>NC_000001.11:74553835-79553835 GCF_000001405.40 Homo sapiens | reverse complement strand
TTAAAGTTATACTTTTCTATTGATGCATTGTAGTTATATTACATTTGAAAATAAACATCTAAAATTCCACAAAAGGAAAAACAGATTCATAGCTAAATTACCCATTTTAAGTGAAAAATGGTTCAGCTAAACAATAAACCTGACTCATATCAGGCTTTATTGCAATTTAGAGCCAATTGACAAAATCATTATCAATGAATGGCTGTTTTACAGAATGCCTTTTACCCTCCAAAAATTGTTATGCTTTTCCCAAAACATTTTTCACATGCTGAACTCAATATACCACTTATTTTCCCTCTCAGTATTGTAAATGATATGCACGAACATCCTATTCCTCAATCCCATATTATTTTCTTTGTATAATCTCCATTTTCAAGTCTGTCTATTTCCAGGAAACTCATCTAGACAGTTTTAAATTCCATAATAAATAAATGTTTGATTTGGTCTCATTTACTATGACCAAACAAATTATAGTAGTTCTCTAACTGTTGGTAGTTGACCTCAAAACAGTAATTTTTATCTATTGAAGCTTTTCTGAATAGACAATGAAAAACAAACTCTCTGAATCATTCATTCATACTCATTTTGATACACCTTGGTAAATAAATCTAAAAGTGAATAAATGCATAAGCCTTTCAAATTTTTAACTTACTTTATTATATTCAGCATTTGCTCATTTACTCATAAAGAGCACTATAGTCTTGATAAATCCAAGAAAAAGAAAACTCTTCTTGTTCTCATAAAGTTCACATCTATTTGTAAATTGCATTTAACTATAGGCCTTATAAAACAAAACAAAAATATTTTCAAATTTACTCTGTGAATACTGAACATAATGAAATAAATGTCTAGGAGTATTCATTATTTTTCCTTTGTGTATAAAACAATTCTCTCTTCAAAAATCTTATTGTATATCTGCTGTGCTAAATTCTTTCACTATGAAAGAAAAAAAATCCTGCATCTAAGTGATTAAAGTCTAAGGTGCACATGCAAATACATTATTACCACATATCAACTTTTTAATTCTTTCATTCATCAAATGCTTATAGAAGTCTTTCTTTAAGCCAGTCTCTATGCCAGAAACCTAGAATATAATAATGTGAAAATTGTGGTCCTGCCTTCAAAGATTTGGATAATTTTGGGAGAAGACATCAGGTAATAAATATAATACAAATAAACATCAGTTTTTAAACTGTCGTTAAGTATAATGAGGAAAAAGCAAGTACTATTTATGAATAGGACATGACCTAGTTTGGGCTGAAAAAGAAGTGACGTTATCCACACACAAGTGACTTCAATTGACAGCTGTTTTCCCAAGTTGTAAAACAAGTTAGGAGAAGGAAGAGAAGACGAAAAACAGCTTTGATGGAGACTTAGCTAAAACTATATTCTTGATAATGCCGATAAGTGAAAATAAATAATTTATGGGGGAAAATCTATATATGTAACCTTTACTCACTTTACCCAGCGAGTTTCATTTTAAAGTCTTCTGGTATTTTAAGTGAGCTGGTCTTTATTTTCACTTAACACACACTCACTTAGAAGATTGAATATTGAGTGACCATTTTAATAATCAGTTTAGATAAAGGAAATCAATTAGCAAAATGTTTCTAGAATTTCTTTGACAGTCTCCTAAATGTTAGACAAACTTATCCAAATGCATATTCCAAATAAAAAAAATAAACTGTACATCATTCATGAAGGGTTATAAACTATTCACAAAAGTGTTACTAAATTTTTGCAGATTGCCCATAAATTTATTATTTAAAACTCATGGTTACATTTTAAAAATTAAATGTGAAAACAGAACCACAAAAGAAAAGGAAGACAGAACAAGAAAATCACTATGCAGAAAGACCTAAATTCTCATACTCCATTCACAGAGAATGTGCTCTCACGGAGAACATTGAATATGATTGAACAGCGATTCATGTAAAAAGTGGCAATAGCTGTATTAGTCGGGATTCTTCAGAGAGACAGCTTTGGGCTTACTACAAAGTGGCAAAAATTTTGTGAATGGGTTACTAGGGGGTAATTTTAAGTAGTATTATTTCCATTTCCACCCTTTATTCCTGACCTCAAAAATCTTGGCTATGGGAGAAATAGCACTGTATATTGGATGCTGATTCAGAGCATATATAGCCTAGGAAAACCTTTCCCAGCCCTGAAAAGTATTGCCACCTAGCTGGTGCTGTAACTGAGCTCTCAAAAGGCCATTCCACTGCTCTGTCAAACCAGCTGTTCGGTATGGTGGAAAATATGGTTAAGACCCATGTGCATGGGCTTATTGCCCCATGCTTTTGCTGTGAGGTATGTTCCCTGATCAGAAGCAATGCTGTGTGGAATACCATAACGGTGAATAAGGCATTCTGTAAGTCCATGAATGGTAGTTTTGGCAGAAGCATTGTATGCAAGGAAGGCAAACTGTATCTAAATAGAGTAAGGATCTGTTTCAATAAGAACAAAGCGCTGCCCCTTCCCTGATGGAGGTGGACCAATAGGATCAACTTGCCTCTATGTAATAGGCTGAACACCCAAATAAATGATGCCATGTTGGAAAAATTGTTGATCTCTGCTACTAGTAGATTAAACACTCAGCAGGAACCACAGTCAGGTCTGCCTTGGTGAGTAGAAATCCATGTTGCTGAGCCATGCATAACCTCTGTCTCTCCATCTCTGACACCATGGCCACTTCTTTCATGAGCCCATTCGATGATGACAGTGGTGTCTCAGGAAAGAGGCTGACTGGTAACCACTGGACAGGTCATCCTATCCACCTGATTTGTAAAACTCTTCTCTGCTGAGGTCACTCTTTACTGAACATTCACATGGCACACATATATTTATATTTTCTGCCCACAGAGGTCTATCCTGATACTCTTCCTCAAATTTCCTTGTCATGAATTTTTCAGTCATGTTTCTTCCAAGCTCCTAACCATCCAGCCAAGCCATTGGCCACAGCTAATAAATTGGTATATTATTACACATCTGGACATTTCTTCTTCCAGAAAAGTGAACAACTAGGTGTACTGCTCAATGTTCTGCCCACTGGGAATATTTCCCTTCACCACTGTTCTTCAGGGATGCCCCAGAATAAGGCTATTATGCTGCCGCTTTCCACTTTTGAGTAATGCCTGCATATCACGCGCGAGCATCTATAAACCAAGCCCCAGTCTCCTCTTCCTTTGTTGACTGATGGTAGGGAACTCCCCCATGAGACCACAAAGGCAGGTTGAGAGACAGAAGGAAGTGAAACAGGAGTGGGTACCATGGACAGTTGGGCCACTTTTGCATATAACTTACTTGTTTCTTCAGGGCCTTCTTAGGATCAATCACATATATACCATTTCTATTTGATGAAGTGCTGCTTAGCTCGTCCGATTTTATGGCTTGGTGCATCAGATAACTCTCACTGTGGTTAAGTGTTCAGTCTCTACTAAGTCTCAGCAGGCCAAGAGCTGTTTATCAAAAGGAGAGAAGTTGTCTATTTATCTTCAGAGAATGGCAGAGCTTTGCTCCGAAATCTTGAGGAACTGTGCTGTCAGTCACCTATACTGGCCTATCAAATGCTCCAAACAGCATCTTTATCTACCACTGACACTTCAAGTACTATTGGATCCGCTGGATCATATGTTCTAGTAGCAGAGGAGCTTGCTTAGCGGCCTGGATCTGTTGCAGACCTTTCTCCTTTTCTGAGCACCAGTCAAAACTATCAACTCTCCGAGTCCCTCAGTAAATTTGATAAATGAATTCAATAAAGTTTCAGGATACCAAATAGATGTACAAAAATCAATTCTACAGATCATTTTTACCATTTGAAATTCCTTTAAAGCATAAATTTTGATTTAGATTTAAATTCTATCTCTCATTTAAGAAGTAACACACCCAAATGAGAATTATGTTGCCTCCAAAATCCAAGCTTACTAGGCATGGTGCCATTTGTAGAAGTGGCAGATGTAACAAATTGTCCTCCACCTTAGAAGAAAAATCTCAACATATCCCCAACAATGGACCATTAGAAATTTTAACAAGATAGTAGATTCCAGAATTTGTCATATTGATTTCCTACTCTTTGGCATGTTAATGCCTTACCAGTAAGTCTGAAGTTGTTGTTATTTCTTGCTCCCTGGGTCCAATTAGCATAATATCATCAATGTAATTGATAATGTAGAATCTAGTGGAAGCGCAGGGTGATCAAAAGCACTGCAAACTAAATTATGTATAGGGTTAGAGAGTTGATATACCCCTGAGCTAGGACATGGAAGGTGCATTGCTGGCCTTGCCCACTGAAAACAAACTGCTTCTGATGGTCTTTATTGGCAAGGATGGAGAAAAAAGGCATCTACCAGATAAACAGCTGCATACTAGGTACAGGGGAATGTGTTAATTTGCTCAAGCAGTAAAACCACAGCTGGTATAGCAGCTGCAGTTGGAGTCACCACGTGGTTAAGCTTATGATAATCCATTGTCATTATCCAAGATCCATTTGTGGTCTGCACAAGCCAAATAGGAGAGTTGAATCGAGATGTGGTGGGAATCACCACCTCTGCATCCTACAAGTCTTTAATGCAGCACTAGTTGCTGTAATCTTTCCAGGAATATTATATTGCTTTTGGCTTACTATTTTCCTAGGTACAGGAAATTCTAGTGTCTTCCACTTGGTCTTTCCCATCATAACACCCCTCACTGTATGGGTCAGGAAACCAATGTGGGAATTCTGCCAGCTACTGAGTATGTCTAGTCCAATTATGCACCCTGGAACTGGGGAAATAGTCACAGGATGGGTTCAGGGACACATTGAATCTGCTGTGAGGTGAACCAGAACTGAGATTCCAATGGTCACCTGACTTTCATAAGCCCCTACTCTAACCTGTGGGTCACAGTGACATTTTGCGTCTCCTAGACTTAGTGTCAGTTCAGAGCCAGTGTCCAGCAGTCTCTAAAAGTTCTGATTATTTCCTTTCCTCCATGCACAGTTACTCTGGTAAAAGACTGTAGGTCACTTTGGGAAAGGCTGGAAAAAGGATTAGCCGAATACATTTTTGATAGTGTACCACAGTCCTTCCCCCAAGGGACGTGGCTGATACCTTAATTTAAGGTGTTCTGGGTTGATAAACAAGCTCAAGTCTAGGAATTGACTTAGGAAGGATGACTCTCTCTTCTTTTCGTTCAAGTTAGAGTTTCCTTCACTTGACCTAGAACTTTTCTGCTTATAAAAATTAAGTAAGATTTCAGTAGGCTTCTCATTTATCTCACTTCTAGGAACACTAGAAGATTTGGTCCCTCCTCCTAATTAACTATATGACTCTAAGTTATATGACTCCCCCTAAGAATTCACTTTCAAATATAGAAAGAGGAAAAAATAATATCTAGCTTTTATTTGTATCTTCTAGATGAAATAAAACAATAGATAGGTCTATAAGCATAACACTCATAGTAATGAATGCTAAATATACAGAATTATTTTCATGGCAATAACTTGATAGTATTAGGAATATTCAGAAGTAGAATATATGTTCAAAATAAATCAGAAGATTTGGTTCTTTTAAGTTATATTTCATTCTATCTTATGTGGTTTTTTGTAGATTTTAGTTCCCCTGCTCACATTTAAAGAACTATTATCTAATATATGTAGCAGTAAAATAAAAGTTTAATATGTACTCTTCTAAATTATTTTAACAGAAATCTATTACAATTTGTAGAAATTTAATTTTGACTCATTGTGTTTATTATCAGGAAAACATTTGTTTTCTTACTTTACTTACACAGTTTTATTTATTTATATATTTTTATTTTTTCTGATACAGAGTATTGCTCTTTCACCCAGGCTGGAGTGCAATGCCACAATCACAGCTCGCTGCAAACTTGACCTCTCAGGCTCAAGCTGTCCCCCCACCTCAGCCTCCCAAGTAACAGCACCACAGACACTCCATCACGACGGGATAATTTATGTATTTTTTGTAGAAACGGGGTCTCACAATGTTGCCCAGGTTGGTCTCGATCTCCTAGGCTGAAGCGATCTTCTGCCTCAGACTCCCAAATTTGTTGGGATTATAGTCATAAGCCACTGCACCCAGCCTACTTATACAATTGTATACAGAAAACATTACATCATTTTTAAAAGATCGTGTCATTTTATGAAGAGAGCAGAATGACTTTATTTTATAGAATAGTTTATCATCAATGGCAAGAACTTATCAGAGTTATTAGTCAGAATTTCCCAGAGAAACGGAATCACTAGAACCAATAGGATATATATATACATATAGTGAGATTTATTTTAGAGAATTTATTCACACAATTGTGGGGACTGGCAAGTCCAAAATCTGCAGTAACCCCGGAGAGGCAGGGAAGAGCTGATGCTGCAGCTGAGATTGAAGGCTGGCTAGAGGCAGAATTGCTTTTTCTTTGAGATACTCTCTTTCTCTTAAAGCCATCAATTAATTTCATAAAGCCCATCCACATTACTGAAGTTATTCTGCTTTGCTCAAAAATCTGCTAATTTAAATGTTAATCACATCTGAAAAACACCTCCACAGTAACATATAGAACAGTATTTTGCCACCTGAGTACCATAGTCTAACTACATTGACTTATAAAATTTACCATCACAAGCACAATGATAACATATGATTCTGTGTGCGTAAGGCAAGCCCATTCTCTAGTAATAAATTTATTTTCAACAAATTACAATGCATCTAAGACCTCATATTTGAAGACCAGATTGAGCATACTCTGATTACTTAAGCTCAAGAGTTCAAAAATTGTTTACACTTTAAGAATTGAAAGTAGCAAAATTTTTTTAACCAACTGAATATGGGCCATTATCTAGAACTCATGAATGTGTTGCATAAAATAATTTTATACCCAAATATATTTTTACAGTTTTAGAGTGGAAAAAAAGGAATTTTCTGTTGTGTTGAAAAATCTAATGATTCTCTTCAATGAGGGCTAAAAATACAAGATAATATACAACTACAGAAGCTAAACTTTCTCATTTATCCTGTCACTGTTCCTGACATGACACCTCTTACAAGAAATTTGACATACAGTGCCTTTGATTTATTTGTTTATATGCTAGTCTCTTCTGATAAAATATTAGTTTTTGGAGACCAGGGATGATATCTTACCTTTCTTTATATCCCTGGCACATATCAGTGTGTTCAGGGTGAGACTTTAACAAATGTTTATAAAACTGAATTATACTTTGAAGCTTGAAAAATGTTTTCACAAACAGTTAATATTTGCTTCAACCATATTGCATTAGTTGTTATTGTTGTCATTAACAAATAAACACAATTGTGGTGGTAAAAACCACACAAGTTTATTATCTCATAGCTTTGTGAGGTGTCATCAGGCTGTCTTCCTTTCTGGAAGTTCTACGGGAGAATCTGTTGTCTTGCTCATTCAGTCGTTGGCAGAATTCAGTTCCTTTTGGTTCTAGAACTGAGCTCCCCATTTTCTTACTGGCTGTCAGCTGAGAGCTATTCTCAGCTTCTAAGGACTATCTGAGTTGCTTAGCAAGTTGTTCCTTTCCTTTGTCTCTAAAGCAAGTAATGGTGTGTTGAGCCTCTTTCATGCTTTCATCTTCTGTCACTGGATCTCTCAGAACCTTCTACCTTCCTCTTTAACTTTAAGAATGCCATGTGATAACATTTTACCCACACAGATAATCCAGGATAGCCTTCCTATTTTAAGGTCTGAAGTCTTAACTCCATCTACAAAGTTCCTTTTGCCATGTAAGATAACATAGTCACATGTTTCAGAGATTACAGTGTGAGCATCTCTATGTCATTATCCAGTCTGCCGTATAAAGTATCATCATAATTATCTTTATTTTATAGGTGCAGAAACTGAGGGAAGGAGGTGACATGGCATGCCACAGTCCATACATGTTAATCAGACAGCTTAACCCCAATCAAACTTTCATTAATGTTAAATCTTTCCATTATACCAAAATGTCATTTTATCAATGGTATGGCTGGAATATTTGTCTCCTCCAAAATTCTGGTTGAAATGTAATTGCCATTGTAACAGTATTAACTGGTGGGACCTGTAATAGATGATTAGGACATAAGGGCTCCACCTTCATGGTTTGAATTGGTGCCACATAAAAGGGCAAGTTTGGTCCTCTCTCACCCTCTCTTGCCCTTTTGTCTTCTGCTGGGAGACTGTATAGCAAGAAGGCCCTCACCAGAAGATGGTCCCTTAATCTTATACTTGCCAACCTCCAGAACCTTGAGAAAAAACTTTACATTATTTATAAATTTCCCAGTCTTGGGCATTCTGTTAATAGAGGCACAAAATGGACTAAGACAATCCCCTAATGTAATAGGAGATTCTCTGGATGCAGCATTGAAATTAGAGTCATCAAGTAAAAACAAATGAACAAAGCCTACAGCAGCTTTTGAGATGTGGGTTAAAAATTGTCTGTATTTTATAATAATAAGTAAATAAATGTATACACACAAGGTATATATACATTCAAAATGAATATAAATAATAACTGGAAATAAAAGCAAAGGAGGAAGGAGCATGTATACTAATGAGCCCTAGTCTTTGTTTATTTTCTTCTTCGTGGTTGAGAACAAGCCTTAAGAGCTAAAGCAAGATTGATTTAGAAAAGGAACTATTTGCAGAGTATAAACAGGAATAAAAAGTCCTATCCAATGGGCTAACAATATAAGACTAGGTGGAAAAATAAGCACTGCAGCTTATGGAACATACAGCAGATTTGTATAGATTGACAATTGCTACTGTATGTTTTCAATGGTCATTTTATAGAACTATCTACTCATGATGAGACTTGGCATAGCTACACACCTTAATAAATTTATATCAGACTAAGCTATGCTTTTTAAGAGAGAGACAAGTTCTTGACATTCTCTAAGGCTTCTGGATTACATTTTAGGTATAAAAATATAAAATTTAATATTTGCGTTTTGCAGTTAGTATGTAGTGTGCTGCGGTTGCCATTGAAAAAAAGAAAAATAACATACACACACTCACAATGTCCTGTCCAATAACATACTTTAAGAACTACACGAAACAAAAACTCATGAATTATTCATTTTAAATGTGGCCATTTCAGGGTCTAGCTATAGCACAAATCCAAAATAATCATAAAAAGCAACATAAAAAAATCATATTTCTCTAAGTGAAAAGAAAATGTACCCTGAATTGAATGAAACTCATCGAAAACTATAATGATTAAAGGCTGCAAATGCTAATTTCATACTAAATAAAATTGTAAATATATTTTAATGATAAAGCACAAGTATCAGCCAATTCACTTTTACTACCAGTAAATGTATTGCAAAACCACTAAGAAAATTCCAAATTTTTATTGTTTTGATTTTCCATTTCTCTCTTAGATTAAAAAACAAAATTAATAGAAACGTAAATTTAAAACTATATCCTCAACACTTGATTTTATATATATTAATGAGAGTCAAAGCATCAGCATTGAAAAATAAGAGATAATCCCTCAAACATTTGCGTTTGTTATTAGAATGTGGTCATATGTACAACTGTGTAAACACTCAGGTTCCATCCGTGTGATAATAAGTCAACTAGTTCAACAGTGAACAATTTAGTTAGCTAATGCTTGCTTTTTTACATGATGTCAGGCATATGATTTTTTGTGTGTGTATAAAGGTAACCATTCTATTGCTTAATTAATTTAAGCCACTAAATATTTTCATATATTCTAGACAAAGTCTCATCCATATGGGATGCTGTATATTCCCATATGCAGCTGCTCTGTTACTAGCCCCTGAAGCCATCAGAATCTGTCTTATATGACCATATAGCACAATGAAGGGGAAAAGTCTAGAAATATGCATGGAACAAATCTTTTCTCACCGAAGCAGATATGTGTTCATATCTTCATAGGCAAATCCGAAATAAGCAAAACTATTAACTGTGGTTGTAAATATTTTGTTGGTGGTGGCCGTTATAATAATTTTGCTTTAATTCGAGAGCTGTAATATGAACAACCATAGGAGGTAACATGGATAAGAGGAGTACAAAGTTTTTGGAATTTGGATATCTGGGCTTCTTACCATCTAAAGATAGCCTTTCATGCTATTGGACAAATCACTTAACCTCTTTAGATCTTGGACTCCTCATCCTTAAAAGGAGTCCTAAGTAAATCTATTATCTCAAATAAATTGACTCTGGCAGACGGTGTGTATACTTTCAGATAACGTCAGCTCTGTCTGGTTTCTTTGCCATAGCCAGCCTAAACTATGCTACAAATAGCAGTTCCAACCATATGGAAGCTAGGAAATAAACCTGCTTTTCATACATGATTTAAATCAGAGTATTCTTTTTAACTTCGATGTGCATAAGCATCACTAGAGGCTGTCTTTAAAGATGGCAACTTCCATGCCACAACTCAGTGACTCTGATGCAGTAGATATGTGGCAAAAGCCCTGCTTGTTATAACCATCCAAAAAGATTCTGATGCAGGTGATTCTCAGACTATGTTTTGAGATACACTTCATCACACCTAATATAAACTGCATAGTGAGCATGGTTTGCATAGTGAGTCATTAAACTTTTTCCTTGGATTAAGGCTGTAATTCTAATTGAGTTACTCATGTAGTCCTAATTGTTTAGCAGGTGGTTCAGTCTTGTTTCCCTAGAAGGGAATATTAAAAGTAGAATTCGTGTACAAGGGCTCTGATGATAAACCAGTATGGGAGGGGGAAAGGCCAAAAAACCAAGGAAGGTACAATTGCAGGTGCAGAGAGCTCTCGGGTGTAAATTACATTGTAGTTTGTCCCGTGTCAAGGTAAAGGCAGTTGAACCTTTAAAACATGGCATTAGTCCATCACTAGCTATTGCATGTCCTGTGAAAACCTAAACCCCCAGGCACTTTCCTCTCTGGGACAAGTGACTCCAGCACCACAAGGATGCTGAAGATGACTATAGATTCCAGCCCCTAGAAGAGAAGCATGCAGAGCTGGGAGTGAAATTTCCAGGAGTGTCTAATCAGGTAGGAATCCAACAGTTTCCACTTCAGCTGAATACTTAATATTCATTTATGTCCTTGTTAACTTTGCTTAAATACTAAAGATTTGCAAGCTGCTTCCCAATTGGTCTGAGAACCTTGAAAATAGAAATTGAACAGTCAATTCACTTGGATGTTTTTCTGTTTATTGTTCTGCTTTGTCTTTCCTACTTCTGACCTGCATGTGCTATCTCCGAACTGCATCACAGTGGATCATCTACTTGCTGCCACAAAATATTCAAAGCTCAGAATCTAACGTTGCTTCCTGTCTTTAGTGAATCTTCATGGATACTGAACTCCAGTCCTCTGGCCACTGACTGTTGAGCACACTCTATCTTGCTGAACATTCCATTTGACATTTTTGTCTCAATCATTCTTAGACTGCCCTAGGACAACCGCCTGTTCAAATAAATCCAGTCGATTCAATTCAAATTAGTGAAAACTGACTGAAGTCACTGGACTAGCTAAACATTAAGTTTAAGAGAAAGAATTTTTGTAACTACAAAATGATTTAAAAAATGTAAGCCCGCATTGCCAAGTCAATCCTAAGCCAAAAGAACAAAGCTGGAGGTATCACGCTACCTGACTTCAAACAATACTACAAGGCTACAGTAACCAAAACACCATGGTACTGGTACCAAAACAGAGATATAGAGCAGTGGAACAGAACAGAGCCCTCAGAAATAATGCCACATATCTACAAACATCTGATCTTTGACAAAGCTGACAAAAACAAGAAATGGGGAAATGATTCCCTATTTCATAAATGGTGCTGGGAAAACTGGCTAGCCATATGGAGAAAGCTGAAACTGGATCCCTTCCTTACACCTTATACAAAAATTAATTCAAGATGGATTAAAGACTTAAATGTTAGACCTAAAACCATAAAAACCCTAGAAGAAAACCTAGGCAATACCATTCAGGACATAGGCATGGGCAAGGACTTCATGTCTAAAACACCAAAAGCAATGGCAACAAAAGCCAAAATTGACAAATGGGATCTAATTAAACTAAAGAGCTTCTGCACAGCAAAAGAAACTACCATCAGAGTGAACAGGCAACCTACAAAATGGGAGAAAATTTTCGCAAACTACTCATCTGACAAAGGGCTAATATCCATAATCTACAATGAACTCCAACAAATTTACAAGAAAAAAACAACCCCATCAAAAAGTGGGTGAAGGATATGAACAGACACTTCTCAAAAGAAGACATTTATGCAGCCAAAAGACACATGAAAAAATGCTCACCATCACTGGCCATCAGAGAAATGCAAATCAAAACCACCATGAGATACCATCTCACACCTGTTAGAATGACGATCATTACAAAGTCAGGAAATAACAGGTGCTGGAGAGGATGTGGAGAAATAGGAACACTTTTACACTGTTGGTGGGACTGTAAACTAGTTCAACCATTGTGGAAGTCAGCGTGGCGATTCCTCAGGGATCTAGAACTAGAAATACCATTTGACCCAGCCATCCCACTACTGGGTATATACCCAAAGGATTATAAATCATGCTGCTATAAAGACACATGCACACGTATGTTTATTGCGGCACTATTCACAATAGCAAAGACTTGGAACCAACCCAAATGTCCAACAATGATAGACTGGATTAAGAAAATGTGGCACATATACACCATGGAATACTATGCAGCCATAAAAAAAGATGAGTTCATGTTCTTTGTAGGGACATGGATGAAGCTGGAAACCATCATTCTCAGCAAACTATCGCAAGGACAAAAAACCAAACACTGCATGTTCTCACTCATAGGTGGGAATTGAACAATGAGAACACATGGACACAGGAAGGGGAACATCACATACCGGGGCCTGTTGGGGGTGGGGGGAGGGGGGAGGGATAGCATTAGGAGATATACCTAATGTTAAATGACGAGTTACTGGGTGCAGCACACCAACATGGCACATGTGTACATATGTAACTAACCTGCACATTGTGCACATGTACCCTAAAACTTAAAGTATAATAAAAAAAAAGTAAGTAACATTTCAACAACAATGAAGTTAGAATAATATAAAATGTCTTATTTAATTACAATAATTTAATCCAATGCATGTGATAGTCTATTCTTTAAGTCCTATACAAATATAAAATGCTAGTTAGAGTGATATAATAAAGATAGTGAAAAATGATCGTATATCTAAAAAATTCTGGCTCACGCCTGTAATCCCAGCACTTTGGGAGGCCAAGGCAGGCAGATTGCCTCAGCTCAGGAGTTTGCGATCAGCCTGGGCAACACGGTGAAACCCTGTCTCTACTAAAATACAAAACATTAGCCGGGCGTGGCAGTGTGCGCCTGTAGTCCCAGCTACTTGGGAGGCTGAGGCAGAAGAATTGCTTGAACCTGGGAGGTGGAGGTTGCAGTGAGCCGAGATCGCACCACTGCACTCCAGCCTGGGTGACAGAGCGAGACTCCGTCTCAAAACAAACAAACAAACAAACAAAAATTCAAGTTAGAAATTATCTCATATGCTTTTAATGTCTTATATCAGGGCTGTTGAATTGTACATGCATCTAGATGTAGCTGTATAACCGGTTTTTCAGTAGAAATGTGTGGACAGACAATTTACTATTTTTTTTTATGTCAGTTTTGTCTGCCATGTGAGCTGGTGAAGATGTTGCTAAGTCTAAGTGCTAGAAACATACTTCTCACAGTTGTACTGCACTTCTAGTCATTAAAAATGAATAGTGCTGTCTCTGGATATATTGACCTAAAATATATATCTAAAGGAATATTAGAATTAAAGTATTATTGTTTTTTCCTACATGTTGATAAATTTATATAGTTGTGTATTTATATGATGTTTACCCTTTTGTATGAGATACTTATCAGTCTGACAGACAAAAGACAAATCCTTGAAAGCTGTGATTTGTGTGAGTATGTGTGTGTGTGTTTGTAGGTAGCTGAAAAATTCCTCAATATTTGAGAATACATGGAACCAGGCAATTAGTTCCAGCTTCTCTAGACATAAAGTGACTTGGCTAATTATTGCAGTTATACATAACAAGGTTCTTTACAAGTAATTTAAAAAATCTTTTTACTAAAATTACTGATTTTAATATTTTCTTTTCACACATTTAACTATATATTAGGTCACAGTCAACTGGTTGTTCATCTAGCACTCTAACAAATACTACCACTTACTAAACTAACTTTTTGGCAACTCCATTTTTTAAAGTAATAGGAGTTGGATAAAAATGAGAGTTTAAAATTGACAAATGAAGCATCTGGATTCTAAAACAACACAGGTTGAAAATTGAAAGTTTCTATGAACAGAATACAATCTAGGTACAGAATCTTCCCACAAAAGCAGAAGATGGGGAGGGAGTTGTTACAAGAATGCTGTTGATTTTGGAAAAACAGACTATATGGCAGGAAGAATCTTATTTGTGAAAGAAAAGAATGGTGATATATACTGGCTACAAAGTATTTTGGTTTCATTCAAGTGTATTTAATAACTATTGTTATGCTTAGAATTCTAGACATCATTTACTAGACAATTATAAATAGGGCAATAGCATTCTTTCATACATTGTCATATGGCATGCCCTGTATCTGCCACATCCAGGTTAATTGCCTGAGATGTTTTGTCATATGTACAATTCAGGGTAAACCACAGGGGTTGCATTTTTGTAATACTAATTAAATTTATTTTTTCACTGCTCAAAGCCAGTCATAATAGTCATAAAATATAAGCTTTCCCTATTTTGGATTATACCAGTGTCTTATGCCAAATGGCCCTGATATTTTAACATTAGAGATTCCAGTGAATGATTTATAACAACACATAGAGACCATACTGCTATTAAGCACTAAACTAGCTTACCAGACAGTGGAGGATACAAAAGGACAACACAATTTAAGGGATAAAGTATCTGTCTGTCTACATAGCAATCCATAGAGCTACACACACACACGCGCGCACACACAAAGGAAAAGTAATTGTCTTAAATCACAAAGGCATGTAAGAGCAGGTATATTTTGGGACTGTCATTAGTTCTGGTCAATTGGTTGGCTTTAAATAAGAAAAATATTCAAAACTACAATCAATCTAACATTAATTTATAAAGATTCCTTTATTCATTTGAGTTTACTAAGGTTGTTCTTTAACTAAAAGACTAATGTCTTAGGACTAAAAGTATTCAAGAAAATGTCTTTGAAAACTTTAGTTTCATTTTAATTTATGTCAGAAAATAGATCTTTATTACAAGTTCATATGCTGCTATTATATTAATAATACTATGGAAATCTAAAAATAACAATGAAAATTTGAGTCACTTAGAAATTGACATCCCTCCCAATTGAATAATCAATGGTGTTACAAAAATTAACTCAGCTCTAATACTCATTTAAGTCTAGACATACAAGAAACATTTAGGTATGGCTATGATGAGAACACACACAAAAAAAAGGAGGCAGAAGCTGCTTTTCCTTCTCAGACAACTTCATGGAAAGAATAATTCTCCTCAATCCATTATATAAGGAAATAGTCAATTAAAGCAGTCTTCTCATAGCTTGAAGACTGTCCTCTTGATTTCAATTTCCTCATTAATTCGAAGATTCATAAATGAGAAACAGAATTTAAATCTAAATCAAAATTTATGCTTTAAAGGAATTTCAAATGGTAAAAATGATCTGTAGAATTGATTTTTGTACATTTATTTGGCATCCTAAAACTTTACTGAATTCATTTATCAAATCTAGGAGTATTTCGGAGAAGTCTCTAAGGTTTTCTAGGTATAAGATTATGCCATCAGCAAACAGAGATTGATTTCATCTTTTCCTATTTGAATGCCTTTCATTTCTTCCCCTTGCCTGATTTCCCTGGCTAGGATTTCTAGTATTCAGTTGAATAGAAGTGATAACACTGGGCATTCTTGTCTTGTTCCAGTTCTTAGGGAAATGTTTTCAATTTTCCCCATTCAGTGTCATGTTGGCTATGGGTTCATCATATATGGCTTTTATTATTTTAAGGTACATCATTCTATGCCTAGTTTGTTGATCAGTAACATTTCTAAATACCAATAACAATCCAGTTGAGAACCAAATCAAGATGTCAATCCCATTTACATAGTTACCAAAACAAAAAAAAATCCCAGGAATGTATTTAACTAAAGAGGTGAAAGATCTCTACAAGGAAAACCAGAAAACAGTGATGAAAAAAATTACAGATGCCACAAACAAATGAAAAAAATCCCACGCTTATTGATCCAGACAAACAATATTGCTAAAATTACCATACTACCCAAAACAATCTACAGATTCAATTCGGTTCCTATCAAAATACCAACTACATTTTTCACAAAATTAGTAAAAATAATGCTAAACTTCAAATGGAAGGAAAAAAGAGCCTAAGTAACCAAAAGAAATCCTAAATAAAAAGAACAAAGCTGGAGACATTACATTACCTGACTTGGAGACATTACATTACCTGACTTTAAATTATACTAAAAGGCTTGTGTAATCAAAAAAGCATGCCACTGGTATAAAAATATACACACAGATCAATGAAACAGAATAGAGAACCAAGAAATAAAGCCACACACCTACAGCCACTTGATCTTTAACAAAGTTGGCAAAAACATGCACTGGGGAAAGGACATCCTATTCAATAAATGGTGCTGACACAATTGGATTGCCATGTGCAGAAGAATGAAACTGAACCCCTACATCTCACCATATGCAGAATTAACTCAAGGTGCTCTCAATGAAGAGGTTGAAAATGTTGGGGAAAAAATTAACTCACAATGGATTACAGATTTAAATATAAGACCTGAAACTATAAAAACAATGGCAGAAAACCTAGTAAAAACTCTTCTGGACATTTTTCTAGGCAAATAATTCACAACTAAGAGCTCCAAAGCAAATGCAACAAAAACAAAAAGAGGCAAATGGCAAATAATTAAACTAAAAAGCCTCCGCACAGCAAAATAAACAATACATCAAGTGAACAGACAACCTGCAGAATGAGAGAAAGTAGCGCTAACTATGCATCTGACAAAAGATTAATATACAGAATCTACAAAGAACTCAAAGAACTTAACAATAAACAAATCAAAATAATCCCTCTAAAAAGTAAAAAAGGACATGAACAGACGTTTTTCAAAAGAAGACATACAAATGGCTAACAGGCATAATAAAAAATGCTCAACATTAATTTTCATCAGAGAAATGATAATTAAAACTACAATACAATACCATCTTACACTGTCAGAATGGCTATTGCTAAAAAGTCAAAAGCTAACAGATGGTGGTGAGGATGTAGAGAAAAGGTAATGCTTATACACTGTTGGTGGGGATGTAAATTAGTAATACTCTATGGGAAACAGGAAAGCTAGTTCTCAAAGCTAGCTCTAAAAATAGACCTACCATTTGATCCAGCAACCCTGCTACTGTATATCTAACCTAAAGAAAATAAATCATATTAAAAAGAAATCTGCAATGGTATCTTTAATAGCAGCACTATTCACAGTAGCAAAGATATGAAATCAACCTAAGTGTCCAACAACAGATGACTGGATAAAGAAAATGTCTATATCTATATCTATATCTATATCTATCTATTACTCCATTGTATGTGATATATGTACACATCACATACAATGGAATAGTATTCAGCCATAAAAAATTATGTGTTTTGCAGCAACATAGATGGAACTGCAAGGCATTATCTTAAGTGAAATAACTCAGAAACAGGAAGTCAAATACTGCATGTTCTCATTTATAGGTGGGAGTTAAATAATGTGTAAGCTTGGACATAGAGTGCAGAATAATAGGCATTGGAGACTCATAAGGGTGCAAGGGTGGGAGGGGGCTGAGGAATGAGAAACTACCTAATGGATACAATTTACACTATTTGGCTGATGGTGCCACTAAAAGCCCAGACTTCACCACTAAGCAATATATCCATGTAACAAAACTGCCCTTGTACTCCCTAAATGTATACAAATATTTAAAAAGAGCTTTTAAAAACAAGAAAATGATCTGTGGAAATGTAAAGTTCTTCCTTATCTTTTAAGAATTTGTGTACTTTCCATAGAAATGTATTTTACATGTTATTTAAAATTTATATACCCTTTAATGTCTAAAATGACTAATTAAATAATTACATTAGGCATGAAGCAGGAAGAAATGATAGTAATATAATAATGATAACAAAAGATGTCATAGTCTTGAAAATTAAAAAACATAAACTTCATTTTTGTTTTGCATTATCTTTTTAGACATCTTTGAAAAACTTATTCATATTTCAGTGTTCTGAGAATTATAGCTATTAGGATAGAAAATGCATTTTACAAGATAGCTAATAAATTTGATTTATATTATATATTATAGTTAATGCATATATATTCAGGGTTGTCCCTGTGAATTTACATTATTCATAACATTTACTTGATAATGTCAGCTCAGTGATAATTAGCTTTGCCAAAAATTCAGCACAAATGATTTTTGGAAAGAAGCACAACCTATTGATCCAACATACATTCAAAAATAAAGAAGAAAGTGTAGCATACTTATAACAAGTAGCAGATGTACACACACACACACACACACACATACACACACATATATATTAGAGCAACATGATTTTAAATTACAATAATTCAGCAGTGTCATGTGGCTCCCCCTAAAATGTTTTTATTATATAATTTAGTCCAATCTGAAAATATGAAAATAAAATGTTTAGATGATAGTCCCAGAATATTGAATTCTCTGCTATGTATATATAGTGGATTAAAGGTGATTATAAATTTCTTATCACTTCTTCCATTGAGAAATGAAGTCTGAGAATGAAGCAAAAAAATTACATTTTGTAACTTTGAGCTTGCGTCTGAAGAGATCTACAGATTCTGCATTGGCACTCTTAAAACACTTTCTCTTGAAAACCAGCTGCCATGCTGATTTGACTTCATTAAGTCACAATATGAACAATATGACTTAACAATATGTTAAGTCACAAGGTGACTTAACAACATACCAGGTGACAAAAGAACTGTTTCATGCAATGGTTGTTTTGAGGGTGATATTACCTGTTATCCTGAACACAGTCCTGTTATTTATTACCAATGATAAAATTATAAAAGGCTAAACATGATTAATAATGAAGTCAAATGAGAAGGCCTCACTCCATCAAAGAACATGTGGAAGGGAACTGTCACACTCTTATTGTTAGACCCAGCTGAGCTACTCACAGAGTGCCAGCACCAGCTACTAGTCACAAGAGTGAGTCTTTGATATTCCAGTCCAGTCGGGCCTCCCAATGATTTTAGTGCCAGCTGAAATCACATAGAGCAGAATAACCACCCAGCTGATTCAAGTCAAACCACAGGAAAATGAGAGATTAAAAATAGTTATTTTGTTTTATCACTAAGAGTTAGTGGTTTGTTACATGGTAATAGATAACTAAAGCAATCTTGAAAGGTTATAGACAAAATGGAGTGCGTTTGCAGAAGTCTAAGCTTTTATATCATCCTGACCCTATGTTATTATATTTTCAGCCAGAAAACTCAACCCTGCTTAAATTTTGCATTAGTCTTGAGTATGGTTGGCAGCCTGTAATAATCTCATATGTATTAGCATGGGATCTGAGATTAGTGTTAATGCTGTCAGCTTGGTGTCAAATATGGCATGTGTCCTTAACTCTCCTCTATGCCACATTGCTTTAGTCAGGTCTTTGTAGCAGAGTCTCTGGATTAGCTTCTGATGAGCACTATAATGCTCTATTGAGACTTCTGAGTCCAAATAGAACTTCTCAGTTCTATTCTGAGTCCAGAAATATGGCTGGGGCCTGGAACCTGCCTAACACTTTTCAGGCTTGTCCCTGTGAACGTACATTATTTCCTACATTTCTTTTGATTAAATGATGGTCTAGTCTAAATGGAATCAGAGCATGACAAAAAAAGAAAGTGGAATAAAACCTCTGAGAATCTCTGCGATTCAGAAGAATATGAACAAAGAAATGCCAGTAAGGTAAAATAAGAAAATCGAGAGAAAGTAGTGTTATTGAGGTCAAGGGACGATCCACAGGGCCAAATTTTTAGAAAGGTTAAAGATGATAAACAACAAAAACCAAAAATTGGAGCAATTAATGAGAAGAGAGTAGTAAGAAAGTCAAGAAAGCAAGAATAAACCAATATTTCAAGACAATTAGCAGAGAAAAAAAAGTTATAAAAATAGAAAATAAAATAAACCACCGAAGTGCATGGTTTATCAAATACATAAGAGCTTCTCAGAAGAGATCAGTTATAAATGATGCAAAAATATATCTGAGTGTGGAATAATGAATTTTAGATGCACAATTTACAACATGAAGTATTTAACTTAAGGAATATGCTATTATAAATTCCTAAAAGATATTGGCATTGCCAGAACAGAGAACACATGGACTATTTAGAAGCCACATCTGGGTAGTTTTCATTTATTTTCATCTGAAGGTACAGCCAAATTCATCTTAAGCATTTTGTTGTATAATTTTATATGATTTGAGTATGTATTGGGTACAGTCAAGGGAAATATATAATTAAAACTTGGTTATGGTCTCACTTGAAACCGTGTATTTCTTAAAAAAAAAAAAACAAACTAATTTATCATGTCAATATCATACACAATTGTCAGTGATCTTAAAATGTAATGTTCAAGCTTCTCATTCTACCTGAGTAGTGTTAGAATGCAGAACACACAGAATATTTTGTTTATCTCAATACTTGGTATTACTCATTGATCAAGAATTGCTTTGCATCCACTGAAGGATCATGAAGTTCAGAGTTTGCAAGCAATAGAGCAATGCCATAGTATTCATTTAGATTTTTTTTCTTGGAAGAAAGAACTATAGAATCCCCATGTTTATGAAGTTGGGAAAACATACAAAATTGAGCAATACAAAGCAATTTACCCTCAGAAATAGTTTGTGAACATCTTTGTAGATTGCTTTCAGTCTCCAATTAGAAGTGCTTCTTCTGCAGATTAACTTCTGCTAACAGTATTATAGCTAAGTTCAATGTGAGTAGCAGTTTCCTTTCACGTAATAAATGTTTAGATGTGAAACCCTCTGTTTTTACAGTCAGGTACTTCCTGGTAAACGGTGACTAGAAATTTCAGGAAGTATTTCAAGAGGCCAAGTCCAAGAAAGAGTGGGCCAAGGCTTCGACTACCTGTTTTGTTTAAATATAATCGGAAAACTTAGAAAAATACCTCAAAGGAATTTAGACGTTTTTCACTTGTTTGTGATTAAAAACAAATTTTAAAAGACTTCTTTAACTGAAGACACTTAATTAAAGCTAAAGAAGAAAGCTAACCACTTAACAGCAGGGGTACCATGGATACAAATGCTTCATTAATTGGATAAAAGAGGAGAAGAAAAACCTTTCCAAAAATATTACTATGTGTTTCTGAACACATTTTATTAAGTGTATTTTTAAATCAACGCTCAGCATAGACTAGGGTGTGACCTCCCATAACCATGGCTTCAAAATACTTTTAGATAACGCATCAAATTAAGAAGTGGATGGAAATGAGAATGTATTTTGTTATAATGATAGAGCGAAAGGACATTATCTGCTCACGTGTGTAGCACTATAGTACACTACAAAACAAAGACTATTCATTCATTCAATCAACGATTCTTTCCCATCTTATCTATAATGTCTGTGGCCCTGTGCTAGGTGCTAAGTATAGAGGGGCCAACTATAAAGACACATGGGCAGTTCCAGTTTAATGAGATTAGTACCATAACCCAAGTGGGTACAAAAGGGGCCTGAAAGACCAAGGTGACTCAATTAACCCGGACTTGAGAGGACAAAGAACACTCTTCTAAGGAAGCTACTTCCATGCTTACAGCTAAGAATGAAGAGGAATTAAACTGCCAAAGAAGGAGGGAAAGGCATGTTACACTCAGAAAGAATGGTGTATACACAGGCCAGAATGCAGGGAGAGCCTGGAGACTTGGGGAAGTGCAAGTGAGTCCATGTGACTGGAAAACACAGAATAGGGGGTGGGGAGTGAAGGTGGGAGCAGAGACTGAAGGCAGAGGCAGGAGTCAGTTAATGATAGGCCTCATAAGCTATGTTAATGAGAGTTATTTTACTTGAAAAATAGAAATGTATGTAATCCAAGTCAACAACCGTAGGTTTTTAGACAGTGGGTTCTATTTTTTAAATATTGCTACACGTGTTTATAAACTATATGAGAAACACAACTAAATGTACAAAATCCACTTTTACATCTATCCAAAGAAGAAATGGACTGGAAAAATTAGCAAGGATATCCTCATACGAGGTGACTTAACAACATACCAGGTAACAAAACAACCATTTCATGCAATGGTCATTTTGAGGGTGATATTACCTGTTATCCTGAACACAGTCCTGTTATTTATTGCCAATAATAAAATTATAAAAGGCTAAACATGATTAATAATGAAGTCAAATACTCCAGAATAAGAATTTTCAAGGAAGATGGAAAGCCAATTTTGTATAAAGAATACAGTCTCACTGTAGATGTGTGAGAAGTCTTGAGGCACATCATGGCAGAGACAACTTTTTTATAGGAAAGGGAGCAGAATAGTCTGTACCATGCCCCTTCCAAAAAAAAAGTTTTTGTAATAGTGATATTATATGCATTATTGGCAAAGCATAACTTTGCCTACTTAGCAAAATAATAATAATAATAATAATAATAATAATAATAAACAAATGGTGCAAATCTTCATTCACCTATTCTTGAAGAAAGAAATAGTCAGAAAATGAGAGAAACTTTCATTTTCACTCACTTGCCAAGATGTTTAAGGAAAAATTCTAGTTTACACAATAATGGGGGAAAATATCGCACTAGCATCTAGTGCATTAACTTGATGAAATGAAAGCAGTCAGTGTACTGGTAATACTAAAGGAAGAGGATGAAATAATAATAAGCTAATGATAACAGAATGAATTCTTTAAGGCATAAAAGGTTTAACTTTTGGTACACTAATCACTAATGGAAGCAATGATAATTTCCCCCTCCAACAAGATATGCCATAAATATCACCTGATAAGCCTCAAACTATATTTTAACTTTAAGAGCTGGATTTTTCCCAAAGATACTCAGCCACATAATGCTATGTATCTTTTAAGATCAGCTATTGCACATGTGCCGAAGAAGATATTATAAGATTTGCAGAAAAAGCAGTTATGCTTTGGAGATAAGAATCCTGCTTTCAAAGGAAGCAGGCTCGCTTCAATGTTCTTCAGTTTATTCTTTTTTAAAAAAAGCTGTAAATATTATTCTCTTGTGGACTAGACTGATACTGATTTTATATATTTTATAACCATTACTTATGACATAATCCAAATTTTAGAGATGTATTACAAATTTTCTCCACTTTGCAATGCTAGTTATTTTTATCGAAATTGAGCATAATCTTTGAATGGCTTCTTTATATAGATGTTCCTATTATGGTGTAAGGCCTGAAGACATTCCCTTCTGGGTTTTGCCATTTATAGTTCTCTCTTTTTTAAAAATCTTTTTATTCACTGCATCATGATCATGCAAAGACAAGGGAAATAACAGTTTTCTGTTGTGACACCAAGACAAACTACTTTCAGTTTAAATATACTCCTGGCTAGAAAAATGCAATAAACCATGGTATCTATGGAAATTCACTAAACAGTTCTTGAAGTTAAATTGAGGAATTATACATGGACACAAGCAGAGAGCGTTTGAGTGAGTGATTGCATTTTTTCCTTTGAGAACAATAAGAATACTTCAAAATTTTCTAGACCAACTCTGTGATGTTGGGAAACATAGTTAATTTCAGTAAATCTATTAAAGCCTGGAGAAAAAGAGAATCAATAAAAAATGCAAATCAGTCTACATATGAAGCTTTCCCTGAGAATATATTTTGGTAAGCAAAGTTCTCTGGCTTTCAAATATTTATAAGAAAGTATCTAAAGCCCCAAATATGACTATAAAGAATGCCAATTAGTTGTTGGTTTTAATTATCTTATGTACCCAAAATTATTCTCACGTTCATAATATCAGAGTACCTCTTATCTGTTTCTTATACAGATTATTCATCATTTGATCATTATACATATCTACCATTATTACCAGCACTTGCTGTGATGTTAATGAGATAAGGAAGTTAAACAGTAACTTGTCTTTTCTTTACAATATTTGAAATGAATGATATACTATTTATGGCAGAAAAAGCAAGGCATCATTGACCATAGTGAAAAAAATAGTTGCTAAGACAGACAACTAATTATTTTGAAAAATATACATATCTGTTGCTAAGAAAAAGTATCCCGATTGGCAAAAGCCAAGTTACCAAAATCAATATCTTAACTTCTGTAAAAGGATGTTAAAAAATGAGAAATTAAAACATGTTAAAACAGAAAAAAACCCTGATAATCATAATATTAAGAAAAACAAAATAAAAATAAAGAAAAGGAAGGGAGGAAGGAAGGAAGGAGAGAGAGAAAGAAGAAAGGAAGGAAGGAAGAAAGAAGAAAGAAAGGAAAAGAGAGAGACAGGAGAGAGAGAGAAGAGAGAAAGAGAGAAAGAAGAAAGAAAAGGAAAGAAAAGGAAAGGAAAGAAAAGAAAAAACAAAAGAAAAGAAAGAAAAGAAAAGAAAAGAAAAGAAAAGAAAAGAAAAGAAAAGAAAAGAAAAGAAAAGAAAAGAAGAGACTTCTATTCCAACCAGATATACTGCCATTTCAGGTGTGATGCTTAGTTTTATCTGTCTACTTACCTACGCTACAGTGCCCAGTTATTCATTACACAGTAACTTAGATGTTGCTGTTTAGATATGTTATAGATATGGCAAAAATCTACAATCCAGTTCACTTTCAGTAAAGATTACCCTTCAATGGTATGTGTGGGCCTTATCCAATCAATTGAAGGCCTCAAGAAAAAAACCCTGAGATTTTCCTGAGAAGAAATTCTGCTTCAACCCTGAAGTGTCAACTTCTGCCTGCTAGCCTACCATACAAATTTCACAACCACATGAGATAATTCCTAAAAAAAATAGTATCTGTAAATATGCCTACATGTTTATATATGTGTTCATGTATATATGTTGTGTTTTTGTGTTATGTTATTTGTATGTGTGTATATATGTGTGTGTGTATGTATGTGTATACATAAAATTGTTTTTGAACTCTGACTGATAGACTACAGAAGGTAAGCCTCTCTCAATGCTCTCCTTATGCTATTCAGGAAACCCTTCCCTGGTATCAGGATCTGATGGAGAAAATTTGCTCACAAGTTTTATTGAGAAGAGAAATTTCATCTGACATATATAACCAGCTGTTTCTACATAAAAATGTTTTAGTGGCTGGATGTGGTGGCTCACACCTGTAATCCCAGCACTTTGGGAAGCCGAGGCAGGTGGATCACCAGGTCAAGTGTTCGAGACCAGCCTGGACAACATGGAGAAACCCCGTCTCTACTAATACCAAAAAAAAAGAAAAAAAATTAGCCGGGCATGGTGGCACATGCCTGTAATCTCAGCTACTCAGGAAGCTGAGGCAGATGAATCTCTTGAACTTCGGAAGTGGAGGTTGCAGTGAGCCGAGGTCGTGCCATTGCACTCCAGGCTGGGTAACAGAGCGAGACTCTGTCTCAAAAAAAAAAAAAAGTTTTAGCTTCCATAGTTGTTTAATTAATAGTTTCAAATTATTTTATTTAATTCATTTTTCAAAAGATCTGTACAATTCTTGTGTAACTACCTGACAACATGACTTATTACGTATTTTCACAAAAGATACTGAGGTTCAGATATACTTTTGATCCTCACAGTTTTCTTTCTGAAGATCAGAAGGGTGGAGCTTAAATTGATTCTCATTCTCCCCATTCCCACAAGACAGTCTCACAGATAAATGACAAGAACAGAAATAACTATCAATATTTTCTACCATTTTTGGGAACTCATCTGAATGTGCCTATATAATATAAGTACAAATTGTTTAACAATTGCCATAAAAGTAAACCATGTTATGTAAAAACACCTATTGTTGAAAATATTTATGTGTGATATATTTATATAAGTATATATTAAAATGTGGACATCATATTAGGGTATCATATCCTAAACCTCAAATGATGTGCTAGTGTTCTAGCACTTATAAAGTACTATACAGTAACTAAGTTTAACTGGGTGGTTTAAAAAGGTGCCAAATGGGTGACTGAACGTGACAGACCTTAAGGAACAGGTAGATCTTAGGCAACCACACATAGGATTCAGGGGCACACTGAATCTGGGAAAAGTTACAGGCAATGATTCAGAACTTGTTAAAAAAACATTGGGATGTTTAGGGAGCATAAGTAGGCCATCACTAAGGAGGTCAGAGCAAAAGAAAGTTTCATATTTTGCCATTTTAAATGCAACAAACAACACACAACACAACACAAAACTGTATGCCCATCATTCAGGCTCCCTGGATGATAATACAGTTTGCACTGAATGCCATCACTAAAGGAAGGTTTACTCAAAAAAGAAGTTGGTATAAATTGCAATAAACAGCAACACTTTAAAATAATTGTCTAATCAATATTAATTCCTCTAGTATCTATTTAACAGCATTAATCACAGTGAACCCATTTAGTATTAATGTGAATGTCACAAGTAATTCAATTGGATTTCCACTGTAATTCAACATTAATTACCTTAACAGGGCCGTTATTTTACGACGTTACCCAGTAAACATGAAAATAAAAGTAATAAAATCATGCATGAAAGATTTATAATGTAGTGCTATATGTTATATCTATGTATAATAAACTGTTTTATTCATTTGAAATAGCTCATCGAAGGACTGAATTTATTAGTGGAATATACACACTCCTACATGCCCACAAAACTATGACATCTCACTTATCTATATTGGTCAAGAAAAGTTGTCTTGTGAAGATATTGTCAAATATTGAGATTTCCCATTTAAATTCTAACACTTAGTAAAACATGTTATTTTAACTATTAACTCCCTATCTGCAAAGAGAGATGTGAACACATTTTTCTGTGTATTGTGATGGTATGGATGCTCATTGGTCAAGGTTTTTTTTTTTCCAGCTCTCTCATTACCAGGTTATCAGCTCTTATATTCCACTCTTGTGTAGGAACTTAATTTAGCTGTCTTCTCCCCACTTTTAATTGTATTCTTCCATTATGCTGAAATCTTAGAAAAAGGAAAAGGAAGAAAGGAAAGAATGGAGGAAGAAAAGATAGAAACATGTTTCAAGTGTGTGTGAGGTGTGAATCAGCAGCCCCTAACAGACACAATGAGGGCCTCTTCCAGGTATAAATATGATCTCTCATGCACTGATTATATATCAGATATTTTAGTTCTGAAAATCTTAAATTTCCTTGACTTTCAGATTGTGCTCTAGGAAGTTAAGATTTCCATATCCTGATTTCAAGTTAAATTCTTCTGAGATATATCACAAAATGTAAATGATATATCTAACAATTTATTTTACATTTCTAGTTTGTATATAAGTACTCAAGAGAGCACGTTTTATTCAACTCTGCATATTCCATAGCACCAAGTGCAGTGTTTTACACAATTAACATTCACTAGAGGGGAAGAAAAACAAAGAAGAAAAAGTTTACTCTTTTCCTCATTGGGGGTGCAAAATAAACATGCCAATTACCTAGTAAATCACTCATTTATATGTATTTTTATACCACACACTATATAATGCCATATACTACATGACCTCTTTCTATAGGTCTTGGAAACAATACTTTAAAAAAGTACTTTAAATGAAATCTTACATGAAGCCTTCATATCTTAAAGAAGAATCAGACACTTGATTGAAATGGCGGCAATGGAACCTGAAACCCCACAGCTAGCCCTTCCCTTAAGGATGACAGCAGCCCATAGGGAACCTCCAAGGAACCTCAGGGCTTAAAGAAATGACTTGAAAACAGGGGGCAGTGCTATCAGATTCAAATCTGAGTAAAAATTGAGCTATAGAGCTCTGAGCTGTTGGGTGTACAACCTAACTTTTCTGAGCCTGAATTTGTTTGGCTGTAAAAATGAGATTAAATATTTCTACTGATGAGTGTTGTTGTGAGAAGCAGAATAAGAGATATAATTACTATTATTTTGTATTTTTATTATTGTTTGTCACTCATTCATTTAATAAAAATTTATTTAACGCCATTTTGTTTCAAGAATAATTTTAAGCTTTGAGGATAAAGCAGTGAACAAAAGAGACCAAAGGCCTGCCCACATGGAGCTTATTTCTAGCAGTGGAGACTGACACGGATAAGATACAGATAAATGATAGTTTCACATAGTTCTAAGTCATATAAATAAAACAAACTAAAGAATTGTGTTTGTCTTTCTAGTATTTAGATAGGGGGCTCAGGGAAAGCATTTCAGATAAAGTGAGGTAGAGAACCACGTGGATATGAGGGGAAGGGTATCCTTGGTAGAGGGAACGGTGACAAGGTACCGAGGTGGGAACATTCAGGATATATTGGAGGATCATAATTGGAGGTTGGAGAGGACTGAGGGATAGGAGCGGAGGTCACAACATTATTAGAGATCCATACGGTATAAAACTTTAGGTCATCTTAAGAACTTTGGATTTGACTCTGAGTTAGATAGAAAGATATTGGATGATATCGAACAGAGATGTGCATTCATTTAACTTACAAGTTGAACATCACTCTGCCTGCTACATGGGAGAGAGACTGAAATGGGAGGCAGCAAGAATGAAGGAAAGAGATTAACAAGGCTCTGCTTTAGGAGACGATGCTGCTTCGACTTGGGAGCTCGTGATGGAATTGGAGAAATATATATGTATATGTTGGAATATATATATATATAATAGTTGGAATTGTGATACATATGTATTTATTATTAAACAATAAATTATATTTCATGATATAATAAACACACACACACACACACACCCCTTGAACCAGACAAGATTCTATCTGTATTGATGCAGAATTAAAGCTCCAAGAAAATCCTTCATCTTTCCGTTTTCCTCATATGGCATTGCATTTCCCACTGGCATCATTCCTCATACATGGGTACTCCTACTCGAGTATCAGAAGCATAATTGAACTCTCTAAGCCTTCTTTGCGTTATTTGTAAAATGCTCAGCTTTGCTTTTTAGGTGAGAGTGAATCTAATGAAGGAGTTGGAAACGCTTTGAAAACTATAAAAATGTCCACAGTTGTCAGGTACAATCAATATATTATAACCGATTACATTATATTATGCTTTATGATTACATAAATGTTAATTTGTGATTCTTGGGGTCCTCATCACCTACTAACATCTCCATTTCCACTCACTTCAATCTGTTGTTTCTTTTCCAGTGTATGGCTGTATATGAAAAATAATGTCATTTGAGCTCTAATGTACTTCTTCTACCTCAGGAGAATGTGTTGTGGGACAGGTTGTAGGTACATCTGTTGAGGGAGCCCTCTCCAAACCCAGAATAACTACGACATTGCAATATGACATAACAGACCACAGATGGGATAGTGTTATTGTCTTTCATGCATATGAGTATGTTGGAAAATATGTTTCTTCATTGTGTTTCATAGCTTGCCAGTAGCAGCTAGACTTTTTTTTTTTTTTGGTCTAGTGGGTGGTGCTATACAACTTTTATAATTATCCCCTCTGTGTTTCTTATGGCCTTATCCAATTTATATAATTTTTTCTGTTCTTATTGTTATGCTCTTCTAACTTGTTTTTTTTTTGTTTTGACACCTAAGTTCCACCAAGTTTCCCAATATGATGCATATTGCATGTTAAAATGATTTCTATGATCCAGTCAGAAGACCATTACATTTGAACTTTTTCTACAAGTGGTGATAGATGCTTTTTTGCATCTTCTGAACAATTTGGCCGGCCCTATTTATAGTTAATGAAAAATTTATGAAACCCTAGCTAAGACAGATTAATGTCATGAAACATTTTTTTTGCCTTTGTTTATATTATAAACCTATTTGATAAGGAGAATAAATTAACATGTTAGATGATGTTACTTTTTGAAAAAATTGCAAACTTTCCCTAGAGCAATTCAGTTGTCATGACATTTCTATTTTTAGGTTGGTATCTTTTGATAATCTCTTCATACTTTGCATCTAGTTTTTCTTTCATCATGGAAAAGACTATTCAGACTGTCATTGAAATGTCTGAAACACATTTACATTGTTTTATTTTGGAACAGCACAGTTGAGACATAATTCATATACCTTACAGTTCACACATTTAAAGTATTCAATTCAATGGTTTTTAGTATATTTACAGAGTTGTATCAACATCACCATAGTCAATTTAGAATATTTGGGGTGATTGTCATGACCCCAAAAAGAAACTTCATATCCTTTAACAGTTACTCTCTGTTTCGCCCCAGTATCAGGCAAACACTAATCTACTTTCTGTTTCTATAGATTTGGATCTTCTGGACATTTCTTATAAATGCAATAATATATGGTCTTTTGTGATAGCCTCTTTCACTTAGTACAAAGTTTTGAGATTCATCCATGTTGTAGCAAGTATCAATACTTCCTTTTTATTGCCAGATACTATCCCATTGTGTGGATATGTGTCATTGTATTTATTCATTCATAAATTGATGGATATCTGAGAATTTATCTCTATATTGCTATTATGAATAATGGCACCATACGCATTTATGTCCAAGTTTTCATGTGGACATATATTTTCATTCCTTTTAGGTATATACCTAGGGGTACAATTGCTGAGTCAAATGTTAAATCTATTTTAACTCAAATGTTAACCTTAGGAAGAATTTCTGGATAGTTTTGCAAAGTGGCTGCACCATTTTACATTCCCACCAGCAATATGAGGAATAGACTTTCTCCCCATCTTAACCAACACTTGTTATTATCTGTCTTTTTAATTTTAGTCAATCTAATGAATGTGAGATAGTATCTCATTGTGGTTTTGATTTGCATTTCCCTAATGGCTAATAACATTGGACACATTTTTTAAATTGTATTTATTTATTTATTTATTTATTTGAGACAGGATTTCGCTCTTGTTGCCCAGGCTGGAGTGCAATGGCACAATCTCAGCTCACCACAATCTCTGTCTCCCAAGTTCAAGCAATTCTCCTGCCTCAGCCTCCCAAGTATCTGGGATTACAGGCATGCGCCACCACGCCTGGCTAATTTTGTATTTTCAGTAGAGACAGTGTTATTCCATGTTGGTCAGGCTGGTCTCAAATTCCTGAACTCAGGTGATCCACCCACCTAGGCCTCCCAAAGTGCTGGGAGCACAGGCATAAGCCACTGCACCCAGCCTGGACACATTTTTTGTGCTTATTGGCCATTTGTATGTCTTTTTTTTTGGTAGAAATTACTTTTATTATGTTAAAATATTCCTTAATGAGCTAGCAATTATTTATGTGGAGGATGGTCCAGAAAACAGGTTCATGACTAAATTATCCTTGTCCTTGATTACAGAAATTCATGAATTACACACATCACACTATTCTCTGGAGTAGCTGCTGAAGGTCTGCGAGGCTGTGAGCTTGGAGGAGCTTCTCCCTGCCTGTTAGGCTGCTCCCATCAGATCACGACAAGATGGATGTTATTTTTCTCTTTGGAATTAAATCTTGACAACAGTTCGAATGCTCTTTCCAGAATGCATGAGTTCAAAGGCTTTGTTAATTTCATCAAAAGACAGATTGTGAGTCATAAACTCATCAGCTTTTATCTTTTTGGACATATATTCAGACACCAACTTTGGGACACTTTCTATACTCTTCCATCCTCCAATGGCAATGCCTTTCCATGTGCGACCTGTTGCCAGCTGGAATGAATGAGTGGCAATTTCTCCACCTGAAGCAGCTACTCCAACCACCACATTGGTGCCCTAGCCCTGGTGACATGCCTCAAGTGCTGCTCTCATGACCTTCACATTACCAGTACATTCAAAGGAATAGTCCACTCCTCCATCAGTGCTCATTATCTCAATGAGCACTTCCTGGGTGGGTTTACTAAAATCCTGAGGACTAATGCATTCAGCGGCTCCAAGTTCTTTGGCCCTTGAAAATTTATCTTTATTGATGTCCACACCAATGATCTGGGATGCACCAGTCACTTTACAGCCCATGGTAACCCCCGATCCAAATCCTCCCAGGCCAAAGATGGCACAAACAGAGCCAGGCTCCAGCTTGGCAGTGTTCACAGCAGGACCATAACCAGTTGAAATGCCACAACCTAGAAGGCCAACTTTATCCAAACGTGCTAAAGGATCTATTTTGGAAACAGAGATATCAGCCACAACTGTGTATTCAGAAAATGTGCTGATTCCCATGTAATGTAAAATTATCTTTCCTTTGCAAGTAAATCTGCTGGTACCATCTGGCATTAATCCTTTCCCTTGTGTGACTTTATCTTCTGGCAAAGGTTAGTTTTAGGATTTAGACAAAATTTGCATTCTCCACACTGTGGGATGTAAAGTGAGATGACAGTGTTACCCGCCTTCAGCTTAGTAACTCCCTCACCAACACTTTTCACAATTCCAGCACCTTCATGTCCCAAGATCACCGGAAAACAACCCTCAGGACCAGCTCTGCTCAGGGTATAGGTGTCAGTGTGGCAAACCACAGTGGCAACAATCTCAATTTGAACTTCATGAGCCTTTGGGGGTGCCACCTCTATCTACTCTATGGAGAGAGGCTTTCCAGCCTCCCAGGCAACTGCAGCCTTGTACTTGATAACCTGGTTTGCCATGTCCACGGGTTCTATCCATTTGTTTATCTTTTTTGGAGAAATGTCTATTCAGATGCTTTCTACATTTAAAAATTATATTATCTGTCTTTCTAAAATAATTGAGTTATAAATATTCTTCATATATTCTAGGTAAAAGCACCTTATCAAATATTTTACTAGCAAAATTTTTCTCCCATTCTGTAGGTTGCCTTTTCACCTCCTTTATGATATCTTATAAACACAAAAGATTTGAATTTTGATGAAGTCTAATTTATCTATTTTATTTACTATATTACTTCTGCTCTTGGTGTCACATTTAAGAAACCATTGCCTAATCCAAGGTGATGAAGAACACCTGTTTCCTTCTAAGAGTTTTATAGTTTTCACTCTTACAGTTAGGTCTTTGATTGATTTTTGAGTTAATTTTTGTATATAGTGTGAGGTAAGTGTATAACTTCATTCTCTTGAATGCAGATGTCCAGTTGTGCAAGCACCATTTGTTGAAAATATTCTTTACCATGAAACTTTAACCTTAATCTAAAGATAACTAGATTTGCAGGGATTTAAGCAGCAAATTATTATCCCCATGTTATTTGACAAGCATTAGGTAATCACTAATTTTACCTATTTTGTGATGGACTTTATGCTGGCAGATCACTAGGGCCCCTCTCCTCAGTGTGATTATAGTCTAATTAGTTATTTTATAAATTATCAGGCTTAAATAACATTTTATATACTAAATATTATTGTCCTGTTTCCATCTCCTATAAGGTAAGTTAATGTAAAATTTCTCTTTCTAATTCTTACTGATATCAATTCTTTATTTCCATAATTTTCTGCGCTCTTCCTCCTTCCTCCTCTTCCTCTTCTTCTTCCCCTCCTCCTCCCCTTCCTCCTCTTTCTCCTCCTCCTCCTCTTCCTTCCTTCTTCTTTTTTTCTTCTACCTCTTCTTCCTCTTCTTCTGCGCTCTTCCTCCTTCCTTCTCTTCCTCTTCTTCTTCCCCTCCTCCTCCCCTTCCTCCTCTTTCTCCTCCTCCTCCTCTTCCTTCCTTCTTCTTTTTCTTCTTTTACCTCTTCTTCTTCTTTTTCCCCTTCTTCTCTTCCCCCCCTCCCCCTCTCTCTCATAAGTATAGAGCACTCTATGTATTAGAATTGAATATTCCAACACCTAAGATCCTCCACATTTATGCTTTTTTTCTATCAATGTGAGAGAATTGCTTCATCCAAATGTGAATATCAAGCTATTTATTTATTTATTTATTCTATCTTTATCTAAGTGTCTTTTTTCCTTATTGTTTGTTAAGTAAGTTTTACTAAGAAATATTTAGAAAGCCTCTTCTAATTTTCACGTTCTCCTAAAAATATTCAATGTTCACAAAAGCTACTCAAACTGTCAAGTACAGTTATTTTTAGTGAGACTGAGAATAATGTAACTAACTCCTACGATATTTTATTACATAAGGCTCCATATCTGCTTATGAGCTAATTAGAACAGATGTGATACTTGAAATCATAACCACAAGGTTGAATTTGCAAGAGGTGTTTTGTTTCATTGTGTTTCACATCACCTTTGAGGTCCTCTGGACACCTGGGGCTCTATAAAAATAGTAGCAATAACAACGAAAAGAATAGATAAGGACAGTTCCAAGATACTTGTGCAAACTGCTCTCTACACTAATAACCATGTATTTAAATTCCCATCCTCAACTCTCACAGATTGGGGTGGTCAATTCCTGCAGTTGTTACGGAAGCATCTTTGTGACTTCCTGGAAACTATAAAAATCTTTGCCTGTATCAGCACATATTGGTCATATGGTATGCCTGCCTCTAACAACACCTTTCATGAATGCAGAAGTAATCCCCACTAGAGATCTAAAATGCTAAATCAATTTGTTTTAAAACCTAAACCAAAGTAACTGAAGTTTGATGTTGCTATTAAGAATTTTTAATTCTTGTAAAGCCTCTAGAGATTATCTGAGAAAGCCACTCAGAATAGAAGTGCAATTTCTTGTCTGCTTTGTATCGTCAACCTCTCTACTTTTATTTGCCATAAAGAGAACGATACCCTTATAATGACATATTTTTTCTTCATTTCTGACCAATTATGTGGTTTGAAACATATTTTGCCCATATCACAGAGCAGTTTCTACTCAACTCAAAGAAAGAGATAATCTACATGAACATTACTGAAAATATTACTACCCTACCTGGGAATTTGACTGGATTTTTCAAATCTATTGAGCAAGTGGGTAATGAATTTTTCTCAAAACAAAGAAATTCATGCTTTTTCCTTCTGTGGCCTTTCATTGGAGGATCAAAAGAACCACACATAGAAAATGAGAGTTTTAAGCACAGCTGCAGCTTTCCTGCATACTTTTCACACTTGAACCCATGAAAATGGAAGAAAATATAGTAAGGACATTCTGCTGGATACATGTAAAAGGTCATTTTGATGCTTAAGGGAAGTAAAATATCTTAGCAAATTAACCAATACTAGTTTTATTGAACTGACTTTAATGTGGTATGAGAAACACTTCTTTCTTCTTCTATAGCTACAGTTGAAAATTAAGCTCTCCTCCCATTTATCCATGCACTAGAAGAGACCAAGATATGTGTGGATGGATGCACAGGAAAGAGTACTGAGACCCCATGATGGATGATTATGAGAAGGAGCTTTGAGATCTGTAAAAGTTTTGGATTTGATGTCTAACAATACTTATAAGATAGGAGGCATTAGAAAATTATATTGACAGTTTCTCCATAGCTGTAAAATAAGTATCATAAGAATACATACTTCTTAGGATTTCTGTGAATATTAAATAAGATGATGCATGTACAGTACACAGAATCATGCCTTGCATAATTTTAAGCTCACATTAAAACAATATATTTATTTATAACTGTTGTTGGTGTCTAAAAAATCTCACAGCAAAATCATCACAGTCTTAGGGCAAAACAAAGAAGAATCAAATTCAGCTGTTTTACAGACAGAAGAGCAAGAAAAACCACAAATTTCCTTCTCACGTCCTCTGTGAGTTCATGTAGGATCTGTAAGAACTCTCTGTGACTATGTAAAAGGAAAATGCCTGTCATACTACAATACTGTTTGAAAAGTTCAAAAGAAAAAGGTCATATAATGTGCCCAATGCAAATGTAATGTTTTCCTTTCTAGTTAGTTAATTAGTTATACACTAGACTGTTGTATCTTTCAAGTGCTTTCAAATGCAAAATGTATGATTGCATGCTTTCAGAATTTTGCAGAATGGATGATTGACTTCTTGTAACCAGATTTTAACTGTACCTAGCTTCTGCAAGTCAGGCACATGCATTGATTTAATAATTAAATGCCATAGTCTCATTCTCTGTTCTACCCATGTGTTTTTCCTCAGGCAGTGAATTTGAATGTTGAAGAATTTTAGAGTCCAGACTTCAGTGGATAGTCAACATTGGTAAAAGAAATCTACGGTACATCACGCCAAAACAAATCTGAAAGTATTTGCACTTCTTGTAATTGCAAGCTTAACAAGACACACAATCCTTACTGGACTTCTCAAATGTCATAAAGGTTTCCAAAGGACAAATATATGTTTATGTTTGCTCTATTGTATTAGTAATTGTCGAGATTTTCTCATAAAGTAATAGAATTTCAAACAAGGATACTTAGATCTTATAGCCCTAATCTCTCATTTTAAATATAAGAACATTGAAACTCTGAGAAACTAAATAAGTCACTTTTGTTACATATTCATTTGATCCAAATACCATCTTTTAGGTGAAAAAAATGCCCAGTATTATTAAAATATGAAAATTCATTCAAGAGTGGGAGGAGCCAAGATGGCCGAATAGGAACAGCTCCGGTCTACAGCTCCCAGCGTGAGCGACGCAGAAGAGGGGTGATTTCTGCATTTCCATCGAGGTACCGGGTTCATCTCACTAGGGAGTGCCAGACAGTGGGCGCAGGTCAGTGGGTGCACGCAGCGTGCACAAGCTGAAGCAGGGCGAGGCATTGCCTCACTCGGGAAGCGCAAAGGGTCAGGGAGTTCCCTTTCCTAGTCAAAGAAAGGGGTGACAGACGGCACCTGGAAAATCGGGTCACTCCCACCCAAATACTGCACTTTTCCGACGGGCTTAAAAAATGGCGCACCACGAGACTATATCCCACACCTGGCTTGGAGGGTCCTACGCCCATGGAGTCTCGCTGATTGCTAGCACAGCAGTCTGAGATCAAACTGCAAGGCGGCAGCGAGGCTGGGGGAGGGGCGCCTGCCATTGCCCAGGCTTGCTTAGGTAAACAAAGCAGCCGGGAAGCTTCAACTGGGTGGAGCCCACCACAGCTCAAGGAGGCCTGCCTGCCTCTGTAGGCTCCACCTCTGGGGGCAGGACACAGACAAACCAAAAGACAGCAGTAACCTCTGCAGACTTAAATGTCCCTGTCTGACAGCTTTGAAGAGAGCAGTGGTTCTCCCAGTACGCAGCTGGAGATCTGAGAACGGGCAGACTGCCTCCTCAAGTGGGTCCCTGACCCCTGACCCCCGAGCAGCCTAACTGGGAGGCACCCCCCAGCAGGGGCAGACTGACACCTCACACGGCCGGGTATTCCAACAGACCTGCAGCTGAGGGTCCTGTCTGTTAGAAGGAAAACTAACAAACAGAAAGGACATCCACACCAAAAACCCATCTGTACATCACCATCATCAAAGACCAAAAGTAGATAAAACCACAAAGATGGGGAAAAAACAGAGCAGAAAAACTGGAAACTCTAAAAAGCAGAGCCCCTCTCCTCCTCCAAAGGAACACAGTTCCTCACCAGCAACGGAACAAAGCTGAACAGAGAATGACTTTGACGAGCTGAGAGAAAAAGGCTTCAGACGATCAAATTACCCCAAGCTAAGGGAGGAAACTCAAACCAAAGGCAAAGAAGTTGAAAACTTTGAAAAAAGTTTAGAATAATGTATAACTAGAATAACCAATACAGAGAAGTGGTTAAAGGAGCTGATGGAGCTGAAAACCAAGGCTTGAGAACTACGTGAAGAATGCAGAAGCCCCAGGAGCCCATGCGATCAACTGGAAGAAAGGGTATCAGTGATGGAAGATGAAGTGAATGAAATGAAGCGAGAAGGGAAGTTTAGAGAAAAAAGAATAAAAAGAAACGAGCAAACCCTTCAAGAAATATGGGACTATGTGAAAAGACCAAATCTACGTCTGATTGGTGTACCTGAAAGTGATGGGGAGAATGGAACCAAGTTGGAAAACACTCTGCAGGACATTATCCAGGAGAACTTCCCCAATCTGGCAAGGCTTGCCAACATTCAGATTCAGGAAATACAGAGAACGCCACAAAGATACTCCTTGAGAAGAGCAACTCCAAGACACATAATTGTCAGATTCACCAAAGTTGAAATGAAGGAAAAAATGTTAAGGGCAGCCAGAGAGAAAGGTTGGGTTACCCACAAAGGGAAGCCCATCAGACTAACAGTGGATCTCTCGGCAGAAACTCTACAAGCCAGAAGAGAGTGGGGGCCAATATTCAACATTCTTAAAGAAAAGAATTTTCAACCCAGAATTTCATATCCAGCCAAACTAAGTTTCATAAATGAAGGAGAAATAAAATACTTACAGACAAGCAAATGCTGAGAGATTTAGTCACCACCAGGCCTGCCCTAAAAGAGCTCCTGAAGGAAGCGCTAAACATGGAAAGGAACAACTGGTACCAGCCGCTGCAAAATCATGCCAAAATGTAAAGACCATCGAGACTAGGAAGAAACTGCATCAACTAACGAGCAAAATCACCAGCTAACATCATCATGACAGGATCAAATTCACACATAACAATATTAACTTTAAATGTAAATGGACTAAATGCTCCAATTAAAAGACACGGACTGGCAAATTGGATAAAGGGTCAAGAGCCATCAGTGTGCTGTATTCAGGAAACCCATCTCACGTGCAGAGACACACATACGCTCAAAATAAAAGGATGGAGGAAGATCTACCAAGCAAATGGAAAACAAAAAAAGGCAGGGGTTGCAATCCTAGTCTCTGATAAAACAGACTTTAAACCAACAAAGACCAAGAGACAAAGAAGGCCATTACATAATGGTAAAGGGATCAATTCAACAAGAAGAGCTAACTATCCTAAATATATATGCACCCAATACAGGAGCACCCAGATTCATAAAGCAAGTCCTGAGTGACCTACAAAGAGACTTAGACTCTCACACATTAATAATGGGAGACTTTAACAACCCACTGTCAACATTAGACAGATCAACGAGACAGAAAGTCAACAAGGATACCCAGGAATTGAACTCAGCTCTGCACCAAGCAGACCTAATAGACATCTATAGAACTCTCCACCCCAAATCAACAGAATATACATTTTTTTCAGCACCACACCATACCTATTCCAAAATTGACCACATACTTGGAAGTAAAGCTCTCCTCAGCAAATGTAAAAGAACAGAAATTATAACAAACTATCTTTCAGACCACAGTGCAATCAAACTAGAACTCAGGATTAAGAATCTCACTCAAAACCGCTCAACTACATGGAAACTGAACAACCTGCTCCTGAATGACTACTGGGTACATAACGAAATGAAGGCAGAAATAAAGATGTTCTTTGAAACCAACGAGAACAAAGACACAACATACCAGAATCTCTGGGATGCATTCAAAGCAGTGTGTAGAGGGAAATTTATAGCACTAAATGCCCACAAAAGAAAGCAGGAAAGATCCAAAATTGACACCCTAACATCACAATTAAAAGAACTAGAAAAGCAAGAGCAAACACATTCAAAAGCTAGCAGAAGGCAAGAAATAACTAAGATCAGAGCAGAACTGAAGGAAACAGAGACACAAAAAACCCTTCAAAAAATTAATGAATCCAGGAGCTGGTTTTTTGAAAGGATCAACAAAATTGATAGACCACTAGCAAGACTAATAAAGAAAAAAAGAGAGAAGAATCAAATAGATGCAATAAAAAATGATAAAGGGGATATCACCACCGATCCCACAGAAATACAAACTACCATCAGAGAATACTACAAACACCTCTACACAAATAAACTAGAAAATCTAGAAGAAATGGATAAATTCCTCGACACATACACTCTCCCAAGACTAAACAAGGAAGAATTTGAATCTCTGAATAGACCAATAAGAGGAGCTGAAATTGTGGCAATAATCAATAGCTTACCAACCAAAAGAGTCCAGGACCAGATGGATTCACAGCCAAATTCTACCAGAGGTACAAGGAGGAACTGGTACCATTCCTTCTGAAACTATTCCAATCAATAGAAAAAGAGGGAATCCTCCCTAACTCATTTTATGAGGCCAGCATCATCCTGATACCAAAGCCAGACAGAGACACAACCAAAAAAGAGAATTTTAAACCAATATCCTTGATGAACATTGATGCAAAAATCCTCAATAAAATACTGGCAAACCGAATCCAGCAGCACATCCAAAAGCTTATCCACCATGATCAAGTGGGCTTCATCCCTGGGATGCAAGGCTGGTTCAATATACGCAAATCAATACATGTAATCCAGCATATAAACAGAACCAAAGACAAAAACCACATGATTATCTCAATACATGCAGAAAAGGCCTTTGACAAAATTCAACAACCCTTCATGCTAAAAACTCTCAATAAATTAGGTATTGATGGGACGTATCTCAAAATAATAAGAGCTATCTATGACAAACCCACAGCCAATATCATACTGAATGGGCAACAACTGGAAGCATTCCCTTTGAAAACTGGCACAACACAGGGATGCCCTCTCTCACCACCCATATTCAATATAGTGTTGGAAGTTCTGGCCAGGGCAATTAGGCAGGAGAAGGAAAGAAAGGATATTCAATTAGGAAAAGAGGAAGTCAAATTGTCCCTGTTTGCAGATGACATGATTGTATATCTAGAAAACCCCATTGTCTCAGCCCAAAATCTCCTTAAGCTGATAAGCAACTTCAGCAAAGTCTCAGGATAAAAAATCAATGTACAAAAATCACAAGCATTCTTATACACCAACAACAGACAAACAGAGAGTCAAATCATGAGTAAACTCCCATTCACAATTGCTTCAAAGAGAATAAAATACCTAGGAATCCAACTTACAAGGGATGTGAAGGACCTCTTCAAGGAGAACTACAAACCACTGCTCAAGGAAATAAAAGAGGATACAAACAAATGGAAGAGCATTCCATGCTCATGGGTAGGAAGAATCAATATCGTGAAAATGGCCATACTGCCCAAGGTAATTTACAGATTCAATGCCATCCCCATCAAGCTACCAATGACTTTCTTCACAGAATTGGAAAAAACTACTTTAAAGTTCATATGGAACCAAAAAAGAGCCCGCATCGCCAAGTCAATCCTAAGCCAAAAGAACAAAGATGGAGGCATCACACTACCTGACTTCAAACTATACAAGGCTACAGTAACCAAAACAGCATGGTACTTGTACCAAAACAGAGATATAGATCAATGGAACAGAACAGAGCCCTCAGAAATAACGCCACATATCTACGACTATCTGATCTTTGACAAACCTGAGAAAAACAAGCAATGGGGAAAGGATTCCCTATTTAATAAATGGTTCTGGGAAAACAGGCTAGCCATATGTAGAAAGCAGAAACTGGATCCCTTCCTTACACCTTATACAAAAATCAATTCAAGATGGATTAAAGACTTAAACGTTAGACCTAAAACCATAAAAACCCTAGAAGAAAACCTAGGCATTACCATTCAGGACATAGACTTGGGCAAGGACTTCATGTCTAAAACACCAAAAGCAATGGCAACAAAAGCCAAAATTGACAAATGGGATCTAATTAAACTAAAGAGCTTCTGCACAGCAAAAGAAACTACCATCAGAGTGAACAGGCAACCCACAAAATGGGAGAAAATTTTTGCAACCTACTCATCTGACAAAGGGCTAATATCCAGAATCTACAATGAACTCAAACAAATTTACAAGAAAAAAACAAACAACCCCATCAAAAAGTGGGTGAAGGACATGAACAGACACTTCTCAAAAGAAGACATTTATGCAGCCAAAAAACACATGAAAAAATGCTCACCATCACTGGCCATCAGAGAAATGCAAATTAAAACCACCATGAGATACCATCTCACACCAGTTAGAATGGCAATCATTAAAAAGTCAGGAAACAACAGGTGCTGGAGAGGATGTGGAGAAATAGGAACACTTTTACACTGTTGGTGGGACTGTAAACTGGTTCAACCATTGTGGAAGTCAGTGTGGCAATTCCTCAGGGATCTAGAACTGGAAATACCATTTGACCCAGCCATCCCATTACTGGGTATATACCCAAAGGACTATAAATCATGCTGCTATAAAGACACATGCACACGTATGTTTATTGTGGCACTATTCACAATAGCAAAGACCTGCAACCAAGCCAAATGTCCAACAATGATAGACTGGATTAAGAAAATGTGGCACATATACACCATGGAATACTATGCAGCCATAAAAAAGGATGAGTTCATGTCCTTTGTAGGGACATGGATGAAATTGGAAATCATCATTCTCAGTAAACTATTGCAAGAACAAAAAACCAAACACCGCATATTCTCACTCATAGGTGGGAATTGAACAGTGAGAACACATGGACACAGGAAGGGGAACATCACACTCTGGGGACTGTTGTGGGGTGGGGGGGAGGAGGGAGGGATAGCATTGGGAGGTATACCTAATGCTAGATGACGAGTTAGTGGGTACAGCGCACAAGCATGGCACATGTATACATATGTAACTAACCTGCACATTGTGCACATGTACCCTAAAACTTAAAGTATAATAATAATAATAATAATAAAGAAAATTCATTCAATATATCTTCATATACCTATCTGTATATGTTGTATGTCTTTGTAAGGTGTTTGTATTCTGTACTGCTGTCACACACTTTTAAGCCTGGGAGGGGTCAGTATGTCTCAGGTACTGTGTAGCTCCCCATTTGCTACAGATTTCTTCTGTGGGCCCAGACAATATTTCTCTCTGTGTATAAAGGCATATATGGCTAAAACCTACTCTTCCTCAAAACTGCTTGGTAATGATAGGATATAATATAGGTAAATTTCACTCAAATATTTCCTAACCTGTGATAGTTATAACATATTCTATAGGTATTAGTAAGTCTACATTTAAAAACCAAACCAAAATTTTCACCATATTCTAATCTTTATCCAATATTACTCAAACTCAATTAAAGAGGCCAGATAAAGTATAGGCATCAGGCTACTCTCCCTTCATTTTTATCCCTTTCACTCATCCCTAAGTGTTTCTTCTTCAGCTGCTAGCAATCCCAACATTTCCCAGTTCCTAAATGAAAGCATTCAGTCACATATCATGGATGAAAATACATACACAGGAGAAGAAATTTGTCTGCATCTTGCAGACTTGTCAAAATGACCCATTATACAGATAAAGAAAGTGCATAAAATATCTATTCACATGCATTGTAACCACAAATAAACGGTGTGAATTATATCTGGATGCTTACATATGAATGATTTAAATTATTGTGACATCTTTCCTTTTCCAAAATATCACAATGGCAATGAAACCACTGAGTATAATCCTGATTAATTAGAATCCAAGTTTGTTTTGATAAAGTAGCAAGCACAGCCAGAGTGAAAAATACCGGGTAACTAAGAATACAGGCCCAAAAGGAAAAAAGAACCCCGAGACAGGGTGGCAATCCATTTTAATGGGAATGGGTCTGGATATTGACTTAGAAGACTGGGAGTCAAATCTCAGCTTAGTTACTTATGAACAGTGAAACTCCAGAGAACCATTAAGTGCTAGGCAATGGAAGATGTAAACACGACTACAACACTTTCTAATGGATAAGATGCTTGTGAATAGATCATTATAATACTATGATGAAAATGCTTCAAAAGAGAAAATAATAGCATAGAAAAAAAGGAGAAGGAAACAACACATTCTCTTGAGTTTAATACGTTTTCACAAAGTGGACAAGTTAAAGAGTAAGTAGGCATTTGCCAGATGGGAAACAGAAAGAACATTCAAGGCCAATAGAGCTACAGGTAAAAAGCATGTAACAGTGAATGAGCATGATAAGAAAAGGAGTTTAAGAAGGTCAGTGGATCTGGAGGCCACTGGTTATAGGGTAATGGAGAATTTGGGCTCAGTGAGCTTGGAAAGCCTGGATTTTAGAGGATTTTGCCTGATACGCATCAGAGGCTTTGAACTCTATCTCATGGACACACCAAGTCATATGAAAGGTCTTTTAGTAGAGAAATCACAGGGTTCAATGTGTGCTCTACCTAAAGTAACCTTTGCTAAAGTCTGGAGAAACAGTTGTCACTGTAAAAGTATGTGGGAGGCCATTTTTAAAAGGCTAGGCAAGACATATGGGGGCATATGAGAGACTTGCCTAGGACAGGAATTATGTAATTAGATAGTAAAAGCCAAATTCCAGAAACGTGTCAGCTGGAATCATTACTTGGGATACAAACTGAATGGTAATGGTTTGTGAGAAATGTTGGAAGTATAATTTTTGAATTTAAAAGAATAGGGTTTGGTTTAAAGTTTTAGAAGCCATCAGTTTATAAATGGTAGCTGCAGCTATGACAGAGGCTAAGATCTACCAAGAAGAATGTATAGAACACAAAAGTTGGAAGGGTGCCTTCAGGGGAATACCAACATTGAAAGGATAGGCAGAGGTAGAGGAAAGCCAAGTAGGGTTAAATAGTAAGATAATCAGAGAGGTAGAAAGATTTCAGGAGCTAGTTGTAGATGACAGGCTAAACTGAAGGGAGGATTTTAGTAATAGAAAGTAATCAAAGAAACAAGTGTCACAGAGATCATGTGAGCTGAAGACTCTATAAAGATCTTGTGTGAGAAAAACATCCAGAACAATAATACTGGGGCAAGGCAGAATATTCATTATACTCGAAATGCATCCTTTTATTTGAAGTCAGCTTAATGGTTCTATACATGTTACAACAAGTCATTGAATGTGAGCTCAGTAATGATCGCAGTGTTAAGCCTGCAATACTAAACACTGTGTCAATTTTCTAGAAACATCTGTGGTGTCTTTATATGTGGCAGAGTTATCATATTGACAATAAATTAATATGATCTTTCTCAGTTTTATGCACCATTTTTTCTGTTTATTTGAAATAAATTATTACTGTATCAATATATTAATGCGATTTTTAGCATTATTATTGGGATAGTCGGCACAAAACACTGGTATCACAAAACAGTGATAAAGTGTTAGCCATAATGTTAATCACTTCCATTTGAAGTGATCCTTCTTTGAAGGTCTCAAATATTAGCACTTGGTTTTTCTGTGCAAGTACATTTGCTATTGCGGCAGAGTTGAGATTTAAAAATCAATAGTAAAAAAATAAATATTCCAAATATTTTTGCCATGAAAGAACTTAGAGATGTGCTCATGCATGAGAAAAGGAAGATCTGAACTTCACAACTGAAGAAAAAGTTCACATTTCTCCTAATTTACTGTTAAATGGTGGAACATATCTCTTCACATGCATATTCACTGCTACATATTTAGTGAAAACATATTGAAAATAATTCCTTGCATCTAAATCTAATTTTGGCATTATCTAAAATTTAAGTTGCTTAAATTTTATCTCACTTTAAAGATATTAAATTTTATGTATGAATTGGATCAAAGTACAAAAATACAACTATGTATAGTATCTATTGAACCTACCTAAATATATAATGCCTTTTTATCTCATGGCTTTGTTTCCCCCTTATTATATTATATAAATATATAAATATTATATTACAAGTAATATCATAATTTAAAATAATTGTTATTTTCTAATGCATATTCACAAAATACCCTCAACTTCTGTGTTGCCTCTGGAAATGCACATTCAGGGTGCATTAGAAACATGCTACTTTGTCTGTGGTTTTCTGGGAAGCTTTGAGGTTTTAACTTTGATCTCTCCTCTTACACACGGAGATTTTCTCCCGACTCCACTAGCCAAGACAGAATTTCTACCCTTGATCTCTAAGGTAATTTCAAATATACTCTTGACACCAGCATCACTCAGTGGCAAAAGTTTCCCTCTTAACCATGGTGTGTTTACTCTTCAGTTTCTCTGTTGGCCTTTGCTCCCTAGACTCAAAAGTGACTTTTTTAAACTTTCCACCCCCAGGAATAGTTTTTCAGTCATTTAGTTCACATGTTTTCTGCTTTGACTAAAGTATTTTGAGGTCCCATTTTTGTTTCCTCAACTGTTTAAGCTCCTTTATCTGAGGAAACTAGATTTTCTCTTTGATCTGCCAAAGAATCTGCTACATCGTTTGACCACAGGGTGAATTCTACTTAAAGTGACTCCATATTTTTGTGGCACTCTCATTCATCCCTTTTTAAATGCTGCATCTCTGTCAAGGTACTCCGCACCTTGGATATCAAAGTTGTAGGGCTTTTTTGACTAGTTAACCCATTGCTATCAAATCTTATCTCAGAGATTAATCTGTCATCAGTCACTTTTACCTTCATGTGCCATTAGTACGTTACTTCAATTGGGGATATTTGCAAATGAACTCTGTCTTTCAAAGGTGGGAAGAAAAGTAGGAGTTTGTTTGACATAAAACATAACAAGTTAACAAACTACTGGCACTTTTGCAAAGAAGGCCTTTCCAAAGCCTATCAGCCTATAGAATACTTTTCCTTTTGCCATTCATTAAGAAGAAACAGATTGTCCGGGCGCGGTGGCTCATGCCTGTAATCCCAGTACTTTGCGAAGCCGAGAAGGGCGGATCACCTGAGGTTGGAAGTTTGAGACCAGCCTAACCAACATGGAGAAACCCCATTTCTACTAAAAATACAAAATTAGCCTGGCATGGTGGCGCATGCCTGTAATCCCAGCTGCTCGGGAGGTTGAGGAATGAGAATCGCTTGAACCCGGGAGGCAGAGGTTGCAGTAAGCCAGGATCGCACCACTGCACTGCAGTCTGGGCAACAGAGTGAGACTCCGTCCAAAGGAAAAAAAAAACAAACAGATCATGTACAAGGGAAGAAGATATCTATTAATCTGCATCTGTGTCAGTCTTTCACATAAATTGACGAAGTATACTAATAATTCTGTGTACTTTAACCACTACATAGAACTTTCACAGATATTTTCTGACAAATAGTTTCACAGCCTGAGTTAGGTGTTAACATTTTCATCCCAATTTAATAAAGTCAAATTTATAAAGGATCAAGACTTTTAAAGGACCTCAATTAGTAGTGATTGGATTTGGAACTCCATTCCAGGTCTTCTGTTGCACATCTTGCTTACTTTTCCCAATATCACAGCTACTATAGTTATGATTCCAGTGCTTCTCCAAACCTACCATTTTCCCAGTCACTTCTTTTCAACCAGTGCTTAGCTTCCAGAATATGAATCTAACACAGCATTAAATGAGTTTAATACCAGTTGCAGATGGATTTCAGATCAATGTTATAAATGCAACTTACAAATAAGTTGAAATAGTTTACTTGGCATTTATCCTAACCAAGATCATTCTGAATTCGAGGGGTAGTGCCAGACCACAATTATACAAATGTCATTGTTAATATCCTTAAATTATTATTATTCTAGCACTGCCATTTGACTATTAATACACTATTAATACTGCCTTTCTTGCAACATTTGCCTGCCTTCTGCAGTTCTTTTTGAACCCATTTCTTTCATTAGCGGCAAAATTCTCACTTATATCATCTGAATATTCCTATAGTTGATAGGAGTTCCTCTGGCAACAAGGGCTCTTTTACAGAACACTCATTACTACGGCTCCAAACAGGAAGGTACCGATTTCTGGATTGAATTAAATTAAATTTAACAGATCTTTAAAAGTTGTCATGGCCTCTAAGGTATTAAGTATAGAATTTCTATTACTAAAGTCTAACCTAGTTATATTCAATTATTCATTTATTCTAAAAACATTTATTGTACTAAGCTATTCCAGTTTCCAAAATTACCTCCTAGAAATGTATGCTTGTATATCTCATTTGTTTCTATCAAGGCTCTATTACAAAAATAAACATGAAATATTGCTATGTGAAATTTTAAGTATGCTTGCTTTTAGAGAGATAAAGAGGAGATATTATGAATGTATAATTCCCTGGTGAAATCATATTTCTGACATTGGCTTAATGTTGTACACCACTAATCTATTTTTTACATTTCTCTTTTGTCTGAATACAACATGGGCAGGTTAAAAGATGCCGAGGTAAATCCAGTGCTGAAGTTTGAATGTACTCCTTGCTCAGACAGATTCACTATCATGAAATCTCTAACTTTAACTATTGCCTTGAATACTGAGCTTAGGCATTGTTTCCACTGACAATAAACAATTACAGCAGATGAGTAATGATTCTTTATGCCTACTACACTAGTAATCTGCTTGATGTATGTACTACTGCTTAGACCAAGGGGATCTTGAGGATCCACTATCATCCTCCCAAGTACCATCTAGATGTTCAATATCAAACAGGACTCTTTTTTTGCCCCTCTCTTAGATAGAGGCATATATTTATGAGTATACATATATCCTCACATAAAAGAAACATTTCTCTGACATTGTACATTTTAACAGGATAAGGTCTAGGGAAGTGAAAAAATTTTTATAACTTGAAACAATGCCATTTACTGTTTTATCAATACATAGATTAAGAAATTTAGGCTTTGCAAAATATTATGGGGGTTAGAAAAAGTCAGAACTCTTCATTTTAAGAAGCATACGATTTAGAGGAGGAGGCAGTCACAGAATAAGGAAATGTTACATGACTACAGTTGCCAGTTAATTATACAGGCAATTTTGTTTAGGAGTTTGGAAATTACTTGAGATTTAGTAGAGAAGGCTTATAAAGGAGATAGAATTTTATCTGGCTTGAAGGCAACTGTGAAATAAAAAAGAAAAAAAAACTGAACTTGTATTTTAAATCTAGTCTCTGTCATTTTGTAGCTCTGTGCCTCAGGAAAGGAATTTAGTATGTGCAAGCCATAGTTTCTTAATCTTTAAAATAAACCACTGTTTCAGAGATTTATTTGGAGATTCCACATAAAATCACAAGCATAGGGCCTTGCAGATAGTAGGCTCCCAATAATGTTACATGAAGATAGTTGGAATCTGCATAAAAGAGAAAGGAATTCCAATCAAGGAAAGTGAGCAAAATAATAAAGGTGAAAGAAAACAAAATAAATTCAGTCTATTAAGTGTGCCAGTTTGATTGACATGGGGAACAGATATAAATGAAAAGTAAGGGTCCAGATTGTGAAACCCTCTGCAGAGGAAGCCTAGACTTGACCTTTGGGCAATGGAGAGTAAAAAAAGTATTTCAGCGTGAACATATACTCTCAAAGCAGCATTTTGAAAGTTCAATTCAGAAGCAGCAAACAGTTTTATTTTTCCCTAAGAATTGCATATTTGTAGCCTGAAATATTTTTATGACTATAATAATTTAACCTCAGTCTTCAAATATACCCCTCACAGTGGTCTAAGGATACAGTGATGAAGAATTGCTTAAGGTAGTACAAATTTATCATTCAACTAAGAAAATTAAGTACATTAGGGAGAAACATTTTTTTCTGAGTATTTAAGGAGGCATTTCAGCATCCTGTAGAAATCAGTTGCTGTTTTTTAAGAGATCTATGTGGTTAAAATGTACACTCTGACAATACAATAATCACAATAGGAGAGGCCCCCCAAAATACATTTGAAAATCAAACAGGATACTGTTTTCAAAAGCAGATGTCCAGACTGAGCACTACACTCACCTAAAATATCCAGGAGGTAAGTCTGAGTAAACTTTGTAACCTGCACTTAGAAGGGTAATGTTGTCAAGACATCTAAGATCTTGAAAACAACTATCACAAAGACTGTCTAGGGATTTTATTTAGTAGCTCTCTGATACGCCAAGTGCTTATTCTTAACAATTGACTATGGCTTTATGACTTTAATCAAGAAGTGTATGTGTGTGTGTGTGTGTGTGTGTGTGTGTGTGTGTGTGTGCACGTGGAGGATAAAGAGACAGGATGATTATACATGGTTATTCTTTAGAGTTCCATGCCAGTGACATTACTGGTATTTCTGAGATGAAGCATCATGTATTATAATTAAATATCAACACTGATTGCTGATGTCTACCTTGGTTCTTGAAAGAGTTCAAGTCTTTGGCACAGTCACATTCTTAGTTACTCTGCAAAAACTCTAATGAAGAAAGTGAGAAAGATGTGTTAATATTTAATAAGCCTATTGATCGATTGCTGTGCCTCCTAAAATGTTCATCTCTTTGACTGGTGGGAAATGAACTTCATTAGGCTTTCTCTGCCACCTTATAGCTCCTTGTTAACATTTCCCCTTTGGGGTCCCTGAGAAAAAACGCCCAGCTTCTATTCATGAATCTCTGCCAACGATAATCTCTTGCACTATTTTCTATATTCATTTGCTGAGAAAAGAGGATGTAAATCTCATTTTGCAAGGAAAACATTATCAGTTCTTTGTGATTGAAAGTAAAATTTGTGAAATGGTATTTTTATGATTCATAGAAATAACCAGTAGATTGATTTAATATATGGAAGCTAGTATTATATTTAGTTTTAAGCTATGAATATAAAAAATATTAAGCACTTTTTCATATTTTAGCTTCCTCTTACATGTTTTATTTGAAAAAGCAAAAGAAAAAATGTGGAGCTCTGAAAAAAGAGAAACTACTAGAAAACGTTTATGTAAAATAGTTACTATAAAATTTCATTTATTTAAAAGACTTCAAATAAAGGAGGAAGAGGCAACAGAGAAACAACATTTACATAGTGCTGGTAGCAAAACAGAAATAATTCTTATTGATAAAATAATTACCAACGTAATACTTCAAGATATTTTGGCATATAATTTTAGATAATATGATATATGCATAAAGGACTGACATTAAAGCTGAACTTAACAGTAGAAAGAAATGGTTAAATATACTGATAATTTAGTATGTGCCAGGAACTTGTTAAATATTTAATATACATTATCTCATTTAAGTCTAATAAAAAGAAACGAGATATATACTATATACTATTGTTATTCCTATTTTACCAATGAGAAATCTCAGGAAGAGATTATTAAAAAGTTTTTCAAGTTTACACTCTATAGAAAAATTTTTAAGTACCCCAAAGGGGAGCCAGACCAAAGCATTTGGCTTCCAGAGTCCAAGCTTCTAAGGAATTCATAGATGCATTCACAGATGCAGTCATAGAGGCAAGGCCAAAAAGGAATCAGGTGAATTTTCCACTTTTGTAAACTCACCTATTTCCAGAGAAAGCAGAAGAGAGAATACAAACAGAAAAGCTAAACAGCCAAGAGAAAGGTTGTTTCAGAATCTGTCAAAATGAAAAATATTTCTTCTTACCAGAGCTCCTTTTGGTTATTTCAACCTGAACATGAATGTTCAGAAAACCAGGAGACAGAGAATGAACAGAAGTATTTCTTGCCTCTTAATTCTCTAGCTAAAGCAATGGCAGTAATTCTCAGTTGCTAAGGAATTGTTTCAAGTCTAGTCCTTTGCTGATGATGGAATTTTCTTGACTTCCAAGCATTCAAGAACCCAAACTGATGCAAATGTGCTTCCACCAGAATCCATGGCCACATAATTTGCAGAGCCCAGTAAAAAACAAAAATGTGAGGCTCAGTATTCATGAACTATTAAGAATTTCAAAATGTTTACAGGAGAACATTAAACCAAACTCAGACCCCTGTGTCTGCATTGTTTGTATAGCCATGAAGCTTGACTACTCACAGCCAAATTCTGAGTGCTATTCTGTGAATTCTTCAAAGGGAGAAGGCTTGTGACCATTTATAGTATGTGCCTTTGGCCAGAAATTTTGAATATTTGTAACATATAATATTTTAGTTTTCTTCCCTCATTTGAGGCAGATTTATTTGTGGCATTCAATTATAACGTTCTTACTTTATTCAGGACACTACAAGAAAAAGACTTTATATTTTCTGAGAGGAAATAAGGATTCCTGTGATTTCTGGATAATCTTTAAAGAGAGACTTTGAACAGAGCACATGTTGATGTTATTATTTTCTTCCTTTTTAATGTAGTCTAGTTCTGGAAAAGGGGTACATAGATCTTTGTGTAACCACCCAAGAGCAATAAAAATAATTAGAGTTTATCCTATCTTTTAAACATGAAGAGAAAACATCATTACATGTTGGTTTCAGAAGGCATCCATCCTATATGGGGTTGGGGGAGAGAGTTGGAAGAGCAAACATGAAGAGTAATGACAGCAAACTTTTCCTTCTATACCTCACTCAAAGTTTCCCCTGCCTCCAATTTTATCATCTCACCATTTTCAAGTAGAATTGGCAGGATTGAAACTAGGTAATTTTGATGGGGAAAATATTGGCCATGTGAGAATGAAAGGGCGACCCACCAAACACATTAGCACCTATATAGAACAAGGTGCAAATAGAAGATAACCAATAAATATGTACAGAGGTAATAATTTTATTACTACTATGAAATTTACCAAATATAAACTTACATTATTGTAAGTTATAACATAGAGGAGGGGTCAGGGTAGGGAAAACTGGATTGTTGAGAGACACAATCATAAATTAGCCTTTATCTAGCAATTGCTAGGAGCTATGCCTTATCATCTATTACATCCATCAGAGCTTTATCATGTGACTCTGCTTGAATACCACTGAGGAACACCATTCTCAGATTGCGTAACGTACTTGGCTCCACCTAGAGTTGTGCTTTTTGGAATTCCTGAAGAAAATATTACTGATGCAATACCACTGAATGACAATAAACACTTTATTAGCATTTAAAACAAAGCTATTAGATGTTATAACTACGTGCTAGGAGGAAGCAGTGAAAAAGGGAGTGGTGGATAAAGGGATGACTAAACTGATAAATTAATGAAGAACTAACAAATACCATAAAATAGATTCTTTCATTTTGACTATTATTTGGAGATGAAATATTGAATAAACCACTGAAAGCATGTTTAAGTTTTGATATGTCATAATATATGTGAAAACAGGTACCATATTGCTACAATCCCTTCTTGAATTGTGTTTCTGAAGCTTAATTTGTAAGACTTAAGCATTTCTCCTCTCTTAACCTTCCCATTCCTCATGAATAATTTTTTGGTAGAATCCCATGTTTTCTGATTATATAGAGACTTAACTTAGTTATGTCCTTTGTTGAATGTTGAATATTTAAATACAGCTTTTATTTTAACTGCAAGCTTTTTCTTGTAGCTAGAGTTTTTGATTTTGAGAAGAATAAATCTCTTCCCAAATGGCTTCTGTTTATCTTTAAAAGCAATTTATAAGGAAAATAAATCTGTCATAATCAGGTCACCCCAGACATAGTGCTAAAAGCATTCTAATATCTGAGAAATCCTGTGAAATAAGAAGCAATGCTGATTCTGCTCTTAAATGTCACCTAATGGTCTTATATAAGGTTGTCAATTTTAGTGTTAGTTGATTGTTACATCTTAGAAAAAAATTAACTGAACTGAAGTATATTCAGCATATACGTTGTTTTACAATAATTTTTTAACATAGTTTCTTTTGGGACACTTAACAATTTTCCCATTGATTAAATATGCCTACTTGAATTAGATGTAGTTGCTTTACTATACAACTATCTTAGAGGCATTTTGGGAGCTCTGAGCTAGATGTGGGGTTTTGGATTTCATTATTCAGGCTTTTAAAAAATAATAAAATAAAATGCAGCCAACAGCAGGATTGACGTGAAACAAATAATCAAACATCCAGTTATTTTTGAGGAATCAGTTAATTAAATGCTAATGCTGACTGAGCTTGTGTTTTTGTATGTGTTTAATTTTTTTTAAAGAGTTTATGCATTACACATAGAGTTTGTATGTGTGCTCAGGAACAATGCAGTATACAAATTACAAGAATAATTTTTATTCTATGGCAATTGGCTTCATCTTCTCCAATAATTGTTCAGTGCTACAAATAAATTACAGCCATTAGGTGAATTTGGTCAATTATTTTGATAAAAGTTGCAGTGGCAATTAATACTTTTTGGCTATAATATTAATATTATCTGAGTCAGATAGTAATTTTATGCCATGAGTGGATATTTGGAATGCACATCATTTTGCTATTAGCTTATTATAAACTGAAAAGAAAGTTTTCATTACCTAAGGCAAGAATTACAAGCAATTTCAAGAATCTTTAAAATGAAAGGATAATGGGAATTCTTTGAGATACCTCTGACAAGGTCCATGTTCTCCCAGTGAGGGTCAGAGTTCAATTCCTGAACTCATCCATCACATTCTGACTGGCAAGGGCTGAATAGCTGTAAAGACTGCACAGGAGAAAGGGCGCCCTTGCTGACCTCCTAAATCACTTTCACACACACAGTTCAATAAATACACACATCCACTCACAAACACCATGCACAAATAACAATGCATTTTAACTCATTATTAGGACAAGCAAGTTTTAAGATTCTTGGATCCCTAAGGGGTTTATATATTTGAGATTTTCTTTTAAATGCTTATTTTAATCATGTAACAGGAAAACAGCATTTCATATCATTATTTCAGTAACAAATAATCAGTAGAAAAACACTTCATTGATGTCTTTTATACACAATGATTTTGAGCGCCACAAGGGGTACACAAAAAAAAACTGTTTAAGTCAAAACCCCTACTTACAGTCAGTCAGTCAAAACATAACTACTCATCACTTAGAAACCTGTAATCTAATGGTATTTCTTAATAAAATCAGGAATTTAGTGTTAATTTAAAGTGGTTCCAACTGCTGCATCCCACACATTTATTGTCTCTTTTTCTTTGGCTGTGATTTTCATGTTAGAGAATACAGGTTAGGTAATTTTCCCTTGAAGTATTTTCACATCGTCTACTTAGCCTGTTTCACAGAGTAAAACATACCGTAAATTTTCTCCGTAATTTTTCATTCCTCAACTACAATGTGGGCTCCAATATGACAGAAACCACCCCGTCCCCATAGTTGATGACCAGGACTGGTATATTGTAAGTTCTCATTCACTATTTGCCAAATTAATTAAATTTAATTGCCCTCTGAAATCCGGGACCTAAGGAAGGCCTCCCCATAAGTGAAAATAATTGATGATGTAAAAAACAGCATTCTTCTCAGAAGTACAAAGTATGCTTTTCAGACAAAGATCAATTCACATCTTTCCTACATAGCAAAGGTGTTTCAAACTGTGTAACTTATTTAAAGGCCAAGTAAAGTAACTAGGTGGAGGCTTTTCTCTATGTTCATGAAATCAAACCAATCTGGGGTCCATATTCCATCTTCATAATGAAGAAAAGATTGGACCAAGCTTCCCACTGACAGGCCCTCACTTTCATTCATCCCATATTTGTAGGGTCTATCATAGTGCTAGGCATTGTAGGATTTAACACATTTTTCTGAAATTAATTTAACCAAATTCACAAGTGCTTTATTCCTCACCAATCTCCTGTTTCAGGTTGTCTTCAAAAGTTAGAAGATAGGGAGGATTCAAACGACATGACATGATTGCATTATTTAAAATTTCCTTTAAAAAATAGCTTATCAAGAAACCAAATATGCCAAAAAGAAATCACTATGATTCCAGCTTCTAAAGACAGTAAATCTGAGTCTTACAAAATACATTACATATAAAGACATTTTATATAAAGGTTCTTTTTGAAAATCTCTTCTGCCTGGTGTGGTGGCTCACGCATGTAATCCCAGCATTTTGGGAGGCCAAGGCAAGTGGATCACTTGAGGTCAGGAGTTCAAGACCAGCCTGGCTAACATGGTGAAACCCTTCTCTACTAAAAATACAAAAATTAGCCAGGTGTGGTGGTGGGTGCCTGTAATCCCAGCTCCTCGGGAGGCTGAGGCAGGAGAATCACTTGAGCCAGGGAGGTGGAGGTTGTGGTGAACCGAGATCAAACTACTGCACTCCAGCAGGGACAGCAGAGTGAGACCCTGTCTCAAAAAAAAAAAGAGAGAGAGAGAGTAGAAAATCTCTTCTTTACTTAATTACTAATTAGTTAGGGAAAGTCTCATTCAAAAGAAAGTTGCAATAAAAATATAAAAAATTCCAAAATATCCTCAATACTTCTAAAGAAGGAAAAGCAATAATGATAGTGGCTCAATATTACTTACACTGTTTTCTAACTTAAGAAAATCTTGTTCTTTACCAAAAATATTTAATTTTCTAAAGTGTGAGAAAATTAGTAAATTAAATGATGGAATTGGCTTTTTTGCTACTTTCTAAAATACAATATTCTTAGGTTGACCTGAAACACAATTGGCTTAATAAAAAACATTATATAATAAAATTCTTAATTAGCATAATTGCCTATCCAGAATTTCAATTATCCTCTAGAATCTCTTTCTTAAAATTTGGAGAAAGATAAAAATATTTACTTAAGAAAAAATAATCTCAATAATTTAACTAAAATGCAAAATTCACGTTTTAAAACTTAGAATGATTTGAAGCACCAACATATTCTATGTAAAAATCAACAGTTGCAAATATTCTTACTCAAATTTCTTCTTTCTCATACCTTACCAAAGTGGATAGAAACCTATGTGTGCACGCTTGTCCAAACACATGTACATCCTACCTTTTCTGATCTGAGGCTGATAAAATATCTTGTTTTCAACACTGGGGTGCAGATTTCATTCAGCTGTAAGGTTATAGCACCCCCTAGCCCTGCCTAACAGAATAGCAGTCAATTCTGGCAGGAATTGAAGTGTAGTAAAGGAATTTTAAAGAATATATGTAAAACCTGGGTACTTTAAAAAAGTGTTCTCCATTGAAGACGTATCTTATTTTATTTGGTAGCAACCGCTGTATCTATTATAGTTTAGAATTTCTGGTATACAACCTGTTCTAACCCTGAATAGTACCAATTGCTGTTAAAATATAGGAAGCTGATTTATTCTAAAGAGCATGTGGAGCATAAACACATCAAACAGATTTCCACTGGTCCTCTAATTTTTTCCCCCCAAATCATCAACAAGCCAGACACTTGGAGTACAAGTATAGAATATTGGACATGGCTGTGATGGTTATTGGCAAATCTTATACAAATAGACAACAGCTCTCTGGGGACAAAATGTAGGCTGTGGAAAAATATATCTGAATATGACACATGTGGCCACCACTCAGATAAGATCTTTGTTACTATTCTTTTATTCATATATCATATTTTAAGAAAAAAGTTGAAAGATGAAGGATTTGGATGTGCTTGTAATAAATTCAGACTGTTTTGCTTGTCCCGTCTTTGAATCTTCAAGCTTTCCTTATTAAGCTACAATGCCTATTTCCAGCATATGGTAATAGTGCTGATTGCATAGCACCTGTCATTAGGAATTCAGGAATATAAACCTCAAAGGCTTTGATGGGAATTTAAATGGAATACCGATTTGTCAATGCAGCACTCAAGTCTGTAGTATCTGTGGGGTTCACAGGATTCCAATTAGTCTGACATTTTTTTTGCAGACTTCAGAAAAAGAACTATTGTAAAACTTGGAAGCAAACAAAAGATAAGTTTTCTCACCTTACTTGGCCCATATTATAATTTATTCCTCCCTTCGTTCCTGGAATGCTTGAAAGTCATCATTCTTTATTCTGAGATACTGTAAATCTAGATACTGTAAATCACTTGGTCAATGTACATTAAATTTAATTTAGTCTGACCACTGCTACTATTCAAAGACCAGTAAATTGATTATGTTACTAAAAGGTGATCACACTGATACTGCTATTTAATGAACTCCATGCTTGTACATTGCTCCTAATGCACACTATTTTAGATCACTTAGTCAACTCCACTCTAATTGAATTTATCATTTGAAACCTTGACTTGATGCTAATGGTCCAAATATAGCAGAGTCTCTCCAGAGTAGTCCTGTCTACAAAACGCTGTATATTGATGTTTTCTTGCAACAAACACTTGTCTTTCTTGTCTTTTTGTCAGGGCCAGTTGTCAGTTATTGAGGTGCAATTATAAGAAAACTTGCATTTAGGAAAAGATATTGTTGACCTCTGCAAATTGACTGGCAACATCAAAATTTGAAAGTGGAGCTCAGGCAGGCTTAATGGGATATATGCAAATTCTCTCCAAACACAGGCCTGAAACTGTCATATGGCTGTTGTTATTTTAAGATACGCATGATCTCCTCTTTCTGTTCTATCCCCTTTTATTTTCACTAAATGGAGTCAGTATGTTTGCAAGACTAGTCTGGCTTAAGAGAAATGGCAACAGCATTTGCTGGGTTCCACCATGAAGAATCATTACCAGTGCCAGTGGGCTTCATAAACGAGCCCCAGAGAAAAAGTGAAACGGATGTGAAGTGATATTAAAACAGAAAATAGGGGGAGAAAAAAGACATGATTTCTGTAGGTTTACAATCAAGGCACCATTGTAGAAATTAGAAATGAGGAGAGAATAGTAACTGATTATTCTTTAATTTTTTTAAAGAAAGAGGAACCTAATTTAGTGTTGCATTGTGGTTCAAAAATAACTCCGCATAATTCATAACGTGCTGTACATGAGGAGAATCAAATTTCCTAATTATGATCATGATTTTGATAACTTTTATTGAACATAAGCATGCCCATGATCAAATCTCTTAATAGGAAGCTATCTTCCATTTGGTAGCCATAATTTCAAAGCTATGCTATATACATTTCTGTACAGAAACAAGATGAGGATAACTAACACTGCTTGCCAAAAATCAAATTAGAGAATAAACATATGGAGAAATAATATAATTTACAATAAGGATTTTCAACTGAAAAATTACCATCTATACAACGTTTTGGGCAAAAATTAAGGGGTTTATCATCATGGCTTTTACTCAAGTAACACAAGTCAAATAGCAAATCAAACATAATTTTGAAATTACTCAACTTTTCCAACCCCTCTTTCTTTCACATATGTGTGTCCTGTTACATTCACCCTCAACAAACAAATTTGTGAATTACACCTTTTACCTACACCACACTCCTTCATTTTTATTTGGGGTTTGATGGAGTTCTAAATTCTAGATAATTAAAAGTTGTCCATGACTAGGAATGTGCCAAAACCTGGGAAGAATTTATTTACACTTATATAATCTAAACGTTGAGATTCTTTCCTCCAAAACAAACCTCTGTAAGGAATTGTGAAAGGGCTGAAATTTTAGCCTACTTGCAAACTAGTAAGTCAGTCTGCCACAATTTCATATGTACTGGCAGAAAACAAAACACTCTTGGGTCAGAGACATAGGATTTTACTCCTCATGGCACAGAAAGCACTATGAGCTTCATGTTTGTGTCAGCTCCCTTCTTACTCAAATCCTACAGAATGACATAAAATGGTTCCTGTGGAAGCTTTGCACGCAGAGGGTTTGCATCAGAGCTGAGGAACCCTGAGTTTAGAAAACCTTGAGTTTCTGTAATGGACTGGAAGCAAATCTGCCTAATCTTTTCCTAGAGGGAAACATTATCTTTATCACACTAGGCAGCCCACAAATCTACCCTTTACTCTGAGGGACACACCATACATTCTAAGCTGCTTGTTATACAAACATCCATAAGAGATAATCTGGAACAAAAGGAATCAGTGCCTCTGCTTGTGCAGTAATATGATAGACTCATGGAGAACTATCTCCTCAAACGCTCCTGCCTGTGAACTATCACAGAACACATTTTCTGTTCTGTATCATACATTATCTTAAATTCATTTTTTTATCAATATATCGAGCCTCCCCAAGTCAACCATAAGCTGCCATTAAAAATAACTCATTTTTACACCAATAGATTTACTTAATTTCTAAGGTAATGTCATAACATGATTTGTGCTCAATACATATTTAAGAACAATTACTGATGATGATGATTGATTAACTGATTGGTGCTAATTGATTGATGAATCGATGGTGGAAATTATACTATGTCAGGCCTCTGAGCCCAGGCTAAGCCATCATGTCCCCTGTGACCTGCATGTACACATCCAGACGGCTGGTTCCTGCCTTAACTGCTGACATTCCACCACAAAAGAAGTGAAAATGTCCTGTTCCTGCCTCAACTGATGACATTGTCTTGTGAAATTCCTTCTCCTGGCTCATCCTGGCTCAAAAGCTCCCCCACTGAGTAACTTGTAACCCCCACTCTGCCCGCCAGAGAACAACCCCCCCTTTGACTGGATTGGGTAGGATTTACCTACCCAAATCCTATAAAACGGCCCCACCCCTATCTCCCTTCCCTGACTCTCTTTTTGGACCCAGCACACCTGCACCCAGGGGAAATAAACAGCTTTATTGCTCACAGAAAGCCTGTTTGGTGGTCTCTTCACACAGACACGAGTGAAATTTGGTGCTGTGACTTGGATCGGGGGACCTCCCTTGGGACATCAATCCCCTGTCCTCCTGTTCTTTGCTCCGTGAGAAAGATCCACCTACAACCTCAGGTCCTCAGACTGACCAGCCCAAGAAACGTCTCACCAATTTCAAGTATGGTAAGTGGCCTCTTTTTACTCTCTCCTCCAACCTCACTTACTATCCCTCAACCTCTTTCTCCTTTCAATCTTGGCACCACACTTCAATCTCTCCCTTCTTTTAATTTCAATTCCTTTCATTTTCTGGTAGAGACAAAGGAGACGCGTTTTATCCGTGGACCCAAAACTCCAGTGCTGGTCACGGACTGGGAAGGCAGCCTTCCCTTGGTGTTTAATCATTTCAGGGACGCCTCTCTGATTATTCACCCATGTTTCAGAGGTGTCAGACCACGCAGGGACGCCTGTCTTGGTCCTTCACCCTTAGAGGCAAGTCCCGCTTTTCTAGGGGAGGGGAAAGTACCCCAACCTCATATCTCTGTGCCCTGATCCCTTATTTCCACACCCCAACCTCTTATATCTCTGTGCCCCGATCCCTTATTTCCGTGCCCCTACCTCTCCCGCTTTTCTGGAGGGTAAGAACCCCCAAACCCCTTCCCTCCGTTTCTCTACTCTCTCTTTTCTCTGGGCTTGCCTCCTTCACTGTGGGCAACCTTCCACCCTCCATTGCTCCTTCTCCCTTAGCCTGTGTTCTTAAGAACTTAAAACCTCTTCAGCTCTCACCTGACCTAAACTCTCAGCATCTTATTTTCTTCCGCAATGCCACCTGACCGCAATACAAACTCGACAGTAGTTCCAAATAGCCAGAAAACGGCACTTTCAATTTTTCCATCCTGCAAGATCTAAATAATTCTTGTTGTAAGATGGGTAAATGGTCTGAGGTGCCTGACGTCCAGGCATTCTTTTACACGTCGGTCCCTCTCTAGTCTCTGTTCCCAATGCAACTCATCCCAAATCTTCCTTCTTTCCCTCCCACCCGTCCCCTCAGTCCCAACCCCAAGGGTCGCTGAGTCTTTCTAATCTTCCATTTCTACAGACCCATCTGACCTCTCCCCTCCTCCCCAGGCTGCTCCTCGCCAGGCCGAGCTACGTCCCAATTCTTCCTCAGCCTCTGCTCCTCCACCCTATAATCCTTTTATCACCTCCCCTCCTCACACCTGGTCCGGCTTACAGTTTCGTTCCGTGACCAGCCCTCCCCCACCTGCCCAGCAATTTACTCTTAAAAAGGTGGCTGGAGCTAAAGGCATAGTCAAGGTTAATGCTCCTTTTTCTTTATCCCAAATCAGATAGCGTTTAGGCTCTTTTTCATCAAATATAAAAATCCAGCCCAGTTCATGACTTGTTTGGCAGCAACCCTGAGACACTTTACAGCCCTAGACCCTAAAAGGTCAAAAGGCCGTCTTATTCTCAAAATACATTTTATTACCCAATCTGCTCCCGACATTAAATAAAACTCCAAAAATTAAATTCCGGCCCTTAAACCCCTCAACAGGATTTAATTAACCTCACCTTCAAGGTGTACAATAATAGAAAAAAGTTGCAATTCCTTGCCTCCACTGTGAGACAAACCCCAGCCACATCTCCAGCACACAAGAACTTCCAAACGCCTGAACCACAGCGGCCAGGCCTTCCTCCAGAACATCCTCCCCCAGGAGCTTGCTACAAGTGCCAGAAATCTGGCCACCAGGCCAAGGAATGCCTGCAGCCCGGGATTCCTCCTAAGCCACGTCCCATCTGTGCGGGACCCCACTGGAAATCGGACTGTCCAACTCACCTGGCAGCCACTCCCAGAGCCCCTGGAACTCTGGCCCAAGGCTCTCTGACGGCTTCCCAGATCTTCTTGGCTTAGCGGCTGAAGACTGACTCTGCCCGATCACCTCGGAAGCCCCCTAGGCCATCACGGACGCCGAGCTTCGGGTAACTCTCACGGTGGAAGCTAAGCCCGTCCCCTTCTTAATCAATACGGAGCCTACCCACTCCACATTACCTTCTTTTCAAGGGCCTGTTTCCCTTGCCTCCATAACTGTTGTGGGTATTGACGGCCAGGCTTCTAAACCTCTTAAAACTCCCCAACTCTGGTTCCAACTTAGACAATACTCTTCTAAGCACTCCTTTTAGTTATCCCCACCTGCCCAGTTCCCTTATTAGGCCGAGACACTTTAACTAAATTATCTGCTTCCCTGACTATTCCTGTATTACAGCTACATCTCATTGCTGCCCTTCTTCCCAATCCAAAGCCTCCTTTGCGTCCTCCTCTTGTATTCTCCCACCTTAACCCACAAGAATAAGATACCTCTACTCCCTCCTTGGCGACCGATCATGCACCCCTTACTATCTCATTAAAACCTAATCACCCTTACCCCGCTCAATGCCAATATCCCATCCCACACCATGCTTTGAAAGGATTAAAGCCTGTTATCACTCACCTGCTACAGCATGGCCTTTTAAAGCCTATAAACTCTCCTTACAATTCCCCCATTATACCTGTCCTAAAACCAGACAAGCCTTCCAAGTTAGTTCAGGATCTATGCCTTATCAACCAAATTGTTTTGCCTATCCACCCCATGGTGCCAAACCCATATACTCTCCTATCCTCAATACCTCCCTCCACAATCCATTATTCTGTGCTGGATCTCAAACCTGCTTTCTTTACTATTCCTTTGCACCCATCATCCCAGCCTCTCTTCGCTTTCACCTGGACTGACCCTGACACCCATCAGGCTCAGGAAATTACCTGGGCTGTACTGCCGCAAAGTTTCACAGACAGCCCCCATTACTTCAGTCAAGCCCAAATTTATTCCTTATCTGTTACCTATCTCAGCATAATTCTCATAAAAACACACGTGCTCTCCCTGCTGATGTCCAATTAATCTCCCAAACCTCAATCCCTTACAAAACAACAACTCCTTTCCTTCCTAGGCATGGTTTGTGCGGTCAGAATTCTTACACAAGAGCCAGGACCGCACCCTGTAGCCTTTCTGTCCAAACAACTTGACCTTACTGTTTTAGCCTAGCCCTCATGTCTGCGTGCGTGGCTGCTGCCACCCTAATACTTTTAGAGGCCCTAAAAATCACAAACTATGCTCAACTTACTCTCTACATTTCTCATAACTTCCAAAATCTATTTTCTTCCTCATACCTGACGCATATACTTTCGGCTTCCTGGCTCCTTCAGCTATACTCACTCTTTGTTAACTCCCACAATTACCATTGTTCCTGGCCCGGACTTCAATCTGGCCTCCCACATTATTCCTGATACCACACCTGACCTCCATGACTGTATCTCTCTGATCCACCTGACATTCACCACATTTCCCCATATTTCCTTCTTTCCTGTTCCTCACCCTGATCACGCTTGATTTATTGATGGCAGTTCCACCAGGCCTAATCGCCACACACCAGCAAAGGCAGGCTATGCTATAGTACAAGCCACTAGCCCCCCTCTTAGAACCTCTCATTTTCTTTCCATCGTGGAAATCTGTCCTCAAGGAAATAACTTCTCAGTGTTCCATCTGCTATTCTACTACTCCTCAGGGATTATTCAGGCCCCCTCCCTTCCTTACACATCAAGCTCGAGGATTTGCCCCTACCCAGGACTGGCAAATTAGCTTTACTCAACATGCCCCGAGTCAGATAACTAAAATACCTCTTAGTCTAGGTAGACACTTTCACTGGATAGGTACAGGCCTTTCCTACAGGGTCTGAGAAGGCCACCGCAGTCATTTCTTCCCTTCTGTCAGACACAATTCCTCAGTTTAGCCTTCCCACCTCAATACAGTCTGATAACAGACGAGCCTTTATTAGTCAAATCAGCCAAGCAGTTTTTCAGGCTCTTAGTATTCAGTGAAACCTTTATATCCCTTATGGTCCTCCGTCTTCAGGAAAAGTAGAATGGACTAAAGGTCTTTTAAAAACACACCTCACCAAGCTCAGTCACCAACTTAAAAAGGACTGGACAATACTTTTACCACTTTCACTTCTCAGAACTCAGGCCTGTCCTCGGAATGCTACAGGGTACAGCCCATTTGAGCTCCTTTTTTTATTAGGCCCCAGTCTCATTCCAGACACCAGACCAACTTGGACTGTGCCCCAAAAAACTTGTCATCCCTACTATCTTCTGTCTAGTCATACTCCTATTCACCGTTCTCAACTACTCATACATGCCCTGCTCTTGTTTACACTGCCAGTTTACACTGTTTCTCCAAGCCAGCACAGCTGATATCTCCTGGTGCTATCCCCAAACCGCCACTCTTAACTCTTAAAGTAAATAAATAATCTTTACTGGCAAGGCTATGCTGAACCACCTTAGGCACTCTCTAATTAGATGTCGTAGGTCCTCCCAATTCTGAGTCCTTTAATACCTGTTTTTCTCCTTCTCTTATTCTGTTTAGTTTTTCAATTCATACAAAACTGTATCCAGGCCAACACCAATAATTCTAAATAACAAATGTTTCTTCTAACAGCCCCACAATATCACCCCTTGCCACAAAATTTTCCTTCAGCTTAATCTCTCCCACTCTAGGTTCCCACGCCGCCCCTAATCCCGCTCGAAGCAGCCCTGAGAAACATCACCCATTATCTCTCCATACCACCAAAAAATTTTCACTGTCCCAACACTTTACCACTATTTCATTTTATTGTTCTTATTAATATAAGAAGACAGGAATGTCAGGCCTCTGAGCCCAAGCTAAGCCATCACATACCCTGTGACCTGCAGGTACACATCCAGATGGCTGGTTCCTGCCTTAACTGCTGACATTCCACCACAAAAGAAGTGAAAATGTCCTGTTCCTGCCTTAACTGATGACATTGTCTTGTGAAATTCCTTCTCCTGGCTCATCCCGGCTCAAAAGCTCCCCCACTGAGTACCTTGTGACCCCCACTCTGCCGGCCAGAGAACACCCCCCTTTGACTGTAATTTTCCTTTATCTACCCAAATCCTATAAAACGGCCCCACCCCTATTTCCCTTCGCTGACTCTCTTTTTGGACTCAGCCCACCTGCACCCAGGTGAAATAAACAGCTTTATTGCTCACACAAAGCCTGTTTGATGGTCTCTTCACATGGATGAGAGTGAAATACTAAAACTGAAAGATACAGTCAATTTTCTACAGGTATTGCCCTTATGATGTCAACATCTGGGTTTTTCAAACCCACAGAAAGTTGTATGGTTGATATTATGTAGTATCCAGAACTAATTGATTTATAGAGTCTTACCTTTTAATTCATTTTTTTTAATGTGATGAAGAAATAATCATTGTTCATGAAGCTAACTGGGTAAAACACATGCAAGTTTAGATAGAAAAATTTTGTATAGAAAATGCTCTTGAGAAGAGAAGAAATACAAATTTGAAACAAAGGGGAAAATGAAGTTTAAATGAATTCCAAGCCAAAAGCCATATTCATTTTTTTTGGCAGCCAAAAGGTAGAAAATGTGGTTTGCATGTGGAGTCAGAGACTTATTGCTCAAATTACTTTACTGGTAAAACTGCTTAGAGTACATTTTGTTGATAAATATATATAGTTTGAAAGTTTCATTGTCTTTAAAATACTGCTACTAGGAGCTCCTATAATGTTAAAAATTCCCATTAAAATCAAGATTTTTCAAAAGCAGTTTAAGGATAAACAGGCCAAGCATGGTGGCTCACATCTGTCATCACAGCACTTTGGGAGGCCAAGACGGGAGGATCACTTGAAGCCAGGATTTCAAAACCAAGCCGGGTGTAGCAGGTTCCTGTAATCCCAGCTCTTGGGGAGGCTGAAATGGGAGGATTACTTGAGCCCAGGAATTTGAGGCTGCAGTGAGCTAGGATCAAGCCACTGCACCCCAGCCTGACCAACAGAAAGAGACTCTGTCTCTAAAAAATAAAATAAATAAATAAATTTAAAAATTTTAAAAAATGGATAAATAATTAGATGTATGAAATTTTAAAAAGCTTTATCCTTAAAAATAAGATATTATTTACATTAATTGAATAACATTTATTTAGTGAAACATAGCAGGGTGCACTTTTTACAGATATCTTTAAATGAATCTTCATATTTAAGGTAAATATGAAAAGAATATCAATGTACTTTGCAAATGTCATGGATTTTATTTTGTACGATAAAATAAACGAAAGCTCTGCAAAGTCTAAACCAAGAAAGGCCCCATTCTTTTAGGGAATAAAATAATCATTTGAGATATAAATATCTGACAAATAAGGTAGAGCAGCAAAGGGAATTAAGAAGAGGTTTGGGGAAGAAATGAACAGTTTCTAGTTGTGAAGGTAATTAACCTTTTTTCAGGATCATTAAAAAATGTTTTTCCTGCACACTACTAATTTTCTTTCAGGTTATAGAGGTCATTGTTTAGAAGATCAGGAGGGGAAAATATCGAGAGCTGATATTCATCTACCTATGCAAAAGGGACACACACAAAAAATTAACAATCAGTACTAAATTATTTCTTTCTGGCATGTATCTTCCTACCCTGAAATTCTACCTTAGGCCAGTGAAATACACCTATATAAACATCATCCGTTGAGGTATTAATTTTGGTGAAAATTATCAGTGCAAAATTTGAATATGTCCCACTATCTTCACACTACTTCATATAAGTAGTATTCTTTATTATTCAATTTTGCATGAAACAATTTGCTCCATTTGTACTGCAGATACATTTCTTTTTGATTCTGTGCCCCATAGAGCTGATTTCTAAAGCATAGCTACATTAAGGACACAAACTTTGTGCTTGAAGTACTGTCAAAAGACAGAAATGTTGAAAGGCTAAGATGATGAAATAAATGCCTATAATACTAATTCTGGCCCAATACATGGCCATGCTGACTTCCTTAATTTCTTTTTCTTTTTTTAAAATTTACAGATAGGGTCTCACTCTGTTGCCCAGGCTGGAGTGCAGTGGTATGATCATAGGTCATAACAGCCTTACACTCCTGGACTCAAGCAATCCTCCTGCCTCAGCCTCTTGAGTAGCTGAGACTGCAAGTGAGGGCCACCACATCTGGCTAATTTTTTTATTTTATTTTTTTGTCAAGATGGGATCTTATTATTCTGCCCAGGATGGTATCTAACTCCTGGCCTCAAGTAATCATCCTGCCTCAGCCTCCCGAAATGTTGGGGTTCCATGTATAAGCCACCTTAATTTCATACTTACTTTAGCTTTTCATGTGTGGAGGTTTATTTTCATAGCCAGAAAGTAAAATAAACTACCTCTGAATTATTTAAGAATGCTTTGATAGGTTCTATAATTACTGAGGTCCAAATACCACATCAAACAAAAGTATTTGATCACTGAAATGTAATGAAACTGTTTCTAGCAGGATTGTACCTGATTTTTATATTGTATTTATAATAGTTACCAATATTAATAATCAATTATAGGTTAATTACAATATATGGCATTGTTCAATCTACCTTCACAACATCCCCATGAAGGACATATTATCATACTAATATTGCAGCTAAAGAAATAGGTTCTGGTGTGTTAGAAAACTTAGCAAAGTTGAGACAGCTAATAAAAGACAGAGCCAGAATTCAATCCCAAGTCCATCTAACTCTAGAACTCATTTGTTGTCCCACAGGACACCATTATTTCATCTCAATAATAATGGAGACTCTAAAGGCCACTTGTAGGAGAAACTAGGTTTATTTGATCTTGGCTACATCATGAAGAAACACCAAATCTGGGATTATACAGGGTTGGACATTTTTGACCCTACCTTCCACTAATCTTAGTTCTCCAGAATGAGATGTGAATAAAGCTCATACTGCTTGCTGTCCCTATTGTGCTTGTTCTTCTTGCTGTAGCTGAATGTCCATTTCTAAATCATGGAGGGGAAAAAGTTGTTTGCTTACAGTTATGGCCATGATAAGCAAAGAATCTGAGAGTGGGGTCAGGGAGTCAAAAAAATGTGTAAAAACAGGTAAGGCAATGGTTTATGAATACCTCCTCTAGGGAAAGAATAGGATTCATTATTCTTTTGCAAAAAATGCATCAAAATTCTAAGATATCCCATTTTCTTAATTCTTCACGTAATACTAGTATTTCCTTCACTTTGATTTCCTAGTCAATTCACTATTTTTTTTTAGTATTTTCTGGCTTTCAAACAAATAGGTAAATGTTCTCTTCTTGTTTTTCTACTTCTTGTTTTGCTTTTTAATCGTCTAAGTGAAAAAAAAGGCAGTATACTTTATAAAATGTAATTTATTTACCTCAGAAAGAAAAAATAACTCATATATCAATAAAGAGGTTCAGAGTAAAATCAGCATAGTAGCATGTTACAAATTTCATTTTTAAGTTTCTGAAATGTACATTACCGGTTTATAAAAAACTGAATTTAATTCTCAAACATAAGTATAACATAATAAAATTGTTTTAAATGTAGATTATAATAAAACACTGTATGCTAATATTAAAATATATATTCAAGCATTTCATATGTTTAATAAGCCAATAATTTCAGTTCACTTCTACCAATCATGGCTATTTAGGATCCCCCTTAAATCTTTGTAGAGAACTTCTCATGTTGTTTCATAAATATTTGTTAACCTACCTTTTCCTCCTGAAACTCAGAGCTCTTATCAGTACACAAGGACTCTACAAGAAAGTCTTCCCACCTTGTGGAATTGCCTTGAATATTCAATGAGGTAGCATAAAAGACATTGGCAAGTTTAATACCAGGCACCTAAGAGGCACTTAGTAATTCCCTTCTGTGAAAAGATAATTTTCAAGATGGTAAAATCATGACTCTCATCAAATATAAAATGAATATCTATCAGAGATTTTATTTAGCTCATTAATTAGTGAGGAAACAAGAAAAATGTTAAAACTGATTCAAATGAAAATGTCTTACAGAGATTTTAATTCTCTACTGGACAAAATTCATTTGCATTTCTATGGACAAGAAAGATTTTCATTGTTATCAGTTTGCTACCACGCAGCTTCCGTCCCTATAGAGTTGTAAAATAGCCTAGTCAATAAAGACAATCAAAGGTGCACAAGCTTATAGTAACAGATAACCCCAGAGAGTTTGGTAGACAATGTTCAGTGTTCCACTGAAAGGACTCACAGGAAACTCATTTGCCATTTGCAAGTTGATTTTTTTTTTTGGCAATCGTTTACCCATTTCCAAGACAACTTTTTTTCTGACACTTCCTTTTTCATAATATTTATTTATTCTAGAACTAAGAATTTATTAGTATTTGCATCTTCAGTACTTAGTACATGCTTGCTTAGTACTCGAAAAAGCCTGGTTTAATTACGTTTTTTAAAGCCACTTCCATTTATACAGGATCTTACTATATGCAAAATACCTTCCTTATGCTTTCTGTCATTGATTCAATTATCTCACACAGATTACTGAAAAAACAATGGCAGTCACAATATTATTTTCAATTCAATTTAATAAATATTTAATGAGCACCTACCACATTCATACTCACTGTAAAAAGAAAGAAAGCTAACTATAGTGTCTGGATTTGTATCTTTTCACTTTTTCTTCTTGATGGTATGCTGGGCTTTGCTTTTATGTCATCCCTTTAACATCATTACCATGGAAACACTTCTGGGGCTATAATTCTGCTTTTTATAGGGAGTTCCTAGTCTGATTACCAAAAGACAATATTAGAATCATACTTACGTCCTCCTGGTCTGCACTGCCATCTTCACAATAGCCCTCTCAACAGGCTTACAAGGTGTTGTCGATTGCTCCAAGAAACAGCTCAAAGCAAAAGAAGACTGAGGGCAGAATCATGAGGTCATACACATTTAGAGGGACCCCACTGCTATTCTGATGTTTAGTCTAAGAGCCACTTTTCTAGCCTCCTCTGACTTTGTCTTTTCCTAACGAGTCAACAAACTTTGTGTCCTTTGAGAGTTTCACCCTTAAACCTGGCTTCAATGTAAAGAAAGTGGTGTTTCTCTAGAGTGTTCCCCTTTGCCTTTCTTCTTCCAAAGACGAACATTTTAGGAAAAAAAGAAACTAGTTCTGGAGGTCCAGGACAGATATGGGTGTTTTGAATAGATGAGGCCTCAAATTGGGTGCATTACTTGGAAGAAAATGTACCTCAGAGAAGCCAAATAATTTATTCATATTTGCAAGAGTGGTAGAGGGAGGATTCGAACTCAAGACTTAAGGTTTGCACAGAAGGCATAGCACTGACAGCTTAGATTTTGGAATTAAAAAAAGAAAGGCTTCTATTTGCATTAAGGCCAACCACTCTCTGTGACTTTGAGCTAGTTACCTAGCTTTCCTTAATGTCATGAATTTTTTCCAGAAATAGTAATAATATGTATCTAATAAGGTAGTTTTCAAAATTAAATTAGATACTGCCTGAAAGTCATGTAATCAATAATGCTTTAACTTTCAATATTATTATCTCTAGTTAATCAGGGTTGTCAAAGCTTTTACTGCTAATCAATACAAGGAACTCAGCAGGTAATTATAAAAATAATACACATCAAGGAGTTACACAGGTTAAGACAGTTTTTAAAGTTTATATGATTGTGACTAAAAACATATATGGATTTCTGCTTTCAAAATATTTTTAGGCAGAAAGTGGAATTCACCAATCATTTTCATCATAGCTCTCCAATTCTTTCTTGATTTCCACCCCTCCTTTAAGTCACACTTAACTCCATGTTGGAAAATGCCCCTTCCTGGCTCTGGACCATTCATATGATCACTTGACTCAACTATGTACTTTTCATTTTTAAGAAAGTGACCCACCATCTCAATTGTCACAGCCCTAAAATCAAAACAAAACAAAAAATCTTGTGTACACATTACTCACTTTAGAGTTAAAAAAATACTGTGTGTTTTTTAACACCTCTTCTTTGTATACACTCTTACAGAGGTGTGCATGCGCTTAATTGTGCTGAAAGTGGGGAAGAGCTCATCTGTGTCTTAGTTGGCTCAATCTTTGTGGTGCCCCACATCGAAGGTGGATTTCTATAGGACAAGTTTTTAAATCTCAGCATCTTTTTCCCATAGAACTCAGTTAGGCCAGAACTTTTAGATAGATTTGAACAGTAAACTACTGAACCCATTCATTTATTTCAGTTTATCAATGGTCCAAATTATGACAGATACTCCTTTTCCACTATGGATAAATCCTTTCTTCTTAGCAATACTTTTTTTTTCTTTCCAATTTTTATTTTAAGTTCAAGGAGCACATGTGCAGATTCGTCACATGGGTAAATTGCACATTGTGGGCTTTGGTATGGAGATATTTTGTCTTCCAGGTAATCAGCATAATATCTAATAGATAGTTTTTTAATACTCACTCTCCTCCCACCCTTCACCCTCATGTAGGCCCCAGTGTCTATTGGTCATTTTTTGAGTGTATGTGTACTTAATAGCTCCCGGGGAGAACATGTGTTATTTGTTTTTTTGTTCCTGTGTTAATTCACTGAGGATAATAGATAATGGCCCACAGCTCCATCCACATTACTGCAAAAGGTATGTTCTCATTTTTTTTTTGTTTGTTTTTGTTTTTTGAGACAGAGTCTCACTCTGTCATCAGACTGGAGTGCAGTGGCGCATTCTTGGCTTACTGCAACCTCCAAGCGATTCTCCTGCCTCAGCTTCCCAAGTAGCTGGGACTACAGGCATGCACCACCATGCCCAGCTAATTTTGTACTTTCAGTAGAGACAGGGTTTCACCATGTTGGCCAGGATGGTCTCAATCTCTTGACCTCATAATCCACCTGCCTCAGCCTCCCAAAGTGCTGGGATTACAGGCGTGAGCCATCACACCCAGCCTGGTCCCATTCTTTTTTATGGCTATGTAGTATTCCATGGTATACTCGTCCCATATTTTCTTTATCTAGTCCACCATTTATGAACATCTAGGTGGATTCCATGTCTTTGCCATTGTGACTCGTGCTGTAATGAACATACACATGGATGTGTCTTCATGGTAGAATGATTTATATTCCTTTGGACATATACCCAGTAATGGGATTGCTGGGTCAAATGGTAGTTCTGTTTTAAGTTCTTTGAGAAACATCCAGACTGAGTTCCACAGTGGGTAAATTGATTTACATTCCCACTAGCAGTGTATAAGGATTTCCTTTGCTCCACAACCTTGCCAGTGTCTGCTATTTTTTGACTTTTTAATAGTAGCCATTCCAGCTGGTGTGAGATGGTATCTCATTGTGGTTTTGATTTGCATTTCCCTAATGGTTAGTGATATTGATCATTTGTTCATATCCTTGTTGGTCACCCATATGTCTTCTTTTAAGAAGTATCTGTTCATGTCCTTTGCTCACTTACTAATGGGGTTGCTTTTTTCCTTGTAAATTTGATTAAGTTTCCTCTAGATTCTGGCTATTGGACCTTTGTAGGATACAGAGTTTGCAAGTATTTTATTCTATTCTGTAGGTTTTCCATTTACTCTATTGATAGTTTCTATTGCTGTCCACAAGCTCCTTACTTTAATTAGGTCCCATTTGTCAATTTTTGTTTTCATTGCACTTGTATTTGGCATCTTCATCATGAAGTCTTTGCCATGGCCAATATCCAGAATGGTATTTCCTAGTTTTTTTTTTAGGGATTTTATAGTTTTAAGTTTTACACTTAAATCTTTAACCCATTTTGAGTTGATTTTTGTATAAGGTAAAAGGTAGGTTTCTAGTTTCAATCTTCTGCTTATGGCTAGCCAGTTATCCCAGTACCATGTATAGGGATTCCTTTTCCCATTGCTTTTTATTGTTGGCCTTGTTGAAGATTTGATGGTGGTAGGTGTGCAGCTTTCCTTCTGAGTTCCCTAACCTGTTCCATTGATCTATGTGTCTGTTTTCACACCAGTACCATGCTGTTTTAGTTACTGTAGTCTTTTAGTATAGTTTGAAGTTGGGTAGTGTGATGCCTCCAGCTTTGCTCTTTTTGCTTGGGATTGCTTTAGCTATTCAGGCTCTTTTGATCCCAAATGATTTTTAGAATGTTTTTATCTAGTTCTGTGAAAAATATCACTGGTAGTTTGATAGGAATAGCACTGAATCTGTAAATTGCTTTGGGCAGTATGACCATTTTTAACAATATTGATTCTTCACATCCATGAGTATGGAATGTTTTTCCATTTGTTTGTGTCATCTCTATCTCAGCAATAATGTTTGTCTGAGATTTTCTAACCCTCATTCTTCCCCAATCATCGTTGATTAGTAATCTCTTATTCAGACCTTCAGTTCTACTTTTACAAACTCACGTAAGACGGGAAAAATTGACCCAACCTTGGCCAAAGACAGATACTTTGTTCATGTTATAATTTATCAAATATTTTTGGGAAAAAATTATCCAATAAATACACTTTAATGGAAATAAGACCCTTCTGAGAGCTCAGCTACTCACCTATTCAGTGGACTGTTAACCTTGAGAGGAACCTAACTATCTTGAACCAGTCTTGAAGGCATTGTTTAATAATTCTTAACTAGCTGTTTTTTCTCTTATGAAGTACAATAATTAGCTAACCATTCACTTTTCTTATAGTATGTCTCAAAGAAAAGGAAATCTAATCTTTCGAGTGACTAGCTACAAGTCTTCTTCCCTGCAGCAAGATTGTAATAAAATGTTGACACATGTACAACACCAAATTGTCTGAAAAAAACGCATTACGTTATTTTTTTTTAATTGCTTTTTGTTTTGTATTTCATCCCTTCTCCCATCCCACTGGCTTGTAAACTTTTTGATGGCAGGGATATAAAAATTATTTTTTTAACTTTAAGTTTTGGTACCTACCACACTATCTACCATATAGTAACTGCTAAACAGTTTTGCTGACTCAATGAAGATCTAACAAAAAGAACTAGAAACAGCTAGAGAAGTAGAGCATAAAGCAATATGAAGAAAACAAAAAATAAAATTGGTATCCCAATGTGTTTCTGACCAGCTGGAAGGCTATTCCAATACAACAGGCCAAGTGCATAATGAAATTTCAAGGAGTAAGTCATTCAAGTTCTGAGAAAGTACCTGCCCAAGAAGCATATAAAAAACATTTGCTGAGTTACAAACTTGAAAACATATTGAAGGTGGCTAAAAGATATTGAAAATAATATAAATAATATTTACTGTTTAGGCCAGAATAGAGAGACCATAATATACTCCAAGGCTTTTTCAGAAGTACAGAAGGGAAAACTACTACTGAGTTTTACTATGTAGCCAGCACACGTGTAGAAAACCTAACATATAGATGTTATGAATATGGCACCAGCCTTAACATTTGATTTTAATGTAATTTTAACATCATTGTCATCTGGAGAACCAGATTACCAGATTCCTTGTGCCATCCAGGTATTCAAAGGAATCCATAGCCAGATTAGTAGAGCAATGAAATGTACAACATAAGACTAGGATTGGAAATTTTTATGAAATACAGGAAGATGTCAGTCTGGTCAAGAGCCGTTTTACAGCAATCTCGTATAGGGTGGTCACAAACAGGGAAGGCAGAAGTGTTTTAAGATAGAACTGGAGCATGTCCTCATGTGGCCTGTCCTTGACAAGACCTGTGGCAGCAAAGGAGACACTAGTCACATAGCAACCAGAAGATATCAGTTTGTTTTTCTTTTTAAAATAAACTTCACCACACGGAGATATAACTGCTTCTGATAGGGACAGGAGACAGAGAAATTCTAGGCAGAAAAGGGTGGGTTCCTGACAAAACTCCACCCTGAAGCCTGAAACCACCGCCCAAAGTGAGAACTCACTTTGTGTTCTCAAGTGTTGCCTTTTCCAAAACCACCTGTGGCCCTGCCTGGAGCCATCCTGTGCCAATTAAAAAAAACCCAAACTCAGCTGGCAGAGAGAGGAGAAGCATCTGGACGTCAGCGACTACAGTTGGACATTGGAGAGAAGCGGCTTGACTTCAGAGGGACAGCTGGACAGTGTAACTTAGGAGAAGAATTTGGCCAGAGACGTTCAGATTTCAAGGGAAAATTACCTTCCCTCCCGTCTCCTCTTCAGTTCCCCTTCCCACTGAGAGCCACCTCCATCAGCAATAAAATCTACCACATTTACCATCTTTCAATTCGTTCGGGTGACTTCATTTCTCCCAAAAGCTGGACAAGAGCTCAGGTACCAGGAGTGCGGATGAAAAAGGCTGTCACACTGACTCTTTGCCCTCACAGGCAGAAGGCAGCCATCTCATGCGAAAAGGCAAAGGGTCCACTGAGCTATTGAACACTTAAGCCGTCCACGGACAGCAGAGCTAAAAGAACACTCGCTCTAGGGCTTCAGGGGTCGCGGGCACCTCCGCCACATGCTGCTGCAGGGCTGGCACGGAGTTGGCTCCTGCCGGGGCGCTTGCCCCAGCTCCTGCACTTGCTCACCTGTGCACCCCTCCCGTGAGGGGTGGAACACAGCGGTCCAAGTGAATGGAGTTCATTCCTGCAGGCACCAGAGCGGCCAGCTGACTTCAGCGCTCCTGTACTCCAGTTTCCGCTTTGTTCACACACTCCCTTCTGCGAGGAGTTGAGAGCTGCGGGCTCAGTAAATGGGGCACCCGCTTGGTGAGTCTTGCGAAGGTCAATTAGATAGAAACCAGAGAACTGGGACAATATTCAATTTTTTTTTTTTTTTTAATTTGAGATGAAGTCTCGCTCTATCACCCAGGTTGGAGTGCAGTAGCGGGATTCGGCTCACTGCAACCTCCACCTCCTGGGTTCAGGCGATTCTTGTGCCTCAGCCTCCCTAGTAGCTAGGAATACAGGCATGGGCCACCATGCCTGGCTGATTTTTGTATTTTTAGTAGAGACGGGGTTTCACCATGTTGGCCAGGTTGATCTCGAACTCCTGACCTCAGGTGATCTGCCCACCTCGGACTCCCAAACAATATTCAAATTTTATTTATGCTCACTGAGGAACAGCAAACATTTATTTGCTTTTTTAAAAACTTTTAGCACCAGACTGTAAAATAAAAAATAAAAACAACCAATGGGCTATCTAAAATAACAGTAGATAATTACATAAGGCTTACTTTATGCTTGGCACTATTCCATATGCTTTATAATTTATTTTTAAATTCACTTACTTCTCAAAACAAGCCCAAGAGGTAGCTTCTGTCAATATGCTATTTTATAGATGAGGTAGCTGAGAGATTGGGAGGTTAAATGATTTTCCTTATGTCATATAGTTGGTAGAGTAAGCATGCAGGCAGCCTAGGCTATAAAATATGTGCTCTCAACATATATTTGTCCCTCAATTTTACTTAATGATCTTCTTTCACAAAATCTTCATTTATTACCTCATGTAACTTTACAATATTCCTCTCAGTTTTATTTTTAAAAAAGATTTTCTTAGAAAACATAATCAACTGGTGAAGATCTGGGAATCTGTTCTGCGATGTAGACTAAGTGGGATAGCTACTGGAAATCTTTTTCCTCATCTGTTTAATAATAAATAGTAGTATTTCCTGCCTTGTTGGGTTTTTATTACAAAGTTAAAATGTAAATTGTCTAGTACTGTTCTTAATAAATGACATATCTATGCCCATGTCTAGATTTACATTTAGATATAGATTTAATAATATAGATATATAGATTGATAGATACAGATACTATCATTACTGATAATGTTATAATTATTAAATTAGAAACGAGAAAATTGAGAGTCATACATTACGTTATCTTTGTTAATTACGGATCTCTTTGACATCAAAATATGGAAGCCCCCAATTTTTTATAGATATATTTAACCTTAACATATCAGGAAGATCCAAAAGGCATGTGAATGAAAAAGAGCCTAATAGCTATAAAATATAGGTAGATGATTGATAGATACAGATAAACAAACCTATCTCCATTTTAAATTACATGTCTATTAAAACTTTGACGTCCCTTTCTTTACTCATCAATTTTTACATCCTAAAACTGCTTTACACACCTTGCCAAATTTTCCCTCTTATGCTTGCCTACCCACAGGTCCTGCCTCTTTGTACTTTTTCTCTACACTCTTTCTTTCATTATGTGGATCTCTTTGTCAGGTTCATCTCTCTAGCCGTTCACCAATAAAGCACACACTAGTGTTTTTTGTTCTATCGTATAATATTCTCTGTAATAAATCCGGTAGCTCCTAGAGAAGATCAAGTGCTTTTCCAGATAAATGCATTTGCATTGTCTTCTGTGAAAGTGTTTTGCATTTGCTTATTATTCAAAGTAATTGTCAGATTTTAGGACAATCTGAGACAATATCTATTGTACCTATTTGTTAAACTAGTTTTTCAACAAGTTAAAAATATTTATAACCAAGAAACATAACTGTTGTCTCTGGTAGGCTCTCGTGTTCTTGGTGTATCCTTCTCTCCTTTATGTTCAACTATTTACACAATTGAAATCAAATGACCTTTTGCTCTACCTCTATTAGGATGCATTAACTGAGATTATCTCAAAGCTATTTAATCTCATTGTGTGTAAAATTCATTCATATGTCTGAAATACATATTGTACTAGATCTTAAATATGTTGCAGTACATTAAAAATACATTTTTAAGTCAAAAAAAAAAAAAAAAACCTAGAGCAACAGCAAAACTAAGGTTTGTTGTTCCCAGGATAGAGTCTAATTCAGCTGCAGCAGCAAGATTGGATGAATATTTTCTAAAAACATGAACTCCCACAAAGTATAAAAAAGCTTCTGTAAGTGTGGGTGAGTTCTGTTCATTGACCAAAAAAATCCTTTACATATCAAGGAGTAGTAAGCTACAATCCCAAATCATGAATACAGAAATTTCTCAAGCCACTTGTGATAAACTCATTTCTAGTATCATACACACTAGTTGACACCAAATGAAACTTCTCTTTCATATCAGAGTTAAACTGTAAATAAACTTCTACTTGGTCTTTTGCATTACACACTAGGAAGTCCAGCTGAGTCCAAGAGATGTCTTGTAATCTCTGTGTTCGGCTATTGTTGCAAGCCACTGTGCTACAGGGCCTCATGCTGTCAGCAAAGAAAAAAAAAACTACATTTGAATTACATTATTCGATTCGATCGGGGGACTATATTTTGTCTGCCCAGAAACTGACACATATTGAAAAGGTACAATTTACATATATAGAAGCATGAGCAAAACTGTACATTTTTACTATGGCTGTCAGTGTAAGTCTGTGTATCTGGAAGTAATGTCTACTCAAGACAATAGGTCAAAATAGGTAGTTCCAGGCAGTGACTTCTGAATTTCCAGAAGTATTGAGTGCTAAGTTGTTATTTATTAATGCCCTCTTTATTTTTTTACTTTGAGTTTCCCATATTAAACAATTATTTATCTTCAACCTATACTATTTCAACCTATACTTTTACTATTATAAAGTTTCTGTTATATCTACTAAGGAGGAGACACCTGAAATGCTTATTAGGCTCCTGCTATAAAAACATATTTCTTGCTATTTCTTATTTCTCACTTCTAACACAATATACAATGGTTCATAATTCTAATTTCTAGAAAATATTGCTGAATTTTGGTGGAACTTATATACTTATAATATAATAGGCTCGTAATTAGTAGCAACGTTCTTTAAGAGCCTTGGAATTTTGGAATTTGAAATCAGAATATTTGAATTTATGTCCTGATTCCACCATTTGTGAGCTAAAGAATCTTGAAAAAGTCAGGTTCTCAGAGCCTAAGCTTTCTCAGCAGCTGTGGAGCAAATAAGACAGTATATGAGAAAGACTTTTAGAAATTATGTTATGATACAAGTGTTCGTATTTGTTATTATATCTTATGGGAAAATACTTGGAAAGTTTGATTTTTAGTTCTTACTTTACATATACAAGAAAAAAGCAGAAGGAATTGTCCGTTTGACCTTCATACCCTGAGTATTTCTGGTCAAATTAAGCACTTTCATCTTGTATGTTTTTACATACTTTTAAATGATAACATAAGGGCAAATGTGTGAAACCCTGAAGATTTTGCTATTCAAAGTGTCAGTCAGTTCATAGTCACACTAACAGCCCAATAACAGGGCTAAGGAAGTGTTTTATTCCTCATTTAAGTATTTGACTTTATTCCAACCTGACCCAATTCACTTGACACTATCTAAACTGCAGGTGGCTAGTTAGTTGTGTAATTACAGTTCCACGGTTTCAGTTTAATACTTTGGATTCAATTTAGTTGTACAAAGGAATGCAAGATTGCCACATAGATTAGTTCTTTAAAGACTTTTCATCCTTTTGTATTTTAATAAATTTTCCAAATGCTATTATTGCTTCTCTTAAAGACTTGATTCTTGAAAGCTTTTGCTCTTTACAAGCTTAATATCTGCTGAAAAAAGCTGCAGAAAAATGTTCAATAATGGAAATGCTAAGCCTTCATTCTCATAATCAACATAAGCTTTGAATCTTTATCAAACTTTTATCAACTGTTCATTACATTCTATCCTTTAAGCTCATGCTGACTTCACTATTAAACTCTTCATTACAAAGTTATATTGCTTTGTTTTGCTTTGGCAAACATTGTGTGCATGCGCCGGTGTGTGTGTGTGTGTGTGTCTGTGTGTCTTCACTTTTGGAGAGACTGTTATTTTTATTTTTTACTATTATACAGTTTTATTGGTGTCCAAAATAAATAAAAGTTTTCAGTTTAAGAATATTCACACATAACTAGCAAAGGATGAAGTCGATAGTTTATATTCCAGTTAGGTTATAATTTTCCTATAGTTAGATTTACCTCAAAAAGCACATAGCAGTGACTTTGTTTTCCAGGTGACTTTTAAGTATTTACCTTCATCTCTCTCCGCCCTAGTTTATATAAATGAAAGTCACCCCTTTGTGATTTATTATCTATCTATCTATCTATCTATCTATCTATCTATCTATCTATCTATTTATTTATTTATTTTTTCGAGACGGAATCTCGCTCTGTCACCCAGGCTGGAGTGCAGTGGTGTGGTCTCGGCTCACTGCAAGCTCCACCTCCTAGGTTCACGCCATTCTCCCACCTCAGTCTCCCGAGGAGGTGCCTGCCACCACGCCCGGCTCATTTTTTGTATTTTTATTAGAGACGGGGTTTCACCGTGTTAGCCAGGATGGTCTCCATCTCCTGACCTCGTGATCCTCCCGTCTCAGCCTCCCAAAGTGCTGGGATTACAGGCGTGAGCCACCGCACCTGGCCGTGATTTATTATCTAATGTACTTAAACAGTTAAGTTATTGGTAGCTAAAATAGTAAAGGTTCTTTGAGTTAAAATGCTTTTATGGTTACACATTTATTTATACACCTAATTGTTCAACAATCATTTCTTTGGCATCTGTTCTGCACTAGGAACTACTTTGGGTACTCTACACAGGGACAAAGCTGAAGAATGCATATCCCTTGCTTTTGGAGGGCTCAGGGTGTAGTGAGTAAGATACGTTGTTAAATATACCAAAGTAAGTACGTTAAAGAATCTGACATATAAGAACTGATACGTCTGTGACTTTTTCTGCCTCAGAGATTAGGGAGAAATTTCATAGAGTGATATTTGAGCTGAATTATGAAGGCAAGAAAACACCCGAAAATTTTTTTTTAATAATTTTAAAAAGGAAATATATAAAAGGTGAAAACTTAATTCCAGACAATAATATGTTCTTAGTTTTTGAATACTACTGACCCTGACTTTTCCTTATTATAAGTGAGTTAGAGTTTTCTCCCATTTTGTTGTATGTAAGTCTCTGGAAATTGTATTTGCAGAGCATTCCAAAAGAGCTTGAGCCCAGGGCAAAACCATGGCTTTTTATTTGGGCTCTTGCAGTTTCATGGATGCATAATTTGAACAATTATTTCAGTTGCTTAAGCTAATTGAGAAACTCAGAAGAAGAAGAGTGATTATTAGTCGTTTTTAATAATTTAAAATGTATTTCTTATTTGTAGAGTTATATTACAGATTCACCCTATATGCTTTGCTAGTTGGTGCATATAAATTTTTATAATGTATTGTTGTCAATAAAAATAAGTTGCTTTCTAATTGTGTGCATGTGTGCCCTATAGAATTTTAAAGAGCAGTGCTACAGCATTTCCTTTTGTGGGATTCCAAAATTCAATCTCGTGTTCATTCATATGATGATATCAGAAAATATAATTTCCTAATATTTACGGGGTATTGTAATTACCTACTTTTAGCTTTGCATTTTTGCACATGCAAAACTTACTCTTAGACACATTGGTAAGATTTAAGGTACTAAGAGCATACCTTGAACTTTGATAACCTTGCTACAGATTTTCTAACAGCCACATACTCTCAGTTCTTCTTTTCGTCAACGTGAGCTTCACTTCTAGTTTTTCAGAAGTGTCAGAAAATCTTGTTTAGGTAAATAAAATACAATTTTAATGGAGTTGCATATTGGTTATCTAAAAAATTTTTTTTGAGCTCTGTCCTTGCTTGGCTCAGTGTGATGAGGACTTTGCAATACCTGTCAGGGCTGTATTTCAATGATGCTTGGACTACTAACCTGAGCAGACTATGCTGGAATATGCAAGGACACTTGCCTTAGTGCTAAAGGCATATGCTGCTCATCTGTACATCCTGTCAAATCTTTTTTTTCTCTCATTCCAATTTTTCTAATTTTTTTGATGTACAGTTTCGAATGATACAACTAAAAATAGATTTATAATGGTAGTTTATATATAGAATTGGTCAAGTAAGGTTTCCCTGGAGCAGATTGTTTTCCCTCCTTTAAACAAAATCAATAGCCCATTTGAACTTAGAGCCCTTTATCTCCCGAAAAGAAATAATGATTTTTAGGTATTCCATATACAGGGGAATGTTCCATAGTTTGATATCAGAGCTTCTTTTATGAAGCAACACTCCTACTTGGGACAACTCAAAAAATGATGAGGGCAGCAAGGAGCTGATCTCTTCCTTGCCCCTTCATCTTGACCTTTTATGTGTTGCTATAGGATCCTCTAAAATTAATAGTATTCAATTATTATTATAAAGCTACAAAATTTAAATGTAATACTTGAAAAAGACAATTCTCATGTATTATTTGCCTCCTATGTGTTAGGTACTTTTGTGATTGTGCTGCAGTACCAGAATCCTGAGAAATATCAGTCTCCCTACTTATTTTGTATCTGTGGAAAAACAGATGCTAATTCAGGTTCACCTACTTGCCCAAGTTCTCACTGTGGTAAAACCAAGACTCCAACAATCTGTGCTTTCTCCAAAAAAATCACCCTCTCAATTTGGAAATACTATAACTAGACTATTATAATAATGGATTAGAAAATGATTCTTTTGTTCAAAATCAGTGAGGAAACTGTGTGTGGTGAAGAATGTCAGACCAAAAAAAAAGGCACTAGATGAAGAAAAATTTCAATAAAACGGCTTGTTCAAGGACATTTTTCACTAAAATGTAATATATTTTTCTGATGTCAAAATTCTTAAAAGAGCAAGACATTTATTTCAATTTAACCGAAATTTAATGAGCACCCTTGATGTGCCTCCAACATTGTGATAGATGGTAAGATCCACTGAATCCAAAGTGGAACTACACTAAGCTATGGAGGTTTTCCCTTCAGACCCAAGGCCCTTGGTAAAGGAAATAGGTATCTGAAGCTCTCAGGTCTTTGAGGTTGAAAAATAAAGCCACAGGCACCATTGAATTCTATAAATAAAGGCTATAAAACTCTTACTTCTCTGTGACTCTCCTTTAAAACATCCCTACACATAATTATTGAATCTTTACAACTGTAACAAGGACTACCCAAATGTGAGTTTAGTCACCAGAACTTCTTAACCTTTAGTGCTACTGGCTGAGGAGAAAGGTTCATGAGATCACGAGTTTGGGATTGCTAATAATTTTTCTAAATCTTTCTTACTGACAAAAGATATAAATTGTTTAATGTGACACCCTCCCCAACTTGGGCACTTTATGTGTCATATTCTCAAAGCCATTATCTTTGTCACTCAGACTAGTATCTACTTTCACTTATTTATTCCAACAAATGAGAATTGAACAAGTAAATTCTATACCATGGAATCATGTTTGACTCCTCTGTGTCATATCTTACATTCAAAGGATCAGTACATTTGTTTGATGCTACTCCAAAATCTATACAGAAACTAATCACTACTTCACCTATATCACCATGGTACAAATCCTTATGATATTTTGACTGAACAATTTCCAATGACTTTCCAATCCACTTCCTGGCTTTTATATTCCATCTCCCTTAAACAGTCTACTTTTAACAAAAGAGGAGGCAATCTTCAGATCACTTCTGATCCAACTTTATTGACTTCCTGCTTCACCTACCGTCAAATCTTAACTCTTTTAAAAGGCCTACAAATTGTATTACATCTGTTTTCTGCTATTTTTCTGACCCCATCTTTGATCACTCTTTTCCTCTCATACTGTTCCATAAGATGTTGTTCCATTTTGCTCCATTAGATTATTGAGAACAGAGGTGTCTGTTTTGTTTACTGCTGTTATTTCCACATTTACAGAACCTAAAACGGTATATGGCACATATTAAGGGAATATTTAACACTCAAAGAGGGTCAAGAGGTAATTGTGTAGTTTTCAAAATATGAATTCTCATGCACATTTTTAGTTTCAATAAGGGCATGTATTTAAAAGTGTTACACGTTTCCCTCAAAGTACTCTTTCCAAGTAAAAGTTAAAAGTCTGGTGCAAAAACCATGCTTCAAGCTAAGAGGTTTTTTCCAATAGGTTGTTGATCACTTCCCAATACAATTGCACTTTGTATCTCAACCTATTTGGGAGGATAATCCTTTTTGTGTTGGGATATGCTGTTTGTGCAGTGAAAAATATTAGTTATTATAGGTGTGATTAATATAAATAGCAATAGTTTACTTTCTTAAATTATCTAAATCAACTTTAAAATATATAGGTTTTTAGCACCTTTTAAAGGAGGACATTGTGTGTCTGGTCTCAGGTTAGCTCTCTGTATAGACATTTGTATAGATGTTTATTCAACTATTTTACGTGGATAAATACTAGCACATACAGTGAAAAGTCTACTGCCCACGAGTCAATATGTCCTAGTTATCACCCTCCCAACTCAATTTTGATAAAATCCAAATTTGTTTTTTTTTCCTTTTATAAATTCTCTAGTTTAAAAGGAAGTAGAATGTAATCCTCTCTAAAGTTTCCAGAATATTAATAAAAACATTATGTTGCCCATAAAACTGTAGGTGTATTTTGAACCGATTTTATATCAATCTTTTATTTTGAATGCTCATAGCTTTGACTTTGGCACAGGCTACAAGAAATACACTTTATAAGTCTCTTGCTCCCAAGTCTCTAAATTGCACATTCTGAAAAACTGGCTATTTCTGCACAGAACATAGAGATTGAATGCAAGGCTATAATTCACTTTCAGGTTTTCTGCTGATGACATAAACCACCAAAGCTTGTTGGTTTATGAACAACAACAGGACACAGAGACTGAATTATGGCATGTGTCAGTGATGAGAGATAAAGAATTGGCATCCACAACCCAAAGATAATAGTTTTATTCCATTAAATTTGAGACATAGAAAAAACCAAGATTTTTAAACATTTAAGAAATAGTTCATCACTGAAAAATTTTATAGTTAATGAAAAGAAAATATCAAATCTATGCTCAAAAGAAAATAAAACAGAGATGATGCAAGAAAGTCCATAGGCAGACCTGGCATTTTACATAACTGAGATGTTTCTGAATTTGCTGAAAAATTACAATTTCTCCCTTTTGGAAGTAGCACCTTACAAAGCTTTATACTAGCTTACTCACTGCCCGGGCTTTGGAAAGTGAAACACTTACTAATAATGCAAGAAGATTTGTCTTTTTTATTTCTTGATGTCTTTTGAGAAGAAGAAGTGAGAATATAGGCAAAATAAGTAAAAGCCACAATATGCTATTTTACGAGGGTAGTCATTAAAGTCCATTCTTAACATTCTTACAGCACTCTTTTTTTTTTTTTTTTTTTTTTTTGAGACGGAGTGTCGCTCATGTTGCCAGGCTGGAGTGCAGTGGCGCCATCTCGGCTCACTGCAAGCTCCGCCTCCCAGGTTCACGCCATTCTCCTGCCTCAGCCTCTGGAGTAGCTGGGACTACAGGCGCTCGCCACCATGCCCGGCTAATTTTTTGTATGTTTTTAGTAGAGACAGAGTTTCACCATGTTAGCCAGGATGGTCTTGATCTCCCGACCTCGTGATCCGCCCGTCTCCGCCTCCCAAAGTGCTGGGAGCATTCTTTACCTTTCAACTTTCCAAAATGGTGCAGGCACCAAGTTTAAAACAGTGAATGGAGCTACAAAGTTATGCAGAAGCAGACACTAAGCTACAAGCTGTGTGCTAATTTGATTTCCCTAGAGGCAACTCTTGAGGTAAGGGTTGTAAGGTGGGTACTTTACTTGGGAGGTACTGAGAACATGGGTGGGGAGAAAAGAAGTGTTACAGAAAAGAAAGGTAGCTACTAAGTGGCAGTTTATTAAACCTACATGGCTACTGGAGCTTAATCTCACAGAGAAACTGGGCAACAGTGTAAAGCAGTGCCTTAGTGTTACTGCACAGGAGGACAGAGGAGCTGGGTTAGTACATATCGTATAATCATTGGTTGAATATTGCCTAGGGTGAAGGTGGACTGTGTTAATGTAGAGGAAGCCTGCAGGCCTAGAAGACAGATGCTGGCAATTAGAAGTCAAGGTCAGAGGGCTATAGACAGGGCACTTCTAAGTGTCAGCTATAGAGAAAATGTTTGGGGACATTGCCAAACTGAGTTTGGGAGCCAGGGTGGCTTGATTTCTAGTCTCAGCTTTTCCATTCCTAAGTAATGCTGTTATGAGCAAGCCCCAATCTCCATGCATTTCTGCAAAAGAAATAGTTGAGGCAGATAATTTTTAATCGCCCACCCCTTGTGATATTTTACAGACTTGGGATTTTCCATGGTGTCAAATTATTACATTTCTTAGGGCTGAGCCCATATATTTGAGGAGTCAAGTCCTGGCTTAGTGTCTATCACATGACACTGTCGGGGCTCAGAACACGATACCCCAAAGGATGGCACCTTGGCATGCTGAGTATTTTGAACTGAAGGATATTGGAAGGGCCTCAGAAGCAAAGTCTCAGAAGCAAAGTCTTCCCCTGTTCTCCTGTCTCCCACACCTCTTACTTCCTCAAACCAAGTCATAGATACTAGAATTTGTCTTCTCCAAAGGGGTCATAGAAATTAAAACTCTTCTCCCCCAAAGCAAGCCATAAAACCCCAAAAGGCCACTCTCTTTCTTCTTCCTTCTTTTTCAAACTCTCTAATTTCAGAAGGGTCCTGCCCTATACCAGGGGGAAGGACTACTACACAGAAAAGCCAAGAAGAATCTGAACAGACAGACCGTGCTAGGTTTCCCTGTCAATTTCCACTAGACTATACCCTTTTGTCCAATTGCATTTTTCCACAGTTGTCTATTCTGCATGTGACCTGGATCTTTGGGTCTTTATTCCTGAGGATTCCCATGTCACATAAAACTGTAATTAAATAAATTTTTTATGTTTTCCCTTTGTTAACCTGTCTTTTGTTACAGGAGTGTTGGTCATGACCCTATAATGGGTGAGGACCCCTCTCTGTCCCTAACCCTCCCTGTGCTTCACACACCCTTCTCACACCTGCCTCCACATGTGGGTAAATGGTGCCCACATCCACCCACCTCTTTAAGATTCTGATTTCTTCTTGTCCTACAGTCAATTCCTTCAAAGTCATCTTGGTTCTGCCACCATGATACATGTCAAATCTGACCATTGTCACCCTAACCCAAGCCATTATGACCCCTAGCTAGCCTGCAAAAGAGCATTCCATTATTTTCCTATAATCTTTTCTTCACAAAAGAGCCAGTATTCCTTTTACAACATGAATTTGTTTTGCTGCTTCAGAAAATTTATATTATAATGAGATTAAAATTCATCTTACTTATCATGACCTACAAAGCAGACCCTTTATTTTCTCCTCTGTTTAACTCTCCCATATCATTTCTCATCACTCTTCCTTTACTTTTTTCTGCTTCTGATACTTCAGCCTTCTTTCTGCCTCTATTACAAAACAATCTTACTCTATTCTCACTGTCTAACTTACCTAAAATGCTTTTCTTCAATCTCAGCAGGATTATATCTCTTCAGGTTTCACCCTAAATTCTCCTTTTTCAGAGAAAGTGCTAAAATTGTACTCCCAAGCGATCACTATATAGTCCACATTTTATTTTATTCAGAAAGAATTATTTATTATCAGAAAGTATCATTATCAGAAAGCATTATTATTGTTGTCAGAAAGTATCATTTATTTTAGTTTTCTCTTTGTTTTCTACCTTTTTCCAACGTAATTTAAGTTCCATGAAAGCCAAACTTTAAATTTATTCATTCATTTCTGTGCCCTCAATACTCAATGCAAGAAACTTGATAATGGATAGATACTCAATAAATATTTGTCTAATGAATTATGGCTCTTTCATAAATTGTTGCTGATTTGAACAGAACTCCTAATTTTTAGATATATTCATTGATATCTTGGGCTTCAAGGATATGAGATACAATATACCTGGTATATAAATCCACTATGTAGAAGATACTGAGGTGTCACTCTACAAAGTTAACTTCAAGGAATGTTTTGGTAGGCAGAATCATTATTTGAGGTCTCCCCAATGATGTTCATATTCTAGTTCTCTAAATATGTTAGATTATATCACAAAGGAAAATCAAGGTTACAAATGGATTTAAAGTTGCTAGTTAGCTGTCTTTAGAGAGATTGAGGTGAATAATCTGGGTAGGCTCAATGTAATCACAAGGATTCTTACAAATGGAACAGAAAGGCAGAAGAGAAGAGGAAGATACAGTGGTGACTACAGAAGAATGATCTGAGAATATTCAATACTTCTATCTTCCCTTTTGAAGATAGAAAGAAACTGCAAACCAAGGAATGGAGGTGGCGTCAAGACACTGGAAAAGGCCCTGCTGAGATCTTAATTTTAGTCCAATGAGACCCATTTTGGACTTCTGACCTCCAGAACTGTACAATAATAAGTTTGTGTTGTTTAAGCTGTTATATTGGTGATGGTTTGTTAAAGCAACCATAGGAAATTGATACAGGTAATGAGGGCACTGATACAACATCTGACACTGGAGAAAATGAAGAATGATAAAATAACCTAGAGAACTAAGAAATATTATTTCCATCTCAAATATAAATACATGCCTTAAGTAGTTCCAAGCTAGGATAGTTTTATGGAAATGTTTTATGTTTAAATTTATTCTTACCTGTGAATAGATCATCATGAGAGCCCTATGAATTCTTACTATTCCCATTTTACACATGAATGACCTGAGGTAGTGAGAGGCTAAGTGCTTTGTCAAAAGCTGCACAAAAAATAAGCAGCAGATTCAGGACAGGAAACTGTAGGTAGTATATGAGAGTGACAATAATCTTTCCTTGAGGACTGTAGAAATATATAATTCTAAGGATGGTCAATGATATGGTTTGGCTCTGTGTCCAAACCCAAAATGCTAACAGTGGTGTGGACAATGAAGTCCAGGCTAAAGTAGTCTCAGATGGAGATGAGGAACCTCTTTGGAATTGGAGCAAATGTGACTTTTCCTTGCTTTAACAAAGAGACTGGCAGCATTTTGCCCCTGCCCTAGAGATCTGTGGAACTTTGAACTTGAGAGAGATGGTCTGAAATTAGAACTTATGTTTAAAAGGGAAGCAGAGCACAAAAGTGTGGAAAATTTGCACCATGATAATGCAATAGGAAAGAAAAACCAATTTTTCTGGGGGGAAATTCAAGCATGAGTAACAAGGAGCCAAATGTTAATAGCCAAGACAATGGGGAAAATGTCTCCAGGGCATGTCAGATATTTTGGTGGCAGCCCCTTCCATCACAGGCCTGGAGGCCTTGGGAGAAAAAAAAAATGTTTTCTAAGCCTGGCCCAGGGCCCCCACTGTTGCATGAAGCCTCGGGACTGGGTGCTCTGTGTGTATCCCAGTCTCTCCAGCTCCAGCTGAGACTAAAAGGGGCCAAGGTACAGCTCAGGCTGTTGCTTCAGATGTTACTTCAGAGGGTGCAAGCGCCAAGCCTTGGCAGCTTCCATGTGGTGATGGGCCTGTGGGTGTACAGAAGTCAAGAAATGAGGTTTGGGAATCTCTGCCTAGATTTTAGAGGTTGTATGGAAACGTTGGGATGTCCAGGTAGAAGTTTGCTGCAGGGGTTGATCCCTCATGAAGACCCTCTGCTAAGGCAGTGCAGAAGGTAAATGTGGAGTTTGAAGCCCTCACACAGAGTCCCTACTGGGACACTGTTTAGTGGAGCAGAGAGAAGAAGGCCACTGTCCTCCAGATCCCAGAATGGTAGATCCACCAATAGCTTGCACCATGTGCCTGGAAAAGCCACAGGTGCTCAATGCCAGCCAGTAGGGGAGGTGCCCAAGGCCATGGGAGCCTACCCTTTGCATCAGCATGTCCTGTATGTGAGACATGGAGTCAAAGGGCATAATTTTGGAGCTTTAAGCTTTAAGGACTGCCTCACTGGGTTTTGGACTTACAAGGGGACTGTAGCCTCTTTGTTTTGACTATTTTTTCCATTTGGATGGGTGTATTTACCCAATGCCTGTACCCCTATTGTATCTTGGAAGTAACTAACTTGTTTTTGATTTTACAGCTCATAGTCAGAAGGTGACTTCTTGCCTTGTCTCAGATGTGACTTTGGACTTGAAATTTTGGGTTAATGCCGGAATGAATTAAGACTTTGGGGGACTGTTGGGAAGGCATGATTGGCTTTGAAATGTGAAAAAGACGTGATTTGGGAGGGGTCAGGGGCAGATTGATACACTTTGGCTCTGTGTCCCCACCCAAATCTCATCTTGAATTGTAATCCTCATGTTTCGAGGGAGGGAGGGACCTCTAATCTCCACATGTTGAGGGAGGTAGCTGATTGGATCATGGGGGTGGTTTCCCTCATGCTCTTCTCATAATAGTAAGTGAGTTCTCACAAGATCTGATGGTTTCATAAGTGCTTGAGTTCCTCCTTCACACACTCGATCTCGCCTGCCACCATGTAAGACATGCCTACTTACCCTTCTGCCATGATTGTAAGTTTCCTGAGGTCTCCCTAGCCATATGGAACTGAGTCAATTAAAGCTCTTTTCTTTATAAATTACCCAGTCTCAGGCAGTTCTTTATAGCAGTATGAAAACAGGCTAATACTGTCATGAAACCAATAGTCAATAAATCAATGAAAATATATGAAAAATCAACTTAAAGAGAAAGAATAACTTCTAGTCTACTTCCATTTTGTTAGTATAATCAGTAGATCTAAAGGTGATTTAATATAATTATGCCTTTTAAAAATGTTTACTTTTTGAAATCCAAAGAGGTGTTTGTAAACAATAGAAACACAGAAAATAGAAGTAGGTAAGAGAAGTCACACTAACATTGGCAAAGCTCTTTCAAGTACTTAATATGTAAAAAGAAACTCTAATTCCGAAAGAAGAATATTACATTTATCAAACAAATATAATCCTTTATTTAAGAGAGTTATAATTACTGATTGTAGCAAAATGACATTTAATTCCTGACACTCTGATTCTGTGTTCAACAATCAATTTTCTGAATTATCGTTTTTGTTTTCTTTACCAAATATGAATACATAAATTAATAAAATTCAATATTCATCTATATATTATCTCTAGTCCTTGCATCCACCCTATCAGGTTAGTACTTATTAAACCCATTTTGCAGATTAGAAACAGAAGATTTAAAAATAGAACTTAAAAAAAGTCATCAAAATCCTTTATTTTCCACATGTTTTTACCAAGAAAAAAATGTGTCTCTTAGTGAGACTGAGTAGACACAGAGAGAATGGGCCTTCTAGAGAGAGCAAGTAGTCAGGTAGTTCTCATCATAAATTAATATATTCACATTCTATATTTTTATTTTTTAGATGTTTTGTGAGCAGTTGTATGAACCCAAAATGGAGTCAAGAGCTGGACTTAGACAGATTGGAGCATAAGATCACAACTGCTATGAAGACATCAATTATGGCCAGACATCCTTTACTAAACGGCATCCCTCTGACCCTGCACAATTTTTCAAATTGTAACAGAACACAAGTCTTCCAATGCCAGTTTTTTGTTTTTGTATTTTTCAGAATAGAAAACAATGTACTGAGGAAAACAGAAAGTGAAGAAAGTATAAGGTATGAGGGTTACAGTTACTTTCATGGGAATGGCAATTCTTGGATTGTATGTTAAATATCAAAGCACTGAAACCCAAAAGAAGTGGAATGGGTAGGATTATTAGGCAAAACATAAGACATCCAGTTATATTCTAATTTCACATGAACAATGAATACTTTTTAGTATAGCTATCTACCAAAGATTGCATGGTACTTGCCCAGTGAATGTCCACTCTCGCTATTTTGGTTGGGGTACACTTAGACTAGAAAAGTTTTTGTTGTCTATTTGCAATTAAAATTTAACCAACCATCCTGACTTTTTTTTTTTTTTTTTTTTTTGAGATGGAGTCTCGTTCTGTCACCCAGGCTGGAGTCTAGGCTCACTGCAACCTCTGCCTCCTGGGTTCAAGCAATTCTCCTGCCTCAGCTTCCTGAGTAGCTGGGATTACACGCACGTGCCACCACACCTGGCTAATTTTTGTATTTTTAGTAGAGACAGGGTTTCACCATGTTGGTCAGGCTGGTCTCAAACTTCTGACCTTGTGATCCGCCCACCTCGGCCTCCAAAGTGCTGGGATTACAGGCGTGAGCCACCGCGCCCGGCCTGACTTTTTATTTGCTAAATCTGGCAGCCTTAGGAATGGGGGCTGGACTGAAAGCACATTTGTATGAACATGTGTAGGCAAACAGCTCAGTTGATGAATTTGAAGCTGGGTTTCTGGTGGAAATCCAAGAATCACTATAATTTAAATTTTCAAGGCTACATAAAGGCAATACCATATAGAGCAATGCTTTAGAACATCATTCAGTGGAGTCAGACAGATTTGAGTCCTGGCTTCTCTAACTCATATCTTACTGGTGTGACTCTATGCAAGTTATTTTCGGTGTCTTAATTTCAACCTCCTCATAGTTAAAAATTGAGATAATTATCTCTTGGTGTTTTACAAGGATTGAACGAAATAATTCACAAAACTAAATTTTAAAATACCATTGAGTAAAACATAAACAAGAAACCCCTTGAGAGTTGGAGGTTTCAGTAAGCTGAGATGGCGCCACTGCCATCCAGCCTGGTGACAGAGCGAGACTCTGTCTCAAAAAAAAAAAAAAAAGGAATCCTCTTGATACTGTTGCTCGTGGGCTATAATTTTTAGCACATCTTAGAATGACTAACAGTTAAAACATGTTAATAAAGCACATTGTTGATAACTGCAGGTAGAACAACACTAAAACATCAAATCCTCAATACAGTTAACGAGAAACAGTCTAAGGCAAAAGGGACTGAGGTTTTGGAGGTAGAGAGAAACTTTCACCTGTCATAGCATAGCTTAATGTACTGGAAAAATTTTGATTTTTGTTTTTAACTTTTACCCTATGTATGTATTCCTTATTGAAAATGTTGAACAGGAAACCATCTAGCAGTCCCTGCTGAACCTCAATATCAGGTTTTCTAAAACCAGCACTGAGATTAGTTTTATTTTAGAGACCACTGAGGAACAGAGAAAAACACAGAAGAGATTCAAGGGCAAGCATGGGCTTCAGCTTCTCGGACACTTAAGCACCTGAAATAGAAACAGAGAAACCATAAAAGTTGTAAGTTTACCTCATCTGCTCCATCACTGTATTTGTCACAAGGGGAATCAGTTCACTTTTGGTAACTTCCTTCTTAAGAGTACTGTCATCCCCTCAGTGACACATTGGCTGCCCAGAGTTTCATCAACAGTGAAACAGCCAAAGCTGACCATATAACTTTCATTCTCAAAGAAGAAGCATTCCATGTTATTGATAACATCCACTGGTTAAGAATTCTGCTCTTGATGATGTTAAGAGAGTTGACATATTTTCAATATCAACTGTCATTTCTCAAGCTGTAAGCATAACAGATGTTTGTTGAATAATACTCAGGTATTTCTTAGATGGGTGCAGGACACCTAATGTCTACTCTAAACATAAAATCTATTATTGAAAAAATATATAATTGCTGGACCATTGCTGTTGTTTTCAGATACAACTGTATTTTTTAGGTTAAAAAAGTTTTGTACAATAGTCAATGGATGTTGCATTGAATCCTGAACACTGCTTTCATTTTATTGTAGTTTAAATGTAAAATAAGTCTGTTAACTAAAATGGAAGTCACCGAGTACTGAAATTTTGGAGACTCAGCTTGTCAAGATTGTGCTTTATTAACAATATTATATTGAAATAACTGGTCCTCAGATATGTTAATCCCCACTGTCTAGGGAATCTCAGTCAGTTTTTCAGTATTTTGGGCAAGAAAACTAGTTTTGAAGGTAAGTGGCAATTGGTCTAATTCTTGGCTATGGCAGTCACCTGTTTTATGTTCTGTAGCCACTTGGAGTCTTATTTTTCATACCTGACTGAGTTTTTCTGAAAACAGTAGATAAAGCCGTGATTGTGGTAATAGCACATAGCAAGAGCTTGAGGACAAAGGTTCCAATTCTTCTTTCTCCTCCTTTTAATTCCTTCTCTCCCACAGCATCTTTGACCAAAGTCTGTATGTATGGTGTTACTACTTTTACATTTATGTATGGTGTTACTACTTTTTTTTAGACTTAGCAATAGTGGTATTCACGTATATTTACATCCCTATATAATTTACTTTTTATTATGAAATATTAATTAAGTAATTATGAGAAGAGAAAAAAGTGCATTGTGAGTAATAAGAAGTTACAGGCAATAGGATAGGGGACTCACATAAAGTAGAAAACCTAAGAATGGTTTTCTGAAATTACAATGTAAGTTAGAAATAACCACTTGCCCATTTAGGAGAGTTAAGTGAAAAGCGAGATATTTCTGCCTGGAAAGTTCAGGCACATCTTGATGTGGCATATGAAACTTGGAAGTTGTGTTGATTGTGGAGATAGTGGAAAGGGCATTGTACACAGGGAAAAGTATAGTAGAATCACCAAGTTTGGAAATAATGTAGCTAGAAATGCACAAGGATATGCAAATACTCCATTCTGGCTATAGTATAGAGTACAAGAAAAAGAAGAGTGGGAGGTAAGTCTGGAAAAACAGCTCGGCGAGAGCTTTTAAAGAGCTTTTATTCAATTAAGGGAGTTGGAAATGTTTTCAGTTAGCAATGGGGAATCATCGAAGATTTTTCAGTTGAGGGTAGGGAAGTGCCTGATCAGAGTTTTGTGTTCAGATTATCTATCTGGCAACATCAAGTTATGTAGATTGGAGCAGAAACAGACTAGAGGCTGCGAAACATTTTAAAATGTGCATTTGTCAGTTAGAGTAGACAATAATGAGTCCATACGCTTGAGCAGTGAAATTAGCAATGGCATCTCATTTAGGTAGAATTGCAGGTGTCCGTGGAGGGAATGAGGACTGCTGGGGATCTCCTGCTTACCAAACAGAGAAGAATTGTAGGTATTAGAGGGTAGGAAGGGTAGGGGGCAGGAAACAATAGGGAAGAGTTGGTTAACAGCTACAAAATTGCAGCTAGATAAGAGTAATAGCTTCTAGTGTTCTATAATAGCATCCCCAACGTTTTTGGTACCAGGGACTGGTTTTGTGGAAGACAATTTTTCTACGGCAGGGTGGGTAGGGGTTGGGGAGATGGTTTTGGGATGAAACTGTTAGGCATTAGATTCTTATAAGGAGCACACAACCTCGATCCCCTTGCACGTGCAGTTTACAATAGGGTTTGTTCTCCTGTGAGAATCTAATGTCACTGCCGATCTCACAGACAATAATGCTCGCTCATCTGTCACTCATCACCTGCTGTATGGCCCGATTCCTCACAAGCCATGAAGCAGTACTGGTCCACAGCCCGAGGGTTGGGGACCCCTGTTCTGTAGCACTGTAGGGTGACTGTACTTAACACTAATTCATTGTATATTTTTAAAATCACTAGAAGAGAGGATTTTAAATGTTTCTAATACAAAAAAAAAAATGAGGTGATGAATATGCTAATTAGCCTGATTTGATCCTTACACATTATCTATATGTATCAAGATATCACTCTTTACCCTATACATGTGTACAACTATTATGTGCCAATTTAAAATAAAGATAATTTTAAAAAGACAGGCAATATAACAACAAATAAGAAAGAGATTTTAAGAGAAAAAAATGTATCTTAGTTCAGGTCGTTATAACAAAGTATCATAGACTGGGTTGGTTATAAGCAACAACAATTTGTCATGGTTCTGAAGGTTTGAATTCCAAGAACAGTTATCCTTCCATAGGGGAAACACAGACACACCTCTCTGGGGTCTTTTTTGTAGGGGCACTAGTTCATTTCATGAGGCCTCCAACGCTCATGACCTAATTACTTCCCAAAAGTTCCACCTCCTAATACCATCACAATGGTGATTAGAATTTAAACTATAAATTTTGGGGGGACAGAAACAGTCTATAACAAATAAGGACTTGGTTAAAAGAAATATGAGGTATTTATTGCAATTCCTCAGGCATTCTAAATGCCTTAATTATCCCCACAAAGCCATGTTCTTTCATATCCTCAGGCCTTTTTTATTTGCCATTTCTTCTTCCTGAAACGTCTTTTTCCACTTCCTCTTTTGGTGAAATTCTACTAATTTTCTGAGAAACAATCCAAACATTTCTCCCTTTTCAAAGATTTCCATGACTATATAATTATTGCATTTATTTATTGTATTAGTTTATTCTCATGCTGCTATAAAGAAATACCTGAGACTGGTAAATTTATAAAGAAAATAAGTTTAGTTGGCTCACGGTTCAGCAGGCTGTATAGGAAGCATGACAGCATCTGCTACTGGGAAGGCCTCACGAGCTTTTACTCATAGCAGAAGGAGAAGCGAGAGCCAGCATCTTAAATGGCAGGAGCAGGACCAAGATGGGAGGGGTGGGGGATGGAGGTGCCATACACTCTTAAACAACCAGATCTCATGAGAACTCATTATCATGAGACAGCACCGAGAGGATGGTGCTAAACCATTCATGAGGGATCCATCCCCATGATGCAATCACCTTCCACCAGGCCTCACTCCAAAACTGGGGATGACAATTGAAAATGAGATTTGAGTGGGGAGACAGATCCAAACCATATCATCCTACCCCTGGCCCCCCAAATCTCATGTTTTTCTCACATTGCAAAATGCAATCATCCTTTCCCAATAGGCCCCCACAAAGTCTTAACTCATTCCAGCATTAATTCAGAAGTCCAAAGTCCAAAGTGTCATCTGAGACAAGGCAAGTTCCTTCCACCTATGAGCCTGTAAAATTAAAAGCAAGTTAGTTACTTCCAAGACACAATGGGAGTATAGGCATTGAGTAAATACCACATTCAAAGGGGGAGAAATCAGCCCAAAGAAAGGGGCAACAAGCCCCATACAAGTTCAAAGCCTAGTATGGCAGTAATTAAATCTTAAAGCTCCAAAATAATCTCCTTTGACTCCATGTCCCACATCTAGGGCACACTGATGCAAGGGGTGGGCTCCCAAGCACTTGGGCATTGATGTTTTGAAACTTGTTTGAATATCTAATATATATCAGGTGCCATTGTAAAAATAGTACTTAGTCCTTATTCACAAGTAGTTTTTTTGTCTACTGAAGAAGATAGATATATTAGTCCATTTTCATAGTGCTGTGAAGAAATACCTGAGACTGGATAATTTATATAGAAAAAGAGGCTTAATGGACTCACAGTTCCACATGGCTGGGAAGACCTCACAATCATGGCAGAAGGTGAAGGAGGAGCAAAGGCACGTCTTACGTGGTGGCAGGCAAGAGAGTGTGTAGGGGAACTGCCCTTTATGAAACCATCAGATCTTGTGAGACTTATTCACTATCACAAGAACAGCACAGGAAAGCCCACTCCCATGATTCAATAACCTCCCACCAGGTATCTCCCATGACACATGGGGATTATGGGAGCTACAATTCAGGATAAGATTTGGGTGGGGACACAGCCAAACCATATCAATAGGTAGGTACAAAAATATTACAAGGACTCTTTCAGTCATTGACAAGGTAAACAGTATTGAGTTCTCACTGTGAGCCAGTTACTATTCTTTTAGATACTAGACTTAGAGCAATAAGAGAGAGAGATAAAATTCTTGGTTCAATTAGCTTTTCATACTATTGGAGCTTCAGGCTGATAATGGCTGGCATAGAGGCTTTTTTAAAAGTCAAACAAATAAAACTATAATTTCATTTGGTAATGGATGTTCATCTAATAATACAAGTTCAAGCCCTCGAGTATAAGTTCAAGCCCTTGAGTAAAGTATGTATTCTGGTTCACAGGCGATGATTAGCTAAGACATTTAGAGACTAAGGCATAAAAAGAATCAATGAAAAACATATACAGGAAGAGAAAATACCCAGTGCAAAGGCTTATAGGTGGACTAGTTGAGTATGTTTAAAGGAAAAGGGTGATACTAGTTTAGGATAGTGAGAGAAGGCAGAGAAGATTTTGATATGAGATCAGAGAAGTAGGGATGGGCCACCTCATTTAAGACCTTAGAGGTCTGAATAGAGAGTTTGGATTTTTCCTCTAAATGTAAACGAAAGTCATTCAAAGGTTGAAGTAGCCAAGTAACATGATCATGTCCTTAAACAGTTGATCAGGATGCTGTGTAGAAGACCAGCTTTAAAGGGGGAAAAATAAAAACAAGAAGATTATTTAGAAGGAAATTACAGACAAAATATAATAATGTGGTTTGAACTTGGTTGGAGGCAGTGGCATTGCAGAGAAGTAGAAAAGTTGGAGAAATATATTTGAGGTTGAACTTGAGAAATGATACAAAGGGAGAAATCAAGGAGTTTTGCTTAAACAAACTGGGTGGATAACGGTTATAGGAAGGAGGAGATGGTGATGAGATAGCTTTAAAGGATATTTAAATGTCATGTTGGGGTTTGGATTATTTTGATATTTCTGTTAAAATCTGAGTGGTGATGTCAAATTGCTAGTTACGTATATAAGGTTGGGGCTCAGGGGAACAATAAGAACTAGATAGAGAAGTTTGATAGATACTAGTTTATAAATGCATTAACCAGGGCACTGGCTGAGATTAACGAAGTCAATAATACAAATAGAGAGGAGAAGGTGTCTTGTGACCAAAACTTTGCATAAAACCAAATATTGGGAGATTTGTTTGAAGAGGAGCAGCATACAGTCTGAAGTGGAGTCTGCAACAGAGCTAATATTGTGGAGGAAAAACCATTAAATTGGGGAATATAGAAGTTATTGACTGACCTTGACCAGAATTGCTTCATTGGAGTAATGGAAAGAAAGACTATTTAAAACGAGCTGAATAGGAGCACTTAGAGAGAGTAGGAGCCATTTGTAGTAGCAGTTCTTTGGAATATGTTCAGTAATCAACTAGAGATTAATAAAAGCATTGATGAGCAGCAGAAGATGAAATTGGGTTGTATGGCATGGATATTAAATAGAATAAACTTGTCTAATTTTATTCACTAACTTTATTGAACGCATAAAATTCATGACATTATTGAACACATTCAATTCATGACATTAATTTAGATACCAAAGATTTAAAGCTGAATAATACAGTCTGTGTTGTTTCTTCCTAGTTCCCTCTTCCCAATTTCCCTGAGAAATTCGACGCTATATTGCTGTCTAGTTCCTATTGAACAGATAGGAACTGAAGACCAGATCATATACCTGGATTCCCTGACATTAAAGTGGACTGCTGTTCTCATATATGAAAGCCTGTCTGCTGACAATCTAGCAGATTTATCATCATTCCCTCCTGGCCATGCCAGACTCCTGAAATTGAATGTATTGAGTATCAATATTGGGATAATTTTTTTTCTATAATCTATTGAAAATAGAGATTTGAGCTCCTGGCCTAAATTCATCCAGTTTCATGATGTCCATCCACAAACCCAGCCTCAGTAGGAGAAACAGTAGTTAAAGAATTTCATAAATATCTGTCACAGTAAGGTTGATAAGAATTTCTTAGCATGAAAGAGTCTCTGCTATGAAGAAAATTATGATTGGAATGACTAGCCCTGGAGTCTAGGCTTGGAAAGGAGGCATGGGAGGTGAGGTAGAAAATGCAGTACTAGATGTGTAGAGAAGGACAAAAAGAGAGGAAATACTGAGAATGAATAGGAAAACAGCACAGCAGCTTATGGCTCAAGAGAGAATGTTTAAACAGAAATTTAAATTCTTAGGCTTCATGTTTAAGTGTGGGTTTTGAAAAAAAAGGTTGTTAAAATATAGCAGAATTTCCATTGTGCTATTTCACTGAGGAAACCAGGGATGGTCTAAAATAAAATGGCTTTGAGGAACACTTTTGAGCAATCATTATGTGTGACAATAATAGAAACAAAATAGAATATTTTCACAGATTTCTGCTTTGATGTGAAATGACAAGTACAGATGGACACAAAAATAGTCACTCTGCAGCTTTGAATCTAAACTTACTGTTCGGTTGTTTTAAAAATGTTTAGATCAAGTATACTATTTTCAAAAATCCACAGAGCAGTGGCAGGGATATATTATAGAACCAGAAAATGGCCTTAGAAACAATCAAGACATTATTACTAGAGTCAAAGGATTTCTGGAGATGTTTTTGGAAAAGTGTAAGCTTTCATTATGTTTCCTATCTGAAGTGTATATACAATTTGTGTTAACTGGATGAAGACGACATATGACCAATCTGTGATATCAAACTTTTATTGAAGATGAGTTAAAGAGAGGTAAATAGTTGAGAAGCAATTTTGCTTGTGGACAGGTAGAACATTTATCTGTTGAAGTATCTCATTATAGGATGTTAACAGAAAAATTAATGTATCAGAAGGGCACATTGATGTCTCAACTCTTCTGTGCTTTTAAAAAATCTGTAAGTTTCAGTACAGTCAGTGTAATAGGACTAAAAGCACTTTGGACATGAATGTAATGCTGTAAACAGTGATTAAATGGTCACTTGGAGTTCCAAAACCATTTCCGTTTGAAACAAATATAAAGAAGAAAAGAATAATTCAATCACATTTGTCAGACATTGCCAGTATAACCCCACACATAAATCATGCTGAATGTTCTGAAAAGGAAGTGGGGGAGGTAGAGCATGATGGTAGGCCAGGTGCTCAAATCTCTACTTTCCATAGGGTATAGAAAAATTTACTCTATTATTAACATTCAAATAGTTCAATTTTAGGATGTTAGCATGGCCAGGAGGGAATGATGATACATCTACCAGATTGTAGCTCAGACAGGCTTCCATAGATCAGAACAGCAGTCCACTTTAATGTCATGGAATCCAGGCGTAGAATCTGGTCTCCATTTTCTATCTGTTGGATGAGAACTAAGCAGCAATGTTGGGTAAAACTTCTCAGGGAAATTATGAAGAGGGAGATGAAAAAAGTCAATCAATCAATGTATATTTGATTTGTGAAAGTCAATCAATCAATGTATATACACATATCAAGTGTTAGACAAAAAGTTTGTAAATGGATGTTTATAGAGATACCCAGTAAGTTGTGTTCATGAAAGTCACACAAAACATTAATGGTGAAGAAAACACATTATTATAGATTTGAATCAGTAGTGGAGGAAGGGTGGGTGGGAAATAAAATTAACACATAATAAAAATCATGAATCTACCATTCATGACGTTCATTGTAGTAGAATCCTCTATATGTTATTTTTTAATACCTCTAACTCTGGGAGGAAGAGAACCATAATTTTCATCTATCATAGGAGAAAAGGGAGGCACAGAGAAATTACTTTGTTCAAAGTTATATAGTTGATGTAAAGGGAGCTCAAATTTTGAATCTAGATCTCTTGACTCCAGATCTACCAATGTTTTGTGCTGAGAAAATCCTCTACCACATTTTTCCACCAGACTTGGCTTTTCTTGGTTTAGAGCATTCGTGGAAATGAATCTGTCCTTGTGTGAAAAATCAGTGCTAATTGCTGATGTCCATGTCTGGCCAAGAATACCATTTTTTAATACAAGGGCAGTTTTAATATAAGCTATCCCACTTTTAGCGACCACTTCACTCCTACCTTGGTCTCCATGTAGAACAGGATGTTAAACTCCAAGTGACCATTTAATCACTGTTTACAGCATTACATTCATGTCCAAAATGCTTTTAGTCCTATCACACTGACTGTACTAAAACTTACAGATTTTTTAAAAGCCCGGAAGAGTTGAGACATCAATGTGCCCTTCTGATATATTAATTTTTCTGTTAACATCCTATAATGAGATACTTCAGCAGATAAATGTTCTACCTGTCCACAATTAGTGCCAAAATGATTAAATTTTGTAGAAAAATTTATTAGTAATTATTACAATGAGTTTAGTTAATAAATACTTCAGCATTTGAGGATGCAACTTCACATCATCTCAACGCATACTACTGTTTTGATATACAGATAGATGAACATTTTCAGTTCAAGGCACAAAAAACAGCTATTCATAAACTCTGAATGAAGAAACAGCTATTAGAGAATGTGGAAAAGTCTGAAAAGGGAAAATAAGTCATACATAAGAACAGACATAATCTTAAAAGCTCCCTAAAAATCAGTAGAAAAGCCGAAGTCAGAGGCTATAACAGTTAACCATCTAAAACAGAGGAGCAAAAAGAGAAATAGTGGATGCATAGCCTTTTCCAAAATTGTAACTTAGTGAAGAATTAAGTGAAATATCAAGATGGCAAATTATCAGAATACTTGAGAAATTGGATTTTAAGTGGTTGGTATAGACAGAATTAAGAAAAAAAGATACTCCAGGAAGGGAGTGAAACCCTGAAGATCTTAATAAAATTGAAGAGGAAGTGTAATGATCCTTGTGAGAGTGTGGGATAATGCAAAGTTAGGTGGGTTAGGAAGAGGAAAAATTTATATTTCAAAATATTCTGATAAAAAAAATGACACGCCTGGAAGTGGTGCTAAAATGGGTTCCCAAAAGAAAGTGAAACTCTACACTTCAAAAAAGTTTAAATTAAGCTGTTGTATGGTGGAACCATCAGCCCAAAGGTTAAATTTCAAAGTAATTTCTAGAAACCAGGAAATCTAAAATATCTACAGGCCTTTACAATATCACTCGGTGATGACACAATATCCTTTGCAACCAACCTTGTCACATCCTTTTGGGGTGTCCAGGTATTTGCACATGCCATTGCCTGCATGTCATTGCCTATGTGTCTGAAATGAAAGAAGAGAAAGTACTGGAAGAAGACAAGAGGGTAAAAAAGAAGGGGAAATAGTCACAGAAGTCATTGTACGTTTTTATTTGCATTTTTTGCTTAATCATATTTCATTGTTACAGTGTCATAACACGTTTTTCTTTTTTGAGACAGAGTCTTACTCTGTCACCCAGGCTGGACGGCAGTGGTGTGATCTCAGCTCACTGCAAGCTCAACCTCCTGGGCTCAAGTGAATCCCGTGCCTCAGCTTCCCAAGTGGCTAGGATTACAGGCATGCGCCATCATACCTGGCTAATTTTTGTGTTTTTAGTAGAGCAGGGTTTTGCCATGTTGCCCAAGCTAGTCTCAAACTCCTGGACTCAAGTGATCCATCCACCTCAGCCTTTCAAAGTGCTGAGATTACAGGCATGAGCCACCATGCCAGAACATTTATTTTTAACACTAGCAGTCATCATTTATGAAACATAGTGAAGGCAAGTTAAAACAACAAAATCCTCAATGCCCCATAAAGCAATGTATTCAGCATCAATTATGGTCAAGTCTTCACTTCTATCAAAATATATTTGCCAAACTCCAATTCAAAGAGAATCTCATTTCCATAGTACTCACAACTTTAGGACCTACTAGTCACTTGCCAGCCAAATAAAAAGGCAATGTGAATAAATCTTGTAGCCATGTCTCAGACTCAGAGACTAAATGTTTGGGATTATCTTACCACTTCAAATTTTATAGTGTTTTGCACTTTTATAGAAATCATATCTTTAATTCTGAAATTTTAAAGTCAAACAGACTTGGATGTTAATCTCAGCTCAGTCACTTACTAAATATGCTACGGATAAGCTTTATTTTCTTTATTTATTCCTATGCATTCTGGATAAAGCTTTGTATATACGTTTAGACTTTTATTATAGCATGTATTAGAAAATCAAGATAACTTGCCATTAAAAATAAGGGAATATATTGGTTTATGTAAAAGAAAATATCAGAAGTAAGGCCAAATTCAGAGTTGGTTGATTCACTGGTTCAACAATGTCACCAAGGACTGGTTTTATTACATTTCCTTGCTTTATCTTTCAGTATCTTTTAGTATCAAAAGTCAGTCATCAACAATTTTTAGACCAACCACATTATTCTTAGTTAAGACTCAGAAAGAGAAAGTGAATGAGAGGGCGCATCTTTTTGTTAACCATTGACCAAAAATCTCAAGTTTGGGGGCCTAAGGAGTGTGAAGGTCAATCTCAAATTACAAAGTTGGAGGCAATGTTCTCTGATAAAAAATCTAAGTGTTTTTAGGAATGAAAAAGAAGCACAAAATGCTGAATATATGGGCATCAATACATGTTTACTTCACCTAACTGATTCAAAAGATCATTCCAAGGATCATGTCTGTCTTCTTCAATTTTACAACACCTAATATAGAAACTAGTATATAACACACATTCAATAAAAATCTGGTAAATGAAAAAGTTATTTAATGAGAATTAAATGGATAAAGAACCTATAATATAAGCCACAAAATTTACAAATAATGGTTTCTTCTGAATTTACATAGAAGGACATTGTGTTTCAGAAATATTAAGCTATTTTCTCAATATAACATATTTAAATAGCAAATCTGAGGCTAAACCTAAGTGTACTTATCCAAAGATAGTGAGTTCCAATTTTAGAATTTTGAAATGTAAAAAATATTAATCATGTCTAGTTACATAATGAGATGTAGTTTTAACATCTTTGAGAATATGCAAGACAAAAAATAATAATGTTTTCAATAACGCTTTTTAAGATAATGTGTGCACTTAATAATCATAGCAGAATTTACAAGTTGTTAATTTGTCTTATGTCAAAGTTATGCTCATTAATGTCTGCATATGTATGTATGTATTTTGGCATATATTATATATGCAGATAGATAACAGTGATATGCATTATACAAAAACATGTCCTTTAGTTGCAGACATGTTTATAACTTCTGGTTTCCAAAATTTGAAACCTGTGTCTGTATGAAAGGTATATTAATTAGCCAAAAATGACTGGACAGAATAGAAATTTTCATACTTCTTTTAATGCAATGTAATAAGTGATGCTTGTAATCAAAGGACAGGAAATCACTGTCCAAAATCCTTTTCATTTTAGCTACTTGTGAACTTGCAAGTACACCTGTAATATCTTGATATTCATCTAAAAACAGATCCATATATGAACACATCTAGAGTGATACAATTTCTGATTTATAAAAGTACAGACAAGTATATTTACACTCTTAAATATTTATATGAAACATAAAATGAAAAATTTGGTTATTATTTTGACTGAACTAGGGCAAAAGTTCAGGTACATTAAAATATTTATTGTATCAAATAGAGCTAGAACTATCTACTTTTTCATGGGTACTTTTAACTCTTAATCTTTCTGTATATTTGACCTATCCATTTTAGTAGACTGCAATACTGTGAGCTTTTTTTTTCACCCTCAGAGTAGCATATGTTCCACACTCAAGGCCTCATATGACCCTTACCAATATATCAATAGCTGGTATTTGAGACATATTGTGTGATTACTGTGATTACTGTCAAGAGTCTTATTTCTCTATGTTATTATCACTACCATACTTGATATGGACTCAATAGGGTAGAATTCTGAGAAGATTCATTTTCAAGGTTGAAATAAGCAATTGATGCCAATCTGTTCAATAAAGTTCAATGCATTATATTGATGTTTCTCACTGGACATCATTATTATGATGTCCGTGGGAGACATTTGGCAATGTCTGGAGAAATATTGGGTTGCCACAATTGGAGTGTATGACTAATTCCAATTGGCAGTAGCCAAGGATGTTGCCAAACACTCTATAATGTCTAAGACGATCCTCCTGCAACAAGTAGTTATATAGTCCAAAATGCCATTAGTGTTTAAATTAAGAAACCCTGGTTTATTGTGTTACTCAGCTTTCAGGCTCTGAAATGACTACTTAACTCTTTTGTGAAAATAATAATAAAAGTAACTGACATTACTGATATGGATTTAAAATTTAATAGGAAGAAAATGAGGCCACATATTCAGAGACAAAAATCTAAAACATAATTATGTATCTATATGTATACATACACTTAGCATAACTGGTAAAAGGAACATATTTCATTACAAACTACAGTATATAGTTTTACATAAAACAGCCAGTGATTACATTCAATTAAGACATAAGTTTGGAGGGCAGAGTCAATAACCCTGAGATGTCTATTGGAAGTTAGAACTTTGCAGATTTTGCAGATTTTAGCCCAAGTGAACTACTGTAGAAAGGCATTTGTGTTAAGTTACAGTTGCTGTCTTTTAAATTGCTAAAAATAATTGAAGAGGTAACTACACAATCTGCTCTTCCATCAAGTGCCAGTTGCAGAACCTTTTTAGACATAAACATGGAAAACATAAAGAATATATCTCAAGGGAGTATTATAAGTCTATAATTCCTTCGAGGATGCACGTAATGCCATAAATTGCAGGAGGAAACTCAAGCAGTTTAGTTGCAGGAACGCTGAGATGAAATTACAGCTTTTATAATCCCCTAAGAAGATATTCTTTTGGTATAATGGGAACTGTAGTTGTTTAGAAATAGCCTGCTCTTTTGCCCCTAGAAAAGTACAATGGTCATTTGAAGATTGAAAAATACTAGGCATATGTCTGAAAAGTGAGTTGAGCTGATCATAAGAATAATAGAAAAATTATATTGAAGTCATTTATGGTATCTACTAAATATAGTATGGCATTCTTTCTAAAGTAAGAGTTACAAGAGACACCTACATAATTATAGCTATTAGAAAAGATTTTACAGGTGTAAACATAAAGATACCAAAATATATATTGCTAAAGCTTAGCAAGCTTTGCATTAAACACATAAAAGACATTTATAGCCATATGAGAAGACATATCCTTTACATTAAATGCCAGTAGCTAAATAAGCAAATGCACCGGATTAAAAAGAACAACATTAAACATCATGGGGTGGCATAACCGCATAAAGTTCACAAAATGTCATAATTATAGACATACTTAAATTTTGTATTATAAGAACCCCCAGGCATATTGTTCAATATCATAACTCTTGGATTCAGCATGAATTGGATAGTGTGCACATTAATGAAGTCAAGATTCTCTTTAATGTGAGTAGTCCAATAGGAAGTTAAGTTTGGTAAACATTTAAAGCAGATAATAAATATAGATAGATAATAAATTTATTTTTAAAAGGTATGATCAGTTATATTTAATAGTATTGTCAATTAAAGTACTCATAATCCTAACATAATCAATGTTGATAGAACATTTTTATTATTTTCATAAATTATAAACAAATACATAAACAAATAAATGAAATGACATTAGAAAATACTGTCTAGAATAAAATTTTAATTAAGATTCTGAATTTATTTCCATCAGTTTCTTCATTTTTCTCAGGAAGAAATCTAACTATAAATTTATTAAATATATATTATTTAAGTAGATGAATACACAGGCCTGTTTAATGGCATGTTACTTTAAATCTGCAATTTTGAATGTTTCTCTAAAAGCCAAAACTATAATAAAACTAAAACAATTTGACCAAGGAAATTAGTTTTTAAAAATTACATTTATATAACATGTGTTTGGTTCCTTCAGCAAATACAATCAATGTATTTAAAGGTACTTAATGACCAGTGGTCAGAGTAAAAAACAGATGTCCCAGAATGCCAGGCTTAGCAATAGAGAACAAAACCACCACTATTTGGTTCAAATAGAGTTTATATTTTTGCAATGGCAACTTAATTTTCCTCAAAAGCAAATGGAATTGCTTTGTCTAATAACATTTGAAGGGATATATATTGCCTAATTACAAATATCTAGGCCATTTTCACTCTATTTGCTTTGTTTACTGTTATATTCTAAATTGCCACTAATTAATAAACCATTGACCTATATTTCATGGTATGACTTTTAAGCACAATTAATATCATCAACATTAATAAGAAGAGGTCAGGCATTTAAATCTTGAGTAAAATAAAATTAAAAAATTCTGCATTATTGAGGAAATCATATTAACAGTATATATATGCAAAAATTAATAAACATTGGTTCAAATGACTTTTATTTAGAATCTTAATGAATTCAACTGCAGGTTTCAAATTTCTCTTTGATCTGGTGAAGCTGGCAAATGAAAAATGACCGAAATTGGTTGTCTCCACATTTTTTCATTTAGTAAAATATAAAAATGGAAATTTTTGGAATTTCATAGGTTTGCCAACTTTTAATTTTTCAAATTATGTAAACAAAAACTTAACAGTTATTTAAAATTATTTCATAAAACAAAGATTTTAAAATATTTTTATTATTTTTTAACTTTTATGTTCAGGGACACTTGTGCAGGGTGTGTATGTTTGCTACCTAGGTAAATGTGTGTCATGGGGGTTTGTTGTACAGATTATTTCATCACCTAGGTATGAAGCCGAGTATCCATTAGTTATTTTTCTGATCCTCTCCCTCCTCCCACCCTCCAAGAGGCCCCAGTGTGGGTTGTTCCTATGTATCCATGTGTTCTTATCATTTAGTTCCCACTTATAAATGAGAACATATAGTATTTGGTTTTCTATTCCTGCATTAGTTTGCTGAGGATAATGGCCTCCAGCTCCATCCATGTCCCTGTGAAGGACATGATCTTGTTCTTTTTTGTGGCTGCATAGTATTCCATGGTATATATGTACCACATCTTCTTTATTCTATCATTATTGGTCATTTAGGTTAACTCCATGTCTTTGCTATTGTTAATAGTGCTGCAATGAACATACATGTGCGTGTATCTTTATAATAGAATGATTTGTATTCCTTTGGGTATATACCTAGTAATGGGATTGCTGGGTCAAATGGTATTTCTGTCTCTAGGTCTTTAAGGAATGGCCACACTGTCTTCCACATGGTTGAACTAATTAACACTACCAACAGTGTAAAAGCATTCCTTTTTCTCCCCAACCTTGCTAGCATCTGTTATTTTTTGACTTTTTACTAATAGCCATTCTGACTGATGTGAGGTGGTATCTCATTGTAGTTTTGATTTGCATTTCTCTAACGATCAGAGATGTTGAGCTTTTTTTTCATATGATAAACAAAGATATTTTAAATTCCAAAATATGAAAAGGATAAAGAAGATATAATTGCCTAACCAAGACTGAGTTTTTGTATTGAATATATAGAGTTTTAGGAGAAACTCACATTGCTGAATGAGATAATATTAGATCCTTCTGCATAAAAAAGAAAAAAAAAACCACTGCCCACTCTGAAACTCAAACCCATACACATATACAGAGTAGCGATTTAACATGGTGGAAATGCACTTTCATTGCATGTAAAAAAATGACTGGAGACAGTCCATATTTGGCATGGAGAACCATATTCATTACTTATTCAGTTTTCTTCTATCTTGCTGTATACCCAGGAACAGGATATTACTTCCAGTATCACATCATTGGCTAGAATTTAGTCACATGACCACATCTATCTGTATGAAAAATTAAGAAATGTAATCTTTATGGATAGACTAGTGCCCAAATAAAACTGGGATTCCATCACTAATGAATAAAGAAAGATTTATATTAAAAATTGCTCTTTTCCATTTTGGAACTGATGCAAACTTATCGTTGAACAATACTGGACCAAGAGGTTTTGGAAAACACTATCCAATGAGTCTAATCTAGTCTCAAGCAGTATTGCATATTGAAAAGAATGTTGTAGCACACTTATGGGGACTCAAGAGACCTTGAACATATTTCATGAAATTTTCTTGATCTCAGATTTCTTATCTGTAATGCAAGAGCATATAGAACTCAGCAAATTGTCCATTAAACAAATACATATTGTTTACTATGTGGTCTCTGCTTCCTAAAAATTCTATATATTGCAAGAATCTCTATTTGTGCAAAATCATAAGTCTAAATATTGCAGTAGAGAGGGAGAATCTGTAGGTCAATAATCATTTCTTTATTAGTCAGAAATTAAGAAAAAAACATTCAATTTAATGTAGCTCCAGAAGGGTGTTAGAACTCAGCATGAGCTCTTAAACTCTTAAATGGAAGAGAATACACGACTGTGCTGGAAAGGCAAAATTTCTCCCAATTAACTTTGATGTAGCTCAAAGTTGTTTTGCCAATTTAAAACCTGAGTTAGGCTTATTTGGAGAAAGGACCCAGGTTCATCTTATTTTTATTTTAATTCAAATAGTTTTGTGGTTCTCAGGATAAGTGTCATCGCCTTTGTAGTTTTTCTGTGTTGGATTGCCAGTACAGGCTGTATAAATTTCCCCTAAGAAGCATTACTGCTTAAAAAGGAGTTGGAAGCCTTTTGGCTAATACACTGAAAAAGAAAATGTGAAGCCCGGTATTAACATAAACTCTCTGATCATAAAAGACATTGATCATTTGAAATAAAATTAACAGAGTTTAACATTTCAGTGCTGTTTTCCCTTGACTATAATGATAGTGTTTTAAATAATGTCATTTGGTAAAGTAATATTATAGTGCTTTCAGATTTTAATTTTACTTAGTAATTAACAATCATCTAGCCTAATGCTCTGGATTACTATTTTCTTATTATTAATATTGAGTGGTTCCATATTCAGAAAGGAAATAAAATAATTGCTTTGGTGCTGTGCTAAATTCTACTTTAGCTCTTAAAAAATACATGCTGCTATGGATTTTTAACAATTATTTAATATTTATCCAGATTTTTCAAACATGTAAAATTATTTTCGGTATCATATGGAGGTATTGAATAAATAGCTGCTTTATGACTTTGTTGTATTTCCATAGTTGTGTATTTTATTCAAATAGTATTGTATAAACTAAAACACCTGGAATTCATTCCTTATATGTATTTTATTTTATATTATGTTTTTCTTAGCTATTTTAAGGGTGTTTGAAAATAAGAATGAAAAGACTTAATCTCTCAGTGCCCATCTACCTTTTTATCCCAAATATATATGAGATATAGTCCTGGGAAGAAAATTGCACAATTTTAACAATTCATTCAAAAGAAAATTAGGATTTGTTATTGTTTGTCTGTTCTCTACATCTCTATGCTATACTACAGTAAAAATGTTATGGTAAAAAAACCAGGGTAAAACCCGGGTAAAAGAGAGTTAGGACCAACAGTTATCACCACTATAGCCCCTAATTTTTGTTCATTTATAAAATAAACAGAAAAATTAAAAATCCCCAACAGTAATCCAAGGAACTCTTGCTTTTTGGAATATAAACATTGTGTACAAATGTGTTTCATGGTGAAATAAATCTCAGATTTAGAATTAAAGTTAATTTTTTAAAAAAATAAAGTAGAAAGTCTTAGAATCCTTATGCTAATATGAATCAGAAATCTCTGAGATGAGGATGCAATAGCATGCAGAATTTTTTAAACGTATTGTATTCGTTTCCTAGGGCTGCTGTAACAAAATACGACAAACTGGTTGCCTAAAACAACAGAAACTTATCCCACAGTCAAGGAGGCCAGAAGTCTAAAATGAAGGTATTGGCAGGGCCATTCTCCTTCCATACCCTCTAGGGGAGGGTGTGGCTTTGCTTCTTCTGGCTTCTGGTAGCACTAGGTATTCCTTAGCTGTGGCGGCGTAACTCCAGTCTCTGTCTCCATCTTTCCATGACCATCTTCCCTCTGCGTCTGTGTCATGGCATTCTCCTCTATTTGTCTTTGTCCAAATTTCTCTTCTCTTGTGAGAACACCAGTCATGTTGGATTAGGACTCACCCTAATGACATCATTTGAACTTGATTTTCAAATAAAGTCACATTCACAGGTACCTGTGAATATATCCAAACATCTTATTTTCAAATAAAGTCACATTCACAGGTACCTGGAGCTAAAACTTCAACATATCTTTTGGGGGAACACAGTTCAACCCATAACACCTATTCAACCATAAAATACTTATTTTCGAAGACTATACTGAGCCCTATGTTCCACAGATCATACCTTTGAAATTGCCAGACTGGGTCAGTGTCTTTCAAACTGATTCATAGACTGGTGCCTGTTCCTGAACGATTTCGCTCATCCACAATCCACAATTTAATCTTTTCTGAATAAGATAAATTCAGAAATTGAGATTAAGCATTTTATAAACTTTTATAAAAATGTGTCCAGCCAGGGGCAGTGGCTCAAGCCTGTAATCCCAACACTTTGGGAGGCCGAGGCGAGTGGATCACGAGGTCAGGAGATGGAGACCATCCTGGCTAACACGGTGAAACTACGTCTGTACTAAAAATACAAAAAAATAGCCGGGCGTGATGGCAGTTGCCTGTAGTCCCAGCTACTCGGGAGGCTGAGGCAGGAGAATGGCCTGAATCTGGCAGGCGGAGCTTACAGTGAGCCAAGATTGCGCCACTGCACTCCAGCCTGGGCGACAGAGCGAGACTCCAAAAAAAAAAAAAAAAAAAAAAAATGTGTCCAACAATTCTAATTTGTTTCTATTAGTACATAGTTACCCTAGATAGCCTGCTTATGTCAGGTTAATCAAAGGTGATAGTTCCCTGGTTATACAGTGGCCCTCAAGTAGCTTACAGCAGAAAATACTGAACAAACTTACACAAGTGACTAAACAGTGTGTATGCAAAAGTTTTTAGTTGAAAAATTTGCATACGGACAGAGGCTGTTTTGCAGGATTCATTTCCAGTTTCCTGCCAGAAAGAGAAAATAGGAGCTCTCAACTCCTGTCTGCATAATAAGAGAAAGACCCTGTAGAGAGCTGGATTTTCAAAGCCCAGATTAGGCTGCAAAAATCTTTATTCTTAACATACCAAGAGAGGGAATAGTGATAATGGTAAATTATCAATGTGGATAACAAAGTAGCATTTAATTCTGGGAGGTATGAGGCAGTTAGATTCTGACATCTTTATGAAACAGCTTTCAGTAAAGACAGTCGAGAGAGTGACAAAAATGAAGACTGCCTGACAGAGAGAAAAATAGAAGGCAACTTCTCCGACAGCTCTCTGTTTTTGTGGTTTCAGTTTCTTCTTAAGGCTTGTCTGAATTCCTTCTCTGGAGGTTCATGAGACATGCCTCCATTCTAATAATAAAGCCTCCTTTTGGCATAAGATGGTTTCTGTCACAGGCAATGAAGGAACCTTGACTAAAATAATACTTTCCATGTGTCACTCCATTCTCAAAACCTTCAAGAAGTGATCACTGCCTACAGTAGGGGTTCTCAACTTCAGCTAATATTATTGACACTGTGGGCTGCATAATTATTTGTTGTAAAGGGCTGTGACCTGTGCATTGTAGGATCTTTAGCAGCACCTCTGGCCCCCACCTTCCCAGTACCAGAAGCACCTCTGAGTTGTGACAATCAAAGAAACCCTCCAGACATTACCAGAAAGACCTTCTACCCCTCAGGGGGCCAAAATTGACCCCAGTTGAGAATCACTGGACTAAAGGATAAGCCTAATGCTAACTAACAGTGACCATGGAAGACTCCAGTCACATCTCCTTCTGGTGTTTTTTTCTTTAATTCATTATGCTGCAAAGTTGAAGGCTCCTTATTGAGCTCATTCAAAGCCATGGAACTCAAAACACTGTCAGTTGCAAACCGTATATTCATTCAGTTTTGCTGGTTGCCTTCTCTATCGACAGTCCTCTCAAAACAATGAGCCCACAGACCCTTCCTTGATACTTCTTATACTTGATTCCCTGCTTTATGCTTTAGCTCTATATGTTCTTCTGCTTTTGATTTTTCACCTTTTCATAATTAGGCTGGGAAAACTTTCATTCAACCATCACTTCCATGGAGACCCACAGGCACATATACAGAGAGTTCTTGTAATAGTGAACACTAAATCTGTATTCCATACTCTCCAAGGCTATTTCTAAAGGCTCTAGATCTCTTACACGTATAGTTGTACAACTTAATCAATGGGCATTTGCATATTGCTCCAACTGGACTATCTTATTCACCTTTTGGCTCTGCCTGAATGGCTGCAAAGAAATTAGATTAACTTCTTTGGATGAAACAGGTTCTAAAATTCTCCAGCTTATAAGATAGAACATATGCATTAAAAAGTAAGGTGCCACAGGTAGTGATTCACACCTGTAATCCTAGAACTTTGGGGTCCAAGGCAGGAGAATCCCTTGAGCCCAGGAGTTCAAGACTAGCCTGAGCAACATAGTAAGATCATGCACAGCTAATTTGTATGTATTTTTTAATATTTTGTAGTCCCAACTGCTCGGAGGCTGAGGTGGGAAGATTGTCTGAGCCAGAGAAGTTGCACCACTGTACTCCAGGCTGGGTGAAAGAACAAGACCCTTTCTAAAAAAAAATTAATAATAATAATAAAGAAATAAAAAATAAGAGAAAATAATTTTTTTCTAGTAAATAAAAGATGTGAAAGTAGAACCATGCAGGGGATCTATAAATAGTAATTCTTGGCCAGGTGTGGTGGCTTACGCCTGTGATCCCAGCACTTTGGGAGGCCAAGGCAGGTGGATCATGAGGTCAGGAGTTTAAGACCAGCCTGGCCAAGATAGTGAAACCCGATCTCTACTAAAAATACAAAAAATTAGCTGGGCGTACTGGCAGGTGCGTGTAATCCCAGCTACTCGGGAGGCTGAGGCAGAGAACTGCTTGAACCAGGGAGGTGGAGGTTGCTATGAGCCCAGATCATGCTATTGCACTCCAGCCTGAGCGAAAGAGCGAGACTCCGTCTCAAAAAAAAAGAAAAAGAGAAAGAAAAAAAAGCTAGTAATTCTTCCTGACCTCAGCAGGCTTTGCACTAAAAGGGTATCAGAAACACTTGGGATAATGTCTCTGGAACATCCACTCACTTATTTATTCAGCAAATATTTATTGGACATCTGCTATGTGATAGATAACATTCTAGGAATTGAAAATACAGAGTTGAAAAAAAAAAAGAAAGACAAAGTTCTTGACTTCACAGAACTTAAATCCTCTAAAGAGGGTCATATATAAAATTTGCCAGCATATAAATAAATAATAAACCCCACCAAAACCCATGAGTGGAGCTGGAAATATTCTGTCTGTATTTTAGATAGCGTAACCTTGGAGGGAGTTTTTGAAGAGGCAACAACTGAACTGAAACTCGGTGTTGAGATGTGGGTAGCCACGTGAAGATCTGAAAAAAGACCATTCCAGGAAAACAGAACTACAATGGCAAAATCCCTGATGTGTTTTTAATGTGGCTGGAGACTAGTAAATGAGGGACACAATGATAAGAAATGAACTTGATGAGGCAGACAGGAGCCAGACCATGTGAGAAATTTGGGATTTATTCTAATTTCTGTGAAAAGACATCAGAGGATTTTAAATATGTGATTGATAGGATAAGAACATTTTGAAAGAGTTAATTTAGTTATGACTCTGATTTTCCAGAGATGCAATCTCACACACAAACACACACACAAACACACAGAAGCTACATTTCTGTGTCCTTTCCTGGCACATTGGTCCCCACTGAAAAACTTGAGCAGATGGTGTCATCCAGAAATCTCCTGTATTCCCAACAGAGGTAGATCCTTGTTTGCAGAATCAGAATTTCATATCAACGTTGACTTTCCTGGATGAGACACTAGTTAAGCTATATTTGAAATCTCTTACATGTACCTGAATTTGTTGAAAAAATATGAGAGACTGGTTGACTTTTGTACCATAAAATCGAGGAGAAATAGATAAGAATAGTAAATAGGACCACAGTTCCTCAGCTGATTTTACAGTTTAGTATTAGCAGTTTTGTCTTTTCTTTCTGTCAATAAAACAGACAGTCTAGATACCTTGTTAGTATAAATTAGCCTTTCATTTCAAAGCACTGTATTTTTTAGGTAAAACAAATGGGCATAGCTAACAACACTTTATTTCTATTTTTGAAAATTTATAATATACTGAAAAGTGTCTAGCACTTCAATTCTTACAAATATTATCAGACTAGATATCCTGAAAACCATCCTAATACAAAATCTCTAATAATGGTGATATGTCTTAAGTGTATAGCTGAGCTCATATGAAAACAAAAGGTCGAAACCAAAAAGGGAGATCAAAACAAAGTAATACCATCATTGATGCTATGGCTGAACTAATCCTGCCAATCCAGAGCTAGAATTGAATTAGACATGAGGAAAGGATGTAAGCTTTGGCTCCTGCAGTTTAGATATGGAACAGATTCAAGCATGAATTTCAAATAGTCTAATGACTACACCATCAGAGACAGATGTGCAGAAGAACTAAGCAGTCCAGCAAAAGAGATAACAAGGAACCTAATCTGTTTTAGCCTTTGCTCTGAGTAGGAAAAAAAAATGATTTGTTTGCAAATCTGTAATATCAACTCTGTCTTCATATGAGTTCGGAGTCTAAGTTTTCCAGAATACACACATACAATGACATACACAACAGTCCATGCTAAGGAAATTACCATAAAGCCTTCTTTGATAGGTAGTACCCAGGAACCAGGGATATACAGTAAAAGCAAAGCATATCTCTTCTCAGGTCTCATTGGATGACTTCAGAGAAAGCCCAATAAATACAAGTTTACAATCCAAATTTATATCTAGCTTATCTACTAATTTTTTGGAATGCATCATTAAGGTGAAAAAAGAGAGACTATAATGGGGAAGCAAAAAAAAAGAAAAGTAAGAAAGAAAAAAGGAAGGAAGGAAGGGAAGGAAGAAGGGAGGGAGGAAGGGAGAGAGAGAGTGAAGGAGGAAGGAGGGAAGGAAGGAAGGAAGGAAGGAAGGAAGGAAGGAAGGAAGGAAGGAAGGAAGGAAGGAAGAAAGGAAGGGAAAGACGGCCGGAGTTTATATTTGGACAGCTCATAGTAATATTAAAGAACTTCAGTGACAATGAGAAGACATTAAACTAGAGCATTATTAAGAAAAATTTGACAGAATTTATCAAGATTTATCTTAAATAAATTTTATTTAAAAATGTCTTTATCTAAAAATAGTACCATCCTCAATTTTCTTTTTCTTACTGCACTTTTTTTTTCTTTATAGCACTTAATGCAGGCATATTATTTAAGCATAAACCTGTTTACTGACTTTTGAAACCACTAAAATGTCAATTCCATGTCTGTTTATTTATTATTTCATTCCTCTTTCCATAGTACATGGCACCTAGTATATTTTCACAGTACAACACTGTTGGAAATAGGTAGATGATAGATATACATAGGCGTATATATGTACATATGTATATATGCACATTTGTAAATATATATGTAACATATAGCCATACAACATACATTCACAACTATACTTCATATATTGGTAGGTATATAATATATAATATTAATAATATATGCAGTATATATTTTTTATTTTTTATTTTTATTTCAGTAGCTTTTGTGGAACAGATGATGTTTGGTTACATGAATAAGTCCTTTAGTGATGATTTCTGAGATTTTGGTGCACTCATCACCCAAGCAGTATACCCTATACCCAGTATGTTGTCCTTTATCCCTCACACACTTGCCAACCTTTATCTCTGAGTCCCCAAAGCCCATTATATTAGTCTTATTCCTTTGAATCCTCATAGCTTAGCTCCCACTTATAAGTGAGAACATAAATATTTGGTTTTCCATTCCTGAGTTACTTCACTTAAGGTCTCCAGCTCCACCCAAGTTGCTGCAAAATACATTACTTTGGTTTTTTTTAATGGCTGAGTAGTATCCCATGATGTATACATACCACAGTTTCTTTAGTCACTCGTTGGTTGATGGGCACTTTAGTTGGTTCCGCATCTTATCAATTATAAATTGTGCTATATGCAGTATAGTTTTATGCCGCAAGTATTATTACAAATATTTTAATCTAATATTTTTGCTACAGATGAATGTGGAAATAATCTACCTGTCTACAAATGGGAATTAAAGCATTGTGGTCATGCTATTTTACCTCACACATTAGCCGGGTGTGGTGGCACACTCCTGTAATCCCAGCTACTCGTGAGGCTGAGGCAGGAGAATCACTTGAACCCGGGAGGCGGAGGTTGCAGTGAGCCGAGATTGCACCATTGCACTGCAGTCTGGGCAACAAGAGAGAAACTCCGTCTAAAAAAATAAAAAAATAAAAAATAAAAATTGATTCAAGATAACACTGTCTGGAGTAGAGACCAGGGATCTGCAATTTATGTTTGTTTCTCAGATACCTATCTTTGTAAACTTTGAGAACCACCATTCTATTAAAAATATGGAAGTTTTAATCCAGATTAGGGAAATGTTGTATTTTTGTACCAAATGGAGCCTTCCTTGTTGTTCTTCAATGAAGTATCAGTTATCTCTAACTAAATATCTGCTACTATCGAAATATCCCAGTTTTCAAAAAATCCTCAGGGTTAATATCCACCATTCTTCTTCCCCACACCCTCTTCTCTTCAGTGCTGAGGCTCCAGGTTTCCAAATCTGAGTCCTTACTGTCAGCTCTGAAATAGGGAGTGGCCTCAATGCTGAGTCTTAGACAATGAGAAGTCCTCTTAAAGTTCTGCATACTCTCAGCTGAAAAGTTCCAACATTAAACTTTATTTATTTTCTCTAGACGTTATCTTCATTTGAGTTCTTAGTACTATTGCTTACCACTTTTTAAAACACTTTGACATTTTGATCTAACTTGTTATCATCATCTAGCCCTCTATGATCACTTTTCCTCCCTCCTCATAGATAAAAAAGATAAAGAAAACAAAGAAAAAAGTCTTGTCCCTTTGATTTGTGTGCATTTTATATATATATATAACCCTGAGCTATATTCCTCAAAATGGAAAAAGTAAAAAAGGTGAACAGATTACTATTTGAGCCAATGGCAGTATCTTCTCTTTATTAACAAACTAATTAACTGAACAAATATTTCGTGAGTGTCTATGATTTGTCAGGTTCTGTGCTAGGTGTTGGAAAACAACAGTGAATAAATCAAACCAGAGCTTTGCCTTCAGGTAGTGGACATTCTTGGGAAGGAGAACGGATACATAGACCCTGAACATTGTTCTCCCTATCCACCTTGTGATAAGGCAGCTTCTCGGGAATGGCTCCCTTTTCATTGCTGTGTCTCCTAAGACTCTTGTGTTAGCTGTTTCTCTCTAAATTAAAAGCTGAAAAAACAAAAAATGGGTACATATTAAATAGCATGTTCTTCTCTTAAAAAACGGCTCTTTTAGACATTTCCATATATTTTAAATTGTAGTAAAATATACATGGCATAAAATTTACCATCTTACCTATTTTTTAAATGCACAGTTCCACAGTGCTAAGATAGTCCCTTTGTAGTGTGATCAATCTCGGCATTTCGTCCAGTGTCGTTTTATTATAATGTAGATGAGAATAAAAAAATCTATTCCTTGCCAGGGCCATGTGGAGTTTGCACGTTCCCTCCATGTCTGCATGGGTTTTTTCCACGTACTCTGGGTTCCTCTCACATCCCAAAGCTATGAACATTAGGTTCACTGGGGTGTCTACGTCGTCCCAGTGTGAGTGAGTGTGGGTGTGTGTGAGAGTGCACCCTACCACGCAATGGCCTCCTGTCGAGGGCGCGCTCCTGCCTTGGTCTCTGAGCCTTGGGGACTCATGATACTGAACTGAACCCACGACACTGAACTGAAATAAATGGGTAAATAATGACCTTACTTGTTTGTACTAATGTCTTAAATGTATGTATAGGCCACATTTATTCCAGTGTTTAATATGAGAAGTGTTTGGGGGCTTTATTTAGAAGTTTCGTGATGTTTCTGTGACCAGAAATATGCTGTAGGAAAGTCACCCCTTGTTTATATCTGTTAGCCCATGGTAAAATTGGTTTCATTATCTCGTTTTGTGTCAAGTCGCAGTTTCCAAGAACAATCTAGGATGGTAAGTGAAGACTTACTGTACAAAGGTTCAAACCTCTTTCTATTCTTTTCAACACATTATTTTCTTTTTTATTGTTAGTAGTCATTCTGAGTAGGAGGTAGCGTTCTCAATTTTTTATATATAGATCTAAAAATATATTAAACATATAATTAGTTTGAACAATATATTGAACATATTTCAATTATCTTTTACCTAGCTGTCTCTTTGCTTGGGGGAAGCTTTCGTCTCAGTTTGCTGGACTGTGTCCTTTTCTGTCATTTTCATCACAGCTTAAATGAAAGACTCTCCTGAAGAGACCTTTCCTGCTTGGTGTAATATACAACAATAACTTTTTAAACATCACCTTATCTTAATTATCTGCAGAACACTGACCTACTGTCAGAATTTTGTTTAAGTAAGTATTCATATATATGAATTTTGTTTGCCTATTTCAAATTTATTTTTAACTTAAAAACTATTATATTTAGATTTAAACTTAAATCCTCAATTACAGTGTAAAATAATGAATGCAAAGACTATGTGTCTTTTATTTATTGCCATACCCTCAGAGTCAAATGTTTGATAAATATTTTTTGAATTTGATTAATTATACCAGTGAGAAAGTGTGAATAAATGGAGTGAAAACATTCAGATAATAGTATCAAATTTTACACTTTGCTTTTGTAGCCATAGCTTTCATACTTGAGTTTTATATGTATAATGGCACCATAGTTATTCTACAATTCCCGTAAAATTAAATCTCTAGATGCAGAAAAATAAAGGCCACAGTGAAAGTAATGGGTCATGTCCACTTTTAATAGAAATTATTGAATGTGTCCACCCTGTGATGGTTTTTATCCCTCTTTATAGTTAGAAAATACATAGAGTGTTACAGTAAAGTAAGAAATGGTTTAAATTGTCGAGCTAAAGGCTAGCTTTTTACTCTGCGAGTCTTTATTTTATCACAATGACACAACATAAAGTTCAAAGCATATAATGGGGTGAGAAGAAGAAAGTCTTCCAAATACCTGGCAGGCATATCTTTCAGTTTAATTCACCTGTCAGCCCAGGCAATGGTGAGTGAACCAATTATTGGCAGTCTTGTACCACAGTTACTTTCAGATTCTTACTCTCTTCCTGCCTACATAGAATAAGTCACCAAATCACTCCACTCTGTCCCCTTGGAATTCTTTTTGAGATTTTTAGAGTAAAAATCTCGATCAGAACAAAGTGGTGTGTCACTTTTCTCCCTTTTTGATAAGGACTGATATTTAATCTTTGTAGCATTGAAAAATAATCTTTTTAGCTTAAATACTTTATCAATTTTATTATAAATGGAGGCAATTTACCTATGCTCGTATCATTCATCGTAATGAAATAATCATCTCATTTGTTTTACTTCATAAGACAGAAAGAAAGCAAGCAAAGAAGAAAGAACAAAAGAGGCTGAGAGGCTTACAGGAAACAGGAATTATTTTTCTGAGTCAGCCATTTTTCTTTCTCTGTGTAGGATAGTGTGTTTGCTGTTTCTATTGTCTACCACAGTGCTTGGCATGTGCAAGCTCATGTAGAGGCTCAGCTCATTAAAGATGTGTGCATCGAACATGTCCAAAGATAGATAAAACCAGAACTGAGACTTGAGTGTTAAAAAGAAAATTTTCAAACAAGGTAAAAGTCATGACTTTCTTACAGATATAAAAATAATCATATGTTAAAGATATTTAAATAACTCACTAATGAGGCAACTGGTGAGGTGTTATAACCAGTTCAAAGGAGACTCCAAGGACAGACACACTTATAGACAGGAGTACTAAAATGAGTGTACAAATGGAGACAAAGATGGTAGTTCCTGGGGTGAGGGTTTCTTCTCTCCACCAGCCAGTATTCATTTACATATATACATACACACATTATTTTGCATTGCTATCAGCCATCTATAACTTTCAGAGTTATAAAATAGCTACCATATAATTAGGATCAGATAACCCAGAAAGTTGTGCTATAGACATTGCACCAATGTTTTTTGACATAGATAAAATGTGTGTGTGTGTGTGTATTTTCCCTCTTCAGTACTACTTGAGCCTTTTTTGGTTCTTCTATCTGCCTCTCTAATGCTATCACCCCCAGGAAACTCTGTGTTCACAGAGAGTTATAAATTAAAGTCTCATAATTATCTGAGGGCAAATAAATATGGTAATATGTGTTTATTAGAAGATTTTGCAAAGGAAAATATTTTTAAACAAAAATTATTCTTTTATTATGTTTTTATTTGGGTAATGGAAGAAATGTTCTGAGCTGAAGGCACTAACTTGCATTCCTCAATTCCTAATATATAAAAGTTTAGGCCTATAAGATAAAAAATAGTATTTCCCTTTACAGGTAAGGAAGTAGGAGTGTGAAAAAGGTTAAGAAAGAGGTCATACACTAGTTGGTGGTAAACTCAATTCCCTTGAGTTTACTTTTCCATTTCTGTGAAAGAGATGCATGCATGAGCACTGTTCCACAGGAGAATTCAGCCATGGTGATAATCACTATGACTGCAATCCAGGAGGGAACAAGTGTTCATCTTGTACCTCACCCTGACTGGAAGCTTTTCTTAGGGATGATGAAATGAGGTGCAGACTAGGAGAGAGAAATAATAACTTTAAGCCTTATGGGAAGCTGACACAGCATTCTTGCCAGTATTACTTAAGATAATTCGTAGAAAGTGCTTAGTATAGTGCTTGGCCCATAGTGAACATTCAACTGATATTAGTTAATATAGTGAAGATAATGAGTATTACTAGTATTGTAAAATATAATGAGAAAGAACACTATGCTGAAAATTTTTTCACAGATTTCCCAATTTTTACATGACCTGGTGTGCCACCTTCAGGATGTGAGGCAGGTTGTGGACTACATATCTTAGCCTTATTCTAGTTTAATCATGTTTGCTTCTCATATTATATGGTTTAATGGTGCAGTTCCTCCACATGGAAGTTTACAGGTTGGCTGATTGCACACAAAGGAGGGCTTTGAATGTCCCTGGAAACATGTCAGAATTCCCCAGAGAGGTTGTGACAGTCAGCCGGAAGTCAGATGTTTCCACTGATCAGTGATGTCATGCTCTCCTACTTGGTGAAACGAACCTTCTTTCAGTAATCTCACCAGGACATGGAGCAAGAGCAATAATGAAAACACACATAATCATTGTCTAATTCAAGCATAAATACAGATTATCCATTCTGCTAAAGAATATCTATTCTGATTGCTATAAATGATACTGAAAAGTATTTTCTTAAAAGAGAGTTATAAACTGCCAGAGGCACAATCCATCTGTAGCATCCAGCAGGAAAAAATAAATAAATAAATAAAACAGATATATGCTTGTTTTTAACTGGTTATAATTAGAACCCCAATGACCAGAGCTATTGAAATTAATAGGTCCAGATTTTCTACCAAGTCTACAAAATGAGCTTTAACCAAAAAGGAGATTTCTATATTCCTATGAAAATAAAGAAGAAAACAACAACATTTCAAAAGCGTTTTTTTGTTGTTCGAATATAAAGGAACGCTATGACCTGTTTTGTTGTTAGAGTCTCCTACCTCTTTTCTTCTTTTTAATGAAATGTTACTCTGATTCTGATGTCATGCCGAAATTGAGTCCACTGAGGGATGAAGTTCCTATCTCTCTTTGCTCGAGCTCTAAAGAAAAAAGCAGATATTTTAGTTAGTTCTTCAAACTCGTAAATGACACAACCAAAAGCAAAAAATACCATTCATCCATTTTACAAAACTTTTCATTGTGTTTATGGAGGAAATACAAATTTCTCTTTCCTAGGGTCATCCTATTGATAGATGCAGGAGGCAGATAAGCGAAGGTCCCCGGAGAATCTCCGATCCGCCCAAGTGTTTACATCAGATGCTTTTGTGCGGATAAGGGAACCTGCCTAGGACCTTGTTTCTGAGCGCCCACAAAGGACTGGCGGCCCGCCTGCGCGCTGGGATAGTTGGTGGAGCCACGGGGAATTCTCACCTAGTATAGCAGGGAGGAGCCTGGACTCTTCAGCTGTGTGTGGTAGCCTGGTATTCAATCTGGGAGGTGGGAGCCTGTTGGTAGGACCCCTTTCTGTTGGCTGAGAGCTTTCTTAACAATAAATTCCACTCTTCTTACCTTTCAATATTTCCGGGTGCCTGCCTAATTTTTCCTGGTCGTGTGAAAAGAACCTGAATTTTAGCTGAACTAAGGAGCAAAAAATCCTGCATCGCTATCTCAAATCTTGCTAGATTTCTTTATGGATTTGTTCCCTGTTTCAAAAAGTCATTTTCATGATGCTCTTTGAAAGTATCAATTTTCCAGACCTCACTATTCCCATATATTGAAATTCATTTCAATATAGGTAACATAATAATTGTTTTCTTAGGAAGAAAATTTCCAACATTAATTTTTCTTTAGTCCCATGAATAGTTATTACACAATTATACTATATTAGACAAAATGCTATATGCAGAGTAAAAAACATCTTTTCTTATCTGGTGTTTTTTTCCCCCAAGGTAGGAGGGAAATATTTTGTAGGGTGAGCTACATTGAGAGAGTAAAGGGTAAAGATTAAAATGAGAGCGCAAACATCCAGTCAGAGCAGAAAGAGCTTTCTGAAGCATAAACATGATCTCATCCACTTAAGGACAGATTAGCTTCAATAAATAAGATGAGGAAAATAGTTTGTGGAATACAAGCAGAGGAAACAGGACATCTTATACACTGAGTATATCCAGAAAAATTACGAAGTTCGTTTCCAATACCAGACCCACTACGCATGTGGGATTGGTTGGTGAGAAAGAAAAGGAAGTCTTTCAGAATAAGATAATCTTGTGCAACCAACAGAAAGTTTAAAAATAAAAATAAAAAGTAAGCTATGAGAGCACAAACTTTTTAAAAGCAGAAATGATTCTGGAAACAAAAAATAATTATTTGTAGTTATATTATGTTGCTGGTCCAAGGATAATGAAAGCCCCTTAATTTAAATATATACGAAGAAATGTATATAGAAGATGTTGCTTTATTCAATCATCATCTGTACCTCTACTCCCTACTCCTTAGAACAGAAACCAATTTTATTTTTTCCTGAGAGAATTAGGATGAGGTATAGAGATGAAAAAGATTATATACTTTTCTGTCATTATGATAAACTTTGTAATTAAACTTAATTAAATCTCATTAGCCACCAAGAGAGAGTAAGAAATAAGTTTACAAAATATAAAATTTTCTTTAGACATATTTTAGAACCAAAGGACATATTTTCATTAAAAACTAATCTGCTTTATCAAGTTAATAGAAATGTCTTTAAAAATAATGTTGCATTGTTTGTGAAAATGCCATAAGATATTAAACAAAGCTGGTCATCATCTGAAATTACCCAAACCCAAGAATTACAAAAAGTACTAAACAAAAAACAATGTTTTTATCTTCTTAAAACAATATTTTTTTCTTGCTGATTTCCATGATATGCAGTAACTTCATATGCATTAACTTTCATTTTTTAACTTCATTTATGTACATTAACATTAACGTTTGACAAATTGTACAAATGTATCTGCTGTGTAAACATTGTCCTAATCCATATACAGAATATTTCTGTCATCCCAAAAAGTTCCTTCATGCCCCCTCTCAATCCAAATGACTCCTATTCCTCTCTCCAAGCAAACATTGATTTGATTTCCATCATTTTAAATTAATTGTACTTGTTTAGTAATTCATATAATGAAATTTACAGTAGATAATCTTATGTATCTGGCTGCTTTCACTTGGAATGTTTTTGTGATTCTTCCATGTTGTTGTATATCTTGGTAACTGATATTATTTCATAGATAAATAGTGACCCATCATATGAACATACTAGTTTATCCATACTAAAGCTTATCTTGTTGACATGTGGGTTCCTTTTTCCCCAAACCTCTATGAACATTTGTATACAAGGGTTTTTTTTTTATGGATAAATGTTTTTCTTTCTCTTGGGTAAATAACTACTTGTATAATTTCTTGGTCCTATGGTATGCATAGGTTGAACTTTATAAACTACAGCCAAACAACTCTATAGAGTAGTTGTAAAATTTTATACCGCCTTCAACAATGAGTTCCGATAATTCATTTTTGCCAACACTTGATACTGATTGAACACGGTTCATCTTTTTGATTATTCCAGTGGATATGTAGTGGTCTCTCACTGTGATTTGAATTTACTAAATTTGTTGAAAATATTGCATATGCTTACCAGTCATCCATATATCTTCTTTTGTGAAGTGTTTTCTTAACCTTTGGCTTATTGTTCATTGTATTTTTTGTCTTCTTATTTAAAAATTTTTGTACTTCTTTGTTTATTCTAAATATAAAAGTACTGAGATATACATACCAAAAAATTCTCTCCCAGAAAGTAACTTACCAACGGTTTCTTAGTGACGTTTGTTGAAGAGAAAAAAAAAAAGTTTAATTTATCTATTTCTTTTTGTTATTTTTCTCTACTGCTTATCTATTCTCTATTTCATTGCTTTATGATCTTCTTTAATACCTTCATTCTACTTATTTTGATTTATTTTTCTTTTCCTAGCTTCCAATATTGAGAATTAAAATCATTGATGTGAAATTTTTCTTTATTTTAATATAAGTATTCAAAGTCACAAACTTCCCCCAAGCTCTGCTTATCTTCATCACACAAATTTTGATATTTTTTGCTTTTATTTCTATTCAATGCTGAAATATTTTCTAATTTCTCTTGCAATTATTTATAAATATGTTGGTGTATTTTTACCTATTTAGAAATTTTTAGATATTTTGAAGTAATTGATTTTATATTTAATTCCTGGAGAATATATTCTGTATGATTCCTATCTTTTTAAATTCATTAAAGCCTTTTACACTTTAAGGAAAAGATATTTTAAGTGGCTTCATCATTACTAAAATCATCATTAATCTCAAACTTTTCTGTGAATATTCTCTTCACCTTTGTTCCCTAACTGATGTTTTGTTCTTCTCTAATGATACAATTGTCTGTAGATCCCTCTTAAATGGTAGCTGTTTTCTCGTTCAAATCTCTTAGAACATGTTTTCTGGAGATAGGGTATATTTCTTTCATACTCCATGTTTCCACTTCCAGATCATTTTCCTCATGTATTAAAAAAGAAAAGTCTCTGTTTTCAATCTCATTATAGACCAGATCACCCACTGTCTTCTATGCTGTAGCCATCTGTCAATCTCCCACGTAATAACAAGACTCACTTCCCAAATATTTTAACACCAGGCTGGTTGATAACTCTCTCCAACACTATTCTTTGGTTTTGGTGATCATAGTATTTACATAGACTATTTCTTCATCAGTAGCCCCTTAGATCCCTGTCTCCTTCAATTAACTTGCTCTCTACACAATTTCAGCCCCCTCAGTCCCACAGTCATCCTGTTACCTTATTATTATCAAGAGTGGCAACCCTTCCACAGTACAATTTCAAACATCCTGCCCTATGCCGTCTCCTAGTCTCTTCTGTGTTTATTTCCTCTGTTATTTCAACTCCAACAATGCTCCACTCCCATGTGTACCTTAAATCCCTTGATTCCACCATACTTTCACTGTTTCTCAATCCATTTATGTCCTCTTTTTTTTCTTATGTAACTCACATTTCATAAACATCATTATTACTGTACCTTGCTTTTAACCTCACCTCTTTTTACTTTATCTATTGTTTTAATACATTCCCTTGATAAAACAACTCTTATTACATCTGACTGTATTTCTTTATGTCTGTACTGATGCAGCCAGCTGAGGTTGGAAGAAGAAAACACACAGTAGACAAACTTTAAATTGATGATCATTTAACACATGTAGACCCTTAGTACTACCTGCGAATCACACTATATTTTCCTTGCAGCTCCTCTCTTCTATTGTCCTAAAAAAACTATTTTATGCTTATCTTTCTCCCCTCAGATCTCTAACGTCTTTCTTTATCCTCACTCTCAGCTGACTATCTTCCTTCCTACTTCATAAATAAAGGGACAATGTGGATGTGTTTGTTAACTCTCACAGTACATTTTTTTTCTCTTGTGGTGAATCCAGACAGATAGTGTCAGAAGTCTTACGGCACTTTCAATGTCAGGACCAACATACTGCAACTTTTAGGATGTTACTATGACTGATCCTTCTGTGCTGCTAGTTAAGGCCAGTGCTTCTACTGTATACTGGCTCTGAGACCATTTCTACGGAAAACATTCTTCCAGCAACTATTCCCTCTTCCTCTCCTGCTTCATCGCCTTTCTCCTCTATTCTTATCAGTGTAACTAATATACAGTCATGCTGTTACCCCTCTATTCTCTCTTTCTCTCACCTAGTTCATTCTTTATTTGCTCTAGAGCAAAGTTCTTTGGCAATTTCTCTTGGAAATTTTAAATAAATTCACTCCAATCAGAATTTCCTTCTACCACTATAATAAAATTGTTCCTCTCAAACATCAAAGACTTGCCCATTGCTATCTCTAGTAGTCATTTTTCAGTCTTTACCTTACTTGACCTGTCAGCAGCTGTTGACAAGATGTATCGCTCTCTGTTCCCAACAATTCTTTATTTATCTTGCTTCCAAGATTCCATTTTTCCCTGATTTTTATTTTACTTCTCTGGCCACTTCCTAGTTTCTTTTCCTGGTTCCTTTATTACTCCTCAACCAGAATCAGCTACATGATTTGTGGAGCACAGTGCAAAATGAAGATGTGGGGCTCCTTCGTCAAAAATCAAGAATTTCAAGGCAAAGAACAGAAACTTAAAACAAACTTGAGGCCCTTCTGTGTGTGAGGCCTAATGCGACTATACAGATATTAAGTCCAGGAAGCCAGCCTTGCCCAACCTCTAAATTTAGAGTGCCTAAAGGCCCTAAATATGAAACATTAGCAATGTTCTCTTTTCTCTTTACATCTAATCCCTAGGTGACCTCATCCAATCTCTGGGATTTAAATCATTATATGCTGATGATTTCTGAATTTATGTCTTCATACTGTAACTCTAATCTGATTTCCATTTGTATGACTAATAGGAATTCCAAACTCAATGCACCCCAAACTATGCCCTGGATCTTCCTTTCAAAACTGGCTGTACTCATAGCCTTCTCCAATTCGGTTAATGAAAGCTCTATTCCTTTCATTTCTTAGTTTCAAAGCATGGCGTCATCCTTGATGCTTCTCATTTTCGGCCAATTCTACCTTCAAAATCTATCCAGAATATGATAACTTATCTGAACAACCACTGCCATCATCTAATATAGTCTATCATAATTTCTCATGTGCATTATGGCAATACCCTTCTTGTTTATCTCCTGCTTCTACTACTGACCTCTTTCAGACTATTCTCAACCTTTCATCCAGAGTGATCCCCATTAAACATTAGACAGATAACATCACTTTTTCCTCAAAACCATCCAACAAGTCCCTATGTCATTCAGCATGTAAGACAAAGCTCTTTCTATGTGATTTATTGTCATATCCTAGATATTCTATGTAACTCCCACAAAAATTGTCACCCATGTGACCTCACTACTCTCTCTTGCAGCTTTCTTCTTGTCCCTGAAACATATTAGGAATACTCCTAATCAATAACTTCGTGTTTATTTTTTCCTTTCCCTAGAAAGGTCTTCCCCTGGATATATTGCATAGCTAGGCCCCTTGTTCTCTCAGGTCTTTACCCAAATTTTACCTTCAGTGGCAGATTGAATAAGTACCACCCACCCCCAAAATATGTTGGCAACATCCTAATCACTAGAACCTATGATCATTTTACCTTATTTGGCAATAGAATTTTTGCGGATGTGATTAAGTTAAAGATCCAGATGGGATTTTATTCTGGATTACCCAGGCAGGCCCAATCTACTCACAGGTATTCTTATAAGAAGGAGCCAGAAGGGTCACAGTGAGTAGTAGAAGATGAGGCAACGAAAGCAACAAGGTAGAATGACTTAAGGAAGAAATCATAAGCCAAGCAGGCAGCTTCTAGAAGCTGGAAACGACAAACTAATTGTCCTAAGATGGAACACAGCCTTGCCAACACATTGATTTTAGACTTTTCCCCTCTAGAACAATATTCATACATTTGTATTGTTTTAAGCCACTAAGTTTGTGCTCATTTATTATAAATCAATAGAAAACCAATACATCTTCTCAATGAAGTCTACACTGACCATCTTGTCTAAATTTTAGTCCTCCTATTTATCTTTATTCTTACCCTTATCCTATATGCCTCATACTGTACAACATCCAGCTGATTTTATTTAAGTACTACTATGTAGTCAATTCCTTCCACTGAAATATGAGTTCCACAAGTACAGAATTTGGGGCCTGCTTTTTATTCAATGCCCTATTTGTAGTACCTAGAACATGCCAGGGGCACATTAGGTGTTCAATAAATATTTGCTAAAAAAATGAATAAATAAATAAGCTTGGACTTTTGTTTCTCTCTAATCAGTGATTTTTATTCATTCTACAATAGTGCTCATTAATCTTCTGGCATAGTATAATGTGCTCTAAAAGCAAATGTGAGTGTGTGTATGTGTGTGTGAGAGTGTGTATGCACAATACAGTAGCATCTTTATATGTAACTGGAAATGGCATGATACATGCATGGGATCATATTGTGATCTTAATGTGTAATCAATAGGATTGACATGACCAGATCAAGCATTTCCCATCTCATGGCTGCTTATTTCTGCATTGGAAATGAATAAAGTTGTCTGTGATGTTTTTAATTAAAACAACATAAATAATAGTAAAACAATGACAACAATTAGGGATAGATGGCATCGCTTTTTATTTTAATATATTACTTCTTAGAAAGGGTAAACAATATAGTAAAGAAAATCCAATGCCTCTTTCACTTTCTATATATATTCATTACTCTTAGCACATGACCATAGCACTTTACCACTAGCACATAGCCTCAAATATACCATAACTATTACAAAAGAACATATCACCTCTTAAGCATCATAGTAGAATGTCAATGCCTTAGATTTTGACCTTAAGTAAAACTTAAAATCATATACTCTATTTTCATTTATGTCTACAGAACATCAGGTTAGAGGAGCAAAGCAGTCTTTGAAATAAAGCAGACACCATACATAAAAGCTGACTGCACTTTAAGTTTTAGTTTGTACAAAGAAAATATAAATGAAGTAAACTATAACCGTGCATTATTTCCATATAAAGAAGTCCTTAAAATCATGCTATTCAAGTTTAATAAACTTGAATCTTCAATTAGCTTGTTGCTTATTCAGTGTCTGTAGCATATCCAAGCTCATTATGCCATGCCACAGGGAGTACATCATTCTGAGAAAGACATTTCCTTAGTGATATTTTTATTTATGACCTATAATGCAGGAATCGATTGGGGGAAATGTTCCATCTTATTACAGAAATAGAAATTTTTGCAATTGTTTTTCATTTTCCCCTCTAGGGTTGACTTGGCAGCATAAATTTATATTTAAAGTATATTGATAATTCTCAGAAAGTATATATAATCCTATTAATTGAAGTCTCTAAGAGGACTCAATGAGGTTAAAACAAAAAGCTACTGTGAGTCTCTAGTATTTCCGGTATTGCTGACTGTTTTTATGTCAGTGGACAAAAGAAAAACACTGCTTCCTTGACATTGTAATTTCACAGAGCAGGTGTGACATTGAGTCATGGAGTGGGAAAAAGGTAGACGCTTGACACAATTTGGCCCCAAGGGTTTATATATCACACCAGCAGTAGAAGAAAGCTCTCCTGCTGATAAAAAATTACTTATCAGTGACAGAGCCATGTTCAGGGTGAGGGAGGAAAGAAGAAGAAGAAGAATATACATTTCTTAAACTTTTCATGGGAAAAAGTCCATATGTGTTCATTAAAATTAGCTTATGCAAATGTACTAGAGGACATGTGGAACCAAACACCCATATACAGCCCAGGCATATTCCCTTATCATATAGCTAGCTCTCCTCACAAGCTACTCCACTTGAAATGTGCAAAGCCAGCGTATACGAAAATGCTTTTAAGTATTAATAACAACATCACATATATAAATGTCAACTTTGACCAAGTAACTCAAATCATGTTACAGAGAATGCTTTTTTAAGTAACTAGCTTCACTACGGAGGTAAGGAAACTGAGGAACAAAGTAAATGAATTACTTATCCAAGGTCTATTTCATAGGTCAGGAACAGAGCCAGTACTAGATCTTATCCATGAGACCAGATCAACTCCCTCTCTTAAAGCTGGCATATTACACTGAAGGTAACATCATAGGAGTATCTAATAAAGACTTTAAGCTATTATAGTAGAGTGGTTTCAGACAAAATTCGAATTGATTGAAACTTTCCTCTGAAACCTGAATCAAAGCAAGCCCCATCCTTTTTTTTCTGTACCTCTTCTCTTGTAGTGAAGGATCCAAAGATAGCACACAAATGGATGTTTCTCTGATACCTGTGGCTTATCAGTAAGAATAGAAGTAATGGAAATCTCATGAGAAAGCCTGCTCTTAAAAGATTTCCAATCCAATTTTTGAACTCAAAAGGCTTGAATTAGTTTCAGATTAACATCCAAGTCTTTCAAAGCACCTCTTCCAGGATTCAGTTGTCAGGAGGACATTGGACACTGGAATTTAGGTTCGATTTTTTGTGGCAAGAAGAGAGAAATAGGCAAATATTCAAGTTTTCTTTTTTTTCACTTATGCTTCTTTTTTAAAATATTTTTATCTCTTTTCTACATGTAGTTTGTTTTCTCACTTAAACTTTCATTACCTTCTTATAAAATAATTACCCACATTCATGCATGTATACACACATACAACTCTATGTATGCCATGCAATGTGTCTTAATGTTTGGCTAAGGCAGTAGTAACTCAACAGAACATCTTACCTCCTTTTATATGTGATACTCCATGGCTACTAAACCTAGAAGAATTAGAGTTCAAAGATGTTCAGTTTCAGTGTCTTTCATATGAATTTCAATGGAGGGAATCCCATTCCATACATAGTGCTCCTAATAAGTGTCACTTCCATCCTTTTTCCTGTCTCTGATCCTCAGGTTTTCCTCATTGCAGACGTAGTTAAGTTGACTGCCAAACGTTTTTTCAAATTTTTTCTTTGAGTCAGTTGATATTGATGTATAATCTCTATAAGACAAGCAAGTGGTAAGGTTGTTACAGAGATATGTTCACCTCAGTCTTCCCGTGATAACTTGAAGCAAGAAGATTTATAATACAGAGTGGAAGCCTTTGGAGGATGCACACATTACCAATGCAACCAAATATACCGATGTTTATTAATTAGAGAGACAGATCTAGTCTTTTTAAAGAGGCCACAGAAGGATACTATTAAGAATTACATTCCAACCTACTTTCAGCAACCTATTCTGTGTCCTCTTCCAAATCTTGCTTTTGAAGACAGCTCTCGCGCTGAGGTCTGTACCTGTAGAGGGTTAGCACTACCTTGAAGTTTCACAATGTAGCCCTGAGTGCTTTGTCAAATTCTAAAGAAGAAAGTACTTCACATGCCACATTACAAATTGAGGCAAATGCTAATATCATCTTAGGTACACATGTTTATTTTTATAAAACTAATATTTAATTTGTTTTAATTAAAATCAAGCACATATTATTTGCCTACAGATTGTACATATTTGAAAGCTGATGGCCACTATATGAGGGAAAAAATAAAAACACGTAGGTTTTGTGCAATGCTGAGTCAAGTGCAGTGGAAACTGAGGCAGGTCCCTGCTGGGTAGTTGCACATGCTTCGACTCTGGGTGAGTCTAATGTCAATGTTAGAGGAAAGAAAGGGTCACAGCAAGGATACATGTTTCTTTAGCTTATGCCTTTCTCCCTGTGACTTTAGTGTAGCATGTCTTCAAAGCTGATACAAACTCCAAGTTTCCTTATAATATAAGGTCTCCCCACAAAAATATTTATTTTCCTGAAAATCTCTGAGTTGTTTTAGTTGAGGCATACCATATAGCTACCATACAGCTGCCTTTTGTTCAAAACACTTGACTGGGTTGGGTTAGTGCTTCTCTGTATATAACTATTATAGGCACTTACATTTTTCACTTCTATGAAATATGGGGCTCAGAACCTTCAAATACCGTTGTGGCAATGTAACTAAATTTTCATTTACTCTTAGGCAATAAGCAGGGCTAAACACCTCTAAAGGATAATTTTGGCTACATTTTATAATATTTATTGGATTCTCCTACCTGTAGAGTTGGACGGTAGCTTCCAAATTAACTTGACCCAAGAGAGTTGGGGAAGTATCACAGGATTCTTATTTATTTATTATACTTAGAGTTCTAGGGTACATGTGCACAATGTGCAGGTTTATTACATATGTATACATGTGCCATGTTAGTGTGCTGCACCCATTAACTCGTCATTTACATTAGGTATATCTCCTAATACTATCCCTTCCCCCTTCCGGCACCCCACGACAGGCCTCAGTGTGTGATATTCCTCACCCTGTGTCCAAGTGTTCTCATTGTTCAATTCCCCTCTATGAGTGAGAACATGTGGTGTTTGGTTTTCTGTCCTTGTGATAGTTTGCTCAGAATGATGGTTTCCAGCTTCATCCATGTCCCTACAAAGGACATGAACTCATCCTTTTTTATGGCTGCATAGTATTCTATGGTGTATATGTGTGCCACATTTTCTTAATCCAGTCTATCATTGGTGGACATTTGGCTTGGTTCCAAGTCTTTGTTATTGTGAATAGTGCCGCAATAAACATATGTCTGCATGTGTCTTTATAGCAGCATGATTTATAATCCTTTGGGTATATACCCAGTAATGGGATGGCTGGGTCAAATGGTATTTCTAGCTCTAGATCCTTGAAGAATCACCACACTGTCTTCTACAATGGTTGAACTAGTTTACAGTCCCACCAACAGTTTAAAACTATTCCTTTTTCTCCACATTCTCTCCAGCATTTGTTGTTTCCTGACTTTTTAATGATTGCCATTCTAACAGGTGTGAGATAGTATCTCATTGTGGTTTTGATATGCATTTCTCTGATGGCCAGTGATGATGAGCATTTTTTCATTTATCTGTTGGCTGCATAAATGTCTTCTTTTGAGAAGTATCTGTTCATATCCTTCACCCACCTTTTGATGGGGTTGTTTGATTTTTTTCTTGTAAATTTGTTTAAGTTCTTTGTAGATTCTGGATATTGGCCCTTTGTCAGATGGGTAAACTGTAAAAATTTTCTCCCATTCTGTAGGTTGTCTGTTCACTCTGATGGTAGTTTCTTTGGCTGTGCAGAAGCTCTTTAGTTTAATTAGATCCCATTTGTCAATTTTGGCTTTTGTTGTCATTGCTTTTGGTGTTTTAGTCACGAAGTCCTTGCCCAAGCCTATGTCCTGAATGGTATTGCCTAGGTTTTCTTCTAGGGTTTTTATGGTTTTAGGTTTAACATTGAAGTCTTTAATCCATCTTGAATTAATTTTTGTATAAGGTGTAAGGAAGGGATCCAGTTTCAGCTTTCTACATATGGCTAGCCAGTTTTCCCAGCACCATTTATTAAATAGGGAATCCTTTCCCCATTTCTTGTTTTTGTCAGGTTTGTCAAAGATCACCTGGTTGTAGATTTGTGGTATTATTTCTGAGGGCTCTGTTCTGTTCCATTGGCCTATCTCTCTGTTTTGGTACCAGTACCATGGTGTTTTGGTTACTGTAGCCTTGTAGTATAGTTTGAAGTCAGGTAGCGTGATGCCTCTAGCTTTCTACTTTTGGCTTAGGATTGTCTTGGTAATGCAGGCTCTCTTTTGGTTTCATATGAACTTTAAAGTCGTTTTCTCCAATTCTGTGAAGAAAGTCATTGGTAGCTTGTTGAGGATAGCATTGAATCTATAAATTACCTCAGACAGTATGGCCATTTTCATAATATTGATTCTTCCTATCCATGAGCATGGAATGTTCTTCCATTTGTTTGTGTCCTCTTTTATTTCGTTGAGTGGTGGTTTGTAGTTCTCTTTGAAGAGGTCCTTCACATCCCTTGTAAGTTGGATTCCTAGGTATTTTATTCTCTTTGAAGCAATTGTGAATGAGAGTTCATTCATAATTTGGCTATCTGTTTGTCTGTTATTGGTGTATAGGAATGCTTATGATTTTGGCACATTGATTTTGTATCCTGAGAATTTGCTGAAGTTGCTTATCAACAAGGAGATTTTGGGCTGAGATGATGGGGTTTTCTAAATATACACTCATGTCATCTGCAAATAGGGACAATTTGACTTCCTCTTTTCCTAATTGAATACCCTTTATTTCTTTCTCCTGCTTGATTGCCCTGGCCAGAACTTCCAACAATATGTTGAATAGGAGTGGTGAGAGAGGGCATCCCTGTCTTGTGCCAGTTTTCATAGGGAGTGCTTCCCGTTTTTGCCCATTCAGTATGATATTGGCTGTGGGTTTGTCATAAATAGCTCTTATTATTTTGAGATACGTCCCATCAATACCTAGTTTATTGAGAGTTTTTAGCATGAAGTGCTGTTGAATTTTGTCAAAGGCCTTTTCTGCATCTATTGAGATAATCATGTGGTTTTTGTCTTTGGTTCTGTTTATATGATGGATTACGTTTATTGATTTGCATATGTTGAACCAGCCTTGCATCCCAGGGATGAAGCCAACTTGATTATGTTGGATAAGCTTTTTGATGTGCTGCTGGATTTGGTTTGCCAGTATTTTATTGAGAATTTTTGCATCGATGTTCATCAGGGATATTGGTAAAATTCTCTTTTTTTTGTTGTGTCTCTGCCAGGCTTTGGTATCAGGAAGATACTAGCCTCATAAAATGAGTTAGGGAGGATTCCCTCTTTTTCTATTGATTGGAATAATTTCAGAAAGAATGATACCATTCCTCTTTGTACCTCTGGTAGAATTCGGCTGTGAATCTGTCTGGTCTTGGACTTTTTTTGGTTCATAGGCTATTAATTATTGCCACAATTTCAGAGCCTGTTATTGGTCTATTCAGAGATTCAACTTCTCCCTGGTTTAGTCTTGGGAATGTGTGTGTCCAGGAATTTATCCATTTCTTCTAGATTTTCTAGTTTATTTGCATAGAAGTGTTTATAATATTCTCTGATGGTAGTTTGCATTTTTGTGGTATTGGTGCTGATATCCCCTTTATCATTTTTTGTTGCATCTATTTGATTCTTCTCTCTTTTCTTCTTTGTTAGTCTTGCTAGTGGTCAATCAATTTTGTTGATCTTTTTGGAAAACCAGCTCCTGGATTCATTGATTTTTTTGAAGGGTTTTTTTGTGTCTCTCTTTCAGTTCTGCTCTGATTTGTTATTTCCTGCCTTCTGCTAGCTTTTGAAAATGTTTGCTCTTGCTTCTCTAGTTCTTTTAATTGTGATTTTAGGGTGTCAATTTTAGATCTTTCCTCCTTTCCCTTGTGGGCATTTAGTGCTATAAATTTCCCTCTACACACTTCTTTAAATGTGTCCCAGAGATTCTGGTATGTTGTGTCTTTGTTCTCATTGGTTACAAAGAACATCTTTATTTCTGCCTTCATATTGTTATGTACCCAGTAGTCATTCAGGAGCAGGTTGTTCAGTTTCCATGTAGTTGAGTGGTTTTGAGTGAGTTTCTTAATCCTGTGTTCTAGTTTGATTGCACTGTGGTCTGCGAGACAGTTTGCTATAACTTCTGTTCTTTTACATTTGCTGATGAGTGCTTTACTTTCAACTATTTATTTCAATTTTGGAATAAGTGCAATGTGGTGCTGAGAAGAATGTATATTCTGTTAATTTGGGGTGGAGAGTTCTGTAGATGTCTATTAGGTCTGCTTTGTGCAGAGCCAGGTTCAATTCCTGGATATCTTTGTTAACTTTCTGTCTCGTTCATCTGTCTAATGTTGACAGTGGGGTGTTAAAGTCTCCCATTATTATTGTGTGGGAGTCTAAGTCTCTTTGTAGGTCTCTATGGACTTGCTTTATGAATCTGGTTGCTCCTTTTTGGGTGCATATATATTTAGGATAGTTAGCTCTTCTTGTTGAATTGATCCCTTTACCATTATGTAATGGCCTTCTTTGTCTCTTTTGATCTTTGTTGGTTTAACGTCTGTTTTATCAGAGACTAGGATTGCAACTCCTGCTTTTTTTTGTCTTCCATTTTCTTGGTAGATCTTCCTCTATCCCTTTATTTTGAGCCTATGCGTGCCTCTGCACATGAGATGGGTCTCCTGAATACAGCATACTGATGGGTCTTGACTCTTTATCCAATTTGCCAGTCTGTATCTTTTAATTGGGGCATTTAGCCCATTTCCGTTTAAGGTTAATATTGTTATTTGTGAATTTGATCCTGTCATTATGATGTTAGCTGGTTATTTTGCTCTTTAGTTCATGCAGTTTCTTCCTAGCATCGATGGTGTTTACAATATGGCATGTTTTTGCAGTGGCTGGTACTGGTTGTTCCTTTCCATGTTTAGTGCTCCCTTCAGGAGCTCTTGTAAGGCAGGCCTGGTGGTGACAAAATCTCTCAGCATTTGCTTGTCTGTAAAGGATTTTATTTCTCCTTCACTTTTGAAGCTTAGTTTGGCTGGAGATGAAATTCTGGGTTGAAAATTCTTTTCTTTAAGAATGTTGAATATTGGCCCCCACTCTCTTCTGGCTTGTAAAGTTTCTGCCAAGAGATCTGCTGTTAGTCTGATGGGCTTCCCTTTGTTGGTAACCCGACCTTTCTGGCTGCCCTTGACATTTTTTCCTTCATTTCAACTTTGGTGAATCTGACAATTATGTTTCTTGGAGTTGCTCTTCTCGAGGAGTATCTTTGTGGCATTCTCTGTATTTCCTGAATTTGAATGTTGGCCTGCCTTGCTAGATTGGGGAAGTTCTCCTGGATAGTATCCTGAAGAGTGTTTTCCAACTTGGTTCCATTCTCCCTGTCACTTTCAGGTACACCAATCTGATGTATATTTGGTCTTTTCACATAGTCCCATATTTCTTGGAGGCTTTGTTCATTTATTTTTACTCTTTTTTCTCTAAACTTCTCTTCTCGCTTCATTTTATTCATTTGATCTTCCATCACTGATACCCTTTCTTCCACTTGATTGAATCGGCTACTGAAGCTTGTGCATGCATCACGTAGTTTTCATGCCATGCTTTTCAGCTCCATCAGGTCATTTAAGGTTTTCTCTACACTGTTTATTCTAGTTAGCCATTCATCTAATCTTTTTTCAAGTTTTTTTAGCTTTTTTGCAATGGGTTTGAACATCTTCCTTTAGCTCGGAGAAGTTTGTTATTACTGATCGTCTGAAGACTTCTTCTCTCAACTTGTCAAAGTTATTCTCAGTCCAGCTTTGTTCCCCTGCTGGTGAGGAGCTGCGTTCCTTTGGAGGAGAAAAGGTGCTCTAATTCTTAGAATTTTCAGCTTTTCTGCCCTGGTTTCTCCCCATCTTTGTGGTTTTATCTACCTTTGGTCTTTGATGATGTACAGATGGGGTTTTGGTGTGGATGTCCTTTCTGTTTGTTAGTTTTCCTTCTAACAGTCAGGACCCTCAGCTGCAGGTCTGTTGGAGTTTGCTGGAGGTCCACTCCAGACCCTGCTTTCCTGGGTATCACGAGTGGAGGCTACAGAACAGCAAATATTGCAGAATGGCAAATGTTGCTACCTGATCCTTCCTCTGAATGCTTCATCTCAGAGGGGCACCCAGCTGTATGAGGTGTCAGTCGGCCCCTACTGGGAGGTGTCTACCAGTTAGGCTACTCGGGGGTCAGGGACCCACTTGAGGAGGCAGTCTGTCCATTCTCAGCTCTCAAACTCCATGCTGGGAGAATCACTACTCTCTTCAAAGCTATCAGACAGGGATGTTTAAGTCTGCAGAAGTTTCTGCTGCCTTTTGTTCAGCTATGCCCTGCCCCCAGAGGTGGAGTCTACAGAGACAGACAGGCCTCCTTGAGCTGTGGTGGGCTCCACCCAGTTAGACTCCCCTGGTGGCTTTGTTTACCTACTCAAGCCTCAGCGATGGTGGATGCCCCTCCCCCAACCTCTCTGCCACCTTGTAGTTCATTCTCTGACTGCTGTGCTAGCAGTGAGCTAGGCTCTGTGGGTGTGGGACCCTCTGAGCCATGCGCAGGATATAATCTCCTGGTGTGCTATTTTCTAAGACCGTTGGAAAAGCACGGTATTAGGGTGGGTGTGTCCTGATTTTCCAGGTACCGTCTGTCACGGTTTCCCCTGGCTAGGAGAGGGAATTCCCTGACCCCTTGCACTTCCTGGGTGAGGCGTTGCCCCACCCTGCTCTGTGGGCTGCACCCACTGTCTGACAAGCCCCAGTGAGACGAACCTGGTACCTCAGTTGGAAATGCAGAAATCAGCCTTCTTTTGCGTCGCTCACGCTGGGAGCTGTATACTGGAGCTGTTCTTATTTGGCCATCTTGGAACCTCCCCTTTTTATTTTTAAGCTCTGCAGATGATTGATGATTCTGGTTGATAATAAGATAATTGTGAAAACCTTTGTTTTACCTCAAGGCATGAAGAGTAAACTTCTGATTTGTAAACATACAGTCCAATACAAAGGAAGAGCCTATTAGATATAGGTTCACATTTTCTATAGTCATTACATGGCACTAATGTCCCATAAAACCTCTACTTATTTCCTCTGAAGGTCAACCAATATCCGTGCCCAATTATAATACTAAGTAAAAGCTACAGAAAAGAATTTGCCTCATCCTTCCCTCACAGCTCTCTTATTTTCCAGAATTATTCTGCTTGTTTTGCTTTTTCTCTTGATGTTTTTCTTTCTTAAACTTATCACTCCACGACAACTGTCCTCTCAAATACAAAGTGTTCCTATTTTAATTCCTGTAGTGGGTTGAATGGGGCCCTCCTAAAAGATGTTTCCATACCTCTATCCCTAGAATCTGTGAATGTCATCTTAACTGGAAAAAGTCTTTGAAGATGCAATTAAGTTAAGGCTCTTGAAAGGAGATCATCTTAGGCAATCTAGGCTAGCCCTAAATCTAATGACAATTGTTCTTATAAGAGGAGAAGACACAGAGACAGATAGGAGAAAGCCATGGGAAGATGCAGGCAGAGAGTGGAGTAATACAATCGCAAACCAAGGAATACCTAGAGCCCTCAGAACATGGGAAAAGCAAAGAAGGAGTCTCTCCTAGAGCTTTTAGAGGGAATAAGGCACTGCACACACCTTGATTTCAGACTTCTAATTCCCAGAACTGTGAGATAATTAATTTCTGTTGTTTTAAGCTGCTATATTTGTGGTAATTTATTAGGGCAGTGCTAGGAAACAGAATCAGCCCTTTCTTCTTTACCCATCTAGCCCAATTTTCACCTATTTCACACATTAAAAAAAGTTTTTCTGCCTTTCACTATGTTTCTTCTTTGTCCTCTCTTCAGATATTTGTATACTATGAACAGAATATGACCCCAAAAATATGCTTCTTTAGCATAAGTATCATTGAGCTGAAGGCAATTAAGAAGAATCAAGTGCAAGAAAGTGCTTTGCTTTCCCTCTATTTGTCTAAAAATCAAGATACGGATTTACAAAGAGAGAAGGTATCCTGCTCCTGCCACCCTGTTTCTATCAGGGAGAACCAAAGAGAACTATTCATAATATATCTATGGAGAAAACAGAAGTTATAACTAGATTTAGATTCCTTAAAGTCAGGGACTCAGTATTGTATTGTCAACCTGAGATCACTCACATCTAGCGTAAATACAAACACATGTATTGTTTAATAAATATTTTTAATTAATAACTTCTCAAGTTAGGTAAAAATGAAACATCAATGATTTCAACCTCTGAAGTCTTGAGTTGAAAATGCTTCAAACTTAAACTCTACTTAGATTTGCCAAGATATTTTCATCTATCTCCTCATCCTCTTCAAATTCAATGTGTGTCCTCAAACACCAGTGATCCATATGAGTAAATAATAATAATAATAATAATAATAATAATAAACAATAGACAGTAACTCAGGGTCCAGTGGTGTCAGAGTCCAAGTCATGTCATGACACCATATCTAATTGTGTAAGTGTCTAATGAGGGCATGCTAAACTAATAAACTAAAACTAATATTTAGTTTCATTTTAAGAAAAATATATTTTTAGAATTTTATCAGGGAACCTAAATACTACTTAATATATTGTTTACATTAAAAAATATATTCCTCATCCCAAGAAATGTAATTCCTGGAACTACAGAATATTTATGAGATAGAAGTGGTCCTGTTCTATTCTTGATAATCCCAACCCCATATTGGCATGTTTGTGAGATTGGGATGCTTGGAAGAACAGAACATGCCCCCCAAAAATATGCTTCTTCAGCATAAGGATTGTTGAGCTGAAGGCAATTAAGAAGAAGCAAGTGCAAGGAAGTGCTCTGCCCTTCCTCTATTTGCCTAAAAATCAGGACATAGATTTATTAATACAAAGGGAGAAGTATCCTGCTTCCCTCATCGTCTTTCTATCAGGGACAGCAAAGGCTGACCACTGAAGACTTTAGCCCTGAACAGTCCAGAGATGGCACCAGAGGAATTGACAGTCACTGACTTATGCATTAGCCTTTATCTGCCAGTTATTTGTCTTCCTACAAGTTGCCACCCCTAGAGACTCAAAGTCCTTGTCCTGTGTCTTGTCAATTCTCTAAAAATTTACTGTTCTTTGTTGAAAATGCTACATTAACTGGAATTTAAAGCCACCTCCTTGACAAGTACTCATTTTCTGGGTATTTCCCATGTGTATATGAAAAAGCTGTTGTTTTTAATTTTGTTAAGTGTTTTGTTAAAGGGGTTTATTCCAACCAAGAATTTATGAGGTTTGAGAAAAAATATATTTTTCTCCTCAAGACTTGATATATCCATTTATTATCATCTCTAAGTAACAGTGGTGGGAACTTGTAATAATATAAAATAATCTTCTATTAATAGCATCATTATCAACAGCTTTGTGACTACCATCCATCTTCCCTTCTCATTTGCAATGTTATATTGTAAAAGTAATTCCTGTCTTTCTTCTAATCTGAGACAGGGATCTCACTTTCCTTCCTGAAAAGTCTCAATACTTGTCCTTAATTTCTTCTGCCTTTGCTTCATGAGTCACCTCATTTTGTTTCATGACCCTGTGTTTTCTATTGTAAGGCAACATGTACCTAACTTCACCTTGATAGTCTCCTTAACATTCATTGCTTTTCTTTATTGCTGCTATTTAGATTACCCTTCCCTTCTCTATCTTTTGTTCTTTTACCTTATTTTGGTTTCTGGAGCAAGGTAGAATAGTCCCATCTCATCCGCAGTTTCGCATTCTGCAGTTTCAGTTACCCACAGTCAATCACAGTTCCAAAGTATGTGAATACAGTATAGTAAGATCTTTTGAAAGAGAGAGAACCACACTCACATAATTTTTATTAAAGTGTATTGTTATAATTGTTTTAATTCATTATTAATTATTGTTTTTAGTCTCTTCCTGTGCCTAATTTATAAGCTTTATCATAGGTACATATGGGAAAAATGTAGTATATATTATAGGGTTAAGTACTATCTGCAGTTTCAGGCATCCACTGGGAGTCTTGGAACTTATCATCAGGGATAAAGGGGGGACTACTGTAGTTGTGTTTTCTTTTTAAACCCTCCTGCTGTTTAACTTTCTCTTCATCTTGTTTCCTTGGCTCCCATTCTCCCTTACTAGAATTCATGCTACAGCTTCCTGCTGCTCAGATTGCGTTAGTTTTAAAATCTACAGAAGAGTTTTCTTTCTGACATTTACTAGCCAAGTTTCTTACTAGAGTCCTCCTGCCTGTGATTCTGTGTACTCTCTGCATACTCAATAAGTTACAAACTGTAAAAACCCATTTATCGAAAATTTCTAGGTAAAAAGAGAGAGCTGAGATGTTGGGAAAACTTGGATGGCAGTAGTTTCCCAGGTTTGAATAGCAATGAGACTCTGATCAAGTCCTGTGTACTAATGCGAGTTGATTTTGCTTATCTAGAAAATGAATGATAATGCCTCTTACAGAGGTCATATGTGAGGATGCATTAAAAGAATAAGAGTGAAAAATATTTAGAAAAAGGAACCAAGATATTCAATATCTTGAAGGCTAGTATCAAAGAGAATGTAGAGAATTTAGGTGATAAATAAAAGGAGATACCTACTGAGTGTTAATGAGATTATTCTGTAGTCCTTATATAGTTTTTTCAGTGAATGTTCTTCTTTCTTGTGGCTGGTATTAAAATATGGCAGGTAATCACAGAAATTTACCCGGGTATTTGGTCATTCTTTTGCTTCTCACCATTTGTTCAACAACATTTATTACATTTGATGTGCTCTGTGCTTGAAATAGTATGATGAAGAAAATGCAAATATAGACAAAATTATATATTATTTCTGCCCTCATAGAGAAAAGGGTAGCATGACTGGAGTTGTAATAAAAAAGTGTAAACCTGCCTGCAATATTGTGAAAGTTTATTTTATGTGTCAACTTGGCTGGGCCATAGGCCCAGATATTTTGGCCAGACAGTATTCCGAATGTTTCTGTGCAGGTGTCTTTGGGTGAAAGTAACATTTAAGGTGGTGGACCTCAAGTAAAGTAGACTGACCTCTATAATATAAGTGAGCCTCATCTACTTAACTGAAGGTTTGAATAGAACAAAAAGCCTGACCTCCCTTGAGCAAGAAGAAATTCTACCAACAGGCAGTCTTCTGACTTGAATTGCACATCAGCTCTTTTTTGAGTCTCCAGCCCACTATGGAGATTTTGGACTTGCCTACCTTCATAATCACATGAGACAACACCTTAAGATAAATATATTTATGTTTATAATTAAAATATAGTTATTAATGTACTATTTATATTATATTTTAAAACAAACATACATATATCTATATATAACTCTATATGTGTGTATATATATATATACGTATCTATAACTATCTTATTGATTCTGTTTTTCTGGGGAAGCCTAATACAAATTTGAATATTTGTTTGTGGGTCAAGAAGAATGTTGGCTATTATAGTATTTCAGGTGTGGGTTCACAATGTCTTGCTTTAGTGGAATAGCAGTGAAGGTTGAGGGAAGTGGATTGAAGAGCCAATTAAGAACCAAAATATGCAGGGCTTGGTGTTGCACTGTATATTACAGCCATAAGAGAAGGACAAAACAGACTCCTGAATTTCTGACTTCCCCATCTAGATGCATGATAGTGCTGATCACTGACTGGTATCGCCCTGGAAGAGAACTAGTTTGGAAAGTAGGAATAAGTTTGAACACATCGAGTAATATGTTTTTGATAGATCCAAAAATGGTATGTTAGTGTCTCCATATAAAGTCTAGATAACAATGAAGATTTAGACTACACATAAATTTGAGAATCTTTTTATAAGTGGTAATTGAAAAAGTGAACATAGATGAAAATACATAATATAGAGAAAAAGAAGCTAGGACTAAGTCTTGAAAAACTGCAACATTAAATGACAGGATGGAAGACAAGAAATGTATTGAAATTTTAAATAAATCTTAAGGTTTTATAGTTTTAAATTTTAATACAACATACCGGGCTAATGTGTTTGAAGGTCTTTGTAAAGTGTCATAGGAGCAAGGCAAGATCTAATTTCTGATTTGATTCTTCTTCCTTCATTCTTCAAGGGAAAAATTGGTCATTTGCATTATTTTCTTACTTTTTCATTAATCAAGAAATCAGGACAAAGTGTTGTGTAAGTGTCACAACAGTACCTGCATTCAGGTCCTAATTTCTTACTTAAAAATCATCTTTGCGTAGCATTTCCTGAGCATAATGCATGAACAAGTCAGAGGCTTTTCCAAATTTATCAAGTACTCACCCTTAAGCTAATTTTATAGGATGTTTTGAAAGTTATTTTTGTGGTTTCTTATGGAAGTGCTTCAGGAACAAAATCACAAAGCATTCATCCTGTAGCTGAAAAGATTAATTTATAAAGTTTATAGAGTTCTCCAGATATACAAGTTCTGTGAATACACAGGTATCTTGAATTTTATCATAATATTGGGCTTGAATATTATTGGATTTATGATTTTGAATTGATACATAAAATTACACACAAATAATTGCTATTTGATCTGAACTCAATGCTGACTTATTTATTCAACACAGTATTTATAATCTAAAATGTTCTGGTACCTTATGAGACAGTAGCATGCAAATATAATTAAGACACCGTTCTTGTGCCATTAATAAGCTCGCAGTCTGGTGGACATATATATATATATGTTTAATGGAATGTGTTGTAATATGCAATAATGATAGTTTATTCTCAGAACAAAGAAGAGGAGATAATCTGTCTTGCAATGGGTTAGCGCCAAGAGTGAGGGAATTTTTAAAGGATTAGAAAATATTAACCAAACCAAGGGGGAATGATAGAAACTGCATTCCGGGAAGAATAGACAGTATTATCAAAACACAAAGTCATGACATATTTTGGTTCTTATCAAGATTGCAGTTGCATAAAAGGAAGGCAAAAAATGGAAAGATATAGATGGTAAAGTCCACATTACGAAGTCAATGAAATGGCAGGCTAGGGAACTGGTAATTACCCTGATGGCAACAAATAGCTGCAGGATAGGCCTAAGTAGAAAAGTTATAATAATTAGATTTCCATAGTAGAAAATATTGATATTTATGAATCTGAGTTAACACAACTGCTCGCATGTGGTATACATATTGCAATCCTTTTCCATTGCTAGTTTTGTGGGTTTGTTTGGTTTTGTTTTGTCTTGTTTTGTTTTTTTGAGACATAGTTTCCCTCTGTAGGCCAGGCTGGTGTGCAATGGTGCAATCTTGGCAAACTGCAACCTCCGCCTCCTGGGCTCAAGCGATTCTCATGCCTCAGCCTCCCAAGTAGTTGGGATTACAGTCACGCACCACCATGCCCGGCTAATTTTTGTATTTTTAGTGGAAACGGGGTGTTGCCATTTTGGCCAGGTTGATGTCAAGCTCCTGGCCTCAAGTGATCACCTGCCTCAGCCTCCCAAAGTGCTGGGATTATAGGTGTGAGCCACTACGCCCAACCTGTTATTTTTAAATTCATGATTATTAAGGGAATATGAAGCATTATTTTACTGTTCACCAAAAATCCTACTCTGTGGTTCACGGGAATAATTATGTGACTTTCTTTGGCTAAAAAAAAGAAAAAGAAAAAAGAAAAGAAATAATGAACTTCCAGACACAGAACATAAATTTTAAGAATTAATATGTGACGTACCTAATCTCATTCTCCTTTACCATAAATGGCAATGTGATGGTAAATTGCTGAGGTGTTTGGATTGTTTGTTACAGACTGCAGCAATCTAGGAAATCCTGACTGATATAGGAGGTTATGTCATTGTGGTGCTGCTTCCTTTCAGGTTGGGAATTTTTTAGTAGCCTACTTGATCTCACTAATCAGATAGCAATATAGTCTATGTTATGTTGCTTCTCTCAAATAAGCTAAATGATATAGAGAGTAGCTATTAAAGACAAATGAGATTTTTGCCATCAGTTACATTGTTATTTATGATGATGAGAAATTGATTTGTGTTCTATATTTCTACGGAACACTTGAATACAATGGAATATATTTATTCATTTACAGTCAATTCTCTTTATTCAATGTAGATATGCTTTATAAAGTCACCACAAACACTGAATTAGTGAGTACGGAACTATTGCTCCAAGGAGCACTACAGAATTAGATGCCTGGAAGACAATGGTCACAACACTTCAACCAAAACACCATTTGAGTTGTATGGGTCATTCACTAATGTTAAACAAGCCAATCTCATCAGCTTTGAAAACCTGCTCTTCCACAGAATGCTTTTTCTATATAATAGTATTTTCTAAATTCCTTTTCAGCCTCCTGATTCATAGAATCTACATTACCCATAATTTTAGCAGTTTTCATACCTTAGCACCTTTTGAAACATGAGAGCCAGTTGGCACTACCAGAGAAAGGTTTAATATTTTCCTGATACTGGATAACATGATCATAAATTTATTTGGCTTTCAGCGTCATAATGCTACCCACTGTTTTTTTTTTAATCAGTTGAATTGAAAAATTAAGTCTTTTTAAATCTTTACCATAGCTTCATCACATACTGTAGAAGTTACTTTAGCGTTTTCCAGAGCATTCTCATGTACAGATTGGTAAATTTCTTCTTCCTTTTTATGGATGTACTATATTGTCGATTCATTGAACTCACATTGAACTAACATTGAACTCACAGCCAACCACACTATAACTCATGCCTGAATAAAACTTACCTAAAACAAATTCTCCCCATGTGGCACAGAACTGCCTTCTTGCATTTAGCATCATCAGACAGCACTTCAGCACTATGCTTGGGGGCTATTTTAACAGCAAAAATCACCTAAAAAAATCACAAAAATACAAAAAATGTGCCATTAAGTAGCCCTCAAAACAAACACTTGTTTGCCATGTGACCAAGACCTGAAACAAGAAGGCAGATTCACTTTGTTCAACCTCAGCTGGGAACATGCCCAAGAGACTCAAATTTTTGGCTAATCTGCACATGTCTGCAAATGACCCAAAAGCCCACAAGTATTAATTTTGGGGCTGCAAAGACATTTTAACGAGTAGACAAAATTACAAATTCAGAATATAGAACCTGTGAATAGTGAGGATTTTTGTTTCTTTATTAAGTATATTGACTTGCCTTTTTTGAACAAGACCAAATCAATACTATGGAAGTACTGTGGAAAATAGGGGCACAACCTAATGAAGGTCTGGCCACCTAAATTCTAGAGCTCAAATTTAATACAAAGGGAAAAAATCATGATGTCAAATTAGGTTTATTAAATTAGGCTAATGTTTATTAGCTACCAAGTGATTAGAAATAACTAGATGTAGTTCTGTTGGTGTTTAATAAAATAAATGCATTAACTATAGCATACTTTCCAAGCAGAAGCAGTGTCGCAAACTCTCATTACATATGGAAAAAGCACACAATCCACTAACAAAGATTCATCAACATTTGGTAGCAACCAAATATACATAGGGTAAATTATGTAATTAATATATTACATGTATAGTGTGAGAAACTAAGTTTGTGGCTGTGCATCTGATCCTAGCATCTGACTGAGAAATACAGAAAGTTAACCAAAGAAGTTTGTTTTTAATATTGCTTACAGAAAGGCTTGTGGGGAGTTATTTCAGGTCCAAATATAGCAAGCATAAAATTAAAGCAAAAGCATGGGACCACAATGGAATTAAGATGAATGGATCACACCAAACAGGTGTTTACTTACTTACTTGTCAATTACAGGCATGTTATAATCGACAATAAAATTGTGGCTCCATGCTGTTTGAGTTCTTATATAAAATGTCAAATTTCTTAAGCTATGAAGAATTTAGTGCCAATCAATCTGAAGAAAAAGCACTGTTGATTTTGATCGACAACTAACTGATTTTAACAGAATATGATATCTAACTTGTCACATCACAGATCAGATGAATGATTAATTTTGCCTTCCCAAATAGAAAAAGATAAAATCAATGAAGTATGTTTTCTGCACCATTATTATACTGGCATCGTTAGGATGACATCGATTGTGAAATTAAGGACTTTCTTCACTTTCTGCTGGTAGCAGGACTGAACCTGCATTTTCCAAGATCAACTCTTCAGCATCAGAAGCTTTGACAGCTCTGAAGGGGGGAAAAAGCATTTGTATTCTCAATAGAAAGTACAATCACAGGTATTGATGCAGTTATAGCTTGAAAGCATATTCTTATGCATTGAAAGTGACTCAGTAGGAAAATGGCGTGGGTTTAAGTTTTAATAATGCCACAGTAAAGAACAGAACAAGAAACTTAAATTATATGTACCTCGGGAAAGTAAGATTCTACATTTACTTTGCAACTCTTGACAGGTATAGCCATATTTGACCCTTGGTTGACATGTACAACTCTCACAGCATTGGCTAGATTACAGTTTACTTGTTGGAAATCGCACTGCTAGCCATAGTTAGCAACATTCAAGAACCATGTGAGAGGTTATATGACACAAAAATAAGACATCTTCCTCTAAGTAATTTTTCAAGAAATTATCCCAGCATTTTTATTCTCTTTGCCTCTACATTCTCCTTTGCTATAAGCTCCATGCTCTATATGATTTTCATTCCATGCTTGTCAAAGCCAAAGATTCAAAGAAAGGAGAAAACAACAACAAAAAGTACTCAGTACCTTCCTGCAATGTTTTTACAGCTGGCAGAAAAAAAGATGAGATGCTGGATTTTTATCCCAGAGGATTTAGAGATAAATTCTTGGCCTCAGACATGGAATTTGGTAAATACAAACCAACTAGTATAGTGGTCACTACCGGTTGTTTACATAAAAGTATCTGTTAATTGTTATCATTTTATTTAAATTCCCTTTCTAGAGTCATATAGCCACAAGGAGAATCATGTTGGTGAGTTTTGAGAACACACCAGCAGTCACAGTTTCTCCCAGGATGTCCTAGGAGAAGGCAGGTAAGAGACTTCATTCTTCTTGCATCAGTGAGAGTCAGCAAATGAAGAGCTGGAGAGAGGACTTGCCCTTCTTCAGACCAAGATGAAGTTTAGGATTTAGCGGATCTTTGGGAAAATCCAGATAGCAGAAAACAGTGAAATCCCTAGAAAAAAAAAAGAACAGCCTGTTTGCTGTTTATGATAAAGGGAGAACCACCCCTGACCTGCAGGATAACTTCAGGGTTAAGCTACATCTCAGTTTCCCGGTTGGGAAAGGGCTTTGATTTACACACAAGAAAATCAGGCCACATCAGGATTCTTTCCCATTCTTCAGCAGAAGGGTAATTTTCTCCAGTTTGTTATCAACTAAATCGCAAGAACAGAAATTTCTATGCCTTTATTCCAAAATTTACCTGCTGTTTTATAGAACTATATGGTTGCTGATGAAACATTAAAAGGTAAAATAATATATTATTTTAAAAGACTGAGGGAAAATCAAGTTTAATTTTAAGTAGTAGAAATGAAAATACACATGGAGAAGCAATTAGAGCACAAAATGTATTCAACAACACATATTATATAATTTTTGAGTGTAAAAACTCAAGACAGAAATTGGAAATTAGAAGGATCACTGTCAAGGTGAGATCTTTTAATCTTGAAGATCAAGTAGAAAATAAAATTTTATAACACTAATAAAAAATAATTTTACAACACTGACAAAAAGGAATGCAGCTGAGCACAATGACTCATGCATGTAATCCCAGCACTTTGGGAGGCCCAGGTAGGAGGATCACTTGAGGCCAGGGGTTTGAGACTAGCCTGGGAAACATAGTGAGACCTTCGTCTCTACAAAAGAAAAAAAAAGTTAATTAGCCAGGCATAGTGACACTTGCCTGTAGTCCTCATTCCTCAGCAGGCTGACGTTGAAGAGCCACTTGAGCCCAGGAGTATGAGGTTTTAGAGTGACCTGTGATCATGATTGCACCTCTGCACTCCAGCCTGGGCAACAGAGTGAGACCCTGTCTCAAAAAATAAATAAATAAAAAGGAATGTAAGTCTTGAAGGAAAAGCTAAAAGGTAAGAAAGGTATATCTACGGACTTACAATAGGAATGCCAAAAGGAGAAAAAAGAGAAACGAGTGGAAAACTAATAACTGCACAATAAAAGAAAAAAAAACCTTCTGAGCTGAAGTTTGAAATTGCATGTGGAAAAGACTCACAAACTTTCAGCCAGAATTAACACAAATTTCTAAATTCCACATTAAAAGATAAAACCTTATCCCCTAAGATGAGGGGAAAGAGGTTCCATATTACAATACGTGAATCAGATTAGTGCTACAATTTTCATCTGAAGCATTAGGAAGCTATGACATAAAAACTAAAGACTATTGAACAATGAAAACACTTGGACACAGGAAGGGGAACATCATACACCGGGGCCTGTTGTGGGGCGGGGGGAGGGGGGAGGGAAAGCATTAGGAGATATACCTAATGTAAATGATGAGTTAATGGGTACAGCACACCAACACGGCACATGTATATATATGTAACAAAACTGCATGTTGTGCACATGTACCCTAGAACTTAAAGTATAATAAAAATACATATATATAAAATAAAACACAAAAAACTAAAGACTATTGAGCAGAGATGCTATAATTCCATGATCTTGCATCTGATCAGGTAAAAAACTAATAGAATTAATAAAATAATTTGGTATAATGGCTAGATACAAGATCAATAATACATATTAATAGGCTTTTCTAGAATAGATATAGCTACTTAAAACTGAAAATAGTCCATTTAAATTACATTGAAACTATAAAAAATATTGGAGTGAACTATACAGTAGAAGGGTAGAGTCCCTTTAGAGAGAGCTTTAAATGCATAAGGGCATGAAATAGATCCTAAGTAAAGGGAAAAACATGTTGTATTCCTGCATGGCAAAACTCAGTATCATGTAAATGTCATTTCTTGTATGTGTGTGTGTGTTATCATTCATTAATTCAATGAATATTAATTTTTGTTACTTTGTATATTGAGAATGCAATGATAGAAGTGGGATGCAGAAAATAAACACATTATATGCTAAACAGAGTAAAATGCTATGAAGAAAAATAAAGCAGTAAAAGCAAACTGAAACTGTTGTAGAAATAGAAGTTTCTCACAGCGTAGTCAGAAAAGGCTTCAGTGAGAACATGACATTTGAATGCAGACCTAAAGGGGATAGGACAGCAAGCCATGTGGCATCTGATTAAAGACCCTCCCAGGCAGAGGAAGAAAGTACAATGTCTCTGAGTTGAGAATATGTAAGACACTAATACAGCTGAAGTGGAGTAAGCAAAGGGTAAGGTAGTGAGGGAAAACCAGCTCATATCATTGTAAGTATTTTTTTTCACTCTGAGTAGGATAGAAAGTCACTGGAGGGCCTTAAGCAGACAGAAACATGCTCTGAGTTTTTGACAGGAAAACTCTTGTTGCCCAATTCACCATACTAAGGAGAGCCAAGGCAGAACAGGAAGAACAGTTGTGAGGCTACTGCAGTGGTCCCCGTGAGAAATAAAGGTGGCACAGGCCAGGTGGTAGCCAGATTTTGTGAGATGTGATCATATCCTGGATATGTATGAAAGCTAAAGCCCTGATACTGGCTGTTTGGTGTGAAGGAAAGAGTGAAATTAAGGATGAGATCAAGATTTTTTGCTCGTGTACACATAGGATATTACCATTAACTGAGAAAGGAAGGGTTGCAGCAAAAACTCAGTGTTGGGCATGTTAAATGTGGGCTGTGTATTTGAAATATCCAGATGAAAATATAGCCGGTTATACTTGAGTCGGGAGCTTAGGGGAAAAGATCCAATGCTGTTACTATATAATCCAATTATCATTCAAATGAGGGATATTTTGGAACCTCCATAAAATTGATTTTAATTAATTTAAAATTTCAGGTGAAACAAAAATGTCTGTGAAAAAATATAGGAATATTGTAAGAAAGACTGTACAGAGATATTTGCCTTACCAGATAGCAAAACTTAATATAAGCTCAATATAATAAAAATTATATGGTATTGTCAAAGGAACAAAGTTGTATCTGTATTAAAGAACATACAGAAATAAAAATTTCTGTACATAAGAAAATATACAAATATAACAATGTTACACAAATTATATAATGTAATACAAATATAACATTGCCTTTCAGTAAAAAATGAGTTATTTAGTAAGTATTGGTAGCATGTCAAAGAAGACTACTCTTCATGCCCATATACAGAAATATGATTATATTATAATTATTATATTCAACATAGAAATTTAAACATTAAATATTTGTTTTAATCAAGTTTAGCAAAGCTTCTCATTCCAAATTTGAGGAAAATTGATTATTTAGAAATTAAAATTTAGAAAAATTAAGAACTTGGCCAAATTAACATAGCAATTTGATCTGTATTAGACCACCATTAAGTGGTAAACTAGAATGTGAATCGGTCATGTTCTGAAGCATATCATTTTATCCCCATGCTAAATGATGAGTCTGGTCTTTCGTGTATACAAGATAACATTTGATGATTTTGCAGAAGATGCAAGATGAGGCTGTACTCTAATTTTTGACTCCCAGTCTTTGTATTAAGACCATGCTGCCTTTAAAATTGGATGCAGTGATGTTCTTTGATCTGTATTAGACCACTACAGGAGGCTCCAAGTTTTCAGAAAGGAATCTTCAAGCTAGAGCTTAAATTTGAGGTTCAGAGAAGACAAGGTGGGAGTCCCAGGTCCCTTGATCTCACTTATATTTCTATAATTTTTCACAATTGACCATTCTGAGTCCTGAAACTTACTGAAATGTTTGTCTCTACACTAGTCTACCTCTTTCCAAATCAACCTCTATGATACCCATTCAATCACTTTCTTTTTCCCTATATAAAGACCACCTATTCAGACTGGTTTGCTAAAGCAATTAGGTCTCCTCTCTTATATCTGAAACCTCCCTTTCATCATACTTCTGAGGAGTGCTAGGAAAGCTATAAGACAGTGAGAAGTAACAAGACTCAGTGTGATAATGGGAGATCACTGCCCCTAAAAATCTCATTTATGATCTTCATGGCAAACATTCTTCTATGTAATAAAAAAGTATAATTTCTATGTCTAGAGATTAATTTCCCTCTTTTAGGCAAAAAATATTTCACACAATTCCCCGAAGATCACTTCCAACATTCCATAGCATATGTTTGAAAAATTAAGACATAATCCTTCCCAAAACTGATAACATCATTAATAAAATAAGCTATTCTGAGGACAGTGTTGGTCAGTTAAAATTTAATAAATTTCCAAATAGTTGAATGGCTTACTTTTTCCTCAGTAGACTAGAAATATGAATTTTGCCTATGATTGTTTTTAAATTTTTAATGCATGTTACGAGAATGAGTGTGGACATTAAATAAGCCTCTATTTATTTGTTTATTTATTTATTTATTCAGACATGGAATTTTGCTCTGTCACCCAGGCTGGAATGCAGTAGCATGATCTCAGCGCAATGTCTGCTTCCCAGGCTCAAGCAATCTTCCCACATGAGCCTCTTGAGTAGCTGGGACTACAGGCATGCGCCACCACACCATTATTATTATTTTTTATTTTTAGTAGATACTTGGTTTCACCAGGTTGCTTAGGCTGGTCTCAAACTCCTGGGCTCGAGTGATCTGCCTACCTCAGCCATCCTAAAGTGTTGGGATTACAGATGTGAGCCACCACAACCGTCCTCTAAGAAGCCTAGGTTTAATGCAAGCATAGGATTATAAGACTGGAAATAAAATTGTATTACGGTCTGAAAGATTCATACTCTGCAACTGAGCAGAGTATGAACACATTCCAGACTCAGGTTGATTCAACTTCCACATCTACTTTAGCCCCTGGGTGTAATTGATAGGTGGATTGTGACTTCTCCAATGCACACATACTTACCGCTCTTAACCATATGAATTTTATAAACCCCCAACACACTATAACTCCTTCTATTGTCATTAAATCACAAAACCACAATGTAAATAGAAGAAAAAAACAGACGCTCCTAAATATGATCTTTCAAACACTAGCTTCAGAAATACAAAATAGAAAAATGCATCCCCTCAAAACACACCACACGTAAACTCAAAGCTGCATAAAAGTGCAGTTGTAAAAAATGACAGAAACTATAAAGGTTTGGACCATAAAATATCCTGGTTTCATGTTTCATATTTCTTTGAGATAACCTGCAACCTTCACTGGTAATATGCCTGTAAAAACCGAAAGTGAGTTATTTGAATTTATTTTACTGGAAACAGCTTAAAAATCACTGCTAAAGGAATTCTGACATTTCCCACAAGGAATTCTGGAGAATAATGACATAGGAGAACCACCATTGCAAGCTCTAGTTAGGTAGGGACATGTGACATGTGACAGAGCCACATGTCATAAAGACATTGACAAATCTCCCAGCTGAAATTAGACTCTTCCACCCCTATTATTTTGTATGTTTGTTTAACATAATGGAGCCATCTTGGTGTATGCCCCACTTGAATCCCCTTTACTGGCTGAAACTCTCAACCCCTGTTGAGTGCACATACAACCTTTTCTGAAGCCTTGCCCTGGACTGACGGGGTCAACTCCTCTCCACAGGTCTGAAAGTCTACATCCCCCTGGCTCCAAGGCAGAATTCCTATACAATGCAATTCACTCCCCATAATACTCCCAGGATAAGGCTAAGGACACAATTTACCTAATTGTATTCTGGTCAGCTCTTTCCTCTTCCTCATTTTTTTTCCCCTCATTCATGCCCAGATTTTCCTTAAAGAGCATTATTTCAATAAATTTAGGAATCTAAATTCCTATTTTAGTCTCAGTTTCTAGAAAATACAACCTAAGATACACAATATGTTTTCTCTTTATAAACTATTAATATACATATTTATTTTGCCATGGGTTTAAACTCTGAAAGAAAGGGATAAACCTCATATCCATCTTATGAAAATAAACTCCTTATTTGTTCTTCCAATACCTAGTTCGCAACCATCTAATCATCCCGTCTTTCCTTTTCTATTTAGTTGTAAATCCAGAGGTGGCCTAGATTAGAAAGAACATTCACTTATGTCATCTTTGTTTACTTAAAAATGAGCATGCTTGACCAGGAGTGGTGGCTCACACCTGTAATCGCAGCACTTTGGGAGGCTGAGGCGGGCAGATCACGAAGTGAGGAGAAGATCGAGACCATCCTGGCCAGCATGGTGAAATCCTGTCTCTACTAAAAATACAAAAATTAGCTGGGCATAGTGGCACGTGCCTGTAATCTCAGCTACTCGGGATGCTGAGGAAGGAGAATCGCTTGAACCAGGGAGTCTGGGGTTGCAGTGAGCCGAAATCACACCACCGCACTCCAGCCTGGTGACAGAGAGAGACTACATCTAAAAAAAAAAAATATATATATATATATATATATATGAGCATGCTTATTTTTTACCGCTTATCTCATGTCTTTATATGTCATTGTTTTCTTACTTGGCCATTTCCACCTCCCCTAATAGCCCTCCTATATTAAAAATGAATAAAATAATTTAGAACTGGATAAACAGTATGTTGAGTTGTGTATGTACATATTCATGTACAAGCATAAATACCCCCATCCACTTAGAAAATAAGTATATATCAATCTTAACCTTGTTAATTTTACATTGAAAAAGAAAATCAGGAAATATATTTATCTTCTTTTCAAAATCTATGGTTTTGTAACAACTAGAAAACATTGCACATTAACTTAAACATAAGTTATAATATGGTTGGGATCTGTGTCCCTGTTCAAACCTCAGTCAAATTGTAATTCCCAACATTGGAGGTGGAGCCTAGTGGGAAGCAATTGGATCATGGGGGGTGGATTTCTCCACTGCTGCTGTTTTCCTGATAGTGAGTTCTCATGAGATCTGGTTGTTTAAAAGTGTGTGGCACCTCCCCCTCTGTCTTGCTGCTCCAGCTACGTGACATGCTGGCTTCCCCTTCATCTTCCACCATGATTTTAAGTTTCCTGAGGCCTCCCCAGAGGCCCAGCAGATGCCAGAATTATGTTTCCTGTACAGCCTGTATAACCTTGAGCCAATTAAACCTCTTTTCTTTATATATTACCCAGTCTTAGGTATTTCTTTGTAGCAGTTTGAGAACATATGAATACAAGCTCCAACATTCTAGAGATTTGCCGTAATAGAACAACTTTATCTAGAAAAAAAAGAATAGAAAGACCATGGTAACATAAGTTTTTATTGTCTCAATAATATTACTTTACTTAATGGACTGACTTTACAGGCCATTTTAGTAATCTGAATTACCTGCTGTTTTATGTTGCAATATGACTATCTTGAAAAGAGTGGCTGTCTCTTTTATTGATTATATCTTTTAGTGCTACTCTTATTTCTGGCACTGAAGAAAATTATTGACATTCAGTAAATGGGTATTCAATGTAAATTTATTGCATTATAGTTCAGTTTGTCTAACTCTAAACCATATTCAGTTGTTATGTAGACAAAGATTGTTCCTCACATTCTGTACAACAAAGTAAAAAAGGAAAAATTCATACGGAAAAATTTTGTTTCTAACCAAATCTATGAGGAAAGGATTCTTCTTTCCCCATAAAGGATTTCCTAAAAAAGGAGGACAAGGAAGATAAAATAAAAGCAGTTTTTAACAGCAATAGCATATTAAGTTTAACAGTTCTCAAAACTTAAGAAATAGATTTTTCTATTGAATCTAGATATTTTGAAAAGTGATCTAAAATAGTGTGTTACTAGCATGTAATAAAAAACATATAGAAAATTATATCAATTTCTTACTAAAATCTTTCTTTAATCTGCTTTTTAAAATTTCCATTCCAACTTTTCACAAGTTTGCTAAACTTTATATTGAACCAAGTCTAGGCACTGCTTTTAGATTTTTTTTGTCATTTTTTCATCTTCATCTAGTTTATAAACATATTATCTGTCAATAAAAAAAGTTCTCTGGTGGACTTCTCCCTCTACTGACCAGCAGAAAAAAACAACTTGAGTGTAAATTCAAAGGACTAATATGATTTCCCCACAAAAGTTAATATAGGAACCCGTATTTTCTAGCACAGAAGAAATCTACAAATCTGTTTTGTCCTGTTTTAAGCACTATTTAAAATTATTTTATTTACCTGTTCTGAGCTACGTATTGCATCTGTTCAGGTGCAAATCACTAGTTTTATTAAGTGCATATATGTATCACATGTTCTGGTAAATAAATAAGGAAATGAATAAATGCATTAAGAAAGAAAAAAGTAATTTTAATGAAACTGATATTTCAGGTTATTTTTTAAGAACACTACAAAACTATAATATAGCCACAGAGAATTACATAATTGTTGCAAGCATATGTGATAACAATATAATTTTTAAAGGTCTATCAATCTGTTTCCCTTTTCCCTGACTTATGCATTTCATCTACTCCAGCCATTGGCCATTATATAAATGCTGACTATATGGATCAGATGACATTTTGATATTTTGTAATAGTTACTGAAATATATTTTGCACTCATAATTGGTTTTCTTTTTTAAAATTTATTTCACCCTATTGGAAAATACAGTTGAATACAATCAGCTATTATATTAAGATTTTTTTGCATGTGTGTATATAGGTACACACACACACACACACACATATATATCTCCTACATATTAGATGCTTCCTTAACATTTTAATATAAAATTCATATGGTCAAATTAGTAGCATTCTGAAATACTTCATGATTTGTGATATTAACAAAAAATTACTGATAAATGGACTATGGATTTTTGTTGTTGTGTTAATGCACTTAAATTTGTACAGAAGTTTTAGGTTCATAGCAAAATTAAGACGAAAGTACAGAGAGTTCCCATATGCACATGCACAGCCTCCCATATTCTTAACATCCCCCACCAAAGTAGTACATTTGCTACAATTGATGAGTCTACATTGACACATCATTATCACCAAAGTCTATAGTTTACATTAGTGCTTATTCTTGATGTTGTACATTCTATGGGTTTGAACAAATGTATAATGACTTTTAGTCACAATTATATTGTCAGAGTTTCAGTGCTCTAAAAATCATCTGTGCTCCACCTATTCATTCCTCCCTGCTAAACTTTAATAACCATAGATATTTTTACTGTTTCCATAGTTTTGCCTTTTCCATAATGTCAAATAGTTGGAATGATAAAGTATTTAGTCTTTTCAGACTGGCTCCTGTCACTTAGTAATATGCAGTCAAGTTTCTTATTTGTATTTAATTTGTTTTATTTTACATTTCCTTGAAAAGCATATGATATGTAACATCTTTTTATATACTTATTTACATCTGTATATCTTCTGTGATAAGATGTCCAGATCTTTTGCCCATTTTTCAATTGAATTGTTCATATTTGTATTGTTGAGTTTTAAGTGTTCTTTTTATATTTTGGTTAACAGTCCTTTATCAGATACATCCGTTGCAAATATTTCCTACCAGTCCGTGCCTAGTCTTTTCTCTTTCTTTACAGTGTCTTTCACAGAGCAAACAATTTTAATTCTAATAAAATCCAGTTTATCAATTATTTCTTTCATGGTTTGTGCCTTTGGTGTTGTATCTGAAAAGTCATTGCCAAACCCAGGATTTTCCTCTACATTATCTTTTGGAAGTTTTATATAGTATTGTGTTTTACCTTCAGATCTGTGACTCATTTTGAGTTAATTTGCGTGAAAGGTGTAAGGTCTATGTTTGGATTCATTTTTTTTACTTATGAATGTACAGCTCTTCCAGCACCATTTATTAAAAAGACCCATATTTTTAATAAATGGTGCTGGATCAACTGGACATTTTGCTCTCTTGTCAAAAATATGTTAACAAAATTGATGTGGTTCTACTTCTGGGCTCTCTGTCCTGTTACATTAATCTGTGTTTATTCTTTCACCAATAGCACACTGTCTTGATTATGGTAGCTTTATAGTCAGTCAGTCTTAAAGTCAGGTAATATCAGTCATCCAACTTTGTTCTTCATCTTCAATCGGGCTATGTTTTTTGAATGATAACTATATATCAAACTACAACATCTCATTAAAAATTTGCTCAAAATTACTTTATTAATTAATGTGTATATGGTGACATATGACATCAGTGTAAATAGCACCACCCATGCATTAATCATAGTATTAATCATTAAGCTTTAACATGTCCATCAAAGCTATAATGGAACATGTCATATAATTCAGTCCCAAACAATTTTAATGACTATTTGAAGACATAAAATTAGAGTAGGTTTCTCAGAAATGAGAGTGCATACACTGCTAAGGAATTCATGTATAAATTAATCTGATTGCTTCTCTAAAATATAGAGATTGATATATTTTAAAGGCTCAAGATGGATTTATTCATTGCAATTCAATTGGCCAGAGATCAATTTGATCTAGTATTTTTAGTCACATTCAAAATTAAACAAATTACTAAAAATGACCAAGGAATCATGCTCTCTTATTAAAACTTGAAGGCAGAGAACTAGACCAGGCACAGTGGCTCACGCCTGTAATCCCAGCACATTGGGAGGCCAGGACCGGCAGATCACCTGAGGTCTCCAGTTCGAGACCAGCCTGGCCAACACAGTGAAACCTTGTATCTATTAAACATACAAAAATTTGCCGGGTGTGGTGACAGGTGCCTGTAATCCTAGTTACACGGGAGGCTGAGGCAAGAGAATTGCTCAAACCTGGGAGGTGGTTGCAGTGAGCTGAGATTGTGCTGAACCAAGGTTGTGCCACTGCATTCCAGCCTGGGTGACAGAGCAAGACTCTGTCTTAAAAACAAAAAAAGGAGAAAAAAGACAGAGAACTAGATACTTTCTTCTGAGGTATGGATCAGAGAACATTTGCTTTTTACTATAAATCTTTGAACTAATTATTTTTAAGTTGTGTTTATGAATTTCAACACATAATTTTTAAAGAAATTCTTAAAGCCCACCTCAAACTCAGAATTCAGTATATACATGTTTGATATGCATACACATGTATATATGTGTATATCTGTGTATATATGTGTATATGTAGTTTTATACAAATTACATGTACTACATATATATTCGTATGTGTGTGTGTGTGCATGTGTGGTGTATGTGTGAGTATGACTGTTGTCTAGGGATTCTGTAACAGCTGATCTTCAAATAGGCCTTTAAGAACTACTGACATATAAAACAGAACGTCTGAATTATGAGAGAAACTTGGATACTTGCTATTCTGTTGTTTTAATGAGATGTAACTGATTTAGGACAGAATCGCTAAATCAAAGTTGAGAGACATAATTCCAAAGATTTTTAATTAATACTTGCATGTACCTATGAGGCCACTGAATGTAAGTTTTATGTTTGAGAAATATGATTTGCTATTACGTAGAATAATAGTTGGAAAAAGAATCCACTAAAACAAATAAGTTCTAATTGGTGGTGGCAGGTTGACATGACCACTGCTTCTCTGACACAGTTCACTTTTGATGATAAGGATTAGTTATTCTCTGTAAAACTAGATCTCAATAAGTCATTACAATGGAGAAGGCAGTGGTGCAGATAATGCAAAACATTAAAATTTCAAACATAATTTGTCCCTGTCTTTGAAAGAGTTCTCTTTCTAATTATATTTGTTTGGCAATGCCTAAATTAGCTTGTATTTCCTAGATAAATAGCCACTGACAAGGAATTTGAGTATATGTTGCTAGACCAGTCTCTGCTTGACTGAATAGGGGAATAATTCATTAAGATAATCTATGTAGGAACAAGAACATGTTGCCCATATTTTTCTTCAGAGCCCTTAATTTTTTATAGATATCATAAAATGTGAGCTGTTGCTGATTTTGTAACACTTTCTTCCAAAGAGATCAAGGTTAGTAATATATGTCACAGAAATAATAGGCTGGCAATTAATCTCTAGTAGTGAGGAAAAAGCAGTGGTATTCCTGTAATGTGATCTGGGGACACAAAATGGATCACGTAGCTATTCCCTCCAGCAACTCATGACTACACTCCTAGTTTAAACAAAGCAAAAAAAAAGTGTAAGGCGATGACAGAACAATATGAGTCCATGTTGAATAATTGTTAAGGTCATGGACTTTGGACAGGTTTTACCTTAAATAAATTACCTTATCTCTCTAAATCTCAGTTTCCACACTGGAGAAAATAATTATAATTTTACTTATTCTATGTAGTTATTTTGAGGATTTACACAGATGAGCCTGTAAAACATACAGCATTGTACCTGTCACATGGTAAGTGCCCAGTAAATGTTGTACATATTATTCATGGTTGTGTAAGTGCTCTGAAGATGTAAGGGAGTGATTTATGTTGTCTAGGCAAATTGTACAGAAAATGTGATATGAGAGTTAAGTTTTGAATGATAAATAGGATATTTGCAAGTGAAGATGAAAGAAAGGGCATTTTTTTTTTTTTTTTTTTTTTTTTTGAGACAGAGTCTCGCTCTGTCTCCCAGGCTGAAGTGCAGTGGCGTGATCTCGGCTCACTGCAAGCTCTGCCTCCTGGGTTCACGCCATTCTCCTGCTTCAGCCTCCCAAGTAGCTGGGACTACAGGCGCCCACCACCACGCCCAGCTAATTTTTTGTATTTTTTTAGTAGAGATGGGGTTTCACTGTGTTAGCCAAGATGGTCTCCATCTCCTGACCTCGTGATCTGCCCACCTCGGCCTCCCAAAGTGCTGGGATTACAGGCGTGAACCACCGCGCCCGGCCAGAAAGGGCATTTTTGATGAGAACACATGGGCACAAAGAAACAACAGACCCTGGGACCTACTGGAGGGTGGAGGATGGGAAGAGGGAGAAGATCAGGAAAATAACTACTGGGTACCAGGCTTAATACCTGGGTGATGAAATAATCTGTACAACAAACCCCTATGACACGAGTTTACCTATATAACCACCCCCCATGAGTCTACCCCTATAACAAACCTGCACATGTACATCTGAACCTAATAGTTTAAAAAGGGAATTTTTATGGCAAAAACGATTATGTAAAATGTGTGACAGAACTTCATGTTGAGAAAAATGAGTAGTCTGTTGTGGTTAGAGTGAGAATATATTCACTGGGGAAGGGTTAACAGGAAAAGAAGCTGCCTTCCAGAGATTAATGCAGAAAAAAAACATGCAGAGTATAAACAGTATGTATGCCAGCAAAATACATCTGTGTGATTGTGTGGACCTGAATAGTATTAATATGTATTGTGGCAGGAAAAAATGTTACATGTTTACAATACCGTGATTATTATCCATAGTGCAGTTACATTTTTCAGCCTCTCTTCCAGGTGGATTGAGGCTATGTGACAGTTCTGTGGATGAAACTGATGCAACATCATCCAGTCATAACCTGTAAAAACATCTCTCAAAATTTTCTAGTTTTCTTTTCCCCTGCCTCTGTAGCCTTTGAAGCCGAAGTTGGCAGAGATTAAGGCTGAAAGAGGGTCAATCAACCTCTCCATCCTATAACATTATAGGAAAAAAAAAAACAGAAATAAAACAAAACAAGACACATTTTATTACAGAAAGCCACAGAGTGCTTGAGGATTGTCATTTGTGACAGCTAGCTTACTATAGACAAACACACACACATGCACACACACATATATATACTCGCAGTCCTTACTTACGAAAACTTTAAAAATTTTCCTAGGTTAATAATATGTCCTAATAATCCACAGTTTAGCAAGACAAGGATACTCACTTTTACCACTGCTCATCAACGCTGTACTGGAAGTTCTTGCCAGAGCAACTGAATAAGAAAAAGCAATAAAAGGCAAATAAACTAGAATAAAACTATTTATATTCACATGTGATATGGCCTTATATATGTCTTATATATAGAAAATTATAAATAATTCACAAGTAAGCTGCTAGAACTATGAAATCAATTGAGCAAAGTTTTAGAGTACAAGTTCAGCATGCAATAATGACTAGTCTCTCCTCACCAGCAATGACTAATTCATAAAGAAAATTAAGAAAGCACTTTCATTTACAATAGCACCTAAAAGAATAAAAACCTAGAAATAATTTATCAAAAAAGGGAAAAGCTCATGTGCTGAAAACTACATGATATTGCTGAAATAAATTAAAAGACACCTAAATATTAATAAATAGAAACATAGCTTATGCTTATGGATAAGAAGAAGGCTTAATATTGTTAAGATAGCAGTAATACCCAAAGCCATATACAATGGCAATGCAATCTCCCTCCAAATTCTAGCAGGTTTTTCTGCATAAATGGAAAAATTGATCTTCAAATTCACAGAGAATGGCAAGGGGCTCCAAATAGCTAAAACAATCTTGAAAAAGAAAAACTAAATTGGAGGACCTATGCTTCTTGATTTCAAACCTTACTACAAAGGTATGGTAATTAAAATAGGGAAGTACTGCTATAATGATAGACATATGAACCAAAAAAAATTGAGAGTCCAAAATAAACCTATATATCTATAGACAATGGATTTTGTTTTTCACTCAATGGGGAAAAAATAATCTCTTCAACAGCTGGTGTGAGATGACTGGATTTCCATACACAAAAGAATGAAGTGGAACCTTATCTTGGGCTCTATAAAACATTAATTCAAATAGGTCAGTGACCTAAACCTAAGAATTAAGCCATAAAACTCTTAGAAGAAAACGTTGGAGTAATCTTCATGACCTTGAATTTGGCAATGAATTCTTCAATATGACAACAAAGACATGAGCAACAAAAGGAAAAAATAGACTGAACTTCATCAAAATTAAAAACATTGGCATATGAAAGAACATTATCAAAAAGGTGAGAAAACAATCCACAGAATAGAAAAAATATTTTAAAATTGTACATCAGATAAGGGTTTACATTTAGAATATATAAAGAATTCTCACAACTCAACAACAAAAAGGCAAACAATTCAACTTAAAATTGGGCAAAAGCGCTGAATAGACATTTCTCCAGAGAAGCATAAAAATGGCCAATAAGAATATTAAAAATACTCAGTATGATTGTCATTAGGGAAATACAAGTCATAACCACAATGAGATATCACACATCTACTAGAAAGGCTATAATTAAAAAAAAAAAATCAGAAATTAACAGGTGCTGGAGTCATGTTATCAGACCAGTGAGCAGGTCTATCCCATTGAAACACACCAAATTCTTTGTTTTGACTAATCCTTGAGTAATGCGAGCAAACATAATTTTTCATGCTCTTTTGTGTGCTTTTGTTTATGAGCTTCATAAGAGGAGAAATCAAGCCTGCTTTTATTTCTCATGAATATCTGGCATCTAGCACAGTGCCTAGAACAAATAGGCTCTTAGTAATAAGTTTTTGAATGAATGCATTAAACATATTCAGAAATTGTCTAAATCTTCTACACGAAAAAAATATTGTATTTAATGTAAAGGTTAAGCTACCTGTAAAAATCATTTCTTTCCAAAAAATTGAAATAGACACTAAAATTTCAGACAAAAAAACCTACAAAAACTAAACCCATTTGCGGGATTGCTATGGCTATTGGTGTTTATTCAATGTTCTCATACTGTCATGTTTCCATGCTTTGAAAAGCTTTTACTATTTTTTATCATCGTTTGAAGTAAGATACCTAGTATATTTTATTCTATAATTTTAAACTAGTTTATCTCTCTATATAAGTATGTGTCTAATATGGTATACATATGTGTCCCTAACAAATCTCATGTCAAATTGTAATTCTTAATGTTGGAGGTGGGGCCCGGTAGGAGATGATTGGATCACGGGGGCAGTTTCTCTAGAATGGTTTAGCACCATCCCCCTTGGTACTGTTGTTGCGATAGTGAGTTCGTTATCACGATATTTGGTTAAAACTGTGTAGCACCACCTCCCTTGTTGCTCCCACCATGTTAGATGCTTCACTGTCCCTTTGCCTTCTGCCGTGGTTGAAAGCTTCCTGAGGCCTCCCCAGAAGCAGAAGCTGCTATGCTTCCTATATAGCCTGCAGAACCACGAGCCAGTTAACCCTCTTTATACATTATGCCATCTCAAGTATTTATTTATAGCAGTGCAAGAATAGCCTAGCACAGTACTTCTGAAGCAATTGTCCTTACTTATGTATGTCATTAAATATAGAGAAAGCAACTCATTCATGGGCCTGTGATTTCATAGTTTTAAGCAAAAGCTGAAGGTTTTAACCATAATAACTTTTTTTTCAATATATTTTCAACTATTCCTTTTCCAAATCCTCTTTTGAGGGCTTTTAAGAATATAGGTTGTAAAAGTAATAAAACTCTACAACTGTATTTTTGATTCTTTAGAAAGGATATTCCAACCAATTCTTGTAGTGCACATAATTTTCTCTGCTCTGATATGAGACTAAAATTTTGCCCGTATATATTTTTTTACGGCTTAAAAAGAAAATGTTACCCCCACTGAATGTGGTGACAGGTTTTCTCTCTTTCCCCCACCAACATTACTATCTCTATCTATTGCTCTATAAAACTATAAAATATCTGTCTCTATAAATTATATTACAGGCCTATTCTTACTATTGCCTTATAATCTTACATGTCCCAAGTCCACTGTCATCACACTGTCTCCCTCACTCTCTAATAACTATTTCACATTTCTTCTTGCCCTCAAACTCCTGCACTTCATTCCACATTCTGTTTCTCTGGTGATGATCTGGTTTACAATTTCACTGAGAAAACACCAGCAAACAGAAGATAATTCCGAAATCTCCTACCACTTCAGTTATCCTCCAATCTCCATCAAGGTCCATATTTCCTGTCTTCCTTCCTGTTATTTTGTGTGAACTTTTCACACTGCAAATCTAAGGTCATCCTTCCATGAGTGTCCTCTCATCTACTTAAGGACAAAGAACCAACAATTCTGCTTAACCTGTTTAGATTCTCAATTTTTCTCTCTGCATTGTATAATTTCTGTTAGCGTATAAACATACCCTTATAAGGAAAAACTCATCTTTCAACTTCCTGATCCCCTCAACCAAATACTTCCCTTTGCTTCTGCCTTGTAATATAAACATTTTTTAAAAAGCGATCTAGACTGACTACCTCTAGCTCTTCTCATCAAAGTGGCTCATGAAAACATCCCAATAAGCTTTCTTCCTCATGACTCCACTGAAGCTATACTGATGGCTTTCATGCTGGGGTGGCCAAGTCTTATCTGACAACTTCTTGCACTGTCAGCAACATTTGCCATAATTGGTAACATCCTCCTTGTGGCTTTGGCATCCAGGCACTACACTCTCCTGTTTGTTTGTTTTTTTTTCCTCTCCTATCTCTTTGGCCTTTCTTTCTCATCTTCTTTACTTGTTTCTTCTTCTTCCTCAACCCATAAATCTTAAAGTGTTTCAGGGCTCCCTCCACTGAGAGTCCTATTCTTTTCTCTGTATTACAGCCTTATTGATTTCATCGTGTCTTATGAATGAATGCCATCCATATGCCTTATGACACTCAATCTGTATATCATGTTGTAGTAGCTAACTTTTAAAACTGGCCTTTCCTGAGCCACTTCTACTGATATTCTCATTCTTGCATAACTCTCTCCCCATGAATCTCGGCCCACCCTGGAAATTACTCTCAACAAGTAGAATACAGCAGATGTGAGGCTGTGTAACTTCCGAAGTTAGGCTATAAGAAGCCTTATAGCTTGCATTTGGACCAATCCCTTGCTCCTGGGATCTCTTTCTTGGAACCCAGCCTCCATGCAAGCCAAAGCCACAAGGAAAGATCACGTGTAGATGCTCTATAAATAGCCCTGGCTGAATCCTAGCTTACAGCTAGCATGGACTGCACACCATGTGAATGGGTCCTTCACCTGTCTAGTCAAGCCTTCAAATGACTCCAGTCTCTGTCTTCATTTAACTGCAGCTACGAGATACTCAAAACAAGAAACACTAAGCTGAGCACAGACAATGTACAGAATTGTGAGAAGTAGTAACAAATTATTATTGGAAGCCACTAAATTGGGGTAGTTTGTTATGCAGCAATAGACAACATAGGTCACCTGAACTCCCCACTCAGATATCCAACTATTCATCTAGTATCTCTACTTGATGTCTAATAGACATGCCAAAATCAGCATTTCTAATATAAACTCCTGATCTTCCACCAACAAACATAAATATCTTACAACTTTTCCCATCCAGTTGAATGGCCACTTTATAATTACAGGTACTTAGGTCAAAAATTTCATTTTCATCATTGATTCCTCTTTCATTCACATGGGTAATCCAATCTGATGATAAATCCTGTTTGTTTTCCCTTCAAAATGCAATGAGAATCTAGCCATATTTCATCCCTGCCATTTCAACCTCATATAATATTATAACAATCTCCTCTTTGCCTACTCCATTCCAGATACCTTGGAATACTCCATATATTCTCATGCCTTAAAGCTTTTGAACTTGTGTTTCTCCACATTTAAGCATACCCACTCTCTCAGCTACATTGTCTTTGCTCAAATGCCATTTTGTTTCCAGTGAAGCTTTTCCTAAACAATCAATTTAAAATTACAAGCCCTCTATTCCCAAAATATCACCATTTCACCATCCCATCCTTCTTTTATCATGGTATTTCCTCCAAGCTGACATACTATATATTTTCATTAATTATTCAGTATGTGACTGTTTATTACCTGGCTTCTCATAAGCTCTACAAGGACACGGATTTTAAATGCTGCATCTCCACTACTTAGAATAGTAACAGCAATGGAGAAGGTTCTCAGTAAATACCAATGCAATTGGGGAATAAATAAGATTCCTTCTTCTTGTTATTTTAATGTATTCAGTTAAAGAAAATTATGTTTTGGTTTAAATTTTCTTTTGTAATTCATAAGTTAAAATTATTGACCGAATTAATTGCAGTAATGAGAGAAAAGAATGTTTGACAAAGATTGGTAGAGATGAAGCCAATTTTCTGCAACTTCTATCCTCAGTGTGTGTCATATTTTTAAAAGACACTTAAATGTATGTTAGAAATAATTAAATTAATTTTTAACCAGACAACCCAGCACATGCTTGTAGGGAGTCATACAATTTAAAGCAAATTTACATTTTAATCCAGCCTGTGTTTCTTACATTTACATGTGTATCTTATTTCTTTTACGTTTCTATCCTGAGTCCGTAATCTTCACCTTGATGTAATATTTCATCTTTAATAATCTATTGCTAGGACAGCTCACACATACACACATACACGCACTTACACACACACACACACACATACTCACAGGTTTAGGAAACATCTTTGGTGGTGGGAAATTGAAATTTGGAATAAAAAATTAAATGTTGAAATATATTCATGAAATTTGAAGAAAATACATGGAAGAATATAAAATATCGAATAACTGCTAATACTTTAAAGCTAGGAAAGATAACAAATAAGTTCAAACTAGACTCCTAATACAGTGACTTTAACCAATAAAATGAAGATTAATAAGGACAAATATCAAGTGATGGCATTCTGTTTAGTAAAAACAATTCTACAAGTATGAAAAGGGAAAGTGTGGATTAGCAACGATCTAAGACATAAGGGTTTAAGAGACCACAAACACAAGAGAAATGTTATGTTACTGCGCATGAAAAAGTAAACTTACTCCTAAGCTATATTAATGAAAGAGATTGAGGGAGGTGACCATGATACTCTGCTTTGTTCTTGTCAGGACCTACCTATAGTGTGTTTCTCAGTTATTGAAATATAGACAGAGCCAACTGAAATGCGTTCAGAGGTAATAGTTCAGTATGTTAAGTGGACTTGAAATGATGTCAAATGGGAAATTTTGAACAGGTCAGGAGGATGCCTAACACACACACACAAAGATATAAAGGGTTCAATCTCAGTTGCTACGTTCAAGTACATAAAGTGCTGTGCTTTCTAGAGAAGAATGAACAGTTATTCTAAGGCCACTCATGTGTAGAAAGAGTATTAATGATTCCATAAGGTACCATTATAGGAGACAGATCATTTGAAAAACCTTCCATTTCCAAAACCCTTAGTAAATTATAACAAGCTTTCTTTAAATGTGCTGATGTCAAAATAAGAAAATTAATTTCTTGGGGACTAAAAAAAAAAAGCAGAATTCTGAAGCCAGAGTTTTAAATGAACATGGAAGTTGTGGTACCCCTGGGTGAAAATGGACACTAAGAGCTACAGTTGTGTGTTAAGTATAACACTTGGGAAAAATTAGATGAGACTCTGATCCCTAAAAGGTAGGGGAAGGAGATGAAGGAGAGGATTCCTTTTCACCACACAAAGTTAGATACCTCAATAGTGTCTCCCTCTCATTGAAGGTGATGATGCTATATATATTCCGTTTGTAGCAAGGAGAACTAAAGAGAAAGCATGTCGGTTGCCAAGGTACAGCTGGGAAATTAATCACAGAAATAGCAGTAAGAGCCTGCTCTGAGAATTGTGATTATAGGCCTAATCTCATGTGAGTCTGTTTATTATAGTGACCAGGAAAAGACTATAGTCTAAGAAATTCCAAGATAATAGATCGAATTAAAAACATATTATTTCAATGGAAACAAACACATTTACACTCAAGAGGGAAGCCTGTCAATTTAGGCTCCATGGGATTTTTATGGATTAAGTCCAGGTAAGTATGAACTCACAATAGAAAGAAAAATATCAAGCACACAAGGAAATAAATCACCATGAGTGAGAAAAATATTAAAAGCAGAAACAATAAATACTAGATTTAGATCCCCAAGGGCTTCAGATATTAGAATCATCAAACACAAAACATAAAGTATTTACAAAAATATTCAAAGAAATAAATGATGGAGTCCAAAACATGAGCAAGGAATCAGAGACTATCGGAAATGCTTAAGCAGATTTGAAAAAAAGATCAAATAAAACTACTGGAAATAAATTACACAATCATTGAGGTTAGAAACATTGTATAAGATTTAAGAATCAGAGTAGACACAGCTGTCTAGAGAATTTGTGACTATCATATGTAGCAGAATAAACCAACAATGCAGTAGAAGAAATCAAATGGATGAAAAATATAAAAAAGAGATTACAGAAGTAACAGGAAGCAAAGAGACGAGAGTCCAGAGACATAATTTATTTGTAATCAAAGTCACAGAAGAATAGAAAAGAGAAAGAGAATGGAGAAAAGGCAATGTCCAGGAAGTTAATAGATGAGAATTTTTCAGAACCAATTAAGAAATACACTTTCAATTTCAAAAATTCCAATGAATTCTAAGTGGAATAAGTAAAAACAGACTCAAATCAATACTCATTTATACTAAACATCAGAATAGCTCCCTGCTCCCATTCTCAAACATTTAAAATCCTTCCAAGAGTGAGGCATGGTGGCTCAAACTTGCCATGTCAAAACTTTGGGAAACTGAGGCAGGAGAATCACTTGAGCCCAGGAGTTCAGGACCAGCCTGGGCAACATGGAGAGACCCTGTTTCTAAAAAAATAAATTAAAAAAAAAAATAGCCAGGTATGGTGGCATGAACCTGTTATCACAGCTACTGGGGAGGCTGAGCTGGGAGGATTGGTTGAGCCCAGGAGGTTGAGGCTGCAGTGAGCCATGTTCATGCCACTGCACCCCAGCCTGGGCAACAGAGCAAGACCATCTCTCAAAAATAAATAGATTAATAAATAAATAAAATCTCTTTGAGAATGATGAATAAAAAATAGAATTTCAACAGCTATAATGTAAGTAACCAATAGGCATCAGAGCAACGGCTTTAAAGTGGCAAGAAAGAATTAAAAAGTCATCCTAACACTGTGTACTCAGAAACATTATATTTCACCAAAAAGATAAAGAAAACACACTGTCTGGTTTTTTTAAGAGTGTTATTGCCAAACTATCTCCCTAAAAATACTTTGGGAAAGAGTTCTTGGAGAATATGTAGAATCAATATTGTAAGAATATCCAAAATCTGGAGATACTGAGTCCAGGATCAGTGGATCTAGTTCAGGAATGCTATGAAATTGAGGCATGAGAATAGTAGCTATGCACTAAAACTGGAAATCAATTCTTTTGTATAGAAAACATACAGCCAAGGGACTCTGGGAAGAATGTCTTCAGGAAATAAGTAGATTTTCAATTAGAGGTGAATATTCTTGAGGCTTTGGGGAAGACTTGTGGTCCTTATATAAACACAGAAAAAAAATGAAAGCCATTAGAAATTCCAGTGTTCTTTTTTTTTAAAGGATTTACTAAACAATCATGGTCTACATATGAAACTAAAATTTTGCATCATATGAAGCAATTCAGTAGAAGTAAAAATTGTGTAAGGCTTTAATATTTGAAACAGTCTCTTTCAAGTTGCCTAAGATGAGTAATATTCAACTCATAGATTAACTAAAATCCAGTCACACTATTTTACTATTTATTTGCATAGTAAATATTTTTTCATGACTATACTAATTGTATTAATCATTAGACATTAGTTTATAGTCCTCTGCAGAAACAGTCCAATAGGGCAATAGGGTATGTGTGTGTGTATGTGTGTGTGTAATAGGGAATTAGCTCACACAATTACAGAGGCTGAGAACCCCCAAGATTTTCATTCAGCAAACTGGAGACACGGAAGAGCTAATATGTAGTTCTAGTCTGAGACCAAAGGTTTCAGAACCAGAAGAGCTGATAGTATAAATTGGTTTGGAAGCTGAAAGACTTGAGACCCAAGAAGAATTGTTTCAGTTTAAATCAGAAGACCTATGTTCCAACTCAAAGTAATCAGGCAGGAGGAGTTCCCTCCTACTCAGGCTTTTTGTTCGATTCAGGTTTTCACTTGATTGAATGGGGCTCATCCACATCAGTGAGGACAATCTGCATTACTCAGTCCATAGAGTCAACTTTTAATCTGCACCTTCACAGATACATTCAGAATGATGTTTGACCAAATGTCTGGGCACCCCATGGCCCAGTCAAGTTGACACATAAAACTAATCACCGCCACAACAAAAATGGCTTTATTTTTTAAATTACTGAATAAAACCCAGAAGACTTAATTGTGGTTACAGAACATAATATTCATGCTATGCACAAAATATTTATGCATCTGCATTACATTACTCTTAAAGAAAATTCTTTATAAGTGTCTTTAACTTAAAATGGGAGAAAAAAGATTTGACTTGAGTGCTATCCTTAAACTCTCCTAATATTTCTCTGAAGCTTTCTTCTTGGGTTGTTTTCTGTGTCTTAGAATGTAACGCTCACTCCAGGTAGAACAGCTAGGATTGAAAACCATCTATGTGCTTAACCACCAGTGTTTTTCTACATATAATGCTCACTTATGTGGCTTCCTATGTTCTGACAAAGATATATGTGAAAGGGTATGACTCAGTCCTTCAAAGAGTAACATCATACTTTGATGTGTGAATGAATGGTCTAAACACAAGAGACTGGGTGCTTGTGTATGTGGATGTGCAGAAAGAAGATTATATCAACTAATAAATCTTTATGCCAGTATATTTCTGATGAATTTGTCCAAGTATATATCTCTAAGATATTCCTTTTTCAAATATACATTGGAATACTATTTGCCTTTAATTTCATTTTAAATAAATTTAAGCTCAACAAACACATACCCAGTGTGAAAATATATCCAAATCAAAAATAATTATTATTCAAAATTGCATTACCTAAGTTCAACAACACATTATTTGAAAACATTTATTTCTAGATCTCCTTCTTGCCTACAAGAACATTTGTAGTATTTTAAAAATAGTGTATACTGTATTTACAAGTTGGCATCATGATTTTAATGGAAAATAATAATCCTCTGTGATTTTAAAATACACTTAACCTCAGATCCCAGTCAAGACCAATTAAATCAGAATGCCTGGAGGTGGCGCTACTCATATTTATTCTTCTATGTGCACCCTAGCTGACTGTAAAGTGTAGCGAGGGTTAAGAATCACTGAAGGAACACATAAGCATTGTCCATGTCATTAAACAGTTTTCAAAAACATCACTTTAAATAAGTATGCATACTGCATGGGCACAGCAAAATTTATTTTAAATTCCCTTAGTTTGAATATTTGCGTTATTTTCAATTATATTTTTATATGTGAATAGATCCATTTATATAAAAAATCCTAATCTTCCCAGGTACTGATTATCATATAAAGATACATATGTCTTAGCCTTTTAAGCAGGAGTTAAATTATGAAAGAAATCAAATACCCTGAGGTGACACATATTGTTCTTTGAGTTTTTTTGGCCCTTGATTAACTGACAGCAGCTGGGGGATATAAAAGGAAAAAAAAAAATCAGAAGAACTGAGCATCATTGCTAGATTTTATAATTTTTTTTTGCTAAAAATTTAAAGTCAATTCATTATACCTTTAAGAAGGCTTCACTATCTCTCTTGTGTTTACTGTTTTGTATATTATGTATATGAATATATGTAAATAAAATAAATTTTAATTGAGTAGGGTTTGGGTGTGGAGGAGTTGGAGATTTTTATAACTTAGTTCTTCAGAATTTTGAAGACTATTAACTACATACAACTCATGGAAGAATAATTTAAGAAATAGAAAAAAATCACACTGTATTTGATTGGAGGAGTTGTGATGAAGAGAGGTATTTTGTCAAAATCCAATTCAGACTTCCCTATGGAAAATTAAGACAGTTGGGATTAGATAGTATCCACTTATCCAATTTCTGCCTCACTGTGTCTTTTTTATTTGAATTAATCTGGGTAATGAACACCCAAACCAAATTATTGTGGGTTGATTACCCATGAAAAGTGGGTTAATTGTTTAATAGCCATGGGTGCAAGTGGGTATAGGTATTTTAATATACATAAACTTCTAATTGGCATATATGAGAGTAGCATAAAATACATATACAATGAAATCAACATTGCAGTTTCATATTAAAAGTTGATTAATCTTGTTAGAGTAATTTAATTATCTGTAAAATTGGTTTCTAAATACTGGAAAAACAGTCATCTATTATAGCTGCTTCTGTTTTAAAAAAAGAAAGATAAATGTTTTTTGAGTTCTAAACAAATACATCTTAATTTTGAGAAAACATTGGAAGAAAAGAGACATTTAATGCTATTTACAATCAAAGGCAAACGTAACAAATGGTTGTTTCCATCATCAGCTCAGCTTATTATCAGACTTGCTTACAGTTAGATGCAGTCATCCACATTCCTGTGCAGTTTAAAGTGAAAGCTACATAAAAGTTTCCATTTCTGAGGAAGAAGATGGCATCTAACTGAGGCAATGCTGCCTAGCATCTACATCCTTTGGGCAAGAAAAATGCATCCGATCAAGAAACACAATCTGCAGCCATGTTTTCTAATTTACTTTCTAAGGCCATTAAGGGAAAGACCTTATTAGGAAATAGCTGCCAGAGCCATTATGTTCCTTTCGCTTTCAGTAAAGGTGCACAGGATTTCGATGAAAAATGTCAGCATTCAGCTTTCCCTTCATGGTAGAAGCAATGGACCAAATTAAAAAATTTGGTGAATGGATCCATTACATTACGCCTCTTCTGAAGGAAAAAAACCAACACAAGGGAATTACAAAATAACAACCACCACCAAAAAGAATAGAGACCACAAGAGTAAGCATGCTGTACCAGCAGGGAAGATGCAAACATGGGCAAAATGTTATTATAAAGTTCACGAAGTTAACAATGAGGGCAACCAAAAGACTCTACTTGATTGTGAAATCATCACTAATTCTCATTTCTTTCCTTGTCTTATTATCCTCCTTTCTTCAACTAATACTTCGGTTGATTCCTTTTGCTTCTTATGGAAATCTGGGCTACAGCCTAGGGTTGCTTTTTGCATTCTTAAAAAATAAAGAAAGTGATATATTTTCCTTTAAAATTAATTTCAGAGGGCAAATCCTGGTAATTCCTAATTGAGAGGCATCATTTTGACATCCATCATTTCTACACGGCCCAACACGGTCCTTTAGCTGAAAGGTATTGAAAGACAACAATATCTCAGAAATCTTGATAAGCCCAATTTTTGGTGAAAACCAGAAAGAACCTACTTGCCATGCATGGGGTGCCTGTTTCTTTTGTAAGAACCAGCGTTTTAGCTCAGTCTCACTACTCAGCAGCCTTCAGATGATACTTGGCCCTGTGGCACACAAAGATTTAATTACAGCTTATTTGCCTTTACATCCTCCCCAGTGCATTAAAATATAGGGTTCACAGCAAAGTCACCTTTCTACAATATGCCTGGGAAAGAGCCAGACCTGAGAACCCTTCACAACTGGCCATAAAGCTAAAATAGAAACAGTAAGAGCAAAAAATTACCTACAAATGCTGACATCTAAAAGAAGCCAGAGACTTCTAAGAAGATGAAAGAGGTGGTCATTGGGGAGTTTCAGACAAATTTCACCAAGAAAAACAGAAAACAAAGCATCAGAAAGAGTAGGACTGGGCAGACTGTGCATGGGATTTCATGAACCTTACCCAAGATAGTGGTCCGGTCAGAGGAGGGCCCGGACTGCTCAGCTCAGCTTCTCTCTGCATACTAGACAGATGACATTCCTTCATGACAAGATGTATTCCCAGTTGTATATATTAATTTTGATGCTTGCCTGGAGCCACAATTTCTCATTCTCTGTCAACCAGTGTGGTTAATTATGTACAGTAATATTTAAATTACAATTCTGATTATTTTTGAAAGATAATTAGACTAAGAAAAAGAAGGAGACTGAGTTGCAAGGAAGGTTGCTTCAAAGGTTCTTGTTATGTAGGAAGACAATATATTTTCCCAGAAGTGAGAATCATTTGTGGTACGACTGGGCCGTGGGGAGACTGCAATGAACGCTTTGGAACCATGCACTCATTTTAATTAAGGAGGGGCCATCTGGTTCAGGCAACAAAAAAAGAAGAAAAAAAAAAGATAAACTATTAGATGACTTGTCAACTCTTGAGTTACATATGCACTTCCCAAATAAATTTTCTTGTATATTTTTGTCTTTTTTCGGAACTTCCATTTTGCCCAAAACCTAAAAAGGACTTCTTACCTTGTTCATATTCTTCATTCATTCAGATTCTGAAATGCATTTGATCCAAAATCATATTGTTAATATTCAGATATTTCATTGTTTCAGTGTCTCTACTGATTCTCCTTCAGAATTACTGTAAAGTATCAGATAAGGCAGTGTTGTGGACATTTGGTTAATTTTTTTCCCAACAATAGAGCTATTCATGTAAATTTAACACATGCATTCACATAATTATTGAACCTATTAGTAGATGGATTCGTGCCAACTAGGGAATAAACATTCAATTAAAAGAAATTAGCTCTTAATGTGTTTCTTTGTCAATACCAAATACATATTTGGCATGAGTCAATAATTTATTTTTATTTTAAAATCTGTTTTCACTCATTTTGCAAACACGCAATAATAGAGGCAAATAGCCATAAACAGTCAAGTCATATATTCAAAGAAAGACCTCAAGAATTAAAACATATGCTAGGATGCAGCAATATCTCCAAAATTCATCTACTTTCTTTCCTCATTCTCTTTCTCTTTCAATCTCCTTCCTTCTTTCCTTCCTTCCTTCCTTCCATTTTTCCTTCCTGCCTTCCTTCCTTCCTCTTTTCCTTCCTTCCTTCCTTTTTTCTGTAAACACATCACACATTTGGTATTATTTCAGTGCAAGTTTAACTATTGAAGAAACAAACAAAAATAGTAACAGGAGAAGCAAGTAACTGTGGTTTCACTCATTGTGATAAATACTATTTCACATGGATATTTTTCTATTGAGCTGGAAATTATCATTGGAAAATACAATTAAGTAGTCTATTCTAGCTGTTCAATGTTTCAAGAAAGCTGGATAAAGGCCAGATTCCTGTAAGACACTGAGTAACACACCAGGAAGTGGCTATCAACAACTTTTATTGTCATGTAAAATCAACTAAATTTTCAAAACACCAAATGTATTTTAAAGTATTGGAAATAGTATAGCATAGTGGTTAAAGTACTGAGTTTGTCTTCGGACAGATTCCAGTTTTAATATTAGGGTCAACACTTAATAGTGGTGTGACTGCATAAATTACTTAGTTGTGTCCATTTTTTAATCAGCAAAGTGGTATATAAACTGCTTTGTTCTGAGGACTAAATGCATAATGTACAAAATGCTCACTATAAGGCCTGGCTCATTTAATCAATAACTATATTATTATTTATTTTATCATTATTATTATCTCAAAATTGAAACAACTATTCTACTTATTCAAAAATCATAGGCAATTCCTCCATGTGCATAAATAACTACCTAATGGTGATTTTTTTTCAACATAATCCAATCCAATGTAACTTAAGGGAGATAGACCCGTCTGTTTTCTTAATTCTCAATAAGACACTCTGGATTTCTTTAAATGCAGGATTTGGGAATACAGTAATGCCTTTAATGGTTAAATAGACTCATGACTAAATCAATACTAATGCAAAAGAAACAGGGTGTGTGACTAGAGGCAGAAATGTAATCTTTACATCCCATTGATTATGACTGATTTCACAAAGAGCAAGAAACTGTTGGCTCTTTTGAAGTGGATGGGTTAACTTCTATAACCAATAGGGGATAATCTCTTGCTCTGTTGACCTTTGCAGAATGGCTTGCAAGGAAATGCTCAGTCCCCAGATAATGCTTACAACATGCCTGACTCTTGTCTAGAGAAGAAGATAATCAACAGAGTCAGAGGATTAAAAAAAAAAAAAAACTTTAACAAATGTTTCATGATGTTTATAAAGGATGATTCCCATCAAATCGTTTGATAATAAAATAAATTGCATTGGAAGCATTTAAAACAACATGTATAATAGTTTATTTATTGTTGATGACCTCATGAAAATATCCTAATGCCCTTTGGGAAGTAGTTACCCTCACTGGGGTTATTACAGGGGTCAGATAGGACTCTAAATTAACTTGATTATTCTTACCTAAAATATCTTGTTTCCTGTGAGTTATTCAATTCCAATTTTCATTTTAAAATACCAATCTTGTATAGAAGTTTGTTTTTTGAGATATTAAAACACTCCCCAAATAGACAACATGGTTTCTGACAGCTAGAATCTATATATTCTACGTTTATAAATTTTGCTGCTTGTTCTTACAACTCATTTGTTTAAAAGGAATCCAGTAAGACAGATTGAAGAAAAAAAAATCTTTTAGCATTTTTAAAAATCAGAAAACAAAAAATAATCAGTAGAAAACAATTCAAATTACAGATGTCTCAACTCACAGTCTTTTTAATGGGAAATGCCAGATCTTAGGTAGCCCTTTCTTATGATGATAGGTTTAGAAATGTCAGCTGCCAGCTGAAAGCCTCATCAGCCTCAGTGAAGAGAGACTACACTCATTTCATAACCAATAGTACAAAATAATAATAATAAAACACTAGTGTTGTATTCTGAAAATGGCCCAATTCAATTATTCAGTATACCAGAAGCATGTACAACTGCTGACAGCTTCTTGAATGAGAGAACATGTCACATTTGAAAAAAGCAAACTTTCTCGTTCATTGTTGCTTGGGTGAGAATCCTAGCTGCCAATTTGTCAATTGAATCTCCAACCAGATTAGCCCTGTTACAGGGCTTTGTTGTGGAACAAATTAAGTAATCCTTTTCCTAATAACAGAGTTTCCACTTCTTCCCAAGAGAGCTAGTAGGAGATTAGGAGGAATTTGGGGTAACATATTACAATAAATATTATAAATATCTCACACATTTAATAAGATAATTTCTGTTGATTGAAAATCAAATGAATATTAAAAACACATTTATTGAAATTCTTAACCACTACAAGTAATATAGAGTAGGTACCTATCACATTGTTTTTAACATTGCATAAATAAGCCTGAGAGAATAAAAATTATACATTGTATTCAATAGCAGCTATTTTTGTTTGAAAGGTTAGAATAAATACAGTCATCTTGGTACAGTGTGTTAAAGACCAATAGAATATTCAAAGCATGTTAAGTGAGATTTAGTAACCATAAATTTGATATGTGTCTATGATATAGCTGCTCATCTTCAATAAATAGGTTTCTAATAAGCAGTTGATATTTATTCAACAAAGGCAACTGTTACAGTGAATAAATTAAATGCCTATTTAAGACACTTCATGCAGCATAAAAAGGTGGCACAATTTCCCCAGAAGTAGCAATGATTGTTAGTACTGGAGAGAAGCCAATGGTCTAACACCCTGTTGCCAGTGGGAAGCATGCCATGCTCTGCACTGCAGTGTGACCAACACTGCACAGCATGAGGACTCACAGCCATGAAGAATCAATTCAGGAATTTTGACAAGATTCTGTTGGCTGAAATCCTTGCAATCCCTAAACATCTACCCAGAATACACGAAAAAAAGAGCAAGTCTTCATTTCTTTTCAACAAGCCTGGAAGAAAAGGACTTCAATGTTTGCCTTGATTTTATAGTTGTATAATCTCCAGTTGTCAAATATGCCACTCAACCTAGAAGGTGATTTGCCAACTCAACACTGGGCATGTGTATGGAATTCAGTAATCTTGGGATCTGCCTTACTAGCCCTGAAGCAGGACGTTTCTGAAATTATTATGAACTTCTTTGGTATACAGGCATACCACAGAGATATTGCAAGTTCAGTTCCAGACCACCCCAATAAAGTGGATATTGCAAAAAAGAGTCACACATATTTTTTGGTTTCTCAGCACATATCAGATTCATGTGTACACTATACTGTGTATTTTTAAGTCTATTAAGTGTGCAATATGATTACACCTAACAAAACAATGTGTATAACTTAATTAAAATATGTTACTGCCGCAAATGCTATCATTTGATTCTTCAGCAAGTCAGGCTCTTTTTGCTGGTGGAGTGTCTCACCTTGATTTTGATGGCTGCTTACTGATCTTGGTGGTGGTTGCTGAAGGTTGAGGTATCTGTGGCAATTTCTTAAAATAAGACAGTGAAGTTTGTCTGATTGATTGACTCTCCCTTTCATAAAATATTTCTCTGCAGCATGTGATACTGGTTGATAGTATTTTACTTCAAGTAGAAGAACTTCCTCCAAAATTGGAGTCAATCCTCTCAACCCCTGCTGCTGCTTTATCAACTAAGTTTATGTACTATTCTAAATTCCTTGTTGTTATTTTAACAGTGTTCAAAGCGTCTTTACCAGGAGGAGATTCTATCTCAAGAAAGCACTTACTTTGCTCATCTGTAAGAAGTAACTCCTCATCAATTCAAGTTTTATCATAGGTTGCAGCTACTCAGTCACTTCTTCAGGTTCCACTTCTAATTGTAGTTCTCTAGCTATTTCCACCACAACTGCAGTTACTTCCTCCACTGAAGTCTTGAACCTCTCACAGTCATTTATGAGAGTTGGAATCAACTTCTTCCATACTCCTGTTACTGTTGATATTTTGCCCTCCTCCCATGAATCATGAATGTTCTTAATGGCACCTAGAATGGCAAATATTTTCCAGACTGTTTTCAATTTACTTTTCCTGGATCCATCGGGGAATCATTATTTATGACAGCAATAGCCTTATGAAATATATTTCTTAAATAATAAAACTTGAAAGTCAAAATTACTCCTTGATTAATAGGCCAAAGAATGGATGTTGTGTTACCAGGCATGAAAACATTTATCTCCTTGTACATTATTACCAGAGCTCTTGGGTGACTGGGAGCATTGTTAATGGGCAATAATATTTTAAAAGGAATATTTTTTGCTGAGAAGTAGGCTTCAAAAATGGTCTTAAAATATTCAGTAAATAGATGTGCTGTCACCCAGGATTTGTTGTCCCATTTATAGAAGACAGCCAGAGTAGATTTAGCATAATTATTAAGGGCCCTAGGATTTTCAGAATGGTAAATGAAAATTGGCTTCAACTTCAAATCCCCAGATGCAACAGCCCCTAACAACAGAGTCAGCCTTCACACAACTAGAGAGGCAGAGAAGGGAAGAGAAGGGAAGGGAAAGGGAAATGAAGGATGGAGGGAGGGAGGAAGGAAGGAGGGAAGGAAGGAAGGAAGGAGAAAGAAAGAAAAGACAAGAGGGAGAAGGGAAGAGAAGGGAAGAGAGGGGAGGGGAGGGGAGGGAAAGGAAGGGAAGGGAAGGGAAGGGAAGGGAAGGGAAGGGAAGGGAAGGGAAGTGAAGGGAAGGGAAGGGAAGGGCAGTTGTTTGAAGCTTTGGAGCCAAGCACTAACTTCTCTCTAGCTATGAAAGTCCTAGAAAGCATCTTCTTACATTAGAAAACTGTTTTGTCTACATTGAAAATCTGTCCCTTAGTGTAGCCATGTTCATCAAGAATCTTAGATCTTCTGAATAACTTGCTGCAGCTTTTACGTCAGCATTTGTTGCTTTATCTTGTACTTTCATCATACAGAGATGGCTTTTTTTCTTAAACCTCATGAACCAACCTCTGCTAGCTTCCAACTTTCCTTCTGCAGTTTCCTAACCTCTCTCAGCTTTCATAAAACTAAGGAGATTTATGATCTTGCTCTGGATTAGGCTTTGGCTTAAAGAAATGCTATGGCTGATTTGGCCTTCTATCCAGATCACTAGAAGTTTCTTCATATTAGCAATAAGGGCATTTTACTTTCTTATCATTCATGTGTTCAACTGAGTAACACTTTTCATTTCAAGAACTTTGCTCTTGTATTGATAATTTAGCTAACTGTCTGTGGCAACAGGCTTAGCTTCAGCCTATCTCGTCTTCCTACATGCCTTCCTCACTAGGCTTAATCATTTTGAGCTTTTGATTTAAAGTGAGACACGCACAGCTTCTCCTTTCACCTGAACACTTAGAGGCCATTATTTACTTACTAACTGGCATAATTATAATACAATATCGTTGTGTCTTGGGAAATAGGGAGGCCTGAGGAGAGGGAGAAAGAAGAAAGAATGGCTTGTCAGTGGAGCAGGCAGACACACACATTTATTAAATTTTCTGATTTTATCAGGCACAAATCATGGTGCTCCAAAAATTTACAATAGTAACATCAAAGATCACTATAATGAAAAAGTTTGAAATATTATGAGTATTACCAAAATATTACAAAGAGACAGGAAGTTAGCATGTGCTGTTGAAAAAATGGTACTGATAGACTTGCTGGATGCAGGATGGCCACAAATCTTCCCTTTGTAAAAAGGCAGTAACTGCTAAGTGAAAGGCAATAAAAGAAGGTATGTCGTATTTCCAGTTAATTTGCCAGAATCATTTTATTTTTTTATTTGAGTGTTTTTACAGAAAAATCATACATTTTGATCATTTAATGTTGTCATCTATTATGTCATGGGCTCAAATGATGGAGTATAATTAATTTAGTTATCAAATCTCTCTCACCAGCAATACCCATCTTTTATAGAAGTGAATATTTTTAGATAGTTTCTCATAGATTGTATGAGTTTAGGTGAATTCATAGTTTGCATTTTATAAACAAAGATGATTCTGCTTTTATTTAAGCTCTTCATAGTAAGCGTCTTACAAAACAACTTAGTGTTCACATTCAATTCAGTAATTAACATGGTGTTTTCTTCCAGTGAACAGAAAAGTTATTATAAAACAATATGTATTTCCATTCGTCATTGTCTTTTCTCACTTCTGACTAGCCACAAGGTCTTGACAACTTTTTTTCTATGTAAAATGAGACTGTGCTATGAATATCTCAGAGGTTTTAAGAGTATTGTACATAAGGAGCTCTAGCTACCTATGTCAGTGGTGTCGGTGTAATAAATCACGGCCTTTCCTTAACTAACCTGCCAGGCCTAAAATTGTAAATTTGTACATAGCCTAGTAGATATATATATTTTTAAATTTAAGGTCTTGCAATATAACAAATATGGAGATAATATGAAGGGACCCTTAAATCCCAGGAATTTCATTCTGAGAAAGTTTTGAATAATTTCTTGTAGGCAGACTGCATGTAAAGAAAGAGTCATAGTAAAACTTTGTCATAAGAAACCTATTGAGAAACTGTAAAATGAAGCTTTGGATTTAAGGAAGAAGCCAATAAAAGGAGGTATGCCTGTATTTAGGCACACCTAAAGGGGATTCTGGCTAGGGTTAGGGTTAGGGTTAGTGCTCCTTTGACAACCATTTGATTCTAATTCCAAGAAGAAAGAAAGAATGAAGCTGACACTATGGATAGAACAGTTACTCCATAAGTCCTCTCCAACTCCTCTCCATTCTTACCCAGCTCCAGGAATTGCTGCTTCAATATATTCATTAACCTTTGCAATTTTTCATTCTTCCAATTAGAATGCAAAATATAAGTTTGTGTGTGTGTGAATATGTTATTTATGTGTGGTCAATTTTTCTTTTGTTTTCTATCATCAAAAAGAGGAAGATACATAAACAATAGAGACAGGAAAAAAAAAGAAATTATCAAAAGCATTAAGGGAATCCCAATAAACAAAATCTACTCCTCTTCCATCACTTCTAGACAGTCTGAGAAATATAATAAAAAAAAGATGGAAGCTGCAATAGTCAGAATTCTAAGGTGACCCTCAAGTTCCTCCTCACTGCAACACATACACCCAGAATACATGTACTGCATAATCTCTGGGACTGTGACTATGATGAATTTTACTCTTGCGTTTAGATTTTGTTATATGGCATAGTTGGCCTTAAGATAGGGAGATTATCCAAGTGGGCTGATACGATCACATGAGCCCTTTAAAAGCGAAGAGTATTCTCTGGTCAGTCATCAAAGCCAGACATACAAAGCAAAAGAAGGATTTGAGTTGCTATGGCTGCCATAAAGATGAAGGAGATTGTGGGGTAAGAAATATGGGCAGCCTTTAGATGCTGTCTGGAGCCCCAAACTGAAAGCCAGCAAGGAAATGAAGTCTTCCAACAGCCAGTTGGCAAGGAGAAGAACTCTAAGCACAGATGAGAACTGCAACGTTAGTCAACTTCTGGATTTCAGCCTAGTGAGATCCTGAGCAGAGAAATGAGCTAGATAGCATATCGAGACTGCTCACCTACAAAAACCATGAGAAAATACATTTGTGTTGGTTTCTACCTTGCAGTTTGTGGTAATTTCTTGTACAACCATAGAAAACTAATACAGAGGCCAAAATGGCACTTTTTATTATTAATAGAAGTTATGTTAGAGAAGGTTGACTAATGTCAGAGTCAAATGAGCTTGGCCACTAATTTCCAAAATTAGACTGATTAGCTCACTCCCTCATAGGGAAAATGGAGTTAGAACAGGCCTTCCCAGGTGGAAGGAATTAGCACAGAAAAGACAAACAGTAAAGAAGAGAGGAGAACTGAGCTTCCAGAAGTCAAGTCCCCTCCCAAGAAGAAGAACAAAGGAAGGTGGACTGAGAATATTTAGTTATTTTACCCAAAACGACCAATCCGTTACATCATTCTTCTTACCCAGAGACAGAGTGAGTAAAATTATAGAGATATCCAGAGTTACAATAATTGAACTCATTTCACTGGAAGGAATATTAAGAATGGGAAGGAGTTTGGCACGGTGGCATGCATCTCTTGTCCCAGTTACTCAGGAGGCTAAGGTGGGAGGATCCTTGAGCCTGAGAGTTTGAGTCCAGCCCAGGCAACATAGGGAGCATCTCTAAAAAAGGGGGAAAAAACCTATGGAAGAATTGTGACCCAATAAAATGAAGGAAAGAGAAAGGAAGAAAAGATAGGTGAGAGGGGTAGGAGCCTTAGCTTAATTATCTTTATATCTAATCTCTAGGATTGCACTAAGTTTATAATTATTGCTCAATAAAAGCTTACTGAAAGGCAGATTGAACTGTTGAATGAATCACTAATGTATTCTCTTTTCACACTTAACATAATCGCCTTCATCTTGTCAACAGGGACACCAAAATAGTATAGCTAAGTGTGTAAGAGCAGCATAATGCAGCAGCGAGAACAGAGCTTGACACCATACAGACCCACATTCAAAAACTAGCTAGCTAACCTCTTAAGAACTAACCTCACCTCTGGTGTTTGTATATTAGAACTAATGCATGTCTTGGGGATAATTAGAAAGACAGAGTGAGAAAATCTATGGATAGTGCTCAGTACAGCGCTTATCACTTGGTAAGTGATTAGTAAATGGAAGCCATGAATCATGTGTTGACTATCTCCTCAATGTATATAGACTCAGACCTCCTCTAATAACAAGTACACAGTCAGTGTAGGCCTTAACAAGTGTAAAAGTGGATGACTGTCCAAGACAGGTGTTCCCATATGGTGGCTTAGTGTTTCAGACTGTGTTAATATAGTGACAACTCCACCTCAACATGATGCTTCAGGAATCTACTTAGTAGTGGAAGGAAACATGAAAAATCGCATACCTCAAATTAATGTTCATCACCCCTTATCAAAACCCACTGGCCATCACTAGGCACATGGCCCTGCACAAAAGTTAATCTTCCCTTGGTCCAGGAAAGGGATGAAAATCTGAAGCATTGGCTCACACTAATAATGTTGTCCACAGCAAGTTTCCTGTTCTTTATTGATTTGGGTCCTTCTGCTATACTCCCACCCACGAAGAAAACATTCAAACTTTCCCTTCCCGGACAAGTTCTTTCCTTCTTAACAACTGTGTCCTCTCAATGCCTTGATTCCTCAAAGCAAATTCACTCTCTACTGTGAATACCAAAATCTCACTTTCACAATTACTGGAATGGAGAAAGCATGGCTTTGTTTTTGGAAAATAATTTCTAAAAAATATAATAGTTTGATGTGATGATCAGAACAACTACTGGATTTTTAGTTTAGTTATTAGAAACATAATACCCCAAGGCAGTGTTCTTGGTCATGCTTTTCTTGATATTAGGCAAACCATAGTTGTATTATGTTGTTGTTTTCTGGGCAATTCACTTAGGCATGGACAAAGATAAACTGTAATGCATTCAGAAAAGCGCAGTCAGAAAGGTGAAGAAATTCTATGGCCAGTTATACAAAGAACAATTGAACTAAGAGATGGGGATTCAAAGTCAGAAAATGAGCAAACTCAGGCAGGACATAACTGCTCTCTTCAAATATTCAAAGGTCTGTCATGCAGGAAAAGAGGCAGACTTGTTCTGTATAACCATAGGTTATGGTGAGAACCAAAGGGTAGAAGCAAAAACCAGACCCAATTATCTTATTTTAAGAAAGACCTAACAAAACAAAACCATGATATATTAGACTTTCTCAGGGGGTAGTAAGTTCTCTGTCAGAAAAACGGTTCAAGCCAAATGCTAGCCATGTGATAGGGGTATTGTAGAAAGCATTTAAGTATGAGATGAAGACTAGACAGATATTTTTAGGTAGGATGACCATGCCATTTATTATCCAAACCAGGACAAGAGTATCCGGGGCTGCTGATAACAATTGTATCAAAAAACAGGCGTAAATTTGAACTATCCCAAGAAAAGTAAAATGCATGCCCTTGCTGCATTTAGGGACTCTTTCAAATCTGAGATTATTTTGTGTTACAATTTTATATTAAAATATTAGTAACAGTTTAATAATTTGTATCCATGAGGTATATTTGCAAGATAAAGGATTTCTGAACAGTCAACTGTGGGCCTTTTTTTTGTTTTTGTTTTTGTTTGGCATTGTGGTGAGCCAGTGAGGAATGTTTTGATCTGGTTGGCATTTCTGCTTTGTAGCTTTCCATCTAATGCAGTTACCTTCATGACTGATTTGGTTACAGGTAGGATTCGTCCAGGATACAATCATACACCAAAACGCAGGGCATAAAAAATGCATGGCATATATTTAAAAGCCATGTAAAAAGACTTCATGGTCTCCCAGATTTGTCCAACAAGGCTAATCTAGTCAGTCAAGGGAGATAGATTGAGTGCCTCCTCAGAGCCAGGTGCTGTGCCAGTTGTCATCTACTACTCAGTTCTCACAGCACTCCTGTCAGGTGGACATTATCACTTTGGGAGGTAGGTATTACTTTCTCCTTTTTACAGACAAAAACACTGAGTTTGAGAGAGGTTTCATAACTTATTCTCTCACTTATTAACATAAAGTTGATAACATAAAGTTAATAAGTGAGAGAATGAGAATTGGAATCTATCTATGTCTGTCCTTGTGTTTTTTTGTTTGTTTGTTTGTTTGTTTTTTTGAGACGGAGACTTGCTCTGTCGCCCAGGCTGGAGTGCAGTGGCATGATCTCGGCTCTGCAAGCTCCGCCTCCTGGGTTCACGCCATTCTCCTGCCTCAGCCTCCCGAGTAGCTGGGACTACAGGCACCCACCACCACGCCCAGCTAATTTTTTTTTTTTGTATTTTTAGTAGAGACGGGGTTTCACCGTGTTAGCCAGGATAGTCTCAATCTCTTGACCTAGTGATCCACCCGCCTCGGCCTCCCAAAGTGCTGGGATTTGTTAATAAGTGAGAGGGTGAGAATTGGAATCTGTCTATGTCTGTCTTTGTTAGAAGAATTTGTTTGTGACATTCCAGGGTATCAGCATTGGATAGAAACTCTAATCAACCAAAAGAGGATCTGATATTTGAATAAGACACCTAACATTTGTACAGTACTTTAGAGTTTCTAAGTGAAATCATTCAGTTTTATTTATTACACAAACTTTTGAGCATCTACTAGGTTCCAGGCACTGATCTAGGCACAAAGAATCCTAAAACAAGATTATTCCTACAAAAGAAAAGAGTCAAATTGCAACTAGTTGAGAAGAAATGTGCATTACTCTAGCCTACTTTGCCTATATCTTAGCCCAAAATACAATGGGAATATGTCACATATGTGCCAATTTTTCTCAGCTGAGAAGTGGCTGGGTAATGGCTCAGAGATTGGGAGAAAGACAAACTCTAAATTGTAATATTATGAAGTTGTCTCCAGGGTGGATGGTGAGGGGTGGTGTTGGAGCTGGTTTGAGAAAAGAAGGAGAGACGGTAGGGGGACTTTGAAGCTGTTGATGTGTAAATTGCTTTAAACTACCTATGGTGTCAGGAGCTGGGCAGAGATGTGTAGGAAGACATACAATTTGATCCTCATAACCAACATGGAATTAAAGCATGAACTGTCATTATTTACCCCATATAACAGATTAGAATCCCAAGTTACCAAAAGCCACACAAATTCCAAGGTTTGCACTCATCCCTTTCTGAAACACTGTGCCAGGAATGGTTGTCATTAGTAATGACAAAAAAAAAAATCTAGGAAATGGAATGTGATAAATAAGAGTAAAGTCCTTTCTGATATTTTATGTCTTGATTATTTGAGCTATTTGACTTAGAACAATAATGTTTTAAGCTCTTTGCTTTTTCTCTCCCTGATCTCTCACATCCTTGTTTTCTATAAAATTATAAATAAAGTAATGAGCAACAGAGAGAAATTTTAGGTAGCAAAATTGAAACAAAAAGGCTGAAGACAAGAAAATTGTCCCGTAAGATGTTCCAAAGAGAATTTCCAAACAAGAATGAAATTTTTCCTGCTGTAAATGCCCTCGGTGGACTGAAAAATGTCTTTGGAACCCAAGACAACAGGTAAAGTCTGTTCCTCATTAGTGTGTGCAATAATGACCCACTCTTACATTTTCTATTTCTTTGGAATTCATTTGTTTTCATTACATCAGGTGGTTGTTATTATGATGTGTTAATGGGCTTCAAGCAGGGCTGTCCTCTGTGACTCGAGTCTGATTACTAAAATGAAAGTTTTGATATTTCTTATTATACCAACTCAGTTTGCATTCCAATTGTTAATATTCCTGTCCACCAGAGCACTGCTCTGAATTTCAAAGGCATGTAAAGGAAAGAAAAAGTAAGAATCTTGTTTTTATTTTCAACTCTAGATTCTTTTCATCTCAAAGTTTGTCTTTCATGACTTAGCACTATACTTCAATTCTTTTATGTCCCCAGTCTCATTACTAAAATCTTTTAGAACGTTTTTAAACAAGAACAACCATCCACAATTTTTCCCTCTTTCTTCACTTTTGCTTTTAGGCATATGTATCATTTTTTTTGGCATAAGCAGCCTTTCCCTGTCTATGCCTTCTTCGGATCCTATATCCATAGGAAATATGCCTAATCATCTAGGTCATGGTAGCCTTTTGGTTCAAGATGATTGCAACGAATTTCTGTAGCTCATTATTTTTAAACATAAATAAGTTAGATGAGTTGCTCCCAAACATCACATTTCATCAAGGGTGACCCCCACTCTTAATGACATATCAATGCTTTTCTTTCCTTCAAATATGAGAAATGAAAATCTTGAAGCAAGAGATCAAATTTAGTTTGTTTATAAGACTAGAGAGAACCATGACACTTGTAGTTTGATTCAGACTACGGCTCTTTTTCAGAAGCTCATTCTAAATAGAGCCTACAAATGGAACATTTCCATACTGCCCGTTCTAGTTATCCAGCACCTTTGCAATATCAAATGCATTATTCTCTTCATTCTGTTCAAACAGGTACAGCAAGTTCCCTATTCAACTGGATAATGAATGAACTTATTAAAATGCCTTAATCTATGTTTACACACACAAGATGAGATTGGTGTTTACCTAAGGGGACTGTCTTTACTCACTAATGTGCAATTACAATAACTTAAGAAAACAAAAACAACCTTCTCACTCCCAGGAAAATGGTAATTGTGATAATTACAGCAATACTAAACAACCTTGCTTTCCAGACACTACAGAAATACATTTGTCTGAACACATTTTTGTTTTGTGTTTATGGAAAGATTTCTTTATGTTTTCTTTGTTTGGGTAACTGTTAATGTTATTGCTGTTTATACTATAGGACTTGCGGTTAAGGCTTATGTTTCTGACTGCCTCATCTTTTGCTGATGTCTAACACATGTTGGTTTACCTCACATAAGTTTTCCCCACTGCCCCCGCACCCACCTCCAAAATATTAAGCATCACAGATGGCACTTTATAGACAGCTATTTTTGTGTACGTGTGGGTGTTTAACTTTGTGTTCAGCTAGAGGAGAGATGTCATGAAGGCTTTGTCCTTCAAAGTGCACTGTTATGTTGCTGTTTCCTTTTAAAGTTAATTATATGTTTCATTGTCACTGATTAAATAGATGTTCTGAATGTGTCTATAAGCAGCCCTTTCTAATTTCTCCTGTTCGTTAGGGTCAGATTGCATTTATGAAGACTCAATACAACAGCTGTTTTTACATCTTTATAATATGGAAATTTAGAAAGGAGCTGTTAAGGAGTGAAAGCATTGAAACACACTGGGACAAAAACATATAGGGAGAAAGAACTATAGGCAAAATGTAAACTATTTCATTAAAACATGAATTTTCATACATAAAATGGTTATTCCTATAACCATTTCATTGGGTAGAACATAAAATGTGACCACATTACCTAATGATATGATCTTTTTTGAATTGAAGAACTCAAACAAATGAAAAAAACTAAAAAGAATTTTGTTTTTTTCACTATATGTAACCTGGTAACCGATCTAAGCAAAACATTGTAAAAATGATAATTATGGAAATAAAAGGGGTTACAGCAAAGATGCTATCATTAGTTTGTCCACCAGGGAAAGAAGTATTCTCACTGGCTAATGACATTTTTGAAAATTCAGCTCTTTCAAAGGAAATACTAGAAAGTTAAAAGAAAGAAGATACAAAAAAGAGTAGTAGTTTTAAAAAGTGAAGAAAGCAGATATCCAAGCTTATAAATAATTTGTGGCAGAATTGTTGGCGGAAGTTAGAAGTAGCAAGTAAGCCGCAGATATATAATCACAAACCCAAATGCCTATGGGGCAGATAAATAACCTGTGAGGGTGGAAGGTGAGATGATTTAAGTCATGGTCTTGAAACACTTGTTTGTCATTTAAATTCATAAGAATATTATTTTCTCCTACAAATAAACATGCTTTCTCATTTTTCTTGTGGCCTATCTTTTATTTTTCCATTTTTGACAGAGATATGGGAACAAGGAGTATTTCACTTTCTTCAAAGCTGTGTAATAATGGTGCAAGTATGCTTATAAATAGCAATTGCCAGTAGGTTTCAGTGTTAGGGAAACAAAAATGCATACCTGGTAATTCAGTATCTTTAAAATTGTGAAGGTCACAGCTCTCTGAACTAGCAGCCATGTACTTGTAAACTATGGTAGATTGTGAATTCATTAAGGGCAGAAACAGGCATTATCCATACTCAACACTTACTCTAGTACTTGACATATGGAAGGTGTTTATCAAAATTTATTGAATTAAATTAGTTTTTATAAATATGAAGGAAGACCAAGTGGCAGAATGAAACTGGAATAGCTCAACAAAGAGTAAGAGAGGTAGGGAAGAAAAATGTAGTGATGTACCTCTCCATATTGTAACACTTGAAAAACATCTCCATCCATCAAGCATATGTGTTTGGTTATTTGCGTGTTTATTGTGTATGTGGGTAATCTACACATCAAAAAGTCTCACACCCAGAGGCCATGTGGCCACAACAACAGTTCAGCAGAGTGGTAAGGGGCATGGTCTAAAAAGAAGGCTGAATGATGGATGACAACATGCTCATGCCATCTGCCTCTATGCCCGTATCAGTGTTTTCACACATTATGTATTTCCAAATGTGTCACCAAGAAAGGCTAAATTATGTTCACTGGATTAAGGTTAAATGAGCAGAATAAATGATGCATTTTTCAAAGTTCTAGAGTTAGAATAAAGGTTTAAAGAATAAGGAAAATAATCCCACTACTCCTAACACATTTTATATAAACTCATTCATGTCTTTATGACCCAGGTTAACAGAAGTTTGCAGTAAGGTGCCCCATAGATAATATCTCTTAGCATGCCTTGAGGGACGCTGGCATTTTGTTTGAGAGCAACATTATGCTCAAGTCCCTAGCCCAATTAAATGTAACATTTTACCTTTGAAAATTTCCATTATATGTGAAACTAATAGCTTATCCTAAGTTGCCTTGAAAAGACAGAAAGCATTGTACAACATAATTATTAAACCGTCTTTACAGGGTCAAGTGAAGTAGGAAAACAAACATGTCATTTAAAAGGCTTCTATTTGTTTACGTTACATAGACTTGGGATGCATTATTTACTTGAAAGATTGACTTCCTTATTCAATTTTTCTTAGCTAATGGTGAACCAACCTTTAAATTCTTCTCTGGATTTGTTGATCTATTTGAATTACCGGGGATATCAACACCAAATTGCTTAACGACCCATATTGCAAACATTTTATTTGATACATATGGATTATTAAGAAAAGAAAATAACGGCTTCGTTTTTTTTTTTTTTCTTTTCTTTTTTCTTTTTTTTTTTTTGAGACGGAGTCTCGCTCTGTCGCCCAGGCTGGAGTGCAGTGGCGCGATCTTGGCTCACTGCAAGCTCTGCCTCCCGGGTTCACGCCATTCTCCTGCCTCAGCCTCCCAAGTAGCTGGGACTACAGGCACCCACCACCATGCCCGGCTAATTTTTTTTTGTATTTTTAGTAGAGACGGGATTTCACCGTGTTAGCCAGGATGGTCTCGATATCCTGACCTCGTGATCCACCCGCCTCGGCCTCCCAAAGTGCTGGGATTACAGGTGTGAGCCACCGCGCCCGGCCAACGGCTTCGTTTTTATTGGGTAACTAGCTAATCAATTAATCAATTCAACAACAATTTATTAAATAGCAAGTATAGGGCAGTCTTTGTGTTCACGTTGACACTGCAGAGACAATGGTCTCTGCTTCCTAGAGATCCACAAACAGCATTGGGGTACATTGATCAACTTATTGTTTATAGCGTGCTGGTTTTTAATTCTTCCAGATGATTTACTTATTCTATACATATTTTCTTCGCACCCTCTTGTTTATATCATGCCTGTCAAAGATGAACCCCCTTCTTTTTTCTTTTGAGATGGAGTCTCGCTCTGTTGCCAGGCTGGAGTGCGGTGGCGCGATCTCGGCTCACTGCAACATCCATCTCCCGGGTTCAAGCGATTCTCCTGCCTCAGCCTCCCCAGTAGCTGTGACTACAGCTCCTGCCACCACGCACGGTTAATTTTTTGTATTTTAGTAGAGACGGGGTTTCACTATGTTGGCCAGGATGGTCTCAATCTCCTGACTTCGTGATCTGCCCGCCTCGGCCTCCCAAAGTGCTGGGATTACATGCGTGAGCCACCGTGCCCAGCCAAAGATGAACTCTTAAGTGATTCTTTTCAGTTTGGCGTTGAGAAAACCACACGGTCCCATGAGGTGAGATACTTATTTGCTTATAATATTTATTGTTCTAGAGAATTTTCTGGATAACACAGCAGCACTTCTGTGCTGAAGAATTCTATCCATGTATCATTAATACCTTCAGCAGGATCATTACCTCCAAAACCAATAAGAAATAAACTATATTTTTCTGTATGACCCAAAGTGAAATATGCACAGGAAATTCATAGCATCATTTTGATCAATAAATAATTAATCAAATTATATATTTAGGAAGCTTAAAACAACACAGCACAAAATTATGGTGCTACAACCATCTTCCAATATCTTCTTTCATTATTTTCCAATGGCTAAGTAACAAGCCATTTCCAACGGCTAGCTGAGAAGAGGAGGCTGCCTTTTCTGATCTAAGGTTAATTATCTTCAGTATCGATTTCAGGATCTAAATGGAAATTGTGAGGCAGAAAAAGATAGGTAGAAGAGAATTACAGAATAAAAAGCCTGAAGCCCTTTTTCCTATGAATACTGTTTTTGGACACAAAGGGATTTTGCCTACCGATGTAAACAACTCGGGGAGGATGGCTTTCTCTAAAGTCATAATGTGTATAAGAGGATTGTGAAGAAAAGTGGAGGCTCCTTAATAGTAGTCCATAAACAAGGATAGTCATTGCAGATTAACTTGTACCCATCTTGGCCATTTTTCAAGCTTATTTCCCAGATTCACTATGCTTCAGGTACTTTAAGAGACAGAGTTACATTTCAGTCCTGCATCTGCCTCAAACTACATTACATCATCAGATGAATTTTTAAAATGTATTTAGAGTGCAATTTAATGAAGGTGGAAAGCACACGATCTCTAAATACTGTTCTGATCCCTGAATCTAAATCTGATTGGCAATTTATTCATCAGTATATGATAACAACATTTATTATCTTAGCAAACTCCTGTGCCAACCAGTTCACTTTATCTGACCCTGAGGAAACTACCTGGGAGAGGAGTTAGAAAACATTAAAATACCCACAGGAAAAAAAAAAATCAATAAAACCCAAAAACTTCAGAGTAGGGCAGGGCATGGTGGCTCACTCCTGTAGTCCAAGCACTTTAGGAGGCTGAGGTGCGTGGATCACTTGAGGTCAGTAGTTTGAGACCAGCCTGGACAACATGATGAAAACCCATCTCTACTAAAATTACAAAAATTAGCCGGGCGTGGTGGCACACGGCTGTATTCCCAGCTACTCAGGAGGCCGAGGCAGGAGAATCGCTTGAATCCGGTAGGCTGAGGTTGCACTGAGCCGAGATTGTGTCACTGCACTCCAGCCTGGGTGACAGAGCGAGACTCCAAAAAAAACCACCTCAGACAAGTTTCCTTGCCGTATAATGCATTGATATTATACTTGAACCTGTGACTTGTTTCCAGGCACTAACACTTTATGAACAGGAGAATATACTAATAAGATGTTGTTCTAATTCCACAATTATCACTTTTTCTGTTTTCCAAAGTGTTAGCCAAAGCATTAGACATCTTGTTGAGTAAAAACATTAAGTTTCATTTGTGGACTTTTCTCTCTAAGGTGGAAACATTTTTCTGTAATGCATTTGGCATATGCCAATTTTAAAATGTATGACATCAACTCCTATTCATGAGTACTTTTCACAGTGCTCAAATTCTTACAAGTAATATTTTCCTACACAGTTGAAATCCCAATTAATCAACATTTTAGTACTCAGTTCTCAAACTTGTCCCATGATGCAATCTGCTTCAAGGACTCACCCTACACTGTGTCTTGAAATACCAAACTCATCATAAGAATTGTAACACTGAAATGAACTCTCCATAAATATTAAAAATTATCTAGCCCTCACAGATGTTCATTCTGCTTATTATATGCAAACTTTCTGGATCAAATGTTCAATAGGAATATGTTAGTATCCACCAAAGATTGGTTTTGGCAGGGTATATGTTGATATCAGCAGGAAATAAATAGGAAAACATTAAAAGGTATGAAACTTTAAAACAATAGCTTAAAGGTGTTTTATAAACTACAGATGGCTTACAACATTTAAGCGAATATTTGCTCTAGGATGAGAAACAATCAGGACTGAGAAAAAAGGGAAAGCATTTGAAAATAATGTCTCCCATGCAATATGTTGTAATTAAAGCAGAGATAAGTAATGTAGAAATTGCCTCCCATTATCTCTCCTCATAGGAAAGATGAAGTATGCTAGAATATATATGAGCACAAATCAGGACAAAAATTTAAAAGCATTCAAAGTAGTAATCTTAAATCTTAGAATTATGCAACATGGGATCTCTTTATTAATGTAATGCCAGACCATACACCACAACACCCAAATACACATAATTGCCACATGTATACGCATACCAGTTTTGACTGTTCTAAGAGATACCACCACTGGCCATGAAAACAACAACAAAAAAGGAAAAAGAATAAAAACAAAGGTTAATTTCAAGGAAGATGGAATCTGAAGGTCAAACAAATTAAGTCTGCTGGCTTCAACACGCTTCTCCAGAAATGCTTCCAGAGTTGGGCAAATCACTCCACACCTTTCCTTCCACTATTGCTGAATGAACAGATCAAACTCAAATGAGGCTTTCCCTCCTTAGGCTGTGATCACATTCGTGCTTAGAGTTGAGCAGCACAGAGCTCAGAGATCATTAACAATGTACAGATGGGAGATGACTGTAGAAGAGAGGCAAAGGAGAAGCTGGGGGCAGTTCACTGATGTTCTCCACATATTCATAATTGAACCTGTGTGCTAACGTGATGCTAGAAGGAACCCTTGCTTTGGGTATTGCCTCTGGAATGTGGCATTAAACAATGTTCCCTAGCATCCCCATGAAATTTTTTTTTTGAGTAGGTAAGAAAGTTTGGACTCCCTATAGTAAAATTCCTTTGAGTTCTATATTGTATTCACACATTTTTCACTGAAAAAAAATTTTTTTTACCCCTCCAGTGAGCTTGGCATTATACACAGGCACAGAGTTTCTCAGAATGAAGGTCTGTTTGTATTAATACATAAAGAAACCTATTGTAAAATATTATACTAAACATATGCTTTTGATGGTGGTATAGGACAAGGTATAATGGAGAAAGTAACTAATAATTCAAAAGCAGATGTAACATGAAAAAATCGACATTTTACAAATTATTGCAAATTTAGGTTAATGTAATGTGTGCAAGTATTATATATAGTATCAAAACTAATAATCACTGTTGATTCTCTGTAATTTTTAGATATTATGTCAACTGTGTTATAATGGAAAGGTGGACCAAATATTATCAGATCTGGCTTCTAATTCCATTTCTGCCACTAAAATCCTTCAAGTTTTAATTTCTCATGTGTTAAAAAATTAATTGAAAAAGTGCTATACTACTTTCCATGGTTACCTTTTAAGATAAAATTAAATAATAGTTACACTTTCATATGAATTTTTAAATATTGCATGAATATACAATATTTTTATTATTGGAGATGCTGAATGAGACAGATGTCTCAGTCTTGAAACATTTAATGAAAGATTTACTTAAACATCAACTTCCCTATGGTACTGTTGTGTTGTGAGCACAGGAGATGCCTGTCTAAACACCACACAGAATTCTGAAACTGCTCTGATACAAATTTAATTGATTAAGCAATGATTCTTCACAAAATCTTTATAAAACCCTGGGAGCCAAGGGGGAAATCATGAAACTTAGGGAAAGAAGGACACAAAAAAGGGATGGGCAAAGAAGTACCTCATAAATAGGAGGCAGGCAGTAAGGACTGTTTTCCTTTCCTCTCTAGTTAGTGGCAAAGCCACTCACCACAGTAAAGATGGATTATACCTAGGCCAAGGAGTAATTAGTAATATTTCAGAAATAGAAGCCTGAAAGAAGACAAAGAATAAAGAGGAGGCCGAGAAAAGCAAAGACAGGCGCAGATAATGTTCCAGGAGAGATAGTCAACTCATTTTATTGCTTGGGGATCAAAAAGAAGATACCTCAAATCAAATCAAGTCATGCAATAGATGTGGGATTTCAATTTTTACAGGTTGATTAGATTCTATTTTCACTGAACCCTGTGGACTTTCTGAGAGGACTTGAAACTCCTTTCAGTGCTTTGCAAAATTTCCCTACATGTAAATGTTTTGTAAAGACGTTGCTCTGTATATTAGCCACCAACAATAGCATGGAGAGGACAGATGCCAGAATAGGTACAGCGTCAAGGGTTTGAACCACATTTGTGATTCTCAGGCCCCTAGACCATCTGAGTGAAAGGAAACCCCCTTTAGCAGTCATAAGCTGTTCAGCAGCAGTGTAAGCTTCCAACACTTTACTTCCTAAAGGGTAAATCTTCCTCCCCGTTTTTTAATCCCTTAACACCATGTGCACAAACACAAAGAAAGAGTGGTTCTGGCCCACTGAGTACTTTGCAGAGCTGAAGTATCAGGAGGGATAGAAACTCAACAAAGAGAAATGCATACCACTGCTGCAACTGAGTCCTCAGGTGAAGAGCACATCACTACTGAGGATCAGAGCATCTGTAGCAGGTGCAAGATACCAAGTGCCCTAAGTCCGTCTTGTCAAAGGGACTAATAAGCAGGTACGCTAATGGTCCCCACCTTTCCTGATTGCATGCCTCCTACTCAGAACTGTGTGGTGTTTATTAAAACTGTCATATTGCTAGGCACTCAGCATAGCTATGAGATCAGACAAACATGTAAGTATAATGCAACCAAGAGAAATCAATTTCTCCTGGGCTTCACTCCATTTAAACAATGTGAATGCAAGTGGGAAAACAAAACAGGCTTTGGCAGACTTAGGATTCCTAGCTAGTGAGTCTGTTGAGGGAGGAAGTTGTATGTGCCACGTTGTGAATTATTATACCAAGACTCGGGTGGATATGTGAAAAGTGAGAGGTCTGTGCTCTTGGGTTTCCATTTCCAAAATGTCTTTGTTGAGGTCTTTTCAATTTAGTCCTAGAAATAAACAACTGCTGAGAGTTAGTGGTGATTGAAAGTAGGAAGGGGAAGAAGACTTCACTAGGCTATGTCTGAAGAGGCTGGATCCCTAAGCACTTCAGGATTCAATGAGGAGGCTAAGGGTTTTAATTGGATTTGGAATTGTATTAGTAGTCAGGAAAGGTTTGGGGTGCACTGTGTCTGCGCTCCACGCCCAGCAGGCAGCTGTGTTTCAAAGCTGACCTTTATCAGATGGTGGTATGTTTATTTCAGCCTGTCACAGAGAAGGAATAAGAAAACACTGCTACTAGGCCATGCAATTTTAGTTAATAATAATTAAAAAAAGATACTCTGCTTAATTGGCTAAATTCCTAAATGGAGAAATTGGGGGGATATTCCATAAAGGGAAGGGGATGGATGCCAATCAGTTGTGAAGGAACTAAAGCCAAAGGCACCTTGCACAAGAACTGATGAGAAGAAAATTGAGCTGAGATGAAACAAAAGTAGAGAAACTTGAAATAGATGGCAAGCAGGGCTTAATTATTCTAAAAAATTCAGGGCAGAACTCCAACAGTGGTCTATTTAACTCCCCCCGATTCCTTCTCCCCTTCCCTCATCAAGGCATTTTCTAGGTATCAAAAACTTCAGCACGTTCAGAGACTTGGCTCCAAGGTTAAGAAGGAAATGCTACACTGTACTTTTATACAATAAAGTTCAGCTATATCTCAAACTCTATTTCCTTTTTAATTACAATTTTCTTACCTGAGCCTCAAGTGATTCTAATGTTACCATTAACCCTGGAGGCCCGAGTTATTTTATGTTCAGCGACAAGTATTGGAACTGCAGTTTCCACATGGGCAATTTCTCCCCTTTGTGAACTTTAACCAAGTGGATAGCATCAGACCAAAGTTCCTAGTTACTCATGTCCTATAGAGAGACAAGTGCCCTAGGGAAAGCTTAGAAATTTGAAATAAACTGAAGATTATATTGCTTCTGAAATATTTGGGCCCTGTGGAATTAGAGAACAGACAGTAGAATTTTAAAGCGAAGGATGTTCTAAAACTAGGCTTTTTATAAAAGATACTCTGGTGGCTGTTTTAAATTTAAGCTCTAGTTTTAGCCAAAATTTGTTTTAAAAGCACTATTGAAGAGGATCGTTAAGAAAAGATGGAGATTATTGGGGAAACGTATTTGAAATAAAATCGGATCATTTATAAACTTTTAAGAGATTTGGCTAACAATTGTTTCTAATTGCATTGTTTATGGCCAGGATGGCAAATACGTGACACAAATATTTCCACACCAACCCTTTTCCCGTGGCAGGCATTGTCAATCTATCACAACACTCTTTCCATTTCCCAGATATTGCTAGCTGGATCATTAAAATGAACTTTCCCTTCTTCCTGGGCACACAGCTAGACTTCACTTCCCAACCTCTCTCTAGTTATGAATGACCATGTGACAGTCCTAACCATCAGTATGTAGCAGAAAGGATGTCTACTTTATTCAGACATGACCCCAAAGATACTGCTTACATATGATTTTTCCCGCTAGTTGGATCGGAGATGATTCACAAATTGGCCAGATGTATTATAGAAAATGTCACTGAAGGCAGTACTGCTATAACAAAAAAAACAGTTAAGCAGCAGGTGGCGCTAAAACTGGTATCTGAGGCTGGACAACTACAATCCTTGTGCAGTACAAATATCTGGAAAACTGTCTGAGATAACTTGGAAGCATGCCTTACATGTTGAGCGAGAGCTCTAGGGGAAGTGGCTGGGAAGAGCCACAGTATTGTCCACCATTGACTAGTCTAAGCAAGCTACTTAAGAATAAGGCAAGAATGGAAACAAAGTTCCAGGGATCAAGGGCCATATAGATTTCGAAATCCAACTACTTCTGCGCTCCATACAAAGACTGAAAAAAGTCTCCAGTGACCAACAGTTTCTAGTTTCATTTCTCAGGTAAACAAAGTCACTCCACCTTCCCTGAAAGATCGCATTAACGCTATTCCCTTACCAGGTCTATTGTTTCAGGTAGCCTCTTTTAGAGAAATTGAGAGGGAAAGGGAAAGAGAAAGGGAGAGTTGCCGGGAGGGAGGCCCAGTCTGAACTGCTATGAAATCTCAGTCTCTAACCCGTTGTGCCCTCAAAAGTCTTCTCTCATTCTAGCAAAGGCATTAGTGGTTTTTCTTCTGCAATCCCAGACCATTTATTTTCTACAACATATTTGGCAATTGCATTTGATTTTTTATAAGTTTAAGAAGACACTGTGTGTTGTCTTCCTGTCTGGGTGTAACCTTCTTTAAATCAGAGCCTGTGTCTGTTGAACCTCTAAAGCTCCTAAAAAAGTACTTTGAATATAGAGTAATGTAGTTTTGATACATTAATAAATTGCCAGTGTCTCCAAGCATCCTCTGCTTTGTTTCGTTTTCTGTAATTAGTAACTGATTTGACCCCACCACCTACTTCTTGAGACTTCAGGGACCCCATTTCCTGAAACTCCACAACTAAAATATACACCTCTGCCTCAAAGCTTTCTAAAATCCCTACCAATCTCCAAAACTACACATCTATCATTTCAGTTCCAAGTAAACCATCTTCCTCACTCAGAGTAATATATAAATTTAGAGCCAATCTAAAGTCAAATCCCCCCTTCCCTCTTGACTGACCGCCTATCTGCCTGCCTTTTTTCCTTTCTTCCTTTATTTTCTCCATTCATCCTTCCTTCTTCCCTGTTTCTCTCCCTCTTCTTTTTCAACCTTCTTTCTTCTCTTCCTCTCTTACTTTTTCATGTGGATGAGAAAATTGAATCACAAAAATGATAGAGTGCTTGGCCACTGTCACATTGCAATTAGTCAAGATTCATATCTTCCACTTATCTGCTAAATATATTTTTGTTACACCCTGTATTCATCCCATGTAATTATACACTCAAAACTCAAAGGGGTAAATGCCTTCAAGTATAAACTTTCAGTCTTTTCCTTATATCTAGAAATTTTTTGGAAAATAAATCTTGCCTTTTGTTCTGCTACATATGAATCTAATATATCATGATTACTCAGATATTAGAATATAGAAAACATACTGACCCAAATCATTTGTCCCACACACATCTGCAATCTTAGGAATTTATCTGTGGAATCCAGGAGCTCACTCCACAAAGGACAGAACCTTCTGGTTATATTGCTGAAAACATACTTCCTGTTTTTTTTCTAGCTTTGTGGCAGAATAATTAATAAATAAAAATTGTATGTATTCAAGGTCTACAATATGATTATTTGATATAAGTATACATTGTAAAATGATTATGTCAATCAAGTTGGTTAACACATTTCTCACCTTACATAGCTGCCATTGTTTTGTGTGTGTATGTGTGTGTGCATGTGTATTGTAACAGCTTTTAAGATCTACTGTTTTAGCAAATTTCAAGTGTATGATACAGTACTGATAACTATAGTCACCATGCTATAAATTAGATCCCAGAGCTTATTCATCTTATAACAGAATGTTTGCTGTACCCTTTGATCTAGATCTTCTCATTTTCCCTCCAGCCCCTAACCACTATTCTATTCCCTGCTTCTTTATGTTTGCATTTTTCTGGGTATATGCAATTCCACTCACTGACAGAGGGGGACCAAAAAGAAGAGGATGAACAAGTTTGTGGGGGGAAGATAAATATCTTTTGGGCAGTTTAAATTTAAGAAATAAAGGTAGTAACCTGTAGTAGAGTGAAAGATCGAAACATAAAACAGAGGTAAAGTTATTAGCCTCAACCAACCCATGCTATATGTTTTCCTTCTGATCAATCCCAGCTACTAATGGAGCGACTAAACAAAATGAATTTTTGCATCAAAATGAGACATTTTACCCTGAGTACTTTCCAATGAAACTATATATAATTACCTGATACCAGTATAGTGATCTAAACATTAGAGGACTAAAGTCGCATATTCATACCACCACGCGCAAGGGCAGCATAAAGGGATGAAGTGAAAATATATCAGTAAGCAAAATACTGATTGAAGGTAGTAAGCTTCATTTACCCATTTATTCTATTTCCAAGTGCATTATTTAAAATATCTTTCTCATTTCTGACACTATAGGGTCTTCTCAGACCCATAGGACATGATAACTCATGGTCTAATACCAATAATTTGAGACTGGGAATTTAGTAAATTTTAATCAATGTTTTATGTGTACATCCGAGAAAACATATACTATTAAAATCTTCAGTAGAGTTCTCTATGTATATCTGCTAGATTTTGTTTATTGGTTGCTTTGTTTAAATCTTTATCTCTATTAAATTTGACTACTTGATCTATTAATTACAAAAATGCTTTTAATTGTGTGCACTTCAATGGTATATTCATCAAATTCTATTTCTTTTTTTCTACAATATATTTGAAGTCATTGTTCAGTGACCTTACTTTTCCTTAGGATTTTTTTTTTGCTTTATATTCTAAATATTTGATACTGATAAACCAACATATTTTTTGTTTAATATTGCACTGATATAACTTTTATACAACTTTTTAAAACTTTTCTTTGTATTTATAATTTACATGTATCTCTTATAAAGAGCATACAATAGGATTTTAAAAATTCATTTATATTAACTTAAAAAATAAGTTGTCTATACTATATTATGATTATTAATCTATTGTATCTATTTCTACATAATTAGTTCCAATTAAATTATAATTATTTATTTTTAATTAACTAAATTATTTGTAATTCTATTTGATTTTATATTTAACAGTTTGCACCACAATTCTGCTTGTAACAGCGACTCATTTTTAGCGGGAAATAATTGAATAAGCTCAAAGACCCTAAGGTCGGGGGTGCTGAGAAGAGCCCAGGCAGCATAACATGAGGACAGAGCTTTTCTTATAAGAAAAGGGAAGAGATAAAAAAGATGGACAGAAAACAACATAGATGATTTGGCAAAATGAGATAGAGGTGACATATTGAAGGGGTAGTAGATTCATCGTAGGGTAATGTCCTGCTTGAAATGTAAATAGAATTTTGCCCTGGCCTATGGAAAAACATTTTTTTTGGTCTCCTCTTCATCCTCGTTCGTCAAATCTTAATAAACAATTATACTCAGGAAAACTTTTTCACATTCTTTGTACTTTGTTTTGTTCTGTTTTCTTTTCTTTTGTTTAAATAATAGGAGGAACTGTCTTCCATATGGGGATATACCAGTGAAGTCAGACCACATTAACAGCAACAAAAATCCAGAGTGAGTGTGAACATCAGAAAATAAATGATATAATACTTTTGTTTTATGAGAAAAGGAATTAGGATGATGAATGTATACATAAAAGATGAAGCTGAGTCATTGATCTATCCTGGTTGTCTATAATTTTTGTTTGCCTTTGCTATGGACTGGATGTTTGTTGTCTCTCCAAATTTTATACACTGAAGCACTCATAAAATGTTTAAAAATTAAGTATTCCGCCGGGCGCTGGCTCATGCCTGTAATCCCAGCACTTTGGGAGGCCGAGGTGGGCGGATCACCTGAGGTTGGGAGTTCGAGACCAGCCTCACCAACATGGAGAAACCCCGTCTCTATTAAAATATAATATTAGCCAGGAGTGATGGCGTATGCCTGTAATCCCAGCTACTGGGAAGGGTGAGGCAGGAGAATCGCTTGAACCCGGGAGGCGGAGGTCGCGGTGAGCCAACATAGCACCATTGCACTCCAGCCCCGGCAACAAGAGCACATAAGGTTTTGGGAAGTAACTAGATTAGGTATGAGTGTGGAGTCCTCGTGATAGTATTAATGCCCTTATAAAAAGAGGAAGAAACAGGAGAACTCTCCTTCTCTCTCCCTCTCCTTACCTCTCTCTGTGTGTCTGTCTGCCTCTCTCTCTCTCTTTTCCTCTGTTAAAACACCAAGGAGCCATGTGAGGACTTAACAAGAAGGCCATTTACAAACCAGAAAGAGAGCCCTCACTGACACCCAATCTGTCAGCACCTTGATCTTGGAATCCCCAAGCTCCAGAACTGTGAGAAATAAATATTAGTTATTTAAGACACTCAGTGAATGGCATTTTGTGATAGCAGCCCAAACTGACGAAAATAGCCTTTATATTCCCTAAATAAATTGCATAGAATGACTCCGAAACTGTAACCGATTAAAAAGTATACATTTGTGAGCTATCTTTGTGTCTTACCTGCTGCAATCTTTAATATTGCATATTTTAAGAATAAATAAAAAGTTAAATATGTAACAATTCATAATGAGACAAAATTGGGATTTGCTTCTGAAAGAGGATAATTCAGAAAAATAATTGAACGAGAAAATCTATACACTAAATTGCCAAAAGACACTACAACATTTCAGATGAGTTTGAGAAGTAAGGCTATTTAAAGGGAAGGTAGGATCTCCCTTATATGTAGCTGCCACAGACTACCACTAATATTCTTACTAAATTCTATTGTGAATAGGTATTCTGTTTAGTGCTAAACTGAAACTTTTATTATATCAAAACTTTTGTCTGAGGCTATGTTAGTCAGGGTTCTCCAGAGAAACCTAGCCTTTAGAGTGAGTGTGTGTGTGTGTGTGTTTGTGTGTATGTAGCTACCATATTGACCCAATTATGACTTATTTGACCGAATTTATGGTGTCATGACCCATAATATGACATGGCTATACAAGCCATATTGTAGGATAACTACCAAGCAATTCTCTACCTCTATGAGATCTACTTTTTAGCTCCCATATATGAATGAGAATATGCAATATATTTGTCTTTCTGTATCTGGTTTATTTCACTTAACACAATGACCTCCAGTTTCATCTCCTATTGGTTACCTTTTAAACCCCAATTTTTAGTGTTTATAACATTCAAAACTATCTCTTGATTCTTCATTTTGTCAGATGAATATAATTGAACTTCTATATTTTCCTCAACTTTTCCTAATCCTCTTTTTTATTTTACCTCTCAGCTACATTCTAAAAGGTATGCCATCTATGCAGGTCATATTTACAATCTAAACTGCAACCACAAATAAATCTTCTATGAATACCGATTGACTCTAAAATTTGAGAATCAGTATTAACCTGACTATGACCATGCATATATTGTTCAGTGCTGGTCCAAGCAGTGACACTAGGTTTAGTGGGCCCAATTCAATGACTTTTGGGCTATTCCAAAGAGAATGTTTCTACCAGCAATGTCAGGTGGATTCTCTTTTCTTATACTCATTCAATTACTCAGAATTATGCCATAATTCAGTTTAGTTTATATTTCAAACTCATTGTTATTCCGAGAGCTGCTAAAGAGTTTTCTACTTCGTAATTTTTTTTTTTTTTTTTTTTTTTGAGACAGAGTCTCGCTCTGTCACCCAGGCTGGAGTGCAGTGGCGCGATCTCGGCTCACTGCAAGCTCCGTCCCACGGATTCATGCCATTCTCCTGCCTCAGCCTCCTGAGTAGCTGGGACTACAGGCGCCCGCCACCACGCCCAGCTAATTTTTTGTATTTTTAGTAGAGACGGGGTTTCACCGTGTTAGCCAGCATGGTCTCGATCTCCTGACCTCGTGATCCACCTGCCTCGGCCTCCCAAAGTGCCGGGATTACAGGCATGAGCCACCGCGCCCGGCCTCTACTTCGTAATTTTTATACCTTCAGCATGTTTTCACTTTTGCCAGAGCAGCTTCCGCTTTCTGCTGTCTCCATTTGTCATTTTTTTCTGGAGATCACTATCCAAAGCCTTGTGCTTCCCACTCCCATCAGAACTGCACCGCAGGTACAGTCATTCACCATGTAACATTTGAGTCAATGACAAACTACATACACAATGGTGGTCCTATAGATTATGATGGAGCTGAAAAGTTCGATTAACTAGTGACATCCTAGTCACTGTAATGTTGCAGCGCAACGCCTTACACGCACATTTGTGGTGATGCTGGTGTAAACAAACCCATTGCATTGACAGCTGTTAAAGGTATAGCATATACAATTATGTACAGTACGTAATACTTAATAATGATAATAAATTATTATGTGACTGATTTATATACTTACTATGCAATACATTTTTGTCATTGTATCTGAGTGTACTTCTTCTACTTCACAAGAAAAACAACTGTAAAACAGCCTCAGGCAGGTCCTTCAGGAAGTATTCCAGAAGAAGGCCTTCTTATCATAGGAAATGACAGCTCGATGTGCTTTATTGCTCCTGAACACCATCCAGTGGGACAAGATGTGGAGATGGAAGACAGTGATATCAATGATCTTGACCCTGTGTAGGCCTAGGCTAATGATTACGTTTGTGTTTCAGTTTTTAACAAAAAAGTTTAAAGCAGAAAAAAAGCTTATAAAATAAGGATATAAAGAAAGAAAATATTTTGTATAGCTGTACAATGTGTGTGCTTTAAGCTGTGATATTATGAAAGAGTCAAAAAAGTTAATAAAGTTTATAAAGTAAAAAATGTTACAGTAAGCTAAGTTTAATTTATTACTGAAGAAAGAAAAAATATAAATTTAGTACATCCTAAGTGTACAGTGTTTATAAAGTCTACAACAGCATACAGTAATGTCCACCTTTCCTTCTTTCCTCCCTTCCTCTCTTTCTTCCTCTTTCTCTGTCTTTCTCTTTTTCCTGTGGTTGGCCAGATTTATTTTTTATCTTGTGCATCCTTCTTTTTTGTTGTACTTCTTCATTTTGATGGCACACATACTCCAGATACTTCCTAAGAGATATTAAAGAGGTCAAGTGTTTCAGTCCTTGAATCCTATAAAAGGCCTGCTTGGTTTGATATTAAATCTGAATTGAAAATCATTTGATGTCAGAATTTAAGAGCCTTATTGCTATCTGGCATAAAGTATGGTTGACAAAATGTCTGATGCCTCTCTGATTTTTATTACTTTGTAGATAATTTTTTGTCTTTCTCCCTTTGGAACCTTATTAAACTTATTTTTTCTTTATCATTCATGTATTTTGGGAGGAAATATAGTTTAATTCCTAACTGCTAGGTTTTTGGAGGCAGAATACTAAGGCTTGTATCTCATTACTGCCACTTATTTACTGGGTAATAAGTGCCCCTTTAACAATTTAACAATTGTGTGCTTTAGGCTTATTTATAAAAAAGGATAATAGTGTGTCTATATCAGCATTGTTGTGAAAATTAAATAAGATAACACACATAAAGGGCATAAAACATGATCTGGCATATTGTAAGTATATACAAATTTTTGCTATTATTATCTTCTAGTTTTGTTGGTTTATTTTAATTTCAGATTCCATATTTTGATGTCTTAAGAGCTTTTCATGTTTTTTGATTGATCCTTTGATTGTGTACTTTTCATGTTTTATGAACCTGATAACTTCTTAAACATCTCAGAAGATAAGTAAAAAAAATTCTAAAAGCTGCCTGGTGCTGTGAATTACGTTTCCTTTGGGGCATTTTTTTTCTTTGTTTATATGGTGTCTCTCTTCCACACAGCTTGCTGTCCTCGTATGTTAGTAATCTGTGGTTTCCACAGGACACATAGCTGGTATGATTTCTCTGCTTTTACTTCTGGTCGGTTTCTTCCCTGAGCGTGGAATTCTGCCTGGACACTCTGAGTGGAAGGGTGCGGTGGGGTCTGTGGGTGTGTTAGTTGGCTTCATTTTAAGGAGAACAGGTAGAGCAGGGTCAACCTGGACCTCACCACCATGCCAATGTGAGAAAACATTCATTGCTAGTCATTATGGGTCAGCCTGTAAGCATAACCCTTCCCCAGATGGTCTAGTTGGGTAAATGTCATCTTCACTGTGTAGGCAGGAGTGAGAGACCAGTCCAGTGGACCATAGCTCTACCGCACAGGTTTGTCCTCTTTCATATCTGCTGCCTCTGAGTCACAGGAATTTTCCAGAGCTCTTTCAGATGGAATAACCCCAACTTTTCCTACAGCAATCAATATTGTACTTTAGGCTAAGGCTTTTCCCCATCCAATTATGGTCTTCTAGAAATGTATTAAAATATTTTTGTAACAGTGACACCTCTCATATTCTATTTATTGTTTTGACTATTTTGTTTTCTAATTCTAGACTTTAATTCCAGTGATTCTCCAGAGAGACAGGAGGTAGATATATTTGCTTAGTTCACACCAAGTATTATTTTCTTTGACAGCTATAAAAGAACAAATATAGTTGAGAAAACAAATTGTTAGTATAAATATATATTTGCCATAGGATTTCTGCTAACAATAGTAGGAAGCAGAGTTAAAATATTTTTTCTTCACCATGAATGACTATCCTGTCACTGATACTTACTTATATAAAATTTCTACAATGTATATTCTAGAAATCAAATTTGGTAGAAATTCCTAGATATTTTCAATAAAAATATAGAAAATATGTAGTAAAAGCTAAAATTTTTTATTAGAAAGGGATACTTAGTGTTTGCTACTAATCAATGGCTACTAGTTATTTTTAAACTAGGATGTTAAAGGATATTAAACCTTTAATGTGTACTCTTAAAGCACACTGTAGCCTCCTTATTATCATACTAATTGAATGTTAGTAAAATTACATCTTGAAATACCTGTCTGCCCTGGATGGAAAGATCTGTGATTTTGGTGCCAACGCCTCTTTTGCTCCTTGCCCGGATTCATTAATAGCATAGTAATTTTAAAGAGTGTGCCACTTAATATCTGTCTTTTGAATAAATGAATGAATACATGAGTGAATGAGTTATTCTAAAATTAAATTATTATAAGTTAAAATAAACTTATAACATAGGGATCTAATATGTATTTTAATTTTTAACTTAAGTTTATTTATGCTTATTTTTTATGAAAATTTAATCCAATAATTCTAATAACAATAGTAACAGTAATTGTTTGGCATTAAACTTTATAAATTCCTCTAATACAGAATTACTTGATAATTTCTATTGAATACAATCAAATACATAATGTACGTCAAGCATATCTTTTTGGTTTTTTGTTTTGTTTTGTTTTTTGAGACAGACTCTCACTCTGTCACCCAGGCTGGAGTATAGTGGGGCAATCTCAGCTCACTGCAACTTCTGCCTCCTGCATTCAAGCAATTCTCCTGCCTCAGCCTCCCAAGTAGCTGGGATTATAGACACTTGCCACCACACCTGGCTAATTTTTGTATTTTTGGCAGAGATGGTTTTCGCCATGTTGGCCAGTCTTGTCTCGAACTCCTGACTTCAAGCGTCCACCCACCTCCCAAAGTTGTGAAGCATATCTTTGAACACAATGCAAAATGACAAGGTATTACTTCTGATCTTACATGTATTTATCATAAACTCTATATTTGGAAAGCACAATGTATTACCTAATAATATATCACAATTTTTATTCTAGATGTAACTTCTCCTAAAAAAAGATTAATGTGAAAATGAATACTAACTAGAATACTAGACTGATTAGAAATCAAAGGGACCCCTTTTGATTTGAGCACTTTGCCCTTATATATTCCACAGGTGAAGAGGCAGAGATCTCATTATGTGAAGCTGTGGACCGAAGGTCACAGGACTTATTACTGATGCAATATCTCAATGGTAGAGCCAAAACAAATTCCTTTCTTTTAACTTGCTTTTTCCCTCTACCAGAAACCCTAAGACCTTAAATTCTTTAAAGTATTCCACATTTTAGAAATTTCTAGGAAAAGGTACAGAAGAGTGCAAGGATGAGAAGTACGATGAGAATATGATGGATGTCCCACACCCCAAGGGAAAAAACACCTAAGATATCCTAATCAGCGATGCAACAAAGGCAGTTGCTCCTCCAACCTTACAGGGTTGCAAACAGTTTTCCATGGCTGCCATGATTACAGCCGAGCTGTGGTACTGCACTCCGTTGCTTGCAGCACTTTCCGCTAGAGTGTAATAGAATACTGGAACACTATTGTATTTTTAAAGGCAATTAATATTTTATTATGCACAGACTTTTATTTGCACCATTTGGATTCCTCTTCTCTAATTAAATCTTGTGATTTACACAAACAGAACTGCTGTTCTTTAAACTCTGCAAATTATCAAAATTAACAAATACTTGTTAAAAGGAAGCAAAAGCAGCCAAGGGCCCTATTTTTGTGACAGAAACAACTGGAGGCAACAGAGTGAATTGATAGTGTCTCTTATTTGAGTGGGGCAATGTGGCAATTACATATAAAATACCTTAGTTAGGGAGAACTGATAGAAATTCCAGCTGCCTATGAGAGAAAGGTTAATTCTTTAAATAAATAAAGCCAGAGTATTTTATGTGACCATGTAGGATTTTTGCTTCATGACCTGTGTGCAGCATTTTGTGTTATGGGATTTATAAATCAAGAATATGGTTTCAAGCATGCATTCTCCCAACCCTGTATTTGTGGAATGTTTCCTAGGGCCAAACGAATGGACTTCAGAGGGAACAGAGGAAATATGCTTAGATACCCACTAGGGGAATATGCCTTGCTCCCATTCTTATCCCTAAATAAGAAAATTCTAGATAAATTCCAGCTAAATGAGTATTATTAGCTCCTCACCACTGGCAATATTTGAAGTAAAGGAGGGTACCCTTTAGGGACCCTGTCTTCATCTCTGGAAAGACAACAGACAGGGACCTGGTTGAGGGTGAGGAAGAAAAAGATAGGATCAGGACAAGAAATAATCTCCATCCTAATTAGTCTGGAGATTTACAGAAGTTTTCCTGGGAACAGTCTGCAGTCTCCTCGAAGAGCATTACCCCCAGGGTCTCCATTTGGGAAAGAAGAGGAAGGGGAATTCAAAAGTAGATCGGGGTGGACCCAAGGAATTTAGTTTTCTTTATGGCTCTTTTTCCACCCCTGGCAAAATGGATATTCAGTCCAGTAAATACAATGAGAGGTAATAGGTTCAATAATGCAGAAATTCGCTTTCCAGACATTTCAGGAAAGCATTTAGCCCATATGTAAAGGGTACGATGCAGCTTTGCTATTTCTATTCTCATTTTGCATGAGATTCTTCTCTTCATTCAATTTGTAAGTTATATGCTTTTTTGCCTTGTGTGCTGGCAGATTAATTGAGGAAAAACTCCTACATGAAATTTTTATAAGGATAGCGGAATACCTAACTGAGTGAGTACACATTCTCCATTTAAGCAAATTCTAAATAGCTTTATTATAACCTATATTGGTAGAAATGACTTGAGTCTTCCATTCTTACAAGAGCCTTGACATACTTTCAAAAGAACACATACAAATACACATTATGCACACTTTGTAAATTTAGTCTCCAGTTTTAAAATATACCAAATAAAAGCAATTCTCAAGTTAGAAATAAGTACAAGCAAATAACAAACAAACACTATTTTTGTTTCACTATTTTATTACTCCCTAATGTTTCCACTATTGTTATGGAATCACTCTGAAAATCTTTATTCTTTTAGAGAATCTCAATGCTGCCAACCTGAAGACTTACCCTGTGAGGCTTCATGGAAAGGGAATATATCAAATCAAAAAGAAAGTTTCACCTATTTCAAACTAGTCTCCAAAATTAACAACGTGTCCAGGAAGTATTAATAACAGAAAACATTTATCCTTTCACCATATTTCTCCTATTCCTATTCTTCATCTTTCTCCTTCTTTCCCCCAAATGGGGCAGCCTTTCCCCCAAATGAGGCAGCAAATCAAGAACTAGGGCATATGGTACCAATATGGCCTTTTAGTAGATTTTTAATGCACTTGGTGTTTAAGGACTACCTCAAAAAATTAGCTTCCATTGAAACTTTGTTCCTGTGAGTGTATACATCCTAAAACACAGCTGAAAACAGCCAATTTAAATATCATTTGGTTTGTGTGTGTGTGTGTGTGGGTGGGGGGGGGGTTGTTGTTGCTGTTATTGTTTTCTTTTTTAGAGACAGAGTCTCTCTCTGTTGCCCAGGCTGGAGTGCAGTGGCGCGATCTCTGCTCACTGCAACCTCCACTTCCCGAGTTCAAGCAATTCTCATGTCTCAGCTTCTCGAGTATCTGGGACTACAGGTGTGCACCACCATGCCCTGCTAATTTTTTGTATTTTAGTAGAGATGGGGTTTCACCATGTTGGCCAGGCTGGTCTCGAGCTCCTGAGCGAAGGCAGTCCACCTGCCTCAGCCTCCCAAAGTGCTAGGATTATAGGCGTGAGTCACCACGCCGGCCTTGGATATCATTTACTCACTAGGACACTAGGAGTAGATATCATTTACTCACTACAAATATAATAACATTAAATATTTAGTGGATGCTCACTATGGGTCAAGTTCAGTACTAAATTATTTACTGCATTATCCCATTTCATCCTTACAGCAACCCAATTTAGAAAGGGATTATTAGAATCCTCTTATAGATGAGGAGAGTGAGGCTTAGAGAATTTTGCCCATATTCAAAGTCACGCACAGACTAAACGGAAAAACCAAGAGGATAAGAATGTGAAAATAGGTCTATCTGATTTCAAAGCTGGTGCTGTTTAACACTGTGCTACGCTAAAATAGAAGAAGTTGAGACCGTTTATACATATATAAAGATAAAAGATATGTTTAATAAATTTTTAAGAGTATTTCTATTATTGAGAAGATAATTGTGGAAATTAATTCTTTCATTGTCTTAGCAAATCACATAATTTATCTTGCCATAAAAAAGAAGACCAAACTGACAAATGTATAGGAAAAGTTGAGTCCTCCGTATTATTTATTCTAGCAGATTGTTTCATAAACATCAATCTTTTAAAAAGTAGGGTTGTAACGCTGTAATAAAACTAAAAATTCCCATTTTTCTCCATTAATATTAGTAGATGTTTATTAGAGAACTACGCTTTCTGGGCACTACAGTATAATGAGAGGCCCCTTGAGAAGTTATGAGTCTCTCCTTATGCTTGGTCCATCATAGGTGCTTGATAAATGTGATTACATAAATGATGGCAGGATCTTTGACTATGGCAAACATAGAGGGCTCAGCAATACAATAATCCAAGTTTAATAAATGGGTTCTGATATTTACCTGAATACTGTAATGCACTAATATAAAGGGGTAAGCATGATAAAAATTAATAAGTACACATAGCAAAGCAATTTCAACCATATAATTAAAAACATATTAAAAAGAAAATATGATCTTCCCTTTCTCTTTTAATACAGACACAGTTTACAGGAGAAACTGTATTTTATCTGGCCCAGTGTTATTTCTTTTGGTGGTTGCCTTCATAATTCCACAGAATATGCCTATTTCTTGACTAATGGAGAAAATCCTTCACATTTACTGAATGCCGACATCTTGTGCTAAGGGACGGTGCTAAGGAAGCTGCCTATATTGTCTCATTTAGTGTTCCTTGGGAGTAAATACTGATTATGATGGTCAATCATGATAATTCCATTCTCCTTGCCATTGATTGATTTATATGACATAATTATGGCAAAAAGCTATTAAAAGAAGTTTGCTTAGGGTCTTTAGGGAAAAGTTTCTTTGTTCTTGGAAAGAGACACAGAGTAAAGAACAGTCTATCGGTGGTCACTTTTGTGACATTAATGTAGTACACGGTTATGCTGCAACAATGCTCTGCCTGTAGCAGGGTGAGAAGAGTCCTCCTAGGACGGCAGGGTGGAGAGCAATAAAAACAGTGTGAGTCCTTGAAGATGTGAAGCGTTGAAATAATCAACCCATTCCACCACAGTTAACAAAGCCATGTCTGGATATGTTCTAAAAAACTAAATTTCCTTTTTACTTATTATCACCAAAACACAGGCCTCCTATTATTCAGAAGGTAATATAATATGGTCCAAAAGATCCAAACTCTGGGTGCTAACAACCTATACTTAAATATTTTCATGTTTAACCTGCTACTCAAATACTTGTTTTCTGTTATTTAATCTGTGATAAAGATACCTTGGGCCATTACTAATAACATCTGAAAATCTATGACACAGGAAGCAACTTTTAGTTAGAGAGAATTAGGAAGTTAGAAGGTAATAGCCTACTGTTACAAATGAGAGAGTAAGTATATGTTAGAAAGCCATAGACTGGAATCCAGTAGTCTTCATGTTTGAGATCCAATTTTCACTCAATGAAATTTTGTGCAACAATAAATGAACTTTTCTTTCTAAACTTTCTAGCCTATGTTTCCATATATATCAAGCAGGGTTTCTAATACATGTTCTGCAGGATCAAATGGGCTAAGTACATAAAATTGATTTATTAAATTTCATTGATTCATTGAAAAATATTTATAACATGCCCATTATATATGTCAGGAACTGTCCCAGGCTCTGGGCAAACAACAGTGAACAAAGCACAATATGCATAAATGAGTTCATTTATTAACACATGATCAGTTCTAATTTGCTTTATAAGTTTTAAAAGCAAAATGGGCCTTTTAATTATGAGACTATTATATTGCATCATAAACTTCTGGTATACAGAACTGAAATATCACAAGGGAACATATATTCTGGATTATTTAAAGTATATTGCCAAGGAGATCAGGAATTACAATTTACATTTTTTAACTATGATAGCCTCTACTTCTTTAATTGAATTATGTTATAGTTAGGCAAGTCTTTTGATGAATCACCTGTTTTCTCATTTCTCTTAGCTGCCAACAACATGCATTTTAGAAAAGACTGACATGTTTATACCAATGTGTATAATATAAAGAATTTGGAGGAGATCTGCACTCCCATTACTATGGTGGCTCTTGACAACCATACACTGTTTACTGGTCCCTGTTGCATAGCTTCCTCATATTGCATAACATCTTTTTAAACTTAATCCCACCCAATCCCACCTGAGATCTGCTATGAAACTTGATAATTGCCCATTGTGCTCTTGTTCTTCGCTAAACTGACAGAAAGATTATCCAGTAGAACCACATGGAGAAGCATCTAGTCAGCCTTTAATAATTTCCCAATTGTATTAGTCACGTTAATTCTGCTCTTCTCTAATAACTGCAGTTCTCATCCCCAATAATTCTTTCCTATTGTCATGTACAATTGTGTAAGTTAAGCCTTGATCAGCAATTGCTTGCCAATGAGGGCGGTGGGGCTGAAAGGCAGCCTGTGCTGTGCTCAGCCAATCCTCAACCCAGAGCCTGAATTCAGTTCTTCACCGAATCCCATGGAATGGGAATTCAGTTCCCCACCAAATCCTACTGAGAATTCAGTTCCCCACTGAATCCCAATGGGAATTCAGTTCCCCACCGAATCCCAATGGGAATTCAGTTCCCCACCAAATCCCACTGGATCCAATGGAATGACTTTTACTGTCTTCTCTCTATCTTTAAATGAAAGAAAGAAGAACCAATGAAGGAAGAAAAGGTGGGAAAGGGGGCATATGTATGTGTATAGTTATTTTTATAAATTTGATCAGAAAAATGTTGAGCTACTTATTATTTTAAAATCTACATTTTTTTCCTGCTAATATTGTTTCTTAGAATATTTCCCCTTCTGTAATGTGCCAACATGAAGGCCAGCTTACTCAACCTTAACTACAGCTGGCGATATAAGGATCAGGTAAGGATTGAGATATGCTTGCTGGTGCTGCAAATTTAGCTTTGCAACTAATTACAGAGCTCTGTAAATTCAATAAGTGCCCTTTTTCCAGCAGTGATTCAACTTGTCAGGATTCAGAGACAGCCCACTGTATAGTCTCATGTCAATCACAGCATTTTTTCTACCTCTCCCTTGGCTGGACTGGCCTCAAAGAGCAGGAAGTGTGCTGTCCAGGACACAGTAAGGACTGAAGGACCACTCCTTTATATATCATATTGATTTGCAGACAACTTTCCCCTCTGCCTTCACTTGATGGCTTGGGGGTGGTGGAGATAATAATGAAATAAATATAAATAGGTATCTTTTCAGTCTTTGCACAACCTAGAATTTTTTAGCTGACTTAAGAAATAAAGAATCAAAGTGCAAGTCACTGTCTTTTCATGGAGCCCATTGTACCAGTGAATTTAAAAAGTAAAGAACTCTTTGTTGATCTGTTGGGAATTTGTTTCATAGTTAGCATCCTCTGGGACTTGAGGTAGAATTCTGGGGACATGTGCCAGCATATAGTCGTGACCAGCCAATGGCAATGGTCCTTAGCTGCAATCTAAGTGAAGACTCGCCTTTAAGGCTGTATGCTGGATCTCCAAAACGTCACAGGATCACAGAATAACAATGAAATTGGTATTAGTAAGACAAATGATAATAATAACAACACCTAAAGTACTCTAAACTGATAAGTACTTTACATTAATAGTCTCATGGAATACTCACCACATGCCTGTGACCTAGATATACTTTTGCCATTTCAGAGATGAATAAACTGAAACTGAGGGAAGTTAAACAAGTAGCTCAAAATTTACAACTAGAAAGGAGAGAAGTTAGGATTTGAGTACAGATTAGAAATAAATGCTATATGGCCTCATGTATGTTTTCACTGTTCTATTAACAAACAAAAAATATAAAGACAGATAAAGAAAGACCTCTGAGATTCTATAGTAACTGCCCTAGAGGTGGTACACTAAGGGTCTTACACATTTTTACCTAGGGGAGATTCTCAGTCTGCCAACAAAGAAAGAGCAATAACAACCACTCTGTTCATTTTACAGAAACAAATCTCTTTCTGGATAAAAGCTTTCTAAGAGCACTGGCTCTGACCAGAGCCAATGTCACTACTTGATGTGGATAATTTTAAGGTTTGCTTTAAAAGCCTTTTAATTAAGCTGCAATATTATTATATCCAGTATGCTTTGACTATTTGCACTGAACTCCGTTGATAAGGCAGAATGTTTCCTCTGGGTTATTTTTTCCCCTCATTAATTTCTCAATGAAAGTGAGAGCACATAGGAAAACAGAACAGAAAGAAGTAAAGAGATAATTCTACCCACTTAAATTCCTAGGACCGTATTGCACTCAAAATGGAGATGGATTGGATTGTCCTGAGGAGCCTCTGTTTCCTTGCATTTTCCAAGGCCGTGCTGCTTGTAATGTGGTACCTTTGTATACGTTCTAGAGCATGGATCTGGAGTAGTTATTTCCGCCTGCTCCTATGTGGGATTGCTGATATCTGGCCACATTTTCTATACTGATAGAAAACGCTTTTTAAAAATTTTAAGACTCTTTGGTGATTAAAGATTGAATGTAAACAAGACAATCTAAACAGTAAGTTGTGCTTATTTGTAGAAAAAGAATATTATAAATATATTACTTTAGTGTGCATCTTTTAACTATCACACTAGGAATCATTCTCATCTTAAGGCTAATGAGACAGACAGAGAGAGAGAGAGAGAATGTTCTTTAACATTACAATATCAAAGACAAAGAAATCTCCAATGGGAATGTTTTTTCTAGTACTGGCATTTTGGCCATTCTAAGTCTGTGACATGTATTTTGAATAAAGAAATTCAGGATTCTAGTGTGATTTCCATCGTTTGTTAGTGATGTGAACTTAAGCAAATCATTGATACTATTTCCTCTCCTGTAAATGTGTTCAAATAATACTTCTCAGATCATCTTTTGGAGCCATTGAAGGTATCAAATGAGAAAAATAAGTGAAATCTTCATGAACTGTGATTATACACAAGAAATATGTATTGATGTTTGTCATCAAAAATATGTGTGAAAATTGTGATAGAGTAAGCTGTATACTCTGAGATGAGCTATGAGCAAAACAATCACCTGGGATAAGACAATTCTAAAAGCAGAAGTGTAAGTGCATTAATACTAAGTAAAACTGAGAAATTATAAATATTAAAAACACAGTGCATGTAACTCCATTGCTCGTGCATGCTGCTCCTCCAGCATTCTATTTGAATCAAAAAGTTCCAATAGAGTTGAAAGTACTGATCAATTAGATGGATGAGTTGTTAATATTTTTATAAAATCGGGTGAGTATTCTAAAGAGTTTTGGGCTTGGCTAGAGGCAAGAAAATGTGAGGAAACAGACTTTAAGAGACTAACAACCAGTATCTGCTGTTTCCCAAAGTTTCAATAGCTTGCTAGTATGCCTTACAGACTGTTTGCATAGTAACATCTTATATGCCCTTCTACTAATTGCTAAATTACCATTGATTTAATCAAATTCAATAGTACTATATAAAATAGATTTAGAATTTAGTATTAATCCTATTATTTGTTCTGTTCTACAATTCAGTTCAAATATTTAGCAGTCATAATTAGAAGGTTTAATATAGTAATTTAATGGAAGAAATTACCGAGCACTTTTGTTTGATTTTAGACATTTTAAAAGAGTAAGTAGTCTTTACAAAAAGGAACATATAGTTCATTCTATTTTCATTAGTTAAAGCCACCCGATTCTCTACTCAATACTTTATTGTCTAATTTTTACTTTAAAAGAATCCAATTATCTGTATATATGAGTTATCCAAAATATTTGTTAGTAAAATAAGAGAAAAAATATTTTATTTCTTTAATCCATGTCTCCAAAATGCACAAGGAGGTAGGTCAAATCAAATGTAATTGTCTGGGCCACATTCTCTAATGGAAAGACTTTTACACCTTAGACCTAATGTGCATGCATAGGCCTCTCGAAATAGCATGGTGTGAGCTAATGATGTGCATTGCTAAATATTTTTACATCAGGGTGACATTTATAAATTATATTTTAATATTACAATTATTTTAGATGATTGCCCCAAAAGCCCTTTTATTTTTAGAAAATACGAAGCATGCCTGGCCCACAGACACTCAAAACCTAAGATGTTTCAAATTAGACTCATTATCTTTCCACCCCCGCCCTAAAGTTGCTGCTCCTCTGTGTTCCCTTGCTCCAGTAATGGGGCCAGTCTCCTCCCAGTCACACAGGCTAGAAAACTTCAATCATCTTTGACTTCGACCTCTCCTAACCCTTTAAATCCAGTCAACCAAGTCTTCTCAAGTTTATCTTTGAAATGTCTTTGGAATTTGTCTTATGCTTCATCCTCCACACTTCTTCCGTGATTCCGGTCCTCATCATCAAATGCTCTCAGTTATTCCATGAGCCCATTCCCTAAGCTCCCGGGAGCTCATGCATTCTGTCTCCAAATACGCTCTTTACATTGCTAGGCTTATTCTTTTAAAACACAAACATGAATATATAACCACTCTGAAGCTGGAAAACATTTCTGGCAATACCATTTCACAGACAATGAAATCTAAACTCCTTAGCAGGGCATCAATCCTTTCACTTTTTGCCCTATTGGTTATTTTCCCCAAGTACCTTATGTTCTAGCCCTGCTACATCATTGGCTACCTACAAACATTCTACATTTTTTCTCAGGCAATTTTCTTTGAGTGGGTAACCATTGCTACCTTGTATGCATTGGGATAACCTAGTCATTTATCATAGCACAGTTAATCTCTTGTTAATCAACATTGGGAAGAATTAATCAACCTTGCTACCCAGGTGCCTAGCAGTTTGCTTATTACTATCTTATAATACCTACCATAATCTAGGAAGAAAACTGGTCAGATATGTGTTCGTCCACACTGGTAAAAACAGAGCTCTTTGAATGCAGGAACTTTGTCTTTTTCATGGTTATATGCCTCATACATATAAGTTAGTAAGTCACAGTTACATGTTTATTATTCAACATTTTAATTGTTTTACAAATTACTGTTGGTGCTGTTCATATTATATGATGAAAAATAGCATTGTTCTTAACAGCATTCTTATATTATATATGGGAGATGTCAATACCTAGCTAGAATTAGGAGAAAATACACCAACCTCCTGACATGACATTCAATATTTTTCATCATACTTTTGCATTAGGATAATTCATATACTTTGAAAAAAAAGAAAGGGCATATATATTGGAAAAATATTATGTTTCCTCCAAAAACTAATGAGAAAAGATAGAGACAGATGGAGTTCAATTGACTAATTTTCTGCCCAGCTGCCTAGATGAAAAATAAAGATGTACTGACCCTATGCTTCTGTATGCTAAACTGTTCAAATATTTAGCCTTCTTTAACCATTATGCTAAGGTTGAGTGGACAGTACCTACATTAGCAGACACTATTCACCTGACTGTCCCTTTTGTTCTCCATTTTTAATGTGAAAGAAGAGAGTCCTAAAAATAGAACCAACCCTTGCAACTGGCTTGCATTCCTGAATATACAATTAGATCACAATAAAGTGACAAAATCACATCACATTTATTTGAGATAGTTCAAAAATAATATATGTATTTTTAAAATTGCTTGAACTTTTTTTCTCTTCTAGACCCTTCTAATCTTTTAAAATTCTTAGCTGCAAAAAAAGTGCCAATTTACCCTTTTAAAAACTAGGCAAGCTCAAGATTCTTTTCATGTTAAATGGAAATAGGAAATCATTTCCATTTCCATGAGGGATTCTAGCCTCAAATGGCTTAACTTTAATTTTCTATATGTTTTAATTGAGTGTGTGTGTGTGTGTGTGTGTGTGTACATACATTATGTGGAACTTCTTCCTGACCACATTTGAAGTGGCTGTAATTTTTTTTGTTTGCTTGAGAAATATCTTCTTTCTCTCTTAACTTTCTCCCAAAACAATCTTTTAAAAGCCTGACCCTAGCCTCACCTTTCCAATCTCTCTGCCTCAATGGCTCATTGCGCTGATGTGTTCGAATTTCACTTCTGCTACAAACTTGCCTGCTCGGTGACTCTACATTCACCTGTCTGCCTCCCCATTTATCTGTAGCAGGATTAGAAAACCATAAAATTTATAGAATATTTGTTTGCATTATGATTTCTAAATTTTAAGTCAAATGGCATATACGAAATTTAAAGTTTTTACCAAAAAAAAACCTCCAGATTATTTGAAAAATATGAAGATTTAAAAACACGTATTCCACCATATAATAGCCAGAACTGATAGGAATAAATCATTCAGGGTCGAGTCAGAAGAGAGAAACCACACCAGTAATTTGTACAGGGAAAATTTAACGTAAAAATTATTAGCTAGTAACAAGAGATTAACTGCCACAGGGTAAAGAGATCCTTGAAGGATTCATAGATCCTATCCATAGGAAGCAGCTAAGGGCTAAGGCAGAGTACCTAGGGAAGAAACACATTTGGAAGAGAGCACAATCACCCTCAAACCCAGGGCTAGATTCCTCAGTGGAGAGGGTCTGGCTATGACATACCGGATAGGGAAGAAGGGCAGACTGCAAGACTGGACACAGAAAACTGCCTGCTGGACGGCCAGCAAGACTCACTGGGAAGTCACCCACTGGGATACCATAAAAAACTTTGTGGAGGATGAGTGCCACCATGTGTCCTGCCTACTGCTGGCTGCCACACATTGCAGAAGCAAGAAGGAAAGAAACAGACACTGGAACCTGCAAGAGATGACTCTTCTTCCTGCAGTGTCCCACCATTGCTTCCCATGATAAAGTTTACCCAGGTGCCAGTTGGCAAAGGAAAAATGTTAAGAGGGACCAGCCTCAGAATCCAAAGCAGGGCAAAGCATCATATGGATTTAAAGCTGAGAGGCAATAGATTGATAACTGGCACAGAAAATACACTCTAATCAATTATAATTCTCTCACTGACTACTGTAGGCTCTTGAGTTTATGGCTAATGACCCAAGTCATCAGTAACCCACATGGCTTCCTGATAGAAAGAAAGATTTTTAGAGATTTGGAATTCTTAGAGACTCAATCGCCAACACATATAATTACCAATACTGCTGATATGTAGAAGTGAATCTAATAAGATAAGACAAAAATAGTATGGAAAACATGAATCCTCATGTACCTAAAATGTATTACTTTACAGTTGCATGTTGATATACCCAATGTGAGAAGAAATTATACAAAAATGAAATGTGTCTTTAAGATATGGCCATAGTTCTATTCAGCTACAAGGACATAACTACCCTTTTTTGATGTAACATTTGAATCGTTTTCTAAAAATTTTTAAGACCTGTATTTTATGTTTGTTTTAAAAGTGGTTTTTGATACCTTAATCTTTATTTCATTTTGTTTTGTCTTTATTTCAATTTGCTACTGTATCATCTATTGAAAAATCTTATTAAACACTTCCTGGCACTAGGCTCAAATGAAAGTAAGACGTAAGTGATTATGATATTGCTTTCTCTTTTCTTGGACTCATTGGATGAAAGGAGACAATTAAAGTCAGTAATTTTTAAAAAAAACTGATTTTTTGGAGTTGTTTTCGACTTTCAAGAAGATGAAATGTAAAGTTTTTGAAAAAGTACAGAGGAGAAGTCTTGGACCTTTTGCCTCTGGCTTTCAAATGCTGTTTGTAGGCTTTGTACCTAGGCAAGCAATGAGCCTGTTTTTTCTATTCACTCGGAAGAGTGAATGGGATTGATTTTCAATATATATTAACTTTTGCCTATTCCTCTAGAGGTTCTTGCAGGTACTGATAATGACTTGGCAAGACATCTGTCATTTATGTAAGAGCAAGTCCAAAAAAATACCACAGTGTCATACTTCTATAAAGTAAACTAGAATTCCCCAGGACTTCAGCTAAGATGGCTAACTTGTAGTTACAGTCAATATGGACTGTGGCCTGCCTTTGACAATTTCAACAGCTTAAAGAAGAGTTTTAGCCAGCTAGAGTTATCAGGCAGGTTAATTTCTGCCTGCATTTAATGAAATTATTTATTTCTTTCCCTTATGCTCCCTAAGTTGTGTTGATAAAGATGAATATGAGATCCACACCTTCTGAGAATTATATTTAATATAGTTTTTAGTTTTTCTTTTACACACACACATATGTCAATAAAAGGAATGCCTCTTCCTATCACTAAACCACCTGTGAAAGGTAAAACACTGGAACATTGGAACTTTTAAATATCTAGGTGAATCTATTTTTTTCTCATTTCTCAAATTTAAATGTGCTCTTAAAATATGTAATTTGTTTCTCTTCATGAAAGAAAGCAGATATAATGAGGGCAATATCCTTTTTAGAAGAAAAATAATTCTATGAAATATATGTTGCAATATTCTTTACATGCTGCTGAAACTTTGTATTTTTAAGAACAGAAACAGGAGCATAAAAATATAACTAAACTTCAAAAGCCCTTGTGACAGAATGACTGGTGTTGTATAACCTTTTTTGATCTCTCATAAATAAAGAATCATTTCTGCAAACCTTAGAGGTGAGAGCTGCAATGTTTAAATTCTAAGAACATTCATTTTAATGAAGTCTCTGAGAAAACCAAGGTATTGTTGGGGTTGATGGAAAATTCGGCTTTATTTTTCACTCAGATACTGGAGTTGTGGAATCTTGCCAACAGGTAAAGAGTAACTCTCAGGTATTTATTTAGTTAAAACATTCTAACCAGTATTTACCTCATTACTAAGTATGTTCAAAAGTCTCTGGGGCTGCATAAGACATTTTAAAAACTATTTTCAGGTAAACAGTTCCAATGCAAATTTAGTTTCTGAAGAAAGCTGCACTGTAATATCCCTGAACCTCTTTAAGGGGTTTCTTTGAGGCCCTGCAAAGCTCCCTTTGCATGAAAGGATTACTTACACTGACCTATGAAGAGAAATGTTTGCTTTGCGTCTCTTAAAAAAAAGTGCTATGGATTGTAAATTTGGATGCTGTTATAAATTGGGGTCATGTACTCACACAAATAATGAAATGAATATTATCATTTTGCACTTACTTGAAATTATGTAAATTATTGAAATGAGAGAGAGAGAGATCAAGCAATGATATAGAAATATGGTCTCAGGTACTCAGGCTTACTATTACTGATTTATTATTTATTTTTCTTATTCCTTTCAACTATTTTGCATCTGATTTTCCCTACATAAAAATCAACTAACATAGAGAGATGAACCAAAAAGTTTATGATTTAGATATGAGATATCAATTTGCTTTTATAATCCAGCCATATAACAAAGTTAAGCAGATATTTTTAAAATATGATAAAAAGGAAACAAAATTCTGATTTTAACATTTCCAGATGTACAGTTAATAATCAACTGAAAGTATTACTTAATGAGTCTTATTTACAATGTTAAAGTTGGATATAATATTATAAAATGAAAGTCATACATTATTTAGCATGAAAATAGAGTTGTGTATACAATTTAAAAAATATAATTGAAATATATATTTCTTTTAGTGTCTGTTACAAAGCATGGTTAGTCAAAATCATGAATTAACCAGATAAACTACATTTTCTCTCAAGGCCTCATGTATTTATGATTCTTAGGTTTTTTAACCTTAAAGGAGACTGCTGATTACAGGTCAAACTAAAAGAAAATGGATAGAAAGTGGATTTAAAAGACCGGTATGAGCTTGGCTATGAAAAGCAAATATGTAACAATTTTGCTTTTTGAAAAGTACTTAGATTGATATCTAGATGCCTTATCTTTTTGAATGTCAGTTAAGGAGAGAGCTGTGTGTATTTTGGTGTGTTAGTGAATATATATTCCCTGGTAGATTTGTGGAATCCTATATTTCCTACATATTTTACTTAACATGGTGGAATAGTTCCCACCTTGATAAAATTGAATTATTACTTAGAGTGATCTAACAGAACCTCATTTCCAGAATGCTTTCTTTTCATATCCTGTAATATGGTGTTTAAACTGTGACAAACGCTCACACATTGAAGAAAAAACAGACAAATCAAAAAACTTGTTTCCCATTATTAATCTTCTTCATTGGTACTTTTTAGATTTTTTAAAGCAAGTGCTTTCAGATAGGAATGATTTTTCTAAACCTTTTGATTAGTTGTTTCTGCACTAAAGTAAAATTGTCAGTAAACACTCCAGGCATTTTCCAGTATATATTTTTACTGCTTTGCGTACTGAGCAAAGTATTGAGAGCTATGTAGTAAATTTGTAAGTGTATGCTGAATTTTCTGTTGGCCTCTCAACATCTTTTTTGTTCCTTCCCATGTCCCTCATGTATCTCAGAGGCAGGAAACCAAGAGTTTACATTTCTCAGGCTCCCTTGCCATCAGGGTTCCATTTGAGATTCACCAGTGAATGGCACTTGAATGATATTTGGAAGGCAGACAGAATGAAAAGCCATTTTGTCCTGAAAATAACACACAGGCAGAGAGCCTGTGGCAGATGACTTCCTGCAGTTTCACAAGAGATTTTCTGATTTCTTTTCATGAATAATCCCCTTCAATTCTACAGGTTGCTGCAATAATTGGTAGAGGCTCTTTGTGATTATTGTATTATCTGATTTTCAGAACTTTAATCATGTTTTTCCATGGTCTTCACTTTTCCAACTATTCCAGCAGGTTTATTAGTATCTATTCCCCTGTATTTAATTCTTCCAGCATGTAACACCTAGAAAGGCTTCTGTTTTCCTAAAATATCCTGACTGAATCAATTATCTTCATACAGTAATAATCCTGTAGTTATAAGATACTTTTAGAATGATACGATTGAGGAACTATTTTGCCCACATCATATCTCTACCCACCTTTCATTTTGTAAAAATTATTTCCAAATTTAGAAGAGCATTCCTCATGTAATTTCTTTCTCAAATAATGTCAAATACCACTACCCACTCACTTCACTTACTGTCTCTCACTAATAAAATAAAATTCAAATTTCTTAGTTCTAGTGTTAGCTTTTCTTCTCATGATTCTTTTTCAATATTATTTTTTTACTTCTCTCTTTTACATACCCAATTCACTAGCCAATTAGAACAATTAAATATTTGTAATTCATGGCAATATTTATATTTTTAAATTTCAGTGACATTGTTTCTACCATTTATTCAGCTGAAATATACTCCCTTTTATCTTCACTTACAAAATTCATCCTGATATCTTGATCACATATTTGAAAGAATGCCTGTCTTATGATTCTATCCATTTTATCATTTGGAAAATGATAAAAGTACATTTTCCAAAGTAAATATGCTCTCGCTATATCTACATACAAGTGTATGTATACATATATACATATACATATATACATACACATGTATGTATACACATATATACATACACATTTTAAAAAAAAATTTATTTTCCTAGAAGTGGCTAATAATTTTGTTTGTTTGTTTTTGTTTGTTTTTGTTTTTGAGATAGAGTCTCTGTCACCCAGGCTGGACTGCAGTGACGTCATCTTGGCTCACTGCAACCACCTCTGCTCCCCAGATTCAAATGATTCTGCTGCCTCAGCCTCCCAAGTAGCAGGGGTTACAGGCATGCGCCACCATGTCTGTCTAATTTTTGAATTTTTATTAGAGACAAGGGTTTCACCATGTTGGCCAGGCTGGTCTCAAACTTCTGACCTTGAGTGATCTGCCTGCCTCAGCCTCCCAAAGTGCCGGGATTATAGGCATGAGCCACCATACCCAGCCAATAATTGTTTTTTGATTCAGCATCTCATGTGTGTCCATAAATTCTTATTCAGATTTCAGTACAGCATATATTATGTCATTCAGTAATAATTTATTTCTTTATTTATCCCAACTCCCTATACCTATCAGAATGCCTGGTACATAGTTAGTACTTAATATAGTTTCATTGAAAGAATGAAAAAATAAAACAACAGAACAGATATTAACAAAACAAATTTTTAACAAAACACTTTTAAATTTTGGATACAATATAAAAAAATAACTTTTCAAATATATAACTAATTGTAATACGTTAAGAAAAATTCCACCCAAATTAAAGAAATTGAAATCGGAGTAGTAAGCTTACTTTGGAAGATGTGGAAGATGATTACACATATACAGTTTGAAAAAAAGAGCCATATCCAAATGAAAGACTGAAACTATGAGATCTAAAACACTCAGCCAAAAGATATGAACTCAAAAGTATTACCAGAATTTAATAGTAGTAAAAGCAAGTATTGTCTGGATGAGGCAATCCCATAGTTAGAGCTCATCATCCAAAATTACAGAAACAATGTACAAAAAAAAAGAGTAAGCAGAAAAAAAGAGTAAAGTTATACCCACAAAGATAATGCAGTATTGAATGACAGTTAAATGATATACAATAAGCTTTATTTGCTTACCAAAAAGGTAGGAACACCAAAAAGAATAATATATATAAGTTAATCAGATATAATTTGTAAAAATAGTCATATATAATCAGTGAAATTAAAATCTCCATGACATATTGTATTGCAGGTTTAATTCAGATACCTTGGGAAAGAACTAGTGAGGTTAATAACAAATCAAACTACCCAGGCTGACACAGAGAAACAATGAGATAAAAAATACAAAATAAGGTACATGAAGCACAGACTGAGGAGGTCCAACATAAGTCTAACTTCTGTTTCAGGATAAAAGGGGGAAAAAAATGGAAGAAAAGCTACAGTCAAAATAAAAATGAGAATATTCCAGACATGACAAAAAACATGACTCCTCAGATTTAAGAAGCCTGACAAATTCAAAGCCAGATAGCTAAAAAAGAAATTGTTCTTCATGATTCTGAAGAACACCAAAGAGATGATCTTTAAAGAAAAAAGAAATAAAATGAGACATCTAAAAACAAAAGTTAATTAGAATGGAGGAATAATTTCTCAATACTAACAATGGAAACCAGAATGTAGCAGAATGACCTTTTTTGTAAAGGCTGAGAAAAAAAAAAACTTAACTTAGAACTTAATATTCAGTTAAATAATTGAAACCACCTTTGCAAAAATTATCAGTAAGAAAAATTCTCACAGTAAGCTAAGCTAACTTACAGCCCATCGTGCCTTTCCCTTAATTATTTCTGGGCGTTGGGGCCAGAAATAATTGAGACCATATAGTTATAATTGTTAATTATATTAATAATTAATTATATGAATACTTAATACTTATTCAAAGGAATAATTATACTAAAAGTTATACATTATTATAATATATTAATATAGTAAAATGTAATATTGGTTAATATAATTAATATATTCTGTACTGATAATTATTATTATGTTAATAATTAATGATTATTCCAAGCTCATTTTGGAAGACATGGAGGCTATCATTTAAATGATAATAGGCCCTACCCAAAACTCATCTGCTTTTGTAAAATTAATGGCAGGCCATCATGCTGAGGAGAAGGAGAAGAGCCTGAGTCCTACTAAGGCAAGGTCCCCAATTAATCCTGCAAATACCACTATTGTAGATTGGCCTTTTGAGATATCTTTCTAGGGTTCTTGCATGTCTGACACCCATGGCTCACCTGCATCATCAACCCTGCTCCTGTGGCCCCACCCAGAAGCGATTCAGCCTGCAAAAGGGCAGCTTTGACTGTTTATGATGTCATCTCCACCCCAACCAATCAGCGGCAAGCGCCTGTTACCTAGTCACCCCCGCCTCTTCCCCCAAAGCTGCCTTTGAAAAACCCCTAACCTATGAGCTTCAGAGGAGATGATTTGAGTAAACTCCATCTCCCATGTGGTGTTGCAGGCCTCGTATCTACTAAACTCTCCTTATTACAAGTCAGGAAGAACCCCTTAGGCAGTTACTTTACTATACTGAAATATAGGAAAAAAATCAATCATTTTCAGAGCTGAACAAACTAAATGTTTACCATAACAGATCCTCAATTAGGAAATATCTAAATAATATACCTCAGAAGAGAGACTATGGTCCCAGCTGGAAAATTTAAAATGCAAGAAGAAATGTCAGTAAGAGTTGATATGAAGTTTGGTAAATGTAAAATAAAATTTACTCTGTACAAAAATAAGAACTCGTGGTTTGAGACGTAAGAGGAAAAGAACATTAAAACTGAAATACTTGACAATAATAATACCTAAGGCAAAGAGGGTGGTCAGAATCCTAAGACCACTTAGAATAGAGATATTTTAAATTTAGATGTATGACGTTAAATATACCTGTCAAAATATGAAGAGAAGACAATAAATAAATGTTTTTAAAAATGAAGTGCATAAATTCTAAAACAGAATTCTGTTTCAGGAGGAAACAGAATTAGCAATGGTAGGAAAGGAGAAAAATGTATGAAAAATATAATTAATTTTTACTACCGAAGGAAAGTTTCTGTGTAACTTAGATCTTTGCCTTTGAAATAGGAATACCATTAATGCCATTAATTATTATTCTTAGATTAGTTTTAAAAAATGTTTCTTTTGTTGTTGTTGTTGTTGTTGTTGTTGCTGTCATTGAGACAGAGTCTCGCTCTATTTTCCAGGCTGGAGTGCAGTAGTGCAGTCACAGCTGAGTGCAGCCTCCACCTCCCAGGGCTCAAGCAATCCTGCCACCTCAGTCTACCAAGTAGCTGGAACTACAGACCTGAACCACCACACCCAGCTAATTTTTTATTTTTTGTAAAGATGGGGTCTCACTGTGTTGCCCTGGCTGACCTCAAACTCCTGAACCCAAGCAATCCTTTCACCACCTTGGCCTCCCAAAGTGTTAGGATTAGAGGAATGAGCCATTGTGTCCAGCCAAAATAAATATTTTAAGCATGTATAACTACTAAAGAGGGATGCTGTGTATACTGGAGGAGTAAGTTCATTTCCAAAGCATTTATTGCAGCATTTTGGGAAATTTGGGGGTGCACAGATAAGACTTTCAGATGAAAGAAATAAACAGGCTAATTTTATTAGGTGTATAATATATCCAAATTACTTCATTTAGCTAATACAGAAAGAGGGACTACCTCCCTCCTTGCTGCATTCCTTCCCATACTCCCATACTCCCTTCATGCCTTTTGGTTCTACTTCAGCTACACATTTCCTATGAGACGTGTGAGTCATATATGTTGAGCAATAATAGGCACCAAGGATACACAAATGACTAATTCTTTCTTTATTCTCAAACAGCTTGCAATCTAAATGTTGTCATATGCCTGGGAAAATAGTCTATGCAGGGATGATAATTACAATGGAATTATAGTCACATGGCAAAGCACATGAACTAGTAGTAATTGCAAACACATTCCTTCATGGAGATGATGTTGAGCTGAGTCATGATGTAGAAATTAGTGAAGTTGAATGGGAAAAAAAAAGAATAAAAATTTTCTAAGCATAGGGAGCTCTCTGAGCAAGAAGGAGTCAAGAGAAGGCATTTTGCATCGTGGAAGTTACAAAGAAAGGCATAGTTTGATAGGGTGACTTGATGAGTATGAGAGAAAAGGGAAGATTTGAGGATAGAAAACTGAGAAAGGGCAAGCTCTTGAAAGACCTTATATGCTGCACAAATAAGTTTAGAATATATCTCATAGGCAATGGGAATCAATAAAATAAGAACGTGCTATAATTTGATTTGTGTTTCTGAAAGACTCTTTTGGTTGTACCATAAAGGATTAGAAGAGAACAATACTAGAAGCAAGAACAATTGTTAGCCTGCTGATGCAAAACCAAGATGAGAAATGATGAGAGATTAAGTCCAAACAGTAAAGATTGGTGGTGAAGATTGAAAGGGAGGATAGAGTCTGTCTGCAGTTTCTGACTCAGAATGCATTTTTCTGGGTATATGCAATTCCACTCACTGACAGAGGGGGACCAAAAAGAAGAGGATGAACAAGTTTGTGGGGGGAAGATAAATATCTTTTGCGCAGTTTAAATTTAGGAAATAGAGGTAGTAACCTGTAGTAGAGTGAAAGATCGAAACATAAAACAGAGGTAAACTTATTAGCCTCAACCAACCCATGCTATATGTTTTCCTTCTGATCAATCCCAAGTACTAACGGAGCGACTAAACAAAATGAATTTTTGCATCAAAATGAAACATTTTACCCTGAGTACTTTCTAATGAAACTATGTATAATTACCTGATACTAGTATAGTGATCTAAACCTTAGAGGACTAAAGTCGAATATTCATACCACCACGCGCAAAGGGCAGCATAAAGGGATGAAGTGAAAATATATCAGTAAGTAAAATACTGATTGAAGGTAGTAAGCTTCATTTACCCATTTATTCTATTTCCAAGTGCATTATTTAAAACATCTTTCTCATTTCTGACACTATAGGGTCTTCCCAGACCCATAGGACATGATAACTCATGGTCTAATACCAATAATTTGAGACTGGGAATTTAGTAAATTTTAATCAATGTTTTATGTGTACATCTGAGAAAACATATACTATTAAAATCTTCAGTGCAGAGTTCTCTATGTATATCTGCTAGATTTTGTTTATTGGTTGCTTTGTTTAAATCTTTATCTCTATTAAATTTGACTACTTGATCTATTAATTACAAAAATGCTTTTAATTGTGTGCACTTCAATGGTATATTCATCAAATTCTCTGTTTCTTTTTTTCTACAATATATTTGAAGTCATTGTTCAGTGACCTTACTTTTCCTTAGGATTTTTTTTTGCCTTATATTCTAAATATCTGATACTGATAAACCAACATCTTTTTTGTTTAATATTGCACTGATATAACTTTTATACAACTTTCTAAAATTTTTCTTTGTATTTATACTTTACTTGTATCTCTTATAAAGAGCGTATAATAGGATTTTAAAAATTCATTTATATTAACTTAAAAAATAAGTTGTCTATACTTTATTATGATTATTAATATATTATATCTATTTCTACATAATTAGTTCTAATTAATTAAATTATAATTATTTATTTTTAATTGACTACATTATTTCTAATTTAGTTAATTCTATTTGATTTTACATTTAACAGTTTGCACCACATTTCTGCTTGTAACAGCAACTCATTTTTAGCGAGAAATAATTGAATAAGCTCAAAGACCCTAAGATCGGGGTGCTGAGAAGAGCCCAGGCAGCACAACATGAGGACAGTGCTTTTCTTATAAGAAAAGGGAAGAGATAAAAAAGATGGACAGAAAACAACATAGATGATTTGGCAAAATGAGATAGAGGTGAGATATTGAAGGGGTAGTAGATTCATCGTAGGGTAATGTCCTGCTTGAAATATAAATAGAATTTTGCCCTGGCCTATGGAAAAACATTTTTTTTTCTCCTCTTCATCCTCGTTTGTCAAATCTTAATAAACAATTATACTCAGGAAAACTTTTTCACATTCTTTGTACTTTGTTTTGTTCTGTTTTCTTTTCTTTTGTTTAAATAATAGGAGGAACTGTCTTCCATATGGGGATATACCAGTGAAGTCAGACCACATTAACAGCAACAAAAATCCAGAGTGAGTGTGAACATCAGAAAATAAATGATATAATACTTTTGTTTTATGAGAAAAGGAATTAGGATGATGAATGTATACATAAAAGATGAAGTTGAGTCATTGATCTATCTTGGTTGTCTATAATTTTTGTTTGCCTTTGCTATGGACTGGATGTTTGTTGTCTCTCCAAATTTTATACATTGAAGCACTCATAAAATGTTTAAAAATTAAGTATTCTGCCAGGCGCTGGCTCATGCCTGTAATCCCAGCACTTTGGGAGGCCGAGGTGGGCGGATCACCTGAGGTCGGGAGTTTGAGACCAGCCTCACCAACATGGAGAACCCCGTCTCTATTAAAATACAATATTAGTATACCTAATGCTAAATGACTAGTTAATGGGTGCAGCACACCAGCATGGCACATGTATACATATGTAACTAACCTGCACACTGTGCACATGTACCCTAAAACTTAAAGTATAATAATAATAAAATAAAATAAAAAATAAAAAAATAATAATATTAGCCAAGCGTGATGGCGTATGCCTTTAATCCCAGCTACTGGGAAGGGTGAGGCAGGAGAATCGCTTGAACCCGGGAGGCGGAGGTCGCGGTGAGCCAACATAGCGTCATTGCACTCCAGCCCCGGCAACAAGAGCACATAAGCTTTTGGGAGGTAACTAGATTAGGTATGAGTGTGGAGTCCTCGTGATAGTATCAATGCCCTTATAAAAAGAGGAAGAAACAGGAGAACTCTCCTTCTCTCTCCCTCTCGTTACCTCTCTCTGTATGTCTGTCTGCCTCTCTCTCTCTCTTTTCCTCTGTTAAAACACCAAGGAGCCATGTGAGGACTTAACAAGAAGGCCATTTACAAACCAGAAAGAGAACCCTCACTGACACCCAATCTGTCAGCACCTTGATCTTGGAATCCCCAAGCTCCAGAACTGTGAGAAATAAATATTAGTTATTTAAGACACTCAGTGAATGGCATTTTGTGATAGCAGCCCAAACTGACTAAAATAGCCTTTATATTCCCTAAATAAATTGCATAGAACAACTCCAAAACTGTAACCGATTAAAAAGTATACAATTGTGAGCTATCTTTGTGTCTTACCTGCTGCAATCTTTAATATTGCGTATTTTAAGAGTAAATAAAAATTTAAATATGTAACAATTTATAATGAGAAAAAGTTGGTATTTGCTTCTAAAAGAGGATAATTCAGAAAAATAATTGAACGAGAAAATCTATACACTACATAGCCAAAAGACACTACAACATTTCAGATGAGTTTGAGAAGTAAGGCTATTTAAAGGGAAGGTAGGACCTCCGTTATATGTAGCTGCTACAGACTACCACTAATATTCTTACTAAATTCTATTGTGAATAGGTATTCTGTTTAGTGCTAAACTGAAACTTTTATTATATCTAAACTTTTGTCTGAGGCTGTATTAGGGTTCTCCAGAGAAACCTAACCTTTAGAGAGAGAGAGAGAGAGAGAGAGAGAGAGAGAGAGAGAGTGTGTGTGTGTGTGTGTGTGTGTATGAAAAGAGTTATTTTATGGAATTGCCTCACAAGACTATGGAGCCTGGCAAGTCCAAAAATCTGCAGAGTAGGCTGGCAGACTGAAATTCCAGGAAAAAAGCCCATGTTACCATTCAAGATCAAAGGCTTCCTGTAACAGAATTTACTCATGCTTGGTGGAGCTCAATTTTTTGTTCTATTTAGGTCTTCAACTGATTGAATGAGGTCCACTCATACTATGGAGGTAAAATCTGCCTTATTCAAAATTCACAGATTGCAATGTCAATCTCATCAAAAAACACCCTTACAAATACATCCAGAATAATGTTTGACTGCAGTATTTGGGGACCATGGTGGAGCCAAGTTGACATGTAACGATCAACCATTACAGAAGTTTTTAATGTCTTTTACATAGTGGCTCTTTATAAATAATAGTAAAATTGGAACATTAATTTACTACATAATCATTTCTTCATAAGTGGTAAGAAAACACAATTACCCTGTGGTAGACATGGTTAACTATACTTTATGCTAATCTCTGTGTTCTATTTGGCTTACCTAATTAACTCTACATAGGGCCCCAGACATAGCTTTGCTGCAGGAAGACTTTGGGCAGTCTTTTGAATTCCTAAGAGAGTCAGATGAATAACAAATAATTGAATACCAAAGAAATCAAAATGTTAGTTCTCTCCCAAGAAAAGAGATTTGTGAAATTAAGACTAGTGGTTCTTTAACAGTTATCCATTCATTTGCCTACATTTGCCTTTATATGCTGTATTCATCCTAGGAGTACTAAATCATTGAAAAAAAATCATATCCAGCAATCCCACTACTGGGTATCTATCCAAAGGAAAGTAAGTCATTATATGAAAAAGACATATGCATATGCATATGCATGTTTACAGCAGCACAATTTGCAATTGCAAAGATATGGAACCAATCTAAGTGCCCATCAGCCAACGAGTAGATAAAGAAAATGTGGCATATACACACCATGGAATACTACTCATCCATAAAAAGAAACACAGTAATGCCTTTTGCAACAACTTGGATAGAGTTGGAGGCCATAATTCTAAGTAAGGTAACTCAGGAATGGAATACTAAATATCATATGTTCTTACTTATAAGTGGGAGCTAAGCTATGAGGATGCAAAGTCATAAGAATGATACAATGGACTTTGTGGACATGGGGGAAAGGTTGGAAGGGAGGTGTGGGATAAAAATGTGTGTGTGTGTATATATATATATAATATATATAGTATATATAGTAATATATATTGTGTATATATAGTAATATATAGTATATATAGTAATATATATAGTACATATAGTAATATATAGTATATATAGTAATATAGTGTATATATAGTTATATATATTCTGTATATATAGTAATATATATAGTGTATACATAGAGTAATATATATTGTGTATATATAGTAATATATAGTGTATATATAGTAATATATATATTGTGTATATATAGTAATATGTATACTGTGTATATATAGTTATATATTGTGTATATATAGTAATATATATAGTGTGTATATATAGTCATATATAATGTGTATATATAGTAATATATATATTGTGTATATATAGTAATATATATTGTGTATATTTAGTAATATATATTGTATATACAGTAATATATAGTATATATAGTAATATATAAAGTATATGTAGTAATATGTAGTATATATTGTAATATATATATTGTATATATAGAGTAATATATAGTATGTATAGTAATATATATAGTATATATAGTAATATATATTGTATATATAGTTATATACATTGTGTATATATAGTAATATATATATTGTGTATATATAGTAATATATAGTGTATATATAGTAATATATAGTATATATATAGTAATATATATTGTATATACAGTAATATATAGTATATATAGTAATATATATTTTGTATATATAGTAATATATATAGTAGATATATATAGTAATATATGGTATATATAGTAATATGTATATTGTATATATAGTAATATATATTTTGTATATATAGTAATATATATAGTAGATATATATAGTAATACATGGTATATATAGTAATATGTATATTGTATATATAGTAATATATATTGTATATATACTAATATATATCGTGTATATATATATATATAAAAAAATTGAATACAGTGTACACTACTGCTCCAGTGACAGGTGCATTAAATCTCAAAAATCACCCCTAAAGAACTTATCCGTATAACCAAAACCACCTATACCCCGAAAACTATTGAAAGGAAAATAAACATTAAAAAAATTATAGTCATAAGATGGAAATGTATTGATCTATCACAGACAAAACAAAAGAAGTGCTTTACTGGCCAGGTTATTAGAAAGCAATTGATTGAATAAATAAAACAGGGACTCCTTGCTAAGCCAGTTTCTTTGTTTTGTTTTGCTTTGAATTATTTTGAACCTATTTTTTAAGGAATTTTTTGAATTACAAAAAATTCAAACATATATAAATGTATAGTGTAGTATAATAAATCACCGCATATCCATCATCTGAGTTTAGCAATTATGGACTTATGAGTAATCTGGTTTCATTTTCATTTATACCCCTCCTTCTTCTCTCACAGACCCAGATTTCATTATAATCCATAAATATGCCTGTATGCATCTCGAAAAGACACAAACACACCAATAAAATGACCATAATATAATTATCACAGTTAAAATTAACATTAACTTTATAATACAATCAAAACACCAGTCAGAGTTCAAAAGTCCCTTTTTCATATTGTTTGTTTGTTTGTTTGTTTGTTTGTTTGTTTGTTTGAATAAGGATTCAAACCAGCTGCAGTCTGCATTTGATTGATTTGCCTCGTAGGCCTCTTTTAATCTATATGTTTCCATTCTCTCTTTTTTTTTATTTTGCAATTTATTTGTTGACAAAACTGGGTCATTTCTCCCCTAGAGTTCTCATGTTCTGGACTTTGATGATTGAATCTCTATGATGTTGTTTAATGTTCTTCTATCTTTTATATTTCTACTAGTTGAATCTTGAGATGTGTTCTATTTCAGGTTCAACTTTAGGCAATAATGCTTCATTAAGGATGTTGTATATTTCCATCAAGAGGCAAATAAGGTCTGCTTTCCTTGCCTTTTCTTGTGTTTTTCACTACTGATGGTCATTGCTTAAACCTGTTATTTTGTAAACTTAATTTTCCTCTACAAATAATCAGTAAACTTAATTCCCCGCTACAAATAAAACTTAATTTTTATCGCCAAGCCCTTGTATCCACACTAGAGAAATAAATGGTATTAAGATATAGTGATTCATCCATTTATTAAACCAAAGTACACTGAAATCTTAGTAAATGTAGGCCGCTGTGCTAAGCGCTGAACATATAAAGATGGATAAGACACAATCCCAGTTTTTAATTAGTCAGGAGGCTGGCAAATGAACTAGACACAAAAACAAATATATTAAAATATGATAATCACTGTCTAGTTGTATGTAAAAGGAGAAAGGGTGAACTGATGGAGAAATAATCCACTGTTGAACAATTTTAGAAATAATTGCTCTGTATGTCTATGACTTGGTGTGTGCTGTTTATTTAAATAATGTTTTAAAATTGAAAGCACTTTGGCCACTTTAAAAAGAATAGAAAATAAAAAATAGTGTTAATGCCCATATATAAGTCCAAGAGAACAACCGTTATCATTTTGTTGTCTGTTTATTATATTTCTATTTTTATGTAGTTATAATTTCTCTTCTTTTTTTAAATATGATAAGGCAGACTTTATTTAAGGGGAGCCATGGTGATAAGTTTAGGGATCACTGCAACAGGATATTGTAGGTTGGAAAAGAGTCTAGACTCAATTCCAAGTTAAAATCTTAATAGGTAGTTTTATATCCTGCTTTCCTCCAAACGTCTTCATATACCAAAATATTGTCTACTTTGCCAGTGTCTTTGGGACTATCATTTTAAATGGCTAATTGATATTCATTTTTATGAATTAATTCTGTACTAATCAATTATTTTTCTATTGTTGGATAAAGATGTCGATTCTAATTGCTCACTTTTTAAATAAGCATTCTCATGTATATAACTCTTCTCTCATTTTCTATCATTTCCTATTGAGAGACAATCAGAAGAAAAATACTTTAATCAAATACTTTAAATTTTGTTATGTCTTTCCATGCCAATGGCTCTCAAATCTTTCTGTTTTAAATCCAAAAGAACAATCAAACAAAAATGTTGAAACTCAGCTCACCCCACCCTTCCCTTGAGGAAACACTAATACTGAGATAAGAAAATATTTTTTGAATTGTACTTTCTGATGTTTGTATCATAAAAATAAACGTTTTTATATTTCTAATATAAAATTCTAATGTAATACTTAACAGGTTTTTTTTCCAAGTTATTTCGAATGATGTGCACACATAATTAAAATATTTATTCCATAAAATATGCCCCAGAGTTTTAAGAACATGGCCTTTAGAGTTATGCAACCTAAGTTTAAATCCCAAGTGGCTACTTGGTAAGAATTTGACCTTGGGCAAATTGCTTAACATTAGTAACCTCAGTTTCTCCTTTTGTAAAACGGAAGTGAGAATATCTCATACCCAAGGTTGTAAAGACCAAACTAAACATCTTACTAAAGTTTATCAGTGCAATGTCTTACATTAAACAAATGGCAGCTTTTGTTTTTTTGGAAGCAGGATTATTTGTTTCCTGAAGAGTAAGTAAAAGGCAAAGAAAAGGGTTGCAAGCAAACACTTTTATACGGGGATAAAACCCCTTCAATCAACTTCATAATTCCATCCACCTGCAATATTCTTAAGATGTATCTTTTTTCAGGGTTTTTCATCATGAAGGGGAAAGAAAATATAACACACTAACAACTACCGTATATCAAATTTGAGCCATTTGCTTAATATGTTTTACTTAATTTCCAAAAAAGTTTAGAGAAGAAACAAGGTTTTATATCTTCTATTTGCAAATAAGAAAATTAGAAGTAAATAATTTACTCTGCTTGTTTCCACAGTGAGTAAATTGAACCCAGTCTGTGTGACCTAAGGCCTTTGCCAATAGTACTATCATTTACCAAAGTCATAATAAAATGTGAAATTGTTGACAGGCCTTAAAGAAAGCTGAATGAGGCCCCATTAGGGAAGAAGTATTTAAAAGCCAACTCTGATTTTTAGCTGCTAGGGATGCTCTTCCACTAATTCTTGGTCTGGCCAGCATTCATGCCTTCTTCCAAGTGTAACATAAATGCTACTTTCTTAGTTGTCCTCCAAGACCCAAACTCTCAGTCCCTACCCACACCAGGCCATGGTTAATCTCCCCATTAGAGACTCTTTTTTTAATTAACATTCTTCACAATTAAACTTTTAATAATTCTTTTAATGCTTTTTGTTTAATGTTTATATCAATCACCAGGTTATAAAATTTAGAATAGAATAGGAAGTAGCTGTCTTGCTTACCACTGGGTCTCTGGTCTCTGACATTTGCTAGGTGCCATATAAATAATTGTTTAATAAATAAACAAATATATATGTATACACACACACATATACACACACACATGGTCTATATAGTATATACGACTACATATATAATTTTAACTATGTGTTATTTTTAAGTAATAGGGAATTAGACAAAAAACATTTGGGTACCACTGCCCTATGGTATTAGTTTAGATCCTATGAAACAAATGCAAAAATATGAAAACTAAGAGTAGAATCCCCTACTTAATCAACAAAATTGGGCTAGAGGTGTTTTAAGAGTACTGAGTATTATTTTTTTGTTGGCAGTATTTATGCCATTAATGGATTATGCCTTAATTAACTTGAATTTTCTTTCCTCTCTTGGTTTACCTTTAGAGCAGCTAAAAAACAATGAAATATTCAAATTCAATGTTGTGCCTTTTGTGGCAATCTGTAAAAGAAAGAACACACTGGATACTTCCCAGCAAATGGCTGACAAGAAAAAAATAAGAAAAAATTAAAAACTGTTACTTGTTTTAGAAAGAAACCACGTATTGTCCTCCAAACATATTTAATAACTTATCAGCTGCAAAGAGTATAGAGAAGATACACTGCATAATCCTTTTTCAAAATATTCAAACACCCACATCTAATTTTTTTGAGTGTATGTCAGTGTCTCTAATAATATGACTGCTATTTTAGTCACAATAATGACTGTAATCTTTGATTCTGTAGGTGGTATACTTCCATGTCCATATTATTGGAAAAAAATTCTTAACCAGTAAAAGCATGGCACTGTGGATTAAGTACCAGGCTAACATCAAGGAAATCAGGTGATGATAGCCTACTGTATGTCCCCAGGTAGGTTTTTGACTTGGGCATTGAGTTTGGTTGTTGTTATTGCTGTTTTTATTCAATTAGGAGTGTTGGCTTTTTAGGGTTTGATACTTACATATATGTTTAATGGAGCTCTAGTTCAAAAGTTGAAAACTGGTAGATTTGGGTCAATCTAGCCTGCCAATGTGTTTTGTTTAACCTGCATAATATTTTAAACTTTTAAAAAAATAGCTGTCAATTTTTCTTTTTTAAATGGAGGATGGCTTATGAAAGTCTAGATTGAAGACTTCTTGTGAGAACTCAGAAGACATGGCAATCAATGGCAATAATGAGTCCCCATCATACGGGAACATTGGTTGAAACTGAGGACATGCACAGCCCCCTTTTAGACCTGGGATTTGCTATTTTCTCCACTAATCTCTATTTTCCTCCTAACACCAAACACAAATGTTAGGTAGCAATCATCAAATAATTTTTTTTCTTTTGCTTTATTGTTTTTCTAAGAAAAAAAGAAAAAAGAAAAAGCTCTGGCTACTAAACCATTCATGTTTGTTGCACTTCACTTTTCCAGTCTTGCTTTAATTAAAGGACTAAGGAATGTAGAACAGTCAAACCCTACTAGGAGCTCATGATAAGATTAGCAGCAAAATATTAAGTTTTTCTCTTAGTGAAAAGAGGAAATCCCATTTCCTCCCAATGGGATATCATATTTTGTGAGTACCCTGAATATCTTGACACACAGAGTTCCTGCCCTTGCTTTTCTGGTGTTTGCTAATACTTAGTTATCCTTAATGCAGTGTCTTTCAAGAATCTTTTCTAAAATGGTAATGCTCAGTCCCTTTTCCATCCAAATGCTTCTGTACTGACTGCAGAATGGGGACCTGAGACACGATTTAAAAAACACATTTGCACTAAGTGTGAATAACCTTAACTTGATCAGATCGTTAACATTCATGCTCCCAGTTTGACAAACCCAGTAACAGCAAATCAAGTTCAAAGCCTACTGAAAAATGCTGCCATCTAACATGAAGAAGTGTCTAAAGCTGACAACTTCAGAGCCTTTAGTGAGTTACAGGGATTTTCCAGTAACTTAGAATATATCATGGAGGTACATACCTCTTCTTTCTAGAAGTAGGGCTTTTTGTGTGAAGTGAAAAATTAAGGCAAACTTCTTTTCCTTGAAACATCCATATCACTGAGAAGCTTTGTTTAAAGAGTCAAGATTAGCTAGAGAACCAGTCAGTTCTCTTCATTTCTATACACACTGTTTTATAGGATGATTAAATACTGAACTGAAAGAGACACCTTAGATGTCTCCTGGCCCAAGCTTCTCATTTTATAGATGAAGTAACTGAGGTTCATAGAGGTTAAGTGCTTTGCTGACAATCAGTTATTCTTGCAGAAACCAAGGTCTTGACTTCCAGCCTTATGTTCCCTACATTATGCTACACAGTTTCTTAATGAAGGTGAAGAAAGATGTATATAGTTTAATCATCTCTCCATTGACAGACTGGCACTATGGAAAAGGAGAAGGCCACATTCCTCAATATTAGGCAGAGAGCTTGGTTAATGTTATCTTTAAGTATTACCCTCAAAGAAAATAAGGAGTGCTTTGAAATTGTAATAGCAGATCTCCTCTTATGGTACCACTTCTTCCTTTCTTTGAATGGAGTTTCAGATTAGTTTATTTAAATTAGGATTTACTTCAATTGAGTAAGGACAATATTAAAGATTACCTTGGGGGAAAAAGGGGATCCTTTGTCAATTGCAGTGTATTTTTCCTAGAGAATTCTGTTTCTCATAGTTAATAGAAGGAAGGGGATTGTTTTCTAGTTCTAGGAACAGAACAGATGTGACTTTCAAGGTTGGCGCTTTCCTAAACTCTCCAAAAAAGCCAAAAATTCATAGGAATCTCATTAAGTGTAAACACGCTTGTCTTAAATAAACTTTCAGCTGTTACCTTGAAATTTAAGTAGACCTCTGAATTAAGCTAGTTAATGAGGGCTTAATTGGGGTAATTTAGATTTTAATTTTAATTTTAAGATTATAAGATTGTAAAGAGGTATCAGCTTCATACTTAATTGGATCCTTCCAAATGCCCATTCTGACTGATGTCTATTATTTGATCAATTTGCTTTGAAAATCTATTGTGCCTAGAGAAGGATATTTGGTTTTGTTATTTTGTGTTGTTTTTCCTCTATATTTTTAATTACCTTGTTTGTTTTATGCTACTAACATGGTGCTATATCATTCCTATTAGTGTTTGCAAGTTGAAGCACACGTGTGTCACAAATCCTGGCAGTAAATAATTAAAGTATTTAAATAAACTTGTGTATATGCTACAGTTCTCTGGTTGAACAAATTTGTAGAGCAAGATCTTATTTTGATCTATAATTATAGCTGCCAGTGACTGGCAAGATCCTTACTGAGTCAGATTAATTTACACATTAAGCAGCCATCTGTAGAAATTTTCATAGTACCTCGTTTGCAATGCTATGTATCACATGGGAATTCTGAAACTACGTTGCCACTAGGGAGCTTTTAACACCGTGGTTGTAGGCTTATAGCTATGAACAAATTGTTCCAGACATTTACATTTTTTTCTCCTTATTACAAGGTTGCCTAATGATCCAAGAAAAAGTATACAACAGTTTAGACCCCTAATGACAGAACAATTGATAAATTAAGAGCATTCATTTTATTTTCTTTAAAAATATGCCCTTGGCCTTACGTTGAATAACTTAACAAGCTTCATGGAGTAGAATATCCTTAGTAGTTGGGCCATAGTTGCAAACTATATTGTAAATTTATCAGTATGCTTCCTTAAAGAGAAACCAAATGACACTGTTATTGCTATAGTAGGCTGATCTAAGAAAGGTGAAATTATTTCAATGTCTGTAACCGGGATATTACAGAGGGAATGAACAATGTTTCAGACTCCAGAATGTTAATTTATATAATACTGTTTAAATTAAAAGTACATTCATGCAAAAAATTATTTGAAAATTATAAGTGAACACTGCATTATTTTGTGCAATAGTTCACTTACGGGTCATTAAACGACTGAGGAAAACTAGCACAAATTACTCAGTGCTACTCAAAAAGCATTGATTTAAAGTGTTCTTAAAATTTAAAAACTTCAGCCTCTGTAATGAACACTGGTTACCTGTGAAGTTCATGACTGAGGAATATATTTCAGATTTGTGACTTACCCATTTCTTTTTTAGCTAGAGACATTGTACTATGTTTAGAAAGAAAGAAAATATAAAAAGAAGGAAAGAATACATTAGAAAGTCAACCAACAGCACAATCAGGAACTCGAGGTATTACTTTTTAGTTGAGAGAGGTAATAAGATAGAGAATCCTAAAACTTTAACTAAAAAGGAATTTCTTATTTACACTGAACACTATAATACCCCTTCTTACATGTCATTTCAAAGTGCTGCTGAAAGAAGTCGAGAATCTAACACAGAACAGGGACCAGTTAAAAAATTTCCAAAGAAAAACACTTGGACAAAAGTGAGCACTTTCACAGCATGTCTACACTACATGGTTTTACCAGGATAGGACATGAGTAATAACGCTTACCTGTGCTTATCCGTGAATTGTTTTTACAATGCACACCTGAATGATACAATTGCAGGCAGGAGCCAACACATTTGCTGGTACAGATGAGCTGCGTTCCTCACGGAGCACGGGCACATCAATTCTGGAACAGTCAGCCCCATCACCATGCTGCTTTTCTATTTGAACCTTTCATGCCCTGCAAGACAAGGCACGTGAAGCTGTTTTTTTTTTATTATTATTGTTATTTACACTAATATTGGAGATAGAGGATGAATCCCAAGCAAATTTGCCTTTCTTTAATTAAACCCTAGTTCCTTTTTTGTTTCATTCATTAAAGGTCTTAACCAAGACATGCAGGCCATTTGGTCAATAATTTATAAATTATTGATATGCAAGAGACACAAAATGGAAATAAGGTTTCTGCTTCTGTCAACTCTGGATATCACCCGAGTATGTTTGAACTATGTCTTACTCGTCACTCTGTTTCAAGATAGTGAATTGGCATAGAAATTGAACGCTAACTGTACCTTGATTACTCGAAGAGTATGACAGGCTTGATCAAAATGAACGCTTTGGGAAATTATTAATTTAAAAACAACAAATGTAAAATGATGAGGTATCAAATTAAAGGATGGCTCTCACATTGATTTAGATGAATTGTGCTATTTCTCATTGATATTCCCTATCTCTTAAAAAATTGTTACACTGTAGAGCACTGTTAAATCTAGGTGGTGTCGCTCTTCTTTTTTAAAGAAAAACACACTATTTTTAATAAAAATAGTAATTGCATAGGTTTGTGTGGCACAATGTGATGTTTCAATACATGTTTACATTGTGGAATGATTGAATCAAACTAATTAACAAATTCACCTCATATAATTATCATTTTTAAATGATAAAAACATTTAAAATCTACTCTTTTGGCAATTTTGAAATATACAATGATTATTATTTATTACAGTCATCATTTTGTACAATTCTTATTTAAAGAAAATGTGCTCCCAATCTTAATGCTGAAGAAGTGCATTTATACATTCCACCCTCATAATCTGCTAATCAAATGAAGGCACATAAATTGTTGATGTAGCCTGTAGAATCCAAATAATACTCTGGAATAGAGAAGATTAAACCCAGCAGGGCATTTGGCTGTCTTCTCAAATTAGAAAATGAAAATAGTTCATCATCTTCATTGACAGAAAGAGAATCTCCCCTCAGGGACAAGGATTTTTGGCAATCTTCTCAATACATTTATCCTAGTACTGGTGAGGGTATAGGCAAAGTACAGAATGCTCACAAAAAATATTGCATTGTATTTGTGTTATTTTATTTGTAATATTGTATTTTATTTCTAAAATGTAATTGCTTTGGCCAAAGTAATAAACCATGAAAGAGCTTCTGACCATGTTGGTACACTCATCTAGCTTTTTTGTTTTTGAGACAGAGTCTCGCTCTGTTGCCCAAGCTGGAGTGCAGTGGCGTGATCTCAGCTCATTGCAACCTCTGCCTCCTGGGTTCAAGTGATTCTCCTGCCTCAGCCTCCTGAGTAGCTGGGATCACAGGCGTGCACCACTACGTGCAGCTAATTTTTGTATTTTTAGTAGAGATGGGGTTTCGCCATGTTGGCTAGGCTGGTCTAGAACTCCTGACCTCAGGTGATCCACCCACCACAGCCTCCCAAACTTCTGAGATTACAGGTGTGAGCCACGGTGCCTGTCCTTCATCTAGTTTTGAGCATAGACCTAGGAAAAGAGTGTATAACCACTCCATGAGTTTCTTGCCTTGAAAAAAAGTAAGACAAACAAAAAATCTAGGGAAAAAAAGCTGAAGTTCCTTGTATTTCTAGAGAGAAAGAGAGAGACAGAGAGAGAGAAGAAAGAAAGAAAAGAAGGAAGGAAGGAAGGAAGGAAGGAAAGAAAGAAAGAAAGAAAGAAAGAAAGAAAGAGAGAAAGAAAGAAAGAAAGAAAGAAAGAAAGAAAGAAAGAAAGAAAGAAAGAAAGAAAGAAAGAAACTGCTAAATAATTATGTCCTCTTCTTGAAAAGATATTTGAGTTCAACAACTTAGGAAATACAACATTATAGTTCAAGAGCATTACTTAGGAAAACAGTATATAATTGTGTTACCGTTTTACTACATCTATTAAAGATATTGGAGAAACAGTCATCCTGGATTTGCTAGTTACTAAGATTTGGTTCCCAGGAAAGAATATATTAGAAACTATGCTAACATTTTGTATCATGCGACAGGTAGAGTTAGACTTCATTTCTGTTCAATATTTCTGATTTTCAATAATTAATTCCAGCTTTATTTTAACAGATTGATGGAATCATTGTAGAAAATTTAATAGATATTACATTTGGTCAAAAGTTAAAAATGATTTCACAATTGCATGCCCAAGAATTCAAGTTATTCTACACAGAATCATGGGGGAATAAGAAGATTATTGTAACTGATCTACCCAGCGCAAAAAGAGTAATAGATGTATGAAGATGTTTATATTTTCAAGACAGTGAAGAGTCATCAATGTCTTCTGCAAACCATTAGTAAATTGTCAAAAAGAAAAAGAGATTTATATCAAATTTACTTAAAATAGGGTTTAAAAATAATTACAAAGGGCATAAAATGCCTTTCCAACAGAAAAAAAACAAGCAAACAAACATTACCAATCATAGATCAGACTTATGATACATGACTTCTAGTGAAACACATTGACCAGGGTCCAACACCAGCTATGTAGCATTATTAGAGAAGTATGAATTATATCACAAAAGCAGCTGCCTTGGATTCTTTAAGTTTTAATACATTAAGACAATCTTTTTTAAAGCAGGGCACTATTTTAGATTAAAAGAGAGTAAAGAGTTATGACAGTTAACTTATAGCATGTGATCCTTAATTGAATTTTGGCTCAACACCAAAACAATGAAACAGCTGTGAAGGACATTACCGGGACAACTGAGGTCATTTTATAATGGACTGTAAATTAGATAAATCTGTTTGATCAATTTTTAATTTTCAAGACTTATAATTATGGAGTTATTGTGATTATGTAGAAAATGTCCTACTCTTTTTTTGTTGTAATTTTTCAAAGCTTCATGCAAAAGTAAAGTCATGGTTTATGCAACTTATTAAAAAATGGTTTAGCTAAAATGTATCTATGTATAAATAGACTTAAAATGGCACAATGTTAACAATTAGTAGGCCTAGCTGGAGACTAGCTGCGTACTTATATCATACTATTTTTTCAACTTTGCAATTGGTTTGAAGATTTTCAAAATAAGAACACTGTGGAAAAATGAGTTTCTCCATGAAGTTGTAAATTGTGGAGTGCAACATGTTCACAAGCTTCCAAACTGTGATGACTGCATCTCAAGTGTAAAGCTCTGGACAATACAGAAATAAAATATGATGGCAAAATATGCAGAAAGCTTATGAGTTGGTAATAAGCAAGATGGAGTCAATAAATGTTTTAAGAATATTGATAAGTACAACATAAGGCAACATTATGTGAAGTTACCATCAGGAAAAACAGCAATAAATGGCACATGTTGAAGATGCCAGAAAAATAGTTATTCTTTTCAGAAAAAAGTACCTAGTTGCCTGTAAAGTCATAACCCAAGGTCTAACATGAAAAGTTTTAAGTTAGAGCACTGTACCTGGTATGTAAAGAGTTGTCAATACATGTTTCCTGATGAATTAATGAGCCTATGAAAGAAAATACAGTGGTCATACACAATTACTCTGAGCTATTGTTTGTTTTTATTCATAATCCATATTGGTAGCTGTTGGTGTTTTTGATTTCCCAGAGAAAAACAAGCATAGGGACTTTTTACAATGCTTATCGTCAACTCTACATGGGCTCTGCCAGAATGCCACAGTAGGCGTTCTTTGATGAAGGAGTATTTCCAAAAACTAATAATAATTATAGCATCAGCAGAATTGGTTAAAAATGAAATTGCTGTTACTCTTCGCATTATCCCCTAACATGTTGCTTTTATTGCTTGTTTATTTGAAACCCTCTGTTGTTCAGATAAATAATTAGTATGACATGCATTGTTATTTTTAAACAGGATATCAGATTGTTCTTTGGTTTTGAATTAACTGAAGATCCTTAAGAAATAGATATTGAAGGTTTTGTGAAACTTTCACTGTAGTTTTATCAAGAATTGTTCAGGAGATCTGAAATGGGCAAAGTAATTAGAAATAGAGAATATAAATCACCACTAATCTCTTCTGACAAACTCTTATATCAAAAATAGTTTCACAGGGAAGCCAAAACAAGTGCATGCTTTTAGATATCACTGGCTACTGACTTTTATACTACCTAGAGAGGGAATTTTATAAATATAATAAAATTGCCTCTCTATGCTGCTATTTTTAATTCTAATTTTAATACAATTAGTAAATGGTGTCTTCTCCAATGGCTACAAGTTATCAGGACAGTATCTGCTTCAAACATCTTTGGCTAACTTTCAGTTAGCAGGCTTTCAAAACAATTCCTTTTCCACTAGTTGCCATCCTCTTCCAGGAAGAGATAATTTTCATAAAATTTTGTAGGTAAAACATACTGACAAATTATGTAGTCTATTTGCTTACTTTTTGGGTAAAGAGTTGATTCACGGAAAGGTAAAATGATTGGCCTGGGATCTAGCTAATGGCAGATTAGAACTAAATGTAAGCCTTTGGTATTCTGGTTCAGTGGACTTTCTACTGCATTAAAATGCCTTAGTTCCCTGAGGTTCAAAGTAGTCCTGTTTTACCTATGATGTCTTATTGCTCCAGTTATTGACTTTTATAAGTACAAAGACAAAGGAAAAAATTACTATTGACTTTGCCTTATGTAATATCAGAAAAACTTTAGCAGTGAAAAATTATAGAAAAAAAAGATTACTGATTATTGAAATTTCCAAGCATATAATCAAGATGGAAAACTCAAATCTTAGATTTAATAAGAAATAGTATGATGCTATATTCATGACTACACATTAGCAGATTTTAGCAAATATTCTGAAGATGAAATTAGAGTACTGATTAATTTTTAAACACACTTAACTCCCTTAGAGATGCCATTCAGTAGTGTTTCTAGTCAGGAAATATCCTGATATGAGCTAATATAAAGTTTAGAGGGGTCCCTGAGTGACTATACCCCAAGGCAACTTTTGGGGCAAAAATATAAATGTGACAACTCTGTCTGTGACTGTCTAGTAGAAAAATAACACTGGAACCTAGTACCAGACTTGGTTGAAAAAATTGTAAAACTAGTTTTTTCTTCCCCTCCCCCAACAAATAGAATAGTTTTCTAAAGACCAAGTAACATTAACTTCTCTGCCAGATTCCTTGTCTATGAGCACACTTTGCTGTTTAGAATGATGACTGTATCTTACACGTTTATTGCATTTCACGATTTTCAAAAACTACATTTCTTCACCACACAATATTTTGCAATAGCATCATTTTACAAACAAAGGAACTGATTCTTTATGAGGTTAAATAATTTGCTTTAGGGTTTGTTGCTAATAAATTAACAAAGCTGGAACTTGAAAGTAACTGTTGAATCCAAGCTAGATTGAAGCTCTTTTTTTCTCCTCGGGGCCACACTGTTCAGAGTATAGCAGTCATTGTCCCTATGCTCTTATAGGACACCAGACTATTGCAAGAGCAAGTAATTACATCCATGTAAGAGCTAAAGTTCACAATAACCAGAATCATGAGGACAAGGGTCCCATAGTTTAAAAAAAAAAAAAGAGAGAGAGAGAGAGAGAAACAAGAGCAATAGAGGGTAATTTGGATCTGTTTTTCTCTTTATTTAATTTGTGTATTTGAGGAAGGTAGATGATAATTTAAGAGCCTATCTTCTTGCATCTCGCTCTCTCTATTTCTCTGTCTCTCTGTCTTTTCCAAGGAAAAATAAAAATATTTATCAAACAGTAAAGCAAAGACAATGTGTATCTGTATAGCTGGAGATTTTAAGAGAGTTTTAAAATCTTTAATATATTTTATATAGTCTTTACATGGTTTTAGAATTTATAAGGAACTAACTTTTCTGCCTTTTCTAGAAATAAGAGAATATAGGCTACTAATACCATAATCCTCTGATTCAACAAAGCCAGATAAATTGGTAAAGCTTTTATTCTCTCATCTCACTTAATGATTGTATTAAATCAATTACTAAGTCCCACCCACAATTACACTAAATTCTTTTCAAAACTCTTCAATCCAACCGTTCCTTTTTCACTATCTTACTTTCTTAAGACCCTTATTTTTTTCACTGAAAATATTAATTAAGAGCCTGCTATGTGCCAGACAAAGTTCTAGGCACTTTCAGACACATTACTGAACCAAGGAGAAGATTGATGCCTTAAACTCTAGCAAGGGAGAAAGACAATCGGATAATTTAAAGAATAAATTAAATAGTATGTTAGAGAATAACAAATGCTTTGGGAGGAAATGTAGAGCAGGACATAGAGGATTGTGAGCGCTAGGAAGAAATGGATGTTTGCAATTCAAATAGGGTAACCAGGAAAGCCCTCAGTGAAAGGGTGACACTTGAGCTAAGATTTAAAAGCAATAATTAACTCTGCATTTATGAGACAAAGATCCTAAGATGGGGCATATCTGGCATTTATGAGAATCAGCAAGGAGGCCAGTGAGGCTAGAATGAGGGAACCAGGGAAAGAGTAGTAAGAGACCAAAGCAGACAGGTGATGGGAGCTTGTACGTTATTGATTATAAAGACTTTGTCTTTTACTCTGAGCTATTTGAAGAATCATTGCAAGAGTTGAGCAGAGAAGTGACATGACCTGATTTGCTTTCCTGATTTTGTCTTTAAAAGAATAGCTCTGGCTGCTGTGTCATGATTATTCTATAAGAGGCAAAGATAGAGGCAAGAAAACAAGTGAAGATTTTATTACAGAAACCCAGAAATCTGCTTCTTGTTCTGTCTACGAAAATAAACTTTACTAAGTCTTAGTTTTTATGTCTTTCAGTCCATTCATCATCCTGACATCAGTTAATTCCTGAAATAAAAATCGGATCACGTGATGTGCTTATTTCAAAATTTCAGTGGTTGCCTGTTGCCCATAGATTTATGACCTACTTCTTCATACAAATCTCTTCAAAATCCAATCCCAATCTATTTTTTTCAGATTAATCTTCAACGCCCTTCCCCATACCTGAAGTATTTGCTTTAGTTATAAAAGGTTGTTTGCTATTTCCTGAACATGCCACATGCCATCAGGCCTCTGTGACTTTGTGCTTGTAATTCCACTGGTAAGAAAACACATTTTTTTTTTTTCCTGCCTGGTGAACTTTAAATTTTCGTATAGAGATTTAACTAAGTCATGATCAGTTCGGTGAAGACTTCTCTGGCTCTTTACTGCAAAGTTAACTCTTCCTTCATTATATTCTGTTGTCCTTTATACATGTCCCTCCTAGAGCACTTATTATATCAAAGTTACTTCTTCATCCACCTATCCCTGAAAAGATGATGAGCTTCATGAGGATAGACAATATGACCTGGCTGATTTTATACCCTATGCCTTGAGCTATACTGCATCACAGATTAGATATTGAATAATCAATATCTTTTGTTAAATGAATAAACAAAAATAATTTTAACATGAAGATCTTATGTTTAATAGTTGTTCAAACATAAATTGAAAATGTAAGCCCCTAAGAAATTTAGAGTGGTATAGTAGATAGGAAAATAGTTCTTATATTTATATTTGCTTTCAAGAAATATTTCTAAACCAAGTTTGATAAAAACTCATGACCCAGTCATGTGCTTTTGGAGAATTGTACCATTTCTGTCAAGCTCCAGTTCAAATGACATTCCATTTTGAAAGATTTTATTGTTAACTGGTCCGTGCTAATTAGTATGGCTACAAAGATAAAGAAGATTTTCTTCCCACAGAAACTTCATAAACAAAACGGTCAGTCATATACAAAACAACTACCTGGGTAAATGAGAGGTGACATTGGAAATCACTGGGGAAAGGACCCTTCAAAGTGGTTAGGAAAACCAGCTTTTTACATGGAAAAGAAATAAAAAGTTAGATAAACTCCTTACATATTAATAGCCTAAATGAGGAAGAAAATTCAAAACTTTCAGTGTCTGGGAGAGAGGAGAAAAAACATTCAACACTTTTATGAACACATCGACAGTTTGTTTTATGTTTTTTACCTCAGAATAGAAAGAATATTTAAAACAAGATATAGAAATATATTTTAAAAATTGTTAAACTTTACATGGGGATAATGAAAGTCAATCTAACAAAAAGATAGAAATAAATACCATAAACTAATTTAAAATACAAGAGACTAGAAGAAGATTATGACACACTTTTGACTAAAAATGATTCATATTTAGAAGATATGCAGCAGAGGTCATACAAATAAGAAAAAAACAAACATTCAAATAGGAAAAGATATAAGAAGACTGTATAGTCAATAATTGCATGTTACACTTAGAACTAGAAAACTCACTCTTTAATATAATAATAATGACAATAAAATAAGAAGAAGAATGATAAAAATCGGTGCTTTGAGTCTAGTTTATTTGTTTCTGTACAAAAAAAGTAAAGACTTAATCATAAAAACTATTAGAGCTAATAAATGAATTAGGTAAATTTGCAAAATACAAAACCAAAATACAAAGAAAAAGTGTTTCTATATAATAACAATATGCTATCCAAAAAACAAATTAAGAAACCAAATCAATTTTTATTAGCATCAAAGAGAATACAATACTAAGAATAAATTTAACCAAGGAGGTGAAAGGTCCATACACTAAGCACAATAAAACCTTGATGAGAGAAATTGAAGAAGTCTCAAATAAATGGAAAATGTTCAGGAATTACAAAATTAATATTTTTCTGGTACCTAAAATTATCTACATATTCAAAGCAATTCCTATTAAAACCTCAATGGCATTTTGCACAGAAATAGTAAAAACAACCCTAAAATTCATATGAAACCACAAAATATCTGGAATAGACAGAGCAATCTTGAGCAAGAAGAACAAAGCTGAAGGTATTGCACTACCTGACTTCAATATGCTACAAAGCCATAGTAAACAAAAGAGTATGGCACTGGCATAAAAATGGACATATAGACGAATGGAACAGAGAGCACAGAAATAAATTCATGCATTTCCAGCCAACTGATTTTCCACAAGGTTGTCATTAACACACAATCGGAGAAATGACAGTCTCTTCAATAAATGATGTTGAGAAAACTGAATATCCACATGCAAAAGAATGATACTGGACTCTATCTTATAACATATTTAAAAAACTACTCAAAATGGATTAAAAACTTAAATTTACAACCTGAAGCTGTAAAACTATTAGAATAAAGCACAGGGGAACAGCTTCTTGGCAATGCTTTGGGTAAACTGAATTTTTAGATATGACCCCAAAAGGATGGGTAGTGAAAGCAAAAATAGCCAAATGGGATTGCATGAAACTAAAAATTATTCTGTGCTCCAAGGAAATAATTAACAGAGAGAAGACACAACTTACCTAGGAGTGGAAAAAAATATTTATAAACCATACATCAAGTAAAAGTTTAAAATCCAAAGTATATAAGGAACTAAACTCAATAGCTAGGAAACAACCACATTGAAACTGAGCAAAGACCTGAATAGACACTTATTAATGGAAGACATACAAATTACCAACAGGTATATGAAAAAACACTAAGTGTCACTAATTATTAGGAAAATGAAAATCAAAACCACAATAAGATATATCACTTAATGTATGTTAAAATGGTTATCATCAAAAAACATTATAGCAAGTGTTGGCAAAGGTGCGGAGGTAAGGGAACCCTTGTACACTGTCAATGGGAATGTAAATTGGTATAGTCATTATGAAAAATAGTATGGAGGTTCCTCAAAATATTAAGAATAGAACTCCCACATGATCTAGAAATCTCATTTCTGAGTATATGCCAGAAAGAAATAAAATTAGTATGTCAGAGTAATATCTGCACTCCCATGTTCATTACAGTATTATTCATAATTGTCAAGATATGAAATTAAGTGTTCATCAGTGGATGAATGGATAAAGAAAATGTGGTGTCTATATAACATGAAATATTACTAATCCTTAAAAAAGAAGAAAATTCTGCCATTTGAGACAACACAGATGGATGTGGAGGACATTATGCAAAGCGAAATAGGCCAAGTACAGAACGACAGATACTACATGATCTCATCTACATGATGAATCTAAAAAAGCTGGACTCATAGAAACAGAGAGTAGAATGATGGTTGCCAGGGGGCAGGCAGAAGTGGAGTGGAAGAAATGGAGAGATGTTGGTCAAAGGGTTAAAAGTTTTGTTATGCAGTTTTGGAGATCTATACAGCATGCTGACTATAGTTAGTAATACTATTTTGTGAACTTGAAATTTGCTAGGAGAGTAGATCTCAAATTTTCTCATCACACACACAAAATGGTAACTATTTGAAGTAATGAATATGTTCATTGGCTGGATTGTGGTAATCATTTCACAATGTACACTTATAGCAAAACATGTATACTTTAAACATAAAATTTTTGTCTACTATATCTCAATAAAGCTGGAAAAAATAAAAATAATACAAATAAATCATCAACATACAAAATGTTGGCAAAAATGTGGAGCAACTGGAACTTTCACATGTTGCCTGTGGGAATGTAAGATAGATGGCACTCTACTTTGGAAAATAGTTTAGCAGAGTCTTAAAATACTAAACATATAACTAACATATGCTGCAGCCATTCCATTTCTAAAAGAGAAATGAAAACATATGTTCATACATATAAGTAAAGACTTATATACCAATGTTTAGAGAAGCTTTATTTACAATAGCCAACAGTGGAAATAGCCCAAATGTCTATCAACAGTTGAATAGATAACCAAAATATGCTATACCCATACAATGGGATACTACTCATCAGTAAAAAGCAATGAACTAATGATACATGCAACAACCCGAATAAGTCTCAAAATTTATTTCTTCCTTCCTTAAGGAAGGAAGACAGACCAAAAATAGAGTATCTACTATATAATTCCATTTATGTTAAGCTCTAGAACATGCAAAATAATCTATAATGATAAAAAAGAAGCTCAGGGTTTCCCTGCGGACACAGTGAAGGGAGTAATGGATTACAAAGAGTCAAGCGGAAACTTTTGGAGGCGGTAGAAATGTCATTATATTGATTGCATTCATGGTCTCACTGCATACACATATGTCAAAAGTTAACAAACTGTGCATTTTAAATACATGTGTTCTATTGTTTGTCAATTGTACATCAATAAAGTCATAAATTTTTTAAATAGTGAAATAATAAAAAAGGAAAAGAAATATCTTCAATGAATTATTGATATGATTGCTTCAGGAAAGAGATAGGGATTAGAACAAAAAGCATGAGGCATATTATTAAAATCTAAGTCAAAATTATTGTACTTATTTTTGTTAATAGTAAAACCCAAACTCTTTACAAAGGCCTAAAAAGTCATTCATGACTTGTATCATTTCTTTATTTCTCTATTCTTATTCACTATGTCTCCCTCCATTGCTGGACCACCTCTACTCTAGACACACTGTCCTCCTCCCTGGTCTCAAAATAGTCCCACCATAAGACCCTGTTACTGTTTTTTTGCTCTGCCTGGAACATTCTTCCCCCATTATTTACAAGACTCAGTCTCCTACTTCATGTGTCTACCATGACTCCCCAACCCCAGCTAAAACAGAAAACCCACTCCCACCCTGGAACCCTCAATCTCTTTCATCTGTACCTATATAACAGAATTTATATGTTTCTAAAATACTGTATAAATTGTTTTATTATACTTATTGCTTATTTTTTGTCTCCCTTCACTAGCGTGAAGTTCCAAGAGGGAAAAAAATTTTGTTTCTGTCATTCACCAATGTAGACTTAGCACCTAACACAGTACCCAGCATTTGTGGTGTTTAGTAATTATTTCTTGAAGGGCTTTAGTATATACATATTTCATATCTGCATGAAATATACATATATGAAATATAGGTATTATCTATATATACGTAATATGCTTTATTAAATGCTTAGAAAAAAATATATAGAATTCAAAATTATTCTGTATAGTCTGCATATTTGAAAGATTCTTTTTCTTTTTAAAAAATGTTTTAAAAAGTTGATAAAACAATCAATGAAAATATAACACATGGAAAGACTATAAATTATGTAAGATGAGATTGATTTGCTGTTGTTGGCACTTAAAGTACATATTACAAAAATAAATACCTGAAATTATATTTAATGAAATATTAAACTCTCAACCAGGTTTTACTAACATGAAAGTCTGGTTAGTTTTCCTTTCTACTGAATTCATGTATTACTTAGGCTGCATATTCTATTATGCAGCTTAAATGTATGAAGAATAAGAAATTATATACATTTCAACAAGAAAGAAGTTTGATTTTTGAACTTGGATATTTTCCCTCAATTTGATGACCTAACCAACCTTCTAAAATAAAAGCTTGGAGGAAAAGTAATTATTTTTTCTTTTCATTTACTTAAAATGAATTATTTGGATGAATATATACAGAACAGGTTCCAATTTAAAGTATAAATAAAGGACCTCTATGACATATATAACAGAATTCTTCCCAGATTACAATTATAACAAAAAGAGAAAAAGGGACTAATTTCAGAGTAAACTCAGTTTCCAGCAAGGTGATTTTTCTGAAAGTAGATTGTGCCCCAATTTACTTGCATGCACAGAAGTAGAACTACATGCATTTCCTTGTGGGGTATAATGCATGAAAATATAACTTTAAAAGTATGAGCCACATTATAGCCACCTCAGCGGGGAGTTTACTGGACTGGCTACATGCAGGGAATTTATGAAAAACGAGCTGAGAAAATTTGGTCCCACTATGAGTAAATTGGGAGGACAACTTGAAGAATGTAAATTCAAACAACCAATAAACCAGATGGCTCAGAGGGGAATTTAATTGTTATACATAAAATTTAATATGGAACAGGCACCGGCAAGGTAAGTTACTCTTTAAAACTCACACAGTGTAGCAGAAAAAACTCAGTGACTGGAAATCTCAGAGTATTTCTGCATTACAGATGGAAAATTTCCATTGTTCAACAGCCTGCTCACTAACTTAACAGACAAGCAGAAAGAAAAAAAAAGTTAGAAAATATCAATATGAAAATACTCTTATTTCCCAAAAATAAAGTTTAAAGCCACTATTTCATACCCAGGTTTCCTGGTATTTTATATTCGTGTGTTACTTCAATTCACTTTAATGACAGGTTAGGGACTATGCACGAAATTACCCTAAAAGAGAAAATAAAGCGATATTCAGATGATAATGGTAACTGTATTTTTTCCTCCTAAGTGTAATGTTGATTAAAATGTGGAAATGAAGAAATTAACAGGGCTGTGAAATTTGACTTTGTGAATGCTCAGCTCTCTGGAGGCAGTTGATCTCATACCATGGTTATGTCGCAATGCAATGGGAAAATACAAAATCCCACTGTTAAAGAAGTGCATGTTTGAGTTGTATTATCCCAGGGATATTTACAGAGGGTCAAAAAATGAGGTTTATCTACATTTTTGGCCTCAAATATCTCTGTGGAAGTGCTGGTCCCTGTAATCTGGGCCCAGTATTATGTGAGTCACAAGAAGTCATTTTGCTTAGATTTTCACAATTCTGTAAAGTATAAAAATAGTGCGCTCCCTGGACCTCAGATGCCCTGCTTCACATTTGGTGTTCCCGGGTTCTCATCCAAAGACAATCAATCATAGCATAAGAATAAAAATACTCAATCCCCATAGGGGAACGTCACTTAAATATAAGGGCTTTTGCTTCCTCTTCTGCCTCTCTTCCAACGACGTATCCTTCAAACACTCTTTCACCTAAGATTTCAGAGATCCATAGCTTGGGAGGAACTTCACACAAATTTACAAGATGTTTTTCTGGGCTAGGTGTTACTGCTTATGACTACAATGCAAGTCATTTTCTGAATATGAAGCTGATTGCATTGCATCTAACTTTGGTCTCCATGTTTATTCATAACAAATTTCTTACTCTGTTCCTCTTTCTTTCCACAAATATTTACTAAGTAGCTGCAACATGCCACATACTGTTCTCAACCCCTTGGGTCTCAGAAAGTGAGTTATACTGCTTCCATTCATTTTAAAGTATTTTAAAGAGATGGGTGAAGTGCATATCCACATGAACACAATTATCAAAATTTATGTTAATTAAAAGCCATTTACACATATTCTTTTTTTGTGTTCTGAATTCTACATGAGTTTTCAGAGATTATGAAAGTTGGAGCAATTTTTTTTTCTAAAGCAATAACATCAGAGCAAAGTGTTTTATGCAAGCTATTCAGTGTCAACTTGTTGGACAAGTCAACTCAGAGCCACCATCACATGGATGCACCTGCCTTGTCTTTGCAGGAGCTGCCTTAGCTAATTACTTAGCAGTAAGAATGCCAGCAGCTACCCAAGTTTTCAAAGAGGCATGGAGATAAAAATCCTACATTAATTCCTTCATTGTGCTTTTTAAGGAATTAGGAACGGGTTTCTTTGGGGCATGAAGCAAAGGAGCAGAATTCTTATTACTATGGCTCATCTTATAACAAAGTTAAGATTCATTTTCCTTAGAAAGAGCTGGAAGATAGTATAATCCGTATCTATTTTTTTCAAAACTGAAAATCATGAGGGATTTCTGATTCCATCAATTATTTTTAGAAATTTTTAAAATGTAGATGTTAAAGAAAATAATGTAACTAACATTTATGCTCCAATAATTTTTAGAAATTGTCAACCATTTTGCCAAATTTGCTTCAAGTATTATTTTAAGAAAAGGATACAGATAATTTTGAAGTATTAGAAGTGTTATTTGACTTACACTGTGTCATATCTTCTTGTCTGTTTTTACAGAGGCAGTCTTTATCATGATTTTTATCTCTATTTCAAATTTCCATATATCTATATATGTATGAATGAATAATGTCTATTATACTTACCACTTGTACAAATAGTATCACATAATATACCTTATGTATTATTCTAAAAGTTGCTATTCACATTGGTTTCCATGTATTTATGTTGTATATATGTAACATATACACACAAATGCATACACACATACCTTTATAGAGAGTCATCTATTTAGCTATCTAGAGAGTTTATTCTGGCCAGGCATGGTGGCACGCACTATAATCCCAGCACTTTGAGAGGCTGAGGTGAGTAGATCACTGGAGCTCAGGAATTTGAGACCAGCCTGGCAACATGGTGAAACCTTATCTCTACAAAAAATAAAAAAAATAGCTGAGTGTGGTGGCGTGTGGCTGTAGTCCCAGCTACTCAGGAGGCTGAGGTGGGAGGATTGCTTGATCCCTGGAGGTAGAGGCTGCTGTGAGCCACAGTCGTGCCACTGCACTCCGGTCTGGGTGATAGAGAGAGATACTATCTCCAAAAAACAAAAACAAGAAAGAGAATTAATTCTTTAAAGTTTTAACTTTTCCATTATGTAATTTTACTATTTTTAAATTTAATCCCCTGTTACTAGAAATAACTAGTTGGAAGTGTTGAACATGTTTCCTTGCCAATGTGTGTGAATTTCTCCAGAGTATTACTATACTCAGTAGTGGAAGCTTGTGTCATAGAGTATATACACATTCAAACTATTATTGTCCACAAAATCACCCCACAATGGCTGTACCAAATATAGTCACAACAGTGTTTCTCTTCTTTATCTGCTTTTGTTCATTCCAATTTCCTTTCCTGTAAGTTGCCTGATCATAAATTTAGCCCATTAGCTTGTTGCTTTTTTTGCCCGCTCAGATTTTCTCTACCATGACAGTTTCCTAGTGTTGAAGAGCTGCTTTTCCCAAACATCCTCAATATCTTACTGTTCCCATCCAATCTGACACACAACTTAGTCATATGTTATGTTGGCATAGCTATAGAACATTGTCAGGAAATGGCAACATAAGAGCTTCCTAATCTGTTATTACTATTAAACAAGCCTTTTTATCCTGGCACTATACAAGTACCATAAAGTCCATATTTCTGGACCAAACATTTTTTGGTTTGAGTTCACAGTGAAGGGAAATGCTAAACAGGGACTTGTAAATCAGTCTGATATGTGAAATTATTCTCCACACTACCAATAAAAAGTTTATGTTCCCCTCATCCTCCCATTTTATGGTATTTGCAGGCAAACTACAGAAAAAAAGGACAGAAAACTGAGGATTTATATAATGATCAGCCAAGAACTACATGAAGAAATAAAATATTCTTAGTTTATTGTGACAAAGAACTGAACAATTGGAACTATAAAATATGTTGATGAGGATTCGACAATTGAAATCTGAAATATGGACTGTTGTAGGTTGATTTTTCCCCCAAATAGTGGTAAATGCCTTAATTTTAGAAAGGAACATCTTATAGCAAACAAGCATGAGGTAAGACCAGTGTTGGACATAGCAGCAAAGCATAAGACCATTAAGAATTAAAATAAAAAGGAAATTAACTCAATTTCCCAGCAGAAACAATTGAGTTAGCCCTATCTAAGAAGCTCTTTAATTACTTAGAGATGTGGTAAGGTCAATAACTAACAAATCATTCTTAAGGCGTGCAAGAAAATAGCTATTTTATTTTCGATTGATATAATCTTGCTCTTAAGCTCCTAACCTGTTGAATGGTGATGGAAGGAATAAGGACTTATAACTGACAAGTGAGGATAGCCTTGACTTTTCAGGTTTAAGCCAGTAGATTCCACTTTCTAATGGGTAAAAGTTCAGTCTTTCAGAGTTTTTTCCTACTCCACACTAACCTATCCAAGGTGCCAGTCAGCATAAGAGACATCCTGTAGACATCGGCTGTGGAAGTTCAAGATCATGACCATTAGCCTTGGTTCATGGGCCTTGTATACCATGAGTTCTTCATCTGGACCAAAAGATGTTAATCTTCTGATCATTCTACACATCTTCTACATAGAAACCCGATGTGTGCAGGCTATGAAGAAACAAGACAACTACTCTTTGATCATTTGCTTCAAATACATATGTATTAGCAAATGCTTGTCATGCTAGATATGGTACCAAAACAATGTGATGTTATTGGAGAAGAGTTTTGGTTTTTTCCAGGTTCCTCCATCTTAATCTAGATATTTCTCTCACAGACCACCTTGAGGATTCTCTTTGAGGGAAAAATTATATATTAGCACCTGTTTTCTTTCATTAAAATTTTCTCTTGAAATTCTCTTGCATCCAACTCAGTCAAGTTTCTGCATTCTATTTTGGCAGGTGGAATTTCTAGTACATCATAACCTCGTTTCTCTACCTGGCATAGAATAAAACTGGCTATTCAAGCTTGACTCTATCAGAATTGGCTCTTGATATGTTAATGGAGCTTAAAGAATTTAGAAAATCCTCTTTTCTCTCAGTAATGCATAGCTTTCCAGAATAATTGTCTAACAAAGGACTCAGAAATTCATAGTGGCCTTAATGACTAATTTGACAGTCAAAATCTAGTAATGATTTCATCGCTTTAATTGGTATATCCATCTTTCCAAGATGTAAGCCTCTTGGCTTGCCCTTAAGAACAGGCTATAGGGGAAAATTATTCAGGAGAAATACAAAATAAATCTGGTAAATATTTTCCAAATATGCTGTAATAGATATATCAATTGACAATGAAAAACAAATTCCACTGAATAATATTTATTTTTTGTAAATAAACGCATGCTTATACTACTGAGTAAATGCTATATCATAATTTAATTTTAATATCCCTAATTGAATAGAGTAACGTCTTTGTAAAATTTTACTCCATTTTCTTATTATTGTAAAAGAGAGGTTACAGTCACAAAATACTGGTCCTACAGTGTCTTAAGTACACTTCAGCCATATAAAACTGCAGATTTTGATCTTCTTTTTAAAAAGTTGAGAATATTACATATATTCAGGCTTGCATTTCCTCATGGAACAATTAGCTGGAGTTGAGTAGTAGCTGGCAGCTCTCTACGGAATTATCCTCTTGATTTATTACTGTCTTCTCCACTTTCTATTTTCTTTCTGACACAATAGCGATCTTATTTATTAAGGATAACTGCATGGCCTCTGTAGGCAAGTGAGTCTCTAAACATATTTGAATTGTATACACAAGCCTAAGATAGGCGTATTTGGATTTGGTAGGCTCTGAAATACTATCACCATCAACAATCCAAAGCCCAGAGCGTACAAACTAATAAGCGACATCCTTTACTGGGTGCCACCTGTGGGCATGCTTATCCCACTCTTCTGGAAGTTACATTGGCATTTACATTTGCCTATAGCCTTGACTTAATTCTGGCGCTTCTCACATTTGTTGCCTTAAGACAGAACAAAGTATTTAACAGTGTCTGATCCCCCTACATCAACTGGAAGGTCAATAGGGCTTTCCAGTTAGTAAGGCTCCTGTGGATCTGGGGCGCTAGATAAAACAGAGAGTAATGGATGTGATGTACAGACAAAGAGAACAAATAACAAATGGAATCCAAGTAAAACAACGAAGGACAAAGTCATAAAAGTATGTGCACACAGGGATATTATAGAAATGAGATAAATCTGGGAAAGCCAAGAAGCCCTTGAAAGTCAGGAGAGAAGAGAGAACAGAAAGCAACAGGCTAGACCAGTTCTAGACGTGTGCTGGAAGACAAGGGGCTCGATTTTTATCTGCTGCAGGTAACTGGAGGCAAAGTGAGTCTGTGCAGAAGGCCCGCGATAGAATGAATTGAACTAGAACCTGAAATGTGGTTTGGCACTAAAATGAGACAGTTATAAAAACCTCCCTCTGACTTTATTTTCCAGATTGCAAAAACCTCTGGATTTGTGAGAGAATTCCAACAATAAAGGGAAGTAAAAAACCCTGCATAGTAGCATAGAAAGGCAATAAAATTAAAACGTTTAAGGTGTATAATATTAAAATTTGAATAACTAAATCTATGTCAAATTATAGATTTTTCTACATAAAAGCAATAGTGTACTATGTGGGTGTGCCTTTTATTCAATAAGTATTTTCTGAGAACTTAGATTGTGTTAAATATAAAGGGGGAAAAGGGTCATTAAAGGCATAGAAAAAGTTTGTCCTCTTAACAAGTTTAGAATCACTCCATTGGAAACCAGATATATATTCTGATAGGGATATTTGAAACTTGCAGTAGCAATTTACCATTATTACAGCCTTCTTTTTAAGTGCCAAGTACTGTGTTGGATACTATAGTGAATTATCTTTTCTAATCTTCAAGGTAAGTAAACAAGATATTATTACATCCATTAAGCAAATAAGTGAACTGAAAAGTTTTTTTACCCTGGACTACCTTGATAGCTTTCCCAAAGCTCATTTCCATATGAACCATACCTTTCTCGAGTACACTCTTCAAGCTATTTTCTAATTCATATTTCTAAACCATATCTCTGATTTTGTCACTTTTATTACTCCCTATGGAAAAATTTAAACCTCTTAGGCTACCTTTCAAGGTACTACAAGATCTTTTTTTATACCATCAATAATTATCACCTCTTTCTTCCCTTTAAAAACTCTAAGTTTCAATCTACTCCAGCATTCTCTTCTGCCCAAACAGCTTGAACTTCTAGTAATTATGCATTTGCTCCACTTTTATCCACTCAGAGAGCTTCTCCCATTTTTTTCTTAATAACCAAAGATTATACATTTTTCAAGTAAAGGAAAAAATGAAATAATAATTTTCATAAAATCTTTCTCTTAATTCCCCTAGTTTTAAATAATTTATCTTTAGCATGGACACTTATCTCTGCCATGAACTCTTCTATAACTTAAACCATTCTACTTTTGTGGTATGGTGTGGCCAAGAATGTAGGTATTTAGTAATTAATTGGTTTTGTGGCTGTAAGATGTATAGGGAGAGAGAGACATTGAAAAATAAAAGATGCTGAGAGGGCACCTAGAAAGTAGGCATTGGAATTCTAGGGAAAGTCTGGTAAGAAATGATCAAGACCACATATTTATCTTTGAATTTAATGTTACCATACCCTTTGGGATGTCCCAGGATGACCCTGCACTAGGCCTGAACACAGGTAACAGCAACAGAGCCCTTAAAATAAAACCATCATGCAGTTCCTGAGCTTTACCTAGAAGCTACACTGGTGAAAAAGATATGTATGGTAGTTCTGAATTTGTAAGAGGCCAGGCTTACTTTCTGGTAAGGTGAATATGTAAGTGAATATAAAAAGATATAATGTTGGAAGTACAGGCACAAATTTGAAAATTTAGGTTTAAACACCCTGAGATAGCATAGGCACTGATTTCTTTTTACTTTGCAACTTGAAGAAGTTCTGCAGCAAGGACAGAGGCAGCAATCAGAACAGATAGCTGGAGAGGAGGAAACATATCCTTTTCCTTCCACTCTTCCAGATTCTTGGCTGGGTCTCCTTGTCAAAAGACAGATTAACAAAAGGAAAGCATTTAATATAAGTTTTATGTGACTTGATGCCTTCATTAGCAAATGAAGATCCAAAGAAATGGTTAAACTGAGCATTTTATACTACATTTGATGGCGAATGGAAAGATATGGAAAAGTATAAGAGAAAAGGGTACAAGCTAAGTGTATTAAACTAAAGGGCGGTTAGCGAGGCTTGTTTGTTAGGATTCCTGTCGGTGTCCCTCTGTCTTTGAGAATAAAAATTTTCCTTTCTGCCAGGTATTTGGGGAGCACCTCTCATATGAGGGACATATGACCTGCTTCAGGGTAAGGTCAGGGTCTTTCCTGCCCCTGCCTATTCTCAAACTCCTTCAGCTTAAAATATTTAGTATGCCAAGGTGCCGCATTTTGGAATAGGGTGTCCTGAGACCTGTCATAGCTCAATTCCATCTACTTTGCAATGGCATCGTGCAATAGTCAAGCAATGGAAAGCAAAGACCCTCTTTGTGCATGGAAGCTGTGTTAAAACTATGAGTGTTCGGTGTTGGTGAAGGACAGGTTTTTTTCTTTTTTTTTTCCTTTTTTTTTTTTTTAAAAAAAACAGAGATTGTAGAGACTTTCTAACCTCAAGAAGGTACACCCTAGTTTTATATTCAGCAGAGTTAGAGATAGCAAGAAATGGCCCCTGGGACATGATAAGACACCTGCAAACTTCTTAAATCTCAAGGGAAAGAGATCCAAAGAAAAGGAATTGGACTTTACATTTTTAATATATGCAGATATATGCTTGATTGACAAAGTACATGAAATGGCATCTGGCTTTCCCAAGAGTCTCCATTTTTTGCCCCTCAGTGTTGGTAGAGTGTAAAAATGGCCCCAAATTCTTTCCCTAATTACATTTATGACCTTATAATGTTACATTGCAGTTTCTTCAAGAGACAAATCTGGTTGATATTTAACATGTGTTAGCCAGTCGGACATTAGCAAATGTAACACAAACAGAGGATAGAAAGGTGCTTAAGCATTCCTCTGTTCTCTCTCTTATTTTCTTGGAACACTACAGAATATGAGAAAGCCTGAGCTAGCCAGTTGGAGGACACAACATCATGTGGAAAAGAACTGAGGCCCCAGGCTAAAGCAAACAGCAGACATGTGAATAATCCCAGATCTAAATCAACCGAATCTAGTGCAAAATTGTCAATTCCTGGAAATGTGAGCCAAGCACACAATTGTTGTGAAGCACTAAGTTTTGGGGTGACTTATTACACAACAAAAGCCATTTGATATGGAGTTTTTTGAAAATAAACATTCAACCCATGCAATCATTTATGCACATACCTCATCTCCACTTTCAGACATTAAGGGCTTTCAGCAAGTTTCATATCTTACCATATAATTTTTCCATTAAAACAAGCACAGTGATTTGCAACAGAGAGTAGAATTTCAGGATTCAAAATCTGTGGTTCAGATAAATGTTGTCTGAGGAGACAGGGGACAGAAATTAGTATAGGCTCAAGCTGAAATGAGCAGATTAGGCTCTATATCTGACTCTGGCGATACTCCAGAAGTATTTTACATCTATCTTAGTCTACACAAATGAAGCTCCTTCTGATAACAGATGTCCAGTAAACTTTTCAAGATTACTCACATAGCCTACCTGCTACATGTCCTAAAGAACTCTAAGAAGGGTAATTTCTTCTCACGTGAAAGGGCATTTCTTCTCAGATGGCATAGAAAACACATGAATCCTGCCAATGCTGCTGCTCTTAACGTCATTTTATAACCGAAACGGAGTTACGCATAGGAGCTGTTCCATTACTTGGCCCGTGAGCTGTCAGTACCCTGAGGTATTACATACCTATGTGTTCTCTTTATTGCCTGAACAAAACAGTAAAGTCACTTGAAATTCTCCTCCTGTTTGGCCTACGAGGAAGAGAATTGACAGAAGAAAGCAGAGTTTGTCAAAATAAACTGAGGATTGCTGACCTAGTTCCTTCATTAAGATAACATCCCTTCAGCATTTCTCTTAGTTGGCAGAGCAAACATATGTGCACGTGCACACACAGCCATACATGTGTTATGGTATTACTGGTCTGCATGTCTTCTTATCTGTTTTACTTTATTTTTTCTCTTAACATAATGTAAGCTTACAAGTTGTTTAGATACTACCACCTCTAGCAATTACAGAAGAGATGTTTTATATACTTTGAATTTATGTTATACTAACATGCATGCTGTTTTGGGGAAAACAATCAGCTGGGTTGCAAAAAAATGGCATGATGGTCGTTTTCTAAAATGTATGACTTAAATTATTATTAATAACAACACGACAAGATAATTAACACCCTGCACAGCATTTTCCATTTTAAGAGTACTTTAGGAATATAAATTGTATAACCTCTTCAACACCCCACTTTACAACTAGAAAAATCAAAGCAGAGGTTAAGTGATTTCTCAAAAGTAAAAATACCCAGCATAAAATTCAGCAACCTGCCCCTGATGTTTCTGCCTTAACCTTAGACCAATGAGTGATCTCTCTTTCCCCTTCTTATCTAGGATCAAGAAAACTGAGCATGGCATTAATGTAATACTCTACTGCCAGACATGATAATAGTCAATAGCCCACCTACTGAATTATATTCAGAAAGCACTTTCTGAAAAGAGAGAAAACTTAATGAAAAAAATCAGCCAGAAAGATAACTAATTAAAATTGGAGATTTCTCCATTCCATCTTTAATTTGTAAGTACAAAATAAACTCTGAACATATTTGTTAGTGGCAGAATCTATTGTCCTCCCAACTCAGTGAAAGAGAAAACACTAATTAGTCAATAAAGTTAGGATGGGAGGAAGAGGATGCAGGTAAGGACAATACAGAAGCTTCAGAAGTCACAAATATGACTATAGGCCAATTGATATGCTAAGCTAACAAAATTTCTCAGGTGATGTCATTCTGCAGAAAGGTACTGAGTTAACAATATTTGCAATCTATTTATCTATTACGTCTTTCTTTTCATACTACCTGATGCCAGTTATTCTGTTCCATAGAGTTGGCAATACAGCAATTTTGACTAATATCTAGCTTTTTATGCAAAGACGTAGCTCTAGTTCTTGGGAACAAGTATGTTGAATTAGTCCTATTTTTTGATAATAAAGATAACGTAAGCCTATGTAGTGGTGAAGTCATTTTTGCCATATTGTACACATGCAACACATAAAAGCAAACTGCAGCCTTTTTACATTTTGATTAAGAATTCTTTCTAAAAGCCACCATGTCACCATTAAGATATCAACAGAAAAATATATTTCAAACATAGAAAAAGAGATGCAATTAAATTCAGTGAATTAGAATAGCTTCAGTGGCAAGATGTGGAAACGATGAGGTTCAAACAAAGTAGATCAGATGATAGAAACAATGTTAACACTAGGAATTATATTAATTAGTGCTGACCTCGTGAAAATTGTGCTATCATTTGTAAATAATGCAGCTTTATATGATTAGGGAGTTGCTATTATAACAAAAAACTCTTAGTGTCTTTACTAATTTAATTAAAATCATAGGAAATATATATTCAGCTCTTCAGAATTTCATTATCTTGAATCTTTAGGAGTTGCAATCACTGAGAGATATCAATATTAATTTGAATTGAATATATAGACCATGCTGTTGCTAGCCCTCTGCTAGATTAAATGTCCTAGATGATTCTCCTCATGGAGACTGGAAAGAGCATGAAAAAAAAATGCACAGAATCCAGAATTAATATGAACACAGGAAGTCAGAGGACTTCAAATAAACCCTAGATGACTTCGGTTTCCCCTTTGACAGCTTTAAGGTAACTGGGACAGAAGATAAAGCCTTGAGCCCATTGAAGGTGAAAAGTCCTATAGAAAACCACCTCATAAATCTGAGAACCAAAAGGGATATCTTGTCGATATAAACAAGAAGTAGACACACCATTCAGAGTGGAAATTCAGTAACAATGGTCTTTACTGGTAGGAAAAAATAGTCTACTCTAAAAATTTGTAACCAAAATTCAGACCGCATCTGGGTTTGTATTTGAAATTCATGAAAATGTTGTGATCTGGAAAACCTCTAAATGGTTCCCGATGAAATCTAACATAGTATTAAAACACACACACAAGCACACATATACACACATTGTAAACAATATGGGTTTATTTCAAAACCAAAGACAATTTTGCATTTAAAATGATAAATATAATTTACCATTCTGATAAATTATGATAGGCAAACCATCTCGATAGTTGTAGAAATAGTGTCCAATAAAATTAACATTCACTCCTGAGAAAACTATCAGCAAATCAGTAGGAAAATACTTCCTTAAAGGTGTAAATATAATTTGTGTCAAAGCCATCATCAGGGGTCAGTAGGGAAAGGATAGATTATGAAAACTTGGCACTGAGAAAGCTGGCTTTTTAATTTTTTTTATTTTTTTATTTTTATTTGAGATGGAGTTTCGCACTTGTTGCCCAGGCTGGAGTGCAATGGCACGATCTCAGTTCACTGCAACGTCTGACTCCCAGGTTCAAGTGATTCTCCTGCCTCAGCCTCCCAAGTAGCTGGGATTACAGGCATGTGCCACCACGCCCAGCTAATTTTGTATTTTTAGTAGAGACGGGGTTTCTCCATGTTGGTCAGGCTGCTCTGGAACTCCCAACCTCAGGTGATCCGCCCGCCTCAGCCTCCCAAAGTGCTGGAATTACAGGCATGAGCCACCGCGCCCGGCTGAAAGCTAGCTTTTTATCTGAAAAACTTTAAATTGGATTCCCACTTCAGAAAATACATAATTTCAGGTGAATTGAAGAACGAAATGTAAAAGGCAAAGCAATAAACTTTTATTAAAACTCTATAAAGTAGAATATTTTAATATGTATAATAAAACAAATTTTTTTAGGAAGATATAACACTCACATCATGAAGAAAATTTGAAAAACTAGGATATTATAAAATTAAGGAATTGTTATAATCTAAAGTTCCCATGAAAGCATAAGCACTTCCCAGGAGAAGACATTTCTAACACATGCATATAACAGTAAACTATGTATCAATAAGAAAATTATAAAGAGCCCTTTAGAAAAATTAGCAAAAGACAAAAAAGTTTTTCTTAGAAGATAAACACATGACTCATATTACATGAAAATACTCTCAATATTATTATCAGAAAAATTCAAATTAAAAATTTTAAATCATATATATTGAATGACAGTCAACAATTAAAAGGTTGAATATATCATGTTAGAGAGTACATAGAGTCATGGGAATGCTCAAGCACAGTTGGTAGAAATTTCAAAGCGTTAAATCATTTTCAAAAAGATTTTGACACTACTTAGTAAATTTGTTTTATTTTGTTTAGTTTTTGAGACAGAGTCTTGCTCTGTTGCCCAGGCTGGAGTGCAGTGGCACGATCTTGGACCACTGCAACCTCTGCCTCCCAGGTTCAAGCGATTCTCCTGCCTCAGCCTCTGGAGTAGCTGGGATTACAGGCACGCGCCACCACGCCCGGCTGATTTTTTTTGTATTTTTTTTTTAGTAGGGACTGGGTTTTACTACGTTGGCCAGGCTGGTTTCAAACTCCTGACCTCAGGGGATCCACACCCCTCGGCCTCCCACAATGCTGGGATTACAGGCATGAATCACCGCGCCCGGCCTCTACTTAGTATTTGAAAATGTGCTTGCCTTATACTTCAAGCAGTCCACTCTTGCAAAAACACCATTGAGAAACACTTGAGTACATGCAGTAATAAACAGGTTTTTAAAAAGTGAATAGGATCATTATTTGTAACAGTAAATATTCCAACCCAAATGCCAATCAACAGCAGAATGGACACATATTTGTAATACATTAATATACTGGGAAACTACGCAGCTGGGAAAATGAATCAATTACAGTAACTAGCAAGTTAGAGGAATTTCACATACTTAATTCTGAGTTAAAGAAGTCACAGAAAAATGCATATGACATGGTTTATTTCATTTAAATTTCAAAAAAATACATAAAATGAAACTAAATAGACATGTAAAACTTTAGACAAAAGGAGATGATTAATAAAATGTGAATGTTTTTAGTTACTTCTAGGGAGAAAGGTGGATGATAATATTGGGGAGAGGCACTCAGAGGGCTTCCAAGATGCTGAGAAACTACTTTTTTAAACTGGGAGAGATGATGATTAGATGGAGAGATAGAGAGAAAGAGATTGGAGAATTTCATTCTGCTACTATTTTTTAAATCTGTACCTATATCTTTTGGGTATAGAACATTTTAAACAAACAAAAGTACATATTAGACTTAAGTCCATTAACCTGACATCTGTTAAGCACATTGGCTTTGAAGCTAGACAAATTTGGACACAGTTCTGGGTCAATCACTTACCACTTCTGTGATTTGGGGAAAGTTTATTTAACCTATCAAATCCTCTCTTCTTTTATCTGTGAAATAGAATAAAAGTATCTATTTCATAGATATGTAAAGTTTAAGTAAGGTAGTGAATGTAAAGTACTCAGCACAGCACCTGCCAAAATAGTACTCATGATTAGATGCTGGTTATTACCATCATCTCCATCCTACATGGAATAATTAAAACATATAAACTCATGGTAGAGTGAGACAGAAAAAGATTCTAAAATCATACTACCCCTATTATCTCAGAGAGTTTGTATTGTCTCTGGTTCTCAGTCTTCTCATCTTTAAAATGGAGATAAGAATACTTAGCTCAATTGGTAAGATGAGGACTATTTGAAATCATCTATATAAACTACCCAGCAGAATGCCTGATACATGCTCAGTTTTCAGCAAGGCATAATTCCTATGTTAGCAGTATATTGCTGTTGTCAATAAAGCATCTTAATAGTGGCTTTGTAACATTTCAATTTAACTAGGCTGAATTTCATTTCCTAAAAATCCCTTTCATAGTTTGCTTTTGGTAAACATGGGTCACAAGAGAGATTCTTGTGGGAGATCTTGTGGGAAGGTGAAAGTGAAGTTGCGATCATTTTGTAGCACACACACACTGCTCACCATAGTGTAAGCCAGAGACCAGACCTCCAGCTGTTTCATCTTCCTCTAGATCTTCCTATAGCTCTTCTCAATTCTGGGCCAGGTGTATTTTTAGCTTCATAAGAAGGAGCCCAGAATCTGCAGGACAGCCATACCCTCAAGATCAGAGGCAACAAGACTGATATGAGGTTTAATCCATGCCAAGACAACTTGTGCTTGTGGGCTCTAGCTTGCTCTTGCACTTCTCCGTTTTACATTCATCTTTCCTTTTCTGTTGCCTGCCCTGTAGTCTTCAAGTACCAACAGCATCAGATGCACAGATGACAGCTTTACAGAAACTGCTTAGCCAGCTCCTACAATTGTGTAAGGTAAAATCCTTGTAACAGAATCCTTTCTGTGTGTGTATGTGTGCATGTGTATGTATGCATGTGTGTGTATACTTATATATATGTATGTATGCATGTGCATATGTATACATATGCATACGTACATACATACAGTAACATATGCATACATTTACTTATAAGTAGGACAATTACAATACATAACGTGTTTGTGTGTATATATATCTTAGTACTCTTACTTCTCCAATTGACTCCTGACTGATTTATATGTTAGCCTCACAATCTGTGAATAATTGTTTTTGCTGACATAGTAATAACTTCTTTATTTTAGACTTTAAAAATAAGATTCAGTCCGTGTTGGTAAAAAGCTATACAGAAGAGGCGCACAAAAATTTTGAGTAAAGATGTAGTTCAGGTGGGGTAGAATGAGCACTATTCCACCAACTCTGTAACGAAGAGGGCACATAGAGGTTTGGATGAGAATTTAAACTACAAGCGTTTATATTGTTAATCATCCCAGAAGTGTTCAGTAATATCATATTTGAGCCTCCCTCTTACACTGGGAAACACTTGGGACACAATCATGATCAGAAGAGGGATTTCACTACAGCTACCACCATCATTTGCCTCCCTTAGTGATGTTCCCTGTGCTCACCCTCAGCCATTTTCCCCTGGAAAACCAGGAATGGGAAGACAGAAATTTTTGGAAATCTAATTTGTCTTTCATCCTGAAGACAAGTGATCTGTGTCTCAAAGTTGCCTTCTTCTTCTATGTTCGGCATAAATGGAATTTGAAAAAAATCTAGTGACATGGTATGAATCATATGAGTTAAAATATCATCAGTTATTTGTCATGGCATGGTATTTATTATGACATTTTAGACCTGGACAAAGTAATAAAACTAATTTGATCCCTTAACTCTTCATGTTACAAATGGGGAAACTATGGTTTAAAAAGATTACTGTCAAATTTGCCAAAGCCACCTAAGTATTTAGTGGCAAGTTTCTAAGGAGAATTAAGTTCTTGTGCAAACAGATGTCCAATGAGGTTTTTTTCTTCCCTAGAGGTTTAAAGCAATTCTGGAAGAACTAAACTTTTCAAATTTCTTTATAGAATATGACCGACAAATAATGCTATAGAGCTTCACATTTATTTTCCTGTCCTGAAGTAGGTAACATTGGCCTTGAAAATTGTATTGCATACCAACAGCTTTCAAGATGGAGAGGAGAAGCCTGGAAAATTTTAAATAACCTTGATGCTACTTATTTTACAGAGCATACAGTCCCATTGATAATCATTGCCATGTTTCTGGTGGTTAACCTGTGAACGCTGGCAGGAAATCAATGTGACCTCTTGTTTGGTTCCCATGCTTCAGAGACTCTCCCCCTTGATGGCTGAAGATTTAAGAGCATCAATAAGTGCTTTTTTACTCTCTGAATATGTTCCTTTTTTATGACATGAATCAAAATATTTTTGCTGTTTAGGAATATTTCTCACTCTTTTTAGATTTTAAACTTAATTGGGAAGGTGTTAATGAGGCCGTGGTTAGAAATATCATTCCCATCTGGGATGGGACAATCTTTCACAACTAAAAACTGAATTTTAAACTTCGTCAAGTCACATAAAAAATAAGTATCTCAGCCGGGCACGGTGGCTCATGCCTGTAACCGCAGCACTTTGGGAGGCCAAGGTGGGCGGATCATGAGGTCAGGAGTTCAAGACTAGCTTGGCCAAAATGGTGAAACCCCGTCTCTATTAAAAATACTAAAATTAGCCAGGAGTGGTGGTGCCCACCTGCAGTCCCAGCTACTCAGGAGGCTGAGGCAGGAGAATCACTTGAACCTTGGAGGAGGAGGTTGCAGTGAGCCAAGATCTCATCACTGCACTCCAGAGTGAGATTCCATCAAACAAAAAGAAAGAGAGAGAGAGAGAGGGAAAGAAATAAAGAAAGAAAGAAAGAAAGAAAGAAAGAAAGAAAGAAAGAAAGAAAGAAAGAAAGAAAGAGAAAAAGAAAGAGAAAGAAAGAAAGAAAGAAAGAAAGGAAAGAAAAGTATCTCTGAAATACATTTAAGGATGGTGGCTTGGAGTAAATTCATTCTCCCCTTTGAAAACAAATATGCACTCTTTCTCATGCCTCACCACAGCTTTCTTACCTTCCCTCCTCCTCCACCCCATCACAGTAGACTCACAGGACACACACACTCCCTAGTTATCTAACCACATGGTCAGGGAAAAATAATTGAGTTTAGTGCCAGGTAGGTAGTGTTGGTTGTAACTGTTGGTCAGAGAAGAACTTTGATGCTGGATAGAATGGAATTTAAGTCCTTATTCATAAATCTACAAGCTTTGTGACCACAGCAAGTTACTTAAATTAAGCATGAGTTTCTTTATGTTTAGAATGGGAATAATAATACTACTTAATTCACAGAGTTGCAGTGAGAGTCAAACAAGGTAGTGCGTATAATGTACATAGCAGAATGCCTTACATATTCTAGCCAATAAATATTTGTTTAATAACATGTTTTGAAAAATAACTAATATCTAGTTCAGCATTCAAACTCCCATTTCCTTAGTGGCTTTTCTTGAATTATTTTTTATTTTTGTCAATTGATAGATTAACTTTTAGGTTTGCCTATTTCGTCAATTGATAGATTAACTTGCAGGTTTGCCTAAGAGATGATTTTGAGATTTTTCAAAGAATACTTTTAAAACAACAACAACAAAAACAAAACAAAACTTCTTCGGCTGGATATTTTATCTGCCTGATTTCTTTATTTATGAAATAAAGACTTGAGGGTAAATTATTTTTAATTCGCTTCATGGAGTCAAATTATCTTTTTCTATTATTATATGACTTGTTCCTCACCTGCTCCAGACTCATTACTTTGTCTTAACCAATAAGATGGTACAGGAAAGACACTCTAGGATAAGCAGAATGCATGTTGTTGGTAGGAGAAATGGAGATACTGAATATAAGAGAAATAGAGCTATAAATGTGTTAGCGTCCTGCGGTTAAAGAGAACCTAGAATTGCAAGATGAGAACTCAGAAAGAAAATGGTCTTTCTAAGCAGGAAATCTAGGATTATTAAAGTAACCAATCAATCAACCTCAGGAAAGGCAAAGTGGAGGAAGTAGAATGAGCTTAGATTTCAGCCTTTGTTTTCTTCATAAAATAGGAGGCAAAGTGTTTTTGATGGAATTTGAAAAACAGGATGAGAAGTTACAGAAGATCTCAAAGAGTTTTGTGGAAAATAATCTACAATACAGACAAGTATAGTGCAAAAGTGGGAAGGAACTAAGGTCAGAGAAGCTGAATTTGGGCTGGACCTCATCAGAGCTCTTTTGGAATACAAAGTTTAGAAACCTAAACAGGAACAGGAAAGTTTTTAGAGTTTTCAGAGTTGAGAATCCCTGTGGTGTGAGTAACAAAGGGTAAATGTGGTAAGAGACTTAGGATCTGGGTTCAGGCACACAGACATCCTAATAGAAATTGTTTATGTTTCAGGGATTTATTCAGCTTGGAGCTTAGCTGATTCAACCTCATATATGTCATGACAACATGGATGCTCAATTGGAGAATACCCTCTCAATGAGAATCAGTTTTCATTTCTGTTATATCAATATACACTGAAAGAAACCCAAGTCAAATCATTACAGTTGTACTGTCTTACTGTTTTCATCCTATTTTGAAGTATGCTATTATTTTTACATTGGAGTGTATATGTGTGCTCGTATAACTATCTACTTTAGTTTGCTAAGGCTGCCCTAAAAAAAGTACAACAAATTGGGTAGCTTAAGAAAGAGAAATGTATTTTCTCTTGTAAACCAAAACATATCTGAGACAGGTTTCAATTAGCTTAGAAGTTTGTTTTGCCAGGGTTAAGGACATGCCTGTGACACAGCTCCAGAGGGTCCTGAGAACACATGCCCAAGGTGGTCATGCCACAGCTTGGTTTTCAGGGAGACATAAGGCATCAATCAATACATGTAAGATGTACAGATGTACACTGGTTTGGTCTGGAAAGACAGGTCAATTTGAAGGGGCAGGGGAAAGCTGGGGAGTTCCAGGTCATAGGTGGTTGCAAAGATTTTCTGATTGGCAATTGGTTGAAAGAGTTTATCTAAAGATCTGGAATTGGCCAGGTGCAGTGGCTCACACTTGTAATCCCAACACTTTGGGAGGCCGAGGCAGGTGGGTTACTTGAGGTCAGGAGTTCAAGACCAGCCTGGCCAACATGGTGAAACCCTGTCTCTACCAAAAATACAAAAATCAGCTGGGTGTGGTGGCATGCACCTGTAATCCTGACTACTTGGGAGGCTGAGGCAGGAGAATCGGATTGAACCTGGGAGGCAGAGGTTGCAGTAAGCCGAGATCATGCCACTGCACTCCAGCCTGGGTGATAAGTGAGACTCTGTCTCAAAAAACAGAAACAAAACAAAACAGATCTGGAATCAATAGAAGGGAGTGTCTGGGTTAAGACAAAAGATTGTGGAGATCAGGATTTTTATTATGCAGATGAAGCAAGTCTCCAAGTAGCAGGCTTCAGACAGAATATATTGTAAATATTTCTTATCAGACTTATAAAGGTGCCAGACTCTTAGTTAATTCTCTCCTGGATCAGGGAAAAAACCTGGAAAGGGAAGGGAAAAGGGAAGAGACACCTCTGCAGGATCATTTCAAAATATGTCAAATAAATATATTTTGGGGTAAAATACTTTGATTTCTTTTAAGGCCTTTTATCTATCATATCGGTATCTTATTGCTACAGAGAGTCTGCTTTGTCAGTCTTAAGGTCTGTTTTAATGTTAAATGCTGGCCTTCTGTGCCTGAAATCCAAAAGAAGTAGAGTATAATGTGGTATGTCTGACCCTCATTAACCTCATCTAGTTAGCCCGAACTAGTTTTTCGTGTTATCTTAGGAATGCCCTTGGCCAAGAGGAGGGGTCCATTCAATTGGTTGGGGGGCTTAGAATTTTATTTTCAGTTTACACTCAGTTCTGGTAGCTAAATGTGGTTCCTTCAATTGACTGTAAGGGAGAATATGTCCCATGTCCCTCTATTTTCTGGTAGTTTTCAGGCAGTCTTTGGTGTTCTTTGGCTTCCAGATATATCACTGTAATCTCTGCTTTCGTGTTCACCTGACATTCTCCCAATGCTCATTCATGTCTGTGTCCAAATTTCTCCTTTTATAAGGACACCTGTCATATTGGACTAGGGGATTATCCTACTCCAGTATGACCTCATTTTAACAAATTATATCTACCAAGTCCTTATTTCCAATAAAGTCCCATTTTGAGGCACTAAAGGTTAGGGCTTCAACATGTACGCTTTTGGAAAACACAATTCAACCCATAACACTATCCATATATTCATATCGCTATATAAGTTTGCATCTACATCTATATCTTTCTATGTATCTATCTAGTTCACATCTCTCTGTCTAAAGTGTATATATGATTTTCTTTTTTTAAGGGAACTATTTTTTATGTGTTATTGTTGTTTTTTTCAATGTTTAGTTTAAGTTTGGGGGCACATGTGAAGCCTTGTTACATAAACACTTCGTTTGTTGTACATATTATTATATCACACAGGCATTAAGCTCAGTACCCGATAGTTACTTTTCTGCTCCTCTCCCTACTCCACCCTCCCCCATCAAGTAGAACCTAGTGTCTGTTGTTTTCTTCTTTGTGTCCATCATCATTTCGCTCCCACTTATAAGTGAGACCATGTGGTATATGATTTTTTGTTCCTGTGTTAGTGTGCTAAGGATGATAGCCTCCAACACCATTCATGCTCCCACAAAAGACATGATCTTATTCTTTCTTATGGCTGCATAATATTCCATGATGTATATATACCACATTTTCTGTATCCAGTCTGTCATGGATGGCCACTTAGGTTGATTCGTGTCTTTGCTATTGTGAACAGTAGCTTTACGTGGAATGCTTTATATTCCTCTGGGTATATACCCAGTAGTGGATTGCTATGTAGAATGGTAGTTCTGCTTTTAGGTCTTTAAGGAATTGCCAAACTGCTTTCCACAATGATTGAACTAATTTACACACCCATCAACAGTGTATCGGGGTTCCTTTTTTTAATTTTTTTTAAAATTTTTTATGATAGCCATTCTGACTAGTGTGAAATGCTATCTCATTGTGGCTTTAATTTGCATTTCTTGATCAGTGATATTGAGCTTTTTTTCATATGATTGTTGCCTGCATATATGTCTCCTTTTGAGAAGTGTCTGTTCATGTCCTTTGCCCATTTTTAAATTTCTTTTTTCTTGTTAAATTTGTTTAACTCTCTATAGATACTGGATATTAGACCTTTGTCAGATGTATAGTTTGGTAGTTTGCAAAATTTTTCTCCCATTCTTTAGGTTGTCTGTTTACTCTGTTGATATTTTCTTTTACTGTGCAGAAGCTCTTAAGTTTAATTAGATCCCATTTGTCAATTTTGCTGTTGGTGCAATTGCTTTTGGTGTCATTGTCATGAAATCTTTGCCTGTTCCTATGTCCAGGATGGTATTGCCTAGGCTGCCTTCCAGTGTTTTTATAGTTTTGAGTTTTACATTAAAGTCTTTAATCCATTTTGAGTTAATTTTGGTATATGGTCTAAGGAAAGGGTCCAACTTCAGTCTTCTGCATATGGCAAGCTAGTTATCCAAGCACCATTTATTGAATAGGAAGTCCTTTCCCCATTGCTTGTTTTTGTCAGCTATGTCAAAGATCTGGTAGTTGTAGGTGTGTGGCCTTATTTCTCAGCTCTCTATTCTGTTCCATTGGCCTATGTGCCTGTTTTTGTACCAGTATCATGCCATTTTGGTCACTGTAGCTTTGTAGTATAGTTTGACATTGGGTAATGTGATTCTTCCAGCTTTGTTCCTTTTGCTTAATATTGCCTGGGCTATTCTACTCTTTTTTGTTTCCATATAAAATTTAAAATAATTTTTTCTAGTTCTGTAAAGCATGTCATTGGCAGTTTCATAAAAATAACATTGAATCTACAAATGGCCTTTAGCAATGTAGCCATTATAATGATATTGATTTTTCCTATCAATGAGCATGGGGTATTTTTCCATTCAATTGTATCTTCTCTGATTTCTTTGAGCAGTGTTTTGTAATTCTCATTGTAGAGATGTTTCACCTCCTTGATTAGCTGTATTCCTACATATTTTTTTGTTTTTGTGACAATTTTGAATGAGGTCACCTTTCTGATTTGGCTCTCAATTTGGTTATTATTGGTGTATAGGTATGCTAGTGATTTTTGTACACTGATTTTGTATCCTGAAAGTTTGTTGAAGTAGTCTGTCAGCTGAAGAAGTTTTGGGGCCAAGACTTTGGAGTTTTCTTTACACAGAATCATGTCATCTGCAAACAGAGATAGTTTGACTTCCTCTCTTTCTATTTGAATGCCTTTTTTCCTTTCTCTTGCCTGATTACTCTGGCTAGAACTTCCAATACTATATTGAATAAAAGTGGTGAGAGAGGGCATCCTTGTCTTGTGCTGGTTTTCAAGGGGAATGCTTCCAGTTCTTGAACATTTAGTATGATGTTGTCTGTAGGTTTGTCATAGATGGTGCTTATTATTGAGAGTTATGTTCCTTCAATACCTAGTTTATTGAGAATTTTTAACATGAAGGGATGTTGAATTGTATTGTAAGCATTTTCTGCATCTATTGAGATTATCATATAATTTTTGTCTTTAGCTCTATTTATGTGATGAATCACATTTATTGATTTATGTATGTTGAACCAACCTTTCACCCTGGGGATGAAGCCTACTTGATTGTGGTGGATAAGCTTCTTGATGTGCTGCTGGATTCGGTTTGCCAGTACTTTATTGAGGATTTTTGTACTGATGCTCATCAAAGATGCTGGCCTAAAGTTTTCTTTTTTCATTGTGTCTTTGCCAGGTTTTGGCATCATTTGGCATAGAATGAGTTAGGGAGAAGCCTTTCCTTTTCAATTTTTTGAAATAGTTCTAGTAGGAATGGTCCCAGCTCTTCTTTGTACATCTAGTAGAATTCAGCTGTGAATCCATCTGGTCCTGGACATTTTTTCATTGGTAGGCTATTTATTACTGCCTGTGATGGTTAATATTGTCAACTTGATTGGATTGAAGGATGCAAAGTATTGTTCATAGGTGTGTCCGTGATGGTGTTGCCAAAGGAGATTAACATTTGAGTCAGTGGACTGGAAGAAGCAGACCCACCCTTAATGTGTGTGGGCACCACCTAATCAACTGCCAGTGCAGCTAGAATAAAGCAGGGAGAAGATGAAAAGAGAAGACCTGTTAAGTCTTCCAACCTTCATCTTTCTTCCTTCCTGGATGCTTCCTGCCCTTGAACATTGGACTATAAGTTCTTCAGCTTTTGGACCCTTGGACTTAAACCAGTGGTTTGCCAGGTCTGTTAGTCTGATGGGCTTCCCATTGTAGGTGACCAGGCCTTTCTCTGTGGCTGCCCTTAACACTTTTTCTTTCATTTCAACCTCGGATAAGCTGATGATTACACATCTTGGAGATGATCTTCTCATGAGATATATTACTGGGGTTCTCTGCATTTCCCAAATTTGAATGTTGGCCTGTCTAGCAAGGTTGGGGAAGTTCTCATGGGTAATACCCTGAAATGTTTTCCAAATTGTTTCCATTCTCCCCAGCTCTTTCAGGTACACCAATCAGTCATAGATTTGGTCTCTTTACATAACCCCATATTTCTTGGAGGTTTTGTTCATTCTTTTTTATTCTTTTTTCTTTATTCTTGTCTGCCTGTCTTATTTCAGAAAGATAGTCTTCAAGCTCTGAGATCCTTTCCCCTGCTTGATCTATTCTGCTATTAATACTTTTGATTGCATTATGAAATTATTGTATTGTGTTTTTCAGCTCTATCCTGGATATTTTGTTTGTTAGCACCTGCAATGTTTTATCGTGATTTTTAGCTTTCTTGCATTGAGTTAGAATGTGCTCCTTTAGCTCAGTGAAGTTTGTTTTTATCCACTGTATTAGTCCATTTCACACTGCTGATAGAGACATACTCAAGATTGAGCAATTTACAAAAGAAAGAGGTTCAATTGGACTTACAGCTCCACATGGCTGGGGAGGCCTCACAATCATGGCGGAAGGTGAAAGGCATGTCTCACGTGGTGGCAGACAAGGGAAGCGAGCTTGTGCAGGGGAAACTCCCCTTTATAAAACCATCAGATCTCATGAGATTTATTCTTATGAGAACAGCGTGGGAAAGACCTGGCCTCATGATTCAATTACCTCCCACTAGGTCCCTGCCACAACACATGGGAATTCAAGATGAGATTTGAGTGGGGAAACAGACAAACCATATCATCCACATTCTGAAGTCACTTCTGTTGTTTAAGCCATGTCAGCCTCAGCCCCATTCTGAACCCTTGCAGGAGAGGTGATGTGGTCATTTGGAAGAGAGAGGGTACTCTGGCTTTTTGACTTGTCAGAGTTCTTGCATGGATTCTTCCTCATCTTTATGGGCTTATCTACCTTCATTTTGAGGTTGCTGGCCTTTGGATGAGTTTTTTTTGTTGTTGTGGTTTTGGTTTTTCTTTAACAGTTGGGCCACTTTTCCATAAGGTTGCTGAAGTTTGCTGGGCGTCTGCTCCAGTCCCTAGTCACCACAGATTTTCCAGTACCTGGCGTATCACCAGTGAAGGCTGCAAAACAGCAGAGATGGTAGCCAGCCCCTCCCTCTGGGAACTCTGTCCCAGGAGTGTACACACCTGTTGCCAGCAGGGATGTACCTGTAGGAGATGGCTGGAGACCCTGGTTGGAAGGTCTCACCCAGCAGCCAGGAGGAACAGGATCAGGGAACCGCTTAAAGAAGCAGCCTAGCCCCACTTTAGTAGAGCAGCCATGTTTTGCTGGGGCACCATTTCTGCCCCTCCCTCCCATCATACCCTTCTCCCCCTTCAGTTAGGCTCACCAAAGCCCACAGGCTGGAATGGCTAAGTTGCTGACACAGCAAAGATGGTAGCCCACCCCTCCCTTTAGGAATGCTATACTAGGAAGTTTTGAAACCTCTGTCAGCCAGAGAATGTGGGTGGGAGTGGCTGGAGGGCCCAGTTGGGAAGTCCTGCTCAGTGAGGATGAACAGATCAGGGACCCACTAAGGAAGCAGTCTGGTCACACTTTCATAGAGTAGCTGTGCCATGCTGTGGTACCACTTCCACCTGCGGGCAGTTTGGACTCTCCTAAGCCCAAAGGCTGGAATGGCTGAGTTGCCCAAACAGCAAAGATGGTGGCCCGTCCCTACCCCTGGGCACTCCATCCCACGGATAAATCAAAACTGTCTGCCTGAAAATATGGGCAGGGGTGGCTGGAAGCCACAGTTGTGAGGTCCTACTCAGAGATAAGCAGTGGATCAGGGACCTGCTTAAAGAAGCAGTCTGGCTGCATTTTGGTAGAGCAGATGTGCTGTGCTGGGGGTTGGGGGAGTCCCTTTTGCCCCCAGATGGTTTGAACTTTCCTAAGTCTGCAGGCTGGAACAGCTGAGTTGTCCAAACACAAAGAAGTTGGCCCTCCTCTCCCCTTGGGCACTCCATCCCAGGGAGAAATAAAAACTTTGTCTGCTGGAGAATATGGGTGGGGCTGGCTGGAGGCCCTTGTTGGGAGGCTCTGCCCTGAGATGAGGAATGGATGGGGATCCTGCTTAAAGAAGCAGTCTGGTCACATTTAGGTAGAGCACCTCTGCTGTGCTGGGGGAGGGTCCCTTCCATCCTCAGTCAGTTTGGTTTGGACTTTCCTAAACCTGCAAGCTGGAAAGGCTGAGTTATCCAAACTGCAAAGATGGTGGCCTCCCGCCCCTACACTCCCAACCCGGGAACTCTGTCACATCCCAGGTAGGTGCAAAACTGTTGTGGGTGGGGCGGGGGTGTTTGGAGGGTAGGTTCCTGGCTGGAATTCCAAGCCAGTGGATCTTATCCTATGAGGCACTGTGGAAATGGAGCCCACAGACCTACACTGCTTGGCCTCCTGAATTCAGTTCCCTTCCTGAATCCAACTTCCCTCCTTGCCTGAGAGGCAGGCACCTTTGCCAAGGGTCCCAGGGTCAGAGTATGTAAAGCTCCTGCATCTCTGTGTGTGCCTCAGCAGCTGCTCTGCAGAGACTCCACATAGCTCTGTCTGTCAGACCAAAGGCCCTGGTGCAGTGGGTTTGGGAGTGTATCTCCTGACTTGAGGCTTGCAAAGATCTATGAGAGAAGCACGGTTTTCCGGGTTGGCACATTCACTCACCACTTCCCTGGGAGGGGGAGGTTCCCTTGGCTCCGTGTCACTCTCGTGCAGGCCATCACCCTGCCCTGCTTTTCTTCGTTCTCTGTGGGTCCAGCTGTTTCCCTGGTCAGTCCCAATGTGAATACCTGGATATTTCAGTTGAAGGTGCTGTATTTACTCTTCCCTTTCCTTCCTCTCCCTGAGAGCTACACACTGTAGCTGCTTCTAGTCAGCCATTTTGGCCCTGAGAATGTGTCCGGAACTTGGTCTCACTGACTTCAAGAATGAAGCTGCGGACCCTCGCAGTGAGTGTTACAGCTCTTAAGGTGGCACGTCTGGAGTTTGCTCCTTCTGACGTTCAGATGTGTTCAGAGTTTCTTCCTTCTGGTGGGTTCGTGGTCTCGCTGGCTCAGGAGTGAAGCTGCAGACCTTCCCGGTGAGTGTTACAGCTCTTAAGGCGGCGCGTCTGGAGTTGTTCGTTCCTCCCGGTGGGCTCGTGGTCTGGCTGGCTTCAGGAGTGAAGCTGCAGACCTTCGCGGTGAGCGTTACAGCTCTTAAGGCGGCAAGTCTGGAATTGTTCGTTCCTCCCGGTGGGCTCGTGGTCTGGCTGGCTTCAGGAGTGAAGCTGCAGACCTTCGCAGTGAGTGTTACAGCTCATAAAGGCAGTGTGGACCCAAAGGGTGAGCAGTAGCAAGATTTATTGCAAAGAGCGAAAGAACAAAGCTTCCACAGTGCGGAAGGGGATCCAAACGGGTTGCCACTGCTGGCTGGGGCAGCCTGCTTTTATTCTCTTTTCTGGACCCACCCACATCCTGCTGATTGGTAGGGCCGAGTGTTCTGTTTTGACAGGGCGCTGATTGGTGTGTTTACAATCCCCGAGCTAGGCACAAAGGTTCTCCAGTCCCCACCAGATTAGCTAGATACAGAGTGTCCCACACAAAGGTACTCCAAGGCCCCACCAGAGTAGCTAGATACAGTGTGGATTGGTGCTTTCACAAACCCTGAGCTAGACACAGGGTGCTGATTGGTGTGTTTACAAACCTTGAGCTAGATACAGAGTGCCGACTGCTGTATTTACAATCCCTGAGCTAGGCATAAAGGTTCTCCACATCCCCACCAGATTCAGGAGCCCAGCTGGCTTCACCCAGTGGATCCTGCACCGGGGCTGCAGGTGGAGCTGCCTGCCAGTCCTGGTGCCGTGCGCCCGCAAGAACTATATATGATCTTCTAAGAAACAAAACGATTTTATAATTTTATTTTTCTTTCTGCATTCTATATTTTATTTTGTTAATTTTCTTCATTGTTTACTCCCAAATGAGGAAAGCCTCTTAAAAAAAAAGCCATTTTGAGTAATAGACAAGGAATGTATCAGTTATAGCATCCAGTCACAGAATTAAAAACACCACTTATTTTAATAAAGATAATTCAGTGTAAATAATTGTTAAGTATTGAAAAATAAAAATGCAAAAAGGAAAACTAATGTGTCCTCGAAGTGGCAATTTCCAGAAGTAGGTATTATTTCTAGAGCTGGGAAGACAAACAAAAGAGTTGGAATTAAAGAATAAAATCTAGGAGAAAGGGCCCCACAGTACTGGAACATGGACCTCTAATTGGACAGTGCTCAGCCACCACTGATGTCTCTGCTTGGAGTTGGGGGTCCAGGGAACTAGGATCCAGGCCTCTCATGGACACTGTCAGCTGTTGCTGGTGCCTCCGAAGGGTGGCAGAACAGATTCTGTCTCTGAGTGTTGGAAAAAATTGCAAGCTGAAATCAACTGCTGTTACTGAGGTGAAAAAAAATTATGGCTGACACAACGGTAACAAGAACAGGAAGTACAAACAGGCTAAGGTAACGAGCAGAAAGGAATGTGTTCTTCCTCAAGCCTTACTGTCTTTTTCCAGCACCTCTTATTGACAGGGTCTAACAGAAAGCCTGCTGGCAAAGCAGAAATATGTTTTGCAGAATTTCAAAATCACAAAGCAGAATATGGAAGGGTACATTTGAAGCTGAGAGACAAGAGCCTCATAACTGGCACGATACAGGAAATATGAAAGACTACATAGCTTTTGATCAACATTTCTTTGAGAAGTTTCCATACCCTGATATTCCCTCATACATGCTTTTTACTGATGTTGTAAACTTTCAGGTTGATTCCTCACTACTTTAATCCCACTTTGACCAGCCACAGGCTAACCCCTTTTGTCAGGGCTTAGTTACACCTCACTCAGTGACTTCCCTAAAGAGCCTTTTCCTTCAACAGCTAATTAGAGCACTAGGTCAGAACAACAAACAAACCATCAAGGAAATAAGCAATGCCAAGCTCCAAAGAACGAAAGATATTCCCAACTCCTACTCCTACCCCTTAGGAAATTTGAGGGTATAACTCCCAAAGACCAGAATTAAATTGTCTGCAAACATCTGAAAAATGGTGGGTAAATCAACACAAATTACTTGACTCAATAAACTTCTCTTAAGTTTACATTTCTCCACTACCTGCATATTAAGTGTTAGCAGATATTTTAATTGTTCATTCTTGGATATATGTGGGGTGACCTTGTGAGATTTGCACTGGTTGAATATCTCCTATTAGACTCATTGTTATTTGGATGATCTAACTGTTGATATGACCAAGATCATGTCTTATTTCCTTCCAGGTAATATCCATTTAGAATCCTATAATGTTCAGTTATAACTTGATAGTTATAATGATAAATTTCATTACCCTTTAATGACAATTATGTGTAACCTAAATACTAGAGTTTGCAACAATTCTGCCAAATTCTTACTGATAGAAAACTTGCGGTTGAAAGATTACTTCGGAATAGATTATTCTGTAGGCCTAGAGGGTTCATCAAAGAAAAAGAAAAAAAAACAACTAGCCAAATCCATATATAATTACAAACTCATTTTATTAAATGGCAGTCAATTACCAAGTGGAACTTTAGGGAATAAAGAGTGGGCATTTCCATAGTTCTCTTATTAAGGACGCAGCTTTATTTGATGACTAGGAATCACCACCTGTTTTCCTATTTCCATCTTAGGCAGGATAAAAAGTGATCACTTCCATGTTAAATCCTTTAAGCTCCTCAATATTGATGTCTCCATATGGGCACAAAAATGAATTAAGGGTCTCCAGGGTTTTTGTTTTGTTTTGTTTTGAGACGGACTCTCACTCTGTCACCCAGGCTGGAGTGCAATGGTGTGATCTTGGCTGACTGCAACCTCCACCTCCCAGGTTCAAGCCATTCTCCCGACTAAGACTCCGCAGTAGCTGGGACTACAGGCACGTGCCACCACAACCGGCTAATTTTTGTATTTTTAGTAGAGATGGGGTTGGCCAAGCTGGTCTCAAACTCCTAACCTCGTGATCCGCCCACCTCGGCCTCCCAAAGTGTTGGGATTACAGGAGTGAGCCACCACACTTGGCTGGTTCTCCAGGGTTCTATAAACAAAAATATAATATTAAGAAGGTATTACTACACTCTGTCTAGGAAGTTTTTCTTTATTCTCCACATAGCACCAAAGTAGACAAAGGCGATAGTCTCATACCTGATGGAAGGGAATTGACCAATCTATCTTTAGAGTCAAAAAAGTTTGTCCACAAGTTAAACAACATTTTGAGCATAATAAAATTTCAATTACAATTCAGAGGAAATCACACAAATTTTTTTAAAAATTCAAATTGCCTAATAAAGTCACTTTTGAAAATTATTAGATTTTAGTGGAAACTTTATATTATTAGTGGAAAGTTATATAATATATAAAAATATATGTATAAATTTAAATTTTATAATTATATTTATAATATATGATATGTGTAATATATATATAGGAAGACTATCAAGTAAAACAATATATATTTTGGCATGTCATTCATGACATGATCCTATGGGAAAAATGAGAAAATTATAATTATTTTTAATAACCCACTAAGAAAATCCATTCTTTTTTCTGTCTAATATTTATTCTTATTTTGTAGAACTCAGATTTATTTTCTTTTTGGATACAGAAACTATATCTGTTCTGAAAACATTTGGCTAGTCAGTTTAGGCTGAAAAACCATCATGAAAAGAATGTTAGCTGCCAGTGCTCTAGACTTTGTCTGAAGCAGAAGGTTCCAATCTTTTCCAGATTATTTGGTGTAATTAAGTCCTCATGTCTATTTCCTATGTTCAGGCTGCTATAACAAAATAGTATGGACTGAGTAATTTATAAACAGAAATTTATTGTTCACAGTTCTGAAGTCTAGGAAGTCTAAGAACCCAAGGCATCAGCAGAATGAATGTCTGATCAGGGCTTGCTCTCTGCTTTAAAGATTGGCCGGGCGTGGTGGCTCACGCCTGTAATCCCAGCACTTTGGGAGGCCGAGGTGGGTGGATCACGAGGTCAGGAGATCGAGACCATCCTGGCTAACATGGTGAAACCCCGTCTCTACTAAAAATACAAAAAATTAGCCGGGCGTGGCGGCCGGAACCTGTAATCCCAGCTACTCGAGAGGCTGAAGCAGGAGAATGGCGTGAACCCGGGAGGCGGAGCTTGCAATGAGCCGAGATCGGGCCACTGCACTCCAGCCTGGTCGACAGTGAGACTCCGTCTCAAAAAAAAAAAAAAAAAAAAAAGAGATTGTGCTTTCCTGCCGTGTCCTCACTTGGTGGAAGAAGTGGAAGTCTCCATTAAACCTTTTTTATAAGGGTACTAATTCTATTCATGAGGGCCAAGCCCCCATGATCTAATAATCTTCTAAGGGCCCCATCTTTTAAAATCACACAATGGAGATTAAGTTTTGACATGAATTTTGAAGACACACAAACGTTCAGATCATAGCAGTAGCTTACCCCACCCTCAACATTGGAATCTTGCTTTGTCTTCAAATATCACTAGTTTTTCAGCTATCTCTTCAAAATGCTACCTCAACTGGGCCATTTCTCAGCCTTATAGCTTAGAACCAGTTCATTATAGAAAAACTTTCACACTACTGATCATTCTATACTATTATATCTTGCCAAGTTAACAATAATGCAAGACTCTTCAGAGCCTTCAGTGATCTCTCGGCATTTGACTTCATGCTTGTTAAAGTCATGGACAATTATTGTTGGCTCATGATTGTAGGGCTTGAAATAATAACATCAGTGTCTGCAATGTTGTCATCTTCCTGAGTGTCAGTTTCTTCTGCAACAGACAGGGAGAAAGCAGGAACTGCCTTTTAAGCTAAAATGTTGATCTCAGCATAGACCCTTGAATATTTATGCTTCTTCTTTTCCTGTATTACAGTATTATTGCCACACTAGCAGCAGAGTGAGAAGAGTCTCTGGACTGATCTCATTCTAATTCTAAACAGTTATTTAAAAGGATTATGTTGCACAGCCCCTTTTCTCTTTTAAGTTACATTTAAATAGCTTGATTCTGTTTCTAGATGAGTTGGATACCAGCCCGTATGCCATAGCAAAAAGGCCTCTCCTCTAGTGAATACGTGGTTTTATATCATGAGCTAGGAGCAACCTAAAGAAGCAATAAAACCTTTTAGCTAATTACTGTCAGACAGAACAGCTTAACATCAATTCCACTAAATTTAAAATTGTAGTCTTTGGCAGGAGTCCTCAGGTAGTAAAATGGACAGTACTAAATAATTCCATCCAGCAAGTCAATCCATCCTATTACTTAGGAGTATGTTTCATACCCAACTCATCCTGGTGAGCCAATCAGCTTGTAGCACCGCTCAAAATCAGGAACAATTCTGACCTAACACTGGGTTTCTCTTATGGATAAGACATCTGACGCTCCCAAAATATTTTAGGCCCACATAAATTATCTTATACATGGAACCCTGTGCTCAATGAATTGTTGTCCAAGGTAATGTATTAAAATTTTTTTTAAGGAAAAACACTGGGATTCTAATGCTGAAGTGGGACCCTCCTTTCATTAAGTGTGCACATACAAACTTCTGATGTGCACAGGGAATGTCAATGTTACTGTCTGATATTTTAATTTTTGGGGGAATGGATCTTTCTGTAAACAGTAACACAAAATATCTGTTATTTGGTTATATAACACAGACTTCAGTCTCACATCCTCTAAATAAAGTTACTAGAGGTTGAAATCCCTGAGATTTATTAGTTTGACTTCCTCAAATGATGCCTTTGTTGTGTTTTAATGTTTTGCCTTGATTTTCATTGAAAGTCTAAATAAAGAATAGCCACACACAACCATTACTCACTTTTAGCCAAGCCATTGCTGAGGATGTCGTTTACTATATTGCTCAATGTCACTTTTATGAGAGTCCACATGATAATTCCTGCCATGAGTTTAATGTTAGAAAGAAAAAGTCTCAACAAATGATCATCTGTGCTTTCATTGACAGAATATAGGGATATTATGATTCTTGCTAGAATCTATCATATTTCAAGGCTCAGCTTAAATCCTGACAGCACAGACACCTCATCAACTTATTCTTATCTTGCGAATATTTTCCTTCTTTGAATTTTTATACCATTTATTATCTGCAACTTGTAATAATATGCTTAACTAAGTTTATGAGTTTTCCCACAATAGCCCCTAGTGTAAGCACAGTAAATTAAGCACAGAAAGCTTAATTGATCATATAACTAGTTCTAGTGAAAAGCGATCACTTCTATAGTTTTCTCATTTGTAGCACTCTTCAGGTTTTTATTCTAACTGTTGAATAAAAGAAAACTTTCAGTGACTCCATGCACCTTAGATCAGTAGTTCTTAATCTTTAGTGAGTATAATAATAACTTTTATATGTTAAAAACTTATTCAGAATTCAGAATACCAACTCCATTGTTACCGGTTTAGTAATCGAGATGCTAGTGTAAGGCCTATGAATATGAAAATGATTGTTTAAGAAGCATTTCAGGAGATTCTGATGGAAGAGATTAAAAGTTAAGAAAGCCTGCTCTAGAAAATAAAATTTAAATTCCTTTCCCAGGTATTCAAAGCCTTATGCCATCTCTCTCAAACTTACTTTATAAAACGTATTTTCTACTATCCTCTTTCCATCCAATATACATTAAACAAATATAATTACATACTATTATATGTGCAAGGCCATTTAGCACTAAACCACTTTGACCCTCAAACTCCTACCTCTGCACACACAGGTTCTTACCTTTTAGAGACCAAATCAAAGGCCATTTCTTCCAGAAAGTCTTTGCTTATTACTCCCCACCCTGGTTGACACCAACCAGTTTCTCACTAATGACCCTGACTGTCTTTCTACTTAGTACCAAAGTTATTAATGTATCTGAGTTTTTTTTTTCCTCCCATAGCTCCCTGAATAAAGATTTTAGGTCTAATTCATCTTTAATTCTCTGCCATACTCATCATATTACATATGGAAAGTTGTTGCTTAGTAAATGCTGAGTAATTTAAAAAGCAAGTAGTTTCTGACATTCCTGCGCAACTTCTTTTTACTTCAACACCTTTCCCCCATCTTTGTGCCCGAAACATGTACTCTGTCCCAGATGACTTAGCCTATGAAGTAGCTAAGCATTAACATCCCAGCCCCTTTCCTCGGAAACATGCTTAATGTTGTTACATAAGAAATGACAAGGCACCCCTCAGCAGGAGATATGTTTTCATTTGTCTCCAACAAGGAAGTGTTTCTTTCACCCTGGGGATCAGATCACTTCTTCTCCTCACCTCAGAGTTGGAAAAAGAACACAGACATCACAGAGCAGGCTGGAGAGAGTGCTTCAGGGCCAACTTAGAGACAAAAACCAGTTTCCCATTTAACAAGTCAAGCAGACAGCCAGCATTTTTTTTCGGAGCATTTTGGAAAGAAACAAGGCTTCCTTACTGACTGCATTTAAAGTTAACACTGGGCATTTGCATTGCAAAGACTAAGAACCCAGAACCAAATGGCACACAGGAATGAGGTCAGGAAAAGCAAACAAAACAATCAGCAGAACAATTCAAGAGAAGTCAGGTCAGTTTCTGCTGCATTGATTGGGATTTGTCCCTGGATATTCAGTGAGAAGAAAATAGACGTCAACACCAGAAATTCACAGGCTATATTTAAGCTATTAAATATATTTATGTTTCAATAAGGTATGCATTACAATACATAATTCTCATTAGAAACCTCTATAGAGTTTGTATTAAATTCAGAGTTATAGGACCCAGGGATATAAGAGATGAAATTATGGAAGTATCATAGTTAAGTTTCTGATTGTCCAGAAAGAGCAAAACTAAGTGAGCAGCACCTTTAGAGAATGTTGTCTGAAGACTGCTGAATTAGGTCTAAAAATGCTACACTTTACCCTTGCTTAGCTGATTTTTTTGACCATGGTAGGTGTCCTTAATGAACACCAAACTTGCTAAAGGATAATAAATGTTTAAACTTATCTTACTTTTTCCAATTTTTGTTTTGTTTTGTTACAAAACAAAAGAAGTTGAGTGATAACCTCTCATTTTCCTTGTAAAACTTTTAATTTCTTTCTAGTCCATAAAACAAAATTATAACAGTAAACCCAATAAAAGAGTAAATCATCTCTGATACAACTTCTCTGACTGCTTCTTTCCAACCCTTCTTTCTATCAGTGTAGATACTACTTATATTTGGGATCTATTAGATCTGCAGAGCACAGCCTTTCACATGCTAGCGTTAACCATGTATCAATTCTTTTTTCCACGTGCTAACTCACTGGAAAATTTAATGAAACACTCGCCCTGGCACTGCAACTTGCCTTTTGTCACTTTGAGCTGATAATGCAACATAAATGTTTTTTACCACCTCTGGATTCATGGGCTTTAGCAGCCACTGCTGAGAACTTACTGTGAGTGTAGATAGCTTTAAAAGCCTTGCTGCCTTGGTGTTAACTTTCAATAACTGGAACTGAGGCAAGAGCCTTGCGTATTCCTCCCATGCAGATGCTAAGAATTTTTCTTTATATTCATAGACTCAGAGTCTTGTTGATAAATAACAGTAAGGCTCAAGTAAACCATATCCAAAATAATCTATACTATGACAAAATGAAGGCTGCAGAGTCATTTGAGATACTGAATATGAAAGACCTTCAAATTACTTTATAGCATTCTATAGAAGAGATTTATTAGTAAGTCCTATCTTTATGGTAAATGATGCATAAATGATGGTACAGGTTTATAAGGAGAACATATGAAAACTCACATATAGAGCGTAAACTAGGTGACAGCCAGCTTTTCTAAGGGTGAATGGTTTTCTCACTTGTTTAGAGCATATCAGCCAGTGATGGATGCAAAACTGCAAAATTTTAGAAAACTATTTTTTTCCATTGATAGAAAGAGGCTGTTCTTTAACAAGTAGAACTTCTGGTTTTTATATGCAGAAAGGTATTTCTTTTTTATTTCAAGGGAAAAAGCACTCAGTCAAAGCTCCCTCCTAGAGTTCATGCCCTTACCTATAAAGATGGAAACTTATTTAAATCCAAAGGGAATACTGTCCTCCTCAGTTCCCATACCTTTGTATTATCTTTATATAGAGGAATGACAATTCCAAGCAATTGTATCATCATAAAAAATAATAATATTGTGATCAGAACAAGTATATCAACCAAGCATCCACAGGTCTCGTGGTTTATTCCGTACTCTGCTTTTACTCTGCTTCCAGTGGGGCTTGAATAAAATATTAAGGAAAAATATGTCACTTCTACAGAGGCAGAAAGGTCCTTTTTGATGAAGCCCCCAGTAGATCATCTGTTCATTGGAGGTGATCTCCTCTGCAGCTTGACAAAGAACTGTGACATTACAAAGCATGGTGCGGAGGGGTTTGCAACCAGCATAACATGACCAGAGCTGGCACATGCTGAAAAGTCATTTGCCTCTTGGTCTTTTTTTTTTTTTTTCCCTAAAGTGTCTTTTTCCTTTGGCTTCTCATTACTATTATAATACACAATTTTGTTTTCTGTTTGTAACTCTCTGCTGCAATGATTAAAAGTTTCAGAATAATCAATTATTGTAAGGATGACTATATAAATATAAGCTGGTTTATTTGAAAGTGACGTTAAGTTTCATTTCACATATTTGTCTCACAAAATCCCTCACTTGACCAGTGAAGCAAGATGTTCTAGCCTGGCCTTGACAGAGGTCCACCTTCCTCATTCTGGTCTACCTCACTGGTCTGATCAAGGCCTAATGCAATTTGCATTAAAAAAAATTCAATAATTGTTCTAAATTGCTCTCCATATGGTACAGTGCTAAGGAAAAATTTACAAGTTATTGCCTTCATGACTTGAGAGAGAAATTGTTTTATTTTATTAAATATCAGACAAAATTGAATATATAGTTTTCAATAATAACTCTCAAAGCTGATATTAAGTACCTGAACAGATAAGACCATGATAAGGTCAAGAAAGAGGATATTTAAACATCTGTAGGCTTTTTTTCTCGCTTCTTTTTTCTTTTTAAACTTAAGCTTTTAAATCTTGAAAGTTCATGTCCAGTGCCTTGATCAGAGATGATAAATGAACTACTGAATTGGAAGAAGATGCTGTTATTATTTTAACCAGTAAACTAACTCAGGGTTAATCTGGGTGTTATTTAACCTATTGAAAGTGTTTTGAGTGAACATATGGTTTCTATTGTGAAATGAAGGCACAGTTTTAACTATGAATATAGATAATTACCCTTTCGACTTTAAACATTTATATGTGTCATGTTGTGTCAGAGCATTTTTCATGGTCAATAGGTTGAAAGGTTATAAAGTTGAAAATGAAAATCAGTACTTTTGAGTAAAACTACATAGCCAGCACAAATAAAGCAATTCACTACTGCTCTCTCTTGGAAGGAGTTAGTAATAACACCCAGAAAGCAATCACTACACCAGTAGCACAGATTGTATGTGAAAAACATGATCTCAGTTAAAGACCTAATCTTTAAGTTAGAAATTCAGCCTATAAATGCATATTCATGAATGTTTCAATAATTATTTTGTAAATTGAATTATAGATGATGATTTTTTTCTTTGTGTAATAGAAAGAGAATATTTTTAAGTTATTTTAAAACTTCATATAAAATGTGTCTACTACAACGCTGATTTGAACATTTCATATAAATGTAATTTTTGAACTGACACTGAACATTTACAGCAGGGTACACATTTTGTAAATTGCTCAGAATGACGTCAGTACTTTGAGCCTAAACAAAACAACTCCTTCAAATGGAATTGGACTCTATTGCAAATACTTACTGGCTTTCAGAGTGGATGCCATATAGTTTCAAAGGAGCAGGACCCCCATTCCAACAGAGTAACAGCAAATTTTCAGATTCATAAGAAAAGGATAGGGGTCAGACGGAGAGACAGAGAGAGAGAGAGAAACAAAGAGAAAAAGAGAGAAACATTTTGGCAAATTTCAATTTTTTATCAAGGCCTCTAAAAACATTTAAGAATTATTTTATCAACACTAATGGATTGGCAGAATATAGCTATCAACATAAAACTTAATTTTAAAACAGTGTTTTCATTTCCATTTCACTCTTTAGAGTGATAGCCCCCATTTTGCACCGGGTGGTAATAATACCTCTGTCCTATTATTATTATTATTTCTTATCTTCTTACTACAAATGAGAAAAAAAGTTAAGGCAATTGTTCTTTCTATTCTTTTACTCTCAAATAAGACATTCTTGGGACAAAGATGGCGTGTGAGTGCTTTTGGTTTTATTAGAAAGGAAAGGCACATAAGTTATTTGTGGCATGTGCTTTGTTGCTCAAATTGTTTGGAACCATTTATGTCAGATGCTGATGTCTTTTTAAAGATCACATAGCTAGTGGTTTACAGAATGAGGTTCCAGTGCTGCATGAAGCCAAAAGAAAAACCCAACTGATGATGAAGGACTTTGAAAAAAATAAGATTATGACAAGAATACATGCAAAGTTTCTATTTTGCTAGACTGACAATCAATTCAGGGACAAGTACACAGTATCTTTTGATAAAAATACTGGCCTTCATCTTCTGTAAGTAAACACTATGTAAGTTTTAGGATTCCTAAATGTGTTACCACTATCATTAGTGTTTTTTCCAGCACTATGACTGTTCTTCTTTTAAGAAAACTATGACCCTGGTCGGATGAATTCTACATTCAAAGGTAAATGCAGTTACTAAAATGGAAGAGGCTGTGAAAGTCTCTGAATAATTGCCACAATTATTTTTTTAAATCCATAATGAGAAGAAATATGTAAAAAGTATGTCTCTGCTTGTAACTCAGATCAACATTAAGAATTTGCATCTTTTATTATGCATATAAATCTTATTTTCCCAATAATGTTAAAATATCTACCACATGCTCTAAAACTGTAAATCTTTTACAAATGGAATTATTTAAAGGGGATGCATCTAAATTTATATTACCTATGATAAAATGTACAAGGTATTTTTATGTAAAAGTAACAATTCTTGTGCTTTTTATCTTTACAGTTTATTTGTGTTTTTGTAGAAATGTTTACATTAAATTCCCAAGTGTTTTTCCTTATTTTCTTATAGTCATGAAATATTTAATGTATTTACCTTAGTATTTCTATATGTTTATTCTTAAAAGAGCAAGAAACAGAAAACATAAAGGGTTTTGCTCATGCAGAAGGAAAACTTTTCTGAAAAAAGTTTGACCATTTAAATTATCAATTTCACAAGAAAATTTGTTTTCTTCCTTTTAATTAATAATAATTATTATTAGCTCCTGATAATTAAGTGAACGTGTATGCACAATATTCATAGAATAATGCCTGAAACAGTGTATTGTCAATACATTTAAACTATCATTGTTTATCTATTAATTCATATATTAAGTAAACATGAACAGGATGCTTACTGAAAGCAAGTTAGACCAACATCATCTTCCCTCATAAATTTTGCAATCTAGAATGTATTGTAAACATTAACTTAACAGATTTCTTTAAGACAGGTTATTATATTTCTGAGCTAGCTCAGGTGTTGTGTTGCAAAGTAATAAAGAAATATACTTAATGGTCTCTTCAAGGCCTTCCATTAACAAGTCTGCACAAGTTCTAATGAACCACTTTCAAAAGTCAAGTAATTTGTTTCATGTCCCATTCAAGGCCTACCATTTATTCATCACAACCTGGAACTCACCATTGTGCTATTTAAATAAACCAGGGCCCAGAGTCAGAGTTCAGAAGGAAAAACTTCCCAGAAGTTGGTCTTAAGCAGTAGTTAAAATACTTTACCTTGTAACCTACTTCTGAGAAATGGTAAATTGGTTAATGAGGTCACTTCCATAAAGTTTATAAGCTACTTAGAAATGAAAAGATGGACAAATACCAGATATTTTAAGAAATATTCTGCTACTGTAAGATCTGTTTATAAGGTTTACCCCATTATCTAAGCTATGAGACCCAGTTACCTGATATTCCCAGTGCTTACTCTCCTTGCGAGGAAAGTGACAAAGTTGACCTTTAAAATAGTCCTTATTTCTATTTTAATGAATATTAAAATAATTATTAAGAATTAATTTAAAAATTGACTAAACTTAAGGAAATTCCTGAAAAAGACCTACACCTGTAAAAACACGTAAAGCACCGATGACTGTGATTCACACTCAGTTTTTTTTTTTTTTTTTTTTTTTTTTTTTGAGATGGAGTCTCGCTCTGTCGCCCAGGCCGGACTGCGGACTGCAGTGGCGCAATCTCGGCTCACTGCAAGCTCCGCTTCCCGGGTTCACGCCATTCTCCTGCCTCAGCCTCCCGAGTAGCTGGGACTACAGGCGCCTGCCACCGCGCCCGGCTAATTTTTTGTATTTTTAGTAGAGACGGGGTTTCACCTTGTTAGCCAGGATGGTCTCGATCTCTTGACCTCATGATCCACCCGCCTCGGCCTCCCAAAGTGCTGGGATTACAGGCGTGAGCCACCGCGCCCGGCCCACACTCAGCATTTTATTTCACCACTTTTAATAACATTTACTACACTGTATTACATCATAATCTGCCTGTGGCTTGTCACATAAGGCCAAACAAGAATAAAGCAATGGGACCATGTTAGGGGCATTAAAAAAAACTATGATTAGTACTGGCAAACATCTAAGCAAAGGCATTTTCTGAATTTCTTCAAAGTTCTAGATGTCATCAAAGTAATGTTAGGATTATTTCTAGAGAAAAAGAAATGCACAGTATTGATGTTATGTTAGCACTAAGATATTATTGTTCTTTCTTTCTTTTGAAATAAAATTGAGGTGGGTGTGATTAGAGTCATTGCTTCAGAAATCATGACTAATTTCAAAATTGGACCATTGGAAACATTTTTGCTATAACACTGGTATTATGCCTATTAAAAGGCTTTTTTTTTCATTTCTTCAAATTCATTTCTTCTTCAAATGTATTTGAGATTGATGGTAGGTTACACACGTTAATACGTAAGTCATGACATTAACCTACCAGACCTCCAAAATTAATTTTAATTCCTCTACAACATATTTCTCTAGCATCTTTAACAGCAGGTGGGCCTGCTACTCAATTGGAGGAAGTCTGGATGCACATCTTACAGTCCTCACCCACTCCACTTACTAAGAATAGAAAGAACTAGAAATCATGAGATTATTTTGTTAATTCATTTCCTGATTTTACTCATGAATTAAAAAGTCCACAAAATGAGTTAGAAAAATACTTCTAAATCAATATATAATTTCTGTAATATTTGGAAGTCCTTTAACATTTTGCTGGATGGAAAAGCAATTGCCTCCACTGCCCAGGCTTGAATCCCAATACCAAATTTATCAGCTACGTCACTTTAGGCAAATACCTTAGCCTCTCTGATCTTCAATTTTCTTATTTGTAAGATGGTAAAAACAAAATCTTTCCACAGGCATGATGTGGCTATTTTACTTAACTGTCCTATAACATCTGCTCAAAAGATTGTATTATCTCTATTATATAGGAACTGTGGTGTTGTTATTTAGCAAAATGCATTGTGTATAACATCTAGTGGCCAACCAAATGCTACTGTCTTTTCAGTTTTACATTTAACAGCACTTGACATACTATTTGCTTAAGCTAAACAAAATAGTTGTGTATTTATTAGTGAAAGGGACATGTTCAGAGAAATGTGTCCTTAGGTGACTTTGTCATTGTGCAAACACCATAGGGTGTACTTACACAAACATAGATAATATAGCCTATTACATGCCTAGGCTATAAGGTATAGCCTATTGCTCCTAGGCTACAAACCTGTAGAGCAAGTTACTATATTGAATATCGTAGGCCATTGTAAATCACGGTAAGTATTTTTCCATCTAATAATATTTAAATATAGACAAGGAACATGGAGCTATAATCTTATGGATCTTTGTCCCATATGTGGTCTATCATTGACCATAATGTCCTTATGCAATGCCTGACTGCAAAACGTTCTATTCAAGATAGCATGAATTTACTTTACAGCATCAAACTCAAGCTCTAAATTGTATTTTAAATGTCTCAAAAGCCAGTTTCCACATGAGTCACCACTTTTACTCATTTGGATTTGGCTCTGTTAAATTAAAATCAGAATACAACCATGTAAACTAGTCTGCAAATTGCATGAACATAGTCATTCTTAATCGCAAAATATTATTTATTCTATGAGCTGTGGCCCTTCTTACTGTTTCCAAAGTAAGTGAGAAAAACAGGGTTTATACCATATATGAATGCCAAATTATGCATGCAAAATCTTTTCTTTCTTTTGTTATTATAAAAGAGAATAGACTACAAAAATGCATATCTAGTAACTAAATGTCCAATTTGTTTTTATTATTACAGAAATGTGCACATAAACTAATTTTGCAGGTGGGCTAATTGCACCTGTTTTTCAAATTACAGTCCTTAGTGAACCGTCTTTTCCAGAAATATGTTCAGTCATAAATATGTAGACTTTGTGTCAATTGCAAGACAACTAGCCGTGTACTACACAAATGTTATAGCACAAGGATCAACTCTCCTGCATATGTATTGAATATATGCAAGTAGTCCATCAGGGTTTAACCACCGTGAGGAAATAATAGTCTGTTCAGAAAAAAAAAAAAATCTTTACTAATGTGCTTTTTTTGTTGTTGTTCCCTTGCTGTCACTAAGAATTCCACAGAAATCAGATGAATAAGAAAAATTAATAATTATTATAATTTCTAGCCTTCAGATACCTAGATTCCTTAAGCCATAGAATTAAACTCTGGGCCGGGCGCGGTGGCTCACGCCTGTAATCCCAGCACTTTGGGAGGCCGAGGCGGGCGGATCACGAGGTCAGGAGATCGAGACCATCCCGGCTAAAACGGTGAAACCCCGTCTCTACTAAAAATACAAAAAATTAGCCGGGCGTAGTGGCGGGCGCCTGTAGTCCCAGCTACTTGGGAGGCTGAGGCAGGAGAATGGCGTGAACCCGGGAGGCGGAGCTTGCAGTGAGCCGAGATCCCGCCACTGCACTCCAGCCTGGGCGACAGAGCGAGACTCCGTCTCAAAAAAAAAAAAAAAAAAAGGAATTAAACTCTGTTAAATTCTGCTTTACTTTCTGTCCCACTGCTTTATTTTTTATAGGTGAGGAGACAGGCCTAGAAAGATTGAGTGATTTTTCCTACATCACACAAATTAATTAGTGACTCAGGTACACCCAGCTCTCTGGAAATTTAACCCAGTGTTTTGTTTGTTTTGTTTTTGTTTTTTTTTGTGTGTGTTATATTGTCTTATATTTACAAGAGTAGATTCACCTGGCAAGAAGTTTGGCTGTAAATTTGTTTTTCTTTAATGAGATAGGATTTTTTAATTGATAATAAATTTTTATATTCCTCCTCAGAAATTTAATTCTTTGGATGTGCTCTTGCATGCTGTTTTTTCAATGTATTTTTAGAAATGTGTGTCACTTAATTCCTGTTAAATTTTCTATAACAGATGGTATAGATATTTGATTTATGCACTTGTCTTCATGTGGTCTGCTATTAGCTTTTTTTTTTTAATATAAGGACTTTTTTGTTGTTCATCATTGAAACTTTATCTTTCTACTACATGCAATATTATTTCTGGAGAGAAAAAATGTAAGAGAAATTTTTATGTTATTGAAATTGAGCACAATTTGGTGATTAATTGCATTGTTCTCATTAATGTCTCTGCCTGATGTTCAGGGCTTATCACCACAGTGTGAATTCAATGGAACTGGAATCTTAACCAGGTGTGGGTTATTAAAGCGGCAGTGCCCAATTTGAAATTGTTTAAGGAGGTGTATCAAAGTTGATATGCTTAACTATGTTCTTCTTCTGGAAAGAAAAGCAGTGCTTGTTCAGGAAAATCACTCACATCCATCATGTGACAAAAGGACTCAAAGCTCTTCTTCCCTTGGGTAAAGCAAGAGGGAACTGTATCTGTGGTGTATTAGCAGCTTCAAAACTGATGCAACAATACAGTTTATTAAAAAACTTTTTTTTGTATTTGTAAAATCATTTATTTCTTACCTCTTATCAAGGAGTTGTTTTCCTTCACTAAGAAAATGAAAAGTGTAGGCTGAAAGAATTCATGAGGTAGATACTAGTCTCTAAAGATGATAAGTTTAATCCAGTCACTAAAAAATATTCTTAAAATGTTATTCAATCTACACTAGCTTAAAAATGAGCTATCTTTTTCAGAAAGATGATAGTATGCTCAGAAATCAATTGTGAGTGAAGTTTCATTAAATTCTTCGTATCTTTAGATAGTTCTACCTTAACAAAGTCAAGGGTAGGTTTAACTTGGGAATTCACAAAATACAAATATCTGCCAGTTCAAGTTTAGAGCAATCCTCATAACTACCTGGTGGCAATTTCTGGATCTTAAAGTTAGATCAACAATAAGTTTGATACAAATCAGAAAATCAAAATAGATGGACATAAATTGAGAGTCTGGGGGAAAAATACTACCTTGCATGGAGTTTAGCGGTTTATAAAGCAATGAATGATCCAGTCTTTCGCAATCTCTGTTTAAGCCAGCAACAATGGCTCCCGTGGTACACAAAAATTAACTCAAGTTCAAAGAGAAGAAATTTATTTCCCCAAATCTTACATCTATTAAACTGTGGAACTTGATTTGGAACCCTTCTTTTCTTAATTTTTCCACTTGTTTCTGCAGGAACTGTTCATAAGTGGCTAAAGCAATTTTGTGCAAAGATATATAATTATTTGAGTGTGTAATTGGTATATTTGCCATTTTATGTCTCTTACGTGTGTACTGAAAAACAGCGAAGAGTTCAATTATATTTTTTTCTGTGACTTCTTAGCAATTGTAGAATGGTAAAGGGAAGCATGGAATGGCTCTGTATTATTAAAAAAGACCCAGGGAGGAAAAATAAAGCTGAACCAGAACAAGGCTTGGAAATGCTTCAGTTTCTATTTTATTTTATTAATGTTTGTGTAAATTAACTTGTTCCTACTGTTGATTATACAAATTCATGTAAATCAACAGTCAGGAATTTCTATTTTTAAAAAAGAATAATACTGATAGGTAGAAAAGAAATCAGATTTCTATTGGCCTGAGATTAAATGGGTTCATGTCACAGTAGACTGTCTCAACAGTCACAATAAAGAAGGAATAAGATGTGTAAGAATAACAAATAATGGTGAAGAAGGGGAGCTACTGAGAGGAAATCTGACTTGAAATTTTAAGGATATGTCATTAAAATCACCCCAAGCAGTTGTTGAGGAACTACATTGTGCATAGCAGAATAATATTAGTCGTATCATATGATCTTTATATATATTTAATTCTGAAAAGCTTGAATATTATCCATTTCATATGGCTGAGATTCACAGAGCAGTAGTAGAGGCCATGTATCTGAGGCTTTGGTTATCTGAGCCTGTGCAAATATGAATGCATATCCTAGTTCTATGCTTGGTAAACTATGGAAGAAGGGTAATTTATTTAACTCTTGCACCTTAGTTGATTTGTCTATAAAATGAAGTTCTTGGGATACCATAAGTGACATTACATATGTTAAACATTTGGCACCATATCTGGCAGATATCAACAACTTAATAAATGCTAATTATTATTATTGTAAATCCAATATACTAAAATTCTATAGAGCAGTTGAGAGAAGAAGAAGTATATATAATTCAGAATCATCAAGGGCTGAATTGGGTACCTGATAGGATTTGGCTCCATGTCCCTACCGAAATCTCATCTTCAATTGTAACCCAAATTATAATCCCCGTGTGTTGGGGAAGGGACCTTGTGGGAGGTGATTGAATCATGGAGACAGTTTTCCCATGCTTTTCTCGTGATAGTGAGTGAGTTCTCACAAGATCTGATGGTTTTATAAATGGCAGTTTTTCCTGCACTCACTCATTCTCTCCTGCCACCATGTGAGAAGGTACAAGCTTGCTTCTCTTGACTTCCACCATGATTCTAAGTTTCCTGAGGCCTCTCCAGCCATGTGGAACTGTGAGTCAATTAAACCTATTTCCTTTATAAATTACCCAGTCTTGGGTGTTGCTTTATAGCAGTGAAAACAGACTAATAGAGTAACTGTCATTACAACTACAGAGAAAAGAGTTAAGAGACAAAATGTACTGGGAGGAAGAAGAGTTGGAAGCCAGGGTGCCTTTATTAGAGATGGCTGTATGCCAAACTTGGTCCTTAAAAGATCTATAGGATCTGGAGTAGGCCTGGAGTAGATTACTTCAATTAATGCAACAGTAGAAATAGGGATATTGCTTTTGACAGCTGATAAATCCGCTGTCTAAAGAGCTGTGCAAATAAATATAGCTAATAGTGTACTTTGAACACAAACTTTGTGCCAAGCACTATTCTAAGTGCTTTGTAACTATCACATCAAATATTTGTAGTAATCTCCTGAGGTAGATACTAATATTATCCCCAATTTATAAATTAAAAAATGAAGTACGAAGAAGGTACATAAATTGCCTAATGTGCACTCAACTAGCAAGTGGGAAAACTGGGAAAGACCCCAGAGTTCATGCTCTTAATCAAGAAAAATCTATACGGTCTCTTGTGTTTCTGTGATCCAAAGCTACTTTCTGTGGCAAGCAGGGAATGTTTAGTTATTTAGTTAAATAATATTCTTATGTCTAAGTGGATTAATAGCCCTTAGCAACAGATAGTTGAGTGTCAACTATCTAAAAATTCCAATTTTATCACATTGTCTTGATTTTTAAAACAATAAATATAGCATTTGTGCAGTTAAAATTTGAATGAATCTATAAAAGAAAAAAATTGAAAGCATTCATAAAAATCTTATAAACACTATCATGGCATAAACGTCTGCAGATGACAAATCATATTTATATTTTCTTACCATAAAATCATAACTATATGAAAACTTAGATGATAAAATTTAGCTTTGTCTGAAAACAGATTTCACATTTTGGATAAATCTATCTGATTCACCATTCCATCCCAATTTGTAATAACTTCTGTTTCATTTATTTTATGTAGAAAACCTAGATTAAAATGATAGTTAAAATAGAAAAGGTTGTTCAATACAGGAAACCTGAAAAGTTCTATTGAATTCTCAAATAACTCCTCATTTTCCAGATGCAATTTATTCAATTTACCCTCATTATCCTCACTTTATCTGCACAACAAGAGGTCTTTAGGCCATCTTATGGTCCTATGGATATTAGCACTTCTAATAGGGGTTGGATATAAAGTGAGGGAAGGTGAAATTTAAATCAGCCCATTTTGCCGCTGCTTTATTAATTTCAAAGTGGATCCTTTGGGACAGAAAATTAGCACCTCTAATGGAAGTGTGATTTACTTTTGATGTAACCTATCCAGTTTTTGCGCTTTCTTCATTCAGCTATATCAAAAAGAGATTACTTGGTCCAATGCACCTCATACCAGCCTACTTCTGGGCATGCTCCAAGAAACATTATGTGCTTAATAAATGGATCTGTGCTTTCCAGTCTTATATTCAGTTATACACAAAGCTCCTATTTGCAAATGACTTACCTAACTTCAAGTCATTAGCTATTTCTGCCTAGATTACATGTGACAATTTTTTTTTGCCTTTTGATTTAGTCTCATTTCATTTTTTTTTTTTTTTTTGCTTCACATTACTCAACATTCCCCAGAGTCCCCAATCCTCTCCCACTGCCATGTCTTTGCACATTCTGCTTTCTTTGCATTGCCCTATTCTCCAGTTCTCAGCCTGGCATATACTCACGAATATGCCAAATGTCTGCTCAATAATACCTTTTCTAAATAGCCAGAATACTGACTGTTCTCTGTGTTCCCATAGGAGTCCACTGATACTATTTATTATTTATTATGTTTATTCATCTTTCTCATTAGACCACGAGTTCCTTGAAAGCTTAAAATGCTTTGTTGTGATAGCTCAGGTTCTGGCACATAGTAAAGACCCACAACAAGTTTTGTAAATAATAGTTAATATAGCTACCTAGTCTTGCTTAGATTTACCTTTTACCTCTCTCTCTTATCAACACATAATATGTTCCATATTTATGGGGTACATATGAGTGTATGTTTATTATTTAGAATAGAATGTGTAATGATCAGGTCATGGTATTTGTGGTGTCCATTGCCTTGGGAATGTATGATTTCTACGTGTTGATATCATTGCAAGTCTTCTTTTCCATTTACTTTGAAATATACAAAGTATTGTTGCTAAATATAGTCACCCTAGTATGCTATCAAATATTAGAACTTATTTTTTCTATCAAACTATATATTTTTACCCATTAACCAACCTCTTTTCGTCTTCCTCTCCGATCTACCCACACTTCCCAGTATCTGGTATCATTGTACTCTCTATGTCCGTAAGATCAAGTTTTTTTATCTACCAATATGAGTGAGAACATGCAGCATCTGTCTTTTTGTGCCTGGCTTATTTCACTTAAGATAATGACTTCGCCAATGTATAGTAAATAGTGATGGTGATAGTGACAACTTTGTTTTGTTCCTGACATTAGTGAAGATGCCTCCTGAGTTTCTTATGTAGACAGAGCAACGGATCAATGGGGAAAAAAGAATCCAAAAATAGAACCATACTTACATGTTTGATTGATATTTTGACAAAAGGTCTAAGATAATTCAACGGGAAATGGAAAATCTTCCTCTCAAATTGTGTTGAAACAAGGAGATAAACATAAGAAAAAATAAAGCATGATCCTTTTCTCAAACCACACATGAAAATTAATTTGAGATTGACACTTAAATGTAAAGGAGAAAATGTTAAAGTTTATAGTAGGAAAGATAGGGCAATATCTCCAGGTTTTACAAAAATGTTTTTTAGCATATACAATGGACAAAACATAAGACAAATAATAATGTATAAATTGGGCTCTATTAAATAGACTTCTCCCTAAAAGGTAGCATTAAGAATACGAAAGGCAAGCCATAGACTGTGAGAAAATATTTGTAATGCATATATACCTGACCAAGAATGTGTCTACAGAATATATTTAAAAAGATTCCTACATGACTATAATAAAGTGACAAATAAATTACTGGAAGCCTTGAACAGACACTGTACAAAAAAGCCTAATAAACAAATGGCTAAAAAGAATATGAAAAATTGTTCAATCTCATCTGTCATCAGAAAAAAGCAAATCAAAACTACAGTGACATACTGCTTTACATGCACCAGAATAACTAAAATTTAAACTGTCAACAACAAATGTTGTCAAGCATGAGGAACAATTGGAACTCTCACACATTGCTGGTGCAGTGAAAAATGTTAGAGCCACTTTGGAAAACCGACAACGTCTTATAAAGTCCACCATGCACATACCCTATGGCCCATCAATTTTACAGCTGGGTATTTACCCCAAAGAAATGAAAATACCTATACACAAAAAGCTTGTTTATCTTGGTTTCATTCATAGTAACCCTAACCTAAAATATTAAAATTTCTATCAACTGGACAATATATTAAGCAAATTGTATACTCATACAGAAAACTTAGCAGTAATAAATACTGATGAACTTGGACAAACCATATAAATGAGAACAATTATTGATATGGGAAGGGGTGTAAGGGAACTTTTTGGGATGATAGAAATGTTTTAATATATTTATTAGGATGTTGATTGCATGGTTGTGTATAGTTGTTCAAACTCATTAAGATGTTCTTTTAACATACTTGTATTTCACCATATGTAAATTTTACCTCAATGTAATTTTGTCTCAATATAAATCATAAACAAAATGTTGTATACATTGGAACCCTTGTACAGTGTGGTTGGAAATAAAATGATTCAGCTGCCATGGAAAGGGTTTGGAGGTTCCTTATAAAGTTAAGCACAGAATCATCATATGACCTGGTAAATCAACTCCTAGGTTTATACCCAAATTGTTGAAGGTAAGCACCCACACCAAACACCTTCACATGTGTGTTAATGCAGTGCTATTCACCATAGACAAAAAACAGTCCAAACATCCATCAACAGATGAATGTGTTGACAAATTACGGTATATACATGCAATGGAATATTATTCAGCTGTAAAAAGGAATGACGTACTGAAACATACTACACATTGATACACCTCAAAAATATGCTCAGTGAAAGAATTCAGACACTAAAGGTAATATATTGCATGATTTCTTTTATATGAAATATCTGTAATAGGTAAATTCATAGAGAAAGGTGCAGATTGGTGGTCGGAAGGGGCTGAGGATAGAGTGAAATGAGGAAAAACTGCTTAAAGGGTATAGGGTTTTATGTTGGATTTAAATAAATATTTTATAACTAGGCAGAGATGGTGATTGCACAACATTGTGAATGTAATAAATGCCATGGAATTGTTCACTTTAGAATAATTAATTTTATATTAGGTACATTTCATTTCAATAAGTTTTTAAATAAGCAATAGGCATCAATTTCATATTGCATTGTCTAATTAAAATTTCCAAATAATAGTAGTGAATGTCTAAAAGCTTGATGCGTAGAGTCCTTTTAATTGAGATGTTTATACCATTTACAATTAATTTATATGGTTAGCATTAAATTTCTTATTTGCCTTATGTTTCTGCTTCCTCTTTTTCTGTACTCTGCTTCCTTTGTTTTAATTACCTTTTATGATTTCATTTTATTTTCTCTTTTGGCAGCTTAGCCAAAACATTTTTATATAAGTGCTTGTTCAAGAGTTTGTAGACTACAGCTTTAACCTAACAGCCTACTTTCAAGTGATATTTTCCCACTTCATCCAGAGTATAAGAACCTTATAATAGGTGACTTCCATTTCTCTGCTACTGACCTTCATGCTGTTGCTTTCATTTATTTGACTTTTATGTTCTTATAAACTCCATACTACATTGTTATTGTTTTTGTTTAGTCAATTGTCTTTTACAGAGATATAAACAATAAGGAAAAGTACTCTGTATATTTACCTACGTCATTATCATTTCTAGTTCTCTTCTTTGTATGGGTTTGTGTTTCCATGCGGTATCATTTTCCTATTTTCCTTTTGTCTGAAGACTTTCTTTAACATTTCTTGTAGTGCAGGTATGCTGGTGATACTTTTTTTTTTTTTTCAGTTTTTGTATGTCTAAAAAGTTTGTATTTTGTCCTTATCTTTTGAACACACTTTCTGGCCAGTCATGGTGGCTCACACCTGTAATCCCAGGACTTTGGGAGGCCAAGGCTGACAGAGCACTTGAGGCCAGGAGTTTGAGACCAGCCTGGCCAATATGGCAAAACCTTTTCTCTATTAAAAATACAAAAATTAGCTGCGCATGGTGGCACATGCCTGTAATCCCAGCTAATCAGGAGGCTGAGGCAGGAGAATCTCTTGAGCCTGGGAGGTGGAAGTTACAGTGAGCAGAGATCACATCACTGCACTCCAGCCTGGGCGACAGAGTGAGACTGTCTCAAAAACAAACAAACAAAACAAAACAAAACAAACATACTTTCCTAGGTAAAAAAAAAAAAAATGCTAGGTTAATGTTATGGACTGTATGTATGCGTCCCTGAAAATTCATACATTGAAAATTTAACCCCTAATGGAGTCGTATTAGAAGGTAGAGGCAATTAGGTAATTAGTTTTAGATGAGGTCAGGAGAATGGAGTCCCCATGATAAGATTAGCGTCCTTATAAGAAGAGAAAAAGACTAGAGTTGTTTGTTTGTGTGTGTGTGTGTGTGTGTGTGTGTGTGTGCACCAAATAAAGCAGGTAAAGCCATGGGAGGACATAACCAAGAAGAGGGTCCTCACTAAAACCTGACCCTGATGACACCCTCCAGAACTGTCAGAAATAAATTTATGTTTTTAAGCTACATAGTTTGTATTAGTTCATTCTCTCACTGCTATAAAGAATTGCCCAAGACTGGGTAGTTTAATAATGAAAAGAGATTTAATTGACTCACAGTTCTGCATGGCTGGGGAGGCCTCAAGGAACTTACAATTATGGCAGAAGGCAAAGGAGAAGCAAGCACCTTCTTCACAAGGCACGGAGAGAGAGTGCAAAGGAGAAACTGCCAAACACTTATAAAAGCATCAGATCTCATGAGAACTCATTCACTATCATTAGAACAGCCTGAGGGAAAGTGATCCCATGATCCAATCACCTCCCACCAGGTTCATCCCTCAACACCTGGGGATTACAATTCAAGATGAGATTTGGGTGGGGACACAAAGCCAATCCATATCACAGTTTATAATATCCTGTCTTAGCAGTTGGAACTAAGACAGTTGATAATTTTCCCCCATTGGTACATTAAAAAATAATATTTCATTGTTTTCTCATCTGCATTGTTTTCAACAGAAATCTTTCCTCCTTATTTTTGTTCCTCTGCATATAATGAGTTTCTTTTTCTTTTCACTTTTAAGATTTTTCTGTTTATCATTGGTTCTAATAAATTTTACTTAATTTTATGTAAATTTTCTGACAAGTTTTTATGCTTCTTGGTGTAGTTTTATTCATGTCCTGGGGTTATTGAGTTTATTAGGCCTCTGAGTTTATGATTTTCATCCAATTAGGAAATTTTGGGGAAAATATTAATTCACACTTTTTGCTCCTTTCCTTTTTCTTTTTGGGGGGCTCTAAATACACAAATAAAAGGCCACTTGAATCTTTCCTACAGTTCACAATGCCCTGTGCATTTTAAAATTGTTTCATTCTGTAATTCCAGCACACTGGGAGGCCAAGGCAGACAGGTCACTTGAGGTCAGGAGTTTGTGACCAGCCTGGCCAACATGGTAAAACCTGGTCTCTACAAAAAATACAAAAATTAGCCAGGAGTATGGTGCATGCCCATAATCCGGGCTACTTGGGAGGTTGAGGCAGGAGAATCACATGAACTCAGGAGGCGGAGGTTGCAGTGGGCTGAGATTGCACCACTGCACTCCAGCCTCGGCTACAGAGAAAACTCCATGTCAAAAAAAAATTGTTTTATTCTCTGTGTATTACTTGAATAATTTCTACTTCCATGTCTTCATGTACACTGTCCTTTTGTTCTGCAATATTTAGCTTCCTGTTAATCCCATCTAGTATTATTTTTATCTTAGATACTGTAGTTTTCATTTTTAGAAGTTAGCTGTGGCTCTCTTTTATCCCTTCTATGTCTCTACTTACTATTTTGAACATATGAAATACAGTATAGCAGCTTTAATGTCTTACTGCTAACTCTAATATCCAAATCTATTTTGAATGGGTTTGAGTTGAATAATTATTCTCATCAGAACAGGTTGTATTTTTCTGTTTCTTTGCATATCTACTAATTTCTGATTGAATGTCAGACACTGTTTATTATATTTTGGAATATTTTGGATATCTTTGAATTCCTGTAAGGACTCTTGAGCTTTGTTCTGGGATAGTTATTTGGAAAGAGTTTGATCCCTTCAAATTTTGTTTTTAAAATTTGTGAGGTGGTAGTCATGACATATTTTGTCTAGAGATAATTATTCCCCAAAACTGAAGCAGTATTATTACTCTACCAAATGCCTGGTGGGTTATGAGTTTTTCCAGACTTGGCTGGTCGGAAAATACACTCTTCCCAGACCTGTGAGAATTCCAGGTGGTTTTCCCTGTAGCAATTTTGGTTGGTTATTTGCCTCGTATTGGTGCACACAAGTGTGCTAATCAGCACTCTACTGTACCCTTGAGGAGATTCCTTTGCAGATCTCTAACATTCTCTAGCTATGCATCTGTGTCTTATCTTGTAATCTGTCCTGAGCACTCTAGCAACCATGGTTCAAAGACATTCTTAGAAAGTCTTTCTACTCAGGAAGTTTGCTAAGCATAATGTGGATTCCCCTTTCCTACGGAAAAGCAATATGGCTCACATCATTTATTTTATGTCTCTCAGAGAACTGCCCTGCATTGTCTAATTTTTATGTCTTGAACACCAATGGTTTATATATTTTGTTGTTTTTGGTTGATTCAGGCACATGCAAAAGTTTATTTAATGGTATGTGTAGTTTTTTGTTTTGTCTTGTTTTGTTTTGTTTTGTTTTGTTTTGTTTTGTTTTTGTTGAGACAGAGTCTCTCTCTGTTGCCCAGGCTGGAGTGCAGTGATGCGATCTCAGCTCACCACAACCTCCACCTCCTGGGTTCAAGCAATTCTCCTGCCTCAGCTTCCTGAGTAGTTGGGACTACAGGCACACACCACCATGCCCGGCTAATTTTTGTATTTGTAGTAGAGACAGGGTTTCACTATGTTGGCCAGGCTGGTCTCAAACTCTTGACCTCATGATCCGCCTTGGCCTCCCAAAGTGCTGGGATTACAGGCTTGAGCCATCCTGCTCAGCTTAATGGTATGTTTTGATATTAGTGGTTTTCTTTATAATTTTTACTTCTTATGTCCTGCTTAAGAACAATTTTTCGTGGTTACAAAAATGTTCTTTTATGTTTTATCTTCAAATGTGTATTGTTTTACTGTCCACGTTTAGGTTGACTATTAATGTGGAATTTAATATTTTGTGTAGCTCAAGGTAAGGGTCCACATTTGTTTAATCACATTGTCTGGTCTGTTTGTGCTCCTATAACAAAATGCCATAAACTGATGACTTATGAACAACAAAAATTTATTTCTCACAGTTCTGGAGGCTGGAAAGTCTAAGATCAAGTCACTGACAGAATCAGTGTCTGCTGGAGGGCTTACTTCCTGGTTCATAGACTGCTGTATTTTCACTGTGCCTTCACATGGTGGAATGGGCATATGAACTCTCTGGGGATTCTTTTATAGGGCCACTAATTCTATTCAGGAGGGCTCTGCCTCATGGCCTAATCACCTTCCAAAGGTCCCACCTCCTCATATCATCACCTTAAGGGTTAGAATTTCCACATGAATTTTGGGGGGACACATTCAATCTCTTGTGCTAATATGGATATATATGCACAAGATATATATATATATATAAAATATGATATTCGATGACCAAATATCATCGAAAGGATAATTCCTTTTTCAGTATACTTCAATATTACTATAAATGAGGTGACTATATATATGTGGCTGTTTCTGGGCTTTCTGTCTTATCTCATTGGTTAGTTTGTCTATACTTGTACTAATATCAATAGGATTTAGATACTTTGGTGTCACTGTTGTGCAAGGCTATAGAAAATTCTCTTTGCAATCCATTATAATAATGGATAATATAATAATATAATAATCCATTATAATAATGCCCTATAGTTCTGTGTTCATTCCGAACAGTTTTAATATCATTGCTGTGTTTTAGCATTTCATATTTTTCCTAGGTTTCATAAGGATCTGAAGTGGTAGATTTCTTGTTTTTGCTAGGATCTGATTTAGAGTCAAGATGGACTTTAGAAATTATCTGGCTTAATTAATTCACTTTATAGATGAGCTAAAAGAACCTTAATTTGCTTAAAGGATGTACAGTTAGTTAGAACCTGGAACCCCATTCTTCACACCCTATGCCTTTTATTTTCCACAACTCACAAATTAAGTGCAGTTGGTGTCATACACACTTCTCCCATTTAGTTCATTTTCCCCCCTTCATGCTGCTATATGATTCTTCACTTTGGGTGTATTATGAGTTTTTCGTCCTCCACACAGGGTTCTGTCAGTTCGTGGTATAGCAATTTAGTGTTAAAATGGTGGTGTCTCAGCTGTCAATGCTATAAATACTTCGACTTCATTCCTCTTCAGGAAAGCTTAGGCTAATTTTTTCCCTTTGCATGTTTGCATTTATATTTTTATTAAGATGATTTTCATTATAATATTATGTCTTTATGCTAGAATTACAAAAATACAGAAAAGTAGAAGATGGAAAATCATTACCCATAATACACCACCTAGAGTTACACATTTTTAGAAGTTGAGAATATTTCTTCTGCTCTTTTGTTTCTTTTTATTGAGTTCAGATCAAATGATATATATAAAATTATATTGCCTGATTTTTCAAACATCCACTTTGTGATTATATAAGTATAATAATTTCATTATAATATTAAGAAATAGACTATTTTAAATATTTTAAAACTTTAATTTATTTTCACTATTAAAATGTTGCCATATTTATTGACCCAGTTTAAATGTATTTTTATATTTTCATGAAATTATGGCAAAATAATTTTTAAGCATCCTTAATCAGGAACTTCACGTGTCCCAGTAGGAAGATATGTGTATGGGCTCATAATAAAAAATATATATATTTTCAACTGAGTGGTTTATAGACTTTTCACAAGTAAAAAAAACTCAATGACTTATGGAATTTTTATGAGTTGCAAAGATGCAGAAAGTAATTTCTCATGTTCCTTGACAATGAAAATGACCATTGTGATTCTTCATATGGCTTGGCTGTTTCCCCACCAAAATCTCATCTTGAATTGTAATCCCTATAACCTCCACATGTCATGAAAGGTACCTGGTGGGAGGTTATTGAATCATAGGGGCAGTTTCCCCCATGCTGTTCTTGTGATAGTGAGTTCCAGCGAAATCTGATGGTTTTATAAACATCTAGCATTTCTCTGCTGGCACTCATTCTCTCTCCTGCCACCCTGTAAAGAGGTACTTTCTGCCATTATTGTAAGTTTCCTGAGGCCTCCCCAGCTATGCAGAACCATGAGTCAATTAAACCTCTTTCTTTTATAAATTACCCAGTCTTGGGTATTTCTTCATAGAAATGTGAGAACAGACTAATACAGGAAATTGGTACCACAGAGAGTGTGGTGCTGCTATAAAGACACCCAAAAATGTGGAACCAACTTCAGAACTGGATAACAGGCAAAGGTTGGAACAGTTTGGAGGGCTCAGAAGAAGACAGGAAAATGTGGGAAAGTTTGGAACTTCCTAGAGACTTGTTGAATGACTTTGGCCAAAATTGTGATGGTGATATGGACAACGAAGTCTAGGCTGGGGTGGCCTCAGATGGAGATGAGAAATTTCTTGGGAACTGGAATAAAGGTGACTCTTGCTATGTTTTAGCAAAGAGACTGGCAGCATTTGCTCCTGCCCTAGAGATCTGTGGAACTTTGAATTTAAGAGAGATGACTGATTTAGGGTATCTGGAGAAAGAATTTTCTAAGTGGCAAGGTTTTCAAGAGGAAGCACATCATACAAGTTTGGAAAATTTGCAGCCTGATAATGCAACAGAAAAGAAAACCCCATTTTCTGGGGATAAATTCAAAATGGCTGCAGAAATTTGTATAAGTAATGAAGAGACAGAATGTTAATAACCAAGACAATGGGGAAAATGTGTCCAGATCATATCAGAGATCTTCGGGGCAGCCCCTCCCATCACAAGCCTGGAGGCCTAGGGGGAAAAAATGGTTTTGTGAGTTGGGACTAGGGCCACTCTTCTCTGTGCAGCCTGGGCAAGTGGTGTCCTGAATTCCAGCTGCTTCAGTTCCAGCCATGGCTTAAAGGGACCAAGGTACAGCTCGGGCCATTGCTTCAGAGGATGTAATCCCCAAGCCTTGGTGGCTTACACATGACGTTGAGCCTGCAGGGGCACCGAAGTCAAAAATTGAGGTTTGGGAACCGCTGCCTAGATTTCCCAGAATGTATGAAAATACATGGATGTTCAGGCAGAATTTAGTTGCATGGGTGGAACCCTCATGGAGAACCACTGCTAGGGTGGCATGGAAGGGAAATGTGGGGTTGGATTCCCAACACAGAGTCCTCACTCGGACATTCCCTAATGGAGCTGTTAGAAGAAGCCCACTATTCTCCAGACTCCAGAATGGTAGATTCACTAACAACTTGCACCATGCACCTGGAAAATCCTCAGACACTCAATACCAGCCCGTAAAAGCAGCCAGGAATGGGGCTGTACCCTGCAGAGCCACAGGGGTGGAGCTGCCCAAGGTTGTGGGAACACCTTTCTTGCATCAGCATGACCTGGATATAAGACATGCAGTCAAAGGGGATCATTTTGGAACTTTAAAGTTTAATTACTGCCCTATCGAATTTTGGACTTGCATGAGGCCTGTGGCCCCTTTGTTTTGGCCAATTTCTCTCATTTGAAATGGATATATTTACCCAATGCCTGCACCCCCATTGTATCTAGGAAGTAACTAACTTGCTTTTGAATTTACAGGCTCATAGGTGGAAGGGACTTACTGTCTCAGACGAGACTTTGGACTTGGACTTTTGGTGATATGGTTTGGCTCTGTGTCCCCACCCAAATCTCTTCTTGAATTTTACTCCCATAATGTCCATGTGTCGTGGGAGGGACCCAGTGGGAGATAATTGAATCATGGGGGTGGTTTCCCCCATACTGTTCTTGTGGTAGTAAATAAGTCTCACAAAATCTGATGGTTTTATAAGCATCTGGCATTTCCCCTGCTGGCACTCATTCTCTCTCCTGCTGCCCTGTGAAGAGGTGCCATACACCATGATTGTAAGTTTCCCGAGGCCTCCCAAGCCATGTGGAACTGTTAGTCCATTAAACCTTTTTCCTTCATAAATTATCCAGTCTTAGGTATTTCTTCACAGTAGCATGAGAATGGACTAATGTAATTCTCAATTCTACTTCTATTTTTTTTTTTTTTGAGAACCCTGAAAAAATATATATTTAGGTAATTTTTCTCTCTCAGTGTTCCAAGCACATAGTTTAGCCAATAAAATAACAGCTGGATTAATACATTGTTTGTATCGTCTAAATGTATGGATATAAAAATTATCATTAGAGTTATTTGAATTGTGGGGCCAAGCATTGAATTTATAAACAAATTTCTTAGAACTCAGAAAATATTTGAGGAAGAAGTTCTGAGGACAGGATGGCAATTTACTCACAATGTATTAAATCTAGCCAACAAATATTAAATTCTTTAATTTGAGATCCAAATTGTGCAGGGAAAAAGCCCTAATTTTCTGTGTTTTTTTCTGTTATTTTATGTACAAATATACATATTTATTTGTAATCTCTAGGTCAACTAGGGTAGTTCTTAAGTATTATTTTATAAAATAATTTTATATTTATGTAAAAATATACATATTTTATGTACAAATATACATATTTATTTGTAATCTCTAGGTCAACTAGGGTAGTTCTTAAGTATTATTTTATAAAATGTGGGAGATGTAGTTTATTTTCTGGAAGTTTTGTATATCAAGATTTATTTTTTATTCTTATTACTTAGCTACATATAAAATAATGGAGTGACAATATTAATTATAATATTAATATTTTAGAAAGGTATTTAATGACTTGCATATTGAACTATGACAATTAAAATAACTCTAGATTACTCTCAAGGAATTTTTAAGATAATGAGTATATATTGGTGGAAAAATTTCTAAATATACAAATGTACAGATTTATACCGTTCTCATAGTTGTTTCATGGTATTTCTTTAATATCCTTTTAATATCCATGGGATCTGTAGCGATGCTCCCTCTTTCATTTCTAAGATTACTAATCTGTGACTTCTGTCTTTTTTTCTTAGTTAGCCTAGCCAGAGGCTTATTAATTTTATTGATCTTTTCAATGAACTAGCTTTTGATTTCATTGATTTTTGTCTATTTTCTTGTTTTCAATTTCATTAATTTCTGCTTTAATTTTTATTTTTTCTTTCTTTGTGTTTTCTTTAGGTTTAACTTGCTCCTCTTTTTCTACATATTCAATACTTTAAAATATTATGTAGACATATGTATTTTACTCTCTATTGTAGAAAGTACCTTCAATTATAAACCGATTGTGCTACAGGTTTAAGAAAACCATTATTCATTGAATGAGTATCATATGCCTTTCACTGCATTGAAATTTGATTTATATTATTTTATTGACTCCCCATAACAATCCTATAAGGCTACATGTTATTATCCTTATTTTATTAATGAAAAAACTAGGCTCAGAGAATTTGTCTAACAACTATGACAGAAGATGTAGGAAATTAACTCATCTTTGTCATAAAAGGCTATTTTACAGTGAAATTATCTATTTATATGGCTTTGTATAGTATATAAGGTAAGCTTTATAATGTCTTATTTAAATAAGTACTATATAAACTGCTAGACATATTAGATTATGGTCCAATCATTTTTGCTAACATATTGCAAACATATTATATGCCAGATATATACTAATTCATGCCATTTCCACAACAGCCCTATGAGGTTAGTTATCCTATTTTTACAATCAATCAGAAGGAGGCCCAAAGAAAGACTAAATAATTTGCTTAATGTCTGCAGCTTTTAAACAGTAGAATTTATAATCAAACACAAACAGTTAGGATGTAGAACCTCTGCTCTTGGCCACTAAGCTATCTAATTATTTCAGCAACAGTATATTCCAAATATATTGAAGATAACAGGAAGCATTTGCATTATGTACAAATATGTATGCAAACTGAATAATTTAAAATAGAAAATAATCTGAATTCTTCTAAAGCCATCCAAAGTTCTTAAATAGATCTCATCCAATGTATCAATGTAATAACCAGAATATTTACAAAGATAGGGACCATCAAAATAAAGACAAAAAAATGAAGAGGAGCAAATTTTTAACCATCTCTTTCCATTAATATATTTGATTACAATTATGCAGAGAAAATAAAAACAGATATTTTGAGGAAACAGAAGATAACCTAATTACCTTATAACTAATAGAACAACTAATTTAGAAAATTGACTCTTTAATAAATGGACATATTTCTTTTTTAAAGATCACTTGTAAGTTTATGGTGCTTACTATTTTGCAACTTGATTTTTAAATAGCTCATTTAAACTCAGAATTACCATTAACATGTGAACTACAAAAAGCATTTCTAAAATAAAAATAGCATTTGGAGCACATCTGTTCCAATGATATGTTTTAAAGAAATTTGCATGTATTGGGATCTGATGGCTTGTTTGTGTGTTGCTTTAAGAAGGTGCTCTGCATGATTCACAATTAGACTGCGTATCAGGAGAGATGGGTGTTGCCATGGTAAGTACACATTTTTTGATTGAATAGGAAACTAATAGGCACATAAAACCCACGTAAATTATTGGCACATAAATTGCCTCTCCTGAGGCTACAAATAAACATACTTCTCTTTGGAAATATTTTGCTATTTTTTCTTGGGCTTTGTTTAGATGGTAGACTCATGCATCTCCTTTTGCAGCCTGAAGCCTCGTTTCCTTAAACCCAGTCTTTCTCACCTCCCTTCACTGATGAGCAGCAGTTTTCTGAGTACAAGGAAGAACTACTTTGTACACAAAGAATGCTTTAAGATGTTAAATATCATGAAAATCATGATCTGATTCTTAATAAATATCTGGAATCTTTGCATCTAAAACGTCATGGGAAAATGGTATTAAATATGACTCAAGAAATCCCTCACAATTTGATTCTAGAGTTCCCCATAAAACAGGGATTGTTACATAAAGTGAATAAAAAGGAATACTTTCTGCTTGTACTAGAGAAAGATTATTTGTAAATGTGCATGCTCAAAACCTCCCTGTTCTCTCAGACGTCTGTTGTTCAGTCTTCTCTCCTCAGCCTTTCTCTTCTTCCTTACACCCTACCCCCAGCTCACCCAGTTCAACTTATTCATATCCTGTATTGACAAAGCAGTAAAAGCTTTTGTCTCTTTATTTTTTTCTCTACTTGCATATTTTGGACTCACATGCTTTTATTCATCCTTTGCTTCACAAAGGAAGCTCTTTTCATGGCATTTTGTGGGTTATATAGCAATTTGTAGGATGTGCTCTGCCTCCTTTTTCCATTTGGAAGATTTTTTTTTTTCTGGTTTTACTTTAATCACTACGAAGCATGTGGAGAGGACAGTCATTTGTACTCATATCCAAGTTATTTTTAGAAGCACATTGACAAATTTTTAAGTAGACATTGTATTTTACAAAGAATGCTGTTCTGAGATCATTTTGGCTTGAACAATAAGAAAATTCAAGACTACAGGAGGCAAGCACAACAGGATATCCATAAGTAACAACGCCTACTTATCAACTAGGGGAGCTTAACAGACTTGTTCCTGACTGTGACAAACAGTGAGCTGAATTTTTAGAAAGGCTGTAAGCAGTGAGTGAACACAAAAGGTAACAGGAAAAGATTTGGTGTAGTGCACCAAGACTGCTTCGTGGTACAAATCAAGAGTGAGTTAGAACAATAGTGACTGATCATTTTCAGCAGCTGCCTCGACTTTTATTCTATTGCCTTGTAGAGTTCACTCACCTTTGTTTTCTTACTTTGATTTCAGAGTTCATTTTTCATGATGTTCATTTTTTATGATGAAAGTGAACCTGTCTTGAAGGAATAGATGAATAGTTTCTAGTGGGTTCAAAGACACCTTCAACAGCTTGGAACAAAAGGAAATTATTATACAGATCAAGGTACTACATGAAAATGTTTTTACAGATTTTAAATAAAATATAAACAGCTGTTGAGAGAAGAATGGCACAGTGACAGTTGTTACCAATCCATTAATAATCTGAACGCAAATTCGATCCTGCTCATTATGTGAAACACACATTCCTCTATAGAGAAAACAGTCAGAGTTAAATGTATAAAAAATGGATTCAACAGCAAATCAGAACAAATATAGAAAAAGGAAATGGTGAATCAAGTCTGAATTTATTATGTAATTTTCTTGAAAACCAAGTAATCAATATGTTCTAGCGATGTAATGAATGGTGCTAATAGTGATAGCCTGCTTTTATTGGTTACCATTCAAAGGACTGTCTGGTAAATGATGAAACACTCCAAGGAACTCTTTCTCCTGTCTTTTTATATTTCCCTTGCTTGCAAAATAGTCTTACTTTCTAATCAGGAACATGCAGTCTTTCTAGATGCTTACTTATTAAAACAGAAAAGGTATTTCTCATGTCTTCTTACATTTCACTCTTCTGATTTGCTATGTGACTTAAAATTATCCTAATGACATATCTTCCAAAAGTCTCAAGGTTTCTTTAAGGTTATGTTTAAAATCTATATGGGTAAAAATAAGTGAGAGATTATAGAAATCTTTGTAAACTCTTATTTAATTGTGAGATATAGAGCTTAAACAGGAAGAGATAATGTTCTACTTTGCATCAGAAAACATAAAATTAGCCAAAAGATTTCACCAAAGCAGCTCCATTACTATCAGTTATGTTTGTATTGATGCCACATGATATAATAGAATACAGGTCATAGAAATATGACTCAGAAAGCCTGCTATAGCTTTTTAAAAGTTGGTGCACATATGTTGATGTCATCTGCTTATAGAATAAAAGGACTATAGTAAACAAGAATGCATAGGGGCAACAGGAATGTCTACCTTTAGAACAACCAAGCTGCCTATTGAATGTTCTTATGTATTTGCTGAATGTAAGGCAATCCTTCCTCCTTCAATGTTTTAGAATGCAGCTATTCTACCACCAGGAAAACATCTGTGTAACTACACTATCTTGATGGGTTTCCTAACAAAGTTGTTCTTAAATTATACTCCCTTGGAACACGATTTGACTTGGCTCAAATGTATTTACTGAAGGCAAAGAACTGTACATTATAAGAATGTTACATGGATACAGTATTTAAAGCTCTTCTCTTTACCTACTGAATAGAAAACAAATTTTATTAGTGACCTTACCAAAATGTTTATATCTTTTTCTATGCTATTTTTTCACTTTTTTCTCTTCTTTCTGATGATATTCAGATTTACATCTTTCTAATATTTTTAATCATTCCACATGGGGGAAAAGTAATAAATAGTTTTTCAACAGAAAATCTCTAAAGTAGTAAAGTACTCTAAAGAGGAAATATTATAAATGGCTCCATTTTGTAAGTAAAATGAATCTGTGATATGTTTAGGGGTGACCTAGTACATAATGGAGGAAGAACCATATTTAATATGTTCATTAGTGGTATTTATTAGCACACTTATGCAAGGAAGAAATGATCATTCAGGAACAACATTTTCATCAGACCAAGTACCCCCTAGAGAGCCTTATTGTCCCTAGGACGTCCAAGCATGAACCATGCTAACATCTGAACAATAGTATTTCTAAATAAAGTAATTAACAGGCATATGTGTTCTCACAATCCAGACATCAAAGGACAAAAATTTCACATCAAAATCAGACAATAAAAACATCAAATAGGAAAAGGCAGCTATTGCTGTCCTAGCAAATCCAGCTGATGCATTTTTAAAATGTAGTTATAAACCGTTAGACTGAGAGTCAATATTTGTTTTATCTCAATGATTTCCATTTCAAATTTTCTCAGTTTACAAGTCAGAGATTATTTTTCTCAATTTTTTATGTTACATGAGCACCCTGGGATTTGAAACTCAAACTGCATTCCTACCTTCTCTTCTCTTGGCCATTGATAAAGATCTGTAATTACAGTCAGGCCAGAGATTGCCTTGATGATGTCAAGAGGCAGAACACAATATCCCCTGACCTTTCCTAGAAACATTACTCTGCTATGCCAGCAGTCAAGTTTTCTTATGTCAGTAAAGCAAAAAGACTGGGCTGGGAGAAATAGAAATAACAAGACTGCTTCTTGCCAACCTGCACAGCACAGCACAGTCAAGCTGCACAACCTTCATTGTGTCCTAGAAGAAAAAAAATTCCTTTACTTGGTAGGTTTGCTCTGTATTCTATGGTTGAATTCCAGTTTGGGCCAAATTCTAGTTCAGAGCTTTTTTTTTTTTTTTTCCAAAGCAAGTAAAGTTGGGTTAACTGATTTTGATTACCAGAGAGCTTTTGTAACTCCTGCTTCCTCCCTAGTTGTCAGAGTCCCCTCCCTCTGTGCATGAAAGGAGGCATGGGCTAGCAGTGCAGGTCATGGCCTCTGGAGATGGATTGCCAAGACCCATTGCCTGCTTCTGCCATTGAACAGGTACATGATCTGGGGCAACTAACTAAGCCTCTTGTGCCTCATTTTTTATAAAATGCAAATGAGTACTGTACTTATACCATATTTTTAAGGATTAAGTAAATTAAAACAGCTAAAAGGCTGAAAGCAGGAACTTGTATACAATAAGTGCTATATGAAAGATGATGATTGCCATTATTATTGTTATTATTTGACATTACACATGTTCTACAATCAATTTGTACAATAGTGGTCCTGAGGTGATGTATATTCTCAGCTTACGAAGATAACAGGATCCTGAAATTTGGCTTACTTAGCATACGTTTCAACATCTTTCTAGTTTTCTTTTCTTTACAATGTAGGCTGGAAAGCTAAAAACAACACCCTATTGACTCCCTTCCAGCTAGGCTGCAGGCCTGTGATCAGTTTCTTCCAATCACATGCACCTGCATAAGGTGGCAGCTGGTCAAAGGGAAATCGGATTTTTTGGACAGCATGGGATATTGGCGTCCAGACAAGTCCAAGGTTCCTAAGTGTGGGTATCAACTTCACAGCTGTTTCCATTAGAAGAGTCCCATGGTGTGGTTGGGCATTTTTTTTTTACTGACATTAAAAACCAAATCTGGTTCTCTGGCCTTCCCTGATGTTTCATAAAACTATCCACTATGCCTTTGTAAAACCTTTTCTGCTTAAACTAGCTGGAACCTACTTTACCATTTGTAATTAGGATGCCTGGCTGCCATATACCATCATTTAAGTTTCATGAAGCAGCATAACTCTTCCTTGTGAATGTGGCTGTGGTGTGGCAAAGTTGTACCTCTCATACAGAGAGGAGGGGGCCATGCTCATGCATGTGACACACTGCTTCAAACAGCTGTCATATAGATGGATCCCTAGAAGTTTTCTCCAATTCCTCAAAGCACTTTTAACTTCAGCCCCAGGGAATTAGGGATATCTGTTCCAGTGATTGCAACACATTCATGGTTCTTCCCTCGGTACTTTATGCTTTTTCTATTATATTCCTTTCACCTTAGGACAGATTAACATGTTCAGTAAACAAATCTAATGTTCAACTTTGTGTCTTTGGAGAACAAAGGAATTTTAGTGTAAACAATGTAGACATTGGTAAGTGGGTAAATTCCAGGTTTAGGGATGGTCCCAAATTTTTCAGACATTTCTGGTTCCATTCCCAAATCTGCCCTTCTTTCAACAGCACTTCAATACCAGGGGAACCAGCCTCCAATATTTCAACATAGGTTCTTTCTATTTTCCCTAAGTGTCGGCCGGTCTGAGAAATAAAGAGAAAGAGTACAAAGAGAGAAATTTTACAGCTGGGCCTCTGGGGGTGTCATCACATATTGGTAGGATTGTGATGGCGACCCCGAGCTGCTAAACCAGCAAGTTTTTATTAGGGATTTTAAAATGGGAGAGGGTGTATGAACAGGGAGTAGGTCACAAGGATCACATGCTTCAAAGAGCAATAAAGATCACAAGGTGAAGGCAAAATTAGAATTACTGATGAGGGTCTATGTCCCAGTGTGCACTCATTGTCTTGATAAACATCTTTACAGGAAACAGGGTTCAAGAGCAGAGAACCGGTCTGACTAGAATTTACCAGGCTGGAATTTCCCTATCCTAGCAAGCCTGAGGGTACTGCAGGAGACCAGGGCATATTTCAATCCTTATGTCAACTGCATAAGACAGACACTCCCAGAGTGGCCGTCTATAGACCTCTCCCTGGGAATGCATTCCTTCCCCAGGGTATCAATTATTAATATTCCTTGCTGGGAAAAGAATTCAGCGATATTTCTCCTACTCACACGTCCTTTTATAGGCTCCCTGCAAGAAGAAAAATATGGCTGTATTCTGCCTGACCCTGCAAGCAGTCAGACCTTATGGTTATCTTCTCTTGTTCCCTGAAAATTGCTGTTATTCTGTTCTTTTTCAGGGTGCACTGATTTCATATTGTTCAAACACACGTTTTACAATCAGATTTCATATTGTTCAAACACGCTTTCTACAATCAATTTGTACAATAGTGGTCCTGAGGTGACACACAATCTCAGCTTACGAAGATAACAGGATTAAGAGATTAAAGTAAAGACAGGCATAAGAAATTATAAGAGTATTATTAGGGAAGTGATAAATGTCCATGAAATCTTCACAATTTATGTTCAGAGATTGCAATAAAGACAGGCGTAAGAAATTATAAAAGTATTAATTTTGGGAACTGATAAATGTCCATGAAATCTTCACAATTTATGTTCTTCTGCCTTGGCTCCAGCCAGTCTCTCCGTTCCAGGTCCCTGACTTCCTGCAACACTTCAAGGCTTATGTTAATAATCCATTCACTTAATCCCTGAAAATTCAAGATTGTTCTCAAGAAATTATAAATCAAAAGTGCCCAGTTAGATAAGGGCAGAGTTGAGAACAAAACAGAGTTGATATGGTTTGAATATACATCCCTGCCAAATCTTATGTTGAATTATAATCCCCAACCCTGGAGGTGGAGCCAGGTGGAGGTGCTTGGTTCATGGGGGCAGATCCTTCATGGCTTGGTGCTGTCCTCAAGATAATGAGTGAGTTTTCACAAGATCTGGTTTTTAAAAGTGTGTAGCACTCTCGTCCATTCTTTTTTGCTCCCCCTCTGCCATGTGAGACGTCTGGTTCTGTGTCACCTTCCACCATGAGTGAAAGCTTCCTGAGGCCTCTCCAGAGGCCAAGCAGATGCTGACATCCTGTTTGTGTAGCCTGTAGCACCATGAGTCTACTAAACCTGTTTTCATTATAAATTATCCAGTGTCAGGTATTTATGGATAGCAATGCAAGAATGGCCTACTGTAATAGGTCTTCTATTTTCTTGTCCAGAACTGTTTTTACTACTCTTCACTGGCAGTCTTAACTAAACTAGAAGTTATTCTCAGTTCAGGTATGATCTGAGTTTAGACTTCCAGGCCTTTTATGTTGCAAAAGGACTAAATTTTAATTGAAGGCTTTTTAACAGACCAGTTATGATCATTAACTAGCTAGTGTACTAGAACTCTTAACATAATACCATGGATAGTAACATAAGTGACAGTTGCCATTCTAGTTAGTCTAATCTAATTAAAACAATAATTTTAAAGATATATTCACTAATATGCATAATAATAATAATAGGACCTAATATTTCAGTATGTATTATATTTACAGGAATTATATTTAATACCAATTGATTCTTGAGAGTCAACTGATAAAACCCTGAGGGCATTTTATTTGTGATTTGCAATGCAAAATTAGAAAGGCTATCTGATGATATGACAATGGATCCAGGCATTTAAAAAGTAGCTTTGTTCCTAAGCATCTCCAAAGTCTTTGGCATTCTGTCTACAGTGCACTTCCTTGGTACCAAACCTTCTTTCTCCGTCCTCTAAAATTTCTCCCACTCTTCAACGGAAGATATTTTCTGCTCCACCTAGTCATTTCACATCACCTCAGCTAGATATGATTGCTTCCGCAATCCTTATTCTCTTAACAACACATACAGAATTTGTCAAATGCTGCTGTATATTGCAATTTGTTGTCTACTTAATTTCACTCCACTATCAGAGCATTAATCAGATCCAAGGAGACACATGCTATCTTGTGCTTTCGTTCTTTGAGTATCTCAGAGTATCTGGGGCTTTTCACAAAGATAATAAATATTTGACAAAGAAAAGGATCACAAACAAGCTCAACTGCCTGCAGGAGGTGGCGGTCAACATGACTGGGTGCCACTAATCTGATACAAGCATATAGGTGAAAGCCACTTGTACTATGAGCAAGCATAAGTCTGCCTGCTCACATTGCCTCCGAAATGCTGTATGGTCTTAATGAAGGCAAGATAAAGCACTTCCAGTGGTCAAGTTAAGCCCTATGCCTACCAGGCATGTCCCTTGAATAAAACACCAGTCAGCCTACTTCTGTACAGTAAAAACCAACTGAGAAAAATATGCCACTCAGAAAAAATTTCCTGAGGATTGAGTTCATTTGTTTTCCCCTCTCAGATGTGAGGAAAGGATGTGTAGAGGTTGTGAGGAGTCAGACTCATTAATCATTAATCCATGATAGGTCTTTTATTGAAAACAAGAGAAACGTTACATTAGATATACTTACATTTTACAAAACGATTTCACTTACATTGTTTAATTTAAACTTCGTAACAAATTAGGGAGTTGGCTGAGCATATAATACAGCCACATTTCTTATGGTTGAGAAAAATCAAGGTTGGAGAGACTCAAGTGTCTTGCCCAAGTTACTGAAAAATAGGTTGTGGTAGAGATGTCACCAAACCCAGAATATTTGATACCTACCCCAGAGCTCTTTGCACAACACTATTCTGCTTAGCACCAGACCTCCGTTATTTTTGGCCCAGGCTCACCAATCAGAAGTGAGAGGCAGTTCTTATGAAAACAGGAATGAGTTCTCTAGGGTTTTGGGTTTTTGTTATGCTTTACACATTTTTTTTGGTTGACATATAAAATTCTGCAAATTATCACATGCTTATTTCCCACGTAATTATTGGCTATTTTCTATTTACCAGTTATATGTGCATGTTTGTAAATGATGGCAATTAGCCTACTTGAGGCTTTATCCACTTTACAGTTTTTATCCTAAATTCAAAGACACAGAAACACAAAAAAACCCACATTCCATAATTTACCTTTTAGAGGGATGTCTAAAATAAACCAGCAGCCAAATTGAAAATTCAGAATTGTAACAGGAACTAATAAAAAATAAAATAATCTATCATACTATCAGCAATGATCAATAGAATTTGTGACATTCGAGGAGTGAGAAGCAGGGGGTTTTCATAGGCTTGGTGGGCTTTAGAAGTTAGTCTGCCATCTCTTTTCTCTTTTTTAATGGACTCATGTAAGCTTTTTGATGTAGGAAATCAGTTATTGTTTTGTTTCCATGTTCACTCTGTCTGGTGAAAGGTTGAATAACAAGCCTCCCAAAGATTTGGCTTGATGGGAGTTGGGAGGAGAGGATCACAGGCCATCGCTGAGGATGGAAGTTTAAATTGTCTTATCTGGAGCTCCAATCTTGATAAGAGAGAGAAAAGGAAAGGACCTGGGTTGGAGAGGGGGCAGGGGGTAGCGGTGATGGAGAGGAGGTGGAAAGGTGAGGGGTATGTGGGGGAGTGTGGGGACAGCTTTGTTCTTCTCAAGGTCTGTAGTGAAATTACTGACAGTGGATATTGGTTATAGGTCATAAAAAAAAATGAGGGATAGTGGGAAAGCTAAGAGAGAAGAGCAGAATAGACTGCTGTTCCGCACAAATTTTCCACCAGGATTCATAATAGTTTCTTCACTCAAAACGTAAATCATTTCATTATGTTAGTTTGCTAGCTCTTGACAATAATATACCTGTCAGTCCTCAAACCTGAATCAAGAAAGAGTAGGAAAATGGAAGAAAAGTGAATATTGCTAGGAACAATTGATCTGTCACTGCTTGCTTAAGTGACCTTGACAATGTAACTAAACCTTTCATAAACCAGCTACAGAATGATATCCAAATGTTTAGTTCTGGATGTGTTAACTGTAACATTTTACTTATATTCTTCTATTGAAATAAGTTGAAAAAATGCTAATGAGAGTTTTCAATGAGTATCTGTGTTACGAGGTGTTACAGTCTCATGTACTTTTGAGGGTTAAAGACCACAGCTACTTAGGAATTTATATTTATAATTTTATCTGAATTCTTATGTTGAAAGAAAACTTATTTTACATTAAAATATTTTTATGATGAAGTACATTAATATCATACCATGGAATCTATTGCAGATTATGGTTCCCAGAGAAAATAAGATGTTTTACTCATGTTTACTTTTGACAATTATTCTCCCATAAGCATTCACAGTATAATGGAAACTACACAAAAAAATACTCTAAAGATTGCCTATCTATATGTAAACACAGTACAATAAATAGAAAAACCATTCTCATAATTACCAGGAAAATATCTCAACTAGGAAAAATATTTCAACCACTTATGGAAAAGAGGTTTTCGAATGCTTATAAGAAAAACATCAAGATTCTTCAAGTTATTTGTCTTATTTACTGGCTAATTCTTGAAATCTCTATTTTACTCTTCCTGCAAAATCAGTTATTGAGTGGTTGGTAGCATCTTATGCTAGTATTTTAAAGGGATAAACAAACACTCATTAAATCATTTATTATAACTTAGATGCTCGAAGCTTGGTTTGAGAAATAAAATGTAACTTAGAAAAGAATAAAAATCAAAAGAATAAAATTGGTTATGCAGATATATATTAATTATCTCTTCATCATTAGTAAATCACATAAAAGTATTTTAGGGGAGAGAGTTATAAAATTTGACCCCAAATGAAAATTGATCCTTGAACAGTTTCCTCTGGGAAAAGTCCCTCTGAGCAGAGAAATAAAGAAGAGTATGACATTAGAGTGTAGTGGGGTAAGATGGAAGAAAGAGAACCTGTTTGGAGACTACGAGAAAGAAAAAGAAGTAAAGTGTTCTAATAGAGGCTGCACTTAAAGAAGGAAGGAGGGAATTCACAGAGGAACACAAACCTAGGAGTTAAAAGAATTACACAGCCAAATGAAGGCAAAAATGAATTAAAAAAGTAAAGGAAAAAGGGAACAGGGAAAAAGAAATTAAAAGAAAAAACAAATTAAAAGAAATTCAAAAGAAAAAATAATTAAAAGAAAAATTTGTGTTGTCTAGTAAGTAGAAAGTATGATGCCATTTTTACCAATTGTAATTTCTAACAAAGAGTTTAGGAATCAAAGTTTGTACATAAAGGTTCCCTTCAGCTATCTCCCTAACATAGCCTCCATGATTAAAATGTTGATGGTTTTTGACAAATCGTATGTTGAGGAATATAAATAAGGATGTACTAGAAAGTTTGTGATATGTAGCGAAAGGAAAGACTCCATTTTAACATTGTGTTCACAGAACATATGCATGTTTGTATTTACTTTGGGGCCAGGAAGAGAGAATGATAGGTTGCATCTTGGAATACTCTTTTACAATTAGGCAAAATAAGAATTCTTGGAAGTAGAGTCCTATGAATTACATGCTTTATTATATCAAAGTTAAACTAAGGTCCTTTGTTGATCCATTTAGCCTACCCTCGAAAGGGAATACAGCTGGAGAATAATATTTTACTAAATCTTACAGCTAATCATCTAATATTTTCCTTTCTGACACTGAAAATCCTTTTGCCACCATCTTGCTTACTTGTGCATCACACACCATTCACATGGTGAGGGAGAAATCCTTGATACACAAACCGTCAACTGATAGCCTTGCTTACAGAAATTTTCCAGGTCTCTGCTGGAAACAAATTGCATTTGGTTCTAAAAATTCTACATAACTACCTGTGTATCACCTTTGGACCTCATCTTTATAGTTCAGCTTGAGGGTTGGCCACATTTTCACTTCCATCTGCTCAACTGTGGAAATAAAAACATGTTCTCTTCTGACTATACCTCTGGATTTGTTTAGCTTAATAAAACAATGATATCCATACTTTGAGGACAAGCCACTTCTAACCCATCAGTTTGACTTCATGATCTTTGAACTTCTCTTGCTATAGAGCTTACATTAAATGTCTGCTAGGAAGCAACGAGTTTCATGTCAAGACCTAATAATTGATTTAACTCTCATAATGCTTTGAGCTTAGAATTTAATTCACGTACATTCCTTTGCAAGACTTACCAGGTGCATAGGATTTATATCGCCCCATAATTCTGATAACAAAACTCCATTTATCAAGGGCACTAATGGTTTATACAGTTTCAAATCAAATTAGCATATCTCCAACCTTATTATTTTTCTGAATACTCAGCAATATTTGATATAAATACTTTCCAGTCTTGAAACCACCAGTCCTTCCTACATCTAATGTATTTTCTATAATGAGGAGAATGTAAAGCTAAAAATTATGTCTCCAGATTTCCTGGAAGCTGGAATTAAAAATGGGATTTAGGTTTAACCAATCAGTGTCCTCTCACGTGAACTGGGAGGCAAAACCAAGGTAAGGGCAGAATCCCAACTGCTTTTGCTGCTTTTGCCAGGCAGGCATGGTATTCAGCGAATTTGTTTTTTCTGGACAACCATTGGCAGAGTTTTCAATGGCAAGTCATCAGATTTATCAGTTTCAAGAGTAGGATATTCATTTCTATGTAGATTTGTAGATTTTTGAACAGTTCATTTTTTCCTTGACTAGCAGAATAACCTCTCATCCTATATATTTCCTCATTGCATATATAAAACCTAAGGTAGTATTTATTTGTTAATTGTCCGTTCTTCTTCATCATAATTTAAGTTCCAGAAGGGCCGGGATCTTGTCTGTCTTCTTCTTTACAGATTTTAGAATAATGCAAAGCATGTAGTTAGCAATGAATAAATGTTCACTGAGTGAAAAAAAAATGAATGAAGACTGAATGAATTGGGGTTGTGTTAGGGAATTAAGGACTGGTGCTATGAAGATTTTTGTGTATCATATGAATATTGTTTATATTTTCTTTGCATACATACATGCACACGTGTGTGCATTTTGTGTGTCTATAATATACAAATAATCTTTAGTCCTTTTTGGATCTCTCTCCCAAGATATACCTCAAGAGTGAAAAAATCTTCCTTTACTTCTCAATCTCTGTAACTTTCATCTAAGTCCAAAATTCGCTAATTATTTTTAATATTTAACTCCATTTTTAATAAATTTTGACAAAATTTTCTAATTATGTTTAAAATAAACTTTCTATTGTAGAAAAGTTTTAGACTTAAAGAAAAGCTGCAAAGCTACTACAGTGAGTTCTCATATACCTTACACCCAGTTTTTCCTATTAACATCCTACATTAGAAAGGTACATTTGTTATAATTAACGAACCAACATTAAATTATTCATTCACTTATATCCATATTTTTCAGATTTCCTCAGTTTTTACCTAATTTTTTTTCTGTTCCAAAATTTTATCCAGGTTACCACATTACATTAGTAGTCATCACTCTTTAGGCTCCTCTTATCTGCAACACTTTCTCAGGCTTTCCTTGATTGTGATGACCTGGGGAATTTTAAGGAGTGCTGCTCAGGTGTTCTGCAGAATGTCACTCAACTAGGATTTATCTAATGTTTTTCTCATGATCAGATTTGGGTAATATGTTTCAAGATGAAAACTACAGAGAAAGAGTACCACCATTTCATCATATTATATCAAAGTTATATAGTATCAACAAAATCAACACAACTTTTCACTTTTGATAATGACCTTGATTACCTGACTGAAGTAGCATTTGTCAGTTTTCTGCATGAAGTTATTCTCTTTTCCTTTTTTACATACTGTATTTTTTATTTATTTATTTATTTTTTTTTTTGAGACAGAGTCTCGCTCTTTCTCCCAGGCTGTAGTGCAGTGGCACAATCTCGACTCACTGCAACCTCCACCTCTGGAGTTCAAACGATTCTCCTGCCTCAGCCTCCTGAGTAGCTGAGATTACAGGCATGCATCACTATCCTCAGCTAATTTTTGTATTTTTAGTAGAGACAGGGTTTCCCCATGTGTTCCAGGCTGGTCTCAAACTCCTGGCGTCAGGTGATCCACCTGCCTTGGCCTCCCAAAGTGCTAGGATTACAGGCGTGATCCACCGTGTGTGGCCTACATACTGTATGTTCTAGAATGAATTCACTATGCACAGCCCATACCTAGGAGTGAAGAATCTTACTCCATGTTCTTGAAGGCAAACTATCTACATAAATTATTTGAAATATACCTGCATTGAGAGTTTCACCTCTTATCTCTCATTTATTTATTCATTCAATCTTACAGTAATGTCAGTATTGACTAATATATAATTATTTTATACTTTGAGTAGTTATATATATTATATTATATTACCACACACATACATACACACACACACACACACACACACACACACACACACATATATATATATATATATTTTTTTTTTTTTGAGACGCAACCTTACTTTGTCACCTGTCCCTCAGGCTGGAGTGTGCAATGGCATGATCTTGGCTCACTGCAACCTGTTCCTCTCAGGTTCAAGCAGTTCTGGCTCAGCCTCCCAAGTAGCTAGCATTACAGGTGTGCATCACAATGCCTGACAAATTTCTGTATTTTTAGTAGAGAGGGGGTTTCACTATGTTGGCCAGGCTGGTCTTGAACTCCTGACCTCAGATAATCCACGAGCCTTGGCCTCCCAAAGTGCTGGGATTACAGGCATGAGCCACAGTGCCTGGACTATTTTATTTATATATTTTTGCTCAAATTATTTCATCTTTGGCTATCTGGAACTCTTTAGTTGCCTGCTGTGTCCCTTTGATGTATTCTCATCATTAAAGGTTTTCTTTTATTACTTCCTTGCTTTCTGTCCAAACTACAAAGATTGAGAAACAAAGGAAGATTTTTCCACTTTTGAGGTCTCTCATGGGAGAGAGATCTGTCAAGGAGTAAGAATTATTTCCATATTATACATGCACAAGATGCTCCAGGCTTAAATTGTATATTCTCTATCTCCTTCCTAGAATTAGCCATTTCTCCAAAACCCCAGTTTCTTTTTTGGGACAGTGATATATTAGTCCGTTTTTACACTGCGGATAAAGACATACCTGAGACTAGGTAATTATAAAGAAAAAGAGATATAATGGACTCACAGTTCCACATGGCTGAGGAGGCCTCACAATCATTGCAGAAGGCAAAGGAGGAGCAAAGGCACATCTTGCATGGTGGCAGACAGGAGAGAATGAGGGCTAAGTAAAAGGGTTTTCCCTTATAAAACCATCAGATCTCATGAGAGGTATTCTCTACCACGAGAACTGTGTGAAGGAAACCACCCCCATGATTCAATTATCGCTCAACAGGTCCCTACCTGTGGGAATTATGGGAGCTACAATTCAAGATGAGATTTGGGTGGGAACACAGCCAACCATACCATTCCACCCCTGCCCCCTCCCAAATCTCATGTCCTCACATTTCAAAACCAGTTATGCCTTGCCAACAGTCTCCAAAGTCTTAACTAATATCAGCATTGACTCAAAAGTCCACAGTCCAAAGTCTTATCTGAGACAAGGCATGCCCCTACTGCCTATTAGTCTGTAAAATCAAAAGCAAGTTAGTTACTTCCTAGATGCAATGCGGGCACAGGCAAAGGGTAAATACAGCCATCCAAAATGGGAGAAATTGGACAAAACAAAGGAGCTACAGGCTCCATGCAAGTTTAAAATCTAGTGGAGCAGCCAAGTCTTAAAGCTCTGAAATAATCTCCTTTGACTCCAAGTCTCACATTCAGGTCACACTGATGCAAGAGGTGGGTTCCCATGGTCATGGGAAGCTCCACTCCGTAGCTTTGCAGGGTATAGCCTCCCTCTCAGCTGCTTTCAAGGGCTGGTGTTGAGTGTCTGTGGCTTTTCCAGGTGCATGCTGCAAGCTGTCAATGGATCGACTATTCTAGAGTCTGGAGGATGGTGGCCACCTTCTCACAACTCTACTAGGCAGTGCCCAAGTGGGGACTCTGTGTGGGGGCTTCGACACCACATTTTCCTTCCACATTGCCCTAGCAGAGGTTCTCCATGAGGGCTCCACCCCTGCAGCAAACTTCTGACTGGACATTTCCATACATCTTCTGAAATCTAGGCAGAGGTTCCCAAACCTCAGTTCCTGACTTCTGTGTAGCTGCAGGCTCAACACAATTTGGAAGCTGCCAAGGCTTGGGGCTTGCACCCTTTGAAGCTGCAGCCTGTGCTGTACCTTGGCCCCTTTTAGCCATGGCAAAAGCAGGTGGGATACAGGGCACCAAGTCCCTAGGCTGCACACAGCAGCGGGGTCCTGGGCCTGATCCATGACACCGTTTTTCCCTCCTAGGCCTCTAGGCCTGTGATGGGAGGGGCTCTGACATGCCCTGGATACATTTTCCTCATTTTCTTGGCAGTTAACATTTACCTTCTCATTACTTATGCACATTTTTGCAACTGGCTTGAATTTCTCCTCAGCAAATGAGTTTTTCTTTCCTATCACATCATAAGTCTGCAAATTTTCTGAACATTTTTGCTGTTTCCTTTTTAAAACTGAATGCTTTTAACAGCACCCAACTCACCTCTTGAATGCTTTGCTGCTTAGAAATTTCTTCTACCAGTTACCCTAAATCATCTCTCTCAAGTTGAAAGTTCCACAGATCTCTAGGGCAGGGGAAATATGCCCCCACTCTCTTTGCTAAAACATAGCAAGAGTCACCGTTACTCCAGTTCCCAACAAGTTCCTCATCTCCATCTGAGACCAGCTCCGCCTGGATTTCATTGTCCATATCATTATCAGCATTTTAGTCAAAGCCATTCAGCAATTCTCTAGGAAGTTCCAAACTTTACCACATTTTCCTGTCTTCTTCGGAGCCCTCTAAACTGTTCCAACTTCTGCCTGTTACTGTGTTCCAAAGTTGCTTCCACATCAGGTATCTTCAGAGAAGCACCCCACCCTACCAGTACCAATTGTATTAGTCTGTTTTCACACTGCTGATAAAGACACACCCAAGATCAGGCAATTGATAAAGAAAAAGAGATTTAATGAACTTACAGTTCCATGTGGCTGGGGAAGCCTCACAATCATGGTGGAAGGCAAAAGGCATGTCTTACATGGTGGTAGACAAGAGAGAATGAAAGGCAAGTGAAAGGGGTTTCCCTTGAAGAACTATCAAATCTTATGAAAATTATTTACTACCCCAAGAACTGTATGGGGGAAACTGATCCCATGATTCAGTGATCTCTCACCAGGTCCCTCACACAACACGTGAGAATTATAGGAGCTATAATTTAAGATGAGATTTGGTAGGGGGGACACAGCCATACCATACCAAGTGGTATCAAAAACCAAGACCTGTGTACATTGCCACTAAAATATTGCTTCTAGGCCCTCTCAGCTGACAGAACAAGGAATTCTGTACACATACACATGCACACACACACACAAAATGCATATATACATGTCTGTAACACTAAAATGTTCCTTCTAGGCCCTCTGAGCTGACAGAACAAGGAATTCTGTACACACACATACACACAAAATGCATATATACATATCTGTAAATATTTCTATATATAACAATGTATCTTTATTATCTGTAAGTTCATTCTGATGTCTCCAATTCTATTCCATTACCATATAAATCATTCTAGTCTTCTTCCCTTACTGATATGTGATATCCTAATATCTGCTGTAAATTTAGTAAACTGTTTAATTTAGTATGTATGTAGAATGAAATAAGAATTCTCATATTGTAAACTTTATGATAAATGATTTTATTAACTAGAGTATAGTGCTTATTTACATTTTTTTATTTTTTGAGAGAGAGTCTTGCTCTGTCACCCAGGCTGGAGTGCAGTGGTGCGATCTTGGCTCACTTCTGCCTCCCAAGTTCAAGTGATTCTCATGCCTCAGCCTCCTGAGTAGGTGGGATTACAGGTGCATGCCACCTTACCCTGCTAATTTTTTTTTTTTTTTGAGATGGAGTCTCGCTCTATTGCCCAGGCTGGAGTGCAGTGGCATGATCTCGGCTCACTGCAACCTCCGCCTCCTGGATTCAAGCGATTCTCCTGACTCAGCCACTTGAGTAGCTGGGTTACTGGTGCGCACCACCACGCCCAGCTAATTTTTGTATTTTTAGTAGAGATGGAGTTTCACCATGTTGGTCAGGCTGGTCTCTAACTCCTGACCTTATGATCCATTTGCTTTAGCCTCCCAAAGTGCTGGGGTTACAGGCGTGAGCCACCATGCCCGGCTCTAATTTTTGTATTTTAAGTAGAGGCAGGGTTTCCTCATGTTGACCAGGCTGGTCTTGAACTCCCAGCCTCAAGTAATCTGCTGGCTTTGGCCTCCCAAAGTGCTGGTATTACAGGCATGAGCCACCATGCCTGGCCAATTATTTATATTTTTGTTTGTTTGTCTGTTAGCCTTCAGTCTCACAGACAGTACACATTTCTAGAGTTATTTATGTCAGTACCTATTTCTCCAACATTTTCAGTGTGATAGTTTCATACATATGCAATGTACTTAGATTGTTTTGTTATGTTCCACATTCCATCCACACATAACATGACCTCCTAAGTTACTTTTTAAATTTGCATATATTAAATTTTGTTATTTGTTCTATGTCAAAATACTGTGGGTTTCAACAAATGCATGGTGTCTTACGTCCATGTTTACAGTAACATGTATATTATAATCATGGACATATGAATAGTTTCACTATCCCAAAATATCCCCTGTGCCTTTATCTACTCAACCCTTCTATCCTCAGACTGCTGAAAACCACTGATGTATTTACTGTCTGTACAGTTTTACTTTTCCAAAAAGTTATAAAATAGTAATCATAGAGTAGGCATTCTTCTCAGGCCTGCTTCTTTCATTTAGCAACATACATTTATACATTTCATGGCTTGAAAGCTTATTTTTTAATATCACTAAATAATATTTTATTATATGGATATTCACAGATTGTTTGTGGTTACAAACATTCAGTCATTGAAGAATATATTAGTTACTTTCAGCTTTTGGCAATTTTGACAAAGCTGCTATTCATGTACAAGTTTTTGTGTGGACATAAAGCCTCGGCCAACATAAGCATCAGAGATGAAGGAAAACCCTCCTTTACTTATCAAACAAGCTCTGTAGCTTTCACCTTCTAAAAACCCCAGCTTTCAGGTAACATTAATTGCTGCTTGATATATTTTTCCTCTTTTAGTCATATATATGTGTGTGTGTGTTTGCGTGTGTGTGTGTGTGTATAGATTGATGCAACATACAGAGAAAAATAACTTTCAAACAGAAATACTCTTGATTTTTCCATACTCTTTTCTGACTTATCGTTACTATAACCCATATTGTTCTCATCTTTACATATAAGTCAATATTTCTGAAGGGGAAAAAAAAAAAGCAAAACAGTACTTCCTGAAACAGTGGACTTCAGAGGATTTTTTTCTGACAACGTGACTGTTACTTATTAGTCTTGAACTAAAGACAACTGTTACAAACAGCTCCTCAAGGAGTTTGGCTAATTGCTAGCAACATGAAGGGCAACACTGTTGCTTTGATAGTTTTTGTTGAATTTTTTTCTTTACATAGCAAAAAACAAATATCTTTACAAACACATTTTTATAAAACTTTTCATTGGAACACATACGGTTCCCTTGTTAAGACACTGTTCACTCACCTGAACATTCACTGATTTATTCACTGCCAACAGTCTGTGGGTGTTTTAACTGTCGTGTACCTGGCAATGTACCATAATATTTCACTCTAAAATCTGAAAGTCATTTAATATTCATGGAGATTAAAAGCTAGCTGAAGAGAACAAAACAAGGCCAAAAATATAGTTTGGTGCTCAGTGGAATTTCTGTTTCTCATTTATTACATTGTCTTCAAAATAAGTATGTGGGTGGAAGAGATGTAGATGGCACATTAACGACATTCACAGATACCAAATAAGGAAAATTAAAACCACAGAGCCAAATTAATATACTTTGTGTCAATGTGATTTGGAGATATAATAAAGACAAAAGAATCTGAAATCATGTTACACAGAAAAGTGAAATAAAAAATGTCAGTACTTTTAGAAATGAAGACAGAAAAGGCCACAAGTATTATATAAAGAAACGATGAGAGTTATTGATCAAAGAGTCACATGTAGATGATTCCACAATAGAGCTAGATAGAATTTGCTGGTAAATTATATCATTTTAAAATCAATTCACATTTAGTTCTCTGCCATTTGGTAAGATCATTCATCTTGTAACAACTCCATTTCTGAAGTCACACTTGCATGAGTGGGCAATGAGGTGGAGAGTTAGGCAATGTGGACTATTAAGACAATTATCTAGATAATTTGAACTGAAGATATCCACATTCCCTCATTTTGAAAATACAGTGAAAAGACTTTAAGACTTTCTGTATTCTTTAGGTCTCATATTTGAAGATAATTCCTCTAGAAAGATTTTTCTGACAGCCTAATGATGGCATCATGTGCTACTTCTCCAAATGTTTTCTTAGCATCTGTAAGTGTCCTACCACATTTCACTAATTGTACTTGCCTCCTTACAGGTCTATATTCCATACTGAACAGTAAGTTCTTATGGTAAGCACTTGAGAGTTATTTGCTGATTCAATACCTTTGTGACTTACAGTTGGAGAGACATGGAATTATAAAGAGTGTCTCTGCCATTTGCTATGAAACTTTAATAAGTTCTATCAGTTTCCGATTCTTCAACTTTAAAATGGAAATATAGTAGTTACTTCTCCCAGGATAGTTGTAAGGAGTAAATGAAACAATATGTGTAATCCCAAAAAAATAGTTTCTAGCACATAATAGGTGCTCAATAAATGTTAGTTTCCTCTAACTTCATTTAATTTGATAGATTTATAATAGCTGTATAATCAGTTAATTAGAATTTATAGGAATAAACATCTTTTCTTGACAAGATTGAGAAAGGTAAAAGAGATTTAAGAACTTGCCACAGCCCATCCTCTGTGCTTTTTTGCCTTCCTTTTGGGGTTCTCCCACCTACTTAATTTCATTGACTTTCAGGAATCCCCTGGTTTCCCAGGCTCCTCTCTTAAAAACTTCAGTTGATTTTGTCTTTCCTTGTATACCAGCAAGGGATTTGAAATGCAGAGACCTGTATCGGTATGGTGGCTCATGCCTGTAATCCCAGCACTTTGGGAGTTCAAGGTGAATGTATCACTTGAGGTCAGGAGTTCAAGACTAGTCTGGCCAACATGGTGAAACCCTGTCTCTACTAAAAATACAAAAATTAGGCAGATGTGGTGGCAGGCGCCTGTAATCCCAGCTATTCAGGAGGCTGAGGCAGGAGAATCGGTTGAGCCCAGGAGGCAGAGGATGCAGTGAGCCGAGATCGTGCCATTACAGTCCAGCCTGGGCAACAGAGTGAGACTCCAGCTCCAAAAAGAAAAAAAGAAAAAGAAAAAGAAATTAAGTTCAGAGGCCTGCAGTATACCATTTTCACCCTGGGAGGCCACACAGAAACCACAGTACCTGTCTGAGTTTCAACTTACTCATCTACAAAGTAAAGAAAGTATTTCCTGTATTAATGGTATTTACTTGGCAGGCTCCTCTCAATTATGGAAGACAGAAGATACAGCAAGAAAAGACAGCCATGTCCTCAGTTTTCCTAGAGGTTAGGCATTAAACTAACGTTTGCATAGGCTATTATTCAATAAGTTCACAGTACAAGTACAATATGTCAATTGATCAGGAGCAGATACACACACATATATACAAATGCATAGACATATATACATACTAGATATGTAATATATAGCCTAATCTCAGAAGTGGGGAGGAATAACAAAAGTGAAAGGGCTTTATAAGTTTTCCAAATCTATGTGAAGGCAATATATGAGTATTATTATTCCCAGGGAATCTTTTTATGTTATTTCTTTCATAGAAATTCCTTAGTCCTATTTCCCAGTCCCCATTGCTCTATAAACACTTGTTAATATTCCTTGAGGAATGAGGTACCTTTAACATGAGATGAAGTAAAAGACCATGCCGCTACAGTGTAGCACTGCTTAGTGTGTGATGCTGACATCCCTCCTCTCTCTGAGATAATGCCTTTTGGTTAAACTCATTGGTTCCACTTAGGTATCTTCCTTGTTTTTTTCTGGACAATGAGTTAGTTCCCAGAGATTGCCTGATCCTTTGCAGCCTTAACTACAAGCTTCTCTTTTTCTAGCTACCCAAAGATTCTCACACTATCAAAAGGTGTCCATTGTCATTCTTTCACTCTATACCTGTCTCATGGCCCAGTCCCAACCAAGTGTCCCTTGACTGTGACTCAGTCCCATTTTCCAGCATTTTATGTGTCAGCTATTATTTCTGTCTGATGTCCCTCTAAGACAGAAGGTATGGCGATTTCAGCAACAGTTATGGACCATCCCCTGGCTACTGGAAATTTTTACATTAGTCTTCCTGGGTAAATTATTTTGGAGTTTTGAACTTAATTCTCAGTCACACAACCTGCCATTCCGAGAGCTGTTTCTGAAGAGTGAGGCCTTTCTGTTTCCTCTAAATTAATACCTAAGAAGCAGTGTCTTGCAGCCCCCTTTCAGATGGAACTCTGATGCCCCTTCTCTACATAAAGAAAAGAGAACACTTCACAGAAGAGACTGCCTTTGTGTATTCTTGGAAACAAATAATCTATAGATCATCCAGGATTAAAAAGACACTTAAAACATCCAGCTGAGCAGAGCAATACAATTTCTAAATTGTATTGACTCAATATTCTGTTGAATTTTTACATTTGTTTTTATAGAAAGAGATGGAAACTGATGAATTTAAAATATACATTGCAATGGTTAAACATTAGAGGTAACAATAAAAATGTAAATATTTTTATAAATATAAAAATATATGCATCATGCTATCTGGATTATGATGCGATTTGACATATTTGCCTCACTCTTTGGACCTGCACACTCTCTTTCTCTTACTATTCACCATGTCAGGTCCTTACACATTGTTCCCTTCCCTTTGCTGAGAATGTTGGCCAACCATTCCTAATTTATTTGTTGTTTCGCCCCAGCTTCCTTAATGCCTGACATATAGTAATTGCTCCATAAATACGTGTTACATGAAAAAAGTATTATCTCTAATGTATAAGTAAGAAAACAGATTTTCTCACCATCTCTATGCAAGTCAATGGTAGCATTCAAATCCAGCTCTTTTCACAATATACTATGTATTCCTTCTTTGACACTAAGTTGTCTGGTTGCCATGGTTTTGAATACTGAACAGTGTTTTGCAAGGGACCGCCTAAGGTTTCTAGAACTTCAGGGATTTACAACCAACACTGTAGAGTTTCAAACAAAATAGTCTAATGAAACATGCTGGTGGAAGAATTTAATAATAGGTCTTTCATGAAATAAATCTGTCATCTCTTTTTTGGAAATATTCAACAATTGTGACTAACATACTATCAAACTTACATATGATAACATCACTGTGAAAAGAATCATTTTTCTTCAGTTAATTCCCCTGAGTGTTATCTGGGATGGAAAGGCTTTCATGGATATACCTAATGACCATTTCCATAGGAAATGGAAAGGCATAAACACTGATAATAAAGTTTTATTGTCTCCTGATTGAAATAAGCCTCAAAATCATCAAGATGGTTTTATAGCCACCCTTTCTAAACCCACACACATACACACACTTTTGTTTTAACTCAGAAATAATTATACGCACTATAAAAGGTTTTCAAGAACGACAACAAAATTGATGTGTAATATTTATATTGATTGGATATTTCTATTGTTTACAAAGGAATACATAATTATTGTAGAAAATTCAGAGGGCAGAGAAGAGCACAAAGAGGAATCACCAAAATATCACCCAAAAGTACTTCAAAGTATGTATTTCCAGGCTCAGTCACACGTGTATCAATATTTACCTTTTACTTTTTTTACAAAGTGAGAATCATATGTACATATTTTTTGTAGTAAGCAATATAATAAAATCATTTTTCCATATCTGAAAATGTTTTTCTATAATACCATATTAATGAGTGGAGAATATTGTATGAATGTATCATATGTTGTGATAATGTCCATTTTTGGTCATTAAGAAGTTTCTGACCTTTTTCCTGTTATAAAGTGCACTGAAAAACATTCATAAATATAGAGAATTTTTTACTTAGCTCCGATATTTAAAAAAAGTATTCTTAGAAAGTAAATTATTGTTTTAGAATATTAACATTTTTAGTAACTCATGACATATCAAATTGCCTAAAGAATGGTTGTGTCATTTTTCTTCCTGGTACATTCTAAATACCTTCACATTAGAAAGTTTGAAAGGTCAAAATGGCCCAGGTCTGAGTCTGCCTTGATCATTCCCATATCTCAAGCACCCAGGATAAATCAGTAACACATAAGTTGTCCAATATGTATGTGATGAATTATCGAGAAATGAATGAGTGAATGGTGAAGGAAGTAGAGTAGGAAAATATTTCTTTATAAAACAGAAAGCTATCTTTACTTTATAGACTATGCTGTACTCAGTTACTTTATCCATAAAAGGAGAAATATGTGAAACATGTTGGTCAGTGCCTGGGTCTATCAAAGCAGGGTGATTGTGCTCCATCCACTTTGTTAAAATATAACATGTTCACCTATCATTAACTTGCTCAAGTTTATCAGTGATTACTTCCCAAATTGTTCCATCTGCACTATTTATCAATAAATGGTACCACAGTGCCAAAATTCAAAACCCACAAATATGGGAGGTTTTGAAACCATCCTCTCACACCTGCATTTTCTATTAATCATCAAATTTCATACATTTTACCTCTTAAATATCTCTCCATTTCTCATCTCTGTTTATTTTCTTCAGCTTTACTGCCACCATCTTGTTTCAAGGTTCTATTGTAGCTTCTTCGAATTACAGAAATAGTTCCATAGTCTTCCTTATTCATTATTCTCATTTTCCAATCCAGAATAATCTTCACATTGCCTCCAGACAATCTTGCTAAAATGAAAAATGGCTATGTCAATCTTTGTTTAAAACCCTATAATGTCCTCCCATTGTTCTTAAGATAAAGACCGTGATCTTAGCATATTAATAGAAAACACAGCATAGCAGGGACTTTCTTACCAGCCTATCATATTCCATTATCTCTATTAATCCCAATCTCCTAAGACTCTGGCTTTCTTCAAGACATCTGCTTCAGTTGTCTTGTATTTGTACATCCTACTTTCTATACCCACAGAACTTTTTTCAGTAATTTCTACTTCCTTTTTTATTCATGCATCTTCATCCTTTAGGAATCTGTTGAATTCGGTGTCTCAAGGAAACCTTTCCTAATCTCAGGTTCTATCAGATTCCCCAGTTACTCTCCTAGTACTCTTAACTGCTCTTTGATACCTCCGAACAAAATTGTAAGTTAGTGGCTATTTTTGTAATTAATTGTTTTGTCTATGTGTTCTTCTTTAATATGAGCTTCACAAGACCTGGAATTGAGTCTATCGGATTCATGCCGTATCTCTAGTTCTGATTTAGATAGTTGAAACTGAATAAATTTATCTTCAATGAAAGAATAAATGAACAAATGATGAACAAATGAGAAAAATGTATAATGAAGTCTATGTGAATAATTATGGTTAATTTTAAATAAGTTTTTAATAACAATTAGCCTTGGGAAGAAAAAAGAAGACATTAACTTCAGCTATCACAGTTATGGTAGTCTACCAGTCTCCAATGCATATATCTTACTAGCAGACCTCTTAGCAAAGAAACCATTTTTTCCAAGATATATTTTGAGCACAGGTACAAATTTGCTGTTGATACTTTAAGTTATTACATTCTAACCCTAAGCTTTTGGGTTATAACTGATATCCACTCCAGACACCTTGCATTCTGACTGTAACATTGCTTGCGCATCACCTCATGACCTTTGCTCAACCAGCAAATTGAAGTTTTATGTCCTTAGAGTTAAGTTGGAATAAACTGGAAAACAGAGTTTCCTTCACTATTAGTTCTAACCTATCTAATCTTTTTGCTCCAGGAATTCCCCTCAGTTCAATTATCATATCCAGGAGAAGACATAAGTCTTACCTATTTGTTCATCATCTAACAATTTCCAATTAGGTCATTGATATCCACCAGCCAGAGCCACTGACCATTCAACCTTACCAAAACCCAAAGGACTATAAAATAATTTGAGTGACAAATTACGCCTTTTTGTGATCATAATTTAACTTTCCTAGGCTGCTTGAATAATAGTTACTATGGAATTGGGTTGAAAAGTAGATTGATACTTCTACTAAAGGTAGTAATGTTTCAAATAATATTCATATCACATTTTCACCATGTCTATACCTAACTAGAAGCAGGTTTGACAGTAAGATAGACCCATTAGTCAATGAATAGATTGAGGACATGTCTAGATTTGACATCTTTTTAGTATAAAGAGAAATTGTTTTTATTATTAGTCCCTAATAATGAACTCAGTCAACCATCAGAGTTGTACCATTTTTCATATTGGAATTGAATTTCAAATAATTTTTAATGTTAAAAGTAGATTTTTAATAAAGTTGGTTTAAAATAAAGTTGGATTCAACCCATAAGTAGATGGCAAGTTCTCTTCCAAACTACGTGGCAGAACTGTTGCAGGTACAAATATGTTTGTAACTTAGCTTTATTTTTATCTTAGCTTTATTTTTCTAACAGTGATTCAAATGTAAAGATCATGAGCTATCATGTGCTCCGTCTCTGCTTCCAGGTTCACAAAATGAGAAAGACTATTTGATATAGGTATTGTGAAAAATTCAGCAGCAAGTGAAAAAGTAAACAGCAACGAGACCAAGTGAGATAGAAAAAACACTCTCCCCCAGCCCCAGACTACAAGTTGCCTTCTAGACACAGAGTATGTTTCTCATATTCTCTATATACTCATATTAGCAGAGTATACAACAAAACATCAGACTTAAGAAATGGAAAAAACATCTTCTACCTACTAAAACGTAAAGAGAAACACCTTCCTGTAATCCAGAAAAGCTTCCCTGCAATACAGCACAAAGCCTCAGTTGCTTTGATTCAATTAAACTTTGCTTCTATTATTCTAACATTTTTTTCTTGAAGTGACCTATTGTTTCCATTTAGTAAGTAACTTTCTTGATAATGGGGGCAGAATTTTACAGAATCTCTATATCTCCCCAGTATCTAGCATGGTGCTGGGTGCATCCTAGTTACTCAGTAAATATTAGAATAACTAATTTATTCTACTTAAGTTTTAAACTGCCATGATTATATGGCAACATAACATGATAAAAAATAAACTTTCTACTGCTTCTGGATTTACTACTATTCTTTTTTCTTAGACTTATTGTCTGCCCCCTCTTTCATTTGCCCAAGTCCTTAGCCATACCCCAAGTTCATCTCAGTGTCACTTTCTCCACAGAAAAGTTTCCTTGATAACCAAAAGTCAAAGCTAGCATGCCAAACACTGTGCCTCTGTAACTCTCTAATCATCAGTCTTTTAGAATTTACCAACAAAATAAAAAGTATTTGTTAGGACTCTTCATTCTTCCAAGATTGTACATCTGCTGGGTTCAGAGTTGTACCATTTTTCATATGAGAATTGAATTTCAAATAATTTTTAATGTTCAAAGTAGATCTTTAATAAGAGTTGATAAATAAAGGCGGTGATAGGCATTAATTATAATTTATTAAATACATTATATTGTAAATATTCTTTACCTCTTCTTTTGTTTTCATTTTTAAGCTTCAAAAATTACACCTTTACTCTAAATATAAAATATACTTCTACAATTTTAATATTCATATAAGATTGGTTAATTAGCAAAAATATCTTTAAAGGCATTATCTTATTCAATATCAAAACTTAGTTAAAAATCAGAAGACTAAAACCTTGCACTTGTACCATGTCAATCAGTGACAAGCTTGTTAAAACAAATTTCTAGAGAGATCTTTAAGGAGAGAAGATTTTCCAATAGCCTTTTATTATAACTGTTGATTTAGTCATTTCAGGTTTAACATTCTTTAATACAAACCTCCTTGTAACCACATTTCTAGTGCCATTCTCTCATAAACATGACAATTTTACATTCTAACTGGCTTTTATTTTTCTACACTTTTTCAGAACATGACAATAAGAAGGGGTGTGTGTGTGTGTGTGTGTGTGTGTGTGTAAAATTTAATGATATTTAGTTTCCCTTTTAGTGTTTTCCAAGACAAAATTTTGAATGGCTTATTACTTTATAAGTAATTCTCTTCATTTCAGTATTTCACTAAAAATCCTAAGGTTATATGTTTTTAGATTTTTTTTTTTTTTCATATTGGGCTCTGAGGATGTATTCTCAGGACTTTCAATGTCATGGTTATGAGCTTCACCCCCATGTTGAAGTTTACTCGAATCCTCTTTAATGCCTGGGGATTCCTGGCAGCTTGTATTTGTATGTATAAAAGATAGGCTAAATCTCCATGGGAAAACATTCAAATTAGGAACAAATGTACCGCTGCTTACTTTATACATTAAACATTTTTCTCCAAATATTTCAAAAATGAGAGTTTTAAAAAATTAATATCCTGAGTATTTAAAAATAATGATCTTTAGTTACTATTAATTTTTTCATTTTATGGCAATTAACATTCTTGGATATCTGGATCCTTTATAAATCCCCTTCTGTCCTTCTTCTATGAAACCCTTTCTCCTACGAAATCTTATGTAATGTTTTTCTCTGGGAATGTACATTAATTTACACATCATGATTTGAGCTTAAACTAAAAGCCTAATGTTTTAAGTTAATAAAAATCTCAACAAATCATATCTCCCTTTATAAAATTTAAATTAACAGAGATAAAACGAATGTTTTTCAGTAAAAATGAGTAAACCTAAGTTGTTTTAAATAAGCCCGTATGTGGATGGAGGCTATTAAGAACTGGAAAAGTTACATTAATTATAAGCGACTTTCAATACAAACATCTGGAGTTACTGGATAGATTTGTTAAGGAATGGTGATTTTGCACCTGGGGATGAGTGTTTTCACTTCTGTGAATCATTATGGTTCATGTTGGCTCTAGATCCATTGCTCATAGATTATTGCACATTAATGACACCATTCAAATGCCATCCCTAGTTGGAATGGTGTACCACTCCGACCCATTGTTCATGGTTTTCTAGGCACTTCTCCATCAATCTCTCAACCTGTTTAGATGCTATTGAATCCACTTTCCTTATGACAGATTTCTTACTTTAGGACTGAGGAATATAATGGCCCAGAATTTTTCCCTTGCCATCTTTAAAATCAATAACCTTAAAACAATCTCAGTGCTCCCTTCTGAACTTGGGGCCAAATCCACATTCTAACCATAGTCAAGCAGTCACATAATGCAGTCACACACACAGACACACACACGCATGCACGTGCACACACACACACACGAGAATTTCTAGCCACAGATTGTCCTTATGTGGAACATGGGATACCAGTTAAGTAACTCATAGGTGGAAAAACCTGAAGTCCTGGTTGTTTATTTTTTATGAGCATTGAAATATCGTTAAAAGTATGTTCCTTTGGACAGCAATAAGACATTGCAATTTTTCTATTTCACTTCCCTATGTGCATTTTCGTTTTAAATTATATTACTCACAGCATTTCAAAGTTAAGAGAACATGGAACTCTGAAGGCTACAAAAAAAGAAATACATGTTTAAGAAGACCCTGGAGACTCACAGATGACACGGTTCATACTTACTTAGACTCCATGCAAGCAACATTCCATATAAATAAATTAGAAGGTTGGAGCAAGAGAGCCAAAATATCACCTCCACCTTGCTTCATAAATTTCTACTTCTTTTTCTTCCTTTTGTTTCTTCACGGTGCTTGTTACTACCTGAAATAGTGTTGATTTCTTGACTTATTCATTTGTTGTCTCTCTTTATGCACCGAAATGAAAACCTTGCAACTGTAGGAACTTTATCATGTCTGTTCACTGCCCAATTTGGTCCTAGAATCAGACATGGTACATTATATGTGCTCAGGAAATATTAGTGCAATGAATGAAGGAATGAACATAAAAGAGAAAAGAGTGATATTCAAAGGAATATGGCTGATTTCATTTTATAGGGATGGAAAAGTTGCATTGTGAATGTAATCTTTCCTTATAAAATGTAATTGATAAATGAAGACTGAATCTCCAAAGAAACATGATTCTGTCTTCACTAAAAGCAAATTCATGTTTATTATCTAGGAAACAAAATAAAGTAGCACAAGAAGAACTTAGCTATTAAGCCAGAGGAAGTTGTACTGTGCTAAAGAATGGAATGGTGACTGATATTCTTGAAGGCACCTCTAAAAATCATGATCATAGAGCTCATTGGTAATATAGAGTACATTATTATAGAAAAAACATCAGACTCAGAGTCCTATCTCAATAAATAAGTGCTCAATAAATGTTGCCAATTAATTTTAATAAATTATAATTGCATTATTAATTATACTATGTAGGCATATGTTTGTATGCATGTATTTATATATGTACTAGGAATAATGGTTAAGAGGATCAGCCAGATTTGGTTTCAAGTCCTAGCTCTGCCACATACCAACTAGTGACCACAAGAAGATTGTTAATGTATCTGGGCCTATTGTCCTCATCTATTTCCTTGGACTGTTGTTAGTACCAGAGACATAATGCATAAAGCTTGCCCTGTCTGGTAAGATAAATAGTGATGATGATGATTATAATGGCAATATTGGTTTATTTAAATTCAAGTAATATAAATGGGACAAACTAGAGTTTTACCATACTAAACAAAATTATCTTTCAAGGTAGAAATAGAATTTATAAGGAAGATTTTCCTTTTCCCTTAATATTATATTATTTCTTCCTAATCCTTTGATATTATAATTCTACAAAAGCAAATGATGTGACTCTAGATGTTGCTTAGAATTACTGCAGCTAAAAGACAGAACAAAAAATAAGAGTATATATGCACTGTTTTATGAACAAAATATACAAATGTCTAAAAGATATTTAAAGATCAAAAATATTTTAACAGTAACTGAAAGATGGTATTTTCAAAAATATCTCAACATAAAAATGTTTTGCCTCCAGGTCTTAAAAATATATTTGGCTATTCCTCCATTTGGAGTTTGTTTTAAAACTCAAGTACAGACTGATGAGTTTACTAATGGTCCTTGTTTTCTCCTTGTTCTCTGAGCACTGATTTTTTTTCTCTGACTAGTGAAGTTTTGTTGTGCAACTTTATACCTTATAAACACACATGCACAGGCACATTGATTAAATTTGCATTCAGGCACTATATTATTTTAAATAGTGGCTGGCATATATCACAATTTCATCAGATACCTTTTCTAGTAATAATAATGAAATACATCTAATAAGGCATATGTTAGTAGCCCTGTATATGAAGTAGTCTAACTTAAAAGGAGATGCATGCAGCTGTCAGAACTTAAAATCTAAAGAACAAAACAGAAACTTAGCCTCCCAAAATGGCAAGACTTTTCTATGCCTGTCTGGATATATGATTATAAGGTGAAGAACAAAGTTTTGAAATAAGTAAATTTTCCCTTTGCTGTTCTTCACGTTTCTATATCCCTTTTTATTCCTTGTCTCCAGTGCCCAAAGACTGAACTAAGCCTCCTATTGACCAATGACCTCTCCCAATATAAATCTTCAGCAGCACTGGGTTCTCTGAATAGTCCTCAGACTCCAGAAGTCTGTGTATACCACATACATGCCCTGCATCCCATACTCTTACACAATTATTCCTGTCCAACTATCAATTACTTTAAGTACTATTGCTCATGACAGAGGTTAGCAATTTATACTCTGATGGCCAAATCCAGACCATCATCTGTTTACACAAGAAAAAATGTCATCGGAACATAGCCACACCCATTCAGTTATTCTGCTGTGGCTTCTTTCATGCCATAATGGCCAAGTTGAGTGGATGCCCTGGAAACCATGTAGTCCACAGAGCATAAACCGTTTGCTATCTGGCCCTTTAAAGAAAAAAATTGCTGACCCCACATTATCAATGCACCTGAGCCACTCAGACAACATCCTGTAATTGTATTGTAGTTTCAGTTTCTGCCTTCCAATCTGCCTCATGATCTGGTCCTAATTATCACAGCTTTGGAACTCTTACCCCATCTTCTATGACTTCTTCTTTGTCCTTTGGACATATCCTCTGAGATAGCCCCTCTAAAAACCACATCGATTCCTGTCTAACCCATTTTGGCTCCTTTCTTTGACTGCGATGTACACCCCTCAGACTACAAATACTTCCAACCACATGGATGTCAGCCAAGCCTTACCTAGTCTGGCTTTGGCTTCTCAGTATTAACCTATGTGGCTGGTAGTCCTTTTGGATTCACCTATTACTTCAGATAAGGCCTCTGGCCAATATAATAGATGTTAATGAATTCACTTTTTAACTTAATATATAAACGTGTAGAGAAATATTCCCCTGACTAATCTTTCCCCTCTCTCCCTCCCCACCGCTCTTCTCTCTCTCTCTCTCTCTCTCTCTCTCTCTCTCTCTATATATATATATATATATATACACACACATACATATTTTTTTTCTTTGAAATAGAGGCTAGTCTTTAAGCAGTTGAGTTACTTTCCCAAAGCAGAAAAATGGCAAATTATTTCTTAATTATTTCTTTAGTATAATTCCTCCTGAAAGAGTTTATTTAAAGAGTTTCAGGGGGTTTGAGCTACAAAGGAGTTGTCTTCTTCTAAGTTTACCAGTGGCTCCCTCATTCATCATGGTGTTCAAGCTACTGCCATATTTCCACAAATCATTGTATACTTATATTACAGCTAAAGAGAAACAGACTAAGACTTGTGTGTGGGAAACTGCTATTCATGGAGTCACCCATTTTGGTTAGGTTTAAGGTTTGTTTCCTGATTAAAAACATATTTTTTAGGGTAAACTCATCTTAGTTTACTATATACATTACTGCCTGCAGTAAAAGACAATATGCTTGAATTTCACAAGTCTCTGTGAGCTATAATCTGTGTCTCCCATTCTTGCATTGCTTGGTAGGGGTTCTAAACTCAGCCCAAGTTTCTTATAGAAGGACAAATTTTAGAAGTGAAAAAGCCCAGGAGTTTTACTTAGGCTAATAAATGATTATCGTGCTCTACAAATACAACCCTGATTAATGAATTTTCTAATTGCCATTCCCTGATCCTTCTCTTTAGACATGACATTTACACCCAGGTAACAACTTACTTAAAAGTTTTACCAAAACTTAAAGGAACAACGGATAGGGCAGGAAAGGACTTTCATTTTAGTATTTATCTTTTTTGAGTGTTATTGCCAGTTTGTACAATGGCTACTCTGTTTGCCTACAGAGTCCCTACTCTAACAGTATCTCATTCATTATTTATAACACACGTTAGGATACTTTGAGTATGGAAGATGCTGCAGAAAACCAATTCTCCCCTCCTTATTTTGTTAATCCTGGATTAAAATTAATGAATTTTATAGCAGAAAGAAAATGAAATAATGCATAAATCTAATATGGCAAATACAATGGAATTCAGAAAATTAAATTTTAATACGTTTCACTTTGTAGCTTCTTGGTTGGGAATGATGTGATGTCTGCCTTTATTGTTTTATTTCTATAAACCTTGTGGTAAAAATCATTACAGTATATGGTCTATCTTCAACTAACCTAGTAATGGTAAAGCTACCCAGAAATGAAATATGAATTTAACCAAACAATGAATCAAACTGCCTCAAATAATCATATATGCCCTTTATTTCTGTAATATCTGTGTTCTGCACATTCCCACCTGACAACTTCATGTTCAAGTTATTAGAATTGGTGATTTTTTTACAGCATTAGACCAATATAATAAGAAGAAAAATCTAAGCATATAAAGTCTTTCTTAAATCAATAGAGCAAATATTGTTAAATATAAATAGTAAACATATGCGGGCAAAAACCCAAATAGATATTTCACCTAGAATAATTATTTCCATAGTGCATTTTGGGACACGTTTCTATTGCCTGTATGGTTTAAGGTAAAGTGGATTCAGCACTTTAGCCATGGTTTTTTTTTTTTGTTTTTTTTTTTTTTGGTCATCTGTAGCATGAGGGATGAAGGAGAAGGGGGCTGCTATTAGAATATATAACACCACTGGTCACTTGTTTGGAATAATTGGATAAGGCATCTCTCTTTGGATATATAAAATTGCTGACAGCATAGCGTGGTTAAAATTGGAAGAAGACATTTCTTATTTTGGAAAGACACAGCTCCACATCAGAAGACAAGGCTTAGCCAACAGAGTGGAAATTTGACTTCATCCTCTTCTTTCCCCTTTAGCTAGACATTCTTGTGCAGTGAAAAATCTGCAGAAATGTGTATGGTTGTTAGCTTGGAAGAGAGCTAGAGAGGTAGACAGCCTCTAATTTCTTCCATCTCACCCACCATTGTTTTTTTTCTATACCTATAATATGAAAATATAATGTTCAGAACAAGAGCAGTTATGATAAGACCAGATGTGGAAACATGCTTACATTTCTGTGCACCGCATAACGTACATTCACCACGTGCAGTATGTGTGTGTACATGGTCTAAAAGACCAGACTGGAAGTTTCTAAAATTTTGAACAATAAGTTTCTAAAATTTTGAGCAATAAAAAATAAGACATCAGCTGGAGAAAGCCAGACGGCTTCCCAGATAGGACCCTAGAATTCAACATTTTCCTTGATGAGTTCACTGTTGCCCAATAACCAGTGAACAAAAGTATCCACTCTCTTACCCAATTGACATTTATAGAACACCCCACTAAACAATAGAAGACTATACATTTTTTTCCCATACAAACAGAACATTTACCAAGATTGACAATAGCCTGGATGATAAAATAAGTCTTAATAAGTCTTAAAACTTTCAAGTCATTCAAATTATGTTCTGTGATACAATGGAATAACATTCAAATAAAAATAAAAATATTTCTGATAAATCCCCCAAATTTTGTAAATTCAGTAACTACTAAATAACTGTGGGCCAAAAAAGTGAAAAGGAAATTAAACACTATTTTTGTCTGGATGGAAATGAAAAATCAACATAGCAGCATTTGTGGAATGCCACTAAAATAATGCTTAGGGAAATTTTATATTCCTAATTTTTTCTTTTTCTTTCTTTCTTTTTCTTTTCCTTTCTCCTCCTCCTCCTCCTCCTCCTTCTTCTTCCTTTTTTTTTGAAACATGGTCTCTGGCTAACGCCTGTAATCTCAGCACTTTGGGAGGCTGAGGCAGGCGGATCATCTGAGGTCGGGAGTTCGAGACCAGCCTGACCAACATGGAGAAACACCGTCTCTACCAAAAACGCAAAATTAGCCAGACATGGTGGCACATGCCTGTAATCCCAACTACTCGGGAGGCTGAGGCAGGAGAATCACTTGAACCCGGGAGGCAGAGAGGTTGCAGTGAGCCAAGATCATGCCATTGCACTCCAGCCTGGGCAATAAGAGTGAAACTCTGTCTCAAAAAAACAAACAAACCAACAAACAAACAAAAAAAACAGGGTCTCACTCTGTTGCCCAATCTGGAAGGCAGTGATCACAGCTCACTGCAGCCTCAAATTTCTGGATTCAAGACTCTTCCCAACTCAGCCTCTCAGGTAGCTGGAACTATAGGTGTGCCCCACCAAGAAAATAAAAACATTCATTTTAAATTTTTTATATAGAAAGGGTCTTGCTATGTTGCCAAGGTTGGCCTCCAACTTCTGGCCTCAAGCTATCCTCCTACCTCAGCCTCTCAAACTGCTAGTATTGCAGGAATGAGCCATCATGTCTGTTCTATACCCTAAATTCTGATAATAGAAAAGAATGATATCAAATCAATGATTTTAGCTTTTACTTAAATAAAAAAACTAGAGACAGAAGAGCAAATTAAATTCAAAGGGAGTAGAAAAAAAGAAAATAAAGATTAGTCTATAAATCAATTAAATAAAAAAACAGAGTAAAAAAACAGAGAAAATTAATGAAACTAAAATCTGGCTCTTTGAAATCAATAAAATGGATAAACTCTAGCTGGAGTTATCAAGAAAAAAATACAAGAAGGAAAATATTAAAATAGGAATGTGAGAGGTGATATCATTACAAAATCTACAGATATTAGGATAATAAGAAATATTTTGAACAAGCTTATGCCAATAAATGTGACACCTTATATGAAATAGTTTAATTCCTTGAAAGAAACAAACTACTTAAGCTCACTCAAGAAGAAAAAGAGAACCTGAAAAGCCCTATATCTCTTTAAAAAATGGAATTAGTGGTTCAACACCATCCCATGCTGACTACAACTAAGCATTTACCTTGGTAATTTGACTGTTGCCCAGAGGTATAATCTTCAGCTTTGCAAGTTAAGATAATTGATCCCACTATTGTCCAAATGTTGAGAATGTCAATCTACATTAAGCAATCTCAATTTCCAAGTGAAGGAAATCTCAAGTCACGTTTTTCAGCATAAGCTACAAACTAAGCCAAATGGATAGATTTCTTGATGAGTATGAAATCAGAAAAAGGGATTTTAGAGTCCAAATGATGTCTCCTTCTTCAGAAGAGTAGAATGGTTGCCAGCAAGGTGCAAAAGTCATGTTGGTCTGGTAGGCTAGCTTTTCCCAGGAAGATAATTGCCTGGACACTGAAAACATTGCCTTGTGTTTCTTTTTCTATGCTTCTAAGATTTATGAATATCTCTTCTGGTAATCATCTTTCTTTAGTTATGTTTGTGTCTTTCTTCAGATATATTTGCATGATATCAGGTTAAGGTGAAGTTTCTCAATCTGGGCACTATTGCCATCTTGGGCTGGGTATTTATTTGCTATGGGGGGCTTCTTGTTCATTACAGAGTATTTACCAGCATCTCTGACCTCTAGTAGATGCCAGTAACTGCCATAGGTTGTGGGAACTGTAAATGTCTCCAGACATTGTGAAATGTTAGGTTAGCAGCAAAAATTGCTTTCTTTTAGGATCTACTGAGTTAGGCTCAAGTATTGTTGACCTATGCACCTTCGGGATAGCTTTCTCTATTATCATATATTACCTGCTGATTTCAGCATTCAAATCTCTGAGAATGTAATTTTCCGTATTATCTTATCCTTCTCTTCCATTTCTCAATGAGTAAGAATTTTTCTTCATGGAGAGTACTAGTAAACTGTATATAAAGGCGATTTTAATCAGAGAGATCAAGGTGAGTAAAGGAATATGGAAACAATATATTTGGAGAAAAACAAAGCCAAGACAGATTAGAGAGTGCATCTGACAGTCTTAAACTCACCTTAATTAAAATATTAACCTCATCTATATTCTATTGATAAATAATAATAATCAATGTTGAAAATTTAGAACATTTTAAGAAAAATGCTGAGTTACCTGTTTATTGTGTCTTGGGGCTTACCAACCCTCATGAGATAAGTACTGTATTTACTCCCATTTCATACATGAGAAAACTGAAGCAACTTAGCCAAACACACAATAAATTGAGCTAGTTAACAGACTCATTTTTTCTGCGTCTGTATTCTGAGATCTAGACATTGTGCTGTACTGCATGGGTAGACAAAGAGAAGTGAGAAAATCTTTCAAGAAGCTCCCAGTCTAGGAGATCCACAATAATACAGTTTAATCTTTACATATTGTTTTATCTTTCTAGAGTATCTATCCATCAAGTGTCAACTGATATAAACATTACAATATTACTCTGTAGCTTTAATTAAAACGACTCTGTAGTTTTAATTTTCTAAGCATTGACCAAAACATGTCCTCTGAATATTAACATGTCCTCTGAATATTGACATGTGGAAATTTTCATTTCAAAACTATGTTTCTGAATTTTGTTTCCATTATATCTGTGAAAATAAAAAGTAAACAATGAGGGGAACTGTAGTATCTCTACAGTTCAAGACTGGCTACAATCAGCTGCCTCTGAACTAGGCAAGATGACTCACAATATTAATTGAGAAAGCCTTAGGGGAACGTTCTAGTTAGACTGGCATGCAATAGCGGTAAAATAACAATGTGTGGGAAGCACTAGAAAAATGTTTATAAAGGGCATTTCAATCAGAGAGATCAATGTGAGCAAAACAATATGGTTTGCTATTATTTTGTTATTATAGTTAAAGATGGTTTTCTATTATTTTGTTATTATTATTAAAGTTAGATGATTTTCCATCATTTTATTATTGCTGTTAAAGGTAAAATATCTTTGTATATTCTTTTGCATTATTTCTTGAGACAGGTAGATGAGAATGGAAACTCCTCCCCACGTTTTAAAATTCACATTGATGTGAATGTGTTTTTATCACCTTAAGCAACTGCTGTTTATAATTTAACCATGTAAGAGAAACAAGGAATGACTTCCAGCTAAAACAAGTATAGCTCAGGTCCTCTGTCCAATAGGAGATAAGAAAAAGACTGTCTATATACTCAAAAGATTTTTTGATTGGCAGACCCCTTTCAAACATTTGGATTTACATTCTAATTTATGTGCAGGGTTCAACAATTTAGTGCCAGCTACTACAAAGTATAGTGCCAGCTGGAAGTTCTGGTAAATAGGAAGTAATTTTTAAAAACAAATGTCACATCATTTTTTGAAAAACTACAGTATATTTTGAGAATAAACTTAGTCTATATTATACACACACAGGCAAACATACATAGATACATATTATATACACACATATGTTTGTATATAAATAAATAATTATTTTATACTTTACCTCTAAAAGTGTTTGAAGATGTTATGGAAGGAATGTTTCAGGCTAGGGAAACTGATGGCTGTGGGCAGGTACAGACAATGGTCTTGTCTACAAGATCCTTTTGAGAAGATGGACCTCTGTAGTTGAATCATAATTCTGTAATAATTTTCATTTATTTAGCATTTTGAAGTTCTCCCTTACCTGAGAATAATACTAGTAATATGGCTTTAAAAGAGCCTAAGTTAAGCCCCCTTTTCTCCAACCCCCCTAGTGTTTTGTGTATAAAAACTACCTGGGATATTCATTTCAAGTATTGGTCCTTGAGTCTCATTTCAGAGGATTCTAATAAGTAATAAGCAGGTCTAGGATGAAGCTCAGGAATCTGCCTTTTATAAGCCATGCCAAAATTGATGAGTTGATCCCCCACCACAATTTAAGAAATACTTGCAAAGAAACACCAACAATATGGTATAAAATACATACAGTTTCAAATCTTTAGGAAATAATTATTCCCTCAGCCATAATAAGAGAAAAATATTTAATATTTCTAAAGATGAATTTTAAATAAAAGAGAACTTATTCGGAAGGCCTTAGGTTTAGGAAACACTACTTGTGGCTAATGTCGGATCTAGAGTCTTCCCCTGTAGTGGCATTCAAGACAAATTCTGCCACCAGATGGAAGACTCAACCAACAAATCAAAAGCAAGAGTCCATCATGAAATCACAACACATTTGGTGGCAACTTATTATCTTTCTAAATAGCATAGTAAGAGCAGTCAAGTCAGTCAGAACTGTAATTTTAACCACCCCATCTGAAATTCTTTCTTCCCCATACTGCTTCAATAACAACAAATGTCTCAGAAATTATTTGAATGAAGGTTAGACAGTACACATTTACTTCCCCCTCTCTTCAAAACACACCACTTTTGAGTCAATCAACTTATCTATTGTCTTGCTGGTTTTGATGTTTGTCTAAAATAATCTGGAAAAAAGAAGTCACATTGCACTGTTTGTAAAAGTGGAGTCGGTACATGTATTTTTTAAATGGAATGTGTTTGTGACAGAAACTTTCCTTTAGCACTTCATCATTTTAAGACATTTTAACTGAGCAAGAAGTAGCTCCAGTGCAATCAGCCATTTAAAGGAACACAAGAGAATTATATACTTCCGTAACAGGTTTCTACACATACAAAATCTCCCAGGACAATTTACAACAGCCTAAAATAAATTATCCCTGAAAGAAATTATGAGGCTGGAGAGTAAGCATAGCATAATGGTTAAGGGTGCAGATTCTGTAGCTGAGCTGCTTGGATGGAACTCTTGCCCTCACTAGACTGTGACCTTGGTCGAAGTGTTAAACCTCCATGTGGTGGATAGAATTAATACCTATTTATTAGGTTGTTAGGAGGATTACATGATTAAATACATGTTAAAGGGCTTAAAACAATGGCTGGTACATAGCAAGCACAATTTTATTTCTTGGACTATACTTACATAGGGCTTCATGTTCAATGGATGAGAAAAAAAATGAGATGAAGGTTGAGGGAAAAATTATGACATGTTAAATATAACTAAATGTATTAAACATTTTGATCCATCAAACAATGATTATGTCACAGCAAATTCCAAATGGAAAAAGAGAAATGTTTCAGTATTTGAGTGTCTAACTCCAAAAAAACTAGTATTTTGGCTAAGACAAAATGCATGAATAATTTCAGAATAAATACAAAATTTAAATATTTAATCAGACCTTTAAAAAGTTGAAGGAAATCAAATGGGGTTTAATTAAAGACAAATGGAGTAATTTTAAGTGCCCTGCTAACAGAGCGGAGCAACTGTCTCTATCACACATTTAATTCTATGCCTGCTGTTCTCTGGAAGACCTGCCAGTTGAAACTGAATAAAGCTCAGATCCCATCAAATAGCATATAACAGGTCCAATGTCAACGAGTACATGGCACCTTTTCCTGAGGCAACACACTGACAAGCTCCATGTCATTTAACACAGTTCATGGGAGTAGTGAAAAAACAGGATGCCTATCAAGGAGTCATCAGACTATGTGGTCAAGAAGCAAGCAAGAGTGAAGAGGGAAAGAGGTCAATGATGTTTCCCACCTTCAGCAGAATGTATTTAAAATAGCTTTGCCTATGGTTATTGCTAACGAGAGAGATCTGAGACAGGTTGAAAAAGACATGATTCTCTCCCTGTTCTTGATATAAAAGCACAGAAGCTTCATTTGAAGACGTTGGGGGAAAAACCCAAAGCACACAGTTTTATCAAGTTCGATTGACTTCATTCCTGAATCTGCAAAATTTGGTTTAAAACCTTGTGAGACCCAAGTTTCTTGTGAGATTTCTGGGCTTTCAGATTTCATTCAAGTGGAAAATGAACAGGCTCTCTCTCAGCAGCATACTGCTTTGGCTCTAGGTAAATCAGGGCCATCTGGGGTTGAGGGTCCATGAACCGCCAATCCCAGCATCACATCTCTGCTCCAAACACCACCCTCCTACAGACAATCACTTTCTCCAGTTTTGTATGCTGTAAATTCCAAGGAAAATCTGCCTTTTCAATAATGAAGGTCTTGTTCCCCGTATTTTGCTAGAAATGCCTTTGTATCTCTTGTTCTATGTTGACAATCATTGACCCCGTCCATTCTTTAAGAAGCACCTGTTGTGGAGAGATGGAGGAAGGAGAAGGGCAGTCCATGGAAAAGACATAAGAAGGCTATGATTGTCACAATGAGCAAGATTTCTCCATTAAAAGGTTTAGAATAAATCATATTCAATGTGACAAATAAAACACTATCCTGAATCAAAGTTCATTGTGAAGTACATAAAAGGAACACTTCTCTTTTAATAGTGATTGTAATATTCTTCTTCCTTCTTTTTTTTGTATTTTGTGATGCACATAAGAATCCCACCACTGTGCAATGATTCACCTGGATGCAGAGGAGTAGGCAGAGGCGAAAGGAAACAGGGATGTGAAGGAATGTGGGGCAATGGTGCTTTTGGGCAAATGAGCATTCCATGTCAAGTCCATGAATAATCATATTTCATGTCCAGTGATTTCTGTCTAACAGCCTACTTTTGGTTCCATTTCTAATTAGGGCACACAGTAAAAAATAAGGCCTTGAATAAAATTCCATTTTCTTTTACTAAAAATCACTAATTCAGAGTCAAGGGCAGCATCTCATCATTAATGTTGTTTTTATAGAATTGTTCGTACTAGCTATCTTTTAGCAGTTTAATGAAGTTGGTTTAACTAGATTAGTGTTTCATCCTCCATGGCCAGAGCTTGAAAAATTAGGCTTTCTGAGATTTAGAGTTACGTGTTATTATTACTTCAAAAGTGCTTTTTTAATAATATTAACTCTGGGTAGTGTTTATTCAGGGAGAACAAGTGATGCATCATATTTCATTTTTCTTTTTTTTTTTTTTTGAGATGGAGTTTCTCGCTTGTTTCCCTGACTGGAGTGCAATGGCGCAATCTCTGCTCATTGCAACCGCTGCCTGCCAGGTTCAAGTGATTCTCCTGCCTCAGCCTCCTGAGTAGCTGGGATTACAGGCATGTGCCACCACGCCCGGCTAAATTTGTATTTTTAGTAGAGACGGGGTTTCACCATGTTGGTCAGGCTGGTCTCGAACTCCTGACATCAGGTGATCTGCCTGCCTCAGCCTCCCAAAGTGCTAGAATTACAGGCATGAGCCACCGCGCCTGGCCCATATTTCATTTTTTCCAAGTCTTGAATTTATTTTTTGAAAAAAAATTATTGTGAAAACCTATGCCCAGAAACTGAGGATTAGTTAGGAAAGGGTTCTGTTCACAATTTATTGAACATATAGAGTGGTACATCATTAAAAAATGGTTATCTACACATTTCAACCAATTCTAAGGATGCAAAAAATTATTTTTTAATGTGTGTTTTGACAAGACCGTATCTTCTAGTACGTTAATGTAAAACACTAAAATGTCACTTCTATTATTTATTAATGAGGTTATGGGAGGAGAACAGAGTATTAAGAAGGTCAGAGAAGTCATTAATTGTAGGTTTAAAGAATGGTGGATGGGTTAATTGAGAATCCGTGAAAGGTTTTATTTTGTTTATTTGACTTTAGAATATTAAAAAATATTTTAGTCATTTCATTAAAAAGCCTTGGCATGGTAAGCTATCTTAGAAGTCAAAATATATATTGAATCATTTAAATATTCTTCATTTTGGACAAATAATATGATAGATTTTCTGAAGAAAACCAAATATTTGATGAGGCTCTTAATGAACAATGTAAAACTGTTTAATTAGAGTTACTTGACACATTCTTGTATTTAAAATAGTTCATTATAAACATTTTACTCTTGTATTTTTATAAAGACTGGCTGGAAGGAAGTCATTTTGGACCAGAGCCAACCCATAACACAATGCAGAGGTATTGCTTTTTTTGATAAGTTAAGAATTGCCCATTACAAAGGTCAAAATCTTTTTTTTTTCCTTTGCCAAAAGTCAAATGCTGTTATATTTATATTGTCCCTTTAAAATTATGATTAAACATTTTTATTTGTACCGTCTTTAGCTGTTACTCAACATCTGGGTAAAATGTCAGAGTCACTTTTTATCTTTCTTAAATGCTTTTGTTCCTACTCAGCAGCTGGGCTGAGAGTCACACTAAGGAAACAACGTAGACTCCTGCCTTACTCTGCGGGCTGCTACAAAGGAAGGGGAAGCCAGGTGTGCTAAGGGCAGAAAGTCTTTGTTCTGAAGCCCTCCTTGATGCAATTTGACCTAAACAAGTTCAATCTCACAGCGTGTTCTGAAACCTGATTGAATAGTAGTTACTCTTACAAATTAAGGTAAAGCAAGAATACGTTTAAGACTTTAAAAAAGACTGGTGATTTTAATGGCTTAGGCTTTCATTATGACTCAGCAGCATGCTGGTAGAATTTTGTTTTCAATGTCAGGAAGCAAGACCAGGATACAGGCAGTTTAGGTAGAGCAATCAACAGAGACACAGAGCAAAACTGCAGTTGAGCACAGTGTTTATGTTCTTGTGTCTGGGACAACTTGGTTCTCTTTGCGCGGTGTTTCTTACATGAAAACAATAGCCCTGGCATAAAAAACGATGTCTCTCAAGTGAATCATGAGTGTTCTTTTGTTTGTTTGTTTTGAGGTGGAGTTTCACTCTTATTGCCCAGGCTAGAGTGCAATGGCACCATCTCAGCTCACTGCAACCTCCGCCTCCCAGGTTCAAGCAATTCTCCTGCCTCAGCCTCCCGAGTAGCTGGGATTACAGGCGTGCACCACCAAGCCCAGCTAATTTTTTTTTTTTTTAATTTAGTAGAGATGGGGTTTCTCCATGTTGGTCAGGCTGGTCTCAAACTCCTGACCTCAGGTAATCCACTCTCCTCGGCCTCCTAAAGTGCTGGGATTACAGGCGTGAGCCACTGCCTCCAGCTGTGTCTTCTTTAATTAATACCCAAAGGGTAGTTTAATATATTTAAAAACAAGCTTTTGTAAAAGTGCAAGGTAATATAATAGTAGGTTTTAATTGGCCAGGCTGAATTACAAAATTCTACTTTTACTTTAGCAGTTTTCCTCAGTGCCGTATGCTAATGCTAATGGATAAATCTATGAGATATCCTCTTGTACTTAAGCTGATCCTGGAAGGGACTGAAATGAGCAAATTACTCCCTTCATGTACAATGTTCAACCATGTGAGGTAATTTTCTACTTCCAGTCCTCCTGAGTCCTTTTCACAGTACTGAAAGAAATAATTTCTCCAAATTGTTCCTCAGTGGCCCAGAACAGTGAAATCTTCATAAAGACAGAGCTTCTATAAACTTACAATCAGTTGTGGCAGATCTAAATGTTCAAAGTTAAAACTTGGTGTTGAAGGCGTCAAATAAAAAGTCAGTGAAGAAACATTTACATTACTGAAAAGTCCTTAATGTTTCACTGCTGTTTTCCACATGGAACAAGACTTGGTAATAGTTAAAGTCCTTTGAACAAAAAGAGGATAACTACTATTTACCTTCTAAGTCTCAGAGGAAAGCCTGAGTAAAGTCACTTCTCAACTCTCCTTGAGAGGAACCAGGCAATCATGGCAGGGACTGAAAGTTAAAGTGAGAAAGTGTCCCTTGAAAACACAACTAAACGATTTATCCTATGATGGTTCAATATGCACTTCTTAGAATATAAGGAAATGCTTATTTTCCTTTAAGAAACTATGAAAATAACAAGTAAGAACCTTTTCTTGCCATTTTTCTTTTCTGCCTGAATCTTGATATATTTTATCCTACAGAAGTTACATTTTAGCCAAAATAGGACAAATTATCTCTCTCAAGTTGGTCCTAAAACAGAATCCAGCATCCTGAAGTATTTATAAGTTCACAAACTATTTCCCACATTTCTCCTATTACCAAAGGTAAGAGATATTTAAAATCTCAAAAATTTCATTATCTGCATAAACATACTAATAGTGGTTAGGTTTCAATGAATTCCTTTTGGTTGTGTTTGAAACCGTGCTGTATAAATAACTAGGGTAACTGAAATTTCATTTGTAGCAGTACTGTACTTAAAATCTACAAATATCATAGGAGCTAAAGTTTTAACCAACTCTATTAGTTACTTATTACAAATAAAATCCTTCCAATTTCTTTACACAACAGTCTCTATTGAGTCAGGATACCCAGAATATCAGGCAATTAGAAACACGAAATTACTATATCTGTTCTGTCATAAACCAGGAGATTTAAAAATACTTTTTAATGAACACAAATTGCTCTATACTACCTCCACATTATAGCAGGCTTTCCAGAAACTGACACTGGATCTTTGGGATAAAAATAGTTGAAGACATCGAGTTGGAGAAACCATGTCATTTTTTATGTGAGTGGCAAGTTACAACACTAAGTCGCAACATCTAGAGGTGTGTGTAATCCAAGCTGAACCGGAAAATGTTCTTGAAAGCTGCAACAAATTGATATATATAAGGCTAGGAAAAGCAGGTTGGTGAAGAATCAGCTTATCATGGCCGCCTTTTGTTAAATCAAATTTAGCTTAAAGCTGCCTCCTTATTAGTTTGGCCTGAAGTTTTCTCTGAACATAGTGAGCAGTAACCTAACTCAATATGTAAATGGTCTACTCTTGTAACAAGCAGCCCTGTCTCAGTCAATCACAGAAGCTACACTTCAACTACTCACAGGTGACTGAAGCAAGAAAGTTCCCTGACTCCCCTGTGGGACTTGCAACAGGGGTGTGGCTAGTTTGCTTGGCTGCTGTGCACTCAAATCCCTATGGGAGGGGGAGCATGCCAGGTGCACAAGTGCAGAAGCCCAGGTGAGCGCTTTTGGGCTCCAACCCCATGGTAGCGTCTTGAGGTGTGTTACAATTAATGTTCTTTTAGCATTTGCTGTCCACTGATTAAGTGTTAAACCAGCTCAGTGGAAAGTCAGGGTGACAGTCTTTTACACCCTGACCTCTTGGTACCTAGGTCCTTGTCCAGCACCCAGGGAGAATCAGGTCACGTGGACTTGAAGGATGGTGAATGCAGGGAGGGACGGTGAGTGATGGAGGTGGCTCTCAGTGGGATGGATAGGGGCCTGGAAAGCGAATGGAGTGGGAAAATGATCTTTCCCTGGAGTTCCTCCATCCCGCAACTTATCTCCTCTCTGACTGTCCCCAGGCATGGTGGGCCAGAGCGGTCTTGGAAGAAATAACATTGGACATGAAAACAGGAATGCCTCTTCCCATTTAGGGCCGTGAGTTTCCATGCTTGAGGGTAGGGCCTTTGCCAGGGACCGCTCTCTTCTACCCAGTATTTCCCTGCCTTCTGTCCATATTATAACCAACTGTTCAAATAGCATTCAAATAAGGCAAACACTGGGCTGTAACCAAGCCAGTTGTTTCTGTGCCTCACTTCTCTTTCCTGTACATCACTTTTTTTTCTGTCTTTCTGAACCTATTCTGGTTCAGGGGCTGTCCGATTTGTGAATCATTCTTTGCTCAGTTAAACTCTGTTAAATTTAACTTGTCTAAAGTTTTCCTTTGAATACCTTTCACAGACAGATTTAGGGCAACTTGCCACCATCATTGTAAGACTGGTTTTACTTCCTCCCATTTAACTTGCCCTAGATGAGTGGAACCTATTGGACTCCCTTGTGCTTTCACTCAGTTGAACATTATTTATGAATGATCCTGTTATTGAACCCCAGCAATTATTTGATTTAATCTTCTATATTTATCCAATCCAATATAATTTAGAAGAATAACATATTATTTCCTATATATTAGAAATGAAGGCTTTTTATTTTTATTTATGTTTTTTATTTGATGATCTTCATTGTTTAAGGAAGAGAATCATAAATGCTACCCTACTAACCACAAGAAAAACCTCAATGAAAATCTAGTCAAAACTAAAGAAGTCTGCTGCTTATGATCGTTATTCTTAAAACCAAAAATTTCAGGGAGGATGAAGTGTTACAAATAAGGAGTAGTGTTTGATTTGCTTGTTTGTTTGATTGGTTGTTATCTGATAGTGCTGCATACTGAGACCTGTCAGATATGCAGTTACAAAGTTAACCTCTTTATAGAAAATAGGAAGTTTTTGTTTACTCACTAGCCCCTTCCTGGCATCTATTAACTCTTCTAGAATGGCTTTCTCTCCCCATCTAATTTCTATTCAGGGATTCATTTCACCCTCTCAGTTTACAATATCTCAGAAGGATAGTGGTCAACCACCCTCTCCAAGGATGGACAATGTGATTCAGGCCCAAGTCAATCTTATTGGTTGTGGTGAATGGTTGTGGTGAATGGTTCTAAGAGCAGCATATAATCTAAAACAGTTCAATCAATATGTATTTTATAACTTTTGCTACACATGCCTAAAACCAAGATCTATATTTTTACCAAACTTTCTACAGGATAAATAGGAAAGGATATGAAAACCTATGAGAGTATTTTTATATGATAAATGGAGGGAAAGCTGTGAATGCAGTTGGCATAAGGGAAATGTGCTAGACTGTGTAGAGTATAATCGAGTCCTGGTAACATTGCTTGAAACCTGGGTCAGGCATCACCTGAAGTAAAGCTATTGCTATACCTAAGAGTTATGAGAACCAGTAAATACATTTCCTTTTCTATAAGCTAGTTTTAATTTCTTTTTTACTTTTTTATCACTTTTTAATTGATATCCAATTTTAGTCATCCTTATGCCATATCCTTATTGCAATCATATAGCATAGATATAATTATTTGCATGTACAGAAGCAGGGAAATAATCTTAGTTAAGCAAGTTGCCCAAGGTCAACATTTGGCAAATGTCACAGTTGAGGTTTAAAGCTATGTGTAACTAATAGAGCTTAACCTCTTAAACATTACAAAATGAAATTTCCCCACTACAAAGAGGGGAAAATAATCTGGTTTCAAAATCAGATTATACAGCTAAATGATCACCTGTTTTTACTGGCTTTGCATGGACAAATAATCCTGCAAGGATGTGATAAATATGATGAAATGATAAAGTCATGAAATTTTGGAATAGTTAGGTCTTTTATAAGGATATATCATATGATTCTGTTATGCTTTATATAATTTATTTTTGTCATAATTACAGAACCTTCCTCCCTGTAGTAAAATGAGTCCTAAATTGACACTTTCTTCTCCTGTATGCCTGGCTCGTTCTGGACCGGATATGACTCATTTTGTTGATCTTAGCTTCACCATAAGTCTTCCTACAGAAAAATTGTTTTGATTAGTATTTAAAGTATGATGAGGATTGTTTCCTGTTTTTCTTAAGCTTTCCACCCAGTTGCCATTATCCCACAAATGATTTGTTAGGCATGCAGGTTTGTATTGTTTCTGATACTATAAGGACAACAAATACAGCTCTTTTTTTTCAAACTGCTACACCCAGGAAGCTGGAAGAAGAGTAGATATTACATATTGAGTTTCTGAGTGAGTACAATTTTATTTTTTTAAGAAGCTGTGCTTTTTTAAAAAACACGTGAAATTCTTAACAGTGTCCTTTAGAATTATTTCTCCATTATGCATGCTATGATGTGGAGTCTCTCTGTCCTTCAGATAATAGCATAGTTAAAAGACCAGAAAACTAAGCAGTACAATTGAATCTATAACTTTCTATATATAACCTTGAGCAAACAGCTTAACTTAAATTGAAGATAGTAACAGAACAAGTCAAGTATAAATTTATCAGAAAAGAGACTTGGGGAAAAGAGTGAAACTTCTCCATGTTGAGTATACAAAGAACCAATACATGTAAAAATTTTGTGAAAGATAGATTGTAGGACATACACATACCTAAGCCCGTTGTGCATTAGTACATGGCAAGTAATTCAGTGCAGAAAAGGCAGAAAGTGGGTAATAAACCAGGTTCAGCCAGACATTGGAGATTCTTTTATGGCAGATTAAAGATCTCTGTCTTCAAGGGAAGAAGGATCCATTGAACTATTGTAAACAATAGAGAGAAATGATCAAACTTGCATTTCTAAAATATTACTTAGGTGGCAATGTGAAAACTTGATTGGATGGGCCTAGAATCTTCACTATTTGATGACTTGATAAGACGAGAATAAATGGTTTATAAAAATAATAGAGGTTTCTAAATTGGTCCTCAGGATAAATGATGCTTCCGTTTATTAAGAAAGTAGCATTCAGGAGACGCACCATTATTTGGTTAGTAAAGGGGCCCCTTAAAGCTTTGTTTCAATTCTTTGGTAGTTAATCATTGTGTATTGTACTAAGTAATTCTTTATTTTGAAGTTTCCCTGTCAAATAACAGATGGTTACAGCCTCGTGATTGTACCTTTACTGATATTATATTTTTAAATACATAATTCTTGAAAATATTAATAAAGAAACGATATAAAATTAGGAATAAGGTGCAAAAATAACAATGGCTGTTTTTAAAAGTTCAAAATAAGTTACTTGTCTGAGAAGAAATCAAAATGGAAGTTTTAAAAATAGAACTAAATGACATTATAATTATTCATATGAAAACTGCCAGGATGCTAGAAAACATATGCTTTATTTGTGATGGTATCATTATCTACATAGAAAAATATACAAATAGATTTCATAGAAAACATAAGAAAAGCTGCAAATGAATTATTATATTTAATGAGAAGATTTAGCAACTGGATTAAAATTAATACCCAAGTGTATTAATAGAGTATATAATTTTTCTAAACCTACAGATTGCAGTAGCAAAACAAAATGAGATACCTAGATGTGTAAATATTTATATGACTCAGAAAATTATGAGACATTATTTAAAGCCAGCAAAGAACATTTACATAAATAGGAGATATTAAAAGTTTCAGTATCACAATGATGTCAATCGTCCCAAAATAATTAATAGATTTAAAGCAATTCAAATTAAAATGCCTACATGTTTATATAGTAGCTGACAGTCTAACTTTAAAATTTGGCTGGGAACACAAAGCATCATGAATAGCGAGGCATTCTTAAGGAAAACAAACAAGGTTTAGTAGATGTGTCCAAACAGCTATCAGGACTTATTATAGGTCTATATTAAAATGGTGGTGTGAGTAAGGACAGAAAAATTAACCAACGGAAAGAATAGGCATATGGAAATTTAGTTTATGATAGAGCTGATATTGTATACAAAGTGGAGAAAACATAAACTATTAAATAAATTGTAGTAAGACAATAGGTAATTACTGCTGAAAAAAATGACACTTGAGTCCTACTTCACATAATACAATATTCATTTTACTTTGATTAAATAATTAAATATAAAAAAGAATATAATAAATAACAGTATATATTCAATAGAAATATTAACTAATAATTAATTAAACATATTTAATGTATATTAATATAATTAAATATAAAAGATTATATTTTAGTAGATAAAATAGAATAATAATTTACATCAGGGTTTATTAAATATCTTTTAAAAAGCAATTCACTAAGGAAAAGCTGATAGTTTTAACCATGTTAGCATTTACACCTTCTGCTTATCTGAGGATATAATGAAACAGGATACAAAATCTAGAAGGTCTTTACAACATGTGTAATTAATACTGTTGATAACTTTTGTCTATACTTAACTTAGATTTTAATGTTGGCTTTTTCATGCTTATCACAAGTTATGGTTGACAGTTTTGTGTGACTTTGCTTTTTGTTTTTAAATGGAATCAACACTTAAAATACCAAGATGCTCTGGACAGGATGGTTATTAAAAGGAGCCACGGGAAAAAGATTAAAATCCACTTCAGGAAAAACAAAAACAAAACAAAACAAAAAACAAGAAGACCTTGAGAATATCACCATGAGAGTTGTTCAGGGACAAGATTATCAGACAGGATCTAGGCAAAACAAACAAACAAACAAACAAAACCTTGTTGTAGCCAGAAAGGGTAATTGAAGAGTGTTTAATGAAGAGACCAAGGTAAAAACAGGCATAGGGAACCAATAAGTAGAAAGATGTCCCCACCCCTAGTCTTAAAGGGGAAAGAGGAGGGAATGATTAACTGAACCAAAGATACATGCAGGACTTATGGGTTTTGTAAAAAACTCAAGAGCTATTTCAAAACTTCCAGGCAGGAGAGAATATCCTTTCTCTCTAACTTGTACTCACCTACTTATGCCTCCTGTTAGTGGAACCCAACCTACAGAAGGAAAGATAATCCAGGTGACTTATTACATAGATGTCAGACCCTGTTTTCTTTTTCTCCAATAAGGGAATGGAGGAGTATCCAGCAAAGGAGGTAAAATTCAGAAATGGCTGCCATAGTCCAGCACTCAACCATAACAATAGTAATCATAGTAAAAACCGTCATGCTATGTTACTGAGGTATAACACATTATAGCTGAGAAAACACCTGTACATATATAACGTAGTTTACTTCTCAAAAATCCACTGAAAGAATCATTAAGGTCTCAATTTTATAAAATGAAAACTAACGCTCAGAAATTTGGAATTTAGCCACAGCCACGTAACTAAAAAATAGGGAGATTTCAATTCAAAAGACCACACAGGCTTCCTGAAATATATAACCAGGTATGTATATTAGGGCTGGTAATTTTTATGTAATGATTTCCCTTACTCACTTCCCCTTTTCTTCACCCCAAAACAAATGCAGTGTTGGATAACTTTAGAGAGATTGGAATTTGTTGATTTTGCAGTGGTCTATGAGAGGAGGTTTTTATATTTAAGGTGCTTTGAGTGTCAATATTCAAATTTTGTGGGTTTGAATTACTACTTTGCCATTTACTGTGTGTAAAACCTTGGAAAGTAGTTCATCTCACTCTTTCAGATTTCTGTAAAACAAGATGCAATATAGTATACCTTTTTTGAAAGTATGTTGTGGTGATAAATTTAAATAATTCAGGTAAAGCATTTAGAAAAATATCTTGCATATTATAAGCCATCATTGTTATTTTTGCATTATTGTCATTATCTGTATTATTAATACTTCAAGATTATGCCTATCATTATACTCTAATCTCACAACACTAAAATGCTACTTCTTGGGCACCAATTTCTCTCCTTCTACTACCAGTTTTATTTCATAGCCAAACTAATTGAGAGTTTTCTGTATACTGTCTCTACTTCCATCTCTTCATTCTCAGCCATTTCAATTGTATTCATATCTTCTCAAAGTTTGCCAGGATCTCTGTTTTATTAAATCTCATGACACTTTTTCTGCCCTTATCATGGAATTCTGCAGCAAAAGTAGATGCAGTTTAATTCTTCTTTTTGTTTTGTTTTGTTTTGACAGTATTACTCTACTCTTTTTTCATTCCTCAGCTCTGTAACAAATGTAACCTTCTGACTCCACTGATCCAAGTTGCCCTGGTCATTCCACAAAATTACAATATTATTTCTCCTTACCACTGATGACATCAGAAATTACCTTAATTTTCCTTTTTTTAAAAAATTCAGTTCCACTTGATTGTAAGCCCTATGAAAATAAAATCTTGTTTATATCAGTCATTGCTGTATTTTCAATGCCACGAACAGTGTCTTTCATATCATAGGCCCATATTGTTAAATAAATTGATAAATAATATAACACACATATAAACAGGTGTCTCATACCAAGTAGGTGCTTAATAAATGATAGCTTTTATCCTTCTAGCAATCTGAAGGCAAGGTAGCAATCATTTGTTTAGTTAAATGATTCCCTGAGTGGTACAGTAGATTCCCAAATATACTCCCAACATAACCATGGACCAACAGTCTTTCTACCCTGAACTGCCATTCTTTCATGGGTTCTCTTTTTCCCTCAGTCAGAAGGAAAATGCCATCCTGTTTGGGTCACTAGTTCTTTCACATCCATTTCCAACCATTCTGTAGTACGGGTGGTCCTCACGTTATGAGAGTTTGACTTAGGATCTTTTCAAGTTAACAATGGACTTATAGGGACATAACCCCATGGTAAGGCGAGGAGCATCTGCAGTTAGATTTGTCTAACTAGAGAACGCTTAGGGGTGATGCTGCTTAGCGTCTTCACACTCTGACCTATAAGACTTCAGCTCTGACCTCAAAAATAACGTGATAACAGTACCCTAACAGTATCTTAAAAATCAGTCATTACAGTAACATAGCTAACCATTTTTATAAAAAGAAGTAAAGCTATTTAAGAGACTGAATTGATCATTTGTTTGAATTAACTGATCAACTAGCAGCTAGCCATCAGATGGCCTGAAATGTACTTTTATACAGAATGCTATAATTTTCAAATCATCTTTACATACAGTGTTTCATTTAATTTATAGCATTATGATAAAGTTAGAACTACCAAAAGCAATTATCACTTGAAATGACCTAAGTTGTCATCTACTCCAATTTCTTTATTCCTATAATAATGACGGTGATAATGATACCACATTACTAACTTGAATTATCTCATCCCTTTGTAGGAAAATTAATATATTTTTAAAATTAACTTTAAAATTGACTGACTAGCCAGTGTTCTTCTGTCTCAGTAATATTGCAATCCATGTCAATCATTCTAGATACATGACATTCTAGCCTACTTGGGGGTGGATGTTAAAATTATATTCTCAAATATTGTTTAAATTAAATATGGGAAGAAAAATGTAAATGAGAAAATTTAAAATACAAAAATGCAGTAACATATTGGCAGTTGTCATTCATGTATTATCTTTTATTTGAAGACATGGCAAATGCACAGAGCTAGTACCATATTCTGCAAACTCTGATACAAAATTTGATATGTGCTAAAATGTCAAATCTACCAATGTCAGTTATTAGTACCTTCTTTGGAAGTGTATCCAGTTCCTTTTTTATATCAGCTTTCTTTCCTGATACTGTTTTGAAAGCTTCATAAGATATTCATAACCTAGAGAAATCTAATAATTTTTCCCAGTAATTTCTTTTACTGCTTTATGGAATTTGTTCAGAGGAATACTAATATTAGATACTAATAAGAAATGTTGTCATATTAAAAAATACCTACTGCTTATCCATAAAAGGGGAAACTTTAGCTTCATCTGGTAACCAGAACCAGGATAACCATGGAGCCATCTGGTAAAACTAAAACGCTATGGCAAATTAGCATTACCAATCACCGCTACATTCTTACTGTGAATCTCTATATGCCAAACAGACCTCTCCCAGGAAGATCATAAAGGAAAAACAAGGTCATAGTGTCAGACTCCGTGTCCTTGATTATTTTTTTCTGTGATTTGTGGGGAGATGGGTGGTTGGCGTATATTTTATATTTTAAACAATTTCCAGGAAATTATTATTTCATTGAATCATAAATGTTAGGATGGCAAGAGGTCCCAGGAAAGCATCTGCTTCACTTATTTTTTTTCACCCAGGTAATAAATTATAATCCCTATTTTATGGATAAAGTAGTTGAGCCTTTGAGAGCTGAGTGCTTTGAAAAAAAAATCATGTGGTTTAATTCAACTAGAAATAGGTGCTTCTCCTGTTAGAGCATTTAACACACTGTCTTGACTGCCTGTTTAGTTCTTATTTATTCATTGGTTTCTCTTAAAACATCCTAAGCACCAAAAAAGTGCACATGAATAAGCCACATGTATGTTTATCACTTTTTAGTCATTGGCTCCTAGTACTCTGCTTAGCACATAGAAGTTCAATTAATATTATTGAATAAAAAGTAATAAATGGTAGAATGATCATTCAAGAATTTACTGTTAAATATTCATCTGTGGACATGAAAAGCCATTTATTTAAGTTAGAAATTTTGAATGATGCATCCTATTTTTATTTAGGAGAGTCACAAAATCAGATTATTTTTAGTGCAAGAGAGGACCATACTGTTTATTCAAAAAGAAGAAAAAACCTATCCTTGTTATGCTAGTTCTTTAAATTATCATATCAAGTATAAAAACGAAAACAAAAAATAGGTATTGAGACATATTTCATATTGTTCACTGGAGCCTGAATGAGGCATTATTTCTTATAGTTGTTGATACCTCTTACACATAGAATCTAACAAACATTTTATAACCTCTTTACGAAATGTTGTATTTCCCTTTCTTTCACCAGAGGAGTTTCATTCTGAGCCTGAGTACTCAATATAATTCACATTGAAAATTAACTCCATAGCTTTCCTACCATCATCATTATTAAAGGCCTCCAGGTGCTCAGTCCTCAACATTTTTCAGGCAGTAAATTGCTCAGGTCCTTTTGAGGAATTTAGAAACAGAGAACCAATAAATCCATCTATAACCTCAAAGACCTGTCTGCCATTTTCAGACAGACAGGTCTTTGTTGTGTTTTGTTTTGTGTTGCTTTATCCTAAGGGCACTAATGGGTGTAATAATTGGGACACAAAAATAATCAAAAAAGAGATACAAACAGCTTTGTATACTAGAGGATACCATCAGATTGCCCTAAGCATCATTTTTCTCATCTTCCACTGATATGTATGGGTTTATGTAATGTTTGTCTTTCAGATACATCTGTTGGAAAATACCAGACCAAACTGATATTTGTTAGCATTCAGGCAGTCTCTTTTTCTGCTGGAAAATAATGAAAACAACATATTAAAAGAATAGCTGTCTTGTAGAAAGTACCTGTTTTTTTAATATACACTTATTTATCAAAGCCGTCTTATTATTTGAAATGTCTCTTGGGTTTTGAATAATCATTTTATCAGGTAAAATTTGTAGTGATTCTTTCAACAAACTGAAACTTATTTCACATTCACAAATTCATTGTTCTATCATGTATATTCATTTAAAAAAACAGGAGGAGAAGAAAGAGAGACATGTCCCTTTCTGAAACATTTCATGCTGATACCTAGATGACCAGTTTATTCTTAGGTCTCATTTTCTGTTGTGTAAAGCAGAAAATGAGCTCCTTATTTTATTTCATTCTTATAATTTAAGAAGTGCTGGCTTCAGTTGGAATTGATGACCTAAAACTTCTAGAAAAAAAACTTGAGTAGCTTTTATTTTGAAGACAATATATAAAGTTTGTATAGTTCTTTGTAGAACTGATAAAAATTGCTCAGTAATTCAGAATATTAAAAAATATAGTCTTGATATTTGGTTTATATTGGTTTATAGTGTTTTTCCTTTTAATTTAAATAAACATGCAAATATTGTGGGTAATCTATCTTTGTATTTCTACTTTCCTATTATAGATTTTAACATATTAGCTGATCTGAAAGTGCATTTCCATCATCAAAGGCAAAACAAAACTTAACTAGAGAAATGTTTATTTTTCATTAGAGACCACTGTAATAGCCTCAATGGGGTAAGACCATATTCTCGTTGTCTTACTTTGAGGTTTCCTATTAGGGACCAACGTAGAGCAAACTAACTAAATGAGACAAGTTCATCTTTCAATTTTTGGGGTTCTCCAATGAAGTATTTTTCCTGAACAGGTCATGATATCTCAAACATTCTGCAAAACTCAGTGCTCACTTCTGTGCAATACAGCTGTATGCTTGTCCTTTATGTAAGTTACCATGATTTTGTAATGAGAATCTGTATCTCTGGCTACATCTGAATATCCCAGGAATCAAATTCTGATGTCAAAGTTGATAAGAAGGAGGCAGTCACCTATGATGAATCCTACCTATTACAAAAATAGTTTAAAGGCCAAAAGATATTTGGAGTATTACATGTTTCAATGCTTTCTAACTGAAGCTAATAGACTACTGATATGGTTTGACTGTGTCCCCATGCAAATCTCATCTTGAATTCCCACGTGTTGTGGGAGGGACCCAGTTGGAGGTAATTGAATCATGAGTGAAAGTCTTTCCCGTGCTTTTCTTATGATAGTGAATAAGTCTCATGAGATCTGGTAGTTTCAAAAACAGGAGATCCCCTGCACAAGTCATCTCTCTTTTTGCCTGCTGCCATCCATGTAAGATGTGACTTCCTCCTCCTTGCCTTCTGCCATGATTGTTAGGCCTCTCCAGCCATGTGGAACTGTAAGTCCAATTAAACCTCTTTCTTTTGTAAATTACCCACTCCTGGGTATGTCTCTATCAGCAGCATGAAAACAGACTAATACAGTAAATTGGTACCAGGAGTAGGGTTCTCCTGAAAAGATACCCAAAACTATGGAAGCAACTTTGGAACTGGGTAACAGGCAGAGGTTGGTATAGTCTGGGGGACTCAGAAGAAGAGAAGAAAATGTGGGAAAGTTTGAAACTTTCTAGAGACTTGTTGAATGGTTTTGACCAAAAGCCTGATAGTGATATGGGCAATAAAGTTCAGGCTGAGAAAGTCTCAGATGAGACTTTGGACTGCAGACTTTTGAGTTAATGCTGAAATGAGTTAAGACTTTGGAGGACTGTTGGGAAGGCATAATTGGTTTTGAAATGTGAGGACATGAGATTTGGGAGGGGCCAGGGGCAGAAAGATATGGTTTGGCTGTGTCCCCAGGCAAATCTCCGGTTGAATTCCCACATGTGGTGGGAAGGACCCTCTGGGAGGTAATTGAATCATGCCTTTCCCATGCTTTCCTCGTGATAGTGAATAAGTCTCACTAAATGTGATGGTTTTAAAAGAAGAGTTCCCCTGCACAAGTCATCTCTCTTTTTGCCTGCTGCCATCCATGTAAAATGTAACTTGCTCCTCCTTGCCTTCTTCCATGATTGTTAGGCCTCCCCAGCCATGAGGAACTGTAAGTCTAATTAAACCTCTTTCTTTTGTAAGTTGCCTAGTCTCAGGTATGTCTTTATGAGCAGTATGAAAACAGACTAATACAACGACCCTGTCCTAAACTGGATTGAATAACTAGAAAATTATATTTCCTTACATAAAAAATTCAGAAGCAGGTATAGTCAGGGGCTACATGTTAAAGCTCCAGCTCCACTTCCCAGTGAATAATGAACTATGCATGGCATTATTCTCAAGCCAGAAGCAAAATGGCTACAACAATTTAACAACTACAACCCACTACCAACAGCACCTGTAACAAGAAAATTAGCCATTTCTTCTCTGGCTATTCAATTTTTTGTATGAGAAAGAATCCTTCTAGACAACTCCGGAATCCCTCAAGAATCCTTCCAGAATTCTCCAGAAAACTTGACTTCCTGCCTTATGGGTCAGTGTTTGGTAACTCAATCAACAACAAAGGGAATGAAATTATTATTATGTTTTATCCAGGTTAGAAAAGTCATTTGAGGAAGATATAAGTGAGGAAATTATCTGACAAACAAGTAAACACTAAAAGAGGAGATAGAAAGGTAATAGAAATAGAGCAAAGGAACTAAGCTATGTCAGAATAATAGCAAACAGAGTTGTTTTATCTTGAAAATCTATCAGGTCTGCCTAAAGCCTTGCTAAAGGTACATTAATTTTTATATTTTCTGAGCTTACCTCCCTGTGTCTGTTTGCAACAAAACTTCATAAGTTCAATTAAATCCAAAGACTGTGGAACAACATCCTAGTTGCTAGGCAACATCCCAAACTCCAGAACTTTTTTGACTTCTTACTCTATGTCATAAACTACTTTTCCACATCTTATTCCCTTGATTCCTTACTCTTTAATATGTAGAGTAAAATATCATTAATTAATATAGCCCCTTTGCAGGTTTATACCATCTTTGATTTAATCATACCTTAAATAAAAGTAGCAAATATATTTGCTTTAGGTCTCCCTACTGTATTGTTACAAAGACTCCATGTTTTCAAACTCTTCTCTTTCCTATTTTCTTACTCCTTAGTTACTGTCCTAGTTTGCTATTGCTTTCTTTAATTCAGTCATTGCTGCAAGTGGAAATCAATCACTGTTCCACTTATGTTGCTATTGTTGTTGGTCACACACCAGAGGTGTTCCTGCAATTGCCACTATTTCCATGACCACCACCAGAGATCTATTGAAAACCTTCTCCCGTGACTAGAATTCTTTTGGCTAATTAGGTAAACATAGCTCTTTTTGTAGTTTAGCATTTTTTAAAGTATGCTAGTTTTCTGTTGTTATGTAACAAATTATCACAAACTTAATAATTTAAAAAACCAAATTTATTACCTCAGAGTTCCTGTGGATCAGGAGTACAGCCACAGTTAACTAGGACTTCTGATCAGGATCTCACAAAGCTGTAACTAAGGTGTTGTTTAGACCTGAGTTTTCACCTCAAGCTCGGTGAACTTTTCCAAACTCATATGATTGTTAGTAGAATTAATTTTCTTGCAGCTGTTGAACTCATGGAAGCTCCTTCTTCAATGACAGCAGGAAAGTTTTTCTGATTTCCAGAAGGCCCAGTTCTCTTTAAGGGTTTACATGATTAGGTTAGCCCCATTCAGGAAAATCTCTCTTTTGATTAATTCAAAGACAACTGATTTGGGACCCAGTCATGAGAGTGACAATCCATCATATTCATGGTTTTGCCCACATGCAACAGGACAGGATTATAAAAGGTATGAACGTCAAGGGGCTAGGGGTCTTGGGAGTCATATTAAGATTCTGCCTACCACAAAAGCTAGCTTTCATTTTCACTTCATTTTTATAGTCGTTATGTTAGGCAGCTCGGATGAAAAGATGATAAGATTTGATCTCTAGCCTTAGAGAGTTTACTCTACTTTGGAAGATGTATTTGCAGAGATTAAATAAAGGAAACAAGATAAACATACAATTAAAAACAATCATGTAATCTAATAGGTCAACAGAGGAGATATGCTAATCTGGTTTTGGGAAACATAAAGAAATAAAGGTAATACTTAAATAGGTGGCAATGTCCTTAAAAGTTGAAGCTTTCTAAGATGAGTAAAATTTAGACAATTTAAAATATAGGGAAATGATAATACATATAAAAATAAGAAGAAGGAAAAAAGAATGGTCAAAGGCCTAGAAGCATATATCAACATGTAGTATTTCATGAAATACTGGCAATTTATCATTTTGCTAGAGTTCAAGGTTGGAGGTAGGGAATTGAAACAGTTAAAATATACAGAAGTATTCATTATATTGGGAATATTGAATGCCATTGTATAATTATGATAAATTATTCTACTGGGAATGGGAAGCTATTTAAGAGATTTGAAGGAAATTTTTATTATATTGGTATATCGTACTATCTTGGTGGCCATGATAAAAGACTGCTTGAAGAAAGAAAAAAGGAAAACATTTTAATAGGTTATGGTAGTTTTTCAGCTTAGAGGTGATAGAAAAATTAGGCAGTACAATAGTATTAGGGATGACAAAGGGAGGAAAAATTGTGACAGGTTGAGAGGGCAAAGTTGGGCAGTACTTGCAGATGATTAGTGTTAACACTGAAGAAAGAGTCCAGACAAATTAATTTCTCATCTTAGCAACTGAGTTCTTAGTGGTGTACTAAAATTAGTAGAAAGCATAGGAGAAGATTTATAGTCTTAGAATTGGGGAATAAATGATTGGTGCAATTTGGCAAAGTTGATTTTGAGGTTCTTGTGAGATACAAGGTGCAGATTCCAACAGGCAGTTGTATCTACAAACTACAGCCTATAAATAAGTCTGAAGATAGGGGTGAATTTAAAGATTTAGATTTTAGACTCAGCCACATAAATATCAGGTAACCCACAATAAAATGCCCAGGAACAATATAAAAATTAATAAAAATGATAACATGAGGCTGGTGGCAGTGGCTCACACCTGTAATCCTAGCACTTTGGGAGGCTGAGGTGAGAGGATCACTTGAGGTCAGAGAAGTTCAAGACCAGCCTGGCCAAGAAGTAAGACCATGGCTCTACAAAAAGTAAAAATAAAAATAAAAACAAATGATGAGGAGATAATTAAATCATGGTCAAACAGAGGAAGAAGAAAGAAGAATCTTCAAAGCTGTTAGAAAAACAATAGTCCCATAACTACAGGAAGTAAGACAGAGTAGGGTCCTAATAGTTTAAGAAGAAACATAGATAGCACCATAGAAGACTGGTATATAATAAGATCATGCCAGAAGCTCCTTGTGATTAGATATGACAATTAGAAGGTCATTGAGTAATTTCATTAAAAAAATTTATTAGAGTAATGGAGAGAGAAAACCACTTGAAATTGTCTGCGGTATAATAGGATGTGATAAAGTGGAAACACAAATAGAGACCATTCTTCAAAATTTCACCTAAGAAGGAAAGGAATTTAGGGGAAAATCTACATGAGGCACAAATTTTAATTAATGTGAAGCTTGTAATGTAAATGTAAAGAATACTTTTAGGTTATATGTCATTAATGAACAGAAATAGACATCAAAGTAGGCAGAAAAAATAATTCATGAAAAAATCATGAAAGAGAATGGGAATCAAAAACATTGGTAAAGGAGGTTGATCTTGAGAAGGAGAAATGACGTGTCACAGTGAGACTGAGTGGAAGGAAAGAGGGTACAGATATGCTTGTGTTGGAGAATAAGATTTGGTTGATGGAGTCCAGACCAGATTACTACAACTTTGTTGTTTGTTTCACTAAAATAAAAAAAAGATCAGAATTAATTGTTTGTTTAGAAGATTGATTTAGATACGCTTTGAGAGGAATGAGAGAAGGCTTTAAGAAAAGAAAAGAAAAAAATGTAGAGCTTTGAGTATTCAGGTGTAGACCACATTTAGAGCTTTGTAATTCTGAATTGAACAAGCAAACACGATAAGTTATTAGATAAAGAAAATAGATCAAGCAGCTTTAAGGACCCACTTGAGGTTATGAATTTAAAATTCCTCCTGTCAACATAAGTTTGTGTTTTTCTTAATTTAGATTTAGCTGTGTTGTCGCAGAAGTGAAATACGTGGAGATTTGGAACTCACCTGGGGAATTGTGTCCAATTATCTTATTGCCGTTTTTTCATCCTTAGCACTTAAAGATTCAAGTTGCCACTAACAGAGCTGCTGTTGTCCACATGCTTCCATTTTTAATGACTGAATAAAACATCATCAAATTGTCTACTACCTCTTTTATGGAATCTGTGCTGTGTTGTGGAATAGTACAGATTGAATTTACCTAAACCTTTTCAATTCCAAAGCTGCCCCACTAGTTCTAGGAACCAATCTCTCTTCTATAGTCTAATGTGATAGTCTCCTAATAACCCTTTTCATATTCAATTGTCTTTCTCTTACTTTAATTATGAAATATTTTAACATTCACAAAACCATTGAGTGTAATAGTTAACATTTATTTGTCATATATATGCAGAGATTATAAGAAAAATAAGATTAACATATAGCTAAAATCTTTCTACTTCTTTTTTATATCATCCCTACCTTCCCCTTCCAAGAAGTGAGTACCCTCTCCAATTTGCTATATATCATTTTCATGAATGTTTAAAAAATAAGTTTACTATATAGTCATTAGAAATTAAATATATGAACGCTATTTTTTATATTTTGAAATCATTTAAATGGTATCATACTTCATGTGTCATCCTAGGTTTTATCAAAAATATGATTTAATTTATAATAAAATATAGACGTATTGATTTCTCAGGCATAAATTTAACGAAATATCTAAAATATAGGTAAACATTGAAAAAGAGTGAAGAGTATACCATGTTCATGAATTAGAAATCTCAATATTGTTAAATGTCAATTCTTTCTAACTTGAGACATAGATTCAACACAATTTCTTTCAAAATTGGAGCATAATGTTTTAGTACAAATTGACAAGCTAAATCTAAACTGTATATCAAAATTCAAATTATCTAAAGTAGCCAAAGCAATTTTTAAAAAGCAGAAACATTATAAAAAGTTACATTTCAATATTTACTATCCAATTAGATCCATTGCTAAAACTCTAGTATTATTAAAAACAAGTTAGATAAAAGAATTAATTGAACAGAAAAGAGTCCAGTAATAAATCCATACTTGTGTGATAGATTTTTAACATAAAATAGGTTATAATTCTAAAAATTAAAAACTAAAACTGTAAATTTTCTAGAAGAAATATCTGCAATCTTAAGATAAACCAATTTTTTTAAGACACAAGCACAAATAATAAAAGAAAAATGATAAAATGAGGTTTATCAAAATTAAAATCTTTTTTCTTTAAAAGATTTTATTAAGAAATAAAAGGCAAGCCATATGTTGGGGGTAATATTTGTCATACACATATCTAAAAAGGACTTATATTGAGAATATATAAATATATGAATAATATATAGAATAACATAACTTATAAATAATATCCAAATAACTTATTATTCAGTAATTTGAAGACAACAAAAGAAAAGCACTACTAAATCACCTGAGTATGCATAAATTTAAAAATTATTTTGCTGAATCAAATAACAAAAGAATACATACTATATCTTTCAAATAATACAAATCCCAAGACAATTAAAACTGATATATAGTAATAGTAAGTAGGTTAGTGGTTGTTTGGGGAAGGGATTGGAGGGAACTATAGTTTACAAACATGCACAAAGAAGCTTTTGGGATTAATGAAAATCTGTATCTTGATTTTACACTTTAAATGGGCTCAGTGTATTTTAAGTTAACCCAAATAATATTAGCAAACAAATGAGGGAAAAAGAACTAGAAGTACAAGTGTACTATTTTACCTAGTTAACCAACAAAATAACTTTATAGCAGTAAAAAAGTTTTCAAAGCTGGATTCAGTAAAAGAAGTGGGGAGTAGCATGAATGAACAAATCTTTATTTTGTATTGCACACTGGAAAATTAACAGGTTAACACACAAAGTATATATTTTAAAGTTATGAATGGCACTACCCAAGGATTTAAAGACAGAAATGGTTACAAAAACGTTGTTTCTGAGGATCAAGATTGGAATGTTTAATGGAGCAATAATCAAACATACATTATTACTTGTTAGTTTTCAATAGACTCTCCATTACCATTTAACTTTTTTTAATCCATGCAAACTTGTTATATGATTTTGTAATGAGAATTTCTCTCCATTAATGATTAGTGCTTCCAGACCTAGGGTATTCGCTTTCATGCATTTTTTTTTTTAAATAAGTTTTAAAGTAAGTTTTTTTTTAAAGTAAGTTTTCACCCACACCCCTTGCATTTTGTTTCTGTTAAGAAATGTTAATCCTAGCTGTGCAAAGAACTGAAAATCCCCAAATAACCGTCATCATTTTTCCCGTGAGGGTTTGTAGGGTGTTTTTATGTAAATAGGATTCCGTGTAGCCTTCTCTCTGTAACCTTGTGTTTGCTAATAAGAGTTATATCCCTTTCCTCTCCCAAGTTACAAAATTAGAGCCCTATTCAATATAGCAGACCATGAAAATTCCCAGGTGCCAAAGGAACAAAAGCAGGGGAGGTGTTGTAAGTCTGAGGCAAAAACGATGGTTTAGTTTGTACATGAAAGACTATGGTTGGTGTAGGAATTTGATTTAACCAGTCTTACTATCACAGAATGTCAAAATAGCAAAGACACCTATTGAGTCCAATCTCATGAAACTGGGTTTCCACAGTCTTAAGCATATTTGCTTGTTTTCAGTTTTTAAAACATCAATAGGTATCAGAAATTTTCTTTTAGCCTCCAGTTTGTATCCTTGTCTGAATATCACAATTAGACCCAAGTTTCAAATACTCAGAAAGGAATGGCTTTAATTATCTTATTGAGTTTCATAAATAATTATTTTTCCTTACAATTTTGACATGTAAGAACCCTTGAGATTCTTCCAAAACCCCTAATAACATTGTCAAGCATGCCAAAATGCTAATAGTCATTCTGTCTGGATTTACAAGAGGGGAAAAAAATCTAAAGATGTGAAGATATAATGAATTTTTAAAAGCTCAAAAAACGGTGAGTTTGATATAAAAATGTTAAATAATGTACTCATTGAAAATAAATTATTTCTGTGCTTATTCCTTTAATAGAATCAAAGCATATACATGGATCAGATTGTAAATTCCTATTAGAAAGAATACCTCCTATGTGTAGGTGTTAATATATATGCATAAATTCTAACTGAATGACCAAGTATATGTAAGAATGAAAAGATAAAGGCACATTTAATTTTCAAACTTGATTACTGATATTTTTTTAAATGATCTTAATTAAAGACTGAAAAGAAGATCCCTATGGTTTTGTTCTGGGTCCATGGTGGAACCTGAGAAGAGTTTCATCAACTAATATTTTGATTTACTACTAAGATAAAAAGTTTTGGTGATATCAGTATCTCTTTAATTAAAAATTATATTTAATTAGTCTTTTAAAAAATCCTGGATCCTTAAGACCTAGGCAAGTGCCTGGCACAAGGGTCTAATGACACAATAAATGCCCAATGAATTACTGAATGAATAAATGTAATCAAGTACCTTTAATTTTTTAAATTGGAAATTCTTTATTCCTAAATTTTTCTCTAAGATAATTTACACACCTATCAGCAGTCATTCTAGCTTTTATTGAACTTAGAACAACATGAAATAAAAACAACTTCAAAAAATTCTTGCCTGTTTTAAGTCAGTGGAGCAAAAGTTTCCAAGTTCAAAATTCAAGGATGCTGAATCAACACATTAATCTAGACAAATTCCTTCCTGTGAAATGAATACAGTCATAATATTCACAAGAAAAATGCTATTCAATAGCTATATTTTCTGCATTTATAAGTATCCAGATAATATGAATGCAAGTAGATGACAATTTTACTTTGCATCTGCATTGATCTTTTAAAAAAATAAATAGCCACTGAAAAAGATTTAATGTAGAGAGGATTAGAAAAGGAAAAATTAATAAATCTTCAGTTTATGAATTGTTAACCTCTTCTATGGAAGAATCAGCCCAATACTTAGCAGAAGTTTTAAAAGAATTGCATCATAAGTGGCAAGGTTGATATTACATTCTTTTCTTTTTTTTATTATTATTATACTTTAAGTTCTAGGGTACATGTGCACAACATACAGGTTTGTTACATATGTATACATGTGCCATGCTGGTGTGCTGCACCCGTTAACTCGTCATTTACCATTAGGTATATCTCCTAATGCTATCCCTCCCCCCTCCCCCCACCCCATAACAGTCCCCAATGTGAGATGTTCCCCTTCCTGTGTCCATGTGTTCCCATTGTTCAATTCCCACCTATGAGTGAGAACATGTGGTGTTTGGTTTTTTGTCCTTGCGATAGTTTGCTGAGAATGATGGTTTCCAGCTTCATGCATGTCCCTACAAAGGATATGAACTCATCATTTTTTATGGTTGCATAGTATTCCATGGTGTATATGTGCCACATTTTCTTAATCCAGTCTATCATTTTTGGACATTTGGCTTGGTTCCAAGTCTTTGCAATTGTGAATACTGCTGCAATAAACATGTGTGTGCATGTGTCTTTATAGCAGCAGGATTTATAATCCTTTAGGTATATACCCAGTAATGGGATGGCTGGGTCAAATGGTATTTCTAGTTCTAGATCCCTGAGGAGTCGCCACACTGACTTCCACAATGGTTGAACTAGTTTACAGTCCCACCAACAGTGTAAAAGTGTTCCTATTTCTCCACATCCTCTCCAGCACCTGTTGTTTCCTGACTTTTTAATGATTGCCATTCTAACTGGTGTGAGATGGTATCTCATTGTAGTTTTGATTTGCATTTCTCTGGTGGCCAGTGATGATGAGCATTTTTTCATGTGTTTTTTGGCTGCATAAATGTCTTCTTTTGAGAAGTGTCTGTTCATATCCTTCACCCACTTTTTGATGGGGTTGTTTGTTTTTTTCTTGTAAATTTGTTTGAGTTCATTGTAGATTCTGGATATTAGCCCTTTGTCAGATGAGTAGATTGCAAAAATTTTCTCCCATTCTGTAGGTTGCCTGTTCACTCTGATGGTGGTTTCTTTTGCTGTGCAGAAGCTCTTTAGTTTAATTAGATCCCATTTGTCAATTTTGGCTTTTGTTGCCATTGCTTTTGGTGTTTTAGACATGAAGTCCTTGCCCATGCCTATGTCCTGAATGGTATTGCCTAGGTTTTCTTGTAGGGTGTTTATGGTTTTAGGTCTAACATTTAAGTCTTTAATCCATCTTGAATTGATTTTTGTATAAGGTGTAAGGAAGGGATCCAGTTTCAGCTTTCTACATATGGCTAGCCTGTTTTCCCAGCACCATTTATTAAATAGGGAATCCTTTCCCCATTGATTGTTTTTGTCAGGTTTGTCAAAGATCAGATAGTTGGAGATATGCAGCATTATTTCTGAGGGCTCTGTTCTGTTCCATTGATCTATATCTCTGTTTTGGTACCAGTACCATGCTGTTTTGGTTACTGTAGACTTGTAGTATAGTTTGAAGTCAGGTAGTGTGATGCCTCCAGCTTTGTTCTTTTGGCTTAGGATTGACTTGGCGATGCGGGCTCTTTTTTGGTTCCATATGAACTTTAAAGTAGTTTTTTCCAATTCTGTGAAGAAAGTCATTGGTAGCTTGATGGGGATGGCATTGAATCTATAAATTACCTTGGGTAGTATGGCCATTTTCACAATATTTATTCTTCCTACCCATAAGCATGGAATGTTCTTCCATTTGTTTGTATCCTCTTTTATTTCCTTGAGCAGTGGTTTGTAGTTATCCTTGAAGAGGTCCTTCACATCCCTTGTAAGTTGAATTCCTAGGTATTTTATTCTCTTTGAAGCAGTTGTGAATGGGAGTTCACTCATGATTTGGCTCTCTGTTTGTCTGTTATTGGTGTATAAGAATGCTTGTGATGTTTGCACATTGATTTTGTATCCTGAGACTTTGCTGAAGTTGCTTATCAGCTTAAGGAGATTTTGTGCTGAGATGATGGGGTTTTCTAGATATACAACCATGTCATCTGGAAACAGGGACAATTTGACTTTCTCTTTTCCTAATTGAATGCCCTTTATTTCCTTCTCCTGCCTGATTGCCCTGGCCAGAACTTCCAACACTATGTGGAATAGTAGTGGTGAGAGAGGGCATCCCTGTCTTGTGCCAGTTTTCAAAGGGAATGCTTCCAGTTTTTGCCCATTCAGTATGATATTGGCTGTGGGTTTGTCATAGATAGCTCTTATTATTTTGAGATATCTCCCATCAATACCTAATTTATTGAGAGTTTTTAGCATGAAGGGTTGTTGAATTTTGTCAAAGGCTTTTTCTGCATCTATTGAGATAATCATGTGGTTTTTGTCTTTGGTTCTGTTTATATGCTAGATTACGTTTATTGATTTGCGTATGTTGAACCAGCCTTGCATCCCAGGGATGAAGCCCACTTGATCATGGTGGATAAGAAGAAATGATTTATAAATTTTATGGCAGAAACTTTGACCACATTAAAAGAAATCTTTCTGAAAGGTGAATTGGTAAACTATAAAAACATCAGCTTTTCCATATGAATCATATTTTAAATTAGGGCTTAGATTTACCTACTTCATGCTTTCTATATATAAATGCAAATTTATAGATTTCTTAAATCTGTTGAATTAATATGACTGTGAGAATATTTTTCTCTCTGGGTATATTTAAACATGTCAATTTCATATAACTGTCCATTTTGTTTTAATTTTAATGGTAAAATAAAAAATATAGCACTTAATGAATCAACAAATCTCTATTATAATCACTATTGGGAAGATATCTGCCATAATACTAATATAGTAAGATGTCTACATATCAGGAAAAGTGACATTGGCTGTGGTTAAATGTCAGCTTTGTTTTTTAGGCAAAAGCCTAAAAGTGGAAGTAGAAATGTTCATAAATTCACCCACCGAATTATACAAGTATCATTGAGTAAAACATTATTTAGGTGCATTTTGAAAGCCTTCAGAGTTTTATCATACGTGGATAAAACTCATAATGCAAATTATCCATGTATGATACAACTCAGAAGGCTCTCAGAATGTGAGATTTGGAATGAATTTGAAAACATATAATGAGAAGCTTGTATGAAAAGGTCATTGATTCAGATCTAAAGACATAGCCAAAGGCACTGCTCCTCTGCAAGTTTACCTAGTAGTATTTTTAGGTGTATGCTATACATTAAAAACATCCTGTTCCTGGATGTCTTGTTTAAAGACTTGTTCTGCTTTTCAGTCCTTCTTTCAATTCTGTAAACTGTGCAATTTCTTTCCAATGAGTTCTTCCTTTTGGTAAAGTTATTTTAAATTTTAAGATAATGAGAATCTGTTTCTGTTTGCTGCCAAATATCCATAATGGATATCTAAATAGGTAACAACAGTAGGTTATATAAGCAATACAACCTTGGAAATGTGAGTATTTGAAGTTGGTTATTGGGTTGAGGTGAACCAAAAGACTGAAATATTGGTTCATATCCTATTGCTTCTTTTATTGACCTGAAGCCATGTGCCAAATAAATGTTAAGCTCTCAGTGTCAATTTTGTATTAGAATTCTTCATTTGCTGTTATGAGAAATAAATTCTCTTATGTCAGATTAGAATTAAGTGAAATCAATTATACAGTATAGTTAATAGAATTAAGGGAGAAAAAGTTGATCAATAGGCAGAGAAGGGACAGGAACTAGAATGCAGTCTCTAGCAAGTAATCATTTCTTGATTTATTATTGAGAATATCTGGAAACTCAATGTTTCATAATAGGACACCAGAAAATGCTCATCATAAACTAGGTGCCATTAGGTGAATTCAACAGTATGATAATAAATGGGTTAGATCCAAATTGTCCTAAAGGCAGAAATAATTTGAATGAGAAAGTTGCCTATTCTAAATATGTGTTACCATTTTCAAAGTGCCATCGATCGCATAGCCCACAACTATAATTTCATGGTAAAGTTCTTATAACTGTGTGATTGAGAATTTAAAAACTTTAGTGTTATTTATAGAAGCCTGTATAGGTGGCACCAAATCTAATCAGAAGTAGTCTGTTTAGACATTACGACTTTACCAAGAATGGCCTTTAGGGATTATGGAAAGTGATATTCTTCCAGTGGGCAGAAAAATGTGGGTTAATTTGTTTCTACTTTGCCTAAAAGGTGAGATGGTCACTCTCAATTAGATGTTGAGTCTTGGAATGACCAAGATTAGATTAGTGACAGGGAGATTTGGGAAATAGAAACCAGACTTCTCCGAATAAGTCTGGAGCTATTCAGAGAAAAAGCATGGTCTATGTCAATAACCTAATTTTGGATTCTACCCACTAGAACTGTGAAAAAATAAACTTCCATTCTTTCAAGCTACCCATTTCATGGTACTTGTTGTGGAAACCCACAGAAATTAATACAGATTTATTTCATGTCAGTTCCCTGTCATTCCCATCTATATTAGTCCATTCTCATGCTGCTACTAAAGACATACTCGAGACTGGGTAATTTATAAAGGAAAGAGGTTTAATTAACTCAGTTCAGCATGGCTGGGGAGGCCTCAGGAAACTTACAATCACAGTGGAAGGGGAAGCAAACACGTACTTCTACACAGGGCAACAGGACAGAGAAGTGCAGAGTGAAGAGGTAAAATAGTCCCTTATAAAACCATCAGATCTTATTGAAACATACTCACTATCACTAGAACAGCATGCAGGTAACTGCTCTGTGACTCACTTACCTCCCACCAGGTCCCTCCCACAACACATGGGGATATGGGAACCATAGTTCTAGATAAGATGTGGGTGGGGACACAAAGCCAAACCATATCATTCCACCCTTAGGCCCTCCCAAATCTCATGTCCTCACATTTTGAAACATAATCATGCCTTCCCAAAGGCCCCCAAAGTCTCAACTCATTTCAGCATTAATTCGAAAGTCCAAGTTCAAAGTTTTATCTGAGACAAGGCAAATACCTTCCACTTATGAGCCTATAAAATCAAAAGCAAGTTAATTACTTCCTAGATACAGTTAGGGTACAGTTATTGTGTAAATAAACTCATTCCAAATGGTAGAAATTAGCCAAAGCAAAGGGGTCACAGTCCCCATGAAAGTCTGAAATTCAATAGGGCAGTCATTAAACCTTAAAGTTCCAAAATTATCTCCTTTGACTCCATGTCTAACATCCAGGTCACACTGATGCAAGAGGTCAGCTCCCATGTTCTTGGGCAGCTCCACCCCTGTGGCTTTGCAGGGTACAGCACCCCTCCTGGCTGCCTTCAGGGACTGGTGTTGAGTGCCTGCGGCTTTTCCAGGCACACAGTGCAAGGTGTCAGTGGATGTACCATTCTGGGATTTGGTGGATGGTGGCCCTCTTCTCACAGCTTCACTAGGCAGTGCCCTAGTGGGAATTCTGTGTGGGAGCTCTAACCCCACATTCCCTTCTCTGCCCTGGCATTCTCCGTGATGGCTTCATCCCAGCAGCAAATTTCTGCCTGGACATCAAGGCCACCAAGCCCTTAGGCTGTGCACAGCAGGGGGAAACTGGACCTTACTTAGGAAACCATTTTTTTCTCCTAGGCCTCCAGACCTGTGATGAGAGGGGCTTCAGTGAAGGTCTCTGACATGCCCTGGAGACATTTTCCCCATTGTCTTGGTGATTAACATTTGGCTCTTCATTACTTGTGCAAATTTCTGCAGCCAGCTTGAATTTCCCCCCAGAAAATGAGGTTTTCTTTTTTACGACATCATCAGGCTGCAAATTTTCCAAACTTTTATGCTCTGCTTCCTCTTTAATGCTTTGCCACTTAGAAATTTCTTCCACCAGATACCCTAAACCTTCTCTCTTAAGTTCAAAGTTCCACAGATCTCTAGGACAGGGGCAAAATGCCACCAGTCTCTGCATAGCAAGAGTGACCTTTACTCCAGTTCCCAACAAATTCATCATCTCCATCTGACACCACCTCAGCCTTGACTTCATTGTCCATATCACCATCAGCATTTTGGTCAAAGCCATTCAACAAGTCTCTAGAAAGTTCCAGACTTTCTCACTTCTTCTGGTCTTCTGAGCCCTCTAAGTCTCCAGGAAGTTCCAAACTTTCCCACATTTTCCTCTCTTCTCCTGAGAACTCCAAATTGTGCCAACCTCTGCCTGTTACCTAGTTCCAAAGTCACTTCCACATTTTTGGGGATCTTTACAGCAGCACCTCACTCCTGGTACCAATCAATGGTATTAGTTCATTATTACACTGCTAATATAGACATATCCAAGACTGGGGGTAATTTATAAAGGAAAGAAGTTTAGTTGATTCACAGTTTAGCATGTCTGGGGAGGCCTCAGGGAAACTTACAATCATGGTGGAGGGGAAGCAAACATGTCCTTCTTCACAGGGCGGAAAGATGGAGAAGTGCAGAGGGAAGTGGGGGCAAAGCCCCTTGTAAAACCATCAGATATCATGAGAACTCACTATCACAAGAACAGCATGGAGGTAACCACTCCCAAGATTCAATTACCTCTCACAGGGTCCCTCCCACAAGATGTGGAGATTATGAGAACTACAGTTCAAAATGAGATTTGGGTGGGGACACAAAGCCTACCCATATCACCATTTATGGATCGGAATCATAGCAGCGTTTTCTCTTAGCAAAGCATTTCTTTCATAGTGAAGGAAGATCAAAAGTGGTTTGGTTCAAGGAGGATTTATTGTAGTTGCTAGGTTATCTCTTATTGGAGAAGAACTGAATTCATTTTCTGTTGTTGATGAGTTAGTGTGGTAGATTAAAGATGGGTACATTGAAGAATGTTCTCTTTGGTGAAATTTACATAAATAAGTATAAAATGAAGGGTCTTTAACATATATTATTCTGTGTATAAAATGAGACAAGAACTGGTTTATTTGCTTTCCAGAGATGATTTGGTGAGTCAGGATTTTAAATTATAGTCTTTCTGACAAGAGCTAGATCTGCAAATATTCAACTGTATTCTACTGGAACTGCAAAGTTTTCATATAGAATGAGGACTAAGCAGGATGAATAAGTGATAAAAGAAATGACAAACATATAAAACTACAAGAAAATAAGATTTAAAATAATAAAATCCAACCTCAAGAAAGTTGCTGAAACAAACAGTATCAAAGGCAGAATAGAGGCTGTATTTTACACAACACAATATAGGCATTTAATAAATGTGAATTTTTTTGTTATTACTATTTTCTTGCTATCATTAGTATTATTAATTTATGAATCACTGCAAACTTAGAAAATAAATGGTAATTGTAATGCTTAATTAAACTAGGAAAAGTGCTATTAGAGTAAATGAATAAGTAAAACTTCTGAGTTTATTTTATGGAAATCTCAGCAGTTTTATGTTATTAAAATCCATAGTAGTAGTTTCTTTCTTTAATAGATAATTTTCTGATGTTTCTCTATATCAAATATGGTATTAGTCTCATAATTCATGTAAGCATAGTCTAGGTAACCAAAAAATACGTATTTTTGCACATTGTCATATATTTTTCCTAAGTTATACAGAAATGAAAGCAGACCAAAGATGATTTGATTAAAATATTTCAGAACAACTGATTAGGATTTAAACAATGCTTAAGGTTTTCTGCTTTTTTATTAAACTGTATTTTTTAGAAAACACATCTCAAATAAAACTAGATTAGAGGTTTATAATTCAAGATTTTATGCCTCCAAATATACAATTATACTACAGCAAATTACTTATTATAAAATATTTCATATCTAATGAGTATTTTCTATGTTTAGAGCACCATGCTAAGCCCCATTCATATATGTGTGAGCTCATTTATGCTCACAGTTGAATGAAAGAATTACTGACATTATCCTCTTTTACCAGAGGAAACCATGGCATAGGGAGGTCAAAAGAACTTCTACATGGTTATAGGAAATTGAAATGCGGTTATTTAATATTAACTGTTTAAAACTATGTAAAAAATAAGATTTCCCACAGAAGTCATAATCTAACATGGCATTTTTCCAAGTATGTTCTTCTTTCACCTTAGAAGATAATAGATAAGAAAAATAATTCCATGAACACAGAACATCCAGAGATGTTGGTTTAAACAAAGATAGGGATGTGTGTGTGTGTGTGTGTGTGTGTGTATTTTGTATATATGTATATAAATATGCCTATACCTACATATGTATGTATATACATATATACATATGCCTATACATATATACACATCTACCTTTATATAGCCATACACTGTATGTGCATGTGTGTGAAGACTTTTAAAACTTTGATAAGCTAATGTGCATTGCAATCCATCAAGAGGAAGATATAGGCAGTAATTTAATAAAAATATTTATTGAATTTCTACTGCATTCTAGGTATTGGGCTAGAAATTAAGAATGCAAAAATTACATAGGCATACATAGTATTGACTGCTACAGAAGTCATGTATAAGAAGGGCCATTAAAAGTAAAACATGCAATTTGAGCATATAAAAGGCAATTTTAGGGTAAGTTTGGAACAAGTGACATTTAAGGTGATAGGAAAGAGATGAATAGAAGAATGTGTTATGGTTAATAACCATTCTCTTCAGCTAACCAATTGGTTAAGAATGTGGTTGTTTCGCTGAAGAGAAGGGAAAATGATCTGGGCAGAGGTACATCATGTACAAATGTGTTGAGGCAATAAAGAGAATGGCAGATTTAGATAATTGTGAAAAGGCTAATACAGCTAGATTAGGAAGATTGAAAACATACAGCCAGAGGTAGAATGTGACAAGCTCAGAGGCCTGGTAAGCTCTGATAAGGATTTTGGATTTTATCCTAAGTGTAATCAGCCAATAAAGGGACTTTAGCAAATATATGCCAATATCAATTATTCATTATATAAAGATAAAGAGAAGTTGCCACTTACTTCGTGGTCTGCTTTAGTACTAAGTTATATTTATTCTGCTCTGGAATAGATCTTGAATCTCTTTGGTTCTCGCCATGTCTTTTGCTACCACCTTATCCTGTATCACCATCCATTGCTGCTCAACTTTATTATAATAATGACCTGCCAGGTGTTCTGCTCCCAAGTTGGGTGAAGACTCCTAACTTCTAGTCTTAATTCAGGACCCTAAAATCCTTTCAACACTTAAGTCAGAGTATATCCCTACTCTGCTTAAATGCCTCCAGTGACTTCCTCATGCTAAGAAAGCACCACTGCCTCACATAGCCTTCAAGAGACTTTTACTGCTTTCGTGTCTACTCCCTCAATCTCACCTACTCACACTCTGGAGCCCTTCTACCTGCTATTCCCTCTGTCTGTTTTCTCCTTAGATACTCTGTAGCACAGACATAAAAGGGCATCAATGCTAAGGGAGATTCAGGTAATGATACATTTTCCATCAAATAAGATTTGTAATATTGTTGCCTTGTCTATTTACATCATCTCTTAGATTTCTAAAACTTTGCCAAAAAGTATCTGGATATCTCAAAATCCTGAATAGTTTAGACAATTTGAAAATAAAACACAAAGTCTAACATCCAATTTTTCTCTGAGGGTAAAGCAAAGTTTGGGTTTAGAGTATACTCATTTTTTTTCGTTTGTATAAATAGATTTATGTGTAGAAAGAAATCTGGCTATTTTTAAAGAGAGAATTAAGAACCTTAATCCCCTAGTGAATGTGATATCAATACTGAGGCATACTTTCCACTGCCCATGTTAATTATGAGGCTTCACTCATAGGTCTTTAGAAAATGCTCTGTTAAACAATAGATGGACTGCTGATGTCCTTGAGTGTCTCTCTCTACAGTGGATGCTGTGACCTGGGTGTAGTTCCTGAATTGATTACTCAGTTAAAGTAAGTAGCTTATTCTGTAAATAGCAAGTTAACACTGCACAGGCTGTGTTTTCTGACTGTTCTTTGGCTACAGGAAATAATCTCTGCTCTAATTTCCTACATGAGTCAATAGGATGGAAGCCAAAGGAATGCAGGCTAATGTGACCTTTAAATACATTCTTATCATATACAGTTACATGTGAAAAAATTTTAGAAGAGGCATACTACCTTTTAGTATCAGGAATATGCATGTTTGCTGGCATTAGTAAATAAAATTTAACAATTCTAGGGTTAGTCTTAGCAACTGGAATCACCTCAAATTCATATAATATATTCATGGAAGCCTTGTAAAGCTAGAACTGGAAAGACTGTCACTTTAAAAGTAGTTACAACCTAGTCATATAGATTGGTACCCAATTTTAATATAATATGCATATAGTGTGACTCTTGACAATATTATTTCTAATTATTCTTAATCTTTACTTGGTTGCCAAGCTCTTGACTTCTCAAGAGATTTCTTACATGTTAGATATTATTAGATTTGACCATTACATTCTCAATCTGTAAATTTGATATATACACACATTAGTTACAAGGGGTATAAATAATTTTTTAAATAAGGGATGAATTTTCTAAGTAAATATTGATATTATTAATGGATCAATGTCACTGGCAACAAGTTGTCCTTTATGGAAAAACAAACACAGGCACAAACCAAAAAATGTCCAAGCCACTCATATGACAACTGCGGACCTTCCTAGCACAGCTGAAACTTCAAGGTAGAAAAACACCAGAATGTCACGTACATTTTCAGGCAGATATATCTAAATAACAGAATGCAAAAGAGGCTACATGTCTGAGGGAAAAAAACTGGGTTTATTTCCTCTAGGTAAAAAGAGATAATAATACATGTATCCCAATCCTAAAATAGCAACAACCATATATTTTCACTCTTGAAAAATATTATTTTTTAATGTAGCTCCAGCAAATTATTTCATCCAGAAAAAAATTTTGAACAATTTTCAGCAAAATGTCATCATTGCACTGGCAAGCTAAATGTCTTTTCTGGTAATAGGAAATATATAAAAAACATGAGAAATTCTAATTCAGGAGTATAAATATTAGTGAATGGAAGAAAGAGATGGTTTTTCTTTTATTTATTCAAAACATTTGGAAAAGTAAATGCCAAGGTTGTGCCAGCTAGGGGTTCCAAGATAAAAGATTGTCAAGTTCTGAAATTGAGGCAGTAATGAATAGCCTGTTAACTAAAAAAAAAAAAAAAAAAAAAAAAAAAAAAGCATGAACAGTTGGATTCGCAGCTGAATTCTACCAGATGTACAAAGAAGAACTGGTACCATTTCTACTGAAACTATTCCAAAAAAATTTTAAAGGAGGGACTCCTCCTTGTCTCATCCTCTAAGGCCAGCATCATTCTGATACCAAAACCCAGCAGAGACACAACAATAAAAGAAAACTTCAGGCGAATATCCATTTTTATTTTTTTGAGATGGAGTTTCACTCCTGTCACCCAGGCTGGAGTGCAATGGTATGATCTCGGCTCACTGCAACCTCTCCCTCCCAGGTTTAAGGATTCTACTGCCTCAGCCTCCCAAGTAGCTGAGATTACAAACATGCAACACCACACCCAGCTAATTTGTTTGTATTTTTAGTAGATATGGTGTTTCACCATGTTGGCCAGGCTGGTCTTGAACTCCTGGCCTCAAGTGATCTGTCTGCCTCCCAAAGTGCTGAGTTTACAGGCGTGAGCCACTGCACCCGGCTAATAATCCTTGATGAACATCAATGCAAAAATCCTCAACAAAATGCTGGCAAACTGAATTGGTGGCACATCAAAAAACTAATCCACCACGATCAAGCAGATAAAGCAGGCTTCATCGCTGGGATGCAAGGCTGGTTCAACGTATGGAAATTAATGAATATGATTTATCACATAAACAGAACTAAGGACAAAAACCACATGATTGTCTCAATAGATGCAGAAAATGCCTTGGATAAAATTCAACATCCTTTCATATTAACAACTTTCAATAAACTAGCTATTGAAGGAACATACCTCAAAATAGCAAGAGACATACATGACAAACTACAGCTGACATCATGCTGAATTGGCAGAAGCTGGAAGCATTCCCCCTGAAAACTGGTACAAAACAGGGATGCCCTCTCTCACCACTTCTATTCAACATAGTATTGGAAGTTCTGGCCAGGAACTTCAGGCAAAACAAAGAAAGAAAGGGCATCCAAATAGGAAGAAAGGAAGTCAAACTATCCCTGTTTAGAGATGACATGATCCCATGTTTAGAAAACCCCATCATCTCAGCCCAAAAGCTTCTTAACTGATAAGTAACTTCAGCAAAATCTCAGGATACAAAATGGATGTGCAAAAATCATTAGCATTCCTATACACCAGCAAGTTAAAATCCAAATTGCAAGATCCAAATCACGAACTAACTCTCATTCATAATTGCCACAGAAAGAATAAAGTGCCTAGGAATACAGCTAACTATGGAGGTGAAATATCTCTACAAGGAGAACTACAAACCACTGTTCAAATTAATCAGAAATGACACAAACAAATGGAAAAGCATGCCGTGCTCACAGACAGGAAGAATCGATATAGTCAAAATGGCCATACTCCCCGAAAGAATTTATATATTGAATGTTATTCTCATTAAAATACCATTGACATTCTTCACAGAACTAGGAAAAACTATTTTAAAATTCATATGGAACCAAAAAAGAGCATGATTAGGCAAGGCAATCCTAAGCAAAAATAACATAACTGGAGTCATCATGCTACCTGACTTCAAACTGTACTACAGGGCTACAGTAACCAAAACAGCATGGTATTGATACAAAAACAGACACATAGACCAGTGGAACAGAATAAATAACCCAGAAATAAGACCACACACTTACAACCATCTGATCTTCAACAAGCCTGACAAAAACAAGCAATGAGGAAATAATTCCCTAAATGACCCTGGGATAACTGGCTAGCCATATGCAGAAAATTGAAACTGGACCCCTTCCTTATACCATACACAAAAAATCAACTCAAGATGGGTTAAAGACTTATATGTAAAACACAAAGCTATAAAACGCCTGGAAGAAAACCTAGATAATACCATTCAGGACATAGATACAGGCAAAGATTTCATGATGAAGACATCAAAAGCAATTGCAACAAAAGCAAAAATTGACAAATGGGATTTAATTAAACTAAGGGGCTTCCACACAGCAAAAGAAACTATCAACAGAGTAAACAACCTACAGAATGAGAGAAAATATTTGCAAACTGTGCATCTGACAATGGTCTAATATCCAGCATCTATAAGAAACTTAAATTTAACAAGAAAAAGGAAAAAAAAAAACATAAAAAGTGGACAAAGGACATGAAGAGACACTTGCCAAAAGAAAACATACATGCAGCCAATAATCTTAGGAAAAATCCCTCAAAATCACTTATTATTAGAAAAATACAAATCAAAAACACAATGAGATACCATCTCACACCAGCCAGAATGGCTATTATTAAAAAGTCAAAAAATAACAGATGCTGGCAAGGTTGTGAAGAAAAAGGAATGCTTATGCAGTGTTGGTGGAAGGGTAAATTAGTCCATCCATTGTGGAGGACAGTATGGTGATTCCTCAAAGACCTAAAGACAGAAATACCATTCCACCCACCAATCTCGTTACTGGGTTTATATCCAAAGGAATATAAATCATTCTATTATAAAGACACATGCATGAGATGTTCATTTCAGCACTATTCACAATAGCAAAGACATGAAATCAACCTAAATGTCCATCAATGATAGACCAAATAATGCAAATGTGGTATATATACACCATGGAATACTATGCAGTCATAAAAAAGAACGAGACCATGTCCTTTGCAAGGACATGGATGGAGATGGAGGCCATTATTCTCAGCAAACTAATGCAGGAACAGAAAACCAAATATCACGTGTTCTCACTTATAAGTATAAGGTAAATCATGACAACACATGGACACATAGATGGGAACAACACACACTGGGGCCTATTGGAGAATGGAGGGTGGGAGGAGGGAGAGGATCAGCAAAAATAACTAATGGCTTAATACCTAGGTGATGAAATAATCTGTGCAACACATTCCCATGATCCATGTTTACCTACACTACAAACCTGCCCATGTACCCCTGAACTTAAAACAAAAGTTAAAAAAAAAGATTATCTATAGACTATAATGAAAAGATTGTGCTCAACTTTCATCCATAATGGTGATCACTCAGCAGCTATATTTATATTTTGACTCTGTTCCCTGACTTTGGCTGATTGTAGCAGTGGAGAGGTCTCAATCCAAGGTAGGATAATCAAATTATCTTCCCAGCGAATCTAGGAAGGGAGTTGAGAGTGGCATTCCTTATGTAGCTGGAATTATATTACATAAGCTCTTGTACTTTAGGGTGGCCATACTGTATTTAGTTATTTGGACAGAATCAGGGAAATCTGGTATACAAAGAAGGAGAATGCTGAAGTACACCAAGACAAAAAACGAAGACAGTGGAGTGAGAAACCTCCCTTGGCCTCTGTTAAATTTTCACATCCTTTTTCTATTTTTCCTGATCCTTTGGTGTCTTCCTGCCCTGGGTTTCATTAAAGATTTCTAAATATTTATAGTATAATCTCCCTTTTTCTAAATCAGATTACATTATACTCTGTTAATTACAACCAAAGGACTCTAAACTAATATGAGGAAATTTTAGTCTAGTGTAAAGCCAGAAAACAAAGTTCATAATGACAATATAGGTGTTAATGGTAAAGAAGGCACATAGAGGAGGCTGTATTGTCAACTAAGCACTAGGCTATAAGGAATAAAGAGTGGTAGGGGCAGGGCAGAAGGTGGAATTAAAGATGAATAAATATTTCTGGAGTGAAGAATGTCATGGCTTTGACACTTGGCTCACATGCTAAGATATACAGCAAAAGAAAGAAAAAGAAAAAAAAAAGGATACAAGAAAATATATGCAGGACCTGAGAGTGCAAATGGTTGATATATATTAAGTTTGGAGTTCTCTCTGTATCTTTATAGGGTATTCTGGGGGAAAGCCTTCCAGTTAGCTATTACCCTGCTTTACAGGAACCAGTTTAGGCTAGGGTAAAATAAGGGGGAGGATAGCAAAAACCACATGCGCACACAACACACACACTTTCCTGTTTACCAAGGCACCAAGTCAATTACCAGAATGGTGGCTGTAAATTCAGTTGTCTCTATTTCTTTGAGATTCTGCAGATATACAAAATGATTAAAGCAGCAGAGGTGTTATCAATGGAAAATAAAATGCCTACCAATGTCATTAAGATAACCTTTGTCTTTGATACCAGAGAAGTAAAATCTCTTGTTTTAAATGCTATTTGTCAACCTCTGCAAGGAATGTGATATCTCTAACAGTTCTATAATTAGGAACTCATCTATTTCAGTTACTGTGGATTACTTGTGCCTTTAAGGTTTCTAATTAGTTGATCATTGTGACCAAACTTTTACTGCAATTTTCCCCCAGAACCTATAAGAAAAACTTGAGTTAGGTCCTATCAGGTCTGCTATTAATCAAGAGTATCTGTTTTAAATGATGTCTCCTCATGAAAACCTCCTAGTATCTCCCATTGTAAAAATGTAATGCACAGGAATATTAAAGACAAAGTGATTTGGCTTTTATAATTGTGTCAAATTTTACCATGTTTTTGTCCCTTCCGATATGAAAATACTGAATTTGGAAGCCAGAAGTTTCATTCTCAAAAGAAATGTGGATAGTAAAACAAACAAACAAAGGAAAAACACCAAAAAAACAGGGCAGAAACAAGGAAACAAATAGTCTACTAAAATAAATTGAGAGGGTCCACATCATCCCACTGGTCATTGGAACCAGCAAGTTCTTTGAGCTTAAAAGTCCAAAAATATTGAAGCTGTCCTCAACTTTTATGTTGTCTCATCTTGCATGTAATAAAAAGGCTAATGTGGAGAAATATGTGTGATTTATTATTTGCTGTTGTAATAATTTATATATCATAAAATTTTATATGTGAAAAACTCCTAGAAATTATTTTTTAGTATCCTGATTTTACCAAATATGTAATGGAGGCCTAGAGAAGTTAAAAGATTGTTACAATAATCTGTATGTTTTCTGGTCAGCTGTAAGTCACAACGTATTCTTCACCTATATTATCTCTGGATTTCTAAAATCACCTCCTTAAAGTTTGCATTTGTCAAGGTTCTTTCACTCCACTAATAAGCACAGCTATGGAGTAATTAGCACAAATTAAAATGAATGTTTTACTATTTGGTAGAACTTTTAAAAACATATCTACCCTATTATATGCTACACAGAAATACATTTATCTTAATTGCTTTGATATTGCTTCTTTAGAAGGCTACAGCAGCCCTAACCACCTCTAAAATAAAACTAAACTACTTTTTAAAGGCTGAAATTAGATTGCTCTCTAATTAATAACTCATTTTCATTCTGTCTTCAGTAACTGTGGTCATATTGACCACCTCTCCACAACGTATCACATCTCCCAACATAACAATATTCTTTTGAACCAGTGTACTGGATATTTCCTTAAATCTCATCATCTGAGGTCCTGTTAAAAGATGCTTTTTCTGTTCTTTCCAATTTATATTTTCTTTATTTATTATATGAAGAAAGCTCATACAAATCCTTTCTGGGCACCATTATTCCATTAGACCCTTTCTCCATTCAGTGTATTACATTTTTTAATGGTGATATTCATATATATTGAGTCACAGACTGCCCTTGACTTAGAATATTTTTCCTCAGTAATGTTGGTAGATCATACCATTCTAGTAGTATGTGAAAGAGACTAATGGCAAGACTGCATAGCTTGTGCAACACAGTTTTTTTCCATGCCAAGCAACATGACTAGTATGAAAGTAGACATCAAGATTTTAATGCCATTGGTGTCATTACCCAAACTTTACTCAACTAAGATAAAATATATATATATATATATATATTTTTTTTTTTGTGGCTGGCTTGTGTTTATGTTTGTTGTTTTTGTTATTTGATTATGTTTGATCACCGAGGGGGTGTGTGTGTGTGTGTGTGTGTGTGTGTGTGTTTGTATATTTGCATGTATCAGTTATAAATATATGGCACACCTAAACAAGATGCAGTTGTGCACGTGTACATCACCTAAGTTCTAAATTATCAGACAGCCATGCCAGGCATTACTTCCTTAACTGCCTCCAGCTCCTTTGGAAATTTCAGAAACAGCCGTTGTTCTGGCAAGGAAATGAGTTCAAAAGCAATGAAGAACACCAATCCCACTGCCATCCCCACCATCACACACAAATGTGTGCTTGTATGTGCCTGCACGTATATGCTTATAGTCTTCCAATCAGCCTGCAACTCCATCTACAAATTCTACCTATAGAATTAAATGCTCCAACAAAAACAGATTTCTTAGTCTTGCCTTCAAGAAACACATAGATCTGGATATACTTCTTCTAGAGATCCATAATACTGCAGTTTCACTTTTAAAAAAAATTTCCCTCCCTCAACAACACAGGTCTTTCAAAGCCATTTCTTCTTGTTACCAAAAGAACTCTAATTGCAAAATGTCCTTTTCCCTCCCCCTTCACAGATCATCTTTAAACTTTTATATTAATAAAAATCTCCTTCTGTACTTTTCTCTTTAAAAAATTTTGAGATTTGATATATTTCACTCTCGCTGGATTATAAACAGTTCTATTTTCATTCAGCATTTAGATTTTATTAGTTTTTCAAAAAACATTGAATTAACATGCTGACTAATAAAAGAGTCAATAAGATGTTTTCACAAGCTTTGCTTATAAATTTAAGAAAAAGACTGTTGAAGGGCTGACAGATTGAAGAGAGTAATAGTTAATGGACATATAGGACAGGATAAATTGCATTCTTTATGGAAATTTATAGCAAATAATTTCTGAAGACCATTTTCATTCATCAGAGCAAACCATGAGAAAAGATTACAAAAACAAAATAAACTTCCACATTAGTCTTAAATAAAGGATCCATACAGGATTTTTAAAAGTAAAACTACAGTCAAAGTGAAATGCATAAAAACAAACTTTAAATCTGTGGTTTGAAAGAACCACATGTACTTCACTCGCCCTTGAATTCCAGCACCTCATTTTTAACTGCACTTAGTTTACATTTTACTTTCAGAGATTAATCTTTTCTTTTGCTAAGTGCATTGGAAATCATGAGCACTAACTATGTAAATGATGCTAGAAAATGTATCCGCCAAGTATGAAAGAAAGCTCTAGCTAGATAATGCTAATGAATATTAATATATGGAGATAGCAAAGGAATATTAAATGATTAAGCTGCCCAAAATAAGAATAATAACATACCTAAAGTCCTCCAGGCACTCATTCAGTATTTTAGGGCTCTACAAATATTAGCAAAAGCAGAGCCTGCAGAGAATTGTATGTCCTGAAGCTTTATGACTTGAATCACCGTAAGAAGAGGAATGGGCAGTAGCTACAACTTAACAGGTGAAAGATGGACTTAGTTGGTTAGACCTGATAATTAATTCTGATAGATATAGCCTACTATTTAAACTTTCAAAAATCAGGTTTTCTTCTCCACGAATTACCACTCTTTAGTCATTTTGTGAGCAAAAAAATAGTATTTTGTAGGCTTTAGTAGTCTCTGGAGAATTTGCTTTTGCCCTAACCACATTACCTATTTTTTCCAGACAATTGGATTATAAATATTGGAGTAAAGGGAATGAGTTGTTAAGCAGAATGTAGAAACCTCTGTCACCCAAAGCAGAAGTACAGTGCACCAAGAAACATTCCATGGGTGCCTCATGTCTTTGTAGGTTCACAGAGTAAGAGATGAAATGAGTGGCAGATTCCCTAACTCCCTAACACAAGTCAGCATCATAGACCGAACATACATTTATTTTTTATTGGTTCCAGTATTTGAAGAATATCATGCCCAAGCCATAACAAATAGCATCAATTCAAGAGGGCATTCTCTCTACTGCTCTACGTTGAGATTATCTACAATATACTCTAATATCGCTATCAGGTGACCTGATTGATGATTGGGTCAGTGGGTCTTCTGAGAAAGAATTTGTACCAGGCCATAAATGTTTTGCTTCCATATTAAAGAAGGTGAAGGGAATAGATGATGATGATCTTGCTTGGATGCCAGATCAATGCTCAGGTTCCTCATAAAACCCCTTACCACCACTTCCACCTCAATCCCATCAAGGAAAAGATACAAAATTATACTTTTGTATATGGTGGTAGTATAATAATAAACTGTGTATTATCATAAGATAATTTTGCATCTCTGCAAGATTTGAGAGATATGAGTATCCATAGCCATATTAACAATTATCTTGTAGTCTGTGCTGTAAATAAGAAAACTAAGTTGGAGATATTAAAAGTCAGTTTTTTTTTAATCATAAAACTACTGTTGCAGTTTAAATTGCACTTCTGGCTTATGGGGATTATATAAAACTAATAGTAAGAAAAAGATCTGAAAACAATTGAGCAGCCGTAGCATGATTGTTACCCTGCTTGCAAAAATCAGAACACAAAAAAAGGGAAAAGGGACTTATTAGAAGAAGCAGTACAAAGCAAATAGCACAAAGCAAAGAGTCTATAGATGTGATTTCAAGTAATTCAGTGAATTTCTATACAGTGCATAGCTTTCAGCCTCAATAAAAAGCCAATGACTAATCTTGCAATTACCCAGCCTTATCACTACCGCACACACATGCTGACTATGGCTAGAGTTCTAGATGATATTCTTTTTATTAGTATAGCCAAAGAGAAATTTAATTAGAGATACTTCTCTTGAATGGACACGGGAATATATAAGGATTAACAAATTAATCCTAACATTTAATTACATTAAAATGTTTACCATTCTGTATAGAAAATATTGACACTCTAGCTAACCCCTTTTTTACATCTGTTCCCTCTTATATCACAGTGAAAACATTATTTCTGAAGGGGAAAAAAGGTAGGATTTCCTTCCTGCTAGCTTGTGTACTGACCAAACAGGAAGAAATAATCAACCCAGTTTATTCTGGACTCTATCAGTTCCTGACCACATTCCGTAAACTCAGGCATTTGGAAGAAAACAAACTGATCCGCAGGTTACAGAAACCAAAATATGTACTGATGGAGAGATAGGAAACTGTGACTAAATGAATCCAGGTAAGTCTAAAATAGAGTAATGGAAAGAAACCCCGGCAGAATATTTAAAGAGATAGTCTTGCTTACATCACAAACCTTTATTAACCAAGCTAACAACTAAATTTGTATGCCATAAATAGTGTAATTTCTGCCTGTTTGATATGGTTTCTTTTTTCTTTCCTTCTCCCTCAACTGCATGTATGCACAGGTAAGATAATGTGTGTGCTTTTGGGGTGGATTTCTGAGTTGTCTACAAATAAGGCCCAGTTGTATGGCTTTAGAACACCCACTCAAACCCGCACATGTGGATGCTGTAACTTTACTATTATTGTTTTGACATTTAAGAAACAGATGGATGTTTTTCACTTTGGAAGCCAAACATCTGTTCTTCAGAATTCTCTTCAGAAGCTAGAGTCTTCTAGCAGGAACATATTAAATTAAAGAAGCTCTTTACCACCTCACCCCTATTTGTGCCTCTCAATCAAACATATTTTAAGAAACTGAAAAGAGAAACTTATGAATAAGTTTACAAGCATGAAGACTCTGCTGACATTCATTAAATAAGTCCATACAATGTTCACTGCAAAGTAATCTATGCTAATGTAATTTACTAGTAAGAAGGAAGAAGGAAGTTGAGCTTTGAGCTGTGATATATGAAGAGTTGCCTGAGGAATCAGGTAGCCCCGCACTTCAGAAAAATTGCATAATTCCCATGAAAAATAAATTCTGTCTGTTTTTATAAAGAAAAATCTAACCTAAAATGCATATAATCATTTGTGCCTGTTTCTGGCACATTGAATGCATGGTTAAAGGGGAGAAAATTTCACAAAATGTGCATAGAAGGAATTCTTTTTTGTATTGTTTTGTTTGAGCTTTATTTTGGGAGGGGGTTCTGTTTTGATTTTACTCTGAAAAAGAGATTGCCAGCTCTATCAAAGAGTAGTTTGCAAAATACAAAATTGCAAAGTCCTCAGAACATATCTAGTTCATCTGGAATTTGTAAATATATTAACTTACTATTCTCCAGGGGAAAAAAAGGTATGTTTTAGACTAATTTTGGATGTAAATTCTAAACAGGTGGACAAAGCAGCAGGAGGGTGATAGCAGTCTGCTCACAGGGTTCTCACACCATATAGTTGTAGAAAATGAATCACAGGGATTGGTAGTAAAGGAAATCAGATTTTCCAAGCCAAGTATTTATATATGAAAGGAGCAGGAAAGCTCAGTAAATTGAAGATCAGGGATTCAAAGCCATGCATCCACAACGTATAATCATGTGGACTCACTGCAGGCCACTGCTGTCCAGTCAATAAAGAATGCACATATTTTTAATTTAACTTTTAAAATTGTATGCTATAGTCTAAGTGTTCACATGATGAAAACATTTCTTCCTGTATACATACTACACATGTGCCTTGGAATAAAGTTGCTTTTTGATTACCAACAACTTTTGTGAGCTTCCTGCTGGTGACACTGTTTGTGACATTGGCAGGAACAGAGTTCAGATGAAGAGGTGATGAACTTCATATCCCTCCTAGCTAAATATATAGAAGAGAACAAGAGAGTCCCTGTGTCATTTTTGAGCACAGTACAAATTGTCCTGAGAATAAGTAACAGATGTTGTTTTTGGTGGCATAATCCCAGTGGGGACATAGATAATTTTTGTGGAATTTCCATTTACTGCTGGCATTCCTAGAAATGCCAGGGTTTTTTAGTGTTGCTGTTTTTTCCTAGTTCACAATTTGCAGAAAACGTGAGCATTTTAATTTTAAAATGCATTTTTAATGTCTTCAAAAATCTTGGAAGTTTGATTTTTAAATGACTTTCGCTTACACGGCGACTTTCAGGATGATGAATTTATCTGTATCTCCCAAACGTATATGGGGAAAGATCCTCAGAAACATTTGCCCAGCCTTCTCACAGCCACACTGATTGTCCCAGGTGTTTTGCTCTGTATGACAAGGAATATGATGATAACAACGTAATTAAGATTTACTGAGCATTTACTACTTACAGGGCTCTGGATTAAATGTTTTACATTCATTATCTCACTTAATCCTCACTCTAACTCTCGAAGTTAGATAGCATTATTATCCCCTTTACAAAATAGGTGATGAAGCTGTAGTTTGAGGAAGTTAATTAATTTGTCTAAGATTACTCATTCTAGTCATTGGTAGAACCAGGCTTGAATTTAGACCTGACAAAGCTATGTAAGAAACACTTCTTGATGCAAAGTTTACTGACTGTTCTCCAAATTGATCCTTCTAATTTTCATAATTGCAGTGCAGTGTGTTAGCCTGCAAAAATTATCTAAAAAAGTAGTAAGCCCACATTGTTTGACTTTCGTAAATTCTGGAAATCCTCTAGCAGCTTCCTTGATTCCCATAGATGATCAGGGTGGTCACTTGGTACTAACTCCTCAGCTGCTAGGTGTTTAACTTACTGTTTCTTCTTACTGGAGCCTCTTCCTTCTCTGCGTAGCCCAATCAGATGCCCAGCACTTCAGACCTAAGATGGCCATGTACACATTCTACTCCTGGTACTCCTCATCTTAGCAGACAACTACCCATTCATCCTTGCTTCACCAAAGTCTAGGCTGGAAAATCATTCTCACAGAGCAGTACTGGATCGGATCAGCTAAAAGTGCCGATAGTCGGCCCCCCTTTATTCTAGATGTGTGTTGGTGGAAGTTAGAACAGAGTTTGCATGCCTTCTCATTATAGAGGGTCACATATAAAATTTCCTTGGAACTCTATAGACTTCCGACAATGGGTTTGATGAAATAGGGCAAGAAATTATGTCACTACTGGGATGCAGAAGAGGATAAGACTCAAAACACAGGTTTTGCAAATATTGTATCCTTATCTTATAAGAATTCTCCATCATCCACTATCTTGAAGTCTCAAAGTCGCTGAGAAACCCCCCAAATTCTTAGACCAGATTTGAAAGAATTTATATTGTAAACATGCATATGATGATTTTGCAAACATTCCAGCATGTTTCATATCAGTGACTGGCAGATATTTCAATCATTTTATATCCTGCTATGTCTGCATCTATATTATTACATGTACTTATATATCTTTTTAACTTAAATTTGTACCAGTTTCCTCAGTTTATACATCTGTTATTTTTTGACTTTTTAATTGTAGCCATTCTGACTGGTATGAGATAGTATCTCATTGTGGTTTTGATTTGTAATTTTCTAATAACAAGTGATTTTGAGGACTTTTTCATAAGATTATTGGCTGCATGTATGTTTTCTTTTGGCAGGTGTCTCTTCAGGTCCTTTGTCTACGTTTTGTGGTTTTTTTTTTCTTTTTCTTGTTAAATTTGTTGAAGTTTCTTATAAGATTTACAAGATTTAAATTTAACACACAAACAAATTCAAAACAAGAAATATGATAGACTGGATAAAGAAAATCTGGTACATATACACCGTGGAATACTATCCAGCCATAAAAAAGAACACGATCATATCTGATATGGTTTGGCTGTGTCCCGCCCAAATCTCATCTTGAATTCCCACATGTTGTGGGAGGGACTCGGTGGGAGGTAATTGAATCATGGGGGCAGGTCTTTCCCATGCTGTTCTTGTGATAGTGAATGAGTCTCATGAGATTTGGTGGTTTTAAAAAGAGGAGTTCCCCTACACAAGCTCATTCTCTCTCTTTGCCTGCTGCCATTCATGTAAGATGTGACTTGCTCCTCCTTGCCTTCTGCCATGATTCTAAGGCCTTCCCAGCCACATAGAACTGTGAGTTCAATTAAACCTCTTTCTTTTGTAAATTGTCTGGTCTTGGGTATGTCTTTATCAACAGTGTGAAAACAGACTAATGCAATGTCATTTTCAGGGGCATGGATGAAGCTGGAAGCCATTATTCTCAGCAAACTAACACAGGAGCAAAAAACTAAACATGGCATGTTCTTACTTATAAGTGGAAGCTGAACTATGAAAACACATGGACATAGGGAGGGGAACAACACACACGGGGGCCTGTTGCGGGAGGGAGGCGGGGGAGAGCATTGGGAAAAAGAAGCTAATGCATGCCATGTTAATACCTAGATAATGGGTTGATAGGCACAGCAAACCACCACGGCACACATTTGCCTATGTAACAAACCTGCACATCCTGCACATGTACCCCAGAACTTAAAAAACAAAATAAAATTAAAGAGAAGAAATATGTTAAATGGCATAAAAAGATTGCTTACTTGTTTGAACAGCATTAAAATATTAGAATAATATTGAATAAAGAAAATTGAATAATTTCAACTACTTAATTGAATTCAATAAATTTAATATCAAATGAGGAAGGAAAAATAAAATGACACTAAATACTCGATAAAATAATCATAGTTATATTTTACTGAAAAAATATGGAAAGTAAAAGTCTTTATGTAAAACCAAGTATCTTCTACTTTTATTAAGAAACTTCCTTTTCTTTAGATTGTCATTGTCCACTTTGTTTCTTTTTTGTAGTTTTTCTTGAAGTATATAGAACTCATTCCGCTAGAGTTATTAATGTGTCAACATTTTCACCCTTTTTGAGAGGTTCATAAATCAGCCATAAAATATGTGATGATGGTGTAAACTTGGCATATATTCTTAGTGAGAAACATTCTTTTTTTCACGTTTTTAAAATGAAATAGTTTGGCTGCTATGAACCTACAAAGGGGCAAAATCTAAATGTTTTCCAACTCTATTTGTGTTACACACTCTTCCTAAAAAGATTTGTTCAACCAAAAAGAGGAAAATCAGAGACAGTTCAAAATAACAGCTTCAGGGAAGTCATTACAAGCTTGTTCTGTCAAAGATTTTTGTGTTAATAGCCTCATGTATACATCAATGCATACATAATAATAACTTTAGAACTTATTCAACTCCCACCTAAGGAACAATCTAAAGAAAGCATGGAAAACACATTCAATAGACAACAGGCAGCATACAAGCTGAGATATTTATGTAAACATTATTACCATGGAAATTTCTTCTCCTTATCGCCTACATTTTTGTTATCAAAGCTCACTGAATATGCTTAATAAACAAGAAGATAACATAACAGAAGTGGGAACATGTTACCGAAAAGGAACAATATGCATAGCTCACTCACAGATCTGCCCAACATCTACAGAGAAGTCTCTACGCAATGCCCCAGTTCCTTGAATGGGACAAAAGGGAAAAAGGATGTGATTGTCACTATTGTTTTATGTATATTAAACCTAAGAAAAGGTTCAAGTTATATTTCATTTTATCATCCCGAAATACAAGACATTCTGCAAATAAGAAATATGAGAATAACTTTCTTATACCCAGCTTTCTCATATTTTCACATAAAAAGCTTTCATTGAAGTATTGTACACATAAGTATTAAAAAGCAATTACGAAGAATTAAGACATATATTTGCCATTTCCTTTTTTCTACTTGTAGAGCAAAAAGTGTCCAAATAATAATAAATAAGAGAAATGTTATAGTGTTACCACATAGCTGATGATAAAACACTAGGAATAATAGAGTAAATCTGCAGAATTTGGAGAAATTCAAGTTTGTATCCTCTCTATCTTACATTTCAAAGGAGACACAGGAGTGAGTGTAATTAACAATCATTCTCTAAGCAAACTTCTTTATTCTTTTTCTTTTTTTATTTATTATTTTAAGTTTAGGGGTATATGTGCAGGTTTGTTACATAGGTAAACTTGTGTCATGGAGGTTTATTGTGCAGATTATTTTATCACCCAGGTATTAGGCCTAGAACCCATTAGTTATTTTTTTCTCATCCTCACCCTCCTCCCAACCTCCACCCTCTGACAGGCCCCAGTGTCTGTTGTTGTCTTCTATGTGTCCATGTGTTCTTATCATTTAGCTCCCACTTATAAGTGAGAACATGCAGTATTTGGTTTTCTGTTCTGGCATTAGTTTGCTAAGGATAATGGCCTCCAGCTCCATCCATGTCCCTGCAGAGGATATGAGCTCATTCTTTTTTTATGGCTGCATAGTTTCCATGGTGTATATATATCACATTTTCATTATTTGGTCTATCATTGATGGACATTTCGGTTGATCCAATGTCTTTGCTATTGTGAATAGTGCTGCAGTGAACATCCAAGTGCATGTGTCTTTATAATAGAATGATTTATAGTCCTTTGGGTATATACCCAGTACTGGGATTGGTGGGTCGAATGGCATTTCTGTCATTAGGTCTTTGAAGAATCACCACACTGTCTTCCACAATGATTGAACTAATTTACCCTCCCACGAACAGTGTATAAGCATTACTTTTTCTCCATAACCTTGCCAGTGTCAGTTCCTTTTTGACTTTGTAATAATAGTCATTCTGACTGGTGTGAGATGGTGGTTTTGATTTGCATTTCTCCAGTGTGGTTTTGATTTGCATTTCTCCAATGATCAGTATTGTTGATATTTTTTTTCATAGGATTATTGGCCACATGTGTGTCTTCTTTTGGGAAGTGTCTGTTCATACCCTTTGCCCACTTTTTAATGGGGTTGTTTGGTTTTTTCTTGGAAATTTGTTTAGGGATCTCACTTATTTAATAAAATATTTAGTGTCTGAAAAGAAAATCACCAAAAAGTTTTCTGAAGCATTTCACGAACTTCACAGAGATTATATTTTACTTCCAAGGAATGCCAGTTTAGTTTACCAATAATATGCCTCATGAATATTGAATTTATATTTCTGCTCTAGAAAATGTCCTCCCTACTAAAAGTGTAGAAAAGTAAGGAAATCCTTGACGGATTGTAACATTACCTAAAAGCAGAAGGAAAGAAGTTTCCTAGTATAAGACCAGTTCTTTTTATCTCAGAGGACAGATAAGATATTTCACATCATTTTCCAGATGGTTTTTGACTTGTTCTCATTTCATGGTGAATCAACCATTTCAGAATCACAGGATTCTAGTCCTTGACCGAATATCATTCATTAGCAAAATTCCATGGTCAACTCCATAATATCTGGTGTACTACACATAAATCATTTTTGAGGTTATATAAAAATAATTCAGATTTAATATTTAACTTATTATGGTCTATAAAATTTCTGACATACAAAAGAACTTTAATAATGTATTCATCCTATCAGATTTGTTTTTCTCTGTCTCATTTTTTCATAAGACAAACATTCAGGTTTATAGTGCAAAAAATAGTCAACTTGTTTTTTATTTTGTTTTTCTATGGAAGATCTGATATTAAGACTCTTTTCAGGTTACAAAGACTACTTCAACTTTGTGGACCTCAAATGAGAAAATTATATTAAGTGACTTCCAAAGTAACTTCCATCAACTATACTTGCTTTCTGTCATTGGAACTCATAAGTTTATGAAAGACAAGAGAATTCATACATATGCCTATAATATACAAAACCTTATACATGTAATAGTTAATGTAAAGGAGAGAGAAAGTAGTATGGTAGGAATGGGGACCCTGAGCATTTGAGCCACTTCATCTAACTTATCTGTGCCTTCAGTGCCAAAACACATATATAGTACTTACATTTGATAATGGAGTGCTACTATGCACAATCAACTTTATGACTTAGTTTGTCAGATTAAACCCAATTAATGATGGACAGCTCTGGTCACATGGTAACTTGGTGGGCCCGTGGTTAAGTGTTCAGTCTCTAATAAAGCCCAGTAGCCGGGCAAAACTGTTGCTCAAAAGGGGACCAGTTATCTCCAGAGGAGGGCAGAACCTTGCTTCAATATCCCAAGGGCCTGCACTGCAGTTAATCCATAAAGGCCTGCCAAAGCCTCGAAACAGCATCCCTAGCTACCACTGACATGTCAAGCACCATTGGACCTGCTGGTTTATACGGCCCAAGAGGCAAAGCTGCTTACACAGCAGCCTGGACCTGTTGCAGAGCCTTCTCTTGATCTGAGCTTCACTCGAAACAAGCAGCTTTTTGGGTCACTTAGTAAATGGGCTGGAGTAACACACCCAGATAAGGAATATGTTGCTCCCCAAATTAAAAAAGGGCCAGTAAGTATTGCCCCCCCCTTTTTTGTACCTACAATCATACCTCTAGAAAATAGATTCATCTCGTTTTCTTTTCTTTTTTCTTTTTTCGGTTTTGTTTTTGTTTCTTGAGACAGTGTCTTCCTCTGTTGCCCAGGCTGGAGTGTAGCTTCATGATCTCGGCTCACTTCAACCTCTGCCTCTTGGGTCCAAGCAAATCTGCTGCCTCTGCCTCCCAAGTAGCTGGGACCACAGGTGTGCGCCACGACCCTGGCTAATTTTTGCATATTAGTGGAGATGGGATTTTACCATGTTGGCCAGGCTGGTCTTGAACTCCTGGCCTCAACTGGTCTGTCTGCCTTGGCCTCCCAAAGTGCTGGGATTAGAGGCATGAGCCACCGCAGCCATCCAGATTATCTCTTTCTTTAAGTGGAAACTGAATTTTAGAGGGTGTAAGTACCTTATTCTGGTTCACATAGATAGGAAAGAGCAGAACTTAGTTTGAACACAAGATACATTTTGTTCTTTTGAAAGGTTGCATCTTTTCAATTACTCTTTTCCCTTGTACCCTTTACCCTCTCTGACTTTAAGAGCAACTAGAGAATTATGATAATACTTCAGGAAATAATAAATATCAGCTTAACACATCGTGTGTGGGTGTGTGTGTGTGTGTAAACTGCCATGCTAGGTACTGTAGTTGTAGCAAATACAAATAAAATAAGTATATGCTTTCAGTAGTTTCATATATTTTATTGATAATTTACCACGTGTTAGGCCTACACTTGCTACTGGGAATAGAATATTATTAAAAGACCATAGTTTCTATCTTCAAGGAGCTCAGTCTAGTGTATGGGCAAATATGCAAACTAAAATTACATCTTAGTTAATTGGTATTAAATTGGCATTAAAACATTTTTATTTGAGCAAAAGCTAGTGTGTATTAAAAGACAAAGAAAAGTGATTAAAAGGTGCTAACGTTATAAGGATTATAAGTGGCTCAGTATTATTGAGTGTAGGTACATGGAGGAAAGACCAAAATGAGCTAGACAGACAGGCAGGGGCCAGATCATAAAGGGCTACATATGCAGTACTGATTAGAAGCCTTGAAATATTTTGAGCATAGGTGTGGGAAAATGATTATAGAATTTTGAAACTAAAAATAATACTGTTTTACAGAAATGAGGAGGTTGGCTTTGAGGACATGATCTGCTATAGGCAGACTGTGCCCCTTACAGCAGTTAAAAAGACATCACTGGAAAATTCTTTGATACTCTTCTATTGGCAGAGTGAGGTCTATGTATTCTCCCCTGAATCTGAGAAGCAAAAAGGAAATAAAAGTTGATAGGCTAAAGTAATCATCCAGTCAAGATTATTGTATGAGCCATACCTAGTACAGTAGCCTTAGAAATAGAAAGAAGGTCTGGGCGCTGTGGCTCACACTTGTAATCACAGCACTTTGGGAGGCCCAGGCGGGCGGATCACGAGGTCAGGAGACCAAGACCATCGTGGCCAACATGGTTGCTGAGGCAGGCAGATTGCGAGGTCAGGAGATCGAGACCATCCTGGCTAACACTGTGAAACCCCGTCTCTACTAAAAATACAAAAAAATTAGCTGGGCCTGGTGGCGGGCACCTGTAGTCCCAGCTACTTGGGAGGCTGAGGCAGGAGACTAGCGTGAACCCTGGAGGCGGAGCTTGCAGTGAGCCCAGATCGCGAGATCGCGCCGCTGCACTCCAGCCTGGGTGACAGAGCAAGACTCTGCCTCAAAAAAAAAAATAAATAAATAAATAAATAAATAAAAGTAAAGAAATAGAAAGAAAGTATTAGATATGAGAAATGTTTAAGATACAAAGCTTAAAACATTCAAGAAACATATAGTTTGGTGGCAATAGACTTGTAGATAACAATCTATATTGAAAATCAGAATGTAATGGAACTATGGTATAAATACTGTGCGTTGGAGCATAGAGCAGACACTGTTGGTGCACTACCCATATCCCTTCTGTCCTTCACTTTCCAGTCTTGCAAATGGTGTCCACTGTCAATTCCCAGCCTTAGGACTTTCTCAAATCTCTTCTGTAGAGCAAGCTGGAAATACCCCCAAATTAATGCCACCAACATTAGCATTAATAACACAAAAGAGTTTAGCAAATAACACATAAGAGTTTCAGGATAAATTCTGCAGCATCCTCATGCCTTAGATATGGTAATACTGGGAATTTTTCTATTCTGTCTTCCAAAATTTCCTAGAAAGACTGAGCCCTAATAGACTGCAGTGATAACCAACTCATTAACACACATTTTTTTTCTCCTTCTATAGCCTCCACAAGTGATTTCTGGGGTTACCTGTCAATAAACTACTTTCTCTCTAACCTCGGGATCATCCTCTGAAAATTCGAATGAAGCTACGACAGATAAAAAGATTAAATTAGTAATTTTTAAACTTTCCGCAAATAAGAGTTCAAGTGTGGACAACTTCATTGGTACAATCTATTAAACATTTAAAGAACCAATACCAACTTTTATCAACTCCTCCAAGAAATATAAGAGGGCAGAATTCTTCTCAACTCATTCTATGAGTATGACCCTGATACAAAAATCAGACAGACATCACAAGGAAAGAAAACTGCTATATCTCTTATGTATGTGAATATCTCATAAGGAAATATAAATATATATATCATGATAATATCTCATAGGGAGATAGACTTACATCTCTTTATGAATAACATAAAAGCCCTCAACAAAATATTGCAAACCAAATCCAGCGACATATAAAAACAAATATGGACCATAAACAAGTAGGCTTTGTACCAGGAATGCAAGATAGACTCCTCATCCGAAATCAATTAATATAATACATCAGGTGAGTAGAATGAAAGACAAAAACTGCATAATCATCTCAATAGACATAGAAAAGCATTTGACATATCTAACATCTTTCATGATAAACATCCTTAGCAAACTTACGATTGAAAGGAACTATTTCAATCTGTTAAAGGACACCTACAAAACAACCCACACTAACATAACACATAATGGTGAAAGACTGGATGCTTTCCCTCTGATTTCAGGAACAAGATAATGATATCTAGTTTCTTCTGTTTGTGTTGTACTGGAGCTGGGGCAGTGAATTCTAATCTCAACAAAGCTGTTATTAGAAAGAAATACATCCAGTAAAATTTAACATCCTATTTTTTAATTTTAAAAAGCTCTCACCAAAGTACACACTATCCCTCTATGATAAAGGCAGTCTTGCAAAGTTCAGTTGACACCATAATTGAAATATTCTAAGAATAGGTACCAAGCAAGAATGCCCACTGTCACACTATTATTCAACAATGCACTGGAAATAAACTCAGTTTATTAACAGATAACCTGACACTATTTTGCATGTAAAATTATGGGAAACTACAATGAAGTGGCTACAAATGAAAAGCAAATTTAGCAGGGCAATATTCCAACAACAATTATATTTCCATATACTTGTGGCATAAATTTAAAAACTGAAATTTAAGAAATACTATTTTCAGTAGCATCAAAATCATAAAATATGTAGGAATAAATTTAACAAAATACAGGGAAGATATCTGAAATTAAAACTACAAAATGCCATTTAGATAAATTAGAAACCTAAATTAATAGATATTCCATAGTCATGAACTGGAAAATGCAATATGATTAAGATTTTACTTTTTTTCTAATTTAATCCATATTTTAAAGCAATCCTAATCAATATCCATTTCTTTGTAGAAATTAACAAGCTGATTTTATAATTTATAAAAAATGCAATTGACCTAGAATAGCAAAATATTTTTGGAATGAAAAATACAGTTGAAAGACTAACAGTTTCTGATTTCAAGACTTGCTATAATGTTACAGGGATAAGCCAGTGTGCTATGGGTTTAAGGATAGGCAAGTGGGTCAAAAAAACATGCACATTCTAAAAACAGAACAATGCACTTGATTTTTGGCAAATGTGCCAAAGCAAGTCATCAAAGAAAAAGAAATCTTTTCAACAAATGTTGCTGGAGCAACTGGATAAATGTATAGAGAAAATACATCAAGACACCCCCTCATATCATAAACAAAAATCAATTTGAGAGCGTTCGTAAACTTAAACATTAAAGCTAAAACTATGAAGCTTTTAGAAAAAAATATTTTGCAACTGGTGGTCAGCAAAAATTTCTTAAATAGGATGACAAAAGCAATAATCATGAAAGAAAACAGGATAAAAATATTTTCAGCATTTAAAAAATTTTAGGAAAAAACATCATTGAAAAATGAGTAAGCAAGCTACTGGGAGACAATACTTACAATGCACATGTATCTTCAAAATATTTATATGCAAAATATATATTATCGGGGGAACCAGCCCCCTGTATTTCAACATAGGTTCTTTTCTATTTTCCCTAACTGTTGTCTTGCCCCGGTCTGAGAAATAAAGGGAAAGAGTACAAAAGAGAGAAATTTTAAAGCTGGGTGTCTGGGGGAGACATCATATGTCAGCAGGTTCCGTGATGCCCCCTGAGCGGTAAAACCAGCAAGTTTTTATTAGCAATTTTCAAAGGGGAGGGAGTGTACGAATAGGGTGTGGGTCACAGAGATCACATGCTTCAAGGGCAACAAAAGATCACAAGGCAGAAGGTCAGGGTGAGATCACAAAGTCAGGGCAAAAGTAGAATTACTAATGAAGTTCCATGTCCTGCTGTGCACCCATTGTCAATGATTAACATCTTAACAGGATTCAAGAGCAGGGAACGGGTCTGACTAGAATTAGCCAGGCTGGAATTTCCTAATCCTAGCAAGCCTGGGGGTGCTGCAGGAGGCCAGGGCGTGTTTCATCCCTTATCTGCAACTGCATAAGGCAGACACCCCCAGAGTGGCCATTTTAGAGGTCCCCCCAGGAATGCATTCTCTTCCCCGGGCTGTTAATTATTAATATTCCTTACTGGAGAAAGAATTCAGCAATATTTCTCTTGCCCATTTTCGGCAATAAGAGAAATACGGCTCTGTCCTGCCTGGCTCCCAGGCAGTCAGACCTAATGGTTATCTCCCTTGTTCCCTGAACGTTGCTGTTATCCTGTTCTTTTTTCAAGGTGCCCAGATTTCATATTGTTCAAACACACATGCTTTACGAACAATTTGTGCAGTTAACGCAATCATCACAGGGTCCTGAGGGGACATACATCCTCAGCTTATAAAGATGACAGGATTAAGAGATTAAAGTAAAGGCAGGCATAGGAAATTATAAGAGTATTGATTGGGGAAGTGATAAATGTCCAAGAAATCTTCACAATTTATGTTCTGCTGTGGCTTCAGCTGGTCCCTCCGTTCGGGTCCCTGACTTCCTGCAACAATATATAAGTTCTTACAATTCAAACAAAATACAAATCAATGCTAAAGACAAACAACTCAATAGATTTCAGAAGATATATCACAAAAAAGAAATAATTAGTAACCATATGAAAAATTTATGGCAAACTGAAATCACATAATACTACTTTCAACATTCTAAAATAGCTATAATTTAGGCCGGGCATGGTGGCTCACACCTGTAATCCCAGCATTTTGGGACGCCGAGGTGGGCGGATCACTTGAGGTCAGGAGTTTGAGACCAGCCTGGCCAACATATAGTGAAACCCTGTCTCTAATAAAAAATACAAAAATTAGCTGGACATGGTGGTGTGCACCGGTAGTCCCAGCTACTTGGGAAGCTGAGGCAAGGAATCACTTGAACCTGTGAGGTGGAGGTTGCAGTGAGCTGAGATCACGCCACTGCACTCCAGCCTCAGCAACAGAGCGAGGCTCTGTCTCTCAAAAAAAAAAAAAAAAAAAAAAGCTAAAATTTAAACTCTCAAAACCAATTTAATGAGGATATAGTGCAACTTGGGCATTCCCATATTGTTGATGAAAACATAAAATGATGCAAGTACTTTGGAAAATTGACAATTTCTCATGAAATTAATGTACAACTACCCTATGGCCCAGTGTTTCAATTCCTAAAGCAATGGAAATATAAGTCTGTGAGCCTGGATGTGATGGCTCACACCACGGCCCAGCTTTTTGATTCCCAATGTAATGAAAATATACAACTGTAAGTCTGTATATGGTGGCTCAGGCCGTAGCCCTAGAACTTTGGGAGGACAAAGTGGGAGGATTGCTTGAGGCCAGGAGTTCAAGACTAGCCTAAGTGACATAATGAGATCCCATCTCTACAACAAATAATTCATAAAAAATAAATACATAAAAACACATAAACTAGAATGTTTAGAGTAGCTATATTCATAATAGACAAATATTGCAAATAGCTCCAAGTTCCAAGAGAATGGAAAGAATGCTGACATATTCTTGCAATTGCAATCACTAGTCTTAACAAAATAGAATGAACTATCAAATCATCTTATGTCATAGTTTAAGTCTGCCAGGAAGCAAATACTAAAGAAGTAGGGCTACAGAAATGTATGGCTATGATCTGAATGTGTCCCCTCAAATTAGTGTGTTGAAAACTTAATCCTCAATGCATGGGAGGTGGGACTAACAGGAGATATTTAGGTAGTGAAGGGATCTGCCTTCATGATGGAATAATGCCACTCTAAAATGGGCTTGCATAAGTGGGTTTTCTCTCTCTTTACTTGCACCTTCTGCCATGTAAGGATGCAGTAAGAAGGCCCGCACTGATACCAGTAGCTTGATCATAGACTTCCCAGCCTAGAAATACATTTCTGTTCTTTTTAAATTACCTATTCTTCTATAGAAGCTCAAAATGAATTAAGACAGAGAGTAATACCTGAAGAAAGAGAAGAGAGAAAATATGACTGATCAGGACACCTCTTGCTGTCATGCAGTGCTGAAGGTCTCTGCCAGTCCAGTGGGGAGATTCAGTCAAAGATTAACCATAAGAGGGGCCTTGCAGTGGGTATAAATGTTGAGACTCTTATACCAAGACTTTGCTCAGTCATTGGCTAGAGGCATCCTGAAGTGCAACACAGCTAACCACAATTCTTGCAGCTTGGCAGTGAGTTCTTTCCTCTAAGGGGAATCAGAGCACAAAATTTGCGTTTTACACCCAACAATGTGGATGAACCCGAAGGTCATTACTCTAGTAAAAGAAATTAGATGTAAAAGAGGCTATATTTTATGATTCCTTTTATATGACATGCAAAATCAGGCATATCTACATATTTAGAAATCAGAATAGCGTTTGCCTTTGGAAGATTGAGGATTGACTGGAAGAGGGCATGAGAGAACTCTCTGGTGTAATGAACATTTTCCATATCATGATGGGAGTACCGGATACAGTTTATCAAAAGTCATCTAAACTGTACGCTGAAGTGCTACAAATATACTTCAATTTGAAAAATAACTATTTAACTACTGCTCCTCCCTACTCTACATACAAAAGATACAAGCACTAGAAACCTAAAATTGCCATCGAAATCAGCTGTAAGTCTCTACTCATTTACGCTTGCTAACTGATACTTAATTTTTTTTTTTTTTTTTTTTTTTGTGAGATGGAGTCTCACTCTGTCACGCAGGCTGGAGTGTAGTGGCACGATCTCGGCTCACTGCAACCTCTGTCTCTCCCAGGTTCAAGCGATCCTCCTGCCTCAGCCTCCTGAGGAGCTGGGATTAAAGGCATGCACTACCACACCTGGCTAATTTTTGTATTTTTAGTAGACAAGGGGCTTCACCATGTTGGTCAGGCTGGTTTCCAACTCCTGACCTCATGATCCGCCTAGGCCTCCCAAAGTGCTGAGATTACAGGCATGAGCCACTGCACCTGGCCCTGATAGTTAATTTTTAGGGTAACTGGGATTGAGCAAAGGTTGTTGAATTTTGTCTGGCATTTCACTGAGCATGACATGTGTATGTGTGCGTGTGTGTGTGTTTGTGTGTGTATGTTTTCTAGACGTGTGCTTTTATACAATTCTATGTATTAGGGTGGTGCAAACTTAATTGAAGTTTTGGCACTAAAAGTAATGGCAAAAACCGCAATTACTTGTGCACCAACGTAATATATAGACATGGCTAAGGGTACATCACTAATGAATTACAAGCTTTAAATAAGTTCATCTACAAGGAAGATATGGAAAACTTATTTTGCAGTCTTCATGAACACACAGAGAGGAGATCACACATGTGTTCCTGTACTCAAATATTCCATACCCAAGTTATTTTTATTGAAGTAACATATGCTTAGGGTTCATGTATAGGAGCAGCTCTGGCCGCATTCCACCCAGCCTTCTGCTCTGCTTCCCAAAGGAAAGTACTCCTACACTATTAGGGTAGATATAAATTGAGTTCTCTCTGTTTTTTTTTTTTTTTTTTTTTGAGATGGAGTCTTGCTCTGTCTCCCAGGCTGGAGTGCAGTAGTGCAATCTTGGCTCACTGCAACCTCTGCCTCCCAGGTTCAAGAGATTCTCCTGCCTCAGCCCCCTGACTAGCTAGGACTACAGGTCCATGCCCGGCCACATTTTGTATTTTTAGTAGAGATGGGGGTTTCACCATGTTGGCCAGGCTGCTCTAGAACTCCTGACCTCAAGCAATCCACCTGCCCCCGCCTCCCAAAGTGCTGGGATTACAGGTGTGAGCCAATGTGCCCCGCCAATTTAATTCTCTTACACCAGTACTCCAGTCCTGGATTTTTTTACCACCTATAATCCTAATGTAACTTTTAGATTAAATAGTTATTTAGTGTTTGTACTATTTTAAGTATATAAAAATATTACAATGCTTAAGCCAAGTGACTTAATAGAATTTTTTTCTTTCCTGTATCATTAGTAGTCTTTCCTATGTTAAAAATTGCCCTATTTGTATGTGTTTGCCTGTTTATTTCTATAATAATCAGTTCTTCCTAATGAGCTAGGAGGTGGAACTCAACTCAGGAGATGAGACTTGACTCCAAGGGTGGAGCTCAGACACTGGACCAGATTGAGGACTAGCTAAAGCAGAGACAGAGCAAAAGCAGCTTTCCACAGGACATACTCACCAGTGTGTGATGTCAGTTTACAATTGCCATGGCAACAACCAGAAGTTATGGCTTCTTTCCATGGCAATGACCCAACTACCTGGAAGTTTCCACCGTTTTCCTAGAAATTTCTTCATGACCCGCCCCTTAATTTGCACATAATTAAAAGTGAGCATTAATATGACTGCAGCACTGGCTCTGAGCTGCTGTGGGCACAATGCCCGTGGGGTAGCCCTGCTCTGCAAGGGGCAGTAGCTCTGCTCCTGCTGTCACTTCAATAAAAGTTGCTGGGCCGGGCGCAGTGGCTCACGCTTGTAATCCTAGCACTTTAGGAGGCCGAGGTGGGCGGATCACCTGAGCTCAGGAGTTTGACACCAGCCTGACAAACATGGAGAAACCCCAACTCTACTAAAAATACAAAATTAGCCGGGTGTGGTGGTGCATGCCTATAATCCCAGCTTCTCAGGAGGCTGAGGCAGGAGAATCACTTGAACCCGGGAGGCAGAGGTTTTGGTGAGCCAAGATCACACCATTGCACTCCAGCCTGGGCAACAAGAGTGAATCTCTGTCTCAAAAAAAAAAAAAAAAATGTTGCTAACACCACCAGCTCACCCTTGAATTCTTTCCTGGGAGACTCCAAGAACCTTTCAGGCTAAGCCCAAAATTTGGAGCTTGCCTGCCTTGCATCACCATTACTTCCAGTAGACTAAATATAATTTTTAATATATTCAGATGTCCTATATAATTTATCACTTAAATTTATTTGCAGAGCTTATTCCTAAAACCTCATATTTTCCTGATACAATATAAATTGGTTACTCTTTTGCTCTACCACATAGTTCTTGTCCTGGAATTTTCCTGCTCAGTCAACTTTACCTTTCAAATTTTTGTGTTGGATTCCCAGTTTCTTTGGTTTCATGTCTTGTCCTTTCTTGTTTAACTTTCTCACCATGGTAGATTCCTGTTAAACTGTGCAAAGACAGTCATTCTTTTTGGAGAACTTGCATATCTGATAATGTCTTTATCACATATTCACATTAAATTGATATGTTTTCTCAAAAAGGAATTATATGATACATTTAAATTTCCCTCAGAATTTTGAAATTATTACTCTGTCTTCTAGCTGCCAATATTTGTGTTGAGAGTCTCCTGACTTTGTATGAAAACTTTATGAGAAACATCTTATTTTTCTTCTCTCTGTAGCTTTAAGGCTTTCACCTTCATTCCTGTAATTATGAAAATTCAATAATTATTATTCACTTTAATCATCATCATTTTAACTCACTTATTGAAATACTTATTTGTTAACTTTCTCTCATCTCTTTTCTTTATTTTCTTTCCGGAATTCATTAATCAGTTGTTTGACCTTCTAAGTATTCTCCTATTGTCTATCTCTTGGGTATTTTTGTATTACTATCTGCAAGATTTCCCTAGCTTTTATCTTTCATTTTCCCCTTGAAGTTAGTTTTGTATATTTTATTTCAGTGATTTAAATATAAGTAATCTGATATGAACATCTATGTGTTTTGATTAGCAATTCCACTAACTTACATGAATCTATTCTTATATACCTGCTTTCTCTCCTGTTTCAATAAATTGTCTGTGCTCCCATCTAAGACAAACACAACTACTTCATTTATTTATTCATTTTTTCACTCATTTATTTGTTTATTTTTTTGCCTGGCAAATATTGTGTGTCTATTACACGCCTATAACCTAATTCTATTCTCAATAAGACAACAACTACAAAAAAAACTCTACTGTCATAGATCCTTATTTGAAGGCCTGAGGAAATAATAAACACAAAATAATTGCATTAGATAGTAAATTAAAGCATTATAATCCCAGCCCTTTTTACTTTTTGAAGAAGTTTGCTCCTGAAACCAATTCCTTTGTCTCTTTCATCATCAGCCTCAGTATCTATTGAATAATTTCTATTAGCAAGTAAACACTTTATATTTCAGCTTAAAAATAAATAATTATACTTCATTCCCCTTTATTTATTGCCACATTTCTCTGTTCCCTTTTAGGGCAAAACTCCTGAAATTTGTGGTCTCCATTCACTGTCATCATTTTCTCCCTTTCTCACTGCTTTTCATTCCATTACCTCATAAAACTGCTATTATCAAGGCCCCCCTCTTGCCAAAACTAATGGATGATTCTTAATCCTGTTGTCACCTCCATTTAGCGTTGGAAATACTTGATCATTTCTTCTTTTTGAAATACTTTCTTGACCAGACTTTTGGAATACCACTCTTGTTTTCTCCAGTCTCACGAACAGTTCCTTCTTAGTCTCACTTGCTAAGTATCCCTAAATGCTGGTATGACCCATGGCTGAGTCCTCAGCCCGCATCTCTTCCCTAGGTGAACTCACTTAGTCCCATGTTTAAATGTCATCTGAGTGATAATGAATTCCAACCCCATTTAATCAACTGCCTATCTGTGACACCTTCACTACAATAACCAGTCATAGTAACTAACAGCTACTGAATATTTCTTATGAGTCAGAAACTGTTCTAGGAACATTTAGAATAGAATTAATACATTTAGTTTCCCAAGAACTCTTTTTACACACTATGAAATTAAAACACTGTGTACTTAATTCAGTTTTTAATATTATATAGCTAATAAGTCATTTACCCAAATTTAAACCCAAACCATCTGGCCCTACCTGCCTGTGTTCTTACTCATTACACTATGTTCCTTTTGGCTGGTTAAAGCTGGCATTTCAGACTAAATACAGGAAGACTTTTACTCTAAATCAGACTTGCTTTTAGTAGGAACCTTGCAGTATGTAGGTATGTTTATGTATAAATATACATTTAGCATTTGAAGATTATACAGATATATACTCAGGGCAACAATGAGGTAGCAGTTGATTTCTCGGACAGTCAACAAATGTACACTCTTCTAAAATATTATTTTCTCCATTTTTCCATTTTCATTCAGCTGAAAATGTGATCACAGTGAGTAGTAATGTTGAGGAATTGGGAGAGAAGAAGGAAAAACTTAGAGCCAGCAGCGGAGGTAGAAGACATGCTTGTAAATATAAAGGTTAAAAATCTGGGCCGAGCGCGGTGGCTCACGCCTGTAATCCCAGCACTTTGGGAGGCCGAGGCGGGTGGATCACGAGGTCAGGAGATCGAGACCACGGTGAAACCCCGTCTCTACTAAAAATACAAAAAATTAGCCGGGCGCAGTGGCGGGCGCCTGTAGTCCCAGCTACTCGGGAGGCTGAGGCAGGAGAATGGTGTGAACCCGGAAGGCGGAGCTTGCAGTGAGCGGAGATCGCGCCACAGCACTCCAGCCTGGGCGACAAAACGAGACTCCGTCTCAAAAAAAAAAAAAAAAAAAAAAAAAAAAAAAAAAAAATCTGTTATATATGTAAATGAAATGACTGTCAAACGTAGATTAACTATTTCCATCAGCTTGTTGATGAATGCAATAGAAGACCACAATAGTAAGATAAAAGTATTTCTAGAGAGTAAATGAACATGTTTCTTGCTTCACCTGACATTTGCTATTGAGTTCATATAATGTGGAATATCACAACTGAAATAGTAATAAACTGTATCAATCACTGAAAGCAGCATAAATTGAGTACAAATAACATGAAAAGAGAGAGTCACCAGTTCCCTTAGTCAATAAAGATCACAGCTTTTCAGATCATGCCTGAATTGCAGTTATTAATCACACTGCCCACTTACGGCAGACAATATTGTGCCGCTGATGATTGATAATCATCCTGGGCATAATGTCAGCTCTTCTATGAACCAGGAAGACTTGGGCCATGTATTTGAGATATCACAGATTGTTGGAATCTGCACTTCAATACATGCTCAAATCAGTTACTTTTTTATTGTTATTGAATATATTGAGAGAAAACAACTGAAGAACAATTCTTTAGGTTTCTTAGGTCATTTTTGTAATTCAGGTGAATTTATGACACATTGATCATGAACATAAAAGTTATTAGAAGCAATTGTTCTATAATAAAAATTGAGTGCACATAATGTGGTTATAGCAGAAACATCTGCCACTCATGCAGACATCATTCTGTAAACTCATCTAACTAACTCTATTTTCCTTTCTGATTGTATCAGGGTAGCTTGCGGCATGACAGTGATTTGAGTGACAGGCATCCACCCTGGCGCAGGGTGATGCATGCTTAAGTTTTGTTTACGGGAATCATCCCTCCTTGAAAAATGTAAATTTTTAAATTGGTTTTTATTGAAAAGAGGTATATAAGGAAGCAGTGTGGTTTCCTTCAATCCTTAAAAAGTCAAAGTCATTATAATAGTCTCCAGCTTTCATAAAAATTTTACTAACTTTTTAAATTGACTTTTTGGTTTTGTAATGAAAAAGAACATGAATTATTTAAAAGTTTCAGACAGTTTTTATTTAAAAAATATTAGAATATAGTAAAATGCAAAAGACAATGTTCAAGAAAAAGCATAATATTCACTACATTTAAAGAGGTTAACATCCTCACGTGTACTTCCTCAGAAACAGCCAAAGTCATTTTTAAATTCTAAAGTTACAAGGACAGCAAGGTTATATATATATGTGTGTGTGTTTATATATATATGGAACTATAATATGTGGAACTTTAAATGTGGAACTATAGTAAAATATCTGTTATAGAATCCTTATAAAAACGTTAGCATGTTAGATTTGGAAGGGACTTTTGAGGACATCCTATGTTGATGCTGGAAGCAACATGGAAATCCCTCAATGATATTCCTGTCTGAAGGTCCACCAGCATTTGCTCAGCCACTTCATAGGAAATTTCTAACTTCATAAGGCAATATTCTGCATTAGAACATCTCTTGTTTTAGAAAGAATTTATCATATTAAGCCAACATTTATCTTGTCTCCACTTTCAAAGAGACACCCTCCTAAGCTACACAGCACGACACACTACTTTACAACACAGAGTCTTACAATTTGCATAATTATGTGAAATAATATTTTGATGTTGCAGTGTAACTGGTTAATTCAATTGTTTATATGACTATCATAATGAAATATGTTAACAAATATGACTCAATAGCATTTTTGGTAAAATAATTGTGACATCTTTATATACGCAAATGACTTTTATCAGAATAAATCAATTCCCAATTTGGTCAGAACTGTGTGAAAGAAACAAAATGCAAGTGGGAAAAAGATGCATGAGAATTTGGATTTCTGCACTTTCTTTTTAGTCCTGTTTGACTGTATCTTCATTCCCTCACCATGTAGCAGATGTGATGAGTCATATATCAAACACTGTAAACAGCTTTCCACCACCAGAGCTGCCATGTAGGCGAAATGTGTTCCCTTGCCAATAAACTCATGCTTTCTCTTCAGTTATACCAATCTGTAAGTTGACTTTATACATTATGTGTTTACTTGTCAAGCTGTGTATTGATTCGTGATGAGAAGAAAGAATTTTTAAAAAATGAGAAAATAACACATATAGACTCCAATAGTCTTGGACCACCGTGCTGTGCTAAAGAAGAAACAGAGATCTCTTTTGCATTTTTTTAAAAATCCAATATCCTCAAAGACAACTTGGCCCTCATAATTACATTTTTGTCTTTGAGTATCTGGCATTCTTGGGTCAAGTTATTTATCAAGAAAATGTTCCAATGGATCACTTAAATTTTTATCTCAGAGAGGATAGGAATCTAAAATTTTGTCTAACCATGTCATTTTAAGTTTTCTGAGATGGCATGGGTAGATTTCAGTTCTTCTGACCTGGAATTCTGTTGTTTAAGTAATAGAGGCAAAACAACCTGGGGGTTCACTGAAAATCCTATTGAGTCATTATTTTATAGCTTTCATAGACAAACCCTTGTTTAACTTTTTTTTTTTTTTTTTTTAAAGCAAGTGAAATGTTTTCTCCACTTCGAGTTAGGAGGAGGGGGATGGTAAACAGTGAATGGTTAAGACATACCTCTTCTGCCAAGGTTAGGTAATGAGAAAAATAGGCATATTACATATTTTAAGAAAATTTACATTGTTTTGACTTGCATTGGGTAAAATTAAAAAGCAAACTATCTCAAACATTGCTTTTCCACTCACTGTCTTAAAATAAGTATAATTGTTTAAGCAAATCTTGAGTAGGCAGTGTAAGGAAAGGAAAAATAGCATAACAGATGTTAGGCACCGTGGCTTACGCCTGTAATCCTAGCAATTTGGCAGGACAAGGTGAGGGGATTGCTTGAGCTCAGGAGTTCAAGACTAGCCTGGGCAACTTAGGGAGACCCTGTATCTGCAAAAAGTACTAAAAAATTATCTAGGTGTGGTGACATGTGCCTGTGGTCCTCCTCGAGAGGCTGAGGTAGGAGGATCGCTTGGGCCCAGGAGGTTGAGGTTGCAGTGAGTTGTGATCACACGACTGCACTCCAGCCTGTATGACAGAGGGAAACACTGTCCAAAACAAGATTAAAAATATAGATTTTTTTTAAGGCACATATTCCTTATGGGAGAATGATGCAGTATAAAACATGGAAACTATTTTGATAGATTCAGAGAAGAAATAAATAGAACAAAGACAAAGTAAAAGATAATATGTACAGGGTGCCAAAGATATGCACACAGAAGCTGGTGGTTGAGAACCCTGAAGAGAGAATGAGCAAATTTGCCATTCATGTAGTAGGCAAGAGGAATGAGATGTTGTTATTGCTTTTAAATCTCCCACCATGTTTATCATATTGAAACTCCAAGGATATAAGGTAGATAATATTTAGTTTTGTTTTATTTTTGTTTTGTTATAATTCTCACATACTATAAAATATTTAGATAAATAAATCACAAATCCTGGGCCAGAAACAGAAATATATTACACCTGTCTTGATATATCAGAATGAAAATGTGAGAAAAAAATACCATTAATTTCATTGCACATGATAAGAGTTTATTTACTAAGAGCTACATCCTCATAAATGGGAGACATATTAGCTTATTGCCTAATTGTCACTTTGAAGTCATTGCAAGTAAAAGCAAGTTCTACTTCTCTGCAATAAATCTACGTACCTTCAAATGATTCAGAAAAGTCTAAGTGCAGGATGTGTGTCCTGATTTTCCAGGGACGAAGGAGCTTTTGGGGGCACAGAACTTGCAGGTTTAAAACTAGAAAAAACAGCTTATAACCCTAATGAATCCACAATTACCAGGGAACCCTAATTATAACCCCTATATATCAATGGCACAAAAGACTTAAATATACTATTCCACTACCTGAAAACCCAGATATTGATGATCCTCCTCTGTCTCACAGATAAAATAGAATGGAGATTATTACCTATCAAAAAATGGAAGATACCATAGAAAAAATATATAAATATATCTATATATGTTATACCGATATAAATTTTGGTGAGTGATGTTGCGAGTAGTACTTCAATTAAAAAATAATTATTATTCTTCATCATCATGGGGTTTTTTGAAGGAAAATAAATACTGAATTCCTCCATGCAGAGAGTTAATTGAGGGAATTATACAGCCAAATTTCTCATTTTGGTGCAGTTTGTTAGTTCAGAAACAAAAGCTTCTTGCATAAAATAAGGCATAAAAATAGTGGGGTAAAGGAGTACAAAATTTGAATGCAGTGAGAAATGGCAGTACCAGAAACATTGTGTATTGTGTAGAGCACTAAGGACATTTGACAACTGAGAGAATAGTCTTTGAACAGAAATAGAGAGGGAGAGAAGGTGAAGAATATGTAAGAAAGGGGGTGAAGGAATATAGTAGCTCCTATAAAACTGAAGAGTTCAGGTAAGCAAGAGTGTGGGAAGAAAGGCTGTTTGTAATAATTTCAGGAGAGATAGCAGAGTTAATAAAAATATAAATCATTTGGTACTTAGTCACCATAAATAGAGATCTGTAGTTCTGATGTCCCTGACATATATGAAACAAAATATGTATTTAAAAATGTCAGTGGACCAAGGAAACAGATACAGTTTTGGGGGAGATGTATTTTAGGGAGTAGCTCGCATCATAGGTGATTGTATCCAGTCTTAAGGCTTGAAATATCATTTACATGCTGATAACCCCCAAATTTATATATATAGCACAGACTTCTTTCCTGAGCTCCATACCTGGCTCAAAACTGAATATTGACCTTAACAACATGGCTCAGTGTCCATTTTCTTCAGCCTGGCCTCCTCCCACCATTTTCTGTCGCCTTTAAATCTTTGCCTATGGAGGACAAGAGCAGAAAGGAGAAAATGTAACATGCTCAAAATAAAATTTTAGTTCCATCAAATTTATCACCAGTGTATTAGTCCATTCTCATCTTGCAAATAAAGACATAACTGAGACTCTGTAATTTATAAAGGAAAGAGGCTTTATTGACTCACAGTTCAGCATGGCTGGGGAGGTCTCGGGAAACTTACAATCATGGTGGAAGGAGTAGCAAACATGTCCTTCTTCACATGGCAACAGCAAGAAGAAGTGCCAAGTAAAAGGGGAAAAAGTTCCTTATAAAGACGTTAAATCTTGTGAGAACTCACTCATTATCATGAGAACAGCATGCGGGTAACCACCCCATGATTAAATCACCTCCTAAAGGCTTCCTCCCCCCACATGTGGGGATTATGGGAACTACAAGTCAAGGTAAGATTTGGGTGGGGAAGCAGCCAAATCATATCAACCTGCTTCATCTCCACTATTTCCTACTTCTTTTGATGGTACTATGATGGTATACAATTGACACCTGCACACTTGTGTTTTCTTTCTCCTTTTTCCTTCAGATTCATTGTTCAATTCATCATTGAGTCTCTTTGTTTGTATACCAAATATATCCAGGTATAATAGGTTGCCGCCATCTCCACTTCTATCTCCCTCTCTTGCTTTAATCGTGTGGTCTACTTCAACAGCCTCTGCATCAATCAGAACCTGAAGAGGAAAGAAATGGCATCCTCAAGCTGGGTAATTGAAGAGACTACTTGCAAAGTATGGGAAGGGCTTAGGAAAAGCAGCAAGGAATGGTGCTGCCCTCTAGGAAGGGAGATATAGTGACATTGAGAGGGTTTTATCACACCAGGTTTAAAAGGTAAGAGGAAAAAGAAAGCTGCATGATGACTGCCAGCCGTCCATAGTAGGACAAAACCAGCCTGGGGAGACACATCAGAGAAAAACAAATCCCTTACCTCACTCTGCTGCTTCACTCTGATTTCCTATCAGTATCCTCATTGGCTAGACTCAACAGGAAGTCACAGGGCAAGGGGGCCTCCTGATTCATACAGTCTTTGCCAGTCAGTATTCCAAAGCACACGTGCAGTGGAGAAAGGTGCACACAGGACGAAAGACAGCACATCTTCTGGCTGGTTTCCTCATTCCATTTTGCCTCACTGCAGTCGATTCATCATTTTCAAGTCATCCCCACAGAGAAATATTCCTTATGTGCCTTTCACAGTTTCCAACGCTTAAGCTACTTATTTTTACTCTTTGTCTTATTATGCAGTGTCATTTTCTTCTGTCATCGTCACATGTAACTATCCAAAATAATTGTATAGATGGAAGGATTGATGGATGAATCAGTAATGGACATTTTAATGTCCTGTCTCTCTCCACAAAAATGACTCTAAACTCCATTGGACAGGGATTTAGTATGGTTTGTTCACTCCTGTATCTGGAGTATCTGAAACAATAGTTCACCCAGTAAATACTTGTTAAATAAATTAATGAAGACATATTTGTATTATTTGAAATAATGCAGTTGATAATAAGGGGACAAGATATTTGATAAAGTAAGTTAAAAAAGAATACTTGTGATTCGTCTTAGAAGAAATGCTTCTTGTACTCACAGAAGACTGTCTCCAATTGTTTTTGGATACTATAGAAACTGTTGTATAATAACAATCACTATTTGTAATCTAGCCTTCCTTTTATTTGTTCACAATCAAGTACCACTTGTTCTGCCACTATGACAGCTTATCTTTTTTATATATCTTAACTGTTTAATAACCTCAGTTGATTGACTTGGTGATACATAACTATTTTTTTCTGGTTACTATATCAATCTAAGGAAATAAATTATTTAATATTATATGTTACTTGTCTAACACTTCATGCATTATTTAATTTGATTTTCACACTAATAATTATAATTATCCTTATTTTGCAAATTATTAACCTTGACACTCAGAGAATAAAAGTAACTGCCCCAAAGCTATAGAGCCTATGTAAAATAAAACTAATAATCATCTCAGTAAATGTTTAAAATGTTTTATCATTAAAAATACCTTACATCCTGAAAAAGAGAAAAATACATAAAGTAAAAATTAAATATCAGGCAAACACAAACATCAAGAAAACACATGGGTATGTAGACCACCACTCAGGTTGACAATTCTTTTATTTACATTTTATTAATAATTATGTATTCATGAAGAAAATATTTAATATTGTATGTTTTGGGATTTTATATAAATGTAAAAATGTTATACATGCCCCTCTGTGACTTGCTTCTTTACCTCAGTATTCTATTTCAGGGATTCATTAATGTTAATTCCAATACTTGTTAAATCATTAATGTTCACTGATATATAATATTCCACTTTATAATATCTCACAATATATTTCATCCATTCTACTGTTGACAGGTATTTGAGTTATTTCTTCTTGGGAGCCATTTAAAACAATGCCACTATAAACATTCTGCATCTTTTTCAGAAAATATAAAAGTTCCTGAGGGTATACACCTGAAAGTAAAACAGGTAGGTCTTAGATATGCATATGTTTATCCCTCTAGGCAATGCCAAATTGTTTTTTCATACTTGTTCTAATTAACATTTCCCCTAGTGGTAGATGACTGTGAAGGCAGAATAATGGCCCTCCAAAGATGTACACATCCTAATACCTGGAATCTGTGAATATGTTACCTTACATGGCAAAAATGATTTGCAAACATAAATTAAGAACCTTCAGATGGGGAGACTATCTTGGATTATCCAGGTTGGTACAATAAACAAAGGCCTTTAAAAGGCAGAATTGTCCATTAGAGTGATTTGATGTGAGAAGAATTCAACCTGCTTTTGCTGGTTTTGAAGATGGCAGAAGGAGCCATGAACAAAGGAATATGGGCAGCCTCTAAAATCTGGAAAAGGCAAGGAAATAGATTCTCCCCTACAAGATCTGGAGACCAGTGAGACCAATATTGGACTTCTAACTCACAAAACTGTAAGAAAATAAACCTGTGTCATTTTAAGTTTGTGATAAACTTATCACTAACATCTAACATATTTTATATTTTAGTTTTTTTATTCTTTCTTTACCCACTAGAATGTAAGCTTCCTAAGAGTAAGAATTTTCTATTATTCTTAATTGAAAATTAAATCAGTTTACTGCTGACTGCCTAATGCATAGTGAATCCTCAAGAACTATTTATTGAATAAATGAATGAATACATTGGGCCTGGTCCTTATGCACTTCTTGAGTTCTGACTGCAAATTGCACAATTTCCGTTAGACAGAGGGTAAACAGATGTTCCCTTAGACACCATTTACATTTTTTCCTACCAGGTGGCTGGAAGCATTACCAGCTTGGCATCACTTTAGCATAATTGCTGAGTCTCTTCAGATACATTCTTGGTATTTTAGCTATTCTAAATTTACACTACAAATCTATGAGGTCCTTCTTCTTGCTTTAACTGTTCAGGTACTTCTGCTGCTCAACATCAAGATTCAAGGAGTTCATCACTTGGATGAGACTGGGGAAGAGGATGGGTATTTTTTGTTCACCAGAATACTGAGAATTGCAGTATATCTTTTTAGGATAATACTTTTTACAGTGAGATTTCCTAGTAGTCACCCTACGGTGATCAGGACCAGAATTTTCTCTTCTGTCCCTTGTGTCCCTAAAACTCATGGGAAACAAGATTGGAGTTCATCAAGTTCAGCAAATGCTCTCAAGGCCAATGCCAGCTTCAGTGTTCAACATACCATGGTAAGCTCCAACCTTCCCTTAATTAATCCCAAGTCTAGGTATTTCTCATTTTCTTATCAGTTCATCATATGCTTTTGAGGGAATTTTTCTCCATTTTGGGAGAGGGTGTATTGACAGAAATAAAGTCCCCAGTCCCCAACCGATCACATTAGAATCTCTGTCCACCTGAGAGAGGCAGGACAATCATACATGACTAGGCCCCGAATAGAGGTCATCACACAGCTACCAAATAAAATGGATTGTGAAATACTTCAGATTGACTAATCTTATTAATTTTTCCAGTAATATACAATTCTTCCATATTCCTATAGAATCTACTAGACCCATTTTTAGCACTGTTCTCTTATTTTTTTAATTCTTCAGGTCTTTGGAATGTGAATTTCATAACAACAGGGAATTTTTCTTGTCATGACCATTGGTAGTTCCCCAGTACCTACATAGGTACTCTAAAATTTTTTTTTAACTAATTGTGTGAATTGAATAAATGAATATAAAATTTAAGGTGTTTATTACAAGACAATTTTCCCCCCAATTTTGCTATAGTACAGCTCAGGTTATAAGATATCAAGCTATGTATTGACACTAACTTCAGAGAAGCTCATTTTTTAAAATAAGGATGATGTAGCCACAAAACCAACGTGCTTCTAAAAACAGAAAGAATACTACCTGACTTTTTGCTAGTAATTCATGATTTTAAAAACTTTCGATAACAATGCTTTAGCCAATAGAGGTTACAAAGAATTTTTCATAAGCAGTACCGCACTGTAACCCCCTACAGCTTTGTGAATTATAAAAGGGAAGAAAGCTATGGTTAGAATTTTAGGCAAGAGAATGCTATGCAGCCATAAAGAATGATGAGTTCATGTCCTTTGTGGGGACATGGATGAAGCTGGAAACCATCATTCTCAGCAAACTATCGCAAGGACAAAAAAACCAAACACCACATGTTCTCACTCATAGGTGGGAATTGAACAATGAAAACACTTGGACACAGGAAGGGGAACATCACATACTGGAGCCTGTTGTGGGGTGGGGGGGCGGGGAGGGATAGCATTAGGAGATATACCTAATGCTAAATGACGAGTTAATGGGTGCAGCACACCAACGTGGCACATGTATACATATGTAACAAACCTGCACGTTTTGTGCACATGTACCCTAGAACTTAAAAATATATATGTGAAAAGAATTTTAGGCAAGAAAAATTCTAATGCCTTATGGCTGATTCATGGCATTGCCAGGATTATAAATTAATTCGTGTGTATTCTATTTCAGAGCTTTCCTTTCTTGCTTCAATATTACTTCACTACAAACACTAAATTCAGTAACCTAGATCCCTAGTGATACACAGATAACCCTAAATGAATTGTTAGTTATGAAAGTTCTACCTTAGGAGTCACTGATACTAATCAATCAGTTAACAATGGCAATATGTTACATTAAAAAAACATTACACATGTGTCTGTGCTTTTTCTAAAAAGAATCTGGTATCTCTGAAACCTAACATTTATTTTTGTAAACAATCACAACTTACATGTTGAAATCAATTCAGTGTGTATTTTACACAAAAAAAATTTAAAGAATTACACAAGGCTGTAAAACTAAGATAATTAGCCATTTGCCAGAATTTCTGACTGCTGCTACATGGATTCACATGTTAAATATCAAATATTTTATTTCAACCTAAGTTCTAATAATAGTGGGATTGGCAGTATTTTTGAAGAAATCTTACTCAAAATCCTTTCCATAGCAAGAGTAGTTTGGCCATGTAAAATGAGGTAATACCTATATCTGTCCAAAAATTTATGTTCTAAAGGAAATAAAATGATTTTCCTCTTGATTCTGGGTCATCCTGAAAAGGGATTAAAGTTTCTGGAATGAAATGCACAACTTTATTTATGTATTTTTCTACATGAAGAATACTCAAATGTTAATGAACAATTAAACATTAGGTACCGTTTTAAACTTACTATTTTATTTTTTATTAAATGTCAATAATGTCCTATTTTGGCAAATTTACTAAAAAGCAAACATGTTAGAATATTTCTGATGGCAACATAATTTAGAAAATTAATCTTGAAAGCCAATTTGGCAATATTTATTGTAAGTTTTATTAAGTGTTCCCAGGCTTTGGATTCAGGTGTATCATTTCTGGGAATTTATTCTGAAGAAAAAAAAAATCCTATGTAAAATAACTATATTTAACTTTTTTTTTGCCCAGTAATAGGAAAATACGTAAATAAAACATGACACATTTACTCAGTGAAATATCTTATAACAAATATAAATTATCGTAGACTATGTGGCAGAATGGAAAACTGTTCAACAACAACAAAAAAAATGAGAAATACAAACACAATGGGAGCTAATCCTAAGTATCTAAATACACACATGGAGTTCTGATTTTCAGTGATTTATAGGTAGATTATTGGAAAATATAGTGCCTTATGCTACTTTTAAAGTTAATTGATATTATGGCCTAGCCTGAAAATTCAAATTTATAACACTTGGAAAGAAGACAGATAGTATTTGAGGCTTGATTGAATTCTACATAAGAGGGTAAAAGAGAAGAGTAAACACTGATTCTTGGCCAATCAGTTATGTATTCAAAAAATACATGTATTTATTGGATTCTTTCTCTAGGCCAAGTTGCATGCTAATACAAAAATTGGTATGTTAAGAGTCCTCAATGAGCTTAAATTCTTGTCCAATCTGTGGCCTAGGACAGCTTTGTAAACTTTCTTAAAACATAATGACGGCCATGCACAGTGGCTCACACCTGTAATCCCAGCACTTTGGGAGGCCGAGGTGGGTGGATCACGAGGTCAGGAGATCGAGACCAGCCTGGCCAACATGGTGAAGCCCAGTCTCTACTAAAAATACAAAAATTAGCTGGGTGTGGTGGTGCGTGCCTGTAATCCCAGCTACTCGGGAGGCTGAGGCAGGAGAATCACTTGAAGCCGGGAGGCAGAGGTTGCAGTGAGCTGAGACTGAGCCACTGCACTCCAGCCTGGTGACAGAGCAAGACTCTGTCTCAAATAAATAAATAAATAAATAAATAAATAAATAAAATTATGAGATTTTTTTTTTTTGAGATTTTTTTTAAGGTCATCAGCTATTGTTATTGTTAGTGTATTTTATGTGCAGCCCGAGACAATTCTTCTTCCAATGTGGCCCAGGGAAACCAAAAGATTGGACACTGCTGTTCTAGTAGGGAAAAAAGTGAACTAACTTGGTAAAGATATAAAAGCAATATGACCTGCACTAAATGTAATCATGAGAATATTTTTGCTAATTCATTAACTTATTCAGTAATTCATTCTTTGGCATAGTATTGTGGTAGCAAGCCTGAGCTTTGGAGTCAAAAATCTTTGTAACACTGGGAAACATACTTAAATTTGCTAAACTTTGGTCTCCTCATCTGCTAAATGGGCTTAATAATATCATCAGATTTGACGTGATAATTAAATATAAAAATAGGCATAAAGCACCCAGGTCTATATACTGCTCCTGAAGTGTTAAATCTTCCTGCAGCTTTTCCTGTTGATTCTGGGTCATCCTGAAAAGGGATTAAAGTTTCTGGAATGAAACGCACAACTTTATTTATGTATTTTTCTACATGAAGAATACTCAAATGTTAATAATTCTAACAAATATTTTCCTCAGATTCGCCAGTATCCTTTTCTACTAAGTGAAGATTTTGAAAGATCTCTTCAGACTGTTTAAATATCAAAACTTAATAGTTTTAGGAATTCAGTGTAAATGAATTAGGAGTAGGCATATTAAATTTTCTTTGAAATACACCAAATGTTTATAGCTAACATTAAATATTAAAGACAAAGACAAGGATTTCCAAAATACATGCTAAATCTCCAAACTGATACAAAAAAAAGGTAAGGAAAGTTTTCATAGAATTATCTTTTTAAACATTATGTCATATAATCAATATATTTAGTCTGCAGAGGCAAGACTAATCTAAGATCTCTCCTGACTTTTAGCCCTGGATATTATTAATGAGCACTGCATTAACTTCCAGTTTTGATAACAAATATGCTTTAGTTGTCTTTTTCTTGCACAAAAGGAATGAACCCATACTTTGCTCATTGGATGGCTTTCAACTGAAAGAAAGAAAGAAAGGACACAAAGATGACATTAGCCATATCACACACTCTAGGGGATTTCAATATTACTAGGAATATTATATTCCTCTTGAATAAAAGCTTCCAAAGAGCGTGACACATTATTTCTTCAAAGAAGCTTTCCCTTTTGCCATCAATTGACATGGCTGAGAAATTACTCTTATAATTCTTCATAAGTGAATATGTATCCTAATCAGAACATTCACATAAGGTTATATTTCCCAAAGTGCTTTTCGATCTATAACTTGTTTGGGATATTATATTTTTCAATGCAAAGCTGCTTGATGAGTATGACTCAGTTGTCAGGTTAAATGTACAAGTAATCAATAATACATTTCTAAGTTTTCCAATGATTATTTGCATTTGTATAACTAAAGAGAAAAAAATACTGGTAGGAGAAAATGGCTCTTCTTAGTTCTCAGAGAAGCTATGAGTCATTTACTCTCACGTACTTATGAAGTCTCACTTATTCCTGCAAACAGAAGAGGTAAGTTGATGTATGATTCAAAAGCATGAATAAAAACATGCTGTTGTATTTGGCTTTGCTTTCTTGACATCTAACCTGCAACCCAACTGCTGAGTACGACTTCAACAGATTAAAGTCGTGGCTCATGATGCAATCTGGAAAGGAAGTAATTCAATAAGTTTTGTATAACATACAACACAATGCTATCTGTTCTGTTGATAGCTAAATAAAACACATTTTATTCCTGCTTCCATGATAAATTAGAATTAAAAGCTAGCTGATTTTTTTTTCACTGGCATATACATAACCCTGAATTAAGATTTGGAAAATTTCAATTTGGTTCTGGCGATCTCATTAACTCATCAGCTTTGTTTTTATGTATTATAACTAGTATTGCCTTTCCAGATCTCAAGTATTTCGTGTGTACAATTATAGAATTGGAGTAAGCCATCACTGGGGCACTTTCTGGATTTTAAATTCAGTAGGTCTGAAATTCTGACACCGAAGCTGACTGTCTCAGTTAAGGAAAGTGTTTCAGAACACTAACCTATTTCCACCTGGACACACATCCAGCAATTAGATGTTTCTATACTTTCTTCTGCTCCCACTCTTTCTTGGACCACCCCACCACTTCACTAAAACTGCTGATTTAAGGACATCAAATGACTTCCATGTTGATAATCCAGTGGTCAGTTCTTTTTCCTCTAGACTTTTACACGGCATTTAATACAACAAATTACTTGCTTTTTCTTGAAACATTTCTTCTTCTGGTTCCTGGAACATTATTAACATCGTTCTCTCTTATATCTACCTCAGTATGTGACTCCTCCCACACTTTTGCTTAATCCCTTTTTCTTGACCTTTAATGACTGAAGTGTCTCAAGCGTCATTTCTCAGATCTCATCACTTTTTCATTTACATTCATTAGCTAAGTGATCTTATCAAGTCCTGTAGCCTTCAAAACATAGTAGCAACTCATAATATTATCTCTGGCCAGGAATTAACCCTTTAACTTCAATATTAAAATCCAATTGCACACAATATGTCTTTATTTGGGGACCAAATAGGCATTTCAGACTTAACATGTCCAAAACCATTATCTTGATTCCCACTATCTACCTGCTTCCAAATCTTTCCTTCTAGTCTTCCCCATCTAGGTAAAGGACCATCACATTCTACCAGTAGTCAAGGCAAATATTTTAAGATCATCTCTAACTCATCTCTGGAATAGAATTCCTACTCCATAATTTAAAAATCTTCTTTAAAAAATATAAGTATACAGAATTTTCTTAATTCTACTTATTTTTCATTACACACTCATTTATCCACACCAAAACTTATTTATTTAATCTTCAATTCATTTTTAAAAATAACATCACAAGCACTCATGAACCTATCATTCAATACAAAAAGGGTACTCAATGGATAATCTATGCATCCCCCAGCCTTCCACAACATCCGCCTGCCACTCCTAACCCAAGTAATAACCATCAAGATGCTTCATTCACTATTTCCTTGCTGTAGGTTTATATATTTTTAACTCATCTTTATGTATTCCTCTACATTTTATTAGCTTCTTAAAAACACTTTCATGGTGTATGTACATTTATACTCAATATTATATTGCTGAAATTCATCTATGTTGTTGCATGTGGATGAGGTTAATTCACTCTTACTGCTTACTGATATGATTTATTAATATTAATATGTTAATATTAATTCTATTACGTGACTATCCAACACGAGATAGATTCACTCTTGTGTCAATGAACTAAAATGATTGTTTCTAGGTTTTGGTCACTGTAAGCCGTGCATCTGTAAACAATCTTGTACATGTAAAAAGTTTCTCCCAGATGGTAGCAGATGCTTCCAGTATCTTGCCCAGATTCTCAGGGACTCCTTTACTGGGTTCTGTTGGCACTGCTGCTAAACGCTTCCACCTGCACCTTTCCCTGAGTGACAGCACTTGCAAAATTGATCCAACCTTATCCGGGTTGCTGGGCTTGTGCTCCTCCCACCCATTCTCCTCACTGGAGGCAGTTGGGAGTCAATGTAGGTGTACAAAAGCCCTACTACCCAGTTTAGCTTTGCTGCTTTCACTATCCTGCTTTCTAACTCCCTGTTAAATATCTCCTAAGTGCATTGCCTTAACAAATCATTGTCCAAGAATCCCTGTCTTGGGGTCTGCTTCTAGGAAATTTGACCCAAGACACATGTATCTGCCTAGGGTTGTGGAGTGTAAGAAAGTACAATTTTACAAGACAGTGTCTGTTTTTTAAGTGATTGTATTACTTTACATTTCCACCAGTAATGCATAAATGAGTCTGTGGATCCATATCTTCTCCATCACTTGCTATTTTTGGATTTGTAACTATTTTTTCCAATAGAAGAGGTGTAAAATAGGATCTCATTGTGATTTTGATTTTTTTTTATACTCACTAATAAAGCTAAGTACTTATTTGTGTGTGTCGGCCATATATATTTTTACAACATGCTGGTTCATGTCTTTTTTTTCTCTCATTTTTAATTAGTTCTCTGAGTTTTTCTGAACAAATCATGAGTTTTTTTATACGATTGATATCATTCCATTGTTATCTGTAGGCATTGCAAATACTTCCTAAATTTGATTTGTCAGTTATAAGTTCATTAGCATTTTTAGACCAAAAAAATGAAAAAAAATTAAAAGTAAAATTGAACATCTTTACACAGCTAGATATTTTGTAGATTTAAGAGAGTTTTGCCTACCTCAAGGTCTAAATGCTGATATGTAGTATATTCTTTATTATTCAGTGCTGGGTAGTTTTTAATCCCATTAGAATTTCTTTTTCAATGATTAATTTATCAGATTTGTGATTATTTGATTTCTAATTATTCAGAAAAAATTTACATATCTTTTGTTATTTTCTTCTAATTATTATATTATCAGTGAATATGATCTGCATATACCTAGTCTTTGAAATTTTGAGGCTTTTATTTACCTTTTAACATTATCAACATTTATAAATATTCCATGTAGGCCTAAACAATAGAATTTTCTCATTGTTGGATGCAGAAATGGTTTTTTATATCTCTCAGATCAAGCTTATTAATTTTGTTCTACTGATTGTATTATCTGCTTTTCTTTGAATTATTTTTGTGTTGAAATTTCATATTATGATGGTAATTTTCTAAATTTTTCTTGCAGTTCTAATTTTTGCTTCATATAATCCAAGGCCATTTCATTAATTGCATACATGTTTAGAATTTCTATATCTTCTTACAGAATTGGACATTCTGTTCTTGTGTTTTGAGCCTTCTTGATGCTTGTTTATGATGCTCTATCCCTAATAATATCTCCTACCATCTATTCACCACATATCATGGCCAGAGTGATCTTTTAAAAACTAAGTTAGAGAATATTACTCATCTGCTGAAATACTGTAATGTTTTTCCCTTTGAGTCGAAATAAAATTCAACATTACAATAGGCCCCCAGTGCTTATTCTGACAAATGACTGCCTCTTCTAACTCATCGCTTACTATATTTCCTTGCTCCTTCAGTGCAGCTGCAGTGGCGTCTTTGCTTTTCTCTGACCAGGCCAAAAATGTGCTTAGCTCAGGGCCTTTCATTTCCTATTTTCTATACCCGGATGGCTCCTCCCCTGACACAACTCTGTGGCTTACTTGTTTCCTTCACTCAAATCCCCATATTGGAACACTCTCTATAAAAATGTCACTCCCCAACAAACACATCGTCTCTCTCCTGTCTTTACCCTGGATATTTTAAAATAATTTTTCAACATCATTTGTTTTTCTATTCTTTCCATAAAAGTAGCACTGTTATTTCACTCACCGACATGTGTGGCAGACTAAATCAATCATTTATTTCCCTAGAGAGCATCCACCCCTCCCCTTCTATTCCTTATTTTGGTGAGAGATCTAACTCTTCAGCCACTCGTTACGTCTTACAACTGGTATATCCCAAGAGTCACAGAATGAAGAGTGTGTGATTGAGTGCTGAGTTAGCCCTGCAGGAGAAAAGGATATAAACAGAGAGTATAACAGATACCAAAGGACAGATACATGTAGTTTTCAAGACATCAGAAAACCAAATGGACATATATTCAGAAAATTGGACAGATTAAGAACCCTGCATTGACTAATTAGATACTTTGAAGGGCACAGACTTTGACAGTCATGGAAGTGTGTCCCTTAAACCTCCTTTCAAGAGAAAACCCATTATGAGGAGTGTACTCACCTGAGAGCACCCACTGGCCACTTCTTTGGAATCTTCCACCCTATTCAGGTCAAGGCACATTCCCCAGCATTCCAGGGCAGCTCCTATACAATGACTGACCATGGTGGAGGTGCTAGCTGAGACATGCCTGCCCAATACAGCTAAACTTTCATGAGAAATCGTTGTTTGGGGGTCCCCCCCACACTGGTCAAGGTTTCCTCAGAGCTCTGTGTGGCTCTAGGCTCCTCCTAACAAATCCTTCTTTCTTTCCTGTCTTCATAGGTGTCAGGCCCATATTGTGTCTGGAGTTGGTTCCTGCTGGTGGGTTCGTGGTCTCGCTGACTTCAAGAATGGAGCTGCAGACCTTCCAAGTGAGTGTTACAGCTCTTAAAGATGGCATGGACCCGAGAGTGAGCAGTAGCAAGGCTTACTGTGAAGAGCTAAAAGACAAAGCTTCCACAGCCTGTAAGGTGACCTGAATGGGTTGCCACTGCTGGCTGGGGTGGCCAGCTTTTATTCCCTTATTGTCCCCTCCCATGTTGCATTTCCATCCTATCAGAGTGTCCTTTTTAAAAGCCTCTCTGCGATTGGCTACTTTTAGAATCCTGCTGATTGGTGCATTTTACAGAGTGCTGATTGGTGTGTTTTACAATCCTCGTTAGACAAGAAAGTTCCCCAAGTCCCCACTTGACCCAGAAAGTCCAGCTGGCCTCACCTCTCAATATCAACAGTCTGAAGTCTCTCAACCTACTCCTGTTTTGTCTCTCCTGTATCTTTTACAGGCATTCTCCAACCCCATTCCACCAAAAATGTCTCTTTCACTTCTGATTTCAATTTAGTGTCTACTTCCTAGACAACTGAAACTGACAACAAACAGAGGCCCTTATTTGAAGGGGGCCATTAAAATATAAAGTGACAAGAATTTAATTAGGATAGATTTGAAATGTATTGACTAATTATTCATTTATTCAGCAAATATTTGGGAACCCATTATGCATCAATGTGGTTGTCTTCACAAATATGATGTTACATTTTTAAGAGGAAACCAAAACGTTTTTCTTTCTTGTTTCCATTATAGTCGTAGGAATTCAGAGAAAATATTTCTTTTCTTCCATTGTCTGGGTATGATTGCAGTGTTTCAGAATGTACCTTATCTCTTCTGAAATGCAATAACTTTCATTTTAAATAACTAGGCTTCTTCAACTAGCCACATTTGCCAGATGATAATAGACCATAAAAAATAAAGAGAATCAAGTACCTAACTACCCAATTAAAGATCAAAACAGTGACAAAATCAAAGTAGAAGATTATATTTCTGGAATGCTTGAATTCTCCTAATAATTGGAATGGGAATAAAAACAAAAATCATGTATCACACTTTATCAAGGGTTTAGAATAGATTCATTAATAAAATAAAGTTTGCCTTCCTTTTATGCAATAGATACGTCCTGGAAAGATGTAGGCAAATTGAATTTGTCTAATCAAATCATGTACCAATGCTTTTTATTAAGGAAAGTTATGAATTTCTTACCAAAGAATTGTCCAGAGTTTTATACTGGTTTTGCTTAAATCAAGGTAAATTCTCAAGATGGCATATTTCAATATACTAAATATAATAAATAATTGAAGAGGAAATATTTAATAATTAAATACAAAAGCTATATCTTGGAAGCCGGATTCCTACAAATTGAAATGGGAAATGTCTCTAGGTCAATTTGATTTCTCTAAATTTGTAAAATAATGTTATTTTTAAAATCAATATTTTACTCTTTAAGATATCTTTGCCCCTTTTAAATTTATCTTTGCTTTCATGTGCTCAGAAAGAAGAAATAAGGACAAATTTACTTTCTACAATACATATTAATAGTCTTCTCTTTCCTGAGAATATTTTTATTGCAAATATGTAGTCATATATACGTAAGATAAGGATATTTTAAATACTACTTTAAAAGTTATTACTATAATGCTTTAGCTTATACAAATTCTAAATCAGAGTTCATCTATAATTGATCCCTAAAGACTGAAAGATGGTAAAGGGAAGATGATAAAATTAGCTAGTTTCTATAGAAGGAACATGATGTGCTGAGTAACAACTATGAATTCCAAATGTCAAAATCTACTCTTACATAAAATAATTTCAAAGCTTCTGTCACCAGGATAAATTATCATGTTAAACTACCAAATTCCATCCAATAATTTGTTTTCCATGAAATTTTTGTAACAGAAACAGATTATCATGACAATTTGATGTAATCAATAAAAATATTTATGTGCTGATTTCATGAAAACAAGTTTTATATCTGGATGAAGATGAAGATTAGGAGAAAATAGCTCCTGCTCAGAATTTCAGAGCACCAAGGGCCAGACAATGATGTCCAGATAGTGGTTTTTGAAATTTCAGTGTTTTAGAGGGTTTCTCAAATGGCTCTTTTTGATTCTGCAAGCAGATTGCTTCAAAGGGACAGCTGTTTCCCTGGAGTCCACTTAAGTATCTGCAGGCATGATCTTGATGGGTCATATATTAGATATCTACTGATTATTCATTTAGCTTCCCCAGGACACTATAGTTAAGAGGTTACACTGGCTTTCCATTCAAAGGCAGAGCTAAAGCAGAACACAGAGCAGAACTACCTTTGAATTTACAGTCACTGTTAGCTTTTTTTCACATAAAATATCATGTGCTGTAGATTTTGAAGACACGGTAGCTGAATCCACATGCCTACAGTTTTTAAACAACATAAAAATGTAAAATTATAGAATAGCACATTGCTCTCAGTGAGGTGAGATCATGCCACTGCACTCCAGCCTGGGTGACAGAGCGAGATGCTGCCTAAAAAAAGAAGGACACTATCCTAACTTCTAAGATTTTTTAATATTGGGAAGATAAAAATATGTTACCAGATTACCTTATATAAATTATCTCCCCTTTTCTTTCAAGCACTGGCACATGTACTCTTGAAACATGGACTTTAGGAAGGGCACAGAAGCCAATTACTGTGATGCTGTGTAATAAGCTCAATAATGGTAAAAATTTCAAATGTTGGTATCTCTAGGGGAGCACAGAAGAGAAAGCAAATAACTTCTCCCGGGAAAATTTACAAGTAACATTATCCTGGCAGCAGCAGGTAATATTCCTGTGTCCTTTTCTGTATGGGACTTTGTACCCTGTAAAATATAGAAGTTAGAGAGTGAGGAATCCAAAAAGCCCCAATCATTTGAAGGTTGATACTAATTTCAGAAATGTTTGAAGAGTTTAAGGCTAAAGAACTTTTAGTATTCTTGCTTTTGGTTATACTGGACATGAAGATTTAATATAATGGGATGTAAATTCAAGTTATGAATGTACTCATTTTTTAAATTCAGAGGTCCTGAAGAGAATCTGCACCTAATGAATTAAGTTCAACTGATTTATGTTAAAGAAAACTTGTGGAGTTGAGAGCCTCAGGCCAAAATACAACGCAATGTTAATTTTTTTGTGTGTGTGTTTTTTTTAAGTGGGGGAAATTTTTTCTCTCTAGGATATGACTCTATGTTCCACTATTCTTTCTATAACATGAGATGCCCACAAGAATTTGTTGAAGAATTTTATAATTTCCTTGAGACTTAGTTTTCTTTTCTTATTTCATTTTTAAATATATATCTTCATTTGAATTGACCCACTCTATTTTATAATTTACACTTGGCAGCAGTTACCTACTACTTGCTTCAAAATTACCCCCAAGTAACTCTAAGTATCCCCAAATTCCTCTAAGTCACTCTAACCAACTTAATTATGTTTTTGATGGGTCAGCAATTTAGACAGGGTTCAACTGTGTGATTCTTCTGTTCTATGTAGTGTAAAATGAAGTTATCTGATGATATTCAGCTGGTAGATGGACTAGTCTTAGGGTCCAAGACGGCTTTGTTCAAATGTCTAGAGCCTTTGCAAGGATGGCTAAAAGGCCAGCCTTAACAAGGTCTGACCACCAAAACACCCACACATGACCTCACCTTCATACTCTCTGGGTAGCCCAACTTACATGACTCTAGACAATCAAAGAACTGTCCTAGGAGAGATAGATAGAGGCTAAAGTGTTCCTATATCCTGGTCTTGGAAGTTCTAGATTGTCACTCCTGCTACATTTTGTTGGGGAGTGAAACTTCACCTCTCATTAGGAGCAGTAGCAAAGAATTTGCAGCCATCTTTAGTCTACCACAGTCTGACCTCTGGTCACCAATTATTTATGTTTTCCCCATTTGTAAAATACACATGATGCCCTCTTAAAGCTCCCCAAAATGTCATCCTATTACAACACAGGATTTTGACATGTAAATCAGTTCCAGGTTAAAAATATATATACCTATATTCTGCTCCAACTATATATTTCTGCATAAAATATATCCAAAAACATAATGGCTTAGAATATATTTATTATTTCTCATGATTCTGTGCATTTACTGGGCTCGGTTGTGTGTTCTCATTCCATATCTCTCATGCTGTTACATTCGGGCAGCTCCTGGGACTGAGGTTATCTAACGGCTTCTTTACTCTTCATCTGGTGTCTGGGCTGGAAGACTGAAAACCTGGGATATGGTCACCCATGTCACTTCATGCAGCCTCTCCAAATGGCTAACTTGTGTTTCCTCACAGCAGGATAGTTAGACTTCTTACATAATGGCTGACATCTCCCACAGCCAGGGTCTGAAGATGCCAGCTTTTTAAGACTCAGAAGCGAAAACTGGCACAATGTCACTTCTACCATATTTTATTGGCCAAAAACTGCCAAAATTCAATGGGAGGAGATAAACATCCCACATCCACAGAAGTGTCAAATAATTTGTGGTCACCTCTAATCTGCCACAGTCCCATCTCTGGCCACATTCCTCCAAAAAACAAAATACATTCATACCCTCCAAAGACTTCCCAAAGTCTTATCCAATTATAGTATCAGCTCAGAGCCAAGGTATAGGATCTTGTCACCTAAATCAGCTCCAGGTGTGGGGATCTCTGGGTACAGTTCCTCCAATACATCTCTTCAAGTAGAGTTCTAGTCTATCTGAGGCCTTGTGAACTAATGAGACAAGTTTTATGACGTACCCCCCACACATCCAACAAACATTGATGAGATAGGCATAGGCTGACCACAACAGACCTTCCCTTTCATGGAGGGTAGAGGAGAAGAGAAACCGTAAAACAGTCACTGTAGTTCATGGAAATTCTGAAATACAGCTGGGCACTTGTTAACAATCATTGGTAGGCCTGGTGCTGTGGCTCACGCCTGTAATCCCAGCACTTTGGGAGGCCAAGGCGGGTGGATCACAAGGTCAGGAGATCGAGACCATCCTGGCTAACATGGTGAAACCCCGTCTCTACTAAAAATACAAAAAATTAGCCAGGCGTGGTGGCGGGTGCCTGTAGTCCCAGCTACTCTGGAGACTGAGGCAGGAGAATGGCATGAACCCGGGAGGCGGAGCTTGCAGTGAGCTGAGATCGCGCCACTGCACTCCAGCCTGGGTGACACAGCGAGACTCTATCTCAAAAAAACAAAAAAAAAAACAATCATTGGTTAGGGACCCTCCATCCTCCTTGGAAGTAATTCCTTGGTTCCACTTGCTTCCATCCTCCTTGGAAGTAATTCCTTGGGTTTACTGTTATGACTTTATATTCACTGTTCCATTTATATAAAAAATGGCCAGTATTGGACACTATGTAGCCTTTGTTACTACTTCCTACTTGTAGATATTTGGAGTCCTAAAGCTTCTTTTGTTGCTGTCCTGTTCCTAAACCATTTAGTCTTAAGATGGTGGTGTAATTCTCTTAAAAACTTTGTGACTTTTCTACAAGCCTTTTTGGAATTCACTCAATCAAACAAAAACAAAAAATCTCCACCCACCAATTGTGTCAAGACAAGCTCCTTTGGCCACCTGGGAAACTACTGTGCAATAACATCATCGAGTCTATTCTATCATCCATACTCTTGGTTTATTTACCCGAAGATTACATTTTCCTGCCTTGGAATTAGTCTTTTGCTTGAGACCATGCCATACTTGGAGAATATTTTACTAGAAGAGATGGAGAATGAGAGACAGTTCTAATTTCATTTCTAACATGTCCTAACTTTATGCTTCCTCTAAATTCTGCTGGAAGATTGGAATGTTTTATGTTTAGGTTATCTCTCTTTTCGTATTTTATCTTGAGGACCTATAAGAAGTCAGTTGGCACTTTCTGTATTCTGCCTGGAATTCTCCCCAGTGAGATTGTGAGTTCATTACTTGTCCTTTTTATTCTCCATATTTCTATAGATAACAGAGCTGGTGAACTTTTCTTCACTATATAAAAAGACTCTTCTTTGCTCTAAACTCTAAATGTTTCACTTAGTGTCCTTTAACTCCCAATAGTTTTTTCAAGGCCCTTCTAGCATTCAAAACAATTCGCTCACATGTCTTCCAGATTCTACCTGCCACCTATGTTCAAAGCCAGTGTCATATGTTTTAGGTTTGGGTGACGGCAGGTCCCCAGTTCTTGCCGCCAAATTCTGCTCTGATTATCTATTACTGTAAGAAAAATAAAATAAAAATTAGCAAATAAAAACAATAATCATCGTATTCTATCTCGTGATTTTGTGAGTCAGAAATTTGATCAGTACTGAGGCAATTCTTTGATTACGTTGCTGAGGTTCCCTGGCGGTGCTCACCTGGCAGAGGCTGGTATAGATGGTCAAATATGGCTACTCCCATAGCTGAAGTCTTCACAGGAATGTCTAGAAGCCTGGTTTCTTCCGAGACTATCCACTGAAGTACTTATATGTGTCCTATCTAGCTTGGCAGTCTTAACATGAAGAACTTCTTACATGTGTCTTAGGGCTCCAAAGAATGTGTTATATTAGATCTGGGTGAAAATTGAAGGCGTCTAATAACCTAGCCTTTGAAATTTCAGATTGTCACTTCCACTGCTTTCAATTGATCCAGCAAGACATTCCAATCTAGATTCAAGGTGAAGAAAAGCATAGTCTCCCTCTCACTGGGAGGAGCAGCAAATAATTTGCAGCCATTTTTAATGTACCACACATTTCTACTACACAGAATCATTTTCATAAAAACACATAATGTGATATGGGCTTTTGGGCATCTTTGATATGAATGTTGTTTTGCAACTAGCAGTTAATTCTACAATGAATAATTGTGTTGTGTTCAAGATTCATATCATTAGTTTTCATGAGGAAATTCCTTGAGTCTTAAAATAACAAGTCTGCAAATGCGTGTTTAAAAATAGTTTTCTAAATATTTTGTGTGTGCAGTTATGATTCTGTTCTAAAGGGCAGATACATCTTTGGGAAGATAAAGTGTTTTTAAGAAGTAGGTAAAATGTTTTTTTTTTACAATTAAATATGGGAATATTTTTCATATGAAAGTATTTTACATAAAGACCTCATCAGGGGCCGCAAAGATAAATCTATGAATTACTTTGGGTGGTAAGATTGTCATCTGTAGTAGAAGGCAAAAATGGCCCAAATTTTTACCCTTCCAAAATCCATGCCCTTGCCATGCAACTTTACAGTTACTTCATAATTGTTTTTTTTTTAAATTTCCTCTACTCCGGCTCTGGTCTTAGCAAACACAAATAGAAACGATAGTTTGTCAGTTTTGAATCTGGGCCTCATGAGTCTTTGCATACTTGCACTTCTGTTATTCCCATAAGAACATGCTCAGACTAGCTTGCTGGAGAAAAAGGGAAATGTGGAGCATAGCTGAGTTGCCCAAGTCACTCCAACTACAGTCAGCCTGGCTTAGCCAACAGTCAGCACACACTCAGACATGTGGGTGAGTCTGATACCTAAAGAACTCCAAGCAAAGCCAAGCCTAAATCACCAGCACACAGGCTCATCAGCTAAATGAGTACTATTATTTGAAACACTTTTGAGATGATTACTCATTAAGCATTATTGTAGGAAGATATAACTGATTCAGAAGTCGGTATGAGGAGTAGGGTGATGCCATAAAGCATCACTAAAATATGTAGCACTGGTTTGGGGACCAAATGGTAGGCAGAGGATGGAAGAGACTTTAAAAGGAAGTTGGACAAATGGCAAGGGAGCCACCATGGAGAGCTAAGATATGATAACCACATTATGCAGTTGCAAAACATTTGGTAAAACTCTTAACTGCTTTAACTAAAATAAAGTAACTAATGAATGTTTATCTTGGCACAGAAATTTCTAGGAAGAACTGGAAATAGCAATTGTTTCTTATTAACTATATGCGAAAATGTACCACAGTAAAATGATGAGCTCAGAATAGTGCTGAGAGTGTGCAAATACAATTTAGAGGAAAGATAGTGGGATGTGAACCTGCCAAACTGGAAGGTAAAACTACTGATTTCTGGCCTCTCATGCTAGACATGGCCTCAGGTATAAGGGCAAATAAAGGGTATGGCTCTGGACCACTTTATGATGACCTCTGAGAGGATTAAATAATTAACAGTAGATTCCCTCACCTGGACAAAATGTAACCTCTAGGAACTGAATGGAATGGTTCCCTAGCAGCCCGTATAACCCAAGCACCAGAATCAAGTTGGACAGACATCAAATAACTAAGTAAATAAATAAATAAATAGATAAATAAATAAATAAATAAATAAATGGTGTGTCTTTTGAGCTTAATGTGGACTAGAACAAACGTTTAAAATATAGTCAACAGGTTGGGCATGGTGGCTCATGCTTGTAATCCTGGCACTTCGGGAGGCTGAGGCAGGTGGATGGCTTGAGCTCAGGAATTGGAGACCAGCCTGGGCAACATGGCAAAACCCTGTCTTTATAAAAAATATGCCAGCCAGGCATGGTGACACGTACATGTAGTCCCGGCTACTCAGGAGGCTAAGGTGGCAGGATCACTAAAGCCTGGGGAGGTTGAGGTTGCAGTGAGTCGTTATTGGGCCACTGCACTCCAGCCCGGGTGAGAGAGGGAGGCGCTGTCTTAATAAAAGTAAATAAATAAAATAAATATACTCAACACTTTGTGTGTGTGTGTGTGTGTGTGTGTGTGTGAAGATTTTTGCTCTGTAGCCCAAGCAGGAGTGCAGTGACATGAAGACGGTTCACTGCAGCCTCAACCTCCTGGGCAATCCTCCGGCCTCAGCCTCCAGTGTAGTTAGGACCACAGGCTCATGCCCCATGCCTGGCCACACTTAACATTTTTGAGAGTCGCATTGGCAAAAGAATCAACAGGCTGGTCTACAATGGACTGAAACTTTTCAAAATATAGAGAGGCTTCTAGGACCTCATACTTACATGATGAGAAGCAAACTTTGAATGACCTTTATTGAGCATATTTGCTAATGCTGCCTTCAAAAGTGGCAAAAGAGTTCATGGAAAAGAAAAGATAGTCCAGAGGGTAGAGCTAAGAGCTATAGAGAATAAAAGAAGGGGAAACTCTTCATAGGTATGAGAATTGGACCTAAGAGCATTCTCCATCTCCAGAATAAAGGACCTGATTGTAATTTCCCAGTGTAATCTTAGAACATTTAGATGAGTGACTGCCATAGAGCTTCTCATTCTTTCCTTTTTCCAATGATAGTACATTATTGCTTTTAACCTACCACTATTCCACTACTGTAAGTTGGATGTGGGTGAGATAGAAAACTGGTCTTCTTTTGGTTTGTAGGTTGCCAGGTCAGGAATAGCTACATTCAAATTGATATAAATCACAATATCCTGGAGTTGGAGCTTATGTGTGATTGGATGAGCAAGTGAGTATATTTTATATAAGAGAGATAAATGAATAATTCTGTCCATCAGAACAGACTAGGGTCTTGCAAAGTGGCTCAGATTCTTAATTTCTCTGGATTCACATTCTTCGACACATAAATTGTTGATTACCTTTCTCTCTGACACTTGGCTAGATTGTGAGCCCAGAATTCAAGAAAGCTTTGAGTTTATATTTTCTCTCTCTTAACCCTTTGCTATCATCTTGACAACATACCCACTAAAGTGGGATATACATGGCAGATAGTCAGTGTGCCAAGCCAAGTTCAGCCTATATCAGCAAAAATCCAGCTCATCACCATACACCTGAATGAGTCTAGTGAAGATCTAAAAATTGCCTACACAAACCCAGTGAAAATGATCTCCTGCACTAGTCTATTAGGTAGACACTTATTTTTTAAGATATTGATATTTAGGTTTATTTATTACTTAGCACTTTTGTGGCAATATATATTTGACAGATTGCCTTAAAAATTTTATATGACGTATTTCAGTTAAACATAAAAGTGTTGGTAATCATAAAAGTAAAAACTATATCCAACCAAGTTAAGAAATAAACATTCCAAGTACTTTGGAAGTTTCTGGTCTGTACCATTCAATTTCTCTTCTTTTCTATACTCCAGAGATAACCACAATCATACATTTTTATTATTCTCAAGCATTTTAATATTCTGCTATGTAGGTATTTTTCTATAAACAAAGCATCGTTTTTTATTTAAAAAATGTATATAATGGTAACATTCATTATAACCTGCGATGCCTTTTTATACTCAACATTAGATATTTTAACTTTTATAATTTTTAAAAAACATAGTTCTGGTTCCATCATTTCCACTATTGTATTGCATTGCTTTGTATAGGTATGCCACAATTTATTAAAGCATTTCCTTTAAATGCTTTAGGACATTGGGCATCTTTTTGCTTACTGGTTGGATGTAGACATTTTGTTTTAAATTTTACATCCCACAGATCTGAGGGACTGAAACAATGAAAAGTCCTTACTTCAGCATGTATTTTATTCATGGTTCAAGATTTGTCATGGATATTCATCTAAAAAACACTAAATGTAATACTGTTCATATTGTCATATTTCATATTTTATGAAATAGTTCATATTTTATGAAATAGTTCATATTTCATATTTTATGAAATATTTCATAGTTCATATTTTATGAAATATTTCATAGTTCATATTTCATATTTTCATATTTTATGTGAACTGGTAGAGTTCACATAAACATGGATTGGCTTCAACCACCAGGAACATTCAGAAAAATTTTTGAATAATATATATTTAAATATTTTATACACACAGTCAATGCACTATCACTCCTGGAAAATACAATAATTTGCATTAATTCTTCACAGCTTAAAATAGACAAAATATTCTTCTTAGCAAGTCACTTTTTAGACCTAGCTGGTGTGTTAGCCCATTTTCATACTGCTATGAAGAAATACCCAAGACTGGGTAATTTGTAAAGAAAAAGGTTTAATGGACTCACAGTTCCTCATGGCTGGAGAGGCCTTACAATGATGGTGGAAAGAAAAAGAGGAGCAAAGTCACGTCTTACATGAAAGCAGTCAAGAGAGCATATGCAGGGTAACTGCCCTTTATAAAACCATCAGATCTTGTGAGACTTATCCACTATCATGAGAACAGCACAGGAAAACCCACCCCCATGATTCAATTGCCTCCCACCAGGTCCCTCTCACAACATGTGAGGATTATGGGAGTTACAATACAAGATGAAATTGGGTGGGGACACAGCCAAACCATATTAGCTGGGATCATTGTTCTAGGTGTGAATTAGAATACAAAATATTTTATGTGAGATTGAGTAACATTCTGTACTAAGAAGTTAGTATTATGATATAAAGTGTGTAACAAAGATCTCTTAAATGGATAGTTGTGAAGAACTATAATACAATCACACACTAAATTTATTATTCGGCATATCTCTTAGTGATTGAACATGAGTCTTGATTTTCTTAAATAGATACAAATACGTTACTTTCGTGTGTACTGAGACGTCATTATTTCAATAAGTTCAGAAACATTAAAGGCACTGTATCCAAACAAAATTGTTGACCTCTACTCTCCATGACGGCTGTGCTGCAAAATGTCAGCCTTATTCTTAATACCAAAATACTTATTTTGAAAATATTTGCACTTCACATCATTCACTATTAAGGGGAGTTTAATTTTCAAGCATGTGCAAATCTAAACATCTAAACAGACACATAATAAAGAATCATATAGATTATATTTTGTGTCTCAAAATAATACTATTAGAGAGGATTGAGACTTGTAATTATTTTTAACAGACCAAAGACTGACCTAATTTAACTTCCTTATTTTAATTGTAACACAGTTCCTATTTCCATTGTTATAATATCATTTACAGGACTTAAGGGTTTATGAGAACTGAAGAAATAGTTCACATTTATAATTTATAATTATCAATAATTTCCTTAGAAAATATTTTTATAATAAGAATGATTTATTCACTTTTTGATGAAAATGGTGTATAAACATTTAGATTTTACTCTGAATGTTGTTTAATTGTTACAACTTGTCTCTATCTTGATTCGATTTTAGAGCTGTTTGTGTTTTTATATTTAGATTTTGCCTTTACTTCATCTACAAATTTCAATATAATAATGTGTCTGAATAATTATTGCAAATAATGGAGCATTAACTTAGTCTGGGAGTCCTCAGTTTTCAGATTTTACATAATTTTAAGTAATATTTTCTGGTTAAAAGCTAAACTTACAGCAACCATGTATGTTTGTTTTGCTTCATAATTAATGATATTAATTAGCAAAACAGATTCTCAAGGTTTAATATAGTGAACTAGTCTCTTCATATTTTCATTTGAACCTGCTTTTTCTTAAGTTACTGATGATCCTGCTTTATTTGAGTTTCTTACAATTATTGCTTTGCAACAAACAACTCCAAAATGTAGTGGCTTACCACAACCTTAATTTATTATTTCTCACAATTGTGTTGGTTGCCTGAGTCATTTTAATGCTGGTTTCAACTCGGCTTACTCATGCAGCTGCATTCAACTTCAGGGTCAACAAGTGCTAAGCTCAGCTGGAATGATTGAGAGAGTTGAATCTGCCTCCAGGTTTTCACACTGAAAGAGGCTCTACTGTTTTAAGATCATGACGTCATCAGGATTTCAAAATGTCAGGGCCGGCTACGGAATTTGTGGGGGTTCAATAAAAATAAAAATGTGGGTCCCCTTGTTTAAAAAGTAAGAGTTTAGGGCCGGGCGCTGTGGCTCACGCCTGTAATCCCAGCACTTTGGGAGGCCAAGGCGGGCGGATCACGAGATCAGGAGATCGAGACCACAGTGAAACCCCGTCTCTACTAAAAATACAAAAAATTAGCTGGGCGCAGTGGCGGGCGCCTGTAGTCCCAGCTATTGGGGAGGCTGAGGCAGGAGAATGGCGTGAACCCGGGAGGCAGAGCTTGCAGTGAGCCGAGATCGCGCCACTGCACTCCAGCCTGGGCGGCAGAGTGAGACTCCATTAAAAAAAAAAAAAAAAAAGTTTAAAGATGACGATAGCAGAGCATTAAACCAAGTGCAAGTCCTTCTAAGTACAGATCCCAGTCAGACTTCATGGTCACATGCCCAAAAGCCAGCCCTGGAAAAGGGCAACAGTTGAAGTTGTAAAGTATCTTGGAGTCTTGGCTCTTAGATCACACTACTTCACATCTGCCACATTTTATGGCTCAACGCAAATCCCAAGACCAGCACAGATTTAAAGTGGTAGACCAGGATGGTAAGAATCTGTGATCATATTTTGCATTCTACCACAAAAGATGTTTTAATTCTGCCCCTTCTTACATCATCTAGTCACCCTCACCATTTTCTCCATTCCAAAAGAAATAATAATCAACATTTAAACTTTAATTAAATTATATAATAAAATCAAATGCATTGTACCATTTTTAAACCTGCATACTTAATTTCCAAATCTTGATTAACAGTGAGGGAAGATTGAAAACTAGAAAATCAATAAAATTATAAAAACATCTATAGATTGACAATAAAAATATATTTGGAAGGAAAAGGGAGTCTTAAGCGATCATCAGGTTGTATTATGAGACTATATAGAGAAGGCTACCAGATAATTTACTATGAACAAATGCATCTGGGTGTGTATGAAGCTATTCCATTTCAATAAAACAGAACAATGTAATCAATCCCCAGATCAAGTATAAGCCCCTGTAAAGCACAGGCGTATGGTATAGCTCAAATGAGAATTATCCTCCAAAGGTGCAAAATAGACCAGGTTGTCAACATGCATTTCTGACTTGGTGTTAAAAGGAACCAGTTTGCTTTAAAGGGAACAGAGAAGAAAGGCTTTGTAAATAAAAAATCTTTAAATCTAAGAAGCAGACAAATCTGGGGTGCTGTTATTTTTCACTGAGATCAACCCATATCTTTTTTTTTTTTGAGACAGGATCTTGCTCTGTCACCCAGGCTAGATTGTAGTGGCACAATCATGGATCACTGTAGCCTCGAACTCCAAGCCTCGAACTCCTGGTTCAAGCAACCTTCCCACTCCAGCCTCCTGATTAGCTAGCAATACAGGCACACACCACAACAGTTGGCAGTATTTTTTAGAGTTTTTTTTTTGTAGAGACGTGGTCTTGCTATGTTGCCCAGGGTGGTCTCAAACTCCTGGCTTCAAGCAATCCTCCATCCTCAGCCTCCCAAAGTGCTGAGATTACAGATGTGAGCCACTGCCTGGTCTCCCTCATGTCTTTAGAGCAGCTGTGCTGAGGTCGCATGCTACAATTAGCAATGAAAGGCTGTTTTATAATTTTGAAGGATTCCATCCATTTTACCACCAACATTTAGATGTTTTCAGTTTAATTTTAATATTGTCTTTCTGATTTATTAGCTTATTTTTCAATGCCTCTTTCTAAAAGAAACAAGCCCTAATTCTCTCCAACAACTCTAATCTTCCAGTAACATTTTATCACAGCTTCTCTATGCTCTCGTTCTAAATACCCATTGTCTTCCTTTTCTAATGTCTGAAAACATGTAGAAAGATAATTGTTTTCAACCCTTCTAATTGTTGCCTACATCTAATTTGTACAAGATCAAATCACTTGTTTAATAGAAAGGACATGAACATAATATATTTTGTCGTAAACTATGAGAATTGTAGAGAATTGCGTATTCATCTGTTCTCATGCTGCTAACAAAGACATATCTGAGACTGCGTAATTTATAAAGGAAAGAGGGCACTTGACTCACAGCTCAGAATGGCTGGGGAGGCCTCAGGAAACTTAACAATCATGGCAGATGAGGAAGCAAACATGTCCTGCTTCACATGGTGACAGCAAGGAGAAGTGCTTAGCAAAAGGGGGAAACCGCCTTATAAAACCATCAGATCTCATGAGAACTCACTCAGTATCACGAGAGCAACACGGGAAAGACCCACCCCCATGAATCAATTACCTCCCACAGCATGTAGGAATTGTGGGAGTTAACAATTCAAGACAAGATTTAGATGGAGACGCAGCCAAACCGTATCACATTGGTTGGACCTGTTACTACAGGGAGTAAAAAAGTTTAGTAACAGAACTGCAAAAGCTTTCCTGGTCTTCCATTAGGAGCTACCGGTTTTTGTTGTTATTGCAGTTTTTCCACTTGAGAAAGACACAGTGAAAAAGCAAAGACACAGGGATGTCTGTTTACAACTTCAGGGTAATTGAGGGATTCACCCATTCTGCTGAGAGTGCAACAAAGAGCTGAAAACCCATTATTGGATGGGGGCAAAGAATCCAGGGAGAGGTCAGATTGGCAGAAGTGTGGATCTCACAGCACTGAAGGCAGGCATGAGACAGGGCCCCCCACAGCTTAGGACAGAAGGACTTCTTCCTTGCCCTGCACTGATCATAAGTGAGTCTGAGGACGTTGAACAAGCTGGGTTTTGTGGGAATTTTCAGCTTTCCAGATGCTGCTTAATACTGCCAGACTGCACTATGTTAATTAAACTCTTCCTACAATGTGGTTATTATGGCAGAGGTCTGCCAATGTCCAGCAAAGTGTGCATTCCCAGGAAGAGAGGACGGGACTCTGCCAAATGATGAGGGGAAATCCAAACACCAGGATCTAGATTTTCTAGAAAAGTGTTCTCAAAACAAGATTAATGGCATCCTATGCTTCACTGCTTTCAAATAAAACAGTGAATTCAGTCTCTAAAAAGCACTATCTGTTGTAGATACTTGGAGCCAAATTTATTAATTAGAATTCTTTCAAATAACCCTGAGTCTCCTGCCAAGGACATCACTAAAGAAGAGTAAATGAATGTGTTCCTCTGCAGGAATACTGCCTCTACACTGCCTCTACACTGCCCTGCCTTAGATGGTGGTGTTTGGCATGGGAAGTTTCACACTAGCAATGAAAGAATACAATTCAGAAGAATTTGTGTAAGAAGATCCCATTTTTGTGAAGTAATAGCAAAAATGATTTCTGTACATGTCTACTACATGTCTGCAGATAGATGATGACAATGATAGGTTAGAGAGAGATGATAGATAGATGATAGATAGATAGATAGATAGATAGATAGATAGATAGATAGATGATAGGTAGATAGATGATAGATAGGTTTGTTTTATAATTAAATAAAGCTGTAAGAAAATAAACTAGTGAATATGACTTATGGCAATTGGTTGGAGGTAACATAGAAAAAGAGAGGAAGCCAGGAACAGTGACTCATGCCTGTAATCTCAGCTCACTTGGAGGCTGAGAGAGGAGGATCACTTGAAGCCAGAAACTCAAGTCCAGCCTGAGCAACATAGGGTATCACTATGGGTGACAGTGATACCCATATCACTATATGAGTAGTGATATGGATAGATAGATAGATAGATAGATAGATAGATAGATAGATAGATATCTATGGATAGATAGATAGATATCTATGGATAGATATCTATGGATAGATAGATAGATATCTATGGATAGATATCTATGGATGGATAGATAGACATCTATGGATAGATAGGTATCTATGGATAGATAGATAGATAGATATCTATGGATAGATAGATAGATATCTATGGATAGATAGATAGATATCTATCTATGGATGGATAGATAGATAGATATCTATCTATGGATGGATAGATAGATAGAGATAGGGGTGATACCCTGTCTCTACAAAAAAATTTTAAAAATTAACCGGGGGTGGTAGTATGTGCCTGTAGTCCACTGCTCTTGGGAGGCTGGGGTGGGAAAATTGCTTGAGCCCAGGAATTTAAGGCTACAGTGAGCTAAGATTGTGCCACTGCACTCCAGCCTGGGCAACAGAGAGATAACTTGGAAAGTGAGAAAGAAAGAGAGAAAGAGAGGAAGAGAGGATGAGAGAGAGAAGGGAGGGAGGGAGGGAGGGAAGAAGGGAGGGAGGGAGGGGAAAACAGGCAAAAAAAGAAATTTCTTTTTAAAAGTTATTAGCATATGTATTATTCAATTTAAATTTTGTATTTATATAAGATTATGTGTGCATGTATATTTGATTACAAAATTTAAAGTACCTCATATAGTTTGAAACATTTATTGTTCAAGGAATTAAAAGTTACTTCTGCACTCCTTTCATGTTAATTCCTGAGCAAGGAAATATCTGGACAGTAATTAATATTTAAGATACATATGGCCAGATGCCGTGGCTCATGCCTATAATCCTTGCACTTTGGGAGGCTGAGGCGGGGGATCACCTGAGGTCAGGAGTTCAAGACCAGCCTGGCCAACATTGTGAAACCCCATCTCCACTGAAAATACAAAAATTAGCTGGGCGTGGTGGCTCATGCCTGTAATCCCAGCTACTCAGGAGGCTGAGGCAGGAGAATCGCTCGAACCAAGGAGGCAGAGGTTGCAGTTAGCCGAGATCGCACCACTGCACTCCAGCCTGAGCAATAGAACGAGACTCCATCTCAAAAGAAAAAAAAAAAGATAAATGTATTTGGGCCAACTAAATGTCAGGCATTATTCAAAGTGTGGGGCCTAACAGCCTCTTTCCTCTTTCCTCCTCTAAATGCATCCTAGGAGCAATGAAGTGGTGTGATGCATTGCAAGCTATGAAAAAAAGGCTTCTCATGGTGAAACCAACTCTACCAAATGGTAAACGACAGCAGTAGGGATGGAGAACACTTTCCTGGTAGGACAAGAAAGACAAAGGAGGTATTTATACATCCATGGTGTAAATGAGAAAGATGAAAATGTGTCTGTACAGAAACACAATAGACAAATGTATCTCAAGACGTGTTTTTAAATATAAATGTTTTAAGATATTACTTGGTTTCCATAATTTTTCATTTTCTTAATACATTTACTTCTGAGTAAGGTAAATCAGGATCAATTCTTTGCACAAATAATTACAGAGAAAATCATTCTTCTCAAATGTGTATCCACCTTGTTTCATTCTCTTCCTATTCTCTACTTTGCAGTGGAAGATGCCACGTGACCTTTGGCCACCCTGTAAGAAATTAGTTTGATGTCAGGAGCCCAATACTATTGTCCTTTCACTGGCAAAGCTCCCAATGAGATCAATCAGAGCTTACCTCTTGATCTAGGAGACTGCAATTTTGTCCCAGTACAGGAGAAAATGTGGGCAAACATAGTAACTGTTTCGTCATCATCAACCACTCAACACAGTTAGGAGCATTTGAGTGTGTTTAACTCCCACTGGGATGGCAGCCTTAAATTCAGGCAGCAGAGCCTCACAAAGAAAGGCTCATTTGAAAAAATGCTGGGTCCTTTTTACTTCAGTATTTCCACGCATACAATCTGAGTTTTCATGAATTCTGCCAATCCTAGTTTGAAGATTAAATCAGATTCTTGGCTGGGTGTGAGAGGGTGGGGATGGGGACGGCTGGGGTTGATGGAAGGCACAGAATGGAGGGAGACAATGAGCATTTGACCAAATGAAAAATTACAAGGGGACATGGCAAATAATTTCCCTGTGAATATTTTTCCATATGATCTATGATTATGATAATGAATACAATAGAGAAACTACAACCTAACCCAATAATTATATTTTTATTCCCTAAAGCATGTTTAATATTCTCCAAGCATAATTTGGATAATGCATTATTTAAAAACAGATATATTTACTAGAAAACAAACTGCTTCAAATGTAATATATGAATTATTGCTTGACTCATTTCAGTTTAGTCATATAAAGGCACAAAAGCAGCAATCATATTACAAAGTATTCCAGGACTCAGGCTTTGCTTTCTAATTATTATTCTGTAAAACTAATTATTAATAGCTGTTTGTTTTGTTGTTGATGATACTTTATTCACTATGCATAACAGAAATAATTACTTATTGACAGGATTTTCTGCTTATATTTTCCTCTGAGATTTTATCTTTGGCTTAAAAACCATGATTGCATTTACATTGTTCAGTTTCTATTGAAGTTTGGAGTAGTTCATGGAATCTTTTTTCGTGTGTGGTAAAATCATTTAACATGAGCTCTACCCTCTTAACAGATTTTTGAGTGTATAATAGAGTATCCTTATTTATAGACACAATGTTTTACAACAGATCTCCATAGCTTTTTAAACATGAACTTAAAGGATATATTCAACAAAAATCGCAGGCAAAGAATGCATATGATGTGATATAACTTATAGGAAATTCAAGAACAGACAAAACCAATTTGTGATGATAGAAATGGGAATAGTAGTTTCTGGAGGGGAGGGCTGGGAGGCTGGCAAAGAGGTGAGGATTGACCAGGAAAGGAGATGAAGTTTGGTGATGGGTATGTTTAATATCTTGATGTAGGGATGTTTCCATTGATGTATATGTCAAAAAGCATCATGCAGTACTTAAGATCTGTGCATCTTACTTTACATTTATTGTATCTCAATAAAATACCATAAACAAAATGGTATTTTGTTTATATATGAGAGGGAGAAAATGAAAATAAAGAAAGGATGGGAATAAATTGAAGCAAGGCTCACATACCCAAGAAGGGAAGAGAGGACAGGACATCATAAATGCACTTCCAGGTCTTTACATCGCTCAGCTTGTGAAAAATGTAGAACTACAAACCAGACCTAAGAGATCCAAGAGGTAAAATATCCTATTGCAAAAGGATTCATTTCCTGACAATGGTGGGTCAAATCCTTCCCCATCATTTCCATGATTCCCTCAAAATCCCAAATGTCTTTGCAAGAAATCCTAGGAGTTAATTAAATCAAACAAACAAAATCTCTCTCTTTTTTAAATCCACTATCTGAATCTATAAGAGCATAATGTACAAAAAAAATCAGAATTTCAAATTCTATTTTAAATCTTTAAAATATGCTGTCTGTATTTTCTATAGAAGGTACTGATTGGTGTTCTGTATTATTTTGTAGTTCTAAGTTCAAAAGCCCTCAATCACCCACCCCCCAACACACACACACACACACACACACACACACACACACACACACACACACAGTGTTGCTGGAAAATATCTTACTAGAGAAAAGACACACCAAGTGCAAGTACTTGGGAAGATACAGTTCTGAAATGGAATATAATTATTCATTAGAATCAAAGAAAATGAATCTTAGGCATCTAGTACATCTCCATGCCATTTCAAGATTTTCTGTCCATTAAGTTACCCACATAGAAATATAAACAAGCAATATGGTATTTTATTAGTTCACATTTTTAATATGACATTTATATTCCATTTTCTATTTCACTAGTTGTCATGTATATTCCTATTGTTTTCATATTCCTTCTTTTGCCAATAGTGTTTTTCTTAATAAGGTTTTTCTTATAAAGTCAATTCTAAAATGTTTGGATGTTCCATATAATCAATTTTCCACAGCTCTGTAATGATTGCTTCATAACATTCTATGGTTGGTTTTATTGCTTTTGTTTTCACTTGTAAAACTATTATCAGAACTGAAAATACAAATGCAAGTGTAGAGTTTTCCATATCACTGCAAAGATTGAAATTCAGAATTTTTGAAGAGCAGTTTGTAAAAACATGACAATATAATCAGAGTCAAAGGATGATGACTTTTTGATGGAATATTTTTTCTATAAAGCCAACTTATAAATGCTTTACTGAATGACCTCATGTTCATGTTTCCAGTTAATAAGCAGGTTGCCAACTCCCAGCATATTATTGTCCACTGTAATTAGTCAATAAGTCTAAGTGTCTAATGGTATACTTAAATTATCTAAAAAAAATAAGGAGAAACCAGTCAATAAATTACTCTAGTATCTGGTATTTTTATTAGTTTAATTTTTACTAAAACATGACAAATACAAAACAAGTCATGTATCCATTCAATTAAATCACTGAAATTCTTAACTAATTACCTTATTGATAGGTTATCATGGACACTCTCTCACACACAAACACACACAAAAGATAATTAAAGACAAGAAAAATCTAGAACATATTATATTATGGAAAAAAATTACAGGCAGAACTCTCCATAGAAACTGTTAGTATCAAAAACATCATCTTCGTACAGGGCTCTAAGCCTTTGGTTTTCAATTTCATCAGACTTTAATACGTCACCTATCGGTCTATGTATCTATCTGTAATGTCTTAACTATGATATGAAGGAGAAAAGGAAGAAATTACTTTATAAAAAATTCTATACATTTAATGAGTAAATGTTTAGACATGACTATGTTAGTAACCATAATGAAATAGGTAGATGCGTGTTCCTCTAGGTGTCATCTCTGTGAATGCTAAAGGTACAATTGTAAATTGATTCATCTTATTGTATTGTTACCTCAAAACCAGAGAAACACAGTACCATTGGTGATGTGATTTGAGAAATGGTGAACATCTCATGGTAATGTTCTTAACAAGACAAAGTACACGTTTTCCTCAATTTGTATGGTGAGTTGCATTACTGGAAAAATCTTCTTGTACTGAAACAACACAAAAATTCTTCACTTTGCTAGGCTCATTTATTTAGAACAGTTCTTACACAGCCATGTATGTTCAATGGATCAGTAGAAATTCATACCAAACACTATAGTCAGTTATTATACAGGAATTTCCCATACAAATACAGAGCTTCTAGTATCTGCAATTGCTTACTAAATAACAGCAAGTTTTCTCCATTTGTCATGACAACCAAATGCCCCAACACATTTCCCAAAGGACTTCTAGGGGATTGTACATCTAGTTGAAAACCATTGCTCTAAATCAATTACACTACAACTACATCTATTCGCTACTATGGCCAAATCATTGATCTAATCAATTGCAACAACAAAGTTAAATTAATGTGAAATAGAATTCCTAGAATTTCTGCATCTTCCTGTTTTCCTCTTGTTTTTAGCCTAAGAGCCTTGACTGTAATGGGAGAAGAAGCTTCTACACTCACATTTGACTTTCTTTGACCTCACCAAGGTTAATGCTTACTATTACTAGGCACACATGCCTTGCTTAGGAAAATCATCATTTGTGTTTGCCTTTTCATTGTTTTTTTCAGAGGTAAATGAGTCATGTAAGGGATTTATGAGTTTATGTGTAATCATAAAATATGAGCCTGGAGATACTCTTACTCCCTTAACTGTGATTTTAATAACAAGAGCTAAACCTTAAAAGGGCTGCAGACTATTGTACCAAACCCTGCTGTAAACAATGTTACAGATATTAATACATTTAATTCTCATAACCTTCTGAGAAAGTTGTTATTACTATTCCCATTTTATAGATTAGGAAACTGAGGCACAGCCTAATGTCACACAGCTGGAAAGCAGTAGAGTAAGACTGAAAACCTGGCAGTCTGGTGCCAGAGTCCATGTGCTTAACTAATTATGTTACACTCTTCCTACATACATGGGGAAAATGGAGTGGAAGGGATAGTTATGAACTAGTTGTTTGTCTAGAAGCTTCAGAATTTTGTTTTGTTGTTTTCATTTTTAAATATCAGATGGTGTAATTACTCCTTTCTTCTCTATTGGATTTATCCTCAAATTATTGCTGTTGTTTTAAAGTAAGGTCCAGAGTTCCTAACAGAAAGAACCCATGGAAATTACCCTCAGCTTGCTGGTACTGGGTATGGCTCTGACTTAAGACTTATGGAGCCTGACAGAATATGCATTGGCACATTGTGTTTCTACTCATAAATCTTGGCCTTCTACTTTTCTGGCTTGAATTAAATTATCCAATGAACATTTTTATTCTCCTGATGCTCTCTAGCAAGTGAATTTATAGGTACTTAGGAAATACAGAATTATTATGAATCAGAATTTATTATGAATCAGAAATTATAGTACTCTAGGTTATAAGTTCTGTGAGGGCAGATAATGTGTTTGTCTCAGCACTTTGTCTCCTACTGCAGTGCCTGAGATCTTATAGATGTTCAATAATATTGTTATTATTAAATAAATGAATTAATAAACGATAGGCAAGATTTGATAAAACCTACTTGATTTGAATTTGCTCATCCTGACACTATTGCTCTGGATACTCTCTGTTCTAAGTCAAATTCATTTTACCTTCCATCATTGTTAAGTTTCTAAGCTGATCAGCATTCTGTGGTTCTCTGCCAGACATGTTCCAACTTATCATGCCTCACAGCTTCTTGAATTAAACATAGAATCAAATTTCTATTGTATTCACCTGTTTATAATTTCAAAGTATTTTTTCGTTATATTGAATCACCATTTACTATCTGCTTATAATAGAAATAAAACTATTTAATAATCATGTTGCATTTTAAACATAGTTTTCCCTCACAACAAAGTTCTATCTTGGGAGAATAAGTTATTCTCCAAGCTTTGAAAGAAAAGAAATAAATAAAAATACATAAATATATAATATACATGTAATTATATATAACAAAATTTTAAGCTAAGTGTTCAAGACTGTTTTCTTCATTTATATAATTTTCATATGACAAGCAATATAAAGCACTTAAGAGTCTATAAAACATTCATTGTACCATTAAATTGGCATACATTTGTAAAAGTTTACCTTTCATTACAATGATATGTCAATGTAAGATGATGTGGTACGCAGCTGCTACAGAGATTGTATTCCATGGCATGAATTTGTTGGAGATCATAAAGATTTAAAATGACAAGCCAATTATAATAGAAAATATGTGCATAAGACAGTAAAATGAACTAAATATATATTTATTATAAAGAACAATTCCTTGGAAAATATAAAACAAGCTTAGAAGAGCAGTATTTTAAATAAGAGTTTGCAGTAGATACAGAAATTGGATACACTTTTCAAAGGACCCAAGAACAGCTTTCCAGTTGTTATGATGCTATGTCTTTCTAGGAAATCCAAATTTTACATGAAAATAAATACCTCAAGGCCAGGCACAGTGGCTCATGCCTGTAACCCAGCAATTTGGGAGGTTAAGGTGGGTGGATTGCTTGAGTTTACAAGTTCGAGACCAGCCTGGACAACATGGCAAAACCCTGTCTCTGCAAAAATAAATAAATAAATAAATAAATAGCCAGACATGATGGTGCATGCCTGTAGTCCCAGCTACTTGGAAGGCTGAGGTGGGAGGATGATTTGAGCCCAGGAGGTGGAAGTTCCAGTGAGCTGAGATCATGCCACTGCACTCCAGCCTGAGCAATAGAGCCAGAACTTGTCTGTATATGTATATGTATATGTATATGTATATGTATATGTATATGTATATGTATATGTACATACCTCAAACCAACTATAAAGATCAGTAGAATGTTTCACCAAGGAACAGACCATATATTAATTTTCTGAAAATAGTTAATGGAAGCAAAAATGAACTATGATCTCCAATACAGACATGTAAAAAACAATTCCCATCTGAGGAATGAAGTAAAACCAAACATTGATTCTAGTATAGGAAGTCTTAGACTAGCATATAGAACAAGAAACCAGAGTGCCTAAAATTTGGGGAAGATACTAAAAAGTATTTGTAACGGAAAATTTTAAAATAATATGTATGAGTTTTAGATATTTGCCAGAAAATTTTTAAAGGTAACAAAAGAATGAAAATAGTAGAAACATGTCATTTTAGTATTGTGGACCCTTGCTACTTACAGCTCTCACCTTTGTCAAACTTAAAATTATAACATAAAACATTTATTGAGATCTGTGTCCTGGCAGACAGACTTAGAAAGAAGGTTAACCATTGACATTTTGTTGATACTAAAATTTCCCCAAATCTGCCTTGTCCTATTGTCAGCCATTTTCCCTTTATTAGTGTCCTCTGAAAGCACTTGCATCTGCTCTCCTTCCAATTTTTTTTCTCTCCTTACTTCCAAAAATGCACCCTAAGGCAAAAAACTGTGTTCATAATCCCCTCTGCTATTATAATAGAATGGGTAGGTGCTGTTATGTCCACAGAAATACTTCCAGTCTCTCATTACATCCCTTAAGGATTGCAGACATACTTTCCATTAGTTGACAGCATACCTTTTATAAAACTTCTTGGTTATCCAATCCCTGACCATTTAATAAATTCTTTCATGGATAAATGAAAAATGAATTGAATCACTATGTGCTAAATAAAAGGTAGTATGTCAACAGATACTTCACTGCTTTAATATTCAATACAATTCTTTCTGTAACTATTTTTAAATGGAGGGGGGATGAAAACTTTGATCACAGATCTGCAAACTGTATTTAATCAGGAAAGTTATAATTATTCACTTTTTCAAATTATCTCAAAATTACACCTATCTGATCTGCAAAAAAAAATATTGATACATAAAGAACTTCCTGGATACAACATTCTGTCCTAATAAATTAGAAAGAAGTGTATTCTTAATGTTTTTTTGGTTTTCAACTTTATAACCAAGAACCTTTATGAGAAGATAGTATAAAGTGATACAATTATTGAAAATATGGAGCAGGAGCGACACCAGATCCATGACCCTGGAAGAGCTACTGAACTTCTCTGATGACTCTTTATTTTAAAATGATGAAACTGTTAATACCAATTTGATAAGCTCAGAGAGAGAACTCAATGAATTTATATGTGTAAAGTGCTTTTTACGTTCCGTTTCTGGCATATGCTAATTGCTGTATAAACCTTTACTGTCCTAAAGATTCCAATAATAATTCTCTAACCCAGAAATAAGTACCATGATTTCAGAAACTATTTTAATATGACAAATGAAAATATGTATGCACCGCATGCACATATATTTTATATACACATATACTGTATACACATATATGTATATAAAATGAAGCCATTTGTAAAGATTTCCTATGAAGACTACAGGATATGAGGCATATATATGTACTTTTTTTCAATATAACAAATATCTCTTACTATTTTCTCCATTTACTCCCTACGCTGGATAATCTAAGGATGTATCTCTTCAACTTTATCAAATAGGGGTCACCATTGGGAGAGCCTTGATAGATTATATCTGTAAAGATGGCCCCATCTAGCTGAGGGCAGAGTTTCAATGTCTGAACTGATTTCCCCAGGGAGAACTCACTGGATATGAAGTTTCACTGAAATTCACACCCAATAGCAAAGTGCAGGGAGGCTCACAATTAACCACAATATGTTCAGTTCTTCAGATGAGCTTTTTATAGAGACAACTATACTTAACCTGTATGTTCCTTCTGTATGTACCAGTGATTCACGTTAGTTAAAAATAGAATCTAGGGAACGCAAATATAGCCTAATAACTGAAGGAATTTCATATTTCTTTGTGTTGTTTGAGTATATAGGCGCAGTTGGAAAAAGATTGCTCACAGGTGTCAAGCCACAAGACATAATTCCTGGTCATGAGGATACATTTGAAGGTGTGCTTATTCCAGTGGGGAAAAAATAGAGTAAATACCATGTCACTGCTCAGAAGTCCAATCTTGAACAGACTTAGAAATGATTAAGAAAGTCTATTTTCCCTCATTTAATTATTTGGTGGAATGTTTAAGGCTATTTTTTCCAAAAACAATAATTTTATTTATGTCAATTTAAAAAGTATTATATTTGTAAAAATATCTTTTATAGTTTATATAATTTTTTTATTTATTGGAAGGTGGGGACTACATTTTTTGATCAAGTGCATCTCGTGCTGTGATAAGTATATTCCATACATATTCTTCGTTCATGCTTTTAACAAATAAGCACTATTGTATTTTCCAACTTTATAGATGAGGAAACTGAGGTCTTTAAGTAATGTCCTGTCTAAGTAGTTTCAGGAGTGAAGCAGGAATTTTAACCAATTCTGTGCTAGTCTAAAACCTATGCCCTTACGCTACACTATGCAGTTGTTCTACCTGATATGAATACTTTGAGTGAATTATGTTTTTGTTTTCTTCAACTGGCTGTTTTGACAAAGTGGTAAATAAGGAGTAGTGCTTTTCCAGCTTCCCTTTAAGTGGCTCAGGCCACTATATATTTTTTTATTATTCTGCTTCCATTGTGTTTCAGTTTTCCTTTAAGTGGCTCCACCACTATATTTTTTATTTTTCTGCCTCCATCATTTGTCTATTTCATCTTTTGGATTTAGGGATGTTATTGCTTAAGCAAAGGTACCAATGGAATCATAAGTACAAAAGATGTGTATGGCCAGATGTGTGACTACTAAGTGCCAATTATAGCATCAAGATACCCTACCATGGTGCTTTTAGGAAACCTATTTCAAAACATTTTTTCCTTTCCTATTCAAGAAAGCTATGTTTTTATAGCCTTTGAGAAATCTTAGTGAAATAACCAGGAGGCTATGAGGAGTCACTTCAAGAATAATAAGTTCCTCTACCCAAACATCTGTCTCTTGTCAAAGGAGGAGCACCTCCAAGAAGTTGAGACAAAATATGCTACTTTTAAAACTCCACAATGTAAGCACCAAGACCTAATTCCCACAGGTAAATCCTGAGACACTTAGCACTCAAATAAGAAAAATATAGTAATCAGTTCTCGTTATTAAATTGAGTTTTTTAAAAAGATTTAAAAATGCTAAAACCAATGTTACAGGTTTTCAAAGCCATTGGGTTTAAACACTATCAATGGAAAATAATATAACATAAGATATTCTTTAGAATCTAAGACTTGGTGGACAATGTTTGTGAAATCTGGAGTTAAGGACCAAAACAACACCTATAGAACCGTGAAGCTCACTCAGTAAGCACTAGTCATCAGTTTTCAAGTTTCTAGATGAATTGAAAGTATAATTACTTTGGAAATAGGAGGGAGACTATTTCAGAGTTTTAAAATTAATCCTGCCTTTAATTAATTAATTAAAATTAATCCTGTCTCTGAGTCTATGAAAGCAGGAACCTTGTCTCATTAATCATCCTACCCATAGTACCTTTTGTTATGTATGACTGATGTGGGTGCTTAAAATATATTGGGAAAAGGAATCAGTGAAATAAATAATAAATGAGTAACTTGATAGTAGCCACAGGCAGAAAACACCACATGATTCCAACATAGGATAAAAGACTGAGAAGAGAGCTGAGTAGAATACAAAATAAATAGCTCTTTTCCCAATTTCTCTTCTACTGTCTCCGATGATCTACAAACCTAAATGAAAGCTTGGGTGTTGATGAAAGTTGTTAGTACTTATGCCCTATGTTCAAATCCCAGAAAAGTTTTCTCTGTGTCAAATTGTGGTTTTTCTCTTCTGTCTTTTCCTCGTTGGTCATTTTCCCATTCTTCTTAATGTCATACCGAATGCAAAGTACATGTTGCAATATTCCTAAATTCTCTGACCTAACAATCTTGTACTAACTTAAAAAAAAAAAAAAAAGGAACGTTCTAAAGGTCACACCAAAGCAAAGAACATCAGCCATCTTAGGATCTCTCCCTTAAATATGCACTTAAATTTCTTAATTAATAAATTCAAGTCACCAGTTGTCATCAAGTAGTCTTATTCTGGAGGGAAAAAGGCTGTAAATTGATCAGCTAGGTAATTCATCAACTCCTCCACATGAACGCCCTAGAACCCTACCTCAATAATTCATTGTGTCAATTTACTACACGTTCTCAGATAAGTTGTATTCCCACAAAATCGCATAGTAAAACCCCAAATAGTTTTTCTTTATATAAATTATATAGAAAAACTAAAGGAATTAGGACACTAAACCTACACATTGTTAACAAAACTTAGTGATGTGATTAGACCAGAGTGTTCTTTTCACTAGTAACCTACAGGGAAACAGAAAACTTGAAACTAGAAGGACCGCTTCAATAAAACCTAGAAATGTGATTAGTACTTTATACAACACTAACAATATTTTGTAGAATAATATTTAGAATTGAGAATTCAATTCAAAGTAGTTTTACAATTCAGTCCTTGCAATGAATAAGCTTTTGTTTAGAGGATTCAAAAATGCATAAGAAACACTTTCTTGAACCTAAGAGCTGATCAGTTAATTTTGGAAGAAGAATAACATGCACATAGTATTAATATGAAGCCGAAAGTACATTTCAGAAAGGAAATATTAAATATTTTAGGAATAAAAGAAGAAAAGCTTCTATCTAGTTAGGAAGATTATTAGATATTTTAAGATGATTATTCTATTTTGAACAGAAAGGTAGAGATACAGGTTATAGGAGAGTCTAATTTCATCCTGGTGCAAATATTTAGTGTGTACTTATAAAATGACAGATAAACATATTTAGTGCAATATATACTACGTTTTACAGTGATTACTATGTGACAGGCACTCCCCTAAGGACTGCACACAGAGAATTTAATCCATTCAATAGCAATATGAAGTTAAGTTTTGAGATACTCTGTTATTCCAATGACAAAAGTGGGTTAGACCTGGGCAGCCTTACTCCATAAAACTTGTTCTTAAATACTTCATCACCCCAGCGCTATGCAATATACCCATGTAAAAAACCTGTACACATATTCCCTAAATCTAAAATTAAAAAAAATGCTGCATCACATTCCTCTCACTTCTTATAACTGTCTAACAGGGAGAATAGTGTGAAAGGTATGGCCATTAACAGAAACATAGATGTCAAGAGGAACTACTCTGGGTAGAGAAAACGGGGAGTTCCTATTTCTGTATTTCAGATGACAAGATTTGATATGATACTCATGGAGTTGGTTTAAAGAGTTGGAGAAAACTGTAATCTTGATTTGGAAAATAAGTTTATAGAGCTGAGTATGGAATAAATGAGGTCGAAGCAGGGACAAAGGTAGAGAGAGGAGAGGGTAAAGAACAAATTCTTCTCTTCACTTAGAAAAGAAAGAGCAGGCAAAGTTACTACTGTGTCAAAACAGCATTCAACTTCTCACCTGTCCATCACCCACTGCCAGACTTTGTATCTGGCCTGCAGAACTTGAAAATATTTGCAAATTAGGTTGGAATTAAAACTAACATTTTGTGTATGCATTTAATTCATGCCATGGGTTTTACCAACTCTACCTCCTTGAATACACATCGTTTTATTTTCTCCTTTTTAGAAATGAAGAACCTCACACATCTCAACATCCTATAGATGGGAAACTAGGAGTCAACTTCAGATTGTCCAATTCCAAATTGGTTTAAATTTTTCAAACTGTATGTTAGAGACATCTGCCTTTTTTTCATCAACTTGCTTTTAAAGTAGTTTAGTTTTTATTATTGTGATTGAAATGACTTCGTTTGAAGGAGTGAGAAGACTTTTTAACATGAAGTAATGGTCTGTCATTCTTACAGTCATACTCATCCGATCATGAAACACAGTTTATGCAGGGAAAAGCAAAACCCAACATGATAAGTAGAGTTCTTGTTTAAACTAATGATTACCCCGTTTAAACAACATGAACCAAGTAGTTGTCAATATATGTAGTTATTGAGGAGATATTTTTGAAATACCAGCATGAGTATTTGTCCTAGGCAAGTATCATCTATCCATCAAAAGATAAAAAGGAGCCGAGACTAACACACACACCCTCACACGCACATTCACACTATTTCTGCCTTAGTAATTGGACAAAAGTTTGTTCTGTTTCTTAAGATTTTTGTTTTGTTTTTTCTTTATATTGTGTATGAACAATTTCCTTTTTGTCAAGTGGGGCTTTGGGACTTATTCTAGACAAAACTCACCTGATTTGAGCCCTGAGGAAATGGATTTAAATCTTCTCTTAAGGGTAATCAGGGAGGTCAAGAAGCATGTTAATTTAGGTACATAAAACACCATGGCCTGATAGATGAGCTATCTGTTCCACCTTCCAACTTTCTAAATTCCAGGACATCAGAAGCAGGTCATGCATTTTCAGAGGAAGGGGTGGGGAAGTGGTATTTCCTCTTTTGTAAGAGAAAAAGGAAATCTATTCATTTAGGTTGTATGGGTTTGATCTTGATCCTTCTGATGTAGAGTTGTCATGTGTTTGTTAGATAGGCAAGAAAGTTGTGCACTGACCCAAAGGAAAGCATAACGTCTGAATTATGACACCGCTCCTCCTACCAGCAGCCACATAAAAGAACCTTCTGCATTAGTAACTATTCAGGTTGACAGGGAAAGTTTGAAGGGGAATGTGATAGAATGCCATAATATAAAAGATGGAAGAAAGAGAAAAAACAGATATCACTTTATTCTCCATTAAGAGTTCTCACACATAGGAGGAGAGGTTGAAGAAAGAATAAAAATGTAAAAGGTGATATCAAAGGTGTACTCAATTCTGACTTTTATTCTAGCCATTCACCCTTTTGTACTGCATTTCATCTCTCAAGCTTTTTTTCTATAGTTTTCATAATAAATCTGATACATTTTAGAAATGCAGTTTAAAAAGGAAAGAGAGACTAGAATTGAAGCTTTCTCTTTCCTAACAGTTTTTTGGTTGTTAATGCCTCACTAAAAATACTACTATTTCCTGTTCATGTTCAAATTCATTCTGATATTTCATTCTGATGCCTTCAACATTATCGATTCATTATAATGTACAGATAATGTTGATATGGCATGACTGTAAAACACCAATAGGCAAAGGGCATCAAATGATCTATTTTTAAAATAGAAATGTCATTTTCCATAGTGTGAACTCTATCTGTATGAAATAACCTATCTAGTCATGCAACATAGTGAAAATCAATAGAATATGAAAGTACTAGTTATGATACGTAATATGTTTACAACAAATGTAACATCCCATGTGCTTGACTGAATTGAGCTTTAATGCCTTCATTTAAGCTTGGCTGACATGAGATTAAATGTTACAAGATAGGATATTTTTAAAAAAATCCAGCACTCCAGCCACATTATTTAAATATTTTTGGCAACTCTGCATTTTAATTTTAAAACACTTTTTGCCTTTATTAGGATTTTAGATCTTTGAAACTATAATGTGACATTACTATTGTTGTGAGAATAGGAAGAAACATTAATCTGCATGTTATCATTGCTTGCAGATGTTCATTTTTGTCCTATTTAAATGACTGCAAATTTTGTCATTTTTTTCTGAAAAGGCACTTCATTTTATATGTTACATCAGAGATGATATGAAAATTTACATTTCATATGTATATATAATGGAAAAATATTCTATCAGATTCTATTAAAATATAGCTAAGTGATAAGTCAGAAGCTCAAATTAGGTGTTCAAAAACGTGTTCGAGTAAATAAAATTTCTTATTTCTATTAGCCAGGAATTTTACATTTGCAAGTTGTAGAAATACAATAACATTGATTCAAAGCCCCCAGAAAGGAAGTGGGATTTATTGACTTTATAAATCTCTGAAGTCCCAAAGTTTACCTTCACATATGGTTGTATCAAAAATGTCATGAAGACTCTGTTTTTTGTTTTGGTTTTTTGTCTACCACCACCACCCAACCCCACCTGCATCCCATGCCCTTGTTTTTCTCCAGGTTAGCCTTATTTTCAGTTAGGTCCTTTCCTTCTAATGACCCTAACAGTGCCCAACTTTCATCTTCCTACCTAATTCATCAAGGCAGAGGAAAATCTCTCTTGTACAATAGTTACCAAAAATGTCACTAGTTAAATTTCAGTACCAAGGCATGAATACTGAGGTTACTTCTAGGTCTCAAAAGTGAGGTCATCCTACATGGATTAAGAGTGAGGAAGAGGTGGTTTCCCAAAGCAAAATACAAGCATTATTTACACAACATGTATACACTACATAAGCTCACCTGAGATAAATATATATTTTTTAGTATATTTCAGTAATGGAACTTCACCAGCATTAGAATTCTGCAAGGTGTCTAAACTATTCCTAATGGTCACCTATAATTTTGAAGGCTAATATTTTGTCATTTTAATACTCTAATTTTATTTAATTTAAAGGAGAGTCTATGTGAATAAAGTATTATTAACAACATTATTTGAAGAATATTTATTTCATTGCAAACCAGAAATCCATCTCAAAAATCCATTGAATTTTCTAACAATCAAATTCACCTAATAAATGAAGTTGGTGCTAATAAGTGACGACAATATGCTTGAGTTGTTTTTCTAAGAGAAGGAATTTTTTTTGAGGTTAGTACATACATAGGAACTTGTCCATTCTCTCATGAGTAGCTCATATGTGCAAGACACTTGGCTGGTCAGGGTGAGATACAGTCTGTGATCACTATGTCAAAAAAAGCCAACTGGCCCAACAGAGATCAAACCCCTGACCTCAGCCTCATTTCATGTAGATTCAAATCAGTTGTGCTTACTAGCTACAGACATGCATGAGTGTCAGTAAATATCCCAGATTTCCTGACATAGGATCCTTCCCTACCAGGCCACAGCTGAGCTTAGTGAGCCCAAACTGATGACTCATCCAGAAGCAGCCATGCAAATCTTGGCTTCCTGAGGAAGGAACCAGAACAGCAGGCCAAACAATCCTTAGAAGCTGATAAAGCTTAAATCAGCACCTTCTCCATTTTCCAGCACTCTCCTCTGCCTTCTCTGCCTTGGCATACTGATGTATTATACAACAGTTACATAACTTCTCAGGAAATAGAGCCCAGAGCCAGATGCTTTCTGAAGAATTAGAACTATTATCATTTTTATTGCTATAAGTTTGAGTTGTTCTTTTTTTAAAAAAAAAATCTCTTAGAGAATGATATACTCAACCAAATACAGATCTGGTTTCAGTCATAACAGGATTTAAATCTTGACTTTCAGATTCCAAGTTGGCATAACTTAAACAAATTTTTATGTTTTTACTGTTTCACACTCTACAAATCAGGTTCCAAAAGTATGTCAAGTATTTACCTTCAACATCTAATGAACATGTTCTATTCTCCCCATTATCTCCATCATCTCACTTTCTGGTTTCTCTCTAAATGGAGATTCTTTCTAGCCCTTGATATATGTGACTAAAAAGATATATTTTACCCTATATTTTATATTTCATACATATTTTATATTTCATACAATTTCATAATGCAGTATTTGACAAAGTGTGCTTAGAGTATTTACTTATATGTAGTTAAAATACTTGAAAAAGTTTTTGTGCTGGAGCTTTCCCAGTGCACAATGCCTATCATTATATTCACTTCAGATCATTACTTATTAAATATCTTTGATAATGAAAATCCTGATCAGAATTTATTGACTGAGCCTATCTTTTTAAAATATACATTTTATTTTACAGGCCTTAACACTAATACTCTATTCTTCTATCTATTATTATATGGTGATAGTAAGGTTCAAATTTTCTGAAGATTGAATCAGATATTCGGCCACTAAGTAGCTTGATTTAACCTCTATGTATGTAGATAAACAAACAAAATCTAAAGAATAAAGGGTCAATTTTATTAACTGTTATTTTAAGCTAAGAAGGAAAGAAAAGGAATGGAGGCTGGATAAAATAAAAGAAGAAAGAGTAATAAAGGAAAAGAGGAAAGGAGGGAGGAAGAAATGCAACAAGGTATTGCTTATAAATTTTCCATATACTTTTGTATCAGTCTGTTCTCACACTGCTATAAAGAAATAACTGAGACTGGGTAATTTATAAAGAAAAGAGCTTTAATTGGCATGTGGTTCCACAGGCTGTACAAGAAGCATGACTAAGGAGGCCTCAAGAAACTCACAATCATGGTGGAAGGCAAAGGGGAAGCAGGCATGTCTTACATGGCTAGAGAAAGAGGAATTAAAAAGAAGGGGGACGTGCTACACACTTTTAAACAACCAGATCTCATGAGAACTCACTCATTATCATGAGACTAGCAAGGGGGAAATCTGCTAGTCTCATGATAGCTGATTCAATCACCTCCTATCAGGCCCCTTCTCCAACACTGAGGATTACAATTAAACATGAGATTTGGGTGGGGACACAAATCCAAACCATTCAACTTTTAATACTATATTTTCTGTTTAAAACTCTGTAAAAATACAAAATTCAAAAACATATAGACTATTGATCCATAATATCAAAGAACTTTTAAAGTTAGAGTCAATAAGGTATGCATATAAGCAGTTGATACTGAATGAGTATTTGTTGAGAAACCCAGATAAAATGGCCAGGACATCTTTAAAATCTATTTCTGTGGTTTTTTTAAAAAATTTATTTCAAGCCAAAATACACTACAAAGAAAGCACAAGTTCATGAAGGAAAGAAATGAAGTGATCGTCTTATTTGGAAAGATTTATCAAGTTCCTTTTTTCACAGTTTGAGGCAACTCTGTGAGCACTGAAACCTGTGAAAATATTGTATATTGTACAACTGAAAACATTACAGATATCCTGAAAAATAACAAAAGTGAAACATAATGCTATTTCAGTTACAAAAAGTTAAATATAAAAATTTATAATAATGTAACTTATATGGATGGTTATAAACATATAATTCTAGACACATATAGAAACAGGTATAAAATACTGTAATTAAAACATCCATTAAAGCACATATGGACTTTAGAGTCTCATTGAAATTGCACTATTAACTTTTAAAGGGTCTTAAAGCTGCCAGTTCAGCTGTTTAAGTAATAGGAAGACTTGTAACAGGAACATACTAGGTCGATGTACTAGAAAAGCCTATATTTTATACCTCTTTAATGTTAGTATTTTCTGGGATATTTTTTACATATTTCATTAATAGCAGAACCTTTATGTAGGTGTTATTTCAGCTACAGAAAGACATTCTAGAATGCATATAAATGTACTTTGTTTGGTAGACAGTATCAAGGGAAACATTAAATATCCTTAAGTCTGATTAACCTGAAGTGTGCTTATGAAGGCCATTTTATCTCTCAACCAGAATTCCACAAGTGGTCATCATCCCACAATGTCAGTGTTAAGAAACTATTGAAAGTGGCAAGGTTGGGTTATAGTGAATTTATAGAAAAAGTGAATCCTCAAGTACTCATGACCTACGCAGGGCCATTGAAGAAAAGAAAACTAGAAGATTTAGTTAGGTCATTCTACAATTAGTTCCTCTTGGACAATTCCTTCTAAAAACTATCTCAGAAGGCATGAAGTATTTCAACATTATCTATGGAGTTGCGGGGAGAAAAAAAGATATTGTTTATGGCACAGAGTACAAAGTAAATGTGAATCCAAACATTTATTTAACATTTCTCTTATACTGACTCCATTTGGCCTCCTGAGTATCCATGTTAATTCCAGTATCCATGTCTCCACTCTTATTACTCTTTTCTGCTGAAACATCATTGTTTTCTCTGTTGTCCATTTCCTATCAATTTCTATCCGTTGTTCAAAGATTCAGCTGAAAGATGACTGCCCCCTCAACTACTCTGTTCAAAAGATTTTCCTAACTACTTATTTCTCCCTACCTTCTTTCTCTTTTCCTTTCTCCCCACTTTCTTCTTGTGTTGCACTGCTAGATTTAGAAGAGGTATTGTAAATTTGTTTTGTTCTTAGGGGTTATGCTCTTACTTTATAGACTTTCCCTTTGGCAACCCTTTAAAAATGTAAAATGTTGAGTCCAACCTTTAATCTATTGTTTAGCAGCAGTTTTCTCATACATCCATGTGAACACTCAGCACAGCATTAACCCTACTCTTTAAATAAGGAGCCACTCCAAAATTGGAATCAAAATATCATCTGTTAAACTCTTTCTAAAATAAAGATGATGTCAAGCACTTCTACAAATTATCTCATTTAAAAATGGCAACAATCTACTCCCCTCCATCCCCACTGGACCCACATTAGGTGGAGAAGTGATCATTTAGCCAGAAGCCAGACTATTCTCCTGTTCCTTTTCTCTATCACCTTTAAAACTTAATATTAACATGAACTGAAGAAAATAATGACCAATGTTCACACATGGAAAAAGATGTGAAAATTGTCTCTACAATTCAAAGCAGTATTTAAGTATCAGGCTTTAGAATCTCTCATAAATGTGCACAAAACACTACCTTCAATTTTCCACATCATTAACTTTTTAAAACATAAGCCAGAGCTACTTGAAACTTGTCCCTTAAACACAGTCATTATCACCGTTTTAACATATTCTTACATGGGAGAAAAAAAGGGTTGAGATAGAGATGGAAAGATTGGAATTATGCATAGCCTCCATCATCACATACATACTCTTTGACCATATTCTCTGAGTATCCCCTTCGCCTAAATGAGGTCAATATCCTCAAGTTGTTTTTTTTTCCCTGTAGTTTTAAAGCCACTGAGAATCAGGCTCTTACTCTGTGTCAGAGATTTGGTTAAATGCTTTATATATATATTTCAAAGAGGAAAAGACAAATTTTTCTTGGGAATCAAACTTTAAAACATTGTGGAAATGGTTTCAATATTCTGGGGGAAAGAAAAGAAAAAACCCAAGGCTGAATCCCCCAGTGTCAGAAGGATTTGGGAAACTGGCGTTAGGGGAGGTACTAGAAGGTGAGACTGAGAAAGAAGAGGAAGGAGCCCAATTCTATTTGGGATCAATGTGAATGATAACTTCGTGACAAGTTTCTGGTTGAGGAATGGCTGAGGAACTTTTGAAAGTGGTATAACTCTAATATATTTATTGAAACAACTGCAAATCTTTGAAATTTAGTAAAAATGTGTCCCCCTCCAATACACACAGACACACACACACATACTCTTATGATAGTGGTAGCAAGAAAAAGCATGTGGAAATCAAGATAGCACTAAGTTTATGATAATGTATTATGGAAAAGGAGCCTAGAGAGGGTGGGGACCAGTGAAAATCAGAAATGAAAGGGGCTTGGAACATGTGTGCATCACTAAGAGGCTTTAGAAACTGGATTGCAACCTGGTGTCTTGTGATTACAAGTGGTGAGATATTGGGGAAGTCTTTAATCCTTTCTAAGACTCATTCATCAGGAGTAGTTACGAAAGATGATAATTTTTACCTTGAGAGATTCTTGTATAAATTAATATGAAATATATATATATGGCCGCTGATGGGTTATATTGATATACTTAGTGTATTCCTCTCCTTAAGCCTTTCTGTTCCCTATGACTTAAAGTAGAAATCCACCCATACCTTTTATACTATCTACCAGTAACAATAAGGAGTATTTCCAGTAATAAATGTTAAGGGCACTGCTGTAGAGAGCCAGGTGTCAATGTGGAGTCAATAATCTTGTCTCCGTGCTGTAATCCTGCCATGAGTAAGCTCTCCTTGGCTTATCTTTGGCTGTGGATTTCACTTAAACCATGAGCTGTGTATGACTACACATGCCAAGCCTTGTGTCAAGCACAAGAGGAAAATGATTAATATCTCTCCATATTCTTACCAATACCTACAATTCTGCTTCCTAGCTTCTTTCAAGTTAAGACGTGGTATAATAAAATAGTTTACATTAAGGTGATATAAAATTGTAATAGTCTAATGTGTAAACATCTATGAGGGTGATGAGTATATTAATAATACTAAAAATAGGTAACATTTACTGAGCACTTCCTGTGTGGCAGTCACTAATATAAATACCGTTTATCTTTTATAGTGTGTAACTTCATAGCAAGCATATATTAACAGTAAAGTTACTGTTAATATCCCCACTTTGAAAGTAAAAATAACAGCCAAACTTAAATAGGTGAAAGAATTTAGACAATTAACTTGTCACAGTTAAATAGCAGGACAACGATTCAAAAATGATTTGCAATATTTAATAAATATTAAGTCATTACTATTAATATCTGCTATTAATATTCATATTAATATTATTATTAATAGTCCCCTTCAAATATGTTATTATCTCATAGCATTACATAACAGGACAAATTAGATCATCATATTACTTTCTGACATAAAAAAGAGACTCTTGCCTTAATCTTTTGGAAATATTTTCTAAAAATTGAATCTTACCAATATCCCCATGACTTAATGTTTCTGAGCTCTAGTCCTCCATATCATGTCACTCTCTATTTAAAATCCCTCAAAATTTATAGATCTTATAGCTCAGAGAATGTAGTACACTTTTCTCTAAGGTCAGATTGATTAGCTTCTCCAGCTTTATTTTGCAAATACGTTAAAAGTTCTTCTACTTCTGTGCTTCCACTGCTGCATATAATCACCTTGCCAACCTCCACTCAACTCCAGGGCCAAATTAAGTATAACTTTCATGGCAAAGAGACCCTGTGCTCCAAACTAGGTTAAATCTACCTGTTAGAAGCTATCACTACGTATTCTTCCAGCCTCTTCCATGCAACAATAGCACTAATTAAAACCAATTCCTACAATTGTTTACTCTTTTCCCATAGATAGAAAAACCCATAAGGGTAAGAGTATGTCTATTCCATTTTGTTTTTCTTATTTTCACCACTTTATCCCATTTCCTATCATACCATGCCCTATATTCAGTACTGTGATGGTCAACTTTAGGTTCAACTTGACTGGATTAAGGAATATCTAGATAGCTAGTGAAGCATTATTTTAAGGTGTGTCTGTGAGGACATTTCCAGAGGAGATTGGTGTGTGAGTCAAGGACTGAGCGGGGAAGATTCACCCTCAATGTGGGAGAGCACTATCTAACCAGCTGGGGTCCGGCATAGAACAAAAAGGCAGAAGAAAGGTGAATTTGCTCCCTTTCTCTCCTGGAGCTGGGACACCCTCCTTTTCCTGACCTTGGACATCACAACTTTAGGCTCTCAGGCCTTTGGACTTCAAGACTCACAGCAGCCATTCCCCAGGTTTCTCAGGCGTGCTGCCTTGGACTGAGTTACAGCATCTGCTTCCCTAGTTCTGAGGCTTTTGGATTTGAAATGAACCACACTATCAGCATCCCCAACTCTGTCATGGGACCTCTCAGCCTCCGTAATCACATAAGCCAATTCTTCTAATAAATACCCTCTCATCTATCTGTCTCTCTATATATTCCTTTGGTTCTTTTTCTCTGGAGAACTCTGACTAATACAAGTACCAACCAGACATGTTCTTATGCGCACACAGACACCATATTCTAAATGTCCACACATTAGCTCCTTAACCTCTCCCCAAATCTTCAGAATTTGCCTTCATCTCCACCATGATGATCTGTCTATTTATTCAGTCACCTAGGAAATCGTTCTACACTGCCTTTTTCTCTGCCCCTGTTCATCCAGGGTCATCAAGTCACATGCATTCTGCTTCTTAAACTCTTCCTCCTCCCCATCTGCATGATTTTAGTTACAACACTCACTCTTTCTTGAAATATTTTCAGAACTTGTCTGGTCTCTTTGCTTCCAATGTGCCCCTCAAAAATATCTTTGTTTTTTTCTAAAAACACAGCTGGCCAAGTTAATTTCCTGCTGAAAGTCCTTCAATGAACTATTAATATTTAAATGTCTTCAAAATATTGTCTCATACTTTTTCTATTGTCCTCCCCCAGCACTCACATTCACTCCAATCTCTAATTCTGCTGCACATTTCTAATATCTTACCAATGTCTTGAATTTCATTGGCCTTTTTTTCTTCTTTTGTTTGGGGTACATTTCCCTCCTTTGGGAATGTAGGTAATGCCTATTAATCCTTAAGAATCGCCTGTCTATTCCTTTAAGAAACTTTCTTTTACTCACTCGTACCTCTTACTCCATTCTTCAGGGTTGGCCCTCCCACAGTGCCCCATAGTCAGATATATAATTTTAATATTGTATTTGTATTGTCAACTAATACAGAGATGGAGACATCAGATTTGGTTAGAAAAAATTTCAAAATACAAATTGGTTTAGAAAGAATACAATTTTCCATTGTTTGCCATTTTGTATGGCATTCAATATTTCATTCTCATTCCAATTTCAATTTGAGAGAAAATCCAGACACCACAAGAACCAACTGAGAGTTGTGGTTTTGTTTTGGTTCCATAATGAAACATTTGTAATAAAACCTTCCTAATGGTATGATGAAGCCTACGGGAACTGTAAAAACACAACAGCTCCCAAAGTTATTTTTTTCTTTTTTTTCTTTTTTTTTTTTTTTCTGTAGCTCTAAATTGTGGAGTTTTGAGATAAAAGCTTTAAAACCTTCAAAAATGATTTGAGTTACTTCCTGCTATTTAGAACTACAAAGACAATATTCCAACCTGGGTAACATTTTCCTGCATTAAGGGAACCTCAAAGGAATCTCCACAGAAGTAAGCTGTGGACTGTGAGCGACAACAAACGTGACCTCTCACTCTTTCACAGAAATCATGTGATGATTTCAAGGAACTGGTATCCTCTTCTTTTCTGTCTCACTCCTCGTGTTAGATGAGATGACGTTAGAGAGATATACTTTCATCAACCTACATGATTTTCTATTTGTCCTCTATAATTTTATGATTTATAAAGTTAAATGTTTGAAATATGAAAGGAAGACACCTGACTTTTTTATTTTAACCTGTCTTTCCAATGTCTTTATAAGCACTGTAATTTACTATTAAACCTATTATTTTATTTTCTACATTATAAGTGATTAAATAAGTTTGGATATTAAATGTTTTTAAATGAAGAAAATTCATAGATATCATTACAAAGATTACACAGATATCATTTAAATTGGATATTTTATATATATATATATGCTGTGGACTGTCTATGTATATGCAGAATTCACAGGAAACTATTGACAAGACAGAAATCTATTGACAGAATAGATAAATTCTGATTTTAAAAGCCCCCTTGAAAATTAAAAAGAGAAATCTCCCTGTATCCTCATTAACTTGACTGAATTTCTTAATCTGTCTCTTTCCAGATTTCATAGTAAATAACAATATCTACTTCGGATTTCTATGTTGGTCAAATGAAATACAATATATAAAGTTCCCAGCATAAACCTAGCATGTGAAAGACTCTAAGTAAATATAAGTATTCTCTCTCAAAATGTTTGAAATCATAGTAGTTCTAAATATTTAACAATTGTTTTATATGTTCAGCCATTGTAACATAATATTTTAAATTGTCAGAAAAGAAAATGTAGCTCTTAAACTGAAGTCATATGCTTATTTTGATCCAATATTTCAAAGGTCCAGAGCACATTTTTAGATTTAATCTACCCAGTACTTCGCATGACAAGTGGTAACAGTGGAAAATTGATGTCTCTTAAAAAAATATAATAGATATATTGTATTGAGCACAGAGTGTGAAAGTTGTGGTGTAGAGGAGAGAAAGAGGAAGGGTTCCAGTTTCCTAAATGAGGATTATCTCTTGTGGACTTTGAAATGTTAATATGTAATTTTACCCTGCACAACACAGTAATCCAATTTCCTAATCTGCACAGTGAAGATAATAGTATGTCATCTGTTTGCCTTTCATAAGTAACCCAAAATAAGGGGTTTACAGGGATATTTTTGCTTTAAGTTGTCTTATTGAGGTAAATTTGAAACAAATATTAAACTGAACATTCTTAAAGTTATAATCTAATACGTTATTACATAAATGTATCCCTGAGAAACCATCACCACAATCAAGATAGTGAACATTTCCATCAATATCATCACCACCAGGGATTCTTAGTGGCCGTGGATAATCCCTCCCTCTTATCTTCTGCCCCCCAGTCTCTTGAGCAACCACAAATCTGCTTTTTGTCAGTATAGATTATGTTGCATTTTCTGAAGTTTTATATAAATGGAATCACACAGTATGTACTCTTTGTTATCTGTATTCATTCACTCAGTTTAATCATTTTGAGACCAATTTATGTAATTGCATTCATCTATAGTTCATTATCATTTAGTGCTGAGCAGTATTCTATTGCATGAATATTCCAAAATTTGTTTATCATTTCCCTTATTGAAAAATATCTAGATTGTACTGAGTTTCTGGATATTACAAACAAAGCTTCTGGAACATTCTTGAACAAATGTTTGGATGGGTACATGCTTTGACATCTTGACAAACATCTAGGTATGGAATGGCTACATCATGTGGCAGGTGTATGGGTAAATATTTTTAGGAAATGAACATACTGCTTCCAAAGTGCATAATTTTACATTCTCATCAGCAGTATGAGAATTCCAGTTACTCCAAATCATTGCCAGCAGTTGGTAGGATCAGTCTTTCATTTTAAACAATCTAATAGGGATGTGGTAGTATCGCACTGTGGTTGTATATTTTTAATTGAACTTTTTACTTTGAAATAACTACAAATTCACATGCAGCTATAATAGAGATCTCATGTGCCCTTTGCCCATTTTTCCTCAATGGTAACATCTTGAAAAATGATAGAATAATATCACAACCAGAATAATGACATTGATGCAGTCAAGATGAAAAACAATTCTGTCACCACAAGGATCTCTTCCGTTGCCTTTTTCAAGTCACATCTACGGGCAATCTGTTGTTTTCTGTGTGCTTCTTTCGTTTCTTGTTCTTCTGTTTCTTTTTTCTTAGACCCCTGTGGGAAGCCTGAACATTTTCTAGGATTATATCTTGTTTTATTTGTAGTACCTTGTTATGCCATTTTATAGGTAGTTTGTTTTAGTGGTTGCTTTAGGTACTACAATATACAAACATAATTTGTTGTACTCTATTATTTATCAATGTTTTAGCATTTTGAGTGAGCAAAGTATAGAAATCTTAGTCCCATTTGTGTTTCTTTACCCTCTCCACTTTTTAAAAAAAGAGTTGTCTTAAGTATTTCTTCCACATACATAGGGCATCCATCAAATGGTATTGTAATTTTTGCTTCAATCATCAATTATGATTTAAGAAACTCATGAAAAGGAAGATCATCTATTATTTACTTTATTTTTATGAATTCTGATATTCTTTTTCCGTTTTAGAAGTTTCGAGCTTTCTTCTGTTTCTGTTTGTTTTCTGCTTAGAGAACTTCCTTTAGCCACTTGTTAAGGATAAATTTGCTGGCAATGGATTCTGTTAATTTTTCTTTGTCTGAGAATGTATTTATTTCCCATTAATTCTGAGTGATATTTTTGCTGGATATAAAATCTGTCATTGTTCACTTCTCTCAGTGTTTAATAAAATATTTTACTTTCTTTTGGTCTTCCATGATTTCGAATGAGAAATATGCTGTAATTCAAATCAGTGTTAGTACATAATTACTGTGTTGTTTCCCTATGGCTGCTTTCAATATGTTTTTTTGCTCTTAGTTTTCAGGAATTTAATTATGACGCGTATTTACATGGATGTGTTTGTTTATCCTATTTGGAATTGGCTCAGCTTTTTGAAACTGCAGGTTTATGCCTCTGTGCAAATTAGGGAAGTTTTCAGCCATTATTTCTTAAAATACTTTTCAAATACTTCAAGTACTCTTCTCTCCTTTTGTGACTGCAGTGATATCAATTTAGCCATTTGGGATTGTCCAACAGATCATTTTAAGTACTTTTTTTTGGTTAAGTACTTTTTTTTCGTTTTTCACTTTGGGTAAATTATCTTCATCTATTCTCCAGTTCATTGGTTTTTATGTCCTTTCATCTCCATCTTAATATTGAGCCCATTCTGTAATTTTTTTCAGTTATTAGATCTTTTAGTTCTATAATTTCCATCTACTTCTAACTCCTATTTATTTGCAGATTTTTAATTTTTTCACTTGTATAAAAAGAATTTGTAATTGCTTATTGAAGCTGTTTCAATATCTTGTCAGATAATATCGACATATGATTCATCTCGATGTTGGTATCCATTGCTTATATTTTCTCACATTTTGATTTTTCTGGTTCTTAGAATTAGAAGTGATTTTTAAATTGCACTCTGAAACTATATGGTATTATAACATGATACTCTCAATCCTATTTAACCATTTTTTTAGAAAGCAATCCTCTATTTAGCTGTAACTCTAAGGACATTTAGGTATGTATATTCACCTTCCTACTATACCTTATAGACACTTTCCTGCAATCACGAGGTACTGACTCATGCTGCTTCACTGCAGACAGCTGGGATGGCAGTTAGCTTCCCTCTTGACCTGCTGACACCTTCCCTTTAAAAGTATCACAACACCTCACTTCTGAGTGGAGGTGTAAGATTAGCTTGCCAAGGGCTGTGTTGCTTCGTAGAGGATGGAAGTGAAGAGCTCAAACCCATATTGGTTTTTTGCTGCAGGTCCAGGGTAGGCAGAAGCTCGGTTGCCTATTTGGTCCCACTGGCACCAAAGAAAAAGGACCTGGTAGAAACAGAGTGTTAACTAGACTTGTCTCCACCACTACTTTCTACCTCCCGGATGGATGCTCAGCAATCCGTTAAACCTGCAAGCCATGCTGGGGGGTTAGGGAGCTATGATCAGAAACAGGAGTGTGGCTAACACTACTTCAAACCACTTTATTTATTTTCACTTCTGCCTAGTGGATATGGAAATTCTGTTCCCAACTGGATATCAGTGAAGTTACAGATGGAAGAAATTAAAGTGTATACTAGCACTTATTTTTAACTCTTTGTTTAGTTTTATTGATACCAGTTGAGGTGAGGATTCATCCCCTAACTGACAAGGAGAGGGAGGAATGAATTCTAGTGGTGACCAGCCATATTTGCACTGCTTTATTTATTAAGTCTCATTACTGTTGGGAGAAGAGTGGAGGCTCAGCTGACCACAAAACCCAACTTACCCTATGTGGTGAAGGAATAGCTATACTACCTGGATCTTCCAGGAAGATAATGGACTCTTCCAGGAAGATGATGGAGTCTTTCAAGAAGATAATGCCTGTTGCATCCGGCAATACCGGAATTGGTTTTTGTTAGTGGAAAATTATGGTGAAAGATCAACTCAACTCCCTCCATTGCTTGATATCTAGTGTCTTGAAAAGTATTGGGTTTTTGCTCAGTTTTTGATTTTTCTGGCAGGAGAATAAACCTGGTCTCTGTTATTCTATCTTGGCTACACCGATGTCTCATGTCTAGAGTCTAGTGAGCAATGGTGTTTTATAATGCAAGCAAAAATAAAATGGGAGATGGAAAGCTACTTATTCAAATAAGTGAAATTGAATATCTCATCTACATTTCTGTGTGAAATTTATAGTTCACTACAAATTTAATAGTATCACAACAATATAGACTTCTTAGTTTTGATAATTGCACTATAGTTATGTAAGATGTTAATTAGTGCAACCTAGGTAAAGGGAATATGGAAACTCTATACTATTTTTACAACTCTTTTTTAAGTCTGAATTCATCTCAAAGTAAAAGTTAACCTTAGAAAATTGTACATTCTTATTATCAGTGTCAATGACTTAAAATTCTGAGTCATTTTCATTTTTAATTTCACTCCTACGCAATCAGCCACCAAAGCTTGTCATTTCTAACTCTTCACTATTTTTTGTCTTCTGCAGTACAGTCTTTGCTCAAGTTCTGATTAATCCTATAGTATTTTGAATAATTTCAATGGCCTCTATGTTAGGCTTCCTATTTCTATGCCTGAGAAGGTACAACTAACTCTCGTGGGTCCATCTGTGATTTGGCCAGAACTAACTAACCTCATCACTTAATAGCCATTTAACCTTTGTGGACCACAATATCCTCAACCGTAAAATGGGAATATTGGAAGGTGAACCATTTACTTCTCAGAGTGGAAGTGAGACACAAATTTCTGTGTGCATATGTATATATATATGTGCATGTATGCACACACACACACATATCTTGGAGTCTGCAAAGCACTTGCATTTTAAAATGACAGTGCATCATTTTTTTTTAGACATAGGCAATCATGCACAATTGCTTCCAGGAAGATTATTTTACTCATGTGTTTTGGATTTACAGACTTCCTGTGATCTGTTTACATAAAAATAGCATCCAGTGGTGACAATGACACCCAAAGCCCAATGACACTCCCCAAGCTAAGTACATCTTAGGGTTTGCAGTGAACTTTTATTGCTACTTTGTACAATTTCTGCCATGTAATACAGCCATACAGGGCAAAAGCTGTTAATTTTCATTTTGTTGCCTTCACTAACTTCTTAAAGTCCCAGAGCTCTAGAGCTGCCTACAAATTAACCCCAAGTAAAATAAGTCACCCTTAAATGATCGAATTGCCTTCCTGGATACAAGTAATAACATCCATTGATTAATGCACCTGTGAGCACATGGGTAAAGCTAAAGTAATAAATGTTTCAAAAAGAAATAAATTTTTTGAAGTTCAATTGTAGAAAACAATAGAATATGATATTAAAATTATTCATTACCTTTAAAAACTATCATCACTTATATAATTTTGTCACATTTTGATATTGTTTATGAGAACGAACACAAACATTAGCATGGTTTAGAAGCCTTTTAAAATTAACAGTATTTTTTCAGATGACTTTTGCTTTACAAGTCACTGACTCAACTCAAAGTGCCTGGATCCCCAACTCCTCCCTTTTTATGGCTTCATATGAAATAAATCATCCAAAATTTCTAAATGATAAATAAAAATGAAATATCCTCAAATTTTATATTATGGACTGAGCATATTTTTTAAAATTTAGCATATATATTGGGAAAGGATTTTTTAAAAACAAAAAACAAAAAATAAAAAAAAAACAAAACAAGACTTGGCCAGGCGCAGTAGCTCTCACCTGTAACCCCAGCACTTTGGGAGGCCGAGGTGGGCAGATCACGAGGTCAAGAGATCGAGATCATCCTGGCCAACATGGTGAAACCCCGTCTCTACTAAAAGTACAAAATTAGCTGGGTGTGGTGGCACACACCTGTAGTCCCAGCTACTCAGGAGGCTAAGGCAGGAGAATCCCCTGAATCTGGGAGGTGGGGGTTGCAGTGAGCCAAGATCGTGCCACTGCACTCCAGCCAGGTGACAGAGGGAGACTCTGTCAGAAAAAAAAAAAAAAAAAAAAAGCAAGAATTATATTTTGGAACAATTTTCCAGTTTGCAATAAAAGTAACATCAGATGACACCACATATCAGCTGGGTAAAAGGATGAAGGTTAATGAATAATTCAGAATTACCACCAGATCCTCAACATCATAATGGTTTTGTACTGCTTGGTTATGTCTTGCTGGACTCATTTAACTGGCATAGGCTACATTTCCACACAGCTTTATTCAGTGAAGAAAATCTATACTGAGACCCTAAGCCTTAACAAATTGCCAAGGGATGAGTCTAAAGATTAGTGGGGATCTCTGCATATGTATATTCAGAACCGAACCTCTTAAATAAGGAAGGTAAGGCAGACATGTAAGTGTAATGAAGAGTTCCTGTTTGCATCTCAGGTAGTTTACCCGTTCACTGTGACGTTAAATAAAAACCTTGGCTTTAAATATTGACAGATGAAGAGTTATTATCCAGTAAGGGCTGTGTGTTATACAAGCAATTTTGTTTTAGTTCTGGGGGCATTTGGCATAAGAACCCTTCACTATCATCTGCAGCTTGAGGATGCACAGCTGGAATGGCAATGGATTTCTTATTTGTAAAACATCCACGAATTTCACCACAGGCCTTCTACCAACATGGAAGCATCTGTGAATCAAACTGTTCCCCAGCTGTTCATCCACTCCTGGCAGGTTATTGCAGTATAAAGCCCCTATTAGTACTGCTGGTTACACTACACCCCTGATGGGTCTATACAAAATTGTTCCTCTTATACTACAGTTTAATGCACGAACCTCCCCTCCAAAGATAAATCCCTTAGGATTCTTTAAAAAAAAAAAAAACTCATGTCTTTTTGGAGGTTTTGGGGGCAACTCTCCACATTTTTATTTGACCCCTTTTTAATTTCCTAGGCTTTTGCAAAAGGTCCTCCCTTCCAGGCAGATACACCCTTGGTGCTTTCCCACATAAAGAATAGAGAAAATTTCTGTGAACACAGGACTGAAATGCTAAGTAGAGTAAAAACAAATGCCAGAACGAAGTTGTTTCAGGCCTTATCTTCAAAAGCAAAATTGCTTCAGGATGCCTTAACAAATAGTTTTTCTTATTAAGGTTCTGGAAATTTTAATTTCTTTAACAGTGACACACATATTTTAGGTTTTAATTAAAAGCTTTGAGTTATAAGAATTTCTATCATTGTACCACTGTACTTTTATTTAAAAACAAATTGCATTTATAAATCACTTGGTAAAGGGTATAAATCACTTGGTAAAGCTTTACTTCAGGGAAGGGAAAAAGAGTAGCTTTTCATATTAAAAGTAAAACAATAAGATGTAACATTTAAATTTGCAAGAAACATTTATTTTAACTTAAACACCAACTAATAATTATGGTAAATGAATAATTATAAGGCTTGGTATTCAACAAAGTTGGAAGTTTTGCAAATGTTAATGGAAAACATACAAGGATTTGTTGTTTTAAAATTTAGGTATCATCAATGATTATATTTTGTTTTATTGCTCCAAAATTTCATTAAGATCATGCTAACTGCTGTAATTCACGAACTCTCTTAGCATTAGCATGCTATTTCTTCCACATCACCAAATCTAGAATTTCTTAACATCAAATTGTGTATAGTTTCCAGTACCTAATATCTGTTTTTCTCTGGATTTATGTTTCTTTGAATCTAAATAATATAGGCTCAGTTCAATAAGAGTACAGTCACATAAGTACTATTTGTAATAGCTTAAATATAATATTACATCAATCATTAACAAAGCAGTATCAATAGAGTTTCGCTTATGTGTGGATTTTTCATTTTCATTTAGATTTTCATGTTTTTTGAAATTTCAGATATCTCTTCAGATTTTAGATATTAGATTTGTTTGTATTCATAAATGAACATAAATATAATGTCCTTTTGAAAATAAAATTTCTAGTATATAGGGCACTTTCAAATCGAAAATAATATATTTGACTCTGTATTTGAAGAAAGAGAATATGTCAAATAAACCCTGCCTACTCACATTAAAAGAAATGCATTACCAATTCGTTAGTAATAGAGTAATTGGTAATATGTATTATATATGCTGGTGGTAAGGACTAGCAAACTAAGTTGTTCTGCAGGCTGAGCTCATCTGGTGTGTGGCCTGGTTACCCACACTAAGCAATATTTCTCCAAAGAAGTAACCATTCTTTTTCTCATTTACTATCCCTCTCCATATTATTGCTTTACCTACCTCCTTCAAAAACCCAGTCACCATTGATACACTTACTGGGCAGTGTCTTCATTCCACCTACTTATAATCACAGGTAACTTCTCCATAATTCATGACAATTTTGTCACATTGGTAAAGCTCATGACTGACACATATTCTCATATTAGGTCTTCTGTCTGTCTAGAACGTTTTTTCCTGTATAGTATTTTTTTATGGTCATGATCACTTCTTGTCATGTTAAAGTACCAGTAAAGCCTTTCCTAACTATCCAGTGTATTAGTCATACACCATCATTTTCTGTAGAAAGTAGGATTCCCATTTGTCTGAAATGTTCATCAAAGAGTAGCTTAAATGAGTTATAATTTTATTTTTCTCACACCTAAGAGACATGTAGGCAATTGGTAAAGTTAACTCAAGGCCCTTGTCCTGTCTTTTTCACATAATCACAGCGTGGCCACCCAGCATCAGACATCACTTCCACATTCTAGCCAGGAGGAAATAAACAGCAAAGAAGGGGATATACCTGGGAAAGGAATGAAACTCTCCCAGAAATTTCAAGTCTTCTCACATTTTATTGTTCAGAACTGCATCACATTGCCACAAGGAACACTTAAAAATAGATTTTTTGCCACATTGAACAATAGCGATATTCTATTAGCAATAAAAGATGGATAATGAACGGCATCCAGCGGCATTTGTCAAATTTTCATAAACATCTTTTGTTGTATTTGCTGACCTTACCTTGTTATTTTATTTGTTTATATGTTTATGTATTTAATGTCCTCTTACTAAAAGGTGAGCTCTAGAAGATAAGAAGCTCTATCTCTCTTGTTTGCTTCTGCACTTCTAGAATCTAGAAAACTCTCTGGCACATAGTGTATGCTTCATAAATATTTTCATAGTAAAGGAATATTGGGTTAATTGAAGTTTAAATAGCAACTTTGCCTTATGTATTCCAAACTTATTAAACAAATATTTCCTGTCTTAAATTCTCACAGAAAATGTCTTCACTATTTTCAGGTAATTGTATAATGATTATTTATTATTCTAAAGAATTGTTGCATAGAATCAGGGATTGCAAATATTTAATCAGTCGTTACCTTGTTTTGATTTGAAAGAATTCTAATACTCAAAGTTGAGCATATTATTTTCCATAAAGCTAATTTCTCTACACACTTCCACTCCCTCTTTCAACCTCCTCCACAAACAACAGAAATACAGGAAGCAACACATTTTGGAACAAATACCATATGCTAAAACTCAGCCAGATATCACATATATAAATATTTTGAAGACTAAGAAAGTCATTAGTTTAATCAAGCTCTATAATGTTATAAATAAATGAAGGATTATTATTGTTGGCCTTATAAAATCTCATAATTTAATATCTAAATTATATTATTTTTAAATGGAAGTCTACTTTATTTAAATTAAGAGGACTAGGCTACTTATTTTTTTTATTTTGTTTTGGAGAGTACATGTGCAGGTTTTTTATATTAATACATTGAGCAATGCTGAGGTTTGGGCTTCCCATGGACCCATTAACCAAATAGTAAACATAGTACCCAATAAGTAGTTTTTCAACCCTTACCCCCTACCACTGTACCCCCTTTTGGGATTCCCAGTATCTATTATTTCCATCTCTATGTCTATGTGTACCCATTGTTTAGTTTTCACTTGTAAAGTGAGAACATGCGGTATTTCATTTTCTGTTTCTGACTTATTTCATTTAGGATGATGGTCTCAAGCTCCATATATGTTGCTGCAAAAGACAGAATTTCATTCATTTTTATGCCTGCATAGTATTCCATGGTATACATATACCACATTTCTTTTTCCAGTCAACCAGTAATAGACCCTTAGGTTGATTCCATGATTTTGCTATTGTGAATTGTGTTGTGATAAACATACAAGTGCAGGTGTCTCTTTGATGAAACAATTTCTTTTCTTTTGGATAGATACTGAAGAGTGGGATTGCTGGATTGAATGGTAGTTCTATATTTATTTCTCTGTGAAATCTCCATACTGTTTTCTATAAAGGTTAAACTAATTTACATTCCCACCAACAGTGTATAAAGTCTTCCCTTTTCTCCACATCCTTGCCAATATCTGTTATTTTTTGACTTTTTAATAATAGCCAATCTGACTGGTCTGAAGTAGTATCTCATTGTGATTTTAATCTGCATTTCTCTGATGATTAGTTATGTTGAGCACTTTTTAATATGTTTGTTGTCCTCTTGTATGTCTTGTTTTGAGAAGTGTCTGTTCATGTCCTTTGCCCACTTCTTAATTGGATTATTTGTTTGGTTTTTGTTGATTTGTTTAAGTCCCTCATAGATTCTGGATATTAGTCTTTGTCAGATGCACAGTTTGCATTTTTTTCTCCCATTCTGTTGGTTGTCTGTTTATTCTGTTGACTATTTTTTTATGTGCAAAAGTTTAGTTTAATTAGATCTCATTTGTCCATTTTTATTGTTGCATTTGCCTTTAGCCTTAGTCATAAATTCTTTGCCTAGGCCAATATCTAGAAGAGTTCTTCTTAGATTTTCTTCTAGCGATTGCATAGTTTCAGGTCTTATATTTACATCTTCAGTCTATCTTGAGTTAATATTTGTATATGGTGAGAGGTAGGGGTCCAGTTTGACTTCATATGGCTGGCCAGCTTTCCCAATGTCATTTATTGAATAGGGTACCCATTTCCCATTGTTTACTTTTGTAAACTTTGCCAACAGTCGGTTGGTTGTAGGTGTGTGGCTTTATGTCTGAGTTCTCTATTCTGTTCCATTGATCTATGTGTCTTCTTTTGTACCAATACCATGCTGTTTTTGTTACTATAGCCTTGTCATATAGTTTGAAGTCAAGTAATGTGTTGCCTCTGGCTTTGTTCTTTTTGCTCAGGATTGCTTTGCTACTCAGGCTTTCCTTTGGTTTCATATGAATTTTAGAATTGTTTTTATAATTGTGTGAAAATGACATTGGTAATTTGATAGGAATTGCATTGTATCTGTACATTGTTTTGGGCTCTAAACTCATTTTAAGAATATTACTTCTTCCAATCCATGAATATGGGATAATTTTCTATTTGTTTGTGACATCTACAGTTTATTCAATCAGAGTTTTGTAGTTCTCCTTGTAGCAGTTTTCACTTCCTTGGTAAAATGTATTCCTAGATATTTTATGTTTTGTGTGTGTGGCTATTGCAAATAGGATTGAGTTCTTGATTTGGTTTTTACCTTGAGTATTGTTGGTATACAGAAAGGCACCTGATTTTCATACATTAATTTTGTATCCTGAAACTTTACTAAAGTTATTTGTCAGGTCAAGGAGTCTTTTGAAGAAAACTTTAGGGTCTTTTAGATATAAGATCATGTTGTCAGCAAACAGAGACACTTTTATTTCCTCTTTTTCAATTTGGGTGTCTTTTCTTTCTTTTCATTATCAGATTTTTCTGGCTAAGACTTCCAGTATTATGGTTAAATAGGAGTGGTGAGAGTAGACATCCTTGGGTTGCTCGAGTTCTGAGGAATGCTTTCAGTGTTTCACCATTCAGTTTGATGTTGGCTGCAGGTTTGTCTTACAGTATGTTCCTTCAATGCCTAGTTACTTGAGAGTTTTTATTATGAAAGGCTACTGTATTTTATCAAATATTTTTCCTGCATCTGTTGAGATGATATGATTTGTTTTTAACTTTGTTTATGTGGTGAATCACATTTATTGACTTGCAGATGTTGAACCACTCCTATATTCCTGGGATGAAACCTACTTGATCATGATGAATTGTCTTTTTTTCTATGCTCTTGGATTCAGTTTGCTAGTATTTTCTTGAGGATATTTGTGTCTATATTCCTCAGGGATATTAACCTGTGGTTTTCTTTTTTGTTGTATCCTTGCCAAACTTTGGTAACAGAGTGATACTAGTTTTGTAGAGTGAGTTAGTTAGAAAGGAATCCCTACGCCCTGATTTCCTGGAATACTTTCAGTAAGATTGGTACGGGCTCTTCTTTACATGTCTGATAGAATTCAGCTGAGAATCCATCTGATCCTCAACTTTTTTTGGTTGGTAGATTTTTCATTATTGATTTGATTTTATAAATCATTATTGGTTGCACAAGATTTCAATTTCTTCCTGATTCAATCTTGGGAGTTACATTTCGGTTATTTATCAATTTCCTCTAGGTTTTCTAGTTTGTATACATAGAGGTGTTCGTAGCAGTCTCTGAGAATCTTTTATATTTTTGCAATATCAGTTGTCATGACACATTTGTCATTTCTGTTGTACTTATTTGATTCTTTCTCTTTTTTTCTTGGTTTATCTAACTAGCATTCTATTTATTTTGTTTAACCTTTCAAAGAACAAACTTTCTTGTTTCATTGAGCCTTCATTGATTGTTTTATAATTTTAAAAATCAATTTAATTTAGTTCCACTCTGATCTTTTTTATTTCTTTTCTTCTGCTAGCTTAGTATTTTGTTTGCTCTTGTTTTTCTAGTTCCTTGAGGTGAGGCATTAGTTTATTAATTTAAGATATTTCTATCTTTTTGTTCAGGCATTTGGCACTATGAGCTATCGTCTTAACACTGCTTTTGCTGTATGCCAGAGGATTTTATAGGTTGTGTCTCTACGTTCATTTGAAATAATTTTTTGATTTCTACCTTAATTTCTTTGATTCCCTCAAAGTCATTCAGGAGCAAGTTGTTTAGTTTCCACGTACTTGTGTGATTTTCATTTAATCTTCCTTTTGAAGTGAACCCTATGTCATTATATAACAACCTTCTCTGTGTGTGTGTGTGTGTGTGTGTGTGTGTATGTGTGTTGTTCTGTTTATTGTTGTGGGTTTAAAATCTGTTTTATCTATTACAAGAATGGCAACCTCTGCTCTTTTTGGTTTTTCATTTATGTGATCTGTCTTTCTCCACCCCTTTACTTTGAACCTCTGGGTCTCAGTACATGTTAGGTACATCTCCTGAAGGCAGCAGATGGTTCAGTCTCATTTTTTAAATTTAATTTGCCAATCTATATAAGTGGAGAATTTAGGTCAGTTATGCTCAAAATTAATATTTATATGTGATATGTAAGGCTTTGTTTGTGTCATCATGTTTTTAGCTAGTTGCTTTGTAGTGTAACTTATTTAATTGCTTTGTAGGGTTGGTAAATTTGTACTTACATGTTCTTTTATGGTAGCAAGTATTATTCATTTGTTTTCATGTTTAGAACTCCTTTGAATATTTCTTGCAGATTCAGTCTAGTGGTGACAAACTTTTCTAGCATCTGTCCTCTACCTTGTCTGGGAAAGGCTGTTTCTCCTTCATTTATAAAGCTCAGTTTAGCAGCATATAAACTGGTTTGTAAGGTTTCTCCTGAGAAGTCTTCCGTTAGTCTGACGGAATTTCCTTTATAGGAGATTTGCCCTTCCATAGCTGTCTTTAAGATCTTTTCTTTAGCATTGACCTTGGATAGCTTGATGACTATGAATATGCTTTGGTGATGTTCATCTTGTGTAGTATCTAGCAGGCGTTCTCTAAATTTCCTGTATCCAGATTTTTACCTTTGTAACTACGTTTAAAAAAATACAAAATTATTCTCTCAAATATGTTTTCCAAGTTTTTTTTTTTTGCTTCTCTCCCAGGAATGCCTATAAGTCATAGATTTGGTTGCTTTACGTAATCCCATATTTCTCAAAGGCTTTGTTCTTTCAAACAACTTTTTTTTTTTTGTCTGACTGTGTTAATTTGCAAGACCAGTTTCCAAGTTCTGATTTTTTTTCTTCTGATTGTTCTGGTCTATTTTTAAAACTTTCTGTTGTGTTTTGCAATTCTTTTAGTGAATTTTTAAACTCCACAGTTCTATTATATATACATACATATCCATACATATTTATAGCCATTTGATATATATATATGGAGATATATATGTATATATCTATACGTATATAAAAAATTGCTACAATAATATATAGCCTTCTCATCTCTCATATCTTGAATAATTTTTCTGGTTTCGTTGTATTGGTTTTCAACTTTCTCTTGTATCTCATTGAGTTTCCTTGGAACCCATATTTTGAATTCTTTGTTATTTCAGAATTTTCATTCCTGTTAGGATCTATTGCTAGAGAGCTACTGTGATCTTTGAAGGTGTCAAAACACTGTTTTTGTACTGCAGAAGATCTTGCACTGATTCATTCTCATGTGAAAGAGCTGTTGCTTCCTATTTTTGAATTCGCTTTCATTTGTACGAGACTTTTAAATGCTTCATTCTTTTTTTCCTTGAGGGTATGACTGTGGTGTATGTTGCATATGATCTTTTGGCTTTATTTCTGGTTGCTTTCAGAGGGCCAAGTCTCTGTATGAGTTCCTTCATTGTGGGTAGAATTTGTGTGGTGGCTTTCTCAAATGTTGCTTGTTGTTCAAGTACTTTTAGAAAGACGCTATGTTAAACAAGTGTAACTGCAGATGTTAGTAGCACTTTTATAATATAATCACCTATAGGTAGAATGAGAAAGTTTCTGGATTTCTAGCACCTAACATTAAATTTCATGCTTTCTGAAAGTAGGCCGTCTAGGAAACAGTTACTTTTGAATTCTCTGGACTTTTATATTTTTGAATGCAAAGGAAATCTGTTAGCTGTTTGACTGTTTTTCAGTTTGCTCGAGACTTAAATTGAGCACCCAGTGCTATTTACTGATTCTCACTTGGAAAGAACTTGGAAAGAAAAGTTCCACAGAATAAAGACAGAGTAATTTCCATTGGTTCACCATGAATTCTCTGATAATTTCTTTACAGAAAAAAACATAGAAAATAGATGTAATTATTATTATATTCCCATTATGAAGTAATAATTTTTGACACATATTATTTTAAATTATCCAGCAATTTCTTTCCCAGTGAAAGAATTGAGGAACTGAAAATTATCACTTTGCCACATTACTCAGAATCACAAAATTGGCTTCAAAATGGTGTTAAAACTACACTCCAAGTTGCCTGACCCCGAAGCTTGTGTTTAGACCATTTTTTTTTACTAGGGTGTCTAATAGATGGGCAACTGAAAAGGATCATTACTTTTTTTTTCAGGACAATGGGATGTCATTTAAATACCCAGAAAGAAACAACTTGCCCACTGTTATACTGATTCCCTGAAAGACTTCAAAGGATGAAGAGTTTACAGCTACAGAGTATTCAATAGACCTTGGGTCAGTGTAGAATCAGAGTTACCTTTATGTTTTAAAATAAATTTGATTTTAATTAAATTTATGTATTTGTTTTTTTGTTGTCTGCTTAGAAGACCAGGCAAATCATTGTAAGTTTGTGTCCTCCACTCACTTACCCACTTATCTGTAAGAATTACCTAGCCAGGAACACTAGCCGTTCACGTGTTCGGTCCTCCTTAGCTGACTCGCCGCCCTCGCTGCCGCACCATGGACGCCCCGAGGCACGTGGTCAACTTCGGGCCTGGTCCCGCCAAGCTGCCTCACTCAGTGTTGTTAGAGATAAAAAAGGAATTATTAGACTACAAAGGAGTTGGCATTAGTGTTCTTGAAATGAGTCACAGGCCATCAGATTTTGCCAAGATTATTAACGATACAGAGAATCTTGTGCGGGAATTGCTAGCCGTTCCAGACAGCTGTAAGGTGATTTTTGTGCAAGGAAGTGGGTCTGGCCAGTTCGGTGCTGTCCCCTTAAACCTGATTGGCTTGAAAGCAGGAAGATGTGCGGACTATGTGGTGACAGGGACTTGGTCAGCTAAGGCCGCAGAAGAAGCCAAGAAGTTTGGGACTATAAATATCATTCACCCTAAACTTGGGAGTTATACAAAAATTCCAGATCCAAGCACCTGGAACCTCAACCCGGATGCCTCCTATGTGTATTATTGCGCAAATGAGGTGGTGCATGGTGTGGAGTTTGACTTTATACCCTATGTCAAGGGAGCAGTACTGGTTTGTGACATGTCCTCAAACTTCCTGTCCAAGCCAGTGGATGTCCAAGTTTGGTGTGATTTTTGCTGGTGCCCAGACGAATGTTGGCTTTGCTGGGGTCACTGTGGTGATTGTCTGTGATGACCTGCTGGGGTTTGCCCTCTGAGAGTGCCCCTTGGTCCTAGAATACGAGGTACAGGCTGGAAACAGCTCCTTGTACAACACGCCTCCATGTTTCAGCATCTATGTCATGGGCTTGGTCCTGGAGTGGATTAAAAACAATGGAGGTGCCGCGGCCATGGAGAAGCTTAGCTCCATCAAATCTCAAATGATTTATGAGATTATTGATAATTCTCAAGGATTCTACGTATGTCCGGTGGAGCCCCAAAATAGAAGCAAGATGAATATTCCATTCTGCATTTGCAATGCCAAAGGAGATGATGCTTTAGAAAAAAGACTTTTTGATAAAGCTCTTGAACTTAATATGTTGCCCTTGAAAGGGTATAGGTCTGTGGGAGGCATCCGGGCCTCTCTGTATAATGCTGTCACTATTGAAGATGTTCAGAAGCTGGCCGCCTTCATGAAAAATTTTTTGGAGATGCATCAGCTATGAACACATCCTAACCAGGATATACTCTGTTCTTGAACAACATACAAAGTTTAAAGTAACTTGGGTATGGCTACAAAAGGTTAACAAACACAGTATTTTCCTCAAATGAACATGTTTATTGTAGATTCTTCTTTTTTGAAAGAACAACAGCAAAACATCTACAGCTCTGTAAAGCTGGTGGGAACTAATGTTCACCTTAATTCTGACTTGAACTGGAAGCATTTTAAGAAATCTTCTCATTGCTTTTCTAACAAATTCCCGCTTGTTTAGCCTTTGCTGCTACTTTTTCTAGTTAGATTTCCAACTTGCCTGTGGACTTCATACTGCAAGTTGCAATTAATTATTTCTAGAGTCATGGGAACACACAGCATAGAGGGTAGGTGGGGCCCTCTAGGTGCTGAATCTAAACATCTGTGGGGTCTCCTGTGTTCAGAGGCTGTTGATTCAAGGTCAACATTGACCACTGGAGGAGTGGTTTAAGAGTACCAGGCAAAGGGCAAACTGAAGATTGATCATTATACTGTTATTACAAGAGAAGTGTCATACTTTATATATGTTTATATTAGCAAGGTCTGTTTTTAATACCATATACTTTATATTTCTATACTTTTATATTTCTAATAATACGGTTATCATTGATACATGTAGACACTTTTAGAATTTATTAAATCCTTGACCTTGTGCATTATAGCATTCCATTAGCAACAGTTGCACCCCCTCCCCAGTCTTCCTCTTCCTCTTTTTAAGCTGTTTTATGAAAAACATCTCGAAGTTCTTGATTCATTTTTACCGTTCTTTCCATAGGTAGAAGAGAAAGTTGATTGGTTGGTTGTTTTTCAATTATGCCATTAAACTAAACATTTCTGTTAAATTACCTTATCCTTTGTTCTCCTGACTGTTTTCTTTGTAATGTTTGACGATGAGAGTGATACTTTGCTCAAAAGTCTTTCCCCTATTGTTTATCTATTGTCAGTATTTTATGTTGAATATGTGAAGAACATTAAAGTCCTAAAACATCTAAAAAAAAAAAAAAGAATCACCTAGGATGGAATAAGATGGAAATGATAGCAATGAAAAATAAAGTTGCAGTTACAGAGTTTTGAGTTTTTCTACTTTAGATTACATTATGTACCTACTAATGAAGACTAAGAAGTTTATTTCAATATTAAAAACGTCTCCATAAATAATGAAATAGGAATGCCTGATAGTATAGCTAATAGTTAGCAGGTAAGGATATTTTTATATGTTTACTTTTAAAAATCAAAATGAATATCTTAACTCAGTTTTGGTATCAAATGGCTCATTGCAGCCATTTAGATTCTTGAAGGTAAATTTTACTCTGTGCTGATAGAAATTTTATGCATGATTTGCTGATAGTTTAAAAAAAAGCTGATTTTTTTTCTTGCATATGACAAAAGCAAAAAATACAATAAAATGTCTTTGCATTTGTTAAAAGGCTGAGAAGAATTTAGAATGGCAATATTACTAAGAATACAGAGTCTATAATTATCACTTGCTAGTTCCAAAATACAAATTTTTCTAGAGTTTTATTTGCAAATTATATTTCTCTGGATTCAAGAAATATGCAAGAGAATAGAAAAGAAGAATGAGGGAGAGAAAAAAGAGGGAGGGAGAGAGAGTGAGAGAAAAAGAAAGAGAGAGTGGGGAGGAGGGGGAGGAGGACGAGTAGGGTGGAGGTAGAGGAGATGGTAACCAGGGAAAGCACAATGTCTCCTAATGCTACGCTCTGCTGTGGCTAAAAGATAAGAAAGACTAAGCAAAGAATTATTATGTAGTCTTAAAGAATTATTTCCAATGTACTTTGCATGTAACACATAACATCTAACTACTGTTAGTTGAAGGCTCGTATTCCTTCCTCTTCCCCTCCCTCTCTCGTATCACTTTCTCTTTCTCTTGGTTTCTCTTTCTGTTCTTTGAATATTTCCATTTCCTTTTTTCTAATAGCATGCAGTCTATTCACCTGAATTACAATGTCATGCTGACTTAAGTCTTTTTGTTTCTTTATCTTTCAGAAAAAAATTCACTGTACTATAGAAAATCCAAATTAAAGTAAGAAATTCATGAGGCATTAGTGATTCTGATTCTTATCACCAATATATAGTGGACTCTTTTTAAGCTATGGAGGATCTTTTGAAGGACAGTGGAATATTTATCTTGCAGACAGATTGATAGTAGAACTGAAATAGTAATGAGGACAGTTTATATCAGAACAAGTACAATTAAATTTGGTTATAAAATTTGTAGGTTACATGGGAAATATTTCTTTCTTGTTAAAAGGTATATAGTATGTTAAGAACATTAAAAGTTTCTTATTACAGCATTTCAGATTTGGGAGAAGATTAAAGAATATTGACATATCTAACTTTGAGAATCTAACTTTCATTTTCTTTTGAAATTCTTTCAGTATTACAGCACTCTTATGTTTATTATTTCCCTATGAAACATTTCTGAAACATCTGCTGAGTTTTAAATATTAAGAGATTTTAATATTACAAGAAATGTATGGTATACTCTTGAGGTAACTTTAAGAGCTGCTTCTTATTACTAAATATTTGTAACTGTTATTATTTGTAGATATTAGTTCAAATATACAAAATATATGTCCCCATGAATAAAATTAATACTTTCTATGTATTTGAAAATTACATTTTAAGTTATTTTTATGTAGCACATTTGCCAAATGCATTTCACTTACTATGTGCAGAGAATAATTGAAAGTTGTTTGGTGGTGTTTTTATTCAGACATGATAAGTACAGAGAATAAATGTCATTCAAATTGTTTGATTCTTCCATTTTAACTTTGAGTAGAAATTGAAGTTAAAATTTTTTTCTTGACAAACTGCAGCTAAAGTTCTTCAACTTATGCCTTTTGTTTGCAAACATTGAGGGAAATTGCCCATAAATGTTCAGGTACCTGAATAAATTAAGACCTAATGTGCTTGAAGAAAGATGTTTTAAGAGTATCCTTTTGGGGTGATGTTCTCACCAATTTACATGCAAGAGTGAATTTGTATCATTTAAACCAATTTTCAAAATGTTTGACAAAGACCAGCATTATCTTCTGCTCAGAAGCCTCCTCTAAAACTATTCACATTGTTCACAGAAATCAAACTGCTGAGTTTCCTTTAGCTCCTTTTAAGGGCTTTTGATCCTTATATGGATATAAGAACCTGTTTTGCATATACTGGTAGACAAAAAACATGAATATTAAGCCATTATTTTCACATTAGCAAGTTTTCCCAAGGTGGGTTTTTAACATTTTAAAGACATTTTGTTTTGTGTGTTACTCTCTTTTTGTCTAATCACCTCTAAAATTATGAACACTACAAGAATAATACATACTGAATAACAAAACAGCTTGAAATATTTATAACTAAGAAAGCAACTGTTAAATGTTCATAAACAAAGTTGTTTGGAGACTCCTTTATTAATTTTTAATTTATCTTCAGTCAATTTCTTATTACTTCCAAATTCCTGCAGGGGATTCTGTTAATTAGTCTTGTGTAAAATATTCATTAAAACCAGCTTTCTATTTTCTTCTTTTATTGCAAATTTACATTTCTAATCTTATAACCAAAATAAATGCCACTGGGTAGAGGAACCATATTAATTTGGATCAGCCACCAAAAATAGAAGCTCATACAGCAAAAGATATGGTAATATAAAATAGACTAACATTGAGGTACTTTGTTGATTGATCACCATTTTGCAATAGCAGATGGATATCTAGTCCTTGTTTGAAAAAATATCAACACTACGTAAAATAGAGTGTATTTGAAATCTAGTAATCTAAGATGAAGTAATAATGAATTGGTACCTGTATACTTTTGCACATTAAAAACATTTCAGAAACAACATATAGTTTAGTTAGGGATTCAAATTTAATCAACAGCGACAATGTTGACATTAAATTTAAATCATTGGGTAGCAAAAGTTTTACTGAGTTTTTTCAGTTGTTATTTGTTTTAAAATATTTTACTTGTCTTTCCTTACTATGCATTATGTAGTTTTGATTCTGTGCTGCAAATAGCAAAGTAGTATAGGAAATGGAACATCAATGTGAGTTTAGCATTACTAATATAGCTGTTGACTTTCCCTCTAACATAGTGTATGTTAGTAGAACATTCATACAAACATCTCTAAAAGAAATATATGTCAGCATTGTAAGAAAAGTTTGCAATGCCAGGCATAATATTTTCAGAGTGAAATTCTTGGTTTCGTTGAAAACTCTTAGACTTCTAAGGGTTTGGATACATCTTAGAAATATGAGTTTGGCTACATCTTAGAAGTCTAAGAGTTTGGATAGACCTTAGAATTATCTTAACATAACTCATCTCTTCTTAAAGTCTATGTCCAAATTTTAAGTCTTCAGTCATTAATTAAAATATGTAAAATATAACTACCAGATTAGAAAGTTTACTAAAATAAAATAATATTATTTACTGGAAAAAGTGGGGAAAAATGTATTTTATAGGAAGAAAAATGTAATTACACTCAAACAAATAGAGCACATTTTGTTTACTCTTATGCGGAGTGATAAATTTATTGCCAAATTAAAGTCCTCATGAGTGACAACACATTTACAGCATAGAAACATTTAGTAACAGTAAGCACAGGTCTCAAGGTTCTAACTCTGTCTTCTGAGATTAAGTCAAAAAGGAGGCAAAGATTTAGGTAGCACATACTGCTTCAATAACAAAACCAACTGAACAGGATGTTTAGAATTATACATATCAACATTAAAAATATATTTGTTTAATAAACAGAAAACCTAATAGAAGACTGAATTTTGGGAAGACAAAATGGCAATATTGAACCAGATCTCTAAGTAATAGATGGAAATATATTCCAAGAAATAGTTAATTGTAGTACCCAATGGCCAATCATTACAGTCCACGTGCCAGGTTAATTTTACCTATCAGTCAACACTCTTTTGAAATAGTTATTCTCCTAAAATCCCACCTAACCTGATTATTATCTAGCCTGCATTGACTTCTACATCTTGAACACAAAAATATTGTCATTCCATAGTAACATACACATCTAAAGTAATCTAACTTATCTACCAGTCTAACATTGTAATAATTTTTTAAATGTTGACTTAACATGCCTTGCTGGCAAAGAATTTATACTTGCTCTCCACACGTTGGCAGTCATGATTGCACAGCTGCATGATTTTTGAGTCTTGAAGCAGTCCAATTATCAAGTATTCCCTAACTTATATAAAGCCCTTTACCATATCTTAGAATCTCTTCTTTGTTTGAGTCTATAATTTCCCTTGATCATGTACTCTGTTTCTAGTTTGAAAATCATCCTTGGCCGCGCATGGTGGCTCACACCTGTAATCCTAGCATTTTGGAAGGCCGAGGCGGATGAATCACGAGGTCAGGATATCGAGACCATCCTGGCTAACACAGTGAAACCCTGTCTCCACTAACAAAAAATTAGCTGGGCATGGTGGCGGGCGCCTGTAGTCCCAGCTACTTGGGAGGCTGAGGCAGGAGAATGGCGTTAACCCAGGAGGCGGAGCTTGCAGTGAACCAAGATCGTGTCACTGCGCTCCAGCCTGGGCAACAGAGGGAGACTCTGTTTCAAAAAAAAAAAAAAAAAAAATCATCCTCATGTCTTAGATGGTGGAGTGAGCAGTAACAAAAGAAGATGGAATTCAATCCTCTCTTTTACAGGTGAGGACTTTGAGGTCAAGCACACGTATACTCAGTGAACTGAGGGTCAGCTGGACTTGGAGCCACTTCACATGCTCATTCTCCATTAAAAAATAATTGAAAGTAAAAAAAGAGGTTGGACAGTGTGTATGAGTGAGTGTTCTATGAGAAGAAAAATAAAAACACGTGGGTGTTTAAGTTCTACCTCAACCCTTACCCTGAGGCAAATGTTTAAAGTTTCCTCATCTGAAAAAGGCAAAATAATTTCCTGCTTTGTTTCCACAGTGCTGTGAGGCCCCAATAATACATACATAAGCATACTCTAGTATATCAGGATAAGTTATAATAATATAGTCAATTACACCATCTGTCCCTTGTTCTATGAGTTTTTCAAAATAGTCAACATAGCCCATCGTGTTGCTGAACTTCTCAGTTACTGAAACTCCTCAGATAGTTATTTTTCTAAACTTTATTTCAGACAAGATATAATGAGTTTTTGTATAACCACTAATGTTTTTTCCCTAACATGTCTTTGTTTTACGCTCAGTATTTAAAAAGAGTTTTTTAAAAAACATGTGCATGTGTGTTTTACAGGAATATTGACCAGTTTAGTTTCATGTAGAATTGGGATGATAGCTTTCCCAAAGAATCAATAACAACACTGTCTCAGAAATGTAAGAATTATTTTTTTTTTCTGAAAATATCCTCAACTGTATCTGAAAAACACTTTCAAATTCAATCTGTGGTTCCTTTTTGGATACATCTCCCCACAACCAGAGAGTTTCCCATTTAAAATATTGCCATATGCAGCAGGCTCTTGCTCCTGAAAAGATTGTGTTTCATCTTTACCAAAATATATTCTTCATTTATTTTGAAACAAAGAAACTGTGAGCAAAGGCAGTGTCTTTTAATAAAGAACATCTAAATTTTACACTATTCTAAAAATGTTTTCTCTCCCATCTTTCAATAGCTAATAGGAAGCTGAGTATTTTGAAAACAAAACAAAACCAAACAAAATGGCACAATGTAACTTGGGGAAATCATAAAATATATTTTGTTTTACTGTATGCACTATGAAAATCAAAGCAAACTACAGTTATTATTATGAATATATCTGGTTGTTCCAATAGATTTACATGAAATAGTTGCTCATAAAGTTATATCTCAACAGTTTCAAAAGTATCTGCTATCTTAAATATTTTTAAGGAAACGATTAGTGATCAAATGCATGTAAAAATTATTAAAAGGGCAGTTTTTATTAAGATATTATTCATTTGTTTCTGTTTTTATATTTGTAAAGAATTAGCAATTATATACACTACACTAAAACATACTCACAGTAGAGCAAAACAATTAAATATTATATCATATCATTTTGTTACATGGCTAGGGTTTTATCATAACAAATGATCTTATCTTTACTTCACTATGCAACAAAAAAGAAAAAGTTATTGTCCACCACCATTTTAAACACTAGTAACAACTTATGCACAAAAATTCACAGCTATAAAAAGTAGTGTAAAACATTTAGAGATTTTTTATTTACATTCAAAAATCTTTGTAAGTTAGGATTCAGGTTGAAAAGGATGGGATTTACAACAGAATTAAAGATTAAGAATTCATCATTGCAAAATAACATTTCTTTTGACAACATAACTCAATTGCTACTCAAAAATAAATCATTTATGTTTCAAATGCTGTGAATATTTATTTAGTGTCATACCTGTCATTTGTTTGACTTATTTCCCCAAGGATAGAGAAGAACAACTGTATATCTCTTATTACAGAGCCAAAATTATTTCTGGTAGCAAAAAAATCACAATGGTATGTACCTTAAAATGACCAGCAGAATTTTTTTGTGTGCTAATAAATCACAAAAACAGCCAATAGAATTCTCCTAACACTACTCAATTTGCTCTGAAGCCATTACTTTATAAAATATCATTCAAATGCAACATTAGAAAAATCTATCCAGGCTATTTTACAGGATGATATTTTTATTACATTTAATAAAAACAAAAAGAGTCAAATCCCCCAGCTATTTCCAAAATTTAAGTCACAGTGGGGCCTCAAATAATATTTTTGTGCCTATATTGTCGTGCCTGTGCCAATATTTTCCCTATGATCCACTCATAAGGCTGACTTAGGGGTCTAACATGAATGCTGGAACTGATAATAGGTAGAAATTGAGAAACAATTCTAGGAAACTGTTAGACAGTTAAGATAGACCCTGAATTAATTGAGTTAGACATCTAAATTAAGACACTACCAATTTTGGGTAGAAATGAGTCTTTTTTAATTAGATTACAATGTACCTGTAAATTAATATACCAATATTTTAAAACAACATTTTAAATTAACTGACTGCTGAACTAACAGAGCTTCAATTTTATCATGTTGTTGGGGATCAGTAGATTTAATATATATATAAAAAACATTTTGCCTGCTGAATGATTTTGGGCAAAGCCTTAACACTCTGTAAAAGGCAATGATAATTTCTATCTTGTACTATTGTTGCCAAGATTGACTAAAGATTTATGTGAAAGTTGCACTGTCACACAAAGCTTTATACTAATATAATGGATTACTGTGCTAATGGTAGTGATTAATATTTTGGGCCAATTTAACCAGATTACATTTTCATCCAACTTTAATGCAGTCTTTGGTAGTTAATCCACCCTGCATAAACCAAGTAAAATATATAGATTTATCAGATAATTTAACCTTTTTATTGATACATAATACATGTACATATTTTTGGAGTACATGTGATAATTAGATATATTCATGTAATATATAAAGATCAAATCAGGGTAATTGGGATATTCTTCACCTTAAATATTTAGTTTTTTCTTTATGCTAAGAACATTCAAACTGATAGATTTGAATCTTAATGAAAATCTGTTGGCAAAAATAAAGTAATGAATTGGCACACAAACCAATGCATAATGGTAAGTGGAGTGTATGCTGAAGTAGGTAATCCATTTGGGGTTCTAATCACTTCATACATCCTTCATTTGGTTTCTGTTGGTCTGTGAAATATATGGATTGGATTATAGATCCCCCAATTTTCTATTTAGCTATACATTTTCATATTTATTTTCAAAATAAAAAATCAATGTTGTTTTATAAATCACAAATAACATAACAATACTGATAGCAAATTGTACTTTTATGAGTCAAACATTATTTTATAGCCATTAGCTCAAATTGTCTTCAACATCTCCACCTCCCCCTAAAAAGCTGTGGTGTGAGAATGGTAGAACAGACATTACTATCCCATTTTACAGAAAAAACCACTAATGCCAATTAAGGTTATAAGCGTCAAGAATAAAACCATAAGGTGTTCAATTGATACTGAAGTCCAGATTATTTTTTAATTTCAAGAGAAAAAAAGAATTTCAGAATTCCTTATGATACGGGAGTGCTGGAAATGGAAGAGCATGGTCCCTTTAAATGATACAGAAGGAGGGAAGGGAAGCGCTGGGTGTAGCAGGGCGTGGTCCCTGGCTAGGGCTCCACCCCCACGGACCTAGGTGAGGACAGGCAGTCCTGCCATTTCGCCTAAATGTTGCATTTCCCAAGACCACCCTGGCCCACCACGTCCCCATCCTGGGCCTATAAAATCCCGAGACCCTACCAAGGCAGAGACAGAGGCAGCTGGCAGAGACAGAGAAACAGTTTGGCAGAAGACACAAGAGGCTGGACGTCGAGAGGACGTCAATGGGAGCACGCTGGCAGAAAAGCACACTAACAGACGAGGGTACACTGGCAGGCCTTCGAAGGCCGGCATGAGGCGGAGTTTGGCCGGGGCAGTCAGAGGAAAGCTGGGGCTGCCAAATGACTCAACTCTGAGGGAAAACCATCTCCCTTCTGGCTCCCCTATCGTCGGAGAGCTACTCCCACTCAATGAAACTTTGGACTCATTCTCCAAGCCCACATGTATGTGATCTGATTCTTCCCATACACCAAGGCAAGAACCCAGGATACAGAAAGCCCTCTGTTCTTGTGACAAGGTAGAGGGTCTAATTGAGCTGGTTAACACAAGCTGCCTATAGATGGCAGACTAAGAGAGCGCCCAGTAATACATGCCCACTGGGGGTTCAGGAGCTGTAAACACTCAACCCTAGACAGTGCCATGGGGTCGGAGCCGCACAGCCTGACCATCTGTATGCTCCCCTAGAGGTCTGAGCAGCGTAGCACTGAAGAAGCGAGCCACACACCCTGCCTCAAACCCTGTAGGGGGACAAGCAAACTTTTCCCGTTTCACTTAAAACATCTTTCTGACACATGAAAAAAGTCACTGATCATAGAGCATGTTTATTTATATTAAAAATAAAATTTTCCATGAGTTAAAAGATTAAAATACAGAGATTAAAGTGCTTTATTTCACTTATTAATATATAAAAGCAAGAAAATTAAACGTATTTAGTTTTCATTAAATATTTTTAACAAATGGTGTTAAAATAATTATTCACTGAAGTTTTTAGATATTCGGCACTTCTCCTTAGCAAGTTCTACTTATATTTCAAATAGCACATCTAAAAAAAAACCATATAATTATTATATGACATTTAAAAGTATTAGTGTTTTTTTCTCTGGATTTAAACGTGAGTAAATAAATCATATTATATCCGTAAAACTTCTAGAGTTGGCAAGAATCTAGTTTAGTCACATTCACATTTTATTTTAAAGCCATGAATTCCCTTAATAAAAATGTACTCATACAATTAGTAGCAATTGTTTTTAGATAAAATAACGTTTCTTTGATTCAAAATAAACATTCATGAGCTACGTTAAGATATGTAAAATAAACATTTTAGGAAAATGATCTGTAGCTGTATTTCTGAATGTTCATGTCATATGTTACCAGCTTTGATACAGTTCATGAAATTTGAAGTACAGCAATACAGACTGTACCATTTATATGTCAAAGACATTTTAATGCTACCTCTTGAAACTGTTCTACTACTGATTTCCTGGTGAAAAATAATACATTTAAATAAACTTCAGGTAGCTGAAAGACTACCACAAATTAAGACACAATAAAAGTTATGTACCTCTTTTAATAAATTCAATGTAGAAAGTTAATAACGAGTTGTAAATTTTCCTTTTGTCATTGGGTGACATCAAATAATGTATAACTGTCACAAGACTATTAGCATACAGACTGAGGAAAGAGTTGATAACAAATGCTAACAAATAAATAAACTTTCTAGTGCAACTTTAAACTTACTCTGGACTCTATTCCTTATTTTAGGAAACTAAATTCAGAACAGGGTGAACATATGTACTGCATTTTAACACCTATGTTTGACAAGATTTGTGAAAATAAAATGTCAGAATAATAGTTTTTGAGGGAACTGGAACTTTTAAAACCATGAAGTGAACTGAAAAGAAGAAAGGGAGGGAGAGAAGGAGGGAGAAAGAAAAAGAAAGGGAAATGAGGAGGGGAGGGGGTGCAGAGCAGAGAGCAAGGAAAAAATTCCTGATGCCTTAATCAACAAACTTGCCTCCCTTTGCCTTGTGTTCCATCACTTGGAGCAGTTTGTCAGTTGGCAGAATGAAGAAGTAATTCACAGATTCTGCACATTCCAGTCATAATCACAGGAATGAATTCGGGACTTCCTAAGATTTCACTGAGGAGATGCAACTTTGCATAACCCATGCGGAAATTCATTTCATCTGTTTTCATTTTATTCTATCTATCGTGTATTTTTGATGACGAAATGGGAAAGAAAAAATGAAATTCTATCATACGAATTTCTGTTAAATATCATTTTAGCTATCAGTTGTCACACCTGCTATTTGATGCATTTCAGTCAATTGACACAATTATATATTTTTGCAACCTATATCATTTTCTGAAGCCTTATTTATTTTACAGTAAATCCAATTTATTTTATTCAAATATCTTAACAGATACCAAATATTTGTTTCTCATATGTTTAAATATTTTTCAGTATAAATCTGCAAGGTATTGAATAATATGCCTCTTTTTAAGCTAAAATGAGTCACTATTTTTTATAATGTCATGACAGCTCTGAAGGCTCTCTTTAGAAACATCCAGGTCAGCACATGCACTTAGATTTTCTAATTTTTATTTTTATTATACACAAATTACAGTTGCATATAATTATAGAAGTGGTGTTCCGCTTTTTTAATACAACATGGAAAGAGTAAATTAAGCTAATTAACTTCAAATATTTAACATTTGTTGACGAACACATTAGAAATTTACTCTCAGCAACATTGAAACATAAAGGACTCAATTATCAGCTATATTCACCAAGCTGTGCAATTCACCTAAAAAAAAATAAAACATATCCCTCCTTACTGAGGCTTTGTACCCTTTGACTGTAATCCTCCCATTCCCCCACAGCCCAGTTGCTAGTAACTACCATCCTACTTTTTGGTTCTGTGACTTCTATTGTTTTAGGTTCCACATATAAGTGAAAATATGTGGTATTTGACTTCCTGTATTTGGCTTATTTCACTTAGCGTAATGTTTGCCCATTCCATCCATATGAATTTCAGGACGTTTTTGAGGCTTCTTTTTATCTCTTCACAAGCTCCTCTTAAGTTCTGAAGCTCTATCAATCTTCTACAGTTAGTTCAGTATCAGTTACCTCCAGAATTCTATTATTAGACTGATATATCCATTTCATTTTTAGTACCAAATATACATATATTTATATATAATCCCATACAGGATTAATCTCTCTTAAATACAACATAAACATAAACAAAAGCAGATTTTAAAAGATGAAATAAAGATACAATGAACAATATTTTACGGCTTCCTTATTGAGATGGCTTTAGAACATCATTATCTTTATTCTTGAGTGACATTAATAAGTAATGATAGCATATTATGTAAAAATCTTGTTTCAAAAAGGGATCTTGAAAGTTTAGGTTTTTGGCTAAATTTTTGTTAAATCTGATGAGTCACTGTTTTTACCTCTAAATGACTCATGCTGGAAATAGCAGAAGTATTAGCATCCCACTTTCAAAATGAGCTGTCTACACACACACACATACACACACACTCATGTGTGTATGTATATATATATATATATATATATATATGCACACACACACACACAATACTAGGTTATTCGTGTGTACTTTTATGAAGATGGTTTTTCAGTCAAACTTCTGACAATTCTACCTAAACAGGAATTTCTCATTTAGATGCTGAAAACAAAAATACTTCTTTGTGTTAATTTCCATTCACATATATTGTAATTTCTTTATGATTGGCCTTAAGTAATTTAGAAAATATTTTTCTCTTAATTTATTTAAATATTTGCTAGGTTAAGTAGTTTAAATGTATGATTTATTGGAAACAATTAAGATGGCCAGGCATGGTGACTCACGTCCCTAATCCAAGTGCTATGGGAGGCCAAAGTGAGAGGGTTGCTTGGAGTTTAAGACCATCCTAGGCAACAAAGCAACACCCCATCTCTACAAAAAATAAAATTACAAAATTGTCTGGGCATGGCGGCATGCACTTCTAGTTCTAGCTACTTGGGCATCTGAGATGGGAAGATCCCTTGAGCCCAGGAGTTCGAGGCTGCAGTGAGCTATGACCACACCACTGCACTCCAGCCTTGGTGACAGAGAAAGACTGTACAAATAAATACATATAATTAAGATGATTTCCTGGACTTTTGTTTCTACACTTGCGTTATGTCTTATTCAGATCTCTCTCTTTGGCTGCATCATTTGATAAAAGAAAAGAAAGAATAAAAGAGAATGCAATCTCCTAACAGAGGGATCCCTTTTGGATTTTTCCTGCCAAATATATTTTAATATTATGGTAAAGTTGTATTTAGTAAAAAATATTTTATGTCATTCATTACTCAACATTCACTTATTAAAATATATTTGAATGCATAATATTTTTGAGCACTATTCTGGATAATGTAGATGTCTTTTTTAAGAGTTGGTATCTGCTTCCTTCCTTTATATAGTAACTCTGGGTCTTAAATTAACTGAATTGACAGGGTTCCACCCAAATTTCCTCTGGCAGCTTTTTCTTTTAAACCTACTGCAAATACAATTTCTTCAAGTCAATAGAAAATAGGTAGTCCTTATCAACCACAAATAATTACTTAACTGTGTATGAGCAGGCACATAAGGGTCAGTCCCCACCCTCAAAGCCTGAGTTTAGAATAAATCCTGGAAATAGTGCTCAGTTTATCAGGGAATATGAAAGTTGACATTTCTATAGTTAACATGCTTTGTCTCTGGTACTGACAGAAGAAAAGAAAAGACTGATCTAATCATTCCACTGTTCCAAATTACATCATAGATAGTGACTTAAAATGAAAACATACTTCATAGACCTACTCTGTAAGGTTTCTATTTCGTGCTGTGACAAAGTATTTAGGGACTGCAAATGACAGATGTGAAGTACATTAGCGAAATGAATAGTTACATCGTCCCACCAGAGGAAGCACTTTTTTTTATCACAACAATTTATCATGAAAGAGGTGGTGATTTAAGAGAAAACATTGAAACGAAAGTACGTATTGCAAAGGAAGTTAGCAAATTGAAATTATGACTAAAACACTAGTAAGCAGAAGCTTTTGTAAATGCTTTGGAAGAGCATTTTTGTGACTGATTTTAATACGTTGAAATTAAACTGTATTACTTAAAAGGTGAATAAGTGAAAAAATGTACAAGTCTCAGAGTACCTCATGTCAAAGGAAAGAAGGAAGCTTAACCGCGACTTAGATATTACTTGCATATTTCGCTCACTGGCTTTAGAGTATCATTACCTGTATTCTTGAGTGAGATTAGTAATGAATGTAAGTATATTATGTAAAGCGTTGTTTCAAAAAGAGAGCTTGAAAATTTTTTTTTTGGTTAAATTTTTGGTTAGATCTGATTAGACTGTCACTATTTTTACCTTATAAGACTATTGATACTTGAAATAGTAGAACTATCATCATTCCACTTTCAAAACCAGCAGCCTTTCTCTCTCTCTCTCTCTCTCTCTCTACACACACACACACACACACACACACACACACACACACACACAGAGTTATTATTATGTATTTCATGAAGATAGCTTATCAACCAAACTTCTGAGTGGGTAGAATCTTGCCTAAACAGGAATTTCTCAGTTGGTTGCTGAAAATAAAGTACCCATACATGTATATTTTGATGTGCATATATTTTAATTTATTTAGTTGTAATTAGCCCTCAATGTTTTTAAAACTGTTGCTCTCTTAATTTAAGTAAATTAAGAATCATTTAACTTTTTTTGGATCATTCAACTGATATTGTGGCAAATACTGAATTTCCACTGCCTAAGTATCTGGTAAATATTTTTTTCATTCCATTCAAACATTTTAGAAATAAATACAAGTCTAAGTTCAGAATCTAAATGCTTAAAAAGCAGATAAATTTGATTAATTCTATTTTATTTTATTTTCTTTGCTTATCAATAGCTATTAATGTTTAGAAAGTGTTATTTCAAGGCCATGTGTGTTCAAGAAGACCTCTAGAGACAAATGTGTATAATAAGTTATTATAAATGCCAAAATTACAAAAGGGAAACCTGATTTTGAGACAGGAGATTTGGGTGTAGATGCAGGGAACCAAAGGCTGTTTCACACCAACTTCATAGAACTGAATTGAAAGGAAAACTCTCACTTTTCACACCTAAGTAACAAAAGGACCAGGGGCTACTCCCTTTGCGAACCCCATTTTTTTCTGCGTGGCAGATGAGAAATTGGCTGTCCCCAGCAAATCAGACTGATTGCAGGTGGAATCTTCCTTTGCAGCTTTGTAACTTCACTCCAGCCTCTGAATGGTTGCTGTCCACAACCGATCAGATTGATTGTGGTGAGCCTTCATTTGCATGCAATGTATAACTTTGTAACTTCACACTAGCCTCTGATGGTTGCTTCTTGCAACCAATGAGATGTTTGCACAGGAGTGTGACCTTGGCAACTTCATTTCAGCCTCTGGTTGGCTGCTTTCTGCAACCAATCAGACTGATTGTGGGCTACCACTTCATTTACATGAGGTGAGCATGAAGTGGCCAATGGGAAACTTCTAGGGGGTATTTGCACCCAAGAAGATTCTCTATCCTGGCCCTTGAGCCATTGCTCGGGTCTGCTCCCACACTGTGGAGTGTACTTTTGTTTTCAATAAATCCCTGCTTTCATTCTTCTGCTGCTTCATTCTTTCTTTGCTTTGCGGGGCATTATGTCCAATTCTTTGTTCAAAACGCCAAGGAACTGGACAACTTGCAGTCACAACCCACTACTGGTGACACTTTGGACAGAGGAAAGTCAATTTTTCAATCTTTCACAAACTTTACTGCATGTAAAGAACCTCCTCTACAAGGCTCTTAAGACACAGAAATGGAAAGATACAGCTCAGAAACTTGGGAGGTCACTTTAAAAAAATGAGGTAGTTAACATACAATTTCAATACAGCACAGATATGCTGTAATAAAAGTATTTTTAATATGCTGTGAAAGAAGAATAAAGTGCCTCAATCTGTGAGAAATTTGTAGGCAAATCAGCCCAGAGAAGGAAATCTATAGGTACGTTGCCAGGACATAGAAGTTTCCCAAAGCAGAAACCAACCCTACCCAGCCCAAGTTGGAAGGGTGAATACAGCCAGTCAGGATACTTCTATTTTTCTGATCAGTCATTGCATTAGGAATGGCTGCATTAAATGATACAGGACAACATTAGAAGAAATATGTAGGCAGAAAGGTCCTGGGAAAAGTTCAGGAGAAACCTAAAAATGTGCACATATTTTCAGAAAATGTGCAAAACTTGGGGAGGTTGCTTTAACTGAAAACGGTCCAAAGCTTACTCAGAGTTACATTTTGCATTTGCAAGCTAAATGACTTAACTTTTCTCATTGATCAAAATAATAGAGTGTGTGTGTGTGTGTGTGTGTGTGTGTGTGTGTGTGTGTGTGTGTTAGTCTGTTCTCACATTGGTCTTGCTATAGACCTACCTACCTGAGACTGAGTAACTTGTAAAAAAGAAAAAAAGAGGTTTCATTGACTCACAGTTCCACAAGCTGTACAGGAAGCATGGCTTGGAGACCTCAGGAAACTTATAATCATGACAGAAGGCAAAAGGGAAACAGTCAAGTCTTACATGGCTGGAGAAGGAGAAAGAGACAGGGGAGGAGGTGCTACACACCTTTAAACAACAAGATCTTATGAGAACGCATTCACTATCACAAGAATAGCAAGGGGGAAGTCTGCCTCCATGATCCAATCACCTCCCACTAGGCCCTTCCTCTAACATTGGGAATTACGATTTGACATGAGATTTGTGCAGGGTCACAAATCCAAACCATATGATTCTGCACTTGGCAATTCCCAAATTTCACATCTTTCTCACATTGCAAAATACAATTTTAACTCTTCAATAGTCCCCAATTCTTACCTTATTTCAGCATTAACTCAAAGTCTCATCTGAGACAAGTTAAGTCCCTTCTGCCTATGAGACTGTTAATCTGAAGAGTTAGTGACTTCCAAGGTACAATGAGGGTATAGGCATTGGGTACATATTCCCTCTCCAAAAGGAGAAATCAGCCAAAACAAAGTGTTACAGGCCCCATGAAAGTTCACAATCCAGCCAAGCAATCATTAAATCTTAAAGCTCCATAGTAACCTCCTTTGACTCCATGTCTCATATCCAGGCCACACTGATGCAAGAGGTGGGATTCCAAGCTCTGGGGAAATTTTGCCCCTGTGGCTCTGCAGGGCTCAGATCCCAAGCTTGCTCTCAAGGCCTGCCATTGAGTGTCCATAGCTCTTCTAGGCACACAGTGCAAACTCTCAGTGGATCTACCATTCTGGGGTCTGGAGGATGGTGACCCTCTTCCCACAGCTCCACTAGGCAGGTTCCCCAGTGGGGACTCTGTATGTGGGCTCGAATCCCACATTTCCCCTCTTCACTGCCCTAGTAGAGGTTCTCTATGAGGGCTCCACCTCTGCAGCAGACTTCTGCCTGAACATCCAGGCATTTTTCATACATCCTTCAGGCTCTAGGCAGAGGCTTCCAAGCCTCAACTCTTGCCCTTTTCACACCTGCAGGTTTAACAACACATGGAAGCCACCAATGCTTATGGCTTGAACCCTCTGCAGCAGTGGCCTGCGATGTATCTGGGGCCCTCTTAGCTACTGCAGGAGCTGGAACAGCTGGGATGCAGGGAGCAGTGTCCCAAGGTTGTGCAGGGCAGTGGGGCCCTCTGCCCAACCCATGAAACTGTTCTTCCCTCCTAGGCCACTGGACCTGTGACTGAAGAGACTGATGCAAAGGTCTCTGAAGTGCCTTTAAGGTTTTTACCCCATTGTCTTGGCTATTAGCATTTGGCTCCTCCATCCTTTGGCAAATTTCTGCAGCCTGCTTGAATTCCTCCCTTTGAAAATGGGATTTTCTTTTCTACCACATGGCCAGGCTGCAAATTTTCCAAACTTTTATGATCTGCTTTACTTTTAAATATATTTCAGTTTCAGATCATTTTTTTGCTCATGCATATAAGCTTATGCTGTTGGAAGCAGACAGGCTGCATATTGAAAACTTTACTGCTTAAAATTTTTTTCTGCTAGACACCCTAAATCATCTCTCTCAAGTTCAAAGTTTCACATCTCTCTAGGGCAGAAGAACAATGCTTCCAATCTCTTTGTTAATGCATAATAAAAGTGACCTTTGCTCCAATTTCCAATAAGTTCCTCATCTCCTCTGAGACATTCTCAGCCTGGACTTCACTGTCCATATTGCTAGCAGCATTTTGGTCACAACAATTTAACAAGTCTAGGAAGTTCCAAACTTTCCCTCATCTTCCTGTCTTCTTCCTAGCCATCCACATTCTTCCATCCTCTGCCCATTACCCAGTTTCAAAGTTGCTTCCACATTTACAGGCATCTTTAGAGTAATACCCTACTCCTAGTACCAATTTTCTGTATCAGTCCATTCTTGCTTTGCTATAAAGAAAAACCTGAGACTGGGTAATTTGTAAAGAAAAGAGATTTAATTGACTCACATTTCCACAGCCTGTACAGAAAGCATGACCAGGGAGGCCTCAGGGAACTGACAATCATGGCAGAAGGCAAAGGGAAAGCAAGGATGTCTTACATGGTTGGAAAAGAAGAGAGAATAGGAAGTTGCTACATAATTTTAAACAACCAGATCCCATGAAAGTGCACTTAGTATCATGAGAACAGAAATGGGGAATCCACCCCCATGATCCAATCACCTCTCACCAGGTCCCTCCTCCAACATTGGGGATTTAATTCAACATACAATTTGGGCAGGGACACAAATCCAAACCATATCAATATGTATGTATAACTATCCTAGTCACCTCACTATCAACACTTAAAACAAAAAGACAAGAGAAAGATTGAACAGGCAGCTCAAAGTGATGACATATCACCTAATGATCTGTTCATTAATAAAATTTCAACCTAAGTGATTCACTCTCTTGTGTGTTGATATCAAAGTTCAGATATGTGGTGGCTTATGCCTCTAATCCCAGCACTTTGGGAGGCTAGCAAGGGCAAATCACCTAGATCAGGAGTTTGAGACCAGCCTGGCCAACATGGTGAAACTTCGTCTCTACTAAAAATACAAAAACTAGCAGGGTGTGGTGGCACATGCCTGTAATTCTAGCTATTAGGGAGGCTGAGACACAAGAATTGCCTGAACCTGGGAGGCAGAGGTTGCAGTGAGCTGAGATCGCACCACTGCACCCCAGCCTGGGTGACAGAGTGAGACTCCATTTCAAAAAATAATAATAATAATAAGTGTAGATATCTTTGCAACGCTTCAGTCTTTATTAGCTAATGTAATAATGCATAATGTGAGGGGTTAGATGTAAAAAGAGTAATTGGTGTTTGGGAGAGTGCTGGAAGCAGGAGATCCAGCAAAGGGTTCAAATCAAAGGAATGGCAAAAGTAGAAGTGAAATTAGGATAGAGACTGAATTACTATATCATAATTTTGTCTAGCACTAGTCTCAAACACAATCTGTCAGCTGAAGTCTATTTCTTTTCAGAAAGGTAAATTTTTTAATCTAAATTTTTGTCTTTATTAATCAATTCTATCATAAACATGGGTCTAGGTGGACATATTCCATATTAGCATTTGCAGGTTTATTATGAAACAATGACTGAAAATTGCTACCATTACTGAAATTACTACATGCTGGAATTGTGCTTGATATGCATCATTGCATTTAATGCTTATAGCAAAACTATGAGGCAGATATAGTGTTTACATTCCCTGATAAAAGCAAAGCTCAGTTGCCCAGCATCACAGAACTTGTAAGTAGCAAAAGGAAGATTCAAAACTAGGGTTTCTGAATGCAAAGCCTGTGCTCTACATGTGGATTATGGCTTCTAGGAAGAAACATGTCAGTAATTAGCCACAAAGTGTGGCATCTCTATGCCCTAGAGATAATAATTTTAGTGTCTAATTTTTGAGTGTTGAGATAATCTATTGAGGTGTTTATAATTTTTTATACAACAATATCAAATTTCCTTGTCAAGAAATGTTGACACTGCTTTTTAACAGACTGAGTGCAGACGAAGTATTTGGAAGGATTAATAATTCATTTACCAAATACTTGAAACCACTCCTATAACAACTTATGCCTAATTTACTTCCAATTACACACCTTTATAAAAATTAAGATTTTTAGATTTATATTAGGATAGTAATATTAACAACCGCTCTTGAAATTTTATGGAAACCAATGAGTCAATATTCATGAAGTACCTTGTAATTTCTAGTTTAAAGGTGTTTAATTTAAAAAAATATATAGATTCTAATAAAAAGGTCAGGTGTGAAATTTATTGAACTGAAAGCAAGTTGTTCTTTATGTGTAATTAATCATGGGTCCTACATTGACATGAACTAAAAAACTCTAGCTTACTGCAACTCAACCTCACTAGAATAGCCAAATGAGAGAACAAATTGTCCAAGTAACATCAACCTAAAGAATACAATAGAAATTAACATAAGTATAAATGTCATAATTGCTGTCATTTAATATTCATTGGCTGCCTGCTGAGTGGATATAACTATGATAAATGCTGTAAGAGTTTTAAAGAGAGGGAGGATACCCTGGGTCAATAGTATAGGAAAAATTAAGTTATATAGTATGATTTTAATAGTTTTAGAACACAGATCCCCTTCAATTTATAGCAAGCATTATTTACTCACAACTACATTGTTTATAAAATTTTATAAATTATTTGTATTATAAAATATTTGATACAGATGAAAGACCATGTATAAACACTTACATATTTTAAAGCATAATAATAAACCAGATACCACTATATGTACTAACTGATCCTCCTGTATCTCTTACTTTTAATCTTTCACCCCAAAGTACCAGTACCCTAAATTTTCTTGTGTATGCTTTTTCCATTAATGATTTTAGCATGCATGTATCTATCCCTGAACAACAAATCAGTTTGTTTTTGAAATTTATAAAAATGGTATTATACTTTGTTATCTTTTTTCTCTTTCTCTTTTTATTTTTCTCTTTCTTCATTGTTTCTAAGACTTATACCTTTATTTCTTTACATTACTGAAAAATATTATGTTATTTGAATATACTTCAGTTTAATTTTTAGTTCTCCATATATTCATGGAGGTCATTTTCAAGTTTTTGTTTTTATTTTTTGTTTGTTTATAGTGCTGCAAACAAAGCTGCTATAACCCACTTTGTATTTGTCTCCCAGGGCAGGTGTGCAAGTTTCTTGGCCTATATGTCTAGAAATATAATTGCTGAGTGTTAGGCATCATTTTTTTGCTAAGTCAATGAAGCAAAATATACACTTTCACTCGATTTACATCCACACCACCACTTGGTATTGTCAGGCATCTTACTTGTTACCAACCTCAGGGACATTTCTGTTGATTTTTCAAACTCTATTGAGATTTTGTTTAGAACTTTATTGAATCTGTGGATCAGTTTGTGGAGAAATGGCAGGCTTAAACTCAGTATAACTCACCATTCATTTAAATTTTATTTAATGACTTCCATTATATTTCATAATATTTTCTAGGCAGGTCTTCCAATTTTTATTATATATACTGTTACCTGTATTTCTTGTAAATGGTAAGTGCTTTGTTTTGTTTTGTTTTGTTTGAGATGGAGTCTCGCTCTGTCGCCAGGCTGAAGTGCAGTGGCACGATCTCGGCTCAGCCTCCCGAGTAGCTGGAACTACAGGCGCCTGCCACCATGCCCAGTTCATTTTTGTATTTTTCAGTAAGACGGGGATTCACCATGTTGGCAGGTTTGGTCTTGATCTCTTGACCTCGTAATCCACCTACGTCAGCCTCCCAAAGTGCAGGGATTACAGGAGTGAGCCACCACATCTGGCCCAAGTGGTATTTTTTAATGGAGCAAAATGCATTTGACTTTTATATATTGAGTCTGTATCGATCTACTTTGTCCATCTTTCTTATTATTTTGAATAATTCATACGTTATATACATGTGTAATAATATATACATAATAGCAGCTTTGTTTATTCTTTTCAATCCTAACATATTGTACTTCTTTTTCTTTCATTTCTTTTCTTTTCTTTTTCTTTTTTTTTTTTTTTTGTTTAGTTTTGAGACAGAGTCTTGTCCTGTCATCCAGGCTGGAGTGCAAGGGGGTGATTTCAGTTCACTGCAACATCGGCCTTCCAGGTTCAGCAATTCTCCTGCCTCAGCCTCCCCAGTAGCTGGGATTACAGGGGCGCACCACCAAGCCTGGCTAATTTTTTTTTATTTATTTTTATTTATTTATTTTTCTGAGATGGAGTCTCACTCTTTTCACCTGGGTTGTAGTGCAATGGCGAGATCTCGGCTCACTGCAACCTCCGCCTCCTGGATTCCGGCAATTCTCCTGTCTCAGCCTCCTGAGTAGCTGAGATTACATGCCTATGCCACCATGTCCAGCTAATCTTTGTATTTTTAGTAGAGACGGGGTTTTGCCATTTTGGCCAGGCTGGTCTCAAACTCCTGACCTCAGGTGATCCACCCACCTCGGCCTCCCAAACTGTTGGGATTACAGGCGTGAGCCGCTGCGCCCAGCCTAATTTTTGTATTTTTATTAGAGATGGGGTTTCATCATTTTGGCCAGGCTGGTCTTGAACTCCCAACCTCAAGTGATCTGCCCACTTTGGCCTCCCAAAGTGCTGGGTTACAAGCATGAGCCACCACTCCTGGCCATACTTCTTTTTCTTACTGTGCCAGGTTTTCAGCACAACTTTCAAAGAAGTGAAAATAAAAGTCATTTTTGTCTTTTTCCTGATTTTATTTATTTATTTATTTATTTATTTATTTATTTATTGAGATAGAGTCTCACTCTTTCACCCAGGCTGGAGTGCAGTGGTGTGATCTCAGCTCATGGCAACTTCTGCCTCCGGGGTTCAAGTGATTCTTGTGTATCAGCCTACCGAGTAGTTGGGATTACAGGCATGCGCCACCACACCTGGCTAATTTTTGTATTTTTAGTAGAGACGGGATTTTACTATGTTGGCCAGGCTGGTCTCTAACTCCTGACCTCAGCAGATCCACCTGCCTCAGCCTTCCAAAGTGCTGGGATTACAGGCATGAGCCACTGCACCAGGCCTCGTCTTTTTCCTGATTTTAAAGCGATATGACTAATGTTTTCTATTAAGACTGATAGTTTCTACGGATGCTTAAATTTAACACGTTATCATTCTAAAGATGTTTTAAAATATCATACTTTTAGAAATTAGAAATGAACACTGAGTTTCATCAAACAATTCTTTTCTGTATCTATTGAAGTGATTCCATTTTTTTCCCTTTTAGCCACTTAGGGTGATAAATTCACTTGAAAATTTTCTAAGTTCATAGTTGTTTCAAGTTGAATTCTTGTGATAAATTAAAACTGCTTTTTTCCTATACATCAATGGATTTTTATTTTCTTATACACTAGTGGATTTGACATTTATCTTTTATTTACACCATTTTTGCTTAATTTTAGTTTCCATGTTGTACAAATCTTATAGGCCAGGTTGCTTTTCTTCCCCCATTCTCAATATTCATATAAAATGGATTTAAATGATATATTCTTTAAAAATTTGATTAAACTCACATGTAAAATTATCTGGGTTTGATGTTTTCTCTGTGGGAAGACTTTTAAATACTTGAAAGTTGTTATAGGACTACTCTAGCATAATTTTTTAATCAGCCAAGACAAATTATTTTTGTCTTAAAATGTATCCTTTGGGTAAATATTACAAATTAATCCGAATAAAATTATTTTTAATTCTGTCTTTATTACCTTCTACTGAAAAACCACCTTTCTTGGCAATAACAAAAAGAATTAACACAAAGTGTATATTCAAAATTCGAATTGCCCAACCTATCACTCATAATTTTGTAACTATCTTAGAGGCAATAAATTATCATTATTCATTTTAAAGATGAAGAAACTAAATCACAGAAAAGATTGCTCAGCTTAAGTGTTATAGTTGGCCAGGCATGGTGGCTCATGCCTGTAATCCCAACACTTTGGGAGACCAAGCCAGGTGGATCCCTTGAGGTCAGGAGTTCAAGACCAGCCTGGCCAACATGAAAAAACCCAATCTCTACTAAAAATACAAAAAATTAGCGGGGCATCACAGTGCAAGCCTGTAATTCCAGCTACTAGGGAGGCTTAAACCCTGGAGGCTTGACATTGCTAGAATCCGAGGGAATCGTTTGAACCCGGGAGGTGTAGGTTGCAGTGAACCGAGATCACACCACTGCACTCCAACCTGGGCAACAGAGTGAGACTCTGTCTGAAAAAAAAAAAAAAAAGAAAAGAAAAGAAAAAGAAGAAAGAAAAGAAAGAGAGAAAGAGAGAGAGAGACAGGGAGGGAGAGGAAGGAAGGAAAAAAGGAAGGAAGGAAGGAAGGGAGGGAGGGAGGAAGGAAGAATAAAGTGGCATAGTCAAAATTTACTTCTAAGATGTTTTGTTTCAGAGCCTGTGTTCACTAGAATTGTCTGTCCACTAGAAGTCCTGTGGTTTCATGTCTTGTCTTTCATCAGAAAAGTTCTCCGTTTTCCTTTTGTCAATTTAAAAAAATTTCAACTACAGTCAGGATGGCAGGTTTATAGAAACATTTCTCCTATTCTCACCATCTGGTTGAAGTGAAATTAGAAGTTCCCAAAGTGAAGAATATTGTATTCATAGAAGATGGACAATGTTCTCAGCAGACACAGGCATTGGAATGGAAAAAAAATAATCCAAATAACAAGAACAATGTTATACTTCAAAGGAATCATCTCCTTTTACTAATAGAGCTTCATGTGTAGTAAAAAGTTTAACATTGCTGGGCGTGGTGGCTCACGCCTGTAATCCCAACACTTTGGGAGGCCAAGGCGGGTGAATCGCTTGAGGTCAGGAGTTCGAGACCAGCCTGGCCAACACGGCAGAACCCCTTCTCTACTAAAATACAAAAATTAGCTGGGCATTGTGGTGCAAGCCTGTAATCCCAGCTACTAGGGAGGCTTGAACCATGGAGGCTTAAGGACGTTGCTAGAATCCGGGGTAATGGCTTGAACCCGGAAGGTGGAAGTTGCAGTGAACCGAGATAACACCACTGCACTCCAGCCTGGGCAACAGAGTGAGACTCTGTCTCAAAAAAAAAAAAAAAAAGAAAGAAAAGAAAGAAAGAGAGAAAGAGAGGGAGGGTGGAAGAGAGGGAGGGAGGGAGGGAGAGAGGAAGGAAAGAAGGGAGGGAGGGAGGAAGGAAGAATAAAGTGGCAAAGTCAAAATTTACATCTAGGATGTTTTGTTTCAGAGCCTCTGTTCACTAGAATTGTCTGTCCACTAGGAGTCCTGTGGTTTCATGTCTTGTCTTTCATCAGAAAAGTTCTCTGTTTTCCTTTTCTCAATTTAAAAAAAATTCAACTACAGTCAGGATGGCAGGTTTATAGAAACATTTCTCCTATTCTCACCATTTGGTTGAAGTGAAATTAGAAGTTCCCTAAATGAAGAGTATTGTATTCATAGAAGATGGACAAGGTTTTGAGCAGACACAGGCATTGGAATGCAAAAAAAAAAAAAATAATGAACATAACAAGAACAATGTTATACTTCAAAGGAATCATCTCCTTTTACTAATAAAGCTTCATGTGCAGTAAAAAATTTTAACCTGGCAGGGGGCCGTTGTTCATGCCTGTAATCCCAGCACTTTGGGAGCCTGAGGTGGGTGGATTGCGAGGTCAGGAGTTCAAGGACAGCCTGGCCAAGATGGCGAAACCCCATCTCTACTAAAAATACAAAAAAATTAGCAGGTGCTTGTAATCCCAGCTACTCAGGAGGCTGAGGCAGAGAACTGCTTGAACCTGGAGGCAGAGGTTGCAGTAAGTCAAAATCATGCCACTGCACTCCAGCCTAGGCAACAGAGAAAGACTCCATCTCAAAAAAAAAAAAAAATCTTACCCTAGGAGATGTATGGCCTCTGCCATGGGCTCCTTAGAGGTAATCCTTAAGCTCTTAGAATGTCCTGCTTGATAAAAGTGTTTTTTTGTTTTTAACCTGGAGGCCTTGGGCCACTTCAAATAATCAATGCTAACAATGTGATTTATGTTAGAGAGTTTGAGTTACACATTACTAGCTTGACTTCTGGAGGGTCTGGAGAGTGAAGTCGGAACCATTGAAGATCAGCCAGGTCTATAAGACTGAACTCCAATAAAACCTCTGGACATCAAGGCTCGAATGAACTTCCCCAGTTGGTAATACTCCATGCATATGTTCACATTGTAAGTAGGAGGAGTTAACAATATTTCTCTACTGAATATGGGCAACTAGAAGCTTCACATTTGAACTCTCCTGAACTGGCCCTCATATGTTTCTTCCCTTAACCGATTTTAGTCTGTATTCTTTCATAGTAATAAACTAGAACCATGAGTTTCATAGCTTTCAGTGAGGTTTGTGAGTCCTTTTAGTGAATTATCACAACTGAGAGGAGTCATGAGAACCTCTAAATTCTACAAGTGATGTCAGAATGAGGGTGTTCTTGTGGACTCTTCTCCAAATTTGTACTTAGTAATGACACACATTTGTTTGCCTGATTCCCAGCTCTCTTAGGATAGGTCTTCTTGGGAAATGCTTTCATTTCTAATGCAAAGAAAATTGTGCAGGCAGCCACGTTAAGGCAAGTCACATGTTCAGTTTTCTACAATGGATCTAATTCATGCTACTGTATATGTATATCTGTATATCATGACATATATGTGTGTGATGTGTGTGTATGCGTGTATATATGTGTGTATATATACACACATATTTTCATGTATATATGTACATACATATGTGTGTGTATATATATACATATACTCACATACATATAATTGATTAACTATCTTTCTTTTTAGACTGCAAGCTTCAAAAGGCAATTATCTTGTCTGTCTTATTAGTTTACAGGGTTTTTATTTATTTGCCATTCAGAATTGATAGACTTACCAATTGATTCACTGATTTAATCATTTAGTGAACATTATTGTTTGCTATATGCCAGGCACTGGTCTATATGCTGTGTATCCCACAGTAAAGAGTTCAAATCAGACAAAAGTTTCTACCCTTATGACTCTTACAATCTATCAAGAAAGATATATATAATATATATATATATCTTGTTGCCAGGAGGAGTTAACACTATTTCTCTGCTGAAAATGGACAACTAGAGTCTTCACATTTGAACTCTCTTGAATTAGTCTTCGTGTGTCTCTTCCCTTAACTAATTTTAATCTGTATCCTTTTATAGTAATAAACTATAACAATGAGTTTCAGTTTATAAACACACACACACATATATATATATATATACACAACTATGTATTTTCTCAGATGGTAGTAAATTCAGTGGAGAAAATGAAGACCTTGGAAAAGGAATGACAAATTTAGGACTGAAGCTTTTTTTAATAGTGTTGTCAGAAAGGGTCCTTTTATAAGGTGACATTTAAGCAGATACCTGAAGTGCAAAAGCCATGTGCCAGTGCTAAGCTGGTAACTGAGACAGACAATGTCCTGTGAAAATTAGGGTGGAACTTGAAGTCCTCCAGGAGACCAGCACTTGCACTAGTAGAGTTGAATTGAGTTTGGAGGTGGGGCAAGAGGAATTATAGAAGGTGAAGTTAAACAGATACAGGTGAGTTCAGGTTATGTAGGGATCTGTGGGTCAGTGGTAGAGCTTTGGCTTCAATTCTGAATGAACATGAATTGTCATTAGACAATTTTGACTAGAGCAGTGTCATGATGCAATTTACATCTTAAAATGATTACTCTGACTGCTGTGTTGAGCATGGACTATATAAGGCCAAAATTGGGAGCAGAAAGTCCAGGTAAGAGACAGATGGGGAAATCTAGGAAAGGCAATAATGGTGGCTTGGACCAGTATCAAGGTGGTGGTAGCAGTAAAAAGTGAAGCGATTTTGAATAGATTGTGAAGATAGAGTTCATGGGCCAGGCAGAGTGGCTCATGCCTGTAATCCTAGCACTTTGGGAGGCTGAGGTGGGGAGATCCCTTGAGTCCCGGAGTTGGAGATCAGCCTGGGCAATACAGTGAGACTCTACAAAAAATACAAAAATTACCTGAGTGTGGTGGTGTGTGCCTGTAGTCCCATTTACTTGGGAAGCTGAGATGGGAGGAACCCTTGAGTCTAGGAGGTGGAGGCTGCAATGAGCTGTGATGGTGCTACCGCACTCCACCCTGGGCAACAGAGTGATATCATGTCTCAATAACAACAACAAAAAGATAAAGCTCACAGAATTTGCTGATGGGTTAGACTGGGTGTGAGAGAGAAGTCAAGGGTAATTGAGAGGATTGTATTTCAAGTAAGAGGACAGAATTGCTTATAACTTAAAGGTGGAAGTATACACAATTCAGTTTCAGATTTCAGTTCATTCTCACACTGATGTAAAGAAAATACCTGAGATTGAGTAACTCATAAAGAAAAGAGGTTTGACTGGCTCACAGTTTTGCAGTCTGTACAGGAAGTATAGTGGCTTCTGCTTCTGGGGAGGTCTCAGGAAACTTATAATCATGGTGGAAGGCAAAGGAGAAGCAGGCATATCTGACATGGTCAGGGCAGGAGCAAGAGAGAGTGCGGAGAGGTGTCACACACTTTGAAACAACTAGATCTCATGAGAACGCACTATTGCAATGATAGGTCCAAGTGGGATGGTGTTAAACCGTGAGAAACCACCTCCACGATTCAATCACCTTCCACCAGGCCCCACCTTCAACAATGAGGATTAAAATTGAACATCAGATTTGTGAGGGGGACGCAGATTCAAACCATATCAGAGGATTTGTTTTGTTTGGGGTTTTTTGTTTCTTTTTTGTTCTGTTTGGAGGAGTAAATAGGGGAAGAGAAGTGGAGAAGTTTAGTTTTGGAAAATGTTTTAGACCTTTGAAGGGCAAAGCCAAGTAACCAGTTCTAGGTGCTAGGATCATAGTTAAAACATAACAAATATAAACAACGAAGTCCTGAGCTTTGCAAGGCTCCCAACTGTCCTCTTCACCATGACATTCCTAAGGCCTTGCACAGTGTCTTGCTCTTAGGTGTTCAATAAATATTCAAGACACGAAGGAAAAAAGAATTGATCATTAAAATTTAAAATCCTGCCAGGATTTTGCCTCTATAGGAGCTATGCAGCAGGTGTACTTGAGGATAGTGCCTGGCAAATTCCTCATAATTCAACTTCAGATCTATGCATTTCTGATGTCTACCCATTGAGTAACATGCTTCCTGTAACATATTTGATTTTGAACAGTTATATCCATGTGAGTGGTTAGTCAGAAAATAGACCTCCAGATAAGTAAATAAGTTAAATTGAACAACATGCTTTAGTGTTATTTATTAAAATACCGGATGATTTGGTGTAAAACAATAACTCTGATTTTTCCATAATTGATAGATGTTTTTCTGACAATAATCGGCCAAGATATTCCACTGTGTCTCGAGGCCACTCCTGAAAAGAGGAAGTTTGTTTTCCTGTTGTTCTGACAGGAAGAGGTGGATCTACTTCATCAACATGCAGTACCAAATTGTTAGGATACAAGCTAAAAAGGAGGGGTGAGTTAAGATATGGCACTCTTTAGTGTCGTATATCTATATAGCATCATGTGTGTGCTTAGGTGTGTTTGCCCACGTACTGAGTTTGAAATGCTAAACAAATCTCTTGCTATGGGTTGCAGGCAAATCAATTTTAAAATGCTGATGTGACAGTAGAAACCAGGGCTTTGAGATGGGATTCAGGCACCACCTCACTGCCACTTACTAGCAAATGACATCAGACTCACTCTATTCTTAAGCCTCAGATATTTACTTCTTTTCTTTTTTTCTCCAGCTTTATTGAGGTATAATAACAGAAGTGTATATGTTTAAGGTGTACAACATGATGTTTTAATACAAATATACATTGTGACAGAATTAACACAAATCAATTGACACAATCATCACTTCACATGGTTATCTTTGGGTCTTTGTGGTGAGAACAATGAATATCTACTCTCTTACCTAATTTCAACGATACAATAATGCAGTAATGTTAGGTATAGTCACCATGCAGTACCTTTGATCTCCATAATTTGTTCAGCCTGCATAACTGAAACATTGTACTCTGACCAATATCTCCCTATTTCCCAATTTCTCCTGTCCCAGACCCTGGCAACCACGATTCTACTCTCTGTTTCTATGAGTTTGGCTATTTTAGATTCTATGTATAAGTGAGATGACACAATATTTATCTCTCTGTGCCTGGCTTATTTCACTTAGCATAGTGTCTTCTAGGTTCATCCATGTCATCACAAATAGCAGGGTTTCCTTCTTATTTATGGGTGAATAATATATTTCATCATATATGTATATACCACATTTTCTTTATCCATTCATCTGTCCACAGGTGCTTATTTCTATATTCAGATCTTCATTTGAAAAATGGTGAGGCGTACTTATTTCACAGAGTTATCTCAAAATGAACATACATTTTCATCCACCAAATGCTTTAAACTGGCTGGTTCTGTAGGGCAAAAAAACTCACACTTTTTTTCCCCTCTACTCTCACACCACAACAACAATCAAAACAGAAGACTTCTGTGTGTGTGTGTGTGTGTGTGTGTGTGTGTGTGTGTTTTGTTGCCACAGAGCAAGAAAGCAGTCAATTATATTGTTAGACATTAGCTGGGTGTTCTCCAATTCAATTTGGATGCTATCTACCTGGAGATAGCAGAGCCTGCTACCTTCTAGGAAACTCCACATGTTCAGGTATCCGGAAGCTCCCCTATCCCTGTCCTCTTGGGCCTTTATGGAGACTTCATGATTGAAGCATGGATAATTGTCCTGATACATGATTGAACAAAACTGTTATGATCTAATACTAATAGACTGAATGGAGAAACACAGAAAAGCCTGTCTCATTAGATTCTTGGCTTCTCCATGCAGCATCCTTCCTTGAATGTGGGGTAGGAACCTTTCCGAAGTGGGGATCTTATGACCTACAAGGTAGGTCAGAGAATTTCTTTACAGCCAACTCTAAGACAGAAGGGCAAGAGAAGATTTCTGCCTTGAAGAGAAAAAGGAGCAGGTGAAAGGAGGGCAGGAGAAGGTCAGAGAGAAAAAGACTGTTTACTGAGAACCGTTCCTGAGGCCTAAAGCTCCCCAGCATTATAAAAAGGGCCATGGGAGTTAATGAGCCAGGAACCATGGACAAAAGCATATATATATAATATCACCAAACTTGTGCATAACAAATATTTACTATATAGTATTTATTATTATAAATAGCGTTGTATATGTAATTTGTATCTTTCTGTTCTTTACTTAAAATTATACCCTAATAATCTTCCATGTCATTGAATAGTATTTATAAGAACCATTTAAAATCGTGTTTATAATACTTACTGTGGTCAGTTTTTCCAGTATTCAGGGCTATTTTTAGGAATCAATACTCTGGTACTATTTTATTAACATTAAGTCATCATGTTGGCATTTTAAAAATCTGAAATCTGCATCAGTATTTTATTCAGATAAAATCATTGACTCTATTATATAATTAATGTGAAAAGACAAATCAATTACTCATCTAGCCAGTTCTATGCTAATGAGTCTAAATAGGCAGTGTATTGTGATATTGCAAACCTTCTTTTTCAAGAACAATTTTTATTCTATTTCAAAAACATTTCAAAGTAGTAGACTATGAAAAAATCAGAATTGAAACTGATAAAGGTAAGTCTGCACCAAACTTTTAACTATTCATGATAAAATTAAAGGACAAACCAGGAAAATACACTTTGTAATGAAACAAAATATATAGTTTGCTATCAATGAGAAGTTTGCAAAATCAGGAAAAAAATCCTAAAATCTTATTTAAAATATCTCCACAAGGTTATTAACTGAGATTTGTAAATTCTTTGAAGGTAATTATTTAGAGAAAAGTATTTGGAGTTATTTAATAGCCTGTCTCTGCACCATTCTGTTGACTAATATAGAATCAGAAAGGTCTTCTTCATCAGCAGGTAATAATCTGCACAAAAATACACTCATGAGTTAACGTTGACAATATAGACACTTTTTTGAAGATAGTGATGTTTTTCAGAAAAAAGATCAAGTATCATTTTCCTTTAAATGTTTCCTAATTAAATATATTTTTCACTTTATTTTGTTCCCTGAAAATACTTCATTATGTTTATATTTCAATGCAAAATATAAATTTATAATTCCACTGCATGTCTTATTATACATTTATAATTTGTTGTGTTTAAAATGTATCATGCATTTATTTTGTTTTATTATATGAATTCAAAATTGTTTTTTAAAAGAAAAGAACAGCATTGATACGGCATTTTGAAATTGGTCAAAAAAACCAATATTCCCATTTTGCCCTAATATTACTATCACCAATTTTTTATGAACATATAACATTGACTCTCCATGGTATAATTTTCTTAACTATTTCCTTTTCATTTCCTTTCCTTTTAAAAATTGTTTTCAGGCTGTGTGCTGTGGCTCACACTTGTAATCCCAGCACTTTCAGAGGCCAAGGTGGGAGGATTGCTTGAGCTCGGAATTCTAGATCAGCCTGGGCAACACAGTGAGGCCTCATGTCTAAAAAAAAAAAAACACAAAAATCAGCCATGCATGGTGGCACAAACCTGTATTCCTAGCTACTCAGAAGGCTAAGGTAGGAGGATCACTCCAGGAGGCTGAGGCTGCAGTGAGCCAAGGTTGCACCATTGCACTCCAGCTGAGGGGACAGAAGGAGACCCTCTATATTAAAATAATTGTTTGCAATATTTGAATGCTATAATTGAAGTGGCTATAAATACCCTGATGCATACAACTTTACCAAAATCTGGATTTGGTGTGTGTGTGTGTGTGTGTGTGTGTGTGTGTGTGTGTGTTTGTGTGTGTGCATGTTTTAGAATATATTTTAAAAATGGAAACTACTGAGTCAAAAGTAAGAATCCTTTTAAGGCTATGGACAAACATTGAGAAATTGTTCTCTAAATCAGTTTGTTTGTTTGTTTGTTTTCACTTGCTTGCTTGCTTGCTTTACTAATTAGTTAACAACTGCAGAGAATTTTCACTAGAAGGTCTTCTCCAGTGCCAAGGCATTCTTAGGCAGTGTAGCTGTAACAATAGCCACGGGATTGATTTTCATTGTGGGCAGCAATGAGTAAGAAAATAATATGGCTAAAAATTGCATATCTCGCATATCTCCAGCCAAATGAGACAGACGTTGTCCACTGAGAGAACCTACTGTCTTTGCAGAGCACTCTAATTATATATGGTAGTAACACTAAGGCAGACCACAGTGAAGGTCAAAACCAGGAAATAAAGTCAGGGAGACAGGGAGAGGGAAGATTTAATTCCATGAACAATCACAAATCACAGAACAAAAGGTGTCGCTCGTTACTAACGCATGTTCGTAATGTACAAAGACTTTTAGATTATCTTTTATTTTATTCCTTCGTAGGCCATAACTTTAAATCTCTATTTTATTTACAACTCAAAAATGTACTTCAAATTTTTCTTAATATTTTCCCCAAATAAGATTTTCAGTGAATCTTATCAATATCAACACTTTTCTAAGATAATATAAATTGTAAAAAAATTTTCTTGTTATACAAAATAAATTTTGATCCGTAGCAAAAGATTTAGTGTGCTTCATTAATAAAGTCTATCAAAAGTTGACTTTAAATATCAAAATGTTATTCTTTTCCACTTGTATGAAATTCCACCAATATCTCTAAGCTAATATTATCTAATAATTGCATTTGAAGAGAAAACCAGAACTGACACTTTTACTAGTAAAGCTATCTGGTATAAGTATTTCACTCAAGATGCCAACTACTTAGAAACCAAAAGACTATCAATAAGCCACATTTGCTTCACTGAAAGCTCAGGATTGTGTTAGAAAAACACTGTGTGATAGTTATAAATTAATAAGACTCCCATTATTACTTATAGCATGCTGGGAAGCTTTTCCATGTTACTCTGATAAATATGATCTTATTTTTTAATGACCTTCATAATCTATAAAAGCCACCATGTTGACTCTGTAGAAAGGTTTCAGTGACCTTTTGAGCAAAATCTTTATGGATATCTTTGAGGTCTTGAAGTTTTGTCATTTTTAATAGACAAAGCAAAGCACTCAGAGGATAGAGTCATGAACAGTTAAATCACTGTCTTGAGCTTGCCAATCTGAGGTACTTTCATGTAGCATTTATATTTTAATAAGGAACAACCTCTTTAATTTATTTCACAACTTAAAGGACTTATTATAAGCTTCATATGGGCAAAGAGTTTGGATAAAGAGGGATATGGCATTTACTTATGTAAATGTATATAAATTTACTTTTATCTGTCTAGAATTGCATGCGTACACATATACAGTGCAGTTTCCCACACTGTTATACATACATATTTGCACGCACACATATAATATGCATCCAAAAATACATATACGTGTGTGTGTGTGTGTTTATGTGTTTGTGTCTATTCAGTTCCCTAAACTGTCGTTCTAGGTCATGTGATTGCCCTGTTTTTTCCTAATGTTCTTACTTCCTGCCTGGACCTCTGATTTCCCTTGCTGGAAGTCGCTTATTTACAAGAAGCCAAGAAGAAATTAGGTCGAGGCCAGGCAGCATTATGTTGGTACAAAGGTAACTGGCTTCTCAGAGAATGAAGACACTTGTAAACTGTTCTGGTAGCCATGACTTGGTCCTGTTATACCAACTGTGTCCTCATCTCTAGCTCTCTCAACTCCAAAATACTGATGGTTCTGAAAACATTATCAGTTGGAATTAGGTTTAGTTATTCTAAGTCCCCAAATGACAGTTCCAAAATGACAATGACTTAAACAAGATAGTAGGTAAATTTTTCTTGCATTAAAGAAGACTGGGGGTGGCCAATTCTACCAATTCTCGGAGGCTGCCTTGGCTCTGTAGTTCTTAGGGACAGCTAGTTTATCACCCCCAATGTCATGAGGCTGTGGTTCTCTCTCCTAGTTCAAGAAAACAGAATTCCAATTTTTACCACTGTGATAAAGTAACAGAAAGAAAGAAATAGAAAAAAAAAACATATATAGCCTATTTTAAGGAGGCTTCTAAAAGTGAAATCCAGAGCTTGTGCTCATACCTCAACGGCTAGAACTTAGTCTCAGCAATCCCAGTTGCAAGATAGACTGCAAAATGCAGTTTTGTTTTAGTAGTAGACCACATTCACAGCTTCAAGTACAAGGTATGACTACCAAGAAAGATGAAAATAATATTTGCTAGGGAAGCAACAAACAGTTTCTGCCAAACCCTCATAACAGACTATGTTCTTTCTGCCACAATTAACAATGATTTCTTCTCATTATAATTTTTGGTTTATCCTTGCTTAACTTTAATAATATTGAAGCTAGGGACATGTCATGTCAACCTTTATGGTGTTATAACAGGACTGTCTAAAAGTTACTGAGGACTCATTCTAAATACTCTACCAAGATAGCTTGGATTAAGGATTCTTCTTCTCCAAACAGAAAGCAGCTTCTTCTTCCACCTCACAGGAAGAATTACAACCTCCCAAGGGCCCTATTGTCGCTGCTCCTAGGCAGCTAGAACTTACGACTTCTAGTCTCCTATGTGCCTGCTATTCCCTGAAAAAGTCATTTTCGTAGGCTTGCCCTACAACAAAGGAGCAGGAGCAAAGGACACAGTCCCTTTCGCAGAAATCCAATCCTACACAGATAGCATGTACTACAAGTACCTGTCCGGGTAAATTTACAAGCCAAGAGTCAACAATAGAAGAAAAAGGCACAGGCCCTCCAGTCTTCCCATTATCTGCTGGAAAGGGCTGTTACTTGCGCATGCCTCTCCACTGTTCGTGAAGTACAGATGTGCTTCCTAGAAGGGAAGGTCCTGCTTCCCTTTTGGTGAGTTGAGTAAGAACTCAATCCCATCAGTTGTGAGGAAGGAATTTATCAATTTGGGTGCCAGGAAGTCTCAATTTTGATGCCATCTATTGACAACAGTTGTCTGGGAATGTACCTGGGCACGTTGGGACCCATGGAAAGTCAGGCTGGGCACAACCCCTCCTGATGAACAAAGCAGAGGATCTCCAAGTTCCAGCTAGCTGACTATCCAGGCAACCCAGTTGATTTCTAGAACCATTTGGGGATGATTCTCTTTGTCACTCTATAGCTTTGAATCTCCAGAGTGTCACACAGAATATGCCACACAGCAGACACTCAGTAATGTTGGCTGGAGTGTTAATGGATAAATATAAAATATTTCCTGCTACATCTGAAACAACATTGGGGAATTCATTAATATTTGAATTATTTGTCCCTTAAGTGAAACAAAAAAAGTCACCTTTCTGTAGATTTGCTAACTTGTCAGTGTGTGTTTTCTTAGGAAAGAGCATCCCTTTCTAAGATTCTACCAAGGAAAACACAGAGTGAGCTTTCCGAGAGTAATGCTAAGAGCCTTTGTCTTAGAATCACTCATCACAATGGCAGCTTGTTCCATGCCATTCTTTTTAAATTACTATAGTTCTTTCAGTGTGATTCCAGTCACCTAATTAGAACAGTTTTCCTGAATCATAAAAGAAAAAAAAAATCCATTGTAAAAAAAATTTCTCACTGAGGACCGGAGACATAAATAGGCCTTTGTAACTGGTGTGGAGGCACATGAAATAGCAGCAAGGCCAGAAATGGACACTGCTGAGTTTCCTCTTCTGATATACATGGTGGACCAGGTAGATGAAGCAATACCTTTGGCTTCAGAACATAAAAAGTTTGACATTGCCTTGGGCATATAAAGCCATTGGGACAGTGAGCTAATGTGATTGTAGCATGATAAATATGAATTGGAATACAGTTTTTGAGATAAAGCAGAGAAAATCAGAAAGATTTTAAGTTCTATTATTCTTCAAGCCTTAGTTAATTGTTAGGCATTTTATACAGACTATTGCTTTTATCTGATAATCATACTTGCATACTCTAGTAACAGATTATCAGGTTAAGAGTTGGTTAATATACACTAAAAGTTATATCTGAGAAAGTTATTTTACCATACACATATTTCCTCAGTGCTATGCAACATTCAATACAAACTATAAAGTTGCAACTTAAAGATTCTGATAAGAATAGACTCATTTTTTGCCACATTATCTCTCAATAAAATTTTGCACAGTGAGAGTAAATTCAACTGTAACTCTTTATTAGGATCAAACATTTTATGATGAGAGAGGTACAAAATTAATCCATCCTGTTGACAGTCTTATGAGTCCTTCAGAAAACAAACAAAACAAAACAAGGACAGGCTGAGATTTAGGCATTCTATTGACAAGGACAGAGGGGAAATGGAACAAAATTAGTATATTTACAGGACAACCTTTAAGACCATAATCATATGGTTCCTCACAAATGCAGTGGTAATGGAACACCGAAAAGTGTAAACAAGACACATCACTACTTAAATATTGTACACAGCAACCTTATCAATCTTAGCACCCAAAGTAAAAACAATGCATAAAATTAATTTCGGCCTTCAACGAAAGAAAGTCAACAGAGGAATCACGATTTTAGTGATATGCATTATTATAAAGTTTTCAAAAATGCTCTTTTCAGGTATGAGTAAAACATTTTATACTCTCAAAAATATGTGGGCAGTGAGGACAATATTTGAAAGATATGTTGCTAATGATGCAATATTGAAATTATTTAAAATAAAACAATGAATAATCAGTAAATATCTGACTAATAGTAAAAAACAATTTAAGAGAAATCAAATAAAAATGACTTCAGAAACTCTTTTATATATAGCTCTTTTTTTTTTTAAAGAAGTGCCTAGGTTGATGAAAATGTTAACTTCCTCCATTAGAATCTTATTTTTATCTTCTAATTTATTTAGTCAAAAAGAAAAACGCATTCTAAAATATAATCTCAACTTCAGGAATAAAGGTCAATTACCTTGATAATAATTCAATGGCAACTTCTGTCTTCTATGGCCAAACAGTTTCTCAGATAATTACAATTGTGATTCAGAATTCTTTCCATTTTATATGAATTTTTAAGAAAATTACTTATAAATACCTGAATATCTACTAATGAAAAACTCTTTGTTCTTGCATTGGCCTGAGCTCAGTGATCACATTTGGCACAAAAATAAAACAATGTTACTTTTTTTCAATCTCGATATTCTTTGTACCTTAAAGAATTTTATTCACATGTCACAAACAAGATTCATTTATAAAAGATATAATTTTAAATGTTTGCTCAATCTTTAGAAGTTCATTATAGAAATATTCTTGAAATCACCAAATCTGATCAGCATTCTAGCTTTCTGTAACTCTGCTGTAAGTCAATAAATAAAGCAAATGTGTCTATATTATTTCATAGGACAAAGAAGTCTAAGCTTATTAATAGACTTATAAATGATATTGTATTATGTACTATGCTACCAGCATAGGAAGTGGGATTACTTGGTATAATTAAAATTTGGAAAATCAATAACTATTGAATAATTTTGGAAGAGAAACTAGTGCAATTGGCTTGTGAATTATTTTTAAGACATACATAAGTACAATAAATTAGGTAAATTATATGTAACAGGCCCTTATTTTAAAATGTTAATTCACAAGTTATGTGTCAATAATGCCTTTACTCTTTGGCAAAATTCAACAGCCCTTCATGCTAAAAACTCTCAATAAATTAGGTATTGATGGGGCATATCTCAAAATAATAAGAGCTATCTATGGCAAACCCACAGCAAATATCATACTGAACGAGCAAAAACTGGAAGCATTCCCTTTGAAACCTGGCACAAGACAGGGATGCCCTCTCTCACTACTCCTATTCAATAGAGTGTTGGAAGTTCTGGCCAGGGCAGTTAGGCAGGACAAGGAAATAAAGGGTATTCAATTAGGAAAAGAGGAAGTCAAATTGTCCCTGTTTGCAGATGACATGATTGTATATCTAGAAAACCCCATCGTCTCAGCCCAAAATCTCCTTATAGGTAACTTCAGCAAAGTCTCAGGATACAAAATCAATGTACAAAAATCACAAGCATTCTTATACACCAGTAACAGACAAACAGAGAGCCAAATCATGAGTGAACTCCCATTCACTATTGCTTCAAAGAGAATAAAATACCTAGGAATCCAACTTACAAGGGATGTGAAGGACCTCTTAAAGGAGAACTACAAACCACTGCTCAATGAAATAAAAGAGGATACAAACAAATGGAAGAACATTCCATGCTCATGGGTAGGAAGAATCAATATCGTGAAAATGGCCATACTACCTAAGGTAATTTATAGATTCAATGCCATCCCCATCAAGCTACCAATGACTTTCTTCACAGAATTGGAAAAAACTACTTTAAACTTCATATGGAACCAAAAAAGAGCCTGCATTGCCAAGTCAATCCTAAGCCAAAAGAACAAAGCTGGAGGCATCAAGCTACCTGACTTCAAACTATACTACAAGGCTACAGTAACCAAAACAGCATGGTACTGGTACCAAAACAGAGATATAGACCAATGGAATAGAACAGAGGCCTCAGAAATAATGCCGTGTATCTACAACTATCTGATCTTTGACAAACCTGACAAAAACAAGAAATGGGGAAATGATACCCTATTTAATAAATGATGCTGGGAAAACTGGTTAGCCATATGTAGAAAGCTGAAACTGGATCCCTTCCTTACACCTTATACAAAAATTAATTCAAGATGGATTAAAGACTTAAATGTTAGACCTAAAACCATAAACACCCTACAAGAAAACCTAGGCAATACCATTCAGGACATAGGCATGGGCAAGGACTTAATGTCTAAAACACCAAAAGCAATGGCAACAAAAGCCAAAATTGACAAATGGGATCTAATTAAACTAAAGAGCTTCTGCACAGCAAAAGAAACTACCATCAGAGTGAACAGGCAACCTACAGAATGGGAGAAAATTTTTGCAATCTACTCATCTGACAAAGGGCTAATATCCAGAATCTACAATGAACTCAAACAAATTTACAAGAAAAAAACAAACAACCCCATCAACAAGTGGGCGAAGGATATGAGCAGACACTTCTCAAAAGAAGACATTTATGCAGGCCGAAAGACACATGAAAAAATGCTCATCATCACTGGCCCTCAGAGAAATGCAAATCAAAACCACAATGAGATACCATCTCACACCAGTTAGAATGGCCATCATTAAAAAGTCAGGAAACAATAGGTGCTGGAGAGGATGTGGAGAAATAGGAACACTTTTACACTGTTGGTGGGACTGTAAACTAGTTCAACCATTGTGGAAGTCAGTGTGGCGACTCCTCAGGGATTTAGAACTAGAAATACCATTTGACCCAGCCATCCCATTACTGGGTATATACCCAAAGGATTATAAATCATGCTGCTATAAAGACACATGCACATGTATGTTTATTGCAGCACTATTCACAATAGCAAAGACTTGGAACCAAGCCAAATGTCCAACAATGATAAACTGGATTAAGAAAATGTGACACATATACACCATGGAATACTATGCAGCCACAAAAAATGATGAGTTCATGTCCTTTGTAGGGACATGTATGAAGCTGGAAACCATCATTCTCAGCAAGGTGTCCCAAGGACAAAAAAAACAAACACCGCATGTTCTCACTCATAGGTGGGAATTGAACAATGAGAACATAAGGACACAGGAAGGGGAACATCACACACTGGGGCCTGTTGTGGGGTGGGGGGAGGGGGGAGGGATAGCATTAGGAGATATACTTAATGTTAAATGACGAGTTAATGGGTGCAGCACACCAACATGGCACATGTATACATATGTAACTAACCTGTACGTTGTGCACATGTACCCTAAAACTTAAAGTATAATTAAAAAAAATGCCTTTACATCATCATGGCTTTTGGAAATGTACCTTTAAATTAAGATAATTATTTCAGTGTAAGCAAAATTATGTTTGCAATTGTTGGGAGATAGTACTATTTATGTTAATTTATGTCTATAGATAGAGATATGAAGGGAAACTCAGAGCCTTATGCTTATCTTTAAAAGAACATTTTTTTAAATGTGATAAATTGTAAATGATTATCAGTTAAGGTACTTTATTTAGATTTCCAAACAGCTTTCTATTTTTAAGCCAATTCTTTCACATAGAAGGCTATTAATAAAACAGTTAACAATGAAAAAATTAAATCTTGTCTGAGATTAAAGATGTGTGACAAAGTGGAAAATAAAGCGTAAGAATAAAAAGATAATTCTCAAAGCAACAGGAAGTTAATGATGTTCCCTGGAGTCCCGAACCAGAGACTTGTATCTTCAATATGCATGTTAATAACAATAGATGATAGTGAATAACAAGCAACTGAAATATGCTCTCAGTACATAATTACAATATTTAATTTTCCAAATAAAAATTGAGCAATCGTGGAGAATTGTAAAAAGATATAGTAAATGAGTGATTGAAGAACACAAAGGCAGATGAAATGTAATGTAAAGTACAATGTATTACAAACCTAAAGAAATAATTTAAATTACTTGTACATCCTGAGGGATTCTGTAACCTCTCAAGATATTATTTTGGACAACTCAATGAAGGAGAGCAATCAACTATGAATAAACCAGTGTTACAAAGTGTTGAAAGTATAGCTAAAAAGAACAGTATTAAGAGGTGATTTGCACCTGGTTTCTGTTTTCGGAGTGCTGCCTTTTAGAAAATGAGGTCAGCTTGATATTTTTATAACATAGAAATGTCCAAAGAAAAATAAATTAATGAAATAATTTACAAGTCAGTTAAAATGGAAACGATTAGCATAAATGCAGGTGATTTTTATTTTTCCTCTTCACATCAATACCTGCCTCAGAAGAAAATTTGTTCCTAGGTGTGGGTACTAGTTTATTAATCTTTATGAAGAGAAACTCTAGGAGAGAAAAAAACATATAAAGCAGGGACATTTGTAAATGTGTTAAGCAGAATAATGGAAAGATTTAGTGATTTTTCTGAAGGTCACAAAACAATTGAATGACCAGGCTGGGAAGGAACTTGGGGCTCCTCCCTTCCAGTCAACACTGAAAATTACCAGATGCTTTTTGCACCCCGTTCCACTGAAAAAATTAGTAGCAGAAAACCTAGTCAAGTGTTCCTGTTCATAGTCTTAGAAATCCAACTTTTAAAATGCTTTTGGATACTAACTTGAGTTTCATAATTAGATGATGAACTGATTAAACGCATAAGTGAAAATGTGTATTAAAACACTATAATTTGTTTTTGATACCAACTGTTGACCGACATTAGACATATTTAGCATAGATTAGAAAGACACAAGTTTCCAGCTAGCCAGGTTTACACACTAGCATCTCTCTACAATTGGTTAAAACCTAAGTTTAACACTAGACCAAAAAAAAAAGGAAACGACTCATTTCTCCTACTGTCTTGTAACTACGAATACTTTTAAAAATAACTATGTTTTGCTGGCTTTCTAAAAAATTAAATGCAAAATATTGACCTTTGCTATATCCCATTGATATAAAATACATCTGAAAATCTAAAAGACCTCTGAGGCAGACAATTTCCAGATAGTCTCCAAAAATACAAATGTGCATTTTTTTTTGAGACGGAATCTCACTCTGTTGCCAGGCTGGAGTGCAGTGGCACAATCTCTGTTCACTGCAACCTCCGCCTCCCAGGTTCAAGCGATTCTCCTGCCTCAGCCTCCCGAGTAGCTGGGACTACAGGCACATGTACCACAGCCAGCTAATTTTTGTATTTTTAGTAGAAACGGGGTTTCACCATGTTGTCCAGGATGGTCTCGATCTCTTGACCTTATGATCCGCCCACCTTGGTCCCCCAAAGTGGTGGGCTTACAGGCTTGAGCCACCGCTCCTGGCCACAAATGGGCATTTTTGACAAATTTCATTATGCACTATTCTAGAAACTCTTAATTTATCCAATCAATCAGCACATTTTCAAATTCCATATCTATCACACTCAGGCACTGAATGAAGTGTTATGGAGCAAAACAAAACAAAACAAAACAAAAAGCCAAAAAACAAAACTTTGTTCCTGACCTTCGAGTTCTAGGAGATTAAGAACCATTAACAGACAAGTCCACTTTGGAAACCTCAGTCCTTCTCCATTCACGGGCATTCCTCTACACTGGGGCTACTGTTCCACCTTATTAAAAGTTTTCTTAATTTCAACATTGTGTATGTTTTAATCAAATTACTCTTTCCTACTTCATACATAACTCAATTTTCCTTTTTTTTAACCTTTCTATAGCACTTTTGCCAACGGTACATTGTTAATGTTGATTTTGACTAAAAGTGAGTCTTGAGAAAATCAATATTTTTAGGCGAGAAACTGTGGTAAATTGTCATCCTATTGAGGGTACTATGGGAATAAAGAAAATACGTAGTAATGCAGAATTACCTAAATTAACAAATTGGTGGCAAAAGTTCAATAAGTTGAAAAAGTCAAATGATCCATAAGTAATGACTAATATTAAGATATATATTTACAGCGTGACAAACACTTGGAATCTAATCACATTATTGATGTCTATCTAGGTGAGGAACTAGACAATGTTACAGAGGCCTCAGAAAGTATCCAGAAACGGCATTAGGTTCCTACTATCTGTCACCATGAGCAGAATAAATACACTTTTGGAGAAGGGCTTTACTGTCAACTATACACTAATTTCCTATATTTAAATGTGTTTAGTGTCCAGAGGTATAGATGTCTGATTATTCTTACATGTACAGTAATGACCTTAGCAGCTCACTATCATCTAGCAGGGCAAATACGGTTATTTTCATTTAACAGAACTGATCCCCAACGGGGTAAAATACTCTACTCAAAAGCTAGAATTAAACACAAGTCTTCAGAGTGAATACTTTCCATTGCCAACTCCAACCTGTCCAAGAACTTTTCAAGGAAATCCTGTTTAATTTGGCACTTACAGACAGACCTAAGATAGAACTAATCATGGATCTGATAAGATCTACCATTGCAAGAGGAGTGTTCACACTGGTATATTTCATCAAAGCTACAATCAGGTAGGTAGCTTAAAGTGACTTAACTTCCATGCGTTATGTTATAGACCAAAATCAAGCTCTAAGTGATTTCTGTATATCTTTCAAAGTTAAACATGCCGCAGTGGTAACCAAGGGAAAACTGTTAATAAAAGTTTAGACTGATAGTCCAATATTCCTTTGAGAATATTTTTTTTTAAATATGGTTTTCTTTCTGGTAATTAAAACATTTTTTGGATTGAAACTTGTTTTTTTTTTTTGTTTGTTTTGAGAGGGAGTCTCTCTCTGTCGCCCAGGCTGGAGTGCAGTGGCGCCATCTCGGCTCACTGCAAGCTCTGCCTCCTGGGTTCATGCCATTCTCCTGCCTCAGCCTCCCCAGTAGCTGGGACTACAGGCGCCTGCCACCACGCCTGGCTAATTTTTTTGTATTTTTTTTTTTTTTTAGTAGAGATGGGGTTTCACTGTGTTAGCCAGGATGGCCTCAATCTCCTGACCTTGTACAAGATCCGCCCGCCTCAGCCTCCCAAAGCTCTGGGATTACAGGCGTGAGCCACCGTGCCCGACCAAAACTTCTAAATGTTTTTTTGTAAGTAATACAAGACAATGAATCCAAAATTATACATTGATCATCTGTGTTTTCCTTTACAAATACGGACTTCTTCAAGCAATACATTTTTAAATGATTTTATTTTTACAAAGAGCAATATTAAAACTATAAGTGTCGGCAGGGCGCAGTGGCAGACGCCTGTAATCCCAGCACTTTGGGAGGCCGAGGTGGGTGGATCACGAGGTCAGGAGATCGAGACCATCCTAGCTAACACTGTGAAACCCCGTCTCTACTAAAAATACAAAAAAATTAGCTGGTCATGGTGGCGGGCGCCTGCAGTCCCAGCTACTTGGGAGGCTTAGGCAGGAGAATGGCGAGAACCCAGGGGGTGGAGCTTGCGGTGAGCCGAGGTCACACCACTGCCCTCCAGCCTGGGCGACAGAGCGTCTCAAAAACAACAAAAAAAAAACCTATAAGCATCATTAAACACCTTATGCTCCCCTATATACTATCATTTTCTTGATGAGAACAATGAATACACTTTTGCCTTTTAATAAAAACACACATGTAAAAGAAAAAAATGGAAAACTTTTTTTTTAGATTTAAGTATTAATTCACTTTTGCTAATTTTAAAGCAATGTCTAGGAAAAAGTGATATTTTTAAAGATTGGGCTGTATTTTATTATCTTTAGGATAAAATTAAAGATGAAGCAAGTGTGGCAGATATAAGGAGTAAATTATTTTAAAAATAAGTGCTGTGTTTCAGTTTATAGCTCATCTCAGAAAATAATGTGTTTCTATATTTATGCCTTCTAAAGTTTGTTTCTATGTATGTACATTGAAGCTCAACTTCTTATAACTGGAGAAACTGGTTTCACATGAATAAATTCAGATCATTGACATACTTCCAATTTTGTATTACCAAACTGGGCTTATTCATTTTTTCTTTCAGAATTACTCCTCATCCTATCTTTTGTATCTTTGTGAATGGTTCCCACCTTCTCCCATTCATACAACTGGAAAACCTCCACATTCTCTTTGTTTCAGCCTTATATCTCAATTTTACTAAGTCAAGCAGACATCAATTTGTCTTTATCTAATGCTTTCTGCAATCTGTCCCTATCTCTCCATCACGAATATGCCTACCCTTGTTCAGGCATTCATAATCTATTTCCTAAACTCTTCATAGTTTATTTTTGCTTCCTTGCCTTTGGTATGCCCTTAAAATCCATCATTTGCGTTCTTGCCAGTGATTCACTGAATTGCTTTTTAGTTTAAAACAAAAACAAAAACAAAAATCTTTAGAAAAAAAGTTATCAACAAAGTCTAGAACTTCTTTTTTATGGCATTTAGGACTTTTAAATCACTTTTTCAAACTCCCCGAATAACAATATCTGATGACTCCTCATTCTTGCAACAGCCTCCTGAGTGTGATGTCTGTTAATGGTTCTTAATCTCCTAGAACTCGAAGGTCAGGAATAAAGTTTTGTTTTTTGGCTTTTTGTTTTGTTTTGTTTTGTTTTGCTCCATGACACTTCATTCAGTGCCCGAGTGTGATAGATATGGAATTTGAAAATGTGCTGATTGATTGGATAAATTAAGAGTTTCTAGAATAGTGCATAATGAAATTCGTCAAAAATGCCCATTTGTGGCCAGGAGCGGTGGCTCAAGCCTGTAAGCCCACCACTTTGGGGGACCAAGGTGGGCGGATCATGAGGTCAAGAGATCGAGACCATCCTGGACAACATGGTGAAACCCCGTTTCTACTAAAAATACAAAAATTAGCTGGCTATGGTACATGTGCCTGTAGTCCCAGCTACTCGGGAGGCTGAGGCAGGAGAATCGCTTGAACCTGGGAGGCGGAGGTTGCAGTGAACAGAGATTGTGCCACTGCACTCCAGCCTGGCAACAGAGTGAGATTCCGTCTCAAAAAAAGCCACTCAAAAAAAGCGTCTCAAAAAAAGTCCAATATAGAGAACATGGACTGTGAGTTTATAGTCCGGGTTCCAATCAAGGCCAGTCACTTAGACCAGCTGTCTAAGAGCTGCTGTGGACTCTGAGCAAGTCACGCAACACCTTTGTTCCTCATTTGCCTCACCTATTATGGTGCCACTCTCAGGAACTTTTGCCCACATTCACCTAGAAGGAGTCTGGGAAAATGCTATGGAGAGCCAGATAAACGTGTCAATACATAAGCACTTGTGACTGCTGTTAATATATAAGTCACTTTGTGGTGTGTGATTGTGACTAGTTTTAGTTGTTTTCCCAGTAGTTCATAATCCCCCTGGAGTCCGGGGGCTGTGGCTGTTCATCTTTCTGAGGCTGCTCTTTATATAAAGTAAATTTGCACTAGTCACTTTTTAAACAGAATAGAAATGGTATGTGACAAAGGTGATCTGACTATTGAAAGGTAAAATGGCTTGTGTTGATGGCAAAAATATTAGTCATTTCCTTTCTTTAAATCAACTTTATTTAAACTTACATATAATACAATTCATCTAACTTATATACAATAAAATGCACCAGTTTTAAGAATACAGTTGGATAAGTTATGACAAATGCATGCACTCATGCAACCATCACCTCAATCAAAATATAGAATATTATCATCACCTCAATTTCTCCTTGTGCCTTTCTGCAGTCAGTCCCTCTTCTGCATCCCAACCCTGGGCAACCATTGATCTATTTTCTGTCATGATACATTAGTTTTGTCTGCCAGTTATTTTTAATTTTTTAAGCTAGAATTGTTTCCATGTTCCAATGTGGACGATCTCTTTCTACGTAATCGACTTGTATATTAACATGCAAAGGATATGATGCACCAATTTTTCTGCAGATGTAAGGAAGGGCTACAGGTGAATTTTACCTGAAATTGAGTTGATAATGGAAAACACAATCTAACCTAGACACAATAGACTATATCCTTATTTTACACGATGCAACCCTGAGTCCCAGCAAGGTGGGGCCTGAGCACTGGCATGCCCCTTTGCATGGATTCAGGTCTCCTGACTACTTCTTGACCCATTGTTCTTTAGGAAAATTTATTGGCGAGTATATTAAAAAAAAGGCTATGTCTTGAAATTTAGGTGTCAGAGAGAACCCCTGAAACCTACTGAGTTTTGGATGCTCCCTCTGGAGGGGCTCTCCGTGGATCTCAGAGACCTTTGCTTTTTAAGTACTCACTTTTAGGGTGTCACTCTGGGAGCTGCGCCTGGGGATAAACTGATTCCTCAGTGGGGCTGTAACATTGCTCAGGGTCAGTGGTCACTAGGCAGGGAATGGAGCCCAGGAGGCGTGGGGAAAGGGGATGGAGGCCGGACGTGGCCAGCGGATTCAGGGCTTGACTCACACACTCACACAAAAGAGGCCGGAAAGTGTCCGGAGGAAGCCGGCGCGTCACGGAGGACGGATCCGGGACCCTGCCGCGCCCGCCCAGCGGCGCCCGGTCCCGGGTCCACAGCCGCACTCACTCCGCCGCGCTCTCCGCCACCGCCACCACTGCGGCCACCGCCAATGAAACGCCTCCCGCTCCTAGGTGAGTGCTCAGCGCCCCTGGTCGCCGAGGTCGTCGGAGGGACCAATCCCTTGTAGGGGACTGGATTTTTTAAGAGGTGGAGCTCACATGGCAAGTGTATTTGGCAAAATCTCCGAGGAGAATTGATTTAGTACTTCTCAGGATGTTTTTCTCCTTGACCTTTCAACTCTAAAGTTGAATATTCCAAGGTCCAGGGAATGTTACCTTTTTATTCCTCTTGAGGAAGTGTCCAGCATCCCCTTTCACCTTTCTTCTGTTCTGCCCCGAAGAAATTTGGGAAATCCAGACCATTAACACCCATGAGAGGTTTCCTGGCATTTTAAGGGGATTGCCGGGCCAGATTTGAGCTTCATTTTGAACATACTGTGCAGAAAGATAGTAAATGACATCTCCGAGGGTGAACTAATTCCGGCTTAGTCAGTATACATAGTTATTTGCCACTGGGATTTAGAACAGAATACTTAAGAATCTCTTGGTACCTGATAAGGACAACTAATGTTAGATGACTGTTTTCAGAACAATGACCTCATGCTTCATAGCTGTTGGTCCTCAAGACTCTTGAGTAGGCCTGGTAAAACAATAAAAAAGGAACCGACTTTACTTTTCCTTATTTTTTCCTATCAGTCCACAACATATAATTTCCAAATGTATTTCAATAACTCTGATGTATAGTCTTGTTCCTTGTTTTGTTTCATTTTTTTTTGTTCACATTTGTGTGCTGTTCCATTTCTGGAAGATCAATCTTTGACTATAATCTTGAGTTTCTTTTTTTGTTTTTGTTTTGTTTTTAAATTTCCCCTAATGGAAAATAAAAACAGTGAAATAAATTTTATTATGAATAATTGAATTGAAAACAATTGAAATTGAAATTGAAAACAATTGAAATTGAAAACAATCATTAGAACACAGAAAAAAACAGCAAGTGCATCTGTTCTCCTAGATAAGATGTCATCTTAAAATAACACAGATTTGAATTTGCAAAAACCTGAATACTCAATTTACCTTCATTTCTACACAGGATTACTCCCAGAGGAGGGAAATTGCTTTACAATCAGGCAGTTCCCTTTCAAAGTATCTCACCTCAGAATGAAGGGTAACACTTAATCAACATGCTATACTGATCTGGGAACACAGTTTTTATTATAAAGCTGAGTTGTTTATTACATTTTAGTTTCATTGAGATTTACTTGATAAAGGTTGAAATTGGAACAAAAAAAGCCTTCATCTTAAAAGTAAGTTTTACTTACTTGCTTTTGTGCTGTTACTTAGCTAAGTGCTCTCTTGGGAAAAATTTATAATCCATTTATCTAAATAGAAAGAGAGGATAATTTATGTTTATTATACTCTAATTCAACAATGGGGAGAGATGTTTGTTTTACTTTTTGAAAAGGTGTATTTCTCTATTTTATTTAGTGGTTTTTTCCACTTTGTTGAATTGTTCCTATACTCAAAATTGCACCAAGACACCTTGTCTCCCAAATGCAAAATGTGAAATACGCAATGGAATTGAAGCCTGCTATTGCAACATGGGATTTTCAGGAAATGGTGTCACAATTTGTGAAGGTAAACAAGCTTTGTTACTTCTTTTGGATTATACTGTAAGATTAAATTCTGATGGGACTGCTTTTCTGTCCTCCAGAAACTAACTTGTTTTGTGTTATACTGTTTAATTTCATACTATTTAAAAAACGCGTAAGTAGCTAAACAGTAAGTTTGACTTACCATGTCAAAATTTATACTTGTTACTGATTTTAAAAGACTTCATGCATATCTTATTTTTTGGTGCAAATATTAAAGATTTCCTTTTAGCTCATGCTGGAGATCCAGGTGTAGAGGGCATAGTCAACAGCTTTGGGAACAAAAGAGTTCACGAAATGTATACTGCTATGTATCGCCTTCATATACCCTCTTTACATGATACCAAGTATATAAGTATTTTTATACCTATATGGTATATGATACCACATATACAGGTACTTGACCGCCTATATTTGGAGATGATATTAAGAGATTCATGGTTTTCTCATGCATACCCTGGGCATAGGAAATGACAAGAGAAAGAGAGAATTTTGAAAAGACGTCATCTTTTGAAAAAGTAGATTATAATCATAGAACTTCATGCTACTGTCCAGAGACAGAATGCCACAAAGCATCCTTGTAGGGTGCAGTTTAGCCCATTGATTTGATCAGCAGAACACCATCTGATAATCAAATTTACGTAATTTCGTGTCTGTAGTTGTCACCTCTACCCCAATCTTCCACTCCCCCAACACACTCAATCTTTTTAAATTCATTTTCAGTAAAATCTAGTTTTAACTGGATCCATAGACCAACGTCCTGTGTAGAAGAGAGAGAGAGAGAGAGAAAAGTACTAGGTCATACAAATTAGTTTTAAAATATAATTAAATAGCAAGTTAAAATTATAGCTGTGGGGTGTTATGCACCTAAATGTATTCAGGATAACATGAACTTTTTCTAATTAAGCCAGGATATTGTATATTGTTAATATTGCATGTGTTTGCTTACAACAAAAACAAGTTGTATCTTGTGATTGAATTATATAGGCTCTTTAAAAAGATTAAATATGCCGTGTTTAGTAAGACCAAACTTCATCATAATTAGGTTGAATATTTAAAAAATGTACAGCAAAGCTACAGTTCACTTAATGGTGCATTAAATCAGGCGCTTCTGCTTGTATAAACAGCCAGAATTTGTAATATACTATTTTACAAGAATTACAAAATTCTTTTCATAAATAATCTTAGAAATGTATTGTGTATTTAATTGAATGGCATTGTAGCAAGTGTAAAGTTGAGTGACCTTCAAAATACTGCATCTCACAAATTAATGTGCTTTTCCACTAATCATTACAAATTGTACCATAGTACTTCATAACCAGCATTACCTTTTTGTTATTTAGATACTTTTCAATTGCCATGCTTAGCATAAGTAACATAAAAAAATTTTCACATTTTGGACCTTTAGCAGCCAACCAGCTTATAATCACGTTTCTAATGATTTCTTTTAAAAACGCATCTTCCATTATCTAATGCAGTTGTTTTCCCCCTGCTGCCTAAGTCAATAACTAGCTAATAAACAGAAAATATTTTCCATTGGAAAAAAAAAATTCTTTAAGACCTTTTGGCCTGCAGTTTCTTTTCACACAGAACATAATTTGTAATGGGAATTTGTTTCTTTCTTAGGTTCATGTTAAACTTAAATTCCCTTTCTGTTTAAAAAAAAAAACTCCATATACACTTGTTTTGATGTTTATTATCTGAGATTTGTAGTGTCTTCTTAAAACTGTTCAAACAGTGGTTTTCATCTTTTTCACCTTTTATTAATTCACTGACAGGTTTTTAACCTTTTTTTAGTCAGGATAGTTAATATGCTCTTTAGAATTAAAACACTGTATTCCCAACTGCTGAATAGTCTAGGTTATATTTTGAGTTTTAAGATTCTTGTTGACATTTTCGTCTCTAAAGAGATTCCTCACCTTTCCTATCTTTCTCTAAGATTGGTATTATGTCAAGATGAAATGACTGGACAGGAGATTAGCTACAGAGGATGCCTATTTCTTGAGGAATCGAATTTGTTTTCTTTTTTCTGTCCTCAATATCGCCATTATCATAAAATTTGTCTCTCTCAGAGGTACCAAAGAAATGTTATAGTAATAACCCAACCTCACTAAACATATTAAAAGAGCAAGTTTTGAACAAGTAATTTATAATTTGTTTTGCATGGTCCTACAAAATAAGCTTTAATCGTAGTGAATTTATTTAATTTAATCATTTTTTAATTTCAACAGATGTTTATTAAGCACTTTGATCGTCATTATCATAATCACATCAACATTAGAATAGCTAATATCTACTCTCCTCTGAGTCCAGAAAATTAATTAACAGAGGCCTTATAGTCAAGCATATTGATTAAGAGTACAGGCTGTGGAATCAAACCGACTTGGATTCAAGTATTAGCTCTACCACTTGTTTGGTTGGTTGACCCTTCCTAATTCAGTTTATTCTACCTAACAGAGTCATTTCCTAATAGACATAATTTATCATGTAACTCGGCTACTTAATACCTGCCAATGGCTCTTCTTTGTCAACAGAATAAAGTCTAGGCCCTTAACATTCTGACTTAATTCCCATTGCCTTCTCAACAAATATGCCCTCTGATATATATCTGGCATGAAATTCTTGTAACTCCTTTAAAAATATCATACATGTTCAACTTCTAGGTTTCAGCCTATGAGTAAAGGGAATAATTAATGGCCAAAATGATTTTTCAAAACGTTGTATGGTTATAAACTAATATATGGGGGACATTTTTTCATGAGTAGCATGGAGTAGACAATTTGAAAACTTTTGAGATGTTTTGAGCAATAGCAAGCTGACTGTAATAAATGCATTGACTTTCAAGTTGTTACTTCTCATTTGGATGTATATGTTCCATTATTTGTTGAAATATAAATGAATAATTTTCATGCATTTATCTTATAAACATTATAAGCGGAATTAACGTTAAGTGGAATTCTTCAGAATTCCACTTCCAAAGGAAATTGCTAATGTCTCTAACCCTAAAGTAACAAAGATAAATCTAATATGTTACTGAAACAAATCCTAGAGGTAAACCAGCTTATTTAGAAAATATATTCATAATGCAATTATTAATGCAAACATTTTTTTAAATAACCATCACAAAGCAGAAAAACAATAATTAAAAGATATCAGTGCATTTTGAAGAAGAGACCAAGCTTTTTCCTCTATGATAAAATACCATAACTACCTTGAAAAAATGAGAAAAAGGCAAAATCATTTACTTATTTTAGCAATTACAATATTTATCGTATCCCCTTCATACTAGACATTTTCACAAAATGGTACCCCTAAGCAATTAGCATAACAACAGTATAATTTGCTTACCTAAAAAGATGGTCTGTCAGCTTATTTTTATCATATCCTAGTGGATTAAATAGTCTGCTCACCAAAGTTAGTCTATTTATTCACTGAGATAGTGTGTTATACAAATAAGCAAAGTTGAAGTTCACAAATTGCCTTAAAATTGTATAAATATGTATCTTATGTGAGAGCACATACCCAGAATATAGAGTTTATCAAAACTAACTGCTTCAGGTCCCTCTGGAGAAGCTATTTTTCATAGTAGCTTCTAAATATTTTGTTTTTCTTTCTTTCTTTCTTTCTTTCTTTTTTGTCTTAAGCATTTTAAAAATATTTGTTTTCAGTTTTCATCAGACATTATCAGCCTCTGGTAGTTCATCTGAAACTTTTCTTGTCCTTTTATTTTTAAGTATTGAAATTTAGGAGTAGTCAATTGAGTTGAGTAGTACCCGGACCAGCATTCATAATTCATTCATACCTTCCTTCCTCCCTCCCTCCCTCCCTCCCTCTCTCCCTTCCTCCCTTCCTTCCTTCCTTCCTCCCTCCCTCCCCCCCCTCTCCCTTCCTTCCTTCCTTCTGTCTTCCTTCCTCCTTCCCTTCCTTGCTTCTTTTCCTTCGTTCTCTCTTTCTTGTTTTTTAAATTACAATCCTCAAAAGGAGGTGGCTCCTGATTTTCAGATAATATTTAAGGATTATTTCAAAAATTACAAGTATATATCTCACGAATATTATATGTATGTTTTGCTTCATGTACAAGATATGTTACTAAAAATCTTAGGGAATTTTTACGTATCTCAGAGGAGCTTCTTAAATGAATACTACAGCAAACTTGAAAAAGTATAAACTCAGATGTGCTACTGGAGAGTCATGTATCAAATTTGTTTAAAGAGAGGTTTATATTTCTTTAGGGTTTCTGTATTAAATGGGAAATGTAACCTCTTTAAGAGATTATAGTCTAAATTAACCCAGGGTTTACCTTCCAGGATCATGATTTCTGTAAACTTCATTCAAATAAATAAAATATCTTGCCAATTTCAGAAATTCTTTTCTTTGTACTAGAAATATGACCTCTTTTCTCTCTTCACAAGAAAGGTTCTGCAGTAGAGATAGCTACCACAATAATTAGGTGGAACTTCCTCAAAAGTATCCACTCAACAATATTACACATTCCATCAGTATATAGAAAGAGGAAAATAAATCAATAAACCATTGTAAAAACTTTCTTTAGGTTAATATTTACTTTGAAAAGAGAAGGAAAGGGGCCTGTGTGATTTGAGTTTTGCTGACTAGTTCCACAGTTTTAAAACCAAAGACTTCGCTGACCTGGTTCATTAAGGTCAGCTTTACAGACTAAGTTTTAGGAATCATTTTTCCAAATCATCTTGTTTCATGTTTATCTAACAGGATAATTACCAAGAATTAATCAGGTACAACTAAGAAATTTCTTGAAATCTTAAAGTAGGGTTTAATATGAACATATGATTTTGGATTTTCCCAAGTAACCGATAATGAAACCTAATTAAAATTTTTGTTCAAGTAGAAGCCTCATTTATTTTTAATCAGTATTATCTAGATGGATTCATTGAATATTTAGAACCAGAAAAGTAATATCCAGTAACTAATAGGATGAAGAATGAAACTGAAATAATAAAAATGAACACACAGCTTCTGGGTTCTAATTTTAAGAATAAAAATGTTATGCAAAATTTTATACCAAATCAATCTTAAAGAAGACTTTGCACAATGTATTTTCTACTTATGCACAAAAAAATGCCTTCTGGGTTGACATTATTTCAATGTTGATTTTTTTCCCAAATTAAGAATACCATTTTCTGTTTATACTTCAGGCTCTACCATCAGTTTATAAAGTTGATAGGTAGGTAGGTAGGTAGATAGATAGATAGATAGATAGATAGATAGATAGATAGATAGATAGATAGATATAACTATAGATGTGTATCATATAATATGCATTAGTGATAAGGGATCAATGACAATAAAAATTGAATATGGTTTTCCTAGAGCTTGTGTTCATTTTGTATGCAAAGTGAACACGGTGACTGTACCATCATACATTTCCTGTTCTGCCATATATTTTGAAGCTGCTAGGAATGTAAAACTAAATAAAAATTGTATTCTATTTATTTATTTATTTATTTAAGACGGAGTCTCGCTCTGTCGCCCAAGCTAGAGTGCAGTGGTGCGATCTCAGCTTACTGCCAGCTCCGCCTCCTGGGTTCACGCCATTCTCCCGCCTCAGCCTCCCGAGTAGCTAGGACTACAGGCGCCTGCCACGACGCCGGGCTAATTGTTTGTAAAAAATTGTATTCTAAATGTGGATTATAATACATTTTAATTCCTGCTGCTTTTCCATGAAAATTCTGGTAGAAAGGTGACTAAAGAAATAGCAGAGATAGCACTTCCAATACTTCCCCCAAAATCACTGAGTCCAAATTTTGCGCTTTGTTTATTATAGTTCTACTCTTTTGTCAATATTTTAAGGTTGCAAACCTTATTTTGCAAAATTGATGACATTTCTGTTATTCTGGAAATGTCAGTTGTCTATAGTCCCAATTTTTAGGGCATCAGCACACTTCTTAGTAAACTCCTGGTTATTTTAAAAGTAAATTATCCAGTCTTGTACTTATCTGTGTTCCCATTATTTCTCTTCTTCCTTATTTACTCTCTTTAATTATTAAGTAAGTTTCAGGTTTGCAGCTTAATAAAAAAATTATATATTGATGTTGATTTTAGTGACTTCTGTGAGCTAGACACTATTCTAAGCACTTCACATGAATTTTTAAATTTAATTCTCACAATAGTTCTCTGAAGTAAGGGCTGGTGTTATCCCCAATTTATAGATTAAGTAATTTGCCAGAGAAAGTATATACCAACAATTGCCTCATATAACCCTCAAACTACTCTGTGGTGTAGGTTTGCAAATAAAGAAAGTGAATCTCATTGAGATAAAATGAATTATTTTGGTTCTACCCTACACCCATCTGCCTTTTCCCTGCTACATTATCAAAACAATCATATATATATATGAAGATATTTTAAGAAACTGGCTGGGTGCGGTGGCTGACGCCTGTAATCCCAGCACTTTGCTAAGCCGAGGCAGGTGGGTCACCATGTCGAGATAGCGACCATCCTGGCAAACATGGTGAAACCCCGTCTCTACTAAAAATACAAAAATTAGCTGGACATGGTGGCACATGCCTGTAGTCCAAGCTACTCGGGAGACTGAGGCAGGAGAATCGCTTGAGCCCAGGAGGCAGAGGTTGCAGTGAGCCGAGATCGTGCCACTGCACTCCAGCCTGGCAACAGAGCAAGACTCTGTCTCAAAAAAAAAAAAAAAAAAAAAAAAAAGAATCAGTGGAAGTTTTAATATCTTGATAAAATGCGTAGGTCAAGTACAAGAGTTTAACTCCTGTTCATCAATCTCCATCAAGATAAGTGAATTGAAAAAAAAAAAAAAGCAATGAAATCAGAGGGAGGCCATGAGAAGACCACAGATTAGAGTGAAATTCTCAAAGCAGCGTCAAATGCCACAAAAGGGGGCAGTTCAATGCACATAAAGAACCCTGCAGCAAAGAGTCTGGCTTTCCCCTGTGGTGGTGGGATCCTGTCCTCTTCCCAGAAGTGGAGAGAAATCTAGGTGATTGTTTGAGGCATTGTTTTCCAAAGGCTACACAGATTGGACATTCTATTCCTCGTTGTTTGTCTCCAGATAAAGTCAAGAAAATACTCTCAAAGAAAACTTGGTCATCTGCCTGGAAGCAACTCTTGAGACTGAAAATTGATGCCACCTTTCTGTCTTCTCCTTACTGATGTTACCTAGAATAATGTCTCAAAATTACTGTACCCACCTGCGTTTACAGAAAACTCTGAAATCTCTTTTACTTCAGAGATGGTAATGGCTAGCTGGCAAAATCTGGAGCAAGTTACCTGTGATAATCACATTTTTTTTTAAATTATAAATATGAGAGTCATTTAAAGATAGTCCAGTCATTGAGGAAAAGTGAACAATATAAACACCTAGATGAATAAATAGAAAAATTTGCCAGAGAAGCCATACTTTTAGGTTGAAGAAAACACTCTGATTTATATGCTCAAAGACATTCTGGAAAATTTTGCATCCAAACAATTACAAAAATTTAGAAGAGGCTTCTATGTACAAAAGAACTATCACACAACAAAAAAAAACTTATTACTTTGATATAACCTCAAAATTTTGCATGGCTCAACCTCTTCCACACTCTTTCTCTAATTCTTCTCCTTTCGTAGGAAGAGGTATCAAGATACAAAGCTGCTAAAATTGTCAGTAATGCAAGCCAGTGCCTAAAAACCACCATAAGATTGAGGTTAAAGTTTCCCATTCCTGGGTTTTCTGTCTTGCAAGGGTGGTTGCGGGATAGAATAGGGAAGCTGCAAATATTCAATTTATTTATGTATCTGTGGAAGATACACCAGGACAGCATTAGTCAAGATATTCTTGAGTGTATCACCTCAGTACCATTCCCCTTTTTATATCCCGATTTGACTTCTTTTAATCTTTTTTTTTAATCTAGGTCCAGACCTTTTTTTATATTCCTCCTGTGCTTTATCTCAAAGGTTAAACAAGGTGATCATCAATGTGTTTTCTCACGCTAACTGCATGGTTTGTCTGTGATTTTTACATTGAAATGTCATTAATGCAGTAATGGAGTCCATACCTGCTAATCATTGTTGCAGAACCTCTGCTTCATTTGATTGAACTCAAACTCATTTTGTGACTCACTTGTAACTTTTGTTGTTGCAATAGTGTAATCATCTCTTCCCTGTGTTGTGTGTTTACCCCAAATGATTTCCTGAATTCATTGGCTAATTTGATTTTTCCTGTGAAACAAACCTAAAGTATTTTTTCACCTGCTATAAAATATATTTATCTTCTGATAATTGATGAGATAATGTACAACAATGGGCTGAGAAATAATCATCCCAAATTGTAGAGCTAAAAAGCGAAGATGGAATATAAGAGAGCAAAATGGAAAATAAGAGAACAAAACTGAGAAACAGAGGATCAACCATGGAAGGCCTAATATTCATCTAATAGAAGTCTTACTGAAGAAGGATTCAGGCAAAATTTAGCAGAGGATAAAATAAAAGACATAAATTAATTTCCCAAAGCTTAAGAAAGTCATGAGCCTTCAATTAAAAGAAACCACAGAAGACCACTTATCTTCTATGGAATGTGCCTGTGCCTTCACTTCTCAGTTTATGTTTAAGGAATATCCATTGATATCCTGCTATGAAAGAAGAGTATAGTTTACTTCACAACCTGTCACTTTTATTTATACATTTAAGTTTTTTATAATCTTTATGTCCTTAAGTAGTAATGGAATATATTAGCTGACTTAACATCAGGCAGCTCCATATCTAGAGCCTAGGCTAAAAACCTACTCAAATCGTGAGAAGAGAGAAAGTACTTTTCAAAAGGACATTTGGGTGACTGTTATCAGGAGGATGAATAGATGCCATGCAGCCAGAAAGGCAAGTGACCACTGCAAGAAAGTTTCTGTCAATCCCTTCAGTTCCCATTTCTACATCCATCTACTTTCATTTAACCACTACTTTATCTTTTTCCTGAGACAAATTCTAGTCTAAAGTAAAGGGAAATTTATTAGAAATCTTGTGGTATATCATATTAATAATAAAATAATTTCTAGATTAATCTATTATCCTCCACGTTTTAATTATTGGACTCCTATTTTATATCTTATGCTCCAACAACCAAAACCCATCGTTACAAATTGAAATCCCCCTGGTATCCTATGCTCCAGTGACTAGATTCTCTAATAATAAATTTTAGTGTTTCTTTGCTAAAGTCTTCAAATTTGTTATGTATATTTTATCCCTGTCCTACTAAGATTCCCATCGTAAGTCACAAAGAGCATCCAAGCCTTAGTTTCCCTAAAATGAGCAGATTGGACTAATATCTTTATTGATGTCCCTACAAGATTTAAAGTTATTTGATTCTACTATTGTAATACATGTATTTGAACTGTAGTCATTTTCCAGTTCAACTAATTCTTGGGCAAATAGCCTTGATTTTGGACTCAATTTGAAAGATGAAAATGAAACAGATGGATTTTGATCTCTTGCCTGTAAGCTCAGTGCCCTTTCCACTTTATTACACAGTTGTGTTAAACTCTGATCTCTGGAGCTGGCATGACCAATGCAGGAGATGCTTTATCTACTCTTTGTACTCATCTCGTCTCCACTTATGACCTGGCACACCATGATACTCTTTCCTGATGAGCCAGGATGTGACTTGAAAGTTCTTCTGCCAATATTACCAGGCTGGTGCTACAAATCAGTAGAAGTTGGCACATAAAGGAAGCGTTTTTTCCATATTTTCTCTGGTGGTTTCCTCCCTCAGAAGGAATTTCTGGATCAATTTTCTGAGACCCCTCCTGCATTACAGTGCTGAAAAGTAAGACATTAAATGTCATATGATCAGTGAGAGAAGTGCTATACCGGGGTCACTTGAACCATTAAACGTAAGTAGAAGGCTGTTACATCCATGATTTTTATATTTGCTCTCCTATTGGGAAGGTTTAGTCACTGTGATGTGTGATTGAGAGTACTCCTTTGAATAAGATGGTGCACAAATCCATTTAAGGGACAGGAGGGTTGTAATTCATGTGATTTTATAATTACCACGTAACTAACAACTAAAACAAAATGGTATATAGTGAAACTGATCTTTGTGTTGCAATTCCAAAAGATCTTTGCTTAACGAGTGTTTATGTTCAGGAATGGTAAAAGTAGAATTGATCAGACAGGCAGTAGTCTCAGCTAGGAAGTAAATCCAAAAGCTACATTTATTCATTCTGAGGGTAATATATATTGCCAGGTATCAAAATAATTTTGCACCAGGCTCAACTAATGAGGCAGGATGATCAAATATATGTGTGCTCAGAGGACAAATTAGACCCTTTCAATACTGGGACTATTATAAACCTGGTTACTGTCCAAGACCAGATTCACATGCCACTTTCTTTGCAAGGCTTTAAAAAAATTTTATCTGTCAGTAATAATTGTTTGTTTTTAATCATGCTCTCTAAAGTAATTAATCCTAGTAATGAAAAAATAATTTCATTTTATTTTTAAACTGACGATGGACTCTGCCTGCTTTTCATTAGTGACTGGGAAATCCCAGCAATGACTACCCTTTTGAGGAGAATGGCTAGTTCTTATTTTTTATTGTAACCTTGGAAACTACAAAAATTCAGTCTGCAAAATGCGACAATTCTGGTTTGTTGATGCCCCATTTTATTGTTCTTTACCTATGCTGAATTTATTGAAAGACCGTGAATGGTATTTCTGCTTGCAAGAATCAAGCACTTAGATCTGATTGAATGTTATATGTTGTATAAGGCTGAAATGGGATTACTTCAGATGTAATCCCATCTCAAATATTTTGCTGTAAATACAGAGCATCCATCATAGCCAAATGAAAAATTTGCATAAATGATTAAACTCAGTATCATAAACTTTACATTGGTTTGCTCTGTAATATCTTTGTTTTCCTACTTCATTTTAAGGGATGAACTATGCAAGTCTGAATTTTCATTGACTTATTTATTGCTTTTGTGAACATTTTCAGGAATAAGGAAGTAACATTTCCTAAGACAGAGTTAGCTGAAATATTGGCACTAATGCCTTGTAATGGTCTGTTTTTGAGGCAGCCTTCAGAGTCCCAAGAATCGCTTTGCTACTTTCTTTTGGATCTTATGTATCAAATATGATTTTGATTTTTTCACAAAAATTCTGGGAAGTGTAAAATCACTGGCACTTAGAAAAATGAAATTTTTGGCCGGGTGCGGTGTCTCATGCCTGTAATCCCAGCACTTTGGGAGGCCAAGGCGGACGGATCACGAGGTCAGGAAATCGAGACCATCCTAGCTAACACAGTGAAACCCCGTCTCTACTAAAAAAAATACAAAAAAAATTAGCCGAGCATGGTGGTGGGCACCTGTAGTCCCAGCTACTTGGGAGGCTGAGACAGAAGAATGGCATGAGCCCAGGAGGTGGAGCTTTCAGTGAGCCGAGATCCTGCCACTGCACTCCAGCCTGGGTGAGAGAGCGAGACTCCATCTCAAAAAAAAAAAAAATGGAATTTTTGCTTAGAGTCATATTAGTACTTTAAGTTCTTTTTAATTACAAAAATGATTTTACTCCTTTTACTCCATGTGTTATTCATAATGCTTGTCTCACATTTATCATTCACTTCCAATGAACCAAACTTCATAAACACAACTTTATGTAGAGCTAAATTTATTCTTCAGTAAACTATTTAAGATGAGGTTTTATAGGTTTAATCATTTTTTATTTTAGGTGTAAAGGTGAAAGACTTTATGCTGTTACAATTTCACATTTTACAAAATTTATTTTGTTTATTATCATGCCCTAAATTTGATTAAAATGGAATGCATGATCACATAAACCAACTGGGAAGAAATAAAGTATTCCTTCTCTCTACAACTTTAAGTCATTTTATGAGAACTTTTGTATTGCCAATATATAAAGATTATAAATAAAATATTGTGTACATCCTCAAAAAATGCTTGGTTTAAATTAAAAAAACGTATTTTAACCCTCCTTAAGTGTTACTTTCTTCTAGAAAATATTATTTTTCTACTGTTAAGCAGTGTTACAATCAACTAAAATTTACATGTTTAGGAGAATGTAGAAAAAAATAACTTAAGAAATTCTAAATGTATTATCCAGGATAATTTTCTACTTCCTTTCTGCCCAAGATATAATTTAATATCCTCTGTTGTATCAACCATCAAACATCAATTGGTCTGAAGTTACATAGATTTGTATAGTTTGTTAGTCAGCTGTATGACAGAACACCACTGTACAGTATATATTATATAGCTTTTGTATAAAAGTATCAATCATTTGGATTGATAAAAAATGGAACAAATCAAATTTGTCTGGCATAAAAATTGTGATTTTTCTGCATATTAAAACACTGAGGCAAGATTATTGAAATATTCTTTTATCCTTAACTATTTGGTCCATTGCCATTGAGCATAGATGAAAAGCACCAACCTTAAATTATTAACCTTTTGTGTGTAGTTGTGAGTAGGATAAGAATGAGAGTATTAGGAGGAAAAAAAAGTTTTCATGGCTGTTGGACTATAGGGAACAAACTCTAACACTTGAATCTAATAGACAATATTTTATGTTCAAGTCAAAGAGTTTTCATTAAAAATGTGATTATGTTGAGTGTTATTGGTCAGACAAGCTCAATTCCTGAAAAGTCCTTTTGCATGGGATTTATTGCAAGGTAATGCTGTTTTCCATATTAACATGATTTTTCTGCAATCTTACATTCAGATACATAATTTATATTACCAAGAAATCCGGATTAGTGTACAGTTTCATAGATTCTCTTTATAATTGTTTAAAAGTTCCCAAATAAGTTGCCGAAAGACAGAATGTTAACTGTTCAAACTTTGTACTTATTTTAAGGAGGAAATTAACACTTTGGTCCTTTATTTGCCATGAAAGGAGATAATGACTTTCTCTAGGAAGATTAGAATCTAACCAAACATTGTAGTCTAAATATAGCATACAAAGTCTTGTGCCATTTGTGAAAATGCTATCAGGGAGAAAACCCAGTGACTGACTGACTGCACTGTATTTTTTAGGTACACAGATTTAATTTAGAGATTATGGTTTGAGAATAAAATTTACTGTATGAGTGTTTTTGGCTGATAAGAAATTGATTTTGTGACCTTGGTACACATTAATTGAAATATCTGGCAATGTGTATTGACTAGGTTAAAGGAACCATACATACTTGGAACCATATTATTCCTTCACACCGTACTAGCAAGTTAATCCCTTTTTGCCATTAGAAGGATGTAAACTACTTTTTGCTACTATGGGAGCAGAAATAATCTCCTTCTATTGAATAGCAAGTAGGTTTTGTGTAATTAACATTATACTTAGTTGGTTGACTATATTGAAGGTGAAGTCTTTCAATTTATTTAGGAGTTATATTTCTCACATATTAAATATACTATATTATATTTTCACATATTTCAAAGGTTATATTTATTAAATCTTAAATATGAAAATATGTGCTGATGAGCATATCGAGACTTAAAGGTTGTTATTTCAGTTATTCACTAAATTTTGGAATGTAATTTTAAAGAAGTTAGAATACAGTGAAAGTACTAAATTGTCAGCATTCTCCATACCTTAAGTGTTAGTTTATTTAACCGATATTAACTCTAATTGTATTTACACAGGAGAAAGAATTGCAGAAGATACTTAAAGCAAATTGTGAAATTTGTAAATTCTGCACAAAGAACGCCAAAATATGTACTTCCCATGAGGTTTTTGGGGCTTGATTAACCAGATAAGTTATCTATACAATAATTATCCAGACACATGCACTGCACATCTTCACTTATTCCTCTTTTGTGTATATAACATCAGAACCAAAATGTAGGTCATGCTTATCTAGCACTTCGTGCTTTTGGCCCTCTGAAGGACAAGAACACATCGTAAGTCTTAAAGAATTTAGTATTAAAAACATAATTGAAGTTGTATTTAACATTTACAACTAGCATGGGGAAGGAATGTGCTGCTGTCTTTTATGCATTTTTGATAATTAAAGTTGACATGTACCGGCAACTAAATCAGTTTTCATGAGATTGAACAGAAGCTGAGGTGTTTCTAACACTTGCTTGATAGTTTTGCCTTTGTGGCAAATTATTGATATTTTGAAATAAGAGAGTTGTATATCCTTTGTGTCAGAAAGGTTCTTATGCCAGATTTCCTGGTGCCGTATGGAGGATAAGTTCTGAAGATTATTTCTGGACCTTTATAAACACAGAAACCTATTGAGAATATTTTTTAAAAGTACAACAAATCTCTGTTGTATACACAATGCAGAAAGGCAAGCAGATGCTTGATTTTAGTGTTATGCTTCTTCAACTAATGTTATGTTCGCTGCAGCAGTTTCCAATGGAATATCATGTGGAGAAGAATGGTCTTTTAAATGTGTTTTGGTCTTTGAATTTCAGTTTATTTGTAGACAAATATATTAAAAAAATTTTCAGTAAAAGCATTAATTGTTGTTTTATAGTCAACAATCCCTTTATACTTCTCCTTTGAAAAAAATCAAATGGTTGCTTTAAGAATAAATAAGTATAGCGTTAATCTGAATTTAAGCAAGTCTTCAGATTGTAATCCATAGGAAAAATTGCATTATTGTGTTAAGAAAGCCAAACCTAAGTCTTATCAATTATTGGTGATAGCTTTTTAATAGAAGATTCCAGTGATTCCTAAATTGTGAACAGGGGACTTATTACTAGTAATGCCTTAATAATTCCATATCAATTTCTTAACTAATGAAAAAAATTTTTCTTCCAGCAGTGTTTAAAATTGGATAGAAATATGACACACTTAGAGAGTACAATTAAAAATAAAATTCTGAAGTATGACAAGTGTTCAAAATTAGATATCGAGTACAGATAATAAACATAGAAGGGAAAAATGGCTTGCTTATTTCAAAATAGTTTTGAGGATGAAGCACTATGATGGAGATCCACTGAGGTAAAAAGGATCCTCAGCTTTTTTGATTCAGAAATGAAATATTGATGATTTCAATCAAGATTGATCAAAACCTGATGAAAATATCCTGATAATCAATGGGAAGTAGAATTACAGCTTATTGTGAGAGTCAGGGCCTTGGAGGAAGCAGACTTTCTAAAGAAGGCATCCCTGGAATCAAACCCTGGTCCTGGCATCTACCAGTTTCTACATCTGTGGATTGTAAATAGTTTTATCAGCAACAAAATCATTTTTGAAGACTAAAGACGAAAATACAATTAAAGGACTTAGTTATAACCCCAGCCATATAGAAAGGCTTTAATAAGTGATAACTGTTACATTGTAAATCTGTCAATCACTTTTTGACAAAATTGTTTTTGATGGGTTCAGTCTCTTTCTACTTTCCCAAACCATTCAGGACACCTGATTAAGATCATCTAGGCTGCAAGATTCTGATGCTAGGGTTACATAGATAACAAGATGCTCTTCTGCTTTTCCCAAACTCCACAAACTACAACACATAACGGGCACTTCGGGACATACCTAGAAGAAGAACATATTACTCCCCATTCTTTACCAGTTTACTAATCTTTAACTTATATTTTTAGCTCACTGTGTCCAAAGGAAAAAAAACAAAATAAAAATTTATTTAATTATTAAAGTAAGAAAGTAAGCGTTCTTTAAAGAATAAGTTTCTTTAATTTCCTTTGTACCAATCACCTGGTCAGTATGGTGGATGACTGTATTTAAAGTAGAAGCATGTTTACAAAGACAATCTGTGAACTAACTTTTCCTAAATCATATGTATATCAATACATTCAATTATCTAAAAAAGATGGTTAGCATTGAAAGCATGCTATGATATAAAGTACAATACAAAAATAGATTTTAAAAGTATAAATTCTTGAAATAGTTTAATGTGAATATTATCAAAATTTGGAAACAAATATATTAATATCTGTCACAGTTTTCATTTCTTGGAAATAATGAAATTTACACAGAAATTGAATAAGTGTCTATATTATAAAATTTTAAATATTTTTGTTTGGCTTAACAAATCTTTTACTGAAATTAGTTACTTAAAATATACGAAATAAATGATAGATGACAGATTTTAGTATATATGAAGTTTCTTTTAATTATTATTATGAAATTTGTAAAAAGACTTGCAGAATACTTCGGCATAAAGCTTATTAGAATAGAGAAGTACATATATATTTTTAATTCTGGGAAAAATGGAAGAAAATTCATTTTGCAGGGTGGAAAGATTGAATAATTAGCACAACTTTGTTTGTTTTAAAGACGAATTTGGTGTCCTGCCTCTCAAGTGATTCACGTAATCTCCAGGTAGATTCTTAAACTTTGAGAAAAATCATGGATCTGTAGACTCACCTTGTGAGACATCACTTAGGATTTTCAATGCCTAGGAGAAGTGATGTGTGTTCATTGACAGAAACTGGTTGAGAGGGATGACTGGAATTACTCTGTCAGGGTTCTGTTCCATGGCTGTTGAGGCATTCATCAGTGTAGTATTTTATCTTGAACAAAGATAGATTTGTATGGAAATGTATCAAGACACCTTCATTCAGTTCAGCAACATTTCTGAGTTACAGTTTAATTTATGTTAACTGTAGATGATCTAATATTTGCTCATTGCATTTGAACCCTCTCTAGTTTTTGGAAACTTTTCCAATAAATGAAAAGTAGAGAGCTAAATATGAATTCTGTGAAGGAATCCTTTTGCAACTAAATCTCAACAGTATGTTTTCATAAAGTCAGAATAGATGTCTTAACTCTTGGCCAGAGGGAGAAACTCCTGCCTGGCTCTACTAATTCTAAACTTATTCCTATTTTTTTTCAAACTGTCATTTCAAATTAATTGTCAAAAAGCTGATCATCAACTTAAGTTTTCTAAAATGCCCTGAAATAAACTGTTTAAATTCTTGATATAATAACATTTGTTTTTCATTACTTTCATTTTGTAATTTGCCAAGAAAACAGTAGGTTATACCTTAAATTGCTTTTCTTTTAAGTATGTTATTTTAAATTCTAATACATTTTGCAAGTTTCCTACTAGTTGGTCAATATTCCTAAATTACAGAAACAAAAAAAATGCAGTGGCTATTTTAAAAATTTAAATAATGATGCAATAAATATTACTTTACTATAAATCTAAAAATTATGGTATGATTAGTATGTATTAAAAAAAGACAATAGAGCAATAAGATTGAATGTTCCTTTGGATAATTTCCCTTTCACTAATTTATGTCTCATACTATTTCTAAAGCTTCAGGGGTAAGGACAAAAGGGCAAATAAATGTGGCCTGTCTTGGAAAATGATAAGAGTCATGCAATATTGAAAAGGAAAAGATAGCAGCAAAGAAACTCTCCATATAAATTAATCAAGAATATTTGCCAGTGCCTGGAGTAGAATGCTGTATAGTAAGGTTCGAACCTAACTATTAGTGTTCCAATAACATACTTTGTTCTTCTACCAGCTAGATAACCATCATGGTATCCCTTATCAGCACTGACTAGACATTGTCCTAAAATTTTTCTCAGTACAGTGGATTGAGTAATAACTTCCAAATTTTTAGTTGTATTGGGAATCAATCTTATTTTAATTAATGGTGGTAATTTTTTTATCCTGATTCATGAAAATTATTTACACTGTACATCCAATGTATATACATTTGTTTATTTTATATTTACCCCACCTTACATTACAAAACACCCCAAACCAGAAATGTATAAGATATAAATAAATGAAGAAATGTTACCATTTTTACCTATATGTCAATGGATGGCTTTGCACACACTTTGGAGTGCGTTTCCCCATTGGAATTGGACAAAACTGCTATTGCTGAGTCATTCAATAAATAGTATATCACGATGACCTGTCATTTATATACTATGTAGCTATCTTAAATCATGTGTGGAAATTATAATTATTATGCTTTCAATTAGATAGTGATTTAGATATTGAGATTTGCAGGTACTTTTAACTAATATTCTTGGTAAAAAAAATTATCTGAGACTGAAAATTTACTACTTAAAATAGCACTGACATCTCCTTCCAAACTATCCTGTTTAAATGATACCATCGTGTCATGATTTATCTACTTTGTTTCATGACATACCTCGTTAGTTTCATGATATATATGCTTTCAAAGCATCTTATTGCTACAGAACACCTCCCTTGTGGTCAAATTAGTTTTTAGACTCTATCTAATCTTTTATCCAAGATACATTTTTACTATTTTTGATCATTTTGAGGTTTTAACTTAGATTATTTATAGTTATTTCAAATAGGACCCCAGCTACTCTTAGTTATGATGAGTGAATAACTGGGAAAATATTTTAATTTTAGTGAAAGCACAGTTTGCATTCCAATTTGAATGTTATTTTATAAGTTGAAAAATTTTACTTTTACCCCAACTATTCAAAAAGTAATGTATATTGCTTTTTAATTTTTAAAATATTTATTTATTTATTTATTGAGATAGAGTCTCATTCTGTCATCCAGGCTGAAGTGCAGTGGCTCAACCATAGCTTACTTCAGCCTTGAACTCCTGAGTTCAGGTGATTCTTTCTTCTCAGCCTCCAGAGTAGCTGTGTCTATGTACCAACACACCCAGTTAATTTTCTTTTTTCTTTTTTCTTATTGTATTTCATGGAGACAGGGTCTGACTCTGTTGCCTAAACTGGTTTTGAGCTCTTGGCCTCAAACAGTCCTCCTGCCTTGACCTCCCAAATGCTAGGATTACAAAAACATCAACAACTTGGTTGTAGATTTCACCGCCAAAAGACAAAGTCAATTAGTCATAGTTCTGCTGTATAAGAACTTAAATATGAATCACATTTTTTTTCAAAAGGCAAAAATGTTATTTTATTTTGTTTTTTATGTGATTGTTATTATTATTGTTTTTAACCTTTAGTTTAGGTCCAAGGATTCATGTGCAGGTTTGTTATATACGTAAATTGTGTGTCACAGAGGTCTGATGTACAGATTATTTTGCCAACAGTAAATAAGCATAGTACCTGATAAGCAGTTTTTCGATCCTAACCCTCCTCCCTTCTTCCACCCCCGAGTAGGCCCCAGTGTGTATTGTTCCCTTCTTTATATCCACATATACTCAATGTTTAGCTCCCACTTATAAGGGAGAACATGGCATTATTTGGTTTTCTGTTCCTGTGTTAGTTCACTTAGCATAATGGCCTTTAACTCTATGTTGGTGCAAAGAACATTATCTCGTCCTTTTTAATGGCTGCATAGTATTCCATAGTGTGTATATACCACATTTTCTTTATCCAGTCTACCACTGATGAGCATTTAGGTTAATTCCATGTCTTCACTATTGTTGTGAATAGTGCTATGATAAACATACGCATGCATGTATGTCTTTCACATGTCTTATATATTGCTTAAGCTTTCCTACCCCTATCTTTTGACATTTAAGAGGAAGTTGTTATATATAATTTTTGTCCCTGGTTTTCTGTCTTCATTTAGATGATAAATGAGAGATTATGCAATAGTTATTAACAAATCTCAAATTACCATTGGAGGAAATATATTATACCAATTGTGTAACAACAGTTAAAGGTCGAAATTAACATACTATTCTTAAATTGATCAAATAAGTAATAAACTCTATGCTTTTGTTTCTAAATACCATTTCAGCATATTTTGTTTTGATAAAAGTAATATATACTTATTGCAAAAATTTTAAGCCACTGAAAAAGTCAAGGGAAAAAGCAAATCATCACTCAAATCCTTACTTTGTAAGCCTGCTTTTATGTATTTAGTTAATATAATTCAGAGTATCTTTCTATGCATGGACACCTATCAAAATAGATTATAGATAAATTAGAGAATAGATGAGAGAAAGGTTAGATAGATAGAATGATAGACTATTATAAATATTGGATTGTTGTTTACATGCTATTTCACTGAAAGTCCACTCCCATTTTATTATAATTTAACAGAAGAAAAAAGAGACTAAAATGAAATGGAAATAATTGTTGATTGCAGATTTATATTTATAACCACAAAACAAATAAATTTTAAATTAACTATATAAATATAAGCAAATATATATACATATAGGTGCTGAGAATTTTTAACAACTCATTTAGATTTCAGACAGTACTAGTTGACCATTTGCCATACTAACACGTCTTCCTCCCTCTTTTTCCTTTTTATCTGCATGTTATTGCTTTGTAAAGGGTTATAGCGTTGACATTCTGTTCTACCATGAGTCCCACGGTAATTTACTCTCCGTTTATGTTGAAAAGGTTTTAGCCCTATCCGGGGTTATTTTCACTATAGATTCTCCATTTCTAGGAGAAATTTCTAGGAATTTTTTTAAATGCAATTATTAACTAGCTAAATTTCTTTATTGAATATGTGTGTGTGTGTTTTTTAAGAAAGGTTTCTGACTACTCTGTTGTCTGCTTTCTTCTGTATTTGAAAATGTCTTACTGTTCCTCCTACACTTGGGAAACTTGTTTCGACACACTATTTTTAAGTCAAACTGTCATCATTAGAACTTGCATACACTACATTTTGTGCCTTTTGTCACTGACTGCTGTCATGTCAAGATTGAGGCTAGTCTCAAGTTTACCTCTCAGAGATGTCATGCCTTTTCTGCCTAGATGAATACATTCAAAATTAATCCAGACTGTTTCCTGGTGGACATTTACTTTTTCCATCTCTTTCCTTTTAGTTCTAATTTTAGTTTGTATAATTAACTAAATAAATCCAAAATAATCCATATTTTTACATACCTAAAAATATAATAACTTTAATATTTTAGCACCAATCTCCTACCTCAATATTAATTAGTTTTATAGTTCAGTATTTTAATTTGGTGTTTTTGCCCCTCAAATTAATCATTAATATTTTTAAATAGTAGTAATAGTAACAATAGTGATAAGAACCATCTTACTTTGTACCAGAAACTGTTCTAGTGTCTTCGCTTGTATTAAAACATGTTTGAATCAGTATACTCTACTGTCTCTTAATGTACTGCTTATGTAGTAATGTTGTTTTCGACTTACCTGGATATTTGTTTCTTCTTGTCATTCCTTCATGTTTACCTTTCTTTCCTTCTGAGTTCACTATTCTTTGTCCTGAAGTTCACCTGATAAATTTTGTGTTTGTTTATCTGAAGATGGCTATCTGAGTTTACAGATACTTTTTCCTAAGAACTTTGAAGGTATATGGTACATTATTTTCTAGTTGTTACTGTTTAAAGTGTCCTCATGTATCTTTTTCTTCGTAGGCAATCTACTTTTTCTCCATAGCTATTTATAAAATCATCTCTGCAATTTCACTGTGATGTTTCCATTTTTAGAGTTATTTTCATTAATCTTGCCTAAAGTTGTATTCCCCAAATTTGAACATTCTTATCTTCAATTCTGTAAAAGTTTTAATCTGTTAGCTCTTAAAATAATAACTTTCTCATTTACTGTCCTTGGAATTTCAATTGAATGTTCCTCTTTCTGTTATATGTTTCTTAAACATCAACATCTTCTATCTCTTTGCTTATGTGTCTTACGTGTTAGTATTTCAGATCTTTCACTTCATTTTTTCTATAGCTATATTTAATCTGTTGTTCAACCAGTTCGCTACATTAATTGCTTTTTTTTTTCTAATTCTAGAGCTTCTTCTACTTGGTTCTCTTAAACTCTTGAGTCTTTTTTAATAGAACCTTGTAGCTTTCACATATATTAAACTCCATTGCTTATCTCTTTAATGTTTTCAACATAGCTACCTTGTATTCTATATCCAATAAGTCTGTTTGTAAAGTACCCTAAATCTGCTATTTGTTCTTTCTGCTGATTCTCACTGATGATGTTTTGGGCATGTGTGTCTGTGTGTGTAGCTTAATTGCAAAATTTATTTTGGCACTCCTTATGTGTGGGAATCCTGTGGTGCCAGTGCACAGGACCTTTCTATACAGGAAGAATATTCGTTTGTTCTCTCAGCCACCCTACCTTCTTCACCACCACCTCAGGGTCACTTTCTGCTGTTTGTCAGCTTGGAGTTTCTATGATCATAGGCATGTCATTAGACATTCTTAAATGACTCCCACTCTCCCTCTGCCCCCGTAGCCTAGGCCAAAACCAATAATTTTATTTTATTTTTCCTGATGAGGACCCTTTTAAGGGCCATCCTATCACTGAATATGTAGCACTTTGAAGTCCTAACTTTAGACAATTTTTTCAGTCTTAGCTCGACCTTGCACAGGTGCAGTCCTTACCTCTTTTTTCAGAGAAACCCTTAGAAACCAAAGCCCCCAGAAAGCATTTCTGAGGTTTTGTTTTACACCCCTAATTTTTATCTTTCTATTTATGTTTGTCCTCAAGGATTTCTCTTATTTTCCAGTATGCTGTTTTATCTTCTAAGAGTACATTTATTTTCTTTGTCATATTTTATCTAGCATTTCTAGATGTTTTGTTGGAGAAGGGTATTGAGATTATCTAGTCCTCATATTGTAAGAATAGATATTCAAAACTTATAAATAATCTTATGAGCATAAAGGAAGCTAGCCCAAGGAAAAAAGTTTCAGTTCTTTGGATGACAGAGCAGAAAGAGGAAATAACCTTGATGACATGGTTGTGCTACCAAATTAATCAACCCTGAAGCTAATCTACTGCTGTACTTTTTCTCTTTTGTGAGATAATTAATTGCCCTATGTCTTAAGCCACTTTGAAATGGGTTTCTTGTACTTACAGTAAAAAACATCTCACTTGATCTATTATCAGCTCATTTCCTTTGGTTTCCAGCTCTCCCCATCTGTGCCTTGAATATACAACCATATTAGTGTAAGTGTTGTCCCACCTTTCATAGGAAAATGTTAAAGCATGAAATTGTGAGCAAAATGGCTTATATTTTAGAATAGAGTGTTTGCAAATACAAGAAATACAGGTGAGATTTTCAAGTTAGAAAGTGTTTTAGTGAGTAAGATTAAACTTAAATTTGGAATTCTATAACAAATCAGCAAAATTCAAAAATAATATTAATATTTAAAGCATATGAATGCAAAATTTGTGTAAGGTTCAAAGAAGCGAACTACCAACATGTATTTTAGAAGATCTTAAAGGTTGAGCTCTAGTTGAAATTGAAAATATGAGGCAGATTACAAAGAAGACTAAAAGTAGAGGTAAAAAGTGAAGTTGAAAATGAATTACTATATATTGAACATAAAGTGAAAATAGTAAATTGTGCTGTAATTATGTCAAGGACATTAAGAAACATAAAATATCTTAAATAATTAAATTTGTATTTAATCTTTGTTTTATTAATTAATATTTATACTTAATTCATAACACAAGACAGATATATTTTAATTATTCATAGCAGACACTTTTATAAAACTGGGGTAAACCAAGACATAAAAATAGAACTTTATTTATTTCTGTAAGACCATATTTTTAGTCATTTCAGGACTTTTTTGAAATTAAAATCATACAATATGGTTAATATGTTTAAATAAGGTAAAATGATCATCAATGCTACTATAAACACTATGAATTATACCAACCAATATTTACTGAGTATCCACTGACTGCAATGGCTTTTTAAATTCCTATAATCTTCATCAACCCTATGAGGTAGATGCTCTTATTGTAAGCATTTTATGAGTGAAATAAATAGTTGCAATATAACTTTATATCTGAATCAGTTCTGGAATAAAATGGCACAAAATAATTTGAAATATTATGAAATGGGCATGATAAAGTCATGGTTTCCTAACAAACAATATTTTTCTATGTTGTTCCTCCTCTGCCTGAGTGAAACACTTCGCATTCATTCATCTATTTTACTTTAAAATATTAAATTTTTTATCATTTTGTTATCTATTGATTTCATTTCATTAATCAGTTGATATTTTTCTTCTGTCTCCTTTGGAGTTTGCATAACAATATGACTGCTTTGGGGGAAAGGGATTGTTGAGGGGCCAGAGTGGTAATTAGAAGGCTGTTCTATAGAGAGGCTGATGTCTTTCACAAAAATTCTGAGAGGTGTCACAAAGATTAATACTATTTTGAAAATGCCTGTTTAACCTTTGACAAAAGAAGTACTCAGGGGTCCAGTATTAGGCTACACTGCACAAATGTCTGGTAGTTTCTAACATAAGGGAGACTAACCTGTTAGTTTCAGGCTTCATCAGTGATCGTGCAACAGCAGACAGGTTTACACTCTAGCATTAGAAATTTCGGTTACATTTAGGGAAAGATTTTCAGGATGAAAGGTGTGAAGTGCTGGAATCAGTTACAAAGAGAAGTTGTCATATCTACTTTCTGCAGGTTTTTATAAATAGTGTAGTTTCTCATCTCTGTGGGATGATTTAAACATGAGAGATGAACCTCGTGACCTCTCTGGTTCATTTCCAGCCTTGCGATTCTGTGAGGAAATAAAGTATTTCTTCAGAACTGCTCATAAATTCCATTAGACTACAGCTAGTACTCTCAGTGGTAAACTAGTGGCTAAAGATTTCTTCTAAATTTTCTGGCTTTACTATATATAAATAAAGCTTTAACTCCTCAGTGGCTATAAAATTGTGTTTTAACAATATTAAGTAAAAGTCTTTTAATTATAGAAGTCAGAACTGTTTTACAATGAAATACTCAAGTGGATTCTATTTATAGGCCTCTGTTGGAGACAATGATATATTGTAAGAGACAGTTTTTTTTATTTTGTTTTTACTAAATATTTATATTATATGCTTATTCTTAGCTGACAATGTATTAGGCACTAGAAAGAAACAAAGTCGCCACTCTTCAGAATAAAGGCCTAGAGAAAATGTCGAAATGTAAATAAAAAGAATTAGAACTCAGTAAGAATAAGGGCATTGAGAAGACGTAGCACATGGAATAGGGAATACCACCCAAACTGGTGTGTGGGTGTGTGTGTGTATGTGTCTGTGTGTGTGTGCACACGCATGAGTCTTATCTGCGTGTGAGTGCAGCACACAGATAAGAAATTAGAAATGCTGCTAGAAAAAAAAATGAAACCTGAGCTACATACTAAAACATTAGTGTTCTTCTTTTGTTTAAATTTTATTTCAATAGTTTTGGGGGGCACTGATGTTTTCTGATTCCGTGGATACGTTCTTTAGCAGTGATTTCTGAGATTTTGGTGCACCTGTGATTCAAGCAGTGTACCCTGTACCCAATATGTAATATTTTATCATCTCTCCCTCCTACCCTTCCCCTCAAGTTCCTAAAGTCCATTCTTATGCCTTTGCGTCCTCATAGCTTATCTCTCATTTATAAGTGAGAGCATGATATTTGCTTTTCTATTCCTAAGTTACTTCACTTAGAATAACGGCCTCCTGCTCCATCCAAGTCACTGCAAAAGACATTATTTCATTTCTTTTTTATGGCTAAGTAGTATTCCATGGTGTATACATTCTACATTTTCTTTATCCACTCATTGGCTGATGGGCACTTAGATTGGTTCTATATCTCTGCAATTTCAAATTGTGTTGTGATAAACATGTGTGTGCGTGTGTCTTTTTCATATTATGACATCTTTTCCTTTGGGCAGATACCCAGTCGTGGGATTGCTGGATGAAATGGTAGTTCTGTTTTTAGCTTAAATATTAGTATTCTTTATTAAAGCAAGGTTAAGGGAGAATATGTCAGAAGCAATACGTTTAATGGCTTGGCAAATTAGAGCCATAAGATGTTTGAAAATCTTCAAGTACTTCATAGGTTTGAAATACTGACTACAGGGTGCGAATAGAAGAAGAACGTGGTCATGTGCTGAATCAGGAAGGGATTTCAATACCAAGCTAAAGGGAACGGACTTATAAATCAAGGTATGGGATTTGAAATTAGTTTTGAAAACAAAGGTTTTTTAAGTAGTGAAAGGACACAATGACATTTTCATTTTAGGAATATAGATCTCATGACTGCGTAAACAATGTTTATTTTTGAAGGTTAGGTTCACCATTTCCAAATTATGGTAAAATCTTAGACTCACTTTGTTAGGAAGGCCAGCCGCATTAGGGAGAGAATCATGCAGGATCTAGAAAACGCTGTGATATTTTCCTGGTTTAATGTAGACACATTTAGAAATGTGTTCTCAAATGTAACTCATAATTCATTCAAAAAATTGCTGCTGCTAGTGTTAAATACTAAATATTCACAGTCCAAAAATATTAAAATGTGAAATACCAACATTAGATTATCAGTGTATTTATAGGATGTTAGGACAAAGAAGAAAAAAAAAGATAAGATCTTTGGCATTAGATTAACTTGTGTTTTAGTTCTGCCTCCAAACTTTGCACCTCTGTAAACTTTGAAAAGTTAACCTCCTTGACTTCAATCTTCTAACTGGTGAAAGAGAACTAATAAAATCTAACCCACAGGAATTTTTGTGAGGATGAATTGAAACAGCACACGTAAAACACTTACAGATTTCAACAATGGGAAAGTACTCAATAAGTGTTAGTCTGCTCTTGTGCGTATGGTAAAATATAGTAAGGTTTCTTGGGAAATCCTGCTCAAAGGAAAACATATCATTTTGTTGAAGAATATGGATATGAGAAAAATGATGATATAAACAGGAAACCTGGCAAAAATAGCCTGAGGAATTGGACGAGAAGAACTGAAACATTGACTATTGAAAACTATTTTTTACCTGGAAATTGTGGCTTTTCATCCTTCATGTTCTTGTGGACAGAGGTGATGCCTTTCACTTCTACAATGTCAGCTATATGGTAGACAATACATTTACAAAACAAAAATAGTGTGAGTGAAAGTTCAGTAATGACAATAAATGATCTATGTTGAATCTTCACAGAAGGCAAGAAAATTTCCCGAGAGTCTCTCAAGCTGCAGAAATCTGGGACATGACAATAGGCACATAGATTACCCAGACAGGAATATAGGCTACTTTTAATTGAAAGGTAACTGGAATGCTGATGCTTTGATACATGATTTAGGGTGAAAGAGCCAAGTGGAAATCCTATTATATTAGATGCCAGAGAATCTGACCCCCAAAATCTTTTCCACATGACCAAGGTAAAGGAGGTGATAGAGCAGAGTGGGGAATGCCTGTGGATATTTATATAATTGCAAAACTTGTTTGAAGGATACTATTAATTTTAATATTAATTTAGAAACACATGTTTATTTGTTAATTTCTTGTTTACTTACTGGATGTCTTTTCTGGTCTACTGGCCTATACTCTTTTGCTAGTATTTCTACCACACATACATGATGTGGGTGACTATCAGCTGTTTTGATTATGTTAGCTCTTTCCAATTAATTCCAGGTAATGCTTATCCCTGTATTTTAAAATGTATTTGCTATAAGTAGTTTATAGCCAGGTTCTGGTAGTGCCAGATGAAAAAAAAGGCACTTATTCTCCAAACTACTCACCAGAACACACACATACTACTACTATAACTACTACTGCTACTACACATACACAATTTGCATGTGGATCTCTGTTCTATTTCATTGGTCTCTTTTTCTCTCCTTGCAACAGCTTCGCATGGTCTTACCTAATGTAACTTTATATTAAGTCTCTACTGATAAAGTAATTCTACTTTGTTTTTCTTTCTTCAAGAGTATCTTGGATATATTTAGTCCTTTGCATTTAAAAAATTCAACTTCATTGTGGACAAATTTGCATTTGATAATATTGACCCATTTTAGATGCACACTCTGAGTTTCATAAATTTCTAAAGCCATTTAACCAACACCACAATTAATATACAGAACATTTCAATTACCCTAGTTCCCATACAATTCACCAGATTCAATTTTCACTATTACCTGTGATTTTAGATAATATTTTTGATGGATGTCCTTTGGTAAAGTTTCCTTCTATTCCCAGTTTGCTGAGAGTTATTTAATCATGAGTGGATGTTGGGTTTTTGTCAAATGCTTTTTCTGCATTGATAGAGATAATATCTTTTCTTTTTCATTTTGTCAATATAGTGAATTATATTGTGTTTATCTCAAGGGTGTAAGCATAATTTAACTTTTATGCTAACACCCTTGAGATAAACCCAACTTAGTCATGGTGCTTTGTATGTATAGTTGGATTAAGTGTTACAATTATATTTAGGATTCTTCCCTCTGTGTTCATGAGGCATATTGGTCTGTAGATTTGTACTAGCTTCATCTGATTTTGGTACCAGCGTTAATGATGGCTTCATAGGATAAAATGGAAAGGATTTCCTTCTCTTCAATATTTTGGGAGAGTTTATGTAGAGTTAGTATTTTTTTCTTAAATGTTTGGAAAATTCACCATTGAAGCCATTTGGGTCTGGAGGTTTTTTTTTTTTCTTGGAAGGCTTTAAATTGTAAGTTCAATTTCTTAAAAAATATAGTGCTGTTCACATTATTTCTTCCTGAACAAGCTTTGATTGTTTGTGTTTTTTATGGAATTTGTCCATTTTGTCTAAGTCAAGCGTTGGCAAACTTTTTTATAAAGATTCAGAAAGTAAATATTTTAAGTTTTTCCATACACAATCAAAGGTCTTATGTATATATAATTATTTAACATGTAATCATTTAAAAATATAAAACCATCTGTAGCTCATGAGCATAAAAACTAAATTAATGAAAAACTAAAACAGACATATAGGTTATTTTTCACCTAAGATGTTGAAGACTTTATAGAGGATTTTTTTTCATTTTATTTTGTTTTCTTAATATTTCATATCTATATTTAATTTTTAACAAGTGAAAAAAATACTGAAGCCCAATTCTATTAAACATTCTACCCAATGTCCTATTTTCCATCTTGTTTGTGAGAACAGAAGCTGTTGCTACATGAGCAAGAGATATTGCTCACTATTATGCTTTCAGATGGTTCTTTCCTCACTTGTAGTATGCAGCACTTATTTATTGTACTTTGCTGAATCTACAAGGGGACCTCTGCAGTTATCTAGATTCTTTCTCTCATGTTTTTGCTTGTTTGTTTCTGTCCTGTAAACTCTAGTCACCTTGTTCTTCTGGGACTGTTAACTCCATTTACTTAGCACAGGGAATCCATCAGTCTCTATCTAAGTCATAGCCTCTTGAACTCTCTCAAAGCAGTAAGCTGGGGCAGTCATGTATTAATAGTTTATCTCATTTTTTAAACTTATCTTTCAGGGATTACTGTTTTTTGATGACTGTTGTCCAGTATCTTGAAAGTCACCCTTTCATGTATTTTTTTCTGGCAGTGATTGTTTTTGTTGCTGCTACTAATGATGTTTGTTTCTGTTCAGAGGGTAAATCTGATCCCTGTACCAAAAAGAAAGTGTTTCAAAACTTTGTGTCTCTTGTCACTATAAGCATAGTCCTTTTATTCTAAATACTAGGTTGCTCTTAGTTCCATTATCTATGAAATATATATAATAATAATTATAATACCTTGCCCAGCGCAAAATAGTGACTCTATAGTGTTTTTGACAAATGCATACTATTGAGGCATAAGTTTAAAAGCTTATATATAACAATTCATGTAAATATCAAGATAACCCCTGAGTTGGGTTTTAGTCTGTATTTTAGAGTTTAAGAAATTGCAGTAGTGGCAAAGTCAGATGTCATCCTGGGCCTACATAATTATAAGGGGTCAACTGAAGAGTTCATGTAAGACCATTTAAGAGGGTCTTTAAGTGGATGATAGGAGTTGGGATAGACAGATAATTGTTTAAGGGACAAAGAGGTCTTAATATCAAGGCATCTCCCACTGTCCATCTGGGTGACATATGGCATCATAATTCTCATTTGTTTTTTAAATATAGGATTTACCATCATTGTTCCTATATTCTAATTATAATATTATTAGTATCATGAAGTACTTATTCTAAGCAGTAATTAATACTTTCTTCATCAGAGTTTCAACTCATACATCATTTTGGTCCCACTCACTACAGTTATATCCAGAAACAAATGGTGGTCAAGAGTGAGGATTACCTGATAATTACTAAAGAAACTGCCAATTCTAATTTATGACTAGATAGGAAAGTGAATTTCTCCACATTTTTCTCTCTATGATTGTAATAGGAGTCAAAAGACAAAATTTTACCTGCCCACTACAGTCTGTTTGTTGGTTTTGTTCATATTTATTCACCATATGAAACAGGTAACTATGATAGGCAGAATAATGGCCCCCTAAAGATGCCCATTCCTTAATTCTCAAAAACTACAAATATGTTACATGGCAAGAGGGAAATAATATTCTCTATGGAATTAAGATTGCTAACTATGTGACCTCAAAATAGTCGATTATCCTGAATTATCTAAATGGGCCCAATGTAAAACAAGTGTCCTAAAATGTGGAAGAGGAGGCAGAAGAGTTAGTGTCAGATTGAGGTGATATGAGAAAGATTCAATCAGCCATTTCTGGCTTTGAAAGTGGAAGGCCATGAGCTAAGGAACACTTGCAGCCTCTAGAAGCCAGAAAAGTCAATAAAATAGATTATCCTCTAGAATTTCCTGAAAAGAGGTCAACCCAGCTGACACATTTTAGCCCAGTGTAACACATTTTGGTCTCCAACGTCTAAATCTGTATGATAATACACCTGTGTTTTTATAGACATAAAATTTGTGGTATTTCATTATAGCAGCAATAGGAAAATAATATGGTAACTGAGGATGTTTCCTTGAGTATAATGTATAAAAGTAAAAAATGTCATTTGTGTACATTTCCATTCTTTTCTTTTTCAATCTCTTAGGGTTTTGGAGCCACATTTTTAAAAGAGATATTATAAAATCATGCTTAAATCAAAATGAGACAATTCGTTTGTCAATAAATAACTGAAAATGTAGAAGAAGATAGACCATAGTACTATTGTCCTAAAATTCACCAGGATCCACAGGCTGATATACATAGAAGGTTATGACTTCTCCTCCCATCTTTGTAGGCAATTATTAAATAATTTAAAATCAGAAGAGTCACTCCAAGCATAGAAATTAAGTAAAATATTTTGCACTGAAGATAAACTGGAAAATAACATTTATATGCGTGTTTGAGGGAGGAACAGGAAGACAACATGACAGAGTGGATTGCTGTGGCTGTACAGGCTTGCGTGGGGTGCTGGAGGGAGGGGTGTGTGTGTGCTCTTGCACACATGCAGTGTATTGAATCAAACAAAGAAAGAAGCTATATTTTCATCTAAAGATTGCTATAAATATATTCTCAATAATGAAATCCAAGTAAAGCCCATAACTACCAAAGGATTTAGTCAGTTGTTCTAGCCTTAGTTTATTTATTAGAACAGTAAAATATCTTCCTGGCATTATTGAAAAGGGGAATTACAGAATACAAGAGTATATAAGAAAAGAAACATAAAACAAAACCACTTTAGCACCAGTGGATATTTTAGCACTTTTTATAAGTTAAGAAGGATAATAAGCAATTCAATTTATTATAAATGGCAAAATTTGCTGAAAAATTGTATCTTGTATGCTCAGGCTAACATATATATATATATGATTATCTTATTTAAGATAATATGTATAGTAATTATATTATTTAAGATAATATATATTACCAATTTACTTATTTATATTGACATTTAATTATTTTCCTATGATACATCGTATATCACTTAGGAGAGATTTGCGTGTGTTACATTTTATTTAATTTGTATTTTTAATGTATCATACTTGCTCATAAAGTATTCCTTATTTGAAACTTTAAATGCAGTCTTAAGAATATCTTTTAAAACTACATATGCTTATGTGAAACGTTTTAAAATAATATTTAAAATTATAAGTAGAACATTCACAAATAATCATTCAATTATTTAGAACTGAAGGCAGTCTCTCTTTATATACAGTAGTATAGCTTATATATAATGCTTATACATATATATGAAGGGAATCACCAGACATTTACTCTGTTATATGGAGTAAAAATAAACTCATTTTAAAAAAACACACAAATTTGAAAGTAAGAGTAGTTCTTGGTTTAATTCTAAAATATGAACCAAATTAAGAATCTATTTTTAAAAATGCCTTGAAACTAGTTCCTAAGGAAAAAAGACTAAAACTGGAAGGAAAACAAAGGAGTTAAAGGAGGAAATGATATTTGAGAGAAAATGCTAATGCTAACAGCCTAAGGGTACCACCTGTCTGGCTTCCTTTAAAACTACAGAAGTATGTGCTTTGCAACCGAAATCAGTCCTATGTTCATAGCTGAGAGGCCTGCACCTGGTAAGAGCAGGGTCCATTGGCAGCCTTATTCCTCAACCAAACTTCCCACACTTTTGGTGCAGACTGGGATATGCAGCAACAACAGATGGAACACCACTGTGATACAAAAGACATTTGGTGGGAACCGTATGCAAATGTATGTTGGCCATGAAATTATGTGAAAGGTCTTACAATTTGAGAAACTAATTGGAAAACAGAACTGTTGCAGAACCAGAAAACAGAAAATTGAATAGAATTTGAGAATGCTTCGGCAATAAGCAGATTCATTTATGAAGCCAAATAGCCAACACTGTCCTCTACAACTTAAAAATAATAATACTAAATTTTATTTCCCAATATGTTCCCTTTCTAATTCAACAAATGCATATCAGTGTTCTAGAGATAAATGTGTACAGTACTTAAATTATAAAGAGTTGTTACAGGACTGAAACCATTGCCTCTTATATTTTATGGAAGAGACTCATGTTTCGGATTTTATTATTTTAAAAATCTTTGCAATTTACATTTCTTCTAAATATATTAGAAACCTTTTAAATCTGTAATATTTATGAGGTCTATTAATTACAATGTTAGAATTACACAATTCTAAGTTTCTAATGTTGCTTTACTGGAGATTCCTCCATAAATATTAGAGCTAAGCATTCATACTGACATAAAATCCAGTCAGGCTTTTTCATCATGGTGATATGCCATGGAGATAAATACAGGTTTTACATGAATAGAGATAGGATTCCATAACATAAGTAGCAAATGAAGGATAATTATTTCCCACATAGTTATTCAAAAGTTAGCATGCTTTATAATCCATACTATTTGTATGGCATCTACATGTGCTACTTTAGGATATTTAAGGTTTTTTAATCCTTAAAATAATCCTGGCCGGGCACGGTGGTGCACACCTGTAATCTCAGTACTTTGGGAGGCTGAGGCAGGTGCATCACCTAAGGTCAGGAGTTGGAGATCAGCCTGACTGACATGGTGAAACCCCATCTCTACTAAATACAAAAAATTAGCTGGGCATGGTGGCACATGCCTGTAATCCCAGCTACTCGGGAGGCTGAGGCAGGAGAACCACTTGAACCTGGAGGTGGAGGTTGCCGTGGGCTGAGATCGTACCACTGCACTCCAGCCTGGACAACAAGAGCAAAACTCCATCTCAAAAACAACAACAAAAACAACAAATCCTGCAATGAACGTCATTAATTCCATTTGAAAATGAGGAAACTAAATCTGAACAAGTCACATAGTGTTGTAGGACTTTCTCCTTAGTTCAGCTGGGAGCCGGATCTTTGCCACACGGCCATGACATTAGGCTCACAGATACTTTGAAGGATGAGAATAATGGAATAAAGGGAAACAGGGACTTTCTACAAAACCAGAGTCCTGCTAGTGTGCTTCCTGCCTTGCCGATTGAATCCCAGGTACCATACCCCAGAACAGGGGAGAGAGGCCAGGCTTTTCCCCCCTGCAAAGGGTGTGAACTTCCCATGGCTCCACCCTAGTGTGCAGGTCATCTGAGGTTCTTCCAGGGAGCCATTCCCACCTGGCTCTCTCATTCCCCTCTCTACCAACATGACACATGTATACATATGTAACAAACCTGCACGTTATGCACATGTATCCTAAAACTTAAAGTATAATAATAATAAAAAAAAGAAGTATATCTAACTGCTGTCAGAATAAGGATAAGGATAAGGTCAAAGACCTATCTTAACTGCTTCCTGCTGTCAGGGGGTGCTGTTTGGGGAAAATAGCAGTCAAGAGTTTTCTTAGAGGCCTATCTAAGGGTTCCCAGCAGAAGGGGCCATTTTCCAAGGCTCCAGTCACATGACTGCATGACCATTTGGAGTTTCATGCCCTGAAGGCAAGAAGAGACAAACGGGGTTATTAGAAAACATTTATCAAAACAGAACAAGGGGAGGGGTAAGGATGGCTCAAAAATCCCAAGGCCTTTTACCAGTTTGCATAGGGAGAGGGAGACCAAAAGCCCGACTGGTAAAAACACTTTACCCTTTTGTCATCATGTTGGCCTTCTGCATTCCCTTCCCCTGAGCCCAATCCTAAACCAACCAGTTTACAGCTTGGGAAATTAACTTTTCCCAGTTTGGAGGATGCATCTGAGGGGAGTGTCCCATAGTACTGAGACACAATTGCCTATCTGTGAAGAGAGGACAGAGGAGGAGAAAGGGAAAAACAAAGAGATTTTTTCAATGGAGTCCCAGGGGTTCAGGGTGCATTCAAAAGTGGTACAGACTGAAGATTAATGCCTATCCATCTAGGAAAAGGGGAGCAGGCATCCCTTGTTTCCTTCTCTTCCTAGCAGATACCTGGGGTACATGAGGGAGAGAGGGAAGAGCATCCTTTTTCCCTCTTCTGTCCTTGCATTCCTGAGTCCTGGTGACCTTGGCACATGCTGGCATTGGTGCCAAAGTGGCTTGCACCCATGACACAGGGAGGGGCTAGAGAATAGGAATTATCCACTCTCACCTATGTCTCTATCCCACCTACTATCAGTAGCTTTGGAGTTCCCTAGACCTCATTTATGCTACAGATACTAGCATGACCTTTATCCATGAAATGGGAGACTTGGCTTAATTGGCTTAATGGCTTAATTAGCCATGCTTACCTGCACTCTGCCTTTTAACATCTGTTGTCATCTTCATCTGGATCCTTTAGATCCAATTTTCCTTCCTAGGGCTTTGACCCAAAACTTAGAATTGAGTTTTGGACAAAAATGTGTCTTGGGGGAGGAGTTGCATGGACTCCTTAACATAAGCCAGCTGCTAAGGTGAAAATGTGGAACTGAGTCTTCCTCCAAGAAGGAAGAGAAAAGGATGTCTTGTGACACACCCAGATAACTGGTAGCTGCAGTTACGCTTGCTAGGATTTGGGTGCATGGTGCTTGGCTATGGTTAGCTCCCTTGGTTTTACTTTCCCAAAAAAGGAAACCTCCAAGTGGTGAGCATTCTATTTATTCCCATCACCTGGCAGGATTTGCAGGATAATTGCTCAGAACTAGAGTATTGATCCAGATTTTTACATTGCCCATCCCTCTTGTTCTTTCTGAACTGCAGCTGGAAGCTGATGGTTGGTTCACAGGAACAAGAAGGGTTACTCTAAAATGTAGGTGAAAACTTAAGAACAATTAATGACAAATGTACGATAAGTTTTGAAACATAATTTCTCTCTCTCCAGTCCTCATTTTTGTTAAAAAAAAAAAAAAACCCACAAATCATCATCAAAGGACTGAGTCATTTGCAAAACAGACTTTAGTCTTATACTTGTCCTGATTATTTGAATGAAGTGCAGCAAGAGTAACTATTTCCTCACACCTTTGGATTGGCTTTGATGAAACTCTGTTCCACAAGGAATCTCAAATAAGACCTTTTAAAGCCGAGCCCAGCCATAGGTTTGTATCCTCAAATATCTGTGAGTTGGGTGATCCTGTCTCTTAAGGTCCCAAGATAAACTTGGAGCTCCTGGACCTGTTAGAAAGTGATATTCTTTATTGACCACCAGTCAGGAACCCTGTACAGGGACTGTCTAGGCAAGTTTCTCCCCAAGAGGCTTTTATCAGCTCTGCAAGTTGAACTTGGCCTCTTAAAAGGAAACATACCCTTCCAGTCAAAGCTTTGATAAAACAACGAGTTTCTACAGTTGTGTCCTGTTGCAAAAGAAAAATGGATTCTTATTGCACTGTTGCAAATGATGATATTGCCATAAGTTAAGAATACTCACAGATAGTTTCCAAATTCTGGAGAAGCCAGGGAGAAAGAGAGACAAATATGCTCCAAATTTTGTTCACAGGAATATACCTTACTCAATTATTAAAGGCTGTAAATAGTTCAAAATAAATCCCCTTGACTCTGAAAAACAAAACAAAGATCAGCAATATTCCAATCAAAAGTCAAAAAGATTGCTTCAGCTTTCTGAGTTCAGTCAATTTAGTTCTTGATTTGCTTGATATTCTTGAACATTTCAGCTCCTCATAAGTCCTGTACACTTTTCCTTTATTCCAATATTAAAATCAACAAAGTTATCAGAAACTTGTATTTGAGAGCATCTGTCAAAATTCTGTAGCTTATTATAAGCCATCTTTTGAAAAGGATTAAAACCAGATAACAATCGTCTGTGAATAACAAATTTTCATGGGAGTTACAGTTGGATGCAGGATCCATCCTGCAGACCCTGACCCAATGACAGATGAATAAAGTACACTGACACAGATATTTTCCCTATCAGTCCAGCTAGCAACCCGGGCTCCTCACAGACACCAAAGAAGGTGCTATAAAGAGTAGCAGCTGCAGCCCTGTTCAGCCAGTGAAGTTTGCATTTATTCAGTATAGATTAAATGACAAAGGTCTTGAGTAAATACCACTAGAGGGTAATTGAACTGATTGCCGACCCCCGTCTCCCCCCCACCCCCCCACCGCCCTCCACCCCAGTAGAGAGCGATTATGCATCCCTGGTTGATCAAAGGTTGGTTTTAGGACCGCATGAGTAAACAAGCTATTTAGATAAACTACTATACATTCCTTTGTATCTACTTTAAACTATTTACTTAAGGTAAGGATTAGGCTGCCTCCAGCCTGATCTATTACTGCAGCTTATGCAAACCCTCTGGCCTTCCAAGAAGGTTTGTTTCTATTTCTATAACTATTTTTAAAATATTTCCCACCAGCCTGACTGAACTCCCACAGTTGGAAACACAATTGACAAAAAAGTTTGGTTATCTCTGTAGCTTACAGTGACATCATAACAACCTTAATTATAATTGATGCATGTAATCAGACATTAGAATCTTAGAAATCCCATATAATTTTGGAATATATGTTAGCTTTATTCACAAAAATATAATCTAAAGAAGATTGAACATCATTTTGGCAATCTCATGTACCTAAACATGTCAAATAATCTTGTTTACCTTTCTCTTCTGGACACTCCAAGCACCCTCTGGAGCCTCAGAAAAGCCAGGTGTCAAGAAAGACAATTTTGGAGCCGAAGTTTGATTTTGGGAAGGCTGTTAAATATGGTAGCAGTTTAAAACACTTGATGTTATGAAATAGAATTCCAGATCACCATAAGTTATTATTTTTTTTTTTGGCAAAATGATGACTCGAAAATTTTAAAGTAGCAAAAACCTTTTATAACCTTTTACAAATTTTGCCAAAGAGCAGATTAATGACTTAAGAAATCCTTGTTGTGCTTTTATTTCAATGTTTGATTTACAGAAAAACCATAATACCCTTTTGAATTTAGTCAGTATGTTCACACAGAGAACCTCTTCCACAAGATTAATTTCCACAATCTTTCCACTGCTTGTTTGAACCTTCAGCTTTATCTTATGTGACTGAATACAATCCTTTAACCCTGAACAAAAATTTACATTTCTATGCCTTTATTATAACCATTTACTAAAAACACATTTTTACTGTTCTTGCACACTTTGCATGTAAATCTATTCTCAGTAGTTTCAATTACACATTATAAAGGTAACTCCTAGCAATTTAAAATTTAATGTAAAACCTGGTAAGTTGTTTTAATTGTGTGCTAGGTGCAGCCAAGGTTTGACTCCTTCCAGCATAATTAAGGGTGTGGTATGTTCCATTTTACCCCATGTCTTACTAATTGTGAAACTGGCAAGTCAGATAGTTCTCAAAACCCCAAAGCAGTTTATAGCCTCAAAACATTTAGCAAGCCTAGTACCTAACCTGCATAATTTAGTCCACCTATTTACATTTTGATGACATCTGCTTTTTACCAATAATTTTTAAGGCTGTTTTTATTTCTCAAAGATTAAAGTCATGTGAACTGAAAGGTACCACACCTTTTAACTTTCCTTTAAAAAATATTTGATCCAAGCACTTGTCTTCCTTTAGGCCAATTAATTAGACCTCTTATTACAGATGTCACGTACACAACGCATACTACACAGAGGCAGGAGAAAACCCAGTCCCCATAAGATCCTTTGTCACAACTAAAAATTTAAAGAATATAAACAGGGATTTTTTTTTTATCATTCCTAGCCTAGTAAAATGTCTTCTAAATGAAAAAAAAAAAAAGAAAGAAAAAGAAAAAAAAACTAGCTTAAAAGTTAACTGCTGACTGATAGGGTGGAAAAGAAAAAAGAATGCCTGGGAGAAGAAGCTCTTATTCTTATTCAAATGGTGCCTCCACCACCAGGGAGAGAAGCTTAATTACTGTCCGATGGAGTTGAAGCCCTTGGCCAGGGAAGGGGAAGATGTGAATGCGTGGCATTCCCCAGGCCCACCTGGAAGAGGAGGGGGAGTGAGGAGCCCCTGCTCATCTGTCCATTCCAAAAAGAGGAAGGAAAAGACCATGGAATGGCCCCTGACCCCTGGGAACAATGAGGGTGGGGGCACAGTTTCTCCTACCCTCAGAAGACCAAGGATGAAAAGGCTCAGAAGCAACAGTGAGAGGATTTGAGTCCCCATTTTACTCACCGCTTCTCAAGACCCACGTTGGGCGCCAAAGCTGTTGTAGGACTTTCTCCTTAGTTCAGCTAAGAGCCAGGTCCTGGTCACATGATCATGAGATATTAAGTTTGCAGACACTTTGAAGGTTGAGAATAATGGAATTTATTAGGCAAAAAAAGGAAAAAGGAAAACAGGGACTTTCCGCAAACTCAGAGTCCTGCTAGTGTGCTTCCCCGATCACAGATTGAATCCTGGGTACCACACCCCAGAACAGGAGAGAGAGGCCAGGCTCTTCCCCGCTGCAAAGGGCATGAACTTCCCATGGCTCCACCACAGTGTACAGGCTGTCAGAGCTTCTTCCCGCCTGGCTATCTCAATAAAATTCAAACTTTATATTTATGACTCTGTAGCTTATTTGTTTTCCCAATCTCATGATGGCTTTTCCCAACCAAAATTTCAAACAGCTTTGGTTTTTTTGTTTTTGTTTTTGTTTTTTTTTTTTTGGTTCTGTCCTATCATCACTGTTAAAATGAAATAAACCTTACTTTTTCATTGAAGAATAGTTCTTTTGGCAAAACATTCATTTGAGATAGTATAAACCTTGCTTAATATTTTAGAGTGTCAGCTCAGCTGTCAGATTTAAAAGCCAGCTATGTCATTCTCTAATGCTGTGTTCTTCAGTGAGTGACTTAAGATGTCTGTACTTTTAGTATTTTCATCTATAAAATGGGGGCAATGTCATTTTAAAGGTTTCTTTTAATATTTAAATGACAGAGTTAATTTACTGGCCTAGAACATAATAGTTGCTGAATCAATGTTAGCAATTGAATTCTTTTTATAAAAGATTGGTAAAAATGGATACAGGAGAGTTTAACACTTACAATCTCTTGTTATATCCAGATATTGGTCTTTGGAGTAGGTTATTTAAAAGAAGTTTCTAGTTATACTTTTTGTTGGTAAATTATTTTACTGCTTGCTACAAAATTTGTGGGTTGTGAAATAGGAAAAATTTTTTCTTTTTTTAAATTAACACTTGATTGTTTGGGTAACTCCCAGGAAATAACTGTAATGTTAGCGTGTTGTTCTATGTGCTTTATCTTCTATTAGTCTGCAAAGTTTGTATACTATAAACAAGCAAGTACAAGGAGTTAATGCTCCAAATATTTCTTTTTCTAGCATAGTTAATATTGAATGATCCGTCAGTTTTTTGCCTAAATTTTATTCTTATAACAAAGTATCATACAAATTAGTTTTATTGGGTCACATTTATATGATTGCTTTCAAGATTTAAGAGTTAAATGACTTTAGCTTGTAAATTTTAAAAAACTCCCAAAATATATATTTGCATTTTACTAGAACTCTGGACTAGATAATTATAAGCATCAAAAGGATTTCTATATTTTGAATTTGGTACATTTCTGTTTTTAATTATTAAAATCCAAGGATATTTTAGCTTCACAGTTTTTTTTAAGACTATTTACAGCCACTGTCTCTTTTTTGCTAAAAACAATTCTACAGAACATTAGAAAGCTGGATAATTAATATAATCACTTTATAGGTGAGAAAACAAGAGACACAAAATAGAATTGAGTGACTTATTCTCTCCAAAAATAAAATAATGCTATCACAGTCATTTTTAAATGGATGTTTGAAAGAAACAACTTTGATACCATAACAGAAAACATTACAGAAGCAGAAAACAGTATTTTATTTGATGAGTTTAACAGTATCTCAACTAATAAATTGGCTGTCATCCTTGCCCAGTGTGAAGATAAGGAGTATAAGGACATGTAGATGCCCACCTTGGTATGCCAATTTGCAATTACCCTATGACAGAGCACACAGTTTTACTATGATTGATGAAACATTTTAGAAGGAAAGAACTTAAATGGAAGAATTTTATTAGGTTTTGAAATGACATTGCTAACAGTAGTGCTAGGGGAAAAATAAACATAAAAACATTTTAAGTAGATAGTAGGAACGCAACCTAATCTAAGCTGCCTACAGTGCCCTTGCTATTTTCACTTACTTTTGCCTCATATATGGGGATGTAAACAACTTAATTCTAAGGTTATTGTGCGACCTTTTCTGCTTTGTACTTTGATCACAAATAGTGTCTGAAATAAAAATGAGATAACTCTAAGACTTCAGTGCTTGTCATAAAAGGCTGTTATTAAACATAAACACAGTAACTGCATACTCTGAGCTAGAAAAGCACTAGAGTGATAAATAAATGTACATTTTACAATAATAGCAGGATCACTCTGATCTTGAACATTCATTGAGCATTCATTTTCAAGTTGGACAAAAGTTTTTGAATCAGTCTCCTTTGCTCTTAAGTATTCATATCTTAAATTATATATCAATTTTACCATCCCAGATTGGGTCAGATCACTGTTCCAGAAAATAAGGCATCATGTATTTTTCCAGGTTCTGAACTGTTAGTTAAATCGTCTTCACACAGTTCAGCGGACCTAAGCAGTGGTATAAGACTGCAAAACTGATAGAGGAAAGCAACTTCTAACTGACCCTTTAGGCAATTATTGTAGAACTGGAAGCCTGATATTTGATTACACTCAGTGTCATTTTCAATTTAAATAGCTATAAATTACTCACATTTTTTGAACAGCAACAATCTTTAAATCAATGAACTCATCTAAGAATTGAAGAAATTTCCATAGGTTTATTGTATGCCTAATAAACACTGTTTCTTCACATGCTTTAGTTATTTCTTGGGGCCTTGATTTTTACCATGTATACATTTATTTTCATCTCATTTTATGAAGAAATCATGTAAAATTGTCACAAGACTAATGATGTGAGATCTAGTAGACATAAATGATAATATTTCTGTAGCATGCTTTAAGATAAAAGCATATTTGTCTTAAAATATAAACAAATGTCATATTTGATCTGGAGGGTATAAAACAAGAATTCAAGATTTATTTTCCATGGTCCCAAATTAGACTTCAAATATACACATCCAATTAGATGTTTCCATCTTCCTAAGGAGACTTCAAGAGACAGAGAAAGACAATGTTGACAGCATACTGGGCGTGAGAATACTCCAATCTAGGCAGGGTCTCTTCAGCTCCTTTCTGGGCTCAGAGAAGTTTGAGATCAGGTAGGCAAAGCAGACAGGTATCAAAGAAGCAAAGAGGTGTTGGGGCAAAGGGAATGTGGATTTTTGATTACCTATTATACATGCATAGCCTCTCTGTTGCAATGTGAACACCATGAAAATTTGTATGTATGAAAGAATCCTGTGCTAGCCCTTAAACAACTTGTCAATAATAGATGTTTGACATATTTATACCTGGGTGAAATCAAGAAAGCTTACTCCTGTGGTCACCTCATTGAACAAGAATTTATTGTTCATCTTCTATGTGCCAGGTAATTTCCAGCAATTTCTGAAAATACAAATATCAGTAAATTATGATCTTTTTTCCTTGAGAATCTCACAGTTTAAAACAGAGGGCAGATTTGTGGAGAGTTCCTCAGCTTATAATAAAATATGAAAAGATTTCATACACACAATAGCTTTGCACAGTAAGTTTTCATAAGAAAAGATGAACTTCCATGAACATTTTTCTCAAGTAGATTGGCACCCTATTTTATCCTAATCCGTTTGTTGCTTGCTTAGTTTTGTGTAGCCATAGAATTTAACTATATCCTATTAGTGCATTTTATTTTGCACATTGTGAGATATCTGTCAGATTTGAAAGAATGTTACCTGAAGATGAAAAAAAAAATCACTGAAGTTAAATTCTGTATTCTTTTCTCTAAGCAAATAAAAACTATTTTCATCTCTATATATGAAACAAAATACATGAATGATATTTCACTATATTTTTGAAGAATAATTGATGACTTATGGAAAATATCAAAAGAAAAAGATGTTATCCTAACATCATCAATATAAAGTTTCAGCTTGGATGGGGGAGACAGGGGAGAGAGGCAAGGAAATGTGTCTTCAACCTGGGTCGGCAGGAGGAAGGGGGAAATCGTGTGGATAGAAAGAACACGAGAGCCAAAATGGCTGCCATCTTCACAGATAAAGGCATATATGAGTAGGCTAAAACTTACCATATTTATTGTAGGAGAATATTTGGAGAGGTAAATGGAAATGTCTAGTAGCTATTGAGTTAGATTGCAGAGAGAAATCATATGTGGAGGAAAAAATATGTAGGAGTGTCCGCAGTGGCAGTAGTTGAACACAGAATAATGTATGTGATCACTAAGGAGAAGGACAAAAGACTGCAAACTGAGGCATATTCGGAGCACATTAAATGTTGATTTAATTATAGCCTGGAAGGCCGGGCCCGGTGGCTCATGCCTGTAATCCCATTACTTTGGGAGACTGAGGTGAGTGGATCACCTGAGGTCAGGAGTTCGAGACCAGCCTGACGAACATGGTGAAACTCTGTCTCTACTAAAAAATACAAAATTAGCCAGGTGTGATGGCGCATGCCTGCAATCCCAGCTACTTGGGAGGCTGAAGCAGGAGAATCGTTTGAACCTGGGAGGCAGGGGTTGCAGTGAGCTGAGATCTTGCCATTGCACTCCAGCCTGGGCAATAGGAGCAAAACTCCATCCAAAAAAAAAAAAAAAGAATTATAGCCTGGAATCCTGCCCATATTATGATTCTCAAGCCATGTACCATGATGCAGGACTGCTCTTTAACAGAGAAGGTAACAAAGGTTCTATATGCTTACCTAGTCACATGCCTGCAAAGCTGCATCCACCCAGAAAGAGCATCTTTTTCTAAGTCATACAATGGTGCCATTTAAGAACATCAGGGCTACATGTGACCCTGATGTCCTGCTGCAAGACTGTTGTGAAGGCCATTAAAAATATTGTCTGACACCTGGCAGACAGTAGGTCATTATCAAATGGCATCTTAGAAAGTGAAACTTTACTAAACAGAGCTAAACAGAATCAAACAGAACTAAACAGAATCAAGTGACTTGAGCGGATGGCTTCTTGTTCAAACTGTCTTTCATGACCCATTAGGAGGCCATACAGTCAAAGTAGCAGATCATTACCGCACTTTAAAACATACTGAAGTACTCACGCCTGTAATCCCAGCACTTTGGGAGGTCGAGGTGGGCGGATCACGAGGTCAAGAGACCGAGACCATCCTGGCCAACATGGTGAAACCTCATCTCTACTAAAGATACAAAAATTAGCTGGGTGAGGTGGCATGCACCTGTAGTCCCAGCTACTCAGGAGGCTGAGGCAGGAGAATCGCTTGAACCCATGAGTCAGAGGTTGGCACCCAGCTACTGGGGAGGCTGAGGCAGGAGAATCACTTGAACCCAGGAGGCGGAGGTTGCAGTGAGCCAAGATCGCACAACTGCACTTCAGCCTGGTGACAGCAAGACTCCGTATAAAAAAAAAAATACTGAAGTATATAGAGTCATAAAAAATAGAGCACACACAATAGCTGATGGAAAGATAAATATTTTGATGAAAAAAACTTACTCAATTTATTTATGAATAAATATGGGTGCATAAAATGCATTTCTTACTATAGATTTGTCTTTTTCATTTTCACTGCTCTAACAAAAATGCCATACACTGGATATCTTGTAAACAACAAAAATTCATTGCTCACAGTTGCAGAAGCTGTAAAGTCTACGATCAAAGCACTGCAGATTCATTGTCTGGTGAGGATCTGCTTTTTGGTGCCTTCTTGCTGTACCCTTGCAGGGTGGAAGGGGTAAATGAGTTCTCTGGAGCCTCTTTTGTAAGGGCACTAATTCCATTCACCTGGAAAAGTTCCTAATTCCTAATACCATCACCTTGGGGGTTAGGATTTCAACATACAAATTTGGGGGTGGGAAAACACAAGCAGCAGTCCATTGCAAGGTTACTTTAAAAAAATTGCAAAACATTAAGAAGCACACAGTAAAGTGGAAAAGTTAAAACAATATATCCAATTTCCTCGTAACTCCATGCCTTACTCACAGTTAGCTTTGTCATGTGTATGATCTGAGACACAGGATAATTATGTTAAGTCACTCAATAAGAGTGTCGGGGCTATAATTATTGTTTCAAGATCCACGAATCAGATTCATTGTCAAATTTATGGTATGTTCTAAAGGCCTATGGTTATCAGAAATCTAATTTAAATGTTTATTGTTTGTGTGATAATTTTAGATACTAGATATTTACAAACATATATAAAATCATAAAGTGCCATGTATACAGGTATGGTTTTAAAATCGGACTAGTTTTTGCAAAATTTAATAGTTTTAGAAAAACCATTATATAAACAGATTTTTTAAAGCCACATTTTTATTTCTGTAAAATACTTAATACAATGATATGCTTTTATGTAAGCATTTTTCTTAAAAGATGCAAGATATACTTTAACTCATCAATAAGCAATGAGGGATGAGATTCATCTTTGTGTTTTTTGGGCTGTTTCACTTCTTAAACTGCAGATATTATCTATTGTTAATGAGTATTCTTCAAAATGTTATTTTGAATGGCGTACACTTTTAGCTTATTCAAAATATTTGTGTTGGGCATTTAGGCTTTGGCTTATTCTTTATATTATATTACTTCTGTGAATATTCTTGTATATAACTTTTGATAGAACTCTGAACCTTAGACTTAATATCTATCAAGAAGGTTCATGGGAAAATATATGGCCACCTTTGGTGATCTTGATGTAAAAGTGTCTATCCTTGAGAGAGCAAGGTACGTGAATGCTCTGATTATACTGACTCTGGTTCAGTATACTTTTATCAACAGTTTTAAGAAAGTAAAATGTTAGAATAAATGAGTCCAGACCAATAAAATACAAGGAAATACAAATTGAATTTCATCACTTCTATAAGGTGCTTGCTATTAAAAAAGAAAACAAGATTATGAGATCAGGCAGTCCACCAGTCCATGCAATGTTCTGACATTTTGCCTAGGAGGTAAACACACACACAGGTCAGACTGGAGACATGACTAACTGAAGATGTTAAGGATGCTATGAATGTGTTTTTGCTATTTCAGCCCAATGACTGAGTCCGGTTTAAAAACTATTGGCCTGGCAAATGGTGGTATTGAGTGTGTGATGGTGTCATAACCAATTTGCCTACTTATTAATCACTGCCTAAAAAACTGATTGCAGTTTCTAAATATACTTTGCCAATTTTGTAGCTGATAATTGGGCTTTCATTTTCTATTTTAATTTTAGTTTCTTTGATTATTAGTAAAGATAAATATTTATGTAGAGCAATGAGCTATTTCTGTTTTCTTCAATGAATTACATAAAGGCATACCTCAGAGATATTGTAAATTTGGTTCTGACTAGTGCCATAAAGCGAGTATCACAATAAAGTAAGTCACACAATATTTTTAGTTTCCCAGTGCACATAAGTTATGTTTACATTACATTATACAGTAGTAAGTGTGTAGTAGCATTATGTCTAAAGAAAACAATGTATGTACTTTAATTTAAAATACTTTGTTGCTGAAAAATGCCACCAATTATCTGAACCTTCAGCAAGTCATAAACGTGTTGCTGGTGGAAGGTCTTGCTTTGATGTTGGCTGCTGACGGATCAGGGTGGTGGTTGCCAAAGACTGTGGTAACTGCAACAATTTCTTAAAACAAGACAATGAAATTTTCCACTTGGATTGTCTCTTCCTGTCACAAAAGATTTCCCTGTAGCATGCAATGCTATTTGATAGCACTTTACCCATGGAATATCTTTTAAAATTGGAGTCAGTCCTCTCAAACCCTGCTGTTGCTTTATCAACTAAGTTTATGAAATATTCAAAATCCTTTTTTGTCATTTCAACAGTGTTCACAGCATTTTCACCAGAAATAGATTTCACCTCAGGAAAAAAACTTTCTTTGCTTATTCATAAGAAGCAACTCCTCATCCATCAAAGTTATATCATGAGATTGCAGCAATTCAGTCACATCTCAGGCTGCATTTCTAGTTCTCTTGATATTTCCACCACGTCCGCAGTTACTTCCTCCACTGAAGTCTTGAACCCCTCCAAGTCATCTATGAGGGTTGGAATCAGCTTCTTCCAAACTACTGTTAATGTTGATATCTTCACCTCCTCCCATGATTCACAAATGTTCTTAATGACATCTAGAATGGTGAATCATTTCCAGAGTTTCAATTTACTTGTCCAGATCCATCAGAGGAATCATTATCTATGGCATCTACAACCTTATAAAAGTGTATTTCTTAAATAATAGAACTTAAAAGTAAAAATTATTCCTTGATCCCTGAGCTGCAGAATGGATGTTATTTGCAGGCATGAAAACAACCTTCATTTTCTGGGACATCTCCATCAGAGCTCTTGGATGATCAGATGGATTGACAATGAGCAGTAATATTTTGAAAGGAACCTTGTTTTCTGAGAAGTAGGCCCACTGTTTTATTTTTTTAACAATGGGCTTAACGTATTCGGTAAACCATGCTGTAAACAGATGTGCTGTCATAAAAGGATTGTTTCTTTATAGAGCACAAGCAGAGTAGATTTAGCATAATTCTAAAGGCTCCAGGATATTTGGAATGGTAAATGAGCACTGGCATCAACTTAAAATCAACAGCTGCATCAGTCCCTAACAAGAGCATCAGCCTGTGCTTTGAAGCTTTGGAGCCAGGCATTGACTTCTCCTCTCTAGCTATGAAAGTCTCACAGGGCATCTTCTTCCAATAGAAGGCTGTTTCATCTACACTGAAAATCTATTGTTTCCTGTAGCCACTTTTAACAATTATCTTAGCCAGATTTCTGGATAACTTGCTGCAGCTTCTACATCAGCACCTCCTGCCTCCTCTTGCACTTTTATATTATGGAGACAGCTTCTTTCCTTAAACCTCATGAACCGACCTCTGCTAGCTTTCAAATATTCTTCTGCAACTTCCTCACCTCCTTCAGCCTTTATGGAATTGATGGGAGTTACAGTCTTATTCTGGATTAGACTTTGTCTTAAGGAAATGCTGTGGCTGGTTTGTTCTTATATGCAGACAACTAAAACTTTCACCGTATCAACAATAAGGCTTTTTCACTTTCTTAGCATTTGTATGTTCACTGGAGTGGCACTTTTAATTTCCTTCAAGAGCTTTTCCTCTGCATTCACAACTTGGCTGTTTGGTGCAAGAGGCCTAGGCTTTGGGCTGTCTCAGCTTTTGACATGCCTTCCTCACTATGCTTAATTATCTCTAGCTTTTGATTTAAAGTGACATAAATGCAACTCTTCCTTTCACTTGAGCACTTACTTAGAGAACATTGTAGGGTTATTAACTGGCCTAATTTTAGTATTATTGTGTCTCAGGAAATAGGGAGGGCTGAGCAATGGAGAGACTGAGAAACAGCCAGTAGGTTCAGCAGTCAGAACACGCAACATTTATCAATTAAGTTTGCCATCTTATATGGGCATGGTTCATGGCATCCCAAAACAATTACAATCATAATATCAAAGAACACTAATCACATATTGCAATAACTAGTATAGTGATCATGAAAAAGTCTGAAGTGTTGTGAGAATTGCCAAAATATGACACAGACTTGAAGTGAGCGCGTGCTTTTGGAAAAATGATGCCAATGGACTTGATTGACACAGAGCTGAAACAAACCATAAAATTGCAATTTCTGCAAAGTACAATAAAGTGAGGCTTAGTAAGACAAGGTATGCCTGTACTCATTTCTGTTTTCTGAAGGACACAATGCTTCCATTTTGACTTCTTTTTCTTCTTTGTCTCATTATTTACAAGGGTTTTTATTTCTTTATTGTTGTTTTCTCAAACATTAGGTAATTTTAATTTTATGATATTGATAGGTAATTCAATTCTCTGTTGTCAACAATATTACATTTTATTATTCATTGTGACAAATAATATTTGAGCAACCTGGTTTTGCATAATAGATTTTAAAAATGGGGAAGAAAGTGAACAGATTGAGAGATTTGCAAAATGAGTGTTAGGCTCTTGCCTTACCAAAAATTAAAAGCTAACATAGACTTGAACACTAGACAAATACTGTTTTTCACATACTAATCAGTATGATGGCAAGATGAACTTGTTGACTCATAAATAAACTATGAGTTTGTTGCCATTTCTTGCTTAGAGGTAATCAGAGTCAAATCTCTATGAACGACTAATAAAATGTGCAAGGCTAGGTGCAGTTGACATAACCAATGTAGGCTTCCAGAAGGGATATTATCTAGGTATGGGACATGTATCCGACAGCTTAAACTGAATGCTGGGAAAGTTATGTAAGTTTACAGCGCTATACCAAGAAGCAAAGGGGAAACAAGTGATATCCTAGTTTATATTTAAAAAATGAAGACAAAGTCCTGCTAATTTTTGTGTTTCGGCAATATCTAAATGCAATAACTAATAACTAATGTCATTCCTAAATGCAATACATATAGAGGTCAAGGTTATAATCACAAATTATGGAAGGAGTGTATCATCCTGATGCTATATGCTGTTGGATACCAAAGGTAATTCAAAGTCATATTAGAATATAATCTGGAAAAAGACTAGAGTCAATCGTTATTATATAGTAAAGAAAGTACAATGTATTTGTGTAAATAAATGCATACACTTTTAGTAAGTATAGATTAGATAGTTTTTTTCCAAAATATTTTATTGCACTGATGATGTGTCTTAAAATTTATGGCATCTTCAAATCAAGGAAACAAGGTCTCATTCATAAGTAAACCTGGCTGGCAGTTATGAAGGTGTGGAAAAACTCATCAACATAAGAGAGACTTCAGAAACTGTTCTAAGTAAATTAGTGTATTTTGAGTATGAAAAAATAACATTTTACATCAGGAAAAAAATGAATGATTACGCAAAAATAATGATGAAAAAACTTACTCATTTTAGGAAAATAATTAGATTTCAACTTCACATTTTACACTGAAGTAAACTGCATATTATTTTAGAGATTTTATTGTAGGAAAAAAAACAAAGGCAATACAAAAGTACTATTAAACATTTTTATAATGTTAGGAGTATAAATGGTTTATAATTGCGATACAAGATCATAAACAAGAAAGGAAAAGAATGCAAGACATGATTACAAAAAATCTCTGCAGCTTGGGAAGCAAACAAGTAAATAAAACAAACTATGCCACAAATAAAGTTAAAAACAATTTTAAGTTTAACATTTATGTCATATCAGTGAGAGGCAATAGTTGATAATTGTTAAAAGCCTCTTGCAAATCTACAAGAAAATTAATAATGCCCAAGCAAAAGCTATGAAGAGCCAGATAACAAAAGCAAGAACACAAAATAAATGTCATGTAAATATACAAGAGGGTTCTGTACTCAGTAATATTTAAATACATAATCTCAACATGATTATAGAAATGAGATCTTATATTTTGTCTATCAAATTGAAATTGAATGCAAAGGAATTGAGAAATATGCACATCTCTTACATTACTAAATATCTACACATTTCCTGAAGATTAGTTTGGCCATGCTGATCAAAGTTTCACGATTTAGAATAATATTTATGTTGTTTTTGTTAAGTAGCCATTACTACATTGAAAAAACTTTTCCCCTATCTGATGAATTTTATTAATTACATTTTTGGTCTCTATTGATATAAGCACAAATTTTTTAGTAAGTTAGGTGTATCAGATTCATAAAAAGGAAAATTAAAATACTTAGCTATTATTGCACGTTTGTCTAGTTCCCTTTGAATGTCATGTAATTTGTTTCTCTATAGCTTTTAAGCTAAAATGTTGTGTTTAAGTTCTATATTTCTAACTACAATTTTTTAATAAACTGAACTTTTAGTGATATAATGTGCTTCTGTGTCTTTTAATAACTTTAATCTTAAATTCTACTTTAATATTGTGTGCCATCCCTATTTTCTTTGTTGAAATTTTCAAGGTTGTTTCCATTTAAAATTTAAGTATGTTTATTGTTAATAAAATATAATTGGATTTTGTTTGCAACATAATCTGACGTGCTGTGTCTTATGGGGAAATGCATGTCTTCCTCATTTAGTGTAACAGTTGATATACTTGATTGCTATTCTTATTCCATCAAAATTATTTAATGATAGCTCATTTGTTTTTACTCAGAGTTTTGTTTTTTCTCTTATGTTAGATTTTGAAGGCTTACTTTATCTTTTTTCCCTGTTTTTTAAATTCAATTGTGAATTTTCAGTACATTTCTCATTCCAGATACTTATAATAAATTCGATATTTTTGTCCTTTACTAAAATTAGATAACGAGTCTTCTCTTTTCCAGTGTGTTTTACTTGCCCACTGTGCTCCACCCTCACCCTAACTAAAGTAATATGAACCCTACTAGGTGCAGACTATTTATTTATTATTTATTTATTTATTTATTTATTTTCTGAAATGGAGTTTTGCTCTTGTTGCCCAGGCTGGAGTGCAATGGCATGACCTTGGCTCACTGCAACCTCCACCTCCCAGGTTCAAGCGATTCTCCTGCCTCAGCCTCCCAAGTAGCTGAGATTACAGGCATGTGCCACCATGCCCAGTAATTTTGTATTTTCAGTAGAGACGAGGTTTCACCATGTTGGCCAGGCTAGTTTCAAACTCCTGACCTCAGATGATTGCCTTTCTTGGCCTCCCAACGTGCAGGGATTACAGGCCTGAGCAACCTAGCCTGGCCGGTGCAGACCATTTATTAGTTTCTCCTATCAACATGTATCCTATGAGAGTCATAATTAGCACTTGTGTTATGTGTTCATGATCACACAGTCATCATCTATTTGAATTTATGTATTGCAGAGCTTATTGTCCACCATTTTTACCTCTCCATCTAATCTTCCCCTATATAAAGTTCTGTCTCCTGAATTCATTGGTATTTGGTTAGAATGCTGTCTTGAATATTTTCTTCACACACAGTGCATGATTGATCTACTCTCTGAATCCATGTATTTCTACAAATGTATTTCATTCTGTTCAGAGAACGGTTTCTCTAGCAGGTTAGAAAATTATAAAGACACACTCATTTTATCTCAGTGACATAACGTGTTACTCTATTGTCTTTCAGTGATGTTAGCAAGAATCTGATACTATTCTAATAGTTTTTCGTTTGTGAACTAGCAGCTTTTTTTTTGCAACTGAGAGCTTGTAAGATTTTTCTACCAATGATTTAATTTTCCCCATTGAATATGCATTACATCAATGATTAGAAACAAAATTCAATAAAACTAGCTCCTCAAAAACAACTTCATAGCCATCATGTAAGTCCCAGAGATACTGTAAGAGCATTACTCATCTTTACTGTACCATTGATTGATAGATACAATGGAATGACAAAGTTTTAGAGTCTTTGATAGTTTGAAAAAAATGTGTCAGAATTTTCCATATCTCCAATGGTCAAGATAAGTGGTTTCCAATATGTACAAACATAAGATTGTTTCATTTCATTTACCTTCTCTACTTATACTTCATTTTGTTTGTTTTTCTAATATGTGTATATTAATAGTTCTGACAAAGAGGACCAAAAAATGATAATAATATAAAACGGGAACATTTTCTTAAGTGCTGCATTTCCCTCAGAAAATAAGTAAGTGTAAACAGAAACAGAGACCATTCTATACAAGTATTGTTTGTTTTTTTTCCTGGCTTATACATACTTTTCAAAGTCTGACTCATAGTCAAAGTGACATTTTTCCTTCAAAAAAATTTTGAAATGAACCTGTAGTTTCAAACACTTTAAAAATTCATTCCCAATGCAGATATTGAAAATAATAATAAATACCCAACACAAACATTTTATTCTTGTATAACTCTGCTTTATTTACCTTTATAATTGTAACACTTTCATTTGATGAATTTTACATTTCCTTTACTAAATTGAACTTGAGTTCATGGTCAAGGAAATGTGAGTTTACACTATGGGCTTTATAAGTCTATTATTTGTCTTGACTGATTGAATCCATTCTGGATTCATTGTAGTTCTTTTTTTTTCTTTCCTTTCTGGTGATCTTTTCTTCCTCCTTATCTCTTTACCTGTATTTTTACTTTGGTATTCACAGAATAAATACAAACCACAGAAAGTCCATAATTGATTGAGAAGGATAGTGATGATCTTTTAAAGTTCCTTATAGTACTGATATGGAAAGAGAATTCCCAGTGCTGTTGAAAACAAATGAGCCCAGCAGCTGCATTGGGGAAAAAGAGGAAAAAAAAAAAAAAAAAGCTTTCTATGTTACTCCACCTTTGACACAGAGGGCCTGTTTTACAAGGAATCACATAATGGTTATAGTCATTTTAGTGTTCAAGTTTACGGAGCAACACTGGCAATCACGTCCAGAGGGAAAATGTGTACAGGAGTGATGCTGCTGTTAAAGTTCCATAGATTTCAAGTTGTTATAATCAATTTGAGCCCGGCCAATAATATCTCAAGTGATAAAAAAAAGACGATTCTTTTTTCTTTTTTCTTTTTATTTTTCTCCATCTTTGGTCAATAGATTAAAAAAATGAAATATAAACTAAAATCTTGTTGAGATTCTTGAATACCAGTGTCTTATAAAGCAAATAAGCTTCTGTCCTATTATACAAAGAAGATAACATAATCATATGGTTTATGGTCAAAAATGTTTCATTACTAGGGGACTCAATATAACTCTTGAATTTGGAGAATTATATGCTCGCTCTTTATGTCTTATTAAGAAGTACACTTTATGATAAAGTACACTTCACTCTTCAACGCTGAAAAATAACTTTGTCTTTGGAGTCAGACAGTCTTAAGCATAAAAACTGTGTCTACCAGATTCTCTTTCTACGCTAGCATGATTTAACCCATCTGAGCTTTAGTTTCCTCTTAAGTAAAATGAAGACAATATCAATCATTGCATTTTTGCAACAACTAAGTAATATAAAATGTACCATTTAACAGAATGCTTGAAATATGTGTTTTCCCTGAAATAATTCTTTCATACTATCGGGTATAAATCTTGCTAATCTACTTGTTGATATAACTCCAAAATAACTAAACGAGTAGATAACCATCAACAACAGAAACAAAATGCCAACAGATATTTTGAAAATATATCGTAGACATATGCATCTGTTTATTATTTTAACCCCCTGTGTAGTTTACTGGCAAGTTGGGCTGAACCATGTGAAACCCCAAAGGCTTTTTCTGGTAATGCTGAAAGAAAAATATGTGGAGAGGCTTCCTTTTTCATTTTTCTCTACCTTCACATCCTACCCTCAATCCTCTGGACTTTATCACTTGATTGGTAAGAAGAAGTAAACTCAAGGAAGAAGATACAAAGGACAACAAAAAACAGATGATGGGGAGGCAAAACAAGAGTGCAATAATGCCCCATACCCATGCTCTGTAAGCTGAGATGGAACCTGGGGAGTTAGAAGGAGAGCAAAGGAGTCCATTTAGAGATGAAGCACAAAGAAAAGCAGCAGGCTTGCCCCTTTTCTCAGGAGCTGAGAAATGCCATGCTCTTGAATCTGACTCATGCTCTGGAAGAGAAGAAGGGAGTCGTGAGCTTTCTCTCATGAATAGACAATTCATGACTGTATGGTTGACTATAGAACTATTGATACGTCTTCTGAAATGTCCTCAGTTAATTAAGGCACATCAACATTTTATGTCCAAAAGTGACTCAACATCTTACCCTGCAAGAATGTTCCTCCTCTGCTTCTCCCTGTCCTGGTAAGTGGATCAATTTATCCACCAGATCGCTCCAAGTCAGAACCTGGATTTCATTTTTGCTGCTCCCCTCTCTTCAGCCAACTCAAATATCCATTCAATCTCCAAGCCCCACTGATATTTTAAGTATTATTTTATTATGAAAAATTTAAAATACAGAAAAGCAAAATATGATATAAAAATTTGCATGTAGCTATCACCTGTTTAATCCTACCCTCTTTTCTTTATCTTCTCCAAATCACTGACTCGTAACACCTAAATATTTCTGAAATATTCCCTACTTCTTTCTCCTTGATTCTGTTTTGGTTAGTTCAAGCCTTGTAACCAGAGTTACTTGGGCCTTAGTTTTCTTTATCCTTGAAAACATGTTTTGAAACTCAAATCCGATCATATTTATCCACTACATAAAACCTGTTGATGGACATCCTTTACCCACTGGATATAATTCCAAATTCTTGGCAAGCGTTTTCTCGGTTTCAGCCATGCCTACCTGCACAGATTCTTGCCCTGAAGCCGTTACCCTCCTGCCCAGTGTCTGACAGTACAATCCTCCTCTAAATTACGCTGTTCCTGCAGGACTCCAGGCATTTAGGTAAACTTCTTCCTTTGCCTGATTGGATTGTGGGGACCCCTTTTGTTTGTCTAAACTCTTGCTTATACTTCATTACCTGACTCCAAACATCACTTCCTTTCCTAATACTTCTCTGTCAATAATCTTCACCTTTTTATCTTGCAAATGACCTAAGGAAGCCATTTTCTTCCAGTTGCCACTGTACTACTAAATACCTCTTTTATTTTTGACACACTCTACAATCTGATAATTTGGGTGTTGGTACATCTTCTCCAGTAGCTATGGATACCTTAAAGTTAGGAGCTGTGTGTATGCCTGTGTTCTTGCCGTGCTTAACTCAGCGTATCAGAGGTGAACGAGGAAGAATTTTTTATCAGAGAATACCAAATATTTTTCCTTATTAAAACATTTTAATAACATTTTAAAATATATCTACAATATAATTGTATTTTAAAGAATTTTTCAAGGGACATCTTAATCTAAATAGTTATTTTACAATCTACCAAAATTATAGAGTTAGTTACAGGGATTAGGTAGTATAACTGGTGAATTGATTTGAACATTAGAAATAAGAGTGCCCAAGAAGCAGACTTTTATTTTTCTATACTATACTCATCCAGAGAAACTTTCTCCTTGAAGATTAATTATTATGAAGTTGGACACTGGAAAGTTTAAGGCAATTTAAATAATTCATATTTATATATTACTTCACAAAGATAATTTCTTGCCTATCTCCACAATCTTGAGGGAAGAGGGAGGTTACTTTCAGATAAGTGGTATTTTACCGAACAATATTTGAGTTGGAACATTAGGGAATTTGTCCATATCATATATCCAGCCCAGAAGATAGGGAGATAGATAAGGAAATATTTTTCTTTCCAAATTCTTGATAAGAAAGCAAAGAGGTCAAGCGCTCAAAACCATACAGCAGGAAGAGACACAAAAATTAATATCAACTTTTGTTTTTTTCTACCTATTAATGTATTACCCAAGACTAGTAACAATATTTCAGGGTTAAGCAACATATTGGCAAGTTAATCTATTTTTACAAACAATCAGTTAGGTGATATAAAGTGGTTCATTTTCTTGTACTCCAACCAATACCTCAGACCTCATGTGTTCTTTTTCTCTATATTTTTGCATATCATTTTTACAGCTATAGCCCACAAGGGATACAATCCTCATCGTCCTCTATATTACCAATAACTGATCTGAGAGCCAATTTCTTTTAAAGTTTAATATAAACTTCTCCCAGTATGCCATGAAGGGAGTCAAATTTAAAGATAAAAATGAAAACTTTTATTTTAATAAAAACTCAATTATATGCTTCTGTGTTAACTTGCCTTTAGAATGTGAACTCTGACAGCAGGGCACAGATCCTGACTTTTTGATTAATTTTTACTTATTTCCCAATATAGATATATTCACTTTTGAGAACTGGGAGACTCCATAAATATTTGAGTAACTGAATGATTGAATCAAACCTAATATGGTTGAACTATTTTGCTTATGTTCAATTTGTGAACCACTCTCAGTTAATTTTAAGAAACTAGTTTAATTTCTATTTTATGCATTCATAGACATACATATCTACTTTCTGAGTATATATAGCCATATAGAGTTGCATCATATATTTATTTATATAAAATAGGTAAATTAATTAAATGCATGTTAATAAAGTATTAACTCTTCCGCATTTTATAGAAGACTATTCATAACTTATCTTACTTTATTGTCATATTTCAGCAATTTTTCTCTCTTCCTCCCACCTCCATATGCTGTGCTTTAGGGGCATTTGACAAGTGCCTGGCCAAATGCTAAATCTGAACAAAGTATCTTAAATATGCTTTTAAAATTTTTTAAATTTTAAATTTTTTAAGTGAGTGTGTACTTACTGGTACCACAAGCTACACGACACCACCTTCTATTGTCTGACTCCTGATGGAATCAAACTGTTACATTACCCACCTGGTCTATACAAACTTTTGATAACTCAACCTTTGTTCTTTCATATCTCAAAGTTGTTGGTCTCCAGGAGAAGCTCAAAGTTCTTCCCTTGCTGCTCTGCTCTTCTGTCTTCCCAGTAATAAATCAGGTCAAATGCTAGGGATTAAAATTTTCAACAGAACTTGAGATTTGCTCTCAACCTGCCAGGAAGGTAACTATGGTAAAGTAAAAAGCTATCTGATGCCACAAAGAAAAAACTCTTAGGTATGATGCCTGGGCTCTGTCTGCTCTATTTTTCTCATCAGTTAAAGATAATAATACCTACCTCCTAGAGCTTCTATAAAGCATTAAGCTAATTAATATTTATAAAACATTTGGAATAATCTTCAACTTTTAGTAATTACTATATGTGAGCAATAGCCAGTATATGAATTAAATGCTACACAACTCACCCTTTAAAAAGAAATTAAGCCTGGTTTGAATAAAATGAAGAATAAAGATTCAAGACATTTTTCAAACCTGACTTGTTTTTATGATTCTCCTGTGATTTCTCTCTGTGCTCCCCAATTAGGCTTCTTACAATCTTCAGAATATCCCAGTCACTTTTCTGCCTGCAACTTTGTCCAAAATTTTTTATTCCTTTATTTTCCTTTCTTCTTCTCTTTCTCTCTAACTGATACTTACCTATCCTATATTCTCCAGTTTGAGTCTATCAGTTTTCTAGGGCTGCCATAAAAAAATATGACCAAATTAGTGGCTTAAAATATCAGAAATTTATTCTCTCACAGCTCTGGAGGCTAAAAGTCTAAAATCAAGGTGTCAGCAGAACCATGCTGCTTCAAAAACGTGAAAACGTCTAGGGAAGAATCCTTCCTTGCCTCCTCTAGCTTTTGTGGTTGCCAGCTATCCTTGTCATTCTTTGGTTTGCAGTTACATCTTTCAGTCTCTGCCTCTGTCTTCACAAAGCCTTCTCTTCTGTGTCTCTATATCCAAATTTCCGTCCTTTTATAAGGATGTCAATCATTGAATTAGCGCCCACCATAATCGAGTATGACCTTGTTTTTCTTTAATAACATATCCAAAGGGCCTATTTCAAACAATGTCACATTCACAGACACCTTGGGGTTAGGACTTGAACTATGTTTTTTAACCCAAAACAGGGTTTCATGTCACTGGAAAATATTCTCCTCCTCCAGACCATTATGATCATCTCTGAGAAGCACATATTTTCCAATCAATTTATTTAACAGATAATATAAATCTGCTCTCTGATGTTTAAAAAGGTTTTATGAACCTTTATCTTCCCTGATAAATTATATTGTAAGAGTATAAAGGTAAAGACTATATTATTTACTTTTAATTTTTTGTATTGCATACTATTCTGTGGAACAATATAATGCATATAGTTGTAAATAAATGCATTAATGAATACATGAAAAGATTGTGTGCCAAGTAATGCAAATTTTTTCTGTGGAACAGTGGATGAAATAAATAGTACATGATAACAACATGTCAATTTGTAATTTCTGATTTTTCATTTTTAATTTATGTTGTGCTTTTGATGGATTATGAAGAGTACCATAAATTCAAAGTGAGCTTATATTTGTTGACATGGTTATAATTAAATTATATGTAAAAATTTGAAAGATATTGCCATATAGATTTAATAGTTATATCTAGTGCTTTTAAAGTAAGAGATACTATTTTGCTTTGCAACTACAAAGAAGATCTCTTATTATAAACAAGAATAAGGAAGTGTGGAATATGGATTCTTTAGCACTAAGGTTTGTAGATATAAACATCACATACCTTAAACTATCTAACAGTCAATATTCCAAAATACTGATGGAAAATAGTCAAAATTTATGTCAATTATATAAAAATAATCTTTTAAATTCATATGCCAACAGATGATAATGAATGTGGAAATTTAACTCAGTCCTGTGGCGAAAATGCTAATTGCACTAACACAGAAGGAAGTTATTATTGTATGTGTGTACCTGGCTTCAGATCCAGCAGTAACCAAGACAGGTTTATCACTAATGATGGAACCGTCTGTATAGGTAAGTTCGGTTATCTAAGTTAGAATTTGTATATATCTCTTATTGTTTGTTACCTCCAGAGGTTAAACATATTCAAACCAAATTCTGCCAGACCTTGATCGTACCCTACGTGTTAAGTACTTTCAGAAATGTAATTAATGTCCTTATTTCTCCAGTGTTTTAAAGTCTGTGGGATAGTTATCCAAGGATACAGGAAGAAGGTTTAATTTTTGAGAGAATAAGTTTGCAAAAATAAATAAATAAAAGAAAGTGAGAGAAATGTTCATGGAGTCATGAGATCTAGTATAGTGGCAAACAACAGAATAAATGTTTACACTTTAGAATAATAAAATACTCCAAGAAAATTGTCATTTGCATTAAAAGATACTGAGGCCTTTGTAAATATGCACTCTGTGATGGGTTCTACATATTTTTCAGACAATCATCATTTATAAAATAATTGTTCTAGTGGTTTTACCTCTGCTTTAATAAAAGTCACACTTCAGATATGCATTAAGTTTTTCTGAACACTAGAGTCAGAAAATTCTTTATAAAATCATGTAGGGTCACTAAAATGTCCTTTGTAGGGAAAATAATTTCAATGTAATTTTTAAGTGATTGTTCACTTATTGTGTGTCTGAAGGGAGTACCTAGACAATTTTTAAAAATATCCTTCTATTGTAATTTGGTCATGCATGTGATTTATCAGATCCTAGAGAACTGGATTACAGCCTGAGAAAAAATAATTATTTATAAACTTCAACAGATGAATAATTTTCAGAAGCAAATTCTCTGGAGCCAAAGACTTTAATTTTGAAAATAAATTTTAAATAATCTTAAGCATGGTTTCTAAAAAATATTCAACTTATCAATAACTATTATAATTATGATTGGTAATCTACAAAATTAATAGGTATGCTGAGGCCCTGAGAATGTAATCATGTAGCCAAGGTTAGACATGGGACTAGAATTCAGGAACCTACATGCAACATAGAGAAGGGTAATGCGCTGCTTCTAAATGATATAGTTAGATAAAAGAGATAGATATTCAAGTTAATCTAAATCACAATAAAGCCTTTGATTAGTGCCCTATTGAGATATATATATATATATATATTTTTTTTTTTTTTGAGACAGAGTCTCGCTCTGTCGCCCAGGCTGGAGTGCAGTGGTGCGATCTCGGCTCACTGCAACCTCTGCCTCCCAGGTTCAAGCAGTTCTCCTGCCTCAGCCTACCGAGTAGCTGGGACTACAGGTGCACGCTGCCACACCCAGCTAATTTTTTGTATTTTAGTAGAGGCAGGGTTTTACCGTGTTGCCCAGGCTGGTCTTGAACTCCTGAGCTCAGGCAATCTGCCCACCTCAGCCTCTCAAAGTGCTGGGATGGTAAGCTATGACACAATGTTCAAAAATTTTATCTGTGAAATGTCTGTGTTAAAGAAATCATCCAGTCTCATGTACCTACGCTTCACAACATTTACTCTGTTATGTAAAAAAGGAATATTTTATTCTCCTCATTTTATTGCCAAGGAAGTAAAGGACTACTCTAGATTCATACATTTTGGATAAAGGTAAGGCTACACTCACAGTCTTGTATCTAAAAACCCTTTGTTATTTCCATGGAATACTTAAATGTGTAGTAGACCATTTAAATATCACTTTGATCTGAATCATCCAAATACAGCCGATCAAGCTTTGCAAGGGTATAAAATATTTAAAATATGAGAAAACAATGCTATTACTGTTGAATGGTAATTTTACCTTTAGTGTTTCTAGAAAAAAGTTTTATTGCAATATAGCATAACAACATTCTCAGGAAATAGGAATCAATGATATTCTGCCCAGAAAACTTACAGTACTTCACTGTTTGTTCTTCTCAAGCCTATATTCTTGTTACTAGTCTTAGAATGTCATATAATGTGCTTTTTACCTTTGGTAGTTCAGTTCTAATATGCAGCCCTGCAAGCTTTAGTGGAAATGTTCCAGTTAGTGAAGAAGTCTAACTTGTAACATCTTAATCACTGTAATTTAATACAGTTTTAACTGTGCTCTCCATTCCCTAATGTCTCTTGTCTGTAGAAGACATCTGTCTTTTTATCTGATCATGTTTACTTTTAATAACCCTCAACTCACAAAGGGCTACATTTCTCGGTTCATGTTCCTTGAAGTAGAGAATTTCTGCATTAGAAAACACTGAATCATAAATACAGAGAAAACAAAAACACAAAGATTACTGAATGGCAACATTTTATGGAGGTAGTATATTTGTAATTGAAGACTCTTTCTCTTGATACTCAATTTCTATTGTGTTAAGGTGGAATGGGCCTGAGTTTGTGCTAATTCCATTTTTAGCTATTTTAAGTAGTCAGTAAAGGCACTAACCTTATTAAAGCCCAATACCCAGTATTGAGCCCTTCTGTTTCTACCTGTTTTGTTTGATGGATTATTCAGTGAAAAATTCATTCTCTAGAAAAATGTTATTTCTCATCAATTTTTGTTGTCTTTAAGGATTAAGCTTTTTTGAAAAGCAGTGCAGCTATTTCTTTTTATTTCAGTCCTGCAGTAATTTTCGTTGCACAATATCATAATCCTCAGGGAATTTGAACAGAGAAACATAAATCTACTCCCTTTTGCGTTAGTATATCACCTTACAGTGTATTGCTTCTGATTTGAAATTTTAGCTTATCCTTAAATTTGACATTTCTGGTAATTATAGTCATTAAAATCTCTATGAATAAAAAATGGAAGACTTTGATACAGGGCAAGAAATAATCCAAGCAAAATTCTTTACCTTTAGTCCATATTCAAATACTATTTTCGACACATAAGTTCATTTTGCTGCAGAAAGCGCTGGGTGAGATTTAGCACTGCACATATTTCTCCTCCTCTTTGAATCACAGTAAAACAGAACTTCAGAAGTCCAGCTCCTGAGAAACCTAGTTACACACAAGAATTTCACAAGGGGAAGCTGAGGCATCCAATAGTAAAGTCAATCTCCTAAAACCAAATTAATAGAAGCCATGAATTCCTTCAATTTCACCATGTGTTTTAGAGCATTGTTTACTGCTTGTAATGTCCTACTGCCTGGAGCACTCGATGATAATTGTAGATTTTTTTTTCTAGCTTTGAATAATATTAAATTTTGTCTTTGAAAATAATTTACTATAATTGAACATTTTATCTTTCTTTGGCAGTCTGTGAGTTACGCATTAGAAAACTGTATTATTGATCATAATTATAAGAATCATAACCATCATATGATCATGTTTTGAAAGAAGATTATGATAAAATATTGCTGGATTGGCTAATTATACACATGGAAACAAACATAACATTATTATTATCATTATTATTATTATCATTATTTTTGAGCTGAGGTCTCTGTTACCCAGGCTGGAGTGCAGTGGTGCAGTTATGGCTCACTGCAGCCTGGAACTCCTGGGCTCAAGTGATCTTTCTGTATCAGCTTCCCAAATAGCTGGGACTACACTACACACCACCTTGTCTGACTAATTTTTAAATTTTTTTAGTAGAGACAGGTTCTTGCTATGTTGCTCAGCCTGGTCTCAAACTCCTGGAATCAAGTGATTCTGCTGTCTCAGCCTCCTAAAGTGCTGGGATTACAGGTGTGAGCCAGCCAAGCATCACCTATTAATAAAAATGAGTTAAGATTGTTTGTTAATGATATGCTTGCATTTAGTGATATCAAATTATTAGTTTAAAATCAAATAAGTTGGTAGTGAGGAAAGTGGGTCAATCAGTAAATCAGGTCTGTCAAATCTAGCCTGACTTAAATAATTACCTAACAGAGATTTAGCTTTCATTAAGATAGGAAAGAGGTTTCTTTTTTAATAGATTTGGAGATTACCAAGACATGGTAACCTAGAAGAAAACACTCTTTATTTATCTGTATCTTCAAACATACTTAGTCACAAGGCTCCTGCTATTAGGAAAATATGCAATATGAGTAGAATCACCAGTCCTGATTTTCCAGTTACAGTATCAGGTGGCAACTATATCCTAGGCACTATTCCACCTTCCCATACATTTTCTTATTTGTTGATGAGGTAGAACTCTTTTGGATTAGAAGGTGTCTTTTTTTTTTTTTTTTTTTTTTTTTTGAGACGGAGTCTCGCTCTGTCACCCAGGCTGGAGTGCAGTGGTGCTCCCAGGTTCATGCCATTCTCCTGCCTCAGCCTCCCGAGCAGCAGGGACTACAGGCACCTGCCACCCATGCCTGGCTAATTTTTTGTATTTTTAGTAGAGACGGGGTGTCACCGTGTTAGCCAGGATGGTCTCGATCTCCTGACCTCGTGATCCACCCGCCTCGGCCTCCCAAAGTGCTGGGATTACAGGCGAAAGCCACTGCGCCGGGCCTAGAAGGTGTCTTTTTAAGATATTACCCAAGGTTATCACACAGCTCATAAGTGTTATAGTCAGGATTTGAATTTAGATCTTCTAATTAGCAATCCCGGAGACTTTTCCTGCAGGAAAGAGGAAACCGTAGGTTTTAGCCATTTGAACCTGCAAGAGATTGCAAGAGAAATTAGTGTGGATCTTGCTGCAAAATGACAGGCACATTCACTGTAGACAAGCCAGTTTCACTGGACATTTAAGTTCAAAGTGCAAGAAGGAGGATGGAAATTGAGTCCATGGAGCCAAGATTTTTGTGTTTCTCAGAGATTGGGTTTGGAATAAAGTTTCTAAGACTGTTGCACATTTAAAAAAAAAAGGGGGGATTGAAATTGAGAGAAAAAACCACCTTGTTTACTGTTACCTATAGAAGGCATCTCAACTACAAAACAAGGGTATTCAAAGAACATAGTAGTTTTCTTGCTCATGAAATAAATTTTTTTTGGTGTTGTTTATGATACTTCATGGGTTTATTCACACTTTCATTGGGGTGTTTTCCCAGTTGGAGTATAACATTTCATACTTCAGCAGTTCTGCTCTAAAAAAGACTCATCTTTGCTTTAGTCCTATATAGCTTTCTCACTTCATTGATTTCATGACAAGTGATAACCCTAGTCTGCACTACCATCTGAGTGCTTCTGTCTTTAGCCCAGCCTAGAATGCTTTCCTTGATGGTTCTCCATATCCCAAGGTCACTTGTCATTACTTCTCCCCTACTTTATTTTCTGTTAATTCATTTCTGTGGAGTGGTAGTTCCTGAATACACTTAGAAATAGAGGATGAGGGGTGAGGGTGCTACAGGAGCATTTGTGTTTCTTTGGAAGTGGTGTGCTCATATTTCTGGGTAGTACAGATTTTGAATATATATACTTGTCAGAAGAACAAGAACTGTTCTAACCTTTTAGGCCTGGGCTATTAGCTGACCTCTTAAATCTAGTACCATCACCTTTCTAGTGAATGGAGCTTTCTTTAAGAATGTAGCAAGAGGCTCACTTTCCATTTTCAGTTTTGGTGGTGTGAATTTGGATGTGTTTTCTAGGTCTTTTTGTTGGATTTTTGAGTGAGAAATTACGAACACCTGCATTTAAGATAACTAGCTAGATGACATTTTAAATTAGACTTTGGTTACACACCCTTTTTCTACAGCAAACAGTATTATGCCACCCTATTAGTTTTAAATAAATTACATTATAAATTTAAGGTTAGATGTTCATTTATTAATTTAATATAAAGTATCTTTAAGACGTCAAACCTGGGGTAGAAACATAAAAATTTTTGCATTAATTCAAGGTAATGATCTAGACTCCTCAGTTCCTTAGAATCTTTTCTCTAGTGGCAGATTATTTATACTGTACTTATAATGTGAAGCATATTTCACTGTAGTAAGTAAAGTTTTAAATTAAGAATATATACTATGTAAGCTTAAAACCCAGCACCTTTATTACAGCCTCAATACATGGCTTTTGAGAATGTAAGACTTAATTCTATATAATGTATTACTTTATTTATGATGATTGTGTATGAAGAACCATAGTAAAATATAACCTTGAACAAAAGTAATAAGTTGTGGTAAAATTTTAAGGGAATTCAATCACACGTTCTGCTATATCTTAGTTTTTTAGGTTAACTTAAATGCAAAAATGAAGCTTTGGAAAGAAATCAGGTCGCTCTTTTATCCTCCAGATTACACTGAGTTGTTGAAATCAGTTTAGTTTAATACTAGAAAACAAATAAGTTTAAATGTGTTTCTTAAATTGGGTCTTTGTTAAATTAGAACTAAATGTTACATCATCAATGATGGAAATTTCTGTAATGACTTTGTTGATTAATCACGCAATTCAGAAAGCAATTTGAGAATTTGGCCCATGAATAATATTTTCAATACTCTGTCAAAATTGATTGGAGGAATTAAAGTTAAAAAGTATATGCATCTAAGTTTGTTCTGCCATTGTCTAAATGATAGTATTTCTCTTGCTTTCTTGTAAAATTTGACATGAAACTGCTAATCATAAGTAACACTATTTTCAACAAGGTAGCAGGCATATGAGCACTAAAACATTTTTTCAAATATTAGTATTTCCAGATATAGATGAGTGCAGTGAGTCAGTTGCCTGTGATGATCATTCCATATGTGAAAATGTGAATGGTGGGTATAACTGCTCCTGCAAAGAAGGTTATCAGACATCCACAGGAAAATCACAGTTCACACATAATGATGGCGCTTACTGCCAATGTAAATTACATTATTAAATTTTATGTATGATCAAAGAACTATATAAAATATGTAGTACACAGTTGTGAAGTATCACAGAGCTACATCTTCCAAGAAATGTGCCTGCATTCCTTTATCTTCTATGGAACAAAGAAATGAAAGCCTATTTTTTTTAATTTAATCAAAATTGTAGATAATATTTTATGGAACTAACATTTCTTGGCCCTTAAAACCCTTTTATTTCATTTTCTGTAAAATATTGCACATTCTAAAACTGAAGAGGAAATTCAAGTGTTAGAGAATGTCTTTTTAATATTTAAATAAGTGAGAAAGATCATTGGGATTGATATGATCAGCTTAGGAAAAATACTTTTTAAAACTGACTGTATAATCTATTTTCTTTTTTTACAGAAAATGTGAATGCAAACTGCCATTTAGATAATGTCTGTATAGCTGCAAATATTAATAAAACTTTAACAAAAGTAAGTAGAACAGTTAACAATTTATTTTATTTTGACATTTTGGTTTCAATTAAAATGCTTTCAATGTCACACATTTCAAGAAGAGTAAACAGTAGTCAAACTTTAGGGAGAGTCGAAAACGTTTACATATAGAGATCTAAGCATCATGTTTGCATCAAAGATAGGGTTAATTTGAAAATCCTCAAATTATTCAAGAGGCCTTTTACATATTTCATATGCTACATTTTCATTACTCCATATGTTGGAAAATTCTTTTTGTGTAAAAAATGTTGATTAAAAAATAGTAAAGAGATACTTTGACTCTAGACCCATTCCCACATTCTAAGTAGACATAATTGAATGCACCTAGATTTGGTACTTCAAAGTGAACATTCAAAGAGCAAATAAAGTAGGTGATTTATAAAATAATTGTCGTATGATTGAAAATGTGAATCTCAACATGAGTAATAAACTGTCAGTTTAAAGCAAATTTTCACTTAATCACATTGTAAAGAATTTTCTTTGGTTGATTAAAATCTAATTTAAAGTATTATCATTTATTGCTTAGGATATCAATATTTATAAGTACTAAGAAGTTTAAGTATTAAGGTAGATTCATTGGCTAGGATATAATTCTATACTGAAGAATAGGAAGTTATTTTGAAAGCTCATTTAAAAAAATTATTAATTCAAACATGCTCTATTTCTTTTCTAAAGTCAAGTCTAGGCTTTTAAGTTATTTGCTAATCTCTTGTAAATAAATTCAGGTTTCAATGATGCATGTTATGGTTTAGGTTTATTAGTTTGATATTATTTATGTGTAGACCAAGGAAACCAACCTCAGGGTAAATTTAACATGTAAGTTTTATTCTTGTAAAACTCCAGTAGAACTAATTTAGTTTCCTTTTTCTGGACTCATTTTTTCTCAGATCAGATCCATAAAAGAACCTGTGGCTTTGCTACAAGAAGTCTATAGAAATTCTGTGACAGATCTTTCACCAACAGATATAATTACATATATAGAAATATTAGCTGAATCATCTTCATTACTAGGTTACAAGAACAACACTATCTCAGCCAAGGACACCCTTTCTAACTCAACTCTTACTGTAAGTATGTTCAGCTTTAACTCAATATAATTGAGCTTTGAATTTTTCCTTTCATTTGTGAATAGTGTAGGATTCCAACATTTCTAAAAGACATACTTTTTTTCAATAGGAATTTGTAAAAACCGTGAATAATTTTGTTCAAAGGGATACATTTGTAGTTTGGGACAAGTTATCTGTGAATCATAGGAGAACACATCTTACAAAACTCATGCACACTGTTGAACAAGCTACTTTAAGGATATCCCAGAGCTTCCAAAAGACCACAGAGTTTGATACAAATTCAACGGATATAGGTAAGAAACAAGGGTCCATTTAAAAGTAATTGTGTTTTCCAAATAAGCCATTTTCAAAGTTTTGGGTGGGGTTAGGAGGCATGGTGTTGAAACTAGTATTGATTACATTGAAAGTAGTTTTATCAGTGTACAAATGAATGGTGATGCATATTGCAAAAGCATTGTGAATAAAGTACCAGTCAAAAGGATAAATCCACAAGTGTCTCCTTCCTATCATATCCACCTTTTCTGATTCCTGAACTGTACAGCCATTAAATGGTCAGAGTACATTATTCCCTTGGCATTTTGAGTCCATCATCTCATGACTTGTTAGGATCTACCTTGACCAATGATCTTTTGGATTTTGTTTGTCTGTTTGTTTAAAGACAAAGTCTGGCTCTGTCACCCAGGCTGGAGTGCAGTGGCGCAATCTCAGCTCACTGCAACCTCCACCTTCTGGTTTCAAGCAATTCTCCTGTCTCAGCCTCCCAACTTGCTGGGATTACAGGCGTGTGCCAGCACACCTGGCTAATTTTTGTTCTTTTGGTAGAGATGGGGTTTCACCATGTTGGCCAGGCTGGTCTCGAACCCCTGGCCTCAAGCCATCCACTTGCCTCGGTCTCCTAAAGTGCTGGGATTACAGGCATGAGCCACCATGCCCAGCCGGATATAACACATTTAAACTTCTATTTAAGAATCCTTTGCATGTTCATAATATAAAGCAATCAACATAGCAAATTAGAATGTTTCCTGCTTCATGCAAATTCATACTTAAAATATTCAGAATCTTGTATCAAATTGAGGATCCCTATAAACTTTTTCTGAGGAAGCAAGGTAAGTTAGCTGAAATAATCACTGCAGACATCTTTATTGCATTTTCTGGTTGGCATTCTGCTGTGCAACAGCAGATTTACAAAAATCTCATCAGGATTCATCGTTTACTCTAAATCAAAGTTTCAAGCATTATGACTAATATATAGGTGCTCTATATTTTTATAATGTTTCTGCATGAAAATGGTGATAATACAGCAGGTCAAAGGAATTATCACTCAAACGTTTAATTAAATCACTCATTAGTAAGTTGTAGACACTATTCTGTAAGCCATTGTAGTTGCTTATCTTTGCTTTAGTAATTATAATTTTATAGCTTGCTTGGTTACATACACATATTATATTTTATTTAATGCAAAAAAAGTTAAACCATGAGTGCCATAGTGAAATTAAAAAATTAAAACTTGAGTCAGATTTTTAACATATACATTACATTGTCCAAACACATTAAGAATGTTCACTCTACTTGTTATAAATAATTTAAAACACAATAATGATGGATGAAATTGTCTCTAAGCTAATATATTTATGATGTATATTGATTAAAGTAATTTCACTTTTTTTATTTTCATGGTTTTGTTTCAGCTCTCAAAGTTTTCTTTTTTGATTCATATAACATGAAACATATTCATCCTCATATGAATATGGATGGAGACTACATAAATATATTTCCAAAGAGAAAAGCTGCATATGATTCAAATGGTAGGACTTTAACAATCTAACAGACAATATATCAATGAATTTGCAATAAATATTTATCATGCATTTGATTATGTCATATGTACATGTAACATGTGGTTTCCTATAAAAACATTTGATGTATGTACAGTATACAGAATATCCATATTCTTTTTTTTTTTTTTTTTTTTTTTTGAGACGGAGTCTCGCTCTGTGGCCCAGGCGGGAGTGCAGTGGCGCAATCTCGGCTCACTGCAAGCTCCGCCTCCCGGGTTCACGCCATTCTCCTGCCTCAGCCTCCCGAGTAGCTGGGACTACAGGCGCCCGCCATCACGCCCGGCTAATTTTTTTGTATTTTTAGTAGAGACGGGGTTTCACCGTGTTAGCCAGGATGGTCTCGATCTCCTGACCTCGTGATCCGCCCGCCTCGGCCTCCCAAAGTGCTGGGATTACAAGCGTGAGCCACCGCGCCCGGCCCAGAATATCCATATTCTTACTTGAGATTTCCATTCTGTTATAAATACCTGGGGAGGATTTTGGCTGACAATATCTGGGTCCTTGTCTTACCTCCAACTTTTGTTACTGTCTGAAATTGTTGAGATTCTAATGAAAATATACAAAAGAGCTCTGATTTTACTACTCCTTATACAGCAAAGTCACTATATTTGCAGTTCCTTTAATATTTCTTCCTCAATAATCCATCATATTCTTCATCATGAGACAAAATTTGTGATTGTGTGAGGAAGAAAAATAGAGATTTTTTTAAAGTAGGTTTGTTTTTTTTTTTTTAATTTTGCTTAACTCTGGGAAACGTGCACAGCATGCAGGTTTGTTACACAGTTATACGTGAGCCATGGTGGTTTGCCTCAGCTATTGACCCAGTCCTCTAAGTTCCCTCCCCTCTTTCCCCACTCCCCAGCAGGCCCTGGTGTGTGATGTTCCCCTCCCTGTGTCCATGTGTTTTCATTGTTCAACTCCCACTTATGAGTGAGAACATGTGCTGTTAATTTTCTGTTCCTGTGTTAGTTTGCTGAGGATGATGGCTTCCAGCTCTCATCAAAGTCCCTGCAAAGACATGATCTCTTTCCTTTTTATGGCTGCATAGTTTTTCATGGTGTATATGTACCACATTTTCTTTATCCAGTCTATCATTGATGGGCATTTGGGTTGGTTCCATAAATTTGCTATTGTAAATAGTGCTGCAATAAACATACGTGCCCATGTGTATTTATAGTAGAATGATTTATAATCCTTTGGGTACATACCCAGTAATGGGATTGTGGGTTCAAATAGGGTGTCTCTGGTTCTAGATCCTTGAGGAATCACCACTGTCTTCCACAATGGTTGAACTAATTTACATTCCCACTAACAGTGTAAAAGCGTTCCTATTTCTCCACAGCCTCACCAGCATCTATTGTTTCTTGACTTTTTGATAATCACCCTTCTGACTGGCATGAGATGGTATCTCCTTGTGCTTTTGATTTGCATTTCTCTAGTGATCAGTAATGTCGAGCTTTTTTTTCATGTTTGTTGCCTGCATAAATGTCTTCTTTTGAGAAGTGTCTGTCCATATCCTTTGCCCACTTTTTGATGGAGTTGCTTGATTTTTTTCTTGTAAATTTGTTGAAGTTCCTAGTAGATGCTGGGTATTAGACCTTTGTCAGATGGATAGATTGTGAAAATTTTCTCCCATTCTTTAGGTTTCCAGTTCACTTTGATGATAACTTCTTTGGCTGTGCAGAAGCTCTTTAGTTTAATTAGATCTCATTTTTCAATTTTGGCTTTTGTAGCAACTGTTTTTGGTGTTTTTGTCATGAAGTTTTTGTCCATGCCTATGTCCTAAATGGTATTACCTACATTTTCTTCTAGGAGTTTTATGGTTTTGGGTTTTACATTTAAGTCTTTAATCCATCTTGAGTTAATTTTTGTCTGTGGTGTAAGGAAGGGGTCCCATTTCAGTTTTCTGCATATGGCTAGCCAGTTTTACCAGCACCATTTATTGAATAAGAGATCCTTTCCCCTTTGCTTGTTTTTGTCAGGTTTGTTGAAGATCAGATGGTTGTAGATGTGTGGTGTTATTTCTGAGGTCTCTGTTCTTTTTGGTACTAGTACCATGCTGTTTTGGTTACTGTAGCCTTGTAGTATAGTTTGAAGTCAGGTAGTGTGATGCCTCCAACTTTGTTCTTTTTGCTTAGGATTGTCTGGGCTATATGGGGTCTTCTTTGATTCCATATGAAATTTAAAGTATTTTTTTTCTAATTCTGTGAAATAGTCAATGGTAGTTTGAATAGCATGAATCTATAGATTACTTTGGGCAGTATGGCCATTTTCACGATATTGATTCTTCCTATCTGTGAACACGGACAATTTTTCCATTTGTTTGTGTCCTCTCTTACTTCCTTGAGCAGTGATTTGTACTTCTCCTTGAAGAGGTCCTTCACATCCCTTGTTAGCTGTATTCCTAGGTATTTTGTTCTCTTTGTAGCAATTGTGAATGGGAGTTCATTCATGATTTGGCTCTCTGCTTGTCTATTGTTGGTGTGAAAGAATGCTTGTGATTTTTGCACATTGATTTTGTATTGTGAGACTTTGCTGAAGTTGCTTATCAGCTCAAGGAGTTCTGAGCCTGAGATGATGGGGTTTTCTAAATAAACAAACATGTCATCTGCAAACAGAGACAATTTGACTTCCTCTCTTCCTATTTGAATACCCTCTATTTCTTTCTCTTGCCTGATTGCCCTGGCCAGAACTCCCAATACTACATTGAATAAGAGTGGTGAAAGAGGGCATCCTTATCTTGTACCAGTTTTCAAAGGGAATGCTTCCAGCTTTTGCCCATTCAATATGATATTGGCTGTGGGTTTGTCATAAATAGCTCTTATGATTTTAAGATATGTTTCATCAGTATCAAGTTTGTTGATAATTTTTAACATGAAGGGATGCTGAATTTTGTCAAATGCCTTTTCTGCATCTATTGAGATGATCATGTGGTTTTTGTCTTGGGTTCTGTTTATGTGATGGATTACATTTATTGATTTGTGTATGTTGAACCAGCCTTGCATCCCAGGGATGAAGCTGACCTGATTGTGGTGGATATGTTTTTTGATGTGCTGCTGGATTCATTTTGCCAGTATTTTATTGAGGATTTTTGCATCAATGTTCATCAGGGATATTGGCCTGAAGTTTTCTTTTATTGTTGTGTCTCTGCCAGGTTTTGGTATCAGGATGATGGCTGGCTTCATAAAATGAGCTAGGGAGGATTCCCTCCTCCTCAATTTTTTGGAATAGTTTCAAAAGGAATAACACCAGCTCTTCTTTGCACCTCTGGTAGAATTCCAGAGGCTGTGAATCAGTCTGGCTCTGGGCTTTTTTTGTTTGGGAGGTTACTAATTACTGCTTCAATTTCAGAACTTGTTATTGGTCTATTCAGGGATTCGACTTTTTCTTGGTTTAGTCTTGGGAAATTGTATGTGCCCAGGAATTTATCCATTTTTTCTAGATATTCTAGTTTTTTTGCATGAAGATGTTTATAGTATTCTCTGATGGTAGTTTGTATTTCTGTAGGGTCAGTGGTGATATCCCCCTTATCATTTTTATTGTGCCTATTTGATTCTTCTCTCTTTTCTTCTTTATTAGCCTAGCTTGTGGTCTATTTTGTTAATTTTTTTTTAACCAGCTTCTGGATTCATTGTTTTTTTTTTTTTTGGAGGGGTTTTTGTGTCTCTATCTCCCTCAACTCTGCTCTGATCTTAGTTATTTCTTGCCTTCTGCTAGCTTTTGGATTAGTTTGCTCTTGCTTCTCTAGCTCTTTTAATTGTGATGTTAGGGTATTGATTTGAGATTTTTCTAGCTTTCTGTTGTGGGCATTTAGTGCTATAAATTTCCCTCTTAATACTGCTTTAACTGTGTCCCAGAGATCTGGTACCTTGTCTCTTTGTTCTCATTGGTTTCAAAGAACTTCTTGATTTCTGCCTTAATTTCATTATTTACCCAGGATTCATTCAGGAGCAGGTTGTTCAACTTCCATGTAAGTGTATGGTTTTGAGTGAGTTTCTTATTCCTGCATTCTAATTTGAATGCACTGTAATCTGAGAGACTGTTATGATTTCAGTTTTTTGCATTTGCTGAGGAGTGTTTTACTTCCAGTTATGTAGTCGATTTTAGAATAAGTGCCATGTGGCACTGAGAAGAATGCATATTCTGTTGATTTGGGGGTAAGAGTTCTGTAAATGTTTATTAGGTCCACTTCATCCGGAACTGAGTTCTAGTCCTGATTATCCTTGTTTATTTTCTGTCTCATTGATCTGTCTAATATGGACAGTGGGGCGTCAAAGTCTCCCACTATTATTGGATGGGAGTCTAAGTCTCTTTGTAGGTCTCTAACAACTTGTTTTATGAATCTGGCTCCTGTATCGGGTGCATATATATTTAGGATAATTAGCTCTTCTGGTTGACTTGATCCCTTTACCATTATATAATGCCCTTCTTTGTCTGTTTTGATATTTATTGGTTTAAAGTCTGTTTTGTTGGAGAGTAAGATTGCCAACTCCTGCTTTTTTTTTCTTTCCATTTGCTTGGTTAATTTTCCTCCATCCCTTTATTTTGAGCCTATGTATGTCTTTGCACATGATATGGGTCTCCTGAACATAGCACACCGATGGGTCTCAACTCTTTATCCAATTTGCCAGTCTGTGCCTTTAAATTAGGGCATTTAGCCTACTTACACTTAAGGTTAGTATTGTTATGTGTGAATTTGATCCTGTCATCATGATGCTATCTGGTTATTTTACACACTAGTTGCTGCGGTTTCTTCATAGTGTCATTGGTCTTTATATTTTGGTTGCTTTTGCAGTGTCTGGAACCAGTTTTTCCTTTCCATATTCAGTGCTTCTTTCAGGAGCTTTTGCAAGGCAGGACTGGTGGTGACGAAATCCCTCAGCATTTGCTTGTCTAGAAAGGATTTTATTTCTCCTTCGCTTGTGAAGCTTAGTTTGGCTGGATATGAAACTCTGGGTTGAAAATTCTTTTCTTAAAGAATGTTGAATATTGGCCCCCAATCTCTTCTGACTTGCAGAGTTTCTGCTGAGAGGTCCATTCTTAGTCTGATGAGCTTCCCTTTATAGGTGGCCTGCCCTCTCTGTCTGGCTGCCCATAACATTTTTTCCTTAATTTTGGCCTTGGAGAATCTGTTTATGTGTCTTGGGGTTGATCTTCTCGTGGAGTATCTTAGTGGTGCTCTCTGTATTTGCTGAATTTGCATGTTGGCCTGTCTTGCTAGGTAGGAGATAAAGTAAGTTTCTTAGGCTTAGATTTCTCTTATAATTTGTATTTTTCTTAGTCTTTGTATAGTAAACTCTTCAACTAAACAACCCTTTTTAAAAATTGTATCAAAATTCAATGTTGATTCAATTCTGGTACTAGCAAGCAAATTAATGATTAAATAACTGAATATCCTTCTTATATGGATGATGTAACTAATGTGCAAACTTAATAGATTTGTTCCATGTCCATCAGCAGACAGTACAGAACCGCTAAAAGCTGATTCTTCTAAAAAGAAATCAGCTTTTCCAGACCAAGCACGGTGGCTCGCGCCTGTAATCCCAACACTTTGTGAGTCCAAAGTGGGTGGATCATGAGGTCAGGAGTTCAAGAACAGCCTGGCCAGGATGGTGAAACCCCATCTCTACTAAAAATACAAAAATTAGCCAGGTGTGATGGTGGGTGCCTGTAATCCCAGCTACTCAGGTGGCTGAGGCAGAGAATTGCTTGAACCGGGGAGATGTAGGTTGCAGTGAGCTGAGATCCCACCACTGCACTCCAGCCTGGGTGACAGAGCAAGAATCCATCACAAAAAAAAAAAAAAAAAAAAAATCAGCTTTTCCTTGGTACCTAACTAGCAAGTAAGTAGTTACTATTTCAATTTAATCATTTATCTGTTATCTTAGTGCAATGCATTTAGAAAAAACCCTGCTGATAGTAGAATTTTGTTGTTGTTCTCATATAGGTAAAATTATATTACCTTGAGAAAATAGGAATTGTAAAATTTTTGCAAAGAAAATAATAATAATATTTCCTATTTTCTCTAGGTAATATATTTTTACCTATATGAGAACAACAACAAAATAGTAAAATACAAATGGAAACTATATACCTCAACACACATATGGTCTCATGGAGAGACACTATTTCATAAAAAGAAGTGTTTTCGTATCCTCTATTCTTTCTTGTTATGTTCTAGTGGGAAATAGCCATAAATGAAGCAAAAATAACTAAGTCATGCTCCCATTGAAACCTTGGCTTTTACTCTATTATACCATATTCTAATTAACCAAGCATACATTTTGTATTTAGGAACAAATCCAAAGAATGTGTTAAACTGTTGAAATTTCAAAGACAATTTGGGTACTGTTTGGAAGTTGGAAAAAAGACATTGAAAATACCGATTATAGTGACAGATGATGAAATTGTCATGGAATTAATATCCTGAAGAAATTTTGTCTGATTGTACGGTAGCTTTGTTATATTTAATGATCCTATGTACAAAGTGACATTTGAAAGGGACAGTAATATTAGCTGTCAGTAAAGGAGAGTAAGAAAATGTGTTTTTCTCAAGGTTGTATCTTAAAAATAAGGACAAATCTAACACATTGATCAAACCCTCTCAATGATGTCTGCAAGTATTTATTAATTTATTGAAAAAATTAGTTAATAAAACACATGCATTCTTTAAAACATAAACAGTACCATTGGTAGGAAAATATAGGAGGTCTATGCAGCACAAGTGGATTTTATTTTTCTTTTTTGAGACAAGGCCTCACCCTGTTGCCCAGGCTAAAGTACAGTGACATGATCATGGCTCACTGCAGTCTTGACCTCCCAGGGCTCCAGTGATCCTTCCACCTGAATCTCCCAAGTAGCTGGGACCAAAGAAACATACCACCATGCTGGGCTAATTATTCTATTTTTTGTAGAGACGTGGTTTTGCCATATTGCCCAGGCTGGTCTCGAACTCCTGCCTCAAGTGATCCTCCCACCTCAGCCTCCCAAAGTGTTGGGATTACAGACCTGAACCACTGTGCCTGGCCCCTGGATTTTTAAATGTATATTTTTTTATAGACTGAATTTTAGAAGAGTAAGGAGGAAGGGTTGAGAATTAATAGAACAAGATTCAATGCTCTGATCTATGGTTTTATGATAAAAAGATAATAGACTTTTGTTAAGAGATTTCACATACTTATTTTCAAATTACTTATGAAATCAACATTTAGGTGAAAAAATAAAGCAGCATATGAAGCTCTATTGAGAAGTGGTTTTAGTCATTCTCAAGTTAAAGTAGCAATAAAGCAGTTTGAGAGCAATGATTCTCTAAGGAGTTCATTGCATAGTGTATGTGGGTAAAATTGATATGGGAATTTAACATAAGGAAAAATCATAACTCCTGTCACCCCAGTAGTTTTCTAATAGTTTGGAAGGCTTGTGCTTGGACCACAGTAATAAAAAACTATTAATTTCATTCAAAAGAATTGGAAGCAACAAAACAAAATAGGAATAAGGAAGAAGACCTACTGAATGGGAATCTTTAAACAAATATATATAGGTATTAATTCTAAAGTAAAGTCTCCACAACTTAGCATAGTTATTTGCACTGTGTAAATGCTCAGATATATGTTCTATCAATTAAATTGAAGGCTATCTCTGGTTCCTGGCAAACATATGGTAATGTTAACAAATACAGGAAAGATCTTAGGGCAAAAAGACTAAAGTAAGCATTGTAAAGAAGAAAAATTAGGAAGAATGGATGATGATTTATTAGGAAATGATCTACTCTTTTCAAATTATTCAAAGTTTTTATGCCCTTTATTAGTGAATGAACCCCTAATTTTTAATAAAAGTACAGGTTTGTTAAGAAAATTCAAAGCTAGATCAAGCCTCAAATTAGTGAGAAATCATAGGAATTGAAGAAGTTCAAAACCCTGGGAATGGACAAATAAATACTGAGATAATATATTTGTAAATGAGGTGAGAAGATATCTTGGAGGATTCTTTGTGGTACCCCTTATCAAAAGTCAAAAATTGATGTTAAATAAATATTTTTCTTCACAAAGGAAAGCAGTAACTAGTAGACTTTAAAAATCCTTCTTATATTTTTGATTCATCATTTGATTTTGAACCATCTTCTACTACAACTCCTGAGATGCCACTGTCCCACGACATGGTTCATCAACTGGACCTGGTCATGTTGACCTAACAGGTATCCAAGTCCTGCCTCAGGCCCTCATCTGTTTATAGCAAAGGCTGGGATAGTTATCATCTTTTGGAGTCATAATTTCACTAGCCCAACAATGTCATACTTTCTTTAATATAAGTTTTGTAAGACGACACTTGAGGAAAATCTTTTATGTAATGTATCTGGGTTTAGCAAGGCTCTTAACAATGTCTCTTGAGGTGCCTTTTTAGATTAAGAGAGAAAACATAAATAGCAATACACTTTGGCAACTTCTAGCTCACACAGTCATATCCAAATAATCCTGTTTATTCATGTGATGTGGAGGTTTCCAGTTTTGTTATTACAGTCCTTTTATTTGATGATATTAATATTTGTATTTATGATTTTGCGCTATTTGGTTATATGCTGGTGCACTGCATTTGGGGAGTTTTAGGGGACATGGATAAATGGCCATCTCTCAAGCAAATAAGTTTTCTACCCCGACACTGCATAATTACATGTTATCAATATTAAATAGAAACCATTTTAGTGGGCATACATTTGAACTCAGTGGCATGTTACAACTCCTTCATCTCTAAATTTTCTTGATTCTATCAGCCTGTGATAATTTCCTCCCAATACCTCTTAAGTTCATATATTTATACAAGGACATAATAACTTGAAACTTTGTTATTCAAGTGAATACACTTCACACTCTGGTTCTTGGTCAGGATTTTGGTGTAAATTTATCTAGGACTATTTTTCTTCTAAAGATAGTTTGTGCAAAGGGGATACTACACAGTTCATGATTATCTTTGAATTCTTTGAGGTCAGAGAATATGTCTTCCTATGGTTTAACAATGCAGGCATAGGCTTATTGTGGTCTATATTTCAGTATCTGGGGATTTGTATAAATTTCTAAAGTAAAATGTTTGTCTATTCAATTTTTATGTTTATCTTAAGAGTCTAAATACACTTTGTTTTATAAGAATTTCACTAAATATACTTATTTGATTGATAGGCAATGTTGCAGTTGCATTTGTATATTATAAGAGTATTGGTCCTTTGCTTTCATCATCTGACAACTTCTTATTGAAACCTCAAAATTATGATAATTCTGAAGAGGAGGAAAGAGTCATATCTTCAGTAATTTCAGTCTCAATGAGCTCAAACCCACCCACATTATATGAACTTGAAAAAATAACATTTACATTAAGTCATCGAAAGGTAAGCTGTTTTTCTGGTAGTTATTGGCTATGATTGTGATACAGTCAGAGAACTGGACTCTTTGTTGTGTCACTTAAATTATCTGAGTTCTTGAGTTTAAAAATACAGATTTGAAATTAAAAGAGTGAAGTAGTTTTAACTAATTTTTGTATAAAATATTCTTGTAGTTTCACAGCTCTTTAAACATTCTAATTAATACCAAGGAATTCATTAATTTGATTCTCTGGAATTAAGCAATATTTTAGTTTTATTTATAAGTACACTGTTTATTTTGGAAATATCCATGGTTTCGAAGAATGAGTTATTAAAAAGTATCACAATCAGAGAAATAAATGTCACTTGTGTAATAAGTGAGGTGTTTCATTAATACTTGTCACTTTAAATAATATTTGAAGGGATTCTGGTGTTGATTAAAAGAAAATTATAGCAACATTTGCAATGTTTCATAAAGAAATTGGTGGAGACCATTTTACTCTTTTATTTTTTATTCTAAATCATTTTTCAGACTCATACATAATTAAAGCTATACAATAAAAAAGCATGATTAGAACTAACCAACTATTTAGCTATTTTAGTTAAAAATGAATGGGGGCAACTCAAAATCACAGGTTATTTGCTACCATTTCACAGTTGATGTTATCTTAAACTTTCAACAGAATTTCAGTTCTAGTACATGATTCGAGTACTTTCGAAGTTCCATTTGAAGTACCTTGAAGTTGAGCAATTATATTTGCATTATTATGGGAGGAAAAGGGGCTTTCTAAACAAAAAGAGTATATTTGCTCACACACAATACAAACATGCCACTGTTAAGTAAAAACATTGAAGGTAGAGAGAAACTAAATGTATAAAAAGTGCAGGTAAATAATAGCTCAAACTTAAATAATGGTAAGCACTATGTTGAGGGAAAAAGAAGGTGTGAAATTGCTTAAGACTGGAAACCAAACTTAGACTTCTTTTTTAGATGCTAAATGCAAAAGACGTTTTTAATACTAGAAACCAAACACTGTTCTTTTACATGGTCTGATGTTTTTTCCGTTTTTCATCAGTGGAATGGTTTGGCAGCTAAAGAGTTGCCAAGAACAACCCACTTCACCAATCCTTGTTTGATAAAAACACAAAACAAAACGCGTATTTAAACAAAAACTCTTCACGGTAATTCCTGGGAAAACTTAGTTGCTTTTATCTGCCTTTCTGCTCAAATATATTTTCCATTCAATAAGTAATGACTGTTATGAAATTTCACCACTCTCCTCTGACAATATACCTGCTTAGTCTCTGGTTCCCTTGCTCTGAGAATGAAATTTCGCTCCCATTTTTTCCCCTGAGAAAATAAAAACTATCTCATAAGTAATATCTTCAGTGTCCTGATTCCCTGATAATTTATCTGCGATTTGACTAATACATAATTCTACAGTACCTCAGAAGAATAGTAACAGTAATTATAGTAGTATTAACCATTCTCATAGCAATCAATAATTACATAGTGCTTATGTTAGAAACCAGGCAGTATTCTAAGTTTTTTTACTTAAAAAAATGAGCGCATTTAATGCTTAGAAAAGCCATATGAGGTACATACTATTATTACCATTTTATAGATGAGGAAACTGAGCCTGTGAGATTAAATAATTTGCTCATGGTCACTCAACAATTAACTGGTAGGAAAAGGTTTCAAGCCCCTGCAGCCTTCCTCCAGAGTCCATGCTCTCAGAAGCTATGATACTCCTGGCCAGTTTGGCCCACTACATCCATCCCAATCTACTTCCCAAGAAATTATGCTCCATCCACCATCTCATCTTTCCTGGATCTCTCCACATTGGTGTCAGTGTCTCAGCTAATAAAAAGACTCAAGTCTCTACCTTATAAAAAAATAAAACCATTCCCCTTTGGTACTGTATCATCTTCAACCAAAAAACCAAAAATTAATAACTCCTTTTATCTTAAGCTTCTAAAAAGTAGATGTAATCTGCTGACTTCCATCTATGGAAGACTCAGATTTAGTTTTCTTACACACATCTTCTGCTGTGATACACACACTCCCTCAACTATCCATCCGCTCATGCTTACCTCCAATTTTTGGTTAAATCAGTTTTCAGTGTTTATAATACTATAAATTGGTGTGTTATTCACAACTGAATCATGGAGCTCAATCATTTCCCTGGTGTTAATAAATTCCTTTATTTTCACTTGCTTAAATTTCTATTTATCCATTGTTAATTTGTCTCCAAAATCTTTGACAGAATTATAAATCTCTTTTCAAAACGTTCAAACATGTAAGCTTATCTATCAGCCAGTTTGTTGTCTTGGAGACATCCTTTCCAAGGCTCTGTAGCCTTGATGCTGTCTAGATGATCTACCCCTGGGTCATTTATCAGCCCAGGCATGCCTTCCCTTCCCCCATCATTTTCACATAACATTCAGCATTCACCTCTCTCCTCTCCTGTGTCAGATGCCATGTTTCCTCCAGCAATGTCTTCCTCTTTCTTAGTTTATATATGTATTTTGGTGGCATATTCTCCAGTGGCCATTTGAAAGAGGAAGCAGAGAAGGTCAATTTTTTAAGCTCTTGCATTATCAGATTTTATATAAATATACATATACACGCAGACACACACAAATATATTTTTCTACCTTACCCTTATATTAGTTAGATAAATACCATGGTACAGAGTTATATTTTTTTCTCAGATCTTTCTAGATCTCGTTCATATGTCTTTCAGCTTTCAAGGGTAACCTGGAGAAGTTGAATGCAATTAATATTTTAATTAAAATTTATTGTCTTTTGAATGCAATCAGTCTCTTTCTCTTTATCTCTCTTGTAAAGTTTTGGGATCTTTATTCTCAGTATTCCAAAATCTTTAAGATGTACTTTGGTGTGAATCTTCCTTCATTAATTGCAGTAAACATTTTGTGAGTCTTTTCAGTCTGAAAATGTATGGTCTTCAGTTTTAGGGAATTTTCTACAATGATTTCTTGGTAATCTCTCCCTGTACAGTATCTCTGCTCTCTTTTTCTGTTCCTCTTAGTATTTATGAGACTTCCCAGCAGAGCTTCTAATATTTGGAGTTTTTAAACTTTTTCATTCCTATTTTTAATTTTTCTCCTAATATTTTTTATTTTTACTTTATACTTTATTTTCACTTTATACTTTATTTTCACTGAGAAACTTTATTTTTTCAATCCTGATTTTGTTTAATGGGTACAGTATCTCATCTCTCTGAGATATTATTTATATATTTTTTTAAAAAAGCTATTTTCTGCTTCCTGCATCATCTTGCTCTTGACTTTCTTTCTTTGGATTGTTCATCTTGGTTCCCTGTCTTTGCTGTTGGAGCTTGTCCTCAGATGTCTGGGGGTTCATGACCACCCATTCACATTTAATAATGAGACACGGTGTGCTCTCCTGACCTTGTGGCAGTGGTGTGCTTCACTAGAGTTTTCATCAGGCAGGCTCCTGGCCATGGCATTGGAAGATCCCGAATGTCAGTACCCAAAAGCAGTTTATTTTGGGCCAATCCGTTTCTTAGGAAGAAATGTTTTTCCTTTCCTATCTACCCCAGACAGAAGTCTGGTGAAAGGATTAGGAAAATTAAGAAAATGTGGTAGGGCATGATGGGAGACCAGTGTGTAAACAGACCCTCACTTAACTCTGTTTTTGAATGGTACGCACAATCACAGTTCAGTCTGGCTCCTCAATTCTTGAGTCCCTCTACTTTCTCTAGAATTAGGCCCTTCCCAGGCTCTTTTAGGAACTAAAAGAATTTCAGTTTTCTTCATATAGCTTGACCTCCTTGACAAACTTCTAGCAATCTCTCCAATTTTAACTCAATTATCTTTCCAGACTCATTCCAGACAAACTCACAGTTTTTTTCAGTGCTCCAACTGTTGACCTAAGGGTTGTATTTAGCATCTATCCCATTAAAACAATTATCTTATTGTATTTAAATCATCTGAGTTTCTATCATCCTTGAAGAGCTGATACTTTATCTTTTTGACTGATAATCCTTACTCCTTGAACAGTATATATTATACATTTGTCACTCAGGACATGTTTTCTTTAATAAATATTTGTCTGAAAATTTGAGTTTGATTCTATATTACTCCATCTATCAGTGTTTAGTCTTAAGTACACCTTAAAATCACATATCTTGGCCTCTTAACATAATATAGCATTTATCTCAGAGAAGGTTTATGAGGGTCAAACCAAACAAAATAAGAAAGCAAGCACCTAGTTAAGTGTAAATTGTTATATAACTAAATAGTTTTTATTTCTACAAGTTCAACATTTTATTGATAAATTATTATTAAACCATACATTAGGTATAGTGTTATGATTAGTTAATATAAAAGTATGATAAGGAGAATTCCACTGTTTATTGAATAACTATCACACAGTCTGTGTGTCATCTGTCCCATGTCTGTATCTGATCTTGTCTTCACTATTCATTACCTCACTCACTGTGCTCTAACTTAACTGGCTTCTACAAGTTTCTGGAATGCCTCTGGTCAGCCTCACTTCAGAGCTTGTCCATTTGCATTTCCAACTGTTTGGAACCCTCTGTTCCCAAGTCTGTTGGACACCCCCCTTCACGTCATCGAAGTGCCTGCTTAGACATAATCTAGGAGACGTCCCTTGGACAACCCTCCATATCACTTTCTTTCTTCTTACCCAGGGTTACTTTTCTCATTGAATAATTTTTCATCTCTAACTAGAATTTAATGTCAACAATGCAAACAACTTTTTCTGTTTTGTTCACTGTTGTATTTTTAGTACCTGGATTAATGATAAACATCTAGAAAATACTCAACAAACTTGTATTGAATAAAGATACATATGATAATTATGCACTGTGGTAAATGACATGAGTAATTTACTGTAATGAAAATTACCACACGTTTGTGAGACAAAATTGATAAAATACAGCATTGTTGCAATATAAATTTCCATTCTGCCACATAGCAGCCTTTGTTATAATTTGTTTTGTGTTTCACTGTTAAGGCATTGTTTCAATCACATTAGTGGTATTTTAAATATGACAAAACAATACTATGTATGTAACTTTTTCTCTTTTTTCATCAGTAAAGTATCTTTTTTTCAGGTCACAGATAGGTATAGGAGTCTATGTGCATTTTGGAATTACTCACCTGATACCATGAATGGCAGCTGGTCTTCAGAGGGCTGTGAGCTGACATACTCAAATGAGACCCACACCTCATGCCGCTGTAATCACCTGACACATTTTGCAATTTTGATGTCCTCTGGTCCTTCCATTGTAAGATAATTTTCCCCTTCATATTTATAAATGTTGCTTTTTCTGTTTTTTTTCCGCATCATTCGAGACAATATTTAATTTTTTATATATTTTTCTTGGGTTTAGATAGCACATTTAGTATAAGAGATAAAACCCCAACAGGATCTTTCTTTCTGTCTGTTTTCCTACCTACCTTCTGAAACATATCTAGTATGCATTTAAGATTATTTCTAGTCTAAGACTTATCTAGTCTGTAATATCTGGTAGATTACATATTAAATTAGCTTGTAATGCTGCTTTCAAGAGCCATTTGCCCATTTTAATGTATCACGGAATTTAAAGGCACTTTTTTGTGATGACAGTTTATTTTTACTCATGACAAAGCTCCTGAAAATATTTGACAGTTGGGCAATAAGTATTAGCACACTTATAACTAACATCATGTTTTTAGCAATGTAGAACGCCACAAGATTTTTAAACATGAAGAATCTCTCTAAGGTGAATAGTTTCATGACATTTATCTTACTTTTGTAATATCTTACTTACATTGTATATTTATCACATAATTTCTTATTTTATAGCTCTGTGCTATCATCTCCATTTTAATATATTTATTTATAATCTATCATTAAATATATAAAGTAACCAAATAAATCTACCTGAACATAATGTCAGTCCTAACAATGATTTTTTCCTGAACTTAAGCAAATAAACATCTATTCCGTATATAAACATAAGTATTCATCTAGTTAGGATAAAACCAGCATTTTCTATTTCAAAGTTTCTGAACAATATTACTTGATAATCCTTATATTCTGCATTGCTAACACCTTTGTTTCACATGTTTTAGATGAATCACTGCATAGACATAAGACTTAGTCTTACCACTGATAAATCTGTTTTAATTAACCATGTTCACATTATAATAATCGATTGCCTTTCTAATGTAGTGAAATTAATGACGATAACATTGTTAAACCATGTACTAATACTAATACTATGCCTAGAAAAAAAATCACCAATTACAGAACTGTTAAAGTGCTACATGATTTACATCAGATTTATGTGGATATTGAGGATTTTCAAAAGTACAAAATTTTTCTCATCTAAATGCACATTTATATTTTTACATTTTATGAACATTTTGATTAATGTTTCACCAAAAAAGGAAGTTCATTATATGTTGTAGTTCCTTTGACAACTTAGTGAGTTATTCTTTTAACTGCTTTATTATTATTTTCCCTTAGGGTATTAAAGATTATAATATTCTTACAAGGATCACTCAACTAGGAATAATTATTTCACTGATTTGTCTTGCCATATGCATTTTTACCTTCTGGTTCTTCAGTGAAATTCAAAGCACCAGGACAACAATTCACAAAAATCTTTGCTGTAGCCTATTTCTTGCTGAACTTGTTTTTCTTGTTGGGATCAATACAAATACTAATAAGGTATGTAGGCATCCTAATCTCTATTTTTGTCCTATGATATGTGTACTTTCTTAAATGTATATGTCCTAGAAACATTATTTGTAATTTAGGGTTTAATGGGGCAGACGTTCTCTATAATTTGTTCTTCAGCTATCCTTTCTAAGTTTGATAATGCTAACACAGCTAAGCAAACTACTTATCAAGTCCATTCAGCAAAAATGGCCCTCATTATGATGAATTATTGGGACAAGTTAAAACTTTGCAACAAACTGAATAAATACTTTTTTGTTGTTCTGTTTTGTTTTTAAATGGACGTTAAACAAAGGCCAAGGAGAGAAACAATTAGAAATAAACTTTATCTTAGAATAGGGACTGAACATAAATGCAGTCACAGTTTGTAGGTTGGAATGTGATAAATTGGTTTTACCTAGTATCTTTTCTAACTTCCCATTTCCCAAGATTATTGATTTTGAACCATTTGAACCTTCCCAAAAGGTTTCATATTGTATTGGTCTGGGTCCTCCTAGAAGCAGGTGTTAAGATGGGGTTAAGTATGCAATAGATTTATTAAGAGAATTGCTGGGGAGAGCAAATGGGAAGAGAGAGGCTTGGAGAGCTATCAGACCAAGATTCAGGTATGATCCTGAGGGAAGAAAAGAAGAGTGGGCAAAAGCATTCCACACAGTAATGCAGTTCTAAGGAAAAGTCAGCACAGGTGTCAAGGAGTCCTCTCGGAAGTCCTTGAGCCAACGTTACCTGTCAGGGGAATCATTTTGTCTCTCAGGAGCAGGAATCCTTTGTAAGAGGAATCCTTTTTCTCTCACAGCAGTAACCCTACTGTACTCAGTGATGGGCTGGCAGCAGCCTATGGGAAGTGGGAACAGCAGTGGATTTCCTACAGCTGCGGCTGAAGCCTTAGGTCAGTTGCACTCCTTGCAGTTGGAGATTGGAGAAGTGTATTCTCATGACCACAAAAAGTGAAATTGCCTCCATATTTCCATTCTTAGAAATCTTTCAAAGACTGAAACTAACAATCAGTTAGCAAGGTATTCTTCTGAAGTAGATGGCAAGAAGTGTTTATTTTAAATAGTATACACTAGACTGTGAACTCCTTATCTATTTTTATGTTTTGCAGTGGTATTCGTAACACTTTTCAATTTTATGTATCTCCCACTATCCTCCAATGCCTAGTTCCTATTTCAATTACCTTCCACCATTATCTTCACCCCAAAATTACTCAGTGTAGTGTTTACTTTCAACTACTTTTCACCTATTAAATTTGTCCCATTTTTCCAGTCATATCTCAAATCTCACTTCCTTGCTAAAGTGATTTCCAAATTTTAATTGCCAATGATCTTTCTGTTCCCCAGCCTTATAGAGTACTCTCTAACATATTTTACTATGTCATCTCATTAATCTTGAATTATATTCTGTTTTTTTAATGGGATAGGTACATAAGTATGTATTATGTTATCTCTCCCATGATACATACCTTTAGCTTTACTAGTATGGAAAGTGTAACTACTTCTTCTTCTGTTATTTCTTATAGGTCTAACTTTAGCTCAAGATGAGAAATAAACACTGAAAAGTATGTTTAAGTGAAAGCCATCTCAAATTTACATGATAATCTTAACAGTTGAAAGTAATTCTGTAATGGATATTTTGATGAAATATATTATTAATCTACTTTGTAAATTTTATTTTTGTCATCTAAGATATTTATTTTCTTTTGTCTAGCAGAGTATTATGAGTCATTTTCATTCTTTGAGCATGAATAAAATAAAGGAAAAGAGAGGCATCTCCAAAACAGAAATCAACTTAAATCCTAACATATTCACCAAGATACCATGGTTTACATGAGAATAATCCACAATTTATCACATAAGATAAATATATAAAAGTTACAAACCTCTGGACAAAAACAGTAACAGTTCTATCACAAGATTGGTTAATATTTCACGCTGATGAAACGCAGTTGTTTTTCTAAATCTTTAAGAACTGACATGGTATTTTAATATGACTAATCATTATATAAAGTGGCATACTTTATAGTATAAAGAAAGTTGTGATTTACAGCGAAAGTAGAGATTGTATGTTATGATAATTTTAAAACAAACACTGACAATGTTTTTTTTTTTTTCTTTGATTTCTAGCTCTTCTGTTCAATCATTGCCGGACTGCTACACTACTTCTTTTTAGCTGCTTTTGCATGGATGTGCATTGAAGGCATACATCTCTATCTCATTGTTGTGGGTGTCATCTACAACAAGGGATTTTTGCACAAGAATTTTTATATCTTTGGCTATCTAAGCCCAGCCGTGGTAGTTGGATTTTCGGCAGCACTAGGATACAGATATTATGGCACAACCAAAGTGTAAGTTAAAATGATTTCATGAGCATTTGAAATACGATTTTGAATGTGCTTTGCATTTCTTTGATAATTTTGCTATGTTAACATACATGCAAACATATTTATAGATTCTATCTTTTATTTACTTTTCAGATGTTGGCTTAGCACCGAAAACAACTTTATTTGGAGTTTTATAGGACCAGCATGCCTAATCATTCTTGTATGTATATATAAAATTGTTATTACAATTCAAAAAAGTGATGATCATAGGGTGCTTAAAATTTCCAGCAATAAGGTGTTATTCTAAAAAAGAAGAATTTGAATATTTTACAGTATATCACTTATCAGCATTTTACATATACTATAATTAAAAAATACATGTATATCTTTTAAATCATGTATAGCTTTTATACATTTTTTAATATATACTTTTTAAATATAAAATATAATAATACTTTTTAAATATAAAAAAAATCATGTATAGCTTTTAAATTCAAAGCTATTACAATTCATTTGCCCCTCTTGATGGAGTATAGATGTCTGCATAACATAGAGGAAAAAGCATTTTTTGCTTATCAGTAATACCTCGGCATGCTTCAACACACAGAGTGTGCCAACCAGCTGATAATTTGGCATTTTAGATGTTTACATTATTTAATCTTTTATCGATGATCGGTCATCTTTGAAGATTAGACTGTCATCTTTATAGTTTTATCATCTTTATGTACCCTGTCATCATAAAGTGATTTTAAACTAAATTGCAACAGCAGAGACAAGAACCCACTATTTCTCATGAACAGACAAGTCATATATTGAGATAGTCCTATTTCAGCATGGAAGAGGGCCTTTTAATTCTTATTGGAAGTGGTTTCAAACCTACAAATTTGGCAGGCATTATATGTTCCATTCTAAATAAAGACATTTTTGTATGTCTGAAGAGCATTTCTAAGTCCTGAAAGTTTTCAACAGTCTTTCTGAATATAATAGTCTGTCAGTGAATCTGGGAGGGCTGACAAAACTCTAGAGTGGAATGAATTGTCAGTAGAGAAGTTATGGCAATATTTTGGACAACTTTGTTCCATATGTGTTGACCGTAAGCTAGCCATCTTTTTGAATTTCTTTTTCTGTCTTCCTCTTTCCTTTGAGTTTTTTATGGTTGTGAGGGTACTGCTAAATGGAGAAGGACCTGAAATGCAAAGCAGAGAATTTTCATCAAGCTTTATTTTGCAATGGTGTGGGTGAAATCAAGGGCATTCATAAAGTATACTTTCTACTCATCACAAAAACTCATTTATAATTCTCACAATAAATCAAACAATATTTTATAAAAGAAAAACCAAGAGCAAGATTTAAGCTAAAACAAGTTGAGTTAATTTATTATGACTCCAAAATTTCCAACCCACATAAGAATATAAAATGGTGTCCCACTCGCATATTTTTATGGATTGCCCTGATGTGAGTATTTCATGTGATGGCGTATCCTAATTTTACTGATTTTCTCACCATAGGAAAATCCATCTTTGCCATTGTTTTGTACAAGTGAAAGGTCCGTGGAGCAATGACTCTTATTGTTTAGATAAAAAGTAGCATGATAGAAATTATATTAAAACAACAAAAACAGGAGCATACTTCTCTAAAATAAGAAAGGGGAAGTATTCTTTGAAATAGTTTTTAACAGTTGCTTGTGTAAGGCTAATTTGGATTATTTTATGGTAAGATACAGAGAATTTAGATGAAATTATTTAAAAATGAGTCCTGAAAACTTTTCTAGAAGTCTAAATGAACACTGTCACATTGTTCTAGTCTGGAGCTAGTGAGCCAATTTATCTCCCATACAGTCTCTGTATGATAATCATTTCCAGGTTAACCAGGGGGTCAGTCTACTTAAAAAATGAGCTAGGCCCCTCAGTTTTACTCTACAATTAAATATTTCTCATCTTTTATAATACCTTTTTTAAATACTAAGAAATTCTTAGATAATTATTGAATCAAAGTGAATTATTTATCTCCAGTTATCTTTGTTCTTCTGTGCTAATGCTTGCATATTACTATTATTATTCAGCTATATAACACAATGTTAGATGACATTTTTCCTGTTGCCCAAGAATAGTAGCTAGTTCAAAGATAAAGTCAAAGAGATATTGAACACCAAACATTTAAAAAAGAACCACCAACAGTTTAGGCCTGCTCTTCCCATGGGTCATACAATTAAAGAGAAACACCAGCTATAGCCCCGTGAGAGGACTGGAGAAGGGAGCTCAGCGGATGATGGCTCAGAGTTAGGCATGCTTGGCCTTTAGGGGAGGACAATGTTCTCTATTAGAAGTTTTTCTTTTCTCTACCAATAAGAAAAAATGATGGTGTTTCCCTATCCCCTGAAGACAAGATGTGGAGGAACACTCAAAAAAGTTTGCAGAGCATGGAATCAAAATAGTAAGAGTAAAATTATCATCCTGATCTCACATTGCTAGAATGACTGTAGAATTTTCATGTGTCCCCGGGATATAAGAATACCAGATTATAATGAGCATTTTTTATGAGAGTTTGCCATATATCCCCTGATTTCGAGCCAAATGTGAACCTAGAGACTAGCACCTGCTTTTGTACGGAGTTTCCTCCAGGCAATGTGCTTACTGGAGTATTCTTCAACAGCAGGGACAGAAAAGATTATTATACAGTGTCCCTAGTAATAAAATGATAGGGTGAAACTCAAAGACTTGAGCTATTCTATACGCAAAGATAAGTCGGAGAAATGGAAAGAAGTTGCAGGTCTGCCTAGGTCATGTGAAGATATGTACAATGAAGAGAATGGGTTGAATGGAGATATGGATATTCATCTTTGAAGAATAGAAGAGACCAAGATGGAAATGAAATACTGTGATCACCAAGTAAATTATGCATACCATCAAAGTGAAGACTGTCTCTTAAGCCACAACTAGCAATGGTAATAAGAACCAGACTAAACCAAAATTATATCATGCAGCTCCCCCATAACAACTGGTGGTCAGATCCTTCTACCCTCCAAGCGCAGAGTTGTGGATCCCTAGCAGTAGAAGACCAGTATCTCAGAACCAACCACTCTGCCCCTACTCAAACACATACGCTTCAAGTATCTGGAAAGGAAAAAGAAGTAAACACCAGATTTTAAAAAATCTAAAATTACTAAAAGCTATGGCATGTAAATTTATGGCAGTCCCTGAAGAAAAAAAAAAGTAACTTTTATGTCACCAAAAAAAATCTCTACTTCACCAACTAGAGATTCCTTGGTGAAGTAGGAATGTTCAAATGTTCAAATGATCAGATGAACATCAAATGATCAGATGTTCAAAATTGATCACCACTTGCCATTTTGGGGATAGCAATGACCTACTGATTAGGAATTTGCATCCTATGCTTTAGAATATCCTGCTAGGTAAAGACCCAAACCGTATGATTAAGTTCACCGTGTTAATTGGGTGCTCTGGACATGATAGAAAGACAAAGAAAATATAAGAAATATCTTCTGCCAACTACAGTATGAATGAGAGGAAAAAAGACAACACACATGATAAAGGAAAGTATATAATTACAATATAAGTCATACTGGTAAGATGTGGAGAGATCAGTATATATATCATAGACATTCAAAAGTCTTCATTGAGGTGGAGGACCTTGTTTGTGGATGTGACAAGAAGCAGGTTCTACTTTATATGATTGCGAAAGGGCAGAGGATTGCAAGTGTGAACTAAAGCAAGCAGCCCTTATAAGCATGCCAGATTCCTTCTGAGGGAGAACAAACGGCAAAACAAGAAGTAGTTAGCATTGTAAACCAGGCAATACCAGACATCAACTGAAGAATCACCATTATTCACAGTATTCAAGAATCATCTTTTTAAAATACATTAATCACTTCTTAGTCCAGATTGTCATTAACTACTAAACAAATTTTTACCTCCACAAATAAACTCATCCATTTACTCTCCTCCATGTTTATAGTCGGGGCCTTGCTATCCCTCACTAGGATGCTTAGTATTCAGAACAAAAATAAGAGGTTTTATTTTAATTTATACTTTGTTTTGTTTTATTTTATTTAACTTTTATTTTAAGTTCAAGGGTACATGTGCAGGTTTTTTACATAAGTAAACTTGCGTCATGCGGATTTGTTGTATGGATTATTTCATCATGCAAGTATTAAGCCTAGTACCCATTAGTGATTTTACCTGATCTTCTCCCTCCTTCCATCTTCTACACTCAAGTAGGCTCCAATGTCTGCTGTTCCCATCTTTGTGTCCATGTGTTCTCATCATTTGGCTCCCACTTATAAGTGAGAGCATGTGGTATTTGGTTTTCTGTTCCTGCATTAGTTTGCAAAGGATAATGACCTCCAGTTCCATCCACGACCCTGCAAAGGACATGAACTCATTCTTTTTCTGACTGCATAGTATTCCACGGTGTATATGCATGTTTTCTTTATTCAGTCTACCACTGATGGGCATTTAGTTTATACTGTGTCTTTGCTATTGTGAATAGTGCTGCAGTGAACATGTGTCTTTATGATAGAACAATTTATATTCTTTTGGGTATATACCAAGTAATGGGATTGCTGGGTCAAATGGTAGTTCTGTTTTTAGGTCTTTGAGGAATCACCACCCTGTCTTCCACAATAGCTGAACTAATTTATACTCCCACCAACAGTGTATAACCATTCCTTTTTCTCCCCAACTTCACCAGCATCTGTAATTTTTTGACTTTTTAATAATAGCCATTCTGACTGGTGTGAGATGATATCTCACTGTGGTTTTGATTTGCATTGCTCTGATGATTAGTGACAGTGAACATTTTTTCATATGCTTGTTGGCCATGTGTATGTCTCCTTTTGAACAGTGTCTCTTCATGTCCCTTGTCCCCATTGTAATGGGGTTGTTTGTTTTTTCTTCTTCTAAATTTGTTTAAGTTCCTTATAGTTCTGGAATTAGACTTTTGTCAGATGCATAATTTGCAAATATTTTCTTCCATTCCATAGGTTGTCTGTTTATTCTGTTGATTGTTTTGCTGTGCAGAAGCTTTTTAGTTTAATTAGTTCACATTTGCCAATTTTTTTTAAAGTGTAGGGGTGCATGACTTACCCTGGCCTGGTATAGCCTCAGGTCCTGTTTATAATTTGGTATCATATTGCCACAAAGAGTCTGTTCTGGCAGTTTTATGACCTCCTATTTTAACATTAATGCAGTCAGCTATTGTTTTTAAATCAGCAATCCCCAACTTTTTGGCACCAGGGACCAGTTTTGTGGAAGACGATTTTTCCACAGATTGTTGAGGAGGGGTAATTGGCATTAGATTCTCATAAGGAGCATGTAGCTTAGATCCCTTGCATGCACATTGCACAATAGGGTTTGCCCTCCTATGAGAAGCTAATGCTGCTGATGATTTGACAGGATGGGAGCTCAGGCAGTACTGGTTCATGGCCTGGGGTTTGGGAATCCCTTGTCTAAACCATAAAAGAGAGAGGGTATAACAAGGTGTTTTTGACCTTCCAACTCATCATGGCCAGGAACTCAGTTTTCAAGTTTTTCTGGGGTCTCCTTGGCACAACAGAGTCTAGTCAGTTGATGAAGGGATTCAAATTTTATTTTTAGTTTACATCTCAATCATAGAGCTATGCCTTTCTTGATTTATTTACCGCATCTTACTCAATATTCATCTTGCTCAATAATCAGTGCCACTGTGTTGCACAACTTTAGGAGTCACAGTTGCAATGTGGTCTTTGGGGAGCTGCATTCACATTGGAACCTCTGTGAGTGATGGACTCTAGAACTGTAAAACTTTGTGGCCCTCTTTTTGGTCACCCTGCAGTATAGAAGTGCCTAGTAAGTCTTCAGTAATTATGTGTATATTTTAATTGAGCCACTAAAAATATCGATGGTAATAAATGAGGAAGCAAGATTAAGTGATCTCTCTGAAGCTATTTTTCTACGCCTAGCCTTGGGTTCCTAATATGCAGATGAAGTTAATGATGCCAGCCCTACATAACACGGCTATGGTAAAAACAGCAATAACAACTTTAACTTATTTTTTAACAATTAAAAAAGGAAAATGCACAACATTCTGGAGGATAATCTTATGGCATTCCTATACCTACATTTTTGTATTAAAATTAAATAAAAAGACATTTTAAAACCATGATTTTTACAGCAAAACATTATATGCAAGGGAATGTATGTGTAGCCAACTATAGTGTGTGTGTGTGTGTGTGTGTGTGTTTAGATCTTGATTTTTAAAATATTAGTGAATAAGTAGCAGTATTTAATTATAGCAAGATATGATTATTATACGTGTGTCTGTTTTTATATAGAATTTGTTAGAAGTCTCTAGTACACCATACCAGAAAAAGTTTAGCTAAAACAAAGTAAACATGAAATATTGCAAAGAAAACCAATAGAAACTTAACAGAATAAATAATATTTATTTTCCAGAATAAAGACACAATATAAGTGAAGCTTCAAATTTAAATAGGTAATTAGGGGCAAATTTTTTATGGCCTTATATGAAGGTTAAGATTGCTTTCACCGTTTCTCTGAACACATCTAGAAAGACTTGTGCTCCAGAAAAGAAATCTCTATAGAGCAATCTTTAATCCCAATCATTCCTACATGGAATCCTTACAGTTTATCCATAGAGTAAGGACTTCTAGAGTAAGAATTACAGACTAATGCCTTAAATGGTATTTGCTTATTTTTATGAATGGAGCCCTGAGGCTTGCCTGGTTTGGGAATATGATGTAAAATGCCTTTGAGGTAATATATAAATCAGTAAGAACAGAATTAGTTCAACACTAATGTATTATTATGTATGTTGTTTCAAACAAATATTTAAGCTTTTAATCCGTTCAGATAAGTGTTAACTACTTAGGTATTTGAACAGTAACATGTTCTGCATTGATCTTACTAAAGTAATTCTTCAGGTGTTTGGTTCATTAATATTAAAAATCTCTTAGAATTCTGAAATATGAACCAGTGACCTCATTGATTCTATCTATGAATCACTACATTTAAAATGTTAAGATTGTGACTGTACTTGAAAAGGCCTAGTCTTGCTTTTTGAAAGCTTGAGCTGTACAAAAAAGAGATGTCTAAATCTTTGTAAAGCAAGCTGCAAACTGAAGATAATTTCCATAATTTATTTCTTCATTCAATATTTTTAATCTTCAATGCTCAATTCTTTAAACTAAAACTATGTAAGTGATTAGATTCAAGTACACAACTATAAAGAAGAGTTCATAAAAATAATTTAACTTTTAAATAGAAACTGAAGTTTCCCCTAGACACATTCAGCATTGAAGAATAGCATTTGCTTGATTGAGGCAAATACTAATTAAGCTATGTCCAAGTAAGGTATTTTATTTAAAAACTGTGAGGTTTCATTTGAATTTAAATCAAAACTCTCATAATTATGTGTTGCTGTATCACTACTCTTACCAACTTCTTTTCAAATCTGACCAGAACTCCACTCACTTTTTGTTGTAACCTCTAATTGTCCTTTATATGTCTACAATCTAATTCCCTTTCACCAGGAAATACTTATTAAAACCTACTCAAAATGAATTTTTATGACTCTTACAAGATGGGCCACATTTAGACATATCTGTTATTATGTAAGACATTCTTATTACATTTTTTAGTAGCACAAATTGCCAAAGATTGGAAAAATGCAAATATTACAAGACTGTGCAAGGTAAAAATGTGAATATTCCAATCTACACTCATTCTCCCCATAAATACATTTTTCTTAATATTTACTCTGTATCCTTTTAGACCTCTGCTGTGTGTATATTTGATTATAAATTCAAAAAACCTGAATTGTCTATTATCTGTAATATATCATATTCATTTTTCCTTGTTAGAATATACAGTTCTACCCTCTTTTTATCATGTATATTATGACTATGTGCTAATTTATTTAACAACTTTCCTATTGAAGAATATTTAATGTATTTCCAAAGTTTACTTATTACAAATAATACTGCACAGAGAATCTTTATTCCAATATAATTTCATGTATCTATTACATAAAATTATTAGGAACTACTTCTTAGAAGTAGAAATGCAAGTATATACAGATTTTAAAATTTACAAATTGTCCTTCAAAACAATTACTTCAATTGATAGGTTCACCAACAATATATGAGAGTGTTCTCTTTCTGACACTTCTGCCAATGCTAGATATTATTATCTACTGAGGTAGATAATAAAAATAAATGGTTCGATTGGAATATATAAACCAAAAAGCATTGTGATAAACTAGGATTCCACAATAATGGCAGAGCTGACACGTTGGATCAAATCTTTGTTGTGGAGGCTGTCCTGTCTGTGCTATTATAAGCTTAGGAACATCTCTGGTCTCTACTCACTAGATGCCAGTAGCACCACTGCCACTTAAATATGACAACCAAAAATGCCTCTCCACATGTCCTCTGGGGGATGATATTCCCAGTTCTCTTCACTGGGAACCACTAGCCTAGACATGGATGTTAAGTATCTTGAATACGATTGTATTTTGCAGTCCTCTATAAATAGCATACAATGAGAAAAATCATGAGAATCATGGTTTGGGCACTGTACTTTAGATGTCCACATTAAAGTTATATTAGAAACACTACTCATTGTAATTTTAAATGTTATGGATAATGGCATCAACATTTTAATTATGTGTTTTAATTTAACATCATCATATTTGTTGGGTGCATCTTTCAGTCACCTCTGTGTTTCAAGGCACTTTAATACTCTAACCTTTATCCATATTATGTATTAATAAGCATTTCAGTGCCTGTAACATTTTTCCACTTTTTTTCATATTATTTTGACCTTCTTGAAACAATAGATAGCTGGAATTCAAAATAAGGAAAAGTGGAATTATATAAAAACATAAATAATACATTGGTAGTTTCAATATGTTCCTATATATGAGAGATATATTCTTACTGGAAATACCTTCAAAGATAATGTCCTTAAGACACATAGTAGAAAATGTCTTAAAAGCTGAATAAACTCATAGAAATTAGAAATCCAAAAAATATTTTTAAAAACTCTTGGATCTCTAAAGCCCAGTTGGAAATAACTGGTTAAGATGAGATTCATCGCTAGTATTTCCTTATAAATGTAGCTTTACATTGAAGGATGTTACATAATGATATGATGAAAGGGAAGAACTATGGATGTTGGTAAAGCAAGATAGTCATTAGAATTATTATTCACTTTACATTCCTATAGTCTTTTAACCTTTACAAAACACTTATATCTCAGTTAATCCTAATGGAAGCTTCTGTAATACATGCAAATAAAAATAGTAACAGCATTTCATAAAAAATGATGTTTTACTAGATGTTTACACTGTAATACTGTAATATTGACTTATCTACTTAAAAATACCTACAGGGGTTCTGCTATTTATAACTTTTTAAAGCTTTAGACCAATTGTTTGAAAAGGGCTGATTACACTAAGGCAAATTATGTGCATTCTTTTGTAGCTAACAGACAAAACCTTCAAGCTCCTATTTACTAAGAATCCATAAAATCCTTAAACTTAGCCAAGAGCACAGTATAGGTTCTAATCACCTTTGGACTTCTGATCATCCTCTGAAAGTAACATGATTTCCTTCCCCAAGCTGATCTACTACAAGAGGGAGCCTTTCTTTGAATCAGTCTTTCTTAGTCGTTGCAGAGCTCATGTTCTACACAACTGAAGATATTTAAACTTCTCTATAAGTGTTTGTCATATCCCTCTGTCCCCTTTAATATTCCCTGCAAAATATGAGTTACAAATTTTGAGAGAATGGACAGTCTGCGTGGCTTGGTCTTGATTTCTTTCTCTCATACGGAAACATTGTGCAGTCTAGTTTCAGGGCTTCCCAAGGAATAAGTATTTAAGATTCTTTTTGATGCAAAAATCATTCCTCCTGATTGTATCTGATCAAAATGACAACCAGCCCAGGCAAACGGGGACGTGTGGATACTTTACCTAGAAGTGCATGTTCTAGACCCTGTCTGCTGCTCACCTTCTTTTTTTCAAGAGCTCTCCATATTCAGTCACACTGGCTGCTTGACACTTCCTAAGAGGTTCTATGTACCTTCCCATCTCAGCACCTCTGCCCTAAAACATTCCCTATCACTTCCTTCTGTTTATACCTCCATCTAGTTACCACTCATTTGTCTTTCAGATATCAACTCAAACAACACTTTCCAAGGAAAGTCCCGCTTGATTCATTAGTCCATAATAAGTCTCATTGTTAAATGCTTTCATAGAAGCCCATTTTTTTCTTTTGGAAAACTTTTATCATTCTACAATTACACATGTGTTAGTGTGAATAACCTATTAATATCTGTCTTCTCAAAGGAGTACTGTAAGCTCTGTGAAAACAAAAACCTTATGGATTTTCTCTCAGTATATTATCTTTAGGGGTTAGCATGTAGAATTCACTCAAGTAATACTGTTGAATGAATAAATGAATGATGCGCCATGAAAAGTTACTCAGAAATGATATTTCCTTCCCTAAAATGGAAATTTAAAGAAATAAATCATCACGGACATAAGATTATTTTGAGAAAAAATTTCAGAAAATTATATGCAGCATTCATTATAAACTATCACTTTTACTTTATTTACTTTTTTCTTAGAAAATCATTACTATATCTACCTATGTATATTAGTCTATCTACCTATGACATGCTTTCAGTAGGAATTTTAACACTGAGGTTTTACACTTAACTGAATGAAATGAAGTGCTGGCTAGACAATGCCAGAAGTTTTCAAAAGCAATATGGATAGTGAAGAGTACAAACAATGGGTTCTTTCCATGCCCTGAATTTCTGATATGTAGATGGGGATAATGGTATCTACTCCAGATACAGAGATACTGTTAAAAACTAAAAGCAAATTATTAGAGCATTTTTTAAAAGTCAGAAAAGGACAATTCTTAATAATTTGGGGGAAAATCTTATATCTCTTCTATTTTTACCTTTTAAATGAAAAATTAAATTGGCAATAATTTTAGATATACCTTTGAATTTAATTGCGAAAGTTCTATTTTAGCTTCTCAGCGAGCAACTTATATAAATTTATATTAAAGTTTTTATACCTTAAAGGTTACAGTTTTATAAACTTCCTTTGAAATGTTTGATTCTTACTAACCTCTGTTCTTGTTTTCTATTGCAAGTATATACAACAAATATTTTTCATTGCTTATATCTTAAGAAGAAATAGTTCATTATGTAGTATTCATTGTCACATTACATCAATTTACATTGTTGTAAATGCTCTTCACATACAGTTGTTCTCCTTCACCTTTATTCCTTTCCATGGTTTAAAATCATCTACAGTTAAAAACCAGTGATAAAGATAAACCCATGTAGCTCACTTACTCCCGTGCGGGTCACTTTATCCTTCATGGATACAGATGTCCAGTTCTCTCTGCCTTTTGATTCTGTTTTTGAGACTAGTAAATTATTCCTTCAAACACTAAAAAAAACCACTATTAAAATATTCCTAATGGAAACATGTTAAAAATATGAAGTGCTAATACTATTTTAATGCCTAAAATGATTATGTATTAGGATGGGATTTTAGCCATAATTAAATAGAGCAATTATTTAGCTATAAGCTATAGCATGAGGATTAATTTCCTAATAGACAAGTATCCTGCCAACTAGTTGACTAAGAATTTAGTTGTGGCCTACCAGTGTGCCCAAGTCTTAGATTAATGAATTTATATCATAAAACCCATGAATCTTTAGTTTCTTTTAGATGCAAACTATTGAAAGTTGTCCATTGTGTCTATCCACATCAACAGATGTAACTTTATTATTTTTCCCTACTCAGAGTTATTCCTGGAGAATAATTATATTTGGATAATTTGAGCTATATTTCTTAGTTTCTGTTGCCATATATTATGTAATATTCTGTTTCTAATTCTATACTATTATGTCACAATCTGCAAAATGTGAGACAAAATAAAAATGTAATTTTTCGAAATGTTTAGTCAAATTAATGGCTAAATGCTCCTTTATGAAGGTTATTAAAGATACCTGGGATTTAAATATAGGGTCTATCCTTCACCCTTTTATTTATTCAACAAATGATTGTTGAGCATCTTGTATATTCCAAACACTGTTCTAGGCCTTGAGAATACATCACCAAATAAAATAGAAAATAGTCTTTGTCCTTGTGGACCTCGGATTCTAGATCAGGAGTCATCAATGAGCATGGCTTGTTTTTGTAAATAGTTTTATTGGGATACAGCCACACTCATTTGTTTGTTTTTGTATTCTCTGCTTTAATGGTATGGCATAGTTGTGATCAAGGCCACAGGTGTCTCAAAACCTCAAATTGTTATTTTCTGGACCTCTACACAAAATGTTTACTAATCCCAGCTGTATACTAGAGAAATGTAAGAAAAGGTAGCTATCTGCTCTCATAAAATTCCCAGAATTTCATAATGGATTAATTATGAATATGTCTTCTTATATTCTGGGTACTTTATGGGTCACCCTTTGCAATATAGTTATTTCTTTCTTTCTATAAACTTATTGAAGTTAGCCAGGTTTATGATCTACAAATTACAATTCTACCCCAGAGAAGTTTCAACAGAAATGAGGAATTGTTTACACAAATGATAAATGCTCAACTTACTCTTGAATTATATCCATTTCAGTAATTATTTTGCTGATATCACTTTAGAAGAAAGTCCTGAAAGTGGAAAATATTTCCCTCCTCTATATTAAGAACATATTGGCCAAAAATAAAGACAGACAAATATAAGTTCTGGTATTTTAAGATGCTATTGACAGGTCCATTGAAACCATATCACAAAACAATAATTATCCAATTGTTGAATAAATACACATTATATGTAGTTTTGGTCACTTCAAATTTTGAAAACAATATAGAAGAACCATAATTCTGTATGAGTGTTATAACCACTACTGATAATAATTGATGTTTGTTGAGAACTTAAATATTAGGTACTCTTTGGAGTACTTTACATTAATTATGTAATTTAATACACACAAACAACCTGTGAGATAAGTACTAATACTATCCACATTTTACACGCAAGGAAAGTAAGACACAAATAACTAAATATATTAATCTTCTTGTAAGTATGAAAACTGGAATTTGAACCTATGAATGTGGCTCTAAGGTCCATTTAGTCCATTTATTTTGAAGGTGCATTTGTTGCTTTCTTAAAACTGTCATATTATATAAGAAAGTGGTTTTCAAACTTTTTGACTAAAGACCCATCAGTAAAATGTATGCACCTCACTAAATGTATGTTTATATCTTGAAAATGTCTTTCATTTATTAGTTTACTAATATTTTATATAAATTATCTTATACAGTATATAAAGTATATTGTAAAACATACTTTAAAATATATATTAAAGAATGAAAGATGAAATAACAATATTTAAAATAGATCAATATGATTCTCACTAAAATATTAGCATTTCATTTTTTTAAATGAAATATTGATTATACTTTAAATGCAGCAATTCAAAGGTATAGATCTAAGTTCAATACTTGGTTTAAATGACTATCAGGGAGCTGCAACCTCAAAAATACATTAAATCTGTACTTTCACATTAGATGTAGCAGATCTACCACTCTGGGTACTCTGTTCTAATACTTATTTCTTCAAATCTTCAGCAATGTTTTATTATTGCACTTTCTAGAAGTTTTTAGTGAAGGAGTATATAAAGGAATACATTGAAATTTGGTGCCATTATTCTATTTGTTTTCCATGTCTTACTTCATGGGTTATTATATTATGTTCCATGTATTATTTTAGTTAATTTTATCATGAAGAACAGATATTTTCTTCAATAGTACATTATTATTATTATTATTTATTTATTTATTTATTTATTTATTTATTTATTTATTTATTTTATATGGAGTCTCGCTGTGTCACCAGGCTGGAGTGCAGTGGCGTGATCTCAGCTCACTGCAACCTCCACCTCTCAGGTTCAAGGGATTCTCCTGCCTCAGCCTCCTGAGTAGCTGGGACTACAGGCACGTGCCTCCAGGCCCAGCAAATTTTTTTGTATTTTAGGTAGAGAGGGAGTTTCACCATGTTGGCCAAGATGGTCTCAATCTCTTGACCTCGTGATCCACCCTCCTCGGCCTCCCAAAGTGTTGAGATTACAGGCGTGAGCCACCGCGCCCGGCCAATAGTACCTGACTTTTTTTTTAAACTTCCACTGTTAAGTAGAAAACATTACTAGAAACTTCTAAACATTTCATGAATATGCATAACTTTAAATATGACTGAAAACTGTGGATCTAAATCCATGCTTCAAATTGTCTTCTTAAAACTTTGAGTTTTGTAATACCATTTAATCAAATCTGATTAGATCTTCATGGATTTTAACTGTGACTGGCTTATATGGACTTTTTACATGAACTTGCAGCCTGGCTGGCACATAGCACACTGTAGAAGTAAGAAAAATGTCAGTTTGTCATTTTCTTGTTTGTATTTTCCTTAGTAGTATGAATTTTAACCCACAGTGCACTTGGAGACATCTTAAGTCTTATTTGTCCATTTCATTAGGATTACTTTATTAAAACTAAATAGTGTAAGATGACAGGCATGCATACAATATGATGCAGTAGGCTGAAAGATAAAGAGGGTGGATTCCTCCACCTTGAGGAACAAATATAGCCTTCAGAATGGCTCAGATCTGACATGGGATTCCACTCCATAGAGCATGGAAAAAGTGAGGACACCAGTGTCATTCATATTTTAAGTATTAAAGTTTAATTTTTCCGTGGGAAAATATCAGCTGGAATTCGAATGTGTTCTTCATGTACCCCAATTTATATTTTTTTGACAATCCACTTTGGAAACCACTATCATGAAATGATTATACAGTTATATTTGGACTCTAAAGGATGGAAAGCTTTGTTGTTCACCAGTACAGGAAAAATTACCACATTCTTTAATCCCTTGACCACAGAGAACAATGAGGACAGATGTCTCCAGTAAAGGATAATTAGCACAGTACACTAAATCCTGTTAGCTATTAACAAGGCCTTCATCACTGGTATCATGACTAATTTGGATGAACACTAATGCCAAATAGTTAACCATAGTAATACTTATTAATATGTTGTTCTTCTCCTTTAATTATTTCTCAAAGGCAATAACTGTTAGCTATGCATGTAAATAAATGTCTGTACAATTAAATTCTTAAAATTGTAGATGTCAGTTTAGCTTCTCTTTATTGTTTCCTTCATCTTAGTTTGGTAGCTTTGTAAAGTGCTCAGGAGCATAAACTCTAGAACCTGTCTACTAGGTATGAATATTGGCTCTGTTACCCCCTAATTGTATTACCTTGGGCAAGTTATTTGACCTCTTTCTGCCTCTGTTGCCATAAATGTGAAACAAATGTAATAATAAGAGCAACAACAGAAATAATAATGGTAATGGTGATAATAGTAAGGCAAAGAATGCTTATCCCATTAACTTGGTGAGAGGGTTAAATAAATTAATAAATAGACTTGGAACAATATCTGGCACATAGAAAGCACTCAATATCAGCACTCAAAATTTTAATTTTGGGGGATGTGGAGGTGGTCATTCACTTGAGTTTCAATATAACAGTAGTTTTGAAGTACATGCAGAATGCCACATTATCTCAGAGCGATTATTCATCTAATTGGGTTCCTCTGCAGTCAATGCCTGGTAGAAGAACATTGCTGTTTTCTAAAGTATAAATCTCAAGAGTTTACTGCATTTTTTGATACTGTTACTATCCCAGAGCAATCTATTAAAATTTTTCTCCTTTTGTGATATAAAGAGCCTACTTTAGTATATTTATTATGGTTTCAGATGTTTCAGTGTATTTCAGATCACTTAATTTTTTTCACATAATTGTAGACTGCACTCCCATTTCTCTGAGGTCTGCTTTCTGCTGAGCTGAGTGTTGGTAACCTCAGCAGAGAAATATCTTTTAGCTCTGTAGATACTCCCAAGTGTGCTAAATCCTGACCCTAGTGAGTGCTGAACATGATGAGGCTCATGGTGTTAGCAGAGAGACGCTTCCTAGCAGTGTCATGTAGCTATATGTGGGGGTGAAAGTTATTCTGTCTTTTCTACAAATCTGACAATAGGTGACCAAACACTGTGGCATCATACTTGCTGTGAATTTTGACAAATGTACTAGTACCATTTTATACCTGTGCTTTATACATTTTATTTCTAACCATTACTTTACTAACAAAAAGTGTTTAACAGGTGCTGGCTCAATCCACTGCTTCTGGACACAACTGTACCATGTGTACCAAGGAGTTTCCAAAGAGAAAGAGTTCTGCCAAGACCAAATGTATCATTTTCTGGGTTCAATCCTTTATGTGCCCTTTCATAGACTACATACTTTTAGGACATTTTATCAGTTTTAACACATACACATATATTCAGTCTCCACAATAGTTGGAACATCTAAAAATGTAGCCCCCCTTCCTTTGAGGTCTCTTTCAAACAATTATAGATCAGCCTGTGTGAAGAGGGTGACATCCTTGGGGTTTTCCACTAAGAAGCCAATGTCCTCAGATTATAAAAAGATCAGATGTGAACAAAATTTGAAAGCTATGAAGTTAGGGTTGACATGAAGGATGCCAAGTGTAGTTAAATTTTAGATAAACAATGAATTAATTTTTAAGTGTAAATATGCCCCCAAATATTGCATGGAATTAATATTAATATTTGGAACCAAGATACTGGTATCCTATATTTTTATTTACAACATCTGGCAATCCTATGTGAAGGACCTATAAAGATAAGAATTTTACAGAAGAAATATGGTAGGTTCTATAAATTAGTATTTATTTTAAACTGGATTTTAAATCTCATACAATTTAATATTACATTAAACCTTTTAAGATTTAAAATCCAGTTTAAAATAAATACTAATTTAAAGATAATAAAAACTATAATTATAGGGTATTTCATTATATACATATACACATTGTATTTAGTCCATTCTCACACCGCTACACAGAACTGCCTGAGACCGGGTAATTTATGAAGAGAAGAGGTTTAATTGACTCACAGTTCCTCAGGCTGTACAGGAAGCATGGCTGGGAAACTTGCAATCATGAAGTGAAGGAAAAGCAAGTACGTCTTCACATAGTGATCAGAGAGAGAAGAATAGTGAAGGGAGAGGTGCGACACCCTTTCAAACAGCCAGATCTCATGAGAACTCTGTCACAAGAACAGCAAAGGGGAAAGTCTGCCCCCATGATTCAATCACCTGCACCAGGCCCCTCCTCCAACACTAAAGATAACAATTCAGCATGAGATTTGGGTGGGGGCACAGAGCCAAACCATATCACACCTATATGTACATGTGCGTGTATTTCTCCCTATATTAGATTTCTATTGCTGCTATAACGAATTACCACAATTCAGTGGCCTAAGACGACACAAACGTATTATCTCACAGTTCTGTAGGTTAGAAGTCTGGGTATAGCATGACGCATCTGGTTTTTCTGCTTAGAGTCTCACTGGGCTAAAATCAAGATATCAATGTCTCTGGAGGGACTGCGGAAGAATTCATTTCCATTTTTATTCAGGTTGTTGGCCAAATTGAGCTCCATGCAGTTGTGGGACTAAGACCCCATTTCCTTGCTGGCTGTGAGACGGGGCTCCTACTCAACCTCAGAGGCCTCCCACCTTCCCTGACTCATGATCTCATTCATCTTCAAAGCCAGCAACAGCTGTTGGTGTCTTTTCCTGCTTAAATTTCTCTACCTCCACTTCATTTTTGCCGTATCTCTCCCACCAAATCTCCTCTGCCTCAAAGGCTCATGTGATTATATTGGGCTCAACCAGGTAATTCAGGATCACCTCCCTATCTTAAAGTTTATAACATTAATTCTATCTGTAATATCCCTTTTGCCATATTCACAGGTTCCAGGAATCAAGGTGTGGACATTTTTTTGGAGGGGGAGCCATTATTCTGCTTTACACACACCCAATTTTCTGATACTCTGTGATAAGCATTGTAACTAAGGCACTTAATATGGTAATCTCAATTGGGAAATGGTTAAAAAAAAAAAGAAAATCAGACAGAAGACAAAACCTGTTCTACTTTGATTCCAATTTAACTCATGGACAATTAATAGAGCACAATTTAAAATTCTGATGCTTAAATTAATAACTACATAGGGCCAAGCATGGTGGCTCATGCCTGTATTCCCAGCACTTTGGGAGACCTAGGTGGACAGATCGCTTGAGCCCAGAAGTTTGAGAACAGCTTGGGCAATATGGCGAAACCCCATCTCTACTTAAAATACAAAAAATTAGCCAGGTATGGTGGTGTGCACCTGTGGTCCCAGCTACTCAGGAGGCTGAGGTGGGAGGATGCTTGAGTCCAGGAGGTTGAGGTTGCAGTGGACTATGATTGCACCGCTGCACTCCAGCCTGGGCAACAGAGCAAGAACCTGTCTCAAAATAAATACTTACATACATACATAGCCATTTCTGCAGTGGTATAACGATTGAGAATGAAAAGCTGCTGTATATGGCTATTCAGTAGGCCAGTCAGTAGAAACCCATCTGTTGTTCATAGCAAAAGCAGGTCTGTCCTAGGCCAGTTGACTTAAAGGTAATAAAACTATTTGAAAGAACAAAGACATTGTGATTATGACACATCCTTAAATGAACCAGATTCTGTTTGATATTTATGAAAAATTTAAGCATGGGTCTAAAAGTGCTGTAAGAGAAATCTTTTCATTTTTTTCGATGAGATCTAACATCATATAGATGGCTTCATCAATTATTGAGAAAAAGACTATGAAAAGAAAAATGACTGATTGGGATGCTTCATTTTGAAGTCTGATTTTGAAGCCTTTGGGTTGAATGTACCTGTAGCTCTAAATCCTTCAGAATTAGTTGTCGTTCTTTCACCAACTCATCTACTTAAATTTCTTGTTTTTTTTAAAGACACTTAAAAAATTTTAACACACTGTCAAACAACAAAATGTATGTGCTAAGCTTTGAAATACATGAAATATATGAACTGCATGTATCTGAATTTAAGAAACAGGTCTCTTTATAGATAAATATCACTTAAGATGAAACAAAAAATGACTTTAAATTTAAAATATTGCTTTATCTCAAGAGTTAAGTGTTCATGACTTTGAGTGACTTTTTTTCTTCACAGCTATTTTTATTCTCTTCTGTATTCTGAAGTGCAGCATTGAATTTCAAAGTTCTTATACTTGCCATCTAAGGTCCTTGCCCTGTTTATTTCTATCAAAGTATCATGGAACCCAAGCTGACAATCTGAAATCGTTAAAAAAAAAAAAATGAGACAAAAGTGATAATGAAGGAATATTCATTTACAAATCATTAGTTATCCCTGGTGCTTTTTTGGCACTAACATTTAGAGATTAATAAATGGACCACAGTGGATTAAATAAGCACACACAGATATGCACTAAAGAGTAAAAGTGCATCTCATTTGAAAAGCACTATTTTCTTAATTCAGATGAATACCAATGATTTTTCTTACATTTTAAAGATTTACCCAAGTCTGCTATCATGATATTAGACACTGCCATATAAACATAGTGCTGATAGTATCTTTCTAGCTGTTCAACCCAAAATGGAGACTTTTATCATCTTTCCTCCAAGTCATCACCTCTGGGTTAACTGAAAACTGATTTTTATTATTAAAAATGCTTTCTAATTCTTTATCCTCCTTTTTTGAGGTATCCTTTTTTTTAACCTCATTTCAAACACTTCACACCTATTTCATAAAATTCCCCAAAGATATTTTTCCATACCGTGTAAACTTTATTTCCACCTCTAGGTACATAAACTCATGTGCCTTTAGATGTCTTTAGGTGATACTGATTCTTTATTTAAAGCTTTGACACTGTTAGAAAAAGGATTTGAAGTAGCTTATATATTTATGGATAAAAAGAGGACACAGAAAATATAAACGAGTAAATGTGAGTTTTGCCAGTTACCTCAAATTTGCTGAATATTTTAATATGACATTAGGGGTAACTGGGAAAACTTACATTTTTCTTTATTTACCCCAACTTTGCTGAATATTGTAATATGACTTTGGATCATATCATTCAGGAAATTTTGAGTAATGAAAGAAAAACATATTCTAAATAATTTTAGATAAGTATTTTTTCTGGCAAAAGTTATTATTCTGATACAAAGTTAAAGAAAAAACTTGTTATGACTGTTGTTAATGGCATGGGAGACTTTATTCAGGACTACTGTGATAGGTGTCAAAACTATGGCAGGGGAGAGGCAGATTGGCCCAACTCTGAAATCAGGGGATTTATAGCCAAGGTGCAAGTTAAGGGTAATGGAATAATTACTGAGAAGAGACAACATGGGTAAGAGGAATTCTTGCTAAACTGACTTAACAGGATTCCTACTGAATGGCAAGCCAGGGTGAGCAAATATCAAGGATGTGAGTTGAAGAATTTGATTAGGTATTAAGAACAATCAGGTATCAGAAGTGAGGAGATTCTCTCTAAACTGACTTATCAGAAATTTTACTAAAACTGGACTCCACAAGATCAGACACTGAAGCCCAAAGTCAAGGCTTAACTAGTAGTGAAGGGGACTCACAGGAACCTGGCTAAAGCTTGGTCAAGGAGAGTGTCAGTTTTTTAATGACAAAGGCAAGGGAAGAATATGTTGGCCTACAAAGTTTGCATTGTACAAAACAGTAAAGAATACTCATCATTCTCTACATTTCCATAAAATTGAACTTAGGTCTGATTTTATCATTTGAGTTTCAGTTTTTTTAATATAAGCACATGGCAGGGAGTATGTAGGCAAGATGGCATTTAAACAGAGTGATGAGGGTATGAGCCATGGGAATATCTTAGTGCCCAAATTCAACTGCCCTATGGCATGGTGCATGGGGTACTGGAGAAACTATGATGAACTCACTGTGAGTGGAGTGAAGTGGTCAAAAGATAGAGAAGTAACGCTTGGGGGAAGAGGTATAGCAGAGATCAAATCATTCAGACCTTAAAAGCCACTGTGCAATCTTTTATTTTAACTCTGAATGACATAGGAAGCCATTGGAGGATTCTGAACAGTGAAAAGATCTGACTTACATTTTAAAGAGATCAGTCTGACTGTTATTATGAGATAGATTATAGGAAGATAAGGATGGCAGAAGAGAGATCAATTAGGAGGTTTCTGAAGTAGCACAGAGGAGGCATGATGGTGGCCCGTTTCAGGATAGTGTCTGTGGAAATGGTAAGTAGTTAGTGGTCATATTCTGAACATGTTTTGAAGGTAGAAATAAAGAGTTCACTGACTGATAACTTAGAAGAGTAAGATAACATTTTTTTGAGATGGGGAAGATTGCAGAAAAAAATAGGTTATTTGCAGGAAGAACAGCAGTTTGGTTTTTGACTTTTCTTTAACTCACAATGCCTATTAGACTTCCAAATGGAGGAGTTAGATTGGGCCAAAGGACAGACAAAACAGACATGTAAGATTAGAATGAAGGTTTAGGAAGTACCTGTCTTGGGACTTAGCATTTAAACTAGAATTTAATCAGTTATAATGAATTAGTAGATCAAATAATGAAGGGACAAAAAGTATTCTATAGAGAAAAACAGCATAGGAAAATCCTCAAGGCTTGAGGAGCTAAGAAAGTGATATTCCTATAAACAATTGATAAAGGCGGCAGGAGTATAGTAAACAAAGGGAAGAGTGGCATGAACCATTGGGTCTGATCACCTAGGAAGTGAGAGTACATAAATAGGTTCAATGATTGCTGTTCACAGTAATCATTTATTTCTCTGTGTTGTCCTCCTTCGCCTCTACTGGTCATTCAAGACTGCTTAGAAATCCCTATTTAAGGTGCAGTCTCCTGTGTTCTTTCATGAAACTATGTAAACAACTACCTGGTGCTTTCTGAGTCGTGTTGCACTTGCCTGTTTTCTGGTCATCTCCTCCAGCATACTATAGGTTCTTTAAGGAGAAAGCCTACAGTACATAAATAATTATTGAACAAAACAGCAAATAAACCTTTGCACTTCAAATAAAATCTAAGTGATAATTGTCCCTGTCCTCCTCACCCAACTCATGTCATGCCACTCGTCGCTTTGCTTACTATACTCCAGCCATCTTTATCAATTGTTTGTAGGAATATCACTTTCTTAGCTCCTCAAGCCTTGAAGATTTTCCTATGCTGTTTTTCTCTGTAGAATACTTTTTTTCCCTTCATTATTTGATCTACTAATGCATCATAACTGATTAAATCCAGGTTTAAATGCTAAGTCCCAAGACAGGTACTTCCTAAACCTTCATTCTAGTCTTACATGTCCATTTTGTCTCTCCTAACAATTCTAATTTGTGAATTAATAGCATTTATCACAGTTTGTAGATTTATAAGGATTGTATGATTATTTGTTTACTATCTGTTTCTCAATAGAATATATGAGAACAAAAGACCATGTCTGTTTTAATCATCAGTAGGTACCTAGCCCTTGCCACTGCACCAGACACTTAATAGGCCCTTTAAAAAAATTCTTAGCATAAGTGAAAATAAAAAGTTCCGCATATTTGTATTATTATCAATGAATGTGGATAATATAATCAGTATATTTGTGATTTTTGGATAACATGAAACTATAACGCCTTTTGATAAACATGTTTTAATCTGTTTTCTCTTAAATTTGGAAAAATATGAGCTAATGGAATAAGAATTAGTCTCCCACTTGCCCAGCAGCACCTGGGTTTTATAAGTATGTAAACATTTTCCATTTTTACAGAAAAAATGTACTTTCAAGATTTGGATCACCTCAGGGAATGTTCCATTTCCTCTCTTCACTAGTTCAGCATGTGATGTAGAAGAGCATATCCAAAATGAATGTGAACTTCTGAGAAACCATTAGCAGTATGAGCAACTATTTTTCAAACTCAGTTTTATTGAAAACAGAAGTTTAAGAAACTTAAATAAATTACTATTTATGTGGAAAACTTGTGGATCTAGAGAACAGCTTTTCTCGTCATTTACTTTATCTTCTAAGTCTTTCTTTGTTGAGATAGCAAGATCAATATAAATACCTCATAAAAATTATTTAAAGTTTTTCAAACCAATAATGGGTAGGCATATATTATTTAGACTAACCAAATTTTACAACTCTTATTTGTAAATATATGTGCATATATTTATAAAATTAAATACAGTTGTTTCCAAATTTATACAAAGAAGCTATAGCTATTGAAATCTAGAAAATACTAAGTATTCCAGTTTCATGAGTATGAAAGACTACTTATAAAATTAAATATTATTTAATTGTCATTTCAGTTAATTATTTGAGCATACAAAGAGGATGGAACTATCACCTAAATCAATTTAAATATTCTTTATCTCACCTCTACAATTGCTAAAGTATGGAAGCATTACTATAATTAGGATTAATTACTCATATAATTAGAAGTAATGGACATTTGGAAACAGGAAATAGAGACTAGACCCCTTATTCTTCCGAGATTTCCTCTCAAGGACCCCTCCATACAAAAGTGGCAACATGAAATTCTCAGGCCCATTATTTTATACTGCTGTTTGTAATACTACAATATGCTAAATTTCATTTTGAGAGGCTACATAAAACTCATTAGAAGATAGAAAAAAGAAATGTTTTAAAACTGTAAGCTTCTGAATTACTAGTAGAAGAATTAGCTGAAAATTATAATGTTGCACTTTGTTGTTGTCATTTCAAAGTGTCTTTGGAAAAATCTGCTTGAATTAATAAAATAGATTTCATAAGGGATTAGCCTTCCAACTATTTCTATAATATTTAATATTTTAAATTATTGGCATGCTCATATTAGACTATCTATACATTTAACATATACCCTTCATTTAGCCTTCTAACACTGCAAATATGACTTGGAGGTCTTCAAAACTATAGAAAAAGGAAAATAAGAGGCAACTTTTCATAATGCAGTCACAATAAAAAGGGTGACAACTCTCCAATTCTATTTAGCCCATATTACAAAATACAAATAATAGAATGTGTTAACATTTATTTGCCTAACAACAAACATTTAATTCATTGATTAACATTTTGAAAGCATCCACGGTTAAATCAAGGAAAAAGAAATATTAACATTTGTATTAGGAGAGAATCTAGATAAATCATACGAGAGAAAGTACATTCAAACATTTCCTCACATTAGAAACTGAGAGTGTTTTGTTGAGTTTTCTTATTTCTTTTCAATCTTTCAATTTTTCTTTTCCAGTCTAAATTTTTAAAGGGTTCACGGAATTATCACTAACACATTTCTTCAAAGAAACAGTATAGAAATTACTGAACAAAAATTTGCTTTCTTTAGTGTTTATAAAGCTTTCCAAACCAAAATTTAACTTAATGTATATATTAATCATATTAGTGGCAGCAGATGATACTCATCAATCTTTAGGTATGATGATAACATCTGAAGAAGTTTCATAAACAGGTTGCTTTCGGTACCACTTGTACTGATAATTTTCAGTGATATTGTAAAGAACTATATAAATGCCATGATTTTTAGTTTCTATCTTATTGAAATCTTTACCATTTATTTTCTTTATATGTATCCAATTTAAGATGAAAACTATCTCTTCTTTGAAATTAATTCTTTTTCCAGGTTAATCTCTTGGCTTTTGGAGTCATCATATACAAAGTTTTTCGTCACACTGCAGGGTTGAAACCAGAAGTTAGTTGCTTTGAGAACATAAGGTAAATGCGTCTTTAAGTTCACTTTTTTTTTTTTTTTTTGGTAATTAAAAGCTTTAGTAACTCAAAGTACAAATAATTTGGGGAATTATTTTTAAATGATTGTTTCATACTTTACCATATTTAAAAGACGCATCGGAAAATAGCATTTAGTATGTATATTAAGACTACAATTACTGCAGATTCAGTGGTAAGAAGCAATTTTTTCAAACATACACCCCTTTGAAAGGGAAAAGACGATGACTGTGTTTTAAGGCAAGGAAGGCCTTAGTGATTTTCTTTTGTAAAATGCTTTTCAGAACTTAGTAACTGTTTCTTTCTTGTTATCCCTAGTTTGCATGTTGTCATGATTTTTCCTTTACACCCACCCTCCCGCTTTAAAACTGATTTATTGAAACCTTGAAAATGATTTGTTCAGGAAGAGCTGAATTATACTATAGGGAACACTGGAAACCAAGGACTATTTGTGTTGCTTGGGAACACTCCTGTAGTTTCAATACTTTGCACAAGATTTATAGTTGGGATTTAATAAATGTTTGATCGATTACTTTCTTTTAGTCCTCACCAGTTATGGTTTCATGTAGTGTACTGGTTTTAATAAAGTTGAAAATGACTCATTTTCTGAGGTACACTGCTAAAACATCTGCTGCAATAAAGAATGACTGGACTAAAAATGAATGAGAGAATAATCATTAGTTGCTTCATTTCCAAGGCAATGTCCTTAGTGAGCAGGGTAGAATATTGTTTTACCAAAAGTCACAGGCATTCTGCTGAAAAGATGTAAGAGTGCGTATGTGTGTGTATTTTTTCTTTAATTTTTAAGAAAACAGTATTCTGTGATGAATTTATTTTGACATATTTTTGTATTGCAAAAGCAAAACAAAATAAAACAAAACCCTATTTTTATATCCTACACGTTCGTTTCTTCTCAACCTGAAAGAAAAGCAGAGCCTCCTTTGATGTAGTAGATATGTGCTGACCCCAGTCCACATGGTATACTTTCTTTTCGGAGTTTCTTAGGGAAAATACTTCCTAACAGATATATGTCTTACCTTTGGGAATTCCTGCAACATTACATTTGAAATCAAAGCATGCACACTGCAGTACACCAGACAAAAATATTTTAAGGTGAAGGAAATTACTTAATCTTAAACATAATAACATGTTTTGGTAACAGCAATTTGACTTTGGAAGCACACCCCTGCCACGGTTCAGTAGCAGCAACATACCCTAAATGCTGTCACACCTAACTGCAGCACAACTTAGCAGTTTGGAAATTCTATTGGGTCTATTTGTAAAAGGTTTCTTGGTTATACTGAAAACTCACCTCCCACATAATTTGAGTAATTTGGGAGATATGTTGACTATACGTAGCTTTCTTCACTGACGCATTTCTCATATGTGATAGGTCTTGTGCAAGAGGAGCCCTCGCTCTTCTGTTCCTTCTCGGCACCACCTGGATCTTTGGGGTTCTCCATGTTGTGCACGCATCAGTGGTTACAGCTTACCTCTTCACAGTCAGCAATGCTTTCCAGGGGATGTTCATTTTTTTATTCCTGTGTGTTTTATCTAGAAAGGTAAACAATTTCTTATTTTGGTGGTTCCTAGTATATTCATGTAACATCAGTTGCCAAATTGATAGAAAATTCTTACTCTCATAGATTTATGACTTCTGCCTTTATTGCCTAAATCGCCTAGCTGTTCATAGGAAAATATGCTTTTAAAAGAACCTTGGTATTAGGGATATAAATATAACTTAAATGGACATATTCTGAGCTATAATACTTTAGAAAACCATATGTAACAATTTATTGTGATTTGAAAAAGAAATTAAATGTGATTGTTATGATTAACATTTCTTCCTTTCCTTTTTTTAATTTTTAGATTCAAGAAGAATATTACAGATTGTTCAAAAATGTCCCCTGTTGTTTTGGATGTTTAAGGTAAACATAGAGAATGGTGGATAATTACAACTGCACAAAAATAAAAATTCCAAGCTGTGGATGACCAATGTATAAAAATGACTCATCAAATTATCCAATTATTAACTACTAGACAAAAAGTATTTTAAATCAGTTTTTCTGTTTATGCTATAGGAACTGTAGATAATAAGGTAAAATTATGTATCATATAGATATACTATGTTTTTCTATGTGAAATAGTTCTGTCAAAAATAGTATTGCAGATATTTGGAAAGTAATTGGTTTCTCAGGAGTGATATCACTGCACCCAAGGAAAGATTTTCTTTCTAACACGAGAAGTATATGAATGTCCTGAAGGAAACCACTGGCTTGATATTTCTGTGACTCGTGTTGCCTTTGAAACTAGTCCCCTACCACCTCGGTAATGAGCTCCATTACAGAAAGTGGAACATAAGAGAATGAAGGGGCAGAATATCAAACAGTGAAAAGGGAATGATAAGATGTATTTTGAATGAACTGTTTTTTCTGTAGACTAGCTGAGAAATTGTTGACATAAAATAAAGAATTGAAGAAACACATTTTACCATTTTGTGAATTGTTCTGAACTTAAATGTCCACTAAAACAACTTAGACTTCTGTTTGCTAAATCTGTTTCTTTTTCTAATATTCTAAAAAAAAAAAAAAGGTTTACCTCCACAAATTGAAAAAAAAAAAGTGAAAAAAATCTGTTTCTAAGGTTAGACTGAGATATATACTATTTCCTTACTTATTTCACAGATTGTGACTTTGGATAGTTAATCAGTAAAATATAAATGTGTCAAGATATAATATTGTTTATACCTATCAATGTAAAAACAGTGTAATAAAGCTGAAGTATTCTATTACCTTTCAGTGAAGTGAAAGTTATACTATCTCATTAGTATATTTGAATCCTTTATTATTTTTAATTTTATAAATATCACAGTTCACATTGCAATATTCCCTTTAATTTACTATTTTTAAAGGGGTATTGTAAATATGAAAGTATTTATAAAGTGAATTGCTATTTTTTCTGTTCAGAAAAGTACACACTTAAAATTGTTATTGTTAACAATGTGTAAACACATTTAAAATTGTTATTGTTAACAAAGAAATCATGGAGAACTGTAGAGGTTTTCACAGTGGATCCATTTTCTGACAGTTTTCTACTATCTATTAAATCATATCTGCTTAAATATATAGCTTCTATCTGTCTTTAAATCTTCTCATTAAAATGTATAAGCAGTGATTTTGATCTCAAAAATAGGTAATTTTTCTTTGCCGACCTGTAAAAGTGTGCCAATACACTAAATTTGTGATTTTAAATTAATTCCTCCAGCTGTTGAAATGAAGTCTGCCAAATCTTGCTCTAACAAATAAAATGTTATCTAAATGAAGTAATTCCGCTACAGCTTTGCTGAATTCCTGTTCTCAAGAAAGATGAGCTACCTGCCAAGGGTCTTTTACATTTTTAGGGAATCCATGATAATAACTTCTCATTATCTTCTAATTTCTTACATGGTAAGCCTGTGACCTATTATTATCAGTGCCATTGCAGGATAATGTTATAGAAATGTGATATTGAAAATACTCATCTGTTTAATAGATATATTCAAAACTTCCCGTGGTAGACAGAATAATGCCCCCTCCCAAAAAAATGTCCATGCCCTAATCTTCAGAACCTCTTAATATGGTAGATTACATGGTGAGGAGAATTAAAGTTGCAGATGAAATTAAGGCTATTAATCAGCTGACCTTGAGATGAGGAGATGATTCTAGATTATCCGGGTGGGCCCAGTGTCATCACAATGTCCTTATAAGTGAAGGAGAGATTCAGAAGAAGGGCAGGAGTTACAGTGATGCAGTGTGGCGCAGACTCTACCAGCCATTGCTGGCATTGAAATGGAACTCCACAAACCAAGAAATGAGGACAGCCTCTAGAAGCAGAAAAAGGCTTGAAATGTATTCTTCCCTGGCATCTCCAGAAGGGAGTCAGCCCTGCTGATAACTTTGTTTTAGCTCAGGGAAACCTATTTCAGACTTCTAAACTCCAGACCTATAAGATAATAAGTTTATGGTGTCTTAAGCCGAGTTTGTGAATAATTTGTTACAGCAGCCATTAGGAATGAATACGATGGAAATATTTATGTAATAAGATCTTTGGAGATGAACTACTGTTCAGATCATTAGGGCAAGCACTCACCCAACTGTCTTCTTTTCATCCACCTTTTCATAGATATCATTGGACAAAGCTTATATTTGTTAGTATGACAGTTAAGAGCTTCTCATATCTACTTTCCTCCCCAGTTTTCATTTTTGCCTGACAAGTTTATTCAGTTATACCAAACACTTTACCTTTCCCCAAATTTGCCATGGTTTACCGAATTCCCCTTTTCTGGAATTTCGTCCTTGTGACAATCATTACTCTGGCAAATATTACTTGCCCTTAATGCATCTTTCTTTAGGAAGCCTTCTCTGACTCACACAAGGAATTAATCATTTCTACCTTTGTCTCACCACTCTATCTAGTACTTATCTATTTAACATTTATTACACTGTATTGTAATTATTCAGCCCAGCTCAGGACATTCACTGGATGGTGTTCTGTTATTTCTTAAACACAGGTACCCTTTTTATTTTGGGTTTCCTGAATCGATGTTACTTATTTTCTGTTGCTTCCTGACCACATGTTTGATGTCATAAGAGGTCTGCACCCTCTGAACAATCTGGCCTTTGCTCTTTTGCTTTACCTATTCCGTTCTGGAAGCCCACTTAGCCAAGCCTTTCATGCTTGTCTCACACACACCATGCAATTAGGTGGAAAGGGATGACCCAGCAACTTCAAATTAGTAAAGTAGAGAAGGCAGAGTAATTAGGTGAGCAATATAGCTTTGAGCATATATTATTCAATTCAGTTTTTTCAGAAAAGACATTTTTGGAGGATTTGTAAGGAGCTTACCAAAATAATAAAGTTATGCTTCATTTTCCATTTGGTTGTCTTTCCTCATGTTATTCCTTATTCCACTTCCTCATTTGATAGTGAGTTAGGTAAATATTAAGATTTGAGACTCAACCACCTTAACCTGTAAAATATGTCACAAGATCATCAGTAAATACTAAATTACAAACTCTTCTTCACAAACAAACAAAGGGGGAGTTATAAAATCTCAGAAGATTCAATCAAATAACTTAATACTTTAAGCTTGGCCTAAAGCAATGAGATGGACAGACACCAGGGAAGTATAAGATAAATTCTCTGACTGTGTGAAAACTTGCTATTAACTAGAGATGTAATAATCCCCTAATAAAAAATATCTGTTCGTCAACCGATTACACTGTAGTTGGGAAAATTTTATTTACATGCAATATAATAATTAGAAATAACATGAGGGTCTATAAACAAATAATCCACAATCTTCATACTAGGCATAACTAATAAGCCTTTCATAATTTGATGATGACATCATTTATTCAGTCCTTTTCAATTTAATGCTAGCCCCATAAAATTAAATGCTGACTCTGCATCATTAATTTTCTATATATTCTATCTAACTTTCTACACACATCTTCACTGCCCTACAAAATAGGACCCATTTGTATGTATCACATTATTGTCTAATTTCTCCAACATGAAATTTTTGAGGGAAGCATGAATTATGAATTCAGTATGAATCCAGAAATAGTACCCCATTGTTCAAGTTTTCCCCCTACCTGGAATGTCTTCTCAATGCAAATTTTACCCATCATTCAAGACTTCACATTATGAAGCTCTCTGGTCAATTTGGTCCTTATTAATTTCCACAATCGCTACCACTATAGCACTTACAGGGTGTACATGATAACATAACACTTAATAAGAATCATTGTAAAGTCATCATTCAGTGCTCAAGCTTCAAGTTCCTAGGTTTTAGATTACAGATAGGAGTTAAATAACTTGGTAAAGGCATTTAAAGAAAATATTTCTTTCTTGAACGTTGATACAGTTTTAAATAGTTAAACTGTGCTATCCCATTTAATTCTCACACTAACATATGCAATTCTATCCTTATCTTTTCAACGTGAAAAGTGTCTAATGTCACACAGGTAGGAAATAGCAAAGTTAGTTTTCAAACTCAAAGCTACAGCTCCTGCTGCTCCCCTATAGGAGCTCTCACAAACTTGCTCAGACTCAGATAAGGATTGAAAATGGCTGGATTCATACCCAAGCTTTCTGCCTCTGTAGGGTATATTCCACAGCTATACATTTGTATAGTGTAAGGATAATATTCCAGTTTACAATTATGTTCTCTTGAGGCTAGAGGAAGCATGACATACTTTTTTATTTTTTCTTTGACACCGAGTCTTGCCCTTGTTGCCCAGGCTGGAGTGCAATGGCACTATCTCGGCTCACTGCAACCTCCACCTCCTGAGTTCAAGTGATTCTCTTACCTCCACCTCCTGAGTAGCTAGGATTACAGGCACGCGCCACCACGCCCAGCTAATTTTTTTGTAATTTTAGTAGAGACAGGGTTTCTCCATCATGGCCAGGATGGTCTCAATCTCTTGACCTTGTGATCAGCCCGCCTTGTCCTCCCAAAGTGCTGGGATTACAGGCTTGAGCCACCGCACCCAGCCGACATACTTTTTTAACATGGGATTTTAATGTCTTTTCTACATGCATCTGTGATTTGAAATAAGTGCATAGCATAAGTTTTAAGTTAATGTGTTTTTATTCTTTTTCTCTCGCTTCGCTGCCCTTTCCTTGCACATTTATTCCCATCCCCCATTCCTACTCACACCCTCAACCAGGCAATTCATGTTAACCAACTGGCATATATTCTTGCATATTGTTCTTCCTGTTCATATCATCTTATTGAGAACGTTAATATGACATCACATTATAATAATGCCTACGTTACCTGCTTTTCTCACTTGCTAAATTAACAAGTATAGCCCATTAATTCATTTAATGGCTGAATAATATTTTGTATTGAGGATGTACCATAATTGCACAGCTGATATACAATCTGAACTAATGCAATAATATATTGGAAGAGCTCACTGCCTTTCAAAAATAATGTTCCCTATGCCATACGGCTTGGTTTTGTTGTTGAAAATACCAAATGCTAATGTTGTTTTTTTTCTTAAGATGAATGTGGACCCATGTTGATGAGCCAAAACATCATAACCCTTTCATTGATATAAAGGTTGTTTGATGTTTCTAGTAAGTATTCAGTGAAAATCATACTATGGATTTGAGATCCACAAAGCTCCTTGAGCATTTTCATTTAAGTGAAAAGGATTTGAATTATTTACCCTACATTGATGGCTTGAGCAAGCATTAAGATTGGTAAGCAATCTGAAAGTGCAGAACATTTTACCTGGTATTTCATTCAGACATTGCACATCACAGGTTTGTGTGATAGTTATGATTAATATAAAATGAGAGGGTTAGTTTAGCTGCAACGGATCTCTTCTGGTGCCAATGTACTATGTTTCTAATTCCAACCCCCCATTTGAGGCAATGTAAATAATAAGGTCTACAAAGTATATTACAATTTTATGCCCTCAAAAATAAGGGAAAAAATAATAGGTTTCTTTCAAAATTGTCCTTAAGAAATGTGGTTTTATTTCCTATCAGGCTGCAATTTGCTGTATATCAACATCTAAGGGCCAGGCAGCTCAACCTGAAAATGATTATTTTCTTTCTTTTTCTTAATGTATCAGAAAGTGGATCTAAAAGAACCTTCAGTATGCAGGGGGGTTAATTATCTTGGCAGTCAGTTAAGCTTTGGAAGTTTTAGGTGATAAGAACAGAGCCCTAAAAAAGACTCCCTGCTACTGCTGCCTGCTGTGAAGAAACAGCCATGTGTTGCCACCACTGCAAATATCGCTCGAATTACCCTAAAATTCCCCTGCTTTTCTGTGCATCCTGGCTCCTGGAGAGCGGCACTGTGCCAGTGAGGTCATTTATTCTGTCACTTCAGCCCACACGGCAATCATGACAACTACAACTTTCACTCAATCTAATGCAGGAGGCTTTTCTGCAAGACCTTAGATGACCCAAGTGAGGAATGTAATTATTCAAAACAACAGTGTTTCTTGTTCCTCAAGTGCTGCCAACTTCTCTGCAGAGCCACCTAAATGCTCCCCAATTTTATCTTCCCACTCAGATCAATTTCTCAGATTCTCCTAAAGGGGTGTGTAAATAAACAATCACCTCTCACATTTTAGAACTTTACTTTCAGAGAGGCAGTAACAGCGGTGTGGATGCAAGCTCAGATTCTGCAGTCAGACCACCTTGGCTAGAATTCCCTTCCTAACAGAGTTGGTTGTATAACCTTGGGCAAGTTACAACCCTAGACCTCAGTTTATCACCTAGGAAATAGAGATAACAATGATATAATGTTGTTTTCAGAATTAAATCACTTAATATATGGAAGACAATTAATACAATGATTAGCACATGGCACGTGGTATCTAAGTATTAGCTATTGTTATTATAACCCTCATGAACAATTACTGACCATGCACTTACCAGGTACTAGTGACTGTTCTCAGTATGTGGTGGAGTTAACCAGTAAAAATCATGAAAACTGAGAAAAAATAAACATAAATATCTTGTTCAAAGTGAAGATCTCCACATTATTGATTTATCAGCAAGTTATTTCTGAAACAAGCAAGGAAACAGTAAAAACAAAAGTGAATAATAATAAAGTCAAACTGTAGATTTACTTTCTTTATTTTCTATCATCCCCCAATCTAGTTTCTCCCACCGCCCCCCCATTTCACCCCACCCAAAAACTCCAACTTCAAGTTTCATTGCCCTCTAATATGGAGCTGGAAGTATGCCAAAAAGAAGTTTAAATGTTCGACTTTGTTGATGTGTTCTCTGGAGTGCGGTTGCAGCCCAGGTCCCACATTCTCTGTATACACAGAAATCCTGCCCCTGCAGGTGCTAATGTACTTCAGTTACAATTAAAGTGGTTTTACTGTAAAAAATTTTCATCAATATATTTTTATTTAAATATAATTATTATTAGCATTTACATGAAGCTAAAAAATATTTTCTCTTCTTTAAACATAGTGCACATAAACAAAGACATTTTATTATTCTCAGCTTTCCACGTACTACCATAAATAAGGAAAAAATTTACACTGGCATTTGGGTACTTTTTTCAGCGTATTATATATATATAAAGAATATATATATAAAGGATAAATATATATAAAGAATATGTATATAAAGGATAAATATATATAAAGAATATATATATAAAGGATAAATGTATATATTCTCGGTTCAGGACACTTTCCAGTCATTTCATTTACTCTTGCCTAATTTAAGATGACAGAAAGCATGCTCCTTTAAAACACAATCCTGATATCTTTAAAGGAAAAAGCAAATGAGCTATTTTAATACTTGAGAAAAACTGATAAGGGAATTGCCAATAGAAAAGAAGAAATATTCTTTAATAAATACCAATTACTTGTTTGTAAAATGCATTTGGCTTTACCTATTTATGCTATTTAAATGTTCTGCATTGTTTCCTGAACAATAGATTTCTTTGTTACATAAAGGTAATTTCTAGCTTCCATATTTAGTAAACTAGATATTACAAATTTTTTAGATAAAAATTAACTAGAAATTTTATTATTTGCTAATTTGAGAATCCAGATTTCCATTATATCTGCCATCCTCATCTGCCAATCTTGTTATTTTGATGAAGAATGCTTCAGAGATTAGAAACATATTTCTTCATTCTTCTATGCACTAAAGTATAAGACATACTTAGCATTGTGTGATTTTTTTCCAAACAAATTTGCATTCATAGATAGAATAAGCTGAATAAGTCTACATAGCCAAACATTTTTTTCTACTTGCTCCAATAGCACTAACAAATAGGAAGCTCTTGCTTGCTCCCCAAAGCTCCATTTCCTTGAAAGCAGAAGTGTAATATTACTTCTTAGTATCCTCCCATTTTCTTTGTGAGACTCAGAAAAGGTAAATGGATTAATATGTATATTTTTGACTTGGACATGATGTGAATTTCTTACATAAATAATTATGTACATATGGTCATTTTACAAAATGAATTTAAGGTGCTTTACAAAGATGGATAAAATATAAACTGGATAATACAAATATAAAACAAGAGAGTAGAGTCAAAGGAAAAACAAGGGTACTGTCATAAAATGGAGGTAAAAACTTTAATAAAATATGAGTGCTTTATTCACTTAAGTTCTGTCCTGTTATCTGTTGCTGTGTAACAAAACCACTCCTGAATCAAGTGCCTTAAAACAGTGATTCATTATTGTTTCTCACATTTCTGTTGGTTGATTGGCCTCAGCAGTGTAGTTATCACCCAGAGTTTCTCATGCAGCTGTGGTCAGATATTAACTGAGGCTACAGTGATCTGACATGGCTGTCGACTGTAATCTTGACAGCGGCTGCCCACCAAACACCCATTTATGGTCTCTCCATGTTATTTGGGTTTCACACAGCATAGATTCTGGGATTCTTGAGGGAGCATCCTGAAAGCAAGCATTACAAAAGGTTCTAGTAGAGACTGAAAACCTTCTTATTACCTAACCTCAGAAGTCATATCACTTACTTTTGTGAAAGCAGTCAGTCACAAAGCCCACCCAGACTTAGGAGGAAGGAGAAATAGATCCATCTCTTAATGGAATACTAACAAGGTCACATTGCATAAGAGCATGTGGGAATGGGAATATTATTGAGGTCCTTTTTAGAAAATACAATCTGCCATAAGTTTTTTTTTTGTTTTTTTTGTTTTGTTTTGTTTTTTGTTTTTGTTTGTTTTTTTGAGATGGAGTCTCCCAGGCTGGAGTGCAGTGGTGCCATCTTGGCTCACTGCAAGCTCTGCCTACCGGGTTCACGCCATTCTCCTGCCTCAGCCTCCTGAGTAGCTGGGACTACAGGTGCCCGCCGCCACGCCCAGCTAATATTTTTGTATTTTTAGTAGAGACAGGGTTTCACCGTGTTCACCAGGATGGTCTCGATCTCCTGACCTTGTGATCCCCCCGCCTCGGCCTCCCAAAGTGCTCGGATTACAGGCGTGAGCCACTGCGCCCGGTTCTGGGATACATGTGCAGAATGTGCAGATTTGTTACATAGGTATACATGTGCCGTGGTGGTTTGCTGCACCCATCAACTTGTCATCTACATTAGGTATTTCTCCAAATGCTATCCCTCCTCTAGCCCCCAGCCCTGCCATAAGTTTCACACTCTTGCTATTATCTATATATCACAATAATATCCTTACATTAGACAAAGCAAAGCATTTTATAGGACTGTTGCCTGTAGTGTCCTTGAGTGTAGACCAATAAAATTGCACCAAAGAACAATTTAGTTAAAGCAATAAAAGCCATAAAAATCCCAAATTATATGAGCTAGGTAACTATTTTATGCTCTTATAGCTTTACTTAGGGGTATATTTTTAAAATCAGTATCAGTATTCTCCATATTGTATTCTAGTATTTTGAATACAAGTATTCTGATTGCTAGTAATAGGGCCCTATTTGAAAAAAAATAAATTAATAAAGGCATTCTATAAGTAGAGTTCTTTTTAGAAATCCTACATAGTTCACTCATTCTCACACTCCAACTACACCATAGACTTGAGTCAGCCAGTCAAAATATTTTAATATATAAAAGTTTGGAGAATTATTGCCATTCTAAAAAACACAAATCCAAATATTGAATTAGTTTAACGTAGTTTTGCTGCACCTTTTAAGACTCAGAACACTTTTTTTCCCTTAGGATACCAATTAAGATATGAGAGACCTCACAGAACACAGATCAGGAAAGATTAACATGATATAATACAGAATTTTCACACTCTTCAACCATCATCCATCCATAATTATTCACTTTATGATATGGTTTAGAAGTGTATCCCCTCCAAATCTCATGTTGCAACGTAATCTCCAATGTTAGAGGTGGAGCCTGGTGTAAGGTAATTAGGTCATGGGGGTGGATTCCTCATGAATGGTTTAGTGACATCCTCTTGATGATAGGTGAGCTCTTGCTCAGATAGTTCATGTGAGATCTGGTTGTTTAAAGGAACATGAAACCCACCCTGCCGCCCCCAGCCCTTGTTCTGCTCTTACTACATGATGCGCCTGTTCCTCCTTCACCTTCCACCATGATTAGAAGCTTCCCAAAGCCCTCACCAGCAGCAGATGCCAGCACCATGCATCTTGTATAGCCTGCAGAACCATGAACCAAAATAAACCACTTTTTGTCTCACGCGTTCGTGTGAAGAGACCACCAAACAGGCTTCGTGTGAGTAATAAAGCTGTTTATTTTACCTAGGTGCAGGCAGGCTGAGTCCAAAAAGAGAGTCAGCAAAGGGTGATGGGATTATCATTAGTTCTTACAGGTTTTGGGATAGACAGTGGAGTTAGGAGCAATGTTTTGTGGGCAGGGGGTGGATCTCACGAGTACATTCTCAAGGGTGGGGAGAATTACAAAGAACCTTCTTAAGGGTTGGGGAGATTACAAAGTACATTGATCAGTTAGGGTGGGGCAGAAACAAATCGCAGTGGTGGAATGTCATCAGTTAAGGCTATTTTCTTCTGTGGATCTTCAGTTGCTTCAGGCCATCTGGATGTATACATGCAAGTCACAGGGGATATGACGGCTTAGCTTGGGCTCAGAGGCCTGACATTCCTGTCTTCTTATATGACTAAGAAAAGCAAAACAAAATAGTGGTGAAGTGCTGGGTCAGCGAAAATTTTGGGGGGTGGGAGGGAGAGATAATTGGCGATGTCTCTCAGGGCTGCTTCAAGAGGGATTAGGGGCGATGTGGGAACCTAGAGTGGGAGATATTAAGCTGAAGGAAGATTTTGGGGTAAGGTGATATTGTGGGGTTGTTAGAAGGAACATTTGTCATACAGAATTATTGGTGATGGCCTGGATGCAGTTTTGTATGAATTGAGAAACTAAATGAAAGACACAAGGTCCAAATAAGAGAAGGAGAAAAATAGGTGTTAAAGGACTAAGAATTGGGAGCACCCAGGACGTCCAATTAGAGAGTGTCCAAGGGGGTTCAATGTTATTGTTTGCTTAGTTGGCGAGTTTTTGGGCTCTATCCTTGAGTTTTTTATGTTGTCATATACCAGGCCAGATTGATTTAGGTAAAAACAACACTCTTCATTTAAAAATATATACAGTCCTCCTTTTTCAGCAGTGAGTAAATCGAGGTCTCGGCGGTTCTGGAGGACAACTGCAGCTAAAGAGTCAACCTGGGCTTGGAGAACGATAAAGTTTGTGATATATTTGTAATGATAGCAGAGAAGTCATTAGAGAGGCTGCAGAATGTTGTGGCAGTGGTTGAGATGCCTGCTATTCCAGTTCCAAGTGCAATAGTGCAGGCAGAAAGTCCTAGACCCACAAGTAAAGGGACTAGTGGGATGACTCTTTTTTGTCATGTTGATGTCATGAGGGGGACAGGCAGTTGTTCATTCCCATCTGCAAACTGGATTTTGGGGGTAAGAAAAACTAGAGTACATGTGCCCATCCAGTTGGCAGGTAGGCACACATAGGTGGAAGAGCCACATAAAAAGAAGAGACCTTGTGTCAGGCAGAACTGGAAATGTAAAGTGAAAAGGTGAGAGGGTGTACTGAAAGAGGAATCCTACACCCAAAATCCTAGAGATCCAGCAAGGGCAGCAGCCATTAGAGGTTGTAATGGGGATTGATGGTGCAACTGCGTATAGCGAGGGGTTCAGTTTTCATGCTGTATGAGAAAGCACATAGTGTCTACAAGTAACCTTTCACTGCTATTTATGGGGCTGGGTATAAGAAAGCAAGAGGAAGGGCTAGGAGGAGATTCAGACGAGCAGCGGGAGGGTAGCCAAGGATGTAGTGAGATGCAGGGTAGGTGTCTTCCTGAACAATAGTGACTGCCAATGTTTTTTAGTTTGTCAGTAATGATAGAGGGCTTATCAGTAATGTGAAGTTGGAATGCTCCCATCTGTTTGGTAATGTGTGCGGCTGGGTTCTGGAGATAAAGAGTAAAGGAACATTTGGACAGTGGAAGGTTGCCTAAAGGGATTCCAGTAGGCTGTTGTTGGGAGATGCATAAAGGAATGGCAACAGGGATAGTTGTTTGTGTGGTTAGGGATCCAAATATGGGGCGGGTGAAACTGACATAAGGAGAAAGTTGCCGTAAGTAGATGCGGAAAAGTGTGGCAGCTTGTTGGTGTGAAATGTCTGGAGAGTTCTCACCAAATCTGTCTAGAAAGTAAAGAAGTTCCTCAGGCGGGTACAGATGAGGGCTATTAAAGGAGGTTCTGAGGTGTAGGGAGATGGGGCAGGTAGCCCAGTCAGCCTGTAGCGTGGGGATGGCTGTGTAAAAGCAGGAAGAAAGGGAAATGCATAGCCAACAACCCTTTGCTAGAGAAGGATTGGAGGCAGTGAGGAGAGAGTGGGTGAGATTGACAGCATGCTGGAGGTAACTAGGGAGAGGTAGAGAGTGGCATAAGAATGGGAATGAGAATAAGAGTGAGTAGAAAACTAAAGAATAGAACTTCATCAGGGTGGAAGTATTGGAGGATGCCCTACCACCAAAAATCATCTATCCACTCTAAGAGGGAGTCAAGAGTGGCGGTTTGGGGATAGCACCAGAAGATATCAGCTGTGATGTCTTGGAGGAACAATGTAAACCGGCAGTGTAAACAAGAGCAGGTCATTTATGAGTAGTTGAGAATGGTGAATAGGAGTATGACTAGACAGAATATAGTAGGAATGACAACTTTTTGGGGCGCAGTCTAAGTAGTGGGGGTGACTGTGTAAAGCCCTGTTGCAAAGAGTAGGGTAAGGATGGATAGACCTAATAGAATGAAGGGATGTATTAAGCTCATAAGGGTTCTTATTGTTCTTCAGAAATGTGAGTGAGTTTAAGGGAAGTAGGGGAGAGTACTTGCGACTTCCAGGAGGAAGAGGAGATATCAGTCTGGCTGGCTGACAGACACAGCTTTATCCTGGAATGGTGAACCCAGTGGGGAGGGTCCTATAGGTGGATAGTGGTTAGAGTACTATAGATGACTAAATAGGGTCCGGTTCATCGAGGTTGTAGAGTTTGAGGGGTCAGATTCTTAACAAGAACTGATCGTCCAGCTAGGGTGTCTTCCTGTGGCTGGGAATCTGGAGTAGGCAAGAGAAGATTAGCAGCAGGGCGAATTTCCTGTCTAGCCTGCTGGAGGACTGGAAGATAGTCTCCTAGAGGGCTGGTGTCTGGGATGAGGTTGGGGCCGAGTAAGAATGTGCGTCCATATAAAAGTTCAAAGGGACTGTACCCTGTAGCATCTCGAGGACAGGCTCTAATTCTGAGAAGGGCAAGAGGTAAAAAGTACTGTCCAGTCCTTTTTAAGTTGGAGGCTGAGCTTGGTGAAGTGTGTCTTTAAAAGACCATTAGTCCGTTCTACCTTTCCTGAAGATTGAGGACAATAAGGAGTATGAAGGTTCCACTGAATACCAAGAGCCTGAGAAACTGCTTGGGTGATTTGACTAATAAGGGCCAGTCCATTATTAGACTGTATAGAGGTGGGAAGGCCAAACTGAGGAATTATGTCTGACAGAAGGGAAGAAATGACCACAGTGGCCTTCTCAGACCCTGTGGGAAAGACCTCTACCCATCCAGTGAAAGTGTCTACCCAGACCAAGAGGTATTTTAGTTTCCTGACTTGGGGCATGTAAGTCAATTTGCCAGTCCTGGGCAGGGCAAATCCCTGAGCTTGATGTGTAGGAAAGGGAGGGGGCCTGAACAATCCATGAGGGGTAGGTAGTAGAATATCAGATGGAACACTGAAAAGTGATTTCCTTGAGGATAGATTTCCACGATGGAAAGGAAATGAGAGGTTCTAAGAGGCAGGCTAGCGGCTTGTAACCTACATGGAAGAGGTTGTGAAATGATGACAGAATAGAATGGGCCTGTGAGGCTGGAAGGAGATATTTTCCTTGGTCTAAGAACCATTTGCCTTGTGTGGGAAGAGATTGATAGGCAGAAGTTTCAGCAGGGGAGTAGGTGGGAGTGACCGATGAGAAAGAGAAAAACTGGCTGTGAGGGACAGAAGTTGGAATTCTAGCTGCTTCTTTAGCTACCTTATCAGCATACGTGTTGCCCTGAGCGATAGGATCTGATGCCTTTTGGTGGCCCTTGCAGTGAATGACTCCAGCTTCTTTTGGAAGTAAAGCAGCCTTGAGAAGAGTTTTTATTAAAGAGGCATTAATGATGGAGGACCCTTGCATAGTGAGGAAACCTCTTTCAGCCCATACAACAGCATGGTGGTGCAGGATATGGAAGGCATATTTAGAGTCAGTATAAATATTGATATGTAGTCCCTTTGCAAGGGTGAGGGCTGGAGTTAAGGCAATGAGTTCTGCTTGCTGAGAGGTAGTGGAGGCGGGCAGAGCAGTAGCCTCAATGATAGATGTGGAAGATACTATAGCATACCCTGCCTATGCTAGTGAGTGGCGATTAGGCCTGGTGGAACTGCCATCAATAAACCAAATGTGATCAGGGTGAGGAACAGGAAAGAAGGAAATATGGGAAAATGGGGTGAATGTCAGGTGGATCGCAGAGAAACAATCATGGGGTCAGGTGCAGTATCTGGAATAATGTGGGAGGCCAGACTGAAGTCTAGGACAGGAACAATGGTAATTGTGGGAGACTCAACAAAGAGTGAGTATAGTTGAAGGAGCCAGGGAGCAGAAAGTATATGTGTCAGGTGTGAGGAAGAAAATAGATTTTTGAAGTTATGAGAGCTGTAGAGAGTGAGTTGAGCATAGTTTGTGATTTTGAGGGCCTCTAAAAATATTAGGGCAGTGGCAGCCGCTGCATGGAGACATGATGGCCAGCCTAAAACAGTAAGGTCAAATTGTTTGGACAAAAAGGCTACAGGGCGTGGTCTTGGTCCTTGTGTAAGAATTCTGACTGCACAGCCCTGCGCTTCGGCTCTGTATAATGATAAGGGTTGGGATGAGTCAGAGAGAGTTAGTATGGGGGCAGTCTCTAAAGCTGTCTTCAAGGAATGGAAAGAGGAGTGGGGAAAGGATTTAGGATCTATGAGGTCAGCTAGGTTTCCTTTTGTGAGTTTATATAATGGTTTTGTTAGGATGGCAAAACCAGGTATCTAAAGTCAAAAGTATCCAACCATGCCTAGGAAGGAAAGGAGTTGTTGTTTATAGACGGTGTTGGGGTTTGAGAGGTCAGTTGGACACAATCGGCAGTGAGAGCACGTGTGTTTTCATGAAGAATTATGCCGAGGTAGGTAATGGATGGGGAAGAAATTTGAGCTTTTGAGGGGGATACCCAATATCCTTTGGAGAATAAATGTTGAAGAAGCAGGAGGGTGTCTTGTTGAGAAGATTCAAAGGAGGGGCTACAAAGTAGAAGGTCCTCAATATATTGAATAAGGTGAGAAGCGGAGAGGTGGAAAGAAAGTAAATCATGATAAACAGCTTGGCTGAAGTAATGAGGGCTGTCCCTGAAGACTTGCGGCAGCACAGCCCAGGTAAGCTGCTGGGACTGATGGGTGTCAGGGTCAGTCCAGGTAAAAGCAAAGAGAGGCTGGGATGAGGGGTGCAGGGGAACAGTGAAAAAAAGCATCTTTAAGGTCAAGAACGGAATAGTCAGCTGTGGAGGAAGGTATTGAGGACAAAAGAGTGTACGGGTTGGGCACTACAAGGTGGACAGGCAAAACAATTTGGTTGATAAGGCACAGATCCTGAATTAACCTGTAAGACTCGTCTGGTTTTTGGACAGGTAAAATGGGGGAATTGTAAGGATAATTTATAGGTTTTAGAAGCCCATGCTGTAAGAGGCGAGTGATAACAGGCTTTAATCCTTTTAAAGCATGCTGTGGGATGGGATACTGGCATTGAGCGGGGTAAGAGTGATTAGGTTTTAATGGGATGGTGATGGGCATGTGATCAGTTGCCAGGGAGGGAGTACAGATGTCCCATAGTTGTGGGTTAAGGTGGGGGGATATGACAGGAAGACACAAAGGAGGCTTTGGTTTGGGAAGAAGGGCAGCAATAAGATGTGGCTGTAGTCCAGGAATAGTCAGGGAAGCAGATAATTTGGTTAAAATGTCTCAGCCTAATAAGGGAACTGGGAAGGTAGCGATAACTAAAAAAGAATGCATAAAACAATGTTGTCCAAGTTGGCCCCAGAGTGGGGGAGTTTTAAGGGGTTTTGAAGCTTGGCCATCAATACCCACAAAAGTTATGGAGGCAAGGGAAACAGGCCCTTGAAAAGAAGGTAATGTGGAGTGGGTAGCCCCCATATCGATTAAACAGGGGAGGGACTTACCCTCCACTGTAAGAGTTACCCAAAGCTTGGCGTCCGTGATGGTCCAGGGGGCTTCCGAGGCGATCAGGCAGCATCAGTCTTCAGCCTCTAAGCTGAGCAGATCTGGGAAGGAGTTAGTCAGAGAGCCTTGGACCAGAGCTTTAGGGGCTCTAGGAGTGGCTGCCGGGTGAGCTGGACAGTCTGATTTCCAGTGGGTCCCTGCACAGGTGGGACATGGCTTGGGAGGAGTCCCGGGCTGCAGGCATTCCTTGGCCCAGTGGCCAGATTTCTGGCGCTTGAAGCAAGATCCTGATGGAGGAAGTCTTGTAAGAATGCTTGACTGCTGTAGCTTAGGTGTGTGCGGCTTAGGCATTTTGAAGTTCTTGTATGCTGGAGGTGCGGCTGGGTTTTGTCTCACAGCGGAGGCAAGTAATTGTAACTCGGAAATGCGTTGCTGTCTGGCTGCCTCCTCTCTATTATTGTACACCTTGAAGGCAAGGTTGATTAATTGCTGTTGTGGGGTCTGAGGGCTGGATTATAATTTTTGAAGTTTTTTCCTAATGTCAGGAGTGGATTGGGTGATAAAATGCATATTAAGAATAAGGCGGCCTTCTGGCCCCTCTGGATCTAGGGCAGTAAAGCATCTAAGGGTTGCTGCTAAGCGGGCCATGAGCTAGGCTCGGTTTTCATCTTTACCTTGGGTAGTTTCTTTAAGCTTGTCATAATTAACAGCTTTGTAAACTGCCTTTTTAAACCCTTCAACTAGGCAGGAAATCATGTAATCTCAACTAGCTATACCTGGGGAATCTGCCTGATAGTTCCATTGGGGATCCTCTTGGGGAACTGCTCTAATGCCTTCCTGGAGGTCTGGCTCATGGAGCTGGCAGTTGTCAGCATGAGATTGGGCTAGAGAAAAAACTCTTTCCTGTTCATCTGGGGAGAGGGTAGAAGTTAGGATGACATTTAAGTCACTCCAGGTTAAATTGTAGGATATCGGAATTCCTGTACATATTTAGTGGGGTCTGATGAGAAAGAACCTAAATGCTGGCTGATTTGGGAAAGGTCTGATAGAGAAAAAGGCACATGTACCCTGACTATGCCTTCAGCTCCAGCCACCTCTCTAAGAGAAAATTGTTGGGCAGGTTGGGGAGAGCTAGTCACAGAATGAAACTGTAAACAAGACTGGGTGTGGGGAGGGGAGGTAATAGAAGGGTTATAGGGTTGGGGAGCAGAGGCTGAAGAAGAGTTGGAGCCTGATTCAGCCTGGCGGGGAGCGACCTGAGGAGGAGCAGTCTGGGGAGGAGGTGAGAGGTCAGATTGGTCAGTATAAAAGGAAGATTCACGAGACTCAGCGACACTTGGGGTTGGGACTGAAGGGACAGGCGGGAGGGAAAGAAGGAGGATTTGGGATGAGTTGCATTGGGAACAGAGACTAGGGAGGAAACAAAGTGTGAAAAATGCCTGGATGTAAGGCACCTCAGACCAATTGCCCATTTTTCGACAAAAATTTCGTAAGATGGAGAAATCAAAAGTGCCTTTTTCTGGCCATTTAGAACCATTGTCGAGTTTGTATTGGGACCAAGCAGCGTTGCAGAAGAAAATAAGATGCTTAGATTTTAGGTCAGGCGAGAGTTGAAGAGGTTTTAAGTTCTTGAGAACACAGGCTAAGGGAGAAGAAGGAGGAATGGAGGGTGGAAGGTTGCCCATAGTGAAGGAGGCAAGTTTAAAGAGAAGGGTAGAGACATGGGAGAAGGGGTGGGGGGTGCTTGCCCCCCCGAAAAGTGGAGCTTGCTGCTAAGGATGAATGACCAAGGCAGGCATTCCCACATGATCAGACACCTCTGAAATGTGGGTGAATAATCAAGCAGGCATCCCCACAATGACTAAACACCAAGGGAAGGCTGCCTTCCTGAGTCTGTGACCGGCGCCGGAGTTTTGGGTCCACAGATAAAATGTGTCTCCTTTGTCTACCAGAAAATGAAAGGAATTGAAATTAAGAGAAGGGAGAGATTGAAGGGTGGTGCCAAGATTGAAAGGAGAAAGAGGTTGAGGGATAGTGAGAGAGGTTGGAGAAGAGAGTAAAAAGAGACTGCTTACCCAATTTAAAATAGGTGAGATGTTCCTTGGGCTGGTTGGTCTGAGGACCCGAGGTCATAGATAGATCTCTTCATGGAGTGAGGGTGAGGACAGGGGACTGGTCTCCCAAAGGAGTCCCGCTGACCCAGGTCTTTGGCACCAAATGTCTCACGTGTCCATGTGAAAAGACCACCAAACAGGCTTTGTGTGAGCAACAAGGCTGTTTATTTCACCTGGGTGCAGGCTGGCTGAGTCTGAAAAAGGAGTCAGCAAAGTGTGATGGGATTATCATTAGTTCTTATAGATTTTGGGGTAGATGGTGGAATTAGGAGCAATGTTTTGTGGACAAGGGGTGGATCGCACAAAGTACATTCTCAAGGGTGGGGAGAATTACAAAGAGCCTTCTTAAGGGTGGGGGAGATTACAAAGTACATTGATCAGTTAGGGTGGAGCAGAAACAAATCACAATGGTGGAATGTCATCAGTTAAGGCTATTTTCACTTCTTTTGTGGATCTTCAGTTGCTTCAGGCCGTCTGGATGTATACGTGCAGGTCACAAGGGATATGATGGCTTAGCTTGGGCTCAGAGGCCTGACACTTTTCTTTATAAATTACCCTGTCTCAAGTATTTCTTTATAGCAACACGTAAACAGATTAACACAGAAAATTAATACTGAGGAGTGGGGCATTGCTATAAAGATATCTGAAAATGTGGAAGCAGCTTTGGAACTGGGTAATGGGCAGAGGGTGGAAGAATTTGGAGGTCTCAAAAGAATACAGGAAGACAAGGGAAAGTTTGGAACTTCTTAGAGACTTTTTAAGGGGTTGTAACCAAAATGCTAATAGAAATATTGACAGTGAAGGCCAGGCTGACAAGGTCTCAGACGGAAGTGAGAACTTTATTGGAAACTATAGTAGAGGTCACCTGTGTTATGCTGTAGCAAAGAACTTGGCTGCATTGTGTCCATGTCCTAGGGATCTGTAGAAGTTTGAACTTAAGAGTGATAACTTAGGGAATCCGGTGGAAGAAATTTCTAAGGAGCAAAGCATTCAAGATGTGGCCTGGCTACTTCTAGCAGCCTATGATCAGATACTGAAGCAAAGAAATAACTTACAGTTGGAACTTAAATTTAAAAGGGTAGCAGAGGGTGAATGTTTGAAGGATTTGCAGCCTAGCTATGTGGTAAAGAAAGAAAAAAGCATTTTCAGGAGAGCAATACAAGCAGGCTATGGAACGATCACTAGCTGTAGAGATTAGCATGATTAAAAGGGAGCTAGAGTGCTAATATCCAAGACAATGGAAAAGGTTTCAGAGGCATTTCAGAGATATTGAAGCCAGCCCCTCCTATCACAGGCCCAGAGGCCTAAAAGGGAAGAATGGTTTCAGGAGACAGGCCCAGGGCCCTGTTGTCCTGCTCAGCCTCAAGACACTGTTTCCTGAACCCTGGCTAGTCTAACTCCAGCCACAGCTCAAAGGGCCCCAGACAGTTCAGGCCACTACTCCAGAGGGCACAAGCCCTAAGCCTTGGCAGCTTCCACATGGCATGAAATTTGTAGGTGCACAAATGCAAGCATGAAGGAGGCCTGGTAGCTTCCCTGTAGATTTCAAAGAATGTATGAAAAAGTCTGGGTGCCCAGACAGAAGCCTGCCACAGGGGCATAACCCTCACAGAGAGCCTCTACTAGAGCAGTACAGAGGAGAAATGTAGCGTTGGAGCCCCCAAACAGAGTCCCCACTGGGATACTGCCTAGTGGAGCTGCAGGAAATGGGCTGCAACCCTCAGACCCAAGAAAGGTAGAAACACCAGTACCTTGCACTCTTAGCCTGGAAAAGTCACAGGCACCATACTCCAACCTATGAAAGCAGCCATGGGGGCTACACCCTGCAAAGCTAAAGGGGCAGAGCTGCGCAGGTCCTTGGGAGCCTACCCCTTGCATAAATGTTCCCTGGATGCAAGACATGAAGTGAAAGAATAGTATTTTGGAGATTTAAGATTTAATGATCACTCTGCCTGGCTTCAGACTTGTTTGGGGCCTACTGACCCTTTATTTGGCCTATTTCTCCCTTTTGGAATGGGAATGTCTAGTCAATGAGTATACCATCATTATATCTTGGAAGTAAATAACATAGTTTTCATTTTACAGGCTCATATGTGGAAGGAGTCTCATGGAGCACACAGGCTCATGTGTGCTGAGATGAAACTTTGGACTTTGGACTTTTCATTGATGCTGGAATGAGTTAAGATTTGGGGAAACTATTGAGAAGGGATGATTGTTCTTTTCACAATGGAAGAAAAGCATGAGGTTTGAGGAGCAAGCCAGAGGTAGAATTATGTGGTTTAGATGTCTATTGCCTCCAAATCTCATGTTGAAATGTAACCCCCAATGTTGGAGGAGGGTCTTGTGGGAGGTGATTGGATTATGGAGGTGGATCCTTCATAAACGGCTTAACATCCCCTTGGTGGTAAGTGAGTTCTTTCTCAGTTAACTCATGTGATATCTAGTTGTTGAAAAGAGTATGGAACCTCCCCACACCTCCATCTCTTGCTCCTGCTCTCATTATGTGATATGCCTGCTCCTTCTTCTTCTGTCATGACTGGAAGCTTCCTGAGGCCTCAACAAAAGCAGATACCAGCATCACAATTCCTGTACAGCCAGAAGAAACATGTGCCAAAATAAACCACTTTTCCTTATAAATTATCCAGTCTCAGGTATTCTTTTATAGCAATACAAGAACCAAGAATGGACTAAGACATGCCAAAAGATGGGTTGTTGAGAAATAGTGAGTAGTATTTGACTTGAGAATAAACTGAAAGCCAAGTATCATCTGGATGTGAAATAATATTCCTTTGCATTCAATTAATCAAGGAATATAGCTCTTTTGTAATGCTGGCAAAAGATGACTTAGTAGCTTTTTGAAGAATCCTTAACCAAAGAACATAACAAATGATTGTGTGATTGAGAGCCCAGAGTTCTATTCCTTATATGTAGCATAGTGGGAAAAATTCAGTTAAAATCTTGCCCTACTCAATATACAGACAAACATCAAGCTTGATGAACTTTTACAAATAAACTGATCTTACTATTATATTCAAGGTTGTAAATCTAGTCAGTGTTAAAACCTACAAATGTTTTTCTTTCATTCACTTAATAACTTTAAAAATAGTTTCAAGTATAGAACATGAATATTTAGTTCTCCAAAAAAACTATAAATCTAAACTTTAAAGGAACACATTTTCTTCTTATAAAATGGCAAACAAATTATTTTTATGTTATTTTAAATTATATTTACTATTTTAACTATAATAATTGTACAAGACTGGTAATAGTATAATGTTTTCTAAACAAATGTGAATTAGCTAATGTTCAGTAAAGTAAATGAATACATACTCAAATATTATTAAAGTTACGTAATTGTATACAATTTTGGCACTGCTGTAGGCAGCTGTTATTTAAAGAATAGTATTTCAACATAGTAGTCTAGCCAAAAATAAGACAATTATTTAATATCAGAAAAATTAGGAAGAAAAGTTTATAAATATAAGAAATGTATTTTTAAATTTGACATATTTAGTGAGACTAAAAGATCTGTCACATAAACTATGTCATACTTTCTCTTTCCGTGACAACTAAGTCAAAGCCTATGACCCAAAACAGGTTATACACTAAGACTAAATTTCATGTAGGTCAGATTTAGTTGTAGAATGTTTTAACACAAAATGACTGACTCAAAATCTGCATGCAGCCCCTGATATTAAAGAAGTCTTGTATCCCTGCTTCACTATGATGGTGTACAAAGAAAAAAGGGAAATGATGTTTAAGAGAAAATGGATTTATGAATTAGGAAATAAGAGAACCTTTAAATAAAGGCAGTTTTCAGGGATGCCTCCCCTGAAGCTACACAAAATTGGAAAGGCATCTACCGAATCTTAAAACAGCATTCAATGATATCTTTTAGTCTACTCTTTTAATGGATGATTTGTATGCAACACTTCCAAGTGAGATGAGAGTATTGCAGACTACTGAAACAGACATAATCACCCTGCTGACCCAGCAGGGGCGGCTTGAGAATAGGGGAAGAGTGAAAAATCCTGTTTTTCTCTGAAACCACCTGAGAAAAACAGCCTATGAACATTGCACACATTATCATGTAGCTTCAGCCATAGCTTATGCCTCTCATTTTTAAAGGGAAAATAACCACCATCAAAAAATTAGCCTGCCTCCTTCAGATTAATTAGGCTAACCATCTCTGATCCTAATATGCTAAATCTCAAAGTAAGTGGTGATTGCCTTTTGGTGGCACTACAGGCACTAAAAGGCTTGACATGAAGACAGAATTATTTTGGTTTTAGTTTAACTAGTTTTCAAGAGGTGACATTTAAAAAGCATTGTAAGCTATTGGAAACCAATGAGGAGGCCACAGTCATTTCAAAACATGCACACACAAAAATTATCATTTTATAAGTGATGAATAACTTTATAGAATAGCTAACCCTTATTGGTAGAACATATCTGTGAGGTAAAGACTATGTGTGAGGGTCTTCACATTCCTACAATATGAGAGATAAACAACATCCTATTAAGATACACATATAAAAATGGAGAAAGCCTTACACAACTAAGAGGCCTAATTACAAAAATTGGCCAATTTTAATAGTTTTCTTATTAAAAACTTTGTGTTACTAAGTATTTAAATATAATTTATTTTCTGATAGAAAATAAGACAGTAAAATTTTGTAAAATCTCAAAGTATTTTTTTGTTTTTTGAGACAGAGTCTCACTCTGTCACCCAGGCTGGAGTTCAGTGGCAGCCATCTCTGCTCACTGCAACCTCTGCCTCCCAGGTTCAAGGGATTTTTGTGCTTCATCTACCAAGTAGCTGGGATTACATGTGCGCACCACCACACTGGGATAATTTTTGTGTTTTTGATAGAGGCGGGGTTTCACTATTTTGGCCAGGCTATTCTCAAACTCATGGCCTCAAGCGATCTGCCCTTCTTGGCCTCCCAAAGTGCTGGGATTACGGGCATGAGCCACTACACCCTGCCAAAGTGTGTATTTTTGAACACCAGTATCATAATTATCACTCATATTTAAATTCAATTTTATGATATTTAAAATTCACACAATTTTTTTTCTTACATTATGTGTTATCTAGTAAAGAGTTAACCTTGCCCAAAGAAAAGTCTGAACTTTTCCTTCAACTACTGGGATCTATACATCCCTAGAATGTCTTATCTGGCAAGAGAGACTTTGTTGACTTGGGGATTTTGGCCATGGTACAATGTAACAATGTAATTTCTGGTGGAAGACTTGAGCCATGCTATATTAGTTCTAACATTCAGCAGAACTAGAGACTAAGAGTATTAGCCTGACCTCTGAGAGGAGCTGAAGACTGAAGTATGTAATCAAGCCCCAATCAAAACTGTGAACAACAAAGGCTCAGGTGAGCTTCTTTGGTTGGCAATATTCAGTGTATATTGTCACACACTGTGGCTGAGAAGTAACGCTGCTTATGACCCCACAGGAAGAGAACAACCAGGGGTCTCAAGTTGGGGCCCCTTCTGGCTCTGCCCTGTGCATCACTTCCCTTGGCTGATTTTAATTTGTGTACTTTTGTCATAATAAAAGATATTATAGGTACAGTGTGTTCCTGAGTTCTAGCTGTTCTAGCCAATTATCAAACCTGTGACTGGTAGTGGGGATCCCAGAATTTGTAGCTATATATGTCAGAAATCTCAAGAAAAACAGATTTTTATATGTATGATATGACATATATTATATATATATAATTATAGTTTATATAGACTATAAACAGATCACATATGTTGTCTAATATATATTTATATGTACACATAATCATGTGTATATGAGTGTGTGTGTATATATATATATATATATGACATTTACTCAAAACCAGTGCTCATGCAATGTGGTAGCTGCCAAGTCCAAAATTTATAGATCACATCAGCAGGCTAGGAAATTAGGCAGGGGTTAATGCCACAGTCTTGAGTCCAAAATCTGTAGGGCAGGTCAGCTGGCTGAAAACTCAGCATGGGCAGTCTTAAAGCAAAATATTTTTCTTCTCTGAGAAACCAGTGTTTACTCTTGAGACCTTCAGTGTATTGGATGAGTCCCATCTACATCATTGAGGGTAATCTCATTTTTCTTGAATTAATTTGATTGTAGATGTTAATCAAATTTACTAAATATCCTCAAGTCAGCATCCATATTAGTGTTTGATTAAATATCTGGGTATTACAGCCTAGCAAACTTGAAACATAAAACAATCATGGTAGCCAAATGGTCTGAAGTGAAGGTGGTCTAGGGGACACCTGAAACTTGTGGCTGGTGACTTAAATGAGAGAAGTTTTGTGAGAACTGTGTCTTCTCACTATATAGTTGGCTAGACTCCACAAATAGACCCACATAAATATATTCAACTGATTTTGATAAAGGCACAAAGGCAATTCAATGGAGAAAACACTGTATTTTCAACAAATAGTACTGGAATAACTGGATGTTTATATAAAAACATGAACCTAGAACAGAACTTACACCTTACGCAAAAATTAACTCAAAATGGATCATGCCTGTAATCCAAGTACATTGGTAGGCTGAGGTGGATGCATCACTTGAAGTCAGGAGTTCAGGACCAGCCTGGCCAACATGGTGAAACCCTGCCTCAACTAGAAATACAAAAAAATTAGCTGGGCATGGTGATGGACACCTATAATCCCAGCTACCTCAGGAGACTGAGGCAGGAGAATCACTTGAACCCGGGAGGTGGAGGTTACAGTGAGCAGAGAGATCGCACCATTGCATTCCAGGCTGGGTGACAAGAGCGAAACTCTTCCAAAAAAAAAAAAAAATGATAGACCTAAATATAAAATGCTAAACTATAGCATTTCCGAGAGAAAATAAGAAAATATAGGAGACAAGGGAGAAAAAGCCATATAACCTTCAGTTTGGTGGTGAGTTTTTTAAATATAACAAGAAAAACACAATCCATGAAAGAAAAAACTGGTAAGTTGGAGCTTATTAAAATTGAAAACTTCTGCTCTCCTTAGCATACTGTCTAGAGAATAAAAAGAAAGCGCACAATGGGAGAAAATATTTGCAATCACCTATCTGATAAAGGGCTCGTATCCAAAATATCCAAAGAACTCTAGTATTCAACAATAAAAAACAAAGAATTCAATTTAAAATGGGCAAAAGATTTGGACACCTCACCAAGAAAGATATGGCAAATAAGCATATGAAAATATGCTCAAAATCATTTGTCATCAGGGAAACACAAATTAAAACAACAATGAGATATACTCTACACACTAATTAGAACGGCTAAAATCCAAAAAAACTGCCAATACCAATTACTGTTAAGAATGCAGAGCAATAGGAACTCTCATTCATTGCTGGTGGACTACAATGCTACCACTCTAGAAATGTCTGGCAGTTTCTTACAAAACTAAACACAGTTTTGCCATATGATCTAGCAATTGTGCTCCTAGGTGTTTACCCAACTGATTTGAAAAGTAATGTCTACATGAACCTACACATGAATGTTTATAGAAGCTTTATTCATAATCACCAAAAAGGTAATAACCAATATGTCCTTTAATAAGTGAATGAATAAACAAATTATGGGACATTCATACAAATGCTCTTTGGCTATTAAAAGTAATGCACTATGAAACCACACAAAGACATGGATGAACCTTAAGAGTATACTGCTAAGTGAAAGAAGCCAATCTGAAAAGACTACATACGGTATAATTCCATGTATATGACATTCTGGAAAAGGCAAAACTTCAAGGATAGTAAACAGATCAGTGGTTGCCAGGAGATGATGGGGAGATAGGTCTATGAAAAGGTAAAAGACAAGGGCTTTTTTAGAGCTGTGAAACTATCCTGTCTGATACTCTAATAACAGATATGCAACACTATGAATTTGTCAAAATCCACAGAAATTAACAGCACAAAGAGTACACCTTAATGTATACAAATTTTTAAGAAGCATTGAGGAAATGAGGAATCCCAGGAGATAATGCAGTGTGACAAAAGAATATAACTTTATTACAACTGATTAAAACAATCTCATTGAAATGGGATGAAAGAAAAAGGTACTGAGCTAAGTAACTTTGGAAATAAGTAGAGTCTTCAAGACTAAAGGAAAAAAGAAATGTACATAAGCACTGTATTTTATTTGATGAAAGTGTTTCCTATGGACTATGGGTTAACAATTGTGAAACCACCATACATGTGTACAAAAATTAAACAAAGAATGGTGGACTGCAGTACCCAAATTTCTCACGTCGTTTAACTAGGGGTAAAGTTAAATAAGGAGAGAAAGCAAGAATGATATATATGTGTAGTAAAATGTTATAATTTTATGCTGCCTCAGCATCCATTTTGCATATAAGTGGGAATTTCTCATATCAGAAGCAGGGTATAGTCACCTTTGACTAAACTTTCCAGTTCTCTACTTATTCTCAGTTTTTCAATATGGTGGATCCAAACATCTGCCTTACATAACCACTTCCTAGTGATCACCTTCCTATGAAACAGCTAGATAATAACCTACTTGACTCACTCCACTGATCCCCACACCCCACATGGACCATGATGATATGCTGCAGTGGTCCCCTTTTAGTCACACTGTGACTCTGTGGAACCCATGCCTGCTTACATAAACCTACCCGTTAGACTCCTTACAGCAAATCTGCTTGGGTAATGCCCTGGACCCCAATAAAGCCTTTAGTCCACAGGTTCCCCTCTCTTTTGCTCTCATTCACTGGTTAAGAACATGTGTCCTGGACAGCTCCCCCTTCCATTTGGCCCTGCGAGGCACGCTGCCCTCTTCTCTCTGGGATCTATAAGTATAAACTGCTTCTATTATTTCATGAGATTTGTTGAGTTTTCTACCATTTCTCACCTGACCACCACTCCCAAACCTAACTTCTTTCATGGTCAGGGCTCTTCTAGAGAATGCCTATCTTGGTAAGAATAAGCTGAACACAGGTCAGCAAGAGTCATAAGGGCATCTGCCAGTATAAACAAATTTCCTGTGAGAGAGACAACTGGTCACATGTTGGACACCTAGGCATTAGACCATCCACGAGAATAAATAAGTATTCTGTGAAAGACACAAGTGAACATCTATGGAGCCCCATCAAACAGAATTAGAGTTTATAGCCACTCTCCAGAGAGAGACTTCATGACAAAATTAGAGAAAAATACAATATGGTAATGCACTAGAGTGGGAGACATTATTATGAACAAATTCGCTTAAGGTAGATATACATGGTTACTCAGAGAAAAAAACTATATTTACATGTGTGTGTATACATACATAGGTTAGTAGACACTTATCTATTTCCTTGCTCTGTCATCTGAGAGGACCTAAAACAATGACAACCCAGTAGCAGTGAGCACACCAAGCACTCAGCTCTTAGCTTCAGATACTTACTCTCCAATAAAAACATTCAGGGCTCCTTGTAAAAATGGCTGACTCTAGAAATGGGACAAGAAATACATAAACTGAGCTTAGAGTATTGTGTAGTGCTAGAAAGTAAAGAATTCTCATAAAGAAAAAAATAATAAGAATATTTCAAATGGGACACAGAAGTCAACTGAAATAGCTCCCAAAGGCCAAAGCTGGACAAATTTGAACAGCAAAATAAGGAGACACAAATATAGATAAATGATATTCAACAAAGGAGCAAAGGCAATACAATAGGGAAAAGAGTCTTTTTGTGAAATGGTGCTGGAACAATTGGACATCATAGGCAAAAAAAAAAGAATATATATATATTCCTTACATCCTTCACAAAAATTAACTCAAAATGGATCATAGACCTAAATGTAAAATGCAAAACTTTAAAACTCTCAGAATATAACATAGAAGAAAATCTAGGTAAGTGTGGCTTTGATGATGAATTTTTAGATACAACACCAAAAACATGATCCATGGGAAAAAAATTGATAAACTAGACTTCATTAAATTTAAAAACTTCTTCTCTTTTAAAGACACTGTCGAGATAAGACAAGCCACAGATTGGAAGAAAATAATTGTAAAAGACATATCTGATAAAGGACTGTTATCCAAAGTGTAGTATACAAAAGACACTTAAAGCTCAACAACCCCCTTTAAAAATGTGCAAAGATCTATACAAACACTTTACCAAAGAAGATGTACGTATGGCAAATAAACATATATGAAAAGATGCTCAACATCATATGTCACTAGAGAATTGGAAAATAAAATGATATACCAATATACACTATCAGAATGGCCCAAATACAAAACACTGACAACACCTAACACTGACAAGAATGTGGAGAAACAAGAGCTTTCATTCATTGCTAGTGGGAATGCAAAATAGTACAGCCACTTAGAAACAGTTCACCAGTTTTTTACAAAACCAAATATACTCTTACCATGCAATCCAACAATTGTGTTTCTTGGTTTTTACCTAAAACGTTTGGAAGTTTTCATTGGCACCTGTAATCCCAGCTACTCAGAGGCTGAGGCAGGAGAATCACTTGAGCCTGGGAGGCACAGGTTTCAGTGAGCCAAGATCATGCCATTGCACTTCAGCCTGGGCAACAAGAGAGAAACTCCGCCTAAAAAAAAAAAACAGTTTACATCCACATAAAAACCCATTCATAAATGTTTACAGAAGTTTTCTTCATAATTGTCAAAACTTGGAAGCAACCAAGATGTTCTTTTGGTATATGAATGTATAAACAAACTATGGTACATCCAAACACTGAAATATTCTTCAGTGTTGAACAGAAATGAGGTATCAAGCCATGAAAAGGCATAGAGAAACTGTAAATGCATATTACTAAGTGAGAAAAGTGAATCGTAAAGGGCTACATACTGTATGATCCAACTATATGACATTCTGGAAAAAGGCAAAATGATGGGGACAATAAACAGATCAGTGGTTGCCGGAGTTAGCGGGAAAGAAAGATGAATAAGTGGAGCACAGAGGAATTTTAAAGCAGTGAAACTATTCTATGTGATACCATAATATTGGCTACTTATCATTATTCATTTGTCAAAATCAGAATATACAACACCAAGAGTGAATCCTAATGTAACACATGGACTTTTTGTGATAATTATGTGTCAATATAGGTTCATCATTTCCAACAAATGTACCCTTCAGGTTAGTGATACTGACAGTGGAAGAGGCTGTGAATGTGTCAGGGAGGCGGGGATATGGGAATTCTGTAATTTCCTCCCAATTTTACTGTGAACCTAAAATGTCTGTAAAAATTAAACTTATTTTATAAATAAGTAAATAAAGTAGCACTGGAATATAGCTGTGTATGAAATTAATATTCCTGCAGTCATACTGATATAAATAAATGATTGACTAAATAATTTAAAAATAGGAGAGATTAAACAAACTTTTCATACATAAGAATTACAAATAATGTATGTAAATATTACTATTCAAGGAGTAGAGTTTATCTATCCACTCATCCCCTGTAGACAGTGTGGAGTAACTTCCAACTTCATGCTGTGAAAAGGAAGAGGAGAGAGTAACTTCACAGTGGAGAAACCTGTACACACTACCTCAGTCAGGCGGTCTAGGTCATTAACAGTGCTAGGTCATGTTGGTAGTCTATAATCGTGATATGAGAAGAATGTCACTTCATGATTTTCCTACGAAAAACCCATAATCCTAAACGAGTAATGAAAAAAAAATCAGACATATCACTATTGAGGTATATTTCATATAAACCTTGACTAGTACTACTCAAAACTGTTAAACTCATCAAAAACAAGGAAAGTTGAGAAATTGTCACAGCCAAACAAAGCCTAAGGAGACATGGTGATGAAATGGAATGTGGTTTACTGGATAGAATCCTGGAAAAGAAAAAAGACGTTAGGTACAATGTAAGGAAATCTGAATGAATTATAGACTTTAGGTAATAGTAATGTATCCATATTCATCCATTGATTATTACAAATGTGCCACACTAATGTTGGAAAGTGAATAAATATTTGTAAGTGGAAAATATTTCTATTCATAAGCTGTATTCACTATCTAAAGTTTATTTACTTTCAAATACACAGCGTTAGTTAGTAATGATAAAGTTCTGCTTCATCACTCAAATAACACATGAAAATAAGAGATAATCTCAATGCTAGACCTGAAATATAACTGACCACATTAACAATCACCTAACAGTATATGTAATTGCCATAGCGGACTAATCCCTTTAAGGTTTTGGCCCTGACAGTGAGAACCAAATTAGAATGCTTGAATAGAGCAATGATGGCACATGGCTGTGGAGCGTGGAATCAGAAAACCTTGAAAAGTCATTGTCTAGTTTCAAAAAAAAGAGTGAGGACCCAAGCTGATAGAATGAACAATCCAAAGAAGACAAGCAACGTGGTGGAACCTCTTCTGTGGCAACACGACTTCAAAAGGGGAAAATGAAACTACAGTTAGTAGCTATAGTTGGGGTTTGGGATGCAGATTAGAAGCTTTACACGTGGTGTCTACAGTGTCACCTACCCTCTTGAGAAGGTGCTGTCAATAATGCCAGGTAGAGCAATAAGCCAACTAGGACAATAGCCATTCTATTTACTTAGCTCGTAGAGTCTAAGGTTAGACACGAACAGAAATTCTCTTAGTCAAAGTATTTTGTACAACAATTTTGAGACTTGCAAGAACAAAGATGTATCTCTTAATAGCTAAGTAATCACCTCTGAAAATGTCCCCTTAAACCCTTAGGGTGGAAGCCCCACATCGAGAGGACCACAGATAAAGCAAATTGATCATACTACTATCTCTGACTCTCCTACTGATACCCACTGGTATCTTTCTGATTTCATTCCTTTCATCTATATAAATCTGTTTCTCTGATTGATCTTCACTGACTCCTCAATTCTTACCTTTGGACTAAGCACAGTCTCTATCTATAATTTGCTGTCTTCACTTTCATTTCTGGCTCCTTTATCTATAAAATGGATCTATTCTGATCCAACATCCATCTATTCTGATCAAACATCCAATCATGTTCCCCAATTTCCATCTGAGCTGAACCACCCCTCTCTTGATAGCCCCACATAAGATCCATATACCAGCCCAGGTTATACATATCTCAGGGCTCTACCCTAAAAACACTTTTTTGATACAACTGAAATTTTCTAATGTATTTTTTGAGTCCTCCAAAACTAACTATATAGTTTCATATTAACAATCTTTTATCTGTATAAAAGATATTCATGAAATGTGCCGATTTGTACATTTTACAATACATGAAACATGTATTCATCAGATTCTTCCATAAACAGTCAATTCATAGTTCCCAATATTAAAACTAAGTTCCAGGAACATTACTTGCTCTAGATCACATAGCTAGTAACTGGGATTTTGAAGTCCTAAGGCAAGAGCTCACTACATCAAGTACAACACATTCCCTTAGTCTCATTTGAAAGCCATGATGAACAGAGAGGTGTGGAAAATCTAAGATCACAAATATGCCATGAGAAAGCATCTTTGTTTCTACCGCTACTTTACAAAACCACATCTCTTACTACTAACACTTCAAATTCCCTCAAAATAAGCTTCTTTTCCCAATTGTCCCTCACTACCAACTATAGTCATGCTATGGGATTATTATGGAAATTCAGCATCTGAAAGAAACAGGAGGTTATAATTAATCCCTAATTACAATTGGGCACAAACTTGTTTTTCTTCTACCTTTTCTAAGTGTACCCAATGCCCATCATGTTTTCTGCCAGATGTTCTAGTCACTGTGTGATGGGGTTGTTACTTTTGCCGCTTTTCTGGACTCCTCACTCTTAGTCATTTTAAACATGGTTAAAATGACAATCTTTCTTACCATATTTGATATATATTTGATATATAACTTTCAGAAAGAATAAAACTTAGCACCCTCCTATTAGTCCTTATCTAAATGGAAACTTATTAACAGAGCATCGAGGGCCAAATAAAGTGCCCCCTCTTTTGAAATTTATCTCTAGTCTCTTTCATATATTTCAATCATGTCAATTTCTTACTGTTCTCCTAAATGCGTGCTGATTACTAAACTCTGTTCATGGGTTTTATTTTTTATGTTCCTCCCCATTAATTAATATTCTTCACTGACTTTAAGACTTCACGATTCATTCTTTTAAAAGAACGTGTTTGATTTCCTCCACTGTTAACTGTTAAATATCTCTCTGATAACATTGTTTTCAGGCTTTCTCATCTGGTATAATTATGTTTCAAGTGTTAGGGGGAAAATTCATTTTCTATCCTGTGCAAAAACTCATGCTGGGCACTAAGAGCATGGAGCATGTCCCAGTTATCTATTGCTGCATAACAAACCAACCCAAACTTAGCAGTATAAAACAACCACTACTTTAGTATGCACATCACTTTTCAGGGTCAGAAATTCTTTCCTCCTTTGTAAATGGAGTCTCAGTTGGGAGTGACATAAATGGCCCAATGCAGAAAAAGCTGGGGCTGCAGAATGCCCTTTCAAGATAACTAATTCACTCCCATAACTGGTGCCCGGGCTAGGATGACTCGAAGGCTGAGCTTAGCTAAGAGTGTCAAACAGAATATCTACATGGGGGCAAGCAATTTGGCTATGGCTTCTCACAGTATGGTTTCTGGGTTTCTAGAGGAACATTCTGAGCACAAGCATTGCAAGATACCATGGCAGAAACTGAAAGACTACTTCTAACCCAGCTTCAGGAGTCCTGCAACACCACCTCTGGCCTGTTGTCTTGGTTATAGTACAGATTGGGGATGAGGGGCAGCAGTCTGGGGGGAATTAGACATTACCTCTTGACGGGAAAATGTTAAGATCATATTGAAGAAAAATATGCGGAACAGAAGATTTATTGCAGTCATCTTCACAAAATACAATCTTACAAAGTACCACAGGGCAAAAATAAATCTTGTTAAGATGGCATTCCATGTCAGGCGGTGTGCTGCTTATCTCATTGTTCCCACTCTAGGAAGCATAATATTCATTATTAGATCATATTTGTAGACATATATGGAATATCCAGCTTCATTTTTTTTAGAATTATCCCTTTAATATGCCATCTTGCAGTTTGTTACATGTAGTGTCCACCATACTCTGGCCATGGGGGTGGAAGTGTCAGCGGGGGAAGGGAGACAACAAAGACGGGACTAATCCTAAAACTACATGTCTTATAGGGCCAATCAGTGTCTTTTCTGAAAGCAGAGGTTGAAGAGAAAGTCTATATCCTTTGATGTTACTAAGTCAAGAACATGGAGAACTGTGTGCCAGCTGGTACCCTTTTTAAGCCAACCACATGCAAAAAGTGTATCCAGAGTAGAAAGAATTTAAACTGATACACAGCAAGAAGCAGAGTCAAGGGATGAAGAGAAAGGCCTGATGGAATCAGTACAGCCCCAAATTCTAATGTGCGTGAAACTACATCCCACCTTGACTTCCAGGTTACACAAAATTACACAAAACAGTAAGTTCTCTTTTTGACTTATGTTAATTTAAACTGAGTTTCCAGTATAACCTGTGCTGAAAAAGTTCTTCTGACCTGAGTGAGACCCATCTAGTTCTGTTACCCATACATAAAAGTACTGGAAAGAAAATCGTATAATAAGGGATAACAATCAATCAAAAAAACTTTATGATAAAGAACATAATGTTCTCTCTTGGATGAGAGAAATTTTTATACCAGTAACCCAGGCACAAGTTAATAGAGCAACTTTGAATACAACAGCATGAGTTATGATGTTAGTTTGCTCATTTTGTAAGAAACCTTGGCAAGCAAGGTCAAAATAAAATTTTCAAATGTACACATTTTATTTTATATAAATTTATTTCTGTGGGTGTTTTGCATTCTTTCAGTAAGCTCTGAAGAATATTTTCTCTTCATTAAAAAAACATCTTGCTTGTTCATTCTTACTTGACCCATCCTTCCACAGATATTTAGTGAGGTCATAAAATATGCTATCCACTGTAGAAGATAAAGAGTTGTATGAGACAGAAAAATTCTTGTCCTCATGGTCCTTACCATCCAGTTTGGAGGTGGGAGTGGCCAGCATGGGTAAAATCTCTGCTTCTATGGAACTGAACTCCAGGTCACATCCTGAATGTTCTTGTTTCCACACTTTTGTTTAAGCCATTTCTCTGGCTTAAATGCCTTTCCTTTCCTATTTCTTTCCCCTTAGCTAAGTTCTCTACTTAATTCAAGGAATTTCCTTTCTCTGTTTTGTGCTTTATCCAGAGCAACATTTACTTTTTTGAGATGCAGTGACTAGGAAGGATAAAAAGTTGACTGTCTTTCGTTAAAAATAATTACTCGTTGATAGGGGTTCACATACTGAGAACAAGTTTCCTATTGACTTTCTGAGGAGTTATCACTGATCATCACCCTTGTAGCAACAATTTAAGGGTTATCCTGTTTAATAATGGCTTATCCTGTTTTACATTGTTTATTATTTAACAATGTAATTATTTGAGCATGGGTTATGTGTCCAGAAATGAGCTGGGCACTATGCCACACAGCACAATAATATATGGTCCTAATACATAAGGAGCACAGTGCTAAGCAAATGCTGACACACAGAATCCAATTAGAGGACAAAGAATTATATAAAAACACACTAAATAAAGAGCATAAAAAATAAGACACAGTTAATAAGATAGTGCTTATATGTTTAAAAAGAATGAGAAAATAAGGGGTAAACATGGGACGAAATCCTTGGAGCATCTATATGAAGGTAATTGAAGCTGATTCTTGTGAAATGGGCAAGGTGTGGCTAGTTGCATAAGGTGTCAATAGGTGGAAATAAGTGAGATGCATGGCTTTGTGGAATAGGGATGAGAGAGTAGAGGTGGAAACGTGAACAGTAAGTGGAAACAACTGAAATAAAACTGGCTTGATTATGGCAGTGAATACACATTGGACATTAGTTAGCAATAAAATCAAAAATTTAGGGAAGGGTCATGTCATCAGGAAAACTTAAATCTAGGGAGTGAAAGTAAGTATTTTTATGGCTTTAACAGAATGTCATTTTAAGTTCTTGAGCTGGAAAGTTTTAAGTACCCTCACCCAGAGCCTCCTGTCCAGTAAGCAAAGATAGTTCTTTGCACTGGGCTGACAACTAACTAGATCAGGGTGGGTGCCCAGCCCAGGATAAATGAAGAGATTCTCCTAGTGTAAGTGAAGACTATTAGTTAAGCCAATCAAACTGACTCCATAAAGGACTGTTCAGGTATAAGAGTCAAAAAGAGGAAACTTGCAGATAGAAGCATGTCATGAAACCACATAGGCCACAAAGGAAACTAAGAGAATAGAAAATTGCTGCCAGTAATCCCCTTGAACTTAACCTAGTCAATGCAAAACTCTGTTCTTTGACTCAATAAGTCTAACTAAACACATTGACATTATGAAAGGGACACTTTAAGAATCTTTATCAGGCAACACTGCTGAATCTTGGGGCTAGGTAAATGAAAGGCAAAGAGAACTACTAGGAATATGTTGAAGCAAGCTAGATTTGGGTGCATGAGGGCTAGAGACCATGGTAATGGCAGTGAAAATAAGGCAAAGACATACATGTGTGACCCTGCAAAACAAGACTCAAAAAGTCCTGATGACTGAAATGACTATCATCAGAGTCCATTTCCTAACTGAATTTCACAGATAAATTCTTGTAGGGTGAAATTAATAAGACCTATGACCAAAAATTTAAGAAGAGAGAGAGAAAGAGGTTTTTTCTTTTTATGTGAAGAACAAATTGTTTGAACCACCAACCCCCTATCAGGCAATCCAGTCAATCAGGATAACTAAGTCTACTTGACCCTGAGGGAAACAACAGTTGGCATATCAGTGGTCAAAGAATGACTTTCTCAAAAGCCTAGTGGTTTCCAAAATAATTAAGTCACAACGGACGATAAAAAAATAATGAAGCACATCACCCACAGTAATATTTAGGTTCTAAACACAGGCAACCACAGCATTGGCTTAAAATCTGAAGAGTAGCTTAGGGGCCTGTGCTGCTCTATTTTCAGTTCTGAGTTTTCAGACTTGTACACCCTGTGGCAGAGCGACTATCATCTGAATTCCCTGGCCACTCTGCTGAGCTGTAAACCAGCTCATCGCAGCTGGTTTTATGCTCAGCACTATTACCAGACAGCATTAGAAGAAAGAATATGTGGCAGCAGTTCTCAATTTCGATCTAGGTAAGAATCATTAGGAGCTTTATTATAAAAGCTGATACATAAGCCCTATCTGTAGAGATTTTGATTCAGTAGGTTTGGAATGGAGCCCAGAAATCTGTATTTTAATAAATACCCCCTAGGAGATTCTGTTACAGGTGATCCATGGACAATGCTTTGTGAAACCCTGATTCATGAAAATGAGCTAAGTATTCCATCCAGCATGTCCCCAGAGCAGGCAGTGCGTCATTAGTCCATTAGGTCAAGGAGCATGTCGTATTAATGTGATTTGTTTGTATTTTCTCTTGCTAAACTGTGAGCTTCTTGAAGGCATATCTTGGTCAATTAATTTTACGTCCCCAATGCCTGGAACAGTGAGCTTAATAAAAGATAATCTAAAGTTGATGCCAGGAGTGCAACAGAATGTTTCCCAATGTCTAAAAGAGGTAAAAGAGCATTATAATTTATTTAAAATTTACTGCTTGCCAAATTATTCCCCTGGAATCTAATTCTGACCTTTGGGAAACTATTCCTTCTTTTCCAACCTAACTAAATATTACCAAACTGAAAAACTACAAGCCCACCTTTCTATACACACTGAATTGATTTGTTGTTGTTGTTGTTGTTGTTGTTGTTGTTGTAGATTTTCTGAGAAAGGGGCAACTGACCAAATTTGAGCTACTCTTGCTACCTAGGTTTCTGGTCATGGCCATGGGATTTGTTCAGAAATATACACAAGTTCAGAATAGAGCCACTCAGTCATTCTCAAGATTAAAAAAAAACCTGGAGCTATAATGATATATATTTTTCATTTTTTATGATCATTAATTTCTTCATTCAGCAAAATCATATCCCTTCCTTGTTCAGATATTTAGAGTGAGTCTCAAGGCTCTTGGTGAACAAGTCCTCCGTTTCTCCCTTGCCTATGATCCTCTTTACCTCAACTCCTACCTCTAATTTCTCCCTCACTCCACTCAGTCACAGTAGCAACAAATTCAGTCAAGTTCCAGCCTTAAGCCTTTGCACTGGCTGTGTGCTCTGCCCAAAACACTCCTCATCCTCCACCTCCCATATTTACATAATTCACTGTCTCACCTTCAAGTTTCAGTTTGGAATTAGCAACCGTCTTCCTTTATGGCATTTCTGATACCTCTCCCTCCCCCAACTGTACTCTCTTCTTGTTTCATGGAATTTGTCATCTTCAAACACACTTACAAATATACTTTAATATTACAGTTATTGCTTGCTTGCTTTCTTCCCCCAAGATCCCCACCTAAAGTGAATTACACAAAAGCAAAGATCTTTGATGTATGCCAAGCCTCTAGAATTGTGCTTGGCATATAGTAAGCACACAATAATTCAGTAATTTAATTCATCCAACCGAGATTTGAATGGTACTATGTGCCAGGTAGTTAAGCACACAGATCAAGTCCCTGTTCTCATGGAACTTACATACTAGTGTAGAATACAGACAACCACCAATAAATATATAATAGAATCATAATAGAATACCAAGTAGTGATAAATGCTTAGAAGAAAACAGAACCTAGAAAATGGATAGAATGCCAGGGGTATTATTTTACATAGGATGATCAGTTCTTTCAAGTGGCGGTATTTTAGCAGAGTCTCGAAGAAAATGAGAAAATGAAGTGTAAAGACATAACCAAGTTGTTAGGGTTCTAATCTGGCTATGCTATTGATCTCCTTCTGTAGAAGAGGACACATTTTACATGATGATAGAAGCTGGGATGAGAGACCAGCAGAAATAATTTTGATGTTTGAATTGCTGGGATCCCCAAAGATGTTTTGGTTTCTTCCCTTCTCAAGAATTCCTCATCCTCTTTCTATGTTGAGAACCACCCCAGACACTTCCAATAAGTCCATCTCTTCTATTTTAGTGGGATTAGAGGGTGGTTTAAGCTGTTCTGAGTTAAGTGTCTATTATCTGCAACCAGTCAGTGTCGGTACACCTCACGCTGACCATATGAAATAGGTACTACTATTCATAGATTTATTTTAAAACAAGAAAGAAGAAGTTCAAAAAGAATAAAAATTATCCGAATTTGTACATCTATTAAGTGGATTAACAGAAATTTGAACTCAGAATGGCCTTATTATTTTGCATTTCTCTCAGATATTAATCTGCATTGGGCTTAGGAGTGTTGACTCTGTGCTGGACAACCTGGTTTTTACCTTAGCTTTCATTTAAAATTTTTCTTTGTCACAAATAATTTCCTTATTTATGAACGTAAGTTAATAATAGTACATATCTTAGCGATTTGTTGTAATGTTGAAAAATATGAACACATGTAAAGCCCTTACAATATTACCCAGTACATGGTAATCTGTTAATAAAGTATTGGTTATTATTATTATTATCATTACTGAGCTTGCTGGGTCAGAGTTCCACACCTGTATGTTCTGTTTTCCTTAGGTTTTTATTTTTGTGATTGGTCTATAGATCAAGTTCGCCACTCCTTCCAGAATGAGTAGCACCAAGACCACAGCAGATCTATGCCTAGCCCAATCCTAGCTCTCCTCTTACAAAGTTGCCCCCTAACTCTCTCACCATTGCCTGTGCCCTGTTCCTTTGCCTTGTTCTTGAAGACAATTTATAATTGTCCTGTGCTCGCTCTTTAGCCCTTCCCATTTCACTTTACTTTTCCTCACTGGACAATCTCACCAGCCCTCCAGCATCAATTATCAAATCTCTTTAAATGAATTCCCAAATCTATTATGGCTGTATTAGTTTCCTATCACTGCTATAATAAAGTACCTCAAATTTAATGGCTTAAAACAATAAAGATTTATTATCTTATAAGTCTTAAGGTCAGAAGTCAAAAATCAGTTGACTGTGCTGTGTTCCTTCTGCAGATTGTGGGGTAGAATTTGTTTTCTTGCCTTTTCAGCTTCTAGAGGCTACTTGCTTTCCTTGGCTCTTGGCCCCTTCCTCATCTTCAAAGCCAGCAGTGTAGAATCTTCAAATTTCTTCTTGTTTCTCAAACCTCTGCTTACTTCCACCATCACATTTCCTTCTTTCTTTCCCTTATAGGGACTCTTGTGATTACTTTGAGCACACTCAGAAAATCCAATATAATCTCCCATCTCAAGATTTTAGGGGAGGAGCCAAGATGGCCGAATAGGAACAGCTACGGTCTACAGCTCCCAGCGTGAGCGACGCAGAAGACGGGTGATTTCTGCATTTCCATCTGAGGTACTGGGTTCATCTCACTAGGGAGTGCCAGACAGTGGGTGCAGGCCAGTGGGTGCGCGCACCATGCACAAGACGAAGCAGGGCGAGGCATTGCCTCACCTGGGAAGCGCAAGGGGTCAGGGAGTTCCTTTTCCGAGTCAAAGAAAGGGGTGACAGACGCACCTGGAAAATCGGGTCACTCCCACCCGAATATTGTGCTTTTCAGACCGGCTTAAAAAACGGCGCACCACGAGACTATATCCCACACCTGGTTCGGAGGGTCCTACGCCCACGGAGTCTCGCTGATTGCTAGCACAGCAGTCTGAGATCAAACTGCAAGGCGGCAGCGAGGCTGGGGGAGGGGCGCCCGCCATTGCCCAGGCTTGCTTAGGTAAACAAAGCAGCCGGGAAGCTAGAACTGGGTGGAGCCCACCACAGCTCAAGGAGGCCTGCCTGCCTCTGTAGGCTCCACCTCTGGGGGCAGGACACAGACAAACAAAAAGACAGCAGTAACCTCTGCAGACTTAAATGTCCCTGTCTGACAGCTTTGAAGAGAGCAGTGGTTCTCCCAGCACGCAGCTGGAGATCTGAGAATGGGCAGACTGCCTCCTCAAGTGGGTCCCTGACCCCTGACCCCCGAGCAGCCTAACTGGGAGGCACCCCCCAGCAGGGGCACACTGACACCTCACACTGCAGGGTATTCCAACAGACCTGCAGCTGAGGGTCCTGTCTGTTAGAAGGAAAACTAACAAACAGAAAGGACATCCACACCGAAAACCCATCTGTACATCACCATCATCAAAGACCAAAAGTAGATAAAACCACAAAGATGGGGAAAAAACAGAACAGAAAAACTGGAAACTCTAAAACGCAGAGTGCCTCTCCTCCTCCAAAGGAACGCAGTTCCTCACCAGCAACGGAACAAAGCTGGATGGAGAATGATTTTGACGAGCTGAGAGAAGAAGGCTTCAGACGATCAAATTACTCTGAGCTACGGGAGGACATTCAAACCAAAGGCAAAGAAGTTGAAAACTTTGAAAAAAATTTAGAAGAATGTATAACTAGAATAACCAATACAGAGAAGTGCTTAAAGGAGCTGATGGAGCTGAAAACCAAGGCTCGAGAACTACGTGAAGAATGCAGAAGCCTCAGGAGCCGATGCGATCAACTGGAAGAAAGGGTATCAGCAATGGAAGATGAAATGAATGAAATGAAGCGAGAAGGGAAGTTTAGAGAAAAAAGAATAAAAAGAAATGAGCAAAGCCTCCAAGAAATATGGGACTATGTGAAAAGACCAAATCTACGTCTGATTGGTGTACCTGAAAGTGATGGAGAGAATGGAACCAAGTTGGAAAACACTCTGCAGGATATTATCCAGGAGAACTTCCCCAATCTAGCAAGGCAGGCCAACGTTCAGATTCAGGAAATACAGAGAACGCCACAAAGATACTCCTCGAGAAGAGCAACTCCAAGACACATAATTGTCAGATTCACCAAAGTTGAAATGAAGGAAAAAATGTTAAGGGCAGCCAGAGAGAAAGGTCGGGTTACCCTCAAAGGGAAGCCCATCAGACTAACAGCGGATCTCTCGGCAGAAACCCTACAAGCCAGAAGAGAGTGGGGGCCAACATTCAACATTCTTAAAGAAAAGAACTTTCCACCCAGAATTTCATATCCAGCCAAACTAAGCTTCATAAGTGAAGGAGAAATAAAATCCTTTACAGACAAGCAAATGCTGAGAGATTTTGTCACCACCAGGCCTGCCCTAAAAGAGCTCCTGAAGGAAGCGCTAAACATGGAAAGGAACAACCGGTACCAGCCGCTGCAAAATCATGCCAAAATGTAAAGACCATCGAGACTAGGAAGAAACTGCATCAACTAACGAGCAAAATCACCAGCTAACATCATAATGACAGGATCAAATTCACACATAACAATATTAACTTTAAATGTAAATGGACTAAATTCTCCAATTAAAAGACACAGACTGGCAAGTTGGATAAAGAGTCAAGACCCATCAGTGTGCTGTATTCAGGAAACCCATCTCACGTGCAGAGACACACATAGGCTCAAAATAAAAGGATGGAGGAAGATCTACCAAGCAAATGGAAAACAAAAAAAGGCAGGGGTTGCAATCCTAGTCTCTGATAAAACAGACTTTAAACCAACAAAGATCAAAAGAGACAAAGAAGGCCATTACATAATGGTAAAGGGATCAATTCAACAAGAGGAGCTAACTATCCTAAATATATATGCACCCAATACAGGAGCACCCAGATTCATAAAGCAAGTCCTGAGTGACCTACAAAGAGACTTAGACTTCCACACATTAATAATGGGAGACTTTAACACCCCACTGTCAACATTAGACAGATCAACGAGACAGAAAGTCAACAAGGATACCCAGGAATTGAACTCAGCTCTGCACCAAGCGGACCTAATAGACATCTACAGAACTCTCCACCCCAAATCAACAGAATATACATTTTTTTTCAGCACCACACCACACCTATTCCAAAATTGACCACATAGTTGGAAGTAAAACTCTCCTCAGCAAATGTAAAAGAACAGAAATTATAACAAACTATCTCTCAGACCACAGTGCAATCAAACTAGAACTCAGGATTAATAATCTCACTCAAAGCCACTCAACTACATGGAAACTGAACAACCTGCTCCTGAATGACTACTGGGTACATAACGAAATGAAGGCAGAAATAAAGATGTTCTTTGAAACCAAAGAGAACAAAGACACAACATACCAGAATCTCTGGGACGCATTCAAAGCAGTGTGTAGAGGGAAATTTATAGCACTAAATGCCCACAGGAGAAAGCAGGAAAGATCCAAAATTGACACCCTAACATCACAATTAAAAGAACTAGAAAAGCAAGAGCAAACACATTCAAAAGCTAGCAGAAGGCAAGAAATAACTAAAATCAGAGCAGAACTGAAGGAAATAGAGACACAAAAAACCCTTCAAAAAATCAATGAATCCAGGAGCTGGTTTTTTGAAAGGATCAACAAAATTGATAGACCACTAGCAAGACTAATAAAGAAAAAAAGAGAGAAGAATCAAATAGACACGATAAAAAATGATAAAGGGGATATCACCACCGGTCCCACAGAAATACAAACTACCATCAGAGAATACTACAAACACCTCTACACAAATAAACTAGAAAATCTAGAAGAAATGGATACATTCCTCGACACATACACTCTCCCAAGACTAAACCAGGAAGAAGTTGAATCTCTGAATAGACCAATAACAGGATCTGAAATTGTGGCAATAATCAATAGTTTAGCAACCAAAAAGAGTCCAGGACCAGATGGATTCACAGCCGAATTCTACCAGAGGTACAAGGAGGAACTGGTACCATTCCTTCTGAAACTATTCCAATCAATAGAAAAAGAGGGAATCCTCCCTAACTCATTTTATGAGGCCAGCATCATTCTGATACCAAAGCCGGGCAGAGACACAACCAAAAAAGAGAATTTTAGACCAATATCCTTGATGAACATTGATGCAAAAATCCTCAATAAAATACTGGCAAACCGAATCCAGCAGCACATCCAAAAGCTTATCCACCATGATCAAGTGGGCTTCATCCCTGGGATGCAAGGCTGGTTCAATATATGCAAATCAATAAATGTAATCCAGCATATAAACAGAGCCAAAGACAAAAACCACATGATTATCTCCATAGATGCAGAAAAAGCCTTTGACAAAATTCAACAACCCTTCATGCTAAAAACTCTCAATAAATTAGGTATTGATGGGATGTATTTCAAAATAATAAGAGCTATCTATGACAAACCCACAGCCAATATCATACTGAATGGGCAAAAACTGGAAGCATTCCCTTTGAAAACTGGCACAAGACAGGGATGCCCTGTCTCACCACTCCTATTCAACATAGTGTTGGAAGTTCTGGCCAGGGCAATCAGGCAGGAGAAGGAAATAAAAAGTATTCAATTAGGAAAAGAGGAAGTCAAATTGTCCCTCTTTGCAGACGACATGATTGTTTATCTAGAAAACCCCATTGTCTCAGCCCAAAATCTCCTTAAGCTGATAAGCAACTTCAGCAAAGTCTCAGGATACAAAATCAATGTACAAAAATCACAAGCATTCTTATACACCAACAGCAGACAAACAGAGAGCCAAATCATGAGTGAACTCCCATTCACAATTGCTTCAAAGAGAATAAAATACCTAGGAATCCAACTTACAAGGGATGTGAAGGACCTCTTCAAGGAGAACTACAAACCACTGCTCAAGGAAATAAAAGAGGATACAAACAAATGGAAGAACATTCCATGCTCATGGGTAGGAAGAATCAATATCATGAAAATGGCCATACTGCCCAAGGTAATTTACAGATTCAATGCCATCCCCATCAAGCTACCAATGACTTTCTTCATAGAATTGGAAAAAACTACTTTAAAGTTCATATGGAACCAAAAAAGAGCCCGCATCGCCAAGGCAATCCTAAGCCAAAAGAACAAAGCTGGAGGCATCACACTACCTGACTTCAGACTATACTACAAGGCTACAGTAACCAAAACAGCATGGTACTGGTACCAAAACAGAGATATAGATCAATGGAACAGAACAGAGCCCTCAGAAATAACGCCGCATACCTACAACTATCTGATCTTTGACAAACCTGAGAAAAACAAGCAATGGGGAAAGGATTCCCTATTTAATAAATGGTGCTGGGAAAACTGGCTAGCCATATGTAGAAAGCTGAAACTGGATCCCTTCCTTACACCTTATACAAAAATCAATTCAAGATGGATTAAAGATTTAAACGTTAGACCTAAAACCATAAAAACCCTAGAAGAAAACCTAGGCATTACCATTCAGGACATAGGCATGGGCAAGGACTTCATGTCCAAAACACCAAAAGCAATGGCAACAAAAGCCAAAATTGGCAAATGGGATCTAATTAAACTAAAGAGCTTCTGCACAGCAAAAGAAACTACCATCAGAGTGAACAGGCAACCTACAACATGGGAGAAAATTTTCGCAACCTACTCATCTGACAAAGGGCTAATATCCAGAATCTACAATGAACTCAAACAGATTTACAAGAAAAAAGCAAACAACCCCATCAAAAAGTGGGCAAAGGACATGAACAGACACTTCTCAAAAGAAGACATTTATGCAGCCAAAAAACACATGAAAAAATGCTCATCATCACTGGCCATCAGAGAAATGCAAATCAAAACCACTATGAGATATCATCTCACACCAGTTAGAATGGCAATCATTAAAAAGTCAGGAAACAACAGGTGCTGGAGAGGATGTGGAGAAATAGGAACACTTTTACACTGTTGGTGGGACTGTAAACTAGTTCAACCATTGTGGAAGTCAGTGTGGCGATTCCTCAGGGATCTAGAACTAGAAATACCATTTGACCCAGCCATCCCATTACTGGGTATATACCCAAATGACTATAAATCATGCTGCTATAAAGACACATGCACACGTATGTTTATTGCGGCATTATTCACAATAGCAAAGACTTGGAACCAACCCAAATGTCCAACAATGATAGACTGGATTAAGAAAATGTGGCACATATACACCATGGAATACTATGCAGCCATAAAAAATGATGAGTTCATGTCCTTTGTAGGGACATGGATGAAACTGGAAACCATCATTCTCAGTAAACTATCGCAAGAACAAAAAACCAAACACCGCATATTCTCACTCATAGGTGGGAATTGAACAATGAGATTACATGGACACAGGAAGGGGAATATCACACTCTGGGGACTGTGGTGGGGTGGGGGGAGGGGGAGGGATAGCATTGGGAGATATACCTAATGCTAGATGACGAGTTAGTGGGTGCAGCGCACCAGCATGGCACATGTATACATATGTAACTAACCTGCACAATGTGCACATGTACCCTAAAACTTAAAGTATAATAAAAAAAAAAAAGAAAAGTAAAAAAAAAAAAAAAAAAAAAAAAAGATTTTAACTTAATCACCTGTGTGAAATCCTTTGTCATGTAAGGTAACATATTCACAGATCTGGGGATTAAGATGTGGATGTTTTTGAGAAGCCATTATTCTGTTTAACACACTAGCTTTGACTTTTTTTCAGAATGTTAAATTTATATAATATTGCCTGATGTTCTGCTTCTGAAAGTTCCAATTCTACTTTAAAATATTCAAAAATGTAGTCACCTCCCAACACACCTTCTAGAATCCTACTCTCTCTCTTTCAAATAATCTTGCATAACTATTATCCCTGACATCCTGACCAGAAAACATGATGAAAGAGTAACATGATGTACAAGAACATGGGCACTAGGTTAAAACTGCCTAGATTCAAATCCCGGCTGGAGTACTTGGCTAATCTTTAGTGAAGCTCTACTAACAACAATACACCTAATATCTTCATCCAAATATAAAGACGATAATGGCATCTACTTATTAGACTTATTTTAATAACTAAGAAAGACAATTCAGAAAAGTGCATGTCACAGAATAAGTGCTCAATAAATGTTAGCTAGTTCCCTCATCACTTCTGTATCAGTCAAGACAGGCTAAGTTTGTTGCAGTAAAAAATAAAACTAAAATATCAGTGGTTTACAGCAACAGAGGGTTCTTTTTTACTCAGGTCTCTTGTAGGTCAACAGGCCCCCTGTTCTTCATAGCCACTGATATTTCAGCCTAAGACCAGGCTGAAAGAGCAGTCATCTTCTCAAATATTGCCAATCATGATGATAGAGAAAAAGAGAATGCTCTGGAAAGTCATACATTATCAATTAAATACTCAGGCAAGAAATAACACATTTCACTTCTCTGTACAATTATTGTCACAAATGAATCACATGACTAAACCTAACCATAGGAGTGCAGAAAGTGTGATCAATGTGTCTGGAAAGAAAAGAACAATAATTATTTGGCTAACAGCACTATTTAACAACTGTATCTTCAAATTAAAACTATTTGAATCCTTATTCGTTTGCCTTTGGCATTGCCTTTATATTCAGGCCCTATTTGCACTTCCAGTGCAATTCCTATAGCTATGCCTTAAATGATATTTTCTTGGACCATTGCAATAATCTTACTAGTTTCATTATTTCTATCCTTCCATATTTTTAATGCATCCTTCAAACTGATATGGTTCTAATCATATCAGTTACTCCTCTAAAAGCTATTGATAATAAGACCATTCAGTTTATTAGTTAATAGCCTTGGATCAGGAGTCACACAGATGTAGATTGAAACAGATAAGCTAAACCAGATATGTGATCTTGAGACTATTACTTAAACTCTCTAAAACTTGGCATAGTTTTGAGGATTAGTGTTTGTACATTGCACATTTATTCACTATAAAACTTGTATTACCATAGTTCGATAAATGTTATTTCTTATTTTCTCCACTGCCTAAAGAATAAAGTACAGAGTTCCTAACATTCCATTCAAGCCTTTCATAGCCTGAGATTAACTTAATTTCCAGTCTTGTTTTCTCTGTGTTTCACTTCCACCCATGAATTTTAGATTGAAATTCTACCATCCTGAATTCCATAAATGCAGCATAAATTATCTTACTGTTACATCTTTTCACTGACTAAACCTATAGCCAGAAATGCCCATTTTCTCTTTAGCCTTTAGAAAGTTCCCCCATAGTCAAAGCCTATCTCAAACATCAGGCTTACTCATGAAGACTTCGGTGACGAACTAGTCAAAATGAATCATTTTCTTCTGTCCTTTTTTGTACATTTATTGTATCACTTATCTCCTGCTCCTTGCATTGCAGACCTTCTTTTATTTTTGCGTCCCTATGAGATTCTAAGGCCTTTGAGTCAATTCATCACGTGTGGACTGAGGTGCTGCTATATACCCAGTACTGGGCTAAGAACTGTGGACATATTAATTAATAAAACAGATGTGGGCCCAGCCCTTTGGGGCTATACTTTTTCCTGTGGTACCTTATATATGAGTGTTTGTTGAATTGAATTCTTTTCAAGGAATCCTTATATTCGTCCTGCCTCTGTCCTCTGGATTCTCTCCAGGTTCCATGTATCTTGTTTAAATTGCTTCAGCCAGCTGTAAACATGAGGCTCTAATAAAAGCTTTGCAAATGCTAAGGACTGTGAGAGGATTAACTCATGTCTCCTGTAGTTACACTCCTGTTTATATGTCCCAGAATCAAGCTTTACTTTGTGAACAGCAGGACTATATTGTGGCTATGTTTTGCTATATGTTAAAATATGTGTTGGGGAAAGACCAGATTCTCAGCCTGTACAACTATAAACATTTTCTCCAAATTGCCTACAATGTGATCCACCCCACAAAAAAATATATACAAAAACAAAGCTTTGAAGCTAGGTATTTTTCCAACTTGAAATGGAATAAAATATAAACTACCTAGCAACACTCCAGCACTTCTTTTTTTAATTAGCCAATGAAATGTGCCTAGAAAATTTGTTCCTCAGTCCTAAGAGATTTCTTCTTTGTGAAGTCTTACCTGTTCACCTCTGTGTTCCAGGCAGAAAAGTTTACTTGATCATTTGTATTCCCAAGAGAAAGAAATAGCAAAGTATGAAGAAAGGTCTCTGTCTCAGGAATCTGCGAACCTTAGGTTGAAATGGCGTCTCTATCACTGAATAAGATATGTCTTAACCATGTAACGTAACCTCTCTGAGCCTTAATTGTCTCATTTGTAAAGTGGAGTTAATAATATATATTTCATAAGGGGGTTTTGAAGATTAGCAAGATGGTGTATATTAGGCACTTAGCAGATATACGACATTTTGAATCACTCAGTTTATGGCAGTTATTAGGTCCTGTAGTTCTCTATCAACATGCCTTGTGAGACCATAAGCCCCTTGAGAACAGTGGAAATATTTTGAGAATGGTAATTATCTTGGTCACTGCTCCTATTGTCTAGCAGAGTGCTCACAAAATATTTGTTTACTGGACAATTTATAAAAGCTAGTTGTTTATGAGTTATACTGACTTTCTTTGACATCCATTATCTACGTGCCAATGAGCCCTCCTGATTTCACTGCCTGTCATTTTTCATTGAATGGTGACCCAAAGCTGGAAGATAGCAAGTGGACTGTTATTTGAATTGGTGTTACAGGATTAAGGATTTAAATATGGTAAATGAGATATGGATTGAGGAGCCTGTGCTAAAGAAATGCTTTTTTTATATTCAACTTGGAGGCAATGACTTCAAATCAAAAATTTTTAGCAATGACCTCAGAGTCCTCCTTAAAATTAGAATACATTTATCTCTTGCTTTGAATTTTTCTCTGTGTGTGGGTGTATATAAATATTCCTGAGCAAAGTGCCTGCTAAAGAGTAGTAGTCTTTTTTTTTTTTTTTCGGTAATAAATGTGTGTGCTCTCTTAGAGAGCATGAATAGAGTGATAGTAAAAGTAATTGTAATATCACACTAAATGCAAATTTAAAAGGTACAAGATCTCCATTTTATAGTCAATAAAATTTAAAGGGACAAAACCTAGTTTGGGCACTTTTGTCTTATAATCAATAAAGTGTCTCCTTTCCTTATTAGGCTATGTCGGCTTCAGTCAACCATTGTCAACAGCCAATTTTCTCTATCAGTGAAGCAAATCCTTATGAAACACATGGTACTAGTGTTACAGTTTTCCATTCTGTCCTGAAATGAAAAAGAAAAAAAAAACATTTTATTTTACTTTAAAAATTAAAAACCTGCAAGATACAAAGGAGAGTGAATTTTCAAGGTAACATAAAAGACTCTTTTTCACCTTTTCTTAAAACCAGAGGGAATTATCTATCTAGAGTATACACTGTCTCCAATCATGCCTTTTAAAACCCACTTATTAAATATGAACAGCAGATAGATATGGGACAGTTATCACCTTGGCAAATACCACAAGCAGAGACAGAAACGGTTGCTATAGCCAACCTAGGAGCAGGAAAGACAATGAAAGGCTATTTTACTTCAAAGCTAGTTAGAATCAAGGGGCTTAAGAAAAACTGAAAAAGAGTGGGAATCTTTTCCCCTATTCCTCATGTAATTAGCGTAAAATAGTGCTGGCCACATCGGAAGCTCAATATTTATTGAGTGTCCAGTGTCTTATCCGGTGACAGAAAACTGAAGTCTCCAGCTACTGGAAGTATATTCTCAAGAGTAGAAGGGCTTTTAACTAAGGCCAGAAAGCCTTTGGGACCACGGGAGGGAGAGAATGCAGCTGGATGGAGACCACACAGATTCTGCAAGCGATCTTACTTATTAGTCATCTAGGCAGGGCAGCGCTCAGAAAAGCAGAGCAGGGAAAGACAGTCAGCTAAGAAAAAGACTGACTGGCTCCTCGCATTCCTGGATGGAAGGGTTTCTTTTTCTGGCATAAGTATCTTCTAGGTCTGTAGGGCAGGGGATCTCCCAGCTGTCAAAACCCTCTCTTCACTTTTCTGGTTAACTGCCAAACCAGAACTGTCAGTCAGGAGCTGCTGGTTGCCGCAGTGTGGCTCACATTACTCCTTGCTGCCTGGGCCTGGGGGCGTTCTGGAGAGACTTACTTCTAGAGGGTCACTGGGGACCAGCTTCAAACCTAGGTAGAGTTCTGAAGAGGCCAGGTGCAACAAATGCCACTGAGGCTGGGCAGCCCCACTTTGTGAGGCAGAAGGAGCTTCAGAGATAAGGGTCAGGAGGGAGAAGAAAGCTCTGCTCTTTCTAAGGTGCTTGAACTGGCATCGAAAAGAAGATATTTCTTCTTGGAAGCTAGACCCAGAAGCAACCTCTGCTACTATGGGAACAGCTGTGGGAGCTCTTCGGGGTTGGCTAAATTCCAGGATTCAGGGTTGGCAATCTGAGAAGCCTCTCTAGCTTTTGGTTCTGAATTGATCATCACAAAAAACTGAAGGTTTAACTGAATAAATTCAGAGTCTGTTGTTTCAGGTGCAACTTATTCCTACTAAGTTTAAAGATATAAGCACAACTATCATACTTTCAGTTTCTCCATAATCAAAAGCAATACAAATGCAGAATTTTAATCTTTATGGAGATTTTCATCTCCATGCACTGGGACTTGGTGATTTACACATGTAATTCCCATTAACACTAATAAGAGATAGACTGTGCACACCAATCCCCCTGTGTCAAATGAGAACTGTATACTAATAAATACATTTTTAATTCTGATTTTATGCAGATTTAATGTAATATTTTATAGAACACTTAGAAAACCCTATGGAGACAAAGGTTGTCTCAATTAATTCTCCCTAACAGAGACGCATATTCATACAAACTCCTACTATTTTTACAAGAATATTTACTTCTTTTGTACAGGAGAAAGGATTTAACTGGACATAATTGAATCTATATTGTGGTAAGATTTCAAGTGCAAATTGTTCTTTGTTTGCAAACATACCTTCTTTACAGGTAACAACCTCAGGACTCCTCAGAGATTTTTTTTTTTCCAGGTGACATTTTAAAATTGATGTCAATCTTATTATAGTGACTCAATCTTATTATAGTGCTTTAGTGCCACCTCCTGGACAAATCTTTAAAAGCAAGCTCTGCAGAAATTGCACGAACTTAACCTTTCCCAAACCAAGAAACAATTAGTTGAAGAGTCCACTAATAATCAAAAGAAAAAAAGGGATTTTAAAAAATAAAGAAGAATAACAAGAAGAAAAGATAAACTGGTCAAAGAAAAAAGTTTCTTTTTTTGGTTTTTAAAGTAGGAATAAAGAGAAAAAGAATGGAAGGGATCAACTATAGGAAGAATAGTTAGGTCTAGGACTGATGGACTTTTTTTATGTTGTTTAAAATTTAGCTTATTTTTTCTATAGACACATTTTTAGAAAACCCAAAGGTAATAAAAAATTTAAATGTACTGTGTATACATGAGAATGAAATAAATATTCAGAGCAGATTACCTCAAATCTATTAATTAGCTCAAATATTATGGAAATACAAATAACCAAAGTCATTCATTTAGGATTTAGTAAAAGGAACAAGAATATAAGTAACAGGAGGTTGTAAAATTTAAATAGATTTAAATAATTACAGAGTTGACTTTTTAGAAGTGAAGTTCTCTCACAGAAACAATCAAAACAGCACATATGGTGTTTGAGAAAGAAAATTAAATTTTAAAAATGTAGTTATCTTTAACTCAGTATAGAATATAATGCAAAGATACAGTCCTCAGCAGAAGCAAGTGTTGATTTATCTGAATCTAACAATACGGCTTCTAACAAAGTACATGGGGTCTCTAAAGACATGATTTCTGAAAGGCCATGTGTTCTCAGGTGAGTGTTTTGAACCATCCAACACGCATTTCAGCATCGGGATATTATAGCTTCTAAGACTTCTAAGACCTTCTAGCCCAGGCCCCCTATCCACTAACTCCTTAGAGAAAAAAGAAGGGAAAATGTTCCTTTTTTATCCACAGATCTCACTTTTAAAAAATCAGTACATTGAAAATACAATCCTACTTCAAACAATGAGTGTTTACTGAATTTGAATGTGATGATCTGGCACATGTGATCTGAAAAATGAAATGGAGGCCACTAAGCGTCCTTACACTAGGCTTAATGCTAATTGTGAAAAGATAATTGGAATTTTAAAAATCTCCCCATTTTAAGCAATCACAGATTTATCAGGGTGTTTTAAAAAATACTAAAGGCCGGGCGCGGTGGCTCACGCCTGTAATCCCAGCACTTTGGGAGGCCGAGGCGGGTGGATCATGAGGTCAGGAGATCGAGACCATCCTGGCTAACAAGGTGAAACCCCGTCTCTACTAAAAATACAAAAAATTAGCCGGGCGCGGTGGCGGGAGCCTGTAGTCCCAGCTACTGGGGAGGCTGAGGCAGGAGAATGGCGTGAACCCGGGAAGCGGAGCTTGCAGTGAGCCGAGATTGCGCCACTGCAGTCCGCAGTCCGGCCTGGGCGACAGAGCGAGACTCCGTCTCAAAAAAAAAAAAAAAAAAAAAAAAAAAAAAAAAAATACTAAATTATTTTTATCTTGCTGGAACAAGAGGGAGGAAATTTAAGAAGACAGACTTAAAACATACAGCATTTTATTTTATTTTATTTTATTTTATTTTTATAGGCCAACAACCTTGAAAAGGCAGTCTCTTAGCAAACCAGGACTTAGAAAATGAAACATCTCTAATTTGAATTAGATCACTGATTGTTTTACCTCTGTATCTTAATGTTCTGTAGGATGTTTTCACACATATATGCACAAACATATGCAGAGAGATACACAAACAAATCTTTTTATTCTGTCAATTTAAGGCAAATTTTAGGTGTAGACAACCTTTACTTTTCTTCCAGATTCTAAGCAAATGGTTATTTGTACTTGAATGGGATCTGGAACGTTGCAGGGTAAGGGTTTTTATATTAGATTGAATCATATTGAGATCATTTATTTTTTCCACAGTTAGGGAAGCTGTTGGAAAAAGAATAAAAGCTGTTTCTATAAATACCACCAAAGAAGACATTTAAAATGAGTATGTGTTTTTTTTCCTTAAACTAGGATTTCAATCATTTTTATGTCTATTCCACAAGAAAAGCCCTAATATTATATAGCTCTTTTGACATTCTCAGGTACTATAATATTGTCTCCTTGATGCACATGCCCAGCTTCTATTAAATACTAATAGTGACTCCACACATGCATCCTGAGGACACAGTAGCCCTGAGCAGCTTTTACTCCACATATAGGAATAAGGGATATGCTTTCTTGATGTCCTTTAACCATGCATTAAAATGGATTATATTTCCATTAATGTACCTCGGGAAAACAGATTGGCCAGTCCTCAAATTATATGGATGGAGACCAAGGAGATGGACCATCACCAATTCAAATTGGTTTTAAAAAAATAAGAATAGTTGATTAACCACCAGTGGGTGTGTCTAACTTATACATCTCTACCATTATACATCACACGTCTGTATCATATGTAAGAGTGTGATTACATATTTTTTCCTGGCCTTATCATCCAATGGGTACAAATGAGGGACATTAGTATATAAGCCTAAAATGTTATGTTTCTGAACTCCATCTGTACTCTTATTCCTTGCCTTCTTCTGTAGCATATTTCTCCAGTTCTCCCACAGTCATTTCTGGAAAATGTGAAGATTCAAACTAGATCACATATAAGTAAAAATCACCATGCTGTGTCTTGCTTTCCTTCTCTGACTTATTGTCCACAGTCATAGCCTGGAGATTTTGAGGGTACTTCTTTGACACTATAGTTGAAAGTACCCTTGACGAATATACCCAATGAACAATTTTCCAATACTTCCAGTCACCATTTTGGGGGTTCTAAAGAAACCAAGCTCCAGGCAAAGGGGAGAAAATAACACTTTTCTCCTGGACCATGAAAAAAGTACACTTCTACTTAAATTTCTTCAAGTGCAAAAACAAAAATATTTCTCATGTTTGTAACTCCCAATATTCAAAGGGTTAGGGCTCAAACCAATGTATGAATGCTGATAGAAGACAAATGCCAAACCATCTGCTTTCACTTTCATTTTTCTCTCTCTCCCTTTGCCACATACTCCAACCAAACTTCTTCCTTCTTCAAAAGTAATCAAGTAAAGTTCTATGCAGATCAACAAGTACCAAGAGAAGGAAGTCTTGTTGGTCTAACAGTGTTGGAGCCAAAACTCTCAACAAAGTGACAATTTTGACTAAAAGCTTACCTTTTATATATATATATCTTTAAACATATAAATATATATTTACATAGATATATAAATATATAAAAGGTAAGCTTTTAGTCAAAATTGTCATATATATAAAGATATATTGATATAAATATATAAAGATATATTGATATAAAGATATAAAGATATATTGTCATATTATAAGCTTTTAGTCAAATTGTCATATATATAGTCATATATATAAAGATATATATATACTTATATATCTTTATATATATATATATAAAAAGAAATTTTCCAAGCAGTAAATTTCTCACCCCCAAGATAAAATTTGTAAAGTTTCCTTAAACTCTTCACTATATCTATCTTCATCTGGTGCTGGTTATCACATCTCCACCCCTGTCTCTCTCTTTGTCTCTCTCATATGTGCTCAGGCAGGCACACATGCATACACGCACATAAACACACAAACTCTTACACACACATAGTATGTACTGCATATACCTGGAGGTGGTTCCTCCTTTTGTGGACCTCCAAGTTTTCCTGGGATATTACTACATTGAGTTAAATAAATGGTTGATTCCCACAATGTTTTGCTATATCTCAAGAGCATTCTACCTTCAGGGTTGTCATGAAGTTAAAAAAAATTCTCACAAAATATTAGGACCTTTATATATACTTAAACAAATTTTATTTAGCAAATTTCTAGATATATGAAAGGCAAATAAGAGGCAACCTCAACTACAAAAATATGAAAGTTTCATGAAGAAACAACCCACTATCTTCAGGGCTCTGAACATGAGTTTATTCATGAAATAATTGTCTTAATGTGAAAAGAATTACACAGGTACTTATGCAAAAAGACTTAAAGGCTTTGAAGGGAAGTAAAGCAAGAATATTTTAGATATCTATAATGTAGCGTATTTGTAGTTTTCTCTCTACATTGGTCTCAAAACAATATCTTAAATGGAAGAGCATTTTGTACCTACCAAGTTGTAAATCAAGGATTACAGACATATTGTGAACTAAAAGAATTTAAAGTAGCCTGTCCTTATTGTAAAAAAATTTTATTTCACACAACTTTATGAAGTAGTTATATAAAAAATAAAAATCTTCCTTTAATTATCCTTTCCTATAATAATAGAAAAAGTGAGTGACACTCTATGGAACTTAAAAATATAGAAGTTATACAAAAGAGACAGTATAGTAATTAATAAATTAAAATCTGAAAATAACCCAAATGTTGAATGGATAAGCAAACTCTTGTACACCCACATGATAGAATACTACTCAGCTATACATATGAGCAAACTATCAGTGCACATAATAATTCATATGAGAAAGGCTGAATGACAGAATTCAGTTTTAAAGGGTTACATTTTGAATAATTTCTTTTGTAAGACATTCCTAAAGAGGCAAAATTATATTTATGGAAAACAGATCAGTTGTTGCCAGTAGAAAGGGATGAAAGGAGGGTATAACCATGGAGTGGAAGCTTGAGGAAGTTTTTTTGGAATGATGCACCTGTTTTGTATCTTGATTATAGTAGAAACCACACATGTGATAAAATTCATGTAACTGAAAACCAAAATTGAAAGTCAATTTTCCTTTATGATATTTTAAATAAAGTAAAAGGATGTTATCAATGTACTATTATATAAAAAGTTAGAATTTTAGAAAATATATGTGACTTAAGTCACTGATAAGAAACAACCAAGGTCAGACACAGTGGCTCACGCCTGTAATTGCAGCACTTTGGGAGGCTGAGGCTGTCGGATCACAAGTTCAAGAGATCAAGACCATACTGGCCAACATGGTGAAACCCTGTCTCTACTAAAAATATAAAAATCAGCTGGGTGTGGTGGCACGCACCTGTAGTCCCAGCTACTCAGGAAGCTGAGGCAGGAGAATCACTTGAACCCAGGAGGCGGAGGTTGCAGTGAGCTGAGATCACGCCACTGCACTCCAGCCTGGTAACAGAGCAAGACTGTCTCAAAAAAACAAAAAACAAACAAAAAAATACATTAAATACATTTATGTAATTTATGTTTATAATGACTTTTTCTTCATCTATTTTATCCACTCATTTCATTTATCGAACAAGTGTTTCTTGGGGATGTACTATACCTTATAAGCAGGTAGGCTGGTTGTGATACCAGGATAGTATTTCTGGTGAGAAATGATGTCAACCTAGATTGTGTGAAAGTTGAAACTGAGAGGATATGATTATGTACAGGGTATGGGGGGTTTCCAGTTCACATAACTGAGTAGATGGTGGTGTCACTGGAAAAGAGTTTGTGTTGTGCTTATTTTTCTTTTCTACAGGAGATGGCTATAAATCATTTGTTTAGTTTTGGTCATATTTACTTTGTGGTCCCTTTACCACAACCACGAGAAAATATCAAGTGGCAATTCCGTGTACTGGTCTGGAACTTGGGAGCTATCGTAAATCTAGAAACATCCATTTCTGAGTCATTTGCATATTGAGAACAATTTAATCCACAGGTATTCATGATATAAGGTACAATCTGTAGTATAAAATGAGCAGAGAAGATTACCTAAAAGTGACCCTTGGTAATACCAATTTTTATTGAGTAGGTACAGAAGAACGAACCTCCACAAAAGAAATAGAGAATAAATGACCTGAGAAGAATGAAGGAAAGCAGATATGACATAGAAACTAAGAAAAGAGATTTTTTTTCAAGAAGATTGAGTCAAAAGGACAACATCTTGCTGAAAGTTCAAGTAAATTACTGACAGTTATACGAAGGATTTGGGAAGATGGGGGACATTTTTTGTCTTACTACATATTGTTTTGATGGAAAGATGAGGTTGGAATCCTGGCAGAACTAAACTAATGAGTAAATTGGTTGAAGGTTAAAATGGATAATTTTAGAGAATTATGTTGAGAAGTTTGGATAATAAACTTTGAGGAGGGAAAGAAGGCGGGGGCATGAAGCTAGAAGCAGCTAATGGCTAACTAATACAATGAAGCAGAACAAATTAAACAGTCAGGCTGATCTGATTTGGAACATTTCCAAGTACATGTGATGAAAAAGAAAAACAGAGAGAAAGGAAATTTAAGACGCTGGCAAGGGTGTTGTTGAAATGATGAATCACGGAATGTAACCTCGTTCAAGAGTCAGGAAATGTAGCTGTTGACAAAGGAATGAGTATGCACAAGAAGTGACAAGTGACACAGATGGTGTCCATCAGTTGCAAAAGGGATAGTTGAATAAATACACAGAACATATAGGAGAATATGGTAAAGAGTGTATGAGGTTTAAATTACTTATTTTGAAGGAAAAAAAAATAGAGGTGATGGCGTGATGTTAGGAATGACTACTGGAGCAGATTTTTAAAGTGGAGTGAAGGAGAAAGTCATGGGAGAAAAAGAGGTCAGGATACAGAAGCCTGGATCCTGAAGGATTCCTCTTGCTTGTTCTGAAGATATGCAGTATGATGGCAGCAAACTAGGTGACAGTCTTCAATACATGGGCTTGAGCTAAAAGAACTAGTGTTTCGTTTTGTTTTGTTTTGTTGAGACGGAGTTTTGCTCTTGTTGCCCAGGCTGGAGTGCAATGGCGCCATCTCTACTCACCGTAACCTCTGCCTCTCGGGTCCTGCCTCAGCCTCTCTAGTAGCTGGGATTATAAGCATGCGCCGCCACGCCCGGCTCATTTTGTATTTTTAGTAGAGACGGGGTTTCTCCATGTTGGTCAGGTTGGTCTGGAACTCCCGACCTCAGGTGATCCACTCGCCTCGGCCTCCCAAAGTGCTGGGATTACAGGCATGAGCCACCGCACCCGGCCAAGAATTAGTGTTTTATACAAGAGTGGAAAAGGAATGGGCTGGAGATGATAATGGAGATCAATGAGGACACACTAGCTTAATCCCTGGTCATGAGTTATGCAAGACGAGAAAAAGTTAAAAGAAAAAGGCACAAGTGGTGTCCTTAGGAAGGAAGCCGTTTATAGTTAAAACAAGAAGATGGTGTGAACACTGAGATAAAAAGTCAAAGACACAATGGAGATCTCCAATTACGGAGGAGCAAGTTCAGAGGATACAGTGAAGGGTTTAGTAGGTGCAGGAGTGTAGCCCAGGGGCAAAGTCGTGCAGAATGTTGTAGAAAGCATGGAACAATAGAGCATAGATGGCCAGAGAAGAAGACAATTGGATCTTTAACTTACACGGGAATCAGTGTGAGAAGTTAGATACAACAGTCTTGCTGAGGACAGTAGATACTTATTTTATCATTTAACTTGATTGCCAGGCCAGATGCCCTGAACACTGCCTATTATGTGAGTTGGTTGTTGGAAAACTCAGAAACTGTCAACTACACACACTGTATGGGCTGGTTGGCAGCAGATCCACAAACAATAGACTAATTTGCTGAGGCTTCTGAATATTAATTCAAATATTGGACATGTTAAAAAAAAAAACTTCCAAGACTGTTGATAGTTGTAGCCTGCCTATGCTTCTAGAGTAGAAAAAAAAAAAAGCTGATTTAATATCTGAAACAATGATGAAGCATGAAATCATGTTCAGCTTTTGGTATGATTAATTACTTCTCAACTTAAATATGGAGTTGAATTTCTTGGCAAGTAGTCTTGGTCTTTAGGCTTGAAATTTTTGGCAAACGTAGCAAAATGTAGCAAAATCTGCTCCCAGTTAGACATGACAATGTACGGTTACATATTAAATACAAAAGGGGTATTTCCTACTATGAGCCTCTTTTAATTAGAGGAAAAAGTACTTCCTAGGAGGCCCAGAAGACCTCAACTCAGATCCCACTAACTATGATTGAGTCACATGCTTTCAACCTAGCCACAGGAATGCCCCAAAGCATGTTTCTGGGGACAACTCAGCCTTTATAGTGGGGAATTTTGGCTGCATGGGCAAAGAGGAAATGAGAGGGAAAGGAAATGATTAAGAGGTGGGCCATCAGTCCAGTCTGCCTTAAGAAGGCTAGACACCCTCTTACTGCATGGTAGTGTCTGTGTGGGGCGGGGGAAAGGGTTTGTAAACAAATGTCTAAATATATTAAGGTTATTTTGTAAATTTATTTTCCAGTTTGTTATGTTTCTTAATTTTATTTATAGAACCTATTATTCCTTACAGAAACTTTTAACGTTTATGTAGGGAACTCTATCAGCCATTTCCTTTATAGTTTCTGGCTTTAGGTCATGCATAGAAAGTTGTCCTCTACAAAGATTCCAAATACTCACTTCTATTTTCTTCAACTGTTGTCAGACTTTTACTTTTTAATATGAAATTCATTGCTCTATCTGAAATTGATTTCAGCAAGGTATGGATTTTCACTACATTTCTCTCCCAAAGGCTAACTAGTTTTCTCAGCATCATTTGTTGAATAGCCAATCTGTTATCTATGGATTTGAAATACTATATTAACAAAATGCTAAAAATACATATAAAACCAAGACAGGTCCTAAACTCTTTCTTTTTTTTATTCATCAATTTGATCTTGTTTTAGTCCTATATTTTAATATATGAATGGAAAGAGGAGAAAAGATGGATATGAACATATCAAATTCAGTCTAAACTATACCTGGAGAATTACAGATTTGCACTCACATTTTTAGATAAGCCCAAAAACCTCATATATGACCAGTAAACTTCATTCTGGAAATGAGAAGACCTGAAACTGTCTGTCCCTATCTGTCCCTACATTTGTCAGCCTATTCAGCTGCAGGCTCCGAAGATTCTGCTTAAAAATTCCAGCTCCCTTCCTCTCAGCAGCCAGCACACTTTTCATTCATTTAACAAATATACCTAATGTAAATGACTAGTTAATGGGTGCAGCACACCAACATGACACATGTATACATATGTAACAAACGTGCGCATTGTGCACATGTACCCTAGAACTTAAAGAATCATAAAAATATATATATATATAATACAAAACAAAATAAAAAAACAAATAGTTACTGATCTCCTACTACGTGACAAGTGCTGTTCTAGAACATAGGAATAATTGTGGTTGAGATAAAGTCCTTGCTTTCATGATACAAGTAGGCAAATAAGATAATTTTATACAGTGATAAGTACAAAGAATAAAAGAGAGCAAGGTGGTGAGATTGAAAGTAACTAGAGTCTGCTGAAGACTTTCAAATAGGTAGTCAGGGAAATTGAGATGTAACATGAGACAAGACCTGAGTGGTGAGCAGGAGCCAGGCATGAAAAGCCCAGAGGCTGAGCATTTAACAGAGGCAATTTCAAGTGCAAAAATCTGGGACTGGAATGAATTTAGAATTGGCATACTTAAGGAAAAAATAAATGCTAGATCACAGTGTAGGGTGGTGGCTGTGAGACTGGGAAAAGAGGTTAGAGGGCTAGACAGGAAAGCTGACCGAGCAGGACTTTGAAGGCCATGGAAAGGAGACAGGGTTTCAGACTCAAGAGCTGGTAGGGTTTTCAATAAGCTTGCTGCCCTCGATTCAGTATCTCATATATTTAGGAAATCCTTCGTGAGCGTCCTGCTTTAACTTTCATTACTGCTGCCATCAAAATTCTTCCTCTACCATTCTCTTGCCTATGGTCCCACTGGAACCATGAGTAGTGATAACACTCTTCTATCAGAACATTTGCAGAAAATGCAACTGACTTTGTCACCTTTGTTAGAAGTTCTGTGAAATTTTTCCTGATAGTATTTCTTTTTCTAGTGTTTTATCATGCTCTTATTATATTGATAATAGCAGTTAACATCTATTAATGCTACTTACTATGCAGCAGGCAATGTTCTGGGGGTTTCACATGTATTAACTCATTGAATCTTCATAGCCATCCTGTGGAGCGGGAACAGTAATTATTCCCACTTAACAGATGATGGAACTGAAGCGTAGACTCTGCCCATGGTCACACACTTAGTTAGAGGCGGAGCAGGGATTTGAATACAAGAAAATAGGTCTCCAGAGCCTGACGGCTTAGCCATTATGATTTGCTGCATCCCCAAAGCACTTGTCAGTGGTGCTGTGTATTTGATTGATGCTGAATATCTTAGAGAAACAGCAGAGAAGAATTATTGAAGAAATGCAACTTCCTAATGTCAGTGGCCAACAATGTGCCTATTATTAGACTTTGTACACAGATTTCTTTATTTAAAACTCACAGAAACCCTATTAAACAGGGATTCCTTCTGTCTGGTGCCATAGCCAATTTCTAATATCATTCTACTACTGCCTCTCAATGTCTAGCAATGCCCTAAGCATCCTCAGAAGAGAATCTTGGACAGAGCCCTTAGAGTCATTTTTTAGGCCAGAGAACTACATGTTTTGTCCTGGTGAAGTTCTTCTGAATAATGGAAACCAACAGAAACAAGTGCTCCTCTCTCATTGGCTCACCTATGCTGGAGCTTATTAGGGAATTGTGTCTGACACACAGGTGATATTCACTTAATGTTCGTGCAGTGGATAAATAGTGCCCCTGAAATGCAAATGAATTCGGCCTCTCCCACTATTATTTTCAGTTTTTAGAAACAGCACTCTTAACTCTTCTCATTCTCTTCTATTTCCTTGGTTTTTATCTAAATAGTATATAGCATGTACATGGGTCAGGCATTGTTTAAATGCTTCACAAATAATCTAAAAATCTCACAACAACCCCATGAGGTAGGCACTATTGTGCTCCCATTCTGCAGATATGAAAAATGAGGCATGAGATATTAATTAACTTTTGCAAAAATCACAAAGCTACTAAATAGTAGCACCAGGCCTTAAACCGCAAGCCTGACTCCAACTTCTGAGCTATTTATCCACCTTGACACTGGCTTAATACACGTTGTTGACACTGAAAACTTCCTCATGCTTCGCTAACCCAATGGCAAAAGTGAGGAGTCATTTATATTTATGTTTACATTATTATAATATCTTAAATCCACTGTCCCTTTACCTGAGGTAATTTCCATTCCTTCCGGAATTCTATTCTATACAAATATTTACACAAATCCCCAGAGCTGCTTGCACTCTGTTCATAAATCAGTCCTTGTCAGAGATCCCCTGTTGCCAATGGCATCACTCAAGGCTGAACTCTACAATTGATGGTGTCCCACACTCCCCCAGGCCATTCCATTTGCCTCTGGCCTTATAGCCTGCTGCTATTACCCCCAATGGACTTTCACGGCTAACAGTGGAGCCAAATATCCAGCGTCTTTGATAGCCCATCTAAAAATGCCAGCAGTCCTTTGAGATATAAAACATGCTGTTTCCTTGGTTTCATAGGTCAAAGAGAAGGATGTACGCTCCTCACATACATTCAGACAGAGGCTAACCACAACAAAGCTACCTGGACCCAAAATATTATACTCTTTAGTGGCACAGCACTTTCAATTCACACACCTGTCTTTCTCCTTAAAGAATACGCTAGATCTGACTAATCCCTCAAATCAGCCTATCCCTGTTCCCTCTGATGGGCCAGCCACTGCTGCAGCCCCTTTCAGCAGTCCACACCCTTTCCAGACACGGCTCTTCTTAGGGCCTTCTTTTTCCCTTTCCAATATTCTGGCATTGTCTGGACTCACCCTATTAGATTACATATATATATATATATATGTAACTTCAGTAGGGCAAAAGAGATCAGGGTTCTCATAATTACCCACATGCCACCTTCTGAAGAGTTATTTGGCCTTTCATGTAAATCCATAGCTTCAAACTGTGGAAGTGCTTCTCAGCTCCAACAGGCAAGTTTTTCAAAAAATGATATTGCCTAACAGCATCTAGTAACGAACCTATAGCCTTGGCCTTGCCCATCCAGAACAACTTACTACATTTTGCTGTGAGATTTGTTTGGTCTGCCATTGTGACTTTTGTCTTTCCTCGCCATGTTCCAAAATTCAAGATATTCACCTACACACAGATATTTTGAAGTATTATGTTAAAATCTATAATTAATTGTGAACTGCAGACCTTTTCCCCTAAGCTCCTAAATTTCCTTGATATTCTCAAAATCTTTTAAAGTTCCAAATTGTTCCAAAGTCAATTTCTTTTGTTCTTATTATATCTTGGAACTGATAAAATAAATGGATGATGTGCAAACTATCTTTCATAGCAATGTATATGTATATTCCAACCCAATAATGAAAAGTATCAATAGCAATGCTTTCAGAATGATTCCTCGTAAATAATGCTTATAGTTTTTTTTAGTATTCGTTAGGAAGAGAAAAACTCATCAACAAACCTAAATATTGCTGTTTCCTAAAGCTCAATCAGCTTCTTTGACACTATAATTGCTTAAGAGTTAGAGTATTCTAGATTCACATGTAACAGAGTAACCCCATTTTAAATTAATTCTAAAAGTGGCTTCTTCAAGCTCATACACAGCCCTTGAATCCTACAATGCCTTCTTCAAGACACAGAAAATATGAAAGTTTATTTCTTGTTTGGAGAGAAGAGGTTGGAAACCAGCCTAATCCTTCTCAAGAGCAAATCCAGAGGGAAGATCAAGAGAAATGGGCTCATTTACAATGGCCTCTTTCTTGATTTCCTTTTGAGAGAAAGTTTCAAGTAGTGTTTAACTGTATCTCTCAGTTTCCTAGAGATATGGTAGTGAGCTGACCAGTGTCCCCTGAAAATTATTGTTTCACTGCAACCTCAAAATGTGGTCTTTTTTGAAAATAATTTCTTTGCAGATATAACTAAGTTAAGATGAGTTCCCCCTGGATTAAAGTAGGCTTTAAATCTGATGACCAGCATCCTTGTAAGAAAAGAAGAGGGCACACAGAAAGACATGAGATCAAGTGACAATGGAGACAGAAATTGGAGTTATGCTCTCACAAGTCAAGGAACTCCTGGGTCCAAAAGAAGTTGGAAAAAACAAGGAAGAATTCTTCACTAGATCCCTCTTCAAAGGAATCATGGCCCTATTTATACCTTGATTCCAGACTTCTAGCCTTCTAAAATATGAGAGTCAATTTCTGTTGTTTTAACCCACCCAGTTTGTGGTACTTTGTTATGGTAGCCCTAGGTTACAAATTCATGTGGAAATGCTCATTTAACAGTGCTGTCTTAGATACCTTAGAAGACAAGTTTGAGAAGGCCTAGATAAATCACTGTTGTACCTGGAAGTTTTTATCAAGTAGAGCCACAGACTCTGGGACCAAGGTGCCTGGTGTATGGCAGTCTGCTTGGGCTGCCATAACAAAACACTAGAGACAGGTTGACTTAAACAATAGAAATGTATTTCCCACAGTTTGGGAAGCTGGGAATTCTGAAATCAGGGGGCCAGCCAATTCAGTTCCTGGTGAGAGCTCTCTTCCTGGCTTAAAGTGGTCTGCCTTCGCACTGTGTCCTCATATGGTAGAGAAAGATTGAATCCTCTCCGATATGTCCTTCTCCTCTTATAAAGACAGAAATACCATCAAATTAGGTCCTTCCCTTATGACCTCATTTAACTTTAATTACCTCCTAAAGTCTCTACCTCCACACCCTGTCACATTAGAGAGTGGGGCTTCCACAAGTGAATTTTGGTCCCTAGCACCTGGGTTTAGTACAAGTCCTCCACATTTTAGCTGTGTAATCCTGAACAAGCTATTCAACTTCTGTGGCCACCAATTTTCTCCCCTGTAAATGGGAATGATAATAAAACCTCATTCATAGAGTTGTTATAAAAATTACATATATTAATATATGTAAAATATTTTAAATAATACTGGGAACAAACTAAATACCACATAAAAATTAACTCTAGCTATAATTTTCTGGACATACATAAACCATGGCTTGGTCATACCAAACCATGACCTTTTTTTTTTCTTTTTCTATGATTGGTCCTGTAGAATAAGATGTTTTTTCTTATAATTATGGTATTATGGAAGAACACGGTATTCTTTGGGCACTCATTCATAGATTTTTGCTGTGTCCTAAGCTCCCACATTTTTAAACATGTATGATATTTGTAAAGCAACATTGCTCTTGTGGCTATTTGTAAACACTTGCCATCCCCCATGGGTACCGTAATGATATCATTGACCACATGAAAACCAGAAGAAAAATATACTGAGATTCTCTACCATCTACTTTAAACAAGAAATATTTAAGGAAGTTACTCAACAAATGGAGCTGTTGCCAAAATTTCAGATCTGAAGATCTTAGCAAATCAAAATTATTGAAAACCCAGCTTGCTAACAGGACTACATTGAAAGTATAATCACCTTCAAATTAACCAAACAATGCAAATTTGAATAATATTTGAAGGTAATATTATTTTTTAAAAACTTGATAAAGCCATGCTTAAAACATATATTTTTTAGAAAAAAATACCAGTGACATAATATTAGAGATATTTATAGCTAAGTCATGACTAAAGTGGGGGAAAGTGGACTGAGAATAATTATTCAGATTATGTTAATTTTTAAATAAGATATTTGGTTTCTAATGTTGCTTTCACAAACATTGTTTTTGAAGAAAATTTTAGTTTCAAACATTTCTTGAATATAATTATTTCACATCTACTAATATAATTAATTTACATATTCATAAATGCACATTTCAGAATCATATCAATTTAATTAGTATGATCATCCTCCTTCAGTCCCCAAAGTGTCCTGGTCTGGGGGATAAATGTATTCTCACTTTACTTACAAGTCTTGTAAGACATTGGGTTTTATTTTTGACAGAAATAAAAAGCCATTAGAGTCAAGGAGTGACATGGTGCAGTTTATAGATTATAGAGAGAACATAACACATTCCTATGTACATATTCAAAGATCACTCTATCTGCTCTGGGGTGAGCAAGGGCAGTATACAGAGAGACCACTTGGATGCACATTGCAATTATACAGGTGAGAGATGATAATGTTTTGGAACAGGGTGGTAGCAGAGAAGACAGTACAAAGGTAGAACCAAAAGCAAAGATTCAGATTTGGGATATAAAATGCTAGTTCAAAAGTAGAATCAAAAGTATTGTGACAGATTGAATGTTGCATGTGGGAAAAGGAGGAGTTTAGGCCTGACCAACTACTAGAAGGTTTCAGGGCCTGAGAAACTATACAAATGGAGATACTATTTTTAAAAATTAAGGAGCATTTTAGAGGATGGGATTTGCCCGCAGCAGGTAAGAAACTCCCAAGTTCAGTTTGAGACATTAAAATGAGATGCCTATTAGACATCTTTATCATACTTGCAAGACTGTAGAACATATGAGTCAGGTTTAGAAGACTTGACTGGAGATATAACTATGAAAATCATTAGATATTTAGTCATCATTTAAACCCAGAAGATTGAATTTGATTACCCAGGAATATGCCTAGGCAAAAAACAGAGGAGGTAAAGAAACAATCTCGAAGCTTCCATCATTTAAAGATAGGCCAGCAAATGAAATTGAAAAGGAGAGTCTAGTGTAACAGGAGGAAAACCAGAGCCATAGGATGCATCCGAGTCAAGTGCAGGAAATGTTTCAACAAGGCAGGTCATCAACTTTGTAAAATGCTGCTGATGAGCAGAGGTATTAGTCAAGATCCTCTAGAAAAACAGCACCAATAGTACCAAAGCACTCTCAAAGACACATCCAGAGATAACATTTCACCAGGTGTCTGAGCATCCCTCAGCCCAGTCAAACTGACACATAAAATTAACCATCACAGTCTAGTATGAGGAGAAGTGAGAATTAACCATTGGACTTCACAATGTAAAGGTCATGGTTCACATTGACAAGAGCAGTTATGGTGAAGTGGTGACGGCAAAAGCTTGAGTAGAGGAGTAGAATAAGATTATGTCCAAAATTTGCTTTTATATGCTTTAGCTAAAGAACAAAGAAAAGAGAAGGTAGATGTAGGCAGTATGGCAAATGGCAATAATTATTACATCTGAGTGATATGAAAGCAAGATTTAATCAAACTATTCTTTCTACTTTTGTGTATGTTTGAGTTTTTAAACAAAAAGTCCTAAAATAAGAGAATAAAAGGAGAGAATTAAAGATAGCAATTATACACAACTATTCTAAGTCGTTTTGTTAGGAAGAAAAAGCCCAGGAATAAGATGCTGGAGGGGTGCTTACTGGAGAGGGAGTAGAGTTCAGAGAGATTTTTTAGAGATACGAAAATTATATCCTATTTTTACGATATTCAAAACGATCCAGTAAAGAGGGAAAATTGATGGTGTACAAAAGGGAAAGAGGAGAATTGCTAGACAGATAATTGAGCGATTAAATAAATGGGAGAGAATGAACTATGCAATGGAGGGTTTCACATTTGATAGGACCACAGCATCACTTTATGAGTGATGTAGGGTTTATTGGCATAGTTGAAATTAACTGGGTAAATGTGGTAGAGAAAGTATGTAGCATTTTTATTTCAATTGTTCCTATTTCCTTAGTGAAATAAGCAGGGCCATAAGCTGAGAGTGAAGATGGATGAGAGGGTGCTTTAAGTTTAAGAAGGGAGCAGGAAATAGTTACCTAGGAAAACAGCAGAGTGAAAGGATTATGAATTCCAGTGGGTCAGTGATCATGATTGTGTGTTTTTCTCTAGTGTGAACAGCAGTACAGGTGTAGATGCTGAGTACAAAGACAGTTGGATTCATTCAGGGTTCATATTTTTCAGACTTATACAATAAAAGGCAAGACAATCAAGGTTATATGCAGGGGAGTGATGAATAAGAGAGAAAGTAAAAAGATTACAGATTCAGCAGATTGCAGGTCTCAGTAGGATGTACGGCATCTAATAGTAATGAGAATCTGGGCCATGAATTTATTTATATGTTGACTGCATTAAAATGTGAAAGTATTTTCATTAAAACACAACACAAAAGTGGAAAGAGATCTTGAAGGTTGAAAAATATATATTTTTTATGTTTCAGTACAATATATAGTTCACACAACTACAATATATTTTTTAAACTAAAAACAGTAACAAACATGATGCACAGGAAATTCACAGGAGAGGCCAATAAACATATGAAATCATACTCCATTTTACTAGCAATTAGGAAAATAATAAATATAAATTAAAATCACAATGAAATATCATTTTATAATAATTGAGTTGGCAAACATTTTTAAAGTTGTTTAATATCAAGTGTTGGCAAAGAAAGGAAGCATCACGAATGTTTATACACTGCTGCTGGTGGATCTGGGAATTGGGACAACCACTTGGGAGAATGTATAAAATAGCATTGTTTGTTTTTTTTTAAAAAGAAAATTATTTAAATATCTATTAGCAAGAGAATAAAGAAATAAATGTTGGTATATTCATACCATGGGGAACATAAATGAATATATATAAATCTCACAAACAATGTAAAATGAAAAAATGAAATGAAATACTAAAACCAATTATATAAAGATTTAAGTATTCAAAACAACACTGTTTAATACTTAGGGAAATATATATATATATCTGTAACAAAATTCATGAGAGTGCTAAATAATAACTTTAGGATAATGTTACTTATAGAAGAGATCCAGCTCATATGCAGGAAAGGTTTGGAAAGGAGATTTAACTGTGTTGACAAGGTATCTTCTTGAACTGAGTGACAAGTACGTGGATACTTGATATAGTATTCTTTACATCATTTTTAACGTCCGAAATGTTATTTAATAAGTGTTAAACCTAAAAGCCAGTAATACATTAACTGGCAAAGTCATAGCTACCACTATAAAAAAGTAGAGGCCAGGCGTGGTGGCTCACCCCTGTAATCCCAGCACTTCGGGAGGCTGGGGCGGGTGGATCACCTGCGGTCAGGAGTTCAAGACGAGCCTGGCCAACATGGAGAAACCCTGTCCCTAAAAAAATACAAAAATTACCCAGGCATGATGGCGGGTGTCTGTAATCCCAGCTACTCTGGAGGCTGAGGTGAAAGAATCGCTTGAACCCGGGAGGCGGAGGTTGCAGTGAGCCAAGATTGCGCCATTGCACTCCCGCCTGGGCGACAGAGCGAGACTCCGTCTCAAAAAAAAAAAAAAAAAAAAAAAAGAAAAAAAAGCAGAGCCTTCTTTTTCCTTACTCTCCTCACTTTTGCTTATCCTCTGATACCTCCATCTTTTTCCCCTCCCCGCTCACGCCAACATACATCAACTATGGGGTGCCAGGCACTGTGTTGCAGAAATGTATACATTTCTTTGGATTTGTAGTCTTTTACTAGTGTCTAAATCTTTTTTAAAAAAAAATACCACACTTAGGAACAGGGATACATAGATAGGTAATTTCCTTGATCTCTAACCATTAAAAAGAGTAAAAATATTAGAGCAATTTTTCTCTTTTGAATTCATCTATTTATATGAAATCTCATTAGTTAAGCCCAATAGCCCTCTCACTCCCTGAGGCAAGAAAAACTCCCACCTAAATCATACTATGAAGTTTGACAGAAAGACCAATTTTCCAAAAGTTTACCGTTTTCTATTAAAGTTTCTATTTAAGTTTTTGTTTGTTTGTTTGTTTGTTTCTAGATGAGAAAATGTACCACCCAGTTCACACATATTTGTCATAGGGACTTTAAATTTTCCCTTTTTAATCTCAACTTACATCCTTTCAAGTTATTAGCCAGCACATGAGCACTATTTCAGTCACTTCTCTGAGGACCCAGTAGTAATTTTAGCAACCATAATGGACAGCAACACCTAGTTTCTGCAAATTTCATTTTCTCCTCTACTCTACCTTTACTTAAATCGCCTTTTGAGATTTCTCTTTTCCCCAGATCAAGCTCATGAATTTCAGCTGTCATTCTGATTGGCAGTAGAGATGGTTGTTCAGTTATACATGACCCAAAATAACATTGGTCTCAAATTTGTAGGTCTTAGCTTACTGTGTTTCCATGGAAATGTGTATAGCACATATATCACATTTCCTTAGCACTTTATATATTTTTGTTGATATTTTAAAATAAAAAATAGGGCTGGGTATGGTGGCTCACTCCTGTAATCCCAACACTTTGGGAGGCTGGAGCAAGAGAAACACTAAGGCCAGGGTTCAAGACCAGCCTGAGTGACATAGTGAGACCCTGTCTCTAGAAAAAATTTAAAAATAAAACATAAAATAAAATGAAAATAATTACACTGACCAACTAATAAATGTGTCTTGTTTTATCTGTCTAATTAGGGCAAGATGTCCAGGTTGAATCTGTGTGATCTCTTGATATCTAGACATAAGTATAAATGAGCTAGAACGTGAGTATTCAGTAAGAGAAAGTATTGAGGTTAAAACTAAATTTAATTTAAGCCACAGAGATAGAAATGTTTATGGAGGAGGAACATGTTTTTTCATGAAGAAGAATAATAAAATTAGAACATGTAATCTATGCACAATATTTAGCAATCAGGCAATTTTAAGCTTGATGTCATTGTGTTCCTGTATTATATATCCCCCAGGGGTGTCTTTCTGCAGTAACTGTAGTAATTTCCAATGGCAGGGGTATGGGATCTCAAAATATTTTTCAATTTAAAGGTCCTTTAATAAAATGAAATGAGCAGAAGACTAGAAGCCTAGGTTCTAATTGCATTTACATCTTTATTCATTTATGTATTCATCAACCATTAATTGCACATCAACTATGTGCCAGGACATAGGGTGTGTTAGGCATGGGGGTGACCAAGATAAATAAGTTTTTGTCCACAAATTGCTGTCATTCAAGTCAAACAAAGGCTGTATGGCTTTGCCCACATCAATTTTTCAATGTCTTATTTTACAAAACAGAGAAAATGTAAGTTCTAATTATTAACTTCATTAATAAGAGGATCAAAGATGCACACAAAAGTTCTGTTTAAACTGTTAACCACATATAGAAATGTTCTGAAGAGGAGCCTATGACTTTCTGAATGTCTCCTATGTCTACAGCTCCTTCAAAGCAGAGCAACCTCATGTATGGTAAGGAACAAAAGCAATTTAATTCCCTGAAAAGGACAACCTGTTTTGCATGCATATCATGTTATTTTTAATTAAATCCACCATATTAGTTGATTCTCGCACTGCTATGAAGAAATACCTGAGACTGGGTAATTTATAAAGAGAAGTGGTTTAATTGGCTCATGGTTCCACAGGCTGCATGGGAAGCATGATGCTGGCATCTGCTGAGCTTCTGGGGAGGCCTCAGATGACATGCAATCATGGTGGAAAGCAAAGCGGGAGTGAGACGTCCCATATGGCCAGAGCAGGAGGAAGAGAGAGGGGAGAGGTGCTACACACTTATAAACAACCAGATATCATGATAACTCTATCACAGGAACAGCACCAAAGGGGGAAATCTCTCCCCATGATCCAGTCATCTCCTACCAGGCCCCACCTCAACAATGAGGATTAAAATTCGACCTGAGATTTGGGTAGGGACACAGATCCAAACCATGTCACCCATATTAATGACAATTAAAAACCAAATCAGTACAATCATAAATGCAATTTCATCCTACACTGAAATCACATTTAAGATGGTAGGGGAACATGAAAATAGAGGATAAAACCATAATAATACAGCTGGCACTGCCCTTTGCCTTCTATCTTGTTCAGGACCCCAAACACCTTTTTTTCTTTTTCCTGAGACCAATAGGAGAAAATGCCTGATGGCATAAAAATCCACATGCTGCAAAGGGATGTCTGGTGTCTGGTGTCTCTTCTACCAGACATTTCCCACAATCTAAGAGGGCATGGATATTTGCAAAAAAAAAAAAAATTATAGAACTGAAAGAATTAGTTTGAAAGGGCAACTGAAGATTTATCTCACTTGTTCCAAGATTTTTAGTTGTAGATAAGATATAATAGGGTGCCTATGAAGTTACAAATTCAAAAAACAGTCTGAACAAGAAATAAACACTCCTTCATAACAGCTTTTAAAAGGCTCTTAATAAAGCTCCTTTAAGAGAAGAGGAATAAATTGCTAAAGTAGCTGCCTCAACCATGAAGTTTGCTTTCAGTTTTGTTTTGATTATTGAAGAACTCTTTTTTTTTAATGTGTTATAGATTTTAAGCAATTGGGAAGAATGGAAATCATTATGGGGTGTTAAAATGGAAGCATAGTGATAACTTAGCTACTGCAGGATTTTCCCCAGATTCCACCATGACACAGAACCACCGTCATGGAGAAGCCCTGTTTCATTTGATCATATCAGCTTGGTCATAACTGATGGTCAAGGCTTTGATAAATGAGCTAAAAATAGCCAACCAATTGATCCCTAGGCCTGTAAAGAGGGCAGGAAAAAAAAAGTCTAACATTTTAGTAGTAAATGAATTGATTCATGAAGATCATATTTTGGGGCATTTGAATTCAATACCAGAACTATCTAAGTGCCTACCATTCATCATTTGTCAAATAAGTGATTTAAAAGTTATTAAATAAATTAATGAAATGAGACACATGAGCAAAGAGGGACACGGATGGTAGACAGATATGCAGAAAAGCTAAAGCCTCCTAAGTAGTACAAGTATAAATAAGTAGACTCTATAGGAGAGTAAAGGACAGGATAAGCTGAGATGGAGTAGTTGGATAGGAATTTCACACTTTTAAATGCACTTCTGAGCAATTTTTAAGTTCTTGACAAGGACTGCACAGAGTTTTCTATGCTTCCTGACCTACCTGGCCCCTCATCACTTAGAGAAACTACAAGTTTTACCTGAAAGAATCTAACTAATGCAAAAAGTCAGCATTATTAGTAAATAATAATAAAAAGATACAATACACATTTTTCATTTGACCCATTGCTTCTTTTTTCCATATATGTGACAGTAAATCACAATGGTGGTCTCTCAAAAGTCACCAAGAGATACCTGTGAACTCTGAGGTAAAATGCCAGGCAATGTCTTTCAGCTGCACAAAAAAAGGCTGATTTTTTTTTTTTTTTTTTTTTTTTGCTAATTCTTAATCTTCCACCATCAATTTGCTTTTCTCAAATAACTACTCTTAAACCTGTATGCAATTTTTTTCAGAGATTCTTTCAGATATTCCTATTGGGAGTATAACCATTAAAAATTCAACACTTTTTAGGAAGTAAGTACTATTTAAGGAAGAAGACAATCCCCTAAACAATAGTAATAATTTATACATTGATGGTGGTATAATCTATTTTCAGTAACTTCTAAGAACTAGATTTAAAAAATCTACCTCTGTTAAGAAAGACAGACTAAAAGGGTGTATAATTCTATCTTAAGGAAATATGTACCTCTTATAGGCTCCATTCTATGTGCCTGGCTCAGGGCTGCAATATGGCACCTATTTGATTATTTGCATGCCAAGTACCTCTAGAATGTCTTGTTTTTAAAAGGGAGAGAAAGTCAAGTGACAGAGAGAGGCATTTATACAATGACCAGGCCAAGTTGTCTTTATACAATGACCAGCCAAGTTGTATAATAGAGGAATACAACACAGGTAAAATACGGAATATAAAATAATATTTTATTATATGTCACTTATATTACAAAAAGTAAAATACATATGGTGATATGGACTCCACTATAAAATCACAATTTATCATCGTGATGTCTGAGTTTCTCCTAGATTTTATTGACTTTTTAAAATCCAGATTTAGCATAGCAAATGTAACTTTTTGCTAAGAGATTAAATCCCAGGAGAATGATAAAATCCAAACTTCTTGTTCTCCTGCTGAGCACTATTTTAGGAAATTCTTTATATACGTAAAGAATGCATATGCTTTTAAACAATTTATTTCAAGTTAAAGTTTTTTAAAGAATAATAATGATATATTATACATACACTCTTGTATCCTAGTGCCCACTCTCAGTGCTCTGAGAAAAAGTCATAGTTTCTGACTTAACTGTTAATCAGAGAAAAACAAATCCAAACTAGATCTCAAGACATAAGTTTACTAGAAGGTAAGAGGAATAAGTTGGAGCCAATGGAGTAAGATGGGGTTGGAAAGTGTGCCTCAAAAATTTGCACTAGACAGGTGATTAATTTCCTAGAGGACTTTATATTTAGGAACTCAATCCTAAGGAAGAAAAAGAGAGAGAAAAAGGGAGGAATGAAAGGGAGGTTGGAGGAAAGGAAGAAATGAAGGGAGGAAGGAGAGATGGAGAAGAGGGAGAGAGAAGGGGACGAGAAAAGACAAGGATCATTAAGAAAGCACTCACCAGTCTCTGTTTTGCACATGCCTTAGAAGCTATGATAATAAGAATACCTTGCATTTAATTTACTCTCTTTCAGTAAATTTCTCTGCATTATCTCATTTTCCAGCTCATACAGTAATCCTCACAAGTAAACAGGGTAAAATGTGCTCTCTGTTCTAAAGAGTCACCTTGGTAAGCCATTGGGAAGTTAGGTCAGAGTTAAGTCAGAGCTAGGCATATGTCTCGGTTTCTTAGTCCTCATTATTTATCAAACATTATTTGAGTACCTAATACATAGCAGTCACTATGCTGGACCAGAGGATATTGCTAAACAAATCAATGCACAGATAATACAAAAATTGCAAGCATAAAGAAATTTGCAAAAGACCAGTGGGGACAAGCAGGTAAACACATAAAATCAACATCTAGTGCATACTCAAAGAGATGACTGGAGAACTGAAAAACAGCTGAAGGAGATGGGAAGTTCAGCAAAGGGTCCTCTTCCAGAAACGTGCTTGGGATGAATCTCAAAAGGAAAGTGGAGTTCCGCCAAGTGGGGAAGAAGCAGGGCATTCCTGGCAGCAGGAAAGGATATGCAAATGCAGGGACCCCATGAGTACAAAATATATTCAATAAGAATGCCGTATAGGAAACACGTATGGTTTGGGGAAGGTATGCTCTTATTACACACTTTATGTTTGCTCCTGATACCATTTGTCATCTCAATTATTAAAAAAAAAAAAAACCTCGTTGATTACACTGAAGTCCCAGCTATCTGGTGGTTAAGTTCTAAAGTGAACTTGAAAGGTGAAAATGATGGCTGGTAAAGACCCCTTAGGAAATACCACGTTAGACACATTTCAGAAATGGAGTCTCACTATGTTGCCCAGGTTAAACTTAAACTCCTGGGCCCAAGTGATCCTCCTGCCCCAGGAGGGGCTGAAACTATAGTCATGTGTCCGCCACATCTGGCCAATGTGTCTTCTCTTTATACATAAATTCAGCACAGCTGTTTTCCCTTTAGCTTTAGAACAGATCATGTTTTGGTTAAGCTTCAGATAAGGTGGCTGTCTTGCATTTGAAGTCCATATGTATAAAAAATACCCATTTTTAAATAGCAAAATAATCCCACCCAACATGTACCATTCTCACACTGTGAGGCCACTGACATAACATATAAAATAGCAGATTCATATACTGTGGCATGTTAATTCTGGGGCAGATGTTCATTGAGTGGAAGGGTGGATTGAGTTTGCCTGCACTATTTCCATTTTCATTCTTTGTCCTTAGTCTCTCTCCAGTCTTCATACAATTGATTTGCATTGCTAAATGAGCATATTATGTCCTATACACCATTGTATACCTATACACCTCACACATTCATTCACGCATACAAAAAATAATTATTGTGTATCCTCTATAGACCAGACATTGGTCCAGGTACTGGGCTCATAAAAGCAGTGATCACAAACAGACAATGTAATTATAAGAAATATGTTAGAATCAATAAGTGATAAAGATGGGAGGGGAGGAAATGAAAATGGAGCAGAGTGGATGTAAAGAAATTCAGTTTTAAGTAGGGTTTTCATGGTAGACTTTATTTGAGAAGGTGACATTTGTTCAGAAACCTGAAAGAGATGAGCAAGTGAGCCATCTGGTTTCAGACTCTCAGAGTCCAGAGGTAGAGCAGAGAGACCAATTAAGAGACTGCGGCAATAATCCAGGGGAAAGATGATGGTGGCTTAAACCAGAGCCATAGCAGTGGAGGCAACACAGTGTCAAATTTTGGATAGGTATTGGAGGTATTTGCAGAAGTCCTGGTTACTGATATAAATTTGGGGAAAGTTTTGGCAAAAGCAACAGAATGTTAGAATTACATTTTTAATGAAACAGTGGGAAATAAGGAGATATTCATAAGCTGAACATAAATCAACAAAGTGAAATATCAACACAATATCTTGAGAGAGAAGATAAGTATCTGATAGCTATTTAATTAGCCTCACTGCACTTTCTTGCAAATCTTCAACAAAGAGGCAAAACTTCTGTCATAATTAAACAAGCTGTTAATGACAAATACAAAATCATTTTTTCTTGTAACAATACAGCATATATGTGTAGAGTGGGGGTAGATGGGAAGAATTATCAGTTCCAAGAGATGTAACAAATTGGTACAACAATTGTAAAAAGATTAGAACTATAAAATAAATGACAAACTAAAAAATATATGTCAAGGCACTGTTATTTTGTAGCCATACACAATTTAATTTTTCATCAAAATGATAAGTAAAAAACAAAAAAAAACCACAAAGACACTGATAATACTCAAATGATGATACTTCAAGCGAACCATCTTTACCTGAATGATGTTCTTTTTATTTTCCTGAATCAGCATATTTGTTACTGTCTTCCTGGCTCTTATGTCATTTGATTACTCTATTTCAATGATTATTAGTGTTTTTCTTCAAACTAATGCCCCCCCAAAGTGATTTTTATTATTGCTAGTGATGTTTCCATGGTAATACCTTTCCTACATCCTCTCTAATTTCTTTTTCTCAATATCCTGTACCTTTTCTCAATATCATCAGTATTTGTTTTTCCATCGAGTTTGGTATCTTACGGAGAGATTTCAGAAGTGATGCCAGTGTCCTAGGTTTAAGAAAAGCAGCCATGTCTTAGGGCATAATTAATTTTCAGTATCTTGGATGATAATCTTGGTCTTGGAGAGTAATCTTTTAGTCAAGCCATGTCTATGAATGATTTTAATTTTTCATTAGCAATTTAAATCTCACTTAAAGTCACTTATGGGTCATATGATGTAATTAGAAAATCATTGGTTCAATTATTAGAATTATTTTCCCAATTTTAGTACCAAATATGATAGTAATGGCATATTTATCAGGACTCTTACATTTTTTACATTTCTGTAAAAGGAAGTTCATAGAGCTCTTCTGAGGTTTAAATATAATGTTTTCAAAAAACATTTTGAAAGCAGAAAATGCACTGCTGATGGCTTAAAAATAGCTCCTCAGTTGTATTGCAAGAAGAAATTTCCTACGTGCTTCAGTAACATATTTAATAACATTGAATTTGGGGCCTTCATCTTCAGAATGAGGATAGAAATACCCACCTATCTTTTCTATAAAGATAGAAATACCCACCCACAATCACTATATCTAATCAATATATAATAACACGAATAAACAAACAATTGAGGAAATAAATATATATGCAAATGTTTCTATAGGGACAATTCCATTTAAAACAAGCATTGGACTGGGCTTAGATGCAATGTGAAAGCAAATTTAAATAATGAAACAGGCACAATATTAAGACAATACGGATAGTTATCAATTACACAAATTGAAGATCATGTAGCCCATATGACAAGATTCTACTTGGAATATTTTTTAAATCAATAATGCTTGCCAATATGGTTTGGATGTCTGTCTGTCTCCTCCAAGTCTCATGTTGAAATGTGATTCCCAGTATTGGAGGTGGGGTCTGGTGGGAGATGCTTGGATCATGGGGATGATGCCTCCTAAATGATTTAGCACCATCCCTTCTGTGAGTTCTGGCTCAGTTCACAAAAGATCCAGTTGTTTAAAAGAGTCTGTGTCCTCCCACTTCTCTGTCTCTCATTCTGCTCTTGCCATGTGATATACCTGTTTCTCCTTTGCCTTGGAAGCTTCCTGAGACCCTCACTAGAAGCAGAGGCCAGCACTATTCCTGTACAGCCTGCAGAACTGTGAGCCAATTAAATCTCTTCTCTTTGTAAACTACCCAACTTCAGCTGTTTCTTTCTAGGTTAAAAAAACAGACTAACACACTTACAAAGCAAGGCACATATATGGCTCAAATTTGGTCAATGACTTAACAGTGACATCTGAACTAGAGATACCTCTTGGAGTAAAATGTTAATAAATTTGGATGTTGGTGTGCATTAAAGAGTGCATTAAAGTACATATTTGCTACTCCATTTCTCAGGTAGAAAGTACTTTAGACTTCACTCACCAGGAGGAAATAATATGAGTCCACTATTGGCAAAGATTCAGTTGGGCAAAGAGAAATTAGAATAGGCATCTTAAGCAGACATTATTTAATACCAAAGGTTCATTACTTGGGTATTGGAAGACTGAAAAAATACAAAGGAGCACTATAGTATTCAGTGATAATAACTGCAGAAGTTCCCACAATGAGGTCTGAAAGAACCAAAAGGAAGATACTGGGTTCCAAGATCCTAGAATTTTGGAATAGAAGTGCCTGTGAGCTGGTGTTTAGTTTTCTGAGGGGGTAGTAATGTTCTGTTCTGACGGTGTCTCTAAGGGAGTGTCACAGGGCTGGTGTAGGGAACACAGACAGAAACTGGAAGCTGAGGCCACCAACTGCTGCTGGAGCAACACCAACAAGAACAGGGAAATATGAAGAAAGTATCTGTTTCTTTCTGCCTAACTTCCAGTCTCTCCCGAGTGCCTCTTTTTGTCAGAACTTAAAAGGAATCCAGAGTCCGGAAAGCTGATTTGCAGCATCTCAGCCCCGGAATCACTGAACCTGAGTAAACTTTTATTAAAATAAGATAAATAACTGGCTTGTGATCTTCTGCTTTGCCAACCTTGCTGATTTTTTTTTTTTTTTTATGATAGTAGAAGTGAAAGGTCTTGCTGGTGCATTTTGTAGAGATGGCTGCTAATACAGAACCTGGAGTCTTTGTTTCTCTCTTTCTTTTGAAACTTCAGTGACGTGACTGGAGCACCCCTTGCTCCCACTTCCTTGCCATTTTTCAAAGTTAAATTTAACTTATGGGAAAACAGAAGGAATCCCATGTATTAGTTTTCTATTGCTCTGTAGAAAATTATCACAAAACAAACTTAGTAGCTTGAAACAACATAAATGTATTATCTCATCTGTCTCACGGCCCAGGAGTCCAGATACAAGTTTACTTGGTCCTCTGCTCAGGATCTGACAAGGCTGAAATCATGTCACTCACTCTTTGATTCTTTCTGGGCTCCTAGGTCCTCTTCCAAGCTCAGCAGTTGTTGGCAGGCCTCAGTTCCTTATGATTATAGGACCCATGTTTCTATTTTCTTGGTAGCTGTTGACCAGGAACCACCTTCAGCTACCAGAGGCTGCCCCTCTCCATCAGCACTTCACAGAATAGCTGTTTGTTTTCTTCCTGGCCAGCAGGAAATTTCTCTGACTTCTTCCTCTAAGGACAGTAAAAGAAAGTCTCTCTCTTCTAAGTGTTCTGCTGGCTAGGTCAGGCCTACCCAGGATAATCTCCCTTATGCCATATAATGTTACACAGTCATGGAAGTGATGCATCATCATATTTATAGGTTCTACCCACTTTCAAGGGAAAGACATTACATAGGGACTGTACAACAAGAGGTGGAAATCTTGGGGGGGCCACCTTAACATCCTGCTTACCTCACCCCATTATGATCTCAGGCAAAGCCTTGTTCTCCAAGAAAGATTTTTTGTGGGACCCTATACTGTGACTAATTAAACAGTTACCCAATTTACTTTTTGTGTTGGTTCTTAATTGTTCAAAAATTCTTAGAGAAGAAAAGGCAAGTGGTTAGTTTAACTTGAATAAATGGGCCTCAAGTCTTTTTTTTTAATTATACTTTGAGTTTTAGGGTACATGGCACAACGTGCAGGTTAGTTACATATGTATACATGTGCCATGTTGGTGTGCTGCACCCAGCAACTCGTCATTTAACATTAGGTATATCTCCAAATGCTATCCCTCCCCCCACCCCCACCCCACAACAGGCCCCAGTGTGTGATGTCCCCTTTCCTGTGTCCATGTGTTCTCATTGTTCAATTCCCACCTATGAGTGAGAACATGCAGTGTTTGGTTTTTTGTCCTTGCGATAGTTTGCTGAGAATGATGGTTTCCAGCTTCATCCATGTCCCTGTAAAGGACATGAACTCATCATTTTTTATGGCTGCATAGTATTCCATGGTGTATATGTGCCACATTTTCTTAATCCAGTCTATCACTGTTGGACATTTGGGGTGGTTCCAAGTCTCTGCTATTGTGAATAGTGCCGCAATAAACATACGTGTGCATGTGTCTTTATAGCAGCATGATTTATAATCCTTTGGGTATATACCCAGTAAAGGGATTGCTGGGTCAAATGGTATTTCTAGTTCTAGATCCCTGAGGAATCACCACACTGACTTCCAAAATGGTTGAACTAGTTTACAGTCCCACCAACAGTGTAAAAGTGTTCCTATTTCTCCACATCCTCTCCAGCACCTGTTGTTTCCTAACTTTTTAATGATCACCATTCCAACTGGTGTGAGATGGTATCTCATTGCGGTTTTGATTTGCATTTCTCTGAGGGCCAGTGATGATGAGCATTTCTTCATTTGTCTTTTGGCTGCACAAATGTCTTCTTTTGAGAAGTATCTGTTCATATCCTTCACCCACTTTTTGATGGGGTTGTGTTTCTTTTTTTTTTTTTTCTTGTAAATTTGTTTGAGTTCATTGTAGATTCTGGATATTAGCCCTTTGTCAGATGAGTAGATTGCAAAAATGTTCTCCCATTCTGTAGGTTGCCTGTTCACTCTGATGGTAGTTTCTTTTGCTGTGCAGAAGCTCTTTAGTTTAATTAGATCGCATTTGTCAATTTTGTCTTTTGTTGCCATTGCTTTTGGTGTTTTAGACATGAAGTCCTTGCCCATGCCTATGTCCTGAACGGTATTGCCTAGGTTTTCTTCTAGGGTTTTTATGGTTTTAGTTCTAACATGTAAGTCTTTAATCCATCTTGAATTAATTTTTGTATAAGGTGTAAGGAAGGGATCCAGTTTCAGCTTTCTGCCTATGGCTAACCAGTTTTCCCAGCACCATTTATTAAATAGGGAATCCTTTCCCCATTTCTTGTTTTTGTCAGGTTTGTCAAAGATCAGATGGTTGACCAACCAAAAAAAGTCCAGGACCAGATGGATTCACAGCCGAATTCTACCAGAGGTACAAGGAGGATCTGGTACCATTCCTTCTGAAATTATTCCAATCAATAGAAAAAGAGGGAATCTCCCTAACTCATTTTATGAGGCCAGCATCATCCTGATACCAAAACTTGTCAGAGATACAACAAAAAAAGAGAATTTTAGACCAATATCCCTGATGAACATTGATGCAAAAATCCTCAATAAAATACTGGCAAACCGAATCCAGCAGCACATCAAAAAGCTTATCCACCATGATCAAGTGGGCTTCATCCCTGGGATGCAAAGCTAGTTCAACATATGCAAATCAATAAACATAATCCAGCATATAAACAAAACCAACGACAAAAACCATATGATTATCTCAATAGGTGCAGACAAACAGATGCAGACAAATAGATGCCTTTGACAAAATTCAACAGCCCTTCATGCTGAAAACTCTCAATAAATTAGGTATTGATGGGACATACCTCAAAATAATAAGAGCTATCTATGACAAACCCACAACCAACATCATACTGAATGGGCAAAAACTGAAAGCATTCCCTTTGAAAACTGTCACAAGACAGGGATGCCCTCTCTCACCACTCCTATTCAACATAGTGTTGGAAGTTCTGGCCAGGGCAATCAGGCAGGGGAAGGAAATAAAGGGTATTCAATTAGGAAAAGAGGAAGTCAAATTGTCCCTGTTTGCAGATGACATGATTGTATATCTAGAAGGCCCCAAGTCTTTATATTAAACCCCAGATTGGTCTTTCAGGACCCATATACCAGGCTGAGAGGTCAGAACTCCTAGTGTGACTAAGACTAAAGCTTTCTCTCCTGTAACCAAACTCTGACCTCTGTAAGATATCAAATATTATTAGTTTCCTCAGATGTAAGCCTGGGCAGTATTTACAAAAGAGGAGATTCACTTTAGTGCTTGTCAAGGACCTCAAATTATAGGAACAGAGAATTAAGAGAGAGAGAAAGAAATGTATGTCCGCGTTAGAACAGCCATCTTCAGTTATTTCTGAACGGGCAGGCAAGTTGACATTCTGAGGGCTTACTGTCACATATTGAGAGGCTAAGCATTTTGCTAGAACAAAAAACTTGTCACTGCAAAATAGGGAGTTTCAATGTATAGGCTTTTTATTCTCATTTGAAATTTTAAATTATGTATTTCTATTTTACAAAAATAATTCCTATTTATTGTAACCGGAGCCACTGATAAATACAACTTCAAGATGCATTATTCACATTTTATTTTGTGGATTTTTCCTCAAAGGGATATTCACCTGATAAACATTGAAATTGGCATATTGGAGTTGCATATGCAGTGGCTTTGACTTTGAAACACTGAAACAATATGCTTTAAAAAAATTAACATCTCCCAATCCCAACCATCTTCCTCATTTTTGCATTACATTCATATAACCCATTTTGCTAATATTGTTATAACAAATGGATGATTTGAACCCTTCCACACCCACCTTCCTTCTTTTTCATTTAAATGCATGCATACTTATACACCTATGTAAATTCTTTAAAACCAGATCATAGTATACACATTGCTCAACACTTGCTTTTTTCTCTTAATAAACTTCTCAATAACCCATTGACCAAAGAAGAAATCCCAATAAAAATTATAAAATATTTAGAATTGAATGATCAGGAAAATATAATACATCAAACCTTACCTTTCTGGCCACAGTAGTGATCAGAGGAAAACTTTTAACCTTAAAAGCATACATTACAAAAGAAGAAAGGTTAAAATTCAGTTACCTAAGTATCTATACCAGCACCTGGAAAAAGTATAGCAACTTAAACCCAAATATAGTAGATGAAGGAAATATTATAGGTAAGAGCAGCAATGAATACAATAGAAAACAAATGTAACCTGGAGAAAATGAACCAAGTCAGAAATCAGTTATTTAAATAGAGATAAAATAGATAAAAGAAAGACTGATCAAAAAGTAGAGAAAGTAAAAATTAACATTAGTAATGCCAATTGCAATGCTTACCAAGTGAATATCCCTGGAGGAAACATCCGCAGAATTAAATGTGAATAATGCATCGTGAAGTTGTATTTACAGCTACTATTCAAGTATTCAAGACAGAAATTATTCCAATGTTACACAAATGTTTCACAGTATGAAAAAGAAGGAAATACTCCCTAATATATAAAGTCAGCATGACCTTGATTCCAAACTTTAGAATAATATTATAAGAAAGGAAATGTATGGTCTAATTTCACTAATGAATGTAGATGTTTTTAAAAATCCAACAACAACACACCATTGCAATTTGGGTTTATTTAGGGATTCGAGTTTAGTATAACAGTTGGAGATCAATAAATGCAATTCATCCCAGTAATAGAGTAAGGAAAGAGAAAAAGCATAATTTCAATAGATGCAGAAAAAATTGTTTCATAACATTCAAAAATTCATTCATGAAATGAATGTATGTATATGTTTGTCTGTGTGTGTATGAATTAAATCTGTTGTATCTGTAGTATTACACAAGGATAGACAAATAGATCAAAGAAACAGGATAAAACATCCAGAAACAGACCCATATGTTTCTAATCATCTTATTTATTTTTTATTTGTATAAATTTATGGAGTACAAGTGTAATTTTGTTACATGTATAGATTGCACAGTGGTGATGTAAAGGCTTTTGGAGTATCCATCACTGAAATAACGTATATTGTATCCATTAAGCAATCTCTCATCATCCACCCCCCTCCTGCCTCCTCACCCTTCTGAGTCTTCATTGTCTATCATTCCACATGCTATGTCCATATGTACACATTATTTAACGCCTACTTGTAAGTGAGAACATGCTGATAACCTGATTTATGACACTAGTCAATGCCACATAATGGAGAAGATGGCCTTTTCAATGAATCACAATGTATCAATTGAAGAGTTACACAGAAAAAGAAAAAATCTCGGCTTTTTCCTCCCACCAGACACAAAAATCAAGTTCTATATGGATCATGGACTTAAATGTAGAAGTTCGGATAATAATAAAACTAACTTCAAGATTAAGATTACACAGAAGACCATCTTCGTGATGTTGGGGTATGCAAAAGTATATAAAAAGCACTATGTTAAAAAACCACTAACTATAAAAGATTGATATATTGGACTTCATTAAAATCAACACCATACGTTCATCAGGAAACACCATAAAGTGAAGATACTGTATATATGTGTACACATATAATGTGATGTCAATAAATTGAAACTCTTATACACTGTTGGTAACAATGTAAAATGGTACTACTCTATGGAAAATAGTATGGAGGTTTCTTAAAAAAATAAAAATAGAATTACATATGATCCAGAGATTCCACTGCTGGATACATATCCAAAAGAATTGAAATCAAGATCTCAAAAAGAAATCTTCACTCCCATGTTCCTTGTAGCATTCTTCACAACAGCCAAGATAGGAATACAATCCAAATCATAACTGACAGATGAACGGATAAAGAAAATGTGGTATAGACATACAATGGAACATTATATAGCCTTAAAAAGAAATAAATCCTTCCAAATGCAACTTTAATAAATCTGGAAGACATTATGCTAAGTGAAATAAACAAATCACAGACAGACAAATGTTACATATTTCCACTTTTATGGGGTACCTAAAATAGTCAAACTCATAGAAACAGAAGTGGTTGCCAGAGGCTGGTGGAGAGAGGTAATGGAGAACTGTTCAATGAGTGTAAAATTTCAATAATGTAAGAAGAATAACTTCTGGAGATCTGTTTTACAACATAGTGCCTGTATTAAACAGTGCTGTATGATGCACTTAAAAATGTGTTAACAGTAGATCTCATCCTAAGTGTTTTACTACAATTTAATACATAGGAAAAAAAACTTGAACAGGAACAAAGATACACAAATGACTAAAAGATGAAAATATATTCAGTATTATTTTTCATAAGCAAAATAGATTATTAAACTAATAAATTTTCATCTGAGTGGGGCTTCTGTGGTATTCATATATTCTGTATCTCAATCTGGGTAGTGGCTACAAAGTAGCTTCACTTGGTAAAAATGTATTAAACTCTACAATTAAGATTTTGCACTTTTCTGAATGCATGCTATACTCCGAAAAAAAGTTTTTAAAAGGTTATCTTGTGGTTACTACCATTAATAAGATTGTATTGTTCATTTGAAATTTGCTAAGAGAGTAAATCTTAAGTGTCTTCATCACAGACATACAGATAGACACACAAATGGTAACTATATGTGTTGATATATGTGACAATTAGAATGTGGTAATCATTCACAGTGTACACATACATCAAATAATCCTGTTGCATACTTTGAACATATACAATTTTTATCTGTCAATCATCCTCAGTAATGATGAGAAAACATTTTAAAAATAAAAAGTGACTACTCCTGCACATACTCAAATATGCTAAAAGGTAGGGATGTTTCAAACACCTTTTCTGTGGGAGGACACAGAACATGCATATGGTAAACTCATGCCCGCCTCTAAATATGGTAAATACACAGCCTCAACTTCTGGGTGTTTAGTTTACCAAGCTGAATTCAATTTCACAGATCATAGACTCTAAACAAGTAGCATAGGATGACTGGCATCCTGGTTAAATCCGGAAAAAAAAATTTTTTAATATTTTCTCTGTAACTCAACTCCCCTCAATACTCGGTATTGAATTAATTCAACTATTGAGATGCTGAAGAAATGTCAGTCCTTTAAGTGGAAGATAGACCAGGCCATACAGACACTGCAGGATCCCCGTATCTCACCAAGCATCCGCGCAAGATGCCTTTGGCTGAGACTAAACTGATTGAAAAATTGGGGAAAGCACATGTTTGGACTTTAATTCCTTTGAAATTTAATTTCAAAATTAGGTTTTTTGGAATCTAATTTCTTCCTGGAAATTGAGCACAAATAATTTATATTGTTCAAATTTAGCACGTTTTAATAGAACAGTGTACTATTTAGAGTATTTTGATGCTGTTATTTGGGTTTATTTCCTAATCTCTGGTGTTACATTAGACAATATAACCGGGATAATCTGATTTGAAAGAAAAGTGTTACATTTTGGCCAAAGGGACAGTGTGGTCTGAAATTAATCAATATATTACTCTAACCCTATTTCAGAGCCTGCCTATGGAGAAGCTTAATTGATAATTTCTGGCCCTAAGAGTATGCACCAAAAAGCAGATTTTGGGAATTGAACTATAATTCATGAAAGTTAGAAAAGGATTCACCTGATAAACCACTGAAAAACACCTTTGCAGAGAATTGATCACCCATGATTTGCTATTTAAGCATAAATCTGAATGGTAGAAGAGAATTTAAGAGCCATAAACATCTTTCTCTTCCCATCCCTATTCACCCACAAATGTGAATTCTTTATTTGATGAGTTGGAGTACAGTACCTTACTTTCTTCCACTTTGGCCTTACTTGCTTGATGATCAAGTTCATTTTCCTTAAGGTTTCTTTTTCCACATGGAAAAGTTCATTGGAGCATGGTTTTCTGCCCTGCAAGAAAGAGCTGAGATTATCTTGTTATTCTGCTTCAGATTAAGCTAGTGAAAACAGAGGGAAAGTCCATGCTATTATCTTCAATCCAGCTTTAATGGGTGGCTCTGTACTTTTGGTTAATAAATTGGTCCCTTTGGTCTTCTCACTGTAGGTAATAACAGACAAAAATGAGGGTCAAGTTATTACATTCTAAAGACCCCAAAGACTAAATTATTCTGGCTAAAACCCCTGTGAGATATGAGAATAAAATATCTTTTGGACTACCATTTTGCATAGGGTACTTTTTTAATTCCTTAAATCCGTGTTCATTTTGTTGTATCTCATTATTCTGATCCTGCGTTTAAAAAAATGTTATGGTTCCTGTGATTTCTTTGTACATTTCAAGCCAAAAATACTGTAATTTATCTTTTACTCATACTTTTCTTTGAAAATTACGTGACAAAATATTCAGATTCTTAATTTTCTTTTCACCCATTCTTTATGAAACATTTGATATTCTTTATTTCACCCTTCCTTTTGAAATACTCCCTTTCAAGGCATATGAGATACTGTATTCTCCTTATTATCTTCCTTTCTCTGACTCCTTTCTTTGAATATTTATCACTTGTCCTTCTTACTTATTTTAATTCTTAAATATGGGCTTTCCCTGAGTTTTCACCTTGGCCCACTTTTTGTCTTCCTCTTTAATTAAGTAATATGATTCACCATGAGCTCTATCAGGATGTCACCTAATTCTGCATTTCTATCCTGTTTTCTGTGCATCTCTACCAAAATGCCAATATATACTTCAATTAGTCCAAAATATTCTCTAATGAATTTTCTCCAGCATATCTTTCTTCACTGAAGTTGCTATCTCAATTATCAACACACTTACACCATTCCAAGCTGAAACATGAATTCCTCATTATTCCACCAGATCGCCTTATTTATCTCTTCACAAAACCTACCCCAGTGACATTAGCTTTGATTGATTCTCATTACATCTTACCTGAATTACAGAAATTGTTTTTCACTATTACTCCTGCCTTCATCATTTAGGAATGCAAGGTATCATATTGATTGTATTCAAATTTTTTATAGGTAGATTATATTGTCTGTGATTTCCAAGATACTTGTATAAAATGCAGTGTTTTGTCTGATAATGTTGAAAGCATTTCTATAATATGTTGAAGAGTAACATTTATTGTGGTCCTAAACTATAAGGTGATGAATTCTGTATTTGAGGTGTATTCATTTTGAATTTAAATTAATTAAATTTTCTTAGTTAAAATATTACTCTGTCTACCCCGTCATATAAAAATTATCATGACATCTCAACCTATTTTAGTGAAAGTATGCACATGACTGTTATCTTCTTTCTTTCTACTTAGTTCTACTACTATAGATGAAGGTAAACAAACTTACTTAAGCATTTCTTCATTGAAAACCTCATTGTCTTCCCAGTCTACTGTACCATTGTTACCTTTTTTTTTTTCTAGATTCTTCACTTTATAGTATCTTTGTTTTGTGGACCCAGATAATCAGTTTCTACAGTCAATAACTTACATGAAGATAAGTTATCACCAACTGTTTTATACTGGAAATTTTAACTTATCATAATGTCATTTCAATCATGAATAGAAAAGATAGATAATTCTTGATAATTGATGAGATAAAGATAGAAGCAAAAAGTTTCTATTTTTGTCTCATCAGTTCTCAAGAATTATCTATGTTTTCTATTCATGATTGAAAAGAGCATCCAGGACAATTGAGCTCAGTGATAACATTGTATATCAATGATAATTGCCAAGACTAAGCACAATTGTTTCCAAGTATATATCTCTAATAGCAGTCTATGGAATTGTTCCGAAGAGCAGCTGACCAATGTTATTTTTTTTACCACAAATATAAAAGAATTACAGGCAATCTTATACTAAAGAGTGTTTTGAAATCTAGTGAAACATAAAGCTAGCAGAACCATTTAAAAGCAAACCAAATTTTTTTTTGGCAGAGTGTAAACTATGTTTGTGTTTAACATGTATCAATGATTTGATTTTCAGTGTTAGCTTCTTGAACCTCTATTATTGAAAATAGATGTGGTAAAAAGTTGTTTTTTTCTTAATCAACATGGAACCCTTCCGACATAATTGTTTTTTGTTTTGTTTTGTTTTGTTTTGTTTTGTTTTGTTTTGTTTTGTTTGAGACGGAGTCTTGCACCGTTGCCCAGGCTGGAGTGCAGTGGTGCGATCTCCGCTCACTGCAAGCCCCGCCCCCCGGGTTCACGCCATTCTCCTGCCTCAGCCTCCGGAGTAGCTGGGACTACAGGTGCCCGCCACCACGCCCGGCTAATTTTTTGTACTTTCAGTAGAGACCGGGTTTCACCGTGTTAACCAGGAAGGTCTCGATATCCTGACCTCGTGATCCGCCCGCCTCAGCCTCCCAAAGTGCTGGGATTACAGGCGTGAGCCACTGCCCCCAGCCAAAAGTCTGTTTTATCAGAGACTAGGATTGCAACCCCTGCTTTTTTTTTCAATTCTACCTTCAATCCCATATGCTCATTTAGAATTAAGATGCATGTGATCTGATAAGCTATTATCCTAGCATAATCTTATTTCGAAAGTCATTTAAGTTTGGACCTTTTTAAATATTATTTCTTCTGAGGTTCAGTAACTAGAAAATTATCTCCTATCTTTCAATGATTAATACTCATTATAAATATTATGTACTAGTTATTGCATATATGTATATACACATATGCACATATATATAATTTCAGGATAATTTGAAGCTATGGCAAGTAAACTAGTTTTCTTGATTTAAGTTGTGGTATGTGTCTACTAAATCACCAATAATAAATGATCATGGAAAACAAATTAATATTCTCCTTTTCTACTATCTTTCTCTGAAAAACTTTTAGACTTACTATTGAGATAAGCTAATGTGTAGAAAATCTGTTAATAAATGAGCAGAACTCTATGTTAGAGGATTACGTAAGTTTCTTTTGTGGTTAAGAATGCTCCTTTTCTAAGACTAAACATAAGTGGACAAAATCTCCTGTAGATCCAAAGAGAAATTCTGCCTGACTCTAACTCAACACGGATAAAGACAGAAGCTGATTACTCTGTCATACAGAAAGTTGATGTCATTGAATCATTGCTCCACTGGATAATATTTGAAATAAAAAGTAAACAAAATCAAACAATAACTAGATAAACAAACAATAACTAGATAAATCAAAAGAGATTTGATTTAGGACCAAGAGTCCTTTGGGTGTTAAAATGCTTATCTCTCTTCTGACCCAATGTCATCCTGACCATGTGTCACAGTGACATGGAGATGAAAAAAATGGGCATCACACTCTATACACGTGAAATCTATTGACATATCCAGCTGCTGACTTATGTATTGTCATGATTTCCCGATGTTATTGTGTTCTACAAAATGTCAATTCTAGGTAGAAAAATAATATACAGTTACCATCCAAAAAGGTAAATCTTGTGCTATATTAAACCTATCAGAAAAAAGTGTATTTCTCTTCAAAACATACTTCCATAGAAGTAATGTTTTATCATTGTTTAATTGAAACATAGTGTATAGATTACTGTAATTAAATTTTAAGGAAGTAACCCTGATTTCAATATACCAACAAAAAATTTTAATGACCTTACTTTCAAATCACAAGATAAGCAATACCAAATTTTGTGGTTTAACTTTTTTAAAATCTCCTATATAAGCAAGTTCTCTATATTAGAATATTTGAGGACTAAATAAATCTTATTGGTGGTCTTGTCCAACTACTTCATATTATATATGGAAAAAGCAGTCTGTAAGCATTAATATGATTTAACCAAGATAACATCATTACAAGATGACAAAGTCAGAGCTAACATCCCAATCTCCTACTTTCTCATGTCAAAATCTTAATGCAAAATGACTGAGAGAGAAATAAAGACTGCTATAGTCTCATATTTTCATAATAGCAAAGGAATTACACAATATTGTTATGTTACAAGAGAAAATTCTGTAGAACATGAATATGATTAATTTTATTGTAGGCTATATTTTGGCCTTTTGACATTAAAAACTTCCCCACAAGACAAAATTACCTTTACTATGAAACTGAAGTGTAATGGTTTACCAGGGTACTCTGAGAGAAGCAGCCAAGAGAACAGCTGATGAACCTCATGGCAGATTGCAATCAGGAACATTCACTGTAGACAAGGCATTTATGTTAAAACACAAACCCCAAGCCAGATGAATACTGTTGCTCTTTGGGTTCTGACTTGATGATTACCAATACACTTTTCCAAAAATATTTTCTCAAACGATAAGTGAGTAAAATACATGCATGTAATTAGTGCTACAATTTATACTGAATTGGACTGTGCTGCATCATGGTCATGTAATTATTTCTTTAAAGTGTAAGCCCTCACTTAAAAATTTAGCTGCAATTTACATTGATGAGTGCTTTGGAGGATTTGGAAAAAATATATGGAATCTACAGAGAATACACAGAATTAGTTGTAATTAAAATTGTATGTCACCTTCATCCCCATACTGTGACAATCTATATACTAGCCACTTCATGAAAATGTTTTTGACTGTGTACTAATGTCACCAAATACTGAAAGAAAAAGAGACCATGTTAAAAGTGCTGATTTTTATTATGCAATACACTGGTGTAACAAACCTGCACATATACCACCTGAATCTATACTTTTTTAAAAGTGCCGATGCTTTTTAAGTAATAGTACAGAGACACAGAATACACTAATATTAGGAAATATAACTCAGCAACAAAGGATTCTAAAATGGAACATATATTTGGGGATGTGACATGAAGTCCTTTCCATTCTAATGATATGGTATTCAGATGTCAAAGTAAAAGGCAATGTCATTTGCCATAGCTGTCTGCTTGATCGTTTTGGTGAAAATTTGCTATGGTGGCTTGGAAGCAATTTTCCTAATCCCATCTTTGTTCCTAAACAACACATGAAAGTGGTATCACTAAGCCATAATTCAGTATCATGAATGGAGTCAGAGAAGTACCAGGAATATCTGCTGAATTTCAACAGCCATTAATGTGACTCTGTTACCTGAAGAGAATATGTTTGCAAGAAATGACACCAGTGTGAAAGCAGTATTTCTAAAGTGATAATTAAAATGCATTTTCATTTCATATCTAGGGGACTTTGCAATTTAAAGCATCCTGCATTCATTCTTACACATTTATGCTCTGTTCACTCTTATTTTTTCTGCAATGTTGCCAAGCATCAGATGCACATTAATGTATTAAAATGGGTGATTCACAAGTGTCAGCTTTCCTTATCACTAAGGAGGAGTATCATATTTTCACTCGCAAGTGTTAAAATAACACCTTAACCTCTGAACATCTCTCTTCAAGATGTTTTGTACTTTTATGGAACATTATTCTATAATGTTTCCAAAAAGGAACATTTTATTTGAGGGGAAAATTCATTGAAAATCCCATTTTTGGTTTTGTCTTTAGATATCTTATATTGAAAACAAATATTTGGAAAATATTTACAAAGTCTTGCTTAGTTTCTCAGAATTTGAAGAAAGTAAGAAGGGCAGAGTGTATAATGTCAAAGATGAAAAAGACACCAATTTTGCAGTCTAGTGTGTTATGCTGACACATGCCAACAAGAGTCATTTGTTGGCTTTTCAAACACTGCAGCAAACGGTTAGATCAAACAGGCCCTAATTAATCCTACAGCCATGTCCATAATGTTGCATATACTGCTCAATTGAAAATATTTCAGAACAAGCTCCAGGTTTTACTCACCCCTGAGGTTTTATATATATATATATGAAGAAATTAACATATATATATGTATATGAAGAAATTAACAAGTCATTTTTTCCCTGGAAACATAAGAAAAAGGGACTAGGATGTGGCTCTGGACGTGGAGTCTTCTGTCACTCATTCTATAGGGTAAATGTGGTATTTGTGCATGCCAATCATGGGTTGCTGGATATATTTTAGAGATACACACCCAGCTCATTAAGTCAAAGAGGATTAAGGCAAGACCACAGTATTCTAAATGAATCCAACATTGCTTTGCTTTCTTACACAGCCTCATATCTTGCTGCCATATTTTGTACTCAGGATTGTTAAGGATTAAACATTTTCAGTATCTAAAACTTGGCATTTGTGTCTTGCCTCAAAAATGAAGAATATATTTAATTCCACTAGAACTTACAGTATAAGATGGAGAGTGGCAAGAAATGAGGTGTTGGCAGGGCGCAGTGGCTCATGCCTGTAATCCTAGCACTTTGGGAGGCCAAGACAGGCAGATCACCTAAGGTTAGGAGTTCAAGATCAGCCTGGCCAACATGACGAAACCCCGTGTCTACTAAAAATATAAAAATTAGCCAAGTGTGGTGGCACATGCCTGTAATTACAGCTATTCAGTAGGCTGAGTCAGGAGAATTTCTTGAACCCGGGAGGCGGAGGTTGCAGTGAACCGAAATTGTGCCATTGCACTCCAGCCTGGGCAACAGAGTGAGACTCCTTCTCAAAAAAAAAAAAAAAAAAAAAGAGGTGTCACAGGTGGTCAATAGTCAAATCATGGAAGTCAATGAAACTGTGGTAAAACGAAAATCTTTACTATCTTCAACTGAAAGATGTTAAGTGTGGAGGCAATATCAGATTTGCATTTTAGAAAAGCCATTCTAGTTTCAGTGTAGAACAGAGATTTGCAAAAGCAAAGTTTATTGTCAGGGACATAAGCTACTGTGAGTATAGGTAAGCAAAATGGTATTTGGGTAAAAGGTTAATGAATACTGTCAAGTGGTCAAGCAATTGTGAGTAGCAGCATGGTGGTAACTCCTGGACTGGCTTGCCACATTTCCGTAGGTTCAGTTAGTAAAAGACAATGAATCTAAATGAATTTAGACAGTTTACTACTTACACAAAGTAAAGCAAAAGCAAGATCAGCACGGTGTCAGCTCCCTATGACCCTAATCCTATAGAATGACAAAGAACCTGATGGGCCAGGTGATAGCACAGTTAAGGCATTGCTCTGCTGTGGAGAAACCATCTCTAGGATACAGTAAGTCATGGTTTTATATCCTTCACCTGTATCATAAGTTGTGTGGGTAGGGGTGAGGTGGGAAATCCTATACACAATTAGGGAGGTGAATTAGGAACTTCCTTGTGGAAGCCTCCTACTAGACAGGGAGCCTCCCACACGTTAGGGAGGTGGAAGAAAAACTGTTGTGCTAGTTCTTTCTGAAACTGCCTGTCTTGCTATATTACAGGAAGGATCACAAGACGTTCACTGATACTTGGGTCATACTAAAAGGAAAAGAAGAGCAATTGAATTAGAAAATGTACAGAAAGCATAACAAACATTTAATCAAATAGGACATATAGATGGCAAATAAACACATGACATTAAGCATTAAATAATATTCAATATTGGCCGGGTGCCCTGGCTCACTCCTCTAATCCCAGCACTTTGGGAGGCCGAGGCGGGTGGATCACCTGAGGTCAGGAGTTTGTGACCAGCCTGGCCAATGTGGTAAAACACCGTCTCTATAAAAAATACAAAAAATTAGCCAGGCATGGTGGTGGGTTCCTGTAATCCCAGCTACTTGGGAGGCTGAGGCAGGAGAATCACTTGAGTCCAGGAGGCGGAGGTTGCAGTGAGCCGAGATGCACTCCAGCCTGGGGTAAAAGAGTGAGACTCTGTCTCAAAAATAATAACAACAATAATAATATCCAATATTACTACTCATTAAGAAAATGCATATTAAAACCACAGTGAAATATAATTGCACACCTATCAGAATTTGGCCGCTTTGAGCTCTTCATGTACGCAGTCAAGTGGGCAGAAAAATAAATACTGGTTCAAGTAATCAAAAGTTTGGGCCACTGCTATACAATGGGTAGGGTGTGCATATCTGGAAACATGGAATTCTTGGTGCTTTTGTCCCCAGTAATAATGACAAATGGGCAACTGCAGAAACCATGGTCCAACAAGGGCAATGTAAATAAGAGACTTTTACTTTTACCTCTGGGATAAGTGTCTGTATTATCCTATTAGGCAGGTATGCAAGACCAGCTTGGCTGAAAGAGTGGGAAATCTAAAATGAAAGGGAGAGGAGAGATTGTGACTATAATTAGAGCCTCAAGGCCAGTGGCAACAGTGGGGCTTACAGCACATTTTATTAACCCTCTTGCCTTAAGTTTTTTCAGAGTGTGGTTAACTTCCACATTGAAGAGAACTCTGTGACCTGTGAAACTCGTACCCCCTTTTCTCTAGGAAGAATCAAGATCATTACATTCTCACAAAATTGCTCACATGTGGAAATCCAGTAAAGTTTTGTAGCACCTCATGCCTTGGTGTCAACAGGAAAGCCATAGGACAGGAGGTGAGAGGCACTCAGCAAAAACTGAAGTGAGGCATTGCCAAGTTGAACTTTTTACAGCCAGATGGAACACTAGACTGGTGAATCCAAGAAAATCTGAGGTGGCAAATAAAACATGTGTTGAATATAGAATCAAAGAAGCATCGCTTTGATATGAGACTTTCTCTTTTTGATCACAAAATGGTCTCCAACAATAGATCTTAGCTATTAACCTGGATTATATAAAATTACTGTCTCACAAGAATTTCCATTTAGGTACAAATGCTGTTTGAGATAAAAGGGCAGGCCAGGCACGGTGGCTCATGCCTGTAATCCCAGCACTTTGGGAGGCCAAGGCAGGCAAATCACTTGAGGCCAGGAGTTTGAGACCAGCCTGGCCAACATGGCGAAATCCATCTCTACTAAAAATACAAAAATTAGCCAGGCATATACCTGTGGCCCCAGCACTAGGGAGGCTGAGGCATGAGAACTGTGAGGCAGACGTTGCAGTGAGCCCAGATTGATCACTGCACTACAGCCTGTGTGACAAGCAAGATTCTGTTTCAAAAATAAATACATAAATAAATAAAATAAAAGTGCAATTGGCTTTCAGGCGAGATATTTTCAAATGATGATGGTTTACTTCCACTTGGTCACTCTTCACGGATTAAGCAGTATAAGTGCTGTCACCTGGCCACATGCCTAAGTGTCAAAGAAAATTGAACTCAGGACCCAAACTCACTATGTCAAAAGGACAGTTAACCTTGGGAACTGAGTCACACAAAAACTGTTCTTTTTGTTCCCAAATATATAGTTGTAATTTCACAACCCTGTGTTGTAGTCTCATTTTCTCTATTCCCTCTTTATTGTATGTAAAATGTAGATTTTTTGAAGTTAATCAGAGCCTCACAAGAATGTAATCATCTGCCTCACTGCCTACCCTCCCTCCCTTTCTTTTTTTCTCTCCTGCATTCTCTTTCTCCTTTTAACACTGAAGTTCCCGAAACCGCCTTTGGGAAAAACACAGGTCATAGATGTTCCTGTGACTTGTATCTTTTTTTCCAGGGCATGTCCTCAACCTTGGCTAAATAAACCTCGACTTGTTCAATTTAATAAACCTTGATTTACTAAATAAATCTTGATTGAGACCTGCCTCAGTCACTTTTTGGTGTACACATAGCTGGCCTATAAAATGAGAGAACCAAGAACCATCTCCAGGACTGGAGAAGACAGCAGGATGAGCGCGTGTGTCCCTGAGTCCTTCAAATCTGCCCTGGCTGTTGCCATGGCAGCTGATGAGATGAACTGATGGAGGTTCTGATCTTCTTCTGATTAGGAAATGCTGGGTCCAGGTTTTTTATTTTTTTAAGGACTCATCAGTTGTCACAGTGACCATATCCACTCTTCACTAAACCCTACCTGGAGTGATGAGCAGCTATAACCTTTAACTCCCTTTTTTAGCTGAGAATCCTCCATTTTCTTCCTTACTAGTTCTCAAGAAGATAGGAGGCAATAAACAAAGTTAATTTAGCTTAATTCATACTTTGTATATCTGTGTAATATATCAATTATTTAGTGGAAAAAATAGAGTTTCAAACTTATAGAAATGGAAAATAAGAGCTTAATGAGAATAATGTTGGTAGGTAACTCTCAGTACCTGTTAAAAAAAATTGCATTAAAAACTTATTCAACATACTAACTGAGAGTTTACCATGCTCTCTTGTCTGAAACTTAGAGTAAAATATGTGTAAATCTTCACTCTTATAGCTACCTGTGAATATTTACACTGGAGTGTTTTTAAACACAGTCTTATGGATAAGGTAACGCTTATACATATTTTCTGTTACTTCTCATACTCTGCTTCTTACTGGCTATGTGATTTTAGGCAAGTTAATGAACATTCATGGCTTCATTAGCTTCTGTAAAATAAAGCTTTAAAGAGTACCTCTTACATAGGCTTATGATAAGGTTAATATTTAGCACTGGGACTGGCAGACAATGTTAATATTGTCACTCATTCAATAAGGTTGTTTATGCTGCTATCATCCTTGAAAATAACACATCTGACTGTGTAGTCACTTCTTCATATGGGAAGATCTTGGGGGTCCATTGATATCACTGGCTAGAAGGATAACCATTTTTCTTCTGATTTTCTTAGTAACATTTTTATTATATTAAAAACTTTACCTCATTTATTTTAAATGTAGTTCTATAAATATAAACCAAAAAAAGCATATAGAAATGTGAATCTAAACTAAAAATGCATTTCTCATTTCTTTCTACTCAAGGACCTTTCAAATGGGCAATCATAAGTGTGGGAAACTCAATGTCCCAAGTGCCAGTCCTTTGACAATTGGAATATGGGAGCTTGAATTAAGTAATGAAGACAAATGGAATATAAATGAGCTTAGACTTCTTAGGGTAAGCTTGTGTTTGAAAATTCATTTGTCTCATAAAAATGGAACAAAATGACACAATGTACACTAGTTTCAAAACTAAAATGGCCAACATTTCTTATATGTTATTGGCTATTACACATTTTAAAAGCAAATAATTTTAAAATCTAAGAGGATAACAGCCTTTGCTACATCCATGTTGCTGCAAAGGACATGATTTTATTCCTTTTCATGGCTGTGCAATATTCCATGGTGTGTATGTAGCAAAATTCCTTTATCTAATCTACTGCTGATGAGCACTTAGGTTGATTTCATGACTTTTCTGTCATGAATAGTGCTGTGATAAATATGAGTTCAGGTGTCTTTTTGATAAAATGATTTATTTTCCTTTTGGTAGACACCCAGTGATAGGATTGCTAGATTGAATAGTAGTTCTATATTTAGTTCTTTGAAAAATCTCCATACTATTTTCCACAGGAGCTGAACTAATTTACATTCCAACCAACAGTGTATGTGTTCCACTTTCTCCACATCCCACCAACATCTGTTATTTTTTGACTTTTTACTAATAGCCACTTTGACTGGTCTGAGATGGTATCTCATTGGAATTTTAATTTGCATTTCTCTGTGATGAGTGATGTCGAGCACTGTTTCATGTGTTTGTGGGCCTCTTGTGTGTTTTCTTTTAAAAGTGTCTGTTCATCCCCTTTGCCCACTTTTTAATGGGGTTATTTGTTTTTTCTTGTTTATTTAAGTTCTCTATAGATTCTGGATCTTAGTCCTTTGTTGGAGGCATAGATTGCAAATATTTTCTCCCATGCTTGGGAGGGCAATGTCTAGAAGAATTTTTCCTAGGTTTTCTTCTAGGGTTTTAATAGTTTAAGGTTTTACATTTAAGTCTTTAATCCATCTTGAGTTAATTTTTGCATATGGCGAGAAGTAAGAGTCCAGTGTCATTCCCTGCATATGGCTAGCTAGCTTTCCCAGCACCATTTATCAAATAGGGTATCTTTTCCCTAGTGCTTATTTTTGTCAGCTTTTTTTGAAAGTCACTTAGTGGTACGTGTGTCAGTTTATTTCTGAGTTCTCTATTCTGTTCCATTGATCTATGTGTCTGTTTTTGCACCAATATCATGATGTTTTGGTTGCTATATCTTTGTAGTATAGTCTCAAGTTAGATAGTGCGGTGCCTCTGGCTTTGTTCTTTCTGCTTAGGATTGCTTCATTATTCAGGCCCTTTTTTGGTTCTATATGAATTATAGAATTCTCTATCCTAATTCTGTGAAAGATTATGGTAATTTTATAGGAATACCATTGATATGTAGATTGCTTTGGGCACTATGGTCATTTTAGCAATATTGATCCTTCCAATCCACAAACAGTGATTGTTTTTCCACTTATTTATGTCTTCTCTTATTTCTTTCACCAGTGTTTTGTAATTTTCCTTGCAGAAATCTTTCGCCTTTTTCGTTAAATGTATTCCTAGGTATTTTGTTTTGTATATTTGGCTGTTGTAAGTTGGATTGCATTCTTGATTTGTTCAGTTAACATTATTGGTGTATAGAAATGCTACTGATTTTTGTACATAGATTTCGTATCATGAAACTTTACTAAAGTTGTTTATCAGATCTAGCAGTCATTTGGAGGAATCATTAGGGTTTTCTAGGTATAGAATCTTATGGTCAGTAAATATAATTTGATCTCCTCTTTTCCTATTTGGGTGACTTTTATTTCTTCTCTTGCCTGATTGCTCTGGCTAGGACTTCCAGTACTATATCGAATAGGAGTGGTGAGAGTGGACATCTTTGTGTCTTTGCGTTCTTACAGGGGATGCTTCCAATTTTTGCCCATTCAGTGTGATGTTGACTATGCTTTTGTCATAGATGGCTCTCATTATTTTGAGATATGTTTCTTCTATGCCTAGTTTATTGAAGATTTTCGTCATGAAGCGATGCTGGATTTTATCTAATGCTTTTTCTGCGTCTATTGAGATAATTATATGGTTTTAGTTACAAATTCTGTTTATGTAGTCAATTATATTTACTGATTTGCATATATTGAACCATCCTTGCATGTGAGGAATACAGCCCACTTGACAGTAATGAATTATCTTTTGGATGTGCTGTTGGATTTAGTTTGCTAGTGTTTTGTTGAGGATTTTCACATCTGTATTCATCAGGTATACTGGCTCATGGTTTTCTTTTTCTTTGGTGTGCCTTTGCCAGATTTTGGTTTCAACTCAACAGCAGATACACATGAACACATAAAGATGATAATGACAGACACCTGTGACTCCAAGAGAAGTGAGGGAGGGAGAGGGACAAGGGCTGGAAAACTACCTTGGCTACTGTGTTCACTATTTGGGTGGTGGGTTCCATAGGAGCCCAAACCCTAAGATTATACAATATACCTATGTAACAAATCTGTACGTGTACCCCTTGGACCTAAGATTTTTAAAAATTAAAAGTTGTTACTTTTCATTTAAAGTTATTTTACATCCTGTAGTTTTGTGGTATACTTTAGAGCCTTCATAGAATAGTTGTTAAGTGAAGTTGCTTTTCAATTAGAAAAATTGTGTATTTCAATTATGCTTCTAAAACTTATTGGTCATTTGACCTTTAGTTTTTTAAAATTTGTGGTTACATTTTCTAATGTAAAATGAAGTAATTGTATCTTCTTCGTAGAGTTTTTAATCATCATTGAATGAGATAATATAAGCAAAGCCTTTGGAGGTTAAATACCCCTTAAATGGTAGTTTTAATTTACTAGAGGATAAAAAGTCTGATTTATGGCCACTATACATTTTCATGTAAATGAATAGAGAATGAATAACAGAGATTCATATCTTAATTTATGTCAATATGAATTGTAATTTCCTATGCAATTTAAATGTAATTTACAAAATAATTCAGAATATAGCATTTAGTTTAGCCCAAACTGTTCAGAGTAATAGAAAAAGTCTAAGACTTGGAATAGGACACCTAGATTCTTGTTTCTGACCTACTGACTACATGCAGTAGGGAGAATTTCCCCAAGCAACTTGCCTCTTGCACTTTAGTTTTATCTTTCAGATGGAGACAGGAATCATAGCTTTCATTTTTATTGCTTCATCATTTGCTAGCTGAGTAAACTCAATCATGTTTCTATAAACTCAATCATGTTTCTTAATTGTTTATGTGCCCCAGTTTCTACATCTGTGCATTGAGGATAGTAGTAATGTCTGTGTCACTGTGTTCTTGAGAGTAATGAATGAGAAAAAGCAGATGAATTCTGGCCGCAGCACTTGGCTGAGAGCACGTAGTTTACGTCTGCTGTTGTGTTTGTTTATTACCTAATTCACCCCCAGTATTCTCTGAGAATCAAATATGTTTGTAGGATGAAAATTACATAAACAAATTTTGTTGATAATTCAATGACATCTAGATTTTGTAATCATTTGTTAGATTACTAAACAATCTAAATTTGCATAAAAATGACTACTGGAATAGGAGTATGATTTTCTTATTTTTGAGCTATCTAAATATACTAATAATTATAATATCATATGACCATGACTGGAAATTTGTTAAAAATACAAATATTATAGATAAATTTAATATTCAGAAAAATGGAGCAAAGACTTTGATGAAAGCAAAGTGGTATCTGCCCTCCCTGTAATTATGGATCTAAATTGACTCTAAAAATGTGTATATTTATTACAATTAAGTCCCAAAACATTTGGCTAAATATTTATTTCTAAAATGAACTTAGACTATTCACAATAAGCATCACATTAAAATAAGGTGGTATATTTTAGTTCTTTTTTTTTTTCCCCTTGAGTTTGTGAGTAACTCTAAATTTGTTTTGACCAGTTTTCTGAAGAGTGCATGGTGGACAACACATTAGACAGACTATTGGTTTTTGGAATATTTATAAACATAAAAGTTTCAGCATCTCATATGAAAATCTAATGGATCTTTAGGAAATTCTTCAGTGTATTAATAATAATGAAATAAAAAACTATTTTGATGTGCTTTTAAAATGAAAAATATCAATTAAAGGAAGACAAAATTGACAAAATAGATGAAATACAAAAAATGAATAATATTATAATACAGTGGAGAAAATAAATGATTCTTTTTAATCTCATTTAATTGAAATATTTTCTACCTTCCAGGATGTTCATGGACTCAATGATTTTATTAGAGTAGGTACTATTTCTATCTCAATAAATTATTGGATCTTATTATATTAGTATGTATGATATATAGTGTTTTCATGATTTAATTTAACACAGAGGGTAAAGTATGTAGGAGTTCAATATAAGTATGGCTTTCACATTTGCATGTGTTCTTCAGGGAAACAAAAGCACATCCATTATTTTAAGCTATTAATATTTCTCATATATCATTAAGTAGAAGTGAACATGCTTGTAATTCTGGACTTGTATTTTATTTTTCAGAACCTAACTTCCAGAAAGGGTGACTTATGATTCTAAATATGAAAGTACATTTCTAGTGTATTTCCACAACAGTACTTAGAAGACCTGGGATGTAAACAAAAAGTAAAGTAGAAGTCACTGGCACAGATCTGAAACCAAGTTTTATTAAGGTAAGAAAATATATCCAATTTGAAAGCTGGAATTACCTTCTTTGATAACGTTTTCAAGCTTTGGACAAATAATTAAGTTTCATCATATGTTTTGCTTACTCATGCAGAATGTAACTAAGTCTTTTTTTTTTTTAATGCAGAAGCCTAAATTCCATTTCACACTGTAGCCAGACAATTCTCAGCTCAAGCTAACCTTGGGCTTGAGGGATTTCTTCTGCTTTGTGCTCAGGGAGACAATAGAGCATAATTTTGAATGCACAGCAGTTTATTCCAAGATCAATTCAATTGTACCAAAACCATATAACTTTAGATTATTTAATCAACTTATTTCATAAGCAGAAACAAATGCAAAAGCAAAGAGTTCAGTGTTTCTTGATATTTAACATGATTCATGTAGTTTTCTTTTTATGCATTTCAGGGATTTATACTACCTATATATTCAGCAAAAATATTACAATCTTATTGCATTCTAGCATTGGCATTTCCCATCATTTATAAGAATATGTCTTCACTCTAAATTCTGTACTGTGGAGAAGCATATGAACATAGCCCCTTCAATCTCTTCATTGTAAAAGCAGCACTACTTAACTTTTGGGAATATGGAAGATTGCAGAGTCACAGTGCTTTATGAAAGAATATATTTTATATCTATATCTGAACCTATATTTGTATATAGATATATATCTACAAGGATAGATCCTTCAAAAAATATATGAAGGAAAATGTCCAGTGTTGAGTGGTTCAATATGTCTATATCAGCCATATGGCTGATGAAATAGGTCATGGCTCAGGCCAGGATAAAGTCTTTAGAAACTCCCTCTGGAGTTAATGTTCTTTGTTTAGATTGTTTTTCTTTCTTATTCTCTTACACCACCATAATAAATTTTTCAGTGAGCTCCTAATCAAACTAGTCCATTAGAACCTCAAAGACCATTTCAAGTCTTTTCACTTACTGGAGCCAAAACGGTTTAGATTTGTAGCCATATGGTGGATATTCACCTGGGATTCTCAACGAAAATCATGGCAATACCATTGTATCATTATCAAACCTCTAATTTTTAAAATCACTTCCTAAAACTATCTTTTTCCTGACAGTATCCCCCTTAAAAATATTAGTTACTAAATCTACTACTTCATGATAGCAGCATCAATTGTGGTTAAGTGATAGGTTGAGATGAAGTAATGCTGAATAGACGGTATTTTTCAGTATTCTGAATGTAAATATTAGTCATAGCCACAATACATGTAAATTAGATTATTTTCCCATCAATCTTTCTGCTGAAATTCCACCATCAGCTACTTAGAGCATCCACCAGTTTTCTCACAAATGTATATGATAATTTATTCTGCTGCTTATAATACCATAAAGTAGTCTAGAAATTTGTCATTTAGTTTTTTAAAAATATTTTTAAATATTTACATGTGTCATGTAACAAATTTTATGAAGTGGCTCACACTTATACATTGTTCTGTTCCTTGCTTTTTCATATACCTACTAACATTTCTCAGAGAGATTTCATCTCAGCATTCACAGGTGTAATGTGTTCCATTCCTTTAATTATTATTATTATTAAAAAGTTCTTTCAGCCAGGGGCCATGGCTCATGCCTGTAATCGTAGCACTTTGGGAGGCTGAGGTGGGTGGATCACAAGGTCAAGAGATCGAGACCATCCTGGCCAACATGGTAAACCTCGTCTCTACTCAAAATACAAAAATTAGCTGGGTGTGGTGGTGCACACCTGTAGTCCCAGCTACTCGGGAGGCTGAGGCAGGAGAATCGCTTGAACCCAGGAGGCGAAGGTTATAGTGAGCCGAGATTGCACCACTGAACTCCAGCCTGGGCAAGACAGTGAGACTCTTTCTCAAAAAAAAAACAAAACAAAACCAAAAAAGTCCTTTCTTTGTGCCAAGCATTGTACTAAATGCTTTACCTACCTTTATTCATTTATTCTCCATTACAGCTTTACATAGTAAGTACTATTGTTTTTATTGTTTTTCCCATCACAAAGCACTGACTCTGAATGTGAACTCCAAGTCAAATTTCCTGCTGATTGGCATTTGGGTTTCCTCCTATTTTTTATTTTATTTTCTTGGCTAGCACAATCAGGATAACATAGCTTTGAGAGTGTATGCTTTTGTGTTTTTATATGTGTATTTGTGGTTGTGTGTAAGTCTGTGGATGAAAAGACATATTTGCATACATAATGAGTCTATTTTTGTTAATAAAATTGCTGGATAAAAGGAACACATTTTAAAATGTATTTTTTAAAGTTGTCTTCATATGGATTCTGCACATTTCTTAGTGAGTTTATTTTTGGATATGTTATTTTTAATAGTTCTTTATTTCTTCTACCATATATCTTTATACTTTTTACTGGTTACTGCTTATTCAGAAATCATTTTAAAAAATTTTTCGACCATTTTACTGGATTTCTTACCATTTCCAATATTTTTTCTAGGAATATAATTTATGATCTTAAAATATTGATAAATGTTTATTCTACTTTCTAATATCTGTTCTCCATTTTGCTTCTCTTTACAGTTTTATTGGTTAGTAATTCCAGAGCAAGGTTATTTAATAGGAGTCATTCCAGATACTTGTCTGGATTCTGACTTTTCAATAAATGCTTTCATTTAAATTATAGCAGTGCATTATGACATTTAATTATTTAATGCTTTAATTCTTGCACTTATTTTGTGTGCTATTTTTTCCATAGTTTGTTATGTGTTGTGCTAAATTTAAAATAACATGAAACTTTTGTTTTAGTTATGTGGAATTTATATTAAAAAGTATAAGAGGATTTCCTCATGAACATATCTGTGACAGGTAACTTGTAGAGCTTTAGTCCTTTAGCAAATTTCAAGTTTTTTAATTGTTACCTATTGCTTAATTTTAATCTTGTTTTCAATTAATAATAGCAATTTATATTTTCTTCAAAATTATCCATTCATTATCTCAACTAAATAGTTTTTATTAGCATAAAGTTTTTCAAAGTAGTTTCTTTTAATTCCCTCTCCTTCAAGGTCACAGCTGAATTTTATATATATATTTAAGTATGAGAGAAAGAAAAATCAGCTTGATGTATAGATCTAGTAGATAGATTGGTAGATAGATAGATAAGTAGGTAGATAGATAGATAGATAATCTATATATCAAGCTGGTTTTTCTTTCTCTTATACTTAAATGTCACCTTGTAATTTGGATGTGTATAACATTTTTGGCTCATATTTTCCTTTCCGTTGTGTTTAAGTGGAATTTTTTTTCTTTTTTTTTATTATTATACTTTAAGTTTTAGGGTACATGTGCACAACATGCAGGTTTGTTACAAATGTATACATGTGCCATGTTGGTGTTAACACTTAAACACAGCCTTCTAACTGCCACCCAGATCAAGACAGAAAAGAACAGTTTGCATTACTTAAAGCTTCTTCTAACAGCTGCATGAAACTATAGATTGAAATAGGCACAAGTGTCTATGGGAAGCCTCACTGTGTCTCACTACATCTTATTAATTACCCACCCAAATGTAAACAATATCCTGATTTTCTATCACCATAGATTAGTTTTAACCATTCTTGATGTCTATATAAATGATATCACATAGTGTGAAATCTTCTGTGTCTGGCTTCCTTCACTAATATTATGGCTATGAGGTTAACCTGATTGTCATACGTAGCATTAATTTGATCATTTTTCTATTCTACAACATTAAATTACATGAATATGAGAATTCATTTATCCATGGTACTAATGATGAATATTTGGCTATTGTAAAAAATGTTTTTTAATTACTATGTTGCATAAGTCATGGTATCTGGTACTGTAAGTCCTCCAGCATTGTTCCTGAAGATTGCCTGTATGCTTTCTATACCTCGGCACATTGAGAAAGTTTTATATAGTTTCTCAGTGTCAAAAAGTCTGCTAGGATTTGAATACAATTCTAATGAACCTACTGATTAATTTGTGGATAATTGACTTTTTTGATATTGTATCTTCAAATTCACCAAATACACCTTTCCATTTATTTATGTCTTTTTCAATTTCTCTCAGTAATGTTTCGTAGATTTCTGTATAGAGGACTTACACACATCTTTAATCAGACTTATCTGTGGATATCCTTTCTGATACTTTAAAAAGGTTACTATTTTATTTCTCTTTTAACTGATTTTGCTTGCATGAGGACACTTCAAAAAGTTCATGGAAAAATTCAATTAAAAGATAAAAATAAAAATATAAACTTTATTTCTCAACATAAGCTCCATCACAGTTTTTAAAGCAATTATACAAGCCATTAAGTCCATCTCTAAAGAAGCAATGGTCTTGGAAATTTGACCATGTGAGTATGGTCTCTTTAGTAACTGAAGAAAAACATCGGTACCTTTTAAAGATTTTTTTTTAAGATTAGAAAACCAAAAGAAGTCAGAAGGAGGCACATCAGGACTATAAAGTGGATGCTTAATAATTTCCCATAGAAACTCTTGTAAAATTACCCTTGTTTGATGAGAGGAATGAGTAGAAGTATTGTTGTGGTAGAGAAGGACTCTTTGGTGGTGGTTTCCTGACTGTTTTTCTCTGAAAGCTTTGGCTAACTTTCTTCAAATTATGTTGTAATAAGGAGATGTTGTTATTATTTGGCACTTCAGAAGTTCAACAGGCAAAATGCCTCAAGCATCCCCAAAAAACTGTTACCATGACTTTCGCTCTTAACTGGTCCATTTTTGCTTTGACTGGAGCACTTCCACTTTTTGATAGCCATTATCAGATTATGCTTTGTCTTCAGGATTGTACTGGTAAAGCCATGTGCCATCTACTGCTAACATCTTCGAAGAAATACTTCTGGATCTTGGATCCCATCTGTTTAAAATTTTCATTGAAAGCTCTGCTCACATCATATCAAGGGTCTATGTATCAACATGATTTATGACCTTTGATGTGGACTTTGCTTATCTGGCTGAAGTAGTGTTTGTCAGGTTTTTCCATTGCAATAGCGTTTCCCACTATAATATTACTCTTTTCCTCCCTTTCTATATTGAATTCTTTGGAAAGAAGTCACTATGCTCAGCCCACATTTAAGGTGAAGGATCTACATAATTTATTTGGAATTCTTCATGGAATATTTGTCCCTTCTTCATAAATAATTTTTGCATACAGACTTTTGTATCTGGCAATTGTACTAAATTCATTGTTTATGCCAATACTTTATTTATATATTCTTTTATATTTTCCATGTTCACAATCATCTCTTCTGCAAGTTATGATCATATGATGTCTTCCTGTCTAATCCAAATACTTGTTTTTTCTTTTTGCCTTATTGCAGTGGGCACAGTGAGTACAAGTAGTAATAGCATGTCTTTGTCTCATTTCCATTCTCAGGGGGAAAGCTTTCAATATTTCATTATTAACTATGAAGTTTGATACAGCTTTATCTGATCTGAATAAGGGATTTTCTTTAGATATTCAAGTTTTTAAGAATTTGAAAAATCATGAGTAGGTGTGAATGTTATCAGATATGCATGTGTTTTCTGCATCTACTTAGGTAATCAAATATATTTCCTTCTTTGTCCTTGAAATGAGATAGACTATATTAATTTTCAAACTTTAAATCAAACTATGCTTCCTGGAAGAAACCCAACTTGTCTTTCTGTTTTATCCATTTTGTATATTGCTATGTTCAATTTCTTAATATTTTGTTAGAAGTTTTTGCATTAACGCTTATGAGAGATGTTTTTTCTTTCAATGTTCTTGTAAGATTTGGTGCTATTACTATAGTTATCTCATAAAATGAAATGGAAAGTGTTCCCCCTTTTTCTATTCTCTGGAAGAATTTGAGCATGATTGGTTTCATGTCTTCCTCTAATGTTTGACAGCATTCATTGGCAAAGACAGATGGACAGTGAGTTTTCATTGTTGGAAGGACTTAAACTATAAAAGTCAAATTTTAATGTAGAAATATTAAGAGTTTCTGTTTCTTATTATGTTTGGAAAGTTTTATTTCATGAAATTTGTTGGCTTCTTATGAATTTTCAGATTTAAAGGCATTAATATCTCATAATGTTATTTTATATTTTAATGTCTTTTGAATCTAGAGTGATACTTACTCTTTTATGACATTGGTAGTTTGTACAATAACTCTTTTTTTATCCTTCATCAAATCTTGCTAAGGGTTTAATCAATGTTATTAGTATTTTAAAGAACCAAATTTAAGATTTCTTGAATTTCCGTGTTGTATCTTTGTCTCCTATGTTATCTTTCCTTCCTAATATGGATTTAGCTTGCTTTTTTGTTATGTGAAAAAATTGGGATGGATGCTCTGATCACTGATTTCTATCTACCTTGTTTTCTAATACGGAAACTTAGAAATATAAGGTTTTTTCTGAGCACCACTCTACTGGCATCTCAGTTTTGATATATTGTGTTTTTGTGATGATTCAACTCAAGCTAACATCTAATTTCCATAGTGATTTATTTTCTTTTCTTTAATCCATGGCTTACTTAGAAGCAAATATTTTAATTGCTCTCATTCTGATATTGTCTAATTATCTTTTTAAATATTTATAATGAGATTATTTTGTCAGGGAAATATTCTGAATATTCAGTGGGGCTTCAACCCATTGAAACTTAAAGAATTAAAAAAGTTTGTCTTCTTATTTTCTCATTTACAAATGTTTCATAGACATCTGAAAACAATATTTATTCTTCAGTATTTGAGTAGAGTGTTTTTCACATAAACACATAAAGTTTTTTAATTATATTGTTCACATTGCCTATATTCTTACTTTTTTCTTGGTCTAATGTTTATTCATGGAGATGTGGTAAAATCTGCATTTATGAATGCAGATGTATGTATTCCTATCTTTAATTCTGTCAGTTTTTCACTAATGCATTTTGAGGTTCTATTATTAAATGTGTACAGATTTACAATTACTATAACTTTCTGTTGAATTGACCCCTTTATCAAATTATAATTCCCATTTTGTCTTTGATAATACACGTTACTTTAAAGCGTATTTGTTTATATTAGCATAACTACAACAGATCTCTTTCAGTTAGTATTTGCATGATAAGTTTTCTTCCATTCTTTTATTTTCAACCACCTAAATTTAGCAAATGTGTTTTATAAGCATCATGTAATTGGTTTGTTTTCTTCATTCTTATAACTTTTGTCTATGAAATGGAATATTTATTACATTTAGATTTAATTTAATTTATCATATATTCGATTTTAAAAATACTAGTATCAAAGTATGTGTTTCTTCTTTTATTTCCCCTTGTTTCTTCATTTTTGCCTCATTGAAGGTTAGTTAATATGTTTATTCTATTTTTATCTTTATAAAGTTACTTTTAATAATAAATTAGTTTATTATTTTTAGTGCATAATATTGTAATTAAAACATACATCACAAAACTTTTTTAGTTCACCATAAATTAGTACATTTTTCACTTCATAGACAATGGAGGACCTTACAGGTTTTTTAACCCATTTGCTTCCTCCTACCTTCTGTGTTGTTATTGTCATGAATTTATATTTTGATTACATTAATCTACAGCATATTTTATTATTGTTTTAAATAGTCAATATTTGTTTAAATTTAAACACAAATTACTTTCGTAGTGCCTTTTTTGTTTTTTATTTTTTATTTTGAGACGTAGTCTCTCTCTGTCGCCCAGGCTGGAGTGCAGTGGGGCAGTCTCCGCTCACTGCAAGCTCCGCCCCCCGGTTTCACGCCGTTCTCCTGCCTCAGCCTCCCTGGTAGCTGGGACTACAGGCGCCCGCCAACATGCCTGGCTAATTTTTTTGTATTTTAGTAGAGACGGGGTTTCACCCTGTTGGCCAGGATGGTATTGATCTCCTGACCTCGTGATCCACCCGCCTCGGCCTCCCAAAGTGTTTGTAGTGCTTTTAACTTCTTGAATGATTGTGCTTACATCTTCTAGGATAATTTTCCACTTGCATGATGATATATCTCTCTCGTGTGTGTACATGTTGGTGCTTGCATACATAAATGTATGTATGTGTGATTGGGCAGGAATGATAAATTATCATTTACTTCCTAATACGTCTTATTTTGGAAGGCTATTTTCATTAGATTTAGAATTGTAAATGGACATCTATTTTTATTTTCATCCTGAATTTTGTAAATGCCACTTAATTGCCTTCTAGATTCTATTGTTTCTGTTTAAGTGTCAGCTTAAACTCTTATTATTGCTCCCTTTCTTAGCCTACCTTAAAGATTTTCTATTTGTTCCTGGTATTAAACAATTTACCTATCATGTGCTTACATGTGATTTTTAAAAAATTTATCTTGCTCAGAGCTCATAAAGCATATTGAATCCGTGTTTGATTTTCTTCAAATTTTCTCTGCCCTCCTTCTAGGATTCCAATTATATGTAAAGTAAGTATTTTCCCAATGCCCCATCTGTCTCTTCTCATTTCTCAATTTTCTATTTTTTCTTTCTGTTTTTCAATCTATCTATTTTCTGTTGGTATTACTTTACCTCAGTCTAATATATGGTTAATTTGATCTATTAAAGAGTTAAAATCATTCATTGTATTTTCTTTTCAAAGATATCTATTATTAATAGGTTATTGTTTTCTGGTGAAAGTATTCTTCTTTCTGTCTATTCTTCTTGAACATATTAATTATCATTATTTTGAAATCTATGTCTGATAATGCCAATATCTGAATAATCTATAACTTTATGTCTATTATCTATTTTTCATTTTGATTTTTAATCTTTTGCTCCAGTTTCCCTATAGTCTCTATATCTTAGCCCAGGAAACGTGAGTGAGGCAGAAGGAAAGTGAAATGAAGAAGAATAAAAGGCAAAATAAGGATATGTAACCAAAGTAGTCCTGCTTCATCCAACTGGGGATTGATATCACTGAGACTTTCTAAGGAATACAGAGAATGACTCAGAATTTTCCACTTAGAATTTATGCTTTTCTTGATTAGAAGCCAAGAACTATTCTATTTGAATTTGCACATTAAAAGTCTTAGGGGAACATCTTAAGAGCTGAGCATACACTTGCTAAATATTCTTTAATTTAACAAATATTTTTGGTACAGTCAATCCTGGTTATTTGTACGTCCTATGTTAGTGAATTTGCCTACTCACTAAAATGTATTTTTACTTTCAAAATCAATACTTAGGGCATTTTTGTGATCATTCATGGATATGCAAAAAATTTGATGTACACATTCCCAGCTGAAGTTGAACAAGACAATACTCTGCCTTCTTGTTTCAGCTCTCATAGTGTAAACAAATGTCTTTTTTTTTCAGTCTATTTACTATCATGGTTTTTTGCAATGTTGTGCTTTTTGGTGATAATTTTATTGTTTAGATGGTCCCCAAGCATAAAGTTGAAGTGCTGTTTAGTGCTCCTAAGCACCAGAGGGCTGTGATGTGCCTTAAGGCAAAAATATATGTGATAGATAAGCGTCATTCACGCATGAGTTGTAGAGCTGTTGGCCATGAAGTCAATGTTAGCAAATCAACAGTATATCAAGTCTCAAAAAAGGACAAGGAAATTTGCCAATATGTACATGAAGCTTCTCTGGAAAGTTCTAATGTGCATGATGAGCCTATGGAAAAGATGAAAAATCTGCTAAATTGTGGATGATGACATAAGATGACAACTATTGAAAAAGGTAGAGTGGACAGCATTGTTGTAAGACTGAAAGCCAAAGGAATTTATGGTCATGTTACTCAGTGTCAGGAAAATTTTATACTCTTCTTGTTTGATGTTTTATTATTTTTTAAAAATACTGCCTGTAATTAATTATTTGTCAGAAACACATATTAAAGTGTCTTTAAACAGAAACATACATAAAACAAGATTATATGTTGAATGATGGGCAAAAATATTGTGACCACAGACTGTCAGGAACATAATACTGCATTTCTCCTAAGAACAGTGGCTCAGTATTCACTAATTCACTGTTCAAGGAATTTTATAGAAAATAACTATCATGAATAATAACAATTGACTTTATTTACCATATATCAAGTACTTTTCTGCTTCCAGGGATTCAATAATGAACAAATCAGATGTAGTCATTTCTTCAAGATGACTACATTTCAGCGGGCTGGGGTGAGGAGGGCAAAGAACAAATAAGTATATACCATGTTGGGAAGTAAACTGCTATAAAACAATCTCAGTAGGGCAATAGAGAGAATAAGTTGTGTTTTTATACGAGTTAGAGAAAATTTATCTAGCAAAATGACTTAAAACAGATAATTGAAGGAAAAAGAGCGCCAGACAGAGGAAGGAGGAAAAGCAGAGTCCAAAGTAGAAGTATGCTTTCTAAATGGGAAAAGCAAGCAGGCGAGTGTGAGCAAGGAGATGGGTGGGTATAACAGCTGAAGGAGTACAGCAAATCCTGTATGGCTTTATAGGGCACTGTGAACTGGATGTCTTCCACTTGTTTTTCCAGATATATGCCCCACTCTTCTAGACCTTGATCTGTGCTCATTCATGGAACACATCAACAGGCTGGCTTTGATTGGGTTTGGGCAATAAGCATGGACAAGAGATTAGGGGGAGGTAGGAGAGTGAAGACGAGACATGTAATCTCCTAGCATTCTCTCTGCCTGTTTCCCACAGGCTGGCTTTGCCTCTCACTAAAGATCACAGCTCCTGACAAGTGGCCCTCTCTTTCTCTGGGTTCCGGTAATAGTTTCCTCCCCTCACCCCTTAGGGCCTGGGGATGGTTTTGGCCTCTGCTGTCATTAATACCATGGTCCTGCATTATCCTCACTATCCCTTGAAATTTCCCTTTTTCCTTGCCCATATCTTTGTAAATAGACTCTTGATTAAACTTTCCAAAAATTGCCAATTTGAATATGCCATTTGTTTCTTGTCATGACTGTATTACACAAGGTAAGGGTTTGGTTTCTATATGGGTGTCCCATGGAGCCCCTGTAGAGTTTTGAGTATTTAAATGCCATAACTTTGGTAGCTGTATGGAGAACAGAGGATAGAGAGAACAGAGGTAGCAGAGAGACCACGTAGAAGGATATTATAAAAATCCAGATAAAAAATAATTTTAGCTTGAATGAAATGATAGAAGCAGATTTATTAGGAAGTGATTGAATACAAGATATATACTGGAGAAATTTGGCAGAATTTTCTGATGGATTGAGTTTCAGATATAAGAAAAAAAACAAAAAACAAAAACTCCCAAATCAAAAAATAAACAAACATAAAAAAGTTCAGAGATTTTGGCCTTCGCAACTATAATAATTGAGGGTCCAGTCACTAAAATGAGGAATGTTACATTTTAGGAGGATATCCAGAATTTGTTCGGGGAAAAATTTAATTTGCAGTGTTACACAGCCTAATAGAGAAATAAGAATATGGAATTCAAGGAAGTAAATATGAGAATCATCAACACAGATGGTATTTGATGTCAAGAGACTGGATAAGATAAGGAGATTGTGAATAGAGAGAGCAGAGGTGAGAGGACTAAGTCTTGGGACAACAATGTTACAAGACCAGAAGTAAAAAGAAAAAATGTCAAGGGACACAGAAAATCAGAAGACTGTGAAGTAAGAGAAGGTTCTGAGGATCAAGAAGGCTCTGAGTTGCTAAGTAAAGAAAGTGCTTCGAGGGAAAGGGAATGGTGAATTGTCAAATACTTCTTAAAGGGCAAGTGAGAATTGACCAAGGAACTGGGTGACAAGGAAATCTTTACTGGCCTTGACAAGAATACTCTTATTAGAGTGCTTTATTACAGAATGGAAGAAGCAGAAAGGGAGACCGTGAGAAAATATAACCCTTTTGAGAAAATCTTATCAAGAATGACAAAGCTCAAAAAGCAGCAGAAAAGGGGGAAATTGGGTAGTGGCTGAAGGGAGATTTGGGATAAAAGAGGAGAGCCATATTTTAGGAATTTAGAAACGATACAATATAAAATAAAATTTTGAGAGAGATTACTGAAGCAATATCTTTGCTTTGGTAAGTGAGGAGGTAAAGAATGTATCAGCAGACATCTAAGAAGGTAATATACTTAGTGTTAGGATAAGGTGAAATTTTTTCTATATTCTCATCTACTCTCATTTGAAATAAAAGGCAAGGTCATCAGATGAGAATATGGAGACCAATGAGACTTGCAGTTTCAGACGCAGAGGACATATGTAATAGCCATCTAAGACAGAGATCAACAAGCTTACGTCAAAGACCAGATATTAAGTATTTTAGGCATTGTCAATGATGTAGTCTCTGTCATAGCTACTCGACTTCTGTGTTATAGTATAAAAGCAGCTATAGATAATAAATAAACAAATGAGTATGGCTGCATTTCAGTATAATTTTACTTTTAAAAACAGCAGAGAGCTAGATTTGGCTCACAGGCCATAGTTTAATCTCTGATCCAGGATAGCGAAAAAAAATTAATGGTCTAGGGAAATGGATTAGGGTTTTCAGGAAGCTCTACAGGCTTATTTGAGGTTATAATCATAAATATAAATATTAATCAGTACGTAGTGTTTTTCTCCAGCCATGTTTTAGGTGGGGGATGGGGAAGACAAGTGTTGTAAACGTTCTTGTTGAACAAGACGTGGATTTTTTTCATTCTTAATTTCTGCCAACCTGTGAGCTGTTCTAGTCATTTTTTTCTCTCTCTCTTCTCATTCCTATAATTGTGTGCTTTCTTTTGCATAATTACACATTATTCTTTATTTCACAGAGTAAATGAATTTCTTAATTCCTGTATCAGACAGGCAGTTTCCTGCTTTAGATCCCGCAGTGTCTCCCCACTGTATGAACACATCATACTCTAAGTATGGCTCCCCTGGCCTTGCACACTCTGGGTCCTCCCTTCTCTCCAGCATCATCTCACAGCTCTTTCTACTCTTATTCACTGCACTCCCCACATTTGGGTCCTTGTTCTGTTTCTTCAGTGTAACAAAGTTGACTCCATCCTCAGGCTCTTTCCTTGGCTTAAAATGCTCATCCCCTGAACCTTTCCCAAATTACCACTCATTTTCAAGCCCTTTTTGAAATGCTCCTTTCTCTTGGAGGCTTTTCCTCATCCATCTGTGTACCCTTCCCTTCCCACTGCACAGCCCCTTCTATGTGCAGAGCCACTCAGTAATTTTCCTCCGAATACTCTGATCTTTCCCTTCATTGGATTCAACATAATATGTAATTGTGAATTTATAGCTGATGTCATTGGTTTGATGTCCATATAGTTCACTATAGCCATGAGAACAGGATCTATATATGATTTGTTCCACCAACATATATCCTGGCCTAGCCCTTGGTATAGTAGATTTATAATATATATTTGCTGATGAATGAATGAATGAAATAATTTTCTCAGATTTTATGTACTTTAGGAATGAGAGGTAGAATATGATCCCCATTGCAGTGTTCACACTATTGCTGCTTGTATTAGTCTGCTCAGGCTACCATAAAATATCATAGACTAAGGTGACTTAATCAACAGAAACTCATCTTGTTATAGATGTGGAGGTTAGAAATCCAAGATCAAGGTGCCAGAAGGGAGGCCTCTCTCCTCAACTAGCAAAAGGCACCTGCTTGCCATGTTTTCACATGGCCTTTTGTCTGTGCATACTCATGAAGAGAGAAAGTGCTCTAATATCCCTTTCTCATAAGTACCTCAGTCCTATCAGATTAGGGCCCCATTCTATGACCTCACTTAACCTCAGATCCCCCAAAATATATTAACACAATAAAAAAGAAAGACATCCAACTATCTCAAGAAAGGCAGAAAAGGCACTTGGCAGAATTCAACACCCATTCATTATTAACAAACAGCAACAATTCATCAAACTAAGAATAGGAGTAAACTCTTCTAATCCGATAAGGAGAATTTATGAAAATTCTAATGTTAACATTATAGTTTATCATGAAATGGTAAGCTCTTTCCTCTAAGATAGAAAACAAGACCAGAATATTTACATTCACTATTTCTATTCAGCATTGTACTGAATGTCCAGCCAATGAAATAAAAATTTAAAATGTTTAAAAATAAGTGGAAAGACAAATATCAGAAAATAAGTAAAAATGTATTTATTTGAAGATAATAAAATTGTATATGTAGAGTATGTAGCATCTACAAAAATAACTAAGATTAACAAGTGAATTGATGAAGAACACAGAATTCAAGATAAATCTATAAAAATAAATTGTACTTATATCTACATTAATAACAAACACCACTGAAAGTCACAATAAAAATTAAAATTAAATATTACAATTAAATGCAACAAAATATATATACAACCTTTATATTAAAAAATAAATAACATTGCCTAAGGAAATTATTTAAGACTTAAATAAAGATACAGATTTGCCATGATTATAAGTTGGAAAGCTCAATATTTTTAGATGTTAATTTCAAAATTGTCCTATGGATTCAATATGATCTTTCACAAAATTCAAGTAGGTTTCTAGTAGAAATTGGTAAAAAGATTATAAAGTTCATATGGAAAAGCAAAGACCTAGAATATCGAAAATCATCTTTAAAAAAATTGAACAGAGTTAGAGTAAGACAAATTGATTTCAAAACTTACAATACAGCTACAATAATTGTGACAGTGTGATACTAGCATAAGATGGACAAAGCAATCAATGAGCAGAAAAAAGAGTCCAGAAATAGACACACATTTCTAGTCAATTGCTAAATAAATTGGGTAAGAAAAGGTGTTTTCTTTTTCTTTTTGACTGATGTTGATGAAACAACTAAAAATATTCATAAGAAAAATATGAAATGAAACTCCTATTTCACACTATACAAAACAGTAAGTTAGAAGTAAATTATAGGCTATCGGTTCTTTTTGTGCTGATATTATGGAATACCTGACATTGGGCAAGTTGTAAAGTACATAAATGTATTTCTTATGGTTCTGGAGGCTGGGAAGTCCAACGTTGAGGGGCTCCCATCTTATGAGAGCCTTCTCCCTATTGTTGCATCTTCTCATGGCAGAAGGTGAAAGGGCAAGAGAGCACTGGCATGTGCATGCATGCAAGAGAAGCAGAAGCTGGGAGAGGGAGCCAAACTTATCCTTTTATCAGGAATTCACTCCCATGATAACAGCATTAATTCATCTCTGCCTTCATGACCCAATCATTTCTTAAAGGTCCACATGTAAACACCGCTGCATTGGGGATTAAGTTTTCAACACATGAACTTTAGGAAACACATTCAAACCATAGTATAGGCCTAAATTTAAAAACCCAGAACCATAAAACTTCCAAAAAATTCATACTATAATGCTTCATAACCTTGGAACAGGCAAGTTTTTTTTATCAGAACGGACAAAAAAACACAAAGGTTAAAATAAGTGCAATTGTTTAATTGAAGAATGTCTGCTCATGCAAAGATTCCATTTTAAAAATGGATAAGCCACAGACTGGAAAAAATATTCGCAAGAAATAGATATGACAAAACATTTATATCTAGAATATATAAATACTCCTACAGCAAACAATAAGATGATTAATTCAAGTTTAAGTAGATAAATTATTTCAATAGACAATTCCCAAAATAGGATATTCAAATGGAAAATAGCACGTGAAAAGACACTCAACAGCATTTGTGATCAGGGAATTACAAATTAAAACAAAAAGAAAAAAGGGCTATCTTTTCACACCTACTAGAATGGCAAAGTGAGAAAATTATTGCATGGAAAGAAGGCTTGAAACTGACTGGAAAGGGACATGAAAAAATTTTCTGAGAATGTCCTATCTGTTGTCTTGTGTTGTGATAACACCAGTGCCTAAAATAGTCAAGCACATCAAACCGAACTCTTAACATTGTGGGTTTTATTACATGTCAATTATGTATCAATCAAAAAGGAATAAATTCACTTCATCCTCAAACTTGATTTTACTCTCTTGTTGTCTTTCTTAGTAAATGATAGCACAGCCAAATGTTGCTTTAGCAAAAAACTTTCGGAGTTATCTTTGAATCTCCACTCTATTGGGTAATATATCTCCTATTATTGAATATTCTTTAATTATTTTATAAATACCTCTAAAATTTATCTACTTTATTTCATCAGACTACCAGCACCTTTTGCCAAGTTTTTATCGCAATGTATTTGGACTAGTAGCCTCCTAACTGGAGCCTCTGCTGCCACTGCCTTCTTGCGATCTTCTCTCTATAGTTGATATAGGATGATATTTCATAAATACAAATGTAATGAAACTTTTAAAAGGTTTACATTTATCTTATAAAAATAAAATATTTACTATTTTAATACTTGCTACAAAGCCATGCCTACCTACAGTTTAGAATTTGTGTCATAATCCATACCTCTATGAAGGTCAAGGAGTGGCCTAGCCTAACACATGTCCAACAAAAACTCATTAATACTAACAATTTATGGAATTCTAACAGTTTCTTAAACAACTCTACTAGGTGGTTATATACATGATCCTTAATTTTATCAGCTACCAATGAAGAAACATGAGTTTAGATAGGTTAACCTTCCACAAGGTTAAATTCATGTGTGGTAAAGCTAGAATTTAAATTCAAGTCTGTCTGGTTCTGAAAGTCTGCCTTTTGAATTATAATGATGTTACTGGAAATTTTGTTCATGGATCTTTGGCTACATATAGCTATGATTTACGTGGCTGAGTACGATAATTACAGGAACCATACTAGCTGCATCAATACCAATTATTTTTCTTACAATTCTTAGTAATAGCTTCCAATAAATAACATTTGCACAGAAACTCCCCAATGATAGGATATGTATATGGGTCAATTTATGTGCTTCCTTTTGTAAGTCGTCCTGTAATAGAATAAATGATACAAGGAGGCCACCAAAAAGCAGCAGAGCCCATAAAATTTTTTAGAAGACCTCAAAGGAGTAATTTCAAAGGTCAGTAAAATGACTAAGAAAATAATACTGTCAGTTGGTGGGAAAGCAATGAGGAAGAGAAAACCCTGAATTATTTTCAAAACCGTGAAGGAGAATATAGCATTTTGAGATGATTGGCAAATATGCTTATGTGAACTTTTTCTTTAATTTATATGCACTACAAAACTATTTAATTCCCACTTTAATGACAAAAATAAAAAACAGACCTCAGGAACAAGATTAACATATATACCATCTATACCAGAAACATGAGAGATATTGAAAAGACACGCTTAAAGAAATACAACTACAATTGTGAATTGTGCTGCTATAAACATGCCCGTGCAAGTATCTTTTTCAAATAATGACTTCTTTTCTTCTGGGTAGATACCCAGTAGTGGGATTGCTGGATCAAATGGTAGTTCTAGTTTTAGTTCTTTAACAAATCTCCACACTGTTATCCATAGTGGCTGCACTAATTTACATTCCCACCAGCAGTGGAGAAGTGTTCCAACACAAATGCCCATCAATTTACGAGTGGATAAAGAAACTGTAGTATATATATATGATGGAATACTACTCAGCCATAAAAGGAACGAATTAACGCATTTGCACTGACCTGGATGAAATTGGAGACTATTATTCTAAGTGAAGTAACTCGGGTATGGAAAACCAAACATAGTATGTTCTCACTGATATACGGGAGCTAAGCTATGAGGACGCAAAGGCATAAGAATGGTACAATGGGCCGGGCGCGGTGGCTCACGCCTGTAATCCCAACACTTTGAGAGGCCGAGGCGGTCAGATCACAAGGTCAAGAAATCGAGACCATCCTGGCCAACATGGTGATGCCCCGTCTCTAGTAAAAATACAAAAATTATCTGGGCGTGGTGGCGCACGCCTATAGTCCCAGCTACTCGGGAGGCTGTGGCAGGAGAATCGCTTGAACCTGGGAGGTGGAGGTTGCAATGAGCCGAGATCACGCCACTGCACTCCAGCCTGCTGACAGAGCGAGACTCTGTCTCAAAAAAAAAAAAAAAAAAAAAAAGAATGATACAATGGACTTCGGGGACTTGGGGGAAAGAGTGGGAGGGATAAAAGACCACAAATATGGTGCAGTGTGTACTCTCGGGTAATGGGTGCACCAAATCTCACAAAACACCGCTGAAGAACTTTCTCCTGTAACCAGCCTCCGGAACGACAAGAAAATAAATTTCTGTTATTTACAAGAAATTAATGTGGTATTTCATTATAGCAGCTAGAGGTGACTAATATTTGATGCCTTCCATTTCAAGGTGCCAGAGCATTAGATATGCAAAACCGTATGCTTTTCTTTAAAAAAAAAAAAAGTCATAAGAAATTGCCTAATGAAGTATTTGTGTATTGTTTATATTCAGTCAAGGTAATTACAAATATAAGTACCTCCTTCCTTAAAAGATTTTCAAACAGTTGCAATTGAGCATGAAAATATCTCCTCAGGTTAGAAACCTGTATATTTAGTTTTATCTTCCAGAATTTAATAGCTAGAATGGATTATTTCACTATGTCAACATGTTTTCCATTGGTAAATATTTTCTCTTCATTGTGAATAACAATTTGGTGCTAATGAAGGCTAAGGGACTGGCATAAATAGCTGAAAAATATCTATGTCTGAGTAAGACCAGAGGTAAAAAACTATTTTCTTTTTTATAAGAAGACACTGCCCAGGAGAAATGTTAGTAATTGGTTACTGGTTATTGCTTATATACAAATCTGAAAAGTACCTTGTAATTATGAAATAATTTTCATAAGAATTTCTAAAAACTGCACAAAACATACCTAATGTGGATGAAAAGGATAATTTTATTTTTTAAAATTTAAAACATCTTTGCAACAACTATAGAACACCTGTAGAGGTATGTTGATTTGAATTGAACTCAGTTTATTTGAATTAAATTGAATATCTTATTTCTTCATATAAAAATATACAGTGAGAACACATTACTTTATCAGATATAATGGTAATTATAAAAAAACTCCTTCTTGGTTTAGTATTTAGTTTTTATTCTTAAAGCCAGGGAATACTCACCTTATGAAGTACAAGACAAGAAATATGAAGAGAGATCTATTACAAGTAATATAATTTACTATAATTTACTTCAATTTATACCTGCTTTTGTAATGTGGCCCAACCAATATAAGACTGTTACTATTTGTTACACAAGAAGATGCTCTGTGTGCTTTTGCAATGTTAAGTGACAAATCTTAAAAGACCTGCATATCTGGCCAGGCACAGTTGCTTACGCCTGTAATCCCAGCACTTACGGAAGCCAAGGAGGGCAGATGGCTTGAGCTCACGAGTTCAAGACCAGCCTGGGAAACATGGCAAGACCCCATCTCTACAAATACACAAAAGTTAGCTGGGCATGATTGCGTACACCTGTAGTCCCAGCTACTCTGGAGGCTGAGGTGGGAGGATCACTTGAGCATGGGAAGCAGAGGTTGCAGTGAGATGAGGTTGTGCCACTGCATCCCAGCCTGGGTAACAGAGTAACACTGCGTCTCAAAAACAAAACAAAACAAAACAAAAAACGCTGCATGTCTATTATACAAATACCAAATGCATACACGTCAAAAGTGCATTTAACTCATTAACAGAATAAGGGAAACTGTTAAGATGTCACAACCAGTTCAAAGGAGAAATCAAAGAACCAGAAATGTATATGAAATAAAAGAATGTTAAAATAAAATAACTTTGCACATTTATTGACAAGTTGGTGTGCTTCATTCTTTTTATTCTTTCTTTTGTCTCCTCTTTGTATTTTCAAATAGCCTGTCTTCAAGCTCACTAATTCTTCTGCTGATTGATTCTGCTGTTGAGATTCTGATGCATTATTCAGTATGTCAGTTCCATTTTTCAGTTCTAGAATTTCTGCTTGATTTTCAAAAAATTATTTCAATTTGTTTGTTAAATTTATCTGATAGGATTCAGAATTCCTTCTCTGTTATTTTGAATTTTGTTGAGCTTCCTTAAAATAGCTATTTTTAATTATCTGTATGAAAAGTCACATATCTCTGTCACTGTAGAATTGGTCGCTGGAGCTTTTATTAGCTTATTTGTTGAGGTCATGTTTTCCTAAATGGTCTTGATGCTTGTGGATGTTTATCAATATCTAGGCATTGAAGAGTTAGGTGTTTTTTGTAATCTTCACAGTCTGGGCTTGTTTGTGACCGACCTTTTGAGAAGGCCAATGAAAATTGAGTGTCGTGATCTAAGTCTTTGGTCACTGCCGCTGAGTCTGCATTAGGAGGAAGCCCAAGCCCAGTAATGCTATGAATCTTGCAGACTTGTAGAGGTAACACCTTGGTAGTCTTGGATCCAGAATTCCCCGGATTACCAAGCAGTGTCTCTTTTTCTCCTCCCTTACTTTCCCCCATACAAGGATAAATTACTATGTGTCCTACCCAATGCCATGAGGAAATTAACTACAGCTTATAAATAGAAAGAAAGAAATTTGCATTTGGATTATAGGAGGAAAAAGAACATACATGAAAAGAAAAAGTTCATTATTCTGGAAACTAATTTGTAAAGATTCAGAAGAAATAATGATGTGACAATACAATAATTACCTTTAAACTCAAGTTTATGCTTTATTACTAAAAATACCAATAACTATATGTACTAATTGAACTTTTTAAAAGATAGGGTATATTAACACAAATTTTATGCATAAGCAGAGTAATGCTGACTGCATAATGGAATTAAATGACTGCTATTTGGCTCCCAAGGTCCACAGAATTCCTCCACTGTTAGTAATGTTTTTCTTCTTTTAATTAGTCTTCTCTCTAGGACTTTTGGAAATCTATTCTTTAATTACAATTTTGGGAAGTATAACATATCCAGTCCTTTATAATTCAGTGTAAATATATTATCAGATTAATTTGCTCCTGTACCAATAAATACTGGATTAACGTTGATAATGTTAACCCCCAGTGGTGGTTTTGAGGAGGAAAGAATGCTTACCAGGCACTCTAAGAAACATTGAGGTGTCTGAAGTAGAAACAAATGTGAAGAAAAACATTTTGACATAAATCAATACCAGGCAGGGATCAAGATGGTGGAATAGAAAGCTTCGCCAAGCTGCCCTGGACAGCTTGGACTCTCCAAAGACCACAAGCTGGAATGGCTGAGTTATCCAAACAGCCAAGATGGCAGCTCACCCCTCCCCCTGGGCACTCTATCCCAGGGAGAGATCAGAGCTCTGTCCATAGAACACAGGTGGGTGGAGGTAGCTGGAGGCCCCATCTGGGAGATCCCACCTGGTGAGAAATGAATTGAGATCCAGCTCAGTGAAGCAGTCTAGCTATGTTCTGGCAAAGCAGCTGTGCTGTGCTGAGAGGACCCTTCCTCATCTGCACTGTTTGGATGCTCCAAAGCCCATAGACTGGAATGGCTGTCAACCAAACAACAAAGCTGGCAACCTGCCCCTTTCCCCAGGGGCCCCATCCCATCTCAGGTAGGCTCTGCCTTGTTGCCAGTGACTGGCTAGAATTCTAAGCCAGCAGGTCTTATCTTGAGAGGTGGATAAGCCCCATTCCATGGGGCCTGCAAGGAAGTTGGAAGTGGGGAAGTGGGGCCTGCAGACAGACACTGCTCAGCCCCCTGGATTCAGCCACCTTCCCAGGGATATGTACAGACCTCCCACCTTGCCTGAGTTTTAGTCACCTCTGTTGGGGATCTCAGGGCCAGAGTATGTAAAGTTCCTGGGTCTCACACAGCTCTGTGTGTTGGACCCAAGTTCCTGGTGGCGTGGGCTTATGAGGGGATCTCCCAATCTGTGGTTTCCTGGGGTCGCACATTCACCCACTGCTTCCCTTGTCTAGGGGTGGGGGTTCTCTTGGCTTCATGTTGCTCCCAGGTGTGCCATCACCCTGCCCTGCATTTCTTCATTCTCCATGGGTCGAGTTGTTTTCCTGATTATTCCCAACACAAGTACATGAATATTTCAGTTAAAGGTGTTATATTCACTCACCCCTTTTATTTCTCTCCATGAGTGCCACACACCATAGACTACTTCTAATTGGAAATCTTGCCTCTTTTCTCAATACCTAACTCTTTAATCCCCAGACACTGAAGAATGTCTACTAGCATCAACATCATCCAGGAAAATAAGACCTCACCAAATGAACTAAATAAGGCATCAGGGACCAATCCTGGAGAAACAGAGATATATGACCATTCAGACAAGGAATTAAAAAGAGCTGCGTTGGGGAAATTCAAAGAAATTCAGAACAACACAGAGCATAAATTAAAAATTCTATCAGATAAATTCAACAAAGATATTGAAATACTTAAAAAGAACCTCAATAGGTACAGCAAACCGCCACGGCACATGTTTACCTATGTAGCAAACCTGCACATCCTGCACATGTATCCTGGAACTGAAAATAAAATAAAAATAAAAATAAAATAAAGTAATAATAAAAAACAGTAAAAAAGATAGCCATACCCAGAAGAATACATAATGTATGATTCTAATTATATGTGGCCCAAACATGAATAAAAGTAACCTATGGCATTATAAGTCAAAAATAAAAATAAAAAAAATAAAATGTATCTCCAGGTGTTCACTGTAGCATGAAAAAAAAAACAACCAAGCAGAAATTGTTACAGGCCAGGAAAGAGTGGCATGATATATTTAAAGTGCTGGAGGAAAAAAGGTTTACCCTAGAATAGTATATCTGGCAAAAATTTCCTTCAAACATGAAAGAGAAGTAAAGACTTTCTCAGGCAAACAAAAGCTGAGAGATTTCATTAACACTAGACCTGTGCTACAAGAAAGAAAAGGACATTGATGAACAATAAAGAATCACCTGAAGGTACAAAACTCACTAGTAATCATAAGTACACAGAGAAACACAGAATATTATAACACTTTAACTGTGATGTGTAAACTACTCTTAAGTAGAAAGACTAAATGATGAACCAATCAAAAGTAATAACTACAACAACTATTCAAGACCTAGTTATTACAATAATACATAAGTAGAAACAACAAAAAGTTAAAAAGCAGGGGGACGAAGTTAAGGCATAGAGTTTTTATTAGTTTTATTTTTGCTTATTTATTTGTTTATGCAAATAGCGTTAAGTTGCTATCAGATTAAAATGATGAGTTATAAGATAGTATTTGCAAGCCTCATGATACCATCAAACCAAAAAAAACATACAATGGATATACAAAAAACAAAAAGCAAGAAACTAAATCATAAAACTAGAGAAAATCACCTTCACTAGAGGAAGACGGGAAGAAAGCAAAGAATGAAGAAAAGACTATAGGACAACCAGAAAACAAATAACAAAATAACAGGAGTATTTTCCTCTCAATAACAACGGTGAATGTACATGGACTAAACTCTCCAATTAAAAGACGTAGACTGGCTGAGTGGATGAAAACAACAAGACCTATGGATTTGTTGCCTACAAGAAACCCACTTCACCTATAAAGACACACAGACTGAAAATAAAGGGATGGAAAAAGATATTCCATGCCAATGGAAACAAACAGCAAAAAAAAAGCTGTACTTATATCAGACAGAATAGATTTTAAGACAAAAACTATAAGAGACAAAGAAGGTCACTCTATACTGATAATTATAAAGAGGTCAATTCAGGAAGAGGATATAACAATTTTAAATGTAGATACACCCATATATATATATTAGAGCACCCAGATATGTAAAGGAAATATTGTTAGAGCTAAAGAGAGAGACAGGCCCCAATACAATAATAACTGGAGACTTCAACATGCCACTTTCAGGATTGGACAGATCTTCCATACAGAAAATCAACAAAGAAAAGTTAGACTTCATGTGTACTATAGAACAAATGGATCTAATAAATATTTACAAAACATTTCATCCAAGGGCTAACCTTGGCTAGATTTTTCTGAAAAGACAGCATATAAATGGCAAGCAGGCATATGAAAATGTGCTCGACATCATTAATCATCAGAACAACACAAATGAAAGCTAAAATGAGATAACATCTCACCCCAGCTAAAATGGTTTATATCCAAAAGAGAGACAAAAACAAATGTTGGCAAGGATATGGAGAAAAGGGAACTCTTGTATACTGTTGGTGGGAATGTAAATTAGTACAACCACTGTGGAGAATAGTTTGGAGGTTGCTCAAAAAACTAAAAATTGAGCTACCATATGATCCAGCAATCCCACTGTGGGTGTATATCCAAAAGAAAGAAAATTAGTATATCAAAAAGATATCTGCATTCCCATGTTTGTTGTAGCATTGTTTATAATCGCTAAGATTTGGAGGCAACCCAAGTGTCCATCAACAGAAGAATGAATACAGAAAATGTATTATATGTGCACAGTGGAGTACTATTTAACCATAAAAAATAAATCAATCAATACCAGGCAAATTTTACCAATTTGAAAATCTCTGTGTTTACTTTTTACTTGTTCTGCCAAATTAAATCCCTTTTCTTGATATTATGCATATTCACTATGATGCATCCAAGACTCCTCTTTGAAATTCAATTCAGTAAAATATAATTGGATGAAGAGTAAGGATTTTGAGGTGGGTGAGATTTTCTCAAAATGAAATTTCTATCTGCTTATTAGATGAAAAAGATTCACATAAACAATTAATAGAGTTATCAGATGAAAGTCAGATGGACCCTAAGAGCGTACCAGTCAAAAAGATATTTCCAGAGGAGTCATTCACTCTAAGATGTATAATTTTGTATCTGCCTCATAATCGCTCTAGAGAGTCATTTTTTAAATCTTAGAATATAATACTGGCAAAGTCTGCTACTGCTGCTGCCAATCCTGATGGAGCAAGCTATCAATCTAATTCAAAGTAAAATGATTACATGTAAACCCCTATATCTTTCCCAATACTATCACAGCAGAAAGGGATACATTTGGAACAATACCCAACCCTAGGACAGGCACATATTTCTGAAGTTAGATGTGATTTTACTGTGATTTTGTTTCTAACGTTTTAGCAGGTATTACTCTATATATCAAACTACCTCAATGTAATTTAAACTCTGATAAAACACTTCACCATCTGGCCTAGTTCTTTCTAATACCTTCAAGAGTTTTCCCCTACTGATAGCAAAATACAGTCATTTGTTGCATTTGTTGATCCTCTTGTCACCTCATATTTAACAATTCTTTATTAATACATCTAATGAGCTGATACTCATTAGATGAGCTGATACTACAGAATGTTAAAGGAATGCAAATGATCTGGCTGGTGCAATTGGAAAAATATTATAATTTCCATGAAATGAACAAAGGGACTCTAATTATGTATGTTAATAGGACAAAGATGCACAGTGTTCTGCTTATGATGGTTTAATGACATCAGTTTTATGGTTGAGATTTCCAACATTTCTCATATCAGACTTTATATCATATTAGGCAATTAGTAACTTGATTCACACTGCACAGGGTGGTTTTAAAATTCAGCCACACTTTTGCTAATGTGGTTTCCTTTTCTTTTTACGTTACCTTATGAAAGAAAATGTTCTTGAATTCTTGCTCAGTAAATAACACAAGTATCAATTTTCAATCAGAATACTACTATCTTGGCATCAAAGTATTTCTCTTAAGAGTGTCCTGGATTTAAAATGTGTATTAAATCTTTTTGGTGTAATTTAGCCTCTAAAATAAAGATGCACACTTAACATAGGCAAAAAGAGTTTATCAAAATGCATTCAATCAGACATGACACTTTGAGAATGGAAGAGCAATGACATCCAAAAAACTAGCAGAAAAAAATTAAAGCAGAAAAATTACTTTTGAGCTGTTAATACTTCAGGCAAGAGTAATGTTATTGCATTGTTTTTTCATGGAAAAGCAATATCCACAATAGGACTGAAAAGCAATATCTACAAATAATAATTTCACAACTGTGTAAGAAAAGTAATTTGAAAAAATATCTTTGATTTAATGTATTGACAAATATCTATTAGAAATGGAAGAGAAACTTTAAAAAATTACAGTATTTTTTATATCTTCATTTAGATACTTTGGTTCATGAAATAAGTTCTCTTCTTGAGGTTTTTGTTTTGTTTTTGTTTGTTTTGTTTTGTTTTGTTTTTGTCATCAGGCTGGAGTGCAGTGGCGCAATCTCAGCTCACTGCAACCTCCGCATCCTGGGTTCAAGTGATTCTCTTGCCTCAGCTTCCCGAGTAGCTGGGACTACAGACACGCGCCACCATGCCCAGTTAATTTTTGCATTTTTCATGGAGATAGGGTTTCACCATGTTGGCCAGGATGGTCTCAATCTCTTGACCTTCTGATCTGCCCACCTTGGCCTCTCAAAGTGCTGGGATTACAGGCCCAAGCCACCATGCCTGGCCTGAGATTTTTTAAAGTAAAATTGTTTTATTTGCGTAACATAGTGGTTTTAGGACCACTGGAAACATTTTCTCCAGGTGTAGTTTATAAATATAATCTTAGTATTTCAGATTTTTCTTTTTCTATATTTTCAGGCATTTGGAGAATGTGAGGGAAATCTTTTAACAGTCAAGAAAGTCATTAAGAGTCAGCAGTATAGTTTTGCAGTTCAGTAATGTAAACCATTACTCATTTTAAACATTAAAAACATCATGCCAACCTTCATTGGCTGCCATTAGAAAGCGGTTTCTGTTACACTTCCTTGAGTTGGACTTTGTTAGTGTAGTTTGCATGATTATATGTTATGTGCGCAGCATTTAAAGTACCGGATCATTGTGTCATGGTTAAAACCCAGATTCCACCATAGAATTTGCATATTTTAGATTAGTCAGCTTATTTGCTAGCAACACCAAGTTGTGTCTAAAAGGCAGGAGTAAAATAAATAACGTACAATAAATAACCTATGTGCCTCTTACCTGAGCTCAAAATCTTAAATAATTTCCACATGATTCTAATGATTTCCACATGTGTATCTTTCCTGTAGACATTGTTTTATCCCTTTAGTCTTTCTGGATGGCAAGATTGTAGTTGTACATAACTGCAAACTGAAGGAAAAAATTAAGAATAAAGGCAGACAATCCCATAAGTGTCACTTCTTCACTTTATTTTAAGGGCAATAGTGTCCGATTAGAATTTTCATGATTAGTCAAGAAATGGATATTGTTGCCATAAAGTATATAGCTTTTATATACTGCTTTGTTGTAAAATATATAGAATATATAATTATTTATAAGGTTTTGGGCTAAGCGTTGTGATAAATACAATGAATAAGGAGCATACTTTTTCATTTGAAAATTTGCATGTGAAAAGATAATTAACAAAATATGGTGGAATTAATGGCTTGATCTCTACCACTAGCAGTGTGACATTAGACAAAACCCTCAATATTGTTGAGCCTGAATTTCACTGGTCAAGTTAAGGCTTAAACATGGACACACACAAGGTTATTATAAAGATAAACTGATGACACATAATGTAGTGTGTAATCTTGAGATACATTTTTTATTTCTTGTGCATTTATCTGTGTGTTTTCAATGTGTTTTAACATGTGGTATTTTTTTTTCTGTGTGCTTTTAATGTGCTTTAAGTTCCTGCCTCGTGGCTTCTACTTGTCTCTTTGAAATAGGAATCAAGATTGTAGTGGTCTAAGTCTGCAGGGGAGCTTGCAGACTTAGGTGCTTTATATGCTCAAGGAAGGATCGACGTAATTGTTGAAATAAATGAGAGAGTAGCTGTTAAATATTGTGATTGTCCTTGTACACAGGAAGAAGAAGACAAGCTTTAAAAGTTTGCAAGATTATAGGGAAGGACACAGAAAGGCAAGGAGACAAAGGAATTGAGGCTGGTAGCTAAAGGACTCTTGAAGTGATGAACTATGTGTTTTGAAAAGGAAGGAATGTCTAAAATAAATTCAGAGGCTAGAAGAAATAGTTGGGTGTCAAGGGACTGAAAGTTTCAATAAGATCAAAGAATAGGTGTGCAGGCATGTCTGAAAAGAAATGATGCTGTACTCAGAAAAAAACGTAATGGAGCTTAAGCTTTCTAATCCCAATGTGTGGATGCTCAATTTCAGGGGAGGGCAAAATTCATGGAGATATGAGTCATGGTATAGAGTAAATAAGGAGTGATAAAAGTCTGAATATTTGGGGGAGATTTATGTGGTGAAATCACACAGGATAATAGAAGGTGGAGAGATAAGAAAGACTGAGATGGGAATCAACGTCCTCAATAAATCCCTGAAATGTAAAAAAGAATTTACATTTTTTATTTATGTAAATTACTTTACACCAATGTTAATGAAAGGCAAATGACAAAAAAGATACGGAAGGGTAGCAAATGGTTTCAGAATCATGTTGTAAAAGCTTTTGTAAATTGTAAAGTAAAATGTAAGTCTGGGAGAATGGCAACACTTCCTATTTCAAAAAAAGTGAAAAACTTTAGGGAGTGAGCCTTCCACTGGACAGATCTGTAAGGAAAATAATGTTCTCAGGGGATGACCATGTTTCTGACTATGCCTGCAAATAATTATCATTCTATAATAACATATAAGTAATACAGATAACCTTCTATAATATAATGTAATAAGATGTACTATTTGTAAATCTGCAAAGCTATTTCTAGCCATAGGCAATAAAAAATTATAGATCCTGTTAAACTGTTCATTAAGAGTTCAAACAAGTATTGAATTATGCTAAATAATAGTAACTCAACATTAATTTCGTTAATTTAATGACATTAACATTTGCTTTTTTTATTACGCTCTATGTCTAATTGAGACACTGGCTACCACGAACTGAATGAGTTTTTGACATAATATTTCCTGGCATTATGGCCTTCGTCAGATGATTTTGCCTCTATTGACCATCATGTTTTGCATTTGGATTTGAAATGTACATTAGCATGATAAAATGATTCCCCTGTCATTTTCCCACAAGCTGTTTCTCATTTAGTTAAATACTTCTTCCAGGGTCAGAGACTCCACCGGTTTCAAAGTGAGATCAGCATGCAGATGAAATTTTTAGACCATATTGAAAAATGAAAAATTGGACTCCTCATCACTTTTTCCCAAGAGAGGAAAGCTGCCGTCAGCAGAGCCAAGGAAAGAAAACAGCAGTGAAATAATATAGAAACCCAGGGAACAGCAGGTAGAAGAATTAGTCATGGTTGCTTTGGAGTATAAAATTTTACCTCCAATATAACGCCAAAAATACTAAATGATTTAACACAACAACTTATTCTAGCTCTACAAAATATGGGTTACTAGGTTTTCTTCCTTTTATGCCCCTGTGTTTTCTTGATGTCTTTTACCTGGTTCCAGTTTCCTTAGCTTTTGGTAGGAGATAGCATTTTCAGAGCACTGTGCCAAGACTTACCCACATGAGTCCTATCGACCTTGATCAAGGTCACAAGGCAAAATCCCTAGTCCTTACTTTGAAAATTAACTTGATATTTCCAGATATATATTCATCTGGTTTTTCTATTCCACATATGAGAATTATTTCTCTGAAAGGTTTGATTTATTTCTATTAATTATTATTCAAAAATATACCCTGTGAAACAATTGTAACTAAATACCAAACAAATGAAAACAGATGGTAGTGTAATCTAGACAAAGAATTTGGCCCAGAGGGTTAAAAAAAAAAAGAATATAATAGAGGAAGAATTTTCTTTAATTACCCTCAGAAAGTCAACGTGAAAAGTGATTGAAATAGGTTTTGCTGGTATCTCTCCCAGTTTTAAACATATTTGTATTTCTAAAGTAAAGCATCTATAAAGATAATCCAGAACTTAAGTAGTGAAAATAACTGTTTTTCATCACTCAATTACAACATTTAAGTCCATATTAACAAGCCAAACCGAAGAAAAGATTTACCAAGTGAATTGAGAAAATATGACATCTGGATGATAAAAGTGAGTTTGATAAATTTAAAAATAATTTGAATGACTAATTAAAAGTTTCCCTTATTCATTAGGAAGCTTATGACTGCTCCTGCTGTTTTTTTCTAGCATTATCTTTGCAGACTTTGTTCATCCAAGATCAAAACAATGGGTCAATTTCATCAGCTCCTTTAAATAATGCATCTAGAAAGTGAAAAATAGTCTGTCTGATGACAAGACCTTTCGCCATGTTAGGAGGAGGTTTCTTTGTTCTCATTAACATCCACTAAAAAGGCCCTGGTGTGGAGGCCCACTCTGGAAAAGCTGGCCTCCAGTGCACAAGATGAAGAGGTAAGGTCAGGTTCACCAGATTTTAATCACTCAGAAGTACATCTGCCTGAAAAGCCTAGTCAAAGATCCACATGAGGCAATGTACTTAACACCTTCCAAATTCCCTTTTCAGCACAGATTACCCACTATACTTATAGCACCAGATGGATTCTTGAAAAAGTGTTGCAATGTAATCAGGCATCAAAGTTAAAATAAATTTTATAAACAGTACTAAGGCTAACTACATTTCCAAACCACTTTGGCACATTTCTTTGGTCTCCTCCATTCATTTTGCCAGCAGTCGTTGATTTAAAAGGTTACGTGAATGTGTATATTTTTTTCTAACGTAACATTTACAAAGAAAGCACTTATGTAAATAAACCTTTGGAAAACGAGGTTGCTATGATTAAAGCACAAATGTGGGCATATGCCATGGAAAGTACTGTTCTTTTCTTTAATACTATGTTAACAAAAAGTTATTTAAATAAATTTCATGTAAAAATCTTATGCATACGTTCAATATTATAGACACTTTTGCCAATATTATTTTTAAAAAAGAATATAAGTACATTTATACTGGAAATATCTACAGTACTTTTCCTGGTACAAAAATCTTTGGGAGCAGACATTCTCTCATATCTTTACAATATATTTTTAATGTTAAAACACCAGCGCCAACTCTGGCTGCCTATTTTTATTATGCTGTATAATTCCACAGGTATCGACATGTGTCACCTGTGTTGCAGTCACATTTGGCCAGCTCTTTGTGCTCACTAGGGAAGCATCAATCTTCAGCTTTCATTAAGTGGTAGAAATAGACCATTGGCATAAAAAATTATTTTTAAAAATAAATGGGAGAATTTTCTGCCTGGGGACTACACCACTACTGTTCTCTAGTAATTTGAATTATTGAATGGACTAAATAAAAGCCATTTCTATTCTTTTTATTCTTTTTTTTTTTGCCCAGACAAACCTGAAATGCAAGTTGATTTTTTAAAAATCTTTTATCCCCTCAGCTTGTTAGGATTTATCCTTGAATGTTTTGTTCTGTGCACTCTGCATGGAGTGTTATCATGTATTTATCTAGCAATCTCTAAAAAAATACAGAGGTTTTAAAGAAAATAAAAGCTACAAAGCCCATAATATTTGCCAAACTATTAAACATGATGTGCAATTGTGAGACTGCTTGACAGAAGATTTCAAAAAAATGAAACTTTTCATTTTTATAAAGTCTTTTCTGATCAATGGCTTTAAAGTCCTTCTCACTGTGTCTGCATGGCAGCAGAATATATGAATGACAAACAGGAAAACTCACGCAACAATTTTAATTTGATTATGCATATTTGTTAAGAACCTACTATATGTAGGAACATGGTCTGGTAGCACTGCTGATTACATTATCCACCTCTTCGCCTGTCAATTCAATACTAAAACCTCAGCTCAACATTAACTCCTTCTAGAAGTTTTTCTTGTCAATCAATTCCTCTACTCCCAGCTAGGTGAAATTCACCTTCTTCTGCTGCCATGTTTGTATCTATGTCATTCCACTAACCCGCTGGATTATAATTGCTTAATGTAATTATATCCCATACAAGGGTTTTTCTTAAACCTAAGAACTCTGTCTTAACTTAACATGTTGTGTAGGCTGTATGTAGCACAGTAACTGAGTTGAATGAATGAATTCAGCTGAATAAATGAGTGAATAAAGATGTAGTCAAGAAGCTTATAATCTCATAAAAAGCAGATAAGTGTAGAGATCATAACAGTAAGATGTGGTTTGAATGTTTGTCCCCTCCAAATCTCAGCTGCAAATGTGATTTCCAATGTTGGAGGTGGGGCCTGGTGGGAGGTGCTTGGATCATGGGTTGATTGGATCATGGGTCCATCATGAGTGGCTTAACACTATCTCCTTGATGGTAGTGAGTTCTCACTCAGCTACTCCAGGAGAAATATGGTTGTTTTAAAGAATCTGGGGCCTCCTTTATCTCTCTCTTGCTCCTGAAACAGAGGAACGGACTAACACAATATATGTTAGAATTTGATAAATAGCTGAAGAGTTTTAAAGAGCTATGGAGTAGAATAGTAGAAAAGGTACATTTGTGTGATCACAAGTAAAGGTGACCTTTGCAATTAACCATAAAAGATGAGTAGGAATTCAATAAGAAGACAAGTCTGGATGGTGGGGGGAAGCATCACAAGGAGGAACAATATGAACAGGTCAGAAGTAGAATAATGCTAATCAGGTAAGAAAAAGGCATAACAAACTGATTAAACCTGCAGACTCTGGGACCAGCCTGCTGAGCTTCAAATCCTGTAGCATCAACCTCTACTTCCAGGGCTGTGAGAAAGTTGCCTAGCATCTTTGTGTCTTGCTTTTTTTGTTTGTTTTTTGGGATTTCGCTTTTTTCTTATCTATAAATGGTGGATAACAATAGTAACTTCCTCACAAAATTGTTGTGATAATTAAATGATTCAATTCATCTAAAATACTTGACACATGATGATGAGCATTGAAAAAAAAATTGCCTATTCTTTTTAGCTAATAACAAAAAGACTTCCTTCTAGAAGTTTTCCTTGTAAACCAACTCCTCTACTCCCAGCTAGGTGAAGTTTACCTTCCTGTGCTGCCATGTTTGTATCCATGTCATTCCACTAACCCCACTGGACTATAACTGTGTCAAGCAATTACATCATATACTAGGTTTCTTCTTAAAGTTAAGAACTGTCTTAACATGTTGTGCAGACAGCACATAGCACAGGAACTGAGTTGAATGAATCACAGGTATGAAATATATGTGCAGGAAAACAATGGCCTGTAGACCTTGAAAGGGGTTGTGATCCTGCTATGGAGACTATAAATTTCCAGAGTTGAGACTGCACTTAATTTGTAACACAGCAGGGTGAGACATGGCTGCATTGTGTTTTAAAAGCATGAACCAGCAATGTTGAAAGGAGAGCCAGGAGCACAAACCACATCATGGAGCCAAGGAGTTGAGTTAGAAGGCTCTTTCAGAGCTCTAATTGAGATAACAGGGCTTAGCCTAGAGATCATGAGGATGGGAAGAATTAGATGGATGTGACACTGGGGAAGTGGAACCCAACAAGTTTGACAAATGATTAGATATGAGGGTGTATTAGTCTGTTCTCATGCTGCTAATAAAAACATACCTGAGACTGGGTAATTTATAAAGGAAAGAATTTTAATTGACTCTTTGTTCCACACAACTGGGGGGGCGTCACAATCATGGTGGAAAACTAATGAGGAGCAAAGTCACATCTTACATGGCAGCAGGCAAGAGAGCATGTACAGGGGAGCTCCCCTTTATATAACCATCAGATTTTGTGAGATTCATTCACTATCATGAAAACAGCACAGGAAAATCCTGTCCCCATGACTCAGTTACCTCTGACTGGGCCCTTCCCATGGCATGTGGGAATTATGGGAGCTATAATTCAAGATGAGATTTGGGTAGGGCCACAGCCAAACAATATCACTCCACCCTGACCCCGCCCAAACCTCATGTCCTCACATTTGAAAACCAATCATGCCTTCCCAACAGTCCCCCAAAGTCTTAACTCATTTCAGCATTAACTCAAAAGTCCACAGTCTAAAGTCTCATTTGAGACAAGGCAAGTTCCTTCCACCTATGAGCCTGTAAAATCACAAGCAAGTTAGTTACTTCCTAAATATAATGGAGGTATAGGCATTGGGTAAATACAGCCTTTCCAAATGGAAGAAATTGGCCCAAATTAATGAGCTACAGGCCCTATGCAAGTCTGAAATCCAGCAGGGCAGTCAAATCTCAAATCTCCAAAATGATCTCCTTTGACTCCATGTCTCACATCCAGGTCACACTGATATAAGAAGTGGGCTCCCAAGGCCTGGAGAAACTCCACCTCTGTGGCTTTGTAAGGTACAGCCTCTCTCCCAGCTGCCTTCATAGACTGGCATTGAGTGTCTGAGGCTTTTCTAGGTGTGCGGCGCAAGCTGTTGGTGGATCTACAATTCTGGGGTCTAGAGAAAGGTGGCCCTCTTCTCACAGCTCCACTAGGCAGTGCCCCAGTGGGGACTCTGTGTGGGTGCTCCAACCCCACATTTCCCTTCCACACTACCCTAGCAGGGGTTCTCCGTGTGGGTTCCACCCCTGCAGCAAACTTCTACCTGGACATTCAGGCATTTCCATACATCCTCTGAAATCTAGGTGGAGGTTCCCAAACCTCAATTCTTGACTCTGTGCACCCACAGGCTCAATACCACATGGAAGCTGCCAAAGATTGGGACTTGCACTCTCTAAAGCCGTGGGCCAAGATGTATCTTGGCCCCTTTTAGCCATGGCTGGAGTGGCTGGGACACAGGACACCAAGCCCCTAGACTGCACAGAGCAGGAGGGCCCTGGGCCTGTCCCACAAAACCATTTTTTATCCTAGGCCTCTGGGCCTGGATGGGAGCAACTGCCACAAAGTTCTCTGCCATGCCCTGGAGACATTTTCCCCATTGTCTTGGTAATTATTATTCAGCTCTTTGTTACTTATCCAAATATCTGCAGCCAGCTTGAATTTCTCCCCAGAAAATGGGTTTTTGTTTTTAATTTCATCATTAGGCTTCAAATTTTTCAAACTTATGATCTGCTTCCTTTCGAATGCTTTGCCACTTAGAAATTTCTTCCCCCATATACCCTAAATCATCTCTCTCAAGTTCAAAGTTCCACATATCTCTAGGGCAAAGACAAAATGCCACCAGTCTCTTTGCATAGCAAGAGTGATGTTTACTCCACTTCCCAACAAGTTCCTCATCTCCATATGAGGCCACCTCAGCCTGGACCTTATTGTCCATATCACTAGTAGCATTATGGTCAAAGCCATTCAACAAGTCTCTAGCTGGGAAGTTCCAAACTTTCCCACATCTTCCTGTCTTCTGAGCCCTCCAAGTCTCTAGGAAGTTCCAAACTTTCCCCATTTTCCTGTCTTCTTCTGAGCCCTCCAAACTGTTCTACCCCCTGCCTATATAACCCAGTTCCAAAGTCGCTTCCACATTTTGAGGTATCTTTACAGCAGTCCCCCACTCCTGGTACCAATTTACTGTATTAGTCTGTTCTCACACTGCTAATAAAGACAAATCTGAGACTGGGTAATTTACAAAGGAAAGAGGTTTAATGGACTCACAGTTCCACATGGCTGGGGAAGCCTCACAATTGTAGCAGAAGGCCAAAAAGGAGCAAAGTCATGTCATACTTGGCAGCAGGCAAGACAGCGTGCAAGGGAACCTCCCTTTATAAAACCATCAGATCTCATGAGGCTTATTCACTATCATGAGAACAGCATGGGAAAAACCCATCCCCATGATTCAATTACCTCCCACCAGTTTCCTTCCTTAACATGGGGATTATGGGAGCTACAATCAAGATGAGATTTGGATGGGGACACAGCCAAACCATATGAGAGGGCAAAGGAAAAAAAAGAATTTAAAGATGATTCCAAGGTTCTGAGGCTGCTTGGCTAGAGAAATACTTATTCAGTAATTGTGCTTTCTTCCCTACTTCACATTTAAATATTCTTTTTGACATAGCTCAAGTCCTACCATCTCTGTGAAGCCTCCTTTGATGACTTTGTCTAATTCCTTTTGCCCTGATTGTCTCTACTTCCAGCTAGTACATTATAAGCACCTTATTCTTTAATTATAATTAAATTAGGATTTTATCACTTCATAATATAATGCAGTTCTATTTAATACAGTTAAGTGTCCACCTGACTTGGCCACAAATCTTTGTCCTGTTTTCCAAATAAATAGGAAAGTCCTTTGAGGATACAAACTATATTATACATTATCCAACATAGCAGTTAGAATTTATTAAATGTCAAATAAGTAATTAGTAATCAATTCACAGGCCAAAGGAAGATCCTTAAATTTTCCTGCTGGAAAATTAATAGCAGATTGAAAAGTATTTTTCCACCCCTTATTCAAAGGTGTTAACAAAAACACTTCTAGATTCCTGGACTTTTTTTGCATTGTGATTGACCATAGCACTACCAGAATCAAAATAGAAACTTCCTGCTCAATAATACTCTTTATAGACAAGTTTGTTATAGCAAAAGTAATGCGTATTAGGTAATAAACATCTGTATTAATATGTAATGAGCAATATTTAACTAAAGTTTTCCACAATGATCCTTATAAACCCTTGTTAACAGATAATTTGCCATAAAGTATTTTAGTATATTCACATATGAGACCATTGAAGACAAAGAAAAAATTATTATAAAATCTGGGAAAAAATGTCAAAAATGTAAATAAATAAATAAAATGATACATATCTTGCATAACAAACAACATTATTTCCAAAATATGTGAATGAGTTTGGAAAGTGAGATGTTTGCTGTTCATTGGCAAGAGTGCTCTATAGTTAGAGTTAACATTAATACCATAGGGTTTAAGAATATTCTGCTACTCAATATATTGATGTTTAATCTTCTACTAACATGACAAATTGTTGAAAACAGACTGGAATTCAACTTCCTGGTAATAGCCTTCCATTTCTAATTAAAGCACATTAGAAGATCAAATATTATAATAAATGCACTGTGAATTTTATCTTATTCTTTTAAAAATTAGCATGAGTATAGATTAAAATGAGAAACTTGATATTGATTATTTTTACATATTGTTTTTGTTTTGCTTTTTGTTTTGCTCTAACTTTCAGAAAGGAGAGTTAACCCCAAGGTGGAAGAGTCTTACTGGGAGGTGGAGAATGACTTTTACAAAATCATAATAAAAAACCTACCTAATCAGTGAAATTTAGTGAAGTTTCTCTCATCTATTCTCAAACTATACTATTATCTGAGATAATCAACTGTATGATATCATTTGCATATTCAGCCCATGGCTATTTAAAAAGCGATTTCAGTCATTATGTGAATTTTCCATTTGTTTTAACACAAATTCCAAAGGCAGCTTTAAAATTATTAGGAATTGTTCTTTACAACATAATTGTGTTTGTTTATAGAAAAGGGGATTTTAAAAATTTTATTTAGAAAATAAACTTCTCAGAAACTGAGAATTTATTGGCAGAAACAGAGCATTTATCATCGTTCCCACCTTGAAATATTCCAGGAATTCTTAAATGATAGAAATGGCAATTAAGGGAGCTGGGCCTGGACTGATGACGATGGGGAGTAGTTGAAAATATCAGCTATTTCACCTGCTTTTAATCAAGGTTTTCTCTGGTCCTGAACTCCTGAGTCTATTTTCCAGGTAATTGCTGTGTTGTGGAGTTCTGTCCTCTTCCTCCACTAATATCCATCTTTAATACATCTACATCATAATCATCTTGAGTTAGTTGCTCAAAACGAATTTAGACCCAGACAATTGAAATAAGTTTTCACTTCCTGATCATTGTTAGATGAGAAGATCCTGACCTAATACCTAATAGTAACTCCTTTTTTTCTAACTTGTTTTTATTGTCTTACATATTTCCATTTTGTGTGTAAAAGATATTCCATACACCAAAATTGTCTAGCATTCTAGTTAAATATCCATAAAGAATGCACATGAACAAAATATCTCAAATTGATTTGCGTTTGCTTGAATCTAATTAGATTCTAACCAATTGAAGTAATTACATAATATACTAAGTCAGATGAGTTAAGTGCTGCTTCAGAATTGCACATTGCTTTTATGAAAGCTTATTTTTGTTTTTAATCTACATAGAAATAAGGTTGCCAGATTTGGTAAACAAAAATATAGGGCACCTAGATAAATTTGAATTTCAGACAAACAAATATTTTTTATATGTCCCAAATATTGTATATCTCATTTTTTGTCTAAATATTTTTATTTAAATCAAATAGTTGCACCAAGCAAGAGCTTACTTTGCCCACTCCAAATTAAAACGGAGCACAATAAGGACAAAATTTATTTGGCAGGACTGTTACAATATGTGAACACCCTCCTTTACTCATATGCAGCTGTTCTCACACAAAATATTAACCCCAAACTATAAATGTCACACAAAAGGAAGTGGTCTTGATTTTGCATGTGGGACAGCATGTTCTATAAATGCTGAAAGGTGGGAGAAGCACAAACACAGTCCACTCTTTAAAAAAAATACTTCAAAGTAGAATTTTCTATCCCCTCCATTCTCCAGTAAAAAAGTAGTGCTGGGATCTGGCAGCCAGATTTGGTTTTTATCCTGACCATTTACAAAGTGTTCCCCCATATGACTTGCATCATTAGGGTTATAGATAATAATAATTAATTCACTTGGAAGAAAATTGTGTCTAGTCCTTCCTCCTCTTCTTGCCTTCATGCTCATATTCCATGGGGCGGCTGCTATCTGAGGGTCTTTTAGAGCCACCGTGCTGTTTCACTTCTTCCAAAAACTTGTCCAAACCAAAAGGATCTTCCTCAAACTGAACTGGTCCTTCTCGGCCTCTCTGCTTACAGCCTGAACCAGAAAACTCTTTGTCGGGAACAAATCTGTTGGTCTTTATTCTGGGTTCTAGGTCATCGTTATACATGTCCTTGTCCAGATTTTTACTGGGCCTATAACTACTGTGGGCCATATCTTTACCACCTCTCTAGGCTTGATCATAAACATTATAAATTCCATCTTCTCCACCTGCAAATCCACTGTCCATACCCTTGGATTGGTTGACGAGCCTTTGGTCGTACTGACCTTCATTGGAAGTTCAAGGATTAGGAACACAGAGAGCAATGACTTCACTGATATCCCCATTTTCATTTCTCTGCAGTTTCGACCTCTTATCAGGAGCTGCCCTGGAAAGATTCTGGTCATGCTGTCTCTCTTTTCGCCTGTCATGCCGGATTTCATTCCTCTCACGTGCCTCCCTATCCTCTTTTTCCACATGAGTTTTGATCCCAGCTCTTCTCTCCCTGGCTTTCTGTGCCATTTCTCTAAGTTTCTCTTCATATTTTCCCTTTTCTTTCTGAGCCATTTTTCTCTCTACTCGGGCACGCATTTCCACAGCTTCACAAGCCTTCTGATCAGCAATGTAGAGGATCACCAATGTGGCAACATTTTCTTTTATGTGTACTGTCTGTAGTCCTCTTCCTTCGGCAGCCAGACGTTTGTCTAATGGAATTGTATAACCCTTTGCATTTTTCCAGTTAGAAATAAAAGGAGGAAACTTTTACTCTTGCTGTTCCCTTACAATCATCTTTCGGCTAGGAGAATGCATGACAGGCACAGGAGGAGAAGGTGGTCCCCGGGGAATTTTCTTATTAATCTTGAACCTTGGAGGCTCCGTTGGATCTTTCTGCACTTCTACCATCCGACTAACCCTCTGTTTAACTCCAGAGTTGAAAGCCACTCCTTGCTGAGATGGTGTGTATCGGATATACTGAGCAGGAGCCGGTTTGTCAGCTGCCTGAACTGGCGTGACTGCGGTGACCTTCTGTGGTACAGCTTTTTATAAGGCTACTCTTGTCTTTTCTGTTATCTCTTTTATAGCTTCTTCATCGGGCCTTTGCAAGTCTGGATCATTTGCATTCGTAACATCCTTTGGAACCAGGACAGTGTATTTGCTATAAATGACCTTGTCTTTTGACTGTCCTTGTCGAGTGATTCCATCATATTTGATTTTTCCTTCAGAATCCACCTGAATGGCCAGCGCACTAGATATTTTTTTCTTTCGTCCCATATCCAGTGGATACTGAGCCACATGGATTTCTGGAAAAGCACCTCCATCTCCAAAATCCTCTAATAACCGAAGCGTCCAGCCTTTCCGGTATCTTTACCGGGAAGGTTCTCTTCCGGAAGAGACAAATGAAGTCTGCCATGATCTCTGGGATCTTGTCTTTTCTTCAGCCTCAAGCTGGTCCTGAGATAACTGAGTAGGTGCAGGTGTTTTATCTGGCAACGCTATATAAGAAGCACCTCAATTTGTCAAAGAAATACATTTTTGAAGTTTTCAAACCCAGTGCCACTTGTCTAAAGCAAATGTTTAAGTCCACATTGTGAAGAGCATAATTAATCCATTTAAACAACTTCTTAATATTATAAAGCTAGTGGTTTAAATTTTTCTTCTAAGTTGTTATTTTAAAGTTTTCTGGGCCTAATTATTCATATTTATTTGACAAATCCTGTGCTCTGGTGAAAGCTAGAAATGACAACAATCCAAAGAGCCTTTCAACTTAAATCTCTGACCTTAGGGTAAACTAGTCAAGTAGTTACTATTAGTAAGACTGTTAACTTAGAAATGTTCATTAGATAATCTAAAAGCAAGCAGACATAACAACAGAGGCCCGGATGGCTAGGACAGGGGTCTAGGAAAGGTGCGTATGCAAAATTGTTACCAAGAAAAAAACACACAAACAAAACAGTAGACACTTTACATAGTGATGCCAACTTAACATTCATATGTTCAAAATGTCACCTTCCTACACTATTCAACTTACTACATCTCAGCCCAATAGAATCATCATTCTTATGCTGCTCATCTATAAGCATAAAATATTAATAATAGTCATTTATGAATTACAAAAACACAGTGGACCTAACATATATTGACTGGGTACTGATTTCATTAGATTAATCAAGTATTTGGTATCTTAAAAGACCCTAGTGGCCCAAACACAAAGCTTCTGAATGCTATGTCAGTGTTTGGAAAACCCACAGGAGTAATTAAGATACTGTTCACAAGTTTAGTATGGACAAATTCCATATACTGGATTTGACAGCCAAGAACTAGCAATACTGGAATCATTTATAAATGAGAAAAGGAGAGTTTTAGCAAGGAAACTCATAGCTTTGTTTCATTTATAAAAATAGATATAAATTATAAACAATAGATTTACAAACTGAATCCAAAGTAATATTCAAAAATACACCATGCCCAAGTTGGGCTTATCTTGGGAATACAAATATGCTTTTTGCATTGAAAATATATTTAAATTACATGAATAGATTAAAGGAAAAAATCCATAAGATCATCTAAGAAATGTGGAAATGTTATAAAATTCAACATCTCTTGTGTACAGTAACAATAGGAAACTAAGAAGAGAGGCATCTGCTTAGCCTGATAAAAGATAGGTATCAAAGTATATCACAAATATCCTCTTAATAGCAAAACATTAAATGTGTTCCCTTCAAAATCAGGAATAAATTAAGGATTGCAAACAATTGCTACTTTTATTGAGGATCCTTTCCAATATAGTAAGAAAAATTAAATTAAAGGTATAAGTATTTGAAGAATATTTAAAAGAAGAAAATGGTTACGATTCATAGATGACATGGTTGACCACATAAAATATGCAAAATTATCTACAGACAAATTTATAGAAATAATGAGAATTCGGTATGGTGGCTTGCCAGAAACAGATGTCAGTACTATGCTTCCTGTACAGCCTGCAGAACCATGGGCCAATTAAACTGGTTTTCTTTATAAATTACTCAGTCTCAGGTATTTCTTTATAGCAATGCAAGAATGGCTTACTACGAAAGTCAACTCTGACTATTATATTTAAAATTTCAACTGGTTCTCTGCTATGGGAGTCCTATCTCACTTTATTTTTCTCAATGACATTTGTTACCTTCTTATGTGCTATATAATTCACTTATTTATTAAGTTTATTTTCAGTCTCTGACCTATTTGAACTTAATCTTCATGAGAGCAGGGATTTTTTTTATTATTGTTAAATCTACAGCATAATTAGCAGTTCCTGGAACATATGTATGGCAGACATACCTGAGAGCAATAACTTAAATGAAGGATACTGAGAATGACTCTGCATGGTAGACATACTCATAGCCGTAACTTAAGCATCCCCTGAGAATGCAGACGCACCTAAACTGTATAAACTTTCGACTTTTTACAAATGGTACAAAACTGCATCTTTTTACAAACGGTTCTCCTGCCTAGGCTGTCACCACTGGACTGCCTTATATGTAAGTTCCCTTGATAAACCTTACGTCTCATTCGCTGGCTTTGGGCCTTTTCTTCAGTCTCTCAGACATAGCATCCTCTCATTAGAGTCAATACAGGTCTGACAGGTCGAGATAGTAGGCATTCAAAAAATATTTGTTAAATGTGCAATAAATGAAATGTAATTTAGACTACAATGAGATAGGAACTATTAATTAATAAAATCATTTTGTAATTATTATGTATACCCCCTAGAGTGGAAAAAAATTAAGAAATATTATAATCTGAGGAGAATGTGAATCATCAGAAATTCATACAAATTGCTGCCAAGATTGCAAATTTGAAAATTTTTTGGAAAACCTGTTGATACTATTTTGCAAAGTTAAACATTCATGTGCCTTGCAAACCAATAATTCTACCTTTATGTAGGAACCCTAGAGAAACTTATATATGTGCTTATGATACATGCAAGAATATTCATAAGGGTATGATTAATAATAAAATATGGAAGCTACAAAGATGTACTATGACAAAGGAACAAATAAATTAATGGTGTTATATTTACTCAATTAAATATGAAAAAGCAGTTAAAGTGAATGAAACACAACTATTTGTAAAAACTATGGATGCATCTTAAGATGTTAAACAGAAAAGTCCTATAAGACTACAGAAGATATGAAACTATTTTTATAAATCTCAACAGAAATAATATTAGGTTATATTTGACTTTGGCTTACATGCATATGTCAAAAAAGCTACATATATGTGTTTGTGTGTCTATGTGCATGTGTGTGTGTATGTGTAAATAAGTAACTACAGTAGTTTTCTCTGGTGGAAAGGTAGGAGTATGGGCATGCAAAGTGTATATGGGTAGATGAAAGTCATGTTAATATTTTTTAGTTCTTGAGTTGGTTGATTGGTTCACCAATGTTTATTATTTATTTTTCTAAATCTATTATAGATATACACACACATTGTAAATATATCAAATATAATTTTTATGTTTTTTAAAATATTTAAATATTTGTATATTGGAACAAAAAATAACAAAGGGAAAAGGAACTGCAAAATGCTCATAGCACTGTTTTGCTTTCTTTAAAAATAAGGTTGGGTTTATTAGTGATGTGGAACAATTGTTTATCAGCTTCCTTTCAAAATTCTCAGAGATCTTTTGGTCATTGAGTAATCCCAAATTCTGTGGTTTGTAATATATTCTATTTAGAGTTTTGATCTTTCAAACTTCTTTAAGAAGTCTCAGTACATCTTTGAAATCCAAGTGTTTTATTTTTAGTGTTTCACTTTGCTCTTTTTATTAGCTGAAATGACCTTCTTGAATTATTGTGGCATACAGGAAAGAGGAAGAAGGAAAAAGTCATCTGAAGAAGTGTTCTTTCTAAGCGGTTCATCTATTCCACGTCCTTACAAATAATTCAACTGTGTTTATTCTCAACCAAAACTCTGCTATTATTCTAATGATGGACAGCCTGTTCTTTACAGTTCTATCATATTTCCTGATCCGTGCCAATTGCCTAGATGGAGCTATGAATGTGGTCACAGTGATAGGTGGCTGTGAGGGTTTTGTGAGAGGCATTTTCTTCTGCAGGGCAGATGAAGTGCTTGGAATGGAGGATTAAAAAAATAGTAAAGCTCATTTCCATTGCATTATGTATTTTGATGTATTTCTAATGTATTCCTTTTCAAAACTTATCTTCACTGGAGTAGAGGTAAAGACAGAATGAGCAACAGTTGCTGTTTCATGCACATCAAGTAGCCATTTTTAAAACTCTTAAAAATGCAGCAAAGCAATTTAAAAAGAGCAAGTGGCATGGTTGCTTTTTTTAAAAAAATGTGTTTTCTCTGTAGCTACATTTACCAGACTCAAGATATGCAAATGAAACAATATATGAATTTGGCTATACCAATTTTCTTTCAAAACTGTCTAATACAAAGATATTAAATCCATCTATTTATGCATTAAATCCAGATTTCTTAATACAGAGCCAGTACTTCTTTTGAAGTAATTCAACAGGATTGCATTTTGTATCAAGATATATTTCAGATGTTGAAAAGATTCCATTTTCAACAATACTTTGGATCAACAATAGTTTTATTAATCATTAGTCAAACATGTTTTCTTCCCTTAAAGTCCTCTCCTTGGCTTTCTGTAGTACCTGAGAAATTTCCAAGTAAGTGAGAATTTGCCTTGCCTATTGAAGTCAAATTATTTTATGTGTTTGAATTACAAATTGAAGGAGGCTATGGTTTTATTGACTCACTTTTGTGTTCAAATGCAAAAGTTTTTGAAATCATTCTGTGCTCATAGTCTGTCATTGCTCCTTCTGAGTCCCCTTCTCCTCTTTTGAAGTCATTGTTGTATAAAGATGAAAAAAAGACATGTCCTATTAGCTAAATCAATATTGATATTCAAGAAAAAGGTCTAAAATAATTTCTAAAGAGCTATTCTCACATAAAAATAAATCATCTTTGGTAACGTATTTTTTAAAAGAGTTTGGCTTTTACGTTTATGCAAGACTGACTTCTTGCTAAGCCTTTACTCCAAGACATTTCACAATGGAGGTCCCCAGTGTTTGTCCTTGTCATTTTATAGGATTAATTTGATACATTGTCATTCACCTAACTGCCTTGTACCTCTTGTTAGTACACAATCCCTAACTAAGCCTGAGTATTTGTTCTTCAAACTTTCTAAAATGACTCTTCCGTTCACTCTCAGGATGTATCATTTATCATACCTTCAATGGCTGGAGAAAACATACTCTCTTTATGGGCTTTTAAAGCTCTGAAAAATCATTTGTTAAAGGAGAGGTTTCAAAGAAAGTATTGTCTTTCTGGCTTAAAGTTTATGCTTTTTCATCACATACCATAAAGGGAGCACATTTATAATCATATTTTTTAAAGAAGGTAAAGGAATGGAATTTTAATCTGAATGCTTAGAGGGAAGATGAGAGGCAGCAAGAAGACAAAAGCAAAATGGGAAAGCCAAAGCAGTAAGAAAGGAAAGAAACCTCAGAGATGAATCGTAGCAAAGAAATATGTTTATCATTACTCTCAGAATATATAGATTTTTAACTAAAATATTAAGTCCTCTGAAATGTTCCAAAAACATGAAAATCTGAAATTGATTCTTACTCTTGAATTCAAGGATTAGCATTTCATGAGCTTCTGCCCCCTCTTGGTGAATCTTTCCTTACTAACATTAGTTATCAAGACACTTGGCATTTTTTCACAGCATGCATGAGTCACAACACAGACACCCTTATCCTCAAAATAAATGGATATTGAACTTTGAATAAAACATGCCTCTTCTATCTTAATCTCAAATTTCTGAGTGTGCTCCTCTCTCTTAGTCTGTTGTCAGATTGCCTTCAAGTGATAGTTTATTCTTTTATGCATTCCAGGTTGAAGAAGGGTGAACCAAGGATTTCTTTGGGAAACGTCTGTCCAGAAATGGGAAAGGATTGGGAAAGATGCACTGAGATTCTTATAGGGCCCCAAGTCACTTCTATTAGGCTAAATTTCTAAGAGATGCTAGGTTCTTAGAAATTTCACAAAAATACTTGTCTGATGGTAATACAATTAAATGTTCTAAAGTAAAATGATTTTCACTTCACTGAAACACGTCAATCAGAAAGCTTATTTCAAAAAAGGGAACTATCTTAGTTAAGTAAGAAAATGCTCCATTTCATTTTGATTGTTTACTGGCTATAATAACATTCACAAGTCTTACATATCTGCTATCTTTTTCCTACCCAAGGAGCTGCTACTTTGTAAGGTGTGGAGAATGGGTATTTTTATTCCATTATATGGATTAGAAAACTAAAACTGGGAATCACTTGTTATGTCACAAAGAAAAATTGGTAGAATTTCAGTAAGAACTATAGTCTCCTGATTTTTCATCCAAGACAATTTTATTTATCCATACAGTGTCATTGATTGAGTGCCTGTTATGTACCAAGTATTATTCTGGGTCCTATGAATAACACTGTCCTGCCTTTTATCCTATTGTTAACTATATATAAATGTATCAATGAGCAGTATATATATAAATATAAATGTTACATATGTAAATTAAAATATATTACTGGAAGACAAAACAGTTCAAATGAAACTGAAACTACTAGTATTATCATCCCATTTTCACTGTTATTTGTTGTTATTATTGATTCAGTTTACCAGGATAGTTATTTCCATTTTAATTACCCTAAACAATAAGCTCCAGAAGTACAGGAATTATTATCTTTTTCTTCATTATTTCAACTTCTAGCAAAATGTCTAGCAAATAGTGGGCATTTAGAAAATGTATTTGGAGAAATGTATTTGAGGAAAATTAAGTAGTAGCTTCGCTTTTCTCCCGGACACTTGTTCACTGTACTCCAAATCAATCAGCCCCACTTAAAGTGCAGTTACAGAACAGGTCAAAGTCGTCACTGGCGTCATCCTTCCATCTCCAGCATCCTACTCAGCTCCTTCAGATTATTTTCTTCCTCAGGCCTCTACACTGGGGCCTATGCTTCCAGGAGTCTTTTCATAGGCTAAATCTTAAATGACAGTAGTATTTATTGTACAGGAATATTTATATTGCATTTTATTGCGTGGCTATTGGAAAGTTCCAAGTTCAATGGAGTAAATCCTTAAAAGCTAGAATTTCAAATGGAAGCTGAGAATAAATGTCTAACAAAAGGACACATTCTTCCCCACCCCCACCAATCAATTAAAGTCACAAATTACAAGATACTGTCTCTCAATTAATGTGACTTTTTTCCTCTGCTGAATATTTGTGTAGGTTAAGTCATCTGCAAATTAATGCTGCACTAACCCTAAATATTTCTTTAAAAAAGGAAAAACTATTTTAAATGAAAAAATATTCCTTTTAAAAAACACTTCTTTTTATTATCTATCAAGGTGTCTGAATAATGTCTTTAATGCACAGCTTACCCTAACTACACAGATTTTGTTTTCTTGCAGAAGAGAAAGCCATTAAATATGACTCAGATACTAGAAAAGATTACTTCGTATTACTGGGAAAAACTGATGTTGAAGACCAGTGAAGTCTAATGCACATGGGCAATTACACTGGAGAGTTTACAAAGCACATGGGAGTTGTTTTAATCGGAAACCAGAATGAATAAATTAATGGACTCTTGGTCTACTAATTTTTTTTAAAAAAAGGGAAACAAAATATAAAGCTACACATTCTTTTTCCTTTTTTAATGGAGTAACATTTTAATTTTTTATTTGAACTCCAACTTTTGTTTTAGATTTAGGGATACATGTGCAGGTTTGTTATATGGGTATATTGCGTGATGCTGAGGTTTGGAATATGAATGATGATCCCATCATCCAGGTAATGAGCATAGTAAGCAACAGTTAGTTTTTGATGTCCTTAAACATAAAGACCTACCAAATTTGCTTTGAATGAAATACCCTCACTTCAGCATATGTAAAGGATTTTTTTTGTTTTTTTTTTGTTTTTTGGTTTTTTGTTTGTTTGTTTGTTTTTGAGACGGAGTTTCGCTCTGTCTCCCAGGCTGGAGTGCAGTGGCGTGATCTCGGCTCACTCTAACATCCGCCTCCTGGGTTCATTCTCCTGCCTCAGCCTCCAGAGTAGCTGGGACTACAGGCGCCCACTGCCACACCTGGCTAATTTTTTGTATTTTTAGTAGAGACGGGGTTTCACTCTGTTAGCCAGGATGGTCTCAATTATAAAGGATTTTTGAGGCAGATAAGTCAGGGAAAATCATAGATTCATAATTCTGTTGCACTGTGTGGAGATTTTATTTGGAAACAGCCAAATAATGGGCTGCATTTCCCATTCTCCTTGGCAGATTACTGTAACCACGTGACTGGTACTTAATGAAGGTGTTGGCAGAAGTGGGGAGTAACACTTCCCAGGTAAACTGATAAAGAAGCAAATGAGCCTTCTCCACCTTCTCCTTGCCTCTCCATGAACAAAATTCAAAAGAAAATCCATGGATCTAAAGAAGGCAAGGGCCCCAAAGTGGAAGGAGGTTGGGTCCTTATTATAGAAGGCTACCTGCCAATCAAGAACATCCCATTTGGAATTTATGTGAGAGAAATCAACACTGATTTTACTAAGTAATTGTATTAGTGCATTTTCATGCTGCTGATAAATACATACCCAAGACAACTGGGCAATTTACAAAAGAAAGAGGTTTAATGGACTTACAGTTCCATGTGGCTGGAGAAGCCTCACTATCAGGGTGGAAGGCAAGGAGGAGCAGGTCACATCTTACATGAATGGCAGCAGGCAAAAAGAGAGTTTGTGCAGGGAAACTCCCATTTTTAAAACTGTCAGATCTCCTAAGACTTATTCACTATAACGAGAACAGCACGGGAAAGACTTGCCCTAATGATTCAATTACCTCCTCGCCAGGTTCCTCCCACAACATATAAGAATTGTGGGAGTTACAATTCAGGATAAGATTTGGGTGGGGACACAGTCAAACCATATCATTCAACCCCTGACCCTTCCCAAATCTCATGTCCTCACATTTCAGAACAAATCATGCCTTCCCAACAGTCCCCCAAAGTCTTAACTCATTTCAGCATTAACTCAAAAGTTTACAGTCCTAATTCTCATCTGAGACAAGGCAAGTCTCTTCCACCCGTGAGCCTGTAAAATCAAAAGCAAGCTAGTTATTTCCTAGATAAGATGGGAGTACAGGCATTGGATAAATACAGCCATTCCAAATGGGAGAAATTGGTCAAAACAAAGGGGCTACAGGCCCCATGCAAGTCCAAAATCCAGTGGGACCGCCAAATCTTAAAGCTCCAAAATGATCTCCTTTGACTCCATGTCTCACATCCAGGTCACACTGATGCAAGAGGTGTGTTCCCATGGGCTTGGGCAGCTCCACCTCTGTGGCTGTACAGGTTACAACCTCCCTCCCAGCTGCTTACATGGGCCGGCATTGAGTGTCTGTGACTTTTCTAGGCACACAATGTAAGCTGGGGTCTGGAGGACAGACCATTCTGGGGTCTGGAGGACAGTGGCCCTCTTCTCACAGCTCCATTAGTTAGTGCCTCAGTAGGGACTCTGCATGGGCCATGCAACCCCACATTTCCCTTCCGCACTTCCCTAGCAGAGATTCTCCATGAAAGCCCTGCCCTTACAGCAAACTTCTGCCTGGACACCCAGGCATTTCCATACATCCTTTGAAATCTAGGCAGAGGTTCCCAAACCTCAATTCTTGACTTCTGTGTACCCACAGACTCAACACCACATGGAAGCTGCCAAGACTTGGGGCTTGCACCCTCTGAAGCAACAGCCCTAGCTATACCTTGGCCCCTTTTAGTCATGGCTGGAGCAGCTGGGACATAGGGCATCAAGTTTCTAGACTGCATACAGCAGAGGGACCCTGGGCTCAGCCCATGAAACCATTTTTTCCTCCTAAATCTCTGGGCCTGTGATGGGAGGGGTTGCCATGAAGCCCTCTGACATGCCCTGGAGACATTTTCCCCATAGTTTTGAGGATTAACATTCAGCTCCTCGTTACTTATGCGAATTTCTGCAGCCAGCTTGAATTTCTCCTCAGAAAATGGGATTTTCTTTTCTATTGCATTGTCAGCCTGCATATTTTCCAAACTTTTATGCTCTGCTTCCCTTATAAAACTGAATGTTGTTAACAGCACCCAAGTCACCTCTTGAATGCTTTGCTGCTTCGAAATTTCTTCCTCCATTGGCCAGGTCCCTAATCCCAGAACTTTGGGAGGCCGAAGTGGGAGGATCACCAGGTCAGGAGTTCAAGACAAGCCTGGCCAACATGATGAAACCCTGTCTCTACCAAAAATGCAAAAATTAGCTGGGCATGGTGGTATGCACCTGTAATCCCAGCTATTAGGGAAGCTGAGGCAGGAGAGTTACTTGAACCCGGGAGGCAGAGGTTGCAATGAGCCAAGATCATGCCACTGTACTCCAGCCTAGGCAACAGAGCAAGACTTCATCTCAGAAAAGAAAAAAAGAAAAGAAAGAAAGAAATTTCTTCCTCCAGATACCCTAAATCATCTCTCTCAAGTTCAAAGTTCCACAGATCTCTAGGCTGGGGCAGAATGCCACCAGTCTCTTTGCTAAAACATAGCAAGAGCCACATATTCTCCAATTCCTAACAAGTTCCTTATTTCCGTCTGAGACCACTTCAGCCTGGACTTTACTGTCCATATTGCTATCAGCATCTTGGGCAAAGTCATTCAACAAGCCTCTAGGAAGTTCCAAACTTTTCTACATTTTTCTGTCTTCTTCTGAGCCTTCCAAACTGTTCCAACCTCTACCTGTTACCCAGTTCCAAAGTTGCTTCCACATTTTCAGGTATCTTTTCAGCAGTGCCCCACTCCCAGTACCAATTTATTGTATTAGTCTGTTTTCATGCTGCTGATAAAGACATACCTAAGACTGAGCAATTTACAAAAGAAAGAGGTTTAATGGACTTATAGTTCCACGTTGCTGGGGAAGCCTCACAATCATGGTGGAAGGAAAGGAAGAGCAAGTCACATCTTACATGGATGGTAGCAGGCAAAGAGAGAGAGAGCTTGTGCAGGGAAACCTGTTTCTAAAACCATCAGATCTCCTGAGACTTATTCACTATCATGAGAAAAGCAGAGGAAAACCCACCCCTATGATTCAATTACCTCCCACCAGGTTCCTCTCACGAAACATGGTAATTGTGGTAGTTACAATTCAAGATGAGATTTGGGTGGGGACACAGCCAAACCATACTAGTAGTTAAAATTTTCTAGTTGATCAATTTCTGGAGTTAGCATTATCTTAAGTAATAAAATTCTCCAATATAAAACAAAATTGAGAAAGATATTCATTGGTTAAACATGGAAACAGGTATGGTATCAGATAAGGTCTGTATACGCACGTATTTTTTTTATCAGTCTTGTCCTTTGCAACAGTAATAATACTTAGTCTGGTGTTTCAATATTTAAATACCAGGAGATGTTGTGAGCAAATACATGAGTGGAATTCTCCTGGGAATCAAATATGTAGCAGCCTGAATAGCAGTTCCAGGATATCAAACCTAGCATCCAAGTTTTAAGGGGTCTTGTCCAGTAAATTTTTAGTTTCTTAGTTTCCACAGGAGTATCCATTGGTTCCACAGAGTCAAATCCAAGCCATAGATTTTTCTTTCTGGAGTTCCTGAGAAAGGTGTCAAACACACTGACCATCTTTAAAAGTGAAGATGAGCTTCATTTTAACTAGATCTTTCACTTTGGCTTCCAAAGTCAGCTATGCTTCAAACGTGGCATCTCTACAGAACATTACAAGGGTAGCAACAGCTTTAGTTGCTAAGAATATCCTGCCACAAATGGATAATAAAAATGAGGCTAATGTAAACAATGTGGGCCAAAAGATACATGTACTTAAAAATCTTTAAAATGAATTCAAAGTGAGTACATTATCTTCTTATTCATTTGGTTTTAGCCAATGTTGAAGAAATAATTAAAATGTGCTTACTGAATCTCTGTAAGTGAATCTTAATTAATGGGAAAATGCTCTGCGCCAAACAATGATGTGAACCTCCTGAGAAATTCTGTAATTTTATAAACTATGAAAACAAAGCAATGGTTGTTTACCACTCCCTATGCTGTGTACATTCTTGTTTGATTACACTAGTTCATAAACAAAGAATTAAAGAACAGAGAGATATGTCAGCTTTCTCAACCCTTGTAAACAACTCTTAGACAAATGAAGGGCAAACTCAGTGGTAAGAAAATAACTCCATGTAATGTAACTATAGGGTTTCTTTTATATTTTTTGAATGCTCTTTTTTCCTGTTCTTAAAGCAATTTTATCAAGGATCCTGACAAAGAGATATGTCTCCTTGGACAATTTGCTTGGAGCACCTAAAATGTTTAGTGCACCACTAGAAGAAAAAGTTCTGTTAAGATATTATCCTGATAAAGAACCAAGTCAACTGATTTTGCCTATTGTAAACATCAGAAATAGAATAATGAATTCAATCAATTATAATTTCTTGAAGGAACACTCCTACATTGGTATTTCAGAAATAATACAAGGATTCACTAAAAATGACTAAATTCAAAGTAAAAATTAAAAACTGTATTCAGTTCTCTTAAGATTTAGCTTAGAAATTCTTATGTATACAAGTTTCAAATAATATTTTTCTGGAACTAGTTTATAGAATATGGTACAAAGTGAAGTCTCAGACTTTAATTTGAGGGAGTTGCAGAAGGAGGGTTGTTTTGATTGTGCATCTTCTTCTGGCATTCACCCTGTCTGCCTTGAAGAGTTTCTTCCCTCTATAATTGCTTTAATTAGTAGTTATAGAGAATTCTTTCCCTCTATCCATGATAGTTCAAAGACTAGGTAAAATCGTTTTCTGATGCACTGTATGACCTGAATGGTCAGCAGCATGATTAGACATCAGTCCTCACAATGTGAAATCTCCTTCAGGGTTTCTCTTCTTCTTCCAGACCTCCAAAGTCAGCATGTCTATTCACAGTTTCCAGACCTCTTCTGTCTCACTGCCTCCCCTGATCACATCAGTCACAAGGAGCTAAATACTATCAATAGGCAGGTGACTCCTACATTTATAACCCCAGTCCCAACCTTCCCCCAGAATTCCAAATACAAATAGCCAATACCTACTTGGCATCTCCACTCTTATGTTGACTGAACTTCCCAAACTTGGCGTGGTCAGCATAAGACTTTTGCTGTCCACTGGAAACAACAAAAGAGCCTCGCCCACTGATATGGTTTGGATGTTTGTCTTCTCCAAATCTCACGTTGAAATGTAATCCTCAATGTTGGAGGTAAGGCCTGGTAGGGGATATTTGGGTCATTGGGGTGGATTCCTCATGAATGGTTTGGTGCCATCCTCATGATAATGAGGAGTTCTTGCTCTGAGTTCACGTTCAGGCAAGATCTGGCTGTTTAAAAGAGTGTGGCACCTCCCCACTCTCTCTCTCTTGCTCCCCCTCTCACCATGTGATGTGTGTGCTCCTGCTTCATTTTCTGCCTGGGCCTCAGGAAATACCTTCAAGCGTGCCAGGAAGCAAATCAGATATTAATGCCATGCTTTTACAGCCTGCAGAACTGTGATCCAATTAAACCCCTTTGCTTTATAAATTACCTAGTCTTAGGTATTCCTTTATAGTAACACAAGAATGGCCTAATACATCCATGGTCTTCCTTATCTCAGTTAATGGCACCACTGTTCCTCTTTCTCTTTTCACACTGTATAAGACTTTTTTGACTCTACTTGAAAATATTTTCTAAATCAGCATTAATTCTTATTGCACCCATGATTACCACCAGAGTCCAAGCAACATACTTTCCCCTGGAGTATTAAAAGATCCTCCCACCATTCTCCTTGCTGTCACTGTGTCCTGCAGCTTACTCTCTAGTCTTTACACATTAGCCACTGCACTCCAGCTATTCTTGCCTTTGGCTGGTCCTCAAACACACAAAACAAGCTCTTTTTCTACATCTCTATTACTGGGGGGTCTCCTATGCATGAAATATGCTTGTCCCAAATATTCACATCACTGACTCCTTCACTTTGCCCACAGCTGCCCAAATGTCACCTCTTTGGGGTTGTCTTTGGTCATGCCTCCAAACTAGATATCACTCTCTTCCCCATTACTCTGCTTTTTAGATAGGATATAACCTGAAGTTCTATTGTTGAATTTTACTTATTTATTATTTGTGACCCTCACTAGAATACAGGAACTTTGTCTTTCATCACTCTATCTGTAATACCTAGAATGGTGTGCAGCACATAAAAGACATTCAGTGTTTATTGAATGAATGAATGAATTAATTAATTAATGGTGCCATCCTCCTGATAATAAGGAGTTCTTGTTCTGAGTTCACATTTATGCAAGATGTAATTGTCTGCTGAGATCTTAGGGACTTCACATGGCGAAAACAGAAACTGCCCCTGACTCAAATTGTGTGTGTGTTGTTTTGTGGAGTGTGTGTGTGTGTGTGTGTGTGTGTGTGTGTGTGTGTAAACTGATATAGTTTTGTCTCTAAGGAGCTATTGCCCTGGGAGCTCAGATCATGTATCGCAAATAGTGACCATATTATTTTTCATACCAGGGAAGAGAGAATTCCCTCCCCTCTGCTATAACACAAGTCTCCAGAAAAACTTTGGACCAGCAATGTTCATTCAGGCTACTTTCTTGATGTAGAAACTGGAATGTGCGGCCGGGCACGGTGGCTCACGCCTGCAATCCCAGCACTTTGGGAGGCCGAGGCAGGTGGATCACAAGGTCAGGAAATCGAGATCATCCTGGCTAACACGGTGAAACCTCATCTCTACTAAAAATACAAAAAAAATTAGTCAAGCGTGGTGGTGGGCTCCTGTAGTCCCAGCTACTCGGGAGGCTGAGGCAGAAGAATGGCATGAACCCAGGAGGTGGAGCTTGTGATGAGCCGAGATCGCATCACTGCACTCCAGCCTGGATGACAGAGTGAGACTCCATCTCAAAAAAAAAAAAAAAGAAAGAAACTGGAATGTGCACCTTGAACATACTTTTTTTTAAACGTGAAGTTACTGCTTTTTTGTTTTTTAAGTAAGTTAATGAAACAGGAACAACCTTAGTGAAATGCATTTTCTGCAGTAAACAATGGAAAGGCGCTATTAACCTAACACAGCAGGAAATATATTGACCACAGTTAGAAATTTATTCTCCAAGAATGCCATACACAGAGTTTGCTTACTGGTGCTAGCATCCTTTTATAAAAGTAAAGAGAGAGAAGAAAAAAAGGAAAACAAAAAAAGACACATTTTGATTGTTAATGCATTTTCTGCAAAGATAGCAGAATGAAAATGTACAAAAGTGTTCAACTGTGACTATACAGTGTGTATTATTTTACGTACTATAGCTCCTAAATATCCTTGTCCTTTTTAGATGTTTCAGAGTGTGTAAAGGGAGTAAAATATTCAATTATTTTTTAATGTCTCAAAATCACTCTCAGTAAAATGAAATCAATGCAATTGCCAAGAACCTTCTTTATAGGATCAGCTATATTAACTCAAGATATGTCTCCCTCCCTCAGGTAACTTTAGCTTGAACATTGTTTACTAGGCTTAACCCTTGGTGGAGATTGAATCCCATGCTTTCAAGAATAAATATGAAATGTATAATTTTATCTGTAAGCAACAGAGTTGTTTCAAGTTAGCAAAATAGATTGCTAGAAGATTATGTATTCGGTCTACTACATGATATCCAGAATTTCACATCCTCCAATCTTACCTTAATGTACAGGTAAGGTGATACAGACCTGTAGGAGACCAATGAGTGCTGACATGTTCCAGTAGTCTCACACATCTACCTGGAAGCAGTAGTGCAGAACAGAGCTGTGCTCGACTTTTCATAAAATTCACTGTAAACTGCTTTTACAATAGCTAAATTATAGCCAAAATATTGTTCATGGTCAGGCTTGGTGCAAGCAGGCACTGGATGGTTGGCCTAAGAAGAATTCATACTTTTGGCGTTTTTTCCAGATGTAACTAGTGCAGCAGGAGATATCTCACTTCCAAGTATGAAAGCTGTGTTCTCAACATGCTTGGCAGAGGAACTCAGGCTCTGGATTGCTAAGGGTCCTTAGTGGTCCTTAAGAACTGCACACTATTCAGATTATTACTACTACCTTGCCATGTAGATCTTAATGGACTCCTGGGCTACATATTCATTAGCAAAGTATAGTACAGAAGTTATTTAGATTGCACAATGTAAAGGCCAATTTTGCATTAGTTCTTCACTTTACGTGTTTAATATCGCCTTGAGGAAAAATTCTCTGTCGGGACGTGGGGAGAAATTGAAATAAGCACATTCCCTATTTATCAGTTGCACAAAAGACCTTCTCAATAAAGTTAGATTAGCAGCTAGGGTGACCTTCACGTGATAGAGAAAAATGTATGTATATTTTTAGGAGGGCTTTTTGTAGAACTGCCTTAATGCTAAATAAAGCATATTCACATAAAGGCAAGCAGTGGCAACTTCCTGTTAATTGAAAGATTTGTTAACTTATCTTTTAAAAGAAAATAATCTTAACTGCTATATGATATTAAGCCAAAAGTTTCTGGCGGTGTTTGCAGATTTTGACTTAATGGTTTAATTCGAGGTGAAAATTGCACTGGGAGACATCCTGAGAGAAATAGTTATAGGTTTGTTCATTCTTTCCCCCAAACAGGAAATTGGTTTTCTGAGTCTACACTATTTTAACGGCAGCATAAATGCAGCTCACTACCCTGAATTCAGATGTAATACTCCATAATGAAATGGAAAAAAAAGTTAGTCACATGTCAGATTGGAGTGAGTAAAATAGACAAGTAATAACAATACCTAAATCCATCCCTGACTAATTAGTTGCTGAAAAAAAATTCTGCAGTTAAAAGAAAAAGTTGGATTTACAGGCCAAGTGAAAAGGCTACTTATAGAATCAAACCTTGATTTCTTCACTATATGTCTTTGGTAGGGCTTACAAAACACGTTAACACATTAGTGATACCTACTACTATTAGTTGTAAACTGGAAAGCTAAACGTTTTTAATGACGTCAAAGGCATTCACAGATGTCCCTGAAGTAGAGATATGTAAAACATTGCCTACACTTTGCAGAATCTCAAAAGTAATACAAGTTACAGTTTTTTCTATCGACAGATATGCTGGTAAATTTACATCTTTTTTATCACAATCACTCTGACTTGATTAACTTCTGCTTTTAACCACATTTTCAATAGGGATAATATTTTTTAAAGTAAGGCTAATCTGAGCCCTAACAGAGATATGCAATATAAGTGGATTAAAGAAGTCTATCCTTTCTCCCTAAATAAGAAGTGATTTGTCTACATCAATATTAACTCGGCAGCAGTTTTTCCTCCAATTGTTGACACAGAGGAATTGAAAGACAATAATTTTAAGGTCAGATACACCTAGGCTCAAATCCAGACTCCATCGCTTTCAGGCTGAATATTTGAGCAATTTACTTAACTTCTTTGGATCTCACCTTCAGTAACTATAAAACAGGTATAATATATGCTTTTATGGAAATAATAGACACTAGGGACTCCAAAAGTGGGGAGAGTGGAAGAGAAGTGAGGGTTGAAAATTACCCATTGAGCGCAATGTTCCCTATTAGAGCGATGGGTACACCGGACACTCAAACCTGACCGTTACGCAATACACCCATGGAACCCTGCACATGTACCTCCTGAATCTAATATTTAAAATAACAATGTATGCTTTTTAGGGGCATTGGGAGAATTGAGATGAATGTGTGTAACAGGTTGACTAGTATAGTTTGTGGTACATAAAAGGTATTCAATAAATATTATTTCTCATGTTCACACATATGTAGGTGATGTGGATTTATTTTTGTCTTAGAGCAAGGTAAACTAAAGTTGATAGCAATAAAGTGACTAGTGCAAAATCAGTGAGATATTTAGAGAGTCTACAATTCGATCTCCTAATTTATTAGATAATGCCTATATAGGGTACCAGAAAAGTTAGATATCATTGGAATAAAATTTTGGAGTCAGACTAAAATTCTAACCCAATGGATGGGCTTAGCAAGCCATTTAACCTCTCTGAGCCTCAGTTTCCTCATCTAGAAAATGGAGAAAACAGCTACCTCACTGTTACCATAAGAGAAATATTAGATGTGAGTAATATAGCAATATCTAGCATATACTCAGAGCTCAACATGATTATTATTAAATACTTATTGTATGTTGGGTACCACGACAAGTGCTCTAAGATACCCCAAAATGACAAATTCCTTGCCCTGGAAGAGTTATTTTGGCAAATAGCACAAAGAGTAATAATTACTGATACTCAGCACTGTTTAAATGAAAGAGATAGATGATAGATAGATAGGTAGATAGATAGATAGATAGATAGATACATAGATACATAGATAGATACATAGATACATAGATAGATACATAGATATATAGATGATAGATAGATGACAAACGAGTGAAAATGATAAATAAATAGATCATTTTATACTGAAATGGCAAAAAAAAAAAACCTCTTAGAAGAGATGGAACTAAAGTTGAGCAAGAGTAGGAGTAGATTCATCTTAACAAAACAGTAGTTACCTTTTCTCTTTTTCATATGGGAAAGTTTTAAAAGGATTTCGAATGTCAGAATTAGGATAGAGAAGCTACGTTCTCTATGGGTATTTTTTTAGGGAATATAGCTTTCTGGCTGAAGGCTGATGGACAAATATTCCACTCTGAATGTCAAAAAGATAAGCACAATAAAGCTTGCTTTATGTGCGCACACATGTGTGCACATGCTTGTCTGCATGTTTGCATGAGCTGGCTCACTTAACATCCAAAAATATGCACAGTTTTCTAAGTCAACGGAATGCGTGTATTTCTAGTTCCCTTTTCTGAAGCACAGCAGAAAGAGATTCTCACCAAGTTATTTTTCAGCAACATCTTCAGGGACAATTGATACACCCATTAAAAACGCTGGCAGTGTGTCTGGTTTGGTTACTTTTTTGATGTGCTTTCTAATGGTGCTGCTGCCTTTGGCAATAATTGTAATTCAATTTATGCATCCACAAAATTATCCAATCCTGTTGCCTATGCAGTGTCACAAAATAATTCTTCTCTTTAGAGTTAATCAGCCTTACATTGTATGTTTTCCATTACCTAGATTTCACCACATCTCTCAATAACTTGCAAGCTGAATAAGTTTGTATTAAAAAAGTAAACACATTATACATAAAGTGATCAACCTTAAACAGATAAGAGATGCCAATCATAAAAATGCTGACTTGACTCCATTATAAAATGTGTGTGTGCACATGTGTGTTTTATTCTAAACAGGATGTTTTTAATTTTGAGTTGCATAAACACAGCTTTTTGGTAACATTTAAAAATAATTTTATAATGTGCTTCATTTTCATACCAACTTTGAAATGCAGTTGAAATATTTTCTCAAGGCAAATGTATATATATATAATGACATTTTTGAATAGTTTTAAGATTGAAAAGCATAAATACGAAATAATTTTTTTCTAATCACTGCTTTTAGTAATATTCTGTATAATCTTCTTGTGCTTTGATGTTATTTTGGGCAATTCTATCACTTTCAGTATTTAAAAGTTTAATAGAGTTGAATTCCATCAGGGTTTCATGTGCTGCCAGCGAATTGCCACAGTACAGCCTTGAGCTGGGACCCTGACTCGTTGGCATAGTCAAGTAAAGGTAAGACATGATCTTCATCTGAATCATCTCTTCCTATCCCCCAACCCCGCCACTCCCCACTTTTAAGACCAACTCCTCCAAGGTTGGTTTAGAGAGAAGGGAGAAAAAAGAAACAAGTGTCTCTTCCCCTACCTGGACTGTCTTAATATTTCTTCATGCGTTTGGCTGCTTCAATGACATGAACTACCAGTTATCAATGCTCATTATGGGTCTGAACTCAAATCTTGGTTTTCCTGCTGCATAGAGCATTGCTACATGAAATGTGGTGCTTGGACTGGCAGCACTGACATCACCAGGAAGATTGTTAGACTCTCAGACTCCAACCCCCTGCTAAATCAGAATCTGAATTTTAACAAGATCTCTCAGGTGATCTGTATGCACATTAACATTTAAACTATTGTATTTAAAAGTAGTTTTTTATTTTCCTTCTCTCACAGACTGATGTATTTTTAAAGTAGAATAAGAACAAATAGTAAAATGAAATTAAAAAAAAAAAAAAAAAAAGATAGGCAAAGCACAAGCCAAAGTTTTATTATTTGTTTCAACAGACACCACAGTGGAGTAAGAAGTACCAGACTTGCCATCCCACCAGAAACATATGAAACCGTTATTTTCAAACATGAGACAACAAGCAACACAGGACTTTGATATACAGGATCAAAGTCCTCTTACGGACTTAGATCCCCAAAAGAAGCAAAACAAACAAGATCAGCCTTATTATCACCCAAGCTTTTTGCCACAAGGCATCGCACTGAGAAGGAGAACCCAAGCAGAGCAGAGCAGGCTCACAATATTGAGGAGGCAGAGACCAGAGTTCAGTGAGACTGAAGTGACTTGTGAGGCAGTGAATTAGAAAGGAGGCAGCTAAGAAGAGAAAGAACACGGTAAGTCTCCTTGAGTTTGTTGCTGAATTCTAATCTACGCAGCAAATTTGGCATGAAGTTAGAACTCCATGAAGCTGGGCAAAAACTACCAGGGTCGTATAAGCTGAGCAAACCCAAAGTTCACACAAGGCTGGGAGACATTTGAATTCCAACCAGTTAAAGTGGAGAGATCATTTATAGATAATTTCCAAATTAACATAGCAGAAATTAAGAAAGGCAACTAAAATTCTAAAAGACAGGTTCCTATCTTTCTAGACCAGGAGTCATTTTGTTTCCCTGACCCCTTCGTGGGCAGGAACTGGAGTGCACAGGCGCTGGCAAGGGCGAACTCCACTCACTGGAAGCTGCCGCACTCAACCCCTAGTGGGAGGGAGCACGCAGGTGAGCGGGTGCGGGAGCCAGGGCAAGCACTTTTGGACACCGGCAGGAACAAATTCGGCAGCATTCGTGGGGGTGCCCATGACCCCGAAGCCCCAGAAAGAGAGTTGCAGTCAGTGCTCTTTTAGCTTTGCCATCCGCAGATGGCTTAGGTGTTAACAGCTCAGTGGAGGATCAGTGTGACAGCCTTTCCTACTCGCACGCGAGTAATTACTGGGCATCCAGGAGGAATGAGGTCACATGAACAAATTGGTGATGGTAAATGCAGAGGATTTTATTGCCAATGAAAGTGGCTGTCAGTGGGAAGGGGAGCTGAAAAGGTGATGGAGCGAGAAGGTAATCTTCCCCCAGAGTCCGGCATAGGATTCTTCAAAGCTCTGCCGTCAAGCCGTCCCTCTCAAGTCAAGCTGCTTCTCTCCAATGTCCAACCATAGTCTTTGACGTCCAGCTGCTTCTCCTCTTCTCCTCCCTCTGCCAGCGAAGCCTGGGGTTTTTATGGGCACAGGATGGGGGGCAGGGCAGGCCATGGGTGATTTTGGATAAGGCAACATTCAAGAGGGAAAACAGGAATGTTTGTTCCACTTTGGGCCGTGGTTCCAGTCTTGAGGGTGGGGCCCTCGCTGGGCATCTGTTGTCTTCTGTCCAGAATTATCCTGCCTCTTGTCCCTATCAAAATCATTTAGTTCAAACAGTTAGAGAAAATAGTTACCAACCAGACAAATTGTATTGGAATTTATATTAGAAAAAACTTGAGGCAGAAAAAGAATATATGGCTTTTGAGTATATTGTTTTCTATTAACCAAAAATTTTATCTAGAAACTTGGAAAATTGTATTTCTGGACAGTGAAATAGGTGTGGAAGAGATCATTTACTTCATATATAAGTATCACCAGGTGTTGCTTGTAATTATCTTTCTTCTTCTGGATAATGGCTTTTTAAGTGACCTAGGTGGGACTAGGAACCAGGGAAACTCAGCCAAGTGTAATCTCTAATTACCTACAAGGATGGTGAAAAACCTGCATAGGTGTACCATGGCCAATAAGTTTGAGATCTAGACATTTCCAATTCAAGTATGTCTGCTTTACCCACCTGAAAGTGCTCTGTAAGTTAAAACTTTAAATACAAAAATCACTTTGAAAGTAACAAAACAACTCCATTAGTAAAGTGAATTCAGATACACATTTGGTAAAAAGATCTCTTAACATGGAACTAGAAAATCTGGATTTAAGTTTCAAATATGTCGGTTTATAATTATTTGTTTTAAGACAAGTAAATGAGCTGTATTTTCTTGAAATTCCTATGTTGTAAAATAAAATAATGAATAATGTACTTAATGTGAGAGTGGTTTGTTAAGTATAAAATGTGATGAGAGTGTTATATGAACATATATGTATTTTAAAATAAATAAGCCCTTACATACCACTTAATATGTACTGAGAACTAGTCTACGCATTTGTCTTTAAATAAATATGAATTCAATTAAGTCTCATTTTACAGATAGGGACATTGAGTCACAAATGACTTACATAAAGTCACACAGAATTAATAAATGGAAGAGCTGGGATTAAAATCCAAAAAGCCTATCTCTAGGGTCTATGGTAACCCAAGTTTTGCATGGTTTATGAGAGCTGAAAAGATAAGTTCTGTTGGCAAGTTTCTGGATCTTAGGAAATCCTTTTTTGAGTCATTGTTTTGCTTCAGTATGGCCTTAGAATGCCTTTAGTGTACTAGTGAGGGATCAGGGAAAAAGGAAAATACATAGAGACCAGACCTTTGAGTAAACTTATTATTAACTCTGTTTAAAAGGGAAAAAAGGTGATATTTCAAAGGATTGTTTGGCAACCATGCAGTCCATCGATTATAATAGATTGGTAATTTTCAAAGCTTGTCCTACAGATCATTTTTCGCTGTGATGATGTCCTCCTGCAGAGCCATAGATTAATTCAAAAATGCAAGTCCATTTTCTTATTCTTAATAGTGAAAGACATACAATTCCAAAGATTCATTTTTTTATATGATTAAAGAAACTTCCCAGTAAATATGTTACTTCTAAATTTGGTATTTACATACCAAATTAAGTATGGCATTAAAATTTTCTGAACATTGTTATTTTAAGAGTTCAGTAAGAAATTCAAGTAAGCTCTTAATGTGCCTACATATGTGCACATACTTAGAAACCCACAACCCCACTAGGACAGGGCAAGATGTGTAGGCTGCAGGGTCTTTTGCCTCATTTAATCGTGTGCCACGACCAATAAGTTTGAGATCTAGACATTTTCAAACTGAAATATGTAAAAATTGTCCAAGGAGTGATTTGTACAGAAAGACTTAAAGAAATTCATTTCCAGATCTTTAACTTCTATATATAATGTTCCTCTCTCAAATGATTTGCCTGAGAGTTTTTTTGTCCAAAGTTTTTCTTCTTATCTCCTCTTTCACACTTGTCTTTCCCCATTTTACATAAAACAGTATATCCATCACTTATCTTAAAATAATTGGAAAAAGCCCTTACGTATCTCATTTGAGATGTATTTTACTTTTTATGCTTAATAATAGTTCATCAACATTTGAACCTCTACATATATGCTTTTGATTCATTATCTATTAATAATTATAGAATCGATTTGCAGAAAGTTTCAACATTTAAAGCTTTTGGTTAAAAGAATTTTAAAAACAAATGCAATTATTTTATGTAATTTTTGTTGCAGAGGAGTATATTTGAGTGGTCATTAAGAAATTTTAGGAATAAAATTTGCATTACAATTAATTTCTGTGAGAGAAGTAAAATAGAATTACAATTTCAGTGATTAATAAAAGCTATGTAAAATTTTCATCAAAAAGGAGCTTATATTTGCCGGGCACAGTGGCTCATGCCTGTGATCCCAGCATCTCGGGAGGCTGAGGTGGGCGGATCAGCTGAGGTCAGGAGTTCCAGACCTGCCTGACCAATATAGCAAAATTCCACCTCTACTAAAAATACAAAAATTGGCCAGGCATGGAGCAGGCGCCTGTAATCTTAGCTACTCAGGAGGCTGAGACAGGAGAATCACTTGAACCCAGGAGGCAGAGGTTGTAGTGAGGTGAGATCACCCCAGCGCCACTGCACTCCAGCCTGGGCGACAGAACAAGACTCCATCCCCCACCCCCCCACCCCCAAAAAAGGAGCTTATATTGGTTGTATATTTGGGTGATGTGTCTCATATTCTTGTGCTGGATAGTGTAATAATTAATTTTATGATCAACTTGACTGGGCTATGGGATGCCCAGATCGCTGGTAAAAAATTATTTCTGCATGCATCTGTACCAGTGTTTGCAGAAGAAAGTAGCATTTGAATCCATAAACTGAGTAAAGAATATCTGCCCTCACCAGTGCAACATCCAGGCTGCTGAGGACCTGAATAGAACAAAATTGTGGGGCAAGGGTGAATTCTTCCTTTCTTGTTGAGCTGGGACATCTACTTTTTTCTTGCCTTCAGACATCAGAGCTCTTGCTTCTTGGACCTTTAGACTTCCGGACCTATACTAGCACTCCTTCCACACCCACACTCTGGTTCTCAGGTCTTTGGGCTTTGACCTTGTCTCAATCTTTTGGTTCTGTAATAACAAAATACCTGAGTGAGTAAATTATGATAGAAACTTATTTTTCACAGTTCTAGAGGCTAAGAAGTCCAAGATCAAGGTGTCTGGTGAGGGCCTGTTCTCTGCTTCCGACATGACGCCTGGTTGTTGCATCTTCACATGGCAAAAAGCTGATGGCCAAAAGGGGCCTAACTAGTTCCCTCCAGCCCTTTTATAAGAGAACTAATCCATTATGAACATGGGGCCTTCATGACCTAATCACCTCCCGAAGATCACACCTCTCAATAATGTTGCATTGGAGATTAAGTTTCAACATGAATTTCAGAGGAGACACAAACATTCAAACCATAGTAGACTGGTATTTACACCATCAGCTCCCCTGGTTCTCAGGGCTTCAGCTCAGACTGAATTACACCACTAGCTTTCCTGGTTCTCCAGTCTGCAGACAGCAGATTGTGGAACTTCTTGGCTTACATAACCACATGAACCAATTCCCATAGTATGTCTTCTCTTATTTATACATACTTATATATGTATATAATATTATATGTAAGTTATTATATATAATAAATATATATATTTATCTTATCTTATTGGTTTTGTTTCCCTGGAGAACTGGGACAAAAATGGTACATTCCACTGAATACATGTAAAAGGATAATTTAAGATTTATTTTTAATTGCCAACATTCACTGTATACCAGAAATTACAATGTTTGTAACAATTCAAAATTATGATGGAAAAATCAACTCAAATTCCACCTAAAGATAAGCAAGAAGGTACTTTTTTATTTCAAAATTATTTTAGATTCAAGACTACTGATCTAGGGACTATCCTTTGCTCATGCTTGACCATAAGATGATTGTACTCGCAGATCATATTTTTATGGTAGAATTGCCTTCACTTAATTTCATTTTAGCATTCTCTCAGCTTTTATAGGAAGTAATTAAAGGAAATAGGCATAAAGAATCCATCACCACATACGAATGCTATTAAAGGTAGTACATACAGCATCCCAAAATGCCTTCCAAACAAAGTCCCACATGAAAAATTTCTTTTGAAATTCTGTTCTAGGAAAAGATCTGGTTCCCTTGAGTATTTGATGAGCTTCTTCATTTCTTATCGTAAGAGAAAAGAAATGATCACCATGGCTCAAAGGTAGTCTGAAACTAAATCTAAGGCTACATCAAAGTAAGTTTTTCAGTCTTAACTGACTGCACAAATTTTGCTGCAGTCCCATCAATTTATTCTTACTTATAACTCCTTGGTTCTGAGTTTTTATTCTTAATTCAATTGTCCATTATTTTATGATATGCGTTTTTTAACCCTCCCCCAATTTTTTTGTGGAGGCAACTTAAATATCAAATGTTCTCTGTATTTACATATCACTTGCTCCTCAGCATGTTCTCATTGTATATTGGGTAGATAAAATTACCAAAGATAATGACTCGCAGTGTCAAGGAGACATCACTAGCAATATTCCCAGCAATTCTTTATTTTAACCAGCTTCTTAAGTGAGCATGCGCTGGGTATCAATTTCTTCTTCTTATAAGCCCAGCGATAAATTCAGCCCTTGACTTCTGAACACAGTTAACTGGTCATGTAGTTTTCATAAAACAAAATTTTGATTAGATTCAACAGCGTCATAGTTTGACCTTTGTAAAGGGTAATGCATTAATTCAAAGGAAGTGGAGTGATATGTGTGCCTTACTTTGAGCCTAAGAAATGTATTTTTTCATCATGAGACATTTCAAATCCCATAATTATTCCCTTATGTTAAATTCCTTCAACTCTTCGTGCCATAATATTCTGCCTTGCGTATATAGCTGCCTTCAGATAATTTTTCTGTGGTCTTCTGGTATGTAAGTTATCTCCTCAACTGGTATGTATCCTCATAACCAAATACATTCTTCATTTTAGACTACAAGTGACAAACTGTTTTTCTTGGTTTCAAGACATTCATGATTAATTTACAAATAGGAAACTTGTGGAGTATCTTCATCTAAAAACATAAGGAGTTTAATTTTGTAACAGTACATCAACTTAAAGCTCCTAGCCAAGAGATAAGACATTGATACTTCTTTTCAAAAACAGCACTAATATTTTCTTCTAGCAAATCTGATCTAATTTTATAATCCCCTTCCTTGAGAATTTTGTTTCAAATGAGTGATTCCTTCTGACCAATTATTGAAGAAGGAATCATCCCAGCAGCATCTTGATGAGTAAGAAAAAATTCTCCTTGCCCACAGATGGCACTTCTGGCTCCACCTCCATCCTACGGTCTTCCCATCCCACCTCCACTCCAGGCACTTGTTGCCTAGCCTGTCCCCATCTCTCTTTTACTTCCAAGCATCTGGCATTTTTTAGTTACCTGCCTCTCCCATCTCAACCATGTTTCCTTCACTCAGTAAATAAATACTGAGTAGCTATATGTACTAAACACTAAGTTGAGTTTCTAGGAATGCAGAGATTTTGGTGTCAAACAAGCTAGAGTAAATGCCTTCAAGGAGGCTTGTAATCTGAAATATGATAGGGACAGACAGAATGTCAGGGAACATGAGAGAGGTTTCTATGAGGAATTTAGTCTGTTCCCCATAGCTCTTCCCACTGGGTTCTTCTCTAAGTCCTGTTTAATACTGTACATCATCAAATCCCAGGCCTCATACTTTTACTTCCATCCCATTATTTGAATAAATTCTATTAGCATACACACCCACATCACATACGCATGCATGTAACACAGATTTTGTAAAGAGAACTATACATCTATTTTCTTGGTGGGGATGTTAGACTTGACACACGTTGGCCACACAGAAATATCTGACTTAAACAAGTAACTTAATTAATTGCATTGATTGTAAGTACCTTTGGAAACAGAAGTGCTCATTTGTTCGTAAATAGTTCCTAACTTAGGGGACCGTTGGATCTATGTGAGTATAGTAAGAGAGGACACAGGTAGGTCCTTGAGATGTATGCAGTAAGCAATAAGGTGGACAAAATTTCATTCACCAAAATTCCTCTTAAGAAGAGCATTAAATTTTGAAGGAAACTAATAAGCATTTAAATGTTTTAAATAAATGTGTTTATTTAAATAAATATAATTTGTAGTGTGCCACCAAAGAAATGATCATGCAATAAAAAGTGATTATTAAACTGCCTCCTAGGAGGGTGGGTCTGGGTAACCAGTGGAATTGTATGTGTCATTGACCACTGCGTGGAGACTTGAGCAGCTAAATTTAATCTCAGGAGGTGAATAAAGCTGAATTGCTGTGCATAACAAAAGAGGAAGAAAATTGACTCTCCAAAAGTAATTTCGATAAAAAGTGTTTATTTAAAAATAGCAAAACCAGAAGTCTGCATGGATGCCAGGCAAGAAAAGGGCAACATAGATTGCTCTCTGCCTAAATCCCCAACCCATTATCATTCCCATTAGTTGACTTGGCAAAGGAAGGAGTTTGGAAAGAATGAGCATTTAAAATCATTTAATTTGTTGTGATGCATTTAAATTCACCAACACCTGAGCTCTCCTACAAAAGTTTGAGTTAATTCTCGGTTGAAAATTAATGTTTGTGAATAAGTTGGTTCTTTAAGAAGATGCAAGAGGTGCTCACTTTCACAATGACTCATATTGTACTCAAGAGCCAGTGGATAGGAGAACAGCTGACCTTTAGTACAAAAATATCAAAACTCAGATGAACTGGTACTCTACCTACGTTCTATCCTTATCCTTAAAGGAAATAATTTGGTTTGACTAGAAAGTTAAAAATTCACCTTGGCAACCTTGTTATTTCATGTCGTTCAGATGGTCTGATCTGCAGGTATCTACACACACACACACTTTTGTCTGTAATGTGTCTCTACTTGAATCTTCTTTGTCCCTTGCTCAAAATGTCCTTCATCTGGTTCCTGAGACCATGCAAAGCATATGGCAAGGTTGTTAAATATTTCCATTGGATTCTTTTGTAATTATTGTTTAAATTCTCTCATCAGCCTACTAGTCCTTTAGTTCCTTAAACGGTAGACCCACAACTTTCCCATATTTTATCATGAGAGCATGTCAATTTTAGGAACTTATGCATTTGTGAAAGATTAAAATGTAAATAAAAGGAACAATATATGAACACCAACTAGGTTTAAACCAGAAGACCTAGTGTACCTATTTACTGATCCATCATAAACATTAAGCTAGTTTAAGGACGGTTTAAAAATATATCTGTGCATGACCATAAATTTACATCTATTATAAAAGTTTCAAAATTCACAATAGGAACAATAACATATAATATTAGAAATGCAAATCAACTATACTGTACTATTCAAAAACTAGAGACTGTTGTTTTTCACTAGTTAACTAAAACCCTTTGTTCATTTTTTTTTTGGAATGAATGATCATAAGGATTAATTTCTGCTGTATACCATTTGGCCTTTAACTGGACCATTTCTTGACAATTGTAGAGTGCATTTATCAAGCATATTGATTTTATTCAGAGTCCTGACTATAAAATTAGACTCTCTACTTCAGAGGCATTTATAAAATGTTTCTAGATAATAAAAGTATAATTACAGCTATCTAGTTTGTTGGAAATAATACTATCAACTAAACTGCTTCTTCTGTTCCTGAAAATAAAAAATATATTTTGCATCATTAAATTACCGTTTAACTTTGGATATCATGCTGATATTGATAAGTAATTCTGAATATGAAAGTGGATTGTCTTTATTGTCTTCTACCAAAAAGGAACTTGAAACTAGTTAATTAAGCCACATATGACTACAATTTGTAAGGTAGTAAGATTTCTTAGAATATTATAGGCTTCTCCATTTTTAAATAATTTTCTCTTGAAAATGAAAGTTCACTATCAAAATATCATAGTTTACTTTCAAGTGTGTTGTAATATATTAATGCTGTGTAATGCAATATTTAATGCTGTAAAACTCAGAAATTTTATTTCCTTAGGACACATAAGCTTCACATTAATATGCTGGAGTTAATGTGCAATAAAAGGACAGTAACTTCCCCTGTCTACCTGAGTTATAATACCAGATAACATTCACTGAAAATTTTAATGTACCTGAGGCTTCTTTTATGCTTTGAATATGTCTATTCTTACTGGTATTGTTCATCTGTGTTTGTTCATAAACATCAAAAGAAAAATAACTAAAATTTTTGATTACATTGAATATTAGCCAACTGCTAAATCTCAAAAAAAATAAAGAAAAAAAAACAAGTAGGACTCAGCTATATGTTTAAACTGGGAAAAGATGTGTTAGCCCAGTGGTTTTTAACAAGGAGTGATTATGACAATGATCCATAATCCTTTTAAAAATACAGAGGACTGCATGGACCTTATAAAATTTAAATACTGTTATTCTGATGTGAACCGACAGTTAACAATCACTGTTCTAGGCAGAGATAATGGCAAATGCTAAAATAGAGAGTTTGAAATAAATGAATGAAGAAGGGGAATATGAATATATAAAAATATTCAGAAAATACTCTTCATATTTTACTCATACATATCAACTACTGAGAAATAGAGTGATATCTTAATAAACAATACTTTAAATTTTAATTATTCCTGATTTTAATGTTATCCTATGTATTCTTAATCCTTGTGCAAATGAGTTTCATCATTTATTCCTTCCCAAATATTTCTTAACCTTCCATTTCATGCCAAGAATACGTTAGATGCTAGGAATACAAAGAAAAAATGAGAAGAGGCTCCTATCTCAACAGGAGACATACTTTTCACTCAAAAAACATGAAGAACATCATTTTAACTTTCAACTTTTTACTTGCATATGCCTAAAAACACTTTATCCAAAGTCTGTGTAGTTTTGAAACTTTTATTGTATTTTCCTTAACAAATGTTCATTCATGCCACAGTAATCATTTATTCCCATTACCTCTGCTTCCTAATCTCTGCCACTCCTTTCCTAACTTCCCAGCACCAATTAATAGCTCGCTTTTCATTCTAGTTTTGTCTTTGATCTTGACGTTTCACTTGTCTCATCTTTTGTCCTCTTTCTGGCCATAATGCCAGGATATTTATTATATCTCACCTTACATAATGCCTTAGCTGGCAAAGAAACTAACCTCCTCCTTGTATTGGTGATGGTAATGGTATCCATTATTGTTCTTCTATTGGTATGTGAATGTGTTTATGTGTTTTGGTTGGAAATTTAGCCTGTTAAGGGCCTAAAAGATGAGTCATCAAGGAAAACCTGAAGAAGTGAAGAAGCTGAGCTCTAAGAGAAGTTCCCGTTCATTCAGCACAAGATGTTAGTAAGTCTGAGACCAGACCAGGAGCAGGACAAAAGTAAAAATTTCTTGCTAAACGAGGTAACAGATGTAACTGCTCCAGCACCAGCACAGTGCCTATGCAGGCTAATAAATATTCATTAAGTAAGTGTCCAACGTTTATTTACAAATGGGTTACTCTATGGAAAGTTCTGATAACAGTGCCTGGCACAAGGTAAACGACCAATAAATGTTAGCTGAAAGGGAAAAGGGAGGGAGGATGTAGGAAGGGAGACAGGGGAAACTGAACATCACTGAAGGAAAAGTAAAGAATGAAATTTACTTGGTAGAGAGCTTAACTTCTATTCAGTGCTCCAAAATCGAATACTTTAGTCCCTTCTCATCACCTTCACTGTATGAAATCAAAGCCCTGCCATCTTAGAAAACAATTCCATTTCAAGGTCTAGTTGGATTTTATGCCCCACCCATAGGAAATGATCAGAATACATTTCTTTCATCTACATTCAATTTTTCCCTGAAAAATAATAAAACATATTTTTCTTTTTTTTAAATTTCCACTAAGGTTCTATTCCCTAGCCATGTTTGATAGTCTCTTATGGATTAGATCTGTGATCCCCCTGGCCTGTTTGACATAGTGTGGACATTTGCCCCCTCTGAATCTCATGTTGAAATGTGATCCTGAACGTTGGAGGTGGGGCCTAGTCGGAGGTGTTTTGGTCATGGGGGCAGATCTGTCATGAATGGCTTGGGGCTCTCTGTGGTAATGAGTGAGTTCTCTACTATATTAGTTCACAGGAGAACTGGTTGTTTAAAGAGCCTGGCACCTCCTCCCCTCTCTCTTGCTCCCTCACTCTCCGTGTAACATGCCTGTTCCTCCTTCTCCTTCTGCCAGTATTGAAAGCTTCCTGAGGCCCTTGCCTGAAGCAGATGCTGGCTCCATGTTTCTTGTACAAACTGCAGAACGGTAAGCCAAATAAACCTCTTTTATAAATTACCCAGTGTCAGGTATTCCTTTATAGCAAAGTGAAATGTACTAATACACTGCTCATTAACTCTTCTTTCATTTATTCATTCATCCCTTCACTCAGTTACTCTGTCTGAGAAACCAAGTACATAAAAAGTTAAGTGATTTGCCTAGGTTGCAGAGTTTGAAGTTTGGTAGAGGCACAAATAAACCTAACTCTCTGCCATCATGCAAGTATTCTTGCACTTCCATTATTATTTCTTAAAATTCAAATTGAAGAACATTTAATTCTTTTATTTAAAATGTGGAAAGTCAGTTAAACAGGAATATTCTAAAATTTGCAAAAACTAACAATCTATAGATAGGCAGCCTTTAAAAATTCTTTTCTGATTTTACTACAGTCAGTGTCAGGGGACTCTTCCATTATAAGCTGGCACACTAATCTGTATGACTAGCATATAAATTCAACAAACACTTCTCTTTTTTATTCATTTTATTCTTTTATCTACTTTTGAGACAGATTCTTACTCTGTCATCCAGGCTGGAGTGAAGCAGTTTGATTATGACTCCCTGTAGCCTTGACCTCCCCTGTTCAAGTGATCCTCCCACTTGAGCCTCTCAAGTAGCTGGAACCACAAGCACACACCATCATGTCTAGCTAATTTTTTATTTTTTGTAGAGATGAGGTCTCTCCCTATGTTGCACAAGCTGGTCTCAAACTCCTGGGCTCAAGTGATCCCCCGACCTCAGCCTCCCAAAATGCTGGGATTACAGAAATGAGCTACCAAACATTACTTTTAAATACAGTTTGACAAATGCCATTCTATATCCTACAATTGTGCTGAAGATTATTTTTCTGGCCAGAGGCACTATCCGTAGAGTACAATTTGACCTGTGTTAAAGCCCAAGGGTATAATAACAATGCATACTATCACTGCACTATGATATATTTTTAAGGATTGGATGAGAACTTGATTAATAATATAGCAGGAAATGATTTCAAAGTTTGCCATCAAATTGTCATGTTCTTCAGATATTTATTATATTTCATGTTCTTATATAATATGTTCTGTAGATAATAATAAAATAGAATATGAATGCTTTTATTCCATTTTATCCATTCTTCTAAAAGCTAAAATTTATCAAAAGTTAAAATTTGAAGGTTTTAATAAAATGTAAATGATCTTGCATCTCCCTAGAAACATAAAATGAGAAATTCACATTGGCTAGTATCCAAAATTGTCTTGTGAAAATAAAATTATTATTCACTTAAGCTTTTACTGCTTTTCCATTTCTAGAATAAAAGGAGGAATCTGTGGAATTCTAAGAATCCTTGTATGATCTCCAAGTAAAATAATAACATGAGGTTGAGAATTATAACAGATTGTATTTTTCCAAAGATTGCTCATTCATATGTGGCCCTGCTTGCCATGTAATGTCATGCTCCTCCACTGAGAAGTGGGATCTCTGTGTCTTCTGCTTTATCTTGCATGAACTTTTGTAACTGCCTCCATCAACAGAGTATAATGTTTAAATGCTGTACAGAGCTAAACTGATGTTATGTGTAATACTGTACAGAATTTAAATGATGTGATAACAGTCAAGGCAAAGCTACAAAATACAATTCAGCTTCCATCTGTTTCTTGAAATACAACTTTGAAGTTCTGAACCACTTTGTAAGAAGTCTAGCTATAATGAAGTTTTGGTGCAGCAGAGACCACTTTGAGATAGAAATGCCCAGGGATCTCCAGTTGTTCTAGCTCTCAGCCATTTGAGTCAAACCTCTAGACAGGTAAGTCAGAAGTTTTCAGAAGATTCTTGCCCTCAACCATGAACTCCCTCAGCCATGATGAGTGAAAAAGAAATAAAATATCCTCACAGAGCCCTCTCCATAATGCCAGTTTTTGTGATGTAAGCAAAATACATGATGTTTTAAATCACTAAGCTTTAGGTTTGTGGTGCAGTCACAGCAACTGAAACAGAGATGTCTACTCCATACAATTACCCTGATTGAGTAAATATGGCAAAGAACAGCTACATAATTCATTCATTCACACATTTCCACAAACACTTCTTAAGTGCATACATGTGCCAGTAACTATGCCTCCAATGGCTGTATAATGGTAAGTAGAACAGGCAGTTTGGGCCCCCATGGAATTTAAAACATTCAAAATGTGCTCATAATAGGCAGACCTATAAACAGTCTGATATTCTACCACAGTGGCAATTATTAGAAGAATTCAGATAAAAGCCATTGATATGGAAATGGTAATGGAAACAGCTGGCATATTTTCTTTTATGGAGACACAGTGATGTGTCTCCCCTGGCAATCAAATCTTTCTGTGCACAGGAAGACACAATGCCAACCTTGTTCAAAATCTGCAATAAAGGGGAGAAGAGAAGAGAGGCAGGCAAATGAAATGACTCAGGGTCTGACAATGAGAACCAATGTTTTCTAGACATCTCTTTCTCAACATTACATTGTATATGACAGACATCATATTGGGGTAATGTGATATTTTATGATGTTTCAAAACCTTTGGGTCAGATCAGTCAGAAAATTGTAATTCTAAGATGACATCAACATCACTTAATTCAGCAAAGAGATGATGCTGGGAGTCTTGACCCAAATTTGTAGTGTAATTTGGATTGTTTTAAATTGTTTTAAACTTTCTTCATATGCAATATGCTTCTCATAAATAGAAAAGCCAGGAAAAAAATCAGGGAAGCTTTGCACATTCTAGTTACGCAAACGTAATCTAAACGAAGGCTCTAATACTCTTCTCTATACCTTGATAAACCTCCAAACAGTTGAGAATTTTTATTGGAAGGATGAATCATATTATTCCATTTAGATTAAAGGATATGGCTTATTCAGGCTGCAGATAATAAAGCCGCGTAGTCAGCTTAATGCTAAAACTGACAAATGCGGTGCCAGATTTGAAAACATACAGGAAATTTTAATTGGAAGTTTATGAAAGTCTGAAAAACTCCAAAGGGTTTATCCTTAGAAATAAACTTAAAACAAAATTAGAGCTAATATATTAGCTGATATGCAGGCAATTATTAAGGAAAAACAGGTGGCTGGTACTTAATTTCCAGAATGGTCCCCTTTTTAAGGCTGGCTGTGGAAGCCAACTCCAGTTGCCTGTAGGAGTTTGTTTGTGCTCAGCAAAGAACAATCAAGAGGGTGCTTCACTTTGTCAGGGAACATGTCACCCTATCAAGCTTGATACTACTTTTGTCTGTCAGACATTTGACTTTACCTCTACAAGCTATTTTTAGGTCTGTTTATTTCCTCCACTCTTAATTTCTAATCATTCTACTTTCTTCACATATCTCTCAGTGAACTTGAATGACTAGAAGATCACAAGAAAAAAAAAGCATTGCTTAAGGTGAAAAAAAAAAATAGAAAAAGGAGACTAGAAGCATTGATTATTGATTGTGCATGCCATAGTGACCTTTTTCCCCCTTGCACAGCATCTTAAAACTTGATCAAAGATTCCAAAGCACTATTACCATGGAGTAAGGCCCCAGCTACAAAGGGGTTATAATGGAGGCAGTAAAGTATTTTAAATATTTTAATATGCTCTAAAAGAAAGACAAATCCAATGCAATTCACATAAAACCTAATGCATTATGTACAGTCTGTGCTTAATAAATGCATTACTCATAAAATATACATTCGCAAGTCCTCCTTTCTTATCAATAGAGCAATCAAGCTGAGCATAAGATTATTGAGAAATTCAACTCCTTCCTATACAAAAATATAATCACATTATCCTCTTTTAAAATCATGCTCAGATGAAAAGAAACAAGAGATGGTTAGCTTAATATTTCATTGTAAAAAGCATTTTATATTTAACCTACTCAAAATACTACATTTTTTTCTTTCATGTTTCCCAGCATAGAAGAGAAAAACATACCAACTTTTTACTCCTAACCCTGGAACTCATCTTAAAGTATAATGCACATCAGTAATTGGGACTGGTTAGAGCTACCCTGAAGCATTCAGGGACTTTTTGTGCTACAAAAACTGTATTTTGATTATCAGTAAATGGACATAATGCTAGTTCCTGATCTCTAAAGGAATTTGACTCTGTGTTTGCTTCTTTTAATATTCTTCTCCATTTGTCAGATTGAACAACTCATGCCCACTATATGAGATGTTAGGCATCCAAATCACATTTCTCTGGCACAGTTTGCCCAAAGTATTTTTTAAGCTAAGATCAAAACTTGTCTTCATAATGAGGATGAAATTGGATACTGGCAATGTGGTTCCCTCTGATCTGTTATTTTTCATCTGGACAAATGACCCCTTAACTTCTGGGTATCCCCTTACCTCTGTATTTATCAAGCTCCAGTCTGTTGATAAACAATTAATTATCAGGTTAAGTTGGCTCTGGTTCATTCCAGTAAATAGTGGGCAGATTCTACAGAATGCCTGAAATGTTGGCAGCATTCTCGCAGTCAAAATTATAGTTTCATATGGCAATAAAGGAGTCTGCAAAAAGAAAAAAAACAACAGAAGTTTTCACTTTCTCCTGACCCCACTTTATCCCACCCCAAGTTCAGATTTTTTATGATTACTTGCTTCAAACCAACAGACCATACAGCTCTCTGCAGTACCTGTTAAGGCATCTTTGTATACTTTGCTAGCAAAAATGTCATTTAGAAAGGCAAGTACCAATTTACAAGAGGCAAGACTTTGTATATCTTTCACATTCCTCTTCCTCTCTGACAGGCAATAAACTGCAGGTCTCATTTTCCAATCCTTATTAAAAAGTATGATCCTGATTGTTTGGAAGGCTCATTAGTGCCATTGCCCTGTGATGGACTGCACATCTTTATAAGAAAGACAGATTGCACGGATGCCTCTGTACATCAGCCCTAATGAAACCCAAGTGCATCCCCCACAGACCTCAGAATTTAGATCTTCATTTGCTTCTGTGAAAAATGAGAGTCAAGACCACGGGCATTTGAAAACACAGCTAGTTTCTTGTTTTGTCAGTAATAGGAGTGCCTCACTATTGCATATGTTACTTTCAGGGAGAAAATAAGAAGCAGTTAACCATGCAATGCTTTGCAACTAGAGTGCTGAGACCAGACAACTATTCTCAGCAGAGAGGTATTAGCAATTACACAGGAGTAAACTTAGAAACTTGCCGTCTCATCAGTGGCAAAGCAGTGGTCTCTTGGGTGATGGTGTCCACACTTTTAACTTTCTCCAGTATTCAGTTTCCCCTTCCAAAAAGGTAGTCATATGGTGTCTTCTTGTAGGCCACAAATGACCAAAAGTATTTTAGTTTCATGGAAGTTTGCTTGCTTTTTCGGAATAAAACAAGCCATAGAAATAACATTATCAACAATAAAACCATTAGAATAGTTCAAAACTTGGAGAAAATGAAGCAAAATTGCTGCAATAGAGCAAGTAATCAAGAGCTCATTTTGATGTTTCAAGTAAATGTGTTTCTCCATCTCTAATGAGCTACGTGTATGTTTCTTATTCCTAGAGTATTTCACAAAGGAGGACTCCACAGGTTAGAAAACACACTGGCCTTGCAGTCCTAAGTCCTTATTTTGTCTCAGAGCTGGCCACTTACTCGCTGAGTTACCTAGATGCATTATTTAACCCCACTGGACCACAGACTCTACCTATCCAGGGGATTTCTAGAATTAATTGAGTCTTAGAGACCATCTATATCAATCTGTTAATTTTTATATGAGCAAATTTGAGCAAAAGGAAGTTAAGTAACTTTACCAATGTCACCCAGTATTGAAGTACCAAAAATGAAATTAAAGCCAAATTGTGATCTAATATTAAAAGGTATATATTATTTTTAGTACTCGTGTAGTTAGAAAAATTAAAAGAAAAACATAACATTTATCCCAATGAAGGTGAAATTTGAAGACTGAAATGATTCTACATAATCAATAGCATTTATAATGCACACCATAGCTCTCCTGAAGGTTACCTTACAAAATCCTGGCTGAATAAACAAATATATTTTCTGGGCTTGCTCTGCTTATTTTATCTAATATTTTAGAAATATAAAAGGCGATTCAGACATTACGCACATAGTATACAGTTGTATTAATGGTATTTAGGAATCAAAACTTTCTAATTTCTTGTCATTTTAATTGCCTAATTTATGAAAATCATTGTGTTATAAACAAATTGATATCAGTTTGTTTTTATTTTTCTGAAGATTTATATTTTCTGAAGATATTTTTCTTTTAAAATAGAAATAACCAGATGTGATATGATAGCCTAGAAAAGAAAAATGACACTAGTGGAAAACTGGTGGAATCCAAATAGAGTCTCTACTTTAACTAATAGCAATGTACCAATGTTAGTCTCTTAGTTTTGAGAAAAGTGCCATGATTAAGAAAGACATTAACTGTAACGGAAACTGGGTAAAGGGCATTGAGAAATTCTCTTCACAATCATTGTACTTTTTCTGTAAATCTAAAGGTATTCCAAACTAAAAAGTTTATTTTTAAAATAGAGAAATAAAATCGAGAAATATAAGTAATATTTGAAGAGGGGGCATCTTGGGTCAATTAGAACAATAAAACAATCTTATTTTATCAAAAAAATTGTGGAAGATAACTCTTAATAAGTAAAGAAGGAATAAAGAAAGGAAGGAAGCAAGGAAATTGTTCCAACTCCTTATACCCACAGCAATATGATGCCATATTTTCCCTAAACTCACAATTGGTTTATTTCCTGTATTTACCCATTACTAAACAATGAGGCAGTTGTTCTTACCACCATTTAAAAAAAATAAAGTTTATTGTGTATATTTGAGGTCTACAACATGATTTTTTTTTTTTTTTTTGAGATGGAGTTTCGCTCTTGTTGCCCAGGCTGGAGTGCAATGGCACAGTCTTGGCTCACTGCAACCTCCGCCTCCCAGGTTCAAGCGATTCTCCTGCCTCAACCTCCCAAGTAGCTGGAATTACAGGCGGGCACCTCCATGCCAGGTTAAGTTTTTATATTTTTAGTAGAGACGGGATTTCTCCATGTTGGTCAGGCTGATCTCAAACTCCCGACCTCAGGTGATCTGCCTGCCTCGGTCTCCCAAAGTGCTGGGATTACAGGCATAAGCCACCATGCCTGGTCTACAACATGGTCTTATGGGATACATACAGATGGTAAAATAGTAATTATAGTGAAGCTAGTTAACGTATTTGTCATCTCATGTAGTTATTTTTTTGTGTGACAAGAGCAGCTAAAATTCACTTAGTTAACAAAAATGTCTAATACAATCCAATTTAATTAACTATAGTCCTCATTTAGATCTTTAGACTTGTTCATCCCATGTACCAGTTACTTTATAGCTTTGACTTCCCATTTCCTTCCCACCCCAAACTCCCTGCTGCCCACAATAACCACTATTTTATTCTCTATGTCTGTATATTTGACCTTATAAGAAAGGTCCACATATAAGTGGGATAATGCAATATTTGTCTTTCTGTGTCTGGCTTATTTCACTTAGCATAATGTCCTTCAGGTCCATTTATGTTGTGGCAAATGGCAGGATCTTCTTTTTTAAGGTTGAATAATATTCGTGTGTGTGTGTGTGTGTGTGTGTGTGTGCGCGCGCGCGCGCATCACATTTTTCTTATCTATTCATCCATGAACAGGCACTTAGATTAATTTCCTACCTTGGATAATTTTGAATAATGCTGCAGTGAACTCGGGAGTGCAGATATCTTTACTAGGTGGTGATTTTATTTCCTTTGGATATATACCCAGAAAAGAGGTGGCTAGGTCATAGGGTAGTTCTATTTTTAATTTTTGTATGAACCTTCATACTATTTTCTGTAATGGTTATACCAATCTTGTCTTTTTTATAATGGTCATCTTAACAGGTGTAAGGTGATATCTCATAGTGGTTTTAATTTGCATTTCTCATATAATTAGGATGTTGATCACCTTTTCATACATCTGTTGGCCATTTTTATGTTTTATTTAGAGAAATATTTGTTCAAGCTGTTTGCCCACTTTTAAATTGGGTCATTTGTCTTTCATTGAGCTGTTAGGAGTTCCTTACAAATTTTGAATATTAACACATTCTTAAGTATGTGATTTGAAAATAACCTTTTCCCAGTCTGTGGGTTGCCTTTTCATTTTGTTAATTGTTTCCCTTGCTTTTGAGTTTGATGTAGTCCCATTTATTTATTTGTCTTTGTAGTCTGAGGTTTAGTGTGATATTCGAAAAATTGTTGCCAAGGCCAATGTCAAGGAGCTTTTCTCCTGTGGTCTTTTCTAGGAGTTTTATGATTTCAGGTCATACATTTAGGTCTTCTATCCCTTTTGAGTTGACTTTTGTCTAGGGTGTAAGATAAGTGGCCAATTTCATTTTTTTCCATATGGAAATCCAGTTTTACCAACATAAATTATTGAAGAGACTATACTTTCTGCATTGTGTCCTCTTGGTGACCCTGCTGAAAAGTAGTAGAGCATATATGTTGGAATTCATTTCTGGGCTTTCTAATATATTTCATTACTCTATATTTCTGTTTGTATACCAGGACAATATTGTTTTGATTACTATAGCTTTGCATTTTCTGATATATTAGAAACGTGTTTCCTCCAACTTTGTTTTTCTTGTCAGTATTGCTTTCACTATTTTGGTTTTTTAATGGTTCTGTATAAATTTAGAATTGTTTTTATATTTCTGTGAAGTACGCCATTGGAATTAAATGTCCATAATATCCAAAGTGATCAACAAATTAAATGCATTAATTCTGTATACTGCTTTGAGTAGAATGCACATTTTAACAACATTAATTATTTCCAACCATGAAAATATCTTTCCATTTATTTGTATCTGTTTCAATTTCTTTTATCAATGTTTCATAGTTTTCAGTATAAAAATCTTTCACTTCCTAGGTTAAATTTATTCCCAAGCATTTAAGTTTTTTAGTGTGTTATAAATGAATACTTTTCTTGATTTCGCTTTTAGCTAGCTCATTATTTGTGTATAGAAATGCTACTAATTTTTTGTATATTGATTTTGCATCCTTTAACTTTACTTAATTCATTCACTAGTTCTAACAGGTTTTTTAAATAAAATCTTTGGGGGTTGGGGATTCTACATATAGGATCATGTCATTTACAAACAGAGATAATTTTACTTCCTTTCTGAATTGGATGCCTTTTTTTTTTCTTTTTCTGGTCTTATTGCTCTTTCTGGCACTTCCAGTATTTTGTTGAATAGAACGGTTGAAAGTAGGCACCCTTGCCTTGTACTAGATTTTAGTGAAAAAGTTTTCAGTTGTTCCCTGTTGATTATGCTAGCTGTAGGTTTTTCATAAATCGCTTATATTGTACGGAACTTTCCTTCTACACATAAACTGTTAGTGATTTTTTTCAAGAAAGAATGCTGAACTTTGTCAAATGCTTTTTCTGCATTAATTAAGATAATCACATGGTTTTTATCTTTCTTTCTTTTAATGTAATGTGTCACACTGATTGATTTGCATATAGGAAACCAGGCCTGCACATCAGTAGTAAATCCTACTTGGTCATGATATATAATCTTTTTGACGTATTATTGAATTTGATTTGCTAATATTTTTGAGAATTTTTCTGCCAATGTCATCAGAGATATTGGCCTATGGTTTTCTTGTGTTGTTTTGTCTGGTTTAGGTATCAAGGCAATGCTGGCCTCATAAAATGTGTTTGGAAGTATTCCCTATTTCCCAATTTCTAAAAGAGTTTAAGAGGTATTGGTAATAATTCTTTGAGTGATTGGTAGAATTCAGCCATGAAGCTATCTATTCCTGGGTTTTCTTTGGTGGGAGGTTTATAATTACTCCTCCAATTTCTTTATTTGTTATTCATTTGGTCATGCTTTCTATTTATTAATGACTCAATCTTGCTATAATAATTATATTTTTCTGATAATTTATTTCCTCTATGTTATCCAATTTGTTAGCATAGAATTTCTCATAATAGTTTCTTACAATAATTTTTATTTCTGGGGCATCCTCTGTTATGTTTCCACTTTCATTTCTGATTTTACTTATTTGAAGCTTTTTCTTGATTATTTTAGCTAGGGGTTTGTAGATTTTTTTTAATTTTTCAAATCACAAACTATAGGTTTTATTGATTTTTTTCTATGTTTTTTAGTTCTCTATTTGATTTATTTATGTTCTGATCTTCATTATATTCTTCCTTCTGCTAACTTTGTATTTAGTTTGGTTTATTTTAGTCCCTTGAGATGCACTGTTATTCTATCTATTTGGGATATTTCATCTTCAACGTATTATATATTTATTGTAAGATAATATATAATAGATCAATAATATACAATTAATTAATATACAATTATATTAATATGTAATTAATATACTAACACATAATAATTATATATTAATATATAATATAATACATTATAATATAATGGATTATAAATACATTAAAAAGGAAATATTCCAAATTTTATAGCATTTATTGCTATAAACGTCCCTCTCAGAACTGCTTTTACTGCATTCCATAGTTTTCAATATGTTGTGTTTTTATTGTTGCTTATCTCAATATATTTTTATTTTTAATTAATACATATTTATGGCATACATAGTGATGTTTCAATACATACAGTGATCAGATCACGATAATTAGCATATAGATCATCTTAAACACTTATCATTTCTTTATGTTGAGAATATTCAATATCCTTCTCCTAGCTATTTGAAACTATATAGTATATTATTTTTGACTATACTCATCATACAGTGGTATAGAAGGCTAGAAATTATTCCTCCTATCTAACTATAACTTTGTATTCAACCCATTGGTTGTTCAGAAGCATGTTGTTCAATTTCCAAATTTCCAATTTCTGAATGACTCAGTGGTCTAGGCTGCAGGAGTTTATGGCAGTATTGGTGGCAGGGTAGGTTCTTAGGGTTCTTGGTAGCAAGGGCTTTAAGAATCTTCCTGTTCTCATTTTCCGCACAGTAAGAATACACAGCTGAAGGGATCCCTCTTTGTGTTGGGTCTGATACACGCTACAGGCAGCCACAGCAGTACTGTGTTTCAGGGCACAGGTGCTCAGAGTGGCTTTGGATCCGGGCTCAGTGTCTTGTTGAACTACTGTGGCACCTTTGATGTCAGCACAGGCTAACTCTCTGAGGCATGAGTGGAGACAGCCCCCCTACAAGTCTGAAGACTGTGACTCTGAGGCACTTGTCAGTAGCTCAGGCCCAGAGGGCCGGGCTGTAGCTGTGACTTTATTTCTGGAAATCTGGGCACAACACGGGCAAGGCTCCAGGAAAGAAGAGTGTTCCAGAGGCTCAGGCCCTTGGGGAGTGGGGCATTGCTACAATTTGACTGTTGGTGCATAGTGGCAACTCTGGTACCAGGAGAGCCATCCTGAGTTTCTGTGCTCCAAAGACTTTCTTCCATTCCCTTGGAGTACCCTAGCACTCTCCTTTAGTTACTCTAGTCAAAATGTAGTTGTTTATTCATTGTTTTGGTCACTTTTTGTGGAGGGGATGTGCGTTGGACACCTCTAGTCAGCCATCTTGCTGAAGTTACCTTATTACAATTTAGAAATGACTATTAATTGAGTCATGGAAAGTGATCACATGGCTAATGACTAAGGTCATATGGTTAATATACTGTGGGGACAGGATTTGAACTAGGCTCTATTAAACACCAGTTTTTTGTTTTGTTTTGTTTTGTTTTGAGACAGAGTCTCTCTCTGTTGCCCAGGCTGGAGTGCAGTGGCGCAATATCGGCTCACTGCCACCTCCGCCTCCTGAGTTCAAGTGATTCTCCTGCCTCAGCCTACTGAGTAGCTGGGATTACAGGCGCTCGCCACCATGCCTGGCTATTTTTTGGACTTTTAGTAGAGACAGGGTTTCACCATGTTGACCAGGCTGGTCTCAAACTCCTGACCTCAAATGATCCATTCAGTTTTTAAGAAAAGAAAATGATTTGCTTCCCTTTCTGTGAAACTATGATGAGCTTTTCTTCCCATTTTTCCTCACAGCCTTTTCAGCCTCTATAACTATGCAAGAGGCTGAACCCAGGATGGACTTTCATGAAAACTATTAAGCTGTGCTCACAATTGCATCTTCTGAGTGTTGTCTAAGATAAAGCCAGGCTGCTACAGGCAGATACTGAGAGAACAACCTCTCCTCATTCTGTATATTTTATCACCTGAGACCTGGAGCAGAATCTCATAAAGTCCCTCCTGACAAGAGCTCCTTCCATTTTTTAATTACAGCTCTCTTTCTCTAAGGTTCAGAACTAGTCAAAAGGGCAGGACTGGGAAATAGACACAGCACCTTGTAATTAATCCCTTTCATCTTATTGCTTCATCCTATTCCATTTTCTTGTCTCTCCTACTTCTATCTTCCAGCTCTTATAAAGCTTCTTTCGTAGAAGCTTCCTTCTGAGAAGTTTCATAAGTGCTGCAGGATAAAAGTACCTTCTTTATCCTATATCCACTCAGGCAAAGCTTATAAAGCTTCTTTCGTAGAAGCTTCCTTCTGAGAAGTTTCATAAGTGCTGTAGGATAAAAGTACCTTCTTTATCCTATATCCACTCAGGCAAAATGGAGCTTTGGAGCCCTGGGCCAATATGTCAGCTGACCAACAGCTCTGAATCTAGGTTTAAGCTCAGCTGGAGCACCCCACTGTATAAGCTAATATTGTGAGCAAACACAAAGTAGAGAAGAAAGAATGGTATTCTTGTGAACTTACGTAGACTTTTGTGTTGATTCCTTGAAGTTTTCTGAGCAAAGCTAAATATCTGCATCTATATCTTTCTGTACACCTGGCAAAGCCTCAAGAAACGTACAATGCTATCTAACAATTTCAAATTTAAAATTAAGAAAAAAATATATTTAAAAAGGTGCAGGATTTTCTCCAAGGAAACTTCAGCTGCATGTATACTTGTATTTCCTAACCCTACTAAAGCAACAGTCCCAGGAGACACAGCATATTAAATGAAAATATAACTACACTTCCACATCTGCAAATGAGCCCAGCCCCAGAGAGCCATTGTGAGAATTAAATGAGATGATGTGAAAATACTTGAAAACAACAGAGTCTTACTGCTGTAAACCATTATTGTCGAAATATTATTTTTCTCATCTCCTAAAAGTGCTAAGATGGGTTGATATGGTACTATATTAACTGGCATGTTTTTCTCTCTCTTCCTTTTTGCCTTGTGATCATCTTTCCTTAGGGTAGCTCATTACCATAGGGGCAAGTCATAATAGAGAAGAAAAATGTAAAATTCTTGCTTTTAAAGGTCAAACCAATCCTTTGGTAAATCCCTGGGTAAGAACAGAATTATTTAAAATAATAATAAGGTAACACTGTTTCCCCTGCCTCCATATCCTACTTAATAAAGATCATCTAAACTTGAAAGGAAAAAGAGCTGGATGAGAACGGGCCTTAGTCACTGGACCAAGTGTCTTGCACCCTGCCTTCTATCTTGAGTCCCTGGGGAGGAATGATTTAAAGCCAAGATAAGTTGGGGACCTGTGAGCAGAGATCTATATTTCTTGTTGCCCTTCTGGGGTCATGGGGGACAGCAGAGGGGAGCAGCGAGAGCAGCTGCGTAGAAATGCCCATGAAGAGTGCATCCTCACAGAGTGCCAGCCCAGCCCAACAGGAGTCTGAGGTTTGCAGAATGTTTTTCTTGCTTTGTATTTCTCTTGTATTGCATGAGTTTATAGAAATGAGCTGTGCCAAAATAAAGATTCTCAGAGTTAAGATGGAAGAATTTGTCTGCAGACCAATGTCGTACACTTGAATTCCAAACTCAGATGACGTAAAGGGCCCAACAGATGGTTTGAACATCTCAACAGATGCCAGCACAGGGAGGGTCCCTCTGTCCATTGACACTACAACATCAGGTCATTGCCCCAGGACTGAGAATTATAATCAAAGGGAAGAAAGAGGAAAGGAAAAATCTTGATTTCGTTTTAGTTTAAAATTGAAATGAAAAAAAAATCTCTAAATTTGACTGAGTTTAACTGCAAGTATAAGAGGAAAACCAAACATCTTACCTTCCATCAGATGGGAATATGGCTTGAGATGAAAATTAAGATTGGTTATAGGAAACTCAGTTATATTTTTGCATAAATGACTTTTTATTCTGTAAAAATCAATATCTGCTCTGCTTCCCTTTTTGATAAGACATTACATGAAATGAGATAGAACTGTTTCACTCAGAGATTCTACTTCTAATTTTTTGCATGCATCTAGCCTGTCTGGACCCCAGCAGTAATGCCTAAAATGCTTTACCTCATCAACAAATATTATCAAGACATTAGATGAGAAAGAAAGAAACAATTAAATCAATGTAAGAATGTTTTCCATGGTGTTCACTTAATTACCACTTTGAAACCTTGATTTTCATTTTTCCTTACCACCCCATTTCCACAATTCAAAATATTCCCTCCAAAATTTATTCTATTGAAACCCTCCTTTCTGGATGTACCAATGTATAAAATGGAAATGTAAACATCTAGAAAAAATCTGTTTTTATTCTTATTGTTCACAAATAATTACTCCTCTCCCCTTCTCCACCTCGAAGGAAGAGACACACTTCTCTCCTGCACCTTAACTTCAGAATAAACCACACATCTTGTTTTGATAAACAAGTTATTACCAGATATGACACACAAAAAGACACTTGCCAGATGCTTGGGAGCAAGAATTGGTGTTGCATTCCTTTGCCTCTGATATCACCATAACAAGAGCATCCCCAGAGCATCTGTATCCCTTCAACCTGGGCCCAGAATAAACACAGGTGAAGCAGATGTGGGCTTAACTCTCTAAAGGAGCCAGTTCTGGAGGTAAGAGGCAAGTGGCCAAACAGATGCAGCTGGGAGGAACATCTGCCACCAAGGGACTGGGACACTAGGAAGACTGGTACACTCCTAGCAGATCTTCAGAGGGAAGGCATTGAGAGTGGACAGAGTGAAGACACAGATGCCAAGCTAAAGCGGGAGGAAGCTGGGAACTCTGCATGGGGCTATAATACACTGGGATTTGTTCCTAGCCCCCAAGGACTCCTGGGCAATGGGTGAGTTGAGAAAGCAAGGAGAGTAACCTGCTCGGGCCACAGGCCTCTGGAATCCTGCCAGCAGGAGACACTATGGCCCCCTGGGCTGGTGAGGAGAGCTGCTTAGAGAAGTGATGGGAGCAAAACTCCAACCAGTGTGGAGCCCAGTGAGGTTGGTGCAAGAGTGTCTGTAGTGGAGCACTACTGGGGATGTCTGTATCCCAAGGCTCACCTTTCTTCCCTAGACTTCAGCCCTAGGGAAGCTGTTGGACTTGAACACTGCAGGGTGGTATTGCCTATGAGAGGAGGTCAGTTCGACCTAAGCACCCCTGAGTCCACTGGCCTCTTTAGTTGTGCAGGGGTCTGTGAGAGCAGTCTGGCAGTGCCTGCTTGCAGTGTAGCCTCGGATGCCCAGGTAGGGGGCCTCCTAGGAGCCCACATCATAGCTACTGCTCTGGTGACTTTACTTGACCAGCAGAGAGCTCCAGTAGCATGCACCTGATGACACCCACCAGCCCACCGCACCCTCCCCGCACTACACCCTCCCCCCACCACAGCCTCCCCAGAACCACTTTGCCTGCCTCACCCATGGCCACCTTGACATTACTTTGCTGCAGGCAGTTCTCACAGGTGGACTTTGTCTCCCTTTCCCATCAGCACACATGTGCCCATGCACCCCATCATGCCACAGCTGCTGGCCTGAGTGCACCCCACCCCTCCAACCCTCCCAAATTCCCCTTCCAATGCCCCTCCCAACCCCAACCCTTCCACCTGGCCATTACTATTGGAGGGGTTCACAGGCATGGAAACTGCTAGCCCCTTGCCCACCAGCACCTCTGCCCTGAGTAGACACGGCCTGCATGGAAAACTAGGAAGGAAGACAAGCAAATCTGCCCCCACCCCCAGAGACAGCTGTTACCCTCGTGAAGCCAGGCACAGAGGGCACACACAGTTCCATGTCACCAGCACTCTGCCAGCCCTCTCGCTAACACTGCTGCCATCTTGAATGCATGTACTGATGTCAGTGGGGCTTCCTGCCACCCCTGGCTCCCTGCTCCACTGCATTGTGCTGCCACCACCTCTGGGAATACCCTCCATCACCTCTCTGGAGCATGCATGCCAATGAGCATGCATTCTGCAGCACTGCAGCTGCTGTTGGCATGTGCAATAGAGAATGGATCCTACTGCCACCACCCTATAAAGCACTATGACTGAGGACCCCATCAGAGTGTTATGATCTGCAGTCAGATCAACCTCTAGCACACAGGTTTCTAACCTCCAGGGGCCACAGAATAAATCTGGGGCCCTGTACCAGCCACTCAGAGTTAGAGCATGTAGTTCAGCAGTTCTGAGCTGAGACTTGGCCCCCTAAAATCCTCCAGAAATGAAGCCAGGCTATTGAACCCAGTTTATATAGTGATCAAGCCCTCAAGGATGTTTAATAGGATAAAAGAAAATAAAATGCAAGTGTCGCCAACTTCAAATATTGAAGGAACATCAGCTCACAAAGATGAGAAAGAACAAGCACAAGAATTCTGGCAACTCAAAAAGCCAAAGTGTCTTCTTACCCCTAAACAATGACACAAGTTCCTCATCAATGGTTCCTAACCAGGATGAGATGGCTAAAATGACAGAAATAGAATTCAGAATATGGACATGAAGGAAGATGAGCAACATACAGGAGAAAGTTGAAATCCAATCAAAGGAATCTAAGAATTACAATAAAACAATACAAGAGCTGATAGATGAAATGGCTGTTGTAAGAAAGAGCCAAATTGATCTGATAGAGCTGAAAAACTCTACAAGAATTTCAAAATGCAATTGCAAGTATTAACAGCAGAATTGACCAAGCTGAGCAAAGAATCTCAAAGCTTGAAGACTGGCTCTCTGAAATAACTCAGTCAGAGAAAAATAAAAAAAAACAACAAAGAAGAATGAACCAAACCTTTGAGAAATAAGGGATTATGTAAAAACACACAATCTACAACTCATTGGCATGCCTATGAGACAGAAAAAGAAATGAAGAAACTTGGAAAACATATTTCAGGATATCATCATGAAAATTTCTCCAATCTTGCTAGCAAAGCCAACATTCAAATTCAGGAAATGTACAGAACCCCTGCAAAATACTATACAATAAGACCATCTGACGTAGAAGAATCTGACATAGTCATCAGATTCTCCATCATCTTAATAAAAAAAAAAAGTGTTAAAGGCAGCTAGAGACAAGGGGCAGGTCACCTACAAAGGTAAACACATCAGGCTGACAGCAGACCTGTCAGCATAAATCCTACAAGCCAGAAGAGATTGGGGGCCTATATTCAGCATTCTTAAAGAAAGAATTTTCAACTAAGAATTTCATATCTGGCCAAACTAAGCTTTATAAGCAAAGAAGAAATAAGATCCTTTTCAGATAAGCAAATGCTAAAGGAATTCATTACCATCAGAGCTGCCTTACAAGAGGTCCTGAAAAGAGTGCTAAATATGGAAAGGAAAGACTGTTACCAGTCACTACAAACATACACAAGTATATAAATCAGTGACACTATAAAGCAACCACACAAATAAGTCTCATAATAACCAGCTAATATCATGATGTCAGTAACACATACACACATATCAATACTAACCTTTGGTGTAAATGGGCTAAATGCCCCAATTTAAGGCACAGAATGGAAAGTTGGATAAAGAAGCAAAACCCAGTGGTATGCTGTCTTCAAGAGACCCATCTCACATACAATGACACCCATAAGCTCAAAATAAAGGGGTGGAGAAAAGTCTACCAAGCAAATGGAAAAAAAGGAAAAGCAGATGTTGCTATTCTAATTTCAGACAACATGGACTTTAAATTAACAAAGATCAAAAAAGACAAAGAAGGGAAGTACATGATGATAAAGGGCTCAATTCATCAAGAAAACCTAACTATCTTAAATATATACACACTCAACACAGGAACACCTAGATACATAAAGTAAGTTCTTAGAGATCTATGAAGACATTTAGATAACCACACAATAATAGTGGGAGACTTTAGCTCCCCACTGACAGTATTAGACAGATCATTGAGGCAGAAAACTACAAAGATATTTGGGACCTTAACTCAACACTTGAGTAAATGAACCTAATAGACATCTACAGAACTCTCCACCCAAAAACAACAGAGTATACATTCTTCTCATCTGCACATGGCACATACTCTAAAGTAGACAACACAATTGGGCATAAAACAACCCTCAACAAATATTTTAAAAAATTGTACCAACCACACCCTCAGACCAAAGTGCAATAAAAATAGAAATCAATGCTAAGAAAATCACTCAAAACCAGTGGTTCCAAGATGGCTGAATAGGAACAGCTCCAGTCTATAGCTCCCAGCGTGAGTGATGCAGAAGATGGGTGATTTCTGCATTTCCAACTGAGGTACTGGGTTCATCTCACTGGGGCTTGTCAGACAGTGGGTGCAGGACAGTGGGTGCAGTGCACAGACCATTAGCCGAAGCAGGGCGAGGTATCACCTCACCCAGGAAGTGCAAGGGGTCAGGGAATTCCCTTTCATAGCCAAGCAAAGCTGTGACAGACAGCACCTGGAAAATTGGGTCACTCCCAACCTAATACTGCGCTTTTCCAATGGTCTTAGCAAACGGCACTCCAGGAGATTACATCCTGCGCCTGGCTCGGAGGGTCCCACGCCCACAGAGCCTCGCTCATTGCTAGCACAGCAGTCTGAGATCCAACTGCAAGGTGGCAGCGAGGCTGCCACAACCATTGTGGAAGACAGTGTGGCGATTCCTCAGGGATCTAGAACTAGAAATACCATTTGACCCAGCCATCCCATTACTGGGTATATACCCAAAGGATTATAAATCATGCTGCTATAAAGACACATACACACGTATGTCTATTGTGGCATTACTCACAATAGCAAAGACTTGGAACCAACCCAAATGTCCATCAACGATAGACTGGATTAAGAAAATGTGGCACATATACACCATGGAATAGTATGCAGCCATAAAAAATGATGAGTTCATGTCCTTTATAGGGACATGGATGAAGCTGGAAACCATCATTCTCAGCAAACTATTGCAAAGACAAAAAACCAAACACCACATGTTCTCACCTATAGGTGGGAATTGAACAATGAGAACACTTGGACACAGGAAGGGGAGCATCACACACTGGGGCCTGTTGTGGGGTGGGGAGAGGGGGGAGGGATAGCATTAGGAGATATTCCCAATGTAAATGACAAGTTAATGGGTGCAGCACACCAACATGGCACATGTATACATACGTAACAAACCTGCATGTTGTGCACATGTACCCTAGAACTTAAAGTATAATAAGTATAGATATAAAAGAAAAAAAAGAAAATCACTCAAAACCATACAATTAAATGGAAATTAAACAACATGCTCCTAAGTGACTTCTAGATAAATAATGAAATTAAGGCAGAAATCAAGAAATCCTTTAAAACTAATAAGAAAAAAAAGATACAACATGCTAGAATCTCTGTAATATAGCCAAAGCAGTGCTAAGAGGGAAGTTTATAGCACTATATGGTCACATCTAAAAGTCGGAAAGATCTGAAATTAATAATCTAACATCACATCTAGAGGAACTAGAGAAACAAGAATAAAATAACCCCAAAGCTAGCAGAAGACAAGAAATAACCAAAATCAGAGCTGAACTAAAGGAAATTGAAACATGTAAAAACATATGAAAGATCAATTAAACCAGGAGCTGTCTCTTTGAAAGAATTAATAAGATAGATAGACCACTAGCTAGACTAATTTAAAAGAGAGAGGGTGAAGATACAAATAAACACAATCAGAAATGACAAAGGGGATGTTACCACTGACCCCACAGAAATAAAAAAACTGTCAAAGACTATTACAAACACCTCTGTGCACTCAAGTTAGAGATCCTAGAAGAAATGACTAAGTTCCTGGAAACATACAACCTCCCAAGATTTAATCAGGAAAAGACTGAATTCTTGAATAGACCAATAATGGGTTTCAAAATTGAATCAGTAAAAATAGCCTACTAGTAAAATTTCAGGACCAGATGGATTCATAGCAAAATTCTACCAGACATATAAGGAAAAGTTGGAACTATTCCTAGTGTAACTAATCCAAAACATTGAGGAGGAAGAACTGCTCCCTAACTCATTCTATGAGGCAAGCATCAACCTGATATCAAAATCTGGCAGAGACACAACAACAAAAGACAACTTCAGGCCAATATCCTTGATGAACATAGCTGCATAAATCCTCAACAAAATACTAGTATACTAAATCCAGCAACACATCAAAAAGCTAATCCACCATGATCAAGTAGGCTTTATCCCTGAGATACAAAGTTGGTCCAACATATGTAAATCAATAAATCTTATTCACCACATAAATAGAACTAAAAGCAAAAACCACATTATTATCCCAATAGATACACAACAGACCTCTGATAAAATTCAACATCCCTTGTTGTTAAAAGCCCTCAAAAAACTAGGCATTGAAGGAACATACTTCCAAATAAGAAGAGCCGTCTATGACAAACCCACAACTAACATCATACTGAATAGACAAAAGCTGGAGGCAGTCCCTTTGAAAACCAGAACAAGACAAGAGTGCCCTCTATCACCACACCTATTCAACATAGTATTGGAAGTTCTGGCTAGATCATTCAGGCAAAAGAAAGAAATAAAAGGCAGCCAAGTAGGAAGACAGGAAGTCAAACTATCCCTGTTTGTGGTTGATATACTATGCCAAAAAAACCCATAGTCTCTGCCAAAAGCTCCTTGATCTGATACACAACTTCAACAAAATTTCAGGATACATATCAATGTACAAAAATCAGTAGCATTTCTATACACCAACAATATTCAAACTGAGAGCCAAATCAAGAGTGCAGTCTCATTCACAATAGCCACAGAAAGAAAAAATACCTAGGAATGCAGCTAACCAAAGAGATGAAAGACCTCTACAGTGAGAATTACAAGACACTGCTCAAAGAAATCAGGGATGACACAAACAAATGAAAGAACATTTCATGCTCATGGATTGGAAGAATCAATATTATCAAAATGGCCATACTGCCCAAAGCAATTTAGATTAAATGTTATTCCTATAAAACTGCCAATTCTTCATAAACTAGATAAAAACTATTTTAAAATTTATATGGAACCAAAAAAGAGCTTGCCTAGCAAGGCAATCCTAGACAAGAACAAAGCTGGGGGCATTATGTTACCTGACTTCATACTATACTACAAGGCTACAATAACAAAACAACATGGAACTGGTACAAAAAAAGACACATAGACCAATGTGGACAGAATGGAGATCCCAAAAATAAGTGTCACACACCTACAACCATCTGAAATTTGACAAAATCAGCAAAAATAAGCAAAGATGAAAGGATTCCCTATTCAATAAATGGTACTGGGATAATTGACTAGCCATATGCAGAAGATTGAAAGTAGACCTCTTCTTTACACCACCTACAAAAATTAATTCGAGATACATTAAAAACTTAAATCTAAAACGAAAAGCTATACAAATTCCAGAAGATAACCTAGTACCATTCTGGATATAGGACCCGATAAAGACTTCATGACAAAGATGCCAAAAGCAATTGCAACAAAAACAAAAATTGGCAAATGAGATCCAGTTAAACTAAAGAGCTTCTGCACAGCAAGAGAAACTATCAACAGAGTAAACAGACAACCTACAGAATGGGAGAAAATATTTGCAAGCTGTACATTAACAAAGATCTAGCATCCAGAATCTATAAGAAACTTAAACAAGTTAAGCAAAAAACAAACAAACCCATTAAAAAGTGGGCAAAGGACATGAACAGACACTTTTCAAAAGAAGACATACATGCAGCCAACAAGCATATGAAAAAATGCTCAATATCACTAATCAGAAAAATGTAAATCAAAAACCACAGTGAGATAACATCTTACACCCATCAGAATGACTATTACTAAAAAGTCAAAAAATAACAGATACTGGTGAGGTTGTGGAGAAAATGCAATGCTTGTGCATTGCTGGTGGGAATGTAAACTAGTTCAGCCGTTCTGGAAAGAAGTTAGGCAATTTATCAAATAACTTAAAACAGAATTGCCATTTGACCCAGCAATTCCATTATTGGGTATATACCCAAAGGAATATAAATTATTCACAGTAAGCTGAGATAGCTCAGTTGGGAGGTCATTGGACTGAAGAAATATAAATTATTCTACCATAAAGACATATGCACGCATATGTTAATTGCAGCACTATTAGCAATAGCAAAGACATGGACTCAACCTAAATGCCCATCAATGGTAGACTGGATAAAGAAAATATGGTACATATGCACCATAAAAAAATGAGATCATGTCCATTGCAGCAACATGGATGGAACTGGAAGCCATTATCCTAAGAAAACTAATGTCAGCGCAGAAAACCAAATATCACATGTTCTCACTTGTAATTGGAAGCTAAACATTCAAAACATATGGACACAAAGAAGGGAACAACAGACACCAGGGCCTCCCTGAGGGTGTAGGGTGGGAGGAGGTTGAGGATTGAAAAACTCCCTATTGGGTACTATGCTTATTAACTGGGTGACAAAATAATTTGTATCTCAAACTCCTGCAACACACAGTTTACCTATATAGCAAACCTGCACATGTACCCCTGAACTTACAATGAAAGTTTAAAAAATAAAAGTAGCCAATTCCAACTTGAGCTAAAGGTTGAAGCAGAGCCACACAATTGCATTCGCCCTAGATCTGCCTATAACCCCCAGGGTATCCATGGACAAGTGGGCAAGCATAAGCTATTATTTGGCACTTAAATTTGGGGTTGGTTTGATAAGCAGACATGGTGATTCTCAGCCCTCAGCTTGTAATAGTCAGTGACTTTTCCCAGAGTGGTTGGGTTACTACATTTACCAGGTAAGATTGTAGTGGAACTGGAACTCCCTATTCACACAATGATTGATACTCCTGAAACCACAGTGAATTCTAACAGCTTGGGCATGCTTTGCTTTAAAAAAAAAAATCATAAACAACAGGGAATCATGTTTCATTTTTCCACAAGACTGCATGAGCCTGGAATCAACTCCACTCCTAAAGGTGGAACCCACAGCCAAGCACAATGCCCAGGACCTTCTTCCATGATGCTCAGTAAGTGACAGAGACAGGGTGCTCCCTCCCACTGAAGGACAAAGAAGATTGTCCAAGCAATCGCTTTTACTTAGCAAGGTGGCAGGGGTCCAGTTCTCTCCAGCATCAAGCTCTTACCAGGAAAAAAAAGATAGAAAAGAAAGAAATAAGGAATACTGACAAGAGATTGAATAACTCACCATTTTCCAGCTCTACTGCTTTGATGGCAAGTGAAAATGGGCCTAAAGCATGAAATGGTTACATGCTGGTTATTATGGAATTTGTAGCATTATGCTTGCCTGATAATAAATGTGGTTGTTCCTGGGTAATAGAAGGGGTGTAAGTGCCCGAGTCTATATCTGGCAGGGGAGCAAGAAGGTGGAGTGGGGATGGGTGTGTGACTTGAGTGGTAAGTGGATAGTTGGGATAAAAGGGAATTAGCCTCTTTTCTAGCATGTTTCAACATCTTCAAGAAATTAACAGACTTCAGACATTATCAAACATGCAAACATACACACAAACAAAAACAATAATAAAATAGAGCAAAATGTGGCATGAAATGTGGGAAAAGATTATTCTCTTGAACTTGCCTATCTTCAAACAGATGTTTCCTGTGCTATATTTATTTTGGGAATATGATTCTATACAAACGTATTTCAAAAAGTAATAAACATTTCAAGAAAAATTGCAGGAATTTTATGTATACTTTCTAACAGAAAAAAAGATGCGAAGAACAGGACGAAAATGTGTGTGCATGGCCCCCAATCATACTGTGTGCTCTTGTAAAGAATAAAAGTTCAGGCTGGGCACTGTGGCTCCTGCCTATAATCCCAGCACTTTGGGAGGCTGAGGCAGGCAAATCACCTGAGGTCAGGAGTTCAAGACAAGCTTGGCCAATATGGAGAAACCTCGTCTCTACTAAAAATACAAAAATTAGCTGGGCGTGGCGGAGGGTGCCTGTAGTCTCAGCTACTCAGGAGGCTGAGGTGGGAGGATCACTTGAACAGGGGAGGTGGAGGTTGCAGTGAGCCAAGGTCGTGCCACTGCACTCCAGCCTGGGTGACAGAGTGAGACTCTGTCTCAAAAAAAGAAGAAAAAAAGAAAGAGAGAGAAAGAAAGAAAGAAAAAAAGTTTAAATGTTTTAGAAACATTCAAGTAAGTAACAAAGGCCATATTTTCCCTTTACTATGCATAAGGAATTTCTATCGAAGTCAATGGGGTTTTACATAAAAATCAATGGCAAATTATGGTCCTTAATGAAAGAGGAAATTATGATTATAGCACTGCTGGTAGCATCACTATAGTTAAGGCTGAGCAGTCTTTTCCATTATCACTTGTCAGGATTTAATAGCTCAGCTGCTTCGAGTCCTACTTGGCTGAAACGTGATATACAACTCATCAGGCAGGATGTAATTAGTTATTATTATTGTTATTACATAAACAAATATTTTAATCAGTAAAGTATTTTTTAATTATAAAGCTTAAAGAGAATGTTTTTTTCTTAGTAGCAGGTGCAGGAGTGGGAAAAAAGAGAAATAAGGAGACATGCTTAAAAGAAGGTAAATTGACTTTGGCAAGTTCCTCCACTGGAATAACTCATTTTCCTTTCATTGTAGGCACCAATGTGGTCTGCTATGTAATAGAATCTCCTGGAAAAGCAACCCTGTGGAAGACTCAGGCAAGGCCATTCACTGGCTTCTCTCAATCTGTTTTTCTATTGCATGTGCAATGCCATTAAATTATTTTATGTCCATGTGCAATGCAATTAAATGGCAACATACCACAAGGTTCCTAGAACTTCTCAGGACCCACTTGACAATGCCAGTCTTGCTTTACTGAATAAAAGTGCATCATCCTCGGCTTCTACATGTTCTATTGTCACTCAATCTGTACAAATGTATGCCTTAGTTGTGAAAAACCTTACATCAGATCTTTTTGATAGAGCCCAAAGACTTTTTATGACTGTGTTGTGACTGTCCTCTTACTCACCCATGTGTGTGGTACCCAGGGATGAATAATGATGATGCTTATTGCACATGATGCACAGATAAGGAAACTCGAGCAGCAAAGTCGTTTTTTTGTTTGGCTGTTTTTTGTTGGTTGGTTTGTTTTGTTTTGTTTGCTGTTTTTGTACTCAGTGCTAGAGTTTTCTGGCAAATGCAAAGGCCACCTGTGGCACTTTGGAAATATTCATTACCTGGAGAGTGGTAAATAGAATATGAGAGGAAAAGGGAAATGACACTTGTACAGTGCCTATTATGTGCATTGTGTACTTAACCTACTGCTGTGGTTTGAATGATGGTATCCCCTCCAAAATTCATGTTGAAAATGTTGAAACTTAATCCCCAGTGCAATAGTATTAAGAGGTCTGACCTTTAGGCAGTGATTGAGTCATAATGACTCTACCTTCATGAATGGGATTAGGTGCCCTTAGAAAAGCACTTGATGGAGGAAGTTTGCCCCTTTTTGCACATTCCATTCGTTTCAACACAGCATTTCTCCCCTCTGGAGGATGCAGCAACAAGGCACCATCTTGGAATCAAAGAGCAGCCCCCACCAGATGCAAAATCTGCCAACTCCCTGGTCTTGGACTTCCCAGTCCTCAGAACTGTGGGAAATAAATTTGATTTTGTGGACTGCCCAGTCTACAGTATTTTCTTATAGCAGCACAAATGAACTAAGATACTTATGTTATCTCATTTAATCCTCATAACACCACTTATGTGTGGCATTTTATTTACAATTTACAGAGAAGCAAGATGAAATTCAAAGAAATTACGTGCTTTTTTTTCCAGATCGTTCAGTTACTAAGTGGTAGAGATCACCTTCGATCTCAGGCTTATCAGACAAGTTCAATGTTCATCCTATTTTCTTTCTTCACCTCCAAATCCATACACTCATTCTCTTCTCAACACTGCTCATTAGGGCTTTCATCCCCTTCTTTCAGAGAAACTACTCTAGTCAAGTCCACCAACAACCTCCACTGCCAAATCCAGTGATCACCACTCTGTCCTCATCTTTCATAACCTCTCAGCAGCATCCAAAGCAATTGGGCTCTTTTTCCTTCTTGAAATCCTCTCTGCTCTTCACTTTCATATTGTATGCTATTCTGTTGTAAGGGTTCTTCCAGACTCACTGACAGCTTCTTCTTGGTGCCCTTTGATGGCTCCTCCTTCATCACTCAGCTTCTACAAGTCCCTCCTTTTCTTTTCTCTGCTCATTCCTTCCTTGGGGGCTCCCATATAGTCCCATAGCTTTTCATCCATCTCTATGCTGCTGACCACACTACAACCCACATTCTCTACTGACATGTGGACTTGTACATATAACTGCCTACTCATTAATTCCACAACATGTCCAGAATAAACTTTCACTGCCTTCTCATCAGAAAAAAAAAAACACTATTCCTTGCCTATTTTTCCCATTTGAAATACACCACCCTTATTATAGTTGTTGAAATCAAAACACAATGTTTTATTCCTCTCTTTCCCTTGCCTTCCACTTGTAATCCATCAACAAGACTTGATGATTTAGCATCTAAATAATATCTGAAATCTACCTACTCCTTCCAGCATCAGTGTTTCAGGTTTGCAATTGCCTCCTACCAGAGCTCCCAGTTTCCATTTAGTAGACAAAATTATTAAAAAAAAAAAAAAAGAAAGAAAGAAAAAGAAAAAAAAATAAGTCAGATCAAGTTACTTTCAGGCTTCAAAATGTCCCAAATAAATATAAAGTTACCTATACACACACACACTCCAAAATCTTCTGATAATCCTTATGATAAAATCCACATTCCTTTCTGTGTCTTCATCATGACCTCCCTGTACTCATTCTCCTTCCATATCTCATCTGTCTCACTCACACTCTACACCAGACACACTGGCCCTATCATTGTCCTGAGCACCTCACTGCCCCCACAAGCTGAACGCCACTTCCACACCTCAAAGCCTTTGCACTTGCTGTGTACTCTGCCAAGAACACCTTGAATTTTGGGTAACTGGTTCCGCTCGTGATTGATTTCTCAACCAACTGTCAACTCCTTAGAGAGGTTTTCCAGAATGAGTCTCGCAATGCTGTCATGTACATAAGTCTAAAATATTTATTACCTGGGCCTTTATGCAGATATTGTGCAGGGTGACAACATGGTCATGTTGTCCAGGGTGGACACTCCCTCCCTGGCTTGTAGAGAGCCTCCTTCTTGCTGTGTGGTCACATGGCAGAGAGAGAGAGAGCACACTGATATCTCTTCATCTTCTTTTAAGGACATGAGTTCTATTGAATCAGGGCCCTTATGACTTTGTTTAACCATAATTGCCTCCTTAAAAGCCCTATGTCCAATATAGTCACATGGGACGTTAGGGCTTCAACATAAATTTTGAGGGGACACAATACAGCTGATAGCAGCCCTGATAGAAACACTTCGCCATGCCTGGTCTATAATAAATAATATGATCTTTCCACCCCACCATTATTGCCGGTCTATCTGACACAGATATTTTACTGATGTTTAATGCAACATGGTATATATTCATTTTCCATAAAAGGTATTACACAAGTGGAGAAGATTCATATTAGGAATAGTCATTATGTGGGCTACACAACACCAGTTTTTAAATTTTATAACATTTTCACTTTTGTTCTTTCTTCAAATACATTGTTAGAACAAGAGTCACAAAAATCTAAGAGTGAAATAAACATATTTCCTTGTGTTTCATACTTATGCTAGGTAAAAATGTAAAAATTAGTAGTAATAAGAATCAGAAAATCCTTTTAGAAGGCTTAAAGGAAGAGAGCAGATTTGTAGTGGAGGAGTAAGAAGGCTTTTTCACACACACATACATGCACACACACACCCAAACACACACCTTGTTTTCTCTGCCTTATTTACTGCTCATCAAATTTTTAAAAGCCATTTTACAAAATGTATTTTTAAAGTCTCAAAATACCCTAAGAAATGGAAAGAAAATATAAAAATTACTCTCTAATAACCAAGGCCTATGTTGTTCATCTCTAAAGGAATAGCCAATTAAAATGCAGTAGGTACATCTATAGAATAATAGTAGGTGGCAGTTGGAAGTAACAGCAACTTCAATGTTTCTTAGAAACCTGGTATTGAGTGAAAAAAAAAAAGAAACAAAGAAATCAACAACATAACACCATGTATGAAAACTAAAAATATATACCTTCACAAAACACTACATATTTTATAAGTGTACATACATATACTGTCAAGGGTAAACATCAAATGCATGAGTGTGAATACCTGTGGAGGAGATGAGTGCTGCAGTCTCAGAAGAGGGGAGAATTAAAAACCAGAGATGGATTAGCAACAAATGACATTGGCAAACCAGGAATATATGTGGCCCAGATGTTTGCATTTGAGGTAGAATGAAAAGAAAGAAGAAGGGGAGGGAGAAAGAAAAAAAGGCATGAGGATGGAAGTAGGAAAATAACGATAGTAAATATAACTCTCTTCTGACCTCATCATTTCTTTAAGTTTTGGGCTTTGTGCTCAGGGAATCCTTCTTAAGTGTGAACTAAAGTCATAGTAGTAGCTCAGTGTGCTAGGATCACAGAGGCAAATAGTGCAAGCTTAAACAGACAGGGAGACATAAAAGTAAGGAGCTGCAAATTGTCCTTGTTTCTTTCACCAAAACAAGTCTATCCTGACTTATTTATGCCATCTACTGGTCCTTTCAATTACTTGTTTTTCCAAAACTCACTCTTGCTGTTTGACTTGAGCAATATTACAGTTTTGCAGGAGCAAGTACAGAAAGTCTTTTCACTCAAGTACTGAATATCTTGCTAAAGATATCTGCACTGAAGCAACATTTTGCCCTCATACTGGTATGTTCTAAGTTTTTTCTTTGTTAGTGAAACTCTGCTGAATTAATTCCTTTGTTAGAAGTCCTCTTTCGGTGAAAAAGAGGGTACAGTTTCTGAAAGAGGCAAGAAAACCATCTCCCAATCTGCTATAAATATCAGTGCTGATTTTCCTTCTCCAAAGCTGGAAAATTGCCTTGGAATGGTATCCTTCTGTCAACCTAAAATGTATTTGTAACACATTCTCATTTGAGTTTAAAGCATTTGCATAAATTGATTATTATTTGGGGGAGGAATTTTTAAGGATTTTTTTAATTCTAGTGTACATTTCTGTACTATAACAATCTGACTCACAGTTGGATGTGTATTATCGTATGTTTTTATTATTTTATTGCCATTTATCCTGCCTTTCTTGTTTAATTTCCTAATTTATCAGACTATTCTCTGATTTGACTCATCAAGAGATGACAAATGTCAGTATTTTAATGCTGTTTCAACCAGACAGCCAGTCACTTACTTTCTTACTGATGATCCAACTGAACATGTGCAGGAATCCAGTCAAGTTTTATACATATTCATAAATAGAAGTCATTCATTAACAAATGTAAAATTTCAACAAGAACGAAAAAATCTTGTCTCATTCCACATCCTTTCTTGACAGAACCATGAGTCATATTGAATAATTTCTCATTCATGTTTAGAATCTGTTACTCTGAAGGAGAAAAATCAAGCAAGCTATTTCTGGAGCAAACATTGAAAACAACCACTAAACTGACAAGCCATCCTTTCTTGACGAGGTGGTTATTAAGCAGCTGAAGTTAATTCCAAAAACAGATAGTCCTCAGAATATTTCTGCCAAATCCTATATGACCATAATGTCTTTTTTGTAGGAAAACAGTACTGACTCTTCTGAGGACCCTGAATATCAGGAAAGACTTGAAGCTCCAAGGCAGGGGTCAGAAAACTACAGCCCTAGGCCAAATCTGCCCTACCACCTGTTCTCACAGAGCCTAAGATAAAAGAGTGGATTTTACATTTTAAATGGTGAAAACAACTCAAAAGAAGAATATTATTTCATGAGACATGAAAATATTAAATTTAAATTTCAGTGCTCATGAAGTTTTATTGGAACACAGCCATGATCATTTATTTACTTTTTATGTCTGGCTGCTTTTATCACACAACTGCAGCACTAAGTAGTTGCAACAGAGGCTACCTGGCTCACAAACTGCAAATATTTACTAACTAGACCTCACAGAAAAAAAAATTGCTAACCTCTGCCCTAGGTAAAAACTGAGGAAAGAGATGTGAGGTGCTATGAAGTCCTTGGCAGAATTATAGCAAGAGACCCCAGTGAATGGGTTTCCAGGGAAATCATGAGAACAAATGCAGCCCGTCACCCCTGAAAACCCATTGCCCTTGTTTTCTCATACATTTAATCCTTTCCTCATCAGATGCTGGTCTCAAGAATCTTGAGGTTCCCTTACTGCTTTTCCAAGACTCACCTTGAACTACACAAAAAGATTAACAGGGTTATACTAGATATTTCACATGCAAATCTTGACTGGTTTCTGGCAGTCTGTGAAGGCTAATTCTATTAGGTTGGTGCAAAAGTAATTGCGATTTTTGCTCTTACTTTCAATGACAAAAATCGCAATTACTTTTGCGCCAACCTAATAACGAGTTAGAAATCTTCAAGCATATCCACAGAAAACAAGCTGAGAATCTTCAAAGGGGATCTTTATTCATTTTATACTATAATGAGGGCAAGAGCCTAGCAGAACAGTGGGTTCTGTTCTCTATGGTTGCCTTTTCTTCAAAACCCTGCTTATGAAGTCATGAGTTCCTTGGTATCTCTGAATTCTTATTTTTACATCACTAGCCAAGTGAGATTAGAGCAAGCTTTAAGTCTCTGCTTTTGTTTAGCTGTTGACTTTGAAAACTGTTAATCAGCAAATGCCTCGAAGAGTAAAAGTTGCAGAGAAAGAGGACCTCAACTTTGTGTATTTCTTTCTTTTTTTGTTTTGTTTTGTTTTGTTTTTGTTTTTGTTTTTTGTTTGTTTGTTTTTGAGACGGAGTCTCACTCTGTCACCAGGCTGGAGTGCAGTGGCGCGATCTCGGCTCACTGCAACCTCCACCTCCTGGGTTCAAGCGATTCTCCTGCTTCAGCCTCCAGAGTAGCTGGGATTACAGGCACGTGCCACCACACCCAGCTAATTTTTGTATTTTTTGTAGAGACGGGATTTCACCATGTTAGCCAGGATGGTCGCCATCTCCTGACCTCCTGATCCACTCGCCTGGGCCTCCCAAAGTGCTGGGATTACAGGGGTGAGCCACTGCACCAGGCCAACTTGGTGTATTTTTTCTTATTTCTGATTGCCTTAGTTCTTCTCCAGTGCTTTTAAATAGCTATTTTATTTATTTTTAAAAAATTGTATACAGTTTTTGTTGTTTATCCCAAGACAGGAAATTCATTCTGATGTAAACTACTCCCTTGAAATCAGAAATGGAAAATGTTTTCTCTCTTTTAAAAAGTAAATAGCATCAAGTATTTTTTCTACTAGAATTGCCAAATAATAACTCTATCTACTTCATTCCAACAAAAAGTGACCTTACCCTGGAAATCCTGGGAGATGTCTTTATAGTATAAAGAATATTTTCACTGAATGTCAAAAGGATGCATTTTACAATTCTGGAGATAATACAATTGTGTGCCACAGAAAAGTCCAAAGCATGACCTACATAGGAACAGAATTGTGTTCCAAGGAGATCTTTAGAAGATGAAATGTCTTTGAGAGACTGTCTGAATGTGCAATGACTACTTAGGTCTGAACTGCCATTGGATACCCCCCATTGTCCTTTCTATCATGCTTCCATTGCAGATACAGTTTTGCTCCAGACAAAGTACTCAAAACCAAATTGCCTCCATCTTTCACTTTTTATTGCTGTCCTCTGCTAACCATAGAATGCTCGTTTTCCTAAACTGGAAAAGTGACACACCCCAGTGTGAGATTCCTTGATTTCTTAAAAGCAGGCCTTGCTATAAGCAAGGCGTAGGCAGTGTGGTGTTCTGACTCATGAATACAGCAAAAAATTTAGAAATTATTTAATTAAACATATAGAGATTATTAACTTGAAATAGGTTCTGCAACAAATAATAGCTTCATAGATTGAATAGAGCTGATAATATTCTTATAGAACAATAGGCTTGTACATGACGAACTTTTTTTGAAGAAATCACAAGGCTGAACATTCATTAGACTGTGAAAAGAAGAAAATCAACCAACAAAGAATGGCTAATGAAACACAAAGGGCAATTTGGCAAGATTCTGTTGGTTCATGGAGAAAAAGGAATCCTCAAACAAAATCTTGCAGAATATAATTAACGAGATGGGTTTGTGGAACATTGACAAGATTCAAAGCATAAACAGAGAAAATTCTTCTGATGCTGAGAATCTAATTGCTATGGTTCTTCACTCTACTATTCAGGATTTTGCTTTCAGTGTGTCCTTACCACTTGCTTATTATACTTTCCTCTCTCTAGATGTTCTTTAATTTCAATCACTTAAATGAATTCAATAATCACTGTTAAGTGTGATACTATGTCCCATAGGATCAAGTAAATGTACAGGGAGACAGTGTATCATGGATAAGATATTATAAAAATGAATGAGGTCTCTATTTTGAAGAGCATCAGTAGAAATAAAGAGGCAGTGGACAGAGTAATTAGGCTAAATTTAAATGAATATTAATTGTGTAATGTTGTATGGGTTTATATTAATACAAATTAAAATACTGTTGAGTGAAAAAAAGCCAGACACAGAAGCGTGCAAACATGACTCTATTCATATAAAGCGTAAAAACTTTAATTAATCTAGGGTATAGAAATCATAATACTGTGGGGGACGGGGTCATGACTGAGAGGAGACAAAACAGAGGCATCTCAGGGGTGATAATTATATGAGTTTGTTTGACTTTGAAAAAAATCACTGCTCTGTACAATTATCGTTTGTGAAGAAGTCTGTAAGTGCACTATATTTAATCATTGTTTTACACCTGGGATAGTGTATTTTTAAGTTTTCTTTTTTAGCATCAATAGCAAATAATAGGAAAATGGCATACAAATGATTATCATTGTTCTGCAGGAAAAAAACAAACTCATCTGTTCTGAAAATGTAAATATCTATAGATCATGCTTTTTCGACAACTTTAATTTTTGCCTTCTGTGAATGCCATCAAGGACCAGGTCTTATTTACCTTGATGTCTCCATTTCCTAGCACAGTATCAGGCTGAGCATTTTTCAGACAAGGATGAGTCTCATGCTTTCCTTTTTTCTAGAGATGTCAAATTTTTTCAGCCTTGATTTTCCATTTATCTAGATTCATTTCTTTCCAGGGGAGAGGAAGAATGCATTGATCAGGTCCCAGACCTGTCATCCCAGCTGTCTGGTGGAATTCTGACATATGCCATATGTGGGTCTCTAAAACACTTTATTCCAAAGGCAGGGGACAAAGTAATTAGGCTAAATGAGGTCAGCAGGAATAAAGTGCCAGGGCTTTGGCCACGTGTAGCACTGCTCATGTCCTGGGCCCAGCTCAGCAGAACTCAGAGTGGTGTGCAGCACGTGAATTACAGGAGGCAAAGCTACTGTGCTCAAGGATCCAGAAGGTAAAGGTAGCTTATGGCCTTGCTCTGTCATATGGGAATGCTGACTGAGGGAACTGGTCTTGTTATCTAGCAGTGATGCTTTTTCTAGTTTCTTGGCTTACCTCCGTCTCACACTTGAAGATGGGCTAGCTTGAAAAGCACTGGAATTGGGGATATGATTTGAAGAGTTCTTGGAAAATTTCAGCCAAAACTATTTCTTCCAACCTAAACTATTTTTGGAGGTAGATTTATCTGGTTCTTAAGGGCATTTCCTTCGTAAAAATACTCTATTCAAAACAAGCACTTGGTGAAAAAAAAAAAACCCTCATATCCTTCATCCAGAGGGAAAGACACACAAATAAGGCTGGAACACAGCATGAGAATAAAGCTCCAACAACAATATCATACAAATCTATTCAAGTTCTGGCTTTCCTGGGTACCAGCTAGCTGACCTTGAACAAAACTCTTCCTGATTTTAAGACTTCATTTGAAAAGTAGGAACAATAATAGTTCCTATCTCAAGAGCTCTTGGGAGTGAAAATTAAGATAATATTTGTTAAAGCATTTATCACATAAAAAGTGCTACTATTATTATTATTTTCAGAGATCTAAAAGGAAATGGTATGGCATAAGTGCTAGGTGCTAAAAGATGGAGTGATCATAACTAGGCAGGAGGAAGAGAGAGATGAGGAAATATGAAACGAAAACATTTCAAATAAAAACCTGACTTTATGGTTTTGCTTTGATTGGGCTCTTTCTGATGCACCTTCACAGCTCCAGCCAGGAAGTAGCACATCAAGACAGCAGGTCGCCCCTTTAATACTTGATAAAATTCCTCTTAATGAGTCATTTTTAGGAAAGGTTCCAGTGATCAAGGCTGTTTTCACTGGTGACTTGTACATCTAAGATTCTACTTAATTGTACACCTGTTTGCATATCCAGGTACTTTTTGGCAGGCACTTGGGAAGAATGAAGTAAACAATGTAATTCTTTAGATATTTTAAATTTCATTTCAGTATGCGTTGATGGCTTTCCTTGTCTTTGATTTTGGTGAGGGGATTTGATTACCCTGAAGCATCATATAAATTAATAAGTAACAATTAAAAAGAGAACATGGGATACAATTAGCCTTTGTGAGTCTTTGTCTCATAATCCTGTATATTATTCTAAATTTCTGCAATGTATTCATAATAACTGGCATTGAGGGAAAACAACAACAATAAATGTTGTGCAGGGAAAATAACATAGTTAATGTATTGTTGTTTTATGACTTATACTGGCTCTTAATGCAAGTGATTCATTTTGTGACTAATAATAAAAAAGAGAAAAGATAAAATTAGCAGCTGAACAGAGCCACCCAGCCATCATCCAGATCAACAGTTGCTAATGTGCCTTCCCAGGCCTGCACTAAGATGTTGCACTACGATGATTCTTTCTCAGTACAGTCATGTTCCCAGCCCATTGAGCCCTCCTCTCACCTACAGGTCGTCCATCTTTTTTACTGTCTGCTTGGGCTATCATTCTCCTTTCCTCCCGACTGTCCAGGTCTCATTGCCAATTACAAGCTTGCCTCTTCTTGGTCACACAGACCTAACCGAGTTGAAGTAATGAAATGGTATTCTCACGTCGTCTCTGGACATACAGTCTTGTCATTTGAGTCCACAAATGATAAACTGGGACCAATTACAGACACTTGGTACATTAGGTAATTTTAAATGATGTATGAAAACAGAATAAACATGATTGATTTTATATCCTACTTTGATTCTACTTAGGTGCAAATTGTGATAAAACTTGTTCTGAATACGAAACCAGAGGAAGGTGAGATAAGTCACAGAAATATGACTTGCAACATATAGGTTGCCAGTCTTTTTTTCAGTACTTTTTTTCGTCTCCAGCTCATCAAAGATACTTTCCAAATCAAGTTATATCACTTAGAACCTCATGTGTTAGAACTTTATACTTTACAGAGTTTTAACTGCTTATCCTATACTTGCAAATATTTACATGAGGATTTTTATAGTTGTAATATCATAGAATTTCAGACCTGGAAAGGACCTGGAAAGGGTTGAACTTGTGAAGTTCAACCCCTTTATTTTACAAATAAAAAGCCCAAATCTTATAGAAGTTAAGAAATTAACCTTGAGTCACAGATCTACTTAACGATAGAGAAAAATGTTGAATCTAGGCTTCCAAAGTCACATTTTAATGCTACCCTCTTCAGACTCTAGAATCTGGAACAATGCCCTGCACAGTGGAGAAGCTCATGAATAATAATCATGAAGAATGAAAGGAATACATTTTCTTGAATATGAATAGTTGTTCATCCTTGTGACTTGCCACTTACATGATTTTCAGGATAAGCATATTTTCATTGTATATGGAGTGCACAGAAAATGTATCTTACATGAGAGCTAAATGTTTTAAAAACAAAATATACCTGGAAAAGCAGCAAAATAAGAACAGTAAATGAGTGAGCCTCCAAAACCCAGAGGCTGAGACTCTGAAAGAATATCTCAAGTTTGTGGAGACTACAGAGTAATTGCAAGTTTCTAGATATTATGATATTGGAATGACTGACAGAGATATGAATGCTGAAGTACACGTCCTTGGTATTGCTATGATGCAATCAGATTTTATCATTTTAATCCAAGCTGGGCACTCAAAGCTCCAATACACATCTCTAAAGGTACAGCCTCACCATCCCAGTGATATTGATCAAGCTTTCTACAGAACTGACCTTCCTAAGGCATTTACACAGGCCACAGAACATGGATTTTCAATAAAGAATGTTGTGGAACACGTGGATTATCTCTTCCATGAGTACTAAGAAAATTTTTATTTGACTTACTGGGAAATATGTACTGTGAAGCTACATCTGCGGATACCAACCAACCCTAATATTTGTGCTAATGAATCAGCCTCCATTCTCTTCTTTTTTAGTTATACTTTAAGTTCTAGGGTACATGTGCACAACGTGCAGGTTTGTTACATATGTGTACATGTGCCATGTTGGTTCACTGCACCCATTAACTCCTCATTTACATTAGGTATTTCTCCTAATGCTATCCCTCCCCGCTGCCCACGCTGCATGACAGGCCCCAGTGTGTGATGTTCCCCGCCCTGTGCCCAAGTGTTCTCATTGTTCAATTCCCACCTATGAGTGAGAACATACAGTGGTTGGTTTTCTGTCCTTGCGATAGTTTGCTCAGAACAATGGTTTTCAGCTTCATCTATGTCCCTACAAAGGACACGAACTCATCCTTTTTTATGGCTGCATAGTATTCCAAAGGATTATAAATCATCCTACTATAAAGACACATGCCCACATATGTTTATTGTGGAACTATTCACAATAGCGAAGACTTGGAACCAACCCAAATATTCATCAATGATAAACTGGATTAAGAAAATGTGGCACATATACAGCCTCCATTCTTATTAAAGAAAACTGCACTGGCTACACCTTTCTGATCCTCTGTAGCCTGGTCTTGAAGATGAGACAAAATCATCTCTGTATTTAGAAGAAAACAAGTCTCAAACAAAATTCAATGCACTTATTTTTGTAAACAACTTTGACTTGCACTAGTAATGATGGATTCTCTAAGAAGAGTGAAGGCAAAATCTTGACATCTATTGCAGCTTCAACCTCTCCATGCCTAAGGGAGAAAGTCTTTTTCCTACCATCTGAAAGAAGTCCTCCATGGTGCCCAAGAAGATATATGCCATAGTCCCTGGACTGTGAGTGGGGGCAGAGCACATCAGGTAATGTCTTATGGGAGTGGCTCATAGCCTTACACAGAGGGGCACACCTGATCTCTGTGGTAACTCTTGAGGGTGTAGTGCTGTCAGGGGAGCAGAGTATCATCAGGGATGATAACTAAAGAGGGACTTTCCTGAGAATGGGACTGTTTGAGGTATGGCACTTTGGGACTGAATCTGGCAACTGCCACCCTCAATTCAAATTCTGAGGCACCCAGAGAATTTATCTGGAACTCATATTTTTAAAGGAAAAGTTAACTCTGTTGTACATAAGTTCAGACAAAGATGAGCATGCATATGTGTGTTCATGTGTGTGTGTGTGTGTTAGCATTATTATTTCAACCTATATTCTTTGCTTCTTTAGCCACTCAAGCTAGCAGGGCCTGGGGAAATATATATACTACCTAGATTAATTTAAAATATCCAGCAATCTAATTATCCAGCCTGTTAATTATAGATGATTGAATACTTAATTTCCACATGGGTAGTGTGTCTTTTCTATGAGTAAAATTTCTCAGGTGGGAAAAAATTGCTTTTATTTTTCCTTATGCAGTTAGACATACTTCCTCCCACAATTTTTGAGCTCCCATTGTTTTTAACAGAATCTTAATAGATATCTCACATTTTATTTTCAAATTGAAAATAAAAAGGCAAGATTTCTAAAAATTCAGCCTGAGTGATTTAAAACTCTTGGAAAGAAACTTAAGAGACTTAAGTTTATTATAAGTAATAAACTACTGAAAGGAAGAAAATTATACTGTATACCTCAAATATTTTCAAAATATCATAATTTGATGGGATGACTTTATATTAAAAACCAAAAAAAAACACATTAATTCGAGAATCATTGAGGAAAACCATTCTCCAACTCCTGTGGTTTTGGTGATCTGCTTTTTTTTTTGTCAGAATCCCACTTTTTGTTATAACAATACAAGAACTCCATATATTTTAACACTAATCAAAGTGTTGAATCTTTGGGGATTTTTAGTCAAAGCAGTAGCTAAATATGTCCTCTAATATTAGCAGAGAAAGACATATACATAAATCACCATACTGTAAAGCAGAAATTATTGCTACAAGAGAAGTATCATCAAAGTAGTAAGTACAGGGAGTGCCAATGGAATATGTTAGTAGTATGAGAAAAGTTATATCGTGAGGTGGCATTCAAATTGGGTTCTGAACAATTTGTTGAATTCTAATAGGGAAGAACATAGAGATTGCATTCTAGAATACAAGATTAGTATAGGGAAAGGTTCAGAGGCATGGACATATTTTTTAAATAAATTTATGTATTTATTTATTTATTATTTGGACACTAGTGTCTCACTATGTTACCCAGGCTGGTCTCAAACTCCTAAGCTCAGGTGATTCACCCATCTTGGCCTCCCAAAGTGTTGGGATTACAGGCGAGAGCCACTGCACCCAACAGCATGAACATTAATCCTGTGTTTAGGAATGGAACAAAGACCAGAGAGGTTGGAATGTAAGGAGTGGAGAAAACGAGGGATTATGGAATGGTGAGTAACATTTTTGCCTCCAGATCTGTTCCTCAGACTTGCATCCAATTCTGGTCTATTTCACAGGAATGCCCATCCCTGCAGACTGCATTTTCCAGACTCCCCATTTCACTGGTTTATGCCTTGGTCTGGACAATGGGAAATACTGGCTAGATATTTCAGGGCTAGAGTGCAGACACCCTAGGGTATGTCTACTCCTCTCTCACTCTCTTGGCCTTGACTTCTAGAAACAACTATGCCTCCATGGCTACAGTTTCCATCTGGCAGCCCTCCCCCATCACCCCCAGCAGTTTCATTTCTCACCAGGAAGCTCTCACTATGGTTTCCTCCAAAGAGCTTCAGCTTCTTGGTTCTGGTAACAGCACCTCTTCACACTGTGCCTCCTGCCCTCAGGGTGGTAATGGCTTCCAGTTTTTAGCTAACCTTGCCTTGATTCTCTACCTTGATTTACCTTCTCATCTTCCTCAGCACTTTTGTAGCCAACTTTCTTCCTTAAATGACCTTTGTTACAAGACCCGGAGTTGCTTTCATTTTCTGCCTTAAGTCTGATAAACACAGATGTTCATTAATATTGGCTAACAAAATGGATAATGGCTTCAGCTCCATCTCTCTTTGCCTTTTCCTAGTTTAGTCCTTTACATTTAAAAATAGTTGTTTTGTTGTTGTTCTCAATTGGCTTTTAACAAATCAGGTTCACATCCTACAAGCCCTTATGCTTTCTAATCACTTCATTTACTCTTCCAAAACGCTATTGAACATCTATTACGGGCAGAAATTATGCTAATTGAACCCATGACCACAAAAAGCAGTGTAGCCAAGTACAGAGACATATTGTGAAATAACTAACATATAGTGTCATAATGCATAACTCCACAAAGCTAAGTAATTAACATATAGTATGATAATGCTTGAACCTAAAACCAGTATCGACAAAGAATCAGCAGAGGACAGATGACAGAGAAATCAATTTCAGTTTAAGAAGCCATCTGTGATGGTTAATTTTAGATTTCACCTTGACTGGATTATGAGATACCTACATAGCAGGTATAGCATTATTTATAGGTGTGTCTATGAAAGTGTTTCAGCAGGAGATTGGCACGTGAATTGGTTGACTGAGTGAGGAAGATCCACCCTTAATGTGGATGGGCACCCTTCCATTAACTGGGAGCCCAGATAGAACAAAAAGGCAGAGAAAAGGCAAATTATCTTTCTCTCTTGGAGCTGACTCACCTTCCTTCTCCTGTCCTTGAACATCAGAACTCCAGGCTCTTGACCCTTTGGACTCCGGGATTTGCACAAGCGCCAAGTGCTCCCACTTCTTACCCTGGCACAGGTTTTCAGGTCTTTGGCCTTAGACTGAAAGTAACACCATCAGCTTCCCTGGTTCTGAGGTCTTCAGACTTGAACTGAGCTATGCTACCATCATCCTATAGTCTCCAGGTTGCAGATGGCCTGTCATGTGGCTTCTCAGCCTCCATAATCACGTGAGCCAGTTCCCCTAAAACATTCCCTCTCAGGGACATAGATATCCTATTCGTTCTTTGTCTCTGGAGAACCCTGACTGATATACTATCCTAAGAAGTCTGGAGTTACTACCATGTAACTGAAAGGAGTCCATTGTACATCTCTGTGAATAAAGCATTGGCATATTGTCATGTTTCCATAGCAATCTGCTGTAGTGACCAACTTGCAAACTCTTGGTTCTTATAGAAAAATCCTAAATCCACTGTAAATTAAAACTGAGGGAAAGCGGCACTTGAAGTATGTTTGTTCTGACTGAAAATGTCTGTACAAATCACATGCATGTATAAGTCACTTCAAAACTTTGTTATCCAAAAGTTATGTAATAAGGAATCATAGTTAGAAAAAGTAAACGGCCAAAGTACTTATTTTACGTATTTATTGATCACTATAATCTCTGAGTATTGTACATTTAAATGTCTATCCTACAGGTTGACAAATATGCTAAAATAAGATGCATTGATGTCAGCCTAAAGTGCAAATGTGCGTGAATAATCAGTTTGATATAATGCCAGAAATATCAAAATGTAGTACAGAACACAGTATCTCCGAATACTATTGCATATTCAACGCCAGGATGAAAATATTTTGCATTTAAATATTGCCTGTTTTAATCACATTACAAATTTAAACAGTTTTAGTTGTGACAGTTATTTGTTAAGAATTAGCCTTAGTCGTTTTTATTCAAACCAGAATTCTATCTTCAGCATCTCTGTAGGTTGTAGAGCATTGACCACTAGGGGGCAGACGTAACCAAGCCATTTAATAAGTTTCTTTCCTTCTTTAAATTTTGAATTTATTTGAGATATATCCTCTTGAAGTCAAAAGAAAACTGCATACTTAAATAAGAAAAGGAAAACCCTGATACCAATTTATAATTCAACTTTCAGTCTTTCATTTTCTTATGAGCTACCACGTCTTATCTTTATTTTCAATTACGATAAAATTAAATTTACTCAAGAAAGACATAGTAAGTTATCAGTTTGTTGTTATACAGGATTGGCAATGTCCATTGGCACTTGAGTTTGTTTTTCTAAGTGAAGGCACCAGCAATCTAGTTTATACGTATTACCTAATTTCATTCTTACAACATAGCTTTGAATTCAGTACTGTTGTCATCCTCATCTATAGATGGAGAAACTAGAGACTTTTAGAAGCTCACAAATTATCAGGCAGAGTAGGAATTCAGACAGAGTTTTGCCTAATTTCAAATTTTGTGTAGATATAACTTCTCACTTTTTTCTGTTTTAATTATAAAATATACAATACATGCAGAAAAGTAATATATATATACATATACACATACACACACACACACACTCTTCTTAAAAATAATTGTAAAACAAATGCCCATTTCACCACTACCCTGTTCAAAACAAACAACATTTTTAGCCCCTAAAGAAGCACCCGGTAAGTCCCTCACTGTTCACAACTCCTTCCCCTTGAAAGGTAAACACCATCTTCATCTTTATAATCATTCTTCACTTTCTTTTATTTAAAACCTTTGTGAGATTTCTATAAATCTATTCATAATGTATTGAATCATTCATGCCTTTCTCCTTCGGGTTGATGTTTTATTTGTAAGATTCATGTACATTGCAGTATATAGTTCTTTAGTTTTTGTTGCTACATGAAATAAAATGCTCTATGTAATATACCATGATAATATATTCTACTATTGATGGCATGTGAGTTGTTTCCAGTTTGGGACTATTATGAACAAGGTTACTGCAAAGATTATATATATATATATATATATATATATATATATATATATATATATATATACACACACACACACACACACACACACCAAGATAGATAGATAGATAGATAGATAGATAGATAGATAGATAGATGATATGCAAAAAGTTTCCCTAAGGTGTATGACTAAGAGTCAAAGAGCTAGCTCATCAGGTCTGCATATCATCAACTTTACTGGAAACAATGCAAATGTCAGTTAACAGATAAATTAATAAAGAAATTATAGTAAATACATACAGTGGAATAATAGCAATAAAAAGAAAGGAACTATTGATCGATGCAACAACATAGATGAATTTCAAATATTCAGGCTGCGTAAAAGAAGTCAGGTTTTGTTTTTTGTCTTTTTGTCTTTTTTCTTTCCAACATGGCAGATGTGAGGCATTGTTAGCATGCCTCTTCCACTTGGAAAAACAAAATAGTGTGTAGAGATTCATACTGTGAAATTTTTCCAAAAAGCAACACAGATAATTAACAGGAAAACTGAAACAAATCACAGACCCTTTGAAAGAAGTGGCAGGCTGCAGCCTACACCTGAGCCAGGTGGAGTTTTCAGAGTGTGAGAAGTCACAGAGTGTGAGAAGGGGAGAGACTACCTCTGGGAGGTAAAGTCCCACCGGGAAACCTGTCAATCAGGGCGATGAGGGAAGGCCTTAACCCCACCCAGCTCTGGAGCTGATTTAGTGAGCGGTGGGAAGTATATGAGAAAGAGCAGCAGCAAGACATGCTTTGCATGCACACCCAGTCTCCAGAGGGGACAGAGAGAAGCTATTCCTGATTGTACCTCACAGGGGGCCTTGTGGAAGTTGGCCAGCTAACTCAGGTGGCAGTCAGGTAGAAAAAAACGCCCAACTGAGATTTGCAATATAATCTGGAGTGGGGATGAATCTCCTCGACTAGAACCAAGGGGCTAGCGGGAAGTGTGCTGTAGTTATAGGCACAGGAGCTGGTTGTCCCTGCTTCACAGGCTGACTGAAAAGGCATGGCCTGAAAACCATATTTTATTTCTCCCTTTGCTACAGTAGGTGGGTAGTCAGACATGAGCAGGAAAAGAGAGGGCTCCCTCGACTTACCAGGAATGCCAGGAGACCATCAAGTGATGGTCCAGCAGTTGTCACACTGCCTCTCCTAAATGATCATTGGCTGCAGCCAGTGCCATGGAGAGGCAGTTTTCCAGTAGATAAAAACACCTAAAATTGATAATCAGCAGCTTCCTATAAGATCTCAGGAACTGGGCAAGTGGGCTCGTGCATGCTCATTAAGAGGCAAAATGGCGGAGAATGACTTTCCAGGGGCATCCCACCAAAAAAGGGAAGAAAGACTCGTGAACATGCGTACAAACTCCAGTAAACTACACATGCTCACCTCCCAAGCACAAGCAGGGTAGCGCTATGTGGGCATCTCACCCTAAGGGAAGAATGAAGGGGAAGGAGCACAAGACACCGAAAATAGGCCCACATATAAAATCCTAGGTTCAAGTTTAAACAGGGCACTTGACCTCCAAGATGCCTGCTTGGGTCTCTTCCAAGTGTACTTTCCTTTCTTTCCTGCTCTAAAGCTTTTTAATAAACTTCCACTCCTGCTCTGAAACTTGTCTCGGTCTCTTTCCGCCTTATGCCCCTCAGTTAAACTCTTTCTTCTAAGGAGGCAAGAATTGAGGTTGCTGCAGATCTATGGAGATTCGCCACTGGTAACTCGAATAATTTCTGCCTGTAACATATTTTGGTGCTGTGACTTGGGTACCTTCCACCGCTAATACCTGGGGAAAGCTTATGGCCTGAGGCAGCTTTGAGTTCTGAGTGCAGACTGCCTGGAACCTAGCTACTGCTAGTGAAACACTGCAGGTATAAGACTTGCCTTTCTACATGGGGCTTACTGTTGCCTGCTACTCCCAAATCCCCATGTGGATTCTTCTGTGCAGCAGAGGCGGCTGGGTTCCTCCCTAGAACATTACCCCACCAACCAGAAAACTGCCTAATGATCCCTACTGGGGCCACTGCTTGCTGGCGAAAAGCCAGAGCATAAGACTTTCCTGACCCAGCCCCAACCTGGCTTGCCCCTCCACCCGCTCTGGTAGCTTCGCACAAAAGACAGAAACTTTTGGGAGCTCTAAGGCCCCACCTATTGCCTGAGACTCCAGAGTATATCCCTTGGGTAACATAAGGCAAGCATGAATACCACTGCTACCAGCGCAGCTCTTTTGCAAGTGCCACCTCCTGGCTGGAAGCCAAATGACAGTCCCTGACAACATTTGCAGGTAGAATAGCACAGTGCCCAGGAAAGAGAAAACTTGTGAGTGAACCCAGCTATCACAAGTGCCTGCATCGCCTTGGCTAATCAGAAGGTCCTGAGTCTGTCTATTTTACCAGTTCATTACTACTACAGCTGTCACTTGAGAAAGCTGACCCACTAAGGCTATTAACAAGGAATCTCACCAAGTCTATGGCACTCCCTTGCCACCTCCATCAGAGCTGGTGCTAGCAGCTGCTGCTGGGAGACTTGAGGATAGGTCACATCACTACATCCCTTGCAGACATTCCCCAACACCAGCCTGGTGTGCAGCAGCCTCACAGGGTAGCTAGACCCCGAGGAGTAGCAGCATTCACAGTACTCTGACTGGCAGGGACTCCTGCTCCTAGGGAAAGGGAGAACATACCACATTAAGAGAACACCCTGTGAGACAAAAGAATCCAGACAGCAGGGCTTGAGTCCCAGAACTTTCCACTTGCGGGAAGTTTCTTTCAGCAGAGGCACAGGTGCAGTGATGGGGTCAGCTCTACCCCAACAGTCAGGCAGCCCTGTGCTCATGAAGGGCCTTGGAGAAGGGGGCTTCTCCCTCTCACCCACCCCCAAAGGCACAGCTGGAGCTTCTCCCACAGGAGCTTGGCATGGGCACACCTGTAGACAGCCTTTCTGGAACACTTCAGGATGACTGCACCCCCACAGGTGGAGTGCCCTCCAGGTTCAGGCTTGCACAAGAGGCAGAGTCAATCTCTCTCTATGTGAAACATCAGCATTCCTGCAGATGAAAAGAGATGCCTGTCTGATCTGAATAGCTGGAACACTGGGTCAGGAGTACAAATAGGAGGCAGGTCATTTTCCTGCTGGCTTGGCAGGGGATCTGAGGTAGCTCCCTCGCTTCCCCTGTGAAAAGACCTCAGTGTGTTTCACTGAGAGCTCCCCCAGACAGCTCTCTCAACGATGGGACCCCTGTCCACCATTGGGTATTGCATTTACCCACTTGGTTTATCAAAAGCTGGTTTTCACTCGTGGATACCTCCCCTACTGACCTGAAGCCTGAACTGGTCAATCCAGTATATAAAATACTGAGGAAAATAAATAAATAAGAGCACACCACAGGGAAACAGGATAAACATCAAGAAACCTCTGCCATTTCAACCCCACAGGAGACAGTGAATCTACTCACACACAGAGCACATTGCTACCACAACTATCCTTTAAGTATGCCATCATAGAAAGACTGTCTAAAACTAAGGAACTCATACAGAGTCATCACCATTGAAAGCACTCAGAACCATATTAGGTTACAATAAAATACAATCATTATAGTCACATCCTCAAGGGGTGGGGGAGAGTATCTAGTTAACAATCAATATGAGGACTGGAACAGTACCTCATATCTCAATAGTAATGTTGAATGTGAATGTTCTATATGCTCCACTTAAAGGATAGATTGAAAGAATGGATTTTAACAATTACAAGCCAAATATCTGCTGTCTTCAAGAGACTCACCTAACATGTAAGGATTCTTACAGACTCAAGGTAAAGGGGTGGAGGTAGATATTTTACACAAATGAAAACCAAAAGTGAGCAGGAATAGCTCTTCTTAGATCAGCTAAAACAACTTCAAAGCAACAAAAGTTAAAAAAAAAGACAAAGAATATCATTACATGATGAAAAGGATCGATCTGAAAAGAAGATATTATAACCTTAAATATATATCCACCTAACACTGGAGCTCCTAGATTTATAAAACAGTTACTGCTAGACCTAAGGAAAAAGACAGCAACACAATAATAGAGAAAGACTTCAATACTCCATTGTCAGTACTAGAAAGATCATCAAGGAAAAAGTCAATGAAGAAACACTGGACTTAAACTGCACTGTAGAATAAATGAACCTAAGAGATATTTACAGAATATTCTACTCAAGCAACGCAGAATATGCATTCTTCTTGTCAGCACAAGAAACATTATCCAATATGGGCCATACAGTAGGCCACAAAACAAGTCTTAATAAATTTTTAAAAATCAAAATTATATCAAGTTCTTCTCAGACCACTGTGGAATACAAGTAGAAATCAACTCCAAGAGGAAACTCAAAACTATACAAATACATGGTAATTAGGCAATCTGCTCCTGAATGATGTTGGGATTAAAAATAAAATCAAGATGGAAATTTAAAAATGATTTGAAATGCATAAAAATTGTGACAGAAGTTATCAAAACCTCTGGGATACTGCAAAAGCAGTGCTAAGAGGAAAGTTCAGAGTGCGAAAAGCCTACATCAAAAAGTCTGAAAGATCACGAATTGGCAACTTAATGTCACACCTCAACGAACTAGAGAAACAAGAACAAATCAAACCCAAAGCTAGCAGTATAAAAGAAATAATGAAGATCAGAGCAGAGCTAAATGAAATTGAAACAAAAAAATTACAAAAGACCAATGAAACAAAAACTTGGCTTTATGAAAAGATAAAATTGATAGAATATTAGCTAGATTAACCAAAAAAGAAGAGAGAAAATTCAAATAAGCTTAATTAGAAAAGAAAATGGAGACGTTACAAACAATGCCACAGAAATACAAAAGATCATTTGAGACTACTATGAGCACCTCTATACACTCAAATGAGAAAATCTAGAGGAAATAGATAAATTCTTGGAAACATACAACTCTTCTAGCTTGAACAAGGAAAAAATAGAAATCCTGAACAGACCAATAACAAGCAGTCAGGTTGAATCAGTCATTTAAAAAATTGCCAACAAACACTGAGCCCAAAGCCACATGGATTAACAGCCAAACTCTACCAGATCTTCAAAAAAGAGTTGCCACAAATCCTACTGAAACGATTTCATAAGATTGAGAAAGATAAAATCCTCTCTAACTCATTCTATGAAGCCAATATCACCCTGATACTAATGCCAGGAAAGAACACTAAAAAAAAAAAAAAAAACTACAGAGCAAAAAAACAAAAAAGAGTACATTCTGTGTGATTCTACTCACATAAAGTCTAAAGTCAACAATTAAGTTGACCCATACAGTATTAGACTTACTCACTAACATTACTGTGAGTAGGTCTCACAATAATGAGTAGGTCTCACATTATAGACCTACTCATTATTGTGAGTAGGTCTCACAATAATGTTAATAATCGGTAACGTTGACCCAATAGTATTAGATTATACAGTATTAGTAATGTCAACAATAAGTAGCTGTTGACCCATACAGTATTAGACCTACTCACTGACATTAGAATAATGGGTCAATGTTAGTGAGTAGGTCTAAAGTGTTAGACCTACTCTAGTGTCAACAATTAAGTTGATCCATACAGAAAGTATTAAACCTACTCAGCAACATTATAATAATGATATAACGCCAGACTATAAGATTTTTGGCCATGCTCCGGTTATTTCTGGTGTTTTATAGCAGTGATTAACTGAGCTTTGATGAGCTCATAAGAGGATTCTGAGTTGGTTGTACTTAGGCTTGGAAGAGGATTATATTTTAGGGGGCCAAATCTAGTTCAAGATAATTAGTTTATTGAATGCTGGCTTTTTGTTTGGTTGGTTTGTTTCTGTCATTTCACATGAGAGAGGAAGCTACATATCTGAGGATAACCTCGGCTTAAGGAAGCCATCATCCCTGAAAGGCCTTTACCTTTTACACACAGCTACTCATGCAGACCCTTCCTCCCCTTCCTACTCTCTGAGGAAGCTACATTTCATCAATGCTGTTTCCTCGTTATTCAATAACATGCACTTGGTATGCTCCAGAATTTTTAACAGATTCTCCTTTATCTTGAACTCTGTGTTCATTACAAAGAAAATTGACCAATAGTCAATTCCCCAGGTAATCCTAAAACTAGCTGTTAAACCTTCCTTTCCGAAAACTTGTCAATATATCATTGCTGCCTATTCCTAAGACATTTTCTAATAATTCTTATTAGATTATATGAAGTTGCTTATTATTAAAGCAACTTCAACAATGCTTAATAGACAAAAACAGAAGTACTAAAACATTAAAATGGAAGGCCACCAAGATCTGCATCATTAAATATAGAGTTGGAATTCCTTCAGCAAAATACGTTTACCAAGAACATACAACATACAAGTGTTTTGATATTTTTTAATAGATGGACTACTTTATGTTTTTATTCACAATTACTTGCATATTTTGTAGATGATTTTTTAATAGATGGACTACTTTATGTTTTTATTCACAATTACTTGCATATTTTGTAGATGTTGATAGAGGCATTCAACTGCATGTATACTTTTCCAAAATTAAATTTACTTCTTCCTCTGGACAGTTAGCTTCCATAGGTAATTAGTCAAATGGGAGATCATTGCATTGTGAAAGTTCACTATCTATGAAAGTTTTATTTTCATAGTAATGTGAAAATGAGTCTATATATCCATTATTGCACCAAAGAGTTATGGTAGGAAATTTAAATAATGCTTAACACACTACACATCAATAATACTACTGTGTCATTTTACTACCCATCCCAGTAAATATTCCATTTTCTGCATGCTATATATTTTCCTGTAACTGGGGTAGTTACCAGAGGCCACTGCTCTGTAAATTCCAAGTACCATCTGGTCTGAGAGAAAAACATATGCCAGCCTTTACAGAATAAGGTTTTACTGATAAAGGCTTTTAAGTAGCATCTGTTTCCCATAGAAAGGAAATGGTGTTGATACTTAATCTGTCCAATCTCAACCAATTTCACCATAAGGAATATGGCTTTCTTTTAAAGTTGGGTACTCTGGTTATAAGAAATTAGCAGTAAAGACTGCATTCCCAGTAATAGCTTGCCATAGTAGGTTGACACTAGTGTTTCCACAGCCAAAGTCTCTAGTTTACCCAGCCCCACTGTTTCTCTCTCTCCTTCCATCCCTCCTTTCCTTCCTACCTTCTTTAATTCCTTCCCTCCTCTTTTACTTCCTTTCTTCTTTTCTTCCCCTATTTCTTCCTTCCTTCTTTTCTTTCTTTTTAAATTTCAAATAGTTTTATTGTCTAACTGGCCTACCCAGCACAGGCAAGATTCCTGAGAAATAATTCCTTCTAGTGACCATGAGTTAAAATTCCTTCTCACAAAAATGAGCCTCCAGAAAACCATCTGCACTTCATTACCACATCAAATTTAATTCCCAGGGATCCCAAATCCCTCTTAGCATGTTGGAGCTGGTTTTAGTTAATGCCGTAAGTATAGTTGCTACTAACTCTTTATGCTGTGAGTGCTGTTGAAGTATATAATTGGCACCCAAAATACTGATCTTCCAGAAGATTGTCAGTTGAACATGATGACTCCTAGGTGCAGTTCAATTTAATATGCATAAGACTGCCCATAATCATTCTTTTCAAAGTTTCAAAGGCAAATCCATCAGTGATATTTGATCATCATATCAAGCAATAGTTTACTCTCTTGGACTCCATTCCAATGTCCTATTTGTTTAATATTTCTTCCACATTCACATGTGATTTATTGAAAAGAGCAAAGGGGATTCCAGCCTATTAGAAATGCAGTGATGGCACATTTTTCTTCATAGCCATACCCAGCTGAGAGTCACAATACAACCAGCTCAGCTCAAGGGTAAGATTTCTCTCCAGCCTACAACAGAACTACTACGATAAATGTAACCAACAAAATGAGATTCAAATGAAAATTTCAACCAGTTAATATAAAGGTAGGTCATCGAGGGTAATTGATGTCTTTTCAGTAAATAACCTAAGCAGAGTTCTTGGCCTAATCTTGTAGCTTGGCTTCAATGCCATTCTCCTTTCCAGTGGGAGAAAATTTTAGGATCTTCTTTCTGAGCTGGCAATTACTTGGTACTACAGAATACAGAAACTGTTAAGAGTGTTTTCGTCTTGTTCTGAGATATTCTCTTAGGATAAAAGTGATGTGTTCATTCTCAGCATCATTACACATTTTATGCACACCTTTCTCATCTGCCACAATTCCCCCTTTGCTTTCCATTTGTTACCTACTTATTACCAGATTTTACTCCTTGGGTGTGTCTCTACTGCTTACCTACATAAGGCAAATAGCTGGAATAACCCTGCCAGGCCTTCCCCAGGAAGAAGAACTATAAATATAAGTAGTGATGGGACCACCCCACTTGTAGGCAATGGAGCAACACTTACAGCCAGTCCTACTTTATGCATGAGATGGAGTCACTATCAAGTCCATTGTTTCCTTACCAGGATGCAAGTCAAATTCACAGGGATTGAAATAGTATCCTGAGTGGTGATGCCTCCCTATGCTGGGATATGCTATTGTAGCTGATACAACTTGATCTGGCAAGATAAAAGAAAATTTTTGTTGGAAAGATAAAGTTGTGCAAATGCATCATCAATCTTCTCTTTATCCCTACAACCATTTACCAAAATTCTTCCCAATGGGTTTTTCTGCTTTAAATTCACCCAATCCGGCCAGGTAGTCCTTCATGACCTCATCATCACCAGTTTTTATCAACAGATATTTTAATTGCCCATTCCAGTTAGTTTTTTGGGGAGTGGGAAGAGCAAATATTTTTAATTAGTTACTTGCCTTTTTTTTTTTAACACAAATATACTGGAGAATCACGCAATGCTGTCAGCATCTAACACAATCCTGGGCCACAAGTCTGCACACTCCTTTCCAACTGGTCTTATGATGGCAGGACCTTTCCATCTTGCCTTCATTGTTTTCTATGACCCCTATATTATCTGCAAAATAAAGAAACATGCCATTCTTTCTTTGGTATGACTTTTTTTTTGTTGAACTACCACTGCTGGATATACTTCCTTTCTGAGCTCTGGTTGTTTGCCTTTATTGACTGACCATCACCATGTCACCCACTCCAGCAGTGGAAAGTCTGTTCAGCTGCCCTTTGATTCCCTTCACAGACATGATATAGAGATTTTTGGCTCCTGTGTTGTCAACACAATTGATCTTGGCTCCTATCAGAAAACCCAAGGAATTCCAGTATTTCACACTGGAGAACCCACCACATCCTTGCTTAGACATGTTGAACGCTGAAAAAGGGCAGAATGACCCATTTCAGTTCTTGATCAAACTGTTGCTATATTGATGATGCAGAACTTCATAAGTCCATATGATGCTGAGTCTCTTAGCTCGGTTTTGTACATAGGCAACATGATGTGTATACTCTGATTTAAGGAAATGCAACCTAGGAAACTGAGCTTATTCACATTCTGTTGTTCCACATCTTTAATAGTGTCCTAGGCCAGGGATGCCCATCCCCCAAGCCACAGACCAGTATGAGTTGTGACCTGTTAGGGACCAGGCCACACAGCAGGACATGAGCAGCGGGTGACTGAGGGAAGCTCCATCTGTATTTACAGCTGCTCCCCATTGCTCACATTACTGCCTAAGCTCTGCCTCCTGTCAGATCAGCGGTGGAATTAGATTTTCATAGGAATGTGAACCCTATTGTGAACTGCGCGTGTAAGGGATCTAGATTGTGCGCTCCTTATGAGAATCCAATGTCTAATGATTTGTCACTGTCATGCATCACCCCAAGATGGAACTGTCTAATTGCAGCAAAACAAGCTCAGGACTCCCGCAGATTATACACTATGGTGAGTTGTATAATGATTTCTTTTTATATTATAATGTAATAATAATGGCAATAAAGTGCACAATAAATGTAATGTGCTTGAATCATCCCAAAACCACCTGACCCACCACTGGTCTGTGGAAAAATTGTCTTCCATAAAACCAGTCCCTGGTGCCAAAAATGTTGGGGACCACTGTCCTAAGACATTGCTACACCCAAAGTATAAGCAAAGTCAAAGCCCGACATTCATTTATTCTAGTCAGAACCCAGTTGAAGACACCTGGGGCTACTAGTAAGGTTTCTACATAGTCTACCTGTGGTTCTTTGCTTTCAAAGAATCTTACCAAAAGCCGTGTTTTAGAAATTCTCTATTAGCATTCTGAATGCTGTGTTACTACATTAGCAGTTTCCATAAAGGAGTATGTCGTGATTCCACCCAATGTTTATAGCTTGAATGACAATATCTCCGTTTATTTCATGTACCCAAATGAAGACATCCAAGGAATGGACCAGTATATCAGCCTTTGTATTCTAATGCCTCTTTAGCCAGTAACTAGGCTTTATTTGGTGGCCACTGACATGATCCATTTTAATTCTTCCACAAAATTGCTACAGATTTTCATAATTTAATGCTCCTCAAAGTGTATTCTTAATTGACTGATCATGTGGATCTCATATGCGCTAAATGCAAGGGCATTAACCACAGCATGAATCAGAATAGCAAGCATTACCTCAGATGAGTCAAAATTGTCCTATACTGTCAGATATACTGCCTTCAATTTTGCCCATTTTGTGGACCTAACTTTGCCTTCAGCTAAGGTTTACCATCAGCAGGGTAACACTCAGAATAGTGGATACCCTGGCTAATAACTAGGCTGGGGCATAAGTGGGACTTCTGACATGCCTGCTGGTGAAGTTCTGTTTCTTATCTGAGTGCTAGTTTCTTGGATTTGTTAAGTTTATAAAAATGCATTGGGCCATATACATGAATCATGCACTTTTTATGTTTATACTATATTTTAAAAAAAAGCTTTTTAAAAGTAATTGCTAATAATTTTATATGTATTAATAAGACTTGAATTAAGTTGGCTTAAGATTATCAAGGATGCTAACCTGAGAGAATGATAGCAACACATAAAGGAATAATGAAGGGGTGAATGTGTGTGTGAGAGAGAGAGCGAGAGAGACAGAGACCGAAATAGAGAGACAGCTAGAGAGAGAGAAATAGTCAACAGCTTTTAAATCCCCAGATTCAATCATTTCTGAAGCCAGTTCTATGCCCTTTCTTTGGTTTGATTACTTGATCCAATACTATAATCCTCTTTTTTATTCATATAGTTCAGGGTGAGTGTTGTCACTTGTAACTAAAATAGTTATAACTATAAAGTAATCAAGCTATAGCCTCTTTCAGTTTTAGTCTTACAGAATTCTTATGAATATTAATTACCACATTCGGTAAGTATCAAACATTAAGCAAAAATGGCTTTAGGTGAAAGAATACAACATTAAGAAGGGATTCATACAGGCCAAAATCACATACTTTAGAAATAAAATCAGAAGGCAAAATTAAGATGAAAGCAGTGAATATCAGAAGATGCTGACAAATCATAATTTTTCCAAAATCACACACACTCTCAAGTTAGACCCGAGTTTTATAAGAAATTTATTTTTTCACAGATACAGAACATAAATCCAAGAAAAATTATTATTATTTTTCACAATTATGACTAAATCATGTTATTTCTAGTTATTTACAAGTACTACAATGTTCTATGCATTTCTTCATCCTAGACATTAATAAAACACATCCCTTTGGTCTTAGATACTTCTCTTTGGTCTGTGTTTTCTCCTTTCTGAATTTTAATCTTCTGTGATGTGAGGAAATTTACGTGAACCTTTCACATATCTATTTTTTTCCTTGTGCACAGTTGATAATTTCCTCCCTTAGATTCCCTGAGAAAAGAAACACAAAATATTCTTAGTGGATTATCTCAGGAAAGGCAACCAGAGGGAAGAGGAATATTGGACCACTGAAAATCTCAACCAACGCTAATATTAGGAGCACACGTACCATGAGGAAGAGAAGGGATGGGGAAACCAAGATGGCAGAGTTAGAGCAACAAAGTTAGTAACATGAGAGTTTCCCAGCAATTTGAGTAAGAGAGAATTGGAGAGGATGTGATATTCTGAATTGATTTCCCAAGCACTAAAATAAGATTTGAGTATACTAAACTGAAACCTCTGTCAAATCTCTAAATGGAACAGAGCAGCATGTACTATGCACAGATTGTTAAAAGAAAGTTTATGTAATACTAAATGCGGTGGCCATTACATAAAAGGACATACCTCTACCTAGCAATGACCATACTGCATGAAGAGGGACTAAGATGAAGGAAAGAAACAAAAAGGCAAGTCAAAGAAAGACAGGAGTGTAAGGTCCTAAGGAAGGGGCAAATAATCAAAGGTCTCATCTGATCAGGAGCAATGCCAATCCAATCCAGTTCTAGGTCCCAAGTAAAGAAACATAGTCTGAGAAAAGAGGCCAGGGATACAGCTTGGGATGTTCAGAGAGTGGAAATGACAGAGGTGGATTATTTTAAAACTTTCATCTCAAGACAAAAAGGGAAAAACATAGTGCAGATTCTCTAGTATGAACTCCAGGAAAAGAGGGAAATGCAAGGAGGGAAAAATGCATCCAGGGAGTGGGTTAAAAAGCAGAACTAATCACAGGGCAACAACCCACAAAAAGACAGAGAGCTGCCAGGTATTTAATAGATCCAAGCAGAAAGTAGCCAACTACCTGACCGCTTCCAAGCTTCCACACCACCAAACCATCTACCTATTTGCTCAAAAGGCAAATCCTCTAAGAAGTCATCTGCAGCCCATAGCATTCGTCTCAGAGCAGAAAGAATTAGAACATCCTTTACAGGGTCCAGCTCCCACTCAGAGGAATAATTGCTAACCACCGAGATGTCAGAAAGAGCAAATCCAAGTTTTCTTTGGACTTCCTCTAGCTGCAATACAGAAATTAAAAAGACATTGCAAAACAGTGAAAAATATTATTTTATGTTAGTATAAATTATGAAAGCAATATCAAGATGTAGGAACTTGCAATAATTTCCCATTGGAAAAAAATGGAGATCTGGTCTCACAAAGTACTCTTGAAGAACTTCACATATCAAGTTCTAATGTCACTGATAATTGTAATTTGGAATACATGCAGTGGATTCTAAATGATTTAGAAACAAAATTTTTATGACACCTATCCTACAGTCCATATATTTCCTGTTTCTTTTAAAAAACATTCTCTGGATAAGTAGATTTTATTAGACCAGTTTAACGTTTAATTCTTGTTTAGACTATTTTACCTCTAGAATCAAACTGCCTAGGTTCGAAATATTTATCTGTCACTGCTCAGCACTGTCAATAAACGTTGGCAGATGTTTACTCTGTTTTCTTTGTTTCCTCACTTGTAAAATGCAGTAATGATAGTACCCATTTCATAGGCTTGTTATAAGGACTGATTAAGAAAATCTATCACATACTTAGTGCTCAACAAATACTTGCTATCATTGCATTCTCCCAACTGGTGTTCCCACCTCCAGGTTCCTTTTGATTCCAATCTATTCTGTACACAGTGCCAGATTAATTTTTCTGAAGATCATAACTTTAATTAACTTTGATCATATCATTACTCTTTCAAAAAATTGCTGTGATTCCTCATAATGCTCCTAATTAAATAAAATTACTTCATGCAAATGTTCCTTGCCCATTTTATCTCTGCCTACAAAGATCCAGCCCTTCACTAACCTGAACTCCACATTTCCCAAACATGCTGACTTTTCCTCCATTAATATATTGTCTTATGCTGAATTTGTTGGCCCTTTTTGTCTCTTCATTTTGTGAAATATTTCTTCTCCTTGAAAGCCGTTTCCCTGTGCCGTTCCATTGATGAAATCTCCCCGAACCCCTTTAACACTATACTTTCCTTCTCTAAACTTTTAAAGCACTTTATTTTTCATTGTTTCATTATATTTATCACACTCAATCGTACATAATCTCTTGTCAACTTTTTCTTATCCCACACTCCCATCCCCTCACCACTATTTATAAAATTGTAAAATTTTTAGTGCGGGGGAATTTTTTTCATGATCTGTGTAGCTGATAAGAGAGTAACACACTGGCTCAACCTTAAAGATAATATCAATAAACATTTATTGAATTGAATCTAGTTGAATTAAATTGTAATAAATGAACTTACCCATGTCAGTGTAAAGATAGACAGTTAGCCTTCTGTATCCATGGGTTCTGCATCTGTGAGTTCAACTAAGGCTCAAAAAAAATTGAAAAAAAATGGCTGGGTATAGGGACTCATGCCTTAATCCCAGAACTTTGGGGGACCGAGATGAGCAGATCACCTGAGGTCAGGAGTTTGAGACCAGCCTGGCCAACATGGTGAAACCTAATCTCTACAAAAATACAGAAAAGATTAGCCAGGCATGGTGGCATGTGCCTGTAATCCCAGCTGCTGAGAGACAGAGGCAGGAGAATCACTTGAACCCAGGAGGCGGAGGTTGCAGTGAGCCGAAATCATGCCACTGCACTCCAGCCTGGGCAACAGAAACTTCATCTCAAAAAAATAAATTTTGAAAAAATATTTCATCTGTACTGAACATGTACAGGTTATTTTCTTGTCATTAATAATGAAAAATAGAGTAGAACAACTATTTACAAAGCATTTAATTTGGGTTAGGTATTATAAGTAATCTAGATATTATTTAAAGTATACCAAAGGATGTGCATAGGTTATATGCAAATACAAATACTATGCCATTAAGCATCCACAGATTTTGGTAACAATGCAAAGTCCTGGAACTAATCCCCTGCAAATACCAAGGAACAACTGTATTTAATTTTTAAATCTTGGGAAACGGGCCCTATTTAAGTAATTTTGTAATTCTTCTTAAACCCAGTAGCTGCTTGTTTTTATTTTTATACACACTAGTATGTGATTGTAGTAACATACCCCAGAAAATGTGTTTACGAAGGGCATCATTCATTACCTTGGACCTCACAGGCTCACATCTCTCTATTTCTATAAGGTCACCTTTTGTAATCAAATCCATGCTATCCACATGAGTGAGCAAAGCCACATGTACCACACCTATGCCAAACAGAATTTTTTAAATCATTTTAGAGAGCATCAGTATTTTCAAGTTATTTAACTATCAATTATGTAATAGGCAACCTATGGAACAATTTCAGATTTGGAAAGATCCCCCACACCCCGGTCACCCTCATCTCCCCAAAAAACTCCCCTGGACTACTTATTAGTATCTGGAATTTCTCTGACATGGGGAGTCACCTTCATTGATTTCAATGGTAACAAATGAGGCCTCAAATGAAACCACCTCTTGGAAGAGGTAACTAAAATTTATGCTGCAATATTACTGATTGATTTCATATTCTGTCCAGAAGTTGTGTTTTGACAGAGACTAAAGACCAAAGGGCTCTAATAAACAAGATGGGGGAGAAGAATCCTCAAGAAAGAGACAGAATGTGTCAAAGCATCACAAGTAAACTTCCCTTATTTCACAACACTAGCAATCATCTCTCTGCACATCTCCTCTTTGCAAAGTTTTAAATTTCAGCAAGCAGGTAAGTTGATCACTCTCTGCTTCAAAACTAAGAACAGTGATAAACTGGCTCTTTCTCACTCAAAGTGGATATGACAAGAAAAGCCAGAATGGCTCACCCTAAATCCCTGATCCTGGTTACCTTCTCCAAACTCTTTACCTCTCCCTACAAACATCTTACCTTCCTGTTTCTTTTCCTTTCGGAAATGTTTCTTCTTCATTTTCTAATTCTTAAAGCTCAAGGCCCAATATTGGTCAATAAAGCATGCGAAGATATAGGGGTAGCATGTAGTTCAGATTGTACTACCCTTCACATATGCATTAATTTGTTTTAATTCTTAACAAAAAAGTCTCTAAGAGGTACTATTATTATACTAATTTTATTGATTAGAGAATTGAGGCACAGAGAGTTTAAGTTACTTGCACAAAGTCATATAGCCAATGAATGCTCAATTTCATTGAAGCATCCTGGTAGGCTAGGGAAGATTGAAATATGCAATGACTTAAGTTCTTTATCCTGTCCAAAAAGCATTCTAAAATACAGTCTAGTCAATTACCCTTAGTGGTATTACCCTTAGCAAAGTGGAATGAGACTCACCAGCGTTTACCAACTCCCTTCGAATTCTTTTGATCTTTACTATCATCTGAGAGGAGAAGTATTGAATAGAGCTGGCATCAAATACAAATGCCACACAATGAATTCTGTCCTTCAGCGATGGGGAATCAATGTAGTCATGATGATTTAATTTGATTGATTCCATGGGATTAAACTGTAAGGTAGACATAAAGCAAGATATTAATTCAACAAATATTTATGAGCACAAACTATGTACCAGGCACTGTGCAAGTGAATCAAATGGTAAACAAAACAGAAAAGTCTCTAATAGTATGAGGCTAACAATCTTGGTAGAGAAGACAGGCATTATGCAAGTAAGCCAGCAGTCCTTTCACCTAGTCAAGTAAGGCCTCTGTGAGGAAAGGACATGTAATCTGAGAGCTAAAATAGCAGGAGTGAGTCTGCTAAAGAGAATAAGGATATGGCTGAAAGTGTTCTAGATAAGAGAGGCAATCTGCCCACAGATGGAAGTAAGAGCATTCAGAAAAAAAAGCTGGTACCATCAAGCAGAGCGCAAGGAGGGAAGGGGTCCAAGGTGAGATGACTTTACTCTTCATCTAGCACTTCTCTGTTGGGAATCTGTCCCACTGATATACTGACAAAAATGCAAAATGATATATGCAAAGATTATTAACTGCTGGAACATTTGTAGCAGAAAAATGCCATGTCAGTTAAACAATGTCTGATAAGTCAATATAACATAGTTTTCTACCACTTCTCTAAGAAGGGAGTAGCAGCAAATTTATATGTACTTTGTTACATATTTTAAAAGGCAAGTAAAATATAAATTTTATATGGTTACTAATGGGAAGAGGGGAGAAATTTATTTGAAGGGGCAGAGAAGGAAGATAGATTCTTTGACTATACATTATTTTGTAGATTTGATCTTTGAACCACATAAATGCTAAACATAAATATAAAACCAAATTAACTTAACAATTCAATTCCTAAATTTAATTTAATTAGTGAACTGTTATGGTTATAATACAAGAATAAACTATTCTGATTGACTTTAAAATACAATAATTTGTACACCCCTCCAAGGATACATGATACAACCTAAACACACTATAAAAATATGCTAAAATGTTTTAATTGTTTCCAGTTTTGATTGTGATTATATGAAACGATATTAAGTGTGATTATGATGAGATTGTTCATGGTACTGATAGAGCTTTTATACTGAGGTTACTATAGATGTTATATAAGATAAAGGAAATGAGCTGTGACATGATATTCTGTTACCTCCAGTGTTTTTGAGAATGAGAATTCTCAGTTTGGGTGAAAGCAGATATACGAGTGATAGAAAAGAGAGTAAGTAAAAACTTTCTAGTACTGAATTTGAATAAGAAGTTTTAGTATAAGTTTATAATTTATTTTTTTTCATTAAAATGTATATTACTTAACTCTACTCACTGAGAAAGTCAAGAAACAATGACCAACCAAGTAGCTATGAGCATTTCTAATGCCCCACACCAGGACTACTTGAAGAAATAGCTGTTTCAAAAGCTGTGGCAAGAATAAAAGAATATAAAAAAGACTTTTAGGTTCATGTCAAAAGGACTCAGGATCCAAATTGTAGAGGCTTTCACTGGTACAAGATGGTACATTTTACATCAGTATGGAGAAAACCTACAATGGATTGAAACACACAATGTATGTTCAATTCATATTGAGTTCTTAATAACAATAAAATAATATCTTGACCCTATTGGCAAAGGCGAAGGAGATGTTATAATTTCAAAGTCTTGCAAAAAGGCAAAAATTTCAAGCATATATCCTGTTGTTCTTTTTAAACTGTGCCACTGGGTAATCAAAGAATGGATGAGGGTAAGCTTCCTTTCATATGTGAAATGGTGAAAGAATAATATAGAATGTCACTATTTTCACACTTTAACAAATAAATGGATCTAGGAATTAAACATTGATTAACACCAGTATTAGAAAAGGGATAAATCCCCATATTGTGCATGGTTTCATATAATACAACACAATCTATGAAGTAGAACCTAAATTGAAACACACTTTAGCTTCAACTCTCAATAATCAGGACACACAGAAAACAGAGGACCATGTAAAACTACCCCGAGGGATGCAAATAATGGAGTTCAGATTACGTAGAAGTCTACAAAACAACTAGATTTCTTAAGAAACAAATGATAAGGAAAAAGCAAGGGATATAAAGTCAGAACATACAATCAAAGAGACTGAATAGACCTATTTGAATGTTTTTCAAACAAACTTAAAGATGTATATTTATAAAGCAATTAGAAATTTGAACATTGAGTTGTATTTGATAATTTATGGAATGATTGTAAATTTTAGGTGGGATAAGAGTATTATGGCTATGTTTAAGGAGAAATATATATATGCTCCTATTTATATAGTTATATGTATATTCAATATTGAATGAAATGTTATGATTTCTTGGGTTTGCTTCAAAATAATAAGAGAGAAGAGAAAGTGGGTAGATATAGATAAAACGAGATTGGCTGTGAGTCAAAAATTTTTGATGCTGAGTACATGGGAATCCATTAAACTACTTTGTATATTTTAAAATTCTCTATGATAAAAAGTTTGTATTTAAAAAAGAATATTTAAAAATAAACAGCATTTACAAGATAACTCTATACTAAAGAATGAAAAAATCTTGCATGAATAGAAAAACAAAACTTGCTGTGTTTTTTAATAGGCACACGAGATATGTAAAGATGTCAATCAATTTTCAGTATAAAGTGTAAATATAATTTCAATCTAAACAACAAGAAATCAAACACAAATGATCAAACAAAGCACAAAAAACCTCACTTGAAAAGGCCTATGTATGAAAATTGCCAAGAAAAACAAATAGGAGTAATAAAAAATGAATGTGACTTGTCTGGTAACTTATCAAGCCATAATTGATTACTACGGTAATTAAAGCAATTAGATAATATAGTAATTAAAATAATTAAAATGCTGTCATGAAATAATAGATCACTACATCAATAGAAAAAACTAGACAATACAAAAACTGACCCAAATATTTCATAATGGAAAGATACAAAAGGCATTCAGTGATGCTGGCATCATTAACTGCCATTTGGAACAAAGTAAACTTACTGATTAATTCGAGATCTGAATGTTCATTAAAAGACTACAAGTTTAAAAAATATATACTTAGATGGTTTTTTGATCTCCCCTTCCTCTTGCCTGGATCACTGACAGTGCTCAGTGTTTTTTCACATAAAAATGACAGCCATACGTCTCAGTCAGGTGGGGCTGCTATGACACATTATACAGATCGGGTGCTTAAACAACAAACATTTATTTCTCACAGTTCTGGAGGCTGGGAATTTCAAGATCAAGGGGCCAGAAGATTCAGTTTCTAGTCACGGTCCTCTTCCTGGTTTATAGAGAGTCACCTTCAGGCTTTATCTTCACATGACAGAAAGAGATCATCTTTCTTATGTATATAAGAGCACTAATCCCATTCATGAGGTCTCTATCTTCATGACCTAATTACCTCCCAAAGTCGCTACCTCCAAATACCATCACATTGAGGACTAGGGACTTCAACATATAAATTTGGGGGAGGCATATCTTAACAGCCCATGCTGAGGGCCTCAAAAAGTCAGAAGGATCTCTGAAGTTAGTAACTTCAGATAGCTGCCACACTGGTCCCAAGCTGCCTGCCTTCAGACTTCCTCTTACATAAGAAAAATTATCTGTGTGGGTAAGTTGATGTAGTTGGATTTCTGTTTCACATAGCTGAAAGCAATAGAAAGTGGAGTAGCTGTTAAGATAGCCATGATGGAAGAGCCCTCGAGATGTTTTTATTCTTTTTGAAAAAAAAAATCTAAAAGAGACAAAGGATCTTGAGCAAGTATAATTTAAGAAGATAAACGCTGATACATTTGTACAAAAATAAGCATTTTAAAAATCAGTTATAATTTCTCATTAGTCAAATATTACCTGGTATCTATCACGAATGTTACCGTTCAAGATATAGAATATGTCATCCCTGCACAGGCCGCCTTCTTTCTCACTCAGCCCCAGTGAGTCACACAGAATAAACGGCAGGTATTTGCCATCTTTCCCGTCTCTAATAGAGTATGTCCTATACTGTAGAGGGGAGAAAAGCAATTTTAAAGATTCATTTTTTATTATAAATTGAGATGAAGTCTATATGTAATAAAGTTGATCTGCAAAAGGCTTTTGAAATATAATTGATTTGAACAGAGAAGCAAAGGCTAGGTGGCCTCAAATGTGCTTACCTTCTCAGATATCCCAGTTGTATTAGTGCCCACCAAAGCCTGATGCGTTACATGCCCTTGGAAAACAGACCTCACTGAGTTGAAAAAGCTGGACTTCCCAGCTCCAATTGGACCCAGCAGCAGAATTCGTATTTGTTGAACCAGGGATCCATATGGTTCATAAGTTCTCAAGGCAGACAGTAAGCTCTTCCTGAGCCTGTTTAGACATGACCGTTTTTAACAATTGACTGAGGTTAGGTCGCAAAACCTTATTATAAATTTTCTGAGAATTCATTTTTTCATAGATATTATTTTTGATTAGCAACTTGACTTCTTACATGAAAGACATGAGACGAACCTACCTGAAATCCTATTGCAAAAAGAACAAAAGGCAAAAATAATACACAACTAAAGCCAGACATAAAATCTTTCAGATTTAAATTACTAGACCATATAAATCTAAAGATAAGTAATAGCTGTTTTAAACATAAAGATCAATTATTTAAGACTAAACTTCAGAAGTCATATATATTGTGTCACATATATATAAGTCACAATATATATGACTTCTGAAGTTCATGAAAGTAGACAATTTCTAACATGTTCTTGAAGTTCATGGTAGGTTTTCTCCACCCACCAACCACTTCTTCTACAGCAACTCTCTAGAGTAGTTGAAATATTAACTGCAAGAATTCTAAGCAAAACACAGACATACAAACAAGTAATTATTTTTCTTCAAGTATATGACATTAAAATTCCTTTCCTCTACTCAGTGTCCTTTTTTTTAACATTAATATTATCAAATATTTTATGATTATAAATACAGTTTGTTCTTGATGATCCACAAGTTATGTGTGATAATATGTGTTGCCAATTATATTGATGAGACCTATCATAGAATAAGTCAAAGATAATGAAGAGAGTAATAGAATCTTAAAAACATTGACTTACTCAATGACCCCTTTTATCTTTCTTTCATCCAGTGAATCTGGGGAAATAATCAAAGAATAATGTAGATTAGAAGTTGTCGAATAATTGGCTGAATGAATGAATGAATATCAGTGAATTCACTAGGGACAAATACAAAAATAGCCTTTCCATGAGAATGGTCCCGTATGGTGAAAAGGGAGCAATTTTGTAGAGCAAATTCTGATAAATCTCTTTAACATCATCTCATTTGAAGAGGCTAGGGCTAGAGGTAAGTAGACCCTCTGTACTATCAGCAGATCTCTTCTCATTCAATTACTCAACAGTAGTGTGTAACTTACTCCGACATGGGAATTGAGGCTGTGGGTGTTTTCTAAATAAAAGAAGCAAGGCCTAGAGATGTGGGAATATCTAATGTGGAAATGTGGGAATGTCTAATAAGACATTTTCCCCTCCATAATCCAATAAGTCTGAGAGGAATAATGTGCAGAGACACAAAAACAGAAAACACAGGCACTAGATTTTCTCTACAACCTGCTATTAACAATTGGAACTCCAGGAACTTCCAGCTCACTTAATTTTATTCCTGCTCCCAGAAGAGAAGATGAGACTCATGCCTACCCAACCAGAGCACAGTAAATTGTTCAGGGGTAAGCAGTGGATTTCATTCAGATCAATAAGGCACGGGCTCAGAATTTTTTTTTTGGAAAGAGACATTTTTATGGTGAATTTAAAACAGAAAGGATAAGGATAAGCGATGCTACCAATTCTCTCAACTACAAAAGAAGAATATCATGTGGAACATTTATAAACATGGCTATATGTATGGCAACAAAGTAAACAATAAATTACCAATAGTAGAAATTATGAAAACTTCACTCAATATCTATAATGTAATAAGACTAGCAAAGTGCAAGTACAAACAATTGGAAAAGCAGCCTCCTGGGAGTTTAAAAAGAACTGTCTTAAATAACTTTAATACCCAAAAGGAAATAAAAACCACAATTATAAATATATAGGAAATAGCAATATGAACCTTTATGTCAATGTTTTGATAAAATCCCATTTCATTAATGGCAAGAAGGAAAACATTGAAAATTGAAAATAGAATAAAAAAGAATAAAGAAACAAACCACACAAATATAAAGAGAAATTATAAAATATAAAACCAAATTTTAAAACGTGAAGAAAGGATAAATTAATATAGTAATTGATTATTTTAAAATGTAAAATAAATAATTATCTTGTTTTATCAAAGAAAGACAAATTTGCTAAATGTCATATCACCACTCATATACCAAAATAGTTACATAATCTAAAAATAAAACAAAATGCTGAAAAAGATTTGGAGTGACAGAGACCTTTGTACACTACTTATAGTTCTAGAAATTTATATAAAACTATGTTGGGAAATTTCATCAGTGTCAACTGAAAATGAACATATACATACCCTATGATCCAGCAATTTCATTGTATTTTCTTCAAAAAACAATTATATGTACCAACCAAAAGATAAGTACAATAATAATATTTATAGCAGTATTATTTGTAATAGCCCCAAACTGGAAAACAAATGTCCACCAGTGATGATTGGATAAAATACTGTGCAGGATGCACCACAATGGAATACTATATGAATGAAAAGGAACAAACTATTGCTACGTACAAAAATAAGGGTGAATCACTAGGAAGGTAGGAGCTAAAGCAGCTAGACAGATACATTCACTCACTTTACCAGGGAACACTCTCAGGGAAAAAAGGAAGACAACTGACTGAGTCTAATTTTCTAATAAATACGCTGGTAATTTTATGTCCTGGTAAATAGACTAATGATATTTCCCACACGGAATACTACACATCTCTTGAACGTCCTTAACAGGATACCTGTGGCTAAGCATTACTTAGTAAATAAATCTAGATTCCAGCCGGGCACGGTGGCTCACGCCTGTTATCCCAGCACTTAGGGAGGCCAAGGCAAGCGGATTACGAGGTCAGGAGTTCGAGACCAGCCTGGCCAGCAAGGTGAAACCCTGTCTCTATTAAAAATACAAAAAATTAGCCGGGGATGGTGGTGTCCGCCTGTAATCCCAGTTACTCGGGAGGCTGAGGCAGGAGAATTACTTGATCCCGCGGGGCGGAAGTTGCAGTGAGCTGAGATCATGCCACTGCGCTCCAGCCTGGGTGACAGAGACTCTGTCTCAAAAAAAAAAATCCAGATTCCATGGATTAAGGGGGCATGCTTGCCTGCCTTGAAAATGTCGTGGAAACTGGTGTGTAATTTTTCAATATGTAAAGTGGCCCATAAACTTCACTTAAAACCCCTGCCTATTTTTCTGGCCCTTAAAGCATATGTCCAATATGGAAAGGAAAGATTTAGGGAGCCACACAGAATATCTAAGTACTCTTTCTGCCTTTTCTTAGGTTTCTGCTTGCCTCTATCTTTGAAATTACTAATACAGCAATATTAGATATTATGCTAAGTGAAATAAGCCAGACACAAAAGGACAAATACTACATAATCCCGCTTATATGAGGAATCTAAAATAGTCGAATTCATAAAAGCAGAGTTAGAATGGTGGTTTGCCAGGGACTGTTGGAAGGAGGAAAGGAGGATACATTTGTCAAAGGGCATAAAGTTTTACTTATGCAAGATAATTAAGTCCCAGAGATCTACTGTACAGCATAGTACCTACAGCAACAATACCATATGGCAGGGGTCCCCAACTCCCGGGACCACGGAGCCGTGGCTCTTTGTGGCCAGTTCGGATCCAGGCCACAGAGCAGGACGTGAGAGGCAGGCGAGTGAAGCTTCATCTGTATTTACAGCTGCTCCCCATTGCTCATATTACAGCCTGAACTCTGCTTCCTGTCAGATCGGTGGCGGAATTAGATTCTCATAGGAGCGCAAACCATATTATGAATTGTGCATGAGGGATCTAGGCTGCATGCTCCTTATGATAATCTAATGCTTGATGATTCACTGTCTCCCATCACCCCAAGATGGGACCGTTTAGTTGCAGGAAAACAAGCTCCGGGTTCCCGCTGATTCTACATTACAATGAGTTGTGTAATTATTTCATTGTATATTACAACATAGTAGCAATATAAATAAAGTGCACAATAAATGTAATGCGCTTGAAATCATCCCCCCACCACCAGTCTGTGGAAAAATTGTCTTCCACGAAACTGGTCCCTGGTGCCAAAAAGGTTGGTGACCACTGCTGGTACATGGTAAGTCGTCACTTAACATCACCATGGATTCTTGGAAACTGTAATTTTAAGCAAAACAACATACAGCATGTCCCTGAATAATGTCTTTCTTCTATAATGATGAGGGAAATAAACTGGTTTCGTTGTAAGTTTTTTCACTTAAGTCACATTTTCCAAGAACCTATAGTCCACATTAACAGAAGATTTACTGTACTTAAAATGTGCTAAGAGGATAAATCTTACGTTAAGGGTTCTTATCATAAATATACATTTTATTGACCATGGTTGTCTCTTAGCAAACAATCTGTATCCAGGTTTCAGTCTGAATCATCCAAATTATTGACAAGTGAAAAGTTCATTTTTCCTTAAAGAGATGAATTGGTTCAAACCTACCAAACATGCAAGGGAGAACTCTCTACAGGATTATCTAATTAAACCTACCTTCGCATCGAAAAACTTCATAATCCTGAATAGAGATAGTACAATTTTGAGCAAGTCCAAGATTTTCCATTGTCTTTAAGTCCATAATCACTTTTCTATTTCTTCCATCTATCTGGAAATTAGTTGGGGAGTTATATTTTGTAACATCACAACAAAACAGTGTTTCTGGTGTACATAGTCCTAGTTTCCATTCTGAAATTTTAGTATCTTGAAGTGCAAAAAGGATGATGGAAGCATACTTTCCTTCCTGGTAACTCTCTTCTGCATATGCTCCAATAATATGATCTTCACTATAAATCACTGTTAGAGTAGGCCCTTGATTACAACATCTGTCAAGCAAAACTCCATTACGGAATCCATGGACACTACCCTTATAGAGAAGGCTAAGCCGCTTCCCTCCAAAATGATTTTGCAGGATCTTTTCGTGCAACCATGTCAAACGAGTTGTCACTGCCATACTTCTTGATCTAGTGGCAAATCATATATATTTTCCATTAAATATTAAAAAACAGATAATATGTAGTTATAAAATTTGCATTTATGCCTCTTATATACTCTACATAATACAAAAAATGACAAAACAAAGGATGAACAGAAAGCAAAAAAATCATTAGCTAATTTTTTACTATAAATTATTGTTTTTTAAATTAAAACAAAAACTGAGATTGGCAAGTGACACTGTCACCTGAGAGAGACAGAGAGAGACTAATGCTAGCTAGGAAAAATGAAAAGCAGAAAGACATTTACCTGTTGTACTGTCTGTAGTATCAGCTAGAGCTGAGGGTAGCTGCTCTGTCTGGATAGCTAGGCAGGCACAAAATGGGAGAAGGAAATTATTCAGCAGCCTTGAAGCTTCAAAGACTCAGAGAAAGGAAACTGAAACTCAGTGTGCCCAGCCCACTTGACAGCATGCCAACTTCTCTCAACAAAGGAGCATAAGCTGATCCAGCTTTTAGACAGTAAATTTATATTAAAAAAATTGAAAGAATCAAGGAATTGAAGTCAGAGGGAAGAAAACATAACAGCTCACTAACTTTTAAAAAATCTTTTTATTTAAGGAAAATGCAACCAATTTCTGTATATGGACATACAAAAAGTATTGCACATTCTACCTCTAGAATATGTATCTCAAATTCATTTACATCTCTTAATCCCTGCTATCAATTAATTCTACTGTAGTATAGTTCCTTATGTAGAATGTTATTTTAGCCTCCAAATTTGTTCCTCTGCTTTTCTGCTTGCCCCCTCTCTTCTGACCACAGGAAAATGAGGAGACTTCATTTATAAGATATAAAACAACCTGTGTCAATTTCACAATAAAACCCCTTCTCTAACTTCACATTGCTAAGGATCATAAATTCGTGTCCTATAGGCAGAATTCAATCCGCACATTTGTTCTGTAGGGCCAATGTAATGTCTTTATAGTTTTTAATTGTTGAACGTGAATGCTTTTATATCATTGGGCATCCACTCTCCAGTCCTCCTTTGTCCCCTCTTGCTTTATACCTGACTGGTTCTAAAAAATTTAAATTACCTGCCTGCCCTAAAAAGGTTTTTTTAATTTGCTGGCCCTATTAAAAACAATAGCATCATCAAATAAAAATATTTTAAGCAGCTTATGAGGTATTATATACTTGGCTTTAAAAATTATATTATTATAGACATTATTTGCAAGACAATTTACATGTATCTCGTGTGTTTATTTTAATAACTTTATGATGAGGACACCAATATTATTGCCACTTTTCAAGTAAATAAACAGAGTTTTGGAGTATTAAGTGAGAAAAAGAGGAGGAATAGGAGTGATGTGGGAAGAAATCTCCTACTTTAGACAGCATAATCAGGAAAGGTCTATCTAATGAGATGTCATTGGAGAAGTGTCCTGAATGGAGTGAGAGGGAGTACCATGGAAATATCTAGGAAAAGTGCTTTATAAGCAGAGAGAATGGCAAGGATAATCACCCCTGTGGCAGCTTTTTGAAGTAAGGAGTTCAGTATGGTTAGTGCAGAGTAAAGTTTGGAGGAGGATAGCAGTGAACAGTAGAATGGAGGGACCAGGTGGAGATAATTGAATCATGGGGCAGTTCGCATCATAGTGAGTTAGTTCTTATAAGATGTGATGGTTTTATAAAGGGCTTCCCCTTTCTCTGGGCACTCATTTCCCTCTCCTGCTGCCACGTGAAGAAGGACATGTTTGCTTCCCTTTCTGACATGATTGTAAGCTTCCTGAGGCCTCCTCAGCCCTGTGGAACTGTGAGTCAATTAAACCTCTTTCCTTTATACATTACCCAGTCTCAGGCAGTTCTTTATAGCAGTGTGAGAACAGACTAATACAGTAAATCGGTACAGAGGGAGTGGGGCACTGCTATAAGGATACCCAAAAATGTGGAAGCAACTTTGGAACGTAACCAACAGAGGCTGGAACAGTTTAGAGGACTCAGAAGAAGACAAAATTGTGGGAAAGTTTGGAACTTCCTAGAGACTTGTTGAGTGGCTTTGAACAAAATGCTGATAGTAATATGGACAATAAAGTTTAGGCTGAGGAGGTCTCAGATGGAGATGAGAAACTTGTTGGGAACTGGAGCAAAAGTGACTCTTGCTGTGCTTTAGCAGAGACTGGCAGCATTTTGCCCCTGCCCTAGAGATTTGTGGAACTTTAAACCTGAGAGAGATGATTTTATGTATCTGGCAGAAGAAATTTCTAAGCAGCAAAGCATTCAAGAGAAAGCAGAGCATGAAAGTTCAAAAATTCACAGGCTGGCAATGGGATAGAAAAGAAAACCCTATTTTCTGGGGAGAAATTCAAGCTAGCAGCAGAAGTTTGCATACATAACAAGAAATTGAATGTTAATCACCAAGACAATGGGGAAAATGTCTCAAGGGCATGTCAGAGATCTTATGGCGGGCCCTTCTATCACAGGCCTAGAGGCCTAGGAGGGAAAAAATGGTTTCCTGGGCTGGGTCCAGGGTCCCACTACTGTATGTAGCCTCGGGACTGTGTCACGGCCACTCCAGCCGTGGCTAAACAGGGCCAAGGTACAGCTCAGGAAATTGCTTCAGAGGGTGCAAACCCCCAGCCTTGGCAGCTTCCATAAGGTCTTGGTCCTGTGGGTACACAGAGAGCAAGAATAAGGTTTGGGAACTTCTGCCTAGATTTCAGAGGATATATGGAAACACCTGGATGTCCAGGTAGAAGTCTGCTGCAAGGTCAGAGCCCTCATAGAGAACCTCTGCTAGGGCAATGTGGAAGGAAAATGTGGGATCAAAGCCCCCACACAGAGTCCCCTCTGGGGCACTGCCTAGTGGAACTGTGAGAAGAGAGCCACTGTCCTTCATTCCCCAGAATGGTAGATACACTAACAGCTTGCACTGTGTGCCTAGAAAAGCTGCAGAAACTCAATGCCAGCTGTGAAAGCAGCTTGGGTGGGGGGGTGCTGTATCCTGCAAAGCCACAGGGACAGAGCTTCCCAAAGCATTCAGAGCCCACCTATTGCATCAGCGTGACCTGGATGTAATACATAGATTCAAAGGAGATCATTTCAGAGCTTTAAGCTCTGACTGTCCAACTGGATTTCAGACTTGCATGGGGCCTGCAGCTCCTTTGTTTTGGCCGATTTCTCCCATTTGGAATGGATGTATTTACCCAATGTCTGTACCCTCACTGTATCTAGGAAGTAACTAACTTGCTTTTGATTTTACAGGCTCATAGGCAGAAGGGACTTGCCTTGTCACCAATGAGACTTTGGACTGTGGACTTTTGAGTTAATGCTGAAAATAGTTAATATTTGGGGGGACTGTTGGGAAGGCTTGATTGTGTTTTGAAATGTGAGGACATGAGATTTGGGAAAGGGTCAGGGGTGGAATGATATGGTTTGGCTGTGTCCCTACCTAAATTTCATCTTGAATTTTAGTTCCCTTAATCCCCATTTGTTGTAGGAGGGACCAGGTGGAAATAATTGAATCACAGAGACAGTTTCTCCCATCCTGTTCTTGTCATAGTGAGTTAATTCTCATGAGATCTGATGGTTTTTATAAGGGGCTTCCCTCTTTGCTAGGCACTCATTTTTCTCTCCTGCCACCATGTGAAGAAGAAAATGTTTGCTTCCCTTTCCACTATGATTGTGAGTTTCCTGAGGCCTCCCAGCTCTGTGGAACTGTGAGTCAAATTAAAACTCTTTCCTTTATAAATTACCCAGTCTTGGGCAGTTCTTTATAGCAGCATGAGAACGGACTAATACAGTGTCCATTTGATATGTCTATAATTCTACCATGCACATGAATCACTTTTTTTTTTCTCTCTCTCTGACCTTCTTGGCCATGGGAATTTGATAATCCCTTCTCTATAAATCTAACACTGATCATCTGTCTGGTAGAAGAGGGTCTCATATACTCAAAGCACCATAAATGAATTTATCTTGGTATGCTTATTTAAATTGTAGCAATGCATTCCCATGTTAGTTCCTTCTTTACCACTTTATCAAAACAGAAGACAAATGAGCTCAGTGGCTTGGATGTATGCTTCTTTGCATTTATTTTAAAAATGTGACATATATTGTCATGGAATGTGCAAAAGAAATCAATTTTTAAAAATGAAAAAATATATTTACACGTAATTATTTAGCACAGCTTGTTATTCAACCCCCCCACCTCCACCCCTGTGCCCTCAATTTTTGCAATTTTGCCTACACTGCACTTCCTGTCCTGGAGCCTGAAACAGTCTGAGTCTATTTGTTTGAATTGTGTTGAGGAAGGAAGTGGGATTGTGGGAGGGTACAGCTGAACATTGACTGTACTTCTATATCCATGATCTCACTGGCCCATTTTCTCCAACATCAGAGAAAGATTTTGCAAGGGTGTACAATTGGTATGCAAGTTTTTATCCTCCTTACATTGATGGCAAAAATCAGATCTATTTAATCTACTGTCCTCCACAAATTGGTCCATAGACTCATCAGATTAGGAATGGGATTTGAGGGCTTCCAAATTCCCATGGCTTTTGGTTGCAGGATTCCATGACGACTTTGATCAGCCTTGCCATCTTGTGGGTACCTTAGCATTAGATTGAGTTATGTTGCTAGGAGATGATTATTCATCAGCTGATCATTAAGCATATGGGGCTTACTTGGCCCCCCTATCAATTTGCGTCAAAATAAATTAATTGTAGACCTGTCTTGTTTTATGAAAAAGCAATGTGATAGTCTTTAAATTTATCTTTCTAAACAAGACACAAGTTTACACATTACCCAGCACAGTAACCCCTCTTGGTATTGTTGACCTAAAAGGAAGAAGTGTAGGAAAAACTGATATAAGTAGAGAGTTTATTTGGGCCAAGCATGAGGGTTACAACCCAACTGTATGGAGACAAGTTGTCCTGAACAATACACATTCTTATTAGCAACAGTTATAAGTAGGTTTTCAAAGAAAAAGAAGAGGCAGTTCCTAAGTTATTTACCACGAATTTACATTGAAACAGCATAAGCTATCAATTGGCTATAAATTGCTCTCTGTATCAAATTCCAGGAAAATGAAGATAATGTGCAAGGCAGCTAGTCGGGAACAAAATGACTTTAAACAATTGCCCCCAGCTATGGTTGTGGAGGGGCAGTGTGGCACACAGGAAGCAAGACTAAAGGAACATACTTATGTCTCTCTGGGCCTGCATACCTCATAGAACTCAAACTGCTCTATTTTTCTTTTCTCTATATTTTATTGAGGTAGATGGTGGGTGAGTTTGCACAAAGCTACAAATTTCTGTCAGAAACAGTCACTTTCTAATGCAACAACCTAACGTGCCCATTCACACCACAGAGGCTCTAGCATTGACATTTCAACTGTCTCCACAACATCACTCTCACTTTAAGATGATATTCTCCCAGCCAACACACATATAGGTCATCTGCTATACTCCTTAGCACTATTTTTCTAAGAAGAATTTAGTGTCTTTGACTGAGCTGTACATCTTGCTTAACCGTAAAGAATGTAAAGTTTCAAAAATCCTGGATGACCTCTAAAATGTAGCAAAATGATAATTCCCACCACCCCTCAGGGTGGTAGAAAAAGATCAGGGAAATCCACAAAATGGAAAATATCCTCCCAGACAAAAGATGTTTCCCCCTTTTTGAGGCCTCCTCACCAATATTTCCTAACCTAAATTTCAAATATGTATTTAACTCCATTTGATGTTTAAGTGTTTCCAAAGCAATATAGAGCCAGAGAATAAGAAGTTGTGGTATCATTTTGCCAATACTGTCCATTTTAGCACAAAAGGGATAACTTAGTGTCAACATTTATGCTCCTAAAGGATGTTGGGTCAAATGAAATGTTCCTCATTGTTTCTCTCTCTTGATCTCTCCTTCACTCCTTCTCTTCCTTGCAGGATCTCCAACTCCTTCATAAGGGCACTCTGTGTTACCCCTTTAAACAAAATAAAGAAGTCCTACATTCTGCCCAGATTTTTTTCAGGCTCCACCAAAGGGTTGGGTGAATTATGGCCCAAAAGTTGGTGAGGATGATGGTGAACCTTCAATCACCTTCAGTCTCCCAACCAACAATGGTCATGGCTTGTTTTCTCCCTGGATTACATGGAGAAAATCATGCCCTACTTTTTGGACCTGTTGCTTCTACATTTGTATGGTAACTGTGAAACCATCCTAATGAACAGCAAACATTAACCACTACATAAAATGTAGACTTTGAATAAAAACACAGCTAAGTACTAACCAACTTGCCCTTTAAGCCAATTCCCTGTAGCTACTTACAGCATGACTGTTAGCTCCTTTCCTTATAGTTTCTTACTGCCTAAAAGTCACATAGATGTGGTCACAAGGCACTAACTTCCCTTAGTTATTTCTATAAGATAATATATGTAACGTTAAGAAACATCAAGTTTCTATCTAAAAAGTTTTCCAGATCTTGGAATCCCATGGGTCTGCTGACACCAGTCAGTCTGAAGACCCCCTCCAAGGAATTGACTCAGCAAAAAAACAAAAAAAAAAAAAAACAACAACAAAAAAAAAACAAAACAAACAAAAAAAAACTTCCAGTTTTCATCTCTGTATGTTTCATTTCATTCCCTATACCCCAACAAATCAGCAGCTCCAGACCTTCAGCACCTTACCTGCCTTTCTCTTAAAAATCCTAAACTTAGACTCAGCAGGGAGGTAGATTTGAGGTTTCCTCAACCTTCCTCATTTTTCTGCCATTCAATTATTAAACTCTTTCTCTACTGCAATACCTGCTGTTTTGGTATATTGGTGTGTTACTGTGCAATAAGAACAACTCTGGTGAGCCTAAAATAACTTTTTCTGGTTGCCTCTCTAATTTTGTTCCCAATATCTACTTGTAGGCCTACCTCCTCAATTTCCATGGTTCTCCTATTCCTAGGTCTTTTTTAAAGACTTAATTTCTTCCACTGAATTGTGTCTCCTGAACATTCACTTGAGCACAACTTCACCTGCAGCCTTGCTTTAGGAAATATTCCATAACTGGACATAAGAAACTCTTGCTTTCTTAATATCTATGACTACCCAAAAGATGAGTATAATTCTGATTAAAACTAAATTAGACTGTCAGAATGTGGATAACTATTGAACCAAAGCATATTATTTTGAAGAAGACTAAGAATTTGGAGAAGAGAATTAGGAAGTCTTTAAGGAAAAAAAAAAGTGAAAGCTATCTTTTGGGAATTTTGTTTTCTTTCTTAATAGTACTAGCTTTCACAGCTAGTAAGAGGACTTCAGAATTATTTGGAGCATAAATATAAGAACTTTCTTACTGATTTGCCCCAGTAACCTAAATGGAAGGACACATGGCTAGGATGATTTGGAATTCAATTAATGAAAATCAAGCATGGGTTTGTTAGAAGAGGAATATTTATTTTTTCCCATAGAAATAAAATGTAAATTGTTAAAAAAAAGTTGGCTCATTTTAATTAATTCAATTACTTAGAGTCATTCATATTTTCATTCAGATATAAATGAAACACTCTTCCTTCTTTATTTTTATTTCCTCTCCCCAGCTTTTCATTCTCTTTCAGTCTTCCTTTCTGTTTTTCGTTTGTTTGTTTTGTTTTATTTGGTTTTTTTGAGCCAGGATCTCACTCTTTCTCCCTGGCTAGAGTACAGTGGCACAATCTCAGCTCACTGTAGCCTCCACCTCCAAGGCTCAATCAATCATCCTGAGTAACTGGGACTACAGGCACGTGCCATCATACCCAGCTAATTTTTGTGGGGTTTGTTTTGTTCTTTCTTATTTTTTTTTTTTTTTTTTGCAGTGGAGATGGGGTTTCATCATGTTGCCCAGGCTAGTTTTCCTTTCTATATACAGAAAAATTTAAAGTGAATGTGATGTTGGAGAGAGTGGGAAGGAAAAGTAATGGCAAGTATGCTTGCTCATTACCAGGCACTGTGCTAAGCTCTGTGAATACACAGATAAGTAAAATCCACGCTGTTTCTCAAAGAACTCACAATCTGTTTAAGAAGCAGATGTCTATACAATAATTTTATAACTATTATTCAATGTGATTAGTACTCACATAGCTCTATATAGAGTGTTATAGAAGAATAAATTAGAGAATATCTCATTTTTCCTCCAGTGGTTTAAAAAGATGTCACAGAAACTGAATTGTAAATGGTACGGAAATATGGAGGGGTGGTTTGCAGTAGGACCTATCTTAGCCCACCGCTTCTCAGGTTTTGGCCTTTGAACTTGAGATATGACTGTTCCAAGGACAGAAGGCAAAACGAACAAAAGCAAAATCTGAAGCAGGCTGTCAATAGAGATTGACTCTCATTGCGGCACACCAGTACAGGCTGGGCCAAATGTCAGAATCAAGGCAACTTATCTCAAATGCAGGGCTGTAACGCTCTCTCAATTGCACCTGAAAATGAAACAAACAAGAGTGGAAATGAAACATATATCCTAATGTAGCTTTCAGGACTAGGGCATGCAGGTGGGCCCCAGTCATCTAATAACTGATGTATAACTTAGGATTTTTCAAAAGGCACCAGTGATCTATGACAGGGGGAGAAAAGGGCCAGATTACCAGTTTCCTCAAGAGGCAAATCTTCTAAAAAATCATCTGCAGCCCGCAGCATCTGCCTCAGTGCAGAGAGGATGAGAATATCCTTCATGGGGTCCAGTTCCAAATCTGAAGCATAATTTCCAACCATCAAAATATTGGAAATAGGAATGCCTAGCATTTTATGGACATTCATGACCTGTGGAAAGTATATTTAAAAAGTGTAAGTCCTGTATTTAATATTTGAAATTTGACCAATTTTAAATACAATTTAAGAAAGAAACCAAAAAAGCAATGGCTTAATAAGTTATCTTCGGAACATACAATAATTCAGATCATTGCAGTTTTAAAGTGTGATATAAATTTGAATTAATCAAGCAATTGATCCCATTCTTCATTTCCCTGCAAATACACTCTGTAAGCACATATACACGTACAGACACACACAAACACACACACGTATGATTGTGATACTATTACAATAATATCTGGTTATGATCAGCATTTTTTACCCGGCTTTGAGAAGTCATAGATCTACTCATGTTTAAAAAGTTGTCTTGAAGAACCTCACTGCAATCATCCACTTTAGTAAGCAAGGCCACATATGCTATACCTATATCAAATAGATAAATCAGTTATTTTATATCATAAATAGCAATGTGTCAACAAGTTATTAAATATGTGTGAAGGCAACTCTATAGGGTGATTTTGAGAGCTGAAGAATGAAATATCCCCAATACATCTCAATATGGAGCCTGAAGCTTTTCTAGAGGAGAAATGATCTTTGATCTTTTTTTTCCAACATGTGACAGCATTTTTCAATGCAACTAAATCCACACTAAATTGCAATCATCTACGATTCCATTCAAATGGTTTGTTTTAAATTGGTCAAGGGGAAAAAAGGGGTTGCTGGACTTTGGGGACTAAAAAGAACCACAAGAAAAAGAGGAAGTGAGGAGGGTTGTGTATGAGCATTTATGAGAGCAAACTGTACTGATTTCACAGTTCTAATAGGGACCTACTCCTTTCTCCCTCAAACCACAGGGATTGAATTAGTAAATCACATTTGACTTCTAAACAAATCAAAATTCTGCTATGCTAACAACTGCTTATGAGGAAAATATAAGATTAATTTCAAATGCCAGTCAAGGAAGCTCCCAGGACTCTTTTAACAGGGCTTTTAGTACCTTCTTCCTACTAAAATCTTGTGTTTATTTTTTCCATTACTAAATGATTTCCTTTACTACCTTCTCTTCATTCAGGTTTCAGAGGAATAACTAGCAAAGTTGGCCAATTAATACCTAGGTTCTGGTAGAGAGCAGTTCTCAGTTGACACCTATAATTTTTTTCAACCTCTGTTGCAATGTAATTCTTCTGTTTCAAAATTAATACAATGTCCTTTTAGAGGTCCTAAGTCAGCACACTAAGTTGCATTAAGCATTGCCATCCAGCACGCCAAGGACAATGTGTTGCCATACATCCTTGAAAAGTCATTTTAAAACTTAGCATTTCTGTCTTACCCCAAACCCTCCATAATTTTAGAGCTGTTAAGTACTTATATAAGCTTATATATTTACATTGTGTATATCTAATGTTCACTACTCAGACTTTTGTTAGACAGTTTATTAAGTTCAGATGCAAAACTTATTATCCCCATTTTAGAAGAACAGGAGATAAAGTTCAGAGCAATTAAATTACCTTTCTCGAGGTCAAAGTTTACTACTATTTAAAAACTAGGTTCACTTAAGCAAGACCATGCTCTATACATTAAACGGCATAGCACTTTTCGGAACCTAAATATGTGATCTTTCTACTGATAAAGTAAGCAACGAGGCTTTGGAGTATAAATGCCCCAACAATTCTTTATATTAAAATCTTTTGGAAGTTCAGTGAGAGTACTTCCAGTTCTGGACCAAATGGAGTAGACACACTTTTCCCTCTTCTTTACACTAAATGTAGCTAAAATCTCTGGACATTATGCATAAATCAAACATAAAGATTGAAAAGTGCAGATAATGCAATTTGGCTAGAGACCTTGAGACCCAAGAAACAATACAGAGATGAGCTCTCTAGGTTTTCTTTTTACTTCATATGTCCCAGATTGGCTTTTGGAGACACTCACAACTGGAAAATACAAATTAGAGCCAGCAAAAAGGAAAATTTTTTTTGCTGTTGACTAGTTTCATCTAGTCAAAGCATGAGAAAAAGGACAGTGTAGCAAGACAGAAAACTTTCAGAAAATAGCCACACTACCCCAGTCAAACACCACAGAATTCACCTTAGCCCTATCCATGGATATGTCCTTCCCTTTCCCAACTTTCACCCTTAGCCAAGGTAGTATAAGAGAAGAAAAAAATGTAGGGAGCCAGGACATTTATACCTGCACTATACTAACAAGGTCCCTCTTGATGGTGTCAAGGGAGGCTACTTGGGGATCCTAGACTTCCACCGAATCAGCAGCAATGAGGTGCTCTTTTCCCTCTCTGGAAGTGTCAGAGGAGAACAAGTGAGAAGCTGGAACTTTAGCCTTCATTAACCTTCGATGCAAGGAGGCTTCTAGCCCCTGTGATGTCAGGGTATCCTATATGGGGCACAGTAAGAAAGTGCCCTTTCTCCAAGGGTGTCAAACAAGGCCTTATGGGAAACCTGTACTTTCCATCTTACCAGTATCAGAATATGTTTGCTAAAACACAAGATGTAAGATCCAGAGTCATAAAATAAAGTACCTAAAATATCGAAGATGCAATTAAAAATCATTTGTCACATCAAAACCCAGGAAATTCTCAACTTGAATGAGAAAAGCTAATCAGAAGATCATGACCCTAATTAGATGACAAAGATGTTAGAATTATTTGGCAAGGATTCTAAAGCAACCATCATAAAAATGCTTAAGAACCAAGTAGGAACATTCTTGAAACAAATGAAGGAAGTGGGATGTCTCAGCAAAGAAATAGAAGACCTGAAAAAGAATCAACTTGAAATTTTAGAGCTAAAAAACCATAATACCCAAGATAGGAAAAACAATAGCTATGCTCAAAAGCAGAATGGAGAGGGCAAAGTGATGAACAAGTGAATTCAAAGATATAACAATAGAAATTACCCACTCTGAAAAATAAAGAGCAAATAGATATAAAAAATAAATAAATAAATTGTGAGACTATAACAAAATATCTAGAATTCATGTCCCAGAGTTCCAAAAGGAGAGATGAGAGATGGCAGGGATGGAAATCATCATAATAGTAAGACAACTACAGACTGGGAGAAACTATCCGCAAACAATGTATCTGACAATTGACTCATATTTAGGATTTATAGATCTTTTAACATTCAACTTCTAAAAAACACAAATCATCCAATCAGAAAATAATCAAAAGACGTGAAGAGGCATTTCACTAAACAAGCTATACAGAAGGCAAATAAGCACATGAGAAGATGTTCAATGTCATTAGTCATTAAGCAATGCAAATTAAGACCCTGATGAAATATCAGCATACATCTATTAGAAGAGTTAAGGAATTTTTAATAGCAACGATACCAAATACTAGCAAGAATGCAGAAAAAATAGATCTCTCATGTATTGCTGGTGGGATTGTAAAATGGTACAGTCCCTCTGGAGTATAGTTTGGTGATCTCTTTCAAAGCTAAACATACAGTTACTTTATGATCCAGCATTACATTTCTGGAGATGTACCCCAGAGGAATAAAAACTTATATCCACACAAAACTTGATAGGAGTTTTGTTTGCAATAGCTAAAAACTGGAATATTTTTTGATAGAGCATGGTTAAACTGTGGTATATCTATACCATGGAATACTATACAATTTTTTAAATGAACAATAAATACATACATACATCTTGGATGGATGTCAAAGGATATTAGGTTGAGTCAAAAAAGCCAGTCTCAAAAGGTGACATACTGTATGATTCCATTTGTATAACATTCACGAAATGACAAAATTATGGAAATGAAGAAAATATTAGTGGTTGCCAAGAGTTAAGGATGGTGGAGGAATAGTGGGTGCCATGAGGGAAATCTACAAAGTGATGTAATATTTGGTTGCAGTGATGGGTACATAAACTTACACATGTGATAAAATGACATAGAACTATAAACACACATTGTTAACAATAATCAATTTTCTGGTTTCGATCTTCCCTGTCTACCCACATAGGTTTTAGCCCTATCTAAAGCCTCAGGAAAATCACACACGAAAAAAAAATGGTTGGCCAGTCTATTCTTTAAAGACTGAACATTAGGATTTGGGGTCTTTCTTCAGTCATGCCTGTGAATGATCTCTCCCTCCGATGGCCACCACTCCAGGGAAATAGGATGAAAGGTACATGGGAAATCTCTGTACTCTCTTTGCAACTTCCTACAAATCTATAATTATTTCAAAGTAAATTTTTTTATAAGTTCAGTGAGACTCACCACAGTTTAATACTTCTTTGTGAACTTGCTTCACTTTTGCCAACATTTTAGAGTAGAGATTGTCAATAGAGTTGATGTCTAAGACATAAGCCACACAGTGAATCCTGTCCTTCAGAGATGGAGAGGTGATAAAAGTAGAATGCTCAGGTGTAATTGGTTTACGGGAATTAAACTGTTATAAAAACATAAGGTAACATTCAGAAATCAGAGAGCCTCTGTTTAACCCTTAAAGACACAATTAATGCTTCTAATACTGTAACTACTGATCTCCCTCTTTCTCCTCAGCTACTCTTTCCCCAAACAGTAGCACCTCCTCTTTACTTCCTTTCCACTGTGAGCATAATGCCATTATATCTCTCTTATAGGAAAAAAAACACTTTATTGCTTTGGTAAAAATGATAATTATCCATTGTAAGTATTGCAGGAAAGTTTAAATAATATTTTTGAAAAGCTAATTTCAAATCCTAGTATCCAGAAATAAACACCATTAACGTTTGTTAAATACAATTTAAGACTCCTCCCTAAGCATTTTGCATGCTTAAATGAACTGGATAGAGAGAATAAAAGAAAGAAAAATATGTTGAAAATGCTATTTAAATTAAAAGACTGTAATTTATTTTGATTTTATAGAAGAAAAATAAACTAAAGTGAAATAAAAGAAATACCAAATTTGAAGTTAATGTCTTCTTACCACAAGACAGTAATCTTTCTAAGATTAAGGAAATAGATTATGAAACAATGGTTTGGAAACATGTAGTTATTAAGCTATGTATTTCAGTGTTGGACTGAATTGACTGGCTCCCTGCTGTGAAAAATTAGGGTGTTGGTATGCTCCTGATTTCTCCAATGTCTTCGCTCTATCCCTCCTCTCTTTATCTGTGTGTCTCCTTTTCCCTGACTGGATTATGAACTCCTGGAGGATAAGGATTGTGCTGTTATTGACTTATGTGTTTTCAGTAACTGGCTTAGAGTTTGGCACAAATATGGTTTATAATAGATGGTTTTTGAATGAATAAATAAATACATAGGTAAGGTTTCCAATTCAGCACAATTGGGAGGCAAAAGAGATTCTTCTTTAGAAATTGAGGCTGATACCCAACACCTAAAAGAAAGGTAACAATCATTGTTGGCTTTTTTGAGAACTTAAACTATATCATCTCATTTAATCATCTTAGCCACCCTATGAGATAGACACTATTAATAGCAATATTTCACACCTGAAAAAAAAAAAAAAAAGACCGAGAGAGAGAAGTGTGCAACTTACGGGTAAACATCTGTTAGTAGCAAAGCCAAATTTTGAATCTAGGTATTTAGTGGTGAAATCTAAGCATTTACAGTATAAAATGACATTTCAACACAAAATAGTTACTTGTTCCAATATTTTGTCTATGTAACCCAAAAAGTGCAAGGGATTAAGTGACTATCATTAGTTTACATTATTGTAAAGAGTGATAAAAACACACTATCTCCTTGATCTTTTACTAGAATGCAAATGAGTAGAATCCTGCCTTTTGGCTTTATTTCTCAATGTTACAGAAAAGAACAATAGTCACTCTACTTTTTCATATGAATTCTTATTCATTCAAAGTAGAATAGTGTTGATTGATGTTGAAACCACATTATGGGAGTTGAAATTGCCTTATGTGGTTAAAAATTCAATGAAAAATACTGAAGAAAATGATTTGAAATGTTTTGGATATTGAAGAAATCTTACCTGATATCTGTCTGGCATACAACCTTTTAAGATGTGGGGAATGTCATCCATGCACAGTCCTGCTCCTTCTGCCCCATCTAGCCCCATAGTGTCACACAACATAAATGGCAGAGATTTTCCATTTTTTCCATCTTTAACAGAATATATCCTATACTGTTAAAAAAATACATTAAGTGTAAAGGTTCATTCATCACCCAGCATTCAAGACATGACAATAAGAAGAAAAGAGATTGGTTAATATTTGAACACCATGGTCCTCAAACAGTTTGGTCTCAGGACCCCTTTAGACTCTTAAAAGTTATTGAGAATCCCAAAGATCTGTTGTTTATGTGGGTTATATCTATGGATATTTAAAATAGTGGAAATTACAACTGAAAAAAATGTAAATATTCCTTTTTAATTAAAAAAGAAATTTCTATGTAATTTATCATGTAAAACGTGTGTGTATATATATATATATATACACATACACACACACACACACACACATATATATATATATAATGGTATGTTTTGACTCCATGCTTTTTATATTTTGTGTATCTACTATCAGTATTTGTTTTGTGCTTAACCATGATGCTTACAAAAAATAAACATATTTGTAACTGGTTATTTTAAGTTAATAACAGCTCCACTTACAGAGAAAAAAAAAACACTCCACATTTTTACTCCACTCCTCCCCACAGTTTGCACCTTTGATACCACAATTTACATCTTTCCATATTGCATGTCCTTTAACAAAATCTTATAGCTATTATTATTTTAGCAGTTTTGTCTTTTAAACATCACCATCATTATAGTATGAGTATTCTGAATTTTACTGTAGTTTTACCAGTGAGTTTTATACTTTCAGATATTTTTATATTACTTATTAGCATCCTTTTCTTTCAGCTTGAAAAACTCGCTTTAACATTCTTGTAAGACAGGTATAATTGTAATGAACTCCCTCAGCTTTTGTTCATCCAGGAAAATCTTTATCCCTCCTTTATTTCTGAAGCACAGCTTTACTGGGTATAATATTCTCAATTGGATGGGTTTGTTTGTTTCTTTGTTTTTTCTTTTAGCACTTTGAATATTTCATCCTACTCTCTTGGCCTGCAGAGTTTCTGCTAAGTCTGCTGCTAGTCATATTAAAACTTTCTAATATGTTATTTGCTTTTTTATCTTCCAGTTTTCAGAATCCTCTCTTTGTCTTTGATATTTTACAGTTTGATTTTAATATATCTTGGGTTAATCTTCTTTGGATTAAATCTGACTGGGGACTTTTCTCTCAGTTTTACCTGGATATTTACATCATCCTCCAGGTTTTAAAAGTTTTTTGCTACTATTTATTTACTTAAGATTTCTATTACTTTTAATTTCTTGTCTCCTTTCCCCCTTGTAACTTGAATATTTGTCCTTTTGATGATGTCCCATAAATCCCATAAGCTTTCTTCCTTCCTCTTCATTCTGTTTTTTTATTCTCTATCTATATTTTCAAATAACCTACCTTTAAGTTCACAGACTCTTCTACTTGATCAATTCTGCTGTTGATGCTCTCTATTTCATTTCTCATTTCACCCATTGTATTTTTCATCTCTGAAATTTGTTTCTTTTTTATAATTATTACAACCTTTCTATTAAATTTCTTATTCTGATCACTCATCATTTTTCTCATTTTGTTAAATTGTTTCTCTGTATTTTCTTGAAGTTTGCTGTGCTTCCTTAAAATAATTATTTTGAATTCTTCGGGTGGTTCATACATCTCCATTTCTTTAGGATTGGCCACTGGCACGTTATTTTCTCTCTTTACTGACGTCATGTTACCCTGATTGCTTTTGACTCTTGTGACAATGTGTCAATGTATAAACATCTCTGGAAGTAGGTACTTATTCCAATCTTTGCAGATTGCCTTTGTCTGGAAAAGTCCTTCAACAATCAGCCTATCCAAAAATTCTGGGCAGGCTGCCTTGCATAGTCCCAAAGCCTGGGACCACTGTGACTGGTGCAGCACTGAGGCATGCGTAAAGCTCAGGGCCACTGCGGCATCCGTGTCACTAAGTGCTGTTCAGAGGTTGGGCCACTAATAACCCATCCATGGTGTGGTCCAGGGACTGAGTCCACCATGCAAGCTTGAAGCCTAGGGCCACATGGTCTCACTTGGCACCAGCATGGGGCTAGAGGCTCAGCCGTCAAATAACAGCCTAAAGTCTGGGGCCATGAGGTTCTATCCAGTGCTGGATTTTACTGCAGTAGGCCTGATATTGGAGTCCAGGCAAAGTCCTGTGCTCACTTCCCTCTTTTCCCCAAAGCAGATGACAGTTCTCTCCACACTATGCTCCCTGGGGTTGAGGGGGGTGATGCAGATAACGTAAAACTATCTTTCCTACCCTCTTCAATGTATCTTTTGTTATTATTGTGCTAGAACTAGGTACAGTAATCTTTCACCTGGTTTACTGAGGTGATATTTTGTGTGCTAATAATTATTCAAATTGATGTTTCAGTGGAGGAATGATTGCTGGAGAGACCTATGTGACCATCTTGCTCTGCCCCTCCTGCTCTTAAGTGTTGTTTTAATCATTAAAAATTCAATTATAAACCTGTCACATGTTCATCAAATAACATTTTTTACTTAAAAAGCATTTTTTTAAAAATTTACAGAAAACAGAAATCATTGGTTTATTAGTAAAATTCTCTTTAATGTCTGGATTAAAGAATATAACTGTAATCTCATATGTGGCTCCAATTCAATCTCTTGATATGTTGTTTCAATTGAAGTATGTGAAGAAAATATGGCCTCTCACATGTATGTATAATATGAAAAGGAGGTAATATTTCACTGTATAGCTTTCAGGTAATTGTGAATATTCCTCAATGTAATATAGCAAAGCTCAACAAGTAATAACTTCTTAAAGGTTAGTTGCAATGTGGAATCTGCGACATTTTTATATGCTGCCACATTAAATCCATTGGTTTGTCTTATACTTTGAATATATCCTTTACTCATGCATGATTTTTTAACCTAATTTATTGATCATCTTAAAACATTCGTCCACTGGGTTATCCAGATCTTCCTAATGTTGACACATTTCATCATGCAATATTAAAACATCACATTTGTTAATACCACCATTAATTTCATTGGATAAGTCTTTAAGTGTTGAAAAGCTGTCAGGCTCAGAATAGTGAATACAGGTTTCTCAAAGTTTGATTTTTCTCAAAAGCTCAAATTTTGTTATTGGCAACAAACACTGTCAGTTTTTGTTTTTGTTCTTTATTAGTAGGGTCACTTGAGCATTTGCATTAAGATACCTGCCAAATATCCAAGTATGAATGAGTAAGTCTGTGCTGTCCAGTAAAAATGATGTCACATTTAAAAAAAGTTCAGTTAACAACTCAGCTGCTCCAGTGCTTTTTCTAAAGACAACTGCCAATTTTCAATATGCATTAGAAGTACTTTATGAGCACTTCCCATTTTATCACACTGAATATCAAAATGATGTGTATTCCAAAGTGGAGTTTAAATAAAACCAATAACTGTTACTATTCATCAAGGAGTAAAACTGGCATTTTTTTTCCTGTAAGTGCAGTAATTGGGAGAAATACAGTGACTACTAGTAGTGTTTGGTGCCACCGTTTGATTCATACTAATGTGCCAACAGGTAAAACTATGTTGTGTAATTAATTCAAGTGTCAATACACTAGAAAAGACAAAAAAAACTTAGAATAATTCTAAAAATAGTTTTGAACACAGAGATACCCTTAAAATGTCTCCGGGAACCCAAGGGGTCCACAAATTTCACTTTGAGAAGCACAACAGAACTTTCTTTCCTAGATAAACACATTCAATCTTATTGCAAGGATATTTTCTAGAACAATTCTGAAAGTATTTTATTTGATGGTCAGATATACATTCAACATACACAAAAAAATATGGACGATTTGGGAAGATTGCAAAGAAAAGGATTTCTCAGAGACACTTTAATTACAATTTTTCCATCTGTGGTGCTGGCAAGGGTGTAGTATCACTCAAACCAGAAGGGAGAGAACAGTCTATGACTTATTGTAATCTGTAATAAAATCAAAAGCTCTCATTGGGCCATGAAACGCAGAGGCGTAATCCCACTGAAGATTTTTATCTAGGAGAATAGGACTTACCAGTGCCTCAACATGAAAGAAATTATACTAAGCACTAGAGTTAAAGTACATTGTAAAATTTCAGGAACACCAATATGCATCTTCCTAGTTTCCTTACCCATTAATTTGCTTTCTTTACAACTTCAATTATTCAAAGGAAAGAGTCTTTTAAGCAATAAAATATTCAATTTCCCTCATAAAAGTCTGCCCTATATTTCTTCAATTTAAATAACATTTGCATTTCATTGGAGTTCAGTATCTACATCTTCTCTTAAAATAAGACCTTTGGAATTTAAAACTTAAAAGGAAGAAAGAGAAATTTTGTCCTGAGTAGTATCTCTATTATAGCATATATCACAATGAATGATACAGATTTATTATCTGCATTGGTCTCTGAGATATCTGGGTAATGGGACCAAGCATTATTTGTATTTAGGTCTCTATGTCTGAATAAATATTTAGCAAACAGAAACATTTCAATCAATGCCTAATTAATTTAATTTGTGCTGCCGTACCTTGCCACGGCTTCTGAGACTACACTAATATATTAAAATAAAGCCACTCAAGAGCACAGTATCTGGCCAACATCAACAAATAAGATGTGATTCTTGAAAGTCCTAGAAAATTCTTCCAGTTATTGAATGTGACACAAAAGCTAAAATGAACCATTACTGTCTTATTATGCTGTCTTATGCTAAATTTTGCATTGATAATACACAGCATATTCCCTAACAAGTGACAATATTAATTTGTGGTAATCATTAAAAAAGCCTGATTCTAAAATTTTCTATTCTTTCCCTTTATTATTTTTTGTTTGATTGCATGTGCATGATAACATTGAAAAGCATAAACAAGAAAGAATTTTCTAGACAAGTGCTGCATCATAATTTGTAGTTCTTTAGAGCAACAATTAAGAAATCTATATTACTATTTATTTCCTTATGTATATCTTTTTGTAAATAAGATAGTTTTTGTAAGATTTACACTTCAAGTTCTCCTTCAAAGTTGACCCACCAAAGTGAATTGCTATTTTGCTTTTCATGACCATGTCTTAGAGAATGGTCTCGTAATTAAAAAAAATTACCTTACATAATTCTCATTATTTTATTACAAAAAAAGAAAAACATTTTAAACCAGGTAAAATCATGTAGTACATGAGTAAAATGAACATCATATATAATGGTCAAAGATTTTCATAGGGTTTTTAATTTTTTGTTGTTTTTTATACAAATACTAAAAAGTATTCTTTATATAACTGCTTCTTCCATCCATAAAATTTGAAAGCTTCTCTGTATAATATAGCACAATGGAGGTGGTTCTGATCAAAATTTTACTCCTATTTTCCATTTGATTTAGCATTTAATTGTATATTAGGATTGCCCTAAGAGAAAAAGGCAAAGACATAAGCAATATAATAATTGTAATCTATAAAATAAAATCCTCAGGGAAATAACTTACCCGCTCGGTTATGCTGGTGATATCAGACCCCACTACGGCTTGGCCAGTCACATGGCCATGAAAAATAGACTTGACTGAATTGAAAAAACTGGACTTTCCAGACCCAACTGGACCCACCAAAAGAATACGAATTTCTGAAACCAAGTCTGCATAGGGCCTATAGTCTCTGATGTCTGCTAGAAGCCTATTTCTGTGCCTGTTAAAATATAGTGGTTAAATACAGCATCAGAACAGCCAATAAAGAATACCATAAAGAACATCTCAAGTCACCTAGAGCTTCTTTCTCTTCCCTGAGAAGGGTATTTTTTCAATACTTAATTATTATTTTGATAATGAGATCTTCTATAATATGATTTGAAATATCTAAAGTTATACATTTTGTGCTTAAAGAAAATGCATTATTTTATATCTGACTAAAGTTAAATATTAACCTGCAACCAAACCATTTTTCAACTATTAGTCTTAGATCACATGAATGTAATAAGAAATATCAGTGACATTGAACATAAATTATTATTTTCACTAAAAGTACATTAAGGAGAAATCAAAATAAAATATATGCAATGTAGCTATCTATAAATTTAAAAAGAAAGTTTGTTTTTGACATTTACTGAGGATTCTCAAAAGCTGTTTCTCAAGGAAAGGATTCAGAGAAATTACCTAAAATGGTTATCCAGACCCTACCTGGAAAATTTTGGTCTAAAGTGGAAATGAAGTCAAATTGGTCAATGTCATCAGGTGGATATTTAAAGTTTCATAGTTAGTAGTGCTTTTGTTATTTTATGTCAATAACATTATAACTCTTTTTTAATCATTCCAGTGGCATGATTTTTATCTTTACCACATATTTGTCAGCATTCTTTATACAATTGGTCTAAATAAAATGATTAATAGATAGCCCAAGAATCCAACTTACTCTCTGGCTTTAATTATCCTCTTTATGTCGTCTAGGTTATCCTTAATTCCTATAGGAAATAAACATAGCATAATACATTTTTAAAACTTGTTTGGTTAAATGTGGCCAAGTCTACTTTTGAAATAAGACATGGAGTTTTCTTGCATAACCCAGGGCTGAGCTGCTCAGTTAGGAGTCAGAGTTGGCAACATGAGAGGAAGAGGAGGAAAAATTATCCTCTCTGCACATTAACTTGCTCTGGAAGCTCTCACATAATTACACCTAGAAGTTCTAAGGGTCATATAAGGGTCTGATCTTTGGGTCATATGTCAAAACAGAGCAGCTCTGATGATAAGATCTCTCTCTCTCCACATCCCCATCTCCTTTGTCATCTCTATCTCTGCACATATATTTCTCAACTTGCTTTGCTCAAAGCAGCCTATACGTTCTGGATAAAAACCTCATAATCCTTATGTTCCCCACGTTTCATTTCAGAATTTATCAAAGAGTATGGCATGAATCTAACTGTTCCTTTCACTTTCCTTGCTCTTGTAGATCAATTATTACCTACCGAACACAAGGATTAGAATCATAATGTGAGATGTAGGATTATCTAATTTTACAAACCTTCAACTCGAAAAACTTCACATTCCAAATACTGACGGTGGCCATAAAACCTTAGTTTCAAGTTTCTTGTTATCATTTTATCTAGATAAATTTTATTATCTCGACATATAATGAAAATATCCGTTTTCGATAAACGACACACCAGTTGCTCATCAATAATTTTTGGTGCTGTATTTAAGAGTAAAGTTTCTATTTCAGTGGTGTCATTTTTCTTTTGAAGTGAAAACCATAGGGAATCATTTGGCTCTGTAGAACTTTCATGTAAATTAATATAATTTCCAAGCATAAAGGCTACAATCATATTGTAATCAATGTAAGCCATTGTTATAGTACATCCCTGACGGCTGCATCTTTCAACCATATCTTCAATGCTACCTCCATGAACACTAGACTTATAGAGAAGACTCAAAGAAACATTTCCAAGCAGCTTGCGCAGATGATTTTCATCATTCCATGTCAATCTTGTTGTCACTTCCATTGTTCTATATCTAATGGAAAAACAATTATAGGTTGAGAAGCTTATATAATATAGTAGCTTATAGCTTAGGTTTCCACTTCTACTTTCAGTGAGTTCTTTATTCACTGACTCAATTAAAACACATTGTTTGGTTAAGGCAAAAAATATAGCAAAAATATAGAAATGGCACAATAATGTTAGATATAAAAATATATAATTTAGAAAGGAAAAGTCATTAAAATTTTTAAATCAATTGACAAACTTCAGAAAGTTGAATAAAGGAAAAATAAATCTCAATAAGAGTCAGCAAATTTTTTCTTAATGAACAAGATAGTAAATATTTTAGCCTTTGTAGGCCATATGGTCTCTTCCACAATTACTCAACTTTGCCACTGTAATACAAAAGAAGTCATAGATAATATGTAAACAAGAGAGCATGACTGTGTTCCAATAAAATTTTCTTTAAAAAAGTATATGGCTGGAACAGAGGTCATCATTGTCATATCACATTCATCATTTGCCAACGTATGAATTAGAAAATGGAGCCTAGGAATTCTTGCAAAAAACAGCACATAAAGAAATTGAAATATGAAAGGAGTTAACAGCTATAGAAGTCTTACAGCAGCATACTAGACTATTGGTCATTACAAGAATTATTTCAATGAAAAAAACTTGAAAAGCAGAATAAACTATAAAAATGCATGTGTTACAAAGCTCTAAAGAGCAAACAAGGCAGTTAAGACATATAGCTATTGGCAAAGATTTGGAGAAGTTAATAAAGAGAGATAAGCTAGGCATTTGGGAGCACATTTCTGACGTGTATCTGTCAAATTCAGAAAAGGCACTTGAGATGCTGAAAAGTTAAGCAAAGTGTTTGCTAGATTCATAGAGTTAGGGAGATAAAAATCATACTTTGGAGTGCAATAAGGAGAGCACCTTGGAAACCTTTCCCTTAGGCTACAGTTTGGGATTCTAAAGAGCTACAGAGAAAACCAAAAACCATATGCTCTCACTTATAAGTGGGAGCTAAGCTATGAGTACACAAAGGCATACAGACTGATATGATGGACTTTAGAGACTCAGAAAGGAGAGGATGGAAGAGGAGCTAGGGATTAAAAAAAACTACATATTAGATACAATGTACACTACTTGAGTGATGGATGCACTAAAATCTCAGAATTCACCACTATATAATTCATCCACGTAAAAAAAAACCACTTATACTCCAAATGCTGTTGAAATAAAATTTTAAAAAAAATTTAAGAAAAGAGGTACAGGGAAGAAGTATGAACTGGAAGCAGACAGAGTTAATTTCATACTTCAGTATTCTCAGTCCTTGATTGAATTAAGGTAAATGAGAATTGCTAGTGTCCATAGCTGCATAGCAGAAACAAAATAAATCTTGTCTGGATGAAAAGAACATTCTTCCAGCTTCAAAATATCTCTATGATTTTTTAAATATTCAGTGACTCTCATTCATCATAAACACATTCATGTTTGGAGGTAAATGAAACAACATGATAGAAAACCAAGAGGAAAAAGCACACACTAGAAACAAACACATACTTATACTGGAGTTACCCATAGAGATTTTTAAATTACTATGTTTAATATGTTCAAACAGCTAAAAGGTAAGATTGAATGATTTACAGTAAAATGAATACAATAAGAAGTCAAAAAGAGATTTGCTATGTAAAAATATATATCTGAAATTAATAATTAAATGAATACATTTAACTGCAAGGTAGGCATAAAGAATTAGAAGAAAATTTACCAACTGAAGTATTGAGACAAAAAAAGAATAAAAAGAGAAAAGGGCAAAAGGGATTAAAGGATACAGTAAAATTAGTTAAGATATATGAACCAGAAAACAAGAATAAAAGAAAAAGAATATAGAAGAGATATTCTACAAACCTTAAAAAGCAAGCAAGTCTCAAAAATTTTCAAAGTACTATAATATTGAACAGACAGTATATGCCAGAATTTTTTTAACAAGAAGATAACTAGTAGATCCCCTCATACATTGGAAAATAAAAAATATAATTTGAAATAATCCATTATTCACATAAGAAATCATAATGAAATTTAATTAAATGACAAAAGATACTTGTTAAAACTTATACAATGAAGATAAAATGTTACAAAAATCATATAAGTTTAAACATATGTATTAGAAATGGAGAAAGGCTGAAAATTAATTATATAGACTTTCACTTCAAAAAGTCAGAAAAAATACCAATTAAACTCAAAGTAAGTAGAAAGAAATCAACAATAAAAATAAAAGCAAGAAATAATGGACAGAAATATTAATGGACAAATCAAGTATACAATAGAGAAGATTAACAAAACCAAAACCCAGTTTTCAAAAGGATTAACAAAATTTGTAAAACACTGCTGACACTGATAAAGGGAAAAAAGGGAAAGAATGTCCTAAAATCAAAAACGTAAGAGAAAACATCAGTCCAGATGCAATAAATGATAAACGATAAAATGGTCTGAAGATAAACAACTTTGTAAAATTAAATTTGAGAATAAGTGGACAAATTTCTAGAAAAATACAACTTACCAAAGCTGACATAAAAGTAAATACAAAATTTGACTATCTCATAGCTATTTTTAAAAACTAAATTCATAATTAATTTAAGACTTCCCCAAGAAAACTCAAGGATCAGAGTCTAGCTGCTGAATTCTACCAAATTTTGAAGAATAAATAATACACAATCTTACACATGTTCTTCCAGAGAATAACTTAGATACCAAAACCTGTTAATGGCGTTATAAGCAAGAAAAATTACAGGCCAATCTCTTTTATAAATATAGATGGAATGATCCTCAGCAAAATATTAGCAAACCAAAAAAAAAAAAGGAAGGAAAGAAAGAAGGATAATACTGAGTCAAAGCATGTCATGACAAAATACAACAGCATGCTGTCCCCAAGAACTCACTTAGACTTAAGAACACACATAGGATGAAAATCAAGTGATAATAAGGGTACCTTTGCAAATGGTAACTGCAAGAACCGCAAGATAACCCGCAAGGGGTGTGTGTCCTTATCCCACACAAAATAGACATTAAATCAAAACCTGTCATAACAGGCTATGAAGGACATCATATAATAAGAAAAGGGTCAATTCTCCAGAAAAATATAACCGTTATAAATATATGTTCATCCAACATCAGAGCACCTAAATAAATGAAGCAAACACTGAAAGAATTGAAGGGAGAAACAGCAACACAATAAGAGAAGGAGATTTTGATAGCCCACTTTCAATACTTTATCCATTATAAAATATCCAAACAGAAGATCAATAGGAAAACAGAAAACTTGAACACTATAGTCCCAATGGACCTAATAGGCATATACAGGGCATTCCACCCAGCAACAACAAAATACACATTCTTCTCAAGTGTATTATAGGAGCGTTCTCCAGGATAGATTACATGTTAGGTCAAAAAACAAGTCTTAACAAATCTAAGAAGATTGAAACCATATCAAGTCTTTCCTCATAACCATGTAATGAAACTAGAAATCAATATCAGAAAATCTAGAAAATTAACAAGGATGTGAGAATTAAACTACACCCTCTGGAATAAGCAGTGGATCAAAATGAAATCAAAAGGGAATTTTAAAAATATCTTGAGGCCAGGCGTGGTGACTCACACCTGTAAACCCAGTACTTTGGGAGGCCGAGTTCGGCGGAACACTTGAGGTCATGAGTCTGAGACCAGCCTGGCCAATACGGAAAAGCCCCGTCTCTAACAAAAATACAAAAATACAAAAATTGGGTGTGGTGGTGTGCACCTGTAGTCCCAGCTACTCAGAAGGCTGAAGTAGGAGAATCGCTTGAACCTGGGAGGCAGAGATTGCACCACTGCACTCCAGCCTGGGTGACAGAGAGACACTCCATCTCAAAAAAAGAAAAGAAAGGAAAAAAAGAAAAGAAAAGAAATGTTGAGGCAAATGAATATACAAACACATTTTAGATTAGCATTTGAATTAGTAAACTGCATAAAAAAGATCCAACATGAGCTGACATCATCCAATCCATTGAGGGCCCAAATAGAGCAAAAAGGCAGAGGAAGAGCAAATTCTCTATTCTTGAGCTGGAGTATCCATCTTCTTCTGCTCTCAGATATCTGAGCTCCTGGTTCTCAAACATTCGGATTCTGGGACTTACACCTCCAGCTCTCTCAGTTCCCACAGTTCCCAGGACTTTGATTTCAGACTGGGAGTTCCACCACTGGCTCCACCAGTTCTCAGGCATTTGGATTCAGACTGAATTACACCACCAGCTTTCCTGGCTTTACATCTGGCAGGTGGCAGATAGTGAGACTTCTCGCCCTCCAACACCACATGAGCCACCTCCCATAACAAATTTCCTTAGTTTTTTTTTAATTTTATTTTTTTTATGTTGGTTCAGTTTCTCTGAAGAACGCTGACTAATACAAATTGGTCATCTCAATAGATACAGAAAAGACATTTGATAAAACCCAAGTCCTTCCATGATTTAAAAAAAAAAAAAAAAAAAAAAAAAAAAAACAAAAAACACTTAAACCAGGAGTAGAAGGAAATTACCTCAACATAGTAAATACATGTATAAAAAGTTCATAGTTAACATCATATTCAGCAGTGAAAAACTGACAGCTTTTCCTCTAAGATAAAGTACAAGACAAGATTATCCACTTTTACCACTTCTATTCAACATAATACTGAATGTCCTAGCCAGAACAAGTAGGCCAAAATAAAAAAGAAAGTGAAAAAGGAAAAGGTACCTGAATTATAAAGGAAGTATAATCATCTCTGCTCACAGATGATATTATCTTATATGTGGAAAACCTTAAAGCATCTACCGATAAAGTAATAGTATTAACTAATTTAGTGTGCTATTTATCTATTGCTGCATAGCAATTTCTCATACGTTTAGAGACTTAAAACAACACACATTTATAGTCTCACAGTTTCTCTGGGTCAGAAATCCAGTTTGGTTCTCTGCTTCAGAATTTTTCATGAGGCAGTTATCAAAGTGCGAGCCACAGCTGCAGACTCTTCTGAATGTTTAACGGGAGAAGGACATGCTTCCAAGCTCCTATGGTTGTTAGCAGAATTCAGTTCCTTATGGTTGTAGATATGAGAACTCCATTTCTTGCTAGCTAATGATCAGAGGTTATCCTCAGTTCTCAGTTAGTCATTGGCCTGAAGTCACCCTTAGTTCTTTGCCAAATGGGCCTCCCCAACATGACCACTTACTTCATTGAAACCAGCAAGGGAGAGAATCTCCTAGCATAGCAGACATTATAATCTTAACATATCACATTTGCCAAATTCTATTTGTTACCGTTAAGTCACAGTTTCCATCCACAGACAAGGGGGGATTATACACGGACATGAGTATTAAAAAAAAAATAGGACAGGGACAATTAGGAGCTATTTTAGAGTCTGTACACCACATTGTAAAAGATAGCTGAATACAATCAATATGTTAAATATTGTTTAGTATGGTCAATATGTTAAAATTCCTTCTGGTGTCTCTCAGGTTTATCACAGCAACCTTTCTATTGTGAATTTCTATTAACAATAGAAAAGATATGGAATCAACCTAACTGTCCATAAGTGGATGGATAAAGAAAATGTGGTATATTACACAATGGAATACTATTTAGCTATAAAAACAGTAAAATCATGTCATTTGCAGCAACATGGACGGAACTGGAGAATATTAAGTGAAATAACCTAGGCACAGGAAATATCACACGTTCTCACTCATCATTTTAGATCAGCTAAAAATGTTGATCTTATAAATGTGGATAGTATAATGATAAATACTGGAGGCTAGGAAGGGTGGGTGGGTGTCTAGGAGGGAGAGATGAAGAGATGTAGGTTAATGAGTACAAATATACAGTTAAATAGAAGGTAGAAGTTCTATTAGTCAACAACAAAGTAGAGTGACTATGGCCAAAAGCAATGTATTGTCTATTTCAAAGTAGCTAGAAGACTTGGGTTGTTCCCAGCACATGGAAATAATAAATACTCAAAGCGATGGAAACCACAAATACCCTGACTTGATCATTACACATTCTAAGTGCATCACCAAATATCACCTGTACCCCATAAATATGTAATGTATTATGTATCAATAAAAATAAAATTAATATAAGTATATTAATTTTTTAAGTTATTGTGTAAAACCATTTTTGCTGGTATATAAAAACAGAAGTAATTTTAACAAATTATACTAGAGATCATATTTAGATAAATATATACACACATACAGAAAACCATAAAAACAATTATGACAATAATTTATACCAAAGTCTAGATAATGTTGCCTTCTGGAAATAAAAAGAAAGGTAAAGAATATAGGAGAGGCTAGGTGTGGTGGCTCACACCTGTAATCCCAGCACTTTGGGAGGCTGAGGCTGGCAGATCACTTGCGGTCAGGAGTTCAAGACCAGCCTGGCCAACATGGTGAAACCTCGTCTCTACTAAAAATACAAAAATTAGCCAGGCATGCTGGTGCACGCCTGTAATCCCAGGTACTTGGGAGGCTGAGGCACAAGAATCCCTTGAACCCAGGAGGCTGAGGTTGCAGTGAGCCGACATCGAGACACTGCTCTCCAGCCTGGGCAATAGAGTGAGACTCCATCTCATAAGAAAACAATATATAGTAGAGAGTCATAGATTTCTTCAACTTTATTTGTAATGCTTTTGTATTTAAGTAAAAGAAAACTATTCTAATTTAAAAAGCAAATCATTTTTAAAATTGGATAAAACTATATCAGATTACAGTATGGTTCATTTATACTCTCTAGTTATCTGTGTGTGAAATTTTCATTAAAATAAAAGACAAATGAAAGAGCAAAGTATTAGCAGCAATTCCACTCTGAAACTCCTTTTTAGAAAAAAAGAAAGCAAGCTTTTTTCTTCACACACAGCTAGCAAAATTGGATGGCAAGAAGTCACTTACCTGTGATGTTCTCACTCACACGTGGAAGCTTAAAATAAAAGTTGATTTCATGGAGGCAGAGAGTAGCATGGTGGTTACCAGAGGTTGGGAAAGTCAGAGGAAGGAGATGATGAAAAGAGGTTGGTTAATGGTTACAAAAATACAGCTACATAGAAGGAATAAGTTCTTGTGTTCATAGCACAACAGTTTAACTATAGTTAACAATAATTTATTGTCTATTTTGAAATAGCTAGAAGAGAAAATTTGGAATGTTCCAAATACAAAGAAATGATAAATGGTTGAGGTGATGGATTTCCCAATGATCCTGATTTGGTCATTACATTGTATGCTTGTATCAAAATATCACACATAACCCCATAAATACGTACAAATACTATGTTTCAATTAAAAAGTCGCTTACCTGTTTCTAGGGGTTAGATCAGGCTTAAATTGAGGATTAACTGTTCTGTCTGATTTATCGAGCAGCCACGGTTTGGAGACAGAAAGTTCTTAAGAGATCTGTGGCTTCAGAGACTCTAGGAAAGAAAGAAAACTGAGACTCAAAGCAGCAAAAAAACTCAGCTGGCAGCATGCCAACTGCCACTAACTTTCTTTTTCCTCACTAGGAAGAGAAAGAAAGAAACCTGAAACTCAAAGCAGCAAAAAAACTCAGCTGGCAGCATGCCAACTGCCACTAACTTTCTTTTTCCTCACTAGGAAGAGAAAGAAAGAAAAAAAAAATCTTGCTGAGCACATAAAAACTATCACTGGTCCCCTTGTATGTATGTAGGCAGGCATGAAATGATAACTACCAAGAAGAAACTGCAGTAAAGCTAATAGTTAACATTTCTTGTGCATTTTTCTACTTCCCTCGTTTGTCCTACATTTATTAATTGGAATTTAGAGTTGTACGTGGCATTGTGTAACTGCATACCTTTTCCTAATTTCTCCTCAGAACAACTGCGTACAGTAAACACTATGACTATCCCTATTTCTTAAAGTACAAAAAAAAAATTTAGCTGATAGAATCGTGGAGCTGGATGCTGTTCAAAGCCAAGCCTGTCTGCACTGGAACAAACAGATGATGATTCGGCTTTTGCTGAATTCATAAGGCATTACACTGTTCATTTGCTCATTTACTCCTTCACTCAGTCCACACTGGCATAGACCCTGGGGAAGGATAACGGTGGGTAAGATTTAAAACATAAAAATTAAAATGAAAAAAATGCCCTCAAAGAGAGTGCTGTATACTCAAGAAGACAGTCAGACACAGACAACTGAATTACTGGGCTAAGGACTAAACAAGATTCTCTGAAAGCCAGGAGAACAGTAGCCTCATCCAGTCTTGGGGCACTTGTAAAAGGCTTGCTAGCAAATCAAAGTTTAAACTGAGACATGAAATGAAAGCAAGGAAGTCAGGAGAACACGGTGTCATCAGGGCCATCCAAGTATTTCGGTCTGTCTGGAATGGAGTGACAGCATTGGATTCATAAGCGGTGGGGCTAGGGAGGTGACGAGGGTGCAAGAGGGCCTTGCAAGTTTTTAATTAAGTTGGATTTTATCATTAAGACAATGAGAAGTTATTAAGGCTCTAAAAGCAGAGGAATGGCATATCAAAATTGAATGTCTTAGAAAAAAAGGGTGTATCAGTTTTATCTTACTTTGTAACAAGTTATCACTATCCACAGGCTTTAAAACAATTCAAATATATTATTGCACAGTTTCCATGGATTAGGAGATTAGCATGACTCAGCTGGATTCTCTGCTCAGGGTCTGTCACTCAAGGTGTTAGCCAGCTATCGTGTCATATCAGTCTCCAATAAAAGGAAACAAGGCTACTTGGAGAAATGTTTGACTACAGGTCTGGGATCACAAAACTACAAAATGAACGTAGAATATCTTCTCATGCCAGAAAGTAAGAAGATGCTCAAAAACAAATGGGGCGTATCAGAAGGCAGAGAAATGACCAAAAGCCGAACAATTTGAGAGAAAAAAACAATAAGAGTATTGGATTATCACCATAGAATAAAGTAAATATCTATACTGATATAAATAAATAACTGAGTAAGTAAATAAATGAGTGAGAATTCACAATTCTAAATTCCAATTAATAAATGTAGGAAAAATTAGTGAAGTAGAAAATCAGTATTAGGTAAACTCTATAGTAATAAATGTTTATAGGCATCATCCAGCAATGTATGCTAAAATTAATGAGTATAAATTTGGAGAGAAATAGAATATTTATATAGCCTCAAAGACTCTCCCCTGGTATATTTATTAATTTCAAAAGAAAAAAACAGTAACTTTAAAGTAGATAAATCCTACAGATACCACCTCAAATAAACGATCAAAGTTAACATTGCCAGGATGGGCATATTGATGCCAGGTACCCCAGTTATCATTCACAGAGAAGAGTGCATCGCTTGTGTGGTATTTTTGCATAACTTTCATCTAATCATGAGAAAACATCAGACAGACTCAAACTGAAGGACATATTATAAAATAACTTCCCAGAATTCTTCAAGTGTCAAGATCCTGAAAGACAAGGAAAGACTAAGGAACTGTCACAGACTGGAGGAGACTAAAGAAACAACTAAATACATTGTGAGATCTTAAATGGATCTTGGGACAGACAAAGGACACTAATAGAAAAACTAATGAAATTTGAATGAGATCTGTGATTTAGTTAATAATATTATACCAATGTTAATTTCTTGGTGTTGATAATTTTACTCTGGTTATGAGAAATGTTAATTTTAAGGAAAGTTGAATCAAGGGTATATGAAAACTTTCTGTACTATATTTCAACTTTTCTGTAAGTGTGAAATTATTGCAAAAAAAATTAAAGGACAACTTTCTTACAACGAAAATCCCCAACCCCCATGACTTTGCTAGTGAATTATTTTAAATATTAGACAATGAAGAGGTCCTGGCAGGCTGATAGCCAGACCATGGATGTGACTGTGGCTCGCGAAATGCCAGAAAAGTGCTTATGGCGCTGCACTGGTAACAACTGCTGGAAATTCACACTCTATGCTACTGGGGAAAGCTGGTGGGAGGGAAATGTCTCACCCGAGTCACATTGCTACAAAACCACCTTAGGGGCATACTGAGGAAAGCTGAAAGCTGCTAGGCTCTGCTGGCCACCATGGACTCACTGCAGGAGCTTGGCACTGGAATAGCTGTGCCTGCTGCAGAAGCTGGCCCTGGGAAGTAACACGTGCTTCAAAATCTGCAGAACCAGAGAGCAAAACTTTCTCTTGCAATGTCTCTTCAGCGCCCTCTACTGACAAAAGTTAAGTTTATGCCGGCTGACAAAGGAAAAACATTTAAAGGGACTGTTTCCATTTTCAGAGACTGGGCAATGCATGAGTTTGGAGCTGAGGGAATAAATTGATAACTGGAGCAAAAGAAAATGAAACTAGAAGACGTAATATTATAAAACCTTCATAAACATGTGCAATAGTCTGGATGCTTGCATCGCCCCTCTAAATTCATTTTTTTAAACATTAGATTCAGGGTTACTGGTGCAGGTTTGTTGCATAGGTATATTATGTAACGCTGAAGTTTGGGCTTCTAGTGAAAGCATTACTCAAATAGCGAACATAGTATCCAATAGATAGTTTTTCAAGGCTTTGCCCTCTTCCACCTCTCTTTTGGAGTCCTCAACATCTACTATTTCCATATTTATATCCATGTGTACCCATTGTTTAGCTCCCACTGTAAGTGAGAACATCTGATATTTGATTTTTTGATTCCGAGTTATTTCACGTAGAAAAACGGCCTCCAGCTCCACCCATGTTGCTGCAAAGAACATGAATTTATGCATAGTATTCCATCGTATGAAATATGTGCCACATTTCCTTTATCCAGTCAACTACTGATGAACACTTAGATTGATTCCACGACTTTGAGATTGTAAATGATGCTGCGATAAACATAAAAGTGTAGGTGTCTTTTTGGTAAAGTGATTTCCTTTCCCTTAAGTAGATACCAATAGTGGGATTGCTGGGTCAAAGAGTAGTTCTATTTTTAGTTCTTTGAGAAATCTCCATACTGTTTTCCATAGGACTTGTACTAATTTACATTCCCACCAGAAGTGTATGGCATTCTCTTTTCTGCACATCCTCACCAACATCTGTTATTTCTTTACTTTTTAGTAATAGCCATTCTGTCTGGTGTGAGATGATATCTCACTGTGGTTTTAATTTGCATTTCCCTGACAATTAGTGATGTTGAACATTTTTCATATGTTTGTTGGCCTCTTTTCTGTCTTCTTTTGAGTAATGTCTGTTCATGTCCTTTGCCCACTTTTTAAAGGGGTTATTTTTCTGTTGATTTGTTTGTATTCCTTATAGATTCTGGACATTAGTTCTTTGTCAGATGCATAGTTTGCAAATATTTTCTCTCATTTCGTAGGTTGTCTGTTAACTCTGTTGCTTCTTTTTCTGTGCAAAAGCTCTTTAGTTTAATTGAGTCCCATTTCTCTATTTTTGTTTTTGTTGCATTTGCTTTTTAGGTCTTAGTCATAAATTATTTGATTAGGCCAATGTCCAGAAGAATTTTTTCCTACGTTTTCTTCTATGATTTTTATACTCTCAGGCTTTACACTTAATGTTTTCATCCACCTTTAGTTAATTTTTGTATATGGTGATATATGGGGTCCAGTTTCATTCTTCTGCATGGCAAGTCAGTTTTCCCAGTACCATTTACTGAATAGCGTATCCCTTCCTCATTGTTTATTTTTGTCAGTTTTGTAAAATATCAGTTTGTTGTAGGTATGGGGCTTTATTTCTGAGTTCTCTATTCTGTCCCATTGAACTATGTATCTATTTTTGTACCAGTACCATGCTGTTTTGGTTACTACAGCCACATAGTATAAAGTCAGGTAATGTAATGCCTCTGGCTTTGTCCGTTTTTGCTCAGACTGTTTTGACTTTTGGGTTCATTTTTGGTTCCATATGAATTTTAGAATTGTTTTTTCTAATTCTGTGAAAAATGACTACAGTAATTGAATCTGTAAACTGATTTGGGAAGTATGGTCATTTTAATGATATTTATTTTTCCTATTCATGAGTATTAGATGTTTTTCCATTTGTTTGTGTCATCTACAATTTCTTTCCTCAGTGTGTCATAATTCCTATTGTAGAGATCTTTCACTTCCTCAGTTAAATGTATTCCTAGGCAATTTTTTGTGTGGACACAGAAAAAGCACTTGATAAAATACAACATCTCATTATGATTTTTTTTAAAAACCCTCAACAAACTAGACCTCAAAGGGACATACCGGAGCCATCTCTGACAAACCCACAGTCAACACCATACTGAATGGACAAAGGTTGGAAGCGTTCCCCCTAAGAACTGGAACAAGTCAAGGATGCCTAATCTCACCACTCCTATTAACATAGTACTGGAAGACCTAGCCAGAGCAATCAGGCAGGAGAAAGAAATAAAAGGCATCCAAATTGGAAAAGAGGGAGTCAAATTATCTCTGTTTGCTGACAACATGATCTTATACCTAGAAAGCCCTAAAAATTCCTCCAAAAGACTCCTAGACCTGATAAATGGATTCAGTAAAGTCTCGGGAAATAAATTTAATGCACAAAAATCAGTTGCATTTCTATATACCAACACTGCCCTAAATTCATATGTTACAACCTAATCACCAATGTGATGGTTTAAGGATGTGGGCCCTCTAGGTGGTAATTTGGTCACGGGGGCAGGCTTTTATAAATGAACTTAGTGCTTTTATAGAAGAGGCCTCAGAGAGCTGCCTTCCTCTTACTCTGTGTGAGGACACAGCAATACATTACTATCTATAAACCAAAAAGCAGCCCTCATCAGACATTGAACCTATTGGCTCCTTGAACTTGGACTTCTCAGCCTGCAGAATTGTGAGAAATAAGTTTGTTTTGTTTAAAAGCTACCTAGTTTATCATATTCTGTCATAGCAGCCAGGAGAGATTAAGACAATTAGATGCTATGTTATTAACGCAAAGAGAGACAAATTGACCAATTGAACAGAATAGAGCCCAGAGACAGACTCACACATAGACTATCACCTGATTAATGACAAACAAGACATGGGAATACAATGGAGAAAATGGAGAAACCACTCAATAAATGGTTCTAGGTCAGTTGATAGGCACAGAAGACAAATTAATTTTGACCCATACCTCATACCATACTTAAAAATAAATTCCAAATGGATTGCAAACTTGTATGTGAAAGGTAAAACAATCATACTTTTAGAATTAAAAGTTTTAGAACATTTCCAGGCTTTGGCGTAGACAGAGCATTCTTAAAGGCAAAAAGGTGCTAACCCCTTAAAATAATAAAATTAAAATTTGAAAATTAAGAACTTCTTATCAAAGACACACAACTTAAAATAAAATCCTGCAAAGTTAAAGAAGATATTTCCCATTCCTATATTCAACAGAGAACTTCAGACTACTTAAAGGACAACTGCAAATCAACATAGACAAACAATAGAAAAATTAGGTACTTCAGAAATAGTCAATATACATATATAAAAGTATTCAACTTCATCAGTAATCAAGAAAAGGACAATGAAAACTACAACGAGATACCACTACTCACCTGCAATATTGACTAAAATCAGAAAGGTCAACCAAGTTTTAACTAGAATGTGGCACAGCGGAAATTCTGGCTGTAGAAATACAAGTTGGTACAATTACTTTACAAACTGGAAAGCAATATTAACAAAAGCTGCACATCTGTGTACCTCATGCTCCAGTAATTCTACTCCCATTTATGCATAATCATATGCAAATTTGTCACAGGACATGTACAAAAGTGTTCATAGCAGCCTTATTTTATAGTGAAAATTATTCAAATGCACAATGGAACAAATAAATATATTATCGTGTATTCACAACTGGAATACTGTAGAGCAGTGAGAATAAATGAACCATATATACACACAATCTGTACAGATGAATCCCACAAACATAATGTTAAGTGAAAGAAACCAGATGAGAAAAAATACGCACCATATGACCCCATTTATCAAAGTTCAAGCATAGTCAAAACCTACTTATGGTGTTAAAAATTAGAATAGCGACTATTTTTGCAGGGGTAGTGACTAGAAATGGAAACAAGGTGAACATCCTGAACGCTAATAATATTCTTATTCTTTACCTGTGTGCTGATTACAGTGGTGTTTCAATTTGTGATAATTCATGGAGCTGTAAGTTTATGATTTGTATTGCTTTCTGTATATGTGTTATATTTTAATAATTTTTTTCTTTTTTTATTATACTTTAAATTCTAGGGTACATGTGCACAACGTGCAGATTACATAGGTATACATGTGCCATGTTGATTTGCTGCACCCATCAACTCGTCATTTACATTAGGTATATATCCTAATGCTATCCCTCCCCCAGCCCCCTACCCACCGACAGGCCCCGCTGTGTGATAGTCCCCGCTCTGTGTCCATGTGTTCTTATTGTTCAACTCCCACCTATGAGTGAGAACATGTGATGTTTGGTTTTATGTCCTTGTGATAGTTTGCTTAGAATGATGGTTTCCAGCTTCATCCATGTCCCTGCAAAGGACATGAACTCATTCTTTTTTATAGCTGCATAGTATTCCATGGTGTATATGTGCCATATTTTCTTAATCCAGTCTATCATTGATGGACATTTGGGTTGGTTCCAAGTGTCTTTGCTATTGTGAATAGTGCCACAATAAACATACGTGTGCATGTGTCTTTATAGTAGCATGATTTATAATCCTTTGGGTGTATATCCAGTACTGGGATCACTGGGTCAAATGGTGTTTCTAGTTCTATATCCTTGAGGAATCACCACACTGTCTTTCACAATGGTTGAACTAATTTACACTCCCACCAACAGTGTAAAGGTGTTCCTATTTCTCCAAATCCTCTCTAACATCTGTTGTTTCCTGACTTTTTAATGACCGCCATTCTAACTGGCGTAAGATGGTATCTCACTGTGGTTTTGATTTGCATTTCTCTGATGACCGGTGATGATGAGCACTTTTTCATATGTCTGTTGACCACATAAATGTCTTCTTTTGAGAAGTGTCTGTTCATATCCTTCACCCACTTTTTGATGGGGTTGTTTGTTTGTTTTCTTGTAAATCTGTTTAAGTTCTTTGTAGATTCTGGAATATTAGCCCTTTGTCAGATGGGTAGATTGCAAAGATTGTCTCCCATTCTGTAGGTTGCCTGTTCACTCAGATGATAGTTTCTTTTGCTGTGCAGAAGCTCTTTAGTTTAATTAGATCCCATTTGTCTATTCTGGCTTTTGTTGCCATTGCTTTGGTGTTTTACTCATGAAGTCTTTGCCCATGCCTATGTCCTGAATGGTATTACCTAGGTTTTCTTCAAGTGTTTTACGGTGTTAGGTCTTACATTTAAGTCTTTAATCCATCTTGGGTTAATTTTTGTATACAGTGTAAGGAAGGGTTCCAGTTTCAGCTTTCTACATATGGCCAGCCCGTTTTCCTAGCACCATTTATTAAATAGGGAATCCTTTCCCCATTGCTTGCTTTTGTCAGGTTTGTCAAAGATCAGATGATTGTAGATGTGTGGTGTTATTTCTGAGGCCACTGTTCTGTTCCACTGGCCTATTATATCTGTTTTGGTACCAGTACCATGCAATTTTGGTTACTGTAGCCTTGTAGTATAGTTTGAAGTCAGGTAGCATGATACCTCCAGCTTTGTTCTTTTTGCTTAGGATTGTCTTGGCTATGCAGGCTCTTGGCTATGCAGGTTCCATAAGAACTTTAAAGTAGTTTTTTTTTCCAATTTTGTGAAGAAAGTCAGTGGTAGCTTGATGGCGATAGCACTGAATCTATAAATTACCTTGGGCAGTATGACAATTTTCATGATATTGATTCTTCTTATCCATGAGCATGGAATGTTCTTCCATTTGTTTGTGTCCTCTTTTATTTTGCTGAGCAGTGGTTTGTAGTTCTTCTTGAAGAGGTCCTTCACATCCCTTGAGTTGGATTCCTAGGTATTTTATTCTCTTTGTAGTAATTGTGAATGGGAGTTAACTCATGATTTGGCTGTCTATTATTGGTGTATAGGAATGCTTGTGATTTTTGCACATTGATTTTGTATTTTGAGACTTTGCTGAAGTTGATTATCAGCTTAAGGAGATTTTGGGCTGAGACAATGGGGTTTTCTAAACGTACAATCATGTCATCTGCAAACAGAGACAATTTGGCTTCCTTTTTTCCTAATTGAATACCCTTTATTTCTTTCTTTTGCCTGATTGCCCTAGTCAGAACTTCCAACACTGTGTTGAGTAGGAGTGGTGAGAAAAGGGATACTTGTCTTGTGCCAGTTTTCAAAGGGAATCCTTCCAGCTTTTGCCCATTCAGTATGATATTGTCTGTGGGTTTGTCATAAATAGCTCTTATAATTTTGAGATACATTCTATCAATACTTAGTTTACTGAGAGTTTTTAGCATGAAGCCCTGCTGAATTTTGTCGAAGGCCTTTTCTGCATCTATTGAGATAATCATGTGGTTTTTGTCATTGGTTCTGTTTATGCAATGTATTACGTTTATTGATTTGCGTATGTTGAACCAGCATTGCATCCCAGGGATGAAGCCCACTTGATCCTGGTAGATAAGCTTTTTGATGTGCTGCTGGATTTGATTTGCCAGTACTTTATTGAGGATTTTTGCATCAATGTTCATCAGGGATATTGGCCTAAAATTATCTTTTTTTGTTGTGTCTCTACCACGCTTTGGTATCAGGATGATGCTAGCCTCATAAAATGTGTTAGGTAGGATTCCTTCTTTTTCTATTGATTAGAATAGTTTCAGAAGGAATGGTACCAGTTCTCCTTTCTACCTGTGGTAGAATTCAGCTGTGAATCCATCTGGTCCTGGACTTTTTTTGGTTGGTAGGCTATTAATTATTGCCTCAATTTCAGAACCTGTTATTAGTCTATTCAGAGATTCAACTAGTTCCTGGTTTATTCTTGGGAGGGTGTATGTGCCCAGGAATTTATCCATTTCTTCTAGATTTTCTAGTTTATTTGTGTAGAAGTGTTTATAGTATTCTCAGATGGTAGTTTGCATTTCTGTGGGATCGTTGGTGATATCCCCTTTATCATTTTTTATTGCATCTATTTGATTCTTCTCTCTTTTATTCTTTATTAGTCTTGCTAGCAGTCAATCAATTTTGTTGATCTTTTCAAAAAACCAGCTCCAAGATTCATTGATTTTTCAAAGGGTTTTTTGTGTCTCTATCTCCTTCAGTTCTGCTCTGATCTTAGTTATTTCTTGCCTTCTGCTAGCTTTTGAATGTGTTTGCTCTTGCTTCTCTAGTTCTTTTAATTGTGATGTGAGGGTGTCGATTTTAGATCTTTCCTGCTTTCTCTTGTGGGCATTCAGTGCTATAAATTTCCCTCTACACACTGCTTTAAATGTGTCCCAGAGATTCTGGTACGTTGTGTCTTTGTTCTCACTGGTTTCAAAGAACATCTTTATTTCTGCCTTCATTTCGTTATTTATCCAGAAGTCATTCAGGAGCAGGTTGTTCAGTTTCCATGTAGTTGTGCAATTTTGAGTGAGTTTATTAATCCTGAGTTCTAATTTGATTGCACTGTGGTCTGAGAGACACTTTGTTGTGATTTCTGTTTTTTATATTTGCTGAGGATTGTTTTACTACCAATTATGTGGTCAATTTTAGAATAAGTGCAATGTGGTGCTGAGAAGAATGTATATTCTGTTGATTTGGGGTGTAGAGTTCTGTAGATGTCTATTAGGTCCGCTTGGTCCAGAGCTGAGTTCAAGTCCTGGATATCTTTGTTAACCTCTGTCTTGTTGATCTGTCTAATATTGACAGTGGGGTGTTAAAGTTTCCCGTTATTATTGTGTGGAAGTGTAAGTCTCTTTGTAGGTCTCTAAGGACTTGCTTTATGAATCTGGGTGCTCTTGTATTGGGTGCATATATATTTAGGATATTTAGCTCTTCTTGATGAATGATCCCTTTACCATTATGTAGTGGCCTTGTTTGTCTCTTTTGATCTTTGTTGGTTTAAAGTCTGTTTTATCAGAGACTAGGATTGCAACCCCTGCTTTTTATTTTGCTTTCCATTTGCTTGGTAGATCTTCCTCCATCCCTTTATTTTGAGCCTGTTTGTGTCTTTGCACGTAAGATGGGTCTCCTGAATACAGCACACCGAGGGGTCTTGACCCTTTATCCAATTTGCCAGGCTGTGTCTTTTAATTGGGGCATTTAGTCCATTTACATTTAAGGTTAATATTGTTATGTGTGAATATGATCCTGTCGTTATGATGTTAGCTGGTTATTTTACTCCGTAATTGATGCAGTTTCTTCATAGCATAGCGTCAGTGGTCCTTACCATTTGGCATGTTTTTGCAGTGGCTGGTACCAGTTGTTCCTTTCCATGTTTAGTGCTTCCTTCAGAAGCTCTTGGAAGGCAAGTCTGATGGTGACAAAATCTCTCAGTGTTTGCTTGTCTGTAAAGGATTTTATTTCTCCTTCACTTATGAAGCTTAGTTTGGCTGGATATGAAATTCTGGGTTGAAAATTCTTTTCTTTAAGAATGTTGAATATTGGCCCCCACTCTCTTCTGGCTTGTAGAGTTTCTGCCAAGAGATCCACTGTTAGTCTGATGGGCTTCTCTATGTGGGTAAACCGACCTTTCTCTCTGGCTGCTCTTAACATTTTTTCCTTCATTTCAACCTTGGTGAATCTGACGATTATGTGTCTTGGGGTTGCTCTTCTCGAGGAGTATCTTTGTGGTGTTCTCTGTATTTCCTGAATTTGAACGTTGGCCTGCCTTGCTAGGTTAGGGAAGTTCTCCTGGATAATATCCTGAAGAGTGTTTTCTAACTTGGTTCCATTATCCCAGTCACTTTTCCAGTACACCAATCAAATGTATATTTGGTCTTTTCACATAGTCCCATATTTCCTGGAGGCTTTGTTCATTTCTTTTAACTCTTTTTTCTCTAATCTTGTCTTCTCGCTTTAATTCATTAATTTGATCTTCAATCACTGATATTCTTTCTTCCACTTGATCGAATCAGCTATTGAAGCTTGTTTTTAGCTTCCTTGCAATGGGTTAGAACATGCTCCTTTAGCTCGAAGAAGTTTGTTATTCACGACCTTCTGAAGCCTGCTTCTGTCAACTTGTCAAACTCATTCTCCACTCAGTTTTGTTCCCTGGCTGGAGAGGAGCTGCGATCTTTTGAAGGAGAAGAGGTGCTCTGTTTTCTAGAATTTTCCATTTTTCTGCTCTGTTTTCTCCCCATCTTTGTGGTTTTATCTACCTTTGGTCTTTGATGTTGGTGACCTACAGATGGGGTTTTGGTGTGGATGTCTTTTTTGTTGATGTTGATGCTATTCCTTTCTGTTTGTTAGTTTTCCTTCTAACAGGTCCCTCAGCTGCAGGTCTGTTGGAGTTTGCTGGAGGTCCACTCCAGACCCTGTTTGCCTGGGTATCACCAGCGGAGGCTGCAGAACAGCAGATATTGCTGCCTGATCCTTCCTCTGGAAGCTTCGTCCCAGAGGGGCACCCTCCTGTTTGAGGTGTCTGTCGGCCCCTACTGGGAGATGTTTCCCAGTCAGGCTACACGGGGGTCCAGGACCCGCTTGAGAAGGCAGTCTGTCTGTTCTCCAAGCTCAGATGCCATGGTGAGAGAACCACTGCTGTCTTCAGAGCTGTCAGACAGGGAAGTTTAAGTCTGCAGAAGCTATCTGCTGCCCTTTGTTCTACTATGCCCTGCCCCCAGAGGTGGAATCTATAAAGGCAGTAGGCCTTACTGAGCTGCAGAAGCAGTTCGTGCTTCCTGGCCTCTTTGTTTACACTGTGAGCTACCTTCAGCAATGGCGGACACCCCTCCCCACCATCAAGCTGCAGCGTAGCAGGTCAATTTCAGACTGCTGCACTACCAGTGAGCAAGGCTCCATGGGCATGGAACCCACCGAGCCTGGCATGGGAGGGTATCTCCTGGTCTGCTGGTTGCTAAGACTGTGGGAAAAGTGCAGTATTTGGTCAGAGTGTACCATTTCTCCAGGTACAGTCTGTCACGGCTTCCCTCAGCTAGGAAAGGGAAATTCCCCGACCCCTTGCACTTCCTGCAAGAAGCAATGCCCCCCTCTTCTTCAGCTCACCCTCTGTAGGCTGCACCCACTGTCCAACCAGTCCCATTGAAATGAACCAGGTACCTCAGTTGGAAATGCAGAAACCACCTGTCTTCTGTGTCGATCTCGCTGGGAGCTGCAGACCAGAGCTATTCCTATTCGGCCATCTTGGCAGTGACCAATAAATTGTTTTTAAAAAGAGAGGAGAGAAAAGCAAACAAAAACAAACAAATATGATCAAATCAAATTAGTGAATATGGTATAATTAACTCACAATTCAAGTGTACTGGGTCTAAGATTTTTAAAATCTAAAGTCATTTGGAAAAAAATCTTCTCTGGCCACAAGGGGGTTCTCTTGCTACATTCCTTTATTTACAAGGACTATTTTCTAGATTCTCTTGTTGGTGTTCTGATGCATTTTACTAATTTTTCTTCAAAAGGCTCAGCAAGGCACACTCTTCTGAAAATCTTTGTCTGTAAATCTATAGAATATAATATAAAGCATGAAGCTTCATTACAATTATCCTGAAAATGGTCATCCAACGAGTACTGGAATGTTTCTCCAAAAACTACCTGATTGCTAGAAAGTGCATTCTAACATAATATTTAAATCTACCTTTTGTAATTTCTAGCCTTTGTTATTGCTCTCTCAGGACCAAATTCTTTTGTTTTGTACAGAGTATACACTCCTATTAAGTCAACTGAAGTATTTTTATCAGCTATATCCTATCACAGACTTTGCTTAAACTGGCAGTTGGTTAATATCCACAGATGATTTTTTTCTGGAAGTTATATTTAAACCATCTGTACAATCTGCATTGCAAGACTTTGTTCATCCCTATTAACTTTCTGTTAAATTTAGACAATCATTTTAATAGATCACAATATTTTTATCTGACTTATTAAACTAGATTCCACAAATCTTTTGTTTTACACAAATGTACTGAATGCCTCATACCTCATAAAGTAAACATATAGTAGAAACTCAGTGATATTCATTTCATTTGATTTGGTAAAATAATATATTCAAGAACAAAGTAATTTGAATCCAAATAATAGTAAAATTAATGTTTTGGAGGGAAAGCCAGGAAAACATGCAGGTTGTTTATGTATGGGACTGGCAGGAAGAAAGAAACAAAGAACAACTCCTAGCTGTTTGGCTTAAGCAACTATTTGTATGGAGGTGTCATTTTCTGAACCAAAGGGAAACTCAGGAAAGATCATATTTGGCACAGGGACCCAAAAGTTCCATTTTGGACATACAAAGTTAGATGTTGAACAACCATGTGACATTTCTCAATCGGCTGTTGGACATGGGAGCGTTCAAGAGCTCCTTAAGAGGGCCTTTCACTGCATGATTTGTTCATCCCATTTATCTTCTCCTTCCCTCTCTCTACCCTTGAGCTGCTGTTTGAAAACTCCAGCAGTTAGATAATGTGCAGTGTGTCACTCCTCTACCCCCACAACCTAACATGCTCTGAAACAGCCATTGCTTTAAAAATAGAGTACAGTTTAACCAGTTTAACTTCTGCCTTGTAGGCAGAATATTTGTCTCATTTCTCTCCCCAGAGAGTAGTAAGTTGTCAGGGATAAGAAACTATTTTTTGTCCGTTTTTAGATTACCTGACCCAATGCTAATATTTATGTAAAACAGATTACCTGAAAAGAGATTATGTTTTAGTTGTTTTACTTATTTATCTATTTTTAAGACAGGGTCTCACTCTGTTGCCGAGGCTGGAGTGCAGTCGCCTGATCTTGGCTCACTGCATCCTCTACCTCCTGGGATTAATTGATTCTTCCACCTTAACCTCCCAAGTATCTGGGACTACAGGCGTTCATTATCACACTCAGCTAAGATTTTTTTATATTTTGTAGAGATGGGGTCTCACCATGTTGCCCAGGCTGTTCTTGAACTCCTGGGTTCATGGATTCACATTATCTGCCAGCCTCCTCAGCCTCCCGAAGTGCTAGGATTACGGTCATGAGCCGCTACACCCAGCCTATCTTTTTTTTTTTTTTTTTTTTTTGACAGAGTCACCTAGGCTGGAATGCAGTGACATGATCTTGGCTCACTGCAACCTCCACCTCCCAGGTTCAAGCAATTCTTCTGCCTCAGCCTCCCAAGTCTCTGGGATTACAGGTGCCCACCACCACCACACCCTGCTAATTTTTGTAGTTTTTTAGTAAAGACGGGATTTCACCATGTTGGCCAGGCTGGTCATGAACTCCTGACCTCAGGTGATCCACCCGCCTCAGCCTCCCAAAGTGCTGGGATTACAGCCATGGGCCACCACACCCGGAAAACACTTTTGAAGCCAGCTCAAAAACCAAAACTTTGATTTTTTTTTTTTTAAATGAGGCAGATACTCGTTGTTTGCCCAAATTAGATTTGTTTTCTCCACTAATCTGATAAAGCAAGTCAATCCTGGTAACAAACCAGTTTGGTAAAATAAATGAAGATTTCTCTAAACTGGAATTGGAGACCAATTAAATATCATTCTTACCAGATAACTTCACTTTCTGATTTAATTAAAGAAAAATACTTCTTAAAATCCACATTTTAGGCTATGCACGGTGGCTCATACTAGTAATCCCAACACTTTTAGGAGGCCGAGGTGGGAGAATCACTTAAACTCGAGAGTTTGAGACCAGCCTAGGCAACATAGCAAGAGCTCATCTCTACTAAAAATAAAAATTAAAAAAAAAATAGCTAGGCATGGTGGCTTATGACTGTAATCCCAGCCACTCAGGAGGCTGAGGCAGATGGATAGTTTGAGCCTGGGAGACTGAGGCTGCAGTGAGCTTTCATCGTACCCCTGCACTCCAGGTTAGGTAACAGAGCAAGACACTGTCTCAAAAAAAAAAAAAAAATCACATTTTAATTTTAGTCAGAATGTGAAATAATGAGAAGAGGAGAAGAGAGAGAGACAGAGAGAAAGAAAGACAGAGACAAGACAGAGACAGATTTCAGAGAAATACGTTGCCATGTTTACATTTAGGTTGGTCTTTGTCCCTTCAGTCCTCTCAGGCTGCTAACAAAATACCATAGACTGGGTGGCCTATAAACAACAGAAATTTATTTCTCATAGTTCTAGAGGCTGGGAAGTCTAGGATCAAGGCGCTGGTGGATTCCGTGTGTGGTGAGGGCCCACGTCCTCACAGACAGATGTGTTCTCACTCTAATCTCACATGGTGGAAGGGGCCAGGGGTCTCACTTGGGCCTCGTTTATAGGGGGATTGATCTCATTCATGAGGACTCTGCTTCCATAGCCTAGTTAACTCCCAAAGGTCCCACCTCCTAATATCATTTTAGTGGTGAGAATTTCAACATATAAATTTGGGGAGGACATAAACACTACTAAATAACAAACCTTAGAAGAATTATAAATAAAATTCTCTTTTCTTTCTTTAAAATGGCCATGAAATCATTTAGTTCTTGAAATTAAAGAAAAGCATTCAGATTCTACCAGATCAGAAAACAATGTTCCCTATAAGTGTTCAAAAATGGAAAGATATAGAATGATAAGACATATGTATATAAATAAAAGTTTCTCCTATTACTTGAAGTCTGATTTTCAATTTAGTGATAAATAGTGTGTTTTAGAAAACACCAAGTGTGTTGAAAATAATTCTTTAGGGCCAGTAGGACTTGCATTAGACTCTTTAGTTCCACACAGTGCCATTTACTTCCAATCAACAAATATAAATCCCATCTTGCATGTTCACTGCAGTAAATCATCGAAGTTTTAGCTTTCAAATCTCTTCAAAACTTTCCAAAAAATTAAATATAATATTAAGAGAATAATATTGATCAAGCATGACTTCTTACTCTGTTCCTAGAAAATCACATTTTATAGCACCTCTTTGTTTTATTCATATAGTTCTTGCTATCTGGCATTATATCTCAGTATATCTAAACTTTATCCTTGAACGTCAAGAAATGAAGTAACAGATGATAATGAGTGGCAGGGATGAACAGAGAAAATTCAAAACTGTTTTTTCATTATTATTAATTTACAAATTTTTATGGACCATCTCTTATGTGCTTTGTTACGACTGAGCTAAGCATCAAAGAGAGAGTGCTGGAAAAAAAAAAATATATATATATATATATATATAGTCCCTGTCATCACAGAGCTTCCATCTAATGCAAGAGACAGATCTTGAAAATACATTTATACAAATATTTTTAAATTATAGAATCTGATCAGTGTGATGGTAGGCATAAGTACTTAAATCTCCAGAGAGTTTTTCATTATGCAACAGATTTTTTTTAATGTTTGCATCCAGGTAGGATTGAATCCATTTGGATGTAAAATATGCATGCTCAGACACACTGGAATAAGATCACACATACTGACAAAAAAAAGGAAGGAACAATATCATTATAACCATTGGATTATAGTACTTTCAGACCACATATTAGCCAATAGCTTTGAAATATCAGTCAAAAATCTAGTTTTTGGTATCCTCAAAAATCTCTGGCATTTTATATGCGCAGTGAAAACATTACATCTAAGTATCTTTTGTGGTCATTCTCTGTAAATTCCTTAAATCCTAGTCAGTAATATTATTTCTGACTTATACAATCCTACAGCTAGGATTGATGAAGTATAGTCTGTCATAGAACTTATTCAGAAAAATTCAGTTTTGCATATAGGTTATATACACAACATTGTGTAAAAATGTTTATTCTTTTCCCAAAAAAAAGACCAATTTATGAAAGCTAAAGATCCTTTATAATTCCATTTTATTGGCACTGACACTCTCCAGATTCTCAATTTTTTTATCGTATAATATTCATTTGACTATACTTGATACCTTGCTTCAAATTTCAAAGTATCTAGAAATTAGTTTTTTATACTCCACAATTCTTACTATTGTTTCTCAAAATAGAAATATTACTTTTTTTCCTTCTATATAAAGTAATTAACCTTGGTGAAAGTAGCCCAACTCACTAACTCTTGGAATAGTTTCCATTTCATTATTTATCTTAAATTTAGAGGTCTTTCTCTCATGATTTCATAAATGTTTGATTCTATTTTAGGACTTTTTTAAGTTAACCACTGATAATTTAGTTTACTTTATGCAGCAGAGTACAATTCCCAATTGACACTCCTAGAATGAAACATCTTCATTAAATAATAAGATCCAGCATTAATCTGGCACCTAATGTCTGTGTGCTACCTTTGAAAAATTATACACCTCCATTATTTTAAAATGAATCATTGACATCAGTATTTTATCTTCTGCCTAACTAGTACTAGCAACATCCCGAAGAGCATGTTCCTTGGACTTAAGAAACCCCATTCATTTCCATGGCTTAACTGAAGCCATATGAAGCCTATATGTTCAAAGCTGCTATGTTACACTTGTACAGTCCTCCCAACTAAACTCCAGACTGTTGTGTTTAGCTGACAACTGGAAATATGAACTTTATCTCTAATGATATAAGGCACTTAAAACTCACCATTTTCTTCCCTAAACCTGACCTTCCTCTGTTCTCTAGCTTGAGTAGTATAGGCTTCCACCTAGTGTACCTAAATCGATGGCATTGGAATTAAATTTTATTCCTCCCTCTTCCTTGCACCCTAAATATAATTGTCACCAAGTCCTGGTAATCTGTCTCCTAAGCATTAGCTCTCTGTTCTGTCCTTCCCTCTCTATACTGACTGACATTGTCCCTGTTGGGATCATCACTGGACTCATCAGTGGATCAGACCATTGCCCTCAACTAGGCAAGAGTAACAGTCCCTCCAATACATTTTACTCACTGCTGTGAGAGGCATGGCATCTTTCTAAAATGCAAATCTTACATGATTTTCCTTTCTAAAATAGTTTGGTGATGCTTTCAGAATGATACAAATTCAGTAAGGCCCAGGTTCTCCAAGAATCTTCAGACTAATCTTTAACTACATTCCACCCTAAGCTCCAATGATACGATATTTCTAAAACACCATATTTTTACACGTGTGCATCTTTGAATAGACTCTTCCCTACACCCAGACCGAGAGTTCCCTTATTGTTACAATTCTGATCTTACCCTTCACTAATAGTCAGACAACCACAAGAAGCAGTACAGAATTCACCAATGGAAATAATGGCCATATATTTATATATTATGTATCATTATGATTTATTAAAATATTGAGCAATCCAGGAGGTAAATAATGTTGTTCTCACTTTATATATGAGAGAAAATGGTTCCAAAGAGTCTAACTGATCTGCCTAAGCCAAAATAAATCAAAGAAAGATGTATTCATATTGTGTTAATCAATGATTTTTAGTTTTATAAAAGAACAAGGAAAAATTAATTTATGCTTAAAGCTGCCAGGTGTTATTAAATTAATAATACCCCATATAGGCTTCAAATTTCCATTGTTTTCTACTTTTATGAAAGTAATATTGGACACTCTGTTGCCATGAGTTTAATGATTAATGTGTAGTTTTAGTATGTAGCTTCTAAAATTAGGAGATATTGAAAGGTGTTAGCAAATATTTGTTAAAAGGAAGGATAGTATTTCTCATGGAGATGATATTGTGTTACAATTTACACATGATGATTAGTGCAGGAAAATTAAGCACCTGTTTTGAGGAACACAGAGTGCAGGGATTGGGAGCCAACAGATGTTATTTCTATTAATATACAAAGAGCCTACTCATTTCCTATGCCCTATTCCGTTGCTATACTTTTGTAGCTGATAACTTCATTGGAAATATTAAGAAGTTATTATTTGCCTTTCATAATTTATGGCCTTTGGAAAGCTGAGCTCAAATGAAGCTTGGGTGTCTCACTGAGAAGCTAAATTTTAACCCAGATACCCAGCTAAGATGGCTGAGGCATAATACATTTTAGGAAAACTATAAGGCCAGATACATTTATGCTGATGGTTTGATACCTTACAAAAATAGGTGTACACTTGAGTGTTTACAATGAAACTCCAAGTTATTTCTACCTTAAGAGTTAGTGAACGCTTCCAGGAACCTTAAAAGAGCTTTACAAATATTGGCAGGCTTGTGTGTATAACATTCTTTGAAAGAAGAGGTTAAAGATAGCTGATAGATAATCAGATAGATAGGTAGAATATAAAATTATTATTAAAGAAAGGAAATGGAGAAAAAAACAACTAAATGATATTTCAAACAATGTTTTGACAGTAAAATAGTAATAGAGTCTAGATTCTGAAGTCTAATTCAGTCTGTGCCATTATAAAAGACTAGTTAAATTCTATTTATACAATGTATGGTGAGATAGGAGAAATTGAGATAAAGAAAAATAATCAATTTTGCCCAGTTTGTAATATTGTTAGGATGGAGTCATGTACAGTATGTTCTTATTTAAAAACAAATTTAGACATGTGTTAGTGTATTTGAGTTCTCATTATTTATTTTATTAATTTTCATCTTTTTATCCCAATTATGTTTTAGATTATTGGGTTTCCCTAAAACAATCAATTTTTAAATTTATCAATTTTCTTGTTTCATCTATTTTCTAGGTTTTTAATTTTTTTAATTTTTTATTTGCTCTATACTCTTTTGACATAAAAGTCATTCTTCATGTGTGATAGGAAACCAAACAATCAATTATCGTCAGGTTCCTAAGTGTATAGCTTTTGTCATTATGCTCTTCCTCTGAGCTTTCGAAATGAGATTACTTTTATCTTTCCTGCAGAATTTTTCCATTAGTCCACAGTACTTTCAAGATTTTTTGTTGTTGTTCATTTTCAAATTCCAGTGGTTAAATGATGAAATCAATCATTTTAAATTTTATCTGTTTGAACCATTTAAATATTTAAGGCCTTGAATTTGCTCTTGAGTATCTCTTTGGATACATTTCATGTTTTCATACAGCATAGCCTCATATTAGTTTTCTCTAAATAGTGTGAAATTGAGTTTGGATTTTATTTTATATCCAATAGTTATTTAGGTGAGCTTACTTAATAATTTATTTTTTAAATGTATATAAATTACTAAATTATTAATTTCTTAATTGAAATAGCTGTCCTTTAGATATAATTTGTTTCATTAGTTGAATGCTTTATAATGTTCTACAAATATTGTTTCTCTCTAGTTGTCTGTATACTTCTAGCATATTTTTACAAAAAATATTTCAAGTTTATATATTCTACTAAAATAACTCATGACTAATACTGTCATTGTAAACCATACTTGTTGATATGGTATTTTCCTGCTTAATTATTTGCCTTGAATTATCCTTTCTTTGAAATCTAATACTGCTTCCTCTGATTTTTTCTACTTGCCTTATAATCTTTTATCGTTCCTTTATTTTAATTAGCTGTGTGACTATAGCTTGGTGCAAACATAATTGCAGTTTCCGCAATTATTTTTAATGGCAAAAACCAAACCGCAATTACTTTTGCACCAACCTATAGTGACACAGCTGATTGTGTCAGTTTATTAGATATGCCTTTTATAAGAAGCATATTGTGGAACTATCCTTTTTAAATCAATATGAGATTATCATTATGCATTAGGGAGGATTAACCCATTTGTGTTTATTTTTTTTAACTGATGTAACTCCACTTATTTCGAATTTCCTTTTTTTAAAAAAATACTCCCAACTTTTTTGCATTTTATTACAGACTATATATTCTTAGCACTATCTACTCAGTGATTTAGGAGAGATACATCCTGCTTTTAAATGCTGCTAATTACGTTAATATTAAAAAACAAAAAGATGATAATTTCTCTGATTATCAAAGGATGAATTTGCCTCACCCCACTCCTTGTAAAATGAAAATTTACTTAGTTTTTGTTCTCTCTCCTCTATGTTTGTAAATATAATCTAAGCAGTTCAATATGTCATTAACATCAAATTATTATTTCCAATATTACATGTGTTTTCATTTAAAAACTACTTTTGAAATTTACTTGAGCCAAGAAATTCGGGACCAGCCCAGGCAATATGGGGAGACCCCATTGCTATAAAAATAAAAAATAAAAATAGCCAGGTGTGGTGGCCCACACCTGTTGTTGCAGCTACTCAGTAGGTTGAAGTTTGAGGATCACTTGAGACCAGGATGTCGAGGGTGCAGCGAGCTGTGAGTGCACCACTGCACTCTAACCTGGGTGACAGAGCAAGACCCTGTCTCAAAAAAATAAAGATAAATAAAATTAAATAACAGACAATAATTGCTTCTATTTTATTTTTATTGAAATGTTTTCTATGCTTATCCCATTCCTTTAGTACTGCAAATTCCTCATTCTTGGGTCATAAACCTTAATTTATTTCTCTATTAACTTGTGCATGTCTTGAAGTATTTCGTTCCCAAGAAGCCTGTTTTGGGAGAATATTCTCTGTACTATGGTGTATCTGAGTATATCCTTCCCCTTCAAAATTCTGTAAATGTTGACCCAAGGTCTCCTAGCAATTTCACCTCAGAGGGAGAAAAAAAAACTTACCCCAGCATAAATGTGTACTCTTTTTAGGTAAATAATTTGGTTTCCTTCTTATTCCTTTCTTTCTCTCTGTTTGGATGCTTAACACATTTCCTTTATCATACAAGCTTATTTCTTTTTCACATATAATGTTAAAAATTCAGAGTATCTTTCTATGGATTTTTAAATTAATTTTACTTTGAAAATAATAAGTCCTTTTAATGAGGCCTTTTATTTTACTACATAGGGACATTTTGTTCTTTTATAAAGTACTTCCTAAGGATTGCAATTAATTCTTCAGTGGGAGTTCTATTTTCTTTTTTCTATTTCTCTTACTAACTATTTCATCACTTTAATCTCTTAATTCATTTTCCTTTACACTCTAGGAGATTTTATCAAATCTGACCTCCATTATTTCTAATAAAACTGTCCCCAATATAAGTTTTGCTGTTTATTATCCCTAATGTGGCTTTTAATCTTTCTATTTCATTTCCAGTTTTTTGTTTATTTTATTCAGCTTTTTATCTCAGCCTCCTCTTTCATTGTACTTTATATTAATTCATCATTTCCAGAATGCCAGTGTTTTCTATATTTTTGGTGGTATATCTAATTTCCAGAGGTAGACTCTGCCTCTGAGGTTTTGGAATAATAGTATTTTTTCATTCCCAAATTTTTTTAGATAGATACATACGGTTTTGTTTTCTAACTGTTCTCCTGAAGCCTGGGTAGACTGATGTTTGTCAACTGAAAGAAACTTGAATTGTTCTCAGCCTTCCTCACTGTTCCCCCACATCCTGGTCAAATCTCCTCCTACAGATGAAGGGCTAATCATTAGACAGAAATCTTAGCTCATTTTCAAATATAATACTTATATTTATTAAGAAATATTTACATATTTGTAAAGACATACTTGCATACCTTGCAATGAGGCACTTTTGCTCTGTCACCCAGGCTGGAGTGCAGTGGCCCAATCCCGGCTCACTGCAACCTCCACCACCGGAGTTCAAGCAATTCTCCTGCCTCTACCTCCTGAGTAGCTGGAATTACAGTCATACACCACCACGCCCAGCTAATTTTTGTATTTTTAGTAGAGTTAGGGTTTCACCATGTTAGCCAGGCTGATCTTGAACTCTTGACCTCGAGTGATCTGCCCACCTTGGCCTCCCAATGTGCTGGGATTATAGGTGTGAGCCACTGTGCCTGGCCTGTGAAGCACTTTTAGCAGTGATGCTTGTCCTTACTTTAATGCTGTTGCTATATTGTACCTTCATTGTCATTTGGGGTCCTGAATCTTATGTAATAATCAAACTTGTCTAGCTGTCATTAATGCAGAGTGACTGATAGATTTATGTGAATATTTCCAAATTTTTTACATAAGTTGTGTGAAAGTTGATTATAAAAATTGGATCATTTTTTTCAGACCCAATTAAATCAGAGTAGAAGGGCCAGGGAAAAAAACTAGCACTCAGGGTGCATACCATCTGCTCCCGGAATTAAATTTTCCACAAGCCCAGCTCCTGAAATGGTCTACTGTAATCCTAAGACCAGTTTTACCTAGTAGCTGCCGAAAAAACCTGCCATGACGCTTACTAGTTTTGCCTACCATCACCACTCACCAATCACAGCTTGCCAGCTCCCAAGAGCTTCTCTAGTGCTAATGAGCTTTCTTTCAAAACAATATGTAACATTTCTCTTTCTAATAAGATTCCCAACCTTTTCTTTGTTCTTCAGACATATCAAAGAACACCCATTCTGCGTATGCCCTGAATTTCAATTCTTGCCTCCCAAAATAAAAGTTAAATTTAGAGATTTGTCTCTATATTTTATTTTGACTCCCACTGTTTTAAAAGAATTAAATTTCCTTTGTAACTTTCATTATTAGGTTGTATTTGCCACCTGGCCCTATACAACAGAACTGCCATAGTGAACATGAACAGGAGGCAGAGTGGGAAGAGGGGGTGCCTGTGAGGTAAGGGTAATCTTATTATAAAATTACTTTCATGACATTCAAAGGAATGTAGAATTTCTCCTGTAGACAAAATAAAACCACTGAGTATTTTAAAATACAAGAGAGGCATGATAAAATGTATGATGACAGTACTGAGATACTCCCCCATTCGACAGTACTGAGATACTCCCCCATTCTTGGGGGACAAAAGTGAATAAAATTTTAAAATTGCTTGGAAATACTTGAAAATTATTTTTATGTCATCAAATCCATCAGTCTTATCTTTTGCTAATTCTTCCCATTTTTTATTCTGCCCAGGTGCAGGTATTCCATTATATTTTTTACTGTATTTTCTGTTGGCTATTTTTGTTAGTTTTCTTATATATAACCTTGTCTTCCTATAATTCATTTTGGTAAGTAAAAAACTAATTTTTATTTTTCATATGAAATTGTTCTCAATATATTTATTTAAATATCCATCATTTTCCTCACTGGCTTGATGCACTAAATCCAACAAATAGTATTTATATGTATATATGATAAATTTCTGGAAATTTGATTATATTCCATTCTTCTACCTGGTTATTCCTGCACCATATACAGGGCCTTTTTTTTTTTAACTTTGAGACTAACTTTATATAACATAAAACTAACTGTTTAAAGGATACAATTCAGTGGCATTTAATGCATTAGCAATGTAGTCCAACCATCACACCAACCTAGTTTTCATCACCCCAGAGGGAAACCCTGTATCCATTAGGCAATCATTCCTCACACCTCCCAGCCACTGGCAACTACTAATCTATGGATATGTCACATAAATCAGATTCAGCAATATATGACTTTCTGTGTATGGCTTCATTCACTTAGCATGTTTCTGAAGTTTGTCCATGTTGTAGCATGTATCTGTGCTTTATTTCTTTTTATGTCTGAATAATATTCCATTGTATGGATATGCCACGTTTGTTAATCCATTCATCAGTTGATGAACATTTGAGTTGCTTCTACCTTATGGTGACTGTGAATAGCGCTGTTATAAGCATTTGTGTACACGTTTTTGTCTGAATACCTGTTTCAATTCCTTTGGTATATACCCAAAGATGAAATTGCAGGATCATATGCTAATTATATGTTTAACCTTTTGAGGAACTTCCAAACAGTTTCCCAAAGTAGATTCGGTTTTACATTGTTATTTTTACATCCTCACCAGCAATGTACAAAGGCTCTAATTTCTTCACATCCTCACTACCACTTGTTATTTTCTTGTTTTTTTATTATTATTATTATTATTATTATTATTATTATTTTCAACCTAGTTTGTGTGAAGTGGTATCTCATTGTGGTTCTGTTACCAGTGGAGAATCTTGATTATGAGTTTTCCAGGTTCTTGGCATTTTAAATAAAGAATTGGACAAAACGGACAAGCAAAGCAACTAAATAATGAAGCAACAAAAGCACAGATTTATTGAAATGAAAGTACACTCCACAGAGTGGGAGCAGGCTTGAGCAAGTGGCTCAAAAGCACTGGTTACAGAATTTTCTGGGGTTTAAATATCCACTAGAGGTTTCTCATTGGTTACTTGGTTACACCCTATGTAAATGAAGTAGTGGCCAGCAACCAGTCTAAGTGGTTGCAGAAGGTGACCAATCAGAGGCTGAAGTGAAGTTACAAAATTATACCCCTATGCAAACATCAGATTGGTTTTGGGAGGGGACCAATCAGAGGCTGAAGTGAAGCTGCAAAGTTATACCCCTATGCAGATGAAGACTAGGCCTGTGATCAGTCTGATTGGTTGTGGGAGGGAGCCAGTCAGAGGTACTTTCCATTTTCATCCACATGGCATAAAGGAGGGGGTTGCAAAGGGAGTAGACTCTGATCCTTTTGTTACTTGGGAGTGGAAAGTTGGGTTTTCCTTTTGATTCAGTTTGAGGAAGTCAGTGTGAATTGGTCTTAGGTTCCCTGCCTCCAAGCCCTATTCTCCTGCCTCAGTTCCACAAGGTTTTAATTATGGTACTTTGTAATAAATTTACTATCTGCTGTGGCAGATGTCCCCTTCTACTTTTCTTTGAAAACTTTGGCTATTTTTGTTTACCTGTTTTCCAGATTAACTTTAGAATAATTTTTGAGGTTCCCCAATATATACCAATGTAATTTTCATTAGTATTGTGCTAATTTTAACAATTAATTTAGGAACAATTTACATCTTTATAATTTTTAAATATTATTTTATCTTCCTCAATAAAGTTTTGGCTGCGGTTTTGGAGTTTTGATTTGTTTTTCATTTAGATCCTGCACATTTTTGTTAGATTTATTCCTAGGTACTTTGTAATTAAATGATTTGGCTATCATACAGCAAAGCCAGCTAATGACATTGTACTTTTATATCATAACTGGTAATCCAAAGGCTGAATCTAGGCTGAAAGCAAAGTACTGTATTCTGATTGTTTTTAATTTTAAAAACTTTAATTGTCACTATTTCAAGCTTCTTTTGAAAAATTAGAAGATCTGGCCTGTTCCCACAAATTAACAATTGACTACGGTTAGGTTGTACTACCTCCTTTAGGTAGGAATTAATCTCTCCAATTTAAGCTCCTCTACTCCTTGTTTTATTCCAAAACTAAGGCTGAGTAAGAAGGGACAAATAACATTGTTTTTGTGCTGTTGTTGATATTTTGATATTGTTATTGTCTAATAACACTTAGAAAAGCAGAACATTTCTTGTAAATATATGTCTTAGTTTGGTTTCCTTTAAATCACAGCCTGAGGCAGGGCTTAAAAGCAGACAGTTTATTTTGGAAAGGATCTTAGGAAAACAGTGAAACAGACAGAGAGAAAGAGTGAAACAGACAGAGAGAAAATTACAGAATATGCTGAGGATCTTGGAATGTATCCACCCCAAAAGTGAGGGGGACCACTGTACCTTTACTTTTTTACATCCATGAACTGCTTCTTCAATCTACCTATAAACCTCTATATAACTCAACTGAGAGACATATGGAATACCAAGGAAGACAGAGTGGGCAGACCCTCTAAAAGAATATCCTTATCATGTCTATCCCATTCAGCTTTCAGTAAGAACATACCAGCACTTCAACCCTTTAAGAGTGCTCATTGCCAAATCACATACACAGTTTTTAACATCATTGTATTAAAACATTTAAAATAGGTCTCCTTATTCTGATCTATGATTACCTTATTCTCTTTTTTTCTCTTCTGCTGTTAAAGCTCAATATTAAATGAAATGTGAAACCTGTCATTAGTTATAGAGAGTCTAAGTACAGTAGGGTAATATGCTATCAGATTGATTAAGAATGAATTAAATCACTCCAAAATCAATGGGGCAGCACTTACTAAAACTAATTTGTAACTATTATTTTAATAGTAAATTGGATTATTACTTAATAGGTACACAATAGACACTTGTAGTTGTTACTCTGAGTATTATTGTTCTTGAGAGAAGGCTACTTTCTCAGTCAGTTCCTGGAAGACCATTTACATATAAACTCATGACCACTGAAGAGGAGAGCATATGTATTTTTTAATACATGTTGACACCAAGAACAGACTTCAAAATTTAATAGAGTTGTCTATCAAATTAGGAGTTTGTATTACAGTGATGAGCTGCTTATCAACAGAGATACATTCTAAGAAATGCATCTTTAGGCGATTTCATCATTGTGCAAACATCATGGAGCATACTTACACAAACCTAGATGGTATAGCCCACTACACACCTGAGCTATGTGGTGTAGCCTATTGTTCCTAGGCTACAAACCTGTATAGCATGCTACTGTGCTGCACACAGTAAGCAATTGTGACACAATGGTATTTGTGTATCTAAATATAGAAAATGTACAGTAAAAATATGGTATAAAAGATTTTAATATGATACAACAGGAAAAGGCAGCTCCATTATATTTTTATGGGACCACTGTCATATATGCGGTCTATTTTTAGCTGAAACATCATTGTGCAACACATGACTGTATTCTCCTTATTTAATATTCTCACCTACTGAGTGTCCTTTATTCTCGTTCAGTGGCTTCCAAGCTCTCCAACATTGCTTGACCAGTATTAGTTTTTGCAGAAACTAGAAAAGTCCTGTCCTAACCGTTCTTCCTCCGCAATAGATTCTTAGCTAAGCACATTGTCACCTGAAATAAAAAAGTATACTGCCCGACATTCCTTGCAGCTGTGGGGAAACTATGACTAAATTCTGGTCAATGAATATCAGTAGAAGTTTTTCAGTACTTGAGGAAGTTTACTTGACAACAGTCACCACAGTTAGTTGAAGCCAATTATTTTCACTTATGCCATTCCTTCTTCTGCAGATGACATGATGACCGAAGTTCTACCAGCTGTTATGGATCATGCGATGTCCCAGAGGAAGGAAACCACACCCTTGGATGGTAAAATAGAAGGAAGAGAATTTGGCTGTCTAATACCGTGGTGCTGCAGTACTAACATGAGTTTATGTATTTCCAGCTTTCTTTTATATGAAAGTAAAATAATTTTCATCTTATATAAGCCACTATTACTTTGAGAGATTTTTTTCTGTTATAGTATTAAACCTAAATTAATACCTAAATAGTTATAGTATTAAATCCCAATTGATACTTCAGCTTTGCAAACACACATTAATAGTCAGCCTTGAAAGCTAAATTTCATTTCAGTCAGCAACAGCAATGCTGGTTACTAAAAGATTTTCAGCCAAAAAGTCTGAGATAATTAAGGGGAGGAGAAGTTGGTACAATACCTGAAAGATTTCAGGGGACCATTCCTAGCTAATTGGAAACATTCCCTTCACTCACTATCAAATTATTGTGGATTAAGCCTTTCCACATGGGGCAGGGTGAGGGTGAAGCAGGGTTTTTGGTTCCGGACAAAATTTTTTGATGGCACTGCCACTCGCAAGGAGCAGGAGAATAGCATATCCCAAGCTAAGCATTCTTGAACTTTCTCTTTCAATCTCCTTCCTTCAATCGTCCTATGGCTCAGCCAGCCTGTTCAACAGGAGGTAAGGCACAGCAAGGAGTCTTAAGCCAAGTTTCCACCTGGCTTGACCAAGAGTTGAGTTACAGAGAGGAGACTGAGTAAATAAGCAAATACATTATGGATAGGTAGACCCATTTTCTCACTGCCAGAGAAGGGACTTATAGATACGGAAAAGAGGAGGACAGATTGTACTGAACACAGACAAACAGTTTATGAAAGGCTATCTTGAAGTCTGCTGAGTAAAGGCCATCTTCAGCCTCTCCCCATTCACTTAACATCATATTTATTGCATAATGTTAGTTGTTTATTATTAACATTTACCATTCTTTCAGTGAGCCATAGTGGATACCATTGATCTGACTTTTTCTCAATCTTTTATTTACCTGGTCTCTTTTCTGAAATTCAGCTTCACCACCTCTTTCAATCTGTCCACCATTGTCCATCTTGTTGCATGCAAGTCTATTCTTCCTCATCCAGAGTTAATTAATCCTAATGATATCATAGAAAGAATAGAGGTATGTGGTCAGATCCTAACCTTACCATTTATAATCCATCTATGGTAGACTCCTTAACTTCTCTGAGCCCAGTGTCTTCATGTTTATAACATAGTTTTTATTCCTTGAGATGACCAATCAGTTTCCACTTTCTCTGCCCTAATCTATTTCTCAGTAAGCTGACACCGATGGACTGCATCCATAGAGTCCCTTGCTAGTGTAGCCTATTTTGAGGCACCAATAGAAGATCAGAAGGTAGTAAAAGAGAGAAACTGGGTTATTTCTCTCCTTTACTCCTCCCTGCAAAACCGCTTCTTTTATACCATGAAGTTCAGACAGTGGCTGAATATGTCTAGGACCTCAGCTCTTGTCAGGCACACCCTCCAGTAGCGCTCCCACTTTCATTGGATTCTGGTGAGATTTCCCTTTTCAAGCACTCTCAAATCATAGTGGTTTGCAACTGTTGCTAGGCTCTGGGAGCTCAGTATCATTTGTTGGTTTCCTTAACCCTGTCCCCATCAATAAAGTCTGTTTAGTAGAACCATTTGAGTGAAATTCTATTTTCCACCAAGAATCAATGTTACAGGAAAATTAAAAATGATGGGTGCAAATTGCTTACTAAAGCACCTTAGCACAAAGTACATAGCTATTAGTAATAGCTGTTATAATTGAGGGCTATTATATTACCTTTCTATAATTTTCAGTAGAACAAAATATTTCTCCAGAGGTAGGTTTTAAAGTTTAGTTTCTTCTCAAATATATGAAAAAGACTTGATCACTCAAAAGTATCTAGATATTGTACTAATATTTCATGATAGTCATTAGTTTTTAATAGGTATTTATAAAATAACATCTAGGCCAGTTTCATGGAACTACTTATATACATCACTATAGCATTAAGATAAATATTATTTATAAGAGCTTTTAGGATAAGACTCTGTTTAACATATTTTATTTTACCAGAATATAAAAGTTTGAATGGCATTTATCACAATATTATTTATGAAACATACAAAAGCTAAGTAAACCTATCCCCAAAATATTTACTTTGGTTTTCCAATGGTCAAGTGCCCTAAATCATACTGATTAACAAGTTTTAAGAATGTCAGGTAGTAACACAAACTGCTACATAACTTCTAGTCAATAATAATTCCACATATTCCTTTGGTACTTCTGAAGCAGTACTGAAAATCAGTTTCCTTGCATTTTATCTTATTATAACCTATTTTATTCCTTTCTCTCACTCTATCACTTACCATACTCCTCAACTCACACCAGAAAATGTGTGTGCATGTACACACATGCAAACACACACAGTGACTATTCTGGAGAGATTACCCAACAGAGATTAGTTGAAAAATCAGAATCAGTAAAGTCATTGAATGCTACAGAATGGAGTATTTCTAAGTTGCTTATGTTAGCTTTCAAATGATATCAAGCACAATCTTTTTGAATGAGCTAACAACTAAACATTTACAGAACACCTACTGTGTTTTGTGAGTAGGGCCATGAGATTGGGGAGGATACATCATTCTAGTCAGAGTGATTGCTATATACTGAACCTTTATGCCTCCCCAAAATTCACATGTTGGAAACTAATCCCCAGTGTGATGATATTTTGGGGTGCGGTTTTTGGGAGATGATTAGTCATGAAGGAAGAACCCTCATGAATGGAATTAGTGCCTTTATAAAAAAGCCCCAGAGAGCTCCCTCACCCCTCAACCACGTGAGGACACAGAAAGAAGACAGCCATCTATGAACCATGAACCAATCCCTCACCAGACATCAAATCTTGAATTTCCCAACTTCTAGAACTGTGAGAAACAAATTTCTGTTGTTTATTACCCACTCTGTCTATGATAATCTGTTATAGCAGCCTGAATGGATCAAGACAGTGTTCAAGGAAGGCCTCTCTGAGAAGAGGGCATTTAATTGGACATCTGATTGAAAACACTGGGCCAACTACCACTTAAATATCTGAGGAAAAGACACTCCCAGAAGATAATTGAGCCTTTGAGGTAACAAGACTGGCTTATTTGAGAAACAGAAAGAAAATCAGTGCAGCTCAACATGGTGAGCAAAGGTCAAAAGATACAGGAGGCACCTCAAGAGGAACTTGTTAGTGAATGTAGTTATCCTTTTTAAAAGAATTAAGATTTAATGTCACCTCTTTCATAAGTCCTTACCTGGCAGTAATGACTGTAACCATACAGGGTAGGATTCAAAGTCACCTAAATTACTTCCTAGCTTTTTAGGAAGGCTTAAGTCTCAGGATTGTTTTAGAGTTTAAATAATATTAGCAAAGTAAAGCCTTCTATAACTATTTATTAATTAGAAAAACATTTTAGCATATTTTTGGCCCTATGAACATCTTCTGCAAGATTTGGTTATGAGAATTCTATTGAGCAAATAGAAAGCTACAGTTCTAGTTATTTATGATATGCACACACAAATGCCCACATCAAAAATACATATGTAGATAGACAGGAAGATGGATGGATGGATGGATGAATAGATAAATACTGGCCCAGGGTCTTAAAATGAATGAGGGCAAATATAAAATAAATTAAACATTGGCACTCAAGAATTATCAATCTGATAAAAATTTATGGAGATAAAATTATTTAGTACAATACTCAACATACAGAAGTGATTCAACAAATGCTAATTTTTCTCTCTACTTTTTAAATATTAACCGATCTAAATATCCCCAAATTTTGGAGATTCCTAGATGTTACATGTGTTTTAAAATTGTTCCCAAAATAAATTAAAAGCAGCTCAATTCCCTTTTATGGATTGATAGGTAGTTCAGCAATAGCTTTTTGAGCTACATCTCCTACCCTCCATACCACCCCTTCCTCCTCTGCTTTTTTAAAGAACCCAAGGGACACATACAATCTAAACACAAAGCTCCTCTTATTTCCCTCCTCTGGTATCTATTATCAGCTGTTATTCTGGCTCCTGTTGCAAATTCACAGGTTTTCTTTGACAGCTGTGGCATGGGCGGGCATGGTCCTTTGAAGAAGTGTGATCCAGTACATGATCCTCAGAGGGAGGTAAAAGGACCTATGTTGGGCCCAAGATTGAATCTTGATGTCGAAGGCCTTCAGGCATATACTGCCCTTCAAGGTCCCTGCTATCCCAGAGCCACAGAAATCAATTGGTGCAGGTATCTGAGCCTTGGGTTGTCCCTGGCCCCTATCTGTCCTTTGAGTCCCGGAGAAGCCAGTTAGACTGCTTGATTTTTCCACCTGGAGAAACACACAAGCTTACTCCATTTTCCCTCCTAGATAAAAGACTGCCTCTGATACAGTCCAGATCTTAGAAACCAGTAGATCTATTTCTAGGTTTGGTTGGCAGCAGAACAACCTCCCAGTGTTCTCATTTTTACCCACGTTTTACCCAACTTTCTGAAGAGTTTAACTTTCTGATTATCTCCAAGGAAGGCACAGACCTTTGATACTTCCACTCCCCAGAAGGAAAATATATTTTGTGCCTTAGAGGTGATTTATCTTCCTAAAGACAACATGCAGGTTACCAGGAGTGTTGCTGGTTGGAATCAAGTTGGCCCACACTAATGTAATGTTCCCTAGACATGCCATTACATGTGTATACCCCGTGCATGGCATTCTTGCAAAAAAATGTAAGGCCAGTGGAATCCACATTCTTCCAGGGACATTATAATGCATTATTCACTGGAAAACATTTGCAGTTTGTTCCATAAGATCTGGACTCTTTCTTTTGCCAAGAATATATTCTAAGTACCCAGAACAGTGCCTACCACAGAATGAGTGGGCAATAAATATTTGATGAATAAATGAAAGTTGGCAGAGTACTTTGCTACTGAGGGTTGTTTCTATCTGAATTATATTAGATTCATTATTTTATTAAAATTAGTAAGAGATAAATCTTCATTCAAGGTTTGAATACAACTTAAAGATGTTTGTGATTGACATATCTCTGGGACTTTGCACTGCATTTGAATTACTAAGTTTTGCTAATCAGTCTTTGTATGACAATTCTAAAATTCCCATTTGTTTTGAATGTGCAGTAAGGATAGAAAGTGATGCTGAGCTAGCAGCACTGAAGCAATTTGCAGGAAAAGAAGACCCAGCTTCTCCAGATGAATCTGGAGGAGAGTTTCTTTAACTGTGGAAACAAACTATATACCACAGTTCTTCATGGATAATGAATCATTGAAAAGCAATTTCAAGCTAGAATGGCTTGCACAAAATGATTAATCACACAAAATTCAAGTTATTATCACTTGTTCTTCTTTCAAGGATGCCTGGGTGTCTTAATAACCACAAGAGTGTAGTTGTTGATATGTCAATAGATCCAAGAATTTACGAAGTGTCTAACAGTGCCTTGTAGCAATAAGAAGCAGTGTGCAGTGTGGGGTTTGCAGGCCCAGCCTCTGCAGCTGCACTAGCTTCTTACCAGCAGTGCAAAGTTGTATGAGGCTCTCCATGCCTCAGTCTCCTCATCTCTAAAATGTAAATAATAATAGTACACGCTGTCGTCCCCCATGAGAACCTATGCTGCCAAGTCATTTTTTAATATCAGGGCCCAATTTTACAGAAACTTTTCTGTTTTAAAAATGTGGACTCAAAATTCATAAAATCATCTAAATGTTGTATACACTTGAAGTAATTTATTCCCTTGATAATGACTTGAAGTTGTTTCATTCATTGTCAATTTGTTCATCAAAATCTTCAGTTAATCTGAGTAGTCCTGGCAGATGACTGCTACAGAAACCTCTCCCTATATCTCAATGGTTAAACCAAGAGAAGTGTATTCTTAGCTCATGAAACAGTACGACACAAACTGGCCGGTGGGTAGAGGGAGGGCGGCCCTCTGCTTCATACAGTAGAGACCCAAGCTGAAGAGGGCTCCACCATCTTCAGCACATGGCTTCTGGGATTGCCCTGGGCAATGACATCCTCCAGCATTTAGGAAAGGACATACAGAATCATGCATGAGGTTTTAGGAGTACTATTACTAGTAGTATTAGGAGTAGGTTTTAGCATGCAGTATTCTTCATGCCTAGGACAAAATGAAATGAATTTAAGGAATGTATTGCACTGTTTCTGCCACTGTCTCTTCCCAGGGCCCATGTTTTACAGATATGATGTTATGATCTATATTTTGACACGACTGTGAGGAAACCTGGATGGAGGAAAATGCCACCATCATTTCCTAAGTGCCGTCTCAAGACATAAAAAGCTTATTGTTATAGTCTGAACTGTGCCCCGCCATTCTTATGCTGACGTCTTAACTCACAGTATCTCAGAATGTGACTGCATTTGGAAAGAGGTTCCAGAATCTGACTGCATTTGGAAAGAGGTAATTAAGTTAAAATTAGGTCATTATGGTGGGCCCTAATCCAACATGATTGGTGTCCTTATAAAAAGAAGAAATTTGAACACAGACAAATACAGAGGGAAGACCGTGTGAAGACACAGGCAGAAGGCTGCCTCCTGCTAGCCAAAGAGAGAGCCCTCAGAAAAAATCAACCCTACCAGCACCATGATCTTGTGCTTCTAGTCTTCAGAATCATGAGAAAATACATTTCTGTTTAAGTCACCCAGTCTGTGGTATTTTCTTATGTCACCCCTAGCAAACTAATATACTCATGTTGTTCTTGCAACAGGAAGAAATAAATATTATTTAAATGCATTGAGTAAAAGTGATAGAGGTGGAAAGCAAATATATTGAAGAAAAAACTAAAGTTTACAAACTGCGATAAAGTAGGACAAACAGTGAGCTGGACTGCAGCATTTGCCTGATAAGTTTTATCAAAAAGAAGAAATAAGATCTATACTTGAAAACAGAATTGAATGCTAGGTGTATACACCACCATTTTAAAATTGGGTTATTTGTTTTCTTAATGTTCAGTTTGAAGAGTTACTTATGTATATCCTGGACACAAGCCTTTAACCAGATCTGTGATTTATAAATATTTTCTCCCAATCTGTGGCTTGTCTTTTTATTTTCTTATCAGTCCTCTTTAATTTTGAAAAGTCCAATTTAGCTTTTTTTTTTCTTTTATGAGCCATGTTTTTGGTATTGTATCTAAAACTAATTGCCCAAGCAAAGATCTCATCAATTTTCTCCTATGCTTTCTTCTAGAAATCCTATAGGTTTGCATTACACATTTAGGTCTATCATCCATTTTGAGTTAAATTTTATATAGGGTCTGAGGTATGTTGTCAAAGATCATTTTCTTGTACGTAGAGGTCCAATTTTTCCAACACAATTCTTTACCAAATGTATGAAGGTTTGTCTTCATATCTTTGTCAGAAATCATTTAATTATATTTGTATTAGTCTATTTTGTGCAAGACCACCTAGATTATTTGTGGGGCCCAATTCAAAATAAAAATGTAATGCTCTGTGTTCAAAAATTTTTAAGAATCCCAAGACTGTGACAGTAAAGCATTACGCCAAGTATGGAGTGCTTCTGAGCACACGGCCCTGTGTGACTGGACAGATCAGACACCCAGGAAGCTGGACTCATTACTGTAGTAATGCTCATTACTGTAGCTTTATATTAAGTAAGTCCTGAAATAAGATAATGTGCGTGCTTCAACTTTGTTCTGCTTCAAAATCGTTCTGCTGTTTCCAAGTCATATAATTTCATATAATTTAAGAATCAGCTAGTTAATATGTGTAAAATAACTTGCTAGAATTTTGATCATAATTATGTAGAATCTACGGATCAAATTGGAAAGAAATGACATCTTAACTACCTGAGTCTTCAAACCCATGAACACAATCTTGTCTCCCCATTAATTTTGAGTTCTTAATATTTTCTTTCATTAATTTTTGTTGTTTTAGCATACAGACATTGTCCATATTTTGTTAGATTTCTACATAAGGATTTCATTTTTGTTGGTGCCACTGTAATGGTATGTTTTTATTTCAAACTCTAATTGTGCATTGTTGGCTATGGGAATACAATTGATTTTTGTGTGTAGACCTTGTATTTTGTGACATTGTTAAACTCATAAATTCTAAGATTTTTGTAGAATTTTAAGGTTTTTTACATAGACATTCATGTCATCTAAAAATAAAAACAGCTTTATTTTTGCATTTCGTATTTTCTACTTTTAAGTATATTTTCACTATTCTCTGCAGATCTCTAACTCTGTGATTTTTCAGGCATTATTGAAATAGAGATTTTGTCCAATGTACTATCATTCAGAAATGTAATCCATGTGATTTGCTCCTCTTAAGGAAATTAGCAATGATATTAAAGTAAATCAAATTTAATAAACAGATATCTACATCCCTGCCATCTAGTTCTTACCTCCAATTCAATACAGCAGCATTCATCTTTATTTTATACATCTATATTTATACATTAGACTGCAATTTTCAATCTTTGTGCCAACACATATATCCACATTTTTGTTTAATTAAATTTTTAAAAACTATAAGCTTTACTTCCAACTAGACATTTAAATTATCCCCTGGAATCTTTGATGAAACCAGCTATCTTTTTAATAATCCACCATAATTTGCTATAGAGACTTTCTGTTATATATTTTAACTGAATAGTCTGGGATTTTTCTGCATTTTTTTGTTAATAAAATGTAAACTTATAGAAATCCAGTTATCCAGATATCCAGTTGAATTATCATTTTATTTGATGATATAAGAAATATGACTATTTCTTCTAGGTTGACTGTATGACCCAATTCGCCAGGTAATTGGTTATCAATTCTTTCTAGACTTGGCCTTCCTTAACTTATCCAAGAATGGAAACACTCTACTTAGATTATACTATAGGAATAAATTATGGAGAATTTAAGAGGAAACTATCTAGATTATTATCTTTCCTCCTCAATAAGGAACTTTCAGTTGAACTATTCATATAATTGAAATAGAAGTGGTTTTCTTGGCCTAAATTGTCAAGAAACTCTCAGTTCTCCATTTCACTTGCTTCCCCAGGGAATCACCCACCTTTCCTTCACAATCTTAGACCTGTACTAATTCCTTATTTTCATAAATGCTTGTTTTAGTCAGTCTGTATTGCTATAACAAATTACCATAGAAAAGGTGGCTTGTGCAACAAACATTTATTTTTCACAATTCTAAAGGCTAGGAAGTCCATGATTAAGGGGCCAGTAGATTTGTATCTGATGAGGGCCCACTTTCTGATTTGCAAATGGCTTTCTTCTTGTTGTAGCCTCACATGGCAGAGAGCTGACAAAGGAAACAACCTTTCTCTTGTCTTTTTGTATGGAACACTAATCCTATCATGAGGATATAACTATCATGACCCCATCTAATAGTTATTAGGTTGGTGCAAAAGTAACTGTGGTTTTTGTCATTACTTTTAATGGCAAAAACCGCAATAACTTTTATACCAACCTCAATAGCTCCCAAAGGCTCCACCTCCAAATACTATCACATTGAGAATTAAGATTTCAACGTATGAATTTTAGGGGGACATAAACATTCAGTCCACAGCACTGCTATAGACATTTCTTGATGATATTGAAAATGCCCCCCCAAAATTATTATATTTTCTCTAGAAACAAATGATTTCTGGTTAGATAGGTACAGTACAGGATAATTTGGGGAGAAATGTGTGCTAAAATCGCAACATTTTAGATTGTAGAAAAGATAAATGGGTCACTGCCATAGCTGAGTAAGTTAAAGTAAAATGAAGGCAAGTCAAATTGCTAAAGCATATCCAGCATTGCATCAAAATGGGGGAAGCTGAAAATATAAATAATCCATCCTTTGATGTTCATAAAATTATAAAGGCAGTGAAGAACATAAATGCGCTGAAACAACACTCATCTTCACTCTCAGCTCTTATGGAACGGGGAATATCCCCATATATTATTATCCATGTATTATTTTGAATTATATAAGAAAAATTTGTCTCTTCTCCATTATTTATTTAATCATTTATTTATTTCAGTGTGGATGCATAGATATTTATTTTATACATTGGGTTATAATCCAAAACTACATTTTTTATTTGTTACTGAGCTCCTGAGTTCCTTTGACATATCCTAGCTTTTGTTTTTTAGCACTTCCCTAGTTTCTGTAACTACAAGATACTGCAGGCTTATCTTATGTTTACCCTGTCCCAGCCCTAGAAACAACCATTTCTCTAAGGGTCCTTGGTTACTTTGTTTCAAGAATAGCATGGAGAAACCAATATCTGGGTACTGGGTTAGAATAGGATATATTTTGAAAGGCCAACAGGATTTTCTGATGGACTTAATAGAGGATACAGATCAAAGATTATTTAACCTGAATAACTAAAAATCTGAAGGAATCATTAACTGAGATACAGAAATCTGAGATTGGCAGGTTTGTGGGACATAGGGGGAACCATTACTTAAGGCCTGGACATAATTAAAATGCTAGACATTCAAGTGGAAATGTTGACTAGTTAATTGAATATTTCAGTTTGGACTTCCTGGAGACATTCTCTATTTTTAGATGAAGAGTTAATGTATAGAGACTGATAAACAACTTAATACACACATAATCAATTTCCATTAGTTATAAGGAAGCAATTATTGACACTAAAGGAATTTAAACATTGGAATAAATTACTTTTAAAAGGTTATGAAATTCAATTCTAGGAATATTTTAAAATATACATATTCCAGAATTATTTAAGCATTTTCCATGAACATATAAAACATCTTCAGAGCAAACAAAATAGGCTGGAAATAAACCCAGACATATATAGTCAACAAACCTTTGACAAGGACACCAAGAAGACCTAACAGGGAAAGGACAGCCTCTTCCATAACTGATGTTGGGAAAACCTTATATCCATATATGAAAGAATAAAATTGGACCCTTTTCTTTCACCATATAATAAATCAACTCAGAATGGATTAAAGTCCTAAACATAAGGCCTGAAATCATAAAACTCCTAGAAGAAAACATAGGGAAAAGGTTATTGACATAAGCCATGGCAATTTTTTAATACAACACCAAAAGCTTAAGTAACAAAATACAAAATAAATAAGTGAAACTATCTTAAGCTCAAAAGATTTTTCACAGTAAAGGAAACAACCAAGAAAATGAAAAAGTAGCATATTGATTGGGAGAAAATATTGGAAAATCATATATCTAATAAAGGGTTAATAGCCAAAATTTATAAGGAGCTCAACTCAATAGCAAAAAAAAAAAAAGTACATAGCCTAATTTAAAAATAGGAAAGCACTAGAATATTTTCCAAAGAAGACATACAAATAGCCAACAGGTATATGAAAAGCTGTTCAACATCACTAATACTCAGGGAAACGCAAATCAAAACATACTTCATACCTGTTAGAATAGCTGTTATCAAAAAGATAAGTGATAACAACTATTGGCAAGCATATTGAAAAAACTGAACCCTTGTGCACTGTTGGTGGGATGTAAATTGGTACAACTAGATGAAAAACAGTCAGGAAAACTGGCTAGCCATATGTAGAAAGCTGAAACTGGATCCCTTCCTTACACCTTATACAAAAATTAGTTCAAGATGGATTAAAGACTTACATGTTAGACCTAAAACCATAAAAACCCTAGAAGAAAACCTAGGCAATACCATTCAGGACATAGGCATGGGCAAGGACTTCATGTCTGAAACACCAAAAGCAATGGCAACAAAAGACAAAATTGACAAATGGGATCTAATTAAACTAAGAAGCTTCTGCACAGCAAAAGAAACTTCCATCAGAGTGAACAGGCAACCTACAGAATGGGAGAAAATGTTTGCAATCTACTCATCTGACAAAGGGCTAATATCCAGAATCTACAAAGAACTCAAACAAATTTACAAGAAAAAAACAAACAACCCCATCAAAAAGTGGGCAAAGGATATGAACAGACACTTCTCAAAAGAAGACATTTATGCAGCCAACAGACACGTGAAAAAATGCTCATCATCACTGGCCATCAGAGAAATGCAAATCAAAACCGCAGTGAGCTACCATCTCACACCACTTAGAATGCTGATCATTAAAAAGTCAGGAAACAACAGGTGCTGGAGAGGATGTGGAGAAATAGGAACACTTTTACACGTTGGTGGGACTGTAAACTAGTTCAACCATTGTGGAAGACAGTGTGGCGATTCCTCAAGTACCTAAAACTAGAAATACCATTTGACCCAGCCATCCCATTACTGGGTATATACCCAAAGGATTATAAATCATTCTGCTATAAAGGCACATGCACACGTATGTTTATTGAGGCACTATTCACAATAGCAAAGACTTGGAACCAACCCAAATGTCCATCAATGATAGACTGGATTAAGAAAATGTGGCACATATACACCATGGAATATTATGCAGCCATAAAAAAGGATGAGTTCATGTCCTTTGTAGGCACACGGATGAAGCTGGAAACCATCATTCTCAGCAAACTATTGCAAGAACCAAAAACTAAACACCACATGTTCTCACTCATAGGTGGGAATTGAACAATGAGAACACTTGGACACAGGAAGGGGAACATCACACACCAGGGCCTGTTGTGGGGTGGGGGAACGGGGGAGGGAAAGCATTAGGAGATATACCTAACGTAAATGATGAGTTAATGAGTGCAGCACACCAGCATGGCACATGTATACATACGTAACAAACCTGCACATTGTGCACATGTACCCTAGAACTTAAAGTATAATAAAAAAATGAAATAATAAAAGAAAAACAGTATGAAGTCTCCTCAAAAAAAAAATTAAAAATAGAACTACCATATGACCCAGAAATCTCTCTTCTAAGTATATACCCAAAGGGTTATCTCCCCTTGTGGAGATATCTGAACTCCTGTGCTCAGTGCAGCATTATTCACAGTACCTGAGATATGTAAACAACCCAACTGTCCCTCAACAGATGAATGGACAAAGAAATTGTGGTATGTATATGTGTATGCGTTAGACAAGTGGAATATTATTCAGCTCTAAAACAGAAGGAGACCCTGCCATTTGTGACAACATGAATTAGTTACTAGGGGCAGGGTAGGGTGGGAATAAAGAAATGTAGGTAAAACAGTACAAAGTAGCAGTGATGAAGAATGAATAAGTCTAGAGAGCTAATATACAGCATGATATAGTCAATAATATTTTGATGCATAATGAAAATTTGCTAAGAAAGTTATTTTAGGTCCCTTTACCACACAAAAAATGGAAACTGTGGTGACAGACATGTTGTTTTGTTTAACTGTAGGAATCATTTATACATGTATAAACATCATGTTGTATAACTTAAACATATATAATAAAAATAAATTATTGAAATTTAGTAACTATTTGACTAATTTTAATAATACAGATAGACATGGCATTATTTTTAAAATAAAAATAAACTTTTGCCTGATATATTAAGATTTTTATTTACAAAGGCAAAGATAAAATGAACAGTTATAAGATTTACATTCATTTATTTTCCAATACTCTCATAACAGATTATCCAATTTTACCTGAAAAATATTTTAAGTTAGAATTGAACATAATTGAGAACTCAATGCTGCAGATTTTTTCTTCATTGCTATTCTTCTCTTAAGACAGACATCAAAATCATATAAAAGGCCATTTCTATTTATTTTTTTTTTAATTTTAAACCAAGTAAACCTTAGCTTTTTTCTTTCATTATTAAAATTTATATTAACTCTTTCATAATATTCACAATTTGAATTGAAACAAAGTCCATTCACACAGAATTAATCTCTTGTCTGGAACAGCTTATCCTATGAATCAGATAACACTAAAAAACATGTCAAGTCACTCCTAAAATTACATTTTTATATACTTTTTACATCGGTCTCCAAAATTTTTCCCATCTATAATGATGTGAAATTATATTATAATACAAAGCTTAGCTGAAAATATCTTTATACTTGTTGTTTAATATTTGCCTTTAGAGCTTAAGATTTTAAATGAAATAAATACTTCAAAAGCTATTTTCACAACATGTGAAATTCCCTTTAAGTATGATTTAATAAAATATCCAATCTGATGTGTTTCTACATGTTCTTTCTGGTTTCAAGCTGTAAAGGACTGGCAAATTGCATTTTGCATTTTTTTGACGGGGGGACTTTTATTCTCAAGTGGCTAACAAAGGGAATGCACAAACATCCCTGAAGAATGAAGTGTCTGCAGAAAAAGTTGGATTCTTTCTATTCTTTGCAGTAGATATGGTATATGTAATATATCTATTAATCTTGATATAACAACCATGTTAGGATAACGTTTCACTAAGGGAATGTTTTGTTTTAATTAACTAAAATAAATGGCAAGACTGAGGATAAAATGTAACATAGAAATTTCTCAATCCTGTTGAGATGTACCACAGGCCTTTCCGGAGGCTTACATGTCGACAAAGTAGCATGTAATCTGTCACATTTACAAGCTGCTGGATGTTATCAAAAATGAAAACAGAGGAAGACAAGACAGTAATTGGTCACGTCATCATACAATAAAACCAATTAGGTGTTTTATTGGTTCATTTCCTTCTTTTGAGCTTCCCGAGATCTTGAAGTCAAAGGAAACAAAATCTCTCTAGTGATCAAACCAGTAGCAGGATGAGAAAAATTGCTACTCAGATCAGCACCGTGTAAATAAAAGATCCTCCCAATTCAGAGAAGTCACTCTGTTTCGAGTCAGGGCTTTGCCAAAAAATCAGTGAGGTTTTTGAAAATCTTCACAGAAGTAAATTTCATCACTGCTTTTGGGAAGACTTTCCATGAACAAAATACCAGTCCAACAACATTATTTCCTCGGACACTGAGTTATGTTCTGTGTTCTCTGTCTTCTATTTTTGAAGTTGCCACCCAAGTTTTAGTCTGGAAACTTGGTGACAGAAGACAAGAGCACAAGAATATGTTAGAGGGAAAGTGTAAAATTGAACTTACTCTCAATCCTAAAGACCTAATAAATTGAAACTGTATTTATTTAGACAAATTCAATTGATAAGATAGACACAACTATAGTAAGTACTCAAAATATTTGTGAAATAAATAAATGTTATAAAATCTTCACAAGAGCACCATAATACAGATTTCTCCTATTAGCATTATTCTTCATATGAGAAAGTTATCTATAGAGCTCCAAACTGGCATAGAAATTTCAAAGTACAATCTATTTTATTTCACCCTGTTATCAAAACGGCACATAAAATCTAAAATAATCAAGTTTTTTACATATTTTAAGGTTTTGGGAAAGATGCATTAAGACAGCATTATTGGCCGGGCATGGTGGCTCATGCCTATAATCCCAGCACTTTGGGAGGCTGAGGCAGGCAGATCACTCAAGGTCAGGAGTTCGAGACCAGACTGGCCGATATGGTGAAACCTCATCTCTACTAAAAATACAAAAATTAGCCAGGTATGGTGGCTCAAGCCTGCAGTCCCAGCTACTTGGGAGGCTGAGGCAAGAGAATCGCTTGAGCCTGGGAAGTGGAGGTTGCAGTGAGCAGAGATCACGCCCCTCGGCAACAGAGCAGGACTCTTTCTCAAAAAAAAAGAAAAAAAAAGACAGCATTATTATTTCAACTGGTTCTGCTCTTACTGTTGAAGTATTTCCATTATTAATTTCGTTATATTTATTCAAAATAGTGTGACAGGCAATAAAGGTATTGATTTATTAGGTAACTGAAAAATCAGAACTGATAAATGGTTGCTCTCTGTTTGTAAACATTTTTGGTAAAAAGTATATAAGAATTAATAATGTATTAAAATTTAATATTTGAGTATTAATTCTGCCTCTTACCAAAAAGCTCAGTATAATTTTGACCTCCTTGGGCCTCCATTTGTAGAAGCATAGTGGTAGTAATACCACAGAATTGGTGATAAAAACAGACTATGCATGAAAATCTAAAGCTGTTAGTGGCAGTCATTAACATTAATTTGTTGTTAATATGTACCAGGGACTATGCTGGGTTTTTTCGTGCAAGATCTCTGTTCCCATTTTTAAAGAACTTTACAAATGGAAGTTAGCCCTTTTCTCTCTGCCATGTTACTTCAGCTCCTTGTAGTTTCTTCTAAGGTCACATTTATCACAATATAGCAATATTATTTGTTTAAATATCTGTTACTCTTCTATGACAAGCTCCCTCTGAGAAATTAATTTTCCTTATTTATCTTTTTCTTAGAATCTAGGTTCTTGTTTTAGGGAGCACATATTTGATAGTTCTAATTGTTTGCTGACTAACTTAGTTAAGTCAACCCTGACTTGTCTATTGCAGTTTCTTTGAAACGGAATCTTCTAGGTTTATTCCTCCAAAAGCCAGCAGGTCTAAAGGAAAGTGTATTTACTATTTCAGCCAGTTTGAGACTATTGAAACCTGTTCCTCATTCTTCACCTATGAATTAAAGAATTTGTTTCCTTAAACGAATCTATTTGATTCGAAGATCCAAATTGCTGATTAATTTGCTATGGTTAAAGTGTGTAACTACCAAAAGGAAAACTACATTTTCCAGACTACCTGACAGATGAAAAAGAGCAGAGACACAAGATATTGCTGACAGAAATCGAAGGAGAACTATAAAACAGATATAGCATATTCCGAGATTAGAAGGCTATTAAAATTGTTAAGATTGTAAACAAATCTCCATTAAGATTTAGCAGTGTTAATATGTCCATTCTTCCATATTGATCTTAGACTCCACACAATCACTATCAAATTATAGCAGGATTTTTTTTTGAGAAACTGATAAGCCAATTCTAAAATTTATATTAAAATGTAAAAGATCTAAACTGCTAAAAAAAAAAAAAAAAAAAAAAAACTAAAAGAAGAAAAATGTTGAAGGACTTACACTACCTGATTCCAAACTTGTTGTAAAGCTACTGTAATACAAAAAGTGTGATATTGACATAGGATGGATACATCAATGGAAAAAAATAATAGAGTCTAGGGATAAGTGCACACGTATGCATTCAGTTGATTTTCCATCAAGATACCAGTAGAATTCATTAGGGTAAGAAAAGTGTTTTTAACAAAAGGCATTTAAACAACTAGATAGTCATATGAAAGTAAACAAACCTTGGTCCTTAGCTACTACATATTAAAAAAATTAATAAAGTTCATAGACTGAACATAAAACCTAGAACCAAAAGCTCTTAAAGCATAAAGAATATCCTTCCCTTTTAGTAGACAAACACTTCTTGGATATGACAAAAAGAAAACAACTTCATCAAAATTTGAAAGTTTTACTCATCCAAAGACACCATGAAAAAAATTAAAAGGCAAGTCACAGATTGAGAAAAAAAAATCAGTATGTATATCTGACAAAGGATTTATATACAGATTATATGAAGAACTCATAAATCACAATAAAAAGTCAAACAACCCATTTAAAAAATGGACAAAAGACTTGAACAGATACTTCACAAAAGAAGACACATGAATAGTCAACAAGCAGAAGAGAAGATACGTAACATTTCACATCCACTAGGATGGCTAAAATAAAAAAGATTGACATACTAAATTTTGGTGAGGATATAGAAAGACTGACACTCTCGTGTATTGCTGGCAGAAGTGGAAAATCACACATCTTCTTTGGTGAATAAATATGACAATTCTTAAATACATAAACATTCACTCTAGGACCCATCAATTCCATTTCTAGTTTTTTACCTAAGAAGAATGAAAACTTTTATCAATTAAATGACTTGTACTTTCATATTTGTAGCAGTTTTATTATAATAGACAAAACTGAAAACAGCCAAGATATCCATCAACAGGAAAACAGATAAATGAATTATGGTGTATTCAAACAATGGAATACTACTCAGCAATAAAAAAGAACAAAGTACTGATGCATGAATTAATCTCAAAAACATTTTGCTGAGTGAAAGAAGTCAGACACAATAGTATACATGTATAATTCCATTTATGTGACTTTCAAGCATAGACAATTAATCTATGCTAATAGAAATCAAAAAGTAATTACTTCTTGGGGAGAAGAGACTTGAGGAAATGAGCACAAAGGAATCTTTGTCTGGGCTGAGGAAATATCCGTCTTATTTTGGGTGATGGTTACATACATACATATAATTGCTAAAATTAATCAAACTGAATACTTATGATGGTGCATATATTATTATATTTAATTTACAGTTAAATTTAAAAACTACACACAGTTTCTAAAATAAAGGAGACTAAAGAGTCAAAATAAAGGAGACTAAAGAGTCAAAATAAAGGAGACAACTGCATGCAACACATGATTTGGGATGTTCCTTTCTTACAAAATACAATATGATTGCAATAATCCATAACATTTGAATTGGGTCTGCAGAGTAGACAGGAGTATAATATCAATATTAATTTTCTAATTTTGACCATTATTATGTGGTTATGTGAGAGAATATCATTTTTAGGAAATGTCCACTAAAGTATTCAGAGGTCAAAGAGTCAGTTTCTGCAAGTAAATCAATTATAAAGGAATTTTTGTGCTGTTTTTTGAAACATTTCTCACAAAATTCTGTGAAAATAAAAAGCTAAAAGGGCCAGGCATGGTGGCTCATACCTGTAATCCCAGCACTTCAGGAGGCCGAGGCAGGAGAATCACTTGAGGCCAGGAGTTCAAGACCAGCCTGGGCAACAAAGCAAGAACCTGCCTATACAAAAAATATAAATATAAATATGAAGCTAAAAGGAAAAAATTGCATGCAAATTTTTTAGAAAGTCTTGTTTTTCTCATATGAACTCAAGCATATGTGTATGCTTTATATTGAGTTTCTGTACTTTATTCTGTGCTACCTAAAATATTCCAACGTATTTGTAATTGTTAATAATGCACAGTTACATCTCTGAAATGTAATGTCCGATATGTTTAATTTAGTTGTTTTCTGACTGGTGACTCTTAGAGCCTAAATCAGTTTTAAGCACTTGACACATTTTATGACATAAGTTTCTTTCTCAGTTTTATTCAGATATGGTGTAGATCGTTGGCCCAGGTGGTTCATGATAAGGTCCATCCTCAACACTGCTGTGATCTCTTGCTTTGAATTCCCCTGGGCCAAAGGGTCTTTCAGCAAACATACGCACAATCAAATTTTAATGGTTCAGTTCTATATTGGAAAGTCAGTAATTTTTTGAAGGCCCAAAAGAACTGATGAAGCACAAAACAAGGGAAGAGAGAGAAATAAAGAGAGGGGGAAAAGAGGCGTGTGTAAAGGGCCCATCTCTGAGTTCCAAGAAAATAAGAGTAAGAAATTGATGATACTGAAGGGGCAGGCCCTAGGGACAGGACTCACCTGATGGAAAGACCAAGTGGCCTGAGGGAAAGAGCACCAAACACCAGCTATGTGCCCTCAAACACTGCACGTAGCTCTCTGCAGTTCCCTGTCCTTACCTGTAAAATGACAGTTGTCAATTACATCACTGTTTACCCATATTTGGTGGGGGGGAGGGGATGCACAAGTCTTTCTTTTAAGCTAAAAACATTTCACTTGCATCCATACAACAGTAGCTCCACTTTTAAAATATTCATTGGCCAGGAAAGAAAGTATTAGCAAATATTAATAAAAACTCCATCATTTTAAATGAATCATATTAACCATATTCTACATATAAAGGTTTTGTCTCACATCTAAATGTGACACATCTAAATATGACATTTAGATGTGCGACAAGACTTTTACATATAGAGACATATTAAGTAGTCAGCCTACAGATGATGCATGATATGCATAGGGACTTATTTATAATAATGCCCAGACTCCCCAGAATTAGGAAGAAACCCCCATGTTATAAAACATAAGACTTGAGCATTCCACATTTGTTCAATGCTTTTTACAGCTCTTACATGGATGATTTTTCTCTAAAGTGAAATAGGATTATCACAGGATTTCACAATTATTAGAGTTGGATAACTATTTTCAAGAAATATCTTTAAAGTGTGCATTGCTTTTATGGTGTTATACTATTCTCATAGAATAAGTTAATCAGACATCTTAAAGGTTAAAGGTCATAATTTATTTTTTCACACACCAAGAAAAATTGACAGGCATATTTAGAATTCAAAAGGGGAAAAAACGTTTTCATTACAGAACGAATTAATACATTTTGTTAATTTTTAAAACATGAATTCTACTCTATGTGTTTTCAGCTCAATATGAAAGTTGTTGAAAAGTAAGAATATAAAACATACCGCTAAGGGTGACACTTGCTATCTGCCAGGGGCTGACCTAGGTACTAGGGATATGCAATTGCACAAAACCAGTGAAATCCCTTTCCTCATGGAGCTCCCAATCTAATAGGCAGTGACAAATGACAAATATATATTGTTAGGTAGGGCTATGAAGAAATAAAGCCACATAAGAAAATAGAAGTGTTGAAGAGAGATGCTATTTAAGGTAAAGTGTTTTTAGAAGGCATCTTAGCTGAGGGAAATGTTAAGCAGAGATGTGAAAGAAGGGAAGGAGGAAGGCATACAAATGTCTGAGGATAGAGGCTATCAAAAGGAATAACAAACACAAAATTCCTAGGGTAGTATCTTGCTTGGCAAGTCGGAACAGCAAAGAGGCCCATGTAGCTGGTGAGGAGTTAGCAAGAGGAAAGAATAATCAGGGCCAAGTCAGACAGGGCCTTGTACATCATGATAAAGACTGGATTTAATTCAAACTCTGTAGTAGGTGCTCACTGAAGGTTTAAGGCCAGGGCATGACATTTCAGATTGACATTTTTAAAGACTCACTTTGGTTGCTGTGTGGAAAAATGACGAATAGCAGGGAGTGGCAAAAATGAAAGCAGAGAGAGAGGAGGCTGTTATACTATTCCAGGTGAACTTTAAAAGAATTTATTAAGCACCTACTATGTGCCAGACACTGCATAAGCAGTGGAGATTCTAAAATGAGAAACTGGTTTTCTTGGCCTCTAGAAGCAGAGAATAAATATGAGTTTAGAGTGGAGCACAGATAAAAAAAAAGAAGATACAAAGCAAAAGGGAAAAATACTCAACTCTTAAGTTCTTCATCCACTTTAAGAGTATAAAATGACTGGGTTGCTGGAGATTAGAGGAAGAGAAACTGTGAAGAGATTTCACTGGAGAGAGTTAAACTTTGTGTCCCAACTCCCTCAAAGAGGAGTGCTTTCCTCTTACCACAAGACTTGTGAGTTGGTTTCCAAAAAGTCTCCTCTGAAAACTTAATTTATGTTTCCTTTGCAGTTAGGAAAATATGATGGAGTGATATCTGATGCCTTGAAAATTTAAAACAAAAGGTAGCCTGACTAGAAAATTAAAGGAGAGGTTCTGATCACTGGCACTGACCAGGAGTTGTCAGGGGCAAAGGTTTAATAAATGTTTACAAAGGCCAGAAGGGGGCCTCAAAAGAGCGAGCCCACGTGGAGTCTGTCTTTAGATCCTGTCCTGTCCAAGTGAGCCAACTAGAAGGGGGAAAAGTCTCAGCAAAGCAAAATCTTGCCTATTTTTTTAATGGCACCATATTGTTTCTATCACCCCTCAATATAAATAATTTGAGGAATAAAAATATGTAATATGTCTACTATTGTTACTGTTTCATTTGTTATTATATGAACCACAGGAAAACATAATGAGATTGATAAAATCTGTCAGACTTAGTTCACAGCACAATTACGAATATTGGTCCAGGCCTAGGTCATCATTTTTGGTTCATTTTATTACCCAAACCTTGCTCATCTACCTCTCCACCCTTCTGTAGGCATCCAGGGTCAAGTATCTGTTTTCTCTCAAAAATTGTGGTTTTGAGATGTTGAAATCGATCAGTTTTGATGTGTGCAGGTCTAGTTCATTCCTTTTAACATTATATAGCCTCCCATCACATGAATAGACATTGTATTCATGCATTCTGCCTTTTAATTATTTCAGTTGTTTCTAATTCTTGTTTCAAAAACTGCCATGCCAAACATTCTTATGTGTGCTTCTCTATGCATGTGTGAAAGAATTCCTCTGGTAATGTGCTTTGTGGTAGAATTTCTAGGTAATTTGGAAGTATACCTACACAATTTCATTAAATACTCTTTCAGCTTCTCCAAAATTATTTTTAGTTTTGCTCACCCAATAGCAATGTATATGAGTGCTCATTTCTCCATATTATTGCCTCTACTTGGTATCATCTGTTTTTAAATTTTTGTTGTTTTTGTGGATACGTGGTGCCATCTCATCATCTCTTGCTGGGAATATAAAATATGTACCTTAAAAGCAGCATTTTAAAATCAAATTTCCCAAACTAAAGAAAATGGAAAAAAATTGGGCCTACTATGTAGTAAGTACGCTACAATAAAATTTTTATATGCATTATTTTCCTTAAATCTTAAAATCCATTAAAAATTATGGACTGTTATCTCTGTTTTTTAGTTGAAAAAACTGTGGCTCAAATTCTTAAGGAAGTAAACAATATGATAACACAAATAATGAAGCCACATTCAAACTCACCTTAATTCCAAACCTCCTGCTCTATTTACAAAAGCATTTTCCTCCTACAATGCCTCAAAACATAGATATGCAAGAGGAGACAAGAGAATGCAATGTATGTAACTTTCCATTTTGTTCACCCTTACTTGTTGAACAATCATTTACCACAATAAAAATCTAATCATTCCTTAAGAGATTAGTTTAGAACTAACCTTAGGCTATTTTAGACCATTTAAAATGGAAACTTTTGGTTAAATCAGGTCTCCAATACCAAAGGTACAAACAGAGCAATAACAAGGAGAAATAAATCATCTTGAAGTGTTAGCAACAATCTAAGAAAATAATGGCCCATTTTACTGGCAGCATAAACAATTCATCCTTCAGTTGTTATTAATAAAAGGACTGGTGTGATTTGGAGGTCATACCAATGCAGAACACCACATCTCAAGAGGAGCTGCAATTCTTGGCCCAGGTACCTATTCTCAGCCTCTGGAGTCTCAGTGTTCACTCAGTACCTGTCCCAAGGAACCCAGAGAGCTTGGGATTCTTTAGAGGAAAACTGGGAAAAAAGCTTCCCTAACATAATTTTTACATCATATTATAAATACCAGTTTGGGAGTGTCTGTGTGTGTGTGTGCCTGTGTCTGTGATGGTGACAGGCAGGTAGTACACTCTTGGGACCTGAAAAGCTGACTTTTCACTCTCTACTCAGTATCCCAGGAAACTTTATTAACTCTTTTAAGCTGTTGAGAGTCAAAGTATAAAGTCAATCTTTTTAATTCACACCAGAAACATGTTTTTCTGGGTGTTGTAAAAATCTCTGTAGTATTGGCCGGGCGCGGTGGCTCACACCTGTAATCCCAGCACTTTGGGAGGCCGAGGCGAGCGGATCACGAGGTCAGGAGATCGAGACCATCCTGGCTAACACAGTGAAACCCTGTCTCTACTAAAACTACAAAACAATTAGCCGGGCATGGTGGTGGGCCCCTGCAGTCCCAGCTACTCGGGAGGCTGAGGCAGGAGAATGGCATGAACCCAGGGGGTGGAGCTTGCAGTGAGCCAAGATCATGCCACTGCACTCCAGCCTGGGTGACAAAATGAAACTCCGTCTCAAAAAAAAAAAAAAAAAAAAATCTCTGTAGTAATAAGGGAGATGAGTCTGCTTCTGGTGGAGGCAGGGAGGGAACCCAGCATCACAGCCCAGTCAGGTCATTACTAACTGGTAGTTAATGTTTCTAGGTATCTGTCTCCTCATTGGTGAAGTGGAGATAATAAGAAAGCCTGCCACATAGATTTGCTGTGAAGATTCAATGAAATGATATATGTATTAGTTTGCTGGAACTACCTTAACAAAGCACCACAAACTGGGTGGCTTAAACAACAGAAATGTATTGCCTCACAGTTCTGGAGGCCTAGAAGTCCAAAATCAGGGTGTGGGCAGGGTTGGCTCCTTCTGCAGACTGCGAGGGAAGGGTCTGTTCCAGGCCTATCTCCTGTGCTTGTAGATGGCCGTCGTCACCCTGTGTTCACATCAGTTTCCCTCAGTATCCATCTCTTTCTTCCCACGTGGAATTCTTGTTATAAGAACACCACTCTTACTGAGTTAGGAGCTCACTCTACTACCCAGTAAGACCTCACCTTAACTTACTAATTACAGCTGCAATGACCCTGTTTTTAAATAAGGTCACGTTTTGAGGTACTCAGACTTAGGATTACAACATATGAATTTTGAGGAGATAAAATTCAACTCATAACATTGTAAATATAAAGTCCCTGATTCATAATTAGGCCTTATTAAACATTAGGTATTTATATTTTTAGTATTTATCTAGATCCAATAACCAGTCTTCTGCAAAGAGTAGATTCTAAAGGATATCATAGTGGATGAAACCAGTGGCGTCCTCGTTACTTTGGTTTGAGGCCCCTCAGACGTTAATTCTTCTCTGCAACGGATTTTCATTCAGTGATTCAGAATATAAGAACAAAAATGGATTGAATACAATTGTAATATTTTATCAATTGCACTGAATTTATGCAATTTAGAAAGAAACACAATTGTACTGTACTATGTGTGTGTATAGTATATGTACATTCAAGCTCAATGAACAGCACCTACTGTATAAGAGTCAGATTGAATTGAAGTGTGATAAAACCCTGATTACATAAGTATTAATTTCTGTCAGATTCATCATTTGTAAAATGAGAAAACAATCTCTCCCTCACAGTGTTGTTGTAAGTATCAAATTAAATATCTAAAAGCATCAGCAAAGTCCTAATACAGAATAAGCCACTCCTTAAATGAAAGTTACACTAAAATCATTATTAAAATTATTTCAGTGGAGTCATATTATTTGTACAGTTAATGTGAAATGGAATTGTATGTTTGGCAAAAGAGAAAAAAACTATGTAAATAGTGATGGAAATTATATTTTGCATAATATAACAGATCTTAGTTTGTTGTGCTGCTATTAACAATATGCCTGAGATTGGTTAGTTTATAAACAAGATAAATTTATTTTCTCACAGTTCTAGAGGCTGGGAAATCAAAGATCAAGGCACTAGTAGGTTCAGTGTCTGGTGAGGGCTCGTTCCTCATAAATGGCTCCATCTAAGTCTCCTCACGTGGCAGAAGGGACAGAAGAGCCCAAACGACCTAAGCTAGTTCCCTCCAGCTCTTTTATTGAGCACTAATTCATTCATGAGGACTCCGCTCTCAAGCCTTAATCATTTTTCAAAAGGCCTCTCCTCTTAATACAATGGGGATTAAGTTTCAACATAAATTTTGGAGGGAACACACATTATAACCACAGCAATTTTTTATTATACTTAACACATTTCTATAATCATTATATATACATGTTACCCCGTATCATTGTACACACTAAACCTTAAATACTGTATCTCATAGGTGACATAACAGTTTTTCAAGAACAATTCTCACTTCAGAAACTAACTGGCCCTTGAGAAGCCTTTCTGGGTGTTCATAAGGGCGAACATCATCCTATCAGCTGTGTGTCATTGTTTGCCAGATCTCTTTTCTACCCCAATTTAGAAGAGTATACACCTTAAGACATGGGGAACTATCCTGGCCTTCATTTACACTTTTCCATTCCTGCCCTTCATTGGCATTTTAAACATCATAAAACTTGGCAGAAACCCTTGGATTAACATAATTTCCAGAATTTCTGCTCATCAAAACTGCTTGAGTTTATCCCAAGTGCGGCAGAGTCCCTGGCCTAATCTATTAAATAAATATTAAACTTTATTTCTCACTTATTTTGTCAGTCCATAACACTTCAGACTTATAAATTAAAAGCACATTTCAAATGGATTTTTCTCTGAATCTACTCATTAGTGTCTTCATTTCCACTTTGGCATCTACATATTGATTTCTAAAGTAGCCAGTACCATATTCTTCACCTAGTGAGCTCCATAATGTGCTGTGACAATTAATTGATATTGAAGAGGTACACATCAACCAAGATGAGGTTCTTTTTATTAGTGACTAATGTACTTGATTATTCTATAAAGGGCAGGCATTCTGGGACTCTGGTATTTCTAAACTTCTTTAAAAAGTCATAGGTATAGTCAGCATCTCTACAATATAAACCACTTTGATTCCTGGAATACGCTACTGATGCATTCAAGAGATGTGGCCAATAATTAAAAATTTCAGCAGAAGGTCTTCTGTAATGGTTTCTATTTAGCTAATTCCTGGGTATAGAAAAAAAATCCTCTATTTGCCAAAAACATTTATTAAATCAATGGATTTACAAAGTAATGGTAAAAGCTGTAAGAACAAAGTAGATCCCTTCTTGGAATATTACTTGAAGAATAAATAAACTGTAGAGTAGAAGAAATAACATATTAAATGACACAATTCACTTTTTTTTCTTCCAGCAATATGCATTGTCTGAAAATTGAACCTAAATTAAGAAAGGCATTTTAAGAAAATGAAGAAGAAGGAAAAGAAAGGAAAACACAGAGAGAGATCAAGGGAGCATTTTTGTTTTCCTTTTAAACTAGTTTTAAACTAGAAGAGAGCAGAAATCCTGTTGGGCATATCAAGGTCACTGGGGCAGAGCTCAAGGTCAGGCCGCAAGTTACAGTCAGTCTCACTGCAATTCGGTTTCATTCCAGAAATCTCTCAAACCTAGAATTTTTATCATCCTTTGTTTTTATTTCACTTGCTATTCCATCAATTCCTTTTACTTCACTGGCTTTTCTAGCATCTTTGACAAGTGTCAGGATTTTTTTCCCCTAAAACTATGAATATCCTTTTAAAAGTTAATTACATTGTTTTAAATGGTATATGTGATTTATTTTATTTTATTATTATGATACTTTAAGTTTTAGGGTACATGTGCACAATGTGCAGATTTGTTACATATGTATACATGTGCCATGTTGGTGTGCCGCACCCATTAACTCGTCATTTAGCATTGGGTATATCTCCTAATGCTATCCCTCCCCCCTCCCCCCACCCCACAACAGTCCCCAGAGTGTGATGTTCCCCTTCCTGTGTCCATGTTCTCATTGTTCAATTCCCACCTATGAGTGAGAACATGTGGTGTTTGGTTTTTTGTCCTTGTGATACTTTGCTGAGAATGATGGTTTCCAGTTTCATCCATGTCCCTACAAAGGACATGAACTCTTCATTTTTTATGGCTGCATAGTATTCCATGGTGTATATGTGCCACATTTTCTTAATCCAGTCTATCGTTGTTGGACATTTGGGTGGGTTCCAAGTCTTTGCTATTGTGAATAGTGCCACAATAAATATACGTGTGCATGTGCCTTTATAGCAGCATGATTTATAATCCTTTGGGTATATACCCAGTAATGGGATGGCTGGGTCAAATGGTATTTCTAGTTTTAGATACTTGAGGAATCGCCACACTGTCTTCCACAATGGTTGAACTAGTTTACAGTCCCACCAACGTGTAAAAGTGTTCCTATTTCTCCACATCCTCTCCAGCACCTGTTGTTCCTGACTTTTTAATGATCAGCATTCTAACTGGTGTGAGATGGTATCTCATTGCGGTTTTGATTTGCATTTCTCTGATGGCCAGTGATGATGAGCATTTTTTCATGTGTTTTTTGGCTGCATAAATGTCTTGAGAAGTGTCTGTTCATATCCTTCGCCCACTTTTTGATGGGGTTGTTTGTTTTTTTCTTGTAAATTTGTTTGAGTTCATTGTAGATTCTGGATATTAGCCCTTTTTCAGATGAGTAGGTTGCAAAAATGTTCTCCCATTCTGTAGGTTGTCTGTTCACTCTGGTGGTAGTTTCTTTTGCTGTGCAGAAGCTCTTTAGTTTAATTAGATCCCATTTGTCAATTTTGTCTTTTGTTGCCATTGCTTTTGGTGTTTTAGACATGAAGTCCTTGCCCAAGCCTATGCCCTGAATGGTATTGCATAGGTTTTCTTCTAGGGTTTTTATGGTTTTAGGTCTAACATGTAAGTCTTTAATCCATCTTGAATTAATTTTTGTATAAGGTGTAAGGAAGGGATCCAGTTTCAGCTTTCTACATATGGCTAGCCAGTTTTCCCAGCACCATTTATTAAATAGGGAATCCTTTCCCCATTTCTTGTTTTTGTCAGGTTTGTCAAAGATCAGATGGTTATAGATATGTGGCATTATTTCTGAGGGCTCTGTTCTGTTCCATTGATCTGTATCTCTGTTTTGGTACCAGTACCATGCTGTTTTGGTTACTGTAGCCTTGTAGTATAGTTTGAAGTCAGGTAGGGTGATGCCTCTGGCTTTGTTCTTTTGGCTTAGGATTGACTTGGTGATGCAGGCTCTTTTTTGGTTCCATATGAACTTTAAAGTAATTTTTTCCAATTCTGTGAAGAAAGTCACTGGTAGCTTGATGGGGATGGCATTGAATCTATAAATTACCTTGGGTAGTATAGCTGTTTTCACGATATTGATTCTTCCTACCCATGAGCATGGAATGTTCTTCCATTTGTTTGTATCCTCTTTTATTTCATTGAGAAGTGGTTTGTAGTTCTCCTTGAAGAGGTCCTTCACATCCCTTGTAAGTTGGATTCCTAGGTATTTTATTCTCTTTGAAGCAATTGTGAATGGGAGTTCACTCATGATTTGGCTCTCTGTCTGTTATTGGTGTATAAGAATGCTTGTGATTTTTGTACATTGATTTTGTATCCTCAGACTTTGCTGAAGTTGCTTATCAGCTTAAGGAGATTTTGGGCTGAGACAGTAGGGTTTTCTAGATACACAATCATGTCATCTGCAAACAGGGACAATTTGACTTCCTCTTTTCCTAATTGAATACCCTTTATTTCCTTCTCCTGCCTGATTGCCCTGGCCAGAACTTCCAACACTATGTTGAATAGGAGTGGTGAGAGAGGGCATCCCTGTCTTGTGCCAGTTTTCAAAGGGAATGCTTCCAGTTTTTGCCCATTCAGTATGATATTGGCTGTGGGTTTGTCATAGATAGCTCTTGTTATTTTGAGATACGTCCCATCAATACCTAATTTATTGAGAGTTTTTAGCATGAAGGTTGTTGAATTTTGTCAAAGGCCTTTTCTGCATCTATTGAGATAATCATGTGGTTTTTGTCTTTGGTTCTGTTTATATGCTGGATTACATTTATTGATTTGCATATGTTGAACCAGCCTTGCATCCCAGGGATGAAGCCCACTTGATCATGGTGGATAAGCTTTTTGATGTGCTGCTGGATTTGGTTTGCCAGTATTTTATTGAGGATTTTTGCATCAATGTTCATCAAGGATATTGGTCTAAAATTCATTTCTTTGGCAAATGAGTTTGTCAGTATCACTTCTTTCTAGAGAAAAAACAAACGTATTAGTTTATCTGATAGTAATTAACCTTTTCAATCGATGTAAATATCTTTGTCTCGATAGATGGTGCCCTGATATCTCTTCAGACACTAACTTTGTTTTATCCTTTAAGAAATGCATGGTAATATTAAAGTTGTAGGTACAACATGATGCCAAATTGCATTTCCAGCAGAATCCTACAATCAGATCCTCTCATTTAATAGAGGCCTATCTTATGGTTTTTTTGTTTGTTTGTTTGTTTGTTTGTTTTGGTTTTTTTTTAGACAGAGTCTCACTCTGTAACCCAGGGTGGAGTACAGTGGTGCAATCTTGGCTCACTGCACCCTCTGCCTCCTGGGTTCAAGTGATTCTCCCACCTCAACCTCCCAAATAGCTGGAACTACAGAAGCATGCCACCATGCCTGGCTAATTTTTGTATTTTTAGTAGAAATGGGGTTTCACCATGTTGGCCAAGATGGTCTCGAACTCCTGACCTCAAGTGATCTGCTTGCCTCAGCCTCCCAAAGTGCTGGGATTAAAGGCATGACCCACCACTCCCAGCCCTATCTTATGTTTTAACATAGGGTATTTTGCCCCTGCAAATCCTCCCTTGCAAATTCACAAGATTAATACCAAAGTACAAAATTACTACTATCATTGCCCTGTACTCCATTAATCAGACATGAATCTAGTTTAAACTTTTGCTTGAAATTTGGGTTAAGGTTACATTTCAAAATTTTCTGTGGCAAGACAATAGGTTCCCTATTCCCTCAAAAATTCTGTGTGACTCATATTAAGCAACAGCAATGAAGCTGTGAAGCTCTTGGTGGATCCACCACAGCTGCAAAGAGAAGTTCCGTTGTAGATAAATCACAAGGAAGCCTACTCTAACAGCGAATTGATATTTTCTACTAAGTAGGAAAAACTTTTCTTCCCTTCAAGAGTCACTGGAAAAACAACCCACTTCAAATTGAAAATTTTCAGTCCTGTGAGTTGACCAATGAATGTGGTGATGCCATTGTACACCTTCCCTCTTTCTCTTTTTGCTTCGGCCTCATAGGGAAGAGTTAACAGAAGTCAGAAAGAGTAACAGTCATTTCTGGAAAACTTTGATCATTCAAAAACCTCAAATTGTGCAACAGGCTGAAATCAGTCCTTCTACTTCTTCACGTGTATTAGTCCATTTTCACACTGCTAATAAAGACATACCTGAGAGTTGGTAAGTTATAAAGAAAAAGAGGTTTAATGGACTCACAGTTCCATGTGGCTGGGGCAGGGGGGCCTCACAATCATGGCAGAAGGCAAAAGGCACATCTTACATGGTGGCAGGCCAGAAAGAAAGTGAGAGCCAAGAGAAAACGGAACCCCTGATAAAACCGTCAGATCTCGTGAGACTTATTCATTACCACGAGAACAGTAAGGGAGAAACCACCCCCATGATTCAATTATCTCCCACTGAGTCCCTATTGCAACATGTGAGAATTATGGGAGCCACAATTCAAGATGAGATTTGTGTGGGGACACAGCCAAACCATATCACCAAGTAATTGACAACAAAAAGGCACCATAGCTATGATATTATAGTTGAAAAATAAAGATTTTTTGGTGATTATTCTCACACGTGTCTGATAGTCTGTAAAGCTTAATCTTTGATATTTCCAGGAATGCATATCCTAAAAGAATGTAAAAGGAATCAAACAGACATATAAAAGAAATGAACTAGTTAGCCTGAGAGACATATACTCCTATTACTTTTTCCATTTTGTTTGCTCTATTTTCTACTTAATTGGTAAAAGACATATTTAATACACTGTGCCTTTCCACTGGGTTGCCCTTGGTTGTGACTAATCCTGGGAACCAGATTTCCTAATATTGTGGGCTAATTACATGTTTTCACTATTAACCAATGCTTGGATTTACATAATTTGCTGTAGGAGGAGCAAGCAGAAGAATTAGAGATGGATGCGTTGTTCATATTTTGTATTAGATAAAAATTTTCTGCTGGCTGGAAGAAATTTCTTAAATCTATATTAGATATTGGGAACATTTTTCTTCTCAGCTAGCTTCCATGTAACATCTTCTTATTTGGTTACTAACTGTCTCAGACATTCAAGGATGAAACCACATCAAGCACTTCTTCAGAATGTGAGAGCAAGAAATACAATTCTCTTAAGGAAAAAGCAAGTAAACACTGGAAAATAAAGCAACAATGTAAGCATTACTTCATTCAGTCCCCTAAGTGACTTTATTTCATTCTTCTTGGTAATTCTTCTTTTTGGTGAATATGATTGTTCAGAAGTCAATAAGCTATCTTGAGTTATTGTCTCAAAGATCAAATATACATGGTAGCATTGATGACTCCTAAAACCTTTAGTATTTTATCGCTTTCTGCTCTAGAAGTATTCTGATTTAATTGGTATCTAAGGTAGTAGTACTCAGAAAAAGTCACAAATTATAACTAAGAACAGCCAGAGACTACGTTTTGCTTCTTATCAAGGACTTTCATTCCCAAAGAATAAAAAATTCATTCTTAGTTAAGAAATTGCAGTAAGTATAGGTTGGTGCAAAAGCGATTGCAGTTTTGCCATTAATTTTAATGGCAAAAAATGCAATTACTTTTATGTCAACCTAATATATCAAGCAAAACATTTTTTACTGTAGCTAATGTATTGTCAAGTCTTTAAACAAAGTTAAACAGGTTTTTATCCTAGTGTAGATTTTGACATGCCCTGAAAAAAAAAATAAGAATGAATTTCTCAAAAGTTTTTGACCAAGGAAAATTTTGTTTAAACAGCATCAATTAAGAGCTATTTTTTTCATATATTACAGTTTAAAAATCTAGTGTGTGAATATAGGAATCCTGAAGGCACAAAATAACAAAGTCAAAGACAGAACATGAGTATTGCACTATAGCCATTCCCAGTGAATAAGAATGTTACCAAATAACTAGGACTGAGTGATTTCTGTAACTGAAACCTCAAATGCTGAACTAATACACTCTGTGTGATTTTTCTGTAAATAACCTTTTCCATCTACACCCATGAAAGTGGTGCAGATAGTGATGCAGATAGTTTAAAACTGGATTTTCAAACTTTGGCCATCACATTTACATGCCACAGTTCAGTAATTCACAGTCACTAAATTTTCCCAAGACTCCAGGTAAATTCAGATCTCACTGGAGAGACTTGACTACCTTAGAGTCTCTCACATCCTGACTACAAAAACTTTATCAGAACAATTCTCCTAGTTTTTTGATTTGTTTGTTTTAGTTTCTTAGTTGTTATTGTTTGTCGTTTTATTTTTTGCTAACATAATTTTCTGCAAAATTAACATTAATAGCAAAGTTATGATGTAATGAATGTGCAAAGCCTTTCATTATTTTTTTCCATTTGTCTTTTTTTTTATTTCTGTTTTTATTTCAGATTTGGAGGTACACATGCAGGTTTGTTACAAGGATATGTTGCATGATGCTGAGGTTTGGGCTTCTATTGATCCCATCACCCAGATAGTGAAGGCAGTACTCAATAAGAATTTTTTCATCCCTTGCCTCTCTTCCTCCCTCCCAACTTTTGGAGTCCCCAGTGACTACTGTTTCTATCTTTATGTCCATAGGAACCCAAAATTTAGCTCCCACATATAAGTGAGAATTTGTGATATCTGCATTTCTGTTTCTATATTAGTTTGCTTAGGATCACAGCCTTCAGCTACTTCCATGTTGCTGCAAAGGACATGACTTCATTGTTATTTATGGCTGTATAGTATTCCATGGTGTATATGTACCACGTTTTCTTTATCCAATCCACTATTTATGGACACTTGGGTTGATTCTATGTCTTTGCTATTGTGAATAGTGCTGTAGTAAACGTATGAGTGCATGTGTCTTTTTGCTAAAATGATTTCTTTTCCTTGGGATATGTACTCCATAATGGGATTGCTGGGTCAAATGGTAGCTCTATTTTTAGCTCTTTGAGAAATCTCCAAACTGCTTTCCAAAGGGGATGAGACAATTTGTATTTCCACCAACAGTATATAAACATTCCCTGTTTTCCACAACCTCTCCAGCATCTCTTTTTTTTTTTTTTTAACTTTTTAATAATAGCCTCTGACTGGTGCAGGATGGTATCTCATTGTGGTTCTGATTTCTATCTCTTGGATGATTAGTGATGTAGAGCACTTTTTCATGTTTGTTGGCTGTTTGTATGTTTTCTTTCGAGAAGTGTCTGTTCATGTCCTTTGCCCACTTTTTAATGGGGTTGTTTGGTTTTTTCTTGTTGATTTATTTAAGCTCCTTATAGATGCTGGATATTAGACCTTTGTCAAATGCATAGTTTGTGAATATTTTCTCCCATTCTGTAGGTTGTCTGTTTACTCTGTTGATAATTTTTTTTTTTTTTTTTGCTGTGCAGAGGCTCTTTAGTTTACTTAAGTCCCACTTGTCAATGTTTGTTTTTGTTGCATTTACTTTTGGGGCTTTCATCATAAATTATTTGCCTATGCCAGTGTTTAGCAGAGTATTTCCTAAGTTTTCTTCTATAATTTCCATTCCAGATGAATAAAATCTAGAATGTAACAGTCTAACATTTAAGTTTGTAATCCATCTCAAGTTAATTTTTTATTTAGTGATACATAGAGGGTCCAGTTTTATTCTTCTGCTTATTATGTTAGCCAGTTTTCTCATCACCATTTATTGAAAGGGTATCCTTTCCTTATTGTTTATTTTTTGTCAGCTTTGTCAGAGATCAGCTGGTTGTAAGTATGTGGCTTTATTTCAGTGAGCTCCATTCTGTTCCATTGGTCTGTGTCTATTTTCGTACCAGTATCCTGCTGTTTTAGTTACTGTGATCTTGTAGTATAGTTTGAAATCAGGTAATGTGATGCTTCCAGCTTTGTCCTTTTTATTAGGATTGCTTGGATATTTGGGCTCTTTTTGGTTCCATGTGAATTTTACCATTTGTTTCTAATTCTGGGAAAAAATCACTTTGGTAATTTGATAGGAATAGCATTGAATTTGTACATTGCTTTGAAGAGTATGGCCATTTTAACCATATTGATTCTTCTAACCCATGAGCATGGAATGCTTTTCCATTTGTTTATGTCATGTATGATTTCTTTCACCATTGTTTTGTAGTTCTTTGTGTCGAGATCCTTCACCTCCTTGGTTAGATGTATTCCTAGGTACTTTTTTGTGGCTATTGTAAATGGAATTGAAGTATTGATTTGGCTCTCAGCTTGCATGTTATGGATGTATAGAAATGTTCCTGTATTTTGTACATTGATTTTGTATCCTGAAACTTGGCTGAAGTCATTTATCAAGTCTAGAAGTCTTTTGGGTGAATCTCTAAGGATTTCTAGGTATAGAATAATGTCAGCAAACAGAGATAATTTGATTTTCTCTTTTCCTATCTGGATGCCTTTTCTTTCTCTTGCCTGATTATTCTGGCTAGGTTTTGCAGTATTATATTGAATATGAGTGTTGAGACTAGGCATCTTTGTCATGTTCCATTTCTCAAGAAGAATGTTTCCAGCTTTTGTCTGTTCAGTGTGATGTTGACTGTGGATTTGTCATAGATGGGTCTTACTATTTGGGGATATGTTCCTTCAATGCCTAGTCTGTTGAGAGCTTTTTATCATGAAGGAGTGTTGGATCTTATTGAATGGTTTTTCTGTGTCTATTGATATGATCATATGATTTGTGTTTTTAATTCTGTGTGGTGAATCACACTTATTGATTTCCATATATAACCAACCTTGCATCCCAAGAGTAAGGCCCACTTGATCATGATGAATTAACTTTTGGATGTGCTCCCAGATTCAGTGTGGTAGTATTTTATTGAGGATTTCTGCATCTGTGTTCATCGGTGGTATTGGCCTGTAGTTTTCTTTTTTGTCGTGTCTTTGCCAGATTTTGGTATCAGGATGATACTGGTTTCATAGAATGAATTAGGGAGGAGTCCCGCCTCCTCAATATTTTGGAATAGTTTCAATAGGATTGGTATCAGTTCTTTATACATCTGGTAGAATTCAGCTGTGAATCCATTTGAATGGCTTTTTTGATTGATAGGGTTTTTTTTCTAATCATTCAATTTCATTACTTGTTATTTCTCTGTTCAGGATTTCCATTTCTTCTTGGTTCAATCCTGGGAGGTTGTGTTTCCAGGAATTTATTCATTTCCTCTAGGTATGCTAGTCTGTGTGCCTAGAGATGTTCACACAGTCTCTGAGCATCTTTTATATTTCTGTGGGATTGGTTGTGATGTTATTTTTCTTATTTCTCATTGTGTTTATTCTCTCTTTTTTCTTTGTTAATCTACCTAGCAGTCTATCTGTTTTGTTTATCCTTTCAAAACACAAACTTTTCATTTCATTCATCCTTTGTATGGTTTTGTGGGTCTCACTTACATTTAACTCTTCTCTGATGTTATTTCTTTTCTTCTGGTAGCTTTGGGTTTCATTTGTTCTTCTTTTTCTAGTTCTTTAATCTGTGGGATTAGGTTGTTAATTTGAGACCTTTCTATCTGCTTGATATAGGCATTTAGGGCTATAAACTTTCATGTTAACACTTTTGCCATATCCCAGAGGTTTTGGTATGTTGTGTCTCTATTTTTGTTTGTTTCAAAGAATTTCTTTTATTTCTGCCTTAATTTCATTGTTTTTCCAAAAGTCATTCAGGAGTAAGTTGCTTAGTTCCCATGTACTTGTTTGGTTTTGAGAGTTTCTCTTGATATTGATTTCTATTTTTATTCTACTCTGGTCCAAGAAGATGCTTAGTATGATTCTAATTATTTTGAATTTATTGAGATTTGCTTTATGACCAAGCACGTGGTTAATCTTAAAGTGTGTTCCATGTGCAAATGAGAGGAATGTACATCCTGTGGTTGTTGGGTGGAGTATTCTGTAGATGACTATTGGGTCCAATTGGTCAAGTGTCAAATTTAAGTCCAGAATTTCTTTGTTAGTTTTCTGCCTCAGTGATCTATCTACTGCTATCAGTGGAATTTTGATGTCCCCCACTATTATCAGGTGGCTTTCAACATCTTTTCTTAGGTCTACAAGTAATTGTTTTATAAATCTGTGTGCTCCAATATTGGGTGCATATATATTTAGAATACTTAAATCTTCCTTCAACAGCTTTCCTTGGGGAAAAAAATGAATACTTAAATCTTCTTGTTGAATTGAGCCTTTTATCATTGTGTAATTCCCTTCTTAATCCCTTTTTTACTGTTGTTTGCTTAAAGTCTATTTTATCTGATAGAAGAATAGTGACCTCTGCTCTTTTTCATTTTCCACTTGTGTGATAGTTCTTTCTCCATTCCTTTACTTTGAGTCTGTGGGTGTTGTTACATGTGAAGTAGGTCTCTTGAAGACAGCAAAAGGATGAGTTTTTAGCCCAAATTTTTACTTCATGTATTTTAAGTGGGGCATTAAGGTCATTTACATTTATGATTAATATTGATATGTGAGATTTTATTCCTGTCACAGTGCTGTTAGCTAGTTCCTTTGTAGTCTCAATCATGTAGTTACTTATAAGGTTCTTGGGCTATGTGTTTGCATGTGCTTTTATGGTGGCAAGTACCATTGTTTTATTTCCATAATTAGAATTCCCTTAAGCCTTAAGCATCTCTTGTAGGGTTGGTCTGGGGGGTGAAAATTCCCTTAACCATTATTTGTCTGGGAAATACTTTATTTCTCCTTTGTTTATGAAGCTTAGTTTGAACAGATATATGAAATTCTTGGCTGGCATTTATTTCCTTTAAGAGTGCTAAAAGTGGGCCCCCCAATCTTCTCTGGCTTTCAAGGTTTCTGCTGAGAAGTCTGCTGTTAATCTTATGGGTTTCCCTTTACAGACAACATGACCCTATTCTTTAACTGTCTTTAATATTTTTTCTATCACTTTGACCTTGGATAATGTGATGACTATATGACTTGGCAATAGTCATCTTGCATATTATCTTGTAGGAGTTCTCTGGATTTCTTATATCTGCATGTTGACCTCTCCAGCAACATTGAAAAATTTTTCCAGGATTATGTCCTCAAATAAGTTTTACAAGTTGCTTGCTTTGTCTTCTTCTCTCTCAAGAATGCCAATAAGTCATATATTTGGTCATTTTACATAATCCCATATTTCTTGAGAACTTTGTTCATTTTTTAAAATTCTTTTTACTTTGTTTTTGTCTTACTGGTTTGATTCAAAGATACAGTCTTTGAAATCTGAAATTCTTTCTTCTGTTTGGTCTAGTCTATTCTTAAGGCTTACAACTGTATTTAGAAATTCCTCCAGTGAATTTTTTAATTCCAGAAGTTCTTTGTGAAAATAGTCATGTTCTATTTCAAATCTTGGATTGTTTTTCTGGTTTTGTGTGGATTTCAACTTCTCTTGGATCTCATTGAGTTTCTTTGCCACCCGTATTCTGAATTCTATATTTGTCATTTCAGACATTTCATTCTTGTTAGAATCCATTACTTGGGAGCTAGTGGGATTCTTTGGAGTTAACAAAACATTCTGGCTTTTTGTATTTCTGGAGTTCTTGTGCTGGTTCTTTCTCATCTGAGAAAGCTGACACTTTTTTATTGAATTTGCTATCATCTGAATAAAGCCTTTTGATTTTCTATTCTTGTTTTCCCTTGGGAATATGACTGTAGAGTATTTTATGTATGGATTGGCTTCATTTTGGGGTGCGCTCAGGGTGCCAAGGCTCTGTGCAGGTTCTTTGGCTGCAGATAGGTTCGTGCAGTGGCTTTCTCAGGCTTTGCTTGTTGCAGCAATATATTTTTGTTTGATGGTGTAATTCAGGCTTCAATCCAGTAGGTGACACTTAAGAGTAAGAGCGGGCAGGGAGAGGGGGTGGGGCGGAGGCAAAGGAGAAGCATGAAAAGCTTCCTCCCCTGAGTGTGTTTGCCTTTATTTGGGGTAAAGCCGCCTTAGAAACCCCAGCAGTCTCTTTCAACCTTGACTCTGTGGGCCCCAGTGGGAAGAACCACTGCCAAGTCATCAGCAGTGCACTCAGGAGAGAGGTAGAGGGCAAGAGATGAACCCCTCTCCACATCGGTTCCTGAGCTTTGGCAGTGCCACCTTCAGCAGCTGGTGTTGGCCCACATTTCCATTGGCCCAAGATGGACTTAGGCAGGCTGTAATTCCCATTCATTAGGTGAAGACTGCGCTGGGGGTTAGATCTCTGGTTCTGAGTGTTCTCCATGGCAAAGAGTCTGCATAAAGTTCCTTGGTTGCAGATAGCCTTGCATGGTGGCTTTCCCAAATGTTGATTGTAGTAGTGATGTACTGGGCACGTGAGCAGGCTCAATGCCTCCTAGCAGACTGAGGTGGCAGTGGTCCCAGGGAGCCTATCTCATTCACCAGTGTTGTGCACTTGTGTTAGCAGGTTTCCTATTGTGCTGCGCCCTTCAACCTGCAGGCCAGTTGGTGGCTTTTCTGGGTAAGACCTGGCTGTGTAGCCAATACCGATGGATATATACCTGGTCCTTGTTTACTGAGAAAAAGCTCTGTTGCCTTGGGCTCCCGGCTCAGCTCTGGAGAATGGGACCAAGCTGGGCAGGGCTGAACTAGGTTGGCCCACCTATAAGTCCCCCAACGGCAGGCACAAATACCAGCTCCAAGGGATCCAGTGCACAGCCACCTAGCATCCAGACGTGTGCCTAGGCATGGAGTTGAGAAACATCCTCTGCTCCAAGTTCCCTGCATGGGGATGAGGGGGCAGCCTAAACTTCTAATCTAAAAGAATGGGTGCTCCAAATGCCTGGAGATAGGTCTGGGCATTGAGAGGAGAAAACGCTGCTGCACCAAGATTTCTGCATCTAAAAAGAGGGGTAGCCCAGGCTCCTAATCCAAGCTAGTACATGTGCCAAGTGCCTGGAAATCTGCTCTGGCAAGGAGGAAACTGGTGCCGCAACAAGGTCTTTGCAGGGGATGGGAAGCGTGGCTCAGACACCTACTCTAGGGGTGCAGGTGCACCTCATCCTGGGTGATATGTCCATAGAAGAAGCAGAGAAACCACTGCCACAAGGTATTTGCATGGGAAGGGAGAGGTAGCCCAAGATCCTAATCTACGGGAACAGGTGTGCCAAATGCCTGACGTTATATCTGGGTATAGAGTGGAGGGAGTGCCACTACACCAAGTTTTTTACATGGGTCGGGGATGGCAGCTCAACTTCCTGTTCCAGGAGGGCAGGTGCACCAGAGGCCTGCTATGTGTGGAACAGAGAGTGTGCTACTGCACCAGGATTTCTGCACAGGAAGAGAGGGGCAGCTCAGGCTGCTAATCCTGGTGAGAGGGTGCTCCAAGCACCTGGAGATACACCTGGGTGTGAAACAGAGAGATTGCTACTGCACCATGATCTCAGGAAAGTAGGCTGGGGCACCTAGCAATGACACACACAGACTGGTTCCAGGATGCAAAGCTGACCCTGGCTGCAGATCTCACCATCTAGGAGAAAAAAATGGCTTCAGAAACTCTCCTCCCACTTCAGACCTGTGATGGAAGACAGCCCAATTCCAGTGCCTACTGCTGGGATGCTTTCCACATTTGTCACTCAATTCTGGCTGTGGGGTCCTGTCCCACTCCAGAGTAAGTGCACCAATCTCTGACCTGACTGGAATGCTTGCTTGGCCACACTGCTGGGTTGCTAAAAAATGGCTTACTTTGCATGAGCCCAGGTGAAAACTGGCATCCTGCTTTAAGTCCTGGATCTGAGAAAATGCCTACAGCTTTTCCCAGTGTCTTTCCCTCTCTGCATCTCCAAACTTCTCCCAACATTTCCCCCAGGGCTTTGGAGAAACAAGGTGCTCTCCCTTGGCCTGGGTTGCTTGGATCCCTAGTGGAAAGGTGAGTCACAATGGGAGCCTCTGCCCCTCGTTCATGCTGGAGCTTCACTCACTTTCATCAGCCTGATGCTGTCCTGGGAGCTGTTCATCAACTGTCACCTCCCCAGGATCTGGGGTATCCTTCACTATTCTAGTAAATTCCTTTTTTCTTTTTTGAATTAAAGAAATAGAGTTGGTGTATTAGTCCGTTTTCATGCTGCTGATATAGACATACTGGAGACGGGGCAATTTACAAAAGGAAGAGATTTAACTGGACTTACAGCTCCACGTGGCTAGGGAAGCCTCACAATCATGGTGGAAGGCAAGGAGGAGCAAGTCCCATCTTACATGGATGGCAGCAGGCAAAGAGAGAATGAGGAGGAGGCAAAAGCAGAAAACCCTGATAAAACCATCAGATCTCATGAGACTTATTCTACCAGGAGAACACTACGGGGGAAACTGCCCCCATGATTCAATTATCTCCCATCAGTTTCCTCCTACAACACGTGGGGATTATGGGAGTATAATTCAAGATGAGATTTGGGTTGGGACGTAGCCAAACCATGTAAATTGGTGTTTTCCCACTATTTCGCTATTTCCAAGTGACTGAGGCACACTAAAAGCCTCTTATCTGCTCTGGGAAAAATTAAAAAGTATAAATCCTTTTAGAAATGTACAAGACACTTTTCCTCAGATTCATTGTGAAATACTGATAATAATACTTATCTCATTTTTTTTGAGGATTAAGAAATTATACCTAGTACAATACCTAGGATAGAGTATACTTTTAAAAATATATTTCCCACCTCTCTTCCTTTTACATACACGTATCCATCTCTCCCTTTCCCAGCTACCTCTTGCAATTGGTATAGAAGTACACTTGCATCAATAATGTCAAGTGACTTTATTGCTCAAAGATTTCTTAAAGATAATTATGAACTGGAAATAAATATTTTTACATATACATTTACCTTGACTTTTTTAGTTAATATGTTTAAAATGCAGAGATAAAGTGGCTAGGCATATTTCTGGAAAGACAAAAAATTTGATGAGTAGTATTTGGGGTAGTATACTAAACATAAAATACACGTTTATTTTTTTCAACTTTTATCTTAGATTCAGGGGGTACATGTGCACTTTATTTACCTAGCTATATTGTGTGATGCTGAAGTATAGGCTACAAATGATCCCATCACCCAGGTACCCAGGTACTGTGCATAGTACCCAATAGTTACCTTTTCAGTACTTGCCCCCCATCCCACCCTCCACCTTCTAATAGTCTCTAGTTTCTATTACTCCTATCTTTACATTCATTTGTACCCAGTGTTTAGCTCTGACTTATAAGCAATAACATTTTGTATTTGGTTTTCTGTTTCTGTGCTAATTTACTTAGGATAATGGCCTCTAGCTGCATCCATGTTGCTGCAAATGACATAATTTTGTTATTTTTTATGGTTGTGTAGTATTCTGTGGTGCATATGTAGCACATTTTCTTGATCCAGTCCATTGTTGATGGGTACCTAGGTTGATTCCATGTATTTGCTATTGTGAATAGTGCTGCAATGAACATATGAGCACATGTGTCTTTTGGTAGAATGATTTGTTTTCTTTTGGATGTATACCCAGTATTGGGATCACTGGATTGAATGATAGTTCTGTTTTAAGTTCTTTGAAAAATCTCCAAACTGCTTTCCACAGGGGCTGAACAAATTTGCATTCCCACCAACAGTGTATATATAAGTGAGGTAGGAGAATAGAGAATTAGGGTAACCAAGGGTTAAGGGAGAAGCAAAAGAACCGCAGGTGCATCTAGTTCTAGGAAAGATTAGGCAGCAGACAGCCTGCTCCTGTATAACAAGACAGAAGTTTCCACTTCAGCCTCTGATTGACCACAGGCCAAGTCTCTACTTAGCCTCTGATTGGTCACCAGCCATTCCTTCATAGGGTGTAACCAATTGGAGGCCTCTAAACGGCACTTAGGCATGTTACCAAATTCTTTTAGCTTAGTAAAACCGCTAAAGAACATTGTAATCAGAGCTCTTGAACTACTTGCTCAAGCCTGCTCCCACTCTTTGGAGTGTACTTTCATTTAGATAAATCTCACTTTTGATGCTTCCTCTTTCATTGCTTCATTCTTTTGTTGCCTTCTTTTTGCATTTTGTTCAACTCTTTGTTGGATGCACCAAGAACCTGGACAACTCGTAGACAAGACCTTCCATCAGGTAACATAAGCATTTCCTTTTTTCTTCACCCTTGCCAGCATCTGTTGTTTTTTTGACTTTCTAATAACACCTATTCTGACTGCTGTGCAAAGAATGGTATCTCATTGTGGTTTTGATTTGCATTTATCTGATGATTAGTGATATAGAACATTTTTTCATGTTTGTTGGCTGCTTGTATGTTTTCTTTTGAGAAATGTCTGTTCGTGTTCTTTGCTCATTTTTTAATGGGTTTATTTGGTTCTTGTTTGTTGATTTAAGTTCTTTATAGATTCTGGATATGAGACCTTTGCTGGATGCATAGTTTGCAAATATTTTCTCTCATTCTGTAGGTTGTCTGTTTACTCTGCTGATAGTTTCTTTTGCTTTGCAGAGCTCTTTAATTAGCTTCTACTTGTCAATTTTTGTTTGTGTTGTAATTGTGTTAGAGGACTTAGTCATAAATTCTTTCCCAAGGCCGATGTCCAGAATGGCGTTTCCTAGGTTTTTTTTAGGATTCTTATAGTTTGAGGTCTTATATTTAACTCTTTAATCCATGTTGAGTTAATTTTTGCATATGGTGGAAGATAAGGATGCAGGTTCAATCTTCTGCTTTTGGCTAGCCGGCTAACCCAACACAATTTATTGAATAGGGTGTCCTTTTCCCATTGCTTATATTTGTTGATTTTGTTAAACATCAGATGGCTATAGGTATGCAGCTTTATTTTTTTCTTGAGTTTCTATTTTTTCCATTTGTCTATGTGTCTCTCTTTTTTTTTTTAACCAGCACAATCTTGTTTTTACTTCTGTAGCCTTACAATATAATTCGAAGTCAGGTACTGTGATGCCTATGGCTTTCTTCTTTTTGCTTAGGATTGCTTGGCTATTTGGGTTCTTGTCTGGTTCCATGTGTATTTTAGAATAGTTATTTTCTATTTCTATGAAGAAAGACTTTGGTAGTTTTATAGGGGTAGTGTTGAATCTATACATTGCTTTGGTCAGTTAGGGCCATTTTAATGATATTGATTTGCCCAATCCATGAGCATGGAATGTTTTTTTTTCATTTCTTTGTGTCATCTTTGATTTCTTTTAGGATGTTTTCTCCTGGTAGAGATATTTCACCTCCTCAGCTAGATGTATTCATAGGCGAATTATTTTGTGTGTGTGGCTATTGTAAATGGGATTATGTTCTTAATTTGGCTTTCAGCTTAAACATTATTGGTGTGCAGAAATGCTAGGTTTTTTTACACTGATTTTGTATCCTAAAACTTTACTGAAGTCATTTATCAGTTCTGGGAGCCTTTTGGTAGAGTCTTTAGGGTTTTGTAGGTATAAAATCATATTATCTATGAAGAAAGATAGTTTGACTTCTTCTTTTCCTATGTGGATGCCTTTTGTTTCTTACTCTTGCCTGATTGCTCTGGCTAGGACTTCCCAGTTACTTTTAAATAACATTAGACAAATGGAATTATTAATAATGGTACCAGTGTCCAACCTATAAATTAGGCTTTTTAATTATAACACCATATTTTAAGTTTTTTTTTCATGGCAGCAGTGTAGCCTGAATCTTAAGAGGCTGATGTTTTAATCCTCTCTGGGATTTTAGCAAATAGTTTCTTCAAGCTGTAGTGTTTTTGTCTATTTAAGATGACATAATAATACAGTCATATAATAATACCACAGTAAGGATCAAATTAAATAATTGTGAAGGTTACAAATCTAAAACTTCCAGGCAAGAGAATCTTATTTTTATGGCTAATGAACAGGTGTAAACATGGTCAAATCCAGGCAGTCACAGAGTATAAACGTAGTTACTGGTAGACACCTCTGATCATGACAGAAAAAGACTCAGAAATCTCAGAGAGGGGAGGGTGATTTATAGGCTGATTAGATTCTCCAGGAAGGATCCACTAAAGACAAGATAATGAAGATCTTTGATTATCATGCTAAGTAGTTTGGATCTTATTCTGTAAACAATGAAGAATAAAAATAATTCAAAACAGGTAAGTACAACAGTCATAATTATATTTTAGGAGAAAATTCAAAACTCAGTGGTAACCCTTAGGGGAATGAAAAGGTAGGGGTAAAAAAAAACACCCAGACAGCTATACATCAATTAAGGCATGATGATACTTTGCCTGCAGTGGCCAATGCAATGAAGCAAAGTTAGAAGCTCACATGTTGGGACTCAATAACCACCTACCATCTCTTTATTATTAGAGCAAAGGGCTTGTATCTATAAATAAAAATATGCCATTAGTCAAGCGGAGGTCTAACCACAGGCGTTTTTTTCAGATGGTGTTAATATTTTAAAGTTTGATAATGACACTCTTACCTACTTGCAAAATTTACTCAGAATTACAATTGAAAGTTGAATTTCAGGGGGTGGTTATAATCTTGTAAAGAATTACTGGTAATACTTAATGAGAATTAAATTATTTCCAAAGGCAATGTTGTAATATGATGACAGATCATCTTCTATTCTTGAAATCTGCAAGTTTTTCTTCTGAGACTACAGACATTAAAATCCTTCCCCCGTCTTTCCCCATACTTATCCTCCTCCAGGAATCTGGAAAGTTCCTAAACACATGTACAAGGGAGTGATAGCACTTCCAGTCCATGGGCTAAGTGGTTGATGTTGCCTCATTAGGTCAGAATGAATTGCTGTCTTAATTCTGAATTGAATTACAGTCCATGGTAGACTATTCTGCTAAGGGTCAGCTGATTCAAAATATGTTTACAGTTTAGTAGGACATAAGCCATATATCAGCTTAAATCAGTAGAGGACTAGCTATCTACCTTCACAGGCACAGACAATGAGCTAACAACGTGACTAGGGAACATAGAAGGCAAAAGCCAGTTGATTCTACAGTTGGACTATATTACAGCCCAAAAGCACACCACCACATAATTCTAAGCTCTGTTGAACTTCTGGGCATTGGCACATGGGGTTCTTGTAAAACCTTTTCTGAGTATCACAAGTTTCTGATTAGTGTGATTAATAAGGGCTGGAAGAAATGTGCCACAAATCAGAAAAAGGGTAAGAGCCTCAGGAGCCATAGCTAGATTTTCTGGAGAATTTTACCTCATGGAAAATGCCATTATTTCCTAAGACATCTCTGAAAGCATCACTAAAGCACAATTTTAATATCTGCTTACCCACAATTAGGAAAGCAAATAACTATGTAATACTTCTAATTTTAGCTTCTTTAATTCTCACACTTTTTAGCTCCTGTTTTATATTTTCTTTTGAGTAGCTCTGTGAGGAAATCACTAATCTTATAAAACCCAAATCATAAAGTGATGACAAACGTCACAATCTTCAAAAAAATTGTATACTATTGCCATTTTCTACTCCTTGAATAGTTCCAATTTATGAATTAGGATACTTTGCATGGAGATTTCAGAACAATAACATTTAAAATGACTAAAACATTTTAATCTGTGTGTATGTTTAATATTCTTTGTAAACTTCATAGTAGCCAATGACATATTCTTCTTAGGAAGGAGAGAAACTTTCCTGGATGGAAATAATGTCTTGAAAAAGCATAGCCTGGACTTTTGCTTCTGCAGTTAGCTTTTCTGCTTCTCCTTACCTTTGAAATACCATGTATTTGGAATTGCATAAAAGACTCTGTATTTTTAATGTCTTTAGAATGGCATTTTGTGTTCAAGTATTTTTATTTGGTTTTGATTCATTTATTCTCAACTGTCATTCTAATTATTTTGAATAAAATCCATTTAATAATTTACTTGCTCCAGAAGAAAAGGATCAGCTTTATATTTTATTTGGAAAATAAATACCCAGTATCCCCATGAAGAGCCAACAACTTATTAAAGACTTATTTTACTAGAGTAGGAAATTATCTTAAGACCAACTGGACTAAAACAAGAGTGGAAAATACAAGGATCAAAGAAGATTATAAACATTGAAAGTGTAAGAATGAAAACGTAAAATTAATCCAAATGACCTGGAATTTTTAAAAAGAAGAAAAGCTTTAGTTAAAATAATAAAATATAAGCAATATTCCCAGAGATGACTATGGGAATTTTGCCTGTCTACATGATGACAATAATCCTTTTGAAACTAATAAGAGATTTTAGACCAGCCAACACTTGACTCACTTATGTGTTTTGTTTTTTTATGTACATTTTTTACTGTCAATTGATATAATCTCATGTTCTTGCCTCTTTCTGCACAGCTTTTACATTTTTCAGGTCTAAATGGTTTGGTGTTGAGGCAAAAAATACAATTTAGGAAACTGATGAAATTGCCAGTACTAAAAGAGTGGAGCAACTTTGCATTATCAAAAAGCTCCATGAGGCTGGGCAAGGTGGCTCATGCCTGTAATCCCAGCATTTTGGGAGGCCAAGGTGGGAGGATTGCTCAAGCCCAGGAAACCATCTTGGGTAATACAGTAAGATCCTGTTTCTACAAAAAATAAATAATAATTTTTAAAAAATTACCTAGTCATGGTGGTGTGCACCTGTACCCAGCTGCTCAGGAGACTGAGGTGGGAGATGGCTTGAGCCTGGAAGTTGAAGCTGCAGTGAGCCATGATTGTGCCACTGCACTGCAGCCTGGGCAACAGAGTGGAACCTGTCTCAAAAAAATCTTCATGGTTATTATATATTTCATATCATGCCATATAGCTGCTTAGCCTAGTTGATTTGGCCAGTGGTTCTCAAAGTCTGTTCCTAAGATTAGCATTGCCTGGGACCTGGTTAGAAATGTAAATTATCTGGCCCCACCCTAGACCAACTGAATTAAGTCACTGATGTGGGACCCCACCATCTGATTTAGTAAATCCTCCATCTAAAAAGTTGCATGCTAATGTTTCAGAGCAACTAGATTAGCTGTAGGGCCAATAAACCCAAGTTAACAGGCTCAATACCTGTGTGGACCAGTTAGCATAGCTTTATCTCAACAACACTAACTATACTTTTGTTACAGACTGAATTGCATCCAGCCAAAATTTATATGTTGAAGTTCTAATCCCAAATCCTCCAAATGTGACTGTTTTTGGAAGTAGGATCTTTGTAGAGATACGTATTAAATAATGCCACTAGACTAAACCCTAATCTGGTGTTCTTGTAAGAAGAGGAGACTGAGACATAGACACACACACACAGAGGAAAGACCATATAAAGTCACAGGGAGAAGATAATCATCTACAAGACAAAGAGACAGGCCTCCAAAGAAACCAAACCTGCCCACACTTTGTTCTTAGACTTCTAGCCTCCAGAACTGTAAGGAAATAAATTTCTGTTCTAATCCACCTAGTCTGCATTACTTTGTTATGGCATCCCTAGCAACCCAATACAGCTCCTAACTACCCCCACTTAGCCATCTGGAAACTCAATGCTGTTGGTCATAGCAGACATCTGGCAAAAAGGGAAAATGGTATTGCATAAAATTATGTTCTTTACTAGAAAAACCTGTGATAGGTCTTAAGGTCAATGTTGAATACTAAGGGTAGTATTATTTTTATTATTTTATGGTCTTACTAGTGTTTCCCAATCTGAGTAAATAACAGAGGCCAGATGAGATAAATTCAATATTTCAAAAAGACTAATGGAAACCTGTTGGAGGCTGAAAGAATGAGGGTTGTGATCAGCTCAGTATACCACTGGAGGCTATATGAGTAAACAGCAAACTCTTCTCATAAATGCAGAATGTTGGCAAACTGACAAACTGCGTCTGCCACCCAGAGGGAGTGCTGAGGGCAGTCACGCCTCAGATGCAAGTGTTTCTTGTGATTAGGCACATCTGAAGCCTGTTAGCAATAATGTGAATGAGTGATCAACCAAGCAGCTGACCAACCATTACCTCATCCTCCCTGCTCTTTCTACCCAATAAATACAGAGGGCCGTGGAAGCTCAAGGCCTTTGCCCACTAGAAGCAAGGAGCCCCCTGACCCCTTCTTTAAAACAGATTCTTTTGTCTTAAGTTTTCATTACTGCATTCATCCTCTTTCTTTCAGTCTAGTAGTAACTGTCACAAGTGGTGTTCATCCTCCTTGGTTCAGTCCCATAGTGACTGTCACAGAAACCTACCTCATATGATTTGGATTTGAGTCCCTGCCCAAATCTCATGTTGAATTTAATCCCCAGTGTTGGAGGAGATTGATGAGAGGTGATTGGATCTTCGGGGCAGATTTTCTCCTTGCTGTTCTCATGATAGTGAGTTCTCATGACATCTGGTTATTTAAAAGTGTGTAGCAACTCCCCCTTCTTTTTCTTCCTCCTGCTCCAGCCATGTAGGACATGCCTGCTTCCCTTTCACCATGACTGTAAGTTTCCTGAGGCCTCCCCAGTCATGCTTTCCATATAGCCTGTGAAACTGTGAGCCAATTAAACCTCTTTATACATTACCCAGTCTCCAGTAGTTCTTTATAGCAATGTGAGAATGGACTAATACACTACCTAAAGTAAGATTTCAAGTATGTAGCTTAAAAACTATTGGGGTGTCTATTGGCTATACGTTTATGGGAAAACAAAATTTCTAACTCACATGAGACACAAAAAAAAATTCCATAAAATCTAGAAAAACTAAAGGTAAAACAAAACTCTAATTGTAGAAAATGACAATGGGGATATATTTATAATTTTTGAGGAGAGAAATGTTTTCTAAACAGGAAACAAATCAAAGAATCTACAAAAGATAAGTCTCACTTAAAACTTTGTAAAATTTTGTAAAACTCTTACATGGTAAAAAACAAACCAACAAAATACCCTCACTGCAGAATAAAATGGCAGCCTGGAAAAAAAATTGTAACATATATTGTATTAGTTTGTTTTCATGCTGCTGATAAAGACATACCCGAGACTGGGCAATTTACAAAAGAAAGAGATTTATTGGACTTACAGTTCTACATGACTGGGGAGGCCTCACAATCATGGTGGAAGGCAAGGAGGAGCAAGTCACATATTATGTGGATGACAGCAGGCAAGGAGAGCTTGTGCAGGGAAGTTCCCATTTCTAAATCCATCAGATCTCCTGAGACTTATTCATCATCATGAGAAAAACATGGGAAAGACCTGCCCCCATGATTTAATTACCTCCCACTGGGTCCCTCCCACAACATGTGGGAATTCAAGATGAGATTTAGGTGGGGACACAGCCAAACAATATTATATATAAAAAATAAAAGGGCAATATCCTTAATATACACAGTCTTACTGCAAGTCAAAAAAAAACATTGAAAATGGAAAAAAGTCAAGAACAGGAAATTCACAGAGGTGGTATAAATGACTTACCAATGTATGAAAAGATGCCTCAACTTTATTAGCAATGGAATATACAAGTAACATAAAGTATGGTTTAAATATGATTTAATTTTAGTCTATTAAACTGGTAAAAATAGATTGCTAAAATACACAGTGGTTAATACCAAGAAGCAAGCATTGTTTCTTAGAAGAGAATGGGAGTGCACAATACATATTTTAGCAGTACATATCTACATTGAAAATGAGCGTGTCTAATCTGGTGATTCTGCAAATTGCTAAGATAGATAGAAATATAAGAACATACATATTGAAATAGCATTATTTGAAAGAGGGAGCTGGGCACAGTGGCTCATGCCTATAATCCCAGCAATTTGGGAGGCTGAGGTAGGCAGATCACTTGAGGTCAGGAGTTCAAGAACAGCCTAGCCAACGTGGTGAAACCTCGTCTCTATAAAAATACAAAAAAATTAGCTGGGCATGGTGGCTGACACCTTTAATCTTAGCTACTGAGGCGGGAGAATTGCTTGAACCCAGGAGATAAAGGTTGCAGTGAGCTGAGATCACGCCGTTGCATTCCAGCCTGGGTGACAGAGCAAGACTCCATCTCAAAAAAAAAAAAAAAAAAAAAAAAAAGGAAAAAGAAAAGAAAAAAGGAAATAACTGGAAACAAATGAAAATTGTTATTTAAATTATGATACAAATTCATATTATGTAATACTATTGATATGATTTGGCTGTGTCCCCACCCAAATCTCATCTTGAATTGTAACTCCTACAGTTCCCATGTGTTCTGGGAGGAACCCAGTGGGAAGGTGATTGAATTATGGGTGCAGGTCTTTCCATGCCACTCATGAGTGAATGGGTTTCCCCAGATCTGATGGTTTTAAAAATTGGAGTTTCCCTGCACAAGCTCTTTCTTTGCCTGTTGCCATCCATGTAAGATGTGACTTGCTCCTCCTTGCCTTCCTCCATGATTGTGAGGCCTCCACAGCTGTGTAGAACTGTAAGTTCATTAAGCCTTTTTTTCTTCTCAGTCTCAGGTATGTCTTTATTAGCAGCATGAAAAGGGACTAATACAACTATCTAGCTGTTGAAAAGAATACTTTTATGTACTGACATGGACTATTGAAATAAAAATTTTCAGTACAACGTATGTCTAGCATGGCCTCACTTTCTAAAACTAAAATTATGTAACTATATACTAGTACAAGATTACCTCATTTAATGTAGAGCTTAGCACTACAACAACACAATGCATTTTGTTAATTTGGGGTTTTACAAATCAGACATTGAAAATAATTCAAGTTAAATGTGAAACACTAAGATTGAGTTTCGATCCTTGTTAAAATTTAAAGTGCACTTCAAATTTAAGATATAGTTCCTTCAGATTTCAGTATTCTGCCTCTTCTTTAATGTAAGATAAATATAAAGTGAAATGTTCATGATTTTCTCATAAACTATCTAGATTGTTTACTGAAAATATACTTTAGCAAATATGAGACTAATAGCATAAAAACCTTCAAATGACTTTCTCATAATCACATATCATATCTTCATCACATTGCTTTCAGTTTATATTTATGCAGGGCAGAAAGACAGCTCTGCCAAAAATCCTGTGCAATAACTTTCAGTTGAAGCTCAGAACACAACATTTGGTTTATATGAAACTACATCTCAAGATTGCTAAGACTTAATTTTACCAAGTTTCTGACTTACTTCATGTACTGTCATGTTTGAGTTCAAAATGAAGGCACTATTCCCACTTGGAAAAAAAGAAAAGAAAAGGAATGTACAGTTTTATCTTGTTCCAGTGCGATTATACTTCAGCTTTTCCAATAATTTGATAGAACTCAGTAAATTACCTTTATATCAAGGTAAATATATGCTATTATAGGGAAATTAAAAGTGCAAAGGCAAAATACATTTTAGTCATTTTCATTTATTAGAAAAGCAACCATTTCAGACAATACTGCAACAATGCTTGGTATTATACAGAAATGTTTCAATTGCCTGAATTTTTAAGAACCAAGATTTCCCTCTTTCTATTATATAGTCCTTTTAGTCATCTAAAATTTCTTTTAGTTCATTTATTCTACCTTATCTTTACAGATTACAAGACCATGCTTGTCAGTACTTACAAAGAGTGAGTCCTAAATGTTTCTATGCCATGATGTTTCTAAATGTTTAAAACAACTTTTAAAAATCGTTTCTGTTTAAATGCTATTAGGAAGACAAGAATGAAAATTTTTTTTACCTAATGTGGAAATCATTAGTGCTGTCTACAAATTAGTTTCCGTTTTCCTAACATATAGTATTGCACTTAGCTGCCCCCTGGGAAGTTAGTAAAGCCACATTATTTATGTTAGCTGGAGAAGTGTATGCAAATGTGTGTTGCCTCCAGATGGATATTCTAACAGCCTGTGTGTGATTCACCATGCTCTGTAGTTTGAGAAACAGCCACATATAATGGTGGCTGTTTTTTCACCTGAGTTCTCTGAGTGATTACAACAGCAGAGCTCCCCTTCAGAGTGGACAGGAACCATGTGGGAGATACAAACTTTTGTGAAGTTTATGGCGCTGTAATTTGGAGATTGTTTCTTATTACAGACACATTGAGGCTTTTCTGAATGATATATCTAAACCTGGAGGTTTGGGAAATCAGATTTCTATCTAAATTATGACTTGCCTAGGTAAGTTGAGACACAGGTAAAAGAGAGAAGATATCACAGAAGATTGGGCAGGGTGGGAGAGCAAAAGGTAATAATGGAAATTAAGTTGAAATTCTTCTCATCCAGTAGCAGATAAAACGGGAGTTTAGGTTCAAGCGTTTCAAGTTTTATATGGTCCTTCTAAAAATAATCACTCTTGAAAAACATTAGTCCAACTTTATTATAAAATTACTTGTTTGAAGTTTTAAGCTAGTCAAAGCACTAAAATTACATGAGTTGCATACCAAAGCAAACAACAAAATATACATATCACTATTTAATCTCTATACAATCCAACAAGTATGAAGAGCACAACATACATTTATTCACATAACCAAGAAAAACATGTTTCATCTACTATTAAAATGTGCCAGTAACAAGTTGAAGTCCAACATTATTTACCAGGTGGTAAAATCTTTGACACCCAGATTAAGAAGTAATAAAATGTATATTCCCAGCATTTATATTCTGACCCAAAACAGTTATTTAATTTGGAACAATGATGGTATACAGGTGAAGCTAGCAATAGTTTTAACAAAAAGTACACTCTATATTTAACAAGTCCTCTTATTTGGGTTCTAAACTCAGAGTAGGCACAAAACAAAAGCAGATTTCTCAAGTCCAAAAGTGTGCAAACAAGAAACATTTATCACATAACAAAATATATCTACATATGTATGTATTAACTTTCAGGTATTTTTCGTTTTAGCTATATAGATCATTAGAAGTAACTTTCTGCCTCTAGGGAAAAAAAAAAATAAGGGCCCATTTCTTTCACCTAGTTAACCCATCAGTAAAAGGTCTGATGTTTTGGACTTACCCATAGCTAATTGTGAATCAGCATTATCTTTGTATTCATAGTCATAAAAACCTATGTGTGATATTTTTGCTTTTGTCTCATCTTTTTAGAAAAATTCACTAACACCTGTAAAAATCCTGACATGTTTATGTTATTTGCCCAGAATATATAATTACCGAGAAATCATGTTTAAATAGTATGTGAAGTTGCTTGGATAATGCCTTACCCAGTTCAAAAGGAAATTCAGTAATTCTGAAGATTAGTTATGAGTTTTGAAATAGAGCTGAAAACACTCAAATTGGTAAATTTATTGAAACTATTTGTGCCATTTATTTTACTATTTATTTCCAGAAACCTGAAAAAATACACTTCTATTTTGAACATTTATGTGAAAGTTATTGGTAGATGTTCCAGTCTATTATTCATTACACAGTAAATCGCCAAGCTACATGCAACACATATAATAACAGAAATGAAACTCTTAAGTCAGATGTGCACATTGTTGCATTTGTTTTCTATAATTTTGTTTTACTCAGAAGAAAAACTTAAAACAATGAAAACACATTCCTTTTTTTTTTTTTAATTTTTGATGTCTACTTCTTGGGTTAACATCATTTTTAAGACCAATTTGGTTACCCAAACATATACTCAGATAACATAGATAACCCTCCTAAGATATGTACACATCTCTCTCACTCCTTAAAGCCTTGCACATGGCCATGTTGCAAGATCTCCTCAAGTCAGTACACATGGCCAGGGTGACATCATGGCAATACAGCAAGAATTCTGCCATTTATTTAGAAGCCTCAAGGAGAAGGATCCTGGAGCCCCTGAATGAGAGTTTCTTCTCCATGCCTCTCCCCAGTCAAAATACATGGAAATATTCATAGAAGCATTGTACCCAGCATGATAAGGAAGGATGGAGAATGGTTCCTTATATCTCTGTTCACAAGACATCAACACTCTTAAGTAACTGTATGAAATAAATTCTCTGCTGAAAGCAAATAAACCATCTGAAAGGTCTTCTGGTTACTTACACAGATTTCCTAGAGAATCTGAAATCAGCCTAACAGGGAAGATTAATTTTTAAATGAATCCAAGTTAATGAAAGCAAAGAACTCTTATACAGAAATACATTTTCCTATTATAAAGCAGGACTACCTTCCCTAATTTCTGATAGACCTAGGACAATTTGAATGGGTATTGAAATTCTTTTGGTTGAATTACACAAACAAGCAAAGAAAAAGTCTCAATTATTATTGGAAAATTTGGGGAGAGATTATTATCTCTTGATCTCCTAGTTAATTGTTATAATAATCCCCAAGTGCTTGGCAAATTGCCAGTCTTCCCCTCTTAGTACTGGTAGCACAGGCTTTAGAATATGCCATCTTACAAATTTAATGAACCTGCTCTCAACAGAATTTTCTGATGTCTGTGTGTATATGTGTGTAAAGAAGAAACACACTAGCTGCAGATAGTCTTTGAATTTTATATATTGATTCTGTTTCTTTTGTTCTCTGACACAAATAATGGCTCAAGGTAAAGCACCTTTTGCCAATATTCTTTGCACCTATCATTGGCATGTAGCTTCGGTTTGTTTGCATTATCCATGGTAGAGTTTTGAAACTGCTGTAATTCTAGTTGCCCATCAATGTGCTGAGAAAGAGCCTTTGTTTCTCTAAAAATTATTTATTGTGCAATCACACACAAAATTTTCAGAGAAAAAATAATTATTTGAAAATTGCTAATCTATGACATGAAAAAACACTTCCAACAACAATCGACCTTCATAATAATAAATGTAGGCAGTCCTATTTGTCAAATATGACAAGAATGGGCCCATTCTAGATAGGATTGCAGGGTCAGGCAACCTGTCTGCCAGACCTGGAATATGCAGAGGTTGTTATAACAAACCATCATGAATTCTGGGTGTCATGACCATGCATGTGTTAATTGAGGCTACACAATGAGGGGCAAAATAGGCCAGATCAAAAAATAAGAGTGCTTTATTTTACTGAGCCTAGTTTATAAGGGTTAGCTACAGAGCGGTGATCTCAAAATAACCATTTCACTATGCAGGCTGCATTAAGATGTTCTCTGGCAAATAGGCCAAGTAAAGGCATTAGACCTCAACAGATGATTCACTCAAAGCATAAATAAGACAGATAAGCTCAAAATTGCTTTCAGTGTGACTCCCATGGCATTATTTTATTGTGTCTACCTCCCATTGGCAAAAACAAGTGAAAAATGTACAGTTATCCTGTTTATTTGACAAATTTCAAAACCTGAATCTGACAATAGTATCTTCAAACTACATGATGAAGCCTGAATTTTCCAGTTAGGCTACAGGTATTTAACTAACTGAAATATTGCCAAACATGTCTTAATTTTGTTCTAGCCCCACACAGATTTACTGTCCTATTAAGCTAGGTGCTTGCTGATTTCTCTGCAACTGGTGACTCAGAAATAGCAGCAACCTTTAAGGAATTTTTAATGGAACTAAGCTCCCAAATATGTAAGCTGATGACATGCACTCCACAGCATTGACTGGCAAGCTTATAGAGATTCTTAAGGACAGCCTTTCGTAGAAGAATATATACCCAAGGATCTAAGATTTGATTCCATGTTGCCATTCGGAGAGCAAAAAGTGTTGTTTCACAGGTTTCCAGAGAATGATTTCCATTTATTCCAATGTTGGCCATTGTAACCTAGAAACGAAGAAAACACGGAAATTAGTTGATGCAGCCTTTTCAATCCTATAATTTTTAAAAAATTAGCTATGCTAGATGACATTCATTTCACTTTCCACAGAGTGATGCTATTGTTTAAAATACTGACAGAAAGAAATCAATGATAGCAGAAACACTGATGGAGACAAATGAATCATTTTAATTCAAATTGACATTAGACCTACAAAAATGATAACTTCTATAGTAAGTCAAATATGCATAAACAGAATCACCTAAGGGAGAACAAACACTGATACCAGTAACTGACCTTCTCATACTTCTGAGAATAGTAAATGCAAAGCCAACACACATTTGTTTTATTTCAATGAAGTATTTTTAAATAAATAAATTATAGATAAGCTAACAAATAGTTTTACAAAATGAATTTAGAGCATCTGATATTAATTTGCAAATGGTATATGACAAATTTTACTCTGAGATTTTCTGCTTCTTAACTACAAGGATACCACTGTCTTCAATTTTCTATTTCCCTTTCTACATCTCTTAGCCTTAGCCTTAACTTGGCTAAAACATTCCAAAAAGTATGCAATGGAATTTTCTAAGGACTTTGAGGAAAGGAGTTTCTCTCTACACCACAGTTGTGACTTAACTGTAACAATGTATTTTGTGATTTCATGTGTCCATTTCCTGACCACCCATGATTTTGAAGAGATCATTTCATGGAATCAGTTCTATAAATTGTCCCAGCTACATGTTAGAACTAAGCAAATCACTGATCCCAGCTTTGACTTCCAAACAAACAGTTGTGGAACAAATAAGGTGGCTTTGAAAACATCTTGGATATACAAACAAATAAGAAATAGGTAAACAAAAGGTAAAACTGAAAAGTGAAGCTTGGACCATTGTGCCACCATTAAAAGATGACGTAACAAAGACCAAAACACAAATACAAAGAAAATCAAGACCCATTACTAGAAAGAAATGTATATCTTAATTTGACCTGATGATACCAATGGTTGAAGAATAAATGTTCTTTATCAAAACCTTCATTGTCTACACAATAAAGTACAAACTCCTCAGCTAGCTCCTTGATGATGCATCTGAAGTCTATTTCTATAATCTCATCTCTCTCATCTCCCCTGCAAATTCCGTATGATACAACCACTGTGAAGACCTCATCTTTCCCAGATGCACCATGCCCTCCTGAGCTTTTGTTTGTGTAACTCCTTTTGTTTTGAGTTACATGGTGCACACTCCTCTGATTCTCCTCTCTCCTCTACAAACAGCAGTGTGGTCACCAGATGTGGGAAGGCATAGAGTCCTCTTCTGAGGGAGCCCAGTGCCCAGGCTTCTCCCCAGAACACTAGGGCACTGCCCAAGCACTCATCATTACTCTCTCTCCACCTTTAACCCCTAACCCCAGCCTTGGAAAGAGGTTATTCCACAGCCTGACTTGGGAGAAGCACTAATCATTCAGCCACCAATAAATGTGGGGAGAGTATTTCTGTAAAAGAAATATCCTTTATCATTAGTATATTAGTAATAACAAATACATTCATAATATTGATAATTCAGGACCACCTAAGTATCCAACAGAAGATAAATTATAACACTTTCACATAATTGAGATATATGCGGACTTTAATGTTTGTGATTCAGTGTTAACCTTTTAAAAAGCAAATTGCCAAACTGTATTGATTGTGTGATTCCATTTTTGAAAAAAAAACCAAATATGTAATTTTGTTCATAGAAAAAAGCCTGGAGTGTATGTCATTGTTTTCGTTGGTTAACTCTAGAGAGCAGAACTACAGAGACTTTTGATTTCCTCATTTTGTTTGTCTCAAATTCACTAATTTTTTAGATCGATCATGCATTGCTTTTATAAATTATGTTTTTTCCCCTAAGAAATTTGTGGAGATATACTATTTTACTAAAGAATCAAAACTAATGTGGATTATTTGTGTACATCTCTATGGATGTGAGTAGGGCAGCACTGAAGTTACCACAGAATCTCCTGGAAAACTGAAGCCCTGATAAGGCTGGCAAGAGACATGTGGGAGCTGGGGTCAGAACAAGGATGTCTGCAAGCTGGTTCGACAAAAGCAGTCGGAAGCCATTTTCTCTGGTCTCTGGCAACAGTCTCCTGACAAGCGTTGAGAACATTATTCTCTGTCTAGCCCACCCGCACTTGTATTCCAGACACTTAGGTAGAGTCTCATCATACACACAGTCTTTCATACAGTTTCCAAGAGCTACCCAGTACATGGAGCTAAAGGAATATGGGTTATTTTCTAAAATCTCTTCCTGTGAACATTGGCACATTACAGTTGTATATCCTTGTTGATGATTAGAATTCTGAGAAGTAGACAGGACAAAGTATTTGAATATTCTATGAAAAAATTAATTCACCTGATAACTGTAAAACACTGGACACTAAGATAAGGGAAAGAATGAGGTCAAAGAAGCATGGAGGAAGGATAGTATATGTTCATTGCCAGCTTGCAAAGAATAAAATAGGCTGGTAATACAATGAATCTCCATTCATTTGGGCCACGTAAAACAATTCTATCAACTGTTAACATCATCAAAGTTAATGAATCTGCCAGGCTACTTTACTCATAGATAATAGAGCCCATGTTTGCTAAGGTTTTATTCTGGATGTTATCGCATCATCTCTCCCCCATGTCTGTACATCTGTTGGCCAGAGTCAGGGCTCTGTGGCTGTTTACTATTCAAAGCAATGGTAAATTTGATAATTATGCTTCCATTCCTCTGCATATTCATAAACATAAATCAATCCAGCAGCAAGTAGTTTTGAGTGTCTGCTGTATGTAGGCATCGTGCTAGATGGCACTACCGCCAAGACCCAAGTTAATGTGAGTAAAACAGAAATGTAACTGAAGGGATTCTGAGAACAGAAGGAAACAATGGGCTCCATTTATTATGCACACAGAGGACTGTCTACATCACCTCTCATGAGAAGACAGAATCACAAATCTTACAGGGTACAGGAAAATGTTGTCTAGTCCAGACTTCCATACAAAGTGGAAATTACTTAGGGATGTTATTAAGTATGTGAGAAGAAAGTCTCAGCACTACTCAGGAAAAAATCTTTTCCATTTGAGCTGTATGAGTTGTAGAATATTTTCTGTTACCAGGAGCTAAAATTTACTCAACATATTTTAATTTAGTTTTCTAGAGCATCATGGGATAATCAATCCATTTACTAAATGTCAGCCTTTCACATATCTTAAAATAATACTAGTCTTATAGTTCTTCAACTGCTTTTCATACAAAATGGTTTGCAAACCACTACCTCTTATACTCTAGTTTTCTCAATCTTTCTTTAAGAAAATACACTGGACAGAAATAAACTAACTCTATATATGGTCCAATAACTACAAAGCTCAATGGAGCATCATTTCCTTTTGGACAAACTACTATCTGTGCCTCCAGGACTACATTAGCCTTATATATTTCCTTGTGGATTGATCCGAGTTCATAGTACATTACAAGAAATAACCTCTTACTTAATATTTTTACTCAGTTAATATGTAGAGTAAGACAGCCTTCACTTTTCCCTGCTTATTTTTCAAATTATTCAAATACTTAGAAAATATGGATATATAAATATACATATATACACGGAGTTACAGTGACATATCTGTGACTCGATATTAATGAATTTACTAGCCAGGCATGGTGACACATGCCTGTAGTCCCGGCTACTCAGGAGGCTGAGGCACGAGAATCGCTTGAACCCGAGAGGCAGAGGTTGCAGTGAGCAGAGATCACACACCACTGCATTCCAGCCTGGGTAACAGAGTTGAGACTCTGTCTCAAAAAACAAAAAGGTATATGTGTGTATGTATATATACACACATATATACACACACAAATATATACACATATACACACACAAATATATACACATATATACACACATATATACACACACAAATATATACACATATACACACACAAATATATACACATATATACACACATATATATACACATATATACATATATATATATATATATATATATATATATATAAATGAATTTACTTGACGGCATAAACTTCCAGTTCTGGAGCCTCAGGTGTCACGTCTGAGCCAGCACCCATGTATAAGTTGTTTGATCCACTTTCATGTTGCCTCTCCATCCACACCTTGTTTTTCTGTCATTTCTCGTTGAGTGTCTTATCGCTTTAAAAGCAAACATCATATTATAGACTCCTAAGTGGTTTTCCAGTCTCTAGTTATTTGTTTTTCTTATTGCATTTTGTTTTCTCTAGTTACAAAATATTTCACAAATGCCAAAAACATGCCATGTTCCCTGCCCTTCCCTCACTAAAAATTACATATCTAAATCCTCCTACCCTTGTCCCATCTTCTGCAGAAAACCTTTCTTGATCTCTCTGTAGCTGAGTAATGTCTCATTCTATACAGCCATTATGTGTGACACCACTCCTTTAATATTGATAAACATAATATCAGTATAATATGTAGAACATATTGAAATGAGATAATGTCAGTATATGTATAATAGTCCCTTGTGTCTTGAGGGTAGGAACTATGTCTTTAACTTTCTCAAATCCTACTCCTCTACTTTGTAGAACATCATTAGGAAGAGACTCCTACACTTGAGTTGGGGAAGACAAGAAGAAACAGGCAATTACAAGCACAGGAGTTAGGAGGGTTAACAGAAAGCAGGCCAGGCAACCACAGGTCCAAAGAGTCAAGTTGGATTTAAGGTAAAAAAATAAATTAATTAATTAAATAAAAGGAAAGAAAACTTATATGAACTTTTGTTTCAAGGAATTCCTCAGACTCTCTATGACCTTTAACTTCTGGTCTGCCCAAAAGTTTCTATTTACTCAAGATAAGAAATCCTAGTAAAGTTAAAGTGAGTTTTAACTTTTTTAATTGTTATGGTGATAGACCTTACATCTCCCCATAAGCCTTCGCTGTTCTTAAGGAAGGGCCACAATTGAAGATCACTGGGGCAGGTGAAGAGAAGGAAGTAGGGATGTAGAGACTCCTACCTGGGCCAGATCCCAGAAGGGTTTGGGAACTGGGATGGAGGTGGTGGGATTCAAGGTGCTACAACAGAGACGTCTCTGTCTTAGAGGACTTGCTCTTGTTTAAAGAAGCTCTGCCATCCCTGCATCCTCTGCACAATAGGTTGTTAGTTCACTCTTGTTAAATCAAACTCACTGACTAATCAATTAGTTCGATTCAACTTTAAAGAAGCTTTGACCCACCTACTTCTGGCCATCAAATATACCTGTCAGTATCTCAAACCTCCAGCCACAGGGATGGTGCAAGAAGACCAGGTCCACTGGGGTGGCTTAGGCACAGGAGGGATCATGGAATTTCTTTACCCCAATGTGTCTTCAAGGAAGGAGGAAAGGGAAGGAAAAAGTCATGTTATCACTTTGTATATTTTAATCCAATTCATCCTCCTAAAACCCCCAGAGGTGGTTGCTATCTTTCTGATATTGCCAAAAAGAAAGCCAAGTCACAGACACATTAACTTGCCCAAGTTCACACTGCTGGTAAGTGGCAAAGGCAAAATTTCAGCCCAAGTCTATCTGGATTTCAAATCTGTCTTCCACTACACCATTCCCAGTGGTGCTATGTTATATTTATGAATAAGATGATTAAAAAATAGCTAACATTTATTGAGTACTTACTATGTTTCAGGCACTGTTTTAATATGTTACATCTATTATCTCATTTAATCCTGCTACACCTCTGAGAGAAGCAGTATTATCTCTACTTTAAGATGAAGCTGAGGTACAGAGAGGTTAACTTGCTCTAGGTCAAGCCAAACAAAAACATGGTGGAGTCAAGATTTGAATAGTTGGAGATGATGACTAAGGATTTGTGTGTTAGCCTCCATGGCACCAGGAGAGCTCATTTTTAATTCTCTATGATTCTAGTTCCATCTGCCTATGTCTAGTTGTCTTTCAAGCTGATTCTAGCACACTCTCATCCAATATTTCTAAAATTACATTTTTACTAGCATCTTTTTAAAAAAGTAGGAACTGGTACTAATAAATGTTTTGCTCCAAATCTTCTGTGCCCATAACAACAGATATAACCAATAGGAAAATCAAATGAGTTAAACTCCACATAACCAAGGTGTCCTTCAGAAGGATGGCTGTCAAAACAATGAATGTGCAGAGGACAGCTATCTGTCCCAGAATGAAAAGGTAATTGTAAAAAAGTATCACTAATAGATTCACTAATAGTGATAGATGGAATAAAACAATGCTCAGTACCTTTTATCTTCCTTCTTCTTATCTGTCCCATGATGAATGGCATGATTTTCATTTCAGTAGTTCTTTTTCTCTTATTCTTTAGACCAGCAGTCCCCAACCTTTTTGGCACCAGAGACCAGTTTCATGGAAGACAATTTTTCCTTGGCAGTGGAGATGGTTTGGGGATGAAACTGTTCCACCTCAGATCATCACGCATTAGATTCTCATAAGGAGCGTGCAATCTAAATCCCTCCCATGTGTTCACAGTAGGGTTTGTGCTCCTATGAGAATCTAATGCCGCCACTGATCTGACAGGAGGCAGAACTCAGGTGGTAATGTTTGCTCACCTGCCACTCACATCCTACTGTGCAGCCCAGTTCCTAAAAGGCCTGGGCCTGGGGGTTGGGGACCCCTGCTTTAGACTAATATTCAGATGTCCTTTTGGACTTTGTTTTTACTTTTTTAATCCAAACTTTTGTATTCACCCAAGAGTTATCCTTATTTTATTATTTCTATTCCTTGGCAGTGGTGGAAATTAAAAAATCAGTAGGCAAATTAAAAGTCTTAGAAGAAGAAAACACATCTATAAAATCTTATATTTGTATATATGCCTTACTTTGGCACAAAAGGAATTTGAGGCATTTTACTTCAAACCTCTGGCTCATTCCAGATATGATTACCTACATCAAACACATAGTTACACTAAGAAAATATTAGTTATGCTCCAAATATTGGTAATAATAGATGCATAAGACATTTTCATCCTAATAAAAAATGTTTATCTAAAATATCATGACTGAAGTAATTATTAGCATCCCATCTATGAATTAAAGAAAAAACTAGTCCAGTAATTAGTTGTAATATTGGAGGTACAATGATTCAGGAATAAAAGGCTACTTTATTTGACCACTGGCAACGTCGTTTTAATAGCAAAAACAGACCATACCAGTTAGGCGTTTCAGTAAACCATCTCTCCTATAACACATTATGTTTTTTCCAGCAAGAAATTTCCAACTGGCCCATTTAGTTTATTGCTACAGTAGTTTGGAAAGATTTTTCAAAGCATTCTCAAAGTTGTGGTACAATAATTAATTATTTAATGAGAATTTTTTTCTCATCTATCTACTTATTGAAATGTGTGTAGGTCTTTTGTGCCTGGGCATCTATCCATTACTGAAATGTGTGCATTGGTTCGCTGTGCCTCAGCCTCTATCTGCTTATTGAAACTGTGTGTATTAGTTCACGGTCTCAGCATCCATCTACTTGTTGAAATGTATGTGTTGGTCTTCTGTGCCTCGGCATCTACTTATTTATTGAAATTTGTATGTGTTGCTTACTGTGCCTGGACATCTAACTATGTATTAAAATGCATTTGTTGGTTCACTGTTTTGGGACCTATCTCTTTACTGGAATGTATGTGTTGGTTCCCTGTGCCTCGGCATCTATCTATTTTATTTGATGGGAGTTTTAAATGAGAAGAGTGTCCTTTCAAAAATAAAAGATATCCATACATTTTAGAGAAAATTTGTCTTTGAAAAAGCCAATCTAAACCTACAGACCAAATGCAAAGATACTAGAAGACCAACAAATTAAGGCACGTGGAACACACAGAAAAGAGTTGAGCCAGAATTAATAATAAATGTCTATTTAACCCTAAAGCATAATATGAGTCTAGTTAAAGATAAAATCCATATATACTTCTGGTCGGGACAAAAAATCAGCCCTTCCTGATGATCCAGTCAATTTCACTAAAATTAGTTCAGTTTAGTGGTGGCACTTGAGTCAATCTTGTTGTTTGGTCAAAAGGATAAGACAATTTGAGTGTTGTGCTTTTTTTTTTTTTTTTTTTTTTTTTTTTGCTAACTTTCTGAACTTACTTCTCTGGAGTTACACTTTTAATTTTTCTTCAGCATACCTAAGCAGAAAATTGAAATTCATCTTTCTTAGTTATAAGTCAATGTATACCCAAGCATTCTCCAGGTAACAGCCTATGGGTCAAATCTCTGATCATATTTACTCTCTCCCATGTAATTTTCAGCCTTTTGAATACATTTCCTATCTCATGGTCTAAAATATTAGCCACAAAGTTCAGTGCCAATCTGTCTCCTCTACAAAACAATCTAGTGCAATGGTTATACCCCACATAATTTTCTCCTGACAATTTTCTGTGTATTACTCATCCTTCAACTGTTTCGGAAGCTTATGCCATGACTCCATTAAACCGTCAACTCCATCAAGAAAAAGATTTTGTCTTCTGGACACCCTTATTCCCAGTGTCATGCTCAATATTTGGTACATACTGGCATTCAGTAAATACCAAGTGAAGGAATTAATGAGAAGAAATGTTAGGATCCATGGAGGTCACAAACCATGACTCATTTCTCTCTGTGCTGGGCACATAGTGGCTGTCTATTTGTTAACTGGCATACAACATTCTCTGTAATGCACAAAACTATACCAACTGCTTCAGCAGCCTCATCATCATCATAAATGAATAACCAACTTTCATCTAGTTCCTGATACTGTTATATTCAACATGCAACAGAAGACAGATTTAATGTGTTGTAAGATTTGGGGAGAGAGGGAGTCTTTTTTTCTCTCTCTCTTTTTAGCATAAGTATGTCACCAATGTATCTCTTTGGCATAATTTAGGTGATATAATTACAATTACATTTTTATACTTCATTAATCATTACTTCCCTAAGATCTCAGAAAGCAGTCGTTTACTGGTATATTTGCATAACACTGATAATGAAAAAATTGCAGTAAGTCCTTTTGTTTAAGATACAGTCAAGAGAGGCCATCAATCATTGTCTAAAATTCATACAATTTTACTACTATATGAAAACTTGCTGTCTTTATGCCATTTAAACTTTTAAATGAAGACTCACATTACTTTTTTAAATCATAAAAATCCAACTTTTAAATAAAAATAAATGTTACAATGCAGTATACAGCCATTAGGTTGAGCTGATTTTCTTTCTGAGAAAAAGTACCAATCTCCAGATTTCTGACCAACAGTCTTTTAAGAAGCATTTCATCTTACCTAAAAATTCATAGTTAGTAGCATGTATTATATTTGCTGCCATTGTAACTGAAGTCCATGTCTTGTGGTAATGTATACAAATAAAACCTTGAGAATGTGTCAAAGTGGTCCACTAGAGAGAAAATTTCAGCCTGCTGACTATCATCTATCCTTAACAAAGCTACAAGGCCCTGCAAGATATGCCTTCTATAAAACAGATTGCATCCTCCCTCTATTTTATGGACAAGTCACAGTTAATTCTACGATCAGCACAGTTGTGTTCTATCCCTTTTAATGAGTGACTGTAGCCCATCTTTGAAATGGCTCCTTGACTCACTATTGGGCCCAAACCTTTGCTTCACCAAGGCACCTCATTCACAATACAGGTCAGTGTCTGTCTTGAGTATTTCCTTGTCATGCCACTGACTAAGGATTGCTCACTGTGTCACTTGTCACTTGCTAAACAATGATATATATGGTGACCCCATTCTTTTTATTTGTTCATTCTTGAGAGCTATATTATAAAGAGCACAAAAAAAGGTTATTTGTCTTGGCTTCATTCCAATAAAATCACTAGTGTTCTCATCCTGCCGTCCAGGTTCAGGAAGATTTAGGACAAAATGTTAGGATGCCTGGATGTCTGTGGCTATGGTGTTAAAACTGTATAGGTTCTCTCTACTCTGTCAATTTACACCTCACATTTCAGCCATTCCCTGCTGATGAATGACACCAAACATACAGCAAAAGGCAAGAGCACTAGAACATGTTTAGCAGGATCCAGTGATCTCATTTAACACTATCTCTAGAAATGCATCAAATCTCAGCTCTCAGTGTGTTGAATTTGATGCCACAGCAATCCCATACTCCACAGCCTCTCATAAAGAAAGCATTAATTATCTTCAATTTTCTATTGCTGAATAGGAGACCACTTTAAAATAAAGATCTAGCAATAATTTTTTAGTCCCAGTGAATAATATAAATTGTGTATAATTCTTGCAATGTTGGGCAGGACCTTTTTTTCACTTGTTTGTTTTTGTTTTTAAAGGCATACTGTAAGTCTAGTACAAACCAGTCTCAGCAATCAACCAAAATCAACTGTGTTTCCTTGGTACGATCATTATGTGAAGAATTAGTAATATAAGAATATGCTAATTCCAGAAGACTACTTCCAATTGGAACAGTTTCTAAGATTTTAAAACAAACAAAATATTCTGCTACTACTTTTAAGTCTTACTGTGTAATAAAGAGTTTGACTGGTCATTGTCCCTGGTTCCTGGAAGGGAGCCTCTAAGCCCTTGGAATTTCCTTAATGATAGGAGTATCTTTATTAGTTCTGGTGGACACCTTGGACCAAGTCTCAATTTCTGTTAATGTGGTGACTCACTGTGGGACCCTAAATAATTTCAGGATGGGGACTGGCCATACTTGAAAGACCAACCATGTGATTAGAGGGTCAGGGCTTTGAACCACATGATATCAGCCTGACCTTCTAGAGACTGAGTTCAATCACATGATCAATTATTCAATCAATTATGCCTACATACCAAAATGTAATTAAAAACCCTAGATTCCCACAATTCAGATGATCTTCCCTGGTTGATGATACCCATTAATATAGTAGGAGGTGAAACATCCTAAGGACATGGAAGCTCAGTGTTTGGGACCCACCCAGACCTCACCATAGGAGTCTGTTCTTTTGACTGGTCCTAATTTGTATCCTCTATAATAAAATTGTAAATATAGTACTTTTCTGAGTTCTACAAGTCATTCTAGTAAATCATCAAATTCAAGAGGGTAGTGGGAAACCTGAATTTGTAGCCAGTTTGTCAGAAGTTCAGGTGGCTGGGAATCTCCCAAGCTTGCAGATGGTGTCTGAAGTTAGGGCAGTCTTCTGGGGGACTCTGCTATATATCTATGAAATTTGAACTAACTCCATGTAGTTAGTGTCAGAATTGCCCTGCTGGGTCCTTGTTACATCTTTGAGCATGGCAGTATGACAGAGGTTAAGTAAGGCTGGAAGTATTACAATAGTCTTGGGCTGCTTCAGTTTAGGCATCCTGATACACATCTGGCATGTTGGAATTGGGGATGGGGTACTATTTTCATACCACTAAGAAGCAGTTGGAGGATTTATGTGAACTTTTGATTAAGCCAAGGTGGTTATCTTGGGTCAAATACATTAACAGTAAAAAAAAAAAAAAAAAAAAAAAAAAAAAAAAAATCTTGCATTTGTCCAAAGTGTAGAGCTTTAGATGAAGTTATTCCACATTTCCCTCTGATTGGTATAAGAAAAATATTTTATTATAGAAAGATACAGAAGGTTAGAACTGGAAAGAATTTAAAAATTGTGTAGTCTAATTTGTTCTTTTCATAGGAGAAAAAATAACCAAAGCAAGAGGGAAGGTGATTCGCCCAAGATAATAGCCATTTAGTATCGTAGCTGGGACTGCATAAGATCTGTAACATCTAAAATTACACTGTGATTCCCAAGCTCCTTTAGTTAGGACATTGTTCACTAGCTAAGGTAGATAAATTCTGATCAGGTTGTATTGCCAGTGAGAAAGAAAGCATGCAGGATATAATCAAATGTCTTGCCTCTCTTTTATTGGTCATTGAAATAGAACTTAATGTCTTTTTAAATTTTTTGCTGACTTACATAACTAAACAGTTGGCCTATGCAAATATTCATTCCATAAGCATTTATAAGGCATCTATTATAAGTCGAATCTAGGTATTTGGTTCTGAAGTCACTTCAAGAACTAATAAAAGTCCAGTAATCCTCTAGATAACATGTATTTATCCTCTTCCTCATTTTGTTGATACCAAATGGATTACTCTTGCTCCAGTGCATTATGAAGCCAACCAACTCATCAAGCCCTATGTGTGTGCAGTTGTTGAGTATGGTGTGGAAGGGATGGGGGTTTAAAGAGGAAGGATGCATACAGGGACAGGTTCACACCCTTGAACAAGTGCCCTCATCATGTGATGTCATTCTTTTCTAATGAGCTAATGAATATACTCAATAGTAGCGACTCCACCAGCTGCCCAAAAGGCACCATTAAGATTAAGCAAACCACACATTGTTGTATTATGTAAGTTGCACTAGACCTTTGTGTTCCAAAGGAGTTACTGAAATTTCACTTTTTTACTTTCAGAAATCTAGTACTGAGATATTTGCTGGATTAGATGCTACTTTCAGACATGCTGGGCATATAGTTCCCAAGAGTTAGGAGTGTATCATTCAACATTTAAACTAAGGAATCACCAGAGTATGTGAAAAACCCTTTGAGTCTCTTCTTTAAACAGTGAAATGCAGACAGACCCCAACTAACAAACATTTAAAATATCACTCATTTACAAGTTATCATTTAAACCACAGAATATGGTTCACCATAATAATGTGGCATCTCTTTATTATATAAGCTAGTTTAAAATATTATTTAAAAATTAGCTAAAATAAAATTCTGTTGCAGTGTTAATAATCCTTACCAAAAACTTTATCATATCTGAGAGCTACGTGTAGATCCTATCCACCCTACCTGTGCCAGACTCCCTATTTCCTGGTTAGTCCAAAGGTATTTATACGTGTTTTTCACATTCTCCTTTCCCACAAAACTTATTCTTCAGCTCAGACTTCTTTTCATGACCACTTCCTCATGAGTTTCGACCTGAATTATTTCTCCTTTTTCTTCCACTGTCCCAACATACTGACTACCTGTGACTCATTCTCTAAAGATATTATTCTATAATATAAAAAGTGTCTTTAAAAGTAAATGAGATTTCTGGGACTAAGAGGAAGGAAATGTGCAAATTAATTCAATCTTTCTGTAGGACAATTTGGGCAATTTGGAAAAATATATCAGTAAGCCAGTTCTCCTTGAATCAATTCCATGTCTATGAATTTATTCTAAGGAATCAAATAAAAATAGTGTACAACAACCTACAAGTTGTTCATCTCAGTGTAGTTTATAAAATGAAAAAATATGTAAGCAATCTCCAACAAGCAGGGATTTGTAAAAAGAGATTATAGTACACCTACACAATGAAATACTTTGCAGCCATTAAAATGATGTCACCTAGGAATGCTTGCATATAAGGGAAAATAATTATAATGTAGTTAAGAAAATAAAGAAGATTACAAAGTAAAAGTGTTTTAGTTTGGTTAACATAATAATAATTACATAGTTAAAACTTATTGCATAATTCCTATGTACTTTCTGACATAGGTACCACTAATATTCCCATTTCAATGATAAGGAAAAGGAGAAAAAAGGAAGTCAATTATCCTGAGTAAAGCCAAACAGATAGTTAAGATAAATTGGGTTCACAAAGTCAAACTGTTTTTTTAGAAAAAACAGATTTTGCAGGGGCGTCCAAGGGAGAGAATACAGTCATGCGTTCTTAGTTTCTGTTTCTTGTTGGGCCAGTAAAGCCCTTTCCTCATCCCTCTTTTCTGCTTATCACTAGAGACAGAAACTGAAAACCATGGCTTCAGTCTGCTAAAAGCCTAAAACAAAACAAAACAGAACAACAATAACAAAATAAGTCTGGTTGGACAAGCTCGATAGAGCCTCTCTAATACATGTGTATATGCTTTGAGAAAGGAGTAGAAGAATATGAACAAAAATATAACAGTACATAACAAAAGCTGGGTATGTACTTGTGTTAGGCAGAATTTCAAAAATGACCCCTTTAATATGCCCAACCTAGGCCCTGGAACCTGTGAATATAATGAGATATGATTCCCATGATTATGTTATATTATATGGCATGGCCGACCTTAAGATAGTGAGATTATCTAAGTGGGACTAATTTAATCACATGAGTCCCTTTAAAGGCAGATAACTTTCTCTAGCTGGTAGCAAGAGAAGCCAGAGAGATTCCCAGTGTGAGAAGGATTCACTGCACATTTTCTGGTTTGTGCATAGAGGGGCCACAGGAGAAGGAATGCAAGCTGCCTCTAGGAGCAGAGGACAGCCCCGACCTGAGGGCCAGTCAGGAAACAAGGACCTCAGATCTACAGTCACAAGGAAATGGATTCTGCCTGAATGAACTCTGAAAATGATTCTTCCCCCAAGCCTGTAACAGCCCAACACTGCTCCTACCTTCATCTCAGACACTTGTTGAGACCCTGAGCAGAGAACTCAGTTGAATGCACCCAGATTTCTGACCTACAGAACTGTGAGATAAGATGAGCGCTGTTTCATGCTGCCAAGTTATAGGACTCTGTTATGCAGCAATAGAAAACTAATAGAGTACTTATGAGTGATTTAAATTTAGGAAACAGTGAAATTTATATATAGTAGATCAAAAACCTACAACAGCCATTACACTTACTGGAGAAAGTGTAGATGCATTTTAAAATCTGGAACAAGACAAGAGTGCCCACTATTACTACTACCGTTTAACATAGTATTGACAATGCTATAAGAAACAAAAAATGAAGTATAAGAATCAGGAGAAAAGAGATAAACTTTTGTTACCTAAAAAAATGATTAGACTCAATAAACAATTGAAACCAATGAGTTCAACCTGTTGCTGAATATATGACCAACTTAGAAAAATCAAAATCACTTCCCTATACTAACAATACCAACTATAGAATAAAATAAAACAATTATTTCTGTATTTTTCAAATTTTATACAATGAACACACATAACTTTGTTAGTAAGTACATGTCCTATCAATGGTCATAGTCAAAATATTTAGAACACTGTTATCGATCAATCAGAATGGCACAGGCAATAATCAAGTAGTTCAGCCATATACGTATGTACCAGATGAACAAGAGCATCATACCTTATAATTGTCAAGTGATTATTATATTTCTCTTTTTGAAATCACTGGGAAGGGTAAACTTTAGCTACCCACTTTTGCCAAGGAGAATTTCTCTTAATAATTGTTTTTCCCATAATCGGGGGAAAAGGAATGTAATTCCTTTGGAGTATAATTAAAGCAACAAGGCAAGATGGCTTACTTAAAAGGTTGCAGTGAGCAAAAGTCACAGCTGGTACAGAAGGGAGTGGAGTGTCTATAGAGCTGGGGGATGGGAAATTAAGAGAGAGGAGCCAGCCTAGGCAGCCCGCATGTGGCTGTACTATCCTACCTGAGCAGACAGGATTAAAAAGCGTAGCTCAGATTTCCTCCCCCTGCATGAACTCAGAGTTGTTGCAAGCATGTGAATGCTGGGGACCTTGCCATTACTTGCCTTCAAATTATGAAATGACAAGGTTAAAAGTCCCTCATGGAACTTGATTCTCACACCCCAAGTAACAAAAAACAGCAATTAAAGCATATATACCTACCTACCTAACAAGTACTTGACAAAGTCCACCACAGTGGTAGGTGAATTTTAACATAAAAAACAGCGTACTAGATCAAATTATTTTTACTTTATAACACATTCAAGATAAGCAATAAAGACATGCTCTGTATACTTTAACCATGATTGATCCCAAACCAATGGCAAATCATCACCAAATTATACTAATGACTCACTCACATAACTAAGAAAGGTCTAAGTCATCCCAAGAGTAGATCTGAAAATGACCACCAAAGACTGTCCTTCTGCTCTTAGGAGATTGTCAGCAAAAGCTCCGGAAATTTCTTTATTACACTGCTGTAAAACTGCAGCTCCAATTCCACTATTCTCTTTCCAGTGTATAAATTATCTTGTTTTTTCCATTAAGCTACCAAGTTTTGTGGTATTATTTCCAATGCCACAAAGCCAAACCCGTTCTCTGTGGTTATACGGAAGATATTGTATTCTTAAGAGGTTTCGCAAATAAAACCACAAAAATGGCCTCACTTAAAAGAACACGACTTTTTAAAGAAATATGAGGAGATAAATATATATGATCAACAAGTATATATTTGTATTCGAGTAAATTGTTTCATAAAGAAGATGGGCTGAACTAACTTTCAGATTTCTCTGGTTGTTTAACCAGTGAAAGACTCAAGATCCAAAACCCCCTATCTCAGAATGGCGCAAACCCAAAATCCCAAAAGGTAATAGTGTCTGGTTGGCATCTTAGAGGAGAATTGACCTTATTAAACACATTCATGTTACTAAGCACAGCATGAAAAGAAAGGAAGTGGTATAAACCTGAAATGACATTTACTACAAGTTTATGGAAAAGAAATCAGTGTGAAGAAAAGATGAGATAATTTAACCCATGGAAAAAAGAAAAAAGGAATTTATAAATCAACAATTAAGTCAAAAGAGAAGAGTTGCAATTTTAGAAGAGAATCCACTCTCATAATTGGTAGGTAAGAACCTACTCCACTAAGCCCAGAGACCACCAGACACCGCAATGTATATGAACTCAGGAGCCCTTTGGTCCAGAACTCTTTTAGTTGCTTGGCATAGATTAAACATAAATGAAGTTTCTTAGCAAAGCTGTTCCTTGGAAGGCCATGGGCACTTGTTCACAGGATTCTTTTGTAACAAAGCTGGTTCTGTTCATGCCTCCCCAAATAAACTACAAATTCCTTTGAGGTTAGTATCGCATTTTAGTCATGTTTGTATCCCCTGTAGCACATGTGCACAGGCCCATGGTAGGCACTCATTGAACGTTTTCATACGTTACTACTGAATTTTACTAGAGTACCAAATGGAATCATGGCCATAACAGTAACAATAACAATCACACAGCACCTTTCACTGGATGCTTACCAGATATTATGTGAAAACTAAGATTATCTTATTAAATCAGTGATAGAGTCAAAAATATTATCTATATTTTACAGAGGTTATTATCTATTATCTAATATCTATATTTTACTGAAGCTCACAAATATCCTTAATAATTTGCCGAAGGACACGTGGCAACTATGTTCAAACTCAGGTAGTGAGAAATTTCTGCACACTACAATAGGCTATATGAACTTATTTAATTAGGAGGAGAGGTTCAAGTATAGACTTGGGAGATAAGCTTTCCACTCTCAGAGATGGTTTCAGTGTAGTCACATATTGTGGAGTAGCCACTGATGAAGATGCTTATTGATAGAGACAAAAATCAAGGTATCTTTGCATATAGTAAGTGCCTTATAAATATTTGATAGGCAATTTCAGGGCCAAATTAGGAAACCTAAACAGTTTCCCAAGTCAAAGAATTCTATTCAACTGGGAATGAATACTGATCCTTTCTTCCCAGTAACAGAAGCTGAAGAGTAGTTAAGCACCTTGACTCAGACAAGTCAGAATTCACTGAGGTTAGCTACGGTGCTCTGTCTCTTTTACTTCCCAGAAAGATTTGCTTCTGCAGGGTACTCGATTTTTTTAAATATTTTAAGGCCTTATGGAAAAGCTCTGCAAAATAAAATGATAATCTCTGCTCATGTTTTACACATTTGAAATGATGGGAGCTGTGATATTAAAATCAATCATGAAAAAAATTTTTTTAATTCCAGAATTAAACCCTAACTGAACCCCAAATAAGGGGTGTCTAAATTCCTAGATCATGGTCTATCTAACATGCAATACATGCTCTGCTATAAATGCGTATGTGTGTGTGTGTGTGTGTGTGTGTGTGTGTGTGTGTGTGTGTGTGTGTGTGTCTTTTATACTGTAATGACAAATGCTGCAGTGGTGGAACCTTTCTCTTTTGTATTAAAGTAATTACTAGGGCACTTCAAAACTGATTCTCTAGGGTCAAGAAATAGAACAATTGGTAACTAAAACATAGAGTTGCCTAATTTTTTGTGTGTATAAAGCTGTGCAAAACCAAAGCCAAAAAGAAATAATAAAAGAGTAATAAAAAGAGAAAACTCCACCTCAAAAAAAGAAAAATGTAGATACATAACTTTATATTCTCAGCCAAATGAATGTCTATCAAAATGTCCTTTGCTAAACCAACAGAGAAGTTATATTGAGATTATTAACCAGGTAGAATAGATAAGACATAACTAAATGTTTCCTTTATAATTTTCCCACAAAACATAATTGTGTTTTAAGCCATAAGGAAAATTATTTTGAACGTATTTTCTTTTTTTAATTTATTCTACTTTAAGTTCTGGGATACATGTGCAGAATGTGCAGGTTTGTTACATAGGTGTACATGTGCCATGGTGGTTTGCTGCACCTATCAATCTGTCATCTAGGTTGAAAGCATTTTCTTTGTTATTTACAAACTAATCTTGGCATAATAGTAATTTATTATTTGCCTTACTTCCTAATATAAATTCCAGAAAAGTAATCACTTGTTACTCATGCATTAAATGAAATTTCTAACAAAAAAAATTTCCGAAATAAAACTTTCTGCTATATTCTGTTCCATTATAATCCATTCTCTACAAAGCACCCAAAATGATCTTTTTAAATCATGCATTAGATCACACCTTTCCCTTGTTAAAAACCCTTCCAATGGCTTCCAAAACAATTTTAATTGAAACTCACCATGGCTTCCAAAATCCTACACAATCTGACTCCTACCTTCTTCTGTGTCCTCAAATTCTACCACCTTCATCTATGCTCCCCTTGCTCCAGTGAATGACCTTTGCTTTGTTCCTCATCACAAGAAGCTCATCCCTGCTATTGGGTTTTTGTGCTGGATTTTGCCTCTGCTCAACCACCCTGCCCCAGTAATTTCCCATGGCTGGCTCCTTTTTGTCACTCAGGACTAAGCTCATGGTGAGGATGTCCTTGAATATCTAATCTAAAATAGCCCCATTCCCACCCACAATCACAGCACTTATCAATCTTTAAAATCATCGTGTAAATTTATTTTTTACTTATTATCTACCCCTTTCCAAACCGTCCTTACCCCACTTCAACCACCACCTTCAGAAGACCGTAACCCATAAGAGAAGGGATATTGCCTTGTTCAGCAACACAGCCAGCACCACTGTCCTAGCATCTAGAACAGTATCTTACACATGGAAAGCACTGATAAAAAATTTTATTGAATAATTGAATGAGTATTTCTAAACTCATTATGGTACATTTTATGGTATATTTTAAGTGCCTTGGTATGGTATTTATGGTAATATTTGAAGTGCCTTCATATAGCGAATTTTTACTAAGGACATCTATCTTTGGCTCTTTAAAAATCAAGAACTATGGTATCCTGCAGCTGCAAATATGCCTAGGTAGGATTGCAAACAGTAGTGTTCTCATAGCAAACACATCAGATTTTGCAAGACACTTAGGATAAACAGGCTGCTCAGTGAGAGGTGAACACATTTTCAAGACAAAAGTTTGTTTTGTTGCCATCAACATTCTGGAACTGGCTCCTTCTTGCACCCTCTGATTTTAATCAAAGCCTGATGACTGGTTCCTCGCAACACTCAGCAGTGACCTCTCTCTCCCCTGGATATGGTTTTAACCTTTCAATGACAGAATAGGAGAGAAAAACGACTTCTCAAAGGAAAAAAAAAATTATGTACAAATCTAGGTTATTTTTAGTACTCATTGCCAACTAACATAGCTGTCCATTTTTTAAATTTTGAATTCTAAAATTTACTTAGATAAATTAAGACCTATTTAGGTTGGAGATAGAAAAAGTTATCAGACTGAGGGCATTGTCAATGCTCTGGAAGGGAGAAGAGAAGCAAAAATTACTTTTAAAACATTATTAAAGGCACCCTTGTTTAGCAAATTTGTTTAAAGATTGCTCTCAATCAGTCCTCTGTCAGCATAACAACAGAGTACAAAAATAATCCTCCTTTTAAGGTTTACTTTTCTCTACATATCACAACCATCTTCATGTCTTTGTGTTTTCTTCATGTCAGAGCTCTTCTCCATGAATATTGACTTAAATCTGAAGACAATTTTAACTAAAATTTCAAATATAATATATGGCCAGTAATGTTGTGCAACTGTTCATAATGTTGTGTTATATGATTGTATCCCTTAGGTAAACCCTCTGAACATACATAGTCATAAATATTTTCCACATCTAAGGAAATCTACGTTCTACAAAATGTCATGAGGATTCAGTGAGTTAACATCTGTAAAGCACTTAGAATCTTGTCTGGCATATAGTAGGAGTTGTGCGTGTGGTTTTTTTAAAAAAATTAATTGGTTCTTACACTACAGAAAAATTCTTAAGCAAGAATTTTAAATTTAAAACGATTATCACAATTACAGTTTTATGGTTACATTTCAAAAAACTTGACTCTTTTTACAAGAAATAACATTTTAAAAATCCTTATGTGACATTCAAATGCAATTAATAACCACAGCTATAAGGACGTTGTTTCATTCACCAATTTTATTTGTGGTGAAAGGATTCTAAAGGATCCTAAAGGATGAGCTGCATTTTTCTTGAACTTTTCCAAGTAGTATGTGAGGCAGCATAGGAAACAGAGTAGAAACATATGACATTCACTCTGTCACTGAGGAGCTTTCTAGCCACTTAAGAAATTAGATTAATCACAAAACAAACAGCACAAAATCTATGGTCATATAGAATTAGATGCTATATTTTATCTACAGAGAGATAAATACAAGGTAGAATAATCACAGCAGATTTCTTGGAGAATATTACATGTGTAAATAAAGACAAAGAATGTCCAGAATTGTAATTTCTCCAATAAAAAAACTCAGATTTGAATCAGTGTAATGTGCTGTAGTAACATATTCTTTTTAGAGAGATGATTTTTAGCCACCAGCCACATATACATTTGACTACACTTCACGTGAAGCCATGTAATTTTGGCATTTCATTTACAAAATATTGGACTTTAAGAAAATTTGGAAGGAAAATGTTAGTTACTTAACCAGTATTCATATTTGAGTCTTCTGATTTTAATTATAAAATAATTAGTTAATAAATGGTATTTACCTGTTCTTAAAGTCATGATAGCACGTTAATCCCCCTCCCCTCTTCAGGTTGGGTGGTATAGGCCAGTCATTGAGTAAGGGAACCTAAAACCAGTTTTCTTCCTCTACCCACCACAAAGAAGCCTCCTGACTGTTTCCCACACATTCCAGTGTGCTTTAATTGACAGAAAAATGAGATTAATTCCAAAAGAGAAAACTTTATCAATATAGTTTAGATGTTTGTCCTCTCCAAATCTTATGTCGCAATGTGGTCCCCATTGTGTTAGTCCATTTTTACACTGCTATAAAAAAAAAATACCTGAAACTGCGTAATTTATAAAGAAAAGAGGTTTAGTTGGCTCACCGTTTTGCAGGCTGTACAGGAAGCATGGCGCTGGCATCTGTGTCTGGTAAAGGCCTAAGAAAACTAACAATCACGGCAGCAGGTTAAGGGGGCACAGGTGCATCACCTGGTGAGGAGGGGAGCAAGAAGGAGAAGGGGGAGGTCCCAGACTCTTTAAACAACCGGATATCTTATGAACTGAGTGAGAACTCACTTATCACCAAGGCATTGGCGCTAAATCATTCACAAAGGATTCACCCCCATAATTCAATCACCTTTCACCAGGCCGCACCTCCAACTTTAGGAATCACATTTCAACATGAAATTTGGAGGGGAGACATATCCAAACTATATCATTCCACCCCTAGGCCCCAAATCTTATGTCCTTCTCACATTTCAAAATACAGTCAAGCCTTCGCAATAGTCCTCCAAAGCATTAACTCGAAAGTCCCAAGTCCAAAGTCTCATCTGGAGATGAGTTTCTTTCACCTATAAAATTATGAAATAAAAGACAAGTTATTTAGTTCCAAGATACAAGGGTATACAGACATTGGGTTTACATTCCCATTCCAAAAGGGAGAAATAGGCCAAAATAAAGAGGCAACAGGCCCCACACAAGTCCTAAACCCAGCAGCCAGTCATTAAATCTTAAAGCTCCTGAATGAATCTCCCTTAACTCCACATCCTGCATCCAGAGTACACTGATGCAAGGAGTGAGCTCCCAAGGGGGAAGATCCACCCCTGTGGCTTTGCAAGATGCAGCCACCGTGGCTGCTCACACAGGTTGGAGTTGAGAGCCTGTGGCATTTTCAGCCACAGGGTGCAAGCAAACAGTGGCTGTACCATTCTGGGGTCTAGAGGATGGTGGCCCCCTCCCCACAGTTCCACTAGGCAGTGCCTCTCTGGGGACTCTGTGTGGGAGCTCCAATCCAAAATTTTCCCTCTGCAATACCCAAGAAGAGACTCTCTGTGGGGGTTCCACCCCTGCAGCAGGCTTCTGCCTGAGGATCCAGCCGTCCCCTTACATCCTCTAAAATCTAGGCAGAAGCCACCAAACCTCCTTCACTTTTGCATTCTGTGTGCCTACAGGCTTAACACCATACGGAAGATGCTAAGGCCATAGGCTTACACACTTGGCAGTGGCCAAGATCTGCCTGAGGCCCTTTGAGCCACAGGTGGAGTCCGGGCACCCTGGATGTGGGAAACAGCATTGCAAGGCTGTGGAGGTCCTCCTAGGTCTCTGGGCCTGTGATGAGAGGGGCTGCCTCAAAGACTTCTGAAATGGATTTCAGGCCTTTTTTCCATTGTCTCAGATATTAGCACATGGCTACTTTTTAGTCACGCTAATATCTCTAGAAAGTGATTGCTCCACAGACTGCTTGAATTCTTTCTCTACCAGAAGATTAAACTGCAAATTTTCCAAACTTTTACACTCTGCTTCCCATTTAAATATAAGTTCCAGCATTAAGTCATTCCTTTGCTTCTCTATCTGATTATAAGTTGTTAGAAGTAGTCATGCCATTTCTTAAATGCTTTGCTGCTTAGAGATTTCTTCTGCAAGATACCCTAGGCCATCACTTTTAAATTCAAATTTCCACAGATGCCTGGGTCATGAACACAATGCAGCCAAGTTATTTGCTAGGTCATAACATGGATGACTTTCACACCAGCTCCCATTAACTTCCTCATTTCCATCTGAAACCTCATCAGCTTGTCCTTCTTTGTCCGTATTTCCATCAGCATTTTGGTCACAACCATGTAATCAGTCTCTAAGAAGTTTCCAACTTTCCCTCATCTTCCTATGTTCTTCTGAGCCCTCCAAATTCTTCCAACCTCTGCCCATTTTACAGTTCCAAAGCCACTTCCACATCTTCAGGGATCTTTATAGCAACACTCCACTCCTGGTATAAATTTTCTGTGTTAGTCCTTTCTCACATTGCTATAAAAAATAGCTGAGCCTGGGAAATTTATAAAGAAAAGTGGCTTATTTCAGCTCAAGGTTCTACAGGCTGAACAGGAAACATGGTGCCAGCATCCATTTCTGGTGAGGACATTAGGAAGCATACGGTTATAAAGGAAGGGAAAGGCGGAGCAGGCATTTCACATGGCAAAAGCAGGAGAGAGAAGGGGGAGGTCCCACACTCTGAAACAACCAGATATCATGCCAGATATCACAACCAGATATCATGAGGCAGAACTCACTTACCAAGGAGTTGGTGCTAAACCATTTGTAAGGAATCTGCCTCCATGATTCTGTCACCTCTCACCAGGCCCCACCTCTAATGCTGAGAATCACATTTTAACATGAGATTTGGAAGGAAAAAACATCTGAACCATATCACCCAATGTTGGGGGTAGGGGCTGGAGAAAGGTGTTTAGGTCATAGGGGTAGAAACCTCATGAATGGCTTGGTGCCCTCCTTATAATAATGAGTGAGTTATCCCTCTGAGTTCATGCAAGATGGTAATGAGTAATTTCTTGCTCTGAGTTCATGCAAGATCTGATTCTTTTAAAAAGTGTAGCATCTCCCCTCACCTTTCCTGCTCCCTCTCTCACCTGTGACATGCCTGCTCTGGCTTCACCTTCTACCATAAGCAAAAGCTCTCTGAGGCCTCCCCAGACACTGAGCACAGCTGGCATCACACTTCCTGTACAGCCTACAGAACCATGAGCCAATTCAACCTCTTTTCTTTAAAAATTACCCAGTCTCAGGTATTTATTTATAGCAATATAAAAAATGAACTAACATTGAAAATTCATACCATGAGCGGAGTGTTGATATAAAGATCCCTGAAGATGTGGAAGCAGCTTTGGAACTGTGAACCAGGCAGAGGTTGGAAGAGTTTGGAGGGCTCAAAAGAACACAGGAAGATGAGGGAAAGTTAGAAACTTGTTAGAGACTGATTAAATGGTTGTGACGAAAATCACAACCTAATGGAAATGTGGACAGTGAAGACCAGGTTGAAGAGGTGTCAGAAGGAAATTAGGAGGTTATTAGGAATTGGAGTGAAGGTCACCCATTTTACCCCCTAGCAAATAACTTGTCTGTATTGTATTCATGTCCTAGGGATCTGTGGAAGTTTGAATTTAAGAGTAATGACCTGGGATATCTGGCAGAAGAAGCAAGCGGCAAAGTGTTCAAGATGTGGCATGGCTGCTTCTAACAGCCTATGATCAGATACAGGGACAAAGGAATGACTTGAAGTTGGAACTTATATTTAAAAGGGAAGCAGAGGATAAACATTTGAAAAAATCACAGGCTAGCCACATGATAGAGAAAAAAAGCATTTTTCAGGAGAGGAATTTATGTGGGCTGGGAGCAACCACTTCCTAGAGAGATTTGCATGACTAAAAGGGAGCCATGTGCTAATATACAAGACAATGAGGGAAAAGCCTCAAAGCCATTTCAGAAGTCTTTGAGGCAGCTCCCTCTCCTCACAGGCCCAGAGGCCTAGGAGGACAGAATGGTTTCGGGAGCCAGGACCAGGGCCTCACTGCCATGTGCAGCCTCACAACGCTACTCCCCATGTTCAGGCTGTTTCAGCTCCAGCCATGGCTCAAAGGGCCTCAGGTAAATCTCCTGCCACCACTCCTGAGGGCACGAGCCATAAGCCTTGGCATTTTCCACATGGTATTAAACCTATAGGTGCACAGAATGCAGAAGTGAAGGAGGTTTGGTGACTTCCCCCTGGATTTCAGGGAATATATGGGGAAGGCTGGGTGCCCAGGCAGAAGACTGCTGCAGGGGAAGGGCCCCCACAGAAAGCCTCTACTAGGGTAGTGCAGAGGAAAAGTTTTGGGTTGGAGCCCCCATACAGAGTCCCCAGAGGGGCATTGCCTAGTAGAGCTGTGGGAAGGGGGCCACCATCCTCCAGACCCTGGAATGGTACAGCCACTTGCAGATTGCACCATAAGCCTGAAAAAGCCACAGGCACTCAACTCCAACCCATGGGAGCAGCCATGGTGGCTGCACCCTGCAAAGCCAAAGGGATGAATTTTCCTCAGCCCTTGGGAGCCTACCTCTTACACTGGCGTGCCCTGAGTGTGGGACATGGAGTCAAGAACTATTTAAGATTTAAAATTCAATGACTGGCATCCTGGGTTTTGGACTTGTGTGGGGCCTTTTGTCTCTTTTTTTTAGCCTATTTCCCCCTTTGGGAATGAGAATGTTTACCTAATGCTTGTACCACCATTGTATCTTTTCTTTGCTGTCACAGGCTCATAGGTGGAAGGAATCTGACTTGAGTCTCAGATGAAATTAAAGACTTTGGGACTTTTGAGTTGACACTAGAATGCCTTGAGACTTTTGAGCAGTACTGTGAGGGGATTGTTGCATTTTGCAGTACGAGTAGGATATGAGATTTGGGGGGGCCAGGGATGGAATGATATAGTTTGTGTGTTTGTCCCCTCCAAATTTCATGTTGAAATGTTATCTCCAGTGTTGGATGTGGGGCCTGGTGGGAGGTGAATTCATCCTGGGAGTGGGTCTCTCATGAATGGCTTCATGCCTTCTTTGTGGTAACAAATGAGATCTTACTCTGAGTTCTCATGAGATCTGCTTGTTTAACAGAGTGTGCACCTCCCTTCCTCTTTCTTACTCTCTCTCTTGACATATGATGTGCCTGTTCCCACTTCACCTCCTGCCATGAGTCAAAGCTCCCTGGGACCTCAACAGAAGCTGAGACGATGCCAGCAACATGCTTTCTCTACAACCTGCAGAACCATGAGCCAATTAAACCTCTTTTCTTCATAAACTACGCAGTCTCAATAATTCCTTTCTAGTCATGCAAAAATGCACTAATGCATTCATCCTCCACGCTTAGTATTTTAAGAGAGTTGTGGCCTTCTAGAGGAGAGGGATAGCAGAGAAGTCCCTCAGGACTTACTAGGTTAGTACCTGAATGCACAGGACATCTTTCAGAGGCATCACTGTGATGCATGATTTTTAATTGGTTGCTGCTTATCTCTTTACACCATTTAGCAGGTAATCTTTGGATGAGTTGAACTGATTTAAGTTTGAATTTTTAGCAACCATGTAAAACAACCCAAGAAGTCCAAGAGAAGGGTGGCATCAATGCTGTGGTTACATTCTAATGTCAATTCATACCTGAGGGAGGTGTTTAAGATGAGAGTGTTGATATAGGTAAAATAGGTCATTCAGTCACCTTTACCACCAAACATAAAATAGCTTGCTAAATCAATGATGTGGAAATCCACAAAAATGTAAAACTATATGAATAAGCAGGCTAGCATTTATATTATGACCATTTAGTTTATACAGACCATCTAAATTGGGCAACTAGCAGAAAGTCAATAGCATGCAATGGAAATTACTGCTACATAGATTGCCATCTTCTCTGCTATCCAGGAAAGCTAGATTTCAGTAACAAAAAAGCCACCATTATAGAAACATTTAAAAATTAAGATGTATCGGAAACTATCTTTTCACCACAATGAATACAAGCATAATGAGAGAGATATCAGTTGCTACTTTTTGTTGAAATTTGGAAATAAATTTTTATACTAGGAAATAAGAAACAAGACAGCACTCATACAGTTCTTTATATGCAATTCTAGTCCAGCATTTCCCCAAAAGATGCATTTCTAATATAAGCAGACAAAAAGGATATGCTAGGTTGGAGAAATATTCTCAGAAGTTTCTTCTTAATGCACAGGTGTTGAGCAATTCCAAACCACAACTAGACTGGTCTGGATGAGGGATAGGCCAATTACAGGCGTTGATGACCACCATTGTCAGCATCATATTCCTGGCACTAGGCAGAATGGGCCTACCTCCTACAGTGGAAATTTAGCTATACCCTTCCATCCACTGATTCCTTTCTGATTTAGCAGAACTGAAACAGCTACCAGAATACAGGTGGGAGAATGTAAGTAGTAAAGTTACTGTCCACATTAAAATTTTTTTAATGTCAGAATTCCGGAGTCCAACCAAGAGGCACTGCAAGCATGAGACAGAATGAAAGAAAATCTCTATTTGGTCTGTTCGAATATGATGGTCTATATTCCACTAATAAGAATGGCACTAAAAGTTCCTTAGACTATACCAAAATACCCAAACATCTCACTAATTCAATTTTGAAAATCACCTCAGTAAAAAGAATTGACTGTAACATTCATATCAGTATCTTGTAGCCAAAATGACTGAAATGACAAAAATTATATACTAGATTAATTTTCCACTTTAAGGCTTGCCGTTATAATTTATACAGAATATTATGAGAAATACACATTTTAAAGTAACAATGACCCTCTGGGTTAAGAAGGTGATTTTACCTTTACATTTTGCATTCTTACTGCCCAAATTCCCATTGGAACAACTCAGTTAGAAACACCACATATACCCACCAATGCTGGAAAAGTCAGGCCGGACTGTTGAGAGTGGATCAGAGATAGAAGTCAGGGGAGAGTTTGAACCACATGAATTTCTCTGAGGTGCACAGCAGGGAGCTAGCACTTGCTATGGGGACAGTGACATTCATTCCTAGGCTGTACTTGGAGCAGTAAAGGGGGTCATGACAGCTACACACTCCTAATGAAGGGCATGATGATTCAAAAGAGGGCAGTGCCTCAGGTAACTTTGGACTACAGTAATACTCATGAAAAGAAGCTGTTCAGCAAAACCATGAAGTTTCCAGCCACATACCAGAGGAAAAACACTATTATTAAATTTCAAAACATAAAGAATGCAATAAAAACAGAATACCAAATCTGTCTAGGCAATTTTTGTAGAAAAGAATAAAAATAGACATATGATGCATGAAAAGATAATTTTTATGAATAATAAATCAAGAAGCTCTGATATATTTGTAATAAGCATTTCATGAGGAAAAAACAAAGTAGCCAGAAGCACAAACAGAAAAAAAGAAAATAGAACATTTCTGTGAGGTTAAAAAAAATCAGGTTAAAAAAGTATCCTGAGTATAAGCAAAATGTAATAAAAGTATTCCCACACTGAAACAAATTCCAAAGATAATCCCATAAGTAACTACACAGGAAGGAAAAGAATTAAATTGGTTTCAAACTCCTTCTTTATACAAGTAAATGAAGAAAACAAAATAGAATAAAGTCAGCAAGGTCTTTAAGGGAAAATAATTTCGATATAACAACTCAATAACCAGCAAAACTATTGACCAAGATAAGTACATTTTCAAACATGCTAGTTTGAAGACAAGCCTCATCCTTATTCTTCACATTAAGAGTCTAATTTCATACTTCAGCAATCTAGAAATCAATCAAAATACCAAACATTAGAATGGAGACAATATGATCAAAAAGAAATTGCAGCAGTAACAAAGCCAATAAAACAAAATGTCAATCAAATTCTACATAACTTTTCAACTGTTTTTAGTATGGTTATGAAACTTATTTTATTCAACATTTTACAAATTTTCTTGAATACTCACTGTGTGACATGTCCTGTATTAGGCTCTGCAAATACAATGATTAGCAAAGTAGACATAGACTATATCCCTATGGAACTTCCAAAAATATCAAAAATTATTTCAGAAAATGGAGAGGCATTAATTTTTCTAAAAAATAACAATTCAAATCTAAAATCTAAATGTGGTATTTCATTCCAGTATGGCCAAATAAGCTCCTATGGAACCAAGCTTCACTCAACAGCTATAAACTCTGTGCCAAAAACAAAAACAAACACACTACCTGAAGACACTGGAGAATAGCCAAAAGCAGGCAAATTCTTGAGAATAATCAATTATTCTCTGGGAAAAAGGATGAGTTTCCTATTCCATAGTTTCCAGTCTGAAAACACACCCCAGTCTGTGCCGTGCAGAGTAGCTAAACTCTGATACTAAACCCACAGTCTTTCCAGCCTGAAGAATCAGAGGACAGAGTTCTCCTGGAAACAAAAGAGCCAGAGAGGGGAAGCTCCAAATATTATATATAAATTCTGACCAAATCTTGGGCTGACCTTTGAATCATGCATGTTTAGGGTAGATTCCATGTAACCTAGTTAAGGATAAAATAATTTAAATGGTATTTGAGCTGCTGTTTGCAGTTTGAGTCTGGTCAAGTCAATTTCCTGTTAAAACAGAAATATTAACACTCTTCAGAGGAATACAATAGAATGCGGAGTCTCCCTAACATAACATTCACAATGCCCAAGATACAATTCAATAATGTTCAATAAACAAAGAAACAGGAAACTGTGACTTGCTCTCAAAAGAAAATAGAACCAACAGAGACTGACTCCAGGATACAGAAATGCTGGAATTAGCCAAAAAGAACTCTATATTCTTAGAATATTAAGATATTATATCTTATTCAAATATGCTATTATATTTATTAGGTTATTACATTTTATTAGACTATACTCAGTATCCTTGAGAGTATACATTTAGTAGCAAATTTTTACTGAGAATTTACTTATTAAAATAGAAAAAGGTAAAAAAATCAAACAAACCAATCACTAGGAATAAAACTAAAACTGTCAAAAAAATGCTGAAATAATGTTAAATCATCATAAAGCAACTAACAGCCAAATTACTTAAATTATTCTAGACCTGGAAAAATAAGAATTTCCCTACTGGTTTTTAAAACTGGAATAATTCTAATATTAAAAGTAAAAGAATAAAATAAAGCAGGGAAATTACAGACCAATATAACTTTTTTAAACACAAAAATAAAAATAAAAGATTTTTTCCAAAAATATATACAAATAGCCAACAAGCACATTAAAAGATGCTCAACATTAAGAAAATGTAACTCAAACTACAATGAGTTACCATGACATCCACTAAAGCCATTATAATAAAATATAAATATAAATAAAAAGAGAAAATAAAAAGTGTTGGCAAAAACTGTGGAATAATTGGGACACTCGCACGTTGCTGTTAGGAATGGAAAATGGTGCAGCTGCTGTGAAAAGGTTTGGTGGTTTCTCAAGAAGTTAAACAGAATTACTATATTACCAACAATTCCACTCCTAGTCATATACCCAAAAGAATTGTAAACAGGTGTTCAAAAACTTGTACACAAATGTTCATAGTAGCATTATTATTCACAATAGCCAAAAGATGGAAATAGCCCAAATGTTAATTGACTTCTGAAAAGATAAACAAAATGCAGTATATTGATGCAAATGAATTTAGTCAGCTACAAAAAGGAAAGATGTACTGACCTTGCTCAGTGTAGATGTAGATGAACCTTGAAAACCTTATGCTAACCGAAAGAAGCCAGACACAAAAGGTGACATATTGTAAGATTCCGTTTATGCAAAATAACCATAATAAACAAATCCAGAAAGAGAGAAATTAGTGGTTGTCACGGACTTTGGGGTGTGGGGAGTGACTCCTGATGGATATAGGGTTTTCTTTTGGGGATAAAAAAAATGTTCTGTACAAGATAGTGGTGACAGCTGCACAACATTGTGAATGTACCAAGTGTCAGGAATTGTACACTTTAAAATGGTTAAAATGGTAAATGTTATATTATGTAAATTTTCCCACAATAAATAACAAATGTATCAAGATCAGTGCTTTCTTATATACTTGTATATGTAAAAGAAAGTAATGATTATATTTACAGTAGAAACAAAAATTTTTAAAAGTTAGAATAGGCCAGGCGTGGTGGCTCATGCCTGTAATCCCAGCACTTTGGGAGGCCGAGGTGGGTGGATCACCTGAGGTCAGGAGTTTGAGACCAGCCTTGCCAACGTGGTGAAACCTCATCTCTACTAAAAATACAAAAATTAGCCAGGTGTGGTGGTGGGTGCCTGTAATCCCAGCTACTCAGGAGGCTGAGGCAGGAGAATCACTTGAACCTGGGAAGTGGAGGTTGCAGTGAGCCAAGGTCACGTCACTGCACTCCAGCCTGGACAACAAGAGCAACACTCCATCTCAAAAAAAAAAAAAAAAAAAGTTAGAATAAAAGTGCTATAAAACTAATGCAACTAATTTGCCTCACTATTATGAGGAAAGTTACAAAATTTTTATTCAAAACACGACTTTGATAATAAGATAGATTGTGATCAAGATAAGAAACACTCTATATTAAAATTGATCAATTGTACTCAAGTCTAAATAAAATACAGAGATGATAATTGTACATAAAGCTAATACTAATTGTACATAAAGATCAATAGGATAAGATAAAGGATCCAAAAATATCCAAGCACATGTTAGAATGTTATATATAATAAAGGTAGGAATTTAAAACAGGTTGCAGGAAGAGCATTCAATAAATAATTTGAGGACAACTGGCTAACCATTCAATAGAAAATTCAGATCATTAACTTGTAAATCAAACCAAAATAAGTCATAAATGTATTAAAAACATAAATACAAATGATGAATGGGGAAAATTGCTAGAAGAAAAAAAGAGGTAAATACTGATATCATCTCAGCCTGAGAAAAGCATTTTTTAAACATGAAACAATCAGTAACCACAAAAGAAATTATTAATTCACTACTTTTGTAAACTCAAATACTGAATTAAAAGGCAAACAATAAACCTGGACAAACAACTGCTTTTATAATAATTTATTTTATAAGTATTTTTATATATCAGAATTATCTGTTCTTTGCTATCCAAACAGTTCTTGCAAATCATTTAGAAAAATACAAATACCTGTACATTCACAAAAGGGATAATGCCCAACAACTGTAATAAAAAATGTTTAACTACTCTATTAATCAAAGAATTAAAATAATGTATTTTCCCCATTAGCTAGGTAAAAAGATAGATGCACCCAGAATACTAACAGTAGTTATTTCTGGGTAGTGGGATTTGGAAGATTTTTTTTAAAAACTTAATATGTAGTTTGTTGTAATTTTTTACAATGAAATTTTATAGCTAAAGAAAATATTATATTTTTTTCAAATAGCTTGGGGAATATAATACATGAAATTTAATATCCCTCAATAAAGGAGAAGACGTCTGTGAAAATAAAAGGAGGTCTCACCTTTCCAACAGAGTTCCCAAAACATGAGAGTGCCTCTCTTCACCCTCATACCACCAGCTTTCTGCTGCCCTAATTGCCTTGTTTTCACCCTTGCGTTCTGTTTCTCCTTCACTCATGTGACTTTTATTTTTCCTTCTATTTTCTGGTCCACAGCCACGGTCATAAATGCAAGAAGCAAAATAAAGGAATATGTAATAACAATAACAACCAATATTGATGCCACTGCTGCTACAACAATGTTCTTGCTGTGTATTTAGTACTTACTAATTCACCTTTGTGATCAGAGGTTCCTTCAGTATTACTAAGCCATTACCTCCCTGACCTGCTCCAAAGCAAAGCCAGAAAAATACAAATAGCTATATTTACCCCATAGTAAAAGTGGAAAAAGTAGGCAGAGGAAGCATGTGGAGTTTGGAGAAGAGAATGCAAGGTCACAGACAAAATGAAGGAGATAGAAAGCATGAGTCTTAGAATTTGTCTCAGGAATATTTTCCCAGGTCATGTCTCTGTCTCTATCCTTTACCCTCCACCTGGAGAGACACCCACCAGTTTCCTCAGCAAAGTCTGCTGAAAGAATAAATCAATGAATAAATTATTCATGAGTAAATGAAAACGTAAATGAACTTTTTTTGTTTCCTTCCTATTACTCATATTCACAGCAATTTAATGATTTAATTGTTTTTCTTTATTTCTAAAACTTCCTTGAATTCTTAGAAAGTGTTAGGAGCTTTTGTAATGCTTCATTTCACCCAAAATTTATTTCTCTTCTACATCCTGAGTCGGTTTCCTTATCAAAAGATAGTATAAAATACTAATTTGAATTATTAAATTTTTATTATCTGACAATTTTTCTACTCATATTTTATTACTTGAAAAATTTTAATTTAATATTAACTTATTATAACCTGCTGTATTCTAATCCTGTTAAAGCCTGGCCCAAATACTAAAGAGTTTCTCTTCTCATTTTCACACTTCCGTATCTCTGGGAATTATATGCATTATTTTCTCATTGGTTCTTACAGCTTACATTAATTGACTTTCGATTACATTTATTTCCAGTAATTTTTCTTTGTAAATGATAGCCCAGAGAAATTTTTTCCTTTTCATAAGCTGTCACGAATAATCTCATCCACAAACATTCATAATAAAATACCTGATATTCTGTTGTAACAAAAGATAGAATCGTTATATTTCAGTTTCCTGCATATCTCTTCTCTTTTTATCTTATAAGTACTATTGTTTAAGGCCATAGACATTATGAACAGTTAAATTACAGTGATTATTATTCTAGTATCTAGAACAGTGCCTGACATATGTTAGATGCCCAATAAATGTTTGTCAAATCAATAAACAAATAACCACTTATGGATCACCAAATTAGAAGTGACAAATCCCTCTTATAATTCCCATTATTCATTTAATAATTTTAACGTGTCTTTGATCATCTCATTGACAAAATGATTAGTGGGCAACATTATTATTTAATAGTAACAGCAACAACAATGAGAATAGTATAATAACTGAAGCATATGGTACTTGTTATATGTCAAACACTATTTTAAGTGCTTTACAAACATTATTTAATTCTCACAACCACCCTATGAAGTGGATACTATTACTACTTATTTCACTTTATTTTACTTACTTTATTTTGCTTTATTACTACTTAATTATGAGGAAACAGAGGCACAGAGTGGCTACAGACACATGGCCAGGAAGTGAAAGAAACAGGACTTGAACCCAGATTCTTAAACACTACACTATATTGCTTTTTCAAAGGCTAATAACTTACATCTTTTGCTTCAAATAAATTATAAGTTCCTTGAGGAAAGATCTTTATCCTTTACTCCCTGGTACCACTCACAACTCTGATCTAATAATTAATACCTCACAAATTATCAGAATATTTAGGAGGTTAGCAGGCAACATCTTTACTTCTGATGAGATAGTGAAGTAAGGACCTATAATTTGAAACTTGGAGTGGAAATGTTCAAGTTTTCTGAAGCTATGAGCTTCTTCTCTCTTCCTTTCTACTGCAACCAATCCTTCTTAATGGAAGAGAAAATGGAAAATATCTGAACTAAACGTAGATGATTATTTTTCATTGGGATGGTGGGCAGCATTAATACCAATAAACTTTTTGAGTATTTTTGGATTTTGTTGTACATTTACTATGTGCCAATCACTCTGTGATGAGACTTTAGGGAAATTAAATTATTTAATCTGATAGTACATCTGAGTTTACGATTATTATAATCACGGATATGCACAATTGTCTTAGAGTAACTCTAAGGTCATAGCTAAGAAGTGGTGAGGCTGAGATTCATGCTCCCCGCCTATACTCTGAATAACTACACTATTCTCAAAGGAAGACTTGACTTGGGACTATGCACAAAAAGCTAAAATAATTCATTTTACATAATCCAATTGTCTCTGTCTCCTTCACCATCACACCACGGCCACACTCCATTTCAGTATTCCACAGTCTGAATTTCATTTGGGATACAATAGCTGAGGAGGAGTGAGAAAAAAACACCTCCCTGCCTATGTAAAACCACAATTGTATTCACTCTTCTATGGCATTAGCTGTGTTACACCCAGAAAAGAGGACAGACAGGAGACAGGTTTACACAAGCTCTGAAAGGTATATTTACAAGTATCACAAGACAAACTTATCCTGTTGGATGAAGTCCTCTCTGAGTACAGATAAATGACACTGATGTATCAGGTTAAATTGGGGTGGCTATACATGACTTCCAAAACAAATATAAATGGAATACAATTTATATACTTCCTATAAAGATAAGTCTTAAGCAAATAAAGCTAAAACTGGCAACCCAAAGAGCTTTGGGACACATCAACATCTTGAATTGTTCTTCAAATGTTTTGGAGCTTAATGAAAAGCCCAAAACCCTTTAAGCCAGAAGATTTTTATATCCTTGAGGGTATAAATTTAATACACATGTTTCTGATTCGTTTACACTTAAGTCATTCAAGTAATGTTTTGTAAGTGTCGTCTCGATGTCTATGATATCTTTGGGCATTTTTATAAGTCTTTCTTCTTAAAAAAAAAAGGTCATGTTTTTCTAAGAGTAAATAAGTTTAAAATAACAAAGTATTCCAGATCACTGTGCTCATCCAAAGCAACAAATTCTTGAGTAAATTCTCATCCTAGCAATGTCTTTTAAAAATGGATTGACATTTGCCAATTTTACACCATACACTTTTATGGAGGGAGATAGTTTTATACTTAAATGAGCTCAATTCCATATACATAGCCTACACATAGCTCATATATTTATCAAATAACACTGTAAACCAATGTGTAATGCACTTTATATGCAGATAGTACATGAACAAATAGACTTCTGGAAGGTTGTCCTAAGGTAGGCTCTGGAGGCAATAGACTTTGGGGCAGACATCTGCACGCAGGAAGCTTTCCAGAGAGTGTGTGAAGTGGAGAAGGAAGCAGGATTGGGTAGGAGAGGAGCTGCAAGGCAGTTGCAAGGAAACTCCTCAACAGACGCCTCAGCAAGCCCTGAAGCATGAATGGACCTTCGGAAATATCCCAACAAGGCAAAGGAACAAGTTCCCTGTATCCCCACATCCACCAGTCACTGCACATAGACTGACCCCAAGAGACAGGGACACAATCTTGGACAAAGCAGCTACTTTCAGCTAAAGGAAATTCCCTTGAGAAAAGGAAGATCTGGGAGGAGTACCACAGTGTCCACTAAAAAGGTCTGTCGGATTTTTTTGAGAATTAATCCTCTGTGAATATAAAACCTACCTAATCTTTTAGTCTGATAGCAGTACAGGTTAAAGCATATACATTCATTTAATCAGCTGGTAAAGACATGATGTAAGCAAGCCTGCTTCAGACAAATTTCCATATTTACCACAGAGCTTTCATTTTATGACAAGGAACATGCAATATCTGGAGGTCTTTACTCAAAGTAAGTTCTCCTCTTGTCCCCCAACATGATTCTCTCAGAGATAAAATACCAAAAAAAAAATACATTATGAAAAAAATGTGTGGCTGTAGAGAAAACATCAGTGTTAAAGACTGGGGATAAATTAATCCAAATTTCTGTTACCTAATATTTTCCTTTGCCTTTGATACTTCCCATTCAATACTTGAGTGATTATTTTATTCATTCAATAAACATCGATTAATGGCTCATTATATTTGAAATTAAAACATAAACTAATAATGTAGAGTAAAGCCACCAAGCACCATTTGGAATAACAGAGAAAACATATAAACAAATCATTGTAATATCATAAAATAAAATACCAAGCCTAGTATGTCCATGAAATTCCTCTAGATGCTGACAGAATTCCTAAATTCTCATTCTGGATTCAAACTTCAGAAAGTCCAAGATTCTCCAGGACATTACTTCCAACTTACATTCTTAGGGAACTCCTGAACACAGAATTTCTCCCTCTCAGACCTCTCCAGCTCAAATCACAATTCAAAGTACTACAGGTATTCCCAGGGGCTATCAACCAGGTCCTGACCTCCTCAGCAGAGCTAATTCAAAGTGGAAATGAGGTAGTCAACAACTGGGCCCTCCTTTACATAAGATTCATTTGGCAGACTCTTACTGACCCCAACTATATGCCAGGCACTGGTCTAGGAGCTGAACACAGAACAATCAGCAAGGCCCCTCCCTCAGGAGCTTACGTGCTAGGGGCAAAAGCCCAGCAACAACCAGATAGACAGAGAAATATGTATTATGTTATCACACCCTGCTAGGTCCTATGAGGGAGATAAAGCAGAGGAAAGGAAGAGAGGAAAAGAGAACAGGAACTTTTTAAAGATAGCCCAGATAGAGGAGGGGATATTTGAGAGAACAGAGAAGAAAGAGGGAGAGAGTCACGTGAATGTCAAGAGGAGAGTGTTCCAGGCAGGAGAACACCAAGGCTCAGGGACAGGAATGTGCTCCCTGATCTCCCAGGGCAGCTCCTCTGCTAGCTATGGTTGGTCATTCACCCCATGGCACTTACTTCATGCCTTCCCCAATGTGAGAAAGCTGCCTGAATTCCCACGATTACACTACATTAACGTATCTCTAAAATATGTCTTTTCTGCTGGATATGAATTTTGAGTTGTTGAGGTCTAAGTTACAAACTTCCCAGAAGTAGAACCCAGTTGTCATAAGTCCTGTATCCAGACAACCTCACTGCTGCTTCCACGTTCCAAACAGAGGGACACTCACGCTTCACAAAGAAAACTAGCTAAAATGATTTATGAAAATATTGCCTCTGAAATCAGCAGAAATCCAAGAGTAAACCTGAAAGACCTATATTCCAAGATCTAATATAAGACTATAGAACAGTCCATTTTGTTTGTTTGTTTGTTTGTGTGTTTGTTTGTTTTTAGAGTCAGGGGATACATGTACAGGTTTGTTGCATGGGTATATTGCAGGATACTGAAGTTTAGGCTTCTAATATCACCCAAGCAGTGAACACAGTATCTATTAGCTATGCCACCCACTAGAATCCCTCTTATTTGATCCAATGGCAATGGGTTAATTTTTTAAATTTGGGAAATAATTTAACATTTATGTGTGTATTTGCATATATACATACACAAACAGGTATGTATGTACACATCTACACTTTTATGTATGTACCTAAATACATAAACAATATATATACACACTACATATATATATGTACACATTTATATTGTACATGTGCAATTTTCCACATTATCTCTTCACTTAAAATATATAAACATATATCCACTCACCATCCTTTGGGTATTGAGGCAAGTGCTCAAGACACATACATAGATTTCCATTACACCATTCTTAAATATGATGATGGGGGTCAGCCTTTCAAAGAAAATAATCTTCACTAATAGTCAAAATGTGCTATGATGTCATGTTACTCCATCATTTGTCATTAGCCCTTTAAGACTTGGTCATTATGAAGCCAATACCTTTAGTAATTTCAGTCAAAGTTCAATTAGCCACCCAGTTCTTTGATCTATATCTAACAAACACCTTAGTGACCAAACAATGTTTAACTATGTTGACTAGAAATATTAGCATAAGAGTAACCTTAGGAAAATCAAGCTCCAATTCTACATTTGCAAGAGAACACATTTCTTGGGTAAACTCACCTATGTAAGAAATCACTTTGCTCTTCATATACTTTATATTTCTCTTTCCCATTCAAAATTATTCTGTATCCCTGAAGAGAAGGTAAAACAAACATATGGCCTTCCAGTAAAAGACAGCTGAAGTTTAATAGCGTCCTAAGTCTACCGTTGGTGATTAGGGAACAGATTAAAATTACCATTTGGTTTCAGAGTCTGCTTGGCTGTTAACCTACAAAACTCAGAATCCATATACTGGTCAATCATTTCCAATCTTTTGACATTCATACTACTTAAGTTACAGTCAACCAGTCAACAAGTATTTATTGTTCTGCCAAATAGGTGAACTACGCATAGCACTAATAATTAATTCCTTTTAGGCTTGCATATTCTAGAAGGGGAGCATTAAAAAGAATCGTTACCCATATAAAAGTAGAAACAAAAGAATATTGAGAAAATGTTTCTCAAAAGTGCTGGTGAATCTCTTTTTTCTCCTTCACAATAGAGACATCAGGAGAATGTGTTCAATATTTATGTGTTAAGGAAAAGTGATTCATCTAGGAAGAACGCGAGACAATTTTATAATTGCTGTTTCACTTTCAAAGATGTTTAGAATTAACTTGTTGCTAAATGGAACTGTAAGATAATAAGCGTCAGTTGTAGTTTCCTGTATTTTTCAGTTAGCATTACAATTAAATGAATGTGAATGAATTAACTGTGTTTAAAACTACAAAACCCAGATATTGTAAAAATTTAAGTAATTATATTTTAAACAAATGTTATGTTTGTACTACATTTCTACATTTCAATTACTAGGAGGAGGAAAGCACATTTTCCCCTTTTGGAAAAATAAAACACATTAAATGTTTTAATTTAAAACATTTATTCTGCATGATCCTGTAATGGTGGACACATGTCATTCTATGTTTTCAAAACCCATAGAATGTACAACACAAAGAGATAGCCCTAATGTAAACTACAAACTTTAGTTAATAATAATATAGCAATGTCAGCTCATCGATTCTAACAAATATGCCACAACAAAGCAAGATATTAATAATAAAGCTGATGGGGTGGGGGAGGGGGAGGGAGTATTTGTAAATTCTCTCTACTTTCTATTCATTTTTCTATAGACCCAAAACTACTCAGAAAAGTAAAATAGAGTCTATTAACATGAGAGAGAATTCAAACATTATGATCATTTTACCTTTGTATTGATTAAAACTCAACAAATTAATAAAGTATCAGCTTTGACAAAAACTTAAATATAAATTTCAATTTATACATTTCAATGATTTTAGAAATTATGCCACTATTGACAAGTTTTGATGCAGTAGTTCCTGTCAAGCACAAACACCATCATCTCCACCTTACTCCTTTCCTCCTTTTAGTGCATGTACCTCTACCTTCGTTCCAGTTTGAGACTTGAAAATGACTGTGAACACTGGCCAAAGAGTGTGTGCAGATGTTCATTCAAATACAAATCCAACAATTCACAGTTAATCAGAGAGAAAAGGCACATGGTATGAAATAGGGCATTGACCTGGAAGCTGTCACTATTACAGCACAACTATGGGAATCTAAAAGCTTGGTTTCAGGGGTATTTTTAAAAATCAGAAGCTTTTAAAATACAAGGTGGGCAGGAAAATAATGGCTCAGTAATTAATATCTATTAAAATCCTCCTAGATATGTGAGAGAAAAAAAGAGAAAATATTCAACTGAAGTATTAGTACTGGATGTTATTTTGAGATTCTTAAGCCTGTATTTTTATAAGGTTGTTTATACCTGTCTGAGGACCCTAACTTAATCCCCAAGGCACTTGTGTCCAGACCACCAAAGTTCTGACAAAATCTTTCAGTCAGAAATTTTCATGAAGACTCAACTCTCCATAAAAGAAGCCAGGAATGCAAAGAATGCTTAAAACAACTCAAAATATCAGCCCATAAAGTAATACCTGTGGTGGATCTACTACCCATCTAACACAGAAATAATTTTCATGCTTAAAGTATTGATACGTTGGTGACACAGATATATCAATAATTCATAGTTAAAGAGAAAGTGGACCTCAGAAAATGTTCTGTAAAAGTGAAACTTTGTTTCCAATAGGAAATATGTTTAAAATAGGAATTAAATTGTAATATTTATTCCAAACCAAACCAAAAATCCAGGAATGGAAATTAGGGAAAAACATACATTCAAAATATCCACACCAAGAGTATGAAATTTTGCTTCCTTCCATAATCTTGCAGGAGTAAGTCTATGACTCCTATTCCTCAAAGTAGAAACCCAGTAACTCAACAGAATTTTTAAGATGCCTCAGAATAAACAAAAAACAAAATACAAGTGATTACCTCAGTTGTCCGGATTATGTCTCTCATTTATTGACACTTCACTATTTCACTGTTTTGAGGTATTCTCCAGAGACACAACCTTCATTGTAAAAGTTTATTTAAACATTTTTAGCCACTTCTTTTCTCACTTTCTTTGTATTTCTTTCACCAACCCCAAATTCATTTCAACTCACTCAGACTCACTTTTTAGTTTTAAAAGCTACTTTACTTCAAAGCTTAACTACAGAAAAATAAAAACCATTACACTCGGGAAATTTCTTTAGTCGAGTTACATACATTAACCTCCTCAAAAATAAACAATGAAGTGGCTCCAGTGTTGTTAGAAACGGTTTCTGTTATTCAATTCATACAACTATACTTTAATCACAGATCAGACTCTTACTGGGTTCACCCAAGGCCTCCTCAGTTGACAATTATCAGGTCTCCAAAGGTTGACTTGCCATTGATAGACCCACTCTCCCCTTGGGTGAGCTCTTATGACCTGGCCAACTCAGGAACAACACAAAAAATATTTGAATGACTTAACAATTCAAGAAGCCAAATTCAGGTTGTGAGGCAACAATATGAATAGAAATTTTTAAAATATTAGAGAAGTAGAACTCCCTTTGTAAAATAAACTCAACTCTATCATAGAATCTGTCTGCAGTAGCAGCTATCACAAACTTTTATGTGTATCAAAATCATCTGGATCGTTAATTAGAACTGCACTAGTGGGCCGGGCGTGGCGACTCACGCCTGTAATCCCAGCACTTTGGGAGGCCGAGGCGGAAGGATTACGAGGTCAGGAGTTTGAGACTAGCCTGGCCAACATGGTGAAAACCCGTCTCTACTAAAAATACAAAAATTAGCCGGGTTTGGTGCCACACGCCTGTAATCCCAGCTACTCAGGAGGCTGAGGCAAGAGAATTGCTTGAACCTGGGAGGCGGAGGTTGCAATAAGCCGAGATCGCACCACTGTACTCCAGCCTGGGTGACAGAGCGAGCCTCCGTCTCAAACAAACAAACAAACAAACAAAAAACCTGCACTAGCAACAATTCTTGGGCAATGAGCCTGTTTGGAGCCTAGGAAAACTGCATTAGTAACAAGCACCTTCATTCTACCAGGTAAGGTACAACCACTACCTTTGTCTTACTTCCACCCCACCTGGATTGCTATCTCTGGATGCCCTCCCACTTCCCCATTGTTACAGACGAGGGAAAAAAGAAAATCTTTGCTGTCACTTGCTCCCTACAGAAGGGTTTTTTTTGTTTTTGTTTTTGTTTTCTTTCATGGCATGTTGTCACTTCTTACATTATAAAGCAAAACATTAGAAGGAGTTAAGGTCATACTTATCTATCATAAATATGATTTTTGTCTTCTATCTGGAAAGTGATATGATTTATGTTTGTTTCTAACAGCTTCACTTTAGCTTTCATTTCCAAATTAAACTATCAGGCTATCACATACAGATGCTGGTTAAATTAAAATGTTAAATGAATGAAACAAAAAGGGAGGAATCTCTGGCCTTCCTGCCAAACATACCTCTCCCTGGACTAATGGCATTGTTCCTGAGTTAGTGAATTACTGATTTCTTCACTTGAACTATCCATGCAGTACACCTGAACTATCCACCTATCTCAGTTCAGCACCACCCTTTGCAGTTCTGGTCATTACATGCTTTGGAGAACCCAGTAGCTAATATGCCCTGTTTACAAGTTAAAAGTTCATGTGACTTTCTATCAAGACTTACTGCAATCTGTTCAAATGTTGTTTTATAGTTGGTCATTTTGTTCACATTTTAGAAATAATCATATTCAGTATGTTAAAAATATGTAACTTCTGTTAGAACTACACTGCTTTGCAGGAAGCTAACACTATGGTTAGAATTGTTTAGCAACACATTTCTTTCACTTCAGGGCTTGTGGGAAAGTAACCATATGTGTCATATGTCATGTAATTCTAAGCCAGAGCTGAGTGCTGAAATAAATTTTGAGTAGGGATCATTCTCAGCATTTAAAAGACTGAACTTCCAGATAACCTTGAATTGAACATGGATTAACCCAAGAAAGCAGAAGTCAAAACTTCAGGCTCTTACCAGAAATGGGCTCCAACAAATACAGGAGACACACATTATCGCCAGGAGCTGGATTACCATTTCCAAATGATGAGATCTGCCTTGTCTGTGCTGCTGACTTTTAAATTTAACTCTTAAAAGTGTAATTCCTGTGATTGCATTGCACAACAATGAAACACCAAGGGCTAAGAGCCCCAGAAAAGAAAAAAGTAGAAGATAAAATCTATCTTCCCAGTCTTTGATGTCTTCTGTGTTGTAGAAACACCAGGTCCTCGACGCCTGAATTTTATAGTCTCGATGTCCAAGGATGGGCAGCAAAGCTATGAAAACAGCAAACAAGCACACACCACTTAACATCATTTTCACATGTTTGGATGTAATTTTCGTAGAATGAAATATTGGTTTTGTGACTCCAATACACCGCTCAATGGCCATCACACTGCCTAGAAGAAGTGGGCACAGACCAGAAAACACCATGCAGATACCAAAAATACTGCAAAGGACATTTGATTGGTCAAAGCGGATCCATTCTTTATCAGAAGCATATACAAATACTGCTATGGCTCCATTGATGAGATGGCCAAAGAAATCAGTGATTACCAGGCCACTGGCCAAAAGCAGAAACGATGCCTTGGACTTCTGTCTAAATCTCTGATATGCCTTCATGAGAATGGCGATGGCAAGGCTGTTTGACAAGATTCCCACTGTCATGAAGATTACTGAAAAAAATACGGAAAGCCGGTTTTCCGTCTGGCAGGTTGTGTTTGAAAGAAGCGCAGCTGCAGGAGACACTAGCTGTTTGGAATTGTTCATGGACATTGTTGTGGAGATAAAAGCCAACCACTCAAGTCATCTCCCTCTCAAAACTGTGCAGGATTGCAGTCCAGACATCTGTAGGATAAAGGGAGAGGAATTATGAACACCGCATTACTGCTCATCTGACGTTTATGACTGACGTGCCCCAGCACCCGGTGGTGGGATGGGTTTTATCTGGCCTATCATAAGCAAGGTTGCATCATACTGAAAGCAGCTCATATCTGCCTGCGGTTCCACATTTCATTTTCAAGGTGAAGAAGCTGTTGAAATTGAGACCCCTTGGTTAACTTCTGTGGCCCCTCTGCAAATGAGCACCTCCTCCTCCTCCTGAATGTCCCCCTGACACGTCACTGACACCTTAAAATTTTCAAATTTTACAAAATCGCTACCAAGATTAGATTTAAACCCAATAAGATTTTTTAAATCCTAAGTCTATTAAAAAAGAGAGAGAGACCTTTTAAAGTGTCTTCTCTTTCCTCTGGTGGGCTTTGCCCCCAAACTGCAGATTATTCCTCAGTTAAACGACCTGCTTGTCAGGCAGACATAACTATCTCCAAACTTTGGAAGGGGACCAGCAAGTTCATTGATGTTAAATGCAGATTTTCTGAATATGTTTCTAAGCATAAATCAAATAACAGCAAACCACACACACGTTGAACCCATGAAAAGCAGAGTGGTGAGTCTCTGGGAAGGTTTTCTGGTCTAGCTGCCCCTGTGTAGAAATTCTGATTCGCGATGAGGAAGGGGGCGGGCCACGCTCACTGTGCACCTCGGCCAAGATCCTGTCCAGTTACAGCTTCAGAGTAGCAACATTCAAGGCGAAGTATTTGCTTGTCACTCTTTCCCTAGGGGGTTGAAGCCTGAGGCACAGACACTGGATACACAAGGCCACGGCCACTCTTCTCTGAGCTAATTCGATTGGCGTTTCCCGAGCAGCTAGCTTTCCCGGAGGCTGGGAATTCCGGAGCCAGCCTTTCCTGCGCCCAGCCCGAGTGGAACTGCCTAGGCTACCCCCAGGACGGTCGCCTTCTCCAGGTCTTACTCACAGTTCGACTTTCGCCCGTTACTATCCCCCCCGCCCTTCGGCCTGGCCTCGCAACATTCCCTCCAAACTAACGAACTCGCTGAAACTTTCTGCAATTGCTCAAACGCCAAAGGGCTGTTTTCTCCCTCATCCCGGGCACGGGGAGTGAGGACGTGCCCGGGTGAGGAACTCGCAGTGCCGCCCGCAGGGAACCCCGCAACGGCGAGAAGCGGAATCTGTGCCGATTTCCCTCTTCTGAGACCCTTTCTACCCAATCCCCCGCAGAGCAGCTCAGAATGGGGATGGGTTAGCTCGAGTACCCTTCTTTCTCTATGCGTCTCCCTAGCTTGGGGAATCTGGTCCAAACTCAGTGTCAGGCTCAGCCAGCAGAAGCTGTGGCTGGGTGTCTCAGGGGGTGAGTTGATTAAATCTGGGTCTAGATAAGCGAAGCCGATGCATTGGGATCAGCCTCTGGAGGGATGGTACCTTGTCATCCCAGGCCGCCAGCCGGGCTCTCTGAGGAGCAGAAGACGGAGCCGCTCGGTGTGCCATGGCGCCCCGCGCCGCCGCTGCCTCAAGTTCCACCGATCCCAGCGCGGAGATCCTGATCGGGCGCCGGCTGTGGTCCAGCCGCTCGTCCCCTCCGCGCACTCGTTCCCTTAGCGCGGAAACTGCGGGGCGCGCGCGGCTCCTGGGATCCCTCTGCACCTAGCTGCGCTGGCAGCCTGGGAGGGATGGGGCGCGCGAGTGACCTCCGCCTCTTCCTCTTCTCTCTCGCCTCCGCCCCCTTTTCCATGGGCACAGAGCAGTACTGGGAGAGAAGAGGGCACCGTGCTCGGATGCATCAGAGCTGCACTTAGCCGCTGGACCAGCTAAAGAAAGTTTGGTTTTAAACTCATTTTTATCCCCAAGCCATCTCTGGGGATGCAAGACAGCAGTCTGGAGAGCCGAGGAAAGCCTAAGATGGTGTGTTAGACTGTCGGATGGTAGCTTGCAGACAATTCATTCCAAGTCCAGCTCGAAACGCATAAAGAAACCAGGTAGAAAGAGGTTGTGTGCTTGAGGGAGAATTTTGTGGCAAATATCTCCAGGGAATTAAAAACAGGTATTCAAGCCCAGTATTGTAAATGAAAACACTCGCAGCCTCAGGGTTCACTGTCACACAGAGGACTGGGACTGTTTCCAGCTTTCTAAGGAATATGAAAAGGAAAAGGGATGAGATGACTTCTTGAAGTACACCTGCAGATAAGGGATTAGTAATATTTCAGTGATTTTAGAAGTCCACTGGAGAGAGAATTTCTAGTGATATGTATACCCCAAGAGATATGCGTCTAATAAATTTCGTGGAGATAAATTTATGATGAAGTAATCTATTTTTCATTAGGAATTACGATTTGAGCCATTTTATTCTGTAATTGCTTTTATCTAATATTGCTTCGACACACACCCATTAGCTGTGTCTCATTTTTGTAGCTAAACACTTATGTGAATCTATTATTGACTTTTGCTCTTTTTATTGTAGTAAAATGTTGCCACTACCTATGTGAAAAATCAGTACCACATGGAAACGAACCCTGTTTCTCCGTTCTAAAACCAGAAGGGACCTCTAAATTCCTGGAAATTGGAAGGGATCAAAAAATGAAAAAGCGGGATAAAATAAATTAGCCATTAACTGTAGAAAGGAATGATTGCAGTTTTCCCTTGTGGTAGATATTGAGATTTTTTTAAATGATATGATCATAACTGGTAAACTAAACTGTTACTTAATTATGGTGAGGGAATTAAACATTTTGGTTAGATAACCTGGTTACTAGAGAAATATTATACATGAATGGCCAGTATCCAAAAGGCAATTATGTGATAAGCTATACTGAAAATATGAATGACACAGAGTACTATTCTTTCCTTTATTTTTTAAAATATGTGAGTGCATATATAATTTTTTTCTTTTTTAAAAAACATGAAATTTTTGCACCTATTGACCTGTCCTCTAAGTTCCCTCCCCCTGCCCCCCACCCCCTAACAGGCCCTGGTGCATGTTGTTCCTCTCCCTGTGTCCATGTGTTCTCATTGCTGAACTCCCATTTATAAGTGAAAACATGCAGTGTTTGGTTTTCTGTTCCTGTGCTAGTTTGCTGAGGATGATAGCATCCAGGTTCATCCATGTCCCTGCAAAGGACATGATCTCATTCCTTTTTATGGCTGTGTAGTATTCCGTGGTGTATATGTACCACATTTTCTTTATCCAGTCTGTTATTGATGGGCATTTGGGTTGGTTCTATGACTTTGCTATTGTAAATAGTGCTTCAGTAAACACATGTGTGCATGTGTCTTCATAATAGAATGATTTGTATTCCTTTGGGTATATACCCAGTAATGGGATTGCTGGATCAAATGATATTTCTGGTTCTAGATCCTTGAGGAATCACCATGCTGTCTTCCATATTGGTTGAACTAATTTACATTCCTACCAACAGTGTAAAAGCATTCCTATTTCTCCATAGCCTCGCCAGCATCTATTGTTTCTTGACTTTTTTTTTCTTTGAAAGTCATTAATATTTTATTTTAACTTTTTTTAAATTATTATACTTTAAGTTCTGAGATACATGTGCATAGGTATACATGTGCCATGGTGGTCAACCCATCATCTACATTAGGTATTTCTCCCATTCTCTAGGTTGCCTGTTCACTCCGATGATAGTTTCTTTTGCTGTACAGAAGTTCTTTAGTTTAATTAGATCCCATGTGTCAATTTTGGCCTTTGTTGTCATTTTTTTGTGTGTTTTTGTCGTCATTGTTTTTTGTGTTTTTGTCATAAAGTCTATGCCCATGCCTATGTCCTGAATGGTATTACCTATGTTTTTTTCTAGAGTTTTTATTATTTTAGGTTTTACATTTAAGTCTTTAATCCATCTTGAGTTAATTTTTGTATAAGGTATAAGGAATGGGGTCCAGTTTCAGTTTTTTGCATATGGCTAGCCAGTTTTCCCAACATCATTTATTAAATAGGACATCCTTTCTCCATTGCTTGTTTTTGTCAGTTTTGTTGAAGATCAGATGGTTGTAGATGTGTGATGTTATTTCTGAGGCCTCTGTTCTGTGCCATTGATCTATATGTCTGTTTTGATACCAATACCATGCTGTTTTGGTTACTGTAGCCTTGTAGCATAGTTTGAAGTCAGGTAGCATGATGCCTCCAGCTTTGTTCTTTTTGCTTAGAATTGTCTTGGCTATATGGGGTCTTCTTTGATTTCATATGAAATTTGAAGTAGTTTTTTCTAATTCTGTGAAGAATGTCAGTGGTAGTTTGATGGGAATAGCACTGAATCTATAAATTATTTTGGGCAGTATGACCATTTTCATGATATTGATTCTTCCTATCCGTGAGCATGGAATGTTTTTCCATTTGTTTGTGCCCTCTCTTATTTATTTGAGCAGTGGTTTATACTTCTCTTTGAAGAGATCCTTCACATCCCTTGTTAGCTCTATTCCTAGGTATTTTATTCTTCCCATTCATGATTCGGCTCTCTGCTTTGCTATTGTTGGTGTAAAAAAAAAGCTTCTGATTTTGCATATTGATTTTGTATCCTGAGACTTTACTGAAGTTTCTTGTCTGCTTAAGAAGCTTTTGGGCTGAGACAGTGGCATTTTCTAAATATAAAATCATGTCCTCAGCAAACAGGGACAATGTGACTTCCCTCTTCCTATATGAATACCCTTTATTTCTTTCTCTTGCCAAATTGCTCTGGCAAGAACTTCCAATACTATGTGGAATACGAGTGATGAGAGAGGGCATCCTTGTCTTGTGCTGGTTTTCAAAGGGAATGCTTCTAGCTTTTGCCTATTCAATATGATATTGGCTGTAGGTTTGCCATAAACAGCTCTTATTATTTTGAGATATGTTCCATCAATACCTAGTTAATTGAGAGTTTTTAACATCAAGGGATGTTGAATTTTATCAAAGACCTTTTTTGCATCTATTGAGATAATCATGTGGTTTTTGTCTTTGGTTCTGTTTATGTGATGGATTATGTTTATTGATTTGCATATGTTGAACCAGCCTTGCATCCCAGGGATGAGACCAGCTTGAACATGGTAGATTAGTTTTTTGATGTGCAGCTGGATTCAGTTTGCCAGTATTTCATTGGGGGTTTTTGTATTAATGTTTATCAGGGATATTGGCCTGAAGTTTTCTTTTTTTGTTGTGTATCTGCCCAGTTTTGGTATCAAGATGATGCTGGCTTCATAAAATGAGTTAGGGAGGAGTCTCTCCCTTTCAATTATTTGGAATAGTTTCAAAAGGAATGGTACCAGCTCTTCTTTGTACCTCTGGTAGAATTCGGCTATGAATCCATCTGGTCATGGGCTTTTTTTTGCTTGGTAGGCTCTCTTCCTATTTGAATACCCTTTATTTTATTTATTATATAGGCTCAATTTCAGAGCTCATTATTGGTCTATTGAGGGATTTAATTTCTTCATGGTTTAGTCTTGGGAGGGTGTATGTATCCAGGAACTTACCCATTTCTTCTAGATTTTCTATTTTATTTGCATAGAGGTGTTTATAGTATTCTCTGATGATAGTTTCTATTTCTGTGGGGTCAGTGGTGATATTCCCTTTATCATTTTTATAGTGTCTATTTGATTATTCTCTTTTTTCTTCTTTATTAGTCTAGCTAGTGGTCTATGTATTTTGTTAATTTAAAAAAAACAGCTCCAGGATTCATTGGTTTTTTGGAGCTTTTTTATCTCCATCTCCTTCAATTCTGCTCTGATCTTAGTTGTTTCTTGTCTTCTGCTAGCTTTTGAATTAGTTTGCTCTTGCCTCTCTAGCTTTTTTAAATTGTGATGTTAGGGTATTGATTTGAGATCTTTCTAGCTTTCTGATGTGGGCATTTAGTCCTATAAATTTCCCTCTTAACACTGCTTTAGCTGTGTCCCAGAAATTCTGGTAGGTTTTCTCTTTATTTTAATTAGTTTCAAAGAACTTCTTGATTTCTGCCTTAATTTCATTATTTACCCAGGAGTTATTCAGGAGCAGATTGTTCCATTTCCATGTAATTGTGTGGTTTTGAGCGAGTCTCTTAATCCTGAGTTCTAATTTGATTGCACTGTAGTCTGAGAGACTGTTTGTTATGATTTCAGTTCTTTTGCATTTGCTGAGGAGTGTTTTACTACCAATTTTGTGGTTGAATTTAGAATAAGTGCCATGTGGCACTGAGAAGAATGTATATTCTGTGGATTTGGAGTGGAGAGTTCTGTAGATGTCTATTAGGTCCACTTCGTTCAGAGCTGAGTTCAACGTGGGATGTTAAAGTCTCCCACTATTATTGCATCAGAGTCTATGTCTTTGTAGGTCTCTAAGAACTTGTTTTATGAATCTGGGTATTCTTGTATTGAGTGCATATGTATTTAGAATAGTTAGTTCTTCTTGTTGCATTGTTCCCTTTACTTTTATATAATGCCCTTCTTTCTTTTTTGATCTTTGTTGACTTAAAGTCTGTTTTGTCAGAGACTAGAATTGCAACCTCTGCTTTTTTTGACTTTCCATTTGCTTGACAAATTTTCCTCCATCCCTTTATTTTGAGCCTATGTGTGTCTTTGCACATGAGATGGGTCTCCTGAATACAGCACACTGATGGGTCTTGACTCTTTATCCAATTTGCCAGTCTGTGTCTTCTAATTGGGGCATTTAGCCCATTTACATTTAAGGTTAGTGTTATTATTGTGAATTTGATCATGTCATCCTGATGCTAGCTGGTTATTTTCCACACTAGATGAGGCAGTTTCTTCATAGTGCCATTAGGCTTTATATTTTGCTGTGTTTTGCAGTGGCTGGTACTTGATTTTCCTTTCCACGTTTAGTGCTTCCTTCAGGAGCTCTTGCAGTGCAGGCCTGCCAGTAATGAAATCCATCAGCATTTGCTTTTCTGAAAAGGATTTTATTTCTCCTTCACTTATGAAGCTTAGTTTGGCTGAATGTGAAATTCTGGGTTGAAAATTCTTTTCTTTAAGACTGTTGAATATTGGCCCCCAATCTCTTCTGGCTTGTAGAGTTTCTGCTGAAAGGTCTGCTGTTAGTCTGATGGGCTTCCCTTTATAAGTGACCTGGCCTTTCTCTCTAGTTGCCCTTTACATTTTTTCCTTCATTTCAATGTTGGAGAATCTGATGACTATGTGTCTTGGGATTGATGTGCTCATGGAGTATCTTAGTGATATTCTCTGCATCTCCTGAATTTGCATGTTGGCCCGTCTTCCTAGGTTGGGGGAGTTCTCCTGGATAATATCCTGATATGTGTTTTCCAGCTTGTTTCCATTCTTCCCATCTCCTTCAGGTATGCCAGTCAATCGTAGGTTCGGTCTTTATACAATGTCCCATATTTTTTAGAGGATTTGTTCTTTCCTTTTCATTCTTTTTTCTCTAATATTGTCTGGATGCCTTATTTCAGCAAGGTGGTCTTCAGACTTTGGTATCCTTTCTTCCGCTTGTTCGATTTGGCTATTGATACTTGTGTATGCTTCACAAAGTTCTCGTGCTGTGTTTTTCAGCCCCATCAGGTTATGTTCCACTCTAAACTGGTTATTCTAGTCAGCAACTCCTCTAACCTTTTATCAAGGTTCTTAGCTTCTTTGTATTGGGTTAGAGCAAGCTCCGTTAGCTCAGCATAGTTTTTTTTAATTACCCATCTTCTGAAGCCTTCTTCTGTCAATTCGTCCATCTCATCCTCTGTCCAGTTTTGTGCCCTTGCTGGAGAGACATTGTGAACATTTGGAGAAGAGGCACTCTGGCCTTTTGGGTTTTCAGTGTTTTTTCATTGATTCTTTCTCATCTTCGTGAGTTTGTCTAGTTTCAATCTTTGAGGCTGCTGACCCTGGGATGGGGTTTTTGTGAAGACTTTTTGTTGTTGTTGATGCTGTTGTTGCTGTTTGTTTGTTTTTCTTTCAATGGTCAGGTCCCTCTTCTATAGGGCTGCTGTTGTTTGCTGGGGGTTCACTTCAAGCCCTATTCATCTGGTTCACTCCCGTGCTTGGAGATGTCACTCAAGGAGGCTGGAGAACAGCAAAGATGGGTGCCTGCTCCTTCTTCTGGGATCTCTGACCTTGAGAGGCACCAACCTGATGCCAGCAGGATCGCTCCTGTATAGGGTTTCTGACAACCCCTGTTGGAGGGTCTCACCCAGTTGGGTGGCACGGGGAACAAGACCCATTTAACAAAGCACTTTGACTGTCCCTTGGTGGAGGGGCTGTACTTAACTAGGGGGAAACCCACTCATCTGGGCTGCCTGGATTCCTCAGAACTACCAGGAGGAAAGGGTAATTCTGCTGGTCCACAGACTGCGGTCACCCCTTCCCCTAGGGGCTCAGGCCAAGGGAGATCGGGGTTCTATCCCCGAGCCTCTGGTTGGAATTTTTGGAGTTCCTGCAGGAAGCCCCACCCAGTAAGGAAGGATGAGTCAGGGTCAGGCCTGAGGAGGTGCTCTGGCTGCAGTCTGTCACAGCTGGTGTGTAAGGCTGTGGAGACAACTTTTGGGACGAAGCCATCCAGCCTCACTGGCTCCAGCAGGGGAAAAGTGTGGTCTGGAGCTATAGAGATGGATGCTGCCCTTCCCCCACCCAGGGAGCTTAGCGTGTTAGGCAGTTGTGAGTCCCAGCGCTGGGTGCTGCCCCTCTCCCAAGGAGCTCAAATGGCTTAAACAGCAGGCAGCTGCAGCTCTGGTGCTGGTTGCCCCTCCCCCCAGGAGCTTGGCCGGCCTAAGCGGATTCCAGCTGAGAGGCTGTTGAGAATCTGCATGGCTCCGGGATTGGGGCCCTAGACCCTGGTGGCATTGGCTCGCAAGTGGGATCTTCCAGTCCATGGTTGCACAGTTCCATGGAAAAAGCACAGTTTCCCCAGCTGGGTAGCACAGTCACTAACCACCTCCCTTGGCTGGGGAGGGCAATCTCCCCTGCCCCATGTGGCTCTCAGGTGGGCTGCCGCACCACACTGCTCTTCCTCACTCTCCATGGATCATGCCAGCCACCTAGTCAGTTCTGATGAGAGAACCTGGATACCTTGGTTGCTGGTGAAAGATTCACATGCTTATTATGGTTCTTTTCAGTGGGAGCCTCCAATCGCCACTGTTTCTAGTGGGCCATCTTGGCCCCACCTCCTATTCTTTCCTTTAATGATTAATAGCACTTAATGACATGACATTGCAATTGTTGGTTTACTTATGTCTCCCACTGAAATGAATTACTGCAGAAGTTTTGTTCATCTCTTCATTCTCACCTAGGACAATGCCTGGCCACTCATCAAATGTTGCTTAAGTTAATAAATGCTATAGTCAGTATTTCCAGTATTAGAGTTCAGGATTTTGAAAATTTTCAGGCTCTCACTGGAGCATCTCACTAACATCAGCTGCTCTAGCTACTGGGTGTTTAAAACAAGAAAAAAATTCACATAAATACAATGTCAAATTGTAACATTCATTATGTAATATATTCAAAACAATATTAATTTCTTTTTCAAAGTACTAGATAAATCCGATTTCAAAACAATATCTACTTTGTATGTATTCTTGGTGTTCCTTTTTTAGAACCCATTCCTTAATCAAGACACATTTCACCTGAGCATTAATAAAAGAGTCTACAGCACCTCCATCTCTTCTCTGCATGTTACTAGTCTAAAGGAAGAATAACTAACTACTTTCAAAAGAAAACAAAAAACTCACATACACAGACAAACATGTGTGTCTGGTCTTATGGGCCCCAAATCTGATCCCTATTCAAAGTACCCAAAGACAACCCTTGAGTGCTTATATAAAAAAGAAAACCTGGGGAAACCACAGATGAAAGGAACTAACAGACCAAAATGTTGTGGAGAGTGGGAGATGCCTGATAAACCCTTCTGAAAAGTAGTGCAGCTTGTATAGTTTCAAAGAAGTGGACACTAATAGAACCACTCATTCATACATTCTTCAGTAAATTCATTGAGCATCTACTTTGCACCGCACTCCGTTTCTAGGAGGCAGAAACACAGCTGTATGAATAAGGCATCTTAGCCTCTGCTCTGGTGTGGCATCTAGGCTAGGAGAAAGCACTTACTTTTGTAGCATGCATGCTGGAAATCTTGATAGGATTTTAGATGTCCTTTTTGTGTTAAATAGAGGCAGAGCTGATGTCAGCCTGTCTACAAGAAGATAACATGCCATGACAGGTGTGTGCTTGCCAGTCACCTTCATTCAGGGTTACAGGCAAGACACTTCTCTCAGAAGATGGGCACACTGTAATTACAATCAGAGAAACAGGGACTCTGTGTCACTGAGGTTGAGACAAAAGTTCCATAAAAATCAAGAGGAGTTCTGGAAGTTGATTTCATAGTTTTGATAAAATTGCCTAGAAAAGCTTTATTGGAATTTGCCATCAAGATTAATCGTGGAGGCTGGGCACAGTGGCTCATGCCTATAATCTCAGTATTTTGGGAGGCCAAGGTGGGCATATGGCTTCAACGTAGGAGTTACAGACCAGCCTGGGCAACATGGTGAAACCCCATCTCTATAAAAAAATATACAAAAATTATCCAGGTTTATTGGTATATGCCTATAGTCCCAGCTACTTGGGAGGCTGAGATGGGAGGATTACTTGAGCCTGGAAGGCCAAGGCTGCAGTGAGCTGTGATTGTGCCACTGCACTCCACCCTGGGCAACACAGTGAGACCTTGTCAAAAAAAAAAACAGATTAATAGTGAATACATGCCACTGTTTCATAGTGATAAAAATAATAACTTTGTCTTTTCATTTTTATTATGTAACTACTTGAAATATAAAAAATAATATATGTACACATTTGTTAGTTATAAATTATAAAATAAACATTATGAACCTGCCACTTTATTTAAGAACTGTATTCATTTTTCTAAGACTGCTGTAACAAAGTACTATAAACTAGGTAGCTTAAACAACAAAAACGTATTGTTTTAGAGTCTGGAGGCTAGAAGTCCAAAATCAAGGTGTTGACAGGATTGGCTCTTTCTGAGAACTGTGAGAGAAAATCTATTCCATGCCTTTGCCTAGCTTCTGGTGATTTTCTGGCGATCTTTTACATTCTTAGACTTGCAGAGGAATATGATTGTAATTTCTGCCTTTATTTTCACATACCCTTCTCCCTGTGTTTTTGTCTTCATGTAGCCGTCTTCTCATAAAAACCTCAGTCATGTTAGATTAGGGGTCTACCCTACTCCAATATGACATGATCTTAACTAATTTTATCTGAGCTACCCTATTTTCAAATAAGGTCACATTCTGAGATTCAAGGTGTTAGGAGTTCAACAAATCTTTTTTGGAATGGACACAATTCAATCCATAGCAAGGACTATATTAGAACATTACCAGTATTACATCTGCCTATATGCCTCTCCCTCCATTTCATTTCTCTATATCTTTCCCCCAGATAACCACTATCCTGAATTGTGTCATAGTTCTCTTGAATTTTTATATTGTTTTGTTATACAGATATGCAGATGAGCCAATATATTAATTATTTTGGATTGTAAATTTTCTGCAACTTGCTTTTTTATGCAAGATTTTTTAAAGCATGTATATTGATATTTGCAGCAGTGGTTTACTCATTTACAAAGATCTGTAATATCCCAATGTTAGGACATTCAAATTTTAAGATAGTATTCTGTTAATAGCTATGAAGTTATTTTCCCAGGTTTTGTTCTTATGAAATATTATACTATGAATGGTCTTGCACCCAACACCTTGTGGAAGAGTTTCTTTTTTTTTTAATTTCATTATTATTATACTTTAAGTTTTAGGGTACATGTGCACAATGTGCAGGTTTGTTACATATGTATACATGTGCCATGTTGGTGTACTGCACCCATTAACTCGTCATTTAGCATTAGGTATATCTCCTAATGCTATCCCTCCCCCCTCCCCCCACCACACAACAGGCCCCAGCGTGTGATGTTCTCCTTCCTGTGTCCATGTGTTCTCACTGTTCAATTCCTACCTATGAGTGAGAACATGCAGTGTTTGGTTTTTTGTCCTTGCGATAGTTTGCTGAGAATGATGGTTTCCAGCTTCATCCATGTCCCTACAAAGGACATGAACTCTTCATTTTTTATGGCTGCATAGTATTCCATGGTGTATATGTGCCACATTTTCTTAATCCAGTCTATCATTGTTGGACATTTGGGTTGGTTCCCAGTCTTTGCTATTGTGAATAGTGCCGCAATAAACATACGTGTGTATGTGTCTTTATAGCAGCATGTTTTATAATCCTTTGAGTATATACCCAGTAATGGGATAGCTGGGTCAAATGGCATTTCTAGTTCTAGATCCCTGAGGAATCCCCACACTGACTTCCACAATGGTTGAACTAGTTTACAGTCCCACCAACAGTGTAAAAGTGTTCCTATTTCTCCACATCCTCTCCAGCACCTGTTGTTTCCTGACTTTTTAATGATCGCCATTCTAACTGGTGTGAGATGGTATCTCATTGTGGTTTTGATTTGCATTTCTCTGAGGGCCAGTGATGATGAGCATTTTTTCATGTGTTTTTTGGCTGCATAAATGTCTTCTTTTCAGAAGTGTCTGTTCATATCCTTTGCCAAATTTTGATGGGGTTGTTTGGTTTTTTCTTGTAAATTTGTTTGAGTTCATTGTAGATTCTGGATATTAGCCCTTTGTCAGATGAGTAGGTTGCAAAAATGTTCTCCCATTCTGTAGGTTGCCTGTTCACTCTGATGGTAGTTTCTTTTGCTGTGCAGAAGCTCTTTAGTTTAATGAGATCCCATTTGTCAATTTTGTCTTTTGTTGCCATTGCTTTTGGTGTTTTAGACATGAAGTCCTTGCCCATGCCTATGTCCGGAATGGTACTGCCTAGGGTTTTTATGGTTTTAGGTCTAACGTTTAAGTCTTTAATCCATCTTGAATTAATTTTTGTATAAGGTGTAAGAAAGGGATCCAGTTTCAGCTTTCTACACATGGCTAGCCAGTTTTCCCAGCACCATTTATTAAATAGGGAATCCTTTCCCCATTGCTGGTTTTTGTCAGGTTCGTCAAAGATCAGATGGTTGTAGATATGTGGCATTATTTCTGAGGGCTCCGTTCTGTTCCATTGGTCTGTATCTCTGTTTTGGTACCAGTACCATGCTGTTTTGGTTACAGTAGCCTTGCTATCTATGACAAACCCACAGCCAATATCATACTGAATGGACAAAAACTGGAAGCATTCCCTTTGAAAACTGGCACAAGACAGGGATGCCCTCTCTCACCACTCCTATTCAACATAGTGTTGGAATTTCTGGCCAGGGCAATCAGGCAGGAGAAGGAAATAAAGGGTATTCAATTAGGAAAAGAGGAAGTCAAATTTTCCCTGTTTGCAAATGACAGGATTGTATATCTAGAAAACCCCATCGTCTCAGCCCAAAATCTCCTTAAGCTGATAAGCAACTTCAGCAAAGGCTCAGGATACAAAATCAATGTGCATAAATCGCAAGCATTCTTATACACCAGTAACAGACAAACAGAGGGCCAAATCATGAGTGAACTCCCATTCACAATTGCTTCAAAGAGAATAAAATACCTACGAATCCAACTTACAAGGGATGTGAAGGACCTCTTCATGGAGAACTACAAACCACAGCTCAGTGAAATAAAAGAGGATACAAACAAATGGAGGAACATTACATGCTCATGGGTAGGAAGAGTCAATATCGTGAAAATGGCCATACTGCCCAAGGTAATTTATAGATTCAAGGCCATCCCCATCAAGCTACCAATGACTTTCTTCACAGAATTGGAAAACACTACTTTAAAATTCATAGGGAACCAAAAAAAAGCCCACATTGCCAAGTCAATCTTAAGCCAAAAGAACAAAGCTGGAGGCATCATGCTACCTGACTTCAAGCTATACTACAAGAAGAGTTTCTTTAGAATATAGACTTAGAGTGAAATTACTGAGTCATAGAGTTCAACTTTACAAGATAATGTTAAGCTGTTGTATTAATTCACATTCCCTCAAGCTGTGTATATGAGCTCCCCTTCATTCACATTCATGACAATGCTTGAAATTGTCTAGCTTTTTAATTTTTACCAACCAGATGATTATAAAATATCACATAGTAGGCATAAATTACATTTCTCTGTCCATTCCTGTTTCTTCTTCTATGAAATGTCTGTTTTCTTTTGTCCAATTTTTATTGAGTTGTCTTCTTATTGATTCCTTACATGTTCTGGATACTAATCCATTATAAATTATGTATTTCAAACATATTTATCCAAATTACAGCTTGCTTTTTCATTTTCTTAATGCTCTCTTTTTTTACGGTCCTCAATTTTAAAGTAATCACATTTAAATATTTTAAACCCCATCTTTCATGTTACATTTCAGCATTTTTGTGTTGCATTTTAAAAGTCCCTCCAGATACTAGATTATAAGTATATTCTAGTATATATTTTCTAAATATCTTACCATTTCTGTCATTCACATTTAAATCTTGAGTCCTTAAGATAATGATTTTTAATATGATGTGAAGTAAGAACCTAGATTTTTTTCTCCATATGATAACCAATTTTTGTGGTCCCATTATTAAAGAATTCTTCTGTTATGAATTGATTTTTTTCCCCCAAAATTTATATGTTGAAGTGCTAATGCTCAGTATCTCAGAATATAACTTTATTTGGACATGGGGTATTTAAAGAGATAATCAAGTTAAAATGAGGTCTCTACAGTGGGCCCTAAAATAATAGGACTAATGTCTTTCTAAGAAGGGGAAATTTAGAGACAGATACCCATACAGGAGAACACAGTGCAAACATGAAGGTAGCCACCTACAAGTCAAAGTAAGGAGTAACAGATCCTTCACTCATGGCCCTCAGAAAGAACCAAACTTATACCACCTTAATTTCAGACTTCTAGCCTCCAGACTGTGAGACAATGAATTCCTGTTGTTTAATCCACCCAATTTGTGGTACTTTGTTATGGCAGCCTTATACACCCTGCCTTCTCCACTAATCTGGAATATGCATCTTTCATATATCAATTTTCCCTATATGCATAGGAAAACTATCATTTTTGACTGCCCACCATATAGTAGAAATTAAAATAGGTGCCTTAAGCATATTATAGTATTTAATTCTCTAAACAAATGTATGAAGCCCAAGTGGACATCATCTCTCACCTGAAATAGAACAATCTCCTCCTAGTTGTCTGCCATCTTGTTTGACTCCAATCCATTGTTCTCATGCAATCCTCTATTGAGTAGAGTCTCTAAAGCAGGCTGACCAAGCTCACTCACATTTAAACCCTTCCACTTACATCCAGTTCTGTAACCTTAGGAAATTAAGTTCTATATGCATTGGTTTGCTCATTTTCATGATGTAAAAATAATACTTCCTATCTCACAGACTTGTTATGAGAATTAAATTAGCTAAGTACTCTGAAGAGTACTTGGAGCTCCACAGAGGTAGATGCTATTATATCTTTATAAAATGCAAGTATTATTATGTTGGTTCCCAACTTAGAACCCTGAAATGTCTTCCCATTTCTCATCATTTCACCCCAAGCAGATTCTTTGGTGCCTCAGTTCATAAAAGGGTAATACATATTTTAAATATTAATTGGGTTTAGGGAAGCTTTTAAACAAACCTTAAATAAAATATTATAGAAAATTAATAGACACTAATGTGACTGTGAATCTTCTGGAAGGAAGAGAATGTTCAGTGGGTCCCAGTGGAGTCTGGTCTCATCAGAAAGTACTATTCAGGAAGCTCTATTGTCATGGTTAGAATAAACTGAATTCTTTAAAGTGGCATTCGGGGCCCTTCCTAATCTATCCAGCTGCTTCATCCTCGGCACTTAACTCTCTTTCATCACTCCTAGAACTATCAGAGGTAAATGCCTCAGCAACACTGACATTTTCTGCTCCTCAATCTCACCTCTCGGCCTTCATGCACTCAGTTTCCTGTCTTTAACAATCACACACTGCCTGACTCTTCCTCAGCCTTCAGCACCCCACAAGTTTGTGTGCTTTCTGTACCCCGCACTAACTGCAAGCCTGTAATCGTCACTGTTTCCAGCACCTTCACATACTATGGTAGGTGCTCAGGAAAGAATGCATGAATGAATAAGTGAACAAATGAAGTAGGTATGTCACAGATTTGGAAATCCTAGCACAAAGAAGTAACTTATACTGCCTCTGGGTTTAACAAAATATAATAAAGTGTTGTCCTTTATGCACAAGGTTGTTGCTGCTCACTCTACTGCCAGAAGGACAGATGATTCTATTGTTTTTCATTCAGTGCAGAAGGTTTTGCAATAGCGCATCAACATTCTTTCACAATATCCCTGACCAACAGTGGCACTTTTTGGTTAACTCTTCATGACAAGGACAAAATAGAAATTTTAGGAGGTAGAAAGAAAGGAAAGGTTAGGAGGAAGTTGACCAGAAAGATAATAATTATTGGCTTCTTACCCTGTTCCTGGCACTGTGAGAGGCTCTTGTAATGCACACATTAATGCTATCAGGTGGTTATATTCTCATTATACAGAAGAGAGATCAGGAAACTGCAGCTCAGAGAGCGTAACTTATTTGCCCAAGATTATACAGCTATGGTGAAAGTGAGATACAGCCCAAACCATGAAGTAATCAGCTCTTTCTGCTTCATTCAGGGAATCAGCAGACAGTACAGACCCTCTTAAACTTCCTATTTCCACATCTCTCATTCAGCCGGGACCCTGTTCCTGACCACTCCCTCCAGAACCCTGGATGCCGAACACTCTTCACTATAAATTCTGCAAATTTGCTGGGCTCTTAAAGTGAGTGAGACATTGTGCTAAGGATATTGATGATACGGAAATGTTGTAGCCCCAGTTTGTGCCCTCAAAGAAACTTAAAATCTTGAGTGACCTGATAGTTCTTGATAACATTTCCTGCTTTTTACTTTACTTTTATTTTATCTTCATCATTTTCCAGACACCCATTTGCTCTTTTTTTATTTATTTTTTTATTGTTATACTTTAAGTTCTGGGGTACATGTGCAGAAGGTGAGGTTTTGTTACATAGGTATACATGTACCATGGTGGTTTACTGCACCCATCAACCTGTTACCTACATTAGGTATTTCTCCTAATGCTATCCCTCCCCTAGGCCCCCAGCCCTCGACAGGCCCCAGTGTGTGATGTTGCCCTGCCTGTGTCCATGTTTGCTCTTTTAGAACTTTATCTTCTGACTTATCTCACTTCAATGTTTGAAATAGAAATCATGATCCAGCCAACTAAGAAACAAATTTAATCTATCAGCTAACTTTTCTTAATGGTCCTGAGCAAGTGGGACATAATACAAACAGTGTTCAGCAAGGGTGAAAGTAACAAGCTAAAGTTTGTTGCAAGGAAGGGAATAAATCAGCCGCAGCATCACAGAAATGCCTGAGGGCACCGGGGCCCCTAGGGCAGGGTACTAAGAATGAGACAATACTGTGGAAGCAGACTTTCCCTCCTTCACTTTTTTGTTCATGCTCGCACATTAAAAGGTATAAAGTTTACATTTATTGAATACTATGTCATGTGTATTATTTACTTAACTCTCATAAAAACTCCATGAGAAAAGGCAAAACCATAATCCCCATTTTGCACATGAGGCAAATGAGGCACAGAAAGATTAAGGGGTTAAATCATATAACAGTAGAGGAAGAATTCACTCTTAGACCTGCTGAGTTCCCAAGCCCCATGACCTTAACCTCTGGCCCACACTGCCTCACTGAAAATGATAAGCAGCCAAAACTCCCCTGCACACTGTATCTGGAAACAGAGGGTTGTCTGCATATCTGCAACTATCATGGCATCTTCTTTTGTAGCTGATTATCGAGAGTCATCTTGAGTCCTTGACTGCATGCAATCAATACTTGCCTGCAATTTTCACATGAATTTCACTTTAGTGAGGTTTCAAAATACCATCGTCTACATCCAAAGCAAATCTGGGACCACCGTAAAAGATGATGAGATCTTCCTTAGAAAAGTAAAGAAAATTACCTCTTTAAAAACCATTAAAAATTAGGCTCTTGAACTGTAATTCAAGTAAAGAGAGCCTGAAGGGGAAAATATTGATAGGCTAGCTGTACTTCTAACTTAGCACAAAGAGAAAACAGTTTTCTTTGGGAGATGCAGCCATCACAGCTGTGGAAACAATGGAAACAATAACATCAAAAAAGCTGATCTTGAGAGTAGAGCTGACCCCTTGGGCTTGCAACCAATGCAATCCCACAAGGCATGGAACTTAGACTTCACACTTAGGGTCAATGCTCTGCAGCTGCCACCCTGAAATTTTTAAATTTATTTTATTTTATTTTATCTTATTTTATTTTATTTGACACAGGATCTCAATCTATCACTCAGGCCAGAGTGCAGAGGTGTAAACATGGCTCACTGCAGCCTTTGAACTCTCTTGCTCAAGTGATCCTCTGACCTCAGCCCCTCATGTAGCTGGGACCACAGGCAGGTGCCCAGCTAATTGTTTTTTTGTTTGTTTGTTTGTTTTTTTTTGGAGAGACTGGGTTTTACCCTGTTGCCCATGCTGCTCTCTAACTCCTGGGCTCAAGTGATCCACCTGCCTCAGGGTCACAAAATGCAGGGGTTTGGAATTCTTAATTACTGTATCTTTGAATTTGTGTTTTGTAAATGAAATCCAGTAGAACAATGGAGCATGTGCCAGGATCTTGGAACTACCTGCCCAAGCATAGACCTGTCTCTGTGGGAAGGGCCTCTGTGTAATGGGTTCTCAAGCACCCTTACCCACGTGCCAACCCCTGTGTCTTCCCCCATCCTCTTTCACATGCCCTGCCCAGTGATTGCTGCCACCCTTCACCAGGGAAGGGCCCTGGTCTCAAATTTGGATATGCTTGTGATCCAGCACAGACACCTTGTGGCAGCTCAGGATGGGACATGGTGGCTGCCGTTCTCACTCCAAGTGAGAAGTGTCTAGGGAGGGAGGGACAACTTTCTCACTCACCCTCATCCAGGCATTGAGCACATCCTGGCACAGAGGTTTAAAGATATTTAGAGGGCACCCATCTACTGTGAGGTGGTGGCCCAAGGAAATGGAAGGCACCTGACTCAATTCCCACCCAAGCCCTCTGTCCGGGAGGGGGCAACACAAAGATTCCTTGGCTGGTGGGAGGAGGAACTCAGTAGCCATTGGGCCCAAGCAAGCACAAATGTACCCCAAATCACAGAGCAGGGCCCTTGGATGCCTGTAAGAGTCTGTACTAGCCCCACAAGTATTCCTATACCCCAAGTGCCCCCTCAGCCAATGGATACCTTGGAGATCCTTTCGTCTTCCTTCCAATCTTCCAGATCTTGCTTGAGTTTGTCTCTTCCAACCAGCTAGAGGCACCCTCCCAGCATAAGCAATGAAATACAAATTGTGTAATTTTGGAGATTCTGCACACAAATGAAATGTCCTGATGTTTGCATTTAAATTGGCATTGCACAATATAAAGATAAACAATAAAATTCATGCTAACAATTTAACAATTTAACTTTATTTAATAAGTTAATAGCAAATAAAAATCATCATGACTAGTCAAGAGAGAGACCACAAAATAAACAGCTGTGAATTTTCATACTTTAACAGCACTTTTTTTTCTGTTTTTTGCATTTCTCTCATCTTTCACAGCAGTGACTGGGTCTTAGACATCACATATCTCCTATCATAGTGCCTGCGGGGCAACATATAATCAATAAATATTTGGTTAGTGAATGAATAAGCTCCCATGGCATTTTTTCCTTCCCTTATGGCACTAACAGTGTTCTGCCTGCCAAATTGACAAAGAGGCTGTGTCCTTTTTATATTTCCATCTTCCATAAAACTTAACACAATTATTTTGTTGGTGTTAATGTATGTTGAATAACTATGTGTGTTTCTGCTTTCCCTTGTCTCAGAAACTGTATCTCTCTAGATAATATGAAATGGAAAATAAAAAGTATAGACTGAATAAATTAAAACAGAAACATACTCTCAAATTATCCAGTGGGACAGAAAAAAAAGTCATTTTCAGCCCAAATTGTGTCATTCTCCACATATATCATGTCTAGACATAGCTGAAGCATCACATCTTATTTTCTAAAAGCCAGTGATAACTAACTCTAACATGAATGATATTGTTTCTTCTATTATAGAATTTTTAAAGATATTAAATTAAAAATTAAAAGCACTGTATTGTCACAAATGTTTTTAAATATTCAAAAAAAAAATCTTGGCTCTCTGAGTCACTTCTCTGGCAGTAGAAGGATCTCATCTTCTGAAAATGCCAGTCAGAGCCAAATATCACCAACCAGGGGGAACAAAAGTGTTGTCAGAACATTGTGTCTTTAAAACACATGTGGAAGTTTGATCTTTCATATAATCAAATTTTTATTCTCAACAGGATAATCATCAGACAGAAATGTCTCCCTTTTCAGAACACCTCACTTGTATATCTAATACCTTCTGCATATCTCTGCCACAGTTGATGGTTAAAATGCAATTGGCAGGGGTAAAACTTCACCTCAAAATAGATTAATTCTCCTGACATTTCATCAGCAATTCCCAGGCATCAAGCAGATCGATGCATTAGTCATCACTGATGCCTCCGTTTTTCCCCACCCCATCAATATCTCAACATAGCAACTCAGTCACCAATTAGCTGATTAAATTAGACAAGTCACTTGGCCCCCCTTCCCCTGGGTTTCAGATGTCATCCACACACTGGAGAGCAGCAAAGAGAGGAAAGAAAAAGAGAAGACATACATAGGCCTTAAAATGATCTTCAAGATTGTCTGTTAGGGTTCTCCAGAGAAATAGAACCAATAGGATGTGTGTGAGTGGTATACATACATACATGCACACACACACACACACACACACACACACACACACACACATATATATATATATAGAGAGAGAGAGAGAGAGGAGTTTGTTATAAGTAATTGGCTCCTGAAGTTTTGGAATGTAGCAAGTCCAAAATCTGCAAGTGTGACCCAGCAGGCTGGAGAAGAGCCAATGGTGCAATTCCAGTCCAATGACCAGCAGGTAGACACCCAGGTCGTGTTCCAGTTCCAATGGAAAGTCAGTCTTCTGGAGAATTCTCCTTGCTGTGGGATGCTGGCCCTTTTGTTCCATTCAGACCCCGAGCTGATTGGATAAGGCCCACCCACACGATGGAGGGCAACCTGCTTTACCAAAGTTTATTTATTTATTTATTTATTTATTTATTTATTTATTTATTTGAGACAGGGTATCACTCTGTTGCCCAGGCTGGAGTACAGTGGCGCCATCTCAGCTAACTGCAGCTTCTGTCGCCTGGTTTCAAGCAATCCTCCCATCTCAGCCTCCCAAGTAGCTGGGACTACAGGTGTGCACCACCATGCCCAGCTAATTTTTGTATTTTTTTGTAGAGACGAGGTTTCACCATATTGGCCACGCTGGTCTCAAACTCCTGACCTCGGGTAATCCTCCCACTTTGGCCTCCCAAAGTGCTGGAATTATAGGCATGAGCCAACACACCTGGCCAAGTTCACCAATTTAAATGTTAATCTCATCCATAAATATTGCTGAAGTTGACACATAAAATTAAGCATTATATATTCTTTCTACCATGTAAATTATTTCATACTTTGTTCCCAAGTCCAGTTGATTCTAGCTCTACAGAATTTCTTGCATCTATTTACTTCTTTTCAGTTCCACTGGAAAGAATCTTAAGACAAGGCTTTACTTCTCTTTCTTCCGACTTTAAAGAATACTACACATTATTGTAGGATTAGTCTTCCCAAAATATAAATCTAAGCTTAAAATCTTTCAGTAGCTTCCAATTAATCATCAAGAAAAAATCCAGTCTCTGTAGTCAAACTAGCAAGACCTCCGCAGTCTAGTGCTGTTTTCTACTTTTTCCCCACTTGACCTACACTTTGACCCGCTGTCTTCCAAATACACTCCATGCTTAATTTTTTACCTCAGTACCTGTGCTCCCATTGTTTCCCCTTTCCTAAATGCCCTTGCCTCCACTCTCTTTATCCAAATACTGCCCCTATTTTAAAGCCCATTCAACCACCGTCTCCTCTATCAAACCTTCCCCAAATGTCCCTCTTCCTATTTTGTTCCAAGCTGGAATGCTGTCTATTTCTCGTAACTACTAAAGAAATAATTTTCTATTTTTTAAGTTATCCCTCTTTACATTGCATCATGGATATTTGTTCTAATCTCACTCTTTCTGCTATCAATTACTTAATGACAGGGACATCAATTAAATGTTTTTAATGAATGCATGCATCTGTTTTAGTGGATATGCAGTAGACATTTTGAACAACCAGGCAAATCTGATAGAATGTTTTGCCCAACCATTTTTAGTGCATTGATGAATTCTAAGCAATACAAAACAGCAGTGGGATGGTACATAAAATTATAAGGAGCCTGGACTTAGCCTAACCATTTTTGTTCTGGATTGAGAATCCCATGAGAGAAGGTGGGAGAGAATGGTTGGTAGTAATAAAACATCTCTGACTTTATCCCCTGACTTTCAGCCTTTGCTTGAGATCCTGTAACTTAAATCATTGTTATTAGTCACTGTCCCTGAGATATATAGCATTTCATCTGAATGCTTTAATTATCAGACAGGCAGAACGCCCTATGCACAGCTGAACTGGGAAAAACTACACAAAGCTTTTAGAGTAACAAGAAGAAAATAATTATGGCATATATATACATATATTCCTGTTTACCAATTACTGATCCATTGGCTAACTCAGGCCCAGAATGCACAGGTCCTCTCTGACTCCACCACTGTGATAGTTAATTTTATATATCAACATGATTTGCCACAGTGCCCAGATAGTTGCTCAAACATTATTCTGAATGTTTCTGTGAAGGATATTTTGGATGAGACTTATGCTTAAATCAGCAGACTTTGAGTAAGCAGATTGCCCTCCATAATGTGGGTGGCCCTCATCCAAGTAGTTGAAGGCCTGAAAAGAACAGAAAACTGACCTCCCCTTAGGAAGAGGAAATTGTGCCAGTAGATGGCCTTTGAACCTGAACTGCAACATCAGTTTTTCCCTGGGACTCCAGCCTCCCAGCTAGCACGGCAAATTTTGGAATTTCCAGCCCCACAATAGCATAAGCCAGTTCCTTCAAATAAATACATCTCTCCCCTGCCAATATAGATATTGTGTGTGTGTGTGTGTGTGTGTGTGTGTGTGTGTGTGTGTGTGTGCGTCCTATTGGTTATGTTTCTCTGGAAACCCCTGACTTATACAGTAGCTTAATCCTATCCCTTGGGCTGCTAAGTGAAATTGGCCCTCTCATACACCATTCAAGTCATCAGGGCACCAGCTAAATGAAATAACATTTCAGTCACACAAGGAACTGGAGCAGAGAATAAGAAACCAAAAGACAAGCCCATTTGTACAGAGTGGATGGATGTAGCGGGATTAGTAGAAGATTCACCTCACCAAACACGCGGGTGTCTAGAACTCATTCCAGATACCCTATAAACCAAGTCTGCTCCAGTTCCCTTTGGCTCATGGTCTAGAATGCTGATGTACTGCCATCTAATATCAGAACAGACTCAGGAATCTACAAAAACTTAAAATGAAAAGTAGCTGGGGAGGGCAAGGGCAGACACTCCCAGTGCTATGGACACTCCCATAACATTAGCTTAGTCATTTATTTGACAAATATTTATTTGTTCAGCCTGAACAAAATTCTGAATGCAATGATTCTAGACTGTTTCTGGAGTGAGTTTTCCATCATGTTATATGGCCAAGATTTAAGTGGGCAAGAAACTTATGATAGAATTGGCATGGTAAACATAATCCAAATATAACATGGAGAGGAGAAAGAGAAGTTGAGCTCAGAATCACACCACATCTGCAGGTGATTTTAGAATTTAACCACATCTAGGGTGTGGAATGGAAAACATATGGGTAAACCTTGCTTCTGCTGAAAGGCTGAAGGTGCTTGGATATAAAATGAACTGCTAAGCCAGGACTACGCTGGCAGTCATTGTGTTGCTGTGCCTACAACTTGCCAGGACATCTGCTCAAAGCAGTCATTCCAGGCTATTCTGCCATGCAGGCCTGTAGCTGATCCATTCAACTGAAATTTGGTCATTTCTTTATGATACCCCTGACTCACACACAGAATCTGCCAGTTTCAATGACATTAAATCCAGATAAAGACAGTACCAGCGTGAGTTCTGTGATTCAAAGCTATATGCTAAAAGAATAAAGAAATTTAAGAAGAAACTATTTCAACAAAATTATGAAAGTTTGACTTTAAAATAATCAAAAATTTATAAAATAGCAGAAGGTGATATCAGATGAATTTTAGTTAGCTTTAAGTGGATTCTTTAAGTATTTATACTCAGAAGTTTTTGTCTCACACATAGAATCAATCTATTGGTTGATTTCGTTCTTCCAAACCATTTAGTGTTCTGAAACTAATATAAGAGAAGTCTCTATGTCTACAATTATCCTCTAGTTTGCCCTGCTAATAATTTTCTTCGGTTGAAAGTTAATTGAATTGAATTGACCAGATGTTTATTATAATCTGGGAAATAACTTCTAGTAAATCTATAAGATGACTTCCACTTCCAGACTTTACAATGGCCTACATAATCAGCCTGCAGTTACTTATCTAATTTCCCTTCTTGTCTTCCTCTCACTCTAGTCATCTGTTATTCTTTCCTTAAACACACCAGGCCGACTCCTGCTTCGGTGCATTTGTACTGTGGTTCTCTCAGCCTGGAAAGTTTTCCCACAGGTATCTACTTAGCTAACTCCTTTACCAACTTCATGTCTTTGGTCTAGTCTCACCTTCTCAATGAGGTCTACTCTCACCATTGTAGTTACAATGTAAAGTGTCCCCCACGTTCTTCTCCAGCACCCTTGCACAGATGAGGGACCTTCACTCACCCTTGCCTGTACTCCCTTTCCTCTTTCTCCATAGTACTTATTACCTTCTAACATGCTATATGATTGATTGATTGTAATTATTATTTACTCTCTGTCTCCTCTAGAATGAAATCTGTGTGAATGTATTAGTGTGTCATGGCTAATATAACAAGTTAATTATTTTTTCAATTGAATCTCTTCTGAATGACTAGACTGAAATATGACCCCTTCTAGCTCCATTTTTTAAACCCAGCTTTATGTTTTGTATATATGCTGTAATATCTGAGAAGGACTTCTTCACAGGTTATATATATAAGGCATAACTCAGGGATATAGTGGGTTCGGCTCCAGACCACAGCAATAAAGTGAATATCCCAATAAAGGAAGACACACATTTTTTGGTTTCCCAGTGCATATAAAGGTAATGTTTAAGCTGAGTGTGGTGGCTCCCATTTGTAATCCCAGCTACTTGAGAGACTGAGGCCAGGAGTTCAAGACCAGCCTGAGTAACATAGCAAGACCCCATCTCTAAAGAAAACAAACGAACAAACTATCCAGGTGTGGTAGTATATGTCTGCAGTCCCAGCTACTTGGGAGGCTTAGGCAGAAGGATCACTTGAGCCCAAGAGGTCCAGGCTACAGTGACCTATGACTGCACCACCAGGCCTTCAGTGTCTTATAATCTTTTTGCTGGTAGAGAGTCTTGCCTTGATGTTGATGGCTGCCAACTCATCAGGGTGGTGGTTGCTGAAGGTAGGAGTACCTATGTCAAGTTCTTGAAATAGGACAACAATGAAGTTTTCCACATGAACTGACTCTTCACAAAAGATTTCTCTATTGCATGGAATGTCATTTGATAGCATTTTACACAGAGTAGAAGCTTCAAAATTAGAACTAGTCCTCTCAAACCTTGCTACTGCTTTATCAACTAGGTTTACGGCATCTTCTAAATTCTTTGTTGTCATTTCAAGAATGCTCACAGCACCTTCACCAGGAGTAGATTTCATTTCAAGAAACCTCTTTCTTTGCCCATCCATAAGCAGCAACTCCTCATTTCTTCAGGTTCTATCATGAGACTGCAGCAATTTGGTCACATCTTCAGGCTCTACTTCTATTTCTAGTTCTCTTGCTATTTTCACCACATAAGCAGTTCGTTCCTTCACCAAAGTTTTGAACACCTCCAAGTCATCCATGAGGGTTGGAATCAACCTCTTCCAAATTCCTCTTAATGTTAGTATTTTGACCTCCTTCTGTGAATTACAAATCTCCTTAATGGATCAAGGATGGTGAATTCTGGATTATGGGAGGTGCCAAGAGGGCTGACTAGAAACAGCTAGTGTGCAGTGCTCTCACAGAGTAGAGATAGAGTGGCAAGTAAATACTAGCTCTTCAAATGGATCACCTAGAAGGGCACATTGGGATTTATCAAGGAAGCAATATGACCCACAGAGAGCAGAGAGGAGTGAGACAGAACAGCTACCCACCCAGGATTGGTGTGGAGCCAAGGGAAACTCTCCACCGCAGGGAAGTGATGAGTGAGCAAGAGTCTCCAGGGACCCAAACTTCTGCCAAGGACCCTTGCAATCCCAGGCACAGGAGATCCCCCTTGACTCCCTGCCCTAGGGACCTCCAGACTGACCTGGAGAGCTGTATGGAGTCTGGGCAGAGCTACCGCTCAGATCCACACACAACTCCAAGGGCTTTAGACTCCTAAGCATCCCGGCATCAGCTGGCGTAACAACATCAACAAAGGAGGTCAGGATCCCTCACATGCCCCCAGAATAGAGACTCCATCCATGGCATCAAGGGACAGATGGACTGCAGGCTTCACCTCTCCTATACCTCATCAGGCAAAGCCCACTGGCCTAGGACCCCAGAATAGCCACCCGAGTCCTGCCTGAGCACTTTGGCCAGTCTCAGCTCTGCATTTCTCTGGAATGGAGCTCCCAGAGGTAATTGGCAGGCCTGCAGCTTTTGCCACTGCTGTGGCCCCCCACACCTTCTGCCTTCAAGCTGAGGAGGGAGCAAAGAGCCCAAGAACTATTGTGGGCTTCCAGCACACCCCAGCTGCCTTACAGAAAAATGGCCAGTCTTTTCCATGTGGGTCCCTGTCCCTGCTACTCTTCACTGGGCAGGGCCTCTCTACCTGGGCCTGCAGGACAGCCGCCTTGCCCCTCCTGATCACTTCTGTCAGTGGCAGCTCTGCATTTCTCTGGGGAGGAAATCCCAAAGACAACCCACCAGCTATCTGCCATTGCTACATCAATATCCTTTTGGTGCCTTCAAGCTAGAGAAGGAATGAAGATCCTGATCATTTTTTTGACATTCCAGCATGCCACATATGGAGAGGAGCCCATTCTGTCTTCCTTGTGAGCCCTCACCCACTGCTCTTCACCAGGCAGGGCCCCCCAGCTCAGCCTGCAGCACAGCCACTCCATCCCCAGCTAAACCCCCACTCCCATTGGCAGCAGCTCTGTGATTTTCTGGTGTGTGGTTCCCAGAGGCAACTGACAGCCCCTCAGCCATTGCCACTGCAGCAGTCCCAGTCTTTGCCACCACCAGGCTGTGGAAGAAACAAAGAGCCTGAGTGCTTTACTTGAACCTCCAGCATGCTGAAACTGTTCTGCAAAGAAGAGGCCAGGCTGTCTCCCCTGTGAGCTCTCCCGTGCCCCCTGCTCTTCATCAGGCAGGGCCCCTCAGTTTGGCCCAGCAACACAGCCACCCCACCCCCAGCAGATCATTCCAATTAGCAGTGGTTCTGTATTTCTTTGGTGTAGAGCCACAAAAGACAAGTGAAAGGCCCCTTGTCATTACCACTGCCAAGGTCCCTTCCCTGTTGCCTCAAAGATGGTGAGGGAACAAAAGCCTGAGCTCACCCCAGGGTGGTGGTGCACAGCCCAATAGTGACAAGATGAGATCTGTGACCAACACTCAAATGAGAGAGAAGCACACACTCTCACAGCACTGAGAGGAAGCATGACAGCAAACATGAGGAAATACAGAGAAGCCACAAGGCTGAGTAATAGCTTATCTATTGGCCATTGTGTTTAAAGCCAATGCTAATGGCCAATAATCATAATGGCCAATAGATAAGCTCTTACTCAACCATGTGGCTCCTCTTCTTAGCCCAACTTCAACCCCAAAAATACTTAGCAAATATGCCCCCTTGTGAAACCAGAGACAAGAATTCAACCATAAATAAAGACCCCACACAAAGACTCGGTCCTCTGAAAATATACAGAAACAAAGCCAACTGACTGTATTCAAGTTACAGCACACTTAAAGGAATATCAGCCCACACAGCTCAGAAATAACCAATGCAAGAACTCTGGCAACACTAAAAGCCAGAATGTCTCCTTATCTCCAAACGACTACACAAGCTGCCCAGCAATGGTTCTTAACCAGAATGAAATGACTGAAATCAAAGACATAGAATTCAGAACCTGGATGGCAACAAAGATCATTGAGATTCAGGAGAAAGTTGAAACCCATTCCAAGGAATTCAGTAAAATGATTCAAGAGATAAAGATGAAATAGCCATTTGAAAAAAGAATCAAACTGAGCTGATAGAGGTTAAAAGCTTACTACAAGAATTTCATAACACAATTGGAAGTATTAACAGCAGAACAGACCCAAGCTGAGGAAAGAAACACAAAACTCAAAGACCGCTTCTTCAAATTAACTCAGTCAGACAGAAATAAAGAAAATTTAAGTAAATGAACAAAACCTCCTGGAAAATATGGGATTGTGTAAAGAGACCAAACCTAAGACTCATGGCATCCCTGAAAGAGAGGGAGAGAGAACAAGCAACTTGGAAAATATATTTGAGGATAAAGTCCATGAAAATTTCCCCAACCTTGCTAGACAGGTTGACATTCAAATTGAGGAAACTCAGAAAACCCCTGTGAGATACTACACAAGATGACTATCACCAATACACACAGTAATCAGATTCTCCAAGACCAAAGAGAAAGAAAAATTTATTTAAGGCAGCTAGAGTAAAAGGGCAGGTCACTACAAATGGAACCACATCAGGTTAACAGCAGACCTTTCAACAGAAACCCTACAAGCAAGAAGAGATTGGGGGCCTATATTTAGCACTCTTAAAGAAAAGAAATTCCAACTAAGAATTTCATATCCAGCCAACTCCGTAAGATTCATAAGCAAAGAAGAGATGAAATCCTTTTCAGACAAGCAAATGCTAAGGGGATTCATTATTACCAGACCTGACTTTCAGGAGTTCCTTAAGAGAGTGTGAACTATGGAAACAAAAGATCATTACCAGTTTATGTACACTTAAGTACATAAACCACTGACACTACAAAGCAACTACACAATCAAGTCTACATAACAACCAACAACATGATGACAGGATCAAATCCACAAATATCAACATTAACCTTGAATATAAATGGGCTAAACACCCCCATTTAAAAGGCACAGAGTGGCAAGCTGAATAAAGAAACAAAACCCAACAGTATGCTGTCTTTGAAAGACCAATCTCACATGCAAGAACAAACATAGGATCAAAGTAAAGGGATGGAGAAAGATGTATCAATCAAATGGAAAACAAGAAAAAGCAGGGGTTGCTATTCTTACTTTAGACAAAACAGACTTTAAACCAACAACTATCAAAAAAAAAGAAGAGCATTATATAATGATACAGAGTTCAATTCAACAAGAAGACGTAACTATCCTAAATATATATGCACCCAACACTGGAGCACCCAGGTTCATCAAACACGTTCTTAGAGATTTATGAAGAAACTCAGATAACCACACAATAATAGCAGAAGACTTCAACACCCCATTGATGTATTGGACAGATCATCAAGGCAGAACACTAACAAATAATTTCGGGACCTAGACTCAACACTTGACCAAATGACCCTAACAGACATCTATAGAATAGTTCACCTGACAAAAACAGAATATACATTATTCTGTTCTGCACATGGCATATATTCTAAAATTGACCAAAAAATCAGCAATAAAGCAATTCTCAATAAATTAAAAATATATATACCAGCCAGACCACACTCAGACTACAGTACAATAAAAATAGGAATCGATGCCAAGAAGATCTCTCAAAACCATACAATTAAATGAAAATTAAACAATCTTATCTGAATGACTTTTGGATAAACAATGAAATTAAGGCAGAAATCAATAAATAAATTCTAATGAACACAAAAATAAAACATACCAGAATCTCTGGGACATAGCTAAAGCAGTGTTAAGAGGGAAGTTAATAGCACTAACTGTCCATATCAAAAAGTTAAAAAGATCTCAAATTAACAACCTAACATCATACCTAGAGGAACAAGAAAAACAAGAATAAACCAACCCCAAAGCTCCCAGAAGAAAAGAAAAAACCAAAATGAGAGATGAACTGAATGAAATGGAGATAAGTAAAAACACAAAATGTCAATAAATAACGGTTTTTTGAAAGAATAAATAAGATTAATAGACCACTAGCTAAATTAATAAAGAAAAAAGAGAGACAATCCAAATAAACACAATCAGAAATGGCAATAGTTACATTACCACTGACCCCACAGAAATGGGGGAAAAAAAAACCTTTCGAGACTGTTATGAAGACCTCTATCCACAAAAAAAAAAAAAAAATTAAATCCTCAACAGACCAGTAATAAGCTCTGAAATCGTATCAGTAATAACAAACCTACCAACCAGAAAAAGCCCTAGACCAGATGGATTTACAGCCAAATTCTACCACACATATAAAGAAGAGCTGGTATCACTCCTACTGAAACTATTCTGAAAATCAAGGAGGAGGGAATCCTCCCTAATTCATTCTATGAGGCCAACATCATCTTAATACCAAAACCTGGCAGAGACACAATCAAAAAAGCAAGCTTCAGGCCGGTATCCTTGATGAACATAGATGCAAAAATCCTCAACAAAATACTGACAAACCAAATCCAGCATCACATCCAAAAGCCAATCCAGCACAATCAGGCAGGCTTTATCCCTGGAATGCAAGGTTGGTTCAATATATGCAAATCAATAAACATGATTTCATCATATAGACATAAATAAAGACAAAAACCACATGATCATCTCAATAGATGCAGAAAAGGCTTTTGATAAAATTCAACATCCCATCTTGTTACAATCCCTCTACAAACTAGGCATCAAAGGAACATACCTCAAACTAATATAAGCCATCTATGACAAATCCACAGTCAACATCATACTGAATGGGAAAAAGCTTGAAGCATTCTGCTTGAAGAACTGGAGCAAGACAAGGATGACCACTCTTACCACTCCTATTTAACCTAGTACTGGAAGTCCTAGCCAGAGCAATCAGGCAAGAGAAAGAAATAAAAGGCATCATCCAAAAAGGAAGAGAGGAAGCTAAAATATCTCTCTTTGCAAGCAATATGATTCTATACCTAAAAATCCCCATAGTCTCTACCCAAAGGTTCCTAGGCCTGATAAACAACTACAGCAAGGTTCAAGATACAAAATTAATGTATAAAAACAAGTAGTATTTCTTTACACCAAAAACATCCAAGTTGAGAGCCAAATGAAGAGCACAAGCTTATTCACAATAGCTATAAAAAGAACAAAATACCTAAAAATGCAGCTAACCAAGGAGGTGAAAGATGTCTACAATGAGAATTACAAAACACTGCTCAAAGAATTCAGAGATGACATAAACAAATGGAAAAACATTCTATGTTAATAGACAGGGAGAATCAATATTGTTACAATAGCCATACTACCCAAAGCAATTTACAGATTCAATGCGATTTCTATCAAACTACCAATGACATTCTTCACAGAATTAGGAAAAAATTACTAAAACTCCTATGGAGCCAAAAAAGTGCCTGAATAGCCAAGCAACCCTAACCAAAAAGAACAAAGCTGGAGACATCACATTACACAATTTCAAACTATATCACAAAGCTACAGTATGGTACTGGTACAAAAACAGACACATAGACTGATGGAACAGGTTAGAGAACCCAGAAATAAAGCCATACACCTACAACCATCTGATCTTTGACAAAGCTGGTAATAACAAGCAATGGGGAAAGGACCCTCTATTCAATAAATCATGCTGCAATAACTAGCCAGCCATATGCAGAAGATTGAAGCTGGACCTGTTCCTTTCACCATATGCAAAAAATCAACTCAACATCTATTAAATATTCAAATGTAAACATAAAACTATAAAAATCCTAGAAGAAAACTAAGAAATACCATTCTGGATATTGGTCCTAGCAAAGACTTTATGACAAAGACTCCAAAAGCAATTGCCACAAAAACAAAAATTGAAGTGTGGGACCTAATTAAACAAACAACTTTTGCATACTGAAAGAAACTATCAGCAGAATAAACAGACAACATACAGAATGGGAGAAAATGTTTGAAAACAATGCATCTGACAAAGGTCTAATATCCAGAATCTATAAGGAACTTAAGCAAATCAACAAGCATAAAACAACCCCATTTAAAAATGGACAAAGGACATGAACAGATAGTTCTCAAAAGAAAACATACACATAGCCAATAAGCATATGAAAAAATGTTCAATATCATTGATCGTTAAGAGAAATGTAAATCAAAACCACAATAAGATACAATCTCACACCACTCAGAATGGCTACTAGTAAAAAGTCAAAAATAACAGAGGTTGATAAGGTTGCAGAGAAAAGGGAATGATTATACATTGCTGGTTGGAATATAAATAAGTTCAGCCAGTGTGGAAAGCAGTCTGGAGGTTCTCAAAGAAAATAAAACAGAATTACCATTTGACCCAGAAATCCTGTAACTGGGTATATACCAAAGGAATATAAATCATTCTACCATAAAGACACAGATGTGTATGTTCATAGCAGTGTTATCACAATAGCAAAGACTTGGAATCAACCTAGGTGCCCATGAACAATGGATTGGTTAAAGAAAATGTGGTACATGTACACCACGGAATATTACACAGACATAAAAAAAGAATAAGATCATGTCCTTTGCAGCAACATGGATGGATCTGGAGGCTATTATTGTAAGTGAACTAATGCAGGGACAGAAAACCAATACCACATGTTCAAACTTATAAGTGGGAACTAAACATTGAGTACACATGAAAGCAAAGAAGGGAACAATAGACACTAGGGCCTACTTGAGGGTGAAAGGTGGGAGGAGGGTGAGGATTGAAAAACTACCTATCGAGCATTAGGTATTATGCTGATTATCTGGATAACAAAATTATCTGTACAACAAACTCCACAACACACAATTTGCACATGCAACAAACCTGCATACTTATCCCTTGAATATAAAATAAAAGTTGGAAAGAAAAATGAATAAATAAAATACAAAGAATAGTGAACCCTTTCCAAAAGGATTTCATTTGGCTTTGCCCAAATACATCAGAGAAATCACTGTTGATGTCTGCTATAGCCTTACAAAATGTATTTTTTAAATAATAAGACTTAAAAGTAGAAATTACCTCTTGATCCATTGGCTGCAGAATGTATGTTGTGTTAGCAAGTATGAAAACAATATTCATCTCCTTGTATATATCTCCATTGGAGCTCTTGAGTTACTGTGTGCATTGTCAATGGGCAGCAATATTTTGAAAGGAATCTTTTTTTCTTGCCAGTAGGTCTCAACCATGGACTTAAAATACTCAGTAAATGACACTGTAAACAAATATGCTGTCATCCAGGCTTTGTTGTTTACAGATCACAGAAAAAGTAGATTTTGCATAATTCTTAAGGGACCTAGGATTTTCAGAATGATAAATGAGCATTGGGCTTCATCTTAAAGTCACCAGCTGCATTAGCCCCTAACAATATAGTCAACCTGTACTTTAAAGCTTTGAAACCAGGCATTGACTTCTCCTGTCCAGCTGTGAAAGTCCTAGATGGCATCTTCTTCCAATAGAAGGCTGTTTGTCTACATTGAAAATCTATTGTTTAGTGTAGCCACTTCTATCAATGATCTTAGCTAGATCTTCTGGGTAACTTGCTGCAGCTTCTCCATCAGCACTTACTGATTCACCTTGCACTTTTGTGTTATGGAGACAGCTTCTTTCCATAAACCTCATGAACCAACCTCTGCTAACTTCCAACTTTTCTTCTGCAGCTTCCTCACCTCTCTCAACCTTCATAGAATTGAGGAGAGTTAGGGCCTTGCTCTAGGTTAAGCTGTGGCTTATGTGAATGTTGTGGCTGGTTTGATCTATCCAGACCACTAAAACTTTCTCCATGTCAACAATAAGGCTCTTTTGCTTTCTTATCATTTGTGTGTTCACTGAAGTAGCACTTTTATTTTCTTCAAAACTTTTCCTTTGTATTCACAAGTTGGCTAACAGTTTGGCACAAGAGGCCTAACTTCTAGACTAGCTCAGCTTTCAACATATCTTCGTCACCAAGCTTAATCACCTCTAGCTTTTGATTTAAAGTGAGAGAAAATAACTCTTCACCTAAACAGTTAGAAGCCATCATAGGGTTATTAATTGGTCTAATTTTAGACACAACTAATTTTAGGGCACTCTTTGTGGCACCACAGAACGTTTACAATAATAACATCAAAGATCATTGATCAGAGATCACCATAAGATATAATAATAATGAGAAAGTTTGAAATATTGTGAGAAATACCAAAATGAGATACAGAGTCATGAACTGAGCAGTGCTATTGACAAAAATGATGGCAATAGGCATTTTTGACACAGGGTTGCCACAGACATTCAATTTTTTTAAATATGCAATATCTGCAAAGTGCAGTAACATAAAACACAATAAAATGAGATATGCCTGAATTTATAGTTCTTAATTCAGAATGTTTAACTAGCCAGCAAACAGTTATTGAATGACATGTTAAACTTAGCACACTCTTAAAGATGTTTATTCCAGATAATAATTCACAATATTGACTCTCAAAAAATATATATTTATCACTTGATTTTTGGGGACTTGATGACTTGTGGAAACAACCAGAAGCATAGGTCACTTTTAATTCATAATTATCGTATGTTTAATCCACCCTGTTGTAAAATTGATGACGCTATGAACACATGCTTTAAATACTTATTCACCCATTCATCGTCTTCCACAAAGGATCTGACTGTGTGACTTGAAGGAGGCATTAAAACAAATGATAAAATGAAAATTCAAGGATAGAATTAAAAATCAAGCCTGGGCAAAATACAAATAAGTGAGTAAGATACCAAGACTAAGAAAGATTAAACATGCAATTCATCAACATTACTACAATTAAGCCTCATATTTGGATCTAAGCTTCCTAGTAGACATTGTAAAAAAGGGAAAAATAGTCATATTGTTGTTATAGGCAAACAAAGGAGTGGTAATGTAAGTTATTTGAATGGAAAAAACATTCCTAGGAAATGGGGAGACATACCATAATGTTAATATGTATAGCATGATATAACATGTAATATATAATGGTGATTAGGAATGCTGGAGTCATAAAAGATCTGGATCCGATAACTAATCCCACTATTTAACTTCTGTGAGCTTCAAATTTCTCATGTTAACAAGGATTTTTTAAATACCTACTTAGTATTATTATAGAGAATAAATTATGTGATGCATTCTAAGCAATTGAACATGGGCAGCAATACCTACCTCAAATGACTGCTGTACAGAGCAAGTGATGCAAGTGGTGCAAATTAATAAATGCATCATTGGAGGGGACAAGTAGGGGATTGAGAGATACCCAATAACTGTCTGTGGCTGAGAGAGCTGTGGCTGATGGGTACATTTGAATTTATGATGAGAACAGTTCCAATACTGCTCTGCTGCAACATACACTTGACATTGGGGAACATCACACACCGGGGACTGTTGTGGGGTCGGGGGAGAGGGGAGGGATAGCATTAGGAGATATACCTAATGCTAAATGACGAGTTAATGGGTGCAGCACACCAACATGGCACATGCATACATATGTAACAAACCTGCACGTTGTGCACATGTACCCTAAAACTTAAAGTATAATAATAATTTTTAAAAAAACAATTGTTTTATGTCATTCTCTCTCAAGCAATAGTGAAAAGAATTCATTACAATTAATGAATTAAAATAAAATAAATTAATTAAATATGATGATTCTGTTGAAGTAGCTCGTTTAAACCACCTCATTAGCTCCACACAAGTCGTGAAGCACAGCCTTGATCATCAGAACAGCAAGCCACCTCTGCTTTACACTCAGTCTTGATCTCATGCCCTGTAATAAACAAAATGACAATGACTAGATCCCATTAAATGAGAGCATAAAATGAAAGTCTTTTTTTCTGCTAATCATTCATTAGATATTTAATAACGGTTCTCGAGGAATATTGTACACTTTGACAACTCTTAAGATTCCCTGTTTTCATCAGTAAAGTAAACTTTATTTTGTCATCAGCATGCTTGGACTTTCAGAAGTAATCAACATTTTTTAGCACTTACTACTAAAGGTCCACACACTGTTAAGTACTTCACACACATTAACTCACAAACACATTTTATCCTCATGACAGAACTATGAGGCAGATACTATTATCCCAATATTGCAGATGAGGAAACTGAATTGCAAAGAAGTAAATTGTCCAAGTTCTCAAAGTTAGTAAGTTGTAAGTTGAGAGAAAATTCAAGCCGCAATGATCTAGAGCCCACATTCTTAATCAAATTCTGCTGACTGACTTCACAGCAAAGATATCGGAGGAAACTGGGATGTATTACTACCGCCATTTCACTCTAACAAAACTGTAGTGATCAGATGAGAAAATACTTATATAAGTACGGAAGTTTCGTCACTGAAGAATTTGTGCATTTTTTATCCCCAGAAATGTTAACTCATCTTTCTCTGTGCTCATCCCAAATCTTCAATCCTTTGTACTTAGACCAAATATTTATAGAACACCCAGTAGACATTGTGCTAAACACAAACTGAATTCTTCTTCTCTCATAATAGGAATCCATGAGTTAGGACATTAATTGACCCTCACCTGGATCTTGACCTCACACATAGTAGCCAAACTCTCATATCTCATAAAACCAGTGTGGGATCAAAGTTAAAGTAATTAAATAATCTAGCAAAACTTAGAGTACAATTATTGCTTACCATTACACATTTTATGATGTGTCACTTATGTACTCATAACATTTTCTCACTTTATAATTTTGTGTATTTTATACATAAATTTTATAATATGCCTATTATATTTTTATATGTTTTATATATTCATGACATTTCTCACATCACAATTTCATTAAACACTGTTATAACTTTTTCTCATTTCTAAGTCACCCAGTTTCCATAAAAAATACATAATACAGAAATAACATTTCATAATTTTACAAACTAAAAAATATATATACCAAGATAGCTTCTATTGCAATTCTCTGCTTCATGGTTTATGGAAGTCACTTGAACAACTTAGTTACTTATAATGTCACCTGGGATGGAAAAACAAACAGGCAGAACAATCCATTGATCTCCCTTCCACTGAAATCCCTACACTGCCCATTGGGGCCAATAAGCAGAGTACCTCTTTATGAAGTTGTATTACACATTGGGTAAGAGCACAAGCCCTGGCACCAACATTCCTGGTTTAACTCTAGATGTGCCACAAATTCATTGTGACTTTAAGCAAATTTCTTAATCTCTCTGTGCCTTGATTTCCTTGACTGCAAATTGGGGGACAATAAAGTACTACCTCTAGCACTGATATTTCCTTGCATGCACCAGCATCAGAGCTCTAGTTCTTAAAATATGGAAATACTTTCATGCTAGTAGATAAATATTATAGCTGCCTACTCAAGCTCCCCAGTTCCCATACACACACAGCCTCCACCCAGGCCCCTCCCCCAGGGTCACCTCTATGCTCTGCAATGATGCAATGAAAATAAGGTACAGCAGCAGAAGAGGAATGAGTCCTCAATAGAGGTGAGAGTTTTCTTCCTATTTTTAGTGGAAAAAACAGCAGCAAGTTCTTATGTCAAGATAATGCCACAAAGCCTGGGAAAAATGACAGTAGAGTAGAACAGTAGCAAATCACTGGTGCAATTCCTTGAGTAGGCAGATGGGAGGGATACCTAATGCAAGGAAGGCAGATTCACCTTTGACAGGAGGATGGACAGTTCATCTCTGGTAAAAGGAGCAAAGAGAACAGATGCAGTCAGTGGGAAGATGTGGTGGTGGGAGTTTGTGAAATTTTCTTCTAATTGATTCTGTTTCCTAGATCATATGAAAAAGTCATCAAAAGAGTAGAGAAAGGTGTGCTGGACCCCTATTGACTCCAATAGGGATGGCACCATCATGTCTGAGAGGCTGAAGAAGAGACCTGGGGACAGTGAACAAGACATAGGGTTTATCGGGGGAGCTTATACACAGGAACGTTCCAGTGGTGACAGGCTGCACAGGAGAACCACTGCTGCTGGTGGTGTTGTTAATTTAGTGCAAGTCCATAGGCATGAAAACCAGGAGAGCCAATGATATAAATCCAAATCTAAGGACAAGAGAAGATGAGAAGAGATGTTCTAGCTCAAACAGTGAGGCAGGGAAAATGGGGGCTAATTCCTTCTTCTTCTACCTTTTGTTGTATTCAGGCCCTCATGGATTGAATAACACTGATCACACTGGGGAGGGCAATCACTTTATTGAGTCAAATTCAAATGCTAATCTCACCCAGAAACAACTTGACAGATACACACAGAAACAATGTTTAATCTAGATACGCCATGGCCCACTTAAGTTGATACATAAAATTAACCAGTAGATAGATGATAGATAGATAGATAGATAGATAGATAGATAGATAGATAGATAGATAGATAGATAGAGTATTAGTCCATTTTCACACTACTGATAAAGACATACCCAAGCACCCAAGACTGGGTAATTTATTTTAAAAAAGAAGTTTAATAGACTCACAGTTCCACGTGACTGGGGAGGCCTCACAATCACAGTGGAAGGTAAAAGGCACGTCTTACATGCCAGCAGACAAGACATAATGAAAATCAAGCAAAAGGGGTTTCCCGTTATAAAACCATCAGATCTCTTGAGACTTATTCACTACCATGAGAACAGTACGGGGGAAACCACCCCCATGATTCAATTGTCTCCCACCAGTTCCCTCCCACAACAAGTAGGAATTATGGGAACTACAATGCAAAGTGAGATTTGGATGAAGACACAGCCAAACCATATCAGATGGATAGATGATAGATAGACAGATAGATAGATGATAGATAGACAGACAGACAGATAGATAGATAGATAGAAAGTACTTCAAAAAATGGTTTAAGTTGTTAAAAGGTAGGGAGACACAAATGGGCACATGTCTTTAGAGTTTAAAGGAAACAGGGACAAAAGATATAAATTTAGAAATCGTTAACGTTTGGACTATATGGGACTAGATGAGCTAACCTACAGAGGAAAGGTGGGGAGTGAAGAAAAAGCAGCATGGCCCTGCCACCAGTCTGTGGTATTTTGTTATGGCAACTTTAGCAAACTAATACAGAACTAATGCATAATTCATTCTATAATATAGATTCAATTATTTACAACTAATAATTTTGTCCTTGTAACGTCCAATGTTAAATTTTTTAAATGTAGAAAAATAACTTTGTATACTAGAAATGGTCTTCTTAGGAAACCAACAAAACCCAAGACATATGTTAAAATAGTTTTGATGGCATCCAAATTAAGGATTTCAGTTCAACAAAGGAACATACACAAAGTTCTCTCAACAAAGAATATCAAATTTAATAGATAATGGAAAGACTAAGAGATGATGTTTGCAATGTCTAAAACTGATAAGGGACTAATATTTAAAATATATTTAAAGAATACCTGCTAATCAACAAAAGTAAACAGAAAAAAAAATCAAAAGAAAAAATAGGCAAAGAAGATGTTAGGCAATTTACAGAAAAAGAACCCTAAATAGCTATTTAAATATGAAGTAGATTGAATGCTACTGGTGGATATGTAAAAATGTGCAGCCATTCTGGAAAGCATGCTTTATTTGCTAGGAAATTAAGTATGTACATGATTTGCCCTTTGATGCAACAATATTATTCCCAATATATTTGCCAGAAAAATGCTTAAACTGGCCTGAATAGGAACATGTATGAGGATATAAACTGTGAAGCTGTTTGTGTTATAGGGAACTGATGGCAACTTTGGTGCCCATCATTAGGAGATTTGATAATATGATGTGGTGGTGGTTATGTCCTATAGATAGAGTAATAGATGTATGTAGACAAATGTGGATAAATCTTAAGAGCGTATTGAGTTTTAAAAAAGTAAGATATAGAACAAGATTTATAGCCCACTATCATTACATAAATTAAAAACACAGAAGTATATTTTATACAAATGTATGAGTATTTAAGGACACTTAGCAAATGCGTTACATGATTCCTATAATGGGGTAAGGAGAAAAATGAGAAAAGTAATCTGGATGATTGGAAGAAATTAAAATTATAAAATGAAATAAAATAAAAATATGGACTTTGACCTATTACAAAGATATGATATGAAATGGAGTATATTAACTCTACTTTCTACACCTGAAATGGTTCCCCAGAAGCTCTTGTACAGAATCATGCCCATATGTTCCATCCATTAAAGATGTGATCATCAGTAACCAGTATAATTCCAAACTAATAGTGAGATAGTGCTTAGAACTTTTCTGCCATCAGGTAACTCAAAACAATCATAAAAGACCCAAGGATATTTGAACATAAGTCTCTCAGTCTAATTTTTTTAAATTACCAACAAAAAGTATTGTACAGGAAGTATGTAATCCACTAAAGATGTTGTTAAAACCTCTGAATCAGAGTGAGATTGTCTACCAGTCAGCGTTTGGGATACCTTGCCAAAAGCTATAGATTTTCAATGAAATCAGAGCAGAATACTGTCAGTAAATTCTGCTCCCTTCATTGTACACTGCACACTGTGTAGGAAACAATCAATTTTAAAATGAAAAATACAAAAAAGCCAGCATGAACTTTAAGGACTGACAGGAAGAGTGCTATGATGAGTCATGATTATTGCTATCATCTTGTGCTCAAATGTGCAAGACACAATGTTTGCTGCATGCAATAACTCATCTAAGCCTCACAATAATCTCATAAAAGAGGTACTATCATTTTCCCCATTTCACAAAAGAAACTGAGGCTCAGTAACTTTCTTATGGTTATTTCTCACAGCTCTGGAGGCTGGAAAATCCAAGATCAAGGCACTGGCAAGTTCAGTGTCTGGTGAGGATCCGGTCTTTCTGCTTCCAGGATGGCCCTTTGTTGTTACATTCTCCATGAGGAAACAAACACTGTGCCCTCATATGGTGGAAGGAACAAAGGGAAAAAAGGCAACTCCCTCACATGTCTTTTATAAGATCATTAATCCTATTCATGAGGGCTCAGTTCTTATAACTTAATCACATCCTGAAAGCCCCACTTCTTTCTATCATCATATCGATGATTAAGTGTCAGCATGTGAATTTTAGGGTACATATTAAGACCATAGCATAGTTTGAACTGTGAAGTTCAAACAAGGACCTTATAGGAAGTCTCATGCTAGCTCATCTGACATAGAAAGATACCAAGGTATAAGCCAAATAAAAATATAATAAGGTAATGGTATTTGCACATTACCACCCCAAACACGTCTATCTAGCTTCTTAAGCAATTCCTTAACATCACATGTGAGTTGTCAACGTCAAATTATCTTCCACGACAAGTTATTAGAATAGTTAATATTATATATACTCTGGCATTTTTTAAAAAAGAATCATCTATGAATTTCACAACTACCAGTGAAGTGTGTTTTGTTATTTTACAGAGAAGGAACTTGAAGATAACTTCAGTTAAGAAATGTGTGCATTAATACAAAACCATAGGTTATGTCAGAGCTTCCCAAAGGCTGTGCCATGGCATGCTGGCATGCCATGAAGCTGTGGCAAAATAGTGATCCCTATTCTTCAGCTGGAAGAGGTCTATAGCAGCCAAAATAATGGGCTAGTTGATTCTGGCCTCAAGAAAGCTGGTCCGTTTACCCCAGTCTGAACACTACAATTTTTTGCTTGTGCTGTATTATGAGAAAGGTTGGAAAGCAAGTCATAGAATTGGGTCTCAAGTCTAGGTCTTCACACCCTAGTTTTTTATTTTCTTTCCATTATACTATGCACCTTCCGAAATTTAGCTTTCTGCCAAGCTGGAGGCAGTTTTCATCACAACATCTCTCTAATAGTTATACTCTATTTCTCGAATTGAATAGTGATTACTTTGTGATAACTTATCAAGTTAGGATTTGTGTGTTCTTCACTATGCATATTTCAAATTCTAAAGTTTATTAAAACTCAATTTTCTGGCTGCTGTGTAAAAAACTGGATTGGCAGGAGCAAAATCAAAATCAGAGAGACTAATTAGAAGATATGCTTACTTGATTATAGATCATTTTCTAATTCTAAAGATGGAAAAAGAGAAAATTTATTTCTCTAGTTATAGGAGACTTTACACAGAGAGTGCAGACTCCCAAGAGAGGGGTCAACAAAGAGCCAGCCTTAGTTCTTCCTGACTTCTCCCTAGAACTAGTGAGAAGGAAAGGAGAGAGGCTGGAGCAGGGCCTGGGATAGCCCATACATTTGACAGAGAAGGAAGATGGCCACCATTCTGTGAGCCTAGAGTTTTCCAAATAGTCTGGTTATGTGGTCAGGGGAGGAATAACAACTGATCCAGAGTCTTTGCAGGTGCAACAGAAGCAGCATGGTCAAAACGAATGTCTTGTTGGCTCTAACTGCCCTGGAGACACTGCCAAAGAAACCTTGTTTTATGGGCCTAGCTGGGTGTCATGCTTAGTCCTATGGAGAGAAGCCAGGCATTTGGTGTCTGGCCTGCATAAGTACAACTAATCCACAAATTCTTTAAAAATATGTTATTAAATTCCAATAACATATTTAGATTGTAAGCATAACATTTGCACCTAAACTAAAGGAATGTAGGTTATATCATTAGTTTTCATTCTAAGGTCTATAGGTTTCATTTAATTTAAGTAATAAGAAGGGGAAAGTGTCATTAAAATCCAGCATTTGGATGAGATGCAGGCCTCAGAATATATCTACTGATGTTGGAGACTGTATAGAAATCACAGGAGAGATAATAGACTAAAGTGACAGCCATGTCAATAATGAAGAATGGCTAGATATCAAAGGAGTTTTGGAGGTACTAATGACAGAACTGTATGAGAGGTAAAGAAAAAGGAAAAGGAAGTGTAATTCCCACATTTGTAGATTTCATAACTGGGCAGGAAGTAATACCATTTATTAAGATAGGGAAGATAGGTCCAGACCTGGGTACAAGTATATCAAGGGTTCTGTTTTGGAATTTATAAATTCGAGAAGCCTATGAGGAGACACTCAAATGGAAATACCAGATAAGCGGCTAGATATTTGAATCTGAAAGTCAAGTGAGAGACTTGATATGGAGACATACACTTCAACATTACTGATATGCAGACAGTAATCAAAGACATAGGAAAAAGTGAGATAACCCTGGGAGAGGTGAAGATAAGAGAGGAAGGCCATTAAGATATTAACACAATAGAAACAAACAGAAATCTACATAAATACAATATGAAGGTTATTAGTGAAATTAACAAGAGTAGCTTCAATGGGGATAGAAGCCAGATTAGAACTGGTTTAAGAGTAAATGAAATTATTGTGTTAATCATAATTTTTTTAAAAAAAAGAATGAATGAAGTTTAAGAAGGGGAAATGACAGTGTAAAAATGTCTTTTAAGAAGTGTTGTTTCACATGCATTAACCCATTTTATTTTCTCACCAACCTTATTAAATAGATACTCTTATTATCCCCATTTTACAAATGAAGAAACTCAGGCCTAGAGACAAGTAACCTTCCAAAGGTCTTGCAGCTATTAAGTGCCAGAGTTGGGATTTAAACTAACATTACTCTAACTCTTAAGTCCATGCTCTTAACTGCTGTTACTGTTGGATATGGCAGACTATACAGCACAAGTACAGATCTTGAAATTCACTGACTCACTTGTTCAATGTACAAGAGTTAACTCAGACAACAAATTCAGAGGTGTTTATATAAAACCAAAGCAATTTAAATACCTAAAATTGGATTTGGTGTTTGCTATGGTTTGGATGTTTGTACCCTCCAAACTTCATGTTGAAATTTGATCCTCAATGTCAGAGATAGAGTCTAGTGGGAGATGTTTGGGTCATGGAGGCAGATTCCTCATGAATATATTAATGCCCCCCTTGAGGGTGAGTGAATTCTTTATTAGTTCCTGAAACAACTAGTTGCTTTTTTGTTTGTTTGTTTGTTTGTTTTGTTTTGTTATTTTTTAGAGATGGGGTTTCACCATGTTGGCCAAGCTGGTCTTGAACACCTGACCTCAAGTGATCCACTCACCTGGGCCTCCCAAAGTGCTGGGATTACAGGCATGAGCCAGCGCACCCAGCCCCAACTAGTTGTTAAACAGAGCCTGGCACCTTGCCCTCTCTGTCTTGGTTCCTCTCTCACCAAGTGATCTCTGCACATCCCAGCTCCCCTTCACCTTCTGCCATGAGTGGAAGCAGCTTGAGATCCTCACCAGATGCATGAACACAATTTTGAGCTTTCCAGCCATTAGAATCATGAGCCAAATAAACCTTTTTCCCTTCATAAATTACCCAGCCTCCAGTATTCCTTTATATCAACACAAAATGGACTAATACATGAAAACATGTTCATCTACAACAGAGATAATTCATGTTGCTTTAAAAGGTTGATTTGGTGTTCAAAAGCAGGTATTTACAATTGGAGACTGAAATGTTTATTAATCCATCAAAAATACACTCATCATTTCCTATTCACTGAACCCAGTGGTAAGATAACACTAAGTCCAGGATAAGACCTGTCTTTGTCCTCAACAAACTAAGCCCACTTGTCTACTATATTGATCAAATGATAAACCAAACCATTAATGCTTAGCACAATATAAATAGTAATTGCTACTATTTCTATGTGGAACAGTGGGAAAAGATATTTGAAAGCTATTAAAAATCATTTTAAATATTCATATTTGTTTCATTTTCCAGGCATTTTAAAGCAGTGAAAAGTTAGTATTACAACATTTGCTTATGCATTTTTCTCTTTGTTCATCTGACTACTTCAAAATCCTATATTGATCAGGTTATATACATAAACCTTACAGAGCATGTTGTTATAGAATATTCTGTGCTACTACATTGTTCAAAATGCAATGATTCTTATGTCTTAATATTTCAATTTGGACTTCAAGAGGTGTACAATTGAGTGATTTATTTCCATTCCTGTATCCTTGAGAAGAACTTCCTTAAGCATTAGGCTGTTCCAATGATATTACAGTATAATATGTCTTTTCTTCTACATCAATCAACATCATAAAATTTCTTTATTAAATAAATCTGTTAATTTGTGTACTCTTACTTGCATTGCTCTAATGTTTTCCCAAACCTTTTAATTTCATCACAGAATTTTTCCATGAGTCAGCTTTAGCCAAATTCCTAAGATTCATGCTTGGAATTTATATTGTACTGCTTCCCAAAATCTCCATGAATGATTTACTACTAGGCTAAAAAACTAGAAAATCATCTAGGAATGTATACATACCTATAAGTATTTTATATAATATATACAATGTGTATATGTCTGTGCATACATGTGTGTATGTATATTCAATTGGACTGACAATTAGAAACAGATATATTTGAATATATGGTAACATATTAAATGTATTAACAATATATATATACATTCCACTAACAATTGTGCTGTTCTACCTCAATTTAGAATTTTTATTTTTATCGATTCAATAATTTTAGTTATTTTCTAACATTTATTATTTACAAATAGGTGTCAGAGAACCTGGTGTCTCTACATAAACAGAATGTTCTTTGAGCAAGTAGTCAGACCTTAGCATCAACCTTGACTGGGGGATGCTGTCAAACTTCAACAATCAGTTGAGCAGCAACTGAGCTTCTGCTGTTGCTGAACAATCCACCCACACCAAAGATATCTAATATGGTTTCACTGTCATGCAAACTCTTTGCTGGTAAGGGACCATAACCACATCTCTTAATGAAGATTATGTCCATGAATTTATGCTCACTAAATAAAGGATAATCCTGGGACCCCATTGAGAGTTGACAAGGATCTCAGTCATCTTTACATCCTCAGTTCCTAGCAGATATCCAGTCACAAAAATCTTTGTGGAATGGATGAAGATAATAAAGAAGACAGTGTTAACACTGTCTTTAATATGCCATTATAATTCTTACCTCTTTTCCATGGATGTAAGAATTTGAAAATTTTTCAGTTTCCTTAATTCCTCTCACTCCCAAATCCCCTTTATCTAAGCCATTTGTAAATGTAGTTGTTTTTACTTCCAATCTGAATCATGAACTATCCATTCTTCTCCTCTTCTTTGTCCCAAAACATAGCCCAAGTTGCACCATAATTCTCACCTGGAGTACTATGACAGTCTCCTTACTAGTCTCTCTGCATCCACTTTTGTCTACATCCAATGTTCCACACCACATCTAGAACAATTTTTAAAAATATATCTTATTAATTTCGCTCACTTGCTTAACATGCATCATTGAACACCCAATGTTCTTCAAATGAAATGCAACATCTTTCCATGATCTCCAAACTTCTGCACGACCTAGGCCTTGTATATACCATAATATTAAAAATGAGAATAAAAAGAGTAGACCATGTCTCAGCTACCAGAAAATAGTAGAGTTTTGAGAAAAATAACCATGACTCCAGGAATATTTGTGAGATCGAGTAGAGAAAACTTAAATAAGGAAACAGAGGATTCAAATAACTGGATCAGCTTGATTCATTACTATGCAGAATTTTGTACCTAACAAATATCTGTTCTTTTCAAGCACCATGGAATTGTCTTAAAATTTGATGACATAGTAAATCAAAAGGAATCATCTTAAATTCCAAAAAGTAGAAATAATGCAAGCAATGTTCACTGTCCACTACAATAAAACCAGATATCATTAACAAGCACCCTCCACACTCCCACCATCCACCTACCCACTTGCAACTTTAAAAACCCTCCTCTAGTTACGTAAGGTTATATGGAAATCTATTCTGAAATTACTGAATTTTTAAATGAAGGACAATTATATTGCTATACAACTCAAACTTTAAGATTCAGCCAAAGAGTACACAACAAAAATAATATAAGCTCAACTGTATTTATCAAAAAAATAAGAAATATCAAACCCAAGTTAACTTATTCTTCTAAAGGAGCTTATAAACGAACAATTAAATAAGCCAAAAAGGAGTCAAAAGAAGGAATTTATAGAGATAGAAGCAGAAGTTAATAAACTAAAAATGTAACATATCTAGAAATTGCAAAATGATATGAAATCTTTTCTAGTGCCCAATGAAGTAGACAAATATCTAGCAACCCTAATTAATAACAAAATATAGAAAGAAAACATAATATGCAAAATTAGAGATATAAGGCAAATATCATAGATACAGGTGAAATTGAAAATCTAGATAAAATAATAGTAGTCTAGAGAAACAATAATTATCAAAAGTGCCACAAGAAGAGGCAAGGATAACATGAAAAGACTAATTCTAAAAACTAAAAGCATTAAAAAGTTGTCAAATGTGTACGATCCTAAAAGTTACCATGCTTTTAACAGCTATCGTTATTAATACTCAGCAATAAACAAGTCAGCATTTACTAGTTGCCTGCTATTTGCCAAGCACTGTACATAGCACTTTGTTAGGTGACTACTACCTCACTTCATTTTCTAAACAAGAAGACAAAGACAGGCAAAGTTAACTTGCCAAATTTCACATGATAAGTGATAGGCCTAGTATTGGAAGACAGACTGTAAAGAGATCACAAAGCTTATCTTCTTAACCTCTCTATTATGTGTAGGAATGATTTACTTTTGACAAGACATTGTTTTTAAGAATTAAAGAAGAAAAAATATGTGATTATTTCAATAAAAGTGGAAAAGATACTTGATAAAATGCAATATCAATTCCTGAGTTAAAAAAATAGTCAACTTTCCTTACATGATCAAAAAAATAAATATTTCTCAGAAGCTAACAGCAAATGCCATACTCAGGGGTGAAACAAGAGAGCAGAGTTTCTCAAGCAGGTATTAAGGGAGGGGATGGCCACAAGTATGTTTAGAAAAAAATAAGTCTTCCCCAGAGTAAATACGTTTAATAGCTAAACAAATTAAACAGATTTATTTATCACTGGCGAGTTTCTCAGAGGCTTTAACACGCTACTATGGTTGTTCTGCGACTCTTTTGAAAGGGAATAGAAGGTGCGATTTCCCAAGCTTCTTTGATTACTAAGCCCTTTGTTCTCAACTCTGGAAACTAGTGTCCACAGCTCCAATTTTGCAAAGACTGCACTAAAGACATCTGGACTAAAATTACTAAAAAAAAAAAAAGATTCTCACTATGACCTCTATGATTTAGCACTATTCTAGATTACTTGTCAGTGCAATAAAGGAGAAAAAAATAAAATGTAAATATTGGAAAGAAAAAACTGTCTGTAAATGATTTAATTGTCTACGTCAAGATCAAGACAATCAATTAAAAATTTAAAAAGACAATAACTTAGAGCGTTAGATAAAAAATAAGTATGTATATAAATTGATCTCTATCCTCAATGAGCTTACACTTTGTCCAGAAAGACTTATGCATAGTGAGTGAAGAAAATAAGTATAAGAGGGGAAAAATCATTGAAAATGCATAAATTATTTAATAATTCCACTAGTCTTATCTCAAGGGTAGTAATAATGATTGGAGAAAAAATACATTTCCTTTGCTTCTGAATTTTGTATTTTCATAGAGAATTGTATTAATCCATATGCTACTGGATAATACAATTAGACACAACTCTGCCCATAGTTAGCCATGTGACTTTTGACAAGGTAGCTCTCCTGGGTCAAAAATTTTATAGAATCTCAGGATTTTTTTAAAAATTGGAGTCACCTAATATAGACCACAAAGCCTTACGAATATGAACACTTATGTCCACATCAGAGATTTTATCATAAGAGATCAAAATATGCACAATGGTGTTCATACCACATTTTAGAGTGAAACTAACATTGTAGGTGTACACAAAAGCCTATTCAAAGAAATTATGGTACATCTATCTAAAGGTATACTAAGCTAATCTTAAAAATTATGTGACCACATGAGAAAGTGTTCGTAATACGATAACAGAGAAAAGAAGATTACAAAACAGCAGGTACAGTGCGACCTCAGGTTTACAAATACACACACACTCAGGTCTCTACTTACTCCCACAGCTGGTTACCTTTGAACAAGCAACAGCTTGAACAACCATATGTGAGTACCCTGCATATTAAAATATTACCAGTGCTTATCTCTTCTGAGTAAGATTTTTGGTGATTTGTATTTCCTTAAGGATTTCCATGTTTGCAAAATCTTCAAAACTCTCTGTAATTGGAAAACAAAAATTCAATAAATGGTGTTTAACTTACCTATTTCAACTGCAAAGTCTATTTTTTAGTCCTCTTGAATGATACTCATCCTAGCCTGTTTTTCCATTCCATTCTTAAAAGCCTCCTATGAAGTGGTCTAGAAATCCCTAGAAACAGCTCCCAAATGTCAGAAAATATGTCTTCACACTTTGCTATAATCTGATTTTCACTACAACCTCCATTAAATGCTCATGAATGATAAGTTCATTCCTGTTATAAATAATAGCTCTTCAAAAGGTTTTATGATAGTAAGCATATTCCTCTGGTTCTTCTTTTCTCCAGATTAAATATCCCCCAGTTCTTACATTATTCCATTTTGTGGCATACATTTGTATTTCCCTGAGCATGTATAAAGATCTTATCACCTTCAGGATAAGAAAGAGGTGGATACAGTTCTGGCCACTGACTAGTTCCCAAACTAGAATAGGCATGATAAAAACAGTAGCTGATCTATCACTTTGTGATGTAGTATATGACTTGCTCAGACTTTAAAGAATGAGTTGCTGAAAGACACTGATTTTGCCAATTTAAAATAGCAATGGTTTTCAAATAAAATGCTCAAATTATTAATCTATTTTTGGAAGAGTCAAAGCCTGCCTGTCGATTGTCCAAACTGGGGTTAGGGTAGGTCATAACCTGAAAGTTGTTCAAGTAGCAAAATGTCATCTCCATTTTGTTCTGTTGCTCAAGAAATCTCTTAATGATTCCATCCAGAGTAAGGAGTCAGAAAAAGAACTGTTCTACCCATCTGTGTATGGGTAGGGGAGAGAGAGAAAGAAAGAGGCCCATTGTTAGTAAGAAATATCTCGGCCTCAAAGATTTATAAATACTTCTAGTAACAGGGTATCTTAACAAAAAAAATTCCAATAAAAGCAAACAAAAGAATATAAATCTTCCATGCAAGCTTGTAAAACTATTTAGTCATACAAATAGACCTACCATATAAAAATAAGTAGAAAAAAGAAAACAAAAGTATGAAATTGAAGTACAGGATTGAGAAAACCATGGTAGCATTCAAATATGATGAAGGCTAAAAGACACAACCACAGTCACATCTCTAGACAAAGCGTTGAGTAAGAGCCCAATGGAGGAGACATGCATAGCAGCCCTCTTTCATGCTGACACCCTTGACTCTCAATTACTGAGACACTGAGTCATAGGGAAGATGATTCCACAATGTAATGTCCTGAATTGTCCTTAGTTCCCTGTGATAACTTTTCAACTGGGAAGTTTCGTTTCTGCAGTTATTCCCCATGTTCTGCATCATCAGTCTCTCCTCCTCTATGCAATCATCCTGGCACGTTGAGAAATACCCTCAGATCTTCCTTCCTGGCCCCCAAGTCCCCCTCTAGCTATTGTCTCATTTTCCTATTCCACTTCAAAACAAAGCTTAGCAAAATAGTCCACAATACTCTGCCTCCATCTCTACGCCTTCCATTCATTCCCTTTTTTAAACATTTTCCTTAATTTTTAGTGACATTATAATACTTATTCAATGTACCAATGAGAAGTGAAAATAGTGTAAAGGTGTTTTGTGTAAGGAAACCAGTGTTAATAACATGGTTTGTATTCATCTACATCTTCTTCCACGTACACGGAGATATATATGCACATATATGGGGATTTTGTTGTTGCTTGTCCTAACAAAGTGAAGTTGTATGGTATAAATTATTTGCTACTTTCTTTATTGATTTGACAATCCATTATATAATCCACTCCAGTCCGGGCATGGTGGCTCACACCTGTAATCCCAGCACTTCGGGAAGACGAGGCAGGTGCATCGTCTTGAGCTCAGGGCAACATGGCAAAACCCCGTCTTGACAAAAAAGCTCAAGAGCTAGCCAGGAGTTGGTAGTGCATGCCTGTAGTCCCAGCTACTTGGGAGGCTAAGGCTGGAGAATCGCTTGAGTCTGGGTAGCGGAGGTTGCAGTGAGCCAAGATCATGCCACTGCAGTCCAGCCTGGGTGACAGAGCAAGAATCTGTCTCAAAAAATAAATAAATAAATAAATAAATAATTACTCCAATCTGGCTTCTATCCTATCATGCCAATAAAGACGCTTGTCAACAGCATACACACACACACACACACACACACACACACATATATCCATGTTACCAGCTAGTTTCATGCCATCAAAGTAATCATTTGATTACTTTGATGTTTCTTACCTTACTCTAGTGCCTAGCAGTATGATAGGTGACTATCTCTAACTTCTTAAAGCACAATCCTCACTTGGCTTAATGACATCTCAATTCCTGATTTTCTTTCTGTCTCCCTGGGTGTATCTACAATGTTTGTTCACTTCTCCACTGACTCCCAAAATTTTGGGGCTCCATCCAAGATTCTTTTTACTTTTCTACCTCTACAATCCAACTTGATATTGAATAGAAATCTCAAATCTCCCATATTCAAAATTAAACAGATCTTCACCCCAATTACCCATTCACTCCAGCAAACATTCAGGTGTATCATCAAGTAGGTAGTTGGATATACGGCCTTGAAGAACAGGGAAAAGTTCTAAATGGAGAGTTAAGTATATGAGTCATCAGTAATAGATGATACTTAAATCCATGAGCATGAATGAGATCACTTAAATAGAGATTATGGTCAGAGATTTCCACAAGCCTTTTGAGTAAATCAAAACAAGGTGTATTATATTAATTTAAATTTATAGTGTTTTTTAAAGGAAAATGCAGTGTGAGGAAAGCAAAGGATTATGTCATGACTGTCAAACCTCCAGCCCTAATGAAAAAGAAGCTTGTCTTGTAGCTATTTAAATAGCTCAGAGAGAAAGACAATACAATCAGGGGTTGTGGTTGTAGACGTCTATAAAACCCAAACTGAGCCTAGCTATTTCCAGCCAGAGCAACATGTGCAATGCCAAGAGCCTCTTTTTTCTGATCAACCCTTATACACAGCTGTAATTTTTTGTCAAATGCCAGAGTCCAGCCTGAGCAACATTGCAAGACCCCATCTCTACAAAAAAATAAGAAAATTAGCTAGGCATCACGGCATGCAGCTGTAGTCCCAGCTACTTGGCAGCCAAGGCAGGAAGATTGCTTGGGGCCAGAAGTTCAAGGCTGCAGTGAGCAATGATCATGCCACTGCACCCTAGCCTGAGCAACAGAGAAAGACCCTGTCTCTAAAACAAACACAAAAACAAAACAAAACAAAACAAAAGCCAGAGTAACTATCTGGCCATCGTATCTGCATTAAAAAGAAACTCATGCCTTGAGTTATATGTTGTTTTGCGAAATACAAAAATAAGCTGCTCCAGGATTCTTATCTCAAAGTCAAACCCTCTGCTCGAGCTATAGGAACCAACTAAGGCAGATTAACTAGTGCTATAAAATTACTGACCTACAGAACATGTGGGCTGATCAATAGTTAAATAAAATCAATAAAATAACCATGAACTTCTATCTGTCAGATAAAATTAACTCCTCAGTCTTAAAAAAAGATTGTTTATAATAGTGACCAGCCTTTTGAAGAAGATAATGTGGTGACACATGTCACCACATGTGTCTGTGTCTCTATCAGTTACAAAACAACTCAATTAACTAATTTATCATGAAGCTGAGCCAATATAATATATGACCCAATAACATGTCCAAACAAGTGTTTAATGTCATGTATTCTAAGCACCAGGTGAATGAACTATTGTTTTGAATGATGTTAGGTTCTATGTGAGGAAATCAATATATTAGTGTTCACATAATGAAAACATTCATATTCTATCTTAGCAGTTCCTTACAATTCATTATCATATAAGATATCAAGTAAGTTCCTGAGTGAAAAATCTAAGATCTTGGTACTGACCCAAAGAAATTACACCTCCAAAAGCAACACTCATTCCTTTGTTCAGTTACCACATAGTGATTCACACCTACTATGTGCTAGACACTTGCACTGGAGAAACAGTGCTGCATGACACAATCATTGCCTCAATGCATCATAGCCTAGAGGGAACACACTTATAAACACAGACTATTGCATGTACATTACTGGGTTATGCATTTACTATGGGAATTTGTGGTTTTCTTTTACCTTCAACTGATTAGAGAAGAGTTTACCAAAAACTAAAGAATGAAACTTTAGAACAATAGTAAATTGATGATGGTGAAGAAAAGATCAGTACAAATCATTGAAACAAAGAAAAAAATGAATTTTAAGTTCAACTCAAAAACGGATAGCGATATGGTTTCAATTTGTGTCTCTGCTCAAATCTCATATGGAATTGTGATCCCCAGTGTTGGAGGAGAGGCCTAGTGGGAGGTGATTGGATCAAGGGGGTGGTTTCTAATGCTTTACCACCATTCCCCTAGTGCTGTCTTGTAATAAATTTCTCCTAAGATCTGCTTGTTTAAAAGTGTGTAGCACCCCACCTCTCCTGCTGGCCATGTGAAGATGTGCCGCTTCCCCTTTGCCTTCCACCATGATTGTAAGTTTCCTGAGCCTCTGCAGAAGCAGAAGCCTGTATAGCCTGCAGAACCATGAGCCAATTAAACCTTTTTTATTTATAAATTACCCAGTCTCAAGTATGTCTTTATAGCAGTGTGAGAACAGACTAATACAGGTAGCATAGAAAGAGTTAAGTGTAAAGAAAGTTCAGCCATGTAAAGTTGAGAAAAGTTAGTTTATCCTTAACAAAACAATGCAAACTACACAAGAAGGTACTCTTCAGTTTATCCTTAACAAAACAATGCAAAGCACATAGGAAGGTATTCTCCCTTTGTATAAGCAAGTTCAACAACCTGGAAGAATAGGCTGAACAGTTTCTAAACACCAGAAATACAAAGAACTATAGCTCATGAAATAGGGTTAAATAGCATGGGAGCTCAGAAAAAGGGCTCCTGAAAGACAATCTCTAGGTTTGAATTCTGACTCTCCTATTTATTATACAGTGCGACTTTAAGCAAGTTATTAAATCTCTCAGTGCCTTATTTTCCTTGGTTATAAATTAAAGCAAGGCAAGTAAGGAGCTCTTTGCCATAGATTTATTGTGAAGCTAAATTAAATAATCTACCTAAAGCACTTAGCACCCTGCAGATAGGCAGCATTCAAACAAGCAAGTATTTCCTGTTATTACTAACTTCCTGGAGAATTCATATTTCTATTACACACATGTTTACTAAGTGCACTGAATAGGTTATACTCAACCTGAGCTGTCACTGAGGAATTATTGGGAGAACAAAATTGACAAGAACCCTGTCCACAAAGGGCTTAGTATTGGCAGGAAACAGACAGAAATAATAGGCAATCAATGTAACGTGAACATAGAAATGGGGATGCAGGGATTGTCTATATATATATATACACATACACACACACACGTATATATGTATAGAGTTATATATAATTTCTATTAAAAATACAAACTAGAAATTTTTGGTCAACTGCTGTATGGACTGACCTCCATTTACTAATGCAATGACTAAGTAGGCAAATTGAATTGATCAACTGTTTTAGCATCATAATAAAGCATGCCAGTTTTCTATGTTATAGTCCTTTCTCCAAAGCTTTGTCTTGCTTCCCTGTAGGTTTTAGTCACTTGGATTCTCTCATTGTCCTGATCTTCATACTAGAGGAAAAAATAAGTACTCAAGGGACGTTCAGAAGTGAATTTATAGCAACGAGGAGCTGGCTGGACTCAAGGGGGAGGCAGTGGAAGGAAAGCAAAGAATGTCATGCGGCAGGAATGGAATGTTGAAAAGAGTCTGCAAAGAGCAGGCCCCTATCCTTCCTGTAAAATAAAATAGCAAAAGTGAGATTTCTTCTTTATGCTTTCTTCTCTGACCTCGTCCTCAGTAGAAATTTGCAAATTAAAAACATAAACCGTGGTGTATAGGAAAATCAGTCCAAATAGGCAAAACATCTGCATTACAAAAATTTTAAATGCAGTTTTACTACCTTTAAGAATATAAAATAATGAAGCTATTTCACAGGCATCAGGAAAGAGATCTATATCTATGTAGATAAAATCACAGTATCTGTTTTTAAGATGTTCAAAATCTGAAGAAGGAAAGAACAGAGGGTACTGCAATTATCTCCTCACTGAGCTATTTCGATTTATCCTTCCTGCCTTCCAATCTATCCAGGAGCCTAAGTGATCTTTGTAAAAGCCAGATATAATCCAGACCCTCCTTTATTCAAAGGCTTGCCTTGCTATTAGAATAAAATGCAAACTGCTGGGCCTATTTGGCCCTCCATAATCTAGACCCTGCTGTTTTTTCAGCTTCATTCCTTATTATCACCTCACTATCCTGTTCTCCTTCCCCTCATCTTGGACCCTACACTCCTAGTCACTCTGAATGACATACATTTTTTTTTTGAAAGTGCCAGGCTTTGCTTGTGAATCTCCCTCTGGGTGGAATACTATGTCTCTATTCTACCTGAAGAATATACTGCCATCTTGCAAGGTAGTTCAAATATCACCTCTCCTATGAAACCTTTTTCTGACAGAGACACACACCCACATAAGAATTGTCTTCTCATTCCTCACAGTATCCCAACACATTTCCACCATTGAGCCTCAATACTGTGCACCACTCTGAGGTGTATGTTGTTCTGCTTCTTGTTTCAGGACTGAGGTACCAAGTCTCAGCCAAATCCCTCAGGGAAATTGCCCTCATCCAGAAAGAACCTCTTTTCCCCAGGGCAGCTCAAATTCCCTAATTAGTCAGTGAAGAGGATAGGGTACAAAGGACCCCTTGCTCCAAAGTGAGACAACAACCACTTTCCTATCCCAGACCCAGAGCTCCCATGAGGACTTTGTGGTAACAGTTGAACTACTTTCACTGCCCCGCACTCTTCCCTTCACTTCCCCACCGGGGCTGACCAGGGTGCACTCCCCAGCAAACTGCCTACAGGTTCAACTCCATCATGGAGTGTATTTCCCAGGAACTCTAACATAGACACTCTGTTTTACACATTTATTTTTTTTACAGCTCATCTTCACACATTGACTACATGAATGTATCCCTCAGTGCAGGTTGCCAGTGAAAACTTGCCAAAATAATGAATAAACAATAATATAAATCAAGTTGTATTAAGTTTGCTCTTAGTCAGGAGTGGCAGAGACTCCATGTCTTCTCCCATATCAATCTCCCAATCCTTTAAACTCATAAAATGTGTACAGTTTAGTTGGGCTTATGGCCACCCAGCATGGAAACTACATGTCTCAGCTTCTCTTAAATCTAGCTGTGTCCATGAGACTAAGTCTTGGCCAGGAGCATATAAGTAAGAGTATGTGCAAATTTTGACTCACACATTTATAATAGTTGTGTGCCCTCCTTCACCCCTGTTTTGTTCTTCCTACTCACTGTGATGTGGAAGCAATGATTACGGTTTGACCTTCTTTGGCCATTTTGACAAAGCCAACACTTATAGATTGTAGGCTCTGGGTCCTCAGTACAAAGGAGCTGCTATACCAACATTAGGCTCAGAATATTAAGTGAAAGAGATATCAATATTCATCATGTTTAAGCCCTGATATCTTGGAGTCTCTATTACAGCATTCTGTGACCTAATAAATATCAAAAATCGCAAAAAGAACCTACTTTGCCTAAGGATCAATTTGCTAAATGCCAGTGTGTAAAATTTACCAAATTTATCTATTAACCCAAACCCTTTTCCTTCACATTTTTATAAAATTGTCAACAATTTAAAGTCCTCCAATAAAGGATGAGAAACTAGGACTCCAAGTTCCTTAGACCTTTAGAACTCCCCTGCTTCTATTCCCTCCTTTCTCCTTAGTTTCCCACTCTCAAGAACTCAGCTGAGGTCATGCTATGACTGTCTCTTTTCTCCATCTTTCTTCAACTAGAGGGTCCTCTGTATCTGCCCTCACTCATTTTAGCATTTTAGCTGCAGTAACATGGAGTTGAGGCAAACTCAATATTCCTTTAAATACCATTATAAAAAGACTCATCAAAACCTTACATGAATTGTCAAAAACTCCCCAAATTATTAAAATTATTAAAATCATCCTATCCAATATAAATTATTATAAATTGTACAAATACTTAAAAGAAAGGCAGGACTTAGCAAAATATAAATTAGAAACTTGGTCATTTGATTGATCCTTTGGTGATGGGTATTCTAAGAACTGACTTTAGGGACTTGAACTGGGATTTCTCCTTATGACATTGGTGGGCTTGCTTGTTTCAGACTAATTCTCCTGCTAAGAACAAATAGAAAATGTGGCCATTTTGTGTTTTTAAAATCTACTTGAAGGTATCAAAGAGCACCAGTAATGGAAGCTCAAAAGAAGGGAAACACAGAAAGATTAGCATGGCATATGATACTGCTCCTCCTGAGGCATTTGCTGATTTATAATCTGTAGTTGAGAGTCTGAATGGACAAAAATTGGAATTCAGGGCCACCTAAAGGGAAGGATCCTGGAAAGCAGTTAAAGCTTTCGGGTGGGTCTATGGAAACATATACCTTAGAAGTAAAGGTAAAGTGGAACTGATCAGTCCTTACCAAAACTGAAGACCAGCTGCTAATCATCTAAATCCTTGACTGAATTAAACAGATGGTCCCTAATCTAACTGCTTTCCAGACATGAAAGTAAATTCTCTCTGAAGACAGACAACATTATCCAGAGCTTCAAATTATTCCTGTAATTCTTCATATACAATGATGTTATGACTGTGTTCCCACATAATTATATGTTGAAGCCCTGGCTCCCAGTACCTCAGAATGTGACTGTATTTGAAGACAAGACCTTTAAAATGGTAATTAGGTTAAAACAAGGCCATTAGAGTGGACTCTAATCCAATATGACTGGTGTCCTTATAAGAAAAGGAGATTAAGACACGCAGAGAAACATCAGGGATGCACATACAGAGGAAACGCCATGGAAGGACACAATAAGAAGGCAGCCATCTGCCAGGCAAGGAGAGAGGCCTCAGGAGAAATCAAACCTACTTGACCTTGAATGTCTAGCTTCCAGAACTGTGAGAAAATAAATTTCTGTTGTTTAAGCCACCAAGACTGTGGTATTTTGTTATATAAAACCTAGAAAGTTACCATACGTGCCCTGAAATTAATGTCTACTAAGGGAGAAAAGAAAGAAACTGACCACAAACTAAGGGATAAAAACCAACACAGAACAGACCTATGGGAGATCTGAATGTTGAAGTTAGAAAACATATCTTGAATTAATTGTCATTAATATGCCAGAAATTAAATGAAAAAAATTTAAAATCTCATAAGAGAAGTGAAAAGAGTAAGAAAAAGAATAGACACTCTAGAAATTTTTAAATACAATAATTAAAATTAAGGTGACTTTAATAGAACATGAGACACAGCTGCAGAGAGAATTTGTGGGCTGGAAGATTAATTAGAAAAAAATATCCATACTGATGCAAAGATCATAGTGCAAAAATCTAACACACACGTAACTGGAGCTGCAGAAGGAGAAAAGGGAGAAAAAATTGGTAAGAAGTAGTAATTGAGAAACAATGGCTGATAATATTTTCCAAAACTGATGAAAAACATCAGACCAGAGAATTCAGAACCTGTACAAACCATAAGCAAGATAAGATGATGAAAAGCCACTTAGGCCCCATACAATTGCTGGAAATCAAAGACAAAGAGAAAATCTTAAAAGTTTCCAGAGATTATGGCTGACTTCTCAACAAACAATGGTATCATATATACAAAGTGTAAATAGAAAATAACTGCCAAACTAGAATTCTATACTCATCAAAAATATTCCTTGAAAATAAATGTAAAATAAAGGTTTTTTTAGAAAAGCAAAAACTAAGAGAATTCATTACAAGCATACTAAAGAAATTCATTACCAGTACACTAAAGAATATATTACCCAAGCTAAAAAAAAAACTGAAAGAAAATTCTTTGAGCAGAAGGAAAATTATCCTGGCTGGAAGCCCTCTGATTTCTTAAGAAATTGAGAGCAATAGAAAGGGTAATTATGTGGGTAAATCTAAACAACTATTGGACATATTATTTACCCACATATTTACCCCAATAATAATTTCTTATGGGTATAAAAAAAAACATTGAATTAAAATGCATGACAATATTAACACAAAATGAAGGAGGTGAGTAAATGGAATTAAAGTATTCTAACACCAAGAAAATAATATAAGGAATAATATTAGACTTTAAATCAAGGATGCATGATGTAGAGTATCCACTAACACCATAGTAAAATAGTAGATAACTAACAAGATAATTAGGAAAATAATAAAATAATTTTTAATGCTTACTTAATCATAAAGAGATCAAAAGAGAGAGGAAAAAGGAACATAGGACAAGGGGAATTAATAGTAAACAAATTAAACATTGATATATTTAACTCATATATATCAATATTTGTAGCAAATGTACCAAATATTTTAAATAAAAGATTATAAAACCAGGCTTTAGAAAAATAAGACTATATGCTGCTACAGAAGACACACCTTAAGTAAAGGTATATAGCTGATGTTTAAATCCATAACATCCAGATGAGATCACCATGGTAGTAAATCTAGTTAGAAAGGGGTTCTAAGGACTGAAATGCAAGGTTATGATGTTGAGAGGATGAGAAGGAACTAGCCAAAATAGTCTGAAAGTGACCAGGGAATTGGAAAACCTGGTGAGTATGATGGGTTAGAAAGCCAAATCATGTAAATGTTTCAAGAATGAGAGAGTAATCAACCATATCAAATTGTACTAATAAGTCAAAACCAAAGTGAAGACTAAGAAATGACTATTGGATTTAGAAACACAGTGGTCACTGGTAAGCTTGACAAGAGCAATTTGAGTGGACTGATAGCAGTAAAAGCATGGTTGGAGAGGGTTCAAAAACCAAAGGACAACAGGCATCAAAAACCAAAAGTATAAGCAACTATTTCAAGTAGTCTTACTCCAGAAGAGAATGGGGACATGAGTCGAGAATCAAAGAAGTGAGATCAAGGGAAAAGCATTTTTGTTTGTTTGTTTTGTTTGGATTTGTTTAAGCAGAAGGAAAAAAGCAGCCCATCTCTGTGCTAGTCTGAATGATCCAGTAAAGAGAGTAGAGGAAATTGCCTGCATGAGGTTTTGATTAGGTGGAAAAAGATGCAAACTCATGTACAAGAGGAGGAATCAACCTTAGACAGAAGTATGAACAATTCTCAATAGTAACATAGGCAACACAGTTCTGTGTACAGTTGAACACATGGGAGCTTGAGTAAGTTTCTGTAGAATGCATCTATTTTTTTCTTAGTAAGGTAGAAAACAGGTCATTAGCTGAGGATCAAGATGGAAGAAGAAATACTGAAAGTTCGAATTGAGAAAAGAAATGAAACCATCTAGGAAAATGGCAAAGAGAGTAGACTAGAAAAATCAGCCGGGCACAGTAGCTCACACTTGTAATCCCAGCACTTTGGGAGGCCGAGGTGGGCGGGTCACCTGAGATCAGGAGTTCGAGACCAGCCTGGCCAACATGGCGAAACCCCATCTCTACTAAAAGTACAAAAATTAGCCAGGTGTGATGGCGCTGGCGCCTGTAGTCCCAGCTACTCAGGAGACTGAGGTAGGAGAATCGCTTGAAACCGGGAGGCAGAGGTTGCATTGAGCTGAGATTGCACCACTGCGCTCCAGCCTGGGAGACACAGCGAGACTCCATCTCAAAAAAAAAAAAAGTAAAGTAAAAGAAAAATAGGGTGCGATTGCTGAGCAGCATTGAAGGTTCCAAATAAAATCAGCCTGCGAGGATATAGAGGCAGTAATATTAACTGAGCTAAGTTAACAGGCGAGAGAGAGAGAACAGTTATGAAATACTTCTACCTTCTTAGACTCAGGCTCTTGTCTGAGGCCTCTTCACAGACTTTGTTGTCTCATAAATCCATGCCTATGATCAAATTTCTCTTGCCTAGAGTACTCTTTTTTTTCTCTATTTTCCTGGCAAAAGTGTTTTTCATTCTCTGTGACTTCCCTGACCCGCAGAAAACAATTTCATTTTTCCAACTTGTGTGCCACCATTGTTCCTAGTAATTCCTTCTATTATTGCACTTAGCACTATGTAGGATAATATTTTTATCATTAGTCTCCCAAAATTAACTATGGGCTCCTTCAGGGAAAGACTATCTTCAGCATCTCTGTGTCTTTATCTAATACACTATCTAGGTATTCGATAACTTTTTATTCAAGGAACTGAATTAATAATAAATGCCCTACCTTTAATGAGAGTATTGGAATATTCCTGAAACTTCTTTCCAACAAGGAAAATTAAAACCAGCATGAAATTTTAACAAATAATTTTTAGTAGACTATGTAATTTTCTACAAGTATAATATGAAAAGCTGCGGTGAACATGTCCTGCCTCTTTACCCATCTCTTACCATTCTGTTGCAATGCCTAATGAAAATCTACATTAGAAATCTATTCTGAAATTTCAAGTAAATAAAATATAAATAAAGAATAGCTTTATTTTTTTCAACAAGAAATTTAAGACAAACGTGAGCAACTTTCATAGTGTGCATCTGTTGGGTTATCCCTCCAGCCCCTCTTTATCTGAGCACCATCCACACACCAACCCCCTTCAAGTGGTTAAAAGAATGGCTGCCAGTAGTAGTCATGATTCTAGAGTGTAACTGGCCACATTCCCTGGCCACAGTTGACTGGTCTGAAAGTGAGTACTTTAACCAAGCTGGGCCAGTAAGAATTCTGACTCTAAAATTTAGAATTTGAAACAAAAGCAAAATTGAGTCTGTCTTCTGGTGGCTGGACTTGTTACAAGTAAAGTCAGAAACTATATGCAGCCATTTTCTTCTATGTAGACCAAAAAAGTAGAAGAAGCCATTTTTTGCAGGAAGAAGCTTGCAAAAGGAAAAATTATACAGACTTGGTGGGGTGCAGTGGCTCCCAGCACCTTGGGAGCCCAAGACAGATGGATCACCTAAGGTCAGATGTTCAAGACCAGCCTGGCCAAAATGGTGAAACCCTGTCTCTACTAAAAATACAAATATTAGCCAGGTGTGGAGGCATATGCCTATAGTCCCAGCTACTCAGAAGGCTAAGTTAGAAGAATCGCTTGAACCTGAGAGGTGGGGAGGTTGCAGTGAGCCGAGATCATGCCACTGCACTCCTGCCTTGGCGACAGAGCAAGACTCTATCTAAAAAAAATAATAATAATAATTATACAGAATCAACCAGAGTAGATGATGAGAGACACAGAAAGAGCCTGTTGGTATTGTAGCACCTAGTTCTAGCTCTTACTACCTGATCCTTGGGTACCATGATCTATCCCTACACCTTTCTGTTTTAATAAGCTTGAATGAAATCCTGTTGCCATAAGAAAAATTTACTAGAAACTCTCCAACTACAGTCTAATGTGAGTTTTACTCTTCAACGAAGTCATGTAAGCAACTACAATTAAATGATACAAGACATTTTCAACACCCATCTCCACAACGTGGTCATGGCTATCCACAATGTAAACTTTGATAAGAGGATGGTCTGGGGACTCCAGAATAGCAGCTTTTCATAGGTCTGTGTGGCTGAGACTGCAAAGAGTAGGGGCAGCCATAGAACACTGGACACCTGTAGAGAAGCTAAGAATTATGAGAGAAGGAACACGTTTGCCAGAATGAAAGAGGACTAGGGTTGACATTTGCCCACGTTGCAATTCCCACCATGCAAGCAAAGAAACTATCATTGAGATAGACTCAAGAAAAACAATGAAATACAAAAGAAGGAAAGCAAAAAGGAGAAAGTTCAAGAGATAGTTGAGATGAACTCTTCGGCTTTCTTCAGACTTTAAAGGGAAACATGAGCTGTGAAAGTAGAGGCCAATTTTTGAATATTATAGCAATTGTAATAATAGTGCTTCTGCAGATTGTTAAAAACAAGCAAACAACATGCCTGTTAAATTATTGGCTTTTCAAATTCTAACAACTCACTGGAAAAAGAAAATTTGATCTTCCTTGAATTTCCCCTAAGTGGATATTTTTCTTTAGTTAAAAAAAAAAACAGATCAGTCATCAGACATCATCACAACAAAAAGTGTCTAGAGGATGGGCTAGCTTAGGAACACTTTAGGCTTGATGATCATTCCAAGATATTTTTCAAATATCTGTGGCTCCACCAAACCCAAAACACATTTTGTGTTTTACCAAACACCAAATAAGTTTTGCCAACCACTTTTTACATTTAATTTTTTTAAATCATGTGTATTTTAAGTGAAATTTAATTCACATCTTTCTGATTTAGATATATACAAATAATCAAAATTTTGTTTTGTAAGAACTATTGGTGTCCACAGAAGCATTTCAAAAACTTTCTGAATTATTTCAATAATCTTTTAAAGTCTTTTTTCCTAGAAATAGGCAATTTCTTGTTTTTCCCTTGAATTCAGTTAAAGCTTCCTCTTATTCTCCACTCTTATACCCCCAAAGTAATTAAAATATAAAAGGGAGGTTTTTTTGTTTTGTTTCCAGTTACAAATATAAGGAAGTTCTATGTTTTCCCTAATGACATAAAGACAGAAAACTAGGGAGATTTTCTTGCAGATCCTTTTACATGTTATTAGTGGAAAAAATGTATATTTAATGGAAGAATGTAATGCAAAGCATTTAACCCTACAATAAGTGGCAACTTTGGCAAACTCTGTTTAGCATAGTCAAAGGTAAATAAGAATTAAATAAAAAACTAATTATGCAGCATTATATTATTACTGACAATGCTAAAACCAAAAAGATGCTTGTCAGACACTTGTCAATTGCTTTTGACAAAAGCAATTGTTTGGTGGTTAGTTCTCTAAAACAGGATGTAATCAAGGGAGTTCATTTGAATTTTTGTGCATTCTTTCTTTCTACTTCATTCCTTCACCTGCCCCTGTCACACACACAGACACACACACACACACACACACACACACTTTTTAAAATTAGTCCTTAAAATTTAACATTTGACATCATAGTGCGATCCTTTTCATCTTTTCTTCTGAATAATTGGGAGAATTGTGCAGACTATCTTTGATAATTTGGAGAGGCTCTACCTCTTTGTAATAGTAATATAAATACCAAAAATAAAATATTTACATTTAATTTGAAGATTTAATTCAATATAATTATTTCTACACTAATAGTTCATCCCTGTAATATTCTGCTCCTCTGATAAAAAATTCTTTCCATTCCAACATTGTTAGGATTCAACTTCTTAACCTTCTATCCCTTTGCCTAAGTACTTTCATTCTTAAGCTGTTTACAATTTCAACTGATATTTGTGCACCTACCCTAATGTTTGCATCAAAATGTATAATGAATAAATATTAAGACTAAAAACCACAGCCCTGACATCTCTATAAATATTAAACTCCACTCACATTCTGTCTGTGTAGCATACCATTCTATCAGATCAAGAGATGATTTAAAGGATTCTGCATGAGAAGCCTTAGAGAAACTAAATTATCATCACCAGATCATAAAATTCCCAAATAAGTTTTACATTCATTTCTCTACACAAAGTTTGGGATATCAAATTTCTTCAAACTTAATATCTATAGATGGATTTAGAAATACCTTGTCAGTGGGAAAACAGCTTGCCAGCAGCACAGAGCTCGCAAAGAGGAAATTGCAAAACATTGTACTTTAAGAGTAGAAGAGGCATAAAAATACTCTTCCCAGTAACTATAAATTATTTTTGAAATAGATTTCGTTTAACAACAATACACTTTTGCTTGGCATTTCTGGCCCAAGATCTCTCCTATCACATGTGTAGCAGACAATTATCTATAACATATCCTGTTTTATAGTCATACAGTGTGGCGACAGAAGTGAGAGCTCTGCAGTCACTTCTGGATTAGAACACAATCTCTGCTACTTCCCAGCTGTGTGACATTGGCTGGGTCACTTTACCTTTGTTGAGACTTGCAGGGTCACTGTGAAAATTTAATGTTCCAGATACTATCCATTTTATCTCATTTAATTCTCACATCAACCTTGTAATATTCAATAAGTAACACTCTGTGATAATTTAATGGGTATTTTAGAATTAAATAAATATTTTAAGTTAAATGCACACCATAGTAGATGGCACATAATAAACACAAGTGAGTTATCTTCCCCTACCATGTGGGAGTACATATAGTCCCTTGTTACATAAAGAGAGTAAAATGTGCGTGTAGCTGTTTAGTTACTACATACTTATTTCGGCCTTAATAAGCTCTGTTCATCCTCTTTACAATTAGCTCTTGTATCACTAAGAAATGATTATAAAGTGTCCCCAACCCTCTACTGCTTAGAATTTCTGTTTTCTGTCCTCTCACAGGTCAAAACCAGCAAAGCTTATTGTAAAGACCATAACAAATGAATTTAGTTATCTTGCATTCCAAAAGATTCCTTTCTTTCTTTAGTTTCTCTTCAGAGGCAAAGCAGAGGCAGCTCTGAAAGTTTCCACATCTCATAAAGCAAAGTAGGTGGGCTTCTTTTCCCCTAAATCCTTCTTTTCTTCTACCAGTTTCAATAATTATTTTATTGCCCATTTTATTTAAAACACTTAGGATAGAAGGCTATCCTGCATTCTCTGTTTTTTATACAAAGGCGAAACACACACAGCGGTTTGGTTGGTTAGGAACTGAAGAAAAATACACAGAGGAGACAATAAAAATCTTCCCCTGGCCAACAGACTGGAGCGTTCCTGCAAGGAGCTGGTGGAAACACTGACGAAATGCCTGGTGTTATTTAATTGTCATTGTTCCTATTGTTTTCCTTTCCATACAACATGAATTCTTAATCATTAACTCACAACATAAGCAAATCTGTCTGTCCACTGGAGAACCCTGAAGAATTAGATGCTAGGACAAACAGCCAGGCAACAACTCATGTCTTGCTGGTGGCTCTGAAGTTCAAGTCCTGGGTACTGAGCTCCCTGGCCCAGTAACTAACATTTTTCCCTTTTCTGCAGTCTTTTCTTCCTAAAATTATAATACCCATACATTAGGTTAGATGGTTTTTCTGGTTATACTATCATATTTGTATTTGAAGTTTAAACTTCTGTTTGGCAACCTATTTGTGTACTTAGAAGACTTGCCTTTTCTGTAAAGAATTGTCTTAATGTTTATAAAATATTTTTGTTTCTTCAGACCCATATTAACTTTTAATTCATGCTTGTAATGTAGGTCCTCTATCTTTATGCTTAAAAATACTTTGAGATTGCAAACATGCTCATAACATTTAAAAGTGAATTCTTATTAACAGTGAACAAGCTTCTAGCACATATTCTCAAGTTTCAGCCCTCATTAGGCTGTCTAACGAGTTACTGAATGGCTAATACATGTGTCAAAACTCAAGAAACATTAAACTTCTGTTTGTGCCCAGCACTATACTAGGTAGTACAATATGGTAATATGTTTTAGATTTAAACCAACGTATTATTAATATCAATAATAATAGAATCTCTATAATTCACTTAAGGATATAATTGCATATAATGTAATAATTATTTCTTTCCTGTATTGTCATTATTCCTATAATATTCTAAAATTCTACTCCTTCATTGTTTTAATTTAACTCTTCAACATTCTCTCCCATTGTGTAGAATACAAATTAATTTGCTAGACTACATAGCAAAAATGTGACCACAATCTTCTTTTTTTAAAAAAATAAGGGGTGGTGTATCCCCCTTTCTCTGGAATATATTAGAATTCCTTTAGTTAGTACCTGTTTTCAACACGCAGTCATACTATTTTCTTCAAGCAGCTAAGTAACTTGCCTTTTTACATTTAACACTAAAAGGTCCAACAATTTATTACCAATATGAAGTTCAGGCATAAAATTTAAATCATCTTAATAGCAGACTCCAGCTCTCTGACAAAAGCAATAACTATATTATATTGTTACAATTTATAGAAAACTAAAAATAGTTCTCCAAAATAGCCCTAGCTTGTTTTACTAGATGATTACTTTAACATCCTCTCTCTAACGTAATAAAACCAATCAATTGCTCAATTCTCCACATCACTTCATGTAGAAAGGCCCAATTCCACCATCTGCATATATGCAGTGCTATTTATTGCTCACCAACACAGGCATAGAGTGAAAACGTACAAGTTGTAGTTGAAAAGCAATGAGTACCTCATAAAAAGTTAACTTAAATGCCAAGTGACATTACATTATCAGAAATAAAGAACACAATTTAAGTGAACCACGCAAATGGAAAGGGACCTCGAGAACATACCTCTAGATTTTATTCCCTCCTCCTACAGCTGAATCCATTCTGTCTTCCTCTCCCAGGCCACTCAGTTTCAAACATTCTGTATCACCCCACAAAATGTCATAAATTTGTTGTCTAGGCTGTCTGGTAGAATTCATTTTATAAGTCTGGGTGAGGATCATGTTTTCGTTTACAAATGCTTCGTTCTTTACAATTGAGAGAAAGACAAACCATAAATTCTTTTTGAATAAATCATGGGTTTGTTTACTGTTGTTTATATGAGGGAAACCATAAAGCCAAGCTATATTCCATTTGTTATAGAAGGTTAAATCACACCATTTGAATGATCTAAATAAACAACAGGTGCCAACGCCAGACTATGGCAAGATCCTGGAAACAGAAGGATGCTGTCTCTGTTGTGATGCTTCTGGTGGAACAACTGGCAGGTGGTCTGCAATATTATGTGATATACAGGTCACCAGAATAATTTTACACTCCACTTCCATGCAGATGTAGAGGGAACACTGACAAAATGGCAGGCTCTCAGTGCCCCTGGAGCCATCATCTAACTGCAGATATACACACTGGTTAAAACTGTCATTATCTCACTTGTCACCTGCTCAACAGAAGTTAAAAAGGAGGCCCTTGGAATCAAAATGAGGTAGTGATACAAATATGTATTAGCCTGCTCTTTCTACCACTTCCATGTTAGGGATTAATATCATCCACATACGAACAGATTACTCTAAAGGACCAGTGTAAATAAGCTTCGTTTCCTTGGCCCCATTTCTGCCTGTTGTCTTTATGGATCATTCTTTCCTTGCAGTTGACATATAACTGTCTGAATGCTCCTTCTCAGAATCTTTTTTTTTCTTAACGGAGAGCTAAGGTAAGAACTAGGAAGTTGGCCAGCAACTCCTGAATCTGCTTTTCCTGGAACACCTTTGTTCCTTTGTTGAAATAATTAAGAACTTCAGAAACACCTGTACACAAATCCATATTAAAGTAAAGTGTAATTTTTGAATTATTTATATCAATTCTCTTTCCCAAATTACCATTTATAATCATGTGCGGTAAAAGAAACAATTATAAAAGTCGGTCTGACTTGGATTGGAGCCCTGGCTTAGACCTTCCCTATTGATCATAGCAAGTGGGTGAATCTCTACAAACCTGCTTCCTGTTTTATAAAATGGTCAGAATAATGCCCACCTATCAAGAAAATTGCTAAATATTGTAACAAGTGCCTAGCAAATGAGTACCCAATAAGTACTGGCTATTATTCTTCTTCTTAACATGCTATGAAATTGCCCACTGAACCCTTGTTCCTTGGCCATTATTCTGACAGCTTGTTCAGCCAAGCTACCCACACTCTAATAAGAGTTCTAATAATTTCCCCCTCATCTAATAAGAAAGGCAGAGTAGTCCAGAGACAGAATGCTTGCTGGCCATTTCTTAGACCTGAATTTTAAAAATAAACCTTTTTTTTCTTCTACTTCTTTTCTTCCTTTGTCTCTCCTTTCTAACCCAAAAGCTTTTAGGTGGGGTTGAGCAAGGTAAGCATTAGCATAGGGGCTGTAGAGGAAGTGGAATCCTGGAGGAAATGTTGGAGCACAAGTAGAATAAGGAGTGAGCATGGAATGTCCCTGCTGGGAGACAGCCCAAGGTGTGTTGCCAAAGCTTGAGCAAAGTGAGGAAGGTATCCCTGAAGAAGGATGCCCAGGCAAGGGGTTTCCGAAGTAATGGAATGAGGACAGTCTCCATATATGGGTGCAATCCATAATGGGATGTCAAATCAAAGCAGGGTGGGGAAGATGTCCACATGTCAAAGGGTAAGCAAGGTGCGTAGACCATCCTCAATGGAAAGGGTGTTGGCAGCAGGAAATCTGTTATACTCTGGGGAGTTGAGCAATAAGTAAATATATTGAGGCTGCTGGGAACTAATTTCTCAGTTGTTGAGGAATGAAAACGTGGAAATACAGAAAGGGAAATCACAAATATGGAAAGAGAAAGAGCTAAAATGATTCCTGTGGATTGGAATTGGAGATATCTCTGTGAACTCATAGTTTCAACATATAAACAGACATAGAAAAAATACAAATATATTAATATGTATCTATATATTCTCCAGCTCTGTTAACGCAAAGGGCCTTGGAGCAGCAACATTACAGTGACAATGAAGTTACCTAGCATCTAGGTAACTTGTAGACATAGATAGAATCACTTTTCTGCTCCAGTGCCTACTCTGGGTGCTCCACTTGAAAAGCAATAACTACCTAGATTTTGGTTTCTAAATACTATTCTCTAATAAAAAGACTCAAGAATCCTTGCAGAAATGGGTGATTCCCGAGCTGAGGAAGGAAAGGACAAGATGAGCCTGGAACTTCTTGTTGTGCCAGAAAATAAGGAAGTGCTCAGATAATATTTCAAAGGACATAGAAGCCAGCTTGAAGGAGATTTCTTCCATCAAATGGAAGGGACAATTTGAGCTTCAAAATAAATAATTATAGATTTGGATCCCAATCCTTTGAATAAAATAGAAACCCATGAGTTTACACTCTTATAAATAAATTAAATAAGAAGTTTGATAAAGAAAGAGATATCTAGCTCACCTCAAGTACCTCTGCATAAAACATTTATTAATTATAAAGAGTAATTGATTACAAAGAGAAGCTGGCAGATACCTCCCCAATCAAATAATCAAAGTGATCATCACCAGTAATGGGACAAATGGAAATCTTGATGGGATACAATGAGAAGAACCCAGCACCACTTCTCTGATAGTCCTGCCAAAGACAGACAAACAGAATCTAATCAACAGAAAACATAAGAAAAATATGCAGTGAGGACATTCCACAAAATAACTGCCCTATAATCATCATAGTCATGAAAGTCAAGGAAAGAGTAAGGAAAGGTTGAAGGAGATTGAAAAGTCACACAGGACAACTGAATGGTAATGTGTGGTTTTGATGTGGAACTTTTTGGCTACAAAGGGCATTTTCTGGATAATTCATGAAACTTGAATCATGTTTGAGGATTAGATGGTAGTAATGTGTCTATGTTAATTTCAGAATTTTATTATTTTATTGTGGTTCATTATGATATTGCCCCCATTAGTTAAAAATGCACACTAAAGTATCCAGGAATGATGGGGCATCATGAAGGCTATCTGCTCTCAAATAATTCAGAAAAAAAAAGTATTCTTCTTGCAGTTTCTCCATAAATTTGAGACTGCTTTAAAGTAAAATACTTTTTTGTAAACAACCACACTAATACTAATGCACTGAAGTACAAGAACTTTCAATGCATCATGAAAAGATAGAAGCAAAGATCTCAAAGCAATTCAGTGGTTGCTACAAGCTACCTAACAAGTTCTATGTGAAGGTTTGTAAAACAAAACATGCTTTATTGTTCATTCCATGGCCATTTCATGTTTGGCAGCCACCACTGCTGATCCTGCCACTGCTTTTCAAGTGGAGCACCCAGAGTAGGCACGGGAGCAGAAAAGTGATTCTATCTATGTCTACAAGTTCCCACTACAGCGTTGAATGCCAAAATCCATCAGGGGAGCTTACGTCTTTGTTTATCTTTTGACATGGCAAACCCTGTATGCCACCATGATTCCACATACAAGCTAATTCTGAAACCAAAATTGGCATCCCACAGGCCTATTTCAGTACCAGACAGCTTATGGTACGCGTAGTTTTAAAAATGTGCCATTAAAAAAGCAGCAGGGGCTGGGTGTGGTGGCTCACGCCTGTAATCCCAGCACTTTGGGAGGCCAAGGCAGGCAGATCACCTGAGGTCAGGAGTTCGAGACCAGCCTGGCCAACACAACAAAACCCTGTCTCTACTAAACACAAACACACACACATACACTTATCCAGGCATGGTAGTGTGTGCCTGAAATCTCAGCTACTCAGAAGGCTGAGGCAAGAGAATTGTTTGAGCCCAGGAGATGGAGGTTGCAGTGAGCAGAGATCATGCCAGTGCACTCCAGCCTGGGTGACAGAGAGGAAAGGAAGGAAAGAAGGAAGGAAGGGAGGGAGGAAGGAAGGAAAGAAGGAAGGAAGGAAGGAAGGAAGGAAGGAAGGAAGGAAGGAAGGAAGGGAGGAAGGGAGGGAGGGAAGGAAGGAGGGAAGAAAGGAGGGAAGCAGGAAAGGAAGGAAGGTAGGAAGGAAGGAAAGAAGGTAGGAAGGAAGGAAAGAAGGAAGGAGGGAGGGAGAGAAGGAAGGAAGGAGGGGAGGAAGGAAGGAGGGAAGGGAGGGAGGAAGGAAGGAAGGATGGAAGGAGGGAGGGAAGGATAGGAGGAAGGAAGGAAGAAAACAGGGAAGGAAGGGAGGAGGGGAGAAAGGAAGGAAGGAAGGAAGGAGGGAAGGAAGGGAGGAGGGGAGGAAGGAGGGAAGGAAGGAAGGCAGGCAGGCCAGCCATGCCAAAGTGGCTGACAATTTGACAGGCTTAAACACAACCTAAGGTGGTTTATTGATGACATTTATAGAGTGCAAAATCTCACAATATAAAAAATAAAATAAAATAAAATGGTGATTAATCATTTGAGCGTTTTTATATGTAAAAGTATTCTAAATAAATCTAATCCATAGTCAAATACAAAACGTATTTCACAAACATTATCTAGGTTTGGACCACTCCAAATATGAATCAATGTCCCAGTCAACTCAGAAAATTCTGTGGTTCCAGCTCTGGCTCCCAACTCTAGCAGAGGGTTTATCACACATCACAGTTAAAGGAAATCTCAGTCATTTGCAATGTTTATTATTTTTTCCCTATTGTGGTTTGCAGACCATCAATCGCCACCCTCACCACATTACAAAAAGAGAAAACACAGGGGATACATTTATTTTGTTTTTATTTAAATGGTATCTATTCTATACACTATTTTTGGTCTGCTCTTTTTCCCCTTAGCAGCATAGTAAAATATTGCAATTATTTTTTATGTCAAGAAACATATTTCAGAATCTGGCTTCAAAGTATTCTCCTGTATAAATTTATCTTTTTAAAAAAAACTATTGTCTTATTAGTTGGCATTTTTGGTCTGCATCTCTGATTATTCCTTTTGTTAATTCCGTAAAAGTGAAATCACTGAGACAAAATCTGTACATACATTAAGGATTTTGGTAGTGTTAACAAATTGTCTTCCAGAAAAGTTTTAACACTTAGTTCTCCCATCAGCCTTTTCCTTCCTTTTCTTCTTGCCAGCAGTATTATCACATTTCAGTGAAATACATTAAATTAATTTTTAAAGTAATCATACCTAATTCTGTAGGCCCTTCCTTGGAGGCAAAAAAATTTAATGCTTAGAGAGTCAACATATTCGAAAACCAGGTTTTTTTGGTTTGTTTGTCGTTTTTTTTAGTTTTGTTTTGCTTTTCAGAGAACACTATTGCCTTAAAAGGGTAGTTGTCTACTTGTCTCAAAGAGAGTAACCTGGATACTACCATCCTTCATGCAGTTGTCTGGCTAAAATAAATTGCCCACAAGGCAAAGAAATATTTACTTCCTTGGACTTCTTTCTGAGTTCTGCACCAGTCATGTCAAGTGTTGCAACTCATTTCTTTTTGCCAAAATCAGCTCATTCACCAACTGTTTTAAATTAGCTATGGTTGAGATGGTGCTTGCATTTTGCTCCCCCCACTTTTAGAAACATAAATTTCCAAAACAATTACCTATTAAGCTAGAAGTCTCATGCTCTTGCTAAGCCTGAGGGCGATTTTTCTCTTTCGGTTTGTGCTTATTTTGGAAAGTTTGTAAATCCATTTAGTTCTGTCTGAGAATAAGATTGCCGAATAAATATAGGTGCTGTTTTTCACAGCCTAGTTACTAGAATACTGTGCATTCTTTTGATTATTCTACTTGATTTTGACTTTCTTTAGTACTACTACAGGAAATATAAGATTATTCAATCCATTCACATTATTTTTAAAACAAAGATGCAGAAACACAAGATAAGACAATTGGGTTTAGCTAATTGAGTAAGTTTAGAGAAAAGAGTTCTTGAAATATAAATGAGCAGACATTAAAATTATTTGCTTGGGTTTTTCAAAACCAAATGAATCTTTCTCACATTGCCAATAAGCAAAATTTATTTCTCTCACTATCCCATTATTGATGTGTTTTTTTAATTTGATATATGTTATAGTATAGAGGGTAATGTAATATGAAAAGAACATTAAAAATGCAGTGAGGGAGGAAAAATCACTGTAGAACTATTATTGTAGAGGCCTTTTGATTTTAATATTTGCTTTCATATAATGAAAATTTCAACCTAATGTTGCATACAAATTATTTTTGCATTTAAATTTCCCTGCTTTTACACAGAGGTCCATTTAAAATGAAGAAAATGGAACTGGAATTTTGCATTAATGGACATAGGAGAAAAATGCTGTGTGAATGTTTTTCAGGTGCTAGTACAGATTCCAAACTATTGTCTGCTCCATATTTTGGTCTAGACACACAAGAGGACAATAACCAAACGGTTGTAATTTTTGAAAACTCCTAGACTGAGCAACAATATTAAATTGAAACCAAACTTCATATTAAATAGTTTATGGGACTCCTCAGTATTCAGCTTGACTCCTGCAATAGCTCATTTTTAAAAAGAATTTAGTATCAAATGGAGTTTTGTTTGTTGCAGACATCCATTTTTTTAAAACCTAGAGGTTCTTGTATTTGATTCTCTTGAGAAGGTATATAGGTATTCCTTCTGCCAAAAAATGTTGGATACTTTAGAGTGAACAAGATATTTTGCTAGTTGGGTTCAATGTACTGATCAATGACCCCATCTCTGCATACTTTAGAAATCAAGTCCTGCAGGTGCTCTGCCTACCAAGCTCAGGCTGAACTCTTAGTAAAACAGGTAAACAGGATTGGGGGATGTGGAGCCAGAGATACCTGTTCTCTAATCTCGATTCTGCCACTTGCTGGCAATGTGACCTTGGGCAACTCTTTTGACCTGCACGTCTCAGTTTTCCCAGTTGTAAAATGGGAAAGATAGCAATGCTTACCTCACAGGGTTATTGTGAAGATCCAGAAATATAATGTATACGAAGCACCTTGCAGGATTTAGAACTTTATAAGCACTATAATATATAACCTATTTTTCATTATCCTTTTTATTTTACTCTGTGTATAGCCTAGAAAACATAAAAACTGGATTATAGCCAATACTTAAGCTTAATAGAATGTCGCTTATTTTACTACTTCTCTTTATTTATTTTTTTTTGGCTGCTCATGATGTAGCTAGCTTTATAAATACAGCATTTCATGTACTTACACATAAGATTCAAAAAGGCAATTTTCTTAGGAGTGCATTTTCTCACTTTTAAAAATTTTTTTACATTAAAAAAAGACAAAATCAAATATTATTTGGCAAGATTCAGAATAGCCTCAAAAGCTATTTTAAGCGTTAAGTACTTAAAAAGTTTTTGAAACTTTAAAATTATCAATGGTAAAATTATTTTAAAGCAATTCACAGGGGTATTTTTCCATGTTAAAAACTAATTAATTTATTCAAGAAATTTCATTCAACAGGTATTATTAGCTGCCTGCTATAATAAGTACCTACTAAGTAGGTATTATCTACCTATTTCAAGAAACTGCCTGGTAATGAGCAGATGAAAACTACTTCTGCCTTCCTCACAGAGCTTGGCATTGCTAACATCATTCAGCTCACATTTTTCACAATCCTAGGAAACTTGATAGGTAAGTCCTAGGATTTATCCTTTCAAACGTACACCTGTTTAAAAAATTAATAAACAAAACATTGAGATTCTATTTACAATTGTATTTTTTTAAGTTGTAAAAAAAATTTGTTATTTATAAATCAATTACACAATAAAATAATTAGTTTTAAAAGTCACAAATACAATCGTCATATAAAGTCAGTTTGGCATCAAGTATCTATTAAATATGTTGCAAACTATTTTCCAAAGAGATGCGGTCCAAACTCTCTGAAGGCTTTATAATTTTGTATTAGATAACAAGTGAACAAAACTGACAATAAATACTCCAACAGTAATTTTTTAAAATACTAAGTGGTAAATGCTATTCTAAGTGGCAAAACAATCTATTACTCAGACTACCTGAAAATTTCACTGATGTCATAAAAAGGTATGCGAAATTTGTATTTACATGTTTAAAATCCTGATTGTATTTTTCTTGAATAATAATACATACAAAAACTCAAAGTGTTAATAAAGAAATAATTCAAAGTCCTAATAAGTCAACAAACAGATTTCATTATAAGCTGAACATAAAAGAGACACCATTGTTTGCTTCTCTTTTCAAAAATTATCACGGGACTTTGTCAAATGGAAGCAGCATTCGAAACAATGGTTCTCATATCTTTGTGTGCATAAACATCATGCAGGTTTGTACCACACAGATTCCTGGGCCCTGTTCCCAGTCTGAGCTCTCATTATTGAATCTGAGGAATCTGCATTTTGAACAAGATCCATGAGTATTTTATTTTATCACCCAAGCTGGAGTGCAGTGGCACAATTGTATTTTTTCTGGAACTTTTTCCATTTGATTAGAACCATTTATGTAAAACCTCTGAAGAGTATTGAATTAGTCTAACTTATTTTTATAAAAATCCACTAGCTGTGACTATACAATAGCAAAATGAATTTTTTAATTTCAATTTTATATAAGCTCATTGTTTGGAATCACATAAGCTACCCCTTAGGATAGTTTTGAAATGACATAGTGTTTGTACAATACCGAATACAGACTAACACAATAAATGACAGCTATTAGTATTATTAGTATTATTATTCACAACCATGACCATAGGAGGAAGATTTATGTCCATATTTTAGACTGCATAGCATCAATCTTTTTATTATTTTATTTTATTTTGAGACAGGGTCTTGCTCTGTCACCCAGGCTTAAACTCAGTGGTGTGGTAATAGCTCACTGCAGCCTCAATCTTCCAGGCTCAAGCAATCCTCCCACCACAGTCTCCTGAGTAGCTGGGAGTACAAGCATGAGCCACCATACCCAGCTAATTTTTTTATTTTTTTGTAGAGAGGGGGTCTTGCTATGTTGCCCTGGCTGGTCTTGAATTCCTGGGCTCAAGCAATCTTCCCACCTCAGCCTCCCTAAATTCTGGGATTACAGGCATGAGCCACCATGCCCAGCCAGCATTCATCTTTTGCCTACTATAATATACTTCACAATGCAAATTCAACCTATGTAATAACAACTTTCATATTATCTAAATAATATTTAATATTAAATATTATTATCTAAAAAATATTTAATATTAAATATTGCTATCTAAAAAATATTTAATATTAAATATTATCTAAAAAATATTTAATATTAAATATTGTTATCTAAAAATATTTAACATTAAATATTATTATCTAAAAATATTTAACATTAAATATTATTATCTAAAAATATTTAACATTAAATATTATTATCTAAAAATATTTAACATTAAATATTACTATCTAAAAATATTTAACATTAAATATTATTATCTAAAAATATTTCATATTAAATATTATCTAAAAATATTTCATATTAAATATTATTATCTAAATATTTAATGTGTTAAATAATATTTGATATTAAATATTATGTGTTAAATAATATTTGATATTAAATATTATGTGTTAAATAATATTTGATATTAACTATTATTAAATAAATAATATTTAAATGTGTTAAATATTTTTCTATTATTGAGAGGCCTTCTCTTGCCTAAATCTGCAGACATTGATTTCTCCTAACAATTCTGAAAGATATGTATTTGTTTCATCATTTTACAAATGAGAAAACCGAGGCTCCTGGAGTGAAATAACCTGGCCACATTGACACAGTTAGTAAATGGCAGAACTTGTCTGACTACATAGTCTTCACATTTGTTGTGCTGCCTCTTCTGGAAGACTTTTACTAATAAAATTGAATTTATAAAATTGTTTTTCAAACTGTTCTTTCTTCTTGAATCCAGAATCCGTAGAGACTCCAAAAAGATGTCTGGGATTTGCTAACAACTATTCTGACAAAACTATACAGAAAGAAAAATTTTTTCAGTTTGTATCTTGTTACCCAAACTTATTTCCCAATAGTAGAAAAACTGAAGTTGATTTGAGTGAAAAAAGCATCACCTTGACAGCTTAACGTTTAGGCTGATAATATATAGTTCCTTTCTCTCTCCCATTTTGTCTTCTATGTAATAGAAACCAAGGGACAACATATAGGAATCTCAGTAGAAGTTTCCTGTCTGGGCATCAGCTGAACACACACATACCACAATGTGATACTTGCCTTCTTCTATCATGGATAAAAACACTAAGGCAACTTTAAAAATCAGACCACAGTTGGGTAACAAATGTGTCCCTGCAGAAAATGGAGAAAATGAAATGTCTTTCACTTAAAACTAAGCATATAGTAACAGTTAAAATTGCACCAGCTTTACTGATACATGTCAGCTTCTAGACTGGCAAAGTAATTGAGCAGGAAAAACATTGATGATTTAAAAGTTGGTTCCCACTAGAAACTCCAGGAAAGATGGAGAAGCAAGCTGTGTAGTTACTGCTGAAATAAAAAGAAGCCTATTATTAGGACAGGGAAGGTATCTCTGGTTTGAACAGAAATTAACAGGACCCGAAGTGCTTTTTTAATTTTTTTAAACTTTTATTTTAGGTTACAGGGTGCAAATGCAAGTTTGTTATATATGTAAACTTGTGTCACAGAGGTTTGTTATACAGATATTTTGTCACCCAGGTACTAAGCCTGGTACCCAATAGTTATTTGTTCTGATCCTAGTTTCTAGGATCCTGATTTCTAGTTTTGTGAAGAATGTCGTTGGTAGTTTGGTAGGAATAACATTGAATCTGTAAATTGCTTTGGCAGTATGGCCATTGTAATGATACTGATTCTTCCTTTCCATGAGCATGGAATAGTTTTCCATTTGTTTGTGTCACCTCTGATTTCTTTGAACAGTGTTTTGCAATTCTCATTGTAAAGATCTTTCACCTCCCTGGTTAGCTGTATTGCTAGGTATTTTATTCTTTTGTGGCAATTGTGAATGGGATTGTGTTCCTGGTTTGACTCTCAGCTTGACTGTTGTTGGTAGATAGGAATGCTAGAGATTTTTTTATGTTGATTTTGTATTCTGAAACTTCGCTGAAGTTTTTTTTTATCAGCACAAGGAGCTTTTGGGACGTGCTATGGGGGTTTTCTAGATATAAAATCATGCTGTCTGCAAACAGGGATAGTTTGACTCCCTCTCATCCTATTTGGATGCCCTTTATTTCTTTCTCTTGCCTGATTGCTCTGTCCAGGACTTCCACTACTATGCTAAATAGGAGTGTTGAGAGAGGGCATCCTTGCCATCTGCTGGTTTTCAAGGGATATGCTTCCAGCTTTTGCCCATTCAGTATGATATCGGCTCTGGATTTTTCACAGATGGCTCTTATTATTTTGAGGTACGTTGCTTCAATACTTAGTTTATTGAGCATTTTTAACATGAAGCGATGTTGAGTTTTATCAAAAGACTTTCCTGCATCTATTGAGATAATCAGGTGATTTTTATCTTTATTTCTGTTTGTATGATGAATCACATTTATTGATTTGCATATGTAGAACCAAACTTGCATCCCAGGGAGAAAGCCTATTTGATCACGGTGGATTAGCTTTTTTATGTGCTGCTGAATTTGGTTTCTCACTATTTAGTTTAGAAATTTGGCATCAATGTTCATCAAGAATATTAGTCTGATGTTTTCTTTTTTTGTGAGCTCTGCCAGGTTTTGGTATAAATATGTTGCTTGCCTCATAGAATGAGTTGGGGAGGAGTCCCTCCTTCTCAGCTTTTTGGGATAGTTTCAGTAAGGATGCTACCAGCTCTTCTTTGTACATCTGGTAGAATTTGGCTGTGAATTCATTTGGTCCTGTGCTTTTTTAGTTGGTAGGTTATTTATTACTGATTTAATTTCAGAGCTCATTATTGGTCTGTTCAGGGAACCAATTTCTTCCCAGTTCAGTCTTGGGAGGGTGTGTATGTCCAGGAATTTATTCATCTCTTCTAGGTTTTCTAGTTTGTGTGCATAGAGGTGTTCATAGTATTCTCTGGTGGTTTATTTGTATTTCTGTGGGATAAGTGGTAACATCCCCTTTGTGGTTTCTAATTGTGCTTATTTGTATCTCCTCTCTTTTCTTCTTTATTAGTCCAGCTAGCAACCTATCCTATCACTTTTTTCAGAAAAACAACTCCTGAATATATTGGTCTTTTAATGTTTTCTTATGTCTTGATCTCCTTCAGTTCAGCTCTGATTTTGGTTTTCTTGCCTTCTGCTAGCTTTGGGGTAGATTTCCTCTTGTTTCTCTAGTTCTTTTAGTTCTGATGTTGCATTGTTAATTTGAGATCTTTTTAACTTTTTGGTGTGGGCATTTAGTGCTATAAACTTTCCTCTTAACATTGCCTTAGCTGTGCCCCAGAGATTCTGGTATGTTGTATCTTTGTTCTCATTAGTTTCAAAGATCTTCTTGATTTCTGCCTTAATTCCATTATTTGCCCAAAAGTCATTAAGGAGCAGACTGTTTAATTTCCATGCAATTGAATGGTTTGGGGCCATTTTTTAAAGTCTGATTTCTATTTTTATGGTGCTGTGGTCTGAGAGTGTATTTGGTATATTTCAGTTATTTTGTATTTGCCGAGGATTGTTTAATTTTCAGTTGTGTGGTCAATTTTAATGTGTGTATGTACCCTGTGGCAATGAGAAGAATGAGTATGCTTTTGTTTTGTGGTGGAGAGTTCTGTAGGGGTCTATTAGATCCATTTGATCCAACGTTGAGTTCAGATCCTGAATATCTTTCGTAATTTTCTGCCTCAGTGATCTAATATCGTCAATGGAATATTGAAGCCTTCCACTATGACCATATGGGAATCTAAGTCTCTTCACAGGTCTGTAAGAACTTTCTTTATAAATCTGGGTGCTCCTGTGTTGGAAGCACATATATTTAGAATAGTTAGGTATTCTTATCGAACTGAACCCTTTACCATCATGTAATTTCCGTTCTTTGTCCTTTTTGATGTTTTTTATTTAAAATCTGCTTTGTCTGAAATCAGGATTGTGACCTTTGCTTTTTTCTGATATCCATTTGCTTGTTAGATTTTCCTCCATTCTTTTATTTTGTGCCTATGGCTGGCATTGCTTGTGAGATGAGTCTCTTGAAGACAGCATACCATTGGGTCTTGAATTTTTATCCAGCTTGCCATTCTGTGCCTTTTAAATGGGGCATTTTGCCTGTTTACATTCAAGGTTAGTATTTATATGTATGGATTTGATCCTGTCATTATGCTATTAGCTGGGTATTATGCCAGCTTGTTTGTGTGATTGCTTTACAGTGTCACTGGTCCGTGTACTTAAGTGTGTTTTTATAGTGGCTGGTAACAGTCACTTTCCTTTTCATATTTAGTGCTCCTTTCAAGATCACTTGTAAGGTTGGTAACTCCCTCAGCATTTGCTGATGCTAAAAGGATTTTATTTCTCCTTCACTGAGGAAACTTAGTTTGGCTGGCTATGAAATTCTTGATTGAAGACATATATACTTCTTAAGAATGTTGAATACAGGCCCCAAATTTCTTCTGGCTTGCAGGGTTTCTTCTGAGAGGTCCACAGAAACCCTTCAGTCATGACCTGCCCTTTCTCTCTAGCTGCCTATAACATTCTTTCTTTTATTTTGACCTTGGAAAACCTGATGATTATGTGTCTTCGGGATGATCTTCTTGTGTAGAATTTTGCAGGGGTGCTCTTTACTTCCTAAATTTGACTGCTGACCTCTCTAGTGAGGTTGGGGAAGTTTTCATGGATGAAATCCTGAAATTTGTTTTTGAGGTTGTTTGCTTTCTCCCAATCCCTTTCAGGGATGCCAGTGATTTATAGATTTGGCCTCTTTATATAATCCTGTATTCTCAGAGGTTTTTTTGTTCCTTTTCATTCTTTTATTTTTTGTCTGCCTTATTTTAGAGAGCCAGTCTTCAAGTTTCAAGAATCTTTCCTCAGCTTGTTCTATTCTGTTATTAATATTGACAATTGCACTGTGAAAATCTTGTAGTGTGTTGTTCAGCTCTATCAGATCAGTTAGATTCTTTTTTTATACTGGCTATTTTGTCTGTCAACTCCTGTAACATTTTATTGTGATTCTTAGTTTCCTTGGATTGAGTTTTGCCATTCTCCTGAATCTCAATGATATCTATTCCTATCCCTATTGTGATTTTTATTTCTGTCATTTTAGCCAACTCAGCCTGGTTAAGAACCCTTGTAAGAGAACTGATGCAGTCATTTGGAGGACATAAGACATTCTGGGCATTTGGGTTACCAGAGTCCTTGCATTGGTTCTTTCTTATCGCTGCATGTGGATGTTCTTTTAACTTCTGGGCTGCCTCTAATTGAAATGATCAGGCGAGGGCAGGGTAGTTGTTCTGGAGTCCCAGTTCAGGCCACCCTGTCCCTGTCCAGTGAGGAGACGTGAAGACTGGGAACTGTGTAGAGACTAGTCTGGCCACTTTTCCATGAGGTTGTTCTCCATGCTGTGGATCTGGACAAGCCCCTGGTCCCCGTGGACTCTCCATAGCCTGGAGACAGCAAATGAAAGGGCTGAAAGACAGCAAAGATGACAACCCACCCCTCCTACTTGGAGCTTTGTCCCTGGGAGTTGCAGAGCTCATACTGGCTTGATAGCCCTGGTGTGGGGTGGCTGAAGGCCCAGGCTGGGAGGACCCACCCAGTGAGGAGATGTGGGATCAGGGACCCCATAAATGTAAAAAAATAGTCTAGCCACTTTTCCACTGCTGATGCAGTATGCTGTGGATCTGTTCCAGTCCCTAGTCACCTCAGATTTTTCAGCACCTGATGGTATCAACAGTGAAGGCTGTGAAACAGCAAAACTGGCAGCCTTCTTCTTCTGGGAGCTCCATCCCAGGAGGTACAGACCTGTTGACAACCCAAACTCACCAACAGGAAGTGGCTGGAGACCCCAGTCTAGAGATCCCAACCAGTGAGAAGAAATGGGATTGGGGACCTGCATAAAGAGCAGTCTGGCCACTTTTCTGTAGGGCAGCTGGCTTTGCTGGGGGGTCTGCTCAAGTCACTGTTTGCCTCAGAATCCATAAAGCCTGAAAGCAACAATGGCTAAGGCTGCTGAACAGCAAAGATTGCAGCACAGCCTTCCCTCTGGAACCTCCATCCCAGAGAGGTTTGAAACTGCTGCTGGCTGGAAAACACAAGCAGGGGTGGCTGTTGACCTTGATCAGAAGGTTGCACCAGTGAAGAGAAATGGGATCTGGGACCTGCTTGAAAAAGCAGTCTGGCTACTTCTCTATAGAGCTTCTGCACTGTGCTGGGGTACCACTCCAGTCCCTAGTCACCTCAGACTCCCTAGGGCCCAAAGACAACAGCTAAGTCTATAAAACAGCAAAGATGGTAGCCCACCACTCCCCCTGGGATCTCCATCCCAAGGAGGCTTAGAACCGCTGCCAGCTGGAAAGCACTGGCAAGGATGGCTGGTGACCCTGGTCAGGAGGTCCCGCCTAATGAGGAGAAGCAGGCCCAGGAACGCCCATACAAAAAGAGTCTGGCTGCATTTTTGTAGGGCAGCTGCACTGAAGGCAATAATAGCTAAGGCTATGAAACAGCAAAGATGGCAGCCTACCCCTCCCTCTGGGAGCTTCATGTCAGGGAGATGTAACACTGCTACCTGTGGATGGCTGGATTCCCAGGCCAGTGGGTCTTATCCTATGAGGTATCATGGAAGTGGGACCTGCAGACCATCACTGCTCAGCCCCCTGGTTTCAGCCCCCTTCCTAGGGGTATATATGGGGCTCTAACCTCCCTCTTTGCTAGAGTTGCAACCACTTTTGCTGGGAAGCCTGAGTTTCTAAAACTCCTGGGGCTCTGAGTGTGCCAAAGCAGCTGCTCTGCCAAGACACCACATAGCTCTGTGTGTCAGACCACAGGTCCTGGTGGGGTGGGTTCATGAGGAGATCTCCTAACCTAAGGTTTTCAAAGATACAGGGGAGAAGTGTGAGTCCCCAGAGTCGCACACTCACTCACTGCTTCCCTAGGCAGAGGAGGCTCCCCGGGCTCTGAGTCACTCCCAAATGGGCAGTCATCCTGCCTTGCTTTTCTCTATTCTCCATGGGTCAAGCTGTTTTCTTGAATCCCAATACATGTAGCTGGATGTTTCAGTTGAAAGTGCTGTATTTACTCACCCCCCTCTACTTCTCTCCATGAGAGCAGTGCACACTAGCTGCTGTTAGTTAAAGCAAAAGACAAAATTCTAAAAATTAATATGATTTAATGGTGAATCATTGATTTTCTTAACTCACAAAATGGTAGTTTTATAGGTAACTATTCATTTAAATATTCTGAATTTTCTTCTAATCTTATTTCTCATTTACTTTCTGAGTTATACAATTTCTTAAGATACTTAATACAGCCACTGAGGGTATATATTTGTTCACTCTCTTACCTAAATGCAGAATTGGTCCTATCATTAGTCTGCTTGATACTCAGGAATCATAGTAAGAAGGGGGAAATATCCCCAGAGTTTTTTTGCTTTGTCATTCTAATCATTCCCACAACCTCAGGCAGAGTTGATTGAGCCAAACACGTATCAATACCAATAAAATATTGCAAGAGACTTGGCAGGTTTTAGTGGTGGTGTCTGAATATTTTCCACTAAGCAATGCCAGCTCCACCACCACCACTTAACTGCTCCTATTCTCCTTGCAATCAAAACTCCAACATCTGGAAAGAATAATCATCATTTTTAGCATGATAGCCCTTAGAGGGCTCATTAAAGTAGAGAAAATAAGAAGCCCTCAAAAATGTCTAAGTCACTTAGAAAGTTAAGTTGTAAAAAGTAGTCTTTCTTTCCCCTATGTTTGTAGTTAAGAAGGAGAGCAAAAATTAAATATGTACAGAAGGCTACCTTTTATTGACATTCACAATTTCTTACAAATCTTATAGATTTACTGGCACTTGTGGTAGTAGCAGGAATAGTCTCCCAGTAAACTCCTCAATGCTAACTTCAGGGTAACATTTGCTGAATCCTCTGAAGCCTTTTAGAGCATGGTGGCACACATACTGGGATGTAGCATGAAGCATGAGAAAGAACTTAGGCTCTGGGATCAGACAGACCTGAGTTTCAGTCCCAGATCTGCCACTTAGTGGCTTTGATACCTTGGGCAAGTTATTTAACTCTCAGATGCTAGGTTTTCTCATCTGTAGCAGGGGTCCAATGGGAATATCCCTGTGTTTTGAGACTATTAAATGGAACACTCTATATATAGTCTAGCATAGCACCTGAGGTATAATAGGTGTTCAATAAGTGTTGGTTTAAACAAAATCAAATAAAAATTCTACATGTATCAGACTCCTAAAGAATCTTGGAAAAATAATGAACAGGACTTTGGGTATAATGTTCAAGATTAATGCACTGAAAAAAGCAAACAATGGCCCCAGTATAAGAAGTTCCCACTAAAATATAGGGAACTTACCCTAAAGTGGAAGGAAGTCACCCTAAATTGATCACTGTTAAAGGGTGATAACTTTGGGTTCCACAGGGGTGAGGCCTATCGTGTCCTCAGGTTACATTTTATAGGCCCAAAGTCTTATACCCTGGGGAAGAATATTTGTCAGTTTGAGAACTGGACCACTGACCCTGCTACCAGAGCAGTGGGAGAAGTGAAGACACTGACAGACAGCAGCCCTGTGGTCAAGGCAAGAAAAGTAAGGCAGCAGCAATGGTAGAAACCACCACCCATATCCAAGAGCCCTCAGAATCAACAGACTAGAGCCAAAGAAACTCAGTAATACTACATGGTGGGGCCCACAGAACAAGCCGTCATCACAATTACCCATCTTCTTGGCTAACTTAGAAAGGACTATATAAAGAAATTCTATTTTATTGAGTTTATAGATAGTCAGTCTAATACACAGGCCATGACTTGGGTTCAACTTCTTATATGGCTAGAATTTTATAGACAGGAAAGTAATTATATGTAATCTTTCATGTGGACAAGCAGTAGAATGGATACGAATAGGCAACAGTGAGAATTTTCATAATCCCAGTACTTTAATTATTTTGAAACAAGCACTTCATGCATCTGTGCTTCAGACTCTTTGACTGTGAACTGGACATAATTCTGCTGGCCCTGAATGCTCCACAAGGTAATTCTAAGTTCGTGAGAAGATCTTGAACATAGAAGTCCTTGGGAAGGTGCAACAGTAAACAAAAACAACCCTCTAGGAAGAAAGATGGAGTTTCAGTGTTGGAGATAATTTAAACAAAAGCTGCTTCCAGTTTAGAACCTTTCAAAGACTTTGTCATTTAGCCCAGTATACTGACACAAAAATAACTGTAGTAAAGTGATATAGTATATAAGCAGATTACGGCGTTACACATAGTGAACTATGCTAGGGAGGTCATTGAAGAAGTTACATATGAGTGAGTAGAAGTTTGACAAAAGGACAAATGTGGACAGCCAAGGACTTATGAGAAGGAATAGAAACTGGAAAATTAATCTGAGGTCAGAGTGCAAATCCATACCAATGAATTTGGCCTTTTCTTATCAGGCAATGAGAATACCACTCAAAGTTTTTATGCAAAGAAATTGACATAATCAGATTCCTGTTCCACAGAGCTCACCCCAGCAGCAGTGAGCAAAACAAAGTGAAGACTTTGTTCTTTTTGCTCATGATTGCTTTCACTATTTGAGCTATTTTGTGGTTCTATACAAGTTTTAGAACTATTTTTTTTATTTCTGTGAATGTCGTTGGTATTTTAATAGGAATTGCACTGAATCTGTAAATCACTTTGGGTAGTATGGAAGAACAATATTAATTCTTCCAATCCATGAACAAGGGGTATCTTCTCTTTTTTTTTGTGGTGTCCTCTTCAATTTTTTACATTAGCATTTTATAGTTTTTTTTGTTTGTGTGTTTGTTTGTTTGTTTTTTTCTGAGATGGAGTCTCACTGTGTCACCAGGCTGGAGTTCAGTGGCTCAGTCTTGGCTCACTGCAACCTCTGTCTCCTGGGTTCAAGCAATTCTCCTGCCTCAGCCTCCTGAGTAGCTGGAGCTACAGGCACACACTACCACGCCTGACTAATTTTTGTATTTTTAATAAAGATGGGGTTTCACCGTGTTGGCCAGGATGGTCTCGATCTCCTGACCTCTTGATCCACCCGCTTCAGCCTCCCAAAGTGCTGGGATTATAGGCATGTGCCACCGCACCTGGCTGTATAGTTTGTATTGTAGAGATCTTTCACTTCCTTGGTTAAATGTATTTCTATGTATTTATGTAGCTACTGTAAATGAGATTGCTTTTTTAATTTTTCTTTCAGCATGTTCACTGTTGGCATATAGAAATTCTACCAATCTTTGTGAACAAAGCCAGAGGCATTACACTACTTCTAAATATACTATAAAGCTATAGTAACCAAAACAGCATGGTTCTGGCATAAAAACAGACATATAGACCAATGGAACAGAAAAAAGAATCCAGAAATATGTCCACACAGTAATAGCCAACTCATTTTAAATGAAAGTGCCAAGGGCATACGTTGGGAAAAAGACAGTCTCTTCAATAAATGGGGCTCGGAAAACTGGATATCCATATGCAGATGAATGAAACTAGACCCCTACTTCTCATTATATACAAAACTTAATTCAAAGTGGATTAAAGACTTAAATATTAGAATTGCAACTACAAAACTGGTGGAAGAAAACATTGGGGAAACACTTCAAGACAATGGTCTGGGCAACAAAAAAATTATTGTAAGATCTCAAAAGGCAAAAATAGACAAATGGGATTATATAAAACCAAAAAGCTTCTGCACAGCAAAGGAAACAATCAATAGAGTGAAAAAACAACCTACAGAATGGGAGAAAATATTTTCAAACTATTAATCTGACAAGGGATTAATAATCAGAATGTATAAGGAACTCAAGCAATACAACAGTAAAAATAATAATAATCCAGTTTTTAAATGAGCAAGTGATCTAAATAAATGTTCCTCAAAAGAAGATGTACAAATGGCCTACACATATATGAAAAATGTTAACATCAGGGAAATGCAATCAAAACCACAATGAGATATCATCTCACCCCAGTTAAAATGGCTATTATCAAAAAGACAAAAAATATAACAGATTCTGTTTTTTAAAAATGTGGAGAAAATGGAACTCTCATATACTGTTGGTGGGAATGGAAATTAATATAGCCATTATGGAAAACAGTATAAAGATTCCTCAAAAAACTCAAAATAGAAGAAATACTATATAACCCAGCAATCCCACTTCTGGGAATATCTCTAAAAGAAAGGAAATCAGTCTGTCAAAAAGAGATATCTGCATTCCCATGTTTATTGCAGCACTATTCACAATAACCAACATATGAAACTGGCCTAAATGTCCATCGATGGATGAATGGATAAAGAAAATATGGTGTGTATATATACACATTGGAATATTATTTATCTATAAAAAAAGAATAAAATCCTGTCATTTGCAGCAAAATAGGTGGAACTGGAAGATATTATGTGAAGTGAAATAACACAGGCACAGAAAGGTAAATATTGTATGCTCTTACTCATATGTGGGAGCTAAAATAGTGGCTCTCATAAAGGAGAGAGTTGATTGATGGTTACCAGAGGCTGGGAAAGATACAGGGGAAGTGGAGGATGGAGACAGTTTAGCTAACAAGTATAAAAATACAGTTATATAGAAGGAACAAGTTCTAGTGGTCAATAGCGCAGTAAGGTGACTATGGTTAACAATAATTTGCTATGCATTTCAAAATAGCTGGAAGAGAAGATTTGGAATGGAATGTTCCTAACACAAGAATGATAAATGTTTGACATGATGAGTATCCCAATTATCCTGATTAGATCATAACACATTGTATACATTTATCAAAATATCACATGTACCCCATATATACAATTATTATCTATTAATGAAAAAACAAAGTGAAGACAATTACAAATGATTCATTTTTTAATGCCAATATGTGTCACGAAAGTGCTGTGTTTCAGATGGCCAGGGAAAGCACATGTCTTATTCACTGTTATGTCCTGTTGGATACACAGTGCCTAACACAGTGCCTGGCATGTGGCAGGGCTTTGTAAACATTTGTTGAATTAATTATCGTTAGAATGTGTTATTAGTTGTGGAGAGTTCCACAGAATTACTTAAAACTTTTTTAACCTTTAATGCTGCAACATGTGGCCCTATTCTCACCTACTCACCTATTCTCACATAGTCATTTTTGTATTCCCAAGACTTGGCTCACTCTCTGGCACATAACAGGAGTTCAATAAATCCTTGTGAACTGGACTGAGCACAAGGGCATTCTCAAGACCTGTCCCAGTGGACACAGGGAATGTGAGTTCTGTTGGTCTTTAGCAAAATAAAGGAGACAAAATTACTACTGATGCATTTTATTTTGACTTGAGTTTGTAAAACAGGTCAATACACTCCTGAAAAGTAAAATAGTCATCCTAAAAAGAAGACACAAATATGTTTTTACTGATATGTTCACTATGAGTGCTATGATTTGGATGTGATTTTTTCCACCAAAACTTATGTTGAGGCTTGCTATTCAATGTGTAGTGTTGGGAGGCGGAGCCTAGTGGAAGGCATTTAGATCTAGGGGTTGCAACCCTCATTAATAGATTAATGTCTTCTCTAGGTAGTGAATTCCGGCTCTCATGAGACTTGATTAGTTATCACAGGAATGGATTAGTTCCCGTGAGAGTGGTTTGTTATAAAGGGAGTTTCTTTTTGTGTTTGGTCCATTTTTGCACATGCCACTTCCCCTTTGACCTTCTGCCATATTTTGACACAGCAAAAAGCCCCCACCAGAAGCTGAGCAGATGTCAGCACCATGTCCCTCGAACTCCCCACCTGCAGAACCACGAGATAAATAAACTTATTTTCTTCATAAACTACCCAATCTCAGGTATTCTGTTACAGCAACAACAGACTAAGACAATGAAGTCCAAAAATGTGACATCATCCAACTAGATGATAAGAAAAGCCCATTATTGACCACATGAACTTCCAGGAGTTAATGAGTACAGAGCTTTAATATTCAAATTGTGACGAAAACATTGAATTTGGGGGAAAATCAATAAGTTTATGATAATAATTATTAGTAATATTAACTCCCATTATTTTAGTTTTAAAATGGCCTAATATAAGTCATTTCACATAGCTCAAGTTAATGTTTGCTCAGTACAGAATTATTATTTTTCTTTAATAACTCCTCATGACAGTGTATCCAAATGAGTTCAAAGACAGGAAAAAAAGACCAAAGTCTACTGAACTTTCCTGCTATAAATGTGTAACACAACTGACTATATTAGAAAGCGAATTAAAAATTAAATTCTAAAATGTATTAGCTATGTTAGGTAGATTAAAGTGCTATGATGGTTAATACCAAGCATCAACTTGATTGGTTTGAAGGATGCAAAGTATTGATCTTGGGTGTCTGTGAGGGTGTTGCCAAAGGAGATTAACATTTGAGTCAGTGGGCTGAAGAAGGAAGGCAGACCCACCCGTAATCTGGTGGGCACAACCTAATCAGCTGCCAGTGAATATAAAGCAGGCAGAAAAACGCCAAAAAGTAAGACTGGCTTAGCCCCCCAACCTGCATCTTTCTCCTGTGCTGGATGTTTCCTGCTTTCAAATATCGGACTCCAAGTTCTTTAGTTTTGAGACTCAGACTTGTCTCCTTGTTCCTCAAGCTTGCAGACAACCTACTGGGGGAACTTGTGATCACGTAAGTTAATACTTAATAAAGTCCACATATATATATATGGAATTTTATATATATAAGTTAATACTTAATAAACTCCATATATATGGAGTTATATAAATAAGTTAATACTTAATAAACTCCATAGATAGATAGATAGATAAATAGATAGGTATCTCCTATTAGTTCTGTCCCTCTAGGGAACACTAATACAGGAGCCAAGGCAAATTTCATTTATTCTGTGGTAAAGATTTTTAAAACTTTTTATTCCTTTCTTAAAATTTTTACATAAGCTAATAATTCTTATAGGTCACATCTGGATGAGACTAAATCCAACAGCCAAAAATTTGAAAATGCCATGAAACCAGTTATTCATTACATATAATAACAAAACCTAACTGGTTTTGCTGAATTCAGTCAAATGTATTTGCATGTGTGGATACAACCATATTATGGGACAAATGTGCAAAAGGTATTAAGAGTTATTATGTCCTAAAATGGCTTGCCCCAGAAGGCAACTGACTTAGTAAACAAGACACTTTATAAAAAAATAGAGCTTAGCAGTCCAGGAATTGCTGCTGAAACATGGAACAACCCATCCGCAGAAAAAATATAAAACACAGTGCCCGGGATAGGAGACTTTGGTTGGTTACAGAAGGTGTTTCCAACATTCAGGCAGGGACATGTTAAATATGAGAAAATAAGAGCAAACAGCATCCAACTCCCATGGAACGAAAGGAAGGCAAAAAGGACCCACTAGTTATCTTCCCCACAAATCTTAAATTTCATCATTAGCAATTCTTTGTCATGTTAAGTTCCCATGCCTTCAGTCTAGAGGTACTTTAAGAAATATAATTAATTTCTGGAAAGGATAGTGCCCTACATGGCAGAGGCTGGGGCTATATTTGAGAACACACTCTTAAATCCTTAGATTACAGCTGCCTCTCCACAGAGCTGTTCGACAGAATGTATGTGAAAGTGACCAGTATTTGTCTTAGTGCTTCTCTGACTCATTATTTCCCGAAAGTAAAAGAGACTGCATCATATTCAGTGTTTAGATGTTTAGATTTTTAATGCTGTTTATGTATATTAAAATGCACAGTTCTTAAAATGTTTTAATAGACAAAATATAAGTAACAATTTGTTTTAAAATTTACAGAAACATGTTTAATGTACTGAGTTCAGAAAATCAATAAGAGAAGCATTAACATTCCATAAAAAAGTGAGAAAAGTTAGGGAACAATAATTTATAGAAAAATTCAATTGACCAACAGACTGTTCAAACTACTAACTTCAAAAACACAAATTTAAACAAATCATGGAATATTCAAATTATTAAACAAAAAGTCATACTTTGAAACAAAACTTAATGATATAAAATCCTCACCAAATGTACAAGATCATTTGCAGTTTACTCAACTTTGTTGAAAAAAAATGTAGAAAAAAATGTTTTATAGTGTTAACAGCTCTTATGTACAGACAACAGAATCACTAATAATTATTTTCTTTCACATATTTTTATATTTTCTAATAATTTTCAAACTTTCTACAATGATTATATAATATTGCAAATTTAAAAAGAATATAAATACACTTTCAAAAACAAAAGACAAAAAGAAAACAAAGCAGTTATACACTAAGACATAGATTTGAATGGTCATGCAGGAGTAGAAAAAGCAAATTTTATTCACAAGAACATACGTTTCTACAGAGAACAGAGCACTTCCACAAAAGGCCAGTATGTCTTGATTTTTGTTTATATAACATATATTGCATTTACAAATCAAAGTATATTTGATAATAAAATACTATAAAAGGGCATGTTTTCCTCAATTCAAAGAGTGGCAATCTAGAAATGTTATTCTTCCAAAACAATCTCATTTTATTGCAGCAATGAGATATTCTTAATGAAATCAACGTTTTACCATAAAAAAATCTAAATCTAAATTAGTTTTCATTACAAATCACTTTCAAGTTTTTATGGTTATATGACATAATGTATTTTTCCTTTTAAAACAAAAAATTTTTAAATATAAAATTTTAAAATCAGAAAGAGCATTTATCCATAGTACCCTATCAAAAATAACTAGAATTAACATTTTGACATATTTCCTTTCAGTTTTTTCCCTTCATATATTTTAAATAGTTAAGGACATCTAGTTTACACACTTTTATTATGCTGTTTTATTTAGTGAATGTAATATCACAAGTCTATTTATATACCTATAAGATAAGATGCACTTCTTTTTTTTTTTCTTTTTTTTTTTTTTTTTTTTTTTTGAGACAAGGTCTGGCTCTATCACCCAGCCTGGAGTGCAGGGGTGCAATCTCAGCTCACAGCAACCTCCAACTCCTGGGCTCAAGCCATCCTCCCACTTCAGCCTCCCAAGTAGCTAAGACGACAGGCATGCACCACCATGCCCAGCTGATTTTTGTATTTTTTGTAGAGACAGGGCTTCACTATGTTGCCCAGGCTGGTCTTGAACTCGTGAGCTCAAGCAATCCACCTGCCTCAGCCTCCCAAAGTGCTGGGCTTACAGGTGCAAGCCACTGTGCCTGGCCTCTTCTTAAATATTACAATTAATGGCTAGGTGATAGTCAAATTTGTGAGTATCAACACAATAATAATTACCATATTGAACACCCATTAGGTACCTCTGATTTTCCCAACAGTCTTGTGGTAATAATATGATTTTCAATAGGCAGATGAAGTCATGTGAATAAGTGTAGTTTAAAAAAGCAAGAGACATTTTGCAGCCTTCACTGATACCTTCAGGTACTAAATATCCAAGGGGACTAGGGACTGGAACGGACCTCCAGCATACTGGAGCAGCCCTATGGAAAAGTGCCCAGACTATTTGCTACATGGGTCCCCAATCCTATATCTCTTCAGTGGGTGGGTCCTCCCAGCCTGGGTCTCCAATCACCCCACACTGGGAATATCGAGCCAGTAGCAACTCTGCAACAAAACTCCCAGTAGGAGGGGCAGGTTGCCATAATTGCCATCTTGGAACTCTCATCCTAGATGTTTCAAGGGTCTGCAGAATCCAAGGGACCAGGGACTGGTCCAAACTCCCAGGACAGACCAACTACCTCATGGAAAAGTGGCTGGACTGTTCTCCACATAGGTCCCAGTCCTCACTTCTCCTCACTAGACAGGATCACCTGAGCTGGGACTCAAGTATGTCCACCCAGCCCCTAACTGACCACTTCAATTAGAGGCAGCCCATCAGTTAAAGGGACACACACATGCAGAGCTGAGAAAAAATCAATGCAAGAGTTCTGGTAACTCACATGGCCAGAGTGTCCTATGTCCTCCAAACGCCTGCACTAGTTCTTCAACAGGTGTTCTTAACCAGGCTGAGTTGGCTGAAATGACAGAAACAGAAATTAGAATATGAATAGGAACAAAAATCATTGATATTCAGGAGAAGGCCAAAACTCAATCTGCAAACTAAGAATCATAAGAAAATGATACAGGAGCTAACAGACAAAATAGCCAGTATAATCTGACAGAGATGAAAAACACACAAGAATTTCACAATGCAATCCATTACAAGGATTAACAGCAGAAAGAAAACAATCTGAGGAAAGATCTTGGAACTTGAGGAGTAGCTCTTTAAAATAAGACAGGCAAAGATGGCTGAAAAGGAACATCTCTGGTCTGCAGCTCCCAGTGAGATCAACACAGAAGGTGAGTGATTTCTGCATTTCCAACTGAGGTACTCAGCTCATCTCATTAGGACTTGTTAGACAGTGGGTGCAGCCCACAGAGGGTGAGCTGAAGCAGGGCAGGGCACCACCTCACCCGGGAAGCACAAGGGGTCGGGGAAGTCCCTCCCCTAGCCAAGGGAAGCCATGAGGGACTGTACGGTGAGGAACAGTGCATTCAAGCCAAGATACTATGCTTTTCCCACAGTCTTTCTAACCCGCAGACCAAAAGATTCCCTCCGATGCCTATACCACCAGGACCCTGGGTTTCAAGCACAAAACTGGATAGATGTTTGGGCAGACACTGAGCTAGCTGCAGGAGTTTTTTTCTTTCATACCCCAGTGGTGCCTGGAATGCCAGCAAGACAGAACCATTCACTCCCCCGGAAAGGGGGCTGAAGCCAGGGAGCCAAGTAGTCTAGCTCAGCAGATTCCACTCCCACAGAGCCCAGCAAGCTAAGATCCACTGGCTTGAAATTCTCACTGCCAGCACAGCAGTCTGAAGTCTACCTGGGATGCTTAAGCTTGGTGGAGGGAGGGGCATCCTCCATTACTGAGGCTTGAGTAGGCAGTTTTCCCCTCACAGTGTGAACAAAGCTGCCCGAAAGTCTGAACTGGGCAGAGCCCACCACAGCTCAGCAAAGCCACTAAAGCCAGACTGCCTCTCTAGATCCCTCCTCTCTGGGCAGAGCATCTCTGAAAGAAAGGCAGCAGCCTCAGTCAGCGACTTATAGATAAAAAGCCCATCTCCATGGGACAGAGAACGTGAAAGAAGGGGCTGCTGTGGGCACAGCTTCAGCAGACTTAAATGTTCCTGCCTGCTGGCTCTGAAGAGAGAAGGGGATCTCCCAGCACAGCCCTTGAGCTCTGCTAAGGGACAGACTGCCTCCACATGTGGGTCCCTGACCTCCGTGCCTCCTGACTGGGAGACACCACTCAGCAGGGGTCAACAGACACCACATACAGGAGAGCTCTGGCTGGCATCTGGCAGACGCCCCTCTGGGATGAAGTTTCCAGAGGAAGGAAAAGGCAACAATCTTTGCTGTTCTGCAGCCTCCACTGGTGATACCCAGGCAAACAGGGTCTAGGGTGGACCTCCAGCAAACTCCAGCAGACCTGCAGCAGAGGGCCCTGACTGTTAGAAGGAAAACTATAACATCAACATCAACAAAAAGGATGTCCACACAAAAACCCCATCGGAAGGTCACCAGCATCAAATACCAAAGGTAGATAAATCCACAAACACAAGGAAAAACCAGCGCAAAAAGGCTGAACATTTCAAAAACCAGAATGCCTCTGCTTCTCCAAGGGATCACGACTACTCACTAGCAAGGGAACAAAACTGGACGGAGAATGAGTTTGATGAATTGACAGAAGTAGGCTTCAGAAGGTGGATAATACAAACTCCTTCAAGCTAAAGGAGCATGTTCTAACCCAATACAAGGAAGCTAAGAACCTTGACAAAAGGTTACAGGAACTGCTAATTAGAATAACCAGTTTAGAGAAGAACATAAATGACCTGATGGAGACGAAAAACACAGCACAAGAACTTCATAAAGCATACACAAGTGTCAATAGTCAAATCCAGCAAGTGGAATAAAGGATATCAGAGATTGAAGATCAACTTAATGAAATAACGCGTGAAGACAAGATTAGAGAAAAAAGAATGAAAAGAAATGAGCAAAGCCTCCAAGAACTATGAGACTATGTGAAAAGACCAAACCTACGTTTGATTGGTGTACCTGAAAGTGATGAGAATGGAACCAAGTTGGAAAACACTCTTCTGGATTTTATCCAGGAGAACTTCTGCAACCTAGCAAGACAGGCCAACATTCAAATTCAGGAAATACAGAGAACACCACAAAGATACTCCTCGAGAAGAACAACCCCAAGAAACATAATCATCAGATTCACCAAGGTTGAAATGAAGGAAAAAATGTTAAGCGCAGCCAGAGAGAAAGATCAGGTTACCCACACAGAGAACCCCATCAGACTAACAGCAAATTTCTCTGCAGAAACCCTCCAAGCCAGACAAGAGTGGAGATCAATATTTAACATTCTTAAATAAAAGAATTTTCAACCCACAATTTCATATCCAGCCAAACTAAGCTTCAAAAGTGAAAGAGAAATAAAATCCTTTACAGACAAGCAAATGCTGAGAGATTTTGTCACCACCAGGCCTGCCTTACAAGAGCTCCTGAAGGAAGCACTAAATATGGAAAGGAAAAGCAAGTACCAGCCACTGCAAAAGCATATCAAATTGTAAAGACCATCGATACTATGAAGAAACTGCATCAACTAATGGGCAAAATAACCAGCTAGCATCATAATGACAGGATCAAATTCACACATAACAATATTAACCTTAAATGTAAATGGGATAAATGCCCCAATTAAAAGACACAGACTGGCAAATTGCATAAAGAGTCAACACCCATTGGTGTGCTGTGTTCAAGAGACCCATCTCATGTGCAAAGACACACATAGGCTCAAAATAAAGGGGTGGAGGAAGATTTATCAAGCAAATGGAAAGCAAAAAAAAAAAGAAGGGGTTGCAATCCTAGTCTCTGACAAAACAGACGTTAAATCAACAAAGATCAAAAAAGACAAAGAAGGGCATTGCATAATGGTAAAGGGATCAACACAAAAAGATGATCTAACTATCCTAAATATATATGCACCCAATACAGGAGCACCCAGATTCATAAAGCAAGGCCTTAGAGACCTACGAAGAGACTCACACTCCCACAAAATAATAGTGGGAGACTTTAACAGCCCATTGTCAATATTAGACAGATCAATGAGACAGAAAATTAACAAGGATATTCAGGACTTGAACTCTGCTCTGGACCAAGTGGACCTAATAGACATCTACAGAACTCTACACCCCAAACCAACAGAATATACATTCTTCTCAGAACCACATCGCACTTATTGTAAAATTGATCACATCATTGGAAGTAAAACACTCCTCAGCAAATGCAAAAGAACAGAAATCATAACAGTCTCTCAGACCACAGTGCAATCAAATTAGAACTCAGGATGAAGAAACTCACTCAAAACTGCACAACTACATGGAAAATGAACAACCTGCTCCCAAATGACTCCTGGGTAAATAATAAAATGAAAGCAGAAATAAATAAGTTATTTGAAATCAATGAGAACAAAGACACAACATACCAGAATCTCTGGGACACATTTAAAGCAGTGTTTAGAGGGGAATTTATAGCACTAAATGCCCACAGGAGAAAGTGGGAAAGATCTAAAATCAACAACCTAACATCACAATTAAAAGAACTAGAGAAGCAAGAGCAAACAAATTTAAAAGCTAGCAGAAGACAAGAAATAACTAAGATCAGAGCAGAATTGAAGGAGATAGAGATATGAAAAAGCCTTCAAAAAAATCAATAAATCCAGGAGCTGGTTTTTTGAAAAGATTAAAAAAATAGATAGACTGCTAGACAGATTAATAAAGAAGAGAGAAAAGTCAAATAGACACAATAAAAAATGATAAAGGGGAGATCACCACTGATCCCACAGAAATACAACCTACCATCAGAGAGTACTATAAACACCTCTATGCAAATAAACTAGAAAATCTAGAAAAAATGGATAAATTCCTGGACACATAAACCCTCCCAAGACTAAACCAGGAAGAAGTCAAATCCCTGAAAAGATCAAAAACAAGTTCTGAAATTGAGGCAGTAATTAATAGCCTACAACCAAAAAAAGCCCAGGACCAGATGGATTCACAGCCAAATTCTAACAGAGGTACAAAGAGGAGCTGGTACCATTCCTTCTGAAATTATTCCAAACAACAGAAAAAAAGGAACTCTTCCCTAACTCATTTTATGAGGCCAACATCATCCTGATACCAAAACCTGGCAGAAACACAACAGGAAAATAAAATTTCAGGCCAATATCCCTGATGAACATCAATGTAAAAATCCTCGATAAAATACTGGCAAACCAAATCCAGCAGCACATCAAAAGGCTTCTCCACCATGATCAAGTCAGCTTCATCCCTGGGATCCAAGGCTGGTTTAACATACACAAATCAATAAACGTAATTCATCACATAAACAGAACCAGTGACAAAAACCACGTGATTATCTCAATAGATGCAGAAAAGACCTTTGATAAAATTCAACACCCCTTCATGCTAAAAACCCTCAATAAACTAGGTATTGATGGAACATACCTCAAAATAATAAGAGCTATTTATGACAGACCCACAGCCAATATCATACTGAATGGGCAAAAGCTGGAAGCATTCCGTTTGAAAACTGGCACAAGACAAGGACACCCTCTCTCACCATTCCTATTCAACATAGTATTGGAAGTTCTGGCCAGGGCAATCAGGCAAGAGAAAGAAATAAAGGGTATTCAAATAGGGAGAGAGGAAGTCAAATTGTCTCTGTTTGCAGATGACATGATTGATTATTTAGAAAACCCCATCATCTCAGCCCAAAATCTCCTTAAGTTGATAAGCAACTTCAGCAAAGTCTCAGAATACAAAATCAATGTGGAGCATACCCAAAGGATTATAAATCATTCTACTATAGAGACACATCCGTATGTATATTACAGCGCTGTTCACAGTAGCAAAGACTTGGAACCAACCCAAATGCCCATCAATAATAAACTGGATAGAGAAAATGTGGTGCATATACACCATGGAATACTATTCAGCCATAAAAAAGGATGAGTTCACGACATGTGCAGGCACATGGGTGAAGCTGGAAACCATCATTCTCAACAAACTAACACAAGAGCAGAAAACCAAACTTGGCATGTTCTCACTCCTACATGGGAGTTGAACAATGAGAATACATGGACACAGGGAGGGGAACATCACACACTGGGGCCTGTTTGGGGGCAGGGGGCTAGGGGAGGGATAGCATTAGGAGAAATACCTAAAGTAGATGACAAGTTGATGGATGCAGCAAACCACATGGCACGCGTAAACCTATGTAACAAACCTGCACGTTCTGCGCATGTATCCCAGAACTTAAAGTATAATTTTTAAAAATAATAATAAAACAGGCAAAATTAAAAAGAATGAAAAGAAATGAGCAAAACCTCCAGGAAATATGGGAGTATGTAAGGAGGCAAGACCTATGATTCATTGGCATTCCTCAAAAAGACGGGGAGAAAGCAAACAACTTGGAAAATATATTTCAGGATATCATCTGTGAAAACTTGCCCAATTTTACTAGAGAAGCCAACAGTCAAATTCAGGAAATACAGAGAGCCCCTGCAAGATTCTACACAAGAAGATCATCCCCAAGACACATAATTATCAGATTTTCCAAGGTCAAAATGAAAAAAAGAATATTAAAGGCAGCTAGAGAGAAAGAGTAGATCATTTTCAAATGGTTTCTGTGGATCTCTCAGTAGAAACCCTACAAGCCAGAAGAGATTGGGGGTCTACATTCAACATTTTTAAAGAAAAGTATCTTCAACCAAGAATTTCATATCCAGCCAAAGTAAGCTTCCTCAGCAAAGAAGAAATAAATTCCTTTGGAGATAAGCAAATGCTGAGGGAGTTTTTTACCACCATATCCATCTTGCAAGAGATCTTCAAAGGAGCACTAAATATCACAGGGAAAGACTGTTACCAGCCACTACAAAAACACACTTAAATACACAGACCAATGACACTATAAAGCAACCACACAAACAAGCTAATAACAAGATAACACCACAATGACATGATCAAATACACACATATTAATACTAACCTTGAAGGTAAATGGGCTAGATGCCCCCATTTAAAAGGCACAGAGTGGCAAGCTAGATAAAAAGAAAGATTCAATGGTTTGTTGTATTCAAGAGACTCATCTCACACACAAAAACACCCATAGGCTCAAAATAAAGGGATGGAGGAAAATCTACCAAGCAAATAGAAATCAGAAAAAAATCAAGGGTTGTATTCCTAATTTCAGAAAAAAAAAAGATTTTAAACCAACAAAGATCAAAAATGACAAAGAAGGGCATTACATAATGGTAAAGAGTTCAATTCAACCAGAAGAACTAACTATCCTAAATACATATCCACCCAACACAGGAGCACCCAGATTCATAAAGCAAGTTCTTAGAGACCTACAAAGAATCTTGTACTCCCACATGATAATAGTAGAACTGAAAACCATTCAATTACATGGAAATTAAACAACCTGCTCCTAAATGATGTTTGGGCAAATAATGACATTAAGGCAGAAATCAAGAAATTCTTTGAAACTGAGATCAAAGATATAACATACCAGAATCTCTGGGATACAGCTAAGGTAGTGTTAAGAGGGAAATTTATAGCACTAAATGTCCACATCAAAAAGTTAGAAAGATCTCAAATCACAACTAAAAGAATTGCAGAAGCAAGAGCAAACCAACCTCAAAGCTAGCAGAAGACAAGAAAGAAATAACAAAAATCAGAGCTAAACTGAAGGAGACTGACACATGAAAAACCATTCAAAAGATCAATAAATATAGAAGTTGTTTTTTTAAAAAATTAATAAGATAGGCTGCAAGCTACATTAATAAAGAAGAAAATAGAGAAGATCCAAAAAACTCAGAAATGATGAAGTAGATGTTACCATTTTACTCCTGAATTGAATCCTGAACAGACCAATAACAAGCTCTGAAACTAAATGAGTAATAAATCCCCTGCCAACCAAAAAAAAAGCCCAGGACCAGACAGATTCACATCTGAATTCTACCAGATGTATAAAAAAGCGATGGTATAATTCCTACTTAAACTATTCCAAAAAATCAAGGGGGAGAGACATCTCAACTCATTCTTTAAGACATCATCCTTATACCAAAATCTGGCAGAGACTTAACAGAAAAGGAAAACTTCAGGCCAATATTTTTGATGAACATTGATGCAAAGAATTTCAACAAAATACTTGCAAAATGAATCCAGCAGCACATTAAAAGCAAATCCACCACAATCAAGTAGGCTTTATCTCTGGGATGCAAGTTTGGTTCAACACACAAACAGAATGAAAGACAAAAAAATGCATGATCATCTCAATAGACGCAGAAAAGTCAGTACAATTCAACATCCTTCATGTTAAAAAGGCTCAATAAACTAGGTATTGAAGGAACACACCTTAAAAAAAATAAGAGCCATCTATTAAAACCCAGAGCCAACATCATACTGACTGTGCCAAAGCTGGAAGCATTCCCTTTGAAAACCAGCACAAGACAAGGATACCCTCTTTCACCACTCCTATCAAACATAGTGGAACTCCTGGCTGGAGCAATCATGCAAGAGAAAGAAATAAAGGGCATCCAAATAGGAAAAGAGGAAGTCAAACTATCCCTGTTTGCAGACAGCATAATTCTATATCTGGAAAACCCCATAGCCTCAGCCCAAAATCTCCTTCAGCTGATAAACAACTTCAAAAAAGTTTCAGAATACAAAATCAACATATAAAAATCTTGGCTGGGCATGGTGGCTCATGCCTGTAATCCCAGCAGTTTGGGAGGCCAAGGAGGGTGGATCACCTGAGGTCAGGAGTTCAAGACCAGCCTGGTCAACATGGTGAAACCCCATCTCTACTAAAATGCAAAAATTAGCTGGGCATGGTAGTGCACACCTGTAGTCCCAGCTACTCGGGAGGCTGAGGCAGGAGAATCCCTTGAACCTAGGAGGCGGAGGCTGCAATGAGCCAAGATCGCACCACTGCACTCCAGTCTGGGTGACAGAGAGATACTATGTCTCAAAAAAAAAAAAAAAAAAATCTCTAGCATTCCTATGCACCAACAACAACCAAGCAGGGAGTTAAATCAGGAACACAATCCCGTTCACAATTGCCACAAAACAATAAAATACCTAGGAATACAGCTAACCAGGGAGGTGAAAGACCTTTTGAGAATTACAAAACACTGTTCAAAGAAATCAGAAATGACACAAACACATGGATAAATATTTCATGCTCATGGATAGGGAGAATCAATATCATTACAATGGCCATACTGCCCAAAGCAATTTACAGATTCAATGCTATTCCTACCAAACTAACAATGATATTCTTCACAGAACTAGAAAAAACTATTTTAAAATTCACATAGAACCAAAAAAACAGCCCAAATAGCCAAGGCAATCCTAAGCAAAAACAACAAAACTGGAGGCATCACATTATCCAACGTCAAACTATACTACAGGGCCAGAACAATTAAAACAGCATGGTTCTGATACAAAAACAGACATATAGACAAATGGAACAGAATAGAGAGCCCAGAAATAAGGCCACACACCTACAATCACCTGATCTTCAACAAAGTTGACAAAAACAAGCAATAGGGTAAGAACTCTCTATACAGTAAATGGTGCTATGATAACTGGCTAGCCATATGCAGAAGATTGAAACTGGACCTCTTTCTTGGACCATATACAAAAATTAACTCAGGATGGGTTAAAGACAAATGTAAAACCCAAATCTATAAAAACCCCGGAAGACAACCTAGGCAATACCATTCCAGACATAGGAACTGGCAAGATTTTGTGGCAAAGATGCTAAAAGCAGTTCCAACAAAAGCAAAAACTGACAAACGTGATCTAATTAAACTTAAGAGATATTGCACAGCAAAAGAAACTATCAACAGAGTAAACAGACAACCTACAGAATGGGAAAGATTTTGCAAACTATGCATCTGCCAAAGGTCTAATATCAAGCATCTATAAGGAAGGGTCTTTTTCTTGTATGGAGGTTCATTCCCTTTGGTTAAACACAAACTTTGAAAGGATGCTTACAAAAAGATAGAGAAAGAAGATACAAACCCAGCTAGGCAGATGAGACAAATCCATGCCACAATGGAGTGACAAATACTGCAACCAAACAAACCTTAAATTCTATTGCAAACTTAAAGCAATATATTTACATGCATTAGAATTCTATTAAGCAGTTTGGAGTCCCGCAAAATTCCACAGCAATTTGAAGAAAGAGAAATTTGCCTTCATAGTTCCCCCAGAAGTTTTGATAATTAAATAATCCAATGCGCCATGTATTATCAAAACTCACATCACAGGCAATGCCACTCAAATCAGACACAATTACTTTTCATGTAATTGCCTATCAACCAGCTATTGATTATGGTAAACGTTTTGCTTAAATTCAATTAATTACTGACAGACCTTGCCATGCCACCTTGAACTTTTTTTTAATCCAACTTTTCCAAGCGGTTTCCTAAGAGATAATGTTATTTTCATTTAATTATAGGTTTTTTTTTTCCTTTGGTCTTTTTTTTAATTATACTTTAAGTTCTAGGGTACATGTGCACAACTTGCAGGTTTGTTACATATGTATACATGTGCCATGTTGGTGTGCTGCACCCATTAACTCGTCATTTACATTAGGTATATCTCCTAATGCTATCCCTCCCCCCTCCCCTCACCCCACGACAGGCCCCACTGTGTGATGTTCCCCTTCCTGTGTCCAAGTGTTCTCATTGTTCAATTCCCACCTATGAGTGAGAACATGCAGTGTTTAGTTTTTTGTCCTTGCGATAGTTTGCTGAGAATGATGGTTTCCAGCTTCATCCGTGTCCCTACAAAGGACATGAACTCATCCCTTTTTTATGGCTGCATAGTATTCCATGCTGTATATGTGCCACATTTTCTTTTTTTTATTATTATTATTATACTTTAAGTTTTAGGGTACATGTGCACAATGTGCAGGTTAGTTACATATGTATACATGTGTCATGCTGGTGTGCTGTACCCATTAACTCGTCATTTAGCATGTACTGGTCTCCAATAAAATTTTCTTCTTAGCAACATTTAAATGAAGGAAATATAAGCACACCACCATATTTAGCCAGTATGGAAATTATTTTCAGATCATCTCCCATTTAACCTCATTGTTATTGCTATTTCTTTATGAGGCAGATAGTAGAAGAACAGAAAGAGGAGAATTAAAAAGAGGAATCATTGAACAAATGTGGGTTGTTCTGTTCTAGGCTTTATCTGATTGAATTCTCACAAGGATTAACCTTCAAGAAAGATAACCACACCCTTCTTTGACAATTGAGAAAATTCAGGCTCAGGGATTTAAAGTGGTTTGATTGCCCAAGGTCAAAGTGAGAAATTCAATGTCAGTAATGTTTCTGATGGTTTCTCCCTCACTTAGTCATCTGGTAAGTGGTGAAAATAAGAATCTGAACCCAGCCTTGTCTGCTCCAAAACTTAAATATTATGCTATTGTGATGAGTCATAGAGGACCACCTTGGGAAACAATCCCTAAATAATTCTAGAATCATCCATGTTTTAACTAGATGCTTGACTTTTAAAAGCACTTTATTATTTTTCTTTTCTAGAGTTGAACAAATCCTCTAGTATTATCTCCACATCATTTCTCTGTCAGTACAAAAATGCATCCAAAAAAGCCAAATTTTTTTACCAAGAGTTTTGAAAATCCCATGATCTCATATCCAAAGAAAGAATTATTGTACTGGAAAAGTTATTGTACTGAATCCTCCTCTTAGTGTTGGCACACTCTCTAGTGTTTTAGCTGAAACTATAAAGCAGACAAAGCTGTGTGATGAACAGCCTCCTAGAACTATTTGTCACTGATAACAGAGGCTTCCGTAATAAATGGCCAGAAAGCACTTTTCCATTATAAAGTATTACATAAGTACTGACTGATAATAATACCAAACCATGCCAAACTGCAATAAAATGGCCCTTATGAATTATATAAGCAGCAAAAACAGGATTAAGCACAGTCAGCCACACTTTTCCATATCTATCACAAACTTCAAGTATACTGACAAGGACTGTTAGACATTTTAAAGAGAATGTTAGAACACCCTCCTATGAGGCTTATATAAGTCTCCTTTGTTCTCAATGAACAAACAAATTCTACAAAAGATGAGATGAGAAGGATATTTGAGGCCTGAATTTTACTGGCCAGAAAGGTGAGTACTCCATGGTAGATAATGCAGCTACTACCTGAGAAAGGTGTGCAGAAAAAAAGTCACAATACACCACTAAGCCAAAGGATTTTAAATGTTCCAGAACTTTCCACATCTGCTCAGCATGTAGATTCTTTATAAGATCCTAAGAGCGCAAAAACTTGGATTTTACAAATTCTTCTAATGGACAACAGTGGAAAGAAGGATTTTTTTAAGTTTTTTTCTTTTTCCTTTTTGAAGAAACCTCATTGTAGGCCAAAACAAAAGCAGGCTGCCAATAGACAAGCCGTCTGTTTCTCAGCATGACTGCTTTTTGAAAAAGGAAGGCACAGAGCTTGCTGAATTTGGAAATAAAATGTAAAACCTACTACTCTCCTTAATACTCTTCACAAATACATATCTTCACTCAAGATTCCTGTCCCAGAGAGATTGGCTCTCTCTAATCCTTCACATAAAGTAGGCTCCCTCCAGCTCTTTCCTTTCATTACACTTAAAACAATGTGCACTTGCACATGTATTGTGGATTTATTTAACATGCCTCCCTTATTAAAATAGAAGCTCCATGCAATCATGCACCATACTCCCTTTCTCCTAGCTCCTGACGCAAACACTACAATATAGTAAGTGCTCAATGAATATTTGTTAAATTACTGAATAAATGAGTATATTAAACCTATATTCTGAGGCTATAAGTAAATATTATCTACACCTAACCACCTATTTAAGATTGCACTTTACCCCCAGAAATAAAAATACCCTTTTAACAGTTTTTCCATAATTATCGCCTTCTAACATATAACATAATTTATGTATTTATTATGTTTGTCATTTATGGCCTGTTCTCACCACAAGAATGTAAGCTCCATAAGGGCAAGGACGGGCCTGGAATTGTGCCTGGTTTATCACAGGTGCTCAACAAGTATTTGCTAAATGATGAAGGGGATAGCCTCTTTTAACATCAAGCATTCACAGATACACTATTTTTGAGTTGACTCTATTGAAGTGCTTATAATGTTACCTGGAGAGTTAAAATGTAGGGCATTAAAGTACATATTTTTAATTCCAATTTTGATTTATAAAAAAATCTCAATTTAAGTTGCCTTATTGTTTCTAAAAGTGCTTATAGCTGTTTAAATCTAATTCAACTTCCAGGTTATTTTTCTCGCTAAGTAATCTAGAGGCAGCTTTAAATTTATACATCTATCAATCATTGTCTCTTGATTAATTAAAAGAATAGGATTTTAGAACAGGAAGGAAATTGTATTGATCATCTGCTCTCTCTGTCCTGTAACCAAGTAAGGCTATCCAAGTAAGTATCCAAGTAAAGATAAGCAAACTCAGGGAATTCAAATTAATTTCCCAAAAGCATACCAACACTTAGATGTGTTGCCACGACTAGACTCCTGGACCAGACCTCTACATTTTCACCTCAAACAGCACTCTTGCAAAGTATGCCATTGGCATTCTGAAGTGTACACAATGATTTTTTATTCTCACTAAAATTTTTTTCAAGTAATCATCATTTCTCATTGTTTTCTTAAACATTTAATTATTCTTATGAATTATAAGAGTCTTTTCCCTTCCTTCTTGAGTAATTCTGCTTAACTAATGTCATCAAAGCTACCTTTAACTCTGATTATCACAGCTTTTTACAAAGATTGTTGCCACTGTGGTTAGTAGATGGAAACTTTGTAATCAAAATATTACTATTTCTAGTTTCTAGAGGTTTGTGGTTTCTCAACTACTGGTACCTCAACTATTGGACTGTATTGCTTAAAGGCAATTGTTCAATTTGAATGTTAGCTTTAAAATACCATAAACAAAATACCTACATTCATAGTACAATGACTGTCACATGACTTTAATCTTTGCATGCTCTTCCTCCACTAAGATTGCTAAGACACCTCTAATAAGAAGCCAATGTTCCCTGGATTTCATTCTCAAGCACTTAGAAATAGCATGAAATTTGAATCTTATAGGGCTAATGCATTACTTTAACCCTTAATAATGCAATATATAACACTATTCTCACATATTTTTTAGTATTCTTTTTTATTGAGCAATACTTCATATACCATAAAATGCACCATTTTCAAGTGTACTATTCCATGGTTTTTAGTATAGTCACAAAGTTTTGCAACCTTCAAAACTATTTAATTCCAGAACATTTTCGTCATCTAAGAAGAAATGATATTTGATATTTTATTCTCCTGGTGGGAACTCTTTCCTAAATGAAATAAATTTTTATTTTCCTAAATATTTTCTTAAGTAAAGTGAAAAGTATAGCTTCTAAGACATCTCTACCGTGACTTTGTCTTCATTTCATAGTTGATCTTTAGCTTACTTACTTCAAAATCTTCCAATAAGTTCAATCGAGATCCTAGAATTTCTGCTAAAATGAAAGGACGTCCCAAGCATATTTTGGAAAGTACATGTGGTAAAAACTATCATCTTCTCCAAATCACTTTCAGTTGTTAGTAATGTGGACTTTAATATACTAATATTAATAAGTTATCCTATGCTAGTCATCCAGTAAACTACCTGCCATGTGTTTGGTGCCCCGTTGAAGCATCCAATGTAACCAGAGATGTTCAATTCAACCTAACAGTAGATCATGTTCATGTATTAACTGCTAACTTTGCCTCAGAGTACAAATTAAAAAGCAACATAAACTCTCTCATGTTACATCACTAGTACCTACCTCTTGACAATTCAGATAATCTATCATTTATTCATCCAATATTAACTATAAATCAGTAAGATTATAATATGATTCAAAAATTACTTATAGATAGAATAATCTTGGTCCCAAACATATCTACACATACTAGGTAATAATGTAAATATTAAGTAGAGTGAAAAATGTCATTGTGGATGGTTCAATATTGTTACTCAAATGCAAAACAATAAGCCTTTTTGTTATTGCAGTAGCATGTCTTATCTTTCCCTTTGCCCTCCCTCTAAATTGATAAAAAGTTATATGTAGAATCTCATTAAGAAGAACACAAAAACATAATTCATTCAACCAACAGTATTTATTGAACACTAAAATGGATATATGTTTCACATGTATTCCTTTAGGCGACCACTCCCTGGTTGATTTCCCCTGGAAATCCTGCCCAATCCATGGTTCCAATAGAAGTAACATCACTCCTAAATGCACCCCTAGATCCAAGCCTTCCTCCATGAGTTTGCACTGTCTTGAGTACTTTGAACAGTCTTAAGTAATTTTGGAGGCTAGGAGCTCTTTAATTTTGCAGTAAATTCCAAATTTCTGAAAGAAGCACTTTTAAGACACTCTTAAAAGATTATAAATAGGTCAGTGGGAATAAAATTGTATCCACCTGTCAAGATAAATTTCTATTTAATGAAAACACTAAACTGCATCATTGTCAAGGGATCCAAAATACTTCAGGGAAATCAGTTTGAAATGTCGAGCCAAACTTCTCCAATGCTTGAGGGAGCAAACAGCATGTTAAATTGGCTCAGCCCTCACCATTTGATATGTTTACACAAACATCTAGCACTTCAGACAGTTACAAAAGACAGAGCAGAAGGGTCATTTTGGTCTCAGAGATATGACCAAACTAACAAGATTGCATCATAAATTCACACAATAGCAGATCTAGAGCCATGAGCTGGTTCAGCAAGTCAGAGGACTTGTTATATATTAGTCTTAATACTACCATCCTCAGCAAATGAAATTAATGCAATAGTGGCCCTAAAAGAAGTTGGCAAATATAAGGGTAACTGGCTTCAACTTCCTTTATTTAAAGAACACTTAACCTTGTATACTCCCAATATAACTATTTTCTACATTAGGGTTGAGATTTAGTGTTAAAATTTTTTTCTCCTCTATTGATGTTTTATAATTTCCTTGTGTTACAGTAAGACTCATGATGGCAAGTGATCAATAATTTTGCTTATCTCCCCAGCCTGTACCTCATCCCATCCATGGATGTGGTCAATTTGATGAGAAACTCATTGGACCACCTCAGCACTCACTTGCACCAATTGTGACTTTCACATCGAAATTCAAGGAAGTTCTGTGATAATTTTCAATCAGATATTAACATATAGCACCAGAAATGTTAGCAGCTATGACAAGGCAGCCAGGGAATAGGTGGATTGAATAAAAAAATTTTTCTTAAAAAATGTAACTCAATAATAATATATTATCAGTTTACTAGTAAAAATATGTCATCTAATTTATGCCACATCTAAGTATGTGAATTGATGAAAGAGAAAGTAGGAAGATATACTTATAGAGCCTATTTTGCATAGTTGTAAATATATATAATAAAATAATAAGGAAGACTATTTTGTATAAATAGAAATATAATAGAAGTGTATTTTAAAATATTTTCTCTTATTTTATTTTTACTGACATTTACTTCAGAATTACATTTGTCTCACTCCTGTCACTCCACTAGTGAATTCCCAGAAGCCTTGATGGTTTTTGAACTTGAACCATAGAGTATTCCTTAAGTCTTAGCTTAAGAAATGATATTTTATCTTATCTCTCCACTAATGCTTCTGCTATTTCCTTCAGTAAACCTTCCATTCTGTGAAAACAACAAAATTTCTAAACCATATTCATCTCTGAAAGAGCCAAGCCTTCCTTTCTTTACAGATGCATTTGAATAACATACTATTTGAATGCTAATTCTAGAAATTAGAGATACTATAATTTATAGTAATCTTGTTAATTACCACTAATTATAGTAATCTTATTTAAATTTTCATTCCCATTTCATTCAATCTCCATTCCCTCACTGGACAATCTGATGCAGTCCTATTTCCTTCACTTATTCTGTAATTCAACAACTGGGGACATAAAGATGAGTAAGAAATATGTTCTTACTTAACAACAAGCAAGCAAACAACTGGAACAAATAAAAGAAGCAGGTGTTACGATAGACATCTCTAAAAACAATAGGGCAAAGGAAGAAAGCGTCACCAAAGTGAGAATGTTTTATTCTAGAGTGAGGCTGGGGGGAAAAGGAATTAGAGAAGGTAGTCTAGAGACAGTGAGAAGACTTACCTGAAAAACAAGGCTTGCTTCCTGTAAATCATTATTTACCAGGAGACTGCGCAGGAAGAGAGGAAACAACATGAGCAAAGGCATGGCTTCAGTTCTCATTTGTGTGTAAATTAACACCACATGGAAATGATTGCTGATGATGATGTTCATTCTATCACTTTGTGACTTAGTGTTCTCTTTATAAAATCCTTTACAACATCATTGCTGGCATTGCTGTTCGTCTTTCATATTTCCTTAGCCCAAATAAGAACTGATAACAGTATATTGCAAGTCCTACCACATTTTTAAGGATACATAGCCATCACATTTCAAGGAATCTATCTTATAGAAATAGCAGCATGGTTGCATAAATACACAGGAGCAAAAACACGTAGTGTAATGCCTATGTAGAACTATAAAATTCCCATTGCATTTGGCTTTCACTTAAAGATTTGAAGCATAGAGAACTGCAAGTAATATCACAAATCTCTCCTTCCTTTTCATATATGCACCCAAAGACGCTTCTCCACAGCTATTGGCAATTTTGTGGTCCCACCACATACAATATAAGAAAGAAAAAAAAGTAGCATCTGAACCGAGACTAATTTACTCAATGAAAGAAAGTAAAAACAAAGGACAGTATCATCTCCTGATTTCAAAACTTGCTACAAAGCTACAGTAGTCAAATAGCTAGCATGCTGGCATAAGGACAGACATATAGATCTATGAAGTATAATTGAGAATTCAAAAATAAACCCTCACATTTATGTCAATTTATAGTTGACATGGTTGTCAAGATCATCTAATGAGAAGAGAATAATCTTCAAAAACTAATGCTGGGACAACTAGATGCAAAAGAATGAAGTTGGACCCCATACACAAAAATTAACCCCAAACTGATTAAAGACCTCAATTTAAGCACTAAAACTTTATTTAAACATAAATATCTTAAAAGAAAACATAGAAATAAATCTTAATTACTTTGGATTTGGCAAATGGTTTCTCAGCTATGACATCAAAAGCACAAGCAAGGAAAGAAAAATAGGTAAATTGGATTTCGTCAAAATTTAAAACTTCTGTTCATTAAAGAACATTATCAAGAGAGTGAAAATACAATCCCAGAATGGAAAAAATATGTGCACATTATATGTGTAATGAGAGTTTGGTATCCAGAATATATAAAGAACTCTTACAAATCAACAAAAAATAGACACAACCCAGTTTTTAAAATTGGTAAAGTGCTTGGATAGACAGTTCTCCAAAAATATAAAAAATAGCCAACAAGCACATGAAAAGATGCTAAATGCCATTAGACATTGGGGAAATGCAAATTAAAACCACACAAGATACTATTTCTTACCCACTAGAGTGGCTATATTCAAATAAATGGAAAATAACGAATGCTGGGAAGAGGAGAAAAACTGGAGCCCTCATATGTTGCTAGTGAGAACGTAAAAGGGGCAGCTGCTATGGAAAACAATTAGGTGATTCCCCGATAAGTTAAACATGGAATTACCATACGAGTCAACAAATGCAATCCTAGGTATATACTCAAAAAAACTGAAACCACATGTCCAAACAAAAAATGTGTACATGAATGTTCATAGCACCACAATTTACAGTGGCCAGAAGACTAAAACAACCCAAATGCCCACTAACTGATAAACGGATAAACAAAATGTGGTATATCCATATAATAGACTATTATTATTCAGTTATAAAATGGAATAAAGTACTGATATATGCTACAACGTGGATGACCCTCGAAAACATTACACTAAGTGAAAGCTAAGTGAAATCAACCACAAAAGGCCACATACCATGTGATTCATTTATATGAAATATCCAGAAGAGGCAAATACATAAAGACAGATAAATTAGTGGTTTCCAGGAACTGGGAGGAGTGGGGAATGGGGAGTGACTGCTTAGTGGGTACAGGATTTCCTTTTGGGATGATTAGAATGTTACGGAACTACATAGTGATGATTGGTGCACAATATTGTGAATATACTAAGTGTCACTGAATTGTACACTTCAATTGGTTAAAATTGTAAATTTTTTGTGTATTTTACCACAATCAAAAATGAAGCTAAAAATATTGTCATCAATTTGTTACAGATCACAAGGAAGAAATAAACAATTTATTAAATGAAAACTTATTTAGTGGGAGAGTGTGTATCTTAAGCTGAAAGACTTAGGGGTCAGTTCTTTTTGTGTGTATATAATATTATAAGACCACATTGCAAGTTATTTAGATGCCCATAGAATAGGGAATACCAGCAAGAGCAAGCCAAAGAAGGATGCAAAAAAAAAGTGATGTAGTTATGTGTTGCATTGATAAAACCATCTGCTGTAAAATAAGTTTTTAATTATGCTCAGTTAAGTCACAGCTCCTTCTCAACACAGGAAACACAAATACGTGAAGCGAATGAGGAAGATAGTGTCTTTCAGACAGCTGTCTACAAGTCAAGAAGAGAGCCCTCACTCGAATCCAAACTTGCTAGGACCCTGGTCTTGGACATCCACCCTCCAGAACTGTGAGAAAACTAATTTCTGTTATTTAAGCCCAGTTTATGGTATTTTGTTATGGCACCCCGAGCTGACTCAGACAACACTTCCAAAAGATATTCCAATTTTTGGTTCTTCCCTCTACAAGCACAGGTTTGCTACACCTATTGTGCCAGGCACACCTTCAAAGGTGATCTGTCCTGCCCTGCCAACTAGAATGCTGAGGCCTATTCTCTAAGATTTTCCTCTCTTTCTTACCTCAAGATCTCCTTGCTTTTTAGTCTTTCTTCCCTTTTGGGTCCTGCTTTCTTTTACCAAAATTGATAGCTACTAATCTGATAATTAGATCCCCTCAAAGGAATTAACAACTCATAAAAACTACCTGTTTGTAAGAACATTTCTTTTTAGCTAGAAACTAGCACAGCTATTTTGTCCAAGAAGAGAATCCCTAATGGTGACTATTTCAGGTACTGTAACATCTTATCTGGGAAGATATGCTTGGGTGAAAATACATGTAGATGTCCATCAAGTCACCTGTGCATGAAGCCAAACTTAGTTGTATTGATACTCCTAGATCAGAGATTTATTACTGAATATTTTCCTCCTGTGAGTCTTTATTGCATACAAGAAATATCCTTTAGGCTTACATGAAGTCAAGAAATTAGACTTATTTAATATACATTTTTGTGTGTACTCATATACATTATAATACAAAATAATCACATCATTTTAGCATTTAGCTTAAAGGGGGCTTTCACAATCATTAATCCTTTTAAACCTCACAATCATTAAAAGTTCATAATGTAAATAATGCTGTAAGCAGTATGAACCAGGTCAGGAAGTTCTCAGCAGGAAATAGGGATTTGGACAAGGAAATGGATTAAACTAATTGGGGCTGAAGACAGTACAGTGCTGGCTCATTGTAAACACTCAAATACACATCGAAATAATGAATCAATACTCTCAATCCTACTGGGACCTAACAATACAGAAGTCTACCTGAGGAAGGGCAGAGAAATAGAGAGAGGCAGGCAACTAAGGCCTCAGCATCCAAGCCAGGAAATATATTTCAGGTGATACAAAGAAGAGCAGGAAAAGAGCTAGTCCTGGAGGCATGGGATTGGCCACACTAGCCAACAGAAATTAGAAGTTGGGCCTTAGTTCTAGCAGGTGACTAAGGGAAAACCAGGTACCAGCACAGAAGATCATGGGAAACTTGAACACCCATGATAAAAGTTGGGTAAGAAGGCTGAAGTCTGACACTCACTTAAGTGCCGCTTGTACCAAGATTCCCCCAACCCAGACACTAGTCACAGAGCATCATTATCAAGCCATTCATAATAACTGAGAGGGAGTTTGAAACCAAGATCTAGAATTTCTTCTTCTAACTGGCTAGTGGCTTTAGGATAACAGGATAGTGGCTTTAGGAGCTAGCAGGATAGCAAGTTACAAGTGGAGTTGTATTCCAAATCCTGTACACCTTTGCTACTTATAGTGTGGTCTATGGAGCAACAACAGCAGCAGCAACCTAGAAATTTGTTAGAAATGCAGACTCTCATTCCCAGCCCAGACTTACTAAATCAGAACCTGGGGTTTTGTTTTCTGTGTGTTTATTTGTTTGTTTCTGTTTGTTTATTTTATTTGACTTTAAGTTCTGGGATACGTGTGCAGAATGTGAAGGTTTGTTACATAGGTATACATGTGCCATGGTGGTTTGCTGCACCTATCAACCTGTCTTCTAGGTTTTAAGCCCCAAATGCATTAGGTATTTGTCCTAATGCTGTCCCTCCTCTTCCCCCAAATCCTCAACGGCCCTAGTGTGTGATGTTCCCCTCCTTGTGTCCATGTTCAGAACCTGGTTTTAATAAGATTCCATGTGATTTGCACACATAAGAAAGTTTGAGAATCACTGCTCTACATCATACTGCCATTCTCCTTTTCACACAGGTTTCTTTTTTCCCCTGAAGGAATAACACAGGGTTTATAAATAAAGAACAAAAATACTTTGTATCTTAAGAGAAAAAGAGAAATTCAAAGCAGGGAGAGTTCAGAGAAGGCAGAGAACTTCCAGCTGAAGAGATTTGAACTCAGTGCATTTGTCTTGATCTTTGAAGAAAGAATAAGATATATACAGGCAGTAATGGGAAGTGTGGAGCTGTTTCTTGCAAAGGGAACCCAGTAAGTGAAAACATCTAAGGCAGGAGAGTGCAGGACATGTGAGAGAATGGCAGGTGGTTCTGTCTGGCTGGGGAGTAGGAGGTGTGAAGAACAATAAAAATACATGTTTGAAAGAAAAATTAGGGACAGCATAGAGAGATTATAAAATGATAAACATTCAGGCTTTATTGGGTAGGCAGTGAAAATTGAAAGGTTTTGAGCAGAGGACTGATGGGTTCAAAATTAATCATTAACCTTCAAAAATGCTAATTGCTATTGGGTTGCAGAAATAGAAGTGGAAGACCAAAAAAGAAATGATGTAGAACTATAGTGGTGGACAAAAGTTAATAAGAGACAAGACTTGGGGCAGCAATGGGAATAAAGAGGAAAGGGAAGATTTCAAAGACATGATGTTGTAACCTTTAAGCTAATATAGCTTTACAGGATGGAGCTCTACAGATGACTCATCTCCTTTAGCACCTGCTTATTCAGGCCACAGTGCCATATATAGGTGGAGATGTACAGTACATCTATCATTAAAACACAAGTATCATTAAAACACAAGTATTTAAAACCCAGCAGAGCCCCTGCAGTGTCTGACCCACAGTGAGTGCCCCAAGTTTTGTATTCAATATTCCTGAATATTGCCAGAAAAGCATCTCTCTAGGCAACAAGTCATATGTAGCCCAAGAGCCAAGACCTGAAAAATCAATTCTCAACTTGATAATTGTCACCTTTGGGAGAATTCTCACCTTTCACAGATTTCTTTAATCACAGTGGCATTTAAGGCAACAATAAAACCCACGAATGTATATTTACATTGAAAATTGTAACTATAAATGTAAATCCCATTTAAATGACTGCTATGGCAAAATTTCTCTCTCTCTCCCTCCCTTTCTCCCTTCCTCCTGTATGTAAAAACTCATAAAGAACAACTATCAGAATTACCTCTTAGTTATCTCTAGACCGGGGTTTCTAAACAGAGCAGGATTGACATTTTGGGCCAGGTAACTCTTGTTTGTGAGGGGTACTGCTCTGTGCCCTGTAGGATGTTTAGCAGCATCCTAGGCCTCTACCCAGTAGATGCCACTTGTAGCCAGTCACCTTCCCCACCCCTTACCCCACCAGTTGTGGCAACCAGCGCTGTCCCTGGACATTGCAAAGGTCCCCAGGGGTGGGAGTAGGGATAACAATATCACCCCTGATGGAGAAGCACTGCTCTCGAGCATGCCAAATTGCAAGCACATGATTCCCATTAAGTAATATGAATGCAAGAGGGGATCACTTAGAACTCTGAGAATCCTGAAGTACATTTCTTTGTGTTTATTATTTGGAGCAGTTTAACTTAGCCAAACCACAGACCTACTAAATTTTACTATCTAGTTGATAATATCCACTCTCTTGACTTTTCCTAAATGTCGCACAGAATTATCCAGGATTCTAAGTTATCACAGAAAATATTCACTATGCTTTGGAAAATGGTATTTAAGTTCCATGCCATCTGGACTTAAAGTACCTTACTAAGTCATCTTTTTAAGAGGCCGTGCATATATAATAAATTTCAAATCTCTTTAACAAGGATTCTAGAGTGTTTAGCAAAAACAAGAATAGAAGACTACACCTAGCAAGCCGGAATTAAAGATACCACAGGGCTGGGGAACTTGAGAAGAAATAAGTGAAATCCCGTCAATATGCCTTTTCATCAGATCTGATTCACATAGCCTCAGACCTAAGGAGTTTCATCCATTGCTTTAAATGCAGTTCAGCAGGAGCCAAACCACACAACTGAGACATTCAACTTCATGTAAAGTGAAACTCAGAGAAGCCTTGCCAGCTCAGACCAGAGCCACACTTACAAATCTGAAAGGTAGTGTGGAAATGATGTTTTCAGCACTCTGCATTTGCTGGCACTGGTAATTAGTTGTGCCAATTTAAGCTCTTGAAAATAGAATCCTTTAGGATTCTAAAGTGCCATTCATACATTGCTCGTCTGTTATTTCAGGCCACTGAGTAAATATCTCAGCAAATCTTTCATAGTTATCTTAATGGTGGTAGACTTTAAAACTTAGAAAGAACAGCCACAGATAATTTTTCTCTAAAAAACTTAGTTGCACTATTGTAATCTGTTTCTCATTATATGTGTGCTATTCAAACCATGCATAGCCCATAAAATCTCAGAAAGAGCTACAATAAATTAAAAAGAATAGAAAAAACATAATGGAGCTCCATACTCCCAAATTGTTCATAGAAGGCAATCACAAAAACATACGGCTCTTACTTGTTGCCCTCTGGATCAAGGTCTATACAATTATTCTGGCAGAAATTTCTGTCCTATGAGAAAAGCCACAAATGGCAAATACTCAGAAAGTAAGCAACTAGGGTACTTAAAGGGACGATTGAATGCATGGACAAAGCAGTTAAGTGGTCGGGGCCACCTCTCCTTATGTGGTTGGAATCATACACAGGGTGAGGCATGGAGATGCCACCACTTCTATTTTCATAAGGGAAAAAAACGTGTGGAAGAGAAATATTAGTAGCCACCTCAACAAATTTTCTCCATTATAGGTTTACTGCTTATTAACTTGAGAAACGTTTCTCAAATACCTACTGCAGGTGAGACATGTTTCCTGTCTTTAATGGCTTGTGGCATAAAAGAGAAATAACAGATTCATTACAATGACCTAGTAGATAAGGTACAAGAATCATAAGCACAATAAGAAATGTTAGTTAAGTTCTATGGCCATACCACCCTGAATGTGCCTGATCTTGGAAGCTAAGCAGGGTAGGGCCTGGTTAGTACTTGGGTGGAAGAAATATTAGTTAAATTGCCATGGGAATTGTGAGGAAGAGGAGATTGATTCCTGCTGTGGGTATGAAAGAAGGCTCTATGGGAAAGGGAGCATTTGATCTGGAACTTCAAGGCCTAGGTCGAATACATTCTTATAGAAAACTCTCACAATTCCTATTGCCGAAATACTTCCCAGAGACACTTTTACCACACTCTATATATCTTTGTCATTGGTAAACATCTGTCTGTGTTCCCTATTAGATAAAAGCTCCTAAAGGGCTACAGTGTGTCTCTGTGATGTTTGTGTTCCCCTTTGATGCCCAGCATAATACCTTATCATGATACCCATCATAGCCTCTTAGCAAACACTGTAGATTTGATCTCACCTGAAACAAGGTATGTTGTGTTGAATGTTGCTATTATCTGTGATTCCACAGAGTGGAAGCTTGCTGACCCTTGCTTTTTACCTGGCCTTGGAGTTCCCATGGTCCATCAAGAGCAATGAAGGACAAAATCCCCAATAATTCTATGTAGAAGGGAACATGGTTACCCTACACCTCTAACACTCCATGAAACTTTTTCTACTTTTCTCCCCTTTACTCATTTCTCCCCAGGGGATATGGAAGAGCTTATCCAACTGATGGATTTGGTAATAATTGGGCATTCTCTGCATTTTCTTCCTCTCAGGAGCTAGTTGTTGGCACAGATCTGCCCCAACGTGAGGAGGCCTGTCTTAGCCCAGTATTACTGGGAAATAGATGGGAAAGTGTGACAAATCCGGAGATTTAATTTAAAGACAATCTGAGTCTCAACTGACCTACTTCTTCCAACTAACCTTTGTTATTGATAAAGGTCATTCTTTGTATTATACCTATTCTTAATAGAATTTAAATACCACATAACCAGGAATTTATGTCAGTTTTGCTCAATGATTATATCCCAGCTTCTAAAATAGTGCCTGCCATATAATACGCAGTTAATAAATATTTGATGATTTGTTGAACATATTTGTTCAGAATCTGGTCAAGAAAGAAGGTACTATTTATCGGTCTCCATCAGAGACCCCAAAACTAACTCAAATAGATATATAACTTTGCTAAGTGGGTGAATAAATGAATGATCCTCTCACTCCAGTCACAACTTCTAGATATTTTTTAAAGTCTTATTCCATTCATGATATTTGGAAAGATATATGGTTTAAGAAATGCATTTTTTCTATATTCTAACATAGGTTTATTTAGCTAGAGAGAATGGTGAACTTTGCCTATTACAGTAAGTTCCTGTACAACAAGTGCTCAGTGCTAAATCCCTAATTAGCATTCAGGCCCAGATCCAATTTTTGGTGTGTGGAATAGATTTAGCCACAGAATGTTGTTCTCCTGTTCAGCCAATCAACTGTATCTTCATGTGCTGCCAGTGTATAAGCTATCCAGAGAAAAATAACGTGTGTTTTTAACTAATAGGGATCTTAAATCTATTAGGAGACTCTAATCTAAGGATTTTCATCTTGTACATAGGTAACAAGAAGATAGGAACATGTACTTCTCAGACCTGGTCTTCAGCAAATAATGATGTGAAACAACCTTGTTATCTTGTTATCTTTTTTCTTTTGTGTAACTTGTTATTTAAGGGGAAAAATGAGGAAAATAGAGACAGAAGGAAAACTATTTTTTCTTCTTTGGAAATGAATCATAAAACCTTTTTGGTAAATTAAGACCAAAATAAGTATCCAAAAATATACATATTGTCAATGAAAAACCTCAAGATAATTATTCAGTGTTTTAAAGGTTTCCTTAATATCTAGAATAATTGATGATCAATTAGTCTGATTTTATGTTAAGACTAATTTAAGACCTCTATCCACATGCAATTAACCATCAATTAACCTTGATGCTCCTTAACATCTTCATCAATTTAAAACTGACAAAATATTCTAAGATGCAAATAAACAGCTAAAATTATGTTTAATGCATCTAATTCTCACAGTGGTATCACGTTGCCTGATAAAATAAATGATTTTAACAAGAACTGCTTTGGACTCAAGGTGATAAGGTATTTCCATTTGGTTTTGCCCTATAATAAAGCATTTGAAATCAACCATGTGTTTTCTCAATATGTTCTTTGAGAATCAAATTAGGTAGGCAAAAATTTTCATCACATCTGTAATCTATTTAAATTACAGAGAAGTGGGTATGAGGAGATAAGATGAAAGGGAGAAAGGATACAGTTCATTATTTGGACTAAATGAATTGAGAAAATACAATAGTCAGTTTAAGAAATGAGCACAGAGCAATAAATCTAAGGGGACAAAATTAGAGTAGCAAATTGGAGGAAACAAAATTGGATTCTAGAGTTATCCCAAGAAAAAAGCACAGAAAGGGAAACAAAAAAAAAGGAGGCAACTACTAGAATAATGAGTCCGCTAAAATTGACCTGACAGGAAAATTTACCATCCTTTACATCTGACTCTGTATCCATGTGATATGGTTTGGCTGTGTCCCCACCCAAATCTCATGTCAAATTGTCAAATTGTAATTCCCAGGGTTAGGGGAGTGACCTGGTTGGAGGTGATTGGATGGTGGAGGAGGATTTCCCCCTGGCTGGTCTTGTAACAGTGAGTGAGTTCTTATGAGATTTGATGGTTTAAATGTGTGTGGCACTTCCCTCTTTGCTTTCTCTCTCTCTCCTTTTCTGCCATGATAAGATGTGCTTGCTTCTCCTTCACTTTCCACCATGATAGTAAGTTTCCTGAGGCCTCCCCAGCCATGCTTCCTGTACAGCCTGTGGAACTGTGAGTCAATTAAACCTCTTTCCTTCCTAAATTACCCAGGCTCAGGTAGGGTTTTTTTGTTGTTGTTTTTTGATTGTTTGCTTTTTGTTTTTGTTATTTTTTGAGATGGAGTCTCACTCTGTCACCCAGACTGAAGTGCAGTGGCGGGATCTCAGCTCACTGCAACCTCTGCCTCCCTGGTCCAAGCGATTCTCCTCCCTCAGCCTCCCAAGTAGCTGGGATTATAGGCATACACAACCATGCCCGGCTAATTTTTGTATTTTTAGTAGAGACGAGGTTTCACTATGTTGGCCAGGCTGGTTTCAAACTCCTGACCTCAGGTAATCTGCCTGCCTTGGCCTCCCAAAGTGCTGGGATTACAGGCGTGAGCCACTGCGCCTGGCCAGGTAGTTCTTTTTAGTAGTGTGAAAACAGACTAATATACCCTACAACTACGAAAGCATTAGCACTCTTTGGGAAGGGTAGAACTAATCAAACTGCAGTAAAATCATTTATGGAAGCTGTAGGCTACTGTCTCTGGATTTATCCATCTACCTCCTCTATTTCTTAGTGTGATACTCCCCTTCCTCTATATTTGGTCCCAATACTCTCATTGTGCTTACTCATGACAGAAATGGGCTTGAGCTTTGGCCTTTGTGGCAGATTAAAAATGTCCACAAAGTCTTTCACATTCCTCCCATAGAGGTGAGGTCTATTGAATGCAGGTGGGCTCTGTGTCTGCTTTGAATGCAGGTAGGCTCTGTGTCTGCTTTGGCTGATAGATTATGGAAGTAATGCTGTGGCAGTTTCTAAGCCTAGGCCTTAATAGACTGGCATGGTTTCTTTTTCTGGATCTTGGAATACTTGCTCTTGGAACCCAGCTACCATGTTTTGAGAAAACCCAAGCATTGTAGTGGAGAGGTCCAAGCATCCTGATGGAGAAGCTCAAGGCCTCCAGCCTTGTTTTCCAGCTGAGCTACCAGCCAACCATCAGCACCAACTTGTTAGCCATTGAACAAGCCATCTCAGAAGTGGATCCACCAACCACAGTCAAAGCGCCCCAGCTGAAATCATGTGAAAAAGACAGCAGTCATCCTACACAAAGCCTTGTTCAAATTGCAGTTTTGTAGGCAGAATGAACAATGTTATTTTAAGCCACTAAGTTTTGGTGTGGTTTATTACATAGTGATAAATAACCAGAACAGCCCTCTAGCAAAATGAGCACATTTCATGTTAGGAAAGCACTTCTGAAAGTAGGTAAATGTTGAAGGAGGAAGGAACTTTTAGCCTCTAGAAATTCTGTCTATCTCACTATCTATCTATCTCTGATCTTTAAGGTTCTGTCCTTCAATCTTTTGTTTTAATATTGTGAAAGAAAAAAAAAAAACAAAATATCCTTCAGCCAGAACCTTCTGTTCTTGGTTATATGCGGTTTGTTGATTCACATGGTTCTTTGAGACCACAAAACATTAGAAACAATGACTAAGCTAAGTAACTGAAGAGATGCTCACATGTACTAGTCAGTTTATTCCCAGGATGCCTGTTTTCCATTTGTAGCTGAAGCCTTCTGAAAAGTCTTACCAACAGAGGTGTTTCTTCAGAGGATGTTTAAACTGACCTGATTTAATCCAGCTAATCAAAGAAATTTGTATGAACAACTCCCTAGACATTTGTGCATGGACCACTTAGCTTCCTTTATTAGTTATTCATTTGAAAATTAATGACAAGAATCAAGCAAACCTGGTAAATTTACTCAGCAGCTGGTTTGGCTTCTGCCTGTAGAAACACTTGCCTCTCTGTCCCCAGTCACATAGTACCACGGGCTTCTTCTCATGGCATTTCCTACATACACCTCCTGCAACTTGTACTTTTCTGTTTCCTGTATTGGTATGCTCGTGCCTGAAAAGAATGAGTCAGGCCTCATAGTCTTTGTAGCCCAGTTCTTAACAGTGCTTGGCATATCATAAGTGCTCAATCAGAGCTTGTAAGTGAACTACTTAGTAAAATCAATAATATGCATATTTAAACATAGTTTTATGTTGCCCCCAGATGAGCAACAGACCCCTGGAGGAGAAATAGGAAAGTGGCTTTTTTTCCAAAACTTTTCCATTGACTTTTTCTAAACACAAACATGAATTCTATCAATTAAGTTTGTGATTATGACCAAAGCAAATATTTATTCTGGGTGATATTTAAAATTTTTTTAATTGGGGTCACTTCATTCTAACCAAAGTCAGAGAATAAATTAGACATGTGAGAAGAAGGTTAGACAAGGGACCTGCATTTAATGTGTTCTTGGCTTCTGTTTAGATTATACCTTTTATAGGTAATAATGTTTATTGACCAAAGTATGGGAATATGTCCTAGGCCTTCACATTCAATCACCACTCACTCACTAACTTACCCAGACCACTTCTGGCCCTGCAAGCTCCATTTATGGTAACTGCTCTCTACAAGTATACTAGTTTTTATTTTTTTGTACTGTATTTTTACTGTACCTTTTCTATGTTTAGATGCACAAATATCACTGTGTTACATACAGTTTTCTACAGTGTTCAGTACAGTTGCATGCTGTGCAGGTTAGTAGCCTAGGAGCAATAGGCTATACCACATAGCCTACATGTGTAGTAGGCTATGCCATCTGGATTTGCATAAGTATATTCTATGTTGTTCACACAATGACAAAATTGCCTAACATTACATTTCTCAGGAAGTAACCTCATCATTACACAATGCATGGCTGTAGTTTTAGAGTATTATGATTCTTTCAATAGGACAGTAAAAGTAAATTTAACAGATTCTTCTTTATTCTTATAAATAATTGCGTCTTTTTTTATATAATACCAATACTTGCTACCCAAGCTTTCTTTTTGTTAATATTGGACCAATATGTCATTTTCTATGCCTCTAATTTTCCAACTTTATGTCTGGGTTTGCTTTATACGTATGTCTCATAAGCATCACATAGAACTACATTGTTTTAATCTAATCACATAGCCTTTTAATGGATGTGTTTAATATATTTACATATATTGTGATTACCAACTTGAAGTGATTTCTACCATCTTCTTTTACATTTTCTGTTTGCCATCCTCTTTCCTTGATACTCTTTTTTTTGCCTTCTTTTGGATGGCTGAAGATTTCTAGGGTCCCTTTTGTTCTGCAAATTCGGAAATTATAGATAGCAACTTTACTCTTTGGGTGTTACTTTTAATTATGAAAATACAGACTTGTGACAGAGACTGGCTAACTGCTCATAAAACCCATTCTCCTTCTCTCCTGGGAACAAAGCTGAACTTTACTCCCCAGCCTCCCCTGAAGTTGGATAGATATGGCTGCATGACTGAGCTATAGTCAAGCCAATGGAATATGTGCAGAAGTGAGGAATGCCACTCCCAAGCCTGGCCCATTAAAACCTCCATTCCCTCTACTTCCACCCCTAGCCAGCTGTATGTCAGTGTCCTAAGGGACAATGGAAGCCCTATGCTGAGGATAGAGCATTTATCAGCCTGAGTGACTGAATAATAGCATGTAACAGAGACACCACCACCACTACCTAGCTCACCCACCAGTTGAAATATAGGTTATTGTAATTGCCCAGTGGGTTATTTCTGGTGGCTGCACAGACAAAGCCAGTTCACTGAGACCATGGCATTACGGTAAAGAAAGAGTTTAATTAACACGAGGCCAGACACACAGAAGATAGAGTTATTACTCAAATCAGTCTCCCTGAAGGCTTGAAGATTAGAGATTTTCAAGGATAGTATGGTGGGCAGGTGACTAGGTGATGGGTGTTGCTGGTTGGTTGCGGAGGCAGTCATAGGGGTATGGAAAATGGTCCTCATGAGCTGAGTCCATCTCTTGATTGGAGGTGAGTCATGAGTCACAGGACTGGGTGGAGTGAGCCTGAAAAACATTTCAAAAGACCAATCTTTGGTTCTGCAATAGTGATGTTTTCTATAGGAGCAATTGGAAAAGTCACAAATCTTGTGACCTCTGGCCACATAACTCCTAAGTAGTAAGTAATTATAGAAACTACACCTACATCTTAGCATAATTCAGGCCCCTCTCATAATCCTAACTTTGTGAACTTTCATTAGTTTTACAAAGGTAGTTTAGTTTTGGACAAGGCTATTATCATCCTTGTTTTAAGGTTAAACTATAAACTAAATTTCTCCCAAAGTGAGCTTGGCCTATGCCCAGGAATGACCAAAGGCAGCTTGGAGGTTAGAAGCAAGATGGAGTCAACTATGGCAGATTTCTTCTACTGTCATAATTTTGCAAAGGCAGGTTCATCATCAGGAAATAAACTTAGTTGCCACTGTATTGCATGTAATGAAATGTTTAAAATTACATGTATAAAAGATGCTTTTAAGAGTACTCCTTGCCACATTGAACACTGTTATTTTAGTCAGTGGATGTGGGGAAATAAAGCAGAGGAAAGGAGAGGAGGGCAGGGGAGGGGAGGGGAGGGGAGAAGGAAGGAAGGAAAGAGGGAAGGGAAGGGAAGGGAAAAGAGGGAAAGAAATACGTACTGAACTACTGAGTTTCAGCAGCTAAGTTATTAATACTTCATTATAAATTTTCTTTGAAAAATTAGACCAGTTAAGTATCTGTTTGTCATTTAAACAAGAACTTTACATGATATGACTACCCATTATATCCCTCTCTCATCATATAATTGTTTTATAGAGCCTTTTTCACATTGCTTTTAACAGATAAAATTATTTTCAGTCATTAATTAATTGCATTTATTCTCTATTTTTAAGAAAATTTTGTTATCGCTATTGATTCTGGTAACCTATATTCTTTCTCTGGGTTCACTTTTCTACTTGTTAAGGTGTAAATAGTTTTTTCATGACTGTGTGTGGGTAATACACATTCCTATATTGTCTTCATCCTCAAGGATAGCTAAGTCAGTACAAAATCCAGGTTGGCAGCTATTTTTTCTCAGTTCTTTAGAGCTATTACTCTATTGTCATCTAGAAATCTGTTGTTCCGGAGGAGAAATCTTCCAGTGATTTACTTGTTGCTCTTTTCTAAGTGTCCTTTCTCTTTGATAGTTCTGACAGTTTTCTCTGTGTACTTGATGTTCTGCAGTTTCATCATAATGTCTCCAAGTGTGAATTTGTTCCTATTATCCAGTTTGGTACTCAGAGTGCCATTTCAGTGTAAAGATTAGTATCTTTCTTCAAATCTCAAAAATTCTTCTTCATTGTTTTCTAATTAATGCTTTTCCAGAATTCACTCGATTATCTTCTGAATCTCCTATTGGGTGCATGCTGAAGCCACTCAATCTAACTTTCATTTACCTTAAACTGTTTTATATTTTTTAACTCATTGTTTCGCTTCAATTCATCATTCTAGTTGAATTCCTTACTTTTGTATCCCAATCCATTTGTTTATTAACTAAGCCAATGTAGACATTATCCTTTCTATTGAGTCTTTATTCAATAATTACATGTTTTATTTTCAAGATTTCTAATTGTTTCCTTTTCATATTTATATATCCTTCCTTTTCATTACTGCCTGTTTTGTTTCAAGGTGTCTTTTAACACATTAATCATATTTCCTCTATCTTTGTTATATATTTGAAGCAAATGTCAAACTTCAAAGAATGAACTTAAAACACCATCTTAACCAAAAGTCTAAAGTAGGTCAAAGTGCAAAGTACAAACAAATAAATCCAGAATGATTGGATTCAAATAAATCCATTTGAATAATGATTCAAACACAATGGGAGTTTGTTTTTGCTTCTTGTTTGTTTTCTCATTCAAATCCAGAATGGGCAGGTTGGCAGGGATCAGGGTGATAAGTCCTCTCCACCCCGTTAATCTGGGACCTATGCTGCCAGATGCACTGACATTTTCAACATAAATCTTCCATAGTCATTCTGGATGTCACCATCCCATGGAATCCCATGGAAAAAGCCCACAGAGTTGCCACATGAAAGGTTTTACAGGCCAAGTCTGGAAGTATCACATCTTACCTCTTCTCATATCCCACTGGAGAGAACATGGTCATAGGACCATACCCAACCACAAACTGGAAAGGAAGCTGGAAAACACAGGGTAGCTGTGCAATTCTATGTCTTGCTACTAGAGGTGGAACAGCTTTTGGTAGGCATCTAGTAATTTCTCCTACAACATCCAAAGAGCCACTCCATTGAAAAGTGTGCCAACTATTACAATGATGTCTTCTAACACTCTTCAGGACCTTAACATTACCAAATATCTTTTTGTTTATAGTGTCTATTTATATTATCACATTAATATATACAGCTTCTCTACTTCTTTGAGAACAACAGAAGTGTCCCTTGATGTCACTTTATGCTTATTCTTAAGATCATGAGATGATTTATATCAAACCAGACATGTTAGCAAAATTTCCTAATTTTACTCTAATGTTGTTTTCCTAATATTTCCTCCATCAACCATGGAATGCGACCCAGAAGAGTTACTCTAAAAGAAAGGCTCACTAAGGTACACTTTTTGAATTGAGGTCTCCTATTTCTTTGTTTCTATATAGGTATTCACTATATGTTACCTCTATACTGATTTTTAAAATCTTTTTTTCCACTTACTGCCTGAAAGTCCCATTTTCTCTTGACTCCAAGAGAGAACTTCACTAGGAACTAACATGAAATATAGTAATAATGCAACAATTTGTTGGGTACCCATTATGGAGCACATGTGCTAAGAGCTATCACACTCATTTTCTCATTGAATTCTGTCAACAATCCTGAAGATGTTCATTTTTATGTTCATTGTGTAAATGAAGAAACTAAGTTTAGGTAATTGTTTAATGTCCCAATTGTACCCTGGCTGAATTGTAACTCAACTTCAGGACTGAATAAATCTTGCATTTCTTCTATTTTACAAATTGCTCAAGGATATTCTAGGTAAATGTATGTCTATTTTAGCTAAGGTTTCAACTCCAAATTTCTATCGGCTCCTTTTCTCTAGTGAGCTAAGCTGTGTTTTGTAAGCTTCAAGGACCTCTCCGGCCCATTTAGCATAATAAGGTCTAGACTAAACACAGGCCTTTAGCAGCCTTGTCCACAAACCCTGTACCTTTAGCCATCTACTGATGGTTCTTTAGTGTCAGGATCTTTCTATTCTGATGTCAGCAAAAGAATGAAAAAGAGAGAATATTCTTTTTCCTAAGGCTTCACTCTGATCATCCCAAGCAGGAGGAATATGTAGGCTCCCTAAGCACCAGGAACATAGAAAAGAAGAAGGGCAACAGAGTAAAGCATGAAAAAGAAAGAATGTTCACTCCACTGTATTGTACTTCCTTGTATTAAAAATCCATTTTGTGACCCTGATGACAGCATTTTCTCCTTGATTAGGCCAGAGCTTCTCCTTCTTGAGGGGTTGGAGTGGCTTTGAAGTGAAGGCAGAGAAGGAATACCTTGAACTTCCCCTAGAGCAGAGCTAACCATTTTTGCCCCCAGCTCCAGAGGTTGTGACATTGTCCCTCTTGAGAAAGAGTATCCCAGTGGAGAATGACTGTAGCTTCTCTGTATCCATACCAACCAAGATGCTGCTGAATTTTACTTGTTATTTTTGTTATTAAAATAACAGGTTTCCTTTTCATTTTCAGTTACAAACTTATTTGATAATACCGAATGTATTTTTTCAACCTATACATGTATCTCACCACAGAATTTGGTATTATTTTTCCACACTTGGGAATCACTGCTCAGAAGGATAGAGTGAATAATCAGCTGTTGTGCCTTTCAAACATACTACTCTATGAATCTGCCATAAAGCTGTAGAACTATGAGACTACAAAATAAGTTTACGTAAAAAGTTTAGATTTTTCCCTTACCTGAAAATGGCCAAAACTACTATTCCTTAGATGGGATCTAAGATGAAAATATAGATTAAAGGAAAAAAAATGGGTAAAATTATACTATCAAAAACACTGTGCAGGCCAGGTGTGGTGGCTTATGCCTGTAATCCCAGCACTTTGGCAGGCCGAGGTGGGCTAATCACGAGATCAGGAGATTGAGACCATCCTGGCCAACATGGTGAAATCCCATCTATACTAAAAATACAAAAAAAAATTAGCTGGGCGTGGTGGCACGCACCTGTAGGCACAGCTACTCGGGAGGCTGAGGCAGGAGAATCCCTTGAACCCAGGAGGCGGAGGTTGCAGTGAGCCAAGATCGCACCACTGCACTTCAGCCTGGCAACAGAGCAAGACTTTGTCTAAAAAAAAAAAAAAAAAAAAAAAAAAAAAAACAGTGTGCAAGAGAAGTCACATAAAAAAATAGATAATAGATATCCCTGATAAATTAGGCAAGTTTCTGATAAAAAAAAAAAACCACAGAGAAGTTCACTACAGAAAACCAGAAACTAAAAATGCAAGAAATAAAGTGGTTTTACTTGCAGTTAGATTTCAGTTGAAAACCATAAAGTGAGATGGGCAGGTCTTCACTCTCCAAAGGGACACTCCAAAAAAATTTTCCTAACCCTTCTTAAATTTTGACAAACACACACATGAAGACCATATCTATTTGCACATAGAAAAACAACTATTTTTCAAAAAAAATATTTCTCCTGACTTTCATAGAGACCAGTTTCTAATCATTAGATTATGTTGACAACAGCAATCATTAAGACCATGGAAAGGCACAGGAATATTTTTTGATTACGTATTTTCACATAAAAGCACTTTTTAATGTAACTGGCTTTTTTTTTACAATGGGTAAATATATATTTGAAAAAGATAATGAGGCCATAAAAATGTTTTAAAATTCGTTTGGGATATCGGGTCAGCCCTCCATATCAGCGGATTCCACATCTGCAGATTCAACCATTGGTGAATTAAAAATACTCAAAAAAAGAAAATGTTGTGTCTGTACTGAACATATACAGATTTTTTCCTGTAATTATTCTCTAAACAATAAAGTATAATGACTATTTACATAGCATTTACATTGTGTTAGGTATTATAAGTAATCTAGAGATGATTTAAAGTATACAAGCGGATATGCATAGGTTATATGCAAATACTATACCATTTTATATCAGGAACTTGAGCAACCTTGGATTTTTATACCCACAGGATGTCCTGGAACCAATCCCTGACAGATACTGAGGGACAACTGTATGGGTATTTGCATGCACGTGGGTGTGCATGTTTGTACTTAGGAGAAGAATCTTTGAATATAACTTTATTAGAAAGTGAATAGAGAATTAAAATGACTTGAGAACCACGACTTACTCCTAAGGAAAACTTCTGAAGGGTGAATTATTTCATTTAATTTAAAAGCTTTTGTAATGCTAACTTTAAAAAAAAGAAAAACTTTTAGTGCACAACTCACATAATCTTTGTGATCCACAAAGAGGCAATACAGCCGAGTGGGTGCCATCAAGAACTGTGGAGTCTGGCCTCGGCTCAAATTCTGGTTTCACCATTTATGGTCCCTAAGACGCTGGACCAATTATTTAACCTCTCAAATCCTCAGTTCCATTATTTTTAAAGCACAGTTTATACATTATCTACACACCAGATTCCATGGTTAAATGAAGCATTTGTATAGTGCCAAACTCATAACAAGTCCACAGTAAATTTTATTATATTTCTTTGTTTTTTATCATTAAGAAAAGTCTGCATATCAGCCTACTTTGAAATTTATCATTTATAAAAAGAAAAAATAAGTTTAAGAATATAAAAACTCCATTTAAGATAAATGAAAGTTAGATTGAGTGGCTTCAACATACATCCAATGGAAGTTTCAGAAGATAATATGGTGAATGGCAGAAAGGCATTAATTCGAAAAATCTTGTTTTAACATTTTTGAGCTTTGAAGGAAGACATGAGTCTTCACACTAAAAAGGCACACACGTGTCATCTCTGTGACTATCTATGTCCAAATTTTTTCTTCCTATGAGGATACCAATAAGATTGGATTAGGACCCACCCTAATCCAGTATGACCTCATCTTCACCTGATTATATCTGTGAAGACCCTATTTCCAAATAAGGTCACATTCAGCTACCAGAGGTTAAGACTTCAATATATCTTTTAGTGAAACATAACTAACCCCTAACACCTCTTTCTCTATTTACATTGTCAAGGTGAATATCACAGCATGAAAAATGCAAATAGCAAAGAAAGGGTTGTTAAGTAATTGAGCTTAGGGGGATCACACATATATCATAAGTGTATACAGTTAGCCTGTCTACTCCCTAGACCATGAGCTAGTAAAGGGTAGAGACTGTAAGAATTAGGGTGGAGAACTAATGGGAATTAATGAATCCCAACAGGACAACTGCCCCCAACTTTTTAGAAAATTAGTCAAGCTGGAGCTCTAGTCTAGCCATTTTGTCTTATCTGAATACAGATTTTTCCCCCAAGCACCTAAGTCATCCGACGGGGCTGTGATCCCATACCACCAGAATAGATAGTGACAATCATAATTCCAATAATAATCATTATTTTCTGAATGTTTACTGTGTGCCAAGCAATTACATTTTATATTATCGACATTGTTTCATTCAATAATCACAAGTTATCCTTAGCCCTCAACTTGTAATGACTCCTATCCATTCCATCCAGCACAAAAACGGGAAGAAAATGCCCAGTTTGCTCTTGTTTTTCCTTCCCATACACAGTGATATTGTCATCTTCTGTCCCCACTTCCCCCCCACACACAATGCTGCCTGCAAATGGGGAATAACCAAGAAAGATGTGCCATGTTCCATCCAGCCTTCCCCATTGAGTGCTCTTAGGAGGCCAATATGAAGAAGCCATGACCTTCCTCAGTCATTATGGATGCAGTTTTTAAAACGGAGGGCACCAAAGCAGGTGGTTTTTTGGTTCAAAAACTAAGTTTAATGAAAGGATTAAACAGATTAAATGCTAAAGCTGTGGTAACAAAATTTATAAACAGAAACTAAGATTGTTTCAGGCTGCAGTTAATCCAAGTATTTCAGAATAAAAATTTATTATATTGAGTTATTTTTCCAAACGTCATACTTGTTATGCTTACCATATTTGCAAGGCTTGGCTTCTACTGGTCACCTTTTCAAATGACTGTGTTTACAGAATCAGCAACAAAAAGCTAAAGTTTATCTTGTCACCCAGAGACCTGGGCAGACTGGGCTGGTTCCAGGGACAGGTTTTGAACAGTTTACTAAGAGTTTCCTACCCAATGTGACCAGTCACATTTGCTATACATGCAGCTTGCCTTTTTATCAGATGAAGGCAGCAGGCTTAAGGAATGCTTTTCAATGCACTTGTGTAGTGGCAAAACTGAAAAGTTTATTAAGTTGCAATCTCAGTTTTGAAAAGGTAAGCTAGGCAAACTATTCATCTGTCAGTAGCATTCGCAGCTGAGTAATTGCCCTATTCTTAAATACTTGCTTCTCCAGTTCTGAGGAGCTCTGTAAAATCCTGTATCATGTTGAGCTGAAACCTCCTATCTTATAACGTCATTCTTTTGGACCTAATTTTACATTCACCATAAAATAGCTCTTCAAATGTTTGAAAACAACTCTCACATGTCCTCTAAGTCTTCTCTTTTCATGTGTCTTCAGCCATCATCCTATGGCATGGCTCCACCATCCTGGTCATTTCTCTCTTCTTGTGCACCAATTTATCTTTTTGAGTGTTAATACTTGGCACCACAATGCTTCATGGACAATTTAACTGAAGTTAAGTAAAGAATGACTACTATTTCCCTAATTCTGGACATGATAATCTTACTATTGCAACAACCAGCAGAGCTAGTTTTCATGGTGACCATATGTTGATTCACATTAAAGTTACTGACATTTTCTAAATAAGTTTTAGATGAGCTTCTAAGTCATATTTTTTCAATTTAATAGTTGTGTGATTTATTTGGAGAAAAATAAAACATACTTATTTGCAACAGACTTCATCTTTAGTAGTAGATCTTGCCTATAGTTTTATATTGTTTCACACTTATATTCCTACTACTTACCTAATACAAATTCAATAAGTATCAAACATCTATTCAGAGGTCATTGATAAATTTGAAGAGCTTAAAACTAGTGGAAGAATTTTTCCACATTTCTCATAGGCTCAAAATAATCCATTTATAGATAATTTTGGTATACTCTGTCAAATAGTTACACATTCATCTAATTACAAAGATCCAACTCACATCTCTCCAGCATTTCTGTAAGCATGTAGTGAGAAACACACCATATGCAGCATTTCTCTATTCTAGAGTTCAGTGAAAGACAGCATTAAGAAAAGCCTAACGTGAGCTGTTTTCAGTGAATACACAGTGTTTCTTAGAGATTACACCAACTGTCCTTTAAATAATACATTCAGAAATTTTCCTGAGATTGAAACCAAGCTCAAATTTGGTTGGCTTATCGGTCTATCACCTGCAAAATCTCCCTGTGACCCCTTTTGAAAATCAAAACCACATTTGTTCATTCCCATTCTTCATGCTGTAGTTCTTTCATGACTGTTAAAAGAAAACTGAAATCAAGGTTTTATTTTTCTATTTCCTTTGCTGGTTGCCTCAGAATTCTAGGACCTAATACAACAAGGCAAAACAACTAGAAGTCACTTAACCAGTTCCTTCATGCTTCTTGAAATTTGATCTTCTCTGTATACTTTATATTTCTAGTCCAAAGTGCACTTGCCTTGACAAAAATATTAAAAACAAAGACAGTTGAGAAACTCTGCTGTATTAGTCTGTTTTCACACTGCTAATGAAGACATACCCAAGACTGGGTAATTTATAAAGGAAAGAGGCTTGATTGACTCACAGTTCCACATGGCTGGGGAGGCCTCACAATGATGGCAGAAGGTAAATGAGGAGCAAATTCACACCTTACATGTCAGTAGGCAAGAGAGCTTATGTAGAGGAACTCCCCTTCCTAAAACTATCTGATCTTGTGAGACTTATTCACTATCAGGAGAACAGCACAAGAAAGACCCGCCCCATAATTCAACTACTTCCCACTGGGTCCCTCCCATGACATGTGGGGATTATGGGAGCTACAATTTAAGACAGAATTTGGGTGAGGACACAGCCAAACCATATAATCTGCCTTCTCTACTACCCAGAAACATTACACTTCTATAGAAAAATATTCGTCAAAAAAAGAGAGGGAGGCAAGCCTTTCTAAGCATGGCACTAAAGGCAGAAATCATAAAGAAAAAAACTGCATACTTAAAAAATGTAAACTTCTGTACATCAGAAAATACCACATAAACTTTTCAAGTAAATGGAAATCTTTGAAAAATATTTGTAAATACATTTATACATATTTTAGAGCCTCATTTATAAACAGTCCTTGAAAAAGCAGTTAGAAAATACAGACACAACATTAGAAAGAGGAGTAAAGTTCAAGGTAATTGAAGTAAAGAAAGAAGAAACAAATAAACCCGTTAAAAAAAAAAAATGTCTATCTTGGCCGGGCGCGGTGGCTCACGCCTGTAATCCCAGCACTTTGGGAGGCCAAGGCAGGCGGATCACGAGGTCAGGAGATCAAGACCATCCTGGCTAACACGGTGAAACCCCGTCTCTACTAAAAATACAAAAAATTAGCTGGGCGTAGTGGCGGGCGCCTGTAGTCCCAGCTACTCCGGAGGCTGAGGCAGGAGAATGGCATGAACCCGGGAGGCAGAGCTTGCAGTGAGCCGAGATTGCACCACTGCACTCCAGCCTGGGCGACAGAGCAAGACTCCGTCTCAAAAAAAAAAAAAAAAAAAAAAAAGGTCTATCTTTATTAACTATAAAAGAAATTTAAATTTAATAAAAATATTTTATATTTAACAAACTAGGAAAGTGTTTTGTTTTGTTAAATGCACAATACTTTGTTGAAAGTCCAAGACCAAGGAAAACTGACATTCTCCTATACACTGCTATAAATTGAGCTCTAAGAAATAAAACCTTATACTAAGTGTTTTATGTGCATTACCTTATTTAATGTGTCTTCAAACATTCACTTCTTCTATGGCTAAAATTTATATTCTGAGCCAAGAATTCTGGTTCACGAAGATCTGCTAAGATGACACAGTCACTTTGTCATGCATTTCTTATTATTACCGTTTCATTAACCAGGTCAATTCTCATACCTACTGGGAAATGAAACCTGTCAGCAACACAAGTTAAACATTCTTTGTTAGAAGCTCTTGATTTAGCCTAAGAAGACTTGCAGCATATGTCTTGACAGTTGAAGTACTCATGACTGTTAAAATCCAACCTCATGTCAATCTTATATTTTGAATTAGCACGTTAATCACTTTTTTCTCTCTGTTCACATAGCCTCTTAATATGATCTCAAAATGGTAGTTCTAAGGTTCTCTCATTTTTATCCGAATTATAATTTTTAACAGCGTCAACCTTACAGCAGATTTTCACATAGGTACTTTACATATAGGATAACTCATCTTTCATCTTTAGCAAATCTGTGTCTTTTCTAACATAGATTCTTAATTTTAGGTTCTAACCCACTGGGTACCATTTTCTCCTTTTTATTACTATGCAGTATAATGTCAACATACTTATGTAGCTGACTATTTTATGAATACCTTCTTACCAATTATTTTCTTACATGAATTACTATAAACAACTCCCACTGATGTTTTTATTTCTATAATAAAGTGTTTCATAGCTCTACTTGGATGATTTCTCTCTCCCGTTCCATACGCATCTTGAATTGTCCTTAGAATGAAGGAAATCAATCAGGAAAAAAAAGCCAAAAGACAGAAAGTTTGAGGAGACAGATAAGATTCAAAAGTCAAAACCAAGGTGCAGGTGAGTGAAAATTTTTGTGCCAAGTTAAAAGAAGTAAAGAAACTCTGTAGTATTAGAATAATTAAATGAGTAAAATGTTTCCCATGGAATATTAATCAAGACCTTCCAAATAAGAGGCAGGAACTAAGTTCTACATGAAACATGAAGCAGACCTCACAAATAAGGAATAGGGGAAACAATCCTTCAACATTCCAAGATGGAAGTAACGGGTCATAGTAGCCAGTAATTTTCTACCAAAAAATACAGAAGCCAGAAGCTGCTGGAAGTAGATAATATGGCTAACAAAGTAGTATATTGTCTTATCAGGATGGGTATCTATCTGAAAAATATCAGAGAAATAATACTAACTTTCTATAATATTTCACCAAATACTTTTACATCAGTATATTACTTAATCTCTCAAAAACTAGGTAAGGCATGTTGTATTATCATGTAGATAAGAAAACTCTCCTGAAGTTGTTAGGTTCCTAAGGCTAAGTGCTAAAGCTAGAACTCTAAGCCAAGTCTAGCTAAACTAAATCCCATGTTTATGCTATTGTATAACTATACCAAACTGCCCTTTAAGAAAAATCAATATTGATAAACAGGTAATGTTTTTAAGACAGAGTTTTGCTCTTGTTGCCCAGGCTGGAGTGCAATGACACGATCTCGGCTCACTGCAACCTCCGCCTCCCAGGTTCAAACCATTCTCCTGCCTCAGCCTTCGAAGCAGCTGGGATTACAGGCATGCGCCACCACACCTGGCTAATTTTGTATTTTTAGTAGAAATGGGGTTTCACCATGTTGGTCAAGCTGGTTTCGAACTCCTGACCTCAGGTCATCCACCTGCCTCAGCCTCCCAAAGTGCTAGGATTATAGGCATAAGCCACCATGCCCAGCCTAATAAGTGATTTTTTAAATCTAGTCTCAAATTTCTCACCAGGCACCTCTGCCACGTAATTCGTCGGTTGTATGTGTACAAGCAATACAGTCAGAATAAAAAGCTGGCTCAATAAAGGGGGTAGGTTTTGTATACATGATGTTTTTTATCTTCATTTTTTACTAAACAAATCAGTTCTTTTGATAAGATAATTAACCCCTCATTTGTTTTCTTGCTGAAGTTTTTGGCTGACATTTTCAACATTCATCCTAAATATTGGAGCCTTTGGATAACCTGAGCTAAGCAGTTTTACTGTGAGTCTTTACTGTGGACTAAATCTATTGTGTAGATAACAGACACACTTGTACTTGTATACTTAGAGTACCATCCCAAGATATCACATTGAGTAGGACCATGAAAAACATACAATTCAGAGTTTACTTTTAAGCTCATTCAAGAAATAATTAAATAATTAAATAAAGTATAGTTTATCCTAGAATAAGTGACATTGGTTTTAAAACTAGTACCGTATTCTTCACTAATTTCAAACAAGGGCCAGACTGTTTCTTTGGACTGTTGATTTTTTGTTTAAGTCTGAAAGGGAAAAAGTATTGTGTTTCAGGGCTGTGCTAAACTAAAATTGTTTTTATACAATAATTCAGCAAGCAGTTTATGCTGTAACATATGCTGTAACACCTCAGAGCACCTTGTAGAGAAAGAACTCTCACTCCAGTGTTGAATGGGAAGTTGAAAATGAAGATTTCTGGTCCCACTGAGCCTGCTGGGGCAGCAGAAGAGAGCCATGCCCTGCTTTACAAGCACTTGCCTTTTCCTACCAATGTGTTCTGAGATTTTCAGCAGAGCACAGCTTTCTGGAACCTATATTCAAAACCCTAAATCTTTGTGGAGAAGTCCAGGCTTCAAACAAAATTTCTAATACTGTTGAGCTGAAGAGAAGCTGTTTCTAATCTAGTATATTTCACAAACAACATTCCTTTTGTGTGGTGCTGATGAAGTGCCAAATTCTGTACTTCAGAGTACTGTTTTTGTGATGTACAAGACCAGAGTTTATGGAGGGGAGACTCCGTTTACTTTTGCTATCATTAAGGATATTTGCCTTAACTAAATGATCTAAAATTCCTCATTCCTCTAGCAGCTTTCTGGTCACTCTGCTTTACCCCACCTCCAACGTAATATAGGGAAAAGAGTTGGACTGGAAATCAGGAGTGCTGAATTCAGGTACCTGTTCTTCCATTGAGTAGCTGTGTGACCTTGGAAGTCACTAACTTCTCCGTACCTCTTTTTCTTCCAGTGTAAACTAAGAGGTCACACTAGACCCATGGCTTTCAAGTGGTTGCCTTTAAACTATAGAGATCATTGGCTGTGGAAACAGCAAAAACATTGTCTGCAAAAATAAGAATTAGAGGATAAACAAGAACAAGAAGAAGAAAAAGGGAAGGGGAAGGAGGAAAAGAGGAAGACGGGGAGAAGGAAAACAGTAAGAAAAAAGGAAAAGGAGGAGGATGAGAAAAAAGAATGAGGAGAAGGGCAAGAAAGGGGGAGGAGGTAGAGAAGAAGAAGGAGGGCAAAAAAAGGAGGAGGAGAAAGGGGAGGGGAGGGAGAAGAGGAGGAAGAGGGAAAGGAGGAAGAAGGGGAGGAAGAGGGCAAGAAAGAAGAAAAAGCAGGAAGGGAGGAGGAGGAAGAGGAGAGGAAAAGGAGGGCAAGAAAGAAGAAGAAAAAGGAGGAGGAGGAGAAGGAGGAGGAAAGGAGGAAGAAGAAAAGGAAGAGAAAGGCAAAGAAGAGGAGGAGCAGGAAAAACTTATGCCACCAAAGGGACCTATCTATTGCTGTTATTTTTCTTATAAATTGAGGTTCTTTATAAAGTTCTAAGTAAGATTTTATTTGGGACTATAAGAAGGTAGTTCTGCTGCTGAAGGGTAGAAAATTGCTAGACACAATGATTTCTGAAGATCTGTATAGCTTCAAAATTCAATGAATCATCATAACAGCTAACTTTAGTTACCTTTTACTTAGTATCTCCTATGTGCTGGAACTAGACTAAGTCCTTTTTATCCATTATTTAACCTAATCCTTATGGCAACTCTGCAAGGTATATATTTATTACTTTATTTGTCTTTCCCATGGCTTGCAACTCATAAGGAGCCAGAGTTTACACCATGATCTGTAAGATCGAAAGCCCATGTTTTTTTTCTTCTTACTATAGAATTCCATTAAGTGAAATTAAAATTATCCTTTTTTTTTTTTTTGAGGTGGAGTTTGGTTCTGTCACCCAGGTTGGAGTGCAGTGGCCCTGCAATCTCAGCTCACTGCAGTGTCTGCCTCCCAGGTTCAAGCTATTCTCCTGCCTCAGCCTCCCAAGTAGCTGGGATTACAGGCACTCACCACCACACCTGGCTAATTTTTGTATTTTTAGTACAGACGGGGTTTCACCATGTTGGCCAGGCTGGTCTCAAACTCCTGACCTCAGGCTATGTACCCGCCTCGGCCTCCCAAAGTGCTGGGATTACAGGGATCAGCTACCGCACCCAGCCAAAATTATCTTTCAGAAAATTACTTAAGTGTATTAACAGGGTGTGATAGGCAGAATAACGGCCCCTAAGGATGTCCATATTCTAATCCCCGGAACCTGTAAAAGGACGCTTAAGTTGTGTAACCTTATACTGTGATTAAGAATCCTGAGATGGGGTTGTCAGGCAGGCTCAATGTAAACACAGTGTCCTTGTGAGGAAAGAGGGGGCACAGAGAGTCAGAGAAGGGGATGTAATGATGAAAGCATGAAACCAGAGTGATGCAGCATGAGAAAGTCTCCACCTGCCATTGCTGCTTGAAGGTGGAAGAATAGGACCATGAGCCAAGGAATGAGGGCAGCCTCTAGAAGCTGGAAAGGGCAAGGAAGCAGAATCTCCCCTACAGCTTCCAGAAAGAATGCAACTCTGCCAATACCTTGATTTTTAGTGGTGAGACCAGTTTGGACTTCTGACCTCCAAAACTGTAATATAATAAATTTGTATTGTTCAACCCACTAAGTGATATAGTTTGGGTATTTGTCCCCTCCAAATCTCATGTTGAAATGTGATCCCCAATCTTGAAGGTGGGAACTAGTAGGAGGCGTTTGGGTCATGGAGACAGATCTTTCGTGAATAGGTTAATGCAAAAGTGAGTCGTTTTTCACGAGAGCTGATTGTTGAAAAGAGCCTGGCACCTCCTTCCCCTCTCTTGCTTCTTCTCTCACCATGCGATGCCTGCCCTCCTTCTCCTTCCACCATGAATGGGAGCTTCCTAAGGCCCCCACCACATGCTGGTGCCATACTTCTTATACAGCCTGCAGAACTATATGCCAAATAAAGCTCTTTTCTTTATAAATTTCTCAGTCTCAGGTATTCCTTTATAGCAACATAAATGGAATAAGACACTAAGTTTGGAGTAATTTGTTACAACAGCAATGGGAAACTAATACACAAGGTAATGTTGAGTAGTTGTCTGTAATTTTCTTTAAAGGACTTCAGCATAGACAGTGTGGTGTCACATTTATTAGGTTGAGTTACAAGCCAGGTACAATCAGGAATTTGTGTTCCAGAAGAAGTCAGCTAGTTATATGCCGTTAAGCTCACACTCCAGAGGTCGCTATTGCAAGTGCTTCTGTTACCAGTATCACTGATCATCAGTAGATACTTTATTAATTAGCATAAATCTTATCCAAAAATGGGGTTTTATTGGTGAAATCAATGCCTTGTTAGCAACATGAATGTTATAATAGAAATGCATTCCCATGTGACGAATTTAAAGTATTCAAGACATGTGGATTGGCTAAGATATTTGGGAGGCATTACTACCCTTGCATGAGCAAAGCGCAAGAATCTAGTGAGACTTTTAGCCCCAACCCTTCAAGATAGGGTTTGTGGCTTGACCTGTAAATGTTCCTGGCTCCAGTTGTTGAAGGATCTCTGGTTGCCTGATATCAACTGTGAGAGAACAGTCTTGCCTCTAAAATGTCATTGGGCCTTCCTTCAGAGAACCATTCTTGCATTGTCAGAGCACCAAAAATATCAGAAACCTGAATTTCATCAGTACAGGATCTATGAAGTATTTTGTGCCCAATAGCACAAATACCTATTTGAGTGGTCCAGTTTGGTCTAAGACATGTTTCATTACGACATGATAGTAAGGCTCTAGGGAAATAGTTAACTCTTACCTACCTGAAAATTTTCAGCAGCTATTATGAATTATTCAAGAAAAAAAAGTGTAATTACATTAGCCTACCTCGGTTTGCAACAGTAGTCAATTTACAGGAGCCACATAACTTTGGAAAATGTAAAACTGAGCCTTCCTCTTCATTTGCAGAAATAAAGATGTGTTCTATTACTAATGAGATCTGCAATGGTAACTGTTGAAGTCTATTGTTTATTAACACCAAATAAATTTCTCAATTTTCTTTCACTAATTTATACATGAGGTGTTTTAGTGAAAGAAAAATGAAACAGATCCTCTTCATAGACCAAACTCCTCTAAAAGTGTCCCCCAAGCTATCATTATGACTGTTTGGGATATAATCTTCTATACAGGCAGTGGTGAGACCATCAGCCTTTGTCCAATAATCTCAGTGAAAAATTATTGTTTGGTTTAAAGTATGATACTCAAAAAGCCAAAAAAATAAATGTCAACAAGCCCACAGGTGGTAAGGGAAGGGGAGCAGCTAAGAGCTAAGATTTCAGAAAATGTGGCACATGTGAAGTTCTGCCAAATATCAAAGAACCACTTGTTCTACCAACCTCACACACTCCTGGGAAGAAAACTCAGAAAGCAAATACAAGTGGGATAAAGTATACTTGACAGAGCCTTAACCCATGAGAGAGCATACTGATATTTAAGGCAGATGAAAGTAGAGCAGATGATGGAGAACATGAAAAAATCAGATTTTTCACACACGTGAAAACCACTCTAACAAATGTTTGATTGAAACACACCGTCTCCATTCTCCACTCTCTGCAATATTTCAAGGGGAAGTTTCCAGGCAAAATGCCTCAGGATGGCTACCAATAGACCATATGGAAATGATGAACAGAGTATCTGTTTGCTTCCACACACATAAGCCAGTCTAAATGATTTGATTAACTTTCACAGATTTCTCAGTCAAAAAGAGAAACTGTGGAATCACTTGCTTGTTTGTTTTGCTTCATAGAATGTTAGGCTAAAAAGAACTTTAAAATGTATCTATTCTAGCTCTTTTATTTTATTAAGACATTAATGTGCCCAAGTTTGCATAGCCAGTTAGTGGCAGAATAAGGTGACCATTCTACACCACCATGGTTCTACTGTATCTATTTGATATATTTGTACTATTTGGATGTTTTCTATTTATTAATTTACATGAAACTGATAGTGCAAATATGACTTCTTTCTTAATTTGTTGACTTTGAATAAATAATAAATGCTATTTTCATTCCTGGGACATTCTTTTGCTCCTATTCAAATAATACATGCAACATGCTCTTCCAAACTTGCCTGCCCTTGACTATGATTTTTCATCTGCCTGAAATATCATTGGCCCAATTCTCTGCATGACCAATTGCCTTCCTCACAAAGACCCAGGTCACTTAGCCCTTCTGTAAAGCCTTCCTTGGGTAGTTCCAAGAAGAGTCAGTCAATTGTACTCCTTCTGCCCTCTCTTTATGTTCTGCACAGCCCCTCTTAGCAGTCCTCATGCATGGTGGCAAACATCTTTATGCATTGATGTCTCTCACTAGATTATAAACTCCCTGAAGTCTGGAATTGTTGCTAAGAACCTTGAGATGGGAAGACTATCCTGGGTTATCTGGGCGGGCCCAATGTGATCACAAAGGCCCTCAAATTGAGAAGAACAAAGCAGAAGGGTCAGAACAAGAGAAACGCATCAGAAGAAAGACTCCACCAGCTGGCTTTGAAGATGGAGGAATGGAGCCATGACCCAAGGAATGTGATGGCCTCTAGAAGCTGGAATTGCAATAAAATGGATTCTCCCCTAGTGTCTTCAGGAGGATCGCAACTCCGCTCACACCTTGATTTTAGCTCTCTAAGACCTATTTCAGATTTTGGACCCCAGAACTATAAGATAACAAATTTGTATTGCTTAAGCCTCTAAGTTTGTAGTAATTTGTTACAATAGTACTAGAAAATTATAGTGAGAATCTAGGCATGTGAATATAATCATGTGTATAGGTACTTCCAAAACTGAATAAAGGCAGCCGGCACTTTTTGAATGACCACATTTCACAAGTCACTAAGATATTTTCATTCTTTTATTTTTGACACATAAATTCATTAAGTTCAACCCAATTTCACTTATGGAAATGTTTCTAATTTCCATAATGAAGGTTAGTTTATAAAAAATAATATATTGTCAATGATTTCAGATATAACTAAGCAATGACCAGGCACTCCACTGCTAAATTTTTGCAGACATATCAAAGGGAAAAAATTTTAGGAATAAAATTGGTGTAAAGATTGGTTAGTAAAAGGAGCAACATACAAAATCATACTTTATTATTAATGATATATATTTTATTCTATTAAGAAACTATGCTCCCATGAGAATTATTCTGATATGATCATTTTCATAGGTATTTCCCACAATCATTTATATATAACAAGTATAATAGAGAAAACCCAAACTTCAGTAACGGTGAAGTTACTGAATATATTTCTGCTTTTCTGGCCACTGTTGTAGAAATGATCTCCAAAACTTTTTGAGAGTATATAATCATCCTGTTAAAATGGCAGGTGGTTATTTTTTTAATTTACAAATGCACACATGACTTGTTGACCTTCAAGGAGAAATTTTTGGCCTTGGGCCCCCAACCCAAGTACAAAATTATATGTGATTGTGAATAATAAGAATAATTGAGTCCTGATGGCAAATGTTCATCCATCACTCTCTGGAACTAAATGAGTCAATAATGGTAATTACTTTGATTTCCAGGCATTGGATCCCAACATCCAGTTATGTTCATCAAAAAACAGAAAATTCATACTCAACCCTCATCTTTTAAATATGTCAAAAGCCACTAATATTTCATATTTAAGTATTACATACCAGCCAATAGCATTGTATTGGTCAGCTCAGGCTGTTGTAAGAAAATACCATAAACTGGGTGACTTGAACATAGAAATTTATTCTCTTACAGCCCTGAAAGCTGCAAGGCCCACCAATATCAGGGTCTGGCCCTGTTCAGTTGCTGATGAGGGCTCTCTTTCTACTCTTTATCAGAGCATTCAAGACCCTTTACAGTTTGGGACCCACCTACTTTTCCAGCATTTTCACCCATTTTTCTTTACCTCCTAACTTCTAGACAAACAAAACTTCCCATTATATCTCTCAGATAAATCACACCATTTCACACTTCAGTGTCCCTGCACATGACATTCCATATTTATGCATTCTCTGCCTAGCAAATCCTGTCATCCTTTTAGACTTGACCTAATGGGACATCCTCGAGAAGTAATGTCCAGTATCCCTAATAATCAAGTCCCTTTTCTGAGATTCCATGAGTTTTTGCTAATATACTATTATAATATCACATTGAATTATAATTATTCTTCTATATATTGCCTTTATGAAATGCAGAGGTTTTCATATTTGTGCTGGGCTCCTTTTCACTGAGGCTGAATGCCAAATAAATATTTTACATCTTCCTTCTAGTTTGTGGAAAATAAATAGGGTATGTAATGGAATGCCCTAGTGAACACAAGCCAAGCCAAAGATTAAATTCCTGGGGTTTTGTTGTTTCCTTTTCTCTTATTTTGCAAGGGACATACCAGTTACAACTATATATATATATGTATATATACATTGATACTCTGTGTGTGTGTGTGTGTGTGTGGGTGGGTGGGTGGGTGGGTGTGTGTGTGAAGTAAATTACATATAGGTCAAAAAGTCACCTTGAAATCACTGAAGGTAGCTTCCTTTGACAGGCAGCCATAGATGAAATAAAATAGCCCAGTAATATGGTGGAAGGAGTATTAGTTTCCAAGGACTACTATAACAACTTACCACAAACTTGGTATCTTAAAAACAACAGAAATGTATTCTGTCAAAGTTCTAGAGGCCAGAAGTCTGAAATCAGCTTTACTGAGTCAAAATCAAGGTTATGGCTGAGCAGCACTGCCTCAGGAATCTCTGAGAAAGAATTTGGATTTTGACTTCTCCAGCTTCTGGTGGCTCTGGCATTCCTTGAGTGTGGCCACATCACTTCAATATCCTTCTCTGTGGATACATTGCCTTCTCCTCTGTGTGTGTCTTTTAAATCTTCCTTTGTTGTCCTCTTACATGGATGCATGTGATGGCATTTAAAGTCCTTCTGGATAATTCAGGATATTATTTTCTTGTCAAGATCATTAATCACATCTAGAAAGACCCTTTTTCCTTACATGGCAAAATTTACAGGGTCCAGGGATTAGAATCTTATATCTTTGAATGTCACTATTCAGCATAATATAGGATGTTTTAAAAAATTCCTGTTTAACAAAGAAAAGTACGAATAGGTGTCATCACCAAAAGCGGCAGAGAAGGAACTCCAATATTCCATTCCTCCACAAAATCAAAGGATGTCATTTTTTGAATCACTTTGGAACTCTAGAATCTAATAAACAATGCACAACATCCGGTGAAATGCTTAATGAAGAAAGAAGCTGCTACATTTCAGTATTTAAGGAAATGTCTCAAATCACTAGCTGACAGAACAGATTTCAATGGCCACACACAAAAAAGAATACAGCCATAATAAACTTACAAAAACGATAAAGCTCTTAAAAGAAAACTTAGGAGGAAATCTTTAGTACCTTGAATTTAGTAACGGTTTCTTAGATATAGCACCAAAAGCATGCACAACAAAAGAAAAAAATAAATTAGACTTTGTCAAAATGTGAAACTTTTTTCATCACAGAATGAGAGAAAATATTCAAAATTATATAGCTAATAAAAGTCTAATATCTAGAATATATAAAGAACTCTTACAAGTCAATGACAAAAAGTTTTAAAAATCCAATTAAAAATTGGGCCAAGGACTTGAATAGATATTTCTCAAAAAAAGACATTAATAGCCAAAAAGTACATTTAAGGTGCTCAACATCATTAGTTACTAAGCAAATGCAAAACAAAATTTCCATGAAATGCCACTTTAGACCCACTGGGATGATACTATCATTTTTAAAAAAATGGAAAATAACAAGTTTTGACAAAGATGTGGAAAAATTGGAACCCTTATATTGCTGCTGGGAATGTAAAATGGTGCAACCACTGTGGAAAATAGTTTGTGGTTCCTCAAAAAAATTAAACATAAAGTTACTATATGAGCCAACCATTCCACTTCTAGGTATACACCCAAAAGAACTGAAAACAGGTATTCAGACAAAACTTGCACCCAAATGTTCACAGCAGCACTATTCACAGTGACCAAAAGATGTGACTAACCCATATGTCCATCAACTGTTGATGTATTGATACATGCTATAACATGAATGAATCTTGAAAACTCTATACTAAGTAAAAGAAGCCAGATGCAAAAGAACACATATTGTATCATTGCACTTATATAAAATATCCAGAATAGAGAAATTCATAGACAGAGGAATCAGCTTAGTGGTATCCAGAGAGGGTAGGAAGGTGGGAAATGGAGTGACTGCTTATTGGGTATGGGGTCTCCTTTGAGGGTGAGGAAAATATTCTGGAACTAGATAGTGATAACTGTTGTAAACATTGTGAATGTACTAAATGCCAGTGAATCGAACCCTTTAAAATGGTTAAATGGTAACTAATGCATGTTATGTGAAAGTTAATTTCATAAGAATAAAAGTAGACAATTTTTTAAAATTAGAAAATTTGCCTCATCCCTTAGGAACCTGATGCTGAAAGAGACAGGGAGGCCAATGGTTTTGGATCCATAAAGTGCTAGTTTTTAAAACCAGTCCTAGCCCAGCACTCCAGGACTGGCTTGCCCCCTAGGATGTGACTGAATTTGAACTGAAAAACTAACAGGCAGGGCCCTGGGCAGATGCCTGATAGAGCATGAAGGTTCCACAATGAAATATAGTATTAATACTAAGGGCATATCTTTTCTCACTAGCCTCCATCCAACATTTATGGAAGCAACTGAAGTGAAGGATCTAATCATCTTAGCCATGTGCTCCTGGCCCAAACTTTATAAGTAGCTTTAGAAGAAGTCTTCCTTGGCTCAGTGCTGGTGGAGAGATCAACTGCCACCACCATCCTGAGTAGCTTTGCGTCTTCCATGGGAGAGAGTTATCCACTGCCCTGTTTCTGAGCTGGCCAAAAAGTGGTGCCCAGTGGCCCACTCTAACCTTTAAAGCCTTCTTGTTTTTGTCCCCATAACACTGGGGATGTGGGAAACCCATCCTCCAAACGATCAACTACAGCTGGATGAATGTTCTAGCACTTGTGGCTGACTCCACAGTAGGCCAGGATTCCCCAAGACCAGTTTCTGCTCAGCTACTACCAATCCCTCTGCCTAAAGCTACACGTTAAGATTTAAAAGAGCAAGACTCAGTTTCTCCTTCAAGATACTCAAAAAGTCAAGTGCTTCTTGAATTTTTTTATTGCATCTTCTTTCCAGTGTGTGAGGTAGTCAAATTTTTGCACTTTGGAAATTGAAAGACATTGTTATACTTAGACTGTATAGTGACACCAAGTGACAGGAAAGTAGTCAAAGTCTTTTTCTGCTATCAGTTCTCCAACTGGTTGAGCCTGCTGCTTTGTGTAAGTATGTATCTTTCCTTTTGCAGAAGCTGTTTATGAGAATATCACATCTTGTATGAATAGCTTTACGACATTTACAGTCACGAAGGTCAAATAGCCCTAATGTTAACCACAGCTATAGTTAACAGAAACTCAGGAGTGGGTAAGATAAGCCAGCCTTCAGTGCCCTTTCCAAACAGTCATCAGTTCTGTAAAAATTAGTATAAGCAGTAACTTCTCTCCACAAAACATAAAGAAAATACTGCAGCAAAGGATAAAGAAATGGTTCAGAATGCTGCTTGCCCACACTCATCCACCAGGGAAATCCAGCTGAGAAGATTAGAAGCCATACTCTCCTGAACTCAGAAAGATGCCCACACTGCTACTCAAATTGCTTCTCCTAGTGCTTCCCTTCCCTGGAGCAATCTAAGTGTGTTTTGTTTTATTTTGTTTTTCTTTGCTATGTTGTTCTTGGTGGTGGTGGTAGCAGCAATAAAAAGTAAGTGTAAAGGTAATTTGACAATAATCTTGACCCTTTTCTCTGGATCTAATAAGAGGACTAAAACATTATTTCTCAAAGATGGGAACATGGAGCACATACATAAGAATTACCTGGAATTCTTGCTAATACTGTAGATTCCAGGGCTCTCTCTCATCCCTATTAGACAGATCTCTGTATATCAGACTCAAATCAGCACATTTCCTACTTCACATATTAAATTCTAAAATTTGAAGCTAAGGCAGAAAGCATAAAATACATTCTCAAAGACAGTTTTTTGTATCCTGAGACCTTGCTGAAGTTGCTTTTCAACTTAAGGAGATTTTGGGCTGAGACGATAGGGTTTTCTAAATATACAATCATGACATCTACAAACAGGGACAATTTGACTTCCTCTTTTCCTAATTGAATATCTTTTATTTCTTTCTCCTGCCTGATTGCCCTGGCCAGAACTTCCAACACTATGTTGAATAGGAGTGGTGAGAGAGGGCATCCCTGTCTTGTGCCAGTTTTCAAAGGGAATGCTTCCAGTTTTTGCCCATTCAGTATGATATTGGCTGTGGGTTTGTCATAAATAGGTCTTATTATTTTGAGATACATCCCATCAATACCTAATTTATTGAGAGTTTTTGGCATGAAGTGCTGTTGAATTTTGTCTAAGGTATTTTCTGCATCTATTGAGATAATCATGTGGTTTTTGTCTTTGGCTCTGTTTATATGATGGATTACGTCTATTGATTTGCGTATGTTGAACCAGCCTTGCATCCCAGGGATGAAACCCACTTGATCATGGTGGATAAGCTTTTTGATGTGCTACTGGATTCGGTTTGCCAGTATTTTATTGAGGATTTTTGCATCGATGTTCCTCAGGGACAATGGTCTAAATTTCTCTTTTTTTGTTGTGTCTCTGCCAGGCTTTGGTATCAGGATGATGCTGGCCTCATAGGATGAGTTAGGGAGGATTCCCTCTTTTTCTATTGTTTGGAATAGTTTCAGAAGGAATGGCACCAGCTCCTCTTTGTACCTCTGGTAGAATTCGGCTCTGAATCTGTCTGGTTCTGGGCTTTTTTTGGTTGGTAGGTTATTAATTATTGCCTCAATTTCAGAACCTGTTATTGGTCTGTTCAGGGATTCAACTTCTTCCTGGTTTAGTCTTGGGAGGGTGTATGTGTCGAGGAATTTATCCATTTCTTCTAGATTTTCTAGTTTATTTGTGTAGAGGTGTTTATAGTATTCTCTGATCGTAGTTTGTATTTCTGTGGGATTGGTGGTGATATCCCCTTTATCATTTTTTATTGCATCTATTTGATTCTTCTCTCTTTTCTTCTTTATTAGTCTTGCTAGCAGTCTATCAATTTTGTTGATCTTTTCAAAAAACCAGCTCCTGGATTCATTAAAAATTAATTTAAGATGGATTAAAGACTTAAATGTTAGACCTAAAGCCATAAAAATCCTAGAAGAACACCTAGGCGATACCATTCAGGACATATGCATGGGCAAGGACTTCATGTCTAAAACGCTGAAAGCAATGGCAACAAAAGCCAAAATTGACAAATGGAATCTAATTAAACTAAAGAGCTTCTGCACAGCAAAAGGAACTACCATCAGAGTGAACAGGCAACCTACAGAATGGGGGAAAATGTTTGCAATCTACTCATCTGACAAAGGGCTAATATCCAGAATCTACAAAGAACCCAAACACATTTACAAGAAAAAAACAAACAACCCCATCAAAAATTGGGTGAAGTATATGAACAGACGCTTCTCAAAAGAAGACATTTATGTAGCCAACAGACACATTGAAAAAAATGCTATCATCACTGGCCATCAGAGAAATGCAAATCAAAACCACAATGAGATACCATCTCATACCAGTTAGAATGGCCATCATTAAAAAGTCAGGAAACAACAGGTCTTGGAGAGGATGTGGAGAAATAGGAACACTTTTACACTGTTGGTGGTACTGTAAACTAGATCAACCATTGTGGAAGACAGTGTGGCAATTCCTCAAAGATCTAGAACTAGAAATACCATTTGACCCAGCAATCCCATTACTGGGTATATACCCAAAGGATTATAAATCATGCTACTATAAAGACACATGCACACGTGTGTTTATTGTGGCACTATTCACAATAGCAAAGACTTGGAACCAACCCAAATGTCCATCAATGATAGACTGGATTAGGAAAATATGGCACACATACACCATGAATACTATGCAGCCATAAAAAGGATGATTTCATGTCCTTTGTAGGGACATGGATGAAGCTGGAAACCGTCATTCTCAGCAAACTATCGTAGGGACAAAAAACCAGACGCTGCATGTTTTCACTCATAGGTAGGAATTGAACAATAAGAACACATAGACGCAGGAAGGGGAACATCACACACCAGGGCCTGTTGTGGAGTTGGTGGAGGGGGAAGGGATAGCATTAGGAGATATACCTAATGTAAATGATGAGTTACTGGGTGCAGCACACCAACATAGCACATGTATATATATGTAACAAACATGCACATTGTGCACATGTACCCTAGAACTTAAAATATAATAATAAAAAAAAAAGACAGTTTTTTTCTGTCTCCCAAACCATCTCTCTAACCCACTGGGGTATAAATTTCTACAAAGCAGGGATCATGTATTTATTATTCAACTACCACTCATTCATCAATCCATGATCCAATGTTCTTTTGCTAAGCACCTATTATTGTGCTTAACAATCTATCAATCATTGTATTAGATACAGATTAGATAAAGCAGAATGTTCTCCCTTGAAGATGTAACAAGAAAAATCAAAAATAAAAGAGGAATAAAATTAAAACAAACACAAAATGAATAAATAAATAAAGCAGAATGGACATAACAGACATTCATTAAATGTTTGCTGAATAAATAGATAGAATGAATGAATGAACAACCTGAAGGAATACTTTACCTTATTGGTAAGAATCTTAAAAACATGTTTTCCTCCTCTTCTATTGAGAAACCAACACATTATTAATCTTCTGGTCAACCATTTATTTTATTAGGCATCATTCCAAATCATTATGCTGAATAAAAACAGTAATTGCATAAGAACATATATCACAAATCTCATCAATGTTTCATTCTAAATGCTTATGTGAAAATGAGCATTGCTGCCATTTTTGAAATCAGTTAATATTCTATACATTTTATATATAGATAATACTAACTAGCAGTGTTCTTTATATTATGAAAGGTAAATGTCACTCACCCAGAGATCTTTAGCTAGTATATGTGGACCAAAGACAGCTCATATGTTTCCAAAAGCCATCACACTGGGAAGCAGTGCCCTCCTCCCCATCCTACTCCCATTGAGAACCACATGTCCCTGGGTTAAATTTAATGAAAAATACTATCCTTTCATATATGTTGTTTATCTTAGCTAATATCTGAGCTCCTAGGAAGTTCCATGTGAATTGATACATTTAAGTGGAGCAGAGCATTTGAAGGAAATCTGTGGCAAATCCTTCCATAACAAAGAATATTAGTATTGATTTAATGCTTAGTATTTGCCAGATATTAAGCTAAATGCTTTAAATACATTATCTCATTGAATGCTCCAAACATCTCCATGAGGTAAATAATATTAGTAAATCCCATTTATTGTTGGGTAAATTTAGGCAAAGAAACATTTGATAACTCACCCAAAAGCCCAGCTAGAAAAGAACAAAAGAAGCTAAAATTTAAACTCATATCTGTCTACTCTTGAGTCATAGCTCTTAACCATTAGGGTGTTTTCATAACTGATTTCTCTAAGTGAAGCATATGCTATTAATCATTATCTATGTTTTACTAAAGAGCTAAATAAATCTTTAAATATTAAATATGCTAGGCATAGATTATATGCTAATTAAATTTTACTATCTTTTACCAGGCACGGTGGCACATGCCTGTAGTTCCAGCTACTTGAGAAGTTGAGGCAGGAGGATCACTTGAGGCCAGGAGTTCAAGTCCAGTCCGGGCATAATAGTAAGATTCTATCTCTTAAAAAATAAATACATAAATAAATTGCAGTGGTCTAGTAAACATAAAAACAAAAAATAATTGTGATGGAGGAGACCACTTTATAATAATTTTTATTAAGCCATCTCAAAGACATATTACTTAATCACTGCAATAACTTTCTCATAAATGGTCATGGTTTTGTCACCACAATTACAGGAAATTTTGCTACATGAGGAAAAGACCCAATTAGCACAACTGCCTTTCTGGGTGCTTCAGGCCCAATAAGCTTATTACACATTATTCCTCAGTTATTTCAACCCAGATAGCTACTCGCTTCTAAAAGAACCTCCAAATGTTACATTGTCATCTACAATCTAGACACCCATTTCTTAGGTGATTTACTGTTTGACCTTCTGGGAAAGTTTTACATTATTAGCACCAAAGAATAGCATCAATTTCTATGAAGGAAATTCACAGTAAATAAAGCCTTGTTGCAGAGAACAACTTTAATCTACCAAATAATGATGTTCCTTGATGATCATCGTTTTTTGTTGTTGTTTTGTTTTGTTTTGTTTTTTGTTTTGTTTTGTTTTTTGACAAAGTCTCACCCTGTTGCCCAGGCTGGAGTGCAATGGTGCAATCTCAGCTCACTACAACATCCACCTCCCAGGTTCAAGTGATTCTCCTGCCTCAGCCTCCCAAGTAGCTGGGATTACAGGTGCCCGCCACCAAGCCTGGCTAATTTTTTGTATCTTTAGTAGAGACTGGGTTTCACCATGTTGGCCAGACTGGTCTCGAACTCCTGACCTCACTATCTGCTTGTCTCAGCCTCCCAAAGTGCTGGGATTACAGGCGTGAGTCACTGTGCCTGGCCCTTGATGACTATCTTGAAAAATGTTTAGGGCATGACCATCTTCCCACTGTTATCCAAAAAAAATTTCTGAGATGAGTCCTCTCCACCATCAGATTATGACTTCTCAAAAAAGTATAGACAAATCTTCCTTTATTCATTCACTTTACAGCTACTGACTGAGCATGCACAATGTGCCAGGCACTGTATTAGGAGCTGAGGATATAGCGGTGAATAAGATAGACATACATACTACTTATATTTCCAGAGAATCTGCCCATCTGAACAAGGTCACCTAGGTAAGTAACTTCACCCAAGCTATCCAAGTGACAGCTCTATGCTTTTTGAAGGGTTTCTCCCACAAGGTTTTTAATAATAAATTCATGGGTGCTATTATCTGAACAAACTATCCACCCCAAAAGTTGACTAAAACAGAAGAGGCAAGCCTCTTTTAACTGACCCTGAACTCCAAAGTCAGGCAAAATAATTGTCAGATGATCTGACAGGCTGCATAGATGAATCACTTACTTTGACTCAGCCTACTGAGTCATTTTTACTGTAATAAGGCATTCTATAATGTCATATTTCTTAGTTTACTCAGGCTTTATAATAATAATGCTATTTTTCCCATTTTAATTGTTTGAGGACACAGCATTGAGTCAAATTCTCCTCAAAAAGAACATAGTCACCTACAGCAACTTCTTCAGTTTTTCCAGGTTGTAGGTTACTCCATAATATCTCTGTTCTAACTCCTTTTTTCCTTTTCTCCTTATTTATCTTAAATATAAACACATAAACATTCCTTACAAGATATTCTTTAATTTCCTCTTCCTTTTCTTCACTTTTCTTTTGGACAACTTCTACCACACCTATAGTTTCAACAACCACCCCTCAGAGATGACCCTTTCTTTGGTATCCCTTGCTCTAGCTCTTTCTCCTGAGAATGGTTGTGGTTGCTGCAGAAGCAGCTTGAGTCAGCCTGAACCTGAACTGTCATCTAGCAGCCTGGAGCTGAGGAGGTGATGCAGCCCTGGGAGGCTAAGCCTTTGCATGTCTTAATGGACACACATCAAGGTCAAGCATACTGCAAACAAGAGTTAGTAAGAAACCAAGATGACCCGGCAAGACAAATGACTCAATGAGCTGACAAGATGGGCTAGGAATGGTCAGAACTGGAGGCAAAAACTGGAATTAGGGATGAATTCCAATGACAAATTCCAATTGTCAACTTCCCTTTCAGTTTCTTTCCCTTCCCAAACAATTCAGTTCTAAAGCCATTTGTGGGAGCATAGCCATACAGTATTTGCTGAAAGTAGAAGGCAGCCATGGTGACCTTGAGCAGACTATCAGAGCTCACCCAGTGTGAGGAGGGGATGCACCTAGAGGAGGAGGTTTCTGTGAGTATCAGAACCTGAGTAGGGTAGGGAGGAAGACCACGTGATGGGGAGGTGGGATGAGGAAGGCATCTAGACTAGAGGGAGACCTAGAATGAGATTTCAAAGCTCAAGCAAGGCGAGCAGGGCATCAATAAAAAAAGGCAGACTGGCAGAGATGTTGGGGCCAAGGAGGATAAGGAGGGTGTCTATGCAGGGTGTCCCAGTGTGGGAAGTCAGAGCTTGAGCCAGGTGGAGAGGGCATCCATGGGGGGATTGCACGTATAGCATGACATCGGTTACTGTAGCCCATGGAAAGATAAAGCAGGACTTCCACAGAGAGGAAATGCCTAACACGCAGTGTTGGAGCCCAAGTAAGCTAGGAAAATATCCATGCAAGGGAAGGAGTAATGGTTGAGATGGGAGATTAATGATATTCAAGAAAACTGATCAAATAAATAAGTGCACACAGAAATATCTGTGTAAACTCATAATTTTCATTATCTAGATATATATAAAAATGAATATAAATGTGTATATGCATGTTTAAATGTGAATATGTGGATATAAGTATGTGTGTACATCACCTACCTCTGTCCACCCCAAAGGACTGGGAGCAGCAATACCCCAATAGCAGTGAGTACTCCTAGTAACCAGATCTTGGCTTCTGGATACTGTCCCCCACTAAAAGGGATAAAGGCTCAAAGAAGAAATGGCTGATTATAGGATTGGGCAGGAATATTATATGCAAAATAAGCAAGGAAGTAATCGAAGAATGATAGGGACAGGTCTGAAAATACAAAAAGCAATTTAAAGAAAGACTGACCAAATAGGTGACAATTTGAGCATCAACATAAATAATAATAGTAATAGATTATTATAATCCATTAAATAAAAATTGAAAACCATTAAGCCATAGTGATATAAATAAACAATTTAAAGATTGATTAGAAAAGGGATATTTACATAGTTTCAAAATACCTTCCCACAGAAAACTTACTAATTGCAAAGAGAAAAAGAGTAAGTTTACAGTAAAGAAGATTGACAGACACCACCTAAATTGAGTAATCAAAATGATTAGTTATAGGACAAATGGCCATGATATGCCAAGTGATAGAATGCAGTGAGAAGAACACAGCATTACTTCTGCAATTAGTCTTTATTTTTCAGATGACAAGTAAAAATTATGTATATTTATCATGTACAACATGATGTTCTGATATATGCATACATGGCAGAATGCCTAAATCAAGCGATTTAACATATGCATTACCTCATATACTTATTATTTTTGAGACAAGAACACTTAAAATCTACTCATAGCCATTTTCAAGTATACGATGCATTGTTATTAAGTATAGTCACCATGATGTATAATAAATCTCCTGAACTTATTCCTCCTATCCAACTGAAATGTTGTGTCCTTTGACCAACAACTCTCCAATCTCTCCACCCCACCTCACCCCCAGCCTCTGGTAACAAACGTAGATTGGTCTTGGGTCCAATCCTAGAGATCTTGGTTAACAAAATCCTTCAAGACATATCAACCTACTGGGCAATTTGATGCAGCCTGGACTCTACCAGGAAATTACAGCAAGGCTCCATCACTTTGGATAATCTAAAAAGCACAGTTCAATTTCTATGCGGGCTCAGGGGATACAACTACATCACAAACAAATAGAATGAGGTACAGGCAAAAGCTATAAAATTTCCTGAAAATGATCCTTATGCCTAAGCTCTCACAGAAGTGTATTTGTGTATTTTCATTGTCAGTCAACTTGATAAACTCAGTGATCGACCTTCACTACACTACCTTCCATCCTTTGAATTCAAGTTCTGGGTTCTAAGCCTGACTCTATTTTTAATTACCAAGTCATTTAATGTTTCCAAGACTCCATTTCTTCAAGTATATTATGAATAGCTTGTACTGGAAGGTCTCTACAGAAACGTTCAGCTTGTCTACAGTGGAAGAGAGGAACTTCTATGACTTCATATATGTATATATATATAGAGAGAGAGAGAGAGAAATGTATATATAAAGTGTATATATAGAAATGTGTATATATATAAAGTATACATATATATATATACACTTTAAGTTCTCAGATACATGTGCAAAACGTGCAGGTTTGTTACATAGGTATACAGGTGCCATGGTGGTTAGTTGCACCCATCAACCCATCATCTACATTAGGTATTTCTCCTAATGCGATCCCTCTCCCAGCCCCTCACCTCCTGCCAGGCCCCAGTGTGTGATGTTCCCCTCCCTGTGTCCATGTGTTCTCATTGTTCAACTCCCACTTATGAGTGAGAACATGCGGTGTTTGGTTTTCTCTTCCTGTGTTAGCTTGCTGAGAATGATGGTTTCCAGCTTCATCCATTTCCCTGCAAAGGACATGAACTCATCCTTTTTTACGGCTGCATAGTATTCCATGGTGTATATGTACCACATTTTCTTTATCTAGTCTATCATTGATGGACATTTGGGTTGGTTCCAAGTCTTTGCTATTGAGAATAGTGCTGCAATAAACATACGTGTGCATGTGTCTTTAAAGTTGAATGATTTATAATCCTTTGGGTATATACCCAGTAATGGGATTGCTGGGTCAAATGGTATTTCTGGTTCTAGATTCTTGAGGAATCGCCACACTGCCTTCCCCAATGGTTGAACTAATTTACACTCCTACCAACAGTGTAAAAGCATCCATATTTCTCCACATCCTCTCCAGCACCTGTTGTTTCCTGACTTTTTAATGATTGCCATTCTAACTGGCATGAGATGGTATCTCACTGTGGTTTTGATTTGTATTTCTCTATTAACCAGTGATGATGAGCTTCTTTTCATGTTCGTAGGCTGCATAAATGTCTTCTTTTGAGAAGTGTCTGTTCATATGCTTTGCCCACTTTTTGATGGGGTTGTTTTGTTTTTTCTTATAAATTTAAGTTCCTTGTAGATTCTGGATATTAGCCCTTTGTCAGATGGATAGATTGCAAAAATTTTCTCCAATTCTGTAGGTTGCCTGTTCACTCTGATGATAGTTTCTTTTGCTGTGCAGAAGCCTTTAGTTTAATTATATCCCATTTGTCTATTTTGGTTTTTGTTGCCATTGCTTTCAGCATTTTAGTCATGAAGTCTTTGCCCATGTCTATGTCCTGAATGGTATTGCCTAGGTTTTCTTCTAGGGTTTTTATCGTTTTAGGTTTTATATTTAAGTCTTTAATCCATCTCGAGTTCACTTTTGTATAAGGTGTAAGGAAGGGGTCCAGTTTCAGTTTTCTGCATATGGCCAGCCAGTTTTTCCAACACCATTTATTAAATAGGAAATCCTTTCCCCATTGCTTGCTTTTGTCAGGTTTGCTATGACTTCGTTTCTAATTTGCCCCACAAGGATTCACAGAAATAGTTGTCACACAAACTCTTTTTAGTTATGAGGAGGAATCAATTCTACCTTACATCTTTACTCATAGAGTCATAGCATCTTGGAGTCAGTGGATTTATGTAATAATTGGAAGAACAAGGGTGAGACAAGATTAAGTTCACAATAAGAGTTAGAGTTAGATAAAAACTAAAGAGATAGGTAGAGTGAAAGCACTGACCATTTTAGGGTATGGGACACTTAGAAGTGCTCTCAAACTGAAGAGAAGATGGCATTGAAGAAGGATGGGAAATAATTGTTGCTCAAAACCAATGAGGGAAGCGATAGGGTTTACTATGGGAAGAGCAGAGAAATTTCTTATGCTCTTAGGAACATTACCTCATTACTCCTCATCTCAAGCCTGGGTGGCAGATACTGTTACTGCCCCCATTTCACAGAGAAGAAAACTTAGGCACAGAACAAGTAAATAACCTGCCTGAAGTCACACACTAACAGGTTGAAGAGTTGAGATGCTCAGTCTGACTACAGAGCCCCTGCTCTTGACCACTCTCCTTCCTCTAAGAAAGGAAAGAAAGACGAAGAAAGTATATTTAATTTCAGAAATGAACAAGGATAATATTGAAGAAATGCTCTTCTGATGGCCTTGATGTTCTGAGTCAAGAAGGAAACACCATCTGCTAAGCTGAAGGTCAAGGATGAGGCTAGGGATTCATAAAAAAAAGAGTGGTTTACAAAAGCCTTTTAAGACTGGAAAAGGGACGCTGCTACAGATGAATAAAAGAATTGCTAAGCATCATCGGTGGCCTGAGTGAGTTTGGAACATTTGCACTAGTAATGACACCATCAGCATGGTTATGCAACTTTCTTGAGCACTTCTCAGAAACCCAGAAGCAGAAATCAAGAAAACAGATCGTTGATCTACAGCTGGGGGCCTGGAAACGGGGTGATGTGGACAGTGACTGTCTTAAGGGAATTGAGGATGTTGGTTGAGAATAGTTGAAGTAATTGATCATTGGGTCCAGGCCAAATTGGAAAGGAAGCAAAGCTAATGAATATCTGTGGGGTCAAATCATAAGAATGAAAGATACTTCCTTTCAGTGTATAAAAACTTTTGAAATTTATTGTAACAATTTTATTTTAAATATTTAATTATATGAAGCAAGAACAAGCTACCTTACATTTTATTCTTTAATTGAAAACTACATATATCTACTAATTACTAAGTACACCGAATCAAGAGAGTTAGAACTAGTCCCAGATCTGTACTAGTGAACTATGTAACCAACTAAGTCACTCAGCCACTTTGTGCCTCAGTTTTACCTCTGTTAAAAAAAAAGAAATGAAGAAAGAAAAAGGAAAAGGAAAATTTGATTTAATAATCTAATATTCTATGCTTCATTTCTTCCTTTCATTCCATGACAAAAATAAATTGCTGAAATCTCCAAGCTAGTTATCTAACTTTAACATAACTGAAACTTTCTTTCCTGAATATGTGTTAAATATAATGTTTTTAAACCAAAAAGCTGCACATCCTTCAATATCAACGTCATAGTATCTAGCCAGACAGCAAAATAATGTACAAAATACAACAGAGCCATTAGCTACTCAACACCTCCATCTTCAGGGTCTCAATAAATCTTAAAATAGGATGATGACCCACATAGTACACATAATAACTTTTAAGACAACGCTGTCTCAAAGTAGACTAAGTTAGGAATTATGTTGGCACCATGCCAAATGAGTCTTCATTTTTCAATGATTTGATTTCAATTATTTTTCTTTCTTTTAATATCCTCTTCACTCCTTTATGTCATATATTTTTTATCCTCTAGAACTGTAGACATTTACTAATCAATATTTACCAAATATTTTCTGAATTCAGAATTATTTTAAGTTTGGAATTAATTGATTCCTTGAAGCTAGTGCTCCTTGAGTCTAGAGCTTCCTGGTCCATGCTGGACTCAAAGAAGGAGAAATACATTCCTGGAAGTACATTTAAGGGCCCTTCACCATCCCTCATGGCTATGTGGATGGTGCCTGGTGTTACTGATGGAGCATGTGCTCTGGATTGAGGAAGATCTGACTCCAAATCTTAGTTTAGTTGCTTATGAGCTTTGGTGAGACCTGAGACAACTTTTCCTACATGGCAGAGCTTCAGTTTTCTTATTCATTTAAGCTAAGAGGAGTTTGCCTCCTTACAGTGTTGTCATAAGGACTAAAATACATAACGTCTACTAAATGCCAAAAAATAAATATTTTTCCCTCCCCAATCCTTCATAAAAGAGGCAGTAGAATGTTATCTCTATAAGCATGAAGATTTACACACAAGGGGCTGACAGATTTCTTAAAGCATGTGCCCGGAACACAAACACGCAAAGCTTCCACATACACAGTGCTGCCCCCCTAGTGGACTGTCTGTGGAAGTACTTCACAATTATGCAACGGTTTAAAAAGTTAGAAGCAAAATAGATTTTATAATGAGAAAAGAAGCATCTCTATGAGGAAAGATCCTAAATTGATTTATTTAATCAAAAACGCAGTACCAGAAACTGCACTTAGCATTTAGGATATAAGACATAGTTCTGCTCTCAAAGAGATCTCAAGAAAATTGTTTCAGCATTCTCATTTATAGAGGCATGTTTCCAGAGTCTCAACTTCAGAACTCAAGTTATATTGACTTTAGGATTCAGATGTGTTTAGAATGCATTTATTTGGGAAGATTAGGTGGTCCCAGCAGAAGTCTATTTATATTAGGAAATCAAGGTGTGTTCTGGAGGGAAAAAACTCATCCTGCGTTTGGACCAAATTGGATCCAGGGACACTGATTCAGAGCTGGGGGAGGTGTGATTATGAATGTATAGTTGAGTTTATCCTCTGTCCCCAAAGCATGCAAACTAAAAAGGAGGCTATAAGAAAAGAGCAATTAGTAAGTAGATAGGCTATTTCACTGAGCTTTCATTGGGATATTTTGAGGGAAAGTTGGCACCATTGAAGTCAACAGTTTTGAGGGAAAAAAAAGTCTCTTTAATTCCTCATATAAATGAAGATTCAGCACCTAGCTCAGCTTTTACCACATAGTAAGTGCTCCATAAATACATGTGAATGTATAAATATTGAGTTCCTTTCTTTATGTGTTACCAACTCTAGAAAAAATAAATAAGACACATCTTTGTGGGACTAATTACAATTAGCACTGCAAAAAAAAAAAAAAGTATATGCCAATCGTTCTAGAATCACAAAGCCAAAAGAAATGTGTTTATCTGGTGAGGTTACTGTGATACCAAGAGACGAATTTATAGCTGATCAACAAAAGGTGAGAAGATCAGATGGGCAGAGGGGACGCCAGGTAAGGGAAGAACATAAGCAAAAGCCTTGAAAATTTTGATGAATTAGGAGCCATAACACCTCACAATGGATGCTGAGGATTGAGGTTTCCTTCTTTATTGGTGAAAAAAACAGGAAAAACAGTGGAAATGAAAACTCACTTTTTGATGTTTTCTCCCACTGTTCTGACATAGTTCATGTCCCTCCATTACTATCTATTCTGAATTTTCATGTTCTAAGCTTACTAAGAACCACACAGCCCTCTGTAAATATGAGTTATGTACAATGAACTAAATCAGTGCCTCAATTCTCTTTTCTTTGGAAAAGGTTTTTTCCAAGAAGGCATCTTTATCCCTCAGGAAAGTAAATCCTTGCTGAGCCCACTTTGCAGCTTTTCCAGGTAAACCTCTACAAATGGGTAGATCAGAGTCACCTGTTTCCTTATACAGTCAGGTCCTAGTAATGTTGTCAAGCACCCTAACTTAAAGACCAAAGAGAATTGGAGGAAAAAGAAGAGAAAGATAGGTAGGAAGAGAGAGTGGGGGAGAGAGACACAGGAAGATGATGAGAGAAAGATTAAAAGAGAAAATGTCAAAAGGAGAATGAAAGGAAGAGCAAGGAAAAAAAGGAGGAAGAAAGCACACTGGAAGAGATAGAGGAAAAGAAAACAAGTGAAACAGAGAGACACAGAAAGGTGGAAAAAAGGGAGAGAGGGATAAAAGAGAGAAATAGAGGAAGAAAAGATAAGAAGATAGAAGAAAGAGAGGCAGGAAAAGAGAGATATGGGGAAGAGAAAGGAGGAAAAGAAGAAAGAGAAGGAGAGAGGATAAGTGAAAAAAGAGAAAGGGGAGTAGAGTTGGTCTGATGACGACTAGTCTATCCATCCACCTTTGGAATAAATACATACGTTTCTTTATATAAGATTTGTGTGAGCAAGTTTAGTTTAATACAATTTAAATGACTTTGGGATTCATTTGCTAAGAAAATTAAATGCCTATCTAATATTATATACTCATTTTGTTCATTATATTTTAGTAAACTTTAAATCTAAAATCTCATTCTTAATTCTAACATATTTCACTTTTGGTAATGCATGTTAACCAATTTGTTAAACATTACAAGCTATTAAGAGAATTTGTTAAACATTACAAGCTATTAAAAAGATTCTTAATTCACAGTAACTCCATCCAATTTAGTAAAAAAACTCAAATGTTCAGTCCTATTACCAAGTAATCATCAATAAAAAAGGATTGCCCCCCAAAAATTATTAATTTTTACAATTTGTAAGATTTTATAATTTATAATAAATTTTACTAATTTATTATTAAAAAATTATTTGTATTAATTCAAAACAATTTGCCTTTCTACTCTATTTCAAAAGAATTTAGGGTTTAAAATGGAACCCTGGTTAAATATATATATAAGAAAATCATATATAAATAAGATTGGTTGTCAATTGGTTGAAAGAATTATATATATATAGACACACACACATACATATATCACTCTAAGTCTCATTATTTGCATCAAATTAGTATTTTCTTCAAAAAAACAAAATAATTATAACTCTTGGACTTTAATTTTTAATTTTTGATTTTTTAACATGAAAAATATTTATTGGTGTTATGAAATTCTATCTCAAACAATGGAGAAAATTATGACAACCAAACATCAGCAATGTCAAAGACAACACTGGCAAGCTCACAAAGAAATCTTGAAATTCACTTCTCTTTTCAAAGAGTTTTTTCCCCCCCAAAAGACACTGACTGGTTTCCATAATCACTCATATCAACATCATTTAGCCAGCTGGCCATTGCATAATTTTGACTTCTATATTAGAATCTGGTGCCAGTGAATATCTAGATTACATTATCCTATTTCCCTTTGGAGTACACAAAAAAAACAAGTATTTTTCCAAAGATGTCTTCATCTTTTTGATTAATATTTTGCCATACTTTACAAAATTCCAAATGCTTTAGTCTTTATATAATCAAAACTTACAATGAGACTCCTGGACTGAAACCAGTTCTCATTGAACCCAGGTGATTCCAGAGAGGCTTTCAACAAACCCTTTCAATAGGTGCCTCAAAGAGCTATTGTCATCATGATTCAATACTAATATACCTAGGACTAAAATTTGTGGATTAGATGGTAACTCTAAGTTTAATATTTAGAGGCAAAGCCAAATTGTTTTCTAAGGTGACTGGACTTTGTGCAATAGAGTCCTAGCAATGTTACGAGTACGCCTAAGTTAAAGTCAGTAGAGAACACTCCCGCCAGCAATGTATCAGGGTTCTAGTTTCTTCATATTCTTGCCAACACTTGTTATTTTCTCTTTTTTATTATAGCCTCTAAAGTGAGTGTGAAGTGGCACCTCACTGTAGTTTAAATTTGCATTTCCCTAATGACTAATGATGTGGAGTATCTTTTTATGTGCTTATTAGCCATTCACATATATCATCTCTAAAGAAATATCTATTCTAATCCTTTGTCCATTTTTCAAGTTATTTGTCTTTTTGTTATTAAAGTGTAAGAGTTGTTTTTATATTCCGTACACAAGTACCTTATCAGATATATGATTTACAGGTATTTTCTTCAAATCTGTCAGGTTTTTTTTGACTTTCTGTTATTTTTTTACCTTCAAGAGAATTGTTCATTTAATCTAAGTTTCTAATTTATTGGTATAAAGTTGTTCACAATTTCTATGAACTCTGTAGTGATTTCATTTCTTTCATGCCTGGTACTGTCAATGAAAACAGGCAAATTCTGTAAAATATTTGAAGAGACTCATTCTGAGCCAAATATTGTTACAGTAGTTAGCTACGCAGGCATGAGCAGGGAAGGAGAGGGGTCCCGCACACACATACACACCAGGAGTGTTGGGTGGCCATCAGGTGATGGTCAAGTGGTTGTTAACTGTCTCTCTCTAAAGTAATAATTAGTCACAGCCCACTCAGGGGAAAGTCAGTCTCCCAATAGACAGGAAAAACCTGAAACTGGTAATCAGCAGCTTCCCTGTAAGATCTCAGGAGTTGGGCATGTGGACTCAACAATGTGCGTTAAGAGGCAAAATGGCTGAGTTTAACTGGTATGTGACCTGATAGAAACATTTGGCTGATAAGGGAAGAACGCCTCACGTGAGCAAGCATACAATTCCAGGAAACACACTGCACATGCTCATCTCCCAAGCACTAGCAAGCCACTGTGCATGCAGACAGCCCACCCCAAGGGAAGAATTAGGGTAGAAGGAATGCAAGACCCCTGAAGTATGCCAACATATAAAACCCCAAGTCCAAAGGTCAAACTGCACACTTGTCTTTCAAGTTACCCACTCGGCCTTCTTCCAAGTCTACTTTCCTTCTTTTGGTTCCTGCTCTAAAGCTTTTTAATAAACTTTCACTCCTGTTCTAAAACTAGCCTCAGTCTCTCCTTCTGCCTTATGCCCCTCGGTAGAATTCTTTCTTCTGAGGAGCCAAGATTTGATGCTGCTGCAGACCCCTATGGATTTGCTGCTGGTAACAATATGAGGACCAATGACCTGTGACACAGCCCCAGGGTGTCCTAAGAACATGTGCCCAAGGTGGTCGGGCTATAGCATGGTTTTATACATTTTGGGGAGACATATGACTTCAATCAATACATGTAAACATTACATTGGTTCAGTCTGGAAAGGCAAGAAAACTAAGTGTGTGGTGTCAGGAGGAGTTTCAGGTCATATGCGGAGTCAAAGATTTTCTGATTGGCAATAGGTTGAAAGAGTTAAGTCATCACCTAAAGACCTAGAATCAAAAGAAAGGAGTGTCTAGGTTAAGATACCAGGTTGTGGAGAACAAGATTCTTATCATGTACGTGAAGCTTCCAGGTAGCAGGCTTCAAAGAGAATAGATTGTAAATGTTTCTTATCCGATGTAAAAAGGTACCAGACTCTCAGTTAATTCTTTCCTGTATCAGGAAAAAGAACTGGAAAGGGAAGGGGATTCTCTACAGGATATAGATTTTCCCCACGAGAGACAGCTTTGCAGGCCATTTTGAAATGTGTCAAAGAAATATATTTGGGGGTAAAATACTTCAACTGCTTTCAGAGCCTGCTGTCATTTTGGTATCTTATTACTACAAAGAGTCTGCTTTGTCAGTTGTAAGGTCTCTGTTCTAATATTAATGCTGGTCAGTTGTGCCAAGGGGAGGAGGGTATGTCTGACCAGCACCCTCAACCCCTGCCCCCACCAACCCTGTTTCCCATCATGGCCTAAACTAGATTTTCGGGTTTACTTTGGAATACCCTTTGCCCAGACTGAGGTCCATCAGTCAGCTGGGGGCTTAGAATTTTATTTTTGTTTTACAGTACTGATCATTTGTGGCAGGTTTTCCTGATTAGCCTTACTATAAGTTTTCAATTTTAATAATCTTTTCAAAGAAAAAACTTTGGCTTTATTGACTTTCTTTATTGGTTATTTGTTATCAATTTTACTGATTTCTGCCTTTATATTTATTATTTCCTTCTTTCTACTTGCTTTGAGTGTAATTGACTATTCTTCTAGTTTCCAGTGGAGAAAATTAGATTAATTTAAGAGCTTTTCTCATAAGTGTCTTTTATTTATGTTAAAATATGTAATTGACAAATGAAAATTGTATTTATTCAAGAATGTACATCATGATTATTTGATATACATATACATCATGTAATGATTACCACAGTCAAATTAACACATCCATCACCACGCATAAAAATCTGCTCTCTCATCAAATTTAAGTAAATAATACAGATTATTCACTATATTCACCACGCTGTACATTAGATCCCCAAAACTTATTCATCTTATAACTGAAAGTTTGTACTCCATGACCAACATCTCCTCATTTCCCTCGACCCCTCAGACCCTGACAATCACTATTCTACTCTCTGCTTCTATGAGCTTGACTTTTTTAGATTCCACATATGAGAGAAATCATACAGTATTTGTCTTTCTGTGTCTGGCTTATTTCACTTAGCATAATGTCCTCCAGGTTTATCCAGGTTTCCATGTTTTCACAAAAGGCAAGATTTCCTTATTTTTTAGAGCTGAATAATATTACGTTATATAAATGTGTGTATATATATCACATTTATAATTATATATCACATAATATATGTGATATATAATGTAACATTACATTATATATTATATATATTTATATATATTATGTATTACATTATATACTATATATTACATTATAAATATATAAATATATAAATATTACTTTTATATACATTATATATTTATATATTATATGTTACATTATGTATAACTATATATTACATTATAAATATTTATAAATATTATTACATTATATATAATTATATATACCATATATTGCATTTATAATGTAATATAGATAATGTATATATAAATATATGTAAACATTATATATATATCACATTTTCTTTATCCATTCATCAATCTTGGCATAACTCTTTTGGATATGACACCGAAAACACAGGCAACAAAAGCAAAAGTAAACAAGCGAGACTACATCAAACTAAAAAGCTTCTGTGCAGCAAAAGAAACAATCAACAGAATGAAAAGGCAGCCTACAGAATGGGAGAACACATTTACAGACTATATATCTGATAAAGTGCTGTTATCCAAAATATATAAGAAACATACACAACTCAGCAAAAACAAATAGCCTGATTTTACAAATGGGGAAAGGACCTGAATAGACAGTTTTCCAAAGAAGAAATGATAATGGCCAATAGGTATTATATATGAAAAGGTGCTGAACATCACTGATCATCAGGGAAATGCAAATTAAAACCACAATTAGATATTACCTCATGCCTGCTAGGAGGGCTGTTATCAGAAATACAATCGCTAACAAGCGTTGCTTAGATGTAGAGAAAAGGGGAACCCCAGTACACTGTTTGGTGGCAATGTATATTGGTACAACCACTATTGAAAATAGTATAGAATTTCCTCAAAAAATTAAAAATAGAACCCCATATGATCCAGCAATCCCAATTCTGGGTATATATTCAACGGAAATAGAATCAGTATCATGAAGGAAGAACTTCTTTTTTTACACAAGAACTTAATGACTAAAATCTCCTAAGTACTACTTTAGCTGCAACCCAAAAATGTTCATGGGTTGTGATTTTATTATCATTGATACAAAATATTTTATAATTTTCTGTGTGATTTCTTCTTTGACCCATGAGTTGTTTAAATGTAAGTTGTTTAACTTTTTGATATCTGGGGCTTTTCTAGATGTGATATTTTGGTAGTTTGTAATTTAATTCCATTTTGATCAGGGAACAAATTGTGTAAAATTCAATCTTTTCAAATATTTTTATGATTTATTTATGGTCCATCATATGGTCTATCTTTATATACATTTTATGAGTACTTGAAAAGAATATGGATCTTCAGTTGTTGAGTGCAGTGCTATATAATCGACAATTAAGTTAAAAAAAAAAACTCAGAAAGCCTGAAAGAGAATACTGTATTACTGGAGAAATTGCAAAGATTAATTACATCATAATGGATCTGAAGGATGCACAGGTGGTGATTACCATCACCTCCCTATTCAGCTCACCTAATTTTGTCTGTACAGAAGAGATACGGATCTGGGAAAATGGCAGTGGATTTTCACAAAATTAAGTTAGCAGCAATTCCAAACCCAACTGCTGTTCCAGATATTGTGTCTTTACTGAAGCAAATCAGCACATTCTCTTGTATCCAGCTACTGATCTACAAATATTTTTATCCCTATACTTGTTAGTGAAGACCATTAGAAGTTTTCTTTCAGTTGGCAGGGCTATCAATACACTTTTACACCCTACCTTAGAAGAAACACAGTTGGAAAACTGGTTAATGGGAGATAACAGAGGGTTTGAAAAAAAGATGTCTCCAAATGGGCACAGAATGTGCAAATATTTGTGTACCCTGTGAATGTTCACCAAAGAGCAGCCTCAGCAGAGGAGAATCTTAGTATTTAGATGAGCGGGATGACCCATTATGTGGTCTCAGGCAATTTCTTTCCCCAGTCAGCATATGAACAAAGGAATGAAGATTTCACATGAGCTCAACAATATGGACTTGAACTCGCCAAAGCGTATTTAGCTATAACAACTGCAGAAAATGCCAAGCTTGCCAATAGCAGAGACAAACACTGAGTTCCCAGTACATCACCACTCCTCAGGGGAACCAGCCAGCCACCTGGTGGCAGGTCGATTACCTTTGGACCAATTCTATCAAGGAAACATCAGAACTTTGTTCACACTGGAATTGTTTCTCTGAATATGAATTTGCCTTTCCAGCCCTCAATGATTTTGCCAATCCATGGACTTATGGAATACCTTATTTACCATCATCATATTCCACACTGCATTGTTTCTGATCAGGGAACTCATTTCACAGTAAATGAAGTATGCCAATAGGCTCATGCTCATAGAATTCAACATTCCTACTCTTTTCCCCATTACTCTGAAGCTGCTAACCTGATAGAACCGTGGGATGGTCTTTTGAAGACTTAGTTATGTGGAAGCTAGATGACAGCACTTAGTGTCTCTAGAGTGACATCATTCAGGATGCAGTATTTTCTCTGAATCAGTAAGCACTGTATGGTTCTGTTTCTCCTATAGCCATCGTTCACAAATCCAAAAATCAAGGGATAGAAATGGAAATAAGTTTTCTCACAATTATCTCTATGATCCACTCGCAAAAATGTTTTTCATTTCTGCATCTTTGCTAGTTTAGAGATCTGAGTTCCCAAAAGAGAAGCACTTCTACCAAGTGACACATCAACGATACCATTAATGTGGGAGCTGAAACTGCCACCTGACAACTCTGGGTTCCTCATGCCAGTAAACTAACAGAATGGAGATAGTTGGAGTGACTTATCCTGGTTTTGCTACTGCACAATGGGAGTAGGAAGAAGAAAAATGGAGAAATTCCTTTGGGGTACATCTTAGTAGTTCCACATCCTATGATTAAAGTCAGTAGAAAACTATAACTCAATGCAGGCAGGGCTACTAATGCCCAGACCTTTCCATTATAAACATTTGAGTCACTTCAACAAATAAAGAACTAAGACAAGCTAAAGTTTATCAACTATTTTTCTTTCTACTTTTCCCCTTTTTCACTTCCCTAATACTGAACATAAGACGTGTTAACAGAGATTAATTTTAGTATTTAATACAGAGGATATCAAGGTAGAAGTTGACTCAGATATAAGAGGAGTGAACATCATCCAAAGATGGATAAAGTTGGACTTTGTATATACTCTGCTAGGGAAAATGTTAGCATGCATTTAGTTGTATGAGGAATGACTGCATTATGTTAACTGGAAGAATGATTTTGCTATTGAATTTGTTTGAATGTTAACCATGATGAAAAGGTTTGTATAAATAGCAATTTAATAAGAGGTGGACTAAACTGGATTGTGCTCTTATCAATTTGGTTAAACTGCGAATTTCATTTCCTGGATTTATCTTCCAGTATGGTATGGGAAAGGGAACTTGTATAAGAATTGCGAGGTAGAAATGAAGTAGGAATCATTACTTCTAGAAGTTCATTATACTCAACACAGTGAGGGATGGATGCAGAGGTGCCCAGCTTATAATTCACCCTTATCTGCTCCTCATCCAGTTTGTCCTCCAAACTATTGGCCCCAATAGCAGTCCCAAGCCTAACATCACAGTCTTGGCTGTAGATCTACAGAGACAACCAATGGGCCTCTCCACAAGCTCCCACTTTGAGATCCCACTTTGACAGGTGGATATATGAGATCTTTCAGATTCTCCTTCAGGCTCCGACTTCTCTACCCACTCCAATGTTTCAGAAGGACTAAATGTGTGTAAGTTCCAATTCCTAAAATAAATTTCTTATTCCCATAATATTCATAGTAGTTTGGCTTCCCTGATGAATTCTGACTATGCGCTAACTGATTCTGTTTTTAACTATACGTATTTATATTGGGTGGCAAAGGGACATGTCTTTGTGTTGCTGTAAACTAATTATTTCAGCTTTGTGCTCCATAGCACGTTTTAAAACATTTTAAGACTCATATTTATAAGTTATCACATTTACCACCACTCCCATAAGAAAACATCTCCTCAATTCACAATCTCTTCATCAGAGAGAATGTTTTTTGCCCAGTACCACATGCCACTGAATGATTCATATCTAGAATGTCTTATGAGGTAAGTATGGATGTGCTGTTTGATTGACCTGTCATTAAAATTCTGTATTCAGGGGATTAGGTTGATTCACTTGGTTTAAATCTACATTTATCAACTCCAATTAGGTGCTTCTCTGAAGGTGCCCCTCTTAAAAGTTTAGAAGTCAATTAATCTTAAGACAGGGATAAATTTTATGAGCCATATTATAAGTACCAAAGCCACTATCACCTGAAGAATGAGATAACTGTAATAAATTCATTATGTCTTGTACTTGACATTTTCAAGCACTAAAATCCAAACTCATTTTTGGAGGTCTCTAAATTATTTTATATCAAGTCAGTAACAGGTTTTACGACTTGGAATAAATACTCATTAGTTGTTAGAGTGCTTATCTGGTTTTGTCTCATTTATTTAAAAATAATGTCATGAACCTGAAACCATAAATATTAATAGCTGAAACCACTGACACAAAATTTATGTTTAAAACAAATAGCTCTTACATGAGTAATAGAAGTTTTTGTGTCCCCACAACTCAATATGCTAAAAGTTTCTTTCTCTTCTTGAGACTTGTAGCAACCATGTGACTTTAAGGAAGTTAAGGTAAGGAAAAAATTGACTTAGTTTTTATCCTTTTGGCATTCAAGAAATTGAGAAACAATGCAGCTAAAAGGTATGAGTGGACAGAAGGTGCCATCTGCTCAGCTACAGACAATTTGGATTGACTGAAGGGACAATACTTTTCCATTAAAAGCAGACCAGGCACAACCTCAGTGTGACTAGGGTAAAATTGTCAAATTTCCCCTAAAAAGGGGAAAAAAGTCAGAGGGAAATGTGGAGAAGAGGGTCATGGAGAAGCTGAGTTCAGTGGGCATCATTTGAAATATGAGGATGTATTTCCAGGATACCAGATAATTTCCTAGATCGCATTGTAAACTAACTCAAAATAGAGACAAGAAAAGAGGTTGTAGTCTTGAAGGTCAAAAGGAAAATGTGATAAAGTGAAAAGTATGATAGATTAAAGTGATTTAGGATTTTATCTTCGAACAAAGATTTTGTCCTTCTCATCTGAAGAGTGGAGAAGAAAGAGGCAAGTATGGATATTTCAGGAAGCCATTCTGGAATGGCCTGGATTGGTCAGAAGGGAAAGAAATTCTTCAACCTGGTTGTTCATTATTTTTGCCTGTGCCCATATTCAAATTTGAGGAGGCTTTTCTGGTTCTAAGCTACATCACAGATCCATCTTGGCTCACACACAGTTCTAGCCTGGAATTTTAGTGCATTTCATTTTGTGTGCATTTGTTTGCCATTTGCCATAACTCTGATTAAATTTCATTAGATGGTTAAGGATCTGGTTAGCAGAAATTTCTTAGGGTCCCTGCAGTTGTCAGGACCAATGAGAAGTAAGTGTAAGTAAGTGTTGTTAGGTCACCACCATCAAGAATGTAGGAAGAATCTGCTCAGGGCTTTCTCTTCTATCTTGGTTTCAGTTCAAAGCAGAAGTTGTTACACTGTTCACACAGAAAACATTCAACACACAAGTGGTGAATGATCAGAGAATGACCACAAAAAAATTGAGATTCAGCTTCAAAAGCACTGCCCATCAAAATGACGTAGGTTACTCCGGGACATTAAGACTAGCAACTTATAGCCAGGCACAGTGGTGTGTGCCTATAGCCCCAGTTACTCAGGAGTCTGAGATGGAAGGATCTCTTGAGCCCAGGAGTTCAAGTCCAACCTGGGCAACATAGCAAAAACCAGCCTCAAAAAATATGTTTTTTAATAAAAATAAATAAAACTAGCAACTTCTATATAAATTTTTAGTATTACATTTCTGGAGGGATTGCAGAGATTAATTACATCACAAGGGACTTGAATGATGCACAGGTAGCAATTTAGTAATTTCTATCACATCCCCATTCAACCTGTACAGACGACAGATGTGTCTTGGAAGATGACAATGGATTTTCATAAACTGAAAAAGGTAGGGTTCCAAATCCAACTACTATTGCAGATATTATTTCTGTACTGAAACAAATCAGCACATCCTATTGGCTTCTGTTTCCTCTGTGCCATCAGTAGATGAGATTATCTACCGACTTGAAGGGGGAAAGTTATGACGGCATGAAGTATTAAGTACGGTGAGAAAGTATGAGATATAAGTAGTGGGCATTTGTTCCACTTTAGGGTTTGGATGCAGAAAGTTGCTAAATATGTTTGATCTCACCCTAACACTAAGAACAAATAATAATCTATAAAATCATAGCTTTCCTTTCTGGCTTTTTAACCTCATCCCACAGCTGAAGATACAAAGAAACCTAAAAGGACTAAATAAGAAAATAAATATCCCTCTCTAGGAGAAAAAATACCTAAAGTTGTTTCATCCCTTGCTGAGAGGCAGGAAAAGGAGGAATATGCCATAGACCTCAAGAAATAAGGAAAAAATCACAAGGCTGGTTCACATTGAACCAACCCTCCTAGGCTAGAATGTGACTTGCTTTGGTCAAGGCCAAGTTAGAAGTGTTATGCCAGCAGAATCTTGAAGAGTGCTTGCACAACGGGGCTTATCTTTTAAAAACCTTCTGTATTCAAGCCCAGCTACCATTAAATAAGATCCAGAGGCCATATTGAGGAGGCCTGGAAGATGAAACATCATGTGAATATAAAAGCCACATAGAGAGACATATAAAGGCCCCAGAAATAGGAGAGAGGGAGGTTATTTGGGAATTTCCAGCCCAGCCCAGCTACCAGGTGAATTAAGCCACATAAGCGATCTCAATCAATATAATATGGAGCAGAACTGCCTCATCTACCAGAAGCATGACAAATATGTATGTTAAGCCACTGTTTGGGGAGAGTTTGTTACACAGCAATAGATAACTGATAGACCAGCTGAACTTTTAACAAACTTAATTGCACATACAACATGCATGATAAATTAGAATCACAAGAAGCCTAGCCACAGACCAAGTCTGAATCCAGCCACACATTTTATTCCAAGGATATTCACCAAGTGCATAGAAGTGACATGCTGGTGGCTAGAGGCAGGATAGAAGAGCTAAAGGAGTTCTCTCTGAAGTACTTATTTCCCAGCTGAAGAGCAACAGCAGAGCAGGAAGCCTGAGATTGTAACTATGATGAAGTTTGAACTTTCACTGATTGTGAGGCGGTGACTAGCTAAGGTTTTTCAGGGCAGAAGAAAAAGTCTAACATCAATAACTTAAGATTCTATAGAAAGAAGATAGGGTAATAAGAGTAAAGTAAACCCAGAATATGGCAAAGTATGAAAATAATAAAGATAAGGGTAGAAGTGAACAAAATAGAAGACATAAGAGAAAAAAATTAACAAAGTCATATGTTGGGTCTTTGAAATGATTAACAGAATTGATAAAGTCCGACTTATTCTAATTTAGAAGTAGGAGATACTGAGAGAAAAAGAAATAGAAAAAGAGGCTAATACATTCCGCACTATTGGGAATGAACGAGCGCTTATCACAGCAAATCTTATATACATTAAAACAATAATGGGAGAATATTATAAGCAACTTTATGCCAAAAAGTTTATTGGCATATAGCACTATTTTTCCTTAGGGGTCTAGTGTCTGTCAATGTTTTGTTTTGTTTGGTTTGGTTTTCTGGGCTTGTGAACAAGAGGGTATTAACTATTATTCTGCCCAGAATTGTGCAATGAGAATGGCTTGAAGGCCAGGCTCTAGTCAGTCAGTCCTAGTGAGTTAAAGGAGGAGAGAGAAAAGCAAGGAGAGTAGAGAGCCCTAGGCACACAAAACCACTATTGATACTCTCCTTTGCTGCCATTCCACCAGGCAGATTTCTGAGTAGTTTCACCCTTAAGTACTTAGGAAGAAGCACCACTGGCAGAAGGCAGCCTTCCCACGCTGCAACTCCATCGTCATTGGGCCATTGGAAGGGGAAGAAATGGAAGTGTGAACATCCAACAACATCTTGGCTTCACTCCAGCTACTTTCAGCTATCTCACCCCAGCAGAGCTTTTGTGCTATTCCGTTATTACCGGTAGGCTGCTGCCAACAATCTCTCTCTGATGAAGAAGTGGGTACTGATTGTCCAAGGACATGTGGAAGAGGCAAGAGCAGAGCTTCAAAACTTCCCTCCCTCCTCTCACTGCCTCTTGCAGCTTGCCACATGAGACTGCAGTTCGAGATAGCCTTTGCCCCACCCCCTTACTTTACAGTCTATTCAGGTTGATTTCTCCATCTTGACAGGAACCAAAAATATTTTTAATTCTTTCTGGAAGCCCTGTGGTTTATATTGATATTATTCTTTACCATCATCCAATATTTAATTCCCTCTTGTCAGCTCTCCTCCCACAGTCTCATTCCCATTTTGTTTTGGGCTTCTTTCCCCTAAACCAATCATACTGCTCCCTTCCCTCTAAAGCTTATTTACTGTGTCTTAGAGAACCTCCTCTCCATGTAAAAATATCTCTATTACACCCTCCATCTCTCCCAACTCCTTGCCTTAACTGACTCCTGGGTGCACCCCAAGTACACAGCCTCCACCACAGCCCACTCAGGGGCTGATGCCCATTCTGCCATACATATCAGGCTTAGATTGTGCATCTCTTTTCCTCATCACTCTTCCTGACCAGCCTCCAGCCACCTCTCTCTGATTATTCAAAGACTTTGGCAAACAACACAGTCTTTCCACCCACCTAATGCTATCATCCTCTGTGACTTCAGCATTGTGTGGACAGCCCATTTACTACACTGTCCTTTAAATACCTTCCTCTCCTCAATTCCAATGCCTTCAACTCCATGCCATCTCAGCTATTATTTCAGTTTAAACAGCAACAAAAATCATGTTCATTAATTAAGTGCTTACTATTTGCCAGGAAATACACTTAGTATTTTGTATGACTGCCATATATAACCCTGACAGCATTATTTTACTATGAATTAGGTACTATTGTTGATTATATTCATTTTCCAAATGAGAAGACTGAAGTTTTGAGAGTTTAGGTAACTTGTCCAAGATCGGTCACACAGTTCACAATTAAAAGAGCAAATATTCTGGAAGATTCAATCAGGAGGGGAAGAAAGAACACTTAAAAATTTCAAAGTCAAAAATATATGAAGTTTTTATATTATCTACACTCTTCTCTCCTCCCTATGGCACTAAAGAAAAAGGTCAAGAATCGATGCACCAATAACAGAATCTTCTGTATCAAAAGCAGCTGCATAAGTGGTTAAGTTGGCAAGAGAAGTGAATCATTTTAAAAAATGATGAAACACAAATCAATCTGTTTTAATCTTTGTTAGAAAAGAAAGATATTTTGCTAGACATTCCTGGTGCTGACACAATTATTACCAGAATATTTATGAAAGTTGAGCGAAATTGGTCCCTAGAGAGTTAAAAACAACTTAACTAATATGCTGAAAAAGAAAATAAATATCTTGCAAATCCTGAATCATGAGAGGAATCTAAAATACCTTACTCTTACTCTTATCTTTATCAAAAATAATGATGTCTAATATTATTCTATGAATTTGATCTTTTATTAGTTGTCAAGCATTACTTAATGACCATGTCTACATAATATTTATACCCAGAGATATGAAGAAATAGAACAAGGAAATCATTAGTATGATTTTATAGTATATATTTTATGTATATGTATATATATAGTAAAAAATACATACATATATATAGATAGATAAATATAATCTCCTATTCTGTTTTGGAAAACTCTGACTAATACATGCATCATACATCATATATATTTCTTAAGCTGGGTGGTAAGTACATGGATGTTTGTTTTACCATTATTCTTTGTATATTATTATTTCTACATATTAAATATGTATTAAAACCAATTGATTTTAAAGAGCGATACAGGTTTGGCTCTTGTCTCCCAGTGGCTTTCCCTGATTCTCAAGCCCCTGAGATGAAATACCATGCTGCAGAGTGGGCAAGAGCCCACTGCAGAACCATCAAGCAAGCAGCCCCTAGGGATAAATTTGGGGGCAGAAAGCAGCAAGCCTCAGTTCGGCGTGGGACCTAAGGCTTGTTATCCAACACAGTCCATGGAAAGCCCTATCTTTGTGGGTGATGAAGTGATGCTTTGATAGTCAACCTTATCAAATCAGTTCTCAAAGACACAATTTCACAAAGAATAAGCAGATCAAATCCCACTATTGTGACTACATATAAATGTTTACAGAGAAGTATTCACAGGGTTTTTAAATAATATGTCGTTCATTTATTCTGAATCTTATATTGATAGATATTGCCAGAAGATTTCAGTATAGCAGATAAAATACAGCAAATCCTAACTAGCACAGGTTTTAGTGACAAACGGGCCCATTCCATGGACATAGATGACTTCCTCAGGTAATTACATTTTTGTTTTCCTAAGTGTTTACATTTCTTTACTGTGACACCTTCAGATTAGAGATTTTAAAGGCTTTTAAACGGTATAAGGTGCCACCTGGGAGAGTTATTACATAGCACTTCCATGGCATGGAATATGATTTGTTGTAGAAGACGGAAGCTAGTTAGCTGCAGCAGAATGAATATTTTCTTTAAGAACAGTAGTAAAGAACAGTCCGAGGCAGAAGATTGCCACTGTGTTAATGTGGTGTGCATGTTCCTCCCTTCCTACTCTCTCCCCAACTCTCATTCATAGTCTTAGTCTTAATAGCTTATCCCTCCAAAATAGTCCATAAGGTAGAAAAATCGTAATACATGTAACTGGATCTGATTTTTAAAATTTCCCTACTGGGAGTAGCTATTGTTAAATCACTCTTAAGCATACAATAATGTCAGAATCCTACCTGGTTATCCGTTTAGTAATAACATAGTTAGTTTTGTAGCCTGAGGCAAGTTCTACACTTCTCAAGTAAAAAGATGTTATAATTATCTAGGTAATTTAGACCAAAATTTGTTTTGCTTGAATTAAGCAAGTAAGTCTTATGAAAATAGAATAAGGTTTCAATTAATTACCCAGGTAATTACTAACCTGTACTTACTGTTTTTAATCATTAACACGTTAACTTTCTGAAGTTCTTGCCTATTTAGCCAATTCATTTTAAAGCTTCCATGTTCTAGAAGCTGAATAAAAAATGAGGATAGATTGTTATAAAAGTCATTGGTTTGACTTTTTCTAAGCTGGAAACACAGTTCTATATAACTAAGACAAATGGAGTTTATATTTTATTGGCTAGCTAGCAGTACTACTGAATCTTTTTAAATGTTAATCCTAGGCATTGAATATTATTCATAAGTACCTACTTTGCTTTTTTAGACAACTTATCTGGACCTGTTTCTATGGGCCAGCCTAAAAATAACCTCAGGTCTAAAGAGAAATATTTTATATTTTCCTTTTTTTAATTTTTTTATTATTATACTTTAAGTTCTAGGGTACATGTGCACAACATGCAGGTTTGTTACATATGTATACATGTGCCATCTAGGTTTGCTGCACCCATCAACTCATCATTGGCTATCCCTCCGCCAACCCCCCACCCCGTGACAGGCCCCAGTGTGTGATGTTCCCTGCCCTGTGTCCAAGTGATCTCATTGTTCAATTACCACCTATGAGTGAGAACATACGGTGTTTGGTTTTCTGTCCTTGTGATAGCTTGCTGGGAATGATGGTTTCCAGCTTCATCCATGTCCCTGCAAAGGACATGAACTCATCCTTTTTTATGGCTGCATAGTATTCCATGGTGTGTATGTGCCACATTTTCTTAATCCAGTCTATTATTGATGGACATTTGGGTTGGTTCCAAGTCTTTGCTGTTGTGAATAGTGCTGCAATAAACATATGTGTGCATGTGTCTTTATAGTAGCATGATTTATAATCCTTTGGGTATATACCCAGTAATGGGATGGCTGGGTCAAATGGTAATTCTAGTTATAGATCCTTGAGGAATCACCACACTGTCTTCCACAATGGTTGAACTAATTTACACTCCCACCAACAGTGTAAAAGCATTCCTATTTCTGCACATCCTCTCCAGCATCTGTTGTTTTCTGAGTTTTTAATGATTGCCATTCTAACTGGTGTGAGATAGTATCTCACTGTGGTTTTGATTCGCATTTGTGTGATGGCAAGTGATGATGAGCATTTTTTCATGTGTCTGTTGGCTGCATAAATGTCTTCTTTTGAGAAGTGTCTGTTCATATCCTTTGCCCACTTGTTGATGGGGTTGTTTGATTTTTTCTTGTAAATTTGTTTGAGTTCATTGTAGATTCTGGATATTAGCCCTTTGTCAGATGGGTAGATTGTAAAAATTTTCTCCAATTCTGTAGGTTGTCTGTTCACTCTGATGGTAGTTTCTTTTGCTGTGCAGAAGCTCTTTAGTTTAATTAGATCCCATTTGTCAATTTTGGCTTCTGTTGCCATTACTTTTGGTGTTTTAGTCATGAAGTGCTTGCCCATGCCTATGTCCTGAATGGAATTGCCTAGGTTTTCTTCTAGGGTTTTTATGGTTTTAGATCTAACATTTAAGTCTTTAATCCATCTTGAATTAATTGTAATTCAATTGAATTAATTGAATAAGGTGTAAGGAAGGGATCCAGTTTCAGCTTTCTACATATGGCTAGCCAGTTTTCCCAGCACCATTTATTAAATAGGGAATCTTTCTTCATTTCTTGTTTTTGTCAGGTTTGTCAAAGATCAGATGGTTGTAGATGTGTGGTATTATTTCCAAGAGCTGTATTCTGTTCCATTGCTCTATATCTCTGTTTTGGTATCAGTACCATGCTGTTTTGGTTACTGTAGCCTTGTAGTAGAGTTTGAAGTCAGGTAGCGTGATGCCTCCAGCTTTGTTCTTTTGGCTTAGGATTATCTTGGCAATGTGGGCTCTTTTTTGCTTCCATATGAACTTTAAAGTAGTTTTTTCCAATTCTGTGAAGAAAGTCATTGGTAGCTTGATGGGGATGGCATTGAATCTATAAATTACCTTGGGCAGTATGGCCATTTTCACAATATTGATTCTTCCTATTCATGAGCATGGAATGTTCTTCCATTTGTTTGTGTCCTCTTTTATTTCATTGAGCAGTGGTTCGTAGTTCTCCTTGAAGAGGTCCTTCATATCCCTTGTAAGTTGGATTCCTAGGTATTTTATTCTCTTTGAAGCAATAGTGAATGGGAGTTCACTCATGATTTGGCTCTCTGTATGTCTGTCATTGGTGTATAGGAATGCTTGTGATTTTGGCACATTAATTTTGTATCCTGAGACTTTGCCGAAGTTGCTTATCAGCTTAAGGAGATTTTGGGCTGAGATGGTGGGGTTTTCTAGATATACAATCATGTCATCTGCAAACAGGGACAATTTGACTTCCTCTTTTCCTAATTGAATATCCTTTATTTCTTTCTCTTGCCTGATTTCCCTGGCCAGAACTTCCAATACTATGTTGAGTAGGAGTGGTGAGAGAGGGCATCCCTGTCTTGTGCCAGTTTTCAAAGGGAATGCTTCCAGTTTTTGCCCATTCAGTATGACATTGTCTGTGGGTTTGTCATAAATAGCTCTTATTATTTTGAGATACCTCCCATCAATACCTAGTTTATTGAGAGTTTTTAGCATGAAGTGCTGTTGAATTTTGTCAAAGGCCTTTTCTGCATCTATTTTGTCTTTGGTTCTGTTTATATGATAGATTACATTTATTGGTTTGTGTAGGTTGAACCAGCCTTGCATCCCAGGGATGAAGCCCACTTGATCTTGGTGGATAAGCTTTTTGATGTGCTGCTGGATTTGGTTTGCCAGTATTTTATTGAGGATTTTTGCATCAATGTTCATCAGGGATATTGGTCTAAGATTCTCTTTTTTTGTTGTGCCTCTGCCAGGCTTTGGTATCAGGATGATGTTGGCCTCATAAAAGGAATTAGGAGAATTCTCTCTTTTTCTATTGTTTGCAATGGTTTCAGAAGGAACGGTACCAGCCCCTCTTTGTACCTCCAGTAGAATTCGGCTGTGAATCCGTCTGGTCCTGGGCTTTTTTTTGGTTGGTAGGCTATTAATTATTGCCTCAATTTCAGAACCTGTTATTGGTCTATACAGGGATTCAACATCTTCCTGGTTTAGTCTTGGGAGGGTGTGTGTGTCCAGGAATTTATCCATTTCTTCTAGATTTTCTAGTTTATTTGCATAGAGGTGTTTATAGTATTCTCTGATGGTAGTTTGTATTTCTGTGGGATTGGTGGTGATATCCCCTTTATCATTTTTATTGTGTCTATTTGATTCTTCTCTCTATTCTTCTTTATTAGTCTTGCTAGCAGTGTATCAATTTTGTTGATCTTTTCAAAAAACCAGCTCCTGGATTCATTGATTTTTCGAAGGGTTTTTTGTGTCTCCATCTCCTTCAGTTCTGCTCTGATCTTAGTTATTTCTTGCCTTCTGCTAGCTTTTGAATGTGTTTGCTCTTGCTTCTCTAGTTCTTTTAATTGTGATGTTAGGGTGTCCATTTTAGATCTTTCCTGCTTTCTCTTGTGGGCATTTAGTGCTGTAAGTTTCTCTCTACACACTGCTGTAAATGTGCCCCAGAGATTCTGGTATGTTGTGTCTTTGTTCTCATTGGTTTCAAAGAACATCTTTATTTCTGCCTTCATTTCGTTATGCACCCGGTAGTCATTCAGGAGCAGGTTTTTCAGTTTCCATGTAGTTGAGAGGTTTTGAGTGAGTTTCTTAATCCTGAATTCTAGTTTGGTTGCACTGTGGCCTGAGGGACAGTTTGTTATAATTTCTGTTCTTTTACATTTGCTGAGGAGTGCTTTGCTTCCAACTATGTGGTCAATTTTGGAATAAGTGTGATGTGGTGCTGAGAACAATGTATATTCTGTTGATTTGGGGTGGAGAGTTCTGTAGATGTCTATTAGGTCTGCTTGGTGCAGAGCTGAGTTCAATTCCTGGATATCCTTGTTAACTTTCTCTCTCGTTGATCTGTCTAATGTTGACAGTGGGGTGTTAAAGTCTCCCATTATTATTGTGTGGGAGTCTGAGTCTCTTTGTAGGTCTCTAAGGACTTGCTTTATGAATCTGGGTGCTCCTGTATTGGGTGCATATATATTTAGGATAGTTAGCTCTTCTCATTGAATTGATCCCTTTACCATTATGTAATGGCCTTCTTTGTCTCTTTTGATCTTTGTTGGTTTAAAATCGGTTTTTATCAGAGACTAGGATTGCAACTCCTGCTTTTTTTTGCTTTCCATTTGCTTGGTAGATCTTCCTCTATCCCTTTATTTTGAGCCTATGTGTGTCTCTGCATGTGAGATGGGTCTCCTGAATACAGCACACTGATGGGTCTTGAACTCTTTATCCAATTTGCCAGTCTGTGTCTTTTAATTGGAGCATTTAGCCCATTTACATTTAAGGTTAATATTGTTATGTGTGAATTTGATCCTGTCATTATGATGTTAGCTGGTTTTTTTGCTCATTAGTTGATGCAGTTTCTTCCTAGCATTGATGGTCTTTGCAATTTGGCATGTTTTTGCAATGGCTGGTACCAGTTGTTCCATGTTTAGTGCTTCCTTCAGGAGCTCTTTTAGGGCAGGCCTGGTGGTGACAAAATCTCTCAGCATTTGTTTGTCTGTAAAGGATATGATTTCTCCTTCACTTATGAAGCTTAGTTTGGCTGGATATGAAATTCTGGTTGAAAATTCTTTTCTTTAAGAATGTTGAATATTGGCCCCCACTCTCTTCTAGCTTGTAGAGTTTCTGCCGAGAGATCCGCTGTTAGTCTGATGGGCTTCCCTTTGTTGGTAACCCGACCTTTCTCTCTGGCTGCCCTTAACATTTTTTCCTTCATTTCAACTTTGGTGAATCTGACAATTATGTGCCTTGGTGTTGCTCTTCTCAAGGAGTATCTTTGTGGTGTTCTCTGTATTTCCTGAATTTGAATGTTGGCCTGCCTCGCTAGGTTGGGGAAGTTCTCCTGGATAATATCCTTAAAGAGTGTTTTCCAACTTGGTTCCATTCTCCTCATCACTTTCAGGTACACCAATCAGATGTAGATTTGGTCTTTTCACATAGTCCCATATTTTTTGGAGGCTTTGTTCATTTCTTTTTACTCTTTTTTCTCTAAACTTCTCTTCTCACTTCATTTCATTCATTTGATCTTCAATCATTGATACCCTTTCCTCCACTTGATCAAATCGGCTACTGAAGCTTGTGCGTGCATCACGTAGTTCTCGTGCCATGGTTTTCAGCTCCATCAGGTCATTTAAGGTCTTCTCTACACTGTTTATTCTAGTTAGCCATTTGTCTAATTTTTTTCAAGGTTTTTAGCTTCTTTGTGATGGGTTCGAACATCCTCCTTTAGCTTGGAGAAGTTTGTTATTACTGATCGTCTGAAGCCTTCTCCTCTCAACTCGTCAAAGTCATTCTCCATCCAGCTTTGCTCCATTGCTGGAGAGGAGCTGCGTTCCTTTGGAGAAGAAGAGGTGCTCTGATTCTTAGAATTTTCAGCTTTTCTGCTCTGGTTTCTCCCCATCTTTGTAGTTTTATCTACCTTTGGTCTTTGATGATGGTGACGTACAGATGGGGTTTTGGTGTGGATGCCCTTTCTGTTTGTTAGTTTTCATTCTAACAGTCAGGACCCTCAGCTGCAGGTCTGTTGGAGTTTGCTGGAGGTCCACTCCAGAATCCGTTTGCCTGGATATCACCAGCAGAGGCTGCAGAACAGCAAATATTGCAGAACGGCAAATTTTGCTGCCTGATCTTTCCTCTGGAAGCTTCATCTCAGAGGGGCACCTGGCTGTATGAGGTGTCAGTCGGCCCCTACTGGGAGGTGTCTCCCAGTTAGGCTACTCGGGGGTCAGGGACCCACTTGAAGAGGCAGTCTGTCCATTCTCAGATCTCAAACTCCGTGCTGGGAGAACCACTACTCTCTTCAAAGCTGTCGGACAGGGACGTTTAAGTCTGTAGCAGTTTCTGCTGCCTTTTGTTCAGCTATGCCCTGCTCCCAGAGGTGGAGTCTACAGAGGCAGGCAGGCTTCCTTGAGCTGTGGTGGGCTCCACCCAGTTGGAGCTTCCAGGCAGCTTTGTTTACCTACTCAAGCCTCAGCAATGGCAGACGCCCCTCCCCCGGCCTCGCTGCCGCCTTGCAGTTTGATCTCAGACTGCTGTGCTAGCAGTGAGTGAGGCTCCATGGGCGTGGGACCCTCCTAGCCAGGCGTGGGATATAATCTCCAGGTGTGCCATTTGCTTAGGCCGTTTTTAAAGCGCAGTATTAGGGTGGGAGTGTCCAGATTTTCCAGGTACCGTCTGTCATGGCTTACCTTTGCTAGGAAAGGGAATTCCCCAACCCCTTGTGCTTCCCAGGTGAGGTGATGCCCCGCCCTGCTCCATGGGCTGCACCCACTGTCTGACAAGTCCTAGTGAGATGAACCTGGTACCTCAGTTGGAAATGCAGAAATCACCTGTCTTCTGTGTCGCTCATGCTGGGAGCTGCAGACTGGAGCTGTTCCTATTTGGCCATCTTGGAACCTCCTTATCTTTTCCTTCATTTTCACTAAATGTCCTCAAAGTTATTGAACATGTGCAGTTTACTAACTAGAATCTAGTAAGTACCTAGGTATCTACAGAGAAAAACAGTGTGTACTGAATTTGAATATAAATAATAGCTCAAGAGAGGAAGAATGGGCATGTAAGATTGGTCATTCATCTGACTTCTGCCAATTCCAAACAGCTTCTTGTTCAATTACCATGTTGAAATGAAACAAGTGTCAATGAGCTCTTAGGCCTGGGATAACAAAAGTCTAAGATAATTTTAGTCAAATTTGTTATAACATATAGGCTATTAAAAGTTATAATGACAACCAGAAATGTCAAGTTGTTAATCTACTCTCTGTTTGTGAGCCATAACAGGATTTTTCATCAGATTACATGAACAGTAATTTCTTTCAAAAATACAAAACAAATCTTTTCAGTGCCATTTCACAACTAAAGCATCTAACTTCCAGCAGACCACCCATAGTCACCCAAGTCACTGTGACTGAACTATCCATGTTACATGCCTTAAAAGTATATTGATTCCATGGCATATGCCATATTGAACTTTCAAAGCAAAGCAATTCCCAATGAATGCTATAAAATGAGTGCACTTAAGTCTCACATTCTTGCAAAATGTTGCCACCTTAATTTAAATGTTATAATACTGAAATAAATATAAACTAATGTCATCCATTAAAGGAGTCCCTTCACTTAAAAAATTTTGGTCATTCTATATTAAACTTTGGAAGATAATTCTTAACATATAAAAATACATCATTTTTTGATGATACACTTGTCATGGGCACTATGTCTGAAAGTTCTTCAGTCACATCTAAATTTTTATCAATACCAAGATAATATAGAATATTGTGTGGTATTATTTATATCTGTGTTCTCTTCAGCTACAATTAAAAAGGACTCCATAAATGCTCCTATGCATACCTTCCACATACCAAGAAACAGTATTTCTAAAGAGGCTTCTCTCTGTAAGTGCTTGCCTCTATTAAGACCATTTCTGCTGCACTCAGTAGTTAATCTTATAAATTCACCATCTGCAAATATTTTGATGCTTGGTCAATTTTTTCAGTTAACCCATAATTACATTTTACAGCATTTGCACCTACATTCCAAAGCAAGCCCTACTGAAATTTTAGTTTCTTTATCCAAGCATCAGGTTTTTCTTTTTTATCAATTATCTTATATCAGTCATAGTCCTAGGATGGTTTGTTTCCTAATGACTTTCTTGAGTTGTAGTCTTTCAGAACAGATGTGCTTTCAATATTAAAGGCATGGAATATTTTTCTCTTACATGCACACATATAAAATATTCCATCTTGCTCTCTCCCATTTTTCTTGCCCATGTAGCCTTCTTGGTCTATCTTTTATTGTGCCACTGTTGCTATAGACCAGGATACAAGAAATGTTTCACTTCTTAGTAAATGGTGACCCACGCTCAGTCTCAGTGTGAAGATCACATGAAGAGGCAGAGTCTGGAGTAATTCCAGGATTCACCTCCTGTCAATAATTGTGACCCAAAAATGCGGGTCCATTACTGTCAAATAGCCTGCTGTTTTAAGAGATGCCAGAAATACACACTTGAGGTTAGAAAACACACACATAATTTTTAACATCGGCAAATAATTCAACTTTTCCCAACACTGTACAGCTCAGATAAAACACATTGCTGGCCAGGCATAGTCTACACTGGATTTACCTGAGACTCCAGAAAACACTTTGGTATTTCAGTTGTTGAGATGACCTTACCAAATGCAAAGGTAATTTAAGATACATAAACGTAAGCAATTCCCAAGAAAATATAGGACTCCAGTGGCAGGTAATTAAATTTTGGGTTCCTAAGCTCTACAGAAAAGTACCTGTACTGCTGATTAAATGGCAAAACAAGAGACATCTGGCCCATTGTCATGCAAGCTCATTCTGGACAGTACTTAAATGCAAAGATAAAGGAAAAAGCTATTACCATTTTCCCTTCAATCTTTATGCATGGTGAATGGAAAGATAAATAAAAAAAGTTAAGTTACCTTTCTCCCTTCAATCATTACACACAGTAAAGTCTACCATTTTTACCCTTTTATTAATCTTTTTCTGTTTTATAAAATCTGAAAGTGTGTCATTTTGTGCCATTTTGTGGCTTCCCAATATAAATGTACCAGAATATCTGCAATTTCAGGTAAAAACAAAGAAATATCCTCCTACCCAAAGGAGATAAAGAAGATGATTAACTTACATTTAAATTTAATAATTTACGGCCAGGCGTGGTAGCTTACGCCTGTAATCCCCCCACTTCAGGAGGCCAAGAGGGCAGATCACTTGAGGTCAGGAGCTGGAGACCAGCCTGGCCAGCATGGTGAAACCCCGTCTCTACTAAAAATACAAAAATTATCTGGGCGTGGTAGCAGGTATCTGCAATCCCAGCTACTGGGGAGGCTGAGGCAGAAAAATCACTTGAACCCTGGAGGTGGAGTTTGCAGTGAGCTGAGATCACACCACTGCACTCCAGCCTGGGCAACAGAGTGACTCTGCTTCAAAAAAAAAAATTAATAATTTAGTCACAAAGCTAAAAACAAATTCTATCCTATCTGAGAAAGCAGCAGAATAAAATAATTTCTGAAAAACTTCCTGGTGACTAATTGTCTACTTTTACATGATTTTGCAGAATAACTACCCTTTTAGGGGTTAATTAACAGTTACTTAATGAAAATTTTATGTTAGCAATTTCGGTTCTAACTTCTTAATGATTAAATTTTATTCATCAATGTTGTTTTTTAGTTTTTAATTATTTTTAGTCTTATAACACATTTATATCACCTCTTTTACCAAATTAACCTTTATGATTCAATGAAAAAATACAAGGTACAAGTCACAGATGGACTGCAATTGGGAAATTTACAGACACTGATGAAAATATTAAAAACCTCTTAACATTGTTTTTTAGGCTAAGGCCCTCCTTAAGTTTTTAACGCTCTTAATTGACTTGCTATCATGGGTCAGACAGACTCAACAAAGTGTGTAAAATTAGTGGTAGTGCATGCAAATTATGTTTTAAAGATGGGGCCAAGGAAGTACAATAATTCAACCAATTCATTCATTGGTATATTACAGCATTAATACTTATTCATCTCACAAATGTTAGTTTGGCACCTACTATGTGTCTGCTAAGCCCACTATACTGGGCACTGGGGATAAAATGATGAACAAGCACCCAGAGAGATTATATAATTACTACTTATTGAGTGCTGTATCATATATAATACTATTGTAAGAATATATGTTCATTTGAATTGCAAAACTGAAGCATAGCCTACTATAAATATCCTTGTACCCTTTCTACATTTTCTACTTAAACATTTGGAAGTTTCAAATGTGTAGAAATGATACCTGTTAATAGAATTATGCACATATTAGAGGTAATTTTACATTGTTATATCAAGCATATGAAAGCCTGGAGATTCGTTATTTAATCAAGTGGTTCCAGAGTCAGCTAGCATATTATTAACCAGCTTCTCTACTCTGCCATATGCAAAATACTTGTGTACAGAAAACAAGCACTAAACTTGAAACATCCCTATGAGAAATTTTATTTCCATTAAAAATATATATCTGTATATATATAAACAAACATGCACACACACATCCCTTGTATATGTATGTCCTAAATGTACACTGAAGAATCCTAGAAAATGATCAACACAGCAGCAAAATCTCCATTACTGCAATTAGTTCCCATTAAAATAAGCCAGATTTTCTTGAAGAAATTGCTCATTTCAAGTCTGGGGCAAGAAATGTACAAGAAGCATGTGGACTATCTTGACGTATCAGACAGTTAGCTATCAACATGAATCAAGGGCCACCTTCAAGAGGATACTACTGGTCAAAGATGGGATAGTTTGAGGTTCAACAAAAAAAGGAATTGCAGTGGGTTCAAACTTATAAAATATGTCCAAATCCATGAGTCCATAATAGTATTTTTTAAATTTATAAGATGATAGAGAACCAATTTATTTTCTTGAATAATGACTAAAAGGGGGAAGGGGGAGGAAGCCTTGATAAGAGAGCCTTTCTTATATAAATTGAAATACTGAGCAACCAAATGGTTGAGGAGGGGAAGGATTTTTTTATGAAATTATTCCAGTTATGAGATGAAAATGAAATTATAGAATATCTCCATCCGAATTCATAAATTAAGGCATCAACAGCTGCTAACATCAAAGAAAATCAAAAGTAGACATGATGCAGCTCCTGATAAAAATAAAAATAAACCAGGACCACCTATAGTCTTGCCAAAGTATTAGGATCTCAGTTTGATCATTTCTCTGTATCCAGCTGCCAATTTGCAGGAAATATAGGCAAAAAAGGAACAAGCTGAACTGTACCATTAGTGTGCAATCAGTAAACTCCAAATGGTGGGAAACTGTAGAGGTCAAACAAAACAGCTCCAGTTCTTCAAAAAATCATTTGTGAGGGAAAGATAGGAATGACAGGGACTAAAAAACACATCAATTTTTTTTATTTGGCAAGACTAAACTATTTTATATAGCAATGCACCTTAGAAGAAACAACCATAAAGAAACATAATGAAATGACTACTATAAAAGTCAATGGTTACTTTGGGAGAGGAAAGGAAGCTGTGATTGTGATGTGACACACAGAGGGACTTCTGAGGTTCTGTCAAAGTTCTATTTCTTGACCTGAGTGGTGGTTATAAGAGTCTTCACTCACTCACCTGTACATGTTTTATGGATTTTCTGCATTACCTACTTAGGCATTTCTCACAGTAGACAGCAGAGTACAAGTACCACCAGGTTGATGTACAATTAATCTTGGATTTAAACAGTTCACATTCTGTTCAGTGCTCACTTTCTGAGGATGAGCACCAAGTGAAGTTTTTCATCAAATCAGGCAACTAGGAAATATCTATAAAGAACTAGTGTATTCCAGGCATTATTTTTAGCTTCTTTCTAAATTTACATTAAAATAAAATAAACTATCCTGGCATAAATAAATCATGAGTTCTGGCTTTATTTATTTAATAACTATTGTGTACCCCCTGGGTACTGGGCATTGTGCCAAAAACACAAGGAGGAAGAAGCTGAACATGTTTCCTAACTTCAAGAAGTTCATGTAATCGCCATTCATGAATTGAGTGGTATATTGTAACAGGTTCTTAATGTGCTTGATATATATGATCTCATTTTCATTCACCAGAATCTCCATTTTATACAAAAAGAAACTAAAATGTAAAGAGATTATGTAGAATGCCCTTTTAGGTCAGGCTAATTTCATAATCAGTGTTCTCAAGTGCTTGCCAAAGCTTCTTAAACTGGGATTCTAATTTTCTTGGGGATACTTGATGATATGCCAGGGCTACAAAAAAAAAAATCAAAGGATAAATGTGCAGCATTTTCCTGGAGTGATAATTGTACTAAATTGTAAATAATTTAAGACATATTTGACACTAACATGTATATATTTCAGAGTGTTACATAAGGCTGAAATACATTTTTAAGATAAAACCTACGATTACAACAGAGTCATTTCACTCTAGAAGGTCAGGGATCAAATCTTTGTTATTCATGGCAAGTGATATGTGCCTATGTCTGTCATTCTCTGTCCCACATTCTTTACTTAGATAACTAAAGTCAATCACCTGTCCCAGGTGACTAGTGTTAATAATCACTAGTCACTGCAAATTTATCCTCATGAGGTCCTTGATGATTTAATTCTCCAGATTGATTTTATTAGTTAGGAGGTCTTAAAAAACGAGTAAGATATCTACACTGGTGAATATTTTCACTGTTCTAACTAATCAAATACTTAAACAGATGTAATGTTAAAATAATGAATTCAAAGTAAGATTGACTTTTGAATGGCATCTGATGGCTGGAAAGTGGTAGAGCTAAACTGACCAAAATAAACTATGATATTGTGGATAATGAGTTGACGTTCCATTCTGCACTCTTCAGAGCCTAGTTGTGAGGACTTGGATAAATCTAATAGATACATAACCCAAAGCTTTTTATAAGTAGTATTGCAAAATAAGAGCATGAACAATATAAAAGTAAGTACCAAACTCCTTTTGGAAGAAAGAGGCTATAGGCATTTACCTGGTCTGGCTGTAGATCCCTCCAGGCATACAGCTACATTTCCTCATGGTTGTGCCAAAGACTGGTGGTGGCTGGGGTGGGGGAATGATTCACACTAACAGAACAGTCATCCAAGGAAAATTCTGTGCCAGGAGTGAGGAAATCATTGACTGGGAAGTGATGCAGGAGATCCAAGAGCCAAAAGAATTTAACTGAGCTAGGGCTCAAACTGGAAAAGCAGACAAAAAGTTGGAAAAACGGATTGTAGGTCAAAACTGGGTGATCAGAGATGATATCAGGATACAAGAAAGCTAAGGCCAGTAGAGAAACCGTATTTCCCAGCAGAACCATGCCAAACAATAGGCAAGGAAACCTAGTATCTTAAAAAAAAAGTTGTTATATAATCCATCTTTTATTTGAACCCTAAAAGTAGCCCTAAATTTTTAACAAGCATGGCTAATGGAAAAAAAATGTGTCTTTTTAGGGAGTCAAAAAGGAGTCAAGTTTAGTATGGTAGTGGTAGATGAAAACAGAACCTTGAAGATCAATATTTGTCATATGATAAATTACCCTCTGTCCCACTGTCTTAGTCCATTTTCTTTTGCTATAACAGAATACGATAGACTGGGTAATTTATAAAGAATAGAAGTTTGTTTGGCTCATGGTTCTAGAGGCTGGGAAGTGCAAAAGCATGGTGCCAATAGCAAGGCCACCTGGCAAAGGCCTTATGCTGCATGATCTCATGAAGGAAGTCATCTCATGGCAAGAGAACACAGGAGACAGAGAGAAAGAAATGGGGCCAAACTTCAGCCTTTTATCAAGACCACTCCCAAAATAAATAACCCATTCCCCCAGCAATGGCATTAAACCATTCATGAGAGCAGAATCCTCATAATCTCATCACCTCTTAAAGACTCCACCTCTCAATACTATTACACTGGCAACTAAATTTCAGCATGATTTTTGGAGGTGACATTCCAACTGTAGCACCTACATGGTTCTATAAATCAAGGAAAAAATAAGGTATACTGTTTAGCATTAAATAAATACCTCAAAATACAATAAAATTAAAAACAGTCACTTCTCTTTGAGAAAGTAAGGTTGGTTGGTTGGTTGGTTGGTTGGTTGGTTGGTTGGTTGATTGGTTGGTTGGTTGGTTTTGGTTTCCCAGTCTTACCACTGTGCCTAACACATAGTGGACCCTCAATACGCATTTGACAAATAAATGAAGGACGGTTTTGTGTCTGGACAATATAAGATTTCTTTGTCATGATTCCTCAGTGAAATTCCAATCTCTTTCTTGCCTTAGATTTTTTCAAAACTATATTATTAGTAAATTTTTTACTCTGAAATTTCTGTATAAAAATAGCCAGAGCAGAAGGTTTGAATTCCATTAAATATGTTTCTAAAATGGTTCGATTTTTTTTAAGTTTTACATGGATAATTCTTTAGATTTCAAACTTTAGAGATGTTTATTCCAGTTTCAAAACACACATCTGCAGTGTTTGCAGTTGGACAGAGATTACTGCTTTAAAATCTCTCATTCTGTTGCTTCTTACCCTAAAGTTAACCAGAAGCAGAATCACTTGTACAAATAACAGTGACAGTGGTACAATGGTGATTAGAAAGCTGCTGGTTTGTAATATACAGTGTGTTTCAGTACTTTCATAGTCAGTGAACACATAAAATGAAAATGATTCCACATTTGGCTGGATGAGTTGTCTGTGTTTAATAGATTACAATAACATGGGAGGGCAATATCAGGATAAACTAAGCGACATATGAAAGGCCTGCATTTGTTCATCAACTCATTTTATGACCAATGTAGATCTTGCAGGAAAAAACTACTCTGCAGTGAAAACTAGTTAGAGATATTTCTTTCAAGAAGCCAAGGGTTATCATAACTGAATTCTTACTCTTTCAATCTACTTTCCTGCAGATCTTCCTGAAAACTACCTCATTTAAAAAAAAATCACTTATAATAAGGAGAAAAATTATTCCACTGTGGGAGGTTTAGATCTGGAAAGAGGTAGAAAACAAGTTATTTTCATGGCATAGAGTTTATATGTTTAAGAAACAATAAATTCTAAGAATACTTGTGGAGAAACATATTACTTTTAGCCCTCAATCAGAAATCAACGTGTGGGGAACCTTCACTTCCAGCCAAAATGGATTAAGAAAGACTGGTTTACAGCCCCACCTTAAACAACTAGAAGACCAAACAAAACATATGAAAAAAAAAGTGGTTTTCAGACATTGAACAACAGGCAGCATGAGACTTGACCCCTGCAAAAATGGAAACAAATGGGGTGAATTCTACTTACTGCCTAGATGAATTCCCATGCTGCAGCAGAGATGGTGTGACCCTAACAGAGACTGACGGTATTGCTGGGTTGAAGAGACAGAGTTCAGAGAATAGGGAAGCCAAGGAAGCTAGAATGTGTGGGAAAGAATACTAAAGAGGAGGGAGCTGCACGGAGAGCATGTAGAGGGGTCCCCTCCAATCTTGACCGCTGCACTATGACTATCTAGTCATGGCTAAGAGAAAAATGCCCCAGGCCAAGCAAAAAATCAGTAGACCAAACAATTTCCTGACCTTACACAAGGCTAGGAATGTTTTGTTTTCCCACCAGTCAGAATGGAAAGATGTCCCAATACCCAGGGCTTTGGGTAGAGTCCTCAGAAGGGTATCGCCAAATTAGCCCTAGACTAAATATTGCACTCAATTTGCCCAATAAAACTTAAAAGCAAGCCTCAGAAGGATCAAACTGATTTCATGTAACTTAACTGCGCGCTAGAGCAAAGCCCAAAAACATTTAAAGGAATATGACAAAAATCTAGCATGCAACAACATAAAATAAAAGTCTGGCACCCAATCAAAAACTCCCAGTAATGTATGATCAACAACCAAGAGAAGAATCAAACAATAGAAACTAATTTAGAAATTATGAAATGATGAAATTAGAAGAAAAAACCTAAAAATAACTATTAAACTACTAGCTATTAAAGCTATGATGTATATATTCAAGAGGGAGAGGAAAACGTGAACATGAGGTAGATAAAAATGAGAGCATTTTTTAAAGATCCAAATGAGACTTCTAGAGATGAAAAACACAATATGTGGGGGAGGGAGTCAACATGTTTCAAGTAAAATTGTTGTGGGGCAAAATCCACAAAAACTTGGTGTCACACATTAACCAGTGGGGTTATTTATGTAGATAGCAGCTCTCAGGACTCTCTATCAAATGAGACAATGGTCTTCATTGTAGTAGAATTGTTTCCCAAACTTTCTTAGGGCACATTCTCTTCTTTCTTCTTTTTTATTTTTTTCTTTCTTTTTTTTTTTTAGACGGAGTCTTGCTCTGTCCTCCAGGCTGGAGTGCAGTGGCGCTATCTCGGTTCACTGCAAGCTCCGCCTCCCGGGTTCACGCAGTTCTCCTGCCTCAGCCTCCCCCCGAGTAGCTGGGACTCAGGCACCCGCCACCACGCCCAGCTAATTTTTTGTACTTTTTAGTAGAGACGGGGTTTCACCGTGTTTGCCAGGATGGTCTTGATCTCCTGACCTCGTGATCCGCCCGCCTCGGCCTCCCAAAGTGCTGGGATTACAGGCTTGAGCCACCACGTCTTAGGGCACGTTCTCAAGAGCAAGAAGCCAGATGAAGCTTCTTTCATCTTAAGAGAGCTAATCATATTTGCCATCAAAAAGCATGATCTCCTCTATTCCTGTAGGTTTCAGGAGCTATTCTAGAAGGACTGGTAGAGGAGACACAAACTAATCAAATATTTTCCCATGTAAAATGGGGTCAGCCGTGGCCTTGTATCTACCAAGATGTTTTGCAGTCCGTATCCTGCTTAGGTTCTCTGTGGAATATGCCAGTGATGGCTACTTCCTTCTTAAAACTCTCCCCATCCTCAGCTTTTCACCACCATTTCTCTTTCTGTTTCCTCCTTTCCTAACCCCTCCCTCTCCGTCTTCTTTGCTGATGCTCAAGAAGATTATTAAAGCTAAGAACATTTAATTTTCAGAGCTTCTATCAATCTGTTCCAGAATCAGACATTTTTATAAAATTTGTAAGAATTTATAAAAGTAATATATGTTCCCTGAACTTTGAAATACAGGTAAGGGAACATTGAGTTGAGGGATACATGTAGGGGAGGTTTAAAGGGATACAGGCATTCCTCAAAGATATTTCACGTTTGGTTCCAGACCACCCTAATAAAACTACTATCACAATAAAGCAAATCACAAGGAATTTTTACTTTCCCAGTGCATATAAAAGTTATGTTTATACTATACTGTGGTTTCTTCATTGTGTAATAGCATTAAATTAATATCTAAGATTGTATATCTTAATTTTAAAATACTTCATTGCTAAAAAATGCTAGTGACCACCTGAGCTTTTAGCAAGTCATAATCACCTCTTGTGTTTCCTGCAGAGTGACAGCATTATTATACTCAGCCTGGGAGACCCTAAATGAGAGGCAATGTTCCTGTGAGAAAAGTAGGTTTCTGTTAAAACAAGAAATAGAGGTAGGATACTGTAAAGATGTTCAAGACAGAGCCGAGATTCTATGAAAGAAAAGGTAGTTCTAAAAGACACAATGGAAAAAGTTGCCAGAGATGGAAGCAAATAAATATGCATTGGGAGCAGAAGGCACACAGTGGTATTCTGATGAACATTAACACATCAGAGACAACTGTATTGGCTTGAATTGAGGGTCTTGGCACAAGAGAAGAATGATGGCATGGTAGCATTAACTTCAAGGCTCTGGTTAGAATTCTGACAAATGACAGCCATCTGCAACCCTATTGAGCCCATAACCTACAGATCAGTGCCTGAGCAAAGTTGTATTCAAATAGCATATGCCCAAGAGCTTAGAAAATAGTTTAAAGAAATTCCATTATTTACTTACATCTCCTGAAGGACATTAAAAGAATCTGATACATAATGCACAGCAACACTTCTCATATCCCTTTCTTCGTGGTCCTCTGATTATTACACATATGTCTTACACATGAGGAAAAAAGGCTCAAAACTATTAAATGAGGGAAGGAGCCAGGCTTTGGGGCAGAGAATTCCAGGCTTGAGTTGGATAGCTAGCATTTGATTTCTGGCCTGCCAGTTACAAACTGGAACAAGTCAGCTAAGTACTCTGAGCCCCCTTTCCTGGAAGAGAGGGCAATATCTCCCTCACAGATCTGTTGTTAGGATTACATTTTTAATTGAGACAGATGTCAGGCAATCATCTCAGGAAAATACCAGCAAATATCACGTTGGAGCAGGCTGGAAGGCGTAGGCCTCAGGGTCAGTGGAGTCTCAAGTTCTCCTTTCTTGCAGCCTCCTGTGACACTCGTGGACTGGCACAGAACTAGATGTACCCTAGAGCTATGCTCATGCTATGGGACCCCACCCATGTCTCTCCTTTTATGGGACAAGCATAAGCATATCCTTAATAGGGAAAATGAACACCAAGGCTCTGGCAGCAGGCAGGATGAGCATAGGTGCCAGCTGGTTGGAAGCTTGTGAGAAAACAGTGGCTGCCCAGAACACTTGGAAACCTGGGAGGACTGTGTATTAGTCCATTCTTTCACTGCTATAAATATGCTACCTGAAACTGGGTAATTTATAAAGAAAGGATGCTTAATTGAGTCACAGTTTTGCTGGCTAGGGAGGCCTCAGGAAACTTACAATCATGGCAGAAGGTGAAGGGGAAGCAAGGCATGTCTTACATGGCAGCAGGAGAGAGAGAGAGAGAGCACATACAGGGGAAAGTGACACTTTTAAGCCATCAGATATCATGAGAACTCCCTCACTATCATGAGAAGAGCATGGGGAACCACCCCCATGATCCAATCACCTCCCACCAGGCCACTCCCTCAACAGATGGGGATTACAACTTGAGATGAGGTTTGGGTGGAGACACAGAGCCAAACCACATCAGACTGCTTGCTAAGGGAAGTTGAACTCAGAAACAGCCACTGTCACTGAGGGAAGAGGGAGCTCCTGGCCCAACTAATTCAAATCACGTAGCTCTAAATCAATCTCTAACGCAACTCACGAGACTAATCGTATGGCTTGTCTCCACAACAGGATATAGGTAAAGACTTTAAAAACCATGTGTACTCTACAAATGTTTGTAAAGTCATCATTCATGAATTATATTGACTTTCTTCTACATTTAAAACTGGTAGTTGGAACTAGCCACTAAAGATACAAAAAATAAATGAGGTTTGGAGATAAACATACCTTGTTACTTCCAAACTCTACTCTATACTCTCGGACTTAGAAGCTTAATAATATCAAGCTTATATCAGTTACTGTTAACCTTTTTGGTTCATTAACTTCTTTGAGAAAAATGCAAGCTATTCACTCTCAACCCTAGAAAAACTGATATATATGTGTGCAAATCCAAAAATTGCATATAATTTCAAGGGATTCCAAGTAGACCCCAAGTTAAAATCCTGTGAAATAGATTACTAGCTCCCTTCTGCTGTGAGAAAAATGAGTCTTAAAGGAGTCAATGAATTTTCTTAAGGTAGGGAAATGATTAACAGAAATGCAAACCCAGATCCTCTGAATCCAAATGCAATGCTTTTCCTATGATCTACACAGTTATCTCAGTTGTCCACAAACATATATTCACCTGTAGCTTGGGCTCTGATGCCTCACTTCTCAGGGTGTTTAAGAAAGGTGGGAGTGACTTATAGGCATCCACATTGCCCTTTTCACTTTCTATGATGGTACAATTAGACAAATTCTTGCCATTGGTCTATTTCTCCTAAAAATATTTAAGTTTCTTCTATGTGCTTGGCACTGTAAGCTTAAGGGATAAGGAGGTGAAATATGTATGGCCACTGCAAGCATAAAGCTTATAATCTAGTTTGCTACCTCTCCTCTGAAAAGCAGAAAACCTTTGCAATGGTCATTTGTATACAGTCTAAATATTATAAGATATGTATAAAATATTCACCACCACTTTTAATACTCAAATATATATGTGCATGCATGTATATGTCTGTAAGTGCATTTATATAAGATATATAACCAGCTTTGAGTTGGTTCATTGGCATATATACTTTTTTTCCCCTCATTTTGTTTTTATTATAGCATGTTTGCTTAATTTACAGCAAGCAGAAAATAAGCTGGGTCTTGTTTTGATCCAAACATTGATGTTTTAAAGGTTGTACACAATATTTGTTACAAAGAACATATAAAATATCTTTTTAGAAGCCTCTATAAGAAAGAAAATACAAAGTTTAACCCCACAACTTTCCTCTTTGCTAGAACTGCAAACTACTGCTACAGTTTTAAATAGACCTTTTGTTGTTTAAACTATACATCCAGGAAAATCTTAAAAAATTAAAGAAACGTGCATATAAATGATTGCATAGCAGAACATTAACATTAACTGCAAACAGTAAAGAAATGAAAGTCAGAAATACTATCAAATATACAAAGGTTCTAGAATCAATCCTTTAAACACATTCCACAAACAGTATTTAAAATCCATTGTTGTATTATTTACAGGCAAAGCCTAGATTACTAAAACCAAAATTGAAAAAAGTAATCCTCTAAAAGGAATCGTTTCTCCATAATTCTTACTTATATCTGTAAGCAAGCAATCTGAGATATTTAAAGATGCTAGCTTTTTATTCTGAAATGAAATTGGACATGTCAAGTCACTTTTGTCCCCAAAACGATCTTTCAGAGAAATACTAGAAATTATAAATGGTTAAGGGTATTACTTCATTTTTAGTCAGGTACTACACTGATAATCAAAAGCTCAGAAGATGTGACTCTTGCTTAAAACTGACTAATCCTTTTTCCCAAATTATCTTAAATTTCATGGCACCACAGAATCACCTAGAATGAGTGTTGTCTTTCAACTTGCCTCGTATTAAATAAACTGAGGTGTGAAAAGCAGGCCTCCCTCATAAAAAGTCAGGCAAATTTTGATACAAATGCACGAGCCAAGTGCTGTAAGCATCAAAATTTCAGTTCTTTTACACTACATTGGCATATATACTTTATCTTAAAGGAGATTGTTGATAATTAATGGCAAGATGTGATTGGTGATTTATAAGTTGGTTAGATAATTTTTTAACTCTCAAAAAGTAAACTACAGTTGACCCTTGAAGAATGCAGAAGTTAGGGGCATCAACCCCCATGCAGTCAAAAATCTACATATAACTTTTGACTTCCCAAAAATTTAACTACCAATAGCCTACTGTTGACCAGAAGCCTTCCCAATAACATAAACAGTCAATTAACACATATTTTGTATATTATATACTGTATTAGTTTCACACTGCTGATAAAGACATACCTGAGACTGGGAAGAAAAAGAGATTTAATTGGACTTACAGTTCCACATGGCTGGAGAGGCCTCAGAATCATGGCAGGAGGCTAAAGGCACTTCTTACATTGTGGCAGAAAAAGAAAATGAGGAAGAAGCAAAAGTGGAAACCCCTGATAAACCCATCAGATCTCACGAGATTTATTCACTATCATGAGAATAGCAGGGGAAAGACTGGCCCCCATGATTCAATTGCCTCTCCCTGGGTCCCTCCCACAACACATGGGAATTCTAGGAGACAAAATTCAAGTTGAGATGAGGATACAGCCAAACCACATCATTCCGCCCCTGGCCCCTCCAAGTCTCATGTCCTCATATTTCAAAACCAATTATGCCTTCCCAACAGACCCCAAAGTCTTAACTCATTTCAGCATTAACCCAAAAGTCCACAATCCAAAGTCTCATCTGAGACAAGGCAAGTCCCTTCCACCTATGAGCCTGTAAAATCAAAAGCAAGCTAGTTACTTCCTAGATACAATGGGGGGTACAGACATTGGGTAAATACAGCTGTTCCAAATGGGAGAAATTGGCCAAACTAAAGGGGTTACAGGGCCCATGCAAGTCCAAAACCCAGCGAGGCAGTCAAATTTTAAAGCTCCAAAATGATCTCCTTTGAGTCCAGGTCTCACATCCAGGTCATGCTGATGCAATAGGTGGGTTCCCATGGTCTTAGTCATCTCCGCCCCTGTGGCTTTGTGGGGTACAGCTTCCCTCCCAGGTGCTTTCACAGGCTGGCGTTGAGTGTCTTCAGCTTTTCCAGGCACACAGTGCACACAGTACACACAGTGCAAGCTGTCATTGGATCTACTATTCTGGGGTCTGGAGGATGGTGGGCCTCTTCTCACAGCTCCACTAGGGAGTGCCCCAGTAGGGACTCTGTATGGGGGCTCTGACCCCACATTTCCTTTCTGCACTGCCCTAGCAGAGGTTCTTCATGAGGGCCCCACCCCTGAAGCAAACTTTTGCCTGGGCACCCAGGCATTTCCATACATCTTCTGAAATCTAAGCAGAGGTTCCCAAACATCAGTTCTTGACTTCTGTGCACCCGCAGGCTCAACACCACATGGAAGCTGTCAAGGTTTGCGCCTTCTACCCTCTGAAGCCACAGTCCAATCTGTACATCAGCCCCTTTCAGCATGGCTGGAGCAGCTGAAGCACAGAGCATCAAGTCCCTAGGCTGCACACAGCACAGGGACCCTGGGCCCAGCCCATGAAACCACTTTTTCCTCCTGGGCCTCAAGGCCCATAATGGGAGGGGCTCCCATGAAGGTCTCTGACACCGCCTGGAGACATTTTCCCCATGGTCTTGGAGATTAACATTAGGCTCCTTGCTTCTTATGCAAATTTCTGCAGCCAGCTTGAATTTCTCCTCAAAAAATGGGTTTTTCTTTTCTACTGCATCATCAGGCTGCAAATTTTCTGTAATTTTATGCTCTGTTTCCCTTTTAAAATGTAATTCTTTTAACAGTACCCAAGTCACCTCTTGAATGCTTTTCCACTTAGAAATGTCTTCCACCGGATACCCTAAATCATCTTTCTCAAGTTCAAAGTTCCACAAATTTCTAGGGCAGGGCAAAATTCCACCAGTCTCTTTGCTAAAACATAACAAGAGTCACCTTTACTCCAGTTCTCAACAAGTTCCTCATCTCAATCTGAGACCACCTCAGCCTGGACCTTATTTTTCATATCACTATCAGCATTTTTGTCAAAGCCATTCAACAAATCTCTAGAAGTTCCAAACTTTCCCACATTTTCCTGTCTTCTTCTGAGCCCTCCAAACTCTTCCAACCTCTGCCTGTTACCCAGTTCAAAAGTTGCTTCCACATTTTCAGATATCTTTTCAGCAATGCCCCACTCTACTGGTACCTATTTACTGTATTAGTCCATTTTCACACTGCTGATAAAGACATACCCAAGACTGGGAAGAAAAAGAGGTTTAATTGCACTTACAGTTCCACATGGCTCGGGAGGCCTCAGAATCATGGTGGGAAGTGAAAGGTACGTCTTACATCACAGCAGCAGGAGAAAATGAGGAAGAAGCAAAGTGGAAACTCATGATAAACCCACCAGATCTCATGAGACTTATTCACTATCAGGAGAATAGCAGGGAAAAGCTGGCCCCCTGATTCAATTACCTCCCCTTGGGTCCCTCCCACAACAGGTGGGAATTCTGGGAGATACAATTCAAGTTGAAATTTGAATGGGGACACAGCCAAACCATATCATATATGTATTATATACTGTATGCTTAGAATAAAACAAGTAGAGAAAAGAAAATGTTATTAAGAAAATCATAAGGAAGAGAAAATATATTTACTGTTCATTAAGTGGACGTGAATCATCATAAAGGTCTTCATCCTTGTCATTTTTACATTGTATAGGCTGAGGAGAAGGAGGAAAAGGAAGGATTGGTCTTGCTGTCTCAGAGGTGGCAGAGGCAGAAGAAAATCCACGTATAGGTTGACCCACACAGTTCAAACCTCTGTTGTTCAAGAATCAACTGTAATTGGATTGACCTTATTGAAAGAACAATTTAAAAGAGATTTTGAACAACTTGTCCTTCATGATTCCAGACTCTCTACAAATTTGTTATTCAATAACTCTGATATTATGGTCACACTATTCAAAAATATTGATTTTGGGGGTGCTGCAGGAGGAAAAGAGCATGTTAAGAAAAAGTTGGGGGAATAATAGCATTACATGGCCCCATGGAAACCTTTCAGAAATTAAATAAGCCATGTTAACTCAATATATTCAGTTTCATCTTGAATTGGTCAGTTTAGATAGGTTGCTACAGTAACAAATAATTCCAAGATTTCAGGGATGTAAAAAACAGAAGTGTATTTCTTGCTCAAGCAGAGTCAGCACTGGCCCAGGATGCTCTCCAGGGCAGCTGTCCTCCATATGTTGGCTGGGCATTCTCAGCTGCTTCAGTTTAATGGCATCTCTGTCTCAACACGTACCTTCATCACTGCCAAAGCCAAAGAAAGAGAGTATGGAGAAATACACTTGACTCTTAAATGTTTCCACCCAGATGTCCCTTCTCCTCCTGTTTCACTGGCAACATGGGTCACATGGCCATACCTAGCTTCAGTGGAGCAGAGAACTGTCCCTCCTGTAAGATCAGAGGGAGAGGGTAAGAATCAGATGCCGTAACGTCTAACATGGGTGTCTTCAAACTTCATATCAACAACATGACTCAACAAATAGTTTTCAATGTGGAAAGTTTTGACTGAAGTTATTTTTCTTTGTTTTAAGAAAACAAGATGCTATATCAGCTTTTTTTCATTGTAACTTTTAGTAACATATTAAGTAATTGTCCATCATAGGAATGCAATATTTTAGCTATTTCAAATGTTTTCATTAGATTAAATCTAGACTAGAGAAGCAACCACCTCACATTCATTCTAAAATAAAACAGACAAAACACAATATATACTCAAAGTCACAACCTAGTAGTCACATTTGAGTATCAGTCCCATCTGGTTTCCAGCTCTGATTTCACTTGCCCTAGCCAAGTGATTGAATTAACCCTTGGGGGCTGCTAGTTCAGAAAACCAGGGACAATATGTCTCAAAGTTTGGCCTGATAAGCAAATTAAATAATAAAAATGAAAATGGTGTTAAGTCTCTAAATCAGAATGAAAATGAATATGTTGTTGAAAATACATATAATTTGAAGGTAAGACTTGGTTAAAAAATAATCTGCCCTAAAATTTAAATTCCAGCTATTAATCAAAACATATGATTAGCTCTTATCGTAATATCCCATGATATGGAAAAGAGATTTGGCAGAGTTTTTTATCATGTTTAATTATTGCTTATTTTATAGTTTTATAAGCAACTGGAAATATCTATTTGAGTTCTTAAATAACCCTAATGAGTAGCATTTATGCAATCTCTTCCATGAGATCACTGTCATTGTTGGCTCCCAGGAAAAATCATGAGGTGGTCGAAAGTGAAAAAGTACTCAAATTAAACCCATCTGCAGATACTAACATAATAGAGCTAACTTGGATGTAAAAGGGAAAAACAATCAGGGTTTTACGTAATAAATCTTATTCCAGAAATAGGAAGGGCATGTATTCAAGTTAACTGAACTATCTGGCTTTGCATTTAATGTCCACTCTATGTGAATTGTCTAGTTATATTAAAATCTCATTCTAAAACTAAATATTGGTCTAATGTTGCTATTTTTTCATAACAGATTCAAGCAAAAAGAGAGGAACAGGAGAAGGAGGAAGAGAAAGAGAGGATGAGGGAAAGGAAAGAGGATGTAAAGAAGGAAGAGCAGAAGAGAAAGAAGTAAAAATGATTTGAAATGTGGTGCGTGAATCAGTTTGACAGGTAAACTCCCATTTGAAGTTTATATATTTGTAATCTCATGATTAGAAATGCACAGAAATGTCTTTCCTGAGAAATAAAATTGAAAGTGTTTTCTTCTCAGAAACATTTACAACTACAAACTAACTTACTATTACAAACTAATACAACAAGCCAAAGAAAAAAGATCAGGCCAACAGACAACCCTATATAACTCCTTGGAATAATGTTTGCTAATTTTATTTAAGCTAAGAAAGTAATTTCTTTGCACAAAATATCCTCTCTACCTTCCCGCAGTTTTTTTCCTCTGACGGATAGGACAATGTTCCAAAATAAATTTTCTTTTCTGGTACAGCCCTTCTAGTGTCCTTGCTTCTTAACCAAATGTGTGCTTCTAAACTGTATTTTCATTCAGCTTTATAATAAGAAAATTCATTCTGTATTAATTTTTAAAAAACAAATCTTTAACATTATTGTTCAAAGTTTCATTGAAAGACATCATATTAAAAGTTGATTATCTCTCAAGAAGAATAAAAATTTGCAATTTACAAATTCAATGCAATCCCTATCAAAATACCACCATCATTCTTCACAGAAGTATAAAAAAAATTCTAAAATTAATATGGAACCAAAAAAGAGCCTGCATAGCCCAAGCAAGACTAAGCAAAAAGAATGAATCTGCAGGCATCACACTACCTGATTTCAAACTATACTATAAGCCATAGTCACCAAAACAGCATGGTACTGGTATAAAAATAGGTACATTGACCAATGGAACAGAATAGAGAACCCATAAATAATCCCAAATACTTACAGCCAACTGATCTTCAACAAAGCAAACAAAAACATAAAGTGGGAAAAGGACACCCTTTTCAACAAATGGTGCTCGGATAATTAGCAAGCCACATGCAAGAAAAAAAAAAAAAAAGAATCCTCCTCTCTAACCTTATACAAAAATCAACTCGAGATGGATTAAGGATTTAAACCCAAGACCTGAAAATATAAAAATTCTAGAAGGTAACATTGGAAACCCTTCTAGACATTGGCTTAGGCAAGGATTTCATGCCCAAGAACCCAAAAGCAAATGCAATAAAAACAAAGATAAATAGCTGAAACCTAATTAAACTAAAGAGCTTTTGCATGATGAAAGGACCAGTCAGCAGAGTATACAGACAACTCACAGAGTGGGAGAAAATCTTCACAATCTATACATCTGACAAAGGACTAATATCCAGAATCTACAACGAACTCAAACAAATCAGTAAGAAAAAAAAACAAACAATCCCATTGAGAAGAATAAAAATTTAAGAAAAAAAAAGTAACAAATAGTCCAGACTGAACTTGGAATCCTGAAAAAGCAGTGGAACATTTCTTAAATATGTTTCTAATTTTGGTCACCAAAATACAACGGCATCTCACTAATGAGGTACATTTTCTCTGTACCCTATATGTGGAAACTCAGTTTTGTGAAATACTTTGACTCATCAATTCTTTTTCCCCTTAGCATTTTTTTGTAAAAGAAAGAAACCCTACACATATCCACATATATACTGAGTAGCCAAAAATTTGATCTGGCTCTGCCAGATAACAGTGTGTTTCCCATTAAAAGATTTGGCATAAGACAGCAAACATATGGAACATACTAACTGCCTATCACCTAACAATTAAATTAATATAATTTCTCCTATGGCTACAAAGGTTTGAGGCAATCTGCAGATCCTGAAATTGAACAGTGTTATCAACCGGGCTCACCAAACAGTTTTTGCTGGCAAATAAAGCCGTGAAAAATAAACCGTAAGGACAATTTGGAACTTGAACCAGAGATGCAGCCACCCAGTGCCAGAATGGTAGTCCAGCTTGCTACTTAGAGACACACTTCCTAAGAGAGGTATGACAATCCTGGGAAATGAAGCCCTAAAGTTGTCCCATGATGCAGATCATCACTAGACAATGTATTAAAACCTGATCTTTCATGAAATACATCTGATCATTCATGAAAGATGAAAACACTGCTTACTTTTCACACCACTTTGAACTTAGTGGAAGTTAGAATGATGTAGTTGTTGTCCTATTTGTTTTGAGTATTAAATCTGTTTAGATTGACTATTCTCTTATTTAGGAACAGGGTGGGCCTTACTCAAACATAACAAATATAATTTGTGGTCAGCTGGGAAAATTCCCTCTGCCTCAAAATGATCTTCCCTCTAACATTTTGCTGATTCTACAAACTCCACTACAAGTCATTGGTTCCTGCTAAGAGAAACCTATGCCCTCAGGATCTCCTTAAATGTCAATTACTGCAAGAAGGGTGTCACACTGTGCTCTAATTCTAACTAATTTGGGGTTGATTTGTGAAGGAGATTTTATTCTTTCCAATAGGGGTTAGCAAACCATGGTCTGTGAGCCAGAGATGTTGGAACACAGCCACGCTCATGCCTTGACTTCAGCCTATGGCTGCTTTTGTGCTGCAACAGCTGAGTGGAGCTGAGTAGTTGAGGCAGAGAAGGGAAGGCCCACAAAACCTAGAAGACTTACACCTGGCCCTTTACAGAAAAAGTGTACCAATTCCTGATACAGAGCACCTAGAGACATGGACAAAATAAAGAGGAAATGGGGAAAGTGAAGTAAGAATGCTTTACCCTTGGGGGGCACTCTGCTTTTTTTTTTTTAAACACACCCCCACGTCTGAGCAACATTCTGCTTTTAAGAAAGGATCTTTGCATAACTAATTCTCACAATATAACCTGCAGAGATTGAAATCACAGACTCTGGCACACGTAGGTGCTCAAGAAATATCTGTTGGATGCATACATTCATTCATCCAACAGATAATGTATCAAGACTTATTATATGCAAGGTACTGTTATAGGATATGTGAAAAGAGCAGTAAGTCAGGAAAAAGTAAATTCTAGTCCCATAAGCTTTCATTCTAGTGTGGGGAGACAAAAAATGAACATGTAATTATACCAATGATTAATAATATGTTAGTACAAAGAACAGTGGAGAGGTACAATTTTACAGAGTGGTCACAGAAGGTCTCCCTGATTCCAAGACATTTGAGCAGAGACCTGTAGGAAGTGAGAGAAGTTACAGGCTACCTGAGGGAAATGCAAAGGCCCTGAGGTGGTAAGGAGCTTGGTGGGTCCCAAGAAGCCACTGTGGCTGAAATATAGTGAGGGAAGGGTTATGGCAGGTCACAGGTCAGATGGGGAAAGAAAGCAGCAGCAGTTAGGGCCCTGAAGGCCACATAAGAAACTTGGAATTTTACTCTGAGCTATTAAAAGTTTTAAGAAAAGGAGGAGACACAACCTCACTTGCATTGAGAATAGTCCCTCTGCCTACTGCGTGGAGCACCGACTGTGAGGCAACCAAGGTAAATATCTTCATAGAGTAGACCAATTGCTGTGAAATCAAACCAACAACAACAACAAAAAAAAAAACCCCACTTCTTCCACATAGTAGGCTCTTTCTCCCTTGGGAAAAACATATTAACAAACTTGTCTGGTTATTAAAGGTAGACCCCACATGGCACCCCACCTTGAACATACCCTAGAAGGCAGAGGTATAAAAAGAGAAGACTTAAATTGGCCTTTACAATAAATTGACAAAAGTATTTTGTATTCCCCACAAGGTAGGGAAGACACAGATCTGGGATACTCTGATGTAGGATAAAGAAGAAGATTCTGGGAGAAAGAAGTAACCTGAGCCACAGAGCTGGGGCAGGGACCTCAGAAGGCACCAGAGGTGGAGCTGGCTAGAGACTTTGAACATAATGATGTTTAATATTCAATTTTAAGCTGTTTACTTCTCTCTGTATTGAAATGTAACAACCCCATGCACACTCTCCATTACCCTCAAACATTTCATGAAAATATGTCTGCTATGCACAGCTATTTGGCGCTAGTGAGGTTTTAGAAAATTTCGAAAGAGGAGCAAGAGAGAAGGAGGCTTCATCGTAACCTGCATCAGGAGAAACCTAAGCTCTCCCATTCTGTCCACCAAGAAAAAAAGTGCTTAAAAATACTGGTAACGACATGCCATTGTGTGGGTTAGGAAATCAAGATAATTCATTTAGAAGTTTTTTAAGGGTCATTCCAGAATGTTAGAGGGTTTGTGGTCCATCATTTTAGGAGCCAAAACTTTGGTTACATACGCAAGTTCAAATTAAGGATATCAAGGCACTAATAAGGTAAGTGGCCTTGCATACAGGTTAGGTGAAAGTCATAAACCTGGTTCCCTGGTAAAGCTAGGGCCCAAGCCTAGTCTTCTAATTCCTTGTCAAGTCCACTTCACCATGGCTGCCTTGCCAACACAACCTTTCCTAAGCCCAGATGTGTTGATGTGCATTGCGCCAGATTTCTGAAGACTCAAGTCACTTCCTGAGATAAATTACTCATATAGGAAAGCAGACTAGCAGTTATTGTAAACAACTCTAAGACTCTCATCTAAAGAGCGGATATGCCTTCCTAAAGGGCGTGCTCCAAGGCAAATAAATCCTTTGGATCTAAGTCTACCTTTTAGCACACACAAGAACACTTTCAGCTCATTGATCCAGAAGTGATAAAGGAAATGAAAAGTTCAGCCAACCAAAATGGGGTGCTCAAAGGGGTTCTTTTAAGGTCCAGGCTGCACAGGGTAGTTCTGTTTTGTCCCCACCAAAGTTAGCCTCTGCCAAAGAATTGCTCCGGGCTCTGGCCACCACATGTGCCTACAACCCCCAAAGCAGAAAGCCTGGGAAAGAATCACATACTCATAAAGGCCCCATAATTAGGCACATTCACTGGGAATGGTGTTTAAGTTATCAATCATGGGGTACAAGAAGAATTAATAAAATTCTGTATATTTTTAAAACTTTTTATAGAATTATACATTACTAACATTTCAAATACAAGAATGAAACTGACCAGGTTTTGACTGACTGAATTTTAGGACTTGCATAAGTTACTTAGCCTTTCTGAGGCCATTACCAATAAAATGGAGATCACAATGTCTACTTTATATGACGGTTTCAGAATTGGAGTTATTGTATATACAGTAGCACTATGCCTGGCACAGAGATGGGGTTCAATAAGTAATACCCATTATTATTAATTAGTAGTAATAATAATATTAATTACTTGAAGTAAGCAGAGCTGATCCCATGCTGAGGCCATGCTGAGGGCCACCCACCTGATTTGTAGAGCATCCTTGAGTACTTGCTGACAACAGTAAAGTTTCAACCTAAGGGTGCTATATACTTCCATAGGTAACTTCTCTTTTCCAGAATACAAAGATCCAAGAGGCACAACGTGGTCAAGATAACAATAGGAATTCAAGTTTCTATAAGCAGCATAAACGCCTCTCAGAACTATAATCTGTTTCTGTCCCCAAACTAAGACATTGTATAGAAATCCTAACCTTGGCTATGGCCAGGAAAACTCATAATCACCAGATATGAAAAATAAAAATGAAATGATAATTTACTTACTTCTTACCGGGACAAACCTTTGCAATCTTTATTTAAATTACTAATATAGACAAAGTCATAAGTGAATGCAGTAAGTAATTCTGGAAATGTTTGGGTCAGGATGGCTAGGCAATAGAAGGCCCTGGGCAACTTAGCCTGAGCCACTGTCCTGGGAAATGTTTCAAAAGAAAGGTTGGCACAGAAGACCACACAGATTAGCCAGGGGGGCCTGAGTTCTGGTCTTAACCTCTACCATTTACCAGTCACATAAACATCTGCAAGTCAAATAACTTCTCCAAGCCTCAGTGTTCCTATCTGTAAATGGGGGATAACAACTTACCCACCTGCTTTACTGGAAGATTGAAATAATATACATGAATGTACTTTATAAACTATGAAGTGCTGTGTGTAAGGTATTAGCATTATTTGTCAGTTCTGCTCCATCCACAGTAAAGCAAATAAGTTTTTGGTTTATGAGTATCCAGTAAGCTGACAATTAGATATGAGGGTATTTTCTGGTTTTTTGTTTATTTGTTTCCAGAATTATCTTGTTCCTTCTTTATACAAGTTCCTAAAACAGAGAGTAAATTAGGCATTTGGGACTCCCACAGACCACCAAGTGACTTGAATTCAGTAAGTTTTCACTGCACTCATGATCTCATTACAGACACAAGTTTCGCTATGGGCAAGATGAATAGGGTTCCCTATGCGAAACCTTAAAGCTTGGTTAGTCTTTAGCAACCCCTCCTGTCCTCTTCACTCTCTCTCTTTCAGTAATACCCTAAACTTCTCCAGTACTCAGGATTCTCATATTTTTCCCTGGTCACCAACCCTACCAGCAGCCCACTCCAGCCTGGCATCCTGAGGAAGGACCCCCAGTTTGGGCCTTTCTAGTCTCCCATCCTCGCCTCTCATAACAAATTGTACCTGTTCTAAGTTGCATCATTCTTTACAAGACGTACCTTCTGCTGACCTGCTAATGAAAGACAGTGATGTCTCTCCCACATAACGGATTTTCATTTGGGTCTTGTTAGATAATGCTTAGATTTCAAAGGAGACTACAGTGGCAGAAAATTTGAAAACCAACACAAGAGGTATTTTAGGTATTCACACACACACTCATTTATTCACTCATAAAGCATGTATTCAGCACCCACAGTGGATTAAGACTCAGTCAGGGAGAGAGAGGTTACAATGACAATAAATGCAGTGTGTGATAAGGGACTAGGTCAGGCCTAATTTGCCTGGACATAAAAACCAGGGGAAAGGCTGCTCTCGGCCAGAGCCCAGAATCTCTAACTAGGTCAACCCATACCCATTGCATCACACTGCTACCCAGCAACAGACTCTCAACTGCAATAAAGCATTTCTAGTTGCAGTTAAAAATTAATTGAAAATGCAGAAGATATAATTCTTGCCCTCAAAGATATCCCAATCAAATAGGAAAGACAAAAAAATCAGTTCATTATAATACAAGGAGATACGGGCTGATTGTTGATCTAATCAAATACCGCTAAAACCAGACAAATATCAGGAATTTAAAAGAATTTTATCCCCTAGCAACAGAATGCAAGTATCATATAACACTAATAGCCCATAATAGTAATGACAGTTAGCTTGTGCCCATCAGGAGCAAAATTCTAAAGATATTCTCATATTGGAAACTAACAATCAAACCCCTAATCCTGGTCCTGTTCCTTAGAAGCTCACAATCTAGTAGGGGAAACAGATAATATTTATAACAATGTGATAATCAACATGAGAGAACTCTGACAAGCTACTGTAGGAACAAGAGATGGAAACAACCTAAGTGTCTGTTGATGGATAATTGGATAAAGGAACCATGGCTAATATTATTTAGCCTTTTAAAAGAAAGATCTTGTCATTTGCCACAACGTGGATGAACCTGGAGGACATGCTAAGTGAAATAAGCCAGACATAGAAAAACGTTTTTAAAAGTAAAATATACAGAGTTAGAGAGTAAAACAGTGGTGATGGGAGGGGGAATTGAAGAGATGTAGGTCAGAGGATACAAAGTATCATACCAAATAGGTTGAATGAATAACTCTAGAGATCTAATGTGCAACATCAGGAGTATAGGCAATAACATTGGGCTGTATTTGGAATTCTTGCAAAGTGAGATTTTATCTCCTCTTGCCACAAAAACAAACATAATGGATAACAAGATGATGGATATTCACTTCATGATAGTTAATTTACTTCATGATAGTAACCATTTTGCAATCTCTATGCATCGCCTAATATCATGTTGTATACCTTAAATATACACAATAAAATTTATTTAAAAAAATAAAGACTCAGCACCATTTATTAAATAGGGTCTTTATTTTTTTAAATAAATTTTATTGTGTATATTCCCTATTTAATAAATGGTGCTGGGAAAACTGGCTAGCCATATGTAGGAAGCTGAAACTGGATCCCTTCCTTACACCTTATACAAAAATCAATTCAAGATGGATTAAAGATTTAAACGTTAGACCTAAAACCATAAAAACCCTAGAAGAAAACCTAGGCATTACCATTCAGGACATAGGCATGGGCAAGGACTTCCTGTCCAAAACACCAAAAGCAATGGCAACAAAAGACAAAATTGACAAATGGGATCTAATTAAACTAAAGAGCTTCTGCACAGAAAAAGAAACTACCATCAGAGTGAACAGGCAACCTACAAAATGGGAGAAAATTTTCGCAACCTACTCATCTGACAAAGGGCTAATATCCAGAATCTACAATGAACTCAAACAAATTTACAAGAAAAAAACAAACAACCCCATCAAAAAGTGGGCGAAGGACATGAACAGACACTTCTCAAAAGAAGACATTTATGCAGCCAAAAAACACATGAAAAAATGCTCATCATCACTGGCCATCAGAGAAATGCAAATCAAAACCACTATGAGATACCATCTCACACTAGTTAGAATGGCAATCATTAAAAAGTCAGGAAACAACAGGTGCTGGAGAGGATGCGGAGAAATAGGAACACTTTTACACTGTTGGTGGGACTGTAAACTGGTTCGACCATTGTGGAAGTCAGTGTGGCGATTCCTCAGGGATCTAGAACTAGAAATACCATTTGACCCAGCCATCCCATTACTGGGTATATACCCAAATGACTATAAATCATGCTGCTATAAAGACACATGCACACGTATGTTTATTGTGGCATTATTCACAATAGCAAAGACTTGGAACCAACCCAAATGTCCAACAATGATAGACTGGATTAAGAAAATGTGGCACATATACATCATGGAATACTATGCAGCCATAAAAAATGGTGAGTTCATGTCCTTTGTAGGGACATGGATGAAATTGGAAACCATCATTCTCAGTAAACTATCGCAAGAACAAAAAACCAAACACCGCATATTCTCACTCATAGGTGGGAATTGAACATTGAGATCACATGGACACAGGAAGGGGAATATCATACTCTGGGGACTGTGGTGGGGTCGGGGGAGGGGGGAGGGATAGCATTGGGAGATATACCTAATGCTAGATGACGAGTTAGTGGGTGCAGCGCACCAGCATGGCACATGTATACATATGTAACTAACCTGCACAAGGTGCACATGTACCCTAAAACTTAAAGTATGATAAAAAAAAAAAAAAAGATCATGATAAGTAAGCTCCAGATTCTAAAAAAAAAAAAAAAAAAAAAAAAAAAAAAGACTCAGGGAGAAGATGGCCACCTACAAGCCAAGGAAAGAGCCTCAGAAAAAAAAAACCACATAATTGTGAGAAAATAAGTTTCTGTTGTAGAAGCCACAGTGGTAATTTGTTATGGCAACCCCTGCAAACTAATACGGTAAGTAAAATCCAAATTTTTTACTATGTCTTACAAAACCCTATGATTATGTCCTGCCCAAATTTCTCTTCTTCTTTAAATGCCAGCCATTATGGCCTTCTAGACATTCCTTGATGATAGGATTGTTCTGATGTTTCCAAGTTTTTATACTCATTGTTCTCAGTGTCTGACATGATAGTTCTATTTTTGTTTTCTTAGAAATCTCAATACTGTTTTTCACAATGACTCCACCAATCTACATTCCCACCAACAGTGTACAGGGCTCCTTTGTCTCCACGCCCTCACCAACATTTGTTATCTTTTGACTTTTTGATAATAGCAATCCAACAGATGTGAGGTGACATCTTTGATTTTGATTTGCATTTCCCTGATGATTAATGATGTTGAGGACCCTTTCATCTGTTGGACATTTTTAATCTTCCTTGGAGAAATGTCTACTAGGGTCCTTTGCCAATTTAATTAGGTTATTTGTTTTTATACTGTTGAGTTGTATGTGTTCTTTATAATTTTTGGATATTAACCACCCATCAGATAAATGGTTTGCAAATTTTTTTTCCCATTGAGAATTGGGGGGAAAAAGCTACTTTTTTATTTTGCTGATTATTTTCTTTGCAGTGCTTTCCTGTGTCTTTACATGGTCTTCCCTCTGTACCCATCTGTGTCCTAACTCTCCTTATGAGGACACCAGTCATATTGGATTAGAGTCCACACTAATGACTTCATTTTATTATATTTACCACTTTTAAGAATGTGTTTCCAAGTGCAGTCACATTCTGAGGTACTGGGTTTCAGGACTTCAACATAAGGATTTGGTAGGGACACAATGGAGTCCATAACACTTACGAAAATAAAGCCATTAAGAGGATTTAAGCAAGAAAATGACATAATCCAATATGTATTTTAAGAGTAGTATGGCAGAAAAAAATAGAGAAGAGGAAAAGTGGTGATGGGAAGATTAGCTTGGAGATTATTTCAGTAATCTAGACCAAAAGAGACATTCTTAACCTGGAACCCACAGGTAGGTTAGGACATGCTGTATTTATAGAATCACATGAGGATGCATATGTACCCATAATGTAATTTAGTCTGAAAGCGCCATCATATCCAAGAAGCACAGTGCAATAGCCAAAATAAATAAAAAGTAATTAACAAATCCCATGGTTTACTCATATTACTCAAAGGAATTCCAACAGAAAACGCATGAAATCACTTGCCAAAATCTTTTGTTCTCCTGCTCACTTGCTCTTTTCCTAGGGGTATTTCAGCATCTCTCTCCCCAAAACCTTCAAAGAGAAATATTCCTCCATCACTCCTCCACTGCCTTCTTCTTCCATCAGAAGAAGAGCCCTTTCTTTTCTCTCTGAGAACTTTACCAGGTACATCAAATTTGCTTCTCTTCTGCAAAAAGAAATATTTGGAGAGAGAAAAAGATTGCTTCACATAAACTGAGGACTCTATTTATTAGGCAGAGAAGCTGTGGGGAAAATCTCTGAACATCCCCACATTAATCATTTTTGTCCAAGTTCATGCATTCTTTCTTCTTAAAGAGTCTTGATTTTTTTTCAGGTTCTCAAAGTGTTTAGTAAATATGTTTGATGGGTAGTAAATAACTGTCAAAAGAAAAAGAATGTGGTCGGGGGAGATGGGGAGAGATTGTGATTGTCTAGGAACTGAGCAAGGCCATCTACCATTCTGTAACATTTAGACTGGTCCTAAATAGACCACCACACCTATGGTTATGCATCCTGCCCACATTGCATTCCAAAGCCAACTGTGCACTGATGAGACTTCAAACAAAGCTAATACAGTGACAGGGTATTGCCTTAAAGGACAAGGCTCTTATAAATAAGTATATTTTGCTTTGAACATGATTCACTAAGAAACCTTGAGTAAACTGCTGATTTGGGTCATCCAATCCAGTACTAAGTGATCTTTTCATTCCACTCAAGTAAAAAGTTAATAAAGATATGTAAATGATGATTCTCTCAGACCACAAATCTACTGTGTATAGACCATTATGAGATGTTGTGGTAAGAAAGGCTACAAGAGAGGGAAATAATACGTGCCTTAACCTCACCTTGTTTTCCCAGCTAATTTCTTCCCAGCCACCTAACCGAGGGCTTATTTCTTTGTAAGCCCTCACTCCAGGCTTAGCCAAATGGCTAATCTCTTGTGCACAGTAGCTTGTCAGTTCTCTCATTTCAATTACTACATTGTTATAAATATTATCTGTTTCCCTTACTAGATAGTGAACTTCTACGGAGCAGGACCAGGATTTTGTTTGTTTGTTTGTTTGTTTGTTTGTTTGTTTGCTGAGTACCTAGCAATTCAATACTTCAGATATTTACAAAGTATGTAAATACTCACTGATAAGCCTGACTTCAAATTTTACTTATAAATTTCTTTAATACTACCCTGCATCTTAGAATAAAAAGATCTAAGTACGTTGGCAATGATTTGGAATCTGGGAAGTTTTTCAGAGCAGCTAATTCTAAACAGGAAGCGTGGGTATCCTCAGCTCAACCCTGCCTAAGGATTAAGTAGCTGAGTCCATTTTCTTGGAAAGCATTAGGGGTCAGAGGCAGGAAGTTGATGGGAGCTGGTAGAGAAATTAAAGAAAGTTTCACCCATTCTTCAGTCATCTATGGAAGCATGTTCTCATACCATTCGACCTTTCAAAGGGAACTTCCCAAACTGCTTCTAATATATCCCATCCAAAGTTTCCCTCTGAATCATTCAAGAGCCATCTAGTTGTGGGTAGAACAACACTAAGTTATTGCAATACTGTTTTTCTTCAGTATCATGAGTATTACCACATCTCAATGAAGCTATTCATGGTTTGAGCCTCCTGAATCAGGTTACATAGAAGTCCAACATGTGACGCTCATTTTCTGGAAGCAAAAAAATTTAACCCTTCTATGAATCTAACTGCATGAGAACTACCTACTAGGTAGGCTTGTAAAATGCAGATTTTTAAGTTTACCTGAGACCTAGGCAATAAAATTCTCTGAGGTTGAGATCTAAAGAGGTCTCCCTTCTTAACAAGATCCTTGGCCGGGTGCGGTGGCTCATGCCTGTAATCCCAGCACTTTGGGAGGTGGAGGTGGGTGGATCACCTAAGGTCAAGATCTTGGAGACCAAGATTTGGAGACCAGCCTGGCCAACATGGTGAAACCTCATCTCTACTAAAAATACAAAAAAAATTAGCTGGGTGTGGTGGCATGCACCTATAGTCCCAGCTACTTGGGGAGGCTGACGCAGGAGAAACGCTTGAACCCAGGAGGCGGAGGTTGCAGTGAGCCAAGATCGAGCCACTGCACTCCAGCCTGGGTGACAGAGGGAGACTCCATCTCAAAAAAAAAAAAAAGATCCTGGGTAATCCCACCCATCTATTTAGACTCAGTTCAGAGATTACATTGTTTTGTGTGTGTGTGTGTGTGCGCCTCAGCCTCCCGAGCAGATATTGTGTCTTCAAGGAAATCTTTTTGGACCTTCAGCCTGGATTGTGAGCTACCCTGAATGCCTCCTCTCATTGTGATTACAATGTGATTACCATTGTGATTACTCATGTTATCTGTCTCCTGTGATACACTGGGTTCCAAGAGGGCAGCAGCTTTGTCTTGTTTACATCTGATCCCCAGGGTTTTGAACAGTGCTGATGAGTTTAATGAATGAATCTTATGTATTATAAGATGAACATCCAGAATGCTAGGGTTGAAGCACCCTTCCAGGGCATGCAAGATACTCTGAGGTCTGGCCCCTGTCTACCTCTCCATCTTCTCCCTGCAACTTTCTTCTTCACACTCCTGTGCTTCCTATGCTTTTGCTTGATTTGTTACCTCTTCTGAACTCCTGTCACTTTGTGCCATCTCCTCCATTCACACCATCCCCCATGCATACCTCCTTGCCACTGGATAATTCCTACTCATTCTTTCTAACTTCCCACTCAGCCATCTACTCCTTTTAGGAAGTTTCCCCCACTCGCACTACCCCAGAACATCTTCTCTCCTCTAGGATCAGTAACAGACTATACATATTTTTATCTTTTCTTTTACTAATTACCTCTCTATGTTGGTCTTCTATGAACTATGAACTCCTTGAAGATGCAGACCATATCTTATTCATCTATTCATCTCTAGTTTCTACTCCAGTTCTTGCATAGAGTAGCTGTTCAGAAAGTTACTATTAAAGAATGGATGAATAGACAGGCAAACAGAGCCAAACATTCAGGCACATCTGCAAACCAAAGCAGGAACAAATGCATCTGAACACTGCCCAAACAAGAGTTGAGGGCCTGTATGTATAAGTCAGACATCTTATCACATTGGCCAGGCAGGGTAAGCCAAAAAGGACTGGCATGTGCATCACTTCAAACCAGGTAGAGGAGAAGCTGAGGATTCTAAGGCTCATTAACTAAATCATAGTGAGAAACTAGATCATAACCCTGGGTATAGGTCAGTGACCAGGCATGGTGGCCAGAGAACATGGAGGGAAGTAAAGAAGGCAGGGAGAGAGGGACCCAAGATCAAACCCACAAGACAATGAGTCAGTCTTTGTGGCTTTTGGGTTAGCAAACCCCCAGCTGCTTTGGTGAGACTATCATAGCTTCTTAAAGTGACAATGCTCCCTGGACAGGACCTGTCACTAAGTTTTAGGTTAAAAGAATGAAAATCATGTTGTGTTTTTTACTGAAACTTCCAGCATTTTAGCTTCCTATTGCTGCTTTAACAAATTATCACAAACTTAGTGGCTTAAAACATCACCAGTGTATTATCTCATAATTCTAGAGAAGTCCAAAAATGGGTCTTACAGGGCTAAAGTCAAGGTATCAGCAGGGCTGTGCTCCTCCTGGAGGATTTCAGGGAGAATCTGTTCCTCGCTTCTCCAGCTTCTAGAGCCTGCTTGGGTGCTTTGGTTCATGGCTCCTTCTAGCAATGGCATCATTCTGACCTCTGCTTCCAACATCACATCTCCTTCTCTGACTCGCTCTCACTCTGAGCTACCTGCTTCCCTTTCATAAAAACCCTTGTGATTACATTGGGCCCACCCACGTAATCCAAGATAATCTCCCATCAAGATCTTAATCACATTTGCAAGGTGCCTTTGCCATCTAAGGTAACAGACTCACAGGCTCCAGGATTAGGACATAAACTTATTTTGCAGGCCATTATTCTGTCTATCACACTCAGTCATAGAAAAAAAAAATTTTTTAATTGAATCAAATTTTGATAGAAACAATAAGTATATAATGTTAAACTTTCTATCAGTGACAGGAAATAATATGGCACAAGAATCTGAAAAACAACAAATGAGGAAAGGAAAATTAGAATTGTATTATAATTTATAATTTCCATTGGTTTTCTTCAGTTAAAATTCTAATATAAGTATAATACTGTCACTTCTAAAAGATTACAGCTGAGCACTGCTACCTTTGTTTTCACTGGTTATGCATCTTTCCTCTCCAATTCCCTGTCTTTGTGGGCAAGGCTACACGCCTCAAGACTATAGGTGGTTCCATCTGGAATGCTTCACTGCCAGCAGTTCATGTTGCACAGGAATTCAGCTGAGAAGCATGAAAAGGAAAAGGGTGAAAAAGAATTCAATCCAAGATATGAAAAGGAGAAAAGTCGATTTTCTTCAAAGAAAAAAAAACAGCAACTGCATAAAAAGAAGCTCTACATTTAATTAGAAGTATGAATACCCTAGGATTTTCCATCTATAAATTATTGAAGATAAAAATGAAAAAGATTTTAAATGCCATGTATGACCATGATGAGAGTCCACATTTTCTGACCAGGTTGGACAAAGACAAGTTACAAACTCATGCTTTATATAGCAGCAGATGATGCCAGGAGGGGCCAGTGTTGAGTAAATCGGCCTGACAGGGATAGGGGATTGTCACTAAGAGATATTTAATTTACCCTTCCTTCCAGCCAGGGGAGAAGAAAAATCATTATCAGCAAGCAGCTGGTAACATTGGCAGACTTTCAGCATGGGCTTCTAATTTGTCTATTTTCCTCCTTGATCAAAATGGAAGAGAGAGAAAAAGAAAAGTTCAGAACTCTTTTCAAAGACAATTGATGGTGTATCATTTTTTAAGACAGCTTGGTTTATCTCTACAAAATTGTTCTCATTTTAACAGGTCAGGTCACATAATTTTAAAAGTGTCGAGTACTTGGTATTGTTCAAAACAAAAAAGATGTCAGCATGTTTATCAGCACTGGGAATGGATCCCATAGAAAGAGCTAAAAATATAATAGAAGAGGAAATAATAACCTGAGTCCTCAGGAACATGGACAGAAAAAGTCAACAGTACAGAAGGAATGAGGGGGGGGTGTCTTTCTCAGAAACTGGAAGACAGCTGAGGTAAAGCTATGAAACTTAGTGGGGATGGAGACAGGAATCTGAGGAATTTTATCCCTGAGAACCTTGAAGTTTCTCCCATTAAGGACAAGGAATGGAGCAACACGAAACAAAGTGGAAGAGCTTAGAAGGCAATGATGAAGGTTTGGAAGAGTCACTGGGGACAATTAGGAGAGGGAGCTGGCCAGATTTTTGGACCATTTTGAAGACTTACCTGAGACTGGGTACTATGAATGTATAGAGGGAAAAAATCCAAACAATTATATCAGTTTTCCCAATAGCCTAAAGGTAGAAGTAGAGAAAGTATATAGTGGGATTGATCCATGTTTGAGGATTTGCAGGACCAATGGAGTGATTAAAAAAAAAAAATGGGGCCAAGGCTTCCAGGCTAAACAAGCATTGAAGCTACAGGAGAAGAGAGACTATATGACAGGTGGAGGGAATTAGATAGATTTAAACATAGAAGGGACAGGGCCAAATTGAGTTTTGACTATAACTACTCTGGGTGCAGAATAGAACATGTAACATAAAAGGGCTAAGACTGGAGACAGAGAAACCACTAGGCAGCTCTCTCACTAATCCAAGACAAGGATGACAAGTTTCTGAACTGGCAAAGGCAGTGCATTCCATTCCGGTGGCTGCCATAACAAATTACCACAAACTACGTGGCTCAAAGCAAGGAATATATATTCTCTCACAATCTCACGTTTCTAGAAACTAGAAATGAAAATCAAGCTGTTGGCAGAGCCCATACAGGAGAATCTTTCCATGCCTCTTTTGCCTTCTGGAGGCTGTCATCATTCCTTGGCTTCCTTAGTTTGTGCCCACATCACTGCAATCACTGCCTCTGTCTGCACCTCCACATTGTTTTCTCCTTCGTGTGTCTGTATCTTCCCCCCTTCTCTATGCCACAGTTCTCCCTCTGCCTTTCTCTTGTCATTGGATTTAGGGTCTACACAGAAAATCCAGTATAATCTCATCTCAAGATCCTTAACAATGGCATCTGTAAAGACGCTTGTTCCATATAAGGAACACAAGTTCCAGGGATTTGGTGTGGATTTATCTTTTAAGAACTATCACTCGACCCATTATCAGTAATAAACATAAAGAGGGAGAGACAAAAGTCAGAACTATTTGAGAGGTATAGCCAGCAGAACTTGATGATTAGTTGGCTGTGGAGAGCAAAGGAGAGAGAGAAGTCAAGAGTAACTTATAACTAAAGTATCTAGATGGTGCCATCTGCTGTGATAGAGAACATGAACAGAGACCCAGTGTAATAAAGAAGATGACGACCTTTTGAACACGTTGAGTTTGAGGTATACCTGGGACACCTAGATGGAGATGTTCAGCAGATAATGGGACCTATGCATCTGAATATCAGGAGAAAGAACTAGGCTCAGAATAGATATTTGGGAGTTTGTGAGCATATAAATGGTAATTTAAAACCTCAGGGAAGATAATATTGCTCAAGAAAATAAATAGGTGGCAAGAATTCCAGAGGACTAAAAGTGGACAAGTGGCAGTTAAGGGACGGACAGAGGAAGACAAGCTCATGAAAGAGATCAAGAGAGTGGTCAAAATTACAAGTTCCAAAATTTAAACAGTAATAAAAAAAATCTACCAACCAAAAAAAGCCCTGGGCCAGATGAATTCACAGGCGAATTCTACCAGACATACCAAGAGCAGTTGGTACCAATCCTACTAAAACTATTCCAAAATATAAAGGAGGAGAGACTCCTCCTCAATTCATTCTATGAAGCCAGCATCACCCTGATACCCAAATCTGGCAAAGACACAGTGAAAACAGAAAGCTATAGGCTAATATCCTTGATGAACATAGACACAAAAATCCTCAACAAAATACCAGCAAACTGGATCCAGTAACACATCAAAAAGTTACTTCACCATGATTAAGTAGGCTTTATTCCTGGGGTTGTAAAAGTTAGTTCACCATACACATATCAATAAATGAGATTCACCACATAACAGAATTAAAAACAAAAACCACATGAACATCTCAACGGATGCAGAAGAAGCTTTTGATAAAATTCAATATCCCTTCATGATAAAAATCCTCAACACTTGGTATCAAAGGAACATACCTCAAAATAATAAGAGCCATCTATGACAAACCCACAGCCAACATCATACTGAACAGGCAGAAGCTGGAAACATTCTCCTTAAGAATTAGAGCAAAACAAGTATGCACACTCTCACCACTCCTATTCAACACAGTACTAGAAGTCCTAGCCAGAGAAGTCAGTCAAGAGAAAGAAGAAAAGGCATCCAAATAGGAAAATAAGTCAAATTATCTCTCTTCACTGACAATATGACTCTATATCTAGAAAGCTTTAAAGACTCCACCAAAAGGCTCCTAGACCTGATAAATGAAAAGAAGTCAAATTATCTATCTTCACTGACAATATGATTCTATTTCTAGAAAACCTTAAAGACTCAACCAAAAGGCTCCCAGACATGATAAATTACTTCAGTAAAACTTCATGATACAAAATTAATGTAAAAAATCAGTAGCATTTCTATACACCACTAATGTTAAAGCTGAGAGCCAAATCAAGAACATAATCCCATTTAAAATATCCATGAAAAAATAAATTACCTAGGAATATGTCTAACCAAGCGGGTGAAAGATCTCTACAAGGAGAACTACAAAACACTGCTGAAAGAAACCACAGATGACACAAACAAATGGAAAACTATTTCATACTCATGGATTTGGAAGACTCAATATCGCTAAAATATCCATAATGTCCAAAGCAATCTACAGATTCAATGCTATTCCTATCAAACTACCAATGTCATTTTTCACAGAATTAGAAAAAAACTATTCTAAAATTCATATGGAAACAAAAAAGAGCCCAAGTAGCCAAAGCAATCCTAAGCCAAAAAAACAAATCCAGAAGCATCACACTAGCCAACTTCAAACTGTATTATAAGGCTACAGTAACCAAAACAGCATGATACTGGTACTAAAACAGACACATAGACCAATGGAACAAAATAGAAAACCCAGAAATAAAGCTGCACACCTACAATCAACTGATCTTCAACAAAACTGACAAAAATAAGCAATGGGAAAAAAAACTCCCTATTCAATAAATGGTGTTGGGTTAACTGGCTATCCACATGCAGCGGAAGAATGAAACTGGATCCCTACCTATCACCAGATATGAAAATTAACTCAAGAAGGATTAAAGACTTAAATGTAAGACCTCAAACTATAAAAATTCTAGAAGAAAACCAATACGATTTTGGACAGTGGCCTTGTCAAAGAATTTATGACTAAGTTCTCAAAAGCAATTGAAACACAAACAAAAATTGACAGTGGGACCTAATTATACTAAAGAGCTTCTGCACAGCAAAAGAAACAATTAATAGAGTAAACAGATAACCTACAGAATGGGAGAAAATATTCGCAAACTGTGCATCCAACAAAGGTCTAATATCTAGACTCTATAAAGAACTTAAATCAACAAGCAAAAAACAAACAACTCCATAAAAACTGGGCAAAGGACATGATCAGACACTTTTCAAAAGAAGACATACAACCAGCCAACAAACATATGAAAAAATGTTCACCATCACTAATTATCAGAGACATGCAAATCAAAACCATGAGATACTATGTTACACCAGTCAGAACAGCTATTATTAAAAAGTCAAAAAAAAACAGATGTTGGCAAGGCTGTGGAGAAAAGGGAGCACTTATATACTCTTGGTGGGAATGTAAATTAATTCAGCTACTGTAGAAAGCAGTTTAGAGATTTCTCAAAGAACTAAAACTAGAACTACTATTTGACCCAGCAATCCCGTTACTGGAGATATACCCAAAGGAAAATAAATCATTCTACCAAAAAGACACATGCATTCATATGCTCATTGCAGCACTATTCACAATAGCAAAGATATGGAATCAACCTAAGTGCCTATCGGTGGTGGATTAGATAAAGAAAATGTGGCACATGTATACCATGGAATACTCCACAGCCATAAAATAAAATGAAATCATATCCTTTGCAGCAACATAGATGCAGCTGGAAGCCATTATCCTAAGTGAATTAACACAGAACAGAAAACCAAAGACCACATTTTCTCACTCATAAGTGGGAACTAAACATTAAGTACTCATACACACAAGATGGGAACAATTGACACTGGGGCCTGCAAGATGAAGGAGAGAGAGGGAGACAAGGTTGAAAAACTATTAGGTTCTATGCTCACTACCTGGTGACAGGGTCACTCATACCCCAAACCTCAGCATCAAGCTACAGAGCCTTGTAACAAACCTGCACATGTACCCCCTGAATCTAGAATAAAAGTTGAAATTTTTTTTAAAAGGAAGGAATGGTCAAACAGTTACAAATAATTCCAAGAGGATGTGGTGTCCAGAAGCAAGAGTCATTTTTAGAAGTGGGTAACCATGAGCAATGTTATAGAGCACAGAGGACAAGTGAGATAAGTAAAGTATTGAAGCAGATGATAGAGTTGGAGGGGTACCAGGGGGGTACCCAGAAGAAAAGCAGTCCAGATAAAAAGAAAGCACATGCAAAGGCCGTGAACATTTCAGGCATGCCCAAAGAACAGCAAGAAGGCCAATGTGGTTGGAACAGAGCGAGCAAGGGAAGTAAGAAAGGAGTTGAGAAGTTACAGAAGTCCTGATAGTATAAGACCTTTCCAGCCATTTTCAGAACTATAGCTTTTATTTTGAGTGAGAATGGGACTCTCTCAGAGGGTTTTCTGCAGAGGAATGACATAATCTGATTCTTTTTTAACAGGATCACTCCAACAATTGTGAAAACAAGAGATGAAACTCAAAAGATATGTTGGAGACAGACTGTATGAGGGAGGATGTACATAGGGAGATTAGTTAGGAAGGAAGTGATTGCAACAATCTCAGCAAGAGATGATGGCAGCTTAGACCAAGGTGCTAGCTATGAAGGTGAGAAGAGATGTGATTATGGATATATTTGAAGGTGGGCCCCACAAAATAGCTGAAGGATTAGACACAGAGTGAGAAAAAGATGAGTCAAGGATAATCCCAAAGATCTTGACCTAGGATACTAGAAGACTAGAGTCACCATGAGGGAGAAACACACCTTCTATGTACAAACAGTAGGCTCGCTATACAAGTGAAACTTCAAGGTAAAGATCTAGTCCTTTATTCCAACCAGATCACCTACCCTATACCCCTTCTATGTAATAATTTTGCTGCAGTCACTATATATGACGTTTCAAGAGACATATCAAGTACTATGGCATTAAAGTTCAACATGAAAAAGCAAAAAAAAAAAAATGAAGTTGCTCTCTTCAATAAATGTTGAAGACAGATTGCAAAGGACTGGTAAAGAAAACCATTCACTGGCCAGGTGCAGTGGCTCACATCTAAAATCTCAACACTTGTCAGGGCCAAGGCAGAGGAGTGCTTGTGGCCAGGAGTTTGAGACCAGCATGGACAACATACCAAGACCACTGTCTCTACAAAAAATATTAAAAATATTAAAAATTAAGAATAAATTTTATTAATTAAGTTGCTTTTTAATTAACAGGTGTGGTGGCATGTACCTGTAGTCCTAGCAACTGGGGAGCCTGATACAGAAGGATAGTTTGAACCCAGTAACTTGAGGCTGCAGTGAGCCATCCATGATCATACCGATGCACTCCAGCCTAGGAAACAGAGCAAGACCCTGACTCTAAAAAATAAATAAATAAATAAATAAATAAAACTCACTTGATTGACTTACAGTATGTTTCATTGCATACCACAAACTTGAAAATGCACAGATGTTCCTCCCATAATATACCAGAAAACCTGGTGATTCACTCTTTAGCAAGAAAGATCCTGGAAAACTTTGATTAAATTGAACCCACCAGTACAACATCATTACTGAAAAATTCATACTTAAGGGGAAAGAAAAATAAGGGTGTTCTTCATGAGAAAAATGTGTCAACTACACATTCTCAATATCCCCCCTACATTAAAGAATCATGACCTATAAACGTTGTGAAATGATACTAGTAAATTGAATAGGTTTTCTTCCCAAAATCTTTGGGTGTTGTTTGAGACATTTAAAGGGTCAGAGCTTGGCAACAACTGAATACTGTGTGGAAATGATTGAGGATGTATTCTACCTTTAGAACCTCTCAGTCACTCAGGAAATTCTCAATTATGGGAATAGGCTATTGCATATGCAAATTGTATTCAATCTGAAATTTATTAGTGTTGCTCCAACATCTTCTATTCAAAAGTAGCCACATTCTCTCCCATGGCCATATGACTTCCACTGAACCCAAGAGGAATTATGCCAATCTGAGAAGAGTGCAATGGATCCTTCAGAATTTTGGAGCAGAACTAACATTTTGCAGCTGAAAATAGGCATGAGCATCCCACAATGCTTTCACCTAGAAACATGTTGTAACGGGAACTTAGATTACCAGGTCAGCCCACAAACATTTATTTAATCCATCCTTTTCCTGCAACACTCTGTAAATAGTACTGCAGGACCTATTAACATGAGAACCTTGCTTCCATTGATTTAACAAGGGAGTATTTTTGGAACATGGTTACGCACCATGCTTGTACTGGAGTTACAGAGTTGTGGAACACAGAGAACAGAGTCCTCGTCCTCAAGGAGCTCACAGGGATTGGCTCAGACAAGGAGAACATTAAATCCAGCAGAGAGCAGTCGGTGTCATGACAGAAACACGGGCTGGGTGTTGAGGAGGCACAGGCAACAGTGAGGGGAGGGGGATATCTAGTGCGACACCTGAAGGAAGAACGGGTCTTGAAGGCAGATAAAATGGCTGTGCAAAGCACATTGCAAAGCACACTCAAAACTAAAGCTTATGTCATACAAACACATCTCTCTGACAGTTATTACTCTGTATAGCCCACATGATCTGTAGCCCACCAGGCTGTAAGCTTCCAGTAGGGGATCTACCAGCTTGGGGCAAGACCTTTGGCGGAAGAGAAAGTATTAAGGAGAGTGAAGAGCCAGAGAAAGTGCCATGGGGCATAGGGTAAAGCACGGGAAGGCTAAGAGAAGAGAGCAACATCTCTAGGATACAGGAGTGAGACACTTTGGGGGAGGGAGTCCCATAGATCAACCTTTATGAAGAATCTATCCAATTCTAATGCTATGCAAGTTCTGGAGATATAAGGATCCATAAAATATGTTCCCCAGCATCAATGTATAAGAAACATAAAATATGTTTCTCAACATCTTGAGGTCTGCCAGGGGCACCAAGTGCAGTAACATGTTGTAAAATGGTGAATATAATAGTATCTAAGCTCAGATGATGATTATAAGGAAACTGTCTCTGCTTCCCATCCCCAATAACCATTTTCAAGAAGCAGATGCTGCTACAATCAGCTAAGTTCAATGATACTTATTAGATGACAATAGTAAAAATAACCATAATTGCCGTTATTATTATTATTATATTACAAATACTTACTGGGTCCAAGATATAGTGTTAAAACCTTGATAGACATTCATGTCAGTTAATGCTCACAGTCAGGATGTAGGTATGGTGATGAGCTCCATTTTACAGGTGAGAGAGGTTCAGTTTTCAAGAGTCATACTCTTACCACTACTCTGTACCCACTACCATATAAGGGAAGCATGAGAATGTAGTGTGCCTATTTTTAAATTACTGTTCTCAAGTTAGGGACTCCTGTATGGTGCTATATTCATTTCTGGATTTTTTTAAAGGCGTGGCAGGGAAAAAAACCGGGGAAAGAAGAAGAGGTGTATTTCTTTCCATTGTTAAGAAAAATAAGCAAATGGAAGGAAGGAAGGAAGGAAGGCATGAAGGAAGGAAGGGAGGGAGGGAGGGAGGGAGGGGAGATGATTTTATTTCAGGGACATATTTTGATGTAGTTCCAACCCAATTTTTTACACTTTCTATATTGACTTTATCTTATATTGAGGATTGATCTTCAATTGAGACTTGATATTAAAAAAAAATTATCAAAGAATGCCCTCTGCACACACTGGCAAGAGAGCAAACCAACCCCAAAGCTAGCAGAAAACAAGAAATAACTGAAATCAGAGTTGAACTGAAAGAGACTGAGATACAAAAAACCATTCAAAATATCAATGACTCCAGGAGCTGGGTTTTTGAAAAAAATTAACAAAATAGATAGATCACTAGCTAGAGACTCTTAAAACTTCCTGGACCCAGTGAGTTCTTCTAAGCCTTCAGAAATCAGTCATTCCTCTGCTATTTATACTGTTCCAGAGTTACAGAAAATGAGAGAAATTTTATCAATTTATTTATGAAGCTAGCTCATTCCTGATGGAGAAAAAAATCCTAACAAATATATCACACAAAAATATAGCAGTAGAAAAAGAAAACTCTTTAAAATATTAGCCAACTAAATTCTTTAGTACATTTAAAGAATAATAGACCACAACCAAGTAACAGTATTATTGTGTGGGAGTCTAACTCTCTTCATGGTCTCTAAGAACTTGTTTTGTGAATCTGGGTCTTCTTGTTTGTTTGTTTGAACCCTTTACCATTATATAATGCCCTCTTTGTCTTTTTTATCTTTGTTGGCTTAAAGCCTCTTTTGTTTGAAATTAGGATTGTAACGACTGCTTTTTTCTGTTTTTCATTTGCTTTGTAGATTTTTCTCCATCCCTTAATTTTGACCTATGGGTGTCATTGCATGTGGGATGTGTCTCTTAGAGATAGCATATCATTAGATCTTGATTTTTATCCAGTTTGCCACTCCATGCCTTTTAATTAGGGCATTTCGTCCATTTACAGTCAAGGTTAATATTGATGTTTGTGGATTTGATACTGTCATCATGATGTTAGCTGGACACTATGCAGACTTATTTGTGTGGTTGCTTTATAGTGTCACTGATCTGTGTACTTAAGTGTGTTTTTGTAGTGGCTGGTAACAATCTTCCCTTTCCATATTTAGTGCTTCCTTCAGGAGCTCTTGTAAAGCAGGTCTGGTGGTAACAAATTCCTTCCACATTTGCTTGTCTGAAAAGGATCTTATTTCTCCTTCACTTATGAAGCTTTGTTTGGCTGGATATGAAATTTGGCGTTCAACTGCTCAAGGAAATAAAAGAGGACACAAACAAATGGAAGAACATTCCATGCTCATGGATAGGAAGAATCAATATCGTGAAAATGGCCATACTGCCCAAGGTAATTTATAGATTCGAAGCCACCCCCATCAAGCTACCAATGACTTTCTTCACAGAATTGGAAAAAACTACTTTGAAGTTCATATGGAAACAAAAAGATTCTGTATAGCCAAGACAATCCTAAGTAAACAGATCAAAGCTGGAGGCATCACACTACCTGACTTCAAACTACACAACAAGGCTACAGTAACCAAAACAGCATGGTACTGGTACCAAAACAGAGATATAGACCAATGGAACAGAACAGAGCCCTCAGAATTAATACCGCACAACTACAACTATCTGATCTTTGACAAACCTGACAAAAACAAGAAATGGGGAAATGATTCCTTATTTAATAAATGGTGCTGGGAAAACTGGCTAGCCATATGTAGAAAGCTGAAACTGGATCCCTCCCTTACACCTTATACAAAAATTAATTCAAGATGGATTAAAGACTTAAATGTTAGACCTAAAACCATAAAAACTCTAGAAGAAAACCTAGGCAATACCATTCAGGACATAGGCATGGGCAAGAACTTCATGACTAAAACACCAAAAGCAATGGCAACAAAAGCCAAAATAGACAAATGGGATCTAATTAAACTAAAGAGCTTCTGCACAGCAAAAGAAACTATCATCAGAGTGAACAGGCAACCTACAGAATGGGAGAACATTTTTGCAATCTACCCATCTAACAAAGGGCTAATATCCAGAATCTATAAAGAATTCAAACAAATTTACAAGAAAAAATCAAACAACCCCATCAAAAAGTGGGCAAAGGATATGAATAGACACTTCTCAAAATAAGACATTTATGCAGCCAACAGACACATGAAAAAATGCTCATTATCACTGGCCATCAGAGAAATGCAAATCAAAACCACAGTTAGATACAATCTCACACCAGTTAGAATGACGATCATTAAAAAGTCAGGAAACAACAGGTGCTGGAGAGGATGTGGAGAAATAGGAATGCTTTTACACTGTTGGTGGAAGTGTAAACTAGTTCAACCATTGTGGAAGACAGTGTGGTGATTCCTCAAGGATCTAGAACTAGAAATACCATTTGACCCAGCCATCCCATTAGTGGGTATACACCCAAAGGATTATAAGTCATGCTGCTATAAAGACACGTGCACACATATGTTTACTGAGGCACTATTCACAGTAGCAAAGACTTGGAACCAACCCAAATGTCCATCAGTGATAGGCTGGATTAAGAAAATGTGGCACATATACACTATGGAATACTATGCAGCCATTAAAAAGGATGAGTTCATGTCCTTTGTAGGGACATGGATGAAGCTGGAAACCATCATTCTGAGCAAACTATTGCAAAGACAGAAAACCAAATACTGCATGTTCTCACTCATAGGTGGGAATTTTACAATGAGAACACTTGGACACAGGGTGGGGAACATCACACACCAGGACCTGTTGTGGAGTCGGGGGAAGTGGGGAGGGATAACATTAGGAGAAATACCTAATGTAAATGACGAGTTAATGGGTGCAGCACACCAACATGGCACATGTATACATATGTAACAAACCTGCATGTTCTGCACATGTACCCTAGAACTTAAAGTATAATTTAAAAAAAAAAAGAAAGAAAAAAAATTGGGGGTTGAAATTTCTTTTCTTTAAGAATGTTGAAAATTGGCCCCCAATCTCTTCTGGCTTGTAGGGTTTCTGCAGAGGGGTTCGCTGTTAAGTCTGATGGGCTTCCCTTTGTAGGTGATCTGGCCTTTCTCTCTAACCGCCTTTAACATTTTTTCTTTCATTTCAACCCTGGAGAATCTCATCCTTATGTGTCTTTGGGATAATCTTCTTGTGAAGTATCTTACTGTGGTTCTCTGCATTTCCTGAATCTGAATGTTGGCCTCTCTAGCTAGGTTGGGAAAGTTCTCATGGATGATACTCTGAAATATATTTTCGAAGTTGCTTCTATTCTCCCCATCTCTTTCAGGGACAACAATGCATCATAAATTTGGTCTTTTACAGAATTCCATATTTCTTGAAGGTTTTATTTATTCCTTTTCATTCTTTTTTCTCTATTCTTCTCTGACTACCTTATTTCAGAAAGCCAGTCTTCAAGCTCTGAGATTCTTTCCTCAGCATGATCTATTCTATTTAAATTTGTGATTGCATTATGAAATTTTTATAGTGTGTTTTTCAGATCTATCAGGTTGGTTACATTCTTTTCTATACCAGCTATTTTGTCTGTCAGCTCCTGCATTGTTTTATTGTGATTCTTAGCTTCCTTGGATTAGGTTTCAGCATACTCCTACATCTCAATGATCTTTGTTCCTATTTATATTCTGAATTCTATTTCTATCATTCAGCCATCTCAACCTGTTTCAGAACACTTGCTGGAGAGCTAGTGAGGTCGTTTGAAAGAAAGAAGGCACTCTGGCTTTTTTAATTGTCAGAATTCTTGTGCTGGTTCTTTGTCATCTTTGTGGACTGATGTTCCTTCAGTCTTTGAAGTTGCTGTCCTTTGGATGGTTTTTTTTTTTTTTATTATGTTTGATGATCTTGAGGGTTAGACTATGGTATAACGTGGGTTCAGTAAACTAGGTTCATTTCTGGAAGATTTTAGGGGGCCCAGGCTCAGCTCCTAACTCCTGGACTGCATGCTCTAACTCTGGGGGATTGGTATCGGGCCCCAGCTTTTGTCTCTGGCTCCCTGAAATTAGATCTGTCCTCATTTGCACATGCTAGCAGCAGCAATAGCAGCACAGTGGGATTCAGGCTTGTTGACCACAGCAGGGTGCTAGTGGGTGCCAGCCTTTATGTGGGTGATCACAGATACAACAGAGGCAGCACAGCTTGCAGGGTTGCAGGGGGCCCCCGACAAGTGACTGTGGGAGTGGTCACACTGGTGGTGGTGTTAGCACAGGGGTGGGGTGCTGGCAAGTGCAGGCCTGTGTGTGCCCTCTATGCATGTTCATGCTGGCAAGTGTGGTCACTCAGGGCATGGCAGGGTCTCCTGTTCTCCTTGCCTAGTTTGAATAGTTGTTCCAACTCTTTTTTCTATTTTATTTTAAGTTCCAGGATACATGTGCAGGATGTACATGTTTATTACATAGGTAAACATGTGCCATGGTGGTTTGCTGCACCTGTCAACCCATCACCTATTTTTCCTGATGTTCTCCCTCCCCACACACACCTCTGCCACAACAGGCCCAAGTGTGTGTTTTTCCCCTCCCAGTGTCTATGTGTTCTTATTGTTCAGCTCCCACTTATAAGTGACAACATGCAGCGTTTGGTTTTCTGTTCTTGCATTAGTTTGCTGAGAATAATGGCCTCCAGCTCCATCCATGTCCCTGCAAAGGACATGATCTCTTTCCTTTTTATTGTTGCACAGTATTCCATAGTGTATATGTACCTCACTTTGTTTATCCAGCCTATCATTGTTGGGCATATGAGTTGATTCCATGTTTTTGCTATTGTGAATAGTGCTGCAATGAACACATGCATGCATATATCTTTATAATAGAATGATTTATATTCCTTTGGATATATACCCAGTAATGGGATTGCTGGGGCAAAACAGTATTTCTGGTTCTAGGTCTTTGAGAAATAACCACACTGTCTTCCACAATGGTTGAACTAATTTACATTCCCACCAACAGTGTAAAAGCATTCTTATTTCTCCACAGCCTTGTCAGCATCTGTTGTTTCTTGACTTTTTAATAATTGCCATTAATGGGTGCAGCACACCAACATGGCACATGTATACATATGTAACAAACCTGCACATTGTGCACATGTACCCTAAAACTTAAAGTATAATAATAATAATAAATAATAATAATAATAATAATTGCCATTCTGACTAGCATGAGATGGTATCTCATTGTGGTTTTGATTTGCATTTCTGTAATTATCAGTGATGTTAGTTTTTTTTTCATGTATTTTGGGCACATAAGTGTCTTCTTTTGAGAAGTGCTGTTCATGTCCTTTGCCCACTTTTTAATGGGGTTGTTTGGTTTTTTTCTTGTAAGTTTGTTTAAGTTCCTTTTAGATTCTGTATATTGGACCTTTGTCAGATGGACAGATTGCAAAAATTTTCTCCCATTCTGTAGGTTGTCTGTTCACTCTTATGAGTTTATATATATATACATATATATGTGTGTATATATATGTATATATGTATACATATACATATATTTTTTTTTTTTTGCTGTGCAGAGGCTCTGTAGTTTAATTAGATTCCATGTTTCAATTTTTGCTTTTGTGGCCATTGCTTTTCACGTTTTCATCATGAAATCCTTGCCCATGCCTATGTCCTGAATGGTATTGCCTAGATTTTCTTCCAGGGTTTCTACAATTTGGGGTTTTACCTTTAAGTTTTTATTCTATCTTGAGTTAACCTTTGTATAAGGTATATGGAAGGGATCCAGTTTCGATTTTCTGCATATAGCTAGCCAGTTCTCCCAGTACCATTTATTAAATAGGGAATGCTTTCCCCATTGCTTGCTTTTTCAGGTTTATCAAAGATCAGATGGTTGTAGATGTGTGGTCTTATTTCTGAGTTCTCTATTCTGCTCCATTGATCCACATGTCTGTTTTTGTACCAGTACCATGCTGTTTTGGTTACTGTAGCCTTGTAGTATAGTATGAAGTCAGGTAGCATGATGCCTCCAGCTTTGATCTGTTTACTTAGGATTGTCTTGGCTATACAGAATATTTCTGGTTCTATATGAATTTTAAAGTAGGCTTTTTTAATTCTGTGAAGAATGTCAGTGGTAGTTTAATGGGAATAGCATTGAATCTATAAATTACTTTGGGTAGTATGGCCATTTTCATAATATTGATTCTTCCTATCCATAGGCATGGAATGATTTTCCATTTGTTTGTGTCCTCTCTTATTTCCTTGAGCAGTGGTTTGTAGTTCTCCCTGAAGAAGTCCTTCACTTTCCTCGTTAGCTGTATTCCTAGATATTTTATTCTCTTTGTAGCAAATGTGAATGGGAGTTCATTCATGATTTGGCTGTCTGCTTGTCTATTGCTGGTGTACGGGAATGCTTGTGACTTTTGCAGATTATTTTGTATCCTGAGAATTTGCTGAAGTTGCTTATCAGCTTAAGAAGCTTTGGGGCTGAGTTGATGGAGTTTTCTAGATATAAGATAATGTCATCTGCAAACAGATACAGTTTGATTTCCTCTCTTCCTATTTGAATACCTTTATTTCATTCTCTTGCCTGATTGCCCTTGCCAGAACTTCTAATACTATGTTGAATAGGAGTGGTAAGAGAGGATATCCTTGTTTTGTGCCTGTTTTCAAGGGGAGTGCTTCCGGCTTTTGCCCATTAAGTATGATATTGGCTGTGTGTTTGTCATAAATGGCTCTTACTATTTTGAAGTATGTTCCATCAATGCCTAGTTTATTGAGAGTTTGTAATGTGAAGGTATGTTGAATTTTATCAAAGGCCTTTTCTTTGTCTATTGAGATAATCATGTGGTTTTCGTCTTTAGTTCTGTTTATGTGATGAGTTACATTTATTGATTTGCATATGTTGAACGACGCTTGCAACCCAGGAATGAGCCAGCTTGATCATAGTGGATAAGCTTTTTGATGTGCTGCTGAATTCAGTTTGCCAATATTTTATTGAGGATTTCTGTATCAATGTTCATTAGAGATATTGGCCAGAAGTTTTCTTTTTCTGTTTTATCTCTGACAGGTTTTGGTGTCAGGATGATGCTGGCCTCATAGAATGAGTAAGAGACGAGGCTTTCCTCCTCAATTGTTTGGAATAGATTAAGAGGAAATGGTCCCAGCTCTTCTTTGTACCTCTGTTAGAATTCAGCTGTAAATCCATCTGGTTTGGGGCTTTTTTTGGTTGGTAGGCTATTTATTACTGCCTCAATTTTAGAACTTGTTTTTGGTCTCTTCAGGGATTCAACTTCTTCCTGGTTCAGTCTTAGAGGGTGTATGTGTCCAGGAATTTATTCCTTTCTTCTAGATTTTCTAGTTTATTTGCATACATGCGTTCATAGTATCCTCTGATGGTTGTTTCTATTTCTGTGCAGTCAATAGTGATATCCCATTTACCATTTTTGTTGTGTCTATTTGATTCTTCTCTCTTTTCTTCTTTATTAGTCTAGATAGTGGTGTATTTTATTAATTTTTTCAACAACCTGTATTTGTTGATTTTTTTGAAGGGTTTTTCATGTCTCTCTCTCCTTCAGTTTCACGCTTATCTTGGTTATTTCTTGTCTTCTGCTAGCTTTAGGGTTTGTTTGCTCTTGGTTCTCTAGTTCTTTTGGTTGTCATGTTAGAATGTCAATTTGAGATCTTTCTAGCTTTTTGATGTGGGAGTTTAGTGCTATAGATTTCCCTCTTAACACTGCTTTAGCTGCGTCCCAGAGATTCTGGTACATTGTCTCTTTGTTCTCATTGGTTTCAAAGAACTTGATTTCTGCCTTAATTTCATTATTTACCCAGAAGTGATTCAGGATCAGGTTGTTCAATTTCCCTACAGTTGTGTGGTTATAAATGAGTTTCTTAATCTTTAGTTCTAATTTGATTGTGAGAGACTGTTATTTCAGTTCTTTTGCATTTGCTGAGGATTGTTTTACTTCAAATTATGTGACTGATTTTAGAGTAAGTGCCATGTGGCGCTGAGAAGAATGTATATTATGTCATTTTTGGGTGTAGAGTCCTGTAGATATCTATCAGGTCCACTTGATCCAGAGCTGAGTTCAAGTCCTGAATATCTTTATTAATTTTTTGTCTTGATGATCTGTCTGATGTGGACAGTGGGGTGTTAAAGTCTCCCACTATTATTGTGTGGGAGTCTAAGTCTCTTTGGAGGTCTCTAAGAACTTGTTTTATGAATCTGGGTGCTCCTGTATTGGGTGCATATATAGTTAGGATAGTTAGCTCTTCTTGTTGACTTGAACACTTCACCATTGTGCTATGCTCTTTTTTGTCTTTTTTGATCTTTGTTGGCTTAAAGCCTGCTTTGTTATAAACTAGGATTGCAACCTCTGCTTTTTTCTGTTTTCCATTTGCTTAATAAATTTTCCTCCCTCCCTTTATTTTGAGCCTATGTGTGTCTTTGCACATGAGATGGGTCTCTTGAATATAACACATCGATGGGTCTTGACTCTTTATCCAGCTTGCCATTCTGTGTCTTTTAATTGGGCATTTAATCCATTTACATTTAAGGTTAATATTGTTATGTGTGAATTTGATCCTGTCATTATGATGCTAGCTGGTTATTTTTCAGACTTATTGATGTAGTTGCTTCATACTGTCATTGGTCTGTGTACATCAGTGTGTTTTTGTAGTGGCTGGTAATGATTTTTCCTTTCCATATTTAGTGCTTCCTTCAGGAGCTCTTGCAAGGCAAGCCTGGTGATGATAAATTACCTCAGCATCTGCTTATCTGAAAAGGATTTTATTACTCCTTCACTTATGAAGCTTAGTTTTGCCAGATATGAAATTCTGGGTTGGAAATTCTTTAAGAATGTTGAATATGGGCCCCCACTCTCTTCTGGCATATAGGGTTTCTGCTGAGAGATCCACTGTTAGTCTGATGAGCTTCCCTTTGTAGGCAACCTGGCCTTTCTTTCTGGCTGCCCTTAACACTTTTTCTTTCATTTTGACCTTGGAGAATCTGACGATTATGCGTCTTGGGGTTGATCTTCTCAGGGAGTATCTTACTGGGGTTCTCTGGATTTCCTGAATTTGAATGTTGGCCTGTCTTGCTAGGTTGTGGAAGTTCTCCTGGATGATATCCTGAAGTATGTTTTCCAACTTGGTTTCACTTTCCCCATCTCTTTCAGGTACCCCAATCACTTAGAGGTTCAGTCTTTTTACATAATCCCATAGTTCTCAGAGGTTTTGTTCATTTCTTTTCATTCTTTTTTCTCTAATCTTGTCTGCCTGTCTTATTTCAGCAAAACAGTCTTCAAGCTCTGAAATTCTTTCCTCCTCTTGGTCTATTTGGCTATTGCTATTTGTGGTTGCATTGTGAAGTTTTCATGTTGTGTTTTTCAGCTCATTTATGTTCCTCTCTAAACTAGTTATTCTGATTAACAGCTACTGTAGTGTTTTATCATGGTTCTTAGCTTCTTTGCATTGGGTTAGAACATGATCCTTTAGCTCAGTAAAGTTCATTACTACCCAGCTTCTGAAGCCTACTTCCATCAGTTCATCCATCTCAGCCTCAGCCCAGTTCTGTGCCCTGCAGGAGAGGTGTTCCAATCATTTGGAGGAGAAGAGGCATTTTGGCTTTTTGAGTTTTCAGTGTTTTCTCATTGATTCTTTATCATCTTCGTGACTTTATCTACCTTCAATCTTTGAGGCTGCCGACCTTTGGATGGGGTTTTTGTGGGGACTTTTTTGTCGATTGTTGTTGTGGCTTTCTGTTTGTTTTTCTTTTAACAGCCAGCCCCCTCTTCCACAGGGCTGCTGCAGTTTTCTGGGGGTCCACTCCATACCCTATTTGCCTGGCTCCCTCCTGCAGCTGGACGTGTCACCAATGGAGGCTGCAGAACAGCAAAGATGGCTGCCTGCTCCTTCCTCTGGGAGCTCTGTCCCAGAGACAGACCTGACGCCAGCAGGAACTCTCCTGTATAAAGTGTCTGGCAACCTCTGTTGGGAAATCTTACCCAGCCAGCAGGCACAGGATCAGGGACCCTCTTAACAAAGCAGTCTGGCTGCCCCTTGGTAGAGGAGGTGCACTGCACTGGGGGGCATCTTGCTTATCAGGATTGCCCAGATTCCTCAGAGCCAGCAGGGGAAAAGACTAAGTTCACTGATCCACAGAGACCACGGGCACCCCTCACCCCAGGGATTCCATCCCAGGCATATCAGAGTTCTGTCTGTAAACCCCTAGGCTGGAGTTGCTGAAATTCCCACAGGGAGGTCCCACTCAATGAGGAGAGATGGGTCCAACTTCGGCCTAAACAGGCAGCCTGGCCGTGATCTGCCACAGTCGCTGTGCTGTGCTGTGCTGTGGGGAATGCTTCCTGGGTCCAAACTGCTCAGTCTCCCCGCACCAGCAGGGGAAAACGGCAAACTGGAGCTGCAGTGATGGCTGCCACTCCTCCCCTGAAAAACTCAGTGGTCTTAGGCAGCAGGTAGCCACAGTGATGGCGGCTGTCCCATCCTCCCAGGAACTCAGTAGTCTTAGGCAATCTCCAGTGGATCGGCCAAATAGGGTCTGCATAGCTCTGTGCTTGGAACCCAAGGTGCTGGTGGTGTGGGCTCATGAGGGTATCTCCTGATCTGCAGGTTGCACAGATCCATGGAAAATTTGCCCATTTCCTGGGCAGGTAGCACAATCACTCACTGCCTCCCTTGGCTGGGGATGGGAGCTCCCCTTGCCTCTTACAGATCCTGGGTGGGCTGTCAGAGCAACCTGCTTTTCCTGGCTCTCTGTGGGTCATGCCAGCCACCTAGTCATTCCCAATGAGAGAACCTGGATACCTCAGTTGCCGGTACAGGATTCACTCACCGTTTTCATTCTTCTCAGAACCGCAGCTCTGTTCCAAATCTTTCCAAAAGCCTCGCTCAAAAATGCCTACCAACTTTCTCTGTAACAAACTCTTAATTTGAGCACAAGATAAAGGCCTTTCCTCTCATTCTAACTTGATGCAAAGAGAATGAAGAAATTAGAAAGATAAAAATATCTGTAAACTATACTGTGATTCTGAATCATATTGAGTCAAATGCTTTAAGACTGCTTACTAGAGTCTCAGTTTGCTCAATTTACTTAATGTTTAGAAAGCTTTATACAGTAAGGAGTATAATTTTGTCTCATTTATTACTGATTAGATATGGTTATTTCCATCTGATACTGGAAAACTGGCAACATAGAAATGCTGAATTCCAGGTACTTGTCAACCAGTAAGCGTGAAACCTGGATTTGTTTTTTATTATATGTATGCCATGGACAAGTTACTCCCTTAAAAACCTCAAGTTTTTCATTTGTAAAATGGGCATAGTGGCTTCTACCTTGCAAGCTGTCGGTGAGGCTTGGAGATGGGGTATATAAAGTGCTACTCTACTTCTTCATACTCTCCTTCATCTGTTTTCTCTCCCTTATTCCTTTCCATTGTCAAGGGGCTAACCCTCTTCTCTCTATTGTAGAATAAGAATGATATTTTATTATTTCAATGTTCATTCCCATTTGACAATGACAGCAATCTATGTTAGCAATATCAGCTAGACCAGTTCTACATCCACTCTCTTTCCTATCCCTCAGCTTGTAGGAGTTAACTAGCTTCCCTTCAAAGACAATAGATTCTAACACTAAAACAAAATGATTCCACCCCGGTGGAAACTCTCATGAAGAAAAAATTAAAGAACTTTCCAAAAAGTGTAAAAGATAGCAGCAGCTGCTCTCTTACATAATGATACAACATTCTTGTGAAAAACTTGGGTGAGAGTCCAGGAAATGTCTAGAGTGACTGTCTTTCTGAAGTAAACATCTGTGTTGATGGGAAATTGAGACATAAACACACATTCAGAATTCAAACACAATTCCCAAGTGTCACATTAGAATTCCACTGGTTTTTATGGAAAAAAAAAATAGATCTCCTAAGCTTTGTAAAATTTCATGTAACAGCAGCCAAAGTCAACCACACAGGATTTTCAATCTGTGTGTTTCGGGAAACAATTGGAAAAATTCAAACTGATTTTTTAATGGCTTTTGAATAACTTGGGCATCTTCAACAGTGCCTACATCAGATCTATGGTCCTTCTGTGCAACTGACACCAGCCATGGTATTTGTCCATAATGATGGTTTCCTTTCTAGTCTAGTCATTGATTTTTCCATTCTACAAAACACTTAGTCATGAATGTTGTGTTTATATGCTCTGTTACAGAAACATCCCGTACACCACAAGTAGCAAAGGCTGTCGCTCATGTGCCACTACCTTGAAAAAATCCACACTTCTTCCTCCCATTCCCATTCTCCCATCCAAGGATAGGTCACAGTGGAAAGATTACTTCACTGGTCTTATAAAATACACTAGAGCAATCCCACTTCCTAAAGGAACCACACCCTTATAATCAGAAAAAGAGAATACTGAGCCAACACAAAAATAAAAAGATAGCTTATGTGAAGCCATCCCGTCTCCTTCAGAATGTCTGTCCCCTTCGGGCAGGAAACATTTCTCCTCAGTGTTCGTTATGGTACCAAGTATAACTTTATAGACAAGTGAACTCACAAAAGAAATTCATGATAAAACCTAAAAGGCTTTTCCTAACATTTGCTTTCCTTTGTTTATTTTTAGTATCTTTCTGTAAAATCACATCTTAAAAAAAAGAAAGGGATAAAGGACCAAGAAAAGATGAAGGAGAGGATATGAAGAAGTAGAGTAGCACTTCATATACCCCATCTTCAAGCCTTACAGACAGCTTGCAAGGTAGGAGCTACTATGCCCATTTTACAAATGAAAAGCTTAAGGTTTTTAAGGGGGTAACTTGTGCATGGCATACATATACTAATAAGCAAAGCCAGGTTTCAAACTCACTGGCTGACAAATACCTAGAATTCAGCATTTCTATATTTCCAGGTAAATGCAGAGCTCTTGACAAACATTTGAGCTAATAGTCAAGCTTAGAGAAAAACAAAAAAACACTACTATGATGGAATCATTTTATTCTTGAAATCTGATAAAACTGGTATAGACTAAAGGTCATCTTGGCCATAAATCAATCTTATGAAAGTGTCTACAACATGCCTAGTTTTAAGCAACGTAACTTCCTGATGACTCCTCTGTAATAAAGTAGCTGCAAAATGTTTATATAATGAGGCAACTTGTTTTATGAGATTACTACCCACAGACTGGTCAGGATTTGAGGTCTTGTATTACTTTTCTATCGATGAGTAACAATTACCACAAATTTAGCAGCTTTAAAAAATCCAACTTATGGGAGTTGAACAATGAGAACATGTGGACACAGGGAGGGGAACATCAGACTCCGGGGCCTGTCGGGGATGGGGGTCAAGGGGAGGGAGAGCATTAGGACAAATACCTAATGCATGTGGGGCTTAAAACCTAGATGATAAGTACAGCAAACCACCATGGCAATATATACCTATGTAACAAACCTGCACGTTCTGCAAATGTATCCCAGAACTTAAAGTAACATTAAAAAAAAATCCCACTTATTAGTGCATAGTTTTGTAGGCCATAAGTCCAGCATGACATGGCTAGGTTCTCTTTAGCATCTGGAAGGCAATGAGTGTGTACCCACTGACTGAATACTTACTTTTCATGTATGCTATTGTTTCTCTCCCTCCTTGACCCTAAGGATCATTACTGTCTTGATTTCTGAAACCATTGATTAAGCGTGACTATTTTGATTCAACATATCATGTATACTATTTTCAATTTATGTCACTTTCTACCAGAATTCTAGGATTATCCCCAAGATTTCCCTCTTCTTCCTCTGGTGTACATGCTCCACCTAATCCCCCAGATTGGGAGTTTGATGGATTTGCCCCCCAGGATTAGGTCACCTTATATGGCAGAGTTAACTTTAGAAAGGGAGATTATCCAGGTGGTCCTGACCTAATTGCATGACCCTTTTAAAGGCAGAGTCTTCTCTGGCTGGCAGTAACTACTAAAAAAATGGGGACCTCAATACTACAAATGCAAAGGATTGAATTCTGCCAATAACAAAAATGAGCTTGGAACTGGACTTTTCCTTCAGAAAAAAAACTTTCCTTCAGGGAAAAATTCAGCCAGGCTGACACCTTGATTTCAGCCTCATAAAATGCTAAATAAAGGGGATTCCATGATAATCAAGACAAGGACTCTGTCCTCATAGAGCTTAAAAACCTATCAAGGAATAGCCAGGTGTGGTGGTGTGCATCTGTAATCCCAGATACTTGGGAGGCTGAGGCAGGAGAATCTCTTGAACCCGGGAGGCGGAGGTTGCAGTGAGCTGAGATCGTGCCCCTGCACTCCAGCCTGGGGGACAGAGTGAGACTCCATTTCATCTCAGATGAGCCTGGGCAATACAGCAAGACTCCACTCCATCCCATCTCAGCTGTCTATGCTCTCAAAGCACTTCTGAATAACACCAAAGTAATCCATATCACATTGTCCCAAAATTGCTTATTCATACATTCATCTCCTCACTGTTTTGAGCTTCTTGAGGAGAGACACCATGCATAGCACTTGGCACATGGTAGGAGGCAACAACAATATTCACTGAACGAACTGAATGAATAAATACTGATGCCTTAAGAGGCAATGAATTCCTGCCTTACAAATATTTAAACAAAGACTAGACAATCATTTAGTGGGAGATGCAGAGAGAATTGAAGCATCTGATTACTGGACCTGATTACTGAGTAGGATTCTCCAAACCTGAGTTTCCTTGGGACTAGATGAAGAAAGCTGGGAAATGAAAAGTCACAGAGAAGAGAAAGTGCTATGTTCGAGGAATAGCAAGTGGCTCTTTTGCTTGGACAAGAGAGGACAGGATGGAGACAGGATTCCAGCAAGAAAGAGGTGACACACCCAAGAAAGTAAAGGGAAATTATTGAATAAATCTGTTCTTTAAGAGGAATGGGCAAAGTAAAGTATCCACCCTGGGATGCCAAAGCCAACAGAGATGAGCAACAGCATGTGGCTATTTCCACCTATGGATCTGAAGGGGCAAAAGAAGTGGAGTTACCAGAACCCTGTGAAAGAGGGGTTGCTTGATGTGAGTCATGGCCTGGGTAGAGAAACAAGACTTGGTTACTGCCAGAATCAAGGACTGCCAGGAAGAGAGGGGAGGAATAAGTATCCAGACATCCACCTCCCTCTGTCAGTGGCCAAACCCAGTGAAAAGCCAGAGTGAGGAAGCCCCAGTGAGGCATGTAGAAGCCAAGCCCCCAAATCCCACAGCAGGGCAGAGAATGCACCTGAAGGGTCCAACGGAGTGTAAGCAGCACAGATGGGGAAAGGGAAGCAGAGCCCGACTATACCAGGTCTCGAGGGGCAGGTGAGGGGCTTGAGCACCATTCAGTGAGCCCTCAGTAGCCTCTGCAGAGTTTGAGGCATGACCCAGGCTCTTCCTGAGGATGACTAATTTAGTGGCTGTCATCAGAATGAACTCTGAATGAGAAGAGACAATAGAAGGCAGGGAAACAATCTAAGAAACCACCAAAATGGTTGACGCGGAAGGTGAGGTGCCTAAAGGAAGGGATGAGCTCGTCATCGCTCTCAGCCACTCACAGGCTTCTCGTGCCCCAGCAGCTTGTTGCTTACCTTCCAGGTGAGCAGGGCACAAAGTCCTGGGGGTGGAGAAGCAAGCTTTTCTCTACACTGGGAAAACACGTCTGTTGTTTAACTTTTTAGGCTCCCACTGATGTTCACTTCACCTCCTTTCCTCTGTGGCTGAAATTACACTGAGCATTGCCAGCAGAAAGGAGCAGCGGAGGCTGAAGGTCACATCTGGAGCAGAGGGCAGTCACTGAGTTGCTTAGCACAAGAAGCCGCTAAACGGATAGAGACCCACAGGGAGAAAGCTCTGCTTGATTATCAGTAGCCACTTCCTAAAGATTCTGATGTCCTGATGCTTTTCTACCCTCCTCTTCCTCACAGTGACCAAACCATCCTTCCTACCTTGCCCCTTCCAAAAACTGTCTTCCTTGGGCCTCATGTCAACGGATTTCCTTGGGACTCATTTTCAGGCTTTAAATCCAAAGTCAATCTGACAACTTTATGGGCAACTAGACCAGCACAGAGATGACCAGAAGATTAATATTGTTCCATGAAGCTTTCTGCTTCTGCAAGAGTACATCCAGACTTTCTTCTTCCATTACCATTGCTCTTGTCTCCATGGAAGCTACGTCGCACAAAGTGGGCACAGGCATCGGTGGACAGAGCCAGAGTGACCGCCTGGTAGTGCCCTTCATCAGGTAGATAGGAAATAGCTCCAGCTGTATTTCTTGTTTTCTGTTCAGAATAATAGTCTTTGGTTGTATTGGTATTATTATAGAAAGTTTCCTGAAAAAGAAAAAGCAGTTGCTGTTTGAGTTCTCAGCTGTTTTCTGATACACTATGCAACAAGGCCTCATTTGATTGGGATTTACATCTTATTTTCTTCACTGCTTCATGAAAAGCTTAGCACCAGTAAGAGGATTATTTACAACATGATATTGCTGAGGCCTGGAGAGACTTTAAAGATTTGTCTCTGAACAAACTCTTTGCCAGGCTTTTCAAGATCAAGGTGCAGAGGGAAAGAGCGTCCAAAAAAAGAAAAAGGCTGAATTACCACACACTTAGAAGTTCTTCCCATACTTGTGGCATTACCATTTATCATCAGCAACATGAATCAACAAATCTCAATAAATAAGTTTCTATTTCAGATTAAAGGGTGAAATGATACAAAACAGCAACACCAAGCATGTCACACACACACAAACACACACACACACACACTCTCTCTCTCTCTCTCTCTCGCTCTCCCTCTCTCTCTCTCCCTCTAACCTGTTCTAAAGCAGTCCTCCTCCCATGATTGGAAGCCACATTCCAACTGGAGTTCTTACAACAAATAAAGTGTTTACGAGAATCTTCCCCACTAGCCCCACATCTGCCAGTCTGTCCACTTCCAAGGACAACAAGAACACCAGTCAACCAACCCATGGGCTTTTGCTTAGACTCAGGGCTGTGGAGGAGACAATCAGACACCCCTCAATGGAAAATAGCAAGGCCAGTTGAAGGCCAAAGTGGCAAGAAACCACTTGGAAACCATGTGTGTGTGCCCTGAAACAGTAAATAACATTGTGTGAATTCAGTCATTCATTCTGTTTATGAAGTCGGCACACAATTATTTATCTTACTACAGATGTGTTTTTAAAAAACAATTTTGATGACAGAATAAAAAACCACTTTCTTTAACCCTCCCAATTTTTGTTCCTAAATCTGTTTTCTGTACTAAGAACTGCACAAATGATTTGCATTGTTATTCTGATGTAATCTAAATCTCTTTTCTATAACTAGACTGGTTTCTTGTCTTTCAAATAGACACATGACAGCTGCTTTCCCAATAGAGCCCTGTGCAAAAAGGGGAGGTGCAACCCAAAGAGGGCCGGCAGCTGGAATTTCCCCAGTGTGGGTAGGAGACCTGGCAAGCTACGGGCAGATGGAGAGGACTACGTGGACAGACAGGACCCATGCATTGCTGTGGCCATCACTCATGCAGCTGCTCTTCCTTCTATCTTCTGAAGGGTGGCTCTTGGCTGCTGGCTTCACTTTCAGAAAGAACCCCACTTTTGCAAGCCTCGAGGATCAGCTTCTACTCTTGCATCCATTTTCTTGAGCAAAAAAAGAAATGAATCAGTATTAGAAAGCTCTGAGAACAGGGAAAAGTGAGTAAACAAACTTATTTTTTCCTCTGAATGGAACATAAGTTCTTCATGGGCACAAGCATAGTATAGATGGTTCGTTGTAAACTATTGATATAATATTAAAATAACCCAGTTAGGGGCGTAAAGGGCTTCTTTTTAAATCAAACCCTCCCGGAACTGGGGAGGAGGAGAATACCAGGATCTGGACTTTTTTGTTTTTCAAGAAAATATTGTTTTGGGTTTTTTATTTTTGTCAAAAATGTCACTTTTCTGACTGTGAAATAAAAAAGGTCTATTTTTTTCAGCCTACATTAAGCAGTTCAGCTTATGAATATGAATGGCCTCTGGTGTTGTCATTAGAATGAGTTGTTTAGTGTACAGTACTCAAAGACAATATTCTCAAACCATTATAAGCAGGATTTTTTCATTCTTCATTCAAGTAAACATGTATCAACTAGCTTCTATGGGTCTGGTATGGGCAAGGGATATTCTTTGAGAATCATTTTCCAGGTAGAAGTTTATAATGAACCCCTACTTTTACCTCACCAATTAGTAATGGCACGTGCTTGAAAAGCAACTGTCCAGGATCTCACCTATGTGATCTGCACATTCAGAACGGGGAGCACTAACTGGCATTAATGTACATAGGAGAAAACATATAGCACAGCACTTACACACACAGACTCTGAAGCTAGCTGTCTGGGTTCAGTTCCCACCTCTGCCACTTGCTAGATCAATTAGAAAAACAATTTCTCATTCAAGTAATAATACAAACAATTTAGATAAGGACTCAGCACATAGTAAGGTACTCTACTAAGTGTTAGTTATTATTAAGAGCCTGGTTTAACGGGGCTCTAAGCCACCACCCAGAGAAATCACTGAGAACCCAAGGCCTAGCCTTCCTCCTACTGAAGAGTCATTCCCTCCACTCCCCACCAGCCCTGCTGACGCTGCCTGTCTTGCTAGTGATGCCACCCTAATAACATGAATGCCTTCACCACTGCCTTCTCCAGCCTCTCAAAGTTGCCCTCTCAGTCTCCTGAGTTGATCCTGTGGCTCTCTCAAACAGAAGGGAGGATTCTCTTTCCATCATTGTTGTAACTTTTTACCAGACCTTTAAGTGTGACCGTGATCTCTCCATTTTTTAATAAATCTCCCATAAAGGGTAGCTTACTCTTTTAGTTTCCTTCAGAACTATCTTCCAAATAACTCAAGAAAAGCAACCCCCTCAGCAAAGTCAGAAAATATTTGAATGGCAGCTTAAATAACCTGCTCAACAAGTCTCTTCCCACTGATTATGCTACTGTTCCACCGAGGTAGTTAGGCATCTTGATCTCGCCCTATACGTATCATTATACTTTTTGTACAGTAGTACCCTCTTATCTGTAGTTTCACCTTCCAGTTACCTGTGATCCAAAGACAGATGGCTATAGGCAAACCTCACTTTATTTTGCTTCACAGATATTGCATTTTTTTTACAAATTGAAGGTTTGCAGCAACCCTGTGTTGAGCAGTCTATCGGCACCAATTTTCCAACAGCATGTGCTCACTTCATGTCTGTCAGCACTTTTTAAGAATAAGCTTTTTTTTTTTTTTTTTTTTTTTTTTTTTTTGAGATGGAGTCTCACTCTTGTCTTCCAGGCTGGAATGCAGTGGTGTGATCTGGGCTCACTGCAACCTCTGCCTCCCAGGTTCAAGTGATTCTCTCACCTCAGCCTCCCAAGTAGCTGGGATTACAGGTGTGCACCACCACACCTGGCTAATTTTCATATTTTTAGTAGAGCCAGGGTTTTAGCATGTTGGCCAGGCTGGTCTTGAACTCCTGACCTCAGGTGATCCACCCGTCTCAGCCTCCCAAAGTGCTAGGATTATAGGCATGAGCTACCACGCCCAGCCAAGAATAAGCTATTTTTTATTAAGATATGTATGTTGTTTTTCTAGACAATAAGCTACAGTGTCGCGTAAACATAACTTTTGTATGCACTGGGAAACCAAAAAAAAAAAAAAGTGTAACTCACTTTACTGAGATATTTGTTTTATTATAATTGTCTAGAACCAAACCTATATCTCCAAATATGCCTGTACAGAAAATAAGATTTTAAAAGACAGAGATCACATTCACATAACTCTTAATATAGTATGTTGTTATAATTGTTCTATTCTAGTATTAGTTATTGTTGTTAGTCTCTTGATGTACCTAATTTACATGTTAAACTTTATCATAGGTATGTATGTATAGAAGAAAACATAGTATATATAGAACTCAGTACTATCCTTAGTTTTAGACATCTGGTGAGGGTCTTGGAAGTGGATCCCCAAAGATAAAGAGAGACTATTTTATATCCCCACACATACCTCACATCAACACACACAAGCATACACATGCACACACACACACACAGCCTTGCATAACACCTTACTGGAGAATTTTAGTCTCCTTATCTTGAGGATCAATCAACAATTCCAAATTTTCTTTACCATATTTTCAGGACACCTATCAAATTCTCATGCAAATAGAGCTCTGAAGTCTGTTAGCCCCTGTCTGGGACTACATATAAGACTTCCTTAATCCTGTGTTTTTCCTGATGTTTACCTGTTAGCATTTCTTAAATGGTGATCAGGAAACATTGACATCAAAACCACCTGAGCAGTCTTGTTAAACATTTATATCAGCTGGGTCAGAATCTCTGAGACCCTAATTAGGACGGCTATTATGAAAAAGTCAAAAAATAACAAATGCTGGCAGGGATGCAGACAAAAGGGAACTCTTCTACACTGTTGGAAATGTAAACTAATACAGCTAATTAGGAAAATAGTACAGAGGTTCCTCAAAAAACTACACAGAACTACCGTATGATGTAGCAACCCCTCTACTGGGAATTTATCCAAAGGAAAGGAAATCAATATATTACAGAGACATTTGTACTCCCATGTTTATTGCAGTACTATTCATAATAACTAAGATGCAGAATCAACCTAGGTGTCCAACAACAGATGAATGGATAAAGAAAATGTAGTATATATACACAATGGAATACTATTCAGCCATAAAAAAGGATGAAATCCTGTCACTCACAATAACATGGATGGAACTGGAGGACATTATGTTAAGTAAAATAAGCCAGGAACAGAAAGTTAAACATCACATGTTCTCACTCATCTGTAGAAACAAAGAAAAAGTTGATCTCATAGAAGTAAGAAGAAAAACAGGATACTAGAGGCTGGGAAGGGTAGGGGGAAGGGGGGAATAGGGAGAAATTTGTTAAAGGATACAAAACTTCAGCTAGAAAGAAGTACATTCTAGTGTTCTACACCACTAGGATGACAATAGTTAACAATAATATGTTATGTAGTTTCAAATAGCTAGAAGAAGGATATTGAACACTCCCAACACAAAGAAATGATAAATGTTTAAAATGATGGATATGCTAAGTACCCTGATGTGACCACTGTACATTATATGTATCAAAACATTGCTACGTACCCCATGAATATGTACCAATATTATTTATCAATTTTTAAAAAAATTAAATAAATATTTTTTAAAAAACAAAACAGAAAAGAATCCCTGGGCATAACAGTCAACATTTTCAATTTTTATAAGATCTACCTTAATATACTCTGAAGTTTGAAAACTACTGTTCTACATCATTTTGAAATATATATTGTTTTGAAACAAACATTAACTGCATTAACAAGCATTATGTGTCTATCTGATCACTTAAATTATTGGAAGCAATTACAGTGATATTGAACATAAAATCCTGTATGCCATCCTTTATTATTTAAAACATGCTCCATCACTAAGGTGAAGAATGTCTGCAAGGCAGGAAAACCTCTGGTCTCTGGAACCAATGAGAACAAGTCAAAGAATTGGTACAAATATACAATTGAAGCCCCTAATAGCAAGTCCAAACAGCCTCTCAGTTAAGTACATGAGCATTGCAGTCAGCAAGACCTGGATTCAGTTCCCAGTATGGCCACTAACTCCTTTTGTGACCTTCAATTTTCTTAACCAGTCTGTGCCTCGTTTTTCTTACCTGTAAGATTTAGGTACTAATAGAAAACATCTATTGAGATAATCATGTGGTTTTTGTCTTTGGCTCTGTTTATATGCTGGATTACATTTATTGATTTGCGTATATTGAACCAGCCTTGCATCCCAGGGATGAAGCCCACTTGATCATGGTGGATAAGCTTTTTGATGTGCTGCTGGATTCGGTTTGCCAGTATTTTATTGAGGATTTTTGCATCAATGTTCATCAAGGATATTGGTCTAAAATTCTCTTTTTTGGTTGTGTCTCTGCCCGGCTTTGGTATCAGAATGATGCTGGCCTCACATGATTATCTCAATAGATGCAGAAAAAGCCTTTGACAAAATTCAACAACCCTTCATGCTAAAAACTCTGAATAAATTAGGTATTGATGGGACGTATTTCAAAATAATAAGAGCTATCTATGACAAACCCACAGCCAATATCATACTGAATGGGCAAAAACTGGAAGCATTCCCTTTGAAAACTGGCACAAGACAGGGATGCCCTCTCTCACCGCTCCTATTCAACATAGTGTTGGAAGTTCTGGCCAGGGCAATCAGACAGGAGAAGGAAATAAAGGGTATTCAATTAGGAAAAGAGGAAGTCAAATTGTCCCTGTTTGCAGACGACATGATTGTTTATCTAGAAAACCCCATCGTCTCAGCCCAAAATCTCCTTAAGCTGATAAGCAACTTCAGCAAAGTCTCAGGATACAAAATCAATGTACAAAAATCACAAGCATTCTTATACACCAACAACAGACAAACAGAGAGCCAAATCATGGGTGAACTCCCATTCACAATTGCTTCAAAGAGAATAAAATACCTAGGAATCCAACTTACAAGGGATGTGAAGGACCTCTTCAAGGAGAACTACAAACCACTGCTCAAGGAAATAAAAGAGGACACAAACAAATGGAAGAACATTCCATGCTCATGGGTAGGAAGAATCAATATCGTGAAAATGGCCATACTGCCCAAGGTAATTTACAGATTCAATGCCATCCCCATCAAGCTACCAATGACTTTCTTCACAGAATTGGAAAAAACTACTTTAAAGTTCATATGGAACCAAAAAAGAGCCCGCATTGCCAAGTCAATCCTAAGCCAAAAGAACAAAGCTGGAGGCATCACACTACCTGACTTCAAACTATACTACAAGGCTACAGTAACCAAAACAGCATGGTACTGGTACCAAAACAGAGATATAGATCAATGGAACAGAACAGAGCCCTCAGAAATAATGCCGCATATCTACAACTATCTGATCTTTGACAAACCTGAGAAAAACAAGCAATGGGGAAAGGATTCCCTATTTAATAAATGGTGCTGGGAAAACTGGCTAGCCATATGTAGAAAGCTGAAACTGGATCCCTTCCTTACACCTTATACAAAAATCAATTCAAGATGGATTAAAGATTTAAACGTTAGACCTAAAACCATAAAAACCCTAGAAGAAAACCTAGACATTACCATTCAGGACATAGGCGTGGGCAAGGACTTCATGTCCAAAACACCAAAAGCAATGGCAACAAAAGACAAAATTGACAAATGGGATCTAATTAAACTAAAGAGCTTCTGCACAGCAAAAGAAACTACCATCAGACTGAACAGGCAACCTACAACATGGGAGAAAATTTTCGCAACCTACTCATCTGACAAAGGGCTAATATCCAGAATCTACAATGAACTCAAACAAATTTACAAGAAAAAAACAAACAACCCCATCAAAAAGTGGGCGAAGGACATGAACAGACACTTCTCAAAAGAAGACATTTATGCAGCCAAAAAACACATGAAAAAATGCTCATCATCACTGGCCGTCAGAGAAATGCAAATCAAAACCACTATGAGATATCATCTCACACCAGTTAGAATGGCAATCATTAAAAAGTCAGGAAACAACAGGTGCTGGAGAGGATGTGGAGAAATAGGAACACTTTTACACTGTTGGTGGGACTGTAAACTAGTTCAACCATTGTGGAAGTCAGTGTGGCGATTCCTCAGGGATCTAGAACTAGAAATACCATTTGACCCAGCCATCCCATTACTGGGTATATACCCAAAGGACTATAAATCATGCTGCTATAAAGACACATGCACACGTATGTTTATTGCGGCACTATTCACAATAGCAAAGACTTGGAACCAACCCAAATGTCCAACAATGATAGACTGGATTAAGAAAATGTGGCACATATACACCATGGAATACTATGCAGCCATAAAAAATGATGAGTTCATATCCTTTGTAGGGACATGGATGAAATTGGAAATCATCATTCTCAGTAAACTATCGCAAGAACAAAAAACCAAACACTGCATATTCTCACTCATAGGTGGGAATTGAACAATGAGATCACATGGACACAGGAAGGGGAATATCACACTCTGGGGACTGTGGTGGGGTCGGGGGAGGGGGGAGGGATAGCATTGGGAGATATACCTAATGCTAGATGACACATTAGTGGGTGCAGCGCACCAGCATGGCACATGTATACATATGTAACTAACCTGCACAATGTGCACATGTACCCTAAAACTTAGAGTATAATAAAAAAAATAAAAAAAAATAAAAAAAATTAAAAAAAAGAAAGTTGCCAGGCAAATTTTTGGAAAACAATTTAATAGTGTCTTGCCCCACTGTTTATAAAACAATATCTTTCTAAGCCAAAAAATAAAAGACAATTCCTGCGTAAAAAAAAAAAAAAAAAAAAAAAAAAAAAGAAAACATCATAGATTTATTGTAAGAATGAATCAAGCAAATGTAGGCAAGGTATTCAGTACAGTACACAGTAAGCCCAGTAAGTCATTATTTCTGATAAAAAGTACCCCCAGTGGGTTCCAAATAAACCAAACAGCTCTCATCTAAATAAAATCTTCAAGACTGTTAGCGAGCTGCTGGCCTGATGCCACTTTGCCTTTTTTCCAAGTACCTGGATACCTTGATAGTGTGATCTTCAAATCACGACAGAGCAAAGCAACATGAGTCCAAACAGCATTCTACCAGACAACTCCAGCCCTAGAGAAGAGTCAAGAAAAGGAGGGCAAAATCCAAAGAATAAACCATCTTCAAAGGTGGGACAGATTCACTCAATAGATATTCATAGAGCACCTGTACCAAGCGCTGTGTGGTGCTGGGAATGCAGCTCAGAACAGACTCTGTTCCCTTGTGGAGCTTATACCCCAGTGCAGGGAAGCAGATAATAAACAAGTAAATTAGCAAAATATAAAATATACAATATTGTCTGATGGTGAAATGTGCTATAGAGCAATAGAAAACAAGGTTGGGGGAAAAAGAGAGCCAGGGTGAATAATAATCAAGATAAAGCAGAAAAATCTATTACAAAAGATAAGGGAGGAGGAATTGCTTTTCCTTAATCTCTGTCATCCACTCAATACAGCACTTCAGACATCAGATTTGTGGGGGTTTTCCACACATGACAAGCAAGCAATTCTATAGCAGACACCAGCGAGTATCCTCTAATTCAATTCAATTCTGACACTGTCCACCTATAGATAGCGTCAGATCCTACAGGTTGAAGGCTCAGTACCACAAGACAGCCCCTCACTTCAGATACCAGTGGTAAGTAGTAGATTGTCACTATGTCTGACTGACTGGGTATAAACCAGGGTTCCCACAACCTGTTCCTTGGGTGCAATTGATTTGCTAGAGTGGCTCACATAACTCAGGAAAACACTTTATTTGCCCATTTATTGTAAAGATGCACAGGGCAAGGTATGGATCAAGTGGCATACCACCCTCCAGGAACCCCCACAAGTTGATCTATTAGGAAGCTCCCCAAACCCAGTCCTTTGGGCTTTTATGGAGGCTTCATTACATAGGCATGACTGGTTAAATCATTGGCTATTGGTGATCAGTTCAACCTTTAGCCCCTCTACCACACCAGGGGGTTGAGAGTAAGGGTTGAAAGTCCCAACCCTCTAATCATGCTTTGGTCTTTCTGGGTGACCAGCCCCATCCTGAGGCTACCTAGGGGCCCCCAGCTACCTCATTAGCAAACAAAAGACACATAGAGTGGTCAGGCATAGTGGCTTACTCCTGTAATCCCAACGCTTTGGGAGGCCGAAGCAGGAGAACCGCTTGAGCTCAGAAGTTTGAGACCAGCCTAGACAACATGGTGAAACCCCATCTCTACAAAAAATACAAAAATTAGCCGGGTGTGGTGGCATATGCCTGTAGTCCCAGCTACTCTGGAGGCTAAGGTGGGAGGATTGCTTGAGCCTGGAAGGCAGTGGTTGCAGTGAGCCAAGATCGCACCCCTGCACTGCAGCCTCCGTGACGGAGCCAGATCCTGTCTCAAAAAAACAAAAACAAAACAAAAAAAAACACCCAGACTCAGAACTTTTTAATTTCTCTGCCTTTTCAGTCATTCTACTGGTGTTATCCAGCACTCACTGTGCCCAGAGGTCTCTGTGGAAGAAGCAACTGGAAGGACCCCGGCCCCTCCAGGAGTTTACAGGCAGACCCAGAAACAAGGTTCAACCCTTTAGAGTGAAAGCAAGCAAAGGAATGAGCTTGCTCTGGGGTGTAACCAACAAGTGCAAGAGGGGACTAAGGGCTTCAAGTGATCCTGTTTGGAGCTACATTTTATTTTCATTATGAAGGCCCTTTGGAAGGAGTGAGGACAGAGATATCTGCGAGTCAGTCTGTGCAGCTCCTCGCTGCTGGGATAAGTTCTGGGTGAGACTGTGCTCTGGCGGCACAAAACAAGACCCCAAAGAAGGGCCACAGTATGAGCCCCACTGGCAGCTGCTTGCCACAGGGAAGCCAGTCACAGACAAGGTTATTAAAGTCCACACCTCCACTGCTGGATCCCATTTTTAAGATTGAAAAAGCAGAAAATTAGTGCCAATTTACAGGTCAGAGCTACCGAAAACTCAAATCATAATTAAGAAAGGGAAAATTATATTTACCGGGAAAAACAAATTGCCACAGAGGGAGTGCTGGAACAAGTACTAGGAACACACAGTGCCCATTTCATTCTTTTCTCCAGTCAGTTTAAGGGTGTTTTAAAAGCAAAGAGGCAGCAGATAGAGAGGAAGCTGAGGGAACAGTGCAAACACACAGAGGAACAAAACTGGAGGGGGAGCCTCATGACCCTGAGCCAGACATGGTCCAAATGGAATGCAGATCTGATCATGCTGCTCCTCTGTTTAAAACCCTGCAGAGGCCACCCACTCTGCTTTAAATAAAGCCCAAATTCCTTCATGCGGTCCACAAAGACAGGCAGAATCTGGTTCCTTGCCTGGCTGTATCTCACCGTTTGCCAGAAAGGGATATACTGGTTGGTTTAAGCCAGGCAGGATACACCACTGGAGCCAGACGTGGTATCCAGTCCATGCCAGATGCATAGCTGAGCAAAGCAGAACCCAACCTTAAAGACAAAAACTCAAGTCTGTTAAAGAAATTAAGAAATAGACACCAAGGAAGCAATCAACAAATACCCATTTTAAAGGTAAATCAACTTTCCAAAGCAGTGTTCAAGTTTTTCCACTATGTAAAAAAGTATTCCATCACTCCTGCATTGCTTAGAGAAGCTGTGATTCTTAGACTCAGACAGAACTGTGGAGATAGAGCCGAGTCTAACTCCCTCTTGTTACAGCAATTAAGGCATAGAAAAGTGAAGTAATCACCCCAGGATACACATCAGTTAGTGCCCTTGAAAAGAATAATACCCAATTGTTTTTATTTCTGAGCTAACACGCTCCTTCTAGTATGTCATTACTACACAACCAGGACAGAATCAAACCATAGGATTCATCTATTGTTATTCTAAAACATACAGTTTATTGGCAGACAGAGTATGTTTGTTGGGTTTGTAAGGAAGGGAGTAGGTAGAAAAGAATGAAAGAATGGAAAAAAAGAGCAGTTTTAATATCATTTTAACTTTGTTTTAATTCATAAACTTTCTTTTTTGTATTTTATTTTATATGTTTATTTTAGATTCAGGAGTTAGAGCTGCAGGTTACATGCGTATATTATGTAATACTGAGATTTGTGTTTCAATTGAATCTGTCACCCAAATAGTGAACATAGTACCTGATAGGTAATTTTTCAACCCTTGGCCTCCTCCCTCTCTCAGTATTTGGTTTTCTGTTCCTGTTAATTCACTTAGGATAATGGCCTCCAGTTGCATCCATGTTGCTGCAAAAGACATGATTTCATACTTTTTTATGGCTGCATAGTATTCCATGGTGTATATGGACCACATTTTCTTTATCCAATCCACCATTGATTGGGCACCTAGGTGGAGTCCATTTCTGTGCTATTGTAAATTCACAGAACTTTCTAATGCATTTACTAACACTAAAAGCAACAGCTTTTCTTACAGTTGAGAAAATGTGACATCCAGAACTTTGATAATAAGAATCCATATAGTAACAATAATTGGGCTTGTAAGTCCTGGTTCCTGGGCTGAAGACCATTTGGGGAAAAGAGAAGTTGTTGACTCTGCCCTCAGCACTGGTGTGCTTGGGATCTTCTAGGGGATCCTCATTTGGAATGGCTTTGAGGAAGCACTCTTCAGGGTACAGACAGTAAACACTCATGTTGGTCAATTTTCTTCAATCTTTTTTTTTTTAATTTTGCTTTAAGTTCCAGGATACAAGTGCAGAATGTACAGATTTGTTACATAGGTATACGTGTGCCACGGTGGTTTTATACACCTATCAACCCATCATCTAGATTTTAAGCCCCCACATGCATTAGCTATTTATCCTAATGCTCTCCCTCCCCTCGCCCTCGACCCCCCAACTGGCCCCAGTGTGTGTTATTCCCCTCCCTATGTCCATGTGTTCTCATTGCTGAACTCCCACTTATGAGTAAGAACATGCGGTGTTTGGTTTTCTTTTCCTGTATTAGTTTGCTGAGGATGATGGCTTCCAGCTTCATCCATGTCCCTGCAAAGGACATGATCTCATTCTTTTTTATGGCTGCGTAGTATTCCATGGTGTATATGTACCACATTTTCTTTATCCAGTCTATCATTGATGGGCATTTGGGTTGGTTCCATGTCTTTACTACTGTAAATAGTGCAGCAATAAACATACATATGCACGTGTCTTTATAGTAGAATGATTTATATTCCTTTGGGTATATACCCAGTAATGGGATTACCGGGTCAAATGGTATTTCTGATTCTAGACCCTTGAGGAATCGCCACATTATCATCCTCAATGGTTGAACTAATTTACATTCCCACCATATGTTGGTCAATTTTTTTAAATCACAGAGCATAATGTCTTCATCTATGTGGTCATATATGGCAGTATTTCCTTCTTTTTTCAACGCTGAGTAATATTGTATTTACGGTTGTCACTTGGTATCTACCCCAGATTGGTTCTGAGAGCCCCAAGGATGCCAAAATCCAAGGTTGTACAAGACCCTTATATAAAATGGCATAGTATTTGCATATAACCTAAATACATCTTCCGGTATACTTTAAATCATCTCTAGATTACTTTTAATAGCTAACACAAGGTAAATGCTACGTAAATAGTTGTTATACTGTATTATTTTTTATTTGTACTATTTTTATTTTGGGGGGATTTTTTATATACTACATTTTTCATCTGTGATTGCTTGAACCTGTGGATACAGAGAGCTAGCTGTATATACCACATTTTCTTTATCCATTCATTCATTGATGGGCAGTTAGTTTGTTTCCACCTTTTAGCTGTTGTGAATAGTGCTGCAACAAATACGAGAGTGCAAATATCTCTCTGAGATCCTGATTTCAACTCTTTTGGATAAATACTCAGAAGTAGGATTACTGAATCATATAGCAGTTCTATTAAAGGACAAATGAGGCATGATTCCACTCATATGAGGTATCTAAAATAGTCAAACTCAGAAGCAGAGAATAGAATAGTGGTTATCAGAGGTTGGGGAGAAGGGGAAATGGGGAGTTGCTAGTCAACAGGCATGAAGTTTCAGCTGTGCAGCATGAAGAAGCTCTAGAGATCCGCAGTACAACATTGTGCCTATGGTTAACGGTCCTGTATTACACACTTTAAAATGTGTTCCAAGGACAGATCTCATGTTAAGTGTTCCTACCATAACTTTTTTTTTTTTTTTTTTTTTTTTGGTAAATCATAAAGCAACCTGGGCTCTAGGGCCTGTGAACTCTCAGCCAGGTCACAAAACTGCATTTCATATTCAGGGCCGAACAGCTAGTAAGAGCCAGTTATGGGCGTGAGAAGAATGAATCAAAAATTGGCAAATCTTCCCAGTGGCCTGGCAAGTCTATCCACTAGAAGTCACACCTCCTCCAGGTGAGGAGGGGCCAGTTCAAAGGCAAACAGCTCACTCAGAGGGAGTTTGTCTTAAGCCATTATTTACTTTAGTATCTCAGCAGGAATTAGTTTAGGTGAAGTGTGGCTCGCCTTGCTGCCCTGCCCAGATTCCTCCCTCTGGCCTTCCTCTCCTGCAGGCCTTCTTTTACCCTCTGGCCCAAATTCTCTTCCTAATATAAGTTGAATTGTGTGATTCTTCTGCTTAAAACAAACACTTTGACAAATTTAAATGTTTGTAGAATAAATCCGCCCTTGTTAACACCCATTAACACCCAATAAACCCCCCCTTGTTAACCCATTAACCTTTGTTTGAGGTCCAGACCCCCTACCCATAATTCATGCTGTGCTCTCATCCACCAAACCACAGAGGCTACCTCCCAGGTCACCTTCACTTTCACGCCTACCTACTCTTATTCTGGCTGTTTTCTCCACTGAGAGTCCTTCCCTGCCTTAACTGTAGAACAAAGCTTGACCAATTTTTAAGGCCCAGGTAAACATTATCCCTCCTCTCAATTTTCCTCCATAGTTTTCCTTTTCACATCCCATACCTCCCCATCCAAATATAACATTATGTTTCAGTCATTTCTTTCCTTTTGGTTTCCTACAAGGCAAGAACTGTATTTTACCCACCATTGGGTTGCAAGCCATTGTGCAGACCAGATGCCCAACTAATGTCCATTAAGTTGGATTGAATTATTTAATATCTGTCTTGCTTCAAGCCAGATTCAAATCACACCTTCTTTCAGAAGTCACCCTAAACTATCCTAACTGTAGCCTCAGCCAATGTCTTCAATCAGTCTGATTCCTCCCTCTCTTAACTCCAAATCTACAAGTGCAGCTCCAGATCCAAATCCCAGGACCCAGTATGAACTGAGTCACCCAGACCAAGTAATTCCAGCCCACATTCCAGAGCTCAGCATCAAGTCACCCTTGCCAATCTCACATTTACTTATTAACTTATTTAAAAAACATCTGAAAGCCTACTTTGCACCAGACCCTATATCAGGCGCAAAAGAAATAAGGATAAGGAAGTTAAGAGCCCTGCCCTCAGGGAGCCCACAGTCTAGTTGAGGAAGGTAAGAGGTGAACAACAACTCTGTTGCAAATCCTTTATCATATCTTGTTCAATTCGCAGTCTCTCTGCTCCATTTCTTGTTCTTGGGATTCTTTTTGCCTTGATTCCTGTTTCAGAAACTCCAACTTTCTTTTCAGACAAATCTTGCAATCTCACTACCAGGACAAAAGACCTGTCTCCAGATTTTTCTTCAGTACAACCAGACTTCCTACAAACTACTCTTTATGGAGTAAGGAAAAGCCAATTTCTTCACAGGATTTTTTATTTCAGGACTCTCCAGCATGTCTCTGAAATCTGGAATCTAATATGAATTACCCAGTGTTCTTTAACTTTAACATATATAAGATTCTCTAAAATCCTATTTAAAATGGATGTCCTCAGAGTCTATTCTCAGATATTCTAGTAATCTGTATTTATTACAAGCCTTCCAGGTGATTTTGAAGCATGTGGTCCAGGAAGTTTGCAAAACACCATCTTAAGATCCACAGGTGCACTGAGTCTTGGAAAAATCTACACTGTATCTTACCCTTCCCCACCACTACCACCATAGACTTGGACCCTAAAAACCTTCAATGGCTGGGCTAATCCTCCAAGTCTCCTGCCAAAGGAAGTGTAATTTAGACAGTGAGGACCTACTGTGCATGACTGCCTCAACTTTTGAATATTACCATTCCCAAACTCCCCACCATTGGTCACTGTCCTGGTGCTTTATCTTGACCTTTTTGCCAGTTACTTGCTAGGGATCTGATCTATTTCCATTACCACTGAGACACCATGTTTTGCAAACTAATATCTAAAATTCTGTTATTCTTTCATCCCCCTGTCCACCGTCCCTACCTAGATAGGTTTTGTTCCTGTTCCAGCCCTTCCCAACTACCCATTCAAGTGTAAATTATCAACTGTGTCTGCTCAAATCCTCAAAAATCCCAGCCCATGGTCATATTTTATTCATCTGAAATACTACAGCACCAATACTATGTCACTCATTGACACTTGTTATACTTTGTCCTGTTACCTATATCCTATCTCTCCAGCTAGACTGTAAATTAGTATTTGTAGATTAAATAATCATAAATGCCCTAGCTGGGAGGATTAAAAAAAAAAAAAAACAAGAAATTTATGATAACGGTAAAGGTCTAGAGGAACTCGTGTTGCCAGAAAGGTCAGGCTTAGAGGAGATACTAGAGTTTGTATTGAGTCCTCAGAAGAAAGGGTATTTTAACCATCATGATAATATTTCCCATTTATCGAGGGCCAATTATTGGCCAGGCTATGCCTGCTATATTACCTGTCTTTCCTCTAATCCTCATAACCATCCTTTGAAGAAACTGAGGTTCAAGGAAGTCCTCATATTTCCAAAGTTGATACAGCCAAAAAATGAAAGTGCTGAGATAATAACTCAGCCCATGTTCTTACTGCATGGTCCAAAGTACCATGGTCTTTCCACTACACTACAAATCAAGGAAACAAGTATCACCAGCTCCTCAATTTTGCCAGAGCTTCCTCATCCCTAAAAAGTTCTCATGTCACTTGGAAGTTTCCAACAAGTTCAAAAATGTATAAGAAAGAAAAAGCATTTTCCTAGAAAAATTAGGGAATAAAATGCAGTTAGGTGTACAAAGCAAGAAGGGAAGTTTTTCTGCCCAACAACAGTGTTTATTCCTCTGCTCAACTTTGTGGTACTAAACACAAAGCAAAACAAACTCTGGACATTTTAATGTTGTTTTCTTATTGGAGAATCTGACTTTTACTTCATAGGACAGGAAAACAGACCACTGAGCAGACTGAAGCATGGGGGCTCCTTCTAATAAGACTTTATGGCTGAGCTGAGCTTCTGTCGGTTCTGTATCAGCCTAAAAGATCCCTTGGCCCCTCTCCTAATTGAAGAGGCTGTTCCCAGCATGAACACTGGATAAGCTGCCCACGGCTTGGAGCCATGCTAGGCAGAACACCCTCATGGCTTCCAGGCAGCTTCATTGGATGCCAAGAATTAATTAATTGATGCCAATGGGGTTATTATACAGGCTTGGGACTAGAACATCATAAAGACAGGAAGCAGATGCAGCGGAGCCACAGACCTCACACTCCCTGGCACTCCAGCTGCTGTCTGGAGTATTGGTGAGTGCATTGGGTTTGGAGTCAAAAGCTCAATTCTGGGTCTATGGGGACTTTGCATCTTGCTAACCTTTCTGAGTCTAATTCCTTATCTGTAAATGAGAAGAATAATCCCTGCACTACTCACTGAACATGGCTTAATGAGGCTCAAATGAGGTATTTGTATGTGAAAGCTCTATAAAGACTATAAATGTTCCCTTGACGGCTCCCATAGCAATCTCTGCTTCCCTAACAAGCATTTATCATATTTTACAGTTATTACTTTTTTGTCTGTCTTTATCTTCTAGGCTATACATACCATAAAGACAGAGACTAGATCAATATTTCTCACCACTGTCTCCCAGTATCTACGAGAGTACTGGGCACTTGGTTGATGCTCAGTAAATATTTGCAAGATTAATGAATGGATGAATGAATGTAGTCCTCTACAATATTCATTTCTTTTGTGAAAATCTCATGTCATGGTAAGAACAAACCCCATGTCATTATCACTGTCTTAATTTATCTCAGTTACTTCCAACTTTATTTCACTTTATAACTAAAGCCATTCATCAGACACAGCTGTGGTACTCAAGAAGTATATAATCCACAGGGAATAAGTCATGTACAAATAAAAAATGAAATAGTAGCAAACAGAGTAAATGCCATTTCTAACAGATTCCTCTTTTTATTTCAACTTTTTTCAAAGACAATTTCTGGGGTAATTGCCAACATCCTAAAACTGTAAGTTTCCATATTTATAGGCCATGGACCTAGTATAACCAGGTAGACTATTTTAAATATAAATTCAATCATGTAGGAATTCCAGAGTTTTCTTTGTGGAGGAATGACTTCCTCAAAGCTCTGAGAACCAGAAGTAGACAACATGTGAGGTAATTAGACAGTATGTCGAGACCGGAAGTGTGGGGGTGGGGGGTGTTGAGGTTGCTTCTATAGATTCCAGTGAAACATTTTGTGGAAATAAAGAGTCAGACTCAAACTTAAAGGTAGGCTCTATCATTTACTAAGATTTTCATGCAATGAGAAGAATTGGAAAGCAAACACACAGCAGAAGTTCAATGCCCCAATATTTTTAGTACTTTAAAATTACAAATGTTCTTTTATCTGCTCTTAGGTGGAACAAATATGCAAACTAACCTAATAGCTTGAGCAAGCCACCGAGGGTTTCTTTCAAGGGATATTTTTCTCTGGGTCTACAGGGGAGCTAAGAACAAAGACGTCACGTAACACAGGGAAGCTTGGGAACACTTCTAGCAAGGAAGAGTTGAGTGATGTCTTTACCGCTATGGAGAAGGGTGAACAGAAGAAGGTGAAATGATGAAAACAGCAAGCTGGCTGGTCTAATAGAAAAGCCTTCTCTTTTTGATATGCTAGAAGGAATTGATCAGCTATTGAACCCTGCAGTAGTTAAGTCTGAAAGAGAGATTTTAGAATTCCTTAATCATTTCTAACACCTCATTAAAGACAACAAGCAAATATATGATGAATAAAATTTCCAGTGTATTTATTTATTATCAACAAATAATTGTGAGAATGAAGCTCAGTATTACTTATTTGCTGAAAGTTAATTTTAAGCATTTACCTGGGATAAGTGCCCATGATAGACACTTTGGGGAGTATAACAGAGCCTGAAACTTGTTCCCCAATATCTATTCTCCCCTTTTTCCACAGCTGAGCACAAGACCACTACAAATAAAGACTGCATTTCCCAACCTCCCCTGAAGCTAGGTATGCACATGTGACTAAGTTCTATCAACAGGATATCAACAGAAGTGTCATATCAGCAACTTCCACAAACTTTCCTTTGGAGAGAGCTGGTCCATATGGTTAGCTCCCTTGTCTCTCCCTCCTTTCTTCTTCCTGAAACAAAGATGCTGCCATCTTGAAGCTAAGGACAACCACACTCTTAGGATGGAGGAGCAGTGAGATTGAAGGAGCCTGCAGCCCCAAGGACTTTTAGAGCAAGAGTCATTATCAGCCTGTCCTGCCTACCTTCCAACTTTTATATGAGAAACAACACACTTCTATCTAGGTGAAACCACTATTATTTTTGGAGGTTTTCTGTTACTGCTGAGCCTAAGGTTCATTGATACAGAAAAGACAACATATTCAGAGGAAATAGGAAATAGTACTCAACTTTAAGAAATATCATAAACTTGAGAAGGATATGAGTAGTATACTTTTTACAAAGCAGAAAATTATGAGTTTCACAAGAGAGATTGAACAAAATATCATTGAAGATGGAAAAAATAAAAGGGAAACAAATCACTTCTGATAGAAGAACATAAGAGAAGGAATCATCGTTCAGGTGATATTTGAGACAGGTCTTCAAAGAAGAATAGAATTGTGACAGATGAAAGTGAGGAGGCATTGAAATAGGAGATGAAAGGCAAGCTAGGCAGAAGGAACAGCATTACAAAGACATGGAAGTGGAAAAGCATGAATTGTGTTCTGGGAATGTTAGATGATTGAGTTTAATAGGAGCACAGGTTGTAGACAGTGATTGTTACTGACACCCAGTGGACCTATTTGTTTATCCTGCTGCATTTTATTTCATGACCTTTGTCACTAGCTGACAGTATATTATTATATTGACTTTATATTGTCTGTTTATTTTCTAGAATTACTAAAATAAAAGTTCTCAAACTTTTTGGTCATTATCAAAAATTAGTAAAAGCCCCAAAGAGCTTTTGTTTATGTGAGTTATATCTATAAATACTTACTGTACCAGACAGTTAAATTGAGAAAATTTTAAATAGCTAAATATTTATTCATTTTTACAATAAATCCATTACATGTTTAACATATTGTATGGGTCAGAGTTCTCTGGAGAAACGGAACTTATAGTGTGTGGGTGTGTGGGGGTGTGTGTGTGTGTATAAGAGGTGATTTATTATGGGAATTGGCTCACGTGATTATGGAGCCCAACAAGTCCCATCTTATGCCATCTGCAAGCTGGAAAACAAGGGAAGCTGGTGGTATGATTCATTCTAAGTACAGGGCCCAAGAACCAAGGGAGTGGAGGGTGTAAGTCCCAAAGTCCCAAGGCCCAGACGTCTGGAGTTCTGATGTCCAAGGGCAGGAGAAAATGGATGCCCCAGCTCCAGAAGGTAAATTTGCCTTTCCTCTGCTCTTTTGTTCTATCTGAGCCCTCAATGGATTGGATGATACCTGCCCACATTTGGTGAGGGCAGATCTTCCTTACTCAGCTCACTGATTCAAATGCCAATCACTTCCAGAAACAACCTCACAGACATGCCCAGAAATAATGCTTTACCAGCTATTTGGATATCCCTTAACCCAGTCAAACTGATACCTAACATTAACCATTACACATATATTCATGGAAAAAACTATCTTTCAAACAAAAAAAATTACAAGAGTGGCATTGCTTTGCATTTTTGTGATGCTCCTTAATGTCTGGCTTCATAGAAGACAACTGGTTTCCTATGTCTGCTTCTATATTCAGTCTGTTTGTGATATCACATGTCAGGTAGCCTCTGGAAAACTTCACTGTACATACTTTTTTTAATGAGAAAATGACAAATAACATCATAACAAATCATTTTGACTTGGCAGACACCTAACAGGGTCTCAGAGACCCTCAGGGTCCCCCGATTACACTTTGAGAACCGCTGAACTAGAATATAAGCTCAGTAAGGGCAGAGACTATATATCTCTTATATCCCAGCACCTAGACCAGTCTGGCACATAGTAGGCACTCAATAAGTACTTGTTAGTTAAATGTATGAACCTGAGGCTATAGTATGAAAGATATTGAGTGCCAGGCTAGTAAGTTTGGAATTCACTTAGTAGACACTAGGCAACCAGTAGAGGTTTCTGAGCAAGTAAATGTAACAGTCTGATTAATCTGACCACACCAAGGAGGACGAGCTGGAGAGAAGAACAACTTGGATCAGAGGTGCCAATTAGGATGCTTTTGATGTAGTCCAAGTGAGTAACAGCAAGGTTCTGAAGTGGGATGAAGACTGTGCAAACTGAAAGAGGAGGATAGAAGTGAGAAATTACTGGATACACTGTATTAGCCCTCAACTAGAAATCCATTAATCTACCTAGGCTTGCCTTTAACTGTGTGATCTTGAGCAAGTCAATCAACTCCTTGTTCAATACACTTTCTTCATTAGTAAAATAAAATATTATATTAAACATGGATTGTCACTTTCTCTGCAACTACTCAAAGTAATTTGCAGATAATAGTTATATCACTAAAATATTAATTTTAAATGTCACAAAATCTTAATTTCTTATTGCTAACTTTTCCTGCATTTACTTATGCTAATATTGGTTATTAACCATGCTTTTTAAAAGTAAGATTAGAGAATCAGTATAAAACTTCAATATTAGTTGAAGTGTTTGCTTAGGAGAAAACCATGTATCATTTATTAAGGCCTTTTAACTTACTTAAATCTCAAGCAATTCCTATGATAGAGTTATTTTCCACATTTTCCGATTCGGAAATATTAAGATATGTACTCAAGACTTCATACCTTGTAGTAACAAAAACAGAATTCAAAAAGATATGTATGATTCTAAAACATATCGTCTTCCTGTAACACTACTCCAAAGAAATTGAGAAACCATTCAAATTTGGATATGTTGTTATTAATTTGGACATCTTGATTGATAAGCATAAAATGTAGCACATTTGGAATCAAACTGATTACCACCTTAATTATCTAGAAATATCACAGAAAAGCCAACTCTACAAGGTTCAACATGGCAGGACAATGGCTATATCCAGATAATTAAAATGTATAGGAAACTACGGGAAAAGGTGAAGGAAAGAGTTAAGACCTTTCAGAAACTTGAGGGAAACAGAAAACAAGCAGACAATCATTTTGTCTTATTTTCAAACCTGAGTACACCACTGAGAAAGAAACAGGCTCTGTTCTTCATCATTTCTTTGTTCATTTTTGGCTGAAGTGGATTTAGGTCCATGCTGGGAATAAATAGGGTAGGCTCTGAGGTGGTTACCAAATCAGCAATGGCACAAGTAGTACTACTCATGAAAACTATTCCAACTGTCTGACTCAGACGTCAGCTCAGATTTCAACTCCCTGCAGCCATTTGGTTGAAAGGATTTCATAATTTTCAAGGAAGCATTTAAAGTTTGTATTTCATCTCAAGGAAAGTAAAGGAAATACTCGTTCTCTGCCTTGGATCGGAAATGTGCTTGATTTTGTAAAGATTGCATAGAGAGAGAACACTTACTTGTAATCTCTTTAAAAAAATTATTTCTCTTTGCATCCCTTTTCTGCCTAACTTCACAGCAACTGTTTGAAGACCAATGCAGTCACCTTTCCTTACCTACTTCTACAGTAGTATATTCTGAAATTATAACATCAGAGCTAATTATTGCTTTATAGTATACTGAGATACATGTATAAACTCCTGATTATTACTCATTTTTTCAGTAAACTTTGCTTGAGAATCTATGATATACCAAGCATTATGTTAGACACTAGGGATCCAAAAATGAATAAAACAGGTCCTTACCTTCAAAGTGCTTATGTTTAGTGGGGAGACAGTCAGACAAGTAAGTAGATATGTCTTTCATTGATGAGTTCATATTAAACAAATATTTTAGCAACTACTATTTTCCAGATGTTCATATCAATGTTGGAGATACAAAGATAAAAATTTACTCCTCAACAGTAAGGTAATACTATCCAGGTAAAGCAAAGAAAAATTCAGAAGGGAAAAAAATATATAGTTTAAAAATCAGAAAGCTATGAGGGTTCTAAAATGAGCCATGTAGAAATGAGATAGACTTTTCCCAGGATAAACCTATACTTTTAGAAATTGGATGCAAGAACATGAAGAAGGTAGTCAGGAGGGCAGAAAAATGGGAAAGGAAAAAGAGAAATGCCGTGGAAGCTCTGCCTGGTGAATTAACAGCCTGAAAATGTTCCTATGTGGCTTTGAGAAAACAAGCCAACTGAGTTTAAAGTGTGCTCCTTTGAGATTTTTCCATGACTTCCATCATGGCTATAGATTAGCAGGTTGTTTATGTGACAATCAAGCCTGGATAATGAGGGTAGGGATGGAGAGAAGTACTGGTTAGTAGCTAAGTGCAAAATTGCCCTAACGTAACTATTCCGGTGAAAAATACCAACTGCTTTTTGGACATATCCTTTTACCCTTTTGATTCCAACCCAACACCGTTCTCTACATTTACTAAGCTTTGGGGTTTCTATTGACTTCCAATTATTTCACTTGAGTAATATTCTTAATTAGTACAAGCACAAGTCCTTTATCGTCTCTGAAACACTGCCAAACTTTACTCTCCCCTCAGCAAGGGAAAACTTAATTAACATTTTGTTAATTTCTAGAATTGTTTCAATTTGCCCTTCTCTGGGGTTTCCACTCGCTCTGAGAAAGGGAAAAAATGTTCATAGATAAAGAATATAGTAGATGAGGCATAAATATTTACATGGAACTAATCCAGTTCTCAAAATGATTTAGAAAACCTAGACTGTTTTCGAAACTATTGTGACAGGTTGTTTATGAAGTATTAACCCACAAACAACAGGGGAGAGAGAGACATGAGATAGCCTTGCAATCCCTTTGTTTACCCTGTAGCTCCCACCCCCACTTTAAACTAATCCTGGCCTCTGCTGCCCCCAGAAAAGCTAGACCATAGTTGAAATGCAAATTGAGGCAAAAGAAGTTAATTTTTAGCTTTTAAGCTTTCAGACATGAAGACTTGGCATAAGCAATACATTTCAAAGACTATTTAACTAGCCATGCCTTCTGTCTCTCCCCATCCCCCAGTGGGAAGAGTAAATAAAACCTTTATGAATTAGAGGAGGTAGCAAGAGTTTGGAGATAAAGCAAAAGATGAGTCCTATTCTTTGCCCACCCCACCCACAGACTTGTGGGATTAAAAGGAGGTGGTTCTCCTGTAAGCCTGAGGATATGAGATGGACCTTAGTGAGAGGGCCTTCAGCCCTGCAGTTCTGTCAGCTACAGACAAGAAAGGTAGACTACAGAACAGGAGTGTATAGAGCCCTGAGTTTCCTCCAAGTCCCTGAGTGGCACAGCACAATGTCTGAAATTCCCATGCCCCAGAGCCAAGGGAGATATAAAAGCTAGCAGAAAAACTATAACTTCAAGGGTCCAACAGTGGGGTCGGCAGACTTCTGAAACAGTCCCAAGATTCCCAGCCCCTGGTGTCAGCCTTTGAGTGTGGGTAGAACTTGTGAATGTGACAAGATTTTACAAGTATGATTAGCTTATCTTACATGGCAAAAGTGAAAGGAATTTGAAGATGTAATTAAGGTGCCTAATCAGTTGACTTTGAGTTAATAAAAAGGGAGATTATCTTGGGAGGTGTGATGTAATCAGATGAGCCCTGAGATTGAAGGTAAGAGAGATTATTCTGCTGGCCTGGAACAAGCCAAGGGTGGTATGTGAGGAAGCCTGTGAGGGCCACAGGAAAGGCTCTGAAGGCCGTCCTAAAGCTGAGAGATGTTCCCAACTGGCTCCTAGCAAGAAGACAAAAAGCCAGTCATACAACCACAAGGGAATAAATTCTGCCAACAGCCTGAATGAGCGTAGAAGCAGATTCTTCCCCAGAGCTTCTGAGTGAGAACACAGCCTGGCTGACCCCTTGATTTCAGCCTTGTGAGACATTAAGCAGAGGGCTCAGCTCAACAGTGCCCAGAATTCCTACCCATAGAAATTGTGAAATAATATTGGGGTGTTGCTTTAAACCACTAGGTTTGCAGTCACTTACGTAGTAATAGAAAACTAATAAACACAGCTAGGAATGAGAATGCAGAGATGGGGTCATGGGGCTAAGCACTGGATGGGAAATGGGTAGCTTGGGTGAGACACTCAAGGCTCAGCAAGACAGCACATTCCCAGAAGACAGCAACAGAGACCAAGATGCTTTTGAAGGAGATATGGGAATCTCCCACCTATCTGAGATGGCATTTGCACCCCTCCCCAAGCCAAGCTTGGCATCAACCCCAGAAGCAAGAAAATTGAAGAAAGCAGTGTTAAAAATCTTAAAGTTAACTAAGTTTAAACCTGAAATATGTGAGAAAAAATGTCAAAAGTGCTTGACACTATTGCTAAGTTGTTGGATTAAGATTTCTGCCTCAGACAGAATAGGGGTTCAGGCTAGACATTTTTAGTTAGAGAGGGAAGGAGAGGTTTCATTTTTACACTGTCAAGTTTATGGTATGTGAAATCCGTCTCCACCCCAACATCTTCTAGCTGAGTCTTGCATCCACTGTCAGGGCCATACTATAGAAACACAGAGCCAAGGGTAAAAGTAATCTCTTCTCTCCAACATTGTTAACCTGAGAGCGTCCGTTTAAAATTAACATCAAGGGCAGCCTCAAAAGTAGTCCCAGAGACTTCCAGGGTCAAATGGAAGAATAAAGCCAGAATACAGGCCATTGCCCAGTCAAACCTAACAAAATGAATACCAAATACATGTTAAAAACCAGGCACACTCAAAACAAGGGACACAACTTCAAGTCAACATTTAAAACAATGACTAGTCAAAGAGAAATAGAAAGATTCCAGAAATCAAGCTGTTTCCTCCCACTACACTCTCCTCCTAACCTCGCCAATCCACCAAACCCATTCTCAAGCAGTACGTGGGGCAAAAGGTAAGGTGACAAAGTCCTGGGAAAATTCACTAATCACCTCAATGAAGCAATAAGTAGATGGAAAAGGGAAGTAGCAGCCAGGAAAATACGGTAGATCCCTTGACAAGGGAATCTTCTTCACTGTAGCTCACCATTTATTTTTTCTAGCCAAGAGAAAGTAAGCAAATGCGGATTCTACCCAAAATATATAAATGACATCAAAAAAGCTATAAGAAAGATGAACAATCCAATAGAAAGAGGGGGTAAAATTCATAAACAGATGTTTCCAACAAGAAGAAATAAAACTGCCAATAAAAAATGTAAAAAAGAGGTTCAACCTCATTAGTAACCAGCAAAATGCATCAACAACACAATGAGATTTTATTTGACACCCAAGAGATTGGCAAACATTAAAAGATAGCTCAATAACCAGCATGTGTAAGGATGTGAAGGGCTGGGGGTTCTCATAAACTGCCAGTGGGAGAATAAATTATAACCCCTGGAAAGAAATTCAGCCTTGTTTTGGGTATAGGAGACAACTGATCTCGCATGTTGACATGGTGCTCTGACTCACTTACCGAATAGCCCTAAGGCTGCTAGTTTTGAGTGGGGCCAGAACTAAAGAAGTCTCTGCAGGAGGTCCAAGCTTGGAGGCGCTTCATCCTGCTACCCACTCCTCATGACCAGGAAATCCAGGGGAACTCCATGTGCCTGTGGTAAAGAAAGACATGGCAGGGAGTCTCTGGCAATCCCTAATAAAGGAATCACAGCAAACACCCCTGGGGTTCTCCTCTGCTGATAACTTCAGTTTTACCTTTTAAGAAATAGCTCCCTGCTTGCTACTGGGCATAGTTGAAATAAAATGCTTGAATGAGACTCCAGCTACCCATCATAAACCAGGTGCTATTTGATCCACAGTTTCTGTTATTTATTGTTGCATGACAAATTACCCCAAAACTTGGTGGCTTAAAACAACAAGCCAGATAACAGAGTTCTCTATGTAATAATCAGAAAGGAGTGATGTGCTGAAATGGTGACTTTTAGATCCCCTAATGGTTTTTAAATTACATTTACAGATTTTAATAATTCAACTAGTGAGTACCTGTGATTCACCTCTCAGATAACTTCCAGATATTTACTGCCTTAAATAGTTGTGTCTATAAAATGTAAGAATGGAGAACCATAGGAATTACAGGAATAGACTGTAGTAAAAAGTAGATCAAGTATTTTCTATATAAATCCTCACTTTCCCAGAATTATGATACTGAGAACATTTTGGAATGCAGTTATTCTGAAATTCATAATGTAAACACAAGTTAGTATTCCTGCTTATTCTCAAGTGAATCTTTACTAGGAAATCAACCTGACAAACTTTGTCTGCAGAGAAAGATGCCAAATGTCTCTAGTTTCTGATAAATACCATTACTCTCTCAGCTGCATCTTTCCTCAGGCAATCACAGAGATAGGTCTCCTGAGAGTGCATTTTAAAGAAAAATAGAATTACAATAACCAGTGCTGAACTAATGACTGATCTTCCATTCCCACAGAGGAGCTATGTGTTCTCTTGTACATCAACATCTGGAGGATACATTCACACTACATCTGTGCAGCCAGACATTGCCAGGCAAGGTGAACAGAAATAAACTAATTTAATCCATCTCTTAGTCTCCCACAACCATGAAAAAAATCCTTAATGAGGAGATTCCAGTTAGGATTTAGAATACTTAACCAAGATTCAAAAATGTTCCCAAATACACTGGTGCACTATAATTTCCAGAATAAGAAGTAGTTCACTGCCATTTTTCCCATCCTGTAAAATCAATATCAACTTTTATTACCCTGTAAGTAAATATTATCCTGTTTTTCAGCTACATCCAACAGAACTTACATACAAACTATTTCAGGTCACTGGCACTGTTTAAATAATCTCTACTTCAAGTCAATGAAAGCAAGGTCAAGGTTTCGGTTTCCTATGGCCCAGGCAGCATCTCTCTGTTCTTTGAGTAATGTCTGGCCCTCCAGAGAGCATCCCATAGGTGCTATCGGAATCAATCTCATTACCTTGCTTGCTTTACTCCTTGCCCCCTTTAAGGACCAGAAACCACAGTGGCTCAGAACCCATTCTTCACCAAGTGACCCACAATTTATCTTCTTATTGTTCAACTTTTCATTTTATTCTTGGCCTAGGTGTGGCTTTCTTGAGCCGTTTCTCTCAGCCCCCTCCTAGCAATATAAAATGGCCATCTCACCTTCAAATTCTCAGATCCCTGCCATTTCCCTGCTTCGCATAACTATGGTAGCACTTACCACCCTGTGTTGTAATTACTGGACTCCTCTCTACATCATAAACTCTTTGGCACACTGTGCCCCACTTAGTAAACCCAGTGTTTAGCATAGTGCCTGACACATGGAAGTTTCCCAATCAATGTTTTTTTAATGAATAACCTGGCTTCTTGGCTATAGCCCTGGATTTTGCTTTTTAAGTCGGCTTCCAACCACACTTTCTTCTCCTAAGATTGGGGCACACTTTTGCTTAAACACTGGCCTGGGCTTCCCGTAGCAGCCCACCCCAGCTGTAAAGTCTTCTGAAATAAGGTAGTGTGACATTCTGTTGTCCCTCCTGGCCACAGCCAGCCTTGTATTCCATGCAGTAACCCTCTCCTTTTTCCCAAGTGAGAAATAAGTATGTGTCCTTGGACATAAAGGTAAAGGTAAAAGAACACAGAAGAATCAGTGCAGATCTATTTCTTCTATTAGAAATATAATTCTAAGAAATGCTATCTGATCTGCCAAAGACTACATACACAGTCTAGCACCTGCCAAGTGGTAGGCACTGTGCTGTGTTTTATGCACATTGTCTCTCTTGGTCCTGCCAACCCTAGGAGAAAGAGATTACTGTCTCCATTTTACAGACAAAAAAATTAAGATTCAAAATATAAATAACTAAACAAATATGATATAGCTAAGTAAATAGAGGAGTTGGAATTCATACCCAGGTCTGCCTAACTCCAATGCCAATGCTGTTTCCACTATACCATTAACCATACCACATGGTCCTCAAATTAGGCTCTACCACATATACCTAACGAACACACTTGAAAGAATGAAAAACATATCTTCAAAATACAAGACAGCAAAACTAAGAAAAAGGTAAGCCTTGGAAAATGAGGGGAAAAAATCCTTTGACCAAAGGAATTTGATGACAGTTAAGATAGACATAGCAACGCAAAATGTTGTAACTCTGGTTGAATGATGGTGTAAGCTTTTAATGAATCATAAATTCAAAATAATTAGGAACATCAGACAGCCTTCATAAATAAAAATCTCTGGAATATTTTTAAATTATGTATAATACTATTTAATCAAAGAGAATCCTACACAAAGACTATACTTTCAGGGATCATTTCTATAGTTCATTCAAGAATGCTACACAACAACCAAGAGTTAATTATAAAATTGTAACATTTTTTCCCACTTACTTTCTTCAAGCACACAAACTGTCCTGCATTCGTTTCTGTGAATATTAAATAACCCAGTCCAAAGGTGACTAGCATGCAAATAACTGTGCAACACAAAATGTTCTGCTACAATCAGATAACAGAACAAGATTAATCAGAGAAAGCATTTTGACTTCAGATAATCTTTGAATACTTACCTACAGAAAGTATTTATTTTCCTTGATCAAATGACAGATAGTAACACAAACAAAATTTACATGAGGGGGAAAATTATGTTCGAGAAAGAGTCGGATTTTTAATATATAAATCTGTGCTTCTTAATCTAGCTTCGAGCTACCTATGACTTGCCTCTTCTCCCCAACTCCCCTCCCCAACCACCTGACTACCTTGATTTATTGCAAGCCACTAAAAAAAAAAAAAAAGAAAAGAAAAGAAAAAAGAAAAAAGTCCACTCACTCCAACATTCCAGCTGCAGTGACCTTATTTTGGTTCCTCAAATGTGCCAGTTTTTTCTCAGGTTGAACCCTTCACTCCATCTGCCTCAGTCTCCCCAGCACATCCCCTGCTCAGCTGTCTCCTCATCCAGCCGGTCCCAGCCTAAGAGTGTTACTTCTTGGAGAGGCCTTACTTGACCACTAATGTCAAGCCCATCTCCCACACTATGCTCTCCTACTGCACCCTCTTCTTTGCCTTCAAAGCATTGGCCACTCTTTACAAAGATATATCCCATATGAGTTTATTTGCTTAACTCACTTCCACACTAGCCCCATGAGGCTAGTAAGTACCTTGCTACTTTGTTCGTCATGTTTATGCAAGATCTAGCACCATGTCTAGCAGTTAGTAGGAGCTCAAAAATATCTGCTAAATGAACCAAAATACATAATGTCCCCCCATCCTTTACCAAGTCAGTCCTCTACCACACTCAATTTTTTAATAAGAAAATCTTTAACATAGAGAAATGAAGATGTACACCACTGTTGGAAGGCTGGGGATCAAAGGTCAGGAATGCCACTTCTGGACAACTCCAAATGCAAGGATTCCAGGGACGTCTGCAACAACAAAATAGGCAAACCCCAGGAAGTCACTAGAGCTGTGTGAGAGCCACTCTACAACCCTGGGTACAATGCTACTTCTTTATTTTCTCTATTTAAACCTGCTTTTTCTCAAGGATAGAAATTTAAGAATTTTTTAAAGAGTTCTTTTAAAAATACGATCGAACTAATAAAGATATTATAAGACAGCAGAAGTTTCTAACATAAGTATGTTCAGAGCCTTGTAGAACTTCAGAGGAAGAAGTAACAGTGTCCCTTAAGAGGAACAGTATCACACTAATAAAAGAGGTGATATCTGTGCTCAACCTTGAAGTATGAATTACAACACAACAGAGAAAAGAAAAAAGACATTCCAGATAGAGGAGGCAGTACATGCAAAGACTCAGAGACATTCCCTCATATAGGGCTCCATCAGGGAAGCACAATCAGTATGACAGGTATGGAATAAGAGATTTATTGTAGAAATTAAACCTAACAGAGTTGTTGGAGAAGCTAGGAATGTAAAAGCCTGGAAGGGGAAGAATGGAGGATCAGGAAAACGTCACTGATCAGAGACAACAAAAAATGGAAACTGGTGGAAAAAGCAATGGAAGGTGGTTGTCTCTGTGTCTAGTGGTTGGTCCAAAGTCGCTGTGGGTCATCAGGTGTGGAAGATTTAAAAAAAAAATCAGGACACAAATCATGAGACAGCAAGGACAAACCTTAAGGTACAAGACAAAGAAGACCTTTAAAAACAAGTTGGAACATACAAAGACAAAGTGCAACCAGCATCTGTCTCTTACTAATAGTGCAGGTGCCGTGTGGAAGAAGCTGGTATTCTTCACCACAAAACACACTTATTCCTGGCCCAGGGCTCAAAGAAGTTGAAAGAGTGGCAAGAGCTGGAGGAGCTGTGGGTCCAGCAGTTGTCCCACATCTTCCAGGTGAGCCGGCTCTGGGCCTTGCATTGCCCTGCTGAGCATGATGCCTGCTGCTTTGCTTCCACCTCCCAAATCCTGCACAAATGTCTCTTGGAACCAACTCTAATGCAGAACCATACAGACGTTAATTCTGAGATTCATAGTTATAGTTCAGCTAAATTGGCATAGTATAAAACCTACATACTTGGAAGATTGTTCAGGGAAGAGCACATAGCTCCTTTTGTTGGAACGAGAGGAGTAAGTTGGGAGAAGATAGAAGAGGAGGAAAATTAACCTATAAAGAAGGTTGGTAAGATCCAAATTCTAAGATCCCTATTTGTTCCAAAAGGGTTTTAATAGTTATGGCTGAGTAGTAATAAAGCACTGTGGCAGACCAGCTAGATGCTCACGAGTCTCATCACCTCTTCTTGAAAACACGGAAAGACTGTATTTCCTGATGTATAGATTGTGAAGATTTTCTCCCACTCTGTGGGTTGTCTGTTTACTCTGCTGACCGTTCTTTTTGCTGTGCCAAAGCTCTTTAATTTAATTAGGTCCCAGCTATTTATCTTTGTTTTTATTGCATTTGCTTTTGGGTTCTTGGTCATGAAATCCTTGCCTAAGCCAATGTCTAGAAGGGTTTATCCAATGTTATCTTCTAGAATTTTTATATTTCAGGTCTTAGGTTTAAGTCCTTAATTCATCTTGAGGTAAGAGATGAGGATCCAGTTTCACTCTCCTACATGTGGCTAGCCAATTATCCCAGCACCATTTGTTGAAAAGGGTGTCCTTTCCCCACTTTATGTTTTTGTTTGCTTTGTCAAAGATCAGTTGACTGTGAGTGTTTGGGTTTATTTCTGGGTTCTCTATTCTGTTCGATTGGTCTATGTGCCTATTTTTGTACCAGTACCATGCTGCTTTGGTGACTATGGCCTTATAGTATAGTTTGAAATCAGATACCGTGATGCCTCCAGATTTGTTCTTTTTGCTTAGTCTTGCTTTGGCTATGTGGGCTCTTTTTTGGTTCCATATGAATTTTAGAATTGTTTTTTCTAATTTTGTGAAGAATGATGGTGGCATTTTGATAGGGATTGGATTGAATTTGTAGATTGCTTTTGGCAGTATGGTCATTTTCACAATATTGATTCTACCCATCCATGAGCATGGGATGTGTTTCCATTTGTTCATGTCATCTATGATTTCTTTCAGTAGTGTTTTGTAGTTTTCCTTGTAGAAGTCTTTTACCTCCTTGGTTAGGTATATTCCTAAGTATTTTATTTTTATTTTTTCTTTTGCAGCTATTGTAAAAGGGGTTGAGTTCTTGATTTGATTCTCCACTTGGTCGCTGTTGGTGTATAGAAGAGCTACTGATTTGTGGCTGGGCGTGGTAGCTCATGCCTGTAATCTCAGCACTTTGGGAGGCTGAGGTGGGTGAATCACCAGGTCAGGAGTTCAAGACCAGGCTGACCAACACGGTGAAACCCCATCTCTACTTAAAAAAAATAAAATTAGCTGGGCGTGGTGGCGCATGCCTGTGATCCCAGCTACTCAGGAGGCTAAGGCAGGAGAATTGCTTGAACTTGGAAGGCAGAGGTTGTAGTGAGCTGAGAGTGCACCACTGTATTCCAGCCTGGGCGACAGGGTGAGACTCCATCTCACAAAAAAAAAAAAAAAAAAGAAGAGCTACTGATTTGTGTACATTAATCTTGTGTCTGGAAACTTTGCTGAATTCTTTTATCAGTTCTAGGAGCTTTCTGGAGGAATCCTTAGGGTTTTCAAGGTAAACAATCATATCATCAGCAAACAATGACAGTTTGACTTCCTCTTTACCCATTTGGATGGCCCATAATTCTTTCTTTTGTCTGATTGCTCTGGCTAGTACTTCCAGTACTACATTGAAGAGGAGTGGTGAGGGTGGGCATCCTTGTCTTGTTCTAATTCTCAGAAGCAATGCTTTCAACTTTTCCCCACTCGGTATTATGTTGCCTGCGGGTTTGTCATAGATGACTTTTATTACATTAAAGTATGTCCCTTGTATGCTGATTTTACTGAGAGTTTTCATCATAAAGTCATGCTGGATTTTGTCAAATGCTTTTTCCGCATCTACTGAGATGACCATGTGATTTTTGTTTTTAATTCTGTTTATGTAGTGTACCACATTTATTGACTTGTGTATGTTAAACCATCCCTGCATCCCTGGTATGAAACCCACTTGAACAGAGTGGATTATCTTTTTGATATGTTGTTGGATTTGGTTAGCAAGTATTTTAAGGATTTTAGCATCTATGTTCATCAAGGATATTGGTCTGTAACTTTCTTTTTTGGTTATGCCCTTTCCTGGTTTTGGTATTAGGGTGATGCTGGCTTCAGAGAATAAATTAAGGAGGGTTCCTTCTTTCCCTATCTTGTAAAATAGTGTCAAAAGGATTGGTACCAATTCTTTTTTGAATGTCTGGTAGAATTCTGCTGTGAATCCATCTAGTCCTGGATTTTTTTTGTTGGTAACTTTTTAATTATCATTTCAATCTCACTGCTTGTTATTGGTTTGTTCAGGGTATCTGATTCTTCCTGATTTAACATAGGAGGATTGTATTTTTCCAGGAATTTATCCATCTCTTCTAGGTTTTCTAGTTTATGTGCATAAAGGTGTTCATAGTGGCCTTGATTGATCTTTTATATTTCTGTGGTGTCAGTTGTAATATCTCCTGTTTCATTTCTTAGTGAGGTTATTTGGATTTTCTCTCTTCTTTTCTTGGTTAATCTTGCCAATAGTCTATCAATTTTATTTATTTTTTTCAAAGAATCAGCTTTTTGTTTCATTTTTTGATGTTGTTGTTTCAATTTCATTTAGTTTTGCTCTGATCTTGGTTATTTTCTTTCTTCTGCTGGGTTTGGGTTTGGTTTGTTCTTGTTTCTCTAGTTCCTTGAGGTGTAACCTTAGAATGTCAGTTTGTGCTCTTTTAGTCTTTTTGATGTAGGCATTTAGAGCTATGAACTTTCCTCTTAGCACTGCCTTTGCTATATCCCAGAGGTTTTGATAAGTTGTGTCATTATTGTCATTCAGTTCGAATAATTTTTTAATTTCCATCTTGATTTTGTTTTTGACCCAATGCTTATTCAGGAGCAGGTTACTTAATTTCCACTTATTTGCATCGTTTTGAAGATACCTTTTGGAGTTGATTTCCAGTTTTCTTCCACTGTGGTCTGAGAGGGTGCTTGATATAATTTCAATTTTCTTAAATTTATTGAGGCTCATTTTGTGACCTATCATACGGTCTATCTTGGAGAAAGTTCTATGCGTTGTTGAATACAATGTGTATTCTGCAGTTGTTGGATGAAATGTTCTGTATATATCTGTTAAGTCCATTTCTTCCAAGGTATACTTTAAGTCCATTGTTTCTTTGTTGACTTTCTGTCTTGATGACCTGTCTAGTGCTGTCAGTGGAGTATTGAAGTCCCCCACTATTATTGTGTTGCTGTCCATCTCATTCTTAGGTCTATTGGTAATTGTTTTATAAATTTGGGAGCTCCAGTGTTAGGTGCATATATGTTTAGAATTGTGATATTTTCCTGTTGGACAAGGCCATTATATAATATAATTATATAATGTCCCTCTTTACCTGTTTTAACTGTGTTGCTTTAAAGTTTGTTTTGTCTGATATAAGAATAGCTAACCCTGCTTGCTTTTGATGTCCATTTGCATGAAATGCCTTTTTTTACCCCATTACTTTAAGTTTATGTGAGTACTTTTGTGCTAGATGAGTCTACTGAAGGCAGCAGATGGTTGGTGAGTTCTTATCCATTCTGTGATTCTGTATCTTTTAAGTGGAGCATTTGTTCCATTTACAACCAATGTTAGTATTGAAATGTGAGGTACCATTTCATTCATCATGCTCTTTGTTGCCAGTGTACTTTGGATTTTTGGTTTTTGCTTTTTAACTTGTATTTTTGTTTTATTTCTGTTATGTGTGATTTCTGTTTTAAAGAGGTTCTGTTTTGATGTGTTTTCAGGATTTGTTTCAGAATTTAGAGCTCCTTTAAGCAGTTCTTATAGTGGTGGCTTTGTAATTGTGAATTCTCTCAGCATTTGTTTGTTGAAAAAGACTGTATCTTTCCTTCATATATGATGCTTAGTTTCACTGGATACAAAATTCTTGGCTGATAATTGTTTTGTTTGAGGAGGCTGAAGATAGGGCCCCAATCCCTTCTAGCTTGTAGGGTTTCTGCTGAGAAATCTGTTGTTAATCTGATAGGTTTTCCTTTATAGGTTACCTGGTGCTTCTGTCTCACAGCTCTTAAGATTCTTTCCTTTGGCTTATCTTTAGATAACCTGATCACAATGTGCCTAGGTGAAGATCCTTTTGCGATGAATTTCCCAGGTTTTCTTTGTGCTTCTTGTATTTGGATGTCTAGGTTTCTAGCAAGGCTGGGGAATTTTTCCTCAATTATTCCCCCAAATATGTTTTCCAAGCTTTTAGAATTCTCTTCTGCCTCAGGAACACAAATTATTCTTAGGTTTGGTCATTTAACATAATCCCAGACTTCTTGGAGGTTTTGTTCATATTTTCTTATTCTTTTTTCTTTGTCTTTGTTGGATTGGGTTAATTTGAGGACTTTGTCTTCAAGCTCTGAATTTCTTTCTTCTACTTGTTCAATTCTATTGCTGAGACTTTCCAGAGCATTGTGCATTTCTAAAAGTGTGTTCAAAGTTGCCTGAATTTTTTTTTTTGAACTATCTATTTCCTTGAATATTTCTCCCTTTATTTCTTGCATCACATTTTGGATTTCCTTGCATTGGGCCCTGCCTTTCTCTGGTTCCTCCCTGATTAGCTTAATAACTAACCTCTTGAATTCTTTTTCAGGTAAATCAGGCATTTCTTCTTGGTTTGGATCCATTGCTGGTGAACTAGTGTGATTTTGGGGGTGTATGGAAAAGGCTTGCTTTGTCATATTACCAGGGTTGGTATTCCAGTTCCTTCTCAATTGGGTATGTTATAAATAAAGTTTTGATGCCACAAAAGAAATAGCCCTTGAATATAAAATTTTCTTTTTAATTCTCAGCAAAACAATGTACTTCTATAGAAGGGTGCACCCTTACAGATGGAGCAATTGGTGAGTGCACACTTGGACAAGGGAAGGGAAGGGGTCCTTATCCTTGATGTACATGGCACCTGCTTCTGTGTTGTTCCCCTATTGGCTAGGGTTAGACTGCACAGGCTAAACTAATTCTGATTGGCTAATTTAAAGAGAGTGATGGGATGAGTGGTTTGGTGGGAAAAATGGTTATGGCAGAGCAGGAAATCGGAATGAGTCAGGGTGGAGAATCAGCAGGTAATCAGAATGAGTCAGATGGAGCAGGTAATCAAAAAAGGTTGCTTTATGGGGAAGTTAAGTTTAAAAGTAGAAGGCAAAGAATTGAACAAACTGACATATTGATTCTTTGAAGAGAAATTTAGAACTCATATCTAACAGGTAGGCTCTGTCAGACCTGTCAGGTCTAGGGCTCAAGGCTGTTGTTCAGATTATTTTGTCCCACGGAGTGTTCCCTTGATGTAGTACTCTCCCCTTTTTCCTATGGATGTGGCTTCCTGTGAGCTGAACTGCAGTGATTGTTGTCTCTTTCTGGGTCCTGCCACCCAACAGGTCTGCCCGGCTCCAGGCTGGTACTGAAGGTTGTCTGCAGAGATTCCTGTGATGTGAGCCATCTATGGGTCTCTCAGCCATGGATACCAGTGCCTGTTCCAGTGAAGGTGGCAGGGGGGTCCAATGGACTCCTTGAAGGTTCTTAGCTTTGGCGGTTTAATGTTCTATTTTTGTGCTGGTTAGCCTCCTTCCAGGAGGTGGCACTTTCCAAAGAGCATCAGCTGTGGTATTATGGGGAGGAAATGGCAGTGGGTGTGGCCTTAGAACTCCCAAGATTATATGCCCTTTGTCTTCTGCTATCAGGGTGGGTAGGGAAGGACCATCAGGTGGTGGCAGAACTAGGTGTGTCTGAGCACAGACTCTCTTTGGGCGGGTCTTGCTGCGGCTGCTTCGGGGGATGGGGGTGAGATTCCCAGGTCAATGGAGTTGTGTACCTAGGAGGATTATGGTTGTCTCTGCTGAGTCAGGCAGGTTGTCAGGGAAGTAGGGGAAAGCCGGCAGTCACAGGCCTCACCCAGCTCCCATGCAAACCAAAGGGCTGGGTCTCACTCCCACCATGCCCCCTCCCCCAACAGCCTCCAGACCATTTCCAGGTGGAGAGCAATATGGGCTTGAAAACCTGCCTCAGGCTATCCGCCTCCCAGATATGAAAGAAAAGGGCTTGGTTCTTCCCCACCTGTGCAGTCTGCACACCAGATGCACCCTCCCCCAAGTTCTGGTCAGGAGGCTTCTCACCCCATTCAAATTGTTAGAAAGTTCAGCTAGAGATTTGCTTCTTCCTGTGTAGTTTTACCCCCTGCTCCTCTCTGGTTGGATCCCTGTGGTGCCAGACAAGAATGGCCTGCTAGGAGACCCAGCCAGCTCCCAGGGCCTTTCTGCTGCTTCCTCTACCCCTGTATTTCACTCAGCTCTCCGAATTGACTCAGCTCCAGGTAAAGTCGGAGACTTCTCCCACAAACAGACCTTCAGCTTCTCTAGTGGGGGTGTGTGTTCGGGAGAGGAGAGTCTCCCTTTCCCACATCCACAGTTGGGCACTCGCAGTTTTGAGGGGTGTCCTGGGTCCTGCAGGATCAGTCTACTTCCTACAGAGGGTCTGTGGATCCTCTCAGGATTGCTGGTTTCTTCTTGCAGTCAATCTGGAGCTAAACTTCACAGTGTGGGCCACCTCCCACTACTCTGTCCAGAGCGGCAATCTAGTCCTGCCTCCCATCTGCCATGATCTTCCGTCTTGCATCTTTATGCAACTTGCCCACTGTATGCCTTTTAATTGGGGCACTTAACCCAGTTACATTCAAAGTTAATATTGATATGTCTGGATTTGTTTCTGTCATCAGGTTGTTAGCTGGTTGTTATGCAGACTTGTTTGTGTGATTGCATTATAGTGTCACTGGTCTATGTATTTAAGCGTGTTTTTGTAGTGGCCAGTAATGGTCTTTCCTTTCCATGTTTAACACTCACTTCAGAACCTCATATAAGGCAGGTCTGGTGGTAACAAAATCCATTAGCCTTTGCTTGTCTGAAAAGGATCTTATTTCTCCTTCACTTATGAAGCTTAGTTTGGCTGGATATAAAATTCTGGGCTCGAAATTCTTTTCTTTAAGAATGCCAAATATACGCCCCTCTTCTCTTCTGGCTTGCAGTCTTTCTGCTGAAAGGTCCACTATTAGCCTGATGGGGCTCCCTTAACATTTTTAACATTTTCCGTTTAACATTTTTCTTTCATTTCAACATTGAAGGATCTGATGGCTATGTTTCTTGGGGATGGTCTTCTTGTGAAGTACTTCACCAGAGTTCTCTGCATTTCCTCAATTTGAATGTTGGCCTCTCTAGCAAGGTTGGGGAAGTTTTCATGGATGATATCCTGAAATATGGTTTCCAAGTTGCTTGCTTTCTCTCCCTGTCTTTCAGACACACCAGTGATTCATAGATTTGGATTCTTTAGATAATCCCAAATTTCTCAGAGATTTTGTTCATTCTTATTTATGGGTTTTTTTTTTATTTTTGTCTGACTGAGTTATGTCAGAGAGCAGGTCTTTAAGCTCTGAGATTCTTTCCTCAGCTTGGCCAATTTTATTAATAGTTGCAATTGTATTCTGAAATTCTTGAATTGAGTTTCTCAGTTCTATCAGCTCAGTTTTGTTCTTTCTTAAAACAGCCATTTCATCTTTCATCTCCTGTATCATTTGATTGCGTCTCTTAAGAATCCTTGGATTGGGTTTTGACTTTCTCCTGCATGTTGATGATCTTCATTCCTATCCATATTCTGAATTATATTTCTGTCATTTCAGCCATTTCAGCCTGATTATGAACCATTGTTGGGGAACTAGTGTGGTTGTTTGGAGTAAGAAGACACTCTGGCTTTTTGAGTTGCCAGAGTTCTTGCACTGCTTCTTTCTCATCTGTGTGGGCTGATGTTTCTTCCATCTTTGAAGTTGCCATCCTTTGGATAGGTTTGTGGGGTTTTTGCTTTTATCTTCTTCATTTCTAGCAGATATTTGTTTCTAGTAGATATTTGAAGGCATAGCTCAGCACTCCTGGGCTGCATGCTGTAACCTCGGGGAGCTGGTATCAGGCCCCTGGCATTGTTCTCTGCCCCCTCAAGGCTGGGAACCTGTTTCACTGGAGGGGCTGAGGTGTTCCTGGACTGCTGGCCCCAACACTCCAAGCACTTTTTTGAGTGGTGGCAGCTCATGCTAGCAGCAACAGCAATGAAACAGGGTGCATGCTTGTCAGCTGGGGTGGGGCACTGATGGGCTTGGGGCTGCCAACCTCTGTATGGACATTAGCAGCTGTGGCAGTGTTGGCACAGGTGGGAGTTGAAGGGCGGGAACTGCTGGGGTCTGTGTGCACATCAGCACCTGCAGCAGTGTCATCATGGGGCAGGGCAACGGCAATCCTGCAGCATAGTGGTGGAGGGTGGTGGGTGCATTCATACCAGCGGCAATGACACAGTGGGGTGCATGCACACCCACGCACCAGCAGAGAAAGGGAGGTGAGGTCCACCCATGCACACATGCACTGGTAAAGCTATGACGGGGTGGCTGTGGCACAGGGAAGGCTGCAGTAGGGGGAGGGTACAAGCGGGCTGGTGCATGTCAGGAAAGTCCACTCTGCTGGAGCTCTCTGACTGTCAGGCATGTTCTACCAGCACAGGAGCTATGATGTGGCCTCTGAGAGGCACCCCAGGATGCACTGAAAGCAGGCACAGCCAGGCTGGGGCCCCAGGAGAGGCCAGGAGACAGAAAGGCATTCAGGTCAGACTGGCCCTGTCTCACAGGCGAGATCATCCTGTTCTGTTCAGTCCCAACAGTTCTCCTAAGGCTAGAGTCTTGTAGGTGAGCAAAGCAAGCCTTGGGGGATGAGCGTCCCTGGCCATACTTCCCTGCAGAAGTTCCCACACCAAACCCTCTGGACTCCAAACAGACTGGAGCCCTGCCCCTACCACCTCTCTAAGCAGCTCTCCTTGCTAGCTCATGTGTTCCATGTGAGTCATGGGGCTCACCTGCTGCCCAGATTTCAGAGGTCCATGGGGAGGGTGGGTCACTTTTTGTCTGCTCAACTCACCCCTACCCTAGGAGTCACTCAGGGCCAGGAATGAGTCCTGGTTTACAGTAGCCCCATGCAGGGTTACACCTTCTTCCCCCTTTAGCCCAGTGTCTGTGTCCTGCCTCCATCCACTCTCAATGCCATCCTTCTGAAGATCTGCTTGGACTGCACCAGTCTTCCCTGTGTCCTGGCCTTGGTGGCAGATGTTCCTCCTAGCTGCATCTAGTCAGCCATCTTGCCACAAATCAGTTTTTTTAAGGTTCCTTAAAAATTTCAATTGTGATATTTGATTTAAATTATAATAAACCTATAAATTTTCAATTTGAAGTAATTTATATCTTCAAAGTTTTTGGTACTCCAGTCAAGAAACAATGTATATCTCTTAATTATTTGTCTTTTATTTTTCTCAGAAGAGTTTTCAATATATTTCATGCAAGTTCTATTTATTCATCAAGATATTTTTATGTCTTCTAAAATTATTTCAGTTGGGATGCTTTTTCCTGTTGGATTTTTTACCTATTGATAGATATGTCTAGCTACTGTACTAAACATTTACTTTCTAATCCCAATTATTTACAACCTTGTTTCTCTTGGAATTTCTGGGTGCACAATAATATCCTCTGAATATAATAATATTATCCATTTCAGTATATACATCCCTAATTTCTGTTTCAGGTCTTATTAAATTCACCATAACTTCCAAAACAATGTTAAATTTTAAAATGGTAATTAGTAGGCATCTTTGCTTTATTTATTATTTTAATACGAATGCCTCCAGGAATTCAATGTTAAATAGACATTAATAAGATAAGAAGACATCCCTCAGAGGTTTTAAAATAGCAAAATGATATAGACATGTTTGTGACTATATCACTATTATTTTGAGAAAAAATAAAGGTCTTTGTCTTTGCATGCAGGCTATCCTAGTGAAACAGCATGGGCCTTGGAATCCAATATATGTAAATTTAAGACTGACTTTACCTCTTTGTGGTGGGTGGAATTCTAACATGATCCTCTAGTGACTCACATCCTTGTATAGTCCTGTCCCCTTGAGTGTAGGAGGGACTTAGGGATGTGATAGGATAAACTCTCTTTAATTGGTGTATATTATATACCACATTTGACCTTCAAAAAGAGAAATTATCCTCAGTGGTCCCAACCTAATCAGGTAAACCTTAAAAAGGTGAAGCTTTCCCTGGCAAGAGATTTGAAGCATGAGAGGGATTCAACACAAGGGAGAGTCTCTCTTAATAGCTTTGAAAATGGAGGAAGCCATGTGGCAAGGAATACAGAAGATAGGACTTGAGAGTCGCCCCAGCTGACAGCAAGCTACAACCATGAAGAATTTAATTCATCCAACAACAAGAAGGATATTGGGACCAGATTCTTTTTCAGAGACTCCAGAAAAGAAATGGCAGCCTGGGCAACATCTAGATTTCAGACTTTCAAGAATGTGAACAGAAAAACCACCCTTACCATGACTAAGCCTCTAATTTACAGAACTGTTAGCTAATAAATGGGTGTTATTTTCAGCTGCTAAGTTTGTAGGAACACATTATGCAACAAATAAAATTAATATACAATAGCTGAGTGAACTTGAAGCCACTCCTTAACCTCTCAAAGCTTATATGCCTTCATATGTAAAATGGTCATAGTAGCCACATTGCAAGATTGTGATGGAGGCTAAAAGAGGTAATGTAAGTAAAACATATGCTATGGCTGCTGTGGCATGTTGCATATAGACACTAAATAAGGTCTATATTCTGTTTTTTAATATTTTTTATTATTTAGATAAGTTGCAACTATATGTACTTTTTTATTATACTTTAAGTTCTATGGTACATGTGCAGAACGTGCAGGTTTGCTACATAGGTATACACGTGTCATGGTGGTTTGCTGCACCCATCAACCCATCATCTACATTAGGTATTTCTCCTAATGCTATCCCTCCCCTAGCCCCCGAAACCCTGACAAGACCCAGCATGTGATGTACCCCTCCCTATGTCCATGTGTTCTCATTGTTCAACTCCCACTCATGAGTGAGAACATGCGGTGTTTGGTTTTCTGTTCCTGTGTTAGTTTTCTAAGAATGATAGTTTCCAGCTTCATCCATGTCCCTGCAAAGGACAGGAACTCATCATTTTTATGGCTCCATAGTATTCCATGGTGTATATGTGCCACATTTTCTTTATCTAGTCTATCATGGATGGGCATTTGGGTTGGTTCCAACTCTTTGCTATTGTGAACAGTGCTGCAATAAACACATGTGTACATGTGTCTTTATAGTAGAACGATTTATAATCCTTTGGGTATATACCCAGTAATGCAATTGCTGGGTCACATGGGATTTCTGGTTCTAGATCCTTGAGGAATCACCACACTGTCTTCCACAATGGTTGAACTAATTTACACTCCCACCAACAGTGTAAAATGTTCCTATTTCTCCACATCCTCTCCAGCATCTGTCGCTTCCTGACTTTTTAATGATCGCCATTTTAACAGGCATGAGATGGTATCTTATTGTGGTTTTGATTTGCATTCCTCTAATGACCAGTGATGATGAGCTTTTTTTCATGTTTATTGGTTGCATAAATGTCTTCTTTTGAGAAGTGTTTATTCATATCCTTTTCCCACTTTTTGATGGAGTTGTTTGTTTTTTTCTTGTAAATTTGTTTAAATTCTTTGTAGATTCTGGATATTAGACCTTTGTCAGATGTATAGATTGCAAAAATTTTCTCCCATTCTGTAGGTTGCCTGTTCACTCTGATGACAGTTTCTTTTGCTGTGTAGAAGCTCTTTAGTTAAATTAGATCCAATTTGTCAATGTTGGCTTTTGTTGCCATTGCTTTCATGACTTAGTCATGAAGTCTTTCCCCATGCCTATGTCCTTAATGGAATTGCCTAGATTTTCTTCCAGGGTTTTTACAGTTTTAGGTCTTATGTTTAAGTCTTTAATCCATCTTGAGTTAATTTTTGTATAAGGTGTAAGGAAGGGATCCAGTTTCAGTTTTCTGCGTATGGCTAGCCAGTTTTCCCAACACCATTTATTAAATAGGGAATCCTTTCCCCATTTCTTGTTTTTGTCAGGTTTGTCAAAGATCAGATGGTTGTAGATGTGTGGAGTTATTTCTGAGGCCTCTGTTCGGTTCCATTGGTCTATATATCTGTTTTGGTACCAGTAGCATGCTGTTTGGTTACTGTAGCCTTGTAGTATAGTTTGAAGTCAGGTAGCGTGATGCCACCAGCTTTGTTCTTTTTGCTTAGGAGTGTCTTGGCTATGCGGGCTCTTTTTGGGTTCCATATGAACTTTAAAGTAGTTTTTTCTAATTCTGTGAAGAAAGTCAATGGTAGCTTGATGGGGATAGCATTGAATCTATAAATTACTTTAGGCAGTATGGCCATATTCACAATATTGATTATTTCTACCCATGAGGATGGGATGTTTTTCCATTTGTGTGCCCTCTTATTTCCTTGAGCAGTGTGGTTTGTAGTTCTCCTTGAAGAGGTCCTGCACATCCCTGTGCATTGTATTCCTAGGTACTTTATTCTCTTTGTACCAATTGTGAATGGGAATTCACTCATGATTTGGCTCTCTATTATTGGTATATAGGAATGCTTGTGATTTTTGCACATTTATTTTGTATCCTGAGACTTTGCTGAAGTTGCTTATCAGCTTAAGGAGATTTGGGGCTAAGACAATGGGGTTTTCTAAATATACAATCATGTCATCTGCAAAGAGAGACAAGTTGACTTCCTCTCTTCCTATTTTAATACCCTTTATTTCTTTCTCCTGCCTGATTGCCCCGGCCAGAACTTCCCATACTATGTTGAATAGGAGTGGTGAGAGATGGCATCCTTGTGCTGTGCCAGTTTTCAAAGGGAATGCTTCCAGTTTTTGCCCATTCACTGTGATATTGACTGTGGGTTTGTCATAAAGAGCTCTTATTATTTTGAGATACATTCCATCAATACCTAGTTTATTGAGAGTTTCTAGCATGAAGGAGTGTTGAATTTTATCAAAGGCTTTTTTCTGCATCTATTGAGATAATCATGTGGTTTTTGTCATTAGTTCTGTTTATGTGATGGATTATGTTTATTGATTTGCATATGTTGAACCAGCCTTGCATCCCAGGGATGAAGCCAACTTGATCATGGTGGATACGCTTTTTGATGTGCTGCTGGATTTGGTTTGCCAGTATTTTATTGAGGATTTTCACATCAATGTTCATCAGGGACATTGGCCTGAAATTTTCTTTTTTTGTTGTGTCTCTGCCAACTTTTGGTATCAGGATGATGCTGGCCTCACAAAATGAGTTAAGGAGGAGTCCCTCCTTTTCTATTGTTTGGAATAGTTTCAGAAGGAATGGTACCATCTCCTCTTTGTACCTCTGGTGAATTTGGCTGTGAATCTGTCTGGTCCTGAACTTTTTTTGGTTGGTAAGCTATTAATTACTGCCTCCATTTCAGAACTTGTTATTGGTGTATTCAGGGGTTTGACTTCTTCCTGGTTTAGACTTGGGAGGGTGTATGTGTCTAGGAATTCATCCATTTCTTCTAGGTTTTCTAGTTTATTTGTGTAGAGGTGTTCATAGTATTCTCTGATGGTTGTTTGTATTTCAGTGGGATCAGTGGTGATATCCCCTTTATCATTTTTTATTGCATCTATTTGATTCTTCTCTCTTCTTTTTTATTAGTCTGGCTAGTGGTCTATCTATTTTGTTGGTCTTGTTAAAAAACCATCTCCTGGATTCATTGTTTTTTTGAAGCATTTTTTTGTATGTCTGTCTCCTTCAGTTCTGCTCTGATCTTAGTTATTTCTTGTCTTCTGCTAGCTTTTGAATTTGTTTGCTCTTGCTTCTCTTGTTCTTTTAATTGTGACGTTAGGGTGTCAATTTTAGATCTTTCCTGCTTTCTCTTGTGGGCATTTAGTGCTATAAATTTCCCTCTATACACTGCTTTATCTGTGTCCCAGAGATTCTGGTATGTTGTGTCTTTGTTCTCGTTGGTTTCAAAGAAGATCTTTATTTCTGCCTTAATTTTGTTATTTACCCAGTAGTCATTCAGGAGCAGGTTTTTCAGTTTCCATGTAGTTGTGTGGTTTTGAGTGAGTTTCTTAATCCTGAGTTCTAATTTTATTGCACTGTGGTCTGAGAGACAGTTTGTTATGATTTCCATTCTTTTGCATTTGCTGAGGAGTGTTTTACTTCCAATTATGTGGTCAATTTTAGAATAAGTGTGATGTGGTGCTGAGAAGAATGTATATTCTGTTGATTTGGGGTGGAGAATTCTGTGGATGTCTATTAGGTCTGCTCAGTCCAGAGCTGAGTTCAAGTCCTGAATTTCCTTGTTAATTTTCTGTCTCGTTGATCTGTCTAATATTGACAGTGGGGTGTTAAATTCTCCCAGGATTATTGTGTGGGAGTCTAAGTCTCTTTGGAGGTCTCTAAGAACTTGCTTTATGAATCTGGGTGCTCCTGTATTGGGTGCATATATATTTAGGATAGTTAGCTCTTCTTGTTGAATTGATCCCTTTACCATTATGTGATGGCCTTCTTTGTCTCTTTTAATCTTTGTTGGTTTAAAGTCTGTTTTATCAGAGACTAGGATTGCAACCTCTGTTTTTTTTTTTTTTTTTTTTTTTTTTTTTTTTTTTTTTTTTTTTGCTTTCCATTTGCTTGGTAGATCTTCCTGCATCCCTTTATTTTGAGCCTATATGCATCTTTGAACATAAGATGGGTCTCCTGAATACAGCACACGGATGGGTCTTGACTCTTTATCCAATTTGCCAGTCTGCGTCTTTTAATTGGGGCATTTAGCCCATTTACATTTAAGGTTAATATTGTTATCTGTGAATTTGATCCTGTCATTATGATGCTAGCTGGTTACTTTGTCCATTAGTTGATTTAGTTTCTTCATAGTGTCAATGGTCTTTACCATTTGGTGTGTCTTTGCAGTTGTTGGTACCATTTGTTCCCTTCCATGTTTAGTGCTTCCTTCAGGAGCTCTTGGAAGGCAGGCCTGGAGGTGACAAAATCTCTCAGCATTTACTTGTCTGTAAAGGATTTTATTTCTCCTTCACTTATGAAGCTTAGTTTGGCTGGATATGAAATTCTGGATTGAAAATTCTTTTCTTTAAGAATGTTGAATATTGGCCCCCATTCTCTTTTGGCTTGTAGGGTTTCTGCAGAGAGATCTATTGTTAGTCTGATGGGCTTACCTTTGTGGGTAACCCAACCTTTCTGTCTGCCCTTAACATTTTTTCCTTCATTTCAACCTTGGTGAATCTGACAATTATGTGTCTTGGGCTTGCTCTTCTCAAGGAGCATCTTTGTGGTGTTCTCTGTATTTCCTGAATTTGAACGTTGGCCTGTCTTTCTAGGTTGGGGAGGTTCTCCTGGATAATATCCTGAAGAGTGTTTTCCAATTTGGTTCCATTCTCCCCATCACTTTCATGTACACCAATCAAATGTAGGTTTGATCTTTTCACATAGTCCCATATTTCTTGAAAGCTTTGTTTGTTCCTTTTCATTCTTTTTTCTCTAATCTTGTCTTCACTCTTTATTTCATTAAGTTGATCTTCAATCTCTGATATCCTTTCTTCCGCTTGATCAATTCGGCCATTGATACTTGTGTATGCTTCATGAAGTTCTCATGCTATGGTTTTCAGCTCCATCAGGTCATTTATTTTCTTCTCTAAGCTGGTTATTCTAGTTAGCAATTTTTCTAAACATTTTTCCACGTTCTTAGCTTCCTTGCTTTGGGTTAGAACATGCTTCTTTAGCTCAGAGGAGTTTGTTATTACCCACCTTCTGAAGCCTATTTCTGTCAATCCATCAAACTCATTCTCCATCCAGTTTTGTTTCCTTGCTGGACAGGAGTTGTGATCCTTTGGAGGAGAAGAGGCATTTCATTTTTGGAATTTTCAGCCTTTTTGCGCTGAACCCGTCTTCATGGATTTATCTACCTTTGGTGTTTGATGTTGGTGACCTTCGGATGGGGTTTCTGAGTGGACTTTTTTTTATTGATGTTGATGCTATTCCTTTCTGTTTGTTAGTTCTTCTAACAGTCAGGCCCATCTGCTGCAGGTCTGCTGGAGTTTGCTGGAGGTCCACTCCAGACCCTATTTGCCTTGGTATCAGCAGCAGAGGCTGCAGAATAGCAAATATTGCTGCCTGTTTTTTCCTCTAGAAGCTTCATCCCAGAGGGGCACCCACCAGATGCCAGCTGGAGCTCACCTGTATGATGTGTCTGTCAGCCTCTGCTAGAAGGTGTCTCCCAGTCAGGAGACACGGGGGGTCAGGGACCCACTTAAGGAGGCAGTCTGACCCTTAGCAGAGCTCGAGTGCTGTGCTGGGAGATCCACTGCACAGAGCTGGCAGGCAGGAACATTTAAGTCTGCTGAAGCTGCGCCAACAGTCACCTCTTCCCGCAGGTGCTCTGTCCCAAGGAGATGGGAGTTTTATCTATAAGCCTGTGACTGGAGCTGCTGTCTTTCTTTCAGGGATGACCTGCCCAGAGAGAGGGAAGCTAGAGAGGCAGTCTGGCTACAGCGGTTTTGTGGTGCTGTGGTGTGCTCCTTTCAGTTCGAACTTCCTGGCTGCTTTGTTTACACTGTGAGGGGAAAACTGCCTACTCAAGCCTTAGTAATGGTGGACGCCCCTCCCTCCATCAAGCTCGAGCATCCCAAGTCGACTTCAGACTGTTATGCTGTCAGCGAGAATTTCAAGCCAGTGGATCTTAGCTTGCTGGGCTCCGTGGGGGTGGGATCTGCTGAGCTAGACCACTCAGCTCCCTGGCTTCAGCACCCCTTTCCAGGGCAGTGAATGGTTCTGTCTCACTGGCATTCCAGGCGCCACTGGGGTATGAAAAAAAAACTCTTGCAGCTAAGCTCAGTGTCTGCCCAAACGGCCGCCCAGTTTTGTGCTTGAAACCCAGGTCCCTGGTGGCATGGGCACCCGAGAGAATCTCCTGGTCTGTGGGTTGTGAAGACCACAGGAAAAGTGAGTATCTGGGCTGGGGTGAAACATTCCTCACAGTACAGTCCTCACGGCCTCCCCTGGCTAGGGGAGGAAGTTCCCTGAACCCTTGCACTTCCCAGGTGAGGCAACGCCCCACCCTGCTTTGCCTTGCCCTCTGTGGGCTGCACCCACTGTCTAACCAGTCCCAGTGAGATGAGCTGGGTACCTCAGTTGGAAATGCAGATATCACCTGCCTTCTGCGTTGATCTTACTGGGAGCTGCAGACTGGAGCTGTTCCTATTCTGCCATCTTGCCAGGTCTCCCAAGTCTGTATTCTTTAATATGAGAATAGTTAACTGGGCACAATGGCTCACACCTGTAATTCCAAGACTTTGGGAGGCAGAGGAGGAAGGCTCACTTGAGGCCAGGTGTTACAGACCAGCAACATAGCCAGACCCCATCTCTACAAAAAAAGTTTTTTAAAATTAGCCAGGTGTGGTGGGTGGCATGCACCTGAGTGCTAGCTACTTAAAAGGCTGAGGTAGGAGGATTGCTTGAGCCCAGGTGTTTAAGACCACCATGAGCCATGATCGTGCCATGGCACTCCAGCCATGACAAAGCAAAACCCTGTCTCAAAAACAATTTTTTTTTAATTTAAAATTTAAAAAAAGAAAGAATAGCAAAGGTCACCAATGTTGACACTATAAGGATAATCTCCTGGGATGGGACAGAAGTGGTTATTCCATAGTGTCCCAACTCTGTTCCTAAGGATTCAACTTCTTGTGGCAAAGTAATGACCTCCCAGAAATGTCCTAATCCTTGGAAGCTGTGAATGTATTAGGTTACATGGTAAAGGGAAGTTAAGGTTGTAAACGGAATTAAGGTTGCTAATCAGCTGAGTATGATATAGGGAGATCATCCTAGATAACCTGGGTGACTCCAATGCAACCACAAGGGCTTTTATAAGTGGAAATGGGAAGTAAAAGAGCATGCAAGTGACAGTGATGGTAGCATGAGAATGACCCACTCAAATGTTCCTGGCTTTGAAGATAGGAGGGGAAACAAGCCAAGGAATGCCAGCAGCCCCAGAAAGCTGGAAAAGGTAAGGAAATTGATTCCCTTCCAGAGCTTCCAGAAATTAATGCATCCCTGCTGACATCTTTATTTTGGCCCAAATAAAATAAAGTCTGACCTTTATTTTAGGTCAAACTAAAATAAAGTTTTAGTTTATTTTAACACCAGACTCTGACCTACACCACACCAGACTCTGACCTACAGAACTGTAACACATTTATGTTGTTTTAAATAGCTAAATTTGTGGTGATTTGTTATAACAGCAACAGAAAACTAATACACTTTCCCTTGTGTTTCTTGTTCATTATCATGTCATGTCCCCTCTGGCCTCTAAGAGCTGATAGCTCCCTCTTTCAACCCCAGACCTAGTATCAATATATCTATGCACTGATACCCAGTAACAAAGCTATGACATGGCTAGAGCACTGAAACAAGACTTGACCAAAATTTGGGGGATGACAGTAGCATTACCTTAGCAGAACACTGTAATTTACAAACTGATTTCTACCTCATCAATTTATTGTGTTAATTAAATGACATAACAGATGTTAAGTGCCACACAGCCTAGCCTAGAGAAAGCAGTCAACAAATATTAGCTGTTATTATTGTGGTGATTGTTGTTTTTTGTAATCCCCTAGTCAAACAGGGAGTCTTTGGCTATGAGTGTGTGAGGAAGCTGTAGCAACTGATTGACCATATTAAGATAAACAAGAGACAGGGCTGATTTGGGATGAAGATGGTACAAATAGTGTAATGGGAAAGTGCTGCAACACAACCCATAGCAATAGTGAGTGACAACAGCCTTCATGCAGGCAAAAAGACCAAAGGGTAACAGTGCACAAAATAAAAAGCATGAGTCAACCATTTGTTCACAGATCTTTTCAGTAAGATGTATTTGCATGTAATGGGATATCAAAGAATCATAAGAAAGAAAGACCTAAGGAAGAAGATGCAAAGGAAAATGCTTTGTTAACAATAACAACAATAATAATAGCTAACACTTATCGAACATTCATTCTGTGCCAGATTGTGTGCTAAGCTCTTTAAAAATAAAAATAACATGAGCTCATTTGAGTCAAGATTATTAAAATCAAGGAAACATTTCAATGGATAACATTCCTCCATGCCCACAGCTCTTGTTGTCAAAGTGTTATTTTAACCCTCTTTTAGGCTAAGCCTGAGTGTGCAGAACCAGAGGCTACTCATGTCTACTAAGAACAAATTTAGACTAGAGTTTATCCCACGTATCATTTTTACCAGTTGTTAAGTGGAGTTGGAAATCCATAATCCTAACAATGTTGCTTAGAAACTACAAATCAGCAAAGAACAACACTCTAAAAGGACATTAGGACCACAACAATTTGACAAGTTCTGCAAAGACATAGTCCAGTGCACTCTGAATAAATGCATTAGGGCTAAAGGGTTCTCAACAATCTCTCTCTAAATGCACTTACCCTTAGCTTCTTTTAGGTGAAGGAATCATCCCAAAATAATCATCTTCTAAGTGAAATTCACGATGTAAAACGTCATGAAAAACAAGAATGGCATATAATTATAAGAAAGCTAAGAAAGTCTGAGAACAACCAAAAGGAATATGTTGAATTATGTTTATGACAGAGAAACATAAATGATAAGACAACTTGGAGGCAGAGGGTATAATATATCCATTCATTCATTCCATAGGTAACAGAATAGATACTAAGTGCCAAGCACTACAGGAGATTGTTGTACTTGAGCGAGTTAGAGAAAACGCAACACTTTGAGACAAATTAAGAGTCTTTCATTAGCTGGTGACTGGAAGACGGCTAACGCTTAAAATTTTCTCAGCTTCAAGGAAAGGGCTTGATTAACTTTTATACTTTGGTTTAGGAAGGGGATGGGGGGGTGGATCTAGTTAAAACAATTTTACAGAAGTAAAGTAGTCAAAAAGTTAAAAGGATAAATGGTTACAGGAAAGTAAACAGTTCCAGGTGCAGGGGCTTTAAGACTATTACAAGGTGATAGACCTGGGGCTTTGGGCGTTATCAATCAGACGAATTCTTGGGAACTGTGGATATAGCTTGCCACAGTATCTTATCAGTTAATTGCATTCTTGGATGTGCTGGGAGTCAGCTTGCACAAGTTAAGTCCTTGAGGAAGGGGCTGCCAGTGAAAGAGCCAAGATGGAGTCTGTCTGGCTCTTTTAGCTAAGGGAGAGTCAATTCAGGTGGAGACAAGGCTAGGTGATTAAAGGAAAAGGGAGAGTCTAAAAACAGAGTTAGTAAAAACCAGGTTGGGCATTACATTCCTCACTTGTGTTTTTGGGGAATCAAAACGTTGATTCCTTAGTTATAACAAGGGGGTTATATTGAGTCTTAAGATACATAAGTTTGACAGAAGCTATGCATTGTTTTATAAAATTAAGAAATTAATTTAATATATAAGGCTTAAAAATTAAACTTAATAGTATGATGAGAAGAGGTCTAGCTAACTTAGTGATTAAAGTAGTTAGGAGGGTTTCTAGTTGAACATGTTTTGATACTAGGGGATGTTATTTTCTCATTTCTGTTGGTGCTTATTTAGATTTTTTTGAACTTTTGGAGTGTATCTTTTATGACTAAGAATGGTGGAGGAACAGTTAAATCAACTTTGTCAGGGGGTTCCTGGAACATAGGGTCACAGAGCAGTTAAAGGCTTGATTGGCTTGGGTGGGCTCTATGAGACTAGGATTTTTTTTGGATGGTGAACATAGTCTTAATATCAAATCTTGGGATATAAAATCTTAATCTTTATGACATGCCATAATATTATTGAGTTGAATTAGGGTCATGGACAGTTATAGTAAGAGGATTACAATTTTTTCTAGTACATAATTTAGGACGAGAAGCACGAGTTATGGAATGAAGATCTGGTTGACCTTTTAGAGTAGGTGGCTAAAGTTACACATGTCTAATCAGGGCAGAAAAACTGATAAGTATCTTGACAGCTAGCATCAGGGTGATTCTTAGGACAGAGGTAAAAGTCAACATTTTGGAGTTCTTTTTCTGCACCTTTGGAGCTTCTACATCTAGTTTGGCTTCTGAAGCATCTAAATCTTGCTGCAAGGTCGACACTTCTTGCTTTTGGGACTAGCAGATTGTGTTGCTCTTCATGGGTACGGGCTGGCTTTAGGAACAGTACACATAAATTAACTGCAAAGGAGACTTCTTTGGAGGTACTGGCCTTCTAAGTGGTGTTTGCAAATACACGTCTTGTTGTGAAAGAGGTGAGGAGAAAGGAGTAGGAAGGCGCACAGGACATAACAGGCAAAAACAAACAAGTGAGGTAGATAAAAAGAATTAATCTAATGGCTTCGCCTGACTTAGGTGCAGTTTTAAAGGAGCTTGTGGAAACAAGGCTAGGTGATTAAAGGAAAAGGGAGAGTCTAAAAACAGATTTAGTAAAAACCAGGTTAGGCATTACAAGATAATGAGAATGCAGTGATAAATTAGACACTGTCTCTGCTCTCAAGGAGCTTACACTCTAGTATGGTAGAGGGGCATAAGATGTGACAAAGGTAAATTGAAGTATTAATCTATTATTTTGCTTCTATAAAATAAAAATAGGGGCTGGGCATGGTGGCTCATGCCTGTAATCCCAACACTTTGGGAGGCCAAGGCAGGCAGATTGCTTGAGCTCAGGAGTTTGAGATCAGCCTAGGCAACATGGCAAAACCCCATCTCTACAAAAATTACAAAAGTTAGCCAGGCATTGTGGCACATGCCTGTAGTCCCAGCTACTGAGGAGGCGGACGTGGGAGGACGGCTTGAGCCCGGGAGGTGAGGGTTGCAGTGAGCCAAGATAACATCACTGCACTCTACCCTGGATGACAGAGCCAGACCCTGTCTCCAAAAAATAAAATAAAATAAAATAAAATAAAAATGGGCTTTGTTCTCCATAGGACTTGTCATGTCCAATAGTTCTTCTAAGCAAGACTGTCCAGCATCATGTTATAGAGGGAACAAATTCAGCCTTGTTTTATTTCACATGAGCCTGTTCCCCACATCCAGGCAGCTCCAGTCAGAGAAGGGAATTTAACACAAGGGCAGCTCATCTGTAGACTGACTCCAAGAACTGAAGCTAAAGAGATGCATACAAAGAAGATGAGTTTGAAGTAGTGAATTGGCTAATTACCCTGATTGGATCATTAAACAATGTACACATAAAAATATCACATTGTACCCCATAAATATCTATAATTATGTATCAATTAAAAATAAAACATTTTTGAAAGGTGAAAAGAGCAATAAGAAAGTCACGGTTTTAAGGAAACTGAAACAATGAGTAAGTAAAAGCTATGAGTGGATATAAATCTAGCATACAAAGAGAACAAGCCAGATTGGGTAAGAGGAGAAAAAGCAAGAAGACACACCTAAGAACTTTAACATCTGGTCAAGATGGAGTGATAAGGACCAGTTACCCTCTTACCTGAAACAACTGAATAAAAAAACAGACAAATACATTAAACAATGGTTTTCAAGATACTAGATGCTAGGCAATGAGTGACCATGGTCCCTGAAAGATGAAAAACAAACAAGGTGAGCCCAAAAATTGCCCCTCAGCCTCTGAAGCTAAGAAAGGAGTCACCAGAAATTGTTAGAGGTAACCATGTTAGTCAGAGTTCTCCAGAGAAACAGAACCAATATAACCTGTGTACATACAGCATGAGAGATTTATTAAAGAATTGACTCCTGTGATTGTGGAGGCTTGGTAAACCCAAAATCTGCAGGGTAGGTCAACAGACTGGAGACCCAGGGAAGAGTTGCAATTTGAGTCCCCTTGTTGTCTGCTGGCAGAATTCTTTCTTGCTCAGGGGAGGTCAGTCTTTATTCTATTAAGGACTTTCACTGATTGGCATAGCACTGTCCACATTATGGAGGGTAATCTGCTTTACTCAAATTCTACCCATTTAAATTTTAACCTCATCCAAAAAACACCTTCACAAAAACATCCAGAATAATGTTTGGCCAAATATCTGGGCACCATGGCCCAGCCAATTTGACACGTAAAATTAACCATTACATAACAATACCTGGTGCTTACACAGGTCCAGGAATAGTGTTCGTCTCCACCAGCCAGGCTGGAAAACAATCTCATAATTCATAGGGCATCAGGTAGAGTAGTCAGAAGGTTCTTGCCTCAGGAAGGGGAAAAATTTAGCCCTAAAATGAACTCTACTATGGTCCTACCTAACAAAGTTGAAAAGCAAGACCCACAGGATCAAAATGTTTCCAAGTAACTCAACTACATCCCAGAACAAAGTTTGAGAATATTTATAGGAATACAAAAATAGCACCCAAAAAGCTCAAATTCACAATGTCTGGCATTTAACCAAAAATTACCCAGCATGCAAATGAATTAGAAAATATAACCTAGAAGGAGAGAAACCAATAATCAAAATTGTTTCAGATAAAAATTAAATTATAAAATATTTATTTAAAAAATAGTAATAAATAAGTGCATTTTTAAAGTTTTATAACCATATTCCATATGCCAGAAAAGTAGAGGAAAGACTGAACATATTAAGTGGAGACATGAAAGATTTTTTTTTAAGAAAAACTATGGTGTCTGAGGAAAAAAATACACTGGATGAGATTAATGATAAATTAGACATCCCAGAAGAAAAGATAAATAAACTTGAAGATTGAATTAAAAGGCAAGATCCAATTATATATTGCCTACTAGAAACTCACTTTAAATATAAAGACATGAATAAATTGAAAGTAAAAGAACAGGAGAAACTATCTAACATTAACACTAATCCAAAAAATCTTCAGTGTCTGTATTAACATCAAAGTAGAATTCAGAGCAAATAATGTTACCAAGGACAAAGAAGATCATTTCATCACGATAAATGGGTCATTTCCTCAAAGTACATAATAATCATCAAAGTTTGTGCACCTAATAACAGAACACAGTTCATGAAACAAAACTGAGAGAACTACAAGGAGAAATTTAAAAATCCACAAATTGTAGTCAGATTTCAATATCCCTCTCTCAATAATTGATAAAACAAGTACACAGAAAAATCAGTAACAATATGGAAGACTTAAAGAACACTATTGTGTGTTGAATTGTATCCTCCAAAAAGATATGTTCAAGTCCTAATTCCCAGTACCTGCAAATGTGAGCTTATTTGGAAATATGGTCTTTGCAGATGTAACCAAGTGAAAATGAAGTCATACTGGATTAAGGAGAAGGTTCCTAATACAGCGATTGGTATCCTCATAAGAATAGGGAAATTTAGACATGGATAGGAAGAATGTCATGTGACATCGGAGGCAGAGGTTGGAGTGATACACCTTCAAGCCAAGTATTGCCAACAACCACCAGAAGCTAGGATGAGGCAAAGAAAGATCCTCCCCTAGAGCCTTCAGAGAGAACACGGTCCTGCCAATGTGTTAATTTTTTATTTCTAGCCTCCAGACCTGTAGGAGAATAAATTTCTGTTCTTTTAAGCCACTCAGTTGGTGGCACTTTGTAATGGTGTCTCTAGGAATTAATACAACTCTCAGCCAATTTGTCCCAATTGACATTTATGGAATACGCCACCCAGCAACAGCAGAAAACACTTTTTTTTAAGTGCAAAGTATCAAGATATGACCTACACTCTGGACCATAAAAAAACAAGCTTCAATAAACTTAAAAGGATTCAAGTCATACAAAGTGTGTTTTCTAACCACAAAGGAATTCAGTTATAAATGAAGAACAGAAAGATAGCTGGAAAATCCCCAAATATTTGGAAACTAACACACTTTCAAATAATCAACAAATCAAAGAGACTGAGAGACGATCATTGGAAATCACATATCTGATGAAGGTCTTATATCTGGAATATAGAAAGACCCTCAAAACTCATTAATAAGAACATAAACAGTCTATGAAAATATAGGCAAGATTTTAATAGACACTTCACCAAAGTAAATAGATACACAAATGGAAAATAAGCACATGAAAAGATACTCAATTGCCAGGCATGGTGGCTTATGTCTGTAATCCCAGTACTTTCGGAGGTTAAGGCAGAAGTATCACTTGACACCAGGAGTTCAAGACCAGCCTGGGCAATATAGTGAGACCCTATCTCTACAAAAAAAAAAAATTTAATTATCTGGGCATGGTGGCGCACACATATAGTCCTTGCTACTTGGGAGTCTGAGGCAGGAGGATAGCTTGGGCCCATGTGTTAGAGGTTGCAGTGAACTACGACTGAACCACTGCACTCCAGCCTGGGTGACAGAGCGAGATCCTGTCTCTACATATAAAAATAAAACTTATTAGTCATTAGAGAAATGCAAGTTAAAATGACAATTAAATATGACTACACTAGAATATCTAAAAATTAAAAAACTGACCACACCAGGAGATGATAAGAATACAAAGTAACTGGAATTCATACACTGCTGGTTGTAAATGATACAACAGCTTTGGAAAACAGTTTGGCATTTTCTCAAAAAGTTAAGTATACACCTACCATACGATCGAGCCGTTCCACTCCAAGTTATTTACCCAAGGTAAATGAAAGCCTATGTCCTGATATATAAATAGTTGTACATAAGCATTTATAGTACCTTTATTTGTTAATGGCCAAAATCTGAAATAACTCAAATGTTCATCCACAAGTGAATGGATAAACACGATGTGAAATAACTTAAGTGAAATACTACTGAGCAATAAAAATAAACTATTGATACACACAATAACATGATGAATCTTGAAATAATAATCGAGAGTGAAAGTCAAAAAAAGTACAATCCACATGATTCCATTTATACAAAAGTCTAGAAAATGCAAACGAATCTACACTGACAGACACAGTTCAGTAACTCCTGGGGACAAAGAAAGGGAGTAGAAAAAGAGAAGTAGGAGGCAGTGATTACAAAAGGGCATGAAGAAACTTTTTCTTCTTGTTAAAAGGAAAATAATTATAGGATATAAACATACCAAATTTGGGAAAAGGCCCAAATGACTTCTCAGTCAGACCTGTAGTGCCACCAGCATACAACACCAGCCTGGGAAAGCCATAGCCATGCAACTTCAGCGCATGAAAACCGAAGCATGGGCTGCACCCAGCAAAATCATGAAAGTGGGACTTCCCAAGGCCTTGGGGCCCAACCTCCTGCCACAGTGTGTATGGAAGACAGGACATGCAGTCAAATATTATACTCAAACCTTAAGATGTAATGCTGTTTGCCCTGTTGGGTTTTGGACTTCCTTGGGAACTGTTACTTCTTTCTTCTTTCCTATTGTTCTCTTTTGGAATGGGAATGTCTACCCTATGCCAGTCCCACCATTGTATTTTGAAAGTTCATAACTTGCTTGAGTTCACAAGCTCACAACTAAAGAGCAGTTTGCCTCATGACAAATCAAACTTTGAGTCTTGCCCATATCTGATTTAGATGAGACGCTGGACTTTTGAGTTGATGTTGGAGAAAATTAAGATCTTTTAAGAATATTGGGATGGAATGAATGTATTTTGCATGTGAGGACATGAATTTGGGGGACCAGGGACAGAATGCTATGGTCTAAATGTGTCTCCCAAAGTTCATGTTTTAGAAAGTTAATCCCCAATGCAACAGTATTGGGAGGTGGAGACTAATGGGAGGTTTTTAGGTCATGTGGTCTCCATCCTCATGAATGAATTAATGTGGCTGTAAAAGGCCTAGCAGGAGTGGGTTCTCTCTATTCTGCTCTTCTAGCATGTGGGGACACAGCATTCACTCCCCACTTGCCCTTCAACTTTCTGCCCTGTGAGGATGAGGCAAGAAGTCCTTCACCAGATGCCAGAGCCTTGATCTTGGACTTCCCAGCCTCCAGAACTGTGGGAATAAATTTTTGTTTTTTTATAAATTACTCAGTCTGTGGTATCCTGTTTTAGTAGCTCAAACAGACTAAGTCAATAAACTTCCATGGGTTTGCTAGACCCCACAATAAAGGCCTAGCAAAACAGTAAGTATGACCATTTCCAGAAGTCTGCCTTTCAATCAAAAATTTTGAATTGAATGCAAATGAAAGCACAGATATCAAAATTTGTGATATGCAGCAAAAACAGTACTTAAAAAGAAATTTGGAGCATTAAAAGCTTTTGTTAGAAAATAAGAAAATTCTCAAATTAATGATCAATATCTCTACCTTAAGAAAGTAGAAAAAATAATGAGCAAAGTAAACTCAAAGCAAGTAGAAAGAAGGAAAGAATAAGGAAAACAGCAAAAAATCAATAAAATCGAGTAGAAAATTTATTTAACCCATTTCCTGTTTAGAAAAAAAAGTGCAACTCACTGCCAGCACTCATTTAATTTTACATAAACATGCTATTTGAGGCTGAGGCGAATCTGACTGAATTTCAATGTGAAAATAAAATATAAAAACTGTTCTTGAAGTTATCTCTAAACTGAACTTGTCTCTAAACCTAATGTAACAGAAATATGCATGATATTACATTAGGATTAGAGAGAAGAGTATTATTGAGGAAAATGACAAATGGGTTAAAAGTCAAAAATCAAATAGCTGATTCTTAGAAAAAAACTGGTAAGCTCCTAGCCAGTCTGATCAAGAAAAGGAGGGAAAACACAAAATTACAAAATATCAGAAATGAAAAAGAAGACATTACAATAGACCCTACAGAGAATACAAGCATAAGAAAATTGTATGAAAAACTCCATGACTTTAAATACAACCACCTAGATGAAATGGAAAAATTTCTTGAAAGTCACATTGTCCAAGCTCACTTAAAAAAAAATAACCTCAAGAGCGAAATCATGAATGAACTCACATTCACAATTGCCACAAAAAGAATAAAATACCTAGGAATACAGCTAACAAGTAAAGTGAAGGACCTCTTCAAGAAGAACTACAAACCACTGCTCAAAGAAATCAGAAATGACACAAACAAATGGAAAAACATTCCACACTCATGGATAGGAAGAATGAATATCGTGGAAATGGCCAAACAGCCCAAAGTAACTTATAGATTCAATGCTATTCCCATCAAACTATCACTGACATTCTTTACAGAATTAGAAGAAACTATTTTAAAATTCATGTGGAACTGAATAAGAGTTTGCATAGCCAAGACAATCCTAAGCAAAAAGAACAAAGCTGGAGGCATCACGCTACCCAACTTCAAACTATCCTTCAAGGCTACTGTAACCAAAATAGCATGGTACTGGTACTAAAACAGACACATAAACCAATGGAACAGAATAGAGAACCCAGAAATAAGACCACACACCTACAACCATTTGATCCTTGACAAAGGTTATTTCACACCGTGTTTATCCATTCACCTGTGGATGAACATTTGAGTTATTTCAGATTTTGGCCATTAACAAATAAAGGTACTATAAATGCTTGTGTACAACTATTTATGTATCAGGATAAAAACAAGCAGTGGGGAAAGGATTCTTTATTCTCCCAATGCTGGGAGAACTGGCTAGTCATATGCAGAAAATTTAACTGGACGCCTTCCTTAAACCATATACAGAAATCAATTCAAAATGGATTGAAGACTTAAATGTAAAACCCAAAACTAGAAAAACCCTAGAAGAAAACCTAGGCAACCATTCAGGACATAGGCACAGGCAAAGATTTCATAATGAAGACAACAAGAGCCAAAATTGACAAATAGGATCTAATTAAACTAAAGAGCTTCTGCACAGCAAAATAAACTATCATCAGAGTAAACAGACAACTGGCCAGGCACGGTGGCTCATCCTGTAATCCCAACACTTTGGGAGGCCAAGACGGATGGATCACCTGAGGTCAGGAGTTCGAGACCAGCCTGGCCAACATGTTGAAACCCTGTCTCTACTAAAAATACAAAAATTAACTGGGCATTTTGGTACACGCCTGTAATGCCAGCTACTTAGGAGGCTGAGGCAGGAGAATTGCTTGAACCTAGGAGGCAGAGGTTGCAGCGAGCTGAGATTGCGCCATTGCACTTCAGGCTGGGCAACAAGAGTGAAACTCCATCTCAAAAAAAAAAAAAAGAGTAAAGAGACAACCTACAGAATGGGAGAACATTTTTGCAATCTATCCATCTGACAAAGGTCTAATATCCAGCAACTACAAGGAACTTAAACAAATTTACAAGAAAAAAACAACCCCATTAAAAAGTGGGCAAAGGACATGAACAGACACTTCTCAGAAGAAGACATACATGTGCCCAACAAACATGAAAAAAAGCTCAACATCACTGATCAGTAGAGAAATACAAAGCAAGACCACAACGAAATACCATCTTATGCCAGTCAGAATGGCAGTCATTAAAAAGTCAAGAAACAGATGTGGGAAAGGTTGCAGAAAAATAGGAATGCTTTCACACTGCTAGTGGGAATGTAAATTAGTTCAACCATTCTGGAAGATGGTGTGGCAATTCCTCAAAGATCTAGAACCAGAAATACCATTTGACCCAGCAAGCCCATTACTGGGTCATTACTGGCCCATTACTGGCCATTATATACCCAAAGGAATATAAATCATTCTACTATAAAGATACATGCATGTGTATGTTCATTTCAGCAGTATTCACAATAGCAAAGATATGGAATCAACCCAAATGCCCATCAATGATAAACTGGATAAAGAAAATGTGGCAAATATACATCATGGAATACTATGCAGCCATAAAAAGGAACGAGATCATGTTCTTTGCAGTGACATGGATGGAGCTGGAAGCCATTATCCTCAGCAAATAAACACAGGAACAGAAAACCAAATACCGAATGCTCTCATTTATAAGTGGGAATTGAACAATGAGAACACATGGACACACTGGGCAAACAACACACACTGGGGCCTGTCAGAGGGTGGGAGTGGGAGGAAAGACAGCAGCAGGAAGAACAGCTAATGGATGCTGGGCTTAATACCTAGGTGATGGGACAATCTGTGCAGCAAAACACCATGGCACACATTTACCTATGTAACAAAACTGCACATCCTGCACATGTACTCCCAAACCTAAAAGTTGGAAATAAAAATAATAGTAATAATAATCTGACTAGTCCCACATCTACTGGACTTTGTCTACACTTGGTATTCATTCTACCTGCAATGTTTTCCTCCCAGATCTTTATATTTACCAATCAGTTCAAGGATGATTAGACCTTCTCTTAAGCTTCATAAGGAGAAATAAAATACTTTACAGACAAGCAAATGCTGAGAGATTTTGTCACCACCAGGCCTGCCCTAAAAGAGCTCCTGAAGGAAGCACTAAACATGGAAAGGCACAACCGGTACCTACCGCTGCAAAATCATGCCAAAATGTAAAGACCATTGAGAATAGGAAGAAACTGCATCAACTAACGAGCAAAATAACCAGCTAACATGATAATGACAGGATCAAATTCACACATAACAATATTAACTTTAAATATAAATGGACTAAATGCTCCAATTAAAAGACACAGACTGGCAAATTGGATAAAGAGTCAAGACCCATCAGTGTGCTGTATTCAGGAAACCCATCTCACGTGCAGAGACACACATAGGCTCAAAATAAAAGCATGGAGGAAGATCTACCAAGCAAATGGAAAACAAAAAAAGGCAGGGGTTGCAATCCTAGTCTCTGATAAAACAGACTTTTAACCAACAAAGATCAAAAGAGACAAAGAAAGCCATTACATAATGGTAAAGGGATCAATTCAACAAGAAGAGCTAACTATCCTAAATATATATGCACCCAATACAGGAGCACCCAGATTCATAAAGCAAGTCCTGAGTGACCTACAAAGAGACTCAGACTCCCACACAATAATAATGGGAGACTTTAACACCCCACTGTCAACGTTAGACAGATCAACAAGACAGAAAGTTAACAAGGATACCCAGGAATTGAACTCAGCTCTGCACCAAGCAGACCTAATAGACATCTACAGAACTCTCCACCCCAAATCAACAGAATATACATTTTTTTCAGCACCACACCACACTTATTCCAAAATTGACCACATAGTTGGAAGTAAAGCTCTCCTCAGCAAATGTAAAAGAACAGAAATTATAACAAACTGTCTCTCAGACCACAGTGCAATCAAACTAGAACTCAGGATTAAGAATCTCACTCAAAACCGCTCAACTACATGGAAACTGAACAACCTGCTCCTGAATGACTACTGGGTACATAACGAAATGAAGGCAGAAATAAATATGTTCTTTGAAACCAACGAGAACAAAGACACAACATACCAGAATCTCTGGGACACATTCAAAGCAGTGTGTAGAGGGAAATTTATAGCACTAAATGCCCACAAGAGAAAGCAGGAAAGATCCAAAATGGACACCCTAACATCACAATTAAAAGAACTAGAAAAGCAAGAGCAAACATATTCAAAAGCTAGCAGAAGTCAAGAAATAACTAAAATCAGAGCAGAACTGAAGGAAATAGAGACAAAAAAAAAACCCTTCAAAAAATTAATGAATCCAGGAGCTGGTTTTTTGAAAGGAGCAACAAAATTGATAGACCGCTAGCAAGACTAATAAAGAAAAAGAGAGAAGAATCAAATAGATGCAATAAAAAATGATAAAGGGGATATCACCACTGACCCCACAGAAATACAAACTACCGTCAGAGAATACTACAAACACCTCTACGCAAATAAACTAGAAAATCTAGAAGAAATGGATAAATTCCTCAACACATACACTCTCCCAAGACTAAACCAGGAAGAAGTTGAATCTCTGAACAGACCAATAACAGGATCTGAAATTGTGGCGATAATCAATAGCTTACCAACAAAAAAGAGTCCAGGACCAGATGGATTCACAGCCGAATTCTACCAGAGGTACAAGGAGGAACTGGTACCATTCCTTCTGAAACTATTCCAATCAATAGAAAAAGAGGGAATCCTCCCTAACTCATTTCAGGAGGCCAGCATCATCCTGATACCAAAGCCAGGCAGAGACACAACCAAAAAAGAGAATTTTAGACCAATATCCTTGATGAACATTGATGCAAAAATCCTCAATAAAATACTGGCAAACCGAATCCAGCAGCACATCAAAAAGCTTATCCACCATGATCAACTGGGCTTCATCCCTGGGATGCAAGGCTGGTTCAATATACGCAAATCAATAAATGTAATCCAGCATATAAACAGAACCAAAGACAAAAACCACATGATTATCTCAATAGATGCAGAAAAGGCCTTTGACAAAATTCAACAATGCTTCATGCTAAAAACTCTCAATAAATTAGGTATTGATGGGACATATCTCAAAATAATAAGGGCTATCTATGACAAACCCACAGCCAATATCATACTGAATGGACAAAAACTGGAAGCATTCCCTTTGAAAACTGGCACAAGACAGGGATGCCCTCTCTCACCACTCCTATTCAACATGGTGTTGGAAGTGCTGGCAAGGGCAATTAGGCAAGAGAAGGAAATAAAGGGTATTCAATTAGGAAAAGAGGAAGTCAAATTGTCCCTGTTTGCAGACGACATGATTGTATATCTAGAAAACCCTATTGTCTCAGCCCAAAATCTCCTTAAGCTGATAAGCAACTTCAGCAAAGTCTCAGGAAACAAAATCAATGTACAAAAATCACAAGCATTTTTATACGCCAACAACAGACAAACAGAGAGCCAAATCATAAGTGAACTCCCATTCACAATTGCTTCAAAGAGAATAAAAGACTTAGGAATCCAACTTACAAGGGACGTGAAGGACCTCTTCAAGGAGAACTACAAACCACTGCTCAATGAAATAAAAGAGGATACAAACAAATGGAAGAACATTCCATGCTCACAGGTAGGAAGAATCAATATCGTGAAAATGGCCATACTGCCCAAGGTAATTTATAGATTCAATGCCATCCCCATCAAGCTACCAATGACTTTCTTCACAGAATTGGAAAAAACTACTTTAAAGTTCATATGGAAGCAAAAAAGAGCCCGCATCGCCAAGTCAATCCTAAGCCAAAAGAACAAAGCCAGAGGCATCACGCTACCTGACTTCAAACTATACTACAAGGCTACAGTAACCAAAACAGCATGGTACTGGTACCAAAACAGAGATACAGATCAATGGAACAGAACAGAGCCCTCAGAAATAACGCTGCATATCTACAACTATCTGATCTTTGACAAACCTGAGAAAAACAAGCAATGGGGAAAGCATTCCCTATTTAATAAATGGTGCTGGGAAAACTGGCTAGCCATAAGTAGAAAGCTGAAACTGGATCCCTTCCTTACACCTTATACAAAAATTAATTCAAGATGGATTAAAGACTTAAACATTAGACCTAAAACCATAAAAACCCTAGAAGAAAACCTAGGCATTACCATTCAGGACATAGGCATGGGCAAGGACTTCATGTCTAAAACACCAAAAGCAATGGCAACAAAAGCAAAAATTGACAAATGGGATCTAATTAAACTAAAGAGCTTCTGCACAGAAAAAGAAACTACCATCAGACTGAACAGGCAACCTACAAAATGGGAGAAAATTTTTGCAACCTACTCATCTGACAAAAGGCTAATATCCAGAATCTACAATGAACTCAAACAAATTTACAAGAAAAAAACAAACAACCCCATCAAAAAGTGGGCAAAGGATATGAATAGACACTTCTCAAAAGAAGACATTTATGCAGCCAAAAGACACATGAAAAAATGCTCATCATCACTGGCCATCAGAGAAATGCAAATCAAAACCACAATGAGATACCATCTCACACCAGTTAGAATGGCGATCATTAAAAAGTCAGGAAACAACAGGTGCTGGAGAGGATGCGGAGAAATAGGAACACTTTTACACTGTTGGTGGGACTGTAAACTAGTTCAACCATTGTGGAAGTCAGTGTGGCGATTCCTCAGGAATCTAGAACTAGAAATACCATTTGACCCAGCCATCCCATTACTGGGTATATACCCAGAGGAATATAAATCATGCTGCTATAAAGACACATGCACACGTATGTTTATTGCGGCACTATTCACAATAGCAAAGACTTGGAACCAACCCAAATGTCCAACAATGATAGACTGGATTAAGAAAATGTGGCACATATACACCATGGAATACTATGCAGCCATAAAAAATGATGAGTTCATATCCTTTGTAGGGACATGGATGAAACTGGAAATCATCATTCTCAGTAAACTATCGCAAGGACAAAAAACCAAACACCGCATGTTCTCACTCATAGATGGGAATTGAACAATGAGAACACATGGACACAGGAAGGGGAACATCACACTCTGGGGACTGTTGTGGGGTGGGGGGATGGGGGAGGGATAGCATTAGGAGATATACCTAATGCTAAATGACGAGTTAACGGGTGCAGCACACCAGCATGGCACATGTATACATATGTAACTAATCTGCACATTGTGCACATGTACCCTAAAACTTAAAGTATAATAATAATAATAACAATAAAAGAATGATTAGACCTTCTCTAAGCCCTATAATTAAAGTAGCCACCTATCCCCAGTCACTAGATGTCACATAAAATTGGTTTTATAGTCTTCAAAGTATTCATACCTCATGAAATTATCTTGTTTAGTTTTTTATGTATTTATTTATGGTCTGTTTACTCCCTTTGCCTTATTCATCAGTGTAGCCACAGGACTTACTTAGCACAATGCTTGAAATGTTGCAGATGCTCAATAAATATTTTTGAATAAGTAAAATGAATGATACTTCACTAGCTCAGTCATTTTCTGTAGTCATTAGTTCATGTGGGCTAAGATGGGTCCACCTGGGGTGCAGACTTCACAAGCCCAACTCGTAAATCTAAAGCCCAATCTGATTACTCTTTCTACCTTGCATTATCACGTTGTTCTCCTAGTCCCATCATCCAAAAGAGTAAACAAATCAATTAAGTTTAAAAAATCTTCCATAAAACACCAACTAGGAAACAGGCAAACAAAACATTCTTCTGTTTAAATGTCTAAGTGTCGTAGAAAAATTGTTTTCTTCTTGCTTCCTAGTTACTATATATAAACACATTTAATCATTATAACAACCCCTAGGATTAGGTATTATTTGAATTTATATTTTATAGATGAGGAAACTGCAGCACAGAGAGTTTAAGTCACACAACTATTCATTGTTGAGCCAGATTAATTGAAATCCAGGCTGTCTGGTTCTAGAGACTGGGCTCTTAAACATGACACTAAACTGCCTACTCTATGGCATAAAAACTCTGCCTGAAAAATCCACAGGCATTTTCCCATCCCACCTTTTTCTCCAACCAGATTGACCAATCACCCAGACCAGAGACTGAGATGACTAACAGACAAGCGTCTGGGGAAGGAAGCATTCAAGGGCCCAAAGAGACATTGCAGCAAGTGGGGAAGGGGGAGATCCAACAGAGAGGGGATGAAGGAGGGAGAGGAAGAGTTTTCCTTAATGACCATAACAGAGGTCACTACCCAGAATGACCCCAAGTTTCTAGAACGTAACACTCACTGTCTTTAAGCAGGTGGCTAAGTCAAATCAAGCAGAGCAGTCATTCTAGAGTTGGACTAACCCCCTGATTGGAAGATGTGACTAAAACCCAAAGTAAAGTACTGTGGGTTTTCTTAACCTTCTTTTCAGCAATTTTTTACATGATTGACTGGCAAAAGTAGCATTGTTAATAATAGGCAATAACACACTCCCCTATACAAAAAGGACAGAATCCTGAGGTTACATAAGGAAAGTGGTCCTGCAGGAAACTCAGCAGATTGAGACATCTTACCCCAAGCTCTTTGATTTCAGCCTCCTCACAACAATTAGTAACAGGGACCCTTCGGGTTTCAATATGAATGTTTCACACAGCTGTTATTTTACCTCTCAAGGGATATTTTTCTCAAGAAACTAATTCAGAAGAGGTTTTTTCTTTTTTTCTGCCAAGGTTATTCCCTCAACCGAAAAATACAGTTCTTTTGTCCAGCCGAGACCAAAAATTAACTTATACAAAAAAAAGGAGGTCACCTGAAAAGTCCAATTCCTTGAGTAAATTGTGTCAGGCATCTTGACTCCTAACTCACAGAATATAGTCTCTTGAAAGATCTATCTAGTAACCCTTTCACATCAAGCCCAAGAATATTGCCCTCATAGCCAATAAGCCCTATGGGGAAAGTTCAATAATTCAGGTTTTCTTGCAAAAAGAAATCTGCTCTTCACTGATTCCAAATGTTTATGTCTCTGACCTCATTGGTTCTCAGTCAATGAGGCCCCATCCCCTTCTGTAGCAAATTTTTTTAATGCTCCCTTTACTGTCCTAAAATGGGAATCCAAAAAAAAACTGTAACCTGCATATACAAATAATTTAACAAAACGGTGTAATGCCCTGACTATACTACAAATGAGAAATGAAAAGAATGGAATTTATGATAAAATAATACATATGCCAAGAGGCTCAGGCACAGCTATTCCAGAAGACACAATGAAGTAGCCAATGCATCTACACATGGAATCAGTGGGAATTTGTCATCCACAAATGCATACTGATTTAGGTGTGTTGCGCTGGTGATTGGAATGCCAAAAGCAGCATGGTCTTTGGGTAATACGGTTTGCCAAAATAGGGAACAACTCTTGGAAAACTTACAAACAAGTCAAATGTATACTTTCATCAATTTACAAAGTAGTAGTCACGGAAAATTCAGCCTATTTTTAAAGCATGCAAAAAATACTGTGGATGTATTTGTAAAATGTAATTAGATTCCAGATTCATAATTATAAACAAGTTTTCACTTACCTGAGCCACTAGCTATGCATTCAAGTTATGCAGAACATTAAATAACTCTTCCTGGTGTAGGACTGCCCTGCAAATTGCAATATTCTAGCAGCCCTAGCCTTTGCCCACTAAATGTCTCAAGCATTCCCTCAAACAGCCAAAAACATTTCTCCAATTGTCCAAAATGCCCCCAGTATCATTTCTATTCATAATAAGGTATACTTTTTTTTTTTTAAGACGGATTCTTGCTTTATCCCCCAGGCTGGAGTGCAATGGTGCGATCTCGGCTCACTGCAACATTTGCCTCCCAGGTTCAAGCCATTCTCCTGCCTCAGCCTCCCAAGTAGCTGGGACTACAGGCATGCACCACCATGCCCAGCTAATTTTTGTTTTTTGTTTTTGTTTTTTTGAGACGGAGTCTTTCTCTGTCCCCTAGTGCAGTGACGTGATCTGGGCTCACTGCAACCTCCACCTCCAGGGTTCAAGCAATTCTCCTGCCTCAGCCTCCCAAGTAGCTGGGACTACAGGCACATGCCACCACTCCCAGCTAATTTTTTGTATTTTTAGTAGAGACGGGGTTTCACCGTTTAGCCAGGATGATCTCAATCTCCTGACCTCGTGATCTGCCCACCTCAGCCTCCCAAAGTGCTGGGATTACAGGTGTGAGCCACCACATCTGGCCAAGGTTTACTTTTATCTGTGCTTCAGAAAACAAACATATTTAAAAAAAAATCTCACTTCAAAGTTCAAGTTTTAGGCTTAGCTTTGATTTTAGTATCATCTGCATCAGAAGAGGGGAAACAAGTCAAAGTTTTGGAATCACATTTTGATTTAAATTTCAATTTCACTTCAATGTACTCAGTTTCACCTGAGCAACGTTGAACAATCCCTTAACCTCTCTGATCACCAGTTCTTCTCCTATAAAAGTGAGAAAATTAGCTCTTTACCACAGGACCACAAATTTAACTCATATTCAACTCACTAATGTCTTGATTATCCATAATCTAATCTGGCATTTCTCCCAAAAACTCACTCACTGGTTAATGGAAAAAGAATTAACTATATGTCCGATGCAGTTTAAATTTAATCCAATCTGATCATTAAAATAATCCTTTTGGGTAATGCTGACAATCTCAATCTCTAGGGAAAAAAATAATATTTAGATTCTCAGCTGAACTGGCTTCATGGGCATGCGACCTGTGGAGTTGCACAGGGACCTATACTCAGAAGGACCCCACACCTGGTTTAATGCTCTGCTGACACAGTATTGAAATTTTAAATTTTAGAACAAGGAACTTGCATTTTCATTTTGCACTGGGACCAGCCAATCCTGGCCTTCAGATGGTTGCCTCCTTCCCCTGCTCCTTTCCTTAAGATGGCATCTGGATATCTGAGGAGAGGGAGTGTTGATGGGTCATCATGGCACTGGAGTAAGAGCCTCCTCTCCCCATACTGGCCATTGACATGCATCAGGAAGTTACTACCGGTCACCAGGACAATGACAATTATTCACTGGGGCTTCTTGCTTGGTCAGGACTTAATAGCACCTATACATGAATCAGTCTCATTCCTGCTATGTTGGCTACAGACTGAGGAGTGTCTGCTCTCTCTCTCACCCAGTCCACTGGTCTGGTAGTCCACCCTGACTTGTTGAGGCAGGATAGGCAGAGGATACCTGGAAACCCTACTGGTTCTTGTCAGAGTGTCCATAAAACATGGAAACTGGGAGAAACTTAGGAAAACAAAGCCACAATTTCTCCTTCTGTCTGATCGTGCTGCATGGCCAAGATGTTGTAGTCATACCCTAAGTTGGTACAGGTGGGCAGGACAAGAGATGTACTTTCTAGGACACTCAATTTGGAAATGAGCAATAGCTCGCCTCTTTGCCCTTGCTATTCCTCTCACTTTTGTAACACAGCTCCCTCTTTCCAAGCCAAGTGGGAAAAAATTATAGAAATTAATTACAAAAAATTACTTTTCTCTCTATTCCATTCCACAACCTTCTTAGCCAAAAAGGCAGGGGATGGGTGAGGCTTTTCTTTACTTTCTCTATGTCATAGCCTCCTACTACCTGATGCTAATCTGAGAGTTAAGCCTTACTATGCACAGGGGTGTCTTCTCTACATAGGAGGAGAACTTCTATGGTAAGAGTTTTCTGGGCTCAGCTAGCAATGTGGGAAATAGTAAATAAGGTAATTTAGCAAACTCTCTTTCTCTCTCTCTCTCTCTCTCTCTCTCCAACACCTAAGAGGTCAAGAGACAAGAGCTCATCTTCTCTCTCCCCAGGACAATGAACCTCATGCTGCCCCCTTAGAGGCCTGCTGTTTGCACACACACACACACACAAAAAAAAAAAAAAGACTTAAGAGGAAAATTAAAATGCATCTATTAAACATTTGCAAAAATTTTAAGCCAAACTCAACAACAGAAAACAAACAATCCAACTAAAAAGTGGGCAAAGGGCTTGAATGGACATCTCTCCAAAATAGAAATACAAATGTCCAGTAACTACATGAAAAGATGCATCAGTAATCATTACAGAAACGAAAATCAAAACTACAATGAGCTATCACTTCATACTCACTCAGACGGCTATCATGAAAAACACAGAAAATAACAAGTGTTGGCAAAAATGTGGAGAAATTGGAACACTTGCACATGGCTGCAGGAAATGCAAAATGGCGCAGCCACTGTGGAAAACAGTATGACATTTCTTCACAAAATTAAACGTAGAACTATCACAAGATCCAGCAATTCCACTTCTATGTATATACCCCAAAGAATTGAAAGCAGGGACTTGAAGAGATGTTTGTACACCAATGTTCATGGTAGCATTATTCACAAAAGCCAAAAGGCAGACACATCCCAAATGTCCACCGACAGATGAATGGATGAGCATAACATGGTGGTATACATACAATGGAATATTATTGAGCTTTCAAAAGGAATGAAATTCTGATACATGCTACAACATGGATAAACCTTGAAGATACTGTGCTAAGTTAAACAAGTCAGACATAAAAGGACAAATATTTTATGATTGCACTTATATAAAGTACCCAAAAAGTCAAATTCATAGAAGCAAAAGGTGGAAAATGGGAGTTACTGTTTAATGGGTACAGAGTTTCAATTTGGGATGAGAAAAAAGGCCTGGAGATGGGTACTGGTGATGGTTGCACAATAATGTGAATATACTTAATGCTACTAAAGTATGCATTAAAAAGCTGCAAAAATGGTCAATTTTATGTTGTAAATATTTTACCACAATGAAAAAGTAAACCAAGAATGTCCTTTTTGCAAATTTGTTTTGAGAATTTCACAAATTAACATATGTAAAGCAACTAGCATCATTTGGTACACAGTAGATAACGATCAATATTAGGTTCCTTCCCTAATATTTATCCTGTCTAGCAAATGATATTATAAATTTTATTTAGATATTATTAATCCCTCTCTGGGATTGAGCACTGATTATATGGAAAATAAATTGACTTTTTCGTTTCTAATTAATTCTTGAGTATGTACAAGACTCAGAGCAATCAATAAGAGTGCATACACATGATTATTCAAGGATGAAATTCACTCCACTCCAAACACTCTGTTGAATCTCACTCACTGTACCTTTTCCTGAATGGCTCACAAGATTCTCAGACTCAATATATCCAAAACTGAATCCATTCACCTTTTCATAAAATTTGCTTTATTTCCTAACTTTCTTCTTTCATGAACAGTAGAAAATTTGGTTAGAATAGAAGTTACCAACTTTTCTTGGTTCATGGCATGTGTCTTGATTTTTTCACAATACCCCAGACCAAAAGAAATACCTAATAGCTCCATAAGTGCTTCGATACAGAAAACTTAGTAAGTATGTATGTTCTAACAACTTAGACATAATACATTTAAACACTTAAAACATAATACACGACCAGGTGTGGTGGCTCATGCCTGTAATCCCAGCACTTAGGGAGGCCGAGGTGGGTGGATCACTTGAGGTCAGGCGTTTAAGACCAGCCTGGCCAACATGGCAAAACCGCATCTCTACTAAAAATACAAAAATTAGCCAGATGTGATGGCGCATGCCTGTAATCCCAGCTACTTAGGAAGCTGAGGCATGATAATCACTTGAACCCAGGAGGCAAAGGTTGCATTGAGCTGAGATCGCACCACTGCACTCCAGCCTGGGTGACCCAGTGAGACTCCGTCTCAAAAAAAAAAAAAAATACACAAATTTTTTAAGATAATATTTTGTTTCACTCTTAACCACAATAATGGGATATAAGAACCTGTTAGGCATTAGGCACTGCATAACTTCTGATATCTTGGGATCATATTGGACACCATGACCGTTATCTGCTGTTCCACATTGATTTTTATGCAGTACTTGCTTTTTATCACAGCAACCACAAAAATCCAGCTTTACAAAGACATGACAGCTCACTCCAAAAGGAATATAATGATGTTGACATTGCAAACTACATAAAGCCAATAGATTGTTAGATGTCCAGTAGTCGTTGAGTATAACTATGTGTCCCTAGAAACTTTAAAAAATCCCACAACACCCCTGTGAATTCACTGTGGCATCCCTGGGCCGCTCAGCCAGTCTGGGAACTGCAGGGCTAGAGTAATAGTTTGGAACATGCTGTGGTCCGTGGTTGCAGTAATGGCCCCCACAAACCATGCCTTCCCATATCCATGCACATGCCTAGTCCCATCCCCACAAATACAAGCCATTGTAACTTGCTTTGGCCAATGGAACATTAGCAAATGTGACACAAGTAGCAACTTGAGAGGTACACGTGTATTGGAGTTTGCCCTCTCTTGCTGCTGGAAACCCTCCTGCTACCATGTGACATATTCAAGCAAGCCTCCTGGAGCATGAGACTTTGTGGAGAGAGACCTCAGTCATCCCAGTCATCTCAGGTGAGACCCCAGGCATGTTAGTGAGGCCAACTTAGACCATCCAATTCCAGCCAAGCCAACTCAGACCAAAAGAATTGCTCACTGGTCCATATAATCATGAAATGTAATAAAACACTGTTTTATTTAAAATGCCTATGTTTTGGGTGGTTTTAGACAGCAAAACTAACAGATACAATGTTAAAGACATTGAGCTTTATACTTAAGGCAATGGAAACCCAATAAAGAATCTATTTAGTTAAGTTGAATAGTTATAATTAATGAATGCATGATCATTCAATTGTTTCCATGGAATTCTCTTAGAAATAGCTTGTGATTTCCAGTCGTATAGCTTCAGGAACAGACTCTGAACTTCATTAATGTTTTATTGTGAATGAGATTAGAAATTTTACTGCATTTGTTTGAAACACACTTTCTACAATTATCATGTAAATGATCATTAATCTATAAGGAAGCCTGTTTGTAAAGGAAAATGTGTTTTAATTTGGTTGTGAAAAAGATGAATAGGAATCTTGTAAGAATGACCTATTCAATCAGAGATCAGATTGCTGACCACCATAACCACAGTAGCCAAAACCCAGCAGCAAACTCATAAACAAATGAAAACAGCCTCACATCAGCAGAGATATATCTGCCACGAGCTGCTGAATCTTGATGTCAATCAGAGCCCTTCCCAATCAAATGCTTACACAATATAGCAGGGTCTCAAAAGAACTAGAATACACAAGTTCTCAGATGGAACAGTTCTCAGCAAGGCAAGTAGGCCAACGGTCTAAAAAACACAGGTGTGACCTTGAAAGAACAATAACCAGCAGTGGCGCTTCAGGATTCCATGGTTTAATGAGCTCAAAGAACATCACCCTTGTAGAGCACAATAAAATACTCCTTACAAGGATGACACTGAGTCATCAAGAACATGTTAAATGTTTATTGAACTAAATTGAAAATGCTTCCATAAGATTTCCATTAAAAATGATTAAGAAAATATAGGATCTTAAAATAGTAAACACTAGCTATCTAGAGAATTCAGTTATGTGGAAAATTCCATTTCCCAGGAGCCACTGCAAATGATGATGATTTAGGCATCTCCATGAATTAGAGGTTACTCCGTGCACCAGCTCCCCACCCTGATCTTGTTATTATCTACAGGTTTATTCTCCTGAGTGGGAGTATTTTCTCATTCCTCCACAGCTCCAGGGAGGCTGAGGCTTTCTCCTCAGGCAGAAGCTTCAGCCTCCTGGGAAGGAGATGAAACAGGGCAGTGGAGGAGTGAGATGACTATTGCCTCCTTTGGGCCCACAGGTGAACTTCTTTCTGACCAGGTGAGAATCTGCAAAGAAGGTAAGGGGCTGGAGTCAGTAGCCACAAATCACCAGGCGTTCTTGTCCTGTGAGAGGTGGCCATGTAAAGGAGGTGACCAGCTAGGGAAAGCTGAATCAATTCTAGACCTGCCTGTGACCAAGACCCTGCTTACCCCACCAAGGAAACTGCCTGAGAGACAAAAGAATAAAGTAAAGCATGTGCCAGCCCCCATCAACCAGAGGCAAGAATGTCATTAACCCATTTTTACTTTACTTTTAACAAAAATAGTTACAGAAGCTTCAGAAAATATAGGTGAAGAAAGAAGGGAGAAAAAGAGAGGAAAAAGCAGACTATATACATGGATAGGTGTGTTCATATGCAAAATGCTCTGCTAGAATTCATTTTTCCTTATTTACCAGTATATGCCTCAACAGGATCATTTTGAATAACTGCATTCTATTCAATTTTACAGACATACCATTTTAATCAATCCCATATTTTGGGATATCCAGTTTTTGTTTTGCTGTTATTATGGTTACTTCTTGGGGTGTCAAGAAGCCCTGGTTCAATACCAACTAAGCAATAGAGGGGAGTCAGACGAATGGAAATCAAAACATCAGCCTTTTTTTAAAATTAAAGTTGGATGGATGACATGTCTCAGGTGTGCAGCCCAAACACGGTACCTGCAACGAAACAGGGTTTTCCACACAGGCACAAGCAGAATTGGAAAACTGCCAGCCTCTCCCATAAAAGGAGGCCTTCCCTATAAAAGCTTCACTTGGCAGGGAGTCCATGAGAGCACAGCTGTCTGCAAGCAGACAGATCCCAAAGTGGAAGAATGGAGAGAGCAGAGCCCTGACTCATCAACGAAACAAGTTACTTCTTTTCCCCTGGAGAGAATTGTGTGGTGGAAGTGGGTTCAGAAGCATTACAGAAGTGGCTATTCTTCCACACAGAAACAGGGTGCCAGACAAAAGGAGGTCACTTACCCAGTATCATTCCATAAACAATGTTGCAGTGAATATCCTATAATGTATACATGTGTGCATTTGTCCTATAATTTTTTAGAATAAATTTCTAGAAGATTCCAGAGGCAAAGCTAACAGCATTTCTAAACCTTTTCACATATACTATCAACTTGCAGAGAAAGACTACAGATTTACACTCCCAAAAGCAATGGATGCAAATGTCCATGTCTTCTAACACTTTGCTATTGCAATCGGTTAAAAATGTTATCTCACATTGTTTTAGCTTCCATTTCTTTACTAGTAAGATTAAAATATTTTCATATACTGGTTGCACACGGTGCCTCACGCCTGTAATCCCAGCACTTTGGGAGGCCAAGGCGGGCGGATCATCTGAGGTTGGGAGTTCGAGACCAGCCTGGCCAGTATGGTGAAATCCCATCTCTACTAAAAAAATACAAAAATTAGCCAGGCGTGGTGGCTCACGTGTGTAATCCCAGCTACTCGGAAGTCTGAGGCAAGAGAATTGCTTGAACTCTGGAGGCAGAGTTTGCAGTGAGCTGAGATTGCACCACTGTACTCCACCCTAGGCGACAGAGCGAGACTCCGTCTCAAACAAAAATAAATTAATTTTTAAAAATAAAAATAGAAATAAAATATTTTCATATATTTATGGGCCATTTTTATTCTTCTTTTCTGACTCCTTTGATATGCGCTTGCCCATTTCTCTAATGAGATTTTCATTTATTCTTATTCATTTGTAAGACGCAAAAATATTTAAAGCAACTCACTCTTCTTTTTTTTTTTTTTTTTTTTTTTTTTTTGAGACAGAGTCTCGCTCTGTCACCCAGGCTGGAGTGCAGTGGTGCGATCTCGGCTCACTGCAAGCTCTGCCTCCTGGGTTCACGCCATTCTCCTGCCTCAGCCTCCCGAGTAGCTGGGACTACAGGCACCCACCACCGCGCCCAGCTAATTTTTTGTATTTTTTTAGTAGAGACGGGGTTTCACCGTGGTCTCGATCTCCTGACTGTGTGATCCGCTTGCCTTGGCCTCCCAAAGTGCTGGGATTACAGGCGTGAGCCACCACACCGGGTGCAACTTACTCTTCTTAATCTTAGAATTCTGATGCATTAGGTGGCAGTTAGAATCACTGAGCCTAACAAAAAACAATACTGCTGTTGAGAGTGATTATTTTCATTTTTTTAATTTTCTTATTGTCACAGTCATATATATTCATATTTCTTTAAACTTTTACCAATGCAAGAACCTATTTGAAGAAAAGACAGGTTATTAGAAGAGGTCAAGATTTACAGCCCACAAAAGTGCTTAGACTTAATATCTTCTGATATCAAGTTATACACTTGCATTTTTATTTCAAATTTTAAGTTACTGATTTTTGCTTCAGACATTTTTAATATAAAAAATCTTACATATGTACTTTATTTCAAGCATATTCAGTACATGGAAATCTGACATTTGAGAGGGAAAAAATACCTCAGAAAGTAATTACTTTTTTTTTTATTAAAAGAGTATCATCAGAAACTTCAAGAATAAACTACTGACTGAGGTAAGGTAACTTGTCAAAATATTGAGCTCATACAGATATTATATAATTAACAGATAGCTGCCAAGATGTTGATCCAGATTGCCAAGGATAGCAACTTTATATTTTTAAGTATTAAAATTGACCACTAACAAACAAAATATTCTTAGAGAAATTTTTATGGATTATCCAATATTTTTGTAAGAGGCCTTAAAGTAATGGATATTGAACAAATTCTATAAACAATACCTTGACAAGAAAAACTCCTTAATAATTCTTTCTATTAAGAGAACTTCCATTCTTAATAAGAACAATTATATTTCAAAATCTACTAAATCATCACATTTCAGAATTCTAAAAATTCCTGCTATTATGCATTGTCTTCATATTTCTCAACAAGTATAGCAATGCCTGTTAGATTCTTCATCATTTATCACCATTCATTAATTCAATAAACATTTTTAAGAACTTGCTAGCAAACATTTAGGAGAACTTTGTGGTATAGTTTTGGAGCTAACGATACAAAGACAAAAAGAGTTCTAACCCTCAAGGAAAACATTGTCTAGAGTTCATAGTCTAGTAGAAGAGACAGTCTATAGTTTATTGTAATGGTTAACTTTGTGGGATTGAGTTGACTGGGTTAAGGTATCCCCAGATAGCTGGCAAAATAGTATTTGTGGGTGTGTCTGCAGGTGTTTTTGAAGGAGATTAGCATTTGAATCAGTAGGCTGAATAAAGAAGATGCTCCCACCACTGTTGGCAAGCCATCACCCAATACACTGATGGGTGATTAAAATAAAAAAGTAGAGGAAGGGCAAATTTTCTCTCTGTTTGAGCTGGTACCTCCATCTTCTCCTGCCCTTAGACATTAGAGCTCCTGGTTCTCATGCCTTTGGACTCTGGAACTTACATCAGCAGCCCACCAGTTCTCAGGCCTTTGGCCTCAGACTAAATTATAACTGTCCCAGTTCTTTAGCTTGCAGATGACATATCATGGAACTTCTCAGACTCCATAAGTGCATGAGCCAATCCCCACAATAAATCTCCCTTTATACATCTATATCCTATTGGTTCTGTTTCTATGGAGAATCCTGACTAATACATTTATATAGTGGGGGGAATTAAGAAGGTAACAGAAAAATATAATTTATTGTAATGTCATCAAACACTGACTGACAGTCCAAGGTAGCAGCCACTAAATGAGGCTGACAAACCAAACATCAAAGGAGTCTTCCAGAAGGAAGTGACAATGAGTTCCTGGGTCCTAGAGAATGAGCAGATTCTATACAGGAGAAGAAAAAAAGGGTATTTCAGGTAGAAGGCACAGAGGCAGAATGGGTCACAATATGGAGAACTATTACAAGAAGTTTGGTTTAGCTGAAATATAGTTGGGCTGGGGATGGACAGTGGTGAGAGATTGCACTATAGAAAGAATAATAATACTATTTCAACATATATTATTGAAAACTTAGCATGTACCAGCCACTTTACTAAGTGCATTATATCTTACTGAATCCTGACAAAAAATGATGAAAAAGCATTATTCTTATCCTCCCTTTCCCCATTTTACAGCTAAAGAAAAAAAAGCCCAGTGAGACTAAGTGACTTATCCAAGGTCATATATTTTGCAAGTGGATAAGATAGTACCACAACTTAGAAATTCTGATTCCAGAGCCTAGGCTCATCTGCTAATCATGAACGGATTTTATGCTACACTAAGGAATTTGAACTTTACCTTGAAGGCCGCGAGAGAACAAGAAGGATTTTAGGTAGGAGAATGACATGGTGAATTTTATTTTTTAAAGGATTGTCCAAACTACTGGAGATGAGGGGAGGGGACAGACCTTAGACAGGACCACTATTTATGCATCTGCACGTTGTATTCTGTACAACTCTAGGAAGAGCCATTAAATTGTGGTCTGTGAATGGCAACTCCTGGTGCTGTGCAATGCACAACCTACATAGCCATACTTCATGAACCTGCCAGTTAGGACGCTATTACAGTGACTTAGTCCATTTTATGTTGCTATAACAAAATGCCTGAGACTGGGTAATTTATAAAGAAAAGAGGATTATTTAGCTCACGGTACTGTAGGCTGAGAAGTTCAAGGGCATGGCACTTGCTTCTGAAAATGGCTTTTGTGCTCCCTCACAACATGTCATTGAAGGTCAAACAGAAACCTGACACATGCAAAGAGCAGAAGACCTGAGGGGGCTCCTGGCTTTATAACAACCCACTTTCTGGGGAACTAATCCTTCCCTCAAGAACTAATCTGGTCTCTTAAGAGTAAGATCTCGCTACTGAAAGAATGGTACCACGCCATTAATGAGGGATCTGTCCTCATAACGAATGCATCCCACTAGGCCCCACCTCCCAACACTGCCACATTGGGAACCAAATTAAAACATGAGTTTCAGTAAGGACAAAGAAACCAAATCCAAACCACAGCATACAGTAATTCAAGCATAAAATGCATGAATGTTTGAACTAAGGGAGGGCGATGGCAAAGAAGAGAAAGAGTCATAATCCAGAGATATTAAGGATGTGAATCAACAGGAATTGATGACTAAGTGAAGATAGTAAGGCAAAGACAGCAGTAAAAGATAAGGTAGTTTCATTTTGTAACAGTCTGGCTAAGTTGGAACTACATTTTAGAATCTCCTTCCCTATTTGAATCTGGGTTAGGTTGGGCCAAAAGAGAAAATTGTACAAGATTTGTAAGGTGATGTGAAACAGTAGCCATTATACTCTTAAGGTCATCACTGTTAAAGGCGATAAAAGACAGACACAGGTGCCAGCAGGTATCAACCTGTCCTTGATCTTCCTCTCAATTCTACATCCTCTTCTGCCTCTGCACCCAGCTGTTCTTCCCATCAGCCAACCCTGCTGACCAACAGAACCCATGACCAGATGCCTACTGCAAACCCACAGAGGCAACAGCTAGGACAGGCCACAAGCTTCTGTAGACATCTACACTAGCCCCCTTTGCAGTCCCTCCCCAGCAGATTCCATGGAGCTCTGACTAGTGCACCAGGCCCGTATTTCAAGAGGGCTATTAGTCACTCTTTCTTGATTCACCAACTCTACTTTCTGAGCCCCTACTTTCCCAGCTTCATTTCCTGATCCCAGCAGAGTTTTTTTTTTTTTTTTGAGCAATTGAAATTATTATTCTAAAATCCATGTAGCCTGTAATCTCAGCATTTTGGGAGGCTGAGGTAAGCAGATCATTTGAGGTCAGAAATTCAAGACCAGCCTGGGCAACATGTGTGAAACTCCATCTCTACTAAAAATACAAAAATGAGCCAGGTGTGGCGGTGGGTGCCTGTAATCCCAGCTGAGGAGGCTGAGGCAGAAGAATCGCTTGAGCCTGGGAGGTGGAGGTTGCAGTGAGAAGAGATCATGCCACTGCACAACAGCCTGGGTGACAGAGCGAGACTCCATCTCAAAAAATAAGAAAAATAAAATCCTTGTAGAACTGCAAAGGGCCTATGATGGTCAAAACAACTGAAAAAGAACAAAGTTGAGGGACTTTTCACCATTTGATTTCAAGACTTAGAGAGGCTACTATAACAGAGCTATAAAGATGAACGCCCACATTAAACACAGGCGAAACATTTGGTAAAACTGTTGCCTTAGTTTTGGAGACGTTTGTATCTGGCTAAACTCCACACCTAAATAATGTACTGAGAATCCAAGCTCCAGAAATATAAGGAATTTCTCTTGGAACTGGCTTCTAACAACATTTATGCATGCAAACAAAAGCATTGTAAATCAGGCTTTTCTAAAAGAGAGGTGCTCAAAGTCAGCATGCTTGGTTACTGGTATTCTTAGCAGGACCTTCTGTTCTCTTTCATTCCCAGTCACTTTCTGACAGCTTAATCTTTCTAAATCTTGCTTTGGATCGCTTGAGCTTCTAGGAAGTACTTTGGATTACTGGAATTACAGACTTCATTCTAAAATTTCTTTTTATAAGCTCTTTTTATGTATTGCTAATCATATTACAGAGAGTAATATTGATGCCTTATTTCATCATACCTTTTTAAATCCGAGGGTTTACTGGTATATGCCTATTAGAAAAATTATGTCAGTATTACTGAATTTTATTCCCACACCACTGTGGTCTTGTTACCTTACTGACTATGGAGAGTTTGGTAATATAACCAGATAGATTTTCAGGATATGCCCAGCTTTATTCTACCTCATTTTAAAGTTTTTGGATTTTTTGGCTATCTGGAACTTTCAAATAGGTTTTTGTGAATATTTTTTATGCAACAAAGTTACTGAGCAGCTTGTTCAGATGTGTTCAATACATCAGGTGGAATTTCAGAAGCTTATTCTTCCCATCAGTTCACAAACATTTTATAAATAGTCCAGTGCCCTATGGTTTAACAGAAAATATGTCCATTGTGCAGAACCATATTTTCAGACTATATACACAAATGGAAAGATGGGCCACTTCATCACACTTTCAAAGAAATTAAGTCCTGTAAACTATTAACCCCACAAAATACTAACTTCATTTGGTTACAATGACTATTACTAAAAGCATTAGGCTGGATTTTCAGTGCTACAAGAAAATTCCAAGCATTTTGGAATATTAGAATAAGATTTAAGTGTACATTTCAATTGTGCATTTTTAAAGATTAAATGAATGAAAACGCATTCTCTTTTTTTAAAATTATAAGTAATGGTAAGCCTGATGTATATTTCAACATTTATTCTATCCTAATTTCTCAACAGATGATTGCAGTATAAAATTGTAAATGCATTTTCTTCTTAATGTTACCAAAACAGCAATTGGATGACTAGAAACCATGGTTTTAGAGGAATCTGGGTAGTCTTCCATGATGCAGTTTTCAGGATAAAAATATTTTTCAAAATATTTTAAGACACATCTTATCAAAAAGTAGAATTCTCTTTAGCGTAAACTTATAATTTCCATTCTCAAAAACTCTTAAAATTTTCCAAAAATTTATGTTTAATGAACGTTCTATATGCTACATTTTACCTGTAACAGATTTTTAAGTAAATACTAATTTACTGATGACATATTTTAATATTGCATTACTTTCTGTAATAAAATTAGCAATAAATAAGAATAATTTAAATTTTTTAAAAACCTCAGCATTGTTGCAAATATTACATTAAAGATGTGGCCTTTCCACCCAAACCTACTGGCCTCAAGGTAACTACTATTAAATTGAGAAAGAAGGGCATGGGGGTAAGGAAGCAAATAAATAAATGGGACTTGAGAAGGACATCTAGCCAAACTTTGGATATATTTACCAGCACGGGGAACTGACTGGAAGCCAACAGGTCAGAAACTTCCCAAGTTTCTGAGTAAATTGTACACCAAATAAATATGATCCCAACCTGAAAAAGTCTTTGACTATTTGAGCATTAAAGCAATCCTCAGAACCCCACACTTACATAAACAGGAAGGCCCTCAAGAATACACTCTCAAAGAGCCTCTTCAGATGTGGCCATGGAGGACAAGACATGAAGACCCTCCCAGGGGATGGACCAAGGGCCGTGGGCTAGGGAGTCCATCCCAGAAAGCAGAATCAGAATCTAATCAAGGAACTTCCCCACCCACAGGATAGACTGCCTTCATAATGCCTGCTTGATAGGATTCCATATGTTCCAGCAACCAGTAATTGCTGAGTGTCTTTCCTTCTCTTTTCTAAAAGACAGTTTTGGCTGGGCATGGTGGTTCACACCTAGAGTCCCAGCACTTTGGGAGGCCAAGGCAGGAGGACCGCTTGAGCCCAGGAATTCAAGACCAGCCTAGCAACATAGTGAGACCCTATCTCTACAAAAAAATAGAAAAAAATTTAGCCAGCGTGGTGGTGCATGCCTGTAGTCCCAGCTACTAGGGAGGCTGAAGTGGGAGGATGGCTTGAGCCCAGGAGGGCGAGGCTGCAATGAGCCACGATTTTGCCACTACACTGCAGCCTGGGCTACAGAACAAGACCCTGTCTTAAAAATAAAAATAAAAGATAGTTTTTACAATAGTCCTCCTGCCCCTGCTCCACCACTGTGTATTGAGAGAGGAAGGGATGAATAGCCTGTCTTTATTCACAGGTTGCCACCAGAAGCCCCATCCAGACACCATGGAGAAGACGGAGCATCATATGCAGACCCTGAACTTTGTGCTGCTGTTGCTGCTGCTGCAGCTGCATTGACCTCATGAGTTTTGGGGTTGCCTGTCCGGGTCTTGGGTTTGCCTCCCTGGGGAAAGTGTAAGTGTGTTCTGTGTAAGAGAGGAAGAACAGATCATTTGTGACCAGAAGGAAAGACTGTGGAGGACACTGGTTAGCTAGTCTCCAAAAACCACTTCCTTTTTCTCCCAGGCCCACTGCTACACTATGCTTCCCAGGCTTCTTTACAGCTGCCATAATATGTGTCTCTGCTCTGACCAATGAAATGTGGGCACCAGGCCTGGTACATTAAGCCTCTGACTCATGACCTTCTGTGCCCTCTCTTCCAATGGCTACACTGGAGATGACTAGGACAATCTTAGGAGTCAGTGTGAAGATGGTTGATCCAAAGATGGAGAAATCTGGGTCCCTGAAAACCTGAGTCCCTGAGGGTGGAGAAAGGCCACCCTCTAGAAGCAACTGCATTTGACTACTAACTGAGCAAAAAATAAATCAGCTTTAACCATATTAAACCCCTGAGATTTGGGAGTTTATTGCTAGGTTACCCTAATCTATATACAAGCAGAATGAAAAGCACGGGCAAAGACAGGAAGATTGGAATTCATGACATAGCCTGACGAGAGTGAGGACTTCTCTAGACATGAGGGACAGAGTGACAGAAGATGAGCTTGAAGGATTCCTTTGGGAAAATTCCTGCAGGTCTTGAATGCCATGCAAAGATTTGGACTTTATTCTACAGAAAATGGGGACCACTTAAAAAAAGTGTTTTTTCTTCTATTTAAAACTGCTATAGTAAATGCTGCCAGTAATCTGCTCTTCTAAAGTAACTAAAAATCCAAACTTTCACATATTATTGCCCCCCCAAAATTGAAAATGTGAAAAATGTAATCACCAGGCTGACAACAGCTTTTGCAGTCTGTTAAAGCTGCAACTCGTATCAAATGAGTCCTGCCAAATTCATTGAGAAATCAGTAACTATCAGAGAAAAACTCCCAACATGTAATATCTGCCTCTTCATGAAACTGTGTGTGTGTGTGTGTGTGTGTGTGTGTGTGTGTGCATGTGTATATCAGAGAGATATATATTTTTTCAGGTAATAAATGGTATTCATGCAACAAAACAAAATCTGAAATGGGGCTTCAATTAAGGCCACATTTACCAAACTTGTTCTGTGTGACAGGTGTTCTGATAGGTGCCTATGATAGAAAAATAAATGATCAACCAGGACTTCAAATCACTCCCAGATTAATGCAAGAGGTAGGCACATAAACAGGTTAACCATAAGGGCACATGCTACTATAAAAATAGGACTCACTAGATCTATGGAGGTTAGGAGAGAATCCAAGATGACTGAACTTTCTTAACCTGATCCTGAAGATCATTCTTGATCGGATCCAACCTACCTTTGCAGGCTGAAATTCCATTACTTTTCTTCACACGATTTCTTGCTCTTAGACCTATCCTGCACTTTTGCACTTCCATGCTTTGTCCTCTGCCTCGAATTCTCTCCCTGACCTATCACTAACCCCTGTTTACAGTGCCACTAAGATTCCACTCAGGAAATCTTCCCTGGTTCCAGTGGGATGTATCTTTTCCCTTCTTTAGAGTCTCTTCTTTTCTCTGTGTCCTGAGGAAGTTACCACTTTCTGCTTTGCATCATAGTTATTTTCTGACTTGCTGGTCTTGTCTGATCTCTACACTAAACCATAAGCTCCCTGAAGACCAGGAGTGTTTCTATTCCTTTCTTATACTTCTGGTATCAAGTATAGCAATTTGTAGGTACATGGTGGATGTTCAGTAAGTATTTTCTGAATGTCGGAATGTAAAACTCAAAAGCCACTGGAGACACTGAATCTACACACAACACTGCAACCCTCTCCTTGGCCAAGAGCTTCATTGTTGGGTGATATATGATGTTTTCCTGGGAAAGGAAGGAGGGCAATTTTGTAAGAGAATTAAGTGAGGGTGCACAAGGAAAGTAAAAATAGTGCTACATTCCTGGTTCCAAATAGTGTGTAGTTGTATAACAAAAATTAAAACTGTCCAATAAGCCAATATCTTAGCTTATTGATTAAAAGAGATTGAAAGCTCCAAATCTTCTTTATTGCAAAACAATCTTTTATAAAAGAATCTCTATTAACATCATGTCAGCATTCTCTTACAAAATCCAGCAAGGGGAAAATGGGGAGTTGCCTCCCTTTCTAATATCAACACCATTAATAAACAGTATTAACATTCGGGCAGCTGAATGGGGAAGAAATATTGACTATCTGTAATGTTCCCACATTGGTGCTTTAAGAGTTCTGGAAGCTAAAACATAGACAAATCAGCATTACTCAGTAGAGAAGGGCCAAAGCCAAAAGTAGAAAAGATCAATGTTTATAAAATATTGAAGTAAACCAAATTTGTTTACTAAGATCTGGAATATAATAAAGAAGGAGAAATACATTTGACATTTAAATGAGGACAAATTTAGGGAAAATAAAAATACGTACAAATTTTGTCTCATTTGGGTAAACTTTAGGTTTTAGTTAACTAAGACAAGAGCAAACCAGAATGAAAAGATAAATAAATCCATAATGTCTCCATAAAAATTTATTGAAAGTAGACTTTTGGGGGAGTGATCCTGAATCAGTTAGGTTCTAGGGCCTAGAGGCCACTGCAATTATTACAAGACCTGGAAATACATACTCACATCGAGCCTTGTCTATGGATTGTACACATGATATGCCTAACTCATATGTTCTACCAGTTGACATGAACACATAGATACTTTACTGATGAGTAACAGAATGTCAGCAGGTTAGGGAAGCCAGGCAGGCTAATCTCCCAGGGACACACTCTGTGGTAGAAGCTGTCAGAGGGAGGGAGGGGCCTTACTTTCTGGGGGGGCACATAATCAATGACAGGGGTCACGGTAGGAGCATGGGCTTTGAAAGGCCCTGAGTAGAAGAGAGAGGGGTAGAGCCAGTAAGACAGCCTAAGGCTGTATGGAAAGCAATGGAACCTCTCAGGGCTTCAGGAAAATTTCCACAATCATAAAATTCTGTATATGGTTAAATTTTTTGTGGAAAATGGTTAAAAGGCTGAGCTTCTGGATTTGACACAGGGCTCCTCCCAGACAGAAAAAAAAAAGTGGGAATAAAGCAAAATATAAGGAATTAGAGGGGGAAACTCAAAGAAAAACTAACAGCACTTTGCATGCTACAGCATTATAAGGCTCTGGAAATGGAGTTCCAGCCAAATTTCACCTGAGGTGAATGGGGACCTTGAGTAATACTTTAGTTTCTCTGTTGTTGTTGCTTTTGTTTTTGAGACAGGGTCTCCCTCTGTCACCAAGGCTGGAGTGCAGTGATGTAATCTCAGTTCACTGCAGCCTCAACCTCCCAGGGTCAAGCAATCCTCCAGCCTCTCAGCCTCTCAAGTAGATAAGACTACTGGCATGTGTCACAACTGGCTAATTTTTGTATTTTTTGTAGAGATGGGGTCTCACTATATTGCCTAGGCTGGTGTCAAACTCCTGGACCCAAGGGGTCCACCCACCTCGGCCTCCCAAAGTGCTGGGATTATAGGTGTGAGCTACCAAGCCCAGCTGTTGTTTAAGAGACATGATCTCACTCTGTGGAGATCCTTCTGCCTCAGCCTCTTGAGTCGCTGGGACTACAGACGCATGCCACCACACCTGGCTAATTATTTTTTTAATTTTTGTAGAGATAGGGTCTTGCTATGTTGCCCAGGCTGGTCTTAAGCTCCTGGCCTCAAGCAATCCTCCCACCTCAGCCCACCTAGTGGCTGGGATTACAGGCATGAACCACAGCACTCAGCCTTAGTTTCTTAAATAAATTCACTTTAAAATGTTCCTGAAATCTTGGAAGCTTTTTTCCACTATTTGTTTTCAGTTGATGGAATAATTTTTCAGTTGATTCCATTTCAGTTGATGGAATAATTTTTAATGGTTTACATTTTAAAACATTTTCATATTATAAGCATTAAGAACCAGCCGGGCACACTGACTCACACCTGTAATCCCAGCACTTTGGGAAGCCAAGGCGGGTGGATCACCTGAGGTCAGGAGTTTGAGATCAGCCTGGCCAACATAGCAAATCCCCTTCTCTACTAAAAATACAAAAAATTAGCTGGGTGTGGTGGCAGGTGCCTGTAATCCCAGCTACTTGGGAGGGTGAGACAGGAGAATTGCTTGAGCCTGGGAGGCAGAGGTTGCATTGAGCCAAGATCACGCCATTGCACTCCAGCCTGGGTGACAGAGCGAGAATCTGAAAAAAAAAAAAAAAGTTAAGAGCCATTATTTTGAGAGTATTAGCATATTATGGTTGATGTCAAGAATACAAAATTGTTAGCCTCATCAGGGAAGGCTGAGCTGAGTCCCCTGCAGGCCATGGTCTTTAAGGAGAGCATCCATCTACTACATCCCGACCCCACGTGCTATTGAGTGAATAGAATGCTGACAACAAGGAAGGCCCAGAATGGGTGTAAATGGTCACACCTTTCATCAAAATTAATGCTTTCCTTTCCTTGCTGTACCTAATTTAATCCCCAAACAACCCTAGTATCTCAATAATTAAGATGAAGAAACTGAGGCACAGAACTGACTAATGTCACACATTAGAGACTAAATTAAAGACTAAATTAAATTAAGAAATGAAAATGTTACACACATAACATTTTTTTTTTATTATTAAACTTTAAGTTCTAGGGTACATGTGCACAACGTGCAGGTTTGACACATAGGTATACATGTGCCATGTTGGTTTGCTGCACCCATCAACTCGTCATTTCCATTAGGTATTTCTCCTAATGCTATCCCTCCCCTAGCCCCCACCCCCCAACAGGCCCCAGTGTATGATGTTCCCCACCTTGTGTCCAAGTGATCTCACTGTTCAATTCCCACCTATGAGTGAGAACATGTGGTGTTTGGTTTTCTGTCCTTGTGATAGTTTGCTCAGAATGATGGTTTCCAGCTTCATCCATGTCCCCACAAAGGACATGAACTCATCATTTTTTATGGCTGCATAGTAGTCCATGGTGTATATGTGCCACATTTTCTTAATCCAGTCTATCATTGATGGACATTTGGGTTGGTTCCAAGTCTTTGCAATTGTGAACAGTGCCGCAATAAACATACGTGTACATGCGTCTTTATGGTAGCATGATTTATAATCATTTGGGTATATACCCAGTAATGGGATTGCTGGATCAAATGGTATTTCTAGTTCTGGATCCTTGAGGGATTGCCACACTGTCTTCCACAATGGTTGAATTAATTTACACTCCCACCAACAGTGTAAAAGCGTTCCTATTTCTCCACATCCTCTCCAGCACCTGTTGTTTCCTGACTTTTTAATGATTGCCATTCTAACTGGTGTGAGATGGTATCTCATTGTGGTTTAGATTTGCATTTCTCTGATGGTCAGTGATGATGAGCATTTTTTCATGTTTCTGTTGGCTGCATAGATTTCTTCTTTTGAGAAGTGTCTGTTCATTTCCTTTGCCCACTTCTTGATGGGATTGTTTTTTTCTTGTAAATTTTTTTGAGTTCTTTATAGATTCTGGATATTAGCCCTTGTCAGATGGCTACATTGCAAAAATTTTCTTCCATTCTATAGGTTACCTGTTCACTCTGATGGTAGTTTCTTTTGCTCTGCAGAAGCTCTTTAGTTTAATTAGATCCCATTTGTCAATTTTGGCTTTTGTTGCCATTTCTTTTGGTGTTTTAGTTATGAAGTCCTTACCCATGCCTATGTCGTGAATGGTATTGCCTAGGTTTTCTTCTAGGGTTTTAATGGTTTTAGGTCTAACATTTAAGTCTTTAATCCATCTTGAGTTAATTTTTGTATAAGGTGTAAGGAAGGGGTCCAGTTTCAGTTTTCTACATATGGCTAAGCCAGTTTTCCCAGCACCATTTATTAAATAGGGAATGCTTTCCCCATTTCTTGTTTTTGTCAGGTTTGTCAAAGATCAGATGGTTGCAGATGTGTGCCGTTATTTCTGAGGGCTCTCTTCTGTTCCTTTGGTCTATAGATCTGTTTTTGTATCAGTACCACACTGTTTTGGTTACTGTAATCTTGTAGTATAATTTGAAGTCAGGTAGCATGATGCCTCCAGCTTTGTTCTTTTGGCTTAGGATTGTCTTGGCAATGTGGGCTCTTTTTTGGTTCCATATGAACTTAAAGTAGTTTTTTCCAATTCTTTGAAGAAAGTCATTGGTAGCTTGATGGGGATGGCATTGAATCTATAAATTTCCTTGGGCAGTATGGCCATTTTCAAGATATTGATTCTTCCTATCCATGAGCATGGAATGTTCTTCCATTTGTTTGTGTCCTCTTAGTTCATTTATAGTTCTCCTTGAAGAGGTCCTTCACATACCTTGTAAGTTGTATTCCTAGGTATTTTATTCTCTTTGTAGCAATTGTGAATGGGAGTTTACTCATGATTTGGCTCTCTGTTTGTCTGTTATTGGTGTATAGGAATGCTTGTGATTTTTGCACATTGATTTTGTATTCTGAGACTTTGCTGAAGTTGCTTATCAGCTTAAGGAGATTTTGGGTTGAGACGATGGGGTTTTCTAAATATACAATCATGTCATCTGCAAACAGTGACAATTTGACTTCCTCAATTCCTAATTGAATACACTTTATTTCTTTCTCTTGCCTGATTGCTCTGGCCATAACTTCCAACACTATATTGAATAGGAGTGGTGAGAGAGGGCATCCTTGTCTTGTGCCAGTTTTCAAAGGGAATGTTTCCAGTTTTTGCCCATTCAGTATGATAATGGCTGTGGGTTTGTCACAAATAGCTCTTTTTATTTCGAGATATGTTCCATAAATACCTAGTTTATTGAGAGTTTTTAGCATGAAGGGCTGTTGAATTTTGTTGAAGGCCTTTTCTGCATCTATTGAGATAATCGTGTGGTTTTTGTTGTTGGTTCTGTTTATGTGATGGATTATGTTTATTGATTTGCGTATTTTGAACCAGCCTTGCATCCCAGGGATGAAACCGACCTGATCGTGGTGGAAAAGCTTTTTGATGTGCTGCTGGATTTGGTTTGCCAGTATTTTATTGAGGATTTTTGCATCGATGTTCATCAGGGATACTGGTCTAAAATTCGCTTGTTTTGTCGTGTCTCTGCCAGGCTTTGGTATCAGGATGATGCTGGCCTCACAAAATGAGTTAGAGAGGATTTCCTCTTTTTCTATTGATTGGAATAGTTTCAGAAGGAATGGTACCAGTTCCTCTTTGTACCTCTGATAGAATTCGGCTGTGAATACGTCTAGTCCTGGACTGTGGTCTGAGAGACAGTTTGTTGTGATTTCTGTTTTTTTACATTGCTGAGGAGTGCTTTACCTCCAACTATGTGGTCAGTTTTAGAATAAATGTGATGTGGTGCTGAGAAGAATGTATATTCTGTTGATTTGGGGTGGAGAGTTCTGTAGATGTCTATTAGGTCTGCTTGGTGCAGAGCTGAGTTCAAGTCCTGGATATCCTTGTTAACCTTCTGTCTCATTGATCTGTCTAATATTGACAGTGGGGTGTTAAACTCTCCCATTATTATTGTGTGGAAGTCTAAGTCTCTTTGGAGGTATCTAAGGACTTGCTTTATGAATCTGGGTGCTCCTGTATTGGGTGCATATATGTTTAGGATAGTTAGCTCTTCCTGTTGAACTGATCCCTTTACCATTATGTAATGGCCTTGTCTCTTTTGATCTTTGTTGGTTTAAAGTCTGTTTTTATCAGAGACTAGGATTGCAACCCCTGCTTTTTTTGTTGTTGTTGTTACCCATTCGCTTGGTAGATCTTCCTCCATCCCTTTATTTTGAGTCTATTTGTGTCTTTGCACATGAGATGGGTCTCCTGAATATAGCACACTGATGGGTCTTGACTCTTTATCCAATTTGCCAGTCTGCGTCTTTTAATTGGGGCATTTAGCCCATTTACATTTAAGGTTAATATTGTTATGTGCGAATTTGATCCTGTCATTATGATGTTAGCTGGTTATTGTGCTCATTAATTGATGCAGTTTCTTCCTAGCATCGACAGTCTTTACAATTTGGCATGTTTTTGCAATGGCTGTTACCAGTTGTTCCTTTCCATGTTTAGTGCTTCCTTCAGGAGCTCTTGGAAGGCAGGCCTGGTGGTAACAAAATCTCTCAGCATTTGCTTGTCTGTAAAGGATTTTATTTTTCCTTCACTTATGAAGCTTAATTTGGCTGGATATCAAATTCTGGGTTGAAAATTCTTTTCTTTAAGAATGTTGAATATTGGCCCCCAGTCTCTTCTGGCTTGTAGAGTTTCCGCTGAGAGATCCGCTGTTAGTCTGATGGGCTTCCCTTTGTGGGTAACTCGACCTTTCTGTCTGCCCTTAACATTTTTTCCTTCATGTCAACCTTGGTGAATCCAACAATTACGTGTCTTGGGGTTGCTCTTCTCAAGGAGTATCTTTGTGGTGTTCTCTGTATTTCCTGAATTTGAATGTTGGCCTGCCTCACTGTGTTGGGGAAGTTCTCGTGGATAATATCCTGAAGAGTGTTTTCCAACTTGGTTCCACTCTCCCCATCACTTTCAAACGTAGATTTGGTCTTTTCACATAGTCCCATATTTCTTGGAGTGTTTGTTCATTTATTTTTACTCTTTTTTCTCTAAACTTCTCTTCTCACTTTATTTCATTAATTTGATCTTCAATCACTGATACCCCTTCTTCCACTTGATCAAATTGGCTATTGAAGCTTGTGCATGCATCACGAAGTTCTCGTGCCATGGTTCCAGCTCTATCAGGTCATTTAAGGTCTCCACTACACTGTTTATTCTAGTTAGCCACTCATCTAACCTTTTTTCAAGGTTTTTAGCTTCCTTGTGATGGGTTCAAACAAGCTCCTTTAGCTCAGAGAAGTTTGTTATTACCGACCTTCTAAACCCTACTTCTGTCAACTCATCAAAGTCATTCTCCATCCAGCTTTGTTCCATTGCTGGCAAGGAGCTGCAATCCTTTGGAGGAGAAGAGGTGCTCTGATTTTTAGAATATTCAGATTTTCTGCTCTGGTTTCTCACCATCTTTGTGGTTTTATCTACCTTTGGTCTTTGATGTTGGTGACCTACAGATGGGGTTTTGGTGTAGATGATCTTTTTGCTGATGTTGATGCTATTCCTTTCTGTTAGTTAGTTTTCCTTCTAACAGGTCCCTCACCTGCAGGTCTGTTGGAGTTTACTGGAGGTCCACTCCAGACCCTGTTTGTCTGGGTATCACTAGCGGAGGCTGCAGAACAGCAAATATTGCTGCCTGATCCTTCCTCTGGAAGCTTTGTCCCAGAGGGGCACCCGGCTTTATGAGGTGTCAGTTGGCCCCTACTGGGGAGTGTCTCCCAGTTAGGCTACACAGTGTTCAGGCCCACTTGAGGAGGCAGTCTGCCCGTTCTCAGAGCTCAAACGCCATGTTGGGAGAACCACTGCCCTCTTCAGCTGTCAGACAGGGAGGTTTAAGTCTGCAGAAGTTATTTGCTGCCTTTTGTTCAGCTAAGCCCTGCCCACAGAGGATGGAGTCCTGAGGCAGTAGGCCTTGTTGAGCTGTGGTGGGCTCTGCCCAGTTCGAGCTTCCCAGCTGCTTTGTTTACCTAGTCAAGCCTCAGCAATGGCGGATGCCCCTCCCCCAGCCAGGCTGCCGCCTCACAGTTCAATCTCACACTGCTGCGCTAGCAGTGAGCAAGGCTCCATGGGTGTGGGACCCACTGAGCCAGGCACAGGAGAGAATCTCCTTGTCTCCTGGTTGCTAAGACCTTGGGAGAAGTGCAATATTTGGGTGGCAGTGTCCCGTTTTTTCCAGGTACAGTCTGTCATGGCTTCCCTTTGGCTATGAAAGGGAAATCCCCTTACCCCTTGCACTTCTCTGGTGAGGTGATGCCCCGCCCTGCTTTAGCTTGCCCTCCATGGGCTGCACCTACTGTCCAACCAGTCCCAATGAGATGAACCAGGTACCTCAGTTGGAAATGCAGAAATCACCCATCTTCTGTGTTGATCATGCTGGGAACTGCAGATCGGAGCTGTTCCTATTCGGCCATCTTGGAACGGATCCTTGGTGAAACCCCATCTGTACTAAAAATACAAAAATTAGCTGGGCATGGTGGCATGTGCCTGTAATCCCAGCTACTCGGGAGGCTGAGGCAGGATAATTGCTTGAACCCGGGAGTCGGAGGTAGCAGTGAGCCAAGATCACCATACATAACATTTTAAAACAAACTTTTCTCTCAACTCTTTTTCTTATAGTAACTTTACTAGTCTGGAATTTAATAATAGTACTTCATAGTCCCAAATTCTTAAGAACCTACAATTCCCTTTATAGCAATTAGGGATGTCATTTACATTTGTATCTCTTATTTTCAAAGTTAGTAATTGAAAGTCAACATTTAAAGTCTAATTTAAATGTAGACTTTCAATTACTATGTCCTCAGGGAATGCTCTAACTTACTAAGACATAATAAATTTAACATTAACTCTTTCAGAGTTAATCTTTCTGATAAAATATCTTACTTAAGTTTATTGTTTTTCATATTCACCATATTGACAAAGACAAGGGAAAAATGCCTGAGTGAGAGAAATGAGTACTGAGGAGGCAGAAAGGACAACTTAAATCAGGTGGTGATGATTATTGACAAAATTACAAGCAGCAGCAAATAAAATGCCTGGTTAAAAAAAGAAATTAAACTTCAGGTTTGTAAAAGTGATGTCTAAAACAAACGACCATATCCTACATTCAGAGCTAACAGTCAGAGTTAAGTCTACGTCTGAGTTAGGCTTCCCCTGAGAGCAGGGATCACACATCTATGATCCCAGCATGAGGTATAATGCAAACCTACATAATAAGTGCTCATTAAATTGTTTTGAAGCTGAAAAAAAATGGATACTTTTAGAAAGGTAATTTAGCAGAAGGGAATAGAAGGTAAAAGAAAGGCATGTGATGTCCAGGCATGTCATGTGGCTTGGTTACAGGCTTAGTAGGCACAGAAGCTGAGACTCCAAAATTTTATCTTGGATCAAAGCCTGATGTTTCTTTAGTTCAAGAAATACTTAAATTCTTCCCTATGGCAATAGAATATATCAAAAATTGAATATTTAAGAACCCCTACTATATACATTCCCCATTCACCTGGCATTTTTTTTTCCCCTAAAAAGTTGTGTAACCTTTCTAGGTTAATTAGGGGAAAATAATATTCATTTCAAATTGTCCTTTTCTGATATTTCTTTCTACCACCTTCAAATATTTGGGCTTTGTCTTCAACTTGAAAAATATTTTTTTAAAACACACACACTAGGATTTCTGTTCCTCTCAGTTCTAATTAGAAATGCAAGGTCAGCTTTACTTTATGTATAGCATTATGGGAATTCTGATGCAATCAGAGGTTGGACACTCTTCAAAGCCACAAGAATTCCCATGTAGATATATTTATGGCAATACAAAAATCTTTCCATTTCATATAGTACATTTCCTGGGAAGAAATCCAAAAATTTCACAATCAATACATGTACAGCTTCAATTAAATAAATTCTTCATCTCAAAGCTTTCAGAACAAGAGCACAATTGCTAGCCCAGGACACAGGGTCCAGAACTTTGCATCTGGAAAAAGTGCCTTGAGATTCTTCAAATCCCACTTTTTTGAAAGAATCATCAAAGTCAAATTGTGTGGACACAAAGTCAACTCACTAGGAGCAGATATAAAAAAGGAGACTTCATTAGGACTGAGGTGTGGTCAGAGATGAATGAAAACTGAACCCCACCTTAGGAGTCACACAGTAATATTTCTAACCACTCTTACTGATGAAGTTATAAAATCACAGAAATTTAGAATTGGACAGGCATTAACATATCAGCTAGATTCTAGAGCAAAACACTGCATCAGGTGCCTGACTATCCATGTTTTGTTAATTTTTTATGTTTAATGAAATGTGTCTGGAGATAAGCAAAGAAAGTCTGAATTTAGCATTTGTTAAGTTGCTGGTAATTTTACATCCAACTTCAATTTAAAAATTACTTGCCAAAAACCAAGGAGGTACAGTATGATATTTAGGAAAATAGTTATTTGGGAAATTCTGATATATGTTTTTTAAATTTTTAAACATCTGTTTTGAAACTGATTTTAGATAACACTGAAAAAGACAAGAATAAAAATCAGAAAAAACTGAAAAATATCACATGTATATTACTTCTGTGTCAAAGGGTGAAAATCATGGTCACAAGCACATGTCCCTCCTGGTTCTAGTGTGATCTCTGTCCCACTGGCCTGGTCAACTGCTTGAGTCTTAAAGTTCAACTAAAGCAGACAAGAGGCAGGTATTTTATTCTGACATTTCTCTATGGCTTTACAACAGCTAGATTTCACAATGTGACATCTTTTCCCCCAAAGTCTAAGACTTTTTAAATAACGAGGTCATAGCTGCTAAATATTTTCCCAAACTTGTTACCACTAGTCAGTCATTTGGTTCAATTATCGAGTCCTTTCATCTAACATGAGACAGAAATGGCCCTGATGAGACTTTCTAGAGAGTAATGTGCAGTCTACCTGGGAGAACTGGCTTTAAAAATTATGTCTTCCTTCAGCTCTGAAAATATATCATGTCTCTGAGATAAAGCAAAGCCTGAAACAAAACACAACTGTCATCCATGTAACCTTGATTTTCTGGGGTAGTCCAATTTTGTGTATTTAAATATAGTATTGTGTCTAATAATAGAAGTGTGATTAAATAAACCATAAAACATCAGACAACAGGCAACCATGCAGCCATGTAAAAGATGTTGTGGAAGAATATGAAATTGAAACTGTCTGTAATATGTGGTAGATTAGAAGACAAGATACAAAACACTATTAGAGTACAATCCTGATTTTGTAGGAAAAAAAGGCAGAGAGAAGACAAAGATAAACCAAAATAATAATTAATAATTATAATTATATTTGGTGATGAAATTATGTAATTTTTACTTTTACTTTGAACTTTTCCATATTTTTAGTTTTATAAGAACGTTATTTTATTAGATTTAAAATAATTGTATAAAGAAAATAGCTACTATCATCCAGTCAGCAAAAGATATCCTGAAAAAGTAAAAGTTCAATATTTTCTACAATGTTCAGTATATGCATCTTTTTCATGGCCTTTGAATTTGCTCTTGCCTCCTTTTTCTAGTCAAATCTGTATTATTGTGTATTGCTGCATAACAATTTACCCCCAAAACTTAGCAACTTAAAACAACACACATTTTCTATCTCAGTTTCTATGGGAAATGAGTCTGGGCACGGCTTATCTGGGTCCTCTGGGTTGCAGTCTCTGTCAAGGTGTTGATGTGGGTCTGCAGTCTCATCTGAAGCTCTGACTGACGAAGGAGCAACTTCCCAAGCTCACGCAGTGATTGTCCATAGCAGTCACTTCTTCACAGGCTGTTGGGCAAAGGACCTCACTTCCTTGCTAGCTAGTGGCCAGAGGTTGCCCTCATTTCCTTAACAATGCACCTCTTCCACATGGCAGCTTACTTCAATTCATCAAAGCATGCAAGCTGAGAAAACCACAGGGAGGATCTGCTAGCAAGACAGAAGGCACTATATTTTATAACCTAATCACAGAAGCAGCATTCCACCACCTTCGCCATATTCTTTTGGCTAGACACAAGTCATTAAGTCCAGCTTGCAATCAAGGATAAAAGATCACACAAGGGCATGAATAGCAGAAGATAGGGACCATCTTTGAAGTCTGCCTACCACATCATGCTTTTCAATTAGCATTTTTTTCCATTTCTCTGATATACCTTACAATCAGTCCTCCTCTTTTATAGCCTGCAATTTCCCTTCCTTCATAGTCTATAAATTTATAAAAATAATACAATAAAAATCAAGTGTTCTGCTTTACACTTTAAAGTTTGGGATAAAATAAATCATTCAAGAATTGTCTTTTTATGATGATAAATTGATGGATTTGGGGGGTTGTATATGTCTGGGGAATCTTATATCCCTTTAGTGGGAAAAGGAAAAACTTCCATGTCGTTTGTAATACCAACAAGCTATTTTTACAAACCTAACTTTTCAGTGTACATAAATCATGATACAGAGGCAGACACAATGGCAGAGTAGAAGGCTCCACCGATTATGCCCCCCACCACCCACAAGGACACCAAGTTAACAACTGTCTACACAGAGGAAACACCTGTTGGCTGAGTGCAGTGGTTCACGCCTGTAATCCCAGCACTTTGGGAGGCTGAGGCGGGCGAATCACTTGAGGTCAGGAGTTCAAGATGAGCCTGGCCAACATGGTGAAACTCTGTCTCTACTAAAAATACAAAAATTAGCCAGGTGTGGTGTCAGGTGCCTGTAATCCCAGCTGCTTGGGAGGCTGAGGCAGGAGAATTGCTTGAACCCGGGGACAGAGGTTGCAGTGAGATGAGATTACACCACTTCACTCCAGCCTAGGCAACAGAACGAGACTCTATCTCAAAAAAAAAAAAAAAAGAAAAAGAAACACCTGCATAAGTACCAAAAATCAGGTGAGCACTCATAGTACCTGGTTTTAACCTCATCTTGCTGAAAGAGGCACTAAAGAGATAGAAAAAATAATCCTGAGTCACTCAGGCCACCACTCCCTCCAAGGTGCAGGAGGAGGGGCAGAGAGAACACAGCAATCGTGAGGCATCATACTACATTAAGGACCTTGGGTGAGCCTCTCAGTCTTGCTGGCTTCACGTACCAGCACAGCCACAGCAGGTAGAGCACCAAGAAGGCTCTTGGGGTCTCTGATTCCAGGACTTGACTCTTGGATGGAATTTCTAGACCTGCCCTGCACCAGAGCAGGGCCCACTGCCCTGAAGGGTGACTCCAAGGGTCAGCAGGATTCAGGACAAGCTGACTTAAGAGACCTTGGGCCATAAGGGAACATTAATGATAGTCTGACAGTACTCCTCATGGCCAGGGGTAGTGGTGGCTATGGAGTGAGGCTCCTCTGCCTTTGGAAAAGCGGAGGGAAGAGTGCGAAGGACTGTGTCTTGTTTGACTGCCAGCTCAGCCACAATACAATAGAGCACCAGGTAGACTTCTAAGGTTTTTAACTCTAGTCCCTGACTCCTGTATGGCACTTCTGGACCCACCCAGGGTTTAGGGGACCTCGTCACCCCGAAGAGGACACTGACCTGGCTGGCTTTGCCACATGCTGATTGTAGAGCCCCTGGCCTTGAGCAAACATAGACAGTAGCCAGGCAGTGGTTTCAGCAGGCCTTGGACAAGACCCAGTGCTATGCTGGCTTCAGGTCTGACCCAGCACAGTCAAAGCAGTGGTGGCCACAGGGGTGCTTGTGTCACTTCACCCCCAGCTTTAGAAAGACTCTGTATGTTTGGGAGAAAGGGAAGAGAAAAAGAGTCTTTGCCTGGTAATACAGAGAATTCTCCCGGATCTTGTCCAAGAGCATCAAGGCAGACCTCTACGAGTCTGCAAGAACCACAGCATTACTGGGCTTGGAGTAGCCCCTAAAGGAGAAACAGCTTAGATCACAACACTCAAGTTCTTTCAAATATGTGGAAATCCTTCCCAAGAAGGATGGCTACAAATAAGCCCAGACAATGAAGACTATAAATCATGATACAGTCATCAGATGGGATAATATTCAATCATTAAAATCATGCTGTAGAAGAATATTTATTAGAAATGCCTTCTATATGGTTAAATGAAAAAAATCAGGATCTAAAATGATATGTATAATGTGATCCCAATATGTTAAAATATATAAGCAAACAGATAGGAATAATACCAGAAGTATGCACACCAAAATATTAACAGCATTTATCATTGGGTATTAAAAATCTCAAGTGATTTTTCTTCCTCTTCACAATACTTTCAGAATTTGAATACTTTATTAATTAATACATTAAATTTTTCTCTCCTCTCAACAAAGCAGTATCTAAAATATATGTATTACTGATATTTAATTAATATATGTGACCAATATTATTCACAAATTCCTAGTAGAATTTTAAGTAATCCTTAAAATACTACATTATTTTGAAATTCAGCTGATACAAGTGGATTTTTTGAAGATGTAGAACATTGGAGAATGGTACAATGATCTTACACAGTAAGAATACTATCTGTTAAGACTAAGAACAAAAGGGAGAAGGAATACTCTAGAATCCTTGATGAAATCTCTTTGGGGCAAGAGAGATAAGTGGAGTACAAATTAATAAAATTTTAAAAACAAATTCATTTTTTCATGTACTATTGAGTATCTGTTGTATGCAGGGAGAGACCTCTATAGTTCTAAATTCAATTTGTTAGTTTGACATTAATGTAAATACAAGTTAGCATGTAAAGTTTTCCTATTTTTAAAGTCCAACAGTGTTTTCTAATTAATTTATTGAATTTCTGTTTATATACCTTAAACTTTTGTTATAAATTACTTGCTGTTGAATATTCAGTAAACTAGCCTTCTTCCGTTTTTATCCATTACAGGAAGCAGACAAAAAAATTCAAACAGAAAGCTCATCACTAAAACATCACCTAGGGAATATTCCAATTAGGAATATTCTACCTGCTATATTCTAATTAGGTGTCCTACACAACTTGAGCAGATAGAACTCACCCATTTAAAAAAAAATGTTTTAAGGGACTAAATCGAAAATGAAGAAAAGAAATAAAAGTGAAACCTCCCAAAGCTTACTAAGGACAAAGTTAGTCACGGGAAATTGTCTAACCAATCTTTTTTCATAAACAATTCAATTTTGCAATATTCTTGCCTCCATTTTGATATGGCCGGAGTCTTCTTTTTAAATAATATTCCTTTTCTAACTATAGAAATAATGCATAATCATTGTAGAGAATTTCAAAAATAGACAAAGGCACAAGGAAAAACACAAAAGTCACTCACAATTGTACTATCCAGGTTTTACTATTGTTAATATTAGCTTGGTGCAAAAGTAATGGCAGCTTCTGCCATTACTTTTGCACCAAGCTAATATTTACTTTTTTTTTTTACTAACAAAAAGGATCCTGTTGAATATAAGGATATGTGCCATCCCTTTTCACTAAACATAATACATTTTCTCACGACATTAAATGTCTTGCAAACATAGTATTATAATGATATTCTAACCCAGTGATCATCTTTGACCCAAATTTCTGCTCAAGTATTCTAAACCCCTTTTTATCAAGTTTTGTGTCAGCATCACACTACATTTGTAAATTAATTGATAAAATGTCAGCACAATATATCTGTGCTCTGCAACAGCTTCTATAAAACAAGATTATCTTTTTCCAAAACTTAAAAATTTCCATTTTTCTAACTATTTGCACACAGCATCATTAGGAAGGTGGGGGGGAATTCCCCCAGGGTCATTGAATAATTCAGGTTTTCTACTCACAGTGAATCAATTTGAGGATTTTTTCAGAAAATTATAGCTTTTTTCTGTCATTTATTGGTCAAAATTTCTTCTCAAGTAAGGCAGATTGTTGCTGAATATTCTAGTTTTCAATATATTTCAAGATTATTTAAATGAGAAGGTGGAGAAGACAAATCAGGCACTTCTAGGTAGCTGCCATCATATTCAGAAATCTCTCCACCAGCTTTTGAAAACTCAGTGTCTGCCCAGAGAGTATAAAAAACAGTAATAAATAAACGTATTGAATATTTAGTATGTTCCAGATACTGTGCTAAGAGCTTTAGGTATATTACCTAATGTAATCCTTACAACAACCTCGTAACAAGCAGGTGGTATTAGTCCCATTTAAGAGTTGAGTAAATGGAATATTGGAGGAGTTAAGTAATTTATTCAACCCATTTCCTTAATTGTGATGCAATGTTGTCTCCTATTATGAGCCATTTCTCTCTCTGCCATTCTTCACTGTATTATTTAATTGGATATGTTTACAAATATTTCTCTCACCTGTAACAGATGGTGAAAGAGTCTGAATTGAAAAAGAAAAAAAGGAATCTATAAGATCTACAGGATCTTACAGATCCTACAGAAAGAGGAATCTATAAGATACAAAAACCAGGTCAGGCGTGGTGGCTCACACCTGTAATCCCAGCATTTTGGGAGGCCGAGGCAGGTGGATCACCTGAGGTCACGAGTTCAAGACCAGCCTGGCCAACATGGTAAAACCCCATCTCTGCTAAAAATAGAAAAATTAGCCAGGCGTGGTGACACACACCTGTAATCCCAGCTACCTGGGAGGCTGAGGCAGGAAAATAGCTTGAACCCACGAGGCTGAGGTTGCAGTGAGCCAAGATAGCAACACTGCACTCCAACCTGGGTGACAGTGAGACTCCACCTCAAAAAAAAAAAAAAGATACCAAAACCTTCACCACAATGTGTCAAGAGGCATAGGCTTAGGAAATCCCAGACTTTTCCTAAAACTGAAAATGTTGTACATTTTCAGTTTTAAAATGTTATACAACATTTTCTTGCCAAAATGAAATTCTAAGTGCAGGGCTTGTTCTGTAGTACGTTAAATGATATAGCAATGATATTTTCACTTACACTGCTGCTTTTATATCTTAGAGCCAAGAGATTTACAGCACTATGAATTTCTCAGTGTATAGGACATTTAAAACATTACATTATCTACGGATTTTAAAACAAAAGTGAAAATGTCTATTATGAGAATGGCTGAACTAGTGCCTTGACAATCAAATAATCAGGGATAGAATTTCACTAATTAACAGTGTCTAGAATAACTGAAGAAGAAAAAGCGTTCAATTGGATCAGTTCTTACAATAAATAATGGAAAATATCATTAATATTTACCATTGCCTGTGAAATCCAATTTGTAAAGTAAATACGTAATTTATTGGGATTGGGAAGATGCTTGAGCATGGACAAGAAGGAAGCAAAAAAAGGCCTTTGTTCATTTAAATCAGTTAAAAGCCTATTAGTTCTTTAATATGATTTTTCTATATCCTTTGCATTGAGATACTCTGTAATAACGAAGTCAGCCTAATAAAATTCTTTCAAGTAAAAGACTTTGTATCAGAACAAAGGATTTTTTTAAAGAAAAGAAAACTGGAACACTTCAATCACCCTATAAGGCAACTAAAATACAACTGAAACAAAACAAAAACACAGCGGATGGTTTCCCACTGAGTTCCAAACTAAAAGTAGCCCTGATATGTGCCATATCACCAAAGAGAAATGCAGAGAAAGGTGTCTACCAACAAGATGCCACATGCCACACAACTCAACAATCTTTGTGTGTGTGTGCGTGTGTGTGTGTGTGTGTGTGTTCCATAGGTTATTGGGGTACAGGTGGTATCTGGTTACGTAAGTTCTTTAGTGGTGATTTACAAGATTTTGGTGCATCCATCACCCAAGCAGTATACACTGTATCCTATTTGTAGTCTTTTATCCCTATCCCCCTCCCACTCTTCCCCCCACAGTCCCCAAAGTCCACTGTAGCATTCTTATGGCTTTGCGTCCTCATACCTTAGCTCCCACATATCAATGAGAACATACGATGTTTCGTTTTCCATTCCTGAGTTACTTCATTTAGAATAATAGTCTCCAATCTCATCCAGGTCACTGTAAATGCCATTAATTAATTCCTTTTTATAGCTGAGTAGTATTCCATTGTATGTATATACCACAGTTTCTTTATCCACTCATTGATTGATGGGCATTTGGGTTGGTTCCATGATTTTGCAATTACGAACTGTGTTGCTATAAACATATGTGTACAAGTATCTTTTTCGTATAATGACTTCCTTGCCTCTGGGTAGATACCCAGTAGTGGGATTGCTGGATTGAATGGTAGTTCTACTTTTAGTTCTTTAAGGAATCTCCACACTGTTTTCCATAGTGGCTGTACTAGTTTATATTCCCACCAGCAGTGTAGAAGTGTTCCCTGATCACCGCATCCACACCAACGTCTACCGTTTTTATTTATTTTTTGATTATGGCCATTCTTGCAGGAGTAAGGTGGTATCACATTGTGGTTTTGATTTGTATTTCCCTGATCATTAGTGATGTTGAGCATTTTTTCATATGTTTGTTGGCCATTTGTATATCTTCTTTTGAGAACTGTCTATTCATGTCCTCAGCCCACTTTTTGATGGGATTGTTTTTTTCTTACTGATTTGAGTTTGTTGTAGATTCTGGATATTAGTCCTTTGTCAGATACATAGATTGTGAAGATTTTCTCCCACTCTGTAGGTTGTCTGTTTACTCTGCTGACTGTTCTTTTTGCCATGCAAAAGCTCTTTCTTTTAATTAAGTCCCAACTATTTATCTTTGTTTTTACTGCATTTGTTCTTGGGTTCTTGGGCATGAAATCCTTGCCTAAGCCAATATCTAGAAGGGTTTTTCCGATGTTATCTTCTATAATTTTTATAGTTTTAGGTCTTAGATTTAAGTCCTTAATCCATCTTGAGTTGATTATGGTGAGAGATAAGGATCCAGTTTCATTCTCCTACATGTGGCTAGCCAATTATCCCAGCACCATTTGTTGAAAAGAGTGTCCTTTCCCCACTTTTATGTTTTTGTTTGCTTTGTCAAAGATCAGTTGGCTGTAAGTATTTGGGTTTATTTCTAGGTTCTCTCTTCTGTTCCATCAGTCTATGTGCCTATTTTTATACCAGTACCATGCTTCTATACAACAACAGCAACCAAGCAGAGAATCAAATCAAGAACTCATCCCCTTTTACAAAATAGCTGCAAAAAAAATAAAAATAAAATACTTAGGAATATACCTAACCAAGGAGGTGAAAGACCTCTCTACAAGGAAAACAACAAAACACTGCTGAAACAAATCAAAGATGACACAAACAAATGGAAACACATTCCATGCTCATGGATGGGTAGAATCAATATTGTGAAAAATGACCATACTGCCAAAAGCAATCTATAAATTCAACACAACCCCCATCAAAATACCACCATCATTTTTCACAGAATTAGAAAAAACAATTCTAAAATTCATATGGAACCAAAAAAGAGCCCACATAGCCAAAGATAGACTAAGCAAAAAGAACAAATCTGGAGGCATCACACTACCTGATTTCAAACTATACTTAAGGCTATAGTCACCAAAACAATTAATCTTTGATGTTCACGTTTACTTCATGTCTTCAAGAATAAAATCCTCTAATATAGATGACATTGTCTTAAGGCAATGGTGTCTGCTTGGGTGGTACTGTTTTATCCTGTGTCCAATAGTTACCTTCACCACTTTCACATATGCCTCAACAAGAGATGTTAGCTATTTCTTATTCACTAAAGTACTGATTTTATTTAAAAGGAGAAGCATAGCAGCATTTAAAGAACAAATAGTTTACCAACCTATATAAATATGTTCTGGCTATCTGGTTACTATCCATCATGCCAAAAAAGAAAGTCTGGATGAATAGATTTTTACCAATTTGGAAAGTAAGTTTGAGTTGGTCTGACTTAAATACAGACTACTGGTAATGGCAAAAAAAAAAAAAAAATGTGGATTGGCGTGCTCACCATCTAATCCAGTCTCCTCGTGTTAGCCTTACACGATCATGGCCAAAAACCTAAAGCTTACCTTTCCCAGATTTCCTTGCAGCTATGTGTTCTGGATAGGATTAAAGTTCTGTCAGTCACACGCACTCAAGACTTGACTTCAGAAGTGAGTTAATTGTGAGAAAGATCAGGTATGAGGCATTGCCTGTGCTCGTGCAGACAGGGCAGAACTGGTGGTGGTCCCAGAGTTGGTACCACTTCAGCAGGAGAAGCTTCCTGATCAGAGCAGCAGCTCCTTCAGTAGCCCACCTGGGGAGTAAGGCTTTGGGAATTCATCCTAGTGTCTGTCTTCTCAGCTTAGCGTCTTCTCTTGAGTCCTACTAATAATTACGGGGGTTTGTTTAATATAAACTATACTAAATCCCTTCCTGCTTAAAACAGGGCAGATTCTGTTCTCTGCCATTGAATCCTGACTAATAGGATGGTTTTTATACAATTCCATATATCGGGCCCAGAAACAATAAGAGGTCCCAAGATCATCAAAAGAAGCATACTCTCTCAACGGCAATGAGACTGATGCCCAAAGTGGAGATTTTTTGTGGCTTCAAAGAGATGAGTCATAATTCTCCAGATCCATAGAAAATGAGGCACATAGATAACCCCCTGTGACTGTCCATTAGGAGAAGATGATTTCTCACAGGCTACTAAAATCCATTTCTGATGTTTGGTTGGGATATTTGGTTCCAATTAGGAGGAACATGCCATACCTAATAAAACACTGTGGACAGAGAAAACAAACAGTAGTGTAAAAATGAGCCACAAATCTGCTATGTTAATAAATCTAACAAAAATTTAGTGTCTGACATTCACCACCTAATTGTCTGTGCTACTCCTGGAACCAATTACTAAGCTCCGGAAATTATGAAATCCTTATTATCAAAGTAATATGAAGAATTCAGACATTTAAAGTAAGATCAATGGTTACAACAGGGCTTTTCAGTAGGTGCAGTGAAGGGAAATGCTCTAGAAGCCACTGATTCCTTTCAACTTCCCCTTTGCTTTTATGTCTCTGCTATTCCCTGTAATCCTCTAATATGCCACATCCAGTTATAAAGCTCAGAGAAAACATTCTAACTTGAGGGTACTGATCAGTGATTCAGTTTCTTCTCTTACAGGCAACTCTACCTCATACAGCAGCACGAAGTCATTCATACAGTCCCTAGATCAAGAACTGGTAAATATGGTCAATTAGGAAGAAGTTTTATATTTTTATGATTTTTAGACAACATTATGGTTCTAACTTTTAAAATTCTTGTTTCTAACAAATGTCATTTAACTATAGCTAATGAGTCTCCCAAGTAAGAGCAGATGATAATAGAGCTAATATACAATAAGTAAAGGGATACACAGTGTTATAGCTCAAAAGTGTTAGTAATTTACTTGAATCTGAAAAACATCAGAAAGAAGAAAAAGTTAGTTCAACTGAGAGCTGCCAAAATAGTCATCTTATGAGTCGATGTCTGGCCATAATTTTATCTCAACAAAATAAAGGCTTTTGTGATATGATTTATCATCTAATATTGATTACTAAATGCAAAGAAGTTCAACTTTATTTATTCAAGCAAAGGACAATTTAATTCACAACTGTTTGCTTGAATCTCATTTAAAAGTTTTAAAGTCATGAATAAGGTTTTAAAGTTATTAATGTACCTATTTAATTTTATGCTTGGTATGAAGTCATCTGTAACTTTCACAGAATATTAACCATAATCACCTCTGAAGCACTGCAGCACTCAGTCATTTCTTCACCTCTCAGGTCTAGAGGAACCTTGGTTGGTTAGGTAGAATTAGTCATTCACTCTGAATACCCTCTGGGACTACATGATTATAATCCCCAAGATTTGAAAAAGAAGCTATCTGGGTGTCAAAGACACTTTAGTTGTCAAGGGGCGATCCTTAGCAGGATCACAAATGAATTCAAAAATCAGATTGGACAAATCAGAATGGATACAAGAAGATAACAAATGCTTGACTGGCTATTCAGGTTCCCAAGCGGACAGAAGACTTGAAGTGGCAGCCAGGGCAGGCAATGCCACCTACTGGTCAGCCAAGGTAGAAAAAAGAAATAGCCTAGTGAATTAACTTCAGCCATACTAGGCCATTTGGTGTTGTGACACAGTGCAAAATCTCCTTCTAATTAGTGAAATAAACATCAGATCATCTGCAATAACCTTTCTGGAATATAGCTACTTAATTTTAAAAGAATAAACCAAAGTGATTATGTTTATCAAAAAAGTCGAAAAGGAGAACCACAGACACATTCCATAGGATTTCAGAATGAGCCCTCTTTAAAATGCCACTGTCTCTATTTCAGTCTATCTTCCTATTTCAGAATTTCCCTGGACCTCATTCAAATTGGAATTCAATAAGGATGTCCCCATTACAAATGAATATTTGATTCTCTGGAAAGGAACATGATTGATTTCATTTTTTAAATCAACACAGTTACAGTCTGAGTTCAATATTGAGGGAAGCCTCATGAGTATTCCTTATTCATTAACGCACAAGTTAATATGTTGAAATTGACTGACTTTATGTATAGGAAAGCATTGAGTAGCAAATATATTAAGGGAATTTAGAATCATCTCTACAAACTCACTCCTTCGGCATACAAATTAGAGTTTTAGTCCAGAAGTGGGCTTCTGAAGCAATATAACTTCCCAATTCATTTCTCAGAACTTAAATATCCTCAGAATTTTATAAGAAGTTAATAACTTTCCATGGTCCATGAAACCTCAAATGCTAATTCCATTTTCAAATGGTAAATGGCACACAAAGTATTTGATAACAAGCTGCTACTTCTTAAAATTTTCTTTCATACTGTCATAAAAAAGCCTAAAGAACAGAGAAATCATCCTTTTCTGAAACATAAACAATAATGACTCCAGAAAGCAAAATACCCACTGTCCAAGTCAAATCAATTAAACCATGAAATCACCTTAACCAGAAGAAGCTTGGAAGGATTCTAAGGCCAGCCCTCATCCTCATTCTCCAAGAAATGGTCAGAACCTTTCTTGTCTTAATCTTTTTCCTTAAGTCATACTAGTAAGAATTTATTATGCCAGTGATCACAGGATTTTAAAAAGTTCCAGACAATAATTACTAATATTAATATTTTCAAACCTAAAGAATCACTAAAGTCCTTGAGCATATGATTTCCAACCTAAAATCCATCACATAACCATTTAAATCTACTTCGTGTTGGCCTGACCGCTGTGAAGCTATTCCCTTACTCAGGCTGTAGAGAGCAGTTAATTGAATCTATAACTTTGGTCTCCAGGCTTTAATCCCCTACTCAACTTTCTTAGTCAAGTGACTAGTACAATTTACATTGTTCTGGTAAAATATTAACAGAATCAACTTTGGAGAGAATCCAGGACTTAAAACCAGGTTCAAATCCTGTCTTTGCCACTAACCAAATATGTGCCCTAGAGCAAATAATTTAATTTCTCTGGGCCTGTTTTTTCATTTTTAAAGTGGGGGTAATCATTACCTACTTCAAGGATTGGTAAAGATGAGGTGAGGTGATCCGTTTCCTGTGCTGGGCACTCAGTAAGCATTCAACAAATATTTGAAGTTCCTCATCAACAATTTTTTTTTAATTTTCAATATACACCAGGCTCCATGCTAATTGCTGCAGCTACAACAGTGAGAAAGACAGAAACGATCTCATCCTGAATGATATTCAAGTAGAGAATAGCATAGAAAGCCTACTAATACAATAATTACAAACAGCGATGTGTTATGATGGAAACAAACAAGGGCTGAAATCGAGAACACAGAGAACAAGGGAAGGAAGAAGACCAAGAAAGCCTTCTCCAAAGAAGTGGCATTTAAGCTAATAGCCAAAGGAAGACAAGGACCTGGCCATGCAAAAAGAGGAAGGGTGTTCACGGCAGAGAAAACAGCAAGTAAAAAAGCTCTGAGAAAGGTAAGATATTGAAAGTGAAAGGAAGTTCAATGTGACCAGGGCATAGAGCTAGGGGGAGCATGGCAATGGGGTGGACAGGGCCGTAGAGGCCACTAAAGAAGCCTGAAGAGGAGGGATGTGATCCCATTAATGTGTAGCAGAAAGGATCATTCTCTCATATCCTAGACAGGGTTCTCATGCTAGTTTTAGGTCAGCCTCCCAAGTGCAGGCACAAAGGCTTCCCCACCATTCCACCAGGTGTCCAGGGAACCACCTCTCTTTTTCTAAGTCTTACATGTGTTAGGTCATGTCATCGCAAATAAAGAGGCTGGGAGTGGGGCATCCACAGATATAAGCCAAAAAAGTCTAGGCTGATGGGGTGACACTCCAGCTGGACAGTAACAGGCAAGGCTGCTGACAAGCAAAATCCTCACCTTTGTTCTCAGGCTTTAGGACTCACATTGAATTACACCACCAGCTTTCCTGGTTCTCGGGGCTGTCGATAACAGACTTTCGAGGACTTAGCCTCTATAACCATGTGAACCAATTCCTATAATGTTCATATCTATATATTTGTCTTTGTGTAGGTATATATGTGGAGATGTGTGTGTATATCTATATGTACATCTATATATATATACGTGTGTGTGTGTGTGTGTGTGTGTGTGTGTGTGTGTGTGTGTATCTCCATCCTACTGTTTCTGTTTGGAGCTGTATGTATATCTCCATCCTATTGTTTCTGTTTCCAAGAACCCTTCCAGTGTTCCCACCCCACACCTCGCTGTGGTCACTATAAAAAAAACTCCTCCTGATCTGTGCCATGCTGAAAGATCAGGATCTTTTGAAGACTTTTGTTCCTGTCTAAACGCTCCATGTGGCCACAATATGCGTATGAAAAATCAAGGACCAGTCTTCTTCTATTTGAATGTCTAAAGGCATCACTCTCCCCATCCTAAACACACACACACACACACACACACACACACACACACACACACACACACACATTCTTTATAGCCTTTAGTCTACACCTGTGAAAGTTCTTCCTTTTGCCTCCTCTGTCCTTCCAGCTTTCTCACAGTAGACTCTGTGGGCCCTACAGTGGCAGAAGATGAATCATCCAAAAACAAGTGTCTCTTCCCTCAGAGACAGAGGGGCTTAATATCAAGCCCTTCCAGAGAAGAAAGAAATGAGACATTTACATTCTCACTTAGGGAAAAAAAAAGCTTCACCCTCATGTCCTGCCATAGCATTTTCACAGTCCAAAATGGAGGAGGGCAGGAGCTGAAGAAGGAGCAGCAGCCCAGAGATGTGAAGATGTGACAGTGAAACCGAGAAGAAGGGCCATATTGGGGAAGTAGTTTGGAGATACAATGAAAAGAACTTGCTGATGCATTTGGTGCAGCAGGTGAAGGAGCAGTGAGGGGAATTCTGATGCCATTTCCTGTCAGAGAAAACTGAAAGAAACAAAACTTTTAAGAAAAATCTAAAGTGTTATCCTGGACATGCTAAAGTTTCAAGACACCAAGTGGAGATGTCAAGGAAGAAGTGGAATTGAGTTCCGAGCTCAGAGGAGAGGTCTGGACTGTGGATATGTACTTTGGAGTCATAAACATAAAGATGTTAAAAGCCATGGGAATAAATGAGTCACCTAAGAAAAGAGGGTGGGGTGGGGGAAAGGAACCCAGGTCAGACACCTGAGGAGCCTCCATGGAGGGAGGCTGAATAAAGAAGAAGAGAGCCAGCAAAGAAAAGAGTAAGAAAGGAGGGATGTTGCCAGAAGATGGCTACGAGGTGCCCATGGACCTTCTCTCAAATATCACAGCATTCTTCCACCATTCCCCGAATTTGCAGAATTTTATTTCCGCATTTTTCTCCAGTGCTACTGCAGAAGAGGTCATGTTTTGCTTTATGGGAAAGAAAGTATTTGGTTTATTTCATTTGTATATTTCCATTTACTTTTCACTGAATAGTTGTTAAGAATTAAAACTAATCAAACTATGTATATAATAACCTATCTAAACCACAAGGGGGTAGAAATTCTAACTTTTAGGGAAACCACTTTCCAAGGCTAAATTAATTCACTGAATCTGTAATTTTTAAAAATCAGAAACATTATTTTTCAGATGACATATAAGATAAAGCATAAATTGTGTTCAGTACCCTACCTCATACATGAAGGGATGCTGGCTAAAAGAAAATCTAGACAAGGAGAATTAAAGTAGCATTTTTATAAGCTTAGCTTTTGCATAATCAAAACCATAGCACTTGCTGTCTTTGAGAGAGGCCAGTCTTCTTATCGTGCATAGCAATTCCATTCCACGAAAAGCAGAAATGTTCTTTGAAAACCATTGTTTCAGAAGATCCTCGTCTGCAAAACTATAAGAGGATAAAATACCTTACAAGGGTAAGTAAATAGCTAATATTTATTTGTATCGTTGGTAAGCATCAAACACTGCATATAAACCGAGGCAAAACCATCATATGGATTAATCCATAGTGTGTCAATCAAGAAGTCTATTTCACTAAGGTAACCAATTATTCCAGCATACCAAGTTATATTTAGAAAATTGGCTACTTTGTAAAATTAAGAGCTATCCTACTGTCATAGGCAGCGTTTTGTCATACTACCTTATAGTCCATGTTAGCACTTATCTGATTGTATTAGAAATCTCTTCATGTCTCTGCTTACCTTGACAGATCATAAGTTCTTGAAGTCATGTCTATCTTCTCACTGTAGTGCTACGTCAGGGCCTTCAGAGACCTCAAAGTAAAGGTCTAGGATTCACCTCCATTAGGATCACCTGGAGGACATGTCAAAATGCAGATTGCTGGGCCCCCCTTAACATATGGAATTAGCATAGTATTTGCAAGGATTTCCAACAGCTCTAATAGGCCTTTCAAACTGTATCAATGAAGATAATAAATCCCAAAGGCATACTGCCTAACAACTATAGGTTGACATTTCTTCTACTTATCGACTTACACTATTGTTCGGAAACTACTCCCACAATACTTGTTGAATGAAGGAACAAAGGATAAAGTGTCACCCTGGGTAAACCTCCATCTTATAATACAAACAGCTTATGACTATTTTATATTAACAGTATTATGGCAGTGCTTATCTATGCATCTTTACTGAATCACGGCAAATAATTTGGGGATTTTAAATAGAACTTAGAGGTTATACCTTCTATAAAATATGTTAAGAAAAAATATACCAAAGATATGTTAAAACCATAAAGGCCTGAACAATCACATGTGTTATCCTTATCATTTATTTAAACAATATTAAAGAGTCTAAAATTATTAAAACTCTAACTCTATTTATGATGAAAATAGTCATCAGTTTTTTCATGAAAAAGTACTTATTTTAAGGAGTCATATTTTAAATATATGGTGGGAGGTGCCTGTAATCCCAGCTGCTCGGGAGGCTGAGGCAGGAGAATTGCTTGAACCCTGGAGGCGGAGGTTGCAGTGAGCCAAGAAGGCACCACTGCACTCCAGCCTGGGCAACAAGAGTGAAACTCCGTCTCAAAAAAAAAAAAAAAACCATATATATATATATAAAATAGCTTTACAAATAATTCACTTTTTGATCAACATATGACTAAATCTGTACATCTATTAATATAAATATAGTAAACAATACATTTTAGAATGGTTCCAAAATATAATTTACACTTTCATATATTAAGAGACTCTCAAATTTCAATCTCAAAAGTTTTTAAAGTTTAAGTAATGATTTTCATCAAAAAAAGAAAAACCTTTTTTTCCCACAAAAATAGAATGTTTTATCTGCATAGTCAATACTATTGCATGGCACAAACAGTTCAAAACATTAAATATTGACTCAAAATTACCTTTAAGAAGTTTTTTCAAATTTCTCCTTTCTGTTACTGCTTGAAAAATATCTATGGTTATACTTAAGTCTTATGAAGACTGTATCCAACTGAATTAAAGATGTCACATTCAATTTTCACACTCCTAGCAGATAATAACCATGAGTCATTTCTTAGAACTAGGTTTTCAGGTAATAGGGTAGGGACAGGCTGTACCATTTTGTACACTTCACAATTTTAGAAATATTTTATCACCATGACATGTGTAAGAACTTGTAATTACTTTATCTCCTTCAATCTGTGTCAAGAAGATAATAAATGTGCATTTTATACAGGGCACTAATACTTGGAACTGTGAGTTGAATAGCATCTCTTGTGTCTCTATTCACTAATAGCTTGGGTAAAACACTTAACTGTCCTTCTAACCTAGTATCTCCACCAGAGTAATGGCAATGTTATTGGTATCCATATATATTTAGATATATCACAGAGCAAAAGGGCCATTATATGATCAATCTTTTACATCTTTGGTTGATAACTGTACTCTTTTTAGAAGAACCATTACGTTGAAAACTCCATTTTGCTACTACGTTAGACAGGCAATAATTGAAGGAGACCAGGGAGTCTCTAGAAGTGATAAAGGTCTAGCAATAAATAACATGGGACTGGCCTGGTGCAGTGGCTCGTGCTTGTAATCCCTTTGGGAGGCCAAGGCGGGAAGACTTCTTGAGCCCAAGAGTTTGAAACCAGCCTGGGCAACATGGCAAAACCCCATCTCTACAAAAGTACAAAAATTAGCTGGACATGGTGGTGCACATCTATAGTCCCAGCTCTTGAGAGGCTGAGGTGGGAGGATCACATGAGCCTGGGTAGGTCAAGGCTGCAGTGAGCCATGATCAAACCCCTGCACTCCCACTTGGGCAACAGAGTGAGACCCTGTCAATAATAAACAAATAAATAACATGGGACTAAATAAAGTTTTACTTGGAATATGTGTACCCCTGCACTCCCACTTGGGCAACAGAGTGAGACCCTGTCAATAATAAACAAATAAATAACATGGGACTAAATAAAGTTTTACTTGGAATATGTGTATTTGCTAAAGTTGCAAGGGAAAATATTGCAAATTATACATCATTTGAAAAATTATCTCTCTTTAGTTAATTTTCAGTCACAATATTGGATGTAGCAGCTCCAAATAGAGGTTACCTGATTATTGCTTTTATAATTGAATTCTTAAAGAGTTTACATCATAATTATATAATTGTATTTTTGAAACATCACAGAAACCCAACATGTACCTATTTGTAATCATCAGAGTATATACATCTGATTAGGACTCAGCTATGTTCAAGGCCTCATCGAGCCCAACATACAATTATCATTTGCATTTTCTGCTACAATCAAAGAAAACGCATTGTGTGCTATTAGTGGCCATTGCAAGAAGGAAGATGCTGTTTTCAATAACAGGAAATCAAGAACAAACAAAATAATCATCTTCCATTTAAAAAAAAAAAGCCTACAGAAAAGTGAAAAGGACAGGGTCCTAAAAACATCTAGTGATGCCAATAAAATGGAATGTTTTTTAAAAAGTGATTTGTCTCACTGAAGCTGCAGAAGGGTATCCCACACTTATATATTATGTGACTGCACTAAAAACAGACGCTTTTGGTGCACTGAGCGTTACAAAAAGGCAGAAAGCTCACAAATAGATGCAATTTTAGGTATGGGAATAAAATGACATAAAGAAACTGACCTTGTTATCAGTTTAGCTGTAGAGGTGAAAGATAAGGATATTTCAAGGAAAAACCTATTACAGGCAGTATATAGAGTACTTGGGCCCAGTTGAAGCCCAGGTAATGTGATGATAGTAATGATAATGGTCCACTGAATGCTAACAGACAAGTATATATAGTTACAGCTGTACATGGATATCACAACCTTACACACAAATTCTAGAAAGATCATTGTGAAAATGACATTCCATAAATCACATGGAATCAGCACCAAGTGTGTCTTTATGCATGCCCAAAAAGGAAGGAGAAACTGACAACCATCAATAATGAACAATGACTTATTTCAAATCTAATATCTAGTGCTGATAAATTTATTTTGTTGTTGTTGTTTAAACGAGAATGTTTCTATGGGCCTCCTAAGTCATCTTATGCCTAAAAATAACAGCTCTTTTTTTGTGTCTTTCCAAGAGAGGTAATATTAAGAATTAATAGGTATTTCAGAACCTCCAAAACGAACTCACTAAACGAGTACCAACAAGTTACAACCTGAGCTGGATTTTATTTTCAAATGATAAGCAACAGCAATAAGGCAGTCCATATTCTATAAGCTACTTTTGTTACACATTAATGACTAAAACAGCTTCTGTGCAGATTTCAAATTAATCGGACAAAGAATATCAGCTTTATGGCATTAAACTCATTTGAAAAAGGAGTGGATGGCAATACAACTAAAGTTTTACCAGAAAACAAGAGTTATCTAAGCAATAATCCAGCAAGAAAAGAGAACTACTTCTGATTTCCTAGAATACATCCCTAACAGGTTATTATTTCTGATTACCATGGCAGCACACAGCATTTTCCATCTAACACTTTACAAAGATGCTTGGTCATGCCATGCTCTGCTGTATTAAATGATCTTTGTTGAAACCATTCATTTCCATTTCTCTTACACCTACGAAATGTCAAATAAGAGTGATAAGACAGTCATTTACTCTCAATTTTCTCTTTAATTTAGAGTGTATTAGAACTCTAAAATAATAGACTAATATATTTTCTCAATTCTCCCTTCCTCCTTTCTTTCCACTGGAAGGAAATCTATTTCTGATAGCATTTCTTCTAAAGTTTAGGGAACTAAAAAGTGCTGCTGTTTAACCAAAAAAAAAAAAAAAAAAAAAGTTCTAAAGCATAGTTATTTTGAGTAAATATCTTTCCAAAAACTCTACAAAAAAATATAAAATCTTCCCTGGAGTGCTTATAAAAGGTAACATAAAAGTGGCTATGAGTGAAAAAAAGAAATAATGTTTTAAGGACTGAAAAAAAAATCAAATGCAAGTAGTTCTACCCTACCCATCTCTTTTTTACCCTTCTTTTACACATGCAGAGACACACACACACAGCACAGATTTCAACCACAAGTTTTAAGAGCATGTATAAAGAAGCATACAAGAAAATCAATCAATCTTTGTTTTACAAAGAGAGAAAGTTGGCCATAGAAATCAACATGCCACAGGAATCTTCCTTCCCTTACTCAGAGGATCAAAAAAAAACCAATGCTTCTAGACCAATAAGGGGCATAATTCACCTTTCATTTCCTGAACATATCCTGTTCAAACTAGGATAACACAGTGAAGATACTATGAGGTAAATCATACTCCAATCCTAGTTTACATTAAGATTTTGAAAAAAAACTACAAAGCTATTGAAATCATCTATTTATATGTGAAAAACAAAGCATGGGTATTAATGGAGAAGAAAATCATCTGTCGAGAAATACTCCTTAAAACTTACTTTTAAAAACCTTTTGAATGAATATTACAATTGATCCTTATTTAGGTCATTTCTCTTAAGCATACTACATCAGCAATGTTAAAAAGTGCCCAGAAATCAAAATTACCAAAATTATATTTCAAAGAATATATTCCATACACATGAAATTAAACCAGAGTTAGTAAAGGTGTCCAAAAACAGATCTTATAGGACTTTTTAAAAAAGAGAAAAAAAAGAACGATGGGTTGTTTCTTCAGAGATGGAGTGTACACATCATAATCCTCTTCGTTTGGCATCACCAATGACTCCCCAAACATCAAAGACAAATTCGTCTGGGAACGCAAAGTCTCCAAGAGTTTCGTCAAGTGCCACAGCAAATTCATCTGGATTTACTTTGTCCTTTCCAGCTTCAAACATTGTGGTGGCTATCAAAAATAATATTAAAAAATTAACAATAAATGAAATAGCATCAAAGGACTGAGAAAAATGGCAACAGGAAAATTACTTGCTAAAAGTAACATGCATAAATATATTTCAAATTAAATGCAAAATTAAATGCAAATTAAAACAGTAAGATACCCTCTCTCACACACACACATCAAGGTGGCAAAGATACTTTTCAACAATGTGTCCACTGAACCCAGGTTTGCAGCTGCCACCCTTGCCCCCTACCCAACCTTGGAGCCCATCAGTTGGGAACCTCTGGCATTCCCATGGGTAGAACAAGATCCCCTGAAAGAAACCCTGTGGCTGTGACTAACCCTAGCAGGAAACTTAAAGAACACCCCTTCCCCAACCTCCTAATAGTCACTACTCTCCCTCCCTCCTCCACCAGTCCCCCACTGCCAACTGAGATGGAGTCCAGTCCTCCCTGCCCAAAGACAAAAAGACAAAGGATGACAGCTTGCACTGGAGCAGTCAAGCTGGGGAGAAGCAGAGGAAGACATCTGTCTACCTGTGGAATCAAGGTACCTTTTCTGAGCCCCTCTCCAGTTTGGGATAGAACATGAAAGTGGCGGCCTTGTTCAGTTTTTCTACTAAGTTGCCTGGGTTCCATATTCTATGTCTTGGAACCAGCATCTTCAGGAGTACTTAGGACTTGCCCCAGCTGTCTGGGAGCCCAAGAGGCTCAGTGGATTTCCACTCAGCACCCTAGAAGCACCAGCAACCAGAAAGAGATGGTGTATATGTGATGTGGGACTTGGGTGAAAAACCTCCATGTGAAAGGGAAACGCCAAAGCCCCAGGGAAAAGCTCCAGCATCTCCTTTCCTTCCAGGTTAAGGATGAACTAATCCAAGTTTGTATGACTTCTCTGAACGAGCCACAAGGTCTAGAGAGATAAAAGCTATGCCTCTTCCCATCAGTTCAGTCCTAACACAAGGCAGGCTAGGAAGAAAAGGGAGAGATGTGGCCTACAGAAGAGCACCAGGATCAGAGCAGAAGTAGGGTGGGGGTGCAGTGAACTAGTAGAGGGATCAAACCTCTAGTAAGGTAAGGAGGGCTTCTATATGGCCAGGCAGCCTGGCATGGGGTGGGAGAGTACAGATGTGGTGAGGATGGCATGGGAATGGGGAGGGAGGGCAGCAGCCACGGTGATAAGAGATTAGTTACACATATGGAGATGGATCACATACATACACACACACATACATACACACACACACACACACATACATACACACATACACAGACACATACATACAGAACAACAGGAATCAAGTTTGTCACTGCCAGAAAAGGATAAATAGGGAAAGGGAGAAAATAAGAATGAACCCTATGGAATTAGAATTGTAGATATCACTGGAAATATATATATATCTCCAATTGAGGTGTTATAAAAATACAGACATAAATGCATACATGCATGTGTATACACATTCCTCAGTCCTGGAAGCATGACATCCCAACTACAATGAGTACACAAAGCACCGAAATCTTGGTTCTTAAATACCATTCTCCATTAGAAAGACTAAGACTTCCTCAGAAAAATGGCAGATTCCAGGGCTAGAGCAGGCAAAGTGCAATATGAACCAAGACTATCTTGTACCAGAAAGTAAGAAAGTGTCACAAAATGATGGGAACATGTGAAAAGGATATAGATGTCAGAGTGCAAGAGTTCACACTGACCAAATCAGGGATAATTTAAATATCCAAATAAGTAATGATGGTAATATATTATAACTCCAGTGAATAGAACAGGAAGCCATGAATCCATAATACATACATACACACACACACACACACACACACACACACACACACACAATTTTTTTTTCCTTGTGTAACCAATGTTTATCTTTAAAACTAAACCCTAGTGGCAGTCTAATCTACAGAACCCTTGGTTCTCACTACACTACACTACATTAATGCTGTACCCTCATAAATCTGACCACTCAAAATGCTATCTTCGCTGCTTTCTGCCTTTGCCCAGGATAACCTCCTCCTAGCCACCAGCACCACCATCAAAATCCTTCTCTCCTTCAAGGCTCTCTCCTCCATGAAATCCTTTGTCCACAGCTGGAAGAGATATCCCCATTCTCTAAACCCTTCTGCCAGTGTTTTTCATGCTTAAATGCACAAACAAATCACCTAGGATCTTGGCAAAATGGAGATTTTGGTTCAGTAGTTCTGCAGCCCTGAGATTCTGCATTTTCAACTCCCAGGTGATGCTGGTCCTCAGGAAACACTTTCAATAAAAAGGTCTTAGACTGCAAATTCAACATTGCTCTGCACTGACATTTATTTTTCTGTGTATTTTTTTCTCTCCTACTAAAAGAATAAACTCCCAACAGATCTTGAGTAGCTTACTCAGTCTTTTATGCCCGTAGTAACTAATTCAGTGTCTCATGCATAATAAATGCTAGTGAATGGGTGGTGCAAGAGGAGGGTGTGTAATTACACTTACATACTTTTTGCACAGGCACAGTTAGCATGCACTGGGGAAAGTGAAGTCCAGAACTCTGGTCTCATAGCCAGGATGTAAAAGAAGAGTAGCCAGAATGTTAAGGTGAAGTACTGCTGAAGTAGAACTCCAGTTCAGAATTTTGCTTACTCTACCATTTTAACTCTTTCTCATAGGCTTTACAGGTAGCATTTATTAAGACAACTACCTAAAGATTATAATGACATATGGGTAACACATGTTAAGAAAGCTAGCTGAGGAAGAAATAAGATGCATACAGATAAAAGACATAAGAAAATGTACGGACCATTCAGAAACAGAAACTAACAGTATAGATGACACTCTTAAATGCTGGGGGAGACAATGACAAGGATGCAGATGTTCACTGATGGACACTGAATCAATTTCTCTCTCTACACACACACACACACACACACACACACACACATCCTTGGCTATAAGAGGGAAAAAGAAACAACTTGGTACATGATTTTTTTTTTATACCTCAGGAAGCTCAGCAGCATTGTCTAGTGCACTAAGCCCGGGAACTCCATGTTGTAGATTTCACCTGCACTGACTTGCAATGTCTGCTTTGGGTTTCTAGTCACAAAAATGAAAGAAAATGCTGCTTCAAGATGCCCATAGTCTAACCTCACAGTCCAAAATGCATAATCTCGCTCATGCACTCATTCTGGCACAGCAGAAAAGTGAAGAAAAACCCCCACACTCAGTACTGCCCAGAGCTGCTGATACAGTCTAGTTATACAGCTCCACATGTTCTCCCTCTATTACCACTGCCATTACAACTACTAATAGTAATCATCATTAGTGATCATCACTAAGAATGATAATACCTACACCCATTATTATTTATGATGTGACAGGACTTTATACAGATTATTTGATTCCTTGGCAACCCTATAAGATTATTTTTATTATGTCCCTTTTATAGATGTGAAAATTAGGATTCTAAGTTTAATAATTTGCCCAAGGGCCAAAGCTCCAAACTAATAAAATTAGGACTCATGCTCCCTGTGAATTCACTACTTTTGTGACTCTCAACAGACATTTATCAAGTACTTACTCTTGGAGAGGTACTGTGGTAAGAGCTGGGATTAAAACTGAGCAAGATATGGTATCTGCCTTCAAAAAATACCTGATCTTGTAGAAACAACAAAAAAATGCCAATTACACAGCTACATAATTGTGCTGGAAATACTGCATGTAATACAGTGCTCTATACATCTTTTAAAAACCAGTAATTTGCTATATGAATTCAAAAATGCAGCATGCAGCTAAATATGTTATATATTTTTCCTAATACATAAAGTATAAACATCGCTTTTTTATTTTATTTCTCATCCTCAGCTGGGTTTGGTGAACATAGCTTTTAAGACATCTTTACAGGATAAGTAAATGGTAAAATTCATCCTTTTTGATAAAATATTATAGCTCTGATTTAAGAGAAAAGCAAAAGAAAATTTAGCAAAATAAAACACTTTTTATAAAGGTACAGCATATTAACATAAGATAGCCACTAAGATTATTTTCATCTGTTGATTATAATAAAATTACAATATACTGCAATAATAAACCTGAATGCAATCTGGCAAAAAATATTCCATTAGAAGAGTAGAATTTTCTTTGGGAGGCCGAGGCGGGTGGATCACGAGATCAGGAGATCGAGACCATCCTGGCTAACACGGTGAAACCCCATCTCTACTAAAAATACAAAAAATTAGCTGGTCGTGGTGGCAAGCGCCTGTGGTCCCAGCTACTCGGGAGGCTGAGGCAGGAGAACGGCGTGAACCCAGGAGGCGGAGCTTGCAGTGAGCCGAGATCGCGCCACACTGCACTCCAGCCTGGGCGACAGAGCAAGACTCTGTCTCAAAAAGAAAAAGAAAAAAGAAAAAAAAGTAGAATTTTCTTACAGTATAATGTTTAGAAACACATGAGAAAAAAAGAAAAAAATAGATTTAAAAAATAGTAAATGTTTAACCTGTAATCCCTGCTACTTGGGAGGGTGATGTAGGGAGACTGCTTGAGTCCAGGATTTTGAGATCAGCCTGGGCAACATAGTGAGACCCCATCTCAAAAAGAATTTTCTTAACTGTAAAGAGAATTTTTTTTTACCACATATAGCAGCTAAGTGCTGACCTCTAGTGGCCATTTTTATTACTGCCACTGGACTACATTTACATTATTATTAATGACAAACTTGTTTTGGTGATACAGATCAACATATAATTTCCATTAACTTTTTAAACACTTAAACAGAACTTTTAAATATAAGATATTTACGGTTAAAAATCTTTACGGTTAAAAATCTTGGTATCAAAGTTTCAGAATTAAATCTTAGTTTTTAACTTCTTAGGTAACTTTGGGCAAGTTATCAAACTTCTCTGAATGTCAGTTTTCAAATCTATAAAATGGCAAATAGCAGGGTTTGAAGATTAGTCATCATTATTGCTAGTTTAATCATAAAATATGCAACTACGTCTCATTCTATGGAAGGTCTTCAGGCCTTACTTTTCCTAAGACTTTTTATAAATATCAATGCTTTTCAAACAATTCACAAGTCAAACATCAAAAATGCAGTCAATGTAGAATGATTTTTAATGAAAATTTCTAAAACTTCATTGGCTTTATCTGAAAAGGATGACTTTCTATAGTGTTCATTGTTTTGAATTCACTATAAAAAGAAAGTGATCTGGCCCGGCATGGTAGCTCATGCCTGTAATCCTAGCACTTTGGGAGGCCAAGGCAGGTGGATCACAAGGTCAGGAGTTCGGGACCAGCCTGGTCAACATGGTGAAACCCCATCTCTACTAAAAATACAAAAAATTAGCTGGCCATGGTGGTGGGCGCCTATAATCCCAGCTGCTCAGGAGGCTGAGGCAGGAGAATCGCTTGAACCCGGGAGGCGGGGGTTGCAGTGAGCGAGATTGTGCCACTGCACTCCAGCCTGGGTGACAGAGCAAGACTCTGTCTGAAAAAAAAAAAAAAAAAGTGATCCTAGGAAGAAAGGAAGAAATGTAATTCTCACTATTAAAACACCATTACTGCATACTTTTTCAAGAGCTATAACAGACTTCATATCTGCTCCAAAAGCAAAGTAGTAAAATTTTTAAAAAGAAAAAAAAAAGAAAAGATTTTATAGAATAAATGACTTTGAAACAATCATTCAAATCTTCTTTCCACACATCTCAGGATCTCAATAAATTTGAAACCCTAAAATTCTGAAGTTGCTTGGATGATCTCCTAAATTGGTATCATCAGAAAACATTATAGTTCTATACACAACTTACACAGTTTCTTTAAACATTCAAGAAGAAACTTGTATGACACAACTTTCCACTGAGTTAGGTCAAGACCATGTGAGGTCTTATAGGACTCAGCATCTTTTAGAACGCTTAATTTTTTTCATGGATAACATCCCAAGGTGACCCATGTTGACACTGGCTGGTAGAAAAGTCATCGTTCACAACTTAACTTTACAATCAAATGAAGCACTTTCATCTTCAGGATTACTCTCTACAAAAATTCATTTAAATTATTTTCCATTTTCAAATAATAAACACCTCTTAATCTTTTTTTGAGGATAGTGTTTTAAGTCACGTTGTTGCCATATTACTTTTTAAATTTTTAAGATATATACTTACGTTAACAAATACAGAAAAATGTGATGTCAGTGTAATTTGCATTAAGAATTAACATTTCTGAAAGCTAAGAAATACTGAGAATATTTATACAAGTAAATATATTTGTCTGTTAAATCAGTATCACACTTGTGATTTATATTTCATGCTAATCAGATCTGAATAATGAAAGAAATTCCTAATTTAACAATGGCTTACATTCTTCAAATAATTACTTTCCTTACACTTTACCTCTCTAGGTAACTGATTACATTGCTAATCATGTGTAATGATAATGGCTTTTCATGTCAATTAGAGGAATTTGTTACAGATAACTAATTCACCTTACAAATAAATTTCTGGTTAATTTACAAAGAATTTGTAAGGAATGTTTAGTGCCCTGAATTTCCTTTTTTTAAGCTGCATTTTCTTCTTTTTTTTTTCATTTATTTATTTATTTATTTATTTTTAGAGACAGGGTCTCACTCTATTGTCCAGTCTAAAGTGCAGTGGCGCCATCCTAGCTCACTGCAGCTTCAAACTCTTGGACTCAAGCGATCCTCCTGCCTCAGACTCTCAAGTGGCTAGGACTTCAGGTGCATGCCACCATGCCTGGCTAATTTTTTTGTTTTGTTTTGTTTTTGTTTTTTTAGTAGAGACAGGGTCTCATCTCACTATGTTGCCCAGGCTGGTCTCTTTTAGGGTTAGGGTTAGGGTTAGGGTTAGGGTTAGGGCCTCAAGCCAAATATGTATGCCTGTAAGCAATACTATATCATATCTCTTTCACTGTATGTGAGCATAAATACATCTATGCGTATGTGTGTATGTATATGTAAAAATTCATGTACACATATATACATTTGCTTCCCTCCTGTATGGAAAAATACCACTAAAGAATGGCCCACAGTCTAGACTGTTGTACGAATAAACATTTCTATTCTAAATTTGATTTATGTACACGTTGATGCCTCTATTTATATGTTACATATTTCCTTATATGTCTAAAAGTATTCATGTTTATGTGTATGTCTGTCTTTATTCCTAGTTAGATCTTTTCCTAGGCCCTGTGTCTGTGATTCACTCCAGACCACAGCATGGATTCTATTGTTCCTTGAGATCTGCAATTTCAAAACAGGAGACTGAGGCTGGGCTTAGCGGCTCAATGCCAGTAATTCCAACACTTTGGGAGGCCAAGGCAAGAGGATGGCTTGAGCCCAGGAGTTCAGGACCAGCTTAGGTAACACAAGTAGACCCCAGCTCTACAAAAATTAAAATTAAAAAAATTAGCCAGGCAAAAGGATTGGAAAGAGAAGTTCTCAGACATTGGTTTTCAGCTTTAACTTCTTGTCTGCACAGAGGATAAAAGCATCCACACGAAAATTTTGTATTTTTCTCCAAGGAGCAAGGAACAAACTACCAATGTTTTTAAGTTGCAGACAGCATCTCTATATCCAGTACAGAAATTTTATTTTAAAAGTTCTCAGGGCTGGCAATGATGGCTCACACCTGTAATCTCTCCCTGCACTTTGACAGACGAGACAGGGGGATCACTTGAGCCTGAGCAACATAGCAAGACCCCATCTCTACCAAAAAAAATTTGTTAAAGTAAAATAAAATAAATAGCTGGGTATGGAGGCACACACCTGTGGTCCTAGCTACGTGGGAGGCTGAGGTAGGGGAAGTGCTTGGGACCAGGACATCAAGGCTGCAGTGAGCTATGATTGTGCCACTGCACTCCAGCCTGGGTGACAGAGTGAGATCCTGTCTCAAAAATTAGAAGATAAATAAAAGTTCACACAGGCAAGAAAGAAAATAAGAATAGATTGTTAAATAAAATTTATAGGAGGTGATTGGTTTGGACTGAGCTCCTATACTAGGCCTAACAGACCAAACCAAAATGGAGTTACTCATGCTGAAGTTCCACTCACTAAGCCAAACTAAGTTGTTTATCTGACCTTCCACAAAATCAGGAGAAAGACAGGTAATAGCCAAATCCCCAAATGGGCCAGTTTTAGCTGGCATGATAAGGAAATTCCCTCTGTTTTCACCTTTACGAAGAAAGTAACCTTGCAACAGGAACCCACTTTTTGTTATGTTTCTGATTTCTTCAGCCATTTTCTGACTCTAAAGTCAACCTCCTCTGCTCAGCTCATCAGAGCACTCATTTTGAGGTGTTGCCTGATACTAGAGTTGCAAATAAAAGCCAGTTGAGATTTTTAAGGTAAATTTGTTTTGTCTTTTGGTAATTCTATAAGGAAAATGGAATATGAGTGGAAGTAGAAAAGGATAAATGAGCTTCAAATACTCTACCTGGTAGCAGATAAACAAAATAGTCAAGTTCTTACCTTTAAAAAATGTAGAAAGTACCTGATTCAAATGCATACCTGTGGATGCATGCAGACATAAACCCCCACACTGGAGTGTACATTTACTCTCTTTTCTCTACCCAGCATGCAACTGCCCTACTTAGTGGAACATTTATCTTGCTTCTGCATGGGAAGGGTCAGGCCTTTTTCACACTCTTGACCCTTGTATTTCAGGGTCACTGTCAGTTCCAGAGCGTTCAACCCAGACCTACCATCCTCTTGGCCTCAGTGACTGGCTCACTTGAGCCAATCAGACCAACCAGCGACAATATTGGGCATTTTGTTTGAATGATTTGGAAGAGGTCCTCCCTCTTTCTCATTGTGCTTGATGCCACGAGGATGCAGAGGGTGGAGCAATAGCAGTCATTTTGGCCCCATGAGGGAGAGACTGAAGCTGCCAGGGGATACCACAGGGGCCTGAAATGAAGCCAAGACTGAGAGAAGAGAAATCATATCCTGATGACAGCATGAGAACTTGGGATCCAGCCATTCTTGAAGCCAAGGTCTAGCGCTAGACTTTTCAATTATAAGAACCAATAAGTTTCTCCTTTTTTTTTTTCCTTAAGCCAGCTGGAATTAGGGTTTTTTGTTTGGTTTTTGTTTTAGTCATTTGCAACTGGTAGAGTCTTAACTGATAAACAAGACCCTGACAGCCTAATGATGACATAAGAAATACGCAGAAATTCAACTGCTCAACTGCCCTTCTCAGTCATATGCCAAGTGTGTCCCCTTTCTTCATATTTCTAATTCCTTGTTCATAGGGCTTCAGTAACCCTGTTAAAGGGTGCAATTCAATCAATGCACTTCTGATATATCAAATAATAATGCCTTTTATATGTATCATCTACAAAATTCATTTTATGTATATTTTTTAAATCCAAACAAACAACACTAAAGGAGATAGTAGTCACAGTTTAATGACTAAGAACTAACTAAAATGTTTTAAAGTTTACTTGGCACTAAGACCTCATAGCTAGAAAGCGGTAAGGAACAGGTCTTCATTATTCTTATCTTTATGTCTGTTATTCTTTTCATCATACCACAAATATTGTTATCTTCAAAAGTATAATTGGCTGTATGTATAAACAAGACATAAACATTAAGCAGATTAAGAGATATAAGACTTTTTTAAATAGTATAATCTTACCTAAATCAATATCTCGAATTCCCATGTACAACTCAAGAACATCATCAATCTTTTCAATTGCCTTTGCTTTGGTTTCAGAAGGCTTTATCAAAAAAGAGAGAAATAAGATATTATACAACAAAATCTCTTGATTGTCAGGGCATACACAAGAGAAAGCCTGATGTGGAGCCGGTTCATAATTGTGTATTTCAGCTAATTTTAATGGAAATAGATCTAGAATGTGCTCTGTAACTAAATACAAATCAATACAGTAAATACTTATTTCTAGTGTCAGCACTAAGTGTTACGGATTCAAAAAAGAAAAGCCAGGAACACAATCCCCAAGTAGCTAACAATCTAGAAGAGGAAACAGATGTGAAAATAAATAACATGTAACAGTTTTTAAAGGATATAAAAGGCACAGAAGCATCACAGGGGAGGAAGCAAATTTATATCTCTAACAGTCATGGAAGACTTTAGAAAGAAGGTGACTTGGCTGAGCACAGTGGCTCACACCTGTAATCCCAGCACTTTGGAAGGCCACGGTGGGAGAGTTGCTTCAGCCTAGGAGTTCAAGACCAGCCCAGGCAACATGGTGAGACTCCATCTCTACAAAAAAAATTAATTAATTAATTAAAATAATTAGCTGGGTGTGGTAGCACATGCTTGTAATCCCAGACACTTGGGAGGCTGAAACAGGAGGATCACTTGAACCTGAGAGGTCTAGACAAGCCTGGGCAACATGGCAAGATTCTATCTCTACTAATTAATTAATTTAATTTAAAAGTAACCAGGTGTGGTGGTATGCACCTTTAGTCCCAGCCACTCAGGAGGCTAAAGTGGGAAGATCACTTGAGCCCAGGATGACGAGGCTGTAGTGAGCCATAATTCTGCCACTGCCCTCCAACCCGGCAACAGGACAAGACCCTGTCTCAGAGAAAAAGAAGGATGTCTTAAGAACTGTGGCGGGGTTTTTTTGTCTTGCTTTGTTTTGTTTTGTTTTGTTTGAGACAGAGTCTCATTCTGTTGCCCAGGCTGAAGTGCAGTGGTGTGATCTCAGCTCACTGCAACCTCTGCCTCCCAAGTAGCTGGGATTACAGGCGTGCGCCACCATGCCCAGCTAATTTTTTGTATTTTTTTAGTAGAGACGGGGTTTCACCATGTTGGCCAGGCTGGTCTCCAATTCCTGGACTCAAGTGATCCGCCCACCTCAGCCTCCTAAAGTGCTGGAATTACAGGCATGAGCCATCACGCCCAGCCAAGAACTGTGTTTTCAATGATGAAGAGGAGATAAGCAGGAGAGGACACTTCAAGTAGGATGCAATAGATAGGCAAAGTCTAAGTAAGGTCACAGAGTCATGTTAGAGGGATGCCAGAAGTCCCATGTAGCTGGAGAACACAGTGACAAATATGACTAGATCTTGAGGAGTCCTGTGTACCATGAAAAGGACTTTGGTCTTTATGGTGCAGGCCAGGGTCTCCAAACGTTTGATGGCTCATCCCAATAGTAAAACTTTTCTGAACAAATACCCTTATTGTGTATTTTTAACTTTATTGTATGTATTGCTTATCAATTACACATGTATTACCATATTAATATATTGTATAGATTATAAAAATACACCAAAAAAGGAAATTTTATAAGAATGAGATGATAAAATAATACTTTTTAAATCATTTTTGTGTTATGTATTAATGGTACCAAAACATTTTTGTTCTTCCCGAAATGATTACTAAACATTTCAGTAAAAATATTATTTTAAATTTTTGGTTTAATATTTGGTAAATTCTGCTCAGTTTATTTCAATACTTGGCTTTAAATGGCATCATAGCTGAAAATGGAATTGCCCAAAGATGTTAACTACTCAACTATACATGCAAATGTAGAATTCATTATTTAGATTATAAGAATTTCATGTTACTTTCAATACTGTTATAAATATATGTTGTTTTGTAGTCTCAAATTTTATTAAAATCATGCATTTTATAGCAAATAAAAATCTATTTCCTTGAAGATATTAATACAACTTTCTCACATTTTTATTTACAAGAACTAAACCTTAAAAACAATAACAGACAATATATTGCTCTTGCCTTCATTACAATGTATCTTGAATTGTCTGTATAAAGCAACAGGCTATGCAAATTAACAGGTATTAACCTTTATATCTATCCAGGCACGTTTTAAGTTACGGTGACAAGTGTCAGTACTCCTCATACCCAAATGGCCACCAATATTTTACCATTCTAATATTTCCTATTTGCTACGGAACAGATCTGGATCTATCACCTCTTCTCCATCCACATTCTGTTTGCCAGTGTTTAGTCCTCATCTTTTCTGATTTGCAGAGGTTTCCTATTTTGTCTCCCTGCCTTTGGTCTTCACCCTCTCAAATCCAAGCTGCTCAACAACCCATACCCTGGAACCAAGGGATTTTTCTAAAACACAAAACTGATTGTGTTACTCCCCTCATAATTCTTAAATGGCTCCCTCATTATCCACAAGGCCCTTCATATCCTAACCCCAGCCTATGCCTCTAGCCTCATCACCCCTACCTAACCAGTACTTCCAGCACCCCACACTCCAATCTCATGAACAGCTTACAGGTCCCCAAAACCCATTATTGTTCCATGCCTAGAACACTCTTCTTCCCCATTTTGAACTCACTCACTAATTTCTTCCGGAGAGAAACACTTCCTGACCCTTTTTTTTTTTTTTTTTTTGAGATGGAGTCTCACTCTGTCACCCAGGCTGGAGTGCAATGGCATAATCTCGGCTCGCTGCAACCTCCGCCTCCTGGGCTCAAGTGATTCTCCTGCCTCAGCCTCCCAAGTAGCTGGGATTACAGGTGCCCAGCACCATGCCCAGCTAATTTTTATGTTTTTAGTAGAGATGGGGTTTCATCACATTGGCCAGGCTAGTCTCGAACTCCTGACCTCAGGTAACCCACCCACATCAGTCTTCCAAAGTTCTGGGATTACAGGCGTGAGCTACTGCACCCAGCCTTCTGACCTCCTTTCTTTCCCCAATCCCTGTCAATGGCTGATCAGCCCCTTCTTTGTGACACTGTGTATCCTGCACCTGCTTCCATTAACCCTATCCCACTGGGTTGTAATAGCTTCTTTTCATGCTTCTCTCCTTTTAGAAGAGAAACAGGGTTTTTATTCTTCTTTGTATCACCAGCACTTAGACTGTGCCTGTCTCAGCAAGCACATATTGAATAAAGTATGAGGTTATGCAAGTGGAGAATTGATATGGTTTGGCTCTGTGTGCCCACCCAAATCCCATCTTGAATTGCAATCCCCACGTGTCAAGGGAGGGACCTGGTGGGAGGTGATTGCATCATGAGGTGGTTTCCCCCAGGCTGTTCTCGTGATAGTGAGGGAGTTCTCACAAGATCTCATGGTTTCAAAAGCGACAGTTTCTCCTGCACACTCACTCTCTCCTGCCACCATGTAAGACGTGCCTTGCTTCCCCTTCACCTTCTGCCATGACTGTAAGTTTCTTGAGGTCTCCCAGCCATGCGGAAATGTGAGTCAATTAAACCTCTTTACTTTATAAATTACCCAGTCTCAGGTATTCTTTACAGCAGTGTGAAAACGGACTAATACAGAGAATCTTACACCATTTTCAGAATTTGTGCTAGGTGATTAAAGGAGTGATTTGTTTTAAATCCCATAAGTCCTTTAAATTCTTAAAGTGTTTGAAATTAGATTTTATGTCATTTGTATCAAATTTAATATTAGCACCAAACAGCTTTTTCCTTTCATTATGAGCTATTTTTAATTGCCCTATTTTACTAAACAGACTATGAAAATAGGAATAGATTTTTAGATGTTTATCTTTGAATGAATCTTTCCTACCTCCCCAGGTAGATCTTAAGCTGCTCCTTTTCCATTCAGGCACCTTTGCCACAGCAGGTGCTTAACAAAGAGTGACGAATGATTTAACCCTTAGAAGATGCTCCTCCTCCTGAAGGGACGTGGCATTTTTCCTGCTGACCTGCTTCCTTTGTGAGCTGTTTAAAGGTCTGCTCATTTTTCCTCACAGCCTCCAGCAAAAGGCAGAGCTGACATTCTCCTGGCTCCTCACAGCCAGCAACTTCCCTCTGTTCTTCCCTTCTCTGATAAATTCCTTTCTTCCACTGAGATTTGCTTATTCATTCAATAAACACTTACTGGCCTTCAGCAATATACCAGGCAGTGTGCTGGGCCACAGAGGGAAAATAAAGGCTCCAAATGCCCAGAAGTCACTGCCCTGGGTTTCCTTCACATACCTCATCATATCTCCTTTTCAAAACACTTTTTGCTCTATCAGATCTCTTCGTTGCCATTTGCCTCTGATCGGTCCTTTCATTCTCCCAGAACCCACGCATTTGACTCAGGATCTTCCTCTAGATCCCCCCAAAACTGACAACACCGTGGGTGCCTCGACATTCCTAAGGACAGCCTTGGCCTCATGTGTTCCTTAAGTGTCTACTTCAACAAACCACCCCCATGACCAACCCTGGACCTTGTCACCCAACAAGTTCTGAGATCCCACTCTGTGAAACAGCCTCAAAACTGTTCATCTGTCTGTTTTTCCCTTCAAACACATAGGAACCCAGACAGCATTCACATACAGAGAGACCCTAGAAGGGCCCAGAGCCTTGCCCCTGCCCCCCCGAGCTCACAGGCATCAGTCACCTGCTCGACATCCCATCTGCCCACGGGAGGGCTTTGACCCCCATGCCTTTGCTGCTGTTGTGGGCCTGCTGCTTGCCACTTGGAATCCTTACCATCGCCACCCCAAACTTGCAGTTTTCTTCCTCCACCCTTCTTGCCTCTAGTTGTCACTTCTCCTTCTGGTGTTTTTCACTCAAACACTGACCTATATATAGACAAAGTCATTCAAAGGGAAAAATCCTTGCTTTTCTCAAACTAAAAGGAATCGTTTACTAATTCATTAATGCACCAAAGATTTCCATTCCTTTGGTATATCAGGTCCTATTCTAGGTGCTGGGGATGCAGCAGTGAACAAGACATGTGAGCAAAGGAGCTAGACAGTAGACAAAATTAATCAAAGATATAGAGTCCTAGTGTGTTTAGTGCTGATATGGTTTGGCTGTGTCCCCACCCAAATCTCATCTTGAATTGTAGCTCCCATAATCCCCACATGTTGTGGGAGGGACCCGGTGGGAGGTAACTGAATCATGGCGGCAGGTTTTTCCCATGCCGTTGTTCTCATGATAGTGAATAAGTCTCACAAGATCTGACGGTTTTATAAAGAGCAGTTCCCCTGTACATGCTTTCTTGCCTACTGCCATGTAAGACGTGCCTTTGCTCCTCATTCACCTTCCACCATGATTGTGAGGCCTCCCCAGACATGTGGAACTGTGAGTCCGTTAAACCTCTTTTTCTTTATAAATTACCCAGTCTCAAGTATGTCTTTATTAGCAGTGTGAAAACAGACTAATACAATTGCTTTGACAAAAATTAAGGACATGGAAGAGTGGGCAGTGGGAGGGGTGGAGGGAGTTGCTGTTTATACAGGATGCTCGGGAAAGGCCTTTGAGATAGATAATGTGTGGGCAGAAACCTAATGATGGCAAGGGAGCAAGCTATGCAGATAAATGGGCAAAACATTCAGGCAGAGACAACAGCAGTACTGAGAGCCTGAGATGGGGATACACCTGGAGTGTTTGGGAACAGCAAGGAGATCAGCATGACTGAAGCAGAGGAAGCCACGGCAAAGGGATGGGAAATGAGAACAGAGAAGAAATACGGAGTTCGGTCATGTTGGTCATTCTGAGGACTTTAGGTTTTATTCTGAGTGTCATGGGAAGCCACTGGAGGGTTGTGAACAGAAAAGTGACATAATTTCTCTTGCATATTTTAAGGATCATTCTGAGGGTTGTGCTGAGCACAGGTGGAAAGAAGGCAAGGGTGAACACAGGTGGACTAAACAGAAGGTGATTGCAAAATCCAGGATAAGATGATGGTGCCTTGGGGCACAGTGGTGGGCAGGGGTGGTAAGAAGTCATTGGACTCCAGTATCTTATAGAGGTAGATCCACTAGGATCTGCTGATGGAAGCGACATGGGACATGAACGAAAAGAGTCAAAGATGACTACAGGTGTTTTATGTGAGAAGAGGAGTTTACGAATATAATCTTTCATTATCAATATCTTCTTTTGTTTACTCCTACAGGTGGCTCTGAAACATTTTCTTGGTTCTCAGAGAGCTTTGGTTGACTTAAGTTTTTGAGAGAGTCCAGCTGTCTATAGAGTCTAGAAACGTCACCTACAGGTAACTGAGAATTTCTATAGATCACAATCTCTTCTCATGTCCTTAATTTCTATATTTCCTTTTTAAATACCTTCAGTAATTTCCAGATTGTTTAAATAGACAGTGAATTAAAAGTCCAAGTTTTGGTTAGAATGAATGGAATTTTATCTAACTCAACATTTCCAAGCAGAACAGGAAGTAAATGAACATAACATACCATTTCTTCCACGGTGGCAGGACCTTTTGATCTCAGGCGAAGTGTTGCCCTTCCACAACCAATTTTTTCTCCTGATGACTTTCCAGCCTTTGACCTCAGCTCTATTTCTACAATACAATGAACAGGGAAACATACATATACACAGAAAGCATCCCAACAGATTACTGTGAAGGCTAATGTAGTTTCTATCACAAAACTATATACAATTGTTATAGAAATTTGATAAAACGTAGGCCTTCTTATAGAATTTCCCGAAGCAAAATAAATGTACTTGTCATCCATTATTCTTATAAGAGAGTCTTTATGAGAGAGTTCTAACTCCAAGAAAAGGGAATATGTGAAATGTACAGATGGGAAAGACAAAGTTACAAGGAAGAAAAAACAGTAGGCTCTACAAAAAGAGTAAAGAGGAGTAAGTGGTTTCATCAAAGTCACAAAAAAAGGGAAAGAATCATGTCTTGAAAGAAGAGAGGTTTCTTCTCCCAATGGACCAATAGAAAAAGAAGAAACAAAAAAAAAATTTAAAGGAAAAAAAAGAGAGAAGAGAGGGACAAGAGCACTATTATTTGAGGATCTACCCTCTGTGTGATGCTTTACATTAAAAAATCCCATTTAATACTCATACCAACCTATGAGACCGGTGATTGCCCTCATTTTACTGATAAGGGAACTGAAGGCAGTAAGAAATGGGGCTGGGATTCAAAACGAGGTCTTGCAGATACAAACCAGATTTCAAAGTTCATATGCTTTCCTGAACAACGCTCCAGCCCACACCTCTTGAAAGCACAAGGGATAAAATCAGAGTTGACATACCAACAGAAATAGGGTCCAAAAGAAAAAGAGCCTGAAAGCAGGTTCCAAGGAAGGAATTCCCTGCAGACAGCAAGGACAAGAGCAGGGAGCAAGAGTTCACAGGGAGCCACTACTTTCCTTATGCTTGTTTTTTCTGTTGTGTCTTATCCTGCATTTGCAACAAACTAAGCGTCACCACCAAATATGTTACCAAGCAGTAACATAAATGAGTGAAAGGGAAGGGCGAAGAAAGAGGATAATTGGAAGAAATGTGCCCTATGTAGGCCCCACTCCAATAACTTATTGTGCTGTGGGAATATAAGCCCTGCATAGCCAGATCATCCACTTTTTTTTTTTTTTTTTTTTTTTTGGTAGGCCCCACTCCAATAACTTATTGTGCTGTGGGAATATAAGCCCTGCATAGCCAGATCATCCACTTTTTTTTTTTTTTTTTTTTTTTGCAATGAAACTGGAGACTCAGGCCAGAGCGATTACAGTAATCTCATGCCTGAATCTCAGCACTTTGAGAGACCAAAGCAGGCAGATCGCTTGAGCCCAAGAGTTCAAGACCAGCCTGGGCAACAGGGTGAAATTCCATCTCTGCTAAAAATACAAAAATTAACCAGGCATGGTGGCACGCACCTGTAGTCTCAGCTACTCAGGAGGTTGAGATGGGAGGATAGCTTGAGCTCAGGTGGTCAAGGCTGCAGTGAGCCATGATTGCAACACAGTGAGACCCTGTGAAAGAAAGAAAAGAAAAGAAAAGAGAGAGAGAGAAAGAAGGAAAGAAAGAGGATACTCAGAGTTTTGTGTGCATCTCCGGATTTTTAAATTTTTTAAGTTTGGACAATTAAATCAAACTTTTAAAAACAACATATTGGCAAAAACAAAAGAGATCTATGGGTCAGATTCCAACCACAGGATACTAATTTATAACCTCTGCAAATACCGTGCGCTTCCTTGACTGAGGACTCCACATGGCAGCAGTTCAGGGGAAGAGGCAGGTGGGGAGGGGATGCTGCACTGAAGTAGAGGTCTCCAACCTCCAGGGCCGCAGACTGGTACCAGCCCATGGCCTGTTAGAAACTGGGCCACACAGCATTACCTTACAGCCTGAGCTCTGCCTCCCTTCAGTTCAGCAGTGGCATGAGATTCTCACAGAAAATGAACCCTACTGTGAATTGTGCATGTGAGGGATCTAGGTTGTACATTCCTTATGAATCTAACTAATGCCTGATGATCTGAGGTGGAACAGTTTTATCCCAAAACCATTCTCTCCTGCCTGCCCCATCTGTGGAAAAAAATTGTCTTCCATGAAACCAGTACCTGGTGCCAAAAAGGTTGGGGACCCCTGCACTAAAGAACCGGAGACAACTGAGCACTCCAGAGAGGCATCACAGGACAGGCTGGTGAGTACCAGTAGGCAGTGAGGTCTGTGCAAAGCTCTCATGACACAGACATGAAGTGGCCTGCATTCTTACTTAGAACCTAGGCAATATGTCTTCTTTTGAGAAGTGTCTGTTCATATCCTTTGCCCACTTTTTCATGAGGTTGTTTTTTTCTTGTAAATTTGTTTATTTGTAGATTCTGCATATTAGCCCTTTGTCAGATGAGTAGATTGCAAAAACTTTCTCACCATGAGATACCATCTCACACCAGTTAGAATGGCAATCATTAAAAAGTCAGGAAACAGGTGCTGGAGAGGATGTGGAGAAATAGGAACACTTTTACACTGTTGGTGGGACTGTAAACTAGTTCAACCATTGTGGAAGACAGTGTGGCGATTCCTCAAGGATCTAGAACTAGAAATACCATTTGACCCAGCCATCCCATTACTGGGTATATACCCAAAGGATTATAAATCATGCTGCTATAAAGACACATGCACATGTATGTTTACTGCAGCACTATTCACAATAGCAAAGACTTGGAACCAACCCAAATGTCCATCAATGATAGACTGGGTTAAGAAAATGTGGCACATATACACCATGGAATACTATGCAGCCATAAAAACTGATGAGTTCATGTCCTTTGTAGGGACATGGATGAAGCTGGAAACCATCATTCTCAGCAAACTAGCGTAAGGACAGAAAACCAAACACTGCATGTTCTCATTCATAGGTGGGAATTGAACAATGAGAACACTTGGACACAGGAAGGGGAACATCACACACCGGGGCCTGTTGTGGAGTGGGGGGAGGCGGGAGGGATAGCATTAGGAGATATACCTAATGTAAATGACGAGTTAATGGGTGCAGCACACCAACATGGCACATGTATACATATGTAACAAACCTGCACGTTGTTCACATGTACCCTAGAACTTAAAGTATAATAATAATTGAAAAAAAGAACCTAGGTGATATGGTTTGGCTCTGTGTTCCCACCCAAATCTCATCTTGAATGGTTATCCCCATAATCCCCACATGTGGAGGGAGAGACCAGGTGGGAGGTGATTGGATCAGAGGGATGGTTTCTCCCATGCTGTTCTCATGATAGTGAATCAGTTCTCATGAAATCTGATGGTTTTGTAAAGCAGTTTTCCCTGCTCTTGCATGCTCTCTTTCGTCTGTTGCCATATAAGACATGCCTGCTTTCCCTTCCGCCATGATTTTAAGTTTCCTGAGGCCTCCCCAGCCATGTGGAACTATGAATCAATTAAACCTCTTTTCTTTATAAATTACCCAGTCTCAGGTATGTCTTTATAGCAGTGTGAGAACAGACTAATAAACCAGGATAATTCCCATCTTCAGCCAAGTACTGTTTTGCTATTAGGAATCTATGCCAAAGTGATTAAGGAGTTTGCATATTAATTTTGCATATTAATTTTGACCTATATTCAGGAACAGAATCACCAAAACATAAAACATAAGTCTTCCTCTGAGAATACAATTATTAAAAATTAGCATGTAATTAGTACACTAGCCCCGCCTAACCAAAAACCTATAAATGGTGGCTGATGATTTGGGAAACATCCAAATGCTAATCCAGGTGACCCAACATTCACAGGAGACCAGAGCTGTATCAGCAAGCCTACAGTATTGGCCTTGCCAGTTATAGTATGTCCTGTGTGAGGGAAGAAAGAATTATCATGCACTCAGCATAGAGTTTCAAAAAGAGTATCCAAAGAAAAAGATTAAGTTGACCTATCATCAGCACTGTCCAGGATTCCGTACTGCCTAGCAATGTAAGTATCCCCAGCCCAGAGTCATGTATATCCCTAAAGTGGTGAAGATAGCTTCGTCTTAATGGTAGTAACCTTAAGACATGCAACCTCCTTCCCCGACCCTACTGCAATTTCACCAAGCAACCTACTTGGTATGGTTTGTCTGCCCATATAAATTTCCTGCAGGGTGAAAAATGAACTTCTCATCTACCACATGTGCTTTGGTTTACCATTGATTACACATTTCTAATTGTAAAATAATATATTGCCAATCTGACTTTTCAAAAAGTGTCTCTTGTAAGTTTGGTGAGCATGATATAGCCCTGAAAAACTGAACAACTCTACATACATTGAAAAAAAAATAAAAATAAAAAGGTTTCTGGGACTTACAAAGCTAAGGACCCAGCCTCTGGAGTGTGGGGCTTCATAAAGGTTGTATCATCCCTGCCCAAGAAGTCAGCTGGCCTCTCTACATGACGTTTCTATCTTATCTTGCTCTTACCTGCAACACTGGTAGCCAGAAGGGAAAATGTATGTAGCATAGAAGACTTTTCATTAATAAATCTTTTTTGATAGAGCAGTTTTAGGTTCAGAGCAAAACTGAGCAGAAAGTACAGAAGGTTTCCATATGCTCCCTATCCCCACCACACAGGCACAGCCTCTCCCATTATCAACCTCCAACACCAGAGTAAGACTTTTGCTACAACTGATGAACCTACATTGACACATCATAATCACCCAATGTCCATAGTTTAGAGTTCACTCTTGGTGTTACACATTCTATGAATTTGAATAAATGTATATTATAATATATATCCACCATTGTAGCATTATACAAAATGGTGTTACTGCCCTAAAAATCCTCTGAGCTCCTCCTATACATCCCAGATTTTTTTTTTTTATCATTATGTATTTGCCAAGCCATCTCAAAGCTAACCACTTGGTGGCACCAAAGCAAAAGTTAAATTTTAAATTCTGGCTTGGACCAGCCTCCAGAGGGCAGTTTTCACCTCTAAGGAAACAGAAGCCGTGTTTGTCTATGAGCCTATGATCCAGGTACATAAATCAATCTGTTTATAGACAAAAACAAGCAGGATGGTCCTGTTCATCCACAGGGGAAAAAACAGGTTTTGTGTTTTTGAAATGTTTTGGAGACCACATATATTTATAGCCTGGCCTACTTTTGGGGTGCTGGCCTGTCTAAGCACGTCTGGCCAACCAGGCCAAGCCCTAAATCAGTCACTTCACATGAACGGATCTGCACAAGGCTTCTCTTGGGGCTGAGCTATGACAGGGATGCAGTGGATACAGTAGGCACTGGTAACCAGCCTGCACCTGCAGCTAGCTAGCTGACTCGCTAGATGCACCAGGGCTCCCAGTTGAGTGTACTGGCCGTCCGCCTGTCATACGTCACTTAGGGCACAGGAATGCACGGCTTGTGGGTGCCTAACCGCTCCCACAGTGGAGTTGCACATAGCCTAGAAGCAATCAGGTTTGTTCCCAGACCTTTTTGTGGCAATTGTATCTGTTACTCTAATTATGTGCTTTGATTTAAAAGTACATGAGCTGATGAAATGAGTGTAAAACAAGGAGTTATTAATGCTATGAAAACTAGGTTGATGGTTGACTGCCTTGGATAGACTCCATAAGAATGAGTTGCAAAAAAAAAAAAAAATAGGTATGGGCAAGATGACTCTAGGAGATTAGAAAAAATATTTTTGGCTGGGTTCAGTGGCTCACACCTGTAATCTCAACACATTAGCAGGCCAAGGCGGGAGGATCACTTGACCTCAGAAGTTCAGGACCAGCCTGGGCAACAGAGCAAGACCCTGTCTCTATTAGAAATTTTAGGCTGGGTGCCATGGCTCACGCCTCTAATCCCAGCGTTTTGAGAGGCCAAGGGTGGCGGATCACTTGAGCCCAGGAATTCGAGACCAGCCTAGGCAATATGGTGAAACTCCATCTCTACAAAAAAATACAAAAATTAGCCAGACAGGGTAGCATGTACCTGTAGTCCCAGCTACTCAGGAGGCTGAAGCAGGAGGATTGCTTGAGCCCAGGACATCAAGGCTGCAGTAAGCTGTGATCACGCCACTGTACTTCAGCCTGGGTGACAGAACAAGACCTTGTCTCAAAAAAAGAAAAGAAAAACAAAATATTTCATCAGCCAGGCATGATGGGACATGCCTGTAGTCCAAGCTACTCAGGAGACTATGGTGTGAAGATCATCTAAGCCTGGGAGTTTGAGACTGCAGTGAACCATGATTGAAAAGAAAAAATATTTTTAAACAGCCATCATTTCACATATCTGTTTTTTTTTAATGAAATAGAACCCACACATATGCATTAAGGTTGTGATTACATAAGACAGACATCTTAGAATTCCAATTTGTGTCCTCTACTCAAAGGCCTTTTACATTAAGAGTGATAAAAGAATGTACACTTCTATGTTTTAAAACATAGAAATGGGAACTTTCTGTACTTTCTGTTCAGTTTTGCTATGAACCTAAACATTGATTTTTAGTTTTCATGTCGGGAGTACGAGTGCCGGTTTCTTACATGCATATGCTGCTAGTGGTGAAGTCTGGGCTTTTCGTGTACCCATCACCCAAATAACGAATGCTGTTCACTATTCACATCTATGTTTTAAATTAAAATAAAATGTTTATATATACATATATCATTCTTTACAAGAGCCTATTTTAACTGACATTTTCAATAAACAAGCAAACCCCTAGTTTTTGCTATTTGATGAAGCTCAGGTAGAGAGAAAGGGAAATGGAAAAGGCAGAAAGGATCTGTCTTCCTCCCAACAGCCTGTGCCTCGGCCCTAGGGAAAGAAGTGCTGACAGAAGACAAAAGCACTGTTTTCAGGAGTAGCACATGCAACACGGCTTAGATCCTCAACTGACGGAAGGACCAAGCAGTGGGGAGGCTGTATATTCTCCCCACTTCCGCACAGAACGAGGCCTTGTTCTGGTCCCATGAGAGCCCTGGTTGGCCTGGAGTATGGAGCAGCACCTATGGGGCCTGGGCAGAGACCATAATTTCAACATGAAGTGGGCACAGATGGACACTGCTGTATCCAAGTTGCTCAGTGAACAAGAAATAGCCCAAAGATGCCCAGAGGGAAGAATGGGATGCTATGGACACAGAGAAGGTCAACAAGGTTGCCTAACAGGATCACACTTCCTTGGAGCACATGTGAAGCCCTTGAGAACATCTGGAAATAGTTGTAAAGGGGGAACACTGTAGTGGGCTGAGGGCCTGTGTGAAAATGAGGTAGGAGAAAAAAATAATGAGTGGCATTTTGGTGACAAAAAGGAAACAAACCAATTACTTTCAGTTCCAAACTGTGAAATGAAAGTTGTTCTAATATTTCTGATTAGATCTCTGCTGAAAGTGAGACCCTGATAAAATTTTCCTGACTTCTCAAAAGCATATTATCTGGCTCTCTTAAAACATCTTACAAGGACTTTAGTACTGAGGTCTGATTATCTCTACCATCACTCTGTTTTCAAATGTGGTATCACGATGCTTGTAAGTAATGCTCTCAATTGCATTCTGATCACTGATATCTACTGGGATTACTTATAAGAAAATTAGTATTTTGGTTCAATCTGTACTGTTATCCACAGTGTTGTGGTTAAGAACATGGACTTTGGAATCAGAGCACCTTAGTTAAAACCCCAGTTCCTCACCTTGCAAGTTGTGTGAACTTGAGGAATAAGTTCTTATTTACAAAATATTTACACCTATTTACAGCATAGTTTTAAGTACTCAAATGACCACTGTATGAAAGATGCTTTGCCCATTGGCCTGGCTCACGTTAATAGAACGCTGCTGCTAGAGTTTATAATTTGCTTCTGCTGGTGTGTTTCAACCTGGAGAGAGGGAAATGTGCCCTTCCACTGTCTCCTAACAAAACAACTTATATAGATTTTCTCTCTAAAAAATGAAACATGCAAAGGCTCCTCGTAAAATGTTCAGAAAGCTGTCACTTGAAAGGCCAGGGGCAAAGGTCTCTTCTTTATTCTATTTTATTTCTTCTTTAAAACAGTATGATTTCTCCCTAAAATTTAGAGGAGGGTGGAAACAACAGATGGCCCCTCCCATTGCTCCATCTGAGGTCCTCTAAAGTGGATGAGTGTAAGCCCAGCCCCTCACAGGGCACTTTGTAATGGGCTCCTTCTAGTGAGGAAGGGGAAGAAGAGCCCACTGAGGGGCCCAGAGAAAAGAGTAAAATCCTTGGACTCTGTGGTCTCTGTCCAGTACCCCCCGCCGCCCCAATATCCCCTATTACAGTTTTATCACACCATGTGGGCAAGTGACCATCCATATCACCACTCCATCCCAGAAAAGTAAACATGCAGCTCCCTCCCCTAACCACCCATGCAGGGTGAACTCAGCTATCTCATCAAATTCAACCAACAGTTTCTGTACTTTCCATCTCTGAAGTTACAGAGCACCAAGAGAAATATCAAAGGGTGGGCCAGATGGCAACTCAGCAGCACTCGGCAGGATGTGCGCACCAGCAATCCTCAGTATTGCAGACCCAGGAATGCTTATTTTTTTCAGTGTTCCCAGAGCTGATCTGAATCTTAGCGATTGATTCACACTAGCCAAATTCACAAAGAACAGATCTCACCAAATCAGTTTATTAATCCATAGGGAGAGATGTTATCAAAGGCCCAAGTGGGCTCCCATGCTTCATTCTCACATGCCTGAGACTTCCTGGAGAAAGTGATTCATAAGCAGAGACTCAACCATCACAGGTAAAGACAGCAAGGCTAGATGGGTAAAGGGGAGGAGTAGAGAGAGGAAAGTGTTCCAGGCTATATAGTTCAGCAAGTTCAAAGATTCCAAAAGCGATGAATGGAGAGGTTACATTTCCAAGTCCCTCCCACCTAGGCAACTCTCAGTTCATTCGTTCTCTATCCCTTCCAGAAATGATTCCTTTGAAGTTTTCTACTCACAGGGTTACCTGAGAGGTTTAGTGTGCATGTCACCAGAGCAAAGGACTTTGGCATTAAGGACAATTCTCTCAGGACAAGACTACAAACAGGGAGTTCACAGTTACATATAGTATACAGACATATTTGTTGGATGTGCAGTGTTTTCAAATTTTTTAATTAGTTGCAACCTTTTAAATATTGGGTGATTTCTCATAAAAATTCAAATTTTTGGTTTCTCTTGGAGAATGACACATTTCTACAAAGCAATAATAATTAGAGTCAACAGCTCTACCTGGGCTTTGTGGCTTTCTGCCCCCATTTTCAGATATCTCTCAAGGTATAGAGGTTCCCTCTACAGATGGCTACCTATCAAGCATTATAGGCTGTTTCTTTTTTTTTTTTTACTTTAAGTTTTAGGTTACATGTGCACAACGTGCAGGTTAGTTACATATGCATACATGTGCCATGTTGGTGTGCTGCACCCATTAACTCGTCATTTACATTAGGTATATCTCCTAATGCTATCCCTCCCCCTTCCCCCACCCCACAACAGGCCCCCGTGTGTGAAGTTCCCCTTCCTGTGTCCATGGGTTCTCATTGTTCAATTCCCACCTACGAGTGAGAACATGCAGTGTTTGGTGTTTTGTCCTTGCGACAGTTTGCTGAGAATGATGGTTTCTAGCTTCATCCACGTCCCTACAAAGGACATGAACTCATCATTTTTTATGGCTGCATAGTATTCCATGGTGTATATGTGCCACATTTTCTTAATCCAGTCTATCATTGTTGGACATTTGAGTTGGTTCTAAACTAGCATTATTCTTCAAGACCAATTTTATTTCAAAAGAAAAAAAAACACACTATATTCATCTAGGGATAGTCAAGGTAAATTATTTGGGGTAAGTCAAAGGTAATGCCTTTTTATTAACCAAGCATTGACTATATCCCAGGTAACAGCATATAAAATTATCTACATGTTTTTAATACTCATAAAACTATTATGAGATAGGTATGATTATTATCCTAATTTCATGATTCAGGAAACCAAGGCTTGGAAAAGTGAAATGATTTCACCAGGATCACAGACAACCAGGTAAGTGGGCAGAGCTGGAATAAAAGGCCAGGCAGGTCCACCCTAGAAACACTACCTCATTTTGCATTCTATTAAAAGTTATGAGTTGCCATTGGTAAATAACTCTCATTGGTTGTTTTAGCACCCATTGGTCATTTAAGGATCACTGCGGATCAGGGGAAGCTGACTGCTCCTAGCTTCAGATATGGGACACAAGAATGGGCTAAGCCAAACTGATCCCCTTCATCACAGTGATTGTTTCAGAGGCAAGCATGTGACTAAAGGCCGCAAGGTCAGAATAAATCTCAGGACTTTTGCTAGAAATTCTGAGCCAAAGTCTCTCTCCTTTTCTGCTCTGCATGAATAAGAAAGCAGATGGTCCCAGCAGTTGCTGACCACCATCTTGGGACACAGTGTGGAGCTAACCTTAATATGATGATACCTAAATGATGAATCAGGTACATCAGACAGGACATCAGAAGAGAGAAAAGGCAAGGAACTGAGTCCTAGTCACATTGTATGGGCCCCACACAGAGCTTTGCTAATGCCAGCATCACTCATGGACTGCTGGTTTGTACAATTCCCGTTTCTGCTTAAGCCAGTTTAGTAGGGTTTACCATGGTCTCCAAATGAAAGAAACCTCACAGATAAAGAATTCTGTCCAAGTAATGAGGCAACCCATCTGAAAAGACCTTCCAATGCTTAGATACATACCAACAGCATTGTCCATAAACACATGCTCCCTACCCCACATTCACCCACAACCTATGTACACACTCCTCAGGATAGCTGACACAAAATCTAGCTTGTGTCTCAGAATTTAAGATTTTAACGACACTCCCTTTCTCCCTGCATCCTTCCTCTCTCCAATATTTCTGAAGCTTCTTTAGAATAGGCTTTAAAAAAATACAATTAGTAGGGTGCTGAGACAGACCAAAGGCAAGGAAAAGGAGGCATATACTGATGCCACCTGCATGAAGGTGTCAGTTGTTGTCTATTGGATCAAAAGAGCTGCCCACATATGAATGAACCCCACAAGCACACAAAGGTGGCTCAACCATTCCGTCGATAAGACAGAACAGGGTGTGATGCATATCAGAAGTGCAATAACTGTGCCAGAAATCTTCTTGTTCTTTAGTTAAGATGTCATTTAAGAAAGCCCCAACGCTGTTTTCATAACTCCCTGAAATTGCAGGCACAAGTTAATGTGCATCTCTGGGGAAAAAGTTCATACCTTTAATCCAGAGGAGACTGTGTTACAAAAAAAGATTACAAACCTCTAGACTCTAATTTGGAAAGGTAAAAGGTCGTTCTTTTAACAAAGAATGATAGCTAAAATATTTCGTTTTATCCTTTCACTTATTTTACCCTATAATATGATTTTATCATGGGAATTCAAGAAATAAAAATTATTGTTCACCTTTATTACTGGTTTATTACACAGCCTGGACCTTCCCCCTAGACTTTACAAAGTTAAGAAAAATAGTTACCAAAACAGATCCTGCAAATGTAAAGAGTTGATAACATATTCTACCACATTTCTCACATGGAACTATTTATAATAAAATTGTTTAATGAGGAGCATCATATAGTTGAAAACTGTAAAGCTACAATACGTAGAATAAGTTTCTTCTACTTCCTAGAATGCTAGCTCTTTTTTTTTTTTTTTTTTTTTTTTTTTTTTTTTGAGACAGAGTTTCACTCTGTTGCCCAGGCTGAAGTGCGTTGGCACCATCTCAGCTCACTGCAACCTCCACCTCCCAGGTTCAAGTGATTCTCATGCCTCAGCCTCCCCAGTAGCTGGAATTACAGGTGCGTGCCACCATGTTCGGCTAATTTTTATATTTTTAGAAGAGATGGGGTTTCACCCTGTTAGCCAGGCTGGTCTCGAACTCCTGACCTCAAGTTATCTGCTTGCCCCAGCCTCCCAAAGTGCTGAAATTACAGGCATGAGCCACCACACTTGGCCAGCCTTCCTTTTTAAAATAATTGTTTTCTTGTTATGAAAGTTAATGTGTTTGTTTTATATTTAAAATGTGGAAAATATAAGCCTAAAGAAAAAAAGTCAGCCGGGCATGGTAGGTCATGCCTGTAATCCTAACACTTTGGGAGGCCAAGGCTGGCATACTGCTTGAGCCCAGGAGTTCAAGACCAGCCTGGGCAAAGGAGTGAGATCCCATCTCTACAAAACACTGAAAAATTCGCTAGGTTGGTGGCCTGCACCTGTGGTCTCAGCTACTTGGGAGGCTGAAGTGGGAGGATCTTTTGAGCCCTGCAGTGAACTGTGACTGCACTACTGCACTCCACCCTCAGAGAGTGAGACCCTGGAAGGAGGGAGGGAGGGAGCAAGGGGGAGAGCAAGGGAGAGAGGGAAGGAGGGAAAGAAAAGGAAAAAGGTAGGGAAAGAAAGGGAGGGAAAGAGGGAGGGAGAAAGAGAGGGAGGGAGAGTAAGGAAGGAAGGAAGGGAAGGGAGGGAGGGAGGGAGAAGAAATTAAAAGGAAAGAGAAAGAAAAGCCGTCCATAAACTCGCCACCTAGGCCGGGCACAGTGGCTCATGCCTGTAATCCCAGCACCTTGGGAGGCCGAGGCAGGTGGATCACCTGAGGTCGCGAGTTCGAGACCAGCCTGACCAACATGGAGAAACCCTGCCTCTACTAAAAATACAAAATTAGTCATGGTGGTACATGCCTGTAATCCCAGCTACTTGGGAGGCTGAAGCAGGAGAATCACTTGAACCTGGGCAACAGAGGTTGCAGAGAGCCGAGATAGCACCATCACACTCCACCCTGGGCAACAAGAACGAAACTCTGTCTCAAATAAATAAATAAATAAAATTAAAAATCCACTGTAAGGTATTTTTCTTCTACACTTAAAAAGTTTTTGCAAAACTGGGATATTACAGCACGTTGTGTTGTAATCTGTTTTTGTTTTGTTTTGTTTTGTTTTGTTTTTGAGATGGAGTCTTGCTCTGTTGCCCAGGCTGGAGTGCAGTGGTGCGATCTCTGCTCACTGCAAGCCCCGCCCCCTGGGTTCATGCCATTCTCCTGCCTCATCCTTCCAAGTAGCTGGGACTACAGGCGCCTGCCACCATGCCTGGCTAATTTTTTTGTATTTTTAGTAGAGATGGTGTTTAACAGTGTTCGCCAGGATGGTCTCAATCTCCTGACCTCGTGATCCGCCCATCTCGGCCTCCCAAAGTGCTGGGATTACAGGCGTGAGCCACCACACCCTGCCGTAATCTGCCTTTTCACATTTTTTTCTTTTTTTTTTTTTTTTTGAGACAGAGTCTTACTCTGTCACCCAGGCTGGAATGCAGTGGCGCGATCTCAGCTCATTGCAACCTCCGCCTCCCAGGTTCAAGCGATTCTCCTGCCTCAGCCTCCCAAGTAGCTGGAATTACAGGAGACTGCCACTATGCCCGGCTAATTTTTTGCATTTTTAGTAGAGAGGGGATTTCACCATAATAGCCAGGCTGTCTCAAACTCCTGACCTCAGGTGATCCGCCCACCTCAGCCTCCAAAGTGCTGGGATTACAAGCATGAGCCACCGCGCCCAGCCTCACAAACATTTTTCCACACATAAATCAAATTGCTTATCTGCCTAACTTATCTGAAAACATACTCTGACTACGATTTTTAACATAATTTATTAGATCCATTTTCCTATAATTAAATGACAATTCCCGTTGTAAAAATACTCTTGGGGAGAATATGTATTATTTATATAATTGCTGTTTTCTAATAAATAACATTATAGTCATACTATTCAGATTAGAAAAGCCACTTACATTTAAGCATCATTTTTTACCCCTTCATCTCACATTGCTGTTTTAATTAATAAGCTTAAAAACAGTTGAAAACTATTATGTACCTCCTATTCATGGTTGTTATTAACTCTAAATGGTCCTTAAAAAACATTACGGTTCTGGTCGGGCAAGGTGGCTCATGCCTGTAATCCCAGCACTTTGGGAGGCCGAGGTGGGCGGATCACGAGGTCAAAAGATTGAGACCATCTTGGCCAACATGGTGAAACCCCGTCTCTACTAAAAATACAAAAAATTAGCTGGACGTGGTGGTGCGTGTCTGTAGTCCCAGCTACTCAGGAGGCTGAGGCAGGAGAATGGCTTGAACCCAGGAGGCGGAGGTTGCAGTGAGCTGAGATCGCACCACTGCACTCCAGCCTGGTGACACAGTGAGACTCCATCTCAAAAAAAAAAAAAAAAATTACAGTTACAAGACATCAATCACTGTTTAGGGTAAATGTCTTGAAAAATATAGCTTACAAAGTTTTTAGTATTATAGATTATAATAATTTCATTTTTCTCAGATTAAAAACTGAGCATTCGATAAAAAAAATTTTAATGCAAGTTTACAACTAGAGTAGAAAGGATCTATATTTAGGTATCCAGCTGGGTCTCTACCTTGAAAACCAATTTATCAATTACACTCAGCACTTGTCTAACACATCTGTGACACTCCACAAAAGGGAACTTGGATTTTTTTATTCATCTTCTCCCATAGTATCTTTGTGACAAATGCTAAGCCAAAGTGTAGCTAGATACGAAGAGGCCAGGAAAAACTCTACTACATAATAAGATGATCGACAGTATGCTCTGCCCCTCAAAATCTGTCACTGTGTACACTTACTTTGCCAAAAAATACATGAAAGAGAGTATCACTGTCAGATAAAATGCAATACACCTGAAACTGAACTTTTATCCCTGACTGTCCCCCAAACCATTTCTACATCCCAACTGCATCATTTCCAATTATAGCATCATTGTTATCACAGGCTCCTAGGATAGAAATCTTGGGAGTGACATTTGCTTCTGAACCTTCTCCCTTCTCCCCTTTAGCTAAGTGTCATCAATCCACCTCCTACCCCATTTTTACCCTTACAATATTACTCACACTTTTTATTTCCTTTGAATTCCCACTGCTGCCCCTAATCCCAGTCCTGATCATTTCCTCCTGAACTGTTCCAACAGCCTCTTACATGGTTTATCCTCTAGTCATATATAGCCACATTGGTCTCCTGGGCTTAATTCCCAAATATCTGCTTCATCATGTCATTCTTCAGTTCTAATATCATCTAAATGATTCCCTATTACTCTGTAAAACAAGCCTGGGTTCCCCACCAGAACCCAGAGCTATTAATAAGAGCTCTGAAAAATAAGAGTTTTCAGAGCTCTTATTAATAGGGTCCTGAGCGGCTTTTGCAGCCTGATTTGCTACAGATTTCTGTAGTGGCTTTTAAATTTTACTCCACAATTCTGAATGTAAGAAATGCCTAATTGAATCTGACTTTGAGCACCACCCCCGGCCCCCTCTCCCCCCTCTACACACCACTGGCATGGCACAGGTTTGGTGAGAAATTTACTCTTGGTTTTGCTTTGAAGGCCTCTCCCCATCTCCCAGGCTTCAAAAGGCTGATGCTGCACTCTGTCCATCATAGACCAGACCATGAAGCTCTACGTCCAAGTCAGTGTGTGCACTCACAGGCCACCCCCACACCCACACCCAGTGTGTACAAGGGCCTTTCACCTGAGATCGCAAAGCCACAGCACTTAAAAGCTCTAATATCCTTATGCCATTCTATCAGATGTCCTGTCGCCTTTCATGAGAACAGGACATTGATCCCTGTTACTGGTGGGACCTGCCATAAATCACCTGTCTCATAGCTTTCTTTGTTGAGGGAGTTTCTTTCCAATCTTACTACCTCTCAATCCCTATCACTCTCTAAGCCTTAGAACCCCTCCCAATCATGGACAAGTCAGCGCTCAGATAAACTTCACTCTTTAAATCTGCACTATAGCATGCATCATGGTCTGCATTATGTTCTGAAGAAGCAGTAACACATAATGTTCAGAGCACAAGCCTCGAGAGCAAACAGGACTGGAGTGCTATGCCCACACTTACGCCTGCCACTGGGCAGTCTTAATGAATTAACTGCCCAAGCCTCAGTTTACCTAGCTGAAAAACCCTCATAGGAATGGCATGAGGATTATTAAGTCAGGCCATAATAGCAGTAGTCCTAGTCACAATGGGTTGCAATTACATAACACTGTTCTAAGCACATACATACATTAACTCATTTCATCCTCAAAATACTTTATGGGTAAGTAAACAGGCTTATAGAGGGGTTAAATAACACCCCAAATCACACAGTTTAAAAGCAGCAAAGATAGGAATCAAACCTAAGTAACTGAGCTCACAGTCTATGCTCTTCACTGCTATACTATATTTCATTCAACAAATGGTAGCTATTATTGTTAGTAGAATTACTTGATTCTTAATGTATCTGCCTCTTTATGTAAACTGTAAGTTCCCTGAGGACAGCAAGCATGTTGACTCACTGTAACAGCTGTTAGAGAGCTGGCTCTGGAGGCTGACTGCTTGGTTTAGAAGTGTGCCTCCCTCGCTCACTAGCTGTAACCTTGGGCAAACTGCTTCACCTTTTAGGTTGGTTGTAAGGACTAAATGATTTCCTACTTAGAAAGTCCTAGGAAAAGCGAATGGCAGCTACTATTATGATGTACTGACATATTTCCTTAGTTGATATGAGATGTGATATTGCCATCTGTCTTTCCAGAATCCAAACAGTGCCAGAGTTCTCAACAAATACTTGTTGATCACCAATTCATCCACATTGCTTTTCCTGTTTCAGTGGGTTTATCTTGTTTCTAAAATTATTCCTTAAAGAAAAGGATACACCTTTATAATAATAGTAATAATAACAGATAACTTATTGAAGACTTACTATATACCAGGGACTGCTCTATGATTCTTTCATGTTTAATCATTTAATCCTCACAACAGCTCAATGTGGTAGACACATCTTCACATTTTGTATGAGGAGACCAAGGCACAGAAAGGTTAAATAACTTACCCAATGTCACATATCATAAGCCAGTCCCTGGCAGAGACTACACACTTAACTACTGAAATTTATCATCTCTTTTGTAACTTTTTTCATATTCCCAAATATATTTTGTAGAATTCAGTATATATGAAAAGGTACCAAAAGTATTAATTGATTGAAATTTTTTCCCTAGATACAGCATGAATAATAAAAAGTAATTTTTAAATGTTTGAAATGTCTATCCAAAAAGTCATATAAAACTTAAAAGCCACAGTTTATCTCTTAATATCAAATAGGCTTAGCCTTTGAAGTGAGTACATCAGTTAAGCTGAATCACGAAGATGAGGTCCGAGTTTTCCAGCTGTGAATGACTCAAAAGACTAAGATGCACTTCACATACTTAACATCCTATTCTGATGGATACACCGCACAGAAATGAATCTTCTAAAAGAAGATATAACCCAATGATCTGTTACAAAATCCAACCCTAAAATAAAGACCATAAATGCTTTAGGAGGTAAGTTTCTTCTTCCAATTTTCTTCCTGCTTTTGAAAACTCTTACAGAAATATTTCAGGCCTCCTTCCTCAAACCTCTTTCCATAAAGGGCACGCAAGAATCACAAATTGGAAATTTGCAGGATAAATGAAGTCGAGACTCATTTAAGTAAAACCAAATCAAAGCTTTATGGATTTGTTCTTTTTCTGCATTTAAAAGACCTTATAGGAAAACAAATGAGTTGGTCTTGTCTGGTCTTAGAGTCATTTAAATGGAAGAGGGATTTTCATGGCCTTGGGAAAATCTAGGTTTACAGGGCAAACTCTGCAAGGTTGAGCTCATTGTAAAGCCATGCTCCTTTTCATTGGCAAAAGGAGAAAGGAAGTGAGCCATGCCCTAAAAAATACCACTACAGACATTCCAGCCGATACTTGATAAGGACTGGGAATGCTGCCATCAGCTCATGGCTAGAACAAGGAAAATTTGAATCAGTAACCAGCTGACCAGGGGGAACCATGTTAAGTATGGGAAAGATTTCCCATTCAACTACAAACTTTCAACAAGGGAGTCATTTAAGCCAGTGGCTTTCAAATGTTTTTTTCTGTGACCCACAGTAAAAAATACATACGTTATATCATGACCCATAAATATACACAAAGATAATAAAACTGAAATACACATATTTATTTGTAACTGAAACAATATTTGCAATGTACAAAGCACAATATTTTCAACTCTATTCTACTTTGTGTTCTAAACACACTGGTTGAAACCTACTGGTTGAAAAACAGTAATTTAAATTCTGACCAGCACAGAAGATTCTGAGGGTACATTTTCTAATGGCCTTTATTCCTCCCTCAGAGCCCCACAGCCAACTTGGGAAAGTGCAATGGAACATCTGCTCGTGGGACAAGTGACTTGATCTTGAGTACTTGGATAAAGGCTACCCAGAAGGCCAGGTCCTCCATGTCTGGCCATTCCTCAGTGCTGGCTCCTCCTTCTCTTTCTGCCCCTTAAATGCTGATGTTCCCCTCACTGCTCTGTTTTTGGTCCTTTTATCACTCTCAGTGATTGAATCTATTTCCATAGCTTCTGCGACCAATCAAAGAAAATTACTCATAAATCTCATTCTCTAGGCCCCAATTATCAATGCTCATCTACCTCGTGTGTATGTGTGTGTGTGTGTGTGTGTGTGTGTGTGTGTGTGTGTGTATTTTTTTTTTTTTGACAGGGTCTCACTCTGTTGCCCAGGCTGGAGTGCAGTGGCGTGATCTCAGCTCACTGCAACCCCCACCTCCCAGATTCAAGTGATTCTCCTGCCTCAGCCTCCCGAGCAACTGAGACTAGAGGTGCTTGCCACCATTTCCAGCTAATTCTTGTATTTTTAGTAGAGACAGGGTTTCACCACATTGGCCAGGCTGGTCTCAAACTCCCGACCTCAAGTGACCCTCCCTCCTCAACCTCCCAAAGGGCTGGGATTATAGGAGTGAACCACCGCACCCAGCCCTTTTGTACAAGTCTAACTGAATCGTTCCACAGATTTCAAATTCATTTAGTCCAAAATTGTATTTATAATTTCTTTCCTATCCTATCTCCTCGCCCATATCTATTTCTTTGCCAGCTTTCCTCATCTCAAAGAATGACAGCATACTCCCTCCCTGAAGCCACAAATCTGAGGTCATCATTTGCAGTCTCTCCTTCCTTTACTTCTATGTCCAACAGGTTACCAATTCAATCTTATTATTCAGTGGTGTGCAGGTACATTTAACAATCAGCTCTCTGCACTAAAAAAATTAAAATAAAGAGCCCTGACTTACAGGGCTTACCTATTTCTCTTTTATAAATATCCCATTATAGCTCATTTAAAACAATTAACCTGATGTCAATGAAGGAGGAGTTGGGAAGAGATGTGTACAAATGGCTCCAGCACACCACCATCTATTCCTCCAAACCATTTCTCTTCTCTTCATGCCTACAGGCACTGCCTTAATTCATGTCTCTCACACTGAACAAATTATAGCTATTATTGTTAATAGAACATTTATGATCTCCTAAACTCTATCTTATATCCCTTTATCTAACAGTCTCCAAAATATCTTTGTAAAATTAAAGACTCACCATGTTACCCCTCTGCCTCTTCATTGCCCAGTCTTTGTCTTCATATATAAGGCCCTTGATATATTTGTTCTCTACTGACTCTTGAGCTTCATTTCCTGTGACGCCACCACCTATAACCTCTAACCAAAAACACTGGCAAACAAGGTGTTCCCAAATACATGATGCTATTCTGTACCTCTGTAACTTTGCTTATTCTGTTCCCACTTCCTAGGACAACCTTCCCCAATTCATCCACTAAGTAAGCACCATTCATACCTTCAGACTCAACTCAAATCTCTTTCCTTAGAAAGCTTTTCCTGGCTGGGCGCAGTGACTCACGCCTGTAATCCTAGCACTTTGGGAGGCCGAGGTGGGCAGATCACGAGGTCAGGAGATTGAGACCATCCTGGCTAACACAATGAAACCCTGTCTCTACTAAAAATACAAAAAATTAGCCGAGCACGGTGGCACGTGCCTGTAGTCCCAGCTACTCGGGAGGCTGAGGCAGGAGAATCGCTTGAACCTGGGAGGCGGAAGTTGCAGTGAGCTGAGATCGTGCCACTGTACTCCATCCCGGGCAACAGAGCAAAACTCCGTCTCAAAAAAAAAAAAAGAAAGAGAAAAGAAAAGAAAAGAAAGCTTTTCCTGAACTTCTTAAGCACACTTGATGTCTCCCACCTTTACACATCCAGTATATTTTAGCACCTCTAATCGCCTTTATTAAATTTATTTATTTTTTTCATATCCATCTCTTCTCACTAGACATGAGTTCCTAGATCTGGATCTTATTCATGCATGTACCAAGCAGGTGGTATGGTGATGGTATACAGTAGGCTTTCAATAAATGGTAACTATTATTGTCTAGGGCAACTAATACCCTAAGACAAGCATATACTAATTACTCAACAAATGTCTGAATGGAAACATATTAGTATGCTCTTGCTATCTTCCCAAGGCCAGAGGAATGCTAAAATACCTGTACCTTCTAGATTATTAGGAAGCCCAAGGTCTACTTCCATAGTCAAAGAACTGGTACTGTAATTTTTTTCCTATTATCCTCTATAATTTCCTAGTGCTGCCATAACAAAGTACCATAGACTAGGTGGCTTAAACAATAGAAATTTATTTTCTCAGAGTTCTAGAGGCCAGAAGTTCAGGATCAAGGTTTCTCTAGGGTTGGTTTCTTTTGAGGCCTCTCTCCTTGACTTACAGATAGATAGTTATCTTCATGTTCAAATGGCATCCTCCCTGTGTCTGTGTCTAAATTTCCTCTTCTAATAAGTACACCAGTCATATTGGATTAGGGCCCACCCAAATGATGTCATTTTAACCTAGTTACATCTTTAAAGCCCCTATCTACAAATCCAGTTGCATTCTAAGGTAGTGAAGATTAGGACTTCAACATGTGAATTTTGAAGGACACAATTCAGCCCATAACAGCCTCCTGTTAGACCATGAGCTCCTCGAAAGGCAGGAGCCATAACTTAGTCTTCCTCCTTAGTATTTTCTATGCCACACAGAGTACCTGAAACACAGAAGAGTCTCAATAATTTGTGAGATAGATAATTTAAAAATAATTTGTGAGATAGATAAATTAAAAATAATTTACAGATAATTAAAAATCTTCCTAGAAGTATAGTCAAAATTGGTAATTATAGTCAAAATTGTTAAGTATAGTCAAAATTGGTAAGTATAGTCAAAATTGGTCCCCTCCAAATCTGATGGCCAGCACCAAGGAAAATGTGACTTTACTCTTTCTCTGAAAGAAAGTTGGATGCTGTCATCATCTCTAGATAGTCCACTGCCAAACAGCTATGTATGTGGCACCCAACTCATAGCAGAAAAATAAAATCCTTAAGGTCAAACACCCACAACAATTGACAATACGCTTCTCCCTCCAAATCCATTCCAATACTCCCAGACTGACAGATATCATACATGGCTACAGTCAGATTCAAAATCAAGAGAAAATCAATACTGCTGTGGCTGCAGAACAAGATATAACAGCTTAGAAGAAATAGCAAAATGGGCATCTGCTACTTTTTTCCTACCTATAAGGAAATTTATCCCTTCATGTTATGTGTGATTTTGGTAGGTGTATCATATAGCCTGCCTTCCCCATTATCAAGATGGGTACAAGACCTACTTACTTGCTCCACCTCTCCCAGGAATTTGAATCCTGAGTGAAGTGATATGAAAACAGAAAATAATTGCCAAGAGTCAATTCAGCCAGTGCCATGAATGGTTCCTGGTACACACACCCCTGAAACAGGCTTGGTTCCTGACCTTGTCAAGGCTCAATTGACTGTTTCTGGGACCTACATGGTAGTCTCTAATAAATGCCTTCTCCTGAAATTAGACAGTGTTTATTACGTAGCTCTCCATCAAAGAATATTAACACATATAATGGCCCCTGGAAGTGGAGTGTAGCTAGTGGTGGACCTAAAATATGGAAATGAAGGCAGGCAGAAAGGATTTCCCTAACCACTACAAAGAAGTGGTGCTTGCAGTCCTAGTTACGCCATTGCAAAGCAGCCAACTATGCTCCTTCCTCTTGTGTTTTGGGATATAGTCCACATGCCTCTCCAGGCTAAGTCTTTAGGGAAGTTGGTAGGAAAATGTCAAAATATTGGTGTATATAGCCATTTCTGACAGCTTTTGTTAAAATCCTATAAGTGACTTAGCTACAGCCAAGGTGGCCTATCTGAATGCAGAGAAAACTCTGCCTCACTAAGACTGGCCCTTCTCCTGGTAGAAATCCAAGAGGACAGAGAATCAGACAATCATGAAGGACTATGAAATTTGAATTCTTGGCCCTGAGTCAATAATAATGCCAGAAAATACAGGAAAAAAAGAAAGGAAACATAGCAAAAGATAAGATTAGAACCAAGAGAATTGGGGGAAGCCTGATTCCCCAAGTACCCCCTGATATATGCTCCCCTCTCTGGCAAAGAGCTAAGCACTGGGACGAAGCCAAAGGATGAAAAACAAAGTAGCTTTGTCTTTATCCCAGAGGCAAAACAATAAGCAGAAAAATTCAGGGCTGGAGGACAGGCAGAGCAGCCAGGCTTACTTTTAAGAAAGAAACCCCTCACACTAGGGCCCAGAGTCAAGAATCAATCCACAGCACAGAAAATGCATAAAGACCAGCAGCTTGAGTTAAACTTCCATAGAAACCTTGGAAAATAAAAACTTATTCCTCCAAAGTCAATCTCTGGATGTTCTAACCAACAGCCCTACCAGAATTCAGGATGCTCAAATAATATACCTCTATTAGGAAAATCCTACTCAGGGTACTTTGCAAATGTGTCCATTGATTTCATGAGGCAACAGCCGGTTCAATAGTAGTTAGGTACATAAGGCAGTGAAGTATACTGACTCTACTCATGTCTACAACACTGAAGGGAAAATCTAATCATGGAACAATAATAGCTAAATACAACGACCTTTGCAACATTTAAGACTATCACCAACCTAGCATCCAAGTTAAGGTATATCAATAACTTTCTACAAAGACATGAGGACCAAAAGATCTAGATGCAGACAATGGGAAAAAAAAAAAAAACAGAAAAATTTACTCTGGAAACAGATTATGTAGTGGAGATCAATACAGAAAAAAATAGATTTCTTGAGTTATGCTAATAGAATGGCTTTGATTTACAAAGAGTCTAAATCAAATAAGAATATTTATCTCAAACCATCTACACCCTGTCAATTTATTTCACCATGCTATCTGGGGAGTTAGGTTACCAAATGAAGCCATCTTGAAAGGAGTTACTGGATAGAAACCTGAGTGCTGCTTTCCTTCCTCTGTGAGAAGTGAGCTCAGATGCTGCAAGGCACCAGGCAGAATCACAGCATCTACAGAGGTAGTTCCTAGAGTGCTCCCTCCAGGAGGTACTGGTATAAGGCATCTTTTTCTTACACCTTCTGGAAAACTGCCTCCCACAGGTAATATAACCTACACTTGTATTTCTGTTAAATGGTGCAGAAGCATGTAGAAGCAGAGAAAAAATTCTAATTCCACATGCCTAGGACCTGTCACTTACTTGCTAAGACACAGAAAACATAATTCCCCAGATCCACTGCATTCTTCCATTATTTCCAATAACTGCCCTGAGAAAATGGCATTAGAGACAAACTAAATGGAATATTTATGTTCTGTGAACAAAGGAAAGAACATAGGGTGCGTGGGGTCATGATGAGTAACAGCAAGCCTGAGATGATTCTGCTACAGATATTTTAACGCTGATGAATGCTAGGCCTTGGTTTGGCTTATTAAAATAGTTCTGGGTGGTAAGAGAGAAGCTGGCACATTTTTCTGTAGATGAGATAGCCCTGGGTGATTGAACAACAGTTGGAATACAGCTGTCATGGCTAAAACCAAGCAAGTACAGATGTCACCCCAAAGTGGAAATAATTTCATACCATCCCATGCTGCCAAATTCAAAATGCCAATGGAGGAAAGGTATTGGGGAAGGGGGTCTTTAAAATGGACTAGATAACTATTTTAAATACCATTCTGTATATAACTATAATTTTTGCTGCTGAGATCCATGAGCAACAGTTATTATGGTTTAAAAGCTCAGTCAAAAATCTTACTGCTCAGCAAAATGAAAACAATACAATGTGCTGTTCTCAGAGATAGGAACAGCCACATCAAATTCAGTCACTAGACATTAGACTTTGTAATTTCAAATGTTTGGAAAATGTCCTTTTACAAGGCAATAATTTTCTCTTTTTTCTTCCTTCAATAGTTGTCTTTCTTATAAGTAGTGCTACCATTTTCTATGTTTTTAACTGATATGTTAGATAAGAAGACACTAAAAGCACATAGCACCATATCACAGTACTCATTTCCCTTAGAAAGATAAACCAGGGAAAGCAAACATTTCACACACCCGCCCACCAACCCCTGACTTACCAAATGCCTTCTTAGGTTCTATTAACTTCATAGTAAAGAGTTCCTCCTTTTTTAATTCCTTTAACTTCTTAGCAACATCATAGTGACGCCACCCAACAATATTTTCTCCATTTATGGATTCAATATGATCCCCAACACAGATTGTTTTAACTGAGTCAATAACACCACCATCTTTAATTCTCTGAAAGGAAATTGATGATAACATAATATAAAATAGAACTGTGTAATGAATGCACCAATCTCATCTGATCTTGGAAGCTAAGCAGGTTTGGGCCTGGTTAGTACTTGGATGGGAGACTGCCTGGGAATATCAGATGCTACAGGTTTAAAAAAAAACTGTGTAACAGTACTTTTTATGCTTTTGAGACATTAAATACAATGTATTGACATAACAATGCAGTCTGATGCTCAGTTAGAGATGGAAGACTGAGCAACCAAGAACCACTATCTTACCTCCAACCATTCTTCGTCTTCCTTATCATTCAGAATTCAGCTCACTCATACACCACCTCCTCTGGGAAGCTTTTCCTGACATTCCCAACCCACTCCACCAAGAATGGGTAAGGTGCCACTCTCATGCTTCTACAGTACGTTTTGCTGTATATGCTGAATTCTAAACTAAGCACTTTACATTTGTTATTTCATTTAATTCTAACAACCTTTATGAGATTCTCATGTCACAGGTCAGGAAGATTAAAGCTTCAGAAGATCAAGTAATTTGCCAGATTCAACATACCACAGTGCGATTGTTCATTTACTTCTCAGTCTCCATTACTAAACTAATATCCTTGAGGACAGAGATGGTCTTATTCACTACTGCATGTCTGTGCCTAGCACAATATCTGCAAAGTCCCTTCATTAGTGATTACTGAATCATTTCAATTGAGGCCCATCACATAAGAATAGAGCTTGAGCTTTTTCAATTGGCTGCATTTAGTTACAGATGCAAAGACACAAAGAATAATACCATCTTAGCTAAGACGCCTGATACCCAATAAAAGATAAGTATGGTTATCATTTTGGGAGCCAGTAAGGGTGATTTGATGCTATTGTTTTTCATTTATGTATTTTAGATGAACAGAATGTAGGACCCCAAGGAGAAACTTCAAGTTGGTCTTTCTTAAATCTATCTTACTTCTCTACAATACATCTGTAGGGTAAAGTATCAAAATGGTATCTAGTATTCCCAAGATGGCACCAAGAATTTCTGAAAGGATTTTAGGGGCAGGAGCTCCAGAAAAATCTTCCAGAATTGCAGAAAACAGCCCTGCAGAGGATGTACAAGTTCTTCCACAGTGATGAGGAATGAGGCAAAATGAAGGCCATAATCTGTCTCAGAAGTCCCAAATCCTTCATAGGAATGATAGCAATATCAGGAGTGGCTGCTATTGTGTAATAAAGGTTGTGTATTCTTTACCCTTGCTAGGTGGAAGTATAACATCTTCTGAATCAGCAGGGTGATTGATCATTGTGTCCAAGAGCTAGGAGAAAACTGATCTCAACTACCTCCAGCATCTCCGTCATATTGTCATCAGGAACAAGAATAACTTAGGAAGGTTAAGCATTTTTAATGTTTAAATTGCATTATTATAAATCAAAACTCAAAATAGATTTCTCTTTTATCCCAAATTTTAAGAATATTGCTATGTTCATTCATTCTAATAGTGGCTGTTAACATGCTATATGCAAATGTCACAATAATGCCAATTTAAACAGAGCTCACTGTCATTAGAAATAGTTAAACAAAGATACCAGAAGTTTCATAATCTACCAACATTATTTTATTAGAAACCCATATTAAACTTATATCGCTAACAGAAACAATGGGAATCACTCAGTACAACTAGAGTTTCTCAACTGTCATAGAAAAATAAACAAGATTAAAGAAAAGACTAGAGTCTAAAGAAGAAAAAACTATTAAATATTTTACACAATTCATAATTCATCAAAGAATTCAATAATCTATACTTTGATTTTTTTTCTTAGTTTTTATTCTAATTTATCTCTTGATACATCTTGAATTTATTTTTTTATTTGGTCAACTACACCATACAAATTTCAGAGTCTCACCACACAGTATTTTTAGCTTAAGATTTAGAGTTACAATTTTATTTAAAATAAGCATTATATAAAAGTTAAAGACTTTGAAGACACACCTGAATCTCACCAGGGAATTAAAGGTCAGAGTAACAGAAATCTAGGGTTGCAGAGGCCCATGAGTCACTTCAGTAATCCTAGAGATGCCTCAGCAACCAGAAGAGTGCCCAGAGGGAAGAAAGGCAGTCACCGGAAGTCAGAGCAGACAGCAGGGTGAGAATCCAGGTAGCAAGAGAAAAGTCACAGCACATTTCACTATCAGAGGCAGCAGATAAGAATCTGGAATGAAGACACAGGAAAATCAATATAGGAAACTTGGAGAAGATGAACCAGATAAAGAAGCAAAGTTGGAGACATGGATTATATATTTTATGGGTTACCTGAGCCTTAGCCTCCAAAGTGGGCAGAATAAACAATACGGGAGCAATGGAGACAAGTTTCTGAAACCTAATGTGCTTTGATAATCATAAAATAACTTGACAGAGATTAATAATATTGCCAAAGGCACTAATCAGATGCAAAGGAATAAGAAGGAAAAAAGAGAGGCATTAATGCTATACTTTATTTACTGAGTTACTTATACTATTCTCTATAACACTCAGGAACTTTCACCTGTCTTTGAAGCTTGATGGTGCAAAAGGTAGAGAAGATTTATTTATTTATTGGAAGATAGGATTTACATTATTAAACATAGAGGTTTCCAACCATTTCAGATCATTATTATAATATCTTCCATTATGTTCATCCCATATATTTAGAGAATTCTGCCTTCTCATCACAGATGTCAGCAGAAGTCTAGGGCAGCATACACTCTCCCTAAAATCTTTTTTTTCCCCTTTCAATTACATTCCCTTGGGTTTTTTAAAGGCTCTAGACTATAAAAACATCTTGTGTGTCTCCCATCCTGAACACCCTGCTACTTTTCCATATACCACAGGCCACCCACAGACACAAAGCCGGGGGGTGAAGCTGACATGGTCTACTTGGAGCCAGTAGACAGGAGGGCGATGAGTCCTGATGAAGCACTTATGGACAAAATGTAGTTCACTGTGGGGTTGAAGTTCTTCAAAACGAAGAAGAAGCAAAAATGACCAAGAACAGGAACAGAGTGTTGTTAATAGAAAATGGAAAATGTTGTAGCTTCAGAATCAGCAACTTCATTCTTCTTCCACAAGATTCTTACATCTTTCTCCTTCCGAGACATCCTTCTATTATCAGCTTCAGAAAGTTTTCTAGTCACTTCTTTGGAAACAGTATCCTCCCTCTTCTGTGCTACTTTGTGCTTGAGAACAAATTTAACATTCTTGTATGCAAAGGCTACCAAATATGTGCTTTCTAGGGTCATCACACTATAGAAAACAGCAGACTGAATAAGATCCATATGCCATATTCTCCAGTATAACCAGATGGGGATGGCAGACACGACGAACGCATTCCCGAAGAAGATCGCGAAGGACTTGGCCGAGAGGTTGCCGCTGAAATCCTGCAGGAGCAGGTCCTCCTCGGACGGCTGTTTGGAGCTGCCTTTGGGAGCCATTAGCGCAGCGGGAGGTGAAAACAGGGAAGGTAGAGCCAGCCACCAAGCCAGGCAAAGGCCCCTGGCTCCGCCCCTGCGGCCGCCTTATCGGCTCCACTCTCCCTAAAATCTTAAGCACCAGACTCTGAGCTACATGTCCAGTCGCCATGATCAGCAACTTTGAGATTTGTGTTGCTGATCCTTCCAACACTGTCCTCAAACCTCGCCCATAATAATAAGCTAACAGTCATACAGTTGTAAATAGTTATCTCATTTAGTCTTCACAATAAGCCTAGGAAAAGGATATTTATCATTCCATTTAATGAATGAGGAATTTAAGCCACAATAATTACATGGCTTGCCCAAGATAACACAGCTAATAAACAACAGAATTAGGTCTTAAACAGAGGTGACATAATTTTTAAAATTAAAAATGTTTTTAAAAAAGGTATAGAACCCAAGGTCTTCTGACCTAAAGTACAAAGTTTTGGGTTATAAATGTCCAAAATAATCTATCACCTTTGAACTCTGAAATTTTTTTTTGACAGCCTTATTTTTCCATTTTCCGTTTCCTTATTTCTACTAAAGCTGTTTCTCATCAACACCTCATCATGGTCTCCAGATCTCAAACAGTACCTGTTTTCACAAATCATCATGTCTATTCTGGCTTCACAGACCTCTGCTCAGATCCTAGCTTCCATCCTGTAATCCTCTGCCCCCTTGACTTCCTATATTTCCAGTCTTGCTGATTCTTAGTTTGGGCAAATGAACAAGTAAAATGTTAGAAATATGTAAGTATCATATTTCTCGAAATGATCACTCTAAAATGTGGTTCTACTAAAGCAAAAGTATGGCAAATCATAAAGATCTGAAGGAGATATTCTGAGAATGACAGTTTTGTGGTTAGTCAAACTATTTCAATTTAAAACAAAGTCAGGTGGGTTTTTAAAAATCAATTTAGCCTCATTTCTTAATTGCATGTTATAAATCCTTATTTTTATTTTAAATTTGAAAGTACAAGTCTCAGCTTGGTGCGGTGGCTCATGCCTGTAATCCTAGCACTTTGGGAGGGTGAGGCGGGCAGATCACCTGAAGTCAGGAGTTCAAGACCAGCCTGGCCAACATGGTGAAACCCTGTCTCTACTAAAAATGCAAAAATTACCCAGGCATGGTGGCACATTCCTATAACCCCAGCTACTCGGGAGGCTGAGGCAGGAGAATCGCTTGAACCCAGGAGGCAGAGGTTGCAGTGAGCCAAGACCACACCACTGCACTACAGCCTGGGCGACAGAGTGAGACTCCGTCTCAATAAATAAGTAAGTAAGTAAATTAATTAATTAATTAAAGTACAAGTCTATTCTCTTAAACCAGGTGTCATCAAACTATGGCTCACAGCAGAACTCCAGGGTGATGTGTACCCTCCACCATGGGCCACCACCTGTTTTTATATGGCCCATGAGTTATGAATGGTTTTTACCTTTTTGAATGGTTCGGAAAAAAATCAAAAGAAGATTTATGATGTGAAAATTATAATAAATTCAAATTACAGTGTCTATGAGTAAGTTCTCACTGGGAAACATGCATGCTCATTCATCTAAGTATTATCTGTAACTGTTTTTGTGCTACATGGGCTTAGTTAAGTAGTTGCAGCAAAGACCATATAACCCACAAAGCACAAAATATTTACCATCTGCCCTTTACAGAAAACATTTTCCAGCTGCTGCCTTAACTATATACAGGTTTTGTTATAAGTATGCTCTTAATTTTCTGATTAAGGTATTTATATACTTTTTGTTCTTAGAAATGTTGAGACTTAGATAATAAAATCATGAACATTTAAGTAGGTTGTTTTTTCACCTAAAAAGTTTCATCTGGGCCACGTATGGTGGCTCATCCCTGTAACCCCAGCATTTTGGGAGGCCTAGAGAGAGGGATCACTTGAGCCCTGCTCAACTGAGCAGCATGGCAAAACCTTGTCTCTACAAAAACAAACAAACAAAAAAACCAGTTTCATCTGTGTGAACCATACAAAACTATAAAATGCATTTTTCTGCCATTGATCTCTCCTAATTATGTAATAGTTTATTGTTAGAACTAATATTAAAATATTAGCTATTAATTGTGAGTACTGCAGACATTTTAAGCGTGTCATTATATTTATACCCCCAAATAATACTATAAAGTAGGTGCTAACATTCCCACTTGAGAGAAGGCTCAGAAAAGTTTAATGCCTTGGCCAATGTTACACAGCCAGTAAATAAGTGATCTGGCTAAGACTGAAAGCAGGCCTATCTGATTCTAAAGTCCATGCCCCTATGCACCGCACTGTAATGCCTCTCTCACCGTGGAATGCTCACCCTCATTTGAACACCTACCACACTGTCCTACTGTGACTTTAACCTACTCTTATTTCCAGCCAAGTTAAAAACATACCAAGTGCTCACTTCAGCAGCACATACATTAAAATTATAATCACACAGCATGGTCTCTGCACATGGTGATATGCAAACTCATGAAACATTCCATTTTGCTTATCTTGGCAAAAAGAAACACAGGAAGGATAAAACAGAAATTAATAAAATTGGTTATCTCTAAGGAGTGTGGAAAAGTAATGGGATAGAAGAGTTAGGAGAAGGAGTGACACATCTCTGAATGTATTTTTTATAGTTTGACTTTTTTTTTTTTTTTAAGAGACAGTGTCTTGCTGAGAGTGGTGGCATGATCATGGCTCACTGCAACCTTGAGTTCCCCAGGCTCAAGCAATTCTCCCACCTCAGCCTCATGAGTAGCTGGTACTATAGGTGCATGCCACTATACCCAGCTAATTTTTTCTATTTGCTGTAGAGACAGAGTCTCACTATGTTGGGGTTAAGGGATTTTCTATTTGTTGTAGAGACAGAGTCTCACTATGACTGGGGTCAAGTAGACCCCAGTGTCTGTTGTTTCCTCCTTTGTGTTCATAAGTTCTCATCATTTAGCTCCCACTTATAAGTGAGAACATGCAGTACTTGGTTTTCTCTTCCTTCCTGCATTAGTTTGCTGAGGATAATAGCCTCCAGCTACATCCATGTTGCCACAAAAGACATGATCTCATTCTTTTTAATGCTGCATAGTATTCCATGGTGTATATGTACCACATTTCTTTATCCAGTCTGCTGCTGATTGGCATTTAGGTTGATTCCATGTCATTACTATTGTGAACAGTGCTGCAGTAAACATATACATGCATGTGTCTTTATGGTAGAATGCTTTCTAATCCTCTGGGTATACACCCAGTAATGGGATTGCTGAGTCAAATGGTAGTTCTGCTTTTAGCTGACGAATTGCCATACGGTTTTCCACAATGGCTGAACTAATTTACACTCACACCAACAGTGTATGAGGGTTCCCTTTTCTCTGCAACCTCACCAGCAACTTATTTTTTTATTTTTTAATAATAATAGCCATTCTGACTGGTGTGAGATGGTATCTCACTGTGGTTTTGATTTGCATTTCTCTAATGATCAGTGAGGTTCAGCTTTTTTTTTAATATTATTGTTGGCCACATGTGTGTCTGCTTTTGAAAAGTGTTCATGTCCTTTGTCCACTTTTTAATGGAGTTGTCTTTTTTTTCTGGTAACTTTCCTTAAAGATGCTGGATATTAGACCTTTATCAGATACATAGTTTGCAAATATTTTTCTCCTATTCTGTAGGTTGTCTGTTTACTCTGTTGATAGTTTCTCTTGCTGTGCAGAAGCTCCTAAGTTTAATTAGATCCCACTTGTCAATATTTGCTTCTATTCTGATTGCTTTGGTGTCTTTGTCATGAAATCTTTGCCCATTCCAATGTTCAGAATGATATTGCCTACATTGTCTTCCAGAGTTTTTATAGTTTTGAATTTTACATTTAAGTCTTTAATTCATCTTAATTATTGTATATGGTGTAAGGAGGGGTCCAGCTTCAGTCTTCTGCATATGGCTAGCCAGCATCATTTCTTAGCTGCATATGGCTATCCCAGCATCATTTATTAAATAGGGAGTCTTCCCCATTGCTTATTTTTGTCAGCTTTGTTAAATATCAGGTGGTTGTAGCTGTGCAGCCTTATTTCTGGGCTCTCTATTCTGTTCCATTGGTCTATGTGCCTGTTTTTGTACAAGTACCATGCTGTTTGGTTACTGTAGCCCTGTAGTACAGTTTGAAGTCGGGTAATATGATGCCTCCAGCTTTGTTCTTTTTGCTTAGGATTATCTTGGCTATTCAGGCTTTTTTGTCACTGTTGTTCCATATGAATTTTAAAATAATTTTTTATAGTTCTGTGAAGAATGTCATTGGTAATTTGATAGGAATAGCATTGAATCTGCAAATTGATTTAGGTAGTATAGCCATTTTAATGATATTGACCCTTCCTATCCACAAGCATGGGATATTTTTCCATGTGTTTGTCTCTTCTCTAATTTCTCTGAGCACTGTACCAGCTAATACAAAACATACTTACACATAGACCAGTGTTACTATAAAGCAATCACACAAACAAGCCAACATAATAACCAGCTAATAACACAAAGATAGGATCAAATCCACACATATCAATACTAACTTTGAATGTAAACAGGCTAAATGTCCCATTTAAAATGCACAGAGTGGCAAGCTGGATAAAGAACCAAGACCCAACGGTATGCTGTCTTCAAGAGACCCATCTCACACAAAATAACACCCAAGATTCAAAATAAAGGGATGGAGAAAAAAATCTACCAAGCAAATGGAAAACAAAAAAAAGCAGGGGCTGCAATCCTATCCCTGTTTTGTTTCAGACAAAACAGACTTCAAACCAACAAAGATCAAAAAAGACAGAGAAGGGAATTATATAATGGTAAAAGGGTTCAATCTGACAAGACAACCTAACTATCCTAAATATATATGCACCCAACACAGGAGTACCCAGATTCATAAAGCAAGTTCTTAAAGACCTACAAAGAGACACAGACTCCCACAGAACAATAGTGGGAGACTTCAACACTCTACTGACAGTAGTAGACAGATCATTGAGGTAGAAAATTAACAAAGATATTCAGGACCTGAACTCAACATTGGACCAAATGGATCTGAAAGACCTCTATAGAACTCTCCACCCAAAAACAACAGAATATACATTCTTGTCATCACCACATGGTATATACTCTAAAATTGACCACATATTATAACTGGACATAAAACACTCCTCAGCAAATGCAAAAGAACTGAAATCATACCAAACATACTCTTGGACCACAGTGCAATAAAAATAGAAGTCAAGAAAATTGCTAAAACCCATGCAATTACATGGAAATTAAACAACATGCTCCTGAATGACTTTTGGGTAAATAGTGAAATTAAGGCAGAAATCAAGAAATTATTTGAAACTAATGAGAACAAAGATACAACATACCAGAATCTCTGGGACACTGATAAGGCAGTTTTAAGAGGGAAACTTATAGCACTATAATGCCCACATTAAAAAAGTTAGAAAGATCTCAAACCTTAACTACCTAACATCACAACTAAGAGAACTAGAGACGCAAAAATAAATCAACCCCAAAGTTAGCAGAAGACAAGAAATAACCAAAACCAGAGCTGAACTGAACAAGACAAAAAAAAAAAAAAACATTCAAAAGATCAATAGATCCAGGAGTTGGTTTTATGAAAAAAATTAGTTAGATAGACAGGCCACTAGCTAGACTAATAAAGAAGAAAAGAGAGAAGATCTAAATAAACACAATTAGAAATGATGAAGACAATGTAACCACTGACCCCACAGAAATAAAAATAACCATCAGAAACTACTATAAACACCTCTATGCACACTAACTAGAAAACTAGAAGAGATGAATAAATTCCTGGACACATACACTCTCCCAAGACTGAACCAGGAAGAAACTGATTTCCTGAACAGACCAATAATGAAATTGAAGCAGTAATAAATAACCTACCAACCAAAAAAAAAAAAAAGCCTAGAACCTGATGGATTCACAACTGAATTCTATCAAATATACAAAGAAAAGCTGGTGCCATTCCTATAGAAACTACTGAGGAGGAGGGACTCCTCCCCAATTCATTCTATGAGGCCACATCATCCTGATACCAAAACCTGGCAGAGACACAACCAAAAAAGAAAACTTCAGGCCAATATCCTTGCTGAACACTGATGCAAAAATCCTCAACAAAATACTTGCAAATCAAATCCAGCAGCACATCAAAAACCTAATCCAGCATGAGCAAGTAGGCTTCATCCCCAGGATGCAAGATTGGTTCAACATAAGCATATCAATAAATGTGCTTCATCACATAAACAGAACTAAAGACAAAAACAACATGATTATCTCAATAGATGCAGAAAAGGCTTTTGATAAAATTCAACACCCTTCATGTTAAAAACTCTCATCAAACTAGGTATACATACATCAAAATAATAAGACCAATCTATGACAAACCCACAGCCAACATTATACTGAATGGAAAAAAGCCAGAAGCATTCCCCTTGAAAACCAGCACAAGACAAATATGCTCTCTCTCACCACTCCTACTTAACATAGTATTGGAAGTCCTAGCCAGAGCAATCAGGCAGAAAAAAGCAATAAAGGGCATCCAAATAGGGAAAGAGGAAGTCAAACTATCTCTGTTTGCAGATGACATGATTCTGTATCTGGAAAACCCAATAGTCTTGACCCAAAAGCTCCTTCAGCTGATAAACAACTTCAGCAAAGTTTCAAGATACAAAATCAATGTACAAAAATCCCTAACTAACATTCCTATACACCAACAGCCAAACCAAGCACCAAATCAGAAAGACAATCTCATTCACAATTGTCACAAAAAGAATAAAATACCTAGGAATACAGCTAACCAGGAAGGTGAAAGATCTCTACAATGAGTAAATATTTTAATGACTTTGAAAGTAAAAATTTTGATGGGGAAGCCAAGAAATAACCCTGTGGGGCAGGATGACAATTAGAAGCATCGTTACGAGTTCGTAATTTTTTTTTTTTTTTTTTGAGACAGAGTCTCCCTCTGTCGCCCAGGCTGGAGTGCAGTGACATGATCTCGGCTCATTGCAACCTCCACCTCCCAGGCTCAAGTGATTCTCCTGTCTTGGCCTCCCAAGTAGCTGGAATTACAGGTGTGCACCACACCCAGCTAATTTTTGCATTTTTAGTAGAGATGGAGTTTCACCATGTTGGCCAGGTTGGTCTCGAACTCCTGGCCTCAAGTTATCCACCTACCTCAGCCTCCCAAAGTGCTGGGATAACAGGTGTGAGCCACCATGCCTGGCCCAATTCATAACTTCTAATAAACATGTTCTCTAATTCTACCACTGAAAGGATCTAGAAATAATGCACTCCAATAGCAATGTATGAGCACAGCTAACACCAGAACTTGACTTCAATGTATGAGCACAGCTAACACCAGAACTTGACTATCAATCTTGACTTCAGTGTATGAGCACAGCTAACACCAGAACTTGACTTCAGTGTATGAGCACAGCTAACACCAGAACTTGACTTCAGTGTATGAGCACAGCTAACACCAGAACTTGACTATCAATCTCTAGTAAAAATCAGAGCTTCTGAGAGAAATAGTTGATTCTAGGTCAGGGGAAAAGGAGATACAAGATGGGTCTAGAATATCTTGTTGTGTTCTAGAAAGTAAGAACCTACTCAATAAAATGATAGGAGCCATGTCAAAAGGACATGGGGGCCCACTTACAGGGGTTCCTGCAGGCCAAGTCTCAGGAAATTTGAGCATCAATATAATTGATAGTAACAGACTATAAACCATTCAGTAAAACACGAAGTCATGTACCCATGTTGACAATAAATAAGGGCAGCTTTTTCCCTACCATAAAATGCTTTCAGAGAAACATATAAGGAGTGATGGAATTAGAAAAATCATCATTTTTTCAACCATTATAGGAAAAATTAATTCAGGTAAGACTCATCAACAGATACTAAATTTGTGCCATGCAAGTAAGAAAACAGGGTATTTTCATGATATCAAAGCATCTCTCCACAATTACGTATCACAAAGGAAAATAATTTTGTAGTGAAAAAGACTAGTGGACACTACCTCAGACAAGTGACAAAAGTTAATCTCACAAACAATGAGACAAACCAGTTTCATGTACCTTCTGATGTGGTGCACTGAGAAGGACACAGCATCACTTATGTAATTTTCCTACCAAAAATGCACAATCTATTTATCAACATGAGGAAACATCAGAAAAACCCAAATTCAGGGACATCCTATAAAAGGCTGAGGAACTATTCTAGATTAAGGAAGACTAAAAAGACATGACAACTATTCTAGATTATAAAGAAGACTAAAAAGACATAAATGAAATACAGGATCCTAAATTGGACCTGTATGAGGGGAAAATAATGAACACAATTAGGACGCTGATAAGACTACAATGTGAACTATAGATTAGTTTAAAAGTATTATATCAATATTAGACTGTATGAATTTCATAATTGTACTGTAGTTATATGTAAGAGAATATCCTTGTTCTTAGTAATTACACTCTGAAGTACTAAGGGGTAAAGAGTATATATATATATATGTGTGTGTATGAGACAGAACAAAAAACTCAAACATGGCAAATGGTAAAAATTGGAGATTTGGATAAATGATTTATGGGAGTTCTTTGTATTATTATTGCAATCTTTATGTAAGTTTGAAATTATCCTCTCCCAATTTTTAAAAAATTTCATCAACCATGTATACAGTATAATGTGCATCTCTCTTCTAAGTTGAACTATATGTTGGCAGTTTAGATTATGCCTTGCTTTCTCCTTTGCTAACATGCCCTATATCTCCACAGGGCTAGTGACTAGTACTCTGAGTCAGGCACATGTTTGACAAAGCATTTTTTAAAAAATAGAAAGACAAGCTCTGAATGTCAGAGGCTAAGATTTTAAAAATCCACACACGTTTGTGAAACTTCCAAGCCCTTCTCTGCTGCCTGTGCCTCATGTCCTGAGCTTCCCTTGGATAATCCCATATGACTTTCCCAGTCACAGATTTTCCATTTGGTCACTCACTCAACCTTCAGCACAGTCATATCTTTTGCAGAGCTAAAAATAGCCATTCTATCAAGTGGGTAGCGAAAGTCCCATTTACAGTTAAGAAGATAACTTCCCTAAGATTATTTAATGGTGACAATGCATCAGCAAATCAAGATTTGGACAAAATAAAGGCACAAAATATTCCCTGTTGCATGAAATCTATCATTAATTCTTAATCGAGTGAATAGAAGTGCCAGCTCTGAAGTCAGACCTCATAGATCCAAATCCTGAATGTGTCCAGCTGTATAACTTTGGGCAAGCTACTTAACCTTCCTGAGCCTGTTTCCACATCTGTAAAATAAGGTTGGAAATAGTACCTATCCATGGATCTCATAGGCATCTTTTTGAGCAAAAGAAGCCGAAAATAGTGGAGTATATAATATATGATTATATGAAGTTCATGGCAATAGATGCCAGAATAATGGCTACTTTGCGGGGAAAGATTATTGACTGGGAAGGGGCACAAATGAGCCTTCTGAGTGGCAGAAATGCAATTTATCCTGATCTGGGTGATGGTTAAACAGGGATAAGTATGTAAACATTCATTAAGCTGTACATTAAAAATGTCTTATACTGCAACAAAAAAATAAATACAAAGAAAAAACATAATACCAACCAAATAGAATTGTGAGAATTAAGTGAGAAATTGTATGCAAAGTGCCTAGTACATGCATTCAATATAAGTCTGTTACTATTATAACTATTACAATAATAGAGTTGTTATTTTTAAGAGATGAGACTACCTTTCTCCTCAGTTCTTAGTTTCACACCATTTCAAACTTTTATCTTGCCTTTGAAGCTCTATATCGCTCTCTTTGTATTTGAATAAAGGAATTACAGTTGGCCCTGGGTATCCATGGGGGATTGGTTCCAGGACACACCATCAATACTAAAATTCCACTGATGTTCAAGTCCCTGGTATAAAATGGTGTAGTATTTGCATATAACCTATCCACATCCTTCTATATACTTTAAATCATCTCTAGATTATAATACCTAACACAATGGCAATGCTACATAAGCAGTTGTACTGTATTGTTTAGGAAATAATGACAAGTAAAAAGGCCATACATGTTCAGTACAGATGCCATTTTTTCAACTACCTTTAATCTGTGGTTGGTTGAATCCACTAATACAGAACCTACAGATACAGAGATCCAACTTTATATACTTCCTAAAATTTTGAAGGGCATTTTTAAAGAAGTAAATAAGGCAGTCAAAACTAGGAACAGTTGGAAAATAACACTAATTCAATGGAAATAAGCCAGAAATTCATCAGATGTTAAAACCTACAGACATGGAAAAGCTTATATGGATAATGAGTAGGCACCAGGGTTAGACTTTCCTTTCAGTTAGTTCTAAATTCTAGGGGAAGTTTAAACTAAAGGGAAGAAATTAAGAAAATAGTAAACACAAACTGACATCTGAACATTTTTAAAATGAAAGTGAAACATTACCAATTCATGCATCCTTGCTGAGCGGGCTCTCACTCTGAAGATCATTTCTAACTTTCTTTGGCCTGGTAGATTTTCTTAAATGTTATCCTCAATTAGGTTACACTGTTATTTTTTAAAACTTACCTTTATAAAAGCATAGCCAACACCATTATCTGTAATGGTGAGACCAAGTGAATCCTCAGATTTATACACATTCACTTCTTTTTCGATTCCTTTCACATGGGCAAATATGAAATCTTCTAGTCCTAGTTGTCCTCCTAAGAGTCTTTCCATGTCAATTTTAGGTGTGTTTAAAGTGCAATATAAGATCTGCAAAGAAAAATAAAATGTCAGGTCCATTTCCACTTGGAATACATCTGACCGTTAATTTATTTATAAACATTTATTGACTGAAATACTCCTCAATTTATGATGTAAAGAGTTACATCATAAAATGTGTTTTTATGTTGGCTAGAGAGATTCTGGGACACATTTTCAGACAGTAGCATTAGGTAACATGTATTGAGGGTTTCCTGTAGGCCAGGCTTCACGCTAGACAATTTACATCCCATTATCTCACTTCATCTTTACAGTAACTTTATAAAGGACATTGGTATCACCATATTACAAATGAGGAAACTGAAGCCTGGTAAAAATAAGTAATTTGCCTAAGGTCACACAGCCAGTACTTGTCAGAGCCAAGGATTTGAGTTCAGGTCTCACCCATTTTAAAGTGGTTTCTGCCAAGGGACCTGACATTTTATAATGCTGAAATCAAAGGTTATAGTCCCAAAGGTCTGCATCATGCATACACTACAATTAAAATATAGGCAAGCCTATATTTGAAAGTTGGTAAATACATTTTTAAATATAGACAATTTTATTTATCTTGCATTATAGTGCCTGAAAAAAAGCAATTTATTTAGTGAATGAGGTGTTAAAATCAGTATGTTTTAGAACTAAAATGGACTTTAAAGACTATTAACCCAATTTAAAAAGGGGGGAGGGGGGCCATGGAATTGGGGTCTGGAGATTTTAAAACAACTTGTACCAATTCATGTGACAGTAAAAAGAGAGCAAAAAAGAAACCAAATGGTGAAAAGTTGTGTGGAGATTTCAAAGGGGCTTTTTATGTTTACCAAGTCTTTATTTGACCTCATTTTCCTTCAAAAATATGACTCACTTGACTAAAATGTGCAGTGCTACTCAAGTTTGTCAACCATAATCTGGGTAACTTGTGGGGCCCAAATTATAGAAGAAGAGAAGCAGGGTTGAAAAGGTATCATCGGTTAAGAAGCTAAGTTCAACAAACATGTACTGAGTAGCTTCTATTTAATAAGCCAGAAAGGGCATTTTAATATGGCTGTTTCATGCCGAAATCACTAAATGAAATTTATCAGATAATGTCCACCACAGGCATTGCAAGCCTCTTCCTCCATCCCGGATCCTTACCTCAGGCCTCACTCTCAACCCTCTCCCAGTATCCTGGAGTTTCACACCAGTCCTAATTCCTAACAGAACCTTGATTGAGCCTTAACACATCCATAACCTGCATCCCACTCAGAAATAGGGTGCATTTACTACTTACTGAATGGCTTTTTAGGCCATGTCAAAATGTGTCTGAATCAGAAGAGCTTCATAAAATAAAGCTGTCCCTGCTATACAATCAAAGGTCAAGAGTGTTCAGCCAAGCTCAGAGCAAATCCCAGAGGTGTGTTAAAGGAGCTAGTGATGAGGACAAAAAAAAATGCCACTGGCTACAAAACAGTGAATGCCTACAGGAAACAACTATGGCCCCCCAACTTGTCCTCTTTTCATCCCAGTCTTTGTTGAGCCTTCAATTTAACCCTTTATGTTCCCGGCAAGGGCAAAATACATTCAGCTTTGTAGATAATAAGTTTTTGCACATATTCTCTAGTGTAAAAATGATATTGTTCTCAGGGGGAAAAAAATCGGTTAAGTCAAGAATGGTGCATATTTCTGATCCTAACTGTAAAATCAATGGCATATTAGTTTGCTGACAAAAATCACTGTGAATGGGTTGAGGGAGAAGGGAGTATGTGTAGAAAACAGCTTTTCTGACTCTCCTTCACAAAATGATGGGAAGTAAGTAGAAGAAACAACATTTTTCTCCTCCTTGGTTTGTTGTTTTTTTTTTTTTTTTTTCCGGTGAATCTGTCCATGGTATTCACAGTGGGTCCCAAACACCAATATAAAAGCAATTTACCCATTAGCTAGGAAAAAAAAAATTAAAATACCATGATGGTATAACAGGATAGAGAAAAACAAAAAGGAAAAAAAGGAAATCTCACACAAACTGAACTTCTAATGACCAAGCCTCTTCCTTTGCTTCCTTTCTTTCAACTTTTCGCATGCTTCACTACAAAGCAAACATTAGATTTCCTGCAGGTAGAAGAACCCTTTTCCATCGTGCTTCCTCCCGTGCAGAATAACATTCCATTCTAGACAGCCAAAAGTTGGCAAGCAGGGCATTAGTTTCTTTTTTCTGTAAGGAATGGAGCCAGCTATATCTTTCAGTGAATGGAACTTCATGGGAAGCTGTGTTGAAAACCTGTAGGAATGTGATAGCCACTGCAAGGTGGAATAAGAGCAGCAGGTAACTAAAGCTCCATGACTTCAGATCAGTTCTTCACGGGAGAATAAGAAGCTATCACAGTATCAATGCACAACTATCAGCAAATATACCTCTAAGTATATGATAAAGGTCTAGAAATTCAAGCATCCTCAAAGATTTTATATTTTGAACTGCAAAATAAGAAAGTGATACACTAGGTTTTTTTTTTTTTTTTTTTTTTTGAGATGGAGTCTCGCTCTGTCGCCCAGGCTGGAGTGCAGTGGCGGGATCTCGGCTCACTGCAAGCTCCGCCTCCCGGGTTCACGCCATTCTCCTGCCTCAGCCTCCCAAGTAGCTGGGACTACAGGCGCCCGCCACTACGCCCGGCTAATTTTTTGTATTTTTAGTAGAGACGGGGTTTCACCGTTTTAGCCGGGATGGTCTCGATCTCCTGACCTCGTGATCCGCCCGCCTCGGCCTCCCAAAGTGCTGGGATTACAGGCGTGAGCCACCGCGCCCGGCCGTGATACACTAGTTTCTAAAGAATGCAAAGTTCCTGCTCATTCACTCATCAAAAGATAATGAACATTTAAGTCAGAAGGAACCTTAAGAAGCTACTGTGAGCTTTCATACCCTCACTCATACTCATATGAAAACAATAAAACTAACAGTGAAGTGGCCATATTATCAATGCTCCTCTAAGAAATATTTGCTTCCAGAATCTAAGTACGCTACACAACAGGCAGTGAAAGGCAGCATTTAACTTTTTTTTAAAATATAACACTCTCTGACGGACAAACTAAACTAAATCAAAAAAGATTTGGAAAGTAAACTCGTAACAAGGTATCACACAACGTAAGGAAAATGACTGATTCAGTAGATATAATCTTAATGATGTTTTTCATTGTACAATGAAATCCTTAACACCTTCTGGGGTAATCTGTATTTGTTGCTTTACTGCCATCATTGCCTATTTCCATAACTGATGGAGTACCCATGACTATTTCATTTTCTAGAGCATCACTGCCCAATAGAAATACAATGTAAGCTAAATAATTTTAAATTTTCTAATAGTCACAGTAACAAAAGTAAGAAGAAATAGCTGAATTAATTTAATTTAAAACTATATAACCCAGTATATCCAAAATATTGTCATTTCAGCCTATAATCAATGTAAAAATTATTAAGATGGTTTTCATTTTTTAAATTAAGTTTTTAAGATCCAGCATGTATTTACCCTTACATCTTGTCTCAATTTGGAAGAACCAGCTACATTTAAAGTTCTCAGTATCCAAATTCGGCTAGTGGTTACAACATTGGGCAGTTCAGCTTTAGAATCTCATGTCTTTAGGCTGGGCGCAGTGACTCACACCTGTAATCCCAGGCTTTGGGATTACTTTGGGAGGCTGAGGCAGGCAGATCACCTAAGGTCAGGAGTTCGAGACTAGCCTGGCCAACATGGTGAAAACCCATCTCTAAAAATAAAAAAAAAAAATAGCCAGGCATGGTGGCAGGTGCCTGTAATCCCAGCTACTCAGGAGGCTGAGGCAGGAGAATCGCTTGAACCCAGGAGGCAGAGGTTACAGTGAGCCGAGATTGCACCACTGCACCTCAGCCTGGGTGACAGAGCGAGACTCTATCTCAAAAAAAATAAAATTAAAATAAAACCTTTTAGTAGGTAGGGATTTTATCTTACTAGACTTATTTGTCTTATTGCAGGGGTCCCCAACCCCTAGGCTGCAGACTGGTACCAGCCCTTGGCCTGTTAGGAACCAGGCCACACAGCAGGAGGTGAGTAGCAGGCAGGCAAGCATTACTGACTGAGTTCAGCCTTCTGTCAGATCAGCAGCGGCATTACACTCTCATAGGAGCATGAACCCTAAGGTGAGCTGCACATGCGAGGGATCTAGATTGCCTGCACCTTATGATAATCTAATGCCTGATGATCTGAGGTGGAACAGTTTCATCCAGAGACCATCCCACTTGTCCCAATACATGGAAAAACTGTCTTCCATGAAACCAGTCCCTGGTGCCATAAAGATTGGGGACTGCATGCTTATCACTCTGCCTCATCTATATGGAAGACAGACTAATTGAAGGAGAAAGCTATTGCCCTTTGGGGCCAGAAGATGGAGGGCCTTGAATTGTTATTATTGTGCTAGACATCAACATCTTCAGTATCTATTCCCTTTCCCCCTAATTTTCCTTTGGAAACTTCTCTTCCCCATTTTAAGCCATATGGTAGCTTGGGTGGGAGTGACCACATCCTCAGGTTTAAATTGCTTAATGACTACCAATTTAGGCCAAGAAAATCCAAGAATGAACTTATTGGGGGTTTGGGGAAAGAATCCTCTTCTCTTTTCCATAGAAGCTACCAAACGGTGGTTCTGTGTCCCTCACTTCTTCTAAATTATATGAGGTCTAAAATGACTGCAGTTATCACTGCAAACATTAGAAGAGTGGGCCTGGCAACAACGCTGACATGAGGAAAGCAGAGCCTCTGGCTCCAGTCTTACTTCGAGACAGTCAGGGGTGGGCACTGGAGATTGTCCACTCTTTTCCCCTCCTAACACAATTCCCAGATGTGTACAGATTGCAAGCACTTTGGAGGAAAATGACTCACATCCCCCTATTCCAGGCATAAAAGTGAACTAGCCTAAGTGATGGTTTAGGTGTAAGCATGTGGCCCAATGCCAGCTTATAAGATATAGGAGGAAGATGTCCAGGAAGCTCTGGAAAATATTTTTTCACGCCTAATAAAGAAACACAGAAAGAGACAGTCCCTTTCTTCCTCTGTATTTTGCCTTATCTGTGTGTGGTCTAGGAATTTCTACCACCATCTTCCTGCCAGCTGAGAAAGACACCAATGCCAAGAATGGCAAAGCAAAAAGAAGAAATAAACCTAAGTCCTTGGTGACATCGGTGAGTTGCTCAGTTAACCAATTTGGAGCCCACTCTACCTCTTATTTATTTTGAGACAGGGTCTCACTCTGTCATCAAGGTTGGAACACAGTAGTGTGATCATGGTTTACTGCAGCCTCAACCCCCCAGGCTCAAGTGATCCTCCTGCCTCAGCCTCCCTAGTAGCTGGGACCACAGGCACATACTACCAAACACAGCTAATTTTTTTATTTTTCATAGAGACATGGTCTCACCATGTTGCCCAGGCTAGTCTCAAACTTGTGGGCCTAAGCGATCCTCCTGCTTGGCCTCCAAAAGCGCTGGGATTACAGGCACAAGCCACCACACACAGCTCTCTTTTATGTAAAATAATAAGTTAAGTTATCTTGGTTTAGCCAGTTTGAGTAAGTAGTTTTCTGTTACTTGCAGCTGAAAACACGCTGTCTGATACACAGTCCTATCCCAGAATGTTTAGTTACGTGAGTCAATAAATTTCACCAAGCCATCCTGGGTTGGATTTTCTGTTACTTTCAACTAAAAGGTTCCTAACTGATAGAATCATTATGCCTTGTATCTTTATAATTCTTCATAGTTTAAAAGTTCTTTCTGCCTACCATCTCATTTTATCCTTTAAAAAATATCTAAAGTACATGGTGAATTGTGTTTCTTTTAATACGCTGAGGTATTATGGCATCCTAATTTCATATTCTATCACCCCTAACAAAAATTTCAGACAATCTCTCCTCCTTACTTCCAATATCAGTAAAATAAATAAATCGATAGACTGGAATAGTCTCATTCTTGTAATGTGTTAAATAGAAAGAAGAGAAAAAGAAACGTAAGAGATGAAAATAATGGATTAAGAGTTAAGAGTTCTGGATCTAGTTTCAATTATGTACCCTTCAGTCTCAGGGGGTTTAGTTGAGTCATTTGGCCTCCTTGATCCTCACGTAAATTGTGGCATTATTAAAGTTCGGTCTACATCAAATGGTCATTACAAAAATTCAGTAAGTGTATAAATATACTTTTTAAACTAAAAAGCTCTCAGGAGGCTGAAGTGGGAGGATCGCTTAAGGTCAGGAGTTCAAGACCAGCCTAGTCGCCTCAGCGAGACTACACCTCTTAAAATAAAATAAAAAAATAATTATCTGACACATGCCTGTAGTCTCAACTACTTAGGACTGAGGCAGGAATATTGCTTGAACCCAAGAGTTCAAGACTGCAGTGAGCTATGTGCTATGTGCTACTACACTCTAGCCTGAGTGACAAAGCAAGATCCTATCTCTAAAAAATAAGTAAATAAATAAAAAGGCTCAATTTAAAGGTTTTTATTATTATTACTGGAATACAGGGCTTCATGAACAATGATATTTATACTTATGCTTGAAAGCTTCTTAAAGTGCATGAACTTTCCTGAAGTATCAGATTTTGCTCCTTTTTAATATCATAACCAGGATAGATTGCATTTCTCCTCATAAAAAAACTATCCTTCAACTTTTGTTGTTGTTGAAGAATAACTTGCAGACAGTTTTCTTGCTGTGCATTTATATTAAATTGCTACTTTCCTCAGTATTTTCAAATTCTTACCACATGGTTATGATTATTCATCATTGAAACTCAATATGGCTAGGAAGATAAAAGTTTGAACTATCGCACAGAGCCATTAATATCAATTAATATTGCTTTTTCTCTGGTGGCACCATTATATACTCCACAATGTGCTTTGTGAATAGCATTAAATAAATTATTTGTCATTAGTGTTTCAAAAGATATTCTGGTCCACAAACAGGTTAACAAATCTCTCCCAAAACACATCAAATTCATGTTTAAAACGCCAGGAAGTCCACTTCCAACTTTCTTTTGTTGAATGCCTTCCTTAAACAGGAACTGAGCTGGCCAAAGATTCTACATGTTCCAAAGATCTCTGGAACAAATTATGGGCTTATGCAGCTAGAGTTACATTATTTGTATATGTGATTTTAAACATAAGCAGTATTATTATTTTTATATGACTACCCTCCTACATCTCAATCTACCCCCAAAATTTTGCTTACTTTTTTATACTGTATCTCAAATAAACATTATAGAAATATCAGCCAATGTCATTATAGAAAATAAAGAGAAAGTCTGGGTGCAATGGCTCACACCTGAAATCCCAGCACTTTGGGAGTCTGACATGGGTGGATCATTTGAGGTCAGGAGTTCGAGACCAGCCTGGCCAACATGGTGAAACCCCGTCTCTACTAAAAATTTAAAAATTAGGCAGGTGTGGTGGCGTGCACCTGTAGTCCCAGCTACTCAGGAGGCTGAAGCAGGAGAACTGCTTGAACCCAGGAGGTAGAGGTTGCAGTGAGCTGAGATCGGGCCACTGTACTCCAGCCTGGGCAACAGAGTGATACTCTGTCTCAAAAAAAAAAAAAGGCCGGGCATGGTGGCTCATGCCTGTGATCCTAACACTTTGGGAGGCCGAGGCAGGCGGATCACAAGGTCAGGAGATCGAGACCATCCTGGCTAATACAGTGAAACCCCGTCTCTACTAAAAATGCAAAAAAAAAAATTAGCTGGGCGTGGTGGTGGGCGCCTGTAGTCCCAGCTACTCGGGAGGCTGAGACAGGAGAATGACATGAACCCGGGAGGCAGAGCTTGCAGTGAGCCAAGATCATGCCACTGCATTCCAGCCTGGGCGACAGAGCAAGGCTCTGTCTCAAAAATAATAATAAGAGAGAAAAGAAACCATACTTTCCTCAGGAGTTAGTACCACATATTTATACATAAGAAAACCACCTGGATTATGGTTCCTTTGTTAGTGACTAAGGTTTTATCTGGGTTGTTCTTATTATCTAAGTCTCAAAGACTTTTCTTCAAAGAGAAAAAATAATAATTATTTGACCTCCATCTAAATTACTGTCCTTAAAGTTATAGGAATTAAAAACAACCTGAAACTAAGAATAAAATAATTATGGGGGAGAAAAAAAAATAGTCATGTACCCTAAGTGCTTGAAAAGAAAGGATCAGCTCTACCTAAGCCACAGGGACAGAATCACATTGCTCAAAACTCTTCCAAAAAGCTGAGTGTCTTATGCTACATAATTGCCCCCAAAATATTTGGTAAATGTGTCATATCAAGGAACTTCTAGAACTCAAACTAGTCTTCAATTATATGCATAGACTGGGAAACTGCTCATCTCTCTTATTTGTACACAGTTTGGATACTGGCTCCCACTTCCAGTGAAATGCTGTATCGTGAAAGTAAATGAGCTGGGGAGAGGAAGGTCAGCAAGGACTTTTTTCAAAATCAACATTAAGGTCCAAGAAACACTGATTAATGTACCAGCTACTTTCATATGTTACCTCATTTAATTATCAACAACAATTTTATGTGAGATGTATCATAATACCATTTTTTTATAGATTAGAAAACAAAGGTTTAGAGGAGAAAATGGCTTGTGTAGGGTCACATATATAGTAATTGGTGCAGTTGGAACTCCAACCCTGGTTGTCCAACTCCAGGGTGTTTTCCCGGCAATGCCTCTCTGACAACTATTATCTGTGTGGGGACATCTAAGTTACTGGTCACTTCCTAATGCGTTAGCTGAACTAAATCCTTGTGAGTCAGGTCTTGAAGACAAGTATCAATATGCCCTGTGCAGAAAAGAAAACCAGCTCAGACATGTTAAGTGATTTGTGTAGGGTCACACAGCTAGCGAATGACAAAGTCAGAACTAGAATTCGGGCTTTTTCTAACCCATGATACTGTAGCTGTGATGTAAATATAAACACAGCTTTGAATTTAAAACTTTTAGAAGACAGGCGTGACAGCACACACCTATAGTCCCAGCCAAGGTAGGAGGATCACTTGCGCTCAGGAGTTCGAGACAGCCTGGGCAACTCAGTGGGACCTCTTCTTTTCTTAAAGAAAAAAAAAAAGAAGAAGAAGAAACAAAAGAAGAAGAAAGAAGAAGAAGAAAAAAGAAGAAGAAGAAGGAGAAGGAAGGAGGAGGAGGAGAAAGAAGGAGAGGAAGAGGAAGAAGAGGAGGAGGAGCAAAAAAAAAAACCTTCTAGAAGAGACTATACAGTTTTATACTCTGTATGGAACCAAATATATTGTGTTCATTTAATAAACCCCTCACTTTCTAAAAGGAGTAAGACAGTTTGCATAATATAACTATTTATAATTAGACTTTAAAAGCCAAACATAAATATCAAAATAGCAATAACATTATTTAATTTAAATTATTATAAATGATTTTAAAATTTATTCCAACTAGTTTTAAAAATGACTAGTTACATTTGTTTCTTTGTATTATAAACACAGTAATTTAAAATCTCAGCCTATTATTTTCCCAGTATAATGCATGTACTAAATTTCTAGGATTAGTTTTAAAATATGCATCATTATATATATACAGTGCCTTTGACTTCATCTTGTCAATAGCTACAGTCATCTAGAAACAAGTTTCACAGGCTGGAAAAGACATAAAATTGGCGACAAGACAGATATTTAGAAACCTGATACCGTATGCTCTATTTAGACCTTCATGAGTATATTGTATAAAGCTCTGTCCTGAACTGTGTAGAACTTTCTATAAATGATTCACTTCTAAATTAGCTGCCCTGGGTCAGCAGTGGCAAGCCTTAAATAAAAGGTGAATCATCACTCTTTGTGCTCTTCTCCAGTAGAACTACTTTTTTCAGTATTACTAATGAGTAAAATAATATGACAAATAAGAATTCTATCCAAAAAAAGAAAAACAGTCAGATTCATATTTTGAATCTACCAAATGACTTCCCAGCATAACCAAAAGAACACTTTCTTTACTAATGAAATATAATAAAGGGAACTGTGTATCCAAGAAAATCAAAATCCCAAAGCAATCCTTGAGACATAAGAAAAGGATAAAGAATTGGAATAGGTGTAAGTCTTGCCTTTGTGGACATTACACAAATACTAAACCAACGAATAAAATAAATCAAATGCATATAGCCATATATATATATATATATCATCCTCTCCCACAATCTTTTTACACTCAGAGGAGATACCTGAGCTTATCCTAGTCTAATAATGCTGCAACATTGCATGCCAATTTGAAAGACATCATAAATCACTGCTATTTCCCCCGTCAGGTGCTGTTAAATTTTCCATGCTTTCTGAACCACTTATCTTCTTAAAAGCCTCCTCTTGTTTAACATTAAAGATGGAAGAGATTCTAAACAGGCAAAGAGAGACTATAACAGGGGACATTTTATATGCTGGAATAGGATGGTTTATAAAACATCATAATTATACATTATAATTATTAGTAAAGAGATTTGTGGATTAAACGTTCCAAATTACCAAATATACAAATATAACTTGTAAAAGATTGCCATTAGACCTCAAAAGGATCCTTAAACAAAACTTTAAAATTTGTTTGGCAGAAGTTCGTAGAGCACTGTGTTCCTTTTGGCCCACGAGGCTGAATTCTAACCCCTACAATGAAATGTCTGAAGAGAGTGTGATATTTAAAAACCACCCAAATGAATCATGGAAAATTGGAAAGTAAGCATGGTGAGCCATTCAGGTGTCAGAGGGAGTGATGGGGGAAGACAGTCTATTCCTTACTACACCCTACAACAGGAATTCTGACAGAAAGAGATGAGCACTCTATGGGGAAAATATGGGCCACCTGAGAAAATATCAAACATCTTGAGAGAGAAAGATGTTTCTTCTAAACTAAAACACCTAAAAGTCATCATAAAAATGTACTACAGGGGTCAGGTGCGGTGGCTCATGCCTGTAATCCCAGCATTTTGGGAGGCTGAGGCAGGCAGATGACCTGAGGTCAGGAGTTCAAGACCAGCCTGGCCAACGTGGTGAAAGCCCGTGTCTACTAAAAATACAAAAATTAGCCAGGTGTGGTGGCAGGTGCCTGTAATCCCAGCTACTCAGGAGGCTGAGGTATGAGAATCACTTGAACCTGGGAGGCAGAGGTTGCAGTAAGCCAAGATTGTACCACTGCACTCCAGCCTGGGAGATAGAGACTCTGTCTCAAAAAAAAAAAAAAAAAAAAGTACTACAGGGTTCCCTAGATGAGGGAGCCAAATGATCTGGGAGAAAAGGGTGAAGGCAAATTCACTGACCACCTCACACACTTATATGTTTCATCAGGAAGTTTGAGAGCATAAGAAAATTCACCTATGGGTGGGCCTGACAGGACTGAATCCACAAGTGAGGTTAGCCCTCAATCTGGAGTGTATGTGAGGATTCTTCTAGGTTCAGGCTTTTCAATTTTGAACCATCTCCTGCCCCAGGGATAGAATAAGCCCAGGAAACTGAGAATGGGAAAGGGTGAAGAGCAGCCAAGAACAGAATTCTGTCACAGACTTGGAGATACCCAGGCACTGCCCTGGCTGACTGACCTTTGCTCGGAGTTGTTGATTATCAGCAACCTGTTCCCTACTCTCACCAAGCAGTTTCTTCCAACTCTCTGCTTGCCAACATTACCGCCATTCCTGCCTGCAAGACTCCCGGTGCTAGGGGAGGCAGAGCACTTAGAAAAGAGAGGGAGAAGACCAAGCAGGGGCAGGAGCTGAAGAAGCTGACAGGCTACCACAGGACTCCATCCTCAACTCCCAGGAATGTGTCACCAAGCCAGAGCCAGGATGAGGAGTACCAGTCTCCTGGCTCCAGTCTGGGTGCTGACACTGAGCCCTTGCTACCTGCTTCTATTTTTATGAGCACACATACTCCCTCTCCCTAGCCTTCCAAAAAATGCCTATAATGCAAAACCTTCCTTATTCCCCAGGAAAATGGCTTATATATTGTTGGCAATTAATAATTATATGATAAACTTTCTCACATCATATTTTTCTTCTTTCTCCTTTTCTAGCAAGCAGTTTGGTTATAACTGGGATAACTCTAGGTCCCAGTTTATCCCTGTTGTTCCAGAGTAATTATAGATACTATCTCTTTCACTCTCTGAAGCATCTGGGTTGGTTTGAAATATCAATTTTACACTAACCTGTTTATATTAAGCTGATCAAATAAGAATGCTCCCACTTCAAGATGCTGAGACTAAGACAGCATGGGATAAAAGGAAAGTCATGTGATTTGGATGTTGAGGAAAGGCAGTGGTAGAGTTCTTCTATCCCTTGGTATTGAAGTAATCTTCCCCACATGCCCCAATCCTGGGCTTCTTGGGAGAAAATACAAGTCCCCACAACTTGAGCATAATGACCAAGATTCTAGGAGACTTAATGAGTATGGGGAGAGTTGGATATTAACTCTAAATGTTCAGTGGGGGAAAGAAGTAGAATAACAGAATTATATGCTGAAACAAATTCTGTCACAGGTACTCTCTATGCCTAGAAATACGACATGAAGAACTACATGTATTACTAAAAGGTTTTTTTTTTGGCTTAGAAGAATAAGCATTGACAAATGCAATACAAAACAATTCTGAATAAATTGTATTATTGCCCAAGTTTAACTGAAATGTTCAACTTAGTTGACTGAAATTGCTTATTAGGTTTATACTAAATTTGATTGAAAGAGCCCTCATCAGAAGAGTCCGGGCTAGTTACTATAAAATAATCCATGCAGGTAGTTTAGACTAAGGACCATCCACAGAGAGTCCGGGTTAGTTACTATAACAGAATCCAAACAGGTAGTTTAGACTGAGGACCATCTACAGAGATAGACATTAAATTTGTTCTTATTTTCTGGATGTAGGCAAAGGGTGGGAGAATGAAAACTGTACCTGGTCTAGAATAGAAAAATTATAAGAAAAATTTGAGGCGAGGTGCAGTGGCTCACGCCTATAATCCCAGCACTTTGGGAGGCTAAGGCAGATGGATCACAAGGTCAGGAGATCAAGACCACCATGGCCAACATGGTGAAACCCTGTCTCTACTAATAATACAAAAATTAGCCGGGCATGGTCGTGGGCACCTGTAATCCCAGCTAGTCGCAGGGGCTGAGGTGGGAGAATCGCTTGAACTAGGGAGGCGGAGGTTGCATTGAGCTGAGACCACGACACTACACTTCAGCCTGGGTAACAGAGCAAGATTCCATCTCAAAAAAAAGAAAGAAAAGAAAAAGAAAAGAAAAATTTGCAAAAATAAGTGTCATCCAGCATCTTTTTTGAGGAAAACAGGAGTAACATTTATTGAACCATTGTACCATTGTTCTGGACACCTAACATGCTATTTCATTTAATTCTCACAACAGACCTATAAGGTAATTCATTGTACATTTTATTAGTGAGAAAATGGCTAGAAGGTGTCATCTACAGGAATCAAACCCAGGACAGGCCACCCTACCCTGAAACCCTCCTCCCCATCTGATCTCAAACCCTATGCTTCCCTATCATTCCACCCTAACTTTTGCACCTGCTATAGGACTCTATAAACCTGTCAAATAGCCACAGCAACAGGTGACACTTCAAGATATTACAAAAGATTGAGACATCACAAATTTTTCTAAAATCGCTACTCAATTTTACATGATTTTTTTCATTTAAAGTTCGGGGTACATGTGCAGGTTGTACAGATAAACTTGTGTCATGGGAGTTTGTTGTACAGATTATTTCATCACCCAGGTATTAAGCCTAGTACCCACTAGTTATTCTCCCTGATCTTCTCCCTCCTCCCATCCTCCACCCTCCACTAGGCCCCAGTGTCTGTTGCTTCTTTCTATGTGTCCATGCATTCTCATCATTTCACTTCCACTTATAAGTGCTAATACGCAGTATGTGGTTTTCTGTTTCTGCATTAGTTTGCTAAGGATAATAACCTCCAGCTCCATCCACATTCCTGCAAAGGGCATGATTTTGTTCTTTTTATGGCTGCATAGCATTCCATGGTGTATATGGACCACATTTTCTTTTCCAGTCTACTACTGATAGGCATTTAGGTTGAATCCATGTCTTTGCTATTGTGAATAGTGCTGCAATGAACATACATGTGCACGGGTCTCTACAGTAAAATGATCTATATTCCTTTGGGTATATATCCAGTAATGGGATTGCTGGGTCAAATGGTATGTCTACTTTTAGGTCTTTGAGGAATCACCACCCTGTCTTCCACAATGGTTGAACTAATTTACACTCCCACCAACAGTGTTTAAATGTTCCTTTTTCTCTGCAATCTTACCAGCATCTGTTATTTTTTGACTTTTTAATAATAACTATTCTGACTTGTATGAGACGGTATATCACTGTGGTTTTGACTTGCATTTTCTAATGATCAGTGATGTTAAGCTTTTTTTAATATGACTGTTGGTCACATGTATGTCTGCTTTTGAAAAGTGTCTGTTCATGTTCTTTGCCCACTTTTTAATGGAGTTGGGTTTTTTTTCTTGTAACTTTCCTTATAGATGCTGTATATTAGACCTTTTTCAGATGCCTAGTTTGCAAATATTTTCTCCAATTCTCTAGGTTGTCTGTTTACTCTGCTGATAGTTTTCTTTGCTGTGCAGAAGCTTTTTAGCTTAATTAGATCCCATTTGTCAATTTTTGCTTTTTCTTGCAATTGCTTTTGATGTCTTCATCATGAAATCTTTGCCCATTCCTATGTCCAGAATGGTACTGCCTAGGTTGTCTTCCAGGGCTTTTATAATTTTGGATTTTGTTAAAGTCTTTAATCCATCTTGATTTAATTTTTGTATATGGTGTAAGGAAAAGGTCCAGCTTTAATCTTCTGCATATGGCTAGCCAGTCATCCCAGCACCATTTATTGAATAGGGAATCCTTTCCCTATTGTTTTTGTCAGGTATGTCAAGGACCAGATAATTGTAGGCATGCAGCCTTACTTCTGGGTTCTCTTTTTTGTTCCATTGGTCTATATATCTATTGTTGTACCAGGACCAAGTTATTTTGGTTACTATAGCCCTATAGTATATTTTGAACTCAGATAACATGACGTCTCCAACTTTGTTCTTTTCACTTAGAATTGCCTTGGCTATTCAGGCTCTTTTGTCTTTCCATATGAATTTTAAAACAGTTTTTTTTTTTTAATTCTGTGAAGAATGTCCTTGGTAGTTTAATAGGGATAGCACTGAATCTATAAAATGCTTTGGGCAATATGGCCATTTTAATGATATTGATTCTTCCTATTTCCATTTGTTAGTGATATCTCTGATTTCTTTGGGCAGTGTTCCATAGTTCTCCTTGTAGAGATCTTTCACCTCCCTGGTTAGCCGTATTCCTGGGTATTTTTTTTTTCATGTGGTAATTGTGAATGAAATTGCATTCCTGATTTGGTTCTCAGCTTGACCATTGTCAGTGCATAGGAAGAATATCACAAATTTAACAAGCCAAACACATGTTCTACTCTTTTAATTACAGTCCTGTAAGACTAACCCTGGGCAACATAATGAGATCCTACCTCTACAAAAAATTTTTTAAATTAGCTGGGTGTGGTGGCTTTTGTCTATAGTCCTAGCTACTCAGGGGCTGAGGCGAGAAGATCACATGAGTTTAGGAGTTCAAAGTTTCAGTGAGGGCCGGGCACAGTGGCTCACACCTATAATCCCAGCACTTTGGGAGGCCAAGGCAGGCAGATTACTTGAGGTCAGGAGTTTGAGACCAGCCTGGCCAACATAGTAAAACCCTGTCTCTACAAAAATACAAAAAAGTTAGCCAAGGGTACTGGCATGTGCCTGTAATCCCAGCTGCTTGGGAGGCTGAGGCAAGAGAATCGCTTTAACCAGGGAGGCAGAGATTGCAGTGAGCCAAGATTGTGCCACCACACTCCAGCTTGGGCAACAAAGTGAGACTCCATCTCAAAAAAAAAAAAAAAAAAAGGTTGCATGAGTTATGATTGTACCACTGCACTCCAACCTGGGTGACAGAACAAGACCCTCTCTCTAAAAAACATTTTTAAAAAGATGGATCCTAAAACTAAAAGTACAAAACCAACAGGACGTCTTTCTCCTTGTTCGCCCTCTTATTGTTTCCCATCCCCACTCACTCCCGCACCTCCCTTTTTATCATCTTCTAACTTCACAGTGTAGGACAATTACTTAACCTCTAGCAACCAAGTATAAAACAGTATTGCTGGAGGTGACAGCCAATACTGGCCTCTAAGGAAACAGGTGGAAATATCAAGGGGTCTCTTTGATTGTTAAAATGATTGTATGGCACCACTGGCATTTGAGGGAAGCAGGGCATGGGTCAAGGATTCTGTTTGAATTGCAATGCTTGAGAAGCCCAGCTTCATGAAGAACTGCTTTGTATTCCACATGATGCTCAAATGTCCTATTAGACATTCATGCTGGAAGGATGGGGGGAAACTATCAACTATTTAAGCCTAGCCCCTAATTCTGTGTTACACACAGCGTATTTTTTATTCTGAATTTCTATGGGCTGCAATTACCATGTAAATCAAGGGAAGACTGTACTTTTTTATGCAGTGCCTTACCAAGAGTTATTTATCGTTTCAGAAAATCAAGTCATTGACAGCAATGCTGCCCATGTTATTTGGATTTGTAACATAAAACATTTATATCAGTCTGCTCCTGTTGTTGCACTATGGCAATTCTATGAGCATTTACAAACATTAATATCTCTTATTTTAAAATGTTGAATATGAGGAAAAAGAGACAAAAACAATCAATTGAATCCCATCTTTTTTTTTTTTTTTTTTTGTCTTTTTGAGACAGAGTCTTGCTCTGTCACCCAGGCTGGAGTGCAGCGGCACAATCTCAGCTCACTGCAACCTCCACCTCCCAGGTTCAAGCGATTCTCCTGTCTCAGCCTCCTGAGTAGCTGAGTAGCTGGAAATACAGGCATGCACCACCACACCCGGCAAATTTTTGTATTTTTAGTAGAGATGGGTTTCACCATGTTGGCCAGGCTGGTTTCGAACCCCTGACCTCAAGTGATCTGCCCGCCTCAGCCTCCCAAAGTGCTGGGATTACAGGCATGAGCCACTGCACCCAACCTGAATCTCATCTTATTCTTACTCTTTTCAAATCCAAATGTATTCACTACAAGTAGATACAAGCAACTGCTTCATGTTTTTTGTTTTGGTTTTTTTTTTGTTTGTTTTTTTGAGATGGAGTTTAGCTCTTGTGGCCCAGGCTGGAGTGTAATGGCACAATCTAGGCTCACTGCAACCTCCATTTCCCAGGTTCAAGCAATTCTCCTGCCTCAGCCTCCCGAGTAGCTAGGATTACAGATGCATGCCACCACACCTAGCTAATTTTTGTATTTTTTGTAGAGACGGGGTTTCACCATGTTGACCAGGCTGGTCGCGAACTCCTGACCCCTGCCCGTCTCGGCCTCCCAAAGTGCTGGGATTACAGGCATGAGCCACTGCACCCAGCTGCTTGATGCCTTTTAAGATAACTTTTCCAAATACTTGGATATTAAAATCCAAGTTTGTTTCTAATATTAGAGTTAAGGAATCAATTATGCGTATAGGTAGAAAACATTGTTTAAAATCCTATTTCAGGAAAGTAAAGACGGTATCACAAAATATTTGTTATTAGAGGAAGCCTTTGGGTCTGCTAAGGTTAAGAATCACTTACGTAAAGGAAAGAATACAGACTTTGACGTCAGATAGACCTCAAGTCAAAGATATCCCTCTGGGCTGTGAAACTTGAGTAATTTACTTTTACTCTAAGCTCCAGTTGCTTCTTCTATAGATTGTAATAATTTCTGGTGGTTCTAGCAAGAATTACCATTTCCGTTAAGATAGCATAGGTTAAGTGGTAATAGGTGTTCAACAATAATTCCTTGGCCAGGCACGATGGCTCATGAATGTAATCCCAGCACTTTGGGTGGGTGGACCACCTGAGCTCAGGAGTTCGAGACCAGCCTGGGCCACATGATGAAACCCCATCTCTACCAAAAATACAAAAAAAAAAAAATTAGCTGGGCACTGTGGCACGCCTGTGGTCCCGGCTACTTAGGAGGCTGAGGTGACAGGATCACTTAAGCCTGGGAGGTGGAGGTTACAGTGGGCCAAGATGGTGCCACTGCACTCCAGTCTGGGTGACAGACTGAGACCCCCTCTCAAATTAAAAAAAAAAAAAAAGAAAAAGAAAAAACACAGTAATTCCCTTCTCCTCAATTCTTAAGAAATGCTTCCCTTCCTCCACCCACTTTTACATACAGGCAGGAAAATGGAGAAAGGAAGGGGAAAGCACAGAGAACACAGAAGAAGGAAGGAAATAACAGGAATCATGACCAGCACCTAATACCCAACCACACCCAGAACACACTGCTAGTATCAAATGTGAGAAGCTTCAGGTGGTTAAATTAAGGTTCTGGCCCTGGATCATGAGGGACATAGTGTTAACGCCAATTATACAACCACTACTACATTAATGAAATATATGGATATGTAACCTGTTTTAAGAATAGATACACAGTTATCATTTCCTCAACTTTGTTACTGTGTATCCCTTTAAGGCTACTTTAACACTGTAACTTAAGAACCTGTGACTTTTATAGACTGAGATGTAGAGCCTGGATTTTAGTCATCCCTCTCCATGTGCTTTGATTTATCTCCAGGGAGATTTTTATACACATAGCAAATACACATTCTGAATGCTTGAGTTCTTAAGCCTCTTAGCCACACCACCTACAGAGGGTCAAATATGTTTCTAAAAAGCAAACATTCAGGCTGGGCACAGTGGCTCATGCCTGTAATCTCAGCACTTTGGGAGGCCGAGGCAGGCAGATAACCTGAGGTCAGGAGTTCAAGACCAGCCTGGCCAACATGGCAAAACCCTATCTCTACTAAAAATACAAAAATTAGCCGGGCATGGTGGTGTGCGCCTATAATCCCAGCTCCTCAGGAGGCTGAGGCAGGAAAATCACTTGAAACTGGGGCCTGTTTAAAATTAGTGTAAAGAACACTTCATTATAAATTAGCTGGGCTTGGTGGCTCACGCCTGTAGTCCCAGCTACTCAGGAGGCTGAAACAGGAGAATCACTTGAACCCTGGAAGCAGAGGTTGCAGTGAGCCCAGATCGCACCACTGCACCCCAGCCTGGGCGACAGAAGGAAACTCCATCGCAAAAACAAAACAAAAAAAAAACAAACAAAAAAAAACCATTCTACCACTGACAAAGCTCTAAGTCCCTTCAACTTCCCACTCCACATTTTAATCACCCAAACCTCAGAATACTCCACACACCCCAAACAGCAGGGCTAGAGTTTCTGAGATGAGTAATGAAGGCCAGTTTCTTGGATCCCAATTCAGACAAGCAGTGACAGAGCCGTCCACCTTCAATTGGCTTCCTCTTTTCTTTGTCTAAGTGAGCAACTAGCCCAAAGGTGTTTGTTAGTTACTTCTCTCTGAATAAGCAGTGTCAAGGAACACGTTTGGTTATATCAGGTGATGGGGGTTTACACCAAGAAGACACAGGGAAACAAAGGCAGCACAGGAAACCCTTTCAGGAAACAGGTAGACTTCTTAGAAATTATTAAAATTTGTCTAATCACCATTAAAGACACAGTGGCAGCTCTCCTTGCACAAGGACTCCCTGGTGGCCCTATGAGACACTGCAAGGATACAGTGACTGCCATTCCCAGGCCTCAGCATTTCTTTCTTAGGGCTACTCCTGTTCTTCTCCCACTACCAACCATACAGAACAGAATACAATATGCTCTTAATTGAGTTAAAAAAAAAAAAGAAGATAAAGTGGGGGGATATACCCCCCACACAGATATGAATGTTTATCTATCTACCTATCTATCTATCTATCTATATACACACACACACATTTATAGAGTATTTTTCTGGAAGGACAGTAAAGAAAGTGGTTACAATAGATGGTTCTGGGTGGCCCACATCTTTTGGATGTTTACCATGTAAAAATTCAATTTATATACCTTACTTTTTCAACTAAAATAATCATTTACTGTGTAGCTCCACAGTGGACTTCAGCTTTATAGAGAGTAATTTCTGCTAGTAACTTCAGTAAATGAATGCAGCACAAAAGCAAGAGATCACTTTCCTTTGGCAGCCTCTGGTCAAACATTATGGATGCCCTCATTAACTGAGAGCCAACAGGTTAATGGGAAGAGGAGGACTTGAGAGGTAGGTTGCAGTTAACACTGAGATAAAATCAAGAGATGAAAGAGGGTCGGTCGGCTGCAGTGGTACACACCTATAATCCCAGTACTTTGGGAGGCTGAGGCAGGAGAATTGCTTGAGCTCAGGAGTTTGAGACCAGCCTAGGCAACATGGCAAAACCCCATCTCTACTAAAAATACAAAAACTAGCCACACATGGTGGTGCACACCTATAATCCTAGTTACTTGGGAGGCTGAGGTGGGAGGATCACTTGAGCCTAGGAGGTTGAGGCTTCAGTAAGTGATGATCACTGTGGGTCTCAAAAAAAAAAAAGAGAGATGAAACAGGTTAGATTAGGAATAGATCTTACGAATTGATTACAGCCCACCTATATCCTTTACCTATAAAGCTTTGAAACAACTATAAAAGAATTTGTGTGATATCACCATCCCAAATTTCCAAACATTACATTTGATGTCAGAAAAGCAGAAAATATGCTTCAGCTTCTAAAAAAATTCTTATGTCAAGTTTATACTACTATGCCTTACTGAATTATATTCATAGAATTCTATTTTCCAAAAGTCCTCATTAAGTTCAAAAATACTACATCTTCATTTTTTAATCTCTAATTCACAGAGTGCTATTGGCACTTCAGTTTTAAATTCTCTGTCTAGCACGTCTCTAACAAGAAGTGATCTCTAAATGACTTTATTTATTTTTTCTTTTTTTCTTTTTGTTATTGTTTTTTGTTTTTTCTCACTCTTGTTACCCAGGCTGGAGGGCAGTGGCACGATCATGGCTCACTGCAGCCTCAACCTCCCTGGGCTCAAGCAATCCTCTTGCCTCTGCCTCCCGAGTCCTATCCAAGCTTCAACTTGGGACTACAGCTGGAACTAGAGGCACACATCACCATGCCTTACTCATTTTTGTATTTTTTGTAGAGAGGGGATTTCACCATGTTGCCCAGGCTGGTCTTGAATCCCTGAACTCAAGTGATCCGCTGACCTTGGCCTCCCAAAGTACTTGGATTACAGGCATGTATGTGCCACTGCACCCAGCCTAAATGACTTTAGATACACCAGGGTCTCTACCATTTCAAGGATTTCTATAGTCAAGCCACTTGCAAAACACTGTCATAGTCATCATTGTATGTCCCTCAATACTTTGTACATAAAGATGACACTGGAATATTTTTAATTGAATGCACAAGCTCTGGAGGAACATTCAAGCTAGAAAAGACCTTGGATCTCTTCATTTAATTCAGTGGCTCCCAAACACACAATCTACCAATGGATGACAGGCCAGCCACCTAAGTATATCAGGGAAGCTTTTTTAAAATGACAACATTCTCAGGCCCTAGTCAAAATCTGTAGGGGTGAAGCCCAGAAGCCTGTGTTCTTTAAAAAGGTCACCAAGGTGATTCTAAGAGGCAACTGGCTTTGGGAACCACTGGTGTAGTTCACCCACCCCAACAAGAGGGAAGACTTGCCCAAAGTTGGATAGTGAGGAGGACAGGGCAGCAAAACGATCAGTAAAGGACAAGGATGAAATGGAAGCTATTTGGCAGAGTTCTTTGGTGCTAAATGGGCATTCACTATAACAGAACGTTATGAGTTACCATAGAGTCCCTTTTTATCACAGAATAACTGATGAATCATTTTTGAAAAAACATACCAGCATTTTTTTGAAGTATATATCTTGGAATATTGGTCCACGGAGTGTTTGTTATGCAGGAAAAAAGGGAGAGCACGATACTCAAATAAGTGAAGGGAATAATAAACACCAAGATTCTTGGATATTTAAATTTTTAGTGGACTTCTCAAAGCCATTAATATGTATCATGAATTTACAAAATACAGTTCCCAAAGTTATTTGACAACTGGAGGCATTTTTTCTATAATATGTCAAGGGATTCATGTTGCTTGGAACACATTTTAGGAAACCCACACTAGCTTGTCAAATTGTTTGTCATTGAACCACACTCCACTGGAGGATGGGGCTATGTCATCTTCACCTTTAAGTTCCCAGCATCAAGCACAATGCTGAACTCCTAATAAGCGCTCTGAGTGAATCCTTCAATTAAAAAAAAATCAGTTAAAAGTAACTAAAGATGGTTGTCTATTTGGTAAACAAGTTCAAAAGTTAGAATACAATAAAGACTCTTCCAACTCTACAATTATAACTACCATTTAAAAAATACCTACTATGTGCCAGGCACAGATCTTACATACATGATTTTTCATGTACCCCTCACGACAACCTTTTGTGATGACAAGTATCATTAACCCCACTTAACAGATGAGGAACAGAAACAAAGAGCAGCCAATAACTTGCCCAAGGTCTCAGAGATAGTAAGCGGCACTCCTAACCACTAAGCTATACTATAATTCCATGCTTCCAAACAGAAGGGAGGTTTAAGAGTATATGGCACAGAGGAGGTATTAAGAGTGGCCATATAAATGATGGAACATTTTCCAGCAAAAAGTATAAACATACTTATGTTTTCCTCTTGCTTAGCAAAAGCTTCTAGGTCCTTTTTTCTAGGTCCTTAAGGCAAGAAATGTGGGTATAAAAAGAAAACCTATAATTTATAAGAGTTCAGAGAATAACCCAACAATGTCTATTGCATTCAGTCTCATTGACTCAAGAAGTACCCATCTCATAGGATGGAGGACTAGAATGTAAGCTCCATGTGGCCAAGGATTATTGTCTGTTTTATTCATTGATGTATCCCAACATTTGGGGCAGTGACTGGCACAAAGCCAATAACCAATAAGTTTTCTAATGAAGAATAAGATTGAACATGCCTAAATTATCTACCTTCCATTTTAAAACTGTATTATAATCACTCTTTCCAGCTATAAATTCATAACATGTACAAATGATCAAAGTAAACTTTTTTGACATGGTACACACCTTTTATTACAGGGTTTTTAGTTCTTTCTTCCCTGTATTTGGTTCTTTATACACATAACAGGAAGAAATATCTCCACAGTGATTTCTTTTGAAAAATTAAAATTCCACCAGTAATTCTAAATTCCCTGACTTGATCATTACATATTGCATGCCTATATCAAAATCTCACACATATCCCATAAATATGTACAATTATGCATCAGAAAAATTCTGCCAGCATTCAGATGTAGGAAAAGCACATCTGGCTCTGCTGAGGGTATAGCTGAGAGGGTTTCTTAGGGATGAAGGGCTCACAGATAGTCCCAGCCATACATTCAGAGGGTTATAGAAAAACACAGTTGCTTCACCGTACAGACAACTGAAATAAAAAACATAGGAGAGACTTTTCAAAATGGGATGGAGTCTATTCCAGTAGAATAGAACTGATGACATTTTAAAAGGTAAGACCCCTATTTTATCTGTTGATTTTATTCATTCAATATAAAATTTTAACTACACTTTTGATATTGTCTCATCGGGAAAAAAATCAAACCCCAACTGATTAAACCTAGACTACAACTATTAATTTATAGGAAATACAGTGACTGGGGATGCCAAACTAGACTACAGGAATGCAATCAGCAAAAAACAAACTGTGAAACACACAGGGTAAAAGATCTGGCTGCTTCAACAAATACACTGGAAAGAGAACAAGACGAAGGGGAATCTATAGATTAAAAAAGACTCAAAAACATATTTAAAAGAAGTCCAAATTATGGTGTTTAGGAAAGCACATAAATGAAAAAACTATATAATGGGATTCATTACCATGAAAGTCAGGATGGTTGTTACTCTTGGGTGCAAGTGGGAAGGGGCACATGGAAGGTTCTCAGGAGGCTGATAAAGTCTATCTCCTGACACAGGTGTGGTTACAAAGGTGTTCAATTTATCCATTAATTTACACATTTGTTTTATGTGCTTTTCTCTACTTGTGTTATATTTAATAAAAATTTTGTTAATGAGGGAAGAAAAGAAATGTTGGCAAATGTTGACAATTGTCGAAGCTGGGCACATGGAGTTAATTACACTATTTCCTTGATTTTGCATGTATTTAAAATTTCTGTAATAATTTTTTCTTTTGTTTTTTTGAGACAGGGCTTTTGTCGCCCAGGCTGGAGTACACTGGTGCAATCTCAGCTCACTGCAACCTCCACCTCCCAGACTCAAGCCATACTCCCACCTCAGCCTCCCGAGTAGGTGGGACTACAGGCTCACACCACCATTCCCAGCTAATTTGTTTGTATTTTTTGTGGAGACGGGGTTTCACCATGTTGCCCAGGTGGTCAAGAACTCCTGAGCTCAAGTGATCCTCCTGCCTCAGCCTCCCAAACTTCTGGGATTACAGGCGTGAGCCACCATGCCCAGCCATAAGTTTTACTGCATACTAACTGCCAGTCTTTGCCCAGAGTGGCTCTCAATCTTATGGAAGAGACAGACATTAAAGCAATGATGACCATAAAGTCTGATAAGAGTTATGGAAGTTTAGAGGATAGGCACAGAACCCAGTCCTGAGGTAGTGGGGAGGCTTCAGGTAATGACCTGCAAGTCCTGCAGCACAAGTAGGAGTTAACAGGGAAAGAGTAGGGGAGAGATTTCCAGATAAAGAGAACAATGCATAAAGGTCATAGAGAACGGAAAATACTTTCGTTTTCTAAACAGGCCATGGAAGGTGTCTGCCATTTACGTTCCCCTAAATCAAGATGTCTCAGAATATCTACCATGTGCATAGCTCTCTCCTGCAGGACTCCTTATCCACTGCTCACCTACCTCTGTACCACATGACCCTGTAGGCTGGAGCAGAGATGAACCTGACCCACAGGCCCAAGGGTCCTGTCCCACCTGTGCTGTACCCTGACACAACAAAGACTCTTTCTTAGGAAGTTTAATAAGATACACAGGCAGGGCACAGAAAGTAGAGAGGTAAAGAAACACAAAGACACAGTGGGGTGAGGTAATAATGGGAGGAGCAAAGTCAAGAGGATGAGAAGAAAGAATCAGTCAAAAGTAGAATAAGCAGGGAGAGAGAGAGGCTGAGATGGAAGGTTAAGGACAACTAGACTTGCTCTCAGTTCTCTACAGTATAAAGCTACTGCTTTAACCTGAACAGAATGAGCAACGTTCCAACTGTCCATGGAACCTGACTGTGCAGCTGCAGAAGCTGTCCTAAGCTTCCTTACCTCCCTATACATTTTAATATAAATATTTATATGGACTGAACATGTGTGTGTCCCCAAGCCTAATCCCCCACCTCCTACCAGGTGACGGTATTTGGAGGTGGGGTCTTTGGGAGGTGACTGGGTCATGAGGGTCAAGCCTTCAGGAATAGGATTAGTGCCTGCATAGAAGAGGCCCTAGAGAGAGCTCCCTTTCCCCTTCTGTTACATGAGGATGCAACAAGATGGCTGTCTATGAACCAGGAAGTGGGCTCCCACAAGATACCACATGGCCGGCACATCAATCTAGGACTTCCCAGTCAATAAATTTTTGTTGTTTAGAAGCAACTCAGTTTTTGATAGTCTGTTACAGCAGCCAGACAGACATATACATACATACAAATTGCCCAAGATAACCTGCAAGAGCCTTCCACTCCACTCAGGGTAGCTGGGTTGGTGATTGCAGGTGGGAGAATGTGAAGGGGCTGGCTATTAACCTACAGGTAGCCAGGGTTTGAAGAGGAGTCTACCCCTGCCCAAGGGTGTAAACTTTATTTTAGGGTTGTTCAGATATCTTCTTCAGGGTACTTCTAGCACAACAGCAGTCTTATCCATTTCATACCCTCCTGACAGCAATGAGGTCTATAAGGCAGCTGGTTGGATTCTCCTCCCACTTCTCAAAATGAGTCATGTTTTTCTTGCCTGAATTTTTCATATAAAAATGAGGCTGGTGCTCAGGAGGGGATATCAAGCCTACATAATGACTGTGATATATTTATAACTTCTCAGATGGTATGATGTAAATCCAGAAAATACCATTATATTCCATTTAAACTGAATATTATTTAGAAAGAAAATACAGAGAATGAATGGTTGAGTGTGCTTCTACTTTGTAAAATATGTGTCAGGGATCCTTGCTTCTTCCGAAAAAGATCTGAGTTATTCTCATTGCCTACAGAATAAAATCCATACAACTTCAAGGACATTTGTAGTCTTACTACTATCTATATCCTCAGCTTTCTCTCCTACTATATCCATTATCTACTTTTATTTAGTAAACTTTTAAGGAGCAGCTAAACCATCTAGCTAACCATCTAAGAACAAGATTTAAAAAGGAAAAAAGTCCCAGCCCTCAGGAAGAAACAGAGGAGTAACTAAATTCAATCTTATGTGCAAATGCTATGTTAAAAATCATGCAATAGCAGGTATCCAGATTTCTGGATTCACAGGGTAGGCTTCTTGGAGGAAATTACAGGACTAGAAAAGTGAGTAGGAGTTACTGGAACAAAGAACAGCATGAGAAAAAGCACAATGGAATGAAACAGTTAAATATTGTTGAATGTAAAGGGGATTATTAAGAAGTGAGATTGGAACAGTGGGCATAGGAGAGGACTCAAGAGGCAGACAGGAATATGAGACATTGTTTGGCTGGTAGTAATTGGTTTGTAAGTAATGAGGAGCCCCTTGCAGGTTTTTGTTTGTTTAGACAGTCTTGCTCTGTTGCCCAGGCTGGAGTGTAGCAGCACAATCATAGCTCACTGCAGCCTCAAACTCCGGCTTGAGTGATCCTCCCACCTCAGCCTCCTGAATACTGGGACTACAGGTACGTACCACCACCTCTGGCTAATTTTTTTTTTTTTGGCTTTTTTTTTTTTTTTTTTTTAAGAGGCAGGGTACCACTATGTTGCCCAGGCTGTTGTCAATCAAACTCCTGGCTTCAAGGATTCTCCCTTCTCAGCCTTCCAAAGTGCTAAGATTAGACTGGTATGATCACAGCATTAAAATACTAAAAGAGGATGAGTGGAGTCAGGGAAACCAAATTCAGGCTGCCTCTTTAGAATCTGCATTGTAATAACCCAACAGTGACAAGTGACAACTGCCAACACCTTCCAGGCAAAGACCACCAGGGATTCTCACCTGCAGTTTATTGCTCCTTGTGAGGAGGGTGACAGCACTCTATGGGAAATCCTGGGGGTTTCAGAAAGAGACATTACAAAGGATTTGGGCTTGTGTTAGGTGATTTGGGAGAGGGTCCAAAGCATGGGTTTGTTCTGGATAGGGTGCTGTCAGGAAATGGGTGCAATTCTATGACCAGGAATCTTAGTAAACCTATCTGTAAGGTAGGAGAAATTACCACAGTCAGAGCAGTCTTATCTGCTGTTGACATGCTGTGCAATTGTTTATGTGCAACAGAATGCCAAGGCCTTCCTGCAAGTGCCAAGGCCCCTACCAGATGTCAGGGACTGCTTCTCACACTTTTTCTACTCAATTTTGACGGGCTTACTTCATATTCCTCAGACCTCAATAGTAATATTCACACCCAATTCCCAATTCTTTCATTTTTTGTAGATTTTTGTAACTTGTTTTTCCAGGGCAGGGGGTGCTATATGCAAATCAGTAAAACCCTATTTTCTCTATTCGTCCTAGTTTCCCATTTGTGAACCAGAAAGATAACAGTTCCACTTGCCAGTTATTTGCACTGCTGGGAAATGATAAAGTCTGCAGAACATTTCATGTCTTCTAGAAGTACCACATAAATACAGAATATTGACTTTCAAAAGAGCTCAGTGCTAGTGTCAGCAAGTTGAGAAAAGGAAGCAGCTTCTGGGAAGCCTCAGGAAGCAGCTCCTCATATGCTGTAACTCATTTAGGAAGTGACTATGCTTGCAAACAGAGCCTCAAATTTCATAGTTTCTAAGATGGATATATTAATTAGCTTGACTGTAATAATTATTTCACTATTTATATCAAAACATCGTGTTGTATACCTTAAATATATACATTTATTTTCAAAAAATTTTAAAGATATGAGTGATGTTCCTCACTACCCCCACCTAAAGGCTAGTCTCTTTCCTCATAGCAGAACATAAAAAAAATTAACACCTACATAAGATATTAGTATTGTAATCAATACTAAAGCTTTATGCTAAAGACACTAGGTTTTAACTACTGAATTGGTGAGGATCCTTTTATTCAACAACTATTTTTTAAACTCCAACTATAATATGTTTCAGGCAAAGTCTAGGCCCTTGAGGGCCACATCAGTAAACAAAGACAAAAATCCTTGCCTTTGTGGAGCTTCTATTGGGGCAAGGGGGCAGACCATAAACAAAATAAGTTAAATATACATAGGATAGTATGCTACGGAGAAAAATTAAGCAGAGAAGGGAACAGGGAGTGTTGCACCTAGAGATGATCAGTGCTAGCCTCACCAAGAAGATGACATTTGAACAGACTTAAGGAAGGGCATTCTGTAGGAAGAGGTTCTGGCGGAGGCAAAAACCAATGCAAAAGTCTTAAGGCTCCAGCATTCAAGGAGACCAGTCTGGCTGGAGCAGAAGGAACAACGATTCTGAAGAGGTAACAGAGCCCGTAGCCCATCATAGTATTTTGGTTTGTTCCAAGTGAGAGGGGAAGCCATGAAAGGTTTAGAGCAGAAAATGAGATACAAATTGTATCTCAGAGACAGCAACTTTTGAAGAGTTTTGCTAAAAAGGAGAAATGAGGTGGTAATACAGGGGATGGGAACAGGTGTCAAAAGAAGGTTTGTCTGTTTAAGAGAAATAACAGCATGCTTGTGAGGATAAAATCTCACCTTAAAAATCACAATTCTACGCCAGGTGCGGTGGCTCATGCCTGTAATCCTAGCACTTTGGGAGGCCGAGGCAGGCAGATCACCTGAGGTCAGGAGTTCAAGACAGGCCAACATGGCAAAACCCCGTCTCTACTAAAAATACAAAAATTAGCTGGGCATGGTGGCATGCACCTGTAGTCCCAGCTACTCAGGAGGCTGAGGCAGGAGAATCACTTGAACCCGGGAGGCAGAGGTTGCAGTGAGCCGAGATCACACCACTGCACTCCAGCCTGGCAACAGAGTGAGACTCCATTTCAAAAAAAAAAGAATAACACTTCTTGCCTTTTCTGCTTCTCAAGTACTCTGCTTTCTTTGACTGCTTTATGTATGGGGAGAGAATAAGTCACTGAATTACTCATTTATTATTCAATGAACTATTTGGTATCTAATATCACACGCAAACTAATCTAAACAAGTAAAAGGAAGTAATTTCTGAATTCTGCAGAGAAACTGCATCTGAATTTCCAGTTTCTGGACATGTAAAATTTCTAACTATAAAATTTATCTTTTTTTTGTTAATAATATTTCTTTGTTATTCTTTTAATGTCCAAGGATCAATAATGATGACATCATTTCTTTTTTTTTTTACATTTTACAAAATGAATGTATTGAGCAAAGTGGGGTTCTTTTTTTTATTATACGTCTTTTCTTAAGTTTTCACATTCATTATTTTTTCCTACAATATTTCCACATAATAGAGAATTAGGAAAATATATCATGGTAAAAACTACTTGCCAAACAATTACAGTAGTCAAATATTCAAAATGCCCCTTCAACAAAATGTATGACCATAGCTCGAGAGTTTCATGTAACCTGGATATTTTAAAAGATGGTATGTATTGGCCGGACACGGTGGCTCACGCCTGTAATCTCAGCACTTTGGGAGGCTGAGGCGGGCAGATCACAAGGTCAGGAGATCGAGACAATCCTGGCTAACACAGTGAAACCCTGCCTCTACTAAAAATACAAAAAATTAGCCGGGCATGGTGGCAGGCACCTGTAGTCCTAGCTACTCAGGAGGTTGAGGCAGGACAATGGCATGAACCCAGGAGGCGGAGCTTGTAGTGAGCTGAGATAGCACCACTGCACTCCAGCCTGGGCGACAGAGCGAGACTCCCGTCACAAAAAAAAGAAAAAAAAAAAAAGATGGTATGTATTAAACTTTCTCAAGAAGAGTCTTTGCATTTATGTAGGAGTTAATTGTTCTTTAGATGAGATTAATTTACAGGGTTTTTTTTCTTTTTACTGAATTGTTCATTTAATTGTTTTGAAAAAAGGCATCAGATATGAGGGATTTTTGCATAACTGGCCATCTGTCTCAACTTAATAACAAATCTTAACTGATTCACAGCCTTCATTAGCTTATTCCTTCAGGGACCACAAAACACTAGCTGAAGTCCACAACTGTCAGTCTCACATCAACATCTTTTTGAGGCAATAAATATTTTTGTGGTTAAGTCTGAGGCTTTTATTGAAAAAAAAAATTTGTTTACAAAAGACGTTTTTCCAGGTTAGTGTTTAGAATTTGAATGCAGCTACCAAGAATCTCACAGCTGCTATGTAATAGACTTGGAACCGGCCAGGTGCAGTAGCTCACGTCGGTAATCCCAGCTCACTTTGGGAGGCCGAGGTGGGCGGATCACCTGAGGTCAGGAGTTTGAGACCAGCCTGGCCAACATGGTGAAACCCCATCTCTACAAAAACACAAAAATTATCCAGGCATGATGGCGTGTGCCTGTAATCCCAGCTATTCAGGAGGCTGAGGCAGGAGGATCACTTGAACACAGAAGGCGGAGGTTGCAGTGAGCCACGATCACACCGTTGCACTTCAACCTGGGCGACAGAGCTAGACTCCATCTCAAAAAAAAAAAAAAAAAAAAAGAGGTTTTTCTGGGTTCGTATTTGGAATTTGAATGCAGCTACCAAGAATCTCACAGCTGCTATGTAATAGACTTAGAACCAGGAAACCAGAATTCAAATCCTGGCTCAGCCACATACCAGCCTATTTAACTTCTCAGAGTCTCACTTCACTAAATTGTAAAATGAAAAGATTCTGGTGAGGATGGAGTGAACACACTGTAGGCTTACAGGCCTAGCACAGCTGTGGGCACATTATGGGCCCTGATTATCTGCTCCACTTGACATCAAGTCTTTTCCCTTTCTCCTCAATAAAGAGTGGCTAGCTCTTCATGTAGTGCTATTTATATCCTTACAGCCACCACTCTAGAAAAAAGGCAGGACTTCTGAGTTAACTATCTATTCAATCCCATTAAGGGGGGCAAATGTTTTTGTCCCCACTGACATCTCAAAAGTTATTTACATCACAGGGCTGGGCGTGGTGGTTCACGCACTTTGGGAGGCCGAGGCGGGCAGATCACCTGAGGTCAGGATATCAATTCAAGACCAGCCTGGCCAACATGGTGAAACCCCGTCTCTACTAAAAACACAAAAATTAGCCAGGCATGGTGGTGCATAATCCCAGCTATTAGGCAAGCTGAGGCAGGACAATCACTTGAACCCAGGAGGTGGAGGTTTCAGTCAGCCAAGATCGTGCCACTGCACTCCAGCCTGGGCGACAGAACAAGACACCATCTCAAAAAACAAAAACCAACCAAAAAAAGTTGTTTACATCATTATTGCTGAGGTAATTGCTTGCTGGGGAAATGGGCTATGAAAATGGAATCTCCTTGGTGTGCATTTCATTTTAGTGAGTTACTTCTGTTTCAGAGTGAACCACTGAAATATTATGCGTACTATGCTATGATGACCAATACTTTATTCTGCATATAATTAACTTTTTCTAATCCAGATGGAAAACTTGCATTAATGTTGGTTATATGCATAAACATGGTAAAACTGGGGTTTTACCCATATACCCGGGTTATAAAATGTTATAAACTTTGATCTAACACATGAAAACAACTCGTGTATATTATCTTGGAAACTGACCTTGCAAGTCAGTGCACTGAAAATGTTGAACGTGGCTACCAAGCTATTGCTGAGACTCTGGAAAACTTGGGTAACAATATAGCTTCATGGGAGGAAAAAAAAAAGATGGGCACAATGGCTCCGTGTCTGTGTTATTCAAGAGACTGAGGTAGGAGGATCACTTGAGAGTAGGAGTTTCAAACCACACTGAGCAACACAGAAAAACCACATCTCTAAAAAAAAGTTTTTTTAATTAGCCAGATGTGGTGGCACATGCCTGTAGTCCCAGCTACTTGGGAGGGTGAAGCAGGAGGATTGCTTGAGCCTAGGAGTTTGAAGCTATAGTGAGCTATAATCGCACCACTGCAGTCCAGCCTGGGCAACAGAGTGAGACCCCATCTCATTAAAAAAAAAAGAAAAGAAAAACAGAAAACAAAAAAAAAGAATACACTGAATTCAAATCCAGGCTCTGCCACTTGCTATGTGTAATTCTGGAAAAATTCTGAACCTCAAAGTCTGTTTCCTCTCTGTGAAGTGGGGATATTAATAATAATACTTACTTCTTAGGGATTAAGTAGATTGAATAAAATCATGTACCTTGAGCTCAGAATAATGTCATATATAATGATGAGAAGTGTTAATGCAAAATACACATGCTCCTCTACTTACCAAGGTGTTATGTCCCAATAAATCCATTGTGAGTCAAAAATATCATAAGTCAAAAATGCATTTAATACCCCAATAAACCCATAAAGTGGAAAAATCTTAAGTCCAGGAAGTTACATCCTAATAAATCCATGGCGAAGTCAAAAATCTTAAGTCTAACTATCATAAACCCAGGACCATCTGTAACTAAAACTGAAGTCCCTGGTTACAGCAAAGACATTTAAAGTTGTCAGTTAAGTATGCTAACAAGCTCACTAGCTTAGGAATCAGAAGATCCAAGTTTAAATTACAGTCAAGTTTTTTTTTGCTAGGTATGTGACCTTGGCTAAGGGCCAATCACTTTGTACTTCAGTCCTTCATTTAACTGTTAGGTATTAATCATATTAGTTACCATGTATTAAGCCCTAACCATAAACTATGCAATCTGATACGTTTACATACGGACTCCACTCTTCACAATACTCTTCAAGACAAATATTCTAATCTCTATTTTACAGATGGCGAAAACTGAGAGAAGTTAAACTCATTCAAGTCCACACAGCTAGTAAAGGGTAGAACCTGGCTCCATGTCCAAGTTATCGTATTTAACCTGCCACCTGCCTCCCCTAGAGATCAAAGGAAAGTGTCCTGTGAAAGTGTTTTTTGAAAAAAAAAAAATCCTATATAAATGTGAAGTATTATTAGTATCCTATATCAATACAAATAATTCACAGATGGGTTTGCGATTTGCCCCTTAGTGCCTGGGAACTTCGAAAGAACAAAGGGTTACACTTTAAGCTCTCTTTCGTCTCCTCTTGGAATTTTGCCTTGACCTCAATTTCCCTTGAACAGACCTGATAAACAACTAATTAAAGAACTCCAGGTGCCGCTGTAGGCCTCAAAGACAGCTCTCTGCACTCCTCTGAGTCCAGGGCAACAAAATTATATGCTTTTCCTAGAAATGTGGACAAAATATTTTGTTGAGCTAACTTTTCACACCTACCTTTGCAGTTCACTTGGGTTAGCACAAATAAAGTGGTCACATAAACGTTCACATAAACTAGTGCTTTAGGTCATGCCTGTGTCAAACTTAGTTCCAGGCCCCCATGAAATCTAATTAAAGCAAATTTCAGTCCCTTTTTAAGGATACGATGTAAAAGAGCTGATCTTCCTCATGAAAATTTTGTTAACTAGTCCCACGTGATTAAGTATGAATCTCTAGGTTATCCACTCTTGGAATAACAGCCCAGCTTTTTAAACTTCTTGGAAATACCACCAAAGGGTTTCTGGTGCTGATGTTAGAAATGACAGATTGGGGGAAAGTGGGCCTCCGTTTGGTATTACCTGGAAGGCTCTTCAATGTTTTCCCCCCCACTTAATCTGGGTATCACCTGCAAGGCACTTCTATTTTTTTTTTCCCCCGTTAATCTAGGGAGATGACCTGCGTGACTCTCACGCCTGCGGAGGAAACAGGAGAGTAAAGTCCAGATGAAGTGGAGGGTATTAATCTGCCCCGCCAGATCTCGAGTCTGGGAAGGTGCTCACGCCTTGAACGGCCGGCGGAATCCGGGACATCTGGAGCAAACACATTTGCAAGCGGAAGAAAGGTTGCCTCCCTCAACCCGCTTCCCAAAGGCCAGATCTCGGAGCAAGGGGGACTGTGACTTTCTGCGGTCCTGCCAAGTTAAATTTTCCCTTCCAGGGAAGGCACACTCACTTTCCCCCGGGACGCCCCCGGCGGACTCAACACGGCATCGGATTTCGCGCTCCGGGAAACGCCGCTCAACCCTCCTGGGCCCACAGAAATACGCGCGGCGCGGCGCGGCGCGGCGGAGAGGCGGGAGAGCCTGAGCACCTGGCGCCTTACCTCCGACGGCGAGATTTCAAACGCGCCCGCGATCTGGGCGTAGAGCTCCTGGATGCTGGAGAAGCCCTCCACTCGGCCCGTGGCACTACCGTGCGCCAGCTGCGCGTGGAAGACCAGCCTGCGTGCGGGAGCCCGGGACGCTGAGAGGCTCCCGCCGCCCGCGCCCGTCGGCTCGCCCTCCACCAGCCCGGCGGTCTCCTTGGACTTGGCCTTCTTCTTCCCCCGCAGCTTCAGGGGCATCTTGCAGGGCCGAGAGCGCGGGCCCACCTGCGCTGCCGTCCGCCGCCTCCTCCCCCCGGCGCCTCGGACTTTGCGCCCCGGGCCCCGCGCAGGTAAAAGCAGCCTCCAATGGCAGCCGCGCTTCCGCCTGGCTGCGTCGGGTCAGGGCCCCGACCTCCACCCCTGGACCGGAGCAGCCGCCCGCCCGCCCAGCCTCCCCCGGGATGGATCTGGAGAGAAAGAAAGTTACGTAGTCCCTCATCCTATCACCAGGTTTATCCCTACTCCTTGTAAAAAATGGCTCTATTTACGTGAACGCCTGAGGATGCCGACGCTACAGAACAATACGCCTTAGAAGGCAAACACGCTGGCCCTTCTCTGCTTTTCATAAATCTGTAGTAGGCACCCACGCATGATTTGGCCACAGGCCTTCGGGTCCGTACGTCTGGACTTTCGGGGATAGGGATTTAAGTAGAAGTCAACCTTCGTCTGCATTTTCTGCGTCTTACGCTCTGCAGGGCAGAATTGGAAGAGAAAGTCACATAACCTTGAGCTTGGTGCTACGTTGTATTCATAAACCCCCTCAGCCGGGTCCTTGGCACCTCTGAGTTTCCCTTTTGCCTATTTCCTGGGCTGCTTCCTCTCCCAACATTCAGCACGCCTCCAAAGCCATTTGCCCCAGCTCTGCCCTTCTTAGTCTCTACAGAGGACCTTGCCTCATATAGTACAAAGAAAATTGAGGCCATTCGGTGTGAAGTGTGAGTTCCCTCAATTCCCTACCTCGCGTTTATTGCATTGTTTTCAAGTCCAGTCCCCTCCAACTACGCTTTTTACAACAAAGCAAAACAGTCTTGAATTATTAGCTACGAAATTTCCTCACTTCTCTGCTCTTAGAAGCACTGTGATCAGACTTTGCCCCCACACTACTGAAATTTCACTTACTATGCAATTTCAGTGGAGTGAAATCACTATCATATCTTAATTACCAAATACAAGTAATTCTTTTAGGTTTTTATCTTACTTGGTCTGCGTTGCCCATTTCATTCTTCTTAAATTTTGTCCTCTTTTGGCTTCCTTACCTCTCCTCTCCCCGTCCCCACCCTGCTCCTTGCTAACTGCTAGTCTCCAGGAGTTGCATTCACCGACAGTTTTTCCTCGACAAACTTCCCTTCTTACTTAGCTTTGCATGTTCTTCCTGTATGGTCACATCAACATTCTCGGTTTCACAGACGTTGTTGTCTACCAAATGTCTCCAACTCCAGCTTATTCTACCAGAAAGGGAATGTACTGTAGGAAACCCAAATTGAGACTGAACAAAACTGACCTCATCATTTCTCCTGCATCTATCTTTTCTTTTTTTTACTCCTGATTTCAGTTAATAGGATCACCAAGCACTCCCAGACCAGACATTGTGGAGTCGTCGTATCAGGATTTTTCCTCTTCCCTCACCTCTCACATCAATTCAGTCCCGAAAATCCATATTTCTCAACTTAAGGTTAGCAGATGTACTGGGGGAGGAGAGTCTTAAGAATTCTTTAGGAGGCCGGCGCGGTGGCTCACGCCTGTAATCCCAGCACTTTGGGAGGTGGAGGCGGGCGGATCACCTGAGGTCAGGAGTTCGAGATTAGCCTGGCCAACATGGTGAAACCCCGTCTCTACTGAAAATACAAAAATTACCCGGGCGTGGTGGCGCATGCCGGTAGTTCCAGCTACTCGGGAGGCTGAGGCAGGAGAATCGCTTGAACCCGGGAGGCGGAGGTTGCAGTGAGCCAAGATTGTGCCACTGCACTCCAGCCTGGGCAACAGAGCGAGATGAAAAAAAAAAAAAAACTTTAGGATAACTTTAACATTTTTGTTTTATGTTTCTGTGACTTAGAAAAGTAATACAGGGACACCTGCACTCAGCCAGTGCTGCTGCTGTTGCTTCCCAGGAGAGCCAGGGCAACTTTCCACTTGGCCCTCATCCAGCTTCAAGTTTCTTCATCAAATCAGATAACAACACTCGAGCTTGTAGCCTTGTCCGGGAGACAGCAACGCAAGGAGCCAAAATGGTTTCTTTGTTGGAATGCTTTAATTCTCCATATGGCACAAAATATTTTCCTGAATATGCAGCGAAAATTCCTGGTAAATCCACACAGAAGCTTTCTGAAGTAGCAAAGGAATACAACCTCACTAGAGGTTCCATCCCTGAAGAGGATGCTGGGAAATTAGATAACACCTATGCTGTGTTTGCACCTCATGGAACTTTACTAGTAAAGCACAGAAAGGTCCATCTGCTTAACACTGGTGTTCCTGGAAAAATGACGTTTCAAGAATCCACAATGTTGAGTCCAGGCAACAGTTTCTCCACATTTGATACTCCTTACTGCAGAATGAGTCGGGGCATCTGCTATGACACTGGTTTGCAGAGCTTGCACAAATCTACACACGGAAAGGCTGCCAGCTGTTGGTTTATCCAGGGGCTTTCAGTTTGACCACTGGACCAGCCCACTGGGAATTGCTTCAGGCTCTTGATAATCAGGTGTATGTGGCCACATTCTCCTGCCCAAGATGACAAAGCCTCCTATGTTGCCTGGGGACACAGCACTGTAGTGAACCTTTGCTGCTAGGGCTCTCAAGGAAGAAACAATCATGTATTCAGACATAGACCTGAAGAAGCTGGCTGAAATCCATCAGCAGATCCCCATTTTTAAACAGAAGCAATCAGACCTCTGTGCAGTGGAGATGAAAAAGCTCTAAAGTTTATGTTTCCAACGTGTCGCAAAACAAGAAGATACGATTCTGCAACATAATCAACTCCCTATTCTTTAATGAAGATCCTTTTTTTAAATTTCACCCTTTTCCTTCCCAAGGAGCTCTCTATTAAGATGATAAATCCTCAGCAAGCTGATATTTTCCACACCACAATAAGTAGTTAAAAAGGAGCCTGGAGCCGAAGAGCTGGCTCTGAAGTTCCTTCCGTATTTAAGTTGCCTCAGAGCAGTTTGTGAAAGTAACCGATCTTGGTATCCTGGTGATTGATTCACCTAATACAAATATATTTGTGTCATGAACCTCTTATCCCACTTGCTGGAGTTGGAATCCATTATCTGGAAAACTTGATCTGATGCCATTCTTTTCCTAGCAGTACCTTAAAGTTCCATTTTTTGTCCACAAGTAGCTATAGGACGTAAGGTGATAGATCTTTGGTGTTTGCTAGGGGAGGTTGCAGCCCCTTCCTTCCTAGCAGCCTTTGGGCTCTTCAAATTTAAGAAGAAGCTCATCATTCAACCCCAGACCCTCTTGGTCTTTGGGGGAAAGACTGGGTCAACAATGACCCCCATGGGAGAATGGCAGTGGTGGCATTTGGTGAAGGCAACAGTATGAATCTGCAAAAGATTTGATAGGGTCGAGTGTCTGGAAGTCCAAAGTCCCTTTTTTTTTTTTTTTTTTTAATTTTTCCCCTAGTAAGACTTTCTCGCTCCATAGATAAGCAATCACTGTACCAAGTGATTCTTAGACTTTTTGGTCTCAGAATTCTTTTACACAGTTAAAAATTAAGGACTGAAGCCTGGCGTGGTGGCTTACACCTGTAATCCCAGCACTTTGAGAGGCAGAGGCAGGCCAGGACCTGGCCAACATAGCGAAACCCTGTCTCTACTAAAAATACAAAAATTAGCCTTGCGTGGTGGCACACGCTTGTAGTCCCAGCTACTCTGGAGGATGAGGCATGAGAATCGCTTGAACACGGGAGGTGGAGGTTGCAGTGAGCCGAGATCTCACCACTGCATTCCAGCCTAGGCAACGGAGCGAGACTGTCTCAAAAAAATAAAAAATAAAATAAAATTTTCAAATATAGACTAAGGACTGAGGCCCAGCACGGTGGCTCACGCCTGTAATCCCAGCACTTTGGGAGACCAAGGCGGGAGGATAGCCTGAGTCCAGGAGTTCGAGAGCAGCCTGGGCAAAGTGGTGAAACCCTGTCTCTACAAAAGAATACCAAAAAAAAAAAAAAAAAAAATCAGCTAGGTGTGGTGGTGCATGCCTGTAATCCCAGCTATTCAGGAGGCTGAGGTGGGAGGATCGCCTGAGCTTGGGAGGCAGAGGTTGCAGTGAGCTGAGATCATGCCACTGCACTCCAGCCTGGGTGATAGAGTGAGACACACACACGCACACACACACAAAATTAAGGACTGTCAGGCGTGGTAACAGGCATCTGTAGTCCTAGCTACCTGAGAGGCTGAGGCCAGAGGATCCCCTTGAGTCCAGAACCTTGAGTTCAACCTGAGACCCCATGTCAAAAATATATATGTATTATAGGACTGCAATGAGTCTTTGTTTATTTATGTTAACAGCTAGTGATGGGCTGGTAATCGTTTAACCAGCTATTCATGAAAAAGCCTCGATTTTGCTAATTTTCATTGTGTAAATACTTCACCATGGCTGAGTTCCAGCTATCTACATGACACCTCTAAACAGAGTTGGGAATGTTGTACACAATCAGCTCTCAGGAGCTGGTGTAATAAAGACATTGTATCATTTAACCATTGGAAAACAGCACTGGTTACTCGGAACAAGAATGAAAAAGACAAATGACTTTTTAAATATTTTTAAATTTGTAATTGATACATAATTGTATGGACTTTTCTGTTTCTTTTGATTTTTTGTGGAGATGGGATTTCCCTATGTTGCCCAGGCTGGTCTCAAACTCCTGGGCTCAAGCAATCCTCCCACTTCAGCCTCCCAAAGTACTGGGATTACAGGTGTGAGCCACTGCACCTGGCCTGTACTGACTTTTTTTAAAAAATTAGGTGTACAGTTTGGTAAAATCTGACATATATATATATATATAGAGAGAGAGAGAGAGTGATAAACCACTTCAATGAAGATAATGTACATATTTTACCACCTCCTCCCCAAAAAGTAATGTAATATATTCTGGTTCATCTGAATAACTCTTTGAAAACAGGATACTACCACAGAGTTTCAGGGCTCAAATTTGCCTTCATGGTTATGATTGCTATAGCACTAAATAGTATTACTTTGTCTTGGACTAATGAGAAAAGAGAAGAGAAAACCTATAATACTAAGCAAATGATGCATTCCCATCAAGTGAAAGCACAATGACTTCACAATGCATTGTATGAATAAAGAGCTCACAGAAATTTGACTAAAGAAAAGTAGGAAGAGAAGTGAATCATCATAAGGTACATGGCAGATTCATTATCAATATCTGCGAGCATGTGACAGAACACCAGAAGGTGTGAAACTAAGAAAAACTTCAAAGAGAAGAATATCTTTCAGCCATGTCAAAATATCAAAGGAAGAAGCCAGTGTATTGACATAGGGTGGAAAGGTTGGATTCTATAATCTTTTGTGCCCTTTCAATTTCTAAATTCTGTTTTTTCTTACTTAGAAAGTGAAAGTTCCCCTCAAGGCTATGTCGAATTCACTTTTGCTGTAAAATCTCACTTAAGGAACCAGCTGTATTGGGCATGCTCACACAGGAAACAAATGGTACATCCAAGTTAAGGTATTTGGTGAAGGTTTAATAAAGAGACTGGGCAGGTGGTAGTCAGAGAGTAAGCATAATATTAGTACTCCGGGGCTGTTTCTTTTTTTCTTTTCTTTTCTTTTTTTTCTTTTTTTTGAGACAGAGTTTTACTCTTGTTGCCCAGGCTGGAGTGCAGTGGCGTGATCTCAGCTCACTGCAACCTCCGCCTCCCAGGTTCAAGCGATTCTCCTGCCTCAGCCTCCCAAGTAGTTGGGATTACAGGCATGCGCCACCATGCCCAGCTAATTTTTGTATTTTTAGTAGAGACAGGGCTTCACCATGTTGGTCAGTCTGGTCTCGAGCTCCTGACCTCGTGATCAACCCTCCTTGCATTCCCAAAGTGCTGGGATTACAGGCATGAGCCACCACGCCCGGCCCCCAGGGCTGTTTTTATCCCCAAATCCAAAGACATGAGGAATTAAAAAGTTCTGTAGAGAGAGTTCATTTTAAGAGGAGCTATGACATTTGCTTGAAGGAAACATGTAGGCCAAGGCAATCTAGAAGGAAAGCACTTGGGGAAATTAATACCTTGACCCAATATTACCCTTAGAGCTGGGCAGAAGTTCTGCTCTGGCATTCCTTTAGCTGCATACCACCCAAGGTAGGGAGCCCACAAGGGCAAGGGGGAATGGCCACCCAGAATTCATGCCCTCCTTTCTAGACCACATTCTACACACCCAGGATCCCTGATTTCCCTGCCCAAGTGGCCCCCAGCCTGCCTCCAGAATGTGCATAGGCTTCACCAGGGTCCAGGTAGCCAGCATCCCTATGTCTGAGAGATGGCTAAGGAGCAGCTTTTGGCCAGGGTAAAGTGGGGATTAGGGAAGGACAGAACAGAGCTGGATAGAAAAAGAATGGGGTACGCTTCAGGCAGAGACCTGTTTCTCCCACATCCCTATATTCCAGTGTGGAACTATTGAATTGGAGAACTCTAAATTTGGACTTATCCATTCCGATCACTTAAATTTGGACTTATCCATTCCGATCACTATGAAGATATATTGGCCAAAATAGAAGTATAAAACATATATTATTTGACAGTTGATTATCAAGCAGTTTTAAATAGTTAGGCTTATGGTATCTGGGTCTCTATTTGTATTCTTGTCCCAGGTTCCACAAATGTGCCTACCGACCTCATTCCAGTCCCACCCTCGGATTACCTACCTAGACTCAACATTGAATTAAGCCCAAGGCCAGAGGGAATGGAGTCTCTGCTGATATGGCCCAGGCTGCAGATGCCTCCAGGAGAGAGGAGAGGGTTGGAGGTTGGATCTAGAGATGTAAATAGAAACGGTGGCATATCAGCCCACCTAGTCTCTCATTTTTCTGAGTTCCTAATACACATCTATTGTAAAAAACTTTATTTACAACAAAGTTTTGTTTGTATATATACTGACTTTTTTCATATACGGTAAATTATGAAATCCAGCAAGATAAGTCCTTGATGATAGAAACCATGTTCCATATTCCTCTTTGGTATCCTGTCCAGATTCTCCCATAGTATTATATATATAATAGATATCAGTAAATATAATTGGATAACATTGATTAACCTTTGTTACTACTTAAGATAAATTAAAAACAATTAATTAAAAGTATTAGGTCTTCAATTTATATCTAGGCTTAGAGTTCAACCCACATTATCAATCTACAATATTTCCACTCAGCATTTGGTATTCCCAACAACCTTAAAGTATCAACTATAAAGTCAAGTATGAGTCATTAAAAATTCTATGATTGTCTGCCAAAAGCAATATTATTTATAAGACATTGTCTTGTTTATAAGAAATTGTCTTGTTTATAAGAAGCTATAAATGAATCATAAGATAAATTTACTAACTTGTTTTTCCCAGCAAATATAGCCTCTAATTACAACATGTAACATTAGGAGTTCTGAAGAAACACACACTGATCACCTCCCTCTATGCCCCACTCTCCATTATGTATGTATCCAGTAAGCAAATACTTGGGAGAAAATAAACACAGGATTTGTTAAACCATATGCAGTTTTCCCAGGGACTAAAGATAGCATGTTTTATAGTTGCATGGCAACAATGAACAACTGAAGGTGGCAAATGGGGGAGGAAATAACTCTTAGCTGAAATTCAAATAAATTTTATTATGAGTAATTGGAAATACAGAAATGGAAAATGGAAAGAGGAAAAGGAGGTGGGGTGATAGAGGGGGAAGAATAAATTTAATAATAAGAATATGTAGGTGCTCCATGAGCAAGCAACTACTGTGTGTCTGGCTTAGTCCTCAATATTTTACATGCATTATCTCATCTGTGTATACTTAGAGGAAACCCTCTGGCATGGACTCCAGATTACTCCACATCTCCAAGGTTATGGTGAATAAACATTGAAGAGACAAGAACAAATGTGGACAGTAAGCTAATTTAACACTAGTTCTACAATAACATACATATGGAAAAACTGCACGAGGTTTAACGCACAGCCACATTCAAAGTCACACATTTTAATCTTCAAGCACTGTATGCAAAACTGAAAAATAGTAATAGTAATTGGTTGACATACAAGCCTTTGATGACTCAGAGTTCAACAAATAATTTCTGTTATACAGACCCAAAATACTGGATAGAGTTAAACAATTTTATTTTATTTTTTTTTATGAGACAGAGTCTCACTCTATCACCCAGGCTGGAGTGCAGTGGCACGATCTTGGCTCACTGCAACCTCTGCCACCCAGGTTCAACCGATTCTCCTGCCTCAGCCTCCCAAGTAGCTGGGATGACAGGCACCTGCTACCGCACCCGGCTAATTTTTGTATTTTTAGTAGAGACGGGTTTTCACCATCTTGGCCAGGCTGGTCTTGAACTCCTGACCTCGTGACCCACCTGCCTTGGTCTCCCAAAGTGCTGGGATTACAGGCATGAGCCACTGCACCCAATCCAAATATTTTCAATGAAAAGAATAACTTAAAGCTATTGAAGATAATCATTACAGTAATTTTAAGGCCAAGATATAGCAATGACAAAAAGAAATATAATGTCTTTAAGAAAAAAACATTTCATATAAGAGTAGAAATTTTTGAGTAATTCTATTGTAGACCAAAAACATAAAACCTGGAGTCAATCTTCCTTCCATTTGCTGGGGTAGGGGGGAGGTAAAAGATTGTCAAACCCTGAAAGTCATTAGCTGGTAATGAGATAATTTTCTCCATTTTAAACTTGAAATAAATGCAAAGTGTAGGTTCCCAAAAACCGCCAAATATTTTTCATTTTGTTCCTCAGTTATACTGGAAAAGGAATGCTAGTAAATGTTATCCAAAAATATTTTGCCACATTTGGTAATTAATTTTACAACACTGAACTTACCCAGTACATTTTTTTAAATTAAGAATTTGACCTGAAAACCATCATTAAAATATAACCCTAATAGTTCAATATAACATAATTAAGGTTTTGTTGTAATTTTACCAGAAGCAGGGCTGAAGTTTATATCTGCCAATCAAAAATGCAGAGAATGTTGATTTATATGGACTAGAGATAACGTGAAAATCCAAGTAAAATTTTTTGGTGGGCCTTCTGCGTTCTACTTTTCCTTCAGAATTCAAGTTAACAAATTGAAATGATGAGATGTGTCACTTTTCTATCATTTCCACAACTATTATAATTGAAGGAAGCTGTTCAGTATGCCAATTAAGAGCACAAGTTTTAGATTGAACCAAGAGACCTGGTTCAAGTCATTGTGCTGTTTGTACAGTGGTAATCGATTACAATCTTGGGCGAATCTTTTCATCTCTCGGTTAATTTTTCACACTTAAAGATATTTAGTTCTTATAGCTAAAATAAATATTGCATAAAACATACTGTAAATATACTTGTGTATCAGGTGACAGTACCTACCACATAATAAATGATTTAAAATATTATTATTGCACAATAGATGTTCGTAATGAAAATGAATGGCATACTCTAAGATCCTGTAGTATCTTCTTTTTTTTTTGAGGCAGAGTCTCGCTTTATGTTATCCAGGCTGGAGTGCAGTAGCACAAACATGGGTCACTGCAGCCATGAGCTCCTGGGCTCAAGTGATCCTCCCGCCCCAGCCTCCTGAGTACATGGGACCACAGTTATGTGCCACCATGCCTGGCCAATTTTTTATATTTAATTTTTTTGTAGAGATGGGGGGTCTCACTCTGTTACCCAGGCTGGATGTAGTATCTTCTAAATCAAGTACATGCTCTGTTTTTTATCATAATTTTCATATGGCATATTTCATTGTACTCTTAAGCATTGAAAGTAGGCTATCAGAACATGGCATATATTTAAGTTGTTCAAAAATAATGAATGACAATATTCTAATTCAAGCATTTTGGACTAAGAAAAGTTTATTTAAATAGTGAATATAAGTTATAAGAGAAATGTTAAAAACACTTGCAATCATTTTGAAGTTTAGTTGGAAATTTCAACAATTGGCATGCTAATCACATTTTTAATCTGTTTATTAATTCGAGTCCTGAAGAACATTTACTTGACAAATGAATATTTCAAGTTATCAACTAAACTATCACTGTGATAAACTGTATTTAATATTTAATTCAGAATAGTCTAGTTTTCTAAAATTATTCCAATTCATTGTGTTTCAAAAACATTTTATATAATCTGCCTCCTTGGATGTCTTTCTTAAATAAAAATATGAACAAATTAATTTCACAAAATGTTTACTATTTCAATTATTCAGCATAAATTAGACAAACATTTGTTGAAAAATTGTTTTCTATAAGGACTGACCTAAATGTGGGGGAAGAAAAGTCCATTTTCAAGGAGGCTCAATCTAATGAGGAAGATTAACATAATTATTATTATGCAAGGCAGATTGTAATAAGCTCTACAAGGAGATGAGCAGAATAAGAAAATGACTGGTTCTCAAAAACATCAGAAATGTCTCACACATGAGCTGGACCTTGATTTTGACAAATAGAAGATGGGAGTAGAATGGGAACCCCATGAAGAGAAAAATTGTTGGGCATTCTTTCTTGCAGAGACTAAACATAAGTAGATGGTTTATGTATGGCTTATCTTACAAACAAGCCTAGAGTTGGAGTTTCAATATGTAAAACGGAAAAGGTAAGTTGATATCAGATTGCAAACAGTCATAAATACTAGGAAGAAGTTTGAATTTTATTTTTAGCCATTGGCAATAACCAATTGTGTGGTTACTGCAGAACACCAGACCAGCACTGAGTAAACCCAGTTCAAGCTCTACTACCCATTAGCTTGTGGGAAGTCATTTACCAGCATTACGCAATGTTTTCCTCACTTGTTTAAAAAAATATATTACCAAAAGCTAAGTGTTTGACTGAATGATGTGATTCTTTTATATACAAGAGTAATATAATTCTATAATTCAATATAAAACTATAGAACCATAACTTTTTGTCATTCAGCATCATTTAGAAGGTGAAAATGGATTCTTCCTTCTTAAATAGAAAATCTAAAATTTTTCTATCCTGTGGTGGTTAAAATATGATTTAGTTTTGCTGATACCTGGTTCTAAGTTTGTTACAAACATTTTCTTTCTAGGGATTAAATCACATTTATGTTCCCCCAAAGAAAGTTTATCCCATTCTCGGCCATTATAGCACTTCGTTCTCTGCCATTATAGTACTTCCTTCTCTGCCAAGATTTCAGATGCTTTGAAAAAATCCAGAGAGACATCAAAATTCAAAGTGGAGTACCTGGCATTTACTAAGTGCTAAATACTCATTGAAATGAGGTTTTTTCCCTATTTCTCAATTCTATTGCTAACTTTAACGCAAGCCCTTTACTTTCTTAACACAATCATTTTGATTGTTTTCCAACTAGCCTTATTTCTCCTGTGCTGTATCTTTCCTATCAATCTGCCATACGTCTACCTGTGAGTGATCTTGGTTAACTTAAATCTGATTGTGTTAGTCTCCTGTTTAAAACTACTTGTTTTCTGTAGTGCTCAAAGTGTAGTTCCCAAATCAGCACTATCAGCATCACCCAGGAACTTTTGTAAATACAAAATCTCTGATCCCACCCCAAACCCACAATCCATGTTTTACCAAGTCTCCCAGCACTCTGATGCACCCTACAGTTTGGAAACTACTGGCTTACAGGATAAAATATAAATACCTAGGATAGCATACATTCAGCACTGGTTCCCCACATATTTCTCTACCTCTCTCCCAAATTAAATGATATACTTTAGCTCTGTTACAGTGCTAGAAGTTCCTAAACACCACTGTGCCCTTTGCTCATGGAACTCCTAGAAAGCACTTTCCCAACATGGCAGCCTGAGAGTTCCCTGCTCATTCAAAATTCACTCAAGAGTATCTGAAGTGTTGTGGCAGATATAGCTATATGGAGCTTCTAACAAATCCCAATAGGAGAATCCGGGTGCAGAGTCCTAGGGTTTTGGAGTAAGCCATGTCCTCTGCTGCCAACAGGCTTTTTCCCATTGAAAAGCAGCTCCTGACTTGCTGGTGAGTTCTGGGAGAGACTGACAACTTTATGATAGACTGCCAAGTGATGATGTGACTGGAGCTACTCCTCAACGAAATCTTCAAGTTGAGACATGCATTCCATTATTTAATATGAATGATATATGCAAGACTGGACCTACGTAATGACTAGTTAATAAAAGAGAAAAAGTTCAGGCCTGCTCTGCACATTACACTGGAACAGCCAGAAGTAGACAGCTACTACACTCATGGGTGGCCCTGAAAGGCATGGTAACAGGAAATTCCCCCTAGGCTGTAGAACTTATGGCCGTTCACTTGTCCACTTTGAATGAAAGAAAAATGGTCTGATATCTATTTACCTTGGCCACTTCCCCTTGATCCTCTAGCTGATAAGGTAAATTGAGGAAGGGGCTGCAACAAGGACCCTGGCCGAATCAGTGAGTTGAAGGGCGTGGGAGATGAGCCCAAAGCCACAGAACCCCAGGCACCACGTAAATACTACTGATCATTCTGGTTTGCTGCTTATACATTAGGCAACTCCTGTGTCAGAGTTTTTACTTTAAATCCTTAGTGAGAAGCCTCCTTGGGAGAGGAATACACCAGCCCAAGGGTTTTGGACAGGAAAGAGGAGGAGAAATGAATATCCAAGGACTACAAGTCAGTCTACATTTGTTTCCATCAACACTTCTTGCTACCAAGGCTTTTGCACTGCCCTGATAATACTCTGCAGTATCAGCATGCACACCCTGAGCTTTTGTCTCCAATTTTGGCAGTGAAGCTGCAGGCAATATCTGTTACAAGGTAATTCTGGAAAAAGTCAAGGGCAGACTTAAAAAGCTTTCCTCTGACTAACCCTCTCACCAGCCTACCCTAACACTCAAAATGGTTCAAAACAGCCTTAAATCTCTACAAGGATTCCTAGCTTCCATCTAGCTCTATAGTTTCTACAGGGCTGATTATGCAACAGGGAGCTTGCCACTCCCGCTGCTTTCCTATCTTGGCCAGAAACCAGAAACCCTCAAATTCTCATGAAACATACTTAGCATATGGTTTGTTCTTAAATTTTTAATTAATATTGAATGAATAAATTCTGGCAACTGAATTCTGAAACCAGAAATCTAAGTCCACTTTCAAATGAAGAGATGCTGTGACTAATAATAGCTAATGTTTATTATTGAGCCAAACACTATTATAGGTGCTTATTTCTTTAAAAGAGGTAATACATGTAATAAATGAAACAACTATGACTTCCTTCCGTGTTCTGTAAGAAATAAGAAAAAGAAACATACTTCTTTATAATAACCACATACATTGAGGTGCTTAATATGTATAACAATTTACCTAATAGGTCTAATATCTTCCAAATATATTCAGTCAACTAATACTCTGTTATTTTTCTTCTAAAAAGAAGCTTTTAGTTTTTCTTAAAATACATTTTCATGGCCAGGTGTGGTGGCTCACGCCTGTAATCTGAGAACTTTGGTAGGCCCAAGGCAGGAGGATTGCTTGAGGCCAGGAGTTTGAGAGCAGCCCGGGCAATATAGTGAGACCCTGTCTCTTTCTCTCTCTCTCTCTCTCTCTCTCTCTCTCTCTCTCTATATATATATATATATATATATATATATATATATACACACACACACATATACGTATATGTATATATTTTTTTTTGAGACAGAGTTTTGCTCTAATTGCCCAGGCTGGAGTGCAATGGCGCGATCTCGGCTCACCACAACCTCCGCCTCCCTGCTTCAAGCAATTCTCCTGCCTCAGCCTCCCGAGTACCTGGGATTACAGGCATGTGCCTCCACACCCAGCTAATTTTCTATTTTTAGTAGAGACAGGGTTTATCCATGTTGATCAGGCTGATCTCGAACTCCCGACCTCAGGTGATGTGCCTGCCTTGGCCTCCCAAAGTGCTGGAATTACAGGCATGAGCCACTGTGCCCAGCCCCTAAAAATATATTTAAAAAAAAGAAAAGAAAATATATTTTGATGGCTTTGAAAAATATACATGTATGCACATACACCACTTAATGCAAATTAATTTTCTAATTTCTAACTTACTTATAAAAACAATTATTAGACAATTCTTGGCTGTTGCCTCAGAGATGTATTTAAGTGGCCCATTTATTTCTATCCCAGAAGCACACTTTGTACTGAAATAGCAATAATAAAGAGGATACTTACCTAAAGGTCTATGGATTCTAACAGGCTACACATAGATACTATGTACAGTCTCCTAAAACATTAAGATTACACTGAATGCTTAGAAATGAAAGCCATTGAATAACTCTCCTCTACATTATATTTGTGGTCACTGATGATAACCATACAATTAAGAAACAATATGAAAATAAAATTTAGTCAGATACTTTTTTTTTTGAGAGACAGAGTCTTGCTCTGTCTCTCAGGCTGGAGTGCAGAGACATGATCTCAGCTCACTAAAACCTCCGCCTCCCAGGTTCAAGCAATTCTCTTGCCTCGGCTTCCCAAGTAGCTAGGACTATAGGCATGCACCACCACGCCCAGCTAATTTTTGTATTTTTTTAGTAGAGACGGGGTTTCACTATATGTTGGCCAGGCTGGTCTCGAACTCATGACCTCAGGTGATCTGCCCGCCTCAGTCTCCCAAAGTGCTGGGATTACAGGTGTGAGCCACCACATCCAGCCTAGTCAGATACTTTTAATGGTGTTTTGTTTTCTCATATATAATCCTTAGAGGAATGGTTGTGATGCTGGCAAACTGAGTAGAAATTTTTTAAAGTAAATTTTAAGCTTATTTTAAAATTTAAAGTAAATTTTTTTCTTTTTTATTTTTCTTTTTCATTTTGAGACAGAGTCTCACTCTGTCACCGAGGCTGGAGTGCAGTGCTGTGGTTATGGCTGGCTGCAACCTCAACCTCCAGGGCTCAAGTAATCCTCCCACCTCAGCCTCCCAGTAGCTGGGACCTCAGGTGCGCACCACCACACCCAACCAATTTTTGTGTTTTGAAGAGATGGGGTTTCATCAAATTGCCCAGACTGGTCTTGAACTCCTGGGCTCAAGCAATCCTCCCACCTCACCCTCCCAAAGTGCTGGGATTACAGGCATGAACCACCGCACCCAGCCCCAGTGAATTTTTAAAAATTTTTAAATGTGATTTATTTAGAAGTTCTCTTTTCTGTAATCAGGGTAAAGCAACGCATCAGAAATAAACTCACTCAAATCTATTTTGAACTAAAATCTAAAGAAATCTAATGAGAAGCTTAAGAAATTTCTGTTTCTTACTAAAACACCCATTTCTTCATGTATGACCTTCATAAAGTCTTTGGTTAGTAAATTTATTTTTTTTCTAATGTTACTAGCATAGGTTTGCTAAAATACTATATAGACAGAATTTGAAGGAAATCTGAATGTTATTGTCACCACTGACATGAGAATTTAATAGGGCAAATTCAACAGAAATTTACTTTTCCTATCTATAATTATCTTAAGTTGAAGGGGGAAATAAACTCATCTATAAACTAATCAAAATAATGGTCGTTTATTAGAATTTGTCTTATGACCCAAAAATAGCTATATAGCTATATCTACTGCTGTTCCAACAATCAAATAATGAGTAAAAATTTTCCAGTCAGTAGTTTTTAAATGAATTTAAACAAATTGACATTTAAGTTTTAAAATTTAACAATTACTACATTTATATCCTTATGAGAATTCTAGGAGTGTTTTTCAAACTGTGGAGCTGTTTCACAAATGTAGATCATGAAATAAATGCCGTGGGATGCAATTAGAAAAAAATTAATAAACTAGAGTATAATTTTAAAACATCAGAGTTATTCTATCTAGGAATGGTAAGTAATGGTTTATTAAACTTCCATTTTATATACATATATGTAAATGAAATTATTATTTTCATAGGTAAAAGATAGGTAATTTCATATTGCCACTTTTATAGATCAAAAAAGTTGAGTATCTGTGATTTCATATGGCTTAAACTAATATACACATACATTCACACACAATGTAAACTAGTAGATGACACTGTAAAATGTATTCTTTTTTTTTTTTAAAGATAGTGCAGACCCAAAGAGTGAGCAGTAGCAAGATTTATTGTGAAGAGCAAAAGAACAAAGCTTCCACGGTGTGGAAGGGGCCCCGAGCGGGTTGCCCGTAAAATGTATTCTTACTGGCAAAGAGTAACAACAAAAACAACCCCCACACACACCCAAGAATGCTCTCTATATTACATAGTTCTAGAAAATAGCCTAAAGAGTTTTTATTTCTGTTGAATTTCAGAGTAGTTTTACTTATTTATTAAATGTTTGTGGTTATTAAATTTTATACTATGTTATAAAGTGGATGGATATTTAAAAATTTATTGTAAACAAGCTTTGTAACAAGCTTTTTTAAACAAAGCATTGTAAAATAGTCAACTACCTAACTTTAATACCATGCATCATTTACTGTGATTTCTTAACATTAAAAAGAACATCAAGTTTTTTTTTCTACCCTAACATTATTATTTTTTTATTTTTGTTAGGATACTTGCCGACACTTCCAAATTTCTTAACAACACAAACTTCTAGTCCATGATTTTTAAAAAATACACACTAACAAATTAAATTTTACTCTAGTCTATTTTCCAGGGTGAACTCTGGTATGATCTCTAAAGGCAGTTTCGTCTACAGAAGGAGAGACCTCATCTAATGTCATCTCCTTCTAACGGCCGTCACCAAAATTATAATCAAAGCCAAGGCTAGTAGCTCCTAATCTGATGTCTCCACATCCCAAGGAGACTACAAAGGAGGTAGGTAATATAGATAAGTGATGCTACTTTCAGTATTGGAAATCACCTAATGGGAATCACACACCTAACAGGTTATAGAGTGAATTTTTTTAAATAGCATTCTTAGCCAGGTGCTATAGCTTATGACTGTAATGCCAGCGCTTTGAGAAGCTGAGGCAGGAGGATTGCTTGAGGCCAGGAATTCAAGATCAGCCTGGGTGACATAGCAAGGACCTTGTCTGTACAAAAAGATAAAATCACATTTTTTGTTTCTAGCTGTTCACTTCCTGTTTATCAGTAGTTGACTAGCTGTCATATTATGTTGGATATATTAAAATAATAGTTCTGTTTTTCTCAGAGGCAGGGCCTCACTCTGTCACCCAGGTTGGAGTATAGTGGCATGATCATAGGTCACTGCATCCTCAAATCCTAGGGCTCAAGTGATCCTCCTGTCTCAGCCTCTGAAGTCGCTGGGACCACAGCCATGTGCCACCATGCCCGGATAATTTTTTTTATTTTTTGTAGAAATGGGGTCTCACTATGTTGCCCAGGCTGATCTTGAACTCCTGACTTCAGGCAATCCTCCTGCCTCAGCCTCCCAAAGCACTGGGATTACAGGCATGAGCCACTGTGCCTGGCCTAAATATAATAATTCTAACAGCCATCCCCAAATATAAATATAATAATTATTAATAAATACAGTCTGTTCATCACAAAAAAAAGTTTAATTTAATATGGGTGGGGGTAAGAATGTAATAAAAGGCCTATTTGGGGTAAAAAGTTTAGAACCAATGCTATGAAATAAATTTTTAATGTAGTATACCCATGATCTTTAAAATTTTTATTATGAATCTTATCTGTAATTTAATTTTTATTTTCATTTTCAAGAGGTAAAGCATTTCAAAATTTAAGAGTATGAGGGAGACTATCAATATATGAATCAGCAGCCTGAGAAATATAGAATCATATGTCTTTTAAAATCTTCATTTAAAAAAATTTGAACAAAGATAACATTTTAATGTAACATAATTTAAAATGTCTGAGTAAACTTCTCTTTCAACATTATCTCATCCATACCTAGTATTGTTTATAGAGAACTGTATTCTATTAAGAGGTACATATGATAAGTATTCTCCATTTACAAATAGGAAACACAAGCCTGAAAAGAAATGGCCTCTATAGACAGCAAGAGCCAGGATCAGGCGCCAACACTTGACATTTTCTAGTCATATCTTTGGCTAGCTGCAATGGCTCACACCTGTAATCCCAGCAGTTTGGGAGGCCAAGTATCATGGAATACTATACAGCCATAAAAAGAATGAAATCATGTCCTTTACAGCCACATGGATGGAGCTGAAAGCCATTATTCGAAGTGAAATAATTCAGAAACGGAAAATAAAAATACTTGAGAGCTAAATAATGGTTACATGTGGACCTACAGATGGAAATAATAGACACTGGGGACTCCAAATGGAGGAGAGGTGGGAATGGGGTAAGATTAAAAGACCAGCCTGGGCAACCTGGTGAAACCCCGTATCTACTAAAAATACAAAAAATTAGCCAGCATGATGGCGCATGAGAATATCTTGAACCCGGAGGTGGAGGTTTCAGTGAGTTGAGATCACACCACTGCACTCCAGCCTGGGTGACAGAGTGAGACTCTATCTCAAAAAAAAAAAAAAAAAAAAAAGACATTTTCTAGTCCCATTTTCTTTATCTGACATCTACTTCTGCCTCTTTGATATGTATTAGGAAACATAACATCAACAGGATTTGAAAATTAGGAAGTAAATTATATATTTTTCTGCTTTTCAATAAAGGTTCCCATCTCAGGACTTTTGTCATTGCTGTTCCTTTTTCCTTAAATCTTCTTCCAACAGCTGCCCGCTTTGAATCATTAAGGGCTGAATGCAAATGTCTCTCTCCCCAGAGAGGCTGTCTTTGATGACTCTAGCTAAAAAGTAACACACTTCTTCCCCCTCCAGTCAGTTTCTATGCCGTTATCATTCTTTTCTTAATGCTTATCATTATTCAAAAAAATGACTTACTTGTTTTTTAATGCAAGTAATGTTTCTTAGTGTTTATCTTCTATGATTAGAATGTAAGGTCTTTAAGGGTAGGACTGTATCTTTAGCACCTACAATGTTATAGCCTCAGTGTGCTCAGTAAATACTTGTTTAACAACTAACTAAAGGTGATTTGATAACTGATAAATGTTGATACGTTTATGAAAAACAGTGTGAAGATTTCTCAATGAGCTAAAAATAGAACTACCATTAAACCTAGCAATCCCACTACTGGGTATCTACCCAAAGGAAAATAAATTATTATATTAAAAAAGACACTGGTGCTTGTTTGTTTATCACAGTACTATTCACAATAGCAAAGTCATGGAATCAACCTAAGTGTGTCCATCAATGGTTGATTGGACAACGAAAATGTGGTATATACACATCATAGAATACTATACAGCCATAAAAAGAATGAAATCATGTCCTTTACAGCCACATGGATGGAGCTGAAAGCCATTATTTGAAGTGAAATAATTCAGAAACAGAAAATAAAATACTTGAGAGCTAAATAATGGGTACATGTGGACCTACAGATAATAGACACTGGGGACTCCAAATGGAGGAAAGGTGGGAATGGGGTAAGAGTTGAAAAATTACCTATTGGGTACAATGTTCACTCTTTGGGTGATGGGTACACTAGAAGCCCAAACTTCACCATCATGCAAAATATCCATGTAACAAACCCACACATGTATCCCCTGAATCTCAAAAGAAAAAAATTTTAAAACATACTGTATTGAAAGGAGGCAGAGGTTGCAGTGAGCCGAGATCATGCCATTGTACTCCAGCATGGGGGCAGAATGAAACTCCATCTCAAAAATATAAAAAATAATAATAAGTTCTATGAGGGTAAGGAACAGGTTGGTTAAATTCACCATTACATCTAACACAGATCTTGGCACAGAGGAGAAATGAATTTTTATTTTATGTCTATCAAATTAATGTAAAATAATAAATTTCCCCATCTTTCCTTAATTTGTGCAAAGCAGGAGAAAAGAGGTGTATTTGGGTATCATAAAACTAATACAATTTAGACAAAAGGAAAAAATAACCTCATATTCTTGGTTCTGCCCCTAAATGATACCTAGGCAGAAACAACTACTAGTGGTAGAAAACACATTTCTCATAGGAGGAGGGCATATGGTACATTTCCACTGTCATGCATTTTATGTATTATGTCCTCAATTCTCAAGTTTATGAAGGCCTTTATAAAGATCATTCTTATCTGTGACCCCAGCATAGCCTGGTGCCCTATGCAAAAAAAAATTCTGACACTGACAACAGCAAGGCATCATAATGAATTTGTCACTATTCATTGAAAGAAATTGGTGGCTTCTGTCAATCTCCTAAAATTATTATCCTAAATAATTCAGTGGATATGGAAGGATTGGTTCAGGTTTTTCAGGCAGAACAAATGAAGACAACTACCATCTTCACAACCATGTAGCCATGAACAGTAGAAATAGCAGGTCGAAAATCACAATCTGGGCGTGAATCTCAGTTGCATCTCTATCTGTGTGATCTGGGATAGAGGACTTAAGAATGCCTGAATCTCTGTTTCCTCATCTGCCACATGAAGTAGTAATAACAAATAACTACTTCACAAAATTATCAATTACTATACAAAAATATTGGGCCACGTATTTGAAAATGTTGATTATGAACTATGTGTTTGCACTCTATGCTCTCATGAAGTTAGTATTTCATAAACTAAAATCAAAAGCAGGCAGGGTTTTTATTTTGATTTTTTTTTTTTTTTTTTTTGAGATGGAGTTTCACTCTTGTTGCCCAGGCTAGAATGCAATGGCACAATCTTGGCTCAACACAACCTCTGCCTCCCGAGTTCAAGTGATTCTCCTGCCTTAGCCTCCCGAGTAGCTGGGATTATAGGCATTAGCCACCACGCCTGGCTAATTTTTTTTTTTTTTTTTCAGTAGGCATGAGGTTTCTCTATGTTGGTCAGGCTGGTCTTGAACTCCCGACCTCAGGTGATCCGCCTGCCTCAGCCTCTCAAAGTGCTGGGATTACAGGTGTGAGCCACCATGCCCGGCCTTTATTTCGAATTTTAAAAATACTTACAAATCCCACAATGTATAAATACTTCAAACCATCATGTTTTACAGAGTAAATACATACAATTTTATTTGTCAATGTAAAGAAAAAAGTACTTACAGCAATATATAAGTAGGCATAAGATACTTGGTTCAATCTTTTCAGAATAGTCACACATTCACAGTAATTTTGAAATATTTTTTCTTTCATGTGCCTCTAGATACAATAAAATGTTTTAACATTAGATATATTTAACATTAAAGTATTTAAGTCTAACTACATTTACTAGTTAGAATTATATGTTGCTCTTTGATTTAGTGCCTTTTCTGAAAAAAAATTTTTTTCTTTTTTTTTTTGAAACAGGGTCTTGCTTTGTCACCCAGGCTGGAGTGCAGTGGCACAATCATAACTCACTGCAGCCTCACTTTCCCAGGCTTAAGCAATTATCTGGTGCCAGCCTCCTGTGTTGCTGGGACCAAAGATGTGGACCACCATGCCTGGTTAATTTTCATATTTTTTGTAGAGGCAGAGTCTTGTCATGTGGCCAAGCTGATCTTGAACTCCAAGGCTCAAGCAATCCACCTGCCTTGGCCTCCCAAAGTACTGGGATTATAGGCGTGGGCTCATGCTGGGATATGCCCATGGGCACAGGCAGATCACTTGAGCCCTGGAGTTCAAGACCAGCCTGGCCAACATGGCAAGACTTCATCTATACAAAAAATACAAAAATTATTGGGGCATGGTTTATACAAAAAATACAAAAAGTATAGGGGAATGGTGGTGTTTGCCTGTCGTCCCAACTACATGGGAGGCTGAGGCCAGAGGATCACTTGAGCCCAGAAGTTCGAGGCTGCAGTGAGTCATAATCATGCCACTGCACTCCAGCCTAGGTGACAGAGTGAGACCCTGACTAAAGAGAAAAAAATTAATAAAATGTTATTTCATAAGAACAAAAAACACATTTTTAAATCAAATACCTATGTAAAGAAATTATTGATATTTACATAGTATATATGGTCTATATTCCTTTTTTTAAAGCTACATATAGGTCTTGAAATAATTCAAATCCATTACAATTATCGAAAATACAAGTAAAAAATAAAATATTTTTATATTAATTAAAAGATTGGTAAAGTTTTAAAATCTCTTAGCAACATAAAATTAGAATTCCTGGCTAATGGTTCATCTTCTTAATATTCAAACCCATCACATTTATTAAGACAAATTATTAAATGAGATGACTGGTATCTATTCATAATATTAAGTAAGTCATTGTTTAAAATTTGAAAACTGAAAGAAAATAAATAAGTTTCTGAGTCAGGCATGGTGGCTCACACCTGTAATCCCAGCTACTTGGGAGGTTGAGGCAGGAGGATTGTTTGAGGCCAGGAATTCTAGGTTGCAATGAGCTAAGATGGTGCCACAGCACTCCAGCCTGGTTGACTGAGCAAGACCTCATTTCTATAAATAAGTAAAATAAATTCATTTCTCATACGCAACACCTCAAGATTCTAACTGTAAATCAAAATAAGATATCAATTTCATTTTAAAATGTTTGACTTATTTTAAGTTACATTATTTTGGTTAAATAATACAGTTTATATTGTATAAATTTTGTGATATATAAGTCTACCTTTTTTTGGTGCCAAAACAGAAGTGATATAACTTTATATACCATCTTCAAACTTAATGAGAATAAGCCTATATAACCTAGCAACTAATTTTAAATAATACTAAGCCCCATCTTAAGCCTGGTTTTCAATTTTAACATCTGATTAATTTCTTCCAAAATTTATACATAAAATATTCTGGGAAAAAAGTATAAAATGTCTAACTATTCCTATTGTGTAATTACTACTCTGAAGTTAGCTGTGCCAATTTTCAAGGTTTCCTTCATAAGTAAGGGAGTGTAATGTATAAAAGCCATAGTAAAATATAATTTCCCAGTCTGAAGCAGATATGTTTCTGAAAACACTGAGATAAGAAAACGATTAGGATTTAAGTTGTGAAGGGAAAAAAAATAGTTTTAGGCAGAACCCTAAGAAGACAGTTTTTAGATTCACTAAAATGAAGATTGTATTAAATAAAGAGGATAAGAGTAAATTTAATTAGTAATAATAAATACTATATGATTTACAATTCCTTGATCACTAGAAATTTTTCAGGATCTCCCATTTTCATAGCTTCAATAAAATGCTTGCAAATTCATTTTTGGTTTGTTAAACATAATAGGCACATCAAGAAGGCGATTTTTAAAAAGTCTAACCTCATTCCTAATGTTTAAACTTTTCAGATCTTATGATTTTCAGTTAACCTCATCTCTCTCTTTTTTTTTTTTTTTGAGATGGAGTCTCACTCTGTCACCCAGGCTGGAGTGCAGTGGCTCCATCTCAGCTCACTGCTACCTCCACTTCCCAGGTTCATGTGATTCTCCTTCCTCAGCCTCCCAAGTAGCAGGGATTACAGGCACCTGCCACCACGCCTGGCTAATTTTTGTATTTTTAGGAGAGACGGGGTTTTGCAATGTTAGCCAGGCTGATCTCGAAGGCCTGACCTCAAGTGATCTGCCCACGTCGGGCTCCCAAAGTGCTGGGATTACAGGCGTGAGCCATTGATCCGGCCAATCTCATTTCTTGAACCTCTTCATCCCCAGTCACAGAGATGCAAAATGTATACTTAAGATAAAAAACAATTACACAACTTTTACTTAAGTGACTCAGATAAACATAACTAAGCCGAGAGCGGTGGCTCACGCCTGTAATCCCAGCACTTTGGGAGGCCGAGGCGGGCAGGTCACGAGGTCAGGAGATGGAGACCATCTTGGCTAACACGGTGAAACCCCGTCTCTACTAAAAATACAAACATTTAGCCAGGCGCTGTGGTGGGCGCCTGTAATCCCAGCTACTCAGGAGGCTGAGGCAGGAGAATGGCGTGAACCCGTGAGGTGGAGCTTGCAGTGAGCCAAGATAGCGCCACTGCAGGTCTGGCCTGGGCGAAAGAGCAAGACTCCGTCTCAACAACAACAACAAAAATAATAAATAAATAAATAAATAAAATAAATATTTCTTGAGCTCGAGAAAGTTATATAATAATATAATATAATTTATATTATATTATTATATAGAAATTATATTATTATATAAATTTTAAATTCATCTTACAAAACTACTTCCCATCCAGGCTTTTTGTATCCATTTCAATGGCATCCCTTTAGCAAAAACAGCAGCAGTGGTTTGTACCTCTGGCTATATTGATTGATTGAGACACAGTCTGGCTATGTTGCCAGGCTGGAGAGCAATGGCGTGATCTTACTATAATCTCTGCCTCCTGGGCTCAAATCAGCCTCCCACCTAAGCCTCCCAAGTAGCTGGGACTACAGGAGTGCCCCACCACACTGGACTAATTTTTGTATTTTTTGTAGAGATGGAGTTGTGCTATTTTGCCCTGACTGTTCTCGAACTCGTGGGCTTAAGAGATCTGTCTGCATCAGCCTCCCAAAGTGCTGGCATGAGCCACCACAACCGGCCTTGGCTTTATTTCTTATGTGTAAGTCTGCATCAAAAATTTCTCATCTTCCTCAACCATTCGCTTTACTCTCATTTCCTTTTTTCCAACCTCTGGTTTCCTCTTCTTAAAATTATCTCAATTAATAATGGCTCAGCCTGGGCAACATGGTGAAACTCCATCTCTACAAAAAATACAAAAATTAGCCAGGCATGGAGGGGCACGCCTGTAATCCCAGTCACTCAGGGGAGGCTGAAGTGAGAGGATTGACTTGAGCCTGGGAGGTCGAGGCTGCAGTGAGCCCAGATTGCACTACTGCGCTCTGGCCACACCACCATGCCTTAAAAAAAAAAAAAACTCACTAGATTAAGAAAATGTGGCACATATATACCATGGAATACTATGCAGCCATAAAAAAGGATGAGTTCATGTCCTTTGTAGGGACATGGATGAAGCTGGAAACCATCATTCTCAGCAAACTAGGACAAAAAACCAAACACCGCATGTTCTCACTCATAGGTGGGAATTGAACAATGAGAACACCTGGACACAGGAAGGGGAACATCACACACCAGGGCCTGTTGTGGGTTGGGGGGAGGGGGGAGGGATAGCACTGGGAGATATACCTAATGTAAATGACGAGTTAATGGGTGCAGCACACCAACATGGCACATGTATACATATGTAACAAACCTGCACATTGTGCACATGTACCCTAGAACTTAAAGTATAAAAAAAAAACTTCAAGAACTAAGTTTATACAAACCAAAATTCTAACGGCTGGAGAGAAGATGTACTAACGAATTTTTAGTTTGGGAGGAGTTACAATATTTGCAAATGTTTGTAGAGATTCCGTATGTTATTTGTCATTACAAACTTTTCTTCTCAATAAAATCTGCAGGGTTTTTTTCTTCCTTTCTTCCCCCCTTCTTTTTCTCTCGCCTTTTTTCTTTCCTCTCTCTCCTTTTCTTTTTACAATGATATAATTTAATATTTGAATAGTATTTTACTTGTAAAAATCTTCATTTGTTATTTATGTAAATTAAAATAATATGCTTGTTTTTTGCTCAGATGTGGCCTTACACTATTTTGAGAATAACATTGGCATATATATTTGTAAACTAATGAAGGACACAGCCCAATTATGGACTATTACTTCTATTAATATCCTTAAAAAGAAAAAGCCTGTTTTTGTAATTAATGTTTCAAAAGCTTTCTAGTGAGCACCAAATTATAACTTTGTATGTTCCTAAATGACCGAATATATTTCAAATGTATATGCTAAATTACACAGACTACATAAATAAATAGGCAAATGAACTTTTCTTTTTAATATTTAAATGGAGTCTTGCTATGTTGCCCAGGCTGGTCTTGAATACCTAGGCTCAAGCAATCCTTCTGCCTTAGCCTCCCAAAGTGCTAGTATTATAGGTGTGAGCCACCACACTTGGCCAGCAAATGAGCTGTAAAAGAATTTAATCTAGTCTTGGAAATTGAGAAACAGGGGATATCAATGGCATACTGGAGAAAAATGGCACTGAGAATAAGAATTCCCTTTCCAGCTTCCTTTTTTTGAGACAGTCTCCCTCTGCCACGTTGCCCAGGCTGGAGTGCAGTGGCATGATGTCAGCTCATTGCAACCTCCACCTCCCAGGTTCAAGCGATTCTCCTGCCTTAGCCTCCCAAGTAGCTGCGATTACAGGTGCTTGCCACCATGCCCGGCTAATTTTTGTATTTTTAGTACAGAGGGGGTTTCACTATGTAGACCAGGCTGGTCTCGAACTCCTAGCCTCAAGTGATCCATCTGCCTCGGCCTCCCAAAGTGCTGGGATTACAGGCATGAACCACTGCACCCAGCCTGCTCTCCTTTTTTTTTTTTCTTTTATTTTTTAATGACCAGAAGAGTTTCGAATACATCAAACCTGCTCTTTAACTACAGACAAGCCACTTAGCCTCTCTGGGTTTACTTCTTTATCTAGAAAATGGGATTTTAAAAATTATTTCCAGCTCCAAATGTTTTATGAATTTTATGAAGTATCACAAAAAAATTTAAAAGGTTGAAATATTTACTCTATAAAACTTCATCTATTTACTCACATTTTGATTAAGCTATTATTTGAAAGTAACATACCACATTTTTTTTCTATACTTCTCCATAAAGGGTAAAAAATAAACCATGTATACATGAAGTCAGACATATAGGCAGTATACTACATTACACGTTAGTAGATAAAAATTATTTTTAGATTAAGAATGATATTTAGTCTTAACTCTTTGAGGTTATGTAAATAGTCCTTGGAATATGAAGATAGTCCCTTCTGAGCCATTTACTGAGTCTAATCACATATATTAATTTCCTTTATCCATCATAACTATTTGAATGACAGTTTCCCAAAAATAAACAAACAAGAGTATTTTCAACTCCTTGTCTCCAAGGAAGGCTAACAATAGGCAGGAGTGATGAGCTACAGTAGATGTGACTAACTCAGATGCTTTCAGAGGCCCAGGCAACATAACTAAACATGTGAAGCAGCTTTATGTAACGCAATAGATAATGGTAGGTCAGTGGCAACAGAAGAGTCCATGTCTTGCCTAAAAGCATTCTAATTAAAAAATAGTTTTTAAACCACTGAGCTGGCCAAACAAAATACCTCTATTAGCAGGCCATTAATCACCTTGGCTTATACTTGTTTTTTGTTTTTGTTTTTGAGAGAGGGTCTCACTCTGTCACCCAGGCTGAGTGCAGTGGTGCAATCAGGGCTCACTACAGCCTCTACCTCCTGGGCTCAAGTAATCCTCCCACCTCAGCCTCCCAAGTAGTTGGGATTACAGCACATGCTACCAGGCTCAGCTAATTTTTAAATTTTTTGTAGAGATGGAGTCTTACTATGTTGCCCAGGCTGGTTTCAAACTCCTGGACTCAAGTTTTGATTTTCCCCTGCCTCAGCCTCCCCAAGTGCTGGGATTACAGGCATAAGCCACAGTGCCTGGCCTTCGTCGTCTTCTTCTTTTTTTTTTTTTTTTAACATAAGCAATTTGTGGTTTTTCTTTTAGGGAAGATAAACATCTTCTTTATGGGATCTATAGTACTTCAAAACTATTCCGGCTATCCAAGAACCTGGTTGAATTTAAAGAAAACATTTTAAAATAAAAAGTACTCTCATAATTTGAAAAAATAAATTAAAAAACTTTAAAACTCTACTCATTACTACTTTTAATTCAACATTCAACACATAAAAACTGAGCAGTTACTACATGCTAAAGCATTGTCAATATCCTTTAAGATAAGAGAGATACTGGTATACTGGTTTTGTGTAGTTATGTAAATTTATTTACTACTAGAATAATAATTCTCTGCTTAAAAAAACTTTTTAATCCAAAGATTATTATATATCTATCTATAAATCATTTATTTTACCTGGGAGAAAATGCTTAATCAAGAAAATTGCAATAAATAATGATGGGTTTAAAACAGAAACCACTATCATTCACCACGTTGACTGATGCTTTTCAGATCTAGATCTTTAGACTTGTGAGAAAATTTCTGTAATGTTCACACTTCTGTAGGGAGTTTTAACTGTCATTCAGAGAGACAGTTATAGAGGAATCATTTATGAATTAGAGTAATAAATACGATTAGCTGAATTCTGTGGCATTTTTTTCAAGCATTTTCCATTTGCAACTCAAATATATGGTTACTCCCAGAAATTCCACTTTTAGGTATATACCCATGAGAATTGAAACACAAAAACTTGCACACAAATGTTCACAGCAGCATTATTTATAATAGCCAAAAAAGTAGAAATAAGCCAAATGCCCATAATTAATGAAAAGATAAACAAATTGTGGTATATCCATATGACGTGCCACACAAAAAATAAAGTACTGATACGTGATACAACATAGATGAACCTTGAAAACATTAAGCTAAATGAAAGAGGCCAGACCAAAAAAAAAAAAAGCCATATATTGTTTGAGTCTATTTATGTGAAATGTCCAGAACAGACAAATCCATACAGATGAAAAGTAGATGGTAGTGTTTTCAGGGGCTGGAGGAAGGGAAGAATGGGAAGTAACTGCTAATGGATTTAGGATTTCTTTTTGGGGTGATGAAAATATTCTGGAATTAGAAAGTGATGATGATTGTACCACTTTGTAAATATCACTAAAAACCACTGAATTATATATTTTAAGGGTAAACTTTATGGCATGTAAATTATATCTCAATAAAGTAATAAAGAATATGGCTATTATAACCTATTTATATTGGATTTCTAAAAGAATATTTCATATTCTACTAAAAGGCGATAGGATCCAGTATATATATATATAATCCTGAAAACTATTTTATAACCAAAAATTTTGCTTCAAAACATCATTCTCACTATAGTTATAAAACAGAAAACAAAACTAAATTTTTAAAACATAAATATATTTAAAAAATTAAAACACCTAAGAAATGCAATCTATACATGTGAAAAAGTAAAATATTTATATGCATAACAAGTAGTTGCAACATTATCCATAAGCAGCAGTTAGTGTTTATTTTCCCTATATTTTGGTTTAACACCATAGTGTAGTGGTAGTTCATTCTTTTTAGGGAAATTACATAAAGTACATATAGAATATTATTAGTAAGTTATAGAAGACTGTATAACTGGAAAATTAATTCCAAGTAACAGCATTTCCTCTAAAAACACATCTATTATTAAACGAATTACTTTAAACTAGCAGAGAACAAAATGAGCCTATAATTTATTAAGTACAAGATATATAGTCAACTTGCATAAAATTACATATGGCATTTTAAAAAGTCTATTCTAAAATATCAGTAATTCAAGCAATTGGGATTTCCACAGGAGAGAAATTGCCATTACTTTCCTTTTTATGAAGAAAGATCTGCCTTAAGAACATCACAACGATGTTATTAAGAAATGCTACAGCATACTTTAAAAATCAAAATGGTGAAACAGATGCATCAGGATATTCTTTTACAGATACCAGCCCTATAGCAGCATTTCAGAAGGTGATTTAAATCTAATAACTGACTTGGGTTTTTATTCTCTTCTAGAAATACATATTACATGTATAGTTTAGTTAAGAATTTTCATTTCCATTATAAATGGGAACTTTTCATACTGATTATCTAAAGGTATAAGAAATTAAGTAATTGGATAGTCTAGCACTTCATTAGAAATATATCCACTGACTCCACAAAAACAACTTTTACATATAAGCAAATTACTAAAAATATCTGAATCAGGAGAAATGAAATAAAATACAGTGAATGGTTTTCTCTTTTATCTCTAACTGTAAAAATCCCTTTTGCCTATTTATTTGACCCGTCTCTATTCATGCAATTTAATGAACCCTCAAAAGAATTTACACATCTTTATACAGAATTCACATCTACATCAGTAAACTACCAGTCCTTTTATATTTTCAGTGCCTTATCAAAATATGTGTAACAAAGTTCTTCATTCTATGAGGCAGGAAGATGTTTCCTAAGTACTTCTTTGGATGAAGAAGATATAGTATCTGGGAAGGACACCTCAAATTCTATTAGAAGGTCACCACGTTGGTCAGGATTTTTTGGAAATGGCAGCCCATATCCAATAATTCTTCTCCTCATTCCGGGTTTCACAATATCATTTACTGACATAGGTATGTTTCTTCCATCCAGTGTTGGTACATTAATTGAGCAGCCACACAATGCCTAAAATGGACCAAATAAAATAAAATGAAAACACTTCAAAACTCAAAAATCTAAGCACAAATTTTACCAGATGGTAAAGGATAATACCACTAAGGTAAAACTTTAACCTCCAAAAGAATAACAATAGTTATAAATTTTTTTTCCTCATTAGAAAATTCCTTCAGAGGTCAGGCACGGTGGCTCACACCTGTAATCTCAACATTTTGGGAGGCCAAGGCGGGCAGATCACCTGAGGTCAGGAGTTCAAGACCAGCCTCACCAACATGGAGAAATCTTGTCTCTACTAAAAATACAAAATTAGGCGAGCGTGGTGGCACATGCCTGTAATCCCAGCTACTCGGGAAGCTGAGGCAGGAGAATCACTTGAACTCAGCAGGCGGAGGTTGCAGTGAGCCGAGATCGTGCCATTGCACTCCAGCCTGGGCAACAAGAGCAAAACTGTCTCAAAAAAAAAAAAAAAAAAGAAGAAAGAAAGAAAGAAAAAGAAAAAGAAAAGAAAAGAAAAAAAGGAAAATTCCTTCAGGACATGCATTATTAGATATGTTACAAAAAAAAAAAAAAAAGAAGAAGAAAAGAAAAGGTAAAAGAGAAGTAAAGGATATATTCCACATTGCCCTGGAATGACATGGTTATTTTGAAGCTGCTATTAATATATTCAAGATGCAGGGATTGGAATGGGAGAAGAGGGAGAAATTCAGGACTAGAAAGAACTGGATAGGAGCAACTATTTCTCTGGAAAGTATTAGGACAAGAAATATATTTGTTTTAGATAACAAATGTTTACTGAGCATTTACTATATGCCACACATTCTGGCTAGATGGTGAGCCTTATAGGGACCATGAACACAGACCCCAGCTCAAGGAATGCACAAGGAACTCACAGAAACATAGAAGCAAACTAGCCATTATAATACTGTATAGTGTAAGAACAGAGGTAAGCATGGAGGTCTTTTGTAAGAGAAAGAGCACCCAACTTAACCCCTTAGATTCCGGGAGTAGAGGATGCTTGAACTAAGCATTGGGCAGTAGCAGGTAGGTATTAGAGCAGGGTAAGAAACAATAGTGTTCCATAGAGTACAGCTCAAGTATACAAGATAATAATAGAGCAAACTGGGCCAGGTGCGGTGGCTCATGCCTATAGTCCCAGCACTTTGGGAGGCCGAGGTGGGCGGATTACTTGAGGTCAAGAGTTCAAGACGAGCCTGGCCAACATGGTGAAAACCTATCGCTACTAAAAATATGAAAATCAGCTGGGCATGGTGGCGGGCACCTGTAATCCCAGCTACTCAGGAACCTGAGGCAGGAGAATTACTTGAACCTGGGAGGTGGAGGCTGCAGTACTAGCTGAGATTGTGCCACTGCACTCCAGCATGGGTGACAGAGCGAGACTCCATCTCAAAAAAATAATAATAATAATAATAGAGCAAACTTGGGGAAGTGCATATACATTTTATGGGTAGACATCAGATTTAAAATGACTTATTTTAAGCTAAAGAGTTTGGACTTTATGGTAGAGGTTATATAGAGCAATTTAAGAATTTGAAGCAGGGAACTGCTATGACCATATTTGCAAAGTTACAATCCAATTTGAGAAATAGTACAAATAGGCCAGGCGTGGTGGCTCATGCCTGTAATCCTAGCACTTTGGGAGGCCAAGGCAAGTGGATCACCTGAGGTCAGGAATTCAAGACCAGCCTGGCCAACATGGTAAAACCCTGTGTCTACTAAAAATACAAAAATTAGCCAGGTGTGGTGGGGGGCGCCTGTAATCCCAGCTACTTAGGAGGCCGAGGCAAGAGAATCACTTGAACCCGGAGGCAGAGGTTGCAGTGAGCCGAGATTGCGCTGTGGGTGACAGAGCAAGACTCTGTCTCAAAAAAAAAAAAGAAATAGTGCAAATAAGAACTCAAATAATAATTGTATTAACATAGTAGCATTATAATTTATAAATGTATATATTTATATGCACTTATAAATGTATTTTTTATTAATATAAATGTATACAAATTTGTAGTGAATTATAAATTATTTTCTTCTAATCTTTTTTGGTATGCAATTATTACTCCATATTAACAAATTTAGAACAAACCCTATATACAAAGACTAATGTGTTGAGATTACCAATGCAGATCTCATAAACCACATTTGTAAAAGCAGCCTCATAGTACATAATCCAGTTAACACTTGACACTTTAATTATAAGTAACTAAAGTTAGAAAATATAATCACATCCATAAAAGAGGTATAATACTAGTACTATCTTAGAGGATTTTTATAGTAATTATTTTTAACGTATAATAGGCATTAAATAAATGTTAGCTATTATCTAGATACACTCCCTATGATCAACTACATAATTATTTGGTCTTAGGATTTTAGGTCCTACCAACTTACCTCTCGTAAACTAATTTTAGCAGTATAAATTATATTTGATCCATCCCTTTTAAATTTTGGATGATCTTTGTCTTTAATGATAAAAACAATGTCTGCTGGAATACTATTTGGTGTTTCATCTCCTTCTCTTGGAAAAGTAATTTTGGTGCCTTCTTTCCACCCTTTTTTAATCTCAATGGTAAGAATTTTGTCCTCAGATCTGTAACTCCTTCCATCAGCGTTTAGCCTTTTTCGAGAAATCTTCATCCGTTTGGTACAACCACTATATATCTCTTCAAGTGATACTCTAAGTTCATGAATAACTGGAGGATCTTGTTTGAGGCGGGATGGCCCCACAGAATTCCTGTCTCTTGGATATCCATTCATGCTGAAACCAAAGGCACTAAAAGGATCACCATCTATTTCCATTTCTTCAGAATCTCTACCACCACCCATTCGTCTTCCAAAGAAAATTTCAAAGGGGTTGGACCCTCCGAAAAATGCAGCAAATGTAGCATGAGGATCGCCATGAAAGGTGTACCGGAAGGTACCTCCTTGTCCATCAGTACCTCCTGCTCCTCCTTTCAACCCTAATTGAAGAGATAAGCATGATTAGAAAAAAGCTTGCAACTCTTAAAAGTTAAACTTTCAAAAACTGTATTGCTAATAAATTTTGGCTAACTTACATTAAAATGTATTAATATTGGCCAGAAATGCCACTTTACTAAATACAGAACAGCTATAAAACTCTTGATGATTACATCCTAAGTTAAATTGTTAAGTTTTCAAATTCTTCCTCCAAATCAGCATTTTTGTTTGTTTGTGTTTTTGAGACAGAGTTTCGCTCTTGTTTGCCCAGGCTGGAGTGCAATGGCGCAATCTTGGCTCACCGCAACCTCCGCCTCCCAGGTTCAAACAATTCTCCTGCCTCAGCCTCCCGAGTAGCTGGGATTACAGGCATGTGCCACCACGCCCGGCTAATTTTGTATTTTTAGTAGAGACGAGGTTTCTTCATGTTGGTCAGGCTGGTCTCGAACTCCCAACCTCAGGTGATCTGCCTGCCTTGGCCTCCCAAAGTGCTGAAATTACAAGTGTGAGCCACTGCTTCCGGCCAAATCAGCATCTCTAATATTTATTCCTGATTCTTTGTTCCACGGGTAAGTAAGAAAAATAAAATAAGGCCGGGCGCAGAGGCTCATGCCTGTAATCCCAACACTTTGGGAGGCCGAGGCAAGCAGATCATGAGGTCAGGAGTTTGAGACCAGCCTGGCCAACACAGTGAAACCCCGCCTCCACTAAAAATACAAAAAATTAGCCAGGTGTGGTGGCAGGTGCCTGTAATACTAGCTACTCAGGAGGCTGAGGCAGGAGAATCACTTGAACCTGGGAGGCAGAAGTTGCAGCGAGCTGAGATCGCACCACTGCACACCAGCCCGGGCAACAGTGTGAGACTCTGTCTCAAAAAAAAAAAAAAAAAAAAAGAAAAGAAAAGAAAAAGAAAATAAAACTGGGAACTCCTTATAAACTACTGATCTGGCATGCTGAAGTATATAAATTATATAAGTATCTACTTATAAATATATAAGTTTTTAAAAGATGTCAGTTGGAAGGTCTTCAGCAATCAACACAAAGTGCAGAACTTAAATCTTTAATTTTTATTACAATCAAACAATATATATAACATTTAAAAATATAAATATATTAATAAAATATATAGCAAAATATAAAATACCATATTCATACTGTTTATATATAAATAAAATAGAAATATGTAAAAATATAATGTAATAAAAATACCATATTCATTCTAACTAGTTTTATTTCAGATCATCTTTTACTGTTTAGGAATTAAAATAGGGCCAGGTGCAGTGGCTCACACCTGTAATCCCAGCACTTTGGGAGGCCGAGTCGGGTGGATCACTTGAGATCAGGAGTTCGAGACCAGCCTGGTCTACATGGTGAAACCCCGTCTCTACTATAAATACAAAATTAGCTGGGCATGGTGGCACATGCCTATAATCCCAGCTACTTGGGAGGCTGAGGCAGGAGAATCGCTTGAACCTGGGAGGCAGAGGTTACAGTGAGCCAAGACTGCACCATTGCACTCCGGCCTGGGCAACAGGAGCAAAACTCCATCTCAAAAAAAAAAAAAAAAGAATTAAAATAGAACTCTGTGTCAGAGAGTGAAAAAAATTCTAATAATGAGGACATTCTATGAAAAATGGTTTTTTAGACACTACGATTGTCATTCCTACTCTAGATACCAAATTTTTTAGGCATATCACATCTTAGCATTAATTTCAATGCTTGTAAGAAGACTGAAATCAAGAGCTGTAAACTTTGACACGTAAGGCCTCTATATGGGTTATTTCTGTCTCTTGTGAACAGTCCACCTCAGGCAACAATATAGTGACTTTTTGACCCTTTGCTTAAGGGTTCCACTAAGTAATATTTAACCCACAAAAGATTATATTTGAAACAACATTTTCCACTATGAAAGAAATGTTCTACTAAAACTCAAAAAACAACAGTATGGTGATCTTTTAAGGGGTCAATACAGATCAAGAAACAAGCAGGAAAAGAATCTAAAAATCATAAAACTATGAAAAATCCAACAGATTAAGCTAGGAGATTCTAATATCTCCAAACAGTGAGTGATTTGAAGGCAGGAAATATATTTATTTTGCACTGCTCATGCATACAGGGCTGAAAATGGTAGGTATTCATGCTTAGTGAATGAAGGGAATGAACTAATTCCTAAAGTCCTTCTAAATCAAAACTAAAAAAGGTGTCTTGAGTATCGGTACAGAGAAAAAGGCAGAAGCAAAAACAATGTAAAATATAATCACACATATACATATATGAGAGATTTAACAATTTAAAATGCCACTAACACACAGCATACTTTAAAGAAACTTAGTTTTGCTTACGTCTTATTCTGCATTTGGCTTCTTCCATTAAAAGGTATATATCTACTCTATTTCATCTAACAGGGTCTCAAGTGATATCTAAAATTTTTACCTTCATCCATGAATAGAAATCTGGAGAGATCAAGAGAGACCTAATAATCTGAAAATTGCCAAAATATGTATTGAACAATATATCCAAATAGCAGTTAGGGAAATTCCTTGTAGAATGACAAGTATAAGCAGGACAAGATCTTTTCATAAGCAGCTCATCCAAATTTCCCTTTTATAAATTTTAGTAGTATAATTATAACTCCAAATGTTAAAAAGGTAATGGCAGATTTTTTTTTTAATGATAGAATAATATGTAGCTCAAGGTCATGACCAAAGTGACTCAACCAATGCTTAAATTATTTAAATAATTTTATCCTTCATCCCATAGACTTAAGGGAGTATAATTATTTAACTGAGTTAAGTAAACTGGGTAAATCAGCCTGCCCAATCTAGCCTCTTATAAGACAAAATTTAAATACTTGCACCCATAATGAATTCATGAAAAGAAAGAATAATGTTTTAATTTATTACATCATGGGTTTGGCTTTCTGGAAAACCTCTTCCTCCTCTGCCAAAAAGGGCAATTCGGTCATAATTACAAAGTCTCTGAGAAGATTCATACAAAGTCTGAAGTAACTTACCAAAGCTGATAAAAAGACTCCAATGCAGCTTTGAGGTTTTCCTAGACACTATTAAACAGTCAACTATGCAGCTCAGACAAAGAACGAAGCTACTCTAATGAATGAAAAAAATCCTAGGCTGGGCACAGTGGCTCACACCTATAATCCCAGAACTTTGGGAGGCCAAGGTGGGTGGAGCATGAGGTCTGGAGTTCGAGATCAGCCTGACCAACATGGTGAAACCTCGTCTCTACTAAAAATACAAAAATTAGCCAGGCGTGGTGGCGCACGCCTGTAATCCCAGCTACTCAGGAGACTGATTCTGTCTCAAAAACAACAAAAAAAAGAAAAAAATCCTACCAAAATTCATGCCACTTTAATATACATTATTATGCAAGTATCACTTGCATTGTCTAGCACATAAAATTATAAGTAATGTCACATTAACTATATGGTCAGTTCTTAATCATGTACATTTTGAACGCTAATGGAAATGTTTAATATCCAATTGGATTCCCTCTGCTATTCAAAATGTTTTCTAGACATCGTCATCACTTTGTGTGATCAAAAAACGCACCAGAGAAGCAACATTTGCCTATGATTTAGCAAGACTGCTATTATTTTACAACTAACCAGTCAACCAGTTTGCAGTCCCAAACCAAATATGTGTTTGGAATACTATCTATAACAATGATTCCCACTAATTAGTTAAGGTTGACTAAAAGTTTCCAAAAGAAGAAACACTGGAGAAAAATTCAGATTGCAAAGAAAAAAACATGATAATACTTTAATAACTCTTACTCCATCCAAGGAGATCTAATATGTAAAAATCCAGATTTACAGCAAGACTTCAGTTATCAAATAATGAGATTCTGAGATTTTTTAAACAGTTTTAATTCACAAAAATCAAATTTACTTACATGTTTTTAGAACACACAGTGAATTAAAAAAAATCCAGCTAGCTAAATATATAAGTTAAAGAACAGAAGAGAACTAGTATAAAGATTAATAAATACAAGTTTTATCATTTAAACACTACCTTTTAATATTTGAAGTTACTGAATAAATCATATGCAATAACAAAATAAGGAAAGCATAAAAAAAGAAAAATTAGAAAACTAGAATAAATGAGGATGTGTTATTGAAAATCTTTTCTTTTAAATCTCTTAACACAAATTTTTGTTGACATCCACTAAACTATTCAAGACTAAACCTAAAACTTTAGAGAGTGGTTCAGAATCCAATTTTAAATTTCTGTAGTTCTGTGGTTTTTGTTTTCAAATGATTCAACTATAGAGAAATTTTATTTTTAAAAAGATTTATTACATATATAAAATTAACCTATTGTACAAATACAATTCAATTGATTATAGTAAATTGATAGAGCTGTATAACCATCATCACAATCCAGTTATAGAACATTTCCATCATTCCAAAGAATTCTCTAGTTCTTATTTGTAGCTAATCCCCGCTCCCACCTCAAGTCCTAGGCAAGAAAGATCTGCTTTCTTTTTCTATATACTGGCCTTTTCCAGACATTTCACATAAATAAAATCATACAATATATAGTCTTTTACATCTGGCTTCTTTAATTTAGCATAGTTTCTGAGGTTCATCAATGGTGTAGCATGTTTCACAAATTGGTCCTTTTATTGCTAAATAGTTCCTCATTGAATGTATATAGCACATTTTGTTTAATTCACCAATTTATGGTGCTTTCAGATTGTTTCCAGTTTGGGGCTATTATAAATAATGCTGCTATAAGCATTCAGGTACATGTCTTTGTGTGGACATGTTTTTGTTTCCCTTTTATAGATTCCTAAAAGTAAATTTGAGTTATCCGTATTTTTTTTCTTTCCTTTGCTTTTTCTAGAGGTAGGGTCTTGCTATGTTGCAAAGGCTGGACTCAAACTCTTGGGCTCAAGCAATCCTTCAGCCTCAGCCTCCCTATTAGCTGAGACTACAGGCATATGCCACCTCACCCAGCTAGCCAACTGTTTTTAAAACAAAGCATTTTAAATTGTGAATATTCAGAACACAAATATACTGTGTTCTGGATTACTGGTTCTTTCACTCCTAAATACATAAATTTAGCATATGCAACTTACATACTTTTCAGTTTATGGTTCCTTATTCCCACCATCCCAGCTCTAAGTCCCAAGACTGTAATAACTTGGGGGGAGCGGGAAGAAGGATACCAGGTAAATTAATAGTGTTTCCATAGTCCTAAAGTTCAGTGTTTTGTTACTACTGGAGACACCTATGGAACCACGTCTGGAGATAAATAAAAGGCAAAGAGAAAAAATGTTTTCCCCTACTTTCACAGTGTATCTAAATGGGATTTTTTAATAGAATAAATGAGATATTCTGAATAAACGGCAAACAAATATAATACTTTCCTGTGAAGGAAGAATAATTCTAAAAAATAATTCAAATAACTTTCATTCAATTGTATTTTCTTTTTTTCCTTTTCTTTTTTTGAGATGAGGTCTCGCTCTGTCGCCCAGGCTGAAGTGCAGTGGCTCGATCTCGGCTCACTGCAACCTCTGCCTCTTGGGTTCAAGTGATTCTCCTACCTCACCCTTCCAAGTAGCTGGGATTAGAGGTGTCTGCCACCACACCTAGCTAATTTTTGTATTTTTAGTAGAGACAGGGTTTCACCATGTTGGCCAGGCTGGTCTCGAACTCCTGACCTCAGGTGATCGCCTGTCTCGGCCTCCCAAAGTGTTGGAATTACAGGCATGAGCCACGGCGCCTGGCCCATTCAATTGTATTTTCAAGTAACCTATAACTAGAGAATGGTATTTCTGCATAATATATTTCTATGTTTTAAAAAAGGCATTCTCTCCTCACTCTTTCCTTCTATCACTTATATCAATTATGTAAGTTAAAAAAAAAAACCCAGGGTATACAGATTCAGGGTGATTTAGTTTTTAAAAAATTCACTCATTGTGTAATGACCAATAAAAATTAAATGAGAAAAATCACTCTAGAAAAGCACTATTAAGAGATAATGTTAAATCAAGAAAAATGTATCATTTGGTGACTTGAAAATTCTGAAGACAAATATCCTTACTAAACCCTGGATCCAATGGCTTAGCCACAAACTTGAGCTATCAGTGAATTGTTGCAAAATATTTTAAATACAAAGCAGTGGATATCTGCTTTTTCACAGGAATTCACAGTGTCATTCCATGTTTGTGAATTTCTTTACAAAATTACAAAATTACTCCTTTAGAAATAGTAGTACATTATTGGTAGTATCTCAGAATCCTGCTTAGCTTTTGAGATAAACCAAGTCATGATATTTTGGGTAATATGGCCATAGGTATCATGCAAGATTGAACTGCCCAGTATTTGCCTTTTTCAATATTTACTTTGTAAGAACCTGACACTGTAGGTCCTCACCACACCAAAACCTGCAACATAAACTTCAATTTTGGGCAACTCATAGACCAAAAAAGCTAAACAAAACAAAAAGGAAAAAACCCTCTATATACAATCACCCTGCTTGTCTACATTTAATTTGTTTCATTCAAAATAAGCAGTCACTGCTTGACTATATTTTAAGGATATATTTCTAATTAGGAAAATTTGATGTTAAATGTAATAAAGGAATCAAAGGGATAACAAGTTTTCATAGCTACAGTGATTTGAAAGCCAGTATTTTGGGAGAAAAACTAATAATAAAATAACTTAGTCCTGATGTTAAAAGTTGAAAATCCCCAAAACAGTACAAGTTAAAGTTTTTTGTGTTATCAATTAGCAATTTAAAATAGTCTTACTTCATAGCCCCGTTTATATGGAAGTGATGGACAAACCTGATTTAAAATGCAGAATGAGAAAAGGATAATCTGAAATTATCCTCCTTTACTGTGCTCACTAGTTTTTGATCTCACAATGCAAAAAACAAAAGTATGGCAGGGAGAGGAAAGGGAAGTTGTCATGTTTTTCTCTATACCTAGATAGTAAAATTTCTAAATAAATAATGTTATCTAAAAGTAAATCAGTAATTATTCTAACTAGGTGGCCATTTTAGGTCAAAAATTGTATTTCTGAGATTTCATTTTCTTGGCACAAAATTATTGTTTACAATTAAGCTAAAAACTTGTTCTGGTATTTTATGACATCAGGAAAATTCTTTCCTCTCCAGGCAGAATGCCAAAAACAACTAGAAGCTAAATGCCTGCGCCTTCTGCTTCTGAGAGTCACAACTCTGTCTTGTTCAGTCTAAACTAGCCTTGCTATAAGAAAGGCAAAAAACTACTTTTTGTTTTTGTGAATAAGCTATAAACTACTCAGAATCTGAAATGCCAATCTTAAGGTTTTAAATGACTAAAGACTCTTTATTGGTTCTGGCAGAAAATTCATTAGAAAACGAAACAGGTTTCATAAGACTTTTGACACAATTTACTAATAGGTATGGGAATTCAAGGTTTATTTTAAAATATACATTGTTAACATTGTAAGTCTAATGATAAAATATGTATAATACAAAATGCTAAAATAAAAAAGGCAAACAAGGACATTTCATTCATGGCTCTGCAATACTCATTCATATGATCAGAGATGAAACCTTGTTATTATACATTTGTCCTTCTACTTTTGATATGACTGAGAATCCAATTTAAGGATAACCTTAACAAGCTGAGAGAGAGGGGAAAAAGGCTGGCAGAGAGAGAGAAAAAAAAAAAAGAGACAGAGCTGAAGAGACAGAAAGATATACAGAGAATACTTACCTTCCTCCCCAAACTGATCATATATTTCTCTCTTTTTAGGATCACTCAATACTTCATAAGCTTCTGCGACCTCTTTAAATTTTTCCTCTGCCTGAGGAGATTTGTTCTTGTCCGGATGAAATTTGAGGGCTTGTTTTCGGTAAGCCTTTTTAATATCTTCATCTGAAGCTCCTTTCTCAATTCCCAAAATGCAATAATAGTCTTTCCCCATTTCGAATGCCTTGAAATTAACTTAGATTTCCCTTTGTAAAAGAAAACAGCGTCCCCAGTCTTAGCAACAGATTCTAAGAAAAATAAACCAAGCTGGGTATTTTAAAAGTTAATCAGCAATTCAGCTAGCTGTCTTAAGGCAGCAAGCAGACAGCGTCTCTGTATTCAATCCTTCCCCAACGGCTCACTTACAGATAAATATACACTACACAGGAGACAGCCTCCTTCTAGATCCTCCCATTTTCACTACGTGTCTCTGTACTTTCTAGAACAGCAAATGCTACAGGACGTCACTTTCCCAGCTGCCTCTAGTCAAAGTACTGAGCTATGTTTTCTCCTCCTCCACGATTAACTATTCATTTTCCGACTAGCTCTACCGTCTTTATTTCCTAATTAAACAGGACAAATGGGTTAACATGCCAATATTTCAACACAGAATGTCACAACTATATATTTATGTACTCCATACTAGGTGAAAATCATCACAGTCATTAAACACCCTATGTTAAAAGAAGTTAAAGTTAATATACAGATAAAAGGAACGACAATTCTACTTTAGGGATTTTTTAATTTTAAGCTATTTGTCTGTTAAGTATATAATACCAAAACGCAGGTTGTTTAAATTAGGATTTCCAAGTAATTTATGTCGTCTTCAAAATTCCTGGGGTCTATCAATCAGAAACGCCAGAAAGTTTGTGTACTAGTTTCACATTGTTAAGGGAGTATCTATAATAAAATTCAAATGCGTTATTTTAAAATAAGTAAAGGACTTAAACATGATTTTAGCTAACTAGTTATTTCTAGTATACATGAGTTCATAGTTCTGGCAAACAAATACTTATTTTTGAAATTTTAGTATCTGAACTTAGTTACTTCAACTAAACTAAAACTGAATGAGGTCCCTGCCACCCCTCAACCCCCGTCCCCTGCAGCCGCCCCACAGGATCCCTATTTAAAGAACTGTGGTGCTGCAGGAAAGCTAGAACAAAGTATCAGGTTACAGACAGTACATACTCATGTTCCTTACAAGACTTAACTGCAACTGCATCAATGTAAAATTTGGATATGCCACTTAAGGGGCAGTAATATGAGAAATATTTTTTCTTTCAAAAACACATTTCCCTAATTATAAATATATATTCATTGTTGGAGATTTTGGAAAACGCAGAAAAAAGTTTTTAAAAATCTCCCTATAATATCATTTTAGGTAATCCCTGTTAAATATTACTGTATTTACTTCTAATTCTGTTTTCTATAAATCTTCATGGTTATTTGCTGTAGTTTTATAATTTTTTGTTAACAAAGTTAGATCATAGCATTTATATACCCTTTTGATGCCTGCTTTTGAAAGTATAACATATTTCAGGTATTTATGAGACATTTTCTATGTATATAACTCATCTTTTATCTCCTGTATGGTTTTCTCATCTTTTCAAAAATGTTCCCATTTCTATTAGAGAGATAAATAAGAAAAGTCAGAAGAATTGCACACAGTCCAAATAAAATGTTAGAAAACCTTTATGAGGAAAAGAAAATGTACATATATGTTTAGAATATAATAAAGGGTAATAATCATGTGTTAACCTTTAAAGAAATGAGAACGCCTACTCTATATGCCAAGCAATGATGATTCAGCAATTCTTTCTGAATGTTCATCTTTGTGCATTTTGACAGCTACGATTTTCTACTCTTCAAAATTCTCTACTTTAACAACACCATGACATTAGAAATGTATAACATTGATCTAGCCTACCTGTAGGTTACAGAGGTTTGTCAGCTATTTATCAATTTTTTTAGCCTCACCAAGAAATAATATCAAAAGGTACTTTCAAATCCAAAAAACTTAGTGAAAAATGCTAATATCCAGTCACCTTAAGACTCCCAGTTTTAAAAAGCATATTGCCAAACTGAAATCCAGTGCAAGGATCAGTATCACATAGAGTAAAAACAGAATAAAAATCACCTATTACAAAATTCATTTCCAAGGGAGTTCCTTTAAATATTCCTTACCAAAGGAACGGTGACTTTACTATTTAACAACCGGAAATTGTTCTGGCGGGTAGTGTTTGCAGAAAAAAAAAATAGACACTTATTTGATTCAATCATTTTCAGAGAGCTAGGAATATTATCAAAACTTGACACAGTAAATTATTTTAGAGAACCTGAAGACCGGGTCTTTCATATTTGTGAGAAATTGTATTATATATTAACAGACGGAAAGAAATCTGGCTCCCTAGACACTGAAAAGGGTGAAAAGGGATTTTCACATTTCTTTAAATATCACACACACATAAGAATCGTAATTGTAAAGTTGAAAAGCAAGAATTCACCTCAACTTTGACATTTCAAGTTAATAAGAAAGCAAATATAATCGTGATTTACGCGATTGTTGTATTACGTGATTGTTGTATTAATACAACAATCTGGCTAGCTTTTGGTAAAATGAACAGATACTTGCACACTTATAGCTTTGTAAAGCTTTGTAAATAATTCAAACATTTGGCAATAGTAAAAGCCACTAAATATTATTTTAATAGCTCTATAAATACCACACCTGGAATTTATCCTTAGAAAATAATTTAAAGACAATAATTATATGTACAAATATACCCATTGCAAATAGATGAAATAGGGTAAAGCATCAAGATGATCATCTTTAAAAGTACATAGCATTTTGGAGATATTTTACCCTTACATTCACCTTTTCAGACTGAGATGTCTTCTCTACTACCTAGGAGTTGAAAATCCATTATACAATACGATCACTTTACATTAAATCTTGGTCATCCAAGTTTGTATGATATGAATGCGGCAATTTGGGGGAGGGGTTGGGATTGTCATTCCTGCAAATAATTATGACAAAAACAGGAAGAGTATGTAAAAGGGAGAGTAGTGGTAGCCTGTAGGGGAAATGGAACAGAGAAGAGCTGAGATCAAAGCTTATTTAATAAAAGTAAAATAAATAAAAGCTTTTTTAAAGGTTAAAATAAAACCAAAAAAATACATAGAAATAGTCTATATGGAATATTTAGATATCACATAAATGCTGCTTATATGATGTTATAGCTTACATGTATGTGTGACGGAAAGTTTGAAGAGAACAAAAACTAGCTTGAGTTAGTAACTGACATACATTTTTTCCCTTAAAACTAAAGAATGCTGCATTTTTAACAAAGATATAAAAATTAGCACTTGCATTTTTAAATTTTTACTTTGCTACTCAAACATTGGTAAGATTATTCCATGAAAACACAATTATCTTCCCTTTATTATAAGAAAAGTACAGTCAGGTGAGGTGGCTCATGCCTGTAATCCCAGCACTTTGGGAGGCCAAGGCAGTAGGATCACTTGAGCTCAGGAGTTCAAGACCAGCCTGGGCAACATAATGAGACCTTATCTCTACTAAAAACTAATTTTTTTAAAAAATGGAAATTAAGATAGCATTTTAACCACAAAAAACTAAAAGTATAATTTGTTATTCAGTTGATGTCATCTTCATCTTCTACTTTGACTTTATTCATATATAATAAAAAACAAGTTTTCTTTTTCCAACTCACAAATCATTTCTCAGTTTATAATAAAATAGTACAGAAGAAGATAAAATGCCATGAGTCTCAGAAGAAATTACATCAAAATTCAGATCATCACTTAAATGCTGGAGGACAAATGACTTCTCATATTTTACCATCGCACCTGTGAATAACTTTTCCTGGCAATATTTAATTCTTAAATGGGTCATATTTAGTCCTAAATTTTTTTTTTTTTTCTTTTTTGAGATGGGGCTTGCTCTGTCACCCAGGCTGCAGTGAAGTGGCACAATCATAGCTCACTGCACCCTTGAACTCCTAGGCTCAAGTGATCCTGCTGCCTCAGCCTCTCGAGTAGCTGGGACTACAGGCCAATGCAACATCTGGCTTATTTTAATTTCTTATAGAGACCAGGTCTCACTATGTTGCCCAGGCTAGTCTCCAACTCCTGAGCTCAAACAATCCTCCTTCCTTGACCTCCCAAGATCCTGGGATTACAGGCATAAACCAGGGTGCTTGGTACTTGAAATTTCGATCCTGGAATTACAGGCATAAACCAGGGTGCTTGGACCCTGAAATTTCTTTTTTTTTTGAGACAGGGTCTCGCTCTGTCGCCCAGGCTGGTCCAGAATAGAGTGCAGTGGCACAATCTCGGCTCACTGCAACCTCCGCCTCCCGGGTTTTAAGAAATCTCTGCTTCAGCCTCCCGAATAGCTGGGATTACAGGTGCGTGCCACCACGCCCAGCTAATTTTTTTGTATTTTTAGTAGAGACGAGGTTTTGCCACCTTGGCCAGGCTGGTCTTGAACTCTTGACCTCGTGATTCACCCGCCTTGGCCTCCCAAAGTGCTGGATTACAGGCATGAGCCACCACGCCTGGCCATGAAATTTCTTAGTCATTCATATTAGAAAATTATGACCTCCATTCCCCAATAATTCCTGTCCAAGAATAAGCAAATAAACTGAGGCTCTTTTAAACTCTGTTAACAGTGCTTTAGATATTTGAATATATAACCTCAGAGTATGTAAAAGTGATTATATTTGCCGAGGTGACACCCAGGGAATATTCATAATATAGTGGTTAAAAGCATAGATTTTGGAGCTGGAGTGCCTGGGTTAGAATCCTGGTAATACTACTTACAGCTGTAAGACCTTGGACTTAAATCTCTCTGACCTCAGCTTCCTCATCTGTCAAACAGAGTTAACTCTGTTAACTGTTAAGCTGGTAACATTAATACCAATTTAGGATTGTTGTGAGGATTAAATGCAATCAATGTGTGATACTTAAATGTGATTGGCACGTAGTGAGGAATACCAAAGTGCTGGCTACTCTTATCATGATGATGATCTCATATGAACTTGAAAATTTTTTTTCCAGGAAAATTACTATACCATATGCATAACAAAATGTTCTTATTTATAAGCATACATGCACACACACTCACACATACACACACAGCTGTCCAATTGGTATTTCTAAATATTCCAGTTAATATTTGCTACTCATTCATGTTGATTTTGTTAAAATTTAAAATCATTAAAACTTCCCATAGGTAGCATTCATTGTATTTCAGTTCCAATATTTATATTCTTAAAGTATATATATTTGATTTTGGAATCAGAAGATCTGTCCAGCCTTAATATCTGTTGATGCCTCACATATCTCAGTCGTACCAAATTACTTGAAAATTATCTAGGGGAAACCATTATTTATCAATTCCTCTTAGAGGGCTAGTACAAAAGAATAAAGACTTAAAAATCTGAATACTTGGTTTCTAATCTCAGTTCTCCCACTTAACAGGTGAGTAACTTAGATGAATCATTTAAATTATCTGAATACCTAACTCACAAAGATTATTGTGAGAGTCAGATGAGATAGTACATGTGTCAGCACTACAATTTATATGACATCTACATATACATTATTTTCAGTATTTTAAGCTATATAAACTATTTTGCTACCACTTGGATGTTTATTGACAAATAGTCTCCTTTGACTCAGGAAGTTTTACTTGGCATAAAGCATTAAAGTAACTACCAGATTCACCCCCAAAGGAGTCTGGCATCCCCCAAGATCTTGCCTCTTGCCAAGTTCCCTTTTCAGACCTTTATCTCTGAATTTTACTATCTTCTCAGTGTTAAAAAAAAAAAAAACCTGTTCTATGCCTTCCCCATAATAACATTTATATAATACTTTACAGTTTATAAAATACTTCCATATGCTTTCTCACATACATCTGATACTCAAGTGATAAGATTTCAAAGAGCTTTTCTATAGCTACAGTCTAATAATGAGCTAAGATATTCTTGACAATTCTTAAACATACACTGTTCCAATATTTACATAAAACTAGAGGGTACTAGGCTGTGTCTATCCTAATGTTTCACCTGTTTTTAAGATAATATCTAAATAGTTATATAAAATCAAATTATTGGCCATTTAATAACGGACTATATCTTACCTCTACATACTATAATTTCCTAAAAAACCAGTAAGCACTAAGAGGTATCATTACCATAGATTGCTATAGAGCAAATGCTTGATGTAAGTTTGCAACTCAGACCCTCAATTCTCATTCCTGTGAAAAGGTTCCAGAGCATAATACTTACAGTACCTTTTAATTTTGTGATGGCTACAAATGCAACTTTGTCTTTAGGGGAAAAATAGGGAAATTTTTATTTATTGTGTATGTGTTGCCAAGATACAGACCCATAAAATCTATTTATTTATTTATTTATTTAGAGACAGGATCTCACTCTGTTGCCCAGGCTGATTGTGTTCCTGATCTCACAATCTCAGCTCACTGCAGCCTCGACCTCCTGAGCTCAAGCCATTTTCCCACCTCAGCCCCCAGAGTAGCTAGGACCACAGGCATGCCACCATGCCTGGCTAATTTTTCTATTTTTAGTACAGATGAGGTTTCGCCATGTTGCCCAGGCTGGTCTAGAACTCCTGGGCTTAAGCGATCCACCCATTTTGGTCTCCCAAAGTGCTGAGATTACAGGTCTGAGCCACCGCACTCAGCTGAGAAATTTTAAAGAGATTCACTTCTTACCTTATCTACGTTACAAGCTGAAATACATAAACTTAAGGCAAGTGTCTTTAAGACATTAAGCCCTATCCATTTAAGCTTAAATTGTTTTAGAAATCCTACTCTCCCACGCCCCTTACCTGTAAATGTCCTTTTTTAGGCAATGACAGTAGTTTGGATTCATTATATTTGGAATTTGTCAACAGTATCTGACTGTCCATTTTATAGTATTTGATGGGTACACAAACTGTTTAAAAAGGTGGTTATCATAGTGCACATTTTCCACAAATAAAGTATTTCAATCACTCAGCAAATATTTATGGAGTGTTTATTTTGTGTCACACACTATTTTAGGTGCTGTTAACTAGATAGACATTATCCTTGCTCTCATTCAACTCATTCTAGAGGGGGAAGACAAACAATAAAAAGTTAATAACGAAATGAGATCGTTTTAAGAGCTTTAAAGATAGTCAAACAGAGGCCGGTGCGGTGGCTCACGCCTGTAATCCCAGCACTTTGGGAAGCTAAGGACTGCAGATCACTTGAGGCCAGGAGTTCAAGACCAGCCAACACGGTAAAACCCCGTGAAAATACAAAATTAGCTGGGCATGGTGGCGTGCACCTGTGGTCTCAGCTACTCAGGAGGCTGAGGTGAAAGGATCATTTGGGCCTGGGAGGTGGAGGTTGCAGTGGGCCAAGATCATGCCACTATACTCCAAACTGGGTGACAGAGGGAGACTGTCTCAAAAAGAAAAGAAGAAAAAAAAAGTTAATTATTATCCTCAACTTGGGCTGGAGTGGTGGGGATAGGAAAGACTTCAGAACAGAAAATTGTGAGCAAAGTCATGAAAGACTGATAGATTTTGACAGAGAAAGGGAGAATTTGCAATTTGGATCAGGAACACTAAGTCAAGAAGCAAAAGAGCATAAAATGTATTTGATACAGCAAAAATACTGGTGAGATTAATGCATGCAAATTAGGAAGGCTTGCCCTGGGAAGCTGGCAGAAAATAAGTTACGGTCAGATTGTTCGAAGTTTTTTTTATGGAGACAGGGTTTTACTGTCACCGAGGCTGGAGTGCAGTGGCATTGTCACAGATCGCTGCAGCCATGATCTCTCCTGGGCTCAGCCTCCCAAGTAACTGGTATTACAGGCTCACACCACCACCACATCTTGCTAATATATATATAGATATATAGATATAGATATAGATATAGATTTTTTTTTTTTTTTTTTTGTAGAGACAGGTTCTCACTATGTCTCCCAGGCTGGTCTCAAACTCCTGGGCTCAAGCAATCCTCCCGTCTCAACCTCCCAGTGTTGGGATTACAGGCATGTGCAACTGCACCCAGCTGAAAGTTTTTAATGTCACACTTGATGACTGCTCTTTTATGCTCTTCAAAAAGCACTAATTCAATAGTTTGGTCTTTGAAAAAAAATTACTTGAAGAGGTTGCTTCATTTCTTAAGTGTCCATTTATTCCCAAACCAGTGAAATTACTTTTCTGGTTGTCAGTAAGGTAAAGGGTTCTTAACAAAGTTTCATTAATAATCTGTAAGCTTCCTGGCCAGGCGCTGTGGCTCACGCCTGTGGTTCTGGCTACTCTAGAGGATCACTTGAGACCAGGAGCTCAAGGTTGCAGTGAGCCGTGATCGCAGTCCACCCGGGTGACAGAGGGAGATCCTGTCTCAAATAATAATAATTTGTAAGCCTCCAAGAGCACCAACATAAGATGGCAAACTAACTTAAAATGGTTGGTAGGAAGAATAATTTTAGTCATAATTCTCTGTGGACTATTGTCTGTATCATCAAAATTTCCATTTTATCGCTACAGTAATATTAGTAATTCCCCAAGTTTTCAAATGTTGATACTGTGTCATGGCTTGGTTTTATAATACTTTCCCCGAAGCACTATAATATATACATTTAATTTTTTTGTCTAGTGGTCTTTAAAACAAGATTTTAAATTGTTTAAAAAATTAAAAAGTACCTACCTTTCAAAAAACAAGAAAATAAAATTGCTTTAAATGTATAGAAATTACTAGATTTGGAGACACCCAGGGGATCAGACATATTTTATACTTAAAAAAATAAATCAGCCAGGTGCAGTAGCTTACACCTGTAATCCCAGCACTTTAGAAGCACGAGGTGAGAGGATCACTTGAGCCCAGGAGTTTGAGACTAGCCTGGGTAACAAAGTGAGAATTCCATCCCTACAAAAAATTTACAAATCAGCCAGGCATGGTGGCATGTGCCTGTAGTCCCAGCTACTCAGGAGGCTCAGGCAGGGGGATGGCTTGGGTCCAGGAGGTCAAGGCTGCAGGTGAGCCGTGATCATGCCACTGTATTCAAACCTGAGTGACACAATAAGACCCTGTATCCAAAAAATATATATATCATTTCCTTTTTTGGGGAGTATAGAACTAACTTATTCTAACTGGGATGAATAAAATATTCAAGCAACAACTAGCCCTTCTTTGTTACCCTCTTTTACAATAAGTCCTTGAAAGCTTGCTAATGACTAGTGAATGTATGGCGAGCTAATATACTTTTCTGGCATTTTGAAATAATTTAAAGAGTTCTTTTTTTGTTTTGTTTTGTTTTTTGAGACAGAATCTCACTCTGTTGCCCAGGCTGGAGTGCAATGGCACAGTCTGGGCTCACTGTAACCTCCGCCTCCCGGGTTCAAGTGATTCTCCTATTTCAGCCTCCCAAGTAGCTGGGACTACAGGCATGTGCCACCACACCCAGCTAATTTAAAATAAAGTGTTCTTTACACTGATTTTAAACACTGAGTTAGGCCCAGGGTGATAGCTCACACTTGTAATCCCAGTACTTTAGGAAGCCAAGGCAAAAGGATCACTTGAGTCTAGGAGTTCAAGACCAGCTGAGCAACATAGTGAGACCTCGTATCTACAAAAAATAAAACAGATTAGCCAGATGTAGTGGCATGCACCTGTAGTCCTAGCTACTTGGGAGGCTGAGGCAGGAGGATCACTTGAGCCCAGGGAGATGAGGCTGCAATAAGCCATGATCACGACACCACTGCACTTCAAGCCTGGGCAACAGAGCAAGACTGTCTCAAAACCAAAAACACTGTATTAGCCAAAAAATTTTAAAAAGAGCTAGAGTTTCTACATCATTTTAAATGGGTCTTGATAAACTAATATTTCATTATAACATTTTGCCTGTGTTGAAAGATCACACTATTTAGACCAGTGCTGTCCAACAGAAATATAAAGCAAGCTACAAATGCAAGCCACATTTCCAGAAACCATATTTTTTTAAAGTAAAAACAAACGTGAAATTAATTTTAATAATGTATTTTATTTAACCTAGTAAATCCAAAATATTATCATTGCAGCATATAATCAAAATACAAATTATCAATGAAATACTTTACATTCTTTATTTTTTGTACTAAATATTTGAAATACAGCATGTATTTTACACTTTGACCTCAATTCAGATAGGTACATTTCAGTAGCTTAAGAGTCTCATGTGGCTAGTGGCTACTGTGTTGGACAGTGCAGATCTAGTGGTTCCTTCTAGTCGGCAGTACTATAATCCAATTTTTCAGAAATCTCAGCCTGTGAATCTCAGCCCAAGTATACCACACATACATACCTCTCACATGCACATTTAGGGTAAATAAAGTCTTAACAGGTGAACTCTATTTTACTTATAAAATAGTACTACATTGTTCATCCATATAAACAATATGATAATTTTTTTCAAAATAATACTTTACACTTAAGGTAGTAGGAATGTATTTACACATGCTCAGTTGACATACACTTTCACAATGTTTAATTGTAAAAGCAACACTTGGAAATGAGGAATCTACGTGATTTTCACTTTTATCTTTTCTAAAATGTCTCTTCTCATACTCTTTTCTTATATGTGGCCTGAGATGTCATCTTAATTGGCTCATTAGAAAAATGAGAGTAGTTAAAAAAAAAAAAAAAGAGAGAGAGTAGTTTAAGGAGTACACAGAAAAAAAATGTCTGTAGCCCAAGAGGAGGAGAGGATATGCAGCTGTTTCATTGAATTATTAGGCTCTTAGCCAAGACTGCAACAAACTGATTATTTAGCAAGTTTGTTTAGCTAATTGTTTACAATTCTCAAATAATTTTTTTCTTTTTTTTTTTTTTTTGAGACAGTCTTGCTCTGTCACCCAGGCTAGAGTGCAGTGGTTTCATTATGGCTCACTGCAGTCTCAGCCTCCGGGGCTCAAGTAGTCCTCCCAACTCAGCCTCCCAAATAGCTGGGACTACAGGCATGTGCCACCATGTCTAGCTATTTTTTCTTTTGTAGAGATAGGGTCTCCCTATTTTGCTTAGGCTAGTCTTGAACTCCTGGGCTCAAGCTATCTTCCCACCTCCGCCTCCCAAAGTGCTAGGATTACAGGTGTGAGCCATTGTGCCTGGCCTCTCAAATGATTTAATTTAAATCAGTACCAAACTTTAACTATGAATTAACTTTATCGTATACTGCATCCATTAAAACATAATCACGAAACCACTGCTACCATGGAGACTTAACTATGATTCGAAGACTTTAATAATGGCTACCAAATATAAGTATTAGAACATTTATATAAATAAGCCCGTATGTCCTATAGTATTTACCAACTACTATAAAATTCAGCCATTGACTACCTAATTCCAAATGCATAAGCTTGAACTATTATAATTGTCTAAAGAAGGATATTTAGAGAAAAATATATCTCTAAAATAAATTAACTGTAAATGGATGGGTTTTAATGTTCAAGTTATTAATATTTCAAAAATATAAACTTTTTGTTATCTAGGTCAAATCAGCATATCAAGCCAACCATTACTGAGACCCCACTGTGCTATACTGTTACATGTAACATGAAGGATAAAACAGTATAATACATAGTCCCTACCCTTAAGGAGTTTATACTATAAATAAGTCAGGCACGGTGGCTCATGCCTATATCCCAGCACCTTAGAAGGCCAAGGAGGGCGGATCAATTGAGGTCAGGAGTTCGAGACCAGCCTGGCCAACGTGGTGAAACCCTATCTCTACTAAAAATACAAAAAAATTAGCCAGATGTGGTGGCACACACTTGTAGTCCCAGCTACTTGGGAGGCTGAGGCAGGAGAATTGTTTAAACCCGGGAGGTGGAGGTTCAGTGAGCCAAGATTGTTCCACTGCACTCCAGCCTGGGTGACAGAGCGAGACTCGATCTCAAAAAAGAAAAAAAATAAAAGAAAAAGGAGTTTATACTATAACTATATAAAGTAATACCTAATGTCTATTGTTGCTTTTGCCAGACAGCGGTAGAGTTGAGTAGCTGCAGCAGAGACTGTATGGCCCACAAGGCCTAAAATAGTTACCGTCTGGCCCTTACCAGGAAATGTTTGCCAACTTCTGCTTTATACAAATTATTCTTCGCTGGAGGGAGAGCAAAGTCTAAATAAAGCACTAAACATGATAAAATTTTATTGCATCTGGCAAACTTTAAAAACTATAGTTTTTACAATAAACACTCAGAAATAGGCCGGGCGCGGTGGCTCAAGCCTATAATCCTAGCACTTTGGGAGGCTGAGGCGGACAGATCACCTCAGGTCAGGAGTTCGAGACCAGCCTGGCCAACATGGTTAAACCCTGTCTCTACTAAAAATACAAAAATTAGCCAGGTGTGGTAGCACATGCCTGTAATTCCAGCTACTCGGGAGGCTGAAGCAGGATAATCGCTTGAACCCGGGAGGCAGAGGTTGTAGTGACTGAGATCGCACCATTGCATTCCAGCCTGGGCAACAGAGACTCTGTCTCAAAAAAAAAGAATAAAGGTCAACCTGTTTTTGCTTGTCTGATGGTAAAATAAAACTTATACGCTGATTCTCAACCTGGACATGACTGCTAAAGGGAATATATTAGAATATTTAAAGTGTGAGGTGAGATGCTTATCAAAAAGGGTGGCATGTGTTTTAAAAGGCAGAGAAAGACTGTTTAATAATCATACCTCTGTATTGTTCCCCTTGACCATTCCCATCTAATTCATCGGTCCTGGTCATAAATGATAATGGCTATTTCCCAAAATGAAATTTACCCTGAAGTAGTTGATTCTCATTTGTTATGTTCTTTTTTTTTTTTTTTTTTTTTTTTTGAGACGGAGTCTCGCTCTGTCGCCCAGGCTGGAGTGCAGTGGCGGGATCTCGGCTCACTGCAAGCTCCGCCTCCCGGGTTCACGCCATTCTCCTGCCTCAGCCTCCCAAGTAGCTGGGACTACAGGTGCCCGCCACTACGCCCGGCTAATTTTTTGTATTTTTAGTAGAGACGGGGTTTCACCGTTTTAGCCGGGATGGTCTCGATCTCCTGACCTCGTGATCCGCCCGCCTCGGCCTCCCAAAGTGCTGGGATTACAGGCGTGAGCCACCGCGCCCGGCCTCATTTGTTATGTTCTATAAAACCCATAGTTATGTTCTATAAAACATTTGCCATGGTTATGTTCTATAAAATCATCCCAAATGCTAAATTAGAGAATAGTGAATCACTGCCCCTAAGGGAAATACAGTGTTAGGTTCCTGCCAGGCTCTGGTCACATTTTCATCAACTGGTCAATACATAACCTCTTCTATGTGTATTTCTGTTAAAGATACCTTAATAATATATATTGTTGATTCACTGACATTGAACTCATAGCCAACAGAACTATGACTCATGCCTGAATGAAGCTTACCTAACACCTGAATTTTCTCTGTAAGGCACATCACAGCCTTCTTGTGCTTAGCAACACTAGACAGCACTTTAGCACTATGCTTAGAGGCCATTTTAAATAGTAAAGTCACCAATAAAAAAAAAGCACAAAAATACAAAAATGTGGCACTAAATGGACCATGAAAAGGAGACTTGTTTAAAAGTATGAGAGCTGAAACATGAGGGCAGACCACTGACTTGTTCAACCTCAGCTAGTTCATTTTTTGTGTGTGTAGAGATGGTGGGAGGGGTTGCACTATGTTGCCCAGGCTGGTCTTGAACTCCTGGCCTCAAGCAATCCTTCTGCCTCAGCCTCCCAAGGTGGTGGGATTACAGATGTGAGCCTCTGTGCAAAGCTCAGCTAGTTCTTAAATATTTTGCCACTCTGAACATGCGTATGTCTAAAAATGACCTTGAAAGCATTTCAAGTATTGCTTTTGGGGTTACAAATACATTTCGGTGAGTAGGCAAATTCATAAATACAGAACTGACAAATAATGAGAATCAACTGTATAATAATATCATTACTGAGAATCTTCTGCATTAACCATAATCAGTTAAAAAATTGTTTTTGAACAACGGTAACATTAATGAGTACACAGGCACCAAAGTTAATACCTTTGAAGGGATATTTGTTATATATAAAGCAAATAGGGCATGTGTGTAGGTGTATTTCCCTCTTCCCTACTCCAGGAGCCCTTCACCTAGCTTACTTCTGCTTTGAGACTCACCCTGTAGATGGGCTTCTGTGAAGCCCAAACTTGGGTTAGATTCCCCGGACCTTGAGCTCCTACACTTCCCCCCATATCTCCACTGTATTACACATCACCTTACATAACCATCTGTGTGTTTATGCCTCATCCACTGGATTGTAACCAGCGGGGTCCTGTTTTATTTCTAGAACAAGGCGTTTACAATATATTGCTGTTCAATAAACTTTTACTGAATGAATGAATCACAAAGAGATGAGAAATAACAAGAACCTAAAGTAGGATGACTATGATATAACCAGACCAACAGGTAGGATTAAGTAGTAAGAAATAGCATCTGTATAATTTGCCCATCAGCTGGATGTAGAGAAGAGGAAGGATTTCAGACTGCCCATTTCTGGATTGACAAAGGTGTGCACAGTTGTGCTACTAATGAAAGTATAGAATATAAGAAGAGTACTTTTTAAGTGTAAAGACAAGTTCTACTGTGAACATTCCTGTAACCTTATTAATAACCCCTTCATCTATGCTACTTCAATAGTTGGTAAGTTTTGCTGCATAAGACTGCATTCCTAGTTATCTATTTCTCTGGCTAACTACCTCATTAAAATGTAAGATAATATAAGGTAAATTTTATTTAATTTTTGACTCACCAAAAACCAACACAACAATATTCATTTGAATTGAACGTGGATGAAGACATCCAGGAGATATTCTGAACTGGAGCTTAGAAATATTAGTTGGAGACAAATATTTAGAAAGGATCCTAATGCAAGTGATATTTTATAGTGTGAAGGAGGAACAATTTTTGGAAAGAATCAAAGACAGAACTTTGGGATGACCAGCATTTAAGGGGCACATCAATCAACAGGAGACAATAAAAAAGACAGAAGGAACCATCAGAGATCAACCAGGTGAGAATGCTACGGCAGACACTGCTGGTTACATACCAAAGAACCATTCATATCTTCTTTCTAGCTAACAGATATCTTCTCCCAGAAATAGAGTAATGAACTCAAGGAAGGTGAGAGCATCCCCCAGTCTCTTGGGGATGGCTCAGGGTTGATTTAAATCAATCACAGTAGTATTTCCTTTGCCAGTGATTGTTTAAGGGCAGACATGTGACATGGTTCTAGCCAATGAGATGTAAGAGAGATGTTCTGGGGATTTTCCTCCCTATAAGGAGATATCCACCAAGGAGAAACCCCAGCACTGCATCCTGTTTTTGAATAATGAAATTCTTACAATCCTAAAGGTAGACGTCTATGACACAGTGAAAACGGCAGAATACAAAGACAGTAAGAGCCTAACTTGACAGTGTTGCATCTCTAAATCAATCTTGGAACTACCTATCATTGGACTTAAGAGATTCTCTTACTTGGAGCTGAAGGCATCCTGACACCACTAGTGTCCAAAAACCAAAAGACAGAAGCTATTTCATGAGGGATACAGAAAAGTAAATAAAGATGATAGAAAAGTATCTGTAAGAGTGAGAATGATTTTGGCTTCAGTAGTAATAGTTAATCCTGGTGAGCCCTCAAAAAAATATTAACCTAAAAACACATGTATCCTCATTTAGTCTCTCAGAATTCTATGAGGTAGATAGAATTGTGACCAATAAAAGCTAGAATGTGGTAAATTGAACATTAAGAGGGAAATGAAAATGAAATGGTAAATTTAAATATTTCTAACAAGTTGTCTGAAGGAGATAGACTTGTAATAAGGAAAGGATAAAAGAGGTTTTAAGATAGTCCAGAGAAGAAGAAAACAATATAGAGGAGGATATTTAAAAACATGTAAGACATATAATAAAAGAAATAATTGCTTAAATGACATCTCAAAGAAGATAAAATTTGATACGATTTGATACCAAGAGTACCAGTAGATGAGACGTGAATAAAATTAGAGGTGGGCTCTGAGAGCAAAAGGAAGTAGACGACGACAATTTATAAATTTGAAAGTAAAAGGACTAGGAAGACCAAGAAGTTCATACACAGTATCAATACTCTGTTTAAAAAGAGAGGAGTGGGGGGACATCCACTGCTAAGGATTCAGAGTAAAGTAGGGTGTTTGATAAGAATGGTGGTAGTTCAGTATGTCAATTATGGAAAATAGGGAAGCAGCTGATCAGAAACAAACAATTACTAAATCCCACTAAGGACCCAGCTGAAACCAGAATGAATGAACATTCATTTACTCACAAATTTTTATTAAGGACCTTTCATATGCCAAGGCACCTTTCTAGGTGCTAGGGATACAGTATGAACAAAAATCCCTGCCTCATTCTCTGTACATTCTAGTAGGGGGAGATACAATAAAAATTTTTAAATACTGTAAGTTGTGTTAGACGGTGATAAAAGCTAAGAAAAATAAAGCAGAAAATGTAAATAAGGAGATTCAAAATTTAGATAGGGTAGCCAGAAATGATTTCAGAGAAAATGATATTAGCACTACAATCTGAAAGGAAAGGAGGAAAGCTATGCATCCATATGGTAGAACTTATTGGATAGAGGGAAATATCAAACACCAAAGCCTAGAAGTGAGGGAATGCAAGGCATCTTTGAGGAACCGCAAGGTGGCTGAGTCAGAATGATAGAGATGGTGAAGGGGTTGAAAGATGGTCAGAGAAATAACAGATGCAATACAGAGGCTTGTAGGCCACTAAAGACTTTGACTTACATTCTGAGGGAAGATACAATGCCATTGGAGAGTTTTACGCGAATGATAGGTCACTTTGATTCTTAACAGCGTGGGAAAGACGGTGGGCAAGGGTGGAAGACCAATAAGAACTGATGGGCACAGTGGCTCAGACCTGTAATCCCAGCACTTTGGAATGCTGAGGCAGGAGGATAGCTTGAGGCCACGAGTTTCAGACTAGCCTGGACAATATAACAATACTCTGCCTCTACAAAAGATAAAAAATGTCAGCCAGATATGGTGGCACATGCCTGTAACCCTAGCTACTCAGAAGGCCGAGGCAAGATTGCTTGAGCACAGGAGTTTGAGGTTACAGTGAGCTCTGATTATACACTGCACTCAAGCCTGAGTGACCAAGTGAGACACTGTCTGGGGGGGGGGGGAAATACACACACACACATATATATATAATGTATGCATATATATTATGTATATATATAATGTATGCATATATATTATGTATATATATAAAATCTTTATGTATATATATGTACATATATAAAATATATATACATATATACATATGGCTTAGGGTGCCAAAGACTAAACAAACTCAAAAAAGGTTAAAGAATTTGGCAAGGTCACTGAAGTAGCAATATACATATATATTCAGGTGGTTTGGACCATGATGTAGCAGTGGAGGTGATGAGAAGTGGTGAACTTCTGGATATATCTTAAAGGTAGAGTCAACAGGATTTCCTGGTGAATCAAACAGGGAATGTGAGGAAAAACCAATAAGGACACCAAGGTTTTTCAACTTCAGCAAACACAGAACAGACTTGCTACTTACTAAAATAGAGAGGGGAGAAGGGAGAAACTGAGGAGTTCAATATTGGACATATAAAATAAAGATGCATGGGGCCAGGCACAGTGGCTCAAACTCAGCACTTTGGGAGGCCAAGGCAGAAGGACTGCTTGAGGCCAGGAGTTTGAGACCAGCCTAGGCAACATAGCGAGACCCCCATCTCTACAAAAAATTTAAAAATTAGCCAGGTGTGCTGATGCATGCCTGTAGTCCTAGCTACTCAGGAGGCTGAGGCAGGGGGATCACTTGAGCCCAAGAGCTCAAGGCTGCAGTGAGCTAAGATTGCACCACTGCACTTCAGTTTGGGCGACAGAGATCCTGTCTCTTAAAAGAGAAAAATTTGGGAAGAGTGTAGGTGATATTTGAAACCATGAGACTAGAGGAAATTACTAGAATCATAGATAGGGTAAAAGGGCACAAGGATTGAGTCCTAGCACTCACAAATGCAGTAGTAAGAATAACTATTACTAGGAAAGTGGGGCCTCTCCCTCACCCCTGAGATGAATCCTAATTATTCTAAGCCAGTATGACACTTGATAGAGTAAGCCTGTGACTCAACTCTGGTCAGGACAAGGTTAATAAGATTGGCAGTTGTGGCAGGGGTGGAGGGTAGGGACACTGGTAGCAGAAACTTTCCCCTTCCATTTAACAATCATGACTGCATGACACCTGGAACTGTGGCAACCATTATGCAATCATTAGGGGAGTAAAGTCAAGAAGCTGAGGGTGGTAGAAGGCAAAGATGAAAAAAACATGGGTACCTCATAAATTGTTGAGCTGCTCATCAACCAGCCTTAGAGCCACTCTACCCCTGGATTTTTTATTATTTAAGCCATTTAATAAGGGTTTTCATTACTTGTGGTCAAAAGTATCTGGATACAATAATCTCATTTAATTTTCAAAACAATGCTTAGGGTGACAAGGAGTAAACAAACTCAAAAAAGGTTAAAGAATTTGGCAAGGTCACTGAAGTAGCAAATGGTGATTTGAAGTTCATCCGACTCCAAAGTCAATTTGAACTGATTAAGAGTTGTTGATTTAAAGAATGGACACAACTAAAAGACAAAGGGGAGTGGGAGTTGAGAATTACTGACGTGAATGGCAAAGAAGGAAAGCCAGCAAGTAAGAGATGGAAAGAAAAGAGAAGTGTCAAGAGACTAGAGGAACGGAAGAAGTACATTAGGAAACAAACTGACAAGAGGTCATCTTGAGGAGAATATCAGACTTGAAGATTTTTATTGTTTGAGTTGTCTGGATGAAGACTAGATGCAGGCTGTGGCCATAAGTAGTGAGGAAATTGCATTTCGAGTAGTTAAGGATTAATGTAGTAATATTTACTACATGGCACACATTATTTTATGCACTTAGGATTCAGTGGTATGTGATCTGAGATGAAGTTCCCGGGCTGTAACCTGGCCAGAAGCTTGAAGTCTTTACCCCAAGATATAAACAGAGCACAAGAATCAGGCTGACAATTGGGATGACAATGACTCACATTCACTAGCTTGTTTCAAATAATTTAACATACACTAGGAAATTAAATGTTTAATGAATGAATGATCTATCTGATCATTCAGCTTCTCCCATTCTGACTCTTCAAACCATTGCTTAATTAGCTACAGGATATTATTGGTTAGACTGATACAAATAATTGTCTGAAAACAATAGGGAGTCTCTGCAAAGTGATCCATGGTTTCAATCCACCTTCACTCACTAGCATGCTCAAGACAAGACGGTGAGATATATGTCTATTTTGTTTACTACTGTATCTCTAGCACTTAGAACAATGCCCAGAATTTTTGTTGAATTGAATAAATGAATAGATTAATTAGGACCTACTAGATGCCAGGCATTATTGTCATCTCAAAGGTAAATAAGATAGCTCCTGCCCTTGACCGTTTACCACTTAAAAGCTCTAACTAAAACCTCTCAATCTTCATTTATATCAAAGTGCATAGTTAAGGAGCAAGGTTGTTAAGAATCTAAAGGTAATATCTGTCCTGGATAAAAGGTGTCTAAAGCTTAATATGCACATAAATTTTTTAAAACTAACATTCTTGCTTGAAAAAATAGTATTTATATTATTGCTACAATTAGATAACCTGGCATAAACAATGATTATGATAAACCATAGAAAAATAGTACCTCCAGATATTTCTTATAAAAAAATTAATTCCTTTTTCTTAAGTACATGTCCCTTCAAATTTTTTTTAAATGAAGTGAGAATATCAGTTAATATGAAGCAACATAAAGGAACAAATGGAATCAGAAGGCAAATTCCAAAGAGATCACTACTATAAATAGAGACATGGAAATGTCAGAACAGAGAAGCAAGGTTCCACTAAAAAACAACAAAATTGTTATACCAAATGAGTTTTCTATCTTGTACCCACCCACTTCCAGTTAAGGATTTCACTGGCAAAGATCCTTGATCTTTCAATAACCTATTTTCAGAAGGAAATGTTGTCAGTAAATGTTGTCAGTAAAGGTAGACATCCTGATTACAAAAATTAAGATGTTTTTGGTTCTGTACAGATTCTTCTTCCTCTTGTACCTAAGAAGCAGAAAACCTCCAACCCAAACACCGATGCTTCATATAGAAGACAGTTCACAAAATAAAGAGCACTGGATTAGAAATCTAGTCTTGGCTCTGCAATTAATCTTGGCACTTTGTAGAAGGCACTCAGCAATCTGTGTTATGGTTTCCTCCAATATAAAATGAAACAAATGGGCGAGATTACCTTCAAGGTCTTTCCAAGACTGATATTCTAAGAAAAGTTTGTGTGAAACTACCCTTCAGTGCCATCTGGCCTCAAAGGCCCTCCACATTCATAATCATATGTAGCTTTGTAGGAAAATGATAAGTGGAATAAAGAATTCAACTTGATATTTATTAAACTTTTACCAACATAAAAGCATACTGGGCAAACCAAAGAATAAGACGCGGTCCTTGACAAGCCCTCTTTTATACAGAGGAGGGGAAAAGGGAGAAGACAAAATTTCTGTATTCATAACATTTACTACAATCTAGCCAGGGAAACAAAATTTAATTCACTTTAATTCCTCAAATATTAAATATGTTTTGTGTAAAAGGGTAGTTTTCAAATCTTGATGAGTAGAATCAACTATGATGCTTTCTGGAAAAAAAAAGAAAGAAAGAAAGAAAGAAATATAGATTCCCCAAAACATGATTCAGTAGGTCCACGTACGGCTAAAAAGCACTCTTGATGATGCTGGTGACCTTTTGTTAAGAAACTCTGCCTTAGTCTAGCTAACAAAAAGTTTGAGTTAGTCCAGTTAAAAGAAAAACTTTCAATTGATTCATGAATAGGACAGACCCCAATTGAAAGTAGTTCAATGACTTAGGGCTGAAGGGATAAGGAGGATTTTCACAGGATGAATGCAGAAACAAGGCAAAGAAAACATTTGATTAAAGTGGAGCAACAGCCTGATTTGGACCATTCCAGTGAAAAGTCCCTAGTTAAAGGTTAATTGGCAGTTTCTGATTGGTTAAGACAGTTTACATTGAATTAGGTTTCAGTTTGCTTATGTAGGAACACAGGGCACTGGAGGTACCCCAGTCTAATCACTTCCCATTTAATTATTTTAACAGTTTAAAAAAAGCTGTTTCTAGACCCTGAATTCATCTCAAGACTATATACCCATAACTAGAAACAAACTGCAAGCCATTAAAAATAAGCAAAAGTCGGCCAGAGCTTGTACACTTGTGTATTTCAGTGGTTCTCAAGTGTGTCTGCACTTTAGGATTAACCTGTGGGGAAAAGCAAGAGAGATCAGATTGTTACTGTGTCTGTGTAGAAAGAAGTAGACATAGGAGACTCCATTTTGTTCTGTACTAAGAAAAATTCTTCTGCCTTGAGATTCTGTTAATCTATAACCTTACCCCCAACCCTGTGCTCTCTGAAACATGTGCTGTGTCAACTCAGAGTTAAATGGATTAAGGGCGGTGCAAGATGAGCTTTGTTAAACAGATGCTTGAAGGCAGCACTCTCCTTAAGAGTCATCACCACTCCCTAATCTCAAGTACCCAGGGACACAAAAACTGTGGAAGGCCGCAGGGACCTCTGCCTACGAAAGCCAGGTATTGTCCAAGGTTTCTCCCCATGTGATAGTCTGAAATATGGCCTCGTGGGAAGGGAAAGACCTGACCGCCCCCAAGCCCGACACCCGTAAAGGGTCTGTGCTGAGGAGGATTAGTATAAGAGGAAGGCATGCCTCTTGCAGTTGAGACAAGAGGAAGGCATCTGTCTCCTGCCCATCCCTGGGCAATGGAATGTCTCGGTATAAAACCCGATTGTATGTTCCATCTACTGAGATAGGGAAAAACCGCCTTAGGGCTGGAGGTGGGACCTGCGGGCAGCAATACTGCTTTGTAAAGCATTGAGATGTTTATGTGTATGCATATCTAAATGCACAGCACTTAATCCTTTACCTTGTCTATGATGCAAAGACCTTTGTTCACGTGTCTGCTGACCCTCTCCCCACAATTGTCTTGTGACCCTGACACATCCCCCTCTTCGAGAAACACCCACGAATGATCAATAAATACTAAGGGAACTCAGAGGCTGGCGGGATCCTCCATATGCTGAACGCTGGTTCAGCATACTTTGTCTTTGTGTCTTTTTCTTTCCTAAGTCTCTCGTTCCACCTTACGAGAAACACCCACAGGTGTGGAGGGGCAACCCACCCCTACATTAACCCAGGAAGCTTTTACGGATTCACATATAGTCCAATTAAATCAGTTTCTGGGAGTAGGAGTTAGGGCTAACCTTTCTTTCTTTCTTTCGTTTTTGAGACAGAATCTCGCTGTGTCACCCAGGATGGAGTACAGTGGTGCGATCTCAGCTCACTGCAACCTCCCCGTCCCGGGTTCAGGCAATTCTCCTGCCTCAGCCTCCCGAGTAGCTGGGATTACAGGCGTCCGCTACCATGCCCAGCTAATTTTTGTATTTTTAGTAGAGCCGATGTTTCACTATGTTGGCCAGGCTGGTCTTGAACTTCTGACCTTAGGTGATCCACCCGCCTCGGCATGAGGCACCTCGCCCAGCCTACCTTTCATATTTTTTAAAAGCTCCCTGTAGCCAATGTGGGTAACCACTGAATAAATAAAAGGTCACTGCAATTGGTTAGTCAGGTTAAGTTTCATGAGAAAAGACTATTTTTAATCTGGATTTATTTAGCTAAAGGTTAATGAAAAAGATAAATGTAATAGAAGAACTGATTATCTAAATATATGATCCAATAGGAAAAGAAACAATAAATGTTTTGACCACAAAAAAAGGGAGAATAAGAACAGTAAATATATGAATTTTAGACATTTTGTTTTTGAGGCAACATGTAAAACCAAAGTTTTGTAGGTAGCTGTTTGGAAACATCTAGGAAACAAGTATAGGATCAATTTACAGGAAATTACAAGTATATTAGTGCATATTTGTATATAGCAGCTTTATTATAAATTATTGTAATGTATGCTATGGAATAAGCTAAACTCACTTAAGAACCGGATGATAAGGCCAGTTATTTAAGACAGATGCTTTCAGGAGTCCCAAACTTTCAATCTAACATTATTACCTAAAGTAATGGAAAGCTGGGAGTGTTGTCTTACAAGAAGAGGTGGAGAGCTCCAAATTTTTCTCTAAAAATTAATAATCTATTTCCTATATATCCTATGATGCCCTGTTATATCTCCCATGATCATAATCAAAGGACAGATCCTGGCAATGAATGTGTGGAGTGACCAAACAAATACTCCATTAATATTCAAAGAGGCCTTTTGTATAATACACTAAAGATGTTTGTTCTTTTATTAGATTTGAAGAACACTGAAAAGTTTGGAATGACACCTTAGCAACCCCCCAAATATTCCTCCCAGCTTCACTGAAGAGATCCTAAAAAGCAGTTTATTTATATTTTCACAAAGAACCTTTGTCTCAAGCATTAATTTTTCCAAAAGATTAAGCTATCAAGAATTTTATTGTGGCTGGGCGCGGTGGCTCATGCCTGTAATCCCAGCACTTTGGGAGGCCAAAGAGGGTGGATCATGAGGTCAGGAGTTCGAGACCAGCCTGGCCAACATGGTGAAACACTGTCTCTACTAAAAATACAAAAATCAGCTGGGCGTAGTGGTGGGTGCCTGTCATCCCAGCTACTCGGGAGGCTGAGGCAGAACTGCTTGAAGCCAGTAGGCAGAGGTTACAGTGAGCCGAGATCATGCCACTGCACTCCAGTCTGGGTGACAGGGTGAGTCCGTCTCAAAAAAAAAAAAAATTAGGCATAGTGGTGCACACCTGTGATCCCAGCTACTCCAGAGGCTGAGGTGGGAGAATCTCTTGAACCTGGGAGGCTGAGGTTTCAGTGAGCCAAGATCGTGCCACTGCACTCCAGCCTGGGCAACAGAGCGAGTATGTAAAAAAAAAAAAAAAAAAAATTGAGGTCCTTACATATTTTCAATATTCAGTGATAACTAAAATAAATTGAGATATACATAAATTTGTTTTGAGGGTAAATTATAGCACTGTGGTAAATTACATTGATCAAAAGATCTGATTGTATTGCCTAATTAATAAAATATGAAAAAATCAAGACATTTTCAAAATACAACTGGAAAATTTCTACCTAGCCGCACACCCAACACTGCTTTTACTGTTTTTCTATACATTATGATTAAATCTGTAGTCCCATACGTGCACTGATTTTTCAAATGCAAATTCCACCAAAATTTATAGGGATGGCCATGAACACTGAAAAAGATCATCAGAGCTATAAATGGATACTACTGCCTTAAAAGCTGATTAAAGGGAAATGATGGCTCACCTGTATCTACATTCATATTAACTGCTATTTTGGTGCTTAAGCAAATGAACACATTACTTTTAGGTTTTCAGAAAGAATGCAGCATATATATATTTCTCACAATTACTCTTAAGAGCTGCTGAAAAAGTATTTTTTTAGACCTAACCAAGTAAGACAAAATGCCACAAAGTCGAGAAAGTTCATTTTACCTCATTGTTTGTTATTTAAACAAATAATTTTGGAAAAAAAAAGTCACTGTGATATACTCAATAATAAAGAGTAAGACTTCTAAAGTATCCTCACGATTCCTGGAGCTTACTACTATTAACACAGTAAATTACATGCCACGATATGTTGGAGAAGGTCTGAAGAAATGTCTGGCATTACTTGGTAACTGAAGTACATAACATAAAATACCAATTTACACACACACACACACACACACACACACACACACATATATATATATATATACCTAGTCCTGTGATGACAATTCAGAATATGATCTTACATTTGAGTACCCACAGGATGGGGTGGGAGAAACTACGCCTAAGAAGCTACAAAATCTATTTTGGTCAAGAAACAATGCTGTTCTTAACTTAAGAGACCTTAACAGGCCGGGCGCAGTGCCTCGCGCCTATAATCCTAGCATTCTGGGAGGCCGAGGCGGGTGGATCACGAGGTCACGAGATCGAGACCATCCTGGCTAACACGGTGAAACCCCGTCTCTACTACAAACGCAAAAAATTAGCCCAGACGTGGTGGCAGGCGCCTGTTGTCCCAGCTACTCGGGAGGCTGAGGCAGGAGAATCGCTTGAACCCAGGAGGCGGAGGATGCAGTGAGCCGAGACCGCGCCACTGCACTCCAGCCTGGGTAACAGAGCGAGACTCTCAAAACAAACAAACAAACAAAAAAAAACCCTTAATAAAAATGGCCATGGACACATACATATACTAGGTTATTAAATCTGGCTAACACTGAACTTTAAGAACAATCACGTTTTTGGATAAAGAAAAGGGCAGTCATACTTTTAGAGCCTCATCCACATTATTTTAAACAAAAAACTTAAAATATGGTCGAGAACTAACAGGCTTCCAGCCTGAATTCAACACCCACCCTCGTGATAAAACTAAAAAATCGGACAGTCTGTAAGTAAAATACAGGGACACTTTACTACCCTGAAAATCATGCTGGGTTCCCGCTACGCCGGGCAGACGTTTTCAGGAGCATCACCGCGCGGCGTCTCGGACGCACTTCTCCTGGCGCCCTCCGGGCGGCAGCGCTCTCGAGACACTGTTGCTTCGCCGTCACGCCCGTCGTTGTCACGCCCTTCCCCGCGGACACCGAGAATGACCCATAGCGGAAAATTCTACCGCACTACCTCCCTGAGGCAGCGACCGGTAAGAAACAACCTTTTCTTCAGGCTTCCCACCACCCAAACACAGTCGCAGTCAACTGGCCACTATCACCCACCACCCTGCAGGAACAATTACCCAGCCTCACCCCAAGAACGCGCGGAGAGGAGGTGCCAAAAGAAATTCTGTTCTCGCGAAGTCTTAAACTTAATCCTCGCGACGTCTCTGTTCCTGTCGTTCTTTCTCAGCCCTAACCCACACCAGCGCGTTGCCTCGGAAACATCGCGAGATTTTGTTCCTTCAGTCTCCGCCCCTTTACGGCACGATGGTCGCGCAAGAATGTAATAGAGCTTCGACGGCCGCCATTTTCTTTCTTTCTTAGCTGTTAGCTGAGAGGAAGTCTCTGAACAGGCGGCAGCGGCTCTTATAGTGCAACCATGGCAGACTATTCAACAGTGCCTCCCCCCTCTTCTGGCTCAGCTGGTGGCGGTGGTGGCGGCGGTGGTGGTGGAGGAGTTAACGACGCTTTCAAAGATGCACTGCAGAGAGCCCGGCAGGTAAGTGTGGACCGCGCGGCGGAATCCCGAAAGCTCACGGTAATTGGCCGCTGACTGAGTAGGCCGCTACCCTTAAGCGCATGAGGAAGAGGAAAGAGGTGTTCTTCCGGGCTGAAATGTGAAGAGACACGTTTCCCCATGTTGGTAATAACGATTAGAGACCAGAACCCAGTTTTGTGTTCTTGGTGCCTAATCCACTTAGAACCCCGACGCGTGCTACGCAAAGAAGGCCTGAAGTCTTTCTCCCGCTTCTGCGGCACTCGCGTGTCTCCAGTGAGCTAGTTTAGATAAAGATCCTCTTCCAGGGGATAAAGCGCAGTTAGTTTCACACAATTTAATGGAAGGTTCTGGTAATGAGTTTGGGAAAGAACTAGGGTCTGTCCTGGAGCCATAGCAAGGGAAGGGATTTATCATTAAAGTAGCCTTTACAGCTCATTTCCGTTCTCTCTCGCAATTAAAACCGCTTTCAGTACCATTCACCGTCACACCTCTACAAGGAAGGGACTTGAAAGCAGCCTTTTTCTGGGCGGGATTTACGTGTCAGTCTGTTCCACCAGTCCGCCCCCCTTATTTCTCAAAATGGCCTCAGGCCCATTATACCAGAGGTTTCAATTTGAATCTGCCTCTCAGTTCAGAGTCGTAAACTGACCAGACCTCTTTGTATTACGTAGTGCGTGCATTTGCCCTGAAGGCACCACTTTCCCAGACGAAAGCTGTTAAAATAGTGCGTGTATTCCAGGAAAATAAAAGATACCTTAATTTGAACTTTACATTCTTAGATAGTCCCCTAATATATTTAACATTTCAAAATGTATGGTGTTGGTATAGATTTGCATGTAAGCAAAAGAATCCTATTCTCTGTGACACTATGCATATTGTACTAGGTGCTGGGCATTTTTTACTAGTTTTAAGCTAATGATAATTAGAAACCAGTGTTGTGCTGTGTTTTCGTTGCATTAGGAGTTCACTTAGTTAACTTTTTACCGGGACAGTTGAAGGAACATTGAGTCAAAATTAGAATTCATAAAATCCGTTGTAACACATCTAATGTGAACGCATTATAAACATGTACCTGTACTTTTTTATAACCAGAAATACTAGGAGTAGTCAACAAAAGGTCATCATTAATATTAGTTCTGCGGTTTTTTCCACGTAATTTAAGAAATTCTGAACATGTTTAGCAACAAGCATATAACTATGACAAACACTCTTAGCGTGTTTTATTAGATTGATTTGTAAAACTTAAGGGAACTATTTTATTTACTGGAACCAACTATTTTATTTTACCAGAACCAGCACATTGGATTAATTGGTATCGCACACTGTAGGTAGATACTGGAGTTTTGTTTTGTTTTGTTTGAGACGGAGTCTCCCTCTGTCGCCCAGACTGGAGTGCAGTGGTGCGATCTCGTCCCACTGCAACCTCTGCCTCCCGGCTTCAAGCAATTCTCCTGCCTCAGCCTCCCGAGTAGCTGGGATTACAGGCGCCCGCCACCATGCCCGGCTAATTTTTTGTGTTTTTTTTGTTTGTTTGTTTGTTTTCAGTAGAGACAGGGTTTCACCATGCTGGCCAGGCTGGTCTCGAACTCCTGACCTCGTGATCCGCCCGTCTTGGCCTCCCAAAGCTGGGATTACAGGCGTGAGCCGCTGCGCCCGGCCTTGTTTTTTTTCGTTTGTTTGTTTTAATGCATGAATTGTTTCCTACTAAGAAGCTATGATATAGTTCCTTGACCAAATGCAGATGAACAGGATTATCTGATTAATACTTTAACGAGAGCAGACAAAATATGGATATTTAATTCATCCACTTGCTTTATAAGTGTTTATAGAGTTTGTTAGGAGGGGATGCCCAATTTCCTAAGTAAAGGTGATATATGAGCAAGACATTATAAAATGAAAGAGAGTTTGGCCAGTGAAGAAAAGAAGCAGCATGCGCAGAGGTGTGGGGACTTGAGGGAATGGCAAGGACCCAGAAGTGAAGTCGCTAGAAGATGGGGGTGGGAGGACGTGAAACGAGGCAAGGAAAGGTACAAGCGGATCCAGATACTGGAAGACCTTGTGTTGCAATGCTTTAATTAAAAATTGGATTTCAGGCCGGGTACGGTGGCTCACGCCTGTAGTCCCAGCACTTTGGGAGGCTGAGGCAGGCAGATCACTTGAAGTCGGAGTTTAAGACCAGCCTGGCCAACATGGTGAAACCCCATCTTTACAAAAAATACAAAAAGTAGCCGGGCTTGGTGGCCTGTGCCTGTAGTCCTAGCTACTTGGGAGGCTGAGGCACAAGAACCGCTTCAACCTGGGAAGTGGAGGTTGCAGTGAGTGGAGATCACGCTGCTGCACTCCAGCCTGGTCATAGAGCGAGACCCTGTCTCAAAAAAAAAAAAATTGGATTTTATTATTAGGCTAAGCCATAATTTCTTTATACTTCTTAAAATATAGAAATTGTTGGCAAATTGTGAAATTTATTGTTGTATAATGCTAATAGATCAGTTGTCCTGATGTCTTTGCTGTAATGATTTCTTTATAAAAATGATCTTAAATCTGAGCTCCCTAACTTTAGTTTTTGCCTGGAATTACCCATTACATTTGATGATATCTCTAAATGTCAGTTGTAGCTGTTACTCTGATGATATAAGTGGAATATACAGAAGCGTACTTAGACAAAAGTTAGGTTAATATCTGAACTACTTCCTCCTTGTGTATTTAAGAGAATATTGACTTAAGTTTCTAGAATCCTCAACTAATCCTAAGTTTATTTTCTTTGTCTAGAATACTATGCTGTTTTTGTTTTTGGAAGGAAGAGATATAGGCATAGTTTCCTGCTCTCAAGGAGCTTCAAAGGCTGTACCAGTGGGGATGCCATTGGTATTTTTAGCTGGATAGTTGTTATTCAGAAAAGCAGGACAAGTAATTATGATTCCTGGTCCGTACCTGGTAATGCCAGTAATGTTAACTCTAGCTGGTTGTTGACATCTGGTCATTTAGTTGCCAATCTTCTTTTTTTTTTTCTGGCTTTTATGTGAAATTTTTAGATTTTTATAATATCCTGAGCTAAATTCAACACAGGGACACCAGATTGCTGCTTTAGTTCAGGGTTTCCAGCCTGTGCACTTAAGAAATTTATTTTTGTGTATATCAAGCTGTAACTCCAGAGATTGGGATTGTTTGATTGGGTCTTTAGCAGTGGTACTAATAGCAACTTCTGTCTCTAGAACATTGGAAAATTAAAATGTGTTTATCTACCGTTTTTTTCCTCGAGGTTATATGAAGGTAGAAATGAATCAGACTAGATGATTAGCTAAGCGAGACTATTAACCCTCATCCCTTCCCCTCTAGACAACTATGAAATTAGTCATTATGTATTCGATCCTTCTTGCAGTCTCTTCTCTGACAGTTATAAAAGTGATTTAGGCTGCATAATGTTGTTTGAATGAAATGAAAATATAGACTAGAGCTGTTTTTTTTTTTATTTCCATCAGTCTCTTCAGTGAAAACTAACATTTGAGCATGATTCTTTTTTTAAATCATTTTGTGACAGTTTAGCAAGGCTTGTGATAAGCAAGTTATGGTATGGTAATATTTCTAGTGTCCACGTTTCTTCACATGTCTGGTGTATGGGAACTACTAACTCCATCAGGACCTTGCCTATAGTAGGTACTCAACATTTACTGAATTAAATCAATAAACATTTTTAATGAATTACAGTACAAGTCAGACCTCTGTATCTGTGGGCTCTGCATCTGCAAATTCAGCCAACCATGGATCAGAAATATTAGAAAAATGGAAGAACAGTCCAGCAATACAAGTAATATGAATAAAAACAATACAACAACTATGTACATTGTATCAGGTATTATAAGTAATTTAGAGATGCTTTAAGTATACTGAAGGATTTGCGTAGGTTATATGCAGATACTGTACCATTTTATATAAGGAACTTGAGCATCTGTGGATTTTGGTATTTGCATGGTTCCTGGAACCAATCCCCCAGGGATACTGAGGGACTATAGTTGATCATACCACCTGATTTTAGAGATTTTCTGAGTCTCAGAAGTTAATTAAGTAAACTACAATAGTCTGTTCTTAACCTCGGAGGATACATTCCAAGAACCTCAGTGAATATCTGAAACCACAGATAGTATTGAATCCAATATATACACGGTAATATTTTTTCCTATACATATGTATCTATAAAGTTTAAATTCTAAATCAGACACAGTATTAACGATAATAATAAATTAGTGCAAGACTGGGCATAGTGGTTCACACCTATAATCTTAACACTTTAACTATGACGTTGTCTTTGAAAAGAAATCAGCTAGCCAAGGTGGCTCATGGCTGTAATCCTAGTGTTTTGAGAAGCTAAGTCAGGAAGATTGCTTGAGCCCAGGAGTCTGAGACCACCCTAGGCAACATGGTGAAACCCTGTTTCTATAAAAAATACCAAAAAATAGGCTGGGCGCGGTGGCTCACGCCTGTAATCTCAGCACTTTGGGAGGCTGAGGCGGGTGGATCACGAGGTCAGGAGATTGAGACCGTCCTGGCTAACACGGTGAAACCCCGTCTCTACTAAAAATACAAAAAATTAGCCGGGAGTAGTGGGCGCCTGTAGTCCCAGCTACTCAGGAGACTGAGGCAGGAGAATGGCGTGAACCCGGGAGGTGGAGCTTGCAGTGAACCGAGATCGCGCCACTGCATGCCAGCCTGGGCAACAGAGCGAGACTCCATCTCAAAAAAAAAAAAAAAAAAACCAAAAAATTAGCCAGACGTGGTGGTGCTTGCCTGTAGTACCAGCTATCCAGAAGGCTGAGGTGGGAGGATTGCTTGAACTTGGGAGGTCAAGTCTAGAATGTTGACAATGTTGGGTCCTTTATGTAGTTGCATAAGTGAGCCATGATCGTGCCACTGCACTACATCCTTGGGCAACAGCCTGACCCTGTCTCAAAATTTTAATTTAATTAAAAAAATAAAATAGAACAATTACAACAATACACTGTATTACTGGACAAGAAGGGCAAATTTAAAAAAAATTAAACCAATATGCTATAATAAGTTATATGAATGAGGGGACCCTCCCCTACCCCAGAATATCTGATTGTACTATATCATAGGTAACTGAAACCGTGAAGAGCAAAAACTGAAGATAAAGAGACTACTGTGTCTTTTAAGTTTCTTTTCAACTCCCAAATTCTTGGATTTCTCACCTCTTGGCTTCCTCAATAGAGGTGAGAAATGTTAAAGTAGTGAAAACAGGAAAAATAACTTACTCATTCAAGAAGTAGATAATGGTCCAGATGGAAAGCTTGAATTATTTTTGTAAAACTAAAATTAAATAAAGTAGCCAGGCATGGTGGCTTACGCCTGTAATCCCAGCACTTTGGGAGGCTGAGGCGGGTGGATCACTTGCGGTCAGGAGTTCAAGACCAGCCTGGCCAACAAGGTGAAACCCTGTCTATACTAAAAATACAAAAATTAGCTGAGCATGGTGGCGGGCGCCTGTAATCCCAGCTACTCGAGAGGCTGAGGCAGGAGAATCGCTTGAACTTGGGGGGCGGACATTGCAGTGAGCCCAGATCACGCCACTGCACTCTAGTCTGGGTAACATCTTGAGACTCCATCTCAAATAATAATAATAATTAAATAAAGTAAAAAGTTTCCCACACCTCATAAATGTCTAATAAAAATTGAATATGTTGAGTTCAAGTACTCTGAAAAAGGAGTTGAATATAGTTGGAGGTTGGTTTTTAGGAATTACTATTTTTCTTAAATTAACTATCCTTGTAGTCACCTAGGAATTGTGTATTTTCTATAGATCTTAGAAAATTATCAAATCTACAGTTCATTTTGTTTTTTCAGTTTTTTTTTTTTTTTTAAGAGATGGAGTCTTGCTGTATTAGCGTTGAACTCCTGGCCTCAGCCAGTTCTCCCATCTCAGCTTCTGAAGTAGCTGGGGCTGCAGGTGCCACTGAGCCTGGCTTCTTTATTGGTATTTTTATTAAACACTTTTCTCTAATGTCTTTGTAACAGTTCTCAGTTTTTGAAATGCTGTTACTGTTTCTTTAGTGTGAACTGTCAACTTTCATTTTTTCTTTTCTTTTCTTTTCTTTTCTTTTTTTCTTTTTTGAGACAGAGTCTCGCTCTGTCACCCAGACTGGAGTGCAGTGGTGCGATCTTGGCTCACTGCGACCTCTGCCTCCCGGGTTCAAGTGATTCTCCTGCCTGAGCCTCCCGAGTAGCTGGAATTACAGGTGCGCACCACTGTGCCTGGCTAATTTTTTTTTTTTTTTTTTGTATTTTTAGTAGAGGTGGTGTTTCACCATGTCAGTCAGGCTGGTCTTGAACTCCTGAACTCATGATCCCCCCCGCCCTGCCTCGGCCTCCCAAAGTGCTGGGATTACAGGCATGAGCCACCACGCCTGGCCTCAGCTTTCATTTTCATTTGGTTAGTTTTTGAACTATTCAGTGGGTAAAGTTGTATAAATAAGTGTCTTTTCTCTGTATAGAAGTGTCTTGGAGTTCAAGGAGTGCTGCTTTGCAAACTCATAGAGTATTTATAAAAGCTAACTGCAGAAGGTATTCATAGGCTAAACCGTTTCCTATTCTTGGTAGCACCATTTTCTCTGGCCTGAAATACTTTCCTTCTACTATTAGTGCCTGTCGATACCCAGCAGTGTATTTACTTTCCTGAGGAACAATTCAAATGCTAAGTGCTTTAAGACCTAAGGGTGGAAAAGCAGTGTTTTCAGGCATTATTAGGAAAATAAGATTTAAATTAGACACCCAGAAACAAAAACAGGTTTGTAATTGGTAAAGTGAAAGATGGTTAAAGAAGGTTAGATTGACCAAAGCGAGAATTTACCTTTTTTTTTTTTTTTTTTTTGAGACAGAGTCTCATGCCGTTGCCCAGGCTGGAGTGCAGTGGCGTGATCTTGGCTCACCGTAACCTCCACTTCCTGGGTTCAAGCAGTTCTCCCACCTGAGCCTCCCGAGTAGCTGGGTGACATGCGCCACCACGCTCAGCTAATTTCTTTGTATTTTTAGTAGAGACTGGGTTTCTCCATGTTGGTCAGGCTGGTCTCGAACTCCTGACCTCAGTGATCTGCCCGCCTTGGCCTCCCAAAATGCTGGGATTACAGGCATGAGCCACTGTGTCCGGCTGAGAGTGTACCTTTTTTTTTTTTTATCAAGCAATCTAGTACTTGATCCTAATAATCTTTGTGGTAGGTGTTTGCATTTTTAGATGAGGAAAAGGGAAATCTATGAGTCCTAGGAAATACAGTTGGTATATGGGAACTGATATGTAATTAGACTTAAGTGATCCATGTTGAATTTATGACTTAAGCACTTAACTATAATCTTAACCTCTCCAGTTGTCTGATGAAGTTAGTATATGGGAACTGATACATAGACTTAAGTGATCCATGTTGAATTTATGACTTCAGCACTTAACTATAATTTTACCCTCTCCAGTTGTCTGATGATAATAAAAACTTGAAGCAGTTATCCATATGGGGATCTCTTTGGGGAATCCCAGTCACCAAAAGTTAGGTTTTCTTTAATATTTTTTCATGGAAGATTTCAAATATACTCAAAATTGAAAGAATTATATAATAAATTCTCATGAGCCCATCACACATCAATAATGAATGTACAGCATTGCAGTGTGGAGCTTGGCCTATTGCTGACCACTCAGCAATGTGGCAGAACCACTCCATGATTCCCCATGGAAATGGGAACTACTTCGGTTGTCCTTTTATAGAAAAATTCAGTAAGTATCTGCTGATTGTGCCCTACTTGTGACTTGAAGCCAGGTTTTTTTTTTTGTTTTTTATTTTTTTTGTTTTGTTTTGTTTGTAACAGTCTTGCTCTGTCATCCAAGAGGGGCATGATATTGGTGCACTGCAACCTCCACCTCCTGGGTTCAAGTGATTCTCGTGCCTCAGCCTCCCGAGTAGCTGGGACTATGGGCGTGCACCACCACACCTGGCTAATTTTTGTATTTAGTAGAGATGGAGTTTCATCATGTTGCCCAGGCTGCTCTCGAACTCCTGAGCTCAAGCAATCTACCCACCTCCACCTCCCAAAGTGCTAAGATTACAGGCATGAGCCACCATGACAGCAAAGCTGGGTATTTCTTAAATTGGTTCAGTCAGGTGCAATAAATTATTTGCCCTACTCTAAAATTTAAAAATCTTCTAAGAATTATGGTTTTGCAGCTGAGGTTTTTTTAAGACTCGAGCTCCCTGGACTCCTACATATATCCTTAGAACAACATTGTCCAATAGAAGTACAATGTGAGCCACATGTTTTGTTTAACCCAGCATATCCAAAATATTACCCCCTTTGCATGTGCTTAATATAAAAATTTAAGATGATTTATATTCCAGGTTTTCAATATTCAGTGAGTAATTTTACACTTAGAGCAAGTATCATTTCAGACTAGTCACATTTTGAGTACTCAATAACCACATATGGCTAGTGGCTACCTTACTAGATAGCATAGCCTTTGAGTCCCACAAAGTGTTCACATTCTATGTGTTTACACACATCTTTTGAAGTGTCATGACAGAGCCAGATAGGATCCAGATTTTCTTTAAATCTGGTCTCTCTTCCGGATTCCTAGTTGATTACTTCTTTGTTGCTTCTTATAGGGATGTATCAGAAGTTTAATAATCTTATGATTATTATGTTAACTGCCTGAAGTATTAATGGTAGCAATAAATTGAACTATAATTTTAATTTTTCAAGTAAATTTTCTTATGTGATACTAAATATTTCACATATACATGTATCAGGAAGTAAATGGGGGTAATTTAGTAATGAATAGTATATAATAGTTTATGATGGTATTTTTCTTTTTTTTTTTTAGATTGCAGCAAAAATTGGAGGTGATGCAGGGACATCACTGAATTCAAATGACTATGGTTATGGGGGACAAAAAAGACCTTTAGAAGATGGAGGTAAGTTATACTCTAAGTATTTTAAATTGTTTTTCAGAGTGTTTAGTTGAAGTGATTCTCGGTATTTTTCTGTTATTTTATTGAGATATTAACTTTTATTATAAGGTTGTTAAAATTGTAAGCTGTATATTGGCCTAAAAGGGGGGAAAGAAAACTAGACAAGGTAAGTAAAATTTGAAAGAAATTTTTTAAAAAATTTTTTAAAAAAGGAAGTTTTGTCTTAATAGAAAACAATTTATTTTCCCTCTTTTAGGATTGTGCCAGATTGAAAGTTTGCACAGACGTCTTGTTAATAATATTAAAAAACATATAAATTGCTTAGAAGACACTTCACTGGTTTTACTCATACGTGAATGGATTTTAATATGCTGTATTTTCGTCATTTTTCTATTTCCAATTGCACCTTAAAGGTTGAAATTCCTATAGTTTGCTACTCTAGTGTGTTGCAGGTTATACCATTTTTTTTTTAATGTTCTTTACTTTCAGTACTTTTGTGTTTCACGTTTAGCTTTAAACCTGTGGATTAAAACAGTGGATTTACAGTGCTATGTATTTTTAAAAATCGTAATCGTTGAAGCTTCTGAACTTAGAAGTCTGCATGTATTTTTTGTTTTAGGTTTGATATATGAGTTTTGATACATTTTCTTTTTACCCTTTTTTTTAAAGGGAGGATTCTCACTGAGGCTATAGAATGTATTTGTAGCTTTTGACCAGGAGAACTTGGTTTCCTTTTATTTAAGTGTCTTTCATATTTATAGTGAGGTTTTTAATGTAGAAAAAAAATGAGCTAATGATGCTTCAGATGTTGTATGTAATGTATTCTTTTTATTTTATGTGTAGATGGCTCTTGGACAAGTCCGAGCAGTACAACACACTGGGAGGGAATGCCCTCTCCTTTTAAAGGCAGGAATTTTTATTTATTACCTGTGTTCAGTATGTAAACGTGAAATAAACCAGTGGATTCTTAAATGGACACAAATATTTCTTGGATTATGTGTCTGCGCATATTTTATTTTTGCTGCACAACATTCTGATGTTTAATCATTTAAGTTTGAAGGGGGGAGGAGAATGTAGTACTTTGAGCTATAGGTTGTCTGTTCCAAGGTATGCATTGTATTCATCTGTGTAATGGATTTAGGTGAAGGTAGTCATGTAGTTGCTTTGAGATTTTATTTTTTTGCTAAAGTTTTATGCAGTGAAATGTTTGTTTATAAATAATAGAACAGTTTAGGTTGAGATTGCCTTGTAATGTTGTGGGGGGTTTTTTTGTTTTTTTTTTTTTGGGCATAGCTTTGTGGTCACTGTCAGATACACTTTAATATGTCAGATTTTTGTAGTTTGATAGGCTTTTCTCCCCCCAGTCTTCAGTTCCTGAGGTGGAAGCATCATTAGCCTTTAGCATGTGATATTTTGCTAGTAATGGACCTAAAGTACGTTGTCTTGTGTCATTCTAATGTGCTTAACATACATTAAGGTCAGTGATTTCTTAAGAATCAGATAACTATTTTAATGTCTGTGCATCTTTTGAACGTGAAGAGAATGAAGTATCGTTTCTTTTTTAGATTACTGAGTTGGGGTTGAATTTTGGCAGTTTTGGTTCAAATGATAAACCATACCTTCAGATATTTCAATAAATGTTTATATTGTTATTTATTCTTGTTTGGGAGGGGAGAAGCTTTGTACTTAATTGGCAAAAAATTAAAAGACACTTAATTTTGCAGATCAACCAGATGCTAAGAAAGTTGCTCCTCAAAATGACTGTAAGTATTCCTTTTAAACTGGGTCAAAAGCTAAAGTAACAATTTCAATGTTAAGATTTTGTTCATATTATTGGGTATCTTTGAAGTTAGTTGGTTTATGAGTATTTTGGATCAGCTAGCCTGAATTTCTTTGTAAATATATACCTTTTTCTCCTATTTTACAATCTGTCCCATTAATTGTGGCCGGGTATATGTAAAGATTGGTTGCTGAATTATTTTACATATTTAACAACTCCAATTCTTGATCTATACTTGTACAACTTGAAAAAGGAAATTATTTTGTTCTGTGCCATTGCTAATATAATGTCTTCCCTTTCATTGGCTCTCTTGCCCCTGTCAATGCCAATATAAATATTGTGTAAAAAATTTGACTCTCTTCAAGGTGTTGTCTGTGCATTAGGGAGAGATTTTTGAATGTTTGATGTGATTGTGTTGTTAAATATATAAGTAAATTTAAATTTTGAATTTTTGTTTTATTTTTATTTAATTTTTTGATAGCTTTTGGAACACAGTTACCACCGATGCATCAGCAGCAAAGGTATAGTCACAAGATTTTCAAAAAGTACTCTGCAAGTTTTGGTTGAGCTGTATGTAAAAACACAACCACATTGGTGTATATTGAATATGTGTCTGTGTATTTTTTGGTGTACCTAGTTCATATCACTCCCCTTGGGAAGGTACCATAAAGTGATGATTTTTCTTTTGAGTGAGAAAAATTTGTGATTTGGAGAGATAGGTGGAATTAACCACATTTTAGAAGAACAGGGGTGAATTAGAGTAACTGTTAAGATGACATTCTCTAAACTCCACTTCAACTTCTTTACAGTTAATGCCTTCAGACTGTTCCATTCATCATCCCTTCTTCACTTGATGTGTCATCTTAAATTTCTTAATTTAACTACTCAAGTAATAAGATCATATTTTTTGACATGAGTCTGAGCCTAGAACCTTAGTTTAAGCCATTGGGAGACATTAGACTTCCATTTTTATTAATAGATTATCTTTTATTTGTAAACAAAGTATCTTTCATTGAAGGAAAATGGTGCTTTCTGTTATTTCTTAGCAGATCTGTAATGACAGAAGAATACAAAGTTCCAGATGGAATGGTTGGATTCAGTAAGTAACTTGATTTTTAAAGTTTTGAAAACATGATCAAAACATACTTTAGAATCTTTCAACCAAAAAAAAAATTTTTTTTTTTCTAACTAGTAATTGGCAGAGGAGGTGAACAGATCTCACGCATACAACAGGAATCTGGATGCAAAATACAGATAGCTCCTGGTAATGTTACATTCTCATGGTATTTTCAGTGTGACTAGAAAACTAGCTTTTTTTTTTTTTTAAGCCTTCTAGTAACAATAATGCTACTTTTAATCTTTTGACCTGAAGTTATCTGTTTGTTTTAAATTGTAGACAGTGGTGGCCTTCCAGAAAGGTCCTGTATGTTAACTGGAACACCTGAATCTGTCCAGTAAGTTTGAAAAATCTTAAAAATCTACTTAAGTAACAACAGCAGAACTCTTTGAATTTTGTCTCTTCTCTTTGTTACTGCTTTATTTTACACTGTGGTTTCGCTGCCACCTTCCCTCAAAGTCCTCCAACTCCTTTGAAGTTTATGCCTCATGCCTTTCTCAGGTGGGGTTCATCATCTGAATCATTAAACACAGAAAATGGTTAAAACAACTCCATATCTACTCCAGTCTCTACTTGTAAAGCCACGTGTAGCCTGGAGAAGAATGCACAGTCAGGTCGACTGGTGACACTTAAAACTCAGACATTAAGCTCAAGTGGACTGTTGTGTTGCCTGCATTTCCCTAGTTCCATTCACTTTTCCACTCCTCTCCCAGGCTCTTTAATACTGTATTTCCCCACCTCCAAATCTTCAGCATCTAACCCCACGCTCTCCCACTTAAGCTTATTTACTGAGAAAATGGAAGCAAATGATAAGAAGCTTTTCTTTTTCCCTACCACTAAACCTACCAGCCTTCATTTTTCCTCTGTTCACATAGTACTCAGGTAATTGCTTTCCTTTTGTGTTCGAGTGCCTAAAGCCAGCCCTTTCTTCCTACTGAAGGTTCAGCTTGCAGTTGTACTTTCTTCTGCATTGTTAGTTCTCCCTCATTACTAGGTTTTTTCTTTTCTTTTTTTTGAGACGAAGTCTCGCTCTGTTGCCAGGCTGGAGTGCAGGGGCACGATCTCGGCTCACTGCAACCTCCGCCTCCCGAGTAGCTGGGACTACCGGTGCATGCCACCACACCCAGCTAATTTTTGTATTTTTTTAGTAGAGACAGGGTTTCACCATGTTGGCCGGGATGGTCTCAATCTCTTGACCTCGTGATCCACCCACCTCGGCCTCCCAAAGTCCTGGGATTACAGGCGTGAGCCACTTCCCCCAGCCTGATTTTCTTTATGGCACTTTCCAAATAATGTGTTATTCATTTGACATGTTATTTTTACTTATTTAATGAAATGAAGCCACTCTAGCAGGAACCCTGTTTCTTTGAGTGCTATTACCCCATTACCTAGAATAGCACCTGCACATAGTTGATATTTAAATATTTGTTGAATGAATAATTGTAGCATATGAGTAAGCAAAATGGTAGTTTAAAAATGTAAATAAATCATTTAGTTCTTGGAAGAATCAGTTTAATTCTGAGATAACTTTAGCATTAGAGTTCTTTCTTGGAAATTTTGGACTATTCTTAAAAATAAAAATTGTATATCTAGAAAATTTTTTTGCATAATCTCTCAATCTTTGACCCTTGATGGCATTTTCTTTCAGTTAAAAGTAAAAGCATTGTTAAAGTTAGCATCAAGGCACCTAATCCTGAACTGGGATAGGAGGAGTACTTGGTTATATTGTTTTATATTTCTCTATTTGAATAAGCTTGGGTATGCTACAGCTTACTATTTAAATATTAATTTGTTAACAGGTCAGCAAAACGGTTACTGGACCAGATTGTTGAAAAAGGAAGACCAGCTCCTGGCTTCCATCATGGCGATGGACCGGGAAATGCAGTTCAAGAAATCATGATTCCAGCTAGCAAGGCAGGATTAGTCATTGGAAAAGGGGGAGAAACTATTAAACAGCTTCAGGTATTGTTATTTTTGTGAAATGGCTACTTTTGATCTGTTTTGATGCCCATTTTTGTCCACTTCCTTTTGTTAATATATATTATTTCTATGATTGTAACAGGAACGGGCTGGAGTTAAAATGGTTATGATTCAAGACGGGCCGCAGAACACTGGTGCTGACAAACCTCTTAGGATTACAGGAGACCCATATAAAGTTCAAGTAAACTTAACTTTATACTTTATAAAGAAAGAGTGGGTTGAATGGGGTTGGGCAAAATATGCATGAATAATTAAAATGTTTTGAGACATGCTTTCTAAATTAGCTAACTTTTTCTGCTTTAGCAAGCCAAGGAAATGGTGTTAGAGTTAATTCGTGATCAAGGCGGTTTCAGAGAAGTTCGGAATGAGTATGGGTCAAGAATAGGAGGAAATGAAGGGATAGATGTAAGTAAAAATACCCATTCAGAAATGGTTGTATGCTAATTCATAAATATAATAGTGTTTTCTGTTTTGTGTTAAGTAGCTCTAACATTGTTATCCTTTTATTTCACCTTTATACTTTAGAATACAGAATTCTATATATCTTGTTACCCTATTTACTATAAATATAGAATTATATGTACTTTTATGATTTGAGGCAGATTTTCAGGAAATGGCGCTTTTTTAAAATACTTTTTTTTACTTTAAACCCTGAGAAGCTAGCTTTCTTAATACTTAGTCTTTTTTACATAAGGTCCCCATTCCAAGATTTGCTGTTGGCATTGTAATAGGAAGAAATGGAGAGATGATCAAAAAAATACAAAATGATGCTGGTGTTCGCATTCAGTTTAAGCCAGGTGAGTACATATAATAATCTTGTAAGTGTTGGCAGCAGTGAGTTTTGACATACATTTATTGTTTAATTAATTTTGTTTCTTTGTTTTGAAGATGATGGGACAACACCCGAAAGGATAGCACAAATAACAGGACCTCCAGACCGATGTCAACATGCTGCAGAAATTATTACAGACCTTCTTCGAAGTGTTCAGGTTTGATAGAAAGTTAACATTTTCATTTTTTGTTTTTATGGAAAAGTATTTTCCTTCATGAAATCTGAAGTTACCTCTATATCAGAGTCTGCTTGATGATGCTTTATTAATGGAGAAAGTTTAAATTGCTTTAAGGTAAAGATCTTGGAGCAGGAAGAACTACTACCTTAAGTGCTACCTTATTTACTCTTGTATTTTAAAAAATGTTATTACTTATTAGGGCCAGTTCATCTCTACATTTCTGATTCAGGTATATGAGAGCTGGGAAAAATAAACTTAATAATTTTATCATGAAACAAAAGTATTTCTGTGCTGACTCTTCGTTCTTGTCTTTCCCTCTCTATAGGCTGGTAATCCTGGTGGACCTGGACCTGGTGGTCGAGGAAGAGGTAGAGGTCAAGGCAACTGGAACATGGGACCACCTGGTGGACTACAGGAATTTAATTTTATTGTGCCAACTGGGAAAACTGGATTAATAATAGGAAAAGGCAATGTATTTTAAACTCTTAATGTTTTAACACATTATTCATTTTTCTGGACACTTTCTGTTGCTGTCGTAAACAAGTGGCAATGCTTTTTCTCTGACCGTATTTTAGTAGAAAAGAATTCTTATGTTAATATGTAACAAGTAAAACATAAATGAGGGATCTCATGTATATTTAGAGAAAGAGCAGGATTTTAATCTTACTAGCTTCTAGAGAAAGCGAACTAAGAGATAATTATTAGCATAAGAAATGTCTTTTGACCCAAAAAGTGGTTTGAGTGTTTTTGTTTGTGCATTTTGGTTTTTCCCGACTCATATTTTAAAAATTTGAATGTTTATAAGTGTATTAGTTTATATTTACACTGCTTTTAAAAGCAGTTAATTCAAATATTTTATTATAATCACATTAAGTTTATGTTTAAACATACTAAGTAAATGTAAATGTATTTTAAGAGAAGCATGAAATGCTTCCTAAAATTTGATTTTCAGTGTAGAATATTAAATGAAAAATCTTAATACAATATTGTCAATTAGGATACTGACCAAACCATATTTTTAATGGCCCATTTAATTGTGACCATTTTCTTCTAAATAGCTCCTAGTACACCCTTGAAACCTTTAGAGAAATTACTGTCTTTTGATTTTAGGAGGTGAAACCATAAAAAGCATAAGCCAGCAGTCTGGTGCAAGAATAGAACTTCAGAGAAATCCTCCACCAAATGCAGATCCTAATATGAAGTTATTTACAATTCGTGGCACTCCACAACAGATAGACTATGCTCGGCAACTCATAGAAGAAAAGATTGGTGTGAGTATACTTTAAACTTTTAATTTTTAGTGTAGACCCTTAGACTGTAGTTAAATTAAGACGTTTATTCAAATACATCAAAGGAAAATGTATCATTACTAGTCAGCATTTATAGATTTCATGATATGTATAATAGATACAACGTGAAGATTTTCCAGCAATGAAAATAACCTAATTAAATGTGTAGTTACAGGTTTTGAGAACAACCTTACATTTGGGTGTGGCTAGATAAGAGGAGGGTAGTGTTACCTGTAGGCATGATATTAGTGTTGGTGTAGGATTGTGGAACATACTTGAAGGACATAGTTAACGGGAATTCATTATTTATTAAGATTTTACTCTACTGAACCCCAGCGAGGCAAACAAGATAAATCAGATACATCTGCCACTCTACAGTAGAAATTCATAAATCCTAGGTTTTGGACTGGCTCACAGATCATCTGGGGGTATTAAAATGTAGACTATTTGGGTGCTTCCCACTCCTACACATAATATACAGAGACAGACCTGACTCAAAATGTCTGGGATAGGGCCCAGCATCTAATTTTACATAGATGTTTGGGTGATTCTGGTGCACAGACAAATTTGGAAATTTTTCCTCCAGGAAAGTTTTCTGTTAGAACAAAAAAGTATGAAACGCTTTGACTGCTTTTTTGTAAGTGAGGCAGACAGTGTCTTACTGGAGTTTTTAACACAAAGTGTGCAGGGGGCATCTTAAATTATTAGAATTGCCTAGGAAAAATTATTTTTGGTGTTTGCCATGCTGTGAATGGGGTGCGTGCAAAACAAGGTTGACACTGTTTCTGTCAACTTGGGAAGACAAAAATAGATGTACAAAAGACGCTTAAGGAACGTCTTACAAAATGTACACAAACATTGTGAGTTCTGTTGTATGGATAGTTTAATGGTTCAAAAAATGAAGAGGATGTTTGTAGAGTAATGATAGAGGTTGATGCCATGGCAAAAAAATGAATAGCACTCATCTTGGTTTTTTATTTTACAGTATTAGCCTAACATGCATGCGTCAGGATTTCTGTTGGATTCATGGAAAAACAAGATAGATTGTTTTGGAGAAGCAATTTGGTGTGGTGATTAAGAGCATGGACTCTGTAGTCGGGTTGCCTCAGTTCAGAATTCTGTGAATCATTTACTGGTTCTGTGACCTTGGAGAAGTTACTCAGGCTTTTCTGTGCCTTGGTTTCCTCCTGTAAAATGAAGATAATGGTATCTACTTCATAGAGTTGTAGGGATTAAATGAATGTTCATGTGTGTGTCACTTAAAAGAATGCCTGCCACATAACCCTAAAAAATGTTGCTACTTTTTCAGTATTATTTTTACTACTTGGAAAGAATAGGTCATGGATAGTAAGTGAGAGATGACAGCAATTGGAGATTTAAAGAGACAAGTTAATAAAAAGAACTTTAAAGGTCATGAAGTTTAGTTTCCCTATTTTGCAGTGAGAAATTTACAACAAAATGTAGTGTTAGCATTTTGTCCAACATGTCGCCTGGTTGTGTTAACTACTCAGAAGGAGCATTTTAGGACAGTTAAGTGTAATGTCTTTGTTGGCTTAACCAAACAGAAATCAGTTAAGCGTTATTAATGATGTGGCATGCATGCATGATAAGGATATAAAATATCCTGATTTATTGAAGGAATTAAAAAGGGAATTTTTGTGCTATTAAACATCATGATACATGAAAGGCCAAAAAGGATATAAATTATTGATCTGAATGGGATTTTAGTGACAGAAATAGGTTGTGAGGTGGATTTTAGTTTCATAGTGAAACAACTAGCTATTAACGTTATCAGTGAAATGTTCAGAAGACGATGATACAGGACCCAAGCGGTTTGGGAATATATTGTCAAGACGGTTGTCTCATGTTAGGCAAGTAGATATAGAGAGAAGAGCTGAAGATAAGGACCTGATTTCTGTGAGTAAGATGGAAAAAGATAGTAAAAGTAAGAATGATAAAAGGAAAGGGAACTACTGCTGTCCGCAAACAAGCTAAAGGAAATTTAATTGCTAATTTAAATTTAATTTAATTTAAATTGCATTTAATTGCTACTGCTATTGATTTTAGTGAATTTTACATGTCTCATTATTATGGCAGATGAAATAGTTTTTGCAAAATGAATGAGGAAAGGAAGGAAAACCTAAAATTTGTTATTTGTGACTATAAGAGGGTAGAAATGGATGATTATTTGGCCGTAGAGTTGTTTAACCATTACTGTGTTTTTCTGATTTTTCTATGTCATCCTTTTTTTTGTAGGGCCCAGTAAATCCTTTAGGGCCACCTGTACCCCATGGGCCCCATGGTGTCCCAGGCCCCCATGGACCTCCTGGGCCTCCAGGGCCTGGAACTCCAATGGGACCATACAACCCTGCACCTTATAATCCTGGACCACCAGGCCCGGCTCCTCAGTAAGTATTGGGTTTAGTTCTGGGCTTTCCCCAAAGATTCTAGTTTTGGGACTGTTTTTTATGCTGATTTTTCTTTTCAGTGGTCCTCCAGCCCCATATGCTCCCCAGGGATGGGGAAATGCATATCCACACTGGCAGCAGCAGGCTCCTCCTGATCCAGGTAGAAGATGCTTATTATTTGTGTGTTATCTGTATTATTTTCCACTCCTGTTACATTATTAAATTTTCTAGTGTTGATTCTACATTTGTATGCATCACCTTCACTCACTTTACTCTTTCAACAGTGTTAGGCACTGCCTCTACCCCAGTGTATAGGACTGACATGAATATGAGCTCTGCTTTTATGGAATTTCTTTCTACTTGCCTTTGGCTTATGAGTTGATACAGTAGAATGATAAAAGCTAAAAGCTGCAGGAAAGAGCACAGTGTCATAGGTTTTGGATACCAGTGCTGTCAAATGTGTAGTATGTTCATTGTGACATTATCTGTGGAAAAATAGTTTTTACTTATTTAGAAAAGTATGTGATAGGGGCTGGGCACTGAGGCTCACGTCTGTAATCCCACCTATTCAGAAGTCTGAGGCTGAGGCTTGAGACCAGCCTGGGCAATATGGCAAGACCCATCTCTAAAAAAATTTGTTTTAAATTAGCCGGGCAGGGTGGTATGTGCCTGTACTTGAGGCTGAGGTGGGAGGATTGCTTGAGCCTAGAAGTTCTAGATTGTATTGAGCTGTGGGCACACCATTGCACTCCCCTGGGCAACAGAATGGGATCCCATCTCTTAAAAAATTATGTATATATGTAACAGTCTATATAAATATATATATATAACAGTCCAACAGAGTGTTAAGTATTGGGGCATTAAACTTCCAAATTGTCAAATAAGATATCTGTTCTAGTACTCCTCATATGACAACTTCATGTGAGTAAAAATCAGGCCTGTATTTAATAACTGCATGCTAAAGCCCAAATACGTTTAATTATTTTCTATATTCAGATTTATTTTTATCCTATTATATTCTGGCATCTTTCCATACCCTGTAGTTTGCTTTCCATCTTGGTCAAAGAGTCATTCTTTGAAACCAATTAACATTTATTTATGATCCTTTTTTCTCACCTGCTACCTACCTTTTAGGCCTCTTTCACTCGTGTAGTTTCAAGGAAAATATACTCAATTATGGAATACTTTCTACACATAATACATTTATCCCAAAAAAACTTGAAGTAATTTATGTAAATGAAATTGCTTGATTAACTTCATAGGAAGTGTGCTGTTTGGAATATGATGACACAGCATGACAGTTACCAAGCATGACTTGAGTTGTGCTAGGATATAGGTGTGCAAAGTTGGGGTTGTGTTCTATAGCAAAAGAATGCACTCCCAGCGTAAGCAACACTGATGGAAGGGGCTCACAGGGTACAGGATATAATACTCTTAACAACTAATTTTTGGAGAATGAAAGGGCTTTTCTTTCCCTCTTGTTGGCTGATTGGGATGGTATAATTAATGGGATTGAAGAGTTTGAGTAGGTTAAAAGGCAGATTCATATTGGGTAACTTGGATCTGCCAGGATTGTATTTTTGAGCACTACTGGGTGGTTAGCATGATTGAGGAAAAATGATGGGAATAAGAAGTGGAAGTGGTCTTTGTATCACAAGTTGAATTTCTCACTTGGAGTAGTAGTGAAGTCACTACTGTAAGAGCTGGTCAGTGAATGTGGTTGCAGCATGGCCTTTGGGCAAGAAGTAACCCATTTAACTAAAACCAGCTGGTTGGCCCCACTCAGATTTATCAAAGGGTTACTGGGTCCCTGGGGGTGGATATTGCTTATATTAGACTTAGAATAGCATACTGTTTTAATATTATATGAACTAAAATGTTTCTTTAAAAAAAGAGTGGTCTGTTAATGGATTTATGTAGTGGTCAAGAATTTAGACTTCAGAGTCAAATAAACCTATATCAGTCCTAGTCCTACAGTTTACTAATTGTGAGATGTCAAGCAAGTTTTTGAACTCCTCTAAGCCTCTGTTTTCTTATCTATAAATTAATAAATGAATGAATCGGGTTGAGTGAATATTTAGTAAATTCTTAGTACATACTAGTTATTTGTAACTGTGAGACTGGTTTTTTGGTATGGTTTTCACATTTGGGAGTAGAAATACCACTTCCTAAAGTCTGTTTTATCTCAAATTCTCTATCCAGGCATAGTGTAAAGTGAAATACCTAGATTTCTTGATTAATATACAGATAATGGCCAGACGCCATGGCTAAAACCTGTGACGCTAGCACTTCGGAAGGCTGAGGCGGGCGGATCACTTGAGGTCAGGAGTTGGAGACCAGCCTGGCAAACATGGCGAAACCCTGTCTCTACTAAAAATACAAAAATTAGCTGGATGTGGTGGCAGGTGTCTGTAATCCCAGCTACTTAGGAGGCTGAGACAGGAGAACTCCTTGAGAATTGCTCCACTGCCCTCCAGCCTGGGCAACAGAGTGAGACACTTCATCTCAAAAAAAAAAAAAAAATACAGATAATGACACTATTGAGATATGTAAACATCCAACATAAAAAAGCAGTACATTGGGCAATTGAGAAAAGTTTGGCAGGTGTCCTAATAACACCTTACAATTATATTACCTTGCAATTTTCTTTTTCTAGAAATTCTTGCTCATTTTTCTCAAACTTGACTAACCTTTATTAAGCAGCTGAGAATTGCTACTGTTCAGAATGAAGGTATAATAGAAAATTTAAAAGTTTTAATTGTATGGTATTCCTAGTATAAAAGACAATCAAGTTTTTTCTGGTTTCTAGAAGATTGAAAGGTCTCAAACTGTTCGCACTTCAGTTGATGTGGGAGATGAGTGAGGGTCAGTCAAGTGTAGAGGAGACAACATAGCTAAAAGCCGAGACACGGGCATAGTGATTTCTGAAAAGTACAAGCACTGTGTTGTGGCTGGAGCTTGGGTGTTGAAGAGATACAACCAAAGGGAGAGATGAGGCTGAAATGGAAAGGATAAGCCAGGGGCTTCAGGCTGTTAAAGATGTTGAATGATAGGCTGTACTTAAGCTTTGAACATCCTGAAGATTGCAGAGAATGAAGAATTTCAAGTAGGATGACATCAAGTTTATAACATTCAATGTGAAATAGGATGAAATGTGGCTAATCTTTTTTAAGATTTTTATATTTTCTCTTCATTGAAAATAAGGACAAAGTTCATTGTTCTAAAATAATTTTCTTTCTTATACAGGTTAGTCCCTAGAAATGTTTTTCTTTAGTCATCTTCTAGATAGAGCTGTTTGTGCTTGAGGCGAAACCAATTTAGAAAAAAACAAGGGCACAGGATGGTTTGAGACAGAGCATTGGATTTGGAGCCAAAAGACCTTTATTCATATCCCAGTTATGCCACTCAGTAGTTTTTAACCTAGGAAAGTCACTTAGTCTCTGAGACTTGGTTTTCTTTAATAAAAGCTGATGGTGACAACAAAAATAATAGAAAATTTAAGTTTTCATATACTTTTTTTAATGTTCTAGTTAATTTTGGGGGCTGTATATTTGCCAGAGAGCTGGGCGGGGGGGTGGTGTGTGTGTGTGTGAGAGAGAATTACAGACTTCACATGCAAACCTTGAACTTTCATTTATTTTAGCTAAGGCAGGAACGGATCCAAATTCAGCAGCTTGGGCTGCTTATTACGCTCACTATTATCAACAGCAAGCACAGCCACCACCAGCAGCCCCTGCAGGTGCACCAACTACAACTCAAACTAATGGACAAGGTAACTACAGAACTTATTGTATGTGAAAGCCAAAAGTTGTGCTTGGAATTATATATGAAGTACATCACTGTATAATACCTAAAATTTCTGACATTATTTAATTATAATTTAAGCAGACTTTTCCTTTTTTAAATTGTTACTTTGAAATAGTTTCAAACTTTCATAAAAGTTGTAAGAAGAATACCCGGAGCACCCAGATAGCCCAGCTGTTAATGTTTTATTCCCTTGTTTACTCTGTTACCATCTATATCATACATGTGTATCTGTATTTATTTTAAATATCCATTATAATTAGTTCTGAAGGAAGCTAATTATATCCAGCATAATTAGTTCTGAAAGAAATCACTGAAGACTAAACTGTAGACATGATGTCCTGTTGGGTACTTCTTCAAAAATACATAACCATCATACAGCCCTCCAAATCAGTAAGTCAACATTGATATATTAAGTTCTTTATATCATTATGGATTTCTGATTTTTGCAGTAGGTTATATTTTTAAAGTATTTTTATAATTTTGATAATCAGATTATCCTGGATTTGGCCAGTCAGGGAGTATATTCAGGGTGGTGCCTATATCCTTTTGAAATACCTGTCATTCTTTTAAGCACTTCCATACTGTCTGGCACAGTAAGATTGTTATTTTGTGCTTTCTGGGCTCCAGCCCTCGAGTCAGCTATTTCTTCAAGGAGCTCTTATTCCTTTTAGTAGAGTATGGTAGTTAGAAACGAGACTTGAGTATGCTTGTTGCTACTGAGGTGTAATTGCTTCTAGCTTCTTTCAACAGGCAGAACTAGGAAATATATTTACATACATGCATACCTACATACACACACCAAAAAACACATAAACATCGATATATGTATATATTTTTAAAAACTATGTTCATATCACCACATCCGTTTCAGCATTTTGGGGTTTTCAAGCCTTTTCCTTTTTTGTACTTGTTTACAAACGTGAGAAACCTGGTGTCCTCAGTGTATTTCCTTATTTGACATGCATTTACTTATATGTTCAACATAACCAGTCTTCAAACAGGTTGGTTTTCTTTTCTGTCCACCACCTCTGTACCCCCAGTACCTTCTATCTTTGGCACTGTTAGGGATGCCACCACCACATAGTACTTCCCTCCTACCCTCACTGTCACATTGCAGGCCCCTGCCAGCTCCTGCACCCAAGGAAACGGCCAAAATTGCCTTTTAAAAACTTTAATTCTGTTTTTTGTTTTGTTTTGCTTGAACAAGGAGATCAGCAGAATCCAGCCCCAGCTGGACAGGTTGATTATACCAAGGCTTGGGAAGAGTACTACAAGAAAATGGGTATGTTTTATACATTTCTTGAAAATACATACTTAATTAAATTGAAACAAATTATTCTCTTCAGGAAGAGAATAATTGAATAAAATCACTGGACTTGTAAACATATCAAGACAGTTGTAAATTATAGTTTTTAAATTTGTGGTTATATGGCAAGGAAATTTTTTTTTCTAATTGCATTTGTCAACCAGTTATTAATTGAAACTAGAAATGTCCTTACTGGTACATACAATATTAACATTACTATACTTTTGACAATGACAGTTATATATATTATCAGTCTAAATGACATAAGGTTAAATTTTAATGTGTCAGGCGAAAATTGTGTGTGATACCATTATTTTTGCTGCAAGATAAGCAGGTAAGAAGTAATCTGCAGTGACGGAAAGTAACCAAGTGATGGAACCAGAATCTGGCTTCCAAGAGGGTCTGAGTCCCAAGCTTGTCTCCCAAATTTGTCTCTTTAGGAACCATTTGGAACCTGATACTATACTTCTGGACAAATCACTATATTTCAGCTGCTTTTGCTCTTAGTCATTTAAAATTATTACATACCACAGCTAGATGTCACAAATGAAAGCTAAATTGGTAAGCTTGGTTATCCTTCACTAGCAGAAAAAGAACCTATAGGTGGTAGAGTTTTGTCATAAGAGAACGGTCTACTTGGGATTTTCAATGTTTTCTTTGCCAAAGAATGTTTCTCATTCTCCACAGAAAGAAAAATTTCCAGAAAGGTGATGATTTTAATCTTCTAGATGTAAAATTACATATACCTGATGATAAAGTTGTTTTGCACAACTGGTTTCTTTTTAAAGAAAAATTGTTTTTCCTCTTAGAATGGCTTCCTAGGAGAGTCATGTTCCGTCTCTTTCTGAGGCTTTAACAGATTATGTTTTTGTGACCTAGCTTAGGCAGATCTACAGTAGCTACAATTCGGCAAAAAGAAACTTTTAACTTAAAAACAGCATACTCTGATTAAGGTTGGTTACATAATTTATTTTCTGAACTGGGATCCTTTTTAGAATGAATAGGGATGCTATTAATAATCATGCCCTGACAGCATTGTGGTCAGGACCTGTAATCAACTTAACTTTAATTAAATAGCATCACCATTTTAAAAGACTTGAGCATGAGCCACGTGCGGTGGCACACACTTGTAGTCCCAGCTGCTTGGGAGGCTAAGGTGGAAGGATTCCTTGAACACAGGAGATTGAGGCCAGCCTTGGCATCATAGTGAGACCTGGTCACGTGTTTGGGTTAAAAATCACTAACTTCAACTTCTATTTTCTCAATGGGTAATGTCCCCTAGATAGGGTCCCTAGTTATTATTAAGTAGGTAAAAATAAAGGCTTGTTAATGGATTTAGGTAATTATGGAGGAATGAGTTTGGCTTCTGTGCTTTATTTTACCATATTGATTATTTGTAATATGGCCATTAATACATTTACTGTTTAGTCTTTTTTGTTTTACTTTTTATGTTTTACTCAAAATGAGTGGGTGGGTGGAATTCTAATTTTTATTGTTAAGGGAAGACATTTTACCTTGTCTTTAATTTTTTATTTTTTTTTACCATTTCCCTGCCAGTTAGAGATACTATACTATACTGTCTTGAATCCTCTGTAGGAAAACATGGCATAGAAATAATTAAATAATAATTAGATGTTAAATAATAATGCTGTATGACTAAAGAACCTCCTTACCCCACCTTTTCTGTTGTTGTTCTGTAGTACCACAATAATCACTTGTTAATTTTATTTATTTATTTATTTGAGAGGGAGTCTCACTCTCGCCCAGGCTGGAGTGCGGTGGCGCAATCTCAGCTCACTGCAACCTCCGCCTCCCAGGTTCAAGCGATTCTCCGGCCTCATACTCCCAAGTAGCTGGGATTACAGGCGCCTGCTACCACATCCGGCTGATTTTTTGTATATTTAGTAGATACGGGCTTTCATCATGTTGGCCAAGCTGGTCTCAAACTCCTGACCTCAGGTGATCCACCTGCCTCAGCCTTCCAAAGTGTTGGGATTATGGGTGTGAGCCACTGCACCCAGCCTCACCTGTTAATTTTATGAGCAAAACAGATTAGTTGGGCAAGTCCTTCACATGCATATCTCGTTGTTGTTGTTTTTTTTAAGACGGAGTCTTGGTCTTACTCCCCAAGCAATGGTGCGATTTCGTCTCAGTGCAACCTCTGCTTCCTGGGTTCAAGCTATTCTCCTGCCTCAACTTCCCAAGTAGCTGGGATTACAGGCGCCCAACCACACCCAGCTAATTTTTGTATTTTTAGTAGAGACAGAGTTTCACCATGTTGGCCAGGCTGGTCTCGAACTCCTGACCTCAGGTGATCCACCCGCCTCAGCCTCGCAAAGTGTTGGGATTACAGGTGTGAGCCACTGCGCCTGGCCACATGTGTATATCTTAAAGGAAATAATGCTAGGTAATTTAGTCAGGTGCTTGATGAGCATTTGTCATCATCATACGGAGTCAATTTGTCTTTTTCTATAAAAGTTCTTTTTGTAAATGATTAGTTGCTTAACTGCTTTAATTTCTTCTAGGTACCTTACCTGTCATCAGGATCTTTTTACCACAAATAAGAAACCTTAAAGCATAAAACTTGGTTCAGTCTTCACATTTCTTAAATGGAAGGAGAAAGGGAATAATAGGGAGATATCTTTATCTCAAAGCCAACTGTTGTTGACTTTTCCAGTGGCAGGGGTATGATGCTAGGACTTCAGATTTCCTGATTCCCCATCCTAGTGCCCCTTTTGCCAAACTAGGCAGGCTTTCACAGCTTTTGGAGCCTAATTTAAGTTTTTCTTGTTAAGAACAGAAAACTCCATTCATAGATTTTAATTTGTCATTATTTGCTTATTTACTGAAAAAAAAAAAAAACTATTGAAAACAGGTGTGGGTTAAGTTTCCCAAAATTAGGTTTATATTTCAAAACAATTCTAAGTTCCCAAGGATAACACCAAACTAAGAGGATAAATTTTTATTTTATTTTTTTTTATTTTATTTTTTTGAGATGGAGCCTTTCCCTGTCGCCCAGGCTGAAGTGCAGTGGCATGATCTCGGCTCACTTGCAGCATCCACCTCCCAGGTTGAAGCAATTCTTCTGCCTCAGCCTCCCAAGTAGAGAAAATCTTGATAAGATTTCAGAGGCTTATAAGGAACAGCAGTAAAGATGGGTGTTTTTAAAGCTAGAATACAGGGATTTTTTTAAGACCCTTAAGAGAACAAACAGGGTTTCAAAATAGAAAGGAGTAATTCTTGTTTGGAGAAGTGAAGACATTTGGGAAAAGTTTGACTTGAGGAAGGCCATTATGATAAGGACTGATGTGGTAGACTCTGAACCCTGAAGAATCTGGTACCTTAAGCCTAAAGGAGGGTAGAGTGAGGACTTGTGGGAAAGGTACAGTTATATGGGAAGACAACTGAGTGTGAAAATCTATTCATGCAAGGCTGGCTCTTAGGCTCTAATAGAATCTTGCAAGCTAACTCTAGAGCAAGTCTTTTATCTTTGGGATGAAAGAAATTTAAGGCTAAACTTTATACATTATAATTATAAAACTATAATAAATATTAGATAATGTTCTACTGAAGTATAAACTCAACTATCTGGCATCAAACAGTAACTAAGCCATGATCACACCACTGCCACTGTGTTCTGGCCTAGGTGACAGAGCAAGACCCTGTCTCAAAACAAAATCCAGTAACTAAAGAGAGGAATAAGGGGAGCGCAAGGTAAGGCAGTACATGTCTGAAGGGGCAGGGAAAGAGTTCTTTCTCTACTTCCAACTGGGCAAAATAAATCACATTTGCCCTTTAGATTGGAAGAGTGAAATAAGCTTTTCTTGAACATCTTTTAAGATTGGAGTGTCAAATATTACCAACTTATTTACCAAGAATTTGGTTTTTCTTAAAGTCTAAAGTGTTTACTATTAGCTTTCCACAGGGATATAGGAGTTTGCAGAGGTTGTAGTTTTTTAAGGGAACATCAATGAATTTTCTTGATGCATATGCCTGTTTCTACCATTTTACATTGTTAATTTGCCTCTAAAATGAGTAACTCTTACAATGGGGTTTAAAACCTGAAGACTATTGATTGCTACCTTGATCAGGTTTGGTTTCAAGTGTGCACCCTGTAAGAGACAATGTGTGGTTTTATTGCTATTGTCACACCAGTTTTTTAGATATTGAAACCTGTTTCAGATTTGCTTGAATTGTGTCTTGTAAGAGGAAAATGTTAAACTTACTTCCTCTTTGAGAACAGTTATTTATAGAAGACAGGAAAATATGAGAATTTTTAATAGTATATGAGAGTTCTCTGTTACCCAAGAAAAGAGGGTTTTTTTCAGGCATTTTTAAAGAATCATAAATCTTAAATTCTTTCACTCAGTTGCTTTGAGTCTGTGACCTGTTTTACAATGGTGATAGACTGCTTTCTGAAACTATGAAATTGGTCTTGTTGGCAGCATCCTACAAACATAAAAAGAGCTTCCTGTGTGTCCATGCTCCAGTATTTTTGTCTATGGTAGTTATTTCACAAAGCCAAGCGAGTTACAAACGAAATAAAATAGTGCTTAAGTAAAGAAACTGAATAGGAGAACATATACTCTCTCTTCTCAATTTTTTATTTAGAAAATTATATACCTTCAGAAATTGGGGAAATAAGGCATCAGACACTCAGCTTCATCATTTTTTAAAAGTTTGCTGTATGCGCTTTATATGTATGTTTTTTGTGTATGAACCATTTCAAAGTAAGTTGCAGACAAGACAGTTTGCTCTAAATAAACTCAATGTCTGGGCACAGTGGTTGACGCCTGTAATCCCAGGACTTTGGGAGGCCAAGGCAGGTGGATCACTTGAGTCCAGGAGTTCAGGACCAGCCTGGACAACATGGCAAAACCCCATCTCTACAAAAAAAGAGAAAAATGTCAGCTAGGCATGGTGGGCCTGTAGTCCCAGCTACTCTAGAGGCTGAGGTGGGAGGATCACCTGAGCCCTGGGAGGTTGAGGCTGCAGTGAGCCATGATTGCACCGCTGCACTCCAGCCTGGGTGGCAGAGTGAGACCCTGTCTGAAAATAAATACCCTCAATATTATCACAAACATACAGACTATATTTAAATTTCCATAGTTGTCAGGAATATGTCTTTTGTCGTCTGTGTGTTTTGTTTAATTCAGAGTACATTCAAGATTCATGCGTTGCATTTCATTGCTATATTTCTTTAATCTCTTAATTCAGCAAAGTCACCTTATTTGGAAAAAGACCTGATTGTGAAAGCTGAGTTTTATGTGTTTTCATTGATCTTGTTCTTTATTCCTTGTCAGGTTACTTTTAATAACATTGTGTTGTAATTGGAATAAATTATTAATACTTTTAACATCTTATTATGTGTGTGTGTACATACACTTTATAGGTTACTAATCAGGAAAAAGTCTTGGCTAGGTCTTAATACAGTCTTTAAATCATTGCCTTTAAGTGGGCTTAAAGTTTTTCAAAAATGTTCTTTTTGTAATTCTGGAATCGAATTAAGATTATGCCTAAATCTTTACCTTCCTTAGCTAAAGCAGTGTGGATTTGGGGTTGATTCTGTTTTTTTACTAATAATGACGCTCTAGAACTAAAAGTTAACGATTAATTATAAGGCAAAAAGAAAAGAGCGTTCTTTTTTTTTTTCTAATTGCAGAGTAGTTTCCTGACACTACTAAATGAATATTTTAAATAAAACAGGAGTAATTCTGACCCTCTGTGCTTTTGTCTTATAACCTGTACTTACAGTGGATGTAATTTTATATTAAAGTTTAGGGGTTTTTTTTTTTGGTCAACAAGGGCAAACACAAGATTATTCAAAGGCTTGGGAGAAATATTACAAGAAGCAAGGTATTGTTTTTATTAGAAATGAGATGTTGGGCTTATAATTGTGGTTACAGCAACAAAGTTCTTTTTTTTCAAAGGTCAGGCAGTTCCTGCTCCGACTGGGGCTCCTCCAGGTGGTCAGCCAGATTATAGTGCAGCCTGGGCTGAGTATTATAGACAACAAGCAGCCTATTATGCCCAGACAAGTCCCCAGGGAATGCCACAGCATCCTCCAGCACCTCAGGTATAATGTAATTGCTAATTTGTTGATTTCTACTCCAGTCTGTTTTCTGCATGTTTACTGTTTGTCTGTTTGGGAGTGTTTGCCTTTTAAATTTTTATCTGGCAAAGTATAATAACTATTTAAATGAAGTACTACGGTGTATTGTTTGGGTTTTTTTGTTTTTTATAATGCTTTCCAGCATCTGAGTGGTGAATATTTCTGCAATGCCTTTGATTTTAAAAATAAATTTTCTTCCCCCAGGGATTTGCAAATCATGCAAGAAGCCACCACCATTTATATTAACCACTTTTTCTTTCTTAAAGGATTCACTCCTGAATTAGCTCCATTTCAAGGATTTTCTTTAACTTTTTGTGTATTTCTTATGTATCTCTTCTGCACAGGGCCAATAATAAGAAGTGGACAATACAGTATTTGCTTCATTGTGTGGGGGAAAAAAACCTTTGTTAAATATATGGATGCAGACGACTTGATGAAGATCTTAATTTTGTTTTTGGTTTAAAATAGTGTTTCCTTTTTTTTTTTTTTTTTTGAAAATGTACAAAATATCTATCACTACTGATAGGAGGTTAATATTTCTGTGTAGAAATGAAAATTGGTTTGTTTTTAGTATTTAGTGTAGATGTACACATTCCAGCAAATGTATTTGCAATTATGTGGTTGATGCTTTGTGATATAAATGTACTTTTTCAATGTATACTTTCACTTTTAAAATGCCTGTTTTGTGCTTTACAATAAATGATATGAAACCTCCTGTGTCGGTAAGTTGGATATGTGGGTATTTAAAGGATTCATAATTTCTTAGCAATGATAAATTAAGATACATATACACAAATATATAAGCTTTCCCCATGAAATATTGAGTTTTTAAACACTGGCATGTTTTTCCCCCCTTGCAGTATAGTGGTAGATTGGAGGATCTTTTCCATTTATTGTATTGGCTCTTTCAGCACAAGTAATCCTGATATCTTCATTTTTTTTCCTTCTGTTTGATTAAAAACTGCATGTGTGTACAATGATCTTTTGGCATACTTCCATTGCATTAACAGTGAAATTTCCTTTTATACATGACCACTGTTTCAGACCTGTACTGCTGCTATAACAGTTAACCTTTCTGTTCTTAATTTGATAATACTTGATTTCCAAGACTGTTTCGGCATAACTAATTTTAAACAGTTTTCAGATAGTGAATATGAGTAGTCTAATAAGAACAGTTTTTTTCCATGTGAAGCAACTCTTTCAATGTATATAATGTTAGTGTGTTTCTTTCTAAATTTAGGATAGAAAAGTGAATAGTGTGCAAAAAGTATAGCTACATTGCATCTGCCATTGAAACATAAATGGGGTATGGAAACGTTCAAGCTTTTTTTTTTTCTTTATGCAGTATAGATAAGCTTTGTTTTGTAAATGCACAAGTCCAATCATTGAATCAACTTAATTTTTTTATGTACTTGAAGTCATTTTATTACTCTTTAACACTCATGCTGAAGTTCTGATATTTTGTTGAAATCCATTGTTTTACTCTTTGCATATTTGTTGGCTCTTTGCATATTAATATATTAGACTACATGCAAATACAGTCTGTCTTGCCATTGTCTGTTGAAGTGCAGGTTTGATCCAGCCAGTATAGAACTAGCTCTGTAGGGGTGAGGAGGACTGTGCTGTGTATCATCCTTGATTGTGTTCCTTCAAGGAGCATTGCACTGTAAGTACATCAGAATGACAAATTGATGAACTGCAACAGTATCTTTTTGTCAATGTTCCACATAATGCAAATGCCATACGTTGTGTGAATATTATGTTGGAATACAGTGCTGATATCTTGGAAAACCATAACTGCCTCTTAATTTAACATAGAATAATACATAGTTCTGTATTTTTTTTAAAGTGAGCTTAATGGGTAAGTATTTTTTATATGCTTTAGCTATAGCTAAAGAAAACTGATACTTAACAAAGTTGAATAGTATTATTCACTGGTGCTCCTAAAATATTGTTTTTCAGTGTAAAATATGCATATCTTCTATATTTAATATGAAAGTCTTGAAATGTATCAGACAGAAGGGGATTTCAGTTTGCAAATAATGAGCAATGTAGCAATTTTAACACATTTCATAAATATATATTTTGTCATTGGTGGAGAGCACCATTTGTTGTTTTGAATATACTTTAAAGGAAGAGGTACAAGGACATAAATGTTGAGATTACCTACAGGATGGAAATAGCAGTACAGTTCATTGTAGATATTTTGAAATGTTTTTGATTGTTTTATATAACCTAGAGTGACTTCCCTTACCCTTATTTAGATCTGCATATATAGTTCTAGTATGAAGTTTAATAGTTAAGGAGTTAGCTATTTGTTATCTTTAAGAGTAGGGTATTGACGTGAACAATTGCAGTATTTTGCATGATACTGTTTTATAGATGACCTTTTAGGAAAGTGGTGCATTTATTAATTGAACTGAAGAAGTAGTTCAGTTGAATTCAGTATCATAATTCACAAATTGGAGGCTGTTGATTTTGATTCATTTAAGGTTTAAAATCTTTATTAATTGCAAACAGTGCAATTATTTATACTTCACAGTGCCTTCCCAGACCTTCCACCTTAGGTTCTGCTGCAAAAAGCACCAGGTAAGCACAACCTAAGGACATATATAAATAAATATTTCAATACATTAATGTTGTCCCTGTGAGGTTTTTGTGGTTGTGTATTCAAAGGCAATCTGCTACTGCTTCCCCAAAATGTATTTTGTTATTTTATGCTACCATCTTAGTGGAAAGTCTGTAAGTTGTTAAAGCAACTGTTTACATTTCTGGGTAATGTTTTTTATTTTACTTTTTTTTTTTTATTAAGACAAGAAAATGATGAGTAGATTGCTGCAGTAATTGAACTACATCCAAATCTTTTTGTATTTTTTCCCCAAATATAGAAGTGTTAATATTAAGAAAGGACAATTACACAGTTTTCAAGATTTAGGAAATCACTTGTTTAGAAACTTCAACAGCCTTCACAATCTGTTTTATATGATGGACAGAAAATTTCTTTGCCCTCCAAAATTATAATTTCTTTATTTTTTTCTTATTCTTAAACTATAATAATTCAGTAAGGATATTATGGGTTAGAATTTTATTATGATTTTTTTCTTAGACAAAAGTTATATGCTGAAGAAGGAAAAAGTTATAAGGCAGTATGTTTTGATAAAAGGCATGTGCATCAGTGAAATGTTAACTGTATAGCAAATAACCTTTCATAATCTGTAGCAATCAGTATTTTTCTGATTTAATAATATTTTAATAACTGACGCTGCATTTAATTTTTTTGCCAGTTTAAAATGTTTGTGTGTTTTTATAGATGATTTTAACTGGTACATATTTTGAGTTAAGTTGAATGTATGAAAGCAGCATCTTATCAGTTTTGTTTATTCGATTTCTAAAATGTGCTGATCCTTTTAAAACTCCTGCTTATCTCTGCAACAAAGAAAAATATTCAAAAATACTGCCTTCATTTTCACACACAGTGCTGAAGATGCTGCAAGCACCAAATCATAGCTCATAAAATCAGGTCCTGAGATAGTTACCCATAAAGAGGAATCCTTTGAGTGTATGCCATTGGTGAGCCGATGAGCATGGACCATAGAAGGGCTCAATGTAGAAGGTAAAATTGGCAAATCATAATTGAGAAATATGAAATGTATTCCCATACATAATATGGTATAGGGTGTAATGTACCTGCTTTTGATCACTTTTCATTTTAAAGTGCTATTCACTTGATCTTAAATGTTCCATGAACTGTTAAATTTCTTAAGTTACATAGTTACTACACCACATTTATGTGTATGTTATGTTTTAATAGTCAATGATAGGTATGTACAATTGATAATATAAAGGGGCTCATTGAAACTTGAGAGCCTGTTGAGTTTTGGTTAGTTGTAGATTGCATTTTTATAAAAAAAAATACAGATAGATTGATGATAATAGATATTGGGGCATTGTTTCTGTCTCATGAGAATTCTTTTATTCATTACCATAAGCCTTCACTGATACTATAAGCATTATTTTAAATGACGCTGATCTTAAGTCTGAAATAAATGGAAAGCAGAAAAGGTGAGCCAGTTGATTTGAATGCATTGGATATTAGTGTTAGAAACAATGTATAGTTTAGATTGAAACTGAACTGACTTATTTAGCACTTAAACAAAAATTTGACAATGTTTTTAGTTTTTTTTAAGACAGCTTAGTGTGGTGATACTTAGAATTCTATGGTTTGATGTTTCTTTTAGAAATGAGAAGTATAGTTTTATTTTTTAATATAAAAAATGGTTTTAATACTAAAACTAGTAATTTGATACTAGTTGTTTATAAACATTGTAAAATATATCTTTTAAACAAATTATCTTGGTAGTTAATTCATAAGGGTGGGTTTGGGTAGGAATAGCAGAGTACTTTCAGAGGGAAAGGGGAGTCATTCAGAAGTGATAGCATTTTATTTGTTTGAATACTCTGCCAGTAAAATCAGCTGTACTTAGAAAGTTATCTGTTGTGTAGAATAATGATGTAGAGTTTACTAATCAGTGAGGATGTCTTGTTTTTATTTTCTGCAAACTCTGCCTCACTTTAAAATGCATTATAACAATACCTAATTAAAGATAATTTTGGCTCTGAAAGTTACCTTATTTTTTGTTGAGTTAGTGACTTCATTTTTCTTGCCACAATATAAGCTTTTGAGGGATTTTTTTAAATTGGTGCTTTTAATAAGCAAATAAATCCCAGGGTTTTATTTTCTTCAGTGATACCCCTATAGAAACTCTTAAATGTATTTGCGCATATATATATATATATTTTCTTATGCATGCTCGATGCATTTTCGTCCTGAGAAAAATGTTCTCTACAGAAACTACCCGTGTGTAAAAAGAAGATTGGCTTAAAATGGCTACTGTGATGGGAACAGTGTCTTAGGGAGATGCAGCTTGGACTTGAGGTAAATTGAATACTTTACAACTGTGGTTTAGAGTTTGCTTTAATGACATTGTATGTAAAAGGTCACATGATTGCTGTAATTTTGTATTCATTATGGTTTCCTCAATAAATGTACATTGATGACTATTATAAAGGAGTGCTTTGTGTTTTTTATACATATATTACATGGTAAAATTTTCTACTTGACTGGGTTTTTTTTTATGTTTACTGTGAGAAAAAATGATTTTAAAAAGTTTTAATGATAAAAGGGTAACATCTGGTTGCACAAGTCTTAAAATACAGAAAGACTTTTAAATACAGAAGTTACTTTATTTGGGTTCACGTTGTAAAATAAAATTGTCTTCCAGAAAATTAAAATATAAAACAACTTAATAGAACGTAATAGCTAATTATTTACAAACTCATTTTAAAGACTAGAATTTTAAATCGAAGGTTGTGCCACTTTTTCCCTAAGTCTGATACACTTAGATCTTGAAGCCTTCGACTATGTTGAAAGTGTTTTCTCTTGCGTGAACTATTAATAGAAAGTTTTTTCATTAAAATATAATTTGTTCAGGCAAGATCACAACATAAATTTGCTTTATAAATTTAATATATATTACATACGTTTGAAAAATAACATGTTTAATATCCTCAACACTCAACACTGTATAGCCATTCTTTAAGTCCTTTAATTTTTGTTTTTCTCCATGCTCCTCCCCTTTTCCTCTGAAAGGAGTGACAGTTTTCCCCACCCCGCTCCAATCCCAATATATCTGCTTCAGAAAGACTTTGAAACTACAACAACCAAAATGGTGTACTACTAAAGAAAAAGTCCACTCAAATTGATAGGTTCCAAATTAATTATCTCAGCTATTTCAGCCTAATTTTAGGTGTAAAAAGCTCAGAAATGACATTCCTTCATGCAAAATAATGTATTCTACTTAGGTTTGTGTGTTTTTTTTTTGTTTTTGTTTTTTAAACATAGTTGCTGTAAACGTCTATGGGAAATACAGTCTTTATAATAGGTTCTGATAGAATAATTGAGTAATTCCCCCCCATAAGTACATTTTATTGACTGTTACTGCATAATAGGCGATAAATCTGATGCTTATTTGGAAAAGAAGTAGGCATTCTTTAGATGAGCTGTGCTTTGAAGACTGTTATGAAAAGGAATAAGAAGTCAGCATAGTGGCACTCCTGGTTTCCTTTTTTGGCCCCGCCACAGAAAAGATGGATGTAGTAAGAAAGTTGGAGTGAAAGAGAAAGTTCCAGGGAGAGGGGAGGGGAGCTAGTAGTCATCAGCTAAAAAAGAGAAGAAGAAAAGTGATTTTAAGGAAAAAAAAATTAATAGAATAAAAGATAAAAAGAGTGATTAATTCTTACTTTCAATGGTAAGAATACAGGTACTAGCTGCAGATCCTTTATTGTTGACTGCTTTACACATATACTCTCCTCCATCTTCTGGGAAAGTTTCTGGTAAGTAAAGGCAGTAAGTTTCTCCCCTTTCAATATATTGATAGTCTTCTCCATCCTGCAGTATTTCTCCTTCAAACCACCATGTAATTTCTGGTTTGGGTTCTCCTGTTACTTTAACCGTAAATCTGACTGGCTCACTGTCTACAACTGATGTGTTTTTAAGAGGCTTCTTGAACCATGGAGCTCCTGATCTGGTTTGCTCTTCATCTTCAGCAGTGGAGCCATTCATGATGCTACCTTCTTCCTCCTCCTCCTCTTCTCTTTTCTGTATTAAAATAAATGCATTCAGGTTGGCATTTATAGTATTTTCAGGGCAGCGATTTAGTAACAATTTTGAAATGAAATTTTTTTTTTTAAGTAAAGAACATACAAGTGTGCCTACTACAAAGTGTACTTAACAGTACATTCCAGTGACTTGAAAGAAAACCATTAAAACATTTTTTTAACCTACCTAATTATAAAACTATGGGTTTTAAGAGGGCATCTTTGGAAAATAAAGGATACATAAGCCTGGTACCTTTTGTAGTGCTGCATCAATTTCCCTTTGTTCAAACTGCATGCGTAGTAACTTTTGTTCTTCAATTCTTCTTTGTTCTTCTTCTTCTCTTGCCTTAGCCATTTGTTCAAATCTAGCTTTCATATTCACTTTGTGAGTAAATGGAGCCTCGCTTTTTCTTGCAGGCCTAACATCAACATCATCTTCCTGCAAGAAAGTGGGCCAAGATTAACAATTGCTTGCCTTCTAAAAACAAAGAAGCGTTACTAGTTCTAAAGGTGTTTAGAAGCACAAAATGATTAACATGTTTATAATGCATATTTTTGCTACACTGCAGACACTCAGATTTTTTCTAACTCTCCAGTTCAGGAAAAGTGATAGATACATTTATGAAGCATTCTCTTAGTTATAGACTTTTTCTCCAAATGTAAAGATCACAATATCACTGGGATCCTAGCCTGTTTGTCCTACCAACTCTGCTTGGTTTTGATAGCACTTAACTGAAAAAGGTCAGAATGCTATACATTCTAAATAATTGTTAAAAGTACTCCCTTGATTCCTGTAAGTCCATACCATTCCCTACTGCATAATAAATGTTTTCTCACTTAATGATTTTCCTTCTTTACCCTTCTTAGAACTATGTCCCTAATGAATTCCCTCCAAATAATGTATTGATGGTGAAATGGCAGGGGAAGGGTGTTTACAAGTAGAAAAACAGGTAGAGACAACTGTTGAAAGAGGCAATGGCTGAAACATGGGGAAATCACTAAGTAAAATATGTTTGAGTCATCTGAGGGGTGAATTGGAAGGGCGAAATGCTAATAAGGGAGTGATTTAAGAGCAGAGTCTCAACTGTCAAATAGTGTGTCTAGGAAAATAATAATTTGGTAATGATAAGGTCTAGAGCAGTTTTGGTGGAGTGGGGTTAATGTGGGTAGTTAATTCATGGTTTCTAAAGTACTTCAGTTGTTGACTTTTGGTTTCTTGACTTTTGGTTTCTAACTACCTAGGCATTTGTGGATCTAGTTGGAAATCTCACCATTTATATTTCATAGTACTATGAGGAAATTGCTCCAGATTGCCACATCCAACTAAAGGGAAATTTGAAACAAGCAGTTTAATTGCCTATATAAGAAAAATCTTGGTTCGGGTGTTTCACTTCAGTTTGAGGTGTTGCACCTCACACCTCGTACCTTGTACCTACCTCATTTCCGATGAAAGGAGTAGAAGGTGGTTAAAGTAGTTGCATGGTTTTTCTGGTTCTGCATTAGATTTTTTATTTGATGTTGGAAAATCATGGGACATCAGACAACCTGCTACCTGGTGCGTAAATTCTATTTTGTGCCATTATTTACCTTCAGTTGATAAATATAATGCCTGACTATGGTTGTTGCTAATGAATGAATGAACAGCATTTTTTAAAAAATTATTATACATAAAAGACTAAGAAAAATACATGTTAAACCATGATTTGCTTACTGTAGTTTCATCTCAACAGACTTCTGAGACTTAAATTTAAAAAGGACCTCTTTGTTCACAGTATACACTTTTTTTGTTGTTTACCAAATGAACCTTTAAGATGGAATATTTCAGCAGGTACAATAATTGCTATTCTGAGTCCCTCCCAGTTAATAACTTGCCTTTCAGATTTTAGCCTGTTTATGCAAATTCATAACTATTCATTTAGCTGCCTCAAACCTGCATTTAGAAAATAAATTTGAGTAAGTAAAATAATTTCTCTTGAGCTGAAAATTTATGCACAGTTCTGCAGTCAAGTACAATTGTCAACTTTTCTTGAGCTCCTAAAAAGCCAGGTTAAAACATGTTTCTGGGAAAGAAATCTAAGATAGTAATATAAATGGTATTCTGTAGGTACATTCTTTATAGGGCATTGGTACTCTCAGCCCATGAATATTAAAGTCAGCAGTTAGGCAGTGTATTTTCCTTGAGATACAATGGGGCATAAGGTGGTTTTGGAGTAGACTTTATTGGAAAATCTAACTAGAAATTCAAATGTTATATAAGGCATTTAAGTACCAAATGAGGGGTACATGTTTAAGTGCTACAGGAGCTGGGATGGAATTCTTTGATTAGGTAAGGTTATGTAAATGAGTTGAGCCTTGAAAGAATATAAACATTTTGAAGACACATTGAACATTGATATTTCTCGCTGTGTCACCCAGGCTGGAGTGCAGTGGCGTGATCTCGGCTCACTGCAACCCCTGTCTCCCGGGTTCAAGCCGTTCTCCTGCCTCAACCTCCTGTGTAGCTGGGATTATAGGCGTCTGCCACCACGCCCGGCTAATTTTTGTATTTTTAGTAGAGACAGGGTTTCGCCATGTTGGCCAGGCTGGTCTCGAACTCCTGACCTCAGGTGATCCGCCTGCCTCCGCCTCCCAAAGTGCTGGGAATTACAGGCATAAACCACCGCGCTCAGCCGCTAACAAGTTTTTAAATACGATTTCAATAATCTTTAAGCCAGAAAGATATGATAGGAGGGACTTCATTGTCCTCCAGAGGAAACTCCATTCAGGATATTCTGATAGGGTATAAAAGTTCAGCCATGTCCTAATACCACATCCATGTATACTAGAGAGCCAGTAATAGCAAAAACAAGAAGTCACCTATCTTATTTTTGTTATTACCTACATATTTTGTAGGTATAGGTATAACTGCTAAGGTTTCACTACCATTAACAAAAGGAAGCAAGTGCATGCTGATTGAACTTTTCTTTACCTTCCATGTTACACCTATAAAGGCTGATGTTTGGCCAGTCATCCACTAAATATTGGTGTTCTCCAGGGCTTAATTCACTTTCAACAATTAACTTTATAAGCAGCTTTATCTACTTGTACTTTCCAGTGCTGTCTGTAAAAGTTGGTATCTGCTTGCCTCTCACCTTAGTTCAGGACCTTTGTTAGACTGCCTTTACCTTATCCAAATATCACTCAAACTTTACATGCCAAAACTATTCACCCCAACTCCCCAGACCTGATTTCTCTATAGCATCATCTAGATATCCTGAAGTAATGGTAGACCCCTCCGCAACCAACTGCCCAAAAAGCAACCTATAACCCTTTTTTGTTTGTTCAACTCCTATCCATACCAGAGTCTAACCTAGTTTTGTTATTTAGGTCTGTTTTTCTCCCTTGGCCCCAACTTCATGCCTGTCTTCCAGTTCATCCTCCATGGTCCCAGAATTCTTGCATAAACATAAATATTTTATTACTCTGACCTAAAAAGTTATTAACATTGTTGCCCAGATCATAGAGCCTGCAAGGTTTAAAAAGACTTTCATTAACTAGCCACAACCTATTTTTACAACCTTGTATCCTATCACTTATTCTGTGAACCTTGCCTTGTCCTTTGAACCTGTTTTCCATTCCCCAGATACATTTTTACAACCTCTGAGTTAATCTGGAAGGCTTCTCCTCTATCTGGAATGTCTCTCCTCTTTACCTGCAACTTTTATTCAGCCTTCACACTCACCTTAAATGTCACCTTCTTGGCCCTGTTAAACATATCCTAGGTATATTGACCACCCAATTTGATTCTGTAATAACTTCTATTATAGTACTTAGAATAATTAGAATTTTCTTCATCATACGTCATTAGACTGAACTTTTTTTTTTTTTTTTTTGAGACAGTCTTGCTCTGTCGCCAGGCTGGAGTGCAGTCTCAGCCTCCTGAGTAGCTGGGACTATAGACCCGTGCCACCACGCCCAGCTAATTTTTGTATTTTTAGTAGAGACGGGGTTTCACCATGTTGGCCAGGATGGTCTCGATCTCTTGACCTGGTGATCCGCCCGCCTCGGCCTCCCAAAGTGCCGGGATTACAGGTGTGAGCCACCGCACCCGGCTGTAGACTAAACTTCTTAAATGCTTATTATATCCACATATATATCCCCAAAACAACAGATCCAACATGTTAAAAATGTTCAACATTTTGTAGATGTTAAAAAATAGAAATGGTGTTTGCTTTTGGCAATGATGAAAAGGTTTATCTACAACTAACCCAGGCCTTAGGCTTGTATGTCACACAAGCTTAGATGCAAATCAGATTGATTGGTTGATGTTTCACAGCATCTCCATTTGTGTCAAATAGCTTATGGAACCTCTTTTCCTTCCAAACTCTAGTCTGGTTTCCCGTATTGTTACTGTATACCCTGTCACTATGATTCCTTCCTCTTCCTCTCCATCACCATCCCCAAGTCCTGCCAGTTTTGACTCCTGCATACTTACCTGTCCTTTCCATACCAGACCTAGTTCAAATCCTCAGGCCGCCTCTGACCACGCTGTACAAAACAGTAACACATACTCTTATTTCCCTTACTCTGCTTTATTAATCTTAATAGCTTTTGTTTGTTAACCACCTGATAATTGTTTTCTATCCCTCCCAATCCCCAACCCATCCATTAGATTCTAAACACTATATGAACAGGGACTGTAAGTTTAGTTACTGATGTCTTGTGTCCAAAGCAGTCCCTGGAACATAGTAGTCATTCAAATAATTTTTTTTATTTTTTATTTTTTATTTTTTTGAGATGGAGACTCGCTCTGTCGCCAAGGCTAGAGTGCAGTGGTGCGATCTCAGCTCACTGCAGTCTCCACCTCCCGGGTTCAAGCAATACTCCTGCCTCAGCCTCCCTAGTAGGTGGGATTATAGGCACCCGCCATTATGCCTGGCTAATTTTTGTATTTTTGTAGAGACAGGGTTTCACTATGTTGGCCAGACTGGTCTTGAACTCCTGACCTCAGGTGATCCACCCACCTCGGCCTCCCAAAGTGCTTGGGATTACAGGCGTGAGCCACCGTGCCTGGCCTCAAATAATTTTTTTAATGCATGTATCTAAGACCATATAGCTTCAGCATGATCCAGCTATATAGACAATATCTGTCTGACAATATCCATGCTTTATTGTGTTAGAGACAGGGTCTTGCTCTGACCCCCAGGCTGGAGTGCAGTGGTGCAATCACAGTTCACCGCAGCCTCAACCACCCAGGCTCAATCAGTCCTCCCACCTCAGCCTCCCAAGTAACTGGGACTACAGACATGCACCACTGTGCTCGGATAATTTGTATTTTTTGTACAGATACGGTTTTGCCATGTTGCCCAGGCTGGTCTTGAAATGGCTCAAGTGACCCACCCACCTCGGCCTCCCAAAGTGCTGAGACTACAGGTGTGAGCCACTGTGCCCAGACAATATCCATGTTTTAAAAATCCCTTCACATGGCATCTAAGACTCCATGATCATCTCAGTTATGCTTGCATCTTCATTTTGCTGTCCTTCGCACTCGTGCATGCCTCAATAATAATGAATTGCTTATAGTCCCAATAATTGGCACACAGTTTCTTCATTCTGTCCTTTTATTCAGTCTCCTCTGAAGGCCCTCCCAAATTCCCATACCTGTTTTGCTAGCTGAATATTTGATCAAAATAGAATATAGGTTAAGTTCTGTTAAATATTATAGGATGGCAATTCTGGCAGAAAAAAAATTTCTAGATCTCATTTAAACTAGTATTCATAATCACAGAAATAGTCCTTAAGCTAGAAGGGATGTTGCAGGTCAGTGATTGCCTCTTTATTTTATGTTTGAAGATAATTCAAATTCATGTCATCAGAATTCTCATTTAGGCTCTTCCACACCGAATTACTACTGTAACTTTGAGCAAATACTAGAGGCTTTATGGGTTTCATCTAAGAAATTATGAATAATCTGGAGTTTAACTTGAATATACACTGGTTCTACTGACTCAACTAAAACATATGCCAAAAAATATATTATTTTAGTTGTATCTTTTTTTGTAGAGATGGGGTTTCACTTTGTTACCCAGGCTAGCCTAGGACTCCTGGATCATGTGATCCTCCCTCCTTGGCCTCCCAAAGTGCTGGGATTATAGGCGTGAGCCACCACGCCCAGCCAAAAAATATTTTTGAACATTTTTGCTAGAGTGAACCATTTGACATTCACTATAGGTTTTAACACTGATAAAGGTGATTTTGAAACAATGCTAGTCTTTCAAAGTCTAAGATCTACATGTGTTTTGCTATTTACTTCCCAGATTACTGTATATACCAATGATTAATTTTAAGTACTAAAACTTATTTCAAAGCCAATGTTACTTCTGTTAAATTTATTATCATTACTGTACCATAACTATGTTAAATATAAAGGTAATATACCTCATGAAAATTTTCAGCTTCTCGCTCTTTAATTTCAAGGTCAATTGCTCTCCTTCTTGCTCGCTCTTCTTCTATTTTTTTCTGTATTTCTTTTTCAGACAACTGTCCAATTTTTTCAAACTTGCTTTTTAGGTTTTTAGCTTGAATAGAGCCACTCCTTTTTAATTTGATCAGTTCTTCATATTCTCTGCTCAATCCAAAGGTTTCATTTTCTTCCTCTTCCTTCAAAAAAAATTAATAAGTTTGTTGCTGCTGTTTTTGAGAGAGTCTCACTATGTTGCCAAGGCTGGCCTTGAATTCCTGTGTTTAAGCAATCCTCCTGCCTCAGCTTCCCAAGGAGCTGGGACTACAGGCACATGCCACCATGTGTGACTCAAAAAAAAAAGATTGAATATCAGCATATTAGTTTGTACAAGAAACCATCCAAAAGATGTGCACTATTTCTTATTTGAAACCAAAAATACAGTTTAACCTCTTCTCTAAATGCAGGGTCCAAATTTACTAACTCAAAATGGTGCTACAAATTTAAGGCATTATTGAAAACATTCTACTTAAAATGCTATTCTCATTAGGAAATATGGCTAAAATCCTCTGACATTCCTTGATAACTTGCTAAAACTAAAATATTCATGACAAGATTAGCTTTTTGTAGGAGTTGTAGGAAGATCTTTGTTAGGGGAAGGCAAAAAATAATTGAAAGAACACTAGGCTGGGTGCAGTGGCTCACGCCTGTAATCCCAGCACTTAGGGAGGCCAAGGTAGGCAGATCACCTGAGGTCGGGAGTTCAAGACCAGCCTGGACAACATGGTGAAACCCCCTTTCTACTAAAAATACAAAAATTAGCCGGGCATGGTGGCTTGTGCCTGTAATCCCAGCTACTTGGGAGGCTGAGGTGGAGGTTGTAGTGAGCCGAGATTGTGCCACTGCACTCCAGGCTGGGTGACACAGCAAGACTTTGTCTCAAACAAACAAAAAAGAACACTGGACTAGGAGTCATATGAGTTCTAGTCCTGGCTCTGATACTGTGCAGGCTTTTGCCCAGTTACTTACCCACTGTATGATTTTCTTCATCTCTAAATAGAGCCACAGTATCTAAAATTTTTCCTACTTTTGATTTTATGGTAGTCTTACAAAGTAAACATCACTCTTAATACTCAAGTTAATAATTAAGTATTTCTGGTTCCTAGGTTATAAATTGGTGAGAGGACCCCTCCAAGTTGCCTGCCAAACATGCCATAGCATTGCCAGTCCAAGTCATGAGGCTACATCTTAGACCCTGACCCTGTTCATGTGTGTGGCCTGGCCCCTGGCAGGGGCCAAGGCTGATGGCGAATACACGCCCCCATTCTACCTTTCTCTTCTGCTGCCCACGCAACCTGGGCCACCCAGAGGGATGGCAGCAGAGTCCGAAGAGGGAAGAAGGTTAGGCAGGGCCCTGGGAAAGGGGGCTGATGAAAACCCATTCCAGGGAGGCAGGAAAGACAGCGTAAAGCTTTAGTGAGCAAAAGCTCCTATATAGGGCATGCTTCATCGTCCAATCAGTTTTCACTTACATACAACACACAAATTCAAAGGTAAAATTAAGAATTTCAAGACAGTGGCTGGGCATGATGGCTAATGCCTGTAATCCCAGAACTGTGGAAGGCTCAGGTCAGAGGATCGCTTGCCAGAAGTTTGAGACCAGCCTGGGCAATAAAGTGCGATCACCCCATCTTTAGAAAAGAAAACAAAAAGGCCGGGTGCGGTGGCTCATGCCTGTAATAACCAGCACTTTGGGAGGCCGAGGTGGGCGGATCACCTGAAGTCAGGAGTTCGAGATCAGCCTGGCCGACATGGTGAAACCCCATCTCTACCAAAAATACAAAAATTAGCCGGGCATCGTGGCACATGCCTGTAATCCCAGTTACTCGGGAGGCTGAGGCAGGAGAATTGCTTGAACCTGGGAGGTGGAGGTTGCAATGAACCAAGATTGTGCCATTGCACTCCAGCCTGGGCAACAGAGCAAGACTCCATCTCAAAAAAAAAAAAAAAATTAAAAATTAGCCAGACATGGTGCTGCGTGCACCCCAAGTCTCAGCTACACAGAAGGCTGAGACATGAGGATCACTTGAGCATGGGAGGTTGAGGCTGCAGTGAGCCATGTTCACACCACAAAAAGGATTTGAAGACAGTAACCTCAGCATTAAACCCCAAATGCAAGGCCTTCTGAACATGGCGTCTTGTGAGTGCACAAGGTGCATGCCCATGAAGCTGGCACTGTATAGTCTATATATAATATATGTATTGAATATATGCATATTTATGAACTACAAATATAAATAAATAGTAATAGCTCAGTCACTTGCAAACCTAGATACTTTTTTATTAAACTAGCAAGGAAGGAGTAGTTAAAGCAGACTAGAAAGTACACATAATTGTGCAGACGCCTGTACCATGTAAGCACCTCATAATACTATGTCAACTATCCTAAAGGTGAATAATAATACAAAGTTATTATAAGGTGATATAAGTAAAATATTTAGCTTAATAAATATGGGGAATATAGATATTTCTTAAAATCTTACCTCTCCCATTTCCTGTCTCAGTTGTTCAAATTCTTGTTTCTCCATTTCTAGCTTATGCTTCCGTTCCTCCTCTGTTCGTCGTTTTTCTTCTTCCATTTTTTGTTTTAATAATTCTTCAAAATTAATTTCCAGTTTTCCCGGTGTAAGAAATTCTTGAGAGATTGTCTTATACATCTCTGGGGAGTCATCATCTACTACCTATTTAAAATAATTATTTTATCACTCTGGCCAGAATTACACATACTAAAAAGGGACTATTTCTTGAAGAAACTGGGATTTCTTTTTTTTGTTTGTTTTTAGTTTTTGTTTTTGTTTTTTGAGATGGAGTTTCACTCTTATTGCCCAGGCTGGAGTGCAATGATGTGATCTCAGCTCACTACAACCTCTGCCTCCCAGATTCAAGCGATTCTCCTGCCTCAGCCTCCCAAGTAGCTGGGATTACAGGCATGCGCCACCACGCCCGGCTAATTTTGTATTTTTAGTAGAGACGGGGTTTCTCCATGTTGGTCAGGCTGGTCTCGAACTCCCGACAGGTGATCCGTCTGCCTTGGCCTCCCAAAGTGCTGGGATTACAGGCGTGAGCCACGCACCCGGCCAGATTTCTTAAATAGGTTTCACATTGAACAAAAAACAAGGGGACTTAACAGTAAACAAGGAAGTCTCAACACAGTGTTCAAAAATAAATAAATAAAAGGGAAGAATTATTAGAAAATGTAAGACCGAGGTATTTTGTGGTTATGAAGGAAATGGTAACCATCTATTCTCCATTACAGTGAAGACAAAGAAATAATTTATTCATACCATGAGTACTTTAAATTAGACATTAAGATTTCCTAATTTGAGAACATTTTTTAATTGGATTGAAACGACTCCCCAGGTTGGTAATTAAAGCATTTAAGTTAATCATGATTTTGTCTGAATGAATTAGATAACCCATCATGATCTCTTCATAATCAGGCAAAAATCATTCTTAGTGCTATGAGTTTATTGTTTATTTGCTGTCTGGCTAATTTTAAAGAAATAATAATAGTTAATACTTGGAGCTGCCAAGTGCAGTTATAAGCACGTAAAGTGTATTAATACATGTAAAATGTATTAATTTATTTAATCCTATGACCCTATGAAGTAGTTACTAATATCCTCATTTTACAGAGAAAGAAACTGAGGCACTGAAAAGTAATTGTCTAAAGTCAACACAAATACTATGTGGCAAAGCTGGGATTCAAACTTCAAAATATTTCTAATAAGATTATAGGCCGGGCACAGTGGCTCATGCCTGTAATCCCAGCACTTTGGGAGGCCAAGGCAGGTGGATCATGAGGTCAGGAGTTCGAGACCAGCCTGACTAACATGGTGAAACCCCGTCTCTACTAAAAATACAAAAATTAGCCAGGTGTGGTGGTGGGCGCCTGTAATCCCAGCTACTGGGGAGGCTGAGGCAGGAGAATCACGTGAACCCAGGAGGTGGAAGTTGCAGTGAGCCGAGATTGCACCATTGTACTCCAGCCTGGGTGACAGCGAGACTCCATCTCAAAAAAAACAAAAGATTATAGGCCGGGCGCGGTATAACATAACCCTCTGGCCTGAACTGTGACTCTGTGGTTGAAATACACACAGGGGAATGAGAGAGGCAAGGGGTATTATTCATTTGCTCCAAGTTTTATCAAGGTAATCCAGGCTTTACCACAGAACTATTTCAACTCAGAAACAATGTTTAAGTGGTTTACAATTCAAAGATTGCCTGAAATTTTTAAATTTTACATATGCATGAACTAAGCTATGGTATGAAATTACAATACTTATTCCTGGATAAATTACAATACTTATTTGTGGATAAGAAAACAATATAAATGTAAGAGGAAGGTTTTCTCTCTTCTCTTTAGAAATGTCTTTAGGAAACTTGGTTTTGTTTTAATGCAGTTTTCTCGCCTGCATTTTTTCCGCTAGTGAATCATGGTAAAAAGGCAGTATTGGCCTACAAATCTGCCCCAAGGACTAGGTCTAGTAATCTTCACAGTTACTTCTCTTCTACCGCTTCTTTTTTTTTTTTTTTTTTTTTTTTTTTTTGAGACGGAGTCTCACTCTGTCCCCCAGGCTGGAGTGCAGTGGCGAGATCTTGGCTCACTGCAAGCTCCGCCTCCCAGGTTCATGCGATTCTCCTGCCTCAGCCTCTGAGTAGCTGGGACTACAGGTGCCCGCCAACACGCCCGGCTAATTTTTTTTTTTTTTTTTTTTTTTTTTTTTTTTTGTATTTTTAGTAGAGACGGGGTTTCAACATGTTAGCCAGGATGGTCTCGATCTCCTGACCTCGTGATCCGCCCGCCTCGGCCTCCCAAAGTGCTGGGATTACAGGCGTGAGCCACCGCGCCCGGCTTCTTCTACCGCTTCTAAACCTGCTTATTCTCCAAAAATTAAGTGCATTCACAACGTCTGTAGGACTTCTATGTAGAAACCATTTATGAATCAGGGATTACCTACTGCACGTAAGATTTCAATATCACTTGTTCCATCAACATTTATTGGAGGTCTGCTACGCTAAGCATTGTGCCACATGTTTGATGAACAGTCTTGGCCTCATGGAGTGGAAAAGACAGCCATAAGTGGTAACAATACAGGATTAGCGCTATGATAGAAGAGTACTAAATGCTGTAAGAATTCATGGAAGGTGTTTATTATCAGGAAAGGCTTTCCAGAGGAAATGGAAAGTTATGAATTGGAGTTAGCAGAGCATAGGGAAAGGAGTGAGGGACATCTTTCAGACAGTGTGAAGGCTGAGTCTCACTTTGAAGAAATACAAACAAATTCAGCATATTTGGAACAAAGAGCAGATTCAGGAAGAATCAAGAAATGAAACGAGAGCAATATACAAGAGCAAGACTATAAAGAAATTTGTTTTAGAAGTTTTTGGATTTTTGCTTAAGAAAAGTGGGGAAATATTAAGCAAAACAGTAACAAAACACAATCAAAATTTCTTTCTTTTTAAAGATCACTCCTGGCCTTACAGGAAAGAATAGGTTACAGGTAAGAAAGCAAGTTAATGAGGAGTTGGCCCCAGGCAAGTTGTAACAGTAACTTGGATTATAGTAGTGGCGGTGAAAATGGGGGGAAAACTGACAGATTTCATAGTGATTTAGGAGGTAGAATAAACGAGACTTAGTGACTGGTTGGACATCAGGCATGAATAAGAAGATGGAAGTGTTTCAGGCTTCCACGTTTCTGATTTGAGTATCTGTGTGGGCAATAAAGCCAAATAAACACTTGGACATATGTGTGTGATGCTCACCCATACAGAGGAAGAAAACCAGGTTACGATATCACCAAAGCTAATTACAGTGTTTCAAGAAGGAGATGCAGTGCTCTAGTCTCAAATTGCTTCAAAATTGTTTGTCAGATAACTGTACATTGTACAAACATAAAACTGGTATAGGAAGTACAGTCATAACCTTGTGACAGTTAAGTTAGGTATCAATTTCCAGGAGTGATGAGTGAGCATTTTGAAGAGAGAAATAATTCTGATTAAATGACTCAGGTCATTTAATATATAGTAGGTGGGATGAAAACTGAAAGAAGGAAAGGAAGGAAATAAAGGAATGAAGGAGGGAGAAAGGGAGTATGGGAAGGAGGTGGCGAAAGAATGGAGAGGAAGAAAGAAAAGTTGAGGGAGGAAACTCCCTACTTCTTCTTCTTCCTTGGATACTTAGTTCTGGAAAACATGCCTTCCCAGAGAAGGGAGATAATATTCCATCCTTTGTGCCAAGCATGGCAATTTAAAGCAGAATCTTCTGAACACTAAATTGAAGCAAATACCTTCAACCAACTGGTGTTATTCCATGGGAGACTTTAAAACATATTTGCCATTTCTACTCTTGGCACAGTTTCCAGAAATAATAGGGTATTCTCTAAAGTCTAATGATTCTATTAACATATTCTCAAAGGTGAATTCTAATAGCATTCTCCAGTTAGCTTCTGTCTTACCATATTTCTCCTTGCTTCAGCAAACGCCTTCTTTTCTTCCTCTATTCTCCTTCTGGCTTCTTCTTCTGCTTTCCTTTTTTCATCTTCTCTTCTTTGCCTTTCCATTTCTTCAAAACTGAGTTTGAGTTTACCAGGGCGGTACCCTTTAAAAATTTTTGCTGTGTCTTGGTTTTCCTCATCTTCATTTACCTAACCAAATAAACAATTCATTACTAAGAATTGAGGTTCATCAGAAAAAGGAATGAATTATTAATCAAAAGGCACAGAATTAGCCACTATCACACAGGAGTTTCAATGCCCTTAATATACTTGACCTAAATCCCCTTCCTTTTTAATGTCTTCTATGATAAAATATTCAAATTTGGAGAAATTCCATATAAAGATGTACTCAGGTTAAATAAAACTTCTCAAATAAGCCAAATTTCTATAGATAAAATTGAATATTAAAACATTTTTAGCCAGGTGTTGTGGCGGCTCACGCCTGTAATTCCAGAACTTTAGGAGGCAGGAGGATCACTTGAACCCAGGAGTTCAAGACCAGCCTGGGCAACATAGCAAGACTTCGTCTCTACTAAAAACCAAAAAACACATTATAGCCAGTGTGGTGGTGTGTGCCTGTAGTCCCAGCTACTCGAGAAGCTGAGGTGGGAGGATCCCTTGAGCCCAGTAGGTTGAGGCTGCAGTGAGGGGTTACTGTTGAGTATTAACTTTCCCAGAACAAATATAAAATGCGTATGTGTGTACTATAATTGGGGTTCAAGTATATCTACACAGAATCTCTTTGGTAGTAAAATAATGTTCTCATTTTGTAATTTTTGTATTTTTTTTTTTACTGTGAACTATGGTACCTTATACTAATCAGATAAAAGATTATTATCTAGAACTATTTTATGTAAAATTCCAGCTTTATGATTTTATCATTAAAGGTTTATTATTAAATTTACTATAATATCAATTGAAATGTATTATTTATTTAACAATACTATTTCTTTATTAAGTTGACCACCAGAAATATCTAAAATGTGCAGATATTATGCAGCTATACCCGAGTAATAACATTTTCAAATAAATGTCTAGAAAATTAAATTTTTATATATATAATTCTTAGAACATCATTCAAGAAAGCTGATCAAGAAAGTTCTGTAACTTTAAAATTACAAATATTCCATTTTTAGATCCTTTTTTTTTTTTTTTGAGACAGGGTCTCACTCTGTCACCCAGGCTGGAGTCCAGTGGCTCATTCATAGTTCGCCGTAGCCTTGATTTCCCGGGCTCAAGCAATCCTCTCGCCTCAGCACCCGGGGAGCTTGGACTACAGGTCTGTGCCACCACACCTGGCTAATTTTTGTATTTGTTTTTGTAGAGACATGGTTTCCACATGTTGCTCAGGCTGGTCTCAAACTCCTGGGCTCAAGGGATCTGCCTGCCTCAGCCTTCCAAAGTGCTGAGATTACAGGCATGGCCACCATGCCTGGCGCATTTTTAAATCTTAAAACGAGGTTTGGAATCAGTGTTTTCTTATTTCAGTTTTACTTTCTGTTGATAAATCTATTAATACCATAGTAATAATTAACATTTTCAAAGAACTTAGTATATGTAACAAACACCATTTTAAGTGCTTCCTAGATATTAACTTGTTTAACCATTTAAGAAATAGGCATTGAAAAAAAATCCAAGTCATTGTGGAAGTTAAAAAAAAAAAGAAGTAGGCGCTTTCATTTTTACCATTTTAAAAATGAAGAAACTAAGAGAGATTTAATTAATTAACACAGCGAGAGATTAAAACAGTTGTCCATGGTTACACAGTTAGTAAATGGCTGATATCTGAATCTAGACAATCTGGCCCCACAATCCATGCTCTTAACCACACTACACACACACACACACACACACACACACACAGACACACACACACAGAGGCATGCACACAAATATGCACACACATACACTTAATAGGACAAACTGCATATTCCACCGTAAACTGTTATTTTGATATGTTCAAACAGTTGAAAAACTGGACTGCTGAGGACAAGTTTACACTTATAATCAGTCCCGCACCCATGTCATTAAGTACTTTGCAGATTGAACTAACAGATGAAGGAAACCAGGTTCATTGAGTAATTATTTTGCATATTTATACATTAATAACAATGTATAAAAATAAAAATTTAAAGCATATTGGGTAAAATGCCCCAGAGTGAAAACTGGAAAACAGTATGGATTTTTTTTTTTGAGACAGTCTCATTCTGTTACCCAGGCTGGAGTGCAATGGCGTGATCTCAGCTCACTGCAACCTCCATCGCCTAAGTTCAAGTGATTCTCGTGCCTTAGCCTCCCAAGCAGCTGGGATTACAGGGATTTCACAGTGTTGGCCAGGCTGGTTTCAAACTCCTGACCTCAGGTGATCTACCCACCTTGGCCTCCCAAAGTGCTGGGATTACAGCATGAGCCACCGTGCCTAGCCTAGATGTATTTTATATATGAAATATGAATACAATTAGAAAATCAGCCCTTCTATATGTAAAATCTCTTTGAATTTGTAGTAGTAAACCTTATCTTAAGTCGGCTAACTTCATTAATATTAATTGTAAGGTTTAAATATGTAGATTTACCATTTGCCGCCTTGCTTCTTCAAAAGCACGCTTCTCTTCTTCTAAACGTTTTCTTGCTTCCTCTTCAGCTTGCTTCTTTCGGTTTTCTTGTCTTTGTCGCTCCAGTTCTTCAAAAGTTAGTTTCAATTTTCCGGGAGAAAGTGATTCTTTTTTTGCTTCACTTTCTATTTCATCATCCTAAGAAAACGTTATGAAAACCCACCTTTTAGTCATAAAGGAAAATGCTGCTAACTTAAACTGCCTTGATTTGTTTCTTAGAAAACAAACAAACAAAAATTTACCATAACTAATGAAAGACACTTTGCTTCCTTGAGAGATGGTCGTTGTTCTTCATATCTTATTCTTTTATCTTCCTCGTACTTGATCCTTTCTTTCTCTTCACGTTCTTTTTCTAGATCCTCAAAATTCTTTTTCATTTTTCCAGATGTTTTATATGATTTGACAGGTACCACAGTTATAAGTAGTGAATCATCTCCTTCCTATTTTATAAAATAGATAATTAGCCTATTTCTTCTTAATCAAAATTGGGTTTCATGGGACTTTACCTCCATCATAGGTGAATTTCATTACACTGTCATCAATGTTATTATGAAGAACATTTTTTTACAGATTATTATTAAATATCTCCTACTCTAAATTCTTTGTGCATTATGAGTTAATCTTGCTGAAATCCATTGCTGACGAGGTTCAAGAAGCATTCTATTTCCTAGAAGATGGAGTTAATACAGCTGTTTGGATAACGAAACTGCAGTGACATTGCCTGAATTAAGCTATTTGTGCACTAATCCACAAAATGTGCATGTGAATATACTCTAAATCAATTTGATGGTGGATAGATTCAGTTTAAACAAAAAAAAGTTTCCTCATATGATTTTTCTCTCTATGCAAGCTTTTAAATACTTAATGAAACCAGTATTTAGTGAGAAAAAAACACAGTATTTCCAAGTGATTTATTAAACATTTATATATATTATAGATAAACTCTCTGGTATTTGATTGTATTAAAATATTTTAAAATTATTATTTAATTCATTTTAATTATATAATCTGTTGTTGCCTCTGACTTTTTTAAAAACTAAGAAGAGTGGTGAAATGAAACACATGGCCCTGAGATAAAATTGCTCCCAATTTATGGGCTGTAGTTTTGGGCACACCATCAAATTGAAAGATTTTTAACTTATTCTGTTAGATAAAAGGGATGACTAAAATTTTTGTGGTTGTTGAACATTTCTTCTTGGTAACAGATACTGCACTCTGTACTATTATATAAAAACCAAAACATAAACTCTCAGGAACTCTGAGGAAAGAAGACAAATGATGAAAATAAAATTGCCTTTTTATAAATGTTAGCGTTCAACAATCTCAGCTGTTAGTAACAGTTCAAAAAATACGTTGTCTTGGCAGAGTATCTCAAACTGAGACTAATAAGGCTTGTCTTTCTAACCTGACTATGAAAGCAAAACATACTTTTCTTTAAAAACACTAAGCTATAGTGTTTGAAAGTGCAAAAGTATGCTCTTGCTTTGCAAAACATACTTTTTTGTTATTTCTACATTTATAATAAAAATAATAAAAGCTCTTTTAGTTTTTTCTTATACTAAAAGATAATTTGTGAATCAGATAATTTTAGGTGAATGTTTCATTAAAGGAAATGTCTGTTTACCTCTGATGCTGATTCAGTTCCCGTATTGTTTATGTCCTCAATCTATTGAATGAGAATTTCATATCATTACATTACATCAGATTTCTACTTTTTGCTTTTAAACAACAACTGGAAAGTAATTTAGTTGTGACTTATAGTAAATTTTCAAATTTATAATTTTTGAAATATGTTTATGTTGTTCCAAATTAGCCAAATATATCCTTTATATTTATTGTTGCATATTGATATCAATATCAATATCCAGAAAACAACATATTAAGAAAACAATCAGGCTGGACGAGGTGGCTCATGCCTGTAATCCCAGCACTTTGGGAAGCCAAGGTGGACAGATCATTTGAGCCCAGGAGTTCAAGACCAGCTTGGGCAACATGGCGAGATCCCTTCTCTACAAAAAGTACAAAAGTTAGCTGGGCATGGTGGCACGCACCTGTGGTCCCAGCTACTCTGGAGGCTGAGGCAGGAGGATCACTTGAGCCCAGGAGGTTCAGGCTGCAGTGAGCCATGTTCATGCCACTGCACTCCAGTGTGAGTGACAGAGTGAGACCCTGTTTCAAGAAAAAAAGAAAAAAAAACAGAAAAAATTAAGATAAAGCCTACCCTCTGTAACCCAGAAACTGAATAACAGACCAAACTCTTATGACCAGGCTATTGAGCTTACAAGCAGCAATTATTAATTTAATTAGCAATTTAAACCAAGACACATAGAAACACTTCTCCATTCTTTGTCACTGCCCCATCAAAGGAAAACCTATCCATTAGCAATCTAATACTTGTCATGATTATATTTTACAACATAAATATAGGGCAAAAATAAAACTGATACAATAACAGTGCAGTGAAAGATGTAGGCTAGTTTATTTTTTTTTTTGAGATGGAGTCTCGTGCTGTCACCCAGGCTGGAGTGTAGTGTCGTAGTCTCAGGTCACTGCAACTTCTGCATGCTGGGTTCAAGCAATTCTCCTGCCTCAGCCTCCTGAGTAGCTGGTACTACAGGTGTGCACCATCACGCCTGGCTAATTTCTGTATTTTTAGTAGAGATGGGGTTTCACCATGTTGGCCAGGCTGGTCTCCAACTCCTGACCCCAAGTGATCTGCGTGTCTTGGCCTCCCAAAGTGCTGGGATTACAGGCGTGAGCCACCATGCCCAGCTGGGATAGAATAGTTTAGAAGGGAAAATAATTCTGATAGTCATGTTTTCTCTATATTTTGACGAGGTCTAAGTAGGAAAGCTCCTCATTTAAAAAGTGAGAGCTTGGCCAGGCACAATGGCTCACGCCTATAATCCCAGCACTTTGAGAGGCTGAGGCGGGCGGATCACGAGGTCAAGAGATCAAGACCATCCTGCCCAACATGGTGAAACCCCGTCTCTACTAAAAATAGAAAAATTAGCTGGGTGTGGTGGCACACGCCTGTAGTCCCAGCTACTCGGGAGGCTGGTGCAGGAGAATCGTGTGAACCCGGGAGGCAGAGGTTGCATTGAGCTGAGATCACACCACTGCACTCCAGCCTGACAGAGCAAGAGTCCCTCTCAAAAAAAAAAAAAAAAAAAAGAGAGCTCAATTTACCCATTACTCATAAGAAATACCGTTAGTTTAGCTTTAGAGGAAGACTAATGTACTCTTCTTAGCAAACATAATTGAGAGAAGATAGGTGGTTTAAATAATGCAGTGTTTAAGATCTCAGGAAAAGAAAACAAAAGCAATGGGAAAATGGAACCGTTAAAAAAGTAAGAATTCAGATTGTTTATTGTTTTAATTTGACTTTTAAAACCAATGAAAGAGTGGTTAAAGAGTTCATTAACTCCTCATGCAGTGTAAGGGAATTTTGTTGTACCCTGCTTCATACTAGGAACTAGGCTAAGTCCCTGTTCTCTCATCATCACACTTTTCTATATTTTCTCTCAAGAAAGAAATAATACATTTTATTAAGATACCTGGCCAGGCATGGTGGCTCATGCCTGTAAACACAGCATTTTGGGAGGCTGAGGCAGGCCGATTGAGCCCAGGAGTTCAAGACCAACCTGGGCAACATGGCGAGACCCTCTCTCTACAAAAAAAAAAAAAAAAAAATTAGCTGGGTGTCGTGGCACACACCTGTAGTCCCAGCTACTATGGAGGCTGAGGTGGGAGGATCACTTGAGCCTGGGAGGTGGAGGTTGCAGTGAGCCATGAGCGTGCCTGGGAGACAGAGCAAGACCCTGTCTCAAAAAAAAAAAAAAAAAAAAAAGACACCCAATTTCTTGAAAAATAAATTATTCTGAGCAAAGTTTGTTAAAAATAAATCTATTTTATACTTTAATAGTTTATTTTCATAGTTTTATTAAGAATAATTTTGTGGCCAGGCGCTGTGGCTCACGCCTGTAATCCCAGCACTTTGGGAGGCCGAGGCGGGCGGATCACGAGATCAGGAGATCGAGACTGTCCTGGCTAACATGGTGAAACCCCGCCTCTGCTAAAAATACAAAAAATTAGCCGGGCGTGGTGGCAGGTGCCTGTAATCCCAGCTACGGGAGGCTGAGGCAGGAGAATGGCATGAACCCAGGAGGCGCAGCTTGCAGTGAGCTGAGATCGTGCCACTGCACTCCAGCCTGGGCAACAGAGCGAGACTCCGTCTCAAAAAAAAAAAAAAGAATAATTTTGTATACTGTAAAATATTTTATTTAGAATAATTTGCTTTGTTATAGAATTACTTGTTAACACTGACATGCTAGGTAAATGGTGAAGGCTTTGTTGAATTATATATTATACTAAAAATCTTTAATGGATCTATAATAAAATAATTACAAAAGACTTCTCTTTTTAGGCCAGGCGCGGTGGCTCACGCCTGTAATCCTAGCACTTTGGGAGGCCGAGGCAGGCGGATCATGAGGTCAGGAGATTGAGACCATCCTGGCTAACACAGTGAAACCTCCTCTCTACAAAAATTAGCCAGGCATGGTGGCGGGCGCCTGTAGTCCCAGCTACTTGGGAGGCTGAGGCAGGAGAATGGCATGAACCTGGGAGGTGGAGCTTGCAGTGAGCTGAAATCGTGCCACTGCACTCCAGCCTGGGTGACAGAGCGAGACTCCATCTCAAAAAAAAAAAAAAAAAGACTTCTCTTTTTAAAAGAATACTCACAACTCCTGTATAAATCATGTTAATCTCTCAATAAAAAGGTCCAGGAGGCTGGACATGGTGGTTCATGCCTGTATTCCCCCAACTTTGGGAGGCCGAGGTGGGAGGATCTCTTGAGCCCCGGATTTTGAGACGAGCCTGGGCAACAAAGTGAGACCCCATCTCTACAAAAAAAGACTTTTTTGGTAGATTTTTTTGTAGAGACAGCAGGGTCTTGCTGTGTTGCCCAGGCTTGAGTACAGTGGTGCAATCTTGGCTCACTGCAACCTTTGCCTCCTGAGCTGAGGCGATCATCCTCCCACCGCAGCCTCCCAAGTAGCTGGGACTGCAGACATGCGCCACCATGCTCAGCTAATTTTTTTTAATTTTTGTAGTGACAGGGTTTTAGTGTATTGCCCAGGCTGGCCTTGAGCTCCTGAGCTCAAGCAGTCCACCTGCCTCGGTCTCCCAAAGTGCTGGTATTACAGGTGTGAGCCACCACACCTGGCCAAAAATTTTTAAAAAATTAGCCAAGCATGGTGGCATGCATCTGTAGTCCCAGCTACTTAGGAGGCTGAGGTAGGAGGATTGCTTGAGCCCAGAAGGTTGAGGCTGCAATGAGCTGTGATTGCACCACTGCACTCCAGCCTGGGCAACAGAGCAAGACTCTGTCTTAAAAAATAAAAAATAAAAAGATCCAGGAGATACGGTGAGAAGCCAGACATTGAGAATATAGAAAAGAGAAATACTAAATTTATTAACTCAACTTTCTTTTATTGCTGCTGCTACAACCTTCCCAAACCCAGGTTTTTTGTTTGTTCGTTTGTTTGTTTTGGTGCAGTGGCCTGATCATGAACCTCCTGGGTTCAAGCAATCCTCCCACTTTAGCCTCCCAAGTAGCTGGGACTATAGGCACCCACCACCACCTCCTGGCTAAGTTGTTTGTCTGTCTGTTTTTAAGAGCTGAGGTCTCACTATGTTGTTACCCAGCCTGCTTCCAGTTCTTTATTAGCTTATGGTAAAATAATAAAGTATGTTTGAAGATTTTTTTTGCTTTCTTCTTTGCTCACTTTAAACCATTACCAAAACAAGAAAACATTGGAGAATACTTTTTTTCCAACAAACTAGGAAAAAGATAAATCTGTCTAAGTAGCCATGGTGTCAGTATATTCACAGAGACCAGATATTCAGAAGTTCAGGTATAGTGTTGACTTTCAGAAGACAATATTGAAGAGCTACTTCCTATTTCTTTTGCTTTATAAAAAATGAAACTCCTTTTGCTTCTTCCCAAATCAACTTCCTTCTCTCCCTTTTCTTTTCAACATCTCCTTCTCTTCCCTCACCAGTAACTCCTCTTTTTTCTAAGCTGATGGACTTTAACTTTGCTCATCAGGGTATCCTCAAAGATAAACAGATAATATCAAATCAAGTTTCTTCCCCAAATTGATTCTAACATCCACTGTATCTACTATTAATCCCCACCCACCCCCCACCATTTTTTTTTTTTTTTTTTTTTTTAAGAGACAGGGTCTCTCTGTTGCTGGCTGGAAGTGCAGTGAAATTATCATAGCTCACTGCATCCTGAAACTCCTGGGCTCAAGCAGTCCTCCTGCCTCAGCCTCCCAAAGAGCTGGGATTACAGGCATGAGTCACCATGTCCAGCTCTCATTTTTAATTCATTATAAGATCCTAGAATCTCCAAATCTTGTAGGTCACCAAGTCATTCAGCTACCCTCTGACTCAGGAATCCTTTATGGCATTCTTGCATATGGATTTATACAAATAAATTTTACAAGCAAACATTAAAACTCTTCTTGACTACCTATGCCATACTTTACTCCTTATATTCAAAGATACATTAAATTATATTGGAGTACAGTGGAAAATGTACTTAATTAGATTTGAAAATTAAACTTTACATATTTACAAGATAAAATTACTAGGCCGGGTGCGGTGGCTCATGCCTGTAATCATTTTGGGAGGCCGAGGTGGGCAGATCATCTGAGATCAGAAGTTCAAGACCAGCCTGGCCAACATGGTGAAACCCTATCTCTACTAAAAATACAAAAAAATTAGCTGGGAGTGGTGGCATGTGCCTTAGTCCTAGCTACTCGGGAGACTGAAGCAGGATAATCGCTTGAATCCGGGAGGCAGAGGTTGCAGTGAGCCGAGATTTTGCCACTGCACTCCAGCCTGGGTGACAGAGCGAGACTCCGTCTCAATTAAAAAAAAAAAAAGAGGCCAGTGCGGTGACTCACGCCTGTAATCCCAGCACTTTGGGATGCCAAGGCAGGTAGATCACCTGAGGTCAGGAATTCAAGACCAACCTGGCCAACATGGCGAAACCCCGTCTCCACTAAAAATACAAAAATTAGCCAGACGTGGTGGCAGGCACCTGTAATCCCTGCTACTCAGGAGGTTGAGACAGGAGAATCGCTTCAACCTGGGTGGTGGAGGTTGCAGTGAGCCAAGATTGCACCGAGCCAGGACTGCGCCATTGCACTCCAGCCTGGGCGACAAGAGCAAAACTCCGTCTCAAAAAAAAAAAAAAAAAATGACTGACCTGCTGGATTTCAGACTTGCATGGGCCATGTAACCCCTTTGTTTTGGATGATTTCTCCCATTTGGAACTGCTGTATTTACCCAATACCTGTACCCCACTTTGCAAATCCAGGGTAAATACATTTCTTTAGTATGCAAGTATAGCATATGCTTTGCTTTCATCGTCACTTTTCTTTTCAGAAAGGTAATGGAAACTGAAGGCAGCATAGCAAAAAGACTGAAAGCACTTAATGTATGCCTTAAAAGACCAGCTGATATGGTTTGGCTCTGTGTCCCCACCCAAATCTCATCTTGAATTGTACTCCCATAATTCCCACGTGTTGTGGGAGGGACCTGGTGGGAGATAATTTGAATCATGGGGATGGGGGTGGTTTCCCCCATCCTGTTCTCATGGTAGTGAATAAGTCTCATGAGATCTGATGGTTTTATCAGAGGTTTCCGCTTTTGCATCTTCCTCATTTTCTCTTGCCACCGCTACGTAAGAAGTACCTTTCACCTCCCGCCATGATTCTGAGGACTCCTCAGCCAAGTGGAACTGTAAGTCCAATTAAACCTCTTTTCTTTCCCAGTCTTGTGTATGTCTTTATCAGCAGCATGAAAACAGACTAATATACCAGCATTTAAAAGTATTGTTATTAGAAGACCAGCACTTTGTTAGGTACTCATGGATAGTTTATATGTGAAATTGCCTTACATCTTTGTAAAATTCTCTAACTTGTAAAGAAAAATAAGGAATGTAGACGGGGTGAGGAATGTGGATAGAGCGGTAAGATTGTATATGATACAAATCATCTCACTATTCTACCTTAAAATAGGCATATTCTGCCCATGTCCTTCTAGGCATCTGATGTTAAATATTTTTCCTGCAGATCTTTTCAGGTTAGCTGCCTTTTTTTTTTTTTTTTTTCTTTGAGATAGGTCTTGCCCTGTCACCCAGGCTGGAGTCCAGTGGCATGATCTTGGCTCACTGCAACTTCCACCTTTCAGGCTCAAGCGAACCTCCTACCTCAGCCTTCTGAATAGCTGGGACTACAGGCACTTGCCACCATGCCCAGCTAATTTTTGTATTTTTTTGTAGAGACAGGATTTTGCCATGTTGCCCGGGCTGATGTCGAAGCGATCCACCCAGCTTGGCCTCCCAAAGTGCTGAGATTACAGAGGTGAGCCACCATTCCCAGACGGTTAGCTGCTTTTTAATAGGTTTATGTTACATTAAAATATTTTAATTAGGCAACATACTGATTAGTTTTACTTTGCACAGTTAGTTTCAGAAACAAATACGAACTTAATCTTCAGTGATACCTGTTCAGCCCTTTTTGCTAATTCACGCTGTATTTTCCTCTTTTCTAACATATCCTGCTCAATTCTGCGTTTTCGTTCCTCCTCCGTTCTCTTCCTTTGTTCCTCTTGTCTTTGTTTCTCCATTTCAGCAAATCTACCCTTCACAGTTCCTAAAAATATATGAAAAAAAAGTTTGATACTTGGTTATGTTTCTATTTTGCAATTTAATTTACTATTTACCCCTCAAGCTTCTTACCTGTTAATTTTGGAACATAAGCCTTTTCTACTTTAGAAGATACATCTTCCTCATCATCAGAAGCAAGCATTTCTTTAATCTAGATGGTTAAATAAATTAATGTGAGCACATGTCCAAAAATTAGACTAAATCACATTATATGCAGAGTTTAAATTAGGTTACAAATACAGAAAAGTATTTTAGTTATAGTTAATGTGAAATGTGGTTAATGTGAATAAATACAATTTAAATGAAAAAATGCAAACAAATATTTTCACGAGAATAAAGTAAAATAAAATAACCTCCTGCTTTCTCCTGTTCCATTCTCTCTCTCTAATATATTGTTCTTTTCTTCTTTGTTTTTCGTCTCTAGATCTCCTTTGATTTCTTTCTTCCCTGGCTCTCTGCATGGCTTCAAACTTATCCTTTACATCACCCTTGCCAAGTTTTGGTACATAGGTTTTTGGGACAGGTTTAGATGAAGAAAGCAGAATCTTCATTAGAAGAAAATAAAAAAAAGAAAGTTAACGAAAAAGATAGGAAGAAATTAGGTAAAGATAGATAAGAATAAGCAATATAAAAAATATTTATTGAAACAGAAAATAGAAATGTGTTTGAACCCTTTATTTGACCATCACAACCTGATTAGATACTTTCTAAAACCTAACTATGAAAAATGACATTACAGAAAATATGAGAGTAGAAATTTCACTGTTATATAGTAATGAAATCTCATTTTGTGGGTAGCATTCCACTGAAGCTGAAAGCCAGTAAAATATAAAAATCAAATTCTGAATTCTAATTAAAAACAACTGTCTTTTATTGTCTAACTCCATTATTAAAGATTCAGATTTGATATCACTTGCTAAAAAAGTACCCAAACTAATTTCAGTAAATTTGGTGAAGTTGAAAACAAAGCAAAAGTTTAGGCTTTAAAGTTTGAGCCTAATTCACATTTTACCCCCTTCCTGGTTTCTATATCCAATATAAGCAAAACCAAAGGCCAGTCCTTTAGTCCTTATTTGTGGCTGAGGTACACCGTGGTCTGTGTGCACAAGCTGTGATTTATGTTGTTACTATTACTTCCCATCTATAACTTCTTTAAGCCACATTAAAAATGTGTAAGAAGGCTATATCATTCTATATGGGGGCGGGCTGTAAGAGGAATTCCATATGGCAACAGCTTCACAAAGAATGGGAATCTGGTAGAAGACTGAAGAAATGATTTTCCTCCACTCTAAAACCAGAAGAGCAAATTATTTTCACCACTTTGAAAATTAAGCTGATTTCTAAATGAAATTTCAGTAAATAAAATGTGTGCCTCAGAACACCAAATCCTTTTTCCTAGTGATAATGACAATTACTTAATTAATTTGTGGCACATCCAACTTGTATTTTATAATCTATTATGTGTCATTGGCCATTTAAGGGTTAACTTTATAATTCTGAGGTGTCAGCAACTGAGCTCTTCTTACAACTCTCAGTATCTACAGTCAAGAACCAGAAGAAAGCTAAAAATTAAAATATATATATAAGGCACTAAAAAGGTTCCTTACCTAAGAGGGAATTATGTTTTCTCCTATGAGTATAGGTCAAACTTTGTTTTAATACTAAAATAATAATTTCTAAGAGTTATCAAGAACAAAATATTTAAAATTCTACTCAGAATGCTAGCTATCACATCCACTTCACTATCATTCACAAATTTACTACTCATGCTTTGTAGAATTTCCTAGAACCCAAATGAAAATACTAGCCCAAGACCAGCTGGTGAATTGTATCTCTTCTTGTTTTACATCTTGCCATTATGTTATTAATTATGAACTCCTAAATATGACCTTTCCACCAAATGACTGTCCTTTCAGCAATTCTACAGTCAACTCTACATTTCCCTCTTTTATTTTTATTTTTACTTTTGAGACTTACCTCAGCCTTTTGGGAAATATCATTCATGTTTGCTCTATGTGGTCTTGGGCTGATTATGAAGCTCTGTATATATTTGCACCTGAAAAAAATTTATATTGTATAATAAATTTTAATTTATTTGTAATATATTATGTATTTTTATAAATAGAAATAGCAGTTAATTGCCCCTCAAAAAATACTGACATGATTCAAGCAAGTAATAAATTGTGATAACCTTTAGCTCTTTTTCCCAAGATTCATGGTATAGAAAACATAAGGTGCATGATGGTAAAAGATCCCTGAAAGTTTTTGATCCAGAATAGCTTGATGAACATACTAAGTTCACTTGAAAAGAATGTGTATTCAGCAATTACTGAGTGTATTACTCTATAAATATTAACTAGCTGAAGGTAGTTGATCATGTTTTAGATCTGTATTTTTACTAATTTTTGGCTATTTCTATCAATCTTCAACTATGTAGTTTTTTGTTTGCTTGTTTTGTTTTGTTTTGTTTTTGTTTTTGTTTTGAGATGAAATCTCACTCTGTCGCCCAGGCTGGAGTGCAGTGGCGCCATCTCGCTCACTGCAAGCTCTGCCTCCCGGGTTCACACCATTCTCCCACTTCAGCCTCCCGAGTAGCTGGGACTACAGGCGTGTGCCGCCACGTCCGGCTAATTTTTTGTATTTTTAGTAGAGACGGGGTTTCACCGTGTTAGCCAGGATGGTCTCAATCTCCTGACCTCGTGATCCGCCTGCCTCGGCCTCCCAAAGTGCTGGGATTACAGGCATGAGCCACCATGCCCGGCCACCAGCTTTCTTTTTATTTATACATTTATTTTTTAGAGACAGCATCTCGCTGTGTCACCCAGGCTGAAGTACAGTGGCACAATGACAGTTCACTGTACCCTTGAACTCCTGGGCTCAAGCGATCCTCCTTCCTCAGCCTCCCAAGTAGCTGGGACTACAGGCATGCAGCACTATGCCCAGCTCTTTTTTTTTTCTCTATAGAAATGGGGTCTCACTGTGTTGTTTAGACTGGTTTTGAAACCCTGGGCTCAAGCAACTCTCCCACCTTGGCCTCCAGAAGTGCTAGGATTGCATCCGTGAGCCACTGCATCTGGCCCCCAACTTTCTTAGGTTTACAGTTTGCATGGTATATAATTTTCTAGCTATTTACTTTCACTCTATCTATGTTTTTATATGTAAAGCATATGTCTTGGACACAGCATATGTTTGGACCTTGCTTTTTACAAAAATCAATTCTGATAAAATCTGGGTTTTCTTTTTTTTTTTTTTTGAGACGTAGTTTCGCTCTTGTTGCCCAGGCTGGAGTGCAGTGGCATGATCTCGGCTCACTGCAACCTCCGCCTTCCAGTTTCAAGCGATTCTCCTGCCTCAGCCTCCTGAGTAGCTGGGATTACAGGCTCCCACCACCACACCCAGCTAATTTTTGTATTTTTAGTAGAGATGGGGTTTCACCATGTTGGCTAGGCTGGTCTCGAACTCCTGACCTTGTGATCCACCCACCTAGGCCTCCCAAAGTGCTGGGATTACAGGCGTGAGCCACCGTGCCAGGCCTAAAATCTGTTTTTTTAATTGCAGCATTTAGTTCATTAACATTTAATGTAATTATTAATATCAATGAGTTTAGGCCTATCATTTAAATATTTATTTTAGGTTTGTTTTATCTTGTTTTGTTTTTTTCTTTTGGAATTTTCTAGCCAACTTTTTTTTTAATAGAGTTTATTTTAGGTTCACAGCAAAATTGAGTAGAAGATAGAGATTTCCTGTATATGTTCTGTCCCTGCACATGCTTAGTCACCCCCATTATCAACACTGGATAACCCCATTATTACCACCTATTGGAGTGGTACATTTGTTATAAATGATGAACCTATACTGACACATCATTATCACCCAGAGTCCATAGTTTACATTAGGGTTTACTCCTGAGTTGTACATTCTGTGGGTTTTGGGTAAATGTACAATGACATGTGTCCATCATTACAGTATTGCACAGAGCAGTTTCACTGACCTAAAAGTCCTCTTTACTCCACTTACTTATGCTTTTCTCCCCCATAATTCCTGGTAACCATGATCTTTTTACTGTCTTCATAGTTTTGACTTTTCCAGAATGTCATACAGTTGGAACCACACAGTATGTAGCCTTTTCATATTGACTTTTTTCACATAGTTATGTGCATTTCAGTTTCCTCTATGTTTTTCATGGCTTGATAGCTCATTTCTTTTTAGCACTGAATAATATTCTATTACCTGCATGTACCACAGTTTATCCATTCACCTACCAAATGACATCTTGGTTGTTTCCAAGTTTTGGTGTTTATGAATAAAGTTGACATAAATATCTGTATGCAGGTTCTTGTGGACCATGATTACTGGATTATATGGTAAGAGCATATTTAGTATTATAAGAAACCACCATGTAGCTTACCACTTTGCATTCCCACCAGCAATGAATGAGAGTTCATATTGCTCCATATCCTCACCTGCATTTGATGTTGTCAGTGTTCTGAATTTTGGCCATTCTAATAGATGTGGAGTGGTATTTCATTGTCATTTTTATTTGCATTTCCTTGAATATATATTAAATGAATAAATATTAAATTAGAATTATATTAAATAATATATTAAAGCACCTTTTCATATGTTTATTTGCCATCTGTATCTTCTTCAGTGAGATGTCTCCTAAGATCTTTGTTTGGTCCATTTTTTTTTTTTTGAGATGGAGTCTTGCACTGTCACCCAGGCTAGAGAGCAGTGGCATGATCTCGGCTCACTGCAACCTCCGCCTCCCGGGTTCAAGCAATTCTCCTGTCTCAGCCTCCCGAGCAGCTGGGACTACAGGCACCTGCCACCACACCCGGCTAATTTTTGTATTTGTAGTAGAGATGGGGTTTCGCTATATTGGTCAGGCTGGTCTCAAACTCCTGACCTCAGGTGATCCGCCCACCTCGGCCTCCCAAAGTGCTGGGATTGCAGGCGTGAGCCACTGTCCCCAGCCCTTTGGTCCATTTTTTAATTGGGTTGTTTGTATTCTTATTACAGAGTTGTAAGAGTTCTTTGTGTATTTTGGATAACAGTCCTTTATCTGATATGTCACTTGCAAATATTTTCTCCAAGTCTATGGCTTATTTTTTAATTCTTTTCACAGTGTCTTTTGCAGAACAGAATTTTTTAATTTTAATGAAGTCCAGCTTATCAATTCTTTCTTTCATGAATTGTGACTTTGGTATCATAGCTAAAAAGTGAACTCCAAATCTGAGGTCATCTAGATTTCTGTCTATGTTTTCTTCTAGGAGTTTTATAGTTCTATGCTGTAAGTCTGTGATTCATTTTGAGTTAATTTTTGTGAAGAATGTAAGGTCTATTTCTAGATTCAGTTTTTTGCAAGTGGATGTCCAGTTGTTCCAGCACCATTTGTTGAAAATAATCTTTTCTCTATTTTATTGCCTTTGCTCCTTTGTCAAAGATCAGTTGATTATATTTACGTGGATCTATTTCTGGGCTCTCTATTCGGTTTCATTGATCTTTTTGTTTATTATTTCACCAACACTGCACTGTATCAATTACTGTAGGTTTATAGTATGTCTTAAAGTTGAGTAGTGTTAGTCCTCCAGCTTTGTTCTTCTCCTTCAACACTGTGTTGGCTATTCCAAGTCTTTTCCCTTTTCATATAAACTTTAGAATCAGTTTGTCAATATCCACAAAATAATATGCTGGGATTTTGATTGGGATTGCATTGAATCTGTAGATGGATCTAGGGAGAATTAATATCTTAATAATGTTAAGTCTTCTGATCCATGAACACAGTATGTCCCCCCCATTATATACATATTCTATAATTTCTCAGAAATGTTTTGTAGTTTTCAATGTGCAGATCTTCCACATCTTTTGTCAGTTATCCCTAAATAATTTCATAGTTGTTTATACTACTGTAAATGGTGTTGTTTTTTAGATTTAAATTAATGATTGTTGCTAGTACATGTTGAGTATCCCTTATCTGAAATGCTTGGGACTAGAAATGTTTCAGATTTCAGATTTTTTTTTTTTTTTTTGAGACAGAGTCTCACTCTGTCGCCCAGACTGGAGTGCAATGGTGCAATCTCGGCTCACTGCAACCTCTGCCTCCCGGGTTCAAGCAATTCTCCTGCCTCAGCCTCCTGAGTAGCTGGGACTACAGGTGCGTGCCACCACATCCAGCTAATTTTTGTATTTTTAGTAGAGACGGGGTTTCACCATGTTGGTCAGGCTGGTCTCAACTCCTGCCTTGTGATCCGCCTGCCTCAGCCTCCCAAAGTGCTGGGATTACAAGCATGAGCCACCGTGCCTGGCCTCAGATTTCAGATCTTTTTTGGATTTTGGAATATATGTGTATATATATATATATATATATAAAACAGGCTATCTTGGGGATAGGACCCAAGTCTAAACATGAAATTCATTTATGTTCCATATACACCTTATACATATAGCCTGAAGGTAGTTTTATAGAATATTTTAAATAACTTTTGCATGAAGCAAAGTTGTTTTGTTTTGTTTTTGAGATGGAGTCTTGCTCTTGTCGCCCAGGCTGGAGTGCAATGGTGCAATCTCGGCTCACTGCAACCTCCACCTCCTGGGTTCAAGCGATTCTCCTGCCTCAGCCTCCCAAGTAGCTGGGATTACAGGTGTCCGCCACTATGCCTGGCTAATTTTTGTATTTTTAGTAGAGACAGGGTTTCACCATGTTGGCCAGGCTGGTCTCGAACTCCTGACCTCAGGTAATCCACCTGTCTTGGCCTCTGAAAGTGTTGGGATTACAGGCGTGAGCCATTTTGCCCGGCCAAAGCAAAGTTTTGACTATGTTTTGACTGATCTGTCACATGAGGCCAAGTGTGGAATTTTCCACTTGTGACGTCATGTCAGTACTCCAAAGGTTTCAGATTTTGGAGCATTTGGATTTTAGATTTTCAGATTAGGGATATTCAACCTGCATACAGAAGTATAATTTTGGGGCCAGGCGCTGTATCTCATTCCTTTAATCCAAACCAACACTTTGGAAGGCTGAGGCAGGGGGGTTGCTTGAGGCCAGGAGTTCAAGAACAACCTGGGCAACATAGTAGACCCCATCTCTACAAAAAATTTAAAAATTAGCCAGGCCTGGTGGTGTGTGTCTGTAGTTTTGGCCACTTGGGAAACAGAGGCAGGAGGATCTCTTGAGCCCAGGAACTCAAAGTTACTGTAAGCTATGATCATATCACCATACTCCAGCCTGGGTGACAGAGTGAGTCCCTATTTCTAAAAGAAAAAAAATTAAAATTAAAAAATACAGTTTTTGTATTCTGGTTTTATATCTTGCAACCCTGCTAAAATAACTTATTAGTTTTTTTTTTTTTTTTTTTTTTTGAGACAGTCTCACTCTGTCACCCAGGCTGGAGTGCAATGGCACAGTCTCAGCTCACTGCAACCTCCACCTCTCGGGTTCAAGTGATTCTACTGCCTCAGCCTCCCGAGTAGCTGGGACTACAGGCGCGACCGACGACACCCAGCTAATTTTTGTATTTTTAGTAGAGACAGGGTTTCACTATGTTGGCCAGGCTGATCTCGAAGTCCTGACCTCGTGATCCGCCTGCCTTGGCCTCCCAAAATGCTGGGATTACAGGCGTTAGCCACCGAGCCCAGCCTAATAACTTATTAGTTCTATTGGCTTTTTCATAGATTCCATCAGATTTTCTACATACATAGATGATCACATCATCGGTGAGCACAGTTCTACTTTTTCCTTTCCAGTCTGGATGCCTTTCATTTCTTTTTCTGGCTTTACTGTACTAGCTAGAACCTCCAGTACAATGTTAGATAGAAGTGGTAAGAGCAGATATCTTTGTCTTGTTCCTGATCTTAGGAGAAATATGTCCAGTCTTTCACTGTTAAGTAAGATGTTAGCTGTAGGCTTTTCTTAGATGCCGTTTATCAGACTAAGTTTACTGGAGTAATTATCAGTAACAGATGTTGGATTTTATCTAATGCTTTTTCTGTGTCTATTGAGATAATCATATGGCTTTCATTTTTAATTTATTAATATTGTGAGTTACATTAACTGATTTTCAAGTGTTAAATCAACCTTAACATTCCTAGGATAATTCCCAATTGGTTATAATGCATTATCCTCTTAATATATTGCTGGAATCAATTTGATAAAATTTTGTTAAGTTTTGTATCTGTATTTATGATAAATTATTGGTTGTGTAAGTTATCTTTTCTTGTGATGTCCGCTTTTATTAACAGAGTAATATTGTCTTTATAGAATGAGTTGGGAATTATTTCTTTAGTTTTCTGGAAGAGTTCATGTAGGATTTAGTATTATTTTTTCCCTAAATATTTGCAAGAACTCCCCAGTGAAGCCATGTGGGACTGAAGTTTTCTTTATGGGAAGGAGACAATATAATGGGGGAGAGGATGGGACATGATTCCCTGTAATTATTAATAAGATCCTAACTTTTCTTGTTTAGTGGGTCTGTCGGTGCTTATGACATTATTAAAAATAAAGGAGTAAATTAAAGGAATCCATCTATACATGAGTGTGTCATGAACTAAGGTTTATGAGTAACCTAATTTTATGTGCCTGAGATAAAAATAATAAATAGCACTAGTCCTGTTGTCTTACTTGAGCCATTATATCATATCTAAAGTTACCTGTTAGATATTTTATTAATTTATTTATTTATTTATTTATTGAGATGAAGTTTTGCCCTTGTTGCCCAGGCTGGAGTGCAATGGTGTGATCTTGGCTCATTGCAACTTCTGTCTCCCGGGTTCAAGCGATTCTTCTGCCTCAGCCTCCCAAGTAGCTGGGATTACAGGCATGCCCCACTACGCCCAGCTAATTTTGTATTTTTAGTAGAGACAGGGTTTCACCATGTTGATTAGGCTGGTCTTGAACTCCTGACTTCAAGTGATCCACCCGCCTTCGCCTCCCAAAGTTTTGGGATTACAGGCATGAGCCACCATGCCTGGCCTGATATTTCTTCTTATATAACCAACAAAACCTACCCTTCATTCTCATGGCTTCTCAAACCTTGCAGTTATTTTTGATTCATTCTTCTATATCTCCTAGATTTTAATAGATTGTCAAGATTTATGAATGTTGCTTTCAAACTTCTCTTACATATTACTTCATATTTCCACGGCCTCCATACTAATACAGACCTTCAATCACCTCACATTTAGATTACCAAAATTTGGTAATCAGACCTAAATCCAAATTTCAAATCTGTTAACTGCTTAGTTAGGATTAGCTGAGAGCATTATATGAAGAACCCTGGAATAATAACTAACATTAGTAGATATCAATAACTTTGATTAATTTTATTACTATTCATCTCCCCTACTAGAATTTACTCTATTTAGGAAAAAACCTATCTTTCCCTGCCAGTGAGCATATATAATGTATTACTTACACAATTGTGGTGGCTCATGCCTGTAATCCCAGCACTTTGGGAGGTTGAGGCGGGCAGATCACCTGAGTTCAGGTGTTCGAGACCAGCCTGACCAACATGAAGAAAGCCCATCTCTACTAAAAATACAAAATTAGCCAGGAGTGGTGGCACATGCCTGTAATCCCAGCTACTCGGGAGGCTGAGGCAGGAGAATTGCTTGAACCCGGGAGGCAGAGGTTGCTGTAAGCTGAGATCGCACCATTGCACTCCAGCCTGGGCAACAAGAGCAAAACTCTGTCTCAAAAAAAAAAAAAAAAAAAAAAATAGAGGTAGGGGAGGGGTGGGGGTGGGTGCAGTGGCTCACACCTGTAATCCCAACACTTTGGGAGGCTGAGGTGGGAGAATCGCTTGAGCCCAGAGTTTGAGACCAGCTTGGGCAACATAGCGAGACTCATCTCTACTGAAAATTTAAAAATTTGCAAGTGTCATAGCACATGCTTGTAGTCCCAGCTATTTGGGACACTGAAGCAGGAAGATCGCTTGAGCCCAGGAGTTCAAGGTTGCAGTGAGCTGTGATCATGCTACTGCACTTCAGGCTGGGCAACAAAGCATGAGACTGTCTTTAAAAAAAAATAGAGACAGGGGTCTCACTCTGTTGCCCAGGCTGGTCTCGAACTCCTGGCCTCAAGTGATCCTCCCACCTCAGCTTCCCAAAGTGCTGGGATTACAGGCATGAGTAACCATGCCCGAGCCTCTCATGCAGTTTTTTTAGAGTAATACTAAAGGGTATGAGGAAAACTTGGAATCATGGGATCATAAGAACTGATAATTTTAGGTCAATTAATTGGCCAGAAGGGACTTCAAAAGGCTTTTTTTGTGTGTGTGTGAAATGAAAGAAAATTGGGTGGCTTACTGACAGTGAATAATTAATCTGTCAAGAATAGTCCTAGAAAATAAATGAATCAGCTAGACCTCTTCATTTAATTTGTAAAAAATCCTCAAATTATATCTTGACTTAATTATAGATTTAGAATAAAATAAAATTGATTTTAAAAATTTACTATGAATAAAACCACTTAAAATCGTTTTTTAAAATGTCATTTTAGTATTCTGAGCTCTCATTTTAAAACTCAGTGAAAATTTGAACAGCACTAGCCTTAACTTTTTTGGTTAAAATATAAGCAAGTGATCCTTTACTCAAAGTTTGCTCTGTTCTGCCTTTTGAGGATAAAAAGTTGTAGCAAAATAAGTTCATGACCTTTTTGTGTTATGGAATTGCACTTAAGGTGCAAATTACAAACCAATAGAACTCACATCTCTTAAATATTTTTATGTTGGAGAAAAAACTTCATAATTACGTAGACACTGTAAATACATATAAGATTCCTTTATTGTTAATTAAAAGGGAAGTATGACACTGCCTTGGTAGAAACAACAGTGCATTTCAGTTGCTAACTCATTTACCTATCTGTGTTAACACAAGGATAAAGGTGTGAATTTGACTCTGTTTGGCCTATTAACTTCACAGGAAAACTCTGTTCCCTAGTCATTAACTGTATTATCCTATCTAAACCCACTATTTCACTAATACATCCTTTAGTCACAAAACATGAATAAAATTAATGATGAAGATAATCCAAGTTAACATTTGTTAAGTCTTTACCGTGTGCCTGGTAATGTGCCAAGTAGTTAACAAGCATTGTCATTTATTTCCTACAACAACACTTCAAGGTAAATACTATTATCAAACCTTCTCTCCAAATCATTTCCCGGCCAGGTGTTATGGCTCACACTTGTTATCCAGGCTGAGTTGAGGCAGGGGAATCACTTGAGGCAGGAGTTGGGGACCAGCCTGGGCAACATAGCAAGACCCCATCTCTACAATTTAAAAAAAAATTAATCTGGGTGTGGTGGCATGTCCCTGTAGTCCCAGCTACTTGGGAGGCTGAGGCAAGAGGATCACTTGAGCCCATAAGTTCAAGGCTGCAGTGAGCTATGATTGAACCACTGCACTACACCCTGGGCAACAGAGCAAGACCCTGTCTCAAAACAGAAACCAAACAAACAAAAAACAACTTTAGAACAAATGACATATACAGGCTCAATGTTATCATAACTTTTCATAAACCCCCTCATAAAAATTCCAAACCCACATATATTTTAAATTTTAATATTAATACAAAAATAATTTGAAATCTCCCAAAATATTCTACTAGAACTTTTTGCGCTTAATAACCTTTGTATTTAATTATATCCTAATGATAATTATATAGTTAACTGTTGGTTTTTTCATGCACATTAAGAAAACATTGACGGTGGAAGAAGCACTGGAGTTAGAGCCAGAAAACTTGGATTAGAGTTTCTGTTTAGGTTAATTATTAGATATGTGATTTTGGATGAGCCAGTTAACTTCTGTGAACTTCAGTTTTATATGTAAAATGGGCCTAATAATGCTTTTCTCATTATATTGCCAAATAAAATGAACAGTTCCCTTTTTCTGAACTTCACTGCTACACTTGATACTCTCAGTCACTCCTTTCTTCCTGAAATCCTCCTTGCTTGGTTTCATAACACTATTCTCCCTCTGTTTTTTCATGTCTCTGAGCATTCCTTCTCTATGTCCTTTGAGGGCTTCTATACCTCTCTCTACCTCTTAGATGTTGTTTGCCCCCAGCTTTCAATCTTTGCCCTTTTCTTCTCATTGTCCACTTTTTCTTCTGTGATTTAATACACTTTAGTAGATTAAATTACTTCTGTAGCCTCATCTCTTTTTACCCCTCCCTCCCACTCTATCACCCATACTGTAATACTGGCACAACTCAAGCCTTTGCAGAGCTGGCTCCCTCAGCTTTATGCTATTCTCATTCCCTTATCACTCAGCTAACTCCTACTCATCCTTTAATTCTTGAATTGTCACTTTCTCCAGGAAGCCTTCCTTGATTCCACAAGACTAGGTTAAGTGCTTCTCCTGTTTGCTTACACAGCATCCCATGGTTACCCTAATTGTAGCACTGACCACAATGTACAGTAATGACCCACCTTCCTGAAAACCTCCTCGACCAGAAGGTGAGGTCTTTGAGAGTAGTGACTGTGTTTTGTACACCATTATATCCATAGCACCTCCTGCCTCAGCGTCCTGAGTGGTACTACAGGCTTGCACCACCATACCCAGCTAAGTTTTGAATTTTTTTGTCGAGACAGGGTCTCACTATGTTGCCCAGGCTAGTCTTTAACTTCTGGGCCCAAGTGATCCTCCCACCTTAGCCTCCCAAAGTGCTGGGATTACAAGCATGAGCCACCATGCCCAGCCCTGAACAAGTAAATCTTGCCAGCTTCAAGGTGAATCACTTTATGAACAGATAAAGATTATCTGGATATAAGGCATGACTATCATTATGATTATCATTATGCAGGGATATTGTATAAATACAACATGCCACTTATATTAATTTTTTTTTTTGAGACGGAGTCTCACTCCACTGCCCAGGCTGGGCAATGGCGCAATCTCTGCTCACTGCAACCTCTGCCTCCCGGGTTCAAGCGATTCTCCTGCCTCAGCATCCTGAGTAGCTAGGACTACAAGCACGCACCACCACACCCAGCTAATTTTTGTATTTTTAGTAGAGACAGGGTTTCACCATGTTGGCAAGGATGGTCTCTATCTCTTGACCTCGTGATCCGCCCACCTTGGCCTCCCAAAGTGTTAGGATTAAAGGCGTGAGCCACCATGCCTGGCCCATAAGTATTTATTAAGCATCTACTATGCCAGGCACTCTACTGGGCACTGAGAAATATAACACTGAACACACAGACATGGTCTCTATTCTCATGCTATTAACAGTCTCTTTGCAACAACTCTCAACAAAAGCCTTGGAACCGGATTTTTAAGTGGTCCAGCCTGATTTGCTATTTGCAAACACAGGTAAGGTTCTAACATCAACCATGCCTACTATAGAATTGAAAGGCAGTATACACTATTCCCCAACTTCCAGTTAGATGACTAAGATCAATGATTTCCATTCTCAGTCCATATTTTGCACTTCTCTTACTCCCTGATTTTCCTCTGTACGCATGGTAGACTCTACGCTCCCTTCCCAGATTGCAGGGGATCAGTTGCTTTCCAGTATCTTGTTCAATTAAATTATAATTTAAAATAACCCCCAAAAGCTATCACATAAAGCTTTTCAATATTCACGCAAAAACTAGCAAGTTTGAAAGATCCTCTGTTCCTTTGATTCAACTTTTCATTCTCTTAACAAACTGTCTATACTATATTTTAAAGAAGTCTTCTGTTGAACATTTATAGCAGATTATTAGTCTTTTAGAAACATATTCTCAAATGCCAAATATCATACATTAAATATATACAGCTTTTGGTATGTCAATCATATGTTAATAAGGTGGTTTTTTAAAAAATTCCAAATATCACCAGGAACAGTGGCTCATGCCTGTAATCCCAGCATTTTGGGAGGCTAAGGCGGGCGGATCACTTGAGGTCAGGAGTTTGAGACCAGCCTGGCCAACATGGTGAAACACCATCCCTACTAAAAATACAAAAATTAGCTGGGTGTGGTGCCAGATACCTGTTATGTCAGCTACTAGGAAGGCTGAGGCAGGAGAATCCCTTGAACCTGGGAGGCAGAGGTCGCAGTGAGCCAGGATTGCACCACTGCATTCCAGCTTGGGTGACAGAGTAAGACTCTGTCACAAAAAAATAAAAATAAAAACTAAAAATTTCAAATATCAATTTAATCTTTGACTTATTTTATCATCTCCTCCCACTTCCTTTCTTTCTTGACAGGATCTCACTCTGTCGCCCAGGCTGGAGAGAAGTGGTGCAATCACAGCTCACAGTAGCTTCGACCTCCTGGGCTCAAGCAATCCTCCCACCTCAGCCTCCTGAGTAGCTGAAACTACAGGCACACACCATCACACACAGCTAATTTCTGTATTTTTTGTAGAAACAGGGTTTCATCATATTGCCCATGGCTTGTCAGTCTTCCCAGTTTCGTGCTTATATATATTAATAGTCAACATTTCAGTTACCAGTCTATAAACTTAATTTTGCTGCTTTATTTAGCAAAAGGCCCCAGCTGCTCCTTCAATTTCATATAATTATGCTTGCCAGAAATTATTTCTATTTAGTCTTCATATGTATCACTATAATTTTCATTAATAAACTTACAAAATGAGAAGCTATAAAATTCAAAGTATTCACTTTACTGGTTTTCTTTTCTTCGGAATCCTGATAAACATTTTCAAATTATTCAATCTTTTCAATAGGTGCCGGAATCCAAGTGTAATGACATAGTTAACTTCAGTTGCTATAGGGCAGCTACTTTAATGTAGTTTCTTCAGAACTCTTAACTGATACATATTGTATTAGAATAGAATAATAATTTAAGTATACATTATTGGTAAAAAAAATAGGTTTTAAAAGTTCCAGAAGAACTTCTAGCCATGATTGTTCTGATTTCTCTCTTTTTTTTTTTTCATTTCTTATGATAGGATAACAGCCCACCATTCTTTCTGCCCTCAACCAGGCCCACTAGGTTCTCTACTCAACTACTGCCATCTCTACCTCTCTGTGCTCTAGTGTATCACTCTAACTCTGAGGATGTTAACTGTGTAGTGCATCATGGATCAGAACTAAAATTCTCACCTGGGCTTGACAGGCCTTCTGCAGACCCTCAGACTCTTCAGTTTCCTTTGTCTTCTCTCCATTTTTTCAACCTTCCAGCTAGACAAATCTATTTAGTAGCCTTTTTCTACCTCCAAGACCTTTCTTAAGTCACTTCTTTACCAAGGAGGTATTTTCCCAAACTAATTATAATGGAAATGGTGATTTTTCTCCACTTCATCTTAAACATGGTTGTTTTTTCTCCTTCAGTCTCTGAGACCTCTAAATATGCTTAGATTTCTAGGTGTATCTGGCATAAACTTTAAACATTTTTATATTGGTAAACATCTCAGACATATCAGTCTAATCTATCTTTTTTGTTTACTTTTTTATTATGGAAAATTTCAGGCATACAAACTGAAAGAGACTAATACAATGAACCCCCATACACCCATATCAAGCTTCAACAATTATCAGCTTTTTCCACTGTATTAGGCAATACAAAGTCTGTTTCATTTATTTTGTGCAACACCTATTTCAGCATAACACATCTTTATAGATGTTTTAAATAATATTCTACCTGTACTCACCATATCCTAGGCTCTATGTAGTACATCCTCCTATCCTCTCAGAATATGAACAGAATCAAAACCTATAATTCTTGCCTTTTATTCTCTTTTGGGAAAACTTTAACCACTCAAAGAAAATTGGTAAACTTTCATTTGATGAAGTCATTAATAAAGTAATGAAAAGTTACATGTACAAATAAAATTTAAGGATTTTTTTAAAACTGCAGTACGTTAAAGGAAAGTTCTGAAACCTCTAAACCAAATAAAGGAGGAGAAAATAACAAATTGAATACCTATTGTGTACCATAAACTAGGTGATTTTCATATGCTTTATAAATTTAGAGTGATGAGTATGACAGAACTAAGAATAAACAGAAAAAGATAAATTAGTGAACATTGATGTTTTTTCAAGAAACATTTATTGAACATTTTTCTATAATGTGCTAGGTACAGTATATAGGCTACTACATAAATAATAACGAATAGGATAAAATATCTGTTATGGAGTTTATGGTCTAGATGAGATAAAATATAACTATCAAAAATATAATAAGGCTTACATTTTTAGATTAGAAAAGGCTTTATTTAGGTAACATCTGAAAGTGTGTAAACACACATAAAAATTAGCTTTAGCTGGGTGCATTCCTGTAGTCCCAGCTTAGTTAGCGAGGACTGAGGTAGAAAGATCGTTTGATCCCAGGAGTTTGAATCTGGTTTGGGCAACATAGTGAGACACCATCTCTAAATAAAATAATAAGATCTGTGATGTTAAAGAAAATCCCCCCACAAAAAGAAAGGCTATGTATTATAAAGTGGGTCTCAAACTTTTGGGGCTCAGGACCTAAAGTCTGGGCCCATTATTGAGGATCCTAAGGTGGTTCTTGGCCACCTTAAAGGGGCAGCCACAACACAACAATTCGGCTCCATTGCACCTTGTAAGTATCTAAGATCCCCGGCAAGTCCATTGAATTCTTATGAAGAATAAGATGAGAGAGAAAACAGTGACCAAAAGATAAGGTTGAACATGTGGTTCTAAGAGTTTGGTTATAATAGAGGTTTTGTTTATATGGATAATAACAATAGGTCTTTAATATATTAGAAATTAAAACAAAATATTCTAATATGTACTTATAAAGTCATTTAAAGTAACAATAACAAACCATTATTTATAAACATAAAAATAATTAGTAAGAAGAGGAAAATAATTTTACATTTTTGCTAATCTCTGGTATCTGGCTTAATAGAGGAAAAATACATTCTCATATCTGCTTCTGCATTCAAACTACGGTGATGTTGTTTTGATTGAAGTCTCTAAGAAAATATGACCTTATACTAATATGTAGTTGGAAAAGGAAGGACTTTATGGACCCCTAAATGGTACTGAGGACTCCCAGGGGTTCTAAGACCACATTTTGAGATTTGCTGAGTTACAGGAAAAACATCCTAATTGAGTCATATCAAGTTCTCATTCTAGAAATGTATTTTAGAATGCTAAATGGAGATTGGCTTAACAACTTAATTCCTATACTCAGTGACCTGAATGCCAAGAGACTTTGTATCTGGAATCTTAACAGGCTTTTCTTCTTCTAGCGTTAAGTGATTTTTCTTGTTTGAGTAGGCAGATGCAATGTCCTTGGCCACCTTAAAGGGGCAGCAGCAACCCAACAATTCAGCTCCATTACACCTATGTATCTAAAATCCCAGGCAAGTCAATTGAATCGTTATCAAGAATACGATTAGAAAGAAACCAGTGATCAAAAGATAAGATGGAACAGGTGGTTCTAAGAGTTTGGTCATAATAGAGAAGGCTGGGATGATAAAGAGATTTAGTAATGGCATTCTAACACATTAAGCATTCATGTTAAATGAAGACGAATATGTATCCACCGCAGGTTTCAGAGGTAATATTGCAATATTAGTATAACCCATACACAATTTATCAAAAAAGCTGCATTTTTTCAAATTTGACAGATGAGGTCTGTATTTACAATACATTATTTTTGTGAAAAGGAGAATCTGCTGTATGCCAAAAAGTATGCCTGGCAATGGGATACGAAACAAATAAGAGCTAGCCCTTGTGAATCAAATAGCTTTGGTGACAGAAATAGATGTACTAATTATTATATGATGTAGTAAATGCTATAATACCAGTATTATAACCAGGCTATAGAAACATGGAAAAGACTATGGTATGGTTAAGGAAGAGGCTGGGTTAAAGAAGGTTTCACGGAGACAATGACATTTGAGTTAGACCTTGACAGATAAGTAGAATTTCACAAAGTGGAAAAGATTGTAAAGGCATCCAGGAAAAAGAACCAGAATGAACAAAAATACCAATGCCTGGTGACCCATTGCAAATCTGGGGAGCTATAAAATTGTCCAGTCAGTCTATGGCAAAACTAGAAGGACAGGCTGGGCACAGACTAGAATGAATACTGTGCACCATATTAATAAAAAGTTCAGATATTACCTAATAATACTATAGGCAATAGAGAGCCAGCAAACGAGCATGACTGAAAGATGTATCCTAGAAAGAAAAGAAAAAGAAACTCATAGCAATGTAGAGAATGGAGTTTAATGGGGAAAGACTAGTGGAAGGAGGACAAGTACAATGACCTTGGTAAGAGAAGATAAGGGCCTGAATTAGGACATTAGCATTAGGAATGAAAAGCTGGAAGAGACATTTTGGAAGTGGAATTGACAGGACATGGTGACTCATTATTTATTTAACAAATATTTCTTACGCTCCTACTTTGTGTCAGGCGCTATCCTAAGCTTGGGGAGATGAAAGGGAACAAAAAGTCAAAGTCCCTGTCTTGATTAAATTTTTTTGTTTGTTTTTTGTTTTTTTATTTTTTATTTTTTTATTTTATTATTATTATATTTTAAGTTTTAATGTGCACAATGTGCAAGTTTGTTACATATGTATACATGTGCCATGTTGGTGTGCTGCACCCATTAACTCGTCATTTAGCATTAGGTATATCTCCAAATGCTATCCCTCCCCTCTCCCCGCATCCCGCAACCGTCCCCGGAGTGTGATGTTCCCCTTTCTGTGTCCATGTGTTCTCATTGTTCAATTCCCACCTATGAGTGAGAACATGCGGTGTTTGGTTTTTTGTCCTTGCGATAGTTTGCTGAGAATGATGGTTTCCAGTTTCATCCATGTCCCTACAAAGGACATGAACTCATCATTTTTTATGGCTGCATAGTATTCCATGGTGTATATGTGCCACATTTTCTTAATCCAGTCTATCATTGTTGGACATTTGGGTTGGTTCCAAGTCTTTGCTATTGTGAATAGTGTCGCAATAAACATACGTGTGCATGTGTCTTTATAGCAGCATGATTTATAGTCCTTTGGGTATATACCCAGTAATGGGATGGCTGGGTCAAATGGTATTTCTAGTTCTAGATCCCTGAGGAATCACCACACTGACTTCCACAATAGTTGAACTAGTTTACAGTCCCACCAACAGTGTAAAAGTGTTCCTATTTCTCCACCTCCTCTCCAGCACCTGTTATTTCCTGACTTATTAATGATCGCCATTCTAACTGGTGTGAGATGGTATCTCATTGTGGTTTTGATTTTCATTTCTCTGATGGCCAGTGATGATGAGCATTTTTTCATGTGTTTTTTGGCTGCATAAATGTCTTCTTTTGAGAAGTGTCTGTTCATAACCTTTGCCCACTTTTTGATGGGGTTGTTTTTTTCTTGTAAATTTGTTTGAGTTCATTGTAGATTCTGGATATTAGCCCTTTGTCAGATGAGTAGGTTGCGAAAATTTTCTCCCATTTTGTAGGTTGCCTATTCACTCTGATGGTAGTTTCTTTTTCTGTGCAGAAGCTCTTTAGTTTAATTAGATTCCATTTGTCAATTTTGGCTTTTGTTGCCATTGCTTTTGGTGTTTTAGACATGAAGTCCTTGCCCATGCCTGTGTCCTGAATGGTATTGCCTAGGTTTTCTTCTAGGGTTTTTATGCTTTTAGGTCTAACATTTAAGTATTTAATCCATCTTGAATTAATTTTTCTACAAGGTATAAGGAAGGGATCCAGTTTCAGCTTTCTACATATGGCTAGCCAGTTTTCCCAGCACCATTTATTAAATAGGGAATCCTTTCCCCATTGCTTGTTTTTCTCAGGTTTGTCAAAGATCAGATAGTTGTAGATATGTGGCATTATTTCTGAGGGCTCTGTCCTGTTCCATTGATCTATATCTCTGTTTTGGTACCAGTACCGTGCTGTTTTGGTTACTGTAGCCTTGTAGTATAGTTTGAAGTCAGGTAGCGTGATGCCTCCAGCTTTGTTCTTTTGGCTTAGGATTGGCTTGGTGATGCGGGTTCTTTTTTGGTTCCATATGAACTTTAAAGTAGTTTTTTCCAATTCCGTGAAGAAAGTCATTGGTAGCTTGATGGGGATGGCATTGAATCTATAAATTACCTTGGGCAGTATGGCCATTTTCATGATATTGATTCTTCCTATGCATGAGCATGGAATGTTCTTCCATTTGTTTGTATCCTCTTTTATTTCATTGAGCAGTGGTTTGTAGTTCTCCTTGAAGAGGTCCTTCACTTCCCTTGTAAGTTGGATTCCTAGGTATTTTATTCTCTTTGAAGCAATTGTGAATGGGAGTTCACTCATGATTTGGCTCTCTGTTTGTCTGTTATTGGTGTATAAGAATGCTTGTGATTTTTGCACATTGATTTTGTATCCTGAGACTTTGCTGAAGTTGCTTATCAGCTTAAGGAGATTTTGGGCTGAGACAGTGGGGTTTTCTACATATACAATCATGTCATCTGCAAACAGGGACAATTTGACTTTCTCTTTTCCTAATTGAATACCCTTTATTTCCTTCTCCTGCCTAATTGCCCTGGCCAGAACTTCCAACACTATGTTGAATAGGAGTGGTGAGAGAGGGCATCCCTGTCTTGTGCCAGTTTTCAAAGGGAATGCTTCCAGTTTTTGTCCATTCAGTATGATATTGGCTGTGGGTTTGTCATAGATAGCTCTTATTATTTTGAGATACATCCCATCAATACCTAATTTATTGAGAGTTTTTAGCATGAAGCATTGTTGAATTTTGTCAAAGGCCTTTTCTGCATCTATTGAAATAATCATGTGGTTTTTGTCTTTGGTTCTGTTTATATGCTGGATTACATTTATTGATTTGCGTATATTGAACCAGCCTCACATCCCAGGGATGAAGCCCACTTGATCATGGTGGATAAGCTTTTTGATGTGCTGCTGGATTCAGTTTGCCAGTATTTTATTGAGGATTTTTGCATCAATGTTCATCAAGGATATTGGTCTAAAATTCTCTTTTTTGGTTGTGTCTCTGCCAGGCTTTGGTATCAGGATGATGCTGGCCTCATAAAATGAGTTAGAGAGGAGTCCCTCTTTTCCTATTGATTGGAATAGTTTCAGAAGGAATGGTACCAGCTCTTCTTTGTACCTCGGTAGAATTCGGCTGTGAATCCATCTGGTCCTGGACTTTTTTTGGTTGGTAAGCTATTGATTATTGCCACAACTTCAGAGCCTGTTATTGGTCTATTCAGAGATTCAACTTCTTCCTGGTTTAGTCTTGGGAGGGTGTATGTGTTGAGGAATTTATCCATTTCTTCTAGATTTTCTAGTTTATTTGCGTAGAGGTGTTTGTAGTATTCTCTGATGGTAGTTTGTATTTCTGTGGGATCGGTGGTGATATCCCCTTTATCATTTTTTATTGCATCTATTTGATTCTTCTCTCTTTTCTAAATTTTTTTTTTTTTAATTAGACAGAGTCTTGCTCTGTCACCCAGGCTGGAGTGCAGTGGTGCAATCTCAGCTCACTGCAACCTCTGCCTCCCAGGTTCAAGCAGTTCTGTGCCTCAGCCTCCCGAGTAGCTGGGATTACAACTGTCTGCCACCACACTCAGCTAATTTTTGTATTTTTAGTAGGGATGGGGTTTCACCATATTGGCCAGGCTGGCCTTGAACTCCTGAGCTCCACCCGCCTCGGGCTCCCAAAGTGCTGGGATTACAGGTGTGAGCCACCATGCCCAGCCTTCTTGATGGAACTTACACTGTAGTGGGGCACAATTGCAAGAGGTTTGGCCAATTTGATTTGGAGGGGTAGAGGTGAGGAGAGGAATATTGTCAAGAATGAACCCAAGCAAGAGTCAGAGGATGAGAAATAAACAAACAAACAAGTAAATAAAAAAGGATGAACCCAAGGTTTCTAGTTTGAGCAAATGGGTGAACAGGGTTACCATTAACTGGAGATTAAATTAAAAGGCATGTTTAAGTCAGAAAATGAGCTCAGTTTCTGAGTCACTGTGCTTGGCCGACAACTTATTTATTTATTTATTTATTTATTTATTGAGACAAAGTCTCACTGTGTCACCCAAGCTGGAGAGCAGTGGTGTCATTTCTGCTCACTGCAACCTTTGCCTCCTGGGTTCAAGCAATTCTCCTGCCTCAGCCTCCCGAATAGCTGGGATTACAGGCACATGCAACCACACCTGGCTAATTTTTTTTAGTACAGACAGGGTTTCACCATGTTGGCCAAGCTGGTCTCCAACTCCTGACCTCAAGTGATCTGCTCACCTAAGCCTACCAAAGTGCTGGGATTACAGATGTGAGCCACTGTGCCCAACCAGGCTGTCAACTTTTAAGATTTCTTTTTTGAGATGGAGTCTTGCTCTGTCGCCCAGGCTGGAGTGCAATGGCACTATCTCAGCTCACTGCAACCTCCACCTCCCAGGTTCAAGTGATTCTCATGCCTCAGCCTCCTAAGTAGCTGGGATTACAGGTGTGCACTACCACACCCGGCTAATTTTTGTATTTTTTAGCAGAGATGGGGTTTCACCATGTTGACCAGACTGATCTCTAACTCCTGGCCTCAAGAGATCCGCCTGCCTTGCACCCCCAAAGTGCTGGAATTACAGGCGTGAGCCACAGTGCCCAGCCAACTTTTAAGAAGATTTTAAACGTAATACTTAACTATATGCTACAAGTAAATGTTGAAACCTAATTCTTACAGTCTTTGGAACAAGCAACAAAATTGTTTTGAGCTTCATAAAATATGAGCCTAAATTTTTATCATTTTTCACTTGTACAGGAAACATAAACTTAGGTATAATGTAACTTTATTGCATTTAATTAATGAAGGTTGCAACCTTATACTTTAAAAATTACACTATAGGTGACCGGGCGCGGTGGCTCATGCCTGTAATCCCAGCACTTTCAGAGGCCAAGGCGGGCGGATCAAGAGGTCAGGAGATCGAGACCATCCTGGCTAACACGGCGAAACCCCATCTCTACTAAAAATACAAAAAAATTAGCCAATCATGGTGGCGGGTGCCTGTAGTCCCAGCTACTCGGGAGGCTGAGGCAGGAGAATGGTGTGAATCTGGGAGGCGGAGTTTGCAGTGAGCTGAGATTGTGCCACTGCACTCCAGCCTAGGCAACAGAATGAGACTCCATCTCAAAAAAAAAAAAAAAAAAAAAAAAAAAAAAAAATTACACTATAGGCTGGCCATGGATGGTGGCTCACGCCTGTAATCCTAGCACTTTGGGAGGCTGAGGCAGGTGGATTGCCCGAGCTAAGGAGTTCGAGACCAGCCTGGCCAACATGGTGAAACTCCATCTCTACTAAAATACAAAAAATTAGCCAGGCATGGTGGTGTGCGCCTGTAGTCCCAGCTACTTGGTAGGCTGAGGCAGGAGAATTGCTAGAACCCGGGAGGTGGAGGTTGCAGTTAGCCGGGATCAGGCCACTGCACTCCAGCCTGGGCTACAGAGCAAGACTCCATCTCTAAAAAAAAGGAAAAAAAAGTATACTATAGGCTGGGTGCATTGGTTCATGCCTGTAATCCCAGCACTTTAGGAGGGTGAGGCCTGGGCAACATGGTAAAACCCCATCTCTACAAAAAACAGAAAAATTAGCCAGGTGTGGTGGTGCACACATGTAGTCCCAGCTACTCGGAAGGCTGAGGCGGGAGGACTGCTTGAAGCTGGGACATAGAGACTGCAGTGAACCCTGATCACGCCACTGCACTCTAGCCTGGGTGAAAGATCGAGACCCTGTCTCCAAAAAATAATAATAATGAAATAAAAATGATACTATAAAATGTCCAAAAAATAATAATGAAGTAAAAATGATACTATAAAACCTGTCATAAACCTCATTGCAATTCAAAAATATGAAATTAGATCCTATTTCACCTATACGAAGTAGTGATCTATTTCCCTCCTACCAATACACAATTCCTCACCGAAAACCAAGAATCTTATGCCAGGTGCAGTGGCTCACACCTGTAATCCTAGCACTTTGGGAGGCCGAGGCAGGTGGATCACCTGAGGTCAGGAGTTCGAGACCAGCCTGGCCAACATGGTGAAATCTCGTCTCTACTAAAAATACAAAAAGGCCAGGTGCGGTGGCGCATGCTTGTAACCCTAGCACTTTGGGAGGCCAACGTGGGCAGATCACGAGGTCAGGAGTTCGAGACCAGCCTGGCCAGCATGGTGAAACCCCATCTCTACTAAAAATACAAATTAGCCAGGCGTGGTGGCGAATGGCTATAATCCCAGCTACTCGGGAGGCTGAGGCAAGAGAATCACTTGAACCCAGGGGGTGGAGATTGCACTAAGACGAGATGGTGCCACTTCAGCCTGGGCAAAAGAGCAAAATTCTGTCTAAAAAAAAAAAAAGAAAGAAAGAAAATCAAGAATCTTTTGAATCTTTCAACCTGCCTTGATATCCTTCCGCAATAAGTATAAATAACACTTTGCCCTTATATGACAGTATGTGATACTTTTCGAAGTATATCCACCAAACTATGAGCCCCTGAAAGGTAAGAACTGCTCTATTCCTCTCTATAGTTTTAGTGTTTCGCACAACACCTAGGACATAGTACAAGCTCTATTCGTATTTGAGCTAGTGAATGAATGACAAAGAGATAACAGGAAAACTGTCTGATCCAAAATCATCCCAAATAAGACACATGATTCTTATCTACAAAAGGAAGACTGATGATCTAGATGCACTAACTAAAATAATAAAAAATAAAATGGGGTGAATTTATGCTAAACTAAATACCATGAACAACCAGAAACCTGAGGCTTCAGGAGTTCTGTTCCCAAGCAAATTGATGTGGTAATCACTGGAGTCTGGGCCTCCTCACCATCTCTGCAAGCGGAAGATGATCTTTCATTGAAGGACACAGCTGGGAATAGGAAGACCTGGATCTCTGGCTCCAAACATGTCAGTGGAATGGGGAGGCAAAAGAAAAACAGTAAACTCCTCTTTATAGCCAAGCTGTAGGAGTCACAAAAACTCTCCTAAACACTTCTCAAATGGACAGGGAGTAGAATTTTTAAGGAGGCCAGGCATAGTGGCTCACACCTGTAATCCCAGCACTTTGGGAGGCCGAGACAAGAGGATTGCTTGAGACCATGAGTTTGAGACAAGCCTAGGCAACATAGTGAGGCTCTATCTCTACAAAAAATTAAAAAATCAGCCAGGCATGGTGGTGCATGTCTGTAGTCCTAGCTACTCAGGAGGCTGAGGTAGGAGGATCACTTGAGCCCAGGAGATAGAGGCTGCAGTGAGCCAAGATCATGCCACTGCACTCTAGCCTGGGTGACAAAGCAAGACTCCGTCTCAAAAAAAAAAAAAAAAGATTATTTACAAGATCCTAGGAAATACTTCCTTAGCAGAAATATCTTCCCCATGCTTTCTAAAATCCCACCAGGGAAAGTATTTTATTTGTTTTGGTTAGCAATATATGGTCCCTTCCAGCTCTAATCGACACTAACAATTAGTGTCAATGAATGCTAATCTCTTCTCCCACTCCCATGATCACATTATTTAAGAGGTTTGCTAACCAAAATATATCTACAATGTTTAAAGTCCCAGTTCCTGTTGCTAAGTACAGCAGACTTTCCATCATATGATGCATCAGATATACTTGCCCTAATACTTAGATCGGGGACTGCATACTCAAGTATTCAGGGTCAGGTAATGTAAATGTAATGTAAGGTAATGTTATGTAATATAATTGACAGGTAATGTAAATGAGTGTATGACTTGTTTAAAACAATAGGGAATCTCAGAGACTATGTCAAATGCAGAGCATGTGACCTGCCTGTCTGTGGGGCAGCCACTATTTAGTTCCAGTATATTGTTCCTGTGCAAAAATGTTAACCTTTGGGTACAATGTACACTATTTGGGTGACAGGTACACTAAAAACCCAGACAGACTTCACCATTTTACAATTCATCCATGTAACCAAAAACCACTTGGTACCCCTAAAGCTACTGAAATAAAAATAATTTCTTTAAAAAAGTGAACCCAGATTTTGCCCAGATTTTCCAATTTTTAAGAGAGGACGTAAATCGATATTTTAATGTAAAATGTACCAATTTTTAAGTATGTCTGTGGCTAAAAGTGTCTTTTTTTTTTTTGACACAGAGCCTCACTCTGTTGCTTAGGCTGGAGTGCAGTGGTACAAGCACGGTGCACTGCAGCCTCAGCCTCCTGAGCTCAAGCAATCCTCCTGCCTCGGCCTCCCAGGTAGTTGGGACTACAGGCATGCACCACCACATCTGGCTAATTTTTAAATTTTTTGTAGAGATGGGGGTGGGTCTCACTATGTTGCCAGGCCTGGTCCTGAACTCCTGGGCTCAAGGGATCCTCTCGCCTCAGCCTCCCAAAGTGCTTGGATTACAGGCATGAGCCACCACACCCAGCCCCAAAAGTGTCTTTTTTGTTTTTGATTTTTTTTTTTTTTTTTTTTTTTACTTTTTTTCCACACTTGGTAATCAGGAAGTAAAAGGTGTCTTTTTGACTGTCGACTTTTTGACTGCCATAGCCTTAGTCTAAATGAATAGACAACACTGACAAAATGGAAAGGGTCAAAGGGGAGGCCTATTTTGGCCAGAAAGAGTGAAGGGGAAGAAAAGACAGGGAAGAGGCCCAGGATGGACGGTGAGAAGTGAATTTCACCAACCTTGAAACCTCATATAGGGAGCCCCAATCTGCTTGTCTTCTAATCTAAGAGTAAAAAGGAAGAGATGTCAAGAAGGAAATAAAGGAGGAAGAAAAAGAATCACCTGTTGAGCACTTACTGGATGGCAGACACTGCATGGGATGCTTTCACATGTTGTTTTATTGAGATATGTCAATGCAAAAAGAAAGAGTTCTATGCATGGGAAAAAGACTTAAAGGAAATACATCAAAATCCTAACAGTAAGAGTGTCAGATTACAAGAGCCCCTTTTTCCATTCTCCATAATTTTTAACCATAAATATAACATGGTGTATTAACATTATAATACAAATTAAACTAAAATTTAAGGTGGATTTCTGGGTACAAATCCACCCACCCTGGAGTATAGAAAGTAAACTACTATAAATTAAGCCAAACTATACACTGAATATTTAAATAATAAAGGAAAATGTAGCCATTTCAAATGTATATAATATGTAACTATGCAATTATAAACCCAGAAAGAGAACATGAAAGAAACTACACAGGTGATATGGACCGCAGATTGATTAAATAAGAACAGAAATATGTGAAATTGTTAAGAATGTTATAAATCATTTTCTCTCCAAATTATAAACTACCAAGATGTTCTGTGTGTGTGTGGCCTACATAACTATAAAATAACAGTCCTCTCTTCTATAAAAACGTTTAGACTTTTACCTGTCTGTTACATACTTTTCCACATTCACTGCATTATTTTCTTTCTTTTAGGTGTGCACAACTCTCATATTTAAATAATCCCCCTTTTTTTTGTCTTTTAGGGTATTTCAAAGATAACAGGTATTTTTTTTAATAAATGAAGTATGTCATTATAGGCCGCTCAGATTCTAAGCAATCTGAATCCCCAATTAATGTCTTCCAAATATGCATATTTAGTTTTTATTCTGCTCAAAAATGAAACCCTAACCTAAATACTTCAAGTGAAATTTCAGGGGAAAAAGACTGTTCAAAAACCTAGATAATGCATTCCTTTGTTGATGCTAAATATAGTCATCTCAAGATGACATACATTTTGACAATGATCAGCCTTACATGTCAAATTTTCAAAAATAGCACAAATTCCATTTTAAGGTGAGCAGGAACAATTGCTATTCATTACATTTCAATTGAAAATGGATTTTAAAATATGAATCTTTTATTAAAACTGGATTACATTGTAACTATGATGAGGAAAACTGGATTTAAAATAATTTTGTTGTGGTTTTAGCTTAGAATTCTTTAAGGGAATTGCAGATAAACTACATAATTGCATGCATTTTTCTTTAAATTGTTCCTCAGAAGCATTAGTCAAAATATAAAATATCTGCAAAAATACGGTGTTAATTGTAAGGAAGAAGAAACTTAAACAGCTACATTGGTTAATCAAAGTTTACTTATACAAATTATACCTCCCCCCAAAAAACCTTTCTCTCATTTGATTAATTATGCATTTTTTCTTAACAATACCCCAAACTCAAAAGAATTTGAGACAAAGTTTTCTAACTGCAGCAGTTTAACCTGTAAAGGATAATGTTTAGCGGGGGAAATTATGTGGTCCACTCAATAACGTGTGACTAAGATATAAATAACGTGTGACTAAGATATGAACTTAAGTATAAATACTTAAGTTTATTTAATCACATTACCTAAGACATAGTTATGTTGTGACTCGAAGGCCAATGGGCCGCTGCTACATGAATTCATTAACAAAATTTAACGATGAATGATATTCCCGTTGTTTTGGTCAGGGAACTAATTTCTTTATTATGGCTTCTTTTCTCTACCTGTGTCTTCACCAAGGACATTTTGTTAGGACATATCCTTATGCTATTTTTACCTTGTTATCTCTCTGCCAACTTGGTTCACGTTGTGCTTTAATAACTATAAAATGAGCATCTCTAAGTCACTGCAGTAACCAACTATAACCTCTCAACTTCGTCATTTTCTTTATAAATGCCAATGCTAATGCATTTGTAGAACGTTTCACAATTTACAAACAGCTGGAATGGTTTGGCGTTTTCAAAAGCATATAGGCAAAGGGAGTTCTCAAGAGGTGACTACATTCTTCACTCACTTAAACTACGTAAACTTCGTAAACTTCCAGCCCTAGTTGCTCAACCCCCAGCATCCCACCTCGGGCAGAATCACGAAAAAAAAAAAAAAAAGGGTTGGAGACAGGAGTGGGGGGATATGCGGGGGTGTGGGGGGGGAGTAATAGGCTGTTAAATCATATTTCTCCCCATCTTCCACAGAGACCGATCAGAAAGGATTTCTTAACTGGCACTGCTGGCAGAGACGGAGACCGCGGCTGGGGCAAGTGGTGGGGGACGGCACTGAACTTCCCTAAGGACCCCAAGGGTTCAGCCGAGGGATCGGCACCCACTCCGCTCACAGAGGGCTCCCTCCCTACAGTAGGGAACGCACCCGAAACTCAGCCGACAAGGCGCAGGGGAGCAGGGCAAAGACATTGCAACCAGAAGCCCAAGGCCGGCCGACACTTTCAGACCCTGGGGCAGCCCCTGGTAGGCACCCCGCCGAGCCCGCAGGATGCGGCTCCAAGGCAGGGTTCGCCCGGGCCGGGGCCAGCGCGGACCACAGCTGTATGGCGCCCGGCGCCCTCCGGAGCTGCAGCGGAGCACGGCCAGAAGCCGCAGACCCCGAGCGCCTCTCTGCAGCCGCCGTTCCCGCCCCCGCCCCCACCAGGGGACCCGACACCTCCGTCTCCACTCCCCCCAGCCCACGTTCCCCCAACTCTTCTCACCCTGCAGGAGCCGGTGACCGGCGAAGGTACTTCTTTCCGCGTGGAGGGACTGTGCGCGTCCCGCCTGGCTGTGGGTAGGGGTCTGGGAGCTCTGGCCGCTAACACTTCTGCTCCAGCCGCTGGGAGTCCTCTGGCTGCCGCTGCCGCCGCCGCCGCCGCCGTCTCCAGCAGCAAGTTTCCATAAAAGTCCTGGTGTGCAGCCTGTTCCCGCATTCCAGGCGGGCCCAGCGCCGGCTGCAGCTGTTCCAAAACACAAGGCCAGTTCCCCCAACCCCCCACCTCCGCCGTTATCACCCGGAGTGGGGGTGGAGAGTTGAGGAGAAAAGCAGGGGAGGGGGACCGTGGCTGCCAACTTTCCGCCAGAATTTGTCTGTCTCCCGGCCCTAGGTGCGCGAGCTGACCCCCTAACTTTGGGCCTGCCTCCACCTCCAGCCAGGCCTGGGGAAGGAAGGCTGCCTCCGCCATGGGAAAGGAATGAGGCTGAAATGGGCTTCATTACCGGGCTGAAGCTGGCTCCCCCTACCCGCAACCAGTTTGCTCTGGGGCCCACTTCTCTCAGCTACTCTACCCGTCCTAGTTTCCAGTCAAGAAGCCAAGCCACTACATATCTTCTACTACCCTAAGCATTGACCTTTGGCCAAGTTTTCCTTTATTACAAAGAGCGTGGGGCAGCAATCCGGGAACACTTCATCTGTCTATTGCTCCCCTGTTCTTAGCTCCAGTCTTTAACTCTAAAAGGAGAGTTAAAAAAGAAGAAGAAGAAGAAGAAGAAGAAGAAGAAGAAGAAGAAGAAGAAGAAGAAGAAGAAGAAGAAGAAGAAGAAGAAGAAGAAGAAGAAGAAGAAGAAAGTTGAAGGCAGAGGAGGAGGAGGAGAAGAAAAGAAGGAATATATTTATATAAGTACAAATATCTTTATATTCCACCTTTTTCTTAATTGAAGGCAAACCATATCTGGTCTTTCTAAAGCTTCATAAAGGCATCTTTGACTATTAGACACCCACAGACCTTTTTCAACTTGGACCGCCAGCCTGTCAAACCCATCAGACAATACCATATTAAAACCCGAAATGCACACTCGGAGTATTTTTGGTGGACGAGATCTTTAATTCTTCACTGCACTTGAAAAAAAAATCGAAATGACATCCAGATAAAGAATAAAGGTAACCACTTCCACCTTCAGGCCCTAAGCAGACAGCGGTGCTCAGGTTATATTTCAGGGATGTTGAAAAGGCCTTCTGGGCTGGGCGCGGTGGCTCATGCCTGTGATCCCCGCACTTTGGGAGGCCGAGGCGGGTGGATCACTTGAGGTCAGGAATTCAAGACCAGCCTGACCAACATGGCAAAAGGCCGTCTTTACTAAAAATACAAAAAATTAGCCTAGTGTGGAGGCACACACCTGTAATCTGAGTTACTCAGGAGGCTGAGGCAGGAGAATCACTTGAAGCCAGGAGGCGGAGGTTGCAGTGAGCAGAGATCATCCCACTGCACTCCAGTCTGGGTGACAAAATGAGACTCTGTCTCCAAAAAAAAAAAAAAAGGCCGGGCGCGGTGGCTCCTGCCTGTAATCCCAGCACTTTGGGAGGCCAAGGCGGGTGGATCACCTGAGGTCAGGAGTTTGCGACCAGCCTGGCCAACATGGTGAAACTCTATCTCTACTAAAAATGCAAAAAATTAGCCGGGCGTGGTGACGTGCGCCTGTGATCCCAGCTACCTGGGAGGCTGAGGTTGAAGAACCCACTTCGCTTGAACCCGGGAGGCTGAGGTTGCTGTGAGCTGAGATGGCGCCATTGCACTCCAGCGTGAGCAACAAGAGTGAAACTCCCTCTCTCTCTCTGTTTCTCTCTCTCTCACACCCGTACACACAAAAGGCCTTCTACTCAAATATAACTCTGTTCCCCAGTCCCATCCCCACAGTATTTACTCAGGATGGAAACTTTTCTAAGGAGGGTAAGCCATTCATTCCTCGATTACAGAAAAGTTCAAAATTGGTAATTAAAATTATTTAAATGTACCGAACTACGGATAGTGATAGGTGGTCTTGGTAGTCTTGCTTGTGCCCTTGCTCTCTTTGATGCCATCACCTTGGCCTTCTTCAGTTCATGAAACTTTCTATGGGCAGTCTGGCTGCAGGGCCTTTGTATAAGTTGTTCCCTGCATGAAATCCTTTCTCCCACTTTCCCCTTCACCTAACTTCAACATATCCTCCCGATCTCTTCTTAAATGCTGCTTCCTCGGAGAAGGCTTCCTTGCATCCCACCTTTCTCCCCACCTTGCACCTCACCTTTCATCCCACCTTTCTCTTCCCTATATATATATATTCCTATTTATTTGCTTATTTATTTATTTATTTATTTATTTATTTATTTATTTATTTGGAGATGTAGTCTCGCTCCGTCGCCCAGGCTGGAGTGCAGTGGCACGATCTCAGCTCACTGCAACCTCCGCTTCCCCAGTTCAATCGATTCTCCTGACTCAAAAGTAGCTGGGATTACAGGCGCGTGCCACCACACCTGGCTACTTTTTGTATTTTTAGTGGAGATGGGGTTTCACCATGTTGGCCAGGCTGGTCTTGAACTCCTGCCCTCAAGTGATCCACCCACCTCGGCCTCGCAAAGTGCTGGGATTACAGGTGTGAGCCACTGTGCCCTGCCCCTATACATATCAATTTATAATTACATATTTATTTCTGTGATTTAAAGAAGTGAGTTGGCTGAGCATGGTGTCTCACGCCTGTAATCCCAGCACTTTGGGAGGCTGAAGCGGGTGGATCACTTGAGGTCAGGAGTTCGAGACCAGCCTGGCCAACATGGCGAAATCCTGTCTCTACTAAAAATATAAAAATTAGCTGAGTGTGGTAGCGTGCACCTGTAGTCCCAGCTACTCGGGAGGCTGAGGCAGGAGAATTGCTTGAAACCAGGAGGTGGAGGTTGCAGTGAGCCGAGATCATGCCACTGCACTCCAGTCTGGGCGACAGAGTGAGACTCTGTCTCAAAAAATAATAAATAAATAAATAACTAGAAACTTAACAATTTTTTATTTTTATATCCACCCAATAGATTCACCAGATTAAACAAAGCTCTCCATTCTCTCTGTAGAACACTGATAGCTACTCACAGCATGCAAGGCCTGCTTATTTTCCCACCAATTCATCATTCATTCATTCAACAGATATTCAGTTCTATATGCTAAGGATACAGCAGTGATAAAGGAAAAATCCCTGCCATTATGGAACATACATTCTAGTGAAAGAAGGCAGACAATAAGCAAATAAGTGAACTATGTAGTATTTAGTGACATGTAATATGGCAATATGGATAATACCAGAGCAGGGAAGTAGAGAATGCTGGAGGCAGGCTGAGTAGATGTTGTAATTTTAGATAGAGTGGCTAAGGAAAGCCTCATATGAGTAAAAGCCTTGAGGAGAGTGAGGCAGTAGGCTATGTAAATATCTGGAGAAGCAAATATTTGGAGGAAGAGTGGTCCAGGGATAGATACAAAGGCCCAGAGAAGGATTCTATCTGACATGTTCTAGGAAGAACCAGGAGGCTTGTGCGAGTGAAGCTGAGTAGGTGAAGGGTGAGGTAATAGGAGGTGCAGTGGGGAGCAGGAGACAAGACTACGTAGGATTTTGTTTGTTTGAGAATAAGTCTCGCTCTGTCGCCCAGGCTGGAGTGCAGTAGCATAAACTCTGCTCACTGCAACCTCCGCCTCCTGGGTTCAAGCGATTCTCTTCCCTCAGACTCCCGAGTAGCTGGGATTACAGGCACCTGTCACCATGCCCGGCTAATTTCTGTATTTTTAGTAGAGATGGGGTTTCACCATATTGGCCAGGCTGGTCTCAAACTCCTGACCTCAGGTGATCCGTCTACCTCGGCCTCCTAAAGTGTTGGGATTACAGGCGTAAACCAACATGCCTGGCCTTTTTTTTTTTTTTTAGAGACCCAGGCTGGAGTGCAGTGGTGGAATCACAGCTCACCGCAGCCTCTAACTTCTGGGCTCAAGCGATCCTCCTGCCACAGCTTCTCTGAGTAGCTGGGACTACAGGCATGCAACAACACACCTGGCTAATTTTTTAGTTTTTGTAGAAATGGGGTCTTATTATGTTGCCTGGGTTGGTCTCAAACTCCTGGGCTTAAGCATCCTCCCACTTCGGCCTCCCAGAGAGTAGGGATAATAGGCATGAGCCATTGTGCCCAGCCTCTTTTTGTACAGCATTGTAAAGATTTTGGTTTTTACTCTAACATGGGTGGTCTCTGGTAGGTTTTGAACAACATAGTGACATGATCTGACATGTTTACTCTCTCTAGCTTAAGTGCTGCACATACACCAAATGAGGCAAGAGAAGAAGCAGGGAGATCAATTAATTAGGAGGCTTCCACAATAATCGGAATGAGGAATGGGGATTTGGGCCAAAGTGATAGTTGTGAAGGTAGTGAGAAATACCTGGCATATTTTTTTTTCCTTGTTGCCTTTTTAGGTAGAAATGGTAGGATTTTTTTTTTTTTTTTTTTTGTAACTGAATGTGAGGTGTGAGGAAAGGAGGTTTTGGGCCTTTGATCTGGAAGAATGGAGTTGTAATTTACTCAGATAGGGAAGGTTGTGGGAAGAGGAGGTTTAGGCAGGGGTGGTAAGGAGCTCAGTTTTGACATGCTAAGTTTGAGATTACTAAAAATCCAAGATCTGCCCATTTGTATAAGCATTACTTGTATACTTATCACGAGTGATTAGGTTTGTTCTATGTCAGTTGCACGGTTTTGAAATTATACAAAGTAAACATTTAAAAAATGAAATTATAGGCCAGACATGGTGGCTCACACCTGTAAGCCCAGTGCTGTGGGAGGCCAAGGTAGGCAGATCACCTGAGGTCAGGAGTTCGAGACCAGCCTGGCCATGATGGCGAAACCCCGTCTACTAAAAATACAAAAATTAGCCGGGCATGGTGGTACGTGCCTGTAATCCCAGCTACTCAGGAGGCTGAGGCAGGAGAATCGCTTGAACCCAGGAGGCGGAGGCTGCAGTGAGCCCAGATCGTGCCAAAAAAAAAAATAAAGAAAGAAATTATAAAAGCAAAAATAAAGTTATAGTTTTTTATAAAAGCTGAGTTGAATGCTTTGAAAAGACTTGATAAAGGCAAATAGCTTACAAAAATTACCACCAAGCTAGGTGTGGAGAAGACAAATGTAAAAGATTGGGTACAAAATTGTACAAATCTAGGGAGATTCTGCAGTCAGTGCTTTTTAATGTACCTTTTCTCTCCTTTAAAAGTAAGGAAAACTCGAAATTCCAGATGATGATTTAGGGCAGGGGCCCCCAAACCCCAGGCTGCACAGCAGGAGGTGAGGACTGGCGAGTGAGCATTACCACCTGAGCTCTGCCTCCTGTCAGATCAACGATGGCATTAGATTCTCATAGGAGCGCAAACCCTATTATGAACTGTGCATGTAAGGGATCTAGGTTGTGCACTCCTTAGGAGAATCTAATCCCTGATGATCTGTGATGGACCAGTTTCATCCCAAAACTATCCACCACAGCCACCCCCGAACCGTCCATGGAAAAATTGTCTTCCCCAAAACTGGCCCCTGGTGCCAAAAAGGTTGGAGACCACTGATTTAGCGGTTTAGTTTATGTAACAAAGATATCTTGAAATATCGAGTGAATCCATACTCCCAACTAAAGGCCTTGATACTATATCAAAAGATTGGCCAAAGAAAGTACATTCATTCATTTAACATTAAAATGTCAACCAGGCATGGTAGCTCAAGCCTGTAATCCCAGAACTTTGGGAGGCTGAGGTGGGAGGATCACTTGAGGACAGGAGTTCAAGACCAGCCTGGGAAACATACCAAGACTTCCTCTCTACTAAACAATAAAAATAATCCAGGTGTGGTGGCATGTGGCTGTAGCCCCAGCTACTCAGGAGGCTGAGGCAGAAGAATCACTTGAGCCCAGGAGTTAGAAGTTGCAGTGAGAACCACTGCACTCCAGCCTGGGTAAGGGAGAGAGAAAAACCTTATCTCCTAAAAAAAAAAAAAAAAAAAAAAAAAAAGTAATTTGTCTACATCATTATGTATAATTTATTATGATTCCCTGCCATGGTATCCAGCCACCAAGACAACCCCAAATGTTCCACCTCTTGGTACTCGCATCCTGTGTAATCCCCTCCCACATTGTGTCAGTGTTGGTCTGTGTTACCAATGGCAGAAGTGGCAACACTTCCACATCTAGGTTATAAAAGACATTGTGTCTTTTACCTTGCTATTTCTTGGATTATTTATCTGGGAGGAAGCCAGCTGCCACGTCTTTTTTTTTTTTTTTTTTCTGTAGAGACAGGGTCTCATTTTGTGGCCAGGCTGGTTTCACACTTACAGGCTCAAACAAACATTCCTCCTGCCTCAGCCTCCCAAAGCGCTGGGATTACAGGCATGAGCCACCATGCTCATGCCTTAAAAGACATGCTGGCCAGCTGTCATGTCTTAAAAGACACTCAGGCAGCTGAGAGGTCTAGTTGGTAGGAACTAAGGTCTCTTGCCAATGGCAAGGGACTGAGGCCTCCTGAAAACAGACATGTGAATGAGAAAACCTTAGAAGTGAGTCTTCCAGCCCCAATCAGGCCTTCAGATGACTGCAACTTCAGGAGAGAACCACCAGACTAAGCCATTCCTGAATTCCCAGCCCTCAGAAACTGTGTAAGATCATGTTTGTTGTTTCGAGCTGCTAAAATTTTAGGATAATTTGTTGTAACAGATTGTGAATATAATTGCTTTAACATTTATTATCCATCTTCATCTTCTACCACATTATTTTATTGGTCCTTTGTAAAACTCCTGGGGCCATTCTTTTTCTTTCTTTTTTTTTTTAAAGATGGATTCTCGCTCTGTTGCCCAGGCTGGAGTGCAATGGCGTGATCTCAGCTCACTGCAACCTCTGCCTCCCAGGTTCAAGCAATTCTCCTGCCTCAGCCTCCCGAGTAGCTGGGACTACAGGCACGCAATGCCACGCCCGGCTCATTTTTTGTATTTTAGTGGAGGTGGGGTTTCACTGTGTTGCCCAGGCTGGTCGCGAACTTCTGAGCTCAGGCAATCCACCCGCCTCAGCCTCCCAAAGTGCTGGGATTACACGCCGTGAGCCACCGCACCTGGCCCCTGGGACCATTCTCACACAGAGTTATTATTAAATAAGAATTAGCAAAGTTCAGAAAGTCATATATTTCAAGTGCTTTCTAATTCAAAGTGCTTCTCTATATTCAAGTACTATGGTATCATTTCAAACATAGCAAATTATAAAAGTTCTGTAATTTCCTAAATATAAATGTACTTTGTGAAAGGCTTCTGTGACACACATAAAAGACATATTTGATGTACCAGTTGCTTTGCTGTGGCTTTTAAGTAAAGAATAAAAAGTGTCATAGAAGGAAGGCTGTTTTTCTTCTCTGTAGTAGAATACAGTCCTTCCCTGCCCAGATGATGGTTACTGTAGAGTTTTCACTGTTCAGATATAGAAAAAGCCAAAGAAAGAACCTTAGCAGACAGAAGAGTTTGTGTAGCCTGATCAAAGATGTCAGTAGCGTAAGAAGAGAAAGAGATCAAGGGAGAAGAAGTGGCAGGATAAAGTATCAGAGAATACAGGGCATAGGAAGAAACACTGCAGAAAAAACCAGAAGTCAAAAGCAGCATAAGAACAGTTAGTTTAGAAAGATTAACAAAGTGATTTATAAAGATTTCCAGCAAAGCCCTATAAAGTCTAACAATAGGGCACTAAGATGTTTGCAGAGAAGCATTTTAAATATACATAAGAATTCAGAGACAGATGTTTAAAGTGCAAAACATTAAGTTCAGATCCTGAACATTAAGTTCAGGATCAAAGAAGATGCATGAGACAACAGAGTATGGCAGATAATGACAAAACAGAAAATGAGAATGAGATGCTGCTCTAGTTTCCCATTGCACTCCAACCCTGTATCCTAGCTAAGGAAAGATTCTATTCATGTTTATATGGTTTTCTTATCAATATATTTCACTTTATATGTTTAATAATTCTAAAAATATAACTATATTTATCTATATCATATATAATTATTCTAAAATAAACCCATTTGTTAAAAGTCTCAAACTAAGAATCTGTTTTCATATCCAGGTGACTTCCATCTGGTGACTATGGTGGTATCCAGGTGGCACCCCTCTCCTTGACTAAATATATCTGAACCCTTTTGTTTTTTGGTTTTGAGACTGAGTCTCACTCTGTTGCCCAGGCTGGAGTGCAGTGGCGTGATCTCAGCTCACTACAACCTCCACCTCCTGGGTTCAAGCAATTCTCCTGCCTCAGCCTTCCAAGAACCTGGGATTACAGGTGTGCGCCACCATGCCTGGCTAATTTTTGTATTTTTAATAGGGACAGGGTTTCGCCATGTTGGCCAGGCTGGTCTCAAACTCCTGACCTCAAGTGATCTGCCTTGCTCGGCCTCCCAACATGCTGGGATTACAGGCATGAGCCACTGCACCCGGCCATATATCTGAAGCCTTTTGAAGAATTGATGAGAAGAGAGGTTCAGGTCATATATGAATAGTAATGATGCATATACATCAATATATCAATATAAGTTTATATTATGCTTGATGGCATTATCATCCAAACACTTAAATTAAAATACAAGTATTTTCACTTTATTCATCACAAAACTGTCTTTTTCCCCATATCAGTACATGGAGAAACAATAAATTTTTAATCTTTGTTTTCATTTTTTATTTTTTTGAGACAGAGTTTCGCTCTTGTTGCCCAGGCTGGAGTGCAATGGTGCACTCTTGGCTCACTGCGACCTCTGCCTCCCAGGTTCAAGCGATTCTCCTGCCTCAGCCTCCCAAGTAGCTGGGATTACAGGTGCCCACCACCATGCCCAGATAATTTTTGTATTTTTAGTAGAGACGGGGTTTCACCATGTTGGCCAGGCTGGTCTCGAACTCCTGACCTCAGATGATCCACCCGCCTCGGCCTCCTAAAGTGCTGGGATTACAGGCATGAGCCACCGCACCCGGCCTTTTATTTTTTATTTTAATGATAAAGTTTTATATTTGATTATAATGCTTCTGCAGTTGTCCTGTTCTCTATGCCATATATATGGGTCTTATGGAGACTGAATATTCTCATACAGGATCTGATGAGACAAGTGTGACTTCATAATTATATATTAACATTGTTTAAAATATTCAATACATCAGCAAGACGTACCATCACTTTTTTATTTGGCAGTAATAGTAATACATCCATGTTACAGTGCTTATTTTGGCTAAAGAGCCAGTGCAATTTTTTCTGCTACTGTAGTGTTTTACTTTTACACAAATTAATGAGTACAGTCCTTACATTTAGGAGACAGAAACATTTACTGACATCAGCTAAGTAAAGCTAATACATGGTTGTTCACAAACTAAACAAAACAATAACATAATATACTCATTAGGAACAAAGTAGGGATGTTCTTATTTCCACTAATCACAGATTATATAAATTCTTAAATTTCACATACATATTTCTAAATCTAAGCAAAAAAATTAGAATTCAGCTTAATTCCTATAATCATTTTGAAATTTACATCAAATAATTTCTGAATATATATTCACATTAAAATAAAAGTAAATGGGTTATATAAACATAATTTAAAATTTCTGATTATGAAAAGTTATAGAGAAGTACATTAAATGTTACTTTGGCATTCCTATTTCCTAGGCTTACAGGAATTATTAAGAATTCCTTTGTAATGCAAATAATCACTCTCTTGGAAATTAAATTTAAGTAGAAAATGTTACATTTTAAGGCAAGAAAACATTTGTAAATATTTTTATAAAGGCATTTAATTCAACAAATTAACGGAATCATAGTAAATGGATGCAAATAAAGAATATTACTTTATGAGAAAGACAAAGTTCTTTGGAGCTTACTGTGACAGTATGGAAAACTTGTCTTCTTTTTTAAAAGATAATTCCATTTTGATACTTAATAAACATAATGTTAACCTTCAAGAAGAAATAAGCACTCTTAGTTGAACAAAAATGTAGGGAAATTAAAATACAAAAAATGAAATTAAAAGAAATACCAAATGTAAATTGCCTCAAAATTTATCTTCTTTCTTCTAGAAAAAAGGATATTTTCTCAGGAGTGACTTAATTGAAGTCCCTCTTATAATTTACATATGGAAGTGGATGGTAGAGCTCATGGTGGCAAGGGCAATTCCATGATTAAGTGTTTAAACAGGGTTTACCCTAAAAGGCTCTAAACTAATCATTTTTAAAGACATTGCTTTTGCTATTTAACCCAATTTTAAGGCAAATGGAAACCGTTACATATGTCTTTTTTTTTTTTTTTTTTTTTTTTTTTGAGACAGAGTTTTACTCTTGTTGCCCAGGCTGGAGTGCAATGGCACGATCTCGGCTAACTGCAACCTCCGCCTCCCGGGTTCAAGCGATTCTCCTGCCTCAGCCTCTCGAGTAGCTGGGATTACAGGCATGCGCCACCATGCCTGGCTAATTTTTGTATTTTTAGTAGAGATGGGGTTTCACCATGTTGGTCAGGCTGGTCTCAAACTCCTGACCTCAGGTTATCTGCCCACTTGGGCCTCCCAAAGTGCTGGGATTACAGGCGTGAGCCACTGCTCCTGGCCTGTTATATATGTCTTAAGTACCCTTCTGCATGCAGTCAGAAATGTTCTTTTCAAGAGGACATTTCCTTTAAAAAGTTCAAGTTTCTTATCTTACGATAAAGAGATATTTCCTATACTTATTGTCCTAAAATTCTATTTGGTCACTCTTACCTCTTTTGTGAAAGGCCACATCTTGCTAAAGTAGCAGCTACTGAACTGACCAGAAACAAACTCAAACACTGAATTTGACAAACCAACCTGCTGAATATAAGCAACTTTTTCTAAGATGAAATGTAAAAAAGAAAAAGAAAAAACAAAAAGCAACACCTTCTAGAAAGCCATTCATCTTATCTCATAAAATTAATTCCCCAGAGTTATCTCATGTAGTAGCAGCATTATCAAATAGTGCAATTCTTCAAAATTGATTTCAAATAATATCTTTCTAAAATAAATTACATTTACTTACAGCTTTGCTTATAAAACCACAGCTTAAAACACTTAGCCCTCAAATGGGTAAATTACTATAAGCAATAACTGTCTTGTCTACATGGTAATGAAATGCACGTGCACGCACACATGTGTGTGTGAAGGCCAAAGATACCGCAACAAGGTAAAAACATGTAATATTAAATAAAAAGTAAACAGTACATAATGGAATTTTTAGTTTTGGTACTTCTAATCATATTCCCGTCAATAATAAGAACTATAAATAGGTAATTGTTAAATTAAGCATCTATGTAAGAAAAGGCAAGGAGCTATATACTAAAGAACAGTGATAATTTGTATGTTTCATGCTATATAACCTATAAAGTACATGCAAAACAGCATGATCCTGAATTCCATATTTTATAGTTAATTTACATAAATGTGGCACATACAGAAAATTACAAATCTTAAAAGATTATGCTTTTCCCGCCCACTTTTTTCATCTTCTATTTATTAATCAGAAACTAGGCACTTTAATCTAAAAATTCGCTTTTTAAAAATGCATTTTAGGAGTAAGACATGGTGACACATGCCTCTGGTATGAGGAGTTGGAGACTGCAGTGAGCTATGTATGATAGCACACTGCACTCCAGCCTGGGCAATAGAGCGAGACCCCATCTCTTAAAAGAAGGCAAAAAACAATGCATTTTAGGTCCTTTTGTGCAACTCACTCCTAAAATGACTAAAGCCCGTTTTAGGGGCAAAATCAACAAATCTCATCTACTTACATACTGAGTTAGTCACTCCAAATAAGTGGTATATTATTTAGAAACAAAATTAATACAACTCTGAAAGCATTTAATATACTCTTATAGAAGAACTCCACCCATAAAAACAATTCATTTGTTTGTAGATTTATCATAATGAACATGAAATATATACTTCCACATCATTAAAAAATATTTTTGTTTTACATTCCAGGGAGGAAAAAACTCTTCTTTAAAATGTCAATAAGATTCAAACTATGAATATTTTTAAAACATGGGCATAATATGACAAATTCCCACTGGGCTGAGTTTTCTGTGGGAATAACTAAAAGGAAGGAGAAAGGAGAAATTATTTCACTGTACCAAGTTTCATACCTTCAGATGTTGACAGTCTTCAAATAACACTAAATTTTAAATTGCCTTTATTAATTAATAAATGTTATCTTTTTAATCAATACTCATTCCAGGGGAAAATGCTCTAATGTATAAAAAGAAAGTTCTTCAGTCTCTTTGTAACTTACAGGACCAACAGTAACATATTTTGGAAACTACAGTTAATATAAATTTGTAAATTGTAAATTTCTCAATGTCAATTCATTTAAATGCTGTATTTGTTTTATTTATTCACTTCTGAGATAGGGTCTTGCTGTCGCCCAGGCTGGAGTGCAGTGATGCAATCACAGCTCATGACAGCCTTGACCTTCTGGACTCAAGTGATCCTCCCACCTCAGCCTCCCAAGTAGCTGGGACCACAGACACATGCCACCACACCCAACTAATTAATTTAATTTAATTAATTTATTTTTTGAGACAGAGTCTCACTTTGTTGCCCAGGCTGGAGTGCAGTGGTGCGATCTCGGCTCACTGCAGCCTCCACTTCCTGGGTTCAAGCAATACTCCTGTGTCAGCCTCCCGAGTAGCTGGGACTACAGGCGCCCGCCACCACACCTGGCTAATTTTTGTATTTTTAGTAGAGACGGGGTTTCACCATATTGGGGAGGCTGGTCTCGAACACCTGACCTCAGGTGATCCGCCCACCTTGGCCTCCCAAAGTGCTAGGATTACAGGCATGAACCACCACACCCAGCCTATTTTTATTTTTTAAAAAAATTTTAATATTTCCATGGAACTCTGCTTGATACCAGCTAATTTATTTTTATGTTTTTGTAGAGACAGGCATCTCCTTATGTTGTCCAGGCTAGTCTCAACCTCCTGGCCTCAAACTGTCCTCCTGCCTCAGCCTCCCAATGTATTACAGGCATGAGCCACTGCAAGTGGCCCATTTAAATGTTCTATAACAATATTCAGTGATTACAATTTCTTTGATTCAAATACATAAGCAAATGCACAAGCAATAATGTATGCAGTACATATTAAACATCATTACTGCCTAAACTTGATTAAACAAATGAATAACTTTATAATTAAAAATATGTTTCTAGGCAAAGTTAAATATATTGACATTAGAAGTAATATATTCTTGCATGTGTGGGCCACAAAGACCTTGGCTAAAGTGTACATTTTAAAGGTGCAAAGCATAAAAACAGAGCTTTTGAGAATGACAGCTTCAAGAAGACAAACCAATTAACTCCCAAATATTGGCTTCAATTCAAGCGATATTTCTGTAAAATATACATTTCATGACTTCAATTATTACCTAATGAATGCAAAAAGCCACTATGACTACACTACACAGGAATTCAATGACAGAACTTCTGTATAAATACAGTACAGTTGCTCATTTTTTAGTAGATTTTTTTTTCCTCCCTGAATCCACATGCATCAATTCTGTTAACTTTGTAATATATGTTACAAAATCAATAGTTACCTTAAAATATTTCATAGCACACTCAAATTGTATGATTCTTATGGTACTTATTGTACTTTGGCTTCCAGTAGCCCAGTGGACATAACATGACCATGACTGCTTAGACAACTACTTGTATGCCTCAGGGCATCTGCTTCAAGATAGGCCATTAAAAGCTCAGTGCGGCGAATGAGTAACTGCATGAGGTCTTCAGCTAAAGTCTCTGTACTTGAATAGCGCACCTTCTCAAAGTCAAAAATGTCTTTGAGAAATAAAAGAACTTGATTCTGGAAAATGAACATAAATTGGCATTTATTAGACCAAAATTAAGTTACATTGAGAAAGCTTCTAATATTATAATGAGCACTGAATCAGGACTCAGAAGACCTGACTTCCAGTGCTAGTTTCATATCTCATTAGAAAAGGGACCTTGCACAAGTGATTTAACCTTTCCTTTTTGGGGGCTCATTTTCTTTTTCTGTGAAATAGGGCTAATACCACCCACCCTACTTACTACTCAGGGATGACATGATGATCAAAAAAGATAACCTATGTGATACCATGAAAAGGTGGGGAAACATTTAAAAAAAGATAATCTATAAGAAGTGCCTGTAAACTCTAAAGCACTGTTTAAATGTAAGGGGTTATAGTCCTTTCCCTTCAATGTGACCTTTGAGCATTGCCTCTACTCTAAGACAGAAGAATAAACTATTTCCAGTAATAGTTTTAAATAAATAATAATAAAATAATACGTTATAATTTTAAATGTGCTTTTTTTTTTTGTACAAGAAAAACCCTTAAGGCACATGAAAAATAAAGAACATTTCAGGTCTCAAATCAGTGGTAGATCCTGAAGGATATTTCATTTCAGTAAGTTATTATATACACTGAAACTCACTGTAAGCAAACTGTATACGAATAAGTATTAAGTCTCAGCTATTATGTCACCATAATAGAAAAAAAGTAATTTCAAAGAGCGAAAAACAGGAATATTTAATTTCTATCTTCTTTCTTAATAACGTATCTTCCAAACGTTATTAAGAAGTACTAAGAAGACACACTTCATTGATTCACTGGATTTTATATCTGAAAGGGTCATTAGCGATCAACCTGTTAGGCTCCCTCGTTTTATAGATAAAAGGAACATCAAAGAATGATTTGCCCCAAGTCAGAATGCTCACTGATGACAGACTTAATTCCCAACCCCTAAAACACATACCTTACATTTGGGTGGTCAAGTAAACTACAAAAATCAACGTGTTCTGAATGACAGTAAAATACACATTTTCTAAACCATTTATAAAAATATTACCTTGACAGCACATAAACATAATTTTAAAAAATGAATGGTATAGTAAAACATCCAAACTTTCAAATTCATACTCAATTATGTTTACTTTTATTTGCTCCTTGAAATGCAGCCTAAACTCAAGACTATTACATAGCGAGACTTTCCTTGTCACTTTGCCAGCCAGAAAATTCTATAAGGAGCTATAACTTGTATTTTGGCAAACTAAAACTGCTGACATTGGGAGATAACATTAAACCCCCATTTTATTTCTCACAACTTGGATTTTATCATTCATCTCACCTTTAACCACAACTTATTCTATATTACCACATGTGCAATAAAGGTGGATATTGTTTGTAAGTTTCAAAAGTGCCCAGGTATGAAAAACCAACTATCTACATTGATTTGACTGTCACATGGCAACACCATGCAAGACCATGTATCCCTTGCATTAGGGAATTGATAAGGTGAATGGATATGCTGAGTCTACTCCAGAATAAAGCACCAAATCTATAAAATACTGGTCCATTATAATAATAGTGGTATTATAAAATGCCAAAAATATTTAACACTGACATTTAAATGCTGAATTTAGGTGACTTTTATAACTTTACTCTTAAATAACATTTGTTCTTCTACAAAAGCAAAACAAAACAGAATAAAACCGTATCTCCTTTTTGATTTAGAAAAAAAAGAGAAATGATTCAATGACTGAACATACCTTAAAAAAGCAACATAAATCATACAGAGAATTTCTAGGACCCAAAAAGCCCCAGGCTAGGACAGGACTGATGTGTTCACAAATGGCATAAAAATGGGCAAAAAATCCATCTGGGATCTGCTGGGAAGTAAAGGAGAATCAAGTTACTTCTACCTTCTTGTTACTTGCTTTCTCTAGTACAGAAACTGAAGTTGCTATTCATTATATGACCAGTGGGAGTTTAAGAAAATTTGTTTTTTAGAACCAGAGTCTAGCAACACCTCAAACTCCTGGCCTCAAGCAATCCCCCGGCTTTAGCATCCTAAGCAGTGGGGACTACAGGCAGGCACTATAGTGCAGGGCTCATGACTAGCTCTTTTTGAGGGCAAACCAAGAGTCAGTCATGAGCCATGCTATTAAGAAAGTTAATAAGGTTACAAGTAACCTTTAGAGTCATAGAATGTTTTATGTAGATTTCATATCCTAGCCAACAGTTTCATATGTGCTGAGACACATTTCTGTATTTGTTGTTTGTTTTTTTGAGACAGGGTCTCACTCTGTAGCCCAGGGTGAAGTGCACTGGTGCAGTCATGGCTCACTGCAGCCTCAACTTCCCAAGCTTGAGTGATCCTCCCACCTCAAAATTCCAGGTAGCTGGAACCACACGTGCACGCCACCCCTCCTGGCTAATTTTTTCTATTTTTAGTAGAAACAGGTCTCACTATGTTGCTCAGGCTGGTCTTGAACTCCTGGGCTCAAGCAATCCTCCCTACTTTGCCTCCCAAAGTGCTGGGATTACAGGCGTGAGCTGCCACACCCCGCCCTTAAAAGTTGTTTTTACCTCATAAAAATGCTTCATAAAAAAGCAATCCAGCCAGGCATGGTGGCTCATGCCTATAATCCCAACACTTTTGGGAGGCCAAGGCAGGTGGATCACTTGACCCTTAGGAGTTCGAGACCAGCCTGGGCAACATGGTGAAACCTTGTCTCTACAAAAAATACAAAAGTTAGCCAGGCATGGTGGTGTGTACCTATAGTCCTAGCTACTCAGGAGACTGAGGTGGGAGGATCATTTGAGCCCAGGAATTGGATGGTGCAGTGAGCCAAGATAATGCCACTGTACTCCAGCCTGGGTGACAAAGTAAGACTCTGTCTCAAAAAAAAAAGGGCAATCATATTAGCTTTGCAACGAAGCAACAACAAGAATGCTACAGTGTTCCTTAGTTGTATAAGTTTTATGGGATTATTAAGACTATCAAAGTTTTAGCTATTTAAAAGCCCAACTCAATCACTTAATTATATTAACTGACCAAAAAAAAACTAGTAAAATGATTAAGCTAAATTACTCTTACTAGAATCCTAACTTTTAATTAAGGAACCCTATATTATTTAAGCATTTAATTGTGTAATTGCCTCTTCCTGTGAAGTATTAGTCAATATAGCTGTGTTTTAGGAAACTCTATATTTATAACTTTTTGAATTTCCCTTGTTAAATAACACACTGTGGGATTTGTTATACAGCACTGACTACAGAAAACTACACCTTAAGATTCTGTCTCCTGGGGGGCGGGGGTTATTTTCTATTTTACAGTCTCCAAGACAATCTTCTAAACCTCATTTTCTTTTCTTTTTTTTTTTCTGAGACGGAGTCTCACTCTGTCGCCCAGGCTGGAGTGCAGTGGCACCATCTTGGCTCACTGCAACCTCTGCCTCCCGGGTTCAAGCAATTCTCCTGCCTCAGCCTCCTGAGTAGCTGGGATTACAAGCGTGCACCACCATGCCCAGCTAATTTTTGAGTTTTTAGTAGAGACGGGGTTTCGCCATGTTGGCCAGGCTGGTCTCGAACTCCTGACCTCAGGTGATCCACCCTCTTTGGCCTCCCAAAGTGCTAGGATTACATGCAAGAGCCACTGTGCCGGGCCTAAACCTCATTTTTAAAATATAAGATAGCAGCAGTTACCATTTAATGAGTACCCATTATATTCTAGAAAATGTGCTGCCCTCTCCCTCTCCCTCCTCTCCCTCTCCCTCTCCCTCTCCCTCTCCCCCTTCCCACGGTCTCCTTCCACGGTCTCCCTCTGATGCCGAGCCAAAGCTGGACGGTACTGCTGCCATCTCGGCTCACTGCAACCTCCCTGCCTGATTCTCCTGCCTCAGCCTGCCGAGTGCCTGCGACTGCAGGCGCGCACCGCCACGCCTGACTGGTTTTCGTTTTTTTTTTTGGTGGAGACGGGGTTTTGCTGTGTTGGCCGGGCTGGTCTCCAGCTCCTAACCGCGAGTGATCCGCCGGCCTCGGCCTCCCGAGGTGCCGGGATTGCAGACGGAGTCTCGTTCACTCAGTGCTCAATGGTGCCCAGGCTGGAGTGCAGTGGCGTGATCTCGGCTCGCTACAACCTCCACCTCCCAGCCGCCTGCCTTGGCCCCCCAAAGTGCCGAGATTGCAGCCTCTGCCCAGCCGCCACCCCGTCTGGGAAGTGAGGAGCGTCTCTGCCTGGCCCCCCATCGTCTAGGATATGAGGAGCCTCTCTGCCTGGCTGCCCAGTCTGGAAAGTGAGGAGCGTCTCTGCCCGGCCGCCATCCCATCTAGGAAGCGAGGAGCGCCTCTTCCCCGCCGCCATCCCATCTAGGAAGTGAGGAGCGTCTCTGCCCGGCCGCCCATCGTCTGAGATGTGGGGAGCACCTCTGCCCCGCCGCCCTGTCTGGGATGTGAGGAGCGCCTCTGCTGGGCCGCAACCCTGTCTGGGAGGTGAGGAGCGTCTCTGCCCGGCCGCCCCGTCTGAGAAGTGAGGAAACCCTCTGCCTGGCAACCGCCCCGTCTGAGAAGTGAGGAGCCCCTCCGTCCGGCAGCCACCCCGTCTGGGAAGTGAGGAGCGTCTCCGCCCGGCAGCCACCCCGACCGGGAGGGAGGTGGGGGGGGGGGTCAGCCCCCCGCCCGGCCAGCCGCCCCGTCCGGGAGGTGAGGGGCTCCTCTGCCCGGCCGCCCCTACTGGGAAGTGAGGAGCCCCTCTGCCCGGCCAGTCGCCCCGTCCAGGAGGGAGGTGGGGGGGTCAGCCCCCCGCCCGGCCAGCCGCCCAGTCCGGGAGGTGAGGGGCGCCTCTGCCCGGCCGCCCCTACTGGGAAGTGAGGAGCCCCTCTGCCCGGCCAGTCGCCCCATCCGGGAGGGAGGTGGGGGGGTCAGCCCCCCGCCCGGCCAGCCGCCCCGTCCGGGAGGGAGGTGGGCGGGGTCAGCCCCCCGCCCGGCCAGCCGCCCCGTCCGGGAGGGAGGTGGGGGGATCAGCCCCCCGCCTGGCCAGCCGCCCCGTCCGGGAGGTGAGGGGCGCCTCTGCCCGGCCGCCCCTACTGGGAAGTGAGGAGCCCCTCTGCCCGGCCAGCCGCCCCGTCCGGGAGGCAGGCGGGGGGGGGGTCGGCCAGCCGCCCTGTCCGGGAGGGAGGTGGGGGGGTCAGCCCCCCGCCCAGCCGGCCGCCCCGTCCGGGAGGTGAGGGGCGCCTCTGCCCGGCCGCCCCTACTGGGAAGTGAGGACCCCTCTGCCTGGCCAGCCGCCTCGTCCGGGAGGGTGGTGGGGGGGTCAGCCCCCCGCCCGGCCAGCCGCCCCATCCGGGAGGTGAGGGGCGCTTCTGCCCGGCCGCCCCTACTGGGAAGTGAGGAGCCCCTCTGCCCGGCCACGACCCCGTCTGGGAGGTGTGCCCAGCGGCTCATTGGGGATGGGCCATGATGACAATGGCGGTTTTGTGGAATAGAAAGGCAGGAAGAGTGGGGAAAAAATTGAGAAATCGGATGGTTGCCGGGTCTGTGTGGATAGAAGTAGACATGGGAGACTTTTCATTTTGTTCTGTACTAAGAAAAATTCTTCTGCCTTGGGATCCTGTTGATCTGTGACCTTATCCCCAACCCTGTGCTCTCTGAAACATGTGCTGTGTCCACTCAGGGTTAAATGGATTAAGGGCGGTGCAAGATGTGCTTTGTTAAACAGATGCTTGAAGGCAGCATGCTCGTTAAGAGTCATCACCACTCCCTAATCTTAAGTACCCAGGGACACAAACACTGCGGAAGGCTGCAGGGTCCTCTGCCTAGGAAAACCAGAGACCTTTGTTCACTTGTTTATCTACTGACCTTCCCTCCCTTCCCTCCACTATTGTCCTATGACCCTGCCAAATCCCCCTCTGCGAGAAACACCCAAGAATGATCAATAAAAAAAAAAAATAAATAAATTAAAAAAAAAAAGAAAATGTGCTAGTTTCTATTTAATTTACTATAACATTCCTTCAAAAGTATGTCATGTTAACATCATTTTAAACATGTGAAAAGTGATATTGGAGAGGGGTTAAATAAACTGCCCTAATTCACACACAGCTAGTTAGTGAGGGCCAAAAAGTATGTTCTACATATAGTAAAGTTCTAAATACCATACAGACTTGAAGTGTATTATGAATTCAGAGAAGTGGGAACTTAGTGTGGGCTGAAGCAGACTAGATAAATTTCAGCAAGGAATAATGTGAGCTGAGCTCAATGATGGGTAAGATTTATTTAAGTACAGAGGGAATTTGGCATTTCAGGTATAGGAAATAGTTCCTAAGAGGTGAGACATATAGGTATCTATGGATATAGAAAGTTATAGGTTGGGCGCAGTGGCTCAGGCCTGAAATCCCAGCACTTTGGGAGGCCAAGGCAGGTGGATGACTTGAAGCTGGGAGTTTGAGATTAGCCTGGCCAACATGATGAAACCCCATCTTTGCCAAAAATATACAAATTAGCCGGACATGGTGGCAAGCGCCTGTAATCCCAGCTACTTGAAAGGCTGAGGCAGAAGAATCGCTTGAACCTGGGAGGCAGAGGTTGTAGTGAGCTGAGATCATGCCATTGCACTCCAGCCTGGGCGACAGAGTGAGACTCCGTCTCAAAAAGAAAAAAAAGTACAATATTTATTCTAAGAAGTAGAAAAATAAAGTTAGACATGTTAATAATATATCATTATTATTATAACTACCACTTACTAAACTCTTTAAATGTTTAATGTTTAAATTAAGCTTGCTGATATCATCGCTTTCATCCTTACCGCAGTCCTATTAAGTAGGCATTAACACCATTTTGCAAATGGGAAAACTGAGGGTAAGCTGATGGTCAGTAACTTACTGTAATCATGCTAGCTAGTGTGAGAATCAAACCCATGTATACAAGTCTGTTCCTAGTCCTAACGTTAGAGTTCATCATCATCATTAAGGAAACCTGCTTAAAATATGGGTCTCTGGAATCATTTTAAATAAGAATTATTCAAATACAGGGGCTCCAGAATTATTTCTACCAGCACATTCTAAAGATGCTGTGAGGACTATACTTTAAAATCACTGCAACTGGCAATACTGTCTCAAAGTTATAAGATTGAAAAATATGGATATGATAAAATACTACAGGTCCTTGGGTAAATAATAATGTTGTAACAGTCAATACTTGCTTAATGCACTATGCCAAGCACTGTTCTAAGCACTTCACATTGAATCTTCAAGAAACCCTATGAGGGCTAGGCACAGTGGCTCACGCCTGTAATCCCAACACTTTGGGAGGCCGAGACTGGAAGATCACTTGAGGCCAGGAGTTTGAGGCCAGCCTGGGCAACACAGCAAGAGCTCATCTGTACACAAAAATAAAAAATCAGCCAGGCATGGTGGTGTGCACCTGTAGTCCTAGCAACTCAGGGAGGATGAGGCAGAAAGATTGCTTTAGCCCAGGAGTTATAGAGGCTGCAGTGAGCTATGATCATGCCACGGCACTCCAGCCTGAATGACAGAGCAAGACCCTATCTCTAAAACAAAACAAAACACTATGAGGTAGATACTATTACTATTCTATTTTTAGAGATAAGGAAACTGAGGCATAGAGAGGGTAAGCAACTTGCCTAAGGTCACATAGCTAGTATGTGGCATTTGAACCCAGTAGTCTCACTCCAGAGTCCTTGCCCTTTACTACTAGGAGTGTATGAGGAAAACAATGCTTAGCAGGTAAGACAGGTTACAGGGTGTGAGGCGTGAAGGCAGGATATAAACTCTGAGACTTTTTATTTGTAGGGGCTCCAAACTGAATAAAGCAGCTATTAGAATCAAATCTTTATTTCTTAATTGGATTAAACGAAGGGAATCCACTATATTAAAGAACTGTAAAAAAATACTGGCCAGGTGCAGTGGCTTACACCTGTAATCCCAGCACTTTGGGAGGCCAAGGCGGGCGGATAACCTGAGGTCAGGAGTTTGAGACCAGCCTGGCCAACATGGTGAAACCCCATCTCTACTAAAAATAAAAAAATTAGCCGGGTGTGGTGGCACCTACGGTCCCAGCTACTTGGGAAGCTGAGGCAGAAGAATCGCTTGAACCCGGGAAGCAAAGATTGCAGTGAGCCAGGATCGCGCCACCACACTCCAGCCTGGACAACAGAGACAGACTGTCTCAAAAAAAAAAAAAAAAAATTAATATCATTAAGAGAAAAAACAAAAACCTAAAACTTATCAGAGCTGTTTCCAACTCGAAACCCCTCTCCCAGTTAGCTGAAATACCATGCATGCCTCAATACTAAGGATGAGAAAGAAGGCCTTCAAAAAAGAAGCCAACCCACTACCAGTAAGTCACTCATCTAGCCTGAGGGACAGTCCCTCCTACCCCTCCTACAGCTGCCAATTCCCACCGGAGAAGTGACTCAGAAGCTGCTTTGACAGAATCCTTAAATGATTTAACAAAGGAATTCAGGACATAACGAATTTTACCTTCATCTGTTGTCTTTTCTGTTTCAGCACCGACCAACAACTTGAAGCCACAGCCTAAATACATGCAGAGAAAAGAAAGATTTATATATAGCTATATAAACATTTCCATTTTTATTAGAAATTCAAAGTTTATGGGTCTAAAACGTTCAATACATTCATTACTAATAAGAACTAGTCGGCCGGGCACAGTGGCTCACATCTGTAATCCCAGCACTTTGGGAAGCCGAGGCGGGTGGATCATGAGGTCAAGAGATGGAGACCATCCTGGCCAAGACGGTGAAACCCCATCTCTACTAAAAATGCAAAACAAAATTAGCTGGGCATGGTGGCGCATGCCTGTAGACCCAGATACTCGGGAGGCTGAGGCAGGAGAATTGCTTGAACCCGGGAGGCGGAGGTTATAGTAAACAGAGATCGCGCCACTGCACTCCAGCCTAGCGACAGAGCAAGACTTTGTCTCAAAACAAACAAACAAACAAAAAACAAAACTAGTCAGGGTCCTCACATTGTTTGAAAATATTAATGAAAAGGTATTTCATTTTTATAAATTTTTAAATCATGAGCAAAGTTGTATGTTGCAAGGGCAAAAAAAAAAAAGTAAAATAATATTTAAAAAATTAAACACAAAGCCACTAAAGGAAAAAGACTGCACTCTGGAACAAAGGAGATTCAATTTTCAGAGTTTTAAAGTTCTGTTCCTTAAGGGAAAAAAGTGAAAATATGTGTATATAGAATTCACATACACAAATAAATATTCTATGTGTAATAATAAAGTAATTTTTCTTCTTCTTTTTTTTTGAGACAGGGTTTCACTCCCATTGCCTAGGCTGAAGTGCAAAGGAGTGATCTCGGTTCACTGCAACCTCCGCCTCCAAGGCTCAAGTGAACCTCCCACCTCAGCCTCCTGAGTAACTGAAACCACAGGCACACACCACTGCACCTGGCAAATTTTTGTATTTTTTTTATAGAGACGAGGTGTCACTATGTTGCCCAGGCTGGTCTCAAACTCCTGAGCTCAAGTAATCGGCCTGCTTCGGCCTTCCAAAGTGCTGGGATTACAGGCATGAGTCACTGTACCTGGCCTAAAGTAATTTTTTTTCAAGAATAGTACTATTGGAATATTTGTGAATAGAGCTAACAGTTTGATCCAAATAAAGAACTAGGAAATACAACCATGACAGGACAAAAGCACCCAGTGGATCCTGAAGAAATCTGACCCTTGGAGGTGATTCCAGGAAGGAAAAAAAAAAAAAAGAAAGAAAAATCTGACCCCACTCTGGCATGACCCAGCTTTGATCAAGGTCACTTTACCAAATCAGTTACAGAAATGGAGAACATGTACCTTTTATTATTAAAACATACTTAATTGAGGCAAAATGAATTTATTTAAAATGCTTTTAAGTTTAATATCAGTAAGTTCCAAAATAATTGTGAAATTGCCAACTGGAACATTTTTTTAAAGGTATCCAAACTGCATCATAAAATATATCCACCCTACTTTGCTTCCAGGTGCACACTTAAAGCCCAACAAAAACCAATGTCAAACAGGTTTGAGAACAGAAAAGAACAGAAGCTGAAAAGAGAATTTCATCTGAAGATGTTATGCCGTATATGCCTGAGCTGAATATCAAAGGATGAGCTCAGTTTCCATACATTATTTCACAGACAGATGTATATGTAAATCTTAACAATCTACCCAGTTTTGACATTTTTTTGAGATAGAGTTGCACTCTTGTTGTCCAGGCTGGAGTGCAGCGGCACGATCTCGGCTTACTGCAACCTCTGCCTCCTGGGTTCAAGCGATTATTACACCTCAGCCTCCCGAGTAGCTGGGATTACAGGTGCCCACCACCATACCCAGCTAATTTTTGTATTTTTAAAAGAGACAGCCTTTCACCATGTTGGCCAGGCTGGTCTCGAACTCCTGACCTCAAATGATCCACTTGCCTCAGCCTCCCAAAGTGCTGAGATTACAGGTGTGAGCAACCGCGCCTGGCCAACCACTTTTTTGTTTGTTTGTTTGTTTATGAGACGGAGTTTTGCTTTTGTTGCCCAGGCTGGAATGCAATGGCTCAATCTCAGCTCACTGCACCTCCCAGGTTCAAGCAATTCTCCTGCCTCAGCCTCCCGAGTAGCTGGGATTACAGGTGCCCGCTACCATGCCCAGCTAATTTTTTTTTTTTTTGTATTTTTAGTAGAGATGGGGTTTCACCATGTTGGCCAGGCTGGTCTCAAACTCCTGACCTCAGGTGATCCGCCTGCCTTGGCCTCCCAAAGTGCTGGGATTACAGGCGTGAGCTACTGCGCCCAGCCTCACTTTTTAATCAAACTTAAAAGGCTGAGAAAGGTTAACCACCACTTACTGTTTCTTTGAAGGATGAGTTTAGCCATCGATTATTTACTACATTCTGTATGGATGTGGGTGGGTTTTCCAAATCTTCAAAGGAGTCCATTAATATAAAATCCAGAACAACATCATAAAAATTTAGATTTTTCACCTGCATTAAATTATGAGTTGAAACAGAAATTATTATTACATAGAGCTGAAATAAAATCTGAGCCAGGGCTTTATGGTTTTATAACAGCAGGGGTTTTTTTTAATCAGCTTATTCAAAAATAAAAAATAAAAGGAGAGATAAATATGAAAGCTCGCCACTAGAAATTACGAATTCACATTATCGCTGCTCCTTCCTAGATCTCAAGTGAAAATAATCTCTCCTCCTCTCTATTCTAGGAGTCCTTTGTTCACGCTTCTATTATAACATCCAGGATGCTCATTCTGCCTTGTTATTTAGTTACTGGTATATGTGCCTGTCTTCCCCACCAGATCATGAACATCTTGCTCTTTCATTCATTCATACATACACACTCTACATACTACATGCTGTACCAAGTGCTCAAACTTCTAGAGTAAGCAAATTAGACGCCTAGAGTATAGTGGGGAAAACAGCAACAAAATAATCCTGCAAATATCCAATTATGAACTGTGTGAAGCACAATAAAGGAAAAAGTATAGTGTGCTGTATCATTTTGGCAGAAATGTGGAGAATGAAACAGGGGAAAGAATGAATGCAGGGAGGAAAGGAGTGAGCAGGGAATCGGGAAATATAAAGACTACTGATGTAGCCCAGAGAAAAGACAACAGGCACTTAGGCCAAGAGGGGTGACAGAAAGAGAGAAAAGTCGAAGAAACTGAAAGATATTTAGGAGTTAAAACTGACAAAATTAGAGATGAATATGATAAAATGGGTGAGCATCAGGGAGAGGTGAAGGATGAGTCTCAGGTTGCTGGCCTGCAGAAGTAAATGGATACTGATTTCATTTCCTGAATAAGGGAACACTAGAAAAGGAAAAATTAAGTCTTCATGTATTTGTTGTATCCACTGTTTTCTCTGCCTAGAAGGCCTTTCAGCTGCTTGTAAACTCACTCTTTTTTTTTTTTTTTGCTTCTGAGACAGAGTCTTGCTCTGTCACCCAGGCTGGAGTGCACTGGCACGATCTCGGCTTACTGCAGCCTCCACCTCCTGGGTTCAAGTGATTCTCTTGCCTCACCCTCCTGAGTAGCTGGGATTACAGGCATGCACCACCATGCCTGGCTAATTTTTGTATTTTTAGTGGAGACAGGGCTTCACCATGTTGGCCTGGCTGATCTCAAACTCCTGGCCTCAAGTGATCTGCCCGCCTCGGCCTCCCAAAGTGCTGGGATTTCATTCCTTTTGTGTGTGTGTGTGACGGAGTCTCGCTCTGCCACCCAGGCTGGGATTACAGGCATGCGCTCCATGCCTGGCTAATTTTTGTATTTTTAGTAGAGACAGGTTTCACCATGTTGGTCAGGCTGGTCTTAAACTCCTGACCTCACGATCTGCCCGTCTCAGCCTCCCAAAGTGCTGGGATTACAGGCGTGAGCCACCATGCCGGACCGATATCTATATCTATATATTTTTTGAGCCAGAGTCTTGTTCTGTCACCCAGGCTGGAGTACAGTGGCGCGATCTTGACTCTCTGCCACCTCCACCTCCCAGGTTCAAGCAATTCTCATTCCTTGGCCTCCCGAGTAGTTGGGATTACAGGCGTGAGCCACTACACCTGGCTAATTTTTGTATTTTCAGTAGAGATGAGGTTTTGCCATGTTGGCTAGGTTGGTCTCGAACTCCTGACCTCAGGTGATCCGCCCGCCTCAGCCTCCCAAAGTGCTGGGATTACAGGCGTGAGCCACCATGCCTGACCAATATCTATATCTATATATTTTTTGAGACAGAGTCTCGTTCTGTCACCCAGGCTGGAGTACAGTGGCACGATCTTGGCTCACTGCCGCCTCCACCTCCCAGGTTCAAGCAATTCTCGTTCCTTGGCCTCCCGAGTAGTTGGGATTACAGGCGTGAGCCACTATACCCAGCTAATTTTTGTATTTTCAGTAGAGACAAGGTTTTTCCATGTTGGCTAGGTTGGTCTCAAACTCCTGACCTCAGGTGATCCGCCCGCCTCAGCCTCCCAAAGTGCTGGGATTACAGGCGTGAGCCACCATGCCTGGACCGATATTTATTTCTATATCTGTATCTACATATATATTATAAACTGTGAACTCACACTGACAGCTCCAATTCCAATCCCAGCATTTTATACCTCCCTTCTCTCACAGGGAAAAGCTGGCTCTGATTTTTCTCAGTATACTTATTTGTTCAGTCTTGTGTATACAGCCAATTCCCCAGCCCTACTGAGCTGCTGCTGTTGTACTACCCAAAGCTGTCCTTGCATGGGCCACCATTCCTGTCCTGCTAGGGGCCTGCCAATGACTTTTGGAGAGAAGGAAGAGAGGGAACAAGGGAAGGAGGACAGGAGGGAAGGAAGCAAGGAGCCAACAACAGCAAAAAAGGCTTCTTAGAAAACAATTTACAACTACTGCCCCAACGTACAAGGAGTGTGGTTTATGACTTCGTCAGAAAAAAAGATGTCCCACAACCATACAATTGGCTTTATTTAACAAGGACAATGAAACAGTAGTCTCAACTCATATAAAATTACATGCAAATAACTAAGAAAAATAAATATCACAAAAAATTTGAATTTACCCCTCTAGCAGCAAGTTCCATTTCAGTACTACCCCAGTGATCGGTCTGCTCTAAAAAATAGATCATTTCATCAAAAACATCTTCAAACTTCTTTGGATTCTGAAGAAGAAAACACATTTTAACCCTAAACTCAACTTTATAACAAGCTACAAAGAAAGTTACTCTTCAAATAAGTCTGGTAGATCTTAATTCTACTAGGTAACTGAACTAAAATACATTTTAAAGGTATGCCAAATTTATCTGGTTTACTACTTTGCTATTGCAACATTTTGCAGAAGCCAAGATAAAGAATGTCAGTAAAATGTCACAAGCAAACTATTTATTACTCAAATATGTATGCCTATTTTGGTCAGTAATTAAAATGAAAATTTGGTTATAGCAGACATTATGTGAGGCTTTTGTTGCAGTTCTGCTTCTTTTGGAGGAACCCTAGTTCAAATCACTGAGTTTATCTGTCATGAGAAGGCCAAGAAAGCAACACAAGACTTACATTGGGAATTGCATGTATTAATAGTATCACCTTACATATACTTAGCTTTACACTACTTAACACTTTATTCTTTAAGTTGCTTCCCATTTATCATTTATTTAATCATCCTAAAAACCCTCTGAAATGAGGTAATATAAATACAATTCTATTATATAAATGAAAGAATTAAAGTTCAAAGGGATTGAGTCTGAAAACTAGGTGTGCAAATGGCTCAAGGAAGGCTTGTTTTGTTTTATCATCATCTGGACAAACCTTGCATAAAGTAAGGTGGTTCCTTACAGTCTGAATGAAGTTCTTGTCATTGCTTCTGCCTCATTCAACTACATGAAGATGAGGCAGTTCAATTTGTATTCCAGATTTCTGAGACCTACGCTATTTCCTGTAACCCTCTTCCTGAACAGGATTGAGGTAATAAAAGAGGAGGCATTAGTAATAATAACAGTGATGGTTATAGCAGCAGATCTAATGATAATTCTCACCATGACATTTACAGAGTTTATGGCAAACTGGAAATAATTTATGAGAAACAACTTGGTTGAAATAGTGTGGACTTTATACATAGTTCAACCCGAGCATAACTTAATGCCCTTTTCAACTATCCACAAAAATTTTTCTTCTATCAAAAATTTAATGTCTTAATCTTCAGTTCAAAGGGTAAAAACAACTTTTGTAAATGGTAAAAATCTTGCCAACAGAACAAGTTTACCTTTCGTGCTTTCACAATTAAAGCTGATAAAATTTTCCTTCCGCTCTCAGCGAGGAATATCCTGTTAGCTGATTCTGAAAGAATTACCTGAAAAAATATTCATCCCCAAAGAAAAAAGAGACCTATAATGAATGTGAATGGACATTCAACTTAATAGCACAAATAATCCTAAAACAGTTAATGCATTGCATGTGGTGCTATTTCAACAGGCAGCTCACAGAGAAAGTCCTAATTTACTAAAATAAAAAGAACTCTTGAAACCTATAGTCAAAAAAAGATTAAAGGGAGTTAAATTTGAATTTAAATTCTGTTCAAAATCATATTACAGTCTCAAATAAATTTCCTATAGCCCCAAAACATAAGAAAACAAATATATTCTTGTTATTTTCTTTTTAGAAAATCAATTTTATAATTGACTGAAATTAAATCTCAAATACACACTAATTAATAAGAAAGAGTGTTTTTATTTTAAGCAGCCATTTTTACACTCCTGAAGTATCAAAATATCCTGTTTTGACAAAGTGTCGTGGGCCTGGGAAGCCATGGGAGAGGATAATGAAATATGGAAACAAATGAAGGCAAGTAGCAGGGAGGAAAAATAAGTTTAGTGGACTTTATATTTGTCATTAGGAATAGGGATAATCAAGAGCACAGAGCTGTCCTGTTTATTTGCACTGGACTCTACAGCATGAGGGTGGGGATGAGTGGCTGGGTGAAGTCACTTAATGTTAAAAAAATACCTGAAAAGCCTGTCGAATACAGTGAAGTTTGGCAAGAAAATCACTGTCTCCTAGGCACTCCAACATTTCAGTTCTATGTAATAAACAGGGGAGACAATTGTTAAACTACATTCAAGATCAAGCCTACTATAAATTTGGATTCAAACAAGGCTTAACCTCAGGACCTTAATATAAAACATGTTTTTTCAATACTGACAGAACATGTAAAAATAATTTTTTCTTTACTTGGACCTAAAAACATATTTTCTCCTATTTTCATAAACATTTTTAGTAAGTACCACACAAACACCTTAATATCCTTCATAAACATAAACAAAACTGAAATGGTACCTCAGTACTCTGGAGTAAATTTTTCCTTCTTCAACTAAATGCATGGCTTCCTCGTAAAATGGGCAGTGACAAAGGGACTCCAGGCTGTAGGTATGCCGTACTTCTCTGTGTTCTGCAAGCTAAGAGCACGGTGGGTTAGAACAGAATACAGGCTAGGTGCAGTGGCTCATGCCTGTAATTGCAACACTTTGGGAGGATCATTTGAACCCAGAAGTTTGAAACCAGCCTGGGTAACATGGTAAGACCCTGTCTCTACAAAAATCTAAAAAAATTAGTCAGGTGTGGAGGCATGCACCTGTGGTCCTAGCTACCCAGGAGATTGAGGTGGGAAGATCACTTGAGCACAGGAGGTTGAAGTTGTAGTGAGCTGTGATTGTATCACTGCACTCCAGCCTAGCTGGCAAAGCCAGACCTGCCTCAAAAACAAAACAAAACAAAAACCCAGAAAACCAAAAAGCAGAATACACTGATATAAGAAGATAAACTATAAAGGAAAGAAAATAGGATTTTGCTAACATCAAAATACAATAAATTTGATTAAACCATAAAAACCATTCAAGAGGATTTTATAGCTAATAAAATCTGAATTGATTTTACTTCAATAGAGTTGTTAAAAAGAGTAAAACTTTTAACAAGCTTAGTTCATTCTGAATCCAATTATTTAAATCCACAGAACATACAGAAAACCAATACTGTATCTTTTTTTTTTTTTGAGACAGGGTCTCACTGTCACCCAGGCTGGAGTACAGTGGCAGGATCTTGGCTCAATGCAGCCTCCATCGCCCAGGTTAAAGCGATTCTCCTGCCTCAGCCTCCAGAGTAGTTGGGATTACAGGCATGCACCACCACACCCAGCTAATTTTTGTATTTTTAGTAAAGATGGGGTTTTGCCATGTTGGCCAGGCTGGTCTCGAACTGGCCTCAAGTGATCCGCCTGCCTCAGCCTCCCAAAGTACTGGCATTCAGGCGTCAGCCACCGCGTCTGGCCAGCAATACTGTATCTTATAGTTCACCAAAAAGAACAACTGAAGAAGCATTTTTTAAAAAGAGGAGGAGAATTTTATCATCCATAGATTACTTACAAGTATTATAACCTATGATTATAATGAAGCAAAACTTAGTACAAAAACAACAAAATAAGCTCAGTGTTGCTATTCTAAGACATATTTCCTTATATGTAGCTTTGATTAACTTTTGTATAACTGAAAGACAGTCGTGCTTTTGGCTAGCATAACAACTCTACATATGAAATTCCAATCTTCTGACAGTTCATTAAAAAACAATTGCAAACACTGTAGAGTAGCCAGCTAAGCAAAAAAAAAAAAAAAAACAACAACCCAGAAAACTTCTAGAAAACTTCTAGAGTGTTTTGTTTGGAAGAAACAGGATCTCGCTCTGTCACCCAAGCTGTAGTGCAGTGGCACAATCATAACTCTGCGGCCTCAAACTCCTGGGCTCAAGTGATCCTCCTGCCTCAGCCTCCCGAGTAGCTGGGGCTACAGGTACGCACCACCACATCCTCTAATTAAAAAAATTAGGGGGGGCCAGGTGCAGTGGCTCATGCCCGCAATCCCAGCACCTTCCAGCACTTTGGGAGGCTGAGGCAGGCGGATCACCTGAGGTCAGGAGTTCAAGACCAGCCTGGGCAACAAGAGTGAAACTCCGTCACAAAATAAATACATAAATACAATACAATACAATACAAGTTACAAAGCAAAAACAAAAAAAAAAAAACCAAAGTACACAGGCAACAAAGAGCAGAGTGAATGTAATAGTACCTCGCATTTCAATACTAAAAACTGAAATTATGTCAAGCACTCTCTTAGACCACAGTGGAATAAAACTGGAAATCAACTCCAAAAAGGACCTTCAAAACCATGCAAATACATGGAAATCAAATAACCTGCTCCTGAATGCGCACTGGGTCAAAAACAAAAGCACGATGGAAATTTAAAAATTCTGCGAACTGAATGACAAAAATGACACAACCTATCAAAACCTCTGGGATACAGCTAAGGTGGTACTAAGAGGAAAGTTCATAGCCCTAAACGCCTACATCAAAAAGTCTGAAAGAGCACAAACAGACAATCTAACGTCATACCTCAAGCAACTAGACAAACAAGAATAAACCAAACCCAAACCCAGAAGAAGAAAGGAAATAACCAAGATCAGAGCAGAACTAAATGAAATTGAAACAAAAAAAAATACAAAAGAGGAATGAAACAAAAAGCTGGCTCTTTGAAAAGATAAATAAAATTGATAGACCTTTAGCAAGATTAACCAAGAAAAGATGAGAGAAAATCCCAATAACCTCACTAAGAAAAGAAACAGGAAATATTACAACTGATACCACTGAAATACAAAAGATCATTCAAGGTTACTATGAACACCTTTACGCACATAAACTAGAAAACCTAGAAGATATGGATAAATTCCTGGAAAAATACAACCTTCCTATCTTAAATCAGGAAGAATTAGATACCTTGATCAGACCAATAACAAGCAGCAAGACTGAAATGGTAATTAAAAAATTACCGATTAAAAAAAAGTGCAGGACCAGATGGATTCACAGGAGAATTCTATCAGACATTCAAAGAAGAATTGGTACTAATCCTTTTGACACTATTCCACAAGATAGAAGGAACCCTCCCTAATTCAGCATCACCCTAATACCAAAACCAGGAAAGGACGTAACCAAAAAACAAAACTACAGACCGATATCCTTGATGAACATAGATGCTAAAATCCTTAACAAAACACTAGCTAATTGAATCCAACAACGTATCAAAAAGATAATCCACCACAATCAACTGGGTTTCATACCAGGGATGCAGGGACAGTTTAACATATGTGAGTCAATGAATGTGACACACCACATAAACAGAATTAAAAACAAAAATCACACGATCACCTCAATAGATGCAGAAAAAGCATTTGACAAAATCCAGCATCCCTTTATGATTAGAACTCTCAGAAAAATCGGCATACAAGGGACATACCTTAGTGTAATGAAAGCCATCTAAGACAAACCCACAGCCAACATAATACTGAATGGGGAAAAGTTGAAAGCATTCCCTCTGAGAATGGGAACAAGACAAGGATGCCCACTCTCACCACTCCTCTTCAACATAGTACTGGAAGACCTAGCCAGAGCAATCAGACAGGAGAAAGAAATAAAGGGCATCCACGTCGGTAAAGAGGAAGTCAAACTGTCACTGTTTGCTGTCAATATGATCGTTTACCTTGAAAACCCTAAGAAGTTGTCTAGAAAGCTCCTAGAACTGATAAAAGAATCAGCAGTTTCCAGATACTAGATTAATGTACACAAATCAGTAGCTCTTCTATACACCAACAGCGACCAAGCAGAGACTCAAATCAAGAACTCAACCCCTTTTACAACAGCTACAAAAAAATAAAATAAAATACTTAGGAATATACCTAACCAAGGAGTCCAAAGACCTCTACAAGGAAAACTACAAAACACTGCTGAAAAAAATCAGAGACGACCCAAACAAATGGCAACAGATCCCATGCTCATGGATGGGTAGAATCTATATTGTGAAAAGGACCATACTGCCAAAAGCAATCTACAAATTCAATGCAATCCCCATCAGAATACCACCATCATTCTTCACAGAATTAGAAACAACAATTCTAAAATTCATATGCAACCAAAAAAGAGCCTGCATAGCCAAAGAAAGACTAAGCGAAAAGAATTCTGGAGGCATCACACGACCTGATTTCAAACTATACTATAAGGCCACAATCATCAAAACAGCATGGTACTGGTATAAAAATGGGCACATAGACCAATGGAACAGAAGAGAGAACACATAAATAAACCCAAATAGTTCAGCCAACTGATCTTTGACAAAACAAACAAAAACATAAAATGGGGAAAAGACACCCTTTTCAACAAATGTTGCTGGGATAATTGGCTAGCTACATGTAGGAGAATGAAACTGGATCCTTATCTCTCATCTTATACAAAAATCAACTCAGGAAGGATTAAGGACTTAAACCTAAGACCCGAAACTACAAAAACTCTAGAAGATAACATTGGAAAAACCCTTCTAGACATTGGCTTAGGCAAGGATTTCATGACTAAGAACCCAAAAGCAAATGCAATAAAAACAAAGAAATAGCTAGGACCTAATTAAACGAAAGAGCTTTTTGCATGGCAAAAGGACCAGTTGACAGAGTAAGTAGACAACCCACAGAGTGGGAGAAAATTTTCACAATCTCTACATCTGATAAAGGACTAATATCCAGAATCTACAATGAACTCAAACAAATCAGAAAAAAAAAGTCCCATCAAAAAGTAGGCTAAGGACATGAATAGACAATTCTCAAAAGAAGATATACAAATGGCCAACAAACACATGAAAAAAATGCTCAACATCACTATGATCAGGGAAATGCAAATCAAAACCACAGTGTAATACCTACTTTACTCCTGCAAGAATGGCCATAATCAAAAAATCAAAACACAGTAGATGTTGGTGTGGATGCAGTGATCAGGGAACACTTCTACACTGCTGGTGGGAATGTAAACTAGTATAGCCACTATGGAAAAAAGTGTGAAGATTCCTTAAAGAACTAAAAGTAGAACTACCATTTGATCCGGCAAGCCCACGACTGGGTATCTACCCAGAGGAAAAGAAGTCATCATTCGAAAAAGATACTTGCACATGCATGTTTATAGCAACACAGTTCACAATAGCAAAATTGTGAATCAAAATTGTAGAACCAACCCAAATGCCCATCAATCGACAAGTGGATAAAGAAACTGTGGTATGTATAGATGAAGGAATACTGTGCAGCCATAAAAAGGATGAATTAACAGCATCTGCAGTGACCTGGATGAGACTGGAGACTATTATTCTAAGTGAAGTAACTCAGGAATGGAAAACCAAACATCATATGTTCTCACTGATAAGTGGGAGCTAAACTATGAGGACGCAAAGGCATAAGAATGATACAATGGACTTTGGGGACTTGAGGGGAAGAGTAGGAGGGGGGTGAGGGATAAAAGACTACAAATATGGTGCAGTATATACTGCTCAGGTGATAGGTGCACCAAAGTCTCACAAATCACCACTAAAGAACTTATGTAACCAAATACTACCTGTACCCCAATAACTTAATGGAAAAATAAAATAAGAGATAATCCTGGTGCCTCCATATTCTGGGAAAGTAACTTTATCTCCAACTTTCATGCTAACTGGTTGAATCTCTCCACTCTTTCCTTTAGAGCCTGATCCAACAGCAACAGCTATTACTGTTGCTTGCAATACTTTTCCTTGAGATTTTTCTGGAAGCATGATGCCTCCTTTGTGTGTGTGTGTTGTTTGTTTGTTTTTGGGTTTTTGTTTGTTTTTGTTTGTTTTTGTCAGGTCAGCCAGGCAATAGTGCAGTGGCACAATCATGGCCCACTGCAGCCTCAACTTCCCAGGCTCAAGTGATCCTCCCACTCATTTTTAAATTTTTCATAGAGACGAGCGTTCATTATGTTGGCCAGGCTGGTATCTAACTCCTGGACTTAAGTGATCCTCCTGCCTCAGCCTCCCAAAGTGCTGGGATTACAGTCATGAGCCACAGTGCCCAGCCGTAATGCCTCCTTTGGTTGTAGTTTCTGCAGCACATCTTTCAACCAATACTTGGTCAGGGTGGAAGAAACTTCCAAATGCTTGTCCTGCCATGACTCCTGACACTACAGCTTGTACTCTGCTCTCACACCCAAAACATTTTTTTATTAAAAAGGAAGAGAGCAAATTAAAAATCCACAAAGCTCACTGCTCTTATGGAGATTCAGCCATTTTACTTGATTCAATGTTCTCTGAATTTTTGCAAGTCTTTTATCCATTTTCAGAATTCTGAAAATTTTGTTTTTGACATTTTTTGCTTTGTGGAGGAGACTTTTGAATGTCTACGCTATGATTCTAGAAGTAACTCTCAAGGCTTTGGTTTTGGTATTTCACATGCAGCCAGTGCTGTGCTAATGCTTTCAGTTGATTTATTTAACCCTTACAAAAGCTCATAAAGTAAGTACTATTATTCACATTTTGCTGGGTGCAGTGGCTCATTCCTGTAATCCCAGCACTTTGGGAGGCCGAGGCAGGCGGATCACTTGAGGTCAAGAGTTGGAGACCAGCCTGGCCAACATGGGGAAGCCCCGCCTCTACTAAAAATTCAAAAATTAGCCAGGTGTGGTGGCACATGCCTATAATACCAGCTACTTGGGAGGCTGACACAGGAGAATCACTTGAACCTAGGAGGTGGAGGTTGCAGTGAGCCAAGATCGTACCACTGCACTCCAGCTTGGGAGACAGAGTGAGATTCTCTCTCTCAAATAAACAAATAAATAAATAATCCACATTTTACAGATGAAGAAACAGAGATTAAATTAGCAGGAACTTACCCAGAATCCCACAACTAAATGATAAAATTTAAACCCAGGCACATTATTCCAGAACTTAAGCACCAAATTATACCCTTCCTATCAGCCTTATCCAAACAGCCAAGGGATAAGAAGTTTCAGCATCAGCAATATTTATGATACATAAATATGTCCATTAGGCCAGATGCAAAAAAAAAGGTATGAAGAGATGACAGTATCTCACAGTATATATTCTCTACTTTAAGTAACATTTCCCCTCATATTTTAAGGAATATATGTTATGCTAAAGGGCAAAGTCTTCTTGAGGCTAACAAAACTAAACAGCTTTTTAAAAATAACTTAGAATGAAAATTCTTTAGATATTAAACAGTTTAAATTTTTGTACCACTGTCAAAACAAATAAGACCCACATACATGTACTATTAGTATTCTCTATCCTCTATTAGAGAAAAATCCTAAGAAGTAAACTGGGGGCCAGGTGCGGTGGCTCACACCTGTAATCCCAGCACTTTGGGAGGTTGACGTGCGCAGATCACTTGAGGTCAGAAGCTCGAGACCAGCCTGGCCATGATGGCGAAACCCCATCTCTACTAAAAATACAAAAATTAGCCGGGTATGGTGGCACATGCCTGTAATCCCACCTACTTGGGAGGCTGAGGCAGAAGAATTGCTTGAACCTGGGAGGTAGAGGTTGCAAGGTTGCAGTGAGCTGAGATCACACCACTACACTCCAACCTGAGTGACAGAGTAAGACTCTGTCTCAAAAAAAAAAAAAAAAAAGAAAGAAAACTAAACTGGGCTCCAATTAAACCCTCTACATGAAATAATTTCTAACAATAATAAGAAGACAATCCAACAATGGGAGATTCCAGAGTTGAGTCTTGAATTATTGATCTACCTTGCTTATTTGTTGGTTTGGTTTAAGTAATCGTTTAAAGAAGCCTCCTAAAATAAGACTGCAGCTGTGAGAATATATCATGTTGAAGATTTGATACTAGCTAACATTATTGACTCTTCAGAGACAATGCCAGCTTAGAAACATTTATTTAAATCATTAATCTTAAACTTTTTTAAACAAAAAGAAACTCATTAAAACATTGGTTGAAATTCTTATTTCAGAATACATCACATAGGAAGAATTTCTCAACAAAATTCCCAAACATGTTTTAAAAGGTTTTAGAAAAAAATTAACATTTAAATAGAGCTGAGAAGTTATTTCAGAAGCAGCGGTCAATAAGGCAGTTAATTTCAGCTATGGAACATGCAATTTACTATTAAAAGGGGGTCTTTTTTTTACTAGCTGAAATTTCCTATGTATTTTGAAATTATTCTTCTCCCAAAAGGCTACATTTAAAAAAAACTCATTTTAATATTTTCAAAAAGAAAAGTAATACTATATTTGTTTACACCAAATCATCATCCTACCTTTTGTTATTTCCCATATTTCAGAAGTACCATAAATATGACCATAAAAGAAATCAAACAAGGCCCGGCGCGGTGGCTCATGCCTGTAATCCTAGCACTTTGGGAGGCGGAGGTGGGTGGATCATCTGAGGGTCAGGAGTTCAAGACCAGCCTGGCCAATATGGCAAAACCCCATCTCTACTAAAAATACAGAAATTAGCTGGGTGTGGTGGCAGGTGCCTGCAATCCCAGCTACTTGGGAGGCTGAGGCAGGTGAATCACTTGAACACGGGAGGTAGAGGTTGCAGTGAGGCAAGATCGTGCCATTGCACTCCAGCCTGGGTGACAAGAGCAAAACTCCATCTCACAAAAACAAAACAAAAAAAAAAAGAAAGAAAGAAAGAAATCAAACAAGTCAACAACAACAGCAACAATAAAAACAGAAAAATAGATAATTCCCACATATGAAGCAACCAGTGAAAACTGTGTTTGGGGATTAGCTAAAGATTTCAAACATCCTAAATTACTTCTCTTGGGCCCCATGAGGTACAAGATGGACTGAGCCTTATCCTCCTTGGCATGTAATGACTTTGCTAAATTTGAAGTAATATTTTTTAAAAGCCTTAATCCAGACCAGGTCCTCTGAATGACCATGAATGAAATGTCTGAAGTTTCAAGATTATTACAAGTAGGGACATGAAATAGGCTAAGTTCTATTTTAATGTGGACCATTTTATACATGTTTACATTTTCCTTTCAAATCAATCACCTAAAATTATAAATAAGACTTACAGTTAAAGAAAGCAGGCTGTTACCAATCTGTATCCCTTAATAGACAATAGGAACTTAAAATAGCCACCCTCCAAATTGGGTCTTCAATGATTCTCTCACCCTGGTTACTCACATCCCAACCCACATTGAATAGGGCTAACCTGTGTAACCAACAGCACATTGTGGAAATGAAAGAATGAGATTTCTGAGGATAGGTCAAAACAGTCATCACTTCCACCTTGCCCTCTCTTGGGTCACTCCCTCTGCGGGAAGCCAGGTGCCATGCTGTAAAGATACTCAAATAGTCCTATAGAAAAGTCTATGTGGTAAGAAACTTAGGTCTTCTGTTAATGGATAGCACCAACTTTCCATTCATAGGAGTGAGTTATCTTGGGAACAGATCTTTCAGCCCCAGTCAAGCCTTCATACTTTTTTTTTTTTTTTTTTGAGAGAGAGTCTCACTCTGTTGCCCAGGCTGGAGTACAGTGGCACAATCTTGGCTCACTACAACCTCTGCTTCCCAGGTTCAAGCGATTCTCCTGCCTCAGCCTACTACGTAGCTGGGATTACAGGCGTGTGCCACCACACTGGCTAATTTTTGTATTTTTAGTAGAGACTGGGTTTCACCATGTTGGCCAGGCTGGTGTAGAACTCCTGACCTCAGGTGATCACCCATCTCGGTCTCCCAAAGTGCTGGGATTACAGGCGTGAGCACCACGGACGGCCATGCCTTCATACTTTCATAGAAGAAAAATTTTAAATGATAGATGTAGCCCTCTCTCCCTTTTCAGGTTATAATTATCCTAAATATTCATCTTTGTCACTTTGTACATTATTATTGGTGTATTTTTTAAGCATATCACTATTTTTTATTTTCATTTAAGCCAACTATGCTGTAAGCTATTTAGACAAGATGTATGATTCACATTTTACACTTTAATACAAATTTCAGAACGTAAAGTGTATTTTCTATTGTTCAAATCCATATTTTATCTGAAATACAATATTTATAAAACAAACAGCTCGTGCAACAAAACCAACATTATTAGAAGAGTTAAATTATTTATTTAAAAAAAGGTTTTTTTTAGAGACAGGGTCCCGCTGTCGCCCAGGTTGGAGTGCAGTGGTATGATCATAGCTCACTGTAACATCAAATTCCTAGGCTCAGGTGATCTTCCTGCCTCAGCCTCTCGAACAGCTGGGACTACAGGCATGCACCACCACACCAGGCTTTTTGTTTTTTAAATAGAGACAAGGTCTCGTTATCTTGCATAGGCTGGTCTTGAATGCCTGGCCTCAAGTGATCCTTCTGCCTCGGCCTCCCAAAATGTTGGTATTACAGGCACGAGCTACCACATCTGGCCAAAATTATTTTTTAATGGTTGTAGTGGAGCCAATTTTCCTCATTATGTACCTACAGGGAATTAGCACAATATGATTCTGGAATACAACAAAGAATGTGGTATTGATAAGTACATACTCTATATAAATTCAGCCAAACATCCACATCCAAACATCCAAGATGTAAGACTGACTTTTGATTTTAACCTAAAATTTTGAAAATAAATTTTAAAATGCCCTCCAAACTACTGGTAACACACTCCTTTATGGTTTTATGCAGCAGGTTCCAGGAATTACAGTTTTCTGTGCTTCCTTAAATCTTTCTCTTGGGGTAGCCATCAATCATCTTGTTTGTCAATATAGCTCTTTGCATTAACCTGCACCATCTGCCTGGCCAAGTACCTGTCTCTAGCTGACATTACAGTTTCTTCGTTGTTCCTCTTTGCAAACTTGCTCACTGCCTCAGGTGGTCTCTCTTGTTCTTTACCCTTCTCTTGCCTTTCTGTGAGTCTGTGTTTTGCTCCCAGTGATGATTCAGAATTAGAGGGTTTCTCCTGGTTTCCTTCTTTGTCTTTTGTCATGTTTCTCATTTTGTTGGATCTTTCTTGGTCAAGAAATTTATTCTTTGCCCTAGAACTTGGGCTGCTTTCCTTTCTGAAGATTTCTTTCTGAAGATCAAACACTTACTTCTTGTTTTTCTCTATCTCTGTATTTATCATTATTTTCATATCTTTCTTTCCTTACTTTCATACGCTCTTCCTTTGCTTTGCTTTTCTCTTCCTTCTCTCCTTTCTCACTGTGTCGGTTCTGATCATTTTGTTGTCTCTCTTTCTTGTTCTCTTTGGGAATATTTCTCCCCATCTTTCTCCCTTTTCCACACTCTGTCACTTCTTTCTCTTTGGTCCCTCGCCCTTAGTTTATCTTCCTGTTCATGCCTCTTCCAATGGGAATCTCTATGACTGGTCTCCTGTGCCTATGAGAATCCCTTTCTTTCTGGTAATCACGGTCAGTGTAATGGTTCTCCTCGTCTCTGGATTGCTTCTGTTGGTGCTGATCTTCCCTTTTCTCGTGTCCTCTCGATGTTCGTGATCCTTTCGTGTGGTGTCTGGCACTGTGCCCTCTTTCTTCACTAGGTGACTGAGAGTGGTTTTGATTCCTGTGGTGCTTGGGGGTGATTCTCAGGGGTCTCTACGACCTTTTCCCTTCTGCAGTTCACTCTAGTTTCTTTATTTCATCATCCTTGCTGCTCTTAGCATCAAAGTCACTGTCTGCATCTGGGTTTTCCTCTACTTTCACATCAGTTTGAAGAATGCATTTCTCTTGTGGTATTCCGTTTTTTGAACTTACTTCATCAGAGTAGCCCCTTGATTTCTCTTCCTTTATACCAGATCTGGCTTCACGAAAGCTGCATTTAGGTACTTCCTCTTCACCAACTGCTTGATTTAGTAAGTGTCTATAAAATCCACTGAGATCTTTCTGCTTGGTTACATCCAAACACGCTTCCAGCGCAGCAGCCCTCTTTTTTCTTTCTTCTTCAGCTCTCTCTTGCAGTTTTTTCTTATATGCAGATGTCACAAATGCCTCTTTATCATCAAACTCTCCCTTTTCCATTTCTCTTTCTCTCTGTATTTCCTTTTCCATTTCTCGTTCTCTCTGTATTTTCTTTTCCATTCTTTTTTCCTGTTCCTTTTTTCTGATCTCAACTGCTTTTAGCAAGTTGTGAATATACTTGGGCTTTCAGTCTTTCCCCAAAAGCAATTTAGTATTGTTTTCCTCCTTTTTTTCCTGCATTTCATCATAAATACTGTCATATTCATACACAGTAGCATTTTCTGCAAGGGCCTTCTGGATTCCAGTTTGGTCTGTTTCATGGCCTGCTTCTTAGCAGCTTCCCTCTGAAGGCTTTCACTCATGGAGGTCTCATCATCATCATCAGAATCATTCCCAAACACTGACGGTTTTTGCAAAACAGGATGCAACTGCTGTGTTTTCTTTGGCAAAATAAACCCATACTGCCTGCCCAGAATCACCATCTTGTTCCCATATCTACTGAACGTGGCCCTACTGTTGGTGTAGTTTCTGGATTGCTATAAATAAGTGTCGTCAAATCAGAGAGGTGGATATAGCAAAAGCTTTCCAAGGTTCCATTTAGAGTACAAGTAGAGGTATCTAAATTATTTTATTTTATTTTATTTTTTGAGACAGTCTCGCTGTTGCCCAGGCTGGAGTGCAGTGGCGCAATCTCAGTTCATTGCAAGCTCCACCTCCCAGGTTCACGCCATTCTCCTGCCTCAGCCTCCTGAGTAGCAGGGACTACAGGCGCCCGCCACCATGCCTGGCTAATTTTTTGTATTTTTAGTAGAGGAGGGGTTTCACCATGTTAGCCAGGATGGTCTCGATCTCCTGACCTTGTGATCTGCCTGCCTTGGCCTCCCAAAGTGCTGGGATTACAGGTGTGAGCCAGCAGTCCCGGCCGAGGTATCTGAATTATAAAAAATAAAATTTTCAGCTGGACACAGTGGCTCACACCTATAATCCCAGCACTTTGGGAGGCCAACGAGGGAGGATTGCTTGAGCTCAGGAGTTTGAGACCAGCCTGGGCAACCTGACAAGACCCCACCTCTATTTAAAAAAATTTTTTTAAATAAAATTTTCTTTTTAAAGAGAAGCCTATGATTTCTCTATTAAATACATATACACAATTGCAGAGTGGTAATTCTATAAAAAATGGAATCTACAGCTAAAAACTGCTCTCTGCAATATTAGTTTCTACCTATTAAATGACAATATCTTTAACAGATGGAAGAATTAGGAGTAAAATGGGAAGGTATCCCAACATCAAAAAGACTTTTCAGAACTTGAAAGAAAACATTATGCTAAGTGAAAGAAAGCCAAATACAACATATCGCATGGTATGATTCCACTTATAAGAAATGTCCAGAATAAGGCAAATTCATAGAGTCAGAAGGTATTGGGTGCCAAGGGCTGGGGGGTAAAGGGAGTTGGAGAGTGACTGCTATTGGGCAGGGGTTTGTGTTTAGGGTGATAAAAATGTTCTGAAATTAGAAAGTAGTGCTGGCTGCACAACTATATAAACATACTATAAACCACTGAACTCTATATTTTAAAAGGGTGAATTTTATGGCATGTGAATTACTGTCAAGAAAGCTATATTTAAAAAAAAAAAAAAAAAGCTTTTCATCCGTGGTTCCAAACCAATGTTTGGCAAAGCTTATACAGGAAAATCTTGTTAATCACTTTCACAAATGATTGATCTAGCTTATAGAAAAACCGATACCAGAAATTGTTTTAATCTAACTAGGCAAGAAATCTTTCTGGTAATCCTGAAAAGGTTTTCGAACGATCAAAAACTTGTTTAACTTCCCAAAGCATTCTGATTCTATTAACTTAGTAATTTTCTTCATTAAAACAATTTTCCCTAATTTAACCTTAAGTGCTTGGCATATAGTTAAAAATAATTTAACAAACATTTCTTATAAAATAATTTATCTTGGAACATTCACATTCTGAGACCATACATTTATACCATGGAAGCATTCTTAGGGTATTTCTTGAATAGTAAGTCCTTTTCATGTATATTCATGCATTTTGTTTTCCACAAGTATTTAATAATTTTTATTAAACTTTATTAAACAATAAATTTAAAGTGAGTACAATGAACACTTAGCAAAATATTTTTTAAAGTTGCATATTAGAAAAAAAACTTTAGAGCAATTAGGTATATTGTTCCTCACAATGGAAAAAAGTGCAAAGTGAATAGCAATTTTTCTCCTTACAAACGACCTAGGACATAGTATCTACAGAATAGAAAGACAAATATGTATATAATGAACAGTAAAAGGAAGAGGAAACAGCTTTCCCATAGAACAAGAAAATATATTCTGTCTACTGCAAACTTATAAGTGGAAAAATTTTTTTAATGTAAACAATTAGGAGATGATACTGTAAGTGATGGCTGAAATATACACATATAGAAAAACCTTGAGAAGATAAAAGATATTATGAATCAGTACTACTTTTAAAAAGGCAGATCCAAAGTTTAAGGTACAGGTATTGGAATATCTAAAGCTTCCAAACTAGAGATAAAATTCACACATCAGTTATAGATGTGTAATACTACTTCTGTGCATGTGTGTGTGAGACAGAGTCTCACTCTGTTGACCAGGCTGCAGTGCAGTGGTGCGATCTTGGCACACTGCAACCTCCATCTCCCAGGTTCAAGCGATTCTTGTGCCTCAGCCTCCTGAGTAGCTGTGATTACAGGCATGCACCACCATGCCCGGCTAATTTTTTAATTTTTTGTAGGGATGGTGTTTCACCATATTGACCAGGCTGGTCTCAACCTCCTGACCTCAGGGCCTCAGGAGGCCCGCCTTGGCCTCCCAAAGTTCTGGGATAACAGGAATAAGCCACTGTGCCTGGCCAGATGCATAATACTATTTCTATGAAAAAAGAGCACCTAAAATTATTATATCCAAAATCTACTGTAAAAAATGCAAATATTCTGAGATAAAATTGGCCACACGTAATTTTTAAAGCTGTTTTAAGTACAAAAATTAAAACAAAAAGATGACCTCTTTGCAAGCAGTCTCTTTTGGTAAAAAATTTAAATCTCAGTGAAAAATAAATTATCCACAGATTTATAATTCAGTAATCACTACTGTTTATTTATGGTTAGCCTTTTTTCCTCTGCCTATATACTTATATATCACGCACGTTTGTTTCCTTTTTACAAAATTATAATCATACAATCTATATAAAACTTTACATACTAATCTTTTCACTTAACATGTTCCCATGTCATTAAAATTATTGGAAACATGTTTATAGCTTTATAACATTTCTAATTACAGATGTGTCATAATTTGGCATTAGGTTGTTTTCAGTTTTTCATTGTTACTAAAATGCCACAGTGAATGTGTGTATGTGTGTGTGTATATACATATATATCTATATCTATCTATCTATCTATCTATCTATCTATATATATATATATATATATATATTTTTTTTTTTTTTAAGACAGGGTCTTGTTCTGTCACCCAGGCTGGAATGCAGTGCCACGATCATGGCCCACTGCAGTCTTGACCTCTTGGGCTTAAGGGATCCTCCCACCTCAGCCTCCTGAATAACCAGAACTATAGGCTACTCACTACCACATCTGGTTAATTTTTTAAATTTTTTGTAGGGACAAGGTCTCACTATGTTGCTCAAGCTGGTCTCAAACTCCAGAGCTCAAGCAATCCTTCCACCTCAGCCTCCTAAAGTACTGGGAATACAGTTGTAAGCCACTGCACCTGGCCAACAGTGAATATTTATATATATATAATCTTTGAATCTGATCACCTTCTTAGAACAAAAATCTAGAAGTATGATTTCTGAACTAAAGAAATTGAACATCTTTAAGACTCTTGATATAAGTTGAAAAATTGCTTTCCATTAACATACTAATTTATATGCCTCACCCATAATCTACAGTATATGAAAGTGCCCATCTAAACCATGTGTTTACAGGTCCATCTCCTTAAAGAGAGTGTAAGCTCCTGTAGGAGCTTATTTTCATGTTAGATTTATTCATTTTTGTATCCTGGCACCTACCACATGGTACGTGCTAAATAAATAGTGACCAAACTGAATTACAGTATAATGACAAGACTGTTGTTTCCACCAAAAAAGAAACAGAAATCCTCATTAGGAACACATATGTCCTACCTCTGCTGCGGAAGCAAAGGAATCCGTGGATGCGATGCTCAAGGTGTCTCGCAGGCCAAAGTCTTCCACATTACCCTTCATGGTGATATCTGTATCTTTATCTTAAAAGTAAAAGGTGAAAAGTTCAGAAAGTGATATTCCACATCATTGTGGTATTTCACATTCCATAGTTTGATTTTGATTTTTCCCCCAGTCTTTATTTAGACTACTAGTGTCAAAAAGAAAACAGTAAGTATCCATTGTTTAACTGAATCTGAAACTCTGACAAGTAGGGGAGACAATGTTACAAAGCAAATATTCATTTTTAATTTAAAAAGGAATTAAGCTTAATTTTTTATTAAAAGGGCTTTTTAGTACATTATAACCAGAGTTGGATTATCTACTATACATGATGAAGTCAGCATATATCACAGCTAGTTTGAAACAGAGCAATTTATTTGCAAGTGGTCTTGCCCAAATTAGAAGAACTTGTAGGTTCATTGTAGGTTCATTCAAATCAACTATATTATTAACATAAAATATCCAGCCTGTCACTTGTGATAAGCTGATCAATTAAAACAATTCACGGCCGGGTGCAGTGGCTCACACCTGTAATCCCAGCACTCTGGGAGGCTGAGGCAGGCAGATCACCTGAGATCAGGAGTTCGAGACCAGCCTCGCCAACATGGCGAAACCCCGTCTCTACTAAAAAAATACAAAAATTAGCCAGGTGCGCACCTGTAGTCCCAGCTACTTGGGAGGCTGAGGCATGAGAATTGCTTGAACCCGGGAGGTGGAGGTTGCAGTAAGGCAAGATCACACCACTGCACTCCAGCCAGGGGGACAGATCAAGGCTCCGTCTCAAAACAACAACAACAAAAAAAAACAATTCAAGAAGATATTTGTGACTTTTTCAGGCTTTAATGAGACCTACTTTAAAAACTGAATGGTCAAAAACAATCAGACCTAGGTCCTTGATGTTTACTCTGCTTACCTGAGGGTCAAATATAAATGCCCCCAAAATTTTAAAAGGTTGAAAAAGTTCAAATTCTTTGGAATGGTTAATCTCGCCCTATCAAGACAGGCTGTTAGCAATACTTGTCATTCGGAATGTGGGTATGAATATCCTCATGTACTGTTATCAGGAATCTAATTGTTAACATTAAATTTTCAAACAAATACTTTCCTTCTTACATATGTGACTATAATGGAGAAAACAAGTGATAAACTTCAAAATGTATCATAAGTATGAAAGAGCAAAGAATAAAACATATATAGATTTTTCTTATTTTGATTCTGAATCTGCCAAATTTGTCAGACACTATCTTCTTTAAAATGAAACCAGCTGGCTGAGGTAGCTCATGCCTGTAATCATCCCCGTGCTTTGGAAGGCTGAGGCAGGAGGATCACTTGAGTCCAGGAGTTTTGAGACCAGCCTGGGAAACACAGTGAGACCTCGTCCAAAAAAAAAAAAAAAAAATAGCCAGGTGTTGTGGCACATGCTCAGGAGGCTGAGGCAGGAAAACTGCTTGACTCCAGGAGTTTGAGGCTGCAGTGAGCTATGACTGCACCACTGCACTCCAGCCTGGATGTCAGAGTGAGACCTTGTCAAAAAAAAAAAGAAAGAAAAAAGAAAAGGAAGAAAGAGAGAGAGAGGGAGAGAAAGGAACAAAGAAAGAAAAGAAAAGAAAGAAAGCAGAAGTCTCCTTGGCTTTGATTCATCCAAATTTTCATTTCACAATTTTCCCAAAATTAAAATTTATTACCTCTACTAGAAATCTGTTAAATTCTGTTTAAAACCCTAAGTACCAAAAAACACAACTTGTGACTCTACCCAGGAAGTATGGGTTTTTTTTTTTATTCAAAGCATCAATCTGGCTTCAATTAAATGTTTAAATCAAAAGTTGTACAATCAATTATATTCCAAGCTCTACTTGGAATATAATTCCTAGTATAGAATTCCTAGTATAGAAGCAGAATATATTCTGCTTCTACCACAAGCAGAAGACAGAATAAGCCACAATTGGTACAAGGTTCATTCCTATTAAGCACCAAAAATAACCATACATGTAACATATTTTTTTCCTACTTTATGTTTGGTGAGATCAGACTTTACATTTTAAGTATTTACCTTCCAAGTTTAAATTATAATTGTTTTCAGATGACGTTTACATCAATCCTTTTAAAGTACCTAAAACTTTTCATCTTAAAAATCTTTCTACTACTAAATGACTATTAATGGGATAAAATCTGAGGTTAAATTATTCCATTATAAAAATATTTTAGAAATTTACATTTTTCCATTAAACTAGAGAATAAAACAACATAATTGTTTCACACTTATAAATAGCTATCAAACTGGTATTTTGGGACACTCAATTAGAAAAACTCCCATAATTCTCTTTTCAGTGCATATTAAGGCTTTTTAAACACAAATACACACACACTGAGCTTTTATACAAAACTTAATCCTCGTGTACAACCTTCAAAGCGTTATCTTAATTATTTTCCATTCTCAGTATTTCACAAAAAGAAATCACAGTTTTACAATTTTCATTATGTCATGGCATTATCAGAGTGGGATTAAATTTTATTTTATTTTATTATTTATTTATTTTGAGACAGAATTTTGCTCGTTGCCTAGGCTGGAGTGCAATGGCGCGACCTTGGCTCACCACAACCTCCACCTCCCAGATTCAAGCGATTCTCCTGCCTCAGCCTCCCAAGTAGCTGAGATTACAGGCATGTGCCACCACGCCCGGCTAATTTTGTATTTTTAGTAGAGACGGGGTTTCTGCATGTTGGTCAGGCTGGTCTCCAACTCCCAAACTCAGGTGACCCGCCCGCCTCCGCCTCCGCCTCCTAAAGTACTGGGATTACAGGTGTGAGAGCCACTGCACCCGGCCGAGAGTGGGATTAAATTTACAAGTCAATTAACTCTTGTTTCCATATGGCTTTTGCTATTTTCAGAGTAGAATACAGACATTTATCTAGTGTCACTTTACCTCTCAGACATTACCCATGTCTGATGTTAAAAGTCTGTTTTACTTTAGTCAACAATAACCAGCTATTCAATGTCATCCAGATCAGTTACCATACTTGTACTTTATTTTTTAAAAAATCTAACAAAGAAAAATGGCTCACTTCCAGAGGAATTAGAAGGATTTACTCATTAAATCCAAGTCCATAAACCATAGACTATACCTCTTATTTCAGTAATTGTTATGATTCCTGGAATGGCAGCTAAATGATTACAAAGAGAAATAATACTTCTGTTTCTTAGATACGACAATAAAAAGTACAAAGAAAGAATCTTGGGCAATATCCCAAACTAACTGCTTTCATGCATCCAATTAAATTTTAAAATACTCTTTCTTAAAAGTGTCATAAACTCTTGGCCAGGCACAGTGGTTCACGCCTGTAATTCCAGCACTTTGGGAGGCTGAAGCAGGCAAATCTCTTAAGCCCAGGAGTTCAAAGCCAGCCTGGGCAATATGACAAAACCCTGTCTTTACAAAAAATTAGCTGGTGCAGTGGCACACACCTGTAGTCTCAGCTACTTGGGAGGCTAAGTGGGAGGATCACTTGAGTCTGGGAGGCAGAGGCTGCAGTGAGCCAAGATTGCACCACTGTATTCCAGCCTGGGTGACAGAGCAAGGGTCCGTCTCAAAACAAAACAAAACTAATAAAAAGTTTTATCAACTCGACTGTGGTACTGAAAGACAGTGACAGCATGGAAAACGGAAAACCAAAGGCAGCTGGGTGCAATGGCTCACGTCTGTAATCTCAACACTTTGGGAGGCTGAGGCGGGAGGATCACTTGAGCCCCAGGAGTTCAAGATCAGCCTGGGCAATAGAGAGAGACTCCAGCTCTACAAAAAATTTAAAAAGTTAGCAGGGCGTGGTGGTGCACACCTAAAGTTCCAGCTTCTCGGGAGGCTGATGCGGGAGAATCGCTTGAGCCCGTAAGTTCAAGGCTGCAGTGAGCCATGATCGTGTCACTACACTCCATCCTGGGTGACAGAATGACACTGTCTCTAAAAAAAAAGAAAAAAACCAAAGGCTTCATCTTAGTCAACATTTTCAGAAACTTCTAAATTTTTCTCAGCCAAAAAAAAAAAAATCCTAAAACCACAGGGAAATATCATTACACACCTACCAGAATCACTAAAATTGGTGGAAAATGGTTATTATTATTATTATTATTATTTTGGTCGAGGATGTACGGTCAGTGGAAACTCTCACACACCACTGGTGGAAACAACTGGCAGAACCACTTTGAAAAGTTTGGCATTACCTATGAAAGTTCAAGATGGCTTTCTCTATGACCTAGCAATTCTACCCGTGGGTGTGTTTTACAGAAATGCATGCTTATATGCATAAGAGTGTTCATAATAATACTGTTTATAATAGCCCCAAACTGGAAAAGAAACCAAATGTCCAAATATAGAATAAACAAACCGTAGTATATTCATACAATGAAATACTACACAACAATGAAAATAAATGAATTGCAGCTACATGCAGTAACATGGATCAATCTAACAATATGCTGAGTGAAGAATTACATGCAGAATTCATTCATAATGAAAAACTATTATTAAATTCACTCATGCAAAATTCAAAAACAGACAAAACTAAACACACTTAGTGATAAAATTATTTTTAAAAGCTAGAAGGTGACCGGGTGCAGTGGCTGATGCCTGTAATCCCAGCACTTTGGGAGACCAAGGTGGGTGGATCACCTGAGGTCAGGAGTTCGAGATCAGCCTGGCCAACATGGCGAAACCATGCCTCTACAAAAAATACAAAAATTAGCCAGGTGTGGTGGCAGGCACCTGTAACCCCAGCTACTTAGGAGTCTGAGGCGCAAGAATTGCTTGAACCCAGGAGGTGGAGGCTGCAGTGAGCTGAGATCGCACCACTATACTCCAGCCTGGGTGACAGAGTGAGACTCTGTCTCTAAATAAAAAATAAATAAATAAATAAGATAGAAGGTAATTAGCCTGAGCATCAGGACAGCTGCACTCCAGCCTGGGTGACAGAGTGAGACTCTGTCTCAAAATAAATAAATAAATAATAAATAAATAAATAAATAAATAAGCTAAAAGGTAATTAGCCTGAGCATCAGGACAGTTGCTCATTCTGCAGGTGACTGGAAGGGATTACAAGAAGAGCCATCTTGAAAGTTGGCAATGTTTTACATTTTGCTGTACATGATAGTTACATAAGAATGTGTGATAAATAATTGTACTTTTTTGCTTTGTGCACTTTCCTCTAAGGATTTAAATAGAAGGAAAGAAAAGAAAGCAATATCAACTATATGTCTTGGTCCCAAATAGCTGAGAGCAGAAAAGGCTCAATCAGAGCTTCAAAGGCAGGAGGAAGGAGGGTAAGACAATGAATGCTTTCTATATTTCAGTGTTGCCAATGATGCTGTAAATCATTACCAGACACGAATTTTATAACCTGATTGAGAAAGCATATATAATGATGCTAGATTCAAAAGTCAAAAGACTTGATGAGTGTTAAATATAACAGCAAATTGAAAATAATTTATTTGTACCCTGTAGTGAATACCAACAATAGTAGTAGTGTATAATGCCAAGTATATACCACTCATAACCTTTTTTCTCCAGCTCTGCAACCTTACTTTGCTATTTAGTGATTGGTTTAGAATTTTAAGTGGGAATGCTTAAGTGGGGATAACCAAACACTTTCAAGAAGGAGAAGACATGGAAACTAAGGAATGTCTGCTATTTAATCATAACAATAGAAGCGTGATGCAATTAATCAAAATAAACATTTATTTTTCACTCAGTACTTGCCAGATACCAAGTTACATGCTTTACATATATTACCTTATTTTCAATCCCCACAATAACCCTTTGATGAGGTAGATACTATTAGTTTTCTCATTTTATGTATCAGGAATCTAAGGAACAGAGAGGCCAAGTAGCTGCTACATACTTACACATCTAAGAAAGAGAATGGTAGTATTCAAACTCAGGTCATCTGATACCAGATGCTATGCTATAAACTACGGAGCCCTGGTGTCCAATACAGTAGCTCCTAGTTACATGTGTCTATTAAACACATGAAATGAGATGTGCAGTAAGTATAAAATACATAATAGATTCTGAAGACTTAGCAACAAAAAAGAGAAAACATCTTATTAAAACATACTGGGTTTAAGAAAATATATTATTAAAATTAATTTTATCTGTTTCTTTCGAGCCTTTAATGTGGCTATTAGAAATTTTAAAATTACATTTGTGGCTCACATTATATTTCTATTGGACATTGCTGTTAGAGCATTTGTTGTTCATATTTTCACTACAGTGCAAAGAGCTTACAAGTTCTTTAGAAGACTCAGATTCAGCTTATAGTTTTTGAGTCACTATTACGTGTCCAAGTAATACTAAGTGCTTTCACAGACTATTTTACTTGACATATGTAATCATTAGAGAAGAATAGCCTAATTATGTATATTGAGTTTTTGTAACTTGGGAAAAAAAGCCATTTTCTAATCAAATGGCTCCTCTATTGGTTTCCAAAGCTTTCCATTATCTCTGATTATCCTACCTATCCAATGTTCTTTTCTATCAATTATTTTAAAAAAAAGAAAAAAACTTACTGCTTTATCTGAGGGTATGTTGACCATATCCCCACTTGTCATACAGTAATGTAATGGGTAAAAGCGTGGTTTCTGATTCAGCCAGCCAGCACCTGGATCCTGATCCTAAGATTTGCTACTTACCACCTACGTAAACTGAGGATAGCAATATTAATTTCCTAGAGTTGTTGCAAAAGTTAAATGAGATTTGTGGAGGCACAGTACTTGGTCCATCGTGAGTATAAAATAATTTTTTCTATTACTATCATTACCAAACGCATTCTTTATTCAAGCCTCTGGTTCCTCCTGTTTCTACTCTACATATATCCTACTCTCCTTCTGCTCCCTTGCCCTATGCTACCCATAAGCACATTTTTTTTAATACTCAGTTCAAGTATTATCCCCTGTAAACATCCTCCAAAATTTATCTGATTTTTTGCTCCTATGTAAGGCAGTATAGCAAAAGCGTTAAAACCATGGGTTCTAGAGCTGAATTCCAATACTGACTCTGTTACTTATTAGCTGTGTAACCTTGAGTAAGTTTCTTATCTTCTCTGTTCCTCAATATTCCCATTTGTAATATAACTTGAGTGGAGGGACTTTACTTTCTTTCTTTTCCCTTTTTGTTTTTCCTGGTGGTTCGTACAGTTCTCGGGAGATTATTGAACACATAACAAACACTTACATATTTGTTCATGTAAACTAAAATTTATTATTATAAATGGACCGTCCCCAGGACATGAAAATCTCTAGAGAGCCTATCATATACTTACTCTGGTTCATTTTGCCTATGACTTTAACTTGTTTTCAGAACCCTGTTAAATTTCTTACGTTTCTTTCTTTTTTTCTTTTTTTTCTTTTTTCTGAAACAGAGTCTCGCTCTGTTGCCCAGGCTGGAGTGCAGTGGAGCGATCTTGGTTCACTGCAACCTCCACCTCCCAGGTTGAAGCGATTCTTGTGCCTCCGCCTCCCAAGTAGCCGGAATTAGAGGTGTGCACCACCACGCCTGGCTAATTTCTGTATTTTCAGTAGAGATGGGGTTTCACCATGTTGACCAGGCTGGTCTCAATCTCCTGACCTCAAGTGATCCACCCGGCTTGACCTCCCAAAGTGCTGGGATTACAGCTGTGAGCCACCACACCTGGCTTATTTCTTATGTTTCTAATAGCCAGCCCTAAATTAACTAAACTTATACTACTATCTTGTAAACCTGAAATATGCAGCTTACACTCCTTAATGAATGATAATGAACATTAGAAGTTCATTTTAAAAAGCTTTCCCCAAACTGGTTGATTGTACATTAAATTTAAAATACTCTGTAAATTACCACACTGGCTCTCAGTGAAGTAGCTCTTTTTTATTTTTGGTAACATTTTAAAATAAGTAAATCTATAATTAAAAAAAATTTAAACTGTCTCAATCACCCAGAACTTTTAAAGCATTCACTGTACACAGATATCAACGATGATATTCTTTGGAAGTACATTAACACCACAATGTTTACTCTTAACTCAATTGTCACATATTCTAGGCCAAAAATCTGACTGGATCCAAGCCTTACCCTTCTTTCACAATCTCATAATTCACATATTACTTGAGTTTTTTTCCAAAGCAGGATTTGCTTTAAAAGTTTTAAAGAAAACTAGAAGTCCTGGAACTTGGAATTTCAGGCCTGGATCTACTTCCTTAGACCAATCCAAGTGGGTTTTCTACATTTCACTTTTGCCATCCCTAGGCACATTCTATTTTCTGTCACTTAGAAAACACTGGGTCTATTTTAACCTCAGCAGATTCTAGTAGAGATTCCAAAGATGCCACTCTTCTTTTAAAATCCAGGCTGTCCACTGCAGATTTTATAACAGGAGCAACAAGAGGAAGCCTGCCAATTGTCTCAACGTCATCTGACTTCTATGTCAACAGCTTTTCTCCAGGTGATATTCAGCAGTTAAAATATGACTTGGAACCTTGTCCTTTCTATGCTTTTATTAACAATGGAAAAGCTTCTGCTGTCGACAAGATGAGCTATTTTCCAAACAGAGTCTGTTATAATTTGTTTAAATAATCAAGTCTAGGAAACCACTGCTGCTCTTTGTTTATTCTGTATGACTATCTGCCCATACATACTGTGGATAATTTTTACTTTCTGATTTGTTTTAAAATACTACAGTATAATTTGAGAGAAAGAACAAAGTTGAATATAAAAATCAGAAACAACAAAATTTCAGAAAGTGAAAAACTAAGACAGTTATAATATTTTCTTGATTTTTAACCTCAATGTGCCTCAATATTGAAAAGAGAAACAATAAAATCCACTGAAACAAAAGAAAAGAGAACTTGGGGCAGGTGCAGTGGCTCATGCCTGCAATTCTGGTGCTTTGGGAGGCTGAGGCGGGAGGACCACTTGACCCCAAGAGTTCAAGACCAGCCCAAGCAACATACCGAAATCCCATCTCTATATAAAATAAAAACATTAGCCAGGCATGGTTGTGTGCACAATGTAGTCCAGCTATTCAGGAGACTGAGGCAGGAGGATCACTTGAGCCTAGGAGTTTGAGGCTGCAGTGAGTTAGGATCACGCCACTGCGCTCCAGCCTGGACAACAGAGTGAGACCCTGTTCCTCTAAAAAAGAAAAAAAAAGTTATATATGATGAGGTGGTGGGAATAATAAAAAAAAAGAAAAAAGGAGAACTTGTCAAAGTTCTTGATTTGTGATGACGTATAAAGTTTCACCCATGTGAAATAATGTATGTACAAAACAGCCTGATATTACCCAAAAGAAGATTTCCACAATAGTTGTCTCTGGCATTCCCTATTTATCAAAATTTTTATATACTATGATTGACCAACACAACAACTGTGATTCCTAACTGGGAAGTACAGCTGCCAATGCAAAGTGAGTAACACAAGGAAAGGGAATGGGAACCATTCAAACACTTTAGAAGAGTAACAGCATTTTCTACACCCTCCCCCCTTTTGTTTAAAGAAGAAAGAAGTGACTAGATTAACCCAAACTGGAGCAAGAAGTCATTAAGATTAGGTCTGCAGTTACAGAGACTTGAGCAGGGCCACGAGGTACAACTGGTCATTCTGTATGTTACACAAAGGTCCCCTGCCACAGGAATAAGTCGGGGCAGAAATCCAGCCCAAATACTAGACCTGCATCTTCCTGAAGGAAAGTGGACCTTCTTCTTGGCACAAAGGTCCCCTCCCAAGGGGCTTACATGGATGGCCCTTTGTCTAAATCACATAAAGGCCTTATATGGGCAGTGATGGTCCTGGACATAGAAATCCAAGCTGTTAAGACATAACTTCAACACAAAACAGGCAAAGGCAAGCACCAGAAATTTCTCATGTTTCTGGGACCCCAACAATTTTCATTATATTGCTTTCTTCTCTGAACCTACTTTAACTTGTATAATACCAGTTAGATTTCATTTTGTGTTATTACTAAACCCTTTAAAAATAAGATTATGAGCCTTACACATGGGAGGAAATTACTAAGCCAAATTTCTCATATGTTGTACAATGTGTACTCTGTATATTTAGATGTCTGAGTATACAACTTAAGCTGGCAATTCATATCATTCCCTAAAAATAAACCCTCAGGGAGTTTATCCTCCAACCACAATGATTCTGCAGGAATGGGAGAGGACAAGGTCTCAGAGCTTCAACTTGGGGCTGACATTTGATGTAAGATGTTAGGCTGAGGTATTTCCTCTTGTTGCCAAGTTCATTCAGTATTTCTAAATGTTCTATCTGGCTGCTTACCAAAAAAGAAGAATAACATCTCTCTAGTGGTCAAGAGGTTCTACTTGACAGCTTTTCCTATGCTCTGCCAGAGAATTTGTGCAGTCAGTACTAAGCTGGCAAAATCTCTAATTTTCCCTTAAAGGATGTCTCACTGACTCAATAAAATCTTATAAAGGAGCAGCAACAAAAATGGATAAAATATTTAAACTGTGCCAGCCACACTTCCAGACTTCTTCAAACTCATAAATTTGATTATGACTTCTTATAATCCTCAACGGCTCCCTTTTGTCTAAAGGTACAAAGCAAGGACCTTCATAATTTATGTCCTGCCCAGCTTTCTAGGTTCATCTCCTACCACTCCCCACCTATATTGTGTTTCCAAAACATATCAAAGAACTTGTAGTTCCCTAAACAGGCTCCACTCTGCACCTTGATCCATGTTCTTCCCTCTGCTAGGAATGCTCTTTTCTCAACTGTCTCCCTAGCAGACCATCTTTCTTTAAGTGTCACTCCTCCTGTGAAACGTTCCCATGAGCCCCGCTCCATGAATAATCACATGCTTTTCCTTAGTGTTCCCATAGCACTTTATAAACATGTTATTATGTACTTACTCCACTGTCTGTGTATTTTTTAATGCCTGTTTCCAAAACTAGACTCTGCATTGCCTAAAGGCAGAGATGAAATCTTCATCTTTATTTCTCCAGTGTCTTATACCATGTTTGACATATACTAGGAAATTAAATGTTTGCTAAATAAATATTACAGACCCAAGATTCTGTGAGCTCATTCTGTAAAAACATAGATTAGGAAGATGCCTAAACACTTATCTGAAATATGTGAAGCAATGCTTTCAATAAAGCCACAAAAATTCCTGGTTTAAGATCTAAATCTGTTCCTACACATCAATATAAAAGAATCTCAAAGTCCTCTGTTTCAGCCACAAAAATAACATTTATCACACAGGCTTCAGTGTTGCCTGCTAATACTACTACTGTACATATATACTACTCTTCACAGGAAGTGTAACTACACAAAATATGAAGCCCAATTAATTTTAGAAGGAAATGAAATTAGAGATTAATAAGTTGGAACTTTATTCATTTAAACCATACCAACTATATAATGTCCCCAAGAAACTGTGGACAAGATACATCTGTTGTTAATCGGGTTTACTTTTTTGGTGTTGTTTTGTTTTGAGACAAGGTCTTGCAGCCTAAACTTCCTGGGCTTAAGCGATCCTCCCACCTCACACCCAGTTTATTTCTAAACTGGCATTAAATCCAGCAATTTATTCCTGCCCAAATAGTCTAACCAAAGTGCGTAAAGAATAATGTTAATTCCTGAATCTACTGTTACAAAAATAAACTTCCAAAGCATGTAATCACAAACATTCGTCATGATATGACAGTAACAGAAGTCTCCTAAAGTATAAGTTATTCCTGGTTTTAGAGATTGGTAGGATCCCACATTTTGGTGGAAGATGAGAATTTCCTCATGAGAGATTGGTAGAGTATCTCTCAGTTGTTGTGGCCAACTGAAGCCTAATTTTTACCAAAATAATTCAGATAATAAAATTTCTGTTTATTATAAAATATATAAATATATATTTTTATTGTGTGATATTTGAAATGTATAAAAATTACCTACATAGCATAGACATGTTTCTGGACTCAAAATAATAAAACAAACATTTTTGCATTTGCTACCCATTTATAGCCACTTTTCAAAGCTTACAAAATTACTTGTTTATTAAGGAAAGTAACACTATCATGCAGAAATACACTGTACATATCTTCTTACGTGAAACTTGAGTTCCCAAATAAATTTCATAGATATTCAGATACTGCAGCAAAAAACAGCTGCAGATAACTAAAGAATTAACCCATATGTCCCAAACAAGATCTGTTTACTTTCAAGTTCTTATCTTAGGCTCTTAAACAGGCTGAGGGCACATCAATTGTGAGGTATGGGAAGAAATGGAAGTGGAGAGGAAAAGTTAAAGAAGGATCTTCGACTTTGTGGATGGAGGTTAGGCTCTGAGTCTAATTGCTCGGTATTGAAGAATATACTAACTTATATTGCTTTTTAACTGCTCCATAAGTGTAAGTGTTAGTTACCCCACCAGACTACAAGCAACCTGAAAATAGGCACATTAGCCCTTATTTCATCTGAATTTCATCACATGCTTCAGAGTTGTGTTTAAGTATTTGTTTGCTGTGTCAGGTACACAGCAAATAAATAAATACTTAAAAACTGATTTTTAACCTATATCTGCTTTAAAGTCTCCATGTGTATCTCTGCCATTAATGCTCCTTTACCTTAATGAGAGGCTATAGCCACAGGGAAATATAGTCTTTGATTCTGTATAGTGGGCCAGCTGACTTATGGTCCTCTTTCTGACACAGCTCTCTTCAGACATAAAAAGATTATAACACTCTACCCAAAGCGGTGAGATAGGGCAGGGTTGCGGGGAGGGGGGTGCGGAAGAGGGATGAAAGAATATGTGGTGAAAAGATGAAATAAAAATAAACATGTTATCATTCCCAGATAATATGTGGTCTAAATAAAAACTCCAAAAGAACCTATGTCAAATTACTGGTATTACAACTAATAAGAGTTCACAAGAGTTGTTAATATTCAAATGCAAAAACCTACATTTAAGATCCCAGCAATGACAAATTAGAAAATGTAAACTTAAAAAGATAACCACTTATAATGACAATGAAACTGTAAGGGACTTAGGAAAAAAGACATATAAGACATTTATGAAGAAGATTATAAAACATTATGAAAGATATAAATGAAGACCTAAGTAAAGAACCATACCATGTTCACAGATATAAAGGTTACTATTATGAAAATGTAAATTTGCCTACAGCTGACCTATAAATACAATATAATAATCAAAATCCCAAGAGAGTTTTTCATGAAACTTGACAAGCTGTCCTAAACTTCACATGGAAAAGCAAAGGGCTAAGAATAGTCATGACAAGTCTCAAAAAGCCCCACAGTGAATGGACTCACCCTGCCAAGTGTCAAGATTTATTATAAAGCTATATAAAGCTACAGTAATTAAGACACTGTGAAACCAATGCAGGAAACAGATTAACAGAACAAAATAGAGAGCCCAGAAAAGACACACAGAAAGAGACCTGACATATGACGGTGGGGGGTGGGGGGGCTTTGCAAATCAGTCAGAAAAGAATATATTATTCAAAGAGAGGTGCTGAGGCAATTACCCATCCAAACATTAAAAACAAAACAATAAAATACATTTAAAAAAACTTCTACGGCCGGGCGCAGTGGGTCACGCCTGTAATCTCAGGACTTTGGGAGGCCGAGATGGGAGGATCACTTGAGATCAGGAGTTCAAGATCAGCCTGGCCAACATGGTGAAACCCCGTCTCTACTAAAAATACAAAAAAATTAGCTGGGCGTGGTGGCAGGTGCCTGTACTCCCAGCTACTAGGAAAGCTGAGGCACGAGAATCACTTGAACCTAGGAGGTGAAGGTTGCAGTGAGCTGAGATCGCGCCGCGGCACTCCAGCCTAGGTGACAGAACGAGACTCTGTCTCAAAACAAACAAACAAAACTTCTAGAAGATTTTTTAAGGGACAGGGTCTCACTCTGTTACCAAGGCTGAAGTGCAGTGGTGCCATCCTAGCTCACTACAGCTTCAAACTCCCAGGCTCAAAAGATCCTGCTATCTCAGCCTCCCAAGTAGCTGAGACAACAGGCATATACACGCATGCCACCACACCCAGCTAATTACTTTTATAAAATTAATTATTCTACTTATTTTTTTGTAGAGACAGGGTCTTACTACATTGCCCAGGCTGGTCTCAAACTCTTGGCCTCAAGCAATCCTCCCACCTTGGCCTCCCAAAGTGCTGGGATTACATGCATGAGCCACCATACCTGACCAACTTCTAGAAGAATAAAGACCTAAATATGAAAAACAAAGCTTTAACACTTTCCAAGGAAAATACAAAAGAATTATCTTTATCCCTCTAAACAATACATAGAAAGCACAAACCATATAGGAAAGAATGAAAAATGTGATGACATTAAAATTAAATATCTGGGACCAGGTACAATGGCTCATGCCTGTAATCCCAGCACTTTGGGAGGCTGAGGCAGGACGACCACTTGAGCCCAGGAGTTCGAGCCCAGCCTGTGAAATACAGGAAGACTCCCATGTCTACAAAAAATACAAAAAAAATTAGCTGGGTGGTGTGGCACATGCCTGTAGTCCCAGCTACTTGGAAGGCTGAGGTGGGAGGATCCCTTGAGCCCAATAGTTCAAGGCTATAGTAAGCTATGGTCACACCACTGCACTCCAGCCTGGGTGACAGAGTGAGACCCTGCTTCAAATTTTTAAAAAGAAAAAACAAAAAGACAAACAGACTTACTGGCAGTAGTACTTTATATATTTGAGGCTTAAAATAAAATACACATGAACCATACATTATATTTTCCTCATGTACTTAAAAAATTAGTTTTAAATTTCTACTTCACTAAAAATAAAGTTCTGTATTTAATAAGCTGAAATTATACCATTTACTTAAATTTATTGCAAAAAACCTTAATGATACCCATCTTGTCTATCCATCCAAATATCTATCATTCAGATATTACCTGCAGGGCCTCGTAAGCAGAAATGCACATGAGAATCACCTGCTGAACTAGGAAATACAAACCCAAAGCTTCATGTCCCAACCCCAAAGTTTCAATTTCAGTAGGTCTAGAGCAAAACCTATGAAGGTGATTCTGATAAACATCATAGAAGACCCACAGACCTACTACTATCTATACTACATTCAAACCAGTTTCAGACACTGAATAGAATTAAGTATGTCTTCTGCCCACAAGGAGTTTAAGGTTTAGCATAACACACTGGATATGTACATAAATAATTATAATGTATTGTCAAGAGTAATCAATGTCACAAAGGAAACCATTAAACCTCCCCACCCACCTTTATTTATTTATTTATTTATTTATAAGACAAAGTCTCACTCTGTTGCCCAGGCTGGAGTGCAGTGGCCCAATCTTGGTTCACTGCAGCCTCCTCCTCCTGGGTTCAAGCTATACTCCTACCTCAGCCTCCCAAGTAGCTGGGACCACAGATGCACACCACCACACCCAGCTAATTTTTGTATCCCACCTTCATATTTCATATAGGACTTCCACTCCAATCTCCAAGAAGCAGCTATTCTGGTTTTACATTTTAAGTTGCTCCCTTCACCTCTTCAATTGCTCCTCCCCATGGGAAGAGTAACTTGGCTAATGCTGAGAACCTGCATGCAATTAACCAGGTAGAGGAAAATAAGATAAAATTAATGTTCACTAGTTCTTGGTGTGTACTAGTTCACTCTCCTTCGCAGACTTTCTAGAGAAAGGTCAGGGTCTGCAAACCCATCCTCACTTTTGCTCTGGATCTCACTCCTTCTGAGCTGGACAAAGTGTTGGCAGAAATTGTAAGGCAGGCAGGGAATCTCTACGCAGCTGGCTGGGTAAGTATGTTGTTAATTTGCTCTGTATTCTCTTCTCCAGATAATTTTTTATTTTATTTTATTTTATTTTTTGAGACAGGGTCTCACTCTGTCACCCAAGCTGGAGTGCGGTGGTGTGATCATAGCTCACTGCGGCCTCGATTTCCAAGACTCAAGCAACCCTCCCCACTCAGCCTCCCAAGTAGCTGAGACTACAGGCGTGAGTCAACACACCCAGCTTCCAGAGAATTTTTTTGAGGGGAAAGGAAGAAGTTGTAAAAATCCTTAACACATTGTCCAATCTGGCTATTAAGAAAAAAAGTTTAGGTCAGGCGTGGTAGTCGGGAGGCTAAGACAGGAGAATCACTTGAACTCAGGAGGCAGTGAGCGGAGATCGTGCCACTGCACTCCAGCTGGGCCACAGAGCAAAACACCATCTCAAAAAAAAAAGGCTCTTTTTGGCCAGGTGCAGTGGCTCATGCCTGTAATTCCAGCACTTTGGGAGGCCCAGCTGAGTGGATCACCTGAGGTCAGGAGCTTGAGACCAGCCTGGCCAACATGGTGAAATCCCATTTCAGCTAAATATACAAAAAAATTAGCTGGGCGTGCTGGCGGGCGCTTTTAATCCCAGTTACTCGGGAGGCTGAGGCAGGAGAATCACTTGAACCCAGGAGGCAGAGGTTGCAGTGAGCCAAGAATGTGCCACTGCACTCCAGCCTGGGCAACAGAACAAGACTCCATCTCAGAAAAAAAAAAAGGCTCTTTTTGTGTTCTTAATTTATTCAGAATCCAGACCTGGCATGGTGGCTCATGTCTGTAATCCCAGCACTTTGGGATGCCAAGGAAGAAGGACTGCCTGAGCCCAGGAGCTCGAGACCAGCCTGGCAACATAGTGAGATCCTGTCTCTACAAAAAATTAAAAAATTAGCTAGTCATGGTAGTTCACGCCTGTAGTCCCAGGTACTCAGGAAGCTGAAATGGGAGAATCACTTGGACCCAGGAAGTTGAGGCTGTGGTGAGCCATGATCGCACCATTGAATTCTAGCCCAAGCAACAGAGCAAGACCCTGTCTCAAATAATAATAATAATTAATAATAATAGGATATGCCAGCAAGAGGCAGTATATCCATTATCATTTTTTATTTTCCTCCTACGCATGACAAGGTCAGAGATGAGGGAAAATCAGTAATCTTAGCTACATCTAGAATAATTATTTTTTCAAACCCTTCAGATAATTTCTAACCCGGAAAAAGGTAGATTTATAAAAAGCACCTTTTTTTACTTTACCAAAAAATAAGTTTAAACATGGCTTACCTTGTTTCATTAAATACAAATTTATATTACTATGAGAAAAATCAAATTAATTCCCAGAAAAAAAGAATGTTGTCTGCAGAATTGACTAACAATATCATTGTAAAACAACTTATGAACATGTGACATCCTCCTATCTATAACTATGAAATTTTTAAACCAGCTTAGAACAGGCCTCTTTAAACTGCTAGACTATAATTATAATAATGAATAGATAAGTGTTTACCATGTGCCTATGCTAAATATGTTATGTAATCTCACTTAATCCTCACAGTTTTATGAAGTTGATCCTAATATACTCCTACACATTACAGATGAAAAAGCTGAGTCTAAGCAAAGTCAAGGCTTGCTTAATGTCTCGGCTAGCAAGAGGGGTAGAGCCAGGATTTGAACCCATGCTTGTTTGACTCCAAAGCCCATATTCTTAATTACTAAGTTATACTATGTATAATTGAAATCATATTGGAGGTTTTCGTTAAGCCTTCAGAAGTTACAAAAAAAAAGTTTATCAATTATAATTTAACAATCTCTGAAAATAGAAGCTACAAATAAACATAAACATAACACTTCCAGATACTTTTAGCTAGAAGAACTTGCACAATAATGGAAATTTACAGTAATGTTATTTCATGTCTTCTCTGCATAACTTCCACGTTCTTTCTCATTCTGAGTTACAGTACCAGGTGCATACAAAGCCTGCCAGCAAGTGTTGACTTATATTTAACTCCCAGTGCTACAAGTAGCAACACAGAATGGCACCTGAGTCACAGGCATCCAACATGTAGATAAAACGTGCTGCCCTCTAGTGATTTCAACATCTCACATTCAGCACTAAACGGTCTTATAAGTGAATAAGGAAAACGTTTTCATTTTTAGAGAACTAACTCAAATCTTCATTTCATTTGTTTGTGATTGCACAACTCCTATATTCCTATAAGAGAAACAGAACAGGGCCAGGCATCGTGGCTCATGCTGTAATCTCAGCACTTTGGGAGGCTGAGGCGGGCAGATCACTTGAGGCCAGAAGTTCGAGACCAGCCTGCCAACATGGTGAAACTCCGCCTCAACTAAAAATACAGAAATTAGCCAGGTGTGGTGGGGCACGACTGTAGTCCCCAGCGCACCTGCAGTCTCAGCTACTTGGGAGGCTGAGGCAAGAGAATCACTTGAACCCTGGAGGCGGAGGTTGCAGTGAGCCAAGATCATGCCACTGCACTCCAGGCTGGGCATCAGAGCAAGGCCCTATCTCAAAAAAAAAAAAAAAAAAAAAAAGAGGAATAGAACAAATAACTATTGTTTAAGCCTGTATTAAACTCTTGGTGCACTAGCACTTAGAAATGCATGCAATAATGACTCATTAATTCAGGATGGTTAAGGAAATGCAGCATGGAACATGGCAAACAATAAATTATAGAATATGGAGTGGGTTATATTTTATGGGTGGAATTCATTCCTTAAAACATAATTCAAACCCTGCCTAATGCAAAGCTATTTTCTTATCATAGGAAACATTGTAAAGATGGCTTGAAATACAACTACTGTGCTATATTTCTTTTTGCAGGCATACTTTTAAACCACAATAATTATAATAAAATCTGTGTTTATGCTTTTAAAACACAAAATATTACTAGTAAACCATTTTGTATCAGTATCACCTCCTTCCAAAATATCAAAAATATTTCCTATTTTAATTATTTTTAGAGACTGAGTCTCACTGTTTCTCAGGCTGAAGTACAATGGCCCAATCGTAACTCACTGAAGCCTCGAATGCCTAGGCTCAAGGGATTCTCCTGCCTCAGCCTCCTGACTAGCTAGAACTACATGCACACACCACCATTCCTGGCTTAAATTTTTTTATAGAGACGGGGATCTCGCTATGTTGTCCAGACTGGGTCTTGAACTCCTGGTCTCAAGCAACCCTCCTGCCTCAGCCTCCCAAGTGCTGGGATTACAGACAGGCATGAGCTACCACACCCAGCCTGTTTTCTATTTTAACACAGATGACAGCACAGCTTAGGAATGCATTTGAATGTTTGCAATTTTAGAGCCAGGTTGTCAGAAGTTTTTCATTTTAAAAATAAAAGTCCTCCTATTTTAATACTGCTCTTTTATTTTCTCAGCATTAGTTCTAATATTTCCAGCATGTTTGCTGCTAAATTAACAGAAATGTCAGATCTTCTTTTCAGTATTTATCATATTTAATGGCTTCTTGGATGGCAATGTTACGGAATAGAAAATAGATTTAAAATTTAACCAAAGTAAAAACAACAACACAACCAAATCACTTGCAGAAGTTCCCATGCGTATAAACAACAGTATGGTTTATAGGCTATTCACAAAGGATAGTTAATATTTCTGGTTACCAGCTGAGGTGTCACGACCTATGTGGCAACAGAGAAACAGAGTTTAGAATTCAACAGGCCCACCAGCTTTGAAACTAAGTGATTCTTTAAAGAACTTTTTAAAAATTTTGTCCAGCCTAGACAACAAAGTGAGACCCCGTCTCTACAAAAGAATTAAAAAATTAGCCAGGCACAGTGGCATGCACCTGCAGTCCTAGCTACTCAGGAGGCTGAGGCAGGGGGATTGCTTGAGCCCAGGAGTTTGAGCCTGCAGTGACCTATGACTGTGGCAATGCATTGAAGCCTAGGAGACAAAGCAAGACCCTGTCTCTAAAAACCAAAAAACCCAAAACAAAAATTTGGGATTTGCATTCAATTTAACATGAAATGCTATTCTGCACTATTTCAAATTCATGAAAATCTACTTACTTAAGCTTAGCTTAACACCATCCACAGTGTATTTTTAACTCCTTTATTGAAGTATAATTTACATACCACAAAATTCTCCCCCTTTAAGTGTGCAATGTGTTTTAGTTTTAAATGTATAGAGCTGCGCAATGGTTACCATATCCAGTGTTAGAACCATACTATATGTTTTTCAAAATCTATGTTATTAACTTCATCTACCAAAAGTAACCCCAAATAATTCACAATACTGATAACTCAGAAGTTTTTTGGATCTGCTATTTAAAAAAAAAAAGGAGAATAGACATCATTTATTTTCAATAAATTCATTGTTATCTACAAAGAAAAATGCTGAAAGAATCATGCTGGGCCGGGCGTGGTGGCTCACGCCTGTAATTCCAGCACTTTGGGAGGCCGAGGCGGGAGGATCACGAGGTCAGGAGTTCGAGACCAGCCTGGTCAACGTGGTGAAACCCCGTCTCTACTAAAAATACAAAAATTAGCCTGGCGTGGTGGCACACGCCTATAATACCAACTATTCGGGAGGTTGAGGCAGGAGAATTGCTTGAACCCAAGAGGTGGAGGTGGCAGCGAGCCAAGACTGTGCCACTGTACTCCAGCCTGGGCGACAGATCAAGACTCTGTCTCGGAAAAAAAAAAAAAAAAAAAAAAACATGCTGAAAGGATTTAAACAGTCCGCCTATAATCTTATCCATAATGTTAAGTTGGCAAACTACTCTTCTATAAATAGTACAAATGTATAATAAGTAGAATCCTTATTTAAATTTTGAATTCCAAATTAGTAAAATAAATTTTGCTAAGGCTCTTCTAAAGTAAATAAAATCTGACACATTAGCCTTCCAATACTAAAATGATTTGCAAGTGAGTATAGAACCAGCTATGAACATTTGATGGCAAATCCCTAGCTGCAAAAAACTCAGCCTCAGCAATATTTCCAAATAGTGTTAATTAATATCAGCCTCTTTTTCAAAAAAATTCTGTATTTTCCTAAATTCCCAGTTAACATTTTGTTATGATATACAAAAAAGTATCCCATGATCTCTCTCACTCTTTTTTTCTCTAGAGACAGGATCTCACTCTGCCACCCAGGCTAGAGTGCATAGGTACCAACATAGCTCACTACAGCCTCGAACTTCTGAGCTCAAGTGAAGCTCCTGCCTCAGCCTCCTGAGGAACTAGGGCTACAGGTGTGAGTTACTGTGCCCGGCCCCATGGTCTCTTTATAATCAAGATGAAAAACGTAAAAACAGAATAAGCTGAATTCATAGCTGGTTGAACAAAGTGTTTTTTTAACAGCTTTATGAGCTATTACTGACATACAAAACTGTATATATTTAAGGTGTACGATTTTTTTTTATATGTATGCAATGTGAAATGACCACCAAAATCAAGCTAATTAATGTATCTACCACCTCTATAGAGTGATTGTGTGTGTATGTGTGTGTGTGGTGTGTAAGGTAAGATTTAAGTTCTAGCCTTTTAGCAAACTTCAAATATGCAACACAGTATTATTAACTACTGTCACCATGCTATACATTAGATCTCCAGAATTTATTCATCTTGAATAACTGAAGCTTACAAAGTATCTTAATAATTATTTGTGACCTAAGGAAATTTGACAGTGTCATGCCTCAGGTCTCTGACTCTGACACTATCCATTTTAGCAATTTTTATTAATGATTTCAATGACAGCACTCATTACCAACTATACAAAACTAACCAAATTAGAGAATGATACAAAGTTGAGAAGAATAATTAATACGTTAGATGTCAAATCAAAATCTAAAACTATTTGGCCAGGCGCGGTGGCTCACAACTGTAATCCCAGCACTTTGGGGGGCGGAGGCGGGCGGATCACCTGAGGTGGGAGCTCAAGAGCAACCTGACCAACATGGAGAAACCCTGTCTCTACTAAAAATACAAAATTAGCCAGGCATGGTGGTGCATGCCTGTAATCCCAACTACTCAGGAGGCTGAGGCAAGAGAATCGCTTGAACCCAGGAGGCAGAGATTGCGGTGAGCTGAGATGAGATCGTACCATTGTTCTCCAGCCTGCGCAACAAGAGCGAAATTCCATCTCAAAAAAAAAAAAAAAAATCTAAAACTATTTAACAATTCAGAATGATGACTCAGAACTAACAATTTAGTAAGAATAATAAATACAGTACCTATACCCTTGGTCCAAAAGAACAACTGCACAGGAATAAATGAGGGAAGATGTGGCTTAATGGTAAGAAACTAACAATAACAAAGAACTTAGAAATTTTAGTTAACCATAAGTTCACCAAAAGCCAATGTAAACCTTAGACTCTATTATTATAATGTCCAGAATTTATTATCTTTTTTTTTTTTTTAAGACGGAGTCTCACTTTGTCGCCCAGTCTGGAGTGCAATGGCACAATCTTGGCTCCCTGCAACCTCCACCTCCCAGCTTCAGGTGATTCTCCTGCCTCAGCCTCCCAAGTAGCTGGGATTACAGGCATCCGCCACCACACCCAGCTAATTTTTGTATTTTTAGTAGAGACGAGGTTTCACCAGGTTGGCCAGGCTGGTCTTGAACTCCTGACCTCAGGTGAGCCACCTGCCTCAGCCTCCCAAAGTGCTGGGATTACAGGCATGAGCCACCATGCCTGGCCTAATGTCCAGAATTTATAGTTCAACATGGTAGGCAAATTACCTTCTAGTTCAAGAAGGTACTTCTCTTTCCTCCCAAAGGCCCATTGAGAAGGACAGAAGAAATTTTTTTTAATGGAGTAAAGTATAGCATCACTGGAAAACATGAATAGGATATCAGTGGACCAGAAATTTTAAAGAACGTCTTGAAATTGGCAAATACAGGATCAGAAAGGTAGAATAAGAACAACAACAACAACAAAAACGACAGCCTAAGATTCTAGAGGTAAAATGATGGTCTTCCTGAGTGTCCTAGAGAAGTTCCAAATTCCGAGCCAATACACATTGTTACCCTGTTCCTAGAACTTTCATTTAATCCTCAGTTTATAAAATTGGTACTCTATATGTTAATTTTTCAGAAGAGGAAGCCAAGGCTTAGACAGGTTTTATAATCACACAGATAAATGGAAATGTCAGGAGTTGAACCCAGTTAGTCTGCATCCACAGTCTGTACTTTTAGTTATTATACAGATGTAGGATAATCCGTCAGAGTAACTCATTAGCACTACACTAAGTTCAGGGTCACAGTCAGGCCCTCTGTCTCACATAGCTTGCCTCTTTTGTTCTTGGATTAAACCTTGACAATTTCTTTCTACAAAATGTGTGAAATCTGCCTAGAAAGCCTGAGAAAGGAAGAAAGACACATGAGCTAACTACAGATCACCACATGAGTATAGAGGAAGAAAAATTAAAAAAAAAAAAAAAAAAGATCTACACAAAAGCATACCACCACCAGAAATAAAAGTCTCCTTACTCTGTCAGCTGTGGAATTTCCAGGCTGCCTGCTCTAAGCTGACCTTTCCTACAGGGAATTTTGGGTATAGGCATACTTTGTCCACAAAAAGTTCACAGTTAATCCTCCCATTCAAGGAAGACGTCTGTCCTATAAGTGGTAAGTCAATACAGCATGGTGATTAAGAGAATGGACTGTGTGACTGGGCACAGTGGCTCATACCTGTAATCCAGGCAGTATGGAAGGCCGAGTTGGGTGGATCATTTGAGCCAAGGAGTTTGAGACCAGCCTGGGTAACACGGCAAAACCTCACCTCTACCCAAAATAAAAATTAGCCAGGTATGGTGGCAAGTGCCTGTAGTCCCAGCTACTTGGGAGGCTAAGGTGAGAGGATCGCTTGAGCCCAGGAGGCAGAGGTTGTACTGCGTCAAGATCGAGCCACTGCACTCCAGCCTGGGCAACACAGCCAGACCCTCTCTCTCAAAAAAATAAAGAATAGGCCAGGCGCAGTGGTTCACCCCTGTAATCCCAGCACTTTGGGAGGCCAAGGTGGGTGGATCACCTGAGGTCAGGAGTTCATGACCAGCCTGGCCAACATGGTGAAACTCCATCTCTACTAAAAATACAAAAACTAGCTGGGCATGGTGGCACGTGCCTGTAATACCAGCTACTCAGGAGGCTGAGGCAGGAGAATTGCTTGAACCCAGGAGGTGGAGGCTGCAGTGAGCCAAGATCACGCCACTGCACTCCAGCCTGGGTGACAAGAGTGAAAAGGAAAAAGGGAAAAGGGAAGAGAAAAGGAAAGGAAGGACTCTAAAGCTAGCTTGACTGGGTCCAAACCCGGGTTCCTCCACTTAATAGCTGTGTAACCCTGGGGAAGTTATTAATGCCTCTGTACTTCACTTTCCCCATCTGAAAAATAGGGATGATAGGTATATTTATATCCTAAAAGTTGTTGTAGGGATTGAGATGATTTTCTTTTTCTTTTTTTTTTTTTTTTTGGGACAGAGTTTTGCTCTTATCGCCCAGACTGGAGTGCAGTGACACCATCTCAGCTCACCGCAACCTCCGTCTCCTGGGTTCAAGCGATTCTCTTCCCTCAGCCTCCCGAGTAGCTGGGATTACAGGCACCCACCACCATGCCCAGCTAATTTTTGTATTTTTACAAGAGACAGGGTTTCACCATGTTGGCCAGGCTGGTCTCGAACTCCCGACCTCAGGTGATTCACCCACCTCAGCCTCCCAAAGTGCTGGAATTACAGGCGTGAGCCACCACGCCCAGCCAACACCCTGCTAATTTTTTATCTAGAGTTTCCTCTAGAGATGAGGTCTCACTATACAAGGCTGGTCTCGAACTATACAGGCTGGTCTTGAACTCCTGGGCTCAAGCAATCCTCCCACATCTGTCTCCCAAAATGCTGGGTTTGCAGTCATGAGCCACCATGTCGAGCCAGGAAAGACTTCTTAGCCATCATCTAATTTCATCTTTCCCCCTGTGTGTTAATAGCTAGGGGAAGCTAGTTAATAGTAGCTACTAATAACTAGTAGCCACTATTGTTTGTTACCATGTACTAGGTGGGCCCTTTGTTAAGCACTTCACGTACATCCTTGTGTCTTCTCTGGGTCAGGTACTGTTATATTCTGAATGAAAATTATCTCAGCAGGACACAGTGGCTCACACCTGTAATCCCAGCACTTTGGGAGGCCGAAGCAGGTGGATCGCCTGAGGTCAGGAGTTCGAGACCAGCCTGACCAACACGGAGAATCCCCATTTCTACTAAAAATACAAAATTAGCCAGGCATGGTGGTGCATGCCTATAATCCCAGCTACTCAGGAGGCTGAGGCAGGAGAATCGCTTGAACCTGGGAGGCGGAGGTTGCGGTGAGCCGAGATCATGCCATTGCTCTCCAGCCTGGGCAACAAGAGCAAAACTCTGTCTCAAAAAAAAAAAAAAAAAATTAGCAGGACGTGGTGGCACACACCTGTAGTCCTAGCTACTCAGGAGGGTGGGGTGAGAGGATGGCTTGAGTCCAGGAGGCAGAGGCTGTAGTAAGCTGAGATCACACCACTGCACTCCAGCCTGGGTGACAGAGAAAGACTGCTGCAAAAAAAAAAAAAAAAAAAATCTTCCAATCTTGAAATCCTACCAGATTCTTAAGGGAAAAAAATGAAGTTCATCAAATTAGACAAAGCAGATTCCAAAACAATGAAGTATTCACTGACATCAGATAGATACTTGGTTTACATTCGCCCCGAGCCTCTGAAGGCATTTGTTACACTATCTTAATTTATGACTATTAACTTTAAGTTGCCTCTCAGTAAGTTAAATGTATACAATGATTTTGGATTTAAAGAATGAGGAGAGTTAACTGACTTCTAGGCAATTTTGATCAATGTCAAGTAACAGTTGTAAAAGAGCTGCTCCCAGAGTCTCAGCCATAAATTCAGCTCTTTTGATCCAGAAGTTCAAAAATGCAAACTTGCAATATCCAAACAATTCCCCAAAATGAACAAAATATAACAGCTTCACATTAAATGGAATCTCCAGGGCAACAGGAGGCCAACGAACTGGACGGCTACAGAGAAAAGCACATCAGTCTAGTAGGCAGTGACAGCACAGGTTAAAACATGAGTGGGGTCAGGAACTTATTCCAAACCTAAGCTAACTAAGTGCATGGACTGATTGTGGGTCCCACCCTATCCATTTAGAGCTCCAGATTAACAATAGTTGCCTCAGAAACAACTTGAAGACCCCAAAACTAAGCCCCTAAAACTAAGCCCCCAAAACTAAGACCCCAAAAACTAAGCCACATGCCCAGAGGTATTCTTGTCTAAAAGCAACAAGAATCTAAAGCAGACCTCTGAGACTGTACCCAAGGAATCCTTTTAACCTGAAGAAATAAGAGACGGACCCAGTCAACCTCTACAGAAGGATATAGAAAAAATGTGCCCAGGCATGCCAAACAGAACCAAATCCGCGATGAATATTACAAGACTAAAGGAACAAGAACTACACATCCACAAGATCCTTATAATGAGGCTAAAAGAAACTGCCAAAGATTAGACAGTGTAGACAAAGCCTCCATTCCTAGAGTAAGACATTAAAAGTCCCAGGATCCTCTTCCTCTTTCCTCCTTATAATTTTTTCCTACTTACTTTTCTCTGTGGCATTCCGTGCCACTTCACCATTTTTCTAACTTTTCTAGTTGTTCCATTCTTATTCTACATTTGAGGTTTTAAAAAATTTCTTTTCTCGGTTCTTTCTCCTACTTAGTATCACAAATGACGTTCTAATTAAAGTTACAAAAGAAACTGTAGAAAAAATTAATATAAAGCTTTGACAAATTATATTTGTTGATACGAATACTGCCTACTTTTTTTCTAGACTGTAATCTCCTAGCTATGTCAAAACATTATGCCTATGCTAATAGCAGAGAAGCTATTAAAAAACACTCAAGTCTAATAAATAATGTTTGGTGACAATAATAGTACGACAAAGCAGAGACCAAAGAGATTTCATATAACCTTATGACATATACACAGTAATTCATAATTCTAATACAAACAAAATCTTTTACCTAAACTCAAAATGCATAGATATAAATATCTCAAAGTTCAGCTGCTTTCAGTACTAATGTGGAAAAAGTTAAAACTCCTTAGCTTTTATTTTAATTGGAAAATAATAATCCTCTTCATACTAAAAAAGACTTAAATTATTTTTGACCAAAAAAACCATGTAATTTTGTCTTCTTTCTTTCTTTGGGGGCATTTATAGAAGTTGAAGAAGCAACTTTAATCATTCCTTTCTTCCAAGACTTCATTCAAGAACCTCACCTTGGCCAGGCATGGTGGTCCACGCCTGTAATCCCAGCACTTTGGGAGGCTGAGGTGGGAGGATCACTTGAGGTCAAGAGGTGGAGATCGGCCTGGCCAACATGGTGAAACCCCACCTCTAATAAAAATACAAAAATTAGCTGGGTATGGTGGCACATGCCTGTAATCCCAGCTACTCAGGAAGCTGAGGTAAGAGAATTGCATGAACTTGGGAGGCGGAGTTTGAGTTGAGCCAAGATCATGCCACTGCACCCCAGCCTGGGTGACAGAGTGAGTGAAACTCTGCCTCAAAAAGAAAAAAAGAAAAAAAGAAAAACCTCATCTTGTCTCCACAAAAAAAATTTTTTTAATTAGCAAGGCATGGTGGCATGTGCCTATAGTCCCAGCTACTTGGGAGGCTGAGGCAGGTGGATCACTTGAGCCCAATAGGTCAAGGCTGCAGTGAGCTGTGATCGTGTCACTGCACTCCCACCTGGGCAACAGATATCCTGTCTCAAAAAAATAAAAAATAAAAAACTTTTTAAAAAGTATCTTTAAAACTCTTTTCTCTTTAAAGTAGGAAACAAAGGTAATGACCCATAACGATGTATGTACTGACTATTTACATCAACAGCTATCCTGCGATTAAAGTGGGTCCCAACATACATAATTCTTTAAAGTATTTTAAGTAATATTATATGCATATTTCTGAAGTGCTGAGTCTGTCCCATTTGTGTATTTTTATTCTTTTCTCCCTCCAACACTCTTAACTAGATTTTTTCACCCACAATATATTTTAAAATAATGTCACAGCCTGCCTATGATAAGTACTTGAATTTGTATCTTAAGGGCATTAGTTCATTTGAAAATTAAAACTGAAAGAAAAAAGAAATATGATAAAAATTTTTTCTCTTGGCTAGTTTATTTTTTTTTAAGTAACCTATTATTACATAAGACAGACACTTATGCAGATGATTCCAAGGATATAAAAGAAAAGTAAACATTTCATAAAAGCCATATGAAATATCCATCTTACCAATATCATCAGCAAGGGAATTAGGATCAGATGCCCCAAGGGTAGCTTCAAACTCCTCTTGGAGACGATAGGCTCTTTGCAGCAGAGCTTCGAGTTTATGGATAAATTCAGTACTAATAATATCCTACAAGGAGAGAAAAAGTACACAGAACAAATTAAATTCTAATGTTAAAATTCTAAATATTTTTCCCACTTTTAAATAAAAGGCAAAGAAAGTGAGTAATATAAAAAAACAACTGAGAGATGGTGGAAAGAGTACAGCAGCAGAAGTCAAGAGGCCTGGGTTCTAGCTGTGTCTTTGGCAAAATTACCTTAGTTCTTAGTGATTCAGTTTCTTTACCTATAAAATTAAGGAGTTAGACTAGATTGGCAGTTCTCAAAGTAAGGTCCTTGAGCCAGCAGCTTCATTATCACCCAAGAACTTGGTAGAAATGCAAATTCTTAGGATCCACCCCAGTCCTAGTCAATGAGAAACCCATGGGGTAGGGCCTCCAAATCTGTGTTTTAACAAGTCCTCTAGGTGATTCTTATGCATTCTCAAGTTTGAGAACCACTAGCTTAACTAAATAATCAATAAGGACTAGTCTAGCTCTACACCTTTATGTGATTTTAATGAACATAATGGCACTTAATTAATCCCAAAGCACAAATCAAACTTTAAAAAATTCCAAGCCAGACAAGGTAGAATGTGCCTGCAGTCCCAGCTGCTTGGGAGACTGAGGCAGAAGAATTGATTGAGCCCAGGAGTTCTGGGGTATAGTGTACTATGATTGTTCCTATGAACAACCACTGTACTCCAACCTGGGCAACATAGCAAGACCCCATTTCTTTAAAAAAAAATCCTTTAGAAATCAATCTGCTTATTTTGCATATCCTGGGAAAGTCAATAAACTTGATGAATGGTAAATCTGGCATTTAACAACTACCTGGATAGAAAAAGACTAATAAGAAATACCCCACATTGTCCCAAGGAAGAAGAAAAAAACAGTTCTATTAAATGCACATAAAGCAAATACACTGAATCAACATTAAAAAATACTTTGGGTCAGCACCTTGGCTCATGCCTATAATCCCCAGCACTCTGGGAGGCCAAAGTGAAAGTGCTGCCTGAGGCCAGGAGTTCGAGACCAGCCTGGGCAACATAGTGAGACACCATCTTTACAAAAAATTTAAAATTAGCCTGGCATGGTGGTGCATCCCTATAGTCCTAATTACTCAGAGGACAAGGCGGGAAGATCGCTTGAGCCCAGGAGTTCAAGACTCAGCCTGGGTAACAACAGTGAGACCCTACCTCTACCAAAAAAACAAAAAAAAAGTTTGATTCTTCTAATATTATGAAGACCACTCAAATCAATCACCCTTACATCTACATTTTCTTCAGCAATGGCATCTCCTGCACCCAGTTTAATGGAACCACAGGCTTCATCTTCAGCCTGTCTATTGCGAAAGGTCAGAGCTTGTTCCCATCGACGCAATGCCTCTTCAAACAATTCCATACCTAAAAATTAAGAACAGAACAATTTTAACTGAGCAAAATCAATGCCAAAATAAAATTATTGGGGCCTGAAATGTTTTCATACATTATCACTGATGTCACAGTCTAATTTTGACACTAAAGAATCATACATCATTTCATGACAGAATCTTAGTTTCCCAATACATTCTCAGCCTATGGTTCCAGTTAACCAAAAATCAGAGACAAAATGGCCAATATGTTTTCATTTCTTTAAAAATATAACACAAATGTATATGGTGCTCAGAATTTTTCTAAAAGAATATAATGAATTCATCAGAAGTTCCACAGTAATAGCTATTTTTTATAGCCACACAACTATGTTTCAAAATATCCCTGTAAATTAAAAGGAAAACTAATGGGAAGATAGAAGAAACCAGTTTACAAAAAGCTACCGGGTTTATAAGTTCTCAGAAGAACAAAGTAAAGCTGAAGATGGCCCGGCGCGGTGGCTCATGACTGTAATCCCAGCACTTTGGGAGCCCGAGGTGGGTGGATCACCTGAGGTCAGGAGTTCGAGACCAGCCTGGCCAACATGGTAAAACCCCATCTCTACTAAAAATACAAAAAGCAGCCAGGTGTGGTGATACGTGCCTGTAATCATGGCTACTCAGGAGGCTGATGCGGGAGAATCGGCTTGAACCTGGGAGGCAGAGGTTGCAGTGAGCCGAGATTGCACCACTGTACTCCAGCCTAGGTGACAGAGCAAGACTCTGTCTCAAAAAAAAGAAAGTAAAGCTGAAGAAAAGATAATAATATAGAAGTCTAAAATAAAAGCCTTTTCCACCTTTTGTCCCTTAAAGGGTGTCCTGAACCACTATGATCCCAACAGGCGGATTTGGATAAATTGGTGGGCCAGAGTTAAAAATCTGCAAGATACTGAATGAACCCATCAAAAGTTAGTTATAGTCCAAGTAGGAATTTCCTTTCCTTGCTGAGAGAAAGCTTTGTGTGAAAAAAAAATGAACATGTGATTCCTTTTCTCCAAATTAAAAAACAAGGCTTACAAAAATAACTATGCACTTCAAACAAAACAAAAATAGTTTAAAACTTCAACTTTTAAAGTATTTTTAAGATGTTAAATATTAAAGAAAAAGATCTTTAAAAGCTGTTTAAGAATCTGGGCAAGTCATTCTCTTGATGTTTTTAAGATATGGTAGCTAAAAAATACCTCTCCTCTCAAGTCATTTCTTCAATTACCTATAGAACCTACAATCCTAAATGAATACAATTTCGTATTTATTTGTTATTCATTTATTTATTTATTTATTTATTGAGACAGAGTCTCACTCTGTTGCCCAGGCTGGAGAGCAGTGGCACCATCTCGGCTCACTGCAACCTCCTACCTCAGCCTCCCAAGTAACTGGGATTACAGACATGTACCACCATGCCCAGCTAATTTTTGTATTTTTAGTAGAGATGGGGTTTCACCATGCTGGCCACACTGGTCTCGAACTCCTGACCTCAGGTGATCCACCAGCCTCAGCCTTCCAAAGTGCTGGGATTACAGGCGTGAGCCACCACACCCAGCCTCTTTTATTTTTTTAAATGTATTTATTTATTTATTTGTAGAGATGAGGTTTCACTATGTTACCTAGGCTGGTCTCAAACTCCTGGGCTCAAGCAATCCTCCCACCACAGCCTCCCTAAGTTATGGGATTACAGGTGTGAGCCACCACACCTGGCCTAAAATTTCTTAAAATGAAATGCAGGCCTTTCCTTCTTGTTTGATTTTCTGTAGCAAAAAATAGCTTTTGAATCTTCCTCATAAAACATTTATGCAAAATGGGCTTGGGCGGCTCCTCGGCAGGTGGCGGTGGTGGCCGTAGCGGTTCCTCCTGGCCCTGTTAATGTCGGGGCCAGGCCGGGGGAGGATGGCGCCCTAGAACCCGGCCTTGCTGGGGTAGGGGCGGGAGGGGACGGGGTGGGGACCGGCCATGTCGGAGGTGACCCGGAGTCTGCTGCAGCGCTGGGGCGCCAGTTTTAGGAGAGGCGCCGACTTCGACTCTTGGGGCCAGCTGGTGGAGGCGATAGACGAGTATCAGATATTAGCAAGACATCTACAAAAGGAGGCCCAAGCTCAACACAATAATTCTGAATTCACAGAAGAACAAAAGAAAACCATAGGCAAAATTGCAACATGCTTGGAATTGCGAAGTGCAGCTTTACAGTCCACACAGTCTCAAGAAGAATTTAAACTGGAGGACCTGAAGAAGCTAGAACCAATCCTAAAGAATATTCTTACATATAATAAAGAATTCCCATTTGATGTTCAGCCTGTCCCATTAAGAAGAATTTTGGCACCTGGTGAAGAAGAGAATTTGGAATTTGAAGAAGATGAAGAAGAGGGTGGTGCTGGAGCAGGGTCTCCTGATTCTTTTCCTGCTAGAGTTCCCGGTACTTTATTACCAAGGTTGCCATCGGAACCAGGAATGACATTACTCACTATCAGAATTGCGAAAATTGGTTTGAAAGATGCTGGGCAGTGCATCGATCCCTATATTACAGTTAGTGTAAAGGATCTGAATGGCATAGACTTAACTCCTGTGCAAGATACTCCTGTGGCTTCAAGAAAAGAAGATACATATGTTCATTTTAATGTGGACATTGAGCTCCAGAAGCATGTTGAAAAATTAACCAAAGGTGCAGCTATCTTCTTTGAATTCAAACCCTACAAGCCTAAAAAAAGGTTTACCAGCACCAAGTGTTTTGCTTTCATGGAGATGGATGAAATTAAACCTGGGCCAATTGTAATAGAACTATACAAGAAACCCACTGACTTTAAAAGAAAGAAATTGCAATTATTGACCAAGAAACCACTTTATCTTCATCTACATCAAACTTTGCACAAGGAATGATCCTGACATGATGAACCTGGAACTTCTGTGAATTTTACCACTCAGTAGAAACCATCATAGCTCTGTGTAGCATATTCACCCTTCAACAGGCAGGAAGCAAGCCGTACCCAGACCAGTAGGCCGGACGGAGTCCAATGCAAAGCTGTACCACAGAATTCAGAGTCCAGCACATCACTGACGTATAGGACTCCTTGGGATACAGGTTTATTGTAGATTTTGAAACATGTTTTTACTTTTCTATTAATTGTGCAATTAATAGTCTATTTTCTAATTTACCACTACTCCTACCCTGCTTCCTGGAACAATACTGTTGTGGGTAGGATGTGCTCATCTTCAGACTTAATACAGCAATAAGAATGTGCTAGAGTTTACACATCTGTTCACTTTTGCTCCAATATGCTCTTTTGACTTAATGTCAAGCTTTGGGTTGATGTGGGTAGGGTAGTGTCAAACTGCTTTGAGAGGAATGGGACCAGTTCTGCTGCCTAAGAAGGTCTGTCTGGATGTTTATAGGCAGCACCTCTGAAGTGGCCTAAATTCACCCTGATCTGATAGTTTTCCTGCTTAGAAAGTGTGCCTTGGCCAGATCAGTATCCCACATGGGAGTGTTCCCTAGGTTGTAGCTGTGATTGTTTCCAGATGACCAGATTGTTTTTCTGAAAATGAGCATATTTTTAGTCATGTCGATTAGCTGTTCTTCTACATCACATTGTTACTCTTTCTGATGATGATTCTAGGGTTAACATTGGAACCATCTCAAAATAATTACAAAGTTTTAGATGGGTTTACAATGTCTTCTAAACAATGTAATCTAAAAATAATTGAGTCAGATGCTAACGAGATACTGCAGGCATAAGTGCTGTTTTTCTGACAACTGATTGTGAAACCTTAAAACCTGCATACCTCTTCTTACAGTGAGGAGTATGCAAAATCTGGAAAGATATTCTATTTTTTTTATATAGGTAGATAGGATCGCCATTTATTTCCTATTTAGATATACTGACATTCATCCATATGAAAATATGCAGGTCATTAGCTTACTATAATTTACTTTTGACTTAATGGGGCATAAATAAAACTTTCATAGTACAAAAAAAAAAAAAAAACATTTATGCACATAAAAACCAATTATATCACTATCTATTCTCCTTTCTCCAAGTTATGCAACTCTAATTTCTTCATCCTTTTCTCACACTATCCCTTCTATACACTTATTATTTTGGCTGAACATATGAACACAGGAATAATTATTTTATTTTATTTTTTTTAGTTTTTTTTGGTCTCTTTTTTTAGAGATGGGGTCTTACAATGTTCCCCAGGTTGGTCTTGTACTTCTGTGCTCAAGGGATCCTCCCACTTCAGCCTCTCAAGTAGCTGGGACTACAAGCATGTGCCACCACACTTGGCTTCAGGAAGAATTATTTTACAGCAGAGTTGTATAACACAAAGATAAAACCTGTCTCCTCAAGAAGTACTATGTCTACCTCACTATATAGTCCAGACTACCAAATATCATCAGTTTTGTAACAGCAAGTCAAACATATGTCACCAATCTTTTTTTAAGGTCTTCAATTTTATAAAGAGAATTGAAACAGATGGGTGATGATACCAGGTGGTCCACAGGGCTCCTTGCAATCTTAATCCTGTAACACAAAGACCCCCCTGTGGCGTCTCTAGTTTTACTCTACATTTCTTCAATTTGAATTTTTAATATTCTGAGGTTTTTGTTGTTGTTGTTGTTGTTGTTGTTGTTTTAAGAAAACGGGCTCTGTCACCCAGGCTGTAGTGCAGTGGCACAATTAGCTCACTGTAACCTTGAACTCCTAGGTTCAAGTGATCCTCCTGCCTCAGCCTCCCAAGTAGGTAAGACTACAGGTACATGACACCATATCCAGCCATAAACTTGTAATATTAACAGAAGCTGTGAATGTTAAGTTTCCTAGACACAGAGTAATCTAGAAATATGTGAATTTAACTCTCTGGAGACCTTCTTTCCCCATAGGAATACCCACTGTGATGGCACTGGAGATGAGATAGTCTAACTATTCTAGAGAGTAGGAATGCATTCTGAGGCACTCAGTCCTTCTACACAGAGCCATCAACCCTTCATTGCTCACTGGCCAAGGCCACATCAAGTTTACTGGTTTTGTTTTTTATTTAGTATGCATTTCCACTAAAAGGAGGATAGCCTGAAACAGAACAGAGAACAGGGAAAAGCATTTGAATCTTCTGATTCAACAACAGGTTCATTTGGTTCTTCTTCAGGGCTCCAGTGAGGCTCCATAGACATGTTCATGGTCAAGTCAAGAAATACTGAGATGTGAAACACAGAAAGCCTCTTTCTATTTAAAATTTTTTTCTGGATATAATACAAATGATAGCTAGAAAAAACATATTTAGTAAAGTGAGTTCTGATAGATTCATTATATAACAGTCAACAGGTTAGGTTAAGATAGTGTAGTAGGCTGAATAATGGTCACCCAAAGATATCAGGTCCTAATTCCTAGAACATGTAAATGTTACCTTATAAATAAAGGTAACATCTTACATCTTTCTAGATGTAATTAAGAATCCCAACACAGGGAGATTATCCTACTTTATCTGGTGGGCCCTAAATCTAATCAAAAGTGTCCTTATAAGAGAATGGCACATGTATACATATGTAACTAACCTGCACAATGTGCACATGTACCCTAAAACTTAGAGTATAATAAAAAAAAAAAAAAAAAAGAGAGAAAGGTGGCTGGGTGAGGTGGCTCACGCCTGTAATCCCAGCACTTTAGGAGACCGAGGCGGGTAAATCAACTGAGCTCAGGAGTTCAAGACCAGCCTGGCTAACATGGTGAAACCCCATCTCTACTAAAAATACAAAAAATTAGCCAGGGGTGGTGATGCACACCTGTAAGCCCAACTACTTGGGAGGCTGAGGCATGAGAATCACTTGAACCCGGGAGGTGGAGGTTGCGGTGAGCCGATGTTGCACCACTGCACTCTAGCCTGGGCGAGAGTGAGACTCTGTCTCAAAAAAAAGAGAGAGAGGGAGAGATAGGGAGATTTGATACACACAGAGGAGAATGTGACACGAAGACAAAGGTAGAGACTGGAATGATGTGGTCACGAGCCAAACAATGTTGGAAGCCACCAAAAGCTGGAAGAGGCCAGGAAAAGATTCTCCCCTAAGCCTCCAGAGAGACCATGGCTCTACTGACATATTGATTTCAGCCCAGTGATAATGAAATTCTAGCCTCCAAAACTCTTTCTGCTGTTTTAATTTTGTTGTATTAGTTTAAACTAACACAATGTATGACGTTATGAAGACTAGATACAACAGATATAAGAACATTTAAAATTATAGTTGCTTCTCTTAGAACAATTCAGTTTTTTAATTTCAACTTACCACCAACCGTGGTGGCTCACGCATGTAATCCCAGTACTTTGGGAGGCTGAGGCGGGCAGATTGCTTGAGCTCAGGAGTTCAAGACCAACCTGGCAACATGACAAAACCCCATCTCTACAAAATTTTTTTTAAAAATTAGCTGGGCATGGTGGTATGCGCCTGTGGTCCCAGCAACTCAGGAGGCTGAGGTGGGAGGATCACTTGAGCCCAGGAAGTTGAGGCTGCAATGAGCAGTAATCGCGCCACCGTACTCCAGCCTGGGTGACAGAGTGAGACCCTGTCTGTCTCAATAAATAAAAAACAAGAACAAAACAAATTAAATGTGAGCACAGTATCTTAAAATGTTATCATCTCATTCCTACCCATTAAGTATAAGTTCTCTGGAGTAGTCACAGGAATATTAACAAGTTTAATATCATCTTCATCTGCTTTGTCCCAGGAATTAGAATTGCCACAAGCGCAGCTATGACAAGAATTGACACTCTGGACCTAAAATTAAGATGGATAGAAGTTACTTCAAATCTCTCTCATGATAGTATGTTGTGATCTTTCATATTTACAAATTATTTTTATAAATCCTATTAGTGGTAAGACAATCCATGTAATTTCCACATGAAGAAATAATTCTGATGATAATCAATCAAACTTAGAAATCACGACTCTATTCTAAGCCTGTTTGCTCAAAAATACACAAGAAGAGTAGTATTTTGAATGTAAATCACTTATTTCCATCAGAAATCAGGCAGTTATGTTTATATCATTTATTCTTTTAAGCATTCACTTATAAATTTTATCTATACCTACTGTGATTTAAGCTAGCTAGCTTATTTTTCTTTTAGAATGTTTTACAATGCTGACTCTCTGCTAAATGATACCTAAAATAAAAAAGCCACTATCATCTTTGTAAATGCCCTCTCCTAGCAAGGTCCACTGAGCAAATCATTTCAATCACCTCTATGCAGATGATTCTCAAATTCCTAACTCCAGTTCTGTCCTAATTCCAGTTCAGTTTTGAGAAATCTAAGCCCACATTTTCATTTGCCTTTTAGGTGACTCCATTTGGCTCTTCTGCTGGCATCTCAAACTAACTACAGACACTTTCGACATAACAACATCTGGGTCAACGACGGACCACATATACAACAGTCAACCCTACCGTAAGATTACAAAATTGTATTTTTACTGTACTTTTTCTATGTTCAGATATGTTTAGATACACAAATACCATTGTGTTTCAATTGCCTACATTATTCAGTTCAGTAGCATGTGGTACAGGTTTGTAGCCTAGGAGCAACAAGTTACAACATATAGCCTACAGATTATGCTGCTTCTGAAATGAAGAGTAAAATATTCACCTAATTAATTAGGGTGGTATTTGAATGTTCTACTGTAATCAGTATAAAAATACTGGCAACTATGTTAAATTTATATTTTTGTTAAATTGTAAGATTTAACAAAAGAGGAATGACTAGTTCAGTTAGGCAAGTACAGTACAGTGATTCTAAAGACTTGTTACACTATTATCATGAAATTCACCTTATCTACTTCTAGTCAACAAGGGCTTCAACTTTCAATTGAGGAAATTCAGAAGAGGCACTTCTCAGACACTGAGGAAGTTCACATTATAGAACAGGCATACTCTGGCCAGGCGCAGAGGCTCACGCCTGTAATCCCAGCACTTTGGAGGCCAAAACGGGCAGATCACTTGAGGTCAGGAGTTCGAGACCAGCCAAGCCAACATGGTGAAACCATGCAAAAATACAAAAATTAGCCAGGTGTGGTGGTGCACGCCTGTAATCCCAGCTACTCGGGAGGCTGAGGCAGGAGAATCACTGGAACCCGGGAGATGGAGGTTGCAGTGAGCCAAGATCACACCACTGCCCTCCAGCCTGGGCAACAGAGTGAGATTCCATCTCAAAAAAAAAAAGAAAAGAAAAAAAGAAAAAAGAATAGGTATATTCCATCAATACACTGCCAAAAAGACAAAAAAAAAAAAAAAAAAGAATAGGCATATTCTTCATTATGCTGCTCGGTTTCACAGAGAAACTGAAAGTCTGTAGGCCTTTGATCTAGCTGTTCCTATCCTAGAAGAGCCTTTAAAAATTTAGTACATTTTTAGGCATTACAGAATAGGGCAGCTATATATTCCAGTGAAATACGGAAGCAAGGGACCGGGTGTGGTGGCTCACGCCTGTAATCCCAGCTCTTTGGGAGGCTGAGGCAGGTGAATCACGAGGTCGGGAGATCAAGACCATCCTGGCTAACACGGTGAAACCCCGTCTCTACTAAAAAATACAAAAAATTAGCCGGGCGTGGTGGCGGGTGCCTGTAGTCCCAGCTACTCGGGAGGCTGAGCCAGGAGAATGGCATGAACCCAGGAGGCAGAGCTTGCAGTGAGCGGAGATTGTGCCACTGCACTCCAGCCTGGGCGACAGAGTGAGACTCCGTCTCAAAAAAAAAAAAAAAAAAAGAAATATGGAAGCAAGGTACAGAACAGAATATGGTGTTCTATAAACTATGAAGAAAAAATGAATACAGGCCAGGCATGGTGGCTCATGCCTGTAATCCTAGCAGTTTGGGAGGCTGAGGTAGGCAGATCACCAGGTCAGGAGTTCGAGACCAGCCTAGCCAACATAGTAAACTCCATCTCTACTAAAAACACAAAAACTACCCGGGTGTGGTGACACATGCCTGTAATCCCAGCTACTTGGGAGGTTGAGGCAGGACAATCGCTTGAACCCAGGAGGTGGAGGTTGCAATGAGCTGAGTTCCAGCTCATCGCGCCACTGCGCTCCAGCCTGGGCAACAGAGCAAGAATTCATCTCAAAAAAAAAAAAAAAATTGTTAATGTTGTTTATCTCCATGGCGGGGAATTGAGTGGATCAGGAACACATTTATTTTATTATTATTTTTTTTAGAGACAAAGTTTCTCTATGTTGCCCAGGCTGTCTTCAAACTCCTGGACTGAAGCAATTTTGCCTCAGTCTTCTGAATAGCTGAGACTATAGGCACCACCACAGCACCCAGCTCTCATTGTATATTCTTTTGCCTGTTCTGTATTTAATAGCAGGTACATATTCTACCTGTTTTTTAAATTAATGTTTAAATCACATTAGATTTAAACAAATACTAACTTCATTCCTCACTTGTCAATCAGCATTAATAGTAATGCTCCAAATAAAGATGGGCAGCCTCCTGCTTGTCAGTCAATACTGTATTAATGATTCAAAGAAGGAGGTGAAGAACCTCACACTTGGCTTCAGCAAACCAAATACTTTCACCTATGTAGGCTCATCAAGTGATTACTGTGACCCAGCACAAAGTCTGGCTGCATTGTCCAGCTTCTTGAAGAACAGCTAATTCTTTTAAATTAATAACTCTTTTTAATTTTAATTTTTGATTTTTGTGGATATATAGTAGGTGTAAATATTTATGGAGTACATAAGACATTTTGATATATACAACATGTAGTGATCACATCAGGGTAAATGGGGTATCCATCACCTTTATCTTTAAGCATTTATCCCTTCTTTGTGTTATAAACAATCTAATTATAATCTTTTAGTTACTTTTTAATGTATAATACTTTGTGTTGACTGCAGTCACCCTATTGTGCTATCAAACACTAGATCCTATTTATTCTATCTGCCTATATTTTTTTACCCATTAACCATTCCACTTCCCCTCCACCCCCCGTTACCTTTCCCAGCCTCTGGTAACCATCATTCTACTCTCTATCTCCATAAGTTCAATTGTTTTAATTTTTAGCTCCCACAAATAAGTGAAAACAAGAACATCTAATTTTGAAGCAATACTTCCACATCAACACTATTTTCACAGGACCCCATGAGACCACATCACTTATTCAAAGAAACCTAGAACCAAATTGACTAATAGTCAGCAAAAAGGTATTTTACTTGCCTAAAGAAAGCACATTCAGACGATTTCTTAAGAGTATTTCCATACTAAGAACTATAAGTATATGACACTTAAACTAATAGATCACAGAAGACATATAAACAAAAATTTTAAAAATTAATATTTTTTCTGTACTTACAGAGGCCAAACTCTGTGCAGAACCTGAATATTTACTGAAAAGTCCTCCATTAGCATAGTTACAAACTTGAGATCCTTTGTCTTTGGTAGAACTTAAAGATAATGTCAAATTCTGTCTGCTACTGGAACAACTTGAACCTATCAAATAAACATACTAATATTAAAAATATCAATAACGCCAATGATAAATTTCAGGTAAAAATTTCAGAGTTTATAATATATTCACCCAGAAAGCTTCTAATTTTAAAACATGCATCACTCACTTGTGTAAATTATTACATGTACATCATTATTAAAATCTAAATCTTTATATAATCTTATATAATCTTTTTTCAACACTGCTAAAATCTGCTTCTGAAATGAAGAATAGAATATTCACCTAATAAATTAGGATGGTATTTGAATGGTCTATTGTAACCAGTATAAAAATACTGGTGACTATGTTAAATTTACAATTTTGTTAAACTGTAAATTTAACAAAATACAGGCATTTCCTTTTCTGAATTACATCTAAACCTTACCCAAATCTCATTGCATTGAAATTAGTTATACTTCTGCCTCTTCTACTCATCTATCCATTCTTCTAAGACTGACATTAGTTTCTTGGTTTTTTTTTTTCCTTTTTTTGAGAAAAGATCTCACTCTGTCACCCTGGCTGGAGTGCAGTGGTGCAATCATGTCTCACTGCAGCACTGACGTCCTGGGTCAGGTGATCCTCCCACTTCAGCCTCCCGAGTAGCTGGGACTAGCTAGCTGTGCCACCACACCAAAAAAAACAATTTTTTTATTGTTATTTTTGTAAAGATGTGGTCCCACTATGTTGTCCAGGCTGGTTTAAACTACTGGGCTCAAGCCATCCTCCTGCTTTGGCCTCCCAAAGTGCTGGAATTATAGTAACGAGTCACCATGCTGCACAAGTTTTTCTTAATGCAGCAGTTAAGATGTTCCTGGATTCAAATCCCGGCACTTATAAATTATATGACCTTGGGCAAGTCACTTAGCTTTTGCATATCTCAGTTTTCTTTATGTAGAATATAGAAACAATAACAAGACTATAATCCTAATTCACAGGATTGCTGTAAGGTTAAATAAAGCACTGAATATATGGCACTTACCTGAGACCTAATAAAATCTCAGCAAGTGACAGCAATCATTACTGTTGCAATGTTCACTGCACTCAGTACGAAATAGTCACTCATTAATTGTATGCTGGACAGATGACTCACAAAAGCATATCACACACTCACTAAATAATAAAAAACTAAGAAACTCAGCATGTTTAAGGAATTATTTTTATTCATACGATATCTTTACCAAAAATTAAAGATCCTTTAAAAGACAGCAACTTACTTCTTGAACTCTACATACTAAGGAAAATAGACAAGGATACACAAAATAAGAAAAACACAAGCATCCTAAAGGGAACAATGGGGAAATGATTAAATAAATTGGGGTACATTCATACAAATTAACACTAGTTATATATTAAAAATGATAGCACAGAGGGATATTTATTGACCTGGAAAGACATTCTTCCACACTGTCAAATATCTTAAAAGCAGGTTACAAAATGTCTGATTACAATTTTACTTAAAATACATAAATAATTTACTTGTATATAACATTTTATGTCTCAATATGACATTTAAATACAAATATAAGTGGACTGATATACATGAAAGTATTATCAGTAGTTATTTCTGGGTACCAGAATGTCAAGTAATTTTAATTTTTTGTTTGCTTATCTACATTTTCTAATCTTTCTAAAATAAATCTGTACTACTTTTGAGTTAAATAATATATTAGGAAGAAAATTCTGGAGACTAAAAGACCAAAATCACTGTATTCCAGTTATGATTTACACACTTTTGTACACTTACTTCAACTATTTCCACATACCTTTGTCTGATGCTGCTCTTTTAGTGTATTCAAGTATGAGGTGCTCTGGTTCCCATGGTAATATTTTTCCTTTCTTCTTTCCACGTTTTCTTTTAAAGTGATGAGCCAGAAAAATTACAGATATAGCACTCACTGCAGTTACCACAAACAACTTTTTAGCCACCGGAGAAAATTTGATCTGGAAAAGATTCAGTTAAAATTGAAAAAAATCTCTTTAATTTGTTCACTTAAAAGAAGGACCTAATAACTAAACTTACTCTTAATCTAACCTATTTCTAAATACTATCAAGAGAATATCATTTCACTCTTTCAATGACAAGCTAGCCCAATTTGATTTTTTAAAAAATATCTTAAATGTTGTAATTTATTACTCACTACTCTGAAGATCTCAGGTAAACAATATTACCCCAAAGTCAATAGGAGCAGAAAATAATTCAACCCCGTTAATATTTTTTGAGCAATTAAGGATTAATTCACGCAACTGAATCTTCTGTCTGAATCACAGCAAGATTTTTTACAGGGATGATTAAACTGAGCTTTAAAAAAAACTATCTGGAAATCTGAGGAAATAGAAGCTAAATCCATTTCTAAATACTTTCTAAATAAGCCATTTTATTCACAAATTATTTAACAAATATTTCTTCAGAATCTTAAAGTACCAGGACTGTGTTATAAATTAAAATCTTACTGTAATTCTATTCTATGAGCACATAATAAGTGCCTACAACCAATCAGGAAGCACTATGTATACAGAGGTCACAGATCTTGCATTTTGCGTATACTCTTCTATTTCCCTCAAGCAGTGTGCTAAGAGTGGAGACAGATATATTGGCAAATAATTACAGCATAATGTGATAAATACAGTTATACAAGTACTAAGTTATATAAGTACTAACATCAGAGCAAGAAGCGATTAACTTTCTCTTGGGAGACAAACACTATTAAATACCTAAAAGCAAAGGAACTCTAAAATAAAGCTAAAGGCTTGGAATGTTGAGAGCTGGAAAGAATGTCACTTTCAACCCTCCAACAACAAAATAAAGTATTCTGACTCCATCAGAATACGGAGATCAGAGGGCAACCAATTGCCCCCTAAACTAACGAGACAGGCATTTGCAGAGAGGTAAGACATTAGCATTGGCTTACACGGACAAGACATAGCATGACGTTAGCAAGAAGAGGTCAGCAAGCATCGTTTCAAATCTGGTGGAGAAAGAATACACTGTTGAGAGGCTGGAGAGAGGTGCTGCAAATGTAGGTGAAATCCACACCTTTCTTGCATATCTTATCATCAAGAATCACCAGGCACTCGTAGAAAATACTGAAAGAGTCCTACAAAAGTCTCCCTAATGGTACAGAGGGAGGGAAACAGCAGCTTCTGTGGAGGGCATGAACCAGCACCATAACCTTTCTCCTCTATCCCCATTAAAGAACAAAAGCCTTAAACTGTGGATGCATCTTTAACTTTAGAGAGAAATTTATGCCATTAAATGCTTATATTAAAAAAGGAAAGATATCAAATCAGTAATCTAAGCTTTCGACTTAAGATTCTAGAAAAAGAAGTACAAATTCAACCTAAAACAAGCAGGATATAGGAAGCATTATAAAGATTAAAGCAGAAATCAATAAGACCAACAGCTGGTTTTTTTTTTTGGAAGGAAAACTAATAAAACCTCTAGCCAGTCTTATTAAGAAAAAAAAGCAAGAATGACACAAATTACCAAAATCAGAAAAAAAAGAGGAGGAGTCATTACTGCAGACCTCACAAAGGTCTGTAAAAAGGATCCTATAAACAATTCTATGACCACAAAGGACAAAATCAAAACTCACTCGGAAAAAAAAACAGGTAACACAAGCAGTTAAATATCTATTAAAGAAATTGAATAGGTAGTTAAAAACCTTCCAACAAGGAAAACTGAAGGCCAAATTACACCAAGTAGTTAAAGAAGAAACAGTATCAATTTCACAATGAGGATACGTCCTAATCATGTTATCAATCTAGTCCAGATGCTGTTTGACTTATAATGGGGTTATAGCCAATAAACCCATCCTAAGTTTAAAAACATAAGTCAGAAATTGATTTAATAAACCCAAACTACCAAACATCATGGCTTAAACTAGCCTATCTTAAACATGCTCAGAACACTTATTAATACATTAGTCTACATTTGGGCAAAATCATGTAACACAAAGCCTTTTTATGAGAAAGTCTTAGATGTCTCAAGTAATTTATTGAATACCGTACATTATGTCAAATTTGCAATGGTTGTGCATCATCTTGAAGTCAAAAAATTGTTAAGTTGGGGACAGTTAATATCAAAGCCAGACAAAGACATCACAAAAAATAAAACTATAGGTTAATATCCCTCATTGATAGATGCAAAAAATCTTCCACAAAATATTAACAAATAAAATCCATCAATATATTAAAAAATATATAAATAACCAAGTGGTATACATCCTAGGAATGCAAATCTGGTTCAACATTTAAAAATCAATGTAACTTACCATAATATCAGCTAAAGAAAGCCATAATATTATCTCAACAGATGTGAAAAGAACACTTTAAAACATTCAACATCCATTTATGACTACTTAAAAACTCCCAGCAAATTAGGAATAGAAGGTGTAGTAGGTTGAATAGTGTCCCAGAATGATTCATGTCCACCTGGAACATCAGAATGTGATCATATTTGAAAATAGGGTCTTTGCTGATATAATTAAAGTAAGAATTCAGATGAGACCATACTGGATTAGGGTGTGCCCTCAATCCAATGAGAGTATCTTTGTAAGCCATAAATACACAAAGGGGAAGGCCATGTAAAGACACTGAAGCTATGCTGTGATATGGTTTGGCTACATCCCCACCCAAATCTCATCTTGAATTGTAGCGCCCATAATTCCCACGTGTTGTGAGTTGGCCCCCGTGGGAGATAATTGAATCATAGGGGCAGTTTCCTACTGTCCTCATGGTAGAGAATATGTCTCACAAGAGCTGATGCTTTTATAAGGGGAAACTCCTTTCGCTTGGCTCTCACTTCTCTCTTGTCTGCCGCCATGGAAGACGCACCTTTTGCCTTCTACCATAATTGTGAGGCCTCACCAGCCATGTGGAACTGTGAGTCCATTAAACCTCTTTTTCTTTATAAATTATCCAGTCTCAGGTATGTCTTTATCAGCAGAGTGAGAACTGACTAATCCATGCTGCTACAGCCAAGAATGTCTGGAGTCACCAGAAGCTGGAAAAGGCAAGGAAGGATTCTCCCCTAGAACCTTCAGAGGAAGTGTGGCTCTGCTACACTGTGATTTCAGCCTCCATAATTAAAAAATTAAATTTCTATTGTTGTAAGTCACCAAGTTTGTAGTAATTTGTTATGGTAACTCTGGGGAACTAACACAAAAGGGAAATTCCTCCATCTGATAAAGGGTATTTATTTTAAAAACCTGTAGCTAAGATCATGCTTAATGGTGAAAAACTAAATGCTTTCCCCATAAGATCATGAACAAGGCAAGGATGTCATTTCACCAATGTCGTATTAGAAGTACTAGCCAGTACAAAAAATTAAGAAACAGGAATAAAAGGAATACATATTAGAAAGGAAGAAGTAAAACTATTCACATATGATACAGCTGTCTATAAAGTTACAAAGAATCTACAAAAAAGCTCCTATAACTAGTAGGTAAGTTTCACAAGATAACAGAATACAAAGTCAATATACAATATCAACTGTATTTCTGTATAAAAGCAATAAGCAACCGGAATTTGAATTTCAAAAAGTAATACTATTTATAATAGCACCAAGAAAAAGAAAAGGAAAATACTAGAGCTAAATCTAATAAAATCTGTGCTAGGTAACAATGAAACACAAAAGATATCAAAGAAGATAAAAGGAGAGAGACATCATATTCATGGATTATAGGAATTTTTCTCTCCAATTTGATCTACATAAACAACATAATCCAAATAAAAAACCCAGAAAAATTTTTGTAGTTACTGATAAGCTTATTTTTAAAAAATTAAGAAAAGGCAAAAGAACTAGAGGAACCAAAACAATTTTAAAAAGAACAAAGTTGCAGAACTCAAAATAGCTGAATTCAAGACTTAACTGTAAAGCAACAGGCAATACAGTGTGGACGTATAGATCAATACAGTAGAATAGACAGCCTGCAAGAAACACACACAAACATATAGTCAATCTATTTTTGTCAAAGGTAGAAAGAAAATCCAAAGAAGAAATTTCTAGAAGAAAACACAGGAGAAAATATGTATGACCTCATAATCACCTAAAATCAGAAACAACCTGGATGCCCTTCAACAGGTGAACAGATAAACTGTAGTACATTCATACAATGGAATGTTACTCATCAACAAAAAAGGACAAACTATTCAGACAAACAACAATGTGGATGAATTTCAAATGCATTATGGTAAAAGGAAAAAGCCAATTTCAAAAGATTATACGTTGTTTAATTCCATTTATGTGACATTTGTGGGTAAAGATAAAACTACAGGGACAGAAAACATCAATGGCAGCTAGCGGTCAGAGGTGACCACAAAGGGGCAGCACACGGGAACTCTGGGGATGAAGAACTGTTCTGTTTGGTGCTGTGGTGATGGACACATGATTGCACAGCTGTAAAAACACACAGAACTGGGCACAACAAAGAACAAATTGTGCTCCATGTCAATTGAAAAAAAATCAACCAGGATATGGGATCACAGATGGATCCAAAGATAAATCACAGGCTGTGAAAAGTAAATCAAACTTTGTTCCAAATGAAGCACACTGAAAGGTGTGAGGAAGAAAGGCGCTGACCTAAGTGACAGTGTTTTGCCTGGATATTGTAAGACTACAGACAAAAAGAGTTAGACATAAATACTGTAACCTGTTGGTAAATTTGTTTCTCAAAGGAGTACTGGGGCCAACTGCAGTGGTACCTGCCTGTAGTCTCAGCTATTTGGAAAACTGAGGCAGGAGAATAAGTTGAGCCCAGGGGTTCGAGGTTGCAGTGAGCTACTATCGCACCACTGCACTCCAGCCTGTGTGACAAAGTGAGACTCCATCTCTTAAAAAAAAAAAAAAAATTAAGACCAGGCACGGTGGGCTCACGCCTGTAATCCCAGTACTTTGGGAGGCCAAGGCGGGTGGATCACGAGGTCAGGAGATCGAGACCATCCTGGCTAATATGGTGAAACCCCGTCTCTACTAAAAATACAAAAAAATTAGCCGGCATGGTGGCGGTCGCCTGTAGTCCCAGCTACTTGGGAGGCTGAGGCAGGAGAATGGCGTGAACCCAGGAGGCAGAGCTTGCAGTGAGCCGAGATCATGCCACTGTGCTCCAACCTGGGTGACAGAGAGAGACTCCATCTCAAAAAAAAAAAAAATTAAGTTGAATTTTAAAAAGAGGAGTATTGGGGTGCAAATTCTGAAATTTCTTTATGTGTACACTAGATATTATAATAAGTAAATATATTATGAGTAATACACTATAGTTAATGAGAGCCAGGTGTCTCACTGCTGAATAAACACGTCACAAATGATCCAACTAGGAATGCTAAAATGAAATATCTGTTGTTGGATTGAAGTCAGAAGTATCAATATGACCAGCACTTTGGGAGGCTGAGGCGGGTGGATAGCTTGAGGTCAGGAGTTCCAGACTGGCCTGGCCAACATGGTGAAACCCCGTCTCTACTAAAAATACAAAAAAAAATTAGCCAGGCATGGTGGCGCACACCTATAATCCCAGCTACTCAGGAGGCTGAGGCAGGAGAATCGCTTGAACCCAGGAGGCAGAGGTTGCAGTGAGCCGAGATCATGCCACTACACTCCAGCCTCAACGACAGAGTGAGAATCTCTCCAAAAAAAAAAAAAAAAGAAAGTAATATACCAGGCCCAGCATGGTGGCTCACACCTCTGGGAGGACAAGGTGGAGAGATCACTTGAGCCGGAGTTTGAGACCAGCCTGGGCAACATGGTGAAGCTCCATCTCTAACAAAAATACAAAAATTGGCAGGGTATGGCAGTGGGTGCCCACAGTCCCAGCTACTTGGAGGCTGAGGTAGGGGGATTGCTTGAGCCGAGCAGTAAGTCATGATTGTGCCACTGCACTCCTGCCTGGGCAACAGAGCAAGAAACTATCTCAAAAAAAAAAAGAAAAGAAAAAGAAAAATATTCCAAATAATAAATGTAGAAGTAATGAAGGAAATAGAAAATCACCAATAAACACTTCAGTAAGAACTGCTGGCTGGGTGCAGTGGCTCACACCTGTAAATCCCAGCACTTTGAGAGGCCGAGGCAGGTGGATCACCTGAGGTCAGCCGTTTAAGACCAGCCTGACCAGTATGGTGAAACCCCATCTTTACTAAAAATACAAAAATTAGCTGGGCATGGTGGCATGCGCCTGTAGTCCCAGCTACTCGGGTGGCTGAGACAGGAGAATTGCTTGAACCCGGGAGGTGGAGATTGCAGTGAGCCGAGATCACGCCACTGCACTCCGGCCTGGGCAACAGAGCAAGGGTGCATCTTAAAAAAAAAACAAAAAACTCCTGAAGGCAGCATCAAGAAATAAGTACTAAAGTAAGATATCTTACAGTGTCAAAGTCTCTACCTCCAAACTTCTTATTTACAAAGGAGAAAAAGTGGAAAAGTGTGGCAGACACATCCTTAACTAAATGATCAAGGGGTGTGTGTGTGTGCCTTTTTTCAAAAGACAGGGTCTCGCTCTGTTGCCCAGGCTAGCGTGCAGTGTGCAATCACAGCTCACCAGAGCCTTAAACTCCAGGGCTCAAGCGATCCTCCCACTTTAGCCTCCAGAGTAGCTGGGACTACAGACATGCATCACTGTGTTCAAGTAATCCTCCCACCTTGTCATGCCAAAGTGCTGGGATTATAGGAATGAGACACCATGCCTGACCAGTGATCAAAGCTACTATCACCAGTAACAAGGCACACAGACATCATCATGTATCCCCTGATATTGTGACATCTTGCCAAAAATGCATAACTTGAATCCAACCCTGAGAAAACATAAGACACACTCAACTGAGGGACATTCTGCAAAATACCTATCCTATATATTTCAAAAGCAGCAGGTCATATAAACCAAGGAAAACTGAAAGAACTGTCACAGATTGGAGAAGACTAAGGAAACCTGACAACTAAATGCAATGTGGGAACCTAGATAAGATCCTGAAGGATATAAGGTGGAAAAAAGTAATAAAACCTAAATAAAGTCTATAGTGTAGTTAAGAATATTACTTACAAAATTAAGATTACAATGTTAATCTTAGTTTTGATAGTTGTATTAGAGTTATAACAGACATTAATATTAAGATGTTAATACAAAGCATACACGAGAATTCTATGTACAATCTTTGCAACTCTTTGGTAAATAAAATTCTTTCAAAATAAAAGTTTAAGGCCGGGCGCGGTGGCTCATGGCTGTAATCCCAACACTTTGGGAGGCTGAGGCGGGCAGATCACTTGAGGTCAGGAGTTCGAGACCAGCCTGGCCAACATGGCGAAACCCCACCTCTACAAAAAATAATAAAAAATTAGCCAGGTGCGGTGGTGCTCACCTGTAATCCCAACCACTTGGGAGGCTGAAGCACGAGAATTGCTTGAACCCAGGAGGTAGAGGTTGCAGTGAGCTGAGATCACGCCACTGCACTCCAGCCTGGGCGACAGAGTGAGACCCTGTCTCAAAAAAAAAAAAAAAAAAAAAGATAAAATTTTAGTAAAGCAGCCAGGCACAGTGGTTCACGCCTGTAATCCCAGCACTTTGGGAGGCTGAGGTGGGCAGATCACTTGAAGTCAGGTAGACCAGCCTGGGCAACATGGTGAAACCCCATCTCTATTAAAAATACAAAAAAAAAAAAAAATTAGCTGGGCATGGTGGCGCATGCCTGTAGTCCCAGCTACTCAGGAGGCTGAGGCATGAGAATCACTTGAGCCTGGGAGGCAGAGGTTGCAGCGAGCCAAGATTGTGCCACTGCATTCCAGTCTGGATGATAGAGGGAATCCTTTCTCAAAACAAAACAAAACAAACAAGCAAACAAACAAACAAAAAAAACCTCTCAGGATTCAACAGTAAAAAAAGCAAATAGGCTGGGCACCATGGCTCATGCCTATAATCCCAGCACTTTGTGAGGCCAAAGCGGACAGACTGCTTGAGCTCAGGAGTTCCAGACCAGCCTGGGCAACATGGTGAGACCCCGTCTCTACAAAAAATACAAAAATTAGCCAGGCATGGTGGTGCATGCCTGCGTCACAGCTAATGAGGAGACTAAAGTGAGAGAATTGCTTGAGCCCAGAAGATTGAGGCTACAATGAGCCGATATCACACCACTGCACTCCAGCCCGGGCAACAGAGAGACCCTGTCTTTAAAAAACAAAAAACATACAAACAAAAAAAACAGGCCGGGTGCTGTGGCTCATGCCTGTAATCCCAGTACTTTGGGAGGCTGAGGCGGGCAGATCACCTAAGGTCAGGAGTTCAAGACCAGGCTGGCCAACGTGGTAAAACCCCGTCTCTACTAAAAATACAAAAAAATTAGCCGGGCATAGTGCTGCATGCCTGTAATCTCAGCTATTCAGGAGGCTGAGACAGGAGAATCACTTGAACCCGGGAGGCAGAGGTTGCAGTGAGCTGAGATCGCGCCACTGCACTCCAGCCTGGGCTACAAGGGTGAGACTCCATCTCAAAAAAAAAAAAAAAAAAAGCAAACAATCCAATTTAGAAAATGGGCAAAGGACATGAAGAGACATTTCATTTCATTGAAGATGATATACAGATGGCAAACACACACAAACCCAAGAAGATGTTCAACATCATTAGCCAATTGGGAAATGCAAATTAAGACCACAGTGAGATACCAGTACAAAACTATTAGTGTAACTGAGTATTTCAGCTTTGAAATGCATTTTAAAACTTTTTTTATCCTTTTTCTCTAGTCTTAAGATGTAACCTTGAAACAAACTGTAGAAACTTTGTGTCCTAAGTCTTAAAATATGGCCTTGAAATCTTCTTTGAACTCTGCTCCCCTCTCTTTCCCACCAGACACTCCCTTGCACCATGCACACTTACCTAACTGCATGCTTGTTAAGAAATTCCAGGGGCTACAACAACCCAGGCAAAAAGACCCAGCGGTGGAATGAATTCTCCTCTACAGGGAGATTACCTCAAAACTGATAATCTGTAACTCAGCAGCAAATAAAATGGCACCAGCCTGTACTCCAGGCAGACAATAATTCGAGATAGTCCTTGGAACAACACATAGGAACCTGCATCCTGTGTTACTCTTATGTTTCCCATACCAAGTCTCCTCTTTTTAAACCCCTTCCCTCAGCCTAACACTTGAAATGGTCTTTTGGAGACATAAGCCTAGCCTATCCCAACTGCTAGCATTTCAATAAAGTTGCTTTCCTTTCACCACTCTTTCTTTCTCATGTTTTGGTCCTCAAGCAGTGAGCAGCCAGACTTTTGTTCAGTTATATTAGAACATCTAAAATAATTATTTTGAAGTGACAATACCAAATGCTGGTGAGAATATGGGAAAACTAGACTTCTCATACTTTGATGGTAGTAATGTAAAATGATACAGCCAATAATTAATTTTGTAATTTCTTTAAAAACTAAGTATTGGGCCAGGCGCAGTGGCTCATGCCTGTAATCCCACCACTTTGGGAGGCTGAGGCAGGTAGATCACTTGAGGTCAGGAGTTCAAGACCAGCCTGGCCAAGATGGTGAAACCCTGTCTCTACTAAAAATACAAAAATTAGCCAGGCATGGTGGTGTGCGCCTGTAATCCCACCAAATCAGGAGGCTGAGGCACAAGAACCACTTGAACCCAGGAGACTGAGGTTGCAATGAGCCAAGATCACACCACTGCACTCCAGTCTGGGTGACAGAGCAAGACTCTGTTTAAAAAAAAAAAAAAAAAAAAAAACTTAAATATCTACTTCTGAGCATTTATCCCAGAAAAATAAAAACATGTCCACACAAACACCTACAAGCAAATGTTTAAAGCAGGTTTATTTTGTAATATTAAATGACCCTCAGTAAATGAATGGTTAACAAATTGTGGTACATCCATACATACCATGGAGTACAAAATAAAAAGGAACAAACTGGTAATACATTCAACAGCTTTGCTGGAACTCAAGGGCATTATGCTGAGTGAAAAAAGGCCAATTTCAAAAGGTAACAGCCTGTGTGACTCCATTTATATAGCAGTTTTTTGTTTTTTTTTTTTTTTTTTTTTTAAGAGACAGGGTCTTGCTCTGTTGCCAGGCTGGAGTGCAATAATGCAATCAGAGCTTAATACATCCTTGAAATTCTGGGCTCAAGTGATCCTCTCTTCTCAGCCTCCTCAGCTAGAACTATAGGCACCTACCACCATGCCCAGCTTATATTTATTTTTATTTTTGTAGTGACAAGGTCTCACTATATTGCCTAGGCTGGTCTCAAACTCTTGGTCTCAAGCAATCCTCCTGCCAGCCAAAGTGCTGGGATTACAGGAATAAACCACTGTTCTCAGCCTTATATAGCAGTCTTGAAATGACAAAACTATAGATGGAAAACAGATTAGGGTTCACCAGGGATTAGGAATGGTGCGAGGGGCCAGGCACAGTGGCTCACACCTGTAATCCCAGCACTTTGGGAGGCTGAGGCGGGTGGATAACTTGAGGTCAGGAGTTTGGGACGAACCTGGCCAACATGGTGAAACCCCATCTCTACTAAAAATACAAAAGATTAGCCGGGCATGATGGTGGGCACCTGTAATCTCAGCTACTCATGGGGCTGAGGCAGGAGAATCGCTTGAACCTGGGATGTGGAGGTTGCAAGTGAGCCAAGATCGCACCATTGCACTCCTACCTGGGCAACAGGAGCAAAACTCTGTCTCAAAAAAAAAAAAAAGGAATGGTGCAAAGAAAGGTGGGGGCCGGGCGCAGTGGTTCATGCCTGTAATCCCAGCACTTTGGGAGGCCGAGGCGGGCAGATCACGAGGTGAGGAGATCAAGACCATCCTGGCTAACATGGTGAAACCCCGTCTCTACTAAAAATACAAAAAATTAGCCGGGTGTGGTGGCGGGAGCCTGTAGTCCCAGCTACTCAGGAGACTGAGGCAGGAGAATCACTTGAACCCGGGAGGCGGAGCTTGCAGTGAGCTGAGACTGCGTCACTGTGCTCCAGCCTGGAGGACAGAGACAAAAAAAGAAAGGTGTGAGTGTGATTATAAAGAGGATGCAAGAGGTAAATCTTTAAGGTGATAGAAGAGTTCTGGATCTTGATAGAGGCTGTGGTTACATAAATCTATGCATATGATAAAATGGCTTGGCATAGAATTATATACATACATTGTCACTGTCAATTTCTTGATTGTGATATTGTACTATAGTCATATAAAATGTAACCATTGGGGGAAATGGGATAAAAGGTACACTGGGCCTTGCTGTATAATTTTTGCAACTTCCTATGAATCTATAATTATTTCAAAATAAAGTTTTTAAAAATAAGCTGTACCAACCTAGTTTCTAATCCAGAATAATTCAAACCAAAGAACTTTTGGGAGGGTTTTATAATTGGATTGTTTTCCTTCTCACAACTATTCACTGTAATCTGAATTGACTCATGGTACCTAGTTTGTTGTCTTTATCATTTTACACTAAAGGGGTCCTTGAAGAAGTGGTTGATTCTAGGTATGGAGCAGGAAAAGTACAAGATAAGCCTGTGCCATTTTATACTAGATAGCAAGGATTACGAGGGTTTTATCAAGAGCACTCAGGAACCAACCTGAATAGACTCTCACTGGCCAAATATGAGATCATTTGAGCATAAATAAGAATAAATAAATGCAATGGTTTAAAACATCAAATACAATTAAATCCATAAGATCAAAACGATTTTTAAAAAACTTTCATTGATTGGCTGTGAAGGATACTACAGAACCATCTTGTTATTTTAAAATCTGGTTAAAAAAAGAGAAAGAGAGAGAAAGCCAAACACGGTGGCTCACACCCATTATCCTAGCACTTTGGGAGGCCAATACGGGAGGATCGCTTGAATCCAGGAGTTTGAGACCAGCCTGGGCAAGATGGTAAAACCCTGTCTCTACAAAAAATAAAAAAAATTAGCTGGGTGTGTTGGTACACTCCTGTAGTACAAGCTACTTGGGAGGCTAAGGTGGAAGGATCACCTGAGCCTGGGAGGATTCAGCTGCAGTGAGCCATGACTTACTGCCGGGATTTGCAGCCCGGGCAACAAAGCAAGACCTCGTCTCAAAGAAAAAAAAAAAAAAAAAAAAGCAACCGCCCCCCACAATTCCATTTAGATTATTATCCAAAAGAATACAATACTTAGGAATTAACCAAAGATGTGAAAGACTTCTACAATTTAAAAATATATATATATACACGTTGCTGAAAGAAATTAAAGAAAACATGAATAAACAGAAACACATCCCATGTTCATAGATTAGAAGACTTAACATTGTTAAGATGTCAATACTACCCAAAGCAATCTACAGATTCAATGCAGTCTCTATCAAAATCCCAATGATTTTTTGGCAGAAATAGAAAAACCCATCCTAAATGTCATACGGAATCTCAAGGGACTTAGAATAGCCAAAATAAACTTGAAAAAGAAGAACAAAGCTGGAGGACTCACATTTCCTAATTTCAAAACTCACTATAAAGCGACAGTAATCAAAACAGTAAGGTACTGGCATCAAGGGCACAGAAATAAAACCTCACATATATCATCAAATGATTTTCCACAGGGGTGCAAGACCATTCAGTCGGAAATGGAGAGTTTTTTCAACAAATGGTATAGGGAAAACTGGACCCTTACCTAATAATACATACAAAAATTAACTCAAAATGGATCAAAGACCTAAATATAAGTCCTAAAACCCTAAGAAGCTTCACAACATCGGATTTGGCAATGACTTCTTAAATATGACAATGAAGACACAGGCAACAAAAAAAAGATACAAACAAGACTTGATGAAAATTTTAAAATTTTGTGCATCAAAAGACACCATCAACAGAATAAAAAAGTAATTCACAGGGTTGGGCACCGTGGTTCATGCCTGTAATCCCAGCACTTTGGAGGCCAAGGTGGGTGGATCGCTTAAGGTCAGGAGTTCGAGACCAGCCTAGCCAACATAGTGAAACCCCGTCTCTACTAAAAATACAAAAATTAGGCCAGGTACACTGGCTCATGCCTATAATCCCAGCACTTTGGGAGGCCAAGGCAGGCGGATCACTTGACGTCAGGAGTTCAAGACCAGCCTGGCCAACATGGTGAAACCCCATCTCTATTAAAAATACAAAAATTAGCCAGGCATGCTGGCACATGCCTATAATCCCAGCTACTTGGGAAGCTGAGGCAGAAGAATTGCTTGAACCCAGGAGGCGGAGGTTGCAGTGAGCGGAGGTTGCAGTGAGCCGAGATTGCGCCATTGCACTCTAACCTGGGTGAAGAAGCGAGACTCTGTCTAAAAAAAAGAAAAAATACAAAAATTAGCCAGGTGTGGTGGCAGGCACCTGTAATACCAGCTACTCGGGAGGCTGAGGCAGGAGAATTGCTTGAACCCAGGAGGCAGAGGTTGCAGTGAGCCAAGACTGCACCACTACACTCCAGCTTGGGTGACAGAGTGAGACTCCATCTCAAAAAAAAAAAAAAAGAAAAGAAAAGTAATTCACAGAATTGGAGAAATATATGGAAATCATATAACTAACAAGGAATTAATATCCAGACTATACAGAGAACTAAAACTCCACGAGAACAAAACAATTTCAAAAATGGGCAAAGGGGCCAGGCACAAGTGGCTCACACCTGTAATCCCAACACTTTGGGAGGCGGAGGCGGGCAGATCACCTGAGGTCAGGAGTTCCAGACGAGCCTGGCCAGCATGGCAAAACCCTGACTCTATTAAAAATACAAAAATTAGCCAGGTATGGTGGCAGGCGCCTGTAATCTCAGCTACTCAGGAGGCTAAGGCAGGGAGAATTGCTTGAACCCAGGAGGCCGAGGCTGCAGTGAGCAGTGAGATTGCACCACTGCATTCCAGCCCATGCAACAGAGTGAGATTCTGTCTTACAAAAAAAAAAAAAAAGGGCAAAGGACTAAAATATACATTTCTTCAAAGGATACATATAAATGGTCAATAAGCACATGAGAAGATGCTCAACATCATCAGGGAAATACAAATCAAAACCAGAAGGATATACTACCTTTGATATGGTTTGGCTGTGTCCCCACCCAAATCTCATCTTGAATTCCCATGTGTTGTGAGAGGGACCCAGTGGCAGGTAATTGAATCATGGGGACAAGTCCTTCCCTTGCTGTTCTCATGACAGCGCATAAGTCTCACGAGATCTGATGGTTTGATAAGGGGAAACCCATTTCATTTGGCTCTCACTCTCTCTTGCGGCTGCCATGTGAGACGTGCCTTTCACCTTCCGCCATGATTGTGAGGCCTCCCCAGCTACATGGAACTGTAAGTCCAATAAAGCTTTCTTTTGTAAATTGCCCAGTCTCAGGTATGTCTTTATCAGCAGCATGAAAATGGACTAATACAGTAAATTGGTACCAGTAGAGTGGGGTGCTGCTGAAAAGATACCCAAAAATGTGGATGTGACTTTGGAACGGGATAACAGGCAGAGGTTCAAATAGTTTGGAGGGCTCAGAAGAAGAGAGGAAAATGTGGGAAAGTTTGGAACTTCCTAGAGTCTTGTTGAATGGCTTTGCTCAAAATGCTGATAGTGATATGAATAATAAAGTGAGGCTGAGGTGGTCTCAGATGGAGATGAGGAACTCATTGGGAACTGGCACAAAGGTGACTCTTACTATATTTTAGCAAAGAGACTGGTGGCATTTTGCCCCTGACCTAGAAATCTGTGAAACATTGAACTTGAGAGAGATGATTTAGGGTATCTAGCAGAAGAAACCTCTAAGCAGCAAAGCATTCAAGAGGTGACTTGGGTGCTGTTAAAGGCATTCAGTTTTATAAGGGATGCAGAGCACAAAAGTTTGGAAAATTTGCAACCTGACAATGCCATAGAAAAGAAAATTCCATTTTCTGAGAAGTTCAAGCAGGCTGCAGAAATTTGCATAAGTAAAGAGAAGCCAAATGTTAATCCCCAAGATAATGGGGAAAATGTCTCCAGGGCATGTCAGAGGTCTTCACGGCAGCCCCTCCCATCACCAGCCAGGAGGCCTAGGAGGAAAAAGTGGTTTCAGGGGCCAGGCCCAGTGTCCCCGTGCTGTGTGCAGCCTAGGGACTTGGTGCCCTGCATCCCAGCCACTCTAGCCATGGTTGAAAGGGGCCACCATAGAGCTTGGGCTGTGGCTTCAGAGGGTGCAAGCCACAAGCCTTAGCAACTTCCACATGGTGTTGAGGCTGCCAGTGCACAGAAATCAAGAATTGGAGTTTGGGAACCTCCACCTAGATTTCAGAAGATGTATGGAAATGCCTGGATGCCCAGGCAGAAGTTTGCTGCAGGGGTGGGCCCTCATGGAGAACCTCTGCTAGGGCAGTACAGAAGGGAAACATGGAGTCGGAGGCCCCACACAGAGTCCCTACTGGGGCACCGCCTAGTGCAGCTGTGAGAAGAGGGCCACCGTCCTCCAGACCCCAGAATGATAGATCCACCAACAGCTTGCACCATACACCTGGGAAAGCCACAGACATTCAATGCCAGCCCATAAAAGCAGCCGGGAGGGAGGCTGTACCCTGCAAAGCCACAAGGGCAGAGCTACCTACGACCATGGGAACCCACCTCTTGCATCAGCATGACCTGGATGTGAGACATGGAGTCAAAAGAGATCATTTTGGAACTTTAATATTTGACTGCCCTGGCCGGGTGCAGTGGCTCACACCTGTAATCCCAGTACTTTGGGAGGCCAAGGCAGGCAGATCACCTGAGGTCAGCAGTTCAAGACCAGCCTGACCAACATGGAGAAACCCCATCTCTACTAAAAATACAAAACTAGCCAGGCGTGGTGGCACATGTCTGTAATCCCAGCTACTCAGGAGGCTGAGGCAGGAGAATCGCTTGAACTCGGGAGGCAGAGGTTGCGGTGAGCCAAGATTGTACCATTGCACTTCAGCCTGGGCAACAAGAGCCAAACTCCCTCTCAAAAAAAAAAAAAAATTTTTGACTGCCCTGCTGGATTTCAAACTTGCATGGGGCCTGTAGCTCCTTTGTTTTGGCCAATTTTTCCCATTCGGAATAGCCATATTTACCCAATGCCCATACCCCCATTCTATCTAGGAAGTAACTAATTTGCTTTTGATTTTACAGGCTTATAGGTGGAAGGGACTTGCCTTGTCTCAGATGAGACTTTGGACTGTGGACTTTTGAGTTAATGCTGAAATGAGTCAAGACTTTGAGGGACTGTTGGGAAGGCATGATTGCTTCTGAAATGTGAGGACATGAGATTTGGGAGGGGCCAGGAGCAGAATGATATGGTTTGGCTGTGTCCCCACCCAAATCTCATCTTGAATTCCCACGTGTTGTGGGAGGGACCCAATGGTAGGTAACTGAATCATGGGGACAAGTCCTTCCCTTGCTGTTCTCATGATAATGAGTAAGTGTCACAATATCTGACAGTTTCAAAAATGGGAGTTTTTTTGCACAAGCTCTTGTCTGCCGCCATATGAGATGTGATTTTCACCTTCCACCATGATTGTGAGACCTCCCCAGCCATGTGGAACTGTGAGTCCAATAAACGTCTTTCTTTTGTAAATTGCCCAGTCTTGGGTATATCTTTATCAGCAGCATGAAAACGGACTAATATAACCTCATACCTATTAGGATGGCTACTATCAATGAAATAGAAAATAACAAGCATTGATGAGGATGTGGAAAAACTGTGCACTATGTGGAAAAACTGTGCACTATTGGTAGAAACGTAAAGTGGTACAGCTACTGTGAAAAACAGTATGGCAGTTCCTCAAAAAATTAAAAATAGGGCTGGGTGAACCAGCTGACACCTATAATCCCAGTACTTTAGGAGGTCAAAGTGAGAGGATGATTTGAGGCCAGGAGTTCAAGACCAGCCTGGTCAACATGCTGAGACTCTGTCTCTTCAAAAAATTTAAAAACTGGTGGAGAGATGGTGGCACATGCCTGTAGTCCCAGCTACTTGAGAGGCTGAAGTGGGAGGATTGCTTGACCCCAGGAGTTTGAGGCTGCAGTGAGCTATGATCTTGCCACTGTACTCCAAAGCAAGACCCTGCCTCTAAAAAATAATAATAAATAAATAAATACATAAATAAATAAATTTAATTAAAAGTAGAATTACTGTATGATCCAGCAATTTCACTTGACACAAAATAATTAAAAGCAGGATCTCAAAGAGATATTTGTATGTCCATGTTTATAGCAGCATTATTCACAATAGCAAAAACATGGACGCAATCCAATGTCCATCAACAAACACACACATAAGCAAAATGTAGTATATCCACACAACGAAATATTATTCTACCTTAAAAAGAAAGGAAATGCTGACATATGCTACAACATGGATGAACCTTGAGGACATTATGCTAAGTAAAGTGAGCTAGTCACAAAAAAATTCTGTAGGGTTCTACTTGTGAGGTACCTGGTCGAATTCATACAGACAGGAAACAGAATGGTGGTGGGGAATGACGGGAAGGAGGTACAGTAAGATGTTGATAAACAGTTGTAGAGTTTGAGTTTTGCAAGATGAAAAAAATTCTGGATATTGTTTGTACAACAATGTGAATGTACTTAAGGCTAATGAACTATACACTTAAAAATGATCAAAATGGTCAATTTTATGTTATTTGTACCTTACCACAATAAAATTTAAAGGATTGTTAATAGTGAGAACAGGCCTACTGGAATAACATAATTCACTGAAAGTAATAATAATGGACTATGTAAGTTTGCTTAAGACAGAAAAAAATTTTTAAGTAACATAACCTTTTTTTAAGAGTTACAATAACCAAAACCAAAAACAAAAACCCGTGAAATAACCAAGTAGGTTTTTTAACTACTGTAATAAATATTTTGACTGTACTATATAGAAACCTCAAATAAAACTGAAATAATGTAAACAAAATATGCTCTGAGCAATAAGCTTAATATTCAACTTCCTGTTTGCTTCTTTTATTTACCTGGGAGAGAGAATAGTACCAAGTCAGAGGAAGATCAAACACTCTTAGCGCTGCTGTCTTCAAGGAAAACTGTGATTCACTTACTGTTTCTTCTGACATGGCTCCTCTTCTAATCTTCATTAAATGAAACATAAAAAAAATTAGCCACAAAGATTTCTGGTTACTTTACCAATGAAAGGTACAAACTGAAAATTTAATTCTATCAGCTTATTTTTGCAGTCAATTATTGATGACATTACACTTGAGCTAAAATTATATTTATTAATCACCAAACGCGTAAAAGAAACAATAAGCTATCCTTCCTGTAGGAGATAGCATAAAAAATAAGAAGTTAAAAAAAAAAAAAAGCTAGATTTAAACTTTGAGTCCGGGTAGCAAATTTTCCTTAGGAAATTGCGAGTTCTAGATTCTCTCTTTTCTGGTTACATAAAAATTTAACACTTTTTAGGGAGTAATTTAAAATTTACTTCTCATTCATTTGGTTTCCTTCATATAACTGCGGGGGTGAGAGTAGGTGGCAGGCAGGTTGCTGAATGGAATCTGGAACAGAATCTTGGGGCTAGAACCTCAGAGTTCACTGACTGAACTCCAGAACTCACGCATTTATTCTCCTATTGTCTCATTTTAAAGATCTTCAAAGAAATGCCACATATATGCTATATGATTTTGGTATAGTTTTAATGCGTATTATTTCTCTTAAACAAAAAAAGAAAAGTCAGATGAGTACAGAGAAGCAGTTGACACACAAAGAGAGGTCATTAAGGCAGTGGTTCAGGGTCTGGGTCTCTGCTTTATAGAGCCAGAAACGTAATTTTACCACTGTACCCAGTTGAACACATGTTAAACAAATTTACATGGTATTGATGCATAAATCACTTTACAAGTTTATCTATTTATAATAAAGAAATAAACGATCTAGTGTACATATTCTATCAAAACATACCATCCCTGAAATAAAAGACCATAGGAAGCTGAACTAATAAGTCAAAAATGTTGCCTGATGAGTGCAAAAATCAAGAGTCCTGAGGAATATTTCATTCAGGCCAAGAAAACGCCTAAGCATTATCTCTAATGCACAAGAGAATGGGCTTCTCTAATAACCACAATGTTTATGTCTACCAAATTTATTATTTCTTTTATTTGGGTAGTGCTGTATATTACATAACAGAATATAAAAATTACCAGCAATCCCTCTATAAAAGTTTATTTGCGGCTGGGCACAGTGAGTGGCTCATGCCTGAGCACTTTGGGAGTGACTTTGGGAGGCCGAGATGGGTGGATTGCTTGAGTCCATGAACCCAGGAGTTCGAGACCAGCCTGGGAAACATGGTGAAACCCTGCCTACACCAAAAAAAAAAAAAATTATTTGCTACACTTTTTTAGGCCCTTCATTTCTGCATACATTTCTATGTTCTCTTTTTCTATACTCCAATAGACTATCCCCTTCTGTTAATACCCACCTGTTTTCAGACAAGTGTCAAAACCACTGATTAAGTAGTGGTTTCCTTTAAAATCAAACACAGCAATACCTCTTAGGGTGGGTTACTACTACTGATGCTTCCCTTAATCCTTACTAGGGATACAGCAGTATAAACTTAATCCCCCCTACCAGTGTTCTAAGTACAACTTTTAGATTCAGTATAGTTAGTTCTACTTGACATACATTTATTTCAGTCAACAACCTGTGATAGAGACATATGATTAAAAAGTACAGAGGAAACCATGAACAGTTAAGAAAGTGAAAAATGGTCCTCTGGAGAATAAGACAAGGGATATAGAAAAGCTGGGCAAAGAATGACTGCTTTTCCTTATAAGTCTGTTTGTAATACTTGATTTTTAAAAACCTGCCTACATGTATTACTTTTTTAATATTACTACAGTAAAAAGGAAGTGGGGGGAAGCTCATTTATTCTTCCCCCTCCCTAAATATTAACACATTTTATTTTGAGAAACATTTTTACTAATTAGATTCTGGATCATTAAGCAATCTATGCTACTGCATTTAAAAAACGTATTGAGTAATTCACCCAAAGTAATTTTCCCTATAATGGAGCATTCCAAATTTTTAAGCAGAATAGAAAGAAAATAAAGCAAACACTTTAATTGGCTGCAGAGATATTCTTAAAAGATTATGACAAACCTCGGCCAGGCGTGGTGGCTCACGCCTGTAATCCCAGCATTTTGGGAGGCCGAGGTGGGTGGATCAGTTGAGGTCAAGAGTTCAAGACCAGCCTGGCCAATATAGCGAAACCCCATCTCTACTACAAATACAAAAAAATTAGCCAGGAGTGATGTCGGGCGCCTGTAATCCCAGCTACTCGGAAGGCTGAGGTAGGAGAACTTCTAGAACCCTAGGGGCGGAGGTTGCAGTGAGCAGAGATCACGCCATTGCACTCCAGCCTGGGCGACAGAGCCAGACTCCGCCTCAAAAAAAAAAAAAAAAGAAAAAAGAAAAAATATTATGACAAACCTCTATTTTTGCATTCTAACTACCTCATTCTTTTTCATTTAATATTACTGAGGAAGTTGATTCCAAACCTAATCATTATTCATTGAAAAACTAAAGAAAAAAAAACAAAAAACTAGTCATTTCATTTGCTTTCAGAAGCATAATAAAAATAAACATGAAGGGGGTTTCATGATTATTCAAATTTATAGACGGAATCTATAAAACATAACCAAAAATATTGTCCTGTGTGATATTACTTGCTCCTCTACATTCCAACTACTGGGGAATTAAAAATAAGTGTCATAAACAGTTTCTTAGACATCTTAAAATTCTATCCTGCAACTTTGACTTTATAATCCAACAGGAAGGAAAGTCTGAAGTATCAAAAAGAAAATTGACGTGAAGCACAAATCTATATAACCTAACTCTGACACTTTGAACAGAGCAAACATGTTTAGCTGCAATAACAACAACAATAAAACAACAATAATAAAGGTTTCAAAGTCCTGTGCAAAAACAAGCTGAGTCTTCCCTCTGGAAAATAGATAATTTAACAACTTTACAGAAGGACCTGACACCACAATACTCCCGTGCTAAATTATTCTCTTAAAGCACCTGCAAAGCAGAGTAATCTTTCACATCCAAAAGCCACTCCCTGCTCAAAACCACCCGCATCCAAGCCGAACCTGAGACCTCACCAGCTGCCCTACCTCCAGCGCGCTCTCCCCCGACCCCACAGCAGCCCCTCGCGGAGCTCTCCTCTGCTGTCTTCCTTTTTCTTTGCCAAGAACACCAGAAAAGGGGGTCCCTCCAGCTCGGCCGTCCAGACCCTTCCTCTGGCTCAGAGCAGTGGCGAGCCCATCCCAATTCCGCGCTTCCTTTGCAGGCCTCCCTCTGGCGTGGGGACCCTCCTGCTTTCCTATGCAAGTACTAACCAGGCCCGACCCTGCTTAGCTTCTGAGATGAGACGAGGTCGGGGGTGTTCAGGGTGGCACGGCCGTAGACCCTCTGGCTTTCCGCCGCTCCACCTGGCACTCCGAGAGCTAACGCCAGCGATGGAGTCCGCGCCACCCCTGCCCCGAGGCCTCTGCCCCAACTGCGTGGCCGCTCAACTCTCCGCTTCCTCCCGCCCGCCTCTCCACCCCACCCCGCCCCTGGCCCTGTACCTGGAGCTCCAGGCCAGGTACAGCTGGCCTGCCCACGCCAGCTTCCCAGCTGATGCCTGGCGCTGAGCAGCAGTCTGACATGGAGAAGGCGGAGTCCTTCCGGGGTCAGGAGTGCGAAGGTGGAGAGAAAGTGGAGGGGGCCTTCCAGGCTTTCTGCGTGAGGGACTACGTGTGAAGCAGCTCCCGCCATTTTTGTTTAGGGTAGAGGCTCCTTCCTCGTCAAGTGGATGCAAAAACTATATTCGAAGAATTGCATCCTTTTACAAACCGGTAAAAAAAAAAAAAAAAAACTAGTATTGTAGTTCGTAACCTGTCGGGGGATCTAGAACGGTTGTCAATCTGGTAAAAATTATGGAGGGTTTCCCCTGGAAAAAAAAAAATGTGTATACACATGCTCATTACATTAAAGAAAAAAAAGTTACACAATTTCAAAACCCTGAAAACAAGATTAAGAACTTCTACCACAGGCCCTCAGCCCTCAGATGAATGAGTGTTAAGAGGCATTCCAATCCGGTATAGATGATGCATTTATTATTGATTTCATGTCCTCTTTACCTTTTTTTCTGTGTTTCCCACTGAATTAGGCAACCGAAGAATATTGAATGTGGCAATTTATTGGCAGAGTAGTCACCTCTCTCAGGTTCTAATACATAGTAAACTAATAGGGGGCCGGGTTAGGAAAAAATAACAACAACAAAACCCAAGGTACTGTTTCTACGTTCAGTCTTCAGTCAAAACATTCCATCAGAACTGCAGATTTAGGCGGGGCACGGTGGCTGAAGCCTGTAATCCCAGCACTTTGGCGGGCCAAGGCGGGCAGATCACTTGAGGTCAGGAGTTCAAGACCAGCCTGGCCAACATGGCGAAACCCCATCTCTACTAAAAGTACAAAAATTAGCCAGGCACCTGCCTGTAATCCCAGCTACTCGGGAGGCTGAGGCAGGAAAATCGCTTGAACCCGGGAGGCGGAGGTTGTGTGAGCCCAGATAGTGCTACTGCACCCCAACCTGGGTGACTAGAGTGAGACTCTGTCTCAAAACAAAAAACAAAACAAAACAAAACAAAACAAAAAAACTGCAGATTTAAGAATTCCAGTTGCTGAGCATATTTGTGGTGAAAAGCCAAAATAATTCTGTTTTCAAAATTCCCATTTAACCAAATGGAAAATAGAATAGTAGTACCAATTTATGATATTATTAGATTAATAATAACTAACGATCCACAGACTGGGTTTTATGTGAAAATATTTTGCACTTATAGGGTAAATGGAGCTCTTGAGACTTGAAGAACCTGAAATTTGTAAGGCTATTTTCATTTATTTTCCCAATTTCCTCCTCTTTCCCATTTCCCACAGCTTCCAAACATTCAACGTAATGAGAATAGCAGTAATGATGATGACTACCACTCAACACAACTTTCCTGAGACCATATTATCTCCTTAATTCCACAATAAACATTATGAGAAAAATAGTATTACACGGTGGGTACAGAGTTTATTCTTTAGCATGAGAATAAGATATGTCACATTTAGGCCAAGTGAGGTGGCTCACATCTGTAATCCCAACACTTTGTGGGGCCGATGAGGGAGGATCCCTTGAGGTAAGAAGTTCGAGATTAGCCTGGGCAATAGCAAGACCCTCATTTCTACAAAATAATAATAAAATATATAAAATAGAAATATCACATTTAATTTATGTTTATAAACCAAATGTAATTTGCTGTAAGCCTCCCTTCTTCTGGTTTGGCAGAGTACTGCACTCAATCTTAGCCATTATTGGATATATTAGTTAACATATTCGCTACAAGTAAAAGAAAACCAAACAAGTAGTGGTTTAAACCAGAAGGACAGGGGACTCAATGTCTTCTGATATTGGAGACAAGGAAAAAAAAATTGGAGCCTGGATTAATTCTGAAGGCCAGTACCTCCCCCAGATAACCAAGCCATCGTGTAATGCTCACTAAACCAGAGAATGGAGTTCATGGAGTACTACCAGTTGTTTCTTCTGTACAAGTACTGCAATACATGCTACAGCAACCATTAATGAATTTAGGGGATCCTATCTGCATAATATCAAAACAAAACTGTGAAGTCAGACTGCCTGGGTTTGAATCCTTTCTTGGCCACTTACTAGATGCATTGTTAAAGGAAAAGAAACACAAAGCTATTTTTCTGTAGTTTCAACACTTCTGACTCCAAATGTGTGGAGGTTTTTCCCCACCAAACAAGTCTCCAATTATTTCTTATTATAAACTCCACTCTTTAATTTAGTGTCTACCAACTGGGTGTTGTACAGTTAAATTTAATTCAATACTATGCACCAAACCCTTAAGGGCTCAGTCCTACAAGACTGCCCCCACTTCAGATACCAATTGCAAATCCCAGGTTGTCACTTGTACTTCTGACCAACCAGCTATAAATCAGGAATTCCCACAATCTTCTCCTCCCATCCCAAACCAGTCTATTGATTTATAACAGAAGATATTACAAAGGATACAGATGAACAGCCGGATGAAGAGGTACATAAAACAAGATCTGGAAGGATCCTAAGTGCAGGAACTTCTGTCCCCATGGAATCAGGGTGTATGACCTTTTTGGGATATGGATGTGTTCACCAACTCAGAAGCTCTTAGAACCCCGTACTTCAGGGATTTCTGTGGAGGCTTCATAATGTTGTTACCAGAAAGGGGTACCAATCCAGATCCCAAGAGAGGGTGCTTGGATTTCGCACAAGAAAGAATTCAGGGCAAGTCCACAGTCCAAAGCAAAAGCAAGTTTAAGACAGTGAAGTGGTGAATGTCCACTTACTCTATAGACAGAGTAGGGCGTTCCCAAAAGGAAGAAGAGGAATGCATCCACTCTAGGTACAATATTCATTTATAGAGGAGTTAAAAAAAAAAAGATCATGGGAAGATGTGCTCTGCTACGAGGGTTTGTGGTAAAAGATTAATTTTCTTAATTACCATATTTTGCAAGAATTAATATTATTATCTTTAAAGCAAAATTAGGAATGCTTTTGCTCTCAAGGTATCAGGGACATCAGGACACTCCCAAGTCTGGGTCTGTTTAGTAAACATTATCAATCTGTTCCCTTAACTGTAAATGTTTAGAAGCTAGAAATGCCTAACTTTCTGGGAATGCAGCCCAGCAAGTCCCAGCCTCATTTTCCTAGCCCGCACTCAAAACGGAGTCGCTCTGGTTTGAACCCTCTGACAATGTAACCATAATTGATTATTAACTCAATCTTCAACTACTCTCTCCTCCACAGAGGATAGGGTAGGTATGGGGCCAACATTTTTAAGCTTCTAATCATAGCTTGAATTTGCTGGTGACCAGCCCCTATCCTGAAGCTATCCAGGAGCCCAACAAGAATATTAGAAAAAAAGACACTCCTATCAACCGGGAAATTCCAAGAGATTTAGGAGCTCTGTGTCAGGACTGGGGACAGAGAGCAAATATATATCTTTTCTTTCTTTGTTTCTTTTCCTTCTGTCTGTCTCGTTTGCCTGCCTGCCTGCCCGCCCGCCTTCCTTCCTTCCTTCCTTCCTTCCTTCCTTCCTTCCTTCCTTCTTTCTTTCTTTGTCTCTTTCTCTCTTTCTTTCTTTCTTGCTTTGATACAGGATCTCACTTTATTGCCCAGGCTGCACTGAAGTAGTGTGATCATAGCTCACTGCAGCCTAGAACTCCTGGGCTCAAGTGATCTTCCTGCTTCAGTCTTCTGAGTGGCCAGGACTACAGGCACTTGCCACCATGCCCAGTTAATTTTTAAAATTTTAGTAGAGACAATGTCTCCCTATGTTGCCAGGGCCTGGTCTCAAACTCCTGGGCTCAAGTGATCCTCCCACCTCAGCCTCCCAAAATGTTGGGATTATAGGTGTGAGACACAGTGCCTGGCCCAAATATGTATTTTTTATGTCACAGTGGTCTTCAGCAAGGTACTTACCCTTTTCATGTCTCAATTTCCTCCTGGCATGTTAGAAAGACAAATATAGGCCTGGCACTGTGGCTCACACCTGGAGGCCGAGGTGAGCAGATCATTTGAGGTTAGGAGCTCGAGACCAGTCTGGTCAACATGGTGAAACCCCATCTGTACTAAAAATACAAAATTAGCCAGATGTGGTGGTGCGTGCCTGTAATTCCAGCTACTCGGGAGGCTGAGGTAGGAGAATCGTTTGAATCCAGGAGGCAGAGGTTGCAGTGAGCCAAGATCACGCCGCTGCTCTCCAGCCTAGGCAACAGAGCAGGACTCTGTCTCAAAAAATAAAAAGAAAAAGAAAGACAAATATAGTAATGCTTAGAAAGAACTAAGAATCTTATGGAAAATTTTTTTTTTTTGGAGACGAAGTCTCGCTCTGTTGCCCAGGGTGGAATGCAGTGGCACGATCTCGGCTCACTGCGACCTCCACCTCCCGGGTTCAAGCAATTCTCCTGCCTCAGCCTCCCAAGTAGCTGAGACTACAGGCGCATGCTGCCATGCCAAGCTAATTTTTTGTATTTTAGTAGAGACAGGGTTTCACTGTGTTGCCTGAGCTGTTCTCAGACTCCTGAACTCAGGCAGTACGCCTGCCTTGGCCTCCCAAAATGCTAGGATTACAGGTGTGAGCCAACGCACCCAGCTCTTATGGAAATTTTTCACTTGAGTACTTGGACCTCCATAGGATCCAAGGAGGCAACTGTATTTCAATATAGTTGGTTTGCCTTGTAATCCCATGTATTTGTTTTATGCACATAGAAGCATTACTTTGAAAAGGGGGTCCCAGACTCTACCAGAAAGCCAAGAGGTCCATAAAAAAAAAAGGTTAAGAATGTAGAACAGACTGCTAAGACCGCGTCCACCCCGCGAGCACAGAGCTCCGCTGCCCTTCCACATCTGTGTGATGGTGGGCATGGGTCAAAAGGACTCCTACGAGGGTGATGAGGCCCAGAGCAAGAGAGGTATCCTGACCCTGAAGTACCCCATAGAGCACAGCATCATCACCAACTGGGATGACATGGAGAAGATCTGGCACCACAACTTCTACAACGAGCCGCGTGTGGCTCCAAGGAGCACCCGTAGTGCCGACTGAGGCCCCCCTGAACTCCAAGGCCAATCACGAGAAGATGACCCATATCATGTTTGAGACCTTCAACACCCCAGCCATGTACATGGCCATCCAGGCCATGCTGTCCCTGTACGCTTCTGGCCACATCGTGATGGACTCCAGCGACAGGGTCACCCACACTGTGCCCATCTACGAGGGGTAGGCCCTCCTCCAGGCCACCCTGTTTCTGGACCTGGCTGACCAGGACCTGACTGATTACCTCATAAAGATCCTCGTGGAGCGCCGCTACAGCTTCACCACCACCGCCCAGTGGGAAATCGTGCATGGCATCAAGGAGAAGCTGTGCTACGTCACCCTGGACTTGGATCAGGAGATGGCCACGGTGGCCTCCAGCTCCTCCCTGGAGAAGAGCTACTAGCTGCCCAACAGCCAGGTCATCACTATCGGCAAGGAGCGGTTCCACTGCCCCAAGGTGCTCTTCCAGTCTTCCTTCCTGGGCATGGAATCCTGTGGCATCCAAGAAACTACCTTCAACTCCATCATGAAGTGTGATGTGCACATATGCAAAGACCTCTACGCCAACACAGTGCTGTCTGGCGGCACTACCATGTACCCTGGCATCGCTGACAGGATGCAGAAGGCGATCACCACCCTGGGGCCCAGCACGATGGAGATCAAGATCATTGCTCCTCCCGAGAGTAGATACTCCATGTGGATCAGTGGCTCCATCCTGGCCTTGCTGTCCACCTTCCAGCAGATGTGGATCAGCAAGCAGGAATACAATTAGTCCAGCCCCTCCAGCCCCTCCGTTGTCCACCGCAAATGCTTCTAAGCAGACTTTTACTTAGTTGCATTACACCCTTTCTTGACAAAAGCTAACTTGCATGGAAAACAAGATGAGATTGGCATGACTTTTTTTATTTTTATTTTTTTTTTGAGGGGGTGTCTTGACTCAGTATTTTAAAACTGGAACGGTGAAGGTGAGAGTAGTCAGTTGGAGTGAGCAAGTGAGCATCCCCCAAAGTTCTACAGTGTGGCCCAGGACTTTGATTGTACATTGTTCTTTTTTTTAATAGTCATTCCAAATATCGTGAGATGCATTGTTACAGGAAGTCCCTTGCCCTCCTAAAAGTCACCCCACTTCTCTCTAAGGAGAACGGCCCAGTCCTCTCCTGAGTCCACACAGGGGAGGTGACAGCATTGCTATCATGTAAATTATGTAATGCAAATTTTTTTTTTGAAATGGAGTCTCGCTCTGTGGCCGATACTGGAGTGCAGTGGTGCAATCTTGGCGCACTGCAAGCTCCGTCGCTTGGGTTCACGCCCTTCTCCTGCCTCAGCCTCCCGAGTAGCTGGGACTACAGGCGCCTGCCACCACGCTCGGCTAATTTTTTGTATTTTTAGTAGAGATGGGGTTTCACTGTGTTAGCCAGGATGGTCTTGATCTCCTGACCTTGTGATCTGCCTGCCTCAGCCTCCCAAAGTGCTGGGATTACAGGTGTGAGCCACCGTGCCCCGCCGCAAAATTTTTTTAATCTTTGCCTTAATACTTTTTTATTTTGTTTTATTTTGAATGATCAGCCTTTGTGGCCCCCTTTTGTGTCCCCCAACTTGAGATGTATGATGAAGGCTTTTGGTTTCCCTGGGAGTGAGTGGAGGCAGCCAGGGCTTACCTGTATACTGACTTGAGACCAGTTGAATAAAAGTGCACACCTTAAAAAAAAAAAAAAAGAACATAGAACAATCCTGGCACATATTTCTAAGATATATGGCATATTAAATGAGACCCTTCAGTGCGTCTTTTAACAGAGGCTCCAAAGCTGAGAAAAATAAATGTGAAGTACCCTGAGCATTCTAAAAGAGGATGCCAGACCATCCCCATAGGACATGCTGGAAGACTGTGAAGCCAGTTTAGCAATCCTCAGTTCTCACACACCTCCCAGGAATGATATGTCAGGATTGATGAAAGAAGGTTGTAGAATAAACATGCCTGGAAGGGCCAGGCTTGGTGGCTCATGCCTGTAGTCCCAGCACTTTGGGAGGCTGAGGCAGGTGGATCACTTTGAGCCCAGGAGTTCAAGACCAGCTTGGGCAACATGATGAAAACCAGTCTCTGTAAAAATGCAAAAACTAGCTGGGTGTGGCTGGGCACACCTGTAGTGTCAGCTACTCGGGAGGTTGCGGTGGGAGGATGACATGGGAGGGTGATGGCATGAGCCCAGGAGATGGAGGTTGCAGTGATCCAAGATCGTGCTACTGTACTCCAGCCTGGGTGACAGAGCCAGACCCTGTCTCAAAAAAAAAAAAAAAAAGCCTGGGAGACAGTTTTCTGGAGTGCTGTGCATTTTTGTTCCCCTTCCCCAGGAGTGGGAAGAAGAGAGTGCTTATCCCACGCCATCTCCACCTCAAGCCAAGTAAAGGAACTTTAAGAAATTCAGACAGGTTGACTCTGTGCCCTGGATTTATGTTACCTGGAAAAGTCTAAAAGCAATAGGCTATCTAGAGAAGCCTTTGATGGCAGAACAGAGAGAGAGAGAGGCCTACAACAGAAGGGGCCTGTACTTGCAACTTTGCAAGAAAAATTTTCCTGTGGACCATGTGAGTGTCACAGAATGTAGCCAGGCTTGAATTATATTAGAAGGTTGTATCTTCAAACCAGGTTTAAATTGACCATCTAAATGTTCAGCCACAGGTTTTTTTGTCCAGGATTGGGGAATGAAACAGTAAGAGGTCCCCAGCAAAGGAGACAGTCATTGAGGAACATACAAAAGGGACAAGAAAAGAGCCAGCATCTAGGAGTGAGCCACATGCAGAAGGTACCAAAGTCAGACTTGTTTTTATTTATTTATTTAGATAGAATCTCGCTCGCTCTGTCACCCAGGCTGGAGTGCAGTGGCACAATCTTGGCTCACTGTAACCTCCACCCCCTGGGTTTGAGTGATTCTCCTTCCTCAGCCTCCCAAGTAGCTGGGACTACAGACTCATGCCACCACATCCAGCTAATTTTTCTTTCTTTCTTTTTCTTTTTTTTGAGATGGAGTCTCGCTCTGTCGCCCAGGCTGGAGTGCAGTGGCGTGGTCTCGGCTCACTGCAAGCTCCTCCTCCCGGGTTCAGGACATTCTCCTGCCTCGGCCTCCCGAGTAGCTGGGACTACAGGCGTCCGCCACCATGCCAAGCTAATTTTTTGTATTTTTAGTAGAGACGGGGTTTCACCATGTTAGCCAGGATGGTCTTGATCTCCTGATCTTGTGATCTGCCCCCCCTTGGCCTCCCAAAGTGCTGGGATTACAGGCATGAGCCACCGCATCTGGCCCTAATTTTTGTATTTTTAGTAGAGATGGGTTTCACTATGTTGGTCAGGCTGATCTCAAACTCCTGACCTCAAGTGATCTGCCCACCTCGGCCTCCCAAAGTGCTGGGATTACAGTCGTGAGCCACCGTGCCCAGCATCAAAGTCAGATTTAATTGCACTGGTTGGGTATATCTGATACTTTATTTAGAATAGTTAGGGTCGGCCGGGCGCGGTGGATCACAGCTATAATCCCAGCACTTTGGGAGGCCGAGGACGGGCGGATCACAAGGTCAGGAGAGCCAGACCATCCTGGCTAACACCGTGAAACCCCGTCTGTACTAAAAATACAAAAAATTAGTCAGGCGTGTTGACGGAGGCCTGTAGTCCCAGCTACTCGGGAGGCTGAGGCAGGAGAATGGCGTGAACCTGGGTGGCGGGGCTTGCAGTGAGCTGAGATCGCGCCACTGCATTCCAGCCTGGGCAACAGAGCGAGACTCCGTCTCGAAAAAAAAAAAACTAAGAATAGTTAGGGTCACTGCTCATTCCATCTGAAACAATATGTGGCCAATGTACTTCATGAATGATTGATTAGTGGAAACAACATTTATCAAGTGACGACATTAAGCCTGAAGAAAGAAGTCTAGCACATTGAGGTTGTAAAAGCAATTATATCACCTAAGTAGATGAACACTTTTAGGTAATTTGTAGCTCCAATTACTTTTTCTACTAACTGCAAAAACTTGGCAGTCCCCAGAAATACCTCAGGGCCTCCTTTCAAATATATACAATGCTATAGGTCACATATTGGCCATTATAGCTTTAGTCTCACTAACCTCTGAAAGTATTTTACAGGACCCTTCTATGAGTCAGAACTAAGCTAACCAAGGCATCTAGAACTCAAAGTATGGTTTTAGATGCTAATTTAGAACATCTATTCAGAGTATAGTGGTATGTACATATCCAAATACTACAGATTCAGTTCCTCAAAACGTTAAATACAGAGTTAGCATATGGTCCAGCAATTCTACTCCTAGGTAATACCCAAGAGAAATGAAACATACGTTCATACCAAAACTTGTACATGAATATGCATAGCAGCATTATTCTTTTTTTTTTTTTTGAGACATAGTCTCACTCTGTCACCCAGGCTGGAGTGCAGTGGCACGATCTCGGCTCACTGCAACCTCTGTTTCCCAGGCCCAAGTGATTCTCCCATCTCAGCCTCACGAGTAGCTGGGATTACAGGCACCCGCCATCATGCCAGCTAATTTTTGAATTTTTAGTAGAGAGTGGGTTTCACCATGTTGGCCAGGCTGGTCTCAAACTCCTCGCCTCAAGTGATCCTCCAGCCTGGGCCTCCCAAAGTGCTGGGATTACAGGCGTGAGACATCGTGCCTTGCCTAGCAGCATTTTTCTTTTCTTTTTTTTTTTTTTGAGATGGAATCTCACTCTGTTGCCCAGGCTGGAGAGCAGTGGTGCAATCTCGGCTCACTGCAAGCTCTGCCTCCCGGGTTCACACCATTCTCCCGCGTCAGCCTCCCGAGTAGCTGGGACTACAGGCGCCTACCACCATGCCTGGCTAATTTTGTTTTTGTATTTTTAGTAGAGACAGATTTTCACCGTGTTAGCCAGGATGGTCTCTATCTCCTGACCTCATGATCCACCCGCCTCGGCCTCCCAAAGTGCTGGGATTACAGATGTGAGCCACCACGCCCGGCCTCAGCAGTATTCTTAATGGCCAAAACATAGAAACAACTCAAATGTCCATCAACTGATGAATGAATAAATAAAATGTGATATATTCATGTGATATTATTTGGTCATAAAAAGGAATAATGAACTGATAAATGTTATAACATGGACGAATCTTTAAAACATTATGTTAAGTAAAGAAGCCTGTCAGGTGGGGCACGGTGGCTCACGCCTGTAATCCCAGCACTTTGGGAGGTGGAGGTGGGCAGATCATTTGAGGTTAGAAGTTCAAGACCAGCCTGGTCAACATGGTGAAACCCCATCTCTACTAAAAATATAACAATTAGTCGGGCATGGTGGTGTGCACCTGTAGTCCCAGCTACTTGGGAGGCTGAGGCAGGAGAATGGCTTGAACTCAGGAGGTGGAGGTTGCAGTGGCCAAGACTGCACCACTGCACTCCAGCCTGGACGACAGAGGGAGACTCTGTCTCAAAAAAAAAAAAAAAAAAAAAAAAAGCCTGTTACAAAGACTGTATATTGTATATGGTTCTAATTATATGCAATGTCCAGAATAGGCAAATCTATACAAAGAGGAAGCAGCATAGTGATTGCCTAGAGCTGGGAGAGTTGAGGGGAAATTTAAGTGACTGCAGAAGGATACAGGGTTTCTTTCGGGAATGGTGAAAATGTTCTAAATTTATTTATTTATTTTTTATTTTTATTGTTTATTTTTATTTATTTACTTATTTTTGAGACGGAGTTTCCTTCTGTCACCTAGGCTGTAGTGCAGTGATGTGATCTCAGCTCTCTGCAACCTCTGCCTCCTGGGCTCAAGCAATCCTCCCGCCTGAGCCTCTTGAGTAGCTGGGACTACAGGTACATGCCACCATGCCCGGCTAATTTTTGTATTTTTTGTACAGACAGGGTTTCTCCATGTTGGCCAGGCTGGTCTCGAACTCCTGACCTCAAGTTATCCTCCCAGTTTGATCCTTTTTCAAAGAGAGAGAGAGAGAGAGACATCTGTGTTCTATTGGAAGGTATTTACATCAAAATGTAAAATAACTAATAGACACCACAGAGATTTTTCAAGTAAGAGTTTAGGCAAGTAAGTTTATTCTAAAGTTACTTTAACATAAAGAACATAAAATTTAAATTAAACTACCAAGAAACAAGAGTTCATATTTTGCATTTCTAAAAAATCTTACGACTTCAAAACCCTAGAAAACCGTGTGTCATTTCTAAACTTATTTTTTAAAAAGAGCTGCATCTGCTGTGTATACATTTAAATGATGGAAATTTTGAGAAGTACAAGAAAATTACTGCTTCTCTAAGTTAAAAAATGTATCTTGTAATTCTTTCATATTTTCCCATTCATTCGTCTTTTTCAGTAATAGGTTTATTGATTTGTTCATTTCTTACATCGTGCCTTGTGGTGTGCTGAAAGCTGGAAATACTAGAATGAGTAAGAAAAATTCCTGCCCACAGCTTGGTTCAGGAAATGGAAAAGTGAACAAATCACTGCTATGTGTAATAATGACATTACAGGTTATATTGTATAATCAAGCAGCAGTAATAATCACTAAGGAACATGGTACAGAATGCAAGGAAAGGCCCACACAGCACAGAAAAGTCAGAAGAGGCTTCCCCTAGGACACGGGTATCCATCCTTTTGGCTTCCCTGGGCCACACTGGAAGAAGAATGGCGTTGGGCCATACATAAAATATACTAACACTAACGATAGCTGATGAGCTAAAAAAAAAAAAAAAAAATGTTCCGTGAAGGCCAGATGCAGTGGCTCACGCTTGTAATCCCAGTACTTTGGGAGGCTGAGGTGGGTGGATCACCTGAGGTCAGGAGTTAGAGACCAGCCTGGCCAATATGGTAAAACCCCGTCTCTACTAAAATATAAAAAAAATTAGCTGGGTGTGGTGGTGGGCGCCTATAATCACAGTTACTCGGGAGGCTGAGGCAGGAGAATCGCTTGAACCCGGGAGGCAGAGGTTACAGTGAGCCGAGATCTCGCCATTGCAGTCCAGCCTGGGCAACAAGAGTGAAACTCTGTCTCAAAAAAAAAAAAAAAAAAAGTTCCGTGCATAATTTTCATGATATCCACCACCATGGATCAGCAAAAAAGTTGTTGCATTCAAAGGGTTGAACATGGCTGCCCCAGAAGGTGTCCCTTTAAAGGATGAATGGAATGGAGTTCACTTTTGAGAGAAAAGGCATTCCCTGTATAAGTAAAGTTGCACTAAGTAGGAGAGGCACAAGCAAATGTTTTGCCTTTCAGAAAAACGAAATATAAGTTAGAGTAGCTTGAGGACAGGGTGTTTGATTGGGCATAGCAAAATACTAGGTAGGTGGAGTAAATTTGGGTCAAACTAAGGCCATGAGGACCTAGGAAGCAAGCAAGGTGCCTAGGGCATACAGTTAGAAGTATTTGCTGGTTCCTGCAAATATAGGGTTCTTAGATATTGCATTCTAGGCAACTTATTTGCCTCATCCTAGGACCTTGGTGAGAAAAAAACTCTTTGGGAGCAGGGAAGAGTCATTGAAGACTTACATGACTAGATACAGGTTTTAGAAAGTTATGTTTAGAAGTATGGCATTGGACTAAAGGAGACTGAGAATAGAGTCGGAAAGACATGTGAGGAAGCTATTAAAATAACCCAGGTAAGAATTTAGAGGATCTGTACAGAGGAGCCCTCCTAGGCTCCATCTCCCATGCAGTCAATTAAAAGTCTGTTATTTTAGACTCCTAAGTAACTCTCATTACCATCTCCACTGCTAGGCCCTTACCTTCCCTTGTCTGGATTCTACAATAAGTAGCCTGTCTCTACTCTATTTCAGTCATTACCATCCAAGTAATCCAATATGTAAATCTCATTGTGTTGCTTTCTTTCCCAAAGTTATTTGTATCCTTAGAAGAAAAACTACTTAGCAGACAAGGCCACTTATGATCTGCCTCTCTTGTATAGTCTTTTCCCCTATCCCCTGCTCTCAATCTTTACTTAGCAATACTGACCCCTTGTAAGTTCCCAATTGCAGTATATTCTTTCTTGCTGATGTGCCTTTGCCTATTCTCCTCCCTCTGCCAAAAATGTCTCTCCTCCTCTGGAAGTGTACACTTGAAAACCATTGAGGTGTAGACTTTAAATGGATGAATTGTATGGTATGTGTATATATCTCAATAAAGCTGTTATTAAAAAAATTATTGCCATTTTTAAGATCAAGAAATTGAGGCTTGAAAAGATTGTGAAAATGGTAAAATCTGGAGATCTGAAGCTGGAAAATGACCTAGAGCATATTTTCACTGCATTGCCTCAGTAGTTATGAGAATGCTGTGCTACTCCAAAAAAAGGCCTGTGTTCAGCGAGGCACAGTGACTTACATCTATAATCCTAGCACTTCGGGAGTGCGAGGTGGGCCAAGTAAGAAATTTTTCTTGGCCTGTAAGCCAGTATTGGCTATCTATGATATTGTGTCTTCCATTCATCTACTTGATTGTCATGGAAGGTGCCCTGTTCTTCCATGACACTGACCCTCTGGCTGAATGCTCTTGGACAGGCACTGGACCCAGGTGAAGATAGTAAATCCCTTCTTTGGGATTTTTTTTAAACCGGGAACTCTGCTTTTGGAGAAAACTATAAGATGGCAAATTAGAAAGTGAGTGACGGGCCAGGTACTGTGGCTCACACCTGTAATCCCAGCACTTTGGGACGCCACGGCAGGCAGACCACCTGAGCCCAGGAGTATGAAACCAACCTGCGCAACATGGCGAAAACCCATCTCTATAAAAAATACAAAAATTAGCCAGGCGTGGTGGAGTGCACTTGTAGTCCAAGCTTCTTGGGGGGCTGAGACGAGAAGATTGCTTGAACCCAGGAGGTCAAGGCTGCAGTAAGCCATGATTGTGCCACTGCACTTCAGTTTGGGTGACACAGCGATACCCTACCTCAAAAAAAAAAAAAAAAAAAAAGGGAGTGGTAAAGAGATTAGAAAGCCCTTGCAATGTTTGAGTCCCTGGTTCTAGCTATCATTCCTTGGATTCTATAAGCCAGTAAACCTCCTTTTTGCCAAAGTTAGGGCATCCAAATTCTGTATCCCAGTTCACCTATGGGCTTCAAGTGGCTTACAGGTATGCCAAGGCAGTGATCCCTGCTGGAAACCTCTAACAGCAAGCATCCTTGTCTATTGATCCCAGTGTATTATAATTTTCTAAATGACCTGATCTGATAATCTAAGAAAACTCTGAGAAGCACTAGCCTAAACTAGAGCACCAATTCTCAACTGGGTGTGATTTTGCCCCTTGGGTGACTTTTGGCAATGTTTGGAGACATTTTTGTTTGTTATCACTGGAGGAGGTGCTGCTGGGATCTAGTAGGTAAAGACTAAAGATGCTGCTAAATATCCTTCAGTGCACAGGAACCACCCTCCACAACAAAGAATTATTTAATCCAAAATGTCCGTGTCGCGTCATTTTTTAGAAACTTTGAGCTAGGGTAACCTGAATCGTTACTCTAAGAGTGAATAGATGATAACAGATTCTTGGCAGAGACTTCAAATGTCAGTGCCAAATTACACATCTTAAGTTAAGATACCTCCATGATGGGTGGGGAAATAGGTGCTTCTGTCTCATCTCAAGCCAAGTCTGAGGGGCTTCAAGAGAACCATTTGGAAAAGATGAGATGTGCCCCTTGAATCTTACAGAGATGATATCTGGTAACTGATGTACATTTGAAAAGTTCTAAATCAAGAGACTGAGGCCGCCTCTGAGCAGAAGATGCATATAGGGGCTGGGTATGGAGGCTCATGCCGGTAATCCCAGCACTTTGGGAGGCTGAGGCAGGCAGATCACTTGAGGTCAGGAATTCAAGACCAGCGTGGCCAACAATGACGAAACCCCGTCTCTGCTAAAAAAAAAAAAAATACAAAAATTAGCCGGGCATGGTAGTGCCTGCTTGTAGTCCCAGCTACTCGGGAGGCTGAGGCAGGAGAATCACTTGAACCCAGGAGGCAGAGGTTGCAGTGAGCCAGGATTGTGCCACTGCACTGCAGCGAGACTTTCACACACACACAAAATGCATATAGGGCTGATTGGGAACAGTTCACACTTCTGTGCAAGATACTTGTATGCTTTTTGTGGACTAAGTGAGAACCTCATGTAAGAGATTTGGACTGGGTCACCTTGAAAATGTCTGTCCAAAAGGACTGTCAGTTTGGGTGAGAGGATCCCTGGAAATCAGGGGACTAAGGACTAGGTCATAGGTGGCCATCCAGAAGATACATTGCTGAGCCAAGAGACTGTAGGTGAGGGTTCCAGTGATGGACTCCATGAGAGAAAGAGTCAGCTTCAGACCTCAGCCACTCCCAAAAGTCACTGACTGCTAAAACTGTGTCAGTCCAGAAAGATCCTTTCTGTTCTTGTCTTCTTCAACTGTGGAGGGGCACAAAACAAAAAGCCAATAAGCCAGGGAGAAGGGAGAACAAGGTAGAGGAAATGGCAGAGAATTTTTGATATTGCACTGGACAGGATTTTTTTCTAATACTAGGGGCAAAAGGCCACTTTTTTTTATTACTAGAAAATTACTGGAGGACTTTTTTTTTTTTTTTTTCTGACAGAGAGGCTCTTGCTCTGTCACCAAGCTGGAGTACAGTGGCACGATTATAGCTCACTCACTGCAGTCTCAAACTCCTGGGCTCAAGGGATCCTCCTGCCTCAGCCTCTGGAGTAGCTGTACTACAGGCATGTGCCATCGTATCCTGGTATTATTTTTTAAAATTTTTTGTAGAGGCAGAATTTCACTTTGTTAACCAGGCTGGTCTCGAACTCCTGGGCTCAACTGATCCTCCCACCTTGGCTTTGAAAAGTGTTGAATTATAGGCATGAGCCAACACACCTGGCCTGGTGGACTTTTTAATTATGTGACAGTGAGCGGAAAAGCAAAAATGCTTTGCCTAAGATTTGTTTTAAAATATATTTTTCTTTTCTTTCTTTCTTTTTTTTTTGTTCTTGTTTTTGTTTTTTGAGAGACAGGGTCTCACTCCTATTGCCCAGGCTGGAGAGGGGTGGCACAGTCATGGCTCATGACAGTCTTAATTTCCTGGGCTCAAGTGATTCTCTCACCTCACCCTCCATAGTAGCTGGGACTACAGGCATGATCCACCATGCCCGGCTAATTGTTGCAATTTTTTGTAGAGACAGGGTTTCGCCATGTTGCCCAGGCTGGTCTTGAACTCTGGTCTCAAGCAGCCGCAGCTTTCCAAAGTGTTGGGATTACAGGCATGAGCTACTGCGCCCTGCCCAGAAACATATTTTATTTTACTTTGAGACAGAGTTTTGCTCTTGTTGCCCAGGCTGGAATGCAGTGGTGCCATCTCAGCTCACTGCAACCTCCGCCGCCCGGGTTCAAGCGATTCTCCTGCCTCAGCCTCCCGAGTAGCTGGGATTATAGGTACCTGCACCACACCCAGCTAATTTTTGTATTTTTGATAGAGATGGAGTTTCATCATGTTGGCCAGGCTGGTCTCGAACTCCTGATCTCAGGTGATCCGCCCAACTCGGCCTTCCAAAGTGCTGGGATTACAGACGTGAGCCACTGGGCCCGGCCCAAAGACATATTTTAAAGCCCCAGCTTAAATCAGAGTTTCTCAATAGTGGCATTAATGATGTCTGGGACTCTCTTGTAATATCAATGCAAAGGAATGTTACTAATTCTTTCTCCCACCAATCCTCTTCAGAAATATTGCCAACTATCCACTCAGGGGACAAAACCACCCCCAGTTGAGTGCCAACAAGTTTTTGAGTCCTTCAATGCTAGGCTCTGGGAATATTGTGAATAAGATAAATACTCACTGCTCCCATTGAGGAGTTCAGGAGAGACAGGCAAAAAATTAAGTATACCAAAAAATTTAAGATAATTACAAATTATAATACATTCTCTAAAGGAAGCAAGCAGGATGCTGAAACCGGAAATAATGGGGTAAAGAGTTCTGTATTAAACAGAGAATATCTAGGTAGGAGTTAGCCAGGTGAAGGAAGGATAGAGGTTGGGAGTATCTGTAAAATTGTCTCTAAGGAAACAGCATTTACAAAGCTTTATTTAGTCTCAGGTACATAAGCACCAAAATGTATATTTTCTACGTTGCTATTTTTTACTTGCCATTACTCAGTTACAAAAATGAGAAGGTATTTGTTTTTGATAGGACCATTCAATTGTCTTCCTCCCTCCCTGTTTGTATCTCTCCTTCTTTTCTTCTTTTTCTTCCTACTCTTCATTTCTTCTTTTTTCTCCCTTTCATTAGAAGAGACTTCTTTTCTTCTTTTTCTTCCTACTCTTCATTTCTTCTTTTTTCTCCCTTTCATTAGAAGAGACTTCAGTACCTGGCCTGATGCACAACTCTAAGTCATACTATTTACATTATATTCTCCATGAACGGCACCTCTAGAATTCTGTTCCAGAATCAGTATGACTCAGCTGGGTGTCCACACACCCTCTAGAATTCTACTCCAGAATCAGTGACTCAGCTGGGTGTCCACACTTTGGAATGTATAATCTATTCTCTCAAGGGGAAGTTGATTGATTTATTTCCTAATGATAGTGTTCTTCCTTATAAGCCATTATAAGCCATCAGGAGATATTGTTTGAAGAAAAGTAAAAGATAAGCAATCTGGACTGTGGGATGAAAGGATAAACACCCAAGGGTGGGAGGCAGGAATTCACGGAAGTTAAAAGTGGGAGAGGTATTACATTATATTCTATCAGAGTGAGTTTGTTTTGTGAGAACTTGTCCACTGCAAGGACTTCACTTGGTGTCCACCTGAGAAGTACTTGCCTACTATTATCTACGCACTAGTCTCAAACTCCCGATCTCAGGTGATCTGCCCTGCTGGGCCTCCCAAAGTGCTGGGATTACAGGCATGAGCCACCGCACCTGGTGATCTTGAACAGCCTTGTCAGTTGTCTTCCTTGCATTGACACTGCCCTAGAACTCCTCCAGGACAGGTAAGCCCAGAGAGAACCTTGGTTACTAAGCAGGATGGTGGTGGGACTTGGAGGCTGAATTGAATTTGCTAGGACACTGTAAGAACAGAATACCCCTGATACATTTTCAATAGAAGAATTTCTGGGGAAGTGACTTTTGTCTATTTTTCTATTTGGTCGCCTGTTTTTTTAAAAATTGATTTCTGGAAATACATATGGAGTTGAGCCCCTTTTCAATTATATGTATTTCAAATAAATTCTATTTGCTGGCCTAACTTTTCTTCTCTCTCTGTCTCTCTTCTTTTTTTTTCTTCTGTAGATCTCCTCTGTGGACAGCTTTTTTTTTTTTTTTTTTTTTTTTTGAGACAGGGTCCTCCTCTGTTGCCCAGGCTGGAGTTCAGTGGCTCTATCTTGGCTCACTGCAACCTCTGCCTCCTGGGTTCAAGTAATTCTCCTGCCTCAGCCTCCTGAGTGGCTGGGATTACAGGCACGCGCCACCACACCTGGCTAATTTTTGTATTTTTCGTAGAGATGGGGGTTTCACCATGTTGGTCAGGCTGGTCTTGAACTCCTGACCTCAGGTAATCCACCCGCCTTGGCCTCCCAAAATGCTGGGATTACAGGTGTGAGGCTCTGTGCCCGGCTGGAGACAACTTTTCATCTCCTAACGGCATCTTTTTTTTTTTTTCCCAGAGAATATCTCACTTTGTCACCCAGGCTGAAGTGCAGTGGCACAATCATGGCTCACTGCAACCTCAAACTCCTGGTCTCAAGTGATCCTCCACTCTTAGCCTCTTGAGTAGCTGGGACTACAGGTGCCTGTCACCATGCCTGGCGAATTTTTGTATTTTTAGTAGAAATGGGGTTTCGCCATGTTGCCCAGGCTAGTCTCGAACTCAAGTGATTCACCCGCCTCGGCCTCCCAAAGTGCTGGGATTACAGGCATGAACCATGGCGCCTGCCTGTGAAACTTCTATTCTGTGAAATTTCTATTCTCCTCAGTGAACCGAGGATAGGCAATCATTTGTGGTGCAAATTGAGGCCTGAGTGTCAATCCCTACCTAGAATTTTGTATCATGGTTAATTTATTTCATTTTTACCATAAAAATAAGTAGAAGCTTTTATATTTTCTACCTATTCCAATGGAGACTGAGCATCTTGCATGATACTTTGGTACATGCTCCCATTTTGGAGACCAAAAAGTCAGATGTCATGAGACAGATTGAAACTGGCAATTTTAACAATTTTTTATTAATATAACCTTTTTTATTCATAGATTTGAACCTCAATCGAGTGCATTTTAACAGTTACATAATTAGAAGGCAGGACTCCTTCCATGCTCCAGGCATTAAGCAGATACTAAGGTTTCAATAAATATTTGATTTGATCCTCTTGATTTTAGCCTAAGGAGAAAATGGTGAGATAAATTTCTTCTTTGCATAGGTGGAAAAGGGAAACATAATTGCTTTCAGAGAATCTAGGTCCTAAGAAGTTGGGGGAAGAAAGATGAAAGGAGGAAATACAATGTTGAATTGGGATAAGTTAAGTCTAATATTTCTTTGCTCAAGTTTGGAAACCTGAGGCCCTTCAGTGGCCAGCCTTAATGCAGTTTTTGTAATGCATCGAGACAAGACCTTATAATGGTCGTAGTGTGTGACTGTGAAAGAGAAGGAGAAAACATGTGAAAAACGAAAAAAAAAAAGCTCACAGCCTCAAACTGCTGCACATACCCTGTACAGTTAGTTTGCAGTCAGAGTAGGGAGCCGGCCTGGGTCCCCGCACCTGGGCCTGGCTCCCGTGGCCCCGCCCCTGGGGCGGGCTCCCATCGAGGCTCCGCCCCCACCTCCCCTATCGCCGGAGACGCCTGCGGCGGCCCCGGAGACACCGGAAGGAGCCGCGGCTGCTGCGGGAAGTGGCCAGTTCAGGAGGCGGACCCCCCGAGGGCAGCGCTGCGGGGCCGTTTTCCGGCCCTCCTGACGCGACACTGCCCCTCTCCGAGAGCTGAGAAGGAAAAGAGGAGCTTGCGGAGGTGCGGCTGCAGGCCGTTGTTGGTCGAGCTGGCGGGTCCCGCGGGCCAGGCCGTGGAGGTGAGCGCGGCGCTGCTGGGAGGGGCGCGGGGCCCAAGGGCGTTTCGCTCGCGTCCGGGGTCCGGTCTCTGTTCTCGCTTCCGCGCGCTGGGGTTGCGGCCGCTGCAGCAGCCTCTTTTTCTTGGTCCTGGGTGGCGGCGGGTTCGCGGGCGGGAAGAAGGCCTTGGCCCCTCGGTGCTCTGCGTTGCAGAGATAATCTAGTGGTCGCCCTGTCAACGGTCGGTGGAGGATGGGAACCGGTCGTTGATTTGAGGAAGGGTCCTCAGGGGTTCTTCCCTGGAAGCGGGAGGTGCAGGTGAGCCCGAGAAGCGGGGGCTCTGCTCCCTTCCTCGGTCTCCCCACTCAGGCTTGCCAGTCCCTCTCAGTGGGTGACTGAAAGCCCTGCAGCGCGCCGGCTCCTGGGTTCTGGTTTCGCTTTTCGGCGCTGTTGAGGGGGCCGGCCCCGTTGTTTGTTGTTGTGAACGGAAAAACCGAGGTGTCATCGTCCCTGGAATTTTTCTTCGACCAATGTTTGATCTTGACTGAGAGGTTACCCCTTACCTTCTGTCCATCTGCAGCCTTTGTTTGGATGAAAGATCCATAGTGTGTGGTTTCCCAGACCTTTACTTATATTTCTCGTATACAAAACGCTCTTCATTTGAATATTTACAGGGTTTTACGTTGAGCTCTTGGACGATGAGATTTTCCTGGGTGTTTTGCACTCAAGTACCGTTGGAGTTTACATTCTCATAGAATCAGTATTAGGCCTGGAAAATTGAGCCAGAGGGTGAAATTCTGGCAGGAGCATAGACTTAAATTGAAGGTGAATTTTACCGTAACGATCTCTAGGCCTTTTGCTTAATAACTATGTGGATGTAGAGAATTTTTAAGTTTAATCAGATTATTTTTCCTTTAAGAAAAACGTGTTACAAAAAGTAACAAGGCCGTCCTAGTTCCGTTTTTCCTACTGTCTTATTTGGAAAGGTCTGACCAAGTCACATTATCGTCATAGGCTATTTGATTTGAGCATAATACAAATATTGTTAGTGAATTCATACTATTATAAATAAGAGAGAAAATAGGAATCTTAAAGACAATGCTAGTTTTATGAAAAAATAATAGAAATAGTTACACAATGCTAGGAGCTTTGTATTATTTCATTACTTTGGCAGGATTGAAAGAAAGGTCAGGGCTGGGCACGGTGGCTCACGCCTGTAATCCCAGCACTCTGGGAGGCCGACGATCACGAGGTCAGGAGATCGAGACCATCCTGGGTAATACGGTGAAACCCCGTCTGTACTAAAAATTACAAAAAATTAGCCGGGCATGGTGGCAGGTGCCTGTAGTCCCAGCTACTTGGGAGGCTGAGGCAGGAGAATGGCGTGAATCCGGGAGGCAGAGCTTGCAATGAGCCGAGATCATGCCACTGCACTCCAGCCTGGGCAGCAGAGCGAGACTCTGTCTCAAAAAAAAAAAAAAAAAAAAAAAGGACAGTACAAAAAATATTATTGGAATAAAATATTTGACCTGATATGTGCAAGAGGGATAGTCTACTTAAGATTGCTTCCTATTTATGATCTGGTTTATGGCCAGTTTCACTTTTTTTCTGTCTTTTCTGAACTTTTTATAACTTAACAGTAAGCAAGTCTTTTTATATAACTGCAGTTTAATGACATTAGATTGTAGTAAATAGGTGATTTTAAATATTTGAAATTCAGAATTGAGATGATAATTCTTACATTTATGTAGTAGTATTAGAATTTTCTGTGACCTTTCACTTACACAGTCTTACTTGATCCTCATGCCAGTCCTCTGAGCTCCGAATGCCAAGAAATAAAGTCTTTCCCCATGACAGAAACATTTCAAGATTGTGTAAGGATCAGAATTTCGTAAAGCCTGAAATAATGTTGCCAAAGCAGCTTTTGATACAGATTGGGAATTCAGATAGATTAAGATTGGAGCACTGTGAACTATAACATATGACAAGACTGTGGACTCTTCACAAGAAAATGAAGTACATAAAATGCTGAAAGATTTTTGGTGAGAAATGTGAAATGTAACCATTTCTAAAAAGGAAGGGAATAAGTAACAGCTCTATTTAGTGTAGTTTTTAAACTTTAAAAGTGTACATGTGTCTGCAGGAACATTTTGATAAGTGGGAAAACTCCAAAGAGTGTGAGATGAGTACAGTTGCTTTTAACTATCTATAAAAAGGCACATGAATTATGTGCTATATTGTATACTGAGAACTAGTCTTTAAGAAACAATATGTATATCAAAATAAATCATGCTGTCAAATGTTCAGAAGGTTAAGTTAGGTCAATATTTTGAGTCTACCAGGACAAGGCCCTTTGGAAAACAAAAAGAATGAAACGTGGTTTCTGCCTTCAAAGAACTTGTAGTCAAGTGAGGCAATTTTTTACACAACAGTAAATGCCTTATGAGTTTTTATAAAAGTTCCTTAGGAATTTAGGTGAGGTAGACATTACTTGTGATTGGGGCTTGGTGAAGGTAGTATTTGAGATGAGTGAGCTTTGAAAGGTAAATATTGGAGGATATTTGTAATGTGAACAGATTAATGAGCTCCTTGAAGGGTACAACTTACATTTGAGAAAACATCGGTAGAACAATGTGGCTGATATTCATAGTTTATGTAAGTTAATAATAGATAAAGAAGACAAATTATGAAAGACTTCACTGAAGGTGTTTGATCAGAAGAGGTATGTGATCCACATGAAAGGAAAATGAGCTGTAACTGTTAGAAGATTGAGACTGGAAGACTGCTGGGGTGGCTTTATGTTAAGCTAGATTGTGACCATTATTTTTGTAGCCCTTATGGTTTCTCTGAAGTGCATCTTGAACTTGGACCTGAGATGACATGGGTGCAGGTGAGATGCTATAAAGCACAAGTGAGGAAGCAGGTAGAATCAGAGAAGGAGGAAAAAAGGTTAATAGTGGAAGGCCAACTGGAGGCTGCTTAAGCCTTTGGAGATTTTTGTATAACTGCCTCAGAGTTTTGTATAACTGCCCCAAATGAAGGGGAGCTGGGTGGTTTTCCATCTACAGTCAATCCTCACTGATAAAGATTGCCTTTATCTAAAAGGCTCCCAGAACTTCCCAGGTACACTGGTTAGGTAGGGCTTGGCAAGCTCCTGAGGTGCTGGAGAGCTGAGGAGAGAAGTAGTTGAGATGGGAAGTTGTCAGTGTGTTAACTGTGCATACCAGCTACAAGTAAACATTGAAGTGAGCTGAAAGGAGATGGTCCAGGTATCAACTCTGTGTCTTAACAGGCATTCTCATTGAATAATCCAGATGTGAAATAAAAGCCTCAATTTAGATAGAGACCTAGAAGAAATGTGAGATGAAATGTGGTTAAAAAAAAAAATGCCGAATTTAGAAACTGATAGAAAGTGAGGAGGGGAGCCAGGTGCTGTGGCTTGAGCCTGTAGTCTCAGTCACTTGGGAGGCTGAAACAGGAGATTTGCTTGAGCCCAGAAGTTCAAGTCCAACCTGGGCAATATAGAGAGCCTCCCATTTCAAAAAAAGTAAATGAAAAAAGTAAGGAGGGATCTAAGATGGTACTGAGGTTTAAAAGTTAGTTAACTTGTGAAAAAGAAGGGTTGACAGAAGGACACTGACTTTCAAATTAGTTTTTTAAGGAAAGTGAAAAAATTGCATAGTATTCAGGAGAGTGATGATAAGAGTGTTGATGACCAGTCATTCAAAAGGAAAGCAGGGTGGAGACTTGAACAATGCTGCCATCCCCACAAACTTATAATGTCTGGCCCATGCTGGATTATAAGCATTTGTTAAATTAATTTCTATCCCCCAGGGCTTATCACAGTCCTGAAATACAGTAATGTGGTGAAACTATAGGGCTGAATGTGACCTAAAATAAGACCATTTCCCACAGGTTTTAACTTTTATAAAATCCTAGAAGAGGAATTTCTTATATATTTTACTTTTTTGTGAAAGGGTCTCACTCTTGCCCAGCCTGGCGTGCAGTGGTGCGATCTTGGCTCACTGCAACCTCCACCTCCTGCGTTCAAGCAGTTCTCACCACTCAGCCTCTGGAGTAGCTGAGATTACAGGCGCACGCCACCATACCCAGCTAATTTTTGTATTTTTTGGTAGAAATGGGGGTTTCACCATGTTGGCCAGGCTGGTCTCAAACTCCTGACCTCAAGTGACCCTCCCACCTTGGATTCCCAAAGTGCTGGGATTACAGGCATGAGCTGCCATGTCTGGCTGGAATTTCTTATATTTTTTATGGAAGCATTACTGTGTTTAGATGAATCAGTTTTGATTAGTTTTAAAATCAATATTATAGTCTGGTAAACAATAAAAGAATTGATAATTTTTCTTATGGTGGTTCTCATTTGAATATGGTGATAGCATTTGTTTTCTCATATTCTTTCTTTCTTTTTTCTTTTTGCTCACAAGCTGAACTGAAGATTTAGGTTTTTCCATGTTTCTATGTGGTTTACATGAATATTTTTAATGACTGTTCCGTAATGCCAGTATATTAACTCTTCATCTTGCTCAAAAGTGAGACTTAGAGTGAAAATTATCATCAGCTTATTTGAGACTCTGTTAGAACTCTGTCATATTCATTAATTCATTTCTATTTCCTCTCTCTTCCAATATTTCTCAAAATTATTTCAACGAGATAAGGCTAGAATTGACCATATTTTGCCATTCATTATTGGACAGATTTTTAAAAATCTTTATAGGAAATGCTAATTAATATTTACAAATCTCATTTAGAGGATGTTATTTGGAATGAAGATTGCCAGATTGGAGCTATACTTTGGTATTATTAATAGTGGTAATGTTAAGAATAGATTGTAGAACACATAGGTTGTAGCCAGAGAACTCAGTTAGAAGACTGCGTATTTCTTTTAATAGCCTTAAGGCTCTCATTAATTAGACTCTTAAGGATCAATGAGACAGATTTTCTAGTAAAAGAGAAATAAAAAGATTAGCACTACATTTCTTTTTCTGTGTTGTGGTTTTGAATGAAAATTAAGAATGATTAGGTAAGTATTATAGGACTTTGTGGGATCTTCAAATCCTCACAGAGGTTTGAATGATTTTATTCTCAGAATATTTGTTTAAAGGGAAAGAAACAGTTATTTAAAATGCTTGTCAGCTGATTTCTTTTGTGAAAAGTCTCCCTGAGCACTTACTATGGATTGAGAATAAAATAAACTTTTCTGCTTGTTGTTGCACTCTTCATTGATAACTTCCTTCCATTCATCAGTTTTTTTGGCTTGCTTTTATTGGGTAGCAATTTTCTTCCATGATAAATATGGAAAGATAAGCCATAAGCTTATTCCTTCATTGTATTTTTGCTAAAGTGTAATATTTCATATGGTACTGCTGGACTAGTACTCGTGGAACCATAGTCTAGATTGAAACTGTTGAAAGACAAATCAATTTTTTTATAATCATAGAATCTTAATTCAATTCTGAGTTTTTAGTGCAAAGTGCTTGCTGTCCTTTGAAGCACCTCTGACAGTTACCCAACCTCTGTGTAACAATTATGGGGAACATGCTCCTTCCATGAAAGTTCATCTGTATTTGAACCGAAGTCTTCACCGTTGATTGAATATGCTGTTCTGACTTTCTCAAGTTGCACAGAAAAGAAAGGATCCCTTTGGTCATCATGTTCAATTGGAACATGTGTATCAAGTCCTGGCATCTTTTGCCTTCTGCTGTTTAAACATCCATGCTTTCAGTTCGTAATGGTTGACATTTACTGAGTACTTACTATATCACCCTCTTCTAAGTATTTTATATATACTAATATATAATATGTAATTATATATTAACGTATTATGTGTAATTATATAATTAGTTTAAAATATTATATATTAATCTTCTCCAAAACTCTAGAAAGTAGATATTTGTAATTAGATCAGTGTTTTAGATGAGGGAGCTAAGGCAAAGAGAAGAAACTTACCACTGGTCCCAAATCTAGGAGATAGTGGAGCCTTGCTCCAGAAACTTTACTCTTAGTACAGTGCTATCTTATAAGATACAGTTTTCAAATTATTTCTTTTAAGGTTTTCTATGAGAGGCACTCTTATTCTGTAGCTTTTAGTATTCTTCTTAAATAAAATACTGTATTCCAGATATAATCTACTTATTTTATGCGAACATTAAGATTGGCTATTATTTTTTCCCCTTTTCACCACTCTATTCAATTAAAAAATTATTATTTTTTTTTTGTAAAGATGGGGGGTGGGTATCACTCTGTTGCCTAGGCTGGTCTTGAACTCTTGGCCTCAAGCGATCCTCATGCCCCTGCCTCCCAGAGTGCTGGGATTACAGGTGTGAGCCACCATACCCAGCAAGACTGGTTACTCTTTTTATTCTGAAACCTTGAAACCTAGTGTTCTGTTGATTAATTGAGTAGGAATTGCTACTTCTTCAAGGGTCTAGAATCCAAATACCTGACCCCCTTTTTTGGTCTCAGTTTATATGGTTGATTCTTTGAATCCCAATGTCGAATATCACATCCATCATTATTAAATTTCGTCCTGTTAATTTTAGCTAATTTTTTTTATTTTTTATTTTTTGAGATGGAGTTTTGCTCTTGTCACCCAGACTGGAGTGCAGTGGCATGATCTTGGCTCACTTCGACCTCCTCTTCGCGGGTTCCAGCAATTCCCATGCCTCAGCCTCCCAGCTAGCTAGGACTACAGACGCACACCACCACGCCCTGCTAATTTTTTGTGTTTTTAGTAGAGACAGGGTTTCACCATGTTGGCTAGGCTGGTAATGAACTCCTGACCTCAGGTGATCCACCGGCCTCGGCCTCGCAAAGTGCTGGGATTACAGGTGTGAGCCACCACGCCCAGCCAATTTTAGCTTATTTTAAAAAATAGTTTAATTTTTCTTTAAAAACTTATTTTTATAATTTTAAGTTTATATTTTACTAGCCTGCCTTCTGTAGCTTTATCCAGGTTATTGTTAAAAATATTGAGCAGTTCTGACACCTGCTAGTGAAGACCTCCTGCATTCATATTAATCTTATATGTAACTATTAAATAGCTACCAATCCTTCTGACATAATTTTTTTTCTCTGTAATGTGAATCTGACTTTTTATGAAGAGCTTTACTTTTTGGAATAGACTAGGCAATGGAATTCAGGCAGTTTCTCAATATTAAAAGCTCCTTAGGTTACCAACTATGTCCTGATGTGTAATTATTATATTAAGGCCAGGCGCAGTGGCTCACTCCTGTAATCCCAGCACTTTGGGAGGCCGAGGTGGGTGGATCACTTGAGGCCAGAAGTTTGAGACCAGTCTGGGTAACACGGTGAAACTCCGTCTCTACTAAAAATACAAAAATTTAGCTGGATGTGGTGACACATGCTTGTAATCCCAGCTACTCAAGTGACTGAGGCATGAGAATTGCTTGAACCTGGGAGGGAGAAGTTGCAAGTGAGCCGAGATTGCGCCACTGCACTCCAGCCTGGGCGACAGAGTGAAATTCTGTCTCAAAAAAAAAAAAAATTGTACTAATAACATGGTTCCCTATACTTTTCCTAATATTAAAATTTGAATAGCTGATTGATTATCTTCTATTAGGATAAGGGGTCAGAATTTCAACCTGGAATTTGGAGATTGTACTACGAAAATATTCTCCCCTTAAAAGTAATATCTTCGGGCGCGGCGCGGTGGCTCAAGCCTGTAATCCCAGCACTTTGGGAGGCCGAGGTGGGCGGATCACGAGGTCAAGAGATCGAGACCATCCTGGCTAACACAGTGAAACCCCATCTCTACTGGAAATACAAAAAATTAGCTGGGTGTGATGGCGGGTGCCTGTAGTCCCAGCTACTCAGGAGGCTGAGGCAGGAGAATGGCGTGAACCCGGGAGGTGGAGCTTGCAGTGAGCTGAGATCGCGCCACTGCACTCAAGCCTGGGCGACAGAGCAAGACTCCGTCTCAAAAAAAAAAAGGTAATATCTTCAGAAGCAGTTTTGTTTTGTTTTTGAGACAAGGCCTAGCTCTGTCACTCAGGCGGGAGTGCAGTGGTGCAATCACAGCTCACTGCATGCAACTTCTGCCTCCTGGGCTCAGGTGATCCTCCCACCTCAGCCTCCTGAATAGCTGGGACTGCAGGGGCATGCCACCAGGCCTGGGTAATTTTTGTATTTTTTTGGGGTAGAGACAGGGTATTGCCGTGTTGCCCAGGCTGGTCTTGAACTCCTGGGTTCAAGCAGTCCTCCCGCCTCAGTCTCCTAAAGTGCTGGGATTACAGGTGCGAGCCACCATGCCCAGCCCAGAAGCAGTTTTGCATTTACTTTAATGCAGATGAGCAATTTAGCCACCGGAGCTGTACATCATAGAGCGTGAGTGCAGTCGTTTTCATCTGGAAAAATTTTCAGTTGGTGTTGCTGCCATCATTATTGGTGAGAAAACTTCCAGTAGTCCAGTTAGTGTGGCAGATAGAGGAAAAAGCTGCCAGATACAAGATTACAAAGATAAGGACAAACAGATAAAATCTTGTGCACTCTTTGTGATTTCCAACTTGTAAGTCACAAGCTTCTACAGGAGTCTTAGTTTTGCAAAATCTACTTCTGTGGATTGGACAATAGCATTTCCATATACAACCATTTTCTGTTTTTTTCTAATGTCTAATACTCATCTCCTGTGATTAAATTATCAGACAAGAATGGAAGCATACATGCCTTCTTTCTTTTGGTGTACAATTTGAGAAGAAATTGAAGTAGCTAAGAACTCCCATTGTCTTACCCTACTATATCTGAATGCCCTACCCTCAATAAACATTTGTCAAATAAAGGAATAAAAGAATGATTTTATTACCTTAGTAAATAAACTGAGTAAAACTAGGCAAAGAAAATACTAAGGGTTTTCTATTTTGATAGCATTGTATTATACGGGATACTAAATATCCTTGGGACAAATTGTTAGCCTTTGTTTACATGCACTAATTCTTTTCCTTTTTCTTTCTTTCTTTCTTTCTTTCTTTCTTTCTTTCTTTCTTTCTTTCTTTCTTTCTTTCTTTTTTAAGTCAGGGTCTTGCTGTGTTGCACAGGCTGGAGTGCAGTGGTGCAATCTTGGCTCACTGCAACCTTTGCCTCCTGGGCTCAAGGGATTCTCCTGCCTCAGTGGAACTACAGGTGTGCACCACCACGCTGGGCTGATTTTTCTATTTTCTGTAGAGAGATGGGGTTTCACCATGTTGCCCAGGCTGGTCTTGAACTCGTCAGCTCAAATGATCTTCCCGCCTTGGCCTCCCAAAGTGCTGGGATTACAGACCTGAGCTGTCATGCGTGGCTGCCCAGCCAATTCTTTCTTTCTTTCTTTTTTTGGAGATGGAGCCTTGCTCTGTTGCCCAGGCTGGTGTGCAGTGGCGTGATCACGGCTCACTGCAACCTCTGCCTCCTGGGTTCAAGTGATTCTCCTGCTTCAGCCTCCCGAGTAGCTGGGATTACAGGCACCCACCACTATGCACGGCTAATTTTTGTATTTTTAGTAAAGAAGGGGTTTTGCCATGTTGGCCAGGCTGGTCTCAGACTCCTGAACTCAGGTGATCCACCTACTTCGGCCTCCCAAAATTCTGGAATTACAGTCATCGCACCTGGCCCTGCCCAGCCAATTCTTATTAAATTGTTTAGATAATGCAAAATTAATAGCAGAGCAGAGAGAATGTATTTATGTTTTATTCTTTTTTTCATCTCAGCTATCAGCAGAGAGAATTTATTTTAATCTTATTTTTTGCTTGAGATTTTAGAAAAAAATATTTATCTTGGAAGTTTCTTTTCAATCCTCTGATCCCATTTCTTTCCTCTGAGGCAAAATAGTATTGCCTAAAAAGCAGTGAGAAGAACATCTACATTTCATTGGCAAATGCAGAATTTTTACTTTAGAGGAAAATACATAGCTTAAATACTTTCAGTAAACAAAGCGCTCAGTACTCATCTTTAGGGATTAAGAAAATAAAACCAGGCTGGGTGCAGTGATTCATGCCTGTAATTCCGGCACTTTGGGAGGCTGAGGAGAGTGGATCACCTGAGGTCAGGAGTTTGAGATCAGCCTGGCCAACATGGTGAAATCCCATCTCTACTAATAATACAAAAATTAGCCAGTCGTGGTGGCACACGCCTGTAGTCCCAGCTATTTGGGAGGCTGAGACAAGAGAATCGTACGAACCTGGGAGGTGGAGGTTGCAGTGAGCCAAGATTGTACCACTGCACTCCAGCCTGGGCAGCAGAGCGAGACTCCGTCTCCAAAAAAAAAAACAAACAAAACAAAAAACATAAAAAAATACAACCAAAGGCAAGTAGGATATGGATATTAATGGAATTGAAAACAGATCAGAACAAAAATAGTGGAGAAGATAAATAAATCCCAAATCTGGTTCTTTGCAAATACCAATGATCTAGATAAACATCTTGTAGAAGAAAAAGATATGGAATAAAAATGTACAAGATTGGGAATGAGTAAACACCATAGACCCCAAATACAGGAGACATTAATGGAATCTTTTGCAGATTTTCTTGAGAATATACATGTAATGCTATACTGTCAAAGTTATTTCAAGAGAAAATGGATGTTGTTATAGCAAAATGTCAATGAGTAAAATTGACCCAAGAAGTAAAAATGTTAATTGCCCAATCCCCATGAAAGGTTTGAAAAAATGATGGAAGATTGGTTCTTGACAGAGGCAGCATAGCATATAATTTCACAGCTGAGTTTCATTTATGAAGAACAACACATCATTATAATAAAAAGGAACTCTCTTTTCCATGATGAAGAATGCAAAGCTAGTCAATGCATTCTGTGAAGCACACATATTTTATCTCTGATAAATGCTGCCAATCCTGATTCAAGCACGGGGGGGGGGGGGAGGGAAGGAATGCTGCCAAAAAAGAACAGTCTCACTTATGCCCAGAAATGCAAAATTTCTAAATACAATATTAGCCATAGTTCATCAAGACCATTTCTTTTTTTTTTTTTTTGAGACGGAGTCTCGCTGTGTCGCCAGGATGGAGTGCAGTGACGCAATCTTGGCTCACTGCAGCCTCTGCCTCCCGGGTTAAAGTGATTCTCCTGCCTCAGTCTCCTGAGTAGCTGGGACTACAGGCGCCTGCCACCATGCCTGGCTAATTTTTGTATTTTTAGTAGAGATGGGGTTTCACCATATTGACCAGGCTAGTCTTAAACTCCTGATCTTGTGATCCACCCGCCTCAGCCTCCCAAATTGCTGGGATTACAGATGTGAGCTACCATGCCCAGCCCATCAAGACCATTTCTAATAAGTAAAGTAAGAATAGAGGGAAGTTACAGCAAATATCCTAAATGTCAAGAGCATTAAAATTAGAAACTTGATGGGGACTTGGGGATGCCCATGATCACATTTGTATTCAGTATTGTCTTAAGAGGTTCTGGTAAATGCATTAAAACAGTAAAAGTGAATAATGGTGTTAATATCAGAAAATAAGAACTAAAACTCCTCCCCTTGAAATAAGAACTAAAACTCCTCCCCTTGAAAAGAAGTAAAACTTTTTGAAAGGTTGAAACAAAATAAAAATGGAAAACTTATGTTTTCCATTACAGCCACAGTGTAGCCAGGGAAACCATGAAAAGGATTAGTGAGGAGGTGTGTCTTTTGTTACCAAAATATTGTATCTAGCCTCTGTAATCAGATTAATATGGTATTGTCATAGATTGGTGGAATAAAATAGAGAATCCAGAAATCCAGTATATGTGCAGATTTAATAAAAGATAAAGGTAGTATTACAGTTCAATGGGAAATGGGGAGATTATTTAATAAGTGGTGCTGGTACAACTGTCTGCCCATCTGGAAGAAAATAAAATTGGGTTCCTATCTTAAGATAAATTCCAGATGGATCAAAGCCTTATAGAAATACTTAAGGTTATTCTCCAGGTTTAGTTATACAAGCTAGGGTAAAGGAAATGTGAAGATAAGAAACTCAGAAGCTATTACAAGAGGCATATTTAATTTTACAAAAATTAAGACCTTTTAATGGTAAAGGATACCATAAGAAAGTTAATAACAGTATTGGCATTAAGACAGACATATTGACCAATGGAATAGATTAGGAATAGGCTTGGTGCAGTGGCTCATGCTTATAATCCCAGCGCTTTGGGAGTCCAAGGTTAGGAGGATTGCTTGAGGCTAGGAGTTTGAGACCAGCCTGGTCAACATAGCAAGACTTTGTCTCCACAAAAGAAAGTTAAAAATTAGCCAGGTGGGGTGGCTCACACCTGTAGTCCTAGCTGCTTGGAAGGCTGCGGCAGTGGAATTGTTTGGGTCTATGAGTTGGAGGTTGCAGTGAGCTATGATCATGCCACTGCACTCCCCTGAGTAATGAAAGTAATGGAACAAGACACCATCTCTTTAAAAAAAAAAAAAAAAAAAAAAGCCCAGAAGCCCAGAAATAAATCCTTATGTACTATATATGATCAAATGATTTTTGACAGTGATGCCAAGACCATTCAGTGGGGAGAGGGCAATCTTTTCAGCATGGTGTTTACCACAATTAAAAAGGTAGGTAGGTAAGTTTGAAAAAATATTTTGCAATATAGAGGATAGAGGATTAATTTTAAAAGAAGAGGTTATGGACCCAATAGTAAAAAGGGCAAAAGATTTAAAGAAGCAATTAATAAAAGAACAAATCCAGAAAGCTGTAACATTTATGAAAAGACATTCAAACTTACTGGTTGTCAGGATAACGTAAATTAAAGTACTAGTGAAATATTATAACATAGCTCTTATTATTTTGAGATATGTCCCATCAATACCTAGTTTATTGAGAGTTTTTAGCATGAAGGGCTGTTGAATTTTGTTGAAGGCCTTTTCTGCATCTATTGAGATAATCATGTGGTTTTTGTCTTTGGTTCTGTTTATATGATGGATTATGTTTATTGATTTGCGTATGTTGAACCAGCCTTGCATCCCAGGGATGAAGCCAACTTGATCGTGGTGGATAAGCTTTTTGATGTATTGCTGGATTCGGTTTGCCAGTATTTTATTGAGGATTTTTGCATCGATGTTCATCAGGGATATTGGTCTAAAATTCTCTTTTTTTTGTTGTGTCTATACCAGGCTTTGGTGTCAGGATGATGCTGGCTTCATAAAATGAGTTACGGAGGATTCCTTCTTTTTATATTGATTGGAATAGTTTCAGAAGGAATGGTACCAGCTCCTCTTTGTACCTCTGGTAGAATTCGGCTGTGAATCCGTCTGGTCCTGGACTTTTTTTGGTTGGTAGGCTATTATTGCCTCAATTTCAGAGCCTGTTATTGGTCTATTCAGGGATTCAGCTTCTTCCTGGTTTAGTCTTGGGAGGGTGTATGTGTCCAGGAATTTATCCATTTCGTCTAGATTTTCTGGTTTATTTGCGTAGAGGTGTTTATAGTATTCTCTGATCGTAGTCTGTATTTCTGTGGGATTGGTGGTGATATCCCCTTTATCATTTTTTATTGCATCTGTTTGATTCTTCTCTCTTTTCTTCTTTATTAGTCTTGCTAGCGGTCTATCAATTTTGTTGATCTTTTCAAAAAACCAGCTCCTGGATTCATTAATTTTTTGAAGGGTTTTTTGTGTCTCTATTTCCTTCAGTTCTGCTCTGATCTTAGTTATTTCTTGCCTTCTGCTAGCTTCTGACTGTGTTTGCTCTTTCTTCTCTAGTTCTTTTCATTGTGATGTTAGGGTGTCGATTTTAGATCTTTCCTGCTTTCTCCTGTGGGCATTTAGTGCTATAAATTTCCCTCTACACACTGCTTTAAATGTGTCCCAGAGATTCTGGTATGTTGTGTCTTTGTTCTCATTGGTTTCAAAGAACATCTTTATTTGTGCCTTCATTTCATTATTTACCCAGTAGTCATTCAGGAGCAGGTTGTTCAGTTTCCATGTAGTTGTGTGGTTTTGAGTGAGTTTCTTAATCCTGAGTTCTAATTTGATTGCACTGTGGTCTGAGAGACAGTTTGTTATAATTTCTGTTCTTTTACATTTGCTGAGGAGTGCTTTACTTCCAACTATGTGGTCAATTTTGTTTACAAGAGCTCCTGAAGGAAGCACTAAACATGGAAAGGAACAACCGGTACCAGCCACTGCAAAAACATGCCAAATTGTAAAGACCATCGATGTTAGGAAGAAACTGCCTCAACTAATGAGCAAAATAACCAGCTAACATCGTAATGACAGGATCAAATTCACACATAACGATATTAACCTTAAAGGTAAGTGGGCTAAATGCCCCAATTAAAAGACCCAGACTGGCAAATTGGATAAAAAGTCAAGACCCATCAGTGTGCTGTATTCAGGAGTCCCATCTCATGTGCAGACACACACATAGGCTCAAAATAAAGGGATGGAGGAAGATCTACCAAGCAAATGGAAAACAAAAAAGCAGGGTTTGCAATCCTAGTCTCTGATAAAACAGGCTTTAAACCATCAAAGATCAAAAGAGATGAAGAAGGCAATTACATAATGGTAAAGGGATCAATTCAACAAGAAGAGCTAACTATCCTAAATATATATGCACCCAATACAGGAGCACCCACATTCATAAAGCAAGTCCTTAGAGACCTACAAAGAGACTTAGACTCCCACACAATAATAATGGGAGACTTTAACACCCACTGTCAACATTAGACAGATCAACGAGACAGAAAGTTAACAGGGATGTCCAGGAATTGAACTCAGCTCTGCACCAAGTGGACCTAATAGACATCTACAGAACTTTCCACACCATATCAACAGAATATACATTCTTAGCACCGTGTCGCACTTATTCCAAATTTGTTTTTGTTTTTGGCACAGGATCTTGCTGTGTCACTCAGACTGGAATGCAGTGGTGTGATCACAGCACACTGTAGCTGCCATCTACTGGGCTCAGGTGATCCTCTCACCTCAGCCTCGTGAGTAGGTGGGACTATAGGCACGTGCCACCATGCCTGGATGATTTTTTAAATTTTTAGTAGAGACGAGGTCTCGCTATGTTGCTCAGGCTGGTCTCTAACTCCTGAGCTCAAGGAATCCTCCTGCCTTGGCCTCCCGAAGTGCTGGGATTATAGGCATTAGCTACTGTACCCAGCCTGTTGGCTATTTTTTAAGATTTTCTTTTTATTACTAGTTTTAAGTAATTTGTTTTTGATGTACATGGTGTAGTTTGTGTGTTTTGTGCTGAGTTTAAATTGCTTGTGGATCTGTAGGGCTCTAGTTTTCATCAAATTTGAACATTTTCCCCTATATCACTGATGTTCTGATTTAATTTTTAAGATTAAGATTTAGTCTATCTTTGTTCTGTCATCTGTGCTATTTCTTGGTTTCTTCTTTTTCTCTTCACTGTGGGTCAGAATTTCCTTCTTAGAATGCCTGTCATTTTTTATTAGATGCCAGTTATTGTGATTTTTACCTTGATGGGTACTGAATTTTTTCATTCCTTTAAATGTCCTTAAGCTTTGTTCCGAACACAATTCCTTTGGAACAGTTTGATCCTTCTAAGACTTCTTTTTGAACTTTTTTTTTTTTTTTTGAGACAGAGTCTTGCTCTGTCCTCAGGTTGGATTGCAGTGGCGCGATCTCAGCTCACTGCAACCTCTGCCTCCTGGGTTCAAGCAATTCTCCTGTCTCAGCCTCCTGAGTAGCTGGGACTATAGGTGCACACCACCACGCCCAGCTAATGTTTGTATTCTTAGTAGAGATGGGGTTCCCTTGGCCAGGATGTTCTCGATCTCCTGACCTCGTGATCCGTCCACCTTGGCCTCCCAAAGTGTTGGGATTACAGGGGTGAGCCACTGCGCCCAGCCCTTTTTGAACTTTTTAAAGACAGAACCAAAGTAACCTTTAGATTAAGGATAATTTCTTCCGATTATTGAGGCAATGCCATTCTGAGTGCATTATTTCCTCTATTATGGTGTCTTTCAACTGTGGCTGATGAGAATACCAACAACCCTTAAAGGCTTTGAGAATTGTTTTACCTAATCCTTTCCCGTGGTTTTTTTCTCTGGCTTGGGGTAGTCTAATCACATGGCGTGCACCTGTAGTTGTAGCTACATGGGAGGCTGAGACAGGAGGACGGTTTGAGACCAGGAGGTTGAGGCTGCAGTGAGTTGTGTTTGCCCCATTGTACTCCAGTGTGAGTGACAGAATGAGGCCCTGTCTCAAAAGAAAAAAGAAATGTTTGCACTATTAACCCTAGAGTGGTTCCTGGTGAATTTTGTGTGTTGCAGCGTAATAGTGAATTGATTATTTGATTTGATTTTGTTCAACTTTTCTTAAAAAAATGTATTTACACAAACCTGCACATTGTGCACATGTACCCTAGAACTTAAAGTATAATAAAAAAAATGTATTTACTAATGTGTTAATATTTCAGCAAATTTATTGCAATGGGTTTAAAAGGCAGACAGAGGCCAGGCGCAGTGGCTCACACCTGTAATCCCAGGACTTTGGGAGACTGAGGCGGGTGGATCACCTGAGGTCGGGAGTTCGAGATCAGCCTGACCAACATGGAGAAACCCCATCTCTACTAAAAATACAAAAAAAGTGGTCGGGTGTGGTGGCGCATGCCTGTAATCCCAGCTACTCGGGAGGCTGAGGCAGGAGAATCACTTGAACCTGGGAGGTGAAGTTTGCGGTGAGCTGAGATCACGCCATTGCACTCCAGCCTGGGCAGCAAGAGTGAAACTCTGTCTCAAAAATAAATAAATAAATAAATAAATAAATAAATAAATAAATAATAAAAGGCAGACAGACACTCTTATATAAGCTACAGGGTAACAAAGGGGTTCTATATAGTTATAAACTATTACATAGACCTGCATGGTTTATTGAATAACTTATAAACCACAAAGGAAATTAAATTTACAGTGTTTCTGAAGTTCAAACTTTTAAACTGTTTCATTCTATCCTAGCAAGTTCTAAACTTTTTTTGGGAAAGTGTTCTCAAACCTCAAAGTTGAATTAAGAGCATGAAAAGCCCTGTTATTAAAAAGGTACAACCAAAAGATCTAGGAATACCAAATTAGACTTGAGACCTTTGGAAATCACTCGCTTTACTTGAACCAAACACTGTGGATCAGTAAAGTTTGCATCTCTTAGCCTTATGTGCAAATGAAGCTAATAATGGTGCCTATTTCAGGGGTTGTAAAGATCATGAAAATGGGGTTCTCAAACCTGGAGAGATTTTGTCCCCCAGAGGGTATAATTTAAAACAGTCTAGAGACACTGGTCATCAGAGTTCAGAGTGGTGGCAGGGATGGTCTGTCTGTCTCTTGTGGATAGAAGTGGGAATGTTGCCAAATAACCTGCAGTGCACAGGACAATCCCTCACAGCGAAGAATTATCTGGCCCTAAGTGTCAATAGTGCCGGGATCGAGAAACCCTGATATAAAGTGCTTATCCTGGTATAAGGCCAGGATACCAGATGATTTAATTTATGCCATCAGTAGGGGGTCCTATTAGTAGAAAAATGAAGCTTTCTACTTGAAGTTTTTTTTTTTCAACTCCTAGTCCAGCCTAAGGATTAATTTTTTTTTTAAAAGGATAAAAGTGCTTCACAGTTGAATAACTTGAATATTCCCCCCTTTTATTTATCTATAAAAAGTGAAATGAGAGGGGAAAAGCAGCAAAAGTCATGGAGAAACAAACTTACATTTGTTTATAGATGTCAATTTTAATAAAATGTTTATGTAGTAGAGAAATTTCCAGTGTTCAGATTAACTTCAATTCTGAAAACTCATCTATGTTTGAGAATACACTCTTTTTACAGGGCAAACTTATATCATTCTTATGTTATCTTTTAATCATTTTTAATATGTTAACATTTTAATTTTTTTATTTTTTGGAATCTTTGCAGGCATTGTAAGCATTTATTAATTTTTTTGTGTGTGTTACTTTTCTTATAGGTGTTACCTCATTTTGAAAGTCTTGGGAAACAGGAAAAAATTCCTAACAAAATGTCAGCTTTTCGAAATCATTGTCCACATTTGGATTCAGTTGGTGAAATAACAAAAGAAGATTTGATACAAAAATCCCTTGTAAGAAACAGGTTTTTTCTTCCTTGAAAAACTATTCACTTTTCTCTTGAATGTGTAATTTTCATAAATTACTGTAATACTCTATGAGCAGTATTTTAAAAATATGTATGATGTCATTAGTGCATTAGTGAATTGTATGTGTTTGTGTCAATATAACCAATGTTGTCTTTTTAATTTCTTTTTATAGGGTACTTGTCAGGATTGTAAAGTCCAAGGACCAAATCTTTGGGCATGTCTGGAGGTGTGTATATGTTTTTTCCTGAAAAGATTGCTATAATAATAATAAATTTGGATCTGAATAATCATAACCAGAAAATTTTTGATACTTAAAGTGATTTTTGTAAATTAAACTTGCTTTTAAAAGGTCATTATTAATAACAAAAATTAAACTTTGGAAAGATCTTAATCTGTAGTGCTTTTGTAGTTTTTAGTAAATCACTCAGCTATTTTATGCTTGCCTTTTATTAGAAATGACATAGCTTTTAGCTTAGAAATATATCCTGGTTTTATTTTGTGCCTGGAAACATTTGGTTAAATTTAATGACTGGAAAGTCATTTACTCATTGAATGTAAAACAGGTAATCCAAACTTAATTGTAAATGTAATTGTAATGCTGTTATAAATTTACATGTATATTATAAAGTACCTTATTTTTCTTCCTATATAATTATTTATAGAATAGATGTTCATATGTTGGCTGTGGTGAATCACAAGTAGATCACAGCACCATACATTCTCAGGTATGTATATAAAAAATTTAATGGAAGACTTGTTAAAAAAAGTGCCTGAAGGAAAGGGAAAGCCAGTATAACATTATTAATTCAAGTTGTAATTCAAATTTGCACTCTAAGTTAAAACTTCACTTACATTCTCTGTGAAGGATGGGGAAGGGAATTGCTAGGAGGATGAACATTAGAATGAGGTTGTGATTAAGAAAGCACTGATTTCAAAAGTGTACATCCGGCCAGGCATGGTGGCTCACGCCTGAATCCCAGCACTTTGGAAGGCCAAGGCAGGTGGATCACCTGAGGTCAGGAGTTCGAGACCAGCCTGGCCAACATGGCGAAACCCTGTCTCTATTAAAAGTACAAAAAAATTAGCTGGGTGTGGTGGTGGGCACCTGTAATCCCAGCTACTCGGGAGGCTGAGGCAGGAGAATTGTTTGAACCTGGGAGGCGGAGGTTGCAGTGAGCCGAGATCGTGCCATTGCACTCCAGCCTGGGCAACAAGAGCGAAACTCCATCTCAAAAAAAAAAAAAAAAGTGTATATCCAGATATTTGAAGGTGATAGCTGGCATATTAGGAGGTTGAAGCCCAAGAGAGAGTGGGTGCTTAGGTTTATGACATGGCCTGGCTAACTTCTTTAAGTCTCAGCTCATGTCATATTGCCTTTTCCTGCACATAGTCCTAACTGGACTCACCTTTCTGCTTTGCTCTGGTTGTTTGGTACTTCCCATGTAACTCTGGCATGCCTCTTCTATAGTGTTATGTAGAGCTCCCATTCTAAATGGAAAGTTTCTCGAATGACTTTGTTTTAAGATGCACATTGATACCTCTACAGCATCAACTGTTCTCAACCAGGATTCCTCTATAGAATTAATTAAGCCTGAATACCCAAGCTCTGAGTCATCATTGTATATCATTTGCCTCTTTCTGTGCATCTAAGATGGTATTTGCTGTGTACCACCATTGGGAGAATTGATAAATTAGTCACTCAGATCATTTTTTGTAGGGCTTAATTCTGTAGCAGAACTCTGGTTGTGAAAGGCTAGACTTTTATCTTTCCAAGATTATATATTCTGTATTGCTAGAGCTGTTTTATGCCTTGACTCATGTCATTTGTGTTCTTTTGCCATTCTGATTTCTTAGAATAGTTACTTGCTATTGTTAATTATTTTCTTGTGTTATATTTATTTGTAGACTGCAAAGCAAGGTCTTACACTCTTGCGTTTATCTTTTTGTATAATGAATAGTGAGGGGAGAATGGCAGAGTAATTTCTAGAGTAGGCTTAGATGTTGTTACTGTTTATTATACCTTAGAAGTTTATCTAAAGAATTTTTTTCATGTTCTAAATTAGCTTTTGAGTATATTGTTACTCATCAAAGGCAAGCAGTTTATCTTCTGTTATCTTTTGAAGAAGTCTTTTCAAGTATATGTAATTTTGGTTCCTCTTTTCCCTCTACTGTGAAATTATATAGGAGACAAAGCATTATCTAACTGTGAACCTTACCACTCTTCGAGTATGGTGTTATGCTTGCAGCAAAGAAGTATTTTTGGATAGGAAATTAGGAACTCAGCCTTCATTGCCTCATGTAAGACAACCTCACCAAATACAAGAAAACAGTGTCCAGGTAATAATCTAGATCCACTTAGTTAAGCTGTAAAACATTCCGGTAATAATTTCAGAATTTGTCATGTAGCTGAAATTTTCAAAAGGAATACTGCCTAACCTGTACTTTGAAAATTTCTGTAATGTGCCTTTTTTCTCTCAAATAAAGCACTCAGACTCCCCTTTCTTGTGTTGCTTAGAGTGCTAGATTAGGGTGAGATTGAAGCCCACCTGTTTGAAGATGGAAAAGGCCCTAATGAATTTTTGAAGTTTTTTTTTTTAAATGACTCAAGTAGTCTTTATCTTTTTCTGGTAAGTCTGATTTCAAGAAAGGTGGTGGGCCTTCTTTGATAGCATATGGCAGTTACTAATTCAGCTCTCTTCCCCGTTCTCTCCTCCCCTCCATCCCCTTTGTATTACTGTGAACATTTTACTTATTATTGACAACAAAGTAGAATATAATAAAGCTTAGCATCAGTCTTTGGGTTAAAGATTTTTCTCCCTTTGGGCTGGGTGCGGTGGCTCACGCCTGTAATCCCAGTGCTTTGGGAGGCCAAGGCGGCTGGATCACGAGGTCAGGAGATCGAGACCATCCTGGCTAACATGGTGACACCCCGTCTCTACTAAAAATACAAAACATTAGCCGGGTGTGGTGGCGGGCACCTGTATTCCCAGCTACTTTGGAGGCTGAGGCAGGAGAATGGCGTGAACCTGGGAGGCAGAGCTGGCAGTGAGCCGAGACCTTGCCACTGCACTCCAGCCTAGGTGACAGAGTGAGACTCCATCTAAAAAAAAAAAAGAAAAAAAGATTTTTCTCCTTTTGGATCAAGAGACTTAGAAAACACATGGGTTTGCTTGCAGAATTTATCACTTAATTTTCAGAATTCTTAAAGTCATAGAAAAATAGGAAAAAGGAAATTAACTTAGAATAGTTGGCTTCTTAATCAGATCATCAGTTGATCAGAATTTGATCAGATTTGATTAACAGCAAGTTTTTTTCCTCATGTGTGTTATAGAAATCACATATTTCTGTACTTGTTCATTGATACCAACTGTCAGGTTTTTCTGTTGTATGTTTGTATCACATTCTTATGGTAGATATTTGTGATAATAAATTTGCTTGCCTTACACATGAAAGATGGCTAGATTTTAGTCAAAGAATAATTTCTTGCATTTTCAGTTTCTCAGTTGAATGGCTCTAGTTAATTATAACCATTACTGTTTCTCCCACTTATACCTATTTATCATTCACAAACATGTTTAGTCTTTTTCAAAAGTCCAGATAGTATGAAAATGGCCGTTTCGTTGAATCCTCTTACATTATTAACAAAAGTTTGTCCCACTGAAGATAGCTGAATGGTAATAAGTAGAAAAAGTTTTAAAAAAGAAAAAAGTGTAATGTTATGACTAAAGTTTAATCACACAAGGAACTAATAATATATAAAGGCAAAACTATCAGCATCACTTACTAGAGAAGTAAGTTAAATAAGCTATCTGTTGCCATTTCTGCCAGAAAAGATCAAGATTACAAACTTTAATAAATGTTGAATCTGATAGAATAAGTATACTGATACTTTCCTGATGGCTTGTTAATAATTTTCTGATGACTTGTAAATATGTTAACACATAAAAGGCATAAACTTAATTTCATTCAACTTCCTTATGATCCCATTGTTGAAGAAATTATTCAGAAGAAAACAGTGGTTCAGATAGATTTCTTTAGTGGTCCAAAACTTATATGCTGTTGAAATCCAGTTTACCACAGGATATTTGCAAAATAGTAAAATATTGGAGGCCATGCAAATATTAATAAGATTTTTCAAATAGACATTTTTTCTAGATAGTAAAATTTCAGGTGATTTAAGCCTCTGTACTTCTGTGTATTTAGATATTTTGTAGTGAGCATGTATCTTTTTAAAAGCAATTACTTTATGAAAACAAAATGAAAGTATGAAGTCCACTCAAATGTCCAGTCTCTACAGATGTCAGGAAAGTAAAATCGTTGGGAATTAGTGCATATGCCTGCATTTTAGAGGTAAAGTAAGGCTATAATAACTTGGAGAACCAGAGTACATGCTAAATTCTTTCTGCTATTCAGTTTCCTTCTCTGTTTGGGTGTTGCTGAATGTTGGTTCATTGTAGTTCAATCTTCTGATATTACAAGAGAACTTTCAAATTTTGATTTTTATTTGTCGTCTCCGAATTTTTTAAACTTTAGCTCAAAGTTTTTTTCGTTTTTTTTTTTAAAGTGTTTACTAGCATTTGGCTAACAGGTTATCAGTTGCAACCTCTGAGTCAAGCCAATTGTTGGAAATTAATATTAGAATATTATTATTTAAAGTAAGTGCTTGAACTATTTAATATACGTAAAAGTGTGCAGGCCGGGTGTGGTGTCTCACACCTGTAATCCCAGCATTTTGGGAGGCCGAGGTGGGCGGATCATGAGGTCAAGAGATCAAGACCATTCAGGCCAACATGGTGAAACCCCTTCTCTACTAAAAATACAAAAATTAGCTGGGCGTTGTGGCATGCACCTATAGTCCCAGCTGCTTGGGAGTCTGAGGCAGGAGAAGCGTTTGAACCCAGGAGGTGGAGGTTGCAGTGAGCTGAGATCGTGCCACTGCACTCCAGCCTGGCAACAGAGTGAGACTCTGTTTCGGAAAAAAAAAAGTGTGCAAAGTAAATACAGTAATAAGTATCAGGAGAGATTGTAGAAGTCTATAGATAATGTGTTATGATGAAAAACTTTTGCCTTTTTCCCTGTTGAAAATGAGATCTGAGAAGACAGTGTAGGATAGTATCCTTCGGAGATCTTTTTAGCTATGGTTTACTGTCACATAATTGCAGTTATTGTGGAGTTTTAATTCAGAAAATTCGGTTGTAAAAAGTGCCTTTTTAACTCAAATATATATGTTAATAAAGCGGGACTGACATGCTATTACCCTAGGGTTTTATTTCCTTCAAAATATAAATGTAAGTTTAATTGCTAATACCACAAATTCTTATGGTTCCACTATTAAAATAACATCTCAATAATTTTTATGGTATAGATGTTATATAAGTTACAATTAAAACTTTTTTTAAATTTAAGGATTTGTTCAAGTGTGCTATCTTTTTTTGTTATCAAGGATTTTAAAATACCCAGTAATACAACATTAAAAACTCCTCTGGTTGCCGTATTTGATGATCTGGATATAGAAGCGGATGAAGAAGATGAACTTAGGGCCAGAGGTAAATTAATCCTGTGTAACGCTTCTTTGTATGGCACTGCCCATTTCTTTAGAAAACCATATAATGTAAAAGTTTCAAAATGTGGAGGTAAAATGGGCTTGATAATTAAAACAAAAGGACTCTGAAATTTGGCCTAGTAAAATTTTATTTGCAAAACAAACTTTTGGTTTCTCTGGTGTCAGTTTACCAAAGGTAGGATCCTACTTACTCTTTTGCAGTTGAGCCTTATGATCTTTTTGTTTAACTTGCCTTTTGAGGTCTGTTTGAACAGTGTTTCTCATTTTTCTATTGTCAGTGATGGGGAGGTATTAGGTATAAAGGTATTCCCTTAGCAGAAGTTCCGGGGAAAACATTTGGAAAAAGAATCAGGTGATACACTTCTCCCTTCTTCCCCTAAATTGAGAACCGGTCTATTTGGATTTTTCATATTCTTTTAGGCCCACTGTTCTTAGTATAAGCTTAAAATTTTCTGTTTTATAATTGATACTAGTGGTACATTGAATGTATATTTAGATAATTATCTGGAAATTAACACTTTGGTTTAAGCTTAACATGACTAGAGATAAGTTATAAATATTTTATGTATTTCCCAGTTTTAACCCATTAATTTAGCTCACACTATTAATTTTACTGGATACTTATCAATAAGTGGTAATTCAGTCTTGTTTTAGAGATTTTTAGAATTTTAAATTTTCTTCATTTTGCTCCAAATCCAAATAGCATTTATAATTTTTTGTAGTATTTATTTCATCTTTTAATAATGAAAGTAAACTGATGAAAGTGAACTTGACTATATATGGAAGAGATAACAGTCATTCAATGGCTCGTTTTAATATTAGCTTGAACCATATGAAATTGCCATTTTTGTAGATTGTCAGCAGTTTCCTATGGTTCAACCTAATAAATACTACTTTCTTTTTTTCTTTTTTTTTTGAGATGGAGTCTCGCTCTGTTGCCCAGGCTGGAGTGCAGTGGTGCAATCTCGGCTCACTGCAAGCTCCGCCTCCTGGGTTCACACCATTCTCCTGCTTCAGCCTCCCGAGTAGCTGGGACTACAGGCACCCGCCACCATGCCCGGCAAATTTTTTGTATTTTTAGTAGAGATGGGGTTTCGCCATGTTAGCCAGGATGGTCTCGATCTCCTGACCTCGTGATCCACCCACCTCAGCCTCCCAAAGTGCTGGGATTACAGGCGTGAGCCACTGCGCCCGGCATAAATACTACTTTCAGTGCAATACGTTGAAATGGAAAGGAAAAGGGTGTTTGCTTATCATTTATCATGACGAGTTTTTTTGCATTGTCATTAATTTTCTCAAAATAATTAAACTTTAGTTATAATAAGAAATGTAAAAGTCTCAATTAATGCTTTTTAAAAACACGTAGTCTTAAATGTTAATAGGAAAGACTGTTCTTCCTGTGCAAATTTCAAAGTTTGAACTGTTTAATCCTTGAATTTATGTAAAACTCAAAATTTTGGTGATTGTAAGGCTTCCCAAAGTGTGACCTCTCTGAATTGTTCAAGTTGCTATATTGTATTTCCGTGGTCCTTAATGTAATTTGGGAACCATATTAATGACCCCTAAAATTGAGTCATTTTGCATTATTGAATGATGACTTCATGTATATTTTTTCTTAATAGGTCTTACAGGTTTGAAAAATATTGGAAATACTTGTTACATGAATGCAGCTTTGCAGGCTCTTTCTAATTGGTAAATAGAGAAATTAATTTTGTTTTATTTGTATAATTTTTTAAGTTATTTTTTGAGCAGAAAACCTTGCAACTATAGTAGTTGACTAACTCAAGGTAGAACAGGCAAGAATCTGGTTTGGGACATAACCCATTCTTGTCCCAACGATGTTACTCTATGTATACCCGTAGTTTCTTGAGGCTGCTGGTCCTTGTGTAAACCCTGGGTAGTTGTGTGTCTTTGAGCAAGTTATTGTTTCTTACATCTAGAAAATGAGTGTCAGCTAATTATTCAGATCACTTTTAATTCAGAGATCTTATGAAAATATTTTATATTTTTCTGTAGATGGAAAGCCTTTAATAAAGGAGTTAGATTTTTTTTTTAATCGTAGTCTTACAAAATAGATATGTCAGGTGGTTTTACTCAAGTTTGGATGCATTGAGTCAGGTGATATTACCCTTGAAATTAGATGCATTGAGTCTGGACCAAAATTCAGAAATCAATGACTTTGACATTACCCTTTCCCTTGGATTAAATTATAGAGCAGTGATTGGAGATTGAACGTATGTCTACAGGTTGAGTATCCCTCATATGAAATGCTGGGAATCAGAAGTGTTTCAGATTTTTTTGGATTTTGGAGTATTTATTTGCATTATGCTTACTGGTTGAGCTTTCCTTATCCAAAAATCCAATATTTGAAATGCTCCAATGAGCATTTCCTTTGGATATCGTGTTGGCATTCAAAAAGTTTTGGATTTTGGAGCATTTTGAATTTTGTATTTTGTATTAGGGATATTAAAGCTGTACTTCTTCCCCAAATAATCTAATTTTTATTTAGACATAACCCTCCATAAATATTTTGCCTTCAGTTTTCTTATGTTTCATAACCTTGTGAAATAAAGATAACCTAATTTTTATTAAGTGATCAGAGAACACATCTTTGAAGAAGAGACTTTTTTTTTCTTTTTTTTTTTTTAGGCTGGGTCTCACTCTGTTGCCCAGGTTAGAGTGCAGTGGCACGATTTTGGCTCACTGCAGCTCTGCCTCCCGGGTTTGTGTGATCCTCCTGCTTCAGCCTCCTGAGTAGCTGAGACTACAGGCACATGCCACCAAACCTGACTAATTTTTAAATTTTTTGTAGAGATGGGGTTTCACCTTGTTGCCTAGGCTGGTTTTCAACTCCTGGGTTCAAGTGATTCGCATGCCTCAGCCTCCCAAAGTGCTGGGATTATAGGCATGGGCCACTGTGCTCGGACGTTAAAGAAGAGACATTTAGGCCAGGCGTGGTGGTTCATGCCTGTAATCCCAGCACTTTGGGAGGCTGAGGCGGGTGGATCATGAGGTCAGGAGTTCGAGACCAGCCTGGCCAACATAGTGAAACCCTGTCTCTACTAAAAATACAAAAAATTAGCCGGGTGTGGTGGTGTGTGCCTGTAATCCCAGCTACTCGAGAGGCTGAGGCAGGAGAATTGTGTAAACCCTGGAGGTGGAGGTTGCAATGAGCCTAGGTCATGCCATTGCACTCTAGCCCAGGTGACAGTGTGAGACTCCGTCAAAAAAAAAAAAAAAAAAAAAAAAGAAGAGACATTTACTCTGAAACTTGAGGAATGAGTATCGGTTGGTTGTTTGAAAGGATGGGGAGAGCATTCCTAGCAGAATGCTCCTTGTAAGCAGCCTTGGGATGGGAAAGAGCTTGACACATTTGAGGAACTGGAAGAAAATCTGTGTGACGGGGTACAGTAATCATAGGGCTGAATGACATGGGTCTAGGTTATGTAGACCACATTAAAGATGTAGGTCTTTATTCTCATAGTAGTACGATACCATTGAAGTGTTTGTGTAGTAGGGTAGCTAATAATCTCTCTTATATTTTTAAAATATTACTGTGGTTGCTATGTGGACAGTGAATTGGAGGGGGAAGAGAGTGGAATTTGAAAGACCAGCTAGGAGACTATGATAATGATTTAGGCAAGAAGTAGTGGTAGTTTACATCATCTAGGGTGGTAGGAAAAGAGTGAAGGAATTGGAGATAAACACTTTTAGGAGGATGATTGATTGATAGGATGTGGGTAGAGTAACTAGAGAAAGGGAGAGGAGATTCAAAGTTTAACAGTACAAACCTGTGATAAGAGAACTGTAGGTTGATACTATTGTTATTTTTATACAGATAAGAAAACCAGACACAGAAGTTTAAATAACTTTGCCGATATAACCAGCTAGTAAGTACTAGCAGAATTCTGGTTTTTTTTTTTTTTTTTAAGTTAGAGACAGGGTCTTACTCTGTCACCCAGGCTGGAGTGTAGTGGAGCGATCATGGCTCACTGAAGCCTTGAACTCCTGGGTTCAAGGGTTCTTCCTGCCTCAGCCTGCCAAGTAGCTACGACCACAGGTGCATGCCAGTGCTCCCAGATAATGTTTTAAAATTTTTGTAGAGATGGGTTTTCGCTATGTTGCCCAGGCTGGTCTTGAACTCCTGTCCTTGAGTCATGTCCTGCCTTGGCCTCCCAAAGTATTGGAATTACAGGCATGACCAACCATGCCTGGCAGGGACAAAATTCTGAGTCTGAGATTTTTACGTGTATGTTTGTTTTTGTAGATGTTTTGTTTATTACTGCACAATACTGCTTCCACCGATTTACTTTGTAATTCCTCTGATTTCATTGAAAAAGATGTGGCTGATACGATTACACTATTGGTGGCTGGGTGTGGTGGCTCATGCCTGTAGCACTTTGGGAGGCTAAGGTGGGAGGATTGCTTGAGGAGCCTAGGAGTTCTGGAACCAGCATGGGCAACATAACAAGACCCTGTCTCTACCAAAAAAAAAAAAAAGATTACACTTGGCAAAGAGATGACTTAGTAGTTATCTAACTGCCTTCATAGGAGGTTTGGTTTATGTAGGTCAGGATTTGGTCCTTTGCCTAATCAGTTTCCTATAAATAGATTTATGGAGATTCCCTCAAGCTAATCAAACTCACGACAGACAGACTATACTTCCTTATAAATTGCTAACTTGAGCCACCAACAAATATTAATACCAAATGATGGAATGTAGAAGGCTGGAGGAAGTGCAGGTTCACTTGAAAGTTAAATTTTTATCCTGTTTAGTTTGGGCATTTCATATAAATCTGAAATTTAGATGACATGGTTGACTTTATATAAATTTGACCATCATTGGAATATGGTTGAAAATTTTAGATCGCCCAGGGGAAAAAAGTATATAGGGAAATGTCATAGGATCAAGTCCCGAGGAATCCTTACGTTTACATGTCTGAGGCCAAAAAGAGCAATAGAGAGGGAAAAGGAGTTTCAAGAGCTAAAGAGGAAAAGTAGGAAAATGCATTACAATAGTCCTGAGAATGTTTGTTCAAGAGTGAGGGCATAGTTGTCTGTGGCAAATGTTACTGAGTGGGGACTGAAAAGTGTATCTGGCAGCATGGAGGACTCTTGATATGCTGGGGCCAAATCTGATTTGAATGGATTGAGCTCTTTATGAAGGAATGAAAGTGAAGCTGTAAGAGGGATCAAAGAAAGAAATAACGGCTAAAGGAATGTATGTGTTGTCAGTTAATTGAATGACTAGAAATAATCAGTATTAGCTTTGACTCCACTCTAACATTTTTCTCTTTTTAAAATTAGCCCACCTTTGACACAGTTTTTTCTTGATTGTGGAGGACTAGCTCGAACAGATAAGAAACCTGCCATTTGTAAAAGTTATCTCAAACTAATGACAGAGCTGTGGCATAAAAGCAGGTATGTAACTTAATATACTCTTCTTCTTTATTAAACTTTTAAATGAATATTATAAATATTTAAAGGTTGCAGGTCCATTTATGGAGCCGGAAAAAAGTAGAAGAGAGATAGATTAGAGACAGCTTTGTTTCAGGCATGTTACATTTGAAGCTGAATGTAAGGTGTCATAGAAGTTTAGAAGCAGATGAAGGTGTCATAGAAGTCTACAAGTATTTGGATATAGTATATAGTGTTGGAATGTTAAAGCTGCTATTACTGGAACTTTAGAGTTTTGCATTCAGGAGCAGCCATTCTCACAATGATAAAATCAGACCCTAAATACTATATGAATATTTTCCTGCTTATGTTTATTTGTTCTAAAGTTTAGCATTAGGATCATAGTTTGCTGTAATATGTTAATAATTTTGTTTTAGAACTATTCAGGAAACTTGCATTTTTGAAAAGTCATGGGGTGAAGCATAATCATTTAATTGAGGGAGGATAGCAGTAAAATATCACTTAAAATATCAAGGATAAGGTGTTCTGATGTGCCTGTGAAACATAATATTAGGCAGTTTTGAATGATTTTTTTGAAACATACTTTTCAATTTATTTAACACTTTGAATTATTGGTAGTTAATTTTTAAAATGAAAATTAAAAATAACAAAAATTGCTCTTTAAAAATGTTTTCTTGCTCAGGCCAGGATCTGTTGTGCCTACTACTCTGTTTCAAGGAATTAAAACTGTAAATCCAACATTTCGGGGGTATTCTCAGCAGGTTAGTTTATTGCTTTTCATTTGTAATTTTAATCTAAATAAATTTGGAAAATGCCATTATGTTTTTTTTGGGTCTACTTATCTTTTGGGGTCATCACTCCTTGTGTCTTTCTTTTGCCAAGAATAGTAACCCTTTTTCATGTTTATTGTTTATATTTTTTCAACTTTCCTTTATCTTTATCTTTTTTTTGAGGCAGAGTCTTGCTCTATCGCCCAGGCTGGAGTGCAGTGGTGCAATCTTGGCTCACTGCAACCTCCACCTCCCGAATTCAAGCGATTCTCCTGCCTCAGCCTTCTGAGTAACTGGGATTGCAGATGTGTGCCACCACGCCCAGCTAATTTTTGTGTTTTCAGTAGAGATAGGGTTTCGTCATGTTGGCCAAGCCAGACTTGAACTCCTGACCTCAGGTAATCCACCCTCCTCGGCCTCCCACAGTGTTGGATTACAGGCATGAGGCACTGTACTCAGCCTTTTTTTTTTTTTTTTTTTTAAGAGAGATAATGTCTCATTATGTTGCCCTGGCTGGTCTTGAACTCCTGACTCAAACGATCCTCCCTCCTTGATCTCCCGAAGTGTTAGGATTACAAGCATAAGCCCCTGCATCCAGCGGAAGTTGATCTTCAGATCATCTTTAGTTTTTTAAAATTTTTATCTGGCTGGGCGTGATGGCTCATGCCTGTAATCCCAGCACTTCAGAAGGCCGAGGTAGGCGGATTGCTTAAGCCCAGGAGCTTGAGACCAGCCTGGGTAACATAGGGAGACCTCATTTCTAAAAATAATTTAGAAATATGTATCAACCAGGTGTGGTGGCACGTGCATCTGGTCCCAGCTACTTAGGAGACTGAGGTGGGAGAATTGCTTGAGCCTGGGGGATCGAGGCTACAGTGAGCTGTGGTCATGCCACAACACTCCAGCTTGGACAACAGAATGAGACCCCATCTCAAAAAAAGAAAACTTTTATTTACATAACTTTTTGGAAGTTAATGCATCTCATTTATCTAGTGCCTTATGCTCTCCAAACTGGTATTTGCTCAATATAGTGCTGTACCTTCATATATAAGTTTGTAATGACATTTTGTATATTTTCCCTTACGTTTCTATATACACATGTAATGAAGTGGTTAACATTATGTTGCTGATATATTAGGATGCTCAAGAATTCCTTCGATGTTTAATGGATTTGCTTCATGAAGAATTGAAAGAGCAAGTCATGGAAGTAGAAGAAGATCCGCAAACCATAACCACTGAGGAGACAATGGAAGAAGACAAGAGCCAGTCGGATGTAGATTTTCAGTCTTGTGAATCTTGTAGCAACAGTGATAGAGCAGAAAATGAAAATGGCTCTAGATGCTTTTCTGAAGATAATAATGAAACAACAATGTTAATTCAGGATGATGAAAACAATTCAGAAATGTCAAAGGATTGGCAAAAAGAGAAGATGTGCAATAAGATTAATAAAGTAAATTCTGAAGGCGAATTTGATAAAGATAGAGACTCTATATCTGAAACAGTCGACTTAAACAACCAGGAAACTGTCAAAGTGCAAATACACAGCAGAGCTTCAGGTGACAATTTAGTAGTTTGTTCATGAAAATGATAGTATTTCATTTGTAGACATGGGTGTTTAAATAATTGTTACTTTGGGTATTTCTAATTAGAATTATAGTTTAGCAGTATTTGCATGTGAGTATTAGTCATAAAATTATAGAACCCGAGGATAAAAGGAATTTTTTGGGTCATTTAATTATATAAGAAATTAATCCTCCTTTTGAAGTAAACATTTCATCAGATGTCTTTTGTGTAGTCATGCAGTAATCTAAAAAATTGGGCTCCCCAGAATTTTCTCTTTTATTTTAAGCAAATTATGTTGCGATCCTGGAAAAAAGCAAATAACCCAAATTGCAATTTTCTAATTATATACACTAGTAGATTTAGATTGTTGTCATTGGAGTCACATCAGATGTGTTTTAGTGTAGAAGTTGAATTAACTATAGTGAGCCCTGCTGTGATAGATTATGCCATGATACTAGTCAGTGTTCCTTTGAGAAAGAGCATGTGGCCAAATGAAAGTTGAATTGCTTTGTAATTTATCTCTTCAAGAGTTAACTTATCTTGGCTTAAAATGTGGTATGTAGTTTTCCAAAGCACACAAAATTGGGCCATTAGAGGTTCAAATTATGTGATCTTAAAATAAGTGGCAGACATGTAATGTAAAAAAGTTTATTTTCTGTAATTACTGAAGAGTGAGAGTAACTAAGCAATTTATTTAGGTATTTGAATGAATCCAAAATTTCTTCTTGAAAATATTATTAACTATAGGAAGACTTGTGGTTCACTTGGGTAAAGTGCACAGATGCTTTCTAATCGGGAAGACTAGGAGTGTTAGGCTCCTTAATTATACTGATCTTGTGTAGAAGTTGTTAGTGAATAAATATGTCAGGTATCAGTATTGAAAGACTTAGCTTTGACTGCTGTCCAGGCTTTTCTTGTCAAAAGCCCAGTTAAGCCTGATTAGGGACATACTCATCTTTGATTGCTCTGTAACAGGTTTGTTCTTACACATAGTAACAAGGGGATGACCTAAATCAGGAGTCTGAGCTTTTAGGTGTTTTAAGGGCTTGATGAAAAAAATCTGGCGAAGTCTGTAAGGCACACAAACCTAAAACACTTCATCTCTGGTCCGTTAGAGGAAAAAATTGCCAACTCCCCATCTAAATCTCATTAACTTTATTCCCTTCAGAAAGTCCTAGAGTGAGTTGTTTTTTCACTCCCAATATTATGCAGTCTGATTTAGTCATGATTGAAATATTGAGAAATGCCTGTGTGAAAAATGATTTTGCATTATCTGGAAAAATTTCTGAGTACATCCCCTTTCCAGATCTCTTACGAACAATTCTCTTTTCTTCACTCAAATAGTTACTGAGCACATTCCCTTGCCCTGGAATATGTTAGGCACTAGGAATCCAAAGCAAACAATCAAGGTAGCTCTTATATTTTCTTGATTCATCTTATAATTTAATTCTAAAAAAAGATTCTTTCCTGATGAAGTGGTGTATTTTTTATTATAGTAAGATAAAATAACTTATGATTACTTTATACCTACATTTCTTGATTTTGATTATTATGTTAGTTTGGGAGAATAATCGATTTTTCTTTCACATGGTTTTAGAACTTCTAAAAACCTGTCCTGAATATCTTTTTTTTTTTTTTTCCTGAAACAGGGTCTCATTCTGTCACCCAGGCTGGAGTGCAGTGGCATGATCACATCTCACCACAGCCTCAACCTCCTGGGCTCAAGTGATCCTCCCACCTCAGCCTCTTGAGTAGCCAGCACTACAGGTGTACACCACCATGCCCAGCTAATTTTTAGATTTTTTTGTAGAGATGGGGGTCTCATGATGTTGCGCAGTTGGTCTTGAACTCCTGGGCTCAAGCAGTCTTCCCACCTTGGCCTCCCAGTGTTGGGATTGTAGGCGTTAGCCACCCAGCCTAGCCTCTTTTTTTTTTTTTAATGCTATATTTGGACAAACAAGATCCTCTTTGGCTTTGTATTTCCACTGCTCACTTCCTAAACTGCCTGTAATAGTCGTGTGTTATAAACATTAGTTGGGATTGGGCACGGTGGTTCATGCCTATAATCCCAACACTTTGGGAGGCCAAAGTGGGTGGATCACTTGAGGCCAGGACTTTGAGACCAGCCTGGCCAAAATGGTGAAACCCCATCTCTACTAAAAATACAAAAATGAGGTGGGCCTGGTGGCACATGCCTGTAATCTCAGCTACTTGGGAGGCTGAGGCAGAAGAATCGCTTGAATCCAGGATGCGGAGGTTGCAGTGAGCTGAGATCGCACCTCTGCACTGCAGCCTGGGGGACAGAGGGAGACTCTGTCTCAAAAAAACAAGTAAACAAAAATTAGTTGGATTTCTGGGTAGAAGATTACTGTTATTTTGCTTAGTAAGCACTTTGTTAAGTATTTAACTTGACATTTGTTAATATGATTGTGTTCAAAATATCAAATTAAGAAACCTTTAACATTATTGGACAGTTAGAATAATTTTACTATTTAAGGTAATAATGCAAATTTTAAATCTTACAGAATATATCACTGATGTCCATTCGAATGACCTGTCTACACCACAGATCCTTCCATCAAATGAAGGTGTTAATCCACGTTTATCGGCAAGCCCTCCTAAATCAGGCAATTTGTGGCCAGGATTGGCACCACCACACAAAAAAGGTAAAACGTTTCTCTTATTCAGTCTCTTTTGCTTTGGGTCTTAGTTTAAAATGATGGTTTTGGTACTTGATAATTTAAAGTGTTAATTATGAAATATGATTTGATCTTTTAAAATTGATAGCATAATTTTACATAGACATGATTAAAAATTTTGTGTGTTGGTACTCTGCTTTTAAAATTTTACATACAGTTGAATTCACTTTTTCTTGTATAGAGCTTTATGAATTTTAACACTTGCAGCATAGATTCTTGTTACCACCACCACAAACAGAATACAGAACAGCTCTAACACCCCAAAGAATTCCTGCATAGTACTACTTTGTAATCAGATCATTTCTCTATTCCTATGTTCTGGCACCCTTGATCCTCTTTTCTTATTGTTTTGCCTTTTCCTAGAATGTCATATAAATGAAATCATATAGTATGTAGTCTTTTGATTTTTTTAAATCTTTTCATATGTAGTCTTTTGAAACAGGTTTGCCTCTCAGGATAATGCATTTGAAATTCAGATATGTTACTGCGTGTCTGAATAGTTTGTTCCTTTTACTACCAAGTAATGTTTCTTTTTTTTTGTTTTGTTTTGAGATGGAGTCTCACTGTCGCCCAGGCTGGAGTACAGTGGTGCAATCTTGGCCCACTGCAACCTCTGCCTGCCAGGTTCAAGCAGTTCTCCTGCCTCAGCCTCCCGAGTAGCTGGGACTACAGGTGCACGCCACCATGCCTGGCTAATTTTTTGTATTTTTAGTAGAGATGGGCCATGCTGGTCTCGAACTCCTGACCTTGTGATCTCCCCACCTCTGCCTCCCAAAGTGTTAGAATTACAGGCATGAGCCACCATGCCCGGCCTAATATCTCATTTTTTATGGGTATACCACTGTTTATTTACCTACTGGTGGACTTTTGAATTGTTTCCAATTTTTGGCAATTATGAATAATGTTGCTCTAAAATTTATGTATAGGTTTTTGTAAGAACATTTTTTCATTTGTCTAGGACAAATACCTAGAAGTGGGGTTACTGGGTTTTATGTTTGTTTAATGCTTATAGTTGTATTAAACTGCCAGACTTTTTACCAGAGTGTCTACCATTTAGTATTCCTTCCAGGTATATATGGGAGTTCCAGTATTATGTTTTCTTAGAAGAAAACATAGGAGAAAGTCTTCATGGCCTTGGGTTAGACAAAGAGTTCTTAAAGACATTAAAAGCATGATCCATTAAAGAAAAAAATTAAAGATTTTTGTTGACAAAGGACATTCAGAGAATGGAAAGATAAGGTTGGATGTATTTATAAATCATATAGCTAGCAAAGGACATGTATCCAGAAATATATAAAGAACTCTTAAAAACTTTAAATAATAGAATCTTTTCTTCAAATAAAGCCTTACCTGGAGACAAAAACAAATAAGTGAAAACAGAATTGCTCTCAAGTCAGGATAGGGAGACCGAACCCCTTCTATTTCATCTTTAGCTTGATGATGACTTTCATCATCTTTCCCTCACTTTCTAACCTCTTCCCCTCTTCTTTTGACTTGTAAAACATTTAAGTAAACATCCCAGTGATGAAGCATTTGTGGTTTTGTGCTAATTTAGAATTTTGTTCATTTTCTCATATGTACATTTATGGTGGCCAAGGATCATTTATACTTTAAAAAAAAAAACAGGCTGGGTGCGGTGGCTCACGCCTGTAATCTCAGTACTTTGGGAGGCTGAAGTGGGTGGATCATGAGGTCAGGAGATCGAGACTATCCTGGCTAACATGGTGAAACCCTGTCTCTACTAAAAATACAAAAAAATAGCTGGGCGTGGTGGTGGGCGCCTGTAGTCCCAGCTACTTGGGAGGCTAAGGTAGGAGAATGGCATGAACCCGGGAGGCAGAACTTGGCAGTGAGCCGAGATCGCACCACTGCACTCCAGTGTGGGCAACAGTGCGAGACTCCACCTCAAAACAAAAAAACAAAAAAAAACAACAAATATCTTAAGCCTTGTCTGCTTAGTTTCTTTTATTTTTTTAATACTTATGCTCTTTTGAAGAGTATTTTGAAAATTTTCAACACAGTAATTTTTACAGTTTAAGGATTCTAGAGATCATATACAAGTAAGATTGACAAGACAAAAAAAGATTCCAGAGAAAAATGTTAAAGGAGCTGCTTTGATTTTTTTTTAATGTTTTTCAATCCTAGCTCAGTCTGCATCTCCAAAGAGAAAAAAACAGCACAAGAAATACAGAAGTGTTATTTCAGACATATTTGATGGAACAATCATTAGTTCAGTGCAGTGTCTGACTTGTGACAGGGTGAGTATGAGGGTATTAGAATACACAGAAAATTCGTGTCAAATGATTTTTAAAAATGTGACAAGATGATGTGAAAAGTTTAATTCCTTCTCTTTGCTATTGATGAGCATACATGCATTTATTGTGTTTACATCAACACAAATTTGATTCTAGGTGTAGAATTTTTTTTGGAAGTAGCAGCATCCTGTTTAAAGGATGGTGACCCATCATTGGACAGGCACATATTATCCTTCGTCATCTATTTTGGTTACATATAAAGGTGAGAAGTTGCTCAGCAACAAGAATTGGTAACACCTGCATATTCTCCCAGGCTGATGAAATTTGTATACTGGGAATCTGTTGATATTCACAGGTACAAAGCTGTGAATGTATCTCTTACATTTGGTCATATATGGTTTGTAAATATTTTTCCATGTTTAGGATGGGACTCAGATACTAAAGGTAGTATCAAATTCATAGACAATAACAAAGCATACATTAAAATCATCATGAATTTTTTAATAACACTTCTTCAAAGTTTCTTTGAGCTTTTCTTAAGTACAGTTTTACTTTAGTGCAATGATGAATATGAAATAACATCTCAAAAACAAAAAGAAGATTTCAATTATTGTGTTAGAATCTCAAGTCAAATCTAAGAACTTTCAATCGGGTCGTTTTAATGTAGGTTATTTTGGTACTAAATATTTAAGTGGAATTATCAGGCATGTTTTTAGCTATTTAAAATTAGATGCCAGATTTTGTCTCACCCTTTTAAAAAAATATTTTAAAACTACCATCAAAGGTCAATTTTCAAAAATAAATACAATAGTGCTTAAGAGTTTGGACCTCAAGATGCAGTGGCTGGATTTGGGGTGTTTAATGCTGCAGTGTCTGTGATTGTAATGGGGATGCTAATACTACTGCACAGGACTTACGTGAAGATACCTGGTACAGAGCAAGTGTGTTTTGTTTTTTGTTTTTGTTTTTTTTTTTGCTATTATGACTATGAAAGCAGTTCAATTTGCGTGTTTTTTTTTGTTTTTTGTTTTTTTTGCTTATTTAAACATGCTTTGATCTTTAGAGTCTAAAATCTAACCTTGGAAATGTTTTACTGCATTATGTTCATCCCATTTTTAAAACACAAAACAATTTTAGGTGTCTGTAACCCTCGAGACCTTTCAAGATCTGTCCTTGCCAATTCCTGGCAAGGAAGACCTTGCTAAGCTGCATTCATCAAGTCATCCAACTTCTATAGTCAAAGCAGGATCATGTGGCGAAGCATATGCTCCACAAGGGTGGATAGCTTTTTTCATGGAATATGTGAAGAGGTATGTATTTATTTTCTTTGTATTACATGATTGTTAAACCTGCTGTTTCTGCTGTACTGGCAGAACACTTCCTTTTTTTTCTATCAATGATGTTTCAGGTTTGTTGTCTCATGTGTCCCTAGCTGGTTTTGGGGTCCAGTAGTAACCTTGCAAGATTGTCTTGCTGCCTTCTTTGCCAGAGATGAACTAAAAGGTAAGAAATATAATATCTATGGCTAAATTTTTGTAGGTAAATCTAAAATACTAGTGGGACTAAATAATAAAGTGTATTCATAAAAGCTCAGTTTTAAGACAGCTTAATAGTACATTCACATATTGGCATTCGGTTAGTGTCTACCTTGATAATATAAATATAACAAGAAAAATCACATCCTGAAGGAATTCATGTGAATTCCTGTAGTATAAGACAAATGATAAGTGAAATGTTTTAAAGCTGTTCTGAGATCCATAGAAGGGCAAACTCAACCAAAATAATGGACTTATTTGTGTGTCTGTAATTGTGAACTACTCCATATCATTTAAGGTCATTCACTATTTTTGTGTGTCTAGCACCTTGCTTGGACATATGACAGGCAGTCAGTAAGTTTTGTTCAATGAATAAATGGAAAAGATATTATTTGAGGTAGGTCTTCAATGTTGGCAGGAGTTAAGGGAGGGGAAGGTAAACAGTAACCTGATTCATGAGCATAGATTAAAAAAATGGAACCTTGTTTTTCTGTGCTGGGAGGTCAGCATGGGGCAAAATCAAATAATTACAGGACCATAATAAGCAATTTGCTGTTAATTTGAAACCAATGCCAGATCTGTTTTATTTGCAGGTGACAATATGTACAGTTGTGAAAAATGCAAAAAGTAAGTGACATTGACAGTGCTTTTAATTGCATGTTGTGTATTTTTCTTGGTTTTTAGAATTGGGTATGTGGAGTTAAATTTGCCACTGTATTTAGAAAAATGTAGGCCAGAAAGGTTTATCCTAGTAATAATAGAGATTAGCTGTTTTGTGAAACAAATGTGAGGTAAAAATTTGACAAATTTAATAGGCTTATTAAGATGTGAGAGAGTATATTTTGAGGGATGAAATCTGTATGTGATTTTGCATAAAACGTTTTCCTAAATAAGGCAATATTTTCTTCTGAATTACCATTTTAACAGGCTAGATTCAGGAAGTGAAAGGTACAAAGTTTCATATCCACATAAAATTCCTAAAGGTTATACCGACTTCGATGTTATCTGCTGTTAACAATGGCATACGAGAAAGACAGCTAAAGTCTGATTTTGTTTACATCTACTACCAGCTGCCTTTTTCTGTCTTGTAATCAATTTAGACTTTTAATGCTTCTTAGTGGTAAGTCAGAAAAAAGTGTTGGAAGACTTGGTGAAAAGCAACTATTTGTGAGGCAAAGTGAACTGGAAATTTCTTCTCAATCTCTGTAATAGGAATGCAACGGCTTGCTAATAAGATCTGGGATAATACAGACTTCTAGTTCTTGGCAGTAACCTAAAGGAAACATTGATCTGCAACTGATCATGACATGACAGAAAGGAATGGTATACTATTTGGTTGATAAAGATGAAAAAGCTGACTTCTACTTTTGGAGAAAGTATCACTTTGTTCTTGAAGCCCTAGCTGACTGCTGAAAAGGAAGTTGGCTTGGAAGGGGATTGTTCCTTGTAAAGCAAAGCATACTAAGAAAAAGATAACAGTGAAGATGGAAAAGAACCTTGCATCTACCTCCATATTCAAAGTAGAGATCTGTCAAATGTATATTAATTTTGATTATATAATAATAACCATCCTTTATCTTTTTTTCCACATGTAAGAATAAAGGTTTTTTTTTTTTTTTTTTTTTTTTTTTTTCATTTGAGACATAGTCTCATTCTGTCGCCAAGGCTGAAGATTCAGTAGCATGATTACAGCTCTTTGCAGGCTCAGCTTCCTGGGCACAAGCGATCCTCCTGCCTCAGCCTCTCAAGTAGCTGGGACTACAGATGCATGCCACCATGCCTGGCTAATTTGTATTTTTTGTAGAAATGGGGTTTTGTCATGTTGCCCAGGCTGTTTGTGAACTCCTTGGCTTGCATGATTTGCCAACATTGGCCTCCCAAAATGCTGAGATTACAAGCGTGAGCCACTGTGTCCGGCCAAGACTTTTTTTTTTTTTTTTTTCTTGAGAGGGAGCCTTGCTCTGTCGCCCAGGCTGGAGTGCAGTGGTGTGATCTCGGCTCACTGCAACCTCTGCCTTCTGGGTTCAAGCAATTTTCCCTGCCTCAGCCTCTTGAGTAGCTGGGATTACAGGTGCCCGCCACCACACCCAGCTAATTTTTGTATTTTTAGTTGAGATGGGGTTTTGCCATATTGGTCAGGCTGGTCTTAAACTCCTGACCTCAGGTGATCTGCCCACCTTGGCCTCCCAAAATGCTGGGATTATAGGCGTGAGCCACGGTGCCTGGCCAAGAGTTTGATATGTTGACTTGAACTACAAATTTTATAAAACTGAGGTTTTGCTTTATCTGGTTTTACTTAATATCTAGATGTTTTAAAGGCATAGCCACACCACAGACAGTAGCACATTTGTTAAAACAAAACAATTTTCATCAAAGAGTTATACAGCTCTCTAAATTTTTGATTACCGATATCTTGGTTTAAATTACTATTGTTATTTTTTGAGATGGAGTCTTGCTCTGTCCCCAGGCTGGAGTGCAGTGGCACGATATTGACTCACTGCAGCCTCTGCCTCCTGGGTTCAAGTGATTCCTCTGCCTCAGCCTCATGAATAGCTGGGACTACAGGCGTGCGCCACCATGCCCGGCTAATTTTTTGTATTTTAGTAGACATGGGGTTTCACCATGTTGGCCAGGATGGTCTCCATCTCCTGACCTTATGATCGGCCCGCCTTGGCCTCCCAAAGTGCTGAGATTACAGGCGTGAGCCACTGCGCCTGGCCAGTTTAAATTATTTTTTACAATAAGGGACTCCAGTGTTTTGATTAAGATATTTAATGTATACATGTAACGTAATTCAGTGGCAAGTATTTCTAGTCTGATATCTTTTGTCTCTGCATTTTCTTTCTTTCTTTCTTTTTTTTTTTTTTTTTTTGAGGCAGGGTCTCACTCTAGCCCAGGCTGGAGTACAATGGTGCGATCTTGGCTCTCTGCAAACTCCGTGTCCCGGGTTCAAGTGATTCTCCTGCCTCAGCCTCCTGAGTATCTGGGACTACAGGCATGTGCCACCATGCCTGGCTAATTTTGTATTTTTAGTAGAGACGGGATTTCACCATGTTTGCCAGGCTGGATCTCTGCATTTTCTAAAAGATTTTTGTTGCAAATTTAAATATACTAAGTTTTTTTGTAGACTAATTGATTTTCTCTTTTCTCCCCTTAGGTTGAGAAATGGAGTGAAGTTTTGTAAAGTACAAAACTTTCCTGAGGTATGGGCATTATTTTAATTCAACTTATATTGTGTGGTAGGAACATAAAGTATTAATGTAACAAAATGTAGTAATAAATTCTCTTTGCTTGGTTGAAGAATTGAATGATTGCTATGCATGCCTTTTTAAGATTATTCAGTTTTAAAATATTGAGTTAAATACCGTAAGTGCCCTTTAACAATGTGCTGTGTTGAACAAAGTTTAATCATACTTGCAGGATCTTGCCAGGTCTAAAGTGTAAAATTAGAAAAACAAATAGCAGTGAACTTAGAAAGTACCATGTTTCACCATTTCCATATTTTTAACATCTCTGGAAGCAGGTTATAATTGCAGATCAATACTTAACCTTGACACTTCAGTATATATTGAATAGACTGCTTTATCTAGCATTTAAAACGAAATAAAAATCTAAATAACTTCATAATTGTAATTTGATTGAACACCTCAGTTTCTTGCTTGTTGAATAAAAATGTTACTAAGTTTTACCTGTTATAATGCTTTTTGTTTTCTGTATTGACAAATTAGTTTTGAATTTTATTCTTTTTTAGATTTTGTGCATCCACCTTAAAAGATTCAGACATGAACTAATGTTTTCCACCAAAATCAGTACCCATGTTTCATTTCCGCTAGAAGGCTTGGATCTTCAGCCATTTCTTGCTAAGGATAGTCCAGCTCAAATTGTGACATATGATCTTCTGTCAGTCATTTGCCATCATGGAACTGCAAGTAGTAAGTATATAGGTTTAACAGTTGTTCCTAGATTTAAAAAAAAATTAAAATAAGCCTGGGCGTGGTGGCTCATACCTGTAATACCAGCCTTTTGGGAGAATGAGGTGGGAGAATCACTTAATTAAAGCCAGGAGTTTGAGACCAGCTTGGGCAGCATAGTGAAACCCCATCTCTACAAAATAAATAAATAAACATCCTAATTAATCTTTTAAATAATATCTGAATAAAAGAAAAAATGTTAAAAACAGATGTTACTGCTAATTATTAAAAACATGTCAGATAATTTTATGCAATTAAATATTTTTACTATGATGTTTCCAATATTGAAAATTGTATACAGTTAATAAGGCATTAACATGATTTTTTTTTTTTTTTTGGAGACAGAGTCTCACTCTGTTGCCCAGGCTGGAGTGCAGTGGCGCGATCTTGGCTCACTGCAACCACCGCCTCCCAGGTTCACGCCATTCTCCTGCCTCAGCCTCCCAAGTAGCTGGGACTACAGGCGCCTGCCACCACGCCCAGCTAATTTTTTTGTATTTTTAGTGGAGACGGGGTTTCACCGTGTTAGCCAGGATGGTCTCGATCTCCTGACCTCGTGATCTGCCCGCCTCGGCCTCCCGAAGTGGTGGGATTACAGGTGTGAGCCACCATGCCTGGCCCTAACATGATTTTTATACTGGATTTTTTAAGATTATGTGTTCTAGCTGGGTGTGGTGGCTCATACCTGTAATCCCAGCACTGGGAGGCCAAGGCAGGTGGATCATCTGAAGTCAGGAGTTCGTGACCAGTCTGGCCGACATTGTGAAACCCCGTCTCTACTAAAAATACAAAAAATTAGCCAAGCATGATGGCAGGCGCCTGTAATCCCAGCTACTCGGGAGGCTGAGACAGGAGAATCGCTTGAACCTGGAAGGTGGAGGTTGCAGTGAGCTGAGATTGCACCATTGCACTCCAGCCTGGGCAACAAGAGCAAAACTCCATGTCAAAAAAAAAAAAAAGAAAAAAAAGAATATGTTTTCTAATAGCTGGGTGTTTGTGGGGGCGCAGTCAGGCTGGTGGGAAAAATTTTAGTTTTAGAAAATATACACAAACCCTTCTGGAGGGCTGGGAGTTTTTACATACAGTACTTGGCTGAAGGCAGCCTTGTCCCCTTAGTTAAGTAAATTAGATTAGAAAAGGAATGTGGGGAGTTTATCTCACTAGCTTGTTTACCCATGTGGTCCTAAGACTAACCTTTGATTTACCGGGTTCTTAATTGCTTTCTACTGGGGAGGTTTGCAATATCAATTACCCTCTAGTGGTGTTGACTCAAGGCTTTGTCAATTAATCTGTACTGAATAAATGCGAGTCTCACTGGCTCGTCGAGGCTGCTGTCTGCAACTGTTTACAGCACTGTTCTTGGAGTCTGTAAGTGGCCCAGATGCTTAGCCAGACTGGCAAAGCAGAATATCTGTGTCAGTGTACTTTATTCATCCGTCATTGGGTCAGGGTCTGTGGGACAGACCCCCGCAGGTGTTAATGACTCATGCCTGTAATCCCAGCACCTTTGGAGGCTGAGGCAGAAGGATCACTTGAGGCTCGGAGTTTGAGAACAGCCTGGACAACATAGCAAGACCCCATCTGTAAAAAAACAAAAATAAATTAGCTGGGTGTGGTGATGTGCACCTGTAGTTCCAATTACTCAGGAGGCTGAGGCAAGAGGATAGCTTGAGCCCAGAAATTTGAGGCTGCAGTGAGCTGTGATCCCTTCACTGAACGCCAGCTTGGGCAACAGAGCAAGACTGTGTCTATTAAAAAATAAAAAAATTTAAAAAATTACATGTTCTGTCGTCAGGTGATGAAGGAATGGTGGCAAGCGTGCAAACTGAAAAAAAAATACAAGCATAATTCTTCCTATATTCCAGCTACTGTGCTAGGCACTGGAAATATAAAAAGTTTATCCTCCTTTCTTCTGTTGTTTTTGTATTACTGTAATGATTTCTTTTCCCTCAAATTCAGGTGGACACTATATAGCCTACTGCCGAAACAATCTAAATAATCTCTGGTATGAATTTGATGATCAGAGTGTCACTGAAGTTTCAGAATCTACTGTACAAAATGCAGAAGCTTACGTTCTTTTCTATAGGTAATGGAAATAAGTGTAGATGCGAAAGGACATCTCTCACATTTTGGGCTTATCAGTGACTTCTAAGACATTCTAATGGATTGCTGAGTCAAGATTAGGAATTGTTTTCCTCCTATTTCATTACAGTAAAATACAGTGAAAGGCTGTATATGTAGAATGATTCTTTGTTCAGAAAATGCTAAATCATTTACTTGAAGAGCAAAGGGATATATTTTGTTTTAGAAAGATTAATTTTAGTGCCGGGCACAGTGGCTCAGGCCTGTAATCCCAGCACTTTGGGAGGCCAAGGCGGGTGGATCACGAGGTCAGGAGTTCAAGACCAGCCTGGCCAAGATGGTGAAACCCTGTCTCTACTAAAAATACAAAAATTAGTCAGGTGTGGTGGCAGGTGCCTGTAATCCCAGCTACTGGGGAGGCTGAGGCAGGAGAATCGCTTGAACCCGGCGGGTGGGGGTTGCAGTGAGCCTAGATTGCGCCACTGCACTCCAGCCTCGGCAACAGAGTGAGACGCCATCTGAAAAAAAAAGAAAAAGAAAGATTAGGTTTAATTTAAAAATTAGGCATTGATGGTCTGAATTAAGTACCAAATTTTCTCCCAAAGTAGCTAATAATGAAAGTATTACTATAAAAATATTTGTTTTTTTTTAGCATCTTATAAAAGAAGATGCTAGCTTCTGAAACAGAAGCAGATTAATTATTTAGCTTGATCTTATTAACAAACATTTGAATGCTTACTGTGTTCCAGTAGTTATGTGGATACCTGTAGGTAAGATACAGTTTCATCCCTATGAGTATATAATGTATTTGGTGGATAATACAAAGTATATTTCTCTTGAAATTCCCAAGACCTAATAAAGATAGTGTTAATATGTGTGTTAAGTCTAATAAGAAGAAAAATCCATCTACTAGTAATGTAGTAAAATGCATATTGAATTTAACTAATCATTGTCCTTAATAGGAAGAGCAGCGAAGAGGCACAAAAAGAGAGGAGAAGGATATCAAATTTATTGAACATAATGGAACCAAGCCTCCTTCAGTTTTATATTTCTCGACAGTGGCTTAATAAATTTAAGACCTTTGCCGAACCTGGCCCTATTTCAAATAATGACTTTCTTTGTATTCATGGAGGTAAGAACTCCTGTAATGCAAACCGGTAGTAGAAGTTTGCTGTAAAATAATTTGCAAATTAGGAGAGCCAAGAATTTTCCTCTCCCACTTATTTCCCATTTCCCCACCTGCATTCAAACTTAATGTGTTTTAATTCCATATGGTTTCAGAAATTCACCCTTCCTTTTTAATTGTAGGTAATCTCTAGCTTCTTTATTGAACATATATTTACTGAGTACATGCTTTCTAAACTTTTTGCTAGTGCCTAAGGACACTAAAAATCCTTTTTCTTCTGTGAAAGCTCTAATTTCATAGTAGAGTAAGATACATAAACAGCTGTTTACATTACAGTGAGCTCCTCTATTATACATCATTTTTCCTACCTGAGGCATTCCTGTGCTGGTGATTTTATCTATCGACTATATTGGTGGTTCTTAACCCCATTGTCTAAATGAATAGCTGGCTTTTTTCCCAAGTATGGAAATGTATCTGGGATTTAAGAAAAAAAAGCCTCATAATTAAATATAACTTTGGCCCTTGTGAGATTGGCTGTGTTAATGTTTATTTCTACAATAAATAGGACCTTTGTGTGATGCCAATTAAACTTCAAGGTTGAAGATGGGATATTCATGGTAATTATGTTTGTAGTGAAACCAGAAGGGATAGGGATACCTGTATTGGACATAGAAATTTTAAGGTGTATGTTCATCTTGAGGAAACACAATCACCAAAAATGCTTTATAATTACCGTTCTTGGGAGAGAGAGTGTAAGAATAATGATTGAGCTGGGTGCAGTGGCTCACACCTGTAATCTCATTGTCTCAGGAGGCTGAGGCAGGAGGACTCCTTGAGCCCTAGAGTTTGAGGTTGCAGTGAGCCATGGTCATGCTGCTGCACTCCAGCCTGGGTGACAGAGTGAGACCTTGACTCAAAAAAATGGCCAGACACAATGGCTCATGCCTCTAAGCTCAGCACTTTGGGAGGCCAAAGCAGGAGGATCACTTGAGGTCATGAGTTTGAGACCAGCCTGGGCAACATAATGAGAGCCTGTTTCTACAAAAAAAAAAAAAAAAAAAAGAAAAGTTAGCTGGGTGTGTTGAAGCATGCCTGTAGTCCCAGCTACTCAGGACGCTGGGGTGGGAGGATGCCTTGAGCCCAGGAATTTTGAGGCTGCTGTGAGCCATGATCATGCCACTGCACTCTCTGGACTGGGTGACAGAACAAGACCCTTCCACTTAAAAAAACAATGATGATTGATCTGTCATTTAGTTACTGTTAAAAAAAAAATGAGTTTAATGTTTGAAAGGAATATAATTAAAAGCATGAAACAGATATGTTTATATATTTTTTTAGGTGTTCCTCCAAGAAAAGCTGGTTATATTGAAGACCTGGTTTTGATGCTGCCTCAGAACATTTGGGATAACCTATATAGCAGGTTTGTTTTTTAAATCAGACCATACAGTGTTGTGAAAGTCGGTTAAACTGGTTAAAAGGGGTTTGGATTATTTCAGAGATGCTCCTTGTGCTATGTGTTTATTCTTTTCCCTTACTTATTCATTCTAAAGTGTGAGTAGGAAGACTTTGTAGCTACTGTGGCATAGTCTAGATAATTAATTTTAATTTTTTCTAATTATCTATCTGTGAAGGTATGCTGTGGTAATTTAAGTACCTTGTTTAAAATACTTTGCATATCCCCACACTAAAATTTTACATATGTATATACTCACACAATTGAGTATCTTACTCTTAAATTGTAAATTTTTTTTTCTTTTTTTTTGAGACAAGGTCTTGCTCCATCAACCAGGCTGGAGTGCAGTGGCACGATCTTGGCTTACTGCAGCGTCGACCTCCTAGGCTCCAGTGGTCCTCTCACTTCAGCCTGCCTAGTAGCTGGGATCACAGGCGTGCATCACCATGTCTGGCTAATTTTGGGGTGTTTTTTGTAGAGATGGGGTTTTGCCATGTTGCCTGGGCTGATCTTGAACTCCTGGGCTGATCTTGAACTCCTGGGCTCAAGCCATGTGGCTGCTTTGGCCTCCCAAAGTCCAAAGTATTGGGATTACAGGCATGCATCACTGGGCCTGGCCTTAACATCGTAAACTTTAAAATTTTAAGATGGAGTCTCGCTCTGTCGCCCAGTCGGGAGTGCAGTGGTGCAATCTCAGCTCACTGCAACCTCTGCCTCCCAGTTTCAAGCGATTTTGTGCCTCACCCTCCCAAGTACCTGGGATTACAGGCACACATCACCATGCCTGGCTAATGTTTATATTTTTAATAGAGACGGGGTTTCACCACATTGGCCAGGTTGGTCTCGCAACTCCTGACCTTTATTTTAAAACATTTTCCACCACAGTTTTCCTACTAATTATGTTTTCTTTAATTAAATATTAAAAATAATTCATACATTGAATGCTTCTTACTTGAGAGGCCAGGGGAGGCCTTCATCTGATGAAAACTTGACTATGACTGTGATGTGTAACTAAGATTTATATGTTGTATGATACTTTTTGAAACCACTTCTTTTAGTTTGTTGTTGGCTCTAACATTTTGGAGCAGAAATAAGGGAAAGTTGAAATATAGATAAAGCAGGTTAAGCAATAAACTGATAAAGTCACTGACCTTAATAAACATAATAACAAGTCCTTATATGATTTTTGATTTTTATATTACTTTGAGAATTTTATTAAGAGGATTTATTTTTACTGGGTATTTGGCCACTGACTTAAATGTTAGAAACAAACTTCCTAGAACATTAATTCTTAAATTTTTCATGCTTTAGGTATGGTGGAGGACCAGCTGTCAACCATCTGTACATTTGTCATACTTGCCAAATTGAGGCGGAGAAAATTGAAAAAAGAAGAAAAACTGAATTGGAAATTTTTATTCGGGTAAAAAAGTGATGCTTTTCAAATTGATCTAGGATAAAGATGAAGACCTGACAATTATCAGAGTTATATGATATTAATAAAATGATTAGATGAAAGAGTTGTAATAGATTTCAAGTGTTCTAGGTGCATAATGGTGAATGACCTCAGGCAGTTCACTACAGTTCTGTTGAGTTATGTTCTCCCTTTGTGTGTGTGTGTGTGTGTGTGTGTGTGTGTGTATGAGACAAAATCTTGCTCTGTCGCCCAGGCTGGAGTGCAGTGGTGCAATCTCGGCTCACAGCAACCTCTGCCTCCTAGGTTCAAGCAATTCTCCTGCCTCAGCTTCCCAAGTAGCTGGAACTACAGGCATGCCCCACCACGCTAGGCTAATTTTTGTATTTTTAGTAGAGACAGGGTTTTGCCATGTTGGCCATGCTGGTCTCGAACTCCTGACCTCATGTGATTTGCTGTCTTGGCCCCACAAAGTACTGGGATTATAGGCATGAGCCACTGCTCCTGGCCCCTTTGTGGGTTTTTGCTTTTATGGATTGACAATACTTTTTTTTTTTTTAATGTATTGGCACTGGCAGAAATCTTATTGAAATGGAAAATTACAGGTTTCCTTAAGTTAGTGTTGTCTGTAGTCTATCCAGACTGCATGTACTACTTTGATTCTTTTGTGAGATATAATATTCTTTTGTTTTTTTGAGGGACTCCTGGGCTTATAAATATACTCACTTTTCACAAACTGAGCATATTATGAGGTGTCCCTTAATTGTAAGCAACAGAAAGTGTGGTCATAAAATCAAAAGCATGAACAACCAGGTTTTATGGGCAAGGACTAGTACCCTTCCAATTATTGACGTAGCAAGAAGTCTCTGCAGTACTGTTGTCAGTAACATAACTCCAACTATTTAAGACAATTGAAAATTTGGATCACTTGAGAGACACGTTTATTCATAAATCTACTGAGACACTATTATGGGGAGGAGTAATACTGCAAGAAAAAAATTGGGATTCTTTTAGTAAAAGCAGTGGAGAAGATATTGAGCAGATCAAAATAAGATGTCCAGTATGTTTTGTATTATTCATTTCCTGCACATGTGTAGACACACACACACACCTGCTTTTCCTCATTGATTCAGGGCTTTTTTTGTGCCCTTGCCTAAAGTAAAGTAAATTTTACATAAAAAAGATGCAGGTATAGATTTATTTATTTTACATGGGCTTCATTTGCTTCTTGAATCTAAGGAAGCAAACTTTAGTTGAATATTAAAAATAGTTTTTTCCATCAATGCTTAAATAATGGCTAATGACTGTGTCTGTCAGGATTTGATTAATAGTAGCTATTCTAAGTATTTTGAATAGAATCAGAATGTAGGGAATGAGAGATGTACATTACTATTGAAAGGACTGGGCAGTGAAGGTCAAGAAGACCACTGCTGACTTTCAGGAAATCTAAAAGTGGAATAGGGTACCACATTGTGGGTGGGAGAGAAGCAGTGGCCAAGAATGGTGTTTATAACCACAGAGGGTAAAGAGAATTTCTGTATAGTGAGTGGCATGAGCCCAGTCAAGGGTGTTAGAGCCCAGGCAGGATAAGAAGGGATGCCCATGTTGGCCTGACATTGGTGGCTACAAGGGTACAGCATAGTGGTGGTAGTGGCAGTGAGCGATTGGTTCCATATGGGAAAATGATCAAGACATACGTGTAATGAGTACCAAGTTTCTCATTGTCAGATGAGGAAGTTTCAAATATGGAAAAGGAGAAAACTAAACTGTACCTTGTGTTGTTATTGGATTGGAGTTATGGGTATCTTTGTGAACTCATGATAATAGCTGAGTAAATATGGACGTGTGTGTGTGTGTGTGTGTGTGTGTGTGTATGTGTATGCATGTATAGAAACTTGATATTTCTTAACTCTCACTGAAAGTGCCTTGGATCAATGATTACTCCAGTAGGATTGATCATACCTAGCTCTCAGATATATATATGTCTATATGTTTATATAGATATCTATATCTATATATAGATTGATTACTCCAATCTATTGATTACTCCAGTAGGATTGATCATACCTAGCTGTCAGAGACATATATATATATAGATCTATCTAGATAGATCTATATGTAGCTTTATATAGAGAGAGAATATGTTCTATATTTACAGAATGTTAAAATTAAACATGTATATAAAATATAGATATATAGATATGTATCTATATATATCTATATATTTCTAAATTTTATTTTAAAAGACAGGGTCTCATTCTGTCACCAGGCTGGAATGCAGTGGCTGGTCATAGTTCACTGTAACCTTGAACTCCTAGGCTAAAGGGATCCTCCTGCCTCAGCATCCCGAGTAGCTAGGACTACAGATGCACACCACCATGTGTAGCTAATTTAAAAAATAAATTTTTTTGTAGAGACAGTGTCTTGCTGTCTTGCTCAGGCTGGTCTCTAATTCCTGGCCTCAAGTGATTTTCCTGCCTCTGCCTCCCAAAGCTCTGGGATTACAAGCATAAACTACTGTGCCTAGCCTCAAAATAAATTACAGTAACATATAACCTCATTAAATAAAATAGGAGATACTGCATCCATATTGGTATAAATAAATAAATGAATAAATGGAAAGGATGAGGATTGGAATGCTTATATCATTTCTACTTAACTCCCTCATTAAACACTTATTAATTACAAACGGAAAAGACTAACTTTCAGCAGAGAATCCTGACACCATCTCGATGAAGATAAAATGAGCATCATTAGAAATGAAACAAATCAATTAGTTGGGTGTGCTGGTGTGTAAGTTCCAGATATTCAGGAGGCGGAGGCAAGAGGATCACTTGAGCCCAGGAGTTTAAGACCAGCCTGGACAACATAGCGAGACTTTATATCTTAAAAAAAAGAAAGAAATGAAACAAAATCAAAATTATGTGCCAGAATAGTATACAATTAGAAGAACATGGCACCACTTTTTGGTACACAGGTGGATAACCTGAATCTCAAATGAGGAAAGTCACAAACCCTAATTGAGGGACATTTTATAAAACAACAAACTATTTGGAGGAAAGGAACATCTGTTCAGCAACTTATTCTGAAATCAAACTAGGTAAAGAAAATTTCTTTGTATACTTGGAGTTTTCCTATAAGTTTCAGATTGCTTCAGAGTTTTAAAAAATTCAAAACTGCATAAAGCCCTTGGAAACGATTTCAGCTGTCTGCCTATGGCAGTGCTCAGAAACCTGAGAAGCTACTGCTACTATCAGGACCCAAGTGAATTATTCAAGAGGACGCCCAGGAGACACAGGATGCTGCTGTTAAAGATGTTAGCTGCATACAATACTAAGTGAGATTGGATTCTTTGGAAGATGCTTAGAAGTGGTGGCAAAACCCTACTTATGCTATCTGTGGATGCCTCAAGCCTGCCCAAAGCTGCCACCAGAGGGGAAAATCATTTTTCTTTCTCTTATACCTTTCATATATTTCATATATCATGGTTATATATAGTCTGGTGTACTACTGGCAATGGATCCTGCAAAATGTAGGCTTGTCTTCACAGAAGGGAGTATATGAATACATGAAAATGATGTTCATTAACAGATAATAGAGCACAGCCTACCCCTTTGTCAACTCAGCACCCATATGCACTTACACAACCAAACAACAGTAGCAACAATATCATGCTTCTGCCTGATGTAATACAACTAGCTCCTGCACCAGTATGTGTTGCATTTGCCCTTTCCCCATATTTGGGAGACCCAAAGTCCCACCAGTCACTATACCTATTTCTAAATGATGTTCATAAATCTTTTAGTTCAGAGAGTATAGTCACACTTTTCCCTGTTATGGTCTGTAATCTAAAGAATGAACAGTAACGTTAACCACCACCAATATACCTTATAGTAGTCAAATGAAAGGAAAAAAATAAATTGGTAGTTATTTCAACATCTGGTAAATATTTATAAATATGTACGTGGAGCAAGGAAGAAATATGTATCTATAGCTAATCACTACCCATTTCTTATTTCCTCTGTTCTCAGCCAATACCCTGGCTGGTTGTGAATGTATTTACCTCATAAAATAACCCAGACCTTCATTTCTGAAGGGTTTGAACCCTTAGTAGTCTTGTCTGTATTAAATTTCTCTCTCTGAGTATGGAAATACTAAATGGTGCCTATAGTGGGTTGAATGGTGGTTCCCAAAAAGATATTTCCATACTCTAATCTCTGTAAATTAACCTTATTGGTGAATGTGACCTTACTTGAAAAAAGGGTATTTGCATATGTAAGGATTTTTGAGATGAGATCATCCTCAGTTGTCTGAATGGGCCCTAAATCCAGTAAGTGACCCTTCACAGAGATACACAGCAGAGAGATACGCAGAGAAGAGGTGAAAATCATGAAGATGGAGGCAGAGATTGGAATGATGCAGCTGCAAGGTAGAAGCTTTAGAAGCATGACAGGCAAGGAATGGAGTCTTCCCCTAGAGCCTCTGCAGGGTGAATGGTTCTCCTGACACTTTGATTTTGGAGTTCTGTTCTCTAAAACTGAGAGAATAAATACCTTTTCATTTACCAAATTTGTGGCATTTTGTTATAGCATCCCTCTGAAACTAACACAGTGGGTATAATCTGGTTTCCCAACATAATCCTCTTTGTTCCTACTATGTAGTAATGTAGTATTCATTTTATTTACCCTTTATAACTGGGGTCAGTCATTGCAGCCAGTACTGTAACCTCCTCTTTGCTTGCTGATTCAGTGACATGAGAAACTCAAAATGGCCAGGGGGCTGTCTCAACTTTTAGTCCAGTCAAATTGTTGTTGTGTTCACTTGGGATATAAATCTTCCACATTTAGTAGAGGCCGAAGTTGTGAGTATGGGAAGCAAAACTTGTGTGAATATGTCAGTAGGTAGTAGTAGATGAGCTCTCTTATTTCCTTTACCTGACTCCTAGGTTTATGTATTCCAGTTATGGGAAAAACCACCATATATTGGTTTCTAATTTGGAGCATATACTACATCGTGTAAGATAGTACCAAACCCACAAAGTGTTGCCACCCACACAAAAAAACTAAGTCCAGTAGGCCAACATCTTTTGCATGATAGCGCATGGTAAGATCAGTGAATTTTATGGAAGTAAGCCTGTTTCTTCATTTCTTTTGTGTAAAATGACTTCCATGGTCAGAGCCAATGTAGGATATTATGGTTACGAATGAGTCATTCACTAAGTCCAAGAATAGTGGTACGTGGTAAAACACTGGGTTAGGAAGGTAGACCTAAATCCAGTGTAAGTTATAGGTGTTTACAAATCACGTGTCATCAAAGGACTCATATCCAGACTATGTATATAAAGAACATACAACTCAGTAAGTAAACAAATACTCCAATTGGAAGATAGGCAAAAAATTTGGATAGGAATTACCCTTAAGAAGATAGGTCTAATAAGCACATAAAAAGTACACAGTGTCAGTCATTAGGGAATTCCTATGAATATCAATGATGAGCATGCAAAATGCTGTGTGCCACATGATAAACAGTTTGGTAATTTCTTGTAGGTTCAACTCCTAGTACATGACCCAGCAATCCCACTCTTAGGTATTCATTCCAGAGAAATGAAAATTTATGTTAACATAAAACATGTAAACAAATGTTTATGGCAGTATTGTTCATAATTGCCCAAAACTGGAAACAATTGAAATGTCTATCATCTGACAAATGGATAAACAAAATGTGTTATAGTTGTATAATAAAATGCTACTCAGCAGTAAAAAGATCATGGCGTACTGATCCATGAAGCAACATGGATGAATAGTAGAAACATTATGCCAAGTGTAAGACATACAAAAGACTATATAATGTCTAATTTCATTTATATGAAATTTCTAAAAAGGGAAAAAGTGTGGAGACAAACAGTGATTTCAAGGGCTGAGAGAAGGGGAATTGATTGCAAACTGGTGCAAGACAGCTTTTGTGGGTGTTGGAGGGCTCTAAGCTGGATTGTGGTGACAGTTGCACAACTATAAATTTACAGAAAACCATTAAAGTCCATACGAAGAGTGGGAGGATTACACCTTAATAAAATTTTTTTTTTTTTTTTAAAGCAAATCTGGGGCTGGGCAAGGTGGCTTATGCCTTGCTAGCACTTTGGGAGGCTGAGAATAGGGGATTGCTTGAGCCTAGGAATTGGAGATTACGGTGAGCTATGACCATGACCCTGCACTCCAGCCTAGGCAACAGAGCAAGACCCTGTCTTTAAAAATAAATAAAATTGGCTGGGCTCAGTGGCTCATGCCTGTAATCCCAGCACCTTGGGAGGCTGAGGCAGGCGGATCACTTGAGGTCAGGAGTTCAAGACCAGCCTGGCCAACATGGTGAAACCCCATCTCTACTAAAAATACAAAAATTAGCCAGGCATGGTGGCGGGTGCCTGTAATCCCAGCTACTAGGGAGGCCGAGGCAGGAGAATCGCTTGAATTGGGGAGGTGGAGATTGCAGTGAGCCGAGATCGCACCACTGCACTCCAGCCTGGATGAAAGAGTGAGATTCTGTCTCAAAAAAAAAAATAAAAAATAAAAAGTGCAAACCTATTATTATTCTATAATATTAGGGTTTTTTTTGTTTTATTCAGCCCCCCCCCTTTTTTTTTTAAACAAAGCATTTGTGTTAACAGAAATAACACTGGAATATAAAAATAGGTGCCCTTAGTGGATTGGAAGCTAAGTGAAGTTTCTGAAAAACCGAAAAAGCAGATAGGATCAGATCAAAGAAGCAAGCCAAGGGCCACAGGAAATGACTGTGTGGGCTTTAATTTTGGAAGTGACAGATACGGATGATGACCTTAGCATTCTGCCTGTTGCACTGTACCAGGCAGCAAGTATAAAGGTATCTGCCTGGGTAGAGCAGTGAGTGTAGACCATGTGAAGTATGATTGATATTCAGGGAGATACATAAGGATATTGTATCCTAAATAACAAAACAAAACCTCAATAGATGGGTTGATTGAATGGCAAAATAAATACTATTGGAGAGGAAATGAGTATGCTGAAAGATATAGCGGAAAGATTTCTTCTAAGGTGAAGCACAAAAAGATAAACAGAAGGAAGAAAAGTTTTGACATGTTGGATAGCTATAGGATCCATTGTTTTTCTATTATGTATTTTTTAAAAGAGAACAGAGTGAGAACTACATTTAGAGTAACCATTTAGATAAATTTTCCAGAACTAGAGAGAAACACATCCTTAAATTAATGAGGTAACTGTGCTTAACTAAATTTTAAAAAGCGCCTACCTAAACACATAGGAAGTAACTTCTTAATACCAAAGATAAAGTAAGTCCTGAAAGTTTTCAAACATGGTAGTGGTATGAATTTAATGGTTGTTAGAATCCAGCATCTGGCAGATTCAGTCTGATATGACATTTTAGAACTCTCAGTTCTCTAGGGATAAGTTGCACATCACAGAAAGCCCGAACTTTAATTCCATGCCTTGAGACAAATATGCCTTAATTTCTTTGTTAACCATCAGAGACTGCCACAGCATTTTCCATTTCATTGTTCCATTGAAGCAGCTACCTTGTGTCCCAGAAAGATCTTTGCCTTCAGAGAGCTTATATATGCATACACACACACATATATACTTTTTTTTTTTTTTTGAGACAAGTTGTTGCTCTTTTGCCCGGGCTGGAGCACGGTGGCATGATCACAGCTTTCTGCAGCCTCGATCTCCCACGCTCAAGAGATCCTCCACATCAGCCTCCTGATGAATAGCTGAGACTATAGGCGTGTGCCACCATACCCAGTTAATTTTGCAGCCTTGATCTCCCAGGCTCAAGAGATCCCCCACATCAGCCTCCTGATGAATAGCTGGGACTATAGGGATGTGCCACTGCACCCAGCTAATTTTTTGTGTATTTTTAGTAGAGATGGGGTTTTAACCATGTTGCCCAGGCTGGTCTTGAATTTTCTGGTCTCAAGTGAGCCACTGTGCCATGCCAGAGCTTATATTTAATAAATATGTTATATGTTATATTAAAAGGTGATGGGTACAATGGAAAAGGGAAACATTGAACAGAATTAGAGGCACCAAGATTACACTGGTGAGGGGGAGGAGTCAGGTTGGAGTTTTATATTTTATTTTACTTTTGAGATGGAGTCTTGCTTTTTTGTCCAGGCTAGAGTGCAGTGGCACGATATCGGCCCACTGCAACCTTCTCGTCCCGGGTTCAAGTGATTCTCCTGCCTCAGCCTCCCAAGTAGCTGGGATTACAGGCACCCACCACCATGCCTAGCTAATTTTTGTATTATTAGTAGAGATGAGGTTTCACCATGTTGGCCAGACTGGTCTCGAACTCCTGACCTCAGGTGATCTGCCTTGGCCTTCCAAAGTGCTGGGATTACAGGCGTGAGCCACTGCGCCTGGCCCAGGTTGGAGTTTTAAACAGGGTGGTCAAGATAGGCCTCATTGAGAAGATGACATTTAAGCAAAGACTTAAAGGAGGTAAGGGAGATAGTCATTCAGACACCTGCAAAAAGAAGGGTTAGTGCAAAAGGCTTGTGAGGCAGAGGTGTATTTGTTTGGTTCTGGCAATAACAAAGTGGCCAGTATGATCACCAGTGAAAAATGAGGAAGAAAGAAGATGAGGTCAGATTATGGGGTGAGATCATGGAGGTACTTCTGGGCTATTTTTATAAGGGTATCTGTGAATAATTACAGGGTTTTGATTAATTTGGTTAGAGGAATTATATAATCTGAACTTGGTTGTCTTTGTCCACAGGTAGTGTGTTCCATGGATTGAATTGCCCATCATGAGATGGGCAATTACTTACACACTACTACACACTACTTACACACTACTTACACACTACTACAATTAGATTAATTCCAAATACTCTTAATTTTCCCGAGCCTCTTTTGCTTGTGCTTCTCTTTCTATATCAGTTTTTCTCTCACTTGGGTTTTTTTTTAATTGCAAGTGGTAGAAGCCAGACTGGCTAACCTGGCAAAAAAGAAATTTACTAAGAATAAAAATTGAAAAACCAGACCTCCAAAAGTTTGAGAACTAAGGTAGCCCTGAGTATCTACCTGAATTGACATTGGAATGATTCCATTCTAACCATTAGGTCACTTCTCTGAAGATTTTTATTTCTGACAGAGTTGTGTATAGTTTGAGTCATATACCCATTCCTTAGGCCTGAGGGCTGGAAGAGGGAATTGGTCTTCAGGGACTGTCCCACCACTTATTAGAATTTACTTATACATTTATGTATATTGCTTGTGAAATGACATGTACAAGATCATTCATTCATTGCAGCATGGTAATAGCAAGTTGTCTACCAGTATCTTAAGTAAACAAAAAGTATAGACTGTGGATATAGTATGTGTACATAAAGTTTACACATTAGATTTTTAATAAATATGTGGCGTATTTATTGTTTTGAAGACTTTGTCTTGACCATCTTCATTTACCCAGTCTTTATGCCCCTTTTATGTATACTTGTTAAATTTTGAGACAGAACCTAGAATTGTTTATTCATAGATGCTACCACGTATTCTAGTACTAAGTTAGCATACATCTTACTGTACCACTGGTTTTTTTTTTTTTTTTTTTTTTTTTTTTTTTTTTTTGAGACAGGGTCTTGTTCTGTCACCCAGGCTGGAGTACAGTGGCACAATCACGGCTCACTGTAGTCTCAACCTTCTGGGCTCAAGTAATCCTCCTACCTCAGCTTCCCCGAATAGCTGGGACTACAGGTGCAAATCACCTCACACAGCTAATTAAAAAAATTTTTTGTGTGTGTAGGCCGAGTGTGGTGGCTCACATCTGTAATCCCAGCACTTTGGGAGCCCAAGGCAGGTATCACTTGAGGTCAGGAGTTCAAGACCAGCCTGGCCAACATGGCAAAACCTCATTTCTACTAAAAATACAAAAATTAGCCAGGTGCGGTGGCAGGCACCTGTAATCCTAGCTACCCGGGAGGCTGAGGCTGGAGAATCACTTGAACTTGGGAGGCGGAGGTTACAGTGAGCCCAGATCGTGCCATTGCACTCCAGCCTGGGCAACAACAGCAAAACTCTATCTCAAAAATAAATAAATAAAAATAAAAAATAATGTTTTTTTTGTAGAGATGTTCTCACGATGTTGCCCAGACTGGTTTGGAACTCCTGGGTTCAAGGACTCCTCCTGCCTCAGCCTCCCAAAGTGCTGAGTTATCAAACACTGAAGTGGAATGATGGTATTGTTTTGCCATAAAGCAAGTTTTAGATATTAGATGACTGTTTTTTTTCCCCCTTGTAGCTTAACAGAGCGTTCCAAAAAGAGGACTCTCCAGCTACTTTTTATTGCATCAGTATGCAGTGGTTTAGAGAATGGGAAAGTTTTGTGAAGGGTAAAGATGGAGGTAAGTGGTTGACTGAAAAATTTTTTTTTGGTAAATTATTTGTTTTTTTGTTTGACAAGTATTTCTTGAATATCTGTGTGCACTTGGGATTACACTATTGAACAGAAGAGAAAAAGATCCTGTCCTCAGGGATCTTACGTTCTAGTTTATATTCTGTTGGTTGTAAATTTTGTTAAACTTATTTTATGAATTATAGCAGGAATAAGAGGACTGAACAAAGTAAATCTGTGATCTTAATGTTGAAAAAATTTTAGAAATCTTTATAAGGAATAAGAGGTTGCTTAAAGTATGGTTTATTCAATACAGTGGACTTTTAAAGTAAAATTGTATGACAATATTTAATAATATGAAAATAAGATATTCTGATATGTGCCAGGCACGGTGGCTCACGCCCATAATCCCAAAAGTTTGGGAGGCTGACGTGGGTGGATCACCTGACGTCAGGAGTTCAAGACCAGCCTGAAACATAGTGAAACCCTGTCTCTACTAAAAATACAAAAATTAGCTGGGTGTGGTGGCAGTCACCTGTAATCCCAGCTACTCAGGAGGCTGAGGCAGGAGAATTGCTTGAATCCACGAGGCGGAGGCTGCAGTGAACTGAGATCATGCCACTGTACTCCAGCCTGGGTGACAGAGCAAGACTTTGTCTTTAAAAAAAAAAAAAAAAAAAAGATTCTGATATGTGAAAAAGGCTGCAACAATATGCCTAGTTAAAGCTTTTTGTATTTATGTATTTACTTTTTAAAATTTTAAATTAATAGAGACAAGGTCTTAACCCTGTTGCCCAGGTTTAAGTACAGCAGCATGATTATGGCTCACTGCAGCCCTGAACTCTCAGCCCATGCGATCCTCCTACCTCCATCTCCTGAGTAGTTGGGACTACAGGCATGTACTACCACACTTGGCTAATTTAAAAATTATTTTTTACAATTATTTGTAGAGACATGGTCTCACAGTGTTGCCCAGGAACTCCTGGGCTCAAGCAGTGCACCAACCTTGGCCTCCCAAAGTGCTGAATTACTGAGTTCTCTCTGTATTGTCCAGGCTGGCCTCAAACTCCTGGGCTCCAGCGATCCTCTTGCTTCAGCCTCCTGAGTAGCTGGGACTATAGGTGCACACCACCATATCTGGCTTTTCTACACCTTTAAAAAAATTTATTTTTATTTTGTAAGTTCCAGCATACATGTGCAGGATGTGCAGGTTTGTTACATAGGTAAACATGTGCCATGGCGATTTGCTCCACCTATCAACCCATTACCTAGGTATCAAGCCCAGCATGCATTAGCTGTTTTTCCTGTTGTTCTCCCACCCCTCATCCCTCAACCCCCACCAACAGGCCCTAGTGTGTGTTCTCCTCCCTGTGTCCTTGTGTTCTTGTTGTTCAGCCCCCACTTATAAGTGAGAACATGCAGTGTTTGGTTTTCTGTTCTTGCATTAGTTTGCTGAGGATAATGGCTTCCAGCTCCATCCATGTCCCTGCATAGGACATGATCTCTTTCCTTTTTATGGCTGCGTAGTATTCCATAGTGTATATTTACCACATTTTCTTTATCCAGTCTATCATAGATGGGCATTTGGGTTGATTCCTTATCTTTGCTATTGTGAATAGTGCTGCCATGAACATATGTGTGCATGTATCTTTATAATAGAATGAATTGTGTTCTTTTGGATATATACCCAGTAATGGGATTGCTGGGTCAAATGGTATTTCTGGTTCTAGGTCTTTGAGGAATTGCCACACTGTCTTCCACAATGGTTGAACTAATTTACATTCCCACCAACAGTGTAAAAGTGTTCCCATTTCTCCACAGCCTCGCCAGCATCTCTTGTTTCTTGACTCTCTCTTTTTTTTGAAAAAGAGGCTCACTTTGTCACTCAGGCTGGAGTGGAGTGGCGTGATCTCAGCTCATTGCAACCTCCTCCTGGGTTCAGACGATTGTCCTGCCTCAGCGTCCTGAGTAGCTGGGATTACAGGTGCCGCTGTCATGCCTGGCTAATTTTTCTATTTTTAGTAGAGATGGGGTTTCACCATGTTAGCCAGGTTGGTCTCAAACTCCTGATCTCAAGTGAGCCACCTGCCTCGGCCTCCCAAAGTGGTGGGATTACAGGCATAAGCCACTGGGCCCAGCCTGTTTCTTGACTTTTTAATAACTGGCATTCTGACTGATGTGACATGGTATCTCATTGTGGTTTTGATTTGTGTTTCTCTAATGATCAGTGATGTTGATCTTTTTTTCATGTTTTTTTGGCCACATAAATGTCTTCTTTTGAGAAGTGTTCATGTTCTTTGTCCACTTTCTAATTGGGTTTTTTTAATTGTAAATTTGTTTAAGTTGCTTTTACAACTTTTGATGATGACCATGCGGTTCACTTTTGCCTTAAATTTTAAAAAGAATGTATTTAAACGGTTTCTTTTATAATGCTTTTATTGTTCTTAATGTTACTTTGATAATCTGAAGCAAATTAATTGTATAATTTCTTTCAAATTACAAAGGAATTGCTATTTTATAGCATTAGTGGTACATTTTGACTTGTAATCCCCAAATGGAGAGTTAAAAAATAATTTCTGGGCCGGGCGTGGTGGCTCATGCCTGTCATCCCAGCACTTTGGGAGGCCGAGGGGGGTGGATCACGAGGTCAGGAGATCAAGACCATCCTGGCTAACACGGTGAAACCCCATCTCTACTAAAAATACAAAAAATTAGCTGGGCGTGGTGGTGGGTGCCTGTAGTCCCAGCTACTCGGGAGGCTGAGGCAGGAGAATGGCATGAACCTGGGAGGCGGAGCTTGCAGTGAGCCGAGATGATGCCACTGCACTCCAGCCCTTGGCAACAGAGCGAGACTCCGTCTCAAAAAAAAAAAAAAAAACAAAACATTTCTGTTAAACTGTGATGGTTGTGAACGAGCCTCTCTTACCTTCTTTCCTGGTTCTGTTTTGGGGGAACTAAGAACTAAAAACGAAGAAGCTCAGGAGAAGACATTAAGAATTAACCATAGGCCAGGTGTAGTGGCTCACGCCTGTAATCCCAGCACTTTGGGAGGCTGAGGTGGGTAGATCGTGAGGTCAGGAGTTCGAGACCAGCCTGACCAACATGGTGAAACTCCCATCTCTACTAAAAAAAAAAAAAAAAGCAAAAATTAGCCGGGCGTGGTGGTGTGTGCCTGTATTCCCAGCTACTCAGGAGGCTGAGGCAGGAGAATCACTTGAACCCAAGGCGGAGGTTGCAGTGAGCTGTGATGGTGCCACTGCACTCCAGCCTGGGCAACAGAGCGAGACTCCATCTCAAAAAAAAAAAAAAAGAATTAACTATAATAATTTGCCTGAGAAATAACCAGTCTGATAATGTAGTTATAGGTCACAATTTTGTCAAGCACAAAATTATGCAATTTTTTGTTACATTTCTTTGAAAAATACATTTTGATATTTTTTCCTTTAGATCCTCCAGGTCCTATTGACAATACTAAGATTGCAGTCACTAAATGTGGTAATGTGATGCTTAGGCAAGGTAAGTTTGACTCGTATTTAAGCTTTTACTTGTGAGTGATTTGTCACTGTTAGAAATATGTTATCATTAGTCATCTATAGTACTTTTTTATTCAACTGAAGAATGTAATCCATACATTAACTAGGGCAAGTAATGAAAAGCAGCCACTTTTTTTTTATCTGAGGAAAGGTCTTAAGGCTGTTGTTAAGAGCAAAGCAAAAGCATCTCTGACTTTTTAAGACAAGCCATATGTTTCAGCTTATAACAATATGGGCTGGTAGTCTGCAGATTCATGTTCCAGAAGTTCTCAATTATCCCGAGAAGATTCATGCTGGGGGGTACATTATGAACGCTTTTGCAATATGAATATATAGGTTTGTAAACATTATTTCTTCTACGTAATTTTAAGGAGCAGATTCTGGCCAGATTTCTGAAGAAACATGGAATTTTCTGCAGTCTATTTATGGTGGAGGGCCTGAAGTTATCCTGCGACCTCCGGTTGTTCATGTTGATCCAGATATACTTCAAGCAGAAGAAAAAATTGAAGTAGAAACTCGGTCTTTGTAATTTTTAGGATGTAGAGAGTTCTAATGAGGAATCATTTTCATGTGCCCTGACATGTACACATGCGAAAACATTCCTAAAAGCGTGTTTATTTGCTTTATTTTTTTTCATCATTTATCCCATTTATTTCTTCTTAGTGGGCATTATGGAAGAATATATTAAAATGTGTAATATACCACAGGTTGGTATATTTAGTTTTAAATACTTACCATAAAGTCTTTCAGTGTAATTTTTTTTTGAGACAGAGTCTTGCTTTGTCACCCAGGCTGGAGTGCTGTGGTGTTACCTCAGCTCACTGCAGCCTCCACCTCCTGGGTTCAAGCGATTCTCCTGCCTCAGCCTCTCGAGTAGCTGGGATTACAGGCACCTGCCACCATGCCCGGCTAATTTTTGTATTTTAGTAGAGATGGGGTTTCACCATGTTGGCCAGGCTAGTCTCAAACTCCTGACCTCAGGTGATCCACCCACCTCGGCCTCCCAAAGTGCTGGGATTACAGGTGTGAGCCACAGCGCCTGGCCCAGTGTAATATTTTTGAAAGAGGAGGGACAATTGTGAAATCAGTAGGTTATCTTTAATCTTTACACTACATGCAGATCCATAGTATCCTTTGTAGTGTTGTAAATACTTTTGCTTTGAAAACTTTTTCATTGTCCTAAATCACCCTGACTCTGACCAGTCTTTCAGTTCTCCAAAAGCCCAATTTAATTGTATAGTTTTGTCATGGCTTCATATAATAAAGAGCCTATTTTAAGTTGAAAGTAGTAGTCAGAAAATTGTTAATTTCCTAAAGCTCAGGAAACTAGGGTGTCACTTTTTTTGCACTGCAGCATATACACTAACTAGCTTATTAAAATTTACAAAATGTCTTTTTGAATGTATCAAGGATATATTTAGTTTGAGTGGAATTTGTCAGCAGATATCAGTAACTTATTGCCGCTTATATTGTACAATGTTAAACTTCAATTCCTGTAACCTGGTTAGTATTAATGTCAGTGACTAAAAAACTTAGAGTTAGTTTTAGGGCACTTTTTATTTTGAGAGCATGAAGTGTGGAATGTGTCACTACGATTGTTGATAAAGCTGAGGCCACTTGCAACTTGATTTTTTAAATGAAATAGATAAAGTCTTTTTGAATAATATAGTATGCACTGCTATTTGCTTGATTATGTAATGTCAAAAGTTTAACTATATTCCAAGTACAAAAACATACTGGATTACATTGAGGATGTTGAATAGCATTCATGATGGCTTTGTTTTGGTTTGGGGCAGCTGTCACCAGCTAAAGCAATGTTGTTAAAATTAGCTCAATAAAAATGTCTTTAAAATGTAAAACTTGAATGTTGAATTTATTTGATAGATGTTAAAGGTAAAAGGTGCAAAGTTTGTTAATATTAATACCTTCTTGCTGTTCCTATTTTATTTTATTTATCTATTCTTTTGAGACAGAGTCTCACCCTTTCCCAGGCTGGAATGCAGTGTCACAGTCTTGGCTCACTGCAACCTCCGCCTCCCAGGTTCAAGTGATTCTCCTGCCTCAGCCTCCCAAGTAGCTGGGATTACAGGTATGAGCCACCACACCCAGCTAATTTTTGTATTTTTAGTAGAGATGGGGTTTCACCATGTTGGCTGGGCTAGTTTCAAACTCCTGACCTCAGGTGATCCACCTGCCTTGGCTTCCGAAAATGTTGAGATTACAGGTGTGAGCCACTGTGCCCAGCCAGTTTATTTTAAAATTTTTATTTATTTTGAGACTGGGTTATGAGACTGGCTAATTTTTATCTCTTTTTTTGGTAGAGATGGGGTTTTGCTATTTTGCTCAGGCTGGTTTCAAACTCCTGGGCTGAAGTGATCCAGCCACCTCGGCCTCCCAAAAAGCTGGGGTTATAGGTGTGAATCACTGCACCCGGCCTCTTGTTATTTCTTAATCAGAAGTATGCAAACAAGTCATTCAGTCTAGTAAAGTTGGTTTTTATTTATTATTTTATTTTTTTTTTAGACAGGGTCTCTCGAGCTCTGTCACCCAGACTGGAGTGCCTGGCGTTGAATACAGCTCACTGCAGTCTCCATCTCCTGGGATCAAGCGATCCTCCCACCTCAGCCTCCTGAGTACCTGAGACCACAGGTGTGCACCACCACACCTGGATAATTTGTTTTATTTTTTGTAAAGTCTGACTTTATTGCTTGGGCTGGTAATCAGTGTAGTAAAATTTTGATGTTTAATGAAATGAATTTTAATAAGCAGCCATTTAAGATCTATTTGAAGTTTTAAAAAATATATAGTAAAATATGATTCTACTATAGTAAAATATGATCTTCCTCAAGGTCTGAATGTTACTGATTTTTTGTGAATCACCAGAATTTAGTGTATTGTCTAGTATTTAGTGGTTAGTCAAAAAAGATTTGATTTTAATGATTGTTATTTATTGAAACTTAGAATGTTTCAGTCATTTTACTAAAGTTATTTCCTTATATTTAATCCTCCTAACAACTCTATGATATAGGTTAAATGGTTTGCCCAAAGTCATACAGCAAAGAAGTGGCAGATACAGGACTCCAACTCATGGCTTTATATAATAAAGAGCCTATTTTAAATTGAGACTAGTAGTCAGAAAATTATTTACCATAATGTAATCCCCAATGAATTCCTTTGAAACTGGTTGTGGTATCAGTCATATCAGTAGTGTCTGTTATTGGGATATATAATAAGATAAAGATACTGGTCCCTAAGAGCTTATATATATATATATATATATATATTTTTTTTTAATAGTTTTTTCGAGACAGGGTCTCACTCTGTCGCTCAGGCTGGAGTGCAGTGGTGCAATCTCAGCTCACATGCGACCTCGACCTCCTGGGCTCAAGCAATTCTCCCACCTCAGCATCCTGAGTAGCTGGAACTACAAGAATATGCCACCACACCCAGCTAATTCTTGTATTTTTTGTAGAGGCAGCATTTTGCCATGTCACCCAGGCTGGTTTCGATCTCCTGAACTCAAGCAATCCACCCGCCTTGGCCTCCCAAAGTGTTGGGATTACAGGCGTGAACCACCATGACCGGCCAATTTTTTTTACATTATAATTGTCAAAATACATAATATGTTCAGTAAAGGTCTAGCAATACCATAGACTCATAGCTAAAAATTGATCTATGTGTTGACAGATGTGGGATAAAATAAATAGTTTCTCTAAGGATGATTTTCCTGGAAATAAGCTGAGAATTAGGAAAATTGCAATCAAAGGCTAGTGAGAGCCTATATGTGTTAAGAGTCTATTGATTTATAGGCCAGGTGTGGTGGCTCATGCCTGTAATCCCAGCAGTTTGGGAGGCCAAGGTGGGTGGATCACTTGAGGTCAGGAGTTTGAGACCAGCCTGACCAACATGGTGAAACCCCATCTCTACTAAAAATACAAAATTAGCTGGCGTGGTGGCATGCGCCTGTAATCCCAGCTACTTGGGAGGCTGAGGCAGGAGAATTGCTTGAACCCGGGAGGCAGAGGTTGCAGTGAGCCAAGATCGTGCCACTGCACTCCAGCCTGGGCAACAAGAGCAAAACTCCATCTAAAAAAAAAAAGAAAAAAGAGTCTTGATTTATAATATGAAGGTGATTACTTTTGAGGCCCTGAAGTCCATTTGTTTAAATTCAAGTCCTAGTAGCTATATTAACTATGATTTGGAACAATATTTAAAGTTCTCTGATTTCCAGTTTTCTTCATTTGCTAAATGAGAATGTTGTAGTTTGGGCTTTCCAGGAAGCAGACACTGAGATAGTGTTAATGCATGCATATGATTTGTTGGGGAATAACACAGATGAAAGAAATGAGAGAAACAGGATTGAGCAGGAGGAGTAACCAGAATGATGCAGACCTGACAAATTCTCTGCCAGGTCTCCATAAGGCAATATGGAGCTAAGATTACCCATTGGAGGAGCCCTGCATTGGGCAGAAATGACTAGGTCCTTGTACTGTCACTAGGCCTTGTTCTGTCACTGACTAGTGGCTACCTGGAAAGGAGAATACACTCAGCTTGACCCTGATGGAGCTAACAGAGGTTGTTACCCAACCCTCTTCCTCTCAGCTGCGCAGCAAGTGCTTTCTGGAAGAGGGGTCTGAACAGCAATCTTCATGGCTGCCACACTTAATCATAGGATTATGATAATTATGTGTATTATATATAATATATACAACATAATTGGCACTCGGTGATGTAATTCATCATTCTCTTTCTCCTTTTCAAAATGTGTAATTTCTTTTTTTTTTTTTTTTGAGATGGAGTCTCTCTGTCGCCCATGCTGGAGTGCAGTGGCGTGATCTCTGCTAACTGCAACCTCTGCTTCTCAGGTTCAGGCAATTCTCCTGCCTCAGCTTCCCGAGTAGCTGGGACTACAGGTGCACGCCACCATGCCTGGCTAATTTTTGTATTTTTAGTAGAGACGGGGTTTCACCATGTTGGTTAGGCTGGTCTCAAACTCCTGACCTCAAGTGATCCACCCGCCTCAGCCTCCCAAAGTGCTGGGATTACAGGCGTGAGCCACCACGTGCTAGGCCCAAAATGTGTAATTTCTAAGGATGCAACATTATTTATGTAAGAGTCCTGTCAAAAATGTTGAATCTGAATCTATGAAGAGAAGAGAAGCAAGATAACTTTTTATATTTAAATTTCAATAGTTTTGGGGTACAGGTGGTTTTTGGTTACATGGATAAGTTCTTTAGCAGTGATTTCTGAGATTTTGGTGCACTAGTCACTCGAGCGGTGTACATTTTACCTAAATGTAGTCTTGTATCCGTCAGTCCCTCCCAAACTTACATCCCAGTTCCGAAAGTCCATATCATTCTTATGCCATTGCATCCTTATAGCTTAGCTTCCACTTATAAGTGAGAACATATGACATTTGGTTTTCCATTCCTGAGTTACTTCACTTAGAATACCAGTTCCATCCAGGTTGCTGCAAAAGACATTATTTCATTCCTTTTTATGGCTGAATAATATTCCATGGTGTATATATACCACATTTTCCTTTTTTTTTTTTTCTTGAGACAGAGTTTCACTCTTGTCGCCCAGGCTGGGGTGCAATGGCGCAACCTCAGCTCACTGCAACCTCCACTTCCTGGGTTCAGGCAATTCTCTTGCTTCAGCCTCCCGAGTAGCTGGGATTACAGGTGCCCGCCACCACGTCCAGCTAATTTCTGTATTTTTAGTAGAGACGGTGTTTCACCATATTGGCCAGGCTGGTCTAGAACTCCTGACCTCAGGTGATCTGCCTGGCTCGGCCTCCCAAAGTGCTGGGATTACAGGTGTGAGCCATAGTGCCCATATACCACATTTTCCTTATCCATTTGTTAGTTCACAGGTACTTAGGTTGGTCCCATATCTTTGCACCTGCGAATTGTGCTGCTGTAAACATGCATGTGCATGTGTCTTTCTCATATGACCTCTTTTCCTTTGGGTAGATACCCAGTAGTGGGATTGCTGGATCAAATGGTAGTTCTACTTTTAGTTCTTTAAGGAATCTCCATACTGTTTTCCACAGTGGTTGTACTAGTTTACATTTCCACCAGCAATGTAAAAGTGTTCCCTTTTCACCACATCCATGCCAACATCTATTGTTTTTTGACTTTTTAATTATGGCCATTCTTGCAGGAGTAAGGTGGTATGTTATTGCAGTTTTAATTTGCATTTCCCTGCTAATTAGTGATGTTGAGCATTTTTTCATATGTTTGTTAGCTGTTTGTATATCTTCTTTTGAGAATTGTCTCTTCATGTCCTTTGCCCACTTATTGCTGGGATTATTTTTTTTTCATGCTGATTTGTTTGAGTTCCTTGTAGATTGTGGATATTAGTTCTTTGTCAGATGCGTAGTTTGCGAATATTTTCTCCCACTCTATGGGTTGTCTGTTTACTCAAGATAATTTTTTTTTTTTTCGAGACAGAGTCTCACTCTGTTGCCCAGGCTGCAGTGCAGTGGTATGATCTTGGCTCAGTTCAAGTGATTCTTCTGCCTCAGCCTCCTGAGTAGCTGTGACTATAGGCGCACGCCACCCCACCTAGCTAATTTTTGTATTTTTGTAGAGACTGGGTTTGACCGTGTTGGTCAGGCTGGTCTCAAACTCTTGACCTCAAGTGATCCACCTGCCTCTGCCTCTCAAAGTGCTGGGCTTACAGGCGTGAGTCACTGTGCCCAGCCCTCAGGATTTTTTTTTTTTTTTAGATGGAGTTTTGCTCTTGTCACCCAGGTTGGAGTGCAATGGCATGATCTCGGCTGACTGCAACCTCCGCCTCCCAGGTTCAAGCGATTCTCCTGCCTCAGCCTCCCATAGCTGGGATTACAGGCACCTGCCACCATGCCCAGCTAATTTTTTCTTTGTATTTTTAGTAGAGACGGGGTTTCGCCATGTTGGTGAGGCGGCTCTTGAACTCCTGACCTCAGGTGATCCGTCCACCTCGGCCTCCCGAAGTGCTGGGATTACAGGCGTGAGCCACCGCGCCCAGCCAGGATAATTTTTTTAAAGGCATATTTTATAAACCCAGCTTGCCTGGATTCTAAAAAATTAGTGTTATGATAGACAGAAAAAGGCTAGATGAAGATTAAGAGAACATGACTACTAAATGCAATGTGTGATCCTAGGTTGGGCCCTGGATTGGAAAAGATAATATCTAAGGAACAATATTGGAACAGTTTAGGAAATTTGAATATAGAATATGTATTAGATATTAGGTAATATATCAATGTTAAGTTTCTTGAGTATGATAACCAGTAACATAGGAGAACAACCTTGTTAGGAAATTTACGCAGAAATGCTGGTTTTTAGGGTTGAAGTCATGCTAATTTGAAACACACACATACACACACACACACATACACACACACACAGACTATAAGAGTTTCCTACCTAGGATATGCTGTTTACCTCTTCCAAGCCCACAGAATTGCTTTCAGCCTAGACTGAGAGATGTTGTAATAAGGAGTCCTATAAAATTAACTGTTGGATTTACTAGAAAGATGCTGTTAAGGATACTCTTCACATGATGTTGTCGTTGTGAGAAACTGAGAGAAATTCATCTTTAGTCTTAGTCCTGGAGTAGTAATGCCTCCTGTGGGCAAAATATTTGTTACCCTAGGCATACTGAACCTGTTATAACTGATTTTGTTTTTCCTTGTTACAACATCTGCTACAAAGCTTAAAGCAAGTGTTCAGGACCTTAGAGCATGGTTTTTGTTTTTGTTTTTTTAAATTATTTATTTTGAGACAGTTGTGCAGTGTTGCCTAGGCTGGAGTGCAGTGGCATGGTCATGGCTCACTGCAGCCTCAACCTCCCATGCTCAAGCAATCCTTCCACCTCAGGCTCAGCTGGGACCACAGGCATGCACCACCACACCTGGCTAATTTATTTTTATTTTTTGTAGAGATGGGGTCTCACTATGTTGCCCAGGTTGACCTTGAACTCCTGTGCTCAAGCAATCCTTCTAGCTTGTCCTCCCAAAGTGCTGGGACTACAGAGGTGTGAGCCAGTGCATCCAACCAAGCATGTATTTTTGTGCATCATTTTTGTTTCTATTTTCTTTTTGCCCTAAATTTCCCATTTTAATTATTTTGAATTGTATTTTACCTATTATACTGATTTTTTTGGGTAAGCTACATGTCTTTTTAGAAAGAAGCAAGGTATAGTTATTAAAAATATGGCCTTTTTGGTGATGTACAGCAATGTCTTCCCCACCAGACAGTAGGCACCAAAAGGTTTTGTCTTGTTCACCCCCTTGTGTTTAACATAATGTATGAGACAAAATAGGTTCCTGGTAAATTTGTCTAATAAGTTCACATTTAGGACTCCATTTTCAAATTTCTTCCTCACTGGTTTTTGGTTACCACTGTTCAGTTTTCCTTTACAGTTCTGGTCCCTCATTTCTCCTTTGTAGTTTTTACTTTCTTCCTTGACCTCAACAATGTCAGTGCTTCTCAGGGTTTTGTTCTTGATTTTGTTTTTCTCACTCTGCTCTCCCTGGGTAACCAAATCTAAACCTCAGGTTCCAGTTAACTATTTCTAAGCTAAAGACTCACAAACCTGTACTTCCAGCTCAGACCTGAAGCCAGCATCCTCGACATGTATCTAACTGACTCTTGGGTTCTTCATTTAGATGTACTGGGGTTGCCTGAAACTCAGTATACTCTAATGAAACACATCATTACCCCATCTAAACTTGCTCCTACTTTAGTATTTTCTGTGGTCATCAATAACACCTCCATCTCCGTGGTCACCCAAGCCTAGACTCTCCTTTCACTTCCCACTAATTCAACCACCCAAATCTTAAGAGATTCAGCCCCCAAAAGATCTGGACATATACTGCGTTTGGACATGAGGGCACTTATTAAACCAATCATAATGCCATGATAGTGCCCCCAAACAGAAAAGTGGTTAAATAAATTATGCAATCATTTATCAGGGTTTATTTTTATTTTTTAGAGATGGGGTCCCACTGTGTTGGCTCAGGCTGGGCTGCAGTGGCATGATCATAGCTCACTGCAGCCTCAAACTCCTTGGCTCAGGTAATCCTTCTGCCTTAGCCTCCAGAGTAGCTGGGAGTACAGGTGTGTACCACCAAGCCTGGCTAATTTTAAAATATTTTTTATAGAGATGGGATGTTGCTATGTTGCCCAAGCTAGGCCTGAACTCCTGACTTCAAGTGATTCTCCCACATTGGCCTCCCAAAGTGCTGGGATTACAGGTGTAAGCCACCATGCTTGGCCCAGTTCTTGGGGTTTTTGAAGAATATTTAATGACATAGAAAAAAGCTTATGATCCAATGAAAGAAATTAGGATATATGACTTCATCTTAGATTTTATATACGTGGGAAAAAAAACAGTGGTTTCTTTCAGGCAATAGTAAGTAGTAGTAGTAAATAAATAATAACTTCCATCCCATGTAGGGGGCTTTGCATCAACTGTTCTCTTTCTCTGGAGTGTTTTTCCCACCTTTGCCCAACTCCTAAATGCATTCACACTTTAGAAGTGGTGAATGCATACTTCATCTCAGATTGGATGTTGCTTCCTCAGAAGTACTTTAGAACATGTATGTACTTTTGGGTATATGGACATATTCTCATAGTGACCTGCGCTTTTTTTTTGTATATTCTCCAATTTAAAACTTTTAATTAAAAAGTAAACTTTAAGGCCGGGCGCGGTGGCTCACGCCTGTAATCTCAGCACTTTGGGAGGCCGAGGTGGGCGGATCACAAGGTCAGGAGATCGAGACCATCCTGACTAACACGGCGAAACCCCGCCTCTGCTAAAAATACAAAAAATTAGCCGGGCGTAGTGGCGGGTGGCTGTAGTCCCAGCTACTCGGGAGGCTGAGGCAGGAGAATGGCGTGAACCTGGGGGGCGGAGCTTGCAGTGACCCGAGATCGCGCCACTGCATTCCAGCCTGGGCGACAGAGCGATCCGTCTCAAAAAAAAAAGTAAACTTTAATGTCGAAAATGCAAACTTGGGGAGGGCAGAAAGAGCACGCACAAGGCTGTCACTTCACACTTGGAGGGTTGCACAGCGGCCAGCAGAGGCGCTCCTCACTTCCCAGATGGAAGGAGGGGTGGGGGGCGGGGCGGCCGGGCAGAGGCCCTCCTCACTTCCCCGACTTGCTCCTCACATTCCAGACGGTGTGGTGGCCGGGCAGAGGCCCTCCTCACTTCGCAGACGGGGTGGGGGCCGGGCAGATGTGCTCCTCACTTCCTAGACGGGGTGGGGGCCGGTCAGAGGCGCTCCTCACTTCCCAGATGGGGTGGGGGCCGAGCAGAGGCGCTCCTCACTTCCTAGACGGGGTGGGGGCCAGGCAGAAGCGCTCCTCACTTCCCAGACAATGGGGGGACTGGGCAGAGGCGCTCCTCACTTCCTAGAGGGGGTGGGGGCCAGGCAGAAGCGCTCCTCACTTCCCAGACGGTGCAGGCCGGGCAGATGGGCTCCTGACATCCCAGATGTCAGTGGCCGGGCAGTGGCGCTCCGAACTTCCCAGACAGTTGGGTGGCCAGGCAGAGGCGCTCCTCACTTTCCAGACGGGGCGGGAGCTGGGCAGAGGCGCTCCTCACTTGCCAGACAGTGGAGCAGCCAGGCAGAGGTGCTTCTCACTTCCCAGACGGTGGGGTGGCGGGGGGCGTGGGGGGGGGGTGGAGGGGGGAGGGCAGGGCAGAGGCGCTCCTCACTTCCCAGACGGTGGAGCAGCGGGGCAGAGGTGCTCTCACTTCCCAGATGGTGGAGCAGCGGGGCAGAGGTGCTCCTCACTTCCCAGACGGGATGGGGGCGGGGCAGAAGTGCTCCTCACTTCCCAGAAGGTGAGGCGGCGGGGCAGGGGTGCTCCTCACTTCCCAGACGGTGCGGGCCGGGCAGATGGGCTCCTGACATCCCAGATGGTGCAGTGGCCGGGCAGTGGCGCTCCTCACTTCCCAGACAGTTGGGCGGCCAGGCAGGAGGGCTCATCACTTTACAGACAGGGCGGCAGCTGGGCAGAGGCGCTTCTCACTTCCCAGACGGGTGACCTGCACTTTTCATGAATGGTACTAACCAGTTTGAATTTATGTGATTATATTTTAAATGTCAGCCTCCCTCCCTAGACTGTGAGCTCTGTCAGAGTAGGGCCTGTGCTTGCTTTGTTCACCACTGTATCTCTAGCACCTTGTATGGCACCTGGCATATTTGTTGAAAGAATGAACTACATCAATGATTTTCAAAGTGTGTTCTGAGGTAGCATCTTATGTGTCGTGGTAAGGGACTGAGGAAAATGTCAGCTGGTTGCCTCCTCCCAGGTCCTGTTTTATTTGGCTCAAATATTGGATCCTGGCATAAGAATATGAGTATACAAGAAATTTCCAGTGCTTCAGAAAATATTGTACAAACTGCTGAATTAGTTGATGTTAATGTATCTTCCATCTTCAATATAACGTGATCCTAGGTCAAAATAACAAAGGGGGCCAGGCGTGGTGGCTCACGCCTGTAATCCCAGTACTTTGGGAGGCTGAGGTGGGTGGAAGCTTGGGGCCAGGAGTTTTGAGACCAGCCTGGGCAACATGGCAAAACCTCATCTCTATAAAAAATACAAAAATTAACTGGGCACAGTGGTGCGTATCTCAGCTACAAGGGACACAGGAGGCTGCAGTGAGCCTAGACTGTGCCAGTGCACACCAGCTTGGGCGACAGAACGAGATCCTGTCTCCAAAAGAAAAAAAAAATAACAAAGGCCATGTAGGAATATACATGTCGTAATTAGGGAGTGGTATTTGCCAGCAAGGTTGGCAGTGGTTCCCTTTTCCAGGAGCAATGAAGCTTCTCTTTCCTACTCTTAATTGAGGATCTCAGGGGCTCCCATCCCTTTCCACTTGGCTAAGAGTTATTCTCAGGCCTAGAGTTTTTTCTTGGCTACCCTCTTTACCATCCATGAACTGCTTTCTCCTTATCCTGTAGGGATTACCCCAAAGACCCTACAGTCCAGCCATTTGGGGTTACTTGTAGTTTTCTCCCATTCACATACTCATTCATGCAGTTCCCTCATCCAAGAATTATTTTTTTCTTCTTAGCAAAGTCATCCTGTAACTTAAATGCCAATCCTTGTAAGAAGCCCTTCCCAGAAGCCCTCCTCCCCTCCCACAGTACTTTATGTATCTATATAGAAACTTCTGCAGTTCAAATGGGCAAGTTACTTGCTTTATCAATAGAAAAATACAAATAATATTACAGGCTCGGTTCCCAGGAAGCACACTCTTACATGACTAGTGTGCAGGAGATTTATTAGGGAATGCTCTTGGGATCATTACTTGTGGGAGGGAAGAAAAGCTGAACTGGGCAGAAGTTGGACTTCAGTGAAGTCTCAATGGAATGCCTTAGCTGATCCTGCAAGTTGTTCTGCAGGAGGAGAAAATCCATCAGAATTGTACCAAATGGAGGTGAGAGGGCTGAGCCTTTTATCCCTGCATTGATCAGTCACTGGATGTGGCCTCTCTGAGAACATTATGACTCTGTGACACTGGCATGCCTGAAAGGGGCTGACAACCGATGGCTGGCTGTGGGTATGACTCTTGGCAGCAGCAGCTCAGTTCTTTATTCCTGAAGTGGGGTCTGAAAAGTGCATCTCAAGGCCTACCACAAATAGTATATATCTCATAGGATTGTCAGAAGCCTAAAATAGGGTAACATAGAAAAGTACACAGCATTTGGCCTGGCACATAGGAATCAAAAGCATGCTAAGTATGGTTATTATAATAGGATTTGGCTCTATAAGTAGAAAGAGCAAGGTAGGGAAACGTGTTTATTTTTGTATCTCTAGTCTTAGCATAGGGCACTAGTATGTTTTATCTTTCCTTTTTTATTTTTGAGACAGTCTTGCTCTGTCGCCCAGGCTGGAGTGCAGTGGCACGATCTCGGCTCACTGCAACCTCCACCTCCCGGGTTCAAGCAATTCTCCTGCCTCAGCCTCCCAAGTAGCTGGGATTACATGGGATAACAGGCGTGTGCCACCACACCTGGCTAATTTTTCTATTTTTAGTAGAGACGAAGTTTCGCCATGTTGGCCAGACTGGTCTTTAACTCCTGACACCTCAGGTGATCTGCCTGTCAAGGCCTCCCAAAGTGGTGGGATTACAGGCTTGAGACACCGCGCCCGGCCTCCCCCACCCCCGTTTTTTTTTGACATACTGCCACCCAGAAACACTAGTATGTTCAATAAATACTTGATGTGTTAAAAACATGTAACCCTTTTTCTTGAAGTAGATGTTACTTTGAGTTGAACTCAAAGCTAAAATACAAAACACCATTTAAAACATTTAATAACTTTTATTAGCAACATAAAAGAAGGCACAACACGTATCCACTTGCCCGAAAAAAAAAATAGTGTTGCAAAGGAAAACAAAAGTAATGAAACAGCACTGGACAATTGTCAAAGAAGAGCCCCAGTTAACGGCTTCTACCACTGGATTTTATATTTTTGGAACATAATCTTTATAGCCACGGAAGGAGGTTTAGCTGTTTTTCCACAGCTCATAAATGATGAAGTTATTTATCTTCATTAATGTGTGTTGGGCTTTATTTTCCTACATGCTCAATATAGTTGGTAGATCTGTTTTGATATTACTGAGCACTGCTTTGTGCCAGACACAATTCTGGGGATACAGCAATGAGCAAAACAGTTTACTAAGTCCCTGCTTTTAAAAATTTTACATTTCTGGTGGTGAGGATACTGACAAATAAGGTCTGGAAGTTGTAACTGTTATGAAGAAATAAAAGCAGGTGAAGAGTTAAAGCAATGGTGCAGGTGTACTTTTTTTGGATACAGTGGTCTGGGCAGCCCTCTGAGAAGGGACCTGAAATATGCATCGAACATCGAGGAGTTAAAAAAAATCTGGAGGAAATGTTCTGCCAGAGAAATCGGCAAGCACAAAGGCCCGAAGTGGTTCGAGCCTGCGTGCTGTGGTACAAGCCAGAGGTGAACGAGGCGAGGCAGAAGCACGATCATAAATACATGTATGGATGTTCTCCTGGCTTGAGACCACAGTGCTAAGGGAGGTGGGGTTTACAAATCTCTCAGGAGGCCACAAAGGGCAGGATGAAGCCGATTTCCAATGGCGGAGCTACGAGGACGCCTTTCCTCTGCTAGGGCCAGGTTGGACGGTTGCAAGGGATGGACTGCAACCCGCCCTCGGAAGACCAAACTTCGCCCAGGGGCAGGGACTGGCCGGGGAGGGCCTCGGCGGCGCCCGACCCGCGGGCGCTGCACGGGCCGCGGTTACCAGCAGGCGGTGTAGTGAGCGCGCCTGCAGCAGCAGCAACAGCAGCAGCAGCGGTCGCCGCCGCCGCCGCCGCCCGCCAGTCCCAACGAGGAGAAAGGAGGGGACCGGAAGGAGCCGCTGGTGCTGCGGGAAGTGGCAGGAGCGGGAGGCGGGGACCCACCTGGAAGCGCCGCGGCGCCGCTATCGAGCTTCCTGCAGCGGTGGCCACCCGAGCAAGTGCCGTGGCGGGGGCGGAGAGCGGCCACGGCGGCGGCGCCTCCCCAAGTGGCCCGTTGCGTCCGACCCCGCGTGAAAGGTGAGCAAGAGCTCGGGACACGTGGTGAGGGCCAGACACGGGGGAGGGAGAATGAAGGGGGAGGGAATGGGGGTGGGAAACGATCGGCTTGGGACCCGGATTTGGAGCCAAGTACCGGGAGGGGGTGGGCTGGAGGCGACGACTGCGACGGCTGCGACGGCTGCGACGGCGAAGCCCCCACGTGGGGCGGGGGTGCGCGCGCACGTGTGCGCGGGCGAAAGGGGGGGCGGGGAGGGCTTTTGGGAGGGCGTCGGGAGCGCGCTCGCTCAGTAGCGGCCCACGTGACGGGCACGCCGAAAATGTTTCCACGTGACAGGGAGGCTGCCTGGGGCAGCGCACTGCGCTCTGTTTATGTAGTATAATCGTGGTAATCGGAGGTTTTTAAGATTTCTGCTTTTCTGTACAAGGGGAAAGGAGGAGACGTATAAAGCGGAAAGACTTCCTACTGTCTCAGTGTTTTAAATGTTCACTACTCCGTTAGTGAAGTGCTTTTTAAGTTCCGAAATACTGATTTTTTTCTGTACCGCCATGTTGGGTCTAGTGGAAGCTCGCGAGATGCGAGTGGGTTTGTATCGCGAGATCTCTCGATTCTCGCGGGACCTCGTTGGCAGAGCAGTTGTCCTGGATGGCGGAGCCTTGGGTTCCGGGGGCCTGGGACCTGCAACTCTTTCTACAAGGCAAGTCGTTAGGGAGGGGCCCGGGGCGAGTGCCTCTTGGTGCCGGGATACGTGCTGCATCAGCTTCCCATAGTCTTGAAGGGAATACAGTAACCCCATTGAGGCAACACTGCCCTCCCCATCCCCCTGCGGGCGCTCCACCACCTGCAAAAGCATATGCACCCCTCAGCCAGGTCCTTCTCCCCACGCAGTGATAGTTCCACCCTGTCCCACTCACTGGAAGTCCGGGAGCCGTGCTCGCGCAGACCTGATGATTCCATTGGATACCGTTCCTCTTACTTTAAGATGTTCTTGTCAGTTTTTCCCTTCTTGCCATTTTCTAAAGTATTCCAGACCGGTTAACTATTGTGTCGCGTTTTCTGCTGCAGTACCTGACTCCAGTCTCCTGAAACAGAACTCCTCCCATCTATTTTCTCTGGGTGTCATTTACTCATCACCCTGACTTCGTATTTTCAGTAACTTTTGGCAGTATTTGGAGGGCCCATTATGTCTCTGACAACACCTGTGGTCAGAATAAAATCCTGCTTTTCATCATTTTGTACGTGCCTATTAACTCAGTTATCGGTAGGGTTTTAATTACTACTGTGTTACTGAGGTTGCCATCTTTGAAGTTTAGGGATGGTTGTTTTAGGTTATATATTTAAGGTAACAGACTGTTTCATGTGATTTTTTTTTTTTTTTTTTTGAGACGGAGTCTCGCTCTTGTCGCCTAGGCTGGAGTGTAGTGGGGCGATCTCGGCTCATTGCAACCTCCGCCTCCCGGGTTCAAGCGATTCTCCTGCCTCAGCCTCTCGAGTATCGAGTAGCTGGGATTACAGTCGCGCTTCACCACGCCCGGCTAATTTTTGTGTTTTTAGTAGAGACGGGGTTTCACCATGTTGGCCAGGCTGGTCTCAAACTCCTGACCTCAAGTGATCCACCTGCCTTGGCCTCTCAAAGTGCTGGGATTTCAGCACTGTACAGGCGTGAGCCACCGCGCCCGGCCTCAGGTCAACTTTTTAGTAAAGAGCAAACTCATAAATTTTGGCATCAGAGTTTGAGCTTTATTTTTCTTAAATGAGTTTGAAATCAATTTAATATTTCTCTCCAATTCCCTAATGTCTCAGAAGTGAATTTACAGTATACCTTTGTTTTTTCGTATTCTTAAGTAGTATTTGGATTTTATTTAGTAGTTGCAGTACTAAATAAGGAGTGGGGAGTTAATTACAAAACGAATCAGGTGACTAGTTAATTTATTCATAGTTTGTTTTTTAAAACTACAAAAGTGTTTTTTTTTCCTATACATAATACAGAGAGGTATATAGTATAGAGTAACACAGTGCTTGTTTCACGGTACCACAAAGTTCCATTCCTCAGTCTTAAATCTCTGTAACCAGCCTTTGTGGTTGCTGTGTATCATTCCAGATATTTCCATATTTTGGTTTAGTTTTTGTTTCTTAAATGAAGGGGAGAAAGTGTTGTTTTAATGGGGTACCAACACAATATTGGCAATCAGTAAACATTTTTTAACTAAATTAAATTTTTATTTAGTGATATATGCCTGTTTGTCAAGACTTACGTATGCATACTTACGCAGATTTTTTTTGTTTGTACTGATTTTTTTGGTAGTATAATCTTGTGAAAATATCACAAGTAACTTATTTTTGCAGTAAAGTTGATTTATTGTGCTTGGTAGCTTTGCACAGAAAGAAAGTACATGTAAAACAAGATTTAAATAAATTAATGTTTTATCACTTGAGTTTTATATTTTTATCTTTAATGTGTGTTATGTATTTAACTTTATATATTATATATTCTAAACTGTAACCTAACTATATAGGAGTTTTTCAGACGTTTTAAAAGTTTATCACTGTGATTAAAATGATAGTTTGACCATGCAACTTAGTGATCTCAATTGGAGAGTGGTAGACATTAGTAGTTAGTACAAACAAAGGTATATATACTTGAAGTTGCTAAGCGGCTATCATTTTGTAAGTGTTGTTTTTGTAATTTCCCCCCGCCAAACCTACCAGTAATAATATTTATCAGACCAGTCACATAAGAGAATTGTCCACTCTTTGGGCAATGTGGTTTTTTGTTGTAACAGTGCAAGTAGAAATGTTGAGGAATAGAAGTGAGTGTTGAGAGGTATGATGTTGGAAAGAGGAAAAGGGGACATTGGGAGTGTAGAGGTTGATACTGAAATGGAATTGGACAAGTTGGGGAGAAAAGAGGAATGTAGAAGGTTGACAGTGAGGCAAGAGCCATGGTGCAAGAATAGTCAGGCTCATAATAGTTGGAGGACAGCCCGAGTCGGTATTTGAGGCAACTTTCTCCTCCTATTCTTTTTTAGATAGTTCTGGGTCTATTCACAGAATTGCTAGATATTTCCTGTCATAAAAGTCAGCAGCTTAAGGTTATACTTAATTGAAACCTTGTGAATTCTTTACTTTAGATAAAGCTATTCTGTTAAATAACATTTGTTAAGTACGTTTTATTATTATTTTTAGAAGTGGGAAATTGTGAAAATGACAATGAGTTTGAAGGTCACAGTTCTACAATGGCCTTTGCAAAGGTATCTACATAAGTTTAGCTTGGTAACTGGGCCTTTAATAGTCCACGTGCATCTGATCTATGAAATAATATATGTTCCTTGTTCTTAGAACTTTTGTTTTATAAACTTTTCAGTATTGGGTCTTGGGAAATACCAGTCTTTTACAGACACGAAATTATTTGAGGTACTTGGTAGAAATATACTGAGAAAAATCCAAGGAAGAGGAAAAATGTATTTTTACATGGTTTGTGTTTGGTTGAGTAAAATTTAAATAACCAAGAAATTTAATTTTCACTTTTCTCAATTATTACGGTCATATAAATGATGAGAGCTAATGAACTTCAGTGATCAGAGGAAACTATTAACAGTGATAATATAATAATACTGATTTATTCTCACTTGAGTTTTTTCCTTAAGGTCTGACACCATGCCAATTTCCACAGACCTGTAACTTTAAGTTACCTTAAGCTGGGCCTGGTGGCTCACGCCTGTAATACAAGCACTTTGGGAGGCCGAGGTGGGAGGATTGCTTGAGACCAGCAACAACATAGTCAGACCACGTTTCTACCAAAAAAGAAAAAAAATTAGCCTGGTAGTGCACGCCTGTAGTACCAGCTACTTGGGAGGCTGAGAAGGGAGGATTGCTTGAACCCAGAAGGTTGAGACTGCAGTGAGCTGTGATTGCACCATTGCACTCCAGCCTGGGCAACAGAGTGAGTGAGACCCTGTGTCAAAAATAAAATAAAAACACCTAAATTTCATATGAAAATTCAGTTTGGAGTCACCTACAAGAAATAGTTGCTAGAAGAGTTTCATTTTTATAGTAGTATTTACTAGAGATTTGGTATATACTCTGGTGCAAATTTCTGTAGTTAATGCTCTGATAACCACTATAATTGTACTCTGAAAACCACTCTCAGTAAATATTTCCCAAAGTCCAAAGTCTTGATTATTTTGTTTGACCCTTTCGTTCTCACCTTTCTGTTTTTCTTTTCAGCTGATTTTTCTCATTTATGTAGGTAATTTTTGTCTTATTAGAGAGGAGTGAGTTGACTAACTTGCCTTGAGGAGAATATCACTTTGTGATTAATCAAACTATTCAGATATTATTATTACTGTTGTTTTGGAACTTCAGTATATTTGTAAGTTAGAGGCAGTAATTCAGCTGACATTTATTGCTAATGACCTCAGCCATTTGAAACATAACAGCAATCCTGGACATAAAAAAATCTCTAAGCCTTCAAAATGACTGCAACCAAGTATAATAAGCCATTAGCCTTTATTAGGAAACTACTAATTGGAATTAGTCCACAGATAAAAATCTTCAGTGTTGGCCATTGGAGTTAGGGACATTGGCAGCTGAAATGTCATCTACAGGGGAAAAGGAAGAACTATTAAAAAGTAGGTGGAACTATAGTAGAATAGTGTTTTAAGGCCATTACATAAATACATACACTCCTATAATCATTAACTTCTGAAGGAATGACAGTATCGTAGAGCAGCCTAGTAAGTTGATGCATCACAATGATAACTTTAATAATGAACTTTTATTCTGTGTACTATGTTTAAGGAAGTAAGAAATTGGTGTCTTTTGAGATTGCTATAAAAGTAACCATTTTCAAAACTCTGTTAATTAAATGTTAAGTTTCAATTTTCTGGAAAATTTACGTGTAGATCTCTCCTTATCAGATGACACCAAATAAAAATGGTGCTACTGTGTATGGAACTTCCTTTGTTTTATTATTTTAACCTATTTATCTTTCTACTTAATATTTCAAGGAATTACTCCCAAACAAGGCTCTATTACATTTAATATTTGATATCAGTAATGAACAACCAATTGCCTAAAGATTAGCACATTTGCTAATGGAGAAGATAGTAAAGCAGATAATTAGAATTAGTAAATGACCTATGCATATGATTCAGTTGTATAGTTTTGAATCCTGGTATTGAGTCTATTAGCCCAAGTGTCCTAAGGTGCCAGGTTTTTGTAGTGAGTTTTTTTCATTGCATTGCTGGCCTCCTCTGTCTCATTTACTATGTTAATTTAAACCTTATGCTTCCATTAGTGGTAAAGTAGATAGTCTTTGACTTGTGTATAAGGGGTGTGTATGTATTTTAATGATTTTGAAAGCTGGTTTGAGGAATTAGATTTTGGGAATTAATATAACAATTATTAGCATTTTGATATATTTCTTCCATTATTTTAATGTATATTTTTTATGTATTTGTGGGTAAAAACATTTAATTTCATGTCCTGCTTTTTAACCTACTGTTAGGTACCACTTTCCCATTCTCACAATGCATCTTAATAACTATCATTATAAATGATTGTAAAATGTTCTGTGCAGTGAACATATGTTATTCCCCTATGTGAAGAACATATTTATACATGTTTCTTGTATATAGTATTATCTCTCTCTTGTATATTGCCAGAATTGATTTTTTAGGTACATTTTGAAGGCTCTTAAAACATACTGAACAATATTAATCAAAAGGGATAAATTTGTATTCTCTTTCGAGTGGTTGTTACCCTATACTCATCAACATTTAACATTTTTTATAAAGGTTTAATGGGGGTGTATGACATATTGTGCTTTATTTATTTAATTACTGAGGTGAAGCATGTTTATAGATGTATTTATCTTGTGAACTTTGAAGATAAATAGATTTTAACATTATTGCAGTCAAACATCTTTTTGTTTGTTTGTTTTGAGACAGAATCTTGCTCTATTGCACAGGCTGGAGTGCAGTGGCACCATCTCGGCTCACTGCAGCCTCTACCCCCCGGGTTCAAGCAATTCTCCTGCCTCAGCCTCCTGAGTAGCTGGGACTACAGATGCACACCACCACGCCCGGCTAATTTTTGTATTTTTGTAGAGATGGGGTTTCACCATGTTAGTCAGGCTGGTCTGGAACTCCTGACCTGAGGTGATCCACTTACCTCGGCCTCCCAAAGTGCTGGATTACAGGGGTGAGCCACGGTGCCTGGCCCAAACATCTTGATATAATTTTGTTCTGCTGATTTTATGAAATTCCTCCCTTTTCAGAACTGTAATAAACAATATTGGTTTAATTCTGTTTGTTTAGTTTTTCTAAGTTAGATTTAAATAAATTTAAGTTTTTACCTCATCTGGCATTGGTGTGAAATGAGAATCTAAATGTTTTCCTCCAAATTGGTAATTTTCTCAACTCTGTTAAATAATGCTTTATTTAATTTTTTAATTTTTCTCATTTTTTTGTTATGCTTCATTTTTACATTTTAATCATTTTTATTTTAAATTGTTTATTTTTACCCCAAGCCTTAAGAACATTCATATTGTTTTTAGATGATTCTGTGATATGTTTAATATCTTTTGCCTTGGCTTTCTTATTGTGGTGTTTGTTTCCTTATTTATTTTTAAGATTACTGTAAGTTGAGGATAATAAAGTTTATTTTTTAACAAAACAATGTTTTATAATTCCTTTTCTTGTCAGCCAGAATTTGAAATAAGATTTTTCCATACCACATAATTTGGTTGCATTAAATGAAAATTTCCCCCTTTTTGAACAGAGATAAAATGTGAAACTACTTAAAAGTACTATGCTGGCCACAGTGGCTCATGCCTGTAATCCCAACACTTTGGGAAGCTGAGGTGGAAGGATCGCTTCAGCCCAGGATTTGGACACCAGTCTGGGCAACATAGTGTGACCTCGTCTCTACAAAAAATACACAAAATTAGCCTGGTGTGGTGGCGTGCGCCTGTACTTTCAGCTACTGTGGAGGATGAGGTGGAAGGATCACTTGACCCCAAAAGATTGAGGCTACAATGAGCCCAGATTGCGCCCCTACACTCCAGCCTGGGTGACACAGTGAGACCCTTGTCAAAAAACCCCCAACCAACAAGTACAGTACTAGAGACTGTAAGGAGTAAAACTACTTTGGCAGATTTTGGGGAATTAGAGAAATTAACTCCTAAGATTAACAGTTTAGGATGTATGCTTAAAGTGTTAAACAGCAGTATACAACTTGATATCATATACCTCTAAGATATTTAGTGAAAAAGTTTCATTTAACAGCTGTAGGACTCAGGTTACAGAATCACAATACCTTCTTCAAATGTTGAGATAGCAATATGATACATTTACTGAAATTTAATAGCATAGACATTCAGGTAAGCTTTAGGAAGGTATCTATGTCAAAGAGCATTTTTAATACTGAGAGTGCTTACTGTTTACTATGATGCCTTTTTTTCTGTTATGAAATAATTTGTGATCTCAAAATAATTGAAAAAAGGTATTTATGTTTGTTTACATTTTGAAATTGTGATGGCTACAAAGCTGTTAATTTTATTAAATGGCTTTAATGTTTTCTGTTTACAGATTTTTCTGGTTACAATAATGCTAGTAAGAAAAGCCAGATTTAAGTAACTTTGAGTGTGAAAAAATAATAAATATTTGAAAAAAAAAAAAGTGTGTCCTGTGCTTGAAGAACACCTACAGAGAACTGAAGATGAACAATTCGATGTGATGTAATTTCCTTCTGTCTTGGGTTATGGTGAGATTTAAAGGGATTGGAACATAACTTAACACCTTTTTTTCCTACTGGAATTCGGCTGCCACATGAGAGATGAGTTGCTTTTTCAAAATGTCACTGAAATTGTCCAGGAAATAGCGTTGCTAATTATATTCTGGCACTATTTACCCTCCTTACTAGTTTTTAAAGTTTTTTTTTTAATTGGTCAGAAGTTAAAGGAAAATAGATCCTGCCGTTGTTACACACTTTCCCGTTGGAAAGCAGATTGATGTGTTTCATAAATAAAATGAAATAATGCTTTTAGGTGGCTTGGCTGTATTATAGAGGGAACTACCAAGATTATTTCTCCTGGCAAAGGGGTGTGTGTGAGATTTATCCACTAATAGCCCTTGAAGAACTTTGTAATACTTCTCTCTTTTTTTATTTACATTTTTTTATTTCCATAGATTATTGGGGATGTAATACTTCTCTATATTAACTCTCCACTCTCCACCCCAAACCTATGATTCTTACCTGAACTGTCTTCACTATATGTAGATTTTTATGGTGTTTTTGCAGTAATGTTTCTTTTTTTTTTTTTTTTTGAGACCGAGTCTTACTCTGTTGCCCAGGCTGGAGTGCAGTGGTGTGATCTCGGCTCACTGCAACCTCTGCCTCCTGGGTTCAAGCAATTCTCCTGACTTAGCCTCCTGAGTAGCTGGGACTACAGGCACACGCCACTATGTGCAGCTCATTTTTGTATTTTTAGTAGAGACGGGGTTTTGCCATGTTGGGGAGACTGGTTTTGAACTCCTGACCTCAAGTGATCTGCCCACCTCGGCCTCCGAAAGCGCTGACATTACAGGTGTGAGCCACTGCACCCGGCCAATGTGTCTTTTCCTAAGGAGAAATCTCCTCTTTTTCCTTCTTTTTAAATAAAGATAAATACAATTAAAGTATAATACACACAGAAAGTTCTCATAAATGTACACCTCAGTGAATTTTCACAGTGTGAGCACACTGGTGTAATCGTCACTAAGAAGAACACTGTCAGAACTCCAGAAACTTGTGTGTTTATTCCGGTCATTAATGGTCCCTAGGTGCCACCCCTCACCAAGAGAAATCACTCTTTTGATGTCTAGTACCACAGAATTATTTTATTTGCTTTTGAGCCTAGGATTTATACAGTATGTATTGTTTTTGTGTTTGGCCTTTTTTGCTCAATGTTATGTTTGTGAGATTCAGCTGTTTTATTGTGTCTTCATCCTGTTCTGATACGAGTAACCTGAGAAATCCTATAACTCAACCTGATTTGTACCTTGAGATCTCAACACTTAGACATTTTTCTCATGGCATTCATGGTTTTCAAGAACTCCTAGGAGGGGACATCAAATAAAAGCCTTCTTTGTTTTAAACTCTGTGGTAGACCTTTTTTTGTGTTTTAATGACCTTTTTTGTGTTTTATTGCTATTTGGGTAAATAGTAGATTTTAAAATTTATGTCACTGATGGCTTATGCAGTACCTCAGCTGCTTTTTTTTTTTTTTCCTACTTAAAAATTTTGTTTTAAAAACTATGGTACAGGATTCCTGGCCAGCTAATGGCTTTTTGGACTTTTATGACTTGGTAGCTTGCTTTTCATTCTTTGAATTCCTCAAGCAGTGATTCCCATTCTAATTTTTATGATACCATGTAGTATCTTCAGTTATTTCAAAGCATGTTGTGAGCCTCCCCACCAAGAAAAAGATTCCAATTTAAGTTTAAGCCACTTTACTTTCAAAATACTTAACATTTATGAACAGTACAACTTTTATATTTATGAACAGTACAACATTGTGGTGTGTAGATTATAAAATCAAATAGGCTGGTAAAAAATTGGGAATCAGCTAAGAGACTTACCTGCTTATTAACCCCTTTCAAGCTAGCTTCAAGTGTAAAGTGCAACTTTTATTTGTGTGTGTGTGACACAGTCTCACTCTGTCACCCAGGATGGAGTGCAGTGGCGCGATCTCAGCTCACTGCGACCTCCAGCTCCTGAGTTCAAGCAATTTTCGTGCCTCAGACTCCCGAGTAGCTGGAATTACAGCCGCCTGCCACCATGCCTGGCTAATTTTTGTATTTTTAGTAGAGGCGGGGTTTCTCCACGTTGTCCAGGCTGGTTTCGAACCCCTGACCTCAGGTGATCTGCCCTCCTCAGCCTCCCAAAGTGCAGGGATCACAGGCGTGAGCCACCCTGCCTGGCCGTAAAGTGCAACTTTCTTCTCAGGAGTTCTCCTTTTGTATTTTCTTCTCATTTCACTTTCTTAATTTTAAGGAAAGTCATAGTGAAAGATTTATGACTGTATTCCTGCACATAATTTTTCTTTCATATAAGTCCTATGGTTATGATATGCCTGGATGATATGCTTAATTTCCTTTTTAAGTGAATTTTAGTTATTTCAGTCAGTAAGTGTTAGGGCCAGAATATTATAAATGGCCAATAGTTGTTGAAATTAGGTATTTTGGTCATGATTAAGAGTGACGTGTATACTTAGCAGTCCTGTACTTCAGTCATCTTTTATTTGCTGAGCTTTTGTGGAAATTAAATGATTGTAAAGTTTTAGCCTACTTTCTAAAAAAAAATCACTTGTTTTTTAATCTGGAGAGTTTAAATGTCTGACTTTGGGGAAACATCATGCAATAGGGGAACATTATCTCCTGAAGAATGGGGGAGAGATGAACTAACTTTTGTAATGGTTATAGAGTTACTTCTAAATTTGAATAAATGCTGTTCTACCTAGTGAACTAGTCAGAGCATTTTCCACTTTGACCTAAGCCAAGCACATGGGTAGCTACTTCTCTTTCTGTAGTTAAGAGAATTTCACCAAGGATATTTTGATTTATTTGTAGCTATATGGCAGTGGTTCTCAGTATTTATCATTCATCATAATCGCCTGAAAGTTGTTTGTTTTAAATAATAGATTTCTGGGCTCTGCCCTTAGAGTTTCAGATTTAGTACGTCAGGAGACCACACTTTGAGTAGCACTACTTGGGTATAGTCAGGACTTCTGCATTAAAAAACAAAATGAACAGACAAAAACCCTACAAGTGATTCTGTTACATATCCTAGATGAGAGAACCTTTGATCAATAGTTCTCAATACAGTATATGGTTCTGGGCATAGCAGCAGAGCATCACTTGGGAATTTTACAAATGCAGATTTTCTCCAACTCTGGAGATGGAACCCAGAAATATGTGTTTTAAACTAAACCACTAGAGGATTCTGGTGTGTGCTAAAGTTTGACAACCATCCTTGTAACTTTATAGTTCCCTGGCACCTATCAGGGAATTTACTAGAAATTCAAATTTCACACTGCACTCGGAGCTCTCATATAACAGATTCTGAATATCAGAATCTCATTTTACAGTAGTCTCTACTGCACTCTTCAGTTTCGCTTTCCTTCGGCTGAACATACTAAATGGGAAATTCAAGAAATAAACAATTCATGTTTTAAATTGTGTGCCCTTTTGAGTATCCTGATGAAATCTCTTATTGTCCCTCTGGTCGTGCCTGTTATGTGAATCATCCCTTTGTCCAGTGTGTCCATACTTTGTATGCTTCCCACTGGTTAATCACTTAATAGCCATCTCAGTTATCAGATTGAAAAAACATAGTATATATCTGGTTTGGTACTATCCTCATATTCAGGTATCTACTGGGGATCTTGGAATGTATCGCTTGTGGATGTGGGGAGGGAACTACTGTAACTAGATTCATAGGTGGTTTGTATGTATATTGAAGATTGAAAAGAGCTGCTTTAGGTGATTTTAAAAACTCTTATAGAAGTAATACTAATAACTAAAATTTATTGGATATTTGCTGTGGGCCAGATACATGCTAGATACTCTATTCATTATCATTAGTACTCCCTACAACCTTATACAGAGGGTTACTGTAACCCTCATTCTATAAATAAGCAAATCAAAGCAGAGGGGTTTCATATCTTGCTCGGTGTCACACAGGTGCTAAATGGAGGGTTTGGGATTTGAACCTAAGCACTCAAACTGTGGAGTTTTGGAGTTTGAGGTGCTATCTTCATATGTATCTTCAGTACTGTTTGTGTGCATGTATGTCCTTCCTTGTTTCAGTGCCATAGATTATATTCTAATGAATTTTTTTGGTATCACATTTTACAGTGACATTTGAATTTTCTTTCAAGTCTCATATTCATCAGAACAATCAGAAGTGGAAATAGCTGTGGTTTGAATACTTTGATCTTGTCTACCTAAATAACAGGCTTTCTAAAAGAAAATAATGTTTATTTGGGAATAGGGCTTTGCAGTGGGAATTCTGTTGTTACAGTAAACCATGTGCATATACAGGGAGGTAAAAGAAGACCAAAGTTTTTAAAGGAAAAATGAGGAGGATTTCATAATTATTTTGAGATAATTATTCTTGGCTACAAGGGTCAATAAAGTGCCTCCATTCTGAGGTTGGACCGGCAGTTGCTGGCAGATGTCCTCACAGAAGTTTTTTTTTTTTTAAAAAAAACAACCCCCACCACCCCCCCAAAAAAACAGTGTTACTGTGTTGCCCAGGCTAGATGTAAACTCCTGGGTTCAAGCAATCTTCCTGCTTCTTGGGTAGCTGGGATTATAGGTGTGTATGTACCATGCACCTGGCTTGTTTTTGTTTCACGTTTTGTATAAGGTTGTAGTTTTTGCAGAGTCTTTTGTGATAGTTTTTATCATGCATACCCGCATGACAGCCCTTCCTTCATAGCCTTCCCTGGCTGTTTGTCAGGGTGTTTTTTTTTTGTTTTGTTTTGTTTAAAAAAAAACAGAACAAACACTACTACTACTCCAGTTTGATTCTGATAACTTTCATATAAGTCTGTTCATCAAGGTGTTGTTATCCATCCAAACTCTTTGTTGCCTTAATAGATTTTGTTTTTGTGTGTAATTTCAGTAAGGCAGCTCTTACTGGTTAATGTTTCTGGTAAAAATTTGCATGCTAGGCCAGGTGCAGTGGCTCATCATGCCTGTAAACCCAGCACTTTGAGAGGCCGAGGTGGGCGGATCATCTGAGGTCAGGAGTTCGAGACCAGCCCAGTCAACATGGCGAAACCCCATCTCTACTAAAACAAAAAATTAGCCAGGCATGCTGGAGTGTGCCTGTAGTCCCAGCTACTCGGTGAGGCTGAGGCAGGAGAATCGCTTGAACCCAGGAGGCGGAAGTTGCAGTGAACCGAGATCATGCCATTGCACTCCAGCCTGGGTGACAGAGCGAGACTCTGCCCCCCCCCAAAAAAAAAAAAATTGCATGTTGTATGTTCAAGGACAGTACTGGTTTATTAAAGAGGACAACAATGCAATTCAGTATCTGGAGGCTCCCATGTACTAAAATTATGCTTTGGAGTTTAATTCAAGTAAAACATGGAGATTTGCTTGATAATAGACCTAAATGCTGGTGTTAATTTCAAGGGAGTAATATGGGGGGGGGGGGTCACAATATTTATTATATTAATAGGTTTTTTGGGGGAATTTGTTAGTCATATTAATTCTTTTTAAGTGCACAATTCAGTGCTTTTTAGTAAAATTACAGTGCCATGCAACTATTACCTCAATCCCGTTTTAGAACATTTCTGTCACACCAAAATGATCTCTTTTACCTGTTTTAAGTCATTCCCACCTTCAGCCTATTACAGTTTTCTTTTCTTTTTTTTTTAAATCAGCTGGTGCATTTTAGAAGTTCTTAGTAATAAAACCAACCTATAGACTTTAATCTATAAACCTTTTTAAACTTTTAAGAAACGGAGAGGCCGGGGCGCAGTGGCTCACGCCTGTAATAGTAGCTCTTTGGGAGGCTGAAGTGGGTGCATCGCCTGAGGTTGGGAGTTCAAGACCAGCCTGGCCAACATGGACAAACCCCCTCTCTACTAAAAATACAAACATTAGCCAGGTATGGTGGTGGGTGCCTGTAATTCCAGCTACTCTGGAGGCTGTGGCAGGAGAATCGCTTGAACCCAGAGGGGCGGAGGTTGCAGTGAGCTGAGATTGCGCCTGTTCACTCCAGCCTGGGCAACTGAGCGAGACGCCATCTCAAAAAAAAAAAAAAAAAAAACTGAGAAAGAAAGTTTAATGGTATTCTAGCTCTTAATTTCTGTTCATTTAACATCAGTTTAATTTGTTGATAGGATTAAAGTGATGTGAACAGTAGTGTTTAGGGCTAGGAAATGTTCTTTCATTCACTTAATGGACCATTCACAATCTATGTAATGTATGAAGAGGAAATGGGGAGAAGAGAAAGAGAAGATAAGAGAAACTTGATATCTATAGTTCCATGATGATACTGACAACCTCAGAGTTCTTGTCTGTGGTGGTTATTTGGATTCTGGAAAACTACTGTGTGTTTCTGTTGTCTTGATCTGAATGCCTCTCAAGAATGACACTTTCTTTTAAGAGCTTTATCTCTACAAGCTATGTGTTTTAAGAACTCTGGGGATGAATAATCACACAGTGTGCTGACTTAGGATATCGTTGTGCATAAGGCTGTTTTTTTTTTTTTGTAACACAAAAATATCTGAAGAATATGTTTGGCATAGTTTGATACAGTTTTTGGTTTTGATTAATTAAATAATTCACTAATAATAAAGATCAGAGCTTCTGATAAATTCTTGTTTTTGCTGGTAGTTTAATCTCCTAAAAGTTGAAGAGAATTGCTGATATGAAATTGATTCTTACCAACAAGGAAGAACACTTAGATATAGAATTAACCATTATCGAACATCTGTTTTGGGCAAATGGACTGTGTTTATAGTCACTTTTTTGTGGTGTGGTAAAAAGAACATGGACTTGGAATCAGATAGACTTTGATTTAAATCCTGGCTCTAGCACTGAGAGCACTGTAACTTTTTTTTTTTTTTTTTTTGAGACAGGGTCTTGCTCTGTCACGCAGGCTGGAATGCAGTGGTGCGATCATATGAGCTCTATAATTTTAAGCAAGTTACTTATTTCTAAGCTTTGTTTTCCTTATTATAAATAGATATGGTACTTTCTACTTATATAGAGAGTATATAATGTACTTGATATAAAATAGATGCTCAGTAAGTGCTCTTTGTTATTGATGTGGAAACAGAGGCTCAGAGAAGTTTGTCACACAGCTAGTAACTGACAAATATCTGACTCCAAAGCCCATGCTTTTCCATGCCTCCCAGCTAGAAATTGAAATGATGGGAATCAAAAGACAGTGATCATTCTATGCTGTCTTGGAGTTTACCTTAGGTAGCAATTCCCAGAAAAGCAGGTTTCAGAAAGTTCAGAAAAGAAACTGGTAATGACCACAGATAGTTTAAGCAATCAATACTGATAGGCTCTTAAAAATGAAACCTGTTATTTAAATTACAAAAAAAATTCCATTGGGGAAGAAAAACGTGAGTAATCTAAAGAAATTAATATGACTTCCTCATAAGTAAATTTTTTCAAAAGAAAAACATATCAAGGATACCCATTAGCCAGGTGTAGCGGCTCACACCTGTAATCCCAGCACTTTGGGAGGCTGAGGTGGGCAGATCCCCTGAGGTCAGGAGTTCAAGACCAGCCTGACCAACATGGCGAAACCCTGTGTCTCTACTAAAAATACAAAAATTAGCCGGGCGTGGTGGCAGGTGCATGTAATCCCAGCTACTTGGAGGCTGAGGCAGGAGAATCACTTGAACCCAGTAGGTGGAGGTTGCAGTGAACCAATGTCATGCCACTGCACTCCAGTCTGGGCAACAGAGCGAGACTCTCTCTCAAAAAAAAAAAAAAAAAAAAGAATACCCATTTAACTAATGGTATATAAGATTAATTTAAAAAATCATTTGACTTATTGATAGGATTTAAAGTGATGTGAACAGTAGTGTTTAGGGCTAGGAAACATTCTTTCATTCACTTAATAGAGCATTCACAATCTATGTAATGTATGAAGAGGAAATGGGGAGGAAAAAAAGAAGATAATTAGGAATGTAGGTAGGCTAGATAGAGCTGGAATGAGGTAAGGCTTGTAAAAATGCTTAAGGACAATAAAAAGGACTAGTCAATAAAGAAGAAAGAAGGCTTTTGATTAGGGAGATAACATTAAATAATGAGAAATACCCAAATTCTGTTTTACTTTTAAGTGTAGGAGAAGGGTTTTCATACTGCAAGGGAGACGGTTAAAAAAAAGCTGTCTAAAGACAAAGTTTTATTCCTTGGTATGTTACATGATAAAAAGCATCTACTTTCATTAAAGAAATTTAGAGCTCCAATTCCAGTAAAATACTTAGAGCAATGAAGTGTCAGTTTGAGTTTATTGATGTCAGTGGCTGCTTTTGGTTGTAGAGCTGTTCACAGTGTTTGCTTTTCTAAAATAATATTGAGTAATTAAAATCATCAATGTAAAAACTTGTCTTCAGGTTCAACTTATATATTTTCTTATTCTATTAACTAGCACATTGTAAACTAAGAATGCTTTTTCTGAGTGAGAGAAGACTTTGATTAATAGCCTAGTAATTATAATTGAACAGTAAGTCTCCCTTAAAATATCCTTGAGTAAAATGGCATTTATACTTGTTTTATTTTCCTGGAATACTCTTCTCAAATATTTTCATGGCCTGTTCCCTCACTTCTGTGGTTCAAATGTTACCTCAGCTAGAAAGGTTTTCCCTGAGGGAGTTTTTAAGGGACATCATTTACATAGACTTCAATGTGAATGGTGCTCTTTGGTGTGAACCTCATTTTACTACCTAAAATAGTATCTTCTTCCTTCACTTTCCCTGGTTTTTCTTAATAGTAATGATCATACCTGATGTTTATTGTCTCTTCTAAGAATATAATATCCATGAAGGATGGGATTATGTTTTTTCTGCTGCAGTTCTTAGAGCCTGGAATGATGCCTAGTTCATGGGAGATGGTCAGTGAATACTTGCTGAATTTATTTATTTATTTATTGAGCGAGATTTCAACACATGAATGGGGACACACACGTTTAGTCCATATAAGTATTTATATTATTATTATTCTTTGAGATGGAGTCTGGCTCTGTGTCGCCCAGGCTGGAGTGCAGTGGCACGATCTTGGCTCACTGCAACCTCTACCTCCTGGGTTTAAGCGATCTTCCCACCTCTGCTTCCCAAGTAGCTGGAATTACAAGCGTGCACCACCACACCTGGCTAATTTTTGTATTATTAGTAGAGGCAGGGTTTCACTGTGTTGGTGAACAGGCTAGTCTTAAAACTCCTGACCTCAAGTGATCTGTCTGCCTTGGCCTCCCAAAGTGCTGGGATTACAGGCATAAGCCAACGTGCCAGAATGCATGAATTTATACTGTAAAGTGTTGGAACAAGGTTGTGAGCCCTAGGAACATTGCAGTGTGAATATTAGCTATTACCACTGCTACTGCTGCTTAACTTAATTACATTCCGTATATACGTTTGATATACTGTTTTAGTTTTAAGCACTATTCCTTGTGGAGTAAATTTCAACAAGTAGGATTTTCCCAAATACTTTATTTATTTTTGAGATGGAGTCTCGCTGTCTCTCCCAGGCTGGAGTGTACTGGCGCAATCTCGGCTCACGGCACCCTCCGCCTTCTGGGTTCAAGCGATTCTCCTGCCTCAGCCTCTTGAGTAGCGGAGATTACAGGCGTGTGCCACCACGCCTGGCTGATTTTTTTATCTTAGTGGAGACTGGGTTTTGCCATGTTGGCCAGGCTGGTCTTGAACTCTGACGTCAGGTGATCCGCCCGCCTCGGCCTCCCAAAGTGCTGGGATTACAGGTATGAGCCACCACACCTGGCTTCCCAAATACTTTAAAACTTTAAAATTTTATATTTTCTCTAGCTTTATTGAGTTATAATTGGTAAATATAAAAATTTTAAATTTAATGAATGAGACAGTGAATCACAAATTTTCTTAAACATTCCAGTATTCTTATTAACCAAGCTAAATATTCATACACTTTTAAACTTAAAATCATAAGCGTGAAGTCAGTTACTATTTTAAATTTAGAAACTATCATTGTCTATAGGAACTTAAAAATATTTAGGATAGTTTTAAACCACACAGTATTAGTATCATGAGTTTGATATACGTAATTTCAATATTCTAATTAATCATGGACGTTGGGCAGTCACTTACCTTCGGGAACAGTTTTGCTGTCTTCAGCAAGTTGAGATTCCTGTGACATACTTTATGTCCACAGTTCAGTTACCATCTCTTGACAGGCTGTTTATCAGCTTGACATTGGCCTTGGAAGCTGTCTTTGTCTAGGTGGTTTTTCTCATGTCACAGATGGACATAATGAACTGTCAGTAAAAATTGTCTGTATGGTAACAGTGGAACTCTAAGTTGATGTTGGTTTCTTCTGAATTGAAGTTTAAGACCTTTTGTAATTGTTTTGTAATTGCTTTTTAACTCTATTGCCAGATCAAGTTTTGTAAACCTCACCCAGATTATTTCACCACTTGATTGGATTCCAGGAATCCATTTTCTGTCTGGCTGATAGCACAGGTTTTAGATCATTTAAAGACATTAAGGAACTGAGAGGTATTGATAGCTTTTGTTAATTTGTTGTAACAAAAAGTATGCCAGAAGACTAGAAACAGCATAAGGTCTTATTTTTAAAAAGGAAACCAGTAGTTTTGGAGATTGTTTTCCTAGGTATGCCTTGGAGAAGAGGCAGAGAAGTACAGGCTTAGCTCATCAGCATTAAGAACATTTCATTAATAGTGTAAAATAAACTTTCTTAAATACTGTTAGAAGGAATTAATGTCAGACTTTGAGAGAAGTATCTAAAAAGGTACTTTTTGTTGTCCATTTTTAATATTTTCATTAATGTTTTGAATAAATGTACAGTTGTGCTTATAAAATGTCAGAACAATTTAGCTGGCAAGGATAACTAAAACAACTTGTAAGTTCTGTCTGAAACTACAGGCAGAAACCTATAGTGTGAGCTGCTTAAAAGTGTGGAATTAAAAAAATATGGAATTCAGATAGAAAAAATTACATGAGTAAAATTTTGTTCAATTAATGTTAAGGCACTGTATGTACTAAGAGAATAAAAAATGTATTGCTCTATTCCTTCGAGGAGCCTATAATTGAATGGGGAATATAGATATATCAAACTATACATTGTAATTTTATGATAGGATTATTAAGCATTATGGGAGCAAAGGAGAGAGTAGTTAATTCTGATGGATCATTGAATTGGCCTTTGAGGAATAAGAGTTTTCTAGGAATTGAAGAGGGGAGAAAGTCATCTCCTTTCTTTCCCTCCCCATTCTTCTTTAAGGTACTGAAAAATCAGATTCAGGACAGTGTTTATTAAGACAGATATATTTGTGGGCAAATAAAGAGTAAATTGGAATGAGAGATTAATTAGGCTACTACAGTTGTTTAAATAGAATGATGATGGCCTGAGCTGGAGCAATAACAATAGAACAGAAAGAGTAGATAGTTTGTTTTTTTTTTTTTCCAAGACATTTTGGTGATAGAATAAGTAGGGTTTATTAGCCGGGTGCCATGGCTCACACCTGTAATCCCAACATTTTGGGAGGCTGAGGCGGGCGGATCACCTGAGGTCAGGAATTCGAGACCAGCCTGACCAATATGATGAAACCCCGTCTCTACTAAAAATGCAAAAATTAGCCAGGCGTGGTGGCACGCACCTGTAATCCCAGCTACTCAGGAGGCTAAGGCAGGAGAATCGCTTGAACCCGGGAGGTGGAGGGTTGCGGTGAGCCAAGATCGCGCCATTGCACTCCAGCCTGGGCAACAAAAGCGAAACTCCGTCTCAAAAAAAAAAAAATAGGGTTTACTGATTGTATATTATTAGGAGTTTAGTTTTATATAGTCTCAGACATCCAACTGGTGAGTTGCTTAAAAAAGAAAAAACAAATGAAGTACCAGGCTGCAGTAATAGGATTTTGTCCATAATAAGGGATATGATATTCATTCCATGTTGGTTAGGACACATTTACAATGTTGGCCTTATTTCTGAAAGCTACACTTTAAGAAAAGTAAATGAAAAGATAGATATGTCAAGAGGAGGGTAACCCATGAGAACCTTTGAAGGAATTGAGAGTGCTTATTGTGGAGAAGGAAGACTTGACAGGAATGAGTGAAGGAGGGAAGGGGACAGTTGTTTTCAGGTAATGCAGGGCTGTAATGAGTTGTTCTACAGGGTAGAATTAGATCCAGGATACCACCAGACTTTTTTTTTCTGAGAACTAAGATATTCTCTTAACTGCAGTTACAGTGATCAAAATTAGGAAACTTAACATTAATACCATTATCTAATTTACAGTCCACAATCAAATTTTTTCAATTATCCTAATAATTATTTTTATAGCTTTTTAAAATCGAAGATCATACATTGCATTTGATTTCATGTCTCTCCAGTCTCCTTTAATCTGGAACAGTTAGTCAAATTTTTTTTTTTATTAATTTTTTTTTTGAGACCGGGTCTCACTGTGTTACCCAGCCTGGAGTGCAGTAGCGTGATCATGGTTCACTGCAACTTCCACCTGCCAGCCCCAGGCAATCTTTTCACGTCAGCCTCCCGAATAGGTGGGACTACAGGTGCGTGCTACCATGCCTGGCTAATGTTTTGTTTTTTTGTAGAGACGGAGCGTCACTATATTATCCAGGCTGGTCTCCAACTCCTGAGATCGAGGGATCCTCCTGCCTTGGCCTCCCAAAGTGTTGAGATTACAGGCGTGAGCCACAGCACCTGGCCTCACATTTCTTTATTTTATGTATTTGTTTTTTGAGACAGGGTCTCACTTTGTCATCCAGGCTGGAGTGTAGTGGCATGAATTCGGCTCACTGTAGCTTTGACCTCCTGGACTCAAGTGATCCTCCTGCTTTAGCCTCCCAAGTAGCTGGGATTACAGGCCTGAGCCACCATGTCCGGCCTGGCCTCAAATTTCTTGACATTTTTTAAGAGATTAGGCCAGGTATTTAGTGTCCCTCAGTTTGAATTTCTTGTGGTTAGATTCAGGGTGAGTACACTGATACTTCCAATTCTAGTCACTACAGGGTATGTTCAAATTTCCCACCCTTCCATATTTGTGATATCTTAAGTTTTTTTGCTTCATGTTTAAAAATACCTGTTGGGTGAGGTGCATTGGTTTATGCCTGTAATCCCAGCACTTTGGGAGGCCAGGGGAGGAGGATCCCTTGAGCCCAGGAGTTTGAGACCAGTCTGGGCAACATAGCGAGAACTTGTCTCTACAAAAAAAAAGCCAGGCTGGGTACGGTGGCTCATGCCTGTAGTCCCAGCACTTTGAGAGGCTGAGGTGGGCAGATCATGAGGTCAGGAGTTTGAGACCAGCTTGGCCAATATGGTGAGACCCCGTCTCTACTAACAGTACAAAAATTAGCCGGGTGTGGTGGTGTGTGCCTGTAGTCGCAGCTACTTGGGAGGCTGAGGCATAAGAATCGCTTGAACCTGGGAGGCAGAGGTTGCAGTGAGCCTAGATCACGCCACTGTACCAGCCTGGGCGACAGAGCAAAACTCCATCCAAAACAGAAACAAAAACAATGGTACAGAAAAACCAAGTAAAAAAAAAAAAAAAAGCCAGGCATCATGGCTTGTGCCTGTAGTCCTAGCTACTCAGGAGATTTAGGTGGGAGGATTGCTTGAGCCCAAGAGTTCAAGGTTGCAGTGAGCTATGATCGTGTCACTGCACTCTAGCCTGGGCAACAGAGCAAGACCTCGTCTGGAAAACAAAAAAAATTCCTTGTTAGCAATTTGAAACTATAATCAAGAGATGAAAAGGGGGTGTCTTGTGATTTAAGAGACTCCTCTAACTTGGAAAAAGAAAGCAATTTTGAGTGCCCACTTTATGCCAGACATTCCATAATCTGATATGGAATGATAATTATTCAAGATTGGTGTGCCTTTTTCTTTCATGGAAGAGAAAAGTAGTTAATCTCTCCTCAGAGAGGTTGTAATTTTTTACCAGGTATCTAACTGCAATGCCCTTAATCATTCCTCTGTGATTAGGGCAGCTAAGTGTCAGAAAAGCCAGTATGGTATGTTTTCTAGGCTAAATAACTTCTGAGGGCCCTTTTAGTCATTGCATTGGAAATTTACTTGGTTTTTCTGTACCATTGTTTTTGTTTTTGTTTTTGTTTTGGTTTTGGTTGGAGTTTTGCTCTTGTTGCCCAGGCTGGAGTGTAATGGCGTGATCTTGGCTCACTGCAGCCTCGGACTCCTGGGCTCAAGCGATTCTCCTGCCTCAGCCTTCCAAGTAGCAGGTATTACAGTTACCCGACACTCTGCCTGGCTAATTTTTGTTTTTTTAGTAGAGACGGGGTTTCACTATGTTGGCTAGACTGGTCTCGAGGTCTGACCTCATGATCTGCCCACCTCAGCCTCCCATAGTGCTGGGATTACAGGCATGAGCCACTGCGCCTGGCCTCTGTACCATTGTTAACTGTATGGTGTTCTGAGTGATTTTCCTAAAGGGCATTCAATGATTTTTTTTTTTTTTTTTTTGCGTTAAAGCAATTAAAGCTCAATTTAATGATGGCAAATTAGGGTAACAAATGCACTTAGAGTAAATTAGGAATTTGGGTTTGAAGTTTCCTAGAAAAATATTTATAAATGAAAAATACGTGTTTGTGTTTATTGTGTGTTCATAAATGTGTGATTCTTTTTAGATCAACTATTTCTGTATATAATTGGAAGAAATAGAAATTAGTCCAGAATGGTAGAAAGCTTGAATTTGGTCATGATGGTAGTATGAAGTGTAGAGAGAAGCAGTCTGAGAGTTGGGGCCTAAAATAATAGGATAGAAGTAATGTGGCCTTCTGCAATTCCATATCTGGGTTATTCCTGAAAGGATTGAAGGCCGGGTCTTGAAGAGAGATTTGTACACCTGTGTTCATAGCCACACTGTTCACAATAGTTAAAATGTGAAAGCAACCCAAGTGTCCATTAATGGATGAGCAAAATGTGGTATATGCATAGGGAATATTATTTACCTCTAAAAAGGAAGGAGATTCTGACATGTTGCCACATGGATGAACCTTGAGGACATTATGTTAAGTGACATGAGCCAGTCACAAAAAGATACTGTATGTTTCCACATATATGAGGTATTTAGAGTAGTTAAAATCATAGAAACAGAAAGTAGAAAGGTAGTTGCCAGAGGCTAGAGGTGGGGGATATGCGGAGTTAATGTTTAAGGAGCGTAGAGTTTCAGTTTTACAAAATGGAGTTTTGGAGATGGATGGTAGTGATGATTGCATTATGAATGTATTGGATTACACTGAACCATACACTTAAAAATGATTAAGATGACAAATTTTATGTTATGTGTATTTTACCACAATAAAAAAAAATATTGGGGAGGGGAGAAGTAACTTACCTCTCACTAACGAGGCATACTCTTCTTTACCTGCTAGAAAATGAAATGTCAGCCAGGCACAGTGGCTCATGCCTGTAATCCCAGCTCTTTGGGAGGTTGAGATTGGAGGATCACTTGAGGCCAGGAGTACCACTCCAGCCTGGGCAACATAGTGAGACCCTGTTTCTATAAAAATTTAAAAAATAGCTGGGTGTGGTGGCAAGCCCCTGTAGTCCTAGCTACTTGGGAGGCTAAAGCAGGAGTATCGCTTGAGCCCAGGAATTTGAGGTGGCAGTGAGCTATTGTCCTGCCACTGCCCTCTAGCCTGGGTGACAAGAGTGAGATCCTGACTCAAAAACAAACAAACAAACAAACAAAACCACAACAACTGAGCTCTGCCTTCCCCCAATCCTCACTCCTCTAGTAATACTTTAAAAGGAACTTTTTTTTTTTTTTGGGTAATCAAAACATAGGATTCAACTGGTTTCTTTCTTTCTTTTTCTTTTTTTTTTTTTTTGAGATGGAGTCTCTCTTTGTCACCCAGGCTGCTGGAGTGCCGTGGCGTGATCTCGGCTCACTGCAACCTCCACCTCCCGGATTCAAGTGATTCTCCTGCTTCAGCCTCCTGAGTAGGATTACAGGCACGTGCCCCCACGCCTGGCTAATTTTTGTATTTTTAATAGAGATGGGGTTTTACCATGTTGGCCAGGTGGGTTTCACCATGTTGGCCAGGCTGGTCTCGAGCTCCTGACCTCAGGTGATTCACCCATCTTGGCCTCCCAAAGTGCTGAGATTACAGGAGTGAGCTACCACACCTGGATCAACTGGTTTTTTAAATTTAAAAATTGATTAAGTATATTAGAAAAATTCAATGAGATAATAAATCGAATTAAACTAAATTAAACATTTTTCTTTCATTAGTAATATTAAAACACTTAAAGCTACATTGAGTGATAGCAAATTAGTAAAGCCTATTAAGTCTTCTATGTAAAGTATGATTCAGAAATATATATTTTATATATATATGCATGATCTCGGCTCACCGCAACCTCCGCCTCCCAGGTTCAAGCAGTTCTCCTGACTCAGCCTCCCTAGTAGCTGGGATTACAGGCATGTGCCACTACGCCCGGCTAATTTTGTATTTTTAGTAGAGACGGGGTTTCTCCATGTTGTTCAGGCTGGTCTCGAACTCCTGACCTCAGGTGATCCGCCTGCCTCGGCCTCCCAAAGAAGTATATTTTAATGAACTTTCTTGCATAGTCATTTAAAAATGCATTTAGAATTTTTAACAAATGAAGCTTTATCTTAAAAGCCACCTGACAGTGTCCTTCAAGGATGGAAACATTTATATGCTGTGACCCAATAAGTCTGTTTTAAGGTAATAATCAAATGCAGACATAGAGTGTACAAGAATGTTAATCACAGCATTTTAAATAATAAATAGTATAATATCAGAAGCAGCTTAAATGTCCTAACAGAATGGAAATGGTCAAATTATAAACTATTTATACAGTTTTTATATGGCCATTAACAATTTTAGGCTGGGCGGTGTGGCTCACGCCTGTAATCCCAACATTTTAGGAAGCCAAGGCGGGAGGATCGCTTGAGCCCAGGAGTTGGAGATCAGCCTGGGCAACATAGGGAGACCTTGTCTCTACTAAAAAGAAGAAGAAGAAAAAAAAAAAAAGCCAGGATGTGGTAGTGTACACACCTATGACTATAGGTCCCAGCTACTTGGGAGGCTAAGCTGGGAGGTTCGTTTGAGCCCGGGAGATCAAGGCTGCAGTGAACAGTGATCTCCCCATTGCATTCCAGCCTGGGTGACAGAGTGAGACCCTGTCTCTAAAAAATAAAAAAATCCCAGACAATTTAGCCCTTAATTATGTGGCTTAAGTGGGGAATAAATGCCAGGATGCCAAATTAAGTGTGTGTTGTGTGAATTCTGATTTTTAAAATTCACATTGAAATAAGAATGGAAGAGAATACACTAGTATGTTGTGTTTTTTTTTTTTTTTTTTTTTTTTGAGACAAAGTCTCGCTCTGTCGCCCAGGCTGGAATGCAGTGGCGTAATCTCAGCTCGCCGCAACCTCTGCCTCCTGCATTCAAGCGATTCTCCTGCCTCAGCCTCCCTAGTAGCTGGGATTACAGGTGTGTGCCACTGAGCCTGGCTAATTTTTGTATTTTTAGTAGAGACAGAGTTTTGCCATGTTGGCCAGACTGGTCTCAAACTCCTGACCTCAGGTGATCCACTCACCTTGGCCTCCTAAAGTGCTGGGATTACAGGCATGAGCCACCGCACCCAGACCTACACTAGTATGTTAAGTGGTTGTTGAAATGGGGTAAGCTATATTTGTACTTTATATTGTGGATGTGTCTAAATTATTGTATTTTGTATAATTGTCCATTCATTTAACATTTATTGGATACTATATGCTTGTTAAATAATTTAACAATTATTTATTGGATACCTATACTTGGGGTCCTAGAACCAATCCCCCCCACGTATACTGAGGGATGACTATAGTCTGTTCTCATTATTCTTGGATTCCACGTTTGTGAACTCATTTACTGGCTAAAATTTATTTGTAACCCCCAAATCAATATGTCTGGCACTTTCGCAGTCATTTGCGGACATGTTCAGAGTGGTGAAATTTGAGTTGCTTGATGTACACATTTCCAAATGAGGTTAAACAAAATGACTCTCTGCTGCCTTGTTCTAGCTCTCTTGTCTATTTACTTAGTGCTACATCTTTCCCACTTTTTTTTTTAGAGGTGGTTTCACTGTTTAAAATTGCCCCTAAGTGTAGTGCTAAAGTGCTGTCTATAGTGTTCCTAAGTGCAAGAAGGCTGTGATGAAAAGTTATAGTGCTGTTGACTGTGAGTTCCGTGTTTATGAATCAGCAATATAAAAGTGTTTTTAGGCTGGGTGCGGTGGCTCACGCCTGTAATCCTAGCACTTTGGGAGGCCGAGGTGGGTGGATCACTTGATGCCAGGAGTTAGAAACCAGTCTGGCCAACACAGTGAAACCCCATCTCTACTAAAAATAGAAAAAATTAGCTGGGCGTGGTGGTGCACACCTGTAATCCCAGCTACTCAGGAGGCTGAGGCATGAGAATCACTTGAACCCGGGAGGCGGAGGTTTCAGTGAGCCGAGATCATACCGCTGCACTCCAGCCTGGACGACAAAGTGAGACTGTCTCGAAAAGTAAGTAAATAAATAAAGAAATAAAAGTGTTTTTAAATAAAAGTACAGATAAAACAAGGATATGTGTTGTTAGGCTGTTGAAAATGTTTTAGTCAGAGGCTAGCAGGAACTTCACTCTGAATTTCTCTTGTATTGAGTATTTGATAATTCAGTGCTCATGGCAACTTTATGAGAATCAACTATATATGATCTGTTATGGCACTTAGGGATTTTGAAATACTGAAACTAGCTTGGGAACTGCTTTACCTGTCCTGTAGATTCTTAGAGGTGACGGAGAGTCCAGCTTAGAGGTTGGTTAATATGCTGGTAAAAATTTTTGTGCCCTCTGAAGACAGTACAAATTCAAGAATTTAGAGCAATGGTGCATATCTGATAAGATTCAAGGTCTCAATATTTTGATATTCAGACCTTGACTTTGATATCAAAAGATATTTCAGGGAGGACTCTGTCCCATGAGAAATGGTAAAATATCCTAACTCATTGTGAATCTTTACCTTGATCCGTCTCCTTTAGATTATTTTATTTGCTTTTAAGACTTTTCCTAGTCTTTTTGATTGTTGTGTTGACAGAAACCATTGAGAATTCTTAAGACAGATGGAGCATGGCTTTTAGAGAGGATTAAGTAGTCATTTATTTATTACCTGTCACTGGCCTTAAAAAAAATTGACATTAAATAACATCCTTAAGGATAAGTATCACTAAATAAAATTAATGGAAATTTTGACTTTTTTCCTAAATTTAACTGACAAATTTAAAAAATATTTAAAGCAAGCCAAGAATTAAAATTTTTTGTAAGCATTTTCAAAATGCAGTATACAGTTAGGCAGCTATAAAATATATTGTTGTGAGGAAAACTGTAAGTTGATGAAAGGGAAACATTTGTAAAAATTAAATATATAGATGGATCTTTACATCAGGCATTTCACCTAGGCCTTGCTGAATTATTTATGCTTCATTTATGAATGTCCATTGAAGATGAATGGCTGTCCAGAGCTGAGATTATGTCTTAATGATAAGTACATAGTACACTGTGTGTGCTAAACTAATGTATCTTGAAATGAATCAGTCTTGCTAGTCCAATAATCATTTTCAAGTTAGTCTGTTCCAGGATTTAACAAGCTGGTTTGGACCTAAGAATGATATATGGTGCCTTCTCATCTCATTTCTTCTTCTAAGTCATAGATCAACAAAGGGATTTTTTGGAACTGAAAAGTCCAGGGTGTTTGTCTGGTTCAGGCTGAGCTAAGTCAGTACGTTTAAATGATGTCATATTAGTGCTCTGCTTCTGTTGCTCTACTGCTGACAAATTCAGCTTTATTTGTTGCTACCTGAAGGAGAGTTTTATCTATCTGCCTTGTCTGTTTGTCTGTCTCATTAGCTATTGTCTTAGTCTGTTTGGGCAGCTGTAACAGAAAACCATAGACTGGGTAGCAAATAAACAACAGCCATTTATTTCTCATGGTTCTGAAGGTTGAAAAGTCCAAGGGCAGATTAAGTGTTGGCAACGGCCCAGTTCCTGGTTTATAAGTGGCCATCTTCTCACTGTGTCTTCACATGGCTGAAGGGGCTTAAACTTGACTAAACCCAATCAAAGTAAAGGTAATTCTAGAAGAAAATTAATTTTGATCTTAAAAACCCTTTACTTGATCACATTATATAAATATTAACTCTTTTATTGGCTTATCATATGCTATGGTTTGAATGTCCCATCCAAAACTCATGTTGAAACTTAATCCCCAGTGTGGCACTATTGAGAGGTGGGACCTTTAAGACGTGATTGGATCATGAAGTCTCTGCCCTCATGAATGGATTAATGGGTTAATTGGTTAATGGATTAATGGGTTATCATGGGAGGGGAACTGGTGGCTTTATAAGAAGAAGAGAGACCTGAGCTAGCACATTAGCACGCTCAGCCTTCTCACCTTGTGATGCTCTGTGCTACCTCAAATCTCTTCAGAGAATCCTCATGAGCAAGAAGGCTCTCACCAGAGACAATTCCTTGACTTTGGACTTCTCAGCCCCTGTAACAGTAAGAAATAAATTTCTTGGCTCGGTGTGGTGGCTTATACCTGTAATCCCAGCACTTTGGGAGGCAAAGGTGGGAGGATTGCTTGAGTACAGGAGTTCGAGACCAGCTTGGGCAACATAGAACTTGTCTCTATTTAAAAAGAAAGAAAGGAAGAAATTTATTTTCCACAAATTACCCAATTTCTGGTATTCTGTTATAAGCATAGAAAAAGGAGTAAGCTTCATAGAGATGGAAAAGATATCCATCTATCTATGGAGAGGCGTGGGTACCAAACATAAGGCAATATGTAAGGCCTGATGTCAAAAGGGCCAGTTATGTTTATTTCCTATTTTTTCTTTTCGGTTTTGTTTTTTCAGTCTGTTAATATAGAGTGAATTGCATTGAACCAACCTTATGTACATGTAAGCCAGTCTTACATTTTGGGGATAAACATCATTTGGTCATGGTGTATTATTTTAAAAATATTATTATATTTGGTTTGTTAAAAAGTTGTTTGGAGTTTTACATCTATGTTTATGAGGAATATAGGTTTGTAGTTCAAATTTCTTGTAATTTTTTTGTCTGGTTTTGAAATCAGACTAATCCTGGCCTCATGGAATGAGTTGGGAAATGTTCCTCTTCAGTTTTCTAGAAGAGTTTGGGTAGAATTAGGATTATTTTTTTCCTTAAATGTATATCAAGTGGCATAGTTAAAATTTACCAGTGAACTCACCTTGGCCTGGAATTTATTTTTGCCAAGTTTTTAACTATAACTTCACTTTTTTTTTTTTTTTTTTTTTTTGAGATGGAGTCTCGCTGTTGCCCAGGCTGGAGTGCAGTGGCGCCATCTCAGCTCACTGCAATCTCCGCCTCCTGGGTTCACGCCATTCCCCTGCCTCAGCCTCCCAAGTAGCTGGGACTACAGGCGCCTGCTACCACACCTGGCTAATTTTTTGTATTTTTAGTAGAGACGGGGTTTCACCGTGTTAGCCAGGATGGTCTTGACCTCCTGACCTCTTGATCCACCCGCCTTGGCCTCCCAAAGTGCTGGGATTACAGGCGTGAGCCACCGTGCCTGGCCTAGCTTCACTTTCTTTAAGGATATTTAAGAAATAATTTCTTGAGTGAGTTTTGGGGAATTTGCAGTTTTTCATGGAATGTGTCCATTTCATCTAAATAGTTGGGTTTATTGACATGAAGTTATTTGTAATATTATCTTTTTTAATTTTTTTTTGAGACAGAGTTTCAATCTTGTTCCCCAGGCTGGAGTGCAATGGCACGATCTAGGCTCACCGCAACCTCCGCCTCCCAGGTTCAAGTGATTCTCCTGCCTCAGCCTCCCGAGTAGCTGGGATTACAGGCATGTGCCACTGCGCCTGGCTAATTTTGTATTTTTAGTAGATACAGGATTTCTCCATGTCGGTCAGGCTGGTCTTGAACTCCCGACCTCAGGTGATCCACCCACCTCAGCCTCACAAAGTGTTGGGATTACAGGCGTGAGCCATCGCGCCTGGCCGATTCTCTTATCTTTTAAAAACATTGAGATATACACTTAACCATAAAAATCACCCTTTTAAATTATACAATTTGGTGATTTTTAGTATATTTACAAAGTAGGACAACCATCAGTAGTACCTAATTGCAGAATACTTGCATCACCCTAAAAAGAAACCCCATACCTATAGCACTCACTTTCTACCATTTCCTCCCTCCCACAGTCTCTGCAATCACTTATCTCCTTTTTGTCTCTATGGATTTGCCTATTCTGGATTCTTCCTGCCTGCCTGCCTGCCTTTTTTTTCTTTCAGAATCTTGCCCTTTTGCCCAGGCTGGAGTGCAGTGGCACAATCGTGGCTCACTGCAGCCTCAAACTCCCAGGCTCAAGCAGTCCTCTTGCCTCAATCTTCTGAGTAGCTGGAACTACAGGCATGTGCAACTATACCTGGCTAATTTTTTAATTTTTTGTAGAAACAAGGTCTTACCATGTTGCCCAAGATGGTCTCGAACTCCTGCAGTTCAAGTGATCCTCCTGTCTGTCTAGGCCCCTCAAAGTGCTGGGATTACAGGTGTGAACCACTGCACCTGGCCTATTCAGGGTATTTTATATAAATGGGAATTTTACAATATGTAACCATTTGTGACTGACCTCTTTCAGTTAGCATAATGTTTTTAAGGTTCATCCATGTTACAGCATTTGTCAATACCTCACTGTTTTTTATGGCTTAAGTGTATTTCATTGTGTTGATATGATATTCCTTGTTTTGTTTATTCACTCAGCAGTTGATGGACCTTTAAGTTGCTTCCACTTTATAACTATTATGAATAATGCTGCTATGAACATTTTTGTACATGTTTTTGTGTGGACATATGTTTTCCTTTATTTTTGGGTGTATACCTAAGAATGGAATTTCTGGGTCATATGGTAATTGTATGTCTAACTTGTTGAGGAACTGCCAAACTATTTTCCAAAGCAGCTGCACCATTTTGCATTCCTACCAGCAATGTATGAGGGTGCAAATAACTCTACATCTTTGCCAACACATGTTTTTGTTGTCTTTTTTATTATAGCAATACTAGTGGGTGTGAAGTATCTCACTGTGGTTTTGATTTGCATATCCCTGAGGGCTAATGATATTGAGCATTTTTTCATGTGCTTATTGGCTATTTGTATATTTTATTTGCAGAAATATCTGTTTAAGTCTTTTACCCATTTTTAGATTAGGTTTATCTTTTTATTAAGTTGTAAGGGTTTTTATAGATAGAGAGATAATTACAAATATTTTCTCCCATTCTATGGGTTATCTTTTTATTCTCTTGAGTTCTTGGAAGCACAAAAGGTTTTAATTTTGATGATCCCCATTTATCTGTATTTTTCTTTGGTTGCTTGTGCTTTTTGAATTTTTATGTTTTAATTGTGGCAGAATATATGTAACGTAAAAGTTACCATTTTAACCTTTTTTTTTTTTTTTTGGAGATGGAGTTTTGCTCTTGTCGCCCAGACTGGAGTGCAGTGGTGTAATCTTGGCTCACTGCAGTCTCTGCCTCCCAGGTTCAAGTGATTCTCCTGCCTCAGCCCCAGAGTAGCTGGGACTACAGATGCACGCCACCACGCCCAGCTAATTTTTTCTATTTTTAGTAGAGACGGGGTTTCACCATGTTGGCCAAGATGTTCTCTGTCTCCTGACCTTGTGATCTGCCTGCCTTGGCCTCCCAAAGTGCTGGAATTATAGGCCTGAGCCACCGTGCCCAGCCCCATTTTAACCATTTTTAAAGGTTACAGTTTAGTGGCATTAAATATAGTCTCACATTGTGTGTAACCATCACTGTGGTCCATCTCCAGAATGTTTTTCATTTTGCATAACTGTAACTCTGTACTCATTAAGCAATGACGTGACATTTCCCCCTCCCTTAGTCCCTGGCAACCACCATTCTGTTTTTTGTTTTTATTAATTTGACAATTTTAGATAAACTCACGTAGTAATTGGAATCACACATTTGTCCTTGTTGGTTATGCTTTTAGCATCATATGTAATAAACTTGTTTAATCCAAGGTCACAAAGATTTGCACCTATTTGCACAAAGATTTGTTAGTGTTTTTTTATTTTTAAAGACAGATTCTCTCTCTCTGTCGCCCACGCTGGGGTGCAGTGGCGTGATCTTGGTTCAGTGCAACCTCCTGGGCTCAAGTGATCCTCCCACCTCAGCCTCCCAAGTAGCTGGGATCACAGGCACACACCACTACGCCCAACTAATGTTGTTTATTTTTTGTAGAGATGGGGTCTCTCTTTGTTGCCCAGGCTGGTCGTGAACTCCTGGGCCCAAGCTATTCTCCTCCCTCAGCCTCCTAAAGTGCTGGGTTTACAGGGATGAGCCACCATGCTCAGCAAGAACATTATCATTTTAGTGCTTACATTTAGGTCTTTGGTTCATCCTAAGTTAATTTTTGTATATGGTGTGAGGTAGGGGTTCAATGTCATTCTTTTGTAGGTGGATATCCAGTTGTCCTAGCAGCATTTGTTGGAAAGATTATTATGTCCTCAATGAATTGTTTTGGTACCCTTGTTGTGAAAATATCTATAGAACCATCTTTTTAAAACATCTATAGAATCTATAGCAACATCTCTTTTTTCTTTAATATTGATAATTTTGTTCCTGATGAGTCTGTCTAAAGATTTGTCAATTTTATTGATTTTTCTTAAGGAATCAGCTTTTGGTTCATTGATTTTTCTCTATTGCTTTTTTGTTTTCTATTTCATTGATTTCTGCTCATTGTTATTTTTTCTTCTTTTTCTGTGGATTATAGTATCCTTTTTTTTTTTTTCTAGTTTCTTAAGGTAGAAGCTGACATCATTGAGACCTTCCTTTTTTTCTAACACATGTTTACTGCTTTGGATTTCTCTGTAAATACTGCTTTTGCTGTTCCCCAGAGATTTTGATATGCTGCATTAATTCCCTTTGATTTCTTCTTTGACTTATGGGTCATTTAGAAGCATGTTATTTATTTCCAGGTATTTGAGGATTTTCGAGTTGTATTTTTTATCACTGATTTCTGATTTAATTTCATCGTGGTCACAGTTTAAATGACTTGAATCTTTTAATGTTCATTTGTTGTTATTCCTTCCAAGTAACTGCTTCCAAATAACTAAACTGCTTGAAACTATTTTTAGACTATTTATAATTGAAATGGCTGTATGAAAGTGATTTTTGATAAAGTTTAAATCTGTCACCTTGCTATTGGCTTTTTATTTTTTCTATATGCTTTTTGTTCCCTTTCTTCTCTTATGTTGCTGTCCTTTGGATTGAGTGTTTTAAACATGTTCTCATTTTGTTTCTTTTGTTAGCTTTTTTACTATTACTTTTTCTCTGTTCATCTGCTTTTTAGTGGTGGTTTTAAGATTTATACTATACATCTTAATTTATCTTAGCATACTTTGAAGTGCTGTTATACCACTTTACATGTAGTATAAGAATCTTACATTGTATGTCCCCTTTCCCACATTTGTGCTATTACATTTACTCCCATTTATGTTATAAACTGTACAGTATATTGGTATATTTTTTGCTCGTCAGTTATTTATGTTTAAAAACTAAGGGGAAAAGCTTTTTTTTTTTTTGAGATGGAGTTTTGTTCTCGTTGCCCAGGCTGGAGTGCCATGGCGCAATCTCGGCTCACTGCCTCCTGGGTTCAAGCGATTCTCCTGCCTCAGCCTCCCGAGTAGCTGGTATTACAGACATGCGCCACCATACCCGGCTAATTTTGTATTTTTAGTAGAGATGGGGTTTCTCCATGTTGGTCAGGCTGGTCTCAAGCTCCCGACCTCAGGTGATCCGCCCACCTTGGCCTCCCAAAGTGTTGGGATTACAGGCATGAGCCACCATGCCCGGCCAGGAAAAGTTTTTTATAGTTATCTTCATATTTACCATTTCTGGTGCTCTATATTCCTTTGGATATATCTAGACTTCCATCTAGTGTCTTTTCCTTCTGCCTAAAGAACTTCTTTTAACATTTCCTATAATGCATGTCTGTCTATGATAGGTTTTTTACTATTTTAAGTTTGAAATAATTTTTATGTCACCTTACTTTTTGAAACACATTTTATTGAGTATAGAATTTTTGGTTGACAACTTTTTTCAGTACGTCAAAGATATACCTCACTGTTTTCTGGCATGTGCTTCCACCGAGAAGTCAGCTGTCATTCTTATTTTTCTCTCTGTGCCTGTAATGTGTTGTTTTTCTCTGCTTTTAAGATATTCTTTATATTATTGATTTTTAAGCAGTTTGGTTATGAGCTGGCTTACTGTAGTTTTATTCATGTTTCTTGTGCTTGGGTTTATTGAGCTTCTTTGTATTTTGTTTTTTTGAGATGGAGTCTCGCTCTGTCACCCAGGCTGGAGTGAAGTGGTGCAATCTCGGCTCATTACAGCCTCTGCCTCCCATCTTCAAGTGATTCTTGTGCCTCAGCCTCCCAAGTAGCTGGGACCACAGGCACACACCACCACTCTTGGCTAATTTTTGTATTTTTAGTAGATATGGGATTTCACTATGTTGAACCCCACCCAATCTCCTGACCTCAAGTGATCCACCTTCCTTGGCCTCACAAAGTTCTGGGATTACAGCACTGAGCCACCATGCCTAGCTTATTGAGCTTCTTTGATCTGTGAATTCGTCATTTCCATCATATTTAGAAAGTTTGGGATCATTTCTTACAGTATTTTTTCTGCTTCTCTTTCAGTCTTTTGGGGACTTCAGTTACCCATGTTTTAGGCGTCTTGATGATATTCTATATCTCATTCATGGTTTTGTTTCCACTCTTGTTTCTCTCTGTTAGGTTTCTATTGCTATGGCATCAGATTGATTGACCTTTTCTTTCAGTGTCTAATCCCAGCATATTTTTCATTCCAAACTCTGTGTTTTTCTAAGTAGAAGAATCAATTCACATTAAAAAGACTTACGTATCTCTACTTAGCTTGCTTAATATATCCATCTACTGCTTTGAACATAAGAACTACAGTTATAACTGATTTAGTATTCTTATCTAGTGACTGTCATGTACAGTTCTTTTTCTGTCGATTGCTTTTTCTCATTTTAAGTGATATTTTCCTGCTTCTTTATATGATTTTTTTTTTTTTTTTTTTTTTGAGGCAAGATTTCACTCTGTCACCCAGGCTGGAGTACAGGGGCATGATCGTGGCTCATTGCAGCCTCAACCTCCTGGGTTCAAGCAAAACTCCCACCTCGGCCTCCCAAGAACCTGGGACTACAGGCATGTGCCACAACATCTGGCTAATTTTTGTAGAAATGGGGTCTTGCCATGTTGCTCAGGCTGGTCTCAAACTCCTGGGCTCAAGCAATCACCCACCTTGGCCTCCCAAAGTGTTGGGATTACAGGTGTGAACCACCACACTTGGCCTGTTTGGTAATTTCTGATTGGATTCCAGGCATTCTCAATTTTACCTTGTTTGGAGCTGGATTTTTTTTAATTCCCATAAATATTCTTGGCCTGTGTTCTGGGACACAGTGGAGTTCACTGGAAATGGCTTTATCCTTTTGAGGCTTGCTTTTCATCTTTGTTAGGTGAGACCAGAATAGTCTTTAGTCTAGAGCTCAGTTTGCACCACTACTGATGCAGTGTGGTACTGAGCATTGTACTTCATGTCCCACAAATTATGAGGTTGTCTACTGTGGCTAGTAGGTTAACCAGTTGTTCCTGACTATATGTGAGCCACGTGTGGTGTTATGCCTTGAGCTGGCTCATGAGAGCCGATTGTTAAAATATCAGGAAGTTTGTGAGCTAGCTTAATTCTTAAGATAATTAAATTATATAAGCATAATTAAATCACTTATTACGAACAAAGGTAGTAAATGCTCAGAACTCATTACCTCATATAATTATATTATTTTATATTACTGTTTTTGTGCACTCATGGTAATTTATATCTATTGGGTATTTTTTTTTTTTTTCCTTCCTGAGACAGAGTCTCACTAGGTTGGCCTGGCTGGAGTGCAGTGGTGCAATCTCAGCTCACTGCAACCTCTACCTCCCGGGTTTAAGCGATTCTCATGCCTCAGCCTCCTGAGTAGGTGGCACCACAGGTGTGCACCACCATGCCCTGCTAATTTTTGTATTTTTAGTAGGGATGGGTTTTCGCCATGTTGGCTAGGCCGGTTTTGAACCCCTGGCCTCAAGTGATCTGCCTGCCTTGGCCTCCCAAAGTGCTGGGAGTATAGATGTGAGCTGCTGCAGCCAGCCTTATTATGTCCTTATGGTAGAAACACTATGTAATGTATAATGTGTTGCCATGTATTTTTTTCCGATTCTTATTCACTGATATGTCAGTAGCTTGAAATTGGCTGTGGTGGAAGTATATATACCACAAACATTAGTAACCCTATAAACTAGGAACTACATACTACTTACCCTTCAGTTATTACATGTTTTCTGGCATACCCTTGCCTATGGATGTCTTTCCCTGTTTTACTGATCAATACTCAGCTCAAGATTTAAGGAGGTCCCCTGCAGATTATCTGAGATCTTGCCTCTCCTTTCTGCTCTCTCCTCTGTGGTACTATGTTCTGGGAGACTGTAGCTACCTTGGCCTCCCCTAAACTCCTCACTTCATTATCTTAACTCCAGAAAACCACTGAGCTTGCTTGGGACACCTTCCTTTCTCTGCAGCTTAGAAATTCTCCAGTAAGTAAACTGGGGACAATTGTAGGCTTTACCTCATTTATTTTTTCTCTTTCATTGATCACTGTCCTGTGTTGTCTTGTTTCTTTTGTCAGAAATAATTTTCATACTTTTTTTGGTCCAGATTTTTAGTTGTTTCAGGTGGGAGCATAAGTTTCATCCCTGTTACTCTATGTTGGCAAGAAGCATAAGTCTCTTGGAAGAATTTTAGGTAGGAGAATGACATATCATTCTGTAGAGCATGCATTTTTAAAGGATAAGACTTAACGAAAGCAGAGCTGGGCGCCATAACTCATGTCTGTAATCCCAGCACTTTGTGAGGCTGAGGTGGGAGGATCACTTGAGCCCAGGAGTTCAGGACTAGCCTGGGCAACATGGTGTGAAACCCTGTCTCTACAAAAAATACAAAAATTAGCTGGGCGTAGTGGCATGCACCAGTAGTCTCAACTACTTGGGAGGCTGAGGCGGGAGGATCATTTGAGCCTGGGAGGTCGAAGGCTGCAGTGAGTGGTGATTGAGCCACTACGCTCCAGCCTGGGCAACAGAGTGAGACCCTGTCTCAAAAGAAAAAAAAACAAAAAACAAAAAACTTAGACTAATTAGAAGGCATTTGGGTTAGTTCAAATCAGAGCCTAAGGTTGGTCATGGGTGATGATACTACAGAGGTAGGAACAATTTGAGAAATATTTAGGAGGAAGAATCTAGTTTAGGATTTCTAAAAGGGTGTATCATAACTCATTTACATCTGAATCTCCTAAATGTTGATAAATGAAGATTGTATGCTCCATTCCAAGTTTATTGAATCTGAATTTTTTTTTTTTTTTTTTTGAGATGGAGTCTCGCTCTGTTGCCCAGGCTGAAGTGCAGTGGTGTGATCTCGGCTCACTGCAACCACCACCTCCCAGGTTCAAGCAATTCTTCTGCCTCAGCCTCCCGAGTAGCTGGGAATTACAGGCACACACCACCACACCTGGCTAATTTTGTATTTTTAGTAGAGACAGGGTTTCATCACGTTTGCCAGGCTGGTCTTGAACTCCTGACGTCAGGTAATTTGCCCACCTCAGCCTCCCAAAGTGCTGCATTACAGGCGTGAGCCACTGCGCCTCGCCTGAATCTGAATTTTTAAGAATGAGGTTTAGAAATTTGTATTTTATTTCATTTTCTTCTCATTTTGTTTTTAAGAGACAGGGTCTGTTTTACTCAAATTGGAGTGCAGTGGCTGTTCATAGGTGCAGTCCCACTACTGATCAGCATGGAAGTTTAGACCTGCTCTGTTTCTGACCTTGGCCCATTCTGCCGTCCTTAGGCGACCTGGTCATACCCTGCTCCCTGGAGATCACCATATTGATGCCGAACTTAATGCAGACACCTGATTGACATAGTGCACTACAACTTAGAACTCCTGGACTCAAGCGATCCTCCTCCCTCAGCCTCCCAAGTAGCTGGGACTATAGGCATGTGTGACTGTGCCCAGCTAGAAATTTGTATTTTAAACATGTACCTAGATTTAATGCTTATGAACACTGAAGTTTTATTTCTTTTAATTAATTGATTAATTAGTTAATTTTTTAGAGACAGGGCTTCACTTGGTTGCCCAGGCTGGAGTGCATTGGTGTGATCATAACTTACTGTAGCTTGTAGCCTTGAACTCCAGGCCTCTTGCTTCCTGAGTAGCTAGGACTACAACAGGTGCACACCACCATGCCCCACTAATTTATTGTGTGCATTTTTTTTTTCTGTAGAGACAGGGTCTTGCCAAGTTACCCAAGCTGGTCTCGAACTCCTGGCCTCAAAGTGATCCTTCTGCCTCGGTCTCTTAAAGAGCTGAGATGACCAGCGTGAGCCATTGTGCCCAGCCCGAACACTAAAGTTTTAGAAGAAACTGATGTAGTTTTTTCAAAGTATGATCATCACTGGGAGCCCATACATTGGAATGACCTGAAGTGCTTAATTGAAAATGAAAATTTATGCATTTGTCTTCAGGCCTTCTGAATCTGAATTTATGAGGTGATTGGGTCCAGGGATTTCTTAGACACACTAAAATTTGGGAGTCAGTAACCTGAAGTACTTCACAGATGTGATCTCTTTTGAACTTCACAATAACCCTGAGAGGTAGTAGGCAGGTATTATGTGTTTCATTTTATAGATAAAGTACAGATAGGCAAAGTGACTTGCTCATGGCGAAATAATTATTGATGACAGAGAATCACATTTCTGTCTCCTTCCACCAAATCCTATATTCTTCCTATTGTCTTTCTATTGGCTGTGAAATAGGCTTATCTTTGAAAATCTATAGAAGGCATCCAAGACACTGAACATGTGGTTCTGAGCAGAAAATGTACTCTTCTTTGATTATTGTACCAAATGAAAATTCGGTTCAGCTCTTTATAGCAAGTAGCTGTGAAAGCTTAATTGTCTAGGAAAGGTGTTTCTGGGCTGGGCGTGGTGGCTCATGCCTGTAATCCCAGCACTTTGGGAGGCCAAGGTGGGTGGATCACCTGAGGTCAGGATTTGAGACCAGCCTGGCCAACATGGCAAAACCCCATCTCTACTAAAAGTACAAAAATTAAATGGGCGTGGTGGCAGGCGCCTGTAATCCCAGCTACTCAGGAGGCTGAGGCAGGAGAATCACTTGAATCCAGGAGGCAGAGGCTGCATTGAGTCGAGATCGCACCGTTGCACTCCAGCCTGGGCAACAAGAGCAAAACGCCGTCTCAAAAAGAAAAAAAAAAAAAAGAAAGTTATTTCTGTCTTTGACCATATCTTTATGCTTTTTACAACTGACGTTGAATGTCTCTTTCTTATAAAATCATTTAAAATCATAGTATAGTGCCTATATGTGATACTTTCACTTACAACAAGTGAAGAATCAGGTAATAAATATGACTCTGTTGTATGACCTTCCTTTTGAATTTTTTCCAAGCTCTTATAAAACTAAAAAATAATTTGCCTGAGAATTTAGGGATTGTGCTTAACTTTGAACTTCATTGTTTTATTTTAATAGTAAGTTGTGTGGCTTATACCCTGGTTATATCACTAGGGCTGTATCTTCTAGTGAGATTTACGTAGTCTTTTGAAGTGATTACATGTGTGCTGTGAATCTGAGATCACGTAATCTATTTAACACAGTAGTACCAGTGTTAAGACTGCAAGAAGTAGGAAAAGTAATTCTTTTCAGTGAAGATTGGTTTTGGGTTTGCTTTGGAATGCTTGAATAGTCAATGAATTTTATTAGTACATGAAAACAAGCAAAGCTCTGTTCCAAGGGAATAAATAAGATGGCTTTAGGAATAGGACTTGGATAGTTTGTTTTCTATTTTGTATGCTTTTTAAAAGACAAAATGCTGTTTTTTAAACTTCTAGAAGTAAGTAACTGTAGTTAAATAATTCAAATGAAAAAATTACTGTGTATTGTCATAATTCAAAGCAGTGTTTCTGCTGCAAAAAGCATATAACAGTTTTGCAGAATGCTTGAGTTTGAAATGTATATTGAATGAGGTGAAGAACACAATACAGGGGCTACAAGAGTTTTGGCTAGTTTAATTTCCTTGCTTTTTTGTTACAAGAGATGTCATGACAATTTTTAAACTTAAAAAATACTTAGATCGGTTTTTTCTTTTTTTTTTTCTTTGTTACCCAGGCTGGAATGCAGTGATGCAATCAGGTCTCACTGCCCCTCTAAGGATCCTCCCTAGCAGCTGGGATTACAGGCGCACACCACCACATGTGGCTACCTTTTTCTATTTTTTTGTACAGATGAGGCCTCACTTTGTTGCCCAGGGTGGTTTCAAACTCCTAGGCTCAAGCGATCCTTCTGCCTTGGCATCCCAAAGTGTTAATTTTTTTATGGTGTTACTTATATAGTTTTAATGTTTGAAAACAAGTGAATAAGGAATTGTGTTTGAGGATAGATGTTTCTTAATCGCTCTATTGTTAATGAAACTTCTCACTGAGAATATCTGAATGGTTGACACCCCTAATAACAAGTTTTATCCAGAAAGCATGTGTAAGGTTATCTGCATTTTCATTAAAAAAAATTTTGTTTTTGAGATAGGGTTTACTCTGTTGCCTGGGCTGTAGTGCAGTGGCACGATCATGGCTCACTGCAGCCTCAATTTCCGGGGCTCAGATGATCCTCCCACCTCAACCAAGTACTTGGGACTACAGACACACACAACCACGTCTGGCTAATTTTCATTTTTTTTTTTTTTGTTTTGTTTAGAGAAGAGGGCTCACTATGTTGCCCAGGCTGGTCTCGAATGCCTGAGCTCAAGGGATCCTCCTGTCTTGGCCTCCCAAAGTGCTGAGATTACAGGCATGAGCCACCATGCCTTGCTAGGTTATCTGTATTTTCCACGTAGATTTGTACTCTTTTTACTGTGTAATGGAGTGGTACAGCATGATGAAACATTTTGGAATGCCATTCATACGCTGCTTTCTTTGATATGTATGAATGAACATTCTTTTGTAGCTCCTTTTTTTCACTGATAAACTGGTTAAAATGACTTAAAATTCTGTACGGTGCTTTTGGTCATCAATGTAAGTGTGTAGATCTATTTCTCCAACTTGTAACCGTCAACCAAGTCTGTTTTTAAGAAGCTTACCTTTAAGGAATGTTTGTATACCTACATGTCAGTTTATTTTAAATAACATTTATTTTCTGTTTACTTCCAAAATTACTTAAGAAAGATATCAGATGTTTAAAGTGACATTTAAAGGACCGTCATTATCTTTTTTTTACTTCATTTTTAATTATAGATTTATTCCCTAAAATATAAAACACACAAAAAAGTACTTTTTCTATTAATGGAGAGTAATTGTAGACTTAAGGAAAATGACATATGTCTATATTGGTGGTAAGAAAAGGAACCTGAGGAGCTCTTCAATTTGTAAGGGTTTAAGTATGGAATTAAATTTAGAATGTTTGTATGTGGGTACTCCCTGAGAAGAACTTGGAAGTGTTAGCCAATCATCTTAGTTTGTTGAAGACACATATTTCACAGCTAAATGTAAGGAATTACTTGTGAAGTTTAGTAGAAAATGAAGTGTGCTATATAAGTGTTTGGAAATATTACCAATTTTATTCACAAATTTGTAAACGGTAACACATCTATAGTGACTATATTATGGTTTCTCTTCACAGATATCAAGTTATTCTAGTACAACCATATAAATAAATAATACCTGAAGTCTCAGTGTAACATGGACAATTAACAGTGATGACAGATAAATACAGACGCATGGGGATCAAATACTAGGCAAAACGCTTTTTAAAAGGTAAGAAATAATGTAATCTTAATTAAGGCCATGTGGGGTTTAGTTAGAAGTAATTGATTGAAGTTTCTTTTTCAGTGTATCAGGCTTTTAAGAAACACTGCAGGATCCTGTCTATCTTAATGCTGATAGAGCTCAGCTGTAAGTATCAGTTCTGTGAAAATAACAGTTGCAGATGTTCTTGCCTGCTAAATATCGTAGTGGATAATCTTCCTATAGTGAACTCTATTCAAATAGAGTAGTTATGTGGTTGATTAGAACTTGATAGAGTGCTACTAGGGCACATTCCAGTATGCTCAGAGATATACTTTAAGTTGTAGATGTTCTTTGCTTTTGATGATTGCTACTACCATCACACACTGTAAAACGTAATGTTTTGCCATGTTTGTGAAAGGCTTCAGTGTTTGGTACAAAGGAGTTGTCACTTGGAGTCTGTTATAAGAAGAGTGGGTTTTCAAGTCAAGGGTTACTTTATGTAGGATCATGTTTTCGCTGAGCTTCTCCCCATGTTAACTTAGAACATTTCTTAATGTACTGTAGTATTAAATGGTTATTAGACAATTTTCCTACCTTGTGCTTTTTAAAGCATTTCCAGGGCATGTTTGGGAGAGGTGGCATCTATAGATATTAGATATTACTATCCCTATTCTCTTTCTAGCTGACTAGAGCAGTAACCTATTTTTATTATGCAGTAAGTCTGCCTAGTAATTACAAGATTTTGTAATTATATCAGTCTTTAAGTTGTAATGCTTTCCCCAAAATGTATCACTATTATAATATCTAGTTTTATGCTTATAATAAAGCGACAGTTTCTGTCATAAACATCTGCTGGTCGTTTTCTTAGTCCTCTTCCTTGTTTTCAGATGGGCACTCATAGTAACCCATTTAGCAGATTGTACATTCTCTCTTTTTTTTTTTTTTTTTGAGACTGAGTTTTGCTCTTGTTGCCCAGGCTGGAGTGCAATGGGGTGATCTTGGCTCACTGCAACCTCTGCCTCCCAGGTTCAAGCGATTCTCCTGCCTCAGCCTCCTGAGTAGCTAGGATTACAGGCGCACACCACCATGCCCAGCTAATTTTTTGTATTTTTAGTAGAGATGGGGTTTCACCATGTTGGCCAGGCTGGTCTCGAACTCCTGACCTTGTGATCCACCTGTCTTGGCCTCCCAAAGTGCTGGGATTACAGGTGCGAGCCACTGCACCTGGCCTGTACATTCTTTGAAAAGGATATCATAATAAATTATTATATAGTAAAAATTAACCAGACTGTTCTAAGAAATGGAATGTAATTAGATTAATTAAATTGTCTGGCTAATTGGGTACTAAAACCGGAAAATCCTTGTTGTTCTTGTTCTTGTTAAAAATACATATGCCAAAAATAATAGAAATGTCCTTTTGTAATTGAATTTTGTAGCACTTGAATAAGCATCAAGGTTTTCCTATAGGTATAGAAGATTTGGTTGATTATTTGTGTGATTCTTTTATGCATAACCTAAATGGTTATGTATACTTGATGTCGAGAATTTGGGAAGTCCTCTAGGACAAGAGTACGAGATGATATTATAAATTCTGTTATGAGAAATGCTATCAAGGGCAACCTTTATCACCGCAAAAAAAAAAAAAAATACTCCCTTAGAGCAATGTCTAGAAAAGAGCAAGTCACATTTTGACTCAGTTCAAACTAATATTGAGTTGTAAGGATTTGGTATATTTTAGTATCTTTTTGGTTTGCTTTTGTTGATTTCTAAAAATCCTATTTCAGTTTCTTAGTATTCTTGAGGCTACAGAGTTACCGAGAAGCATGAAAGATGTCACTATGAACAGTTTCTGTACCTGTATTTCTTCTTATTATAGAAGGAGTAAATCTATTAGCATAAGTTCATCATCTTCTTTAATCCTTTTTTTTCATTATTTTATTTTAAAGAAAAATTTAGGAGGTTCTAGTATTCTTCATGGCTGAAGCTGAGAGAGTCTGAAACCCTGATGCTTAAGCTCCATTCTAGATCATAGCTCCAACTCCTTCAGGATATAAGGAAAAGAGATTATATTTCCACAATGATAGATCTTTGGTTGTACAGGTAAGTTATTTAGTTTTGCAGTAGTGAAGACAGCTATAGTTTGACTTCTTCTTCTTTTTTTTTTTTGAGATGGGGAGACTTGTTATTTTTCCATACATCCTCTGGGTGGCAACTTGTAGTTTGGCTGGCTGTTTATAGGAGTATGGAGCTGCAGGGAATGGGTTAGGAATGAAATATTTCCCTCCCTTTTTTTTTCAATGGGGTATAAATGAAGTGACTGATTATGTTGGAATTTTTTACTCAGGAGGCATTGTGAAATTCCTTGACTTCCTTTTCCTGATCGTCTTTTAAAGTGTGTGTTCATTTACTTTTGTCTATCTGTCTGTCTGTCTGTCTGACTGTCCGCTTATCTGCCTGCCTACCTACCTACCTACCTACCTACCGACCATCTGTCATATATCAGTTTCTCTTAATGGGAAAGAAATAAGAAGTCTCTTTATGTAAAACAATGCATAATAGAGTTCCCAGACTTCAAAGAGGTGACTATTTAAGAACCTTAAGTTGAATTGCATGGGTGGGTTACCAGCCAGGTTTTACTCTTCTACTTTTAACATTATAGATATGGTGGTAATTGCACTGCTGAGGTATTGTCTTAAAATAATTATATGACAAACATGGCCTCAACGTTATTAAATAGTTTATGTTTAGACAACTAGAAAAAGAATCATATTGGTTACACTTTCCAGTTGCATTTGCTCTTTTTTCCTTTTACTTTGGTTTGTCTATGTGAATATATTCTGGTATCATGACCAGTTTACTAAAAATTTTTCACTTAATAAAACTAAATATTATGATAATAAATATCAGCTAAACCATTGGTGTGATGGAAGATTGCCAGCTGCTCAATTCCCAAAATAAACTGTACCACTTTGGTGATTATAGTAGGAACAAAAGCTTATAGGCAAGGTCTTTGAAATATCTTTTTGAAATTTCTTTCTCTTAAGTAAATAGCTGGAGAAGTGTGTCATTAGGTGGGCCTTTTTTGTTTAATAATTATTATCTGTTTTAGTTCTTATGCGTACAGTTCTACAGGTATGATCATAGGAGCTGGAAATTTATGACCTGAAATGTAGCTGATAATGCTTCAAAGAGTGTTTTTCAGAATCCTATAGTTATATTTGGGTAACAGTAGATTCAAATTTATGAGAGGGCAATTCAGCAGCAAATATGTGGGTAGGATATGTGAAATTATAGGTAGGATTGAGGGCTTAATATGAATGGACAAGTTGAAATTCGGTTGACTAGTCCTTCTCAGATATGGCCTCCAAGAGGATGAGAATTTATGAAGGTGGGGAAGAGAGGGAGGGAGTCTGGTTAATTCTAGTTACTGACCACACTCTTTTTTCTCTGAATTCTAGAAAGTGCAACCATTCATTATTTGGTAGATAACATATAGGAAAAACTCCAGTGTAGTTGTTAGTTAGATTGCGTTTTGCCCATATGAATATGTTAATTAATGGCTTCCCTTATTTCTAAAACTAGATTGATTGCATTTCTAATTTCAGATGGATGCTGGCTAAGGTTTTTACCATATACCTCTTATTTTGTTAGCCAACAGGGTTATTTCCTGAGATAATTTGTAAATAAGTTCATTTTTATTCCTTAACAATATTTGGCAGAAATATAATTTTGTACTCTAAGCTTCTTTATTGTATTCTTAAGAAACATTTTGCAATGCAGCTAAAATGAGGAAAACAACTGCTTTAGTCTATAATATTTTGCTAAGCTTGGCAAAACAATGTTGAGACTTGGTTGAGATAATACAGACTTTTTATTTTTTATTTTCTAACAGAAAGGGTCTCACTATTGTCCAGGCAGTTCTCAAACTCCTGGGCTCAAGTGATCCTCTTGCCTCAGCCTCCTGAGTATCTGTGACTGTAGGTGCCCCCACTTCCCTGCCCCTGCACCTGGCTAATCTAGACATTTTTGGTCCCTTTTTATTAACTGAATTTTGCACTCAGTTTATTAGATAATTATAGAAAGTGTGTACCTTTATATATGCCTATCCAAAATAGAAAAGATATGAAGAAAAAGGTTAGAACAGAAAAAAATGATCAGAGGGAAGATTAGCAAAATTTTGTTTAACTCTGATCTTAATAATTTTAACCAGTTTATTACCTCAAGTGCACATCACATGTTAATTTCAGGTAAGATTTTTTATAGTCTTCCATTTGGTGCTTCCTTGGTCTTATTTATAAATTTTTTTATTATTAGGATCCAGTAAGAAATTAAAGGGTATTTTATAAATAGTTCTAATTTAGTTTGAAACTTGATGACTATTATCTTATTAGAATTCTGTCTGGGTTCACTAGCCTAAGGCAGTGCTTCTCAAACCCTAATACATACATGAATCACCTAGGAGCCTAATTCGTTGGTAGGTCTGGGGCGGAGCCTCGTATTCTGCATTTCTAACAAGCTTCCAGGAGATGCCCGTGATTGAGCTGCAAGAGCCTGAGGTACCACAAGGATCCTTGTTATAAAACAAGTTCTCTTTCAATACAGCCCAATAGCACAGAATTTGACAATCCTAGCACTAGGGCTTTGTTCTAGTTATTGAGTGAAATAAAAGCATTTTTAGGGTACAGAAGAAATGGAAAGAACCTTAATCTTTTATATTAATCAGTGTTTTCATATTTTATTTAACTTTTGTATTAATCAGTGTTTTCATATTTTAATCAGTGGAATGGTGAAAAATTAAGATAGGCCTTACTATACGTGATTTTTTTTTTTTTTTTTTTTTTTTCAAGACAGGGCCTTGCTCCCATCACCCAGGCTGAAGGGCAGTCACATCACTACACCCTTGACTTCCCAGGCTCAAGTGATCCTCCCACTCAGCCTCCCTAGTACCTGGGACTACAGGCAGGCTTCACTACACCTGGATAAATTTTTTGTATTTTTAGTAGAGACAGGGTTTCGCCATGTTGCCCAGTTTGGTCTCGAATTCCTGGGCTCAAGTGATCCACCTACCTCGGTTTCCCAAAGTCCTGGGATTACAGGCCTGAGCCACCATGACCAGCTTATAGGTGATATTTTATAGTAAAGAATATATGTATAAAAAAAAGGTTTTTAGTACTACTAATAATAGGTTCATTTCATCCAAAATAGTCTCTCTTTGAGAAGTTTGTACTGCAAGGCAAATTTTGCTCCCATTCAGATTGGTGTGGAAAGAAAAGGTTAAGGAAGTCTTATTATTGGAATAATTTAAGAGGTTTTTATGCCCTTAATTGGGATTGCATTTTAAAAAGTAAAGACTAACAGATTCTTTTGTGTGTTTATAAAGTATTTCTATTGTCAGTATTATTTTTGAACCATAAATTATGAGTATAGTTGAATTTACATTAAAGATAATATGTATTAGATTTTGTAGGCATTTTAGTTATTAAATTTAACTTAGCCTTATGCTTTTTTTGTGCATTTACATACATATTTAATATTTAAAAATAAGTAATCTTAACCCTTTAGAGTGCCAGATTTGGATACATGAAACAAGTAAGTTGCTTTTCATGTATTTCAGTTTGTGTTCTTTTCTTTTTATTTTTTTTTGAGACAGAGTCTCGCTCTGTTGCCCAGGCTAGAGTGCAGTGGCGCGATCTCGGCTCACTGCAACCTTTGCCTCCTGGGTTCAAGCGATTCTCCTGCCTCAGCCTCCCGAGTAGCTGGGATTACAGGCATGTGCCACCATGCCCTACTAGTTTTTGTATTTTTAGTAGAGACGGGGTTTCACCATGTTGGCCAGGCTGGTCACGAACTCCTGACCTCAAGTAATCCGTCTGCCTTGGCCTCCCAAAGTACCGGGATTACAGGCATGAGCCACTGCCCCTGGCCAGTTTGTGTTCTTTTAAAACATCATTTGAAGTTTAACTTAAATGTTTTACAATTAAAAGTGGAAAATTATGGGACACTCAGTGTTTGTTACCCATGAAAGAAACAGATTGTAATCTTCATGATAATATATTAGCAAACGATAATTAAATGTCAGCTGTTCTTTTAATGAATCCCCCAAACAATGAAAGTTTACTACTGTAAGAAATGTGTTTCTAAGTTCTGATTTGTGTCTTGTACTTATTGTTCACTTGGTTGCTATGAAATTCTGTAGAACATATAACCATGCTTTAATTCCAGGGCTAGTTTTGTGATTCTTATAAGATTTAAAAAAATTGTTAATTAAAAATTTAAAAGTATGCCATACTTTGAGACAACACTAAACTCAGGCAACTTAAATATTTTACAGGGTACTTTCTCACTTAATTCACTTGTCAGCAGGCAGGAACAGGGAGATTATTTCCTGTAGTGTTTCTTTTTTATATGTGGTAGCATGTTGCTGTGTCTTCTATAATTCTTCCAAACTTTCCACTGTTAGATAGTTCTAGTTGAAGCAAGGAGAAATTGTGTTTGATTTTTAGGGGTAGGAGTCAGAATGGCATTTGGAGGTTTACATGAGAAGGGAGACTGTTGATGACCAAAGGCAGGAGGAAGGGACTGTGAAACTTTGCACTATTGCCACCACTGGCCTCTTTCTCTAACTAATCATCCTGCATCTCATTCAAAGTTAGGAAATAAAATGACAGGGTACCTTGTGAAAACTAAACAGAAGAGGAGTCGGGGAATAGAGACTTCAAATATTAACAGCTCCTTTATTCTGCTTGATGGGAGAGCCTCTGGAAAATATCACCAAATCACTAGTTTACCCAAATGGATCAATCAAGGCATTTTTCTATATCCCTTACATTTCTGTCATATAAACCTCAAGCATCCACACCAGAATACCTGCTCATCTCCCAAACCACACATTAAAACTGGCACTGGCATATGCTATACACAGGAGTTCAAAGAAGGAAAGGGTGGGATTACAGGAGTAGTCTTGATTTCTTAAATGTAAGTATTTGCTTCAGAGGCTTCTTCCCCATTTTCTTTTCTGGTCTTTGGAACACTCCCTTTCACTTGCTAATTTATGGCTTTATTTCTAGAGACTAGGAAGGCTTGGGTTTGCTTTGTTTTGTTCTTAGCCAATGCAAGCTAGCATTGTGATTTTTGTCTATTTAGTTATGAAAAATTATACTGCAATAAAAAATTTTTGGATGCCAGATTATTATTAAGGGATTTGATCTGAAACTCATTTTAGCAAAAGTAAATTAAAAAGAGGAGAGCCTGCCTTTCTGTATACCGGGAACATTTTGAAAGAACACGAGAAATGATTGGAATAGTTTTTTGAAAGATAGCTGCTATATAAGTTCAAGATTATTATTTTATTTATTTTATTTATTTATTTATTTATTTTTTTGAGACAGTCTCACTCTGTCGCCCAAGCTGGAGTGCAGTGGCATGATCTCGGCTCACTGCAAACTCTGCCTCCCGGGTTCAAGTAATTTTCCTGCCTCAGCCTCCTGAGTATCTGGGATTACAGGCGTGTGCCACCACACCTGGCTAATTTTTGTATTTTTAGTAGAGACAGCGTTTCACCATGTTGGTCAGGCTGGTCTTGAACTCCTGACCTCATGATCCTCCCGCCTCAGCCTCCCAAAGTGCTAAGATTACAGGTGTGAGCCACTGCGCCCGGCCGAAGATTATTATTTTAATGACCAAAATGAAATCACATCTTTAGGATAGATCTCTTCTGGGTGTTTTATGCCTGAGAGGCAGATACACAGTGAGGCAGTTATGGTCTCTAGAGCCCTGCCTTGCTACTTACTAGAGTTGTGACCTTGGATAGAATATTCAGAGTGTGCTTTAATCTCATTCGTGAAGTAGGGATGATAGTAGCACCTATCTGAGTTGTTGTGAGACTTAAGTGAGTTAATGTATGTAAGGCATATAGAAAGACTCATGGAACATATTAAGTACTGTATGCTTGTTAGCTATAATTTATATCATTATTGGAAACGTTAAAGAATTTTTATCACATAATTTAATATTGGCAGTTATATAGATAGTTATAGACTGTAATGTCCAAGTATACTTGGATTAAAAAGTTATAGCTTTATACTTTCGTTCTGGGTATATTAACTATTACCTTTTTCTCATTATTTTGTTTACATTTTTGAAGGTTTCCCAATGAGTGGATCATGATGACCGTATTGTAGGGACTTGCCATAGTATGGCTGCTTCCCGATCTACTCGTGTTACAAGATCAACAGTGGGGTTAAACGGCTTGGATGAATCTTTTTGTGGTAGAACTTTAAGGAATCGTAGCATTGCGCATCCTGAAGAAATCTCTTCTAATTCTCAAGTACGATCAAGATCACCAAAGAAGAGACCAGAGCCTGTGCCAATTCAGAAAGGAAATAATAATGGGAGAACCACTGATTTAAAACAGCAGAGTACCCGAGAATCATGGGTAAGCCCTAGGAAAAGAGGACTTTCTTCTTCAGAAAAGGATAACATAGAAAGGCAGGCTATAGAAAATTGTGAGAGAAGGCAAACAGAACCTGTTTCACCAGTTTTAAAAAGAATTAAGCGTTGTCTTAGATCTGAAGCACCAAACAGTTCAGAAGAAGATTCTCCTATAAAATCAGACAAGGAGTCAGTAGAACAGAGGAGTACAGTAGTGGACAATGATGCAGATTTTCAAGGGACTAAACGAGCTTGTCGATGTCTTATACTGGATGATTGTGAGAAAAGGGAAATTAAAAAGGTGAATGTCAGTGAGGAAGGGCCACTTAATTCTGCAGTAGTTGAAGAAATCACAGGCTATTTGGCTGTCAATGGTGTTGATGACAGTGATTCAGCTGTTATAAACTGTGATGACTGTCAGCCTGATGGGAACACTAAACAAAATAGCATTGGTTCCTATGTGTTACAGGAAAAATCAGTAGCTGAAAATGGGGATACGGATACCCAAACTTCAATGTTCCTTGATAGTAGGAAGGAGGACAGTTATATAGACCATAAGGTGCCTTGCACAGATTCACAAGTGCAGGTCAAGTTGGAGGACCACAAAATAGTAACTGCCTGCTTGCCTGTGGAACATGTTAATCAGCTGACTACTGAGCCAGCTACAGGGCCCTTTTCTGAAACTCAGTCATCTTTAAGGGATTCTGAGGAGGAAGTAGATGTGGTGGGAGATAGCAGTGCCTCAAAAGAGCAGTGTAAAGAAAACACCAATAACGAACTGGACACAAGTCTTGAGAGTATGCCAGCCTCCGGAGAACCTGAACCATCTCCTGTTCTAGACTGTGTTTCAGCTCAAATGATGTCTTTATCAGAACCTCAAGAACATCGTTATACTCTGAGAACCTCACCACGAAGGGCAGCCCCTACCAGAGGTAGTCCCACTAAAAACAGTTCTCCTTACAGAGAAAATGGACAATTTGAGGAGAATAATCTTAGTCCTAATGAAACAAATGCAACTGTTAGTGATAATGTAAGTCAATCTCCTACAAATCCTGGTGAAATTTCTCAAAATGAAAAAGGGATATGTTGTGACTCTCAAAATAATGGAAGTGAAGGAGTAAGTAAACCACCCTCAGAGGCAAGACTCAATATTGGACATTTGCCATCTGCCAAAGAGAGTGCCAGTCAGCACATTACAGAAGAGGAAGATGATGATCCTGATGTTTATTACTTTGAATCAGATCATGTGGCACTGAAACACAACAAAGAGTATGTGTAAATATGGTAACCATGAATTCTGCTTTGTTTATTATTCCCCAAGTTTTTCAGTATCTATTCGTAGTGTTTTTATTACAGCCAAAATTAATGTTTTCACTAAAATTTTAGGTTTAATATGATTTTCTCAACTCTTAGAAAAACTCCAAAAAAAGACTTAAACTCAACTTTACACGTGTGTTCTATGACAACATGGTCTTTCCAGTTCTGATATTTCATGTCTCAATTAGAAAAGACATGGTTGGTAGTGTTTTTGTTTTTTTAATATGTTTTATATCATTTTTAGTTAATTTATACAATGGAAACACATTGAGTTACCACAGTATGCTTTGATTTATAGTTCTAGATAGCATAGGACAATTAATGAGTGCTTAGACATCATCCAGATATGTGAAGTCTGGCAGGCTTGACATCTACTTTTATCTTACTTACATTTAATTCCCAATTAAAATTTTTTATTAAAAAATGTGCTTTATGCATCATCTTTGACTTTGACTTAGAGAAGTGGATATTACTATTAACACTATGACAGTATATTGTAATTAGCATATTAGCAAGGGTTAGTCTACTGGATAGTTTACATAAAACATTTGACATAGCTTTTCCTGATACTAAATATAAAGGAAGACTATCTTAAAATATTATCAGCTCTCAACCTTTGCTAAGTCACTGTTGTAAATAAAGAATTCTGTATCCAAATTTTTCACAATATTTCTTGCCTAGATTTCCTATAAAGTATTCAGGGCCATAACACAAAAGATTTGGAGCTTACTATGTCTAGATAATCCTGAAAAGAACTAGAACACACAGTGCTCATCATAAATATCATGATTAGCAACAATAAAAGACAGACTTATGTAATAAGTTAATTACCTTTATTGCTACAGGGTAGGCTTTTGAATTAATATCACAACCAGATTATATAGACTGTACATAAATACTTTGATTTGAGGAACATTTCTAGTGGTTTTGTTGTGACAATTGCCAGACCCTGGTATGTGTCAGATCAAAGTATCAAATCCTGGTTGTGGGACATAATATTTTTTTTGCCATGCATTGTAGATAGTGTAGATTTGTATATGGTAATACAGTGGTCTTTCAGCATAGGCCCCTTCTGAAAAGTTTTCTTCTGCTTTCTTTTGAAATACTATCTTAATATTGTATTTGATAGTTCATGTCATCTGAGCATTTTACAATTTTGTGAAAATGTTAGGAGTCTCGAGTATTTGGAATATTTGAAGTCCAGTTTTAGATAGCAAAACAACTCATAAATGAAGTTTTTTTTGTATTAGAAATAAGTTGAGTTCTGCTGTTCATATATACTGTCAGTTTTTTTGTTTGTTTGTTTGTTTTTGTTTTTCGTTTTTTGAGACAGCATCGCACTTGTTGCCCAGGCTTGAGTACACAGGTGCAATCATGGCTCACTGCAACCTTGACTTCCCTGGGCTCAAGCAATCCTCCCATCTCAGCCTCCCAAGTAGCTGGGACTACAGGCACATGCCACCACTCCTGGCTAATATTTTTTTGTATTTTGTAGAGGCAGGTTTTCACCATGGTGCCCAGGCTCGTCTTAATCTCCTGGGCTCGATTGATCCTCCCACCTCAGCCTCCCAGAGTATTGAGTATAGGCATGAGCCACTGCACCTGGCCTAGTATCAGTTTTTAAAAGTAGACCTGTTTATCTGCAGTGCAGGGAAGGAGAGCGTATGTCTTAGGAAAATACCAAAAACTAAAGAAATGTGAATTTTTATAAAATGATATATGTTAGTTCTGTTCTTTGCTTTTTATTGTTTTAGTCTTGACTCGTTATTGATTGTGGAAATTTTTTTTCTAGTAATTCACTACAGTATTACTTTTTGTAAGAGATTGCCCGATAATAATTCTGAAGGATGATGTTCACATAAAACAGTTACCTAAAGATACAGTCATAACATTGATATTCCACATTCATAACCCTTTGAGGATGAGAACAATACAGCTTAATTGGTGCTTTTATACATTTTATATAGTGTGCTTTTATATGTTTATTTTTCATGTGTTCCTTAAGATATAGAGACTCCTTTGGAATTTGGATGCTAGTTGCTTTGTTAGAACAGTGTTTTCAAATTAATGCCTCATTGGGTGACATTGGGGAAAAAATTACTGATTCTTGCCTTTTTGCCTTGCTCCAGATCTTTTGAAGGATAGCACTTTTTTTGTTTGTTTGTTTTTTGTTTTGGAGACAGAGTCTCACTCTGCCACCCGGGCTGGAGTGCAGTGGCACAGTCGTGGCTCACTGCAGCTTTGACCTACCTCCCAGGCTTAGGTTATCCTCCCACCTCAGCCTCCCAAGTTGCTGCTGGGACTACAGGTGTACGCCATCACACCTGTCTAATTTTTTGTAATTTTAATTGAGACAGGGGTTCGCCATGTTGTCCAGGCTGATCTTGAACTCCTGGGTTCGAGCGATCTGCCCGCCTTGGCCTCCCAAAGTGCTGGGATTACAGGCATGAACCACCTAACCTGGCTAGGATCGCACTTTTGAGACTTTTCTCTTTTTTCTTTTTTTTCAAAGGAAGCAAATCAGAAATGAGATGGAGTATCATGATTAGCATCTCAGAGCTAATTTAAGGAAAATTGGGAGAGGGTGTTTGATCATGTCAGATCTAATCTCTTTCAGTAAAGTCTCTTTCCTCCCCCATACCTTCATTGTCTAGAGCCAAGAGTTGGTTGGATATAATGTTGGCTCTTTTTAATCCAAGTTGCCATCGCTAAAAGTAGCATCATGACACCTGTCTGGTGCTTTCAAGTCTCAAGTAAATTTCTGGCAGTTTGAAAATGATGTTAAAAAGCACTTGGGTTTTAAAAAAAGGCACTTGAAGGAGATGGTTTATTCTCCTCCTGTACACACATATGTACATACCTTGTCAAATGTTACTTCTCTTCCTTATTCTCCCTGTGCTAGAAACGTTCTCCAGGTAATTGCTTTTTGAAACCGAGGTTGAGCATTGCCCAGCCTAAATATGAATATCTCTACCAGTAGGGAATGAATACTTCTTGATAGCCAGTTTTAAAAGTAAGTTGTTAATAGAAAATACTGAGCATGGCATAATTCTTTGTCTAGAGCCAGGAGGACATAACTCTGTGTTATTCTAGTTGAAACTTTTCCTCTAACCTAACAGTGATCAACAGCCTTCTATCCTAGTGTTCAGCTTACAGTTTATCTGTCTTGTGTGCAAAGATATCCCATATAAGGTCATCCGATCACTTGTAAATGTTTGCGAAAGTATTGTGTAGAATCCTAGTCTTAGATGTGATTTATAGTAAATTAGGCATTAGACCAGGGAAACAAATCTGTGGATGTTCTGGGTACTAGCTTGATGCCTCTCTAGATGCCATCCCTCTTCTCTAGCGCATAAATCCACAGTGTGCTTTTATATATTTATTTTTCCAAATGGAGAACCCCACTGTGAGAAAGGGACCAGAGAATATCTTTTTCTCTGGCAAGATTCCATCTGTGGATTATTTTATTAGACATGCCTTCTGAAAGATTAGGGGTGGAGGATCAAAAGAAATATTCTTTATCTGAAGGCTCTTTGATCTTCAGGGTTGATAGAATCTGTTAAAGTGTTAGATAATACAGTACCTAATGATTTCTTTTTAGGCTTAAATAGCCTCACTGAATGAGATTATTTACTTAACTGTGATTGCCCTTTCTGTTTCGGAATTGACCTTGCTAATTTTTGAATCAGGAGCACTGAAACAGATCTCTAAATTTTGAAGGTCTGGCTCTAGGAAGCACAAGTGTGGAAGATTTTAGGTCTTAGGTTTTAATGTTCAGAGCGTTTCTTCCAATTCAAAACGTAATCACTGGAAAATAAACTTCTAAATGAAAATGTGCTTTGGTCAGCTGCCTCTGAATTATCATTGTGCAACATTACTTAAATAAATTTGTGTTTGAAAGACCTTGGGTATCTTCATTTAAGGATCTTTGGTATTATAACATTTCATGAACAGATAAGGGGGTGAAAAGTCAAATTTAGGGATTCTAGATTCTTGAGCTCTTACAAAGATTAACTCATTGATAACAGATTGCTAACATTTATACCAGTTCTTAAGTTTCTAGATAATGAACCTGTAAGATAGTTATTGCTCATCTAAGAGTGTTGCTCAGGTACTCTGCAGGTGAGAATATTATTTTCAAGTCACGTTTAAGAGTTTCTAAGAATTGTGTTAAACTTGGATTTTGGAAAACGTTAATGATAGTAAATAATTATAATATGTCCTTCTTATTGCACCATGCTTATTTCATAGTTGATTAAACAAACATTTGATATTTTCATCAATTTTGGAAGCTGCATAGAGAAAATCTTAATCAGTTCTTGGAGATTTACTTATTGAGAGTCTACTTTTACTGTTGGTCAAAGTAATTTCTTTCAAGGGGCCAGAAAAACTCCAGGATCTTGCTTAAAAATCACTAGAGGAGTCATCCTACCCTGAATAAGATAATTTTACATCTGTATTGTGCTTCATAATTTACAAAGCAATTTCATTAGTTTCTCATTTGACTATCATGACAGTTTGAAAGTAGACAGGATAGGCACCGTTATACAGTCCCCATTTCCTAACTCGTAATTAAGAATTTTAGATTATTAATTTTAAGTAATATAATGAATTACTAAATAGGATCAAACTTCTATCTTTTAATTACTAGTTTGAACTATACTTGGTTACCTCATCCAGTGAGGACTTACTTCATGGGCTTTTGGGTTTCTATGTTGAGAACCCTCATGGAGCAGATCTTGGGGACTCAGTTGTCAGGAATTCTTTACCCTGAGGTTAGGTTCTGTAATTGTAGTCATGATTATCTGATTTTTATTTGTTACAGAATCAGCATTATAGGTAAGTACTTTGCTTTATTTATTGAATGAAATACTTTCATGTTCATTATTTTAAAGAACATCTTATTTGTGAAGAATAAACTGGTGAAATAAAACTATGGCTGTAGCTTGATTTCAAATAGAGGATTTGAATAATATGAAAAGAATACTCTGGGGTATTTTAGAATGCGGTAGGTATATTAAAGTCAAAGATTACTAAGGAAAACTCATGCTTGGTGTACCTTCTCAACTCACCAGAAAAGGCTGTAGAATAATAGCCGGATTTACCCCTCTGGTCTGGCACAAAGATTAATGGGAAGAGAGAGGTAGCTTTCTAAAACAGGGGTCCCCAACCAGTCCATGGCCTGTTAGGAACTGGGCTGCACACCAGGAGGTGAACAGCACCTCCTGTCAGATCAACAGTGAAATTAGATTCTCATAGGAGCACGAACTCTATTGTGAACCATGCATGTGAGGGATCTAGGTTGCACGCTCCTTATGAGAATCTAATGCCTGATGATCTGTCACTGTCTCTTATCACCCCCAGATGAGATCGTCTAGTTGCAGGAAAACAAGCTTAGGGCTCCCACTGATTCTACATTATGGTGAGTTGTATAATTATTTCATTAGATATTACAATGGAATAATAAGGATAATAGAAATAAAGTACACAGTAAATGTAATGTGCTTGAATCATCCTGAAACAACCCCATCACCCAGTCTGTGGAAAAAATTGTCCTTCATGAAACCAGTTCCCAGTGCCAAAAAGGTTGGGGACTGCTGCTCTAAAATATGTAATTTTTGCTTGTAAGTAGAGTAAGCCATTGACTAACCAAAACATTAAGTGAATTTTTTGCTTTTTCCTTTGAATACCAACTTGTTTTGTTTCAACTACTGTAGATGGTATCTAAAAGTGATTCTCTGCTGTAATCCAAGTATATTTGTACCCAAGTATAATTTAACCTTTTCTTTTTTTTCTTTTTTTTTTGAGACAGGGTCTCACTCTGTCACCCAGGCTGGAGTGCAGTGGTGCCATCTCAGCTCACTGCAACCTCTGCCTCCCAGGTTCAAGTGATTCTCCTGCCTCAGCCTCCTGAGTAGCTGGGATTACAGACGTGCCACCACACCCGGCTAGTTTTTGTATTTTTTTTTTTTTTAGTAGAGACAGAGTTTCATCATGTTGACCAGGCTGGTCTCGAACTCCTGACCTCAAGTGATCCGCCCCCCTCAGCCTCCCAAAGTGCTGGGATTACAGGTGTGAGCCACCATGCCTGGCTTAACCTTTTCTTTTTGATTTAGGTTCATCTTTTTGACAGAGGTTATGAAGTAATACTTTTCTGGCATCATTGCCAGAATAGGTCTGTTTTTTTCCTGTGATAAATTATTTTGGGCTACTTGGTTTTTTATGTTCTTATAATCTGTTTCTTTTCTATGTTCTTTTCTAAGTTCTGTGACTTTTTATTGTTTTCTTCATTTTTGTTGGCTTTCATGAGTCACCTTCCTTTAGTAACTAAGACTTTCCTTCTAATTGACTGCTTTTAGTTTTCTCTGAAATTGGATATCAGAATAACACTTGTCAGAATTATGTCTCATGATTCTTTAGTGATTGATACATTGAGGAGTTTATCTTTGAATGAATATGTGTTAGTGTGTGGGATGTTTGATTGTGTTTTCTTGTTTGTATGCTTTCCGGTTTAGGGGCTGTGTTTCATGTAAGTTACCAGATCTAAATTCTGAACAGAGAAACAATAATTATTTCCTTATATATATGGTAAGAAAGACTCACTTAGCAATAAACCCCATCTAAAACAATTATTTATCTACAATTTTGACACTAATTGAAGCTTAGCTTTTAGTTGCAGAAACTTAATTTTGGTAATTTTTTATAGAAGTGTACAGAAAACCCAACTTTTTTCCTTCTATACTCACTCTGTCTCAGTACTTCACTTCTGACACCAGATCTATAGGAAACCTCAACTGTTTTTCTCTCTACTCACACTCAACACTTCTGTGACCAGATTTGTGGTGGTTTTTCCCACTGACCAATTCTCTGACTCAGTTGAATGTCCTATGATTCCATTCAATATTCTGACACTAACTGGAGTTAGTGCAGACCCCACAGGTTAAGGTCTCCATCCTACAAGACTGCCTCCCACTTCAGAAGCCAATCACAAATGGTAGGTCCTCAGGTTACCCACAGTTTCGGTCTGACTTGGCTACAAATTGGAGGGTCCCACCACCCCCTCCTCAGATTTGATAATTTGCTAGAGTGGCTCACAGACCTCAGGAAAACAATTTACTTATTACGGCTGATTAATTACAAAGGATATTTCGAAGGATCCAAATGAAGAGTCAGATGAAGAGATATGTATGTACGGCAAGGTCTGGAAGGGTCCCAGGCACAGAAGCTTTTTTTCCTGTGGAGTTTGGGTCAGCAACCCTCATAGCTCGTAGATGTGTTCACCAATCTAGTAGCTCTCTAAACTTTGTCTTTTAGGGGTTTTTCAAAATGGAGCTTCATTTCTCAGGCATGCATGATTATTAACTCAATCTCCAGCTCTTCTAACCTCCCCAGAGCACACAAGGGTTGGGGCTTGTAAGTTGTAATGATGGCTTGCTCTTTGTAATGACCATCCTCCACCCAGGACTCCACCCAGAGTGACTTTATTAGAACAAAAGGGTCTCCTATCATCCAGGAAATTCTAAGGGATTCAGGAACTCTGTGTCAGGCACTCCTGTCACTCAGGAAATTGTAGAGGTCTTAGGAGCTCTGTGTCAGGAACTGGGATCAAAGACCAACTATTAGGAACAAAGATTTTTCTAGCATCCCTATTTACAAGAGTTTTAGGAGCTCTATGCCCAGAACTGGGAGTAGAGACCAATATATTTACTTTTTATTATTTCACAAGTAGGCTTAGGAATGTTGTATTTTTACATATTAGTAAGAAGAGTATACCATATATGCTATTTTTTGTGTTGTTTCATGTTATCAGATATTGTAATGTATAGTAATAAATGGGAAGATCTGTGTTGTGATCTACTTCTCTCTTTTTTTTTGGTCTTACTTTTCAGTGGAATCTTTTTGTTTGTTTAACTTTTATTTCTTTTACTGTGGAAAGCTGCTTTTGTTTGTCTCTTTATTCTCTGATTTTAACATAGGGAAAATCTGAATGTGGCCAGAGGAGACTAATAATTTGTGCAGGACCCTCTCAGGCAAGATTTTCTGTGGTGTGCTGTGATTGAATTTTCACATGTCTACTAATCTTGGGAATTGGATTATAGACATTGTACATATGTTGCTGAGGGTCAGGATTTTGTTTTCTTTCCTTAAAAAATGTTGACATTTGTTCTGACAGGCAGTTAATTTGGGGATAAACTTGGTCCTGTTAAGGCTTATGCTTACCTTTGTTAGGGGAAGTACAGAGTAGCCTGTTCTCTAGATCTCGGTTAGCCTTCTATAGTATGGTCTTAGTGATATCTTGTTTAAAGAGGTAATTTACTATGGTTGATAGAATCATGAATGTTTCTAGCCTTATGAGGACACTGTTAGTTGTTCTTTATATAGCTCCTTGGTAGTTGTTCTTTGCTTGGTTTGTGGAGTCTCATCTTATGTGTGTGCAGCATTATATTCAGCCAGACTCAAGAGGACCTCTATGCAGATAGCATTGTTTGTCTTTCTGTGTTGCTTCTTCCTTTTTGATACTCCGTCCCACAAATTCTAGCCGCTTCAGCTTCCCCAAACTGTTTTCTGTCTCTCTGCTGAGCAACACACCTCCCTGTTCTATAGTACTGACAGTACTTCCAAGTAGAAAGAGAGGGTGATAATAGGGCTTATTTCATCTGTTTGCCTTCTCTCACAGATCACAGTTACATGCTGTCTGTTGTCTAATGTTTGGAAATAGTTATTATTTGTATATTTTCTCCAGTTTTGTAGTTGTGGATGGCAGGATGGCCATTCTGTGTCAGTTACTCTGTTATGACTGTAAGTGGATGTCTCTGATGTAATTTTAGTATGCACTGGGTATGTTTTCTTCCTATAATACTCAAACCCAAGCCTGCAGTTTGATTATCTGGGGATTACTGTGGGCGAGCTTTTACTTATACCTTAAAAAATAGTTTCAGCAACTTCTTTTTTTTAAAGAAGTTGAAGTCAGAAATTGTAACAGTAAGAATTTTAATTGAAGAATGATGGTAACTTCTACCTACTTGTTTTAGTTATGATTAGGTATTGCTGAGGTTGGAACAGAAATAAAAATTAGGTTACTGGTGAGATAAAGTTCTTGAGGATGGGTAAAAGAGAGAAGGTGACATACAAAAAGATATGAAACTTTTTTACTAGGTTTCAAATGGTAATTCTAAGAGTCTAAGAAATTACGTATTTGTTAGCTATTTTTCACAGATATTTCAAGGATTTTTGTTGTACCAGATTTGCTGTATAATATTTTAATAAAGCCATGGTGAATATGTTCTTTTTCAATCCAGTTTCTAGTAGATGGTTTTCTTTTTAAATAAATTTAAATGTAAAGTATTTTGGAGAAATCTATTTTTCCTTGTACTTTAATTTTTACCATTTGTGTTGGAAAAATTTGATTCAGGTTTTTTTTTTTTTTTTTTGCTATTTTTCATTTGTTTTACATTATCATTCCTTTTAGTTTATTTTGTTTGTTTTGTTTCTTTTGAGACAGGTTCTCACTCTGTCACCCAGGTTGTAGTGCAGTGGCACAGTCTAGGCTCACTGCAGCCTCAGCCCCTCCGGCTCAAGCAATCCTCCCACCTCAGCTGCCTGAGTAGCTGGGACTACAGGTGTGTGCCACCACACCTGGCTAATTTTTTTTTTTTTTTTTTTTTGTGGAGACAAGGCCTCATTATGTTGCCCAGGCTAGTTTTGAACTCCTGGCCTCTTTCCTCGGCCTCCCAAAGTGTTGGGATTACAGGCATAAGCCAGCACACCCGACCCTTCAGTTATTAACGCATTCATATATTTTAACTAAAGGTTCTCAAAACATAATTAAGATTATGCTTAAACTTTTAGTTGGAGGGAAGGATCATGTTACCGTCTTAACATGTGAGATGTGAGATTGAAAAAGTGTAAGATGTCAGTTAAGATTACAATAAAAACTGGAAGTATATTCTTTTTTCTTTTATCGTTATTATATTTATATTTTTTCAAGACAGGGTCTTGCTCTGTTCCCCAGGCTGGAGTACAGTGGTGTGATCATGCCTTACCGCAGCCTCGATTTCCTGGGCACAGGAAATCCTCCTGCCTTGGCTTCCCAAGTAGCTGGGACTACAGGTGCGTACCACCACACGTGGCTAATTTTTATATTTTCTTGTAGAGATGGGGTTTTGTCATGTTGCCCAGGCTGGTCTCAAACTCCTGGGCTCAAGCCATCCGCCCACCTTGGCCTCCCAAAGTGCTGGGATTGCAGGTGTGAGGCACCATGCCTGGACTTTTTTTTTTTTTTTTTAACTTAAATTTAAATTTAAATTTTTATTTCTTAAATTTTTTCCCAAACTCTTTCTTCACTGGATTTTTTTTTTAAAGGGAGGGTCTCACTCTGTCACCCAGGCTCAAGTGCAGTGACACAATCATGGCTCACTGCAGCCTTGAACTCCTGGGCTCAAGTGATCCTCCCGCCTCAGCCTTCTAATTTTATTTAATTTTTTTGTAGAGACAGGCTCCTTCTGTGTTGCCCAGGCTGGTCACGAACTTTGGGTGTCAAGTGATCCTCCCAAAGTCTTGGGATTACAGTTACGAGCCACTGTGCCTGGCCAGTAGTGTTTTTTGAGACACTAATTATAACTAGATAATGTTTTTATTTTCAAGATGCTTATATTATTTAGATCTAGAATCTCACTATATTGTTAAACTTTATCTTTAAATTATTTACCAAATCAAGGTGATTGGGCTAGATTTGAGGAACTCTACAACTGCCTTCCAATTATTTTTCGCTGGCAGTATGATGCTAAGCTTTTGTTTCTACAAAAAAACTTTATTTTGATTTCTGTAGTTATAATTAGTGTATTATATACATGGTTTTGGACTCACTTCTTTCTGTGTTCTTGCCCTTATTTTTGGCACTGCTTAGGCTTCAGTTACTGGCTTTGTTCTTCCTTTGCATCCTCTCTCTGGGTGTTCCCACTCACTGCTGTGGCTTAAATTACTATCTATATACTGATGAATTTTGAAATGCCTATCACCAGCTTAGATTATTCTTGAGTATCAGACCATTTAGTGGATAGCTGCATTTCCATGTCCCATAGTATACCCAGTGGAACATGTCTGAAACTGAACTTACTGCTTCTTTCATACTCACATTGAATATTCACGTTTTTTCCTTGATTTGGTGGAGTCTTTTACTTGCCCAATCCAGAAAAAGCAAAGTATTCTTCAACTACTTGTTTACTACACCTTCCTCTCCTACTGTTCTTACTGATTCAGCTCAGTTTCCTTCCTTCCTTCCTTCCTTCCTTCCTTCCTTCCTTCCTTCCTTCCTTCCATTCTTTCGTTCTTTCTTTCTTTCTAATGTAGGCCACTGTCATCTCTTTTCTGGATTACTTAACATACTTCCTTATTTGCTTTCTGTGGTGCTAGTTTACTTTGCCAATGAATTCTTATACTGTAGCTGGAGTAAATGTCTTAGAATAAAATCGACTCTTTAAAATGAATCATTGCATGATTTTTAAACATGTCTTTTACTGTCTGCCTCTCACTGTACATTCTATTCCAATTGAATCTTGATTTCCTTAGTTCCTTAATTATGTTCTCTCATTCTAGGCCCTCCTCATATGCCTAACTGCCTGCTCTACCTTTTCCCTGTTTTCTTGATTATTGTGCTACTTCTACAAAGCCTTTCTGAATTTAGACATCATATTCTCTGAGAAATCTTATCTTTAGGCCTGATTATTAGTTGCTCCTTGTGTGCTGTGTTGTAGTTATAATTGCCTGTAAATGTGTACAAGAGACCATAAGCTCTTTGAGAGAATCATGTCTGTCTGGTTGGTTGATGTATCGGTGGTGAAATTTCAAGCATTATACTGCTTTGAAAATGTCAGAGAAAAATTTAGCATGCTTTTCATAGTAGAAAAATTTAAATACCATTATTTGACTTTCAAGATTCTGAATTTTATATAGTGTTAGTGATTTTTTAACATTTAAATTTTCGAAAGAAAAATATGCGATATCATCATTCATATGGTTAATTTAACTCAGCTATGTGGAGACATATAAGAGGAGTCTCATGTTTACAGATGAGTTGTCCGAGTTTGTTACCTAGTGGTAAAATCATGTTTTTACATGGTCATATAAGAAATGTAAGTTCAGTTTTTAATAATACCAGACTCCCAAAGAGAAGTCATTGTGTTATAAAATAAATTTAGGTTTGGTATTATCAGAATGTTTTATATGATTGTAAATACAATTTTACAATCTAGAGTTTTGCCAGTAGGCATTAGAAGCCTACAGAGTGGTTAAGAATTTGATTGTGGTTGTCTTTACTGAATTGAAGGACTTGAAAGAAAATGTGTGTCCTTGCCTTTTTATGTGTGTCTGTTCTATTAAAGATTTTCAGTAGAGGATAGTACTCAACTTTCTTGGTTAAAAACTCATAATTTTGAGTAGATGCTACAATTAATTTAAAATGACATGTGCTGTGTCTTTGCAGTTACTATGAAATGATAGCCTACATATAGTTTAACATACATGTAGTTTGGGCTATATTTGAGGTATGTTGTTTGTTACAGTATTAGTTTTTAACTAGAAGTTACTAACTTGCCTCTGTTATATGAAACTTTTATGTATTTGTAATACTAGAATAAGAGGTAAACATTTTAGATTTTACAGTGGATTGTTTCATAGAATAGGTAATCTAAAATTCTGGAGTAGGGAAATATCAAGGGAATCTTGATCTGACTGGTTGTCAGGGGTTTTTTTCTAGATGATTGTGAAATTTTTATTCTGTTAGCTATAATATAGTTGCATTTAGCTTTCTATTTTAAGAGAGAAAACTCAAGAATTCTGTGGCATATATTTAGAAAAGCAGAACCTAGGGATAAATTGAAAAGGTCATCTTTTAAGGTCTGTTCCCATAAGAATCTTTGAGTCTTCAGGGGAAAAAGACCATTTTTTGAAGGTTATAATAATGTGATTAAAAAACACTGACAGATTGTTTTAAAATTTCCTATACAAGTTACTTAAATTCAGTGACTAGTAAATAACTTCTTTAAGCTATTTAAAACTAACAAGGACAATAAAGTTAAGGTAATCAGAACTTGTTTGCAGCTTGTTGCAGGAATCAGAAATTCACTCAGAGTATCTCAAACAACAAAGGGGTTTATTTTAAATAAATGATAGCAAACAATCTTGCGAATACTCATGATCAGAAAACAAATTCGAGGCAGACCTCATGAAATTATAACCTGTCAGTATTCAAGATTATATATACTCTCTCACCACTGCTTGTCTTTGTACAGTACAGGCTAGTTTTTCTTATTTTATTAATGTTTTTTGCACACTTTCTTCCTTTCCCCTGAAATTTCATTTTGCAGATGGCATTGGCTTCCTACTGTGCTTGTCATGATCCCAACTTTATATGACATTTTATTCCCAGAGCCTCGTCACAGTCTCTAAAGAGAACCTGGTTCTTGACTATCCAATAGATTGGCTTCCTTGGTCAGTCCATCCCTGGCCGAATTATCAATTGTCAGGGGTGGGATTATTGGACAAAAAAAAAAAAAAAAAAAAAAAAAAAAGGCTGCATTGGTCTACTCTTCTAGAGCAAGGGTATATCTTCCAGCAAAAAGGTATGTGGGCAGGTTGGTAGGCTGCCAAAACATGCCCATTATAGACCATTTAGCTTTTTGGGTAAAATTGTACTCTTGGTCAATTGTTTATAAAATAAGATATGGAAACACTAATACATTGCTGGTTGCAGGGTAAAATGGTGCACCCACTGTGGATAACAGTTTGGTGGTTCCTCAATAAGTTAAACATAGAATTACCATATGATTCAGCAATTCCACATTTATTTATTTATTTTTTGAGATGGAGTTTTGCTCTGTCACCTAGGCTGGAGTGCAGTGGTGCAATCTTGTTTCACTGCAACCTCCGCCTTCTGGGTTCAAGTGATTCTCTTGCCTCAGCCTCCCAAGTAGCTGAGACTACAGGTGCTTGTCACCACGCCTGGCTAATTTTTTTTTTTTTTTTTTTCAGTAGAGGCAGGGTTTCACGTGTTGGCTTGGCTGGTCTCCAATGCCTGACCTCAAATGATTCACCCACCTGGGCCTCCCAAAGTGCTGGGATTACAGGCATGAGCCACCACGTCTGGCTCAGCAATTCCACTTTTAGATGTATACTCCAAATAATGAAAGATAGGTGTTTAAACATGAACTTGTACACAGATGTTCACAGCAGCACAATTCACAATAGCCAAAAGGTAGAAACAGTTCAAGTGTCCATCAGCTGATGAATGGATACACAAAACAAGGTATATCAATACAATGGAATTGTATTCAACTGTAAAAAGGAATGAAGCTGCAATATGAATGAATCTTGAAACCATTGTACCAATGAAAGAAACCAGACACAATAGGTCATATATGTTTCTATTTATATGAAATAATCCAGAAGAGGCAAATTTATAGAGACTGAAAGCAGATGAATGGTTACCCAGGGGGTCGGGGAAGGGTAGAATGAGGACTGACTGCATAATGTGTATAGGATTTCCTTTTGGGGTGATGAAAATGTTTTGGAACTGGATAATGGTGATGGTTGCACAACATTGTGAATGTACTAAGTGCCACTGGATTATATACTTTAAAATGGTTAAAAAGGTAAATTTTATGTGATTTTTACCACAGACAGATGAAACTAAAGCGTGGGGGGATTAGTGCATACCAGGGTATGCACAAGATCATCCACTGGGAGATAGAAGAAAATACTACTTAGAGGTTTTTTGCTCATTTTAAGAATGTCTGGGTTTTTTGAAATACATTATAACATATATTTGTAATGCATTTAAGTATAGTAGAACATATAGTTTATAAGTAAGTGTACATATATTGGGAACATGCCTGACAATTTTTATTTTTATTTTTATTTTATTTATTTATTTATTTTAGAGACGAAGTCTCACTCTGTTTCCCAGGCTGGAGTGCAGTGGCGCGATCTTGGCTCACTGCAACCTCCGCCTCCTGGGTTCCAGCGATTCTCCTGCTTCAGTCTCCCTCCTGGGCTGGGACTACAGGTGGGTGCCACCACCCCCGGCTAATTTTTGTATTTGTTTTAGTAGAGATGGGGTTTCACCATATTGGCCAGACTGGTCTTGAACTCCTGACCTCGTGATCCACCCACCTCGACCTCCCAAAGTACTGGGATTACAGGCGTGAGCCTCCGCGCCCGGCTGACAATTTTAATTTTTTACCAGTAGAGATGCATAGAGCAAAAAGTGTGAAAATTGTTGTTTTTAATAAGGAAAAGCCACCTATTGCTCAATAATTTTTTACTTCAGCATTTAGGGGAAGTTTTTAAACACAGTGCCAGATTCTCTTGAAGTATATAGGTTACAGAATCCTAGTAACACATTTAGAGAAACTACAGGGTTCAATGGACATTTACTTAACAGTCTTGAAAATAACTTGGGTTGCTTTTAAGCAAATGGTGTCATCTTTTAAAACTGCACTGACATTTTAAATGTGGCAGGTGTTCCTAAGAAGAGCACCAGAGTGTTCTTGGGCATTAGAAACTTGTTAATGTTCTTTATACTCAGAAACTATGAAGCCAATAACACTAATGATAATAAGTATGAACATTTGGCGTTTAAAGAAAAATCAACGATTGAGGGGGGAAAGAGTCATGATTTCCTCAAGAGCAGGGGTAAGAAGCGTGTCTGACTAATTAATGAGAATTCTTTAAGAGACAAATTATTAGATAAAAATAACTCAGTGTATAATGTGTATAAACATTATACACAGTGTGTTCCATGTCATTGTGGTTATTTCCTTTTAAAATTGTGATTAAAAAGAAAAACTAGTTAATTTTGTGTGTGTGTGTGTGGTGGGGGGGCCCTTTGACACACAGGAATTATGTAGTGGTTACATTAGGTAGCATATGCCTGTAAGGTAGCACTACTGAATTACCAAGTTTTATCTAAAAAATAAAACCAAATAGAATGTTTTCCTCTTTATAAGAATCAGTACCTCACTTTACTGGACTCAATCCTTGTTGTTCAAAATATATTTGGAACTCAACTTTTGGAACAGTTTGCAGAATATCCTCAGTGGTGGCAGTTCCTTTTAAAGGATATTTAATTTTTACTAGAATTTTTAATTATGCAGAAATATGTAACATGGAGAAATATATTTTTTGTCAAAAATAAAATTATAAGTAGTGAAACTTATGTCCTTTCATGTCTCACTAACCTGAACTAAATGTGACTCATAAATTTGGCTCTAAAGAATTCTAGCAGAACAACTCCATAGGCATTTTGCATACGCACCATATAGCATGTAACACTTAGTGGACTGTTAATTTAACCATCTTTTTTCCTAGATTGTGAGATTGTTGAAGCTAGATGCCAAGTTTGTTTCTATGATGTACTTTCTCCATGTTGATTTTAACCGTTGTCATACTTGTTTAAAGATTCAGAATATTGTGTGGATATTTTTTCCCCTCTGTGTGTCTTTTTCTAAACATATTGGTAAAAAGCATTCTGGGAATTCATACTGTTATTGATAACCTTCTTTGATTATATTTTGTAATTCTGCATCTGTTGAAATTCGAATGACCCTTGGCTATCCAAAATTCATTTACTGTGATGTCACCATTTTTGTTGTTAGGTAGGAAGAAAGCTTCCTTGAATTGTTTGGTCTATTGATCATCAATTGTAAAAGCATAGAGAAAAGAGTGAGCAGTTGTACCAGTGTGGAGGCAGTGATTGCTCTGGATTCCTCCACTCTTGCTGCCACCACTGTGTCATCTGCACTACTGCTACCCCATTCAGTTAATGCTTCTCTGAAGAATGAATTTTTATTTTTTTTTAAAGCCTACCACTCCTGACCCTGCTTTGCTTCTGAGATCAGATGAGATTGGGCACATTCGGGCTGGTATGGCCATAAACATGAATGTTCTATTTATATTTTCTTCATTAATATTAGAAATAGATTTTAACATCTGGTTTCATGACCATGGTTAGAACCTGAAGTCCTGTTTTGATTTGAAAGTAGATAAATACTGTGTGGGATTTGGAACCTTTAGAACAAGAAATTTATCTAGTAACATATTCCCCTGTATATTGATTTACAGTATATTTAACTTATTAAAATTTATTTTTTCTCAAAGCTTAAAAAAGTGATATATAGTGTTAGGATTATTGGAACTTTATTTCTTTTCATGTTTTACATTTTTGCACTGAGTTTGTCTTGTAATATAATTAGAAAATATTTAAATAATGAAAAACAAAATTTAGTCTCATAAAGATATTATAGGGGATTTAAAAAGAAACCAACTTTAGTTTTCTTGTGCTGATGAGGAAACAGAACTAAGTTACAGAATCAAGAGACGTTAATGGGGGTCTTAGCCCTTAGCTGGGTAATCATGAAGGAGTCAATCTCTTTGAACTTCATTTTTTCAATTGTGAGATGAAGAGGTTGTGTTTATCCTTGAGGTGGTAACTTCTAGCCTTGTTACTCTATGATTACGTGGCATCTGTAGTTGCTGTTCCACTAGAGTCGGCTTAGGAGAGGCATCCGGTTTTACAGCATTGGATGTATCTTGATAAGCTACTGTCAGAAACATTCTGTGGCTAAAGTAATTTAAGGGTTGTGTTTAAGTCTTGATAGCAATCTGCATATGTTTAAAAAGCATATTTAAAAAATATTTTACATTAGTGTCATGTCATTAATCTGTATGTATTACTGGAAGACCTTAGCTGAGAGATGCATTTAAAATAATTTTCTATTTATTGTTTATAGCTATGTTTTGTGGGCTTGCTATGTTTTTAAAAAGATGTCATGCAGTCTGCATCAGAGGTAGCACTGCAGAGCTTTAACTGTTTTGTATTTGTTATTAAGTTATTGTGGCATTCAGTCTAAGGGCCCTTTGAAATTTTTGATATATTAAAAATGTATTATAGACTATGCTTAAAGAGATCCTAGATTTTCAAATTTTAATATATATTCGACATAGGGGAAAAGTCAATATGTAGGATATAACTTGTTTAGTTTATCAGGTAGGAATAGCACTCTTGGTATGTGTGTGGCAGGGAATGGAGAAGGTCAGGAGAAAAGAGAAAGGTCCTTGGCTGGATGTCTTTATTTTATTCTAATAAATGGATAATTTAATTTATTTCCTCCTTTAAAAAAGTCTCTTTACTTACTCTCTCTTCCTTACAATTGCATAGCAACACTAGAGAGGAGACATTTTGGTTCCTCAGTCTCTACCTACCATATAAACATATACCAAGAAACTCTTTAATGATAGATACCTGAGAAGCAGCGTTTAAAAATAGATGCTTTTTTTTTTTTTTAAAGGCGTGGAATAGCAGTGAAGAATAATGAGTTTTATTTATCTTGGTTCTAATAAATAATGTAGTAAATATCTTGCTTTTTAAGACCTAGTCTTCACAGGTTAATTGTGTGGTTAGGATTTGAAAGTGTAACTCAACTAAATGCAAATGAAAACAAATTTCTCTTTCAGAGAAATCTCAATTATGATTACATTTTTTCTGCAAATGGAAGAGTAATCCCTGTATTCTATGTTGTTAGTGTTTCTGTGGTTCATACTAAAGACTAATAATCCATGAAGAAGTTACCAACATCTATATGATGTCTTAAATGATTTACTGAAGGCAAAATGTGTCAACTACAACCTAAAGAATTGGTGGAAGTAAAGACTATCAGACACTTTATTTACAAAATAATAAATTTTATTGTGTAGATTTGAAGTTAGTAATATGTTATAGGATACATATAGGTAGTAAGTGGTTACTATAGTGAAGCACATTAACATATCTATCATCTCATATAGCTACATTTTTGGTGACAAGAGCAACTGAAATCTGCTTACTTAATAAAAATCTCTAATATAATTTATTAACTTTAGTTTTCATGCTGTATATTAGCTCTCTAAACTTGATCATCCTAGGTATCTACAATTTTGTATCCTTTGACCTATGTCTCCTCATATTCTCTTTCCCCACCCCCCTGCCAGTGGTATCCACTGTTTCATTATCTCTGTGTATTAGAGCTCTTTTTCTTTTCTAATATTCCACATATAGACCAGATCACGCAATATTTGTCTTTCTGTGTCTGGCTTATTTCATGTAGCATAATGCCCTCTAGGTCTGTTGGTGTTGTGGCAAATGGCAGTATCTCCTTTTAAAAAATTGAATAGTATTTCATTGTGTATATATGTACCACATTTCTTTGTCCGTTGTCTGTCAATGGACATTTAGGTTGTTTCCATATCTTAGCTATTGTGAATAATGCTTCAGTGAACATGGTAGTGCAGATATCTTTATGCCTCTGGGCATCTCCTTTGGGTAAATGCCCAGAGGAGGGATTGCTATGTCATATGGTAGTTCTTTTAAAAATGTCTTTAGGAACTTCCATACTGTTTGGTATAATGGTTGTATCAATCTACATTTCCACCAACAGTGTGCTAAGGTTTCCTTTCTCCATACCCTCAACCAGCATTTATTATCATCTGTCTTTTTGCTAACAGCCATCCTTATGGGTGTGAGGTTATATCATATAGTGGACTTAATTTGCATTTCCCTGATGATTAGTGATGTTGAGTACCTTTTCATATACCCATTGACCATTTTTATGTCTTTGGAGAAATATCTGTTCAACTCCTTTGCTCATTTTTAAATTGGATTATTTGTCTTTAAATTTTAGATACTAATCCCTTATCAGATATTTGATTTGCAAACATTTTTCCTTCTTTGTAGGTTGCCTTTTTATTTTGTTGTTTGTTTCCTTTGCCACGCTGAAGCTTTTTAGTTTGAGCTAGTCTCATTTATTTTTACCTTTGTAGCTAAGCTTTTTGTGTATTACCCAAAAAATCATTGCCAACACCAATGTTGAGGAACTTTCCTCCTATGTTCTCTTCTAGTTTATGGTTTTGGGTCTTATATTTAGGTCTTTCACTCGTTTTCATTTGATTTTTGTATATGGTATGGGATAAAGGTCTAATTTTGTCCTTATGCTTGTGGATATCCAGTTTCCCCAGCATCGTTTATTGAACTGACTGTCCCTTATTGTGTGTTTTCGCCACCTTTGTCAAAGACCAATTGACTGCAAACACGTGGGTTTATTTCTGCACTGTTTTACTTCATTTTCTGTTTTTTATGTCAGTACCATCCTATTTTGATTGTAATAGCTTTGTGTAGTATATTTTGAAATCATTGAGTGTGATGCTTCCGGCTTTGGGTTTTGTTTTTGTTTTTTGCTCAAGATTGCTTTGGCTATTTGGAGTCTTTTGTGGTTCCATACAAATTTTAGGATTGTTTTTTCTATATCTATGAAAAATGACATTGGAATTTTGATAGGGATTGCATTAAATCTGTAGGTTGCTTCGAGTAGTATGGACATTTTAATAGTATTAATTCTTCCCATGTATTTCTATCTTCCTGAGTTGCTTTCATCAGTATTTTATAGTTTTCAGCGTAGAGTTCTTTTACCTTCTTGGTTAAAGTTATTCCTAAGAGTTTTTGTGTTTTTTTGCATGTGGGTTGTTTTTTTTTTTTTTTTTTGGTAGGTATTTTTAAATGGGATTGTTTTCCTGGTTTCTTTTTTGGATAATTCATTGTTAGTGTATAGAAATGCTACTGATTATTGTATGTTGATTTTTGTATCCTGCAACTTAACTAATACTAAATTTGTTTATTCTAAAAGTGTTTTGGGTAGAGTCTTTAGGGTTTTCTATGTATAAGATCATGTCATCTGCAAATGGTGATGATTTAATTTTTTCCTTTCCAATTTAGATGCTATTTATTTCTTTCTCTTGACTAATTGCTGTGTCTAGGACTTCTATTACTGGGTTGAATGGAAGTGGTTTGGGGATCCTTGTCTTTTTTCAGATCTTAGAGGAAAAACATTCAACTTTTCACCCTTGAGTATGATGTCAGCTGTGGGCTTGTTGTATATGGCCTTTATTGTGTTGAGGGTGTTGAGGTACATTCCTTCTGTATTTAATTTGTTGAGAGTTTTTTTTTTTAATCATGAAGGGATGTCAAACTTTGCCAGTGCTTTTTCTGCACCAATTGAAATGATCATAGTTTTTGTCCTTCATTCTGTTGATATGATGTATCGCATTGATTTGCATATGTTGAACCATCCTTTCATCCCAGGGATAAGTCCTAATTGGCCATGATGAATTTTTTTTTTTAATGTATTGTTGAATTTTGTTTGCTTGTATTTTGTTGAGGGTTTTTGTTTCAACAGTCATCAGAGATATTGGCCTGTAGTTTTCTTTTTTTAACGTGTCTTTGTCTGGTTTGAGTATCAGGGTAATACTTCATATAATGAATTTAGAAGTATTCCCTCCTCCTCTATTTTTTGGTATAGTTTGAGTAGGATTGGTATTAGTTCGTCTTTAAATGTTTGGTAGAATTCAGCAATGAAGCCATTGGGTCCCAGGGTTTTCTTTACTGGGAGACTTTTTATTATGGCTTTGATCTTGTTACTTGTTATTGGTCTGTTCAGGTTTTGGATTTTTTCATGGCTTAGTCTTGGCAGATTATATCTAGCAATTTATCTATTCCAGATTTTCCAATTAGAGCAATTAGTTGCTCTAATGATCCTTTGACTTTCTGTGGTGTTGATTGTAAAGTCTGCTTTTTTTTTTTTATCTCTGATTTTATTTGGAGTGCTCTTTTTTTTTAAGTCTGGCCAAAGTTTGTCAGTTTTGTTTGTCTTTTCAAATTGATCATTTGTATTATTTTCTTTGTTTCAATTTCATTTACTTCTGATCTATATGATTTCTTCTAATTTTGGGTTTGGTTTGCTCTTGCTTTAAGATGCATTTTAGGTTATCTATTTGAAGTTTTTTGTTTTTTATGTTGGCACTGATACCTATAAACTTCCCTTTTAGCATGGCTTTTGCTGTATCCTATAGGTTATGGTATGTTGTGTTTTCATTATCATTTGTTTCAAAAAGTTTTTCAATTTCCTTTTAAATTTCTTCATTGACCCACGGGTCATTCAGGAGTATATTGTTTAATTTGCATGTGTTGGTATTGTTTCCAAAATCCTCTTTTTACTGATTTCTAGTTTTATTCCATTGTGATCAGAGAAGATGCTTGATATTATTTTTAGTCTTTTTGAATGTTTTAAGACTTGTTTTGTGACCTAACATATTCTGTCCTCAAAAATGACCCTTTTGCTGAGGAAAAGGATGTGTATTCTGCAGACATTGGATGAAATGTTCTGTATCTGTTAGGTCCATTTGGTCGGTCTATAGTGCAGATTAAGTCTGCTGTTTCTTTGTTTATTTTTCTGTCTGGAAGATCAGTCCAATGCTGAAAGTGGGGTGTTGAAATCTCCAGCTGTTACTGTATTGGGGTCTATCTCTCTCTTTAGCTCTAACAATATTTGCTTTATATATCTGAGTGCTTCAGTGTTGAGTGCATATATATTTCTAATTGATATATCCTCTTGCTGAATTGATCCCTTCATCATTACATAGTGACCTTCTTTGTCTCTTTTTATAGATTTTGTCTTAAAATCTATTTTGTTTGATAAAAGTATAGCTATTCCTGCTCTTTTTTGGTTTCCATTGGCAGGAAATATCTTTTTTCATCGCTTTATTTTCAGTGTATGTCTGTCTTTATAGGTGAAGTGTGTTTCTTGTAGGCAGCAGATCCATGGGTCTTGTTTATTTTTCATCCGTTCAGCCAGTCTGTGTCTTTTGATTGGAGAATTTAGTCCATTTACATTTAATGTTATTACTGATAAGTAAAGACTTACTCCTGCCATTTTGTTATTTATTTTCTGGTTGTTTTGTGGTCCTCTCTTCGTGTCTTTTTTTAGTGAAGGTGATTTTCTCTGGTGTTGTGATTTAATTTCTACCATTTTATTTTTTGTGTATGTGTTATATGTTTTTTCATTTGAGGTAAGGTTACCATGAGGCTTGCAGAGACTATCTTTAACCCATTATTTTAACCTGATAACAACTTCACACTGCCTGCATAAACAAATAAACAAAAACAAGACTTAAAAAAACTCTACACTTTAACCTTGTCCCTCTGCTTTTTAACTTTTTATTGTTTCATATCTTTTTGTGCTATGTCTTGAAAAGTTATAGTCATTTTTGACTGGTTCATCTTTTAGTCTTTCTACTTAAGAGTAGCTTACACACCACAGTTACAGTGTTATATTATTCTGTGTTTTCCTGGGTACTTACTATTGCCAGTGAGTTTTGTACCTTCAGATGATTTCTTATTGCTCACTAATGTCCTTTTCTTTCTGATTGAAGTACTTCCTTTAGCATTTCTTGTAGGACAGGTCTGATGTTGATGAAATCCTTCAGATTTTGTTTGGGAAAGTCATTATTTCTCCTTCATGTTTAAAGCATATTTTCACTGCATATACTATTCTAGGGTAAAATTTTTTTCCTTCAGCACTTTAAGTTTGTCATGCCACTCTCTTTGGGCCTGTGAGCTTTCCACTGAAAAGTCTGCTGCCAGACATATTGGAGCTATGTTGTAATTTGTTTCTTTTCATTTGCTGCTTTTGGGATCCTCTCTTTATCCTTGACCTTTGGGAGTTTGATTATTAAATGACTTGAGGTAGTTTTCTTTGGGCTAAATCTCCTTGGTTTTCTAGAACCTTCTTGTACTTGGATACCTTTCTCTAGGTTTGGGAAGTTCTCTGTTCTTATCCCTTTGAATAAACTTTCTACCCCTATGTCTTTCTTTGCCTCCTCTTTAAGGCTAATAACTCTTAGATTTGCCCTTGTGAGGCTATTTTCCAGATCCTGTAGTCATGCTTCATTGTTTTGTATTCTTTTGTTGTTGTTTCCTCTGTGTATTTTCCCTTCCCTCCTTCCTTTTTTTTTTTTTTTTTGAGACAGAGTCTTGTTCTGTCGCCCAGGCTGGAGTGCAGTGGCATGATCTCAACTCACTGCAACCTCTGCCTCCCAGATTCAAGCAATTCTCCTGCGTCAGCCTCCCACAGCTGGGACTACAGGCACGTGCCACCACACCCAGCTAATTTTTGTATTTTTAGGAGAGATAAGGTTTCACCATGTTCGCCAGGCTGGTCTCGAACTCCTGACCTTGTGATCTGCCTGCCTCGGCCTCCCAAAGTGCTGGGATTACAGGTGAGCCACTGTGCCCGGCCTCCTCTCTGTATTTTCAAATAGCCTGTCTTAAAGCTCACTAATTCTTTCTTCTGTGTGATCAGTTTTTCTATTAACAGACTCTGATTCATTCTTCAGTATATCAGTTGCATTTTTCAGCTGCAGAATTTCTGTTTCTTTTTCTTTCAATCTCTTTGTTAAATTTATCTGATAGAGTTTTGAATTCTTTCTCAATGATATCTTGAATTTCTCTGAGTTTCCTCAAAACAGTTTGATATGGTTTGGCTGTGTTCCCACCCAAGTCTCACCTTGAATTGTAATAATCCCCATGTGTCAAGGGCAGGGCCAGGTGGAGATAATTGAATCATGGGGATGGTTTCCTGCATACTATTCTTGTAGTAGTAAGTCTCCCAAGATCTGATGGTTTTATAAATGGACATTCCCCTGCACAAGTCCTTTTGCATGCCCCCATGTAAGACGTGACTTTGTTCCTCATTTGCCTTCAGCCATGATTGTGAGGCCTCCCCAGCCATGTGGAATTGTGAGTCAATTAAACCGCTTTCCTGTCCAAATTACCCAGTCTCAAGTATGTCTTTATTAGTAGCATGAGAACAGACACACAGCTATTTTGAATTCTCTGTCTGAAAGGTCACATATGTCTGTTTCTCCAAGATTGGTCCCTGGTGCCTTGTTTAGTTCATTTGGTGAGGTTCTGTTTTCCTGTGTTGGCTTGATGCTTGTAGTAGATGCTTGGACATCTACTACAGTGTCTGGACATTGAGGAGTTAGGTATTTATTTTAGTCTTCTCAGTCTGGGCTTGTTTGTAGCTGTCCTTCTTGGGAAGGCTTTCCAGGTATTTGAAAGGACTTGAGTGTTGTGATCTAAGCTATATCTGTATTAGAGGGCATCCCAAGCCCAGTAACATTGTAGTTCTTACAGACATACTACCTTGGTGGTCTTGGATAAGATCTGAAAGAATTCTCTGGATTACCAGGCAAAGATTCTTTTTCTCTTCCCTTACTTTCTCTCAAATAGAGTTTCTTTCTCTGTGCTGAGCTGCTTGGGGCTGGGCATGGGGTGACAAGCACCCCTGTGGCCACCACCACTGGGACTGGGCTTGGTTAGACTTGAAGGCAGCACAGCACTGAGTCTCACCCAAGGCCCGCTATATCCACTACCTGGCTACAGCCTATGTTTGCTCAAGGCTCTAGGGCTTTATATTCATGTAGCAACCCCAGCCAGGCTTGTGTCCTTCCCTTCAGGGCGGTGAGTTCCCTGAGACTCTGGGGAGGTCTAGAGATGCCATCCCGGAGCCAGGGACTGAAGTAAAAAACTTTAGATATCTACCTGGTGTTCTATTCTCCTGCAGCCGAGCTAGCACTCAAACCATGAGACATGGTGCTTCCCACCTTTCCCTGCATGCCATAGGCAGAGGAGCCTCACCCCATGGCCACCATCACCACAGGCCCGTGGGGAGTACTGTCAGGCTGCCACTAATTTTCACTGAAGGCCCAAGGCCTCTTCAGTCAACTTGTAGTCAATGCTGCCAGGTTGGGGAGTAACACTTCAGGGTAGTGGACCCCCTTCTGGCTCAGGGCAAGTCCAGAAATGCCATCTAAGAGCTAAGGCCTGGAATTGGGGACCCCAAGAGCCTGCTTGGTGCTCTATCCCACTGTGGCTGAGCTGATACTTAAGGTACAAGACAAAGTCCACTTTGCTTTTCCCTCTGCTTTTCTTAAGCAGAAGGAGTTTCTCACCATAGCCATCATAGCTGGGAATGTGCTAGGTCTCACCTGAAGCCAGCACATTTCAGAGTCTCACCCAAGGCCCATGATGTACTACCTGCGTGTCACTGCTGGTTATTCAAGGTCCACAGGCTCTTTAGTCAGCAAATGATGGATGCTGCCAGGACTGGTTCCTTCCCTTCAAGGCAGTGGGTTCCTTTCTGGCCCAGGGTGTGTCTAGAAATGTTATTTGGGAGCTATGGCCTGGAATGGGGGCCTCATGACCTTGTCTGTTTCCCTATCCTACTGTGGCTGAGCTTATAACCAAGATGCAAGACAAAGTCCTCATTACTCTTCTCTCCTTTCCTCAAGTGAAAGAAAGGGGTCACGAGCTGTGTTGCCTGTGGTTAGGGGAAGGGTGGTGCAAGCACTCCCTTAATTGCTCTGGCTGGAGTCTCAGTAGGTCACATGCCCCCCATGTCTCCTGGCTTCGAGCCCAGCTGACAACTAGAACTTGCCTAGGAACTGCAGTTGTGGCCTAGGCTGCTTTTCAAGTTTATTTAATGCTCTAGAGCACTTTAGTCCAGGTGGCCAGGGTTGCTGGAACTGAATGAACAATTGCCCTCTGGCTAGGGCTGGTGTGAGCGGGCGTTAGCTGCCTGGTTTTGCTTTCTACTGTGATGGCAGCATGGAATTTGATGTAGTCTCATGATGAGTGCCCTCTCTCTCATTAATCATAGATTTTCTCTCTGTGCCTTGTGGTCACTGCTGGGGGATAGGGAAGGGGTGGCATCTGCAACTCAAGACTGTCTTTCCTACCCTCTTCAGTGCCTCTTTCAGCAACATGAAGTTAAAACCAAGTACTGTGAGTGTTCACCTGATTTTTGGATCTCATGAAGGTTCTGTTTTTTTGGGTAGATAGTTGTTAGATTTAGTGTTCCTTTTTGGGGGGACCATCGGTGGAGCCTTATACTCGGCTATCTTGCTCTGCCCCTCTTTAGGATTTTTTTCAGTCAAAATCTTCTAAGTGAAACATTTTCTCCTACACTTTGCAGTTAAAAAAATTTGTGTGTTGGCAGGGATACGTGTATAAATGGATAATGGAGCTGGTCTATAAACAATGACAAGCATTCTTTTAGAAAATTTTATCAGATACAACATAGGAAACTTTGGAATGTGGTTAAGTGTATTTTGCACTACAGTGGCAGAGAAAAAAAGGAAAAAGAATATGGTTAAGTGTAAACTGATACTATCAAATGCTTATTGAAATATTTTGAGGTGTGGTAAGCCTTAATTTAAACATGTTTACATTCAAAAGTATACAGCCATTCAACAAGGTTATCGATCTAAGGGAATGGATTTAGAACATAGGGGATGCTTGAGTTGCCTGTTCTCACGTAGTTTACTAGAAATATTACTTCTAGTAGATGATGCTGGTAATTCTTGCTTTCTTGATTTACGAAGATTTTAGAAATCTAGCCTGCAAATACTTTAAAAAAATTGTGTTGCAATTATATATTATCTTTGTACCTTAATGTTTAGAGTTATTTCATTCTTTCATTTTACTTATGAATAGCAGTTTGTTCTCTATTACTAGTAATTCTTAATGAATCTATTTCTTTTTAAGAATGATACAGTGTAGTGGTTTTCAAATCTAGCTGCATATTAGAATCACTTGGGATGTTATAAAAATATATGAATGCCTAGCCCTGCCTTAGAGAATCTAATTTAATTAATCTGTGAAGCCTCAGTCATCTCTATTACCAATTTTTTTTAAAACGGCGTCCCACTACAATATCTCTAGCCTAGGCTAGAGTGCAGTGGCTACTCATAATTGGAGACATAGCAGCCTGCAGCTTTGAATCCTGGGCTCAAGCGATCCTCCCACTTCAGCCTCCTGAGTAGCTAGGACTACCGGTGTGGACCACCATACCCAGTAATTTTTAAATTTTTTTTTTTGTAGAGATGGGTTCTCACTATGTTGCCTGGGCTAGTCTCAAAATCCAAGCATCAAGTAATCCTCCTGCATCAGCCTCCCAAAGTGCTTGGATTATAGGCATGAGCTGCTCCACCCAGCCTGCTTGATATTTTAGTTTAATTTTGTTGTCGGAAATAATAATTTTGTTGTTAAAAGTTTTATGTCAGAAATAAGATCTGAGATCTGAAATATTCCTCTTTTTTTTTAAGAAGCTCTTCGAATCAGTGGCTCATAATCTTTATATAAAACTTACCTTATGTATTAGACCTTGAGTATAAAAAAATTTTGCCTTGTCCTGTTAAAAATGTAGATTCCTAGGTCTGCATTTAGAGAGTGTTTTAGTAGATTAGGGACAGGAAATGGGCACCCGGATGTTTAACTTTGCATCTTGGGGATATTCATGCACATAATCTAGTCCTTACACCGCTTTGGGAAACCTGACCCTTAGAAGCTTTTTCTTTTATTCTTAAGAGATTCCCATGACCCTACTTTTGCAGGTGGAAGAGAAATACAATCTTCACTTTGCTTGGAAGAAAATTATTGAGGCAAAGAAAACATAGGTATGGTTTTTTGTGGTATGATTTCTATTGTATTAATAGTTGGGGCCAGGCATGGTGGCTCATTCCTATAATCGTAGCACTTGGGAGTCCAAGGTTAGGAGGATCACTTGAGCCCGGGAGTTTAAGACCAGTCTGGGCAACATGGTAAAACCCTGACTCTACAGAAAATCCAAAAAATAGCTGGGCATTGTGGCTTGCGCCTGTAGTCCCAGCTACTTGGGAGGTTGAGGTGGGAGGATTGATTCAGCCCAGGAGATCAAGGCTGCAGTGAGCCATGATCGTATCCTACTGCACTCCAGCCTGGGCAACAGAGCAAGACTCTGTTTAAAAAAAAAAAGTTGACAGGTTCTTAAAGAAATAGGTATGTTCTGGTTTTCAGAAGTTTTTTTTTTTCACTGCTAGATATGGCAATTTTTATTTAAGTTCAGAGTCATAGGTCTGACTAATTAATTTAAAACTGCCTTGAAGATAGAGTGAAAAAAATTGCAGTACCCTGTTCATCATACTCATAACTCATGTAGCCGAGCGTGGTGACTCATGTTGTAATCCCAGCACTTTGGGAGGCCGAGGTGGGCAGATCACGAGGTCAGGAGTTCAATACCAGCCTGGCCAACATGGTGAAACCCCGTCTCTACTAAAAATACAAAAATTAGCCAGATATGGTGATGCACATCTGTAATCCCAGCTACTGGGGAGGCTGAGGCAGGAGAATTGCCTGAACCCAGGAGGCAGATGTTGCAGTGAGCCCTGATCACGCCATTGCACTTCAGCCTGAGCAGCTGAGCAAGACTCAGTCTCAAAAAAAAAAAAAAAAAAAAATCAGTAAAAATAATGGTTGTGTCTGGACCTGCATCTGTTTTCTCTTATTTAGTGTTCTTAATGATAATTGAAATTCTGGTTGGTCACTGGCATTATGATTTAGGATTCCAAGTATAATATTTCAGTGCTAGAGTAATTACCTGTGGTCAACCCCAATGCTTTAGATTATAGAGTCTTTAATTTTATCAATCAAACAAATATGCACTCTGTACTGCTGTTGGTTTACTCTGAATAGGTGGACAAGTAATAATTGAGAGATAAATACATAGAAGAATACATGAAGTTATTTATTTTGTTACAGCTGCACCTTTTCTGTATTTCCCCTTACCTATACTTGCTTCCTTTACTTATGTGGCTTAGATGGCCTGTTCTTTAAAGTGCATAGCTTTCTTGCCAACAGTTTTTCTTCCTTTCTCCCATTGTCTTTGCTCTTGTTGAGGAAAAATCACATATTTCTGCATATTGCTACAACTCTAAAGGCATGGTTTCCAATTATAGTTGGGAGCCTCTCAGGTGCCCTGTACCTTCCATGTTTCTCTTACGTAGCTTTTTATTTATGTTTATTTAAAATCTTTTTCACTTTCATTAAGCTGCCATATCCTCATTCAGCAGATTAGCAGAGCGGAACTTCCTTAGCCAACATCTTGCCACCAAACCTAATTTGTCTGTATCTGTCCCCATCCTTCCTGAGAGTATATAGCCTATTGATTATGCTCTTGGCAGTCAGGCTTAGGTGGGTTCAAATCCACCCTTGAAACCTTAGGCAAGGTTAGTTAACCTTCTTGAAGTTTGGTTTCCTAATCTATAAAGTGAGGGCAGTAATACTTATAGGACTCCTAGAGGTTGTAAAGGGCTTAGCATAGTATCTTATAAGTACTAAATTTTCAATGCAAAATGATGATGATAATGTAAACCGTCTTTTAAACAGGGAAATGAAGGGATCTCTTTCTCTCTTTTACTCTAAGCTAAGCCTACTGCCAGTGAATTGGGTCCTATCCCTTTTGGGACCTTGCTGTATTCTTACTCTTCACTGATTTTTCAAAATCAACCTTTCTATTGGCCCTGTTCCTATCAGCATTTAAACATGATACAATTTTTTCTTATTTAAAAAATCCTCTTTTTTATATCCTGTATACTTTTGCAACTACTGTTCTATTTACTTTCTTCCCATCGCAATTTCTTGAATAACTTGATTCTATTTTCTATTTCTGTTTTGTTCATCTTTCACTTACTCTTACCATTGAAATCTAGGTTTGACCCTCATCACTCCACTGAAATGACTTACTAGTGATTTCCTTGTGTGAAGTCCAGTGGAGACATCTCATTGTTTTACCTTAGATTCTTCATTAGTAGTCGGTTTGGTAGGTCATACCCTCCTTCTTGAAACATTTTTCCAGTTTCTGTGGTATTATTTTTGTCTAGACAGTCACCAAGTTCTATAGGGCCTATCTTACAAAGCTCTCAAATTCACCCTACTTACCTTTTCTATCTCCATCCCCACTACCTTAATACAGTCCACTTTCTCTTGGATTATCACAACAGCTCCTTAATTGGTCTTTCTCTAGAGTCTTGTTCCATTCTAATCCATTCTTCTTGTTCTGATGTGAATGATCTTTGTAAAATGCAAAACTTTTGTGATTCTCCAGGTTAAAACTCCATCCTAGTCTGACTGAAAACTCAGGTTAAAACTCAGTCTAGTCTGAGTCCAGTCTTGGTTTTATAGAGCACTGTGTAATTGATTCCTGTCTTTAAAACTCCGTCCTAGTTAGTCTAGTCTGAGTACAGTTTTGGTTTTATAGAGCACTGTGTAATTGATTCCTTTCTTCCTCTTGAGTCTCAACTCTTTTTTCACTCCAAGTCACGCCAAAGCTGTTTGTGGTCCTAAAGTCCTGTGCTTTGCCTAAAAACGTTTCTGCATGTTATCTCTTCTGTTTGGAACAACCCCGGGAACCCTTTCCCTTTTACTACCTTTTCTTAGCTAATTGTCTTTCTTCTGCCTGGTCTCTGTTGAACTTCTTTTGGGAAGCCACCCCTGACCCTTAGAGATTTTTGTTTGATGCCCTCCTAAATTATGTGCTTCTCTCTTTTTAGCACTTAACACCTCGTATTTTATTTACTTAACTGTGCAAATAAATATAATTTTCTCAGCTTTCTCCCTTGACTGATATCCTCTGTTAGGAAAAGTTCTTTGTCTATTTGTTCACTGTTATATCTCCAGTGCTTAGTACCGTACCTTAGCTTAATAGGTAAAAATGAATTAATGAATAAATGGGTGAAATCTTGCTGGTTCTTCAGGTATTTAGAACTAAGAAAAAAGATATTAAACATCTTTACTTTAGCCTGAGTATATGTTTGGCTTATTTAAGCCTTCTATGTAAACCACACCAAGTGGCTAATCTTTTCTTACAGTTTTAAGCCAAATAAACAAAACAAGGAAAATATAGCTTAGCTGTCAAACATGATTTTTTTTTTTTAAGTCTTATAGGGACATATACATATTGTGCACTCTAATGTGGATGTAGTCTACCTTCCAAATTAGGATAGATTCTGGGAAGAGAAACCTGGTAACCATTGTAATAGAGGCCATTGAAAGAATGGCTATATTTTCAGGATTGTTGATGAAACCTTTCATGCAAAAGAAAATAACATCTGAAACACATTAGAAAATATACTTCTTTCTGAGGGCTAACATAGATAACATATATAATGAAGACTTTTTGGAAAGAGGCAGGTGTTTTTGTACAATTGTTTGAGGTTATAAAAACTTTTAAATTATGGATGACATGTTTTGTTAGAAGATTGTCTACTCTGATATATATACATTTAATTTTTTTAAAAATCTAGTACTCTTCTTTCTCTGCCTTTGTATTCTGTTACTGAATTAGTATTTGTACTAGCAGATGAATAAGAGCAGGAAGAGTTGTTAAACAGACTAATTTTTTTACTCGTTCTGCTGTATTTAAAAGTAAGGCAATAAATTAAGGCCTCATTTAGGTTTTGGATCATTTCTGAGTTTTAGATGTAGGTTAACTGTCCCAATGTATAAAATCTGAGCTCAGTATTACAGATAAATTAGTATTTGTAAATAATTATATTATGAAAAGAATTGTATGGCAAGAATCTTCCACCCATACTTAACTTTTCTGAATTTTGTTTATGTCATCTGTAAAGTGGTAATAATACCTATTTCAAAGGGTTTTTCATCAAGTATAAGTATGATTACATATGTAATCATAACTAATGTATATTCAATAAATATTTGTGGAATGAGTGTATAAGTTAGGTAATACCAGTATAAAGAATAAAATTAATAGAATTGTAAAAGTATAATGAATAATATAAGGTAGCAAATAGCTATATAATAATTTCTTTACAAGTTTTAATTTTGTCTTGTGATTTTAAAATTTATATAAACTGAGCCTTTACCAGATGCTCATATACCTAAATACTACTTTTACTATTTATTTATTTATTTAAATACTCTTTAAAAACCACTGTCATGTAAATGCTTAAGTTGGTCTAATATGATTCTATAAAAGGACTACCATTACTAAATTGAAGGAACTGTTGCCCTTGAATTTGTCGTCTCTCCAGCCTCCTCATCAGAATGTATTAAGAATATATAGTAGCTGTGCCAGATATAATGGGGCCGGTTTAACTACTGTGCTAAAGCACTAAAATTGAAACAGTAGAAGTGTACTTACTTAATAGCTAAAGTTATATAACTACAGTAGGTCTAAAGATTAGATTTGTTGGAGAAAGGTTTTACAACATGGGAAATGCTTTAGCAACTGTCACTCTTAAGTAAAATAGAGATAATATCTAAAAAGGTATTTCGAATAAATCTCTCCATTGAGTCTAGATAGCAGCTGAGAATTATTTACAAATTGTTGAGTTCCGGAACTGGTGGCATGATTGCACTATGTCTTAATGTTTAACCAGAAATAAATGGCAATAAATTTGCTAACATAAAAAGGTAAATTTTAAATTAATCAGACGGGATCTCTTAAATTGTGATATTTCAACTGGTGCAATCTTAAATATGTACCTTAACTAAATACTTTCTCATTTGCTGTTCCAAGATAAAGCAATAGTGGCTACAAGGAAGGTTGATAAATTTATATTTACAGTACATGGGTTCAAACTGCGCAGGTCCACTTATGTGCAAATTTTGTCCTGCATCTGACACCCCTGGAACAGCAAGACCAACCCCTCCTCTTCCTTCTCCTCAGCCTATTCAATGTGAGGATAATGAAGATGAAGACCTTTAGGATGGTTCACTTCTACTTAATGAGTAGTAAATATATTTTCTCTTCCTTATGATTTTCTGAATAACATATTCTGTTCTCTAGCTTACTTTATTTTAAGAATATAGTATGTATTATAGGTATCATACAAAATATCTGTTAATCGACTGTTTATGTTATATGGTAAGGCTTCTGGGTCAACAGTAGTCTTAGTAGTTAAGTTTTCGGGAGTCAAAAGTATTTTAGACTGCAGTGGGAGCATCTGTGCTCCTAACCCCTGTTGTTGCTCAAGGGTCGACTGTATTTATTTATTTTTAAAAATAGACTTTTAAAAAAGCATGGTTTTAGATTTACAGAAATATCTAGAACATATTACAGGGTTACTGTATACTCTATACCCAATTTCCTGTATTATTACTATCTTACAGTAGTATGGTATGGTTCATTTGTTACAATTAATGAATCAACATTGTTATTAACTCAACTTTATACATTATTGAGTTCCTTAGTTTTTACCTAATGTCCTTTTTGTGTTCCAGAATCCCATGTAGGATACCACATTACATTTAGTTTTCATGTCTCCTGAGTCTTCGCTTGGCTGGAGCAGTTTTTCAGACTTGCCTTGTTGTTGATCTGAACAGTTCTGAGGGGTACTAGTCAGGTATTACAGATGCCTCTCTATTTGAATTTGTCTGATATTTTTCTCATGATTAGACTGGGGTTATGGGTTTTTGAAAGGAAAACAATAGAAGTAAAATGCCATTTCTATCACATGCTACCAGGGTGCATACTAGCAATAAGATTTATTGCTATTGATGTGACTTTAATCACCCAGCTGAGGGTAGTGTTGGTCAGGTTTCTCCACTGTAATTATTCTTTTTTCCTCCCCTTTTCATACTGTATTCTTTGGAAGGAAGTCACTATGCACAGGCCACACTGAAGGAATGGGGAGCTGCGTTCCCTATTCTTGAGGGCAGAGTGTCTGCATAAGTTATTTGGAATTCTTCAAGGGAGACTTTTTCTCTTTTTCCTCATGTATTTATTTACTCATTTATTTATATCAGTGTGGACTGACAGTTTTATACTTTGGATTATAATGTGGTACTGCTTTATTGTTGCTCAAATTGTTCCAGCTTTTGGTTGTTGGGAACCTTTCTATTGGCTTTTGTGTCCCTGTGATATAACCCCATCAAGGTGATGTCTTTTTTTGTTGTTTTTTGAGTGCTTCTTACTTTTTGACACTATAAAATACTTGACGCTCATTTTGTATATTTCCTCCCTTAGTTCTAGAATCGGCCATCTGTCCAGGGAACCCTAGTTCCTATTGGAGAATGGTATTAGAAACCAAAATTTGGGTGCCAAATGTGTTTATTGTTGCTTTTATTTAGCTGTCTCAGCTGATAGAGCAAGAAAATTGTGTATATGAACCCATGTATATGCACATATCTATAAACTGAGCTAAACCTGAGTTCATGTAATGACTCCCAACTCTAATCCATCACCACATGGATCATTCTAGCCTCCTTCCCTTGTTTATCTGTACAATTCCACTCCAGAAGTGGCAATCCTGGCCACCTGTCAACTATTTAATTATTTAATTTCATTATATATGGACATCAGTATCAGAATTGTTAATTGTGAATTGTGAAAAACTCTTATCAACTAGAATACAGTGCTATGTACAGTTCCTCTTGCCTTTGGTCTTACAGATGCCACTCATTTCCAATTACATAGGTCAGCGCCTTTTCTTCCTGCCCCTCAGTGAGGTTGTTTGAGACATTCGTAATATAGTCAGATTCTTTTATTCCTGAACTTGTAAATAACTTTTAAAAAATTTGTATACATTAAGGTTAATTCTTTGTGCTTAAAAGGTTTATGGGTTTTGATAAATGCATGGTATTATATACCCAACATTGCAGTGTTATATGAAATAGTTTCACCTCACCAGTCTGAAAAAAAATTCCCTTTGCTTCATGTATGCAATCCTCCTCCAACCCCATTGAACTTCTAGGAACTACTGATGTTTTTATTGTCTCTGTAGTTTTGCCTTTTATGAATTGTCATATAATGAGAATCATAAAGTATATGTAGCCTTTTAGACTGAAGAAAAATTTTTTAATGTTCTTTCCTAGTATCTTTAGAAACATTGATTTAGAATAACTTTGATTAAAGTCTAATCCAAACTTTCATCTCATATACCACCTCTCTGCAGCATCCTTTGATGGTCAGTCATTCAATATCTGTTTCAGTTTATCTAGTTCTAGGGAATTCACTAGCTTATGAAGTAGCACATACCATTGTTTGTTATAACAGAAATTCTTTACTTGGTATTAAGCCTCAAATTCCTCCCCAGAAATTCTACCCAGTGATTTGGATTTGACTGTGGGATGACTTGAAATAGGTCTGTTCTCTTTTCTACGTAGCAAGTATTCGTATCTTGAATGCAGTTTCAGTATACCCTCTTTTGCTTTTCAGTATACCCTCTTCTTTAAGTTTTCTGCTTTTCAGTTAGTTAACAACTTCGGTGCTAAATAGGATGCTCAGAGTGTAATTTTATACGTCAGCTACATAGCTTTCTTTGAAGTTTCCTTTGCCATTTTCATCTCTCTCCAATTTATCTTATACATTGTGATCATATTAGCCTTCCAAATGCAAATGTTTGCTTGTATCATCATTTAATTGTTTAAAACTTACATTTACTCCGTATTGCATTAGAATGGTACACTTTACAATAATTTGTGAAGGGCATGCTTCACAATAATCTGTGGAGTTTTAAAAAATATATAGATGCTCTACTTCCTGGGGATTCTGGAATTGGACAGAGATTTTAGAGAGTCTCCTATTTTGTAGAAGAGGAAACTAAAAGCCTGATAAGGTGTAATATTTGATATTCTGTCTAGAATGTCTTAACCTCTTTTTGCCTTTCCTTTTGAAATCCCATCTATTTTTCAGGATTCAACTTGCTTTTTACTTCTTATATGATGCATTGTTTGTATCTCCCTGAAATGATCATTTTGTTCATAACATGCTTATGCATTCATCATGGCTAGTTAAATTTTGCATATGTGTATTTCTCTTAGAGTACATTAATCATTAAAACTCTGGCAAATTCTAGGAATTCACTAAGAATTTTATAAGCTTTCTTATTTTTCAATATTTAAATAAACAACTACTGTTCACACAGTCACATCTTCTTCCCTAAATTGTAATGATCTTGAAGGTAGTGCTGCATGTTGGTTATATGTGCCTCCTTTAGAATGGTTGATGTAACAGAACATACAGTGAATGTGCATGGTAAGTGTTTGAATGGGTTGATGCAAGTTCAAGATAATATTACAAATAATGTTTGTTGAGCAGCACTTTATACTTTGCCTCATAGTAAGCTAATGATCCAGCTGAGAGGACCACAATTTTTTTTTTTTTTTTTTTTTTTTGGGCCTGTCAAGGCAAGTTCATACCATCCTATACTTATCTGGTTGTTTTGTAATTCAATGCCATATTTTTTGTTTATGTAGTTAAATGTTATCTTGTTGTTGGTCTAGTTTTCTAGCTTGCCTGTTATTTCTTAATCCTGATTTTTTTAATCTATAGTATTTGCTATCCTTCTCAGCTTCATGTTCATAAATTTGGCAAGTTTGTTTTTTATGTGTTCATTTAAGTGTTAAGTGTTGAAAAGAATTGAGGCTTGTATGTTCCTTTAGCATACTTAAAGAACTCCCAAGATGTCATAAACAGAATATTAAAACAGTGCTCTAAATATAGTCTAGAACTATATCTGAACTGTCGTCATTGAAGAGTCATCCATCTGTATAACTACTCAGCTCTTATTTTCTTTTGTAGTTTCTGTTTTCATTTTTATGAGCACTTTCTGTTTCTTGAACCTTACTATGCTATGGGACAGCATTAAAGATGTAGAAAAATGGCTTTCCTCTTAAAAAATCACACAATATAATAAAATAAGACATTCATTTTAAGAACTAAAGGGATAGGTGTACCTAAAAATTTTTGCCTTCAGGCAGTATACTGTTTAGTGACCTAGGGAACAGCCAGTCTCTTCATAAACCAGCCATAATATTCCTGATAATTTCCTTTTAGAAGTGACTTTTGTGAGAGAAAAGTTATTATGCCTCATGAGTAGACACTATAAAGTAGGAGAAACTTATCACATAGGTCTTTTTAAATATTCTCCTCTTTGAAGGCAGTAACTTTGCATACTTCTAGCTGTGGGCAGAGCCAATAAGCCCAGTTGTCAGATACGATTCTGTATGAAGAAAGTGGAGACTTAATGCTGTATTTGTGTATACAACATAAATGGAATCCATTTACAACTCAGAAAGAATATATAGTAATGAGTGACCTGAGTGGTACAAGTATCTTAGGATCCTTGAATGTTTTGCTTAGAAAAAAAGCTTTTGCAATTATCCATTTTGTCCATTTTCATTTTAAAGACAAAGAAGCAAGACCCAAGGTTTAATGACTTGAATAAAGTTCCATGGTTAGTTGCTGGTAGAGCTGGGACTTGAACTAGGACTCTTAAAAAGTTCTAAAGAGTGCAGGTGATCTCTTTGTAACATTTTCTTCCTAGAAAAGTTATTTTCCCTTAAAAAAAATTGTGCAATATCTTATGCATATAAGACTAATGAAGTATTTATGCACAGTTATAGAGTAATTATGAAATCAAATAGCCTATAGTTGTTTAATCACTATCCAGGTTAAGAAATAAAATATTGATAGCACTTTACAAGTCTCCTAGGAATAGTTCTTCAGTTATACCTTGCCCCTTTCCTCTTCCCAGAGGTAAATATGATCTTACTTTTGAGAAAATAATTCTTTGCTGTTTTAAAAACTTGTAACCACCTATATGTGTATCCTTTTAACAATAAAGTTTAGTTTTTCATGCTTTTGAACCGTACTGTATCTGTTCATTTGTAATACATTATGTTTGTGATATTTGTATGTGTTTATATAAATAGATGTCCATTTTCATTGCTATATTAAGCATTAGTATTAGATGGACTTTGGGGTTATTAATAAGGCTGCTATGAACATATGTCTTATACTGTGTATATTCAAGAGTTTCTTGAGGTCGTACCTAGGTATGGGATGTCTGGATCTTAGGGTATGTACATCTTCAACTTTACTAATTAATTCCAAACTGAGATATTCTAGTCTGTTCTGAGAAAGCTGTTTGTTTCCTGTTCACCCTTAGTTCTAAGGTATAGCCTTTCAGGATCCCAACCCAAGGGCTGGGCTGGTTTCAAAGTTCTCTCTTGATAGGCCCTAGACTCCAACTCTGATCTTCTACTGTTTTAAGCTGTCAAAAGGACTGCTCAGCCTCTCAGTCCTCTCTTCTGGATCAATAAATTGCTCCAGGCAAAAGTGCCCCAAAAACATGTTTTATCTTTCTGGTTTCCATCTTCTTGTGGATCTTTACCTCGTAATAACTCACAATTTTGTTAGCTCTTTGATGCTTTTAAGAACTTTCAAATATTTTCTCCAGCTGTATATTGGTTGTCTTCAGGGAAGAGTTTGTTCTGAATTTGCCTCGTCTGTTTTCCAGAAGTGAAAATTTGAACCGACTGACCTTTTAGTTTTAGTTACTGTATTTTTAAATATTTTATTTGCTTCCTTTTAGAAGCTACATGCTCAATTTTTGTAGTTTCCTATACCTCATAAATATTTTTGAGCTCAGCTTTTATTCTTATTCTTTGTGTCTTGCTTTCTTGCATGCTTGATAATTTTTTAATGTGAGCAGGCTGGGCACGGTTGTTCACGCCTGTAATCCCAACACTTTGGGAGGCCGGGGTGGGCAGGTCACTTGAGGTCAGGATTTCGAAACCAGCCTGACCAACATGGTGAAACCCCGTCTCTACTAAAAATACAAAAAATAGCCAGGCGTGGTGGTGTGCACCTGTAATCCCAGCTACTCAGAGGCTGAGGCAGGAGAATCACTTGAACCCGGGAGGCGGAGGTTGCAGTGAGCTGAGATCACGCCACTGCACTCTATCCTGGGGGACAGAGCGAAACTTTTTTAATGTGAGCTATTCACTTTCTTTGGAAAATTACTTATGGATTATCTTTGAGGCCCAGGATGAAAACATATTTCTCTAGACAGGATTGCATTTGCTTCTGTGGGTATCTTGATTCAGGGTTGGAGGTGGGAGGGAGTTGTGTCCCAGTCCAGGGCCATTGACTTAAACTGTAGTCATGGGTTGAGGTTTTGGGGACCACCCAGCTAATATAATTTGGGGCAGTAAATATGTATTCTTTCCTCAGTCCCAAGGCAACTCTCCTTGGGGGCTGGAGTGAGGGATAGGGTCCCAGCTTAATGGGGAGAGACTATCTATCTTGGTGGCTTTGTCTTACGTTCCTTGGCCAAGTGAAGTCTAGAAAATTGAGCTCAAGCTTGCATGGTTCAGTACCTGTCCTCAAGCCAAAAGCAATTTTAGTTCTCCTTTTGCCCCTGTCAGTTTATTCTTTCACTTAGATTTTGGGCTTAGTATCTTGCTGATTTGTCCATACTTCTGAAATAAACAAGTACCTGTTTTTTTCTTTGCTCATTTTAAATTCAGGGTTTTACTTATTTTCAATACAGAGTTGATCTTTATACCTGGAAGACATATTATTGAGAGCTGAGGTATTAGTTTATGTCTTAACACAGAATATCATAAAAGGCTTTTGATCACCATTGACTTCTGGAGTTTTATTGAAAGTGAGTGGGCCTGGCTTATGCCTTGTAATCCCAGCACTTTGGTAGGCTGACCTGGGAGGATCCCTTGAGGCCAGGAGTTCAAGACCAACCTGAGCCACATAGCAAGAACCTGTCTCTACAAAAATGTTTTTAAAATTAGCCAGGCATGGTGCTATGCGCCTGTAGTCCCAGCTACTTGGGAGGCTGGGGTGGGAGGACAACTTGAGCCCTGAGTTTGAGGCTGCAGTGACCTATGATTGTGTACTCCAGCCTGGGCAACAGAGTGAGACACCATCTATAATGAAAGAAAAGAACGAAGAGGGAGAAGGAGAGAGGGAGGGAGGAAAAGAAAAGAAAGAGAAAGAAAGTGGGAGATTATTTGTGAGTTACTGAATTTGCACTTCCTGTAAACTCTTTGAGCCCTTCATTAAGGAAGAGAAAGCATCTTATTATACAGCTCTTATTTCACTAAATAATTTTTAAAATTTTGCGTGCTGCATAACATATATTTATCGTTACGTCACCTTATGTCCTCTGGTTGTTTTCAGTATGTTTAATGAGGCTCAGTGTTCATAGGGAAATCAAGCTGCTCTTTTTGAGTAGCAAAGTATAATGAAGACTTTTTGTTCCTTGGTTTTTATTTAGGAAAAGTATAAAACTTAGAAAAACTAGAACAGTAATATGATAAGAATCTGCATAACCTTCACCTAAATTCACCAGTTGTTAACAATTTAACATTTTCTAATGTATTTTCTCTCCTTTTACCCTTATTCTCCTTCCCATCTGGTACAATGTACTTTTAAAATTGCTTAGTCATTTAAAAGTAGGTTGTAGACTCATCACTCATACTTCCGCAAATATCTCCTAAAAAGAAGGGCATTTCCCTGTATAACTTTAAATACCATTATTATACTCCAGCAATTTAACATTGGTACAATAAAATTATATACTGCACAATCTATATTTAAATTTTTCCATTTATCTGCAAAAATGTCCTTTATAGCTGTTTAACCCCCTGGGGGGATCTAGCCCAAGATTATGCATTACATTTGCTTGTCATGTCCTTGTGTCCTTTAATCTAGAGCATGGCTTGGCAAACTTTCTTAAAGGACCAGATAGTAAATATTTTAGGCTTGGTGGATAATGTGGTTCTATTGCAGCTCCTCCTCTTTGTCATTATAGCTAGAAAGCAGCCATAGAAATTATGTAAACAAATGAGTGTGGCTATGTTCCAATAAAACTTTAGTTAGACTCCTATTGTAAAATAGCTGTCCCTCTTTTTGTTTTTTGAGACGGAGTCTTGCTCTGTCACCCAGGCTGGAGTAAGCAATGGCATGATCTCAGCTCACAACAACCTCTACCTCCCGGGTTCAAGCAGTTCTCCTGCCTCAGCCTCCCAGGTAGCTGAGATTACAGGCATGCACCACCATGTCCAGCTAATTTTTGTATTTTTAGTAGAGACAGGGGCTTCACCATGTTGGCCAGGCTGGTCTCGAACCCTTGACCTCTGGTGATCCGCCTGCCTTGGCCTCCCAAAGTGCTGGGATTACAGGCGTGAGCCACTGCACCTGGCCCTCTTTTTTGTTTTTAATGACACTATTTAATGAGTTTTGAAGAATCAGGCTGATATTTTGGCAGAGTGTCCTTGATATGGATTTTTAAAAATGTTTCTCCATTAGTTTTTTTAGATTACAAATGCCCATGGAATCTTAAGGGTTATTACCACAGTAGAAATGGAAATCTAGTTTTTTTAAAAAGATTCTGATGCAGTTGAATATAAAATCTTTCCTTCTGTTTCTGTCTGCCTGTCTGTGCCTCCCTCCTGCACGCCTTCCTTCCATCCCTCCCTGATTATTGTGTATGTAATATTACTGCCTAGAAATTGGACAGTAAAATTAACTTATAGGCCGAGCACAGTGGTTCATGCCTATAATCCTAGCACTTTCGGAGGCTGTGGCGGGAGGAGTGTTTGAAGCCAGGAGTTTGAGACGAGCCTGGGCAACAAAGCGAGACCCTGTCCCTACAAAAAAAACCAAACCAAACCAAACCCCAGAGAACAAAATTCGCTGGGAATGGTGGCATACCTGTGGCCCTAGCTACTCGGGAGGCTGAGGCGAGAGGATCACTTTAGCCCAGGAGTTTGAGGCCGCAGTGAGCTATGATTGCACCACTGCCCTTCAACCTGGGTGAGCGTGAGACTCCATCAAATAAATAAATAAATAAATAAATAAATAAATAAATAAATAAATAAAATCAACCTCCAGATTGCTAATTCCTTGATGTTCTCTTCAGATGTCAGGATTTTTACCTGTATACTCTTTCATATAAATGTTTTTATATTCATGAATATAAATAATTCAAGAGGACTTGGGTATTGAAAAGTAGTAAAAATAACTTAGATAAGGACTTGAAGGGGCATTTATACTTTGGCCAAATATATAAAGCTAAAATGTCTTTCTGTTTGAGATGTAAAAGTAAAAACAGTTCTGGTTGGGTGTGGGGGCTCACGCCTATAATCCCAACACTTTGGGAGGCCAAGGTGGGAGGAAAGCTTGAGACCAGGAGTTTGAGATCAGCCTGGGCGACACAGCAAGACCCTTTCTCTACAAAAAATTTAAAAAGTAGCTGGGCATGGTGGTACACACCTGTCCCAGCTACGTGGGAGGCTGAAGTGAGAGGATTGCTTGAGCTCGAGAGGTAGAGGCTGCATTGAGCCATGATCTGACGTTGCCCACCTGCCAGGGTAACACAGCGACTCCCTGTCTCAAAAGGCGAAAATAAGAAAACCCTAATTCTTTGACACAAGTAAGTTCACTGTTGTTAGCATTGTGTAAGATTTAGATTTAGACATAAATAACAAATAATTTTAATAGATTTAATACAAAGCTATCCTTACGGAAAAGGTATAACTATGATTTTATCCAGGCAAAAATATGTGTAATTTTTTTTTTGAGTTATTCTATTCTCTTGCTTGGTTCAGTGAGTAGCAAAAGTAAAAGTAGGATATTTATTGGAATTAAAGAGTTTCAGGTTTTTAGTGCTTGAATTTCTTTTAAATATCTGTCTGAACATCTATGGTGATTGGGTGCTATCCTACCATCTTTTATTAGTTTTGACTGAGACAAGGTTTTTCTTCATATTGTGTCTTTATCACAATTTGCTCCTGGTTTGACCCTTTATACTCTATAAAACAAGTCTATTTTTTTTTTTCCTGCATAGCTGTTTGTTAAGTAAAAATGGAAGTGGTATTCTAGTGGAGGTTTTCATTTCTTGACTAAATATTCTCAGGGTCTTTAACCATTCCTCACATTGCAGCTCCACCATAAATAGCTTGTATGATCTTGGGGAGTTACTTAATCTGTGCTTGGTTTCCTTATCTTTAAAATTAAGAATGTTGGTACTGGGCTCATAAATTTATTGTGAGGATTGAGTTATTACATTTAAAATGCAACATTTGTCTGGCATGTAGTACGCATTCAGTAAATGTTAGACACCACAGTTGACCCTTGAACAACACAGGGATTGGGCATAGACCTCCTGTGTAGTTGAAAATCCATGTATAACTTTTGACTCCCCTAAAACTTGACTACTAATAGCCTACTGTTGACCCAGAAGCTTTACTATATAACATAAACAGTTGATTAACACAAATGTTGTCTGTTACATGTACTTTATACTGTATTCCTTCAACAAAGTAAGCTAGAAAACAGAAGATGTTATTAAGAAAATCAAAATAAAGAGAAAATACATTTACTATTCATTAAGTGAAAGTGGACCAACCTAAAAGTATTCACCCTCATTGTCCTCACGTTGAGTAGGCTGAGGTAGAGGAGGAAGAGGTGGGGTTGGTATTGCTGTCTCAGAGATGTCAGAGGTAGAAGAAAATTTGTGTATAAGTGGATCCACGCAGTTCGAACTGTGTTGTGTTGTTCAAGGGCCAACTGTATTGTTATTTCATCTTACATTGTTTCTCATCCATCTTGTCTATTTATGAACCTGTTTGTCTTTCTTAAAGCGTAGCTGAATGCAGTGACAGCTGTGATCTGATCAGCCCAGAAGGAGTAGTACAGTCGGCACCTCCCCCATTAATATGGGTCAAAGGGCTGGGCGCGGTGGCTCACGCCTGTAATCCCAGCACTTTGGGAGGCCGAGGCGGGCGGATCACGAGGTCATGAGATCGAGAACATCCTGGCTAACATGGTGAAACCCCATCTCTACTAAAAATACAAAAAATTAGCCGGATGTGGTGGCGGGTGCCTGTAGTCCCACCTACTCAGGAGGCTGAGGCAGGAGAATTGCCTGAACCCGGGAGGCAGAGCTTGCAGGGAGCCGAGATCACACCACTGCCCACTCCAGTCTGGGCAACAGAGCGAGACTCTGTCTCAAAAAAAAAAAAAAAAAAAAAAGGGTCAAAGTTGGAGTTGATTTTTAAACATTCATTGTGGAGAATTTAAAACATAAAAAACTAGATGGACTAGTATGGTGGACCCTCATACACCCATCCTCCATCCCCAGCAACACAACCAATCCAGCCGTATTTGTACTTCATCTAGTTCCTCCGTGGTATAATTGTAGCTCCTCTATTACACTTAGACTCCATGCCTGGTTTATCTTGATAATTACTAATGCTTTTAGTATAATGCTTTGTTTTCTAAGTAGATAATTGTTGAATTAATGAAAAATTGAATCTTGCCTTGGATTTATGCCTGGATCAGCTTCTGTAGTTTGCTTGTGTAGGTGGGTGAGCAGGATTGAAAATAGATTTGTCTATATTTACTGTTTTTTAGATGTCACCCCAGTTTTGTTTAAATAATTTCTTCCATATCTGCTCATGGATATATATGGTAATCTTACTGGTGCAGTGTCTGAGTATGCTGGGAAATAATTCCAATTATCTGGGATAGAAGACTTGAATTTACTATTTTCTTAGAGTCTTCATTATTTTGAGCTTGAAGACTTTACCAATGTTTATCATAGGCCTTCCAATCTGATAATCATTTTGTCTTAACTAAATGGAAGCAGAATTGAAGAACTGTACTTTATTTGCCATCTTTGTTGGAATTTTTTTTTAAGTCAGATTTATTGTGGAAAAATTTACATACTGTAAAATTGTGGTAATTTGTTGGCTTCAAATTAGAGGCCCTTCTTCCCAGTGTCTGTTTGCTCCAAACCTAACAAAAAGACGGCTGCCAATGTAATTGACTGTAGCACCTTTTTCAAGCTTGTTTTTTTGTAACCCTATTTTTACTTGTGCCTTATTAGTTGTTACTGTACCTACAGCATTTACTGAAGTTTTAATAGATTCACAGTTGTTTTTAAAGTGATACCGAAGTGTGTAACTCCTGCTTAAAACAGGGATAGAGGCAATATAAGTCTTTGGTTGTATTCAGCTGGTGGGATAGGAATTCTGAAGGTGAAGTATGACAGTTAAGAGTATTATATAGAGAGGACAGCTTCTAGCATTCAGATCACTACCATCACCCTAAGATTGAGCCTATGTGAGCCTGCTTAGTAGAAACAGCCAGCTGAGACAGTATTTGTACACTGCATACACCTCAAAGCAAAAGAAGGCTTAGTGAAAGTGAATTTAGATTTACCCTCTGTAATTTATCCAGTAGTGACTTAGTATAGCTCTACCTTTCCCACTCATAGTTCTAGTTTTAAATGAAATATCTCTAGCTGGAGAGGAGTCTTGCCCTTCAATGTTAGCAGTTTTACCTTAATTATTAAAAATTTCATCAAGGATTAGTTAACAAGGACTTGAAAACAAGAATAAGATTTGTTTTAGAGAGGAGGCTGTGAAAAGTATTCTGATAGAGAACATCATGTTGCCATGACGGCCTGTGAACTTCAAAACTGCAGTATTTCACCTTTGATACTTCTGCTGTTTGCTTACTTCAGAACTTAAAAGATTCGCAGAATATCTATTCCTTTAGAAAATATTTATTGAACATCTATGTGCTGGGAAGTATGTTGCATACTAGCTAAACAAAACAATGAACAAAACAGATGAACTTGCCATTATGGAGTTTAGTCTAGTAGGAAACAAAATGAAAGTTATCTGAAGCCATATAGAAAAATTGTGCTTTGCTTATACTTTAAGGATTTAACCAGTTATTTTAAAGTGAACTTGGAGTGACTTTTCCTTGAGTTGTTTTGCAAAATGTATTTGAGCATTCGGAGCTTTGGGTTTAATGTATTTCTCTATGTGTATTGATAATGTGAAGTTAAATATTAGAGAGGCAGGACAATTTAAACAGAGGGAGAATATTAGAATAGATGTATTGTAGTGAGATTTCAGGATAATGACATGTAATATATTTGTGTGGGTAAAACTATATGTTTGTTGTGCCAAATGGACCTTTGCAAGCAGGAAAGTATAAATATCTTTATGGCCTTTCTTCTCTTTAAATGATTAATACTTAAGAATTGAACATTTGTCTTTATCTTTCATGCAGAGGAAAAAAACAGCAGATTTGTTGATGGAAAAGTAAACCTTTAAAATAGGAAGGAGGGTATAATAGAGCAAATGGAAATCATGAGACTAAAATCACATTGGAATTATGTGACAGTGTCATGTGTCTCTGGGCGAGAAAACATACCTCAGATTTCCCTATTTCAACAGAGTACAACCAAGTGCCTGAATTGAGTGATTCCTCCTAGTATTAAGATTTTATCATTTTAATTATATTTTTTTTATCTAGCAGTTTCTTAACGACTTTGATTGTTGGAAGATCAAAATGCTCTTTTATTTTGGTACTTGTTCAGGTTCAAGAATTAAAAACTTAAGATGGGGGAAGAAGGCTTTGCTTTCTCTAACTCTTATTTTCTGTAGGTACTTCGTAACTCAGGAAGACCTCATTTATTCCCAGTAATATGTTTTACTAAACTCTTTCAGGTAACTCTTAAAAGACTGTGTGACTTAATAGTAGATCATGGCTTGAACTCAGTTTTTATTTATTGTTGTTACTAGAAAATTTTTGTGAAATATTTTTCTTTGTCTCTGTAGTTATCAGAGACTATTACAGACGATTGCTGTACTCGAGGCTCAGCGTTCTCAAGCAGTCCAAGACCTTGAAAGTTTAGGCAGGCACCAGAGAGAAGCACTGAAAAATCCCATTGGATTTGTGGAAAAACTCCAGAAGAAGGTATACATTGAACTGTTTTTAAGATTTACTAAGATCTATTTGGGAATAGCTTAAGAGAATTTGGTTAATTCTTTTTTATGGGTATATACTTTTTAAAATGTTTAATTTTTTTCGTCTATAATTAGCCGTACTACTTAAGGCAAGATACCAACTTCTTCCACCTCCACCAGGCACACAATAAAATATATCCAAATGAAAATAGCTAGAAGCTTTTATTGGATATTTGTATGGGAACTTGTCCTATTCCTTAGCCATTTTTTTTCTAGCTTTTCCTGTTATCTTCCCCTTCTTTGAGTATTTTTCCTCCTCTGTTTCAGGACTTAGGGATTAATAAAGCTAAAAGAAAAAAGTACTTCAGAATTGATTAACTACTTCTGTTTCTGGGCTACTTTTGCACACTAGTACCTTTGTGCATTTTGAGAGAGAAAACAATGGTGATCAAAACAAAATCTATTTTAAATATCTTTAGAGTTACGATAGCCAAGTCCATGAGGAAGAAGTATAAATTTTACTTAATTTTAAAATGCTTTTTTTAAGTGGGAAAATTCTCCATAATTTTGTTTTTCTGAAAACAGAACTTTCGTGTTTAATACTTAACCACTTAAAAGCGATACAGGTTTTTATAATGAGTTTCTTGGTGTGTAAATATGGAGATGATCTTGATGTGCATTTGTGCTGTAATAGGGACCCACTAATTGTTCATTAAATTTGAGAGGTATAATGTTAATCAGCATTGTATGAAAAGATTAAAACTGAAAAATGATGAAAAAGAATCCTCTTCTTAAAAAAGAAACGAAACCTTATCTTGTATGACAACTTTAGTATCTTTATGAGTTACCTGTTTTTAGTGAGTTACAAAAGTGGTCTACCAGGTGTTAGGAGAGCAGCCCTGGGGACTTTATTTCACTAGTTGTGTTAATTTATTATTTGAATTTTCCTAGGTATATTATTTAGTTGGTAAACATTTCTTTCTCTTCATGCTTTTAGAAAACATTGAATATCGTAATAGATATAGAGCCTATATGTTGATTTGTTAAAACTTCTAAGGTTTTTAGAATTTTGGTGTACCTTCTGTGTTAAAATGAGGCCCCTTTAAGTGTTTATTGATTCTGCATTGCTGTTATTAAATAATTTACTGGTACAAAAAGATATAAGACTTATAATGGTTATTTACAATGGATTCAACTAAAACAGATGGTGTTAGTAAAGTAAAAATTTGAAACGAAATTTTTACTTTACTAATGAAAAATTTGTTAACCTTAATTTCATTTCATTTACTTTCCCGGGTAGGCAAAAAGATGCAATTAGGCATATTTACTAGATTTGCATGCAGTTGATTATTTCCTGATTCTTCACTTTCAGGTTTAGTTTAGAACGGACTTTCATTTCTTTCTTTTTTCTTTTTTTTTTGAGATGGAATCTCACTAGGTCACCCAGGCTGGAGTGCAGTGGGGTCTGATCTCAGTTCACTGTAACTTCCGCCTCCCAGGTTCAACAGATTCTTCTGCCTCAGCCTCCTGAGTATCTGGGACTGCAAATGCACTGTACTACACCTGGCTAATTTTTTTATTTTTAGTAGAGACTGGGTTTCACCATGTTGGCCAGGTTGGTCTGAACTCCTGACCCGAAGTGATCCACCAGCCTTGGCTTCCCAAAGTGCTGAGATTACAGGCATGAGCCACTGCGCTCAGCCTAGAATGGAATTTCTTTTCACTTTATTTCAGAAATAAAGATGTGATGTTGACCATCTTAATAATTTTTTATACAATTACATGGAAATATATTAAATTAAGATATTTTAATAACCATGAGGTTATCAGTGTCTGGGACTTAAAAAAAAAAAAAAGAAAAAAATTACCATGAAAGTCCTATGTTCTTTGGAAAAAAATTTTCCTACTAGGTTTAATTTAAAAGATTGATTCTTCTATTTTTCTGGGTTTGCTCATGCCAACTCAATTTGCCTATTTTATTTAGGTTTATCATATTAGTTATGTTGTTGACTGGTAACTTGTTTGTTTTAGTGGACATATAAAAAATTCCTCCTAGTTCATATTAATGAAACTGGTGATATATATTGGTATATGGAATGCAGAGAACATTTATGGGTTGTTAGTTTTATTTTATATTACTATCATTATTTTAAAAGACACTGCCCTCCAACTAGAAGTCGTACTTAGGTTTTGCTAAATTCATTTCTTTACTTATCATCTTTAGCATTTAATATTTAGACTATATTAATTAACTTTATTGTCTCTTGGATTTAAACATGAATAGAAATGCCCCATTGATTATTTGGATTTGGAGTCATCTGAAAATTTGACTGTGGTGGATTATTTCTTTAATTAAATTTAGACTTTTACTTTATTTTGTTTTTTCTCCCCTGCCTCCAGGCTGATATTGGGCTTCCATATCCACAGAGAGTTGTTCAATTGCCTGAGATCGTATGGGACCAATATACCCATAGCCTTGGGAATTTTGAAAGAGAATTTAAAAATCGTAAAAGACATACTAGAAGAGTTAAGCTAGTTTTTGATAAAGGTAAGAAATCATATGATAAGAATTTAAGTAGAAAAATATCTGGCAATGTTTTGCTTTAACAGTTCTGTATGTGGTCTTATTTTTCAGTAGGTTTACCTGCTAGACCAAAAAGTCCTTTAGATCCTAAGAAGGATGGAGAGTCCCTTTCATATTCTATGTTGCCTTTGAGTGATGGTCCAGAAGGCTCAAGCAGTCGTCCTCAGGTAAGCAGTGTGAAATATTGGAGTAGGAGAATTTGAATTTTAGACAAAACAATTTAACATTTTGCTGGTTTGTGTTCTTAAAATTAAAGCAGTCTTTCACTGGAAGATAAAGGAGATAAGAACTTTGAAATTAAGAGAAACTTAGGTTGGAGTCCTAACTTACTAGCCGTGAACCTTCAGACATCATTTACGTTGAAGTCTCTAAGCTGCAGTTTCCTTTTGTATAAAATGTAGTTGATATTACCTATCTTGTAGGGTTGTTGGTGAGGGTTAAATAGGTAGTATATGCAATGTGCCTAGTACAGTATCCGACACATAGTATTTACTCTAAAAATAGTAGTTCCTTTGTGTGTAGTGAAATGTGACCAGGATTTGAGTCCTGGCCTTGCCACTCTTAGTTAGATGAACCTCAGTGGACATGTTACTTTTCAATTCTGAGCCCACATTTCCTTTCCCTTTTTTAAAAAATGAAGTTACAGTACTATTATGTATTTCACAGGATTGCTGAGAGTATAAAACCAAACAAAATAAAATAATGTGAAGGCATTTTGTAAACAGTTAAAAAAAAAGCATATACATTAAAAAACAAATTTACTCAAATATTTTGAAATTAATTTAAAAATTCCACAATTTGCGTGTTATTTGGCTATATCAAAGGATAGGTGTTGTTATTTTCTCTCTGACAAAAGCCTTGTCTTATGTGCAGATGATAAGAGGACGCTTGTGTGATGATACCAAACCTGAAACATTTAACCAGTTGTGGACTGTTGAAGAACAGGTAATAAATATTTCAAAATCGTGTAGGCTTAAAAAAACAAGTAAACAGTTAACATCAGAGTCAGTATTATGAGGCCAGGTCCAGTGGCTCACGCCTGTAATCCCAGCACTTTGGGAGGCTGATATGGGTGGATCACTTGAAGTCAGGAGTTCAAGACCAACCTGGCCAACATGGTGAAACCCTACTAAAAATACAAAAATTAGCCGGGTGTGATGGCGTGTGCATATATAATCCCAGCTACTCGGGAGGCTGAGGCAGGAGAATTGCTTGAACCCAGGAGGCAGAGGTTGCATTGAGCCAGGATCATGCCACTGCACTCCAGGCTGGGCAACAGAGTGAGACTCCATCTCAAAAAGAAAAGAGCCTGTATTTTGAGTCAGGTGTATATTGTTGTATGTGATGCCTGTTAGCCATGAGTTTTAAATATTTAGGCTTATTTTTGTATACCTTTTTGCATACGTCAAGAATTTTGGATTTTGAGAATGTGTAAACTTTTGTTTGGGGATAATTTTAAAAGAAGGAACCTGGGTTTTGAGAGGGGAGTAGAAGTGGATAGAATAAAATAGATGTTTTTGTAATGTAGCTTTGGGAGAGAGAAAAACCTGAGGCCAGTAAAGCTGAGCTTCAAAGTGCATTCTTATTTTTGTTGTCGAAGGGAGGTGAGGAAGTCAAGTCAGTTTTGGCATACAGTTTAGAATTGTTTTTTGGCTAATGGCTAGGGTTGTTAGTGGGTGAAGTTTGAGGCACATCTTTGTCTCATATGGCTATTAACCCCACAGCTATACATTTAACAGTTTATAAAAAGCTTTGGGAAATCTATTTATTTCAAGCATCCAGATTTTTCTGCATCTTTAGGACTATGAGAAGATACAGGAGACAAGAAGGAATATTAAAATCAAATATTTGAATAAAGGACCATACAAAAGAAGGAAAAGCCTCTTTTAATAGTCGAAATTTAAGTGAATTTACACGTTTTTGTTAAAACTGTAGGGGAAAGAAAAGTAAGAAAAGATTGACCATCTTTTCTTGGATTTCAGTGGATTTAGTGATTTCAGTGGAAATCACTAAAATGTGTAATCTACCAATTTGTTTACTTATTTTCTGTTTTCTTATGAGATATTTTTACTTATGTGAATAGAAAACTTTTCTAAGCTCTTTCATAAGTTTATTCTCTAATTTCATTGTTCCCTGTGAAGTCTTAAGTTTCTAACTAGAAATTTTTCCTACCATGAGGATTTCTAATTACGTAACCCCCAAAGGTGGGAGAGAGTATTACATTTTGAAATGAAATGTGAATGTATTTATTTAGAAATCCAATATTTAAAATTAAATACATATTTTCTTAAATTTGGTCTTGGGTATGGCTTAGAAAAAGCTGGAACAGCTACTCATCAAATACCCTCCTGAAGAAGTAGAATCTCGACGCTGGCAGAAGATAGCAGATGAATTGGGCAACAGGACAGCAAAACAGGTAATTGAGGAGATGACTGCAGATTGCTGGTATGCTTTTGGTAGTTTTTTAATAAAGGAGAATAATGCAGCTGACATTGGGCGATCTGCCATAACACTTTCAGCTACAGAGTGCTGTAGTATGTGGTGTTTTTTTAAAAAAATTGTATATATTTTCGTTGATTTCAGAAACAACTTGAGATACTTCTGCTTTGGATCATTACGAAATATTAAAAAATGAACATATAATGGACTTAATTTCTCTTGAATGCTTACTAAATATACTAATTGTATACTTTTTGGTTATACTGAGCAAACAGATTTGTTTCATTGCCTTAGTGTTTCCTGGTTGTCTTTCTAAAAATGTATCTTGCAGTTTACTCCTTCATATTCCCATCTATATTAATAGATGTGTTTTTATACTACAAATGTAAGTGTTCACAAGTTGAAATATGTGTTTAGCTTTAGAATCAAATTTAAATTTACTTGAATAATTTTTGTTTGGCCTAGATTTTAAAATATATGTGTATTTGGTGGCAGTTTATTGTTAATTCTAGATTCATGATGAGTATTGAATTCTTAGCATTCATTAGATACTCATGTACGTTTTAATTTTTAAAAACGACTCAGGTATTGTATGTCATCTCATTGTGTTAAGAGACTTGTCATGTTTCCTTAGGTTGCCAGCCGAGTACAGAAGTATTTCATAAAGCTAACTAAAGCTGGCATTCCAGTACCAGGCAGAACACCAAACTTATATATATACTCCAAAAAGGTAAAAGAAAATACATGAAAGTAAACTGTAGATTAAATTTATTAAAGTAAGAATTGCTATGTAAAAATCTACACATTTGACAGAATAGTGTTGTATTTTAAAACTTCTGTTCATTCTAAGCATTTCCTTATATTGTGCAAAAGTGGAGGGTAAGGACTCCATTATTGCTGCTCAGTGAAATTCATGATTCTTCATTATTTTCTTTGGAGTAATGTGAATGAGTGCTACTTGAAAGATTTTAGATTCAAAATATGTTAGAAAGGCCTTTGTGAGGGTAAAGTTTTTAGGATATTTGATTATTTAATAAATCAATCATTTAATAAATTTAATAGATCAATTTCTGTTTTGTAGATAATGCTACATAAATCCAAGAATAGAAAGGTTTATTATGATATTCTAAAGCCAGGCACAGTGGTGTGCACCTGTTGTCCCAGCTACTTGGGAGGCTGAGGCACGAGGAACACTTGAGGCCAGGAGTTTGAGTCCAACTTAGGCAACATAGTGAGGTCCCGTATCTTTAAAAAAATAAAATATTGTATTTAATCCTTTCTACAATTCTTGAAATATAAGTAGTCTTATCATCTTCACTTTACTGACATAATATTAATAGCTAGCTGTTATATTGAGGGCTCTGAGCCAGACTCTACTGTTCTATAACCTTTTATTTGGTAAGGAAACTGGGCCCTCAGGTATGTTGAGTGAATTATCTAGTTGCTTAGCTGCTAAGTCTGGGAACCACTGATTCTCTCCCATTCTGATGCCACACTTTTTCCACTTTTCTCTGTTGCTTTCTACAGTGGAGAAGCTACTGTTTCTTTCCCAAACAGGACACTACATTAAAATGTAGCCAGTTTCGGCCGGGCACGGTGGCTCACGCCTGTAATCCCAGCACTTTGGGAGGCCGAGGCGGGTGGATCACGAGGTCAGGAGTTCAAGACCAGCCTGGCCAATATGGTGAAACCCCGTCTCTACTAAGAATACAAAAATTAGCCGGGTGTGGTGGCACGCACCTGCAGTCCCAGCTGTTCGTTCTTGTAATCGCAAAAAATAAAGACACCTAATTGGCTGTTTTAAATTTTCTTAATAAGTTATCCTGTTACTTTTCCCTCCCCACCACTGACATCTTTCTCATAAAGAGAAGCTAAGAGTATATCTAGTGCTGTTATCCTTCCATACTGAAGCTATTTCATGTAATTTTACATTAAGAATATTGTCTATACAGTTTCATGTTTTACACATTAAAAAAAAATTTTTTTTAACCGAGCTTTGGAAGCTTGTTTTAATTTGCCAATTGTTTTAAATATTTTGGGTTTCCCACCAAATATAGCACAACCTGTGTAGATTTGTAGAGTTCATCCTATAACTGTGGAATATTGGAACCTTACATTAACCTGTGTTTAATGTAAGAGCTCTTATTTTCATGGTTAATTTCTAAGCTAATTTTATAGATGTAACCATGTTTTCATCATTAACACTGGATAATGATAACAAAAGGAATACTGGAGAACGTACATGTGTTTTTTTCCCTTAGGTGTACTGTATTTTGGCTGTGAAGATCTAGTACAGCTATATTTACAATGATTGCTTGCCATTGTTAGAGTTTAAATTTGGAAACAGGTGAAATGATGGTTCTTCATGTAGCTGAGGGTGTTCTTTGTGACTGTGCTATTGATCAAGACAGGCAGGCTGCATAGTGGTGGAAAGTGAGAATTTGGGCACCACATAGGCCTAGTTTATAATCCTGGTTCTACCACTATCTAGCTGCAACACACTGAACAAGAAACTTAACCTCCCTGTCCTCAGTTTTCTCATTTTTAAATTAGAGGTGATGATAACTACGTTATAGGAATGTTGTAAGGATTAAATGACATTGGCATAGAGCAAGCTTGTCCAACCCATGACCCACGTACCACATGTGGCCCACGACAGCTTTGAATGTGGCCCAACACAAATTGGTAAACTTTCTTAAAACATTACAAGAAATTTTTTTTTTGTTGTTTTTTTGTTTTTTTTTTTAGTGTGAGTGTATTTTATGTGTGGCCCAAGACAATTCTTCCAATGTAGCCCGGGGAAGCCAAAGATTGGACAACCCTGGCATAGAATAAGCAGTCAATCAATGTTAGATAAGTATTTTCAGATATTCATAATGTTATAGAAATTTTCCTTTTACTTTTTACTGGATAGTTTTATGTCTGGCATAGGCCACTTCATCCTGTCTGATCTTCTATAAGATGATCATAAGAATTCAGTGCAGCCAGCATTTGACTGCCAAGAGTATGATAAATGCTGGGGATACAAATATAAGCTAGATATTAAACATGTGGTCCATTTTACCGTTGTTGGGGTATTTCCCCTACATTTAAAAAAAATTTTTTAAAGCTAGTTATGCTTTAAAAACGCAGAAAACAGAAAAAGCAACAACATAAGAGTATGCTAAAGGATAGAGTGAAATTCTTCTGATAGACTTGTTGGAAGTAACATTTGTATTTTTATATTTTTGATTCTTGTAATGATTTTTCACTGAACCAATTAAAAATTTGTTTTCTTACTTAGTCTTCAACAAGCAGACGACAGCACCCTCTTAATAAGCATCTCTTTAAGCCTTCCACTTTCATGACTTCACATGAACCGCCAGTGTATATGGATGAAGATGATGACCGATCTTGTTTTCATAGCCACATGAACACTGCTGTTGAAGATGCATCAGTAAGTTATACACATCAAGTTGTTATATACATCAAGGTATAGAAGAGAGTAGGATTTTCTAATTATTTCCACTCTTCAGAGAATGTTGGTTTCTTTTAATGAACAAGTCAAATGTATAGTTTTTAAGTAATGTACTTTTGTGAGGAAAATTTCAAACATATACAAAAATAGAATAGTATAATGAACCTTAACAATTATCAACATGAAGCTACCTTATTTTAATCTCTACTCCCTACCCACCTCAACTCTGCTCTGGATTATTTTGGAGCAAGTCCCAGATATTACACAATATAATTATCATGTTTATAAAAGGTAATTTGTTATACAGTGAAATATATAGTCACTGTTCATGATTTTTTTTCTAATTTCTTCATTTGGGTTTGGATCCAAATAAAGCCCATAAATCACAATAGGTTCATTCTCCCTCTTTCACTTTCCTTTTTTCCCTCTCCCAATGTTTTTGTTGAAGAACTGGTTCATTTGTCTTATAGAATTTTGCAGTATGGATTTTATTGATTACATCTTCTTGTCATTTAATCTGTTCCTCTGTTTTCTGAACTTCCTGTAAATTCATAGTAGGTCAAGAGCATTGATGAGATTCAGATGTATTTGTTTGTTAGGGTGGGCAGGACTACTTCACGTTTACTTTCATCAGCCTGGTTGTCTCTTTTTTTGGCATAACAGCCACTGATCATTGACTAAATTGATTAATTCATTAGATGTTACAGAATAGTGATTATGCTATCATTTCTTCATTTACTTGCTGGACTATTCTAAAAGTAATCCCCCTGCCCCCTAGTCAACTATTTGGTTACTCTGAGGTACATATAGAAAAGGTGGGATAATTGCTCAATTCTCCCTTTTTTTTCTTTTTCTTTCTTTTTTAGGCAGAGTCTCGCTCTGTCGCCCAGGCAGGAGTGCAGTGGTGCAATCTCGGCTCACTGCAGCCTCTGCCTCCCAGGTTCAAGTGATTCTCCTGCCTCAGGCACCTGAGTAGCTGAGACTACAGGCATGTGCCACCATGCCCGGCTAGTTTTTGTATTTTCAGTAGAGGCGGGGGTTCACTATGTTGGCCAGGATATTCTCGATGTCCTGACCTCGTGATCTGCCTGCCTCGGCCTCCCAAAGTGCTGAGATTATAGGCGTGAGCCACCATGCCTGGCCTGTTTTCTGGTTTTTAAAATAATGAGTTCATTTTCTCATATCCTTCAAAGATGACCAATGAGGTTTAAAAATTTTTTGTATTCTTATGAACTATTGGCCCTAAATGTATTTAATGTATTTCAATTCATTGATGTTACTGCCTTTGTTAGTGTTCAAAGTGGCCCATCTTTGGTTTGTTGTAGCCTATTTAAGTTGGCTTATAAGTTCTTTTGATAAGACTCTAATAGTGTTTAATAGCTTAATACCCATTTTTAACAAGGAAAATCCAGGCTCATCTTGTATATTTCCTGCCTCAGACCCAGAGTCAGTCCTTCTTTTTACTGGGAAATGGTATTTAGAGACTATATCCTGACTGTAGGAATGTTACTTGCTGCTGGGTTCATCATTGTTTGTAGGCCTGTTAATGGACAGAGCTGGGAAATATGATACATTTTTATTTTATTTAAGGATGAAAGACATCATTAAGTTCATATTTTAATTGCAAATTCAACTTAAGAACTCTAGGACTTTTATCTACCCTAATCGATCTTAAATATGTATCTCCTTTCTGCGGGTTAAAAATCATAGTTCTCAATGACATCAATGTAATACTTACTTCCTTTGTCTCACACTGCCCAGAACAATCTCAGAATATATTAATAACCAACACTACTATTAATATGGTTCCTGAAAACAGTTTGTTTTTCAGTTCTTTATTTTGCCATATATATAGATATATCTATATAAATCTATATATATCTATATATAAATCTATATATATCTATATGTAAATCTATCTATATATATATCTATATCTATAGATATATATATATCCCACTACAGAAGTAAAGTCAAATTGGTTTTTAAATTATCTTGGAATAAATAATCCCTCTCACTGTTGCCATGGTTGGATATTAATTTAGGTTAATTCACTTTATTTTACTTTACATATATAGGGATTTCTTTTTGTTGCTGTTAATATTTTTTATTATTTACTATTCCTGAAATTATTTTCTCAATACTTAACCTGATTCTGATTCCTTGCTTAAAAGGACATAAAGATCACCCTATATCTTCCTTAATACTCTGATTATATAGAATTGGAAAAGGATATTTTAATGAAAAGTTATCAAATAAAAGTAAGCTCCTTTGTTCTATAGCTAGATTAATCGAATACTGATTGTATACTTTGGCATCAAACTACCTTAATAACTGTATTCATAAAAATTTTAAAATTTCCTTTTAAACTTGTCTTTTGAAAAATGACTACTATCATTGCTGTGTTTTAAACAGCATTTGTGTATAATTTCATACTTTGTGATTATTAGAATTGTACATCTGAGAAATATTTATTTAAACTTACTATTTATCAGGCTTTGCTAGGGATTAGATACGTAGTTATGAACAAAATATGTCTGATCTTTGTGCTCATAAATTTTCGTCTATGGGAGGAGATAAATGTGTAATCACATCAGTAAATCACACATTTAAAAAAGTACTTCAGACCGGGCACTGTGGCTCACGCCTGTAATCCCAGCACTTTGGGAGGCTGAGGTGGGCAGATCACCTGAGGTCAGGAGTTCAAGACCAGCCTGGCCAACATGGTAAAACCTCATCTCTACTTAAAAAAAAAAAAAATTAGCTGGGCATGGTGGTGCATGCCTGTAATCTCAGCTACTCAGGAGGCTGAGGCAGGATAATTGCCTGAACCCGGGAGGCAGAGGTTGCCAGGAGCTGGGATTGCACCACTGCACTCCAGCCTGGGCAACAAGGGCAAAAACTCCAGCTCCAAAAAAATAAATTAAAAAATGCTTCAAAGGAAAAAGAGATGCTAACATAATTATTTAAGAGGTACTTAATTTAGATTGAGAGTTTCAGTGGAAGACCTGAGAGGGTGACAGTGAAGATGGTACTTGAAGTATGGATAAAAATTGGCCAGATGAAGAGTGGTGGTGGAGTACTTAAAAAAAGTACAATTTGGCTAGGTGTGGTGGCTCACAGCTGTAATCCTAGTACTGTTGGAAGCTGAGGCAGGAGGATCGCTTGAGCCTGGGAGTTCAAGACCAGCCTGGGCAACATAGTGAGACCCCATCTCTACAAAAAAGAAAAAAGAAAAAATTATCAGCCTGGCATGGTGGTGCATTCCTGAAGTCCCATCTACTCAAGAGGCTGAGATGGGAGGATCACTTGAGCCTGGGAAATTGGGCCTGCAGTGAACCTGGATGACGCCACTGCATTCCAGCCTGGGCGACAGAGGGAGACTCTGTCTTAAAAAAACAAACAAAAAGGCCGGGCGCAGTGTCTCACACCTGTAATCCCAGCATTTTGGGAGGCCGAGGCAGATGAATCATGAGGTCAGGTGTTGGAGACCAGCCTGGCCAATATGGTGAAACCCCGTCTCTACTAAAAATACAAAAATTAGCCAGGTATGGTGGTGCATGCTTGTAGTCCCAGCTACTCGGGAGGCTGAGGCAGGAGGATCACTTGAACCTAGGAGGCAGAGGTTTGCAGTGAGCCGAGATCGTGCCACTGCACTCCAGCCTGGAAGACAGAGTGAGACTCCGTCTCAAAAAACAAAACAAAACAAAAAAACCCAAAACCCTCAGAAAAACCCACAAAAAACAAAACCCAAAGGTACAGTTTGACAAATTGGCAAAATATAATAGAGTGGATTAGATTTGATGTAATTTTTGTTGTTGTTGAGTTTATTTATTTAAAAATGAGTGCCAGTTCAAATTATTCTGATCACTTTAAAATAGCTACTCAAGATGTATATTTATGAAGCATCTGGTGGAAAAGTTTATAGATTTTAGTTTCTCTTTTCAAAAAGCAATAGATAGAACACTTACTTACATGTTATTTACCCGTGGCTTCGAAATCTGTATACAGTTTTAGCTCCATTTGATATTAGTCCCCTTTAAGTAAGTTTAAAGTGATTATGATTAGGAAATCTATGAGGCTTTAAAAAATTTTTCTTTTAATTTTGGTGAAATACACATAACATGAAATTTACCATCCTCACCATTTTTATAGTATACAGTTCAGCAATGCTATGTACAGTCACATTATTGTGCAACCGGTTTCCAGAGCTCTCAGCTTACATGACTGAAACTCTGTATGTATTAAACATCTCCCCAGCACCCCTTTTTCTAGCCTCTGGCAGTCATTATTCTGCTTTCCATATCTATAAATTTGACTACTCTACATACCTCAAATAAGTGGAAGCATACAGTATTTGTCCTTTTGTGACTGGCTCGTTTCACCCAGCGTATGGTCTTCAAGGTTCATCCATTTTGTAGCATGTATCACAATTTCTTTCCTTTTTAAGGCTGCATTATATTCCCAATATTGTATGCCACATTTTGTTTATCCATTCATTTGTTGATGGATACTTGGGTTGCTTCCACCTTTTGGCTATTGTGAATAATGCTACTGTGAACATAGGTATACAAATATCCTGCTTTCAGTTCTTTTGGGAAGTAGAATTGCTAGATTGTATGGTAATTTTATGCTAAATTTTTTGAGGAACCACCATACTGTTTTCCATAGGAGCTGTACCATTTACATTCTCACCAACAGTGCATAAGGATTCCAATTTATTTACATCCTTACCAACACTGGTTATTTATTTATTTATTTTTTCAGTAGTAGCCACCTACTGGGTGTGAGGTGATTTAACTTTTCTTAATCTTAGCCTTGCTGATCACATTTAATAATATCCTTAGCATTTAAATGCAAATCTAAAAATTTAAAAGTGTTTACACTCTTTGCATTTGCAAAATATCTGAATTAAGTAAATTTCATTAAGACGTGTCTTACTATATTATCTAATTATTCGGGTCACTTATTTATTAGTGTATAGCATTACTTAATGTTGTCTTTCTCAGTGGTGACATAGTATGGTAATAACAATCATCAAACATCTTTAGTTGACAAGAATTTGAAATGGATAGTGGGGCCAGGCGCAGTGGCTCATGCTGTAATCCCAGCAATAAGTGAGGCCTAGATGAGCAAATCACTGGAGCCCAGAAGTTCGAGACCAGCCTGAGCAACATGACGAAACCCCGTCTCTACAAAAAAAAAAAAAAAAAAAAAATTAGCCAGGCTTGGTGGTGTGCGCCTGTCATCTCAGCTACTGAGGAGGCTGAGGTGGGAGAATCACTTGAGCTTGGGAGGTCAAGTCTGCAGAGAGCCCCACCATTGCACTCCAGCCTGGGTGACAGAGTGAAACCCTCTCTCAAAAAAATAATAATAATAATAAAATAATAAAAATAAAAATAAAATAACAGGAAAAAGTGGGAGATAAGATAGATGAAGTGTGAAATTGTGAAGAATCTTTTATTCAGCCAAAGACTTTGGACTTGATGCTGTAGATAGTCAGGAAACCATTGGGAAATTTTAAGTAATGGTAAGGGGCAAAGGAGGGGGTGGATACTAGAGGACCGATTTGAAAGCGATTGTAGAAAGTATTAAGAAATGACAGGATTTGTTACATTCGATATAAGACAGAGTGAATAACTGAGGATAGGCCAGGTGTGGTATGCCTGTAATCCCAGCACTTTGGGAGGCTGAGGCAGGCAGATCACGAGGTCAGGAGATCGAGACCATCCCGGCTAACACGGTGAAACCCCGTCTGTACTAAAAATACAAAAAAATTAGCTGGGTGTGGTGACGGGCACCTGTAGTCCCAGCTACTTGGGAGGCTGGGGCAGGAGAATGGTGTGAACCCAGAAGGCAGAGTTTGCAGTGAGCCAAGATCGCGCCACTGCGCTCCAGCCTGGGTGACAGAGTGAAACTCTGTCTCAAAAAAAGAAAAAAAAGAAAAACTGAGGATAACACTTAGATTTCTGACTTGGGCTGCTTTGTGTAAGCTTTTGTTTACTTGATATAAAATAAACATAGCACTTAATACCTAATGTAGCAGGAGGAATGGGTGGGGTAGGGCTTGTCTGGTCCGGGATTGGGAATTTACAGAGCATGGATCAGAGAATTGGGGATGCTTTTAGGAAATAAGTGAGCACGGGATCAGTCATAAGGTAGCAAAGAAAAGAAATGGAACCTGGGTGGCAGAGCACAAATGAATTGGGAGAATAGGAAGCAGAATAGTGATTAGAAATTTCAATGAGGTTAAAAAAATAAGCTGATTATTTGGGGTGAGAATATGAGAGAAGTAGGAATAACAGTGGAGGTAGGAAATCTAAGCTTAATATTTGGGATGTAAAACACTTATAGTTGAAGGCAAGGTCCAAGGTATGGCTGTTGGAGTGGGAGACTCTGAGAAGGAATGAAGATGAAGATTATTTCAGTAGAATCAGTGTAAGATTAGAGGCCAGAAATAGCGAGTTGGGCATCTGTGATAATCTTGAAGTTGTCTAGGATGATGAACCACAGTGTTGTCAGCAATTTTAAATAGACAAATTTTGCATGTTAATACTTTGAGTAGAAAGCTACTTGTCAATTTGGGAGGTGGGGGATGGTCCCGAACATATGTATCTAAAAGTTCGGAATCATAAATAGACTTTATACCTTGAAGGCCAGTTTATTAAGGGATACTTCAACTTAATACATTTATTTTATTTTTTAATTTTGAGACGGAGTCTCACTCTGTCTCCCAGGCTGGAGTGCAGTGGCACAGTCTTGGCTCACTGCAACCTCCGCCTCCCAGGTGCAAGCAATTCTCCTGCCTCAGCTTCCCGAGTAGCTGGTATTACAGGTGCGTGCCACCATGCCCAACTAATTTTTGTATTTTTAGTAGAGACAGGCTTTTGCCATGTTGGCTAGGCTGGTCTTGAACTCCTGACCTAAAGTGATCCGTCCACCTCGGCCTCCCAAAGTGCTGGGATTACAGGTATAAGCCACTGCACCTAGCCTACTTAATACATTTATATAGTTTTTACTGTTTATGTCTCTTACAGTCCATTCTAAATAGTCGTCTTTGTAACTCAGTTCATCTTGTTGAGTAGGAGAGAAATGTTCTACTTTGATCATTGGGAGTACAGAGCAAAAAACAAGAGCAGAGGTTGGTTTGCTTGTTATTAAGAAAGTGTCATGTTTACAGGAGCAAATGTAAAAATCTGTTAGATTGGAGAAGAGGAACTTCCTTAAATGAGGGAGAAGTAGATTACAAGTCACTCAAGTAACCGTGAAAATATAAAGATGGGATTGGGTTTGCAATAGTGTGTGACAGAGGTGGTAATCATGGCCGTGCTTCCCTTTTACCTGCATTGAAGTAGTCTGCTACAATTCAGAATTACTGTTGTGTTAAAAAAAAAAAAAAAAAAAAGTCCAAAAGCATTAGTGGAAAATACTGCTAATAACAGCACTAATTTTCTATGAGTACTAAGAGATATTTTAAAAATGAAAAATATCAGTAGAAAAATATTCTGTATCAGTATTACTTACACTTAATTCATTTTAATTACCAAACCAACATTTTTTTTTTTTTTTTTTTTTGATAGGATGACGAAAGTATTCCTATCATGTATAGGAATTTACCTGAATATAAAGAACTATTACAGTTTAAAAAGTTAAAGAAGCAGAAACTTCAGCAAATGCAAGCTGAAAGTGGATTTGTGCAACATGTGGGCTTTAAGGTAAGTTCTATTTAATTTTAGGATTCATTTCATTTTATTTATTTATTTATTTAGAGACAGAGTCTCACTCTGTTGCCCAGGCTGGAGTGCAGTGGCGTGATCTCAGCTTACTGCAACCTCTGCCTCCCGGGTTCAAGCGATTCTCGTGTCTCAGCCACCCAAGTAGCTGGGATTACAGGTGTGTGCCACTATACCCAGCTAATTTTTGTATTTTTAATAGAGATGGGGGTTTCACCATGTTGGCCAGGCTGCAGTATTCATTTAATTTTAAAAGGGTGATAAGAGATACTTTAAAGTGGTTTCTGTAGTGTTAAACTCCAGAATTGCTAAGCATGTAGGAAAAAGTTATCTTTTATCCCATTCATTTATGCAAAGCAGTGGTGCCATCGTTCCTGATGTGAAGAGTTTATTATTTAGTAGAGTGAAGACAGACATACAGGTAGCTATCAATTGAGGTAAAATGTGAGGGGCTTTTGTTTAGCCGTTTCTCTTTTTGTTGCTGTTGTTCATGGGTCAGAAATGGGTTTTTTTCCCTTTCTGATTGAGAGGCTAATAGAAATGCATATACTCATTCTGCAGAATTTTGTAATACACATTATGTTCCAGTCACTTTGCTAAGTGCTAGAGATTCAGCAGTAAACAAGACAGACTCAGTTCTTGCCCTTACTCTGTTTTCATTCTCATAAGGAATTTAGAGAAGTTAAACAAAATAGTTGAGCGTGGCTAGAGTACATACTAGAGAGTAGTTAGAGGCTGCTTGCACCGCCTTATAAATTTTGCCAAGGAGCTCACACTATCCTGAGAGGTTGGTGGGGGGAACCATTGAATGATTTTAAGCAGAAAGTAACATGACATTTACGTTTTGGAAAGAATCATTCTAGTTACTTAAACTATTGGGGGTGATGATCTTTAGGAAAGCAGTGGGTTTGGAACTGACCAGCTTTTCCCCTCATCATTTTGGCCATAGTATGGAAACTTAATTAGAGGAAGGCAAGACTAGAGTCAAGGAAACTGGTTAGAGATTCTTTTGATAATTTAGACAAAAGAGGAGGGTGTCCTGAACTTGACTGGTGGCCATGGAAATAAAGATTGGCAAGTTTGAGAAGCCTTTAGGCATTAGAATTGACTTGGTTGGACTGGAGGAAGTAATAATGAGACCATAAACTTGGTGGTGTTGGTGGGTGCACATGAAAGTACTGATGTGTGCTGTGACTGGTAAACCAAATTAAAAACAAAGTTATACCTTTGATCCTCTAGAGTAGCCAGTAACCATACTATATTAAATGATTTTCCCTCTTGATCTTTCAGTGACCCTGTTTCTCCAATAGAGATTTTCCTAACTGGCAGCTCTGGCCTTTCAGAAAAACTTGCTTCACTTCTCCTAATTTTGCTGCAAAACCCAGCCATGGCTTGTTTGCCATTCTGTCAGCCACTATAGTTGACCAGATGATCAAAGAAACTAGAAATGATAGATCCTTTGATTTCCAAAAGTGCACAGAACACACTGAGGACTGTCACAATGCCACCACGCTGAGAAAGAGCTAGATCTGCCTTTTTGACATGATGGGCATTGGTTATTAGGAGTCTTTAGGCTTTGGGAGAGCGATTCAATAAGAGATAAAAGTTTAGACAGAATTTCATTGTTGCCTGGGTTTATGTTAGCCAAGAGAACCTGCTAAAACAATTCTGTATCAATTACCAACAGTGAAGCACTACAGGAGGCAGCTGTGGCATTGCTTCCTTAACCAGTATTTGGATAGTTTTAACTATGGTATTAACTCTCTGTTTCTCAACCATAGTCATCATACAGTGGTCTGAGGTACCTTTCAAGTAGATGATTACAAATAACAAAACACCCAAGTTGGAGATGATTTACTTTTAAAAATTTTTAAATAAATTTAAGCTGATTGAAGATTATCCCTTCCAATGTTCCTCTCACTCACCCATATCTTGATATTGAGTGGATGGAATTTTACCTAGTTTGCTAGAAATTGTCTCTAACACATAACCATTTGTGTGTTATATTACTGTCCTGTGCATGGAGAGAGAAGAGAAGATGTCTGTGTGCACATCATGTGTTTCCTTGTGGAAAATAAAAAAGATCGTGGAACAGTATAACTTAATACATTTTCTCTCTGAATCTGTTATAGTGTGATAACTGTGGCATAGAACCCATCCAGGGTGTTCGGTGGCATTGCCAGGATTGTCCTCCAGAAATGTCTTTGGATTTCTGTGATTCTTGTTCAGACTGGTAAGTGTTTTCTTCATTGTCAGTCTTCAACTTAGACAAGAAAAGAGCTTCTCAGCCATTAGTGAATTTGATTTCCAAACATAGAAAATATTAATACCCACACTTAGTGAATTAAATTTTGTTGTTCTAGGCAATTAATTTTTTTCTGTAATCATACCACATGTCAAGTAACTTTCCGTTGGAGATTTTGATAGATTAATGGATTTAAACAGGGAGAGCTGTGAGGAAGCTTTGTAATACACAGACTAAAATGCATCCACTACCATGTAATGATGTGTGTCTTTTTTTCTTTACAGTCTACATGAAACAGATATTCACAAGGAAGATCACCAATTAGAACCTATTTATAGGTCAGAGACATTCTTAGACAGAGACTACTGTGTGTCTCAGGGCACCAGTTACAATTACCTTGACCCAAACTACTTTCCAGCAAACAGATGACATGGAAGAGAACATCATTTACTAGTCCTCTTCAACACATAGCAATGGTATCATTGTTAATTATGTGCACAGTTTGGAAAGATTCTCTGCTTTCCCAGAAATGACACTCACAGCATGAGAGCTTCCTGAGTGTTCTCGTCAAGTACAGCTCTGCACCGTTGTGGCTCTAGATCACTGTTCAGCAGCTGAACATTCCTGGTGAGCAAAGGTTTCCCTGGTGAATTTTTCACCACTGCGTTTTAGGTGGTGATCTTAAATGGGTGAGATGGAACGAGAGCACACATTAAAGAGAGAGTAAATTCCAAAGGTTTCAAAGAACTTGGTCATAAATATGATAATGAGAAGACAAAGTATTTATATTAAAACAGTTTAGTAGCCTTCAGTTTTGTGAAAATAGTTTTCAGCACAGAAACTGACTTCTTTAGACAAAGTTTTAACCAATGATGGTGTTTGCTTCTAGGATATACACTTTAAAAGAACTCACTGTCCCAGTGGTGGTCATTGATGGCCTTTAGTAAATTGGAGCTGCTTAATCATATTGATATCTAATTTCTTTTAACCACAATGAATTGTCCTTAATTACCAACAGTGAAGCACTACAGGAGGCAACTGTGGCATTGCTTCCTTAACCAGCTCATGGTGTGTGAATGTTATAAAATTGTCACTCAGATATATTTTTTAAATGTAATGTTATATAAGATGATCATGTGATGTGTACAAACTATGGTGAAAAGTGCCAGTGGTAGTAACTGTGTAAAGTTTCTAATTCACAACATTAATTCCTTTAAAATACACAGCCTTCTGCCTCTGTATTTGGAGTTGTCAGTACAACTCATCAAAGAAAACTGCCTAATATAAAAATCATATATATGGTAATAATTTCCCTCTTTTGTAGTCTGCACAAGATCCATAAAAGATTGTATTTTTATTACTATTTAAACAAGTGATTAAATTTAGTCTGCACAGTGAGCAAGGGTTCACATGCATTCTTTTATACTGCTGGATTTTGTTGTGCATCATTTAAAACATTTTGTATGTTTCTTCTTATCTGTGTATACAGTATGTTCTTGAATGATGTTCATTTGTCAGGAGAACTGTGAGAAATAAACTATGTGGATACTGTCTGTTTATATTATAGAATGCTTGTTGTGACTTCCTTTTGGTTAGATTTTGGATTTTTTTTTTTACCAGTGTTAAAACCAGAAATTGGTATTTTTTAAAATGGTTTGCTTCACATATTTAAGAGTTTTCTTTCTGTCATTTATGAAGAATAAGGAATGTATTATGGAAAAGAGGGTGATCTTAAGCAACCCTGTAAAAAATGGTAAAGATTTTTACTCAGTGTGTGCTGAAACACTAAATTAAACTAGCTTACAAAAAGGAAACACGGACCATGGTTAAAGAAAAAGGCAATTATTAATGCTCAGGTGTGAAAACTAAAGTTGAAAATTTTTTTTCTAGTTGTGTCTCATGAAGATAAGCCCCCATGTATTTAAACAGATGGCTTTTGAAAAATCACCTTGTTTCCTGGAAATTACTATTAACTATAGGAAAAGATAGTATAAATATTCTAAGATTGATTGTTATATTTGACCCAATTTTTAGAATCACCTGTTTTTTCCTATTTTAAATCAAGGGAACATTATTTACTAGTTCTCTTCAGTACATAGCAGGGTACTAAAATCATACCCTGAATTTTTTTTAATTGAGAAAAGTAATAGAATTTTAAATATAGAAATATGAGAATTTTAAAGTAATATATTGATTAAAGATCACTGATGATATAGATATAATATATCATAACAGAAGGAAAGTAAATGGACTTGAGCTTAACTTCTCACCCTGGAATTATTAGTGGGTGAAGAGGGGAATCATTAGCATTCTGGGCGTTTTTATATTAAATGTTTTGTGAATATGCCAGAAGATCTGCCTTCAACTTGTAATTAGGCAAGATAGTAATGCTTGATGGTAACTTCTATGTTTGTGTAGAAATAATACCAGTTAGTTTTGGAAAGCCATTCAGATCCATTCAAAAATTCCATAAAGTATGATGTATGCTTTGGAAGAGGGATATGAGTGATACAATTGTTATATAAATGGAATAGACAAACCATTTGAATGCATTTTTCTAGGGCAAACATTTTTTGAGATTTTTGAGTTAAGAAGATTTTTCGGCTTGAGCAGAAGATGTGTTTGTTTTGCATTTTTCAGCTCCAAGGAAACAGCCCCCATGGCTTTAAAAGGCCCTGAAGTTCAGATAGTAGTAGGTAGTGTTTTGTTATTGTTTTAATTTGAGAGTTGCAGGAATAATGGGCAGAGCTGTCATTTGCCGGTAGGCTACCATCTGCCTACATAGAATTATTGGACTGTAAGCTAAAACAGACTGTAAAAGACCTACTTGCTAAAGCATTGCTTATTCAGTGGTATTCAGTAGATAAGATCTATTTCCTGATATATTGTGCTCAAGTTATTTGCACATCTTAAGAAACTTTTAATATCTAAAACCATTGTTGTAAGATTTAGGTAGAGGAGGTTTCCTTTTGTGTGATGCATAATAATAGAAAACACTGATACAGTGTTTACTATGTGCCAAGCAAGCATATGATAACTAATTCTTAACAACTCTATGAGGCAGGGTCATTTATTATCCTGTTGTCATATGAGGAAATCTCGCCAGAGAGAAGTTAATTAACCTGCCCAAGGTCGTATAGTTAGTAAAGTGGTCATGCTTGGATTTTAACCTAGGCAGATTACTTCAGAGTCAGCGTCTGCCTTACTATCCTGTTTCCTGAGCAGGAATTTCCCCTTGTGTCAGGCAACACTAGGTGTTAGGAGTGGAGGTGTGCAGATGTTGCCTTACATTCTGTTTTCCTGATGTGGTGTGCTTCCTAAGAGTACAAACCTGAGCATATGTCCAGGCTTGCAAAGTCTCAGGCAAAGCTGGGACTAAGGCTTGTGTTTCCTGCCTTGGGTAGGATTTTCTTCTATGCATGTTGGGTGCTTCTCACTTAACCTAATAGTATGCCTTGTCTGTTTTCCCCCCTTCCCCTTTTTGTTTAAATTGATTCACAGAACACAAAAATTTACTAGGTATGAACATTTGAAAAAATGGAATAGAGAAAATGGTACATCACATGTAATAAAGATAAATATTGTTTTGTGAAATGTCTTTTTCAATCATAAATATGTGTTGTGTGCTATATAAAACTATTTCTTATTGTGGATATTGAAGTTTGAAGCCTGTTGTTCATCTATAGATGCACTGGATGGGATTGGAAGTCTTCAGATTTCAGTAGGGTTTTCCACAAGCTTATGAAGACATTGTTCTGTTTAGGCTGTAAACTGTTTTTATTTCTTGATGAAAAATGTTCTTCTATTTATATGATCCCAGAAAAAAGATACAACTTTTTTTTTCTACAGTTAATGTAGCTAGTTAACTAGAGTTTTCAGAGTTATAATACATTTAGCTCCATGAGAACAGAGACGATCCATGTCTGTCTGTATCTCTAGGGCCTGGCATTTAATAGATTCTCAATAAATATGTGTTGGTTGTATGACCAACATTTTGGTGAGTTTACATTTTTTTCCTCCAGGAACTTGAGAGACACCACCTATGATTGAGTGTGTCTGTGAGATCCTTAGAGGCCTTGCATCAGAAGGTCATCTTGACAGTTCTGTGAGAGGACAGGGGAATTGGACTCTATCTTACCCAAAGGCTGTGATTCAACCCTGGGTGGCAGAGGTGGTTTTGGTTCTCTGTGGGACCCTAGATAGGCTGTGTATCTTGATTCTCTTCCATGTTTTTAAGAGTAGTGTAATGGGGCTGGGCATGGTGGCTCACGTCTGTAATCCCAACACTTTGGGAAGCCGAGGCAGGTAGATTGCTTGAGCCCAGGAGTTTGAGACCAGCCTGGGCAACATGGCAAAACCCTGTCTTTACTTAAAATACAAACAAATGGGCATGGTGGCACGTGGCTGTAGTCTCAGCTACTCGGGAGGCTGAGTTTGGGGGAATCACCTGAACTTGGGACGTTGAGGCTGCAGTAAGCCGAGATGGTGCCATGGCATAATAGCCTGGGGGAGAACGCTGTCTCAAAAAAAAAAAAAAAAAAAAGCAAGGTAATGGAAAGGACACTGGAGTGAAAATTCTGGGTCTTAGTCCCAGTTGTGGAAGTGAAGCACTCAGTAAGTGTTGACAAAGAACTACCTTTCATTGCACATTAGGAGCTAGTAAATGATTCGTGTGTCTTACTAACTTTTGTTTAATCCTCAGTTCCTCTATGAGGTTCATTACTATTATGTTCTCCATTGTATACATGAGAAAACTGGAGGTGCAGAGAGTATGTTAAATATGTTAGCTCTCAATAATAATTACTGTGTGTGGGACTGGAGATACCAAGCCGTGTCCTTATGGAGGTTATAATCTAATGCAGAAGACCAGCAATAAGTAAGTAAATAAAAACTATTACTTCAATTCAGGCAGGGATAAATGCTTTGAAGATAAGTAATGCTCAGAGAAAAATAATAATGGGAGAATGGGGAATAGTCTGCCATTTTAGATGGAATAAGCAAAGAAATCCTCTATTGGCCAGGGTAAATTCAAATAGAAACCAGAATAGAGCAAGGGAATTTGCTGCATGAATAATCTGTAGGAAGGGGCAGAAGGATAGCAGTAGCACACGGGCCCTGAGCCAGTAGACCGTGGCTTGTTCTGGCAACATTAAGATGGCCAGAGTAGCTTAAGCCAAATGAGCAAGAGGAGAGTAGTAGTTGATGGCGTCGAAGAGGGCACAAGCCAGCTCAGATGTGGCCTTGAAAACACATCATTGTAAAGGAGTTTAGATTGTGTTCTGATGTCTTCTACATACACACAGGTCTTTCGCTAGACAGAGACCTCTAAGGTCTTTTCCAGTATTAAAATCTTATGACTTTAAAGTAGTGATATCATTTCAAGCCATTCAAATCAGTAATGTGTTCTAGAGAAGAGTTGATTTGCACTTCTAGATACTCTTCAGGGGCAAAGCCATTTACCCTTGCTAAATTTTTCAAGGTGGCTGTCAGCTACAGCCGTAGAAGCCTGTAAAAGATGGCTGGACCTTTCTGCCCCTCTGCTGTCTCATTTTCCTTACCTGTGCAGTCAGAGCTGTGCTGGGCATGGACTGTGTCTGCCAGTATATGGTATGTGTTTCAAGAATGTCAATCCCTACAAAGAGTCATTTTATGTTTTCTGGCACAACTGATGATTTTCATCCTGTAACCTTTTTTTTTTCCAGTTTGCTCAGGTACTTATTATGCTCCCCGATAGAGAGTGTGACAACTTGGGGTAGTATTAAAGTATTTGACAACTGTTGGGAGTTATGGGAACATGCCCCTTTTTGTTAATAGAGGCGTAACTGTAACCAAAGAAATTTAATTTCTTCTTTAGCAAACACTAACATTTCTGTTTCAGAATGAGTGCTAGAGAAAGAGGAAATATGACAGTTACCATGTATCATGAATACATTGAGTTCTCTCTGTAATAACTCAAAACTGATCTATAGCTAAAATTAAAACCATATAAGCGTATCGTAAATCATCTTGACTATTTCTGTGTTCGCTTCTAATTCTGTTTGGAATAAGGCTTCAAATGCTTTCCAGAATGATGTGAGTTACAAATAAATAGAAAAAGAGTTATCCTGTCTTCCATTTATTTTATTTGTACATATCCATTTCAAGAAAAAAAAATGACTTAAAAAATACAATTCTATCCCAGAAATGGATCCTTATCTGCACAGCCATTGAAGAAAAAAAAAAAAATTCATGCAAACTGAAACTATGCTTTTTTGTAGTGACTGAGTGGAAGATGCAGTTATTCCAGTAGAATATATAAGCAGCTCTGATTTTACAACTGATTGATAGCACAAAAGAGAACCCAAACTTCACTGGTTTAATGCAAGGAAACACAGTTTTGCATATGGGTATGACAAGGTTTGCAAACTCCTGGAAAGGGCCCATATGAAACAAACACATTGAACACACCACTTACTGACATGCCCCTCCCACCCACATCAGGTTTGTTAGGGTATTTTTTTACTTGCTTGGCAACAAATAAATACATGGGTGACCATTTAAAATCAAAATTATAATTTGATATGTGCCCAATGAATGAAATAGCAAATATCTCATGCTTTTAAGTTACTTTTGGTCATTTATATTAATTTATAATTGCTGAAATGCATCACCATGTAGAGAAGAGACTAGGTTACACAATTTATCAGATTTGTTCTCTTAGCCATGACGACAGTATTCCAAGTTTCTAAAAAATAATAATAATAGAGAAGGTTACTGATGACTAACCTGGGTTTTACCATCATCTTGGGAAAGCTATACATCTTCATATTTTAAAATTTCTGTCAAATTTTACTTGCTTGATGCCTCTATATCATGTACAAGGCATTGTGTAATCAACCCACCTTATGGCTCTGAGCCACCAGTGGATGAGAGTTGACAAAACAGCCAGACACCAAAGGAAGATGCCCAGGGCTGTCCCCTATGCCAGGGGCCTCCATTGGGGAACAGTATGTAAGAGGAAGGTGTGACTGGGGGTTAGGGATGCTTAATGAGAGGAGAACCAGATGATCAGGGTCTAGCAAGGCCTGTGATCACAACGGACACAGACTGGCACCGCACCACTGTTCATGTACTGACTAGCTCTGAGTGTGGCCTGCATGATACAAAGTGTGTGTGCCGTGAGTGCAGACAGTTGTCTGAAGTGTGGAGAATAGGTTGATATAGTCCCAAATACACCATGCATGATTTCCAGACACCTCTCACACAGGTCTAGCTGGGAAGCAAACAGTGCTGTCAGGATTTAGGAGGTGGTGGTTGGTGGGGGCGGTGACACAAAAGGTTTAACTTGAAACATTGTGTTAAGGAATGAACTTTTTAATGTTTTTCTGTTTCCATTCTAACAAACATGCATTTTTGCCTTCAGAAAATAGAGTCAATAGCTGTGCAGAGTTGAAGAAAAACGTCCTCTGGTGTTCCCTCTGCATTTATCTATATTTAAAAGGAAAAAAAGAGAGTTAGTCTGAAATATCTGTAAATCATGTTTAATAATGAAAGAACACTATCACTTGCTCATAATTTGCTCTGCAAAATTTTAAAACACAAGACCCCCCCCAAAACACAGAGAAAAAAGTGAAGAGTAGTTTTAAAACTAGGTGTCTCAATTAAAAAAACAATGAAGTACCACTACACATCTATTAGAATAGCCAAAATCCAAAGCACTGACACCGCCAAATGCTGGTGAGGACATGGAGCAATAGGAACTCTCACTCATTGCTTGTGGGAACACAAAATGGTACACCCACTTCAGAAGACACTGCAGTTTCTTAAACTGAACATACTCTTACCATACTTTTTAGCAATTGCACTTCTTGGTGTTTACCCAAATGAGCTGAAACCTGAACATCTACCCAAAAACCTGCATATGGATGTTGACAGCAACTTCATGCATAATTGACAAAACTTGGAAGCACCCAGGATGATCTTCAGTATTTTAATGGATGGATAAACTGATATATCCAGATGGACAGGGGAATATTATTCAGCACTAAACTTAAATATATATTACTCAGTGATACAAGCTCCTCTGAAGAGGGTACATATTGTATGGTTCCAATTATATGACATTCTGGAAAAGTCAAAACTGGAGGCAGGTTTAAAAAGATCAATGATCGATGAACAGAGGGCGGTGGGGGGTGGGATGAGTAGGTAGAGCACAGGATTTTTAGAGCAGTGTAACTAGTATATGGGAACTCTATGCCCAATTCTGCAGTGAAGCTAAGACTTCTCTAAAAAGGAAAGTCTATTTAAAACAATAAGTGCCTATTTAGGTAAAACATTGCTAGGGGTCATGGAAAGACTTCGGAGTTACTTAAAATGAGACTTCTGAGTGTTCTGCAGCATTTGGGAATAGGGGAGAGATTGAGGGATGAGGGAGAGAGATGTGGAGAAGAAAGCAAAAGACTAGGACCGCAGTGTGTAGGTGTGCTAAGGTAGAGTCCGCTTGGAGACTGTTGGCATGCTAGCCCAAGGAGGACATATGAAGGGAAGCTGATTTTCTGGGCACGAAAGTACTGCCCCTTCTCCTCTCCTAACGCACCCACCGCTGAGATTTGTTCCATTACACCTGTATCATCTACAGAAAGTAAAGGCCTGGCCAAGCACGGGAAGCACCTGGGAGGCCAGGGAAATGCTGGTGGTATGCATCAACTTCCATGAGTGTCACCCAGGTTACTTTGGTAAAGTTGGTTATGAGGCATTACCTCTTAAAGAGAAACCAGAGCTTCTGCCCAACTCTTGACCTTGACAAATGTGGACCTTGGTCAGTCAGGAGACATGAGTAATCACACGCTGACAAAAAAAAATAATAATAAATAAAACAGGCTGGAGCTGCTCCCATCATTGATGGAGTGCTATGGGCTACTGCAGAATTCTGAGGAAGGGAAACTCCCAAAGTAGCCTGCTGTCACGAAGGCCAAGTTCTTCGGCAGGAGAGCTGGGAGAAGATTAAGGGTGTATATGTGGGGGGAGGTAGGGAGGCTGTGTTCTGGTGGCTTCAAGCCACAAGGAGGGAGCTTAACTAAATGCTAACAAACGAAAAAAGGAAAAAAAAAAGGTAGAGGGTTGGTGATCTACATGAGTCATGTGGGGGGCGGGCGGTGGTAAGCTTGCTAAAACACAGCTTTCCAGGCCATAACTGCAGAGGGTCTTGGTTGGTGGGTTTGGGCTGGGTCTTTAATCTGTATATTTAACAAATTCTCCACATGATTTTGTTGTGGGCCATCTTGGAGCACACTTTGAGAAACACAAAGTTTTCAAACACACATTTACAAGCACACTTTGAGACTCTTGTCTACCTATTTAAATCTTCTTTGTGCAAACTAGTTTGAATTTTTCTTCCCCTAGGGCTTTCACTGCTTCCAGAGGTAGAGTGAATTCTCAACAATATCAACAAAAAGAATGCTGCATGTTCAGATAGTGGAGAAAATGGATACAACAATATTAACGGAAGCACTGTTTGTCGTTCCCCAACTGGAAAAATCCTGTATGTCCATTAGCAATAGATGGATAAATTGTGACATAGTCATATAATGGAATACTATAGTAATTAAAAGAAAAAGAACCACAGCTATCTTCAACAACATGGATTAATTTCACAAACTTGAGAGACACAAGCCAGTCTCAAGAATATGAATACAGTATGGTTCAGTTTATATAAGGTTCAAAAACAAAGCTATATTGGTTAGGGATCCATACATAGGCAATAAAGTCATAAAGAGAAGCAAGGAAATGATTATCACGAAATCCAGGACATGAGTTACTTCTTGGGGAGAGGAAGGAAGCTGTGACAGGGGAGACATATGGGGAGGGTGGAGCTTCTGCAACTCTCTTCTATTTCTTTTCCTGCATGGTGGTTACATGAGTGTTCATTTTATTCCTCAAACTCTACATACTACTTTTATGCATTCCTGTATGTATGATATAGCCCACAATAAGGAAAAAATAAGTTTTTTTAAAGTTCTTTTTCCCCTCTCATAAATATACTTCATCCTTACAGGAGACTCAAAGATAGCAATCTGCAATTTGTCTGTCCAGCTACAGGTTCTACATCTGGATGGTAGGGGCTTTGCCTTTGCCATGTTCATGGCCCCCACAGCACCTTGCTTATTGCTTTACTTCTTTCTTCTTTTCCTTTCAACCAACAAGCATTTCCTGGTTATCATCAATGTTTTGCAGTTAACCAAGTTGAACGAGAAACAATGGTCCTGTTTTCCAAGAGCTCACGCTCAGTGGTAGAGATGAACATTCAACAGGAATTTACACTGTTAGGAGATAAGCACAGGAGCTATAAGGGCACCTTCCATAATGTGGGGAGGGCAGAGAAGCTTTCTGAGGAAAGTAATAATTGTCATCATTTAAAATGATAAATATTACTAGTAATGGCACAGGAATGCTTTTTAAATAACCAAAGTAATCCTATCAATGATCTTAGAAGTATTGTTATCCCAGTTTTACAGATGATGAAACAGGGGCTCTGAAAGATGAATTAAATTTTTTCAAGATAATGTGGTTAAGTAAGTGGAGAGAACTGGTTCACACCCAGGCCTTTGATTCTGAAGTCTTTGCACGTGTTGACTACATTACACTATGCTGACCAGTTCAAAATGGTGGATGGCCAGATATGAGGGGGAGTAGCAAGGAGTGAAGCTGGAATTGTAGGGACAGGCTAGGCTATGAAGAGGCTTATGTACCCTATTGCATGACGATAATGAGGAACCACGTAAGAATTGTTTTTTTGTTTGTTTTTTGTTTTTTAAAACAGGGTCTTGCTCTGTCACCCAGGCTGGAGTGCAGTGGCACGATCTCAGCTCACTGCAACCTCTGCCTCCCAAGTTCAGGCGATTCTCCTGCCTCAGCCTCCCGAGTAGCTGGGATTATAGGTGTGTGCCACCATGCCTGGCCATTTGTCTTTTTAGTAGAGATGGGGTTTCACCATGTTGGCCAGGCTGATCTTGAACTCCTGGCCTCAAGTAATCTGCCTACCTCAGCCTCCCAAAGTGCTGGGATTACAGGTGCCCAGCCCATGTAAGAGTTTTTAAGGAATGGGCTGACATCATAAAATATGGGTACACAGCAAATATTTGATAAATATTTGTTCCATCAAAAATAACCGCAGAGGCTGGGCATGGTGGCTCACGCCTGTAATCCCAGCACTTTGGGAGGCCAAGGCGGGTGGATCACGAGGTCAGGAGATAGAGACCATCCCGGCTAACATGGCGAAACCCCGTCTCTACTAAAAATACAAAAAAAAAAAAAAAAAATAGCCGGGCATGGTGGCGGGCGCCTGTAGTCCCAGCTACTCGGGAGGCTCAGGCAGGAGAATGGCGTGAACCCGGGAGGTGGAGCTGACAGTGAGCTGAGATCGCGCCACTGCACTCCAGCCTGGGCAACAGAGTGAGACTCCGTCTCAAACAAAAACAAAAACAAAAACAAAACCCAAATAAAACAAAAAAACTGCAGAAAGGTTGAAGTGCAAGGCAAAGAGCCCTGTATGAGGCGTGCCTGGGATTGCCCTCAGTGTGCTTCAGGACTTGACAGGCCATTCATCCTCTTGGGGCCTCAGTTTCCTCCTCTATCATATGAAGGGACTGAACTAGGACTAGATAACCTCCAGGTCTGGTTCCAGCCTGGATGTTCTATGCTATTCCAAATCTGAGCTCACTTTTTAGTGGGGATGAGCTCCTCTCAGCAGGTGTCAGGATTGTTCAGTTTAGTTTGGTGTTGCCAGTTAAGCTCGGCCTAGAAGAATAGACATGTACTGGAAGATAATAAAGGTGGCAAAGGTGTAGAGATCTGAAAGCACATAGATTTTTCAGTGAACAGTGGGTCATTTGTTGAGGACAGAGCAAATGCTGCATGGGGTGATGGGGGCAGGCAGATAAAAAGAGGAAGCTGGAAAAATAGGTTGGAATGAGGTGTCGCCATAGATTTGCCTACTCAGGACATTTTATATCAATGAAATCACACAATATATGGTCTTTTGTGACTGGTTTCTTGGCATAATGTTTTCAAGGTTCGTTTATGTTGTAGTGGATATCAATACTGTATTCCTTTTTATTGCTGAATAATGCTATGCTGCATTTAACCCGAATGTTCCAAACATGCCTTGGGATGTCTGCCTTCCTCATCTCTTTTCAGCAAATCTGTTTCTGCCCACAGCCCACTATACAGTCACCTGAGCTCGCCTTATCAAACGCTGGGAGGAGGGAGGAAAGGAAGGGGTTGCTAACTCACATTCCCGCCCCTTCTCAAGTTTCCTCCCCTGTAGCAGGGACGGGTAAGAAGGTGTAAATCCACAAACGCTTGATTTATTATTTACACTGTCCATGATCGTATCAGTGGAAAATGCATCAGGTCTGTCACTGGTCCCCAAGAAGTTCCATGAGGACAGACTCAAATACAACTCTTCTGTGCATAATGTAAGTTCTTCACCCTAGTGATCCAATTTTTTGTCTTTGGCACAAACACTGCCCCAAATCAGCTCCATATCTTCCCCAGAAGAGGAATATAATTAGCCTACGGAATGATCCCAAGTGACCATCTACTTCAAATGCATGTGAATTTTCTCACTACAATATCACTACCTAATTGAGGCACATGTGTAGTGGGACTTTTCAGCCTCAGTTACGCCCTCTGCTTCATCTGTACAAACCCAACTGTGTTCTAGGGCCCGTTCTTGTCCTCACCAAGTGGTAGATATTTTGCAGCATCTTCCTCATTATTTATCTGTTCTCCAGCCTCTTGCTGAATTCCACCAGTCCCTTGCATTTAACTGACTTAGCATGGTCTATTTCTGCTCCTTGGCCCTGAAACATTTCTCTCCTCCAATCTGTCTTCTGCAACCAATACTACTTAACATTCCCAACTTTATATATGATTTTCCAAATTTACCTTCTTTCCAAAAGAAAACCATACCTATGTTTCTCATACTCGTAATGTGTCTTTTAACACTATTAATATACAAATTTTTTAAAGAACCCCCTTTTTCTTTAAGAGGTAAGGTTTTGCTCTCTCACCCAGGCTGGAGTGCAGTAGTGAGATCATAGCTCACTGTAACCTCTAACTCCTGGGCTCAAGCAGTCCTCCTGCCTCAGCCTCCTGATTAGCTGAGACTACAGGCGTGTGCCCCCATGCCCAGCTAATTTTTTGTATGTTTTTGTAGAGATGGGGTCTTGCTATGTTGCCCAGGCTGGGCTTGAAGTCCTGACCTCAAGCAATCCTCCCACCTCAGCCTCCCAAAGTGCTGAAATTTTAGGTGTAAGCCACTGTGCCTGGCCAAGAACACATGCATTATGTTCTATTTCCTCTGTGTTTCATAATGGATAACTTGGTCATTCAACATAATGCCAGTGTTACACTCACATAAATTGGGTTGATCCTTGTCCAGGATTTCTTTTAGACTCTGATAAAAACACATTTGCTCATTACAACAACCTTTGAATGCACTCTATTACCTTCTGCCTTTTACTATCACAGTGAACTAAAGGCTCTTTCTGTATTACCTTCCCCACTGACTATCACAGTGGCCATTTACTTGTTGCAATTCACTGCAACATTTAACTTTTCACTTCTTGGCCAGATAAAACCCAGTCTTAACCCAAGTATTTGTATATTGTTAAAGAAAAAAAATGTTCAATGATTCTTGTTAAAGCACGGTAAGGGAGGCTTTATTGGGGACCATTACGATGGGTATAGGGACTACGGCAACAGAATTTTGCAGTGGGGGAGAGGGATGGGATTCAACTCTGAATACAGCGTGGGCAAGTGGGAATTTATAGTCAAAGAGCAGGCTGGGAGTCAGTGGATGGAAAATTACTAAGAGGTAATAACATCAGGAGTAAGGAAAGTTCTGGCTACACCGACCTAACAGGACTCTTGCTGAAGACAGACCAATATGATCAGACAGCACCTGGGGATGATGGAGGATGAGCACCCCAATCAGATATTCAGAGTAGGGGATCTTGCTAAAGTGATTTAGCAGAGTTCTTTGCTAAAACTGGGTTTTACGAGGAAGTGCACAGATGGGCCTAGGAGAAGGTTTAAGAGTTTGACTAAAGTTTGGTCAGCAGAGAACCTTTGTCAACATCCAGCTAGACAATAAGCTCCATGAGCACGAGGTCATTACTCAGTGTAGTATCCCCCCGTGCCTGGCTCTAGGTAGAAAGGCAAAAAACAAAAAAGGTAAACAAAAGAATGTATCCTCTATTCCCACATTTGCTCTTTCTTTCCTCATAGAAATGAACTGTTGTAGGGGAGGAAACATGTTCTTAGAGCCCATTTTCTGTAGTCTAGGCTTTATGGAAGGAGAAGGGATTCTGCCTTCTAAAAACAAGGCGACTTGGTTTCAGCACAGAGGACTCAGCACGCAGCACCTCAAGGGCAGTGCTAGTTACTTTCTGTCAATCAGGCCAGAGCTAATGTTTTGGGGAGAGCTGGGAAGGGTCCCAGAGCTCTCAGTGGACCATTGCCCACCTCTATTTCCAACCCCAATCCCCCTCCTCATTTTGTTGTGTGGCTTAAATATGGGGGTTTATTAATGAAATTAAAAACCTGCTTATTGCCAACCAGTCAGAGTCATGTACTGTAGTGCTTGCCCCTGTGGAGCCCAAAGATATGGGTAGGTTTAAAGACAAAATCAAATGATAAGGCTTTCTAGATGGGAAAAGCAGTCTTTTACTTGGGTGACTAGAAAACTCTGTGAAGTTATCTGGGATCCTCCTTAGGACCAAGATGCCAAGTTCTGAGAATAAAGTCAGTGAGGCAATTTCTGTTGTCTTATAGAAGGTGTGTGTGTGTGTGTGTGTGTGTTGGGAAAGGCCTGGATTTCTGAATGCATTTTTGTTTTGTTTTGTTTTGAGATGGAGTTTCGCTCTTGTCTCCCAGGCTGGAGTGCAATGGTATGATCTAAGTTCACTGCAACCCCCACCTCCCGGGTTCAAGCAATTCTTCTGCCTCAGCCTCCCGAGTAGCTGGAATTACAGGCATGTGCCACCACGTCCAGCTAATTTTTGTATTTTTAGTAGAGACGGGGTTTCACCATGTTGGCCAGGCTGGTCTCAAACTCCTGACCTCAGGTGATCTGCCTGCCTTGGCCTCCCAAAGTGCTGGAATTACAGGTGGGAGCCACTGCCCCTGGCCTGAAGTGTATTTTTAAGGAGCAAAAGAGAGCCCAGTTGAATTGGGTGGGAACAAAACCTTTTATCTACTCTCCAAATTTCTCCTTTCATTCTACAGGTTAGCTCGACTCTTCCTAAGTCTCAAAGTAGATTCTCTTTGCTCATCTAATTCCCATGTGGAGAGTATTTTAAGAGAATAAGTGGCATTTATCTTTTTGTATATAACTGCAACTCAAAAGAAATGGAAAAGAACCAATTTACTAAATGCTTTCAAAGTTACAGGAACTTTTCTTCGTGCTTAGAGCTTTAGCAAATTTAAACCAGTTAGCTTATAAGGGTGCTGGTGTTTAATGTCCTTAGCAAACAGAGAACAATCCTGCACAATCAGCTTACTGACTGTTTTCTGTGAATGAGACTTCCTCAGTAATTGTGTAAACTTAAAAGTAATACGTCCTGCAATATAGGGTGTGTTTCCTCTATAATCAATTATTATAATATTAATTTATAGTAACCCTCTTTTATCATGAACAGTCAAAAGTAAGTTTCATCGTGACCTTTCTCCGAAAGATCTGCAATTCTGAGTCAGCAAAATCAGAATGTATGAGGTCTTAATGTATTTAATTTAGTTAGAAACTAGGTAAGTAGATTTGCTTCTGACTTCAAGAATTTACCAGCTGGATGGAATGGCTCACGCCTGTAAACTGCCCATGCTTTAGGAGGCTGAGGTAGGAGGATTGCTTCAGCCCAGGAGCTCGAGACCAGCTTGGGAAATACAGTGTCTCTACAAAAATAAAAAAATTAGCTAGGCACATGCCAGTAGTCCTAGCTACTGGAGAGGCTGAGGTGAACGATGGCTTGAGGCCAGGAGTTCAAGGCTAAAATGAGCTGTGATGGAGCTACTGCACTCACTCCAGCCTGGGCAACAGGGTAAGACCTTGTCCCTTAAAAAAAAAAAATAAATAAATAAAAGAGGCTGAGGTGGGAGGGTCACTTGAGCCTAGGAGGTTGAGGCTGCAGTGAGCCATGATTGTGCCACTATACTCCAGCCTGGGTGAAAGAGTGAGATCCTGTCTCAAAAAAAGAAAAAAGAAAATGTGGTACACATACATGATGGAGTACTATTCAGCTATAAGAAAGAATGAGATCCTGTCATTTGCAACAACATGTATGGAACTGGAAGTCATGTTAAGTGAAATAAGCCAGGCACAGAAAGACAGACTTCGAATGTTCTCACTTATTTCTGAGAGCTAAATATTAAAGCAATTGAACTCATGGAGACAGATAGTAGATTGATAGTTACCAGTGTCTGGGAAGGGAGAGGGGGAAGTGGGAATGGCTAATGGATACAAAAATTTAGGTAGATAGAATGAATGTGATCTAGTATTTGATAGCACAAGAGGGTAACTCTAGTCAACAATAACTTATTGTACACTTAAAAATAACTAAAAGACTATAATCGGATTATCTATAACACAAAGAAAGGACAAACGCTTGAGGTGATAGATACCTCATTTACCCTGACGTGATCCTAACATACTGCATGCCTGTATCAAAGTAGCTTACGTACCCCATAAATATATACACCCAATATGTACCCACAAAAGTTAAAAGTTTTAAGGAAGAAATAAACATAAAAAAAAGAATTTACCATTTTTGGTCTGAGACATGATATAAAAATCCCACAGTAAGTGATGTTCTGACCAGTGTAGCAAAATATTATTTTATTAAAAAGCTAAAAGCAGGCCAGGCACGGTGGCTCATGCCTGTAATCCCAGGACTTTGGGAGGCCGAGGAGGGCGGATCACCTGAGGTCAGGAGTTCAAGACCAGCCTGGCCAACATGGTGAAACCCAGTCTCTACTAAAAATACAAAAAGTAGACGGGTGTGGTGGCAGGTACCTGTAATTCCTGCTACTCGGGAGGCTAAGGCAGGAGAATCGCTTGACCCCGAGAGGCGGAGGTTGCAGTGAGCAGAGTGACAGAATGAAACTCAGTCTCAAAAAAAAAAAAAAAAAAAAAGCTAAAAGCAAGTGAACAGGAAATAGTAAATTTCTGAGCTTTTACCTGACTTCTTGAAGGAAAAGTAGAGCAGTCAGTGATAATATTTCTACCCAACAGTCAACAGAACATATGACTAAATGAGGAAAGCAATTACACTGCTTTGGGAATTACACATTTTGTTTACTCTTCCTCTTTAGTTCCATGGATTTGTAAATCATAAAACAGTTGGCTGGTCCAAACATTGCCTATGTCTAGTTGTGTTTTTCCTGAATTTTCCCAGACAGTTGAAACCATTGCTTGAGTTTCATTTTATTTTTCATGTATTGGCACCATGGAACCTCTGGGACAAAGCCAAGCTGTTACAGCATGGTTTAGGATCACGGTCTGTGTGCCAGCACCTTCCTTTTCTAATCTTGTCCCCTGTTAAACAAGACACAGCCTCACACCACAGGGATCCCTCACTGCCAGAGGATAACAGCAGCGGCTCAGCAAGGTAGACCTCAGTGTGCAGAACCTGGGCATGATCTGGGGAAAATCATCAAATGCAGTTTTCAAAAGTTGGGGTTATGTAAAAGACTGCTCATGGGGGTCATCCAGTTCACATATCCAGTCAGGCCACACAGTTCTCCTCGTTATCAAAGCCATAGAAAGAAGGAGGACTATATATACATTGACTGTAGAGAGATTTAAGGACAAACTTCAGCAAAAATATAAGGATGACTTATAATCAGCACATTAATGGCCTGTCTATAAATAGGACTTCCCATAGTACGTGCAGTCTGTCCACTTAAACGTTTTAAGTAACTGTTTTTCCTTTTCTCTTCCTCTCCATTCTGCCTAAAGTTTTGAATAACATCTTTTAGCAGATATGAAAAAAAATCATCCTTTCTAAAAATGACCTCTCTAAAACACCTGCTCAATCATTTTCCTGTTTAAAGTTACTCAGTGCTTCCCTCCTAGAACTGAGTACTTTCAGTATTCAGTCCAAACATCCTTGGGTAGTCTAGAACTATGCAATATGGTAGCCCCTAGCCACACGTGGTTTCTGGGCACTTGAAATCTGACTAGCACAAGAAAGGAACTGATTTTTAATACTGTTTAATTAAAATTAATCTAAAATTTAAACCTGGCATTTGATCCAATTTTTGGAAAATTAAGAACTATATTTGGAATGACTTGGGTATGTGAAATCTACTTTTCAACTGTAAATTTTATGAAATATAAATATAGTTCCAGTATTTTTTATGGAAACTTAGCAACTAAATTTGAGGTAAAGCCCTAAGTACCAGATTTTGAATACATAGTTCATAAAAAAAATGTAAAAATATTTCATTAAGAATTTTATGGCTGGGTACAGTGGCTCATGTCTGTAATCCCAGCACTTTGAGAGGCCGAGGCGGGCAGATCAAGAGGTTAAGAGATTGAGACCATCATGGCCAACATGGCGAAACCCCGTCTCTACTAAAAATACAAAAATTAGCCACACATGGTGGCACACACCTGTACTTCCAGCTACCTGGGAGGCTGAGGCAGGAGAATCACTTGAACCCAGGAGGCGGAGGTTGCAGTGAGCTGAGATCGTGCCACTGCACTCCAGCCTGGTGACAGAGTGAGACTCTGTCTCAAAAAAAAAAAAAAAAAAAAAGAGAACTTTATATTGATTACATGTTGAAATGATACTTAGGATATATTAGGTTAAATAGTTAAATAAAATATATTGTTAAATTAATTTCACCTGTTTCTTTTTACTTTTGTTTATGTGACTACTATAAAAGTTTAAATTATACATGTGGCCCACATTCTATTTCTTTTGACAGTGCTGATCTAGCAAATTTACTGAATGCAGGAAGAATGAATAAATGAATGGATTCAAAGCCCTTCACCACTTGCTTCAATCTTGCTCTTTAGTCTCATCTGCCACGACTTTAATTCATCTATTTGGCACTTCATCTGGGCCAGCATTCCTGGCGCTTTCACGTGTCAGTGGCTTTGTTCCTTCTCCTTCATCTGGCTTGAGTTTCTCTTCATCCTTTAGGACCCAGCTCAAATGTCCTCTTTTCTCTGAAGCATTTACTTGCCTTCCCAGGCCCGAGCTCTGTGCCCCAAAGGCCTGGAGCATTCTGTAGATCCTATTATGGCACCTACTACTTCGCTGGGGTTTCATGTGTCACAGAGTTTCACAAGTCTTTTTTGTTTTGTTTTGTGTAGAGACAGAGTCTCACACTGTCGCTCAGGCTGGAGTGCAGTGGCGCGATCTCAGCTCACTGCAGCCTCTGCCTCATGGGTTCAAACAATTCTTGTGCCTCAGCCTCCCGAGTAGCTGGGATTACAGACGCACACCACCACACCCATCTAATTTTTGTAATGTTAGTAGAGATGGAGTTTCACCATGTTGGCCACACTGGTCTCAAACTCCTGACCTCAAGAGATCTGCCCTCCTCGGCCTCCCAAAGTGCTGGGATTACAAGCACATGTCTTTTTCCTATGAATTCCCAACATTAAGTGGCATGCCTTGGACCTTAGAGATGCCCAGTAAATGTCTGCTGAGCATGTCAAAGACCTTACATAGAATGGTGCCAATTCTTTGCTGGTAGAATTCATGTCAGTGACTCTGGGAGGGGTTCTGAGTTAAAGTGGACCTCAGTGAAGGGGGTGCCCTAACATGGGCAAAGGCAAAATCTGCTATGTGATTATAGCAACCACAGAGGAAGAAATCAAGAGTGTGTACAGATGAGTCAAAAGGGCCTGGAATTCTCTTCTGCTTGCTGTTTGGGGAGGAGACACACACGCAGCAAGCACAACTCATTTCAGCAGGACCGCAGGGGTGCAAACAGTATTGCATCGAATCAAAACGTCTTTGCGGGAATCTGGTGAAGGTCTGACAATCAGGAAGGAAAGGGGGTGGAGAGAAGACTATTTTAAGCAGAGTCATAAAGAAAAAGTCTCTTAAGTCTCTCAGAGCCAGATGGAAGACTTATGCTTCATTTGTCAAGTGAGAGGATAGAACCTTAGGGTTCCTCTAAGTCACTCTCTCCTTCAGGCACACCTTTCTCTTCACTGCACCAGCAGGAGGGAGGGCTGTATCTAAATCTAGGTTTCTAGTTGTCAACCAAGGCAGGCCCAGATGAAATGCAGGGACGCTTCAGACTTGAAACTGATAGGCACCCCCAGTGAAGGTGGGGCACTGCTAAAAGAGGCTAAGCATCAAGGAGCTGGGAAATTCCAAAGCTCCTTGTTTTACTTGTTATACTTCAAAGAACTCTTCCCAGGGCAACATGGAGAGCCAGGGGAGTAGAAATGAATGAGTTAAAAAAAATCAGCCTTTGCTTAAAATAGCTCAGCAGTCGCTCCTACTAGAAAAAAATCTAATTAAGCATGTCTTTCCACTGCATCGTTGTTAGTAGTAGGTAAAAACAACCAAACTGAACTAGAAACAACCTAGTTGAATAAACTGTAGAATATCTATATTGTGGCATATTATATAGCTATTAAAAAGAAAACAATATTGTGATGTGTTAACCTGGAGGTGTTTCACAGAAATGCGTACAGCTTGGGAGTATTTGCATGAAATCAGCCCTCCCCCACCATGGTTGTGTGTGTGTGTCTGTAGTAAAAAGTTTGATTTCAGAGAGAAAGAATGAGGGGCTGGAGGAAAGAAGAAAAGAAAGAGAGAAAGAGAACAGAAGGAGGAGGAAAAGGAGGAAGTGAGGAGAGGTGGAAGGATACACAATAAGCTGTTCACATTGGTTACTTGAGGGAGGCAAGGTTGTGAAGGGCATTGTTAATTGCGGGCGTGTGGGTATATATAGTCATGCACTGATAACAATGTTTTGGTCAATGACAGACTGCTTATACAATGGCAGTCTCATAAGATTATAATGAAGCTGAAAATTTTCCAGCGCCTTGTGATGTGGTAGCCATCACAATGTCACAGCGCAATGGATTACTCACATGTTTGTGGTGATGCTGGTGTAAAGAAATCCACTGTGCTGCCGGTGTTGGAAAAGTATAGCACGTACAATCACGTAAAGTACGCAATGCTTGATAATGACAATAAATGACTATGTTTCTGGTTTATGTATTTCCTATATTATACTTTCAATTATTATTTCAGAGTGCATTTTTTCTACTTGTTAAAAAAGAGCTAACTGTCAAACAGCCTCAGGCAGGTCCTTCAGGAATGTTCCAGAAAAAGGCCTTGTTATCAAAGCAGACGACAGCTCCATGCATGTTACTGCCCCTGAAGACCTTCCAGTGGGCAAGATACGGAGGTAAAGACAGTGGCATGATGATTCTAACCCTGTGTAGGCAGGCCTAGGCGAATGTGTGTGTCTCCATCTCAGTTTTTAAGAAAAAAAGCTTAAAAAGTAAAAAAAAAAAGACTTTTTTTAAAATAGAAAAAAACATAGAATAAGGATATAAAGAAAAAATATTTATGTACGTCTGTACAATGTGTTTGTGTTTTAAACTAAGTTCTATGAAACGGTCAAAAGTGAAAAAATTTTAAAAGCTTATAAAGTAAAAAGGTTATAGTAAGCCAAAGTTATTATTGAAGAAAGAAAAATATTTTACAAATGTAGCATAGCCTAACTGTACAGCATTTATAAAGCCTACAGTAGTATACAGTAACATCCTAGGCCTTCACATTCACTCAGTGACTCATCCAGAGCACCTTCCAGTCCTGAAAGCTGGATTCATGGTAAACACTCTATACAGCAAGTTTACCACTGAAATTTTTTATTCTGTATTCTTACTGTATCTTTGCCATATTTTGATATGTTTAGATACACAAATGGTTACCATTGTCTTACAATTCCCACAGTATTCAATACAGTGACAGGCTGTCGTGTGTAGTAGGCTATACCATCTAGGTTTGTGTTAGTACACTCTCTGATGTTTGCACAATGACAAAATTGCTTAATGATGCATTTCTCAGATCGTATCCTTACTGTTAAATGATGCATGACTGTGTGTGTGTGTGTGTGTGTGTACTCTCACATACACACATAAATATATACAGTCTACTCTCTGTATCCAAAGTTCTGCACCTGCAGATTCAACTAACCGGAGATGGAAAATATTCCCTCCATTGTCCCTGCTCTTACCTCGCATGGAATCTGGCCAGCATCCCAATACAGCTTCCCAGCTTCCTACGAAAATACTCCTGAAGACCCCCATAAATGAGAATAGTCACAAGAATTCTGAAAACTTGGACTGCTCCCTATCGCCAGTGGTTCATGTCTATGGTCCCAGCTACTTGAGAGGCTGAAGTGGGAGTATTACTTGGGCCCAGGGAAGTTGAGGCTGCAATGAGCCGTAATTGCACCACTGCAAACCCGACTAGGCAACACAGAGAGACCCTGTCTCAAAACAAACAATAAAAAAAAAATAGAGCAATGTTTACTGACTTTTGGTAGAAAAATAATTATTATGACTTAAATTATGTCCAGTCAAACTGTCATTTGTGTGTGAAGCCACTATAATGGCATTCTCAGATATTCAATGAGAAATTGAACTCAAAATTAGTTGAGTTACTTTAGCCAACTGAAAGAAGAATCAAAATTAAGAATTTAGTACAGAGAATTCAAGGTATACAAGTAATTTTGGGTTTTCCTTTACTTGTGTTAGACTCCAAACTTGGGGATCCAGTCAGTTATGAATTACCCAGTAGATTTTGCAACCAAGCGGTGAAATGTGACCTTATGGTACCTTCTGCTTCCACTTTCCTCAGTAATACCAGAAACTGCAGAAACTTCTCACTCTTCTTGCCTCAATTCATAGGGCTTCTCCTGACAGCATGGTGACCAGAACAATGTGGACCATTGCATTTCAGGACCTAATGGAAACGGTCAAACTATTTACAAAGTTGAGACACTGCAGCAGCAGAATTGCTGAGGAAAAAAGCTTATTATCTCCTCTACAAAAGCAGAGTTGCCAAGGAACTTGATTGTCTGTCTGCAAAACTCATGTTTAATGAGTCACTGGGCTCTCTTTTTATTTTTTTAATCAGTTAAGAGTAGCAAATAACGCAGGGACAGAAATAATCTGTTACCAGGCCCTCTTCATCTATGGCCTGGGGTGTTTCTGGGCTAATTATGCCATGAACAAAATGTATATAAAAATGGAAAAAAACCAAAATGTACGGAAATATATCATAATGTTCATTGGTGATTATCTTTGGGTGGAATAATTCTCAATAATTTTAATGTTTACCTTTATAGTCTTAAATTTTCTAGTTTGTTTCTTTTTTAAACAATGTGTAGTTGTTACTTATACTTAGGAAAAAAAGAGGCTTTAAATATCATTTGATACAATTCTGCCTATGCCACTTGAGATAGCTATTTCTGTGGTTTCTCTCAGCTCACAACGAGCCCTTCTCTCTGGGTATTCCTTGTCCTCCATCTGCTTCACAGGGAAGAGTCCCAGGTAACCATGTTTATATCAGTCAGGTCCTAATTCAAATGCTACCTCCTCAGACTTTCCAAACAGCTGCCCACAGTGCTCACTCCCAACAATGCATTCTGTTTTGTTTTATCCACAGAACTTGTTAGTGGTTGCTTTATTTTCTTGTATACGGTTTTGCTCTTTTTTTTTGAGACCGAGTCTCGTTTTGTCATCCAGGCCAGAGTGCAGTGGTGTGATCTTGGCTTACCGCAACCTCCGCCTCCCAGGTTCAAGTAATTCTCGTGCCTCAGCCTCCTCAGTAGCTGGGATTACATATGCGCACCACCACGTCTAGCGAATTTTTATATTTTTAGTAGAGACATTTGCCATGTTGGCCAGGCTGGTCTCGAACTGCCGACCTTGTGATCTGCCTGCTTTGGCCTCCCAAAGGGCTGGGATTACAGGTGTGAGCCACCGTGCCTGGCCTGTTTTTCTCTTTTCAGTGAGGGGCTTTGTCACGTTGACTGCTGTGTCCCCAGCACCAAGTGTCGTGTCCCACACATACCATATGCACTCAATAAAGTACAGAAAAAAATAAAAAAGCCCCCTGTGACCCCAGCTGCCTGTCCACAGCTAAGAGAGCCAAGGAGACCCTGAGCAAAGCAAGGCCAACCACATCATTTCTCTCAGGAATCTGGAGCTGGGAATCAGAGTGCCGTGGTAATGTGCAAATGCGAAAGCTGTCAGGTGGGCATATTCTGGCTTATAAGCCAGAGAAAGAAAAAAAACCCAGCTTAGAGAGAAGGAAACGGTGTTTGTGAAGCAGTAGGGAGCACTGTGAGCCTTTTAGGCCTGATCCCACACGCCTTCTAGGGCCTGCTGTGCCTCAGCCTTGAGTCTTCTAACCTTATAATGAAGTTCTGTGTTTCAGGTTAGGCCAGCGGGAGTTGGCACCTGCTACCTACAACCACAGAGTCTGGCTCAGTATTACCTACAATCACAATCATGTTTTTAAAATTCACAGCAAAAAGATGTGGTGAAAACGCCCCACAATGTTTGCCTCTGAGTGGTGGGACTACCTAGTTTTCTACATTTTCTTTGTTTCTTTTTTCTTTTTTTGGAAACAGGATCTCGCCAGTTGAGTGCAGTGGCACTATCTTGGTTCACTGCAGCCTCAACCTCCTGGGCTCAAATAATCCTCCCACCTTAGTCCCCTGAGTGGCTGTGACCACAGATGTGTTCCACCACGCCTGGCTAACTTTTGTATTTTTTGTAGAGATGGGTTTTGCCATGTTGCCCAAGATAGTCAAGAACTCCTAGGCTCCTGGCTGGGCGTGGTAGCTCACGCCTGTAATCCCAGCACCTTGGGAGGCCAAGGCAGGCAGATCACAAGGTCAGGAGTTCGAGACCAGCCTGGCCAACATAAGAGAAACCCCATCTCTAATAAAAATACAAAACATTAGCTGGGTGTGGTGGTGGGTGCCTGTAATCCCAGCTACTCATGAGGCTGAGGCAGAAGAATGGCTTGAACCCAGGAGGTGGAGGTTGCAGTGAGCCAAGATTGCGCCATTGCATTCCAGCCTGGGTGACAGAGCGAGACTCCATCTCTAAAAAAAAAAGAAACAAACAAAAAAAAACTCCTAAGCTCCAGTGACCCACACTCTCCTTGGCTTCCCAAACTGCTGTGATTATAGACATGTGCCACCACACCTGACCAGTTTTCTATATTTTATAAAGCAAGTATGTGTTACTTTTATAATAATAGACTTGGTCAATTCTAGTAGATCGTGTTCTATCCACTTTAGGAAGAAGAACTGAGAGGTGAAGCAGTAAAATGACTCACCGAAGTTGATGAAAGTGTGCCTGGGGCTTTCTGATGCACAGGCCCATATTCCCCCCGCCATCCCCCAGGGAGTCTTTGGCTGGTAACTGTGCTTTTCATCCCCAAATGCTACATTTCAGTTACTTATGGCCATAATAAATTATCTCACTAAGGTGAAAGAAAACTTCTTCTTGTAGGCTAATTCTAGTCAGTTGGGGGTGATGGTCCATACGGCTGTGTTGAGCAAGTTTCTGAGACAGCATTCAGACTTGGTAGGAAGTGCCATGACTGGCGAACGCTGCCTGGCCCAAGTGTAGTGAGGTGGGGAATGAAATGGAGGAAAGTTCTGTTCTAATTCTTTCTCAGATGCAGGGCAAACCTCTGCTTTATGAGAGGGAGAAAAACAGGCAGAAAGGGATACACCTGTATCACATGTACTTCCATCTCTGGTGTGCACGTTACAAGAAGTTCTAACTTTATTGTACAAGGATGGCATTATGATGACATAAAGAATAAGGGAGTGGCTGTATAAATTCTGCTTTGCTTTAAAAATTATCTTTGTTTGAAATTTTGCTGCACTTTCCTTAGCTAGCTGGTGGCCAAAGGGCTGACTTGTCATGGAGTGGGGGATGGAGGGTGTCAGATGATGGGTTCAATGTCAGCATTGCTGGGTAGAGGCCTGAGGGCGGTGCTTGTGGCCTATTTGTGGGCTGCATGGGTTGGCCCCCCCTGTGGCTTTAATTCCTAAATAAATCTCACAGAACTGCTGATTCATCTCACTTGCTTTCTTGAAGTGCATTCACCAGCCCCACCTAGTTTTAAGAAAGCTCCTTAAGTGACCCAGAGGTCCTCTTGGGTGAGCAGCCCTGTCTTGGGTCCAGTAAAACAACAGGGAGGAGGGGCAAACAATCCAAACAGCATCACAGGAGCAGGCCACAAGCTGTTACTTAGGAACCAAGGGAGATTAAGCTGATGCAGGAGGACTGGGCAAAAACCCAGAGGCCAGACAACAGAGTGGGCCAGTGGCTTTCTCCCTCTCCAGCGGCAAACAATCCTGTCCCCTCCCCTGCTTCTCCTGCAGTCCCCGCTCTTGTCACCCTAGCTACTGGCAAACCCCACGGGTACCTGCAGACAAATCTCAGCTTCCTGGGCCCAGCACACACTGTTTCTATGCTAGGTGTGTAGGGAGGACTGTTCATCTTTGCAGCTGTGTGGGTAGGGGATGGCCCTGGGCAGGGGCAGTGGGATGAAGCAGCCTCCCTGAGACTCTCTGGGAGTCCTGAAGGCTGAAGCTCACGCTGCTCTGCAGTCCGGGCTGGAGAGGTTTTACATATTTGTGCAGTGGATCATAATGTTACCTCACCACGCACCCAGCAGCCAGCATCTCCAAAATGCAGGGGAAGTTGAAGAGATGAGCCAGGGGACTGCAAACCTCTTTTCCACCATTAAATAAAATTTGTAGGAGGCCATTGGTTTGGACTAGGCTCCCGTTCTGGGCCCAACAGGCCGAACCAACGTGGAGTCATCCGTGCTAAATGAAACAAACAACTTGGATGTACACACTGTAACAGATGGCTGAGTTTTGGTAGTTCCAGCAGCTGAGCTTAAGTCAATAGTAGGTAGCCAGCTGATTCACATAAGGCTGTAACTAATTAACCTCAGTTCCTCACTTCTGTTTTCTAAACATAAATATTGCTTGACCATGTGGCTTATTCTTCAAACATTTTTCTGGTCCTGAGGTCTGCCCAATTCTAGAATCATGAATAAAAGCCAATGAAGATCTTTAAATGTGTTGTAATCTGGTCTTTTGGACACCACTAACTTAGAAAGCTCTAAGGAAGATTCCAGAAATCAGATTTGTCTGAGAACTCAACCCTGTACTCACGAGCAGTCATTTGTGAGTTTGTAGAATTCAGGTTGGAATAATACAACAGAGAGCTAAGAGGGATTTTCCAACTCTAAAAGTGGTTAAATCCTGAATTACTTAGGAATTTTCCCACCTTTACAAATCTTAAAAGTGGAAGAAATACCTTTCTTTTTTTTAATTTTTTTTTTTATTTTTTGAGACAGGGACTCTCTGTCACCCAGGCTGGAGTGCAGTGGTGTGATTTCAGCTCACTGCAACCTCTGTCTCCTGGGTTCAAGCAATTCTTCTGCCTTAGCATCCTGAGTAGCTGGGATTACAGGCACGCGCCACCACACCAGGATTTTTTTTTTTTTTAATGTTCCAGGCTGCTCAAAAGGTGGAAATCACTAGACAATCTAATTTTGGAAAGGCCTTTGCAGCCCTGAATTCTTAAGACATTGCTCTTATATAACAAAAACACTTTTGTTTATGTTTTTTTTTTTTGTTGTTGTTGTTGTTTTTTTTTGAGAGACAGTCTTGCTCTGTTGCCCAGGCTGGAGTGCAGTGGTGCGATCATGGCAAACTGCAGCCTTGACCTCCCAGGCTCAAGTGATCCTCCCATTTCAGTCTCCCAAGTAGCTGGGACTGCAGGCATATACCACCAAGTCCAGTTAATTTTTGCATTTTTTGGAGAGACAGGGTCTCGAAATGTTGCCTAGGCTGGTCTTCAAACTCCTGGACTCAAGTAATCCTCCTGTCTTGGCCTCCCAAAGAACTGGGATAACGGGTGTGAGCCATTGCACTTGGCCCTGTTATTAAAGATCGAAGTCTTTATTTTTAAAATGTGGCAGCCAGAGGTTATATAAAGCACAACAAATAAGTCTCAGGTTGCACATCAAGTCCTATTAATTGGCAGTAGCTGCCTGGAGTGCTGTGTTGACAAACATTCTCAGGCCACACCTGCTGACTGAGAAACAGTGCTGGGATCAACTAGCAATGGCCATGGATGTGGAAGTAGGGGATTATGTCTCTCATGCCACATATTTGACACTCAGTTAAATGCAGAGGCATCTTTCAGACTTCTATACCCAGTGTTTCTTAGGATTCTGGAAAGCGGACCATTAACAGAGTTAGAAGATAAGAATTCATTATCAATGGTTTTCCCCCAAGGAATCAGTAATGTAGCTTCCTCAGAGACAAGTTTGTTATTTATTGATGATGTCTCTTATCCTGTGAACAGCAAGAGATCCCACTCTCCCTTCTCCAGTTCGAGTACTCAGGATTTTGTTCCTGGACAAAAGCTCACTCTGTCATCCTTATGGATTTGTTCCTGGATACTGTTCTAGCCTCTCAGTGGTCTCCTAGCCTTACCTTCTTGCATCCATTCCCCATAAGGATGATGGATTGAGCTTTCTAGATTGAAATCCTGATTATTCCTGCCCCTTTGGTAGTTCCCATCACTCAGAGGACAATTATTTGCTCCTACATATGATCCATCTTGATCTAGTCCTTGCTTGCCTCTCCATCTCCATCTCTTAACCCTCTTTTCCTTGGCACTTTATGTCACAGCCTCGTGGAGTTACTTGGTTTTCCTGACCTTCTCCACTTGGGGCTTCTCTGGTGTGGCGTGCACCCCCGCTTCAGAGACTCAGCCGAGTCCTCCTCAGGCCACCTTCCTGGATCCTTTCCTTTCCCCTTACACTGGAGGAAAGGGCCCTTGCCACACATTCTGTGCTTGCTTTGATCTCATTGTGTGATCACACGTTTGTCTCTCTCTCCTACTGAAACCCTAAGCTTTGCAAGGATTCAAGAATCTTATTTATTTGCATCCAAACCACTAGTGCAATTGATGGACTATGGGTTCCTGATACATAGTTATGGGATGAGTGGAAGGATGAGGACTGGGCAGTTTTCCCAAATTCATAAAACTGATGGTGACTCAGCAGAGAGCTCATGATCACTAGGTTGATACACTCATTTCCTCACACTATCTTCATTGTTTTACTTAATTACCTGCTCTCCTGGCCCCATATGCAGCTTCTTCTAAAAATGTTGGTTATCACAAGAAATTGAGGCAAAGGAGCCAAGAGCCAATTGTGAACGATGTAAAATTATAGAAATTCAAAGTCATTGAATCTTAGCTCTAGTGAATAATCTCACAGTCCAGAGTCAGTGGCAGAGCCTACGTCTCATCTATGCCTCCCTCCCTCCCTGCCTTCTTCCCTTCCTCTCTCCCTCTCTCTCTTTTTTGGGAAAAAGGAGTTGTTTTCAGCAACTATAAGGGGATCTGTGAAAATTATATGACCACCTTTTTATGGTCTATATGACGACAGATATTTAATTTTGATTGAAATAGAAGTGAAGAGTAAGGGATTCATAATTTGGTCCAAATTCTTGTTGTTGTTTTCTTTGAGACAGGGTCTTGCTCTGTTGCCCAGGCTGGAGTGTAGTGGCACAATCTCAGCTCACTACAGCCTCCACCTCTGGGGCTCAAGCAATCCTCCCACGTCAGCCTCTTGAGTAGCTGGGATTATAGGCATGTGCCACCATACCCAGCTAATTTTTTGCAGAGGCAGGGGTCTCACTATGTTGCTTAGGCTGGTCTTGAACTCCTGGGCTCAAGCAATACACCCGCCTTGACTTCCCACAGTGTTGGGATTACAGGCATAAGCCACTGTGCTGGGCCTTTTGGCCCCAGTGCTGCAGCTGCACAGAGTTCTAATTCCCAGATCCCTTAACTAAAATGTTCTCAGCTTTTTCTCTTTTCTTGGAAAAAAAAAAAAAAGGTAAGCGGCTCATTTCAGAGGAGAAAGTGAAGTGACTCGCCTTGTGTAGCTGTGTTTTTGTCTCGTAGTAGGCGATCACGGGGATGGACGCTCGGTAGTAGGCTTCTAGGCGCTTGGCGATGGTCTTGGTGGTGTCGTCCACAGGCAGGCTGCTCCGGCTCCTTTGGAGAAGGCGGTTGGTCATGGTGTCTGCCGAGCAGTCCATACAGATCACCAACTGTGGGTCTCCAATCTGGAGATGGGAGTGGAGCACAACACAGTCAGAAACCTCACCCTGCTGATGTTCTGGAAAGGCCCAGGGCCTCTGGTTTTTCCTTTCTTGGCCTTCTGGTTCCCTTCAAGGTCCCAGCATTACACTATGGTGCAGCTGGGACTGGACTCCATAGCTCCCCCCTTCCAGGTCAGTTCCCTTCTACACACTGCCTCAGAGCTGTCTCTTGCCCTCAGCTTTTAGGCCACCTCACGTGATGCAGACGAGTATATGCCACCCACTGCAGCCACTGTCTGTCTTCTTCTGCACTGAGAAGAAAGGAGTATGTATGTGTGAGGGGGTGTTTCCTCTAATGTGAAGCCTTTCCTGACCACCTGAGGCACAGCTAATCACTTCTCCTTCAAGCCACCGTGATATAACAGCCACAGGTGGCATTCTGTGGCTGTGCCTGTACTGTGTCAGGTGAGTGGGGCATAATGCTTTAGCACACAGAGGCTGGAATCAGGCTGCTTAGGGTCAAACCCTGGTGTCATGACTTGTCTCCAGGATGGGCTTCATCAATTCGTTATCTCACTTTACTTGTAAGCTACTCTCCCACTGAGACACAGAAACACCTTGAATCTGACCTGTAACTATTTTGACCAACAGACTGTAGCGGAAATAATGTCCATGCTTTTAGAGTCTAGGTCACAAGAAAGTTTGCAGTTTCTGTCTGGTTTTGTGGAACACTTGCTGCAGTGGGGAGTCCGCTGCCATCTAAGATGTCCAACTATCCTGAGACTGCCAGGCTGAGAGGAAGCCCAAGTTAGCCATGTGGAGAGGCCATGTGGACGGAGATGCCCTACCAGCCCCCAACTGTTTTAGATATCCCAGCCCTGGCTCCAGACATGGATCTCAGCCCCAGCCACTGTCTGAGTGCAATTGCATAAGGAACCCCAAGTGAGAACCAGCCCGCTGAGCCCCATAACTTCCAGAACCACGAGAGATAATAACAAATTGTTCTTTAAAGTTTTTATTTTCTTTTCTTTTGTAAGAGATGGGGTCTCGCTCTGATGCCCAGGCTGGAGTGCAATGGCTATTCATGGCATAATTATAGTGCACTATACAGTCTTGAACTCCTGAACTCAAGTGATCCTCTTGCCTCAGCTTCCGGAGTAGCTGGGGCTACACACACATGCCACTGTGCCAGACTTACATATTGTTCATTTAAACTGACTTCCTCATTAACTAGAAGTCTGACTCAACTTCTCTGCATCTGAGTCTTCTCATTCATACAATGAGGATGATCATAGGATTGCTGTGAGGATGAAATAAAATTAAATAAGGTAACATACGTATGCTCCTTGGCATACAGCAGACACTCACTAACGATTCACTGTTACGCTTATTTCCTCTATGAGGCTTAGGTTCCCCGTGTGCAGGGATTAAGAATTCTCTGCTCCTAGTCCCAAGTCTTGCACACAGTAGGTGATGAAGAAATGTTTTAATGAATGAGTGATGGTGGTATGATCTGTGTTATGAGTCTCCCCATCTCCATATCCTTCTCTTAAATGTTCTTTTGTCTCTGGGACATGCTTACTTTGCATCCTCCTCCAACCCTGGATCAGAGGAAACCATTACTCCCCCTGACCTTGCCACATTCGAGCTGTGAGTAAATGAAGGCTTGCCACCACTGTAGAAAGTGTGTGGGGTGGGATGAGAACAAAGTTCAGTCAAGAAGAGGATGTTTAGGCAACACGGAGAACTCGTAATATCGTGAGTTGCCAGACAGTGTTGGTCAAACATTTATCTACCTCCTCTGAGGGGTGTACTTTAAGGAACAGAGTGGAAACATTCTCCAAAATCGACAACAGTGCAATAAACCTCTGGAATAGGTCATGCGACTTTTCTGTCTGTATTAATTGGAAGGAAAAAAAAAAAGAGCATTTGTGCAGCAAGAAAGGCTGGGTGAGGGTTTAGGAAAAAAATGACCCTTGTTCACCAGCAGAGGGCGAGCTTGGGAGGCGGCTTAATGTTCTCCCTGAAACAACTTTGGGTTAGGGTTGCATGAGACAGCCAGGCGATTTTTCCAATTGTGGGGTTATTTTCAGGCCATTTGTGGGGACAGGAAAGATAATTCAGGGACACAGGTACAAACAGAGATTATATGTCACTGAGCAGGAGCCGGCAGCAAATGACCTTTTAGACCAAAATAAGCACGGGGCAGAGAGGTAGCTTTTTCTTCCACACTGATTCCCAAAGTGTGGCCCACGGACCAGCAGCATGTCATTTGGAAGCTTGTTAGAAATATAGACTCTCAGGCACAACACGCGACCTGCTGAAGCAGAATCTGTTTTTTTTTTTTTTTTTTTTTTTTTTGGTGACAGAGTCTTGCTCTGCAGCCTAGGCTGGAGTGCAGTGATGTGATCACTGCAACCTCTGCCTCCCAGGTTCAAGCAATCCTCCTGTCTTAGCCTCCCAAGTAGCTGGGATTACAGGTGTGCACCACCACACCCGGCTAATTTTTGTATTTTTAGTAGAGACGGGGTTTCACCATGGTGGCCAGGCTGGTCATGAACTCCTGACCTCAAGTGATCCACCCACCTCAGCCTCTCAAAGTACTGGGATTACAGGTGTGAGCCACCGCACCCAGCCTAGAGTCTGCATCTTAACCAGATCCCTAAGTGAGTCTTCACAGCATCATAGTTTGAGAAGCTACTCTGACAAGCCATTTTCCTGTGCCAAAACTAGGGGGTTTGACCTAACCTCTCTCTCCTGGAATCAGCACTCTCTTCCTATATAAAAAGCTATCGATCAGTTATTCTATTTGGAAGTGACCTGAACCATTTGTTTTTAATACCTAAAATTTTTTGAAATGTTTCAATGAGATACCATCTAATTTTTTTCAAAATGCTTCGCTATGTATCATTAGAAAGTCCCTTGGAGTAGCTGTCTGGTTCCTAGCTCTGCTCTTGTTTTCACCGGACTGTGGTTAGTCTTCAACATCAAGTAAGCAGACGAGCAGAGAACTCTGCCCTTGGCTGAATGAATCAGAGACTTGGGGACATTGGCCTGCCCCCAACATCACCCTGCTGGCACCCTGGGGCTCTGGCACCAGCCTCACCGGATTCTCCATGGCCTTTGGTTTTCAGGGGACCTTAGTTAGAGCACAAGTGCCCTTGGAAGGGCTGCTGAGATGCCATCAGCAACATTTCAGCAGCTGGCTATGCTTCACTGTGCTAAGGGCTTTACAAACAGCCATCCCATAAGCCCTCTGGCGCTCTTGCCGGGAAGTATGATTATTCCCACTTTAAGGATGAGGAAATGGAGGCCCTCAGAGGTTAACCTTCCCAAGGTCACTAGGGACTAGTGAGTGACAGGCCTGAAGCAGATACATGTAACCCCAAAGCTTGGTGACCTCACCCTGATGGAGAGAGCCAACGCCTTCAGAATGAAGTTTGGGCAAGAAGCTGAGTGGGCCAAATGGAACCAGGAGAGGGGGGTGGGGCCGTGGGAAAGGGAGCGAGTGGGGTGGGGTGCCTACTCACTTATTTTATTTTTCAGAAGCTGCCTCTGCTGCCTCTTGGGATCTAGTGGGACTGAGAGGTGACAGCATGCTGGCAGCCCTCACAGCCCCCGCTCGATGTCAGCGCCTCCTCCGCCTTGGCGCCCACTCTGGCCGCGCTTGAGGAGCCCTTCAGCCCGCCGCTGCACTGTGGGAGCCCCTTTCTGGGCTGCCCAAGGCCGGAGCCGGCTTCCTTAGCTTGCAGGGAGGTGTGGAGGGAGAGGCGCAGGCGGGAACCGGGACTGTGCGCAGCGCTTGCAGGCGCGTGCGCAGAGCTCCAGGTGGGCGTGGATTCCGCGAGCCCCGCACTCGGAGCGGCCGGCCGGCCGGCCGGATGGCCGCAGGCAGTGAGGGGCTTAGCACCTGGGCCAGCAGCTGCTGTGCTCGATTTCTCGCCGGGCCTTAGCTGCCTCCCCGCGGGGCAGGGCTCGGGACCTGCAGCCCCCGCCATGCCTGAGCCTTCCCCCCCACCTCCCCCTGGTCTCCTGCGCGGCACCAGCCTCCCCGACGAGCGCAGCCCCCTGCTCCACGGCGCCCAGTCCCATCCACCCTGAGGAGTGCGGGCGCAGGGCGCGGGACTGGCAGGCAGCTCCACCTGTGGCCCAGTGCAGGATCCACTGGGTGAAGCCAGCTGGGCTCCTGAGTCTGGTGGGGACTTGGAGAACCTTTATGTCTAGCTAAGGGATTGTAAATACACCAATCGGCACTCTGTATCTAGCTCAAGGTTTGTAAACACACCAATCAGCACCCTGTGGATAGCTCAGGGTTTGTGAATGCACCAATCAACACTCTGTATCTAGCTACTCTGGTGGGGACTTGGAGAACCTTTGTGTCCACACTCTGTATCTAGCTACCCTGGTGGGGACTTGGAAAACTTGTGTCTAGCTCAGGGATTGTAAACGCACCAATCAGCACCCTGTCAAAACGGACCAATCAGCTCTCTGTAAAATGGACCAATCAGCAGGATGTGGGTGGGGCCAGATCCTAGCCTGCAGTGGCAACCCGCTGGGGTCCCCGTCCACACTGTGGAAGCTTTGTTCTTTTGCTCTTTGCGGTAAATCTTGCTACTGCTCACTCTTTGGGTCCACACTGCCTTTATGAGCTGTAACACTGCGAAGGTCTGCAGCTTCACTCCTGAGCCAGCGAGACCACGAACCCACCAGAAGGAATAAACTCCGAACACATCCGAACATCAGAAGGAACAAACTCCGGACACGCTGCCTTTAAGAATGGTAACACTCACCGCGAGGGTCCACGGCTTCATTCTTTAAGTCAGTGAGACCAAGAACCCACCATTTCCGGACACAGGACCACACTCATCCTTGCACCCCTCAGGGCATGAGGGCAGCCCACCAGCACAAGGACATGAGCATTGTGGACTGTGATCATGGTTTTGCTTTGGTCATTCCAGCAAGTGGAGCGGGAGGAGAAGTTTGCCCTCCTGCCCTCTGACTCCACCCCCACCTTAGTTTTCTTCTGATTAAGTCAGAATGGGGGTTAGGCCACGTTTACCAGTGGGCAGGAGCTCTCCATGCCATCCAGGAACTCTTTGTTGAGAATAACAACTATCTTATTCTTGGTGTATGCCTCAGTTTCCTCATTTAAAAATGAGGATAATAATAGTATTTGACTCACAGGACTATTGTGAGGGTTAAATGAGTTTGTACATGTAAAGCGCCTGACTCACTTCAAACACTACATAAATGGGAGCTAATGTTATTTAAGGTGGGCTTTGCAACATAGTCATCCTTTTGACCTGTAAAGTATCCCACTGGTCAGATTTAGGTCTAGAAAGAGTCAGCGGCCTCACTCAGGCTTTTAGCCTAAGTCGCATGCTACAGCATGTTTACCAGAGTCTCCCTGTGCTGGCAGGAAAGGGCCCTGGCTGAAAAGAAAGTGGCATGCCTATTTCTCATTTGCTCTCACCTTGAGGTATGTCCCCTTGGGGGAACCTCACTAGAGGAGGAATATCTGGGTCATTCCAGCATTCCTGAATACACAACCCTAATGATAGTAATACTACTCAATTGATATATAACTTCTCCCCCCACACACCATTACGCAGCTCTAAGTTCTGCAGTGAACCGGGAATCAGAAGAGAGCAGAAACATCTCAAGTGAAAAATCCTATGTGGCCTCCAGGGCTCCCCACAATTCTAAACAACTAGAACACACCAACTGGACATTCCCTTGGCCAGACTCAAACTTTGTGTATGTGTGCATATGTGCACGTGTGTGTGTGTTAAGAGCTCATTCTGAAGATTAGAATACACTTATAAACAGAAACACTGGTTCTGTCAATGAAGTGTCATGAGATAGTTGAGAGTAGTAAGGCAGAGGGATCACTGTGAAGCCATCATTCCCACCTCCACGAGAGTTATGTACATATTCTGGCTAAAGGCAGAATTTCAGCTAAGAGTCTTTTGGGAGGGAAAAGCCAAGAGCAAACCCATGCATTCTACTTCTATTAATATGACTTCTGTTAATATGACTTCCATTAATATGATTTCTGTTAATATGACTTCCATTAATATGACTTCTGTTAATATGACTTCCATTAATATGACTTTTGTTAATATGACTTCTGTTAATATGTGGTTAATTTGGCTGATGTTGAGTATGAGATTGGCTTAATACAGGAAAGCATTTCAATTTCACACCAGGGAGTCAGGCTAAGCACAGAGCCCTTCTCAAGATGGTAAGAATCTATAAAATGGCTCACGCCTATAGTCCCTGCACTTTGGGAGGCCGAGGTGGGCAGATCACGAGGTCAGGAGTTCAAGACTAGCCTGACCAACATGGTGAAACCCCATCTCTACTAAAAATATAAAAATTAGCTGGACGTGGTGGTGGGCACCTGTAATCCCCGCTGCTGAGGCAGGAGAATCACTTGAGCCCAGGAGGCGGAGGTTGCAGTGAGCTGAGATCACGCCATTGCACTCCAGCCTGTGGGACAGAGCAAGACTCCGTCTCAAAAAAAAAAAAAAAAACCTATAAAACGGGGGTCCTAACACCTGTTAAGTAGGACTGTAAAAATTAATCAAATGAAATGTGTAAAGCATCAAGTTCAGTTTCTGGCGCATTGTAAGTACTCAAAAAATAATTACTATTCCTATGTTCTGTATGATTTTAACTAAGCAAAAACAGGCAGAACAAAGCTTGGGGAGAACATACATTAAATATTAATAGGTATTATCACTGGGTGGTTAGTTATTCTTTGTTTTATATTTTTGTGTATTGTTTCATACTATATAATTTTTATTTCTATAGTCAGAAAAAATACACATTATTAAAAAAACTGTAAAGACTTATTGAACACCATATGTAGGCTTATAAGTGTGTAAAGGCACTTGTCAAGGATCCCATCCAATCTTCCCAACAATCACTGAGGTATGTATTTCCAACCAACATTTTGTAGAAGAGGAGAAGGAGATCTACAAAGTTAGCTGACTTGCTTACCAGCCAATGAATTACAAAGCCAGGCTCCAAATACAGGCCTGTTCACACCAGAGTCACTATAACCAGGGGTTCTCAGCTGGAGTGGGGAATGAGGATGGTGATCAGAAACCCTGACTCCTCCCTCATATTCCTTCTGCCTCATTACACACATCTACATGCATACATGCATTACATACATGTACATATACACAGCCCCTCCCCCAGTAATCATTCTGTAAACTGAAGGTATAGGTTGTAATTCAACAGGGATAAAACCAGCTTGGGGAATAGAAGATAGGAAGGTAACAGAAACCACACATAGACTTACCCTTAAGCTGTGGACATTAGTTTGCATTTGATTTTTAGCGATGTCATATGCAGTGTCCAAGGAAATCCTCAAAGGACCTTGTATCTCGGAGAACTCAGCTACAGGTATGCAAAAGTGTCAGCCTAACTAACTGAATTTTTAAAGGAACTGATGGTCCAATGCATCGGACGCATCAATCTCGGTGACACAGAAAGGCTGGTGAGATTTTTGTGGGCTGGTTAAAACCTCTCCAGGCTTGAATGGACCTCAAACATAGTTGCAGGCCTGATGCACTAGGGGAAATACTATGCTTTCAACCAAGCTGATTACTTTGAATCTCTGGGGAAAATCAGATGTCTGCATTTGTCTTTGTCAAATTTCAAATGAATTTCTTGCTTGTAATTTGGAGGGGAGCTACAAATGAAGGGCCCTGCAGGGCATTAAGGAGTCAACAGTAGCTCATTCTGTGTTTGTAGCATCTTTGTTCATCTGGTCAGGTTTTATTATTATTATTATTATTTGAGATGGAGTTTCACTCTGTTGCCCAGGCTGGAATGCAGTGGTGCGATCTTGGCTCACTGCAACCTCTGCCTCCTGGGTTCAAGCGATTCTCCTGCCTCAGCCTCCCAAGTAGCTGGGATTACAGGCATGTGCCACCACGTCCCGCTAATTTTGTATTTTTAGTAGAGACGGGGTTTCGCCATGTTAGTCTGGCTTGTCTCAAACTCCTGACCTCAGGTGATCTGCCCGCCTCGGCCTCCCAAAGTGCTGGGATTACAGGCGTGAGCCACCGTGCCCGGCCATCTGGTCAGGTTTAAAGCAGGAGCTCATTCTGGAGGGCTGGATGTGTTCTCTTGCACACCTGCTTAATTGATACTAGAATCTTCTAAAGTTACTGTACCCAGGGACAAATCAATGTCACTCTTGGTCTCTGTAAGTTCCTCCTAGCAGTATGTAAGAAATCATCTTTGTAGATGTCTAAAATCTCACTTAACGGTTGTATGCTCAGTAATGAAATGTGTTACCTGTGTGTTGTTTGAAATGGAATCATGAATTTTAGCATTGAGTGTAACTGTCCAGTCACCATGTTGATGACTTTCTTGTTCCTTAGTTCTAGTTAGGCTTCTTCTCTGCCACATTCTAAAACCGGTCTGAACGGGGACCACAGTGGGAGAGGAAGTTTTTTGCTTTACTTTAGGGAAGATCACATGGACCATTTGAATTCATACTTACGCCAGAGGACAGACCAATGGGCTGCATAGAGCTCTGAGCTCACCCTAACTGGGTTTTAAGCAAAGGAGGAAGTGGTGATGGAGCAGGAATTTTAGAGGCTTGTATGAGGTGTGATTAACAAATGAGTGATGCTAAACTAGATAATATTTTATAAACTTTTATAGCTTAGAAGACATTTATGCATGTTATATGATCTGATGTTTACAAAACCTTTTAAATAGGTGTTAACAGGTATTATTATCTCCATAATAAATGACAGGTGAAAACCTAGATTTTCTGACTCCAGAGTACACGAGTGACATGCTTTTAATGATTCCACCTTGGGAAGGTCCAGGGTTGTCATTGCTCAAAATGATGTGGAACCCCATAGGCGTTAAGTTCTGGGGTTTGCCTTCAGACTCAATTTTAAAATTCCCCAAAGAAGAATAAGGATTATAATTTAATTTTGTTGTTGTTGACCGAGAGAGAGAGAGAGACCTTATTTATTTACTATACATCTTGTCCTCGATCATTTGAGGGTTTCAAGAGAATGTTCTACCACCTCTCAGAGCAATTAAAAAAAAAAAAAGACTTGGCCAGGCGAGGTGGCTCAAGCCTGTAATCCCAGCACTTTGGGAGGCTGAGAGGGCAGATCACGAGGTCAGGAGATCAAGACCATCCTGGCTAACACGGTGAAACCCCATCTCTACTAAAAATACAAAAAATTAGCCAGGTGTGGTGGCGGGCGCCTGTAGTCCCAGCTACTTGGGAGGCTGAGGCAGGAGAATGGCGTGAACCCGGGAGGCAGAGCTTGCAGTGAGCCAAGATCGCACCACGGCACTCCAGCCTGGGCGACAGAGCGAGACTCCGTCTCAAAAAAAAAAAAAAAAAAAAAAAAAAAAGACTTTTATTCCCATCGCTTCCAAACATGCGCAGGACCTGTCCTGACTTTCCTGGAGGGTCTCTCAGAGCTCTTCTAACCTTAAGTTCAAGGGCAAGGTAAGTGGGAAAAGCCTGAAACACTGTTGACCCTGCAGCAGTTATTACACATCTACAATTGTATGTTAGTGTCATGTTTACACAACTGCCAATCCTCATAGACAGGAAGCTTCTCAACGTTTGTACCACACCTTCCTCTTCCTTTCCCCTCCAACCCCCCAGCCCTGCACAGGCCTTGATTCTAAGGTGGTGTAAGAAAAATACTCCTGTTCCTCAGTTACTTAGAATGTATCCCTAGGGACTTATCCACAGCCTAGACGTTGGCTAGAAGATTAGAATAAACAAAATCTAAAACAATCCATGGAAGGCTTAATATTGCTAAGATGTCGATATTACCCAAAGTGATCTACAGATTTAATGTAATCCCTATCAAAATCCTAATTTTTTTTTCCAGGAATAGAAACATCATTTTAAAACCATATAGAATCTCAAGAGGCCCTCAATTGCCAAAACAATCACCAAAAAGAACAACAAAGCTGGAGGTCTCACACTTCCTGATTTCAAAACTTATTACTAAGCTACAGTAATCAAAAGAATGTGGTACAGGCATAAAGACAGATATATAGACCAATAGAATAGACAGTCCAAAAATAAACTCTCACATATATATGGTCAAATGATTTTTCATGAGGATGCTAGTATGGTTTGGAATTTGTTCCCTCCAAATCCCATGTTGAAATGTGACCGCCAGTGTTGGAAGTGGGGCCAGTTGGAGGTGTTTGGGTCATGGGGGCAGATTGCTCATGAACAGCTTGGTGCTATCCTCGTGGTAATGACTGAGTTCTCATTCTCTAAGTTCATGGAAGATGTGATTATAGAAAAGCGTCAGGGGCCTCTGCCATCTCTCTCTCAACATGTGATGCACTGGCTTCTCCCTCACCTTCCGCTGTGAGTGGAAGCTTCCTGAGGCCTCACCAGAAGCAGATGTCAATGCCATGCTTCCTGTACAGGCTGCAGAACCATGAGCCAAAATAACCTCTTTTCTTTATAAATTACCCAGCCTCAGGTATTCCTCATAGCAATGCGAACGGACTAACATAAATGTCAAGATCATTCTGTAGGAGAAAATATTCTTCCAACAAATGGCATTGGGAAAACTAGATATCCGTATGCAAAATAATCTGACACCATATATAAAAAATTAGCTGAAAATGGATCAAGGCTGGGCATGGTAGCTCACGCCTGTAATCCCAGCACTTTGGGAGGCCAAGGCAGGCGGGTCACATGAGGCCAGGAGTTCAACACAAGCCTGGGCAACATGGTGAAACTCCGTCTCTACTAAAAGTACAAAAAAATTAGCCAGGCGTGGTGGCATGTGCCTGTAGTCCCAGCTACTTGGGAGGCTGAGGCACGAGAATTGCTTGAACCTGGTAGGTAGAGGTTGCAGTGAGCCAAGATTCACCACTGTACTCCAGCCTGGGCGACAGACTGAAACTCCATCACAAACAAACAAAGAAACAAACAAACAAACTGGATCAAAATACCTAAATATATAAGCGCTAAAACTACAAAGCTTTTAGAAGAAAATACGGAGGGAAGGCTTCATGGGGATTAGGTAATAACTTCTTGTACAGGACAAAAAGCACAGGCAACAGAAGTAAAAATAGATAAATTGGACTACACCAAAATGAAAAGCTTTTGTGCATCAAAGGACACAACCAAAAGAGTGAAAAGACAGCCTATCAAATGAAAGAAAATATCTGTAAGTCATATATCTGATAAGGAGTTACTATCCAAAATATATAAAGAACTCCTACAACTAGACAACAACAAAAAGAAAACAACTTCATTTAAAGCACATGAAAAGATGCTCAATGTCACTAATCATTAGAGAACTGCAAATCAAAACCACAATAAGATACCACCTCACACCCATTAGGATGGCCACTATCAAAAAAACCCATAAAATAACAAGTGTTGGTGAGAAGAAATTGAAATTCTCACGCATTGTCGGTAGGAATGTAAAGTGGTGTGGCCACTATGGCTGGCAGTATGTATGTATATGTGTAGTATGGTGGCTCCTCAAAAAATTAAAAATAGAATTACCATATGATCTAGCAATTCCACTTGTGGGTATATACCCAAAAGAACTAATGCAGGAACTTGAACAGATATTGTACACATGTAGTCATGGCAACATTATTCACAATAGCCAGAAAGTGAAAGCAACCCCAGTCTCTATCGATAGGTGAATGAATAAAAATAATGTGGCATATACATACAATGGAATGTTATTTGACCCAGAAAAGGAAGGAAATTCTGACACATGCTACAACATTAATGAACCTTGTGGACATTTTGTTAAGTGAAATAAGAGGTACCTAGAATAGTGAAATTCACAGAGATAGGAAGAAAAATGGTGGTTGTCAGGAGCTGGGGAAAGGAGGGAGAGGGTAGAGTTTCAGGCAGGTGCGGTGGCTCACACCTGTAATCCCAGCACTTTGGGAGGCTGAGGTGAGAGGATCACCTGACCCCAGGAGTTCAAGTCCAGCCCTTGTAACAGAGTGAGATCCCCATCTCTACAAAAAATCAAAAAGTTTAGCTGGGTGTGGTGGTGCAGTCCCAGTTGCTCAGGAGGCTGAGGTGAGAGGATTGCTTGGGCCTTGAGGTTGAGGATGCAGTGAGCTATGAATGCACCACTGCACTCCAGCCAGGGCAACAGGGCAAAACCTTGTCTCCAAAAATAAAAATAAATAAAATAAATAGTAGGTAGAGTTTCAGTTTAGCAGATAAAAAGAGTTCTCAAGATGGTGGTGATGGTTTCATAACAATATGAATGTACTTAACATCCTTGAACTGTACACTTAAAAATGGTTAAGATGACAAATTTTGTTATGTCTATTTTACCACAATTATTTAAAAAGTAGAACAACGCTCCCAATTCCATCTTGTAAAAAACTAGTTAATTTATATTGAGGTTTGTGCTCTTGAAGTGATTTTTTTCATGGGAAAAAGCTCATTAGAACTTGGGCATGTGAGTGTCCCCCATCAAGAACTGCCTAAAACTTCCACAGTAATGGGGCTCTGCTCTGCAAATCCACTTCTCCCTGCCCACCCCCATCTTGCTGATGGAAGCTCTGGAGTCGAGGGACAGCCAGAATGGGTCCAGGGTCCACCCATGCCAACTAGACCTAGACATGTTTTCTTTGACTCTGGTTTCATGTAGGAAGTGTAGGGGAAGATGAGCAATTGACCTTGAAGTATTTTGACACTAAGGAAATTAAATGAAACAGGCTCAGAAGGAGGTCAAAGTAAACCCCCAGAGACACACAAGTATAATTCACCTCAATCAATGTTACTAGAAGTGGATGGCGATGGGTCCCGCAAAATCTTAGTCCTGCTAGCAGTTGGCACTTACCAGTAAGTTGTCACCAGCTGTGTGGCCATGGGGAAGTCATTAACCCTTTCTGGGCTTCACTCATCACCTTTAACATGAGGACAATACTTCCCCTATCTATCTAAAAAGGTTATTAAAAAAAAACGAGAAAACTGTATATGAAAAATGTTTCAAAACTAGTCTGAAGAGATATCTCTATAAATATGAATTTCTTTTAAGTTCTCAAGTCAGTATTTGTTTAACAATGAGGCCAGTTTTACCCTTCTTGCCTGGACTTGTAAGATTACAGGTACTCTCTATAAAGTGTGGGCACAGGATCTGGCCCAGAGTGGGTTCAATACGTGGCAGCCACAATGGTTTTTACTTACTGCTGCTCCCCTGTGAGTATCCCTGACCCACCCTCCTCACTAGGAGAGGGTGGGCAGGGAGGTGGGATGGTGGGAGGATAGTGGGAGGGTGGTGTGTAGTTCTGATTCTGCCTGTCCAGCACCCATTCCCCCGTCTTCTTGTAAGGGCAGCCCTACTTTTCCTGGGGGTAATTTTCCTTCCCTGTGTGGTTCAGGTGTGGTGCCCTTGCTCCCTCCTCCCTTCCCATCCTTCCTTGGTCCTCCAGGCTGGGCCAGCCAGCGTATTCCCTCTTCTTCCCTCTCGGCCTCAGTAATTGGTTCAGTGATGATGGGACTGTGACCAAATCCAGGATAGGAAACACAACTCTGGGTCTTTTGCTGGACCCACTGGGAAACAGAAACACTTTTCTATGAAGCCACTTAGATGGTAGAAGGTAAGCCTTGATCAGGAAGAAAATGAGACCAACACAAAGGAAAGAGAATTAGAGAGAGAGAGAGAGAGTCAGACAATTGATGAACACATTTGGATATCTGGAGTCAACCAAATCTAAACCACTGCTGGGTGTTTTAGTTACTTAAGTCAATAAATCTCCTTTTTTTAAATTTCTAGTTTGAGTCAAGTTTCTGCCCCTTAAAGTTTTCATTAATGTAATTGGGAAAGAAATAGACTTTGAATTATCACCCAACCTCAAGGATGTCCCCTATTTTTCTTCTGGAAGGATGCCCGTAACAACCACTCACCCTGCGTCCGAACTCTTCCCCTTGCTTCACCTCCCGAGGATAGCCGTCAATCAGGAAGCCCCTGGTGTCCCCGAGGCTGGCCACCATGGCCTCCTTCAGGAGCTCCAAAACGATGCCCTGGAGCAAAGCGAGAGTGGTCAGGACCTGAGCTCTTTCACAGAACACTAGAAGTACCCCAAGTCTCCTTCAGTCATCCACTGAGGGAGGGAGGAAGGTTCAGGTAAGGTTAACAGCAGACAGCAATTGACCATATTTCATTTCACTCTTCCACCTCCACCCCATATTTTAATATCTATGAAATTGGCAGGTATTTATAATCAGTTCTGAGTCATAGTTTAATTGTTAGTGTTTTTTTCTTACTGGTATATTCTTACCAGTTATCTGTCTTAAAATATTGGCATCTTAGATTAGATGAGGTAAGGTAGCTGCATTTCATATGGTAGCACTCCATGAATTAGGCATAATGGCAATTTAAAACTAGACAAAACATGGTATAAAAAGTATTTTACTGGCCGGGTGCGGTGGCTCATGCCTGTAATCCTAGCATGTTGAGAGGCCGAGGTGCGTGGATCACCTGAGGTCAGGAGTTCAAGACCAGCCTGGCCACCATGGTGAAACCCCATCTCTATTAAAAATACAAAAATTGGCCGGGCATTGCCGTGGGCACCTGTAATCCCAGCTACTCAGGAGGTTGAGGCAGGAGAATCGCTTGAACTCGGGAGGTGGAAACTGCAGCAAGTCAAGATCCTGCCACAGCCCTCCAGCCTGGGTGACGAGCGAGACTGTGTCTCAAAAAAAAAAAAAGGTATCTTACTGTTAACTTTTTTTCCAGTAAATATTTTATAAAATTTGACATCTACTGACTTAAAAGACTTTAGGTAGATGTAAAGTAGCATTTTCAAGTAACATCACTTTCTTTGTTGAAAATTTGTATTTAGCAAGTGCTATGGTAAATGAAGTAGGAGAAATACACCAGAGTCTGGAAATTGGTAGAGGAAAAACGCAATCAGCTGCCAGTGGAGGAATTCCCTTTTCGTGGGCTCTCTGGCTTTTGGCAGGGGCTTGGGGAATGCGGCCATTGCAAGTGTGGTTAGAATCTATCCCTAGATAATCGTGAATGAAGTCCTCATGAAGTTTATATTCTAATGAAGAAGACAGACCATAGATGAACAAATAAATATATAATGAAGAGTCAGCGAAGATAACTGATAGGTACAAAATTAAAGCAGGACAAAGAGGTACAGAATGCTAGAGGTGTTACTTTCTATAGGGTGGTCAGGGAAGGCATCTGATAAAGTGTAACACTGAAGTGGAGATCTGGATGAAGTCAAGGACCAAACTATGTGACTGTATGAAGGGAGAGCATCAGGCTGCAGACACAGCAAATGCAAAGGCCCTGAGGCAGGAACAGGCTGACTTGTGGGAGGAACAAGGAGGCTAGTGGTGGGTGGGAGTGAGCAAGGTGAGAGTGGTGAGAAATAACACTGGAGAGGGAGCTGGAGGCCAGAGCTACAGAAAGGACTCTGATTTCATCCTAAGTGTGGCGGGCAGCCATTGGAAGGTTTTGAGGAAGGGAATAACACACTTTGATAAATGTTTCAAAGAAATCATTCTGGCTGTGTCAGAAGTGTTTGAACCAGAGCAACTCCATCTTGAATAAAGGCTGGATAAAATAAGGCTAAGACCTACTGGGCTGCATTCCCAGAAGGTTAAGGTATTCTCTTTTTTTTTTTTTTTTTTTGAGATGGAGTTTCACGCTGTTGCCTGGGCTGGAGTGCAGAGGCGTGATCTTGGTTCACTGCAACCTCTGCCTCCCAGGTTCAAGCAATTCCCCTGCCTCAGTCTTCCAGGTAGCTGGGATTACAGGTGCCCGCCACCATGCCCAGCTAATTTTTTGTAGTTTTAGTAGAGATGGGGTTTCACCATGTTGGCCAGGCTGGTCTCAAACTCCTGACCTCGTGATTCACCTGCCTCGGCCTCCCAAAGTGCTGGGATTACAGGCATGAGCCACTGCGCCCTGCCAGGTTAAGCATTCTAAGTCACAGGATGAGATAGGAGGTCAGTACAAGACACAGGTCATAAAGACCTTGCTGATAAAGCAGGTTGCAGTAGAGAAACTGGGTAAAACCCACCAAAACCAAGATGGCAACAAGGGTGACCTCTGGTTGTCATCACTGCTACACTCCCATCAGCGCCATGACAGTTTACAAATGCCACAGCAATGTCAGGAAGTTACCCTATATGGTAAAAAAGGGGAGGCATGAATAATCCATCCCTTGTTTAGCATATCATCAAGAAATAACACATAAAATGGGTAACCAGTAGCCCTTGGGGCTGCTTTGTCCATGGAGCAGCCATTCTTTTATTCCTCTACTTTCTTAATGAACTTCCTTTCACTTTACAACTTGCCCTGAATTCTTTCTTGCACAAGATCCAAGAACCCTCTCTTGGGGTCTGGATTGGGACCCCTTTCTGGTAACAGCTGCTGTGAAAAGAGGAGACTTTAGGGAAAAGAGTGGGCTCCAGGAGGCCAGCTAAGTGGCAGCTGTAATGGTCTGTTTTCCTTTCATGAGGACCATTCTGGCTTCCAGGTGGGAAACAGAGTGCAGCTGGTTATAGAGAAATCAGACAGCTCTGTTGCTAACAGAGACTGTATCATACGGCCCTCATTACAGAGCCTATCATGGGACCCAGTGTGGCAGGGATGAATATTTCTTGATATCCCTACCATTCAGCTTCTTAGAGATGGATGGTGACTTTAGAAGAAAAAAGATAGAAAAGGGGATATTCTTAAATTACACAAGAAGATACCAAATTTCAAGATAATCATACCTCCCAGAACTAAACCAAAGCATTATTTTATATTTTCTGGGGGTTTCTAATTCTAGGCTCTGCTGCACCACACTCACTTCTATTTTGAAGCCTTTCCAATTCTAAAGTGGGATGAATTTAGGGGAAAAATGTGAAATTAGGCCAACATTTGAGGGCCTGGTAGAGCAACAAGATGGAAGGAGCCTGGGCCAGCTCGACCTGGTTGAGTAGAAGGTCTGTCTGCTGTAGACCTGCCTGCATCTGGATTGCTGCAAAGGAGGGAAATAATATACAGCTATTGTTTCTTTGGGTTTCTTAGTTCCAGCAGCTCAGATTCATTACAAAAACCCCAAAGGTCTCCCCAGACAGGAAAGGCAGTAATGTGGGTCAGGCCATGTTGCTTACTGAGGGCACCAGGTCTCCACGTTCCATAATGTCTCTGATCAATTTGCTTCTTTCAGATTCTGATGCCAGTTCCTCACGCAGGAGCTCGCCAGTTGAGAGATGTGTAAATCCATATTTTTCCACCAGCTTTTCACACTGTGTGCCTTTGCCAGAGCCAGGACCACCTTGAAAAGAAGTCATGTGTCAGACATGCATTCCAAGTCTGGTGCCTCATTTTTAATGGTAGTCACCATGGTGAGCAAGCCTCAGTGTTCCAGTCACTAAGCATGTATTGGGAACTTGAGATTTGCTATACCAGGAGCTGTGCTGAGAGTGGTGGATGCAAGTGGAGAATGGGATGCAGCCCTTGCCTTTAAAGAGCTTAGATTATCCATGAAGCGGGAGGGGGCAGGTGTTACAGAAAAACAAGCAGTTACTTTTCATAGACCACTTGTAACCCATGGTCACAGGCAGTTAGTGAAGATGAGTACAGCCTACTATCGGGGCACAGAGGAGGGGTACTTGGCTCCGTTTTGGTAGAGATGCAAAGTCAGAAAAGTTTCCTTGGAGAACCGAACCCACTCATGTGCAAAGCACTGGCCACAATTCCTGATACTTAGTGAATGCTCAACAAATGCTAGCTTTTAATTTAAAAAAATAAGTGTTTTTATTTTCAGCAATCACCAACTTACAGAAGGGTTGTGAGGACAAAGAACTTTCAGAAACACTTGGGAATAAGTTGCTAATTGGATGCCTCTTTACTCCAGAACCTTTTAGTGTCATTTCCTACAAACAAGGAAACAAGCATATCCTCCATCATAATGATATCCTTGGACCCCTACAAATTTCAACTGAATTGTCCCAATTGACTCAATAATGTCCTCTGAAGTCAATGGGTCAAGTTCAGGATCATACATTGCCTTTAGTTGCCATGTCCTTCTGCTTTCCTTCAGTATAGAACAGTTTCTGTGGGTTTCCTTGACACATTTGAAGATTATGAATAGTTATTTTGTAGAATGTCCCTCAATATGTTTTATTACCTTATTTTTTTCCTTAGCTATTATCAATTCTGAGTATCTGCCATATCCCTTTCATAATAGTATGTCATAGGATTTTATGTCTGAAAATAATAATAATAGCTGACCTTTATCAAGCGCTTACTGTACCAGCCATTATTCTAAACATTTTAGGTATTACGTACAAGGTTATATAAAATAACCTTAAGAGGCATGCACTGTTATTATTCCCATTTTACAGACGAGGAAGCAGAGGCACAGAGAAGTTAAATCCATTGCCTAGGCTGCACTGCTAGTGAGTAGCAAGCCTAGGATTTGAAGCCTGGGCTCTGACTCTCAGAGGTGTTCCCTTCTCTCCTCCCCATTGTGGCCACATTGACCTGGCCACACTTCAGGTCCTCATCTTCTCCGCCTGGCGTATGGCAATCACTCCACCTCTGCATGTCAGAATCGGAGGGGCTTTGGAGCCCCACAGACTTGCTAGCAGGATGATGTGCCTGGAAAGCAGGGCACTCCCACCTCCATAGCACTCAATGGCCTCCTATGCTCCCAGAGTAAAATTCAAATTCCCTACAGCAGCACCCCAACTCTCCAGAATCTAGTCCGACTTTACCTCTCCAGCATCTTTCCCCGCTATTTCTTCTTCTTCTTTTTTTTTTTTTTTGAGATGGTCTTGCTTTATCGACCAGGCTGGAGTGCAGTGGTGTGATCTCAGCCCACTGCAACCTCCACCCCCCAGGTTCAAGTGATTCTCCTGCCTCAGCCTCCCAATTAGCTGGGATTACAGGTGCGCACCACCATGCCTGGCTAATTTTTGTATTTTTTGATACAGACAGGGTTTCACTACGTTGGCCAGGCTGGTGTCGAACTCCTGGCTTCAAGTGATGCACCCGCCTCAGCCTCCTGAAATGCTGGGATTACAGGCATGAGCCACTGTGCCGGGCCCCTCTCCCCATTTCTTACCCTCCTCCAGCACTGTCATGTCCAACTAACACAATTCTTGGACTTTCAATGCTTTCCATGTGCCTGGAAAGGAGGGCACTCCCACCTCCATAGCATTCAATGGCCTCCTATGCCCACACAGACTTTTCCAGGCTACCACGCTTTTGTTCTTCTTGGTCCTCAGCTTGAAAGGCCCTTCCTTCCTCCTCTTCTCTTTGTTTTCTCCCCCAGCTTTATTGAGGTATCATTGATAAAACTATAAATTTAAGATGTACAATGTGATGTTTGATATACATATATATTGTGAAATAATTACCACAATCAAGTTAATAAACCTCCACCTCACATAATCTTTTTTTTTTCTGGTGCTGAAGACATTTCACATCTATTCTAGCTAATTTCAAGTATACAATACAGTGTTGTTAACTGTAGCCATCATGCTGTACATGAGGTCTCCAGAACCACATCTCCTCACTTCCCTAGCCCCTGGCAACCACCATTCTTACAATCTGCTTCCATGAATTTGACTTTTTATGATTCCACGTACACGTGAGATCATGCAGTATTTGTCTTTCTGTGCCTGGCTTATTTCACTTAGCATAATGTCTTCCAATATGTTGTCACAAATGGCAGGATTTCTGTCTTTTTATGGCTGAATAATATTCTATATTCTAGCACATTTTTTTACCCATTCATCTTTTCTTTCTTTCTTTTTTTTCTTTGAGATAGGGTCTTGCTCTGTCCCCAGGCTGGAGCACAGTGGCACAATCACAGTTCACTGCATCCTTGAACTCAAAACTCCCGGGCTGAAGCAATCCTCTTGCCTTGGCCTCTTGAGTTAGCTGGGACTACGGGTCCCACAGGTGCACATCACCACACCCAGCTAATTTTCAGATTTTTTGTAGAGACAGGGTCTCTTGCTATGTTGCCCAGGCTGGTCTTGAACTCCTGGCCTCAAGCGATCCTCTCACCTCAGCCTGCCAAACTTCTGGGATTACAGGCCTGAGCCACTGTGCCCGGTCACATTCATCCTTTTTTTTAATGATCAAGGTCGTCCTCAGCCCTTAGGTCCAGATCACATGTTTCCCCCTTCTGGCAGGAGCCAGACCTCTCACCCTCAGCTCTGTTGGAGCCAATGCTGTAAACAGCGCCGGGTGCTCCCTGCCTGTCTTACTCTTGGGCTGCAGCTCCCTCACTGGTCGCCGGCCCTGCAAGCTTCTCTGGGTGCCCTGAGCACATCACACAGCACTTTGCACATCGTAAGTGCACCATAAATGCCTGACAAAGTTTTCTTGCTAAAAGGAAACATTTACCATCAGCATGCAAAACATGATTGAAATTTTAGTATGGTAATGAGGATTTACAACTCATTCTGCGGTTTTCCTGGTTTGCCTTTTTTCATACTTAAAACTCCTTTCTTTGTGCGGTTGGCAACTTCCCTCTTAAGGGACAACATTAGTTGTTGACCCTTTCTAATAGAAGGGCCCCTCCTTCCCCCTTCTTTGCCTTGCCAGAAAATCCAGGAAAGGTCTGAGTTTTCTATCTTCTGCTCATCTATACAGCTGCTCTAAGCCAAATGGGGAGGAGGTCAGACCCCTCATAGTATTGTCAGGGAGTCAGGGATGGGCTGGATGTAATAGGAAAACAGCAATTATGGAGGCTCCCCAAAATAATGCAGACCACTTAAAGAAGCAGCCAACTGCCAGCTAATGCTATGTTTACTGTAAGCACTATGCCTCCCGTCTCTCAGTATAATAGGAATGGAGAGTGTGGGAACAAGGTGGCCACTCTGGAGAAGTGGTGCTTCCAGGTAAATGACTAAGGGGTGCAAGTGGCTGAGCTCCTGAAAAGGCCATCAGGGCTTCTGTGGCTGGATTTACCTGGAAATGCTTTTCCTGGGATGGTTGGGAGCCCTCCATGTGGAAAAGATATTTTCAGACTTGGCTTACAAGGCAAAAATGCCATGTTCCAATTATTTTCTTCCTTTAGCATCCTGCTAATATGACTATTACAGTTTTTGTTCCTCTAAAATGTTATTTAATAAATCTCGACACAAAGGCAATTAAAAATCTTCAGCTCAAATTAACAACAGCTGTGTGTTGAACAGCAGCCGCTGCCCCAGTTAGAAACTTTCGTGGGAGCAACAGCTGCAAATTTTTAGCATTCTTTGGCCAAATGGCGCAGGCACTGTGGAATTTTAAGTAATCTACACAATAGCTTGATTCTTCCCTTGGCTCCAAACTGAAAAACAAAGTGATTTTATCACTGCAGTGAAAGCACAAAAACTGCTGGTAGAAACATAAATTTTCATATACTGCCACCGACATATCTTTGAGGTCTTAACTTATGACTTTTAAATAAAAAAACAATGGGGCCTTGATATCCCTCCAGGATAATTTGTTACCCGGCAAAAGATATTTTGAGGAACCGCATCTCAGAATGAGTGGGCTGTGTCCTCTGGTGGCAAGACGACTGATGACAGACAGGAGCTGTCACATTTACTGTCATCTCACTCATTTTTAGTGTACCATTACCCAAGGCTCGAACCCCTGAATAAGCCCATACACCATACCACGTGATATGATTCACAAAGAGATTGTGGAATATGAGATTCTATTTTGAAGTTGTCTGTGAATACCTCAAAAAAAGGTGGAAAAATGTAAAAAGCGTTCCCTGTGAGGCCAAAGGTGCTATATATTGTGAAAAGTGCATGTACTGTGAACGCCCAATTTGCATCTGAGTAAGTCATTTCCCTACAGGTCTCGACAGCATTGCCACAGAAGGAAGGGAGGGGAGAGACTGTATGGGAATTGCCAGCCCAGGGAGTCTAAGTCTGCCTTCTCTTCGGTACCTGGTGTTCTTTGAGAAGTAGAACTGAAACCATCTGCATCACCTCGGCATGCCCACGTGGGTCACGTTTTCCAGTTTGCTTTGTATTGACAGGAGCAATCCTCTCCTGTGAGATAGCTCCTGGATTCAGCATCCTGAGCTGGACTCCTTAAGATAAGGACCAGCCTCCGCCTCCCAGGTTCAAGCGATTCTCCTGCCTCAGCCTCCCGAGTAGCTGGGACTACAGGCGAGTGCCACCACTCCTGGCTAATTTTTGTATTTTTAGTAGGGGCAAGGTTTCACCACGTTGACCAGGCTGGTCTCGAACTCCTGACCTCAAGTGATCCGCCCACCTCGGCCTCCCGAAGTGCTGGAATTACAGGTGTGAGTCACTGGGCCTGGCCTAAAATGACTTTTGTTGACATTTTATTGCATCTTACTAACTCCAGGATGTTACCTGGAATTAAGCATGAAGTTAATTAACACAGCTCTTTTTAAAGAAACATCTATTGGACAGCTAGAATGGGTTTGACACTGCTAAGCACTAGAAATAAAAAGACCCAGAACTGGGTCTTTTCCATCAGAGAGGTCACAATCTAGTGGGGAGGATGGACAGGGGAACCATCATCACAGCAGTGTGATAGGTTCTATGAGTGGGGGCTGTAAACACCATCGCAGAAGCACTGGCTGGGACTCCTTAGGAAGGGGAAGGGTAATTAATCACCTTTGCCAGCACAAGGAAAGTGTGGGAAAGATGGCATAAGGCTGAGCCTGGTGTCTTCAGTAATGGAACTTGGAGCATGAAAGGGCTCTGCATCTGCACAGGGGTGGAAGTGGAGGAGTATGAAGTATCATGAAGGGCACGGGATGGGTGATCTGACAATCAACACTGGTTCCACCACTTACTAGTCACGTGGTTATAGAGCAATCTTTTAATTTCTCTGAATCTTAGTTTCTTATCTGTAAAATGGGGGGAAATAATCACCAACTTTCTGCCTCATTCCACTTTAGGGTCTCCCTCCTCATCTCCCATACCTGATCAGTTGCCAAGCTCTGTCAAGTCTACATTTGAAAAGTCTCCAGCTTCATCCATATCCCTACAAAGGACATGAACTCATCATTTTTTATGGCTGCATAGTATTCCATGGTGTATATGTGCCACATTTTCTTAATCCAGTCTATCATTGTTGGACATTTGGCTTGGTTCCAAGTCTTTGCTATTGTGAATAGTGCCGCAATAAACATACGTGTGCATGTGTCTTTATAGCAGCATGATTTATAGTCCTTTGGGTATATACCCAGTAATGGGATGGCTGGGTCAAATGGTATTTCTAGTTCTAGATCCCTGAGGAATCACCACACTGACTTCCACAATGGTTGAACTAGCACATGTACCCTAAAACTTAAAGTATAATAAAAAAAAAGTCTCTGAAATTTGTCCCGTTCCCCCAAATGTCAACAAAAATGTTCCTATTCCCATCTCTCTGTTAAAATATTGGTGCTTGGCAAAAGCTATTTACAATGAAGGGGGGTTATACACCTCTATAGCTCTTCCTGAGTTACGTTGTCTGGCACATCAAGGTTTAAATTAAACATAATCCAAAGTCAGTAATGAATTTGGGAACTAGCCATTAATTCCAGACTTCCAGGCCACTTGCAGGTACTTAAGATATACCCGTGTGTGCACGATCTCTCTCTCTCTCTGTCTCTCTCTCTCTCACACACACACACATACGTATATATGTGACAGCGTATGTGAAGATATACGTATCTAGTTTAGAACTCAACGTTTATTTTCTCTAAGTTTCAAAGCAGAGAGAACAGTATTGTCTGGGTTTAATTGCTATCAACAAAGCTTTCTAGGCTTTAATTCCTATTCCACCCCAGTCTGAGAGGTATTTAAGCCTCCTCAGCACCAATGACCTTCATCACTAACCCAATTTCAGCCCCCTGCAGCTCTAGCTGAAACTGAGCGTTCGTTATTTGGATCTATTCTCCCACTCTGATAGCATCTTTCTCTCCCTTTCACTTTTCCCTTGACCTCACTTCTCAACTTGTTCCTTGCTGTCGTTATGACCTCACAGGGTTGGCCCATTCCCTTTGAGCTCCACTTACCTCCCTAGCTAGCTGGACGCCAGCCCCTTTCTAGCAACTTTGAATCCTTTGCCCTACTTCAGTTCTATGGAACCTGCCGTGTCACCATCAGCCTGCTCTCCCTGCCCAGGCCACCATAGGCTTTATTTGCATCTACTCTGGGCTGCTAAGAGTTCCCTTGAGAGAGTCCAAAAACTGAGCCAACTGAGTCATGCTATCTAACTTCATAATAGTTTTTAATGCTTCTTGGCAAATATCCTTCTTTCTCCTGGTATCAAGTTGGACATCAATTGGATGTCCATGAATGGATGCTAATATTTCCCACTGTCCTTCAACACATCCTCATTCCTCTCACTCTTAACATTTTTAACCCTCTTACTCACTAAGATGAAGACTGTCTCATTTCCTCAGCATTTTCAAAACATTGATGTTTCTATCCTTTGCCCTCCATCCTTCTTTATCCTGTTTGGAAAACTTTATGCCATTTAGCTTAAGGCTAATTTCTCTGCTTTGGCTCCCATAAAATACATACATATATTACAGATAACTTGATACCCTCTTTTTTGTCCAGATGAAATTTATTTCTCTTGGTTGGCAGCTTCTTTTCTGTGTAATGTCATGCTCAGTTTTCCCCAGTCCACACAATAAGGATCAGAATTATTATCTGTAAAATGAGGCAGTTACTGTTGGTGATGGTTAGAAACCTTTCTAGCTTATTCCTAGTAAAATTCCATAATCTTACAAAGGTTGGATGCAGCTTTTTTTATACTGTGGTACTATTTTACCAGCTATTGTGGTACTATATATATGATTTCCCTGCTTTGGCCCCGTAAAATATAAATATGAATATAAATAAAATAGAAATATATATAATGTAAATATATATATTATATTTTACAGGAGACAAAGCAGGGAAATTATATACATATAAAATATATTAATAGATAAAGCATATGTATGTACAGATACATGTATCTAGTTTATATGTATGATATATATTATTTACTTAAAATTTTGTCTTCCTTATTAGGCTCTATGGTATCTGAGTATGGGATCTGGGTCTGCTTTGCTCGTCATGGTGCACAAACACAGTGCCTGAAATATAATAGACACTTTATAATAGCAGCTGAAAGACTAAAAAATTTAATGATAAATGGATCCTCTCCTGCCTGTTCCAAGAACTTGACGCTCTCTTTTTTGTCCATATGAAATATATTTCTCTCGGTTGGCATCTTTTCTTCTGTATAACATCAGCTCGGTTCTCCCTAGTCCAAATGAAAATATTTCTACCATTGCGTGTGTCCTCTGAGTTATCTTTGTATTCTTTTTCTTTCTTTCTTTTTCTTTTTTTTAGCAGCGGAAAACTGCCTGTTTCCATTTCTTCTTCATTTATTGACTCCCTATCCTCTTGGAAACTATCTCATACCTCATCACATTCTGAAATTGCTCTTTTATAGTTCAACAGTGATTGCATATTTGTCATATTACTTTTTGGCTTGCTTCTAGTCTTTGATACCTTTGACTCTGTAACACCAACGACCAACATCTCAAAATTCTCTCTTTCTCTGGCCTCTAGCACACACAGTTTGCTCACGTTCTCTTCCTTTCTTTGCCAGGCTGAAGCTCGCAGAGGGCAGAAACCACTTCACTTAGGCTGGCATCCCCACAGAACCTGGCCCAGTGTCATAGACAATTGTTAACAAGAGCCAGTGTCCAGGAGCCTGTGGCCCCACAAAAATGACAACTCTGCTCCTTTCACATAAAAGGATCACTGGACCCAAGGGCTTGAGTTCCAGGTTCACACCTCAGGCCATTCTCCATCTGGTTAGATGACTTTGATCAAGTCACATATCTGCTCTGAGCTTCAACCTCTTCAGTTACAAAATGGGGGTGGTCACAATACCTGTTGGTTGTGAGGACAAAATAATGCATGTGAATCTCTTGGATTGGTAGCTGGCAAAGTGAAACACACAATAAACATCATAATTATTATCTGCAAAATGAGGCAGCTACTGTTGGTGATGTTTAAAAGTCTTTCTAACTCTTTCTAACTTACTCCCAGTAAAATTCCATGAGCTTACAAAGGTTGGACACAGCAGTTTTATATCCTGGTACTGTTTTAACACCTTTAAAGGTGCATAGCCTTCCCAGTTACAGCTTGTGAGAGGATCAAATATCTTTTGCAAATCAAACTATCTTATTTCTAATCTTCATATTTTAGAAATCTATCATATTTCTGCCTGTTGAAATATTTCTTTCTCCCTAAATGAAAATAGGTCCCTATGTTGGGTTAAGGTTTTTGTGACCGAATGACTCTTTTCTGAGAAAAATTATTATGCCATCAGATCATGAACTGACCGTGCCCTAAGAATGATCCTCAACCATTCTGGGCCCATGGGTCAGTTGAAACCTTCTCCATCTGGGAAGAGCTGCATCACTGTGCCAAGCTTCAGCAGGCTGTTGCTGGGAACTGACACTCTTGGACCGAAAACAATTGAGATAAATAGATCTTTATCCTCAAAGACAACATCTTTATTAGTTCTGAAAAGCACTGACTGCTTCAGGTTATTTGGTGAATATGTGGAAATATGCCAGGGTCAGCTGAAGGTTATATGGAAAAACTTTAAATGGGACTGGGAATGTCTTGATAGCAGAAACCATGCCTTATTTATCAGTGCCCGTGTATAGTATATCAGTGAATGAATGATGGACTATCTGTGAGCTTCACAGAGGCAACCCTGTACATGACAAGAAAGTCAATTAGGGGACCTTGGCTCTTGACCACTCCTGCTTTGAACTAGTCGAGTGATTCTGGGAGAGTCACTTTGCCTCTTTGGGTGCTAGCTTCTCTGTCTGTAAAGTGAAGAAGCTGAATTAAATGAGTGGCTTCCTGTGTTAGATTGTATTACTTTCTTAAATATCCCAGCTTTCCTTCCATAGTGCTTCTCCCCATGCCTGTGGAAGGATTACTCATCCCCACCTTCTTCTTTTTTTTTTTTTTGAGATGGAGTCTCGCTCTGCCGCCAAGGCTGGAGTGCAATGGCATGATCTTGGTTCACTGCAACCTCCGCCACCAGGGTTCAAGTGATTCTCCTGCCTCAGCCTCTCGAGTAGCTGGGATTACAGGCACCCACCACCACACCTGGCTGTTTTTCGTATTTTTAGTAGAGACGGGGTTTTGCCACGTTGGCCAGGCTGGTCTCGAACTCCTGACCTCAGGTGATCCACCCACCTCAGCCTCCCAAAGTGCTGGTATTACAGGTGAGAGCCACCGTGCCCAGCCTGCCCCAAACTTCTTGAAGTTAAGAGTTCCAAGGGACTTGTTTTGGTCAATGAAATGTGGGCAGAGGTGGATGTGTACTGGTTTGGAGCAGAGGTTTTTACGCCCAGCACATGGTATGCCAGGTCTTTTCCCTTTGCCATGAGACTGGTAATGTTTCGGCTAATAAGGGCTCCATCAGCATGGTTACCAGAGTGAAGCTGGGGAGTTGTTTGGAAAAATTCCTGAATTAGCAGATCTGTACATCTCTGGGCTGAGGCTTGGGAACTTATAGTTTTAGAAAATTCCCCAGGGAAAGTGTACAGACATCTGCAATTTACTTGGAAGTGGACAGGAAAAAGAGATGTACTGATGGATGAATAGAGGGACAGATAAATAACAAGACAAGATATACAGGTTGGAGCACTCCTTATCTGAAATGCTTGGGATCAGAAGTGTTTTATATTTTAATTTTTTTTTATTTTGGGATACTTGCATTATACTTACTAGTTGAGCATCCCAAATCCTAAAATTCAAAATCCCAAATGCTCCAATGAGCAGTTCCTTTGAGCGTTACGTTGGCATGCAAAAAGATTAGGACTTTGGAACATTTTGGATTTTGGATTTTTGGAGTAGGGATACTCAGCTTGTAGTAAGATGTTGATTGAAGACTAGGTGGTGGGTATACAAGTGTTCACTGTAATATTCTTTCAGCTTGCTGTATGTTTGAAATATTTTCATAATAAAAAAGGATAATTCCCCAGGTGATTCTGATGGTTAGCCTGATTTGGAACTTCTAGATTAGATAATCTAAGGAAGGCAATTTGCTGTGAACTCTCCAATGTCACTGCAGGAAGTCTTTGTTGATTTTTCTTTTTATATTTACAACGTAATAATGCTAAGATAATGGTTCTATCATGAATGAATAATTATTATGATGGTTAATAAAAATCCTTATTGCCTTATCAAAATCAGGGCCATACCTCTCTCTTGCAGATGAGAGGAATTTTTGGTTTTCTCAGCATAAAGCTGGAGAGAATAGTAGGGGAACTGTGGCCTATTTCACACCAGTGGTATAGTTGAGAGACCAAATATGTTTGAGAAGTCATTGCAGACTACTCAGATAAAAGTCACAATACTTTTGGCTTGATATTTTATCTAATAAATATCTGTTTTATGTGTTCTACTTGTAATTATTTAATTCTTACAACAGCTATTTGAAACAGGTGCTGTTTGTAATCCTATAACAAGATGAAGAAACCATGCCAAGGGCCAACTGTGTCCTGGTACCATTAAACTCTACAGCCTCTCATATGTGGGGCACTTCTGGCCTGTCTTTCTGGAAATCAGACAGACCTCCTTTGGGAAATGCACTGCACAGCCTGCAGTTGACTGGAATGGTCACTGGGAGCTGGGCTTTCATCATGGCCCCGTCAGGTGGCCAGATAAAATACAGGACACCCAGTCAAATCCTGCATGAGACTTAGACTAAAGGCCATGTCACTGTTTATCTAAAATTCAAATCTAACTATGGCTCTTGTATTTTCATTTGTTAAATCTGGCAACCTTATCAGGCCCCATTATTTATTAACTATGTGGTTTTTTTTTTTGAGACTGAGTCTCAACCTCTTACCCAGGCTGGAGTGCAGTGGTGTGATCTTGGCTCACTGCAGCCTCTGCCTTCTGGCTTCAAGCGATTCTCCTGACTCAGCATCCAGAATAGCTGGGATTACAGGCTTGTGCCACCACGCCCAACTAATTTTTGTATTTTTAGTAGGGATGGGGTTTCGCCATCTTGGCCAGGCTGGTTTCGAACTCCTGGCCTCAAGTGATCTGCCCGCTTCAGCCTCCCAGAATGCTAGGATTACAGGTGTGAGCCACCGTGCCCGGCCCCATTAACAATGAATAGTAGACTTTAGGGATGTGATTTCATCTATGTTCTAACTAACACTCTATGATTTTACAATTCATTCAGCCAACACCCACCATAGCCACAGCGAGATGTGAAATCCCTCATTAATCAAGACTCTGAAACCAAATGCCATGACTCCAGCTCTTACATGGACAGAAAATGAGGAAGGTTCAGGTCTCAGGTGACAGGAAAGGGCAGATACCTTTCCTGGTGCCTGTTGGTGGTGGTTCTGAAATGTTTTTACCCCATGAAGCTGGTGACCTCCTACAGCTCACAGCACCCTAACCCCATCTTCACCCTACCCCCATCTCTGAACAGAGACACAGACAAGATTTCCAAACTGCTCATAAGAAAACACCATTAAATCACTTGTCCTTTCAGCTGAATATGAATCTACAGAAAAATTAAAAAATTAAAAAAACCCCAAAAAATGAAAAAAAACAACCAACCAACCAACCAACCAACCAACCAACCAACCAAACACCGATCCTTTGTTTCTTCACCCAGAGGTCTCCAGCGCCTGTTCCAGACCCAGCTCATCAAGCACATTTATTTTTCCAAATTGACAGACCAGAGCTGCTTTTCAAAAGTCACTTCACTCAGGTTCTGCTTGCCTGGGTTTCTGAATTCTTGGAATTCATTGTTCTAGAGTGCCCTGCCTCTTCCAGATTTTTAAACACACCATTTTTCCTACTTTGTAGCCTACTTTGTACTAGGTCTTAGGCATATATTAAGTGTATAGAATAGGAAATTACAAATTTACCTCCTCCTTTCTATTTTTCCTTCTATTTATTTATTTTATTTTTTGAGATGGAGTCTTGCTCTGTTGCCCAGGCTGCCGATCTTGGCTCACTGCCATCTCCACCTCCACCTCCCAGGTTCAAGTGATTCTTGTGCCTCAGCCTCCTGAGTAGCTGAGATTACAGGTATGCAGCATGCAAGACCATGCTCAGCTAATTTTTGTTTTTTTTTTTTTACTTTATTTTATTTTTAGTAGAGACAGGGTTTCACCATGTTGGCCAGGCTAGTCTTGAACTCCTGGCCTCAAGTTATCCACTTGCCTCGGTCTCTCAAAGTGCCGGGATTACAGGTGTGCACCACCATGTCGGCCCTCTTGTTTTAAAGAAATACTTTTTTTCTCCACTGGGAAAGAAATATATGCTCCTTACTGAAGATTTAGATAATTCAGAAAAGTAAAAAGAAGAAGAAAAATAGTTTCGCTCCCCATAGGTAACTGCTAAAGACACATTTTGTTTTGTTTCTCTGCTGCTTTTTTCCTACATGTGGTTTTCTAGTTTGGTTTTCTTTGGGAATCTGTCTGCTCTGATATCTCACCTCTTTGGGCTTCTGGATTCTCATCTGAAAATAAGCTTGTTGATGGAAAATAAGTATCTTACTGTTCCAAGGTCATTTCCAGCACTATCACCCTAACTTTTGTCTTTGTCAGAGAACTTCGAGATTATCTGTGCTTGCAGTCTATTTGTGCACAGTAAAGGGAAGTGAGACATTCAGGGCAAATGTTAGCTGGATTACATCTGAGGTTTTATGTTCAATTCTAGACCACATCACGGAAACTGGAAGTCTTACACATTGTGATGGGAACATAAAACGGGCACAACTGTTTTGAAGGGCAATTTGGCAATATAAGTAAACAAATCTTAAAAGTTTAATTCATATCTGTGAATTTTACCGTAAGAGAAAAAAATCACTGTTTTAGGACACAGATATTCATTACAGAATTTTTAATAAAAGCAAAAGTTGAAAAAATAATGTATTATGACAACACAATCATAGGTATAAACTGAATAAATTCTATTACAGCAAAATAAAGGAATAGGATGCAGTCATTAAAATGATGTGCTGAAAGAAGACAGCTAGAAAATAATATATACAGTTATATAGTGTGATTCCATCTATGGAAGTTAAAAAATGCCTATGGTAGTCCTTGCAGGGAGTAGTGATGAGGAGGAGACACAAGGGAGATTTCTGAGGTTCTGGTCACGTTCAATTTTCTGATCTTCATCTTGGTAAGACACATGCGTCCAATTAGTGAAATTTCATCAAACAGAATACTTAAGACTTGTGCACTTTTCTGTTTTTGTATTTCGGTTGAATTACAAAAGAACTTTAAAAAATGACATGGCATATTCAGGAATACTATCTTGGAAAGATGCCCATGAGGTTTTGTTAAGTATAAAAAGTAGGTTTTTAAATTATATGATCTCATTCTGATGAAAAATGTATATTAAAAAAAATATATATATACACAGAAAAAAACTAAGAGGAATATAAATCAAAATACTAATAGTATTCATTCCCAGGTATTGGGCTGTTTGTGATTTTGTTATTGTTGATACACGTTTTCTAGAATGAAGATGTATTATTTTTTGTAAAAAGAAAAGAAATCCTTAAATTTAAAAATGTTCTCGCCAATCTGTTTTAGGAGAGATTTGGGCTGCATGTGTCTAAAGAGACATGACTTAGGGGGAAATAATAAAAGTAGAATTTATTCATTCATTCCACAAGAAAATGTGAGGAATCCACATGCGCTAGGCAGTGTAAGGACTGGGGACACAGAGACAAGAAGATAGCACTCTGCTCTTGAGGAACCTGCAATTTACAACAGAAAAAGCTGCATGTTTTTAATTGGATGAAGACATAAATCACAAGAAAAGTGTATATGTCTTCAAATATTTGAATCGGCAGGGTGGAGAGAAAGCTAATTTTCTCTGTATGGCAGGACTAGACTAAACAGTGAAAAATTTTTTTCAACCCCATTTTTTTTTCTTTTTTTTTTGAGACAGTCTCTTGTCACCCAGGCTGGAGTACAGTGGCACAATCTCGGCTCACTGCAACCTCCACCTCCTGGGTTCAAGCAATTCTCCTGCCTCAGCCTTCTGAGTAGCTGGGATTGCAGGCGCCCGCCACCACACCTGGCTCATTTTTTTGGTATATTTAGTAGAGACAGGGTTTCACCATGTTGGCTAGGCTGGTCTCGAACTCCTGACCTCAGGTGATCCGTCTGCCTCGGCCTCCCAAAGTGCTGGGATTATAGGTTTGAGCCACTGTGCCCGGCCTCCACCCCAATTTTTAATAAAACCTTATAGACAAATCTATCCAGTCTTAATCAGTTTAACCATAAGGTGAGCTTCTCATAAACCTTTTATAACCCTTTACAAATTCTTGTTAAAGAGCAGATCCATGCTCTAAGAAAACCATGTTGTGCTTTATTCCAAAAGCATGGAAAAAACTGAATAATACCCCTTTAAATTTAGCCAATATGTTCATACACAGAATCTCTTTTACAATTAATTTTTCACAAACCTTCCAAAACTTGCTCAAACATTTAGGTTTATCATATCTAATTTAAAACAATCCTTTAGCCCTCTAAACTAGGCAAAAATGTACATTCCCGTATCTTCTTATAATCTTTTACTAAAAGCACATTTCACTTCCTCACAGGCCTGGCATGTGAAACTGATGGTTTTTAGTAGTCTTAATTACATGTTACAATGTTAACTCTCAGCAATTTTTATCTTTGGTGAAAAACCTGATAGGTGATTTTAATTATGTACTAGATATAGAGCCTAGGACACCAGACAGAAATGCCTAAATATTGGAATTTCTGACAGAGCAGGTTTTGACGCAGTCTTAGGAAGACTTTCCTATGGACAACAGATGCCCAATAGAAACACACCATCTCCTCTGCTGGGGAGACCAAGTGGATGCAGCCAGCGTCTTCTACTAGGGCTCAAGGCTAGGACAGTGCCACCTGAGTTCACCTATACCACAGCAGGGTGTGAGAGGGGGTGGCATTCCTGGGGCTTTGGTGAGTAGTCCAAGAGGGATTGTTGGGCAGCTCCAAAAGAAGGACTTCAAAAGCAGGGGTGCAGCTTCTGCCTACTTGCTATGTTCTCACTTTGAGAGTAAACTGTAGGCCTCTGGGAGGTGCAGCTAAACTCTGCTGCTGCCATGGACATAGTTGGTAACAGCCACTCCACAGATGAGCATCTTCTTCCTATTGTTTTGGTGAGCATGGTCCTACCAGGGAAGATTAAAAATCAAAACTTTTTTTTTAAAAGCCAAATCCACTTTTCCTGGATTTTCCAGGAGGAGGCCTACATTAGACTCTGTCATAGAAACATGTTATCTACTTTCTCCTTCTTTGTAAAAAATTAAACCTCATGATTTTTATTGTGGGCACAAGGCTCTCTGAAATACGGACTACATTTATTAGCCTCCCTTGCAGGTGAAAGTGTCCTCCTGACCAATGAGATGTTAGTGGAACTGGTGAATGCAACTTCCAGGCAGGTCCTTAAAGGGAAGAAGCAAGTTCTTCTGCCCCATTTCCTCTTTCCTTTTTAATGGGCTTAGGACATAAGGGCTGGAGCTTCAGCAACCATTTGGGACATGAGATAACTCTGGAGAAGCCACTCAAAGGAGCAGAAAAATATAGGGAACCTGAGTCTCTGAGGCCATAGCATGTCATACCACTGCTATGACTGCTTGTACCTAAAATTTACATAAAATAAATTTCTACCTTGTTTAACTTCAGTTATTTTTTTAAAAACTTTCAGCCAAACAAAATCCTAACTGATTCAAAGTTCCAAGTGGGGCAATTGTTATTAGTCATCTATTATTAATAGGATAGTGAATATCCTGACACTCAAAATACTGAAGTCAAGACTAGATAGTTATCTGTCAGTGATGTTCAAGACTCACTTCTTGACTTGATTAGGGAATTAAGCTAGACTAACCTCTCTTTGAGCTCTGTGCTCCTCCTGCCAAACAGGAGTGAGTGAAATAGGCACAGTCTCTGATTTTACACTATCTAGTGATGTTGTGCAGTGCTGGGGCTGATATTTTAGTTCAGGATTCTTTCTTCTTTGGAGAAGACTAGAAGACAAGGGCTCTAATTTTGTTTGACCTGAGCCCTACTTTAAATGTAAACCTTTTTCTATATTTGCATCCTTCCACCCTTACATTCATGGACAGTATTAAAAGAAAAAAGTAAAAGGAGAAGGGCTGCATAACAACATTTCGCTCAATGATGAACTGCATAAAGGATGGTCCCATGATATTATAATACACTGTATTTTTACTGTGTCTTTTCTATGCTGAAATACACAAATACTTACCGTGGTGTTATTATGTATTTATACTATTTGTTATGGTAACATGCTGTATGGGTTTGCAGCCTGGGAGCAATAGGCTATACCATGTAGCCTAGGCGCATAGTAGGCTACACTGTCTAGGTTTGTGTGAGTACACACTAGGATGCTCTCATAACAAGGAAATTGCCTGATGAGGCATTCCTCAGAATGCACCCCTGTTGTTAAGTGATGCATGACTGTATATGGGAGAATTCGTGGAGGGCAGTTGTCCTCCTGGTGTTTCCTTGCCTGCCCTGCTCACCAGCTCTGGACTGGTCTTCAGTCAACATCACATTCATGCATCTAGGCCTTTCAAGGTTTGGCCCATCTCCTTCCCGTTCCTGGGCTACGAGGGGCATAGCCCTACTGCTGTGATTTGCTCCTAACTTGGAATCTCCCTGCTTGCAATCCCTCTCTCCTCAGCCCTCTCTCAAACTTAGGGAATCCCATCCATTCTTTGAGACTCCCCTCGATTCTCAGCTTTTCTAGGAAGAGACTCCAACCATTGTGGTTTCTTTGTCCTCTTACCCCTGGTAACCTTCACCGAATGGTTCTTTTTCAGTTAATTCTACACTGCGCTGTATGGGCTCTGAAGTTTTCATAAGCATGAATTCTGGCTTCACTGAACAGATTATAGGTTCTGGGATGGGTAGGAACATAAAAAAAAACAAAACAAAACAAAAAACGAACTTCACTGTACTTATCACAACGATGGATAATTCAGCCTTTGCTTGTTTTTTTGTTGCTGTTGTTGTTGTTTGTGAGATGGAGTCTCGCTCTGTTGCCCAGGCTGGAGTGCAGTGGTGCAATCTCGGCTCACTGCAACCTCTGCCTCCTAGGTTCAAGAGTTTCTCCTGCCTCAGCCTCCCGAGTAGCTGGGATTATAGGCACCCACCACACCTGGCTAATTTTTTAATATTTTTAGTAGAGACGGGGTTTCACCATGTTGCTCACTCAGGCTGATCTCGAACTCCTGACCTCAGGTGATCTGCCTGCCTCGGCCTCCTAAAGTGCTGGGATTACAGGAGTGAGCCACCGTGCCTTGCCTTCTTTTGTCTTTAATGGACACTTTATCAACACATCAACTCCAGTACACACTCCATTCTTTGAAGGATGGTGACATTTGGGACCTGTATCATCAATATAACTGTTATCTGTTTTGTATTTTGACTTTGCTTCCTCATGGTGCCAGCTACCTAATGGTGGACTAAAACCTGAGTCTAATACGGAAACCGTGTGCTACTTTACTAAGCCAAATTTACCAAAAGCTGTATCTCTTTTTTTGGTTTTATTTATTTTGTGGGAAGGGGCCATAAAGACTTTATAAAGACTCCGCATTGATCCTTCAGGACCAGAGGAAGAGTTTCTTAGTTATGGTTAGTTCTTAAAAATAGCCATGCCTCATTGTTTTACCTCAAGCCTCTGCTCTTATCATTATGGCTCTGAGATGGTTATTACTGGAAGACAGATTAGTACATTTGCTTCTGATAATGGGTCTGTATTAGTCACACCTGAGTTTGAGGAACTTGGGGGGAAGTAACTTAATCTGAGCTTTCATCATTTTCCATTCATTCATTCTAAAGACATATACTGAATGCCTACTAAATGCCAGGCATCCTGATAGGTGCTGCAGAAGCAAACCAAAAAAAAAAAAAAAAAAAAAAAAAAAAAAATGGAAAAAGGGCATGGTCTCTGTCATCTAGGAGATTTAGTAAAGGTCACCTTCCAATCAACTGGCTATCACTGGCCTTCTAGCAAATCGTCCTCTGAAGAGGTTCCCAAGGGGTCTCTCTAGGAGTCTGATGGCTGGCCTCGGCCAGGTTTCTCACTGCTGAACATTCTCTTCCTTTCTCAACAGCAGATGTTGGAATGAGAGGCAGTCTCAGTGCTTGCCTCAACAGCTCCACCCAGACCATGCTGAGGACTTCCAAAAAAACCAGGGTGTTCTGCTTGTGGCTCTTCCCCACCAGCTTTCCCTGCATTGACTACAATAGTCCAAACAGGGTCATACGCAACTGGCCCAAATAGGTTCAATGCACTTTACACCAAGGTCGCTGGGCCGGTGGTGATGGGTGGATGCGTGGCAGTAACGCGTGATCCACTTCCTAGTTGAAGGGATTCCCTGCAGCCTGGCAGAACCAGGAGGAACATCTTCAGAGTCAGTGCCCCAGACAAATATGAGAAAAAATATCACCTGAGTCGCAGTAACATGTCACAGTAAAGCAAAACAGCTACACTCTGTTACAAGAGGAAAGAGTCCTTTTTTGCCTTAACCACCTGAAGGTTGGTTTAAATATGTTTTCATTTGCAGCTAAGAAAACACTCAGACTCCTGGTTCAGAGGAGCCTGGAGCAAGTTGGAAAGGAAATACTTTGTGAGTGTTACATTTGGAGGGCCAAAATAGTCACTGACTCCTTAATCACTGGCTTGTTACTCTGCTTCATTCTTCAAGGCAAAAAATGATCTCCTATGGTAAAATGGTCTCCTACAGGGCTGGGTTGTTGACAACTGCAAGAATGTGTCAGCTAGAGGAAATGGCAGCATATAGGCAAGTTTAAGCCCAGGGCTTCAGAGACACATTCTCATTTCAACTGATTGATCTCAGCCAACTACAGCTGGTTGTAGGTGAAACACCACTTAACAGCTCAGTCCCTTAGGGAGTGTTTAATTTTAACAAGAAATGTTGAGGAAGAAACATTGAGGAAACAAACAGGAATTTAACCTCTAAACTTCTGTTATGGTTTCCTCATCTTGTTCCTTTCCTTGTTCCAATTCACTTCTGAACCCATCCTCATCCTCCTTTTCTCAAGACTCTCTCCCTCTCATTGGATGTCTCCCTTCACTCTGCATAGAGTACCTACAGTGACAGGTAATGTTTGTATTCACTAGGAGCCCTGCTGCATGTGCTAACTCATTTCACTCTCCCATCAACCCCATGACCTAGACACAATCAATACTTCCACATGACAGGTGAAGAAACTGAGGAACAGTGAGTGGAAGGATGATGCCCAAGGTCACACAGCTGTACATGTAGGAGCCGACATTCGAACTCATGTAGTGTTGCTTTTGACTAGAGCCTGTAATGCCTCCCTCTTTATAAAAATGACCTTGAGTCTCTCGTTTTAAAAATATTCCACCCTGAATATTCACTTTGCTTTAAACAGTCTCTTTCAGACTCTTTCAGAGTCAACTTTCTTGAAAGTGTTGTCTGTACAGATCCCCATTTACTTACTTCCTAGTCACCCGTAACCGTCTGGCTTTACCCCTTCCCATTCCTCTGGAACTGCTGTCACCAGTCACCAATAACTCACCTGTTGCCAAACCCCACAGACAATTTTCATTATACTTTAGTGAACCTTTCCCAGAAGAAAATTTTCCTCCCTTGCCTGCTGTGATGCCATTTGCTCTAGATATCCCCCTTTCCTCCCTGTGCTCTTCTCCTCTGGCTCTGGCAGGGCTCTTGGGAAGGTTTCAGGTCTTAGCTCTCTTCCAGCCTCACCCTCCCTAAGTTCACTGGGTGACTTCTTGCACACACATGGCTTCACATCTGTGTCTATAGCCAGAACTTGTATTTTTGGTGTCAGCTGTGAAAAATCTCTTGTTTAATGTACATCACTGCTTGGATATCTCATAAGCATCTCAATCTTAAGATGTTTAAAACTGGCCAGGTGCAGTGGCTCATGCCTGTAATCCCAGTGCTTTGGGAGGCCAAGGCAGGTGGATGGCTTGAGCCCAAGAGTTCAAAACCAGCCTGGGCAACATGGTGAAAATACAAAATACTCTACCAAATAAGCCGGGCGTGGTGGTGCGTGCCTGTAGTCTCAGCTACTCCGGGGGCCGAGGTGGGAGGATCACCTGAACTTGGGAAGTCGGGGTTGCAGTGAGCCATGATTGCACCACTGCACTTCAGCCTGGGTGAGAAAGGCTGACAACAACAAACAAAAAAGTTTAAAACTAAACTCATCTGTCTCTCAAACTCTATTTCTTCTGCAAATTCCTTCTCTTTGCATGGCACTTCTGTCTCTGGAATTGGTTCCTTCCAGTGGGTTCTTGGTCTCACTGACTTCAAGAATGAAGCCACGGACCCTCGTGGTGACTGTTACAGTTCATGAAGATGGTGTGTCCGGAGTTTGTTCCTTCACATGTTCGGATGTGTCCGGAGTTTCTTCCTTCCGGTGGGTTTGTGGTCTTGCTTGACTTCAGGAGTGAAGACGCAGACCTTTGCAGTGAGTGTTACAGCTCTTAAAGGTGGCACATCCAGAGTTGTTTGTTCCTCCCGGTGGGTTCATGGTCTCGGGGACTTCAGGAGTGAAGCCGCAGACCTTCGCAGTGAGCGTTACAGCTCTTAAGGGTGGCACGTCCGGAGTTGTTTGTTCCTCCCAGTGGGTTCGTGGTCTTGCTGCCTTCAGGAGTGAAGCCACCAGTGAGTGTTACAGCTCATAAAGGCAGTGCAGACCCAAAAAGTGATCAGCAGCAGCAAGATTTATTGTGAAAAGCGAAAGAACAAAGCTTCCACAGCATGGAAGGGGACCCCAGTGGGTTGCTGCTGCTGGCTGGGGTGGCCAGCTTTTATTCCCTTATTTGTCCCTGCCCACATCCTGCTGATTGGTCCATTTTACAGAGTGCCGATTGGTCCATTTTACAGCGTGCCAATTAGTCCATTTTACAGAGTGCTGATTGGTCCATTTTACAGAGTGCTGATTGGTCCATTTTACAGAATGCCGATTGGTGCATTTTTACAGAGTGCTGATTGGTGCGTTTACAATCCTTTAGCTAGACACAGAGTGCTGATTGGTGCATTTACAATCCTTTAGCTAGACACAAAAGTTCTCCAAGTCCCCACCCAACCCAGAAGCCCAGCTGGCTTCACCTCTCACTTCCATCCATGTGGCTGTCTAAACCAGCTGCTTCTGAGACATGCTCAGGTCCTTTCATTCACCTGTTCCCATAATGGATCTTTATGGTCCATTGATTCTGCCTCCTAAATCTCTTGGATCTGCTTTTCTTTTTTCACCTCAACTGTCTCCTTTTTCCTTACCTGAATGACCATTCTGATGACCTTGGCTGACCTCCTGCTGAAGCCTAGGCTTCCTGTCCTGGTTGGCAGAGTGCTCCATCTGAAGTTGGAAGCTGATGATGTGTCACTGAGTAAAAGCCTTCATGGCACCTCACTGCCACAGGATGAAGTTCATACTATCTCTCCTGGGATCACAGTCTCTCATGACCCAGATTTTGCCTTGTCTTCAGCTCTGCTCTTACCACTTCCCATCCATCTCATCTCTGAGGCTGCCTCCTGCACACACCATTCCCTCAGTCCTTGCCTTAGGCTCACCCCCACTTTCTTCCCAGTTAGCACTTGGCCAATTCCTTTTCTTCTTTTGGACTCAGCTCTGACTTCCTCTCTCAACTCTGATCCCTACTTCAGTCTTGCTCCCCATTGCCTGTGCCTCTGCCATTGCGTGTGCCAAGCTGTGCTATTTGTTGGCTTCCTCCCTACAACATGAGCTCCTTTAGACTGGGAAGACTTGCCTTTCATCTTTGTATCCTTAGGCTGCCATTTTGCTGATATATAGTAGAAACTCAATAAATGTGTCAAATGAACTAACAAAATTCACCCAAAGCCATATATACCTAACAGATGAATGTACTATAGCAGAGAGAGAATATCTTTATCATGTGGGGAGTTTAAGCACCCCCCTTTAAGTCTATATATCTGCTTGTGTAGGATTTTCCCCCTCCACCTCCATACTAGGCCACTGTTTGAGATCAGTATACAGGGGAGCTTCTCCATCCCACCCACAGAGAAAATCTCAGCATGACCAGGTTCCCTCAGACCCACTCAGCATCACACGCTCAAACACTTGCTGATTGCTGCCAATGGCCCTCAGAAGTAGTTTTGGCAGTGCTCACAAAACAAGTGCCTATGCTATTTCTTTACGGTAAAAGACATAGCATAAATTCTAAAATCACTGTACTTTCAGTGATGGTTTAGGGTACTTTTATGGGTTCAAATTGTTTCCTGTTTTGAAGTTAAAATGGAATTTTACATACTTGAGAGAAACATGGCTGGGGTAGACAGAGGTCTTTGTCATTAATATTCACTTGCTATCGTATTTGACCTTTGTTTTCAGACACCAATGGCTAGATACATAGGCGCAAAGTAAAACAGAAAATTGCAGTACTTATTCAAATAATTATGGCAAACGTCTCTCACCCACTATATTCCCACAACTTCACCTACATTTTGGTTTCCTTGCTTTTACAGAAACTTCTAGAGCATGGGCTTTGATGTCTGAGAAACTTGGGTCTGAGTCTCAATTCTGTCACTTATTAACTGTGTAACCTTGGGAAAGTTATTTAACCTTTTTGAGCCTTGATTTCTTCCATTTCTTCCCTGTAAAATGGGGAAGAATATGAGTGCTGATGACTGGTGTGAGGATTAAATAAGATACTGCATATGGGGGCCGGGTGCGGTGGCTCACACCTGTAATCCCAGCATTTCAGGAGGCCGAGGCAGGCAGATCACGAGGTCAGGATATTGAGACCATCCTGGCTAACATGGTGAAACCCCGTCTCTATTAAAAATACAAAAAAATTAGCCGAGCGTGGTGACGGGCACCTGTAGTCCCAGCTACCCGGGAGGCTGAGGCAGGAGAATGGCGTGAACCTGGGAGGCGGAGCTTGTAGTGAGTTCAGATAGAGCCACTGCACTCCAGCCTGGGCAACAGAGCAAGACTCCGTCTCAAAAAAAAAAAAAAGATACTGCATATGAAGACAGCACAGTATCTGGAACACAGTAAGTCACCAGTATATGTTAGTTTTAATCTTGCTATTAGGTAATAAAAATGAATATTTTAGGCTAGAGGATGGGGTTTTTGACTTATTTAATTGCCTTCATGCTTCACTTCCTTGGGCTATGTCTCTGTTGTACAAGTTTCCAATTAAGAGAACAGTTAACAATGTGTTAACTTGTTAGTCGCTCAAATTTGGAGTTGACAGAGATTTTGTTATTTTAAAAGAAATCCAGAGGAGATAAGGGGTTGGCCCAAGGGTACACAGAACTTGGATACAAACACAAGACTTTGGGTATTCTCTCCTCTCCAGTGCTGGGGCCTGCTAGATCCTGCAGCATCTGCTACTGCCCCCTGATCATTCAGAGTGGCTCTCTAAACAAGCAAAAGAGGCTCTCAGTGAGTCAGCCTGGAGATGTCCCTTAACTCAATTGCTAATCAATAACCAGGATAACACAGACAAGGAACATTGGCCATTTCCTTGAATACACTTAGCCTTTAGTGAACAGGCCAAATACCTAAAACTTCATCAGGTGACTCAGCTGGTGAATTAATAGTGCTTCCAAAGATTTCAACCAATGGGTAGGGACACAATGAGTATGAGGCCTCCATTCCCTTTACTGGTAACCTCATGTACTTGGGCTCTTTTCTGTTTAGCAGTAATTTGCCCTTCTAGATGAGTCCTAAATTCCTGCCATGTCATGCAGTGTTGCAAGGACTGTTTTATGTCTTTTTGAATTTCACGGTTCTTTGACCATAATAAGCCCTTGATAAAGGCTTATTAATTTGCTTTGATTAAATGAAGAATGCATTGCATTCTAGTTCAACATTACTTGGAACCCTTTTGCAGTGAAAAGGTTTGTATCATTAAGTAGGTTCATTGTCACCACAAAATGCCCACATTTCTCCAACATTAGAAAGATATCTCATTAGTTGGTAAATGCATTTGAGGGTCTCTTGGAAAGTAGTCCAATGTCTCTTTTTCTTTACTCTACCATCCTGAATGGCCTGGACTTTGAAAATACAGGTGTCGGGCCTGGAAGAGTGTGAAAGAGGCCCTTGTGTCTGCATCCCTTCAGGAGAGAAAGAACTGTGGAGATCTGGTGTCTGTGTTTGGAGCTGGAACAGTGCTCCAGTTGGGCCAGGCCAAAGGCTGGAGAGTCAGATGGCAACTTATTTTGTAGGTGATCCCAGCTGTATGTGTCAGGGTTCTCCAGAGAAACAGAAGCGACTGGACGTATATATCCTGTTGCTTATTATTCCCATTATAAGCCCATATATACATATGGGCTCATTATGAGAATTGGTTCACTCCATTATAGAGGCCAAGGAGTTCCATAATAGGCCTTCTATAAGCAGAGGAACAGGGAAGGTGGGGGAGTATAGTTCAGTCTGAGTCCAAAGGCCTGAGAACCTGGGGGGGGCTGCTGGTGTCCAAGGGCAGGAGAAAATGGATGACCCAGCTCCAGAAGAGAGAGAGCAAATTCATCTTTCCTCGGCCTTTTTGTTCTAGCTGAGCCAGAACAGATTGGATGGTGCCCACCCACACTGGTGAGGGTGGATCTTCCTTACTCAGTCCACTGATTCAAATGCCAATCTCTTCTGGAAATACTTTCACAGACACAGCCAGAAATAATGCTCTACCAGCTAGCTGTGTATCCCTTAACCCAGTCAAGTTGACACCTAAAATTAACCATCACACCTGCCCCTAGCTCATGAGCTGCCCGATTTCACTTCAGAGTGGAAACACAATCAAATCCAGTCTGGGTTTTCTTAGTCCAATCCAGTGATTTCTGATAACCTTGATAGTCCAGTTCAAAGTTCAGTCTCCATGTCAGGGCCATTCTCCCACCTTGCAGGTTTTCTTTGCCCTCCCTTCAGTTCTCGTTCTTCCTGGTGCTGTTGCTCCCCTAGGCTGTACCCCCTCCACCTTCCATCCAGCCCCCTGCTTTGGGACCTCCTGCTACAGTCCTCTTTGTCTTCTTCTGACAAGTGCACAGACTTTCCTTTTAGTTATCCCTTGCACTACTGGGCACAGAGAAACACTCAGAACTTTTTCCAGGCCTACAGGAGCCCAGAGAAACAGGGCTTTCAGCAGATGCGCTATTTTCCCCCTGACATCTTCCTCACATTTTTGAGGTTATTTGCTTGGAAAGGCACAAGGAACTTTTTCCCTTTGAGATCCCTAAGTGCTAAATCTGGGGTTTCTCTCTGTCCTATGTATGTGCTCAACACACCCACCCCAACCCCCAAGTAACCCCATGGTGGTGGTTCTCAAAGTGTGGTCCACAGACATTAGAGGTCCCCTATATTCATTATAACACTAAGAGGTTATTAGCATTTCGGAGGTGGTGCAGAAGCAATGGTTGTAAACCTGTGGTGCACGGCAGCAGTGTTATTAGTCCTGCTGTACTAGTTGTGTGCTTCATTACCATGTACTCACAGTAAAAAACAGAGAAAAGAAAGAAAATGCCAATGTTACATAAGAATGCCCTTGATGAAGCAGTAAAAAAGACACATTTTATTTAATTTTTACCCTTAAGCACACATCATTTTAATATTTTGTGTGACAAAATGGGAAATACGCATAAGGCCCTTTAGCACACCTATGGTTTTTGCTTTTGTTTTGGGAAAAGCACTTGTGTGATTATTTAAGTAGCTGAATCAGTTGCTTTTAAAAGTGAACACTGTATCTACTTTCTGAAAGAGCATCTAACAAACGAACTGTGGTTTTTTTCAGACTTGAGAATCTGGCAGAAATTTTCTTGAAAATAAATAAAGCCTGTCACTTCAAGAAAAAACAAAAACAACAGGCAGTGATTTTTGCAAAAATCCATGCTTTCAACCTCCAGATCCACCACTTAGTATCTAATAACTGAACTCCCTAATGTCTTACTTGAAAAATCAGGAGAGTAATAGTGCTTACTCCAGAAGATGGATAGGAGCATTCAATAAGATAACATTATAAAGTGCTTTATGTAGTGTCTGGTACGTGTTAACTGCTCAATAAATGTTGACTGCTATTACAGCTACACTGAGTTAAAATAATCCGAGTTCTTTCATATTTAATTTAACCAAATACGTGGGTCAATTCCATCAAAAGTGCTCATGTTAAGCAGCAGGTAGATACTTTAAATAATCAATTCATGGCTGAGCACGGTGACTCATGCCTGTAATCCCAGCACTTTGGGAGGCCAAGGCCGGTGGATCACGAGGTCAGGAGTTCGAGACCAGCCTGGCCAACATGGTGAAACCCCGTCTCTACGAAAAACACAAAAATTAGCCGGGCGCCATGGCAGGCGCCTGTAATCCCAGCTACTCGGGAGGCTGAGGCAGGAGAATCACTTGAAAACAGAAGGCGGAGGTTGCAGTGAGCCGAGATAGCACCACTGCACTCCAGCCTGGGAGAAAGAGCAAAACTCCATCTCAAAAAAAAAAAAAAAAAAAATTCAATTCATGTTTTTTTAATAATAAGGCAATAATGAAATGGCAACATGGCTATAATGAAATAGTGCCAGGCATTGCAATATTGAGTTTTAAGCAAAAATTCTTATTACTCCAGTTTTCCTTAGGAAAATAGATAGGACTATTTTTGTAGTGGTTAAAAATGCACAAATTAACATAAAATATTGCCAAAATACCTCCCAAAGTTCACTACTTAAAAACAGTTTATCACAGCATCAATGCCAATGTACACCAGGCCACGTGTGTCCCAGACACATTGAAAGCTATGGCCTTTGAATGATGTCTTGATCATTATGTTGTTAATACCATACCTCACCTGAAAAGTCAGATGTGTTTCCCAAATTGGAGCACTTCTACCCAAGCTTTGGATATAAATTAGTAGGAATTTAGATTATGTCACATTTTGGGCATAGGCAGGCAATGAAAAATGGAGAAGGGAAAAAGACGCCAGAATAAATGGGCTCATAGCAAAATAATGATCAAGAGATTTAAAAAAAAAAAAAAAGAAAAAAGGAAAGAAATGTACCAGAAAAGGTTGTGAAAAACTGTAGGAACCTGTTAGTGGGACATAATGAGGCCCTTTAAAGGCTATTTTTACATTTTCCAAATAATTTTCAGTTTTCAGAAGTGATTGAGCTCCTGTCTTGTATATCAGTGCAGGTTCTTATATCTTGTATGTGAACAACTGAAGTCCATAGAATCTTTTTCAATCCTTTGGATCATCTGGTCCTACCCTGTGGGAATCCCTTCTTTGTTTTTTGAAAAGTATTTCTTTATAAACAGCTACTGAGCTGCTTTCTTCGGGAACAAGAATATATAGTCACACATTATTCAAAGGGTGGACTGGGTCCGTCCTTGCCACCTTCCCCTTTGGTGCAGATGGTACACTTGCCCTGAACATTTTTTCCACTCAGATGACCATCAGGGCTATCACCTGCTCCCACCTGTGACTACTGCCCTGCAAATGAGCAAGAAACAGCACCAGCTCAGGGGAAAAGTTGCTTTTGCTTGCTCTCAGTGAGAGGGTAGCAGCTTCATGGAGAAAGGAGCATCTGATTAGGCTCCTAATTAACATGAAAACCATCCTGCAAGAAACAGCCACAGCAGCAACAAGCTGCTTGTCAGTTCTAGGCCAGGAATTCCAATTGCAATTTTGGTTGTTATGGAAACAGACCACACTGCTTCTTAAAGAATTCATTATTCCAACAAATATTTGTTGTTCTAGTCATTAAGTAGTACCCAAATGAATGATGTAGACACAAGGGAGGAGGAGCGCAGAGGAGGAAGGATGGTGATTACAGCGGAGTTCTCAGGGAGCTAGAACTTAACCCTGACCTTGGGGCATGATTAATAGGGGAGAAGACATTTCAAGTGAAAGGGCTGGCAAAGTGCGACAAGCTCAAGCGATAATAAGGATGCAGGTGTGGCTGGAGCCAAAGATTGACATGGGAGTGTGGCGGGAAATGGGAAAGACCAGAAGGCCAGTCTAAGAAGTCTGGACCTTTCTGTGGACAAAAAGGATCTAATGGATATGTTAAAACAGGGGAAGAATGCTTTAGGCATATTAATTTTGTCTTAAGGCGAATAGTGAGGATGTCAACCTAGACTCTGGCTAATACTGCAGCCCCAATGTTTTTCGGGTATATGCCAAGACAATAATTTGAAAAGTGACAATCCAGTCATCTTCTCAAATAGACAAAACCACTCTGTTTCACTGAAAGTGAACTCATCAAAACAGCTATGGGTGTGTCTATGACATCTGGAATATTTTCATAAGGTTAAATTGACTTACAATAAAGCAGTCCCAAAATACCATTCTGCCACCTGTCAAGGACATATTTAGAACTAAGGCCTTAATTCTCAGAGTTCAGTATGTACAGTAGAAGAAGAGCAGTCGTTTTCCCTTGTATCACAGTGGCTTTGTACCTTCTATGGCCCAAACAGCAAGCTGAAATCTCTTTTACTAGAAGAGTGACTGATCAGTAAATTGAAATACAGGAGAGTTTTGTTAGATAGAAGAAAAATCTTTTGCTCAGTGCAGCAATTCTTAGAGGGTGGTCTGTGGACCCTTGGAGGTTTCGAGCTTTGTCTAATTCCAAAGATCTTCTACTGTGCTGTTTGACCTTTTGAAGGGCACAGGACTTAGTAACAGGTGAGGTCTTTAGTTATGCCTAGAGAGAAGGAAGTGGCATTTGACAACGCATTTCACAGTTCAACTGTGAGTGTTAAACAATGGATAAATCTGAAGTAATATTACTGCCAAGACAGTAACAACCACCACAAAACATACTGTATTATTTTTGGAAGCTTCTTTGGACCACATTATTAAAAACACAGATTTCTATGTGATAATAAAGGGCTCTGTGATGGTTAATACTGAGTGGACTTGATTGGATTGAAGGATACAAAGTATTGATCCTGGGTGTGTCTGTGAGGCTGTTGCCAAAAGGGATTAACATTTGAGTCAGTGGTCTGAGGAAGGCAGATCCACTCTTAATCTGGTGGGCACAATCTAATCAGCTGCCAGCAAATATAAAGCAGGCAGAAACATGTGAAAAGGAGAGACTGGCCTACCCTCTCAGCCTGCATGTTTCCCCCATGCTGGATGCTTCCTACCCTCAAACTCCAAGTTCTTCAGTTTTGCGACTCGGACTGGCTCTCCTTGCTCCTGAGCTTGCAGACAGCCTGTTGTGGGACCTTGTGATCACGTAAGTTAATACTTAATAAATTCCTATATGTATATATGTATTCTATTAGTTCTGTCCCTCTAGAGAACGCTGACTAATACAGGCTCCTACTGTGAATTCCTAGCTGTCAAGTTTAAAGGGTCTCCCCTTTTCCTAACTTGGCTCCTAATATAAAGATTGAATAGAAAATATAAGACTCTGTATGGTCTGGATGCCAGGAAAATTGATTATTAAAACTTATGTGGAAAAGGGAATTTTAGTAATCTATAGCACAACTAATTTTCCTTTGCAATTATGACATTGGGTTACTCTTCAATAAGAGATATAAGCAATATATAGTTTTACTTTCTGAAAAAAACGTAAAATAAGTGTGGGAAGAGTCCATCCAGTTTCCACAGTTAAGGTCAGCTAGAGGTAAGCAGATGACAACTGGAACTAAGGTAGGTCTCAAGAATTCCCACTGCTTGACACATACTGTTCTCTTTGCCTCCTCTCACCTCCCATTCATCCCTTCACTGGGCCCATCTCTCCTTTTATCTCTCTGCTTAAATGTTACATTCTTAGGGAAGCCTTCCCTGGTCACCCTCTCTAAAGTAATCACCTAATTTTACTCCAAACACTTGACCCAGGTTGTTCCCTATTTCAGCTCTTTGGTTCCTTCCTAATACTTTTCAAGGTTAATGATATATCCATTATTCTCTTCATCTAAGATGGCAGCTCTGTGACTCCTCACTGCCCAGCAGGGGTCCAACAGTCAATAAGCATGTGTCAGATGGCTGAATGTGTGAGACAGCTTGCGTTCAGGTTAACAACCAACACAACTGAGTGGCAGAGGAGGGAGAAGCCTGGAGTGAGGAACTACAGTCAGAGACCCTGGTCCTCTCCCTGATACCAGTTAATTGAATGACTGTGATCAGACCCCTTAACTTCTCTGGGCCTCAGTTTCCTCATCTAACAATGAGAGAACTTTACCCAGAGATTTCCAAGGAGGCACTCTGATCTTAACTTGCAAGAGTCTTAAGTTTATCTGATTATATTTCTGTAGTGTTGACAACCATTCTTTTCCCACTCATTGAGGAGGTGTGGACCTTTTCATTATTTCTGAATATAAATAGACATTTTCTGGAAAATGTACAGGTAGGTGTACTAATTTTTTGAGGCACTTGAATGATTAGAGGAAAAAGTACTAAGTTTTGAAAGGATAATATTTGTCCTTTTTTTATGCATTTTTAACTACTGCACAACTAGTTCCCTTTATTTCCATGAGGAAAACTGGAAATCTGGCCCTCACACACTCATTAGCTTCATAATCTTGGACAAATTCCTTAACCTTTGTGAGTCTCATTTTTCTTGTCTATGTAATAGATATGTAATAGGAATAGACTAGGTAATGGGATTGTATAAGGATTAATTGAGATAACCTGGAGCATAGTGGGTGCTCAGAAAATGTTGGTAAACCTCAAACACATTTTCTCCCACAATTAATCCATCAATAAGTTTCACTGTACTAGAGCAAAGAGCAAATTAGATAGTTTTTACTGTTTGCTGTATAGAATCAGGATCTGGCTATTGAGCTATATTTGAACATGAGGCAATTGATGCATTCAGTTTAGGAAGGAGGGGGTCAGTGTTTAAACTGAAAAGATGTGTGTTAGATTTTAATACATGACAACCTCTTACCTTTTTAATGCACTTTGTTATTGTAGAGCTAAACTCAGAAGTTTGACATTCTTTCAAGCCCTACTTTTTCCATGCTGAAAAGATACAAATCCCAAAGCAATATACAACTGCATACGTGAAAGAAATAACCGGAAAACTTGGGGTACTATTTTGACCAAAAAGACTTCAAAACAGGATGAGAAATAAATAGTCTCTTTCACTACCAAATTCCTTTTTTTTTTTTTTTGACAGAGTCTTGCTCTGTCACCCAGGTGGAGTGCAGTGGCGCGATCTCGGCTCACTGCAAGCTCTGCCTCCCGGGTTCACACCATTCTCCTGCCTCAGCCTCCCGAGTAGCTGGGACTACAGGCGCCCGCCACCATGCCCGGCTAATTTTTTTTTGTATTTTTACTAGAGATGGGGTTTCACTGTGTTAGCCAGGATGGTCTCGATCTCCTGACCTCGTGATCTGCCCGCCTTGGCCTCCCACAGTGCTGGGATTACAGGTGTAAGCCACCGCACCTGGCCCACTACCAAATTCTTATTATTAGCAATTGTATTGTTAGAAAATGCAAGGGCTGTTACTCACCAATTATGAAAATAATTTTACACTTTCTCAAATCTTCCATGAAACCTTTAAAATAAGAATAACTTAAGTTATTGGCAAGAAAAACTGTACTGAAGCCCTGGTTTTACTCATATTATATAAAAACCCAAACCTTGTAGTTTTATTTGATAAAAAGCTTGAAGTTGAATAAATGTGTGAATAGGCTACAATTAGTAGGCACCAATGACCATTTCAGTGTTTTTGTTTGTTTGTTTGTTTTTTGAGATGGTCTCACCCTGTTGCTCAGGCTGGAGTGCAGTGGCTCGATCTTGTCTCACTGCAACCTCCACCTCTCAGGTTCAAGCCATTCTCCTGTCTCAGGCTCCTGGATAGCTGGGATTATAGGCATGCCACCACACCTGGCTACTTTTTGTATTTTTATTAAAGAGGGGGTTTCACCATGTTGGCCAGGCTGGTCTTGAACTCCTGGCCTCAAGTGATCCACCTGCCTTGGCCTCCCAAAGTCCTGGGATTACAGGTGTGAGCCACCGTGCCCTGCTTATTTCAGTCTTATTCCCCCACCCCGGTAATGTATTTTTATTTTAACATGCACGATCAACTTTTGGTGGCAAAAATTTACGTCATTTAATAGCATGAATCACAAAGAAAGCTATTTTTAAAAATTACTTTTAAATCATCCTAACTATCTCAGTTTGGTGTTATTTCACATTTAAAACATTTGCTAAGCTTCCTTTATATACAGATGGTTAAAACACAAGTAGAGTATCTGGGAAATAATATTTTAAAAAATAGTTTCACTTAGAGCAAATAATGTTATTTTACATTTAAGGTAGTGATATAAAATTTCCTTTTAAAATAAATGTATCTGAGTAACAGCAGTTCATATTTTCTGTAGATAACTACTTTTGAAAGTTAGATCATTATTCTGACAGGAAACATTTTTTAGTGAAATTGGGGTAGTTCATTTATATGCACGATACCACATTTTGTAGGAATTCACAATCAGCTGAGTGAAGCCCCAACTCTACCAGAGAAAGAGAGAGCATGGGGCATGATGAATTGGGTTGGGGACAAAGAGAGGAGAAAGAGCTGGAAACAGAGGATAGAAGTAAGTTTGGGATCGTTGAAACCATATGGTTTCCACAACAAAAAACAAACAAACAAAGAGAATTTTTAAATCAAATCCAGTCTCTTTACAGAATAACCCATGGTGACAGGAAACACCTTACATTGTTTGGAGTTTTCTATTAAAGGCAGATACACTGGTGTTCCTAACATGTGGAACCAGATGGTCATCTCAGGTTCTCTAGCCTGTGAGTTTACATTTACGAAGCTGAGGAACTCTGAGCCTATTTGCAATCTAGGAAAATGGTCCTGGTTATTATTGTGATTTTTTTTGGTATGATTGTATCCTATTTCAGTTTTAAAAAATAGTTGTTTTAAAATGAATGATGGTACATGACATTCATCTAATGTAGTCATTACAAATTAAGTATATAGTTTTTAATGACATGGGAACATGTTTATGTTGTGATATATACAAAACATTTGGAGATACTTATATATACACATGCATTCTCAACTATGTAAAAATAGATATATAGGCAATGCATTGGAATGAAATGTACCAAAATGTTAACCATGATAATTTATGTCATAAGGTTTTAAATGGCTCTTATTTTATACGTTAAAAAATTTCTATAGTATGTGTTAATTTTATAACTAGAATAAAAGAGAAAATTTCTTAGGCAATCAGTCATCCCCTATCCAGTTGAGACCAAGTTGATTATTTGCACTTAGCTAAGTGACAGCTAAGTTATGGCTCATATATTTGTACCTCTCCTCATGAATCACCAAGATGTCATTTGGTGACTGTGATTTTCACATACTGCTCTTGCCATTATCATCAAATGACACTTTACCCACCACCTTGTGCTCATGGATCTGTGCAGGATTAGAGCTGGGGTTATTTAAAAAGCTAAATCACTTACTTATATGTGTTTAGAATCAATACTATAAACATATTTCCATGACTTATATTATAACTTTTATTACAGGGTAGATATGTTAGAAGGTATTTTTACTTAGGACAATTATGAACCTTTTCTTTTTTGGATAGTCCCAAATTCACATAATCATATCTATTTTCAGTTACATGCATAGCTAGTTATGGGTGGAATTTTTACTTTTTGCAAGACTTTTTTTTTTTTTTTTGAGACGTAGTCTCACTCTGTCGCCAAGAGTGCAATGACGCAAACTTGGCTCACTGAAACCTCATCGTCCTGGGTTCAAGCAATTCTCCTGCCTCAGCCTCCTGAGTAGCTGGGATTACAGGTGTGCACCACCATGCCTTTCTAAATTTTTTTGTATTTTTAGTAGAGACAGGGTTTCACCATATTGGCCAGGGTCTTTAATTCCTGACCTCAAGTGATCCGGCCGCCTTGGCCTCCCAAAGTGCTGGGATTACAGGCGTGAGCCACTGCACCTGGCCATTTGCAAAACTTTTAATATGACAAAAATTACAAAGCAGTATAATCCTGGTGTAGGGTAGGTTGAGTTCCAAAGGTACACGTGGAATAGTAACTACCAGGCAGGAAAAATATTTTTGTGTTTCAATTATGTTTAATGAATGTTGAATTAAAGTTTAACAACTCTTTTTACTGCAGGACTTGTGGGAGCTTTGGATGCTATTATATACTTGGATCTTCCAGTGGGGAGTTGGTGTTAAGCATGTTTCAAAGATATTTGAGTAGAGCATCCTCTTTTCGCTGAGCCTCTCGGGAATCATGTTCTCTGGGCAGTTAAGAAATGCATCACTTAGCAATGCACCCCTTTGGTTCTTTACATGGATGGAGGCAGGAAAGACCCAAAGAGTTCTACTCTTAATCATGCTCCCTGGCCAAGGAAAAAGTGATGCTGTTAATATTTTTTCTCTCAAGTTGATGTTTAATTAAAAAGGCATGGTCAAAGTTACTAAAATGACAACTTTGATCTGATCAGTAAGGAAAACTCACCTCCCATAGTGTCCTCTCCAAATACATTTAACTGGTCATCACCCTGTTAAAAAAATCACAATATTAGATAATAATAACAGCAGGTATTTTGCTGAACTCCTTGGCAACACTGGCCTACTTGAACTTCCTAACAACTGTAAGAGGGAGGCACCTCCAAACAATTTTATGAGGGACAATATTTTACAGACAAAGACACTGAGAATTCTAAAAGTTAACTTTCCAAAGGTGACAGGGTAGTGAGGGACAGAGCTCAGAATTAAACCTGGGTCATCTGTCCCAAGTACATGCTCTCTTCTTAACCAGTACAGTATCTCACCTCTTTTTTTTTTTTTTTTTTTTTTTTTTTTTTTTTTTTTTTTTTTTTTTTAAAGTGCAAAAACTATCTGTGGACAGGAAGGCTGACTTCAAGAAGACAAAATCCTTTGGTATCAGAAGCTTAGTGGTAGGTGTGATCACAGCGGTTTTATGAGTAACTCCAAATTTTAAAGCTGGGGTTGGAAACAGTTTTCTGTAAAGGGCCAGATAGTAACTATTTTCATCATTGTGAGCAACATGTCCCCTGTAGCAACTACCATTTTTTTTTTTTTTTGAGACATAGTCTCGCCCTGTTGCCCAGGCTGGAGCGCAGTGGTGCAGTCTCGGCTCACTGCAACCTCCACCTCCCGGGTTCAAACAACTTGGGCCTCAGCCTCCCCAGTACCTGGCAATACAGGCATGTACCACCGTGCTGCGCTAATTTTTGTATTTTTAGTAGAGACAGAGTTTCACCATGTTGGCCAGGCTGGTCTCAAACTCCTGACCTCAAGTGATCTGCCTACCTCGGCCTTTCAAAGTGCTGGGATTACAGACATGAGCCACCGTGCCCGGCCCCTACAGGGCAACTATTTAGCCATAATTTGCCAATCCCCGAACCAAAGCATGAAATAAAGGAAGTAGGGGTGATCAGTTTTTATTGATTCCTACCTTAAAGTTTTCATTAAAAAATAATTTAATCAAACAGATGCTCTATTCCTTATGGAGTAGCCCATGGTGGTTGGAAAAAAATTCAGAAAAACATTTTATAAAAAGGCACTAGGTGAGAACTCTCACTCTCACCTATGTCTTCACCTGTATCATTTCTCCACTCTGTCACCCCTCATAGGTAACCACTTATACAGATTTTTCTTGAGGCAAACAAAAATGACTTCTAGATATCCAGGGATACATGTGAACATAAATAGATATTATGATCTCCACTTCTTATACAAAAGCATTATACTTTTATTATACATGCATATGTGTTTACGATATAATACTATTCTATAATACATTGCTCCTCCACTTGCTTTTTCTCTGATCAATGTATCCTGGAGAAATTTCCATATAAGTACAGAATGTTCTCAGTACCAAATATCATCAGTTGCACAGCATTCTATTGTATATGTGGTACCATAATTGTTGTTGTTTAATTAGTCCTTTATTGATGGATCAGTGAGTAGTTTCCAGTCTCAAACTTTTTTTGGAAAAAGTGGCACAGTGAGTAAATTGGCATAAATATCATTTCATACTGCAGGCTAAATTTCGAGAGAGGGGACTGCATGGTCAAAGAGTAAATGTATTTATAATTTTGATCGAATTTTGCCAAACTGCTCCCCACAGAGGTTGTACCATTTTGAAGGGACAGCCTCTGGCTTGTGCTTTATGCTGGCCTCTTGCCTCTAATTCACTTTGATGCCTGAGTCAGTTAAATGAGGTTGTCTGGTTGTATTAACACTCCCTTGAGGTAAACCGCCCTCAAAACACTTTATTTAAAGACAGATTCTTGCTGTCCTGTTTAGAATATATGCCTTCAGGGAAATTTTACTGCTCATCTTCTTAGAGTTGCCTGTGCATTCAGTGCTATTCCAGGTAAGAGAAGAGCTATTAACAGAGTGGTCATTCAGGGACACATTTACATTAATGAATTCTCTTCTGTGAATAGAAAAAACATCAATTATTCCTCAACAAGCCTCTCCACCACTTCCCTTGTTGAAATTACCGCAATTCAGAGCTTGGAGTTTAGGGATCACCTAATCCAATCCTGCCACCCACTCTTCCATTTTACAGATGAGGAAACTGATGTTCAGAGAGGTCATGCGAAGGGCCCATGGCCATGCCGTCATGTCCTTAGTGACGTCAGGATGGGATGAGAACCACTTCTTTTACCACTTTGCATGGCTGCTATGCATTTGGTCTCATCAGTGTAGGGGCATCCCCTCTCCTCTGCTCACCTGGCCAGGCACCCAGCCACCGAACTGCTGCTAAGGGCCCACTACAGTCTGGCTCCCTGCCTCAAGCTGGGATGAATCCATGGTGCAAGCTGAGCCCCAGAGCTCACCATGGTCTCAGGCTGAAGTTAGGATGGAGCCAGGACCACATCTTTGCTTAGCTCTTACCCCTGCCCTATCCTGCTTCTCCTCAGAGGGCTCCCTAATAATGCACTTGCATGAGAATTCTTGTCTCAGGCTCTGCTTCTAGGGGAAAAATATCAATTACTGCTCAAGACAGGGACCTTGAGGAGTTCCCAAATTCTCAGGGAATTTTGGATTTAAGACAGGGACCTATTTGAAGCAATTAATAAGTTTGCCTAAGGTGCAGCTGCATAGAACAGGCTCAAGAGTATTTCCTGGAAAAGGATTGTTTAATCTAAATCTTCTTATTGTTTGTCAAACAGCTATTGAATCTATCTAGGTAATGTTGAGAGGAAACCATGGAGTCCTCTCCCTCAATTTTTAATATTATTGTTAGATTATCAGACTTATACCCACCTTATAGGCTAGGCTGTATTAGATCTTTCTTCTACATGGCTATCATGTTTGGGGAGTCTGATCGTGGTTAATGTGAATTCCTGAAACAGTGCATCCCACTGTAAAAGGGCCCATCTGACCTCTGCCAGGCTTCCTGAGTCTGACCTATTTGTATCCACAGCTATTATTCACAGCCTTCTATTACACTTGCTCAAATGTTTCACATGAGCCCCAGCTTTATTTTCATTAATTCATCAATAGTGAACAGGCTGCTGGGACATAGATGCAACTGTCATCAACTCTCACCAGGAATGCGGTGCACTGACATGAAAGCCCAGGTGAATGAGATGTTTGATTGGAGGGTGTAACCAGGGACTCTCAATAAACCTCATGGTTCCAATGTGAATATTTTGTAAACAAAATTAATCTGGCATCTTACACACACACACACACACACACACACACACACACACACTCGGGGTGAATGGGAAACACTTCTGGTTTTGGTGAAAAAGATACCAAACAGCCCCTGTAAGCACTAAATCTTGTTACTTTTCAAATGTTGGGTGTGTTCTGCATGAAAGGCATTAATTTCAGAATGTCACTTGGACAAGGAACCAAAGGCTGTAGGCTTATTCAGGAGACGTCTGATCAGGTGTTTATGCTCAGTCGCCTTGGAGCTTCCTCTTCAATGAGGCATCACTTGAGAAGACTCAACCCATTAGCCACCACTCTGAGTGTCTGTGGGTGCCTCTTTGTGTTCTGGCCTTTTTCTGTGTTGAGGCTCCATCTAGTCCACCCTTTGTCACCTTAAGTCTGAATTATGGAGTTAGGCTTTGTGTGCACAACGGGACATAGGTGACTTTCCATAGTATTAAACTAGGTTTTGAGGTACATGAAGTGGGATACTAAATCTTCTGAACTGACAAAGAGAGAGAGAGAGAGTATAAATATAGTCACACATTTGATTTAAGTGACCTTTAAGACTCACATGTATGGGGCGCCAAGGCACAGCCTGCAATGCTGTGATTAATACTGTTAAGGTGGGAGAAGCTGCAGCAAACCCACTAACACCAAAAGACAATTTCAGGCCGGGTACGGTGGCTCACGCCTGTAATCCCAGCACTTTGGGAGGCCAAGGCAGACGGATCACCTGAAGTTGGGAGTTTGAGACCAGTCTGATCAACATGGAGAAACTCCGTCTCTACTAAAAATACAAAAATTAGCCGGGCATAGTGGCGCATGCCTGTAATCCTAGGTACTCAGGAAGTTTAGGCAGGAGACTCCCTTGAAACCTGGGAGGCGGAGGTTGCAGTGAGCTGAGATCATGCCACTGCACTCCAGCCTGGGCAACAAGAGCGAAATTCCGCCTCAAAAAAAAAAAAAAAAAAAAAAAAAGACAATTTCAGGTTGCTACCTCATTTTGATGCTATAGATTGGGTAATATGTTGGTAATTGATGAGGAGAAATCTAGAATTCTATTGAAGGGACACATTTAAAATTTCAAAGTGGGATTACTGGCTATGGAAAACTGCAGATTTGGATTAGAGACTTGCTTTGGTCTCTATCCCTCATCTTCCAGTCAATCAAGACCCATTAGGAGGGCAAAAGGAACCCACATTCAACCTTATTTCCCTGTGTAGGTGTATATGCAAAAAAAAAAAAAACTACTTTTGCAAGGCTGGGTTCTGGTACTATCATTTGTATGAAGAGTGGCTAATTGGGGTATATATGTGCTTTCCTTTAGGATCAGGGTGCCTATCATCACCACCTTAAGATATTCATGTCTAGTCATTTCCATTTCCTTGAATTATTGAATTTTAAATGAGGGAGATCAAAATAGAACAACTTAGTCTCACAGATGGGTTCACCAATTTTAAGAAACTATCTTCTTCAACTGGGTTTGATTACAGCATAGTGACTGCTCCTGGTGACAGAACCAATTTCTGTGGCATTGCCACAGTAGATTGTGTTAGTTTGTTTTCATACAGCTGATAAAGACATACCTGAGATTGGGCAATTTCCAAAGGAAAGAGGTTTAATGGAGAACTCATGGTCCCACGTGGCTGAAGAACCCTCACAATTATGGCGGAAGAGAAGGAGGAGCAAGTCACATCTTATGTGGATGGCAGCAGGCAAGGAGAGCTTGTGTAGAGAACTCCAATTTTTAAAACCATCAGATCTCCTGAGACCCATTCACTATCATGAGAACAGCATAGGAAAGACCCGCCCCCATGATTCAATCATTTCCCACCAGATCCCTCCCACAACATGTGGGAATTATGGGAGCTACAAGATGAGATTTGGGTGGGGACACAGAGCCAAACCATATCACAGATCACCTCATCATAAGAAGCTGACATTTAAATAATTCAGCTTGCAAGCCTGTTTGCAGATATGATCTCACTGGACCCTCACTGCAACCTCATGGATGAGGAACTTGTAGTTGAGATTCTGAGGGAGCACAGGATGGGGATGTGCCTGGGCTTCCCATGGCACAAGAGGTGAGCTGAACTTTGAAGTCAGCTCTCTGACACTAACCTCTGCTTCCTCAGCAGCATCCTCTTACTGCTCTTGGAGATGACAATCATGTATTCAGATATGCCCACCGTCCTTCCTTAAACCGTTTTGGTTTTTAAAAATGCTTTTGGAGGCCACAAAATTAAAGTTCTCCTGAGAAGGAGAAAGAAGTAATAGGTCATTTTGGGGGTGTATTCCCAGTTCAGAGTAACTTGTTTGTATTAACCAGCATGTGTGTTTCATGGTAGCAAAATGTGTAACTTCAAATGGGGTTATGAGAAAGGGGCTTACTTGACATTAAAATGTTACAGCTAAGATTAATTTCTTGCTCTAAAATTCACAAATGAATGCTGCAAAAAAAGGAGACTTTGTTTTTCTGACACTGAACATAGATAACTTCAAAATGCAAAAAAAAAGAAAAAAGAAAAAAGGATTTAAAAGTGATTCCTTAGTCTCTAAGATAATGTAAGGAGCAGTCTTTTCTAATTTTTTCTTACCTCAATGAGTACTAAACAGAATAACTCAAATTCTGGAAGAATCATGAACCATGAAATGCTAGCATATGAGGATTTTCCTAGATTTCTATTTAAATTGGTCTAGTGACTTCTCTCTGGTTACAGGAAGTAATAGCAGAGTGGTGGGGATAGAGGTGGAGCAAAAAAATATCGTGTAAGTTCTTGGAAGGGTTCACTTCATTGAGGGGCAGAATCTTAATAGGATGGAATAATAATTTAAAAAGAACAACCAGGCCAGATGTGGTGGCTCATGTCTATAATCCCAGCACTTTGGAAGGCCAAGGAGGGAGGATCATTTGAGCCCAGGAGTTTGAGACTAGCCTGGGCAACATAGTGAGACCCTGCTCTACAAAAAATTTAAAAAATTAGCTGGGCATGGTGGTGTGCACCTGTGGTCCCAGCTACTCAGGAGGCTAAGGCTGGAGGACGGCTTGGGCCTAGGAGGTTGAGGCTGCAGTAAGCCATGACTGCATCAGTACACTCTAGCCTGGATGACAGAGTGAGACCCTGTCTCAGAAACACACACACGCACACACACACACACACACACACACACTAAAAAGAACAATCAAAAATAGATCAGGCTATTTCCTCATCTTTTTACCTGAAAATGAATTTTTTTGCACTTTCCTTATACCTGTTTTTTTTTTTTAAAAAAACAGCAAAACACCTCACACATTAAACAATTTTAGAAAATGATTACTGGAACTATTATTTCAGTAGTACTTAGAGTGTTTTCAGCATGTGCAATCTCATCTGATCTCAGAAAAAAACTAGGAAGTAGGCAAGTTTGATGTTTCCCATTTTTCAGATGAGGAAACTGAAGCTCAGAAAGCTTATGCAACTTGTGCAGGATGCCCTGGTGGGTCGGGCTTCCCAATTCCCCAAGCCCATGTTCTGCCTTCCTCCGGCTGACCCGGCTGGCGTGAGATGATACATAAGTGCAGGATGACGGAGTATGGTGAGCAGGGAGGGGCATCGTTAGAAATGCTCCTGGTGTCATATGAATAGAAACGAAGATGGATTCATTTGCTAAAAGTGGAGCTGAAGCTGGATCATGCTAAACCAATGATCTGAAAATGAATTTTACAGGTTTTACTGGAAAACTGTGAATGAAGTTTTGAAATCCCTTGGAACTTCAGCAGGAGAATGTTGAAAAATACAAACATAAGTACATTTTATCACCAGGGAGAAGGGAGACTGGTCCTTCAGAAATTTTGAGTGGTTACAGTTCTTTTCTAAACCATGTTTTCATTTAAAGTAATGGGCAATTTGAAAGAAAAAAAGTATGGGAAATGGTGTGTAATTTAGTTACACCCCAGAATTTATTCCGCAGCAAGTCCCATTTCTCATTCACTGAACTACACAATTAGAGGTCTGCTTGCTGTAAAGTACTTGTATAACTGAGTAAACAGAGTTGAAAAAAATGTGGTAGATGCTAGGCTAACTTTTTCCAGTTGTATTAAATTGCAGTTTCTCTATATAAACTGCTTTAACAGACCTAGTTCTCTAGGAGAAATGGTATTTTTCTTCTCTTACATATAAATTGCAATATTAGTGTCTCTAATAAGAAATTTTAAAGAAAAAAATTTTCTCACTGTTTTTCTCTAAGTTCCTTTTTTCATCATCTCAAATACGTGTTCAACTCAACTCTCTGCTAGAAGATTATGAAACACTTTGATCTTGTCTTCAGATGCCAAATGTAGCACCATTGTTAAGAAGAGCTTTGTCAGGCTGGTGGTTTAAAGGAAGGGGCAAAGTTCCCATTTTAATTTCATGTAAAGTTAATGTTGGCCATAAAGTCACATCTGACTAGTCTTGCCAAGGAATTATTTGACCTTTACCTCTTTGTTTTCTAATTCCTTGTAAAACAGAAATAAAATGGCAAAGCTGAGCTTCAGTCACTGGGAATTACAGAGCACACTGGCTTGTCTCTTAACTTTTATTAGGTGCCATACATATATACAGGATCCATATATAGATATACAGAGAGAGTAATACATATATATATATAATATATATTTGTATATATATAATATATATACATATATATATAATATATATTTGTATATATATAATATATATACATATATAATATATATTTGTATATATATAATATATATACATATATATAATATATAGTATATATATACATATATATTATATATATACATATATATAATATATATTTGTATATATATAATATATATGTATATATATACATTTGCCCTGAGCTTGTTTACATTCTGCCCCTTCTACCTCCCCACCTCCCTGAGTAATATATATATTTCTCTCTATATCTATATATGGAGCCTTTATATATCTATATATGGAGTATATAGAATACACACACACACACACACATATATATATATATATATATATATATATACATGCACACACACATACTCCTAGCAAAATGGAAAATCAGATTTATTATTAGAATAAAACACACTAGGTTGAGCACAGTGGCTCACACCTGTAATCTCAGCACTTTGGGAGGCTGAGGTGGGAGGATTGTTTGAAGCCAGGACTTCAAGATCAGCCTGGTAAACATAGTGAGACCCCGTCTGTACAAAGAAGTTAAAAAAATAGCTAGACATGGTGCACACCTATAGTTTCAGCTACTCAGGAGACTGAGGTGGGAGGATCACTTGAATTTAAGTGTTTGAGGCTGCAGTGAGCTGTGATTGCACCACTGTGCTCTAGCCTGGGTGAAAGAAAGAGACTCTGTCTCAAAAATAAATAAATAAAAGAATAAAACACATTATATGTGTGTTTGTGTGTTTTCAGGGAGAAAAAGGATCACCCAGAGGCATCATCCTTTGTCACATCACCTTTCTTTAAGAAGGAAGTAAGATTGGGGGAAGGTGGGTCCAGATGAGGTGAGCCAGTGGAGAGCTTAAGGGACTGACAACTCCTTCTCCAGTCCTCTTCCTTCTGAGTTCCTCCATTGGTCACACTGTACCCTAATTAATGCTTTCCCTGCAGCCTGAAGCACTTCTTGATCATCACTGTCATAGAAGCAACAGTTTTCCATCAACCACTCCGAAGCCTACAGTCTGACCTGGACCCTACTTCTCCTGCTTTCATTATTCCTCAACATGAATGTCTGTGTTCAATCCCCAAGGCTCTAGAGGGTAAGCCTGAGTGGAAAGTGAGACAGAGCTAGTTAGTGGCAGTGGGACATAGAGCCAGGGAGGAATGAAAGATGATATCCAGGTCGGAGTTGGGAATCAAAGAGGCAGGTCAAAAGAAGTCTTCTTCCCATTAGAAACAATATGGGGGCCTGAGGTGACAGGCTTTACTCTGAGTCTACCAGCCTGAGAAGGGCTCAGGAGGAGACATTCGGGAGAGACTGCTGAGCAGTTGCTATCTATAGCTACTATTGACAATATTTATAAAGTACTGGCTGGTTTGCCCAAGCTAGTTAAGATAAACTCCACATGAGACAAATGAGTCCATTAATTTCCCCAGAGCTTGACCCGTTTAATCTGCCTTCTGGACCCCTGCTTATTGTTTGTCCAGCCTGGAATGCCTTCCCCTTTGCCTTGAGCTTGTTTACATTCTGCCCCTTCTTACACCTCCCCTCCTCCCTGAGCCTTTGCCAGTCACTTTACCCTCACCAAACTCCCCATGAATCATCCATTTGGCTCAGAGCATGTGTGAGTGGTAAGAAGAGCAACAAGAGCATTTTTGGAGCATTTGCTGTATGCCAGGGACAGCACTAAGCTCTTTACGTAGATGATCTCATTTAATTGTATTGCTACTTAACTACATATGTGCAGAATTCGTTTTTCCAAAATCCTTCTCAAAGATGGGGCTGTCTTTTATCTTTTTGCACCCAAATGACTAACAGAGACATGCTAAGTAAAGATTTGTAAATGATGAATATAAGAAGACAGCTTCTTTTTTCAAAATATAGTAAAAATAGTGATAGAGAAGATACAATCAGTAGATTTCTCCAGAAGGAAGAAGGGCAGAAGTAATATCAGTGCATAGGCAATTAGAAAGGTCTAAATGTTTAATGTCCGTAGCTGTCCAATCCTGGAAGTGTAGATTTGGAAGATCCCAGCACCAGAGGTATTCAGGTGGAGGCAGATTAACTATCTGGCAGTCAAGAGATTCTTAGACCGTGTAGGAGGTTAGATTAGGTGCTGTCTAAAGAAGCTTCTGAGGCTGGGCATGGTGTCTCATGCCTGTAATCCAAGTACTTTGAGAGGCTGAGGTGGGAGGATAGCTTGAGACAAGGAGTTTGAGGCTGCAGTGAGTTGTGATCGTACCACTGCACTCCAGCCTGGGCAACAGAGACCCTGTCTCAAACAAAACAAAACAAACAAAACACCAAAAAAAAAAAAACCCCAAGAAGCTTCCAATGCTGAGATTCTACTGCTCATGCAACAATTCAACCAATATTTACTGAGTTCTGTGGTAGAATAATCCTCCCACCCCCAGCAAAGATGTCCATGTCCTAATACTTGGAACTTGTGAATATGTTACCTTACATGGCCAAAGGGATTTTGCAGATGTGGATAAGTTAAGGATCCTGAGATGGGAAGATCATCCTGGATTATCTGGGCGGGCTCAACGCAATCACAAGGGTCCTTCTAAGAAAGAGTCAAGAGGGTCAGAGTCAGAGGAGAGGTGGCAACAGAAGCAGAGGTCAGAATGATGCCACTGATGGAAGGAGCCACAAGCCAAGGGATGTGGGCAACTAGAATCTGAAAAAGACAGGGAAATGGATTTCTCCCTAGAGCCTCCAGAAGAATTGCCTCATCAGTAGCTGGGACCACAGGTGTGTGCCACCACGCCCAGTCTTTTTTAAAAAAATTCATTTTTAGTAGAGATGGTATTTTACCATGTTGTCCAGGCTGTTCTCGAACTCCTGAGCTCAAGCGATCCACCTGCCTTGGCCTCCCAAAGTCCTGGGATTACAGGCATGAGCCACTGTGCCCGGCCCTCCCTCCCTCCTCTTCTTTTCTTGCAGGTAGAGCCCACCTCTCTTTTTGGATGCAGAAAATGCCAGATCCTTGCATTTCCATCCTCCCTTGCATTATGGGTATGGGTCTGTGACCAAATCAGGGCCAAGAGGATGTGAAAAAGCAATCTTCTGGGGGACTTTGGGAGAAAGAGGTTTTCTCTATTAAAAAAGAGAGACACACATGGGAGAATCAGCCTCACTCTCCCATTCTGGTTTTACAAGTGGTTGTGTGAGATGCCACGTTTGGATCCACCACTGCCACCCTGCGACCACAAAAGGAGGCATCCCCTATGCGTTAAGGAGGGCAGATGGAAATAGGGAAACTGCCTGGGCCCCATGTGACCTTGTGTCCCTGCTGGACCAACTCTGGGATCATCTACCTTTAAAATGTGGGTAAGGAAGAAAATAACATTTTTAATTGTTTATGACAATTTTAGCTAGGTTACTTGCAGGTGGCAGGCAGCAAGTTCACTGAATACTGCTTAACTTATGCACAATTGCAAAATCCTTTCTTGGGTGAATACTGGTATGAGTATATACAATTTCATTTTTGGCTTACATTTAAAAGGCACTTATCATTAATCTAATAAATAAGTTATTAAGGGTTAAGAATATTTGGAATCCATAACTTAACTCAGCATGTTTGTAGAGCTTTGGAGAACTCCAGTTCAGCATTCTCTTAAGAATCTGGCCGCTGTACAAGGCCGACAATGTTCAATGCTCCTACAGAATGTGTACACATACTGAAACTGGCAATCTTAACAGTTTTCAGGAAGGATGCATTTTGCTGCTATTCTTGCTTTTTCATTATTAATTATGATGACTTTATCTTCATTACTACCAATTTAATTTGCTGTGGGGTGTTAATGCCACCTTATGTGGCATTCCATATGTCCTTTGGCACTCCAATGACAGATACTTCCTTTGCATTGGATATCTTTGGGGATAGGCTTTAAGACCCACAAGTTCTATGGTTTCTAGATGAAACTCCATACTACTCCAGTTGCAGAAGATAGGTCTCTAACCAGCCCCAAAGTGCTAGTTTAATAAAGGTCAGTACTATTGCAGTGGGGAAAAGCATGAACAGGTGAAGTAAGTGGGCAGTGGAAACAATTTAGAAAGCATGTCAGTGCACTATAAACCCTGAATGAATGTTTCTGTCATCATACTATATGGTTACAATAACAATAACTACATTTACTTTGTATTATTTAATTTGCTTACCACAGCAGCCAACTGAAGGAGGTATTATCCCCATTTGACAGATCTAAAGCTGTGTCTTAGGGCTTAGGGGATGTGCCTCAATCATAGAGCTAGAAAGTGTGTGAGATAGAGTTCGAATTCAGGTCTGCTTGATTCCAAAACCTGGGCACCAGCTTTAAAAAATATGTCTTCTAGGCCAAACGCTGTGGCTCACGCCTGTAATTCCAGCACTTTGGGAGGCTGAGGCGGGTGGATCACGAGGTCAGGAGATTGATACCATCTTGGCTAACACGGTGAAACCACGTCTCTACTAAAAATAAAAAAAAAATTAGCCAGGCATGGTGGCACACGCCTTTAGTCCCAGCTACTCAGGAGGCTGAGGCAGGAGAATTGCTTGAACCCAGGAGGCAGAGGTTGCAGTGAGCCAAGATCATGCCACTGCACTCCAGCCTGGGCCACAGAATGAGACTCTGTCTCAAAAAAAAAAAAAAAAAAAAAAATATATATATATATATATATATATATATATATATATATATATATATATATTCTAAATGTGCCATTAAAATGAGAAAATTCAAAATCATGAAGACAAATTATGGGGACTGGGTTGTGTTTGTGCTCATAAGGTGTTTTTTGCCTATAAATTCAAAACTTTGTTGGAATTACCACATAAGACTTAACTATTTGTCAAACAAATATTTTCTATTGAACAGAGTTTTTACCTATGAATATTGATTCTACAAAGACACTTAAATAAAATTTCCAGTCCTGTGCCTCCAGTTGATTTTGTCTTCTTTATTCTTACATGCAGTACATGCTCAAGTGTTGCTGGTAAAGAGATGTGTTGTTACTAATATTATTATTATTTGAGTCAGGGTCTCACTCTGTCATCCAGGCTGGAGTGCAGTGGCATCATCTCAGCTTACTGCAACCTCCGCCTCCCAGGCTCAAGTGATCTTCCCACCTCAGCCATCCGAGTAGCTGGGATTACAGGCACACACCACCATGCCTGGCTAATTTTTGTATTTTTTGTGGAGACAGGATTTTGCTAGGTTGCCCAGGATGGTCTTGAACTCCTGAGCTCAAGTGATCCTCCCGCCTTGGCTTCACTAAGTGCTGGGACTACAGGTGTGAGCCACTGCGCCCGGCCAGGGATGCATTATTTATTGAGCTCCTGACAGGTAGTGCAACAGACGCTTTTGTAGCTATCTCATTATTCTCATGCTAACACCACAAGGTAAGCTTCATTATCCTTTATTTGTAAGTGAGAAAATTAAGACTATGAGTATTTTACTTCATAGTTTTAACTCCCTTAAGGAGAGGAAAAAGGCATATTGGAAGTTACAAAACATTCCGATGTTTGTCCTTTCCTGCACCATTGTACCAAACTGTCTATGGCAGATCAATGACAACTGTAGCCTCAGATGTTCACTTTTCCTTGCATTCTTGCCTCCTACAGTGTCACTTTGTAGATCCTCACATCCAGAGGTGATTATTTTCCCCCGACCCTTTAACCTGTGCCAGTCTTGTTACTTGCTGTTCAGCCAATAGAATGAGGAAGAGGTTACAGTATGCTAGTTCCACGGCTATGCTTCAAGTATCCTGCATGCTTCCATTTCCTCCCTTAGGCTCCTGCCACTGTCATGAGGACATGAAAATGAGGGACCATATGGAGCACAGTTTGGGTCATCCCAGCTGAGGCCGTCCCAGATCAGCAAGGCTCTGGCTGACCCAGCGGCTGACCACATGGATTAGTTAGGGTTCCACAGAGATACAGAACCTGTTGTTTATTTATGTTGCTGTCTATGCCTATGAGATTTATTGCAAGAAATTGGCTTACACAATTGTAGGGGCTGGTTAGGTAAGTCTGAAATCCATAAGGCAGGTGGGCAGGCTGGAAACTGTTGGGCAAGAGCTCTCACTGCGGGCCATATGCCAAATTCCTTCTTCCTCTGGGAAACCTCAATTTTGTTCTTAAGGCTTCTCAATGAATTGGATGAAGCTCACCCAGGTTATCGAGGAACTCTCCTCAAAGTCAACTGATTGTAGATGTTAATCAAATCTACAAAACACCTTCACAGCAACACTTAGATTAGTATTTGATTAAATAACTGGGTACAATAGCTTAGCAAAGTTGACACACAAAACTGTCCATCCCACTGCAGATGTGTGAGTGAGCTGAGATCAATAGAGCCCAGCCTAGATCAGTGGAACTGCTCAGCCAACCCTCCCTCCCTCCAAAGTAACCAAGAGGAATAATAAATGGATGTTGTTTTAAGCCATTAAGATCTAGGCAGTGACACAGCAACAGTTAACTGCATATGCAGCACTTCTTACTTTGAAACAATATTCGAAAATCCTTTAGCCCAAGGACTTTTACCCTTTCTATTTTGGCTGTCTGCTATAATTTCCCCAAGACAATGCAGAAGACAGCTACCAGGTTGGTTTCTAGAGTGACCTAGCCTAGCTCTGTGCCTCCTGGAAACGTGTTGAACTCAAAAGCCAGCCTTTATAGCTCCTGTTTGTCTTAAAATCACAGTACTAAGCTCCAAAGCAGGTAAAGAGAAACATTTTACTGTCTTTTGAAAAGCCTTTAGCAAAGAGTATTTGAGGACTATTTAAAGACATGGTGACATCATCTGGAAAAGCACACATTCAACCAAGTACCAAACACAAATAGATGGAAGAGCCAAGGAAACCGGCCTGCTCTTTTCTACTTCTGAAAGTCCATCATATATAATGTGGTATAGAAAAAAGAAAACTGCCAAAAGCAGAAATGAAAGAGGCTCAGGACAGAAAAGCAAGCATGAGAGTTAACTCTTAAAAGCTGGGAAATTCAAAATCCAGGGCTGGACCCTTGCCACTGAGTGAAGGCAGCCCTTTCCTGGGGCCTGAAGCCACAGGCCTGCCTCTGAGGCACGGCTGCCAGGTACAGCTCTACAGTTGTGCACTTCACAAATATTCCTGGCTAAGGAGCTGAGTAGGGACTGAATCCAGTTACCAACCTGTGTGTCTCACTGATGTGTCTGCCAAGACGGGGATCTTTTTCTAATCTGCACAAAAGTACCATATGGGCTAGCAGTGGCCTGACTTGAGGTGAAGGTTTATCAATTTTTTCCATATTAAATGTTAAGGAAAGAGAGTACAGGGAAAAAGAAGCAAAGCAGAATTTTACTGCTTTTGCAAATGCTGCTTCAATGGTATCAGTCAGACACTGCAACCACATCTCCCACCCCCTCAAGAGTTCAAATAAACATGCCTCCATTTATAAGCCAAGAGGCTTGGTGTACTAAAGTGGCCTCAGGCCAGTCCTCTAAGACCCCCTTTAACCCTACCCCAGCACTTAAGCCCCTCTTCTGTAAACATTCTGGAGCTGCTGCTGCTGCTGGTCTCAGCCTTCAGTGACTCCTAATAGAGCAGCCATTCCTTTCCTGTGCTTACATGATGATACTGCTATGAGCACCGGGTGAGGGATGATGAGGAAGGGATGATGTAAGTGCAGGGCATGCTCACTGCTTCTGAAACCAGTCCACCTTGAGAGAGGACAGGGCTGGTCCTCTCAGATATACCGTATGAATTCAGAGCAGCCTCCTCTCCTCCTTCCCCTGAGGTTGTAAAGACCTAAAACTTTAAAGGACAGTGGGAATATTTCATAGGCTGGAATCAATACTTGTCATCAATGCCTCTTCATGGCTTTTCTTTATGTGTACTAAAATCGAAGAATTAAAAGCCTTAAAGAGGAGTAAATACGAAGAAGATTATGCCATGGATTTGACACATTAGTATATATTTTAGAAAAAAAATCAGGTATGAAATTACCATATGAGAACTAAGTGGACTGTAAAATAACTATTTTATGCTCAAAACAGTTTTTATCTTTGAACATCAGCTTCACAAAGGCACATTTCCAAATCATCAGCCTTGGATTTCCGAAGTGTTTTTCCTATTCATTTTCTACTTATTACTGAGCAGCAGGCTCTGCGCAGAACAGAAGTCTGTGGGGTGGAAGGAGAAATTCTCATTGTTGTGAATGCATTCATTGTGTGAGTCTGTTCACAGAAACCCATGAAGGAGAAACTAGGAGCCTCCACTTTACAAGGAAAGAAAGTGAGGCTTGGGTGAGGGAATGACACAAGGACCAAAGTCTCACACCTGGTATGTAAGAGAGCTGATACCTTGACCCAGGGGACTGAACTCCAAAGACTCCATGCATTTTTCCCTATCCAGGAATGAATAAAAGAGGCAATTTGATATTACTTTCTATACAGGAGTATGTTACAATTCAGGGAGAGTTACAATTTGATGCATGTTCACATCTAAGTTAATGTGGTCCCATAGAAGCTATTGTATTTTCTTTAAATTTCAGTGTCTTGCATGTATATGTTGCTTTATACATGGAAAATATTTTCATTTCTGCTACCTGCAATGCAGTGTGGGATGTTGGCAAAAGCACTAGATCCCTACCCTGGGTGCTATGGTTGCTATGGTTTGAATGTTTTGGTCCCCTCCAAGACTCATGTGTTGAAAACTTAATCCCCAGCGCAACCATGTTAGAAGGTGTGGACCACTGGGAGGTGTTTAGATCATGAGGGCAGAGCCCTCTTAAAAAGGGCTTGTGGATGTGGGTTCTCTGCCGCCCTTCTGTGTTCCAACATGTGAGGACGTAGCAAACAGGCCCTCACCAGATGCTGGCACCTTGATCTTGGTTTCCAGACTCCAGAAGTGTGAGGATTAAATTTTTGTTTTTTATAAATCACCCAGTCTGTGGTATTTTGTTACAGCAGCACAAAATGGGCTAAGTCACTAGGTTTGGGTCAAATTCTGCTTTGGACTCTTGTTAACATCAATGAGGTCTTTATTCAGCTTTGAGGGCGTGATCTGTCCTGATCTGCCAGGTATTGTGCCCAGGCTGGGGGTGCAATGGCAGATTAACAAACATGGTCCCTCTCCTCATGAAGTCTAATGTCTAGCTAACTGATATTAGGTAACGATATAAGTAAATGTATGTTGAACATGGGTGTATATAAAGTATAGAGTTCTAGGATGATTAAAACAGGAGCTCTGATCTGGATTGGGCTGAGGAGTGGACTCTGAGTTGGGCAAGTGGAGAAGGGAAGGAAAAGGAAGGGTGAATGGGTGGGGAGTGACAAACATGTCCCAGGAAGAGCACCAGCGGATGCAAAGGGCTGCAGGAAGAGCAGCACATGCCTTAGAGAAGCTGAAAGCAAGCCAGTGAGGCTGGGGCTCAGAGAGCTGGGAAGACGCTGCACAGAGGACTCCAGCAGAGCCTCACGGGCCATGGTGAGGGAGTCGGGTTTTATCCCAGGAGCAACGAGAAGTAAGACATTAGAGGGCTGGAAGCTGGGAAGTGGCATGATCAGTTTTGTGCTTTTTAAAAAAGATCACTCTAGATTCTGTGTAAAGCATGGCCTGGAGGTTTCCTTCTGTCTCAAGTGGGAAGAACAATGTTCACTCCAGAGGGTGGCTACTAAGAGGAAATGAGATGATCGCAAGAATTTTGTAAATTCTTGTACAAATGTAAGATGTTATCATTATATCATTTGTTTCTTAGTATGGTCAAGGCAGGAGCTATTGTTCATAGTTTCAGAAGTCATATTGCTTGTTTAAAGTTACAAAGAAAGTTTGGGGTCACATCCAGTGCTAGAACCCAGCCACGACTCCCACTTACCCTTCTGATACAGGCTCCACTCCACCACCTCAGAATTCTGTTTAAGCATCGGTGTAAGGAAACATTACCAAAGAGCATTCTGAGGGGAAAATTTAAGGTGTGTGTGTTCCCAACCATGAACAACAACTCTAGCATTCAGCCCAGTATGCAGCAGGTGAATAAGACGTCCCGGTTAAGAGGTAAAGCAAAGAAATGCAAAGTCCTAGGAAAGCTTTGGGGAAAATATCTCACCAAGCATATTACTTTCTTTTGTTTCTTTTTAAAGGATGTTAAGCTCAAGAGAAACTGTAGTATATTTATTTTTTCATTTTTTTTCACTTAATTGAGCAGTTGCCATGGTAACTCAAGAACAGACTACTCATTGCCTTCAATGAATTACAGCTACACATTTTTCATCTACTGAATGTTGCAGTGAACTTTAAAAAAAGGTGATCTTGAGTACTGCTTTTTTCCCTGGCCTGGCATCAGCATTATCTCTTTACAGGACCCTGAAGTGGCAGCACTTCCATTTCATGAATGAGAAAACTATATCCCAGGAAGAGAGGGTTTGGAAATTTCATCAGGATTCAAACCTTGCACCAGCTAACAATATTTAAGCAGTGTGCAGAGCAGGAGGGCAAGCACAGTGAGAAGCAGAGAAGCAAAGGGAAGACGCTGCTCCCTCTTTCCAAGAGCAACCACAAAGTTAGCACCCTGGTTCTTGGCAAAGAGTTCCCAAAGTCTGCCATCAGAATTTAATTCTGGAATTAGATAAAAGGTACTGGATATTCGCTCTCCCTTGTTCTCCTAAATCTCTCTCTCCTCTCATTATTCCCCCTGCTTCTCCCCTGGCTGCACCTCCATCATCTCTTTTGGCCTAATAATTAAAATGCCCTCTGACTAGCATCCCTGAAACCAGTCTCTCCACTTCAGTCCATTCTCCACATGAGTGGCAATGTCATGTTTCCATGTTATCGCTCTGCTCCAAGGCTGCCAGGGACTTTACACTACTGTAGTATGCAAAACTCTTTCTGATCTGGGCCAGCCTATCCCGTAGGCTTATCTTTGCCACTGATGAGCCCAGACATCCTCCCGGCTGTCCCTCAATATGCCCTGTCTTCTGTTCAGCCTATCATCTTCACCTAGAATGATCTGCCTAGCTACCTACCCAACTCATCTCATTAAAAGACTCATTTTAAGACTGAACTCAAGTCACTCTTCTTCCCCCACTGGAACCAATCTCCTCTCCAATGTGTTCACTGAGCATGTTACATCTCTGTAACTGTGCACATCACATCGTACTGAAACAGCCAGGTGGGAGGAGGTCTCCGGAAAAACTCCAACCGGCCTGCGCACTGGGGTGGAGCCTCGGGGAAGTTGGCACCCTTTGCAGCAGGAAGGAGCCTGGCCCCTCCTCTTCCTGTGTGGAACCTGGCATTCAATCTGCCAGGTGGGAAGCATTCTAGCAGGGGACTCTGGCCTTGAGAGAGTCCCTGTTTCCCCCTTTTCTTCCTTTTCACCCATTAAAACTGTCTTACCATTCAAATTGTCTGCAAGCCTGAATTTTCATGGCTGTGGGACAAAGGACCCTGTCTTCAGCTGAACTAAGCAAAAGTGCTACAACAATACTCTGTCCTATGTCAGAATTAGTTGTGTATTTTATTCAACTTTTCATCTTTCATAGTGCCTTGAACATAGAAGGCAGAGTAAGTGGCTCCCTCCTCATTAACCCATAGCACTTTTATAATTCTCAATATACTGGATACCTATTGGACTCTGCTTAAGCACCCCTCCTACCCCTATCATGTAAGCCTGACCACAGGTGATTGGATGAGGAGTGTACCTGAACCAAGCTTGGACAATGAGCATCCTTCTCTAGGAATTCAGACTGAAAGAGACTGGCCTCCCTGCTGGGGGCTGTACCAGTTGGTAGATGCTTTTACTATGTAACTAAGGGAAGAAACAGGCCTATAATAAGGGAAAAATAGAGGGAAACAGACACACAACGGAGGGAAATTCTTAATGACCTTTCCACACCCAGTTCCACACTGTTCCTAGGGTTCAGATGCATTCTTTCTTGGATTTTTGAGAGGACTCCATAGGTTTACAATAAATTTACCTTTTTTTTTTTTTTAAAGCTAAACAGGTTTTTGTGTCTTACAACCTAAAGAATCTTAACCAAGACACTCACATAGTGAAGGAATGTTTTTAAATTGCCTGTCTTTCCCAAGAGACTGAGATTTTTGAAAGCAAGGACTAGGTAAATCTTGATTAAGTTTTGTAACCCCAGAATCTGGCATAGTGCCTGACATTTAGTAGATGTTCAGTATGTGCTTGTTGAATTGACACGTTGACATTTTCTTGAATTAAGTGAGATGTACAAAAACCATAAAGCTCTAAATCAATGTGAACCAAGCTGATCATGATCAGACTAACTGTGCTGTGCTCTGATCCCTCACTTACTCCTCCCCAGAGAAGGAGAGATTATTTGGAGACTTCTCAGTTGTTCAGAAGTCAGTCAGGGAGGAGTTGGGGTGCTTGTTATTGGGCCCTTCTTAAACATTAGGAGAGAAGAAGTTCCCCCCTCCAACGTCTATAAATTCTATAATTTATTTGTAATGGTTCATTAATCCATACCCAAGTAATCCATGTTTATGAGAATCCCATTAGAATCTAGATTCTTTGCACATCATAAAAAGAAAGATTTGGTACTAAATTGCAAATAAGGCAGCAGGGGTATAATCAAGCTAGTCACAATAAGCTAGAATGAATTTTAAGATAACTTTAAGGATTGCAGAGCTTCCACTTTATGAAGAATTGAGACAAATTATTTTCTCCAGTAAAGCAGGGTTCAAGTTATCAGTAATAATTGTCTTCTTAGCTATCTCAATGGTATTTTCAACAAACTCGGTTTTATTGTTTTAAAGTATAGGGAACAGTACCACCATATTTATTGATTATAATTTTGAAATTGAGGCTTAGGAAGCCCAGAAAATACCCAAATTATTGTATTTTTCCTACTTTTATGCAGCTATTAAAAATGATAGTGAGAAAGCATGTGTATTAATACTGAAAGAGATTCATAACATATTATGTGAATAGACAGGTAACTAAATAGTGGATATACTGTGATCCCATTTTTATAAAACTGTATATATATATTCACAAGAATTTATAATAAAAAGATGTTAGCATATTAAATAGCTTAAATGTGAGTGCATGGTTATAGATGCTTTTCCTTTTAAGTATCTATATTTTATAATATTTATAAAATGAATATGTATTGCTCAAGTAAAAAAATTTAAATGGAAAATTCAGGACTCACATATAAATCATCCATTCATCTGCCTATTCACCTATCCATCCATCCATCCATCCATCCATCCATCCATCCATCCATCTATCCAACAAATATTTGTTAAGCATCTACAACATGCCAGGTCCAGCCTCGCTGGATCAAGGCAGTGAGAGGGTTCCTTGGCTTGATCACTTTCTTGTGTGGAAGTTGTAATGCTAAAAGTTTATGGTGTGTATAATATACACCATTGGCTCTCCTGTGTATGAATTTCGAGTAGGATAAGAGCTTGTGAAAAAATAGGAAATCTTTTTAGAAAGCATAAAGTCAGAAATGTTTTTCTAAAGACTACTATTTATCTTTCTATAAAGAAAACTTTTCATTCTTCAAATAATGTTCCTAGAACACTTTAAATTGACAGATAAAATTGTATGTATTCATCACACACGTTTTGCAGTATATATACATTGTGAAATGGCTAAACCTAGCTAATTAACAAATATATCATCTCACATAGTTATCATTTTTGTGGTGAGAACACTAACATCCACTTTCTTTGCATTTTTCAAGAATACAATATATCTTTGCTAACTATAGTCACTATGCTGTACAATAGATTTCTTTCTTTTTTTTTTTTTTTGAGACAGAGTCTTGCCCTGTTGCCCAGGTTGGAGTGGAATGGCGCGATCTCTGCTCACTGCAACCTCCACCTCCCGGGTTCAAGCAATTCTCCTGCCTCAGCCTCCTGAGTAGCTGGGATTACAGTTGCGCACCACCATGCCCCGCTAATTTTTCTAATTTTAGTAGAGACGGGATTTCACCATGTTGGCCAGGGTGGTCTTGATCTCTTGACCTCGTGATCTGCCCACCTAGGCCTCCCAAAGTGCTGGGATTACAGGCGTAAGCCACCGTGCCCGGCCACAATAGATTTCTTGAATGTATTCTTTCTACCTGTCATTATATATGCTTTGACTGACATCTCCCCATTCCCCCCTCCCCACTAACCACCCCAGCCTCTGGTAACCACATTTTACTTTCTATTTCTATGAGATCAACTTTTAAAAATTCCACATACAGGGCCGGGTGCGGTGGCTCACGCCTGTAATCCCAGCACTTTGGGAGGTCGAGGTGGGTGGATCACGAGGTCAGGAGATTGAGATCATCCTGGCTAACACGGTGAAACCCCATCTCTACTAAAAATACAAAAAATTAGCCAGGCGCGGTGGTGGGCACCTGTAGTCTCAGCTACTCGGGAGGCTGAGGCAGGAGAATGGTGTGAACCCAGGAGGCAGAGCTTGCAGTGAGCCGAGATAGCACCACTGCAGTCCAGCCTGGGCGAAAGACCCAGACTCCGTCTCAAAAAAAAAAAAAAAAAATTTCACATACAGGCTGGGTGTGGTGGCTCACGCCTGTAATCCAGCACTTTGGAAGGCTGAGTAAGGTGGATCACTTGAGGTCAGAAGCCCAAGACTAGCCTGGCCAATATAGTGAAACCCTGTCTCTACTAAAAATACAAAAATTAGCCAGGCATGGTGGTACGTGCCTGTAATCCTAGCTACTTGGGAGGCTGAGGCATGAGAATAGCTTGAACCCAGGAGGCAGAGGTTGCAGTGAGCCGAGATTGCATCACTGCACTCCAGCCTGAGTGACAGGGTGAGACTCTGTCTCAAAAAGAAAAAAAAAAAATTCCACATAAAATGAAATCATGCAGTGTTTGTCTTTCTGTGCCTGGCTTATTTCACTTAAGATCATGTCCTCCATGTTCAGCCATATTGTTGCAAATAGCAGGATTTAGTTCTTTTTTATGGCTGAATAGTATTTCATTGTGTATGCATACAACATTTTGATTGTCCTTCTGAATCATTTTAAACGAATTTGAAATATAGAGCATTCTCAGGACTGGCAAATTAACTTCTAAAAGACAGTGGAGATTATATTTCTTTCATTTTTACTGGAGCCAAAGTCTATGAACAAACAAATGTATGTTCTAATTTTAATTTGGATTCAATAGCAGATCTGTTTGAATGAGGAAGGAATGTGTTTATATACAAATATCCATTCCTTCTTTGTCTTGCTTTGTATATTTCCTGTGACGTTTGCTACTATTCTAAATGCTCTTCATTTGATTCATCTTTTGTAATGAAGCTAGCAATAATATAATCTCTTATCTACACCTTTGCTTAATTTGTGACTATGGTGACCCATTCTGTGAGGTCTGAATCACTTTATCAGCATTGATTGGACACAGTCTTGTGTTTTAAAATACTCTTTATTTTTGTCTTGATGCCTCAGTGACTCCTTTATTAATGAAATTTGCATTCTTGTGCAAGTTCAGGAAGTGTGTCATATCTCTGAGATACCAGATGTACTTTGAGCCTGAAGTGATTGTTCTGCTCATTAAGACCATAAGATCTAGAGCCTTGACAGGTTTCAATGAATGTCAGTGTTTCTTCTTGGTACTTGCATTATACTAGATTAAAGATTATAAATTGCATTTCTTTAAAATATTATAAAATGTATTTTAATGATTCAGAAGTCACAGTTAAGCAACTATTTTCTAGTTCAAGAAACTCTAGAAAAATGTACACAGTAGCTCTTCTTCCCACTTCCTTTTCTAACTCCTTTTATTGGTCATGATAATAATGATAGCCACCATGTACTGAGGCTCTACTATGAGCCAGATACTATGATAGCTGCTGGGGTATAGAGGTGAACAAGATAATGCTTAATAAGTATTTGTTAAATCTGTGGTTCTCAAAGTGTGGTCCCTGGACCATCGGCATTACCTGAGGACTCATTACAAAGGCAAATTCTTAGGCTACCTCAGACCTATTGAATCAGAAACTGTAGGGATGGGGCCCAGCAGACTGTGTTCTAATCAGTGTTCTAGATGATTCTCATGCTCCTTAAAGCTTGAGAACCACTGGGTTAAGCAGATGAGTGAAGACAGTGGTTTCTGCCTTTGTGGATCTTCCAGTCTACTGGGGTAGTGGTGGTGGTGGGGCACACAGAGAAATAAATTGGCAAAGACAAACCCCAAAACTGGCTGCAGCAGGGGACGTAAAGAATGCTTGGAAAACTGTTACAGGCTGGAGAGGTGAGCAAGGGCCTAACCATTTGGAAAAGTATAATCCATGTAAGGAGTTTGAAATTCATCTTAAGGGCAGTGAGAAGCCATTAAAAGGGTTTTAAGGAAGACAGCAATAAATTTAGATCTATTTAAAAATAAGATGTCTGAGTCCTTCGGAGAAAAGTGTGGAAGTGTGATGTGGACATTTTCCACATAGGATACATGTGGAAGACAAAGGCCCCAGGTCCCAGGACCTCTGAGGGAATCCAGAGGCTGAAAATGAGATTAAAATGTGCTTATGTGGCAACCAGACCACCAACTCCCTGTGCAGTGAGGAACCAACAGCCAGGATCCTGCTCCCTGGGCAAGACACCAGAAGTTCCCTGTTTAGAAAAAGACAGCAAATTCTCTCTCTTCTGGCTTTGGAGGTCTACTAGGAATGACTGGTCCCTGCCTGTGGTAAGCTAAATAATGCCACTCCCCTTCCCAGAGAAGTTCATGTATTAATCCCCAGAAGCTGTGAATATGTTACTTTATGATGTGGTTTGTCTCTGTGTCCCCACTCAAATCTCATCTTGTAGCTCCCATAATTCCCATATGGTGGGACCTGGTGGGAGATAATTGAATCCTGGGGGTGGGTCTTCCCATGCTGTTCTCCTGATAGTGAATGAGTCTCACAAGATCTGATGGTTTTAAAAACAGGAGTTTCTCTGCACAAGCTCTCTCTTTGCCTGCTGCCATCCACATAAGACGTGACTTGCTCCTCCTTGCCTTCCGTCATGATTGTGAAGTTTCCCCAGTAATGTGGAGCTGTGAGTTCTCCATTAAACCTCTTTCCTTTGTAAATTGATCAGTCTCAGGTATGTCTTTATCAGCAGCATGAAAATGGACGAATACACTTTACATTACAAAAGGGAATTTGCAGAGGTGATTGAGTTAAGGATCTTAAGATGGGGAGATGATACTGACTACTCAGGTTTGGTGCACAGGAGGGTCACTGTCAGAGAGGAGACATAATGAAAGAAGCAGTGCGAGAAAGCAAGGAAGAGAGGGGACAATAGAGGAGTGAGAGATTTGAAAAGGCTGGCCTTAAAGATGACAGAAGGAGCCATAAAGTAGGGAGTGTGTAGCCTCTAGAAGCTGAAAAGGGCAAGGAAATGGATTTTCCCCTAGAGCCTCCAGAAGGAACCACCCCTGACATTTGTTTTGTTTTGCCCTTTTTTTTTTTTTTTTTTTAAGAAATGGGGCCTCATCTTGCCTCTCAAGCTGGAGTGAAGTGGCACAATCATATCTCACTGCAGCCTCTAACTCCTAGGCTCCAGTGATCCTCTTGCCTCAGCCTCTTGAGTAGCTGGGACCACAGGGGCTGGGCACCATGCCTGGCTTCTGTTGACATCTTGACTTTAGGACTTCCAGTCTCCAGAACTATAAGATGATAAATTTGTGTTAAGTCACTAAGTTTGTGGTAATTTGTTATAGCAAATAGGAAGCTAATAGACGGCCTAAATATGCTGGACTAAAGCCCACCACTGGCTGAGCCTCCTACTCCAGTGGCCCCCAGGCACACACGAATACAAATGGGCAGCCAGGAATCTCAAAACTTAGGAGAAAACTTTTAAATATAAAGGAAAGAGGTCCCAATAAACAAAATCCAAAGGAAACAAAAATAATGCAACAGACAAAGAAAATTTAGAAAGCAATTTAAACATTATTCTCAGAAAGATACAAGAAGATATTACACCCACAAAACTAAAAACATATGGTTTGAAAAAGGAACAGTTAAAGAAAGAAAGAGCTCTTGAAAATTAAAACTATGATAGCTGAAATAAACTCAATAGAACAGATGGAAGGTGAAGTTAAGGAAGTCTGCAGCAAGCAGAAGGTAGTAGAAAATTTAGGTAGAAAATGAGAGAAAATTTAGGTAGAGAAGGAGAGAATCAATTCTGAAAGCCTTATATCCAATTCTAAAAAGCAAGAACAGAAAGAGCAGAGGGTAGAAAATGAGCAAAGAATAAAAACCAACTGTAAAATGTCCCAAGCCCGAGGGACCTGCGTCTCCACATTGAGAGATCACACCAGGTGTGCAGCCCAGTGAATGAAAGAAGATCTGCACCAAGGTACATCAGTGGGATACTTCAGAACACCAGGAACACAGACAGGATCTTTAAAACTTCCAGGAATGTGAGGAGAGAGGAGGGCACAGGTCACAAGGATAGGGGACTGAAAATCAGAACAACGCCTGACCACAATATGGCAAGGCAGAAGACAGTGGCTCAAAATGTTGGAGGAAAACTGATTTGCGAACACAAGGATTAAAAACCCAGGCAAACTGTCAGAAAATTATGAGGAAAGAATAAAGCCATTTGCAATGGAAGACTTTTAGAAAATGTACCTCCCATTGACTTTTTTTTTTTTTTTAAGGAAACTACTACAGGATGTGCTCCAGAAAAGTGAAGTGATGCATAGAGAGGAAGACAACAGACCCCAGATACTAGAATGAGGCTCAACCAGGCCCACACAGAGGAGTTAATTGGTTTTCAGAAAAGGCTGCATGGGGCAGGTGAGAAGAGCAGGCTTTAGGCTTCAGTGATGCCCTGCACGTCACTCCTTCCCCATTCTGCATGGTTCTTTGGAACTAGGGTGACCAACCATCCCATTTTCTCAGGATGAAGAGGTTTCCTAAGATGGGGCATTTTACCAGGTAAGCTGGGACAGCTGGTCTCCATACTTGGAACTGAGGCCCATCCTCGTTCTTTTAAGTCTGTGCCTTCGAAGGTGCTGTTCTTGCTCCCTGGCACATGCTCTCTGCCCAGTCATTTCTTACTCTCCCCCTGAGCCCCAGCCCAAGCTTGGAGATGGAGAAATGTATCCAGGTCAAGATGGCTCTCTTCTCTAGCAAGGTGTAACACCAGAACAGGCTGTTAACCTTCGGAGACATCTGTATTCAGGCAGATGCCAAGTGAAACCTCTCCATGCTGAGGTGAGAGCTGCAGTCAGGTTGGGGTTTACTCCCAGTTTCCTGGGAGATCAGAAACTAGTGTCCTTAAGCAGGTGGAAAAACAAAGATAAAATCTGCCACAGGGCTCAATCAGCTGAGGAAACAACTGCGGTAGTAGAGTCTTATCATTACAGTTCTCTAAATTCTATGAAACCTCACTCTTAGTATTGAGGAATTACTTGCTGTTTTAGGGGCTTCCACTGTTCATTTTCTCCAAACAGACATTGCCTTAGAGTGGACAAAGTCCGAGCTGAATAACTGCATGGAAACTGCACAATCCTAGGCACTTCAGGTACTCTTCTCTGATTTTATGGGTTACTTTCATGAATTAGCACATTTCCTTCACATTTAAATGAATTTTAAAAATCATACTTTCTTACATTTTGGAGACCACCACTCCTGGTGCTTTTGATCTGCTCTATTCTGGAAGACTTGATCCCTTTCAGCTGTCAGCCTTCCTAGCTAGTTACAGTGGGTCTCATGCCAGACACACATTACAATCACCTGGGGAGATTTCAAAACCTAACTTTGCTCAGCCTTCATTCTCAGAATCTCTGGGGGTGGGGCGTGAACGTGGGGAGGTTTTACAGCTCACCCGGTGATTCTAATGTGCAGCTAGGGTAATGACTATTGGGTACAGAGCAGTAGTTTTTGCCTTCATCTGTTTGGGCTGCTATAATAAAACATCATAGACTAGGTGAGTTACAAGCAATGGAAATTTATAGCTCACCGTTCTGGATGCTGGGAAGTAGAAGTTCAAGGCTCTGGCAGATTCAGTGTCTGGTGAGGGCCTGTTTTTTTGTTCATAGATGATGCCTTCTGGCTGTGCCCTCACTATTAAATCTCAAAACTTATATTGAGGAATTACTTGCTGTTTTAGGGGCTTCCCCTCTTCATTTTCTCCAGCAAACATTGCCTGCCATGGTGGAATTCCTTCTCATGGTGGGATGGGCAAGGCAGCTTGCTGGGGCAAGCTGGGGCCTCTTTTATAAGGCACTCATGTCTTCATGATGGCTCTGCCCTCACGACCTAATCACCTCCCAAAGGCCTTACTTCCCAACACGGTCATATTGGTGATTAGGTTTCAACAGGTGAATTGTGGGGGAAAACAATCATTCAGATTACAGCAGTTTTGAAGTCAGGGAGATTTGGTTCAATTCCTGCGTTAGCGATATACTAGATGTTTTTGGCCAAGTAATTTCACACTCAGAGTCTCAGTTTTCTCATCTATGAAACGGGCTTACTAATGCCCGCTAGATAGGGCTCTGGTATGGATAAAGAAGTATGTGAAACACTCAGTTTAATACTTGACCCAAATTGAGTGCTCAGCAAAAGTGAGCTGTTAATCATCATTGCTTGGATAGTGGAAAAAGCTTCTTATCATAGAGCAAAAAAGGAAAGGCAACATGATTAACTATCTTGCTCAACATCTTTGTCCAGAGAGAAGATGACACTTGAAGTTTTAACTCTTGATAAGGATTGTAATTTATGAACTAAACTCCACAAAAGAAAAAAAAAAACTTGAGAGAGAACATATCCATTTAAATGGCAACTTAGACCCACTCAAGAAAATGTGTAAGACTAATGTCATCAAATTATTTGTGTGCGAGATGAAATCAGTTAAAACTTTTCCATTGTGAAGAGCTGCGGGTATAAGTGTTATATATTCAACTTGACTTTGCCTGATAATGATTTGTTTTGGTGATAAACATTAATTTCCTATTTTGGTAAATCTATTAATTCTCTTTGGAAAGTATAAATTAAACAAAATAGCTATGGTCTGGTCTACAGAATTTAAATATATTTTGTTAGAATGCAATCATTTTCAGAGTAAATAAAGCAGATGAAAATACAAATAATTAAAATATCTAGAAATAAAGCTAGCTAGATATGTGATGAGAAAGTAACCATATCTTTTTCTTTTCCTGCTGTTGGTTCATGAAAGAGAGAGAGAGAGAATGGCTAGGCTCTGGGCTCCTGGGGTGGATGGAGTAATACTGACCAAGATGGCATACAATTAGGAGTAGGATTTGAGGGGAGTGGAATGAGCCAACACTGTCTATCCCAGCCAGGAGAGTGAGAATATTCCAGAGTAAAGAGGGGTTGGTAGTTTATAAATGGAGAAGACCTGAACCCTATTCCCTTGCTGACAGTCCTGGGTTTGGCAGATATCTAGCTGGGGTCTCAACTGTCCTGTGGTCCATCCGGTCACAGCAGCATGGATGCCGTAGTAGAGCAGCCTACTTTTGGGTGGATCACACAGGCTTGAACAATAAGCATCTCATGTTGACCCTACAGAGCTGAAGACTAGAAGCTTCTTCCTCAAACTTTTTGGACCAGGTGAGTCTTTCCAGACCCTATTAAGACCCTGGAGAAGAGGAAAAAGGGGCTCCCCGTACAATGACTGAGAATGAAAGTTCCTTTACCAATAAGAATAGGGCTATGGAATGAAACTGATTCAGAAAAATACAGAAAGTTTACATGGAGGAAATTAGTCCTTTCCTAACTACTTATACCGTTGTTGCTAATAATAAAGTCGAAGATACATAAACCCATTAAAAGATTGGCTGACCAACTGGCCTCATCTTCTTTGTGAGGAAGCTGATGCCCAGAGGGCTGAGCTGATTTCCCAACTTCCCATTCACCTAGAGATTTGGAAGAGGAAGAAATATAGTAGAGGCAAGAGTCAGTCCCTTCTCACTTTCTCCCCTGCTGTTTATTATAGAAAAACTCTTACACAATGGAGCAAAAAAACAGTATCAGGACATTCACTGCAACAAATTTACAATATTAGAAATCGGAAACAACCTAGATGCCCATGATTGGAACAGATAAATAAATAGTCTTCTAATCTTACATTGGAATACTATACTGCAGTGAAATGAATGGAGCCAAGTTACATTATCAGCATAGATTGAACAAACAAATTAAGTTGCAGAAGGATATATACAATATGAAACACTTTATAAGGGGTTAAAATATGAAAAAATCCTGACATTATTACAAATACATTATTTATTCAACAGTCAATAAATACTTTTTGAAAACCTGCCATGTGCCATGTGTTGCTCTAGGTGCTGGTGATGTATCAGTGAACAGAGAAAAGTACTTGCTTTCTGGGAACTCACATTCTACAGATATACCTACACATGCAGCAGAAATAGAAAGACAAATATGGGATTGACAAACACTGAATTCAGAACGGGGACATCTCTGGGGACAGGCCAGAGGAATGTGACTAAAGAGGGGATGCACAGAGGTTTTCAGTTATTTGCAATGTTTTATTTCTTAAGCTTGGCAGTGGATAAATGATGTTTGTTATATCATTCTCTATAGCTTTTAGTCTGTATGAAATATTTTATACAATCTATTTAATTTTGCTTCCTAGTTTAGTGTCCACAAATTTCTTTTCTTTTTAATAAAAACACATTTGCCTCCACAGATAAAATGAGATCAAATGAAACATAGGAAGATAAATGGATATGTTCTGGACTCTGGCTGTAGGTATTTAAGAAAGCATGTGTGCTTGGAAATTACAAGAACTCTTGGATGTTTTGAATAATATTGTTGTTTCTAGAAGCTCATGGAAGCACTAGCAGACAGCCAGGCCCAGTGAAACTTGTTTGTTCTATCTATGCTTGGCTGAATGAAGGACTGAATGTGGAGTGAACTTGTTCCATGGAAAAGCATGAGAGGCTCTAATGCATGTTGTTGTGGCACCGTTTAATCTAGCCTGGCCGCATAGGTGACTGGCATTTTGGAGAACTACCTTATTGATCAACAGACTGCAGATATTTTAGCATTTAATATACTCTGCATCATGAGTCATGTGGGACTAAATTGGATCCAATCTGACAGCTCTTACTCCAAACATTTAAATAAACAGCCTTATCTAAAAATCTTCCTTTTTGGAGTCCTTTGCCCAATCAATAATCCTTGATTTATTATTAAAGTATATCTGATAAGAAAGAAGGAGAATATTGCAATGCTATCCTTTTTTCTTCATAATTCCACAGGCATTTATTGAAAATTAAAGATATGCCAGTCATGAACAAGTGTTGATACAGAAGTATGTCGATTCATTAAAATTAAGTAAGACATACATATATAGAACAACATAGCTCATTTTGAAAATACATACAAACAAAAAGATACATATAATTGCATTATAATGGATGCTTGTGCAGGAGAGAAAAATGGAAGATGATTACGGGGATATAAAAAAGAATAAATTAAAAAGTAATATATCAAAGGGGGAAAATACGAAGTGGATTTTCACAGAAATAATGGCAATTTTCCCTGAACCGAAAGATATGTTTAACTTGGGCCTCTGCACCTGAGAAAAGTACATAAATAAAGAAATAAAACATAGTCCTTGTCCTCAAGGAACTCACAATCTGGCGGGCAGACATAGGTAGAAACATGTGATTGTTCCACATGATTAATTCAGTAAGCACAGACTGCTTCAAATGGGTACCTTACAGATTTCAGGTCCCTGGGGTAGGAGGGTCTTGTCAGGAGAGATTTCTCTGGACAGGCACCAGTTAACCAGGTGAAATGGTGCAAAGGCAATCGCCGACAGAATATAGAATATACAAAAGCATGGTTGAGAGGAAGAGAATGATTTGGAAAACTGCAAGTACAACCCTGAGAGACTGACGTTACTGTCATGTTTATTCATTCAAGATTATTTATTAAGCAGCTCCTATGTACCCAAGTACTTACATGTGCAAATTGAGATTCAGAGGGTTTGAAAATGCTATCCGTTATACGCTTTGGTCCTTATTTACTCCTAGAGTAATATTCAGAGATTTAGGAAAAGTTTATGTGCCATGATGTGCCAGGGCAGCATTATTTATAACAGTGAAAAGATGAAAGGAAAAACAGGCGTTCTGCAATAAGGGAATGATGAAAATAAATATGGTGTTCCTATAGAATTATATTTTATAGTGCCATTAAAATGTGTTTACAAAAATTATTTGATGACATGGGAAATTCTATATTATTAAATGCAAAATCTGATTATAACATTATTAAATGTCTATCAATCAAGGAAATGCTTCATAATGTCAATGTTAATTTTCTTCTTTATACTTTTTGTATTTTTTTTCAAATTTTCCATAGCATGTAGTTTTGCTTTTATGTCTTTATGTATTTATTTTTTTTTCGAGACAGGGTCTCTCTGTTGCCTAGGCTGTAGTGCAGTGGTAGAATCATGGCTCACTGCAGCCTCAACCTCCCAGGCTCAAGTGATCCTCCCAGCTCAGCTTCCTGAATAGCTAGGGCTACAGGCACATACCATCATGCCTGGCTAATTAAAAAAAGTTTTTTAGAGATGAGGGCTCACTATGTTGCCCAGGCTGGTCTTGAACTCCTGGGCTCAAATGATACTCCTGCTTCGACCTCCAAAAGTGCTGGGATTACAGGTGTGAACCACTGCACCAGCTTAGTTTTGCTTTTATAAATAATAAAAAAGTTATTAAATTTAACAAAATAAGGAAATCAAAGAGTATTATGCTTGAAAGACAAGCAAACACAAACTTGACATTTCTTACAATCTTAGGCATATGTTTATATAACTTGCTCATTTTACAAACCCGTGAAGAAATTAACTTACATGATTGCAAATATGATGTTAAGATCAAGCTAGTTTTTTGAGGGGGTTAGCAGAAGGTTGTTGAGGATAGTTATTATAGATTCTGGGGCAGCAGCATGCCTTATTGGAAAGTGATGAACTTAGAGTGAGGACGTTATTAGTTGTGTGACCTTGGGGATAATGATAATTTTTTTACTGTTGTGAAGATTAAACCAGATCATGAGAACTCTTGGCACAGGATAGGCACTTAATAAAAACTGTTGACTCTGATATTTCTTAAAGAGTATGAATATTCAGTGAAAAACTGGACATTTTAAGTGTGTTCTCATTTGGTTAGAAGGGGTTTGTCTTTATGAGCAGTGTGAAAACAGACTAATACAGTAATTTGGTACCAGTAGAGTGGGGCATTGCTGAAGAGATACCTGAAAATATGGAAGCGACTTTGGAACTGGGTAACAGGCAGAGGTTGGAATAGTTTGGAGGGCTCAGAAGAAGACAGGAAAATGTGGGAAAGTTTGGAACTTCCTAGAGACTTGTTGAATGGCTTTAACAAAAATGCTGATAGTGATACGAACAACAAGGTGCAGGCTGAGGTGGGCTCAGATGGAGATGAGGAACTTGTTGGGAACTGCAGCAAAGGTGACTCTTGCTGTTTTAGCAGAGACTGGAAGCATTTTGCCCCTGCCCTAGAGATTTGTGGAACTTTGAACTTGAGAGAGATGACTTAGGGTATCTGGTGGAAGAAATTTCTAAGCAGCAAAGCATTCAAGATGTGACTTGGGTGTTGTTAAAGACATTTAGTTTTAAAAGGGAAACAGCATAAAAGTGTGGAAAATTTGTAGCATGACATTGCAATAGAAAAGAAAATCCCATTTTCTAAGGAGAAACTCAAGCTGGCTGCAGAAATTTGCGTAAGTAATGAGGAGCCGAATGTTAATCCCCAAGACAATGGGGAAAATGTCTCCAGGGCATGTCAACCCCTCCCATGACTCAATTACCTCCCACTGGGTTCCTCCCATAAAAGGCAGGAATTGTGGGAGTTACAATTCAAGATAAGATTTGGGTGGGGACATAGCCAAACCTTATCATTACACTCTTGGCCCCTCCCAAATCTCATGTCCTCACATTTCAAAACCAATCATGCCTTCTCAACAGTCCCCTAAAGTCTTAACTAATTTCAGCATTAACTCAAAAGTCCACAGTCCAAAGTCTCATCTGAGACAAGGCAAGTCCCTTCTGCCTATGAGCCTGTAAAATCAAAAGCAAGTTAGTTACTTCCCAGACACAATGGAGGTATAGGCACTAGGTGAATACAGCCATTCCAAATGGGAGAAATTGGCCAAAATGAAGGGGCTACAGGCTCCATGCAACTCTGAAATCCAGCAGGGTAGTCAAATATTAAAGCTCCAGAATGATCTCCTTTGACTCTGTGTCTCACATCCAGGCCACACTGATGCAAGAAGTGGATTCCCATGGTCTTGGGCAGCTCTGCCCCTGTGGCTTTGCAGGGTATACCCCCCTCTTCTGGCTGCTTTCATGGGCTGGTGTTGAGTGTCTGTGGCTTTTCCAGGTGCATGGTGCTAACTGTCTGTGGATCTACAATTCTGGGGTCTGGAGGACAGTGGACCTCTTCTCATAGCTCCATTAGGTGGTGCCCCAGTAGGGACTCTGTGTAGGGGCTCTGACCCCACATTTCCCTTTTGTACTTCCCTAGCAGAGGTTCTCTATGAGAGCCCGCCCCTGCAGCAAACTTCTCCCTGGACATCCAGGCATTTCCATATATCCTCTGAAATATAGGCGGAGGTTCCCAAACCTCAATTCTTGTTGCCAGCTCTCTGCTGTGGCTGGACCAGGCATACTGCAAGTGGCTTCCACTGTGAGCACCAGGGAACATGGTGGCACCTGGAAGCTCGGAGACACTGGAACCACAGAGCCTCAAAGAGGGTGTTACAGCCCTGGCTCAGGGAGTTCCTAAGTCTGGGTTCCCCAGAGGGCCACAGCTCTTCTCTCTTTCTTCCCTCCTTCTTGTTGTCTGCAATGTGGTGAGTGAAGGGCATGTTTCAGTCCTGTTTGTGTTATAGCTCTTTCAGTCCTGCCATGGGTTCCAAGTGCTTGTCCTGCAACCAGGAAGAATGAGGTATGCAGAAAACTGGAGGGTGAGCAAGGCAAAGAGGTGCTTTATTAAGCAACAATACCACTCTCAGGAGACCTGAAGTGGGTAGTTCCTATCCACAGGCAGGTTGTCCTGATGTTTCTGTATCCCTCAGTGGAGAGGAGACTGGAGTGGGTAGCTGCTGTCCACAGGCAGGTCATCCCAATGTCTCTGCAGCCCTCAGCGGAGAGGAGACCCAGAGTGGGTATTTCCTATCTGCAGGCAGGTTGTCCCATCGTCTGCCCAAGTTTGGCAGAGTCTGAGATTTTTATGGGCTTTGGAGGGGAAGAAGGGCATGCTGATTGGCCCATGGGAAGCCATGGATGGGCCTGAAAAGAGCACCACAAGTTCTTACTCCAGTCTGTGAACTGGCAGCCTGGCCCCCATGCTTCAGGCCATCCCTGGTGTGAAGGTGGGGCTTCACCAGGACCCGCCCCTTTCCACCCAAGGGCATGTCTTTTTCCTACTGCCATCAACCCGCTGTCCACAGTGCCCAGGCTGTTCATGTCAAGGGGGACCTGTAGGCCTCAGCTGAGCAGCCCTAAGCCCCCTGTCAGCCTCCCTTCCATGCTCGTCGGTGCCCTAAGCCTGGATGGACAATGGTTAGACAATGGTAACTTCTGCTCCTTGGCAACTACCTATGAGGAACAAAGGGCAACCTCATCACATCTCTCTCCTACCACCCACATTTAAGTTTGCATAAGCCTATAAGCCTATGTTTGCTTTTAGACTGGGTTTCCAGGTTTTTGCATACTACCCAATCCTTTTGTAAATACACAATAATCCCAGGAGGTTATTTGGTTTCTCATTAACAACAGTTTCCTGTCTTTTAAGGCTCCAAGACATACCAGATTATGGGTTACACCTGAGTTCTAATTCCTTTTCTTTATTAGGCAGTGATACTATTGTGTTATCACAAATGATTTCATCTTGCCTTCAGAATTACTTGGCATTCAAGGTCATCTGGTTAATAAGATGTTAGAGAAGCCACGAAATTAATTATAATACCTGTCTGACAAGAATAACAGGGTTTTTTTTAAAAGAAAACAGTCTCTACTGATCAGTCCTTCATATGTTTTCTAACCCTAGAGTATATCCTGTTGCTTTGAAATAAATAATTCTATGAGTTTTCATTTCCTTCTGCAAAGGTTTCTCCTATATTCCTGTGACAGAGCATGCCAGCTATGCATAGTGATGAGGCATTCACTTTTATGTCTTCAGAGTGGAAATCTATTGAATTCCTTGCTCAGAATTGGCAACCTAAGTGATATACTGACACTGTTTAATATTTATACTGAAGCTATGAAGGACATTTCTGACTTTTTAGTCAAGAATGGTGAAAATTTATCCATATGAATTTATGAGGTTTAAAAGTGGAACTTGTCTTTCTTCTTACAGAATCAATTAGCCCTAAGGCCCCAGGGCCAATGGAGATAGCCAGGAATTGCTGGCTGCCTGAACCAACTGTGGCAAGTATTTTTATTTCAGTCTTTGGGGAAAGCTGGACTTACATCCTTTTGACCTCTGTTCCTCTTCAATATCCCTGTTCTTATTTTTGCAGTAGACCACCAATGACTTTCAACATCAAGCACAAGTGTTTCCTGCAGAGCCGGGAGGCAAACCCGGCCATTCCAGCTTCCCGGCTCCAGCTGATCCTCATAGGACTTGCCCCAAACCCTCGACTTACCTATTGGAACAGGACTCAGTGTGTCAGCTACAACTTGCTAAGTCCTCAAATTATAATCAGCACTGTGTTACTGAAATATACTGCCTTGGGAATGGCACATTTTAATTTTAAATCGGCTTTACAAATATAAGCTAACACATGCTTCATCTAAATGTAATATTTATTGACCAATGACCTGAACAATAACAACAACAACAACAATAACAACAAACAAGAAAACAATCCCATTTATGATAGCATCAAAGAAGTAAAATATTTAGGAATAAATTTAACGAAGGAAGTGAAAGACCTGTATACTGAAAGCTATAAAATATTGATGAAGGAAATTAAAAGGATACAAATAAGTGCTCATGGATCAGAGTAATTAATATTGTGAAAATGGCCATACAACCTAAAGCAATATATATATTCAATACAATCCCTATAAAAATCCCAAAGATATTTTTCTCAGAAATAGAAAAAGCAATTCTAAAATTTGTATTTATCCACAAAAGATCCTGAATACCCAAAGCAATTCTGAGAGGAAAAACAAAGTTGGTGGCATCACACTTCCTGATTTGAAATTATATTACAAAGCTATAGTAATCAAAACAGTAGGATACTGGCATAAAAACAGAAATATAGACCAGTGGAACAGAATAGAGTCCAGAAATAATTGCAAACATATATGGTCAACCAATTTTCAGCAAGGGCACCAAAAAGACACAATGGGGAAAGGATAGTCTCTGCAATAAATGGTGCTAGGGAAGCTAGATTTCCACTTGCAAAAGAGTGAAATTGGACTCTTATTTTATACCAGATACAAAACTCAACTCAAAATGGATAAGAGACCCAAAAGTAAGACTGAAATAATAAAACTCCTAAAAGAAAACACAGGAGAAAAGATCTTGACATTGGCCTTGGCAATGATTTATTGTGTATTACACCAAAAGCTCAGGCTACAAAAGCAAAAATAAATACATGGAACTACATCAAACTAAAAAGCTGCACAGTGAACGAAACAATAAAAAATAGGAAAGGCTGACCAGGCGTGGTGGCTCAGGGCTGCAATCCCAGCACTTAGGGAGGCCGAGGAAGGTGGATCACTTGAGGTCAGGAGTTCAAGACCAGCCTGGCCAACATGGTGAAACCCCATCTCTACTAAAAATACAAAAATTAGCCGGGTATGGTGGCAGGTGCCTGTAATCCCAGCTACTCAGGAGGCTGAGGCAGGAGAATCGCTTGAACCTGGGAGGCAGAGGTTGCAGTGAGCTGAGATCATGCCACTGCACTCCAGCCTGGGTGACAAAGTGAGACTCTGTCTCAAAAAAATAAAGTATGAAAGGTTAACCTACAGATTAGGAAAAAGTATTTGCAAACCATATGTCAGATAAGTGGTTAATATTCAAGATTTGTAAAGAACTCATACACTCTGGTAGCAGGAAAATATATAAGCTGATTACAAAATGGGCAAAGGACTTGGATAGACATTTCTCCAAAGATGATATTAAAAATGGCCAACAGGTACATGAAAAGGTACTCAACATCCCTAATAATGAGGAAAATGCAAATAATAACCACCATGAGATACCACTTCACACTTGTTAGGATTGCTACTATCAGACAACATAACAAGTGTTGGTGAGGGTGTGAAGAAAAGGGAATACTTTTGTATACTGTTTGTGGGAATGTATAATACTGTAGTCATTATGAAAAACAACATGGAGGTTCCTAAAGAAATTTAAAGTAGAACTACCATATGATGCAGCAATCTCTTCCTTTCATACCCAAAGGAAATGTAATCACCACCGCATAAAGATGTCTGTACTGCCATGCTCATTGCAGCATTTTTCACAATAGCCAAGATATGGAAACAATCTAGATATACCAATAGAATATCATTCATCTGTAAAAGAGAAAGAGATCCTGCCATTTGTCACAACATGGATGGATCTGGAGGACATTCTGCTAAGTGAAATAAGCCAGACACAGAAAAATATTGCATGATCTCTCACTTATATGTGGAATCTTTAAATAAAGATCAGATATTGGCCAGCGATGGTGTTTTATACCTGATAATCCCAGCACTTTGGGAGGCCAAGGTGGGAGGACTGCTTGAGCCCAGGAGTTCAAGACCCCTGGGGTCAAGAAAGTGAGACCCTCCCCCCAATCTCTACAGAAAAGTCAAATATATACATATATTTGTATATATTTATACAATATATAAATATTTATACTATGTATATACTATATATAGTATATATTTATACTATGTATATACTATATATAGTATATATTTATACTATGTATATACTATATATAGTATATATTTATACTATGTATATACTATATATAGTATATATTTATACTATGTATATACTATATATAGTATATATTTATACTATGTATATACTATATATAGTATATATTTATACTATGTATATACTATATATAGTATATATTTATACTATGTATATACTATATATAGTATATATTTATACTATGTATATACTATATATAGTATATATTTATACTATATATACTATATATAGTATATATTTATACTATATATACACATATATTGTGTATATATACTATATATATACACATATATTGTGTATATATACTATATATATACACATATGTTGTGTATATATACTATATATATACACATATGTTGTGTATATATATACTATATATATATACATAAGTGGTATATATATATATATATACCACTTATCTGACATATATATAGAGAGAGAGTGAGAGAGAGAGAGAATAAAATAGCAGTTACTAGGATCAGGGTTGGGCAGTGGCAGGGAGAGGACAGGAAATGGGTAGCTATAGGTCAAAGGATACAAAGTAGCAAATATGTAGGATGAATAAGTGAAAAGATTTAATGTACAACATGAGGACTATAGTTAATAATAGTGTACTGCAGTCAGGATTTTTTCTAAATAAGTATCTTATAGCTGCTCATGTCTTGGGTGGGTGGGTAGGACAAAAGGTAACTATGTGAGATGACATATGTGTCAATCTGTTCCACTATAATAATTATTTTACTATATAGATGTATCTCTTAACATCATGTTGTATACCTTACACATATACAATAAAGTTTACTTAAAATATTTAAAAAATAAATTAGAAAAAAATATTTTTCTTGATTTAGAAGCTCAATATCACTATGGAAATTCAGTTGAACACACACACACACACACACACACACACACACACACACACACACACAGACTCCCCACAGTAAACTCTGTTCTGGCCATGGAATGCGGCATTATTATTTTATTCATTAAATCTATTTGGATCTCTACAGTGTCCCTGTCACAGTGCAGTGGACACAAAAGAAGTACTGATAGGCCCTCCCTCTCAAGAAGGAAAGAAAGAAGAAGAAATACTTCCTGGATGGTCTACTGTGCTAGGTGCTTTTACATAGATTATCTCTTTTAATCAAAATAGTCTGCAAGTTATGTCAGTTTTACAGACAAATGCAGGCTTGAAGAGGTTAAGTATCTTGCACCTTGCAATTTGATCCATGTCTATCTGGGTTAAGACTCCATGCTCTTGTTTGTAATGGATGCATATAGCATACAGGAGACAGTTAGGGAGTAATACGAGTCAGTACACAATGAATTATAAAATTAAATACCAGTTGAGCACCCCAGACCAGAAAAAATCTGAAATCCCAAACACTTCTAGTCTCAATAATTTTGAGTAAGAGATACTCAACATGTATAATCAAGTGCTAAGACTTAAGGTATGAGCCTCTAATGCTTTAGGAGTTCAGTGGCAGGAAATTAATGTTTAATTATTACAGAAGATCTCAAGTCAGAAGATGCAGAATTTAATTTTAAATCCCGGTAGGTGTGAAAGTTGTCAGAATCAAAATGGAGTCAGTTGTGTTAAAAACAACCTTGAAAAATGGAGACAGAGAAGGTCATGAAGGAAGGGTTCTCATGCACAAATGCCTGATAAAACAATAAAAAAATTCTGCAAACCCCACAATTTTACACAAAGGCCATTGCTACTTGACACAAAAAATGCTTCTGGGAGGACATCTGCCAAGCAATTGCCCATCCAACCTTGGACTGACACCATCCTTGTTATTGATCCTTGCAGCCAAGGATAATTATCTCAAAACAATTATGCAGATGGTGACATCAGCAAGATGGCTGTCTAGAAGTCCTTAGCGCTTGTCCCCTCAACAAAGACAGATAAAACAATGAAGAAATAATTACATTTTAATAAAAATAACTGAAGGAGGGCACTGAAGTACATCCAAACAATAACAGAAACTCCGGGGAGCACAGAAACTCAGGATGGTCACACAGAGAACAGAAGGAAACACCTGACTTCCACCACCCTATCCCCCAGCTAGGATAAGCTGGGAACCTGGAGGAACTTCTCTCCATAGGGAAAAAGTAAGCAAGAGGATCGCAGCAGCTCCTGTCAGCACCTTGGATACCTACAGTCCTTACCACTGGGGTCCTCTGCAGCCCTCACAAGCACTTAAGCCCAGTTGAAGGAGCTGCCTGGAGTCCATATAGCTCTCTTCCCTCTAGAGAAGGAGCCCCACCCTCTGTGCCCACATGGCTACTGCCCTACACACCATCTTGGAAATGGAATTACTGCTGGAGTGTATCTTGCTCTGGGTGCGAGTAGCCATGGCAGTCTTTCATCCCTGAGTCTAAACTGCTTTTGAATCATCCCTGCCCATGGCTTGACATCCCTAAGCTGAGTTTTGAGCCACTGTCATACCTTTCCCCATCTGTTACCACTACACAGTGCCTCATGTCTAGGGACCCGAGTTGCCACCAAGCCCTACTGGTTCAGGCTTCCAAATTGCAGCCATATCCTGTGCCCTGGGCTAAAACCTCCAGAGTATCCTTTATTTCTTGGAGTCAGGCCAGGGCTGTGCCCTGCCTCCCAGGGCAGAATCACAGCTACAACCCAACCTCCTGGACCCAAGCTGCTAGGGGGTACCTCAGAGTCACAGATCCTGGCTCTGTGAACAACCTACCTCCAACGCTGCCACAGAGAGCAAATCTGCACCCCAATACCCAAGTGTCACAATAGGTTTGAGAGATCTTGAGCACAGAACTCTGGCCCCACAGCCACTCTGGGCACCTGCCTCTGTGACCAGTGCCACTGCAATTGCTTCTAGGCTGTGTCAGACCTGACATCAAGAAGGATCCTCTCAGCTAAGTGTCCCCATTGTGGGGAAAATAAGAATAGGAAGACCCCGGAAGCCCTTGCCACTGAGGATATTAACAATAAACACTGCCACTACAGCTACCACAAAGTCCTACAGCCTAAACCACTGAGGTGCCTACAGTTATTACTGATGTTCAACACAGCCAGAGAAGCTGCAGAGAGACTATAAAATGGCACCTACTTGGAAACAGAGTCACCACATCTTTCCCAACGAGCACACCAGGACCCAACTGTAGATGAGTCTTTTTCTATGAAAGCCACTCTAGAAAGTTTGGAAGAGGTGATTGTTCCACTAAATGCACAGACATGAATGCAGGGACACATAAAACATAAAAGAGCATGGAAGTTTAATATCACTAAAGGAACATAACTCTCTAGTAAGAGACCCCAATAAAAAGTAAATCAATGAATTGATGGAAAAGGAATTAAAAAATAATTATCTTAAGGAAACTCAATGATGTACTAGAAAATACAGATGGACAATTCAATAAAATCAAGAAAACAATTCATGATATGAATGAGAAGTACAACAGAGATATCATTTAAAAAACCAAACAGAAATCCCGCAGCTAAAGAATTCAATTAATGAAATAAAAAATGCAATAGAGAGCTGAAAAAGCAGACTTTATCAAGCAGAACAAAGAACCTCTGGCTGAGCACGGTGGCTCACGCCTGTAATCTCAGCACTTTGGGAGGCCAAGGCAGGTGAATTACCTGAGGTCAGGAGTTGGAGACCAGCCTGGCCAACATGGCGAAACCCCGTCTCTACTAAAAATACAAAAATTAGCTGGGCATGGTGGGCTCCTGTAATCCCAGCTTCTTGGGAGGCTGAGGCAGAAGAATAGCTTAAACCTGGGAGGTGGAGGTTGCAGTGAGCTGAGATTGCATGCCATTGCACTCCAGCCTGGGTGACAGAGTGAGACTGTCTCAAAAAACAAAACAACAAAAAAAAAAAGAGCCTCTGAACTTGAATATAGGCCATTATAAATTATACAGTTAGAGAAAAAAAAAGAATGAAAAAGACAAAAGACTGAAGACAGCCTACAAGACTTATGGGACACCATTAAGTGAACAAATATTTTTATTCTGGAAGTTGGAAGTTTCAGAAAGAGAAGATGTTGTAAAGGGTGTAAAAAAGCCTATTTAATGATGTAATAGCTAGAAACTTCCCAAGTCTGAGGGGATATATGGACATTCAAATCCAGGAAGCTCAAAAGTCCCCAAACAGATTCAACCCAAAAAGTCCTCTCCAAAGTACACTATAGTCAAATTATCAAAAATCAAAGGCAAAGAGAGAATTTTAAAAACAGTAAGAGAAAAGCATAGAGCTACTTATAAGGGAATCCCTATTAGAGGAACAGCAGATTTCTCAGGAGAAACCTTATAGGCCAGAAGAAAATGAGATGACATATTCAAAGAATGGCAAAAAATTGTCAGTCAAGAATAGCATATCCAACAAAACTACCCTTCAGAAATGAGGGAGAAATAAAGTCTTTCCCAGACAACCAAAAACTGAGAAAATTTGAAAGCACTAGACTGGCTTCACAAGAAATGCTCAAGGGAGCCCTACACCTGGAAGCAAAAAGATCATCATCATCATTACGAAAAAACATGAAAGTATAAAACTCACTGGTGGAATAGATACACCAAAGAGAAAGAAAAGAATCAAAGCTTATCACTACAAAAAACCCACCAAACTGCAATAACAATAAATAAGAAAGCAAGAACAAAGGATATACAAAACCCCAGAAAGCAGTATGCTGAAGAGATATAGCACTTCCAAGTTTATTGCAGCACTGTTTACAATAACAAAGATATGGAATCAACCTGAGTGTCCATCAATGGATGAATGAATAAGGAAAATGAGATATACATACATACATATATATGTATGTATATACATATACATGTATACATACATATATATGTATATACATACATATTCTTTTTTATGGCCAAATTTTATATAAATACTGTCATTTGCAGCAATATGGATGGAACTGGAGGACATTATGTTAAGTGAAATAAGCCAGGCACAAAAAGATAAATATCACAGTTCTGACTCATATGCAAGGGCTAAAAAAGTAAATATCATGGAGGCAGAGAGTTAAATGTTGGTTACCAGAGGCTAGGAAGAGTGATGAGGGAGAGGAGGTGAAGAGAGGTTGGTTAATGGGTATAAAAATGCAGTTAGATAAAAAGAATAATTTCTAGTTTTTGATAGCAAAGTAGGGTGACTATAGTTAATAATTCATTGTGTATTTCAAAATGGCTAGATTTGTAATGTTCCCAATGTAAAGAAATGATAAATGTTTGAGGTGATAGATATCCTAATTACCTGATCATTACACATTGTATGCGTGCACCAAAATATCACCTGTTCCCCATATGTACAATATGTATCAATAAAAATTATGTAATCTTCCTCATTTTTCCTTTAGAAAATGTTCGCTTCCTTTGCCTCCCTAAATATGCACATAGATTACTACAGCAAATGTATTCCCATGGCAATGTACATTCCCAAATAAATATTATTTTCTTTCAGAGAGTCTCTCTCTCTCTTATTTAGGATTATATAAATGGTGTCAGAAGTGAGATCTAAGTCAGCTCACCTTAGATAGATTATCAGCCCCTGAAATGGAGAGCAGTATCACCTGAGCCCTTTGTGCTCTTCGTTTCTACGAGTCGCCTTTTTGGTCCTGGAGAATTTCTTCTCAGATTTTCTGACTCTCTCCCTTTGGTGAGTTTTTTGGACATTATTTGGGATCTGATTTGATTGTAAGGCCACCTTAATAATGGACCTTGCATTCCCCCTGGAATGATAAAAACTTTTGTCTTTTCTGGCAAGCCCTTTCTGGTTTAAGGACAATGTTCTTCTGGTTCGAGTACTCTGGTTTTTATAGAACGTGTACTTTGTTTGTGATGCATGTCTCTTCTGGTGAATTCACTTTTGGTCTGCATGCCTAGTTTGATATTTTGGTTGATTAGCATGCCTGGCTTAACATTTTTGTGAGCACTCTAATTTTGGTTTCATTTTGGTCTGGTTATGCACATCTATAAATAATTTGAATCTTGTACTTTTTTTCTCTTCTTGCTTGCTTTTGAACATCTTCCCAGAGCAAAAATAAACATACAAAGTGGTAGGTGTGAGATGGCCAATTAAAAGCCACTATCTAAAATACCAAACTCCTGACATTCCCTGATAGAATGCATAGATTTCTTTTCTCTCAAGAGATTAATAAGAAACAAAACGAGATTCTCAAACATTAAGGCATGCCAGTTTTTCTGGGACTCCAGCCAGCTACATGGTTTTTCCTCATGCATGTTTTTAAACCAATGGCCATCTTAGGCGTTATTTGAACTCCCCAAGCTTGTTTTTTTTTTTTTTTTTTTTTTTTTTTTTTGTACCAAATATAGGGTTAAAACAAAATGCTGGTATGTAGAGGCTCTCAACTTCTTTTTTTCTCCTTTTTTTCCCCATCTCTGCTTCTCTGAATCTGCTTTTTCACTTGTATTAAAATAACCTAATTTTGCTAGTTTCCAAAGCTACTTACAAGTTTTTTAAAGAGCATTTCAGCCAAAATAACAAAAAAAGAGAGGGCTTTCAAATTACAGTAGTTCCATGACAGCCAACAAGCTATCCAGTACACCTAAGAGTCATCCCTTTTGGAAATGTTAATTTAGTTTTGATTGACTAGCAATTGCTTAGGGTGATTTAACAATTGCTTTAGTTAATTAAAAGCTAGATAGTCTAAGAAGGAAAGAACTAGATTAAGGTTTACAAAAGTTAGGCTCTCAGATCAAACAGGTCGAAATCTTGAGCTCAGGGGAATAATAGAAGGTATCTTTGACATAAAAATTTTGCTTTGTCTGCTGTATGTGAGCCAGGAAAAGCTGAGGGGAAAAAAAAACCCTTTAAATACCTTTTTCTAAAATGCTTTCCTGCCTGCATCGACTAATCAAGTAAATCAGACAAACAAATAAAAAGATAAATTTATTGCCGGAATTCAAGGCCACCGGGGTATTTTGTTTTTCTACACAATTTAGTTGGTGCTATCTAAAATGAAAATGTTTGAATATTTAACCTCTGTACCAGTTTAAAACTTGAAGGAGAAAAAGAGGTTTCTAAAAATCAAACTGCTGTGGAAACTGCTTTACCCAAAGCTTTGGTCCACAGCCTTCATAAGATCACCTATCAGGGCAAATAAAATTTAGCCATGTGAACAGGTCCCATTTTGTCAGAAATATAATTTGGATTCAACTGTCCTTTTATAAACTGGTAAGTTTAAATTACTATGTTTTGCTGTCTCATGATTAACATTTCAAAATGAAAGCTAAAGAATCTGCTTCGATGTATTCATGTTGTCTGTATGTTTTTATGTTGCATGTATGTATTTTTCTACCAAAATATATCAAAGAGCTAATTAATTAATTAATTAAAGGGAAAAATTAAGCACTTCAATCAAGTATGTTATCAAAAACATAATAGCCACCTCAAAGTTTTTAAGTTCACCTGACTTGGGTAAATGTTTGATAAGTAAACTGATTTTAAAATTGTTGATAAAATAAAAACAGAAATGTCTTAAGAATTGTCAGCAAAGATTTGTGCCTGAGTTTACTGGTCAGGCAGTTTTACATTTATCTTTGTTAGATATATTTTAAGGAGTCAGTGTTTGACATGAATGTCATAGAACTATGAATCCATCCTAAAAAGAGAACGATCTTTGTTTATGTAATTCCTTGATAAGTAATACTAATTTAATATTGTTGATTTAATGAAAGCAGCTGTATTTTCTGAGTTATTGGCAAGATACTGAAGTATTTAACTTTATGGTTCTTAGTTGGGTGAGGAATGCTTAATAGTCACAGCCTGTAAAAACGGCTAACAAGGAATTAGCCTGAAATAATTACTAGCCTTGTCTAATATCTTAGTTTTCATAAGTAATATAGTTATAATTGTTAAAAATAAACAAATTAGGTGAATGTAAATGGTATAATCATTTATAAATTAATTCTTCTTAGTTTCAAAAAATCTTTTTGATAACTTAAAATTTTAAAGTTATGTTAAATTAAGTAACAGATACTCATTAAGTATCTGGGTCATTTCAAAATAAGATAAAATATTGAAACAAATTGCTGAACACAAATATAAGTTTGTTCTTGGCTTCTTAAATTTTATAGAAAAACAAATATATTTGGGTTCATTAATACACATTAAAATTATGAGGAAACATGTTTCCAAAATTATAAAATCATTCTTATATATAAAATACTGATATGGAACAGTTCAAAATTTCTTGCTTCCTACACTTTCATTAGAAATTAATGTTACTAAGAGTTTGAATTTTAATTAACATATATAATTCTGTATACAAAGCATACCAATAAATGTAAAATGTGTTTTGGGAGGAGAAGTTATAAGAAAGGGATAAAAATATGTTCTTTGTTGAGAAAAAGAAAAATTTGTCTAATTTAGAGGTTATTTAAAGATTGTTTCAAAATACGAATTTAGAAAGGAAATAGAAACAAGACAGAAAGGAACCAGTAAGTAGGAAACAGAGATGTGAAGAAAGTTTTAAGTGTGAAGATGTATTTTTGGCATGGAATGTTAGAAGTGAATAATTTTTCAAAATAACAAGGGAACAAGGAAAGTAAATTTTTATCCTAAGGTGACTTGTTATTTTAAAAAGCGAATGTATAGGACAAAACTAACGGCTTAAGCATGCCATCAAAGGTCTGTGCAGATCGTGAAAGGTTTTTGAGGGATGAATTTTATAAAAGGAGTTTTGTGTGTGTAATCAAGTTTGCTATAAATAAAAGGGAATTATGTATATCTTTCTAAGGATTAAGGATTATATACATAACTTAGTTTATAAGTTAAAACTTAATTTACAACTAAGATATAAAACTAAGATTTTGGTTTCTTATATTAGAACAACAGAGTTTTCTTGAAGTACTAATCTGCTCTTAGTAAAATTTGTGAAAGTCTTTGATTTTTAATTCTGTAAAATTTCAGCCATCTTCTAAACTGCAGCTTCTTTTTTTTTTTTTTTTGAGACAGAGTCTTGCTCTGTCACCAGGCTGGAGTGCTGGCGCCATCTTGGCTCACTGCAACTTCTGCCTTCCGGGTTCAAACGATTCTCCTGCCTCAGCCTCCTGAGTAGCTGGGACTGCAGGTGTACGCCACCATGCCAAGCTAATTTTTATATTTTTAATGGAGATGGGGTTTCACCATGTAGGCCACGATGGTCTCGGTCTCTTCACCCTGTGATCCCCTGGCTTCAGCCTCCCAAAGTGCTGGGATTACAGGCGTGAGCCACCATGCCCAGCCTCTGTTTTACAGTCTATTTACTTTCCCTAGTTTCAAATTAAAAGTGCTATGTTCTTCATTTAGGATGGTAATTTCATTTCTTGAGGTAAAGTTTTCCTCTTGAAGCTTTTCAGATTCATATCTCAGAAGTACAATTTTTGCTGTATCTTGCAGCACAGGATTTGAGGTCATACAACACTGCCTTCTGCTCTTCCTGTCCCTCCTTGAGAGGATACATCTTTTTGCTTGGCTAGGTTGATAACTCGCTCCTTCAACTTTTTCGTCAGCTCCTGAAACTTTTTTCTCTACTTCAAGCTCTGCTGTTATGACCTGATGCTCAAATGTTTGTCTTGAAGCCCTAGAAAAGCAATGTTCCCCTCCAGTATATCTTGATTCTGCAATCTTGGTTTTTCTTGATATGTTTGAATTGTTCCATCTAACCAGGCAATTTCATGTTTTCACTTTTTTAAAGAGCCATGTATTCCTCTGCTCAAGGTACTAGTTTTCTTGTTTACTTCTTCTATGATATGATGTAAACTCATACCACTGGACCCACTCTTCTTGTGTCTGATTAAATTCAAGTAGTTTTTCATCAGGTTAGACTTCCAGGTTATTTAAACGGGCTTCCAGTAAGAAGCAATTATATTGCAGGAAGCTTTTTCTTTCTTTCCCCCTTTTGGTAATTGGCCTAAGATGAAGATTTTTGTAAGTTCCTGTGCTTCACATTGTCTTTATTATGTTTTTTGATTATTTAGGAAAACTGAGCTTTGGAAAGGTTAAGGATTTTTGTTGGTTTGTTTTATATCCATGGAACTTTCTGTATTGTTTTTGAAGTCTTTCTGTAATCTAATTTTGATCAAGTGTTTTCAGCCTCTTGACAGTTTTTGAAAGTTTTCCCTAGGGTCAAGTTCTAAGTTTAATCTTTCTGACCTAAAACTAATTTTGTGATTTTTCCAGTTGGGCCCTGGAGAGCCTCAAAGACTGTATCTCTCAACTTATAGAGATATTAAATGATTAGGTTTACTTAGTAAATTGTATGGGAAGCATTGTCAAACGATAAGTGATGCTAGATCTTTTTTCAGTTACATTTATGAGTATGTTATTGATATGAATGTTCCAAGATCATATAAAACTCTTAGAAATCTAATATATCAGTCAGAATTCTTATTATGTTGTATGCCGCAAAGTAACCAAATTTCCTTGTCAATTTCTGGTTATCATGAACTTTCATCAAATTTTATTTATTTATTTATTTATTTATTTATTTATTTATTTATTTATGCTTTGCACTCTATTTTTCTGATTTCATCAGATTTTAAGCCACGGTTGTTTTCTATCTTTTTGTCATCCACGGTTACTGGTTTGAGTTCTTTTCTAAAGACATACTCAATCAGATTCATGGAAAAGACTCTAAGAAGTAGTCTTAAATATAAGTTTCTAATAACTTTAAGATCAAAGTTATTAGATAATAAAATAAATAAAAATTATGTACTAAATAAAAATTTTCAGAACTCTAATGAAGAAACTAATAAATTTATGAAACTAATAATCAAGCTCAAGCAGGAAAAGAATTAATTACATGAAATTAAATGAACTGATAAAAAATTTTATAGCCTATTTATTTGAAACATTGCTGGTTCTTTTCCTCAATGTTTTGTTTTCCAGATTGAAGAAAACTTTTTGTCTTAAGCCATCTATAGTTTACAGCTGCTTGGTAAAGTAAACATTTGTGAACAAAAATGAAAGCATTTACTTTTTCTTCCTACCTGATCCCTCCAAAATGGGAAAACTATTCATGACAATATGATTGTTTACTTAAGTTTGATAAGAATCTGTTCTCTTTATTATGGGATACAAGTGGAAACATTGGTTTTATCACAAAAGTTTTGACTAAATTGTCATATTTAAATTGTTTATAGGTACTACAGATAAAGTCTGAAGTCAGCTTTGGTTTGGCTTCCTACCCTCAAGAAGTTTTTAAGTTTGAGATTACCGTATGGTCAAATCACTATTCTTGCTGGCAAAATTTGATAAAACTAAACATATTTTACAAACAAATTAGTCTTACTGTGATTATCTTTGGTAAAAATAAGGATGACTATAGAGAGAATGTTATGTTTCTAAAGAAAAAAACTATAATACACCTATTATTAGGCTGTGCCCCTGTGCATTGTTTTCAAGTTCTTCTCTTCTACCTGTAGATCTGATCAGAACCTGAATTCTCCTAATTTTCTTCAATATTTGGCTGCAACTCTCCAACTAAGAGCAAAAACTGCTCTGTGCTTGCCGCCTTAGAAGATGAAGCTAGACAACTTGATATAAATTTCAAGAGACAAGTCTCATACCCGAAAAAAGAAGGACAAGTCTTGTGCCACACAGAAAGTTCACCAATCCACCTGATACCATAGCAGAGAATTCAAACTGCAAGCCAAGAGAAGTTGATGGCTTCATGCTATAGGCAGCGTTTCCCAAGACACTCCATCAAAATGAGACTCTTGCCCCTCTTAATTTTTCCTTTCTTATGCTTACCTTTTTCTTTGGCAAGATAATGATGTAATTCAGATTTCACAATCAGCAGCTTCTGCTCATAACTTAAAAGAACATGACCTCTTAGGTATCTATTGTTTAAATAAAAAAAAGTCTACGCTTCCACTAATACTACATGTTATACTTGGGTAAATTCCTCTGGGGAAGTTGAGGCCCATATCCACAGAATTTTTTAAATGGGTCACACAGTAACAACAGATGTCATCTAATTCTCAATGGTCATTTGCTTTATTCAATTGTTTGTCTTTAAGACTGGATTCATGGCTCAAAACCATTATACAAACTTGGATTTACCATATTACTATTAATTTTATTTTATATTTTTGTTTTTAAAACTTGTACCTGTTGCTTGTTAAATTTCTGCAGAAGTACAACTCCTAACAGAATAATGCTGGCCCAGTGCTTTGAGATTGTGGCCAAAATACTATGGAATAGACAAAACTGAACATAGCAATAAATTCCAGGTAGACTTAGCCTGAGAGCCATTTCCTCCAAGCCTCCCTTGTTGCTCAAATGTGGCTAGAACGCTTTTGACACAGATTCCTACTCACCAATCACGTCTTCTGATATGGGACCAGACCAACAATCTGGGACACATCCTGGCACCAAGGGACAATGAAAATCTAACTACAGGATGATTGAATGGTGATACTTTCAGAAAAAGATCTTGATCAAAAGGGGGGAAATGTGAAAGTTATCAGAATCAAAATAGAGTCACTTGTGTCAACAAGAAAAAAACAAAACCAAAAACAGCTGAAAAACAGTGCTTGGGAAGGCCATAAAGGGAGGATTCTCACGCACAAGTTCTTGATAACAAAACTACCACAAAAAATTCTGCAAAAACTACAACTTCACACAAAGGCCATCACAACCTTACACAGAAAACACTTCTTTGAGGACATCTGCCCAGCAATTGCCTTTCCAAACTTGGACTGACACCACCTTTGTTACTTATCCTTGTAGCCAAGGATAATTATCTCAAAACTATTATGTAATCCTCCTCATTTTTTTCTTACAAGACCTTTGTCTTCCTTTACCTCCCTGAATACACACATAGTTTACAATGGCACCCATATTCCTATTGCAATGCCCATTTCTGAATAAATATCATTTTCTGTTAGAGAATTTCCCTCTCTGTTATTTAGAATGACACAATTTGCTAGGATCAAATATTCTTTTAAACCAAGAGATAGCACTCTTGATTTAAAAGAGTGACATAGGGTTATATTTTTAAAGAAGTCAAATATGCTTCTAGTGCTTTTGGGCGTTGGCTCCTAATTGTTCTCTACCCACTTCCTTCCTAAACTGCTTAGAATCCTCAGCTCATTACCACTTATACTCTGCCAATGCTTTGCTCTCTGCCTTTCTGAACCACATATTTGCTAAAATTCCATCACTGTGTGAACCAAATTACTGACCTTCTCTGTGTCCTGCTAGAATTCCACAACACTCAGTATAGCGCCTATAAGAGTGTCTGGCACCTAAGGCCACCCAATAAACATTTGCTAAAGGAATGAAAAAAATGAAAATGATTGATTCGTCAAAATAAATTTCTAGTCACTAATGTCAAATGGGCTCTCAATTCACTAATATCAAATGAAATGCTTGGTAATCCTGTTGTGTTTCCTTAGCACATTGCCTGCTAGATTTCACAACAGTTCAGGCTTCTACTCTCTTGAAACCCTGAAATCTCAACAGATGGCTTTGCCTCTGGAAGTCATCTTACAGGAACTCTTTGACTTCCCACCATTAAATATACAAACCCATCCTCCTATCCTATCAATGTTCCTTCTGTCTTAACCCACACGAGACTCTTTTGGTCTCATGCCAGTCTCTCCACCAGGGCTGGAGAACCCAGTCCTACCACATTCAGATAGACTTTCCTCTCTCTTATACTTGTATATTCTCCTTTTCACAAACAAGTAGACCTTTCCTGTGAGTTAAAACATGCTTAAGTGTCTTCACTTTATAGCGCTTTGTAAAGTTCTCAATTTCCTCCGTGTTTCTATATTCAATGATTATTTTCCAGTCTCTCTCTTCCTTATCTTCTCAGCCACATTTGGCACTCCCTGCCTCCTGAAATACTGTTTTCTCTGGCTTTTGGAACACCACATTCTACTGATTTTCCTCATATCTCTCTAATGGCTTCTTCTACGTCTTTCTGCTCTTTCATCTTTCTCTACTAAGACTTTAAATTTCCTCGGTGTTCAGCTATAGAGCCTCTTCTCTCAATTTTGTTTTCTTTCTCTATCTCATCTCCACTCACAAATTCAAGTCCTATCTATATTAAAAAGGCTCACAAATTTGTATTTCCAGCTCAGATATTTCCTCTGAACACCAGACCTATATATTTAATTGCTCACTGAAATTTTCTACTTGGATATGTTAAGGCACTTTGAACTCAGCATGTCTAAAATTACACTCATGCCCTATCTTTACAGAACTCGTCTTTTCTCAGTGAATGCCACCACTGTCTACCCAGCTGTACCAGTTGAAAACCCAGAAGTCATCTTCAACAGCTCACCCCCTGTTGGCTCCCATATCCATTCCAACATGAAGTCCTGTTGACTTTCGTCACAAGTTCTTCTCAAATACACCTCTTTCTCTCTGTCCCCTTTTTTACTCCAGTGTCACCATCAACTCTTGTTTGGACCACTGCAGCCTCCCACTCTGGACTCCATAGATGCCTTGTTTTTTTGTTTTTTTTTTTTGAACTCCATAGATTGCTTTTCTCCAATGTGTTTTCCACATTGCAGCCAGAAAAATGTTTTAAAAAATAAACACAAATATAATTATGTCAACACACTCTCCTCCCTCCTCAGAAACCCCAACTCTTCAAGGTTCCCCATTGCTCTTAGGATAAAGTCAAAACCCCTAACCTGCTCTACAAAGCCCTACTTTCCAGGCTCATCTGCACTCCAGCTATCCTGGTCTTCTTTTGGATGCCATGCTTCTTCCTGCTTCATCCTGCTATTTCCTCTTTTTGAACATCCCTTTCTCTTCTCCCCAGTTCTTTCCTGTTCTCATACATACTTGGTTACCTATGACCAATCTTACAGATCTCAATTCAAGAATCTCTTGCCCGCCAGGTGCAGTGGCTCACGCCTGTAATCCCAGCACTTTTGGAGGCCGAGGCGGGCGGATCACGAGGTCAGGAGATCTAGACCATCCTGGAGAAGACTTTCCTCACCTCACCAACCACATCTACACACAGCACCATGCACTTATTCTCCCAAGTACTTCACAGTTTTAACTTTATTTCTCTGACTATTCTATTCTTGTCTAGTTCTACTATAAGCTCTATGATAGCAGGAACTGTGCCATCTTTTGCCCACCAATGTATCCCCAGCACCTCATATAGAGTCTGGCACATTGAATTTACAAGAAAAAAACAACCCCATCAAAAAGTGGGCAAAGGATATGAACAGACACTTCTCAAAAGAAGACATTTATGCAGCCAAAAGACACATGAAAAAGTGCTCATCATCACTGGCCATTGGAGAAATGAAAATCAAAACCACAATGAGATACCATCTCACACCAGTTAGAATGGCGATCATTAAAAAGTCAGGAAACAACAGGTGCTGGAGAGGATGTGGAGAAATAGGAACACTTTTACACTGTTGGTGGGATTGTAAACTAGTTCAACCATTGTGGAAGTCAGTGTGGCGATTCCTCAGGGATCTAGAACTAGAAATACCATTTGACCCAGCCATCCCATTACTGGGTATATACCCAAAGGATTATAAATCATGCAGCTATAAAGACACACACACACACATATGTTTATTGTGGCACTATTCACAATAGCAAAGACTTGGAACCAACCCAAATGTCCAACAATGATAGACTGGATTAAGAAAAGGCACATATACACCGTGGAATACTATGCAGCCATAAAAATGATGAGTTCATGTCCTTTGTAGGGACATGGATGAAGCTGGAAACCATCATTCTCAGCAAACTATCGCAAGGACAAAAAACCAAACACCGCATGTTCTCACTCATAGGTGGGAATTGAACAATGAGAACACATGGACACAGGAAGGGGAACATCACACACTGGGGCCTGTTGTGGGGTGAGGGGAGGGGGTAGGGGTAGCATTTGGAGATATACCTAATGTTAAATGACAAGTTACTGGGCGCAGTACACCAACATGGCACATGTATACATACGTAACTAACCTGCACGTTGTGCACATGTACCCTAAAACTTAAAGTATAATTAAAAAAATTAAAAAAAAAAGAACTTGGATAGAGCATAAACCTGAAGACAAGCTGCACACCTCCTCCTTTGAAGCTGGTTGAATGGACAAAGGTACAAATAAGCCTAATAATGGAGTGGAAGGCCTGGGCTATCACCTTCATCAGTGTTTTTGGTTTTGGTTTTTCATCCTATGGGAAAAAGTCAGTACTTTTATTGATGGGGCATTTGTTCCTCTGGATAGCTGAAGCTGCAGAAGTGTGGCTTCAGGTTTTGAGAACCTAAGTGATAGTTTTCTCTGTGTTGAGCAGGTATTTTCAATGAACAAAAAAGTACACAGAGAAGAGGAACAGCACACATTTTCCTTGGTGTGACCTTTGTCAATCTGGTGTCATTTTCAGATTTAGTGTGTGGGCTCAGCAACTCTACACACTCTGCTCAGACCATTAGCAGAAGTTTTACATTTTAATGGAGTCCAGATTATGCACTTTTTCTTTTGTGGATTATACCTTTGGTGCTATATCTAAAAAGCCACTGTCATTAATACGATTTGGAGGTTCTGTCCCATCTCATCTCATGTTGAAATGTGACCTCCCCTGTTGGAGATGTGGCCTATGAGAGGTGTTTGGGTCATGGAGGCAGATCCTTCATGAATAGCTTGGTTCTGTCCTTGTGGTAATAAGTGAGTTCCCATTTTATGTGTTCATCTGTGAACAAGGACACTTTTATTTATTCCTTCTTAATCTATATGCTTTTTATTTTCTTGTCTTATTGCATTAGCTTGGGCTTCTATGTATAATGCTGAAAAGCAATGGTGAAAGGAGACATCCTTGCCTTATTTCTTTTCTTAGCAGAAAAGCAGGAAAGCTTCAAGTTTCTCATCATTAAGTATGATGTTAGCTGTAGGCTTTTTACATATGTTGTTGATGATTTTCACATCTGCACTTATAAAGATACTGGTCTGCAGTTTTCTTTTTTTGTAATGTCTTTGTCTAGTGTTGGTATATAGAGAATGGTTCATAGAATGAGTTAGAAAATATTCCCTCTGCTTCTATCTTCTGATAGAGAATTGGTATGATTTCTTCCTTAAATGTTTGGTAAAATTCACCAGTGAACCTAGAGCTTTCTGTTTTGGGAGATTATTAGTTATTGATTCAATTTATTTAATAATATATACCTATTCAGATAGTTTGTTTCTTCTTGTATGAGTTTTGGCTGTGTCTTTCAAAGAATTGGTCCATTTCATATCAAATTCGTGGGCATAGCATTGTTAATAATATTTCTTTATTATCCCTTTAATGTCCATGAGATCTGTAGTGATTTCCCATCTTCTATTTCTGATAATAATTTGTGTTTCTCTATTTTTTCCTTGGTTAGCCTGGCTAGAGGCTCATTGATTTTATGGATCTTTTCAAAGATCCAGCTTTTGGTTTTGTTAGTTTTCTGTTTTGATTTCCTATTTATAATTTCATTGATTTCTGCTTTAATTTTTATTAGTTTTTTTTCTTTGGCTTACTTTGGACTTAATTTGGTCTTCTTTTTCTAGTTTTCTACAGTGGAGGCTTTTATTAGTTTTAATTTTTCTTTTGTTCTAATATATGAATTCAATGTATATACAAATATATCCATTCAATTGTATAAATTTCCCCATTATCACTGCTTTTGGTGCATCTCACAAATTTTGTTAAATTTTCATTTTCATTTAGTTCAAAATATTTTAACATTTCTCTTGAGGTTTTTTATTTGACCCAAGTGTTATTTAGAAATGTGCTGTTTAATCACCAGGTATTTGAGGATTTTCTATCTTTCTGTTATTGAATACTAGTTTAATTTGACTGTGTTCTGAGAGCAGACACTGTATGATTTATATTCTTTTAAACTTGTTAAGGTATGTTTTATGACCCAGAATGTAGTCTTGGTGAATATTCCATGTGAGCTTGAGAAGAATGTGTATTCTGTTGTTGTTGGATAAAGCAGTCTATAGATGCCAGTTATATCCAGTTGACTGGTGGTGTTTGGTGGTATTATTGAGTTCAACTACAACCTTATTGATTTTCTTCTGGTTGGATCTGTCCATTTCTGATAGAGGAGTGTTGAAGTCTCCAGCTATAATAGTGAATTCACTTATTTCTCCTTGCTATTCTACTAGTTTTTGCCTTACGTGTTTTGATGCTTAGTTGTTAGGCACATACACATTAAGAATTATTATGTCCTCTTGGAGAATTAACCTCTTTATCATTATGTAATGCTTTAAAAAATCTCTGATAACTTTCCTTCCTCTAAATTCTGCTCTGTCTGAAATTAATATAGCAACTCCTGCTTTCTTTTGATTAGCGTTAGCGTGGTAGAGCTTTCTCTATTTACTTTTAATCTATATGTGTCTTTATACTTAAAAGTGGGTTTCTTGTAGACAACATATAGTGGGGTCTTGATTTTTGATCCACTCTGACAATCTCTGTCATTTGATAGGTGTGCTTAGATCACTGAAATTTAAAGTGATTATTGATATACTTGGATTAATATATACCATATTTGTTACTGTTTCCTATTTGTTGCTTTTGTTCTTTGTTCCTATTTTTGTCTGGCAAACTTTTTCTGCCTTTTGTAGTTTTATTTGAGCATTATGAGTCTTTTTCTCTCCTTTATGAGCATACCACATATACTTCTTTTCTCACTTTTTAAATTGGTTGTCCTGAAATTTGCAATAAACATTTGCAACTATTTCAAGTCCACTTTCAAATAACACTCTACTGCTTCATGGGTAGTGCAAGTACCTTGTAATAACAAAACATTCCTAATTCCTCCTTTCTGTTCTTTGTATCATTGCTCTCATTTATTTCACTTACACATAAACATGTATACAGAATCATAAGTATATATAATTAAATATATTGTTGCTATTATTTTGAACATACTCATCTGTTAGATCAATTAAGAATAAGAAAAATTTCTTTATTTTATCTTCACTTATTCATTCTCTCATGCTCTTCCTTTCTTTACATAGATTTGAGTTTCTGAACTACATCATTTTTCTTTTCTTTTCTTTTTTTTGAGACAGAGTCTTGCTCTATCACCCAGGCCGGAGTGCAGTGGCATGATCTTGGCTCACTGCAACCTCCGCCTCCTGGTTTCAAGCAATTCTCCTGCCTCAGCCTCCTGAGTAGCTGGGACTACAGGCGTGTGCCACCATACCCGGCCAATTTTTTGGATTTTTAGTAGAGATGGGGTTTCACCATGTTGGCCAAGCTGGTCTCAAACTCCTGACCTCAAGCAATCCACCTGCCTTGGCCTCCCAAAGTGCTGGGATTACAGGCGTGAGCCACCATGCCTGGCTCTATGTCATTTTTTCTTCTTTAAAGAAGTTCTTTTAACATTTCTTGCCAGGCAGGTCTGCTGGCAACAAATTCCCCCAATTTTTGTTGATCTCAGAAAGTCTCTATTTCTCCTTCATTTTTGAAGGATAATTTTGTCGAGTACAGAATTCTAGGTTGGTGCTTTATTCCCCTCTTTCAACACTTTAAATATTTTACTCCATTTTCTTCCTGCATGCAAAGTTTCTGAAAAGAAAGTAAAAATGATTTTGATCTTCGCTCTACTACAGGTAAGGCATTTTTAAAATCTGGCTTCTTTCAAGATTTGTTTCTCTATTTTTGATTTTCTGAAGTTTGTATATAAAGGCCTTTTGTTTTGGGGCGTTTATCTTGCTTGATATTTTCTGAGATTCCTGGATCTGTGGTTTGGTGTTGTTCATTAATCTAGGGGAAATTCTCAGTTAATGTTGCTTCAAATATTGCTTCTGTTCATTACTCTCTTTCTTTTCCTTCTGGTATTCCCATTATGCATATGTTACATCTTTTGTAGCTGTCCTATGTTTCTCAGATATTCAGTTCTGTTTTTTCAGCCTTTCCCTTTGTTTTTCAGCCTTGAAAGTTTCTATTGTCATATACTCAAGCTCAGAGATTCTCTCCCCAGCCATGTGCAGTCTATTAAATGTACCCATCAAAGGCATTCTTCACCTCTATTACAGTGTTTTTGATCTCTAGAATTTCTTTTTGCTTCTGTGTTAGAATTTCCTTCTCTGCTTACATTATCCATTTGTTCTTGCATGTTGTCTATTTATTATCATTAAAGTCCTTGGCATATTAATCATAGTTTTAAAAAATTCCCAGCCTGGGCAACACAGCATGACTCATCTACACAAAAAATAAAATTAGCCAGGCATGGTGGTGTACATCTGTAGTCCTAGCTACTCAAGAGGCTGAGGCAAGAGGATTGCTTGAGCTGAGGAGCTCAAGGCTGCAGTGAGCTATGATCATGCCACTGCACTTCAACCTGGGCAACACAGCAAAAGTCTGTCTCTAAAAAATAAAATAAAATGTTCCTGGTCTGATGACCCACATTCCTGCTATATATGACTGGTTCTGATGCTTAGTCTATTCAAATCATGTTTTTTGCCTTTTGACATACCTTGTAATTTTTCCTTGACAGATGGACCTGATATACTGAATAAAAGGAACCACAGTAAATAATCTTTAGTAATGCTGTGATAAAGTATGGGGCCGGGGAATTGTTCTACAGTCCTATAATTAGGTCTCAGTCTTTTGGTGAGCCTGTGGCCCTGGACTGTGAACTCTGCCAGTGTTTTTCGATACTTTTCTCCCTTTGGGTGGGACAGGATGGCTAGAGGTGGCTAGAGTTGGGTTTTCTCTTGCTCTAGGAATGTTATGCCCTGGTAAAGTAGTTTCTTCTGAGGGCAGGCCTTGTTAAGGAGCAGAATGCTTTAGCATATTTCAAAGTGTTTTTTTTTTCTCCTCCCACGGCCAGAAGACTGAGGGGAATTTTTCCAGATATTCACTGTGAGGACCTGGCAAAGCTCCTGGAGGTAAAACTTACAGAAGTGTGGGGTCCCATGACTGGATCTCTCTGGGATTTTTAACTCTCATATTGTCCACACTGAACCTCCAGCTATTATCACTGTTCAGTGTTTCCAGCCCTGGTACAGGCTTCTACAGACGTTTCTGCTTGAGGGTTTCTGTTTGGGTAAGTTGTGATTCTCTGATTGTCTCTCCAATCTTTGGGGTAAGGGTTTGTCCTGTAACCTCACTTCTCTGACAGATCTAAGAGTGATTGTTTATTTTCAGTTGTTCAGCTTTTTACTGGTTGTTAGGATAGAGCAGCAACTTCTAAGTGCCTCACATGCCAGTCCAGGAATCAGAAGTGCTCAGACAACTGGCATTCACTTAGTTGAAGAAGAGGTGGCCTCTGTCAGCTATAGAAGGCTATCTTGAAAAGTTCAGTCATATTTGAAAGAGGGAAGGTAGGGAACTCACATTTATGCAGCATTTGTTCTGTACAAGGTACCCTGCACTCCCTACCTCTGACAACAGTAGTTCTTCTTTTTTTTTTATTTTTTTTTTTAGACGGAGTCTTGCTCTGTTGCCCAGGCAGGAGTGCAGTGGTGCTATCTTGGCCCACTGTAAGCTCCACCTCCCGGGTTCACGCCATTCTCCTGCCTCAGCCTCCCAAGTAGCTGGGACTACAGGTGCCCACCACCACGCCCGGCTAATTTTTTGTTTTTGTATTTTTAGTAGAGACAAGGTTTCACCATGTTAGCCAGGATGGTCTCAATCTCCTGACCTCGTGATCCACCCACCTTGGCCTCCCAAAGTGCTGGGATTACAGGCGTGAGCCACCGCACCCAGCCAACAGTACTTCTAAGTGGGGTTGTCACCACCATTTTCTCGAAGGGAAAATTGAGGCCCAAAAGGGGCTCAGTAAGGCATAAAAACATCACACATTAAGTAGAAGAACTGGAATTCATGTTCTTGGCTTTAAACAAATGGGCATTTATTGAGCATATGCCATATGCCAGGCTCCGTGGCAGGCACTGGGGATACAGAGAGCAGAACATAGTACCTGAAATGCAAGATAATATTACAACACAGAGTATCACGGGCCCCCTGAGAAGGTGAACCAAACCTGTGACAAGAGAAGGGTTTCCTAGAGGGGAAGCTTGGTCCTGATGGTGCATGAGTAGAGGTCACACGGGACAGAAGCAATAGGGTTGAGGAAACTTCCATATAGAGGAAAGGGACTGTGCAAACATGACCCATTTGAGGGACCTGAGAATGGCTTTGTGTGGCTGGAGCAGTCAGTGTGTTTTGATAAGTGGCAATGGATGAGTTTGGAGAAAAATGTAGGGGTCATATTCAGATTTGAAAGTTTCTATGAATCTTCTAAGAGCTTCCAGTTTAATTCTGAAATCGATGAAGAGCCAAGAAAAGTTTTAAGCCATGGAATGCCATGATTGTGTGTGCTTTCAGGAAGATAATTTGATGGGTGAGCAGACTGAGGGAAGGAGACTGGTTAGGAGGCTGGCCCTATGGTCCCAGGGAGGAAGGCTGAGGGTGTGAACCAAAGCATGGGCAGTGGAGTGGGAGAAGCAATTCCTGCACAGGAGAACTGAGTAGCTTCTTGATCAAACTGATGTAGGAAGAGAGAGAAAGGAAGGAGGCTAGGAAGACGCCCTTGTGTCTGGCTTGGGCAGCTGGAGAATGGTGGTATCATTCACAGAAATAGGAAGAACAGAAGGAAGAACAGATTTTGTGGGGGAAGATGGTGAGCGTGGTTTTGGACATGTTGAATTCAAGATGCACATGGGAAATCCAACTGGTGTTACTTAGTAGTCAGACATATGCAACAGGAGCTCACCAGGAAGCCTTAAGTGAAGTCAAAACCATGGCTGTGACTGAGCCTCTCACAGGAGAACATGTGCAGTTAGGAGAGAAGGGGCCATGGTCAGTATGCTGGGGAGTGTTCACAGTTAAATAATAGACTGATGGAGAGGAGTTCAGCAAGGAAACCAAGAATGAGTGAAGCGAGAAGTAAGAGGGAGGGATCACATGGAGGCAGGTGCTGCAGCCTGTGGTTAGGAGCAGAAGCTTTGTGGCTGAGACTGGCTTGGTGCTCAACAAACCCATCTCTCCCTTCCTGGGCATATAAATAAGCTCCATTTCTCAGCCTCCTTGCATCTAGGTAGAGCCAGTGACTAGGGTTGCTACTGAATGTGAGATGAGGTAATGTGCAATTAAATGCAGGTGCATCTTCCTCAAGTTCTTCTCCTTCCCATCCATAATCCCTTTGGAGATCACATGTAAAAGGAACTCTGGAAGGAAAGCTCTCAGATTTTGAGTTTTATTAATTATACCAGCATAACCTAGCCTATCTTTCCTGCGCCTGGCTCTGGAGTCACACAGCTGGATTTGAATCCTAGCTCTACCTTTTGAATCCTGGCTTTACCTCTTGCCAACCATGTGACCTTGAGTAAACTTCTTAATTTCTCTGTGCCTCAGATCCCTCATCAGGAAAATTGGGATAATAATAATATAGTTGTCTGAGGATAAAATGAGGTAATAAATATGAAGCACACCGACAAGTATTAAAAGCTCTAGAAATGTTGAAAGCTAATGGAAAGAATGTCAGGAATGGGGGAATGGTTCACGACAGGAGTCAGCAAACTATGGCCTGCAGGTCAAATCCACTCTGCTGCCTATTTTTATATGGCCTTTCAGCAAGAATGAATTTTACATTTTTAAATGGTGGAAATAAATGACATGAAAATTATATGGAATTTGAATTTCAGTATCCACATATGATGTTTTACTGCAACAAAGCCACATTCATTGTTTACATATTGTTATGGCTGTTTTGCTCAATGATGGCAGAGTTTGAGTAGTTGCAACAGATAACATACGGGCCCACAAAGCCTAAAATATTTACACTGCCTGGTCCTTTACAGAAAAAGTGTGGTGATCCCTAGTTTACGGTGTCAAATGCAGCAAAGGTCAAGAAAGATAACTAAAAAGGGTTAACTGGAATTGGCAAAAGATTACTAGTGAGCTTGTTAATGGCTTTATTGGAGTGGGGAAAGTGGAGAATAGATTTTGGTGCCAGGCAAATCAAAGTTTGATTTCTGACTCTACAGCTTGCTAGCTTTATGGTCTTGGGAAGTCAGTTAACTTTTGTGAGCTTCAATTTCCTTGGCTTCAAATTAGGGATTAACAGAGCTTACTTCTTGAGTTATTGTAAGGATCAGCAATAATGCATGTAAACCATAAAACACATTCCTGGTTTAGAGTAGGTGCTAAATAAATGCAAGTTCTTGTTTCATTTAATCTGCTGCAAACAAAATTGTCATTCCTTTATAGTAACTGCATTTTCACTTTTTAATTTTTTAAAAGAATTTTTTTTTCTGGGCTTTCCAGCAAAAACTAGAAAGCCTGCTAGACAAATTCTAAAAGAGCTGTAACACTATATTTTCACTTTTAATATTTTAGTTTTCTCTTCCATCTTCTGCTGGTTTACATTATATTTTAAGTCACTGCTCAAATCTCACCTCTTTAATGAGGGCATACCATTTAATATGGACCATCCTGATTAATGTGGTAATCTGTTCCTCCCCCAGCATTCCTAACCCCCTTACCTTTTCTACTTTCTTTTCTCATAGAGTTTATCACCTCTGACAATCTAGAAAACTGACTAATTTACTATGTTTATTGTTTACTTTCTGTCTTCTGCACTCTGATGTAAGCTTCTTGCCACAAGAGCCCTTGCTTCTTTTATGTAATTATATTCTAAGTGCCTAAACAGAAACTGGCACACAGTCGGTGTCCAATTAATACTTGTTGAATGATTAAATGAAAAAAGAGTAGATGAGGATTAAAAAAAAATCCTGCTCAGGACTGGATATGTTCCTTCCATCTTGGGACTGGGACTTGTCTTATTCATCTCTGTAAAATTCTCAACTATTATCTGTTAAAAAATAACTGTAAAATTCTCAACTATTAACTGTTAAAAAATAACCTCGGCTCCATCACCTCCATTCTCTCTTTCTGGAATTCCTTTTAGAATATGTTGAACCAATCATTCTATCCTCAATGTCTCCTAAGTTCTTTCTCATATTTGACAACTATTTAGCTCTGTGTTTTATTCTATGGCAATTTCCTCTACTCTATCAAGTGCCTTTTTAGCTGCATCTAGTTTACTATTCAACCGTTAATTGAATTTCTGTTTCAATTGACGATATTTTTGTGTGTGCCTACAATGCCTGTTTCTTCCCTTTTTCTTTCTTCTTTTCCATTTGTTCATGTATTTGTTTCATGGCTTCTAATCTTCCCTTTCAATATTTTGAATATCCTTATATTATGATTTCTTTCAGATTTTTCTGTTCTTTCTAGTTCTTGGGGGGTGTGGAGTCTTCCATTTCTTTAACTAGCTGGCTTCCTTGTTGTGAATCATTTCTTTGTGCAGTCTGTAATTTTAGATTGTAAGTGGTTGTTTTGCATTAGCCTCTGCTGGAGTCTTATGGGTCAGCAACTGAAAAGGCTCCCAATACATATCATTGAATGACCTGTCTTTGGAGGTTAGGATGGGAGGCAGTACATTGTGGCAGAGGCAGCACAACCTCTTTCTTTTGTAAATTGCCCAGTCTTGGGTATGCTAGAGAATGTGCCCTAAGTTCACATCCTTATTGTGAAACTATTTATGTAACCTTGGGTAAATTACTCTTCTAGTCCTTTTTTTTTTTGTCTGTGATATAGAGATAATAATTCTTACTTCCTAGAGATGTTGTGAAGAATTGCTGAGTTAATATAAGAAACTCGGCACAACGTTTTGCATGTAATAAGTGCTTAATAGATGTTAAAAATTACTATAAACATGTGTAGCTATTATAGCACTTGCCAACATCATCTCCTTGCTTTGTGCTATAAGGAAAGAACTTTATACTCAAGAAAATAGCTCCTGAATACGTATATGAAATATACAGCCAGCCATTACACATGGACACTGGTCTGATCTGTTTGCTTTATTTGTGATGAATATTAGTTAAAGATGGGAACAAAGCCTCCCCCAAGAACATGTTCACTTGGCTTTTAGCCATTGCTGAGGAGCACTGATGAGAGGCGGAAGAAAGTTTTGGACATTTTTCTTTTTTAAAAATAAAGCCTAATTAGGGGGTTGGCTCATTTGCCAACTATTTTGGTTCATTAAAATATAGCAGCAGAGAGAGTTCTTCTGCTGAGAGGAAAATGACCCAGATAAATGTCTTCAGTTTTATTCAAAGAGAAAATGTATTTAACTTCTTGGCTATGCTTTCCTCGTTCATCATTCCCTTCCACAGACTAGTGATATGGTTTGGCTCTGTGTCCCCACCCAAATCTCATCTTGTAGCTCCCATAATTCCCACATGTTGTGAGAGGGAGCCAGTGGGAGATGACTGAATCACAGGGGCGGGTCTTTTCTGTGCTGTTGTGATAGTGAATGGGTCTCACAAGATCCGATGGTTTTAAAATCAGGAGTTTCCCTGGACAAGTTCTCCCTTTGCCTGCTGCCATCCATGTAAGATGTGACTTGCTCCTCCTTGTCTTCTGCCATGATTGTGAGGTCTCCCCAGTCATGTGAAACTGTGAGTTCTCCATTAAACCTCTTTCTTTTATAAATTGCCCAGTCTTGGGTATGTCTTTATCAGCAGCTTGAAAATGGACTAATACAGTTAGCGATAAAATAGCAGAGCCCTGAACCTGTAGCTGATGCTCAGTAAATATTATTAGTTTATTAGTGGGAAGGGATAGAGACACAGGCAAATTCTTGGGCAAGAGAACCTCATTTCTATCCCATGTTAACGTTTGATGATAAACCTTTCTTTAATTCACTGTGTTTTGAATCTTAGGACAAGGGAGTGCCAAAAAGCCAAACTTAGTGAATGAAAACTGTAGACTACTGTAATTTATCATGTAATATGTTATTAGTTATCTGTATATATTTCACAAAATGAGTTTTTATAATTCAAATTTTCATAAAACATTTACAAAGGTTCAACTTAAAAACATTTAAATAGAGAACTATTTTCAGATTTTAATTACCTGATCTTCATAATCAGATCCTGTATCAATGATCTCTCCAGTGTCCAATATCATCGAAGGATCAAGGTCACTTGAACCTAAGATTAGGAAAGAAAAGATAAGTGGATGGAGGTTGTCTATGTATGTTTCTAAAGCAAACAGTCTCTCACTAGGTTTCCATATTTTCCTATATCACATTAAATTCACAAACATTTCTAGACTGTTCTCATCTGCCAGGTACAATGTTTTGCTGGAGATTCAAAATGCAGAGACTCTGGACACTGTCTGCATCCTTAAGAAGAAGAAAATACTGTGAGGAAGAATAATTTGTCAACAAGAGTTATTATTAAAGGTTCAGCAACCCAAGAGAGTGAGCTACTAATTCTGATTAGTAGTAGAGGTGATGGTGGAGTTAAGATTCTTCATGAGGTACTAATCTATGATCCTGAATTTTGAGGGTGAATACAGGTTGTCCAGGAGGGGGAGCAGTTTCAGGATTTGCAACAATAATGGAAGTAGAAGGAACACCATGAGCAAAGTACAGAGTGGGAGGAGAGTAAGGGGTTTCCAGAAACAGGAAGGGCTAAGTTTGCGTACTCCCTGAAAACTCGAGTTTTTCCTCAAGCCTTCGGGTCACCTTAGTTGCTGAAGGTAAGAAAAATCGGGTTAACTTAATGTATGAATAGAGAGATTATTTCCCTTAGGTACTACAGGTTTCATTAAATCAGTTACCCATTAATCCCCAAGGCTCAGACTTAAACTGGTAATTTTTACAATGGGACTTCTGAAGCACAACTGATTCATCATTCTCATTTAATAACTCTTTCCTGCTAGGAAATATATATCATCTAACTACCCAGAAAGACTGAATTCAGTGCTGCCCATAAAATATTATATATCCTGTGAAAAAACATTGTTTCACTGTAAACTTGGCCTTGGCAAATCATTCTTAGTCAGAATATCCAATGAGTAATGCATAATGAATATAAATTTGTAAAAAATGTTAAGCATCTCATACACTTCTCAGATATAGACCTGTCCCCGATGTTGCTTTCATATTTTCTTTCCAAATGAGTCGGGGTATGTCCTTACACAGTCTTCTCTCATCTCTTCTCTTTTTTCCCCCTTCTCTTCTCTTATCATTGTCCCTGCTGTCTACCAACTTGACAAAGTAATAGCCATTACCAAATTGATTAAGTTCTAAGCAGTAATGCCAGTGTTTACTGTGTTTATATCTTTACATTTTTTACAGGATGATAAAGTTTTTCAAAATGGACATACTAAACCATCAAACCATTTTGGAAAAGTAATCATAGCGTTGCCATGAAGAGTTGCAGTTGCATAAGTGTGTTCAGAACAACCCTGGGTGATGCTAGTCATGCTGTCAGCACAGCCCTTGCCAGACCACTGTTCATAAGATGGCTGCTAGAATGGAGTTGGCAAGACTACCCACCATACTATTAACAGAGATTAGAAGGTAGAGGTGGGAAACTTTAATTTACATATGTATTTTAACATTAGTGGGATTATACATAATTTTTCTACCTTTGTACTTTTGGTATTTTTTTCAAATAAATAATTTTGTAAGGTGTATTTTGGGGCCAAAATACTCAGCCGTCGTAAAGCCCAGTTTGAAGGTCAGTTTGCACTTATGTTGTGAGGCAGTAAGTATCAGAAATAAAAAAAAAATCTATATATGTATTTTTCCCATTATAAGATAATAGACATTTTAGAACTATCAGGTTGGTGCAAAAGAAATTGTGGTTTTTGCCACTACTTTCAACGTCTGTTTCACAGAATCCCACTTCTCATTTTAGAAAAGAGGAAAATGAGATGCAGAGAAGTTAAAAAACTTGGCCTAGGTCATGTAGAAAGTGCCTGAGACCAAAGGCAGAGCCAGTAGCTCCTACTTCTCTTTATAACACACCATGCTGACTCCAAATTCTAAGCAAGGGCAATCGAAATGGGTTTATACAGACCCTCTTTCGCTACAGTGCTCTGCAGGAAAGGACCTGGAGGAGCATGCTGTCAAGTCCATGTGCTGAGAAAATGAGGAACAGTGAATGGTTGATGATGACGCAGGTCATAGGGTGGCTGTGGAAATGGAAGAATCAGAAGTGGAATTAAGGAGTCTCATTCAAGCTGGTAACAATCAATGCTCCCTTCTAGGTGGCTGCTATTGAAAGCATCATTAAAGATAACACAAATTTTATCTGGCTTTCTTTACTTCCACAATATGATTATTATCTGCCACTGACTGGTGGAAGTGGTGATAGCTATTGGATTCAAATGATACCTTTGCTTCACCTGTACTTAGAGTGATTCATGTGGAGTGAGTACTGTGATCTGAACATGAAATCTTTTTAAACATATAGCTGCTTTTAGTACCCGTGTCCTACTTATTTTATTTAATTACAAAGTGTTCTTTCCGTTGTTTTCAAAAACGACAATGTGAAAGGCTCTTAAACAACTCAGTTAACGGATATTACACGTTAATACTTGAAAACGGAGCAAGATAATTAGAAAACTATCATCAGCAATGGTAGAATGAAAATACCTTTGTTTAAAAGAAAGCTTCATGCTTATAAGTAAGAAGAGATTGGATTTCCTAATAAAATGTATGTTGTTTTTTTTTGACAGAGTCTCCCTCTGTTGCAATAAGATGCTTTCAACAGGAATTATATTGTATCATTAGGGATGAAATTTCTTGAAACATTGTTACTCCTGGCAACAGGATTAATATATCATAGGAGGCAACAGACAAAGGATATCATTATCAGCTTGGATAATGATTGAATGGCTTTCATTTTCTTTTAGCATTGGTTTCTTGGTTTGCTGAAAATGGGACCTTTAATAATACTCTAAGGTTTGACACAAAAAATAGAGGGAAAATATAGACAAATGTACACATTACTGCCTTCTTTCGTTGGATAATTTAACACATAAAACAACTGCAATGATATTGTTACTCAAAAAAGACAGAAAAATTAGGATGTTACGAAAAAGTGATAGTGTAGCTTTCATTTTCCCCGTTTTGAATTTTTCAATTTCTTTCCAGATTTAAAAATATTATTTCTATAGATGACAGAGAAAGGTATGCGCTGAAATACAGAACCCTAGAGGAAGCACCCAGTGCTGCTAGTTTTAGAATGGCCTTCAGAAATATTATTTTCAGGTTGGCTCCTTAAATTTAAGGGGGAAGGTGATACAAATTAGCTTTAGAGGTACCAGAGGCTAACCATATTACTTTCTGGGTCAACGTTACAGATGTTTTTCCTCCTAGTGGATCTTTAACTCAAAGTTTTAGGAAAATCCTCCTCCCACTTTGAGTACCCCATAAAGACACTCCTACAATTGCAGGGCTTCTTAAGCAGTGAAGGGTGTCCGTAAATAAAACTCCTCCAACCCTTAAACTGCACCCTCTGAGGAAAGCAGTTTCTCCCTTGTCCTGTCCCTTACAGCGTAGCTTACAGTTTTATTTTCATTAACAGTTTCGTTACAGTTTAATTTTAACGAAAATTAAACCTGTAAGGGTTGTGTTTCATTTCTGAATCTAAGAACAAAACTTAGAAGGTACATGTGTTCAATGCATACGTACCAAATGACTAAAAATGAAAGGACACTTCCACTTTACCTGTACAGGTCTTGCTCTCATTGATCCATGCTACAAACATTAAATGTCTCCTATAAGTGCCTGACCTGCATTAAGCACTGAGAGGCCAGCTCGAATTCCACAGGCATGGAAAGTGTTCATTACAATGTGTAGGAAGAGCACTGTATTTACTTGGAAAAATATTCTGACGGTATTTGGGACTAGAACTCTTTGAGGGATCTGGGTGTTGATGGGTTGCTCTGGGTGAGAAGGGGAAGTGGGGAGTTTTTCAGTTACTCCAGGACAGGGTTGGGGCAGGGAGGAGGGCAGAGAAGGAGAAGAGAGAAGAAGTAGATCCAGGAAAAGTGGAGAAAGTTGTATTGTGTAAGATGTGGTTTCTCCCCATGAGCCCTCAAATCTGCTGCAAAGACAGGAACCCATAGATAGCCTTTTCAATGTGACAACCACATACTTTGCATACAGAAACCATTTATTTTTCAGAACAATCCTCTGGGGTAGCTGCTATTATTATCCCCTCTTTATAGATAAGGAGATGGAGGCCCAGAGCAGTTGAGTGACGCAGCCAGATGGCTTTGCTAGAAGTGTGGGTGGAGGGCTTCATTGAGGGGGAGACACTGTAGACAGGCCTTGAAGAAGCAGACGATCAGAGCAATGGTAGTCTCTAAGAAAAGTCCTGGTACACCTGTGGGTCACAGGGTGCTATTCAAGGGCCTAATCTAGTCTGGGGTGGGGTCTGAGAAAGTCTCCTTGAGAAAATCACCACGTTTACTCTGAGGCGCAAAGTAGAATCTGGCCAGGTGCAGGATGGGGCTCTATGGGGTTGGGAGAGTGAGAGGGATGCAAATGAGGAGAGGCATTTTCTAAGCAGAGAGAAGAGCAGGTGGAAAATGCCTAAGGCAGGAAGGAACTTGAGGTATTCAGAGAACTGGGGGAAGCTGGTGCCAGTGACGTTGGGGAGGGGATGTTATGGCAGTAACAGGACCACTGCAGGAAAGCAAAGGATTTGGGGCTTTCTTCTGTGCTAAGGGTACTCGTGGCCAGCCTGCAGGAGTCATTGAAGGTTTTGTTTTGTTTTTTTTTCAGAAAGGCAGGATGATTAGAGCTGCATTCTGTGAAGATCTCCATGGCAGCAGGACATTCATGACAGACAGGAGAGGCCAGGGATGAGGAATGACAAAGCGTTTGGTGACTGCAGTGGGAATAAAGACAAAGGTTTGGACTCCCAAGGTGCCCCCGTGGATTGATGATCAGTGTGGAGTGTGAGGGCAAGAACACTTCTGCCTGGCTCCCCGGAGAAAGGTCAAGGTGAGAGAAAGAGAATTGGATGCCATTCATAGGAGGCGATATGGGAGCTGTGGGGCAGCTGAGATTCTGCAGAAAGAGAGTTGAGAGAGAAAAAAACAGTGGCGGGACCAAACCTGGAGGCTGACAATTCATAGAGCAGAGGCCATGGATATGACTTATTTATTGGGTGAGTCATCAACATTTATAAGCCAGGAGATTTCACCATTGTTCCTTAACAGCGACAGTTTCCTGGAGCTACACAGTATCTGCCTCCTGCAGGGGAGGCACCATTTACTTCTAGTTTACTGCACTTTATTCACCTAGGGCTGTTTTAGAGAAAACAAACTTATTCTAAGGCTGAAGCAGAAGCCAGCTTTCAGGGGGTCTCAGGAGTGGAAGAGTTAGCGGGAGTTGAGGCTGCAAGCACAGAGTCTTCTGTTTATGAGCTCTGAGGTACAGAGAGGAGAAAGTAGACACCTGGAAACTGCTGTTAAGGCTCAGGCACTATGCACTTTACCAAGGGGACCTTAAGAGAATGAGGACACAGCACGTGTCCTCAGGCGGTTTCCTATTGGTACAGAAACCAGCACAGTTGCATCACTGCAGGGCACAAGGCTCCCTAGTGGAGAAACACCGCTAGGGAGCCACGAAGTGCTGGGTGTCCCAAAGAAGGGGTGGCTTAAATCAGCCCCTCCATCCCACTGTATTAGCAAACTGAGGATATCTAGCAGTTAGATATTTGTCGTTAGAGGTAGTCACTTCTAAAGCATCTTCTAAATAAAATATTAACTTGAAAAGCACAGAGTCATAGTATTTTTCAGAGCAGCAGTAGTCATGTTTTCATAATCTTAAATGATTCTCAATATTTCATCTTTCTTGCAATAGGCCAACTTTTTATAAATCTCATCAGAAAGTTAGGCAGATGAGTTTACATCGGTTATCTGTGTTCTGTGGGTCTGCCCAGAAAGACTACCACCTTACCCTTGTAATTCTGTCTTTCTTTGAAGCTACTCTTAGGTGGCTTCAAATAGTGATTTAAAATGTTAAGTGTTTAGCCTTTTTTCTTTGTGGCCCCAAGCTTTTGGTCTTTACCCTTTGAGATCATTACTCAGAAGAAAGAAGGTCAGGACTGAGACTAAGATTGGAGAGTCATCCACATAGAATTGATGTTGAAGCCACCTGTGACAATGAGTTGGCTCAGGGTCAGAGTACGGAGAGAATGAGAGGGGGGTCAGGACAGAACCATGAGTACTGCCTACATTAGGAGGTATGATTACTCTACATCAGAGTCCAAAGTCAAAATTCCAGGCAAGAGCACTTAGGAAGAGAAGAGGTAGGGTCACACAGGAGCTGTGGGTTGGGATGGGAGTGGCTACCAGATTGGAGGGGATGCTTTTATCCAGGCAATGAGGTAGAAACCTATCGTATGAGTTAGGGGGTCCTGGAGATATTGTAAATTTTAATTGTACAAAGTATGGGTTAGGTTAGATATTTTTCTATTATAGTAACATAGGCCCTATGTTACATTGTGACTACCTGGTAATTTACATGTGCAATGACTGGAAGAAAAGCAGCAACTATAAGGAACAGATTTATAGCCTTTCCTCTCTACTTTGTTTTATACTTTTATTTTTATACCAGAAAGTATAAGACTTTGTCATCCTTCAAAACTTGCAGCAGTTTGTTGAACTTCAACCATTAATACAAAGCCCCAGACATTTGGCAGGTGATCACGGCGTACTGTTGTCTAAAGGACACAGTGACTTACCTGCTGCAGCCTCTTTGTTTGGAAATAACTTGTTGTCAACTGCCATGCTGATGTCATAGAACACCTCATCCTCATCGCGGTCGGCATCAAACTGGGGGAAATCAGGACAGACAAGTTTGGAATGTGAGAATACACAAATTAGTTAATTCAAAAATATAATGAGCATCCATCACACAACTGTATCTCTAATGAAGCAGAACAACAGGAATTAAAGCATTTGAGTCTTTAATCAGACATTTAGAGGGTTTTAAGCCCAGACCTCCTATCGAACAGAGAAGAGTATTAGGGAATAAATGTACAGTCACTTATGGTTAAAAAAAAGTGTAATATTTTCTTAATTTATGGAGCACGTTTGGAAAAACTAACTGAAATTTATCTTGTGGCTTTCTGACTTCATTTTTCTAATTTGAAAAACATGAAAATATATAGTTCTAAACAGTAGATGTTCTAAACTTATTGTTAAAAACAAAAACAAAAACAAAAACACAAAGAGGCTGGGTGCAGTGGCTCACTCCTGTAATCCTAGCACTTTGGGAGGCCGAGGTGGGCAGGTTGCTTGAGGCCAGGAGTTTGAGACCAGCCTGGCCAACACGGCAAAACCCCGTCTCTACTAAAAATACAAAAAAATTAGCCAGGCATGGTGGCATGTGCCTGTAGTCCCAGCTACTAGGGAGGCTGAGGCACGAGAATCACTTGAACCCGGGAGGCAGAGGTTGTAGTGAGCCAAGATGGCGCTGCTGTACTCCAGCCTGGGGGACAGACTGAGACTCTGTCTCCAAAAACAACAACAACAACAACAAAACCTCCAAACCAAATTTCAGATACTATACTAGATACAATATTATAGATGTGGTCTGTGGATTCTATGGATTTAGATATAACAAAAATTATAGATTTAAATATTTATTTTATAATTCTCTAAAATTTACAAAATTTTAAATATTTTAAAATGACATAGTTATATTTATGAATTCTCTATTTTCTGAGTTTTTCAGTGGTTTGTTAACACATTTTTGTCCCTTTAGTTTTTAAAAATAGCTTTACTATGACAAAAACAAGTAATGCAGAAAAGACTCCCTATTCAATAAATAGTGCTGGGATAACTGGCTAGCCGTATGCAGAAGATTGAAGCTGAACCCCTTCCTTACACCATATATGAAAATGAACTTAAGATAGATTAAAGTCTTAGATGTAAAACCCAAAACTATAAAATTCCTAGAAGACAACCTAGGCAATACCATCCTGGACACAGGAATGGGCAAAGATTTCATGACAAAGATATGAAAAGCAATAGCAACAACAGCAAAAATTGACAAGTGGGATCTAATTAAACTTGAGAGCTTCTGCACTGCTAAAGAAACTACCAGCAGAGTAAACAGACAACCTACAGAATGGGAGAAAATATTTGCAAACTATGCATCTGACAAAGGTCTACTATCCAGCATCTTACAAAGAACTTAAACAAATTTACAAGAGTAAAACAAATACCTCCATTAAAAATTGGGCAAAGGACATGAACAGACATGTCTCAAAAGAAGACATACATGCAGCCATCAAGCATATGAAAAAAAAGCTCAATATCACTGATCATTAGAGAAATGCAAATCAAAGCCCCAATGAGATACCATCTCATAGCAATCAGAATGACTATTATTAAAAAGTGAAAAAATAACAGATGGTAGTGAGGTTGTGTTGGTGGGAGTGTAAATTAGTTTGACCATTGTGGAAAGCAGTACGGCAATTCCTCGAAGAGTAAAAGCAGAACTACCATTTGACCCAGCAACCCCATTACTGGGCATATACCTGGCGGAGTATAAACCATTCTCCCATAAAGACACATACACGTGAATCTTCATTGCAGCATTATTCACAATAGCAAATACATGGAATCAACCTAAATACCCATCAATGACAGATTGGAAAAAGGAAATGTGGTACATATATACCATGGAATACTATGCAGCCATAAAAAAGAATGAAGTCATGTCTTCTGTGGGAACACAGATGGAACTGGAGGTCATTGTCCTTACAAAACTAATGCAGGAACAGAAAACCAAATACCACATGTCCTTACTTGTAAGTGGGAGCTAAACGATAAGAACTTATGAACACAAAGAAGGAAACAACAGACACTGGGGTTTACTTGAGCGGGGAGAGTAGGAGGAGGCAGAGAAGCAGAAAATATAACTATTAGATACCGGGCTTAATACCTGGGTGATGAAATAATATGTATAACAAACCCCAATGACATATGTTTACCTATGTAACAAACCTTTACATGTGCCCCCAAACCAAAAATAAAAATTAAAAAAGAAAAAAATAGATAACATGACAAACAAAAATAAAAATAACTTTACTGAGTTCTAAGTGATACACAATGAACTGCACATATTTAAAATATGCAGATTATAAGTTTTAAAAATTGATAAGTGGGACCTAATTAAACCAAAGAGCTTTTGCACAGCAAAAGAAACTACCAACAGAGCAAACACACAACCTACAGAATGAGAGAAAATATTCACAAACTACACATCCAACAAAGGTCTAATATCCAGAATTTATAAGAAACTTAAACAATTCAACAAGCAAAAAACAAATAACCCTATTAAAAAGTGGGCAAAAGACATAAACACTTCTCAAAAAAAGACTTACAAGTGGCCAAAAAACATGAAAAAATGCTCAACATCATTAATCATCAGAGAAATGCAAATCAAAACTACAATGAGATACCATCTCACACCAGTCAGAAGGCTATTATTAAAGAGACAAAAAAAGATGGATGCTGCAGAGGCTGCAGAGAAAAGGAAATGTTTTTACTATTGGTGGGAATACAAATTAGTTCAGCCACTGTGGAATGCAGTTTGGAGATTTCTCAAAGAACTTAAAACAGGTTCTTTGACCATTTGACCCAGGAATTCCATTACTGGGTATATATCCAAAGAAAATAAATCATTCTACTAAAAAGACAAATGCACTCATATGTTCATTACAGCACTATTCACAATAGCAAAGACATGGAATTAACCTGGGTCCCCAACAATGGTGGACTGGATAAAGAAAATGTGGTACATATACATCATGGAATAAGACACAGCCATAAAAAAGAATGAAATCATGTCCTTTGCAGCAACATGGAAGCATCTGGAAGCCATTATGCTAAGTGAATTAGCAAAGGAACAGAAAACCAAATACCACATGTTCTCACTTATAAGTGGAAGCTAAACACTGGTTATGCAGGGAGATAAAGATGGGAACAACAGACTCTGGGGACTACTAGAGAGGGGAGGGAAGGTGGGGGACAAAGTTTGAAAAACTATCTATTGGGTACTGTGTTCACTACCCGGGTGATGGCGTCAATCATACTCTAAACCTCAGCAGCATGCAACATACCCAGGTAGCAAATCTGCACATGTACCCCAAATCAAAATAAAAATTGAAATTATATTTAAAAAAACAAATTATAAGTTTTGATATATGTCTACACCCGTGAAACCATCATAAAAATAAAAATAGTTAACATACCCATCACCCCCCAAAGACTCCTCATGCCCCTTTGGAATCCCTTTTCCTTCTCCTCTCCCCAGGTAACCATTTATCTGCTTTCTGTAACCACAGATTATTTTACATTTTCTAGATTTTTACATAAAATGAATAATACCGTATGCAACTATTTTTGTCTGGGTTCTTTCACTCAGTACTATTATTCTGAGATTCATCAATGTTGTTATATCCTTAGTTCATTCCTTTTCATTATTCATTAGTATTCCATTGTGTGGATATATTAAGCCCATCCTGGATATCTGTCATCTCAGACATTGTAGTTTTCAACTCTAAATGTCTGATTTGAGCCTTTTAAAAAAATTTTCCATGTCTCCATTTAAGCTTTTGAACATCTGAAATAAAATTACAGTTACTTTTAATGTCTTTCTCTGTTAATTGTAACATTTGTGTCAGTTCTGAGTCAGTTTCAGTTGATTTTTTTTTTTTTTTTACCTCATTATGGGGTATATTTTCCTGTTTCTTTGCATGCCTGGTAATTTTTTACTGGATGCCAGACATTGACAATTTGACCTTGTTGGATGCTGGATATTTTTGTATTTCTATAAATATTCTTGAGCTTTGTTCTGGAATGCAGTTTAGTTACTTGGAAACAGTTTCATCTTTCAGGTCTTGCTTTTAAGATTTGTTAGGTTGGATCAGAGCAGTGTTTAGGGCTAATTATTCCCCACTGTTGAGCAAAGCCTCTCCCCATGTTTTGTGAATTATGAAGTTTTCCAGTCTGCCTGAAGGACACTGGCACTATTCCAAGCCTGGTGTGAGCACCAGGTACTGTTTTCTCTAATCCTTTTGTATGTTTTTTTTTTTTCCTCAGCATCAGGCAATTTCCTCATGTGCATGCAGAAGAGCTAAGATTTGAACTTGGGATGACTGACACTTTCCATCTTACCAGGTGGCATATGGTCATTATAGTAAGACAAAGGCAGCCATTCTACTCCAGTAAGTGTTGACACAGCCCTTCTGTCTAAAAGCAAGGGGGAAAAAACAGGATATCATTAGGACAGATACAAGGTGGCCACTGAATATCTGATTAGGCCCTCTGCATATTTCCAGAGTCAACTGTGTATCTCTCTCATCTCTGATACTTTTGTCCTGCAACTCTAGCCACCTTGATTTCTTGGACTCTCAGTTCCATCTCCTCAACTCATGGAGTCCACCAGCCTCCAAAGGGTTTCCTTTTTCCTGCACCGTGGCCTGGAAACATCTCCAGGCTCTGAAGCAATCACAGGGCTCACTGCATTTGTTTCCCTTCTACCAGGGACCACTTCATTGCTTGATGTCCAGTGTCTTGAAAACTGGTAGTTTAGGGCAGATACAAGGTGGCCACAAAGGTACAGTGAGTGCCATCTCAATGCACTGCTTTTCACATCTACATATGCTGGCTGTTTTTCTTTTCAGATATCTGTTAGTTATCATCAGTCTGGGGCAATATCTACTAACAGGGGTTTTGTTTCTATTTTTCCTTGAACTTTTGAGGGATGGGCAGCAGCACTGTCATTTTATAAATTAAAGATTTATGTTTTAGCCAGGGTTCCCTAGAAAATGGAAACTAAGGCAAAACTTCCAAGTTAACATTTTAAGTGTGTGGGCATTAAGCGTGAAGTGGAAAAGGGGAGTAAGGCAAAGAAGGAGGGCAATGTTATGAGCTGCACCCCAGCTTCATTAATAAACACAGCCGGCAACATGGTCTCCAGAAGGGCTACATGGAGCTACTCTATCTCAGGCCAGTCTGGTAGGGGGAGGGAGTGAGGGGACTTCAGCTGCTGGTTCCTCCAGTCTCCTGTCTTTCACTGCTCCAAGTTTTCCTAGGGGGAGTTGGATCCCTCCACTTCTTGGTTACACTGCCCAGCCTCTCTGAGCAGCCACTGGGAAGCCAGGGCTCAGGGAGCAGCACAGCCCCTGAATCTAGAAGTGCTGAAAGAGCCAGCACCTCTGTAAGTCTGGTCTGCTGGGGTCTAGGTACTGGCTCTGCAGGAGATCCCACAATGGTGAGAATGATGAGGTCCAGCCCTCAACCTTGAAGAGGCTGGCTGGGGCCATCACCAAGGTTAGGATATGCGGTGACAGTCAGGGCAGTAGCAGACAGAGCTCTCCATTCAAGAAGCAACCGAGGCCAAGGGGGCACATGAGGCCAAGTGAGCCATGGGAGGCTTGTAAACCCGGTTCAGACAGCTGAAAACACAGCTAGTGCTTAACTGGAGTTTCTGCTCTCCCGTGTAGCAGCTGTCTGACTTTGAGCAACTTATTTCTTAGCATCTATACAATAGTGGTGATAATATCCACCTCAAGGGATTGTTGTGAGGACTACAGAGATGGTCTATTTAATATCCCAGCATAAAGCCTGACACAAATTGTCACTTTCATTTCTCTCTTTGAGACCCTACGGCTGAGAGACCATGTCCCATATATTTTTGATTGCTTCTGTAACATACATGCATATGATCTCTCCCTCTCTCAAACACATACACATTTTTTTAAAACTTGGGGATGTAGAGTGAGGAATATAAGAAACGTTGAGACTTTCTAGGGGGTCTTATATCCTCCGAGTAATTTGAACAAGAATATTTTTATTTCCAGCATAGACTAAAATGGCTGATTGTCCAATTCAAGAGGAAAAGATAAAGCACAATTCATAAAATCATTTAACAAGTATTTGTTGAATAACTACTATGTACTAGCTATTCACATGTGGATTCTTCAACTGACCACTTAAGCTCTGGACATACAAACGTAGAGCCATGAGGAATGAAGATAACATTCATATAGTCAACTCAGCCATGGGATGGCGCAGATGCTGCTGAAGCCAATTTACTCTTATATCAGGACCACAGAATTAAGTCAGATTTCATTTTCTACAACATTTCACTTCTACAACTCCAGAGTGGCATGGGACTTTTCTTTTAATTCTTTTAGCAAATATTATGGCACTGAACCCTGAAGAGCATTCTGATTGAATATTATCATAATTGCCACTTAATTGGCAAAGATTTTTACAAAATGATGACATTCAGTGTTGGAGAGGTTGTGTGTATGGTGAAGGGAGAACTGGCTTCTAGATCATCAACCTTTTTTTCTCACTTGTTTTTCATAAACAACATATGTTGATACTTAACAAGCAGAAACGATCCCCACTCCCCCAAGGAAACGTGGCAATGGCAGGAGACATTTTTGGTTGTCACACTTGCAGGGGGTCAGGGGGCTACTTGCCAGGGATGCTGCTAAATATCCTACAGTACCCAGGACAGCCATCCTCACAACAAAGATTTGTCCCATCTCATAAAATGTCAGTCGTGAAAAAATTGTGAAGCCCTTACATACATTAGGTTTTCTTGACTTTGGGATTTTTAAACAGTGTTTTGAAATTGAAATAGTGATGTTTTAAATCACAAGCATTCTTATACACCAATAACAGACAAACAGAGAGCCAAATCATGAGTGAACTCCCATTCACAATTGCTTCAAAGAGAATAAAATACCTAGGAATCCAACTTACGAGGGATGTGAAGGACCTCTTCAAGGAGAACTACAAACCACTGCTCAACGAAATAAAAGAGGATACAAAACAAATGGAAGAACATTCCATGCTCATGGGTAGGAAGAATCAATATCATGAAAATGGCCATACTGCCTAAGGTAATTTATAGATTCAATGCCATCCCCATCAAGCTACCAATGACTTTCTTCACAGAATTGGAAAAAGCTACTTTAAAGTTCATATGGAATCAAAAAAGAGCCCGCATTGCCAAGTCAATCCTAAGCCAAAAGAACAAAGCTGGAGGCATCACGCTACCTGACTTCAAACTATACTACAAGGCTACAGTCACCAAAACAGCATGGTACTGGTACCAAAACAGAGATATAGACCAGTGGAACAGAACAGAGCCCTCAGAAATAATGCCGCATGGCTACAACTATCTGATCTTTGACAAACCTGAGAAAAACAAGCAATGGGGAAAGGATTCCCTATTTAATAAATGGTGCTGGGAAGACTGGCTAGCCATATGTAGAAAGCTGAAACTGGATCCCTTCCTTACACCTTATACAAAAATTAATTCAAGATGGATTAAAGACTTAAATGTTAGACCTAAAACCATAAAAACCCTAGAAGAAAACCTAGGCAATACGATTCAGGACATAGGCATGGGCAAGGACTTCATGACTAAAACACCAAAAGCAATGGCAACAAAAGCCAAAATTGACAAATGGGATCTAATTAAACTAAAGAGCTTCTGCACAGAAAAAGAAACTACCATCAGAGTGAACAGGCAACCTACAGAATGGGAGAACATTTTTGCAACCTACTCATCTGACAAAGGGCTAATATCCAGAATCTACAATGAACTCAAACAAATTTACAAGAAAAAAACAAACAACCCCATCAAAAAGTGGGCGAAGGATATGAACAGACACTTCTCAGAAGAAGACATTTATGCAGCCAAAAAACACATGAAAAAATGCTCATCATCACTGGCCATCAGAGAAATGAAAATCAAAACCACAATGAGATACCATCTCACACCAGTTAGAATGGCAATCATTAAAAAGTCAGGAAACAACAGGTGCTGGAGAGGATGTGGAGAAATAGGAACACTTTTACAGTGTTGGTGGGACTGTAAACTAGCTCAACCATTGTGGAAGACAGTGTGGCGATTCCTCAGGGATCTAGAACTAGAAATACCATTTGACCCAGCCATCCCATTACTGGGTATATACACAAAGGACTATAAATCATGCTGCTATAAAGACACATGCACACGTATGTTTATTGCGGCACTATTCACAATAGCAAAGACTTGGAACCAACCCAAATGTCCAACAATGATAGACTGGATTAAGAAAATGTGGCACATATACACCATGGAATACTATGCAGCCATAAAAAATGATGAGTTCGTGTCCTTTGTAGGGACATGGATGAAGCTGGAAATCATCATTCTCAGCAAACTATCGCAAGGACAGAAAACCAAACACCGCATGTTCTCACTCATAGGTGGGAATTGAACAATGAGAACACATGGACACAGGAAGGGGAACATCACACACCGGGGACTGTTGTGGGGTGGGGGGAGGGGGGAGGGATAGCATTAGGAGATATACCTAATGCTAAATGATGAGTTAATGGGTGCAGCGCACCAGCATGGCACATGTATACATATGTAACAAACCTGCACGTTGTGCACATGTACCCTAAAACTTAAAGTACAATAATAATAATAATAATAATGAAAAAGTTTTCAGCTACAAGAACCTTGGATGTTAACTTCAAAATACAAAGGGTAGCAGGAGTGATAGTGCTGCAGCGGTAGCATAGGTAGAGTGATGAGTTTCTAGGAATAAAAATTTATTTACATTTCATGGGTCAGAAAAGGATCCAGGGAGATATAATTGCAGGACAATAGACCAGATGATGTCTAAAGTTGCTCACAGCTCTGAAATTCTGTGATTAGATGGATGCTATGTTTTAGGTAATTGTTATTTAATGTCTAGGAATCTTAAGAAAATCCTTTTCTTATTCCTAAGGACAGAATTTGCAGAGGATGTGGTCTGCATAATCTGTTTTATGTCATTTAATATAAGAGGGCTAGAGAGGTCAATTGGAAATTTCAAAATGAAATGCTCACCAAATTCCCTAGTTCATTCACAACACATGTTTTAATTTGAATAACAAATGCAGTAACAACTTTCAAAAGTCTACAAAATATATCTAGATTAGGAAAGGGAATTATAGCAGAGGGAGGAGAATTATGCACCATCTGAGGAGAAAACTATAATCATGGTTTGCATTTTTAATGGCGGAAATGAGTTTTTGTTTTTATTTTCTTTTGGCTCTGATTTTCAAACTGCAATAGAGATAGGGCTTGCCACATAATGAGCAATGTTATGTCTATGAGACACCCTAAATGGACTGAAAAGGGATGGTACCAGTTCAATCTTTCCTCTGCGATTCTGCTTTTGATTAAACTTAGGTCTGTCTCCCATTTTTTTCCTCTCCTTCTTGATGGGGAAATCAATTGGCTGTTTTGTTTCAGTGTTATATATCCCATAAGTGTCATTCTCTAAGAACCAAATGAGCTTCTTGAAATTTTTACTTCTCCCTTGATTCATGCAAGAGATTTCAATTAAGCAGGCTCTCCACCAATGGCATTTCTTGTTTGTTACTGAAGCTCCTTCAACATGCAAATAACTGGCCCTTCAAAATTTCTTTTATATGTTTGGAGATGTCCCTCCAAAAGATTGATTGATTGGTGTTCTCTTTGCAGTGACTTTGTTTTTCTTCAACTAAAAATTGAAGATTGCACTAAAAGAGTAATAAACTTTAAAAACTCATGGCTCCTGGAGTGAAGTTATCAGCAATGGAGTAACAACCATTGAGACTACTTTGCAGAACCATATTTCTAAAGCCTCATAATTAACTACAAAATTTGAAAGAGAAACACCTAAGTGGACGTGGTGAGTGAGATGGGTGGGAACAATTCTCTGAGAAAGTAGAGTCAGTCCCATGTTTTGATGAGAATTCCTGTGGTACAGCCCTGCTGAACCAAGCTTGGCGGAACATACTTTTTTTTTTTTTTTTTTTTTTAACAGAATGAAAGAAGGACAAATCATGAAAGAAGACAGATCTAAAAACAGACATGATTGGTATGCAAAGGGATGAGTACAGAACACTTGAAGGCTGTGTATATCTGAGTAAAACACTTATTTTCTAAGCCTTCTGTACAGAATCTTTATTTCACTGGATATAGGCAGCACCCAGAGAACTTTGTGGGGAAAAAGTCAACACAATAAAGAGATACTAGAGAAAATTGTTGTGATATTTATGAACTGTTTTATGAAAAACTTCTCCTTGAACATGAAGCTTAACACTGTAATAGTGACTTTGATTTATTCTGCTATAGAAACCTAGCAGAGAAGGTTAACTTAAGATAACTTTGATTATTCCTACGACATTAGCTCAGAGAATATTTTTTGGAATCTTCATCAGCACTCAACAACAGGAGCACCAGGTAACGCCATTTACTGAACAACTACTATGTGCCACACACTGCATTAGAGGTTTTCTTTATACATTTTTTATCAATTTTAATTTATCACTTGGATTTTATATGGATTTATTCGATTCCTACAATAACATTATAAAACATTATCTCCATTTTAAAGATTCAAAAACTGAGCCTCAAAGAGATTAAATAACTTGTCCAGGTTGTGTAACTACATTGCAGAGCCAGGATCCAAATCCACATCTGTCTGCATCAGACAGATGCAGATGCCAAGGCTGGCAGGATCAGATCTTAGCTGGGCACTTGCAGAACAAAGCAGGGCTTTTGGAAGTAGTCTTAGGATGGACCCCCAAGAATCCTCAGAAACTGTGCCAAGCCAGGTCCAGATGCAATATACTGAAATATTCTTTATCTTCTTCCCCATTTGGGGACCTTAGTAGGTGATTCTGTTTCTCTGCATGATGCATGTACCTTGCTGGGTGGCTGTGGTTGTTGGCAGAAGAACCTTCCTGCAGACTGGCCAGGAAATCAGAAGGAGCAAGGGCAGGCAAAGTTGACTGCAAGAGGCAGATGACTTCCCAACTCCTATGGGTCTGTGTGGGTTGGTAGCTTAAAGCTACAGGGAAACTGGCTACTGCCCAGCAATCCTCTTTGTCTATTGTTGACTCTAGTTGCACCCCACAGCAGCCTTCTAAACCTCTTTGCAAATAACCCTGCCTTTTAGTTTGCTGAGAGGATTGAGGTCATCTAGCATGGATTCTGTTTTTCTCCTCTCATCACTATTCGGTCTCCCTCAGGAATCAAAGGAAGAGTGGGCCTAGCCTCCTTCCAAGAGCCTCTCTGAGATGGGAGAATGGATTTCTGATATGGGCCATGTCTGGTCTGGCACTTCCTAAAGAAGCTGCTCTGGTTCTGTCCCAGAGTTCCAGCCACCAGCACCCACACACATGGGCCCAGCTTAGCTGCCCCTCCCTCACAGCCCAACCAGGGCTTTGGCCCCCTATCCCCTTTGACTGAGAGAAAGCATTCCAGACTCCTTTCCCAGAGCCCCTTGATCTGGCTGTCTAATTAGGAGACAGTCGATTCAAAGCCAGACCACTAACAATAAGAAGGGAGAGGCTCGGTTTCAGGCCATGCAGGAGGTTGTGGTTGAGAGAAAAGGGCCCAAGAGAAAAGAATCCAAGTCAGTGGTGGTAATCGGGGTTCGGAACAATTCTTTAGCTGAAGGGAGGGTGGCTGCAGTGGCCGATTGTCTAAATTTTATAGATTCAGGTACAGCCCCAGAGCAAACATCCTTAGCTTGACCAATGTCCAGATCATGAGCAGATATCAAGTGCCCAATATTCTGCTCGCTAATCTTTGGGTACTATGACAGAACACTTCTAAAATTAAGTTGCTGCAGAAAGCACTTACTTCTATTGGGGGTAGCTGAAATAAACCCCAATGTAGTAAATACCAAGAGGATTTAAGATTTCATTAAGATGATACTGACTAGATAATGCATTGCTTCTCAATCAAAAGTTGCTTAAGAAAGGGATCTGTAGCCCAGAAAATAGGGTGATTAATAGATTTCGTCAAATAAATAAACTTTTAGAATATCTCTTGAGATCCATATAGATTGGACCCAATCTCGTATACCACCTACAGGATGCAATTCAATATAGATATATTGAACACCTACTTTGTTCTAGGTATTAGACTGATCATTGGAGATGCATGGAAGCAAGATTAAATCATATTGGCTTTTCTGTACTTATTAAACCACTAGTGAGGACTAAAATACTTTGAAATGACTTGGTAAAGAAAGCGTTAAAGGGAGAAAATGAGAAAAATGATATGCTCGTTTTAGACAAGAATTACACTGTGCAGTTCTCGTTTTTTCTCTACTGCACCTACAGCATTCTGAGCCCAGCAGTTAGACAAATACTCGTCAAGCTGAATTAACCAGAAAATTAAATTAATTAACATACCCTTTTCCCCTTTCTATTTTCTCTTCTCTCCTCCCAGCATTCCAGCAATTTGAGGCTTTGCAAAACTACAAAGTAGTGGCATTGAGATTTAAAGCTTTGCCAAGAAAGCTTCCAAACTAAAGAAATTCGTTAAAGCCTCAGAAGTCAAATTTCAGCCTCATGTGACATTGGTACCTCTCCTAATTACAGGCTCCATTCTCTTTAATGCTCGAGTGTCTCCCTGCTACAGAGCTCTAAGTGGTACCCTGAAAGCCTGAAAAAAACCCGCTGTGCTGCCTGAGCAACAGATGTGTGACTAGGGGCTAATTTAGGCCCTGGGAAGATCAGGCTCATTCTATTTTCTTTTATTATTTTTCCTTCTCTTTCCTTTTATTATTACTTGTTTAAGTCCATGTGATTCATCCTTTAAAAAAATTTATCTCCTGCAATTTTGACGTTAACTACCATGGCCAAATATGGTCAGTTCATAATTATTGTAAGATTCAATGGAGATCAAGTGGAATCAAAAAGAACAGCTTAGAAGATGGAAAACTAAGGGGAATGCATCTTGCAGTAGGAAGACAGGACATTATGATGAGAGATACCACTAATAAAGTAGAAAAAGCATTTGGATTTTAGATTTTAATTTTATTTATTTATTTATTTAGAGACCGTCTTGTTCCGTTGCCTAGACTAGAGTGCAGTGGGATGATTATAGCTTACTGCAGTCTCTAACTTCTGGGCCCAAGTGATGCTCCTGCCTCAGCCTCCTGAGTAGCTGGGGCTACAGGCACGTGGCACCATACCTGGCTAATTTTTTATGTTTAAATTTTTTGTAGAGACAAGGTCTCACTATGTTTCCCAGGCTGGTTTCGAACTCTTGGGTTCAAGTGATTCTCCTGCTTTGGCTTCCCAAAGTACTAGAATTACAGATGTGAGTCAGTGCTCCCAGCCCAAATTTCTTTTTAGTTAATACACACATTTAATGTTGCCAGTAGTGAGAAGCTTAATGTTTATTAAAAAAATTTAATTGGATTAGTGGACAATCATTCTGGATAGTAAAGTAGCTGCTAGAAAAATTGTGCTAATGTTTCCCCCTGTTGGAGAAGTGGACTCAAAGTAAGGATGACTTGGGGGAAATAATTTAATTCAGTCAAACACGGCAACGTCTCTGCCCTCATGACGGAGGAAGCGCCAAGAGACTGCTAAGACAATCATTACTTCATTGTGGGAAGGGCTGTGATGGAGGTGTGCTTGGAGGTCCTGGGGGCCAGGCGGTGGGTACGTGTGGCAATGTGGGGCTCGGGGAGGTTCTGAACAAGTGAGACTAAGCAGGTGAAGAAAGGAAAGGAAGGGCATACCAGGGAGAGGAAGTGCCGTGAGAAGAAATGAAGGTAAGAAAGATGTAACTTCTTTGAAGAAGATGAGGGTGCCTCTGCCTTAAAATCTTGGGATTATTCTGAGAAGGGGAGATGTCCTTTTCTTACAGTTATCTGAAGGCTTTCTTGGGATTTTAACACCTGGTAGCTGACTATTCTCTACCAGAAATCCCTGGGCATGTGTCTGTAGTGAGTGGGTGCTGTGATGGGCACACAGGAATGTGACAGGTGGGCTCATGTGCATGGCACGAGTTACCATTTATTAAGCATTTACTATATATGCTAGGTAATAGGCAAAGCATCTTGCAAACATCCCAGTTAAATCCCAGAACAATCACAACGTAACACTTTCCCAAGGAAAGAATTTAAAGGGCTAAGTACTTACTTAAGGTCATACAATTAGGGAAGAACACATCTTGGATAAGAACTCAAGTCTGTCTTACTACAATGCCTGTGCTCTTAAGCATTAAGCTATTTCAGCTCTGCAAGAACAAATCCTATGTTCCTAGTTATCCCACATTCATTTGTTTTTCCTTCCTATTTTTAGCTTGAGGGTCATTTCCAAATTCAGAGCCGTTTAAACAACCATCCTCATTTTTTCCCTTACTCACTATTCCCAGGTCTATAACTTTGTGTTAATATTGTTTGTACCAAGTTCCCAAAACACCAAATTGATCTTTGTTTCAGGATAATTAACTTATTAGCAAGATGGCTATGACAGGCTTGATTTAAGAAATAATTACAGAATGAAAACAGAATGGGGGCTTGTTTAACAACTTAATAGCCACTGGGCTACTGGGCTCTTTGTGTAATTGAACAATTTTTCCCCAAGTTTTAGGAAAAGTATAAATGAAGCAGGAGAGACAAAGAAAATTATGAGACTGGAAATCAGATTTACAATAATGGAATTGACATTTACCTCCATGGGCAGAGGAAGAAAATATGCAAATAGATTTAAAAATCCTTATAAATGCTTTTGATGCTAAGACTTTATGTGAATTTAGCTGACTCAACTCTATGGGTAGTTACTCTTCTTATTCTTCCACTAAAATGGCAGAAGAATTGGCTTTGACAGGAAGCAACATGTAGAAAAAGAGATTACCTGCCATCCATACCTATATTTTATTTTCTGAATTGTGGATCATACAGAAAAATAATTTTTTAGCCACATATCAATGAACTATGAACTCAGCAAGTTCAGAATCATGTATAGCCTAATGTTGATCCTGTTGAGTAAGAATGGTATTGATAGATCTTTCAGGCAGTAGTTGAGTTGGGCTGATAGAGGGGATGAAGAGGAGTGAGTCAGGGGATATAGATAAGAATCTTGGGATTATCCGAGAAGAAATAGACGATGCTCTTTCTGGCTTCCTACAGTTATTTGGAGGCCTTCGAATAACTTCTCATCCCATCGAAACCTGTTTATATGTGTCCTGGCTCAACCTTCTCTATCACTTTTGTTTGAGGTTATGTTTTGTTTAGTTATGCCTCTTTTATTTTTTTCAAATATGCTTGAGCCTTCCAAAGACATTTGCAATGAGAGATGCTGTTCTGCAAAGATGCAGCTTCACTCAAAGACAAAGTGAGCACAGGCTCTGAAGAGCCTCTTAGCCTTCTGCTGCCTCAAGCCACATCTGCTTCTCTTTATATTTTCACCTCTGCAACCATGGGCATGGTCAGCCTCCTCTTAAAGGGGACTGGAATTGATAAGCTTACCTAAGGCATAAAAGGCACATAGTCTTTGCAAAGCAACAGATGCCTTCAAATTTTTATAGACAATATTCCACTTGGTACACATGGTCAATAATAGAGACAGAAGCCAACTAGAATTTGTTAGAAGCCTCAGGGAAAAAAGCTAAGCCTGTGAAAAACAAAATTAATGCCAATTTTAAATGCAACCCTCAGGCTTTGCAGAATGAGTCAAACTTGATCACACAAAAACAAAGGCAGTATGTCCACTTTTACAAAATGACAAAGAGACTTTGTAGGATATTTGGAAAGTTTATCACATTTTGCAGGACCCCTTTTCTTCCAAACAAAGCTCCATTCTTATCCTAAAAAAAAAAGAATCCATTATGTCTCTCAGCAGTGTAGGAGATCAATATCATGTTTGAACTCTCCCAAAGTGATCTCCTTCTTTCACTGCAGGAACAAATGAGGGAGAGGAGGGCCCTCATATTCACTTTTAAAATTACTGAGGGGAGTGCAGATTTAAAGGTCTCTTGTCCTGAGTATTCTTAGATCCTGTGTCTCTTAAAAGCTATGTGAGTTACAATTAATTTTTTGGTAAACTTCCCAGTAAATTCTTGAATTCGCAAGCTCATTGGAAGTTTTTAACAGTTGATTATGACTCAACCAATATTTATTGAGTACATACATTTGTTGCGGATAGTATGAAAAGATGTTTTTCTCTAGTATCATATAATATAGATTATGTTTTGACCTTTTAAGAATGTCCTCTCCCTGTCCAAGTAGGAACTTCCATTAGAGATGAGTGAGAAAGTGACATTACTGTGTGGCCATTTATATTAATTAATTCATTACAAAAACTTGTTGTGCACCTACTATATGCCATGCACTAGAGTTCATTGTTCAGTAAAATAGGACTCTTGCCTTTAAAGAGTCCACAATCCAATGAGGGAGACTTTTACTTAACCCTAACATTAATGCAAAATAAGGGCTGTCACAGAGCTGTATAGAGAACTACAGTAGGAGATCAAAAGAGAAAGAAGGATTAACTGGTCCCAGAGAGGGAAGGAGGATTAAGAAGGTTTTGTGGAGTAAGTGGGAATGAGGATTAAAGAAAGTGTCATAGGAGAGAGAGAATTTGAGCCCACAATATTCCAGGCCCATGAAGATCCTTGTTTGAGTTTGTGGCTGCCCCACCACATACTCTTTATCTGACAAGAATTCATGAATCACAAAGCACACATTCAGATTTACGACATTTTTTCTTTTTCTTTTTTTTTTTTTGAGATGGAGTCTCGCTCTGTCACCCAGGTTGGAGTGCAGTGGCATGATCTCAGCTCACTGCAAGCTCTGCCTCCCGGGTTCACTCCATTCTCCTGCCTCAGCCTCCCGAGTAGCTGGAACTACAGGTACACGTCACCACAGCCAGTTAATTTTTGTATTTTTAGTAGAGACAGGGTTTCACCATGTTGGCCAGGCTGGTCTCGAACTCCTGACTTCAAGTGATAGGCCCACCTCAACCTCCCAAAGTGCTGGGATGAACAGGCATGAGCCACTGTGCCTGGCCAAGATTTACATTATTTTAAAATCTGGCTTGATAAATCAGTTTCTTAATAATATCAACAATAATGCACTGTTTCTCTTTGACCACAGGTCACACTCAAGGGAAGTGATGAGGTGGAGAGGTAGACCACCTGGATCAAATCCCAGGCACACCTTACTAGCTATGTGACTCTGGAGGAGTTACTGATTCTCTAAGCTTCTTTCCTCGTCTAGAAAATAGTGTCATGTGGGTATGGAATGCTGAAAGGTAGAAAATCCATTATTAGTACAGAACTTTGCATGTAGTAAATCTAAGTGTTGCCAATTACCACACTGGGAAGTGGCAAGTGGTTGTCTATGTAGAATCACGTTTTCTGGAAGTATTTGAGGTGGGATAAATTCTTTTAAGTCCAAAATGACTTACATATCTTTCTGACAACTTCTTAGCTCTCATGATCACTACTTTTTAAAAATCCCGTTTTACATTTATTTCATAAATACCATTATAACAATGATAAAAGAAAAGCCACAATAGCAACAAATTGTCCCAATCTGTGCCTAGCTTTCACATTTCCATAATCGCTTTTGAATCAAGCAGACACTAACTTAAAGGAGATGCCCTGCAAGTGAATAAATGAATTGCTGTCTCAATGGCTTTTCCTCCAAAAGAAGTAAAAGGTATTACAAAAATTATGCCCTGACAACTAGCTAGATTGATGTGTTTACTCTGAAGTAGTAATAACTATAGTTACAGTATCACAAAATGCTTTCCTCAGTTTTAAAAGATTTTACTAGCCTGGACAACATAGTGAGACCCTGTCTGTACAAAAAATAAATTAATTAATAAATAAAAATAAGTAGCTGCGTGTGGTGGGGCATACCTGCAGTCCCAGCTACTTGGAAGGCTGAGGTCGGAAGACTGATTGAGCCCAGAAGGTCGAGACTGCAGTGAGCTGTGATCACATCACCGCACTCCAGCCTGGGTGACAGAGCAAGACCCTGTCTCAAAAATATAAATCTAAATAAATAAATAAAATATTTTAAAGGAAATCCCACTACTATGTCCTGGTTGGAAGGGCAAAATGGGACATGGTGGGCAAAGTGATGAATTTGGAATGAGAAACTACAACAATGACATTAACACTAGATTGCAGAATAGATTTCCATGAATTATATTAAAAAAAAAACCCAGCAATCATTCCTTTGGCCACCAAAAGGCCATTTCCTTTTGGCATAAAATCATGACCTACTTAGCGGTCTTGTCAGAAGAGTCAGAACTATTATTATGAATGTGCGGATTTGGATTCTGTGTTTGCCAGTCACAATTAACACAGCTGAATGACAGCCGAGAGAGTTGAACACAACTCCCTGGGCACACACGGAAGAGAAACCAATATAGGTTCTCTCTTTCTAAAATCCAGATACATAATTTTTAATGATTTGTAAGTAGCCAGATACTTATCTCACTTTAAGAAAACATTAGTGTTTGTTTAAAATGTGTTATTTTATTTCTTTCTCTAATATGTCAAGTGAATTACAGAGGGATTTTGGCTTAAACTTTAAGTCAGTTATCTCATATACAGCACAGAACAAATCAGTAATTACCCTGAAGAAGAGCTAAGCAACTCATTAAAAAGGCCTCAAATGTATCAGAGGCTCTTTCACATTCCATTCATGAGATTTGGGCTTGGAAACTTGTGCTTAGGAGGAATACTGAAAAATTAACATCCATTTTAATCTCATGCCTTGTAATAATACTCATAGTATATTTTAAACTACAGGCAGGCCTAAACATAATCAATTTAGATTGTATAATTATATATCTTCACAGTCAATGGTTAATCTGTAATATAGCGGAGACAAAAATACTGAGAATCTTCTGGATGTTTCAAGTACTCTGCATGATCCAAGGATTCTAGAATTTCTCATTTTTATTCAAGGAGTATGTTGGAGTCTACGTACCTGTCCATTTGTTGTAGAACGAGGAAAATGCAGCTGTTAATTCTATCTTTTAAAAGGAAAACAAAGCCACTCTATGAAGCTATAAATGACTCAGGATAAGTAGTTATCAATATTTGTTTCACCCCATTTATTTCACCTTCCTAATTTCTGAGCATTTGGTGTAACGAAGAAGTTAAATGTGTCAGCTCTGATGTCACACCAGCCATGTGGCTCTGGAAAACATCCATCTCAGTTTCTGCAGGCATAAAATCAAGATAATAACAATTCCTACCTGATGAAAATAATCCAAGCAGTGTGTCTGCACATGGGAAATGTTTTCTAGATGCTGGTTATTATTATGATTTATTTCTTAGAATCTGGTTCTTCAGTGTCTTTTTTTTGTAGCACCTATCCATCTGTTCATTCACCCATTAGCTATTAATTGAACACTTGGGATGGATAGATACTGCAACAACAGCCTGAGGAGATATATATATATATATATATATATATATATATACACACACACACATACACACACACATATGTGTATATATATATACACACACATATATGTATATATGTATATATATACATATATATGTGTGTGTATATATATATATATTTTTTTTTTTGCATAAAGTACTGAGACAGACAAATAAATGTATACCAGGGTGATGTGCCTATGCCTCAGCTGCTGTGAGTGTTGGCAGCTAAGAGCTAAGAGCTCACTTCTGCACCCTTCTCTAGAGGACTGCTCTTAGCTAATGGGTGCTGTCTGGGAGCAGGACTCAACCCCTGGGGCTGTTTCCATAATCATCCTACCTGCCCATGCAACCAGGCTGAGGCTGGACTTCTCCTGAACCCATTTATTTGTGTCTGACTCCTTTTCCTCCCTTCTGCTTTTCCCTTCGCTCAATGACAGGTGTCTTCTGAGAGAACTCCCTCAACAGACCTTGTCAGAGGGTCTGCTGCCAGGAGATCTAACCCAAGACAAAGTTTGTCCGTGGATTATTTTGATAATAATTTTGACAGCAATACAGGTTTCAAGTAAATAAATAATGGCTAACCAAATCTTTCTACAGCTTCCTTAAAATACACAGACACAAATAATCTATTGTTCTTCCAAAGTGATTGTACACAAACATTTTAAGTATTCTTATTAAGGTGCCTCTGCCTTTCTTTGTTACTTTAGCTTTTTTAGAGCTCCTTCATCTTTAAACATAAAAAAATCATGCTATTCTACATATAGTATTATATACATAAAAAGATGTAAATTAAGTTGAACAAAAATATTATTTAAGAACTTTTAAACATTTTGTGTTTGCTTTTATTTCCTATGTTCTTCCAAAGTTGAAATAAAATCCTTTCTACTTTTTAAAACAGATTGGTGATTTTGATGATCTCCCTGGTTCCATGTTTATTCCTATTGCCTTTTTTTCATTCACTCATTACAAGTGGTCTGGGCTTGTCCTTTTGTGTAAGAGTAAGTTGTTAGCATCATCAACTCTGAGCTAAAATGGGCTTCTCCCCTCTCACCTGAGTGTCCAGAATAACATTTTTATCAGTTAACTGTTTACTGATACTGAGTAATGAGGCCATCCAACATATATGCAGTAGTCTAGGGAAATAATTTTCACATAGTGAAATATGTGCTCTAGTAAAAACTTTTGCATCTGTGTTTTGTAAACCATGACAAATAATGCAATTATAAATAATTATAGATGAATGCCTGGTACAGGGATTTCACACCATTAGAACTGTGCTTATGTGGCTTTTTAAAGAAACTAAACATAACTGATTTTACCTGGGTAGGAATGTCAGAAATGAACAGAATGAATTTCTTAATATTCTGCAGGTCTCTTACTGAATGGCTAATTATCCTTCATAACTGGTGATCCTTCACCAAATCACAGAATTACAGGGTTAAAATAGACCTTGAATGTCCAGCTGAGACCCTCTTCTCACTCCTGAATTTGGACAGACCAAAGGCTTGAAGTCTGCCTGCCATGAAATTATACTCTTTTTTTAAAAAAGATTTTTTTTTTCTTTTTGAGACAGAGTCTCATTCTGTTGCCCAACTTGGAGTGCAGTGGTGAGATCATGGCTCACTGCAGCCTCCACCTCTTGGGCTCAAGTGAACCTCCCACCTTAGCCTCCCAAGTATCTGGAACTACAGGCATTCACCACCACATCCAGCTGATTCTTGTATTTTTTGTAGAGATGGGGTTTCACCATGTTGCCCAGACTGGTCTTGAACTCCTGGGCTCAAGCAATCTGTCTGTCTCAGCGTCCCAAAGTACTGAGATTACAGGCATGAGCCATCGTGCCCAGCCTTAAAAAACAAATTTTAGAGACACTGTGGTGTCATATTATGCATAAAATAATTTGCAATTATTTAACCTCCCAAATTTTCACAAATTTCCTATTAATCACACTATCAGTTTCTATGAAAAGCTAAAATTGTATTCATTTCCTCCATCTTCCTTTTTTCTGCAGTCATCTTCTCCTCCTCACTACATCCTTCTGTCACTTTTCTGTATTTAACTTATGTAATCCAGCATTTCTCCTGTTTCAGGCAGCCTCAGTGGCCCAGATAATGATACTTCCTTCTTCCCTATTAGCAAGGCACAGAAACTATTCTTGCAGTAGCCATTGATTCATCCACTTTCTTTCCTGGCGTTTGGGACAAGAATTTGCAAACATCTTAACTACACGTTTGAAAATGGAATGTTTCTATTCCCTCATTTCCACCATTTTCTTTTCTCAGGCAGATGTGGTCTTGGCTTTTACCAATAGTGTATCACATCAAAGTAATTCTACAGTCTCTCTCTGGAGACATCAGAAAGGCAGCCTTGGGATATCCACTTTCATACCTCACAGGGTCCCACAGTACAGTCCCCTCCAATTCAGGCTGCTCTCTAGTCAAAGAAGTCAGTTACTATTCTCAACGTTGTAAGCTTCACTGATCCTTAATTATGCTGCTTGACTATCAGTAAGCCTTCTTTTTTCCAGACAAGGTAGTTCTCATTTCGGAGCTAGCTCTGCTTCCATCCAGTCTCCTGGTTCTTCTCTTCTACTTTCCTCCACTTCCCTGATATTCTGAATTTGCTTCCTTCATTTGCGGTCTGTGATTCAGACTGTCCATTGCAACAGCAGCCCTTCCAGTCACCACGTCAAAAGAGCTTTCACACTTCACATTCTCTTATTCTCCTTTTGGCCAAGTGGAGAAAGTTCAAGGCTGTAATTAATCTTTTTTTTTTTTTTCCATAGAGCTTATGCTTCCCACATTGTTTTCAGTAGAGCATAATAGTTTTCTTAAATGTCAGGCTTTATGTAGCTGATAACATTTTAAAGGTATTTCTCCCACGTTTTTCATTCTGAATTATCATAGTTTCCCATACATGAGGAATGCTTAATGCAAAAACAACAACAACAACAACAACAAAACAACCAAAAGAACGACCAGGTTCTTTTACATGGCTTTGGGTTTCTCAGATGTTAAAGATTTAGTGGCAAAGACTACCTGAATGCTGAAAATAACTTACTGACAGAGGACAGTGCTTGGGGTGATGATAATTCAGAGATAATACACCTATTAATTTGTTCTCTAAATGTAGCATTTAACATTGAATGCATACAGGGACAGAGATGCTGTGACTGCTGTTTCACTTTTCCTTTCCTTTAAAGACAAACATCTGTTAATCTAGCAGCTTGACTTGTATCATAAAATATGCATGTCACTACGGAGACCAGTGAGATTGATCTGAATAAGCAATTAATGCCCAACACTTGTGATATTGTATTTGCAGAATTATGGAAGAAAAAATGTTACAGAGTAGAATAAGAGGAATTCAAACCTTGAGTCTCTTAAAGCCTCATTTATATATGTGCATGACAATGGAACTTTCAAACAATATGATTGTTAATATGGCATTATGTCATAATGGATCAAGAAACAGTAATGCTTGTCATTTAAAATGGCAGGATAATAAGAAAATAAGCAGCTGAGAAATCAATGTTAGACAAAAGTATCCAGGTGGTGGTTTTAGCAGCCAATTTTAACACAGAAATAATGGTTTACATTGCTCTGAGCAAACCTTTACTAATGGAAAGCCAGTCTTAAACAAAAGATAAATGAAAGGATGATTATTTGCTTTTCAAATGATTCAGTTGTTCCCTAAAAATGTTACTAATCAGATACCAAGTCCTGTTAATTCCCAGCAGAATGTAGCTAACTTTAAGCAAGATGCAAGAGGCTTGTTTTGACTCCATGCTGCTCATCACTTGGAGTATGTTTTCAGACACATGTGATTAAGCTTCTTCACCTATAAATGAAGACGTTCTAGGTCCAGTCAGTGGTTTCCAGCCTGGGAGTATGATTGGGGTTTAGGAAAGCAGTGATAAGCATCCACAAGTTACTTTAAAAAATATTTTGCATTTCAGAATGCCTAATGGGAATTGTATTTATGTCACGAAGATGCTCTAAATGTAAGCTAAAACCTTGAGTTTCTTTGCTTGGCCTTGTCAACTTAGTAGTAATAGTGGTTAACTCATGCTGGTCAAAGCTCTGATTGATTATAATGACATTCTAGAAATTTACAGTGACAATTAGGGTAAAATAATATTTAATGTTCCTCAGAGATGAAAAAATTGTGTATCCCTAAGTTTTTGTATCTTTAACATTCTAATATTCCTCCTTTCCATTGCCAATGCCATTGTTCAAGTTAAAGTCATGCTCATGTCCTAGCTGAAAGGTTGCTATAATTGCTTAACTCCTTCTTGACTTCTGGCTTAGTCTTCTGGTCACAGCAAGCCACATATTACCAGCAGGCTGATCTTGCCTATATCTTGCTCAAAAACATTCAGGTGCAGCACTATTCACCATAGCTAAGAAATGAAATCAACCTGTGCATCCATGAACAGATGAACGGACAAAGAAAATGTAGCACATTTACACAATGGAATTCTATTCAGCCATAAAAGGAATGAAATCCTGTCATTTGCAGCAACATGGGTAGAACTGGAGGTCGTTATCTTGAGTGAAATAAGCCAGACACAAAAAGACAAATATTGCATGTTCTCACTTACATGTGAGAGAGAAAAAATTTGAACACATAGAGGTAGGAAGTGAAAAAAATAGATAATAGAGACTGGGAAGGGTGAGCGCAGGCAGGGAGAGGGGAGGATGAAGAGAAATAGGTTAAAATAAAGGGAATAAATTAAATGATGTTGATAACAGAGTAGGATGACTATACTTAACAAAAATGTATTGTACTCAGGTGATGGATGCCCTGAATACCTCTGACTTGATCACTACACATTATACATATGTAACAGCTTTTATCATACACTCCAGAAATTTTCAAACACATACAAGACATTCAGGGACTTATTATTTCCTATGAGATAAAATCCTCCCCTGACATGGTATCTTCAGGCTGCCCTTTCATAATGATTTTCCCCCACCCTTTCAATACATATCTTATGCTGCTGCCAACCTGGCTTACTACTCATCTCACAGTGTCATATGAGCTGCCTGCCTCTGCTCCTGTGTGCTCCCTTTCACCCCACAGTCCTCCACACTCCTCTGTGTAATCACAAGGTTCTTTTAAACACTCAGCTCTAGCCCCCTTCTCCATGAACTGAAGCCTACATCATCTCCACCCTTAAGTCCAGAGACAGACAGTGTCAGTCTGTTACTCTTATTTAATATTTGGAATATGTTGCCTTATAATATTGCCATCCTGAATAAATGATAGACTCTTGGAAGGAATGGACTTCTTGCAAGTCTCTAAATTTCACACACAGCCTAAAATAATGTATTTGATTTACTAAGGGCTCAAAGAAAACTAATATTGATTTATTAAAAATTACTCTGTGATTGCCAGGAACACAACTATTATACTAAGCAAGGTTATGACTATTCCAAGCCTCTTAAAAATTTAAAAATAATTAAATCAAAGTAATATATACACAGAGTTTGAAAAGAAAGATAATATGATATCAAAAGGCTTCATGAAAAATAGCAGTCTACTCTCTTGCAGGCAAACTTATTTTTATTTTAGCTGTTTCCGCTGGAAGTTATTGCCATTATAAACAATATATTTGACTGCTATTTCTTGATTTCTCAGTTTTAGGATTTATCTCTTATACCACTTTTCACCTCCTATGGTTGTGATCTCTAAATACTATTATGCCACTCTTTTCTACTACATGATTCATTCTCTCATGGAATCCTGTTCCTGTTCTGTGGTGACACTACTTTCTCATATTTCTCTGAAGATGTAACTAGACTGCTGCTAATGTTTTCTCGCATTTCCTGTGTTACCTCCATTTCTTCCAGGTTCATTGCTTTTTGTTGTGTATATTGCACCTGCATTCATATTGAAAGCTTTCCTCAAAAGGCCTTTTCGTTGACCACACATATTTATGAACAGTGGGAATTTGATGCCTAATAGTAAAATGTAGCCAAAATATTTATTATTTTGAGAGGGGTGCAGAGAAGAGGGAGAAGACAGAAACAGAAACACACACTTAAAAACTTTGTAAAGTCTGGCCGGGCGCAGTGGCTCAAGCCTGTAATCCCACCACTTTGGGAGGCCAAGGTGGGTGGATCATGAGATCAGGAGATCGAGACCATCCTGGCCAGCACGGTGAAACCCCCTCTCTACTAAAAATACAAAAAATTAGCCGGGCGTGGTGGCGGGCACCTGTAGTCCCAGCTACTCGGGAGGCTGAGGCAGGAGAATGGCGTGAACCCGGGAGGCGGAGCTTGCAGTGAGCCGAGATTGTGCCACTGCACTCCAGCCTGGGCGACAGAGCGAGACTCTGTCTCCAAAACAAAACAAAACAAAACAAAAACAAAAAAACACTTTGTAAAGTCTCAATTTACCTTCATGAAGTCAGACTACCCAAAATGTCACTGATACATGAAGAAAACTGCCCTGTCCTGAGCATCTCACCCACTTAATAGCAATATATTAATCAACAAATTTTGGCTGTTGATGAATAGAGTTTAAGAGTTAAACTTACTGTTCTACATCTAGTAAGGGGCAGAGCTAGGACTTGCACCCAGGCGATGTACTTCCACTATACCATTCTGCCTCTCACTCCACGACTACCAAACAACCCTCAGTCCTGCTATTCACTAATTGGTTATCACTTGTAGTAGTAGTAGTGTCATCATTACCGAATCCTAGAAGTATTGCTGCATACGAGGGGTGTGTCCATTTTGATAGATGCTATTATATACTTTGAACTCACTTCCATAGTGACTGTTGGGCATTGAATTATTTCTAGTTTCTGTTATGAGGCATGTGGATTAGTTCAGAAAGGTGTCCTATTTCTTTTATTTTCCTTCATCTTTCTTTTTCCTTATTTTCTCTTCTGTTTTTCTTTTGCACTGTTTCAGAGGCAGCATGGGGTGGTAGAAAGAGCTTGGGTAAACCAAGACTTGAATCTCTCTGATCTGATCGACTTATGTAGCTTTTCTGAGTCCCTTTCTGAGTCTCAATTTCCTTATCTTTAAAACACAGTCAGTAATGTCCACCTGTAGCATTTCAGTAAGGATATGAAATAATATCTATAAAGTGTCCAGTGCAGGGCTTAATTTAGTTTTCCAGTAAGTGTAGTAGATATAATTATCACCATCACTACATAGTTCTAGAAATATTGCACTTAAAAAGGATTTTGAAAGATTTTGTTACATTCTTTCAACTATCTTTTACAACCATAGTGTAAAACACTGCTGCCTGCAATGTATGAATATACTCTACAGCTCTGTCGCTGTAGAGTTTCTTTATTTTTGATAATTTAAGTAGTTGTGAGGTGGTACTGCACGTTTGAGTTACTTAATATTTCCCTGATTAACAGCCAAGTATGAACTTTTTTCTAAATAATGTCTGTTCGTGCCCATCTGTAGAATAAGGGCCTGCTATTATGCTTATGGCTTTTTTTAAAAATGTGAAATTTAGATATGAAGAAACTGTCATATTCATGGTGGTTTTATTATATCTCTAATATAACATTTTTAATCTTTTAATAATGAAATTCATCCACCCTTTTTCTATTTGCTCAATAGTGAAGGGAAATACATTTTCCTTAATAACTGGAGCAATTATATTACATTTTAAATTGAAAAACCCCATATATTTAACTGTTTCATTCAACTAGAGTTCATTGTGGCTTATTTTTCTTAATGTTGATAGCTACTCATTTCATAGGGCATTATTATCACTTAAAAACACTTGATTTAACATATCTCTATATTTCATATTTTATAAAGTTCTTTACATGTTGATATTACATTTTGATATTTTAATTGGAATTGTAGTAACTTTGACGGTTCTTCAACATTAGGGTCAGAAACAAGAAATATATTGGCTTTTACTCAAATAGTCCTTTGCTTTTCCCATGAAGGTTTCATAATATTTTTTATTCAGTGCTAGAGAATGCCATATTAGCATAAGTAGCAGATATTTAGCATTTTTTTGATACGGGGAATGGCATCTCTTTTCCTTCATTATTGTTCATTTTATGATCACTTTACTAGATTTTCTAGATCATCACACATAGCTTTCAGTTTATTACCCTGGATTTCCTAACCATAAATGGTTTGCAAATGGTAATCTTTGTCTTTCTTTATTCCTGTGTTAATCCCCCATTTTTTATGACTTCTCACAGTGGCAGGAATCCTTAATAATATAGATAACTTGAGTGCACTAAAGTGTACTCTTGTTTTGTTTGGAAATGTGTGTAATATATTTTTGTTAAGTATAGTGACTCTTAATTTTCAGTAAATATTACTTTAAGAGTAATTTTATGCTTAAACTTTACTTTTCAAAAACTCCAGAAAAATGTACGACTTTAATCAAATGTCTTTTAAAGCAATCTATTCAAATACTCATTATGATGTTTTTGAATCATTCTGCTGACATTTATCATAATAATGGTTTTTCTAATATGGTACTAAACTATGTTCTAGGGATACACTTTATTTAGGTATAACAAATGAATTTGTGAACATATTCATTTGTTCTCTTTGTATTTCTTTTATTTAGGACCATAAGTGGGTTGTCTGAACAAGCTTTACTTTTAGCAATCAACTTGGCAGGATTTAGGCTCAAGATGAAAGGTGTCTCAAGAATACTGTGATTCTGGATGAAAGAGTATTATTATTAACAATAACATCCATCACTATAGGGTTTGAAGGCTAGAAGATCTGTTAGACAGTGCTTAGTATCCATGTTAACTCTTTATTAGCAGTTGAGGAAACCAAAGCCCCAAGATGTTAATGACTTGCCCAAGAATCCACAGATGGTTGGTGGGATAAAATAGAATAAAAACATACAAAAATGTGTTCTAGGCTGGGCGCACTGGCTTATGCCTGTAATATCAACACTTTGGGAAGCTGAGACGGGTGACTCACTTGAGGCCAAGAGTTTGAGATCAGCTTGGGCAACAGAGTGAGATCCTCTCTCTATAAAAAATTAAAAATTAGCCAGGCATGATGGTGCGTGCCTGTATTCCTAGTTACTCAGGTAGCTGAGATGGGAGGATTATTTGAGCCTGGAAGTTTGAGGTTGCAGTGAGCTGTGATTACACCATTGCATTCCAGCCTAGGTGACAGAGTGAGACCCTGTCTCTAAAACAAATGAAAAATTTAAAAAAGTGTTTTACATCTTTAGTGGAAATGGCAATATTTAAATCTGGTACTATCATTTGCTCCAGTTTTGCATTTTGAGCATAATTTATAAACAGAAATAAGCAAAAAAAAAAAAAAAAAATTAAAAGATTATAAAATGGGTCTTACGAGAAAGTGTAAAAGGATCTGGGTTCTTTTATGGGAAAACGATTGAAAGGACTTAATATCATTTTTAATGCAGAAAAAGATTTCTTAATGAAAAGAATGTCTGAAAATCTTTTTTATAAAAGTTCATGGAGGAACTGGTGAAAATGGTTGTCCGAGATCTCCAGGCAATGCAGCAACCACCTTTGACCTGGGCAGCCTCTCCCTGTGCAGAGGGTGGGTGGAGGGGTGTGGCATGTGCATGGCGGAGGAGGTCTGGCAAGCAATAATGCATTTAAGTTTTTTCTCATTAATCTACTACTTTGTTTATTTTAATGCTATCTAGCATCCTTATTAGGGTTGCTTCCATGTCAATGTGGAATTTATTTCACCTAGTAAGATGTTAGTTACTTTTAAATAAGTGTCTCTATAATTTAGCTGAATATACAAAATAGAGAACTCTGAATGCTCTAGTGGGTAATAGTAGGAGAATAGTGGTAATGATAAAATAGAGTTACCTGGGAACCCCAAATATTTATAAGCTGAAGAAAATTGTTCAGATTTCCTTTGTTCAGACCTGTTAAGCAAACCCCTGTGAAGTCAAGGATATCCCACTATTGAGCACTTAGTAAAGTAATATTTTGCTACTGCTTGTTTGCATGTCTGTCTTGCCCTCCTGTACACAATGTCTTTCAAAGCAGGACCATGTTTTGTTCTTTTGGTGCCAAGCATGGTGTCTTGTACATGTGTCTTGTACATAGCTGGCCTGTGTTAAATATCTGTTGAAGAAATAAATAAGTGACTGGAATCTGGGCTGTCTTAGCCCATTGGGTATAACAAAATATCATAGATTAGGTCCGTTACAAACAACAGAAATTTATTTTTCCCAGTTCTGGTGGAGGAGAAGTCCAAAATCAAGGCACTGACTGATTCAGTGTCTGGTGAGGGCCCTCTTTCCAGTTCATAAACATTCTTGTTGCTATAACTTCACAGGGTAGAAGGGTAAAGTGAGCCATCTGGGTATTACCTGATCACCTCCCAAAGGTCTCTCTAGCCCCTTCCAAAGGTTGTTGATGTGGAAGCAACTTCCTAATTCCATTACATGCTAGGTTCCAATGTACAAATTCGGGGGGGAACACAAACATTCAATCTATAGCATGTGCTAAAATGAATCTTTTGCTTAAGAAAGAGAGAATTAATGCTCCGAGAGACCCTCAAGCTTAAAGCATTAACAGTATTAAAATGAAAAGTGGAGTTAGGATTTTCAGAGTCACTTCTTCAAAGTCCTACCTCACTCTAAACTCCAGCCACAATGGAGTTTCCTCACCATGCCACACTTTCACCTCCATGCTCTCTCTGGCTAGGATGCCTTGGTCCCCACACTTCACCCAGCTAATTCCTATCTTCCCTTCATGACTCAGCTCAGGGCCATCTCTTCTTTGGAGACTTTCTCTGACCTTCTTAGATGGCCTTGTCTCTGCGGCACACATCTTGACAGCACATGGTACCCAGGACTGTTGAGTGACTTGTCTGTGCCCAACACTAGCCTATACTTTCCTTGAGGTCAGGGATCATGTCTTAGTCATATTTGCACTCCCCAGTGCTTATTTAGCACAGTGCCTGGTACAGAGAAGATGCTTAATAAATGATTGTTGATTAAATCAGTAAATATGTTCACAGTTTTCCACTGGGGCATAGCACATGTGTTGTACATTGTAAATGGTCAATAAATATTTGAGGAACTGAGTGAGACTCCTCCAGATGAAATGTGGGGAATGGTAGAGTGCAACTGGTTGGAAATGCAGGCTCTAGAGTCCTGGCTCTATCACTTAACTAGTTGTGTGACTTGAGGCAGTTACCTACCCTTTCTAGTCTCAAAAATGAGGGTATTTTGAGAGGATTGGCTATAAAGTACTTAGCACAGAATCTGGTACTCAGCAAGTGCTTGATAAACGTGAGCTATTATTACTGCTCTGGGGGCTCTAGGCTTGGGTTTTGCCTGTCACCCCATTATCCTTCCAACCTCCAGGGCTGGCATGATGGTGTACTCAGCAGTTGTTTCTGGCATCCCACCTTGCCGAGGAGGATGCCAAAGAGAAATTGCACTCTCGTGTCTTTGCATTTCAGCTGGCTCATTCAGTGTCTGCCTTCTTAATAGTATTCTTTACTCAAGCATTCTTTACTCTGTGGGCTCAGTGGGACACTTCAGGATTTATCATTAATAATTATGAGTTCCTTGGAACCCTGCAAGCTGTTGAGATGCTACAGAAGCAGATTTAAAATCCAGCCTTCTTACAATAAATAATCAAACATGTTTTAGACCCCATTGGCTTTCAAGACCTTTACGAAATGTATATGTTAAATACTGACCCAGATACGTTATTTATGTTTGTTAGATTCATGTAATATACAAGTTAAAATCTGAGAAAAATTACCATGCAATGAAAGCATGGAGATCAAACAGCAGTAATGAAGTATATAATCTCTCTTGTTTCTGTTCCTTACATTTATTTTACTTTCAAATTTCAACTTGGAAAACTTGTGTATTCTTTAAAGATAGATGTGCCCTGCTTAAGCCCAAATTCCTACCTAAGATGTTAAGAAAGTAACTAATTAAGTCATAAATTTATAACACAGAACATGCTCCTTCACCCTTACGTTTCCTGCAGTATCAGGGGATCATACTGCCACCATGAAGGTTACCTGGGTTACTAGGAACAAAGGACACTAAATACAACAACCAGTGGCCCTTTAAATCTGTGCAGAGTCCTAGGCCAAATCTCTGACGCTAATCTATGGGACTCCTAAGTCCAAAGGATAAATAATTCTGCTGTCACCTGCTGCCAGCAGAGAAAGGAAGCAAGAAACCTAAAGCCTCTTCCTTTCTGGGATCTGCGATAATGATGATGATTAATGTGCTCTGTGAACCACAGTAGGCAAGTCTCCAGAAGGGGTGCTGAAGATGCCAACTGCATCCATCGCAAGGGAGGTATTTATCTATGGGGAAGACAGCCATCGGAAGCTTTCTGCTAGGGCTTACCCAAAGCAAGGGACCCCTGCCACACAGTGCTCCTTCCTGTTCAACCGCTGGTTCCTCTCATGCTGGATCACCCCAGACCCACAAAGATCAAAGAACACATGACAGGTTCTGGCCACAAAACTGTGGGCCTGGGGAGCAGGATTAGGAAACATGATTTTTACAGAGCAGCAACCCAGCATGTTGTCTCTTGTGCCTGCTGTGGTGTGTTTCTGCCCAGACCTCCAAGACTATGAAAGCAGGCCCATCTCAAACATAACAGCTGGAATAACAACCCACTTCCAATACTGTTTATTTTACCTCTTTTCTATTCAGACTGACGGCAGTTTGCTGTCCTGCCTATCTAAAACTCCCCTCAGCCTAGAGATTGTAAGCATTCCTGACATTTTAATTGCATCAACCTTAGTTCTTGTTACCTTAATAGCTCCTTTATCTTCCCTGGAGAGCTCTCTCAGTTCCATCTGCATATTTTTTTCACATATTCTCTCTCCAGGTTTTTTATTAATCCAAACTTGCTTTAATATGAATTTTTAGTTAATCAGAGTCTGCCTTCAAATACTATTATACTGGCCTGGTGCGATGGCTTATGCCTGTAATCCCAGCACTTTGGGAGGCCAAGGTGGGTGGATCACTTGAGGTCAGGAATTTGAGACCAGCCTGATCAACATGGGTGAAACCCTATCTCTTCTAAAAATACAAATTAGCTGGGCGTGGTGGTGCATGCCTGTAATCCCAGCTACTTGGGAGGCTGAGGCAAGAGAATCACTTGAACCCGAGAGGCGGAGGTTGCAGTGAGCTGATATCGTGCCATTGCATACAGCCTGGGCAACAAAAGCGAAACTCCATCTAAAAAAAAAATACTATTATACTGTTTCTCCTGTAGTGTAAGGACCTTACAATGTAAGTCATCACATTGCAGAGATTATCAATATGCACATATAAGAAGAATGAAAAAAATTAAATGTTATTCAAATGGGTATTCAAGACTTGGGATAAAATTTTCATAACACCCTACATGGATTTTTAAAGCGCTGTGTCTCAAACAGCTTACGTGGAAGTGAGTTTCATGCATTCTGGAAAACTGAGAGAACTTAAAGAGTGGCTTTTATGATGACATATACCCGATGTTAGAGATGCATATAAGAAATTTGAATAAAATTGTCTCATGATGTTTAGAAAAAAACATTCATAATAAAACAACATGATAAGTGCTATCAAGGAAGTATTTACAGGTTGCTATAGGAACACAAAGGAGAAAAGTTTCATAGAGATTGTGATATTCAAGTTAAGGCTTAAAGAGTCATTGGGCATTCTCCTAGGGGAAAAGGCATGCAAAGGTATACTGGGATGCTAACAGGATAACAAGAAAAATTAAATAAAAAAAGAAACAAGGCATGTAAAGGAACATCTCTTAAAGCACAGAAGTATGGAACTATATCACCCGCTTAAGGAACCATTAGTATTTCTATACAGTCAGAAGATAACATGATAGAGTAGCCCTAAGTGTCATGCTAAGAGATCCTCATTTTACCCAAGAGATAATAAGAAAGCACTAAAGGATTTTAAGCAGTTGAGTGACATGATCATACACATTGCCCATGAAGCATGTGGATATTGGTTGGAAAGGACTAGGCTAGAAAAAGGGAAAGCAGTGAGTTATTGTAGTAATGTCAGCAAGAAAAGATGGCATGGGAGGGAGGAAGAGACTAAATCAAAACAGTGGCAGCAGGACTAATGAGGAGGGGCTGACCTGAAGAGACATCAAGAGGTTGGGGTGATGAGAACTTGGGCCTAAGTGAGAGAGGGTGGTCTAGCATGACTGAGGTTTTTGACATAAGCATCTTAGGAGATGGTGTTGACATTTATTGAGGTAAGGGACATAGGAAAGAAGCATGTTTGGGGATGGGAAGAAACTATAAATTCAGTCTTGGATAAACTGTGTTAAACTCAGTTGGTTGTGTGACACCCAAGTAGAGAGGACCCCACTGACAGGGAGTCTGGTATATGTGTTTTGAGCTTCCATAAAGAGTATGACAAGAGTCAAGAGAGAAACCAAGAAAGACAACACAGAATCTGAGGGGAGAAACAGCCCACAAAAGATGGGAGAGGATCTGCTTCGTACTGCTGGGGCAAATTATTGTCATATTTATTTAAGTATTCAAGTAGAGTCATATAATTGCTTATTTCAGCTTTAGTACGGACCAGTGTTATTTAATGGTGTGACTTAATGATTAAAGTGAGACTTCTATATTTCCTTTCTTTTCTTTGAGACAGAGTTTCACTCTGTTGCCCAGGCTGGAGTGCAGTGGCACCATCTTGGCTCACTGCAGCCTCAACCTTCAGACTCAAGCGATCCTCTCACCTCAGCTTCCCAAGGAGCCATGATGATCAGCTAATTTTTTTTATCTTTTTGTAGACAGGAGGTCTCACTATGCTGCCCAGCTGGTCTCAAACTCCTCAACTCAAGTGATCCTCTCACCTCGTCTTCCCAAAGTGTTGGGATGACAGGCATGAGCCACTGTGCCTGGCCAGACTTCTGTATTTCTTATTTCATCCATATCCCTTTTACTTTGGCTGATATCATGCAACCTCTCAGTAAATATAACATTAAAATGTTAATGGTTCTTTTTGAAAATCAAAGAGAAAAAAAATCAAAGAGAAGACCCATAGAAATAGTTACATGCACTACTCATGAAGTCAGTAATGACAAAAAAAGTAAGACATGTTTTTTTTTTTTGTTTTTTTTTTTTTTTTTGGCATTGAGTGCACTGAAGTGCTCACTTTTTGGCTTGGTTTTGCACTACTGTAGACCTAGTGGGCACACTTTCTCTAATCTCTGGCAAGTAAGTAAACACCATCAGAGTCTGCTTCGACCTACTTGCCCTCCCTCTGGATTTGCACTCAGGGAGAATGATGGAGAGAGGGATGGAGCCTGAACTCTGTGGCTGCAGACTTTAAATCAAATTACTGTCATGTTCCCTAATTACTGTTCAATGTCTGGAGTCTCAAGTGACATAAACCAGTGGTATCCTCTTGGAGTTTTCACGCACAGCCAGGAGTCTGAAGCTGTGCTGAATGTGTTCGACACTGCAGTATAAATTTTACTGCTGTATTTTGCATAAGAAACTGTTAAACATTTTAAAAATATCAGCATTAGCTACTACACCAATCTCTAATAACGAGGTCTTGATAGTTTACAATACATTTGTACCTTCATTCTCTCAGTTAAGCATCACAGCGGCCTAGGGAAATAAATATTAACATGATTTATTTATTCCCACAGATGAGAAAACAGGGGTTCAGATGTTCAGTCATTAGGTTACACATGTAGCAAGTGGCAGGGTGAAGAGTCAGTCGCAGGCTTCCAAATTCCAAACCATGATCCTTTGCACTACACTATCTCCCATACACAACCAATGCTTTGAATCTATTTGATTATCACAGCGTCTCTAAAGAGCTGCATTCTATTGTGTGGCTGTAGGAGGAAAGGGCCAAGTGCAGCACTAAGATGATTCAGTTTCCCAGCTCTACAGATGACATATTGCAAATACTCCTAGACAGGGACCTAGGAAGACTTGCAGAATAGCTGAAGATCCAGTCCATCAAAACATTTGTAACCTATAGATTGTAAAAAGAAAATCTCTTGGCACATTTAACAAAGCCCAAGGAGAAGGTAGGAGATGGGGCATGGAGCATCAGCACCTAGGGAAGTACAGCTCTGAGGCTGTTCTTATTTCCACTTGATATTGTTTCTTTTAGGCCTGGGATGGCAGATCCCCAGCATGCATGCCCCGATGTCCTTTTCCTGCATTTACTGCAGAATGTGACACTCTTTCTGATAGAACTCAAATTGTTCACCTGCCTCAACACAGCACGTAAATGGGCTACTGATCAAGTTTGGCATGCCAGATAAAATTATTTTGTAATTCCTGCTTAGGTTGATGATCTGCACTACTCTGTGTTACCTCCAAGTATCATGAGCGTAAGGTCTGACCTGGCTTGACTCAATTAAAACACTCTTGCTCTTCAGCTCAGTGACTTGGCCAAGTATCTTCAAGTGTCTCTAGCCTGTTTCCTCATTTATAAAGTGAAACTAATAATACCCTATAGTACAGCGTTATTGAGAGGACTAAATGAGATAATAAATATGAGTCACTTAGCTCATTGCCTGGCATGTAATAAGCACAGAATAAATGGTGACCTTGTTACTGAGGGTACATAGGCCCGTGTCAAAAGGAAAATAATTAATTTTAAGAGTTTGGTAAGAATGCATTTACTAATATAATTAAAATGGACAAATCAGAAAATCAGATAACTGTAGTGAATATTTAACTGATTTTTCAATAACTTCTTCTTTTTTTTTTTTTCTGAGACAGGGTCTCACTCTGTTGTCCAGGCTGGAGAGTAGTGGTGAGATCATAGCTCACTGTAACCTTGAACTCCTGGGCTCAAGCAACATTCTGCCTTGGTCTCCTGAGTAGCTAGAACTACAAATAGGTGCCACCACATCTGGCTAAATTTTTACATTTTGTGTAGAGATAGGGTCTCATTGTGCTTCTCAGGTTAGTCTCGCACTACTGGCCTGATGTGATCTTTCCACCTCAGCCTCAATGACAACTTTTAAGTTTTTCTACTATATACTCTTTCTTTAAAACAAAGTCGTACTTATAGAAGAAGAGACCCAGGAATATAAAACATATTTGGAAGGGGTATTACTAAACCTGACCTTTGGGCTTCCTTCTCTTGGTTCTTAAAAAAAAAAAAAAAAAAGCATTACCTCAATTGGCATAAAAGGACTGAACTGAAATGCAATGAGAACTTCAATCTGAAGGAAATTCTATTTGGGAGGATTTCATGATAACTACTTGGAGAATTAATTGGACACTTTGCTATCAAGTAAGGTAAAAGAGAAAGAGTAAAAGCAAGCCCAAGGGCATTTTGCTTGGCCAAGAGAACAAAAAAACCCACTTTGAATTATTATGAGACAGTATTGAGAATGGTGCAAATTAAGAGGCTAAAACTTAATTCTATGTTTTTGGTACATGCCTCAGTAAAGAAGCTGAGATACCAATCTAATTTCAGGTGAGTTCTTACGGACTATGAGCTAGAATTAATTCCGTTGGGAAATGACAGTGTTCTAAATGAAAATCTCAGAAATGACACATTTACTCTATATATGTATTTTATGGGCTGAAAGGCATACATATAGTTTCTTGGGCAATTTTTGATGTTAGGATAATATTTTAAGTAGGCTTTTCTGATATACTTATTACAGTGTAATGCTTAAGATTTCGCAATAATTTAAAAAATGAAGAATATGGTAACTTCAAAAGCAAAAGTAAATTTACAATTTACTTCAGGGAGTACACAGTTAAATTTTGAATAATGATCTCACAATTAGATGACTATCTGTTAAGGACATCTATTCAATCATATGTTTTTTGTTTTTTTTTTTTCTTTTTTGAGATGGAGTCTTGCTCTGCCTCCCCAGCTGGAGTGCAATGGCACGATCTCGGCTCACTGCAACCTCCACCTCCCGGGTTCAAGCGATTGTTCTGCCTCAGCCTCCCGAGTAGCTGGGATTACAAGCTCCTGCCACCATGCCTGGCTAATTTTTGTATTTTTAGCAGAGGCAGGGTTTCACCATGTTGGCCAGGCTGGTCTCGACTCCTGACCTCAAGTGATCCACCCGCCTCGGCCTTCCAAAATGCTGGGATTACAGGCATGAGCAATCGCAGCTGGCCTCAATCATATGTTAATTCACATATTCACTCACTACCTCAGCAAATATTACTGTATTACTATTAATATATGTAAGCAATTGGGGATTATAGTAATAGATAACATGGAATCCTCTTCAAGGAATTTACGGTTAGAGCATTGGGAGGACAAATTATTGAATAAAAGGTTACACTAAATGGCATCTAAGACTCTCATCTTTGAAGTCTATGCCTCAAATGTAAAATATTTTTTTTTAAATGAGAGTGCCCATGCTGGCAAGGATGTTATGAAGTGGGAACTTCCTACACAACTGGTGGGAGTATAAACGGTTACAAGCTTATTCTGGAAAGTAATTTTGCAATATGTATCAAGAGGATAAAAAATAATCTGAAATTTCCTTCTTAGACACAATTCCAAAAAAATAATTAAAAGTGTGGACATAAAGAAAGCAAAGATGCTTGTCACATTTTTATAATGGTTAAAAACTTGGAAACCTAAACATCAAAGAATAAAAGAATGGTGAAACAAATGACATAGATCCCTATAATAGAATACAAGGCGGCCACTGAAGTGGTGTTTATGTGGGATTTGTCACTGGTCAATGCTCACATTAAAATTCTAAGAACAAATATTTGGCACTAACTCATATATACAAGATGCTTTCATCTCACATGTACACACACACACACACACACGCACACACACACACATTTTATTTAGAAAGAACACCAAAATGTTTGAAAATTGTGACATTCAGGTGACTACAAGACTTCCCAGTCTCTTTTACCCAATACTACTTTTTGCATGAGTAATTTTGAGTCCTTATATATCCAAAGTGATTTGGTAGATACTTCTTCTTGATCAAAGAAAACACAAGGTTTAGAAGCTCATTAGGAAACATTGATATTTTGACACTGTAAGTTAAATGTATTAAGAATGACTAAGAGTCATACTTCTTTTTCAGAATATTAAACATAGAGATTTAACCACAAGCCTAGTTTGTTGAAGATGCCTCTTCTTTTAATTTCCTGGAGTGTTGAAATGTAATAACTGTTTTTCCATTAAAAAGGTGAGAGTGGTGTGTGGGAAGTCTTTGGATGTCTAAATTTTGGTGTTCAAGGGCTCATAAAAATTATTATCATGATTGGGTTAATGGTTGCATTTTCATAACTTACTGTGAAAGAGAAAATGGCATCCATTTCTATTTGTTGTGCAATTTTTGTTGTTAGATTTTCATTAAGCACTTTTCTAAAATTCACTGTAACATTTCCAAGGAATTTTTTTTTTGTTTTAAATCTAGTGTTATTATTCAAGGTCTGGTAAGTGACAGTGATTAAAAATGTATGAGAAGTATGTGGTATTATTTGAAGTGGTTTATCAAAGATAAGGACATGCTAACAGCACATGTTGCATTAGTAAGAATTGGGAAAAAGATTGATAAACAAAATCAGAAGCAGATAAAAGAAACCCAAAAGTTCAGATGAACTCACACCTTCATGGGGAAGTGCAAGTCTTTCTACTGATCACTTCTGAGAGGTCAAGCAGTTTGACCAATCAAATCACCTAATTCTGTTACTTCCTTCCCTCTTCCTTCTCCCATGATGGATCTTTCCAAGGAGTGTTAATAAGTATCAGAACTTAATAACTATTAATTTCTTTTCCCTCCATTATTCTTTAGTCTGCATACTATCTATGGAATAGTGAAATCATAGAGACTTCCATTTATTAAATGCCAAGCTCCTTATCTTTTTAAGTCCTTCTAATAACCTGTAGAGGAGGAGTTATTCATTTCTGCCTGTAAAGAAGCAAGCTGACCCAGATGGACAGTAAATTGCTCCAGTGTCAGCTGAGTCAGAGGTCAGCACTTACATCTTCCCAACTTGGAAGCCTACATTCTTTGCACTATACTCTCAAGTGAACGATTAAATGCCTGTGGGGTGGGTGGCCATGAGAAAAAAAAATTAACCAGATTAAGGTACTCAAGATAGGGAAGGACTTACCAGCAGGACTGATAGTGTCATTGGGTTGAAACCCCCTTTCCAAATAGCACCTCCAGTGCTGTAAAGTACTCTTTCCACCTGGAGATCTCCTGGCTTCAGGGAAAATTATAATATTGAGCCCCTTCGTCCTCTTGCATAGAGAATAGACAGACTAGATAACCAGCTCCTGGACAGCGTGGGACTGCTCCTTTAAATAACCCATATAAATATATCCTTGGAAGATGCTAAATGGTGCCAAGAAGGGGTCCTGGTCATGTGAGAACTGTGGTTAGGAATAAAAGCACATTACCATGAATCAGAGCCTAAGCAGAATTCTGACTGCAAGGGGGATGTGCCTTAACTGTGTGAAGACATGCAAATGGAAAGGGAGTGTAAATATTTATAGTTCCTTTCATACCCACATCCTCTCTGGGTCAGCATGGGATGGAGTCATAGGTAATGAAATGTGACATCCAGCCACACATAAATGATTTAGAAAGAAGAAAGCATAACTGGTAAGAAAGACTTCAAAAGAAGCTGTAGAACAAAGTATGGCACTCATTGTCAACTTAGGATAGCAATGGACAGCCAGAATAACTTCAGGAGCACTTGAATGATTCAGGAGGCCCTGGCCTGTCTGGAAGCTATGTGCAGCTGGGATGGAGGATCCCAGAATCTGGTTCCTAAGCTGCTGGCCTGGCACTGCTTGGCAGGTTTGCCCAGCTGGACTGGGCTGGGGTTGGAGTCTGGCACTCACTTTTTACCCACAGTGCGGTAAAAGACTTCTTTCCTTCCACTCTCTGTGACTTTCCAGTACAAGAGACTGTACTAAATGGGAGAACAGCCAAGAGGAAGAATGTCATGTCCATTCCATTCTATCCACTGTCCCCTTTGAGAATCCTGATCCATCTCTAAAGTTTTTTTTAATTTTAATTTTTATTTTCATCTTTAAAGTTTTTAAACCCCTTTCATTAAAATGTGGTGGATTATCTAGTAATCATGCAAAAAGTTGGAAAATAAATTGTGATCCAAGTCCCCCCAAGTCTGTTTGTAGTTTTTTCTGCATGGTGTGAAAGTTTACTTTGAGAGAGCCTGTAGGGCTTTGAGGTTGCGTGTGAGTTTGTGAGACAGAGTTTGTCTGTTAGTTGCTTCCTTTCAGCTTTGAGATTTGAGCTTTTCAGTGACTTACGGGGAAAAGTGTTAGGGCAGCCAAGCTCACTGCTGGAGTTCTCCACGGAGCTGGAGGTGAAGTGTGAAAACAAAAGCTGTGTACCCGTGGCTTGGGACAGGAGTGAGCAGGTGAGGACCAGCAGGGTGGGATCAGAACCCTCTAGAAGACACCTGTCTAGTCTCTACTCCCAGGCTCACAGCAGGCAGCTCCTGCCACTTTGGACTTATTCTGCAAGGACAGAACAGGAGCTGCGGGGAAAAGTTCCTCCCTACAACACTGGATGCTGCTTTGGGAAGGAAAGCAACATGGAGAAATTATATGACTTTCTCAAAGCAGATATAACTGCTATCTCACATTAATAGCAAATGCCATATTGCAAATGCCATTTATTGGCAGCGGCATTAAAGTGCGTTTTGTGGAAGGGCATGACTACACTCTTAACTCTAAAACTTGTTTGTTTTCCTTTAATAATTTATGACAAATTTATCCTTAATGCTTTTGTCAAAACACTTTTTGAAACTACTCAAATGTTTCCTACCTTTAGAAAGCAATGGTTACCTCTAAAGTAAAATACTATTTCTTTATAATACAAGTAATTCTAATATTGTACATTCTTATTTTAAAGAATTCACATTTACCATTTTTCTATACTGTATATAATGCAAAAGGAAGTATGGTCCCATTTTTATCTTCGGATTATATAAAGAGGCCATAATTAATATAACTCTCATGATCAGTTGATATAGGAGACAAAAAGATTAATACATGTGATGGCAGATCAAGATGACAACAGAGGACTGTATTACTATGAATAATTTGGGAAAGCCTACAACATTCCAAGAGAGAAGTATGTATTATTTATTTGAAGAAGAAAATTAGGGAAAAATAATAGGAGCATCTGCTTTCATAAGAAAAAACAATTTTCTAATAAAACACTTCTCTAAAATGTTTGATATTTCTCTATATTTTAAAACTGGATCTTGATAAAAATGTATACTCTTCTCAATAATTTTGAGCTTGTGGACTGGGGAGAGCACAGGCTTTGGAATTAGACAGATCTTGGTTTGAAGCCTGGCTTTATCACTGACTGTCTGATTTTAGAAAGGTTATTTAGCCTCCCTGAACTTGAGCTTTCTGATCTGTAAAGTGGATAACAAAAACTCCTTTGAATATAATTTTTTATAAAACATTTTAAAATATAATTTTATTTTTTACTGACAAATAATAATTGTACATATTCATGGCATACATAGTGATGTTTTGATACATATAATTTATGGTGAATAGATCAGGGTAATCAGTATATCCATCATCTCAAACACTTTGAATAAGGGTTTTAATAAGGATGAATGAGCACCACTTAAATAAATCAAGCATTTGGTAGACTTGACATAAACTGCAAATATTATAGGTTGACTAAGGAGTGATACATAACCACCTTTAATTGTTAAATGGAGCTGGATCATAAAATTAAGATTATATATTCCGGTTGAACATCCCTAATCTGAAAATCTGAAATGAACAAAATCTGAAACTTTTTGAGTGCTGCCATGATGCCACAAGTGGAAAATTCCACACTTGACATTTCAGATTTCAGATACTCAGATTAGGAAGGCTCAACCCGTACAGGGATTCTGGTGATGCTACTGTGCTGCTTAGCTACACGGAACACATTATTTTTTCACTGTATTAATGATATGCTATATTTTTTACCATTAAGTCCTATGTGTGAGTAAGTGTAAGAAAATGATTGCTTATCATTAGCATATGAATTCAGAGTCAGGAATGATGGTGATGCCAACAACCGCAGATTGTCCACACGGGTGGCTGAGATAGTGACATCTTTGCTTTCTCATGGCTCAATGTACACAAACCTTGTTTCATGTACAACATTATTTAAAATATTGCATAAAATTACCTTCAGGCTATGTGTATAAGGTGTGTGTGTGTGTATATATATACACAACATATATATATAACATATATAACATATATATTATATATAACATATATATTATATATAACATATATATAACATATATAACATATATATAACATATATATTATATATATATATATATATATATATATATATATATATAGTATCTCTACTCTTCAGTAAGGTCAAATCATAATGACAAGAGGTTGTCACCGGGCTACAATGCTGGTAAATTACTCAGTGACTTAAAATTCGCTTTTAACTTATATATACCTTAAGCAGAAGACTTAGTATTTTTTCCATCTTTAAAATAAAGGTTTTTGACTCATATTAGCCTTCACCCATCATTGTTAAAAGTCAACGGTCTACCTGTGAATAGTATCATCTTCACTTCAGAAATGCCAAGGCTCTGAAGCTATATATATATATATAACATATATATTATATATAATATATATCACATATATTTTATATATAATATATATCACATATATTTTATATTATATATCACATATATTATATATTATATATAATATATATAACATATATTATATATAATATATATAACATATATTATATATAACATATATAACATATATTATATATAACATATATTATATATAACATATATAACATATAACGTATATATAACATATATTATATATAACATATATATAACATATAACGTATATATAACATATATATTATATATAACATATATATAACATATATAACATAACATATATATTACATATATAACATATATATTACATATATATTACATATATAACATATATATTATATATATATATATATATATAAAAATAACATAAATGAGTCTGGGCAACATAGGGAAAACCTGTCTCTACAAAAAAACAAAACAAACAAAAAAAAACTAGCCAGGTGTGGTGGTGCATGCGCCTAGCTACTTGGGAAACTGAGGTAGGAGGATGGCTTGAGCCTGGGAGGTCTCAGTGGGCCATGGTTGCTCCACTGCACTGCAGCCTGGGTGACAGAGTGAGATCCTGTCTCAAAAAACAAAAACCAGAAATCCAAAAAGCATAAATAAATTTCATGTTTAGACTTGGGTCCTATGCCCAAGATATCTCACTATGTATATGCAAATTATCCAAAATCCCACCCTCCCCCCAAAAAAAACCCCAAATCTGAAACACTTCTGGTCCCAAGCATTTTGTATAAAGGATACTCAACCCATATACTATATTAATCCTTAAGGATGCATGTATAACTATTAAATAATGAACTCATGATTCAATTGGAAGAAATAAAGAGCCTCCTTTAATACACCTCACAAGTTTGCCTGAGAATGATTAATTTCGGAACCAAAGACCAACAGAAAATAGCTTCAGAGCCTTGGCATTTCTGAAGTGAAGATGATACTATTCACAGGTAGACCGTTGACATTTAACAATGATGGGTGAAGGCTAATATAAAAACCTTTATTTTAAAGATGGAAAAAATACTAAGTCTTCTGCTTAAGGTATATATAAGTTAAAAGCGAATTTTAAGTCACTGAGTAATTTACCAGCATTGTAGCCCGGTGACAACCTCTTGTCATTATGATTTGACCTTACTGAAGAGTAGAGATACTATAAACTAAAAATTGTCCACAAGTTGAAAATCACACGTTCTTTCCTGAAAGTTTAACTCTAAGACATATGGTTCATGTTCACACATTCATCCAGAGGAGAATGTCAAAAATAAGGCAGCTGAGTATGAATAACTTGATACCATACACTTTGGTGCTCACTGTGAAAATAAAGCTTTGCAACCCTTATTCCTGGGGTAGAGGTAGAATGGTGTGGTAGAGAGACCAGGCATGGGCTTTGCATCTTGGCAGGGATGAAACAAATTCTGGATCTATCACTCACTTGCTGTGTGAACTTGGACAAATTATTTTATCTCTATAAATATAATAGTCTTATCCATATTATAATTAAAGGTTGTTAAACATATGGGAGATAATGATGGCAACCAAAACAAAAATAGGAATAGCACCTACAAATTATCAAGGGCTTATAATGTGCTAGGCACTGGACCAAATATTTTATATGCCTAACCTCATTTAATCTGCAGAGAAATTCTCTGGGGGTATTGTTAGGCTAGTTCACAGATGAGCAAATAGAGGCTTAAAGAAACTAAGTAGGACCTGACTATAAAACTTGTTTTTTTCTGTCTCTTTCATAATGGGCATAGAAGACCTAGCCCTTGTGCATAAAGTCTCTGATACCCTTTATCAATAGTAGCTATAATTATTATTATGATTTAATTTCCATTACATTTTTTCCAGTCTTCTTATTTTTATTTCAATAGGTTTTCGGGGAACAGGTGGTGTTTGGTCACATGGATAAGTTCTTTAGTGGTGATTTCTGAGATTCTGGTGCACCCATTGCCCAAGCAGTGCCATTACATGTTTTTTTGAAAAGAAACATGAATTATATAGCTTTTGAAAGAAAACTCTGATTATAAAAGCAATGTGCATATTTAGAAATAAAAGAGAATTACAAAAGAGATAAAAGAAACCTCTTGGAAACATCACCTAGAGCAGAGGTCCCCAAGTCCCAGGCCACAGACTGGTCCTGTCCATGGCCTGCTGGAACTGGGCTGCACAGCAGGAAGTGAGCAGTGGGCAAGGGAGCATTACTGCCTGAGCTCCATCTCCTGTCAGATCAGCAGTGCCATTAGATTCTCATAGAAGCGTGAACCCTATTGTGGACTGCACATGCAAGGGATCTAGGTTGTGTGCTTCTTATGAGAATCTAACTAATGCCTGACCATCTGAGGTGGAACAGTTTCATCCTGAAACAATCCCCCAACCCCATGGAAAAATTGTTTTCCACAAAACTGGTCCCTTGTGCCAAAGAGGTTGGGGACTGCTGACCTACAGAACACCAGAGTTAATAATTTGCTATATTTCCTTCAAGATGAAACAAAGTATAACATTGCCCAAACCCAGGAGTTTGAGGCTGCACTGAGCTAGGATCGTGCCACTGCACTTCAGCCCAGGTGACAGGAAAATTTTTTTTAACAGAGTAAAAAGACAACCTACAGAATGGGAGAAGATACTTGCAAACTATTCATCCAACAGGAGATTAAGATCCAGAATATACAAGGAACTCAAACATCTCCACAGCGGAAACACAAACAATCCAATTAAAAAATGAGCCATTGACCTGAACAGGCATTTTTTAAAAGAAGAAAAATGGCCAACAAATATATGAAAAAATGTTCAATATCACTAATCATCAAGGAAATGCAAAACAAAATACAATGAAGTATCATCTCACCAGGTAGCATGAATGTTATCAAAAGATAAAAAAAACAACAAATGTTGGTGAAGGTGCAAAAACAGGGGTAGGCCATACACTGTTGTTGGGAATGTAAACTAGTACAGCCACTATGGAGAACAGTATGGAGGCTCCTCAAAAACAATAAAAGTAGAAGTACTGTATGGTCCAGCAGTCCCACTACTGGGCATTTATCCAAAGGAAAAGCAATCAGTATACTGAAGAGACAGCTGTACCCCCATGTTTATTGAAGCTCTATTCACAAAAGCCAAGATATGGAATCAACCTATGTTCATCAACAGACGAATGGATAAACTAAATGTCCTATACACATCCAACAGAATACTATTCAGTCACAAAAAATAATGAAATCCTGTCATTTGCAGCAATACAGATGGAACTGAAGGACGTTATGTTAAGTAAAATAAGCCAGGAACAGAAAATTAAACACTACATGGTCTCACTCATAGGTGGAAGCTGAAAAAGTTGATCTCACAAAAGTAAAAAGAACAAAGGATGCTAGAGGCCAGGAAGAGTAGGGGGAAGGGGATGATACAGAGATTTGTTAAGGGCTACAAAATTACAGCTAGATAGAAAGAATAAGTTCTAGAGTTACATACTACTATAGGATGACTATAGTTAACAATAGCATATCATACAATTTCAAATAGCTAGAAGGAAGATAGTTAATGTTCCCAACACAAAGAAATGATTAATGTTTGAAATGACAGAAAACCCAATTACCCTGATCTGATCATTGCACCTTACATGTACTGAAATATCACTATGTGCCCCATAAATATGTACAATTATTATATGTCAATTAAAAAATAAAACTTAAAAAGTATAATGTGTTAAGATAATCTTTAATTCCATACATTTCTATGGTATTAAAAGTCTCTGAAAACTAATTCTTAATGTCCATTAACATATCATTGTTTGAATGTACCATGATATAATTGACAATTCTATTGTTGGACTTTATTTCCTTTTTTTGCTCTTGTAAATTTATTAACTCATTCAACAAATATTTATTGAACACTTTCCACGTACCATGCACCACTCTAGGCATTGCACAGCAATGAATAAAACAGACAAAAAAAATCCCGGCCTTCATGGAGCTTACAATCTAACCAGAAGAGGTAGACAAAGAATAACATAAATGAAATGGTATACTAGAAAGTAATAAATGTCCTGGAGAAAAATAAAGCAGGTAGGAAGGATCAGGAGTGTGGTTAAGGGGTGTTGCATTTTTAATAGTGGGTCAAGGAAGATCTCAATGAGAAGGTAACATTTGAACAAAGACTTGAAGAGAGTAAGAAGCAAGCCATGTGACTATCAGGGCACAGCATGGAAGCAGAGGGAAACAGCAAAAGGCCCTGAGGTGGAATTGTGCATGGGGCCTCTAACAACAGTGGGGGGACAGTGAGAGAAGTGGGATAAACAAAGAGGAAAGCAGGAGCTGATAAGGTCATAGAGAGAACAGGATACTACATCATACAGAAGGCCTCCTGGGACATGGGAATGACTTTGGATTTAATTCTGAGTGAGAGTGAATGTCATTGAAGGGTTCAAATAGGAAAGTGACATCATCTTATTAACTTTAAAAAATGTTTCCTTGGGCTGCTATGTGACTAGACTGCAAGAGGGCAAGGTCAAAAGCAGGAAGACCAGTTAAGAGGCCACGGCAAGAATCCAGTAGAGAGATGGTGTGGCTTGGACAAGAGTGGTAGTGGTAGAGGCTGTGGGAAGCAGTGGAATTCTGGATATGTTCTGAAGGAAGAACCAGTAGGACTTATTGAAAAAGACCACAAAGCTTTTGGCTCAGACTCCTATAGAAGGATAGAGGTGCCACCAACAGAAATGGAGAAGACTGGTAGTAGCATAGGGTTGTATGTGTTGGGGGCTGAGAAGGCAGGGGGTCAGTCTGTATGTGTTACACCTGAGACGCCTATTAGACATCCAAGTGGAGGTGTCAATGGGCAGTTGCATATAGGACTCCAGAGTTCAAGGAAGAGGTCAAGCTTGGAAATATAAATTTGAGAGTCAGCATTGTATAGGGATGTCTATAAACATGAGGGTAAATGAGATCACCAAGGAAGTGATTATGTGTTTGAATATTCTTCTTCATAAACACTTATCCTTATCTATGGTCATTGCATCAGGACAGATTTCTAAGAGTGAAATTATTGGGTCAAAGGGTATGCACATGGCTAAGGATTTTGATTCATATTACCAAATTACTTTTCAAAGTGGCAGCAATTTATATTACCAGCCAACACTGAACATTATGCTTTAAAGCAATCTCTTTTAATTTGACACATATAAACATGGAGTCTTACTACTGATTTGATTTTTCTGATGACTTGTAAAACAAGTTTTTATAATTTGTTTGATGATTATTTCTATTTCTTCTGTGCATTCATGCTTCATGTCCTGCTTAGAGAAAGTTTTCTGTTGGGGTGCTTTTAAAAAGTGATTGTGATTTGCATAATGTGTAACTTTATGAGTCTTAATTATTTATAATCTTTTGGGTTTTTTGGTATACAATAAGGAAGTATAGGCTATGAAGAAAGATTAGTTGATACCATAGTGATCCTTCCGGTGGCTCATGAGTTGTGACATTAAATGACATATATTTAAATGACCAGGTCATTTAATTAATATATGCTTGGACAGATAATGGCGGTTTTAAAGTATTAAAGTATTGAACTACAATTGAGGAAGCATATATAATAAAGCCCACTTTTTAAACCACGTAAGAGAAAAATCAAAAGAATGCAAAAACGTTTTTAAAAATTAAAACATTGTGCTCACTGAAGTGAAATGATCTGAAAATAAGAATGTCAATATTGCTTGAGGGTGAGTTGCAAACATTTTAAGTAAACTATCCTTTACTGTGATAACATAATGGCAGTAAAGAAAAAAAATCCAACAAACATTTATTTCCTAAGAACCTGGTCCTGTTCTAAGCACCATATGTGTATTCCCTCATTCTTCTTATTGCCCCATTCTTCTCAACAACTCTATGAGATGGATACCAATTAGGAATCATTTTTTATAAGGAGGAATCTGGGGCACAGTCATGGTAAGTTACCTACCCAAGATGCCACAGCAGAGTAGGGTGATATGATTTGGCTGTGTCCCCACCCAAATCTCACCTGGAATTGTAACTCCCACAATTCCCACATGTCCTGGGAGGAACCCGGTAGGAGGTGACTGAATTACGGCGGGGGTGAGGATGTCTTTCCTGCGCTGTTCTTGTCATAGCGAATGAGTCTCATGAGATCTGATGGGTTTAAAAATGGAAATTACCCTGCACAAGCTCTCTTTGCTTGCTGTCATCCACATAAGATGTGACTTGCTCCTCTTTGCCTTCTGCCATTATCGTGAGGCCTCCCCAGCCACGTGGAACTGTGAGTCTAATTAAACTCTTTCTTTTATAAATTGCCCAGTCTCAGTATGTCTTTAACAGCAGCATGAAAATGGACTAATACACAGGGCTCATGATACACACAACTTTGTATAAGTTGCCCAAACTTTGTATAAGTTGCTTTATACATATTATTTCACTTAGTCTTAATAGTATTTCACTTAGTCTTAATAGTTGCTTTATACATATTATTTCACTTAGTCTTAATAGTAACCATCAGAGGTAAACTTCTCTGTCCATTCTAGAGATGGAGAAACTAAATACAGTAGTTGTCAGGTCCTATAGGTAGTAAGTGATAGAAGCTGGATTTGAACCAGGTCGCTTTGAGACCAAAGTTAGAGCTCCTTCCCTTAATACCACATTGCCTCTCAGGAAATACTTAAGAACCAAAATGTCTGTTACGAACATTAAGTAGTAAAGGAATTTAGAAACAGAGGAGACTGTAGAGGCTTGAGTAGTCAGGGAAAATAGGTGAAATAATGAATGACAGTAAAATATAGGATCTGAAAGGTAGAATAGAAGAGCCAGAGCATCTCAAGTGAGCAGCAAAGCTTGGATGGGAAAACTGGACAGGGAGCATTAGGAGGCCAAGCTAGAAGGGAGAGTTTGTGGTGGCTTGTGGGCTTGCATTGGTCTTTATTTTTCTGGTAATTTTCTTCTGGACTGTATTTTGTCACATTTTCATTATGTGGCCTCCTGCCCGTTGCCTGAATATCCTTCCTATGAGCAAGTTTTCCCCAAACTATAGCTTCTAAAAGGCAGGGAGTTTATCTTGTTCATGTTTGATCCCTGGCCCATAAGAATAACACATATTCGTTGAAGTTAGCTGAATTGCTGGTTTTGATCTATTCTAGACTTTTCAACAAGGCTGCTTACAGTCACAGATTAAAAGTCAGTCTCTCCCTCTCAAATGTGTACCTTCATCCAGCACTGAAGCATGCTCAAGTCTCTCATTCCCAAAAACAAAACCAATGTAATACAAAACCAAACCAAACAAGCACACAAACACACCAAAAACTCTTTTCTCCATTCCTCCTTTCCCCTTCTAACTGCTGCCTTAGTTTTTTTCTTTCCTTTGCAGTCAGATGTCTTTAGTCTTCTGCATCTGCTCATCCAACTCCATTTTCTGACATCCACCCCCCCTAACTTCTCTGCCTACTCTATCCTGGTTTCTGTCTCTGTCAATCCACCAAACAAGCAATAGATGATAAAACTCACAAACTTCCTGCCAGCTGTTGAAATGAACAGGCTTTTACTGTCCTCATCTTGCTTGACTTCTCAGAGAAGCAACTTTGGACAGTTGACATTTCTCTCCCTGGAACATTTTAAATTTAGCATCTATGATATCCCAATTCTCATTTTCTCTCACATCTTTGACCACCTTCTCTTCCCCTCCCCGACTCTTCTTCCTCTATCAGTCCTAAGATGTTGCTTTGGCTCAGATGTTTTGTTGCTCTCTAGTCAATGTTATTCAACTCTAATCTATTCACCAATGGTAATGCATACTTACCGAATTAATGAATGGGAAAACAACCTAGTGCTTTCTATGGGCTGGCCCCTAAGAAAATCCATTTCCCTCTCTTTGTGCTGACTGCTTCATTTGACCTCTTTTCCTGTGTTATTCTTCATCTTCTTCTGAGTATTGGTAAACTCTACTTGGTCCCTTACCAATCTATCTCTCAGCTCCAGCTAACTCAAGGTTCGTCCCTTGGCCTATTAATTCAATTCCCGGCTCTGACAAAGTTGTTTAACTTTGGACAACTTCTGATATTTTATATTCCTGGTAGACTTCATGAAGGCAGGAAAAAACACTGCCATTGTATTTGACAGCTGTTTGACATACTGTGAAACCAAATAAATAATGTGAAGTAAAGCTAGCGAATTACATAGGGAGAGGATTTATAAAAAGTTCGAATAAGTTATGCATGCACTTTCCCTTATGGCAAATATTTGATTGGTTTCCTGCAGATACCATATTGCTATGTTTTGTCTGTTTGAGCTGAATTCTCCCATTCCTCATTTATTTCAGCTGGCTGGTTTACTGTTATGTTTTACTTTGAAGTATATGCTGTTTTAAACCATTTTTATCCATTTTTTTTTCAGATTATCAACAGTATACATGTTAAAAATTTACAGAAAAGTTTTTACAAAAAAGTTTACAGAATACATATAAAAAATTTGTAGAAAAGGATAAGAAAAAATATAAAAACCATTTTAACTTCCAGGCATTAACATGCTACATATGGATTTTCCATAGTAACATGTTAATTATGAAAAAATATTCTTTATATGCTTGTGGTGAAAACAAATAGTTTTAATTTTTTCTATAACATAAATTAATAGAATCTTAATGGGTTCTCTTTTATAATTCTTTTTTTTTTTTTGAGACAGAGTCTCGCTCTGTCGCCAGGCTGGAGTGCAGTGGCGTAATCTCGGCTCACTGTAAGCTCTGCCTCCCAGGTTCACGCCATTCTTCTGCCTCAGCCTCCTGAGTAGCTGGGACTACAGGCACCCACCACTATGCCCGGCTAAGTTTTTGTATTTTTAATAGAGACGGGGTTTCACCGCGTTAGCCAGGATGGTCTCGATCTCCTGACCTCGTGATCCGCCCGCCTCAGCCTCTCAAAGTGCTGGGATTACAGGTGTGAGCCACCATGCACCGCCTGTAATTCTTTTATTCTTTTCCTTTTCTTCTTCTTTTTTTTTTGTTTTAGTTCAAGATTTTTTTTCCTCAGTAAAAACACTGGTTTTAATTTAAACCAATCCTTATAAATAATCTGAATTTACAAAAATAGGCTTTTTCTTTCCTCTTTTTTTTTTCAGGGGATAGGAAACTTACTATTCAACTGACAAATCACATTATTGCAGGTAAAATTATAATTTTGTCTGAGGTAAGAAAAAATAATTTTTTGAAGCATGACTCATTTTCAAATTGAAAGAGCTAAGGATAGAAGGAATTCAGTATTGGATAATCTTTTTAAGTAATTAAGACAAAATTCTACTTGTGTCAAAAGGAGAGTTTAAGCCTCTACTTTTTTCCTTAATGTTTTCATGTTTTGGCTTTATCTCTGGGATCATTCTGTAAACTCTCAGACCAATAGTTGTCTTGGTCTTTTCTAGATCCTCAGAGTGATCTGCAGAGGGTTCTGCAGCTGCTTAATCAATGGGGACCTTTTGACTCCTCAAGACATGGAGATGAGAACAAATAATTTCATTTGTGCGTTCTGTAAGTGACTTACAAAGGGTTCTCACGTGTTTTCTAATTTGAACCTCATGCCAACTCTGTGAAGTAGAAACACTGGGTCATTACCACTGAGGCTTTTGGGGGTAAATAAATTGCCCAATTGATGCCTTGTAAACATGCTTGTGAATAATTTTAAGTTAAAAAATTTTTAAAGCAGAGTACAATATGATTTCAACCATCATACTGTCAAAATATCATAGAAAAACACTGCACAGAAAAAGACTCAAAATGATAACAATGGTTATTTCTGGGCTTCAGAATAATGGGTGATTTTTACTTTCTTCTTATATTCTTCTGCATTCTTGACCCTCAGCAGCACCCACCCATAGATGAGCACACGCTTGATCTCTCTGTCTCTCTCTCTCTCTCTCTCTCACACACACACACACACACACACACACTACTCTCCATAAATATTACATGTTTTAAAAAGGAACTGTAAGATTTTTAGATAGAAAGAACTAAAAACAGAAGTAAACAGACTCCATTTTCCTTCTCTTGATAGAAACTTGAAAGCTGCTCATCCTTCAGGCAGCTCCCGCTTGCCAATGTTGAAAAGTAAAATGATAGAAAATAACATGGCGTGCAACTGCCAAGACAGATTTGTGGTTGACATTTCTTCTGAAAAATGTCTTCATTAAAATAAGTAGCTGTTGGTGTTGTCTTCTGATTTAGTCATTTTGAAAAGTAATGAGTAGCTCTCAGAACTGGATTTCAGGTTTCTCATGGAATCCATCACTTTGAATAGATATACCTTAGATATAACTGAGCATGCAGTAGAAGAGAATTGATCACCAGGTACCTATCATCTTCCTAAAACATATTTGCATGATGTTGTCCAGCTCAGTGAAGTGCTCAATGAATGTAAGGTATTATTTGTCATTATTTAGCACATATTTTGATTAGATCATTTATGTTTTGGAGTATATGCTATTATAGATTACACTAATAACCACAGATATAATTTATTTCAACACTCATGTGATATGAGAGGTTTATATATATTATCTATAATCCTTAATTAATCTTGCAAGTCACTTACCTTCATTCCCATTTTACAGATGAGGACATTTCATCTTAGAGAGATTAAGAGACTTGCCAGAATTCAAACCCTTGTCTTTGTGACTTCAAAGTCAGCCCTTGGATCACCATACCAAACTACATTTTGCTTAATGTAATATTTATCATTGAGTTCCTTGCAACATTTCACCAGCATAAGGTTTATTTGAATATAATAAAAATTGAGAAGGTTTGTGAATAACATAGGCATGAACAAAATATGAAATTGGCAGTCCTACCCAATGTCCTTGGTGTCTACTGAGACCATGCTCAAAGAGAGAGAAGGGAAAAAAATCAATAGACAGTGGAAGCCAAATCGGAAGAAGACAGAAGAAGAGAGAAAAAATCAACACAAGAGCTTATCAAATAGCTTCTGAAGGGCTTTTATAGTTGGTGACAGGCTTGGCAACACTTCTTCTGACTGTTAAGCTGTGTTCACTTTTCTCAGCTCATCATTTCATAGGAGCTGTGGGAGCCACTTTCCTGAGATTTTAAAAATACCACTGGATTATGGGAATTTCTCTCTTGTCAGAAATCCAATACATTGAAAGAATCAGTATGTGAAAGTACATAGCACATATGGCTACCATAGCACTAATAATTCTTCTGGACAGTACCAAGGCCAATCTCATCAAAATAATAAGAATATCTGTGTCTTGTTAGTGCTTTTTCTGTGCTGGGCACTGTGCTTAGTTCTTTAATTACCTTTTCTCACTCAGTCCTCACAGCCCACTTAGGAGGCAGGCATTATGAGATTCAGTTTTCAGATGGTAGAACTGAGGCCCTAAGAGTTTCAAAAACTTGTGCAAAAGGTCAAGAACTCGTGAATGGCCTAGAACTGTGATCTGTTTGCCCCTGACTTCTGAGTTTTTAATCACCAGCCCTGTTTTTGTCCTTTGATAGACAAGAGTTGCTTTCACTTGTCTGGTCCTGTTCATTTTTTCTATATTCTTCTCTTTATGTTTCCAAATCCAGGTTGTGATTAGGGTGTTGGTTTAAATCTATGTTTCGCTCAACAAATATTTATTTAGCACTTACTATGTACCAAGTGTTCTAGGAGATTGAGATACAATAGTAAAGAATTCAGTCAAAATACTTTCTCTTATAGAGCTTTTGTTTCAGTGACATTACACATTATTTCTGAAATTTGCATTATTTGAAGAATTTCAATTTACTTTATGCGAGTGTAGAAGCAAAAAATGTCAAAATTTGATGTGCAGTTTAACCAAGAGATCTAAGTCTTAAAATGAAAACAAAGCATGTTTACAGCAATTTAAAGACTAGAGATCTTGAAAGGTGTTACCTATGATCAACTGCAGAGAAGATTTGAAAAATGGTTTTCAAGTGGAAACATTTTTTCAGGCTTTGTTTTTGCTCTTTCTTCCCCCATATATATTAACTATATATATTAAGTGTGTGTATATATATATGTGTGTGTGTGTGTGTGTGTGTGTGTGTGTGTGTGTATTTAATGAGGGTCATCAAAAAATTCACAGTCCAGTAATGTCTATTCATTTAGTAAATATATATTGAAGGTGAATTTATGGGCTCCAAGCCAGCTGCTGGAAATAAAATATTGATGATGACAGCAGAATTATAAAAAGGAGAGCAGACAGTGGAATTATAAAGACAGAGTTATAGTAGAAAGATGGTAGAATCATAAAGAAGTAGAATTATAAAATAACATAATTGCCATGAATGGACTCAAAATGGGGTGTTATGGGACCTCAGAGTGGGGGCATCTGTCCCCATCAGGGTGGCTTCCCAGAAGAATCCAGGTCAAGACAGGGTGATGAGGTTGATCAGGACTGCAGGGAGAGGGAAAAGTCCTTAGCTGCAGAGAATGCCATTTTGAACAACTACAAGTAACAGAGGAAAATTTGAGATAACTGAAGTTTCCTATGTTTTGTCTCTTCTCTTACAATTTTAAAGTAGGGCTATCATTTCACAGAATATGAAGTGGAGCAGTACAACTGTGGAATTACCTATCCATGGGATTTTAGAAAATGCACTACTTGATATTTTTAATATCAGATTTCATTGTTTTAAGAATTCAGATTGAACCGATGAAATGAGCCAGCAATCACAAGTACGCTGCAGTCATGCAGCAACTGCTCACTGAGCCAAAAGGATTTCACCTAAGGCTTTACAAAATCTTCTGAGACAGACAGAATTTAGTTGGAAATTACTGCTGCATTAATCATTCAGTTGTATGAGACCATATCATCTTTTTGGGCTTCTGCTAGAATTCATTTGTCATGAACATATGAACTCTAAATAAAGCTTTGGTAAAAAAACGAAAAAATAAACATTATCAAGTATATATCAAGTGATCGTGATGTCTGTATTCAGATTTTTAAGCATAAATTTCAGAATAGAGGAAAAATCATATCTTATAATACACAGCACTATTTATCTTTTGAAATTAAACTTTCAGGTAAGATACAAGATTTTTTCTTTACAAAAAAATCTATTACTTCTATTTTTCCTCCTTGATCCTGAACTTGACAGCAATTGTGGAAATTCTTTGAAGCAACACTCTGTGGTATTTTCTGAGAAATCTCTCATGGTTGCTGACACCTTCAAATAACCTGTGAATTGGCAATGGTTAGAGACTAGGCCACAGTGGAAAGCATGAATTTTTGAAAGCTCAAATTTGAAGCATTACTGAAAAGCTGTTTATTCAATCCTAGTGAATGAAGTCTAAAGAGGTTCTTGTTCACTCTCAGCTTATTAGGATGAACGGATGTAGTACAATTCATTAATGTATGCATTAAGTTAACAAATAATTCAAAGCACCCACTACAGTCTGGCACTGCGCTGGCTGCACAGTCCCTACTAAGTGGACTACTGAAAAGAATAGCCTGCATCACATTACAACTTACACACATTCAAGCTTCCCTTCCACAGACATCCCTTTAAATTCAGAGTTGGCTTTCTTACTTCATATAGGAGCTCTTAAAGCCAAAAATCAACATTTTCATACATCTTTCAGTACCCCCCCATTAGCTAGAAATCTCAGAATAATTGCCTAAAAAGAAATTGATGAATGAATATATTTGTAGATTATTTTATACTAAGCTAAATTAAATTCCTCAGTGGGGTTGTTGAGCAGGGAGAGAGCAACAAGAAATTAGAATGGTTTAGATAAAATTTATTTTATTCCCTACTCCTTCCCTGGCTGCTTATCTCTTGATTCTGTCTTTCCCACCACTTACTCCCATTTCCAATCCTGAACTTGGTAATGGCTGTAACTCCACTTAGAAATTTCAGATGTCTCATTTCTTCTTGAATGCATGGAATAATCTCTGTTCCAGAGTGTCAAGTTCATCCAGTCCCACCAGAGTTATCATGGAAAGGCAGGTGCAATTTACTCCCTCCTGCAGCCTTTTGTACATCCTTCCTCCTATCATTACAATGGTCAGATGCAATGAGGCCACTCACTGATCTCCTTTCCTCCCTTTTCTCTATGGGCTCCCTCAGAGCAGTGGCGTGTCTGTGTACCTGCCTGTGTCCCACCTGCCAGGTTGGGTTAAACTAGCTGGAAGCATCCTGCAGTTGTGCCTGGGGAAGGGCCCTCCAGAGGCCAGCTGAGTGGGAGGCAAAAACACAGACAAGGGAAGCCCATTATATTGAGGAAGACAACAGCAGTTGAGTCTGAAGGGTGAAACAGGGCAGACTGGGATCAAGGAGTAATGTCAGAGTGAGACGCAGAGTGGGTAAGGCAAGAGTAAGACTGCGCAGTTTAGAGTTTATCTGAGAAAAGGTAGCAAGTCCCTATCTTTACCTGAAATGAGATAATCTAAATAGAAACACCTGGCACACACAAGGCACTAAATAATTTTTTTTCTTTTTTTGAGATGGAGTCTTGCTCTACCGCCCTGGCTGGAGTACAGTGGCACGATTTTGGCTCACTGCAACATCCGCCTCCTGGGTTCAAGCGATTCTCCTGCCTCAGCCTCCTGAGTAGCTGGGATTACAGGCATGGAACACCATGCCTGCCTAATTTTTGTATTTTTAGTAGAGACAGGATTTTACCATGTTGGCTAGGCTGGTCTTGAACTCCTGACCTCAGGCAATCCGCCCACCTTGGCCTCCCAAAGTGCTGAGATTACAGGCTTGAGCCACCATGCCTGGCTGGCACTAAATAATTTTAATACCTACATGACAGAGGTGAGTGATTAAAATAGTTAAAAATGTGTAAATCAGTTGGCGCTGCACTGGATACAGTATGTTAGTTCTTCACATCTCTTAGAAACAAATTTCTTATTTTTTTTAAAAAAATAATTAAGTATGTAAAGGTAAATTAAAATGGAGACCAGACTTGAAGAATCTCTGAGAAGATAAAGCCAATTAGGTCTCATAAGTGACCTTAACTTTGCTCAATTTGCAAACATAAACCAAACTTGTGCTACTTCTTGTAAATGCCTGTATTAAAGAAAAAATGAAACTTAAGACTAACCTATCAGAAGCTGCCAAATAACTTATTTAACTAAGGACTTTCCAGCAAGATAGATCAAATAAGGCAACTGTATAACAGTAACCAATCAAATGTTTTCTTTTCTTCACTTCCTTCTGTGTTTGCCCTAGAAAAGCCTTCCCCTGGTGTTCCCTGGTTGGATCTCCTGAACCACTTCCAGCTTGGAGTTGTTCAATTTATCAGTCGCTGTTTGTGCAAATAAACTCTTTCAAATTTTATTGTGCCTCAGTTCACCTTTTAACAGGTATCATTGCTTCTCAAACAGCAAAAACCTGCAGGTTCACATTAACAGGCATTATCAATATATTTTCTGGCTGTTTTGAGAGGGGTGTTTAACTCTACTTGGACATAAGTTCTGGTTGAATTCCCTGTCATTAACTGAGGGATCCTCTAACATAGAATCTATTTCAAACCTCAGCTCCCTTGTTTACTGGCTTCAGGCTTTATGGCATGTTCCTGACCTTCTCTGGGCCTCTGTTTCTTTCATTAATTTTAAAACACTGTTGGAAGAATTAGATATAAGATGAATAAGGAGTCTGGTATATTGAAAGTGCTTACTGAAAAGTAGCTAATATTATTAAGCACATTTTCTATTTTAACCATTTTTCATAGAACTACTTGCAAATGGGCCGGGCATGGTGGCTCACACCTTTAATTCCAGCACTTTGGGAGGCCAAGGTGGGCGGATCACAAGGTCAGGAGTTCGAGACCACCCTGGCCAACATGGTGAAACCCAGTCTCTACTAAAAATACAAAAATTAGCCGGGCATGGTGGCAGGCACCTGTAATGCCAGCTACTTGGGAGGCTGAGGCAGGAGAATTGCTTGAAACCGGAAGGCAGAGGTTGCAGTGAGCCGAGATTGCACCACTGCACTCCAGCCTGGGCAACAAGAGCGAAACTCCATCTCAAGAAAAAAAAAAAAAAAAGAATTACTTGCAGATGTATTTTACGTATCTTTTCAAACAGAAAAAAGGATTATTTTTAACCTTTTGGTGGTTATTGTAGGTTGGCTCACTCATTTATTCCAGCTCCTTTCTCCTTTGTCTTCTTCTACATCAGAGGTTGTAAAGCTAAAAACTCCGTTTTGCAGCCTCCCCTGAAGGTAGGGGAAACACATGCTCCACTTCTGACCAATGAGATACAGGTGCCAGTCAATGAGGGAGGGAGAGGGGGTTTATGGGAAAGCTTTTGCTTTCCTAAAGAAAGGCAATAGCTGTGGCTTCCCAGCCCTTTACTATCTCACCTTTTTTCTGTGTGGAAGGTAGACTGGATGATTTTGTCACTATGAGAAAGCATTAAAGATGTTGGAACAGAAAGACAGAAGGGGCCTGGGTCCTTGATGACACCATGTAGTCATTGTACTACTCCTAGATCGTCCATCTCTGAACATATTTTTACACACATCAAATAAACCTGTTAATTTAAGCCATAGCTATTCATATATTTATTTATTTATTTAGAGACAGGGTCTTGCTCTGTTGCCCAGGCTGGAGTGCAGTGCTGCAATCATGGCTCATTGCAACCTCCATCTCCTGGGCTCAAGTGATCCTCCCACCTCAGCTTCCCAAGTAGCCGGGACTGCAGGTGTGCACCACCATGCCCAACTAATTTTTTGTATTTTTGGTAGAGATGGGGTTTCGCCATGTTGCCCAGGCTGGTCTTCAATTCCTGGCCTCAAGCAATCCACCCATTTCAGCCTCCCAAAGTGTTGGGATTACAGACATGAGCCACCGCGCCCGGCCCAGTTATTCTTTTATTGTAATGAAACAAACCTTTTATTTTTGGTGAAGACCAATTATTGCACAGTGCTTTAATGGAATTATGTCCTCACTGCTGCAAGATGTGCAGGGCTGTCTGCCATGAAAATAAATGGTTCCATGTATAACGATTGAATTAATTCATTAACTTACTTAATGAACTATTTTGAAACAGTTATTAGTGGAAAGAAAAATTTGTGATTCAACTGACTCTACTCTCCCTTTGCTTGGATTTTAATGTCACTTGATAATGCTTTAGCTTGTCAGAGTCCTGATTACATTCCCTTTCCTTCCCTATCTCCTTTCCTTTCAGCCTTGCCATGAACACTATCCAAAGGGTAAACCAAAATGGTTAAACTGGGAAAATGTATGTTACGCCTATGATGCAGGTGATTTTTGAGTGCTATTTTCCCTTAGAGAACTTTTCCAATTACTCCCATGTTTGCCATCCGTGCCAGATGGTTGCCGATCTGCCATATGGAGAAGTAAAACCTTGTGTCAGTCACTATTCCAGTCCAGGCCCTTGTCACGCCTCTTCCAGATGCTTCCTCCATTCACTGTTTCACACACAGCTACCAGCTTAATATTTCTAGCTGTGTCACTCCCATGCTCCAAGCCTTTCAATGTGGCCCTTGCCAACAGAAAAACCCTTCCTCCTTAGCCTAGCACTTCAGTGCCTTGCTCAGTTTGATGACAGCACCTCTGTCCCCTGGTTTCTACTTCTCACTACTCTGTTCTACACGTGTCTGCTTATCATGACCTTCTTTCCTATTTCTGGGTTCCAACTCCTTCCTGCCTCTCAAGGGTCAATGTTTCCAGGAAAGCCTTCCCTAATCTTTCCAGGAAGAAGTCACTCCCTGCCCTTTATTCTTCCTGGCCTGTTCTATTACTTCAGTGTGGTGGCTCATACCACTTCTCCAGCTGAGTTCAAGTTATTTATCTTTCTATCATCTCTGTGCCTGCGTCACAAACTCCCTGAAGACAGGATCTGGCTCCACATCATCTTTGTATTCCTTGCAGTGCCTGCTGTGGTACCCTGGATATGGGAAAATGTCATGATCAGGCATGTCAACAGATAGCTGTTGAGTAAAAGGAGGATCACTGTTGTCTGATGAAAAGGGTGCCATGAATACATAGGCCCTCAATAAAATGGTTTGAATGAATGACTATAAAAGGACTATCATAATGGGGAAATGGAACGTAAGACTTAAGGGAGACAAGGACAGTGCTTTGCCTGTCCCAGAACTGAAGCCTCAGTTTTACGTTCGATTTGTAGGACTGAGCAAGAAGGAGATAGGTAAGAAAGAGATAGTAGTATAGATAAACAAAAATACAAGGTCCAACAATTGGCCATTTGTAGTATAATTTCTTCACTTCTAATGTGTGCTTAATCAATTTTATGATTTATCTTAATTATTTTACATCTATTACCTAGCAAAAATTACTTTTAAAACTTCTCAATGTAATGTACCAATATAATTAATTTTCCCATTTATTCTTTTCTAAAAAACAGAAATGAAGAGATTACAGCTGCATAGAGATGCCTGTCAAATGACAAGTGCCTGGAGAAAGCATTTTGATGAATGAACAACAGAATGATCACAAAACAGCCTTTGGGGCCAGCAGTGTGATCTGGGTTGAGACTCCACTGCTCTTGTGGGATCCTGGTAGGCTACACTTTCATGTGCTTTCGTTTTTCTCATTTACAAAATGGAGATAATAATAGTATCTGCCCCAACAAGATTAGGTGAGAAATAATGAGTTATCGTATGTGAAACATTTTCTGTTTGTTTTTTAGTTTTTTTTAATGTTTATTTTAGGTTCAGAGGTACATGTGCAAGTTTGTTATATAGGTAATTGTACTCAATGTTTAGCTCCCACTTATAAGTGAGAACAGAAACATTCCGAATAGTACTAGGCACGTATTAAGCATTCAGGAATTGTTAGCTATTGTTTCCTAAGGCACCATCTATTCATAATATTTTGTTGTATTTTCCTGACGGGCAAGCCTTAAATGCTTATTCTTTTTCTTTTATTTTGTCTTCTTTTTTTTGGAGGGGGGACATTTAATTTAACTATAGTGCCAGGTCTCTTTAAAAGATATTGATTAATTCCAATTAGTTTGGCCTTAAACATGAAAAAAATTTAGTCTAGGGACATTACCAAAAGTATTATTTTCTTACACATGTTCTCAGTAAGTCTTAGTAAAACATTTCAAATGAAGACCTAACTCTGAAGTCTGGAATATTTGTTGACATTATTGTCAACATTATTGTTCTGATCACAGAGTGTCTCCTGGAGAATAACCAGCTAAAAATATGTGTTTGTGTGTGTGTGTGGGTGTGTGGGTGTGTGGGTGTGTATACATATAGAACCTGCAGGGTTGAAACAGCAGTTTATAGGAAGTTGTTAGTATGACATGACATTCAGCTACCAACTATTTAGTAATTTGTTTTCTTTTGCTTTAAAAAAATTAAAAAGACAAGCTATTGTTGAAGACAGTCCCATAGAAATAGCACAGACCTTAACTAGAGTATTTGTAGATAGACCTGTCAGTAACAGTTCTTGGAATCAGAATTTTTTTTTTATTATACTTTAAGTTTTAGGGTACATGTGCACAACATGCAGGTTTGTTACATATGTATACATGTGCCATGTTACTATGCAGCCATAAAAAATGATGAGTTCATGTCCTTTGTAGGGACACGGATGAAGCTGGAAACCATCATTCTCAGCAAACTATCGCAAGGACAAAACTCACTCATAGGTGGGAATTGAACAATGAGAACACACAGAATTTTCTTAATGTGAACCTCCAAAGGTCTTCACTTGAATTATCTCGATTTTGTCCACATTATTTGTTTTATAGTTATCATGTGAGAGCCTTGCTTTCTACTTCAGATGATTAAAAAATTGTTCATGGGGCTCTTCAGACTCTGTTTTATGAGTGTCGGTAATAATAAAATCAACAGAAAAATATTTTACATTCTGTTGGGGGAGGAAGTTGTTCATTTTTAAAGTTCTTCCTTATTTTTCCTGTTAATACCTGTATAAAACATCACAATAAAATATTGCATTTTTGGTGCAAGAGCTCTTCTCATCCGATGCTGACAGTAGGACTGCCATATAATCAGCAGCAGTTTCCAACCTCGAGAGAGATGCATTTGCTGAGTCATTTGGTTTGCTTTCTGTCTACGGGGTGTGAAGACGACTGGAAGTGAGGGAGCTTTGGGGATGGAAAAGTTGTGAGTCAGGGCGTTGCTTATGACAGAGACAGATTGCCAGGATGAGCTATAAATGTGGTATCTGCTTGTTCTTCCTGTTGTTTTGATGCTGTTCAGGAACTAGCAGAATTTGCTGCCCAGGACAGTGGATGATATACTTTGCTATATGCGGGTTGCCATTTTGTGAGCAAATGGCTTTATCTTTGTGCTTTTATTTTCCTTTCTATCCAAAAGATTGAAAGAGAAATTGTGATCACGGTATTTTAGGTTTTAGAGCCCACAATAATGACAGTATATGAAAGTAATCAGATTCACTTTTCAATTTAGTTCTGGATATTTTAAAACCAAAATTACAGATAGGTATGTAAATAGGTAAATTAAGTGGGCAACACTGAGTAATCCCCAGAGATGGCAAGCTCCTTAGGGAAGCAACAGGACTTTTCTGAGAACGGCACCATCTTGGCAGCTCTACACACAGTTAAGATTTGATAAGTGCTTGTTGCCCAGAGGATGTGATTCCTTTTAAGCTGCTCTTTATTCCAGTCAAAAATGGATACGGTATTTCTCATGTTGCTTCAGGGCTCTCACTGAGGTTCTATCAGCATCAGGTTTTGTGCCAGAAGGCACTGTTTACTTAATTTAAACACACTCTGGCAACTGAAAAGCAATTTAGGGGACCATATATCCATGTGAATATAGATATCATTGTTACCTAAGTAAATATCTTCCAGAATACTTCCATGGCCTTTCCTATTAACCTTTAAAAACTCTTCCTCGACTATTTTCTTAGTCACTAAATCCAGAAATAGGAATTAGTGGGAGCTTTTGGTTACATGACAATGGATGCTCAAACAGGATATAAGTGATGGTACTCAAAGGAAATACAGCTTCATTATGTAACACATTACAAACTCATCAACCCCTTACCTATTGAGACGCTGTAACAGAATTTTTTTCCTAGTAATTTTAGGAGAATGGGTTTTTTGGGGCAAGTTGTTATCAAATGTTTGTTTGCTTTTCTTATGTTTAGGTGGGTTGCTGATAAGTGTTCATGCTGTTTAGTTTTCTTTTCTCCTGGCTGGGTGTGGTGGCTCATCCTGTAGTCCCAGCACTTTGGGAGGCTGAGGTGGGTGGATTGCTTTAGCTCAGGAGTCCGAGACCAGCCTGAGGGACAAAGTGAGACCCTGTCTCTACAAAACATACGAAAAATTAGGTGGGCATGGTGGCATACACCTGTAGTTCCAGCTACTTGGGAGGCAAAGGTGGGAGGATGGCTTGAACCTGGGAGGCAGAGGTTGCAGTGAGCTGAGGTCACGCCACTGCACTTCAGCCTGGGCAACACAGCCAGACCCTATCCCCCACAAAAAAATTCTTTTCTCCTTTGGGTTATTTTTCTTTCCATTTCCACCATATGTGCAGTGATGCTAAGTGGAGTTGGTGATAATTAACCAATGGCTGTACGTTGAGAGTTTAGGGATAAATGTATTATTATACTTTAAATGTTAGTGTTGGTTCCTATGAAATGTGAAGTCAGTTAACAAATAATTATTCAGCAGTTCTCTCTAAATTAACTTTTACTATTCCTACTTATTTTTCCTGTGGCTAGGAGTGTCTGATGGGATGGGAATTACAGTGGATCCTTCACGACAGGGGTTTGAAGGGCATGGTCCACTTTGGTCCACCTCTGCCACTCTGAGACAGAAGCACCAACCCCTCTTCTTCCTCCTCCTCCTCAGTCTACTCAGTGTGAAGATAACAAGAATGAAGAACTTTATGATGATGCATTTCCACTTAACGAACAATAAATATATTTTCTTTTCCTTGTGACTTTCTTAATAATATTTTCTTTTCTCTATCTTACTTTATGGTAAGAATCAGTATATAATACATATAACATACAAAATATGTGTTAATCAGCTGTTTATGTTATTGATAAGGCTCTGGTTGACAGTAGGCTATTAGTAGTAGTTCTGTTTGGGGGGACTCAAAGTTATACATGGATTTTCAGTTGCATGGGAGCTGGCACCCCAATCCTTGCGTTATTCAAGGGTCAACTGTGCATAGTTTCAGTGGTAAATTTGAAATGCATAATGCGGGGATTCTCAAATTTGAAGGAAGTGATATGGGGCAAATGAAGCAATCGTAGTGTGAATGGGGTTATCTGGGACTTGGGGACAATGTCTGGTAATAAACAATGGTGTAGTTTGACAGGCCTGTGCTCTCTATGTCAATCGTTTCCCAGCACTGATGCTGGTTTGTGATGAGTGTTTCCCAATCCACAGCAAAATTAGAAAAATAAGGCAAGTATTGGGAGTTTTTTTCTAATGCCTTCACTTCGTAAAATTAAAAAGTCATCTCACCCCTACTTAAAAAATATTTTTTCTGGTCTAGTAAGTACTAAAATTAGGGAAACATTGGTCTATACAGCCTTGCTAAATAGCAGTGTAGCCCTTCCCACATTCCTTGACCACTTCCCAGGAAACCTGGTATTGGTGAACAATAAATAATCCTGATTTTAACCTTTTTTCAGCCTCTGCCTTTCCTGGCTGAAGAGATTTAGTTGGTAAACCTGCGTATGAATTAGTAGGCCTTTTCATACATCCTGTGACCACAGCTTACCTCTGATTTCAAGTTATACTCCTACAAAAAGTCCAGAAGGAAAATGACTATTTGTTTACTTCACAGTCTAAAGCTAAATGTGGATTTTAATGATTATTACCAATATTCAGTAGCATTTTTTCAATGCACACAAGTGTATATCCATTTCCCTGGTGAAATCCATGTTTTTCTGGCTGAATAGAACATCTAATGGCACAAAGTTTTGAATGCATTCTGGAAAAAATAACATATACATTGCATCTGAGCTTTTTTTTTTTTTGCACAATTTAAGAAGACCTTTTTCTTTAAAAATAAACAAAATTGCATATATTTTTTAAAAAGTTCATAAAACTTACAAAAACTTGACTTGTCTTAATTAATTCTGTTTCTTAGAAAAGGGTTCCTGAGGGGGATGAGGGATCAAAGACTACACATTGGGTACAGTAAATACTGCTCAGGTGATGGGCACACTAAAATCTCAGAAATCACCGCTAAAGAACTTATTCATGTACAATAAATATAAATTAAAAAAAAGAAAAAAAGTGTTCCAACTTGGTGAGACTGATTGAAATGAAGACTAGTTGAAAAAAACTTTTACAAGAAAGATTAAAAATTATCATGAAACAGACATTTTATTGGAACTGTAAAAATCTATAAAAGGGAAATTATTATTCAAGAGTTATACAGTTTCAAGTCCAAGTGCTCCAAAATGTCAAGAGACACAGCTTACTCAGCAATAGTAAAAGTAGCTTTCCTAGATCCAGCAATATCTAAACTAACTACAAGAAAAATCTTCTGCCAAACATTGGGAACTCACAGCATCCTAATCTTTAATCACAAGCATAAAGCAGTAAAAGATGTATTGAGAAATTACATCCAACTTCAGGGTAAGTTAAAGACAACATATAAATATGTCTGAGAAAGTTCTATGAAGAAGTTTCTAATATACTAGCCTTATGATTTCATATTATTTTCATTCATATTTGCACACATGACTGCATATGGACATGTATAATACAAGAACAAAAATGAAGAAGTCCATGTAATGGAAACTATGTCAGTAAGATACAGTATTCAAGCAACAGCATGTTTTTCTTGGCTAATCTGATTAGGCTTTCTTTTCAGTCAAACTGGGTTTGTTCTCTAGTCAAATATGCCAACAGATATAGTCAATGAGGTAAAAAAGAAAAGAGTGGAATGATGTCTGTTACTATTCAGACACAGCCACTATGTAGCTTGATTACACGGACAATATAGAATCTAAAGAAGACACTGAGTCAAACTTACAACTCATTAATAGACACTTTTAAAGAAAAAGATGAATTATGTCTAAAGTTTTTACAACCTATTCATTTTGGATTTCTTCAATAACCTATGTATTGGAGAAAAGGCAACAGAGTTCCCTCAAAGGGCACAGAATTGCTAGTGGTTACTGTAGATTCTAAAAGATGAGCATTTGCTGGGGAAGGAAGAAAGACAAAGAAATATAAAAACTGTACAATAATATCAATCATGTCATTTACCCTTACAATATTCTAGACACCGTTTTAAGCTCTTGACATCCATTTACTCCTCATAATCACACTGAGGTAGGATTGATTATTATACCTATTTTACAGGTAAGGCATACGAGTTGCAGAGCAGATAAGTAACCTGCAGAAAGTCACACAGGTGGTAGGTGGTGCAGCTGGAATCTGAATCAGGCAAAGCGGCTGCATGGAGCATCTTAAAACACGCTCTCTGCATTACTATCATCTACCATGTTATACATATTCTCTCATTTCACCCACACAACAATATTATGAGGTAGGTAACACTGTCTCCAATTTAGAGATAGAGAGATCAAGTCCTAGAGGCTATACCTTGTAGGGCATCATGAAATTATTAAATGGCAACGGAACTGAGATTCCAAGTGACAGGATTCAGACACCAAAGCGCCAGAGAAGAGGGGTACTAACATGAAGTTTCTCAACTGGACTAAACAGGGACATGGTCTCTGTGGCCCTTAAGAACTTTGTGCAGAGATAAGTGATTAATGCTATTGGAGTGTGGAGACAGTCTATTTTATTCACCACAGGGAATCCCAATCCCTAAAACAGTGCATGACATATGTGAGGACACCCTGCACATTTTCACACTTAATAATCCATCACAATTATAACACATAACTCAACAGTCATCACACTTAATAACTGATTGTTTAATGTCTCTTTCTCCACACACTGCAAGCTCTGTTCATTTCCTGGAGCTTACTATATAGTGAGAAGGTACTGTTCTAGGTGTCTGCAATATGTCTGTGCCAAAATAAAGATCCTTACCCTTTGTTTATTTAGCTCTGCACCCCTGTCCCCTAGCAGAGTATCCTGGTTTTCAGTAAATATTTACTGAATGAGTAAATGAATGAATCAGGAGGGGCAGGTGGGAGAAAAGGAAAAAAAAAAAACTACAGAGAAAAGGAAATATTTGGGTTTGATCTATTAACCCCCAGATTTTTATTAAAATCTTAACATGCTTATTATTAATACAAATGATCATTTTTATTATTTAACTCATCTTTAAAAGCAGAAGTGTCACCAAATATATTTTAATTCCAGCAATAAACTATGATCCAGGTTCTAAAAGAGGACACATGTTTTGCTTCTTTGTCAAATTTTTTCAAATTATATTCCCCAGAGCTTAGCCTGTGTTTGCGTTCATTGCTTTCCAAAAGGCGACTTTACTAGGCAAGTTTTCTGTCAGTAATTAGAAGCATTTATCTTAAAGCTCATTTGGTTTTAGCAGTGAGGTTACAGGCTGTCATCCACATTGTTATTGACTCCCTCAATTAGAGGCAATGGCATTTCACCTCCATGCAAAATATTAGTAAATTAATAATATCCACTCCGCATTCATTTGAGAAATCTGCTCTGCTTGTGATGACGAATGTGACAAGCAGGGAGTAATCAGAGACACTCTGGTAACACCTTTGAGCCTTACAAACATCAATTAAATCTGGCCCTGCACCTTACAGTTGGGGTTTGGTTTGTAGGGCAAATTTCTTTTTTTATGATACAATGTGGAAGTTAGTGTTGGTAACTGGTGAGAAAAACAAACAACAGCCTGTAATCCTAGCACTTTGGGAGGCCGAGGTGGGCAGATCATGAGGTCAGGAGTTCAAGACCAGCCTGGCCAACATGGTGAAACCCCATCTCTACTAAAAATACAAAAATTTAGCTGGGCGTGGTGGTGTGCACCTGTAATCCCAGCTACTTGGGAGGCTGAGGTAGGAGAATCGCTTGAACCCAGGAGATGGAGGTTGCAGTAAGCTGAGATCACGCCATTGCACTCCAGCCCAGGTGACAGAGCAAGACTCCAACTCAAAAAACCAAACCAAAACAAAACAAAAACCAAACAATAACCCCAACAAAACATAGCCACAGAAGCATCCACCCTGATTTTCCCAAATCTTTTCAATTACTCAATGCCTGCTTTAGATCAAAATATGAACCCTGGCATTGTGAACAATTTCCAGATCAGACTTACAACTCTGCGACATGACAACTTTGACTCAAAGAGCAAATCACGTTAAATATTTCTTTATGGTGCTAAAAAGATTGCAAAGAAATTATTCTTCAAATGTCATGTCTGTCTCTTTCAGGTCTAAGGGCATCCTAGTCTAATGAAGAGAGTTTTAACCCAGGAATTGTCAAGATCACAGGAGCTCTCTGGATGGGCTTCAGCTGATTTACCTAAAATTTGTGAAAAAAAGTCTTTATGTGCTTTTTATTGGGATGGGCATGCATCGCTTTGATTAGATTCTCTACAGAGGCTTGTAACCCAACTACACAAAACTCTTTGGTCCACTGGCCCGGGCCCGAGGGCTGAGAGGAGGATTCTGCCAAGGTCTGCCACCATCTAGCTGTCAAGCAGCTGCTGTGGTTTTAGTGTCCTCTTGCATAAAGTGCTTTCTTCAGATGACCCATTATCCTCTTTGTCTCCTCTACGCTTTAATGCTGGAATCTGATGCTGTGATTATCATAAATTTAGCTGAACCTTCACCTCTAATGTTCTAGATTCTAAAAACTGTACAAACTAATGATTCAGTGTCATCTTTCATTGGCACATTGAATATCATTAGCCATAAAACAAACTAAAAATTTAGGAAAACATTAATATTTGCATTGTATCAAAGGAGCAGAAGGGTGACTACCTCCCATTTTGATACATTATCACTTCTTTATGACAAGTCAAACCCTTAGGAAACTTTTTCTGTGAAGTCAGAACCTCATTTCTTTATGTAGTAGATCATGACAAACAACGCTTAAATCTATTATAACCCCACATCAACTGTGTGGTTATAAGTCTATCAATTTTGTTAGGCTTCCAAAGACAGACAAAAGAGTGGAGAGACTGGACAAATATTGCTTACAATCACCCAGACAGTTACTTTAAAACACTTTTTTACTTGAGGACTACAGAATTTTGGCCAAGGTTAAAATTTATCTTCTTTCATAAAAATCAATTAAATTAAAAAGAAAGTTTTTTTAAAAAAACATGATGGCTTAAAAAGGCAAATCAGGTCAAAATGATACATTTTTTTCCATTGGTTCTGTACCCCCCAAAAGCCACTTTTTAAGGTAAAGAGGATTTCTACATGAGAACATGGGCTAATGAGAAATCTGAAAGAGCGCTCTTGTATTGGACTTGTAAAAGTCGAGCTAACTTACTGTCATGATGAGCCCCTTTTCCTGGAAGTATTTAACCAATGGAGCAGCATTCTGCTTGAAGTTCATTAGTCTCCTTTGGGTAGCTTTTACATTGTCGTCTGGTCGGCCCTGCTGTTCTGCACGCTTCAGTAATCTTTCTTTGAGTCTCTGATTAGCACAAGCCAGGAATACCACCAAATCGGGGGTACAGATCTGTGGAGAGCATCAACAAATAGAGAGGCATTCAACATACCAACTAATGCATGTGTGGGCAGCTGCATTCATTTCCTTTTGTTCTGTGGAGGCTGCCATATATTTGGCCCTCTATGTTTTTGACAGTGTATTTCCAGGGCTGCTGCTCTACCCAAGGCCAGGAGCAGCCATTCCCACTGTAGTCCATGTAAATAGCATTCTCTAACTCATGTGGCCATATGCAGTAGCCAACACTTTTTATATATGCTCAAATAAGTTTCCAAGTTGAATTAAGAACAGTCTCAGCCAAACTTTGCTAAAAATATTATATATGCAACTTGATTTTAGATGGGAGGAACTACTGGGCCACAGATGTTCTCTACAGCAAACAAGTACTATTGTTATTATTACTATTTGGTGCCATTTAAAAATTATCTACTGTATGCCAGGCCCAATGCTGTTTCCTTAAGATATTGCTGGCTGGGCGTGGTGGCTCACACCTGTAATTTCAGCACTTTGGGAGGCTGAGGCGGGAGAATCATGAGGTCAGAAGTTCAATACCAGCCTGACCAACATGGTGAAACCGTCTCTACAGGTGGTGGCACGCACCTGTAATCCCAGCTACTCAGGAGTCTAAGGCAAGAGAATTGCTTGAACCTGGGAGGTGGAGGTTGCAGTGAGCTGAGATTGTGCCATTGCACTCCAGCCTGGGTGACAGAGCAAGACTCCATCTCAAAAAAAAAAAAAAAAAAAGATATTGCTAAATTTTACAACAATCTGCAAGGTAAATGTTATCTCCATTTCATAGATGAGCTGAGGCTCTGAGAAATTAAGTACTTGTCTGAGATCACATGGTCAGTAAAGTAAAAGTTAATGTTTGAACTCAAGTCTGTCTGGTCTAAGGCCTCTGTTCCTTTCACTATCACAAAGCACTAAAAGGCCCAAAGGTCTTCATAAATTTCAGAAAATACTAAGAAGTAGGATGAAAAGAACCTATGAAGTAAAAAGTTTCTATTTAACTAAATTAGAACTAGCATTGCATTTAAAACATAGCACGACTATATGAAGTGAATGCAGCTTACAACTGAGAATGGGACGAGGCAAAAAGACAGTTTGCATAGTGGTTTGAAGCAATAATCTCCAAAGTGTTTTACTGCCTCTTCACATTAGTAAATGTTTTAAGCATATGCCGCAATTACTTATTAATTTACAAATTATGCATGTACATATGATATGCATGTATTACTATACTAGTGCAGAATGCACATTGTAAAATATATATATGAAAATACAATTTTTAAAGGATGGGATTCTATTATTGTAATTTTAATGATTTTTTTCCCATATCACAGTGGTTTGCTTTGTGCACTCTGGAGACCACTAGTTAAAAAATGGACTTGGGAGGCTGGAAGACATGGATTCCAGTTTTTTTGCCCCAGGACTTACTAGCTGAACAACAGGCACATAATTTAATCTTGCTAAACCTCTATGTCCTTATCTGTCAATAGAGATACAGGAACTTACCTCCTTGAGTTATTATGAAGATTAAATAATATAAAATACATAGCATGTATGTTTCATGGCAGGTGCTCAATACATTTTAGCCACATTTACTATCTCTTAGTTTTCATGATTCTATGTGGTCCTGGTTCTCCTTTAACTTCTTATTTTTTATTTTGTTGTTTTGTCCTCTGCTCACATTTGTTCCTCCTCAGATCCCTGAAGTGGGGGTGTTTTCCAAGGCTTAGATCATACTCTTCCCTCTCCAGGTTCTCACTCTTTCAGTGCCCTTCCACTGTTTTGGTTTCAACCACTACCTTTTGCTGATAAAGTTCAAATCTACACTGTCAGCACTGACTTTCAATAGTACCCAGTTCTATGTTTTCAAATGTCTATGTGACAGCTCTATTTACATCTGAATGTTACCTGTGACTCAGCAAGACCAAAAATTAATCTCAGCAACTTCCCACCTAAATAAAATCTCAACTTATTTATTTTTATTGTAGCAACACTCCTTTCCTAAATCTCTTAGCTAGAAGACTTAGTATCTATTCTAACCCTTACCCATCTAAACTTCTATCTATCCAAGTTATCACTGTTGCCTATTGATTTTGTCTTTAAAACATTGTTCAAATGGCCAGGTGCATTGGCTCATGCCTGTAATCCCAGCACTTTGGGAAGCTGAGGCAGGCAGATCATGAGGTCAGGAGTTCGAGACCAGTCTGGCCAAAATGGCAAAACCCCGTCTCTACTAAAAATAAAAAAAATAGCCGGGTGCGATGGCGTGTGCCTGTAGTCCCAGCTACTCAGGACACAGAGACAGGAGAATCACTTGAACCCGGGAAGCGGAGGTTGCAGTGAGCTGAGATCGTGCCATTGCACTCCAGCCTGGGTGACAAGAGCAAGACTCTGTCTCAAAAAAAAAAAAAAAATAAAAAGAAAACATTGTTCAGATGTCTCGTCTTCAATTCTCATTGCCACTGTGTAAGCACAGGCGTATGCTAGGAAAGGTGATTAGGAGCATGGATTGTAGAATCAGACAATACTGAGTTTGAATCTAGAATCTGCCTTCTATTCGTTGTTTGTCCTTGTGCAAATTGTTCAATCCCTTTGAACCTCAGTTTTCCCCGCTGCAAAGTAAGGAATAAACTCCCAACTCAGAAGTTAGTATTTCCCAATTTTTAAACAACATGCAAATCATTTTTGAGAAACCTTAAAAAATTAGAGAATCACTTGTAGTATTTGTATGATATATGATAAAGAGATTACCTGAAGTTAAAGCTTTTATTTTTATCAAATATTATGTTATAAAATTCATAGTTAACATAATTACCAGTAACATCCAGCTTCAGCCACTATAATAAAAGATATAATTTAAAATTTACTTTAAATAAATTACATAAGAAATTTTTTTGACAAATAAAATGATATATTGTGCTTGGTTTGGAGATAACGCATATTAAAATATAAGAAAAAACTTCTAACTCAGCATTGAATGCAGATAAAAACTTGCATTTTTAAATTTTTGCATTTTGCACTGAAATGTTTTACTTTAATACATTTTGTGTTTATTTTAGTCTGTTAATGTAAGTGCTTCTCTTTGCTTGACACAGTAAGGCCATGGATAGCCTTCTACCTATGTGGGATTACTACAACAATTACAATCATCACTATATTTTGTCTTTTACTACAGGTATTGGCTTTTGAAACACTAGCGACAGCTTGAAATTTATGTGGTTTTTTAATACTTTGAATAAAATTGCATTTTGTTTATGTATGTTTTTAGTTAGACTTTTTCCAAGCAGTTTTAGGTTTACAGAAAAATTGAGTGGAATACATAAGATTTTTGATCAATAAATGCAACTTCAGGCCTGAAAAAGATGACCTTGAAATGAATCTGCTAAGCTATTTAATGTTATAACTGTGATTAATTTGCTGTCTTTCCTTGGTATAAATTAATGCCATATGACTAGTTCAGTGGAAACCTTACAGGCCAGGAGAGAGTAGCATGACATATTTAAAATGCTGAAGGAAAAAAATACCATTACCCTGGAATAGCATATCCAGCAAAAATATCCTTCAAACATGAAGGAGAAATAAAGACTTTCCCAGACAAACAAAAGCTGAGAGATTTCATCAACACCAGACCTGTCCTACAAGAAATGCTAAAGGGAGTACTTCAACCAGAAAGAAAAGTTAGTTAATGAGCAATAAGAAATCATATGAAGGTAGAAAACTCACTGGCAATAGTAAGTACACACACACAAAAAAAACCACAGAATATTATAATACTGTAGCTGTAGTGTGTAAGCTACTTTTATCCTAAGTAGAAAGACTAAATGATGCACCAGTCAAAAATAATAACGATGATAACTTTACAAGACATAAGATATAAATAAAAACAACAAAAAAGTTTAAAAATGAGGGGATGAAGTTAAGGCATAGAGTTTTTATTAGTTGTCTTTTTGCTTGCTTGTTTATGCAAACAGTGTTGTTATCAGATTAAAATATGGGTTATGGCCAGGTACAGTGGCTCATGCCTGTAATCCTAGCACTTTGGGAGGCTGAGGTGGGCAGATCATGAGGTTAAGAGATCGAGACCATCCTGACCAACATGGTGAAACCCTGTCTCCACTAAAAATACAAAAAGTAGCTGGGCGTGGTGGCGCATGCCTGTAGTCCCAGCTATTCGGGAGGCTGAGGCAGGAGAATCACTTGAACCCGGGAGGCGGAGGTTGCAGTGAGATGAGATCGCGCCACTGCACTCCAGCCTGGCAACAGAGTGAGACTCCATCTCAAAAAAAAAAAAAAAGGGTTATAAGATAGTATGTGCAAGCCTCATGGTAACCTCAAACCAAAAAACATACAATGAATACACAAATAAATAAAAAGCATGAATGAGATTGGTGCCCTCATAAGATAGAAACCAGAGATTCCCTGTCCCTTTCACCATGTGAGTGCACAGAGAAAAGACCGCTATGAACCAGGAAGCAGGCCCTCACTAGACACCAAATATGCCAGTGCCTTGATCTTGCACTTCTTAGCCTCCAGAACTGTGAGAAGTAAATTTCCACTGTTTTTAAGCCTGGATAAATAGATAAATAACATATGACTGGGAGTAAAAAAGATTAAAATACAAAATAGCCAAGATCACCACAGCAGGTAGGCGTAATCAGCTGACTGCTCCACCCCAGCCATAAGGATGCTCATGGGATTCCTTGTAACCCCTGCATACATTATGGCCTGATGTTCTCCAATAGTGCTCCATTTTAAAGGGAAAATATACTTAAATTGTTTATGTTTTCCCAAAACTTTAGTAGCAGACATCATTCTATTTTAAAAGATGTGAAGACCCCAGAAAGTTTTTAAGAAATTCACTGTGAAATGTTGAGAAGTATCAGCAAACAAAACAGTGGTCATAAGATCCTTTGCATCCTTTTCCTTAGCGTATGTTCTCAAAAAATATGTGCTGATTGAATGAGTGAATAAATAAGTTACAAAAAAAAAAAAAAACCCAAAAAACTGAGGCATCACTTTTGTCTACATGGAAGTAAACTTTCAAATTATTGATATTGTTTCTCCTGCGGAATCAACAAATTCAGTCTTTTTTTCTTCTTTCATTACACAGACAACTCAATCTTCCTCTGTCCATTTTTAAAGCCTTTACTTGAATGACTGTTCTGTTAAAAGAACCTGTGACTGCCTTTGTATAAGCAAAGACATATTCATTGTGTCAGACTGCAAAGTGAGCTCATTTTAATGCTCCTTGTTCTTAACTGTCAGTACTTTTGACTGCCCTATTCTTTATGAAGAAGTGTTAGAAGGTCTAGACTCCATAATTCAGATAAGCTAAACTGTCAGAAAACAGAAAGTAAAGTACTAAAGAAAAGAGAAAATCACAGTTGAAACAAAAACTTTCTAAAAAAAGGAAAAAAGACAGACAACTGGACTTTGCTATCATTTAACATGGAGGTAATTTCTGGACAGAGCTTTCAACAGATCACAGGGTTAGGGGACAAAAAGTGATATATGGGGCCCACCCAGGGGAAGAGGCTCTAGAAAGTAACCACACCAAACCCCACCCCCAGGCTTTTGTTGGACTCCAAAATGGTATACCATCAGAGTATGTGTGAACCACCCTTAGATAACTAAATTTCATTTAGGATACTCTCAAACTCTTATTGTGTTAAGGTGATTGAATGTGTTTAACAGAGACAAATGAAAAGAGAACAAAAAGGACAGGTCAGAAGAAAATAATCCAGAATGAAGCAAAAGAAGAAAAAGGTAGAAAAAATATGGAAAGGAGCAAAAGAGACACCTGAGACATGGTTAGAAGGCTCTAGAAACGGAGAGAAAATGAAGAAGCAATATTTGAAAATATAATACCTAAGAATTTTCCAAACTGACAAAAGCCATCAAGTCCCAGATCCAAGAAGCAATACAAAAACCAACAATAATAAGCAGAAAACTCAGATCTAAGCACATCATAGTAAAACTGAAAACCTAGACAGACCAAAAAATATCTTTAAAGCAGCCAAAAAAGAAATGAGAGATTACTTTCAGAGAAGCAACAATTAGACTGACAGCTAAATTTTCAAAAGAAACAATGAAAGTCAGAAAACAATGACACTATTTTTTTAAAGTGTTGATATATAATAACTGCCAACCTACATTTTTATATCCAGCAAAAAAATCTTTCAAAACTGAAGACTAAATACAGCATTTCCAAACAAACAAAAACTGAGAGAATTTGTCATCAGAAATTCTATAGTAATTAAAACATCAAAGAGTATTCTTTAGGTAGAAGAAAAATGATCCAGGATAGAAAGTTGGCCCAGAAGAATGAACGAAGGGCAATGAAAATGGTAAATATGTAGGTAAACCTAAATAAATATTAACCATATAAAAGAATAGTAAAAGTATCTTGTGGTATTTACAAATAAAGACAGTACATAAATCATGAGGCAGTAAATGAAGTTCAACTGTTCTAAAATCTTTTACTTGTTCAGGAATTGTACCTTTACCACTGTAAAAGTACTGATTTCTATGAGACATTAATAAGTTAGTTAATGATAATATGCCATAATTTCTAGAAGAGGAGTGGGTAAACTCTTTCTGTAAAGGACCAGATGGCAAATATTTCAGGCTTTGCCGGCCATATGGTCTTGTAGCGTGCAAGTAGCACAGACAATAAGCAAAATAATGGGCATGGCTGTGTTCCAATAAAACTTATTTACAAGGACAGGCAGCCAGTAGGACTTGGCACATGGGCCATAGTTTGCTGACCCCTGCTCTAGAATAATCACAAAAAAAGTTGTCACATAAGATACAATCAACTAGCATGGTGGGGGGGAGATTTAAAAATAAAAATTGCTTAATTCAAAAAAAGTAAGAAAGGAGGAAAGAAACACAAAACAAGTGGAACAAATAGAAGGTAAATTGTAAAATACTGGATTTAAACCTAAGTATATAAGTAATTACATTAGATTTGAACAGAATAAATATTTTAATTAAAAAAATATGAACTGGATAAAAACAAAAACAAAACTCAAGTACTTGCTGTTCATAAGAGTGTCTTAGGCTGGGTTCTCCTGTGCATGTGTGCCACACCGGCACAAAGCTAGTCACAGCAAAAACGGCTAAGTAAAAGGTGGACTCAGAGGTTATGAGGTGGGGCCTCAGAGGTGTTTGATACAGAGTACACTTTAAAGATGTGAAAAAGCTAAAGGTAAAAGGATGAGAAAACATACCATGAAGACACTAAACAACAGAAAGCTCGTAAAACTATACAAATATCAAACACAGCAGTAGACTGTAGGGAGAAAAGTATTACCTAGAGCTAAAGAGTGCCATGTCATTATGATAAAAGGTTTAATTATCCAGGAAGAAACAATAACTTTTAATTTGCATGATCTAGTAAGCTAGCTCAAAGTATTTAAAGCTGAACTTGAACAGAACTAAAAGGAGAAAGTCACAAATCCACAATTATAGTAGCAAATTTTAATATATCTTTCTGAGCAACTGATAGAATAAGTAGCAAAAAACTCAGAGTACAGAATATTTCAACACAATTAACAAACCAACATTTATTTATAATGCTGCAACCATCCAGTTGAGGATAAAGTCTTTAAAAACACACAGAGAAGTTGTCATAAAAGTTGAATATATTCTGAGCCATAAAGGAAGCCTCAGCAAGTTTGAAATGATTGAAATCATATAATCATCAATGGCTGTAGTAGAAATAAGCTCGGCATAAATAATAAAAATAAATAAATAAATAAATAAATAAATAATCAAATAAATAATAAAAATATAACTAGAAAATCCCCATGTATAGAAATTAAATGACACACTAATAATATATTTCCTGGGTTGAAAAATCACCATGGCAAAAAATAATATTTTATATTAAATTATAACAAAATTGTGACATTCTAAAACATTTGCAAGGTTGAAATCAGTGATCTATCTGTGTCAAAATGGTAAAAAAAAAAAGAAAAATTTAGACCTTTTAAGGTCTACTAAAAAGTAGAAAGAAGAAAAGATAAAGAGTAGAAAGTAATAAAATATAAAATAAGCATATTATAGCTAAGGGGTTGGTTTTTTGAAAAGACTAATAAAATTGATAATCCCTGGTAAAACTAATGAAGAAAAAGAGGAAAGGCACGAATAATATTGCAAATAAAAATAAATGAATCTCTAAATATTCTATAAAGTTTAAGATACTAAAAGAGGATATTAAGAATAACTTTATGAAAACAATTTGGAAATGTTATATAAAATGAACAGATTTCAGTGGGACATGATAGTGCATGTCTGTAGTCCTACCTACTCAAGAGGCTAAGGTGGGAGGATCCCCTGAGCCTGGGGAAGTCAAGGCTGCAGTGAGCCATGATGGTGCCACTGCACTCCAGCCTGGGTGACAGAATGAGACCCTGTCTCAAAAAGAAAGAACAGATTTCTAGAAAAACTCAACTTCTCCATACTGACAAAAGAATGAACAGAAAGTCTAAATAGTCCTATATTTATGAAAGATATTAAATCCATAATTCAAAACTCTCACAAAAACAAAACCATAGACCTAGGTGGCTTCACTGGTGAAATGTACTAGAAACCAATCTAACAAAAGCCTTCTGTAAAATACCAAAAAAAGGGAATATTTTCCAATTCATTTTATGAGGCTACCATAATCCAAAGCCTGAGAACAACATTAGAAGAAAAAAAAATTTTAGGCCGATCTCACTCATGAACATAGACACAAAAATTCTAATAATATAGCAAATGAATCTGTCAATATATAAAAAGGATTATACATATCATGACCAATTTGGATTTAACCTGTGGGTGAAAAATTGATTTACCTTTCAAAAACCAAGCACTGTAGTTTATGAAATGAATAGAATAAAGGGGAAAATCATTTGATAATCTTAATAAATTAATAAATACGGAAAAAGCTTTGGTAATATTTAACATTCATTCATGATACTCTTATCAAACTAGGAATTCAAGAGGTCTTCTTTCATGTGATAAAGAACAAATATACAAAATGAATAGCAAGCATCATACTTAATTGGGAAATGTTGAAACCTTTCCCTTCAAGATCAGGACTGAAACAAAGATGCTCATTATCATCACTTCTAGTTAACATTGTAATAGAGATTTTAGACAGTTCAATAAGACACAAAAAAGAAATAAAACACAAGTTTGGAAAGAAAGAAATACAATTGCCATTATTTGCATATGATATGATTGTATATATAAAAATGAAAAATTTAAAACTATTAGAATATGCAAATTTAGCATGGTCTGCATAATTATATTATATTTTTGTATATTAGCATATTATATTTTTGTATATTAGCATAAGGCTAATATACAAAAATCAACTTTATTTCTATGTACTAGCAACAAATAACTTAAAATGGAAATAAAAATATTAAATTTTAAAAAGTCATTTAATTACCTAGGGGGAAAATCTAATGAAGGATGGTACAAAAACACTATACTAATCTTGGTAGACATTAAAGAAGACTTAAAATGAGGCATGTGCCATATTCATGGATGGAACACTTAATATCATAAAATATGTCATTTTTTCCCAAATTGATCTGTAGATTAAATGTAATCCCTAAATTCCAACAGGTTTTCTGGGGAGGGATACAGAAATTGGAAAGCTGATTCAAATTTATTTGGAAATGCAGAAGATCAAGAATAACCAAGGTGATCTTCAAGCCAATCTTGAGGAAAAAGAATAAAGCAATAGATAGTGTGGTATTGCTGTAAGGAAAACTAGTAGAACACTGGAACAGAAGAGAGAACCTAGAGACAGATTCACTGCCCAAATATATGGGAGTCTGATTTATGGCAAAGGTGGCTCTGCAATGCAGTAGGGAAAAGGACAGTCTTTTCAACAAATGGTACTGGGTAAAGTGGATGTCCATATGGAAAACAATGACTCTGGACTCCCTACATTATATGATATGCAAACAATTCATTCTAGATGGATTTTCAGATCTAAATGTGAAAGACAAAATGATAAATAGTCTAGAAGATAATACATAAGAAAATAGTTTCTATATCTTAGGGTTGGTAAGGATTTCTCAAACAGAACCTAGAAAACTCTAACCATAAAAGAAAAGTTTGATAAAATAGATTGCTTTAAAATAGAGAAAAACACACTTATTATTAAAATACTCCATTAAGAGTAAGAAAATGTCAGCTACACAGGAGATGTTTGCCACACGTATAACCAACCTCATTCCCTCTCTTCATTTTTGAGGAGAAAATAGTTGTCTACAGTTGGTCAGAAAGACTTTTCACTCTGCTACAATTCTGAGCAGAGGTATGGTTTGCCTCTCTTTTATCTCCAAGAGGCTGGAGAATATCCATCTTTCTTTCTGTCTGCTGCTCATCTTTCTATTTTGAACTTGCTTTTTCTATGCAGCTAGTGAGATCTGCCTGACTTAATTCTCAGAAGACCTCTGTTGGGCAGCTAAGAGCTGACAGAGTTTATGGTTCTCTGGCTCCAGTTCCTGGCTTCTTCTCCACTAGCATTGCCTGAATCAACATTTTTGTGACAATAGCACGGCAACCTGAGACTGGGGGTGAAATTAGGATTGGAGGAGGCTTTGGTCAGCTTTGGTCCCAGGCTCCAGGCTATCCCCAGCCCAGATAAAAGGAATTCTTCATGTGGTTCAGATAGCATTTTGGGACTCCCCTTGGATTTGATAACAAAGTTTCACAGCAAAGGAATGGTTTTGTTTCTGAAAAGGTAGTCCTTGCACTAGTTGCCCTTGTTCAGGCATCCTCTAGAAGCCTGTTAGAAATGCAAATTCATATGGCCAGGCACAGTGGCACACCTGTAATTCCAGCTACTCAGGAGGATGAGGTGGAATGATCAGTTCAGCCCAGGAGTTTGAGACCAGCCTGGGCAACACAGAAACACCCCATTTAAAAAATGCAAATTTATGGGCTCCATTCTGCTTTATTGAACCAGAATCTCTGGAAATGGGACCCATGAAAGTGTGTTTTAACCTCTTCTTTATATTATAAGAAACTTTCTACACAGAAATGAGTGGTCAAGATGGGACCTCAGTGAAGTTGTAGGGTATTTAAAAGTAAAATAATAACAACAATAAAAATCCAAAGTGTATCAATATGATTAACCATGAAAATGAAAAAAAAAAGCTTTTTTTTTTTTTTTCACTGAGGGAGACAACTAGTATATGAATCTTTATTTTGGTGGTTTAGCCATTTCCTGTTGAAAAGCTGCGCTCCATCTGTTATTGTTTGAGTATGTCCACCAAAAGTTCACGTGTTGGCAATTTAGTTGCCATTCTATTGGTATTAAGAGGTGGGGCCTTTGGGAGGCAATTGGGTTAATACCATTACAGTGGGAGTTCAGCCCCCTTTGCTGTCTTGTGTTCTCTCATCCACCCTTCGGCCATGGGATGACTCTTGCCAGACGCTGGCAACAGCCTCTTAGGCTTCCCAGCCTCAAGAACCATAAGCCATATTCACTTCCGTTCTTTATAAATTACCCAGGCTGTGGTATTGTTATAACAGCATAAAAGGAACTAAGACACTATCCATTTCCATGATCCTGTGGTAATCTCTTACAGCCCCAAATGCATATTGTTCTACTACTTTAGTAAATAAGTTAGTTACTAAGTTACTCTGTCCTTTCAGAAGCCTAATTAATCATATCTGCTGAACAGAGTATATCGTTAGTGGATTCAAAAATATATCATTAAAATTAGTTTATGAAACATACATTTCTGTGGCTTCATTTTTATGGCTCAAATCTTCATTTCAATAAGAGTGATTGGGGTACATTAGGCTCTCAAGATATAGGACTTTAATAAAGAGGAAAAAGTTGAAGTTTTTTTTTTTCTTTTTTTTTGAGATGGAGTCTCACACTGTCACCTGGGAGTGCAACGGTGCGATCTCGGCTCACTGCAACCTCCGCCTCCTGGGTTCAGGCAATTCTCCTGCCTCAGCCTCCTGAGTAGCTGGGATTACAGGCTCCCGCCACCACGCCCGGCTAATTTTTTGTATTTTTAGTAGACACAGGGTTTCACTATGTTGGTCAGGCTGGTCTTGAACTCCTGACCTCGTGATCTGCCCACCTCAGCATCCCAAAGTGCTGCAATTACAGGCGTGAGCCACTGCACCTGGCCTGAAGTTTTAATGAATAGTATATACCAGGTTGACAATAAGGAAATGAATGTAAAGTTACAAAGCTATTTCTTTTCCCCAAGATGTCTTTTCCTCACTGCTAACTTGATTATTCAGGCATCTATTTCATTTATTTATACATTTATTCAGCTAGTATTTACTAGGATCCTATTATGAGCTAGAAGTGAAGTTCTGGAAAGGTAGACTGAGACTAGATGGGCTGGCATTGTCTTCCATGCTAAGCAGCTGGGGTTTTGTTTCATATACATGGGAGTAATATATTTTATTTTGTCCTTTAGAGTGCTAATGGCAGTGCAGGCAGCAGACTGGATGGGGAGAGACTAGAGGCAAACAGATCATCTGGAAGAGCTAATGAGCCTGAACTGTCTATAATTATGTGCCCTTTATGAATAGAGGGCAAATAACATATAATGTAAAACATGATCTTTATGACCATAAGTGCTAACACTAGGCAAACAGCACTGAGATTAGACAAAATAACTTTCTGAAATTGGAGGGGAGGGAGAAACGAAGGCAAATGAGTAAAGTTAAAAAATACATCAGCTGTTTCTACACCTGTGGGGTGAGCTATGCCTGCCTGGTTCATGGTGATCAGTTTATGGATTCCTCATTACTAGTGCATGTAATGCATGATTGAATAAACTGCAAACAGTGTCTATTAAGAAGCAGTCAAATGACTGGACGATAATGTTGGCCGATGTTGCCAGACTCAGCCAGGAAAAATCACTGCAGAGATTTTCTTCAGCATGTTGTTAATGTCACCATTTAGCAAACTTCTTTGTGTGTATGTGTTTTTTTTTTTTTTTTTTGAGACAGGATCTTGCTCTGTTGCCCAGGCTGGAATGCAGTGGCACAATCATAGCTCACTGCAGTCTCAAACTCTTTGGCTCAGGTGATTCTCCCACCTCAGCTCTTGAATAGCTGGGACTACTGGTGCATGCCACCATGCCCAGTTTATTTATTTACTTATGTATTTGTAGAGATAGGGTCTTCCTGGTTTGCCCAGGCTGGTCTTGAACTCCTGGCCTCAAACAATCCTGCCACCTTGGCCTTTCAAAGTGCTGGGATTACAGACATGAGGCATTGCACCCTGCCCCATTTAGCAAACTTCTAAGCCAGCTCTCTCTACCTGCCTTCTTACAAACATTTAACATTTAAATTCATGATATTGACTATAGGAATGATTGCCCATGAGATTCTGTTATTGGTATGTGAACACAATCCTGACGTATATTGACTACTATGTTCATGAATTCATGGAAGCAAAGATTGAGAAGAATCCTTAAAGATCATGTGGTCCAAATTCCTATTTAATCTGCATAGCAATTAATCTTCAAAAAAAATTTGGAGCTAACTAAAAATATGTATCTTTAGTTTCATTGTATTCATTTAAAAAAGAAATAACAGTGTTATTTCTCCTTGATCTACCTACTTTGGACAACTGGATTTTATACTTTCACACATATTGCATCTATTCAAAGGAAGTATTAGAAAAGTGATTTAGACATTCTTAAAGGAAGAAGCACATTTTCAAATCTTTTAAAAGCATTTCTTGGAGGAAAATAAAACTCCAGAGTATATTAAATGTGAACTGATAATGGGAGAATACAAAAGAGTGAGAAATTATGTGATAGCACCATTAATACTTCATGCACAAACCTACTGAATGGAAAATAGACTAAAAACTTGACACAAAATGTCATTATTAAAGATTTCCATTTGAAACTTACATGAAAGTACTTTAAAAAAAAAAAACTTTGGTGTTATTCCAAAGGCAAACTGGTATCTTTTTTTTAGGAATAAGTTACTTTGATTTACGTAGCTGAAAGAAGCTAACACTTCAAAAGAAGATTCATGCTTAATATAGTCCTATTTCACACTTATCCACATTTATTTCTTACCACTCAAACACAAAGACTGTCTCCAAAGAAATTCATAAGGCTATTAAGTTATTAATGGATGGAGGAGTGATGGTATTGCACTCTATTCATTAGGTCTTAACCAGATCTCTCCGCTTATCTCAGAGAGTTATCTCAGAATAACTCTCCTCTTTCATATTGGTAATGAAAAAATAATTTAAACATATCATCAGCCAATATTTGAGGCATTAAGTAACACCTAAAGTCCAGCCATAATTTGATAATATATCTTTAGTGCATCTTGTTCTCAAATTTTTCTTGCACATCCTACATATAAGAAACATTAAGGAAGAATCACTCATTTTTCCACTCCAATCCATAAACATTTATTAATTGTTTAATATGTACCTTTAACAGGTTAAACTAGCTCACTATTCTTCATTCATTTCTTTTTCTTTTTAAACATTTTCTGACAAGTATGGTTCTAAAACCACCTGGAAATGCACTGATAGGTGTCCACTTCAGTTCAACAAACATTTACTAAGCATTTGCTATGAGCCAAATACCACACTAGATGAAAGAGATGCAAAATGGGCAAGATATAGTCCCTCCCCACAAGGTTCTCCCAATCCATTGTAGAAGCAGACACATAAAATATTATTTCAATACAGTGGAATTGTATGGAAGTTTCACTATATTGGAATATAGTCCCAAAATGGAGACCAGCACAGGGTGTAACAGAGGTAGAGAAGAGGGCCTTGAGGTCTGGAAACTTGTGGTCGACGTGAGCAGCACATGATCATATGGCATGTTGTCTTTCCCCAGCAACTTTTTAGGACTCTGCTTTTCCCGTAAAAGTGTGTAGGGAGAGGAAGAAAATAAGGAGTTACATCCAAGGTTGTGTCCTGGCAGGCAAAAATGGGTCTGTGAGAAACCCTGATGATATAATCAAATTACCTTTCTATCAGTCATTAGTGAGATTTTATTCTACTACTACCAGAAATATAATAGTTGCATTTTGTATTTAAAAAGTGGTGGTCAGGTGCATTGGCTTATGCCTGTAATCCCAACACTTTGGGAGGCCGAGGTGGGCGGATCACCAGGTCAGGAGCTTGAGACCAGCCTGACCAACGTGGTGAAACCCCGTCAAAAAATACAAAATACAAAAAAAAAAAAAAACAAAAAACCTACAAAAATTAGCCAGGCATGGTGGCATGTGCCTGTAATCCCAGCTACTCAGGAGGTTGAGGCAGGAGAATTGCTTGAACCCAGGAAGCAGAGGTTGCAGTGTAGTGAGCCGAGATTGCACCACTGCACTCCAGCCTGGATGACAGAACAAGCCTCCGTCTCAAAAAAAAAAGTAGCTCGTAATCTGACATCCAGCTCTAAATTGCTCTGATGTAATAGAGAATGATGAATTCAAGCTTCAAGTTAGAGGCTGATGGCCTGGTAGCCACCATCACATCCAGAAGAGGAAGCTAAGCCGAGAGACTACCCAATGAAACGATCTGCAGAATACATGAAATCAAGTCTCCTTCAGACAATCAGGAACAGTCTCTGTTCAACAATTTCCCCATCTCGCCTCATGCCCCTTTAACTACAACCCTACTTCCAGGAGGAGGGTAGAGGTTTTTTTTTTTTCCCTATAAAGATCTAATAAATGTCTTGGTAGATTCAGAGTTTCTAGAACATCTGAGATGAGAATTCAAATGGTTTAACTCTGCGGTCTACATCCTGGGGGGTGTGGCCCCATTCAGGTGGGTTTATATCTGGGATGAGCAGAGAATCATCATTACTAATTATCACTGCACTTTAGATACAGCTTCAGAATCCTTCTCAGCATACTGGGTTAGGCAGTCGTTGCAATTTGAATGTGGTACACAAGATGAAATCTTTTTGCCACCATTGGTTTATACACATAAATGAGGTGGCTCTATAGGCATACACGAAAATTAGTTTTAGTCTTATTCTATAGCCATGAGTAAGACACACACACACACACACACACACACACACACACACGCAAATGGTGAACTTTTTTTTAATATGTTCCACACTTAATTAATTGAATTTTTAAAGCAGTGGTGGACAGAAGAGACATTTTCATTAAAATCAGAGAAGTTATTTCCTAACATTGTTCATGCCATTTCTTAATGTTCGGCATTTTCAGCAGGCTAATCTTCACCCTACTTTCTCATTAGTAAATGGGTAGATTGCCAAGGCTCTACAAGGCAATAGCTATTATAAGAACGGGTCTTTTCAAATTGTGCTGGTGCCTTGAGTTGAACCCAGACTTTTGAGTCTCTGTTGGCTGCAGCAGCAGCAGCAGCTGCTTTCACCCTGGTCTTCTGCTCCAGCAGGGAGCCAGAGCACTGAAATGTAATCATTCTCACAGGATATTTTTAGATTATTGATTTGGTGCTTTATTGTTTCCTTATTTTTGGAAATGTATGAGTGATTTGGACAGAAACTAATCTGAACTGGAAACCCTTTCCAAATATTTCTCTCCTCTATTTCTTTCTCTGTGTGTGTGTTATATCTATCTACACACACGTGTATGTATGCACACACATACACATACATAAACACACACTGACTAAAGAATGATATTTATTAGAATATTTGGTAGTTCAAGTGGAATATATTTGAGTTAATTTCCAAAAGGCTTATTATTAAATTATAATAGAAAGCAAAGAAGTTCAGATATGGAAAGGCCTGCTAGGGATTTTAAACCATTATTCATTCTAATTATTCATTTGCTCGTTCATTTCGATCATTCATTCAGTAAATATTGAGTGTTTATATGTACAAAAATAATATTAAAGAATTCCTAAAACTTTTCAGACAAGAAGAATCAATGATTGGCTCTAATAATTTGCTCTAATGTTTATGGTACTTTTAAGGAGATGTTTCTCCTATATAAATTCAAAATTGTTTTCTTAAATGCAAATTTATTTACTCAGCAGAAAAGAAGCAGACAACATGCTATTTAAAAACTCTTTTACATGCATGGGAAACAGTTATAAGGAGATGACTATAAAGAAAAACAGGCTGGGTGCGTTGGTTCACACCTATAATCCCAGCACTTTGGGAGGCCAAGGTAGGCAGATCCCCTGAGGTCAGGCATTTGAGACCAGTCCGGCCAACATGGCGAAACTCTGTCTCTACTAAAAATACAAAAAAAATTAGCCGGGCGTGGTGGTGCATGCCTGTAGTCGCAGCTACTTGAGGAGGCTGAGGCAGGAGAACTGCTTGAACCTGGGAGGTGGAGGTGGCAATGAGCCGAGATTGTGCCACTGGACTCCAGCCTGGGTGACAGAGCGAAATTCTGTCTCAAAAGAAAAAAAAAAAGAAAAGAAAAACAAAGATTTTGAAATAAACAGCGCAGAACTTGTGAAACTAAATGCATTCTCTGTGAAACTAAATGCATTCTCTCTTACAAAATAGGGCATTTGGAAAATTAAAAATTCACTTTAATATGTTGTCCACTGCTCAGAGCATTTTGGGATCTAACTTCAGACAGGATCTTCTGAATCTAAACAGCAGTCCTTTGAGACTAGATCGACCTTTTTTATTGCTTAGGGAGATAGTATAGTTGGGTGGAGAGAGCACTGGAGAAAAGACAGTAAGGTGCGTAATTTAGCTCTCACGTTAACTAGATGTGTGAATTCCAGCCAGTCATTTAATCTCTCTGGGACTCAATTTTCTCATTTACAAAATGAGATCAGTAGCTACCAATCTTTTTTAGTTCAAAGACCGTTTTTAAAGTTTTTTTGTCTTTGTTTTTGCTTTTTTTAAAATCCCAAGAATCTCCACATGGTAAAGCTGTACTTTTGGCATCAGTTGATTGAGAAAATGCTTCTGTTTGCCTAGGTTTGCTTTCCTCTGCAATGACTCAGCAACCCCCAGAGGGAGGAACCACCAGTCACCTGAAGCCAGATAAAGTAGCCGGTAAAATTTGTGCTTGAGTTACTCTTCTATGAATCAATGTACTCATGGAGACCATTAGTTAAAGAATGAAGAGAAAGAATTTCTTTAGGCCATGACTCACAGAAAAAAAAAGAAGAAAAAAAGAACCAAGGACTACAAACAGATTAAATCCTATAATCAAGGGCTACTCACCACATTAGTAAATTAGTCACTATTCATTCTTCTGATGCAAACACAAGCATATCACCCTCTATCCCATCCACGTATTTGGACAAATACCCATGACTATGTATTCAAACAATGCTATTTTAAAAATAAAGATATTATTCTTCTCAGTCAATATTTTAGGAAATAATCATCATGGAAAGTTAAATAATAAGCTAGACACGGCTCACCCTGTTTTCATAGTACATAAAAATTTGCTGCTAATATATAGAAATACAATTGATTAGTAAATTGACCTTGTATTCCATGACCTTGCTAAATTTAACTAATAGTTTTGGTACACATTTTGTAGATTCCTTAGGATTTTCTTTGTAAACAATCATGTATTTCAACAATATAGACAATATTAGTCCTTCCTTTCCTGTATTATGCCTTTTGTTTCTTTTTCTTGTCTCAGAGCACTATTTAGAACTTCTCAGACCACTATTTAGAATTTTTACTACTTCTATTTAACAACGTTAAATAGAAATGGTAAAAGCCGACACCCTCACAATTCCCAATATTAGGGGGCAGCACTCAACATTTTACCATTAAGTATGACGTTAGCTATATAGGTTTTTGTAGATGCTCCCTATTAGAGGAGAATTCCCTTCCAATCCCAATTTGCTGGTTTTTTAATGAACTTATGTTCAATGTTGTCAAATGCTTTTTCTGCTACTATGATCAAAAAGAACATCAAGCTTTTAAAATGTACTGAGACTTTTTTTTTTTTTGAGACGGAGTCTCGCTCTATCTATTGCCCATGCTGCAGTGCAGTGGCGAGACCTCAGCTCACTGCAACCTACGCCTCTCGGGTTCAAGTGATTCTCTTGCCTTAGCTTCCTGAGTAGCTGGGACTACAGGCGGCACCACCGCACCTGGCTGTTTTGTATTTTTAGTAGAGATGGGGTTTCACCGTGTTGGCCAGACTGCTGTCAAACTCCTGACCTCAGGTGATCCGCCCACCTCAGCCTCCCAAAATGCTGGGATTATAGGAGTGAGCCACCACGCCCGGCCGAGACTTGTATTAATGGCTTAGTAAATGGTTTATCTTGGTGAATGTACCATACACACTCAAAATCACTGTGCATTATTCAGTTGTTTGATACAGTGTTCTAGACATGTCTATTGTTCTTTAGATTTTCTATGTCTGTACTGGTATTTTGCCTAGTTGTTAATATTAAATACTGAGAGAAGATTGTTAACATTTCCAATTATGAGTTTGCATTTGTCTATTTCTTCCTTTATTTCTATCAATTTTTGAGTCATGGATATTGAAACTTTTTATTAGGTATATACACATTTATAAATTGTATGTCTTTCTGATGAATTGATGCATTCACCACTATGGAGTATTCCTCTGTCTCTGGTGATACTCTGTCTGAAGTCTACTTTAATGTCAGTAACATCACTCCAGCTTTCTTATGTGTAGTGTTTTCATGGTATACCTTTTTTTTAGACAGAGTCTTGCTTGTCAACACCCAGGCTGGAGTGCAATGGCGTGATCTCAGCTCACTGCAATCTCTGCTTCTCGGATTCAAGCAATTCTCCTGTCTCAGCTTCCTGAGTAGCTGGTATTACAGGCATGCACCACCATACCTGGCTAATTTTTGTATTTTTAGTAGAGATGGGGTTTCACCATATTGACCAGGCTGGTCCCAAACTCCTGACCTCAGGTGACCCACCTGCCTCAGCCTCCCAAAGTGGTGAGATTACAGGCATGAGCCACCGCACCTGGCTTGGTTATACCTTTTTAATCCTTTACTTTCAATCTGCGTTTTAATTGTTTAAAAAGTGTCTCTTGTAAAAATGAAGTATGCTTATTTCTACCCACATAATGAAAATCCCATTTTAATCTTTCCGTTATGGTAGAAATCCTTCCAATACGGTTTGGCTGAGTCCCCACCCAAATCTCATCTTGAATTGTAGTTCCCAAAATCTCCACGTGTCAAGGTAGGGACCAGATGCAAGGTAATTGAATCATGGGGGCATTTACCCCCATGCTGTTCTCATGATACTGAGTTCTCATGAGACCCGATGGTTTTCTAAGGGGCTTTCCCCACTTTGCTCAGCACTTCTTCCTGCCGCCCTGTGAAAAAGGTGCCTTTCTTTCCCTTTGTCTTCTGCCATGATTTTAAGTTTCCTGAGGCTTCCCCAACCATGCAAAACTGTGAGTCAATTAAACCTCTTTTCTTTGTAAATTACCAGTCTTGGGTATTTCTGCATAGTAGCATGAGAATGGACTAATACACCTTCTGTAGAATAAACAATTACCCTGTTTATTCATTTTAGAAATTCAGCATCTCTAACATTTTTCTCATAACGTGGGGCACACTTGTACACATAATCATTCTTCACAGAATGCAATGTGCTTATAGTCAGTGAGACTAAATCAGTAGGATCTGAGAATAGTATCTTGGACTTCCAACATATATGACAGCCAGTTTAATTTGAATTTATATTTTTGGCAATTACTTAAGATATCCAAATTATAACTGTCTCTGCATTTTCTCAAGAAACTGGTCTTTTCTATTAAAGACATTAAGGAAATTGGGCCTGGAAATTAAGGAAATACAATAGTTTATGTTTGAGTGAATCTTGGTGCAGAAAATACAAAATGTTACCACTGGGCAGCCTTTTGTCACTCATCCTTATGAGGCATTCTGGAGGAATCAAACCAGTGTGTGCTGGCATAAAAGAATGAAGACACAGTCATTGAACAACTGCTGTGGGCAGTGCCTTGCAGAGCCATGAGAAATACAAAAAGTAGATAAAAGAGTTTCAGCCCTTAATAAATCTGATTGTGTTATCCATTTTCCCTTTGCCCCTCTAGCTCTACTCTACCATTCTCTCCCCAATTCTGTGCCCTGATGACTCTTCTGAAATGTATAAATCAGTTCTCTTGATCTCTGGCTTGCAGCTGTTTTTGACCAACGGTAAGCATCAGTAGGAGATCAGAGGAAGGGAGGAAAGGAAAGTCTTGAAATTTATTCCCTTGGCTCTCATCCTGTGGAATCATCATGAGCTGGCTACCTCTCTCTACTAAAGGTCAAGGCCCCTATAAGGAACCTTTCTTCATACATCTGTCTTTTTCTAGGTTGAAGTAACTACTCCTCCTCCTTGAACCTATAGGCCTTGGGATGGAAACAGAACCCACTTCCAGCAGCCCTGTAGTATTGAACTATCTTTTGTTGTTTGTCCCACACATACCTTTCCATTTTTTCCTCATGTCCTATGCACACCTTTATTAAACACTCTTCTGTTCAGCCTATTTGAGTATGCCATTGCTTTCCTGCTGGAACCTGACACAGCAATATGATGAACTAATAATTAGCAATATAAAGCATTATACGATAAGGATCATATAAATATTGTAAATTGTAACATAATTTGCTGAAGAAGTGGAGAGTAGACAGAAATCTCCAACTCTTAGGGTCCTAAAGGAAGATGTCCAAGAGAAGGGGAGACTGGACAAGCAGAAAAAAAAAAAGACCCACTGAAGAGAGACAAGCAGTGAGGGAGCAAGAACAAAGTGTATTGAAGGCACACTGGTAAAACAAGCCGGGTCCTGCTCAAATCGGATTGTTCAAATCAGATTGTTTAGGGTAGTGATTCCATGGAGACTCATGCACCTAATGACATTAATACTGGGAACACATCTTACTTGAAATTCCTCATAGTCTAAGGAATTTCTCTTCCAGTCAGAAAGTGTGAAGACTAGTGAAGGTGACATTACTGATGTTATGATTTGAATCATGTCCCCACCCAAATCTCATGTCAAATTTTAATCTCCAATGTTGGAGAAGGGGCCTGGTGAGAGGTGATTAGATCATGGGGGCAAAGTTCTCATGAATGGTTTAGCAGCATCCTCCCTTGCTCCTGTATAATGAGTAAGTTCTCACAAGATCTAGTTGTTTACAAGTGTGTAGCATCTCCCCGCCTCTCTTTCTTCCTCCTGCTCCAGCCATGTGAAGTGCCATCTACCCCTTTAAGATTCCGCCATGATTGACACCAAGCAGATGCTGCCATGCTTCCTGTACAGCCTGTGGAACTGTGAGCCACTTAAACTTCTTTTCTATATAAATTACCCAGTCTCAGGTATTTCTTTATAGCAGTGTGAGAATGAACTAATACAATTGGGATAATGATGGATGTGCTCCAATTTCAGTGCTTCACTATTATTCGCAACAGACCACTTGTTTCATAACTATGACAACATGCTATGGCTGAGAATCTTTGCTGTGTGCCATTATAGACTAAAGTTTGCATGCTAATGTGTTTAAGAATAAACGTTACTAAAAGTTGCTGATTTGTAAACTTGCAGATTCTTGGGTTCCGCTCACCAGAAATTCTAATTCAGTAATTCTCTCAGGGAGACTGGACAATACACATTTTTTAACAAGACATGTACTTGATTCTGAATCAAACCATAGAAGGAGAAACATATTTGTGGACAATAATTGTCATGAAAGGTTTTCAATCAAAGGGGTGAACTAATGGCAGTGGTCTTTCAGAAAGATTAGTCTGGCCACAGGACACAGACAGACTAGATGTGGAAAGAATGAGGACAGGGAAGGTAGTTAAGAGAAGACTCTAAAAGTTCAAATAGATGGGACTGAACACCTGGCATGAAAAGATGAGCAAGAAACAAAATGAAGGGAAGGGACACATATCAGCAAAGTGAAAAATGGGCAGGTATTTATTATTTATTGAGCTTTATGGTGTGGGGGTTTAAAACATGTCAACAAGTGTTTTTTTACACTCTTCCTATTTAAAAAAAAAGTGGATTCTAATTCCCTTCCCCTTGAATATAGGCCAGTCTCAGTGGCTCATTCTTAACAAATAGAAAGTGATAGAAGCGACACTGTATGACTCCTGAAGCTAGGTTACAAAAGGTGATAGGGCTTCCTTCTGGCTCTCTCAAGTTAATGCCTTTAGAGCCCTGAGCTGCTATGGAGTCCAGCTACCCTGAGACTTCCATGCAGAGAGATGAGAAGAGATGCCTGAGGAGCCTCAGCTGTTCCAGCACTCAACAGTTGGAGTCTTCCCAAACCAAGCATGAGGTATACAGATTGAGAAGACTTTGAGATTACTGCAACCCCAATCACCATTTAAATGCAACCTCAAAAGCGATGCTGAGTTGAAACCAATCAGCTGAGCAGTTCTTGATTTCCTGACCCATATAAAGCACGTGAAATTATAAATATTGTTGTTTTAAGCCAGTAAGTTTTTGGGTTGATTCGTTATGCAGCAACCATGCCTTGATATACATGGCAAAATCAAAGATGACTCTAATTTTATCTTTACACAAAGTTTGGATATTGACTCTCCACTTGGCATAAGGCAATTATAAATATCTCATCAGCCTTTTAACTTTAATGGTCTTTTGTAGCATCACAGCAAATTGCAATAAAAATAAATGAATAATCATCTTCTACTAACATATTATCAATTTCAAAACCTAATTATTAAATAATTATAAACAAGCTAAGTCATTAGTTCCAGGAGAAAGCATCAACATTTTCTTTTAATATTTTCATGAAAGTGCTAATGCTTAGAAAACATATTGCATAATTAAAATTAAATCACTCTCCCTTAGGAGGAAATCAAATTTGTCTCCCTTAGGCACAGCAAATCAAATTATGAGTTTGTCAAATCAATTCACTATGCAAGTAGGATGATAGCCCTCTGAGGGTTAATTTTCTTTTATCTCTAACGTTTTTTAAAAAACCATATTTATCTAGTTGAGAATTTTTCATATATCCACTCTCACTCACTCAAACTCAGAACTTACTCTATTTTAGACTCCTTAAATGGCAATGCTGAGGCTAAATTACAGATCCTAGAGGAAATCACAAATAGAAAAAGAAAAAAAAAATGAACAGATAGTCATTCTACATGCTTCAGCAGGCCTCACTCTCTCATCCCACAATGCATGCATGACAAATGGAGTTCACAAGGGCTGTGTTTGCTCCAGGGCCACAACCTTCCTAAGCACAATTCCTGGAGTCCTTTCTGTCTTACTCAAGAAGCCAGAAGGAATGCAACTGAGTAAGAGTGGCATTTAGGAGGTCATGGGGGCTTTAAAGTCCCTTCCCATCATGACCACTCCACTATGATCGTGGTAAAAATGCTTTGTGTCTGCTAGCACCAAGCATCAGTACTTTTATAAACAGCATACTTCACACCTTAGAAAACAAAAGCACCACCATGAACTGCTGCTTTCGACAGGAGTTTGAATTTGTGTTAAAGAAACCATTCCTTCAGTCATTCCCCACAAGATTGCTGAGAGTTTGGTATCAGACATGTTTGATTCCCTAGCCCGGGATTCCTTAAGTAGGGTGCACACATCCAGGAGGATGGCTCGAGATGATAAATTGGGGTGCAAAAAGAAATATTATATCTTCTGTTCAAATTGACTTTTTAAATTTAACAAGCAGAATAAATTAAGCTTCACCAGTCTTTGGCATAAAGACTGACATTGTGGCGCCCACTGTATCAGTCACCTGTCGCCTACATAGGAGCTACATATTTTGTGATACATTTTATTTTTTGTGACAAAACAACAAATAAAATCAAGTATCACTATCCAATCAGTTTAGTTTTAATCAAACCTTTGAATCCTGTCTCATAAAGTTTTTAATCAAATCTTTGAATCCTATTTCATAAAGTTTTAACCAAGTTTCTTCAAAGTAGTTTCATTTTAAATCACATTGTGCTTAAAATGTTAGTGAGATAAAATCATTTTTATACTAAAATAGAATATAAATTGCTAAAATTATTGGTTATTTCACCTTCATTTCTCCTTCTTAAATATTCTCTATGTTTTATAATTCACTTTCTAATGTATACTAAGGGCTCAAATAACTTACTGGTAGTATGCATGACCAAAAAAGTATGGCGAATAATATCCAAATGTGTTAAGTGAAAAAAACAAAAATGTGAGAGCAAGAATCTATACACATCCTTCCTTGTATAAAATATCTCTGGAAGGATAAGGTGTCTGCTTTCTGGGAAGGTACCTGGAGACAAGAATAAGAGAGAGTTTCCAGTGTATGTAATTTTATATCCTTAAAATATTCAGCTACCTAAATGTGTTGTCTATTTGAAATTAAAGTTTAAAAAAATGAGAGACCATATGCTAATCATTGTATGTATTTATACTCTATTATGCATGATTATATGTACACGTATTTTACCGTAAGGGTACATTATTCATTCATCTTTGTGTTTCCAGGACAAAGTACAATAGCCTAGAACATGATAGCATCTCAATAAATATCTGTTGTTAAATGAAACTTCTTGGAATGATTATGTGAAAAGCTCTCATCTTCTCCTGAGATATCTGTGTCATTTCATAATCTGGAATACTATGGACCTTACAGGTGTTCGCCTCTCTCCCATTCACTTTATTCTCCTGCTAGAATTAAACAGTACCTTTACAAAATTATAGCTAGATTGAATAAATAAGTTCTAGTGTTCTATGCCACTGTAGGATGACTATACTTAACAATAAATATATAGTTTCAAATAGCTAAAAGGAGGATGGAGGATATTGAATGTTCCCAACATAAAGAAATGATAAATGTTTGAGATGATGGATATGCTAATCACCCTGATCTGATCACCATACACTATATGTATTGAAACATCATTCTGTACTCCATAAATATATGATTGTGTATCAATTAAAAAATTAAGCTACATTAAAAAGTACAAAAAATAATATCTTTAAATGTATTGTGTTTATATCATCTGTATTTCTTGGTCCATTCTCCTGGTCTTTTTTTTTTTTATTTTTTTGGTTGTCGTTTGTTTGATTCATTTAGTATGAGTTGATTTTAGGTTATAAAAGCCCAACAATTGTAGCTAGAGAATATTCCGGCATATTAATCTATGTTTCTAAAAAAGTAGGTGGTAGTTAAGACTGAAGCCTCAGGACCTGCTTAGCCTGGTTCAAATACCACCTCTGCCTCTTGATACATGTGACTTGGAGCAGATTCTCCAGCCTCCTTGAAAACGTAGCCTCCATCTCCTCACATATAAAATTAGAACGACTCTTCAATTCATATCATAAGATTGTTTTGAGGATTAACATCAATATATTAACATATATGGGTTCAGAACAATGGCACATAGCAAATTCTCAATATATGTTCAATATTGTCATTACTATGACTACAATTATTTTATTATTTCTCCCCCTCTTCCCCTTTGTCCATCAAGCAAATAGCCAGCTCTGTACTTCATTGCCTCAAGGAAGATATGTGGCAGGCAGAGGCAAAGACTTCTGCTTTCTTACAGGCTGTGTCTTTAGGGAGAATCTTGACGGACTGGACATACCCCGCAGGGAGCAGCGTAAGGGAGAGGATCTGACTGCACAGGCATCTTTGTCTGAGGGCGTAGGCTGTACTGAAAAAGAAGTAAAAGAAGTAACAGGATCCTAAGAATCACGGCAGCAGCTGCCATGGTACCACAGGGTACGGAAAGCAAACCCACAAACCCAGTTCTGCCAGCAGAGGGCCATAACTGAGACAGGGGAGGACAGGGTGTGCTGTAGAGTATGGACTCCATCGCCTTATAAGGACCAGGTTGGTGATGGAAAGGAGAGAGAGGGCCGGGCTAGGGAGGGAGGGAAGCTGCTGTGAACTGGGGAGCACCTACCTTGCCTAACAACAGACACTACACACATGTAGGAATGTAGACTCAAAGCTGCCAAATCTCCAAAATTTTCAAGAAAAGCAAAAGTCTGCTTTTGAATTGGTAACCTCCCAATTTTAAAATTTGGTGCACACCTAAAAAATTGTCTGCAGCCCACATTCAGCCTCAGGGCTGCCTGTTTGTGACCTCAAGGTTAGAGAAAGCTAGTGGTCTAGAGTCTGTATGCCCTCCAAGATTGGAAGCCTAGCTCTGTTCTTGCCTGCTGGTGGCTTTAAGCAAGTTATCATCTGAGCCTTGGTTTCCTTACCTGTAAAGTGGAATAATGACAGCTAATCTTGGGGAGTAAAGTGATAACATGATAAAAATCAGGAATAAAATGTATACATTCAAATATAAATACTATTGTAGAAACAATATACTTTGCTTGTACCAAAAACAGAAAATAAATACAGAAATGGTGGAAAAACCAGATCAGTTTAACATCAATCAGTGTCTATAAATACAATAGAAAGAAGAAGTCTGGATCTTTGCAACATTTGGGGTCACAGAAATAATTTTTTTGGTACACATTTGGAAGAGAACTAGCCAGCATCATTATGAAGGAAGGTCTGCATAGGTTCTTAAAAGGCAGCTGGGGACACGAAACCACTCCTCACATGAAAATCACATGGAAGTGAATATACAAGCCTAATTAGGACAGGGAAGAAGGCAGCACTGTGGGATCAACCCCTCAGAGGGAAAAACTGGAAGAAAAACTGGATGGAAAAAAAGACAGTACGTGTAATGGAGGGACTTTGGGTTACACTAAATATATAAAACCAAGATGCATATTTAAGAACACCTCAGCTCTGTGGTTGTCTGTGCTGATTGCATCCGTGGTGATGTGAATGAACCAGATTGCTTAAGGGACTTTTTGTTTTTTTTTTTTTTTTTTAGACAGACTCGCTCTGTCACCCAGGCTGGAGTGTGGTGATGCAATCTTGCCTCACTGCAACCTCCGCCTCCTGGCTTCAAGTGATTCTCCTGCCTCAGCCTCTCAAGTAGTTGGGATTACAGGCATGTGCCACCACGCCTGGCTGATTTTTGTATTTTTAGTAGAGACAGGGTTTTGCCATATTGGCCAGCCTGGTCTTGAACTCCTGACCTCAAGTCATCCACCTGCCTCGGCCTCCCAAAGTGCTGGGATAACAGGCATGAGCCACCATGTCCAGCCTTAGATTGCTTTAGGAACCAATTCTTAGAAGGCAGAGTTGATAGAAGATTATGGTGAAGGGCACAGCGACTATACAACTCAACCCATATCCATGTACCTAGAAGAAGTGAGACCACCCAATGCTAATTTAGAGACGGGATTGTCAACAACTTCCTCATAGAATTGACGTGAATTGTAATCATGTATTTAAACCACAGCTAGGTGCCTGGCACTTGGCACGTACTTCCTAAATATTACTTCTGCTACCATGGACTTATTTTGGAACTCTGGATTATCATCCCTTCTGGCCGAAAATAACGAATTATTATTTCTTTTTTGCTTCAGGAGCTGTAGGGGAGGAAGGGATGAGGGAAATGGGTTGTGCTCATTAGTGGGCTTCTAAATGCTTCTTGCCCAGTGGTGTGAATGTCCCAGGACTCCAGCTGACAGATCACTAGAGTGGTTTCCAGCCATTCTTAGCAGTTGAAAACCTTCTTCAAAGTCTTACATGGAACCTCAGAACAGAACAAAATCAGAACTGTTCTGGGCAGCCTTTAACACCTCAAAGTGGCCTCTAAGGGTTTCATCAACCAATTTGAAAAACAGTCCCTAGAAGGAACCTGGTTCTTCTGCCTTCAAAGCCTCTGACAATGAGTAATGGATTCAGTATCAGGGGGAAAAAGCTCTGACAAAAGAAAGGGAAGAGTTGGCTCTTCTCCTTATAAATCTATGGAGTGTTTATCTTTAATATGGTCTAACGACAATAACGACTTTCTTTTATTGAGTGTTTACCATGAGCCACAAACTGTACTAGAACTATAGATATTTTATATCATTTAATCTTCACAATAATCTTGTGAGACATTATTATTCTCATTCTTGAAAGGCAAACACCGAGGCTTCAAGAGGGTCCATAAATTAGCCAGTAGTACACATTGAATGAGAGTCAAACTACTATACTTCGCTGATGCTATAATTAACTCTATTGATTTATATGAGGAGCTGAGAAATAAGAATCTCAGAAATTAAACTCAAGATCACTTTTTATGCAGCCACTTGAATCTTTCCTTTTTCTGAATATCCATGACACAAATATTTATTTGCCACTTCAAATCAACATACATTTAATAGAACTCAGTGTAGTAAAGGAATGTTCTAAGTTGGCAGGCAGGTGTGAGGGTCCTGAAGGTGGCAGTGGTAAGAAGGGAAGAAGAAAAGAAGGAAGTTTACAACATGAATGAGTCAGCTGTGCCGTAAAGAGAACAGAAAAGAAGGCTGTCTAGGGAGACAAACAGACATACCCACAAACACAAACAATAATTCTATAAAGATGGAGCGTTAAGAATTGGTTAGAAAAAAGTAGCTCATTCACAATAGTAGCAAACCTATAAACGATTATATTTAGGAACAAAACTAACAAAACCATACAAGATATTTATATGAAAAATTATAAAACCTTATTTAATGAAGAACATAAAGCTAGACTTGAATAAACAGAGTGACATGACAATGTTCATGGATGGGAATATGTGAGTTCTCTTAAAATTAATCTATATACATAATATAATCTATATTGAAATTCAAATCAAAATCTCAGCAGAATCTGACAAACTGATACTAAAATTTATAAAGAAGAATAAATGTATAGGCATACCTAACTTAAAAAAGAATAGGGCCGGGTGCGGTGGCTCATGCCTGTAATCCCAGCACTTTGGGAGGCCGAGGCGGGTGGATCACCAGGTCAGGAGATTGAGACCATCCTGGCTAACACGGTGAAACCCCGTCTCTACTAAAAATACAAAAAAAATTAGCCGGGCGTGGTTGCGAGTGCCTGTAGTCCCAGCTACTCGGGAGGCTGAGGCGGGAGAGTGGCGTGAACCCGGAAGGCGGAGCTTGCAGTGAGCCGAGATCGCATCACTGCACTCCAGCCTGGGCTACTGAGTAAGACTCTGTCTCAAAAGAAAAAAAAATAAAAACCAAAAAAACAGAAGGGGTGGGATTGTTCTTTGGATATCAGGATATAATTTAGATTTCTTCAACTGGAACCATGATATTGGTGCAGAAATATATAAACAGAAGAAAGAACTGAATAGAGAAACCATATACAGACCAGTGTCTATACAGGAATAAGTCATTTCAATGAAGGAAAAGATGCGCAAGTCAACAAACGTTCTTTGGACCACTGAATACATTTTTCATTTCCATTCAAAACATGCAATAAAGTTATATTGCTACCTCACACTATACAAAAGAATTAGTGCACATAGAATAAATACCTGGACCTTTAAAACAAAACTAAAAATAACTAGAAAACTATAGAAGATTTTTATGAGATTATGGGGAACACTTTCTTAAGATCCAAATGCAAAAGCCAAAGGGAAAATAATGAAAAATACACCAATTCCAATTTAAAATTTCTGCAGGACAAAACATATCTCGAACATGACTGAGAAAAAATATAAATGAAAGAAAATATTATAAGATATGTAGCAAAGGATTAGTATCTAGAACATCCAAATCGATTTTAAAAACTCAAACAATCTAACAAGAAAAGAGTGGGGGCAGGGTTATGTTTTAGAAATTCTCAAAAAATGAAATACAAGTGGCCAAAAAACACATTTCTAAATGTTTCAGTTCACTAGTAATTTGAAGAATGCAAATTAAAATAGTGATACAGAAACACTTCTAATCCATCAGATAAATAAAATAAAAAGGTAAGTACTGATGATAAAACAAATTTTAAAGCAACATGAAAGTTCACTAATAAAATATAATGTATTTATAGAGTGTAACATGAAATCGTTATAAGGATGAGCTAGGTCTATATGTATCAACACAGATAAGCTCAAAAACAGAATGCACAGTGATAAAAGCAAGTTATAGAATTATATAAATAGCACTGAGGAAAGAGCAGGAGCAGATCACTGTGAAAAACAGGAAGTGGTACAGCATGTCGAACGTGTAGACAGGTATATAAAACTGGAAAATTAGTTGGGACCAGATAGTTGAATATATTGTTAATCACGATCAATTTGAGTGTTCGTGTGTGTTTATAGATTTGCTATAGACTTCCCTCCTTCATTTTCTTTCTTTTTTTCAATTTTTATTTTTATTTTAAGTTCCAGGACACGTGCAGGATGTGCAGGTTTGTTACACAGGTACATAGGTAAAAGTGTGCCACAGTACTTTGCACACCTGTCAACTCATCACCTAGGTATTAAGCCCCACATGCATTAGCTATTTTTCCTAATGTTCTCCCTCCCCCGACCCCACCACCCTGCAGGCCCCAGTGTATGCTGGTCCTCTTCCTGTGTCTATGTGTTCTCATTGTTCTGCTCCCACTTATAAGTGAGAACATGTGGTGCTCGGTTGTCTTTTTTTTTTTAAGACAGTGTCTCACTCTGTCAGCTAGGCTGGAGTACAGTGGCACCATGTCAGCTCACTGCAGCCTCAGCCTCCCAGGCTCAAGCAATTTTCCCACCTCAGCCTTCCGAGTAGCTGGGACTGTAGGCACACGTCATCACACCCAGCTAATTTTTGTATTTTTTGCAGAGATGGAGTTTTGCCATGTTGCCCAGGCTGGCCTTGAACTCCATTTTCAATAATAACGTCATGGAGCTCTTATTAGTTTCAGCTTTACTGCTTGGTTAATAAAACCTCCCTATGGAAATCCACCTTTTCGCCCCACTCCCATTCCATGAAATACGAAATTCTATAACCTTTTAAAAACACATCGCTTAGGTTGTCACTGTGGACTCTGGGCTATCTAGTGAAATCTTGGCTAGCAGCATGTTTAGTTGGCAGTGAAAAGATCTTAGACTTCCCATGCTTGCCCATCTTGATTCCTTTCCCCTCACTAACCTTTAAACAATCAGGCCAAAAGATGAGAAAAAGATTTTTTTTTTTTTTTTTTTTTTGAGACAGAGTCTCGCTGTCGCCCAGGCTGGAGTGCCGTGGCGCTATCTCAGCTCACTGCAAGCTCCATCTCCTGGAGAAACTACTATACAAAGCCAAGAAGTAGGGCCAGGTGGCTACTATGGCAGATAAGTACAGTCTTATCTCCTCCTCTTCTTTTAAAATGACAGGCCTGGGGACTGGGAGAGTCCAGCTCTTGGGCTGAGAAGTAAGGAAAAATGGCGCTATGCACTGCAAGCGGCTTGTGGTAGACTCCTAGTTGTCTATCAAAACCTGTTTTCCTTTCTTCCATGATAACAGCTCTGTAGAGACCCATGACTGACCACTTGATCACATTTCCCACCTCCTTTACAGTCGAGATAAAGCCATGTGACTTAAATTCTCATCAATGGAGCATGAGAAATGATGTGTCTGGGACTTAAGAAATTGAGCATCACCTGAGGCGGAGCAAGATGTCAGAATAGACAGCTCCACCATCGTCCCTCTTGTAAAGACACCAAGTTGACGACTATCTATATAGAAAAAACACCTTCATGAAAACCGAAAACCAGGTGAGCACTAACAGTACCTGGTTTTAACTTCATATTGCTGAAAGAAGTACTGACAAGATAGAAAAAACAGTCCTAAATTGCAGATGCCACTCCTCCCTCATCCCTGGAAGTGGCGGTGTAGTTCTGAGAGCCTCTCTGGGTGCCAGGGGAGGGAGAACACAGAAGAAGCATTGGAGACTTCAACACCTCACTTTCAGCATTGGAAAGATCTTCCAGACAGAAAATCAACAAAGAAACTTCATACTTAATCTGCACCTATGGACCAAATGTATCTAATAGATATTTACAGAGCATTTCATCTAAGAGCTGCAGAATACACATTCTTTTCCTCAGCACATGGATCATTCTCAAGGACAGACAATATTTTAGGTCACAAAATAAGTCTTAAAACATTAAAAAATTGAAATAAGATCAAGCATCTTCTCTAACCAAAACGGAATAAAAATAGAAATTAATAATAAGAGGAATTCTGGAAAAAATACAAATATATGTGATATATAATTATACAAATATAATTTCTTGATTGACCAGTGGGTCAATCAAGAAATTAAGAAGGAAACTGAAAAAAATTTTCAAACAAATGATAATGAAAACAAAACATACCAAAATCTATGGGATACAGCAAAAGCAGTATTAAGAAGGAAGTTTATAGCTATAAGTGCCTACATCAAAAAACAGGAAAGACTTCAAATAAATAATCTAAAGATGCATCCTGAATTTTAAAAAAGCAAAAGCAAATCAAACAAAAAAAATTAGTAGAAGAAAAGAAATAAAGATCAGAGCAGAAATAAATGAAACTGAAATGAAAAAACAATAAAAGGTTAAGGAAACAAAAATTTGGTTTTTTGAAAAGTAAAATGAAATTGACAAAGAAAATATTTGCAGCTTTTAGCCAGGCTAGGAAAAAAAAGAGACAAGATCCAAATAAATAAAATTGGAAATGAAAATGAAGACATTACAACTGATACTGTAGAAATTCAAGGATCATTAGTGGCTGATATGAGCAGCTATACGCCAATAAATTGGGAAATCTAGAAGAAATGAACAAATTCTGAGATGCATGCCACTTATCAAGAAGAAATCCCAAACCTGAACAGACCAGTAACAAGTAACAAGATCAAAACTGCAATAAAAAATCTCCCAGTTAAGAAAAAGCCTGGGACCAGATGGCTTCACTGTTGAATTCTACCAAACATTTAAAGAAGAACTACTACCAATCATATTCAAACCATTCCAAAAAATAGAGGAGGAGGAAATAATTCCAAAGTCATTTTATGAAGCCAGTATTACCTTGATACCAAAACCAGAGAAAGACGTATCAAAAAAAAGAAAACTAAGAGCCAATGTCTCTGATGAATACTGATGCAAAAATCCTCAAAAAAAAAAAAAAAAACAAAAAAAAACCTAGCAAATTGAATTCAACAATGCATTAGAAAGATCATTCATCATAACCAAGTGAGATTTATCTCTGGGATGCAAAGATGGTTCAACATACATAAATCAATCAACATGATACATCATATGAATAGAATGATGGGTAAAAATCACATGATCATTTCAATTGATGCTGAAAAGCATTTGATAAAATTAAACATCCCTTCATTACAAAAGCCCTCAAAAAAATGGAGACAGAAGGAGGATACCTCAACATAACAAAAGCCATATAGGACAGACCCACAGCTAGTATCATACTGAATGGGGAAAAACTGAAGCCTTTCCTCTAAGATTGGAAACATGACAAGGATGCCTACTGTCACCATCATTATTCAACATAGTACTAGAAGTCCTAGCTAGAGCAATAGCTACACATAAAATTAAATACCTAGGAATTAACCAAACAATCTCTGTAATGAAAACTATAAAACACTGATGAAAGAAACTGAAGACACCAAAAAATGAAAAAAAAATCCATTTTCATGGATTGGAAGAATCAATATTGTCAAAATATCCATACTACCCAAGCAATCTATAGATTCAATCTAATCCCTAACAAAATACCAATGACATTCTTCACAGAAATAGAAAAAAACAACTCTAAAATGTATATAGAACCACAAAAGACCCAGAATAGCCAAAGCCATCCTGAGCAAAAAGAACACAACTGGAAGAATCACATTACCTGACTTCAAATTATACTACAGAGCTGTAGTAACCAAAACAGCGTGGTACTGGCATGAAAACAGACACATAGACCAATCAAACACAATAGAGAACCCAGAAATAAATCCACACATCTACAGTGAACTCATTTTCAACAAAGGTATCAAGAACATCCATTGGGAAAAGACAGTCTCTTTCTGCCTTAATAAATGGTTCTGGGAAAACTGGATGTCCATATGCAGAAAAATAAAACTAGACCCTTATCTCTCACCATATACAAAAATAAAATAAAAATGGATTAAAGACTTAAATCCAAGACCTCAAACTATGAAACTACTAAAAGAAAACACTGGGGGAAATCTCCAGGACATTGGTCTGGGCAAAAATGTCTTGAGCAATATCCCATAAGCACAGGCAACCAAAGAAAAGATGGACAAATGGGATCACATCAAATTTAAAAGCTTTTGCACAGCAAAGGATACAAGCAACAAAGTAAAAAGACAACCCACAGAATGGTGGGTTGCAAAAAAAATTTGCAAACTACCCCTCTGACAATGGATTAATAACCAGAATATACAAGGAGCGCAAACAACTCTACAGAAAAAAATCTAATCAAAAGACAGGCAAAAGATTTGAATAGACATTCTCAAAAGACAATATACAAATGGCAAACGGGCATGTGAAAAAGTGTTCAACATCACTGATTATCAAATAAATGCAAATCAAAACTACAATAAGATATCATCTCACCCCAGTTAAATGGTTTATATACAAAAGACAGGCAACAACAAATGCTGACGAGGATGTGGAGAAAAGGGAATCCTCGTACACTGTTTATGGGAATGTAAATAGTCCAACCACTAGGAAGAACAGTTTGGAGGTTCCTCAAAAAACTAAAAATGAAGCTCCCATATGATTCTGCAATCCCACTGCTGGGTATATAGCCAAAAGAAAGGAAATCAGTATATCGAAGAGATATCTGCATTCCTATGTTTGTTGCAGGACTGTTTACAATAGCTAAGATTTGCAAGCAAACTAAGTGTTCATCCACAGATGAATGGATAAAGCAAATGTGGTACATAAGGCCGGGCATGGTGGCTTATGCCTGTAATCCCAGCACTTTGGGAGGCAGAGGCGGGTGGATCACCCGAGGTCTGGAGTTCGAGACCAGCCTGACCAACATGGAGAAACCCCGTGTCTACTAAAAATACAAAATTAGTTGGGCGTGGTGGTGCATGCCTGTAAACTGAGCTATTCAGGAGGCTGAGGCAGGAGAATTGCTTGAACCCAGGAGACAGACGCTGCGGTGAGCCGAGATTGTGCCATTGCATTCCAGCCTGGGCAACAAGAATGAAACTCCATGTCAAAAAAAAAAAAGAAAAGAAAAGAAAATATGGTACATATATACAACGGAGTACTGTTTGGCCATAAAAAAGAATGAGATCCTGTCATACGCAACAACATGGATGGAGGTGATTATGTTAAGTAAAATAAGACAGGCATAGAAAGACAAACATCACATGTTCTCACTTATTTGTGGGATCTAAAAATCAAAACAATTGAAGTCATGGAGATAGACAGTAAAAGGATGGTTATCAGAGGCCAGGAAGGGTCGGTAATAAGGGGTTGCGGATGTGTCGGGGGGTGGAGGCAGAGATGGTTAATGGGTACAAAAAATGTTAGAAAGAATGAATAAGACCTACTATTTGATAGCAAAACAGGGAGACTATAGTCAATAATAACTGTACATTTTAAAATAACTTAAAGAGTGTAATTGGATTGTTTGCAACTCAATGGATAAATGCTTGAGGGGATGGATATCCCATTCTTCATGATGTGCTTATTTCACACTGCACACCTGTATCCAAATATCTCATGTGCCCCTTAAATATATATACCTACTATGTACCCACAAAAGTTAAAATAAAAAAAGTTTAAAAAAGAATTTGAGCATAGATCCTCTGCACTCTCTTCCCCTTCCAATCAGCTGGAACCTGGCCATGGCAGTGACCTAGCTTTCAACATGCAGATGTCTACAATGTCCCAGGGCAGTTGTTCTGAAATTGTGCTCTTAAACCTCTGAGGATCGTCAAGACCCCTTCCAGAAGGTCATAGGTCAAAACTATTTTCCTACTAACACTATGACATTATGTGCCTTTTTTACTCTCACTTTCTCACAAAGGTACAGTGGAGTTTCGCAGTGGCGACAGGAAGTGTGATGTCACAGCAGTTTGAATACAAAAGCAGATATGAGAATACAACTCTCTTCTATTAGCTAGAAGTTAAAGAGATTTGCAAATATATAAAGCAATATCTCTCTCAACACTTTTTAAGTTTTGGAAAATATGATTACTTTTCTAAAAATATGTTATTCAAGTTAACTTGTGTGGATTTATTGTTATTTTGAAGGACTTAACAAATATTTTAAAATTTGTTTTGATTTCTCATATGGTGAATATCAATAGATATAGCACATATAAATGAAAGCTTTTTGAGGTCCTTAACAATTTTTAAAAAGTGTAAAGAGGTCCTGTGACCAAAAATTTTAGAGCTGTTGCTCTAGAGTTGGAAAGACAATGAGCTGGAAAAAACCCCGCATCTCTGCATGAATGTGAGGACTAAAACTGTCCTCCCCTCATTCACAGTGAGGCCATCCATTATATAAAAGGGAAATAAGTTTCTGTATTATGCTACTGTGTCATTGTGTCTTTCTATTATAGCACCTGGGATTTACTCTAAATAATACAGCCAATAGTTACATAAGTGGGGGCATGCTACTATATCAAAAAAACTAAAACATGCGACATTGATTTGCTTGGGTAGTAAGGGCACAGACATTTTAGGATGGAAAATTGATAACCCCTGTTATGTCATTGCATAACATCATTATTACTGTGATAACTTGGGAGGCAGGTCATGTTCCAATGGAGCCCATAGCTAAAGAAATGGCTGGAAAGAGCTAGAGTGTCTGTGTACACTGACTGCTCTTTGCTGCGTTTAGCAACATATTACAAGAAATAGATTAACTCAAGAAAGAATTGACTGCTTTGCGAGCAGATATAAGAAAAAAGAAAGTATCCACTAATTTAAGACCGCACAAGGTTAAAAAAGCCAACTGCCTGTATACCTCCAAACAGCAGGAGATTAGGCTATTGCAAAAAGAATTCCCATTTACCCACCACTACCACCAAAAAACAGGGCACCTAGCCCTGAAGCAAAACCTAGACTAAGGATGCTGCCTTTCTACCCAAGCCTGCTGTTTTAGATGGCCTGAAGCTAATTGTCATTAAAATGAGAAAGCAAAGAAATCACCACTATGCAATATATCTGCGTAATGAAACTGCACTTGTACCCTCAATCTATAAAAATGAACAGAAAAAGGAAAAACGGGAAGATAAAAAAGAAAGCAGCTTAATAACTATCTCTGGAAAAGGACTTATGATATAGTTACTAGCACGGACTGGAAGCTTTTTGCTTTTTCCTCTTTTTGAGAGGAAATCTACCAAATTTGGAAAGAAACAGTTTTTACCAAAATAAACATAATTCTAGCCAAAAAAAGGCATTTTTTTTTTAACTTAAAATAGGTCTCAGCCAGTTGCAGTGGCTCACACCTGTAATCCCAGCACTTAGGAGGCTGAGAGAGGATGATCACTTGAGGCCAGGAGTTTGAAACCAGCCTGGGTAACACAGGGAGCCCCTGTCTCCACAAAAAGTTTTTAAAAAACTAGCTGAGTGTGGTCCAGGAGTTCGAGGCTGCAGTGAGCTACAGTGGTGCCCCTGCACTCCACCCTGGCTGACAGAGAAGGATCTTGTCACTTAGGAAAAAAAAAAAAAGGAGAGGATAGCATATTAGTCTCCAATATACTACTTCAATGTGTCATGCAGATAATGGACAAGGAAGAACTTCTCAGAGGAACTGCCAGGGCAAGGACCTTTGCAATCCCTGCCTAACAGGATTCACTGTGGTTCAGTGAGTACTGTGTATATTCTCAAACTTTCCTTTTTTGAATAGGAGCCTTTATTTCATTGTCCTGGGCTTGCTCCTCCACTCTTTATTAGTGGTAGACAAGGAAGATAACATGAAGTTCAGTTTCCAGGTGGCTGAGTATGAGAAGTCAAAGCTAGACCTGATGAAGAAAACTATATATAGAGTAGAGATTCTCCACTTTTGAACTAAATGATGGGACTCTGGTTGTTTTACTTGGGGAGTGAGTGAGTACATTGTATGTGTGGGAAGAAGGGAGCAGGCGAGCATTTGCATGGCCAGAGAGGCAAACTGTGGGAGAAGATGCTAGTTAGTTCTCCCAGACTTCCATAGTAATAGCATTGCTGCCAGGCACCTGGCTGCCCAGCTGGACTCTACTTCCCGGCCTTCCTCTCAGTTCCAACAGGACTAAATTCTCAGCAATGCCTTGTGAGCAGAAGCGATGGATGTCACTTCCAGATCTGAGACTTCAGACCTTCACATTCTCTTCCCCGTCCATTCCAGCTGGAACCCATATGTGATGACAACACTTTTTCAACCACGCGGCCAGTGACAGTGTCCTAGGAGATGGCAGAAAAACCTGGGAGGAACCATGGTCCCTAAATGATCTCAAGGAAAAAAGCTGCCCAGTCAAGCTGGACTGTTCATATGGAGACTATTCCAAAAGAAGAAAAATACACTTCTTCATCCTAAAAGCCATTTAAGTGTTAGGCCCTTTTGTTACAGTGGTCTGACCATCACCCATATATGGCTGATACCAGAAATTCACCTCTTCTCACACCCCAGATCTGTGAGGAAATCTTGGGGAAAATGTTGGCATGTGTGTATGTGCCTACATTTGCACTAACAAACAAACAAACAAAAACTAAGTTAACGCAAAACCTTGAGGAGATGCAGTATAATAAAAAAAATATAGTTGTATCCTTTATGATAAACCACTAAATGTGTTTTTCTGGGTTCTGAGTCACTGCAGTGAATTATACAACCTGTGGAGAGTGTTATGGAAACCTTGAATTTATAGACTGTCAATCAGAAGTACAGGTGGTTGCTGGGACTTGCAACTGATGTCTGAAGCAGGAACAGACTTGTGGAACTAAGCTCTTAACCTGTGGGGTCTGAACTAACTCTGGATAGTGTCCAAGTTGAACTGAATTCTTAGGCACCCAGTTGGTGTTGGAGAATTGGAGAACTGGTGTGGAAGACCCCACACATTTGGTCTCAGAAGTGGTAGCAGAAAAAAAGACACCCCAGAAGCTTAAGCCTACACAGGGTGTAGAATAATCAGGGCTGACCCTGACACTGCTTTACATAAACATTTCAGCTTTGCCTCCACACCCGCTTAACTCCCGCAGGATGAGCAAAGATGACATTGACCTCAGACACCTCTGTACTGCCCACAGTGGCAAAGAACCTCTAGGCTGCTGGAATGTCAACCTAAGAAGATGTTAAATTGGAACTTTTCAGCCTCAGAAGTGTGGTTGAAAACAATAAATGTAAGTTACTGCTCATTCTACATAGAGATAACAGACCATCCTATAGAATTTGCTAACAGACCCCAAATCGGTACTGTTACCCGTGACTAGGCTATATAAGAGAAGATGTAGATTGATCAGGTATCCAGAGAGTTACCAGAGGGTTATGCTTTTCGGAGGGAATCCTCTCTTCCCTCCCTCTCCCACCTACTGCAAGTCACATGAGTAGGAATTTCAGGATTCTGATACACCACCTTAGCTTTCTGAGTCTGAATCTGGTCCAAGCTGGGGACAGCAGATATATGTTAAAGTGAATACGAAATTAAAGTTTTGATTTAGATTGGACTGGACTTTTTAAGAGCTGAAAATGAGATATTTTGTTAATGTTTTTTAAGTCACCAGAAAAGCCAGGGACTCTTCCTGAGTTATAATTCAACAAAAAAGAAAGATATTCAACATAGCATGTTTAAAAAGCAATTAAAAAAAAATCAAGTAGCTTCATCTGCTTGTACCTACCAAGTTTAGCACATTCAATATGTGGGTGGGAGAACCAGGTTTGGGTGGCAATGCCTGCCTCCCTGCCTATCACACTTCTACCAATAATCAAGAATCACATGGAATGGCTGCCATAGCACCCGCTTTCAACAGCAATATAATGTGGTAGCAACAGCAATAACAAAACTTCATCAGATATTTTCCAGTTTTTCTCTCTTCAAAGCCAGAACAATTAGAACCAAGCCTTTAAGCTGACTGAGCACCAGAGTTTCTGGACTTATGGTGGGAGAGGAAACCTAAGAAGGGGAGGCAGACATTCTAGCACAATAGGTGATCCAAAACCGTTAATGGGAACATTCAAAAAAATGTTTTGTAAAGCTACCCCTGGCCGTGAACTGCCCAACTCCAGGCTTCTTTCATGTGATGCATAAACTGACATCATATTTTACTTAATACTGTTTAATACGATATCTGTAATATGTTAAATGCTCCTTGAAATAAATAAGAAAAAGATTAAAAAGTCTGTAGAAAAATGGGCAAAGGAGAACAAGCAATTCACATAAGGAAGAAATACACATGGCCAATGAGTGTATGAAAATATACTTAACCTTAATAGTAACCCATGAAATGCAAATTTAAAACACAAAATGCCATTTACTCATCAGGTTTGCAAAAATTTTAAACATGAATCGTATCTGGTTGGAAAGGGTCTGTAGAAAAAGATACTGTCATTCAACATTGATATAACTTGGAAAAGTCATTATAAAAATTTAGAATGCATTTGTATATGAGCATGTGCACATGTGTCCATACATGTATGTATGCATGTAAGTATAGAAAAAGGTCTGGAAGAATATATAACAAACCTAACAGTACTCCTATTTCTCAGGAAAGGAGGAGCAGCGGAATGGGAGGGTATTGATGGACTTTCACGTTTTACAGATAGACTTAAAATTTGTATGAGCATATATTACTTCTGTAATTAAAAGAAAATTTTTTTGAAGCAGGGTCTTGCTGTGTCACCCAGGCTGAAGTGCAGTGGTGCCATCTTGGCTCACTGCAGCCTTGATGTCCTGGGCTCAGGTGATTCTCCTGCCTCTCAGTCTCTCTTAGCCTCCTGAGTAGCTGGGCCTATAGGTGTGCGCCACTATACCCGGTTAATTTTGTGTGTGTGTGTGTGTGGTTTTTTTTTTTTGTAGAGATGGGGTTTCGTCATATTGCCCAGGCTGGTCTGGAACTCCTGGGCTCAAGCCATCCATCCGCCTCAGCCTTCCGAAGTGTTGGGATTACAGGCGTGAGCCACTGAGTCCAGCCTTAATTTTTTTTAATGAAAAATCAATTAACATAAGCTTTTCAAAGCTTAAATAGATATATAAAATATTTTAATTGATTTATTTTCCTTTAAAACAGATGTATTGGGGGTTGAGCAGGCATAGCCTACTCAAATTTTGGCAACTGAACCCTATCTTAATCTACGTAGGTGGTTCAGTATTTCACAACCTGAAGAAAGTTTCCTTAGTTGGCATGAATATAAGTACAGGGTAATGTTTTGCATCCCTGGACAGTACTGAATAAGGCTTATTCTTAGTAATTCAAAATAAAAAAAAATTGTATGAAAAGTATTTTGAAATAAATTTTAGAGAGATTTGCATTTTTCAATAAAATGAATTCTATTATTAGTTATCTTTCCTTTTGGCAGAGACTGTCTTTAATTTTTAAGTGTTTGCCAAAGAAATGACCTTCTGCCAACCCATACTGATGTATTTGCCTGTTTTCAGACCAGAATTCATTCAAAAGCATCGCAAGTCTTCCAAGAAGTCTTTTTGTTTTTATTCCCAAAATTTTAAGCAAAAAGTAGTTCATTTAAAATATAAGGAGATATTCTTACTTGGTCCTCAAAAGATAGAGCCTGGGCAACATCTCTTGGAAATCCATCAATAACAATGCCCTCTTCATCAGGTATTTGCATCAATTTTTGTTTTATCTCTGTAATTGTTGTTTCCTTTTATAAACAGAAAGGATGACAAAAAAACCCCACAGTTAAACTTAGTATACTCAATCGGTATGAAAACATTTTGCAGAATAAAAGATAATTATACAGCAGTACCTGTGGGGCCAATTCTCCAGTTGTAATTATCTTGGCAATAAGACTCCATTTCCTATTGCTGCTGGTACTGTGGATCTTCTTTCTTAATAATTCTCCCACAGAAATGTATTGGAATCCATATCGTTCTGCAATTTTCAAACTCTGAGTACCCTTTCCACTTCCTGGACCACCTAGTATTTAAAACAGGCAAAACTGTGATCTTCTGATACAATAAGGACCTCCCTTTTATACAACTACTACTTCATCTGGGATGCAAATTCTGTGTCACCAAGACAGGGTGGTTAACAGTTCCATTTGTGGCATTCTCAGTGCTGCCTTTGAATGTAAAGCAAGTAGAGACTTTGTCAAGGAAAGAATTGTCTTGACCAACTGTATTAAATGAGAGATACAGGTTTTTCCTCTACCTATTTGAGCAAATAGCTAATTAAAAAAATTTTTGAACAGTGTAGTTGAAAGAAATCTTGACTTTTTTCTATGTAAAATCTAACATTTTTCCCTCTGTAATCAAAGAAAAATCTGTGGAATATAAAAAACAATGATCAAAATAACAATAATAGATTCCATGCCAACAGAGTTAATGTGTAATTCGGTGAAACGTAACCATTATTTTTAGACAAACGCCTACCAGTATTTACACAGCTTATTTAAATCTTTTTTGAAATGTTTGCTCATGCCTGTCCTTGCCTTATATCCTTTGAATTCTAGAGTTTTATGCAATGTAAACATAGACATATAGACCAATGGAACAGAATAGAGAACTTAGAAACAAATCCACACACCTACAGTGAACTCATTTTCCACAAAGATGCCAAGAACACACACTGTGTAAAAAGCAGTCTCTTCAATAAATGATGCTGGAAAAACTACATATCCATATACAGAGGAAATAAACTAGATCTCTATCTCTTTGTCATATGCAAAATAAAATTAAAATGGATTAAAGACTTCTATGAGATTATTTTTTAAATCAAAAGTAAGTTTTGGTTTTAAATAGCTGCTTTAACCTACTAATATATGGGCAAATCATGAATTGGCTTGAAATAAAAAAATTATCTGACCAATTCCATTGGCAAATTCAAACTGATTTATTCCTTGAAGAATCAGGTATCTTTCAGAAACTATATTTCCACACTTAATCACAACCACCAAACTAAGAGATTATACACTCCATTAATTTAAAAAATTCAGACACATTGAGAATGTTATTGTACTTTCAAGAAAAAAAATTTTTTGTCAACTAATGGAGGCAATAGTAGACAACAAAAAATATGATTGGCACAATTGACAGAGATATTCTCTGCCATTAATTTGTTGGATGAGCTTAATTACTGAATGTTTCTATCAAATTAATTTTACTTCTGTCTAAAGCCAGAATGGGCTTAATTTTGTTCTGTTCACTTATCTCTAAAACTTATAAATATTAGGGTCCATCTCACTGAAATTTTATGATTACGTTAACATGAGAGAGATTCGTATCTGTTCCAAGAGAGCCAGCTTTAAAAAAATTCTGCAGTGCTGGAAGAGAAACCATGTGGGCATCTATACCTCACTCTCACATTTTTAGGTTGGAACTAATACAAATTTGTAAGGTTCAGGTACAATTATTTTATAATTCCATAAAAGTCATAAAATTGTCCCAATTCTCTCAGACAACCTAAGATCCACCCTCTTCTTTCTTCCCTTGTTTCAATCCTCTTGAAATTATTTACACTTATTGGTTCTTCATCATTCTTGTAATATATAAAATGTTACAACACAGCATGTAAGCCTATAACAAGAATCATAACTTTGGGAAACAAGTTGATTTCACTGAATAGAAAGAAATGTGAAGTGGGAGAGATTTGAGTATTTACATATTCTCCGAAGATCTTAGTTTATTGAAATATTTTAATCATTTTCATATAAAATTCATAGTACACACAAAAAATATTTGTGCTCTTTTATACAAGATTAATTTGCTATCAAACCATTTTCATGAACAATCGAGCTTCCATTTGTTCATCCTGTTAATAATGACCAATACTTTATTACTAGCAGCAAGAACAACAAAATAGAAAGAATGTGTTCTGTCCACGTACAAATCTCATCATAAAATGATGAGATACTTCCCGATTATTTTTCATCTGTAGTTCTATCATTTATTTAAGTGTTTCCTTGTCTTCTATGTAAGGACTTGAAAGTTTTAAGCATAAAAAGAATGTATTCCACTTGCAAGAATAGAGGTTTATGGCGTAACAGCGGCTACCATAAAGCCATAAAAATATTTTAACTCTTCAAAAACTGACTTTAAACTCTCTTTCTGTAATTTTGTTTTTAACAATTCAAGGTAGATATATTTACAATTTCATTTTCATTTCACTTTAAAATGTACAAATGTCATTCCTTCTAGTCTGGTGAGCTTAAATTCTTGTTATAGCTTGGTGTGTTTATTTGCATGCTTTTGTCCTAGTTGTCAACATTGCTATGTCCTCTGAAGCACTACTTCCTTGCATGGGGTCTCCATAAATTTGACACTCTGTTAATGCAACTGGCTAGAACAGCTTTGAATATTTCATGCCAGAGTTTTGCTTTTGGTCATCTCTGTGAAAGGTGATTCTAACTGGAATGTGAAAACAATGACTACATGTTGCATGTTCACAGGTCTCTTCATGATTGTTATAGATTTTGAGAAAGACTTTGCAAAAATAGCCACAATTTTTTTTTCTTTTTTTGAGATGAGGTCTCTCTGTCACCCAGACTGGAGTGCAGTGGAGTTCACTGCAACCTTGAACTCCTGGGCTCAAGCTATCTTCCCACCTCAGCCTCCCAAATAGTTGGGACAACAGGTGTGTGTCACCACGCCCAGCTAATTTTAAAAATTTTTTGTAGAGACAGGGTCTCACTATGTTGACCAGGCTGGTCTGAAACTCCTGGGCTCAAGTGATCCTCCCTCCTTGACCAAAAAGGAATTTTTCAAAAATATTTAAAACATTTTCATTTTATATTCCTTGTGAAATGTCATGGGGCCGATAATTCCATATTTAACATAAGATTCATAGTGGCAACTTTTAAAATGAACTATTATCATTGTTATTTTGGTTAATACTCAGATGTTATGTGCTATGTAAAACACTATTCTATTAGATTTGTTTGTCTTTTAACAGTGAAACTTTGGATTTATTATAGGTGCCAATTTGCCATAAAGAAGATTCATTTATATGAATCTTTACCAATATATTATTATTTATTTTTCCCTCTAAAGTTAATAGTGAGTAAAAATTTAATTTGTTGATTTAAAGGGGGAAAAATCACATCATGTTTAGAAAACTTTCTTTTTTTCTTCTAGAAATAGTCTCACTAGGTTGCCCAGGCTGGACTCCTGGGTTCAAGGGATCCTCCTGGCTCAGCCTGCCTACTAGCTGGGACTACCACCACATTCAGCTCTCAGAAAACTTCAATTGGCTCAGTTATCTGTGATCAAGATTAAATAAATAAAACCACAGGACAATAAATCTTGAAGGTATTACTTTCGATTCATTATAGAGAATTTCTATGACCTTTTATTGGGAATCTATGAAAATGCAATAGGCATTAGATTATATAATTATAACAATTTCTATTTTATTGAAACTTATACTAAGAATATTTCCATTTATTGTCCCTTGAGCTTTTGTTTCTATTGCTTGTCATTATCCAACTATTTGCACATATATGATTTACTTTTTTGAAATGTAAATATATAAACAAAGGCAGCAACGGTATGAGAATTTTTGCTTTCTGTCCTCATACCTATAACAAGAATGATTTTTGGTCGAGGTCTGGTAGGATCAAAAACCTCATACTCCTCAATCAACTCTGCAGTCTCAGAGAGATCCGTGTCACTTTCTATGGAGAATTGATGGATTGGAGGGAGCCGGTCATACCGCCGATATGGAAAGTTTGAGTTTTCAGGCATTACTGCAAAAGAGTAAGATAACTTTGAAAAGGAAAAAACACCATAATAAAACACTCTTCACACTTAAACAGTTAGTAAAAGCAATTTTAAAATTAAATGGGTTTGTTTTTTTCTTAACTGGAAGAAGTCTCCCTAAGTGGTCAGCAGGCTTTATTGTAAAGGGTCAGATAGTCAATATTTTGGGCTTTGAGAGCCGTGCAGTTTCTATTCAACTTGGCCATGGTAGTATGAAAGTGGTCATAAACAACATAATAAACAAACGAGTGTGCCTGTGTTCCAATAAAACTTCATTTATAAAAACAGGCAGTGAGATGAACTTGGCTCATGAAACTTTGCCGCCCTCTGCCCTAAGAGGAACCTTCTCAGATACTGCCTAGTCTTGTTTGGTAGGTTGTATACATCGTGGCCTCTGCAAATGGTGCTCTCTGGAGTTATGTAGTACATAACCTTCACAAGCATATGCAGCAGCCTGTCCATAAAGCTAATGCTTATATATTGTGTATTTCATTCATTCAACAAATATAGATAAGCTGCTTTCTACGACCCAGAAATGCTACTGTGGTCCAATGGAATGGCTTGGTGGCATAATGAATAAAAAATTAAGGTACTGTCACGGTCAGTAGGAGGGTGCAAACAATTCCTACAATTGGAATATCTTGTAACATCATCTAATTTTACTTTATCAATTTACTTATTATTTTTAATCTACTTGATTAAAAGATGTAAAAGTTTAAGTTTGTATCTACAATGGCAACAAATATTTGCTATTTGTTGCCGTTTATAACATGCCAATACGTTAGTGTGTTAAGAGTAATTTGGCATAAGAATAAGATGTAGACCTGTCCCTTCAGTGCTTATAAACTAGAGCTTATATGTTTATATCTTATAGCTGTATGAACACCAGCCACGATAAGTGTTAAAATGAGTATCTCTCTGATAAGCACCACGGTAATTTAATGAATTACATTTGGGCTGCAGTGGTAAGAAAGGACTTGCAAAGGAGGCAGGACCTGAACTTTGAAAGACAAGCACAGGTGATGAAATGCAGGAAATATAACACAGTTGGTGGGAACAGTACAAAGACTCTGAGTCAGAAATTCAAATGACATACTCAAAAGGACCGGAAGACAGGGCTGGCAAGTCCAAACCAGGGAGATGGTCTCAACCTGTTGTCGATATATAGTTTATGGCTCCCTCTTCTTTACCTCAGGGGTCAGTATTCCAGGAGGCACAGAGAAGCACTAACTACCCAAAAGGCACTTGCACAAAGCAAACAGGAGGCCACCTGCCCTTCCATGAGGAATTCTGCTAAGATGACTACTGTATCTTAGCATGGCATAAGGCTCACATCTCCTCCCAGGGATGTTGATCTGTTAGAACTTTCCATTCTCTGTTGATACAATAAATAAGGCCATTGACCACAGACCCACTAGATTCATTTTAGCTTCATGAAAAGCACTGGGTAGTCTGCAGATGACAGTAGATCTCTTTTAGAAAGAGCTGGGAAGGGCTACATCAGGAAAAGCACCAACAACAGTATCCTATTCTGCCTTGAAATTTAATCAGTTCATCCAACATTAGACAAAATTCAAAACATTATCCTTGATTACTTTCTTTTCCTCTCTCTGCACATCTACTCACAAGACTTTATTTGCAAAACATATACCAAATGCATATGCTTCTCTCCATCTCTACTATCACAACTCTTCCCAAGCCATCATCATATTTTACCTGGAATATCACAATAGACTATTTACTGATCTACCTGCTTCCATGCTTGCCACCACAATCAACTGCCTGAAATGTTCTTCCCCTGTTGCTCCCATGGCTGACTGCTTCTTGTCATTGACACTTTACCTTAAAGGCCACCTCCTGCAAGAGGACTTTGCTGACTTCCTAATCCAGTGCAGCCTCCTAGTGAGTCTCAGGGACATCACTCTAATGCTCTGCACAGCATCTACTTCACCATCTGAGAGTTTTTTCATTTATCCATTCATTCATTGTTTGTCTTCTCCTATTGGATTATAAGTTTCATGAGAGCAGGGGCCTTACCTACGGTCTGGAGCTCTGTATCCCTGGGATCTAGAACTGTGCTTGGCAGATGGTCAGTGTCCAATAAATATTTGTTGAATTAGTAATAAAAAGAACATCTTACTGAAATAGTTTCCCATAGAGAAAACTCAGAAGATAAAATGGGTGGGTAGAGCGTGGTTCAATATGGAGGTCCCTGAATCCTTTACCATGGTAAAGGGTTTAGCTTTAATCTAGTAGAAAGCCAGTGGAGGATTTGCAGGGGAGGGTTGGTAAGAGAAAGGAAACAATGAAATGAAATATAGGTTTTAGGAAGGTTAATCTGCTAGTTAGAATGAATTGGAGCAGGGAAAGACTAAGAGCAGAAAAAGTAGCAGCTAGGCTGTTAAAGTAATCAACAGATGAGAAATGAAGGCTTAGGCTAGAGTGGCAGCAGGGGAAATGGAAATGGATGGCCAGATCTGAAGGATATGATTAGGGTTGGAATATGAGAAATGAAAGGAGGTGACAGTTCAAAAACAATTTCCAGGTTTCAAGTCTAAAAGGATAAGGACCATACTGCATTTCATATAGTATCTTTCTGCTCTCTCTTTTCTGCTCCAGCAATATTGGACTTCTCTCATTCCTGACCAAATTACAGCCTCTTTGTCTGCCTCAGGAAATTCTCTTCTCTGTTCCCTGGTACAATCTCTTTCATCCTTCTCTAGCTAACACACACTTAGCTTTCTGCTCCAAGTATAAGCACATCACCTCTTCCAGGAAGCCGACCCTGAACCCCAAGCTAGGTTAGATTCAGCCCTTTGTTAACATGGTTAATTCCTTAACCTATGATTTTCCTATAGTGCCATTGTGCTCCTGCTTATATTTCTACTGCTTGATTTCACTGCTGGACTGTAAGGTCCCCAAAGGAAGGTGCCATGTCTGTTCTTTCCTGGTGGTTGTATTTTCAGTCCTAAAAGAATGTCTGACACATAGTAGTACTCAATAAATGGTTAATTTATTGCCCAACTGACTTACTGGCTGACTTCATGGAAACAGGAAAAGAAGTAAGTGCTGGTTTTGAAGTAAATATAGTGTGTTTGGTTTTGGACATGTTGAATATAAGATAATGAGATATTCTGGAAGATGGGCTCTATGAATGTTTGGGGTTATGGGATTAGAACTCTTATTCACAGATAATTATTCAATTGTATGCATGTGGCAGAAAGAAAGGGATGCTTATCTCATATTTAATGCTTTAAAGACAGTCAGCCAATAATTTAATCCTTGCTTTATCATATTTTAACTTAGGAAAGTAACTTGATTAGATGATGAAAATGTTTCATTTCACAGAATAATTTTTCATAGTAATAACACATTAACATAGCTATGGCAATATTTTTTCAAAAATCATTTCTAGAAATAATCAGTATGCTTTAAGATACTGGGCAGTTAGCAATTTTGTTGAATGTAATAAACTATTCCACACATTATAGCTAAAACCTTCAAAGCACAAATGAAGAAAGCATTTCATGAAACAGAATTGTATTATTACAGGACCAACCAGTTTAGAAATCATTTTCCGTTTTTTAGCATACCTTTCAGATACAAGACCGTGTGATGCAACATTCTTACCACCATAGGTATACGAAAAGTTTGTATTTGATGATTAACTAAAAGATCCCTGTGTGGGAATTTTGGTAAAGTATCAGTAGGTATGGAGAACCTAAAATTAACATGCAATCTTATTTTAATGAAAATTAAGCCTACATTTTCCATTCTTGTTTTAGCTTATCCTGCTAGATCAGGAATTCCAAACTCACAATTTGTGTACCCAATATAGCCCCACAGATGTGTTTTGTTCAGCTGGACATTTTTACAAAATTTGTAATTGACTTTTTTTTTTTTTTTTTTTTTTTTTTGAGACGGAGTCTCTCTGTGTCGCCCAGGCTGGAGTGCACTGGCGGGATCTCAGCTCACTGCAAGCTCCGCCTCCCGGGTTCACCCCATTCTCCTGCCTCAGCCTCCCGAGTAGCTGGGACTACAGGTGTACTTGACTGTTTTTAAACAATGACTGTTCTCTCTAGTTCTTCTCTCTAGTTTGACCACAGTCCTTACCATTCTCTATTGACACATGCCTATCTTCTGTGTACAATCATAGTATCAAATAGAAGCATCAAGATTTCATTTTGTTGCAGTCACTTTTACACCCAGTCAGAGCAGCTTTCCGACTAAGTAGATGTCATAACTTCTTAGATTTAATTTTTAAAATGTATACCTGAGGTTTATTAGTACTTTAAGGTTTAGAAAGTAGATCCCCATATTTACCCCCCTTGATGTAACAAAAGTATGGGGTATGTATTTAACAGGGAGCCAGACATTAAGTATGACGACACCCTGGGAAGTAAGCTTCCCATATGCTGGGGATGTGTATGAACTGTTCAAGCCCACAAAAATATCATTTATTCACTAAAGCAGTAATGTATTAAGTGGTGTGCTGCAGCAGCAACTGGCTAAAGATACAACCATGAGTACCTGCTGCCCACAAAGAGGGCACATCTAAGCTGTGTCTGCACAGTTTGGAGTCCTAAACTCCAATTCTGCTCATTTGCTACTCGTGTACCAGGCTGTTCTCAGTGAACCAGAAATCCTGCTGATTTACAAAGCGTGAACTTTATACCTGGGACTCATCTTGGTTATCAAACCAGAAAGTGGGTCTATGAATAGATTGTATGGTAAGAGAAAAATCTCTTTGGTATTGTAAGGTTTCTAAGGGTCAAATAAAAATATTTGGTGCAAATTTGATTTAGTAAGTATATAAAGACACAACCTTACCTTAGGACTTCCCATAGAATGTAACCACATGGCTATTTTGTGCTGAGTGTTATTTTACCTCCTGCCTATGTAAGATGGACAGTGGTGAGAGACCGTGTAGGTTAATGGGATTAATTGCTCTCTAAGACTCAGAATGCTAATCTTATTACCTTATAGTCACATCAAAAATTTTCTATTTCTCTGTTTTTTGGTCCGTTATAACATTTGAAAGTTTCTAAAATTAGTTTTAAATAGCAGTTTCAGACATCTCATTACTTCTCAGCAGCAGTGGGAAGTTTGGTCAGAGTCATATCATTGACTTCTGCATGAATGGTGAAGGACTCTTTTCTTTAGAGATGTTTCTGAGGAAAAGCTATTTCTGTTTGCCTTCTTTTGCTTGTGTTCCTTGAAAATTAGCACACTATGGCTTTTTCCCACACTGCATTCAAATAAAATCTATGTAGGTCATGACTAATAAGGTTAAGCAACTAAGATTGCTTCCTGCTGATATTCATTGCAGATAGAATTGTCTCCATTTCAGGTTCTGTCTGTATAGCATAAACCTTTTGTTGTACAATTTTTGAGAATGGTTTCAGTTTTGAAAATATAATGATTTTGGCCACTAGAACAGAATTTAGTTCCCCCTGATTTGAACTGATTCTAATTTGCACATACTATTATACGTCTCAAATTCATCTAGAGCCTGAAAGGCTGGTTGGCTCATGTTGAACCCCTAATTCTGATAAGCACATATTTCAGAAAGAGATCAAAACACCACAAATCTTCTCTAATGAACTGCGGTTTTTAGTTCTAAACAACTCCTAAAATTTAAACAAGTTTACTTCTCCAACTTCCTTTATAGCACCCAAATGCCTAGATTAGATTAATGTGTTAGATTAATACATTGCATTCAGTAGATGCTTAATACACTTTTATTGAATTAACTAGTGTTAAAGTGAACTAAATATGGCCTGAGAAGGACTCTGTACCTCTATATTTGAGTCCTTGTGGACAAACTGCAACCTAGCTTAATAGGTAGACAAGATTGAAAACCTAACTTAGGAGTATGCGCCTGTAACAATAGCTGAGTCTTGGCTGATCCCAGCAGCTGTACTTCAACCATTCATACACTGCTGAGTGTTCAAACTGTGTTCAATAAGGCAAATGCTGAACCGTAACCAATCCAGCCATTCTGTACCTCACTTCCGATATCTATACATCATTTCCCTTTTTTTGTCTATAAATCTTCTTCCACCACGTGGCTGCGCTGGCTTCTCTGTGAATCTGCTGTGTTTCTGGGGGTTGCCCAATTCATGAATTGTTCATTGCTCACTTAAACTCCTTTAGATTTAACTTGGCTGAAGTTTTTCTTTTATCACTAGTATAAACTTTACATGCATTTATGCAGATGCATTAATATGAACTCTGAACTTGGAAATATTAGTAAGCCAAATCTCTTTCTAGCTAATAAAAAATGCTGAACTGCTATGTAATAACTATCAATTATACCCGTATTCTATTCATTTATTTGGAGAAATCTTGTTTGCAATTTTAAGGAAAATGTATGTATGGCTTGCTAATGTAATTTATTTTGCAAAATAATAAAGTCAGTAATAAAAAATTTCATTAAGCCTCTAGTGAATTGTTGGACAATGGTAGATAATTTTGTTTGTCTTTTTATGGAAGTGATTAGAATTAGTAGCAGAGAAAAATTAATCGTGATCCAATGACTTCAGGCATTTATAAACTCAAAAAATGAAATCACTGTGTATAGTCTATATGGCATGTTTTAAAGAGAATTGCTATAACTATAAAACTGTCTATTATTCTCCATATACATTACCATTTCTTAGAAAGGATCTCCGTGACTGTCCTCCATTTAGTGGAGGTAAGGTCTTCTTTTCCTGGCTTACAAATGTATCCCATTTCACCTTGTCACAGCCACCCAGTTCCTTTACTTTTTGTAAACAACTTTCCAAGTATTCTACTGGATCTTCGGGCTTAGAACACATCAGTCCATTCAAAAGGCTCTGAAATATAACAAAATATGTACAAATAAAATATCTTTTAAACCCACCTTTGTTTTTTCTTTAATTTAATTTAATTTAATTAATTAATTTTTTTGAAATAGAGTCTCACTCTGCTGCCCAGGCTGGAGTGCAGTGGCACAATCTTGGCTCACTGCAACTTCTACCTCCTTGGTTCAAGTGATTCTCCTGCCTCAGCCTCCCGAGTAGCTGGGATTACAGGTGCACACCATTATGCCCAGCTACTTTTTGTATTTTTAGTAGAGACAGGGTTTCACCATGTTGGCCAGGTTGGTTTCGAACTCCTTAACTCAAGCGATCCACCTACCTCCGCCTTCCAAAGTGTTGGGATTACAGGCATGAGCCACTGCACGTGACCCCACCCACCTTTGTTAAAATAGTATTATGGCTCATCTTTGAATTCTGATTGTTTTTGTCCTTTGCATTTGTCTTTTAATAAACAATTAGAGTTGAAATTACGATCTGATGGAGTCATTAAGATAATCCCTTAAATTCTTGCCTAATTAGTTTTCAGTTCAGCATTCTCTGCCTCTTAAGCAATTCAGGCAACTAGATAGTTTAAAATGGAAGAGCCATTCACTTCATCACAGTGAGATAAAATGCAGCATGTGAAAATGCCCCTGGTCATTATTTATCTCACTCCTACCCACCCTTTATGTCTCTAAACCTCAGTTTCTTCTTTTAGAAAATGGGGGTAATAATAAATACCTCATAGAGTTTTTTAAGAATTAAATAATTTCATATTTGTACAGTGCATATTAAATGCTTGGCACATAGTAAGTGCCCAATAAACTTTGTTGGTTTTAGTTATTATTACTATCAGGAAGTCTTCTCTGAATCCCTAGGTTTGTCTGTGAACCCCTTCTTCTGTGTTCCCATGGTATCCAGCATAAAACATCATACTTGTCATTTATACTGAAACCATTCGGTTATGCAATAGTCTTTCTTCTAAACTATAAGCTCTTCAACAACACAGAGTGAGTCTAATTCATTTTTCAATCCCCAGATACTGATGCTTTCCCTGGCATTTGGTAGGTGCATATTTAACTGTTTTCCAATTGGAAAAAAAAAATCCCTCAAAGCTCAAGTCTAACTGAGACTCAAAAAAATTTAGGTCTGAGACTAAAAAAAAAAATTACTATTTGACATAGAGTAAGTCACTACGATATCCACTGAGATTCCAGAGGGGAAAAGAAACAAAGCATGATCCTGCTATTACTTTTTTGGTTCATGGTGTCTGATGTGTCACTGGCACTAGATTCTAAAAATGCTACCAGTTTGGAAATGCTGATTCCTGGAAGCTGGACTGATGTGCAAAATATTTTCCTTTAGAGTATTTCATGGAAAATGCATAAAGGATTATTCTTACCAATATACATTGTTAGTATACAAAACACCCTTTGAAGGGCTGACATCTGTTTAAATACAGTATTTTATTTTCAATTATTTCCTGTGTAATTTCCTCAGAATGGTAGGCAATTCTCACTAGGTACATTTGTTTTCTGAAATCCTAAATAGAGTAAGCTAGAGTGTGCACCTCCATCAGCCAAGTTCAATTGCAGAGGGAGCAGAAAAAATTACCCGGGCATCCAATTCAGTTTGTTTGTCAAAATCTGTCCCATATACACACACATTGCAGTTGAGCTTCTCACATTCTTCCCATACGCCAAGCCAGTATTAGCCTCATTAATAAATAAAAGCCTCTGTGTCATATATTTATTTGCATACCCAGTGCATTCTCAGCCCTGTGTGACTTTATTATCCCCATTTTATAGATTAGGAAATCATGGCTCAGAGATATTAGTGATGGCTCTAGTTTACTCAACTAGAAACTCCTAGGCCCAGGATTTCAATTCAATGTTTCCAATTCCAAAACCCATATGTTCTTCTCTGTACCTGTTGCAGAAACGTGATATGAGATAAAAGAAAACATGAGATTCTCTGTGCCCTCTGCAAAATGCCCTCTTTTTATCCCTACTATTGCCTGAAATGGGTGAACACTCTCAATGACTCTTTTCTGAAAATATACATTTCCAGCGTCCTTAAACAATACTGGTTCACCAAAGGGCATTGATTTTAAAATGGGACAATGAGCTCCATTCCTTCACGGATAATTCAAATCTTTTCTTCTAATAGCCAGCCACTATCAGGGATTGAAGACAACCAGCACATATTATTGCTCAGTCTCTGAGTGAACCCTTTGAGACCTTGAATAATCTGACTTTCCACAGTATTCAAATTGATTGCCAAATCTCTGCTGTAAGCTACAAGATCAATATACACACCATAAGGTTAGCCAGAATTAAGAACTCATGACAAAATAATAAGAAAGTGGGTTTAAAAAAGTCTAAAACTGGAAACACATTTCAAACATGAACGTACCAGAGATATCCCATATTCCATTTAGCTTACATGATGTCTCAAATTAGGAAAAAATCTGAAAAGGTCAGTTAGATATATTTACTTGTCTGACAATACGTCAATACAATAATCAGTCAGTTTGTCTGTAATAGCGTCTAAAATCCACAGCTGGGGCCAATGTCTTGGTGTTTAGTAGACAGCTAATTGTTAAACTTTGTACACCTAAAATATTGTGGTGGGCAAAATCCATTTTAAAAACCTAAAGTTTTTAGTTTTACAGTCTACACTAATCACATGGAGAACTGCCAGATTTTCCTTCCCTCTTGAGCTGCGCATAGCACAGATTCGTCTTACTGAAGGATGTAGCCTTTGAGGTCACCAGCAGTCTACTTCCATCTTCTCATTGTCCACAAGTGAATCTAAGTCCATTACTGTATTTCACCCAAGCAAGTTGACTTCCTTTTCTGGGTGTGCATTATTTATCCCATTCATATGCAGAAAAGTAAATAAGAAACATAAAACCTTAACAAAAAGGCCTGCCATAACTTATTTGCATGCACAGTGTAGATTTTAATAAACTATCAAACTTCTCTGTGGTTACCTTCCACCAAGGAGGAAAAACAGTACCCACATTTACAAAGAAAAAAAGATGTACTATGTAGGAATTTTTGCAATCACGTGGTCCTCCTACAGATGTTTTTAATGATTCTTTTAGAAGCGTAGAAATGAAATATATCTCAGTAGTAATCTTTGTGAGAAAAACCTTCGCCTCTTAATTTCCATATTTACTTTTTGAAAATAAAAACAAACAAAAAAAACAACTCTTAAGATTCCCACATATTCTCAAGACCTGTCCTTATGCAACACCACCTAATTATTTTCACGCAGGAGTAACACATTTGCTAGATTTGGGCTTCACATACCACGCTTGAGTTCAGTGAGTGGTTTACCTGGAAATCTTGACTTCAGATGACCTGAAAACGGTGGCTTATAGAGGTGAGAGAAAAGAAGACCTGTAATTATGGCAACCCATTTTAAAGATAGTTTAGGGAAACTGAGGCAAAATTATTTTCTCAAGTGGTGCTTTAAAATTCCTTTTAACAGAACAAATCCCCCAAACCGGGGGGAAAAACCCTCATGACCTTTAGTTTACGATATCAGTCTATCCGTTTTCAGAAATGGGGAACGAGGTTTGCAGTGAATGGATTTCTCCTTTCAGAGCTCGCTTAGGAAGCCTGGCTTGCTTCTATTCTTTTCTCCTCCTCCCCCCTACTTCAAGCAAAAGCACTTGAGATTCAGGAATGTTTTTAAATTCAAATACAAAGAGAAGGAAAGGAAGCCAAACGACCTGAGACAGGGGTTGTGGCTTAGAACAGACCAAGGTTCATTCCTCGAGCCTCCTCTCTCTCAGTCTCCAAGTGTCCCCCCATTCCCGGGTCCCGGTGCAGATGATGCTGTGCTGCGGTCTGAAGACTGAGCAACAGGAGTCCGCCCCCCTCGCAGCTCCCTCCCCGACCCGCTATCTCCAGGTGGGTTGTCGAGCACTGGCGAAACCTGCGGCCCAACCCTTCCTAGGCAACGGGAAAAACGTGCTCAGGAGTTCATTCAGCGAAAGCGCAGAGCAAGGCTGGGGGCCTGTCACCGGGGAGGTGGCACTTGATAGGTTGGGTTTTGCTTTTTGCATCTTCATCCCTCTCTTCCAAGCTGTCTCCAGGAAGGGCTGCCTTCGTCCACATTTCCTCTTTCCCCCAGGGGTTCCGACCCTCGACCAGCAGAGTGACTAGGGCTCTGGCTCCCTCAGTTTCGAGTCTTTACTCGCTGCTGGGCGACAGTGCAGCCACCTGACCTGGCCCTCGCCCCCAGAGAGTGCGGCCCGGCCGCGGTCTGCAGCCCACCCTGGGTGTCCACATCCGAGGGGCGCGATGGGAGCAGGCTGCTTTCAGAACCCTGCTGGAAGACTGAAACTTGATCTGTGAGATGCAGGCTTCTAAGCCCAGCCTTCTGACAAGGACCCTGGCAACCCGCGGGAAAGGCGACTACCCTCGGGGGAGCGGGCGAGTGCGCTTCTACAAGCCCCTTCATTACATGCCCCGTGTGGGGAAGGTGGGACGGGGCGCGGCTGCCTCAACCCGAACCCCTGAGATGCAGTCCCCGGATGCTACCGCCCGTCGGCCAGCTCTAGCCCTACCTCAAAAAGCTGAGGGATTTCCCTCCGGGCCAGATACTCCTTGGCATCGTTGGTGTTCATGGCTGTGCCGCGCGTGCCTTGGGGCGCAAGCGGGGAGGCTCCCGGGCTGCGGCGACCTGAGCCGGGGCTGAAGCTGGGGCTGGCAGAGTCCGCGCCGAGCAGCGGTGCAGCCCTCTTTCTCACGCGCACTCAGCTCAGCCTCTCCGCCCAGGCCAGGGACCCCCTCCGCCTCTCCCCGGGGGCTGTGGTCTCCGCGCTCCCGCCGCCCCCGCTTCGGTTCCAGCCCCCGAGCCGGAGCTGCAGGCGCCGAGCAGCTGTGCCGCGGCTTCCCGGGCTGCCAGGCAGCGCGGCCGCCAGGGGTGGGGCGCAGGGAGCGGAGGAGGGAGGACAGCGTGGCGAACGCAAGGCAGCAGCCGGCCCGCCTCTCCGGTTCAGCGCGCCGCGCTCCGCGCCTCCCCGAGCCGGGTCTGCGGCGGCTGCCGGTCACGCTGCGCGGGCTGGCGCGAGGTGCGGAGGTGGGGGCGGGCACGCGCAAGGGGTCGTAGTCATACCCCTCGGTGCGGCACCGGCGCCAGAGCGCGACGCTTCACTGCGTGCGCCGCCCAGGGATGCAGCTACCGGGGACCAGGTGGCCAAGGGAACAGGGTCGGGGTCTGTAGGAACCTGCGACCGTTTCGCTTCTCCGGACCTTGTACGCACACAGACACACTCGCACGCACATACACGGTTACCTCCGGGTCTCCGAGGAACTCCCAGGAAAAACCTAATAGTCACAGGATTTATCATTTATTCCTAAGGTTACGGATCTTTCACTATAGGGAGCTGTGGGGAAGGGGGAAAAGGGGATTCATGGTGTGGAATCCAACCCTTCAGATAATTTTTAGATCTTGAGTATCTCTATCCTTCAGGAAAGTTTTGCTAGCTGGTTTCGAATTTTTACCCTGTCGGTGTCACAAATCTTTATAGACTTTAGGATAAGGCCTTAGTGTGAGCCTGAAATCCTAATCAACTGAAGGACTAATAAGTAGTCAACTAGTTAATTATCTCCATGGAGAAGAAGGGACAGTGGAGGAGAAAGGTGGGTGGTAGTGGAGAGCTAGAGATGCTTAAATTGCAAATGTGTTTAGTAGGTGGGGAGGGTGGGCATCATTAATTAGACCTGAAGAGTGTGCAGTCCGTGGACAGTGTCGTATCAGAGCACCCCTGGGGGAATATGAGTGAGTATGAGTGGGTGCGCTAAGGCATAATGGTTAATGGATCTTCCTGCTGCAGACCATTGTTAAGGTGTAACCCATCTTCCTCCTAGCTCCCAAGATGACTCAATTCCCTGCTAAGATGTCTTCACATTGCCTATTTGGGAGATAGTCCTTGCCCCCGGAGAATATGATCTCTAACTTCCCACAAAGCCTAACACTGTAGGAGGGTGTGTGAGAGAGGACACTTTGGTAGGCACTGGTATCTGGGGTCTGGCTGGAGAAAGAAGCAACGCTGCCACTGCTTTAAAAAACTATAGAGTCTGAATGTCCATTTCAAGTGCTTCTTTGCAGATCTTTTCTTGGTTCTATTTCTTGTTCCGGAAACAACTGCAGCTCAAGCCTTAACTACAGCTGCAGCTTTGTTTTACCTGAGGGAGTAAATGAACTTTTAGCACTTGTGAACCCGTGTGTCATATGGTTGCCTTAAACGAGGCAGGTATTTCAGTTCCATGGAAATTGGTTTTTGCCCTTAGAATATGCCATTTCACTTACAGTCCCAACTTCTAGTATTTCTTTAGCTTATTTAAGATTGGCTATGGCAGTAGTGAAGGCAGTGTCTCTTCCCTATGCAATGATGCTTGAAAAGTACAATGGTCCGTGGCATTAAGGCTTCCTTTGTGAGCAGGCACAGTGGAGGTGAACACGCAGGAATGAAAAGGCCAGTTTCTCCAGGACTTTTCAAGGTCATCCTTTGCAGACAAGAATCTGGCAGAGCATGGCTCACCTGTCTTCCCTTGAAGAAATGCATAATTCTAAGTGTACTTTAGTGTTACCGGACAAGTGTTGGCAACTTGCTTGTAAAAAGAGAATGGATAAGAAAGACTGCACTGCACTAAAAATTGTAGATAGCCTGAAAAATGTAGTAAATGGTGATACGGCAAGTTTTCAAGTAGCCTTATGCAGAGACAATTAGTGTATTTTGGTGTGTGCCAGGGTGGAGAGAGATGCGTGAAAGAGGAAGATGTTCATAATTACTTTTGCAAAGGAAGTTGTGGCTTTGTAGGGAGGGGCTACATGAGAGAGATATAATGCTTAAAAGCCAAGCTAATGGTTCAAAAGAGAGGAAAGAGAAAGGACAAGGAACACTAAATACATCCTTGCTGTGGGAAAGCTGGCCTCTCATTCCCTGTGATGAAATTCTATGTGTGGGTATATAGAAGGCTCATGGCCCTTGGCCCTTTGTTTATTTGGGAATGCTTTCCTGCAAGCTATAATGAATCAAAATGGTTACTGCATGTCGGATGTCTTCGGATAGACTCTCTTGTCATCACGTCTTGAGAGAGGGTGCTAGGTTCTGAGATATAGCAGTGAATAACAGACATGATCCTTGCTGTCAAGGAACTTAAATTCTATGAAGAGTGTGTGTAAGAAGTGCAGATGAACAATAAGCAAATAAAAATGCATAGACAACATCACATAGTGATTAAAAAATACAAAGAAGGACATAAACAAGAACATATCAGTTAGTGATAACTGATGACGAAAATCAGAGTTGTTGATTTGAAACAAGGGGGCAGAGGCTCCAGGTCTGTTCTGTGGAAGCAGCTGAGGAAATGGGAGTAAGAATAACCATTAGGGGCCGGGCACGGTGGCTCACGCCTGTAATCTCAGCACTTTGGGAGGCCGAGGAGGGAGGATCACGAGGTCAGGAGATCAAGACCATTCTGGCTAACACGGTGAAAACCCGTCTCTACTAAAAATACAAAAAATTAGCCGGGAGTGGTAGCGAGCACCTGTAGTCCCAGCTACTCGGGAGGCTGAGGCAGGAGAATGGCGTGAACCCGGGAGGCGGAGCTTGCAGTGAGCCGAGATGGCGCCACTGCACTCCAGCCTGTGCGACAGAGCAAGACTCCGCTCCAAAAAAAAAAAAAAAAAAAAAAAAAGAAAAGAAAAAGGAATAACCATTGGGATGATGACTAGGACTTCCAAAGGGCTAGGCATCCTTCAGACTCTTGGTGGGAATGTTTCCCTGAGTCATGATAGGTACAGATGAATGGAGGAATAAAATATCTATAGCTGTATCTATAGAATGCTTAGGACTCAGCCAAAGAAATTTAGAAAGGTACCCTAGCAGGAAAAAGTAAACTTTCTATTTTAAAAAACAAATATGTTGAAGTCTTTAAAAATTACACCATGATGGCTTGAAAGAGTAAATGCCATATATAGAGATTCCTGATTTACCATGTAGGAGTATGTTTAGGTGCTGAGAAAATCTAGCTCAAGCAATGTCTTCGTAATGTCTAGAAATATAATGGTGTATAAATACATGATTTACGAGTCACAATGAAAATAGTGTTTTATGATAATTCATTCAGTCAACAGATATTTCTTGTGCATCTCCTGTGTGCCAGGCATCGCTGGCACTGCTGTGCTGTCAGGCGCGTAGGTGAATAAAACACATGCATGGAGCATTTATCTAGGAGCAGGAGATAATTTGCAACAGATATAATAAACAAGTATATGAAATTGTTGTTAGATGGTGATAAATACCATGGGAAAAGGAAAAGTAGAGGAGGGTAAGGAGAACTAGAAGGCTGGCTTCAGTTTTATACAGAGTGGTCAGGGAAGGCCTCATTGAGAAGGTGAAATTCCAGCAAAGGTTTGAGAAAGTGAGAGAGCAACCACTTCAAATGTCCTAGCAAGGGCAGATTCCTGGCACTTTCTGGCAACAGCAAGGAGGCTAGTGTAGCAGGAACAGGGTGAGGAAGGAGAAGAACAGAGAGGAATGGGGCCAAAGCACTTGGGACCTTGTAAACCATTGTCAGTTCTTCTCTAATGGGAAGTTAGAGAAACGTTTCAAGCCAAGACTAATATGATCTGACTTACATTTTAAAAGGCTTCTCTGTCTGCTGGTTTAGGTATATGTAAGAGAGAAAAGGTAGGAGTGGGGAGAACACTTGGAAGGCTATTGTGACTCAGGTGTGAGGTGACGAAGGCATGGACTCAAATATTGGCAGCAGAGACAATGAGAACTGGTTAAATCCTAGATATATTTTGAAGATAGAACAAATAGGGTTTCTTGACAGCTTGGATGTAGTATATGAGAGAAAAAGAAATCCTCAAGTATGACTTCATGGTTTTTGGCCTGAGGATAGTGTGGAGACAATTAATTGGCCTCAAGAGGCTTACTAACTTACAAAATTATTTAATAGTTAGATGGTAAAGAACTCTATGCAACCCAGAGAAGCAACAGGACAACTGGCTCTGAAGGGAGTCTGGCAGATGGTAGGTTCTCCCTACTGCTTACTGACCGTATTTCTTCATTTTCATCTGCAACCCTTGGCTTATAGCAGCCATTTGAGCTCTAAAGGTAACCTACATGTTAGGTTGACTCACACATTGTACAACCTCTGTGCAAGTGGAAGAGGGGAATTTACACTTGCTTCAGGATATGCTTTCAACTTAAATGTTTTAGAACTTCAATGTCCATTCTGCACGAATATTTTACCTGCCCATGCGAAATCTGTAATTCCATCAAATCTAGTCTTCATCCATCAACCAGTAATCCTAACTTGGCTATGATAGATATAAATAAGGGAGCAACTTGAACTCCAAAGACCCTCTAAGTTTCAAAGCTGCAGGTAAAATACAGAGAGAAACATTATTGTTTTGATTTAAAGAAATATTCTAACATATGCTTAGAACTAAAAGCTTTTGGAGGTCTTAGAGAAAAACGAACAGATCATTTTTAACAGATTATTTTTTAAAACAGATTTTTAAAAATTTGTTTTCACAGAATGCAAATAACACATTTAAGTTTTTATTATATTATTATTTTTATCATTATTGACAAGCAGCAATTCTGTTGAGCCTAGAGGCCTAAAATTTCTAAGTCATACATATGTATCAGGACCAGTATGCCCTTCTGAGTTGTTTACATTGCTTATTTTTGTCTTTACTATATGTCTCATGAACAATGTATTAGTGTTGCATACACTAATCAGCCGAGGATGAGTAAGATAAAATCTTTCCATCCAAGGAATAAAATGTGTTTTTTCTCAGTAGTCACAAGGCATTCATGTTGGTGTGCTGGAAAATTTTAAAACTTACCAGAATTTACCATCTGTTCCTGTTTTTAGCTAGTCTGTTTAACCACGTTTCTTCTATTAATTGTCCTTCTGCAATACAATTAACATTTACACTGTTTTTCTAATCAGATGAAATCATAAAATTAAAGATCTATTGGAGATATATGAGTAGTGATTAAGTTAAAGAGGTCCCTTCCCCAAATAAATCAACATTTTAGATTGTGCAGAGGAAAACTAATACCAAAACATTTCTCCAAGAATGTCCCTCTCTTGTGCAAAAATGTTGAGTGGCCACCATTTTCTTCACCATCCATTATGGTACTCACTAGCGTCACATGGCTATTTACACTTAAATATTAGATTGGTGCAAAAGTAATTGCAGTTTTTGCCATTTGCAATTATTTTTAATGGCAAAAACTGCATTTACTTTTGCACCAACCTGACAAATACAATTAGTTTCCTGTTTTGTACTTAGTCAAATATTTCCATACCTCCAAGGCTCCATTTAAAGACAACCTTCTCTCTAAAAGCCATCTTTATTTAGCCCTAATGGATTTAAGTGATTTCTTCCTTTATCCTCTTTAGAATGTTACTTGTACCTCTATCCTGCCTTCTTCCTTATTTATGTACCTTTGTTTTTCTCATCTGCCTTGACCCAAAAATGTGTCTTCATGGTTTACCCTTATGCAGTTTATCATGTACATAATAAATACTCTAAAATTATGATTTGAATAATTTATAATACATTTAAATATTACTTCTGTTTTGTGAGCATATGCAGCCCCATTGCTTGATGTGCTTTGAATTTGTAAATGTATTTGCTCCGTTATTTTCTAGGGTTATCATTTTCAAATTCTATCAACATTAACTAATCTTGAGATGTCGGGGAAAAGAAGACTAATTGCAGCAAGTTATAGACCCAAGTTTCTCTATTCATGACTATGATTTGTGCTCGAGTATTTGAATTGCCTTCATGATTATCTCTCATGCCTGTAGCTAACAAACAGGATGCAATTTAAATCAAACAAATAGAGTGTCTACTAATCCCTGATAATTGGTGCTAGGTGTCCTTCCCATCCAGCTGTCCCTGGTCACCAGTTTTACAGAATCGCAATCATTAGGACAGAAAAAGATTGTTATGAGCTTGTTCGTGCCGTTTCTAAAAACTAGCCTGTTGTTACACTTCCATTATTTGGATCAAAACAAAGCTTCTCATCAGTTAATCTATTTTCAAATTACAAGCTCCAAATAGATTCTCAGAGGTCATTAATCATCTCACCTCCAGAAAATACAACACAAGCCCATGGCATATTCCTTTTAAGGAAATGTTGTATTGTGTTCCTCTTGTCTTCCACAATATTCTTGTTTGTAATTTTCAGAAATTGGAAGGTGATATTTGTTAAGATTATTTCATGCTAATGAAATGTTGGAAGTCTCAATGTTGGAACTACTTTTGATGCAGACATTTTTGCTCCTTAGTTCAGCTAAAACGAGGTTCTTGTCCTGCAACCAGGAAAGATTAGGCATGCAGACACATTGAAAGGTGAGGAGAGCAGAATTTATTAAAAGAAAGCTCTCAGCAAAAAAAGAAGAGGTCCTGCTAATAGGCTCCCACCTCACAGATTGAACAGAACGCCAGGCCACCACCCATGGGCTGAAGAGGCCAGGCTCCTCCCTGCTGCGCAAGGAACGAATTCCTGTGGCTCCACCCCATCCCCCCAGTGCTCATGTGGGCACTATTCAGAAAGAATTAGTTGAGAAAGGGTGGGTAAACAGGGGCAGTTCTCCCTCTGGGTCTGGGTTTCATCTGGGACCAGCAGTCTGCTCTGTCAGCCTTCAGGCTGTTTTAGGCTTGAAGGTGGGATTTCGCCGGGGATCCTTGGTTATCTCCTGTCTCTGTCACTTTTATGAAAGCAGAAGAGAAGTTTTTGTATATCTCTGTTATCCTGAGCACCCACTTTCAAAAGAAGGTGTTTCCTAACATGGCCCTGGTGGCTTCATGGGGACAATCACCCTGGCATTTCATATCTACAATTTGATAAGAGTAAAAGGAAAAAGTATTCTTATGCTCAGTCTGAAGTATTCATTAAATACTTTTTAAATGTATTCTAAACACCTTTCAACTCATCTATCTTATAGTTACACCAATGGCCTCTCAGAAGGCGACGTTTTTACCTGTTTATCTTCAGCCTTGGCTTTTCTGTGCTCCACTTCTGCCGTGGCAATGGGTTGCTAGATATCCATAGTTTCATTTAGCTAACATTTATTGATCACATACTATATGCCAAGCACTGTGCTAGGTTTTTAGGAAACAAAGTCATAGCCAGTGTGGCAAAATGCTCATGATCTCCCCAAAGGAAAAGGCTACTAAACCAGAGAGACTATAAAAACAGAGTAGAAACAGCATAGGCTGTGGAGTCATAATTTCTAGCCTTGTCTCATTCTTACTCAGCTATCTGATGTCCACAATTTACTAACGAGTCCAAGCCTCAGTTTTCTCCTTTATGAAAATGAGCATATTAATCCCTAGCTCACTGAATTGTTGTGAGGGTTAATTGAGCTGGTAAGTGCAGAGTTGAAACTAAATCTAATTCTCAGCCTCCAAATTCCAATTCATTGCCTACTGAATTTCTTAATCTATCATTGAAGACCCTGATCCTCATTAACCATTACTCCCTCTCCCTCGTTGTAAATGCACGTTGAATTGATTGGGTGCACTTGTCTGATGCTCTGAGTAGTCTGTCTGCCTGGAATACCTCCCCAGTTCTGCGTGGCTAAATTCTTCCTGCTTCAAGGATCTTGTTGAAATATCATCTTCTTCATAAAGCTTTCTTGGCTTCTGCATCATGAAATAACTGCTTCCCATAAAATCCTGCAGCATTTTTTAAAAATATGCTTTTATGAAGCAAGGTACATGGAGTACTAGAATAAGAATGGTAATTAATATCAGTGCATCAAAAACATTATAACTGTAGCAATAGTTTGTCATTTGAGCTTGAGAAAGATGTGGTGATGCAATCTTCACTTTGAAATGAAAAGAACCTAAGGGAGTGTGGAAAAGGGATGATCAGTTTTCTCCATGGCCAGCCCTCAGTCAGCCCTTGCTACTTCTACTTCCCCACATTTACCTTCTCATTCTCTTCAGGAAGCTGATTCTAAAGCAAATTGGAAATGGTGATAATGAACCAGATATAAAAACCAGCTGATATAAGTCCTTATGTGCACCTTCAAAGTGGGTGTTTTTAAGCTGTATTTGTTACCCTGGTTCTTAGTAAACATGGGTTTGTTGGCTTATTTTTGTTTGAACCATCTCTCTAAAGTCTTGAATACTTGAAAATATGTTAGCATCTAGAGCTTAGGAATGTTTTAATTATTGAATGAAGAGTGGATTTCGCTGTAATCTAATTTGCTTCATATGCCATTAGACCACTCATCCAATAAATATGTTGAATCTTCATAAAAAATATATTTATAGAAGCAATTTGGTACTCATTGTTGTTAGAAAGTTTGATTTCAAGGACTTTGAGAATACATAATAATTTAAATCATTTATTACCAAAATCACTTTCTGTGTTTGTGCAAATATTAGTAAATGTCATTGATCTCTACTAAATGCCTAGGCTCTCTGAGGAGTAAATATGATTTTATGGTGAACTATCGCCAATTTCATGGCAGTCATCAACAACTAGGCAAGGAGCACAGGTACTGGAACCAAACCAGTAGACAGTTGCAGATAGTTTTACATGTCCACCGATACTGCTAATCATACCTCCTCTCACAGGAGAAACTATCATCTCTACTCTGAATTATGTATAATATGAGTTTACATATGAATATGTACAAATGATTCCAATGAACTCTGTGAACAACTCTACCGTATTAATCCCAATTCACAGATATACTTTCATACTCTATGCACTGAAGCAAAAGGTCTTTTTGTTTGCTTTCTTGTATTGTTTCTGCATTGGTCATTAGCAGGAGTTTTAAAACACTGTTGATTTAGCACCTCTAGACATTGAATTTCAAGATCTTGGTCATTTTATCTCTCTCTACCAGCCAAAACACACTATATAGCATAAATACCCCCTTTTTGTTGTTGTTAATACTGCCAAAGAACTTATTTTTTACTTTCCAGGTTCTCTAGAATTGTATATCTTTTATTAACAAAAGATTTTTTATTGAATATCTCTGCTGCATATTTCCCATATTCTCTAAGATTTGATATGCATTTTTTCTTTATTTATCTGTTATCTTCATTTAACCAGCATTCTTAGTTATTTTACTCTATACAGAAGGCTTATATTACCCAAATGACCCTTGGAAAACAGTCTGCTGATTGCCATTGCCCACTGCTAAATTTCTATATGAGACATTTCACATTGAAATACTTGACCCAAATTAGCACGAGGGAACTGGTGATATAAACTTGTTTCCTATTTTAACCGTTTCTACATATAGCAGCTGCACCTTCACCTTTACCTCAGTCATAGGGTGGAGTGCCCAACCTGGGCATCCTCCTGAGAGAAGGTAAATCTAATAGATGGGCATAACTTATGCCCCTGGGGAAGTGTTCACCATTCTTTTTTAGTGGCACATACCACTTTCTCATTAGTTGTTAGGAAAATAGGATCTGGTAATAATTTGTTGAGTGGCTATTATGAGCTGAGAGCACTCCCTTCTTCACAGCCCCATGACTGGAAGTTTGAATGTGAACACAGAAAAGAAGGAACCTGATCTCTCTCCTTTGGTGCCCTCACTGATGGAAAAAATATTGAACCTGACTATTACATAGCCTCTCTAATGTTATAGCACCACATAGCAACATCAAAAGGCTCCTGAGGAGACTGGGAAATCAATTCTACATGTGATTATGAACCACATATGGAAAAAATTCCACCAGTGTCTTCATTGAACTAGGCAGGCTAGTGCCTTAAATTATTCTGGAACCAATAAGTTCACAGCTGACTTATAATCATTTCCCTTCATGTGATTTGAACTGTGAGTCATCTGTTCCACTGAAATTGTGGACACATTGGTATATTTTTAACTTACTATGAGCCACTCTTCTAGAATAAAACAGAACAGAAATGCAATATGCAATTGTCTAAGAGGAAATAGTGTGCAAGGTCTTGAGTGGAGATCTATGTGCTGGATCTTGCAGGAGGTGATGAAGGTCTTCAGGGCTGCAGCTCTCTGTACATATTCCTTAGAGCTGTCTTCCCAATGCAGGACCAGAAGAAACACAATTTCCCAGAATGAATCATTCCCCTGGGCTCCTGTGCCCTTGGTTTCTGTGTCCGCCTCTCTTCAGGACCCTGTCTTATTCATCTTTACATCTCCCAAACCAAGCACTGCTATCTACATAATAGTAGTATCTGCACACATATCTGTTGAATATATCCACTCATTCATTCATTCCTTTATTTTACAGATATTTATATTCAAGAGCCTGTGATAGGCACTGGGGATTCAGCAGAGAACAAAACAGATAATTCCTCCCTGGAAAGAGCTTAAGTGTGTGTGTGTATGTGTGTTTGGGGGTGGAGTAAGTCAGACTGTACATTCACAATTACACAAATAATTCCAGCTACAAGATTTATATGTGTTCTGAAGGACTAGGGAGTCCTGACCAAACCCTGCTAATTAACTAGCAATATGGCACTGGCCAAATTACTTAACCCTCTGAGTCTTAGTTTTCTCATTTGTAAAAGAAGAAATTTGGTTCAGCTGATGTGTAACATCTCTTTTACACCTGAGTTTTATGATTCTGTGCTTGCTTTGTGAAAAACTGTGTTTTGTACAAAGGGCATCTGATTAAAATTATTCCTTAAAAAATACCAGTAACAATGATCAGAAGGCAGTTATTTTATAAATTTTCAAACTTTCAGTGACCATAATGGAAACCACCACATGAAGGGAAATGAAAGAAATCTGTTAAACAAACAAAAAAACACAAACAAAAACACAGTTATATTAAGAATTGAAGAAAAATGAATAAAATGTCTTGAATCTTAAATGAGTTGACATCATTTTGGATGACTAACAGGACAGTGTGAAGTATTATGGGAGACCTTTTCCAGCTCCAGGTGACAAATAGTGTGGGGTTATAAGAGATAACACCTGATTGAGAATAAAATTACTGAAGTTTGTAGTGCTCAGTTTTAACAGAGGCCCTGTTCTTGGTAAGAGACTTCTGGTTTATTCCCAGGTGAAAGAAGCCAAACTGAACTGATGATCTTTACCAGTGAGAAAGATAAGAAGCCCCGGGGGACTGGGAGAGTAGAGTGTTTTAGGGATTATCTCCTCCTCTTTCATGGAGGAAAGAAGGAAACACTCAAATGCTTCCCTTTCTTGAAGCTGAAGGAAGGTAGGCCAAGAGATGCCCTCCTAAAGTTTGTGGACGGGCTGGCAGAAGAAAAGTCTGACATCTCTGCCGGGTGCGGTGGCTCACGCCTGTAATCCCAGGACTTTGGGAGGCCAACGCGGGCGGATCACGAGGTCAGTAGATTGAGACCATCCTGGCTAACACGGTGAAACCCCGTCTCTACTAAAAATACAAAAAATTAGCCGAGTGTAGTGGCGGGCGCCTGTAGTCCCAGCTACTCGGGAGGCTGAGGCAGGAGAATGGCGTGAACCCGGGAGGCGGAGCTTGCAGTGAGCCGAGATAGGCCACTGCAGTCCGGCCTGGGCGAAAGAGCAAGACTCCATCTCAAAAAAAAAAAAGAAAAGAAAAGTCTGACATCTCAAATCCTGGTGGTTGTCTGCGGACCCAGGGCTTGCTGTTCTGCCCTAGGGCTATTGGAGTGAGGGAGAGATCACTGGCAAGAGATGGTATCACTGTAGTAAGCCAGGTGGTCTGAGAGAAGAACTTTCCCTGCAAGCTCACTACTCCCAAGAGATACAGCAGAGAGTCTATGAGATGGGAGGGAGCACAGGCTTGCTGGGGATTGCTGCAGCATGAAAGGAAGGGGCCCTGCATAAAAAGGATGTAGCCTCATGCTAAATAGGTATTCTCCAACTGAGCAGGCCCAGTCTCACAAAGTACCACCAGTGACCATGGAGAGTTTTAGGGATCTGAGTCTGTTGGGTCCCCACTCATCCCATACTGAGACAGTAGGTCAGAAGCTGGATCAATGGTGAAAATCACAGAAAGGGGACAACAACTCTGCCACCACACTGGTGGAAGCAGTCATAAAAGAGCACAGTGGTTACATCCAGGAAAGACTGCATCAATCCAGTAACCCTGGGTAGTCTAGTAAGAATACATTCATCCCTTTCCCTTCCCTGAGATGAGGCAGAGTTAGTTGGGGAGACTGACCCCTAACTAAGCCAGTAGATTCCAGATCATGAATTGTATGAGCTTCAGATCTTGGGTTCTAATAGCTCTAGGTCAAGCAACAGCTAAACAAAGGACATCATCCAGCAGACCAGAGGAGGCAGAGGATCTGGTGTCTGAGAAGTTTTTTCTGTCACATCCTCACCAGGCCACATCTTGCCCTCATCACATGATGATGATTTCAGGAAGGGAGGCAAGGGAAGGCCGCCTAAGAGCTGATATATGTTTATCTAAGACTGAGTACTACCCAAATGGGTATTTAAATGATTATATGACACTAAGCTTTAAGACAATGAATGAGGGGTTCAGGGGAAGTCTAGAATGGTCATAAACAAAATAAAGTATGTATATTGATGTTGTATAGCTGGGTTTTCAAGTCTGGATTTCTGACTCCCTACACATTGAGTAAAGAAAAAATTGGATCACAAAAAGTCTGAATAATTACATTGTTTTAAGAAGCAATGTATTGTAGAAGTAGTGTGATGCAGAAAAACGATCTATGATAGAGCCTATTTTGAAATGAAGTAGAGCAGCTTCATTTCTCAGTTCTGTCACCTATTATGTATGTGGTCTTGGGCACATTGCTTAATCTATCTGCCTCAATTTCTTTATCTTTAGAAAAGATAAAATAATAGCTACCCTGTTGGATTGTATAAGGATTAAAAATAACGTGCACAGAGTTCAAATACAGTTCCTGACACACAAACAATGGCAATTACTATTAGTATGATTACTATATGCTGTGGCTGTGTTACTTTTCTTTTTCTTTTTTCCCCCACCTTTCTCGCAAGTCTTACTTTTTCTATAACAGGGAAGTCAGAATCTCTGGTCCCTGCTTACTATTTGCTTTGTATGAATAAGTTTTGATGAATCTCTTAGCCAATTTTCCTACTATATATTATAGACAGCCTGCATTGCCAAGAACCACACTGAGGTTAAAGTCTGTTTGTTATTGGTATTACTTTGTAGAATCTTTAAGCTAAAATATACTTCCTTAATAAATCATAGGTAAATAAATAAAAATAAAATGTGAAAATAAACTTTAGACATTAATGAAATCCTTGAGACTTGTTTTTTAGACAGTGGAAATGGAGAGATGAGAATTTTTTATTTAATTCTCAAAAGGTTGCCAATTAGATTATTTTTAGCTCCCAGTTCTCCTCCAAACTAGTAGGAGTATTTTGTCCTGAAACATCAAAAAATTATTTTAATTCCTTCTAAAGAGCTGAATAGGTACATGTCTAGATGGAAAAAGTATGGAGAAAACAGGCTATTTGTGAAAAGAATAACAAATAACAAGAATGTATTCCTAAAATAGTATAATTTACCAATTCTATAATCACGTAAATAACAAAGGATACTGAGATTTTGTTTCTGGTAATTTATTTTTCCTATTTATCCATAGCATTTCTCTACACCAAAAAAGATGTTTACTAACATCCATTAAATAAAAAACAGCAAAAACAAACATCATTCAAGCTTCTTAATTCAGGATGACATAATGTACGCAAACCCACACCATCGATATGAAAATAGAGAAGCTGTAAAGCATCCAGATATTTCCTATACCTAGATATCTATCGTTTATTATTTAAATAAAAATATTTCTGTCTGAATTTTCTTAGTTCAGATCTGATCTCCTAATCATGTGTACTCACAATTTCAATACTGCCCCGATGTTTCTGCTGCCTGTGATTACAATGACTCTCTTCTATGTTACAACTATAGCAATCATACTCCCGGATGTTCTGAGGCACCTGCAAATTCAAATGTTCTGTTGTCAGTCCCTCTTCCCCACTCATCTATGAGCACTGAGTGCTTTCTAGCTATAGGCTCTGCCTCACCTTGTCTTTTTGTCATATTTGCTTTTTTAAAAGCAGATGAAAAAAATCAGATGGAGTTCAGAATCAGTTGTTGATTTACATTATCAATATATGAATCATGTAGAAGTCTAATACTCAAATTAGCAATAAACTCAAGTGTCAGCAGAATAATACATCCCACATTTTTCTCTACCTCGCTGATGGTTCCTTTTTTGTTATTTCATTGCTTCCTCTTCATCTCCCTGACTGCTAATTGTGAAAGGCACCAGCACTCAGCCCTTGGACACCTTGTTTTTCTCTGTATGGACTTACTCCCTTTGTGATCTCATCCAGCCTCATGGCTTTATATGCCATCTATATGCCCTTAGTCTTTAGAAATTTATGTCCTCAGCCTAGACATTTACTCAAACTACAGAAACTCTTGTATACAATGCCTACTTGTTAATTCCACTCTAAAGTCTAATTGGCACCTCCAATTTAATATTCCTAAATCAACTTCCTGATCATCCCCTCTTCTCCTAGTCCTTATGAAGTTTTTTCCACCTCTGTTAATGGCAAGTGAATTCTGCCAGTTGCCTAGGCCAGAAGAAGTTTGGGGTTATTCTTGAATCTTTCTTTCATCACTCACATCCTGTTGACTGTAGCTTCAAAACGTATCCAGAATCTAACTTCTCTTCACCATCATCATTACCACCACCTTGATCCAAATACCATCATTTCTCACCTGCATTTTTGCAGTAGCCTCCTGCTGGTCTCCCTGCTTTCACTTTCTGCTGCCTGCCTCTATTCTCAACTCAGCAACTAGAGTGGTGCTGTCAAAAATTAAGTCCAATCCTGTCATTCTTTACTCAAAACCCATCACACATCAGAGAAAAACCCAAAATTATTTTACAGTGGCCAAAAGTGCCCTATGTAACCCACCCTTAAACACACACACACACACACACACACAACTATACTTCTCCACTCCTTTGTTCTAACCTCATGACCTATCTCCTACTATTCCCATCCTTCTCTGCCTTCTTCATTCTGCTTCCCTGTGATTCCCAGGTCCCTCCAGGTATGTTCTTTTCTCAGGGCCTCTCACTTGCTGTTTCTTCTGCCTGGACTGCTCTTCCCTCAAATTACCATGTGGTCTATTCCCTAACCTCCTCATGCCTTTGCTCTAATGTCCTCTTCTCGGTGGTTCCTTCCCTTCCTTGACAACCTTATTTTAAACTGTAAACCTCCTTTCCCTGACTGCCCCAGAACTTCCTATTCCTCTCTCCTGTCTTATTTTTCTATATACTGCTGATCACTACCTAACAAACTATACAGTTTGACAGTTTGTTGTTTATAGTTTCTATTGGATGGCCTTCTCCCAGTAAGAAGCTAAGTTCCAGGCCAGGCATGGTGGCTCATGCCTGTAATCCCAGCACTCTGGAAGGCTGAGGCAGGAGAATTGTTTGAGGCCAGGAGTTAGAAACCAGCCTGGTTAACATAGCAAGATCCTGTTTCTACATCCCACTCATCACCCTTTCTTCTCCATAGATCATTCAGCTTCATGTACAGCCCCTGTTGCCCCAGGTTGGTGTCTCTCCTCTGGGCTGGGTATGGGTGGTATTGCCCATCTTTCTTTGCCCTAGAGCCATGATTCTGCCAGACCAGACCCTTCTCTCTGTGCCAATTTCACAAACCAGGTTCACCGAGACAACTGTCCTGCACCCCTGTGCAGGATTTGGGGATCTTTTTTTATTACTAATTTGTTTGTAATATATATGTCATTGTATTTTAACCAATGTGGAATAGAAACTAGCTGGCCAAAATTTTACTTTGAAAACCTGCAATGAACTAAAGTCCACTTCATTATTTTTTATTCTTAGAAAAATCTCTTTTTAATTTTTGGATAAGAAGAAGCAGTGTATACTAGTTAAGAAGGCAGACTCTAGAGTCTGATGGATGGGATCTAAATCCCGGCTCTGCCCTTTATAGCAAGTCACGTATGCTCTTTGGCAAGTGACTCAAGCTCTCAATACCTTAATTTCCTCATCTGAACAATGCGGATAAAATTAGTACTACTGTAGTGAGTTGTTGTGAGTATTCAATGAGTTAATACATGCAAAGCTTGAATTGGTGTTCATTAAATGTTAGCTGTTATTATTATTGTGAAGTGGCTTCAGTGAGACCAGTGGACAAGGCAACACAGAAACAAAGTACATCTGCAGAATTTCTATAAAGATTAATTCAGGATTTTTCTTAATTTAAGCTATTTTCAAAATATACAAATAATACAACTTTCTTCCCAAATTGAAGAGAACTCTAGGCAGGGGCTTTAGCAGGAGAAGAGGAGTTCAGATAGCAAGGACATGCAGGCTGAGAAGCAGAAGTGACCACTAAGTGTGGCTGGGAGGGATGATATTGAGCTCCTCTGCACACCTGCTGTGAGGATTTAATGGGAAAAGGCACCATTGAATGAGAGTTTGACCTTCCCCTCTGTGTGTTATTCTAGGGGAAAAGAAAAGTGTAAATCCAGCTGATATAGTATGTATGCCCTGTGTGCTGAGAATCTGCAGGAGGTGAAAACTCCCAGTAAAGCTGAAGGAGACGCAATAGCAGGGTTTGGTTGCAGGAGAACCATGAGTCCCCCTGCCTCCTTGGAGCAGCAGGTGGCCCCTTACTCCATTAGGTCAAAAGAAGAATCCAGCATGTGGTCTAGCACAGGCTAGATGCTAGCCTGACATTCCATGTCACTGTGAAGGGTGAATGAAGAAATTCAAGCTACTACCCCACATCAGTGGCAGCAGGTAAATATTCACTAACATCTATTGGCTTCTGGAACTTCTGCTAAACTGAATTTAGAATCTTGTTCTTCGTATCCTGGGATTTCTTCCTCTCCTCTCATACATTCCAGTGTCCATGCACACTAAATGATTTTTATTGTTGAAATTATATTTTCTGCTGAATGATAGTTATCTTTTGGTCTAGCCAAGTAGGCACCTTGCCCACATTATATGCTTGATAAATATTTGTTGAATAAAGAATTAACAAATCAAGAATATAGACTCAAGGATTTAAAATTTCAAAAGATATAGAAGTGAAAAAGAAAATTCTACTTTTTCACCTTCTATGCCAACATTTTATCCCATTGCCAAAGGGTACCTACTATTAGTAGGGTCTTATTTTTCTTTACAGAAAGTATCTATAAATATAAAAGCATATGCTTTTATTTTATGTAAATAGAATGAAGTTTCTATCTATTTGTCTCTGTTACCATATCATACAAAAATACCTAGGCGATATTCCATCACACTTGAGAGGAATTCATTTAAGATGGGTTGGTTTAAAATACAGACTGTGTAACAGAGATGAAATTCATTTTGGAGAAGCCAATGGGTCATTCCAAAAGAGTAGGCAGTTATCCTCTAAAGCAACTGACACTGACGTACAGGAAGTTTGTTTTGTACTGCCAACTGGAAGAAGTTCCACACAGATTAAAAGATCAAGGACAGAGAAACCAGACTAGAATTTCAGATGTGGATCCCAATGGGAAATTCATAGGGGTAGGCCCTTCAAATTGCAGTTGCTAATTTCTGATGAAGATCTTTCTCAGGTGAGAGTTTTTTGCAGTACTCTTTAGGAGGAGTAGCGACAGGGATTTATTTATATAATGTTGGTTCCTAAATTTCTCCAACCACTCTGGGCAGGTTTGCCAATTCTACATAGATCCTTTCCTCCCCAACATATCTTATTTTGCAGTGTACACAGCAAATATATGCATGTCTACTCTGAGCCAGGCACCATGTTAAGTGATAAGGCTATAAAAGTAAACATCTGAATCTTGACCTCACAGAGTTCAAGTCGAATTAAAAAAAAAAAAAATTCCACTAATGGTCTGGAGGGTATATCAGATGTCAATTTTGAGCCTGTCAGATGCATTTTGAGTCTGCAGTTCTTAGCCTTGAAGGGAGGAGAGCACAGAGAAGGCATCCCCAGATGCTATGGATGAGTTTTTGAATGGTCCCTTATGCATACATGTTCATTCATTCAACAAATATTTACTTACTGCAAATATTTGTTTGATATGCCTTTGTAGGTCACTCTGAAGACTTTAGCTTTTACTCTGGGTGAGATGGAAGTGATTGGAGTGTTTTGAGCAGAGGAATGACATGATCTGACTTACAGATTGACTATGGCTACTGTTTGGAGCACAGAGTCTAGGGATCAAGGGCAGAGAAACCAGGAGGCTATTACAATGATCCAGAGAGAGATGATGGTGGCTTAGATCAGGGTGTTGATGGTGGAGGTGATAAAAACCAGGCTGTTGATGGTGGAGGTGATAAAAATCAGTTGTATTTAGGTTATATTCTGAAGACATGTTTGATAATGGATTCGATATGGGATGTGACCATGTTATCAATCAAGAGTTGGATTTAACAAGGTTTAGGCTTTAGCCAAGCATGTAAGCTGTATGCTGAAGCATGATGAAGTAAGCATGAATACAAGAGGACTGATTATAATAATTGAACACAGACGTTAAGTTACAGGAAGAGGGCTGTGAGGACCTTGATGAGGTGAGGGAAAGTGAAAAGGTGGCAGAGTCAGTAGATTGTTGGCTTTGACATGGTCAGAAATCTTACCTTTGGAGACAGGGTTCTAAGAAAAATAGCGGCAGTGTGGTGGCTCATGCCTATAATCCTAGCACTTTGGGAGGCCAAGGCAGGCAGATTACTTGAGCCCAGGAGTTAGAGACCAGCCTGGGCAACAAAATGAGATCCTGTCTCTACAAAAAATACAACAATTAGCCTTGTGTAGTGGCATACACCTGTAGTTCCAGCTACTTGGGAGGCTGTATGGGAGGGTCACTTGAGCCTACAAGGAGGAGGTTGCAGTGAGCAGAGATTGTGCCACTGCACTCCAGCCTGGATGCAGAGTGAGACTGTCAGCAAAGGGGAGGGGAGGGGAGGGGAAGGGAAGGGGAGGGGAGGGGAGGGGAGGAGAGGACAGGGGAGGGGAGGGGAGGGGAAGGGAGGGGAAGGGAGGGGAAGGGAAGGAAAGGGAAGGGGAGGGAGGGGAAGGGAAGGAAAGGGAAAGGGAGGGGAGGGGAGGGGAGGGGAGGGCAGGAGATAGGAGGGGAGGGAAGGTAAATAGATGGCGGTGGGAAGACGGATGGTGGAAATTTAGGTTAAGGAAGAGTTGCAATTTTTGGTAATTTTAAAGTCTAAGATATACCATAAGAATGAGCAATGGTGGTGATAAACAGGATCCTGGAGAAGGGGAGGTAAAGGAAGTTAGAGGCTAGAGTATTGGAAGGATCATCTATGTGGATTTTGAAATCACTAAGAATTAAGACAGTAATAATGTTGAAGAGGGTGACCATGATCTGTAATTGAAATCTGGTGGATGCCTGCAACAAGAAGAGGCAATGGTATTGTCTAGTCAGGTGATATGAGATTCAAAGTTAGAGAGTTTTAGGGAGGATGAAAAGAGAATTATTTGGAGTGAAAAAAGGAGGACGCCTACTTCTGTGTTACCTGCAGGCATAATATTTTCAGAATATGAAAGAAAAACAGCTACCACATGAGAGGGCTCTGGGGAGAGCCAAGTTTACAGTAAAGCAAGAAGGTGAGAGAAATGTTGACAGAAGAGACTGAGAAAATAAGAGTTTGCTGATGATGGACTGTGAGTTCAAGAGGACATAAGTCTTTCTGCCTCCACTCCTTACTCTTGCCATTGGATAAATAGAGGCTGAGAGCATGGTGGTCTTATTCTGAGAGCCCCCTGGCAGGCATGAGCTTTCTAGGCTTTGATAAATCATGTATCATGGCATGTGCCAGAGAATGGATTTTGGGTTTCTGCAGTGGAAATGCCTTTTGTATTTTAGGGTTAATACATTTTGTCTACTATAGGAAGCACCTAGAAGTAGAACTAATCCACATACCCATTATGGGTTTTCTGTAATGGACACCTGAAAGGACTAATCAGAAATTTAGACAGGATCTATCTAGATTGATAATGGCATGGTAAGACTAGAACTCTTGAGCAAACAGTGGGGAACAAAGACTTCCTGAACCTCTCAGTAAGTCCCCTGTCTGATAAAGGAATTAACACTAAAATAGAAGAGAGTTGAGGTTCCTGAGAAATTTTGCAGTGCAAAACCGATTAATTTCAGTAATTCTGCTGGGTAAAAGTTCAGCACCAAAGACTACATTCATTACCTAGTTTTGCTATACTCACCCCCTTGCCTCTCTGCTATCTGGTTGGGGTGCCTGGGAAAGCCAGGGTTGTATACATCTGAAATTGATTAAATCTAACACTGCTTGACACTGAAGTAGCACACTGCTCCTTTTATCTTAATAAGTATTCTATGACATTAATTCAGAGTAGTAAATGGAGTTAGATTTTCTTTATAAAGCTTTTTTCATTAGTCTAAATTACACTACACTTTACTTACATCCCTCAGATGAAATAATGAATAAATTTTTAAAAGCACCTTCTTCCACGATATGATATTTTGAGGTAAAAACTGATCTTTTGTTCAAGTAATTTCAAAAACATTCTATTGACTTGTTTCTGGGAGATTCCATTTATATATTCATAGAATAGAAATTGAATGGTATTTCATATACTTAAGCTGTACAAATGATATTTGCTACCCTTTATAGCCATCGCTGGAAGAGCAGTAATAAAAAACTAAGTGAATGTATCAATTATATACAACAGAATGCAAATTTATTTTTCACCAACACCCATAACCTTATATATAATGCTGCAGCACTGTTACATATTGCTTAGGCACAATTTTGTCCTTAATTTTTTTTAGCATTTTTTGCCTTTTTTTGTCTCTATCAAAAATAGAATATTGTGATTTTTCATGGATCAAAATAGTTGTTAGGCTTGTATGTGTAGCAGATACAAGTTTCACAGACACAAATTCATGTGTGCAAAAATGGCAACTCACTTTATTTTCCCATAACTAAATTTCATTTCTACTTCTAGCTCCTGTTTCCTCCTGATGGCAGAAAGCTTTATCTTGTTACTTGAGGTAAACTCAGGAGAATACAGTAATTTCCCAATTATTTAGGTTTAAATGTAGTCCAGTTCAGAGCACTTTCTTTTCTTCCCTTCTCCCAGGATGGCATCTCTTTTAGCGAGGGGGCAGGGACTGGGGGCATCGCATATGGCATTATGGCATTGGATACGCAGAGAATTCTGCTCTGGAATTTACTGAGGTGGCTGGTAATTGTGCATGCTCACATACACTGGGTCTGCATCTGGTTTCCTATTTGCACAGTCCACATTGGTATCTTCAGATGTGGTCTTCATGGACTATAAGATATTTGGGCCTCTCGCTGTTTCCTTTGTATAAGTTATTCTCTGGAGTGAAGGGAAGGTTTGGTCAGCCTCATCCCTCTTTGGGGCTATGAACAACCCAGAGCTGCCATCAGGCTATCTGTCCCACTACTTCTTCTCATTGTGTTCAAAGCACTTCTTTGAGGTCATCTGTGTTTCATTTTCAGAGTTGCAGATATGAAGCAGACACAAATTCCTTTATGGAAATCCCCCAAAGTTTTATGGTGGGCCTGGTATCCACCACACTTCCCGAAGACCAGTTCTTGGAGTGGGCCGGAAAAAGACCTTCCATATGGACCTGTCAGGGACTAAGCTTTCTCCTTCTGCTCTTGAAACTTCTGAGAGGACGGCAAGTGCGTATTACTCTGGCTCTTTATAAGAAGAAATCCCAGACCTCAGTTCTACAGCTCAGTCTCTTAAAACTCAAAAACCTATTAACTTCAAGAGCCTAGTTTGAAATTCAAAATATGAGTGTTGACCATTTCTTTCTGCTACCCCCTGGAGGCAATGATGTCTTGACCAAGTAGTGGGAGCTACTTATGTGAGGAAGTGCTAGGGAATGGGCAGAGGATGAGGATGTAGAAGGGACTGGAAGACACATTGGTGAGTACCTGAAGCTATTATCCCACGGCATCTACTCTGACCTAGTGAACACTGCCATTTGTATATTCCTCTCCAGGTTCTACTACCTTCATCTATTTTAATTTTCTTCCTACCTTTTTCATCAGTCTGCTTTAAGTTTTTTCTTACCTCTTCAGTCACTTCAGTCGCTTCTTTTTTCTCTGTTTCTACTTTTTTTTCTCTGTTTTGTCCCAAACAGTGAGATTCTGATTTTGGCTCTTGATTGTTCTCCCTTCTTACCCTCTGTCTTTTTGAAACTTCAAGCATTTCTATACGATCCTGTGGTATATCTATACAAACTAATGCCTGGTTACCATCCTGACCTCCAATCTCACATTTCAATGACCATGAAGACATTTTTACTAGGGCCTATCATCACCTCAAAGTAACGTGTCCAAAAACATACTCTTCATCTTCTCCCCACCTTTCAAAACTAACTCTCACTTTCCTCCCCATTTTTCTGGTCACGGTGTTGACAATTATTCTTGCTTTTGGCTTCTAACAGTCATCAAATCTCATGCATTATTATTTTGAAATATCTCTTATATTTGCAACCCCATCTGCATTCTGACTCTCCCCAAGGGCCTGTGGCAGCCTATTAGCCCAGTAGTTGCACTCTGACTTAGGAATTTCCTACTGTTGCCTCCTTCTGCCCTGTCCATCCTGGCTGGATCTCTCGGTTACTTTTACCCTGTTTTGGCTCTACACCTTGGTTTCCACATTTCAACTTGCTTTTTAGATGGGTAAATAGATTTTGGGTGTTCTAGCCTGGCTCTGGGTCTAAGTGTCTCACAGAGTATTTGTTTTTCAGTCTCTTGTCCCAACTCTAGATGTGACTTGATTGATGAAACTTCCACTTGATAGAGACTAGTTCTCACCTGACCTCTCTCTAACTGGGAAAAGGCTTCAGACGAACTTGCCTTGCTGCCCGCAATCTACTGCACACCATCCTCACATTAATGGTAGTTTGGTTCTTTGTCTTCCTTACTTCCTAGTCTGTGCGGATCCCTCATGTTTGTATATACAACATGTATATATACAGTATACAACATGTTTGTATATTGCAGGAGAATAAACAAAAATCTTCAGTCTTACATGTAAGCTCTTCTGTGTTCTGTCACTAATGAGCTTTCTAGCTTTACTGCCAACAACATTCATAAAAGAACCTTTAGCCAGTCCACTAAATTGGTCTAATTACCACCTCTCCACTACTTTTTGCTTTTGGACATCTGTCTTTTCAGATATCTGAAGTACCTCCACCATACCCCCTCCCCCATTTCCCTTTGGAAAATATACACTTACTTCCAATTTGATTTTATTATTTGTTTATTTATCTTATTGATACATAATAATTATATATAGTTATGGAGTATATGTAATATTTTGATACAAGCATACAATGCATGATGATTAAATCAGGATAATTAGGATAATCATCACCCCCAACATTTATCATTTCTTTGTGTTAGGAACATTCCAAATCTTCTGTTCTAGTTAGAAATATGCAATAAATTATTAACTTTTGTCACTCTGCTGTGCTATCAAACACCGTAACTTATTCCTTCTATATAACTGTATGTTTGTACCCATCAACCGGCCTCTCTTCATATCCCCTTTGCCCCTTCCCTTCCCAGCCTCTGGTAACCATCATTCTACTCTCTATCTTCATCATGTCAACATTTTAGCTTCCACATGTGAATAAGAACATGCAATATTTGTCTTATTGAATCTGGCTTATTTCTTCTTGATATCAACATTTTAGCTTCCACATATGAATGAGAACATGCAATATTTATTTTATTGAGTCTGGCTTACTTCACTTAGCAAAATGTCCTCCACTTCCATTTATGTTGCTGCACATAACAGGATTTCATTCTTTTTTATGGCTGAATAATATTTCATTGTGTATATATACCACTTTTTCTTTATCCATTTATCCACTGATGGACACTTAGGTTGCTGCTACATCTTGGCTATTGTGAATAATGCTGCAATAAACATGGAAGTGCAGATACCTCTGTAAATTAAAAAAAAATTTTATAGAGACAGGGTCTCACTCTGTTGCTGAGGCTGGATTGCAGTGGTGCAGTCATAGATCACTGCAACCTCTAACTTCTGGACTCATGTGATCCTCCTCCCTCAGCCTCCCAAGTAGCTGGTACTGCAGGTGCTTACCACTATACCTGGTTAATTTTTTATTTTTATTTTTAGAGGCAAAGTCTTGCTATGTTGCTCAGGCTGGTCTTGAACTCCTGATCTCAAGTGATCTTCTCACCCTGGCCTCCAAAAGTGCTAGGATTATAGGAATGAGCCACTGCACCAGTTTTTTTAAAAAAATGGATTTTTAATTATTGTGGGTATATAATAGGTATATATATTTATGGGGTACATGTGATGTTTTGATATAGGCATACAAAGTGTAATAATCACATCAGGGTAATTGGAGTATCCATCACCTCAAACATTCATCATTTCTTTATATTAGTGCCATTCCAATTCTACTATTTTAGTTATTTTTAAATATACAATAAATTATTGTTGACTAAAGTCACCCAGTTGTGCATCATTCATCATTAGAGAAAGGCAAATCAAAACCACAATGAGATATCATCTCACGTCAGTCAGAATGGCTATTATTAAAAAGTCAAAAAATAATAGATGCTGGCAAGGTCGTGGAGAAAAAGGAATGCTTTTCACTGTTGGTGGGAGTGTAAATTAGTTCAACCATTGTGGAAGATAGTGTGATGATCCCTCAAAGACCTAGAGACAGAAATGCCATTTGATCCAGCACTCCCATTACTGGGTATATACCCAATGGAATAGAAATCATTCTTTTATAAAGACACATGCACGTGTGTGTTCATTGCAGCCCTATTCACAATAGCAAAGACATGGAATCAACCTAAATGCCCATCAACGATAGACTGGATAAAAAAGATGTGGTACATATACACCATGGAATATCATGCAGCCATAAAAGGGAATGAGATCATGTCCTTTGCAGGAACATGGATGGAGTTGGAGGCCATCATCCTTAGCAAACTAATGTAGGAACAGAAAACCAAATACCATGTGTCCTCACTTAGAAGTGGGAGCTAAATGATGAGAACAGATGGACACATACAGGTGAACAATGCATACTGGGGCCTCTCGGAGGGTGGGAGGAGGGAGAGGATCAGGAAAACTAAATAATGGATACTAGGCTTACTTAATACCTGGCTAATGAAATATTCTGTACTACAAACCCCCTTGACACACATTTACCTATGTAACAAACCTGCACATCCTGCACATGTACCTCTGAACTTAAAAAAAAATAAAGTCACCCAGTTGTGGTATTAAATACTAGATCTTATTTATTCTAACTATATTTTTATACCCATTAACTATCCCCAGTCTTTCTTCTACTCCCTGCTACATTTCCCAGCCTCTGGTAAGCATCATTCTACTTTCTAGTTCCATGAGTTCCATTGTTTTAATTTTTAGCTCCCAAATATGTATGAGAAGATGCAAAATTTGTCTTTCTGTGCCTGACGCAATGTCCTCCAGTTCCGTTCATGTTGTTGCAAATGACAGGCTGAATAATATTCCATTTGGGGGTGTCCAACATTTTAGCTTCCATGGGCCACATTGCAAGAAGAATTGTCTTGGGCCACACTTAAAATACACTAACACTAATGATAGCTGATGAGCTAAAAAAAAAACACACACACACACACACACACAAAAATCTCATAATGTTTTAAGAAAGTTTATGAATTTGTGTTGGACTGCCTTCAAAACCATCCTGGGCCACATGTGGCCCATGGGCCATGGGTTGGACCAGCTTGGTGTATATGTACCACATTTTCTCTATCCATTCACCTGTTGATGGATACTTAGGTTGATTCCAAATCTTGGCTATTGTGAATAGTGCTGCAATAAACATGGGGGTGCAGATATCTCTTGGATGTACCAATTTCCTATCTTTTCTAACTCAGCATTGAGATTGCTGGATCACATGGCACTAATGCCATTTTATTTATTTTCTGGTTGATTTTTGGTTTTCCTTCCTTCCCGGTTTCTTTGTGTAAAAGTGATTTTTCTCTGGTAGTATGCTTTCATTTCTTGCTGTTTATTTTTTGTGTATCTGTTGTAGGTTTTTTTTAATTTGAGGTTACCATGAGGCTTGTAAATGATATAACTATTTTAAACTCATAACAGCTTAACTCTGATTACAGAAAAACAACAAAAACAAAAAAGCAAAGAGAAAACTAATAAAAGTTCTACACTTTAACTCCATCCCCCTGACTTTTTAAACATTTTGTTGTTTCTTACCTTTTTATACACTCTGCCTCTTAAAACTTTGTTGTAGTTATTGTATTTGACAGTTTTGTCTTTTAGTATTCCTACTCAGTAAATGAGTGGTTTATACACCACACAGTGTTAGAGTATTCTGCATTTATCTGTGTACTTACTCTTACCAGTGTTTTGTAACTTTGGATAATTTTTTATTGCTCATTAACAACCCTTTCTTTCAGATTGAAGGAGTCCCTTTAGCATTTCTTGTAGACAGGTCTGGTGTTGACAAAATCAGCCAGCTTTTATTTGTCTGGGAAAGTCTTTATTTCTTCTTCATGTTTTAAGGAATTTTCACTGGATATACTACTCTAGGATAAAAATTTTATTTCCTTCAGCACTTTAAATATGTCATGCCACTATCTCCTGGACTATAAGGTTTCCACTGAGAAGTCTGCCAGACACATTGGAGCTCTTTATATGTTATTTGCTTCTTTTCTTTTGTTGCCTTTAGAATCCTTTATCCTTGACCTTTGAGGTTTTATTAAATATCTTGAGATAGTCTTATTTGGGTTAAATCTTCCTGGTGTTCTATGACCTTCTTATACTTGAATATTGGTATCTTTCTGCAGGTTTGGAAAGTTCTGTTATTTATTTGAATAAGTTTTCTAGCTCAATATCTCTACCTCTTCTTTAAGGCCAATAACTCTTAAGGTTTGCCCTTTTGATGCTGTTTTCTATATCTTGTAGGCATGCTTCATTCTTTTTTATTCATTTCAATTTTTTCTCCTCTGACCGTATATTTTCATATACCCTGTCGTGAAGCTCACTAATTTTTTCTTCTGCTTAATCAATTCTGCTGTTTAGAGTCTCTGATGCATTTTTCAGTTTGTCAGTTGAATTTTTCCACTCCAGAATTTCTTCTTAATTTTTTAAAAAAGATTCAATCTCTTTGTTAAAAATTTTTGATAGAATTCTGGATTCCTTGTCTGTATTATCTTGAAGTTTGTTGAGCTTCCTTAAAGTAACTATTTTGAATTCCCCGTGTGAAAGTTCACACATCTCTGTCACTGCAGGATTGGTCACTGGTGCCTTATTTAGTTTGTTTGGTGAGGTCATGTTTTCCTGGATAGTCTTGATGCCTATGGATGTTTATTGATGCCTGGACATTGAAGAATTAGGTATTTATTCTAATATTCACAGTCTGGGCTTGTTTGTACCAATCTTTCTTGAGAAGACTTTTGGGATATTCAAAGAGAATTGAATGTTGTCATCTAAGTCTCTGGTCACTGCAGCTGTATCTGGACTAGAGAGCACCCTGAGCCCAGTAACACTGTGACACTTGCAGGCTCAAAGAGGGCTTGGGTAAGATCCAGAAGAATCCCCTGGATTACCAAGCAGGATCTCTCATTTTCTTCCCTCACTTACCCCAAACAGGAGCCTCTCTTTCCATGCTGGGCTGCCTGGAGTTGGGGAAGTTGTGATGCAAGCACTTCCCTGGCCACCACAGCTGGGACTGTGCTGGATCACACCTGAAGTCAGCATATTGCTATATCTTGCCCAAGGCCCATGGTTACTACTGCCTGGCTATCACTGATGTTCATTCAAAGACCAACAGTTCTTTAGTCATCAGGTGGTGAATCCTGCCAGGACTGGGTCTTTGCCTTCTGGGTATTGGGTTGCCTTCTGGCACAGGGTGGGTCTAGAAATGCTTGTCCAGAAACTAGGGCCTGGAATCAGGGGCTTCAGGAATCTGCCTGATGCTTTAGTTCATTGTGGCTGAGCTGGTACCCACGTTGCAAGGCAAAGTCCTCTGTAATCTTCCCTCTCTTTTCTGCAAGTGGAAGGAGTCGACTTGAGCTGTACTGCTTGGAGTTTTTGGAGGGGTGATGTAAGCCTTCCCTTAACTGTAGCAGCTGATGTTTCACTGGGTTGCTGCACCCCAAGTCCACTAGTCCACTGACTTCGAGCCCAGTGCAGCACCAGGACTTGCTTAGAGACTGCAGTCCTTGTGGCCTGCCTGCCTTTCAAATATATTCAGGACTCTAGGTCACTGTAGTGAGTCCATGGTGGAGCTAGCTGGAACTTCTTTGGGGCAGAGGATTCTACTCTGGCTGAGGCTATTCTATATTCTCCCTCCATGGGCAATGGTAGAATTCTTCCCTGTGCTGGGTTCCTCTGTGATAGGGCAGCACTGAGTTCCAATGCAAAGTCCCACAATCACTTCACTCTCCCTCCCCCAAGCACATAGATTTTCTTTCCATGCATTTCCCAGGATGGGGGATGGGTAGTGTAGCCGATGCAAGACAGTCTTTCCTATCCTTTTCAGTTCCTCTTTCCTTGATACCATATTAAAACCAGGCACTGTGAAGGCTCAACATATTATTGTTTCTTATGAAGGTGTTTTCTTGCAAAGATATTTATTCAATTTGGTATTCCTGCAGTGGGGACAATCACTGGAGGGTTCTATCTGGCCATCTTGCTTTGCTTCTTCCTCCAATATCTCTTTGGTGTACTGATTTCCTTTCTTTTTTGGCTATATACTCAGCAGATCATATTGTGGATTAATTTTAAGTTTTTGAAGAAACTTCCATACTGTTTTCCATAGAGGCAGCCTAATTTACTATCCCACCAACAGTATATGACCATTCCCCTTTCGCCACATCCTTGCCAGCATTTGTTATTTTTTGTCTTTTTGATAATAGCCATTCTAACCGGGGTGAGATGATATCCCACTGTAGTTTTGATTTATATTTCCCTGATGATGAGCAGTACTGAACACTTGTCTTATATTCCTCTTTGCCATTTGTATGTCTGCTTTGGCGAAATGTCTATTTAGATCATTTGCCCATTTTAAAAATTGAATTATTTGTTTTTTTCTTATTGAGTTGTTTGAGTTCCTTATATATTCTGTTTAGTAATCACTTTTCAGATAGATGCTTTGCAAATATTTTCTTCCATTCTGTAGGTTGTCTCTTAACTTTATAGATTGTTTTCTTTGCTATGTAAAACATTTTTAGCTTGATGTAATCCAACTTGTCTATATCCAGGTTTTATTGTGTGTGCTTTTGAGGTCTTACCCCATACATCTTTGCCCACACCAATGTCCTGAAGTGATTCCTCGCTGTTTTCTTTTAGTAATTTCATAGTTTCAGGTCTTATTTTTAAATCTTTTATCCCTTTATATTTGGTATTGGAATATTGTGAAGGATAGAAATCTAATTTTATTTTTCTGCATATGGATATCTAGCTTTCCCATGTATTGAAGAGATTGTTCTTTCCCCAAAGTATGTTCTTGGCACCTTTGTCAAAAATGATTTGGTTATAAACATGTGGATTTATTTCTGTGTTCTCTATTCTGTTCCATTGGGCCTAAGTGTCTGTTTTTATGCCAGTACGCTGTTTTTATTACTATAGCCTTGCAGTATATTCTGAAATCAGTGTAATACCTCCAGCTTTGTTCTTTTTCTCAGGTTTGCTTTGGTTATTTGGGGTCTTTAGTGGTTCCAAACAAATTTTAAAATTGTTTTTTTCTTCTTCTGTGAATAATATCATTGGTGTTTTGATAGGGATTGCATTGACTTTGTAGATTGTTTTGGGTAGTATGGACATTTTAGCAATATTGATTATTCCAATCCATGAACATGGGATATCATTCCATTTTTTGTGAGTCTTCTATAACTTCTTTCGTCAGTGTTTTATAGTTTTCCTTGTAGAGAGGTTTCATTTCTTCAGTTAAATTTATTTTTAGCTATTTCAATTTTTTGTTGCTATTATAAATGGGATTACTTTATTGATTGTTTTCAGATTGTTTCCACTGGCATGTAGAAGTGCTACTAATTTTTATATGTTGATTTTGTATCCTGAAACTTTACCAAATTTGTTTATTAGTTATTATAGTTTCTTCATGGAATTGCAAAGTTTTCAAAACCTAGAATCATGTCATCTATGAACAAAGATAACTTGACTTCTTCCTTTCCAATTTAGTTGTCCTTTATTTTCTTTCTCTTGTCTAGTTTTTCTGGCTAGAACTTCCAGTACTCTATTGAAAAAGTGGTGAGAATGGGGATCCTTGTTGTGTTCCAGATCTTAGAGGAAAGGCTTTCAGTTTTTCCTTATTCAGTATGTTAGCTGTGGGTTTTTCACATATTCACCTTCATTTTTTTGAAGTATGTTCCCTCTATACCCAATTAGTTGAGAGTTTTAATCATGGAAAAAATGTTGAAATTTATCAAATACTTTTTAAGCATTTATTGAAATGATCATACAATTTTTATTCTTGATTCTGTCAGTGTGGTGTATCAAGTTTACTGATTTGCATATGTTGAACCATTATTGCATCTCTTGGATAAATCTCACTTGACTATGATGGAATGATCTTTTAAAATATGTTGTGGAATTCAGTTTGATGATATTTGTTAAGAATTTTTGCATCTATGTTTATCAATGAAATTGATATGTGGTTTTCTTTTTTAATTGTATATTTGTCTAGTTTTGGTATCTTGGTAATGCTGGCCTTATAGAATGAGTTTGGAAGTATTCCTTCTTCTTTAAGATTTTTGAATAGTTTGTGTAGAATTGGCATTAATTCTTCTTTAAATGTTTGGTAGAATTCAACAGTGAATCCTTCAGATCTTGGGCTTTTCTTTGATGGGATACTTTTTATTACTGTTTTAATCTCATTACTTGTTATTGGTCTGTTCAGGTTTTCTATTTCTTCCTGGTTTCATCTTGGTAGGTTGTAAGGGCCCAGGAATTAATCTTTTTCTTCCTAGTTTTTCCAATTTATTGGCATATAGTTATTCATAATAATCTCTAATGATTCTCTATTTCTGTGGTATCCATTGTAATATCTCCTTTTTTGTTTCTGATTTTATTTATTTGAGTCCTCTCTCTTTTCTTTGGTCTAGCTAAAGTTTTGTTAATTTCATTTATTATTTCAAAAATGCAATTTTTGCTACTTCAATCTTTTGTATTGTTCAGATAGATACTTTATCTGAATTATGAGTGTTGTTTGTTTTTGCTTGTCTAGTTCCTTGAGGTGATCTTTAGGTTGTTTATTTGAAGTCTTTCTACTTTTTTGATGTAGGCATTTATTGCTACAGAACTGCTCTTAGAACTGCTTTGATATATTACATAGGCTTTAGTATGTCATGTTTCCATTTTCATTTGTCTGAAGATAATTTTAAATTTCCTTTTTAATTTCTTCGTTGACCCATTCAGTGTTCAGGAGTATGTTGTTTCATTTCCATGAGTTTGTACAATTTCCAGTGTTCCTTTTTTTAAAACTGGTTTCTAGTTTTATTCCAGAATGGTAGAATAATTGGAATAATTGTGGTAAGAAATGCACTTGATATGATTTGGATTTTTAAAGAATGTGTCAAGACTTGTTTTGGGACCTAACATATGATCTATCCTGGATAATCTTCTATGTGCTGTTGAGAAAAATGTGTATTCTGCAGCTGTTGGATGGAATGTTCTGTAATATCTGTAACATAAAATAAAATAAAATATAACATAACATAAAATATCTGTTATGTTCCTTTGGTCTAGAGTTCATTTTAACTCCAATGTTTCTTTGTTACTTTTCTGTCTGAGTGATCTGGCCATCACTGAAAATGGGGTGTTGAAATCTCCTAGTACTATTTATTGTAGTCAATCTCTCCCTTTAAGTCTATTAACTTTTTTACATATTTGTGTGTTCCAGTATTGGGTGCATATATATTTACAATTGTTATGTATTCTTGCTGTACTGTCCCCTATATCATTATATAATGGCTTTCTTTTTTGTCATTTTAAAAATGACTCTTGGCTTCAAGTCTAGTTTATCTGATATTAGTAAACCTATCCCTGTTCCTTTTTGGTTTCTATTTGCATGAAATATCTTTTTTCATTCCTTCACTTTTAGTCTGTGAATGTCTTCATAGATTAAGTGAAGTACTTGTAGATAGCATACAGTTGGATCTTGTTTTTTAAATCCATTCAGCCACTCTATGTCTTTTGGTTGGACAATTTGATCCATTTACATTCAAAGTTATTATTCACAGTAAGGGTTTACTACTGCCATTTTGTTACTTGACTTCTTGTTGTTTTGTGAATTCTTCCCTTTTCCTCTCTCACTCTCTTCCTTTGTGGTTAAGTGATTTCCTCTGGTAGTACGTTTTTATTTCATGCTATTTATTTTTATATATCTATTGTAGGTTTTTGCTTTATGGTTAACGTGAGGCTTACAAAAACCCTCTTATATTTATAATAAGTTATTTTAAACTGATAGTGACTTATATTTTATTGCAAAGAAAAGATAAGAAACAACAAACTCTACACTTTAATAACATCCTCTCACCACATTTTGACTTTTTTGTGTTTCAATTTACTTTTTTTACATTGTGCATCTCTTAATAAATTGTAGTTATTGTTTTTAGTGGTTTTGTCTTTTAATCTTCATATTTAAGATATAGGTCATTTACTTACCCTAATTTCACTATTGATGTGTTCTGAATTGGTCTGTTTTCTTTCTTTTACCAATGAGTTTCATACCTGCAGATTGTTTCTTGTTACACATTAGCATCCATTTCTTTCAGATTGAAGAACTCTCTTTAGCATGTCTTGTAACACAGGTCTGGTGCTGACAAATTCCCTCAGTTTTTGTTTGTCTGAGAAAGTCTTTATCTCTCTTCTTGTTTTAATAGCTTTGCTGGGCACATTATTCTTGGTTGACAGTTTTTTTTTTTCTTTCAGCACTTTCAAGCTTCCCATTCTCACCTGGCCTGTAGGATTTCTGCTGTGAAATCCAGTGAAAGCTGTATTGGTGCTTTGTTTAATGTAATATTTTTCTTTTCTTTTGCTGCACTGAGTATTTTTGTTGTCTCTGATTTTTGCTAATTTGATTGTGATATGCCTTAGGGATTTCCTCTTTGGGTTTAATTTGATTGATGACCTCCAAGATTCCTGTATCTGAATGGTGTCCTCTTTCTCCATCTTTGGGAAATTTTCACCATTGTTTTGTTAAATATGTCTTCTAGGCCTTTTTCTCTCTTGCCTCCTTTGGGAATTCCTACTATGCAGAGGTTAGTTTGCTTGATCATGTGCCATAATTCTTAAAAAGTTCTTTTTTATGCTTTTAAATTCTTTTTTCTTTTTTTCTCCTCTGATTAGGTAATTTCATATGTGCTGTCTTCAAACTTGCTAATTCTTTTCTCTAATCAAGTCTGATGTTGAAGCTTTCCAATGAGTTTTTCAGTTTAGTTATTGTGTCAGTTTAGTTACGGTTTCTTTATTTCTAGAAACCCTAGAAATAATGGATTTGTTTGTTTTTATTTCTTATTTCTTTTATTTCTTTGTCAAATATCTCATTTTGTTCCTGGGTTACTTTCCAAATTTTATTTTTTTTCTATCCATATTTTCTTATGATTCTCTAAATTTGTTTAAGAGGATTATTTTGAATTGTCTGTTTAACATTTCCTAGGTCTTCACTTCTTCTAGCTCCATTGCTGGAGCTTTGTTGATTTCTTTTGGTAAGGTCATATTTCCCTGGGTTTTTACAATTCTTGTGGGTTTGCCTTAATACCTGCACATTTTAGGAGATAGCTACCTCTTCCATTACTTGCAGGTATTCTTTGGTGGTGTTTGACCTTTACTACTTAGTATCAGAACTTAACTGCTGATATTCTTTTTTTTTTTTTTTTTTTTGGGAGAATTTATAGTGAGTACCAGAACTAAATCACTGCACTGGAACTAACTTTTGCCCTGCCACTATTTCCCAGTGTGGGGAAAACTTATTGTGAGTACTAAGTTAACAATGCTCTGGAGCTATGTGGCTGCCCTGCCACTGTCTCCCAGTTTGTGGAAGACTTAAGCAGTCACTGGAACTCAATCCCAACGTTTCTAGTTGTTTCTGGTCCAGTGGAGGCTCCATGGGAACACCTAGTCTTTGTTGAAATCTGTCCAGGGATTCAGGCCTTCTCACAGACTGTGTCCCCTATAGCACTATGGTGCCAGCCAGTCTCTTCAATGTGGTGTCCATACTGATTGGAGTGAAGAGTTAACTGCCAAGATCCACGTGCCAGTCACTATGATCAGTGTCCCACTCTTTGTCTCATTTCATCCAAGGTTGGTCAGCCCTTCTGACACTCCCAATTGTTCCCATGGGATGGGGCAGAAGTGGGCTTCCTGAGAAGATTCCCAGACTGGTGGGGAGATCGTATGTCCACTTCCAACTCCCTCTTCTTACCTTAGAAACCATGAGTCTAGGAAAATTCTCTATGAGCGACATTATGCCAGCTTGATGGAGGGGGCTGCAATGTCTGAAACAGCCATTTTTCATACCTGTCACAGCTTCTCTCAATTCTGAGGGCCCCGGAGGTTTCTTCAATTCTCCCTTGAATTGTGGTGAACTCAGGGTTGTGTTCTTGTCTTTAAGTAGTTTCTAGTTGTATTTTTATGGAGGGAGTGATAGTAGGGGATCCTCCATTTCATTATCTTGCTGATGTTACTCCCTCATTTCAATTTAGCTTAAATTTCTTCCTGAAGCTTTTCAACCACTTAATTGAACCTTTTCTATTGGAAACACAAAATAATAACAGGAAGTAAAACAAGGAATTGTTATAATCATAAAACAGAAACATAAAATATAAAAACAACATCTATCTATACCAGTTGCATGTAAGTAATTTTTTTGGTTGTTGCAGAAATTAAACTGATGAGGCTCTGCATCAGTTTCTGTGGAAAATGAAGAATGATTTTTAATTGCAAAGATAATAATGACATCGGAATCCCCAAATCTAGCCCTGATTTCCAGGCCTCTCCTTTTCTGACATTTGTTGCATGTACTCTCTTTACTCCTTCTCTCCTTGTGATTTTTTTCTTACTCGGTTTTCTTCAGCACACCTCCCACCTCTCTTTTGGTCCTTCTGCCTCACTGAATGCTTCCTTTCAGGTTGGCTTTTTTTTTTTTTTTTTTTTTTTTTGAGACTGAGTTTCACTCTATCACCCAGGCTGGAGTGTGGAGTGCAGTGGCGCCATCTCAGCTCACTGCAACCTCTGCCTCCTAGGTTCAAGCAATTCTCCTGGCTCAGCCTCCCGAGTAGCTGGGATTACAGGTGTCCACCACCACGCCTGGCTAATTTTTGTATTTTTAGTAGAGACGGGGTTTCACCATGTTGGCCAGTCTGGTCTCAAACTCCTGACCTAGGCAATCTGCCCGCCTCAGCCTCCCAAAGTGCTGGGATTACAGGCATGAGCCACCGTGCCCGGCCTCACATTGGCTTTTGATGTTTCTCTGCCTAAGCCCTGATCTGCAGGTGCTCCCTTTATGGAATTATCACTTATGGATCACCTTATGACTTACAAATATTGATGCTTGCCCTTGACTCTTTTACTAGTAAGTCAGTATAGACCAATGTTTTTAGCTTAGAGGTTAAGTAAGTAATTCAAACTCTAAATGTTTGAGACTGAATTCACTATTAGCCCTCACAACCCAATTTGTATTCACCATCTGTGGTAAAAACAGCATCATCTTCTTAGTCACTCGTTCTGAAATAATACTCAACTGCTCCTCAGCAATTCCCCTTTTCTCAACACCAATTCACTCTCCATCTTGAAACACTAAGAAGCATCTCATTACACTCAAAGTAATATAAATATTTAAGAAAAAGAAAAAATTACCCTATATGCCTAATAATAGGCAAATATATTCCAAAAGTCTTTCTTGGAGAAAACCCACATCTTTTCTCAGTCCCCTGGAGATGTAAACCTTACTATGTCTTCACAATGTAAACATCTGAGGAGTTAACTAAAACAATTTCTATGCCCAGCCCAGCTGCAACTAAAAAAACAACAGAAAAAAGTGGCTTAAAAACCAAACAACTCCGAACCATGAGGAACATTTCCTTTCCCCCAATCTAGTTCATAGCCTCCATGAGATTACCTATCAAAAGCAAATAAAAAATCTTAAAAGTCTCTCCACAAATATTTTTAAAAAGTCATCTGTATCTGAGCAGGTGAACTTAACTTTTTCCATCTGCCTGAAACACAGTTTAGCACCAACTTTTCTTTTATAAACTAGTGATAAACTAGTGAGTTCTGTGTTATTATACCTGCTTCACGGCTAAAATTTTAGAATGAAAGCTATAATATCTCTGTTTGCATCTGGGCTATGCGTTTATGTATGAGTGTGATTGTTGATATATATAATATTTTTTCTACCCCTGGATGGTATTGCCGAAAGTAACTTGTAAAAGAGCTCTATTTAATTGCCTTAAAGAAAAAAACATAAATGCTTATATATAGAGAAATATAGAGACTAACTCACATGTTTTCCAAGCTCATATGAGGTGGGATAATTTTTGGTAAATAAAGCTAGCTCAAGTTTGTTGGTTTAATAAAAACAGGCATGTCTTCAGGTTGTCAAATATAATTCAAATATATAATTTTTTTCTATCTGGGGTTACTAGTCAAACAAACCATGTTATCTCTGTTTGACATTTAAGTTTTTAAGATTATAAATTCAACTTAAAAATGAAACATACAACAAAAGTAAATTTCTTAATGTATGTCTAGAGTGATGGTAAAGGGGAAAAAAGCTATATGTTTAAATTTTCTGGTGCTTTGCTTCTATGATGTTTGATGGTTGCCTAATAGGTTATAAAAATTACCGATAAGAAAAAGAGCTTAAAATGAGGACTAACTTTGTCTAATATCTCATGGAATTTTCATGAGTAATTGAAACATAATTTTAAAGAATAAGTCAATTAAATACATGTAAATAGGATAAAAGTTTACAAATAAACCTTATAATAATGATTATGTTTTATAAAAATATATCTGCTTAAAAATAGTTTCCAAAATCTTTTTGGAAATTTGAAATCTTAAAGTTATACTATGTTAAGTTAAATGATAAATATTAATTGAATATTTAGATCATTTACAAATAAGATGAAATACCAAAACATTAATTACTGAATATAAGTTCATCTACTTGAGCTTCTTAATTGATACAAAGACAAAAGATATTTGGACCTGTTAATAATGTGTTCTTCTTGTTACATTAAAAAAATTAAGCTATGAAAGAGGCCTACGCCTCCAGAAATTATGAAATGGTTTGTTCACAACTTGCCTAATCTATGACAGAATGCTAGTACACAACACGAAGTTCACAATTGCTTATTTCTAGTTGTTACTGGGAATTAGGGTTATTAAGGTTAAAATTCAAACAAAAATATGTCATAAAACTACTGGAAATAACAAGAAACAAAACTCTGTATGCAAAGAACGTAATGAAAGTAGGATGTGTTTTTGGCAAGAAAAGTTGTGAGGTATAAAAAGATGAATTTTGTTGAGGGAAAAGGAGAATAATTTTATCCTAGTTTAGAGGTTATTTAAAGATTGTTTTGTAATTTTAAAAAGAGAAGAATAAAAGACAAAAATTAAGTGAATATAGAAAGGTGGGAAAAGAGAGAGGCAGAGAGAGAGCCAAGAGCAAGCAAGCAAGTGAGCAAACTAGAATTTGGTCTTTTCTCTGTTGAAAGAACAAAGTTTTCTTGATTTTTGTACAAGAGTTTTCATTACCTGTCAAATAATCAAATTATCAAAATAATTTTTTTGTTCTCCTTGTTGTCCTTATCAGGTCTTTGATTACTTAAGAAAACAAAATATTAAAAGATATTGAAAGAAGGCCAGGCATGGTGAATCATACCTGTAATCCCGATGCTTTAGGAGGCTGAGGTGGGAGGAATGCCTGATGCCAGATGTTTGAGACTAGCTTGGACAACATAGCAAGACCTGGTCTCTACCAAAAAATGAAAAATTAGCTGGGCATGATAGTGCACACCTGTAGTCTCAGCTACTCAGGAGGCTAAGGTGTGAGAATTGCTTGAGCCCAGGAGTTCAGAGTTACAGTGTGCTATGATTGCACTATTTCACTCCAGCCTGGGCAACAGTGAGATGCTGTCTCAACAACAACACAAAAGACATTACAAGAGCAAAGTTTTTGTTTTATTTTTACAAGTATGCAACTTTGTGTATTTGTCTTTGAAATCTTTGTCACTGTGGTTAAATAGATGACGTGGTTTGGAAATCTGTCCCATCCAAATCTCATGGTGAAATGTGACCCCCTCCAGCCTGGCCAACATAGTGAAACCCCATCTCTACCAAAAAAAAAAAAAAAAAAAATAGCTGGACATGGTGGCATGTGCCTGTGGTTCCAGCTACTTGAGAGACTGAGGTGGGAGAATTGCTTGAACCTGGGAGACAAAGGTTGCGGTGAGTTGAGATGGTGTCACTGCACTTCAGCTTGGGCAACAGAGTTCGGCCCTGTCTCAGAAAAAAGAAAGAAGGAAAGAAAGAAAGATAAAGAAAGAAAGGAAGGAAAAGAGAAGAAAAGAAAGAAAAAAAGAGGAAGAAAGAAAGAGAAAGAAAGAAAGAAAAGTGACCCCTGATGTTGGAGGTGGAGTCTAGCCAGAGGTGTTGGGTCATGGGGGCAGATTCCTCATAAATGGCTTGGTTCCCTCCCTGTGGTAGTGAGCGGTAATGAGTTCATGCAAGAGCTAGTTCTTTAAAAAGCCTGCCCCCCTCCTCACCAACTCTCTTGCTCCCTCTCTTATGATGTAATATGTTGGCTCCCCTTTCACTTTCTGCCATGATTGCAAGCTTCCTGAGGCCCTCACCAGAAGGAGATGCCAGCACTATGCTTCCTGCACAGGCTGAAGAACCACGAGCTAAAATAAACCTCTTTTCTTTATAAATTACCCAGTCTCAGGTATTCCTCTGTAGCAACACAGACAGACTAATACAATAGATAACTGAGTATTGTTTCAAAGTGATCTGTGATCCTATTTTATCAAGAGTTTTAAACCTTTTGACATTTTTGACAATATTTGAACTCCCAGGATCAAATTCTAAAGTGCTTTTGACCTCAAAGTAACTTTGGGATTTTCCAGAGAGCCCCTGGAAAATCTCAAAAGATTTGTTTTTTATCTTTCTGAAAGAGAGATATTAAAATAATTAGAGTTATGTGTTATTTGTAGGAATATATATTATTAATATAAGTGTTAAAGAAATTATATAAAATTTCTAGAAATCTGATATGTCCTGGTATAATGTCATCAGTCATAATCCTAGTTATTATCTTAAAATGTTGCATGTCACAGAAATAACCAAATTTTCTTATCAATTGCATTGTAATGATCTCTCATGAGATTTTTGACCATGGCCATTTAAAAGCATTTGTCATTCACAGATAGTTGTTTTACTCTGATGTTTTCCTGAAATCAACTACAGACAAAACTGCTTTATCGTTAAAGAGATTCACAGAAAAGACTCTGACAAGTGCAGGCTTCTGATAACTATAAGATCATACCACTGAGCTTGATAAGAATTTCTAAAAATCAAGTGGATAAACTGATTGATTCATAAAACTTCTAACCCAGGATTAAGCACAACGAGAAGTAATTAGTGGGAGTAAATAAACTGATGAGGATGATTATTATTTTTATGACTTTATTAAACCATTATATTAATGCTTTAATATTTTGTTTTCCAGATGTGAAGAACACTTTTTCTGTTTTTATTTAAGCTAGTTATAGCTTGCAGCAATCTAGTAAAGTATACTTTGGAAACAGATTTGAAGCATTTATCTGTTCCCTACCTGATCCCTCCAAAATTCAGAAACTCTTATTGAGTATTATTTTCATGGCAATATAGTTATTTACATAAGATCAATAAGAATATATTTTCTTTGTAACATGATATAATTGGAAACATTGATTATATTACCAAGGCTTTGACTAGAATGTCATATTTGAGAATTATATGCATAGGATCAGATATAACCAGACAGCTTTAATGAACTAAGGTTGATTTTATGAACCCAATAAAGCCACTTAGAAAAAAAAAAAAAAAGACTAGTACCTGGCTTCAAAGGATTCCAACCTTACAGGTGAGTAAGGAACATCACTTCCTGGTAGGCCTAGGAGGCTGATAATATTTTGAGAGCCTTGAGAAATGAGGAATTCACCTAAATCTATAGGTAGGTGAAGTCTAATGCAAAGTCCCTAGCTTAGCTTTATAGCTTGAAGAGGCTTTTATTTTTATTTTATTTTATTTATTTATTTATTTTTAGATGAAATTTCACTCCTCTTGCCCAGGCTGGAGTGCAATGGCGTGATCTCAGCTCACTGCAACCTCTGCCTCCCAGGTTCAAGTGATTCTCCTGCCTCAGCCTCCCGAGTAGCTGGGATTACAGGCATGCGCCACCACGCCCAGCTAATTTTGTATTTTTAGTAGAGATGGGGTTTCTCCATGTTGCTCAGGCTGGTCTTGAACTCCCGACCTCAGGTGATCCACCCGCCTTGGCTTCCCAAGGTGCTAGGATTACAGGCATGAGCCACTGGGCCCAGCCTTTATTTTATTTTTTAATTCTATGTTTAACTATGTATGTATATATATTTATTGTATTTTTTTTAGAGATGAGGTCTTGCTATGTTTCCCAGGCGAGTCTTGAACTCCTGGGCTCAAACAATCCTCCTGCGTCAGCCTCCTGAGTAACTGGGACTATAGGCATGCACCATTGAGTCTGGAATGGAGAGGCTTTTAAAAGTCTAATCAGAGATTCCTTATTAAAAGTTCCAGCAAAGCAGATTTAAAAAGTGTCTATATGACCAGTCACTATTCTTGCTTTGCTTATTTAAATAATCAGGCCAAATTTAATGAGACTAGACTTATTTTACAAACAAATTAGTCTTACTATGATTATGTTTGTGAAACATGAGGGTGACTATAGACAGAAAAATTATGTGCACTGTAGAAAACTATAGTAATTCAATTCTAGCCTTGTTCATTGTCTTTGAGGTTTTGTTATCTTTCTGTAAACTGGACTGTATCCTGAATTCTTCTAGTTTCCTCCAATATCTGGCTATGACTCTCCAAACTAACATTTCCAATTTTCTCCCACCTTTCTGACTTGAAATACCAAAAAATAAAACTGCCCCTTTCCCAAAGCCTTGCAAGCCGAAGCTGGGTGACTTGATATAAACTTCATAGAAATCACCACAAAAACTCATATATAAACATATAAACAAGCTTCATGCCTGTTGCTGTGGGGACTACTCAGAAAGTTCACCCATATCACCTGGTGACATCACCAGAGACTTTCAGACAGCAAAAGAAGATGCTTCGAGCCCAATATCTAGAAATCTTCTTGACTGGCTGCCCTCTGGACTCATAAACAGATTTTTTTGTTTGTTTGTTTGTTTCCATAGGAATGCCTGATTGCTCGGACCATATGGAGGCCTAACTTTGGTAGGAACCCACCTGCAACATTGTCTCCTGAAATGAAACACAACTGTTTGTTTAATGGAACTGACCTGTTCTCCAGGAGTAAGAGATTTTCAGTAAGATAAGGTTGCAATCTATCAACTCAGCTTCTGAACTATGAAACTTCTTGGGGAAGGTTCAAAGGAGGGAAATGAAGGATGGCAGAATATGCCATCTGCAAATACACCACTTTGGCATAAGGATTATTTTGATATAAAGGCACTTTAGAAAAAGAACAACAGTGGCTGCAAGAAAGGCGCTCTAATCCTCCCCTTTTTCTTCCTGAAAGTTGAAGATAAAACCCCTACATGGAAAAATCCTCCTGTACCAGAAAGAAAGTTCTATTCTTATTTTCAGTAATAGGAAGTTGAGGGGGGAGAATTCTCTACAAACAAACCTGGTTAAACTAACCCTTATCTTCCTACTCACTTCTCTACCCAGTTAACTACCCTTGCCCAAGCCCCTTTGCCTAATTACAGTCTCATAATTTACTACTCTTTGTCCAATTCAGTATGTAAGTGTTCGATTCTAATTGGCTCTTCGGGTCTTTACTTTCTTATGAAGCCCCCTGTGCCACATAAAACTTGTATTAAATAAATTCATATGCTTTTCTCCTACTTGTTTCTTTTATGTCAATTTAATTCTCAGCCGTAGCCAAAAAGCCCTAAGGGGAGAGAGGTAAAATTTTACTTTTCCTCCCTTCAATGTGCCTCCGCCCCACATATTGTCTGCTCCTTCACTGGCAAACAGACTTTATAAGAACAGGCCTTTTCATTGCTTTTTGATGGTTTTTTCATTGTTGTATTGTTGTAGGTGCTTTTTAAAAATTGTTTTTTCATTGTTATGGCTGCAACATTGTTGCCAGGTGATAGGAACCCAGTAAGTCTTTATGGCATTAAAAAACAAGCTAGTCAATTCTGTTGAATACAACTTCCCTTTCCGATTTGTACTTTTTTTCTTTAGCCTATTTTTTTTTAAGTAGCTTAAAAAAATTTGTTTTAGGGTCAGAGTCTCGCTCTGTTGCTCAGGCTGGATGCAGTGGTTCCATCATAGCTCCCTGCAGCCTCAAACCTTTAGGCTCAAGCAATCCTCCTGACTAACCCTCCTGACCAGCTGGTATACGGGTGCAGGCCACCCTGCCAGCACTCTAGCCTGACACTTACTTGAGAAGCAGTGAAGGATGTTCATTAAGTGTGCAAATTCAAGAGTAAGACTACTTGAGTTTGAATCCTAGCTTCAACACCTACTGGGCATGGAACCTGAGGCAAATTACATAAAAACTGTATACCCCAGTTGTACATATATAAAACGACAAAATAATAACATCTTCTTTATAAAGCTGTTACAAGAATTAATGCACATAAATATATGGTAAACAATTAACATAGGCACATAATGAGCATTATGTGTTAGTCATTACTTTTCTCACATAAACTATTATTATGGTCTATTTCTAGTCTCTTTATTGCTGTCTTCCTAAAATATACATTTGATCATGTTACCCTGATGCTTAATTTTTTTTTTTGAGACAGGGTCTCACTACGTTGCCCAGGCTGGTCTCAAACTCTGGGCTCAAGAGATTCTCCCCACTCAGCCTGCTGAGCATCTGGAATTACAGGCTCATGCCACCATTTCAGGCTGCTTGAATTGATAGCTGTGGACTATTCACAAGAAGAAGTTTAGCACTCTGGCAGAGTACATGGTTCTTCACAGATGAGCACCATTTCCTATTACTCAAGCCCATGCTCTCTGTTTCAGTTACTTGGGTTGCTCATCCTTCCTCAAAAGCTCACAACATGCCTTTCTCTGATTCTGTACATCTGCCTGAAATGCCCCTTGCCTCTTCCAAACAGGCCCCTTACTCCTTCTTATTCTTTCCTTTCCTGATAAGTTCTAATGTTGCCTCCCCAGCAAAGTCTTCCCTGACTCCTAATAATAATTATAGCAATACTAAAAAAAAAAATGACACTGGCTTTCCTTGAGAATTTACCATAGGCCAGACACTGTAATGAACACTTCACATTTATTATTTCATTTAACCTTTTTAACAATCCTATGTGATAGGGGTAATGTTAGTCTCCATTATAGAAATAAAGAAAAAAGTTAGCTACATTAACTAGAATGAACAATTTATCTGAATTCCAGTAGGACTTCAGATATAGCTTTATTATGGCTCTAAAACCTTGTTGAACAATTATTTATTCAAGAGGCTGCTCTCTGCCTCTCTTCCTGCAGAATGAGCCTTTGCAACTAAGAACTGCAGTTCTGTTTCTTATTCTTGGGGCTCACTGTGATGCCTGGCACATAGTAGTTAGCCAGAAAGTGCTTTATCTTGCATGACTTGGGTTTTTACTAAGATGCCCAAAGTCAGTTTTAGATAACTTTTTAAAATTATGTCCTTGAATTATTAAGTCTGGCTTAAAATTGCCTCATTACCTTCTTTTGAATAAATAATTGTAAATCCCTTTATAGAAGAGGAGAAAATAAAAGAGTACCACATGGAGATATTAAAAATTATTTTATTTATTTAAAAAATTGACTTTGATCTCAAATGATAAAAAGCTCCAACTGTAAAGAGAACGAAAAATGTAAACAAAGCATTCATATTCATTTTGTAGTACTGACACAAAACAAAATGAGTAAAAATGCATTAAATTTGTTTGGAGACCTCTATACTTAATGATGCCCTTAAGAACTAAAGTAATTTTTGTATTTTTTAAACAATAAGACTGCAGCTATAGAAATTAACTGACATTATAGCCCTACGTATCTTTCGCTGATGGGTACTTCTCTATTCAAAACAATCTGTTTCTTATTAGAAAGGAAGCTTTTGAAATCACATATGAATAGATTAGGCTTTTTCATCAGAACTGACAGATAAAATTATAAAGTCTATAAAAGATCTAGTTTTTATGAAAATTTTATGGGTTTTTTTTTGCCAGAATACGCTAATACAAAGAGAGATGTCTGGCCATGTGAATTATAACTTAACTCTATTTATTTTGCTACTTCCATTGATATAAATATTAGAAATACTAATATGAATTTTATAAAGATTTCCTCAATGTTTTGGGATAAACAAGAACATTGAAAAGAAATGATTTTATTAATCATCAAACTGAAACTCAGGAAGGCAGTGGAAGTAAATTTTGCAATGCAGATAAAAGTCAGACTACCAGAATAATTTTTGCCCCCAGAGACTTGCAATGTGGTGTTCTAGTAGGGCAGGGAGAGAACAAGATAGCAAACTTGCTAGAGACAGTGAAGAGAGCTGGCAATGGGGGACAGAAGAGGAAAATAATAACTGATATGGTTGGCTCTGTGTCACCATCCAAATCTATCTCTAAGTGTAATCCCCAAGTGTCAAGGGAGGGACGTGGTAGAAGGTGATTGGATCATGGGGGTGGTTTTCTCCATGCTGTTTTCATGATAGTGAGGGAGTTCTCATGAGATCTGATGGTTTAAAAGTGACAGTTTCCCCTGATCTCTGTCTCTCTCCTGCTGCCATGTAAGACTTGCCTTGCTTCCCTTTTGCCTTCTGCCATGATTGTAAGTTTCCTGAGGCCTCCCCAGCCATGCAGAACTATGAGTCAATTAAACCTCTTTTGTTTATAAATTAGCCAGTTAACTTTATAGCAGTGTGAGAATGGACTAATACAATAACTAGTATTAACTGAGTGCTCAGTATGTACTGGACACTGAGCTAAGGTCTTTAGCTTGTATATATGCATTATCTCAGATAACTCTATGAAGTAGGCTGTCTTAGTCCATTTTGTGCTGCTGTAACAGAATGCCACAGACTGGGTAATTTATAATGAACAGCAATGATTTGGCTCATGGTTCTGGAAGCTGGGAAGTTCAAAATTGAGAGGCTGACATCTGATGAAAGCCTTCTGGTTGCATTATTCATGGCAGAAGAGCAAAGAAAGGGTGCAAGAAAAAGAAAGCGAGAGGTGGCTGAACTCATCCTTTTATAAGGAGAACACTCTTGCAATAATGTACCCACTCCTGCAATAATGGCATTAATCCACTCATGAAGGTGATGCTCCCATGACCGAAACGCCTACCATTAGCATGGAACTCTCAATATTGCTGCATTGGGAATCAAGTTTCCAACTCGTGAACTTTGAGGGACACATTCAAATCATAACATAGGCATTTTTATTACTACCATTTCATATATGAGGAAACCAAAGCTCAGAAAGAGTATATAACCTGCCCAAAGAGATACAGCTAGTAATGTCCAGCTTAGACCAAAACCCAAGCAGTCCTTACTCTAGTCGCTGCCCTTGAATCACTATGCTACAACAGACTCAAGAGACCTATGAGGAGCTCTAGTGATTCTGTATTCAGCACTGGCCTCCATAAACAGTAATTTATGGTGATTATATGTAAGATTGTTAGGTTCAAGTTTAGAAATTCAACAAATAGAAAATTGAGAAAAACACTTCTAGTTAAGACTCTTGGTCTTGGGGTCCTTAGAAGGGGCCCCACACTTTAGGTATGCTCCTTAAACAATAAGAACACCAAATGCACAAATAGAAAGATTAAGACATACACATAGAATAATACAATTTTAGATGACAACTGAAGAGGCCAAAACCATTAGGGTAGCTCACAACCTCCTTAAAAATCATTATGGTCATGAATTTCTTTTTGATGTCTAACCTAAATCTATCGAACTAAAATTTAAACCCCTTACTTCCTTAAGCATGAAGGATGACCATTTGCTCATTCATATATGTTCAAGGAAACTATATAAAATGGTGAGTGTAACTCTGCAAGCAAATAGTAACATTTGGGTAAATTCAGGTTCCTTATTGGGCAGAAGTTTTAGGCTGATGAAAAATTTTGTGAGTCTCAATTTCTCAGTAGTTGATGAATCTGTCAAGTGTTATTATATAGCCAACACTAAAGGTCTAGGTAATGATTATGCACACGGATGGCCCATGCCCTTCTACTCTTCTCCTTCTCACTGACTGACTGCTCCATATAATTGCTTGGTTTATTTGCAACTAAAATCTATCCATCTTGTTAATTGTTAGCAGACATGGTTAAAAATATTTGTTAGGAGTTACAATAACACTTAGTCAAAATAAAATTATATATTCTACAGTTATCTTTTTAAATATCCCCACTTTTCTGATAGACTCATATTGCTTTTTTCTCATATACCATGTCATTTTTAAAAAAGATTCATTCTCTTAATTTAGTCCTTGCCAATTGTCTATTTTTAGTGACAATCACGTGATCTGTACTTTTTATTGATGTCTTTCATTTTTAAATAGAATTTTTTTTAGCAGTTTAGTGTTCACAGCAAAATTGAGCAAAAAGTACAGAATTAACATATTCTCCATGCTGCCTCACACACACAACCATTTCCACTATCAACATCCCTCACCACAGCCATAGATTTGTTATAATAAATGAAATTACACTAACACATCATTTTAACCCAAAGTCCATAGTCTACATTAGGGTCCACTCTTGGTGTTATACATTCTCTGGGTTTTGAAACATGTATAATGAAATATATCCACCACTGTAGTATCATACAGAACTTTTTCCTTGCCTCAAAAATCCTCTGACTTCTGCCTATTCATCTCTCTCTCCCATCCAACTCCTGGAAACCACTGACCTGTTTACTGTCTCCATAGTTTTGACTTTCCCAGAATGCGATATAGTTGGAACCATACAATGTGTACCCTTTTTAGATTGGCTTCTTTCACTTAGTAATTATGCATTAAATTTCATCTATGTCTTTTCATGGCTTAACAGTTCATTTATTTTTAGTATTGAATAATATTCCGTTGTCTGAATGTACCACAGTTTATTTAGCCATTCATCCCTTGAAGGACATCTTGGTTGCTTCCAACTTTTGGCAATTATGAATAAAGCTGCTATGAATATCTATGTACAGGTTTCATGTGGACCTAAGTTTTCAGTTCATTGGTTAAATACCAAGAAGTGCAATTGCTAGATTATACGGTAAGATTATGTTTAATTTTGTAAGAAACAGCCAAATGTTCTTCCAAAGTGGCTGTAGCATTTTGCATTCCTACAAGCAATGAATGAGAGTTCCTGTTGTTCCACATTCTTGCTGGCATTTGATGTTTTCAGTGTTTAGGATTTCAGTGTTTAGGTCATTTTGATAGGTATGTGTGGTATCTCATTGTTCTTTTAATTTGCATTTCTCTAATAACATATGATGTTGAACATCTTTTCATATACTTATTTACCATCTGTAGATCTTCTTTGGTGAAGTGTCTGTTCAGGTCTTTTGCTTATTTATCAGGTTGTTTTCTTGTTGCTGACTTTTATAAGTTCCTTGTATATTTTAGATAAGTCTTTCACCAGATGTGTCTTTGGAAATATTTTCTATTTCATTGTTTCAATCTAAAATTATTCTGTGATTTCTAGAGTTATTCCTCTCTTCAATTAGTATTCTTTATTCATTGAATTTCTTTGAAAACTCATTTGTGTGTATATTTATTTAACAAATATTTATTAAGCACCTTTTAGCATTGTCCTAGATCGTGGGAATACAAGATTACAAAATGAATAAGACCTTTGATGTCTTTGGCTGGAAATAATTCAATCTGTCCACCATGTGAGATAATATAATAGATGCCACAATAGAAATACATGTAGGGCGTTATGGGAACAAAAGAGAGTTGCAATCCTTTTGGAATTGGTAGGGTCAAATGAATAACAACCATAACAATTAATAATATTTGAGATTTATTCATTGAGTTCTTACTTTGTACTTACGACTATGGCCAAGAGGTTTAGGTACATCTTCATATTTAAAGTTAACGATAACTCCATGAGGTATGCATACTTCAATTTTATTAAATTAAGGATTTCTGGTCAATGAAGGGTAACATAGAAAAAGTTGAGGGCTGGGCTCCATGGCTCACGCCTGTAATCCCAGCACTTTGGGAGGCCGAGGTGGGTGGATCACCTGAGGTCGGGCATTCAAGACCAGCCTGACCAACATGGAGAAACCCTGTCTCTACTAAAAGTACAGCAATTAGCCGGGTGTGGTGGCACATGCCTATAATCCCAGCTACTCGGGAGGCTGAGGCAGGAGAATCGCTTGAACCCGGGAGGCGGAGGTTGCAGTGAGCTGAGATCGTGCCATTGCACTCCAGCCTGGGCAACAAGAGTGAAACTCTGTCTCAAAAAGAAACCAAAAAAGAAAAGAAAAGAAAAGAAAAAGTTGAAAGACCAGGACAGAGTGGGGAGAACTTATCTGAAATATATAAAGCCAACAAAAGATTAAATATCTGGACTATGTGAGGAATCACTGCAAATAGACCAAAAAAGGGATAGAAAACACAACTTAAAAATGGGTAAACAGTATGAACAGGTAATTAACAAAAGAGGAAATCTGAAAGGTTAACAAGCATATGAAAACATGTTCAAAAGTATTAGTAATCAGATAAATGCGTATCTGAACTATCACTTTTCCCCTATTAGAATGGGAAAAAAACAAAAAAGAGAAATGCCAAGTGTGGGGATATAGGAATCCTCATGCTCTTCTGGTGGGAGTTTAGATGGAGATTTGCTTTTAGAAAGCAATCTGGCTCCACCTATTCAAATTAAATATGCCTATCTTTTAACCTGGCAATTCTTTCTTCCTTGCTCAAAGAACCCAAACTCCTTTTCTGAAGCAACATCACCAGCCCTCTTGGACAAACAGTGATTGATCTTGACTAATTCTAGCAATCCTGTACTGTTTGTCAGTGATTGGTCTGGAAATGGGCATGTGACCAAACCCTGGACAATCAAATATTAGAAGCTGTCTTCTAGGAGGCTACTAAGAATGTGTTCCTTGATAAAAGACAAGCATATAATATTTGGAGCTTCAGCAGACATTCTGCTACCATGAGAAACAAATCAGAATCCCAAAGCCAATATACTGAGGTGGCAGAGCAGGAGGGCTATTGAAGAAGTCATTGCGTTTGCACACCTACTTTGAAACAAGCTTTCAGTGGACTGCTAGTCTTGTCAGTTTATTAAATAACCTTATATCTTAAGTCACTTTTAGTAGGGGTTCTGTTACTCATGGGCAAAATCATCCTAACTGATTCAGTGCTCAAATTTTTGTTGAACAAATACAACTGTTACAAACATCACAAAACAAATTGTTCTCTTTGTCCATCTCCCTTTCTACCATAAAAGAGGTTAAAGAGGAAGAATGAGTGCAGATAACATAATTCTAAAAAATACTTGATTATGAAAATGGCTATCTATATTAAATCCTGTATTAGTTTCCTAGTGTTACAATATAAATTATTGCAAACTAGATTGCTTAAAACAACAGAAATTAATTGTCCCACAGTTCTGGAGGCTACAAGTTTGAAATCAAGGTGTTTTCAGGTCTATGGGCTCTCTGAAGACTCTAGGGAAGATATCCTTATTTGCTTCTTTCCTGCTTCTTGTGGCTTCTGGCAATCCTTGGCATTCTGGTTGTAGTTGCATCACTGTAATATTTTCCTCCATCTTTACATGGCCTTTTTTTTTTTCCTGTTTATGTCTGTGTCCTTTCCTCCTCTTATTAAGGACACCAGATATTGGATTTAGGGACCACTATAATTCAGTATGATCTTATATTAATCCTTACCTTGATTATATTTGCAAAGACTCTATTACTAAATTTGCTCACATTCTGAGGTTCTGGGAGTACATGAACTTGGGGGGAACACTATTCAACCAACTAAAAATTCTAAATATTTTATTGCATTTGTAGAAAGAATATCTGAACTTCAAACATTCCATTTTCATGACATTCTCAATGATATGTTTATAGTATCTTCTATTTGCAATTTACCTAGTAATCTCTGTCATATACAGTACATAACTTCTCATTACATCATTGTCATTGTAAGTCAATTCTACATTATGATACATTTTTTGTTAAACATAGTCATATTTATTCTGATTTTCATTAAAGGACATTACTGCTCTAAGTGTTACAGACACATAAGTATACTGGAAAGCAAGCAAACAACAAACAAAAAGGATCAAGTAAATAAAATTTTTAACAAAAAAAATTTAACGTAATTTCACGTAGTGATTTTTGGTGGCATGACATTTATTAATAGGCTCTCTATTTTTATTTTGTTTTTTTTTCCAGAGATGTTAATCATTAACTATGAAATCATTAGTGCCTATTCATTACAGAGATGTTATTCTCCCTGCTCTTGTGCTGAAAGTAATCCCAAACCATCATCTGGAAAATTACTACTCATCTGGAAATTATAAGAGAAGATTCTAAAGTTGAGAAATTTGAAATTCTTAATTTTTAGTACCCAGTGATACAGATTTCATCTATGAAATTCTTTTGAGAAAAATTCGATTAGTGATACATTTTATGTCGATTTCAAAATAATTCTTGTTCTTTGCTTCTTCATTTGTGTTTCTTAGTTTTGGTTGGATAAAAACAGAACTTCAACTGGCAAAGACACCGGGTCTTATTTCTGTCAAGGTCAATCAATATTAAGGGCCTATCACAAGCTTTTTTTGATAGATTGACAACCAAAAAGTATTAGATCTAATAGTTTAATAATGTGAGCTCTGGATACGGAAGATATTTAACCATTATTATTTTACTTTTTTGTCTAGTGGCCTCAATTTATTCACTTAAATATTTCATTTGCCTGAAGTGCTTGAACAAGAGAAAAAAAAGTCTGATCATTAAACTGAATTTGGCTAAATCAAGCAGAAAAAGCAGACCATTTCCAGCACTGAGCAGCTGCTGTTACCAGATATAAAAGGATAGAGAAATGTTAACTATTTCTTTTTAAAAAAAATTTAAAATGTTCATTTTTCTCCTGATAAAAAGGGGGTATGTCCTCTTTGTAAAAAATTTTATTTCCTGTCTCTGACTGGAAAATTCTCATTTAATTCCAAGCTGAAATTCCTTAGGAAAGCATTCCCTGACTACGTTATGTTGCCCTAGTGCATGGTGATTTCAGTCTGTATCTTGCCTATATTGAACTTATTACAATATAATTAATTAATAATTTGTCTGATCATCTGTTTAATCTGCCTTGTTCCATGAGGGCAGAAATTGTGTCTCTCTTATTCCCCACTGCATTCTCAGTTCCTAGCACATTCTTTAACACAGAGTAGATGCTTAATGAATAACTTGAGTGACTCAGAGGATAAATGAAAATAGAACATGCACACTCTTAATACTCAGGAAAAACAACTGGATAACATTTTAGTAAGTTTCCTTCTTATTTTTTTTCTATTTTTTCATGGTTGAACAATTACCCTTTATACAATTTTCTACACTATCTTTTCACTTAATATTAGCTACTTCTGCTCTTAATTATTTTTATTTAAGAAGCAATATAGATCCATAATAAAACCAACATAAATCCATGATAACAGTTCAAATAACATGAACAATGGAGAATAAAAGTCCTCTTCAACTCTGATCTTCATTTCCAAACCTCTAGGGAGTAACCACGGCTAACAGTTGAGGTACCTGTATTAGTTTCCTATTGCTACCATAATAAGTAACCACAAATTTAGTGGCTTAAAATAAAGCAAATGTATTACCTGGCACCTCTGAAGGTCTGAAGTCCAAATTGGATTGGTAGAGCTGTGTTCCTTCTGTAGACTCTAGGGAAAAATTAGTTTCTTTGTCTTTTCCAGCCTCTAGAAGCAACAGACATGCCTTTGCTGGTGGCCCTTCATCACTGTGACCACTGGTTTGGTCTTCACATCTCTTTCTCTTCTCTGACCCCCTTGCCCTCCTCTTAAAAGAACCCCTGTGATTACATTGGGCCTATCCAGATAAGTCATTATTATCTCCTTATCCCAATATCCTTACTTTAATACATTTGCAAAGTCCCTTTTGCCATATAAGGTAACATATTCACAAGTTCTAGGGATTAGGACATAGACATCTTCAGGGAGCCACTATTTTGCCTACCATGGTACATTTCTAGCAATTTTCTATAAAACACACACATTCCTCCCTACCCTTTCCATTATTCTAATATCTTCCTAAGAGAGATCTTTCAGGATGTCCCATACTTTACAATATGTGGTATGATTAAAATATCTACTAAATGTCCCTGGGATTTCAGAGTGTCACAAGATGCTTAACGAATAAAATCAATGTACAACTGAATAAAAATCAACTGAATAAAATTAATTGCACTTGTAGAAAATTCTCAGCCTCATGTAGAACTAAACTCTCTATTGATTGGCTTTATGCCAACAGAGCTGGTGGTTTCTTGTTTAACAATGGAGGACTATACTCTTAATGAGACAGCAAGTTTTACATTGCTAAAGCATTTGACATGGCTTTATGTTCAGGTCATTATGGCATTTTATAATAGCACAGGATTTCAAAAAATGAGACTTTGAAGGGCAGTTGCTCTATTCTTGTATTGAAGCACTGTTATTATGGCTTAGTCTGAAGTTAATGAGAAGGTCATGAGATGGAAATGGATTATAGCAGAATAACAAACTATTGTTAAATGGCTCACTGGAAGGAGGGAAGAAAAGTATTTCAGGCCAAACTGAAAAGGAATTTAAGGTGGTGCAATATCAAGATCATGATAGGAAATACATATAAATACAAGGAAATGGTATAAATACACTAGAATGAAAGCCCTTTGGCTTTACTTACTTTTTTCTACTTGTATTTTATTACATATATACTTTCCTTTTACTGAATTTTACCTTGCTCTGAAAACCATTTTTTTTTGAGATGGCGTTTTGCTCTGTCACCTAGGCTGGATTGCAGTGGCACGATTTTGGCTCACTGCAGCTTCTGCCTCCCAGGTTCAAGCGATTCTTGTGCCTCAGCCTACCGAGTAGCTGGGATTACAGGCACCCACGACCATGCCTGGCTAAGTTTTGTATTTTTAGTAGAGATGGGGTTTCATCATGTTGGCCGGGCTGGTCTTGAACTCCTGACCTCAAGTGATCCACCCGCTTTGTCCTTCCAAAGTGCTGGGATTATAGGTGTGTGCCACCATGTCCGGCCCCCAAAAACATTTTGACTGTTAGATATGAAATGCTTCCATAAAATAGTTTTGGCACAGATTTTTGTAGCAAACAGAATTGCCTATAGCAATATATAGTATTAAATATATTGTAAAATCTCTCTCAGGGTCTATATTCTTATCCTGATTAAATGTATCTTTTCCACTTATTTTATTTTGTAACAACATTTATTTAGCAGTCACAAAAGTATTTATAATAGGTTTATGTAAATTTTCCTTTCAAATAGCTCTGGATAAATATTTAAACCAGACTTCACTTGTATATAAATCCTAAACCTGCTCCACTTCCTGTGGTTCCTATGCTTTAAAAAATGGCACTGCCATGCATTCAGTTGTACAAGCCAGATATTTAAAAGTCGTCCTTGAAATTGTCCTCTCTCTTACTTCCCAAATATAATCCATCATCATGTTCTTTGAGTTGTAATTCTAAAATCCCTATTGGTTCCCTCCACTTTTCATCTCCACTCTTAACACTCTGGTCTAAGCTACCATTGCCTGGACTGTGGCAGTGGCCTTTTAAATGCTGTACCTAAAGCATTTCCCAGTTCTCCTCATTGGAAGCAACATAATCTTTCCCACTGTGATGCTTTCTTTTGCCCTTAGGATACAGACCAAAATCTAACCTGACCCACAAGTCCATGGAGAGAGGTGGTACCTGCTTAGCAATTCAGCCTCTCCCCTTAGCAATTTAGCACTCTCCCCTTTGTTTTCTGAACTGCAAGACCAGTGTAATTCTGTAAGTTCCTCTAATAAGCCAAGCTCTGTTATGCCACACGTCTTTGGAAGGGCTGTTTCCTCTGCCTTGAAAGCTCTTCCTTCTTCTCCGTATCTACCTCATTAACTCATTAATTTCAGCTCAGTCCATTTCCTCAGAGAAACTTACTCTGATTTTTCTTAAATGGTCTCCTATTAGAATTTTACATTTCTATAAATGCTTCTATTATTAACGTCTGGCTCCCCTGGACTGTGTGTGAGCTCTGTAAGGCCAGGAACTTGTTCAATTTTTGCTCTCTCCTGTATTGCTGGTGCCTAGCACAATACCTGGTACATAGTGCTTAATAAATATTCATTGAGTGAATGAGTAACACAATTGTGTTCCTGGTGCATAAGGAAGCAGAGGGAAAAAGAGAATTAAAAAGAAGATATGGAAGGGATATAGGTAAGAGGAGGGGGCAAGAATAAAATAAAGAGTGATCTAATTGTGATCTTAGATTCTGTAGGGTCAATCTTAAGTTGTCATTCGATTGAAGAACAACAGTAAAAACAGCATGGATAGGCTTTGTGGCATGACTTACTGTGAGGGTCAGTTATAAAAACTTTTATTAGAGAAGCCAGAAATATATATGCGTGTGTGTGTGTGTGTGTGTGTGTGTGTGTGTGTAATTTTGATCAATCAAATACTCATATTTGGTTTTAGTTGCCAAATTGTATTAACTCACTTAATGAATATCTCAATAATAAATTAATGAATAACTAAATTGAGTTCTAGTTTAAACGCAGACTATGGTTAACAATTCTAACCATACAAATTATAAACAATGCTATCTCATATACTCACAGATAAAAGGAATTATTATTTCCAATATTGAATCGTGTTTACAACTGCTCATGTCCTTCATTTAGGTAGGAAGCTGCCTCTATCCTGCACTTGAAAATCAGCAGTTTAATGAAACAAACAAACAAACAAATAAAGAGGAATACAAATCTACTTCTTTAGCATGATAATGAGTATTCTAATCCAATAACTAATGATAAACTTAATGAAAAGCTGCTAAAACCTTAATTTTAAAACAAAAACAAAATAAAAAAAGCTACTTGCTATCAACTTTATAAATATTGAGCCATAACAAGCTGTGAAAAAGAAATCGAGAAAGAATACTATAAAGGGACAAAAAGATAATTGACAGACATTGTAGAACTAGAAAAGTCCAGTCTGTTGAACAAAAGTTTTTAAATAATTTTCATTATTAAAATAATTCTTATTAAAATAATGAAAGAACAGTTGGACATGAAATATGATCTGTATATTGGCAATAACTGATTTGAATATATAATGAATATTACAGATATTACACACATATATAATAATTTTTATATATTTCCTACCAAATAAAAAAATACATTAAGTGTTTTAACGAATGTTAAAAATACTTAGGAAATAGTTTAATCATCGATATCTGTGGCTTAAAGTTTTACTGAAAATAATTTTTTTTTTGAGATGGAGTCTCATTCTGTCGCCAGGCTGGAGTGCAGTGGCGCAATCTTGGCTTACTGCAGCCTCCGCCTCCCGGATTCAAGCAATTCTCCTGCCTCAGCATCCTGAGTAGCTGGGACTACAGGTGCACACCACCACGCCCAGCTAATTTTTTGTATTTTTAGTAGAGATGGGGTTTCACCATGTTGGCCAGTCTGGTCTCGAACTCCTGACTTCAGGCAATCTGCCCACCTCAGCCTCCCAAAGTGCTGGGATTACAGGCGTGAGCCACTGTGCCTGGCCAAAAATAATTTTTTAAAATCTCTCAAATAAATAGATCTCCATGTTCTCAGATGAGAAGAGTAAATATAAAGATGTCAGTTTCTATTAAACTTATTAATAGATTTTGTATAATCCCACTAAAAATCCAAGTAGCATTTCTTTTAACTTGAACAAATTTGTGTAAAATTTGGTTAGAAAATTTTCAGGTGAAATCAATAATTTTGTGAAAAATGAAATAGCAAAATGGTTAGCCCTAATGGTTAAATATTAGGACATATTAAAAGCAACAATAATTAACATGGCACTGGCCTCAAAATAGTTGTGTAGAAGGAACAGAATACCTAGAAATACCGCCTTTTTCTTTTTTTTGAGACAGTTTCGCTCTGTTGCCCAGGTTGGAGTGCGGTGGTGCGATCTTGGCTCACTGCAACCTCTGTCTCCCAGGTTCAAACAATTCTCGTGCCTCAGCCTCCCAAGTAGCTGGTATTTTAGGCATGTACCACCACGCCCAGCTAATTTTTGTATTTTTAGTAGAGATGGGGTTTCGCCATGTTGGCCAGGCTGATCTCAGAACTCCTGGTCTCATATGGTCCACCCGCTTCAGCCTCCCAAAGTGCTGGGATTACCGGCTGCACCCAGCTGAAATATTCTATTTCTTCTAACAATTTCATAAAGGAATATCACAAGGAAATGGGAAAGGTAAGGACTATGTACAAAATTTTTTGAATAACAACACTGATACAGAATCTGTGTCCCCACCCAAATCTCATGTGGGGTTGTGATCCCCAATATTGGAGGTGGGGCCTTGTGGGAGGTGATTGGATCGTGGTGGTGGATGAGTGGATTACTCATGAATGGTTTAGCAGCATCTCCCTTGGTACTGTCCTCAGGATAGTGAGTTCTCCTGACATCTGGCCATTTAAAAAGTGTGTATCACCTCCCTCCTCTCTCACTGCTCTGGCCATGTGACGTACTGACTCCCACTTTGCCCTCCACCATGATTGTAAGTTTCCTGAGGCTTCCCCAGAAGCTGAGAAGATGCTAGCATCATGCTTCCTGTACAGCCTATGGAACCTCTTTTCTTTACAAATTAGCCAGTCTCAGGTATTTCTTTACAGCAATGGGAGAACAGCCTAATACAAATACCAGTTTTGGTAAAAATAGTGGTAGATCATTATAGCAATGGCCTCCTGGGAATCCTGTTTCCTGGTATCCTTGGGATCTGGAAGCTTGGAAACCTTGCATCCTTGGGCTTGGACACATCACAAAGTTTTGGGTGGTTTGTTATGTAGCAATAGACAATTCACATATTATCTTATAGAACATACAGTAGCCCTCCCTATTTGTGGTTTTGCTTTCCATGATTTCAGTTAGCCATGGTCAACTGTGGTCTGGCAATAGGTAAGTATGGCAGATTTTGAGAGAGAGAGAGATCACATTCACATAAGATTTATACAGTATATTGTTATAACTGTTCAATTTTATTATTATTTTTGTAAATATCTTACTATGCCTAATTTATAAATTAAACTTTATCATAGATACATATATGTAGGAAAAAACAGTACATATAGGGTTCAGCGCTATCTGTGATTTCAGGTATCCACTGGGGGGCTTGATACATATCCCCCTTGGATAAGGGGGACTCCTGTACCAAAATATATTCCAGATAGTTAAACGTAAAATTAACACAAAATAAAACTAGTAAAAAATAAATATTAGAAATGTGCCACCCGCAGATGTTTGCATCGCTAGTTCTTTCTTGTCATTCAGGTCTCAGATTTCACACCACCTTTGCAGAGAGGTTTTCACTGACCACCTCACTGAAGTAGTGTCTCCCTCTCCCTTCAGTTTCTGTCATCTTACCTTATTTGTATCACCATGAGAATTTATTGTATTCATTTTTCTTTTTTCTTATTGTCTGTTTTCCTTACTGGAATGTAAGGTTCGTGAGAGCAAGAACCTCCTATGTATTTCCAGCTACAATATCCTGGTATGTTATGTCAACTAAAGAAAAAAAAACAGGCTTTTAAATAATTAAAGTTAATTTTATTCAGAAGTCCTACTGAGTACTGCAACCTGGGAGAATCTTTCAAAGAGTTTGTTATATTGCTGCAAAGCATTGATTCACCCCATAGCTTAAACATAGGTGGTGGTTGCTCTGCATGTGTTAAGAAGTTACATCAAATGTGCTCAGAAATTACATTAATGACATGGTTTGGCTGTGTCCCCACTCAAATCTCATCTTGAATTGTAGCTCCCATAATCCCCATGTGTCAATGGTAGGACCCGGTGGGAAGTAATTTAATCATGGGGGCAAGTTTTTCCCCTGCTGGTCTCATGATAGTGAATAAATCTCAGGAAATCTGATGGTTTCATAAAGGGCAGTTCCTCCGCACATGCTCTCTCTCTTGCCTTGCTGCCAGGTAAGATGTGTCTTTGCTCCTCCTTTGCCTTCTGTCACGATTGTGAGGCCTCCCCAGCCATGTGGAACTGTGAGTCCACTGAACCTCTTTTTCTTTATAAATTACCCAGTCTTGGCTATTTCTTCACAGTAGTATGAAAATGGACTAATACAGTAAATTGGAACTGAGGTAGTGGGGCTCTGCTATAAGGTTAACAGAAAATGTTGAAGCAACTTTGGAACAGGGTAACAGGCAGAGGTTGGAACAGTTTGGAGGGCTCAGAAGAAGACAGGAAAATGTGGGAAACTCTGGAACTTCCTAGAGACTTGGAGGGCTCAGAAGACAGAAAGATGTAGGAAAGTTTGGAACTTCCTAGAGACTTGTTGAATGGCTTTGATCAGAAGGCTAATAGGGATACGGACAAAGAAGTCCAGGCTGAGGTGGTCTCAGATGGAGATGAGGAACTTGTTGGGAAATGGAATAAAGGTCACTCTTGCTATGCTTTAGCAAAGAGACTGGTGGCATTTTGCCCCTGCCCTAGTTATCTGTGGAACTTTGAACTTTAGAGAGATGATTTAGGGTACCTGAGGGAAGAAATTTCTAAGTGGCAAAGCGTTCAAGAGGAAGCAGAGCATAAAAGGAAAACTTGCAGCCTGATGACGTGATAGAAAAGAAAAACCCATTTTTTGCGGAGAAATTCAAGCCTGCTGCAGAAATTTGCATAAGTAACAAGAAGCCACATGTTAATTACCACGACAATGGGAAAAATGTCTCCAGGGCATGTAAGAGGTCTTCCTGGAAGTCCCTCTCATCACAAGCCAGGAGGCCAAGGAGGAAAAATGGGTTTATGGGCTGGGCCCAGGGCCTTGCTGCTTTGTGCAGTCTCAGGCTGCTCACATGTGATATTGGGACTGTGGGTGCACGGAAGTCAAGAATTGAGGTTTGGGAACCCTGCCTAGATTTCAGAGGATGTATGGAAACACCCGGATGTTCAGGCAGAGGTGTGCTGCAGGGGCAGGGCCCTCATGCACGACCTCTGCTAAGGCAGAAGGGCAATGCAGAAGGGAAATGTGGGGTGGGATCCCCCACACAGAGTCCCCACTGGGGCAGTGCCTAGTGGAGCTGTGAGAAGAGGGCCACCATCCTCCAGACCCCAGGATGGTAGATCCACCAACAGCTTGCAGCATATGCCTGGGAAAGCCAGAGACACTCAATGCCAGCCTGTTAAAGCAGCTGGGAAGGAGGCTGTATCTTGCAAAGCCACAGGGGCAGAGCTGCCCAAGACCATGGCAACCTACCTCTTGTATCAACGTGAACTGGATGTGAGACACGGAGTCAAAGCAGATCATTTTGGAGCTTTAAGATTTGACTGCCCTGCTGGATTTTGGACTTGCATGGGCCCTGTAGTCCCTTCATTTTGGCCTATTTCTCCCATTTGGAATGGGTGTATTTACCCAATGCTTGTACCCCCATTGTATTTAGGAAGTAACTTAACTTGCTTATGATTTTACAAGCTCATAGGCAGAAGGGACTTGCCTTGTCTCAGATGAGACTTTGGACTGTAGACTTTTGAGTTAATGCTGAAATGAGTTAAGACTTTGGGGGACTGCTGGTAAGGCATGATTGCTTTTGAAATGTGAGGACAGGAGATTTTGGAGGGGCCAGGGTGGAATGATATGGTTTGGCTGTGTCCCAACCCAAATCTCATCTTGAATTGTAGCTCCCATAATCCCCAAGTGTCAAGGGAGGGACCTGATGGGAAGTAATTTAATTATGGGATCAGTTACCCTCATGTTGTCATGGTAGTGAGTTCTCACGAGCTCTGATGGTTTTATTTATCTATCTATTTATTTATTTTTATTTTATTTCATTTTATTTTTTGAGACAAAGTCTGGCTCTGTTGCCCAGGCTGGAGTACAGTAGCGTGATCTTGGCTCACTGCAACCTCTGCCTCCCAGGTTCAAGCGATTCTCCTGCCTCAGCCTCCCTAGTAGCTGGTATTACAGGCATGTGCCCCCACACTGAGCTAATTTTGAAACATGGGGTTTTGCCATGTTGGCCAGGCTGGTCTTGAATGCCTGACCTCAGATGATCTGCCTGCCTCGGCCTCCCAAAGTGCTAGGATTACAGGTGTGAGCCACTGCACCTGGCCTCTGATGGTTTTATAAAGGGTAGTTCCTCTGCACATGCTCTCTCACCTGCTGCCATGTAAGATGTGCCTTTGCTCCTTCTTCATCTTCTACCATGATTGTGAGGCTTCCCCAGCCATGTGGAACTGTGAGTCCACTAAGCCTTTTTCTTTAGAAATTATGCAGTCTTGGGTATTTCTTCATAGCAGTATGAAAATGGGTTAATACAAGTAAAGTCTCATCAAAGTGTGGGTATGAAGTTACATCTGGTCATGAATTTGAGGCATAATCATTAATCTTGTCAGACATTATCTTATGTACAGGAAGAGGCAAGGGCTAGGATCACCAAACTTACCTTTTGTAAAAATTCAGTGATTCAGGCAAGAGATGTGCAAACCTATTCCCTATCCTGCTTATGGTCTTCAAGGCATTCTTCCACAAGGCTGCTCACAGTCAATGAGTCAGGGGCTTTGTGAAATATTGCTGGCAAAGGAGCAGAATGAGCAAATGGCTTCTTATCTTTGCTACTTTGTTTCATAATCATCAGCATCCAATAGATATCTGTTGAATTAATGAATACATGGAAGATATTCTGGCAGTGTATTTACTTTCTAGGATTCACGTAACGGAAAACCTAAATTTGACTAAATAGCATGAAACCTCTCACAAAGTGCAATAGCAAAAGAAACAAATAAAAGGAAAAGAGAGACAAGAGAATGGGAAAAGCAATAGCATAAAATATGGCAAAGGCTAATGTTACTTATTTATAAATATATTATTCAAATTCATATGCAAAACATAAATATATAAACAAAGAATTTACATCAGAGGACACAGAGATAGTTTAGAAACACAAGAAAGACATCAGATCTTGATAGTAACCAAAGAATTATAAGTATAGTTACCTAGGGGTAACATTTCATACCAAAGAATTTAAAGGAAAAAAAATGGTATGGTTTGGTGTTGTGTATTCTGATAGTGCTGTAAGCTTGTTCATTTTGGAAAGCAACATCATTTATAGTTATTAAAATGTTTTGGAATATTTTGACCCCAAATTCCTAGTTCAGGAAAATTATACAAACAAAATAATTCAACAGATTTAAAAAGCCAAACACACAAAAGATACTCTTTACAATATTATTTTCATAGTAAAACTTAAAAACTTTGCATTGTGCAGCAGAGGGACAATTACTTTGGCTGAGGCATCAATAATGGATGGAATTTTATCTCACCATTAAATGTTAAAATTGTGAGGAAGCAGCGTGGAAACGTTTATGTCATACTAGATGAAATGCATAAATTAAAACTGAACTCACATAATAAAGAGAATGGTGGACCATACATATACACCAGCTGTGTCTCTTCCAGATAGGCTTTAGTTCCATAATTACAGAAGATACTCAAGAAACAAAAACGTAACTAGCTTCCCATGTTAATCCTTTCACCAGGTAGTAGACCCCAAGCCTCTAAATTGCAGCGCCCACCCACATTTTCCATTTATAGTTTATCCAATTAATCATCTTTTTGTGCCAAAACGCTTGTTCTTCCCACCACATCCAGCTTCATATTTTCAAAGAATTGGCAGCACTCGGCAAAATAAATAAATAAATAAATAAATAAATAAATAAAATAAATAAGGGAACAGAGAAATAAGTTTTTAAAGTTTAAGGAGTTACGGGTTTTCCCTCCACTCACCTTTCAATTTTTTTTCTTAAATGTTATACCTATTTTACAACCTCCAAACTGAAAATGCAGTTAAAAATAAAAAGGTCAATATCCTGCGTCTACCTTGTCCCGGACTCTCGAGCTCCACAAAACCGCAGAGTTCTAAAGCCGGACCAGAGGGCCACCTCGAAGAGGCGCGGATGGTGTCGCAAAAACCCGCAGCGCTACTTTACGGCACTGCCTCCGCCCCTTCAGGTGCGGGAAGTCTGAAGCCGGTAAACATGGCCGTCACCGACAGCCTCAGCCGGGCTGCGACTGTCTTGGCAACTGTGTTGCTCTTGTCCTTCGGCAGCGTGGCCGCTAGTCATATCGAGGTAGGAGTCAGGCTCATTTGACCACAGCCGGGAGGCCGGCTGTGAGCCCTCCAGCAGATGTCCGATACACAGTAGCTGAGGGACGCCTCCTGGAGTCAATCAGCCCCTGACCCAGGCTGGGTTTGAGGAGGGTATCACTGGGCACGGGTTAGGACACTGTTGGTCTGTTTCAGCGTTTTAAAACGATGAATTGAAATAATCAAACCCTCGGAGACAGAGGAGGACCTGATCCTTTGCTCCTACATGTGTGCAGTTCTTAGGTGAAATACGAGCAAGAGGCTCGTGAAATGTCAGTGTGCAGCAACTGCTTTCCTACTACTCAACTGCAGCCCTCTGTTTTGATAGGAGTCAGACGGAACTGGAGAGATGAGGGCAATTTTAAGAATCCAGATAATAGAATTTAGTGATAATTAGAACATGGGATAAATATAAGTGTTTATTAAAACTCTCAAGTTTCTGGCTTAGGGGCAACACGTCTGGGTTAAGAAATGGAAGAGAAAAGGGGTGCTTAGTTTTATCCTGGGCTCCTCCAGCTTCCCATTTTTAAACGTGGACACAGGATGTTCTGGTGCTCTATAATGCTTTTACTATTCACCATACTCTGATGATTCCTCAGTCCCGGTCTACAATCTAGATGTCTGGTATCTTTTTCAGGCCTGCATATCCAGCTGACTAAGAATCCGGGATAGTCAGGAGACATTTGAAAATCCGTGTGCAAAGTTTTATCTTCTGCTTATCCTACCTCCTCTTAAAAAGACACTGAAAAACTAAGCACCCCTTTTCTCCTCCATTTCTCAACCAGATGTGCTGCTCCTAAGCTAGAAACCTGAGAGTCTTAATCTCTTTATCCCATATTCTAATTATCACTAAATTTTGTGATCTGAGTTCTTAAAATTGCCCTCACCTCTCCAGTTCCACTGACTTAATTCAGGCTGTGATCACTTCTTGTCTAGACTCTTGCGATTACTTTATCTTGTTTTCCATAGGCCTCCATACTCCCTGAGTTTGGTGCTAGATTCGTCTACACGAAATGTAAGCCTGATCAGGTTATTCTTCTGATGAAATCTTTTAAATATTTATTAATTGCATACAGAATAAAGTCTAAACGTTATGACCTGGTGCTTGCCTACTTTTCCAGTGTTCCATATTGGAACCTCTTCTCCCCACCACCTGGGCACCTTGAGCTTAGACCAGTGGACTCCAAACTTTTTGAATACACACCCTATCAGTTAAAAAAAGATATTGAGCATGAACTTCATATATATTTATGAATTACTGTTAATTTATATATTTGATGTTTATATAGCATAATTTTTAGAGAACATAAATATGAGTAAATAGAAGTTCTGTTTCCCTCCTTTATTCTAACTTTGACTGCTTCATCTTGGATACTATTACTGTTTTTTGTAGTTACATAATTGCTGTGCTTTTTCACATTACAATATTTTATACATTGTGTTTCCTCTGTTCATGTGCTAAGATACAGTAAAGGCATAACCTCTGTAGAACGTTTCCCTATCTCTTACCTTTGCCTTTACTCTTGTAATTTGTACACTTGATACAGCACTCATTTACTATAACCCGTGTATGGTTTGTACTGTTATTCCATCATATCTCACTTAGAGATAGGAGCAACAGTTTCCTAAATGTTTTGCCTTGAGTCGTTGTTTTTTCCTTTCAATCTGTTCTCCAAATTGAAGCCAGAGTAACTTTTAAAAATGCAGTTCCAATCATGTCACCCAGGGACCTTGATGTTGCTCAAAAGATCACCTTAATGTTGCTCTAAACTCTCCACCATGACCCACAAACAAAAACCCTGCATATTTTTTGGGCCCTGACTACACTTCAAATTTTTTCTTTCTCTTTCAAACTTCTAGTTAGGCTAACTTTCTTTCAGTTTCTCAAAACCTTTAAGCTTTTTCTCACATTAGAGCTGTCTCCCCTCTGTCTGGAATTGTATTTCCTCTTTTCTTCATCTTTTGGATTTTAACCCAACAGTCACTTCTTTAGGAAAACTTTCCTGACCAGGTCAGGTCCCTCTGTTGTACTCTTATTATATTGTGTGTCTTTCCTTATCTGTTAAATGTATATCTATCCAATTAGATAGTAACCTATTTGAAGGCAGTACTATGGCTATTTTTGCCCAGCATTGTATTTGGAGCACTCAGGGCAGTGACTGGCATGTTGCCCAATGAGTGTGATGAATTAATGAATGTAATAATTATAGTGTAATGTGTTTGCATGCTCCTCTTTATTGAACTCTGGATTCTTGAGAGAAAGCAGCATGCTTTTTAGTGATTTTTGTATCACTATATATTAATGGTATCTGGCACATAATAGGTGCTGCATTTACTGTATGTAGAATGAATAACTTTATAATGACTGTATTGTCTAGACAACCACAAAAAAGTTTTGCCATCTAAATTTTTTCACTAAGGTCTGAAAGAAGTAAGAACTTTGGAGGTGGAAGGCACATTAGAGACATGAGGATAGTCAAGTCTAAAGAGCTAAATGACTTACCGCAATTTCACAGCCAGTTGCGAGATAGGACCTAAATTTTAGCTTAGGTCTTTGAATTCCCAAATCAATGCTTAACCACTGTAGCACATTGCTTTCTTTAACATCCAGGCAGCTGTTGAGTTTGGAGGGGGAAAAATACACACACACACACCCCCCCACACACACATGCCACACACACACTTTTTGTTCAGGTTATTATTCTATATTTATCATGTCAATTTATCAGAAACAATGCTTAACAATAGACAACCCATTATAGTTTCATTTAATGTGAAATACTATGTTATTGCCTTGCTAAATTAAGGGTATTTTATCCTAGCCATAGTAATTTCAGAGATCAGTTTTTTCCATCTCTATTGGTAGTTAACGTAAGAATTAACTTGTATTACTACAGCAAATGATATTCTAATGAAAATTGATATTCTTGAGGGTTACATGTACACTCTAAAATCTGTTAATGATATTTCACAAATCTCCAGAAATAGATACTTTACTTTCTGACCAATGTTGTATTCTCTTTAAGCGATGCCTCTCTTTTTGTAATATGTATATTTTAATTGGCACAATAATTGTGCATATTTATGGGGTATATAGTGTGATATTTTCAGACATATTCAATATGAAATGATCAAATCAGAGTAATCAGCATATCTGTCACCTCAAAACTTTATCATTTCTTTGTGTTGATAATATTCAAAATGTTAGAAAAGATTTCTAGGTAGTTGAGAAAATATAATAAATTATTGTTTACTATAGTTACTCTAAAGTGCTATAGAAGGCTAGAACTTATTCCTGCTATCTGTAATTTTGTATCTGTTAACGAATGTCTCTCTGTACTCCCCCCGTCACCTTCCTATTCTTCCCAGCCTCTATTCTACTCTATTTCCATGAGATCAAGTTTTTAAAAATGTCCGTATCTGGGTGATATTGAAATTAAAAAATTTAAATTTCTGTGCCTGACTTATTTCACTTAATGTAATTTCCTCCAGGTTCATCCACGTACCTGTTTATGAAAGGATTTTATTCTTTTTATGGATGAATAATACTCCATTTTATATATACACGTGTGTGCACGCACACACACACATTTGCTTTATCCATTCATCTACTGATAGACACTCAGGTTGATGCTATATCTTGGTTATTGTGAATAGTGCTGCAATAAATATGGAGTGTAGATATCTCTTTGGCCTACTGGTTTCCTTTCCTTTGAATATATGCCCAGTAGTGGAATTGCTGGATCATATGGTAGTTTTATTTTGAGTGTTTTGAGGAGCTTCCATACTGTTCACTATAGTGGCTATACTAATTTACATTCCCACCAGCAGTGTATAAGAATTCCCAATTCCCTTTTGTCTACATCTTAACTAGCATTTGTTATTTTTTTGTCTTTTTGATAATAGGCACTAAGATGATATCTCATTGTGGTTTTGGTTTGCATATCCTTGGTGATTAGTGATATTGAGCATTTTTTCATACACTTGTGGGCCATTTGTATGTCTTTTGAGAAATATCTATTCAGATCCTTTGCTCGTTTTTAATTAGATTATTTGGTTTTTTTTGCTGTTAGCATAAGTTTGAGTTCCTTGTATATTTTGGATGTTAATCCCTTATTGGATGAATAGTTTGCAAATATTTCAGGATTGCTTTTCTATTTCTGTGAAGAATATCATTGGTATTTTGATAGAGATTGCATTGAACTGTAGATCACTTTAGGTGATGTGGTCATTTTAACAATACAGTATTTATTCTTCCAATTCAATGCATGGAAGCATTTTCATCTTTTTGTGTTCTCTTCATTTTCCATCAATATTTTGTAGTTTTCATTGTAGAGATTTTTCACTTCTTGGTTAAATTTATTCCTAGGTGTTTAATTTTTCTGTAGTTATTGTAAGTGGGATTGCATTCCTGATTTTTCTTCAACTAGTTCATTATTGGTATATAGAAACGCCATTGATTTTTGTCTATTGATTTTTGAGTCTTGCAACTTTACTGAATTAGTCTTATCAGTTCTAAGAGTTTTTTGTGGAGTGTTTAGGTTTTTCTAAATATAAGATCATGTTGTTTGTGAACAAGGACAGTTTGACTTCCTCCTTTTCAGTTGGGATGCCTTTTATTTCTTTCTCTTGATTAATTGCTCTGGCTAGAACTTCCAGTGGTATGTTGATAAGAGTGGTGAGAGTGGGTATCCTTGTCTTGTTCTAGTTCTTAAAGGGAAAGATTTCAACTTTTCCCTGTTCAATATGATGTTGGATGTGGGTTTTCATAGATGGCCTTTTTGTGTTTAGGTGTGTTCCTTCTATACCCAATTTGTTGAGAGTTTTTATCGTGAGGGGATGTTGAATTTTATCAAATGCTCTTTCTGTGTCTACTGAGACAGTCATATGTTTTTTGTCCTTCATTTTGTTGATGTGATACATCATGTATATTGATTTGCAATTAACACTACTCTATTGTGGTGTATTATCTTTTTGTTGTGCTGTTGGATTCAGTTTGCTAGTATTTTGTTGAAGATTTTTGCATCTATGTTCATCACGGGTATTGGCCTGTAGTTTCCTTTTTTTTGTTGTATGCTTGTTTTCTGGTTTTGTTATCAGGGTAATGCTGGCCTCATAAAACAAATTGGGAAGAATTCCTTCTTCAGTTTTTTTGGGATAGTTTGAGAAGAATTGGTGTTAGTTCTTTAAAAGTTTGGTAGAATTCAGCAGTGAAGCCATCCCGTTCTGGGCTTTTCTTCATTGAGGGACTTTTATTACTGCTTCAAGCGCATTACTCAGCCTCAGTCCATTCAGGTTTCTCTTTCTTCCTGATTCAGTCATGGTAGCTTGTATGTGTTCAGGAATTTATCCATTTCTTCTAGATTTTCCAGTGTATTTGTGTATAGTTGTTTATAATAGTCTCTAGTGATTCTTTGTACTTCAGTGATCCATTTGTAATATCTCCTTTTTTGTTTCTGAATATATTTATTTGGGTCTTCTCTTTTTCTTAGTTTGGCTAAAGGTTTGTTGATATTGTTTATTTTTTTAAAGAGCCAGCTTTTTGCTTCATTGACTTTTTTTGTATTTTTTAATTCTCTTTTGTTTATTTCTGCTCTGATCTGTATTATTTCTTTTCTTATTTTGTGTTTGGTCTGTTCTTCTCTAGTACCTTGAGATGTGTTATTAGGTTAAATCTTTGTACTTTTTGATGTAGGCGATTATTGCAATAAACCTACCTTTTAGTACTGTTTTGCTGTATCTCATAGGTTTTGTTATGTTGTGTTTCTATTTTCATGTATTAAAGGAAATTTTTAATTTTCTTATTAATTTCTTCTTTGACCCATTGGTTGTTCAGGAGCGTGTTGTTTAATTTCCATATATTTGAACATTTTCCAAAATTTGTCATGTTAATTGATTGCTAGTTCTTTTCTATTGTAGTCAGAAGAGATTTTTGACATAATTTTGATTTTTTCAAATTCACTGAGGCTTGTTTTGTGCCTACCACATGGTCAGTCTGTCCTGGAGAATGTTCCACGTGCTGACGAGAAGAATGTGTAATCTGCCATTGTTGGAAGAAATGTCCTGTAAATGTCTGTTAGTTCTGTTTGCCTGTAATCCCAGCACTTTGGGAGGCTGAGGCGGGTGGATCACTTGAGGTCAGGAGTTCGAGACCAGCCTGGCCAACATGGTGAAACCCTGTCTCTACCAAAAATACAAAAATTAGCTGGGTGTGGTGATGCACACCTGTAGTCCCAGCTCCTCGGGAGGCTGAGGCAGGAGAATCGCTTGAATCTAGGAGGTGGAGGTTGCAGTGAGGCAAGATCATGCTACTGCACTCCAGCCTGGGTGACAGAATGAGACTCCATCTCAAAAATAAAATAAATTCAATGTTTCCTTGTTGATTTTCTGTCCAGATGATCCGTCCAATGGAGAGTGGAGTGTTGAAGTCCCCACCTAGTATTGTATTGTGATCTCTTCTCTCCCTTTAGATCTAATAACATTTGATTTATACATCTGGGTGCTCCAGTGTTGGGTGCATACATACTTATAATTGTATGCTCTCTTGCTGAATTGATTCCTTTATCGTTGTATAGTGACCTTTGTCTCTTTTTTATAGTTTTTGATTTAAAGTCTTTTATCTGATCTAAGTACAGCTACTCCTGCTCCCTTTTGTTTTCCATTTGTGTGGAATGTCCTTTTTCATTCATTCACTTTGTCTATGCGTGTTTATAGGTGAAGTGAGTTTCTTGTAGGCAGCATATACAATACTTGGGTCTTTACACTTGTGTGTGTGCTTGTACACACAGGTACAGATGTGTGTACAAGTGGAAGTTTAAATTTATTCTCCCTGAAATTTTCTTGTTAGCTCAAAATTAAAGCTGTTAATGTTTTTCAGACTAGTAGTATGTTCCAGTCACTATTCCTACATTCTCTGAGTCAGATAATATTATTACTGTTTTATAGATGGAGATTTGGAGGCACAGAAAAGTTAAAGAACTTTCCTGTTTATACACCTAGTAAGTAATAGAGCCCAGATTCGAACCTAGACATTCTGACAGGTCTAGTAATTAATGTTTGGGAGCTGATCTGAGGTCAGTATGGCTTATATCCACTATTATTTTAATATATAATCAAAATCATGTTCATTAGGTGTCAGGATGGTGTTAGAAAATTTTAGTGTCTTGAGATGGCAAATATAATTTAGACTTACTTTAATAGATTGGTGAAGTGGTCCCTGGCAGAATGCTAGAGGATGTGCTCAATCAGCTATATTGGTGAGTTCAAATAAAGTACCTAGTAAGAATGGATACTGAATGAAATTTTTAACAGGAAGCATATTAACTTATGTGTAGAATGAAGACATGAAATAAGTCATTCACAATTACAGGACTGAATGGAAAATTAGAAGCATATGAAGAAGACCTGTCTGTGTTTGAGAAAAAATGTTTAAAAGCAATCAGGCCCCTCTCTCTTTCAATTATATCTCCCAGAAAAAAAAAAAAAAAGAAAGAAAGAAACCTCAGCAATCTTTATGGGTGTTGTAGCACATTTGTCTGATCTTTAATTTTTAATATTGTGACCAATATTAAAGAATTGGTTAACATAATTGCAGAGATTTTAGAGAATCAACTGAGATGACTATTAAATGATTAAAGGATTAAAAAGATGTCTATGAGAAGTTCAAAGAGTGATAATTTTGTTTTTGTTGAGGATGTAGGGAGATTATATCTCACAAGCAATTCACGAGGATAAAAATTATCTGTATGGCATTACTAAAAGTGAAATATTAATCTTTGGTTAAATTCCTGGCATATGCATTTTTACCTTGCCTTCTCACTGTAGAGAGTGATCACTTTAATAGAGGAATTATCAGAGTACAACCTAAAAGGAGATTTTGAAAGTTACAACTTTATAGTACAACCTTTATGTAATAACCTTCTTACCATATTCTGAACCTATCAACCATGCGGTTTCAGTTTTCCATAGATGACTCTTGATTTGTTCACCGAGAGTAAAGGCATTTGGACCATGGATTCATTAATTCAAAAAATATTTATTAAAAACCCACTATATGCCAAACTTACTTGGAATACATCATTGAATATAACTGATGAAAGCCCCTGCCTTACTGAAGCTTACATTGTTTTGGGAAAGACAGACGATTAATACACATAATAAATAAGTTAATTATATATATAATGTAAGAAGATGATAAACACAGTAGAAAAAATAAATTATAGTAAGAAAAATGGTGGGGCGAGGTTGCAGTTTTAAATAATAGCCTTGTTAAATGTTGAACAAGCAGATTGTACGTTCTTAATTGAACATACATTCTACTTTCTTAATAATTCTCAGGGTACGGGAAATAGAAAGATATGAGTTATATAGTAAGTATGCTTTCATTTGAGTAATGCTAAATAATATTTTAAAGCAGAAGCTCTTGCACATATACCTTATAGTTCTCTAAAAGAGCCCTGTGATGTAGGATTGGCATTGCTTTCATTTTGCACATGAGGAAACTGAGTCTCCAGGGAGGTTAAGTATCTTAATCAAGGTTACTCTGTTTAATTGGTGTCTAAGCCAAGAATGAAACCCAGTTCTCCAGATTTCCAGTTCAGGACTTTTGTCCTTATAGTGTCTTAAGCAATAAGCTCTTTTGATTCTTTGTGTAGTCCATAATGACAAATACTGGAATCTTCATAAACTTACGTAAGATGATTGTTATTACAACTGTAAAAACTACACGAGTCTCAACTGTCCATTATCAGTCTTTATTCTGAGAAATTGTGCCTTTTTCTTCTATTTGTTTTGCTTTATTTAGGATCAAGCAGAACAATTCTTTAGAAGTGGCCATACAAACAACTGGGCTGTTCTGGTAAGTATACTGTAAAAGTATACCTTGCTGTTCACATTAGATATGTATCTGAGAAATTTGTGTGAATCAAATTTTTGAAAATACAATTTATTTTTTTACATTTTATATCAGAAATTCTTTATTTTGATTTGGCTATATTTTAAATTGACCACATCAACTATAATAATCTAGTAATATTCTTTGTCCTCAGAATATCTGTCAAGTGGTGATCTGAAAATAAATGTAAGAATAAATTAGGAATGCTATTGTTAAAGGAAACATTTTATAAGAGGTAGAAATATTTTAATGCTGGAAACTACTAATTGCATCTGTTATTTATAGTATTAGTTGATAGATACTTTCTACTTACACTTTTTAAAATTTTTTCAGTTGTTTTTTCTGCTTATAAAAATAATAAATGACCACTGTAGAAGTTCAAGTTATACAGAAAAGTTTAAAGAAGGCAGACTAATTTTGTTTTGTGAATTTCACCTCAATTAAAGAAGACAGGGAAAATGGCTTCAAGTCCCACATCCCAGAGTTAATATTTTGGTGAGCATTGTTCAAGCCCTTTCCCTCTTCATATATAAGCATAAAGATATATAGATATATGATTTTATATAATTGGGATCATATTATACCTGCTATTTTGCAACCCTTTAGTATTATCTTAGGGATCTTTCCCTGCCAGTAGGTATGGAGACATATAATCTTTTCCAAAAGCTGTATTTTCTTCTGTTTTGTGAATGTACTGTAACCTCCAGTTTATGGGCATTTAGAATCTAAATTTTTTGTTATTGTAAACAGGGCTGTGTTGAACATTCTTATACACATAACTCTGTGACCTGACTGATTTTCTCTTTAGGATAAATTCCTAAGTGTAAGAATGTGAAGTCATGGAGCATGATTGCCTCCAGAAAGACTGTGGGTCTTTTTCTAAATTCAAGTCAGCTATGTATTCTTAATTTTTATCTTAACTTTTTGACTGCTGGTCAACACATTACATTTTGTTTTAATTTGCATTGTTTTGATTTTTAGTAAGGCCTGCTTATTGGCCCTTTTTTTTTCTTCTGCCTTTTGCCCAACCTTAGTGTGAATTACCATCTTTAATTTTTCTGGATTCAGAAATTTGTAGTTTTAATTCCTCAAACAGAATTCACATAATCAAATTTGTTTTTCCTATGCTTGGAAAATATTTGGATAATAGTTTCATTACTGGAGTTTCATTTAATGGCATTTATATGATTAGAAAATATAATGTTGACTTAATGAAAAAACATGTACAAGGATTGGACTGGAAGAAACAATGGGGAAATAGAGAATAGGTTCAAAGAGGCAGGAAAGGAAGCTGATTTTGTGAAAAAGGGAGCAGAGAATGTACAGCATCTCAAAGCCAGTAATGCATGTTGGAAAAGGAAGAAAACTGGGGATTATAAATGGTAAGAATATAGTGGGAATGTAAAGGAGATGGATAGAGGAATTCAGCTTAAAGTGCAGAATAAACATGCAAGACTATAATTAACTTACTGACGCCAAATGAAGTTTGAGGCTTTGTAAATTTATTGAGAATCATTTGACAAACACATTTGATAAAAATATAGATAATGAATTATCTATAGGTTCCTATAAGTAAATAGGGTGATTCCAAGTTCTATACTTGTTTGTTTTAAATGTAATAGCATTGTGATTAAATAGGACAGTGTAACATGGGTCCATGGCTCATTTTCTTGTTCTTCAAGAAAAAAACCTCTTATATATGCTACCCTTCACAAGAAATTTTTCTGAAGTTACTGAGAAAAGACTGCTAAAGATAAGGAGAGAGGATTTCAATGCCTACTTAAAAGTAAGGAGAACTATTGGGAGCCAGGCCATCATCTACCAATTTGACAGGATAAACTTTTTCTACAGGAAACTAGGAGCCCCTCCATGTTCAAGAGGCAATAACTGCCTATGTGCAGACCACCAATTGCAAAGGGCTTATCTTTTGGAACTAAAATACTGTTAGCTTATACTGACACACATATGAAAGCCTTCCTTGCTCTGGGAAACCTCTAACCAAACCTCTCTTCAATTTCAGTAACCTGGTAAAAAATAAAAGATGAAAAAGAAACATTACTGAGCATTGTATTACAACTACAGTTTTCTTTTTTTTGTCCAATATTTTACATATTAGTATAGTGAAACTTTAATAAATTATATTTTATTTTTTAAAATTAAAAAGGGAGTTTTTGGAGATGAGGTCTTGCACTGTCTCCCAGGCTGGAGTGCAGTGGTGTGATCATAGCTCACTGTAGCCCTGAACTCCTGGGCTCAAGTGATCCTCCCACGTCAGCTTCCCAAGTAGCTAGAACTACAACCACAAACTACCACTCCTTGCTAAATTTTACATTTTTTTTTGTAGAGATGGGGGTCTCATTGTGTTGCCTAGGCCGTTCTTTAACTCCTAACCTCAAGTGATCCTTCCATCTTGGCCTCCCAAACTGCTAGGATTATAGGTGTAAGCTACTGTGTCCAGCTAGAATTTTATGATATTTTTGATATATGGAATTTTACATTTTTATATAGTCAAAAATTTAGTCTTTTCCTGATTGGATTCTAGGTTGAAAACTTAATTTAAAAAAAAACCATGTAGTTCCTTTCTGTTTGTCAGGGGCAAGAACACTTATGCTGTTCTCAAAATTGTCATTATACCTACTAAAGGCACAGGCATGTGATAGAAGCCGGGATTGTACTTGGTAGATATATTACCAAGTGACCCCAATCTATATTTACCTACCTTAGAATGGGTTCTGAACAACACTAACTTTTGAGGCATGGAATTAGATTTTCCTAGCACCTTTAATATAATTCTCAGGAATTTTTTTAAACTATAAAACTTGGTTGGATTGTTTCTAATTTTCTCTTGAGTTCAATAGCTTCTTTATAATGCACTCTCTTATGTACATTTACAACTGTTTTATATGTTATGTTTTATCCTGTGTCCTACGTTTCTCACAATAAAGGAAGCAATGTGGAATGAAACAAATATTGTATAACCCTATGTAGCTAATTTTCTTCTCTATTCTGTGAAGAAATTATGGGCATTGTCTTTGATTCTAAAGAATTTAATTTTTTAGAAATAGGAATGTTACTGAGTCACAGAAATTGTGATAACTAAGTTGGTTCAGTATTTGATTTAATTTCCCAAAGATATGCTTTCTCTTAAGCTGAATGGTTTTTTAAAATCTAATACTAGTTATGAAAGACTTCTCTTTGGAGCGATTAGTTTTACTGACAATTCTTTTTTTGTTGAGACAGAGTCTTGCTCTGTCGACAAGGCTGGAGTGCAGTGGTGCCATCTCCACTCCCTGCAACCTCCACCTCCCAGGTTTAAGCGATTCTCATGCCTCAGCCTCCCAAGTAGCTGCAACTACAGGTGCACGCCACCACACCTGGGTAATTTTTGTATTTTTAGTAGAGGTGGGGTTTTGCCATGTTGGCCAGGCTGGTCTCGAACTCCTGGACCCAAGTGATCTTCCCGCCTGGGCTTCCCAAAGTGTTGGTATTACAGGCATGAGCCACTGTGCCTGGCCTTTACTGACAATTTTTTGTGTTTGCTGTTTTAAAGCCTGAATTATGGCATACTGTTTCTTAGAGATCTCTGTATCCTACTTAAAGAAAAATACTCTGCAGCTCCATGGTTAGCCTTGATGCATAAAAATTCTGTTTTTGTTTTAATACTTCAGGTGTGTACATCCCGATTCTGGTTTAATTATCGACATGTTGCAAATACCCTTTCTGTTTATAGAAGTGTCAAGAGGCTAGGTATTCCTGACAGGTAAGAAGCCTTAATAAAGCTTAACCTTGAACTTCAGTGAAAATAACCCTTAGATAATTGTTATTATATTTGTATTTTGTGTTACTTTTGAAAAAGGTAAAAAAAAAAATCTGATTTGAAGATTTTTTGTTCTCATTAGAGCATACTACCATGTATAAATTAGATGTTACTTAAGACCATAATGACAAATTATATAAAAGAACAAATGCTAAGGTAAAAAGATTGGATAAAATATAATTATTTAGTGTAATGTATTTAATTAGTAAATGGCTCAGTCAGGGTTTTTAATTGCAGATAATGGAGTGCAATTCTGATTGATTCAAGTGGAAAAGGGATTTATTGAAAGCATATTGATTACCTTGCCAAATTAGTGAGAAGGTTGTATCCTTTAATAGCCAGGAACAAGGAAGCCTAGATATTAGAAGAGACATAGCAAAAAAATGACCTAAAACAGTCTGGTGACAATAATGGAGCTGCAAATTGCTGAAGCCTAGACTCAGCTACTGCATAGCTGCTACTGTTTGTTTCCTTTTGAAACTTAATGTTGCTATTGCCTCCTGCTGCCAAAATTTGAACTTTGCTGTCCCAACTTCTTACTGTCTCTCTTATAGAGGTCTTGGTGGGAATGTTATATTGGTAAAGTCTAGGTTCAGCACCCATGTCTGTGCTGCAGGGTGACTGGAAGAGCTAGTATATGGCATTATTAGCCTCTATATAGGAAGGTGGGCTTTGCTTTATATGAAGACTCGTAAAGTGGGAATTTTCCTACTTGTAGGGAGTGAGTTTAGGTAATAGGCGGTATCCCCACACCTTCACTCAGAGCATGTCTTCTACATTGTTTTGTCCATGATAGATTTGTTTTTCCTACTACCAAAGCAGCTATAGCAAGAAACTGTAGTCAATTCAGTTATTTAGGTTTGATTTATTTAGTACCAGTGAGTCAGTGTGGAAAGAGCCTTGTAGTTAGATATGACTTTGAAATCTGGCTTTAATGGTGATTTTTCTTTAAGTCACTTTACCATAATAAGCTTGTTTCTCATTTGTTACATGGTAATAATAGTACCTTCTTTCAGGATTCAAGTACTTCCAGTAAAAACAAATAAGAGTTATGCATAAAGTGCTGCAGGAACAGAAAGGAAGCAGTGAATGACTGAGGAAACAAAGTTATATTACAGTCTTTGTGAATAGATCATTTCAGTCTGAGTAACTGACAAAACTATAATTTCCATATTTCATCTGGAAATCATGGCAACTAGATAATATTACTATTTTAAAATTACATTAAGTCTGAGAAGGAGGTTGATTTGTTATATCAAGTGTATAGATATAATTCTTGTCATTTGTCAATTGGTTTTTCTCAAATAGGCCTATGTAGTTAGCTTTTGGTCTTTAACGGCTCTTGCGTCTATACTGGATATACTCTTCTAGAGAATCACTATGCATGGCTTGGCAATAGTTTTTCTTTGGTAAATTAATCTTTCTTCTATGAGTCAATCATTAAGATATATTTAAATGATTTAAGTTAGATTTGGAAGGAGTTTTTAGGAATAGACAATAGCAATAGGATGTATTTTGTATATTATGTTTAGTAGGTTTGTCCTTAGGTTTCTGAAGAATGTTATTTAAAAGCTTATTTCTGTTTCAAATAATTGCTTATCTATAACTGTGTTTATGAAGTCTTTGTAGTGGGGTAATTAAGGATTTAAACAGTTGGTGATTTAAGCCATTTGTTATTTAATAAATAGAAATCAATAGAAAAGATTCTGCTCAGCTAGTATTGGGTAAATAAATAAATGTATGATTTGGAAATATTTTATCAGTTGTGCAAAGCAAACACAGTTTGTATTTTAAAAGTAAAATATTTATATCCCCTAAATTTTGTTAGTCTAGTGTTAGAATATCAGGGGAATCAGCCCCTGATATTTCAACGTAGGTTCTTTTCTATTTTTCCTAAGTGTCGGCCGGTCTGAGAAATAAAGGGAAAGAGTACAAAAGGGAGAAATTTTAAAGCTGGATGTCCAGGGGAGACATCACATGTCGGCAGGTTCTATGATTCCCCCTGAGCCGCAAAACCAGCAAGTTTTTATTATGGATTTCAAAAGGGAAGGGGTGTACGAATAGGGTGTGGGTCACAGAGATCACATGCTTCAAGGGCAATAAAATATCACATGGCAAATGGGGGCAGAGTGAGATCACAGGACCAGGGTGAAATTAGAATTGCTGATGAAGTTTCATGTCCCACTGGGCACGCATTATCATTGATAACATCTTATCAGGAGGCAGGGTTTGAGAGCAGACAACCAGTCTGCCTAAATTTACTAGGCAGGAATTTCCTAATCCTAATAGGCCTGGGAGCGCTACAGGAGACTGGGCTTATTTCATCCCTTATCTGCAACCGTATAAGACAGACATTCCCAGAGTGGCCATTTTAGAGACCTCTCCCTAGGAATGCATTCTCTTTCTCAGGGCTGTTCCTTGCTGAGAAAAACAATTCAGCAATATTTCTCCTATTCACTTTTGTAAGGAGAAAAATATGACTCTGTTCTGTCTGGCCCCTTAGGCAGTCAGGCCCTAGTCAGGAGATAACAAGGTTATCTCCCTTCTTCCCTGAAAATCGCAGCCATTGTATTCCTTTTGGATGCCCAGATTTCATATTGTTCAAACACACATGCTCTACAAACAATTTGTGCAGATAGCACAATCATCTCAGGATCCTGAAGCAACATACATCCTCAGTTTACCAAGATGATGGGATTAAGAGATTAAACTAAAGACAGGCATAGGAAATTATAAGAGTAATGATTGGGGAAGTGATAAATGTCCATGAAATCTTCACAATTTATGTTCAGAGATTGCAGTAAAGACAGGTGTAAGAAATTATAAAAGTATTAATTTGGGTAACTAATAAATGTCCATGAAATCTTCACAATTTATGTCCTTCTGCTGTGGCTTCAGCTGGTCCCTCTGTTCGGGGTCCCTGACTTCCCCCAGCATTAGAAAATGTTAGTATGATATTAAAGATATTTTAATAAATAGGTTGCCAGAATTTTCTAATATTTGAAAATATTGACTCAGGGAAAAGGGTTATTATGGTTCTGGGAGAAAATGCAAAGATACACTCATAAGACCCTCATAAGTGCTCTGTAGCTCGAGTATGACCAGTTTCTTATCTAAGTTCCATGCAGGTGAGGTTTTTGTACTTTGTACCCACACAAATCTCTAACCTTATGGAGATTATGTTTTTATTTGCCTGGTTTTAGCTTCCTAAAATGTTTCATTATTTTTAGGGAATTTTCTGCCCTCAAATAATTGTTTTGGACTAAATCCCTGTTTAGCTACCTTCAGTATGTTTAGTATGATTAAGATGAAGAAAAGGCATTAAGTAGGGGTTAGGTTCTAAGGTTAGTATGTGAAGCAAACATTGAGCCACAATCACTCCTGAAAGTTTCCCAAATAGCACATAAATTGCAGTTTAGTATTGTCTTTCATCAAGTCTACCACAGCTAGTTTTTCCTCCAGTGCTATTACTATTTTCTTCGTTTGCACAGTGAATAAAGTGGTTTACTTATGATTAGAGCCATGTTTATGAAAAAATATACATATCTTTAACACTAGAATTGTGTTCTCCATGCTCTGCGAAGCACATGGGAATTGAGGCTGACTGAGGGAATGTAGAATCATAGCTCCCATTCCTGTTTACTCTAGGGAATAAATGCATTTAGTATTAGATTGAGAGACATAATCTGTCTCTGTCACGCTCTTTTGGCTGAGTGCAAAAGATTTAGTTCACAGAGTAAAATGTCTATATAATGTATTTAAAAATACAATTTAGCTCTACTACAGGTTGGGTGGATGTGAGTTTATGTAGTGATCCCTGTCTGATGCATTGTTTCTATAAAATCCAATAGCTTTTCTGAGTCCATCTAACACTGTTTTTTTTCTTATTCTGTATTTCAGTCTTTTGTGAGATTAATCTTCCTAATTTAAAACTTTTATTCTTTATTTCCTCTTACTCAAAGCTTTTTAGAGTATTTAGAATAAAGTTCAAATCACTTATCCTGGTACTGAAGACTTTTTGCAGTCTGATTCCAAATCTGACATTCTGATCTTTCAGTTTCAGTCTCTTACGCTCCAGCCATTTTCTTCCTAGTCACTGTATTGTCCTTCATTACCTTGCACTGGTCGCTCACCTACAGTTCTTTTCTTTCTCCTTCCCCTCTAGTTTTCTGATGTCCAGATTCAATCCATGAATTCCCTAAAGCTTTCTGGGTCTTTCTTGCATAAATACTGTATTTGTGCCTCTCTTTTGGCACTTTGTTACATGTGTTGATCTTATATCTTCAAGGCTGGATGTTATACTATGTATTTCTCACAGTGCATTCTTTGGTATGTTGTTGCAGAGTGAATGAGTGAATGAATAGTGTGCTAAAGACCCATAGCTAAGTAGAACCTCATTAGTCTAGACGAGAAAGGAAACTTTTATGAATACCATTTACTTATATTCTCTTAATCTTGTTTCTCAACCCCCACTGAGCTAACAGTGCTGTATAGTCTGGTTGTTTTTAGTCAGGTATTTTTTTTTTTTTGATTGTCTCACTCCATTGCCCTGGGTGGGTTACAGTGACACAAACACGGCTCACTGCAGCCTCAACCTCCTGGGCTCAAGTGATCTTCCCTCCTCAGCCTCCCAAGTAGCTGGAACTACAGGTGCGCACCACCATGCCTGGCTAATTTTTTAATTTTTTTGTAGAGTTGATGTCTCACAATGGTGCCCAGGCTGTTCTTGAACTCCTGAGCTCAAGTGATCCTCCCACCTTGACCTCCCAAAGTGCTGGGATTACAGGCACTGAGCCACTGTGCTGAGCTATAGTAGATTTTTTTTTCTTGTTTTTTATATTTGAGACAGAGCCTTGCTCTGTACCCCAGGCTGGAGTGCAGTGGAGCAACCTTGGCTCACTGCAACCTCTGCCTCCCAGGTTCAAAGGATTCTTGTGCCTCAGCCTCCTGAGTAGCTGGGATTTCAGGTGTGTTTTTGTATTTTTAATAGAGACAAGGTTTTGCCACGTTGGCCAGGCTGGTCTCACACTCCTGGCCTCAAGTGATCCACCCACCTTGGCCTCTCAAACTACTGGGATTACAGGCTTGAGCCATTGTGCCCAGCTATAGTTGATTTTTGTGAACTGTCTTCTAACTTATTCTTGAGGGATCTATGGCTGGGGCAATCTTACCAGGGCACTTCAATTGATTTATTTCTATCAGAAATCCGTAAGAGTCTTGCCCAAAACAAGTCACCCTTGACCTTATGTATTACCATTTAAGTTCCTTCAGGATGCATTTGTTTCCTTTTTGTCTTTTGTCCCTTTTAACTTCTTTCCCAGTTAATAAATATTAGAATTAGAAGTAGGAGCTATTTGGTCAGTTATGTAAATTCTGGTAATGTTTCTGTAAGTAGAAAAAGTCACTAATTTTTGTTATTGTTGTTTTTTAAATCATGTTGATCATATAGCTTTTGCCTATTGCTCTTTATGCTGCTGTGGATTTGGCCTTATACGTAAGAGGACATTGTTTGAAGTGGAGCGTTAATAAGCTGTTTAGCAATCTTACTGTATGGTAATTCCTTAAAATGCTTCTTTAAAAATACTTGTGGCTTTCTGTTCAATAACAGCTGCCAAAATGGATTCCCCTCCCTCTCTTGTAATACACATTCACTATCCACCATAATTCAGAGACTGTGTTAGGAATTTTATAATGAATTATTTTATTTATTCCTTGAGACCTTTATGAGAGATTGTTTTTTCACATTTTACATACTAAAAATGGTTGCTCAGAGTGGTTAAATGACTTGCTTAAGGTCAATTAAATATTAATAAAAATAGGATCACAATTTGAATTCAGGTCTTCTGACTTTATGGCCAGAGCATTACTGTTTTAGCACAGCTGTCTTCTCCCCAAGAAATTAAAACAATTAATATTTGTGTAACATTTATAATGAATGAATTCTTTTAATATACATTGTCTGATTTTATTTTTATGACAATCTATAGATATTACTACAATTATGCACACTCATTAAATACCTTATTCTAAAATGTATATAATATACATTGTCTCATTTTATTCTTATGACAGTCTATAGATATTAGTATAATTATGCATACTCATCATTAAATACCTTATTAAATTCTAAAATGTGTATATGTTGAATGTGGTGACTAGGGGGTGTGCAAAAATAGTTAATATTAAATAAATATAAGAAATGCTTCTCTGATTTTATCATTTTCTTACTTTTTTCATATTTTTATTTTTACTTTTGTCTAAGACTTTATTATTTCATGCTTCATGTACTTCATGCTTCTTCAGTATTCATGTACTTCAATATACATTGTAGCTATGGTACGTGCTTCTGTACTTCAACCCTTTTGTAGCTGTTTATTCCCTGCTTCTAGTCCCTTTCCCCCTCCAACTCATCCTACACATAACTGTTAGAATTATTTCTCAGACACTGCTTTCATCTTTTCACTTCCACAATTAAGAACCTGCAGTAACTCTGTTGCCTTTCTAACAAATCCAAAATTTTCATCCAGGCTTCAGGCCTTAACTACTTTATTAATTCCAACTCAATATTTTCATTTGTTGATTTGTTGTGACAACTACTACATGGTTACTTTCATTTCTGTTTTTGGTGATTTAGCACACCTAGAATTTAATAAGGTATTTTAGTGATGAGTGCACATAATTATACCAATCTGTATAGTGTCATAGGAATAAAATGAGATAATGTATATTAAAATAATTTTCTAATTGTAAATGTTACATGAATATTAACTGTTGTAATTCTTGGGGAGAAGATAGCTGTGATATAAGTAAATGCTGTGGAACCTAGAAAACCTAGAATATCTTGTGTTCTTTTCTATCTAAATATCTTTTGTTCCTTTGTTTCCCTGTGTGTAGAACTTCATAGATTGCTCTGATTAGGGTGGTCACTGATTTTATTTTTATGCCATTACAATTCATTTATTAAAATTTCTAAATGTATTTTACATTTATTATATTACTATTTTATGTTATTTTAATATATTGATAATCATATTTGGTGATTTTGTCTCATTTTTTATGAACAAAAGGATTTTTCCATCCTGCAATAAGTTTTGTAAATAATTTGCAATGTACAATCATAGTTATTGTGAAGATAATTTTAACTCATGCCTTTGAATGTTCTTCTCTTGTCTCCTATCACTTCTCAACAGTTTTTTCTAAAATACTTCCTAAAAATATAAATAATAGTGTTTGAATAAGTATACTTATGTATTCTGAACAATCTGTCATTTTATTCACATATTGGCAGCTGATCTGCCACTCTACATGATGTTCCTTGTGGAGAAGTGTATAATATCTTGAATAGAGAAACACTTAGAATAGTTAGGAAGTTGAAATGTGTTCTGAGGAGAACAGTGACAAGGTAAAAGGAGAAGTTTGGCCACTACCTTGATGCTCTTATGTTTAGATCATATGTAGGACCAATTTGCAAGTCTAACAAGACCATGAATGGGGTTTATGAAGCATAGGGGAAATTTCTTTATTGATTTGTAAATAGATAGGAAGATTTTGATACTGAAGAGAAAGATGCTTATTCCTTCACCAATACCACAATGTCTTTACTACTGTCACTATCTTTATATCTGTTAACTTCATTTCCTTGGCTTTATTCTTTTTTAGAATGGTCTTGCCTATTCTTAGGTCTTGTTCTTCCATATTAATTTTGGAATTGGTTTGTCAAGTTCTTAATCCCTGTTAGGATTCTCATTGGCATTGCAGTGAGTTTATAGATTAATTTAGAGAGAAGGGGCTTCTTTTTGGTATTAAGTCTTTCAATTTATGAATAAGGTTTATCTATTTAATTACGGGTTTAATAGCATTCAAGTTTTATAATTTTTTAATTTTTCTCCATAAACATCTTTGGTAGCTTTTTAAAGTTATCTTATTTTTTGTTATTATTGTAAATGGTACCTTTCCAAAAATACATTTTCTAACTTCTGTTGCTGTGTATGCAGTTGATTTTTATATATTGTTCTAGCAACTTGCTAAACTCCTATTAATTCTAATAATTGACTATAAATTTTTATTTTTGATAGCCATAAAATCTTCAAACAATGAGTTTTCATCCTTTCAAATCTTTGTACCTTTAAAACATTCTTTAATCTTCAAAAGCTTTTCATATTTAAAAAATTTGGAATAAAAGTAATCTTTAAAGACCTCAAAACTAATAGTGCAGATAAATTCTTTATTTTATACATGAGAAAAATGTATTATTGAGAGGTAACGTGATGTTTACAGTTAACAGCTGCATAGTGGCAGACCTAATACTAGAATTGGGTATTGAGATTATATTATACTATGTTGCCAAATTCATCAGTGTAAATAAATGTAATAATAAAGAAAAAGGATAAATGAAAGCAATTCATTGAAAATAAAGATAAATGCCAATATGCTTTATGAAATTGATGTCTGCATGATAATTTTTATTTGATTTACTAATAAATAATCTAATAACTTTACCAAAATTACAGTAGCCTATCTTCAGAGCTTTTTCCTTTAATAAGCTTTCTTTAGAGCTATTTATTTCCATTTGAGGATAACTCAGCAAACTATTTTTATTTTCACTTTGGTATTCCTAATAAGGTGAACCTATTGGTGTCTTATATCTAATATTTATGTCATAATGTACAAAAACTTGGTTTCCTGTGATGGCTTTGTTAAATAACTTTGTTTAATGGTTGCTTTAAAATAAATTATAAACTAGTTTAAAATTCAGGTGCTTTCAAGGATTGTGTAAACATAAGAATATGACAACTTAGATGGGAGGCAGTTAATAGTGTTTCAGAATATAAGCCCCAGAATCAGACTACTTTAGTTTAAATCATGGTTCTGTTAGTGAGTTAGGCCAGACCACAAAGTTTAGCCTTGCTTCAGAGATGGGCAAAAATGATGACTTTACTTAAGTTGCTTTTACTCAGATTACTATCAAACCAACAAAGAAGTAATACAAAGCATATATGTGACGAGAACATGAGTGGCTGCATTGCCTCTCTACTTCCCTTGTTTCTCACTGTGGTGATTGTGAAGTTTAGCAGTTGGCACAGCCTGCAGAGAGTAAGAAATCAGACAGGGCAGAGGAATTCAGAATAGTCTGTAGAACAACTGCTTTGTCACCTGAAGTTCTACCTATTATTACGTAAGACAATTCTTCGCTGTGCCTGAGGTTCATGTTTACATGTTTTACTTCTTCCTGTATCATCAGGCCTTCAGTAAACCTGGAAATAGCCTGAGAATGTCACTATTCATTTTTTGATCTTGGAAAAATTAATCTCTCTTGGCCTTAGTTTTTTCATCTGTAACAATACTTAGAGGGGAAACAATACTTAAAAGGGGTGAATATTTTTGGTTGGCTGGCCCAGCTGTAATTCCCAGCTTTGTTCTCCTTTGCTTCATTATATAATCTCCTGAATCAGCCTATCATGTTTTCTAATTACGTTGATTGCATTGGTTTAGCATTAACTTACTTGGCATTAATTTAATGATGCCAAATACTAGTTTTATTATTACTGTGAGAGTGTTAAATATCATTAGAAAGATCATAAAAAGGCATATACAAAAATTAACTCAAGATGGATTACAGATATAAATGTAAGATCTCCAACTAAAAATTCTAGAAGAAAACTTAGGAAATACCATTCTGGATGCTGGCCTTGGCAAATAATTCATGGCTAAGTCCTCAAAAGCAATTACAACAAAAATAAAAGTTGACAGGTTGTACCTAATTAAAATAAAGAGCTTTTGCACAGGAAAAGAAACTATCAACAGAGTAAACGGACAACCTACAGAGTGGGAGAAAATATTTACAAACTGTGCATCTGATAAAGGTCTAATTTCTAGAATCTATAAGGAACATAAACAACTCAACAAGCAAAAACCAAATAACCCCATTAAAAACTGGGCAAAGGATATAAACAGACACTTCTCAAAAGAAGACATACAAACGGCCAAAAAACATGAAAAGGTGCTCAACATCACTAATTACTAGAGAAATGCAAATCAAAACCACAGTGAGATACCATCTCACACCAGTCAGAATGACTTAAAAAGTCAAAAAATAAAAGATGTTGGCAAGGCTGCAGAGAAAAGGGGACACATTTACACTGTTGGTAGGAATGTAAATTAGTTCAGTTACGGTGGAAAGTAGTTTGGAGATTTGTCAAAGAACTTAAACTACCATTTGACCCACCAATCCCATTATTGGGCACCTACCCAAAGGAATATAAATTGTTCTACCATAAAGACACATGCACTCATATTTTCATTGCAGCACTGTTTACAATAGCAAAGACATAGAATAAACCTACATGCCCATCAACATTGGACTGGATAAAGAAAATGTGGTACATATACACCATGGAATACTATGCAGCCATAAAAAGAACAAAGATCATGTCCTTTCCAGCTACATGCGTACAGCTGGAGGCCATTTTACTAAGTGAATTAATGCAGGAACAGAAAACCAGATACTACATGTTCTTACTTATAAGTGTGAGAGCTAAGCATTGAGTACACATGCACATAAAGATGGGAATAATAAACACTGGGGACCTCTAGAGTTGGGGGGAATGGCAAAGGCTGAAAAACTACCTATTGAATACTATGCTTAGTACCTGGGTAGCAGGATTATTAGTACCCCAAACCTCAGCATTACACAATATACCCATGTAGCAAACCTGCATATGTACCCCCTGAATGCAAAATAAAAGTCAAAAAATGTATATATTTATACTTTAAATATATAGATATATAAATATCTAGATTCTATATATTCTGTATATATATGAAAGGTCATAAAAAGTAGATGTTTGTAAGTTGAGCCATTTTTAGTGATGACTTGTGTACAGACGTCACAGGAATAATAAGCCTATTAGCAGGGAAAGGAGAAAGAAGCAGATGTTTGCAGAATAACTAGTCACATTAGCACATTAGTGGCAAAATACTGGAGCCCGTGAAGTTCCACCAGTTGTTAATGTTGATATATCTAGAACTACTTTTGAGTTGTAATCTCTGTAAGGCCTTATTCTTGAATTTCCGTAAAACTGTGTGCCATTTTAATAGTCATTCTTTTCTTTTTTTCTGAGTCAAACTATTTTATTGACCAAAAGATTCCTGTGGAAACAGGAAGTGAGCACCCTAAGCTCTCACTCCTTAGCACTCTGCGTGCTGATGTAGTCCTGGAGAAGTGCCTGTGCCTCCGCCCGCTGGCTCAACTTGGTGGTCTTGCCCTGAAAACAGCCTTTCTTCCCTGCTCCTTTGCCTTCCAGGACCTCAGCCACCCTGGGCCCCAAGGTCTCCACAGCTGCAGGTCGCCCTGCCAGTAAGAAAAGTCCAGCACCTTTCTCATCGCCCACGGTTAAGAACAGGAGGGTCTCCTCTGACCCAATCTCATTGGCAATGATATTCATGAACTCTGAATCACCCTCCTTCCTGTGTAATATGACCACACCTCACCAGTCTGGGTTGTTCCTGCTATGGGCAGTGTGCACAGCCAGGTCTCTGAGCAGATTCAGGTTATTCTTCTGCAGGAGCTTGGTGGAGTTTGGAGCTTTTTCACTGCTTCCACGTGATCCTCTGCTCCACACTTAAGCAGGAGTAGTCAGTGCTTTTTCAGTTCCATGACTTCTGTCCATCCATTTGACCACCTGGTTCCCTGTCCGAAATATCAGGTTGGTTTTGTTCTTTTTCCGTTTCTCAGTGCCCAGAATCTTGATGACCTGGTCACTGAGTCTTTTTTTTTTTTTCTTTTCAACGTTTATTTTAGGTTCAGGAGGTACATATGCAGATTTGTTATATGGGTAAATTGTGTATCACAGGGTTTGGTGTACAAATTGTTTTGTCACACAGATAATAAACATAGTACCTAATAGGTAGTTATTTGATCACCACCCTCCCCCCACCCTCCACCCACAAATAGGTTCTGGTGTCTGTTGTTTCCCTCTTTGTGTCCATGTGTACCCAGTGTTTAGCTCCTACTTATAAGTGAGAACATGTGGCATTTGGTTTTCTGTTCCTGCATTAATTCACTTAGGATAATAGCCTCTAGTTTCATCCATGTTGCTGCAAAGGGCAAAATTGTGTGTTTTTTTATGGCTGTGTAGTATTTCATGGTGTTATGTACTACATTTTTCTTTATCCAATCCACTATTTATGGGCACCTAGGTTGATATTATATATCCCTTATATAACAGCAAAGTAGAATGACTTATATTCCTTTGAATATGTACCCAGTGGGATTGCTAGGTTGAATAGTAGTTTAAGTTCTTTGAGAAATCTCCAAACTGCTTTCCACAGTGGCTGAATCAATTTATATTCCCACCAGCAGTGTATAAACATTCCTTTTCTCCACAACTTTGCCAGCATATGTTATTTTTTGACTTCATAATAGTCATTCTGACTGGCATGAGATGGTATCTTACTGTGGTTTTGAGTTGCATTTCTCTAATGATTAGTGATGCTGAGCATTTTTTCCTATGTTTGTTGGCTGTTTGTCTTCTTTTGAGAAGTGTCTGTTCATGTCCTTTGCTCAGTTTTTAATAAGGTTGTTTATTTTTTACTCATTAATTTTTTTAAGCTCCTTATAGATTCTGGATATTAGACCTTTGTTAGATGCATAGTTTGCAGACATTTTCTCCCAGTCTGTAGATTGTTTACTCTGCTGATGGTTTCTTTTCCTGTGCAGAAGCTCTTTATTTTAATTAGGTCCCATTTATCAATTTTTGTTTTCGTTGCAATTGCTTTTGGTATCTGCGTCATGAAATCTTTGCCAGGGCCTATGTCCAGAATAGTATATCCTTCTTTCTTGATCTAGCTTTAGTGATTCCTTGCAATTAAAAATAATGACTAGAATAAATATTAAGATATAGAAAAGGGTTAACAAAGCCCTTTCCTTCTGTGTAAGAATTTGACTTGTGTTTGCTTTCTAACTTTGTTCCCTTGGAAATATGACAAAGGCAGGCAATGTTGCTTATGGTAAAAATGTTCCCTTATTCATTAGATGACTACAACTGGACTAGGATGAATAAATGATGAATGCCTGAGGAGAAAGACATATCTTCGGGCTTTCCAGAGTGCAATGATTCTTGTAATTGAGTCTGTTCCTTTTAGACACCCTGAAAACTGTATTTATGGAGTTGCTACATAAGGCACAAACTCCAGTGTGGCATGTAACTTCTACGCAAAGGTGGATATTCTGCTCAGCCATTGTAATTCTCTTTTCCTCCTACCTGAGTTGTCACCGGAAAGAACAAAGCTTAGGAGAAACACACACACACACACACACACACACACACACACACACATTCTCATGCCACACTGTCAGCTAACAGTCTGATGGAAACTGTTCTTACTGTGTTATGTTATATCTCTTTAAAAGAAATTAAAAGGATAAATTAACATTTGTGAAAAGAATTTGCTTCCTTTGGAGGAAAGATATTTCACAGAGTTTTATATTAATGGTTTCTAAGAATTTGGCCAAAGCATGAGTGGGAAGTTACTCAATTCAGTAAAAGGTGCTCTGATGTTAAATCCTTACATCTGTCTGTTAACTTATATATTTAAAGTGGTATCCATCTCTAAGCCTTCCAATCATGAAATTCAGATATGGTTTTAGAAAGTAAAACCTATATTAATCAGAACCTGTCAACTTTTCACCATACAGGATATCTAAAGAAAAGAAGCAAAGGACAATCAAGAAAGATCTTATTAGAGAGCTTATTTTTAGGACTAATGTATTTTAGTCCTAAATGTATTTTAAGACTTATTCTGTATTTATTTCCACCATCCTGTACTCTATACCCATTAACTCTAGCATGTTGTGACTAAATTTTAATCACTACTTCTATGTTAGAAGTGGAAGAAATTTTAAAAGTTTCTTATCCAGAACTCTGCCTTCTCTTTTATTTTTAATGTGGTTATCTACTAAAAATATGTGTTCACAAGTCATCTCTACCATATTATTCAATATGGTAGAAAACTGGTTTAAACCAATTTTTTCTTCTACTCCCTGAAAATGAAGTTTGCTGGCTAATTCTGTAATCTTGTTTCCATTATTCCGTAAAGTTTAATTTTATTTTTCCATAATCTTATTGCAATGTGGAATCTAAAATATTGATAAAGTAAGTGCCTGAACAATTTAATGTGTAATAGTTAAATCAAATTCATGAGAATGAACACCATTATATTGCTTTTAAAATGTATGTATTGTTGAATTACATTTAATTGAGATTTGTTAATATCTTCTAATTAATTTGATTTCATCTGTGACAGTCCTCATTCTATATTTTTTCCCTTTAATTTTTGTCTTAGTTGGCTTTTATGATCAAACTGAAGAGCAGAGCAGTGGCAAAGTACTCTTCACGACTAGTGTTGTGTCCCTATATTTAGTCCTTGCCAAAAGATTTTTTTTTTTTTGAGACAGGGTCCTGCTCTGTATCCCAGGCTAGAATGCAGTGGCGCGGTCTCGGCTCACTGCAGCCTGGACCTCCTGGGCACAAGCAGTCCTCCTGCCTCAATCTCCTGAGTAGCTGGGACAAAAGTGAAATTAACATTTGTGAATAGAATTCGATTTCTTTGGAGGAAGATATTCCACAGAGTTTTATATTAATGGTTTCTAAGAATTTGGCCTGAGCATGAGTGGGAGGTTACTCAGGTATCACCATGCCTGGCTAATTTTTGTATTTTTTGTAGAGACAGGGTTTTGCCATGTTGCCTGGGCTGGTCTCAAACTCCTGGGCTCAAGCGATCCGCCCACCTTGGCCTCCCAAAGTAATGGGATTACAGGCATGAGCCACTGTGCCTGGCCATTGCCAAAAGATTTTTAAGAAAATGATAAAAGTGATGGCTCAGAAGAAAAATAGACATCTGAGTTCTTTAATGAAAAGAATATCTTTGTTATCTTGCTTTCCGCCTGGAGAAAACTAAGCAGATCTTTTGATTTTCTTGCCATTTGACGCTAGAAATGTATCATAAAAGGCATATTAGTGATGTTTGCATACATTTTTTAGGCAAAATGTATAATTCAGGATGTGGTCAAGTCCTAGGAAATTGCTTGCAGCACTCTAAAGAGGTTAGATGTAGACTGTTAAAATCTTTTGGTGCTAAGCAAGGTTCCAAAATACTTTTATTATAGTAGCTTAGTTAGGGAGACTGACTAAGTCAGTACAGATCATTATTGGAAAAATAACAAAAGTAAAATTTCTGTTGAACGTGAGAATATGTGAAAGATTGCACATAGTAGTTTAAGTTATGATAGACTGTATGCAATGTATGAAGATTTTAAAAAATTTTGTCCTATACATTTTAGCAAAAAGAAAGTTACGCTAGATCAGTGACATTCATGACTACAACACTCTTGATTTTGACTATTTCTGTGAGCCATCCAAAATGATCAGAAAGATAGTAACTTGTAATTTTGGTAATGTAATGCACAGATTTGAATTATAAGCCTGAGGTTTGTGTGCTTTAGTAAGTTAGTAAACTAATTAGTGGGGAGTTAAGCAATGGAAAACAGGAAGAAAGAGATGGAGAACTTGTCAACGCTGTACTGATTTTCATCCTGAGAGGAATGGGGAAGGGAACGGTGAGGTGGCTGTGCTGTTTGCCCCCTCTCCTGCTATTGGAAGACTGATTAACATTGGGGAATATTTGAAGGTAGAGGTGAAGCAGTGAAGATTTAAGGTGTAGGCTACTGGTACACATGGTTGAGAGTGAAAGTGGCAGTCCTGGTGGCTGAAAAGAACTGATGGCTAAGAACCAGCAGCAGGATGCAGCCCCAATACCTCTCTGTAGAAATGAGTCAGGGGCTTTGGGGAATTAATTGGAGACTGTCTAGAATATTAGCCTCTTTATCTCTTTGAAGTTCTGTTATCTTAGTTTTACAATTGAGGCACTGAGATTTTTCATTTGTATCTTACTACATTTACAGGTGAAATTATATGCTCTAGTGCTGTTCTTTGAGAATTTTTACTCAGGTCTCTGGATGGTTTGATTTAGAATTTCAAGAGCCTGTTTTATTTTAATTATGTGCCATAAATATTAAACAGCAATGATGAGGTCATGTATCTAACCTAATCGTCAGAGTCCATTATCAATTTAAGACAAAAACATATCATTAAATCCTTTTTTCTTTTTCTTTTTCTTTTTTTTGAGACAAGGTCTTGCTCTGTTGCACAGGCTAAAGTGCAATGGCATGATCGTAGCTCACTGTAACTTCGATCTCCTGGGTTTAGGCAGTCCTCCCGCCTCGGCCTCCTGAGTAGCTAGGACTACAGCCATGCGATATCACAATCAGCTAATTTTTTTTTGTTTTTTGTTTTTTTTTGGTAGAGATGGAGTCTCACCAAGTGGCCCAGGCTGGTCTTGAACTCCTGGCCTCAAACGATCCTCCCACCTCAGCTTCCCAAAGTGTCAAGATTACAGGCATGAGCCACTATGCCCGGCTATTAAATGCTTTCAAATGGCAGTTCTCTTAGTTTCAGCATAATGCAAAGTTATTAAAAGCAGACGTTCATGTCAGACAAATCTGGGTTTGAATTCAAACGCCACTACTTGCTAGCTGTGTGACCTGGGGCATGTGTGTGCTTCCATCACATAACCTGTAAAATGGAGATGATAATAACATATAGCTCATAAAAATAGTGTATGAGATAATGCTTGTAATGTGCTTATTTTATGACTGCAATACTTGAGACATACTGAGTTGTATTAGGGTTCTCTAGAGGGACAGAACTAATCAAATATACATATACGTATATGTATATCTGTATATCTGTGTGTGTGTGTGTGTGTGTGTGTGTGTATATATATATATATATATATATATATATATATATATATATATATATATATATATGAGTTTATTGTTAACTCACACAATCACAAGGTCCCACAATAGGCTGTCTGCAAGCTGAGGAGCAAGGAGAACCAGTCCAAGTCCCAAAACTGAAACTTGGAGTCCAATGTTTGAGGGCAGAAAGCATCCAACATGGGAGAAAGATGTCAGCTGGGAGCCTAGGCCAGTCTAGTCTTTCATGTTTTTCTGTCTGCTTTATATTCTAGCCACCCTGGCAGCTGATTAGATGGTACTAACCCAGGTTAAAGGTGGGTCTGCCTTTCCTAGCCCACTGACTCAAATGTTAATCTCTTTTGGCAACACCCTCACAGACACACCCAGGACCAATACTTTGCATCTTTCAATGCAATCAAGTTGACACTCAGTAACCATCACAAGTCTATCCCTTGTCAACTTGAACCCATACACATCTGAGATTATATGTAATCTTCAAATAAAGACAATAATAAGTCTTTTGCCTAAAAACATAATTTTGCCTAACATAATACAACTATCCTTTGTACAACTGGAAACACATCAATCCCAAACCCAAATGTACTGTTGTATAAAGTTAAGAATACTTAAATGCTGATATGAAGTCAATAAATCTTATGTCATATGATAAAGGAAAAAGGAAATAAACTGAAGATATTTTCTAAGTACAAATGTATACATGCACAATCATGTTTTTAACAAAAGAGGGAGGAAATACTCATGACAATTACAGTTCCTGTTTCTGCAGCTGGTCACATGATCATAGCTGGTATAGATGACTACTTTCTTTTACTATACATCCTGTATTCCTTTTGCCTTCAGCAAGCACCTTAACAAGTCTTGGTTTTTTTCCTAGTGGGGTGACTATCGGGGAACCTGCCCCGATAATCACATAGGTTCTTTTCTATTTTTCCTAAGCATCGGCCGGCTTGAGAAATAAAGGGACAGAGTACAAAAGAGAGAAATTTTAAAGCTGGGCATCCAGGGGAGACATCACACGTTGGTAGGATCCGTGATGCCCCACAAGCCACAAAAACCAGCAAGTTTTTATTAGGGATTTTCAAAAAGGGAGGGAGGGTGTGAATAGGTGTGGGTGACAGACATCAAGTACTTAACAGGGTAATAGAATATCACAAGGCAAGTGGAGGCAGGGCGAGATCACAGGACCACAGGACCACAGGACCGAGGTGAAATTAAAATTGCTAATGAAGTTTCGGGCACCATTGTCATTGATAACATCTTATCAGGAGACAGGGTTTTGAGATCAACCGGTCTGACCAAAATTTATTAGGTGGGAATTTCCTCTTCCTAATAAGCCTGGGAGTGCTATGGGAGACTGGAGTATATTTCATCTCTGCAGTTTCGACATAAGAGACAGGCGCACCTGGGGGGGCTGTTTATAAGCCTATACCTCCAGGCACATATTCTCTTTCTCAGGGATGTTCCATGCTGAGAAAAAGAATTCAGCGATATTTCTCCCATTTGCTTTTGAAAGAAGAGAAATATGGCTCTGTTCTGCCCGGCTCACCAGTGGTCAGAGTTTAAGGTTATCTCTCTTATTCCCTGAACAATTGCTGTTATCCTGTTCTTTTTTCAAGATGCCCACATTTCATATTGCTCAAACACACATGCTGTACAATTTGTGCAGTTAATGCAATTAGTGCAGGGTCCTGAGGCGACATACATCTTCCTCGGCTGACAGGATTAAGAGATTAAAGTAAAGACAGACATAGGAAATCACAAGGGTATTGATTGGGGAAGTGATAAGTGTCCATGAAATCTTTACAATTTATGTTTAGAGATTGCAGTAAAGACAGGCATAAGAAATTATAAAAGTATTAATTTGGGGAACTAATAAAATGTCCATAAAATCTTCACAATCTACATTCTTCTGCCATGGCTTCAGCCGGTCCATCCGTTTGGGGTCCCTGACTTCCCGCAACAGGTGACCCACACCTTCATTCCTGAAGGGTCTGGGCCATTTGTACTCCTGCCTGGATTGGGCTGTTATAGTTTCCCATTGACCTTAATCACAGGGCGTGATAATACTAAGAAATGCCCTAATGGATCTTCTGTATTCCATGCATATTCTTCCTTACCTCTGTTGTGGAGTAGTGGACTGATTTCATCTTGATAGTCTGGGTCAGTCACTGTAACTGACACTGTAACTCCCTTATTAGCCTGTTGACTTAAAGGTAGGAGGAGCCCAAAGTGTCCAGGTGGCAATCTTAACTTCTAGTTTAATGGAATCATTGTTGTGTCTCCTGGTGTCAGTGTTCCTCCTGCTGGAGGTAAGACCTCTAGGCCAGAAGAGCGTAATGTTGCAGGAACAGGCAGCAAAAATTTTGCTAGTGGATCACTAGGGGTGATGATGAGTGGTGCCACTTCCACATCTACCCCTTGATTCCTGGACCTGTGAATCCTGGCTATGGGAGAAACAGTACCATATATTGGATGCTGATTCAGAGCATACATGGCCTTTGGGAGAACTCTGCCATCTAGTTGGTGTTTTAATTGTGACTTCAAAAGGCCATTCCACTGTTCTATCAATCCACCTGCTTGAGGATGATGGGGAACATGGTAAGACCAGTGAATTCCATGAGCACGAGCCCACTGCTGCACTTCTTTAGCCGTAAACTGAGTGCATTGTTCAGAGGTGATGATGTGTGAAATACCATGACGGTGGATAAGGCATTTGTGAGGCCACAGATGGTAGTCTTGGCAGAAGCACTGTGTGCAGGATAGGCAAACCCATATCCAGAGTAAGTGTTTATTCCAGTGGGGACAAACCACTGCCCTTTTCGTGATGGAAGAGGTTCAATATAATCAACCTGCCACCAGGTAGCTGCCTAATCATGCCGAGGAATGGTGCCATATTGAGGGGTCAGTGTTGGTCTCTGCTGCTGGCAAATTGGGCACTCAGCAGTGGCCATAACCAGGTCAGCGTTGGTGAGTGGAAATCCATGTTGCTGAACTCCTGTGTAACCTCCATCCCTGCCACCATAGCCACTTTGTTCATGGGCCCATTGGGTGATGACAGGGGTGACTGGGGAAACAGGCTGAGTGATGTCCACAGAACGGGTCCTCATATCTACTTGATTGTTAAAATCCTCCTCTGCTGAAGTCACCCATTGCTGAGCTCTCACATGGGATACAAATATCTTTACATTTTTGACCCCTCAGGTCCATCCACATACCTCTTCCCCAAATTTCTTTGTCACCAATTTTCCAATCATGCTTCTTCCAAGTCCCTGACCATCCAGCCAGATCATTGGCTACAGCCCATGAATCAGTATATAGTCACACATTGGACCATTTCTCCTTCCATGCAAAGTGCACAACCAGGTGCACTGCTCGAAGTTCTGCCCACTGGGGAGATTTCCCTTTACCGCTGTCCTTCAGGGATGTCCTAGACGGGCAGTAGTGCTGCAGCTGTCCACTTTCAGGTGGTGCCCACATATTGTGCAGAACCATCTGTGAATCAGGCCCTCCTCTTCTCTTCCTCCATCAGCTGATCATAGGGAACTCCCCATGAGGCCATCCATGGAGGCTTGGGGAGAGAAGGCAGGGTGGCAAGAGTGGAGACCATAGGCATTTGAGCCACCTCCTCATGTAACTAACTTGTGCCTTCAGGACCTGGTCAAGCCTGATCACGTATATGCCACTTCCATTTGATGATGGAATGCTGCTGTGCATGACCTACTTTATGGCTGGATGGGTCAGAAAGCACCCAGTTCATGATAGGCGGTTCAGGTCGCATGGTGACTTGATGACACATAGTCAAATGTTCAGTTTCCACCAAAGCCCAGTAACAGGCCAAGAGCTGTCTCTCAAAAGGAGAATAGTTATCTGCAGAAGATGGCAGGGCCTTGCTCCAAAATCCTAGAGGCCTCCGCTGTGGTTCACCTATGAGGGCCTGCCAAAGGCTCCAAACAGCATCCCTGCTTGCCACTGACACCTCAAGCACCATTGGATCTGCTGTGTCATATGGCCCATGTGGCAGAGCAGCTTGCACAGCAGCCTGGACCTGTTGCAGAGCCTTCTCCTGTTCTGGACCCCACTCAAAACTGGCAGCCTTTCAGGTCACTCAATAAATGGGCCGGAGTAACACACCCCAGTGAGGAATGTGTTGCCTCCAAAATCCAGTTAGGCCCACTGGGCATTGTGCCTCTTTCTTGGTGGTAGGAGGGGCCAAATGCAGCAACTTATCCTTCACCTTAGACGAAATATTTTGACAGGCCCCACACCACTGGATCCCTAGAAATTTTACTGAGGTAGAAGGTCCCTGAATTTTAGTTGGATTTATTTCCCATCCTCTGGCATGCAAATGTCTCACCAATAAGTCTAGTGTGTTTGCCAGTTCTTGCTCACTGGATCCAATCAGCATAATGTCATCAATGTAATGTACCAGGGTGATATCTTATGGAAGCAAAAAGGATCAAGGTCTCTCTAAATAAGATTATGACACAAAACTAGAGAGTTGATATACCCCTGAGGCAGGACAGTAAAGGTATATTGCTGGCCTTGCCAGCTGAAGGCAAGTTGCTTCTGGTGGGCCTTGTAGACAGGCATGGAGAAAAAGGTATTTGCCGAATCAGTGGCTACATACCAGGTACCAGGAGATGTGTTAATTTGCTCAAGCAATGAAACCACATCGGGAACAGCAGCTGTAATTGGAGTCGCCACTTGGTTAAGTTTATGATAATCTGCTGTCATTCTCCAAGATCCATCTGTCTTCTGCCCAGGCCAGGTGGGAGAGTTGAACAGGGATGTGGTAGGACTCACCACCCCTGCATCTTTCAAGTCCTTGATGGTGGCACTGATCTCCACAGTCCCTCCAGGATGTGATACTGTTTTTGCTTTACTATTTTTATAGGTAGAGGCAGCTCTAATGGCTTCCATTTGGTCTTTCCCACTGTAATAGTGCTCACCCTACCAGTCAAGGAGCCAATATGGGGGTTCTGCCAGCTGTTAAGAATGTCTGTGCCAATTTTGCATTCTGGCACTGGGGAAATGACCACAAGATGAGTCTGGGGATCCACTGGACACACTGTAAGTTGGACCTGAGCTAAAACCCCATTAATTACCTGTCCTCCATGAGCCCCTACTTTAACTGGAGGACCACAATGATGTTTTGAGTCCCTTGGAATCAATGTTAGCTCAGAGCCAGTGTCCAGTAGTTCCTGAAATGTCTGATCATTTCCCTTTCCGCAGTGCACAGTTACTCTGGTAAAGGGCTGGAGGTTTTCTTGTGGGAAGGATGGGAGAAAGATTCACTGCATAAGCTGTTGGTTATGTAGTGGGGTCCTTCCTCAAGGGGACCTGACCTCCCCTTCATCCCAGGGATTCTGGATCTGTAAACTGGCTCAAGTCTGCAAATTGATTGAGGGGCCATGATTCTCTGTTTTTGTAATTCAAATCAGTCTTTTGTCCATTTGACCTCGAAGTTTTCTGCTTGTTAAATTAAGTAGGAATGCAGTAGGCTTCCTGTCAATTTCACTTCTAGGAGCACCGTGATTAATTAGCCAGTGCCAGAGCTCTACACCAGTTAGAATATTCTGATTGCCACTTTGCCTTTGCTGTCCATTAGAGTAGCTATGCCTACCTTTCCTTTGACAGCTGAGTGATGCCACTTGGCCCTTGCCACCTTGGGATCCCATTATTTCCACTGTATTTAAATTTTGTAGTTGAGCAACTGCGGTTCCCACTGTCAGATCTGACATACAGAGAAGAGCAATAACAGGGCTCTTCAAAAATGCAGTTGCTGCCCTCAGAAATCTATTTCGCAAGGCATTGGTCAAGGATATATCTTCTGGATCCTCTCTGCTGGGATGAATAGGTCTAAAGTGACTAATCCACTCCACTATCCCAATCTCCCTAATCCTTTGGGTCCCTTTCTCTACATTAAACCAAGGGAGATCAGGCATTTCCACCTCTCACAGTGGGCCATCTTTTAATCCATATTTCAGCTAATCAAGCAAATAAACGATTAGAACTCCCCCTCCTCGAGGTGCAACATTAAATGCAGAGTCCCTACTTAGTGGGCCCAAGTCAATAAATTTAGCCTGATCTAACTCTATGTTCCTTCAACCATTATCCCACACCCTTAATATCCATTCCCATGCCTGTTCTCCAGATTTCTGTTTATAAAAATTAGAAAACTCAAGCACTTCAAGTGTAGTGCACCTCCTCATGGGTCACACTCTGAACCTCACCTGTAGGGGCCTGCCAGGACTTGTTATAGATCTGAAAGCAAACAGGGGTGTTGGAGGTGGCTCCTGAGGAGAATCAACATTATTTTGCCTAACAACTGCCTCAGGGGAGGCCGTTACTGTTGCCTCAGGCAGCATAGGATTTATCTCCTCAGACAAAGGTGGAAAGGCTTATGGCAGCATGGGTCGGAGAGGGGATGTTGCCACTGCTGGGGATGGGGAAGCTGTTTCTTCTGGCAGAAAAGGTTCATCAGAGTTTACAAACTCAGTGACCCCAGCTTCATCTGGGTCCTCCATATGTTCCCATTCCAAGTTGCAGGGTCTCATTCTTTTCCAATCAATGCCCTCAGTTTAACAATAGACGCCTAGTGAGGCTGTCCATGCATTTTTCATTACAGGTCAGCCACTTGCATGATAAGAACTTGTGTCTGTTTTTCCACAATTTCAACTCTTTCTCTACAGGAGATAAGACTCTCAGTCAGGGCAATCTTAGCAGATGGGAGGCTCAGTATCTGAAGCCGGGAGACAGAATCCCTGAGTTCATCATTTTTTTATCACTTTGTCCACCAAGCTTAGGAGCAACCAACCAGCTTCATTATGTTCCTTGGTTCTCCAGATATGGTCAAAGGTATTATGTATAGAGTTACTAAACTCCTTGTCTCTCATGAGCAGGGAATCAGGTGTGTCAAATGAATTTATTTTGCATAACTGTCACAATAGTTTATGCTAAGGACTATCAGTGTTCTCCATACTATTAGAAGTAGAGTCCTTAGCATTTTGGGGACTGATCATATTAAGCAGCCAAATCCAGAAACCCCAAAACCAATGAAAGAACTCCATCCTTAATATTCTGTTCCTCTAGGATCACTCCTCGTACCAAAATCTATACTAGTCAAGGTTCTCTAGAGGGATAGAACTAATAGTATGCAAATATATATAACACTTAATAAACTCACATATGTGTGTGTGTGTGTGTGTGTGTACAGATAGATAGATAGATAGATTGATCCTGGGTGTGTCTGCGAGGGTGTTTCCAGAGGAGATTAACCCTTTGGTTTAACTTTTGAATTAACATTTGAGGCTGGGAAAGGCAGACCCACCCTTAATCTGGGTGGGCACCATCTAAGCAGCTGCCAGTATGGCTAGAATATAAAGAAGGCAGAATAATGTGAAAAGACTAGCTTGGCCTAGCCTCCAATACTACATCTTTCTCCCCTGCTGGATGCTTCCTGCCCTTGCGCAATCTAATCAAGTTGACTCTCAGTTGTAACCATCACAGGAGTGCTCAATAAATGTTAGCTGTTATCTTCGTTATATTCAACCACATGTAACTTTAAATATATGAGCCTATAGCTAGCTAGCTCTACCCTCATGTAATTTGTCTCTGTGATAACATGTCTGCTTACTGATGAGTCTGTCAGTAATTGTCTGCAGTGCAATTTTTTCAGTTTTTATTTCTGATAATATGAGTACAGAATACCTGGAATCATGTATCGAAGAATGCTAATTGTTCAACATTTGGCAAATTGAAAGTAATTCAGAAAATCTTGATGGTCAAGCATCTGTGGTTAGTAGATTTATTACGATGAATTTCACAGTGCATTGGTGGCTAGAGTTATTAACTTGAAGATTCCTCAAGACATGGGAAGGGAGGAGGAAGAAAAACCAAAAGGTAATTTACCCTGGCATTAAGCTGCTGATTAGCTTGACTTGTTGAATTTGCTTGACCTAATTACATTGCTGTAGAACCAGTAATCTACAGAGTATCCTTAATAATTTGTGTCAGGGGGAAAAGCAACACCTATGAGGCAGAAACCCAGAAATTTAAGAGGGCATCAGAGATTCCTGTGACCCTCATATTTCCTGCTGTGTTAATTTCAGTTACTATTCTAGCTTGGGATGATGCTTTTCTGGAAGATAAGCCTGAAGATCTTAGCTCTAGTAGCTAAACAATGCTCTAAGGTAGTATGTGATTAGGCATGGCTGTGGAAAACATTATATATTATTATATATAACATTTTTAAGCGAACAGTTTAAAAACATTTTAACCAATACAATTTATTTAAATTTCATTCCGTGAAAATTTTTTATTAAGGTAATACCAGTTTATTACAAACGAAAAGTTGTGTTTTTTGAAATTTCACACTCTAATGGTCCAGGACTGTGAAAGATTGTTCATCTATTTGAAATATGTATATTTTTTTTACCTACCGGTCACTAGTTCCTGATTGGGCTGCAGAGGAATTTCAGGGAGGCAGGTAAAGAATGGCCTAGCAGCCCTGATGAAGGGCTTACCTGGTTTTTCAGTGTTTGGGCAACATAATAATGGGAAATTATTATTTTAGGCTATTTTTCCCTTCATATATGTTTATCAGATTGGGCTTCCTGACTACTTTTTTTGAGAATTTTTAAAATTTCACTTTTATATTGATGATGATCTTAAAAATATCTATATAGGCATGATCCAGATATTCTATTTAGATGAAGTAACCAAAAAGTGGTAAGGGAAGAAAATATTAGCAGTTTTCTTTGTTTTTATCTAGGAAAGAAGAAAGAAATTATGCTTCTGTGAAAGGAAAATAAATCTTGGGGCCCCAAAATCACTTAAGCTAAAGGGAAAAGTCAAGCTGGGAACTGCTTAGGGCAAACCTGCCTCCCATTCTATTCAAAGTCACCCCTCTGCTCGCTGAGATAAATCTATATCTGATTGCCTCCTTTGGAAAGGCTAATCAGAAACTCAGAAGAATGCAACCATTTGTCTCTTATCTACCTATGACCTGGAAGCCCCCCCCACCCCCACCCACTTCTAGTTGTCCTGCCTTTCCCTACCCACGGAACCAATGTTGATCTTACATATGTTGATTGATGTCTTATGTTTCCCTAAAATATATAAAAACCAACTTGTGCTCTAACCACCTTAGGTACATGTTGGTAGGACCTCCTGAGGCTGTGTCCTGGGCACGTGTCCTTAACTTTGGCAAAATAAACTTCCTAAACTGACTGAGACCTGTCTCATATTTTGGGGGTTCACACTTCACTAGTATTTATTGTATATACTTAAAGTAGTAAATATGTATGACTTATAAATAAGTAGATGTATATGTATGTGCCCTCCCATTTTTTTTAACTAATAGGAATGCATGATTTTGAAAATGTGGAATCTATTTACATAAATAACTACTGTGTAACTACACTTGCTATACAATTCCAGTGCCCACTTTTTCTTTTGGCTTTGTGTTGAGAGAAGGTCATATTATGTATGCTGTGTTTTGTGAAATAGGTTTTGCAGGGGCTTGAAAAGAATAAAGTGTGAGTTGAATCATCATGCATGGTAGAATAGGGTTGCCAAACTATAAAAACAACATATTCTTGTATCTATTGGGGATATTTTGGGAATTTTATCATTTTAATAAGATACAAAAACTTGTTACTGTTATTTATAGGAATGCAGTAGTATGTCTTTAGAGTAGCTTCTTTTTTTGAGTCTTGATTTCAGCAGTGATTGACTTGATGCTTATTCAGTGCAGATTTAAATAACTGCTGTGATGCTGACCTGGTATTCAAGTGAAAAAGACACTTTGAGTTATCAAATGAGACCTTATGATAAATGGCATTCAAAGAATGTTTATTGGCAAAAGCTTATGTAAATATAATATCTGATTGTTCTGAACAGTAAACAGAACCTGGAAATTATGAATTACATAGTGTACAACATACTTTTATGAACAGACATTATCTATATCATCAAATTATGTTTATAGTGTATTAAAAGAAAAACTTCAGCCAAATTAAATTTAAAGGAGTTTAATTGAGCAATGAGCGATTCATGAATCAGGCAGCCCCCAGAATCACAGTAGATTCTGAGAGACTCCAGTGCAGCCATGTGGTGGAAGAATATTTATAGAGAAAAAAAAGGGAAAGGAAGTACAGAAATTGGAAATGGGAACAGGAACAACTGGATTGGTTACAGCTCAGCGTTTGCCTTATTTGAACACAGTTTGAGCACTCAGCAGTATAAGAGTGAAGTATGGCTCCTGGGATTGGTCAAGACTCAGCTATTGTTACAGGAGCATACTCCTAAATTAGGTTTTCAGTGTTGTCTACCTATTAAGTTAGGTTGCAGTTTGTCCACAAGGACTCAAATGTAGCAGAGTCCTTCTCAGACCACATTTAGTTCACTTTACCAATTCCCCCCTTTTGGTTATTTTCTCAATTTTGAGAGATTGACCAAAACTTTAATCATTAATGTCACTGTCACTATCATAAATGTACTTATTTGGTCTTGAAACCCACTGGGAAACAGTAGAACAGTGAGTTTTGCAAAGGTAGGACCAAGGACTGAGTAGAGGGTACCTCCTGATGTTGGAACGTCTTGTTAACAGGAGGAAAACAAACCTGGTCTGTTCTAGGATTTGTGTGTTTCCTTAAAGTCTTAGTTTTATTGTCCCATTTAGCACAAGCAGCTCCATTTTTTGTGGTCTGTTGGGGCCTAGCGCATGATCTCAGTCCAAAACAGTGGCCACCCATAACTTTTAAAAAAATTTCCCCTTTTTAGTCAGGTTCTCACTTAGGTGAGAGTGTGACCAAAACTTACGGCATTAGTGCCACTCTCAGTTACCATCATTTTGGGTTTCTGGTCTCAGCATGTCAGTCATAGGTTACGGTGTCCTCATGGTCACACATTTCTTTCAGCTCTTGTCATTCCAGTTGAAGAGAGACCATTTGACATTTTAGAGATGGCTGACTTGTAAACATTTAAAACCTTTGAGAAAATATAGCGCACCAAGGAGACTATTATTATGACTATCAGGAGGACAATATGAAGAGTTTGGAATATGCTCCTTACCCAGGGTCCCCATAAACCAAATCACCTAAAATCAAATAGATTAAAGAATGAGCTAGATAAAGAGTCTACTCACTTAACTAAGCAGTCTCTCCGTTAATGCCCTAAAACTGAATCTCTATAATCTACGTTTGATGTATTTCTCCTAGACCACAAATGCCAGCAGCTGCAGAGATACTTTTCTGTGTAGCCAATTGTGTTATTTAGCATACCTTTCATAAGAGAATTTAAAGTCTGTTGTGTAACTATACATATTACAGTAGAATCTGCTATAGAGCCTATCATTAAGGATACACTTCTAATCATTGCCGTTTTTACTCCAAACCATGGAAAAAGGACCTAACAAATGATGCCCTTCTAGAAGTATGAAGGCCTCCTGGCAATGTTCTCTTTAACCTGTGATGTGGGTTAAGAGGAATGAACCAATGGTCTGTTTCTGACTGATTATGAGGCAATGTATATACCATTAAAGTTTATCGTGTACATTGGGCCTTCATTTTTTATCTGTCAAGGCATAAGTTTATCTGTATATAAGACTGGCTGCAAAATCCTTCATAAATAAAAGTATACCCAAAGTGCACACAAGAGACCCCCTTTTTATTTCTATTGTTCATAGAGGCATAAACAAGGAAAAAACATTCAAAGATAAGAGTGTCATGATAGTAGAGAAGTCTTGATTCGTGATCTTGGGAAAAGCTGTCATCTTGGGAAAAGATGCCATCTTCTTCTGGGGAGAAACTTTCCTGGTTAGCTTTACCTTAAGGGTCCAAATGGGTGTACAGTTCTAAGAGTGTGGAGGAATCTTTCCCAGTTGTGAGATTATGAATCCAAAGTTCAAGGTTCCAAAGTTTTGTTGCAGTGTGGATGGTGTGGGCAGTGTTTCTCTGATGTTTTCAGAAGATCCAGTCTTTGGGTTCTAGACAGAAGGGTGCCGAGACCAGCTCAGTCGGGGAGATCCTAACTCAGCGGCGCTAGAGGAATTAAAGGCACACACACAGAAATATAGAGGTGTGGAGTGGGAAATCAGGGGTCTCACAGCCTTCAGAGCTGAGAGCCTCGAACAGAGATTTACCCACATATTTATTGAGAGCAAGGAGTGATAAGCATTGTTTTTATAGATTATAGATTAACTAAAAGTATTCCTTACAGGAAACAAAGGGATGGACCGAAGTAAAGGGATGGGCTTTGGCTAGTTATCTGCAGCAGGAGCATGTCCTTAAGGCACAGATTGCTCATGCTATTGTTTGTGGTTTAAGAACGCCTTTAAGCGGCTTTCTGCCCTGGGTGGGCCTGGTGTTCCTTGCCCTTATTCTGGTAAACCCACAACCTTCCAGTGTGGGCATCATGGCCATCTCAAGACATGTCACAATGCTGCAGAGATTTTGTTTATGGCCAGTTTTGGTGCCAGTTTATGGCAGATTTGGGGGCCTATTCCCAACAGAAGGGGTTGACTGTCCTCAGTGAACCATAAAAAGCTTTCTTTACCTGGTGAAAATACACTGTAGCATAATAGTCTACATTATAACGTCAGCCCACTTGGATGGGAGAGCTTTTATACAACCAGAAAACATGCATTGAAAATGACAATTGAATGAAATCCCTTTATAAAATGTTTAAGTGGCCCAACCATCTGGTTACCGTCAGGTAACCAAATGGAGCTGAAGCTTTGATTGTTTTCCCATGAATATGGGTTTGACAAACCAAACATTGGTTATAAACTATTTTAGCAATTTGTAAGTTACCACACCAATATTTAATTTGAATTATTTTCTCTTTTCCATGATGTTTTGGAATGCATAACTTTTAATAACAAAAACTTTAAGGACTCAGGAAGGACAAGGTGGCTGTTCTGGTTCTCCAAGAGTCCATGCTTGACATTGGACTTATGTCATCTTGAATGCCAGTTGTTTTTTCCAATTTAGGTGTATAGCACTGATAACTAACTGATGGGTTATCATAGGTAATTTGACTTATGTTATCAGGAACCTGTATTCAAGAGTGCTTTTCAGGTTCTTTCCATCCTTTCATGAACCTCCTAAAAGACACCATATTCTAGGATTTTGTGTGCTTGTCAAGTTTTGAGAAACTGCAGGAGCATTAAGCAATTAACTGGAAGTGACTTTAAATAGTCATAGTTAAAAACACAGCTGACAAGGACAATTTCTGTGGTCTATAATAACATAATAACCATAATTATGATTGATAGCATTACTTAGACATATTAGAATTTTAGAAATCCCATGCAATATTGGAACATATTGATGACATACACTAAAATATAACCTAAAGAAGGTTAAGCATTATTTTTTATTTTTACAGTGCTTCCCAAATAACATGTCAAATAATCCTGTTTACCTGTCTTTTGGATTCTTCAGGGGCCCTCTGTAGCATCCCAAAGTTAGAGGTCAGAAAAGATAATTTTGAAGCTGAAATTTGATTTTAGGAAGCCTATCAAACATGTTAGAGTTTTAAACACTTGATATGAAATAGAATTACTGGACACCATAGTCATTCATTTAGCCAAAATGATGAAGAATTTCTAAAAAGGCAAAAACCTTTTACTCATTGATAGAGGGGAGACTTAGCTTTCCAAACCATCTGTCTTTTGTCTTTCCCTTCTTTTTTTCCTAGTTTATTCAAAAGGCAAACAAAATTTTTTTATTATCCTTTAATATTACATGAAAATCTTGTTCAGGGAGAGCCAAATTTCACCCTTTCATAAGTCTACTATTAATGTCAACCTCAATTTTTAATAAAACTTTATAGAAAAATTTATCAATCTTAATCAGTTTGGCCATAAGGTGAGATTCTTACAAACCTTTTATAACTCTTTAGAATTTTTGTTAAAGAGCAGATCAGTGCTCTAAGAAAAACCTATTGTGCTTTTTTTTAAATGTTCACTTTATGTAAAAACTGAATAATATCCCTTTAACTGTAGCCAATATGTTTACACACAGAATCTCTTTTACAATTAATTTTTACAAACCTTCCACAACTTGCTCAACATTTAGCTTTGTCTTATCTAATTTAAAACAATCTGTTAACCCTCTACACTAGGCAAAAATTTACATTCTCATGCTTTCTTATAATTTTTTTTTACCAAAAACAAATTTTACTTTCCTTATACACCTTGCATGTAAAACTGTTATTTCAGTAGTCTCAATTACATGTTATAATAGTAACTCTTAGCAGCGTTTACTTTTGGTGCATAAATTTCCTTTCATGAATCCTTTCATGACTTACACAGACCACCTACGTCATGCTTGGACTTTCTGACTTGTCCTAAGCATCCCTGTTTTTAACCAACCAGTTATTTTACTTCAGGACAAGAATTTACCATACAGGATCCTTTCTTATATAAAATCTCTTTTCTTTATAACCTTCTTTGCATAGCTAGAGGACGTGGCTGATTCCACATTTCCCCAGGCCTTATCTAGAATCTATCATTTCCAAGATAGGTAAATTGAACAATTTTCAAAAGTCAAAGCAGTTTATGACCTTAAAGCATTTAGCAAACCTAATATCTGACCTGCCTGATTAAGAACAAATGTCTTTATTTTACCAATAATCTTTAAAATTTTTTATTTCCCAAAGATTACTAAAGTTACGTGAACTAAAAAGCTTTATGGTTTCTTCTTTCAAATATTTGATTTAAGGTCCTATTTTTCTTCAAGCCAATTAATTAGAGCTCTTTTATAGAAACATCACACACAGAACGCATACATAACTATACAGATAGACAGAAGAAGATCCAGTAGTTGTAAGATTTTTTATTTGCCAGTTTTTAAGGTTTTTAATCGGATTACTGGCTTTAGAGTGGAGTCCTTGGAGGAACAGGGCCAGGAACATGCAGTTTCTACAGATTAATATAATAAGCAGGCACAGCTGGAAGGAAAAATAGATCTCAGAAATTAAGGGTCTCATTCTCATTTTTATATCAGATCCTGGATCCCATAAAGGGGGAATCAGCCAAGCTCCCATGGGTGTCTTATCTCTTAGTGGTGGGTGGGGACATTTCCATAACTTCTAGGTGGCCAAGAGCATGCTTTCTCTGATCCAAATGTGCAGAGCTGAGTATCTCCCCATAACTGCCATTAGCTATCCCTAAAAGTATATTTCCTACCTGATTATTACACACCAAAGCTGTCTTGTGATGCAAAGTCATTTCCGATACTCCCCAAAGTCGGAAACATCAGATAAAGCAATACAAAACAGAACAGAGTCTTAGATTTTGAGAGGGATCTATCCACTTTTAATTCCTGAGGTTTCTTGAGGAAAACAGAGGTTTTTCCCAAAACACGGTGTGTGGTGCCTCCTCTGCTTTTCCCAAGGAGTCCCAGGCTGTTAGAGCTTGAATATCCACTTTTAATTAAGCTGACTTTTAACTCTAGCCCTCTATAAAAGTCCTTTTAAATTTCTTACTACCCCACTTTAGCCAGGCAAAACAGCCAATATTTCTCGCTTAGAGAAAGAAAATTGTAATACAGTTTATGGAGGGGAAGAGAATCAACAGATGGTAAGTTTCATACAGATATCAAACCAGAAAGGACTCGTTCCCTAAGCCAGGAATTGAACTCAGGCCACCATTGTAAAAAGGCAAGGCCTTAGCTACTGAGCTATATTGGATAGCTTCCATTGCTCTTCCTAGAAGTCTAGAGCAGTCAATTTTGAGTTTGCAAAGGCTTTTAACTGCTCAAGATAATTTTCGGAGCTAGCTATGACATGAACCCCAAAATTCCTTTTCCCTGGAAGGTGGAGACTAAGAGAAAGTACCACCACATGATTACACAGTTAAGCTCCCAAGGACAAAACAAGATGGAGACCTCAGGCAGTTTTTTTGTTTGTTTCAGGGAACTGCAGCAACGTTTGTTATTGACCAGCTTGCTGGGCCGTCTTTAATAGTGAGCTTATGGGGTCCTAAGCCTATGTTATATTCCTAAAGTACTCTTTATAACAGAACCATACAGAAAGACAAGGACACCAAATTTGCTACAGCTTAAGAATAGCCTCAGAATCCTTTTTTTGCATTAATTAAAACTTTACAGAGGAACTAAACAGTGATTTTTACCATTCATTTAACCAGTTTGCACAGAGAGAGGCCAGAAGTCTGGTAAGAAATTCTTGCCCTTTTGCTGGCTTGTCAGGTTTCTGGGTTCCCCTTCCCTGAGTAGCCTCAGTGACCCTGCTTACCACACCATAGTTCTGGGGGCCAAACTGCATCACAAAGGAAAATAATGGAACCACAGGCAAAATTATCTCAATTTTGCAAGTTGCTGCCCAACCAGTTGTATGGGGGACCCGAATTCTAATATTTTCCATTCTGGCCAGAGTAAAATATGTGTGCTTTAAATAAAAATATTGAAATCTTTTTAGAAGTTTCTGCATATCAGTAGGCATCCGTAGATGAGACTAATTTGGGAGCCTCATTGTTTTAAATGCATTTCACTGCGTTGTTCATTTGGAATGTTCTATTGTAAGTTATCTTTAGTAAGATCTCACCATTTCTGTAAGACTTCACTGCTTCTGGGGCCTAACACTTATTTATGCATGTATAAGCCAGAAGGAACTCAGTTCTTCAGAAATTAAGAATCTCATTTTTACCAAAAATATTGGCTTTGCTCTTGGGTTCCCTTGATTAACTTAGCCAATGATTTCTTTTCCTACCTAAGTGCACGAGAAAAATGAAACAAAGGGGTAGAACACAAAAATCCCTGCAAATTTATTATTATTATTATTTTTTTCTGAGGCGGAGTCTCGCTCTGTCGCCCAGGCTGGAGTGCAGTGGCGTGATCTCGGCTCATTGCAATCTCCACCTCCCAGGTTCATGCCATTCTCTTTCCTCAGCCTCCCGAGTAGCTGGGAGTACAGGCACCTGCCATCACGCCCGGCTAATTTTTTTGTATTTTTTGTAGAGACGGGGTTTCACCGTGTTAGCCAGGATGGTCTCAATCTCCTGACCTCGTGATCCACCCTCCTCCACCTCCCAACATGCTGGCATTACAGGTGTGAGCCACACCACCCCTGGCCCCTGCGAATTTTTAAAAGCCAAATTTTATAGCCCCTGCAATATTACCACTTACTACCAGTTTCTTTCTGACCCATTCAGATGTAAGAAGCCTCTAACTGGATTCAAGTCAGTTAATTACTGGATCAAATTTGATCCTGCACCCAGGTCAGTTGCTGTCAATTCACTAATTGGCAAGCCCCCAGAATCACAGCAGATTCAGAGAGACTCCAATGCAGCCACATGGCGGAAGAAGATTAGAGACAAAAAAAGCGAAGTGAGGTACAGAAATTGGAAGTGAGATACAGAAACAACTGGATTGGTTACAGGTTGGCATTTTACTTATTTGAACACAGTTTGAGCACTTGGCAGTATATGGGTGGTTGAAGTATGGCTGCTGGGATTGGCCAAGACTCAGTCATTGTTACAGGTGCATACTCCTAAATTGGGTTTTCAATCTTGTCTACCTATTAAGTTAGGTTGTGGTTTGTCCACCAGGACTCAAATATGGAAGTATGGAGTCCTTATCAGGCCGTTTTAGTTTGCTTAAACAATTAAGGATGTCAAAATACAAAAAAAAAAAAAAAAAAAATTAAATGTAGAACCAGACTTGAAGCTCTTCTGTTAAACACAGCAGCAGGCATTTAGTTTTTGGAAAATAATGTCATCTTCAATGGGATTAATGTTTTTAGGGTATTATTAGTTTGCTAGTTTTGTTAGAATTTAATTTATAATTTTCTCTTGATTTCATAGTTTTGTAAGAACTATAAGCCTACGTAGTTTGTTTGCATTTATATGCTTAAGTACTGTTATATAAATAATTTAACACTTGGATCAAATGAGAATTATTTTTTTCTCTAGAAAAGAGTTCTGTACATTTCTTAAGTTTTAGAAACAGTGAATTAGAATATGTGGTTGGACTTCAAAACGTTTGAAATCCATTCTGTTTCCCAACTTCTCTTTTTCCGTATTATTCCAAGTACAGTGTTTTATAATATATTGATTATGTTAACAGGTCATAGTACTTATATTGAGGCTTAAAATTATCTCTAAGAGAAATGTTGATTACATTTATGATTTTAAGTTGAAGTTAGTACTTCTTTCTGATTGATATTGACATTATATAGCTATTGAATAATTATTTAGTTTCACAGAGTGAAATTAACCCTAAACAGAAAACATAGCCTAAAGAAATATTCTTTTTTTTTTTTTTTTTTTTTTTTTTTGAGGTGGAGTCTTGCTCTGTTGCCCAGGCTGGAGTGCAGTGACGCGATGTCGGCTCACTGCGAGCTCCGCCTCCTGGGTTCATGCCATTCTCCTGCCTCAGCCTCTGGAGTAGCTGGGACTACAGGCGCCTGCCACCATGCCCGGCTAATTTTTTTGTATTTTTAGTAGAGACAGGGTTTCACTGTGTTAACCAGGATGGTCTCGATCTCCTGACCTCGTGATCCGCCCGCCTCAGCCTCCCAAAGTGCTGGGATTACAGGCGTGAGCCACTGTGCCTGGCCAGAAATATTCATTTTTATATTGCCATTTGGAGGTCAATTCAGTCTTGTTTAACAAAGGAATATATGATTGATATTTATTTAATGTAAATTAATGATCTCAAGTTTTAAAAAAGAGAAGATGTATTTTCTGTTTTAAGAGGAATGACTCACTATTCTGTGAAAATGAATCAGTAACAGCTGAAGATCTGATCTTTGAACGTGACAGGGTTGGAACACTTTCAAAGTAGAAATCTAGCCAATTTTCAAGAAAAATAATGTTTCAGTTTTGAACTTTAATGTATTTGGAACATATGTAGCAGAACATTTTCTTCTTGCTGTCTCCTGCCAAACTAATTACGTATGCCACATTAATTTTTCCCTTATGCTTGGGAAACTCAAGATATGGTAGAATGGAGAATTTCCTGATTGTTACTCACCAGTTTTAATGGTAGAGTGAAGATGAGAAGTATCAAAGAGAGATTTTATTTCCTTCTAAAGAAATTATATGCAAAAATTAAAACATTTCATTCACTTAAAATTATTTACTGAGTACATACTGTATGTCAGGCCCTAGTATGTAGTATGAGTGATACAGTGGTGAACAGGACAGATATAGCCCCTGCCCTCAGAGAGCTTATATCCTAATGGGGGTGGTGGTGATAGGAGATGATGGGGATTTCAGATTCATAGATGTCCTGAAGAAAATAAAACACACAATAAGATAGAGTACCATAGCTAAGGCTGGAATTATATGAAGATCTGGGAGGAGTGAAGTCTAAATTTGGTCAGTAGCCACTTAAGTGGGAAAGGCTTGGCATATTCTAAGAACAGAAAGGCCAGTGTGGAGGTAGCATAGAGAATGTGGGTGGTAGAGGCTGAAGTTGGAGAGACAGAGACCAGATTATATGAGCCTTTTAGATGATGTAAGGAGTTGCAGTTTCTCTCTAAATGCAATGGGGATGCATGGAACTGCAGGTGAACAAAAATAAAAATAAAAAAAGATATAATGGGGAGTCCTTGGAAACTTTTAAGTGGGAACATTTAATAATTTGACTTATTTAAGGAAGATCACTCTGGGGGCTATTAGGAGAATGAACTGAAAGAGGGTGAGAGTAGAAGCAGGATGCCAGGTAGGGAGCTATTCCAGCATCTAGCCAGAAGATGGTGGTTGCTGGTGTTAGGGAAATGGAGTGGATTTGTGGATCTTGTGAGGAGTGATTGGCTTGGAGGTGTGCTCTTGTGCTAAACTGATTGTACTTGCTGATCAGTTGCATGTTTTTATACTCAAGCATTTGGGATTCTGAAAGTTAAATTCTTTGGGACATCATAGTTTAACGTGGACTCTGTAAGTCTTGAGAATGTAAAATTTTACTAAAAAATATTTTTGATGCTTAAGGAAGACAGTTTCTTTAGCTTCCCTTTGCTATGTGGCATAAAGTATACATTGTTCAGAAAAACATTGTAACTTGAAATTCTGTTCATAAGTTTATGCCAGATTGCGCCAATTTCTCTACTTTAAAATGTATCGCACACAAGGATATGAAAAAAATAATTAAAGTGCCTTCATAACTTTATGCCAGATTGCACTAATTTCTCTACTTTAAAATATATAGTACACAAGGATATGAAAAAAATAATTAAATTGCCTTCAACTATGTAGTTGAAAATTTTTTTTTAAGGAGGAGAAAAATGAACACAGTAGCTACATGATATAAATAAATTTGTGTTTAACTTTTTCCTTTTATCTAAATTATATATTTACTGGATTTTTTTTCCCTAGTCACATTGTCCTAATGCTTGCAGATGATATGGCCTGTAATCCTAGAAATCCCAAACCAGCTACAGTGTTTAGTCACAAGAATATGGAACTAAATGTGTATGGAGATGATGTGGAAGTGGATTATAGAAGTTACGAGGTAAATTCTTTAATCTAGCCACATTTTTAAAATGGCATTGTTACTTTTAGGCTCTAAAACAATGGCAGAATAAAATTGTCTTATTATTTTTCTTTAAATTTAATTGTCACTGAAGCCTTGATGTAACTTCTCTGAAGTTCATATTAAGGCAATGATATATAAGTAAAATATTAAAACATGAACATTTTATGTTTTTATCTAGGACAGAAAAACTTTATATTGGCTTCAATGTTAGAGTATTATAGTGAGTTTTCCTGTGTCAACTTTCTTTTACAGTAAATATATTTTATAGTAAATGTGTATTTTTCATATTTGACCTAAAATTCCAAGTTTATTAGTTTTAGTAATTGTATTAATTGTGGAAAAACTATAGTGACTATAGTTTCAATATACTTCCAGTGTTTTTTATGAATATGTGATAAGAAATAAAAATGTAAATGTAAAAAATGGTATTATACTCTATTTTCTCCCTTTGAAACTTCATTTTAAATATAAAAGATTGTGAATACGCTTAATATTTGAAGTCTTCTTTTATGAAGTCTTCTTAGATAATCCTTCCCCTTTTACCAAGCCTACCAAAAGTAAGACACAATTTCCTGTGTGTTCCTAGACCACTTTTGAAGCAATTTTAAAAGCATATCTATCTCCTCCTAGACTGTAAGCTAAGAGGGCCTGTGTCTCATGTATCATATAGCTGGCAAGTACCTAGAGCCTGGTGTTAGGCACTCAAAAATGTTGGCTCATTGAATTAAATATGTATGTTTAACCTTTTACTTGTTTATTTAGTCATATTTTAGGAAAATATAGGCCAAACATTTTCCTTCCTTGTTGGCCAACAAGAATTCCTGTTAAAACAATTAGCATTTTGCTGTCTTGCAGGAAAAATGTAAATCAAACAGTTTACACACGCACAAATGTGTATACATACAATTTATACACTCATGTTCTAGGAAATAGTTGAACAAGAAAACTGGATAGATTTTCTACTTTTTAAATGTAGATATGCATAATATATGACTCAGCTGTTGGCTTTAAATCAGTGTTTTACTCTCTATAACTTTAAATATGCCTTCAAAGAATCCCAGAGGGATAGAAATTCTAGATTGGGAAAATCTCGTTTAAAGTGTTATGAATTTTTTACATGTTAAAGATACCACTAACAAAATCTGAGCAACAAAGTGCATTCAAAAATTAAAGATACGTAATTTTGGGGAAATATATATGGAACTTTTTTTTTTTCTTTTTCAACCTTTATTTTAAATTCAGGGGATATATGTGCAGGTTTGTTACAAAGGTATATTGTGTGATGCTGAGGTTTGGGGTATGATTGAGCCTGTCACCCAGGTAGTGAACATGGAACTATTTTATTTCATGGTTAATCTATAATTGACTAAGTAGTTGTACAGATTAGCTGCAATAATGTAGTTGAATTTATTTAAAAATTCTTATATTTTGTATCTTCCCACAGAATTGCCTATGCAGAGGGATTAATAATTTTTATTTTTTATTTTGCTAGAGCTGGAGTCTTGCTCTGTCACCCAGGTAGGAGTATAGTGGCCATGTCATAGCTCACTGCAGCCTTGAACTCCTGGGCTCAAGTGATCCTCCTGCCTCAGCCTCCTGAGTAGCAGGGACTACAGGTGTGCACCACCTTGCCTGGCTAATTTATTTTATTTTTCCAGAGATGGGGGTCTTACTAGGTTGTCCAGGCTGTTTTTGAACACTTGGCCTCAGGTGATCCTCCTGCCTCAGCCTCCTGAGAAGTTGGAATTACAGGTGTGAGCCATCATGCCCAGCCAGATAAATAATTTTGCAGCTTTTTAGTAGTTTTTAAAGGCAGCACTTCACATAGCATTTAAAGTTTTAAATTCAGAACTTATTTTTCTCCAAGGTAGTTTTACTTTGCTTGTTTTTGTTTTTTGTTTTTTTCTAAGAGACATAGTCTTGCTCTCTTGCCCAGGCTGGAGTGCAGTGGTGAACTCCTGGGCTCAAATGAGCCTTCTGCCTCAGCCTTCTGAGTAGCTAGAACTACAGGAGCATGTTACCATACCTGGCTATTTTAAACATTTTTTGTGTGTGTGCATAGAAATGGGGTCTCACTATGTTGCTTAGGCTGATCTTGAACTCCTGCCCACAAGCAGTCCTCTTGCCTTGCCTCACAAAGTGCTGAGTTGATAGGCATGAGCCACCATGGCCTGCCTTCTTTGTTAGTTTTTAGTACTTTTAAAAATAGTAACAAAGTTACTTGGAGGTATATGTTTAAATGAATATATTTTAATTGAGTTATATAATTTTTGGGTGTTTTATTTTCAGTTGGTGCTGAGTAATATATGGAGAAAGAACAATGAACATTTTTGAAAGTAAAAAGTAATTTGTCAAGATTTCCCAGGTTTTATTTCATCTGATTTTTCTTGTTTTTTCCCCCTTAGGTAACTGTGGAGAATTTTTTACGGGTATTAACTGGGAGGATCCCACCTAGTACTCCTCGGTCAAAACGTCTTCTTTCTGATGACAGAAGCAATATTCTAATTTATATGACAGGTAATTTCATAATTTAGAGTTTTTATAGTAGAGTATATTGAAACTCTTTGAAAAGAAAGGCAAATGGAAAGAAATTTAAACACGTGAAATGATTTTTGGTTAAAATGGTTTCTCATGTAGTTATATTTTCCATAATGTAGAACTATTTGAGATGATATCTGAAAACAGTATAACATTTTGTGCTGTTCCTGATTTTCTTATCTCTATATTTTTTTACTATTGACTTGGTAAACTTAGCACCTTTTGCTTGGTATCCTGCTACAGCATCCTTCAGTTTTGTTCTCCTGCTAATCATCCTGTGAAAGTGTCTAATAGAAATTGCAAATCTGTCCCTCTTCTGCTTAAAACTTTATAATGGTTTTCCATCTCAAATTTTGCTGTACATGAAGATTACCAACTGTAGATACTTAGGCCTTATTTTAGAATTCTTACTTAATTTTCATCTGGGTTGGGATTCATGAAATTGCATTGTGGATATACTCCTCAGATATGAGATACAGTAGTCTTTTGATTATACTTTGAGGAATATTGGAGATAAAGTGTACCATAATATAATATAGTTATCATATGTATTACACATAATAATATATGTAATGATTTAGCTATATTATTTAGTTTGTCTTAGTTCTTAATACTTTTTCTAATTCTCTTCCAAGCTTGAATGTTCTGTCCTTCAAACATTTGTTTAAGCTCTTGCATTTGCTTATGACGTCTTTTCAGTCCACTTTGCCTGCTTGATTATTCCATATGGTTTTAGTTTTAGCTCAGGAGTCACTCCCTTCCATGACTTCCTTTCTAAGTCTAGGGTGACTGATGTTTCCAATTACCTGGGACAGTTGTAGTTTACACCTGTTGTCCCAGTGTTATTATTAATAGTTTCTGCTTTCTCCTTCAGAATTGGTATGAATAACACAGCTTACATTTTTCTTATCTAAAGATATTTCTCTTCTCCTTGGCTGGTCTGGACTTTCCTCTGTGCATGCCCATGTTAATTTTTAGTTTCTTTCATAGCATTTAACTTACTATTACTTTATTGTTTGGGTATCTGTTGCCTTCACTGTATTTTGAATTCCAAGATGTCATTGATTATATATTTCTTGCTTTTTTTTTTTTTTATCACCAGTTGCCTGTCTTGTAGTAGTATTCGGTAAATATGGATGTTAATCAAAAGATGTTCTATAAATTTTTTGGAGGGCATTCCATTCAACTGATGATAAAGCAGGTGCAGAATGATTCTTAGATATCACATGTCAACATAGTTAATGACCCCTACTTAGTGGCTTTTCTCTATCGTGTTGCATTTATTTATAACTTTCAAGGCTTAATTTATAAACTTTATAAATTAACTCAATAGAGTTAATGAAGCCAGGAAAAATTTTATTTTACTTTATCTGAAAATTACAAGGAATTTTCAAGCTTTTATGGCAAACAAGATGAAGTGCAGTTTTTTGTAGCTTAGCTTTATTTGATGTACTAAACTAAAGGATTTATTATTATTATTTTTTGTTTGTTTCCTGATTCTGTTGGAACTCTTTCAGGGTAACTGCAGGCTTGGAACAAATTCCAGTAGTTGAAGATAGGATTTGATAAACTATGGCCTGTGAACTGGCTGCCTGTTTTGGAAGTTTTATTGAAACACAGTTGCATCCATTTGGTTTACACAGTTTCTGTGACTGCTTCCATACTACCACAGCAGAGTTCAGTAGTTGTGCTAGAGACAATATGGCTCACAAGCCAAAAATATTTACTACCTGATCTTTTGTAGAAGGTTGCCAGGGTCTGTAAGAGAATAAAAACGTTGATAATTATGATAATATGATAATAATATTTATGGAGGCATAGTATACGTCAGGCAGTATTCTAAATCATTGTGGCTATTAACTCATTTCATTCTCACAGCAGTGCATTGACTTAGGTGCCGATATTCAAGGTTGCTGTATGTGGTTGTGTGGGTTGTATAGTGCACCCAAGAATCTGGCCAGGGTGTTAAGTGGGAACTGAAATCTCGTATGTGCTTACACTTACTAAGCGATCTGCCCTACCACAGGGTTGTATTCTAATGGAAGGGAGGGATACTTTTTTCTCCCACAAAGGCATAGTCAACTAACCACTTGTAAGCCTGCAGGGCTGCATGTATCCAAGAGGAAGGTGAGGAGACTAGTTTTTTTTTTCTACTTTCATGCCCAGTTGAAAGTACCTTTTAAAAACCTGTGCAAAGCAACTGTATAAGTAAGCTAATGATAGTGTTGCAGATACATTTCTCACTTTATGGCTGAGGAAACTGAAGCATAGAAATATTAAATTATTTTCCTAAACTAACATGGCATAGTTACCATTTGAATCCAGGCAACCTGCCTCTAGATTGCATACAAATAGCACAATCTTCTGCTCCACCTCTTGTAGTAAAAATGTGGGACTAGCTAATGTCTTCAGCTTCTTTCTCATCAAAAATGTTTGCCTGGTATTTGAAACATTTTGTGAATGGAAACTCATTTCTGATATAATAATGGAGCCAGTGGAAGAGCATAAATATAGGTTTCTGTAATTGAATATTAGAAACCCTATTAAAGATATTATATCTGCTATTTTATATAGTCTATCATTCTCTTTTTAATTGGCATAGTAGAAAATTCAATTTGTTTGTTTTCATAGTATACATTTTAGAGTATAAAATAACAAGCGATGTCAAAATGTAATGAATGAAGTAAATGTATATATCTAGATATATGCAGTTTGCATTAAAAAATCTATTGATCTTTTTTACTCTTTATACAAGGGCATGGTGGAAATGGTTTCTTAAAATTTCAAGATTCTGAAGAAATTACCAACATAGAACTCGCGGATGCTTTTGAACAAATGTGGCAGAAAAGACGGTAATTAGCAAATTACTTCTTTTCATAAGCTATATTCATACCTAATTTTCACATGGTTCGTAGATTTGTAATTTTTATTTTTTAAGATTTTTAACTTATTTTGACAATTTCTTTGACTCTTTTAAATTTACATTTGTTATTTCCTCTGAACTGGGTTGTTTTTAAAAGAAAAACTGAGAGTTATTCTATAACATGAAATAGTTAACCTTTTAAGATTCCATCTCTTGTTATTTAGCATCTTTTTTAGAGGAAATAAGTGTCCCTCCAACCAAGTTAGCTATTATTATGGAGATTATGAACATCTGTTTATTTTTCAACTTGTACCTATTCTTTCTAGCTCATTCTTTGGCCCCTAATGTTATAGACGTATTTCTTCTATGGAAAAAAAAATCGCTGAAATTATGATTAGCATAAAATTTGTAACAACTCACATTAAGGATGATTGTTAGTAACCCTTGCTAAGCATCTCTTTAGTTGGAAGCTGTCATGCATATGACTGTAAGTGAAAAAACTTTTAACTTGATTACTTTCAATAAACACTTATAGGCTATCTTCCATTCCTATGGCAGAAAGTGGAATATGATGCTTATTCTGCCTTCAAAGTGTTTACAATCTAATGGAAAAGAGAAATATGTATACAATGATGCTACAAAATAAATACTGTAATGTTAAAATAAAAGCATAAGCAATGTGTGGAAGTGTTGAGGAAGCTTTTACTAGGCACTGATTATGTCTTATTCATAGCTTACAGTTATAGAATGCATACTGGGGGCTGCATACTGTATTTTACATCTATTGTCTCATTTAATTTTACAACTCTATGGGGTAGATACTATTATTATTCCCTTTTTACAAGTGAGTGAACTGAGGCACAGAAAGATTAAATAACTTGTGGAACTTTACACAGCTAGTAGTAACTTGCCAAACTTGACACAGCTAGGATTCATGCCCAAATGGTTCAGTCCTAGAGCTTGCTCTCTTGTTTACTCCACAACCTCTCCTAACTTTGGGTGTTTCTAATGCATAGGAGCCTCCACATATTTTGCCACAGAACAAATGTGTCATATTAATTGTGTCTCCTGTCACTTTCTTCGATGATACTGTGGTTCAAGATTCAATGCTTTGTTTTCTAGGTTCCATGTTAGCTGTTTACCTAGACCCAGTGTCTGAGAAAAACTTCCCAGAAAATATGTCTCCTCTCTACTTTAACTTTTGCCAGCTAGCCAGCTTATTGTGCAATGGATACCTGATTATATTATTCTTTCATTAAAACAACAACAAAAACAAAAACCTTTCATGGTTTCTCCAAACTTATAGGATAAGATCCAGACTTCATATGGTATCCTTTACAAATTGAACCTATTCTACCTTTTTGAAACCAATTTCCCTCCATTCTCCCAAATTTACTTTAAATCCTAGCTACACAGATCTGTTCCCAAGCACTTATACTTTTTTACATTATGTGCTTTTCTCTCTGCTGGAATGTCATCTTCTTTTCTCTGTAAAACAAAATAACATCCCTCATTGTCCGTATTGGGCATCACCTTTCTCTGATCTGCTTTTCTTTGCAGTTCCTCCTTAGTCCTTTCTCAGTGTTCATTCAACACTTTGATTTTGTTAGACTCTAGGCTATATGAGGGCAGGGACTATTGCATCTCCAGCATAATATCAGGCACATTGTAGGCACTCAATATATATTTATAGTACTCATCACGTTCCAATGTAGTTGTATGTTTGTCTGTGTTCCACTTAGAGTTTATGCTCTTTGAGTATAGTTACTAAGTCATACTTCTTTTTCTGAACCTAGCTCAATTTCTATGACAGCATGGGTGCCAAATAAGTGCTTGTTGAATGGAATATTCATTTAGATTCTGAATTATATGGCATAGACAAGGAAGAGGGAAAAGAGCTGGGGCAGCCACCTTGGGCACAATAAGACTCGCTGTGGTTTCCTTGGACAAATTTATACCTTTAACTTTTCTGAGGTCAAATTTCTGTTGGGAATTCTGCTGAAAACTTTTAGCTAATGAAATGACTAAGATATGATTTAAACATCTTACAAAAGTATTGTAGAAATATTAGTGTATGATTTACAGCATGATCCTTGTCAAAGATGTTATCATTTTTCTTTCAGCTACAATGAGCTACTGTTTATTATTGATACTTGCCAAGGAGCATCCATGTATGAACGATTTTATTCTCCTAACATAATGGCTCTAGCTAGTAGTCAAGTGGGAGAAGATTCACTCTCGGTATGTGCATTTTCCCCATTTGTAAACTGTGTCTTTGGAATGTGCAGCTATTTCTGAAACCAATTAAATGCTTTATGAATGTATCTGTTCTTTCTTAGACTAATACATTAGAAGGAAATTTTGGTTACATTTAAAACATTTTGTTATAATGATACTGTTAGAAATACTTTTTTTCCCCCTTTCCATAGCATCAACCTGATCCTGCAATTGGAGTCCATCTTATGGATAGATACACATTTTATGTCTTGGAATTTTTGGAAGAAATTAACCCAGCTAGCCAAACTAATATGAATGACCTTGTAAGTATTCACTTGATTTGATTATAGCACATAGGTATGCTAACCTTAATGTGAAAAGAAGTGTATTATTCCCTGCACTCCTAGAGGATCTTGTTTTATGTGTTGAATTATAGCTTTTAAAACTATTTGATATCTACCTTTTACCTGTATATTAGTATTTCTCTGTCTCTCTACAAGAGGCCTGATGTTTTCCTTTATTTACTCATTTTCTTTTCCTTACCAGAAATGTACTTTTTTTAGATTCAACTTTTGAAATTCTACATATTCTTCAGGGGCCACCTCAGATTGTGTCTCCTTCAGGAAGTCTCCCCGAATTCTTCCCTGTGGGAATTTCTTGTTTTTTTTCAGAGCCTCCATAGACCTTTATTTCTCCTTGGTAACATTTACCACAGTCTTTTATTGACCTTACTAATTGAATGTAAGTCTTTCTCACTGAATGGGAAACTCCTGGAAAAGAGAGACCTTTTCTTACATATTTTTGTGGGCCCTACAATTTATAGTATAGTCATTTGACAAGGCTTGTTGAATTTAATTTAGATTTTTTTCCTGAATTTTTTTGTGCTGATTCTTTTCATTAAATCTACTTTGAAGTTGCTGTTGAAAGTAGGCATAACAAAAAGCTTGAAACAACAATTCTAGACTGGATAATTTACTATGTGTCAATGACTTTCATTCTTTTCTCCATTAATTTATAGTCTGTTTATTCTTTCATAAATGTTTCTTGAGTGTTTGCTAAGTGCCAAGCACAGGCTGTTCCTAATGAAAGAGGCAGATGCCGTTCCTGCTTTCATGGGACTTAGAATGAAGGTGAGACTGAGTAGACAGGGCTCTGTCCTCTAGCACTTCAGCCAAGCAGCTTTGCATTGATCTCTTTAATTATATATAAATCTTTTAGGTAAATTCTCAGATTCTGAAGCCCACTGCTATAGGCTGTGAAATTTGATAGAACTACTGTATTAGTTCATTTTCATACTGCTATGAAGAAATACCTGGGCCTGGGTAATTTATAAAGAAAAAGAAGATTAATGGACTCACAGTTCCACATGGCTGAGGAGGCTTCATAATCATGGCAGAAGGTGAAGGAGGAGCAAAGGCACATCTTACATGGTGGCAGGCAAGAGAGCGTGTGCAGGGGAATTACACTTTATACAACCATCAGATCTCATGAGAACTCACTATCATGAGAATAGCATGAGAGTAACTGCCCCACATGATTAAATTACCTCCCACCAAGTCCCTCCCATGACATGTGGGAATTATGGGAGCTACAATTCAAGATGAGATTTGAGTGAGGACACAGCCAAATTATATCATTCTGCCTCTGGCCCCTCCCAGAGCTCCTATTCTCGTATTTCAAAACCAATCGTGCCTTCCCAACAGTACTCCAAAGTCTTAACTCATTTCATCATTAACTCAAAGTCCACAGTCCAAAGTCTCATCTGAGACAAGACAAGTCCCTTCTGCCTGTGAGCCTGCAAAATCAAAAGCAAGTTAGTTACTTCCTAGATACAATGGGGGTACAGGCATTGGGTAAATACACCTGTTCCACTTGGGAGAAATTGGCCAAAACGAAGGCACTACAGGCCCCATGTAGAAATCCAATAGGGCAGTCATTAAACCTTAAAGTTCCAAAATGATCTCCTTTGACTCCATGTCTCACATCCAGGTCACATATGAAAGACGTGGGCTCCCATGTCCTTGGGCAGCTTTGCCCTTGTGGCTTTGCAGGATACGGCCCCCATCCTGTTTGCTTTTACGGGCTGGCATTGAGAGTCTGTGGCTTTTCCAGGTACACAGTGGAAGCTGTCAGTGGATCTACCATTCTGGGACCTGGAGGACGGTGGCCCTCTTCTCACAGCTCCACTAGGCAGTACCCCACTGGGGACTCTGTGTGGGGGCTCCAACCCCACATTTTCCTTCTGCACTGCCCTAGCAGAGGTTCTCCATGAGGGCCTGCCCCTGCAGCAAACTTCTGCTTGGACATCTAGGCATTTCCATACATCCTCTGAAATCTAGGTGGAGGTTCTTAAACCTGAGTTCTTGACTTCTGTGCACCTTCAGGCTTAACACCATGTGTAAGCTGCCCAGGCTTGGAGCTTACACCCTCTGAAGCTATGGGCCAAGATGTACTTTGGCCCATTTTAGCCACAGCTGGAGTGGCTGGGACACAGGACATCAAGTCCCTAGACTGCACAGTGCAGGGGGTCCTAGGCCCAGCCCACAAAATCATTTTATCCACAGGCCTCAGGGCCTGTGATGGGAGGGGCTGCTGTGAAGGTCTCTGACATGCCCTGGAGACATTTTCCCCATTGTCTTGGCAATTAACATTTGGCTCCTCATTACTTAGCAAATTTCTGCAGCTGGCTTGAATTTCTCCTCAGAAAATGGGTTTTTATTTTTTATTGCATTGTCAGGATGCAAATTTTCTGAACTTTTATGCTCTGCTTCCCTTTTAAATATAAGGTCCAATTCCAAACCATATCTTCATGAATACATAAACTTGAATGATTTTAACAGCACCCAAGTCTCCTCTTGAACGCTTTGCTGCTTAGAAATTTCTTCCACCAGATACCCTAAATCATCTCCCTCAATTTCGAAGTTCCACAGATCTCTAGGGCAGGGGCAAAATACTGCCAGTCTCTTTGCTAAAGCATAGCAAGAATCACCTTTGCTCCAATTCCCAGTAGTTCCTCATCTCCATCTGAGTCCACCTCAGCCTGGACTTTTTGGTTAAAACCATTCAACAAGTCTCTAAGAAGCTCCAGACTTTTTCGCATCTTCCTGTTTTCTTCTGAGCCCTCCATACTGTTCCAACATCTGCCTGTTACCCAGTACCAAAGTTACTTCCACATTTTCGGGTATCTTAATAGCAGTAACCCGCTCTGCTGGTACCAATTTACTGTATTTGTACATTTTCATACTGCTATGAAGAAATACCTGAGACTGGGTAATTTATTAAAAAAAAAAAGAGAGATTTAGGCTGGGCTCAGTGGCTCATGCCTGTAATCCCAGCACTTTGGGAGGTTGAGGTGGGCGGATTACTTGAGGTCAGGAGTTCTAGACCAGCCTGGCCAACATGGTGAAACCCCATCTCTACTAAAAATACAAAAATTAGCTGGGCATGGTGGCACATGCCTGTAATCCCAGCTACTCGGGAGGCTGAGGCAGAAGCATCACTTGAACCTGGGAGGCAGAGGTTGCAGTGAGCTGAGATTGCGCCACTGCACTCCAGCCTGGGTGACAGAGTGAGACTCTGTCTCAATACAAACAAACAAACAAACAAAAATAACAAAAAAGAGGTTTAATGGGCTTATAGTTCCACATGGCTGGAGAGGCCTCACAATCATTGTGGAAGGCAAAGGAGGTGTAAGGGCACATCTTACATGGTGGCAGTCAAGAGAGCATGTGCAGGGGAACTGTCCGCTATAAAACCATCAGATCTTGTGAGACTTATTCAGTCATGAGAACAGCATGGGAAAGATTTGCCCCTATGATTCAGTTACCTCCTACCAAGTCTGTCCCATAATATGTGGGACTTATGGGAGCTGTAATTCAAGATGAGATTTGGGTGGGGACATAGCCAAACTATATCAACTACTTTCTAACTTCGTTTTGAAGATTATATATGTTGATGTTTATTAAATCTTGATATGAATTTGAATATTAAAACTTGTGATAATGCTACTTTAACTGTAAAAAAATTATAGTCACCTAAGTTCCAATTACTTCAATTTGAAAGTTCTCATTTTTGGATTGTACATTTTATAATTTATGTAAGGCATGACATGCTATCTCGAAAGTTTAAATATATGTACCTTGCACATTGAATATCTAATGATCGTTTAAAAAATACTTCTATTGATTATACAGGAAAGATTAAGGAAACTAATTTTTTTATTGCTCTTAATTGCTATTTAGTTTTTAATAAACATTCCTCACTAATACCTCATCTTACCCTACCACCTTTATTTTTAAGATTTAATGATGACTATTGTAATCTTATTCAATAAGAATGATTGATTTTCTGGCAGTTTACTGGGGCAGTGACTTAACCTATCTCTAGCTCAATTGTATAATAATACCTATTTTCTATTAGAGTATATGTGTATAGTAAAGTTTGCTGAGTATCAGCTGTATTCACAGCACTATGTTAGTTGCTTTAGGAGTAGCAAAATTTGAAGACCTGGTGTTAGCCCCTTAAAAATTTATAGTGTCATTGGTGACAGTTGAAGAGCACATTTATAAAACATTACTTGTTATGTGAAATGTCTGGATCCTCCAGGTAATTTTCTTTCCTTTGTGAACATATAACTCTTGCCATGTACCTTTATTATACTTTTAGTATTGCACTGTAATTGTTTATATTTGTGATGTTTCCTCAAGGCTTTGAGCTTCTTGAATGCGAGGTGTAAGGACCATGTTATATTCATCTTACACTCCACAGAACTTAATTACAGTACCTGGTTTATTTGTAGATGCTCATTGAATATCTACTAAATGAATGAAAGGACATGATAACAATGCAATTTATATGGTTCCTTTAAATATAGTGAGATTAGTCATAACTTTTTCTTGGAAAAGTAAGTACAGGTTTGAAGGAAGAGAAGAAGTATAGCATACTCTAGGGAAATAAAATACCCGCAGACACATGGAAGTTGGAATAATGGATGATCCTTTTCTTTGATAATGGGTTGAAGGAAGGATGGTTTGAAGGAAGAGAGGTATAGCATACACTAAGGAAATAGAATATGTGCAGATACACAGAAGTTGGAATAATAGATGATTCTTATCTTTGATAATGGCCTGGCTAGAGTGAGGACATTCTGTAATTGAAGGAGATTATTGAAAATTAAACTGAGTAATATGGGACCTGTGGGTCATTGTGTTATGTGAGCTAAGGAAATCAGATTGATATGATAAAAATTCTTAAAAGAAAGGAGTGACTTCATAATAAGGTGAAGTATGTTTATTTTGGCAGCAAAGAATAGGATAATATTATTCAGTGTTTCCCAGGCCCATTTGACTATACTCTTAAATGTTTTCTTCTGCTGGTACCTAAGAAAGCCCATCAAGTTGTTCATACAGGAATACCCAAGAGATCTTCAGTATTCTTGGGACTTTCAACTTTATCTCTGCTTATTTTATTTTATCTGTCATTTTTTTCTCCAATCTTCTATCTGTTATTCCTGTTTGGCATTTTACTTTTTTTTCCTTTTTAATTTGTATCCTGAGTCCTTCTTTGTGTTTCCTTGTACTGCTTTCCTGAATAGGGATGACAAGGATTGCTGGCAGTGTGGTATTAGGTAAATTACTTAATCTCTTTGAGCCTTAGTTTGAAGTGGAGATATAAGTTTTGTATACCTCAGAGTTATTGGTAGGCTTAAATGAGAATATCTGCAAACTGCTTAGCACAGTGCTTGGAACACTGTGTTTTATAAATTGTAGCCGCTCTACCCTTCTCCACCTTTCTGCCTTCATATTGGTGATTGCCAGTGCAGACAGTCTTATCTCTACAGGTGGATAGGTGCTGTGCGCCTGGACCCTTCCTGGCAGGCCTATAATATTTTTCCTCATATCTCTCATGCTTCAGCCAAACTAAATAATTTGCTTTGCACGTCTCTGCAACTGCTCTTTTATTAGGAATGCTCTTATTTCCCACCAGTAAGTCCTCGTTTTCCTTCAAGAAAAAAAAAAATGGCTTGAATTTCACTCTCTGTTTTTTCCCCATCCTCAAACTATAAGAAGTTTATCCTTTTCTGAAGTGGGACTTATCATTTTTTTCTACCTTGTTATGTTTATTCATCTGTAACTAGACTTAAATCCTTGAGGACAGGACCATGTCTTATCAATCTTTGTATCCTCTGTGGAAAGTAACAGTATGAATTCTATGTAATAGACACTTTATATGCTTTGCTGAGTGAGTGAATATATGTCTGTCCTTGGTAATTCACTGACATGGAGTATCAGTGATAAGATTAACAGAAAAATTACTGTGATGTCTGTTTTGCAGTGAAGTTGTGGCTTTTCAGACTGTATTCTTTGGAGCACTGGAGTATTTGTGGAGGTAGCTTGGGCTTATTTTCATAAATAAACTAAGAAAGTGCTTTGATATATAAAATGCTACATAGGAGTACAACAGAGAGCAAGAGGATATGCAGTAGAGAGGCTGTGCTTCAGTTTTCTAAAATCCAGAGCAACTCCACTTAAATGTTTTTTACATATTGGGGCTCCATGTACTACTTTATTTGAATTTGAAGTTTGAATCAAGAGGCATGATTACAAAACGTTTGAAAACCATTCTAGTAGAACACTGCACTGTGATGGATACAGACAAAGAAAAAGAGCAATTCTGTTTTCATCGTGTTGAGTATGAGTTCTCAGAGTTAAGGGTTCACAATACACTTTGAAGCATATAATTCAAGAAAGTGAGTATGCCTTTTCCCACAGTGGCCAGCTACCTTTTTATTACTGTCCTAATGTCTGTATAGTTTTCTTAAAATTCCAAGCATTATGATAGGAATGAAACTTTAATCTTTAAGGTCTTTAGAACACATAGCTTCTTTAGGTTGGGAGAGTTTTAAAAATACACTATAGTTTAGTGAATTATGTGATTGGATTTAATAAATGTGGTATGTGTGTGGATGCATGCATTTATTATTATATATTTTTTCAGTTTCAGGTATGTCCCAAAAGTCTGTGTGTGTCTACTCCTGGACATCGCACTGATCTTTTTCAGAGGGATCCTAAAAATGTACTGATAACTGATTTCTTTGGAAGTGTACGGAAAGTGGAAATTACAACAGAGACTATTAAATTGCAACAGGATTCAGAAATCATGGAAAGCAGGTATTCATCTTAAACCATTATTTGAATAGAATACTAGTCTCACAGTTTGTACATTTTTTTGAAACATTGTATTAAGAGGCAAAAGTTGGTGTTTGTAAATAAAATTACACATTTATACCCAGTCTTCACTTTATGTAGGCTGTATGCTTTTCAGATTTATATGTAAAAACTATCAATATTAGTGGAAACTAAGATCATCGTTAGGATTATGTTGGAGCTCCAAAAGACAATCTTGCTAGTGGTTCAGTTTGATACTTGCCACAAAGGCCTAAAACTTTTCCCATAACTGGCTATCCCAGCGCCATAATTTTCTGTTAGGCCTCCTGGTAACATTAGGGAAAGGAATGAGAAGTGTAAACCAGGTACTGCCTTGGGGAGTGAATTGTATGTGAGTGAGCAGTGAGTGAGTACAGACATTTGTAAGAGAGAGGAAGTTGGGAGACATTGGTTCACTTTGGGTATGTGAATTTTAGAAATACTTATAATTTGTTTTATTTTCTCTGTAACCATTTTTAAAGGTAAAATACTTTATTAGAAATAAATAATGGGTCAGTCAATAGCTACTTTCTTGAAATATATAATGGCATATGTTGTTAGCCATGAAACTTTGTTATTTGTGATTATCTGTTGCTATCTATTAGAAACTCATACTATAGGGAACTTTTTTGGATTGAAAAATGGCAATATATACAATTACAGCAATTTTCAAAATTTCAAAGATTTGTAATTGAGCTTATGAATGTTGTAGGAATAAATTCAAACACTGGCACAAGATGCTTTTCTTTGATTCTAGTTACAACAGTTTCTTTTTTTTTAATTGATGTATAATATTTGTACATATTTTTGGGGTACATGTGATATTTTGATACCTGTGTACAGTGTTTAATGATTAAATCAGGGTAACTGGAATATCCATCACCTCAGACATTTGTCTTTTCTTTGTGTTGGGTACATTACTATTTTTTTCTGGATATTTTGAAATATGCAATAAATTGTTAATAATTTCCCTACTATTCTGTCAAATACTAGAACTTATATCTTCTAACTGTATTTTTATACTGCTTAACCAACTTCTCTTCATTCTCCTCCCAAACACTTTCCCTACCCAGCCTCTGGTCTACCCTCTACCTCCTTGACATCCACTCGTTTTGCTCCCACATGTGAATGAGAATATGTGATATTTGTCTTTCTGTGCCTGGCATATTTCACTTAACAATAACTTCCAGTTCCATCCATGTTGTTACAAATAACAAGATTTCATTCTTTTTTGTGGCTGAATAACATTTTATTGTGTATATATACATTTTCCTTTTCCATTAATCTGTTGATGGACACATCTTGATTCCATACCTTGGCTATTGTGAATACTGCTGCAATAGACATGGGAGTGCAGATAACTCTTCAGTATACTGATTTCCTTTTTTCTGGATATGTAGCTAGATGTGGGATTGCTGGATCATATGGTAGTTTTATTTTTAATTTTTTGAGCAACCTCTGTACTGTTTTCTATAATGACTGTCCTATTTTGCATTCCCACCAATAGTGTATGAGTGTTCCTTTTCTCCACATCCTTGCCAGCATTTGTTATTTTTTGGTCTTTTTTATAAGCTAACTGAGATGAGATGATATCTTGTAGTTTTGATTTGCATTTCTTTGATGATTAGTGATTTTGAGCATTTTTTCATATACCTGTTGTCTTCTTCTGTGAAATGTCTATTCAGATGATTTGCCCATTTTATAATTAGATTTTTTTTGTTTTTTTGTTTTTTTGTTTTGTTTTGTTTTGTTTTTTGCCATTGAGTTGTTTCAAATTCCTTATATTTTCTGGTTATTAATTGCTTGTCAGGTGGATGAATTGCAAATATTTTCTCTCATTCTGTACGTTGTCTCTTCACCTTAAACATTGTTTCCTTTGCTATGCAGAATCTTTTTAGCTTGATGTAATTTCATTTTTCTGTTTTTGCTTTTGTTGCCTATGATTTTTGAGGTTTTACCTAAAAAATTTCTGCCCAGAATAATGTCCTGGAACATTTCCCCAGTGTTTCCTTTTAGTAGTGTCACAGTTTCAGGTCTTAGATTTAAGTCTTTAATCCATTTTGATTTGATTTTGGGATATGGTGAAAGTTGGGGATCTAGTTTCATTCTTCTGCATATGGATATCCAGTTTTCCCAGCACGATTATTAAACAGAGTGTCCTTTCCCAATGTATATTCTTGGCACCTTTGTTGGAAATGAGTTGGCTGTAAGTGCTTGGATTTATTTCTGAGTTTTCTATTTGTTCCATTGGTCTGTGTGTCTGTTTTTATCCCTATACCATGCTGTTTTGATTACTGTAGCTATGTAGTATAATTTGAAATCAAATAGTATGATGCGTCCAGCTTTGTTCTTCTTGCTCAGGGTTGCTTTAGCTATTCTGGGTCTTTTGTGGTTCCATAGAAATTTTAGGGTTGATTTTTCTATTTATATGAAAAGTGCCATTGGAATTTTGATAGAGATTATTGCATATGTATAGATCAATAAATATACTTCTTCTGGTAGTATGGACATTTTAGCAATGTTATTTCGTGCAATCCATGAGCATGGGATGTCTTTCCATTTTTTGTGTCTTCTTCAATTTATTTCATCAGGTTTGTGTAGTTTTTCCTGTAGAGATCTTTCACTTTGGTAAAATTTATTCCTAGATTATTTTTTCCTTTGGTAGGTATTGCAAGTGAGATTGCTTTCTTGATGCCTTTTTCAGATTGATAACTGTTGGATAAAAATGCTACTGATTTCTGTATGTTGATGTTATATCCTAAAACTTTACTGAATTTGTTCATCAGTTCTAAGAATGTTTTGGTGGACTCTTTAGGTTTTTTTAAGTGTAAGATCATGTTGTCTGCACACAAAGATAATTTGACTTCTTCCTTTCCAATTTGGACACGCCTTATTTCTTTCTCTTGCCTAATTGCTCTGGCTTGGAATTCCAGTACTATGTTGGATAGAAGTGATGAGAGTGAACATTCTTATCTTGTTCCAGATCTTAGTGGAAAGTCTTTCAGTTGTTCCGCATTAAGTATGATATTAGCTGTGGGTTTGTTATGTATGGCCTTTATCATGTTGATGTATGTTCCTTCTAATCCAGTTTGTTGAGAGTTTTTATCATGAAGGGATGCTGAATTTTATTGAATGCTTTTTCAGCATCTGTTGAAATTATCATATGGATTTTGTCCTTGATTCTGTTGATCATGTATCATGTTTATTGATTTGCATGTATTGAACCATTATTGCATATCTGGGATGAATCCCACTTGATCATGATGGAATGGTCTTTTTTTAATGTGCTGTGGAATTCAGTTTGCTAGTATTTTGTGGAGGATTTCTGCATTTATGTTCATCAGAGATATTGGCCTTTAGATTTTTTATGTGTGTGTGTGGTGGCCTTGTCTGGTTTTGTTATCAGGGTAATGCTAGCCTCATAGATGAATTTGGAAGTATTCCCTCCTTCAGTTTTTTGAAATAGTTTGAGTAGACTTGGTATTAGTTCTTTAAATGTTTGGCAGAATTCAGTAGTGAATCCATCAGGTCCTGAGCTTTTCTTTGATGGGAGATTTTTTACTACTATTTTGATCTTGTTACTCATTATTGGTCTGTTTAGATTTTCTGTTTCTTTCTGGTTCAATGATGGTAGGTTGTATGTGTCCAGGATTTTATATGTTTCTTCTAGATTTTCCAGTTTTTTCGGCATGTACTTGTTCACGATATTGTCTAAGGAGCTTTTGTATTTCTGTGGTATCAGTTGAAATGTTTTCTTTTTTATCCCTGATTTTATTTATTTGGGCTCTTAATCTTTTTTCTTAGTCTAACTACAGGTTTGTCAATTTTATATTTTCAAAAAACTAACAGTTTGCTTTGTTGATCTTTTATATACTTTTTAGTCTCAATTTCTTTTTCTTTCTTTCTTTCTTTTTTTTTTTTTTGAGATTGAGTCTTGCTCTGTTGCTCAAGCTAGTCTGGAACTCCTGGGCTCAAGCGATCCTTTTGCCTCAGCCTCCCACATAACTGGGACTACAGACATGCACCACCACACCAGGCTAATTTCTTTTTATTTTTTGTAGAGATGGGGGTCTCCGTATGTTGCCTAGGCTGGTCTTGAACTCCTGGGCTCAAACGATCCTCCCACCTTGGCCTCCCAAAGTGCTGGGGTTACAAGTGTAAGCCACTGCGCCCAGTCTGATCCTTATTTCTTTTCTTCTACTAATTTTGGATTTGTTTTGCTCTTGATTTTTGAGTTCTTTAAGTTGCATAGTTAAGTTGTTTATTTGAAATCTTTCTTTTTGATGTAGGCGTTTATTGCTATAAACTTTCCTTTTAATACTACTTTTACTGTATCCCATATTCTGATATGTTGTGTTTGTATTTTCATTTGTTTCAAGACATTTTTAAATTTTCTTCTTAATTTCTCCATTGACCCATTTGTTATTCAGGAGAATGTTATTTCCATGTATTTGTATAGTTTTCCAAAGGTCCTCTTGTTATTGACTTTTAGGTTTTTTTTTTATAGTCAGAAAAAGATACTTGAAATGATTTCAGCTTTTTTGAATTTGTTGAGACTTGTTTTGTGACCTAACATATGGTCTATCCTGGATAATGTTTTATGTGCTGATGAGGAAAATGTATAATCTGCAGCAGCAGACTGAAATGTTCTATAAATGTCTATTAGGTCCATTTGGTCTAGAGTATAGACTCCAATCCTTCTTTGTAGATTTTCTGCTTGGATGATCTGTCTGTTGTTGAAAGTGGGGTGTTGAAGTGCTATACTATTATTGTATTACAGTTTGCCTCTTCCTTTAGATCTAATCATATTTGCTTTATATTTGGGTAATACTGCAATGGGTATATACATATTTACTATTATTATATTCTCTTGCTAAATTGACTCCTTTATCATTATATGATGACCTTCTTTGTTTCTTTTTATGGTTTTTGACTTAAAGTCTGTTTTATCTGATATAAGCATTGCTACTCATGCTCTTTTTTGGTTTTCATTTACATAAAATATCTTTTTCTATTTGTTCATTTTTTGTCTGTATCTTTATAGGTGAAGTGAGTTTCTTGTAGGCAACATATAGGTGGGTCTTGTTTTTTAATCCAGTTAGTCATGTCTTTTAATTATGATGTCTTTTAATTGGAGAATTTAGTCAATTTATATTCAGTATTATTATTGGTAGGTAAGGGCTTACTGTAGCCATTTTGTTATTTGTTTTCTAGTTATTTTGTAACTCCTCTCTTCCTTTTTTTCTATTTTCCTTTGCGATTAAATGATTTTCCCTGGTAGTATGTTTTAATTCATTGCTTTTTGCTTTTAGTGTATCTATTATAGGTTTTTGCTTTGTGGTTACCATTAGGTTCATTAAAAATCGTATAGTTCTAATAAGTTATTTAAAACTGATATGGCTGGGCGTGGTGGCTCACGCCTGTAATCCCAGCACTTTGGGAGGCCAAGGTGGGCAGATCACTAGGTCAGGAGATCAACACCATTCTGGCCAACATGGTGAAACCCCATCTCTACTAAAAATACAAAAAAATTAGCTGAGCGTGGCAGTGCGCACCTGTAGTCCCAGCTACTTAAGAGGGTGAGGCAGGATAATTGCTTGAACCCAGGAGGCGGGGGCTGCAGTAAGCCGAGATCGCGCCACTGCACTCCAGCTTGGCGACAGAGCAAGACTCTGTCTCAAAAAAAAAAAACCAAAAAACAAAAACTGATGCTAACGTAACTTCAATCACCAAAAAAGAGAAAAGAAGCAAACAAACAAACCAAAACCTGTGCACATTAACTCCCTCTCCCCCGACATTTTGAATTTTTGATGTCACAATTTGCGTTTTTTTTATATTGCCTATGTTGACAAATTGTTTTGTTATATGTTCTGGAAGAATGGAATTTGGCTCTTAAATTATTTGTATGTATTAGCACAGTAGCAAAAATTGTCATTGCCGAAGATTGTTGTTTTTAATCAAGGAGAAAATTACTTTAAATATCACAGCCAGATATCAAGCACTGTTGAATTAGAGCACCCTCTAGTGTTTATAAATAAATTTTATTTACAATGTTGCTATTTACCAGATGGCTTCATAATTATTGGTGTACTTTATTCAGTTAATTTATGAGAATCAGGCTCCCAGTGGTTCAGGAATTTTTACATAGATGCTATAAATATTATCTCATTGTATGTAGGTGCTGTTTGCATGCAAATATGAATGGCAATCCAAAGTTTATTTAAAGTATATAATGAGAGATCAGATATCATAAAAAACTATTTTATTAAGGAAATTATAGGCTGGAGTATATATGCATTTAAAAAAATCTTAGGTTAAATTATCAACACACTGTTATTAAAATTGACAGTTAGAAATACTTTCTACACATATTAGGGAAACAGTGGAGTCCATTGATTCAGTTATTCATATTTTATATTTTGTGTAGTACACTAGAGTAAAATCAGATATGATGGAGAACTTTAGTACATAAAACTGATTGGGAGTACCTTTATGAAATAAGAATTGTTTTTATGTGTCTTCTGAAACTTACATATGTTAAGTAAGATAAAGTTATATAGTAACAACCCTTTGTTTCTGCATATGTCTTACTAATTGTGTTGTAATTTATTTGCAAGAGCAGATGAGGTAAAATAAGGACTGATTGTAATAAGCTTTGCTTAGGTAACTTGATTTTAAACAGCTTCATCGTAGTATACATAGGCTGGCTTTGGATAAGTATGCAGACAGATAAACTCTCTTCCTCTTCAAAGAGTTGGGTTTTTTGAATCTGGTGGTAATTCTGTGTCAGAAAACCTTTTACTGAGGTTACCAGTTTTGTATCTTTTCTGTATTAGGAAGATATCCTCCAGGTTGTGACTGTAAAAATTTTGCACATTTTAGTGTTACCAAATTTGTAGAAGTCTAAATTCTATAGAATTACCTAAGGAAAAACAGAATCTAAGACATTATGAACTCTAAACACTCACCTCTTATGTTAGTGGGTTAGAAGAAACTTACCTAGTCTGAATTTTTCTCCCCTGCCCTCACCTCCCCTCCCGTTCCCTCCTCTCTCCTCCTGATATGGTTTGGCTCTGTGTCCCCACCCAAATCTCATCTTGAATTTTACTTCCCTAATTCCCATGTGTTGTGGGAGGGACCCGGTGGGAGATAATTGAATCATGGGGGTGGTTTCCCCCATACTGTTCTCATGGTAGTGAATAAGTCTCACGAGATCTGATGGCTTTATAAGGGGCTTCTGCTTTTGCTCCCCTCTCATTCTCTCTTACTGCCACCAAGTAAGAAGCGCCTTTTGCCTTCTGCCATGATTTTGAGGCCTCCCCAGCTATGAGGAACTGTGAGTCCATTAAACCTATTTTTCTTCCCAGTCTCGAGTGTGTCTTTGTCAGCAGTGTGAAAACAGACTAATGCACCTCCCCTCCCCTCCTTCCTGTCTCTCCCTTCTTTCCCTCATCTTCCCTCACAGGGTCTTTCTCTCTTGCCTATGCAGAGTCATAGCTCACTGTACCCTTGAACTTTCAGGCTTAGGTGATCCTCCCACCTCAGCCTCCCAAGTAGCTGGGACTACAAGCTCAAGCTGCCATGCCTGGCTAATTTTTCTTTTACTTTTTTTTTTTTAGACAGAGTCTCGCTGTGTCGCCCAGGCTGGAGTGCAGTGGCACAATCTTGGCTCACCGCAACCTCCGCCTCCCGGGTTCTAGCAATTCTCCTGCCTTAGCCTCCTGAGTAGCTGGGACTACAGGTGCATGCTGCCATGCCTGGCTAATTTTTTTGTATTTTAGTAGAGACGGGGTTTCGCCGTGTTGCCCAGGCTGGCCTCGAACTCCTGAGCTCAGGCAATCCACCTGCCTCTGCCTCCCAAAGTGCTGGGATTACATGTGTGAGCCATCTTGCCAGGCCTCTTTTACATTTTTTTTAGAGACAGGGTCTTGCTATGTTATCCAGGCTGATCTAAAACTACTGGCCTCAGGCGATCCTCCTGCTTGTGTCTCCCAAAGCACTGGGATTAGAGGCATGAGCTGTGGTGCCAAGCCTCATTTTCTTAGTGATGTCTTTTGAAGGGTAGAAATTTAAATGTTGGTGAAATCCACTTATTTTTTCTTTATGCTTAGTACCTATTATGCAAGCAGTCTTTGCTTAACCAGGGTCATTAGGATTTTCTTGTTTTCTTCTAGAAGTTTTATAGTTTTAGCTTTTATGTGTAGGTCTGTGATCCATTTTGAATTAATTTTTGAGTATTGTGTGAGGTAGGGGTTAAGGTTCATTTTTTTTTCCATATGGACATCCAAATATTCCAGTAACATTTGTTGAAAAAATTACAGATGGTCTCCAACTTACTTACAATGGTTCGACTTATCATTTTTGACTTCATAGTGGGTTTATCATGGTATTAAATTCATTTTCAATTTACAGTATTTTTTATTTACAATGAGTTTATTGGGACATAACTCCATCATAAGTTGAGCAGCATCTGTATTTATTCCTCATTGAATTATGTTGATCCCTTTGTCAAAAAATCATGTTTTGGGGGTCTATTTCTGGACTTTATTTTGTTGCATTGTAATATTTCTATCTTTATACCACTATTACATTCTTGATTATTGTAGTTTTATAGAAACTCCTGAAATTATATAAGTCCTCCAAATTTTTTTTTTCATTTTCAAGGTTGTTTTCAGTGTTCTAGGTTCTTTGCATTTTCATATAAGTTTATGAATCAGCTTGTAGGTTTCTTAAAGTAAAAAAAGAAAAAGAATAAAAGCCTACTGGGATTTTGATTGGGATTGAATTAACTTTATATTGGGCTGTATCACAGCTTAACAGTATTGAGTCCTCACAATCCGTGAGTATATCTCTACAGTTATTTAGATCTCATGTAATTTCTCTATATTGTTTTATTGTAGATATTTCCTACACATTTTATTAAATTTATTCCTAAACATTTTGTATGTTATTTTTAAAACATTACATTTGTTTGTTGCTCAAATGCAGAAGTATTACAATTGATTTTATATTGACTGTTTTTCTGAGATCTTATTGATTTGGGGTCAACCCAATTCCAATCAAAACCCCAGCAGGCTTTTTATTTTTTTATTTTTCGGTAGAGATTGACAAGCTGATTCCAAAATTTATATGGAAATGTAAAGGACCTACTATAGTATATATTACATTATTGAACATATGGATTCTAGTCTATTTATAATATTTACTAGGAAATTAAATCAAAAGTTAAATTTACATATTCAATAGTAACATCTCTTTGAGATTCGGGTAAAATTGATTGTGAAGAATATGAAACTATGATCACATGATTCGCTTAAAATTGCTGATAGTAAATTGATACAATTATAAAACTTTATGAACCAAAAATTCACCAAAATGATTCAAGTAACAGTTGACAGGATTTCTCCTATACTTTTCTACATGTTACTATATTTTTCAAAGTGATTAATTTACTCATCAGTATAATTCCACATTATCTCAGCATTTTATTTTGTCATTTATTTTATATTGTTATTTACAGCTGTTTGTCACTTCAGTTATTCAAAAGCTCATTAAAATGAAATTTCAGAAATTAGATGTGATTCGTTTAATTTATAAAGGCACCAAAACATAATTAAATTACTCATTTTGTCATTTTGCATATGGATAAAGTTCTTATTGTTATAGTTTCAAAATGGATTGGTCATATCATGGGTAGTTTTTTGTTTTTGTTTTTTAGCAGTTTATTTCACTGCCCTATCTGTAATTAACAAAAGCGTCTATTGAGTTGCTTTATGACTTCTAAGAAATCAGTATATATAAATAGTATAGCACAACATAGTACCATATCCCTTTGTGTTAATAAAACATCTCTAAATATAAATTGGCAAATATGTTTACTAGGAGTAGTAGTTTCCAACTAATGTTTATTAATATTCTTAAATATGTCAAAGCAAAGTTAATTTTAATTTAAACACTAAATGCATAGCACCTAAACTTTTTGATTGTATAAAATCTACAAATCATATGATATTTATAAAACAATTAGAGGCAAATTCATTTGGATTTTTAGACGATAAAGTTCTGTATCATATGGAAAAATAAATTCTGAGACCCTTAAGGTTTCTTTTAGTTCTTTGATTTATGTCTTTTTGATTTATGTGACTCTTCTGATCTTTGCACTAATTGTAATATTATTGTTCCACTCCACTAAATTAAATCTTACCATTCTAAATGAGTTAACAGACTTACTTATTGTCTACTATCTGACATTATAGGGGATATTACAATATAATAATAAAAGCAAAGTCATTGGAATCAATAAGCTCCTAAATTCAGATCCTCTGCCGTTTACTAGCTATGTAACCTTGGGAAAACTACTGGACCTCTTCTGTCCTCAGTTTCTGCATCTGTAAAATGAGAATAATAACTCTACCTCATATAGTTATTAAAGTAATTTTTATTTTGCTTAGAAAGCACTTAATTCTATGCCTCAAATATAGTGAAGCACTCAGTAAGTGTTAAGTATTATTGAGAGAACTTATCTCACACACTGATAAAAATTAATTATTGCTAGAATTCTATTTGAACTGCATTTTAGCCATTTAGCTGGTTATCAATTCTGCTTTCAGTAATATAAACTAGTTATTTCATATTTGGTGGATTCTCATTTATAGAAATACTATACAGAATTTGGAAATTGTGTTGTACCAGAAGATGGCAGTAGTATCATATATTTGTATATAGGGAACTGTCTAATATTTTTAAATGCTGGCGATCAAGGTAGGTTATACCTTCAAATAAATTATGATTGTTGTTTTTTCAGGCAACTGGTAGAGAAAAATAATTTTGATATTGAATTGTCAGTTTATAAAGGTTGGTAAAAATTTCTCTCTATATGTAAATTTTTTTATATGGCTTTTATTATGGGGGAAAAATGGACCTGGTAAATGATACAGACCTGCGGTCTTTGCTTATGATATCCTTTATGTTGGATATCAATTTTGGGTCACAAAAATTTTTTATAAAGGATGGTAAAAATTTCTCTCTATATGTAAGTGTAGGCTTTAAAAAAACCTAACAATATGGAAGTTTATCTATGAAATAGATGAATCTATCAGATACTTATGGCATATTTTTAGATATTAGTTTCCATGTTATTAAATACTTGACCAAGAAATTGAAGGGTCAAAAAAAGTTAAGGGGTGTTTGTGTGTGAGGATTATTTATTACTAATTAGTAATAAGACAATCTTTATTTCTAGCTTATCATTGGGGAAAGTGTATTCCATTTTAAAAATTGATTTATACAATAACACTTTAGGATTGTAGCTGTTAGGTAAAACAAGAAGGAAAAGACATTTACATTAATATATAAATCTGTAATCCCATTTCAGAAATGTCAATTTTTGTTGGCATAATGGTGTGCCTTGCTACTGGGTTTTCAAATATTCTACAAGTGAAGTATGGCCAAATTGCCCCCTCCTAGTGCTAGAAGAAACTTTTAAGGCAACATGATCTAGTAGAAAGAGCACGGAGATGAATGGACTTGCATTCAAATTTTGCTTTTTTTGGGTTCCCAATATGGTTTGACTCTGTGTCCCCACTCAAATCTCATCTGGATTGTAATCCCCATGTGTGGAGAGAAGGAGGAAGGTGATTGGGTCATGGTGTGATTTCCCCCATGCCATTCTTGTGATAGTGAGTGGGTTCTTATAAGATCTGATGGTTTTATAAGTGTCTGGCCTTTCCCCTGCTTGCACTTCTCTCTCCTGCCACCATATGAAGAAGGTCCTTGCTTCCCCTTTGCCTTCTGCCATGTTCGTAAGTTTCCTAAGGCCTCCCCAGCCATGTGGAAGTGTGAGTCAATTAAAATGCTTTCCTTTATAAATTACCCAGCTTGGATATTTCTTTATAGCAGTGTGAAATGGACTAATACAGTACCTTATTTAATCTCTCTAAGACTCAGATACTTTATCTGTCATAGGGTGATCTACTCTCTACCTTCTGAGTTATTTTGAAGATTGAAGGTAGTGTATATAAAATGAACATACTTTGTCAATGCCTTTTTAAAAGTGTGCCATCTAAAACTCATCACAGTCATATTGATGTCTTCCTCCAGTGCAAGAGATACAATGAGCAATACAATGCCATCTTTATTTGGTGTATTATAGTTCTGTTTCTATAGCTTGATTTGTGTTTTTATCAGCCATGCCATCTATAGCCCATTCTGACAGGAATTATTATTAGCCTGACTTTCCCATACTTACCAGTGTAGCTGACTTAAAAAACAAAACAAAACAAAACAAAAAACAACTCAATTTCAGGATTTATGCCTATTTCTTTATGTTTTTATCTTACTAGTGTTAATTCAGTATTATAGCCTATTAGTCTTTTTTAATACTCATTCTGACATTGCCATATTAGTATTGAACTATTTATGGCTTTTATTGTGGGGGAAAAATGGACCTGGTAAATGATACGGATCTGTGATCTTTGCTCATGATATCCTTGATGTTGGATACCAATTTTGGGTCACAGCTGTTAACTTTTATTTGTTAGAAAGCTGATTTCTCAGGGCTTAATCAAAAAAATCAAAATTTAATAATAAAAATTTTTTGAATAATGCCAAAGTGGACCTAAAAAGTCAAAGTAAGGTTATTTTTGTGAGCTTTTATTAAATTAATATAGTAAATATTGTTTAAAGTATGTTTTTCTACAGATGTTATAGATAAATTACTATCAAGTAATTAAAGATTTTCATTTTGAAATTATTTTTCTCATAAAAATAAAGGAAAATCAGGGGACTTACCAACATTGACGAGCTGTATTATGCTCCATCTTTCTCTGCTTTAAATTCATTCATTATATACAAAGTTCTTGTTATACTCAAAGATATTCCAGGCTTGGTACTTTCTTTAATTTGATGAAATTGTGACTTATTATTCTGAAAGTACTTTTACTAAGGGAAGCGTGCAGCTTATATTGTATGGAATGCCTTTTTCAGTTCCTTCATTTTAACTTCAATATTAAGAGCCGTTCTCTGTTCCTTATCTGATGGCATCAGCTTCTAATATTAATATGTTCTAGTATGATTTCCCAAGAAGTAAAGAGCAGACAAAATAATGAAATATAAGAGTTCTTAGGATATGATCTCAGAATACCTATGTCACATGATAACTAAGTGTGCTGGCTGAGAATTATATTGTACTACACTGCAAGTAGTAATGGACTTAGTTTGCTTGGCCTGAACTATATTGCCAGCCAGAGATTCAGAGATACTTGGTAAGCAGTTTAAACTGGGTTTTATTAAAATTAATATATCTAATTTTTATAATGTTTATTTCTTTATAGCAAAGATGTGTATATTTAGAGCATGTATATTGAGAGATGGAGCAAGAAAATAGTATTTTATATTTCTCTTAGGTGATTTAAAGATTGCATGCTTTATAGCAATCTTTGGTACTTTTCCTTTAAGGTACTGAAACAGGTGATAAGGAACTATACAGTGTGACATACAGTTGTAACTACTGTAATTGCTATGCATAAGCAAGGTATTTTAAAAGCTTATATCTAACTAAAGGGAAAGCTCTAACTTATGCTTTAAAAAATAAGTGATATTCACAATGATTTCTCTTTTGCATGTAAAAACACTGATACGTATCTTCTAAATCATAGAAAATGATTAAAATTAATCTTGTATGGTTTTAGTGTCAAATGTAGTGGTTTTTTTTGTTTTGTTTTTCTGCTATTTCTTTGAAAGTTAGATATAGTAAAACCTTGAATATCCAGAAATTAGGTAACTTCTGGTAATAAAAGAGTACATGACGTTCCCATGAGTTAACACTAAATATGAAAAAACCCACTTTTACCTTAGATGTTGTATTAGGTTGTTCTTGCACTGCTATAAAGAAATACCTGAGACTGGGTAATTGGCTTATTGTTCTGCAGTCTGTACAGGAAGCATAGGGGTATCTACTTTTGGGGAGGCGTCAGGAAGCTTCCAATTATGGTAGAGGGCAAATGGGGAACAGGCACATCATATGGTGAGAATAGGAATGAGAACCGGAGCAAGTGTAAGTGAGCGGGGCAGGGGGGTTGGGGGAGAGTAAGAGAGTGAGAGCAAGAGAGAGAGGGAGGGAGGAAGGCAAGGGTTTGGGAGAGAGTGCAAGAGAGAAAGAGTGAGTGAGTGTGAGCATGCACTGGGGAGGTGCCACACACTTTTAAACGACCATATCTTGCGGGAACTCACTCACTATGGTGAAGACAGCACCAAGCCATGAGGGATCTGCCCTCATGACCCAAACACCTTCCATCAGGCACCACCTCCAGCATTGGGGATTACAGTTCAACCTGATATTTGAGCAGGGACAAATATCTAAACTATATCAGATATAAAAATACAGCTTGAATTCAGTAGCCTTTGGCATTCATAGTTTCACATTTCATTAGAAGGAAACATTTCTCAATAAAAGAACACCCTGTAATATTAGAATGAGATACAACATTTCACTTTCTCGGAACAAAAAATTAATGTAAATGAGTTTAGAGGGATGGTTTGAAGTTAATAATAAAGAATAATCAATTGACTTCACTTTTGTAATGTTGCTGACAGGATTTTTCTGAAAATTATTCCGTTACAAGATACCTAGATGCACTATAAATTATATTTTAAAAAGATCTTTTTAAATGCTTAGCTGAGCTGCCAAGAAAGTAAGTGTGTAGAGACAAACAACATTTGATGAATAGCATTGCTGGCTTCTTCCACATTGAAGCAGAGCTGGTGGCACCCCCTCATTCAGTGGTAAGGACTACATGGGTTCTACTTCCTACAGTGTTTCTAGATAGTAACAGCTGGTGTTCTAAACATGCAGCTTCCCTGAGCAGTTGGCAGCAAGCTCAGACTGTCTCCTTTTGCAAGGACAGTATAGATTTACTTTAAAAAGCGGGAGTGTCTATGGGAGCCCTTTCTTGCTTTAGGGCTCTCATGTGATTTAGGGTTGTAATTTCCTCCTTGATCCAACCCATGGTGTTTCCAGCTGCACCTTCATCTAAAGAAACCTTTACAGGGGACTGTGTGACTTATCCTGCTATTGGTCTTTTTATCTAGTAGCAGAAAGTATTCGCAGGAGCCTATTGCTGAACAGTGGCTTGCAACAGAGGAAGCTCCACTTTGCTCAACAGTAGGGAAATCTCTTGGGAAAAAACACATAGACGCTAAAACTCAAGTGCCGAATGAATGTGGAAGGCAGGACGGCCTAACATGTACTAATATAGAAACCTAGAGTTTTGAGTTAGAATGGCTTTGTGTGAGGGTTAGGAGAAAAGACTGTGGATCCATTTGTTGACAGTTGAGCTTAAGACCTCTACATAAAACCATTAACTTCTAAGGCTTTACCCTCAATCAGAGAGTGGGCTGGAATAAAATCTAACAGCCTGAGGGGAAGAAAATGAGGACGTTTCTCTTGCCTTGGCTAGAGATATGGGGGTAAAAGAGGCTTCCCTGGGAATATGTAATCAGTCATACTCTCATGTGATTTAACATGGTTAACCTTCTTGGCCCAAGAAATTTAAAGTTGAGCAATTCAGTTGAAGTGATACTAGATTGATAGTAACCCAAAGCAAGACAGAAGCAAACTCAAATTCGATTTAGGAATCATTCTCAATTGAGGTTCCTCAGGATCCTCACGGATTAAGGTGTTCATGTTCTTAAATTACAGACAATTTGAGAAAGCAAGCTAATCCCGTGAGAGTATTAGTTTTCTACTGCTGTATAACAAGCTACCACAAACTCAGCAGTGCAAGACAACACCCATGTATTATCTCACAGTATCTGTAGGTTGGAAGTGTGCGTACAGGTTGGCTGGGTCCTTTACCTAAAGTTTCACAGGCTGAAAAAGACCACTTGATACTGTGGTCTCATCTGAGGCTTGGCGTCCTCTTCCAAGCTCACTCATTGTTGACAAAATTCAGTTCCTTGCACATGTAGGGCTGAAATCCCATTTTCTTATGAGTATTAACCAAACACTATCCATAGCTTCTATAAGCTGTCTTAGGTCCTTGCCTCATGGCCCCTCCAAAGGCAGTTCACAGTATGGCTGTTTGTGTCTTCAAAGCCTGCAGTAGAGTCTCTCCTATTTTCAATCTGTCTAACTTTAGGAAGGGCATGGTCCTTTTAATGGTTTGCCTGGTTAGGTCAAGCCCATTCAGGACAGTCTCCTTCTGATTAACTAAGTGTGAACTGATTTCAGACCTTAATTATATTTGCAAAATTCCCTCACTTTTGTCATATAACATAACCTTATCATAGGAGTGAAGTTTATCTTATTCACAGTCCTGCCTATTCTCCAGGAAAGTGGACAATACAGGGCATATGAACACCAAGGGATAAGAATCTTGAGGGTCATCTTAGAATTTTGCTTACCACAATACAGAATAATCAGGAGAATTAGACCTACAAGAACATTAGATATATGACTTATCAATTACAAAATACAAAATAACCATTTAAATTATTTTTTGAAATAAAAGGGGCCAGGCGTGGTGGCTCACTCCTGTAGTCCCAGCACTTTGGGAGGCCGAGGTGGACAAATCACTTGAGGTTAGTAGTTCACGACCAGCCTGGCCAACATGGTGAAACCCCGTCTCTACTAAAAATACAAAAATTAGCCGGGTGTGGTGGTATGCACCTGTAATCCCAGCTACTCGGGAGGCTGAGGCAGGAGGATTGCTGGAATCCAGGAGGCGGAGGTTGCAGTGAGCCAAACCAAGATTGTGCCATTGCACTCCAGCCTGGGTGACAAGAGTAAGACTCTGTCTCAAAATAAAATAAAATACAAATAAAAGAGGAAAATAAGATAAAATAAAAACAAAAGAAAGAAATGAAGGATTACACAAGGATTACATGATAAAGAATGATGAGGCATATTTGGAAAAGGCCAAATAGACTTTCATATTTGTAAACCACAATTATTCAAATTAAAAATGTAATAAACAGATTAAATAATAGACATATTATTGAGGTATTGATGCATCACAAACCATTCCAAAACTTAATGTCTAAATAACAACCACATATTTAGCTTTTGATTCTGAGGGTTGACAATGTAGGATGGGCTCAACCTTCATGGTTCTTCTAGCTTATGTTGTGCTTTCTCAGAATTTGTCATCTTTGGGTTGAGTGAGTGACTTCTGATTTTGGCTATACTATCTCACATTTCTGGGGCTTTTGATGTTGATTCAGCTCCCATGTGGTCCTTTATCCTCCAGGAGGTTATCCATGGGTCCCAAAAGCATGCAAGACGTTTTGTGGCCTAGATTTGAAACTGGAGCCCTGTTATTCTTGCTGCATCCTATTGTGCAGAAGGAATCACAAATCCAAGTAAAATTCAAGGGCTGGAAAAGCAGACTGTATCTTTTCTTAGAAGGAGCTACAAAGTTGTATCTCAAAAAGGTATGAATAGATACAGGAAAGAGTAAAAGATTTTAATGATTTTTGTAAGATTTCTCATACCTGAAAGGAGAATTAGTAAAATAAGATAGATCTAAAGAAATAACTCAGTATGAAATATAGACAGAGAGATGGAAAGTGTTAGGACAGGTTATGAGACATGAAGATAATATTGGAAACTGTTAGCTATGTCTAATTAGAGTTCCAGGGAGAAGAAAATATAGAATGAGCAAAAGGCAATATAAGAGATAATGGCTTATACTTTTGCATTTTGAAGGTAGTTCAACAAATCCAAAGCACAATACAGGGAGTATATACTTCATGTGAACATTTTAGAACTCCCTAAGTACATAAGAGATTTAAAAATCAGTCAAAGAGAAAAATGGCATCTACAATGGGTAACAACTAAGTTGACAGCAAACATCTTTTTTTTTTTTTTTTTTTTTTTTGAGACGGAGTCTCGCTCTGTCGCCCAGTCGCCCAGGCTGGAGTGCAGTGGCGGGATCTCGGCTCACTGCAAGCTCCGCCTCCCGGGTTCACGCCGTTCTCCTGCCTCAGCCTCCCAAGTAGCTGGGACTACAGGCGCCCGCCACTACGCCCGGCTAATTTTTTGTATTTTTAGTAGAGACGGGGTTTCACCGTTTTAGCCGGGATGGTCTCGATCTCCTGACCTCGTGATCCGCCCGCCTCGGCCTCCCAAAGTGCTGGGATTACAGGCGTGAGCCACCGCGCCCGGCCGACAGCAAACATCTTAATAGCAACAGCGGAAACCAAAAGATAGTACAGTAATACCAATAAAGTACTGAGAGAAAATTACTATTAGCTTAGAATTTAAGCTGGCTAAGCTACCATTAAGGACTGAATGAAAAATAAGGACATTTTCAAACATGCAAAAGCTGAGAGTGTTTGGTATCAAAATACCTTAATACCTAAAGGGATGCACTTTTTGAAAAAGGGAAATGAACCAGAAAAGAGGTCTGAGTGTAAATAGGAACGCTGTAATAAATTGGTAAAATGTGAGTAAATTTAAGCAAAAACTGAATATATTTTATAATTATGATGATAATGACAATGACAATAATTATTTGGGGAGTAAGATAAACCAAAGTATTAATGTATTTAATAACAACATTGTGTAAGAGAAGAGGAAGTGATTGGTTAAAGTATTCTGGAGTTTCAGCTTTTTTTTTTTTTCCTTTGGGAAAAGGGTTGTAAATTTTAATAGCTTTAGACAGTGAGGAAAGTATGCAGTTTACATTTTTAGAGTGATTAATAAATGAATAGAAATAGAGGAAATAAGATCAGAAACATTGCAGGAGAAAAAGTGAAATTAAAAAATCAATGAGAAGGCAGTAAAAGGAGTGAAGAGAAATAATGATAATTTTTTAATCACATTTTAAATAAGTGAATAATAATAGTTTATAACAATACTGCATTAGGATAAAAAGAGGCATAACTACAGACAGAAAATATAATGATATTAAATAGTTGAAAATGAAAGGATTACAGGCAACTACTGCTCACCAAAAGAAAGCTTAAATACTTATAGTGTAAAATATATACATAGTACATATACATATATGTGTATACACATAGTACATAGTACATAGAGTATATAACATATAACATTATTAATCATAAGCAAGATAACTAAGTAAAGGTTTATCTCATCAGGAAGAGAAAAGCATGTTAAACTCTTAATTAGTAATATAACCACAAAATATTTAAAACAAAAATTTACATATTTAAAAAACAGGTTGATAAGTTTATCATTATAATGGAATATTTCAGTATTACATTATCAGAAACCAATAAAAGAGCCATCCAAAAGTTTTAAAATTAAAAATGTAAGCAACATAATCAATAAACTTGAGCCAAGAAATTGAACAATTAGGGAATAAGCATTCTCTTTAAGACCAACTGTAATGTTTACAAATATTAACCAATACTAGGCCAAAAGAGTAAGTCTTAATAACATAAGGTGTTGGAATCTTGAGGAGCATTTTTTTTCGGATCACAGTGTAATAGTTATAATCATGAGTAAAAAAGAATTGTTTAAAACATATATTTGGGAATTTGAAAACACTCTTTGAATAATTCTTAGAATAATATTTAAAAACCTATGAAAATTAAAAAAATACTTGGGACTAAGTGATAATGAAAATATCAAAAGTAGTAGTGTACAATTTCTACTTCTGAACAGGATGGAATAATTTGCAGTAGGCTTATGAGCTCACCAAGAACAATTAGGAAAGGCAGATTAAATCGTATTTTTAAAAATATCAGATGTAGAAGCAATGAGGACTGAGAATCTAAAAATCTAGATTTGGGGAAACTTCTCAGAGATGAGCTGAGAATCTGTAGCCAATTTTTCTCTGTAATCATTCGCCAATTCTGGGAGTAGACCAAAGGTTGAGAATCTGGGCTTGGCAGTGGGCCACTGCTAGAGTATAGAGAAATTTCACCAGCAACATTTTTGGTGACTGTGTTAGGCTAGAGTGACATAATTGTCATTCACTCAAAATAACTTTCCTTTTCAAGATATTTGCCTCAATCATATTACCAATTTTCCTTTCAAAATACTTGCCAAATTCTAAAACTAAAGGGAAACTAAATTACTAAGCAAAAAACATCTGATAACCAGAGCTATGAATTTACTAGTCTTGTATTACTGAGGAGATAAACATCTTCAGGATGAGAGCCCCTTAAGAATGTACCAGGTAAGAGGTGACAGCTCTGGAGATTGTGGTGAACTAATGCTGACAGTTTCTAGCCACTTTTTTCTCTTGGGTACACTTGCTTTTTCCGGGTGCAGCAAAAGCAGAAGTCAGCAGACTATGGCCCATGGGCCAAATCTTCTTGTTGCCTATTTTTTAAAATAAAGTTTTATTGGAAAACAGCCTTATTCACTGATTTACATATCATCATGGCTGCTTTCATACTATAATGATTGAGGTGATTAGTTGCATAGAAAAGTCACATACCTCTGCGCTATAGGTGAGAATTTGGGCTTGGCCTCTGATAAAGGGTTACTAACGGGGACAGAGTGATCAGTACAGCTTTTGGCAGTTCAGTGAGGCTGGCATGCCAAATTCTTAAGCTGTGCAGGACAATAGTCCAAAAATGTAAGTCAGAAACCTTTGAAAATTATATTAGAAATCTCTATAGTCTTACTCTCTCTGTGTTGAGACAAAGACCTGCCAGGCTTTCAACTGAAAACCTTGAAGGGCCTCACCATTAGAATAGGGCCACATTAAGGTGTAATGAATTAGTTTTATCAAAATTTTCAGGTGGTCTAAATTCAGCTCAGTCCCTGAATGAGTAAAAGTGATCAGAGTATCACTCTTAACTGCCCAGCAGAGGAACACATGGACCTTCTTAAGTGGAAAATAACACTGTATATAACCTTTCTTAAGTATGCAGTTTCCTACATCCATCAATTAAAAATTACTAGTACACCGTAATCATATACCAAGAGAAAAACAAAACACAGAATATAGAAGCAAACTCAGAAGTGATCCAGAACTTGGAGGTAGTAGACAAAAACTTTAAAATAACTATGTTTAAGATGTTCAAGAAAATAGGAAAAATATTCTTGAAAATAGATGAAAAGGTGGGGAGTTTCACCAGAGCTTATAACTAAAATAATGAACATTCTAATATTGAAAAATATGGTATCTGAAGTTAAGAACTCAATCGATGGCTTAACAGCAAATTGGATACAGAAGATGATAGAATTAGTGAACTTGAAGACAGTACAATAGAAAATATTGAAACTGAAGCACAGAAAAAACAAACAGTACGAGATATGTTAGACACAGAAAAATGGTCCAACATGTGTGTAAATAACATCCCAAACTAGATGACAGATTGAAAATAAGGAAGAACAGACAATATTTAAAGTGATAATAAACATTTTCCTAAACTAATGAAATATATCGGACCACATATTCAGTTAATTCATTGTAAGCAAAATGAATGCAAAGAAAACCACAATTTGCCACATCATAGTCAAAATGCTGAAAAAACATAGAGAACAAACTTAAAAGCCTGACAGAGAAGGAAAGCCTGACATTATCTTTAATACTGACATATTATTACAATCAGAACCATAAAACAATAGAATGACATGTTTAAAGTGGTGAAAGGAAGAAAACTTTTAACCTATCATTCTCTACACAGCAAAAATATCTTACATAAGTGAAGATGAAATCAAAATGTTTTTCAGACAGAGAATTTGTTGCCAATGCACTTGAAATAAAATAAAACTAAATGAAATTCTTCAGCCAGAAATAAAATGATTATAAAGAGAAACAACAAAATTCAGTAAAGAATGAAGAGAGCCAGAATCAGTAAATATATCAATTAAAATAATTGACTATTAATCAGACAAAAAACCCCACCATCTTGTTGAGTTTAAAGTATTCATAGAATTAAAATGTATGACAATAATAAGGTCAAAGGCAGGAGGACAAATGGAGTCAAAGTGTTGTAAGGTACTACTATTATTGAAGAAATGGTAATGTTGAACAGTTTGATTAGACTACCAGGTCCAAGTTGGGTGTTCTAATGTCCAAGGTAATTGTTACGATAATGGTAAAAATACACCTATCAAGTTGATAGCAGAAAAAAAGATGTAATAAAATATTTGGCTGATTCAAAAGAAGAAAAAGGAAATTCAAACAGATGGGAGATAGAAAATAGGTAGTAGTTGTAAATCCAGCTATATCACTTATTACATTAAATGTAATTGGACCAAGTACCCTATTTCAAAGAAAAAAGTCATACTAAATTAAAAACATAACCTAAAAATGTGCTATTTACATGAGACATTTTCAGTATAAGGATATAAAAATCACTTTGGAGGTGGCTAACGTAATATTTAGATTTAGAAAGAAAGTAAGTAAAAGAAATAAATTAAGCCTTCAACTGAAGGATACTCCTTTTTTAATTGTATAAAACATGTACCCTTTCCCAACAAACTGCAAACAAGACAGCAGACTTAGATGGTTTTTACATTTGACATTTATTAACCACTTGAGGTGCTGACATAATATGAACAGAATAAAAAAGCTTCCTACCTCATTTGGTGGAACGAATATAATTCTGAAACCAAAACAAGACAGAGAGAATGAAGAAAATAGAGAGTCAGCCTCACTTGTGATCACAGATGTACAAATCTTAAATAAAATTCAAATTCAGTAATGTATAAAAACATTTCATGACCAAATAGAAATTATCTTAAAATTACAGGAATGATTCAGGATTAGAAAATATACTAGTGTATTTCATCATATCAATACATTAAATGAGAAATATTTTGTAATTATTTCAGTAGATACAGAAAAAACATTTGAATAAAATCATTAATCATAAATGATAATGTTTTTTAAAAAGGCAATGTGGCTTAGACACTGCAGATAAATGGGAGATAATAAAGGGAATGTGTCTAAAGCTAGCAGCAAACTTTATATAGTGTGAAATTATAGAAGCATTTCGATGAAAATCGGGGACAAGATAAGAATACATGCTATAATCCCATCTATTTGTTACTGCACAAAAAGTCTCAACTAATGGAGTAAGGAAAAGAAATAGGAGGTGTGAGGATCAGGAACTCTCCCTTCCTTTTTTTCACAGATGCTATGTAATGGAAAAATCTAAGTGAATCTACCAATATTAAATTTAATAAGAGAGTTTAGTAAGATTGCCAGATAAAAGATCATTACATGGAAATCAATAGTATATATTCCTATATTATTTATATATAATAGATATATGCATGTGTCTATAGATGTATTAATACAAAATAAGCAACAAAAGCTATAAGCCACCCGATTATACATCTTAAAAGATGTACATCTTCTTTATGGAGACAAAATAAAATTAATTATAGATCATAAAGGAACACCTATAAATGGAGAGGTGGAACATGTTTAGGGATGAGAAGAATAAATTATCATATAATTTTATCTAAATTATCTGTAAATAAATACAATTCAATTTCTCTTAAACTTCCAGTATTTAATAAATACCCAACACTATTCTAAGCACTTTGAATTTATTAACTTGTTTAATCCTCAAAGCAGCTGTGGAGTATGTAGTCATTTTATATGTGACTACAGATGTGGAGAGGTTTGTATCTGGTCACACAACTCATAAGTGGAAGTGCTAGCTGTCTGACTCCAGGTATGCTCTCTTAACTATTACTACATTCTGCCTTTCTAGGATTCTTCATGGAACGTAATAAGCTGGCTATCAAATTCATGTGGACTAGTAAAGGAAGAAAAAGCCAAAGCCATTTGGATGACTAAGGAGTATGAACAGTAGTGGTGGGAGAGGCATTTAGTCTGTCTGACACCAGCATTTTCTATTTTAAAGTTGTGATGATTCAGATAATGTGATATTGGTTCAGATTAGGTAAATAAATATACAACATATTATAAAGCCCCCACAGACTCATGCATAACGATATATGTGTGATAGATATGGTTTTACTTGGAGGAAAGGATAGGTAAGTCAAAAAATTCTACGTTGAAGCAATTGGTTTGCCATGGAGAAACAAAATTAGATTTCCCCTTTACACTGTACGTAAAAACAAAATACAAATGGATTAAAGATAAAAATGCAAAAAGAAAACATCAGAATTATTGCAGAATGTCTTTTTTTTTTTTTTTTTTTTTTTTTTTTTGCTTAGGAGTAGGGAAAGGTGTCACACTACCCAAATCACAGCTAATAGAAAAAGATTGTCAAAGATTAACGAAATAGAATATCATATATAGCAAAAAAAAAAAAAAAAGACAATGCAAACAAAGTTAAAAGAGAAGAAAAAGTGTGGTGACGTTATTTGTAACATCTATTTCAAAGAATTTCTGTCTAGATTATCGAAATAACGCCACATATTAATTTTTTAAAAGACAAACCAAATAGAAGAAAAAAGAAATACAGTTTAAGAAGAGGAAAAGACTCATGTTAGTGATCACCTAAAGGTGATTTTAGAAGGGAAATGGACATTAAAACAATGAGATACTATTTCTTATAAAAATTTAAGTGGTGATGATGAAAGGAAATAGGAACTTAATGCATTTCTGGTGGCAGTATAAATTGATACAGTCATTTTGGATAGCAATTTACTTGTTTCTAGCAAAATTTAAAATGTACATAACTTATGACCCAGCAAGTCCACTTCTAAATAATTATTCTAATGTATAGGTTGGGCAACTTTTTCTGTAAAGGGCCAGATAGTAAATATTTATTTATTTATTTATTTATTTTTATTTTTTATTTTTCCTTTTAATTACATTTATTTTAATGCTGAATTTACTCCCGTGCCATAAGTTTTTGTTTCTTCAGTTTCTTCTGGGATATCTTTTTCTTCTGGGCAACCTCCTCTTCTGGTTTAGGAACAATCTGTTCCTTTTCCGTAAGGATCATCTCAATGTGGCAGGGAGAGCTCATGTATGGGTTAATCCGACCATGAGCTCTGTAGGTCCGGCGGCGCATCTTAGGTGCTTTGTTCACTTGGATATGCTCAATGACCAGAGAATCTACATCTAAACCCTTAAGTTCAGCATTACTCTCTGTGTTTTTAAGCATGTGCAGCAAAAATTCAGCACTCTTTTTGGGCCACCGACCTTGTGTCCAGCCCCACTGCTTGGCCTGCGCACACCTGCCAACTCCACCATTGTAACGTCGGAATGGTACACACTGTTTCTGTAAAGTGACATCTTTCAGATACTTCGTGGCTTTTTGTATATGCATACCCTTGATGGCCTGAGCAGTTTCACGAGTGTTCTTAAAGTGAACACGAAGATTGGAACCTCTTGATTTGCATGATTTCGTGGGGTTCTCCGGGTCAAGTGAGTAGCGAACCATTTTCACAGATTACCTCAGGCTGCTTAGGGAAAGAGCTAGATAGTAAATATTTAAAGCATTTGTAGGTCATAGGCCATATGGTCTCAGTTGTAAATATGCAGCTCTGCTGTTATAGTGCAACACTGAAATTCAAATTTTGTGTAATTTTCACTAGTCATGAAATGTTATTTTTCTTTAGACTTATTTTTTCTAACCATTCAAAAACATAAAAGCCATTCTTAGCTAACAGGACATACAGAAACAGGTGACAGGTCACATTTGAGCTCACATTTGAATGAAAAAAGCTAGTGGCTGAATTACACTGTATAATTTATTAATGAAATGATTTGTAGATATTCTATATATATTTCATGTGTATATAAATATGTGTGTAAAAGCAAAATAAAATGACTGGAACAATATACATTAACTCCTGATAGATTTAGTAGAGTTCAGAGTAAGTGCTCAATGATTTTGACAAGTTTTTTCTCTGACATCCCCCAGAACTCTACACTACTATTTTAGAATTGCCTTTGACTCTACACAGATAGTTCCTTGTGCATTCAGGTTAGCTGGTTGTGTGAACTTCTGGAAAGCCTGCCTATAATTTTTACCATACAAGAAGTTACTTTTAAAGTCTCTCAAATGAGAAAAAGAGTTTATTTTTCTGGGATTTTATTATATCAGCTTTACTGAGTTGCTTGGCAGGTCTTCTTATTTAACTGGTGTGTGCATTTTTATACTACATTGGAAACTGACAGTAAATAAGATGTGTATCAACAGTTGGGCCATAAATTAGTGTAACCTTAGTTCTCTTTGGACTTAACTTGCTGTTCTCTGCCTCATATTATGTCTTTTTTCCCTGGCTTACCATCTTTCTTGTGCTTCTTTAAAGTAGCTTTTAACTGAAGTTCTATTTTCATATCTTCTCTCACAAGTTTTTAGTTTGATAATTAGAAAAATAGTGATGCAGGGAGTTTGGAGGGGATCTCATTTTGAGGGAAATAATGTATTAAATTGTTTTCTCATTGCTGTATAATCTGTTTTCACAAAAATAATCTTTAGTGACTCTTGGGACCTTTCTGAATTTGTAATAGCATTTTGTGTTTGTCTCCATTGACCAATAAACTTCAGTTTTCTTCACTCGGAGTGTCTTTAAATTTTCAGGTTTATCAATTATATCTTGTACAATATGTGTTATCTATTATATAACTATATGAACATTTAAAAATGCAGTTTAGGAGTGTGAACTTTTCTATCCTTTTTTCCAAAGATTGTAAGAAGAAATTAATTTGATTTCTCTATTATTTCCTTTTAGTTTCAAGTGCTTCTTTGAGCTGTCATTTTCAAAACAGGTTATACTAACTATTGGGCTACCTTCCTATTTTTGGTATGTGTAGAGAATTTCTTCCTAATGATTTTGGATTACTCTAGATGATGTGTCTTTAATTATTTATTGATATTCTTAATTTTTAGTTTGTTTCTAGCATAGCACAGTGTCTCTGCTTTCTTGTTCGTTTTGTTGGCTTTATTTCCAGTGTTTGGAAAGATGCTTTGGCCTTCTACCTGAAATAAACTATGTAATTTTATGTTTATTTATTTGTGATGGGGTCTCACTATGTAACCCAGGCTGGTATCTAATTCCTAGGCTCAAATGATCCTTCCTCCTCAATCTCCCACGTAGCTGGGACTATAGGAACATGCCATCATACCTGGCTGTATGTTATTTTATACGTGAATTGTCTGATCTCAGTGTGGCACTATAGAATATAAACTTTACTCTTTCTGAGTTAGAGAGAACCTTCTGTGTGGACACAGTAAATAATTTTACAGTGTTATTTTAGGAGTACTTGGATAGCACAGAAGAGAAAGATTTTTCAGGCACTGGATAAACATGAAAGAGAAAAAGGATACAGAAAGCACAGGGGGATTGTAAAGACTAACTTCATAGGCTTCATAATTTGCCAGGAGTATTTTATTTATGCAGAGGATTTGGACAGTATTTTAATTGTCTTTTCATTTGAGATGGTAGTATGACTCTATTGGAGTCAAAATCCTATTATAAAGTAAGCAAATACCATGTGTTGTCTTCTACAAAATCTCTATTTAAAAAAATAGTAAAGCAAAATAAGGAATGCACAGCTTTTTCCATGTAGAAATTATTCCCTTATTAAGTTATTTAAGTAGATTTTCTTAGTGAAGGACCTTGGAAAGAGATCATGGAAAAAGAACATTCTTTTAGGGGGGCTTCTGAAATGACTCAAAATGTTAAGTAAAAGGAACACTTGGATGACTTTAAGAAAAGAGAACTTTACCATTTTACAGGAGAAAAGTTCCAGGTTCCTTTAGGATGGCTGCCACATGTAAATTGAAATTAATATTTGTAGTTTTCTCATTCTGAATTATATATGGTTTGTCAGAGACCTGACTAATAATGATTTGCAAGATGGGGCTTAGAATGTATGGATGACCTTAAGGTGACAATCTTGGGAAACCATGAATTCTGGGATAATGGAAGACACCTTGCAAAGGACAGAGTGGGGCTGTGGTGTCCCTTGGAGTCGTGGTGGTGAAAGGAAAGAAGAAAGCAGCTGAAGATAAGGGCACTATGGGAACAAGATGATTTTTTTTTTAAGACAAATCTTGTCCCTCCCACCACAAAAAGTGCCACTTATTAAAGCAACTACACTTCAGTGAAGCCACAGAAGAGGGTGCTGTTGAACTGAGAAACCTAGTAAGTCAGCTTACCTCCGTTCACCCTCCATTGCAAGATAACTTGTTACTGCTCATTCTAAAAAAGCCAATACAAATAATCCTCAACAGAAAAAGAAGCCAGCACCTTTACAAAGTCACAGTAAGTATAAAACAAAATTAAAATCAAATCTTCTTAGTAAATTACACACACACAGAATGAAAGCACAAATAAAAAGGGAAGAAATCAAAGAAAAATTACAAAACAGGAAAACTGAAATGAAACATCTGAACACGAATAACCTATATTAAACAAGCAATTGCATTATGAAAGGACACCATGAATCAGACATTCAAAAACTCACAGTTGAAATGGACAAACAGGAAGATATGTGAAACAGCAGCTGACTGAACTCGGGAAAGTAAATGGTGAAAAAAGACAAAAATCATCTCAGAAATGAAAAGTAAATCACAAGGTAGACAAGGGAAGATAGATATTCCAAAAGTTCAATAAAAGACGTAAAGAATGGAAAGAGCCAAGAAAATAATCTGCAATAAGAGAAATAAAAAGGATCAGAAAGAGAATTTTCCATATATTTAGTTCAACACCTTGAACTAGGAAACAAGTGGAAAATTAACAGATATGGTATTTAAAGTTATAATAAAACTTTTTTTGAAATAAAATGAGATCTGAATTTCCATATTGAAAGGACTCCTGTTTCCTGTATACCTGGGAAACTTGATTTATAACAATCAACTTTTAAGATATAGTATTAGACCTTAAAACAAAAGGGAAAATAAAAGCTGCCTGAGCTTCTAAGCCAATAAATTAGTAATTTAAAAATTAAAAGTAATTAAAAATGAAAATAATTAACATAGAACCAATTTAGCATCACACTTCTTGATATCAAAATAAAGCAAGAAAGCAATGGACATGTGTTTTTAAGAAATTATAAAAATGAGTAATCATTTTAATTGATTATGAAACACTGGATAAGTAAAATACTCATATATCCACAGTGATACTCAAGATTACTTGTGAATTGCATTTGGAAAAAGTGCTGCTGTTATTAAGAAACATTTCAGACATATCCTTGGTTGATAAACATTTTGCTGAAATATTTAGATGTGAACTGTCATGGTATCTGCAGCTCACTTTTAAATGTTTCCGTGAAAATAATATAAAAAATACAGAAACATGTTTGGAATTTTTCATAACAGCTACATGGCATTTTAAAAAGTTATTCAAAACAAGTTGCCAGATTTCAAATATTTTTGTATACCTAAAGAATATCTTTTATATTGAGTAAGAGACATTTTGTGAGAAAAAAATGTATTTCATCTTGTTTTAGATTTTTGGAAGAGCCAATGAAGAGTGACTTTGTCATATTTCTTTTATACTCTTAGAATTAATGTCAGTGATTTAATTTTTATTTTTTCAGAAGATATTTATTAAAACTGCTGGTGCCTTAACAGGAATCAAGGCACTGGAATCAAACTGCACAAGTGGTCACTGTATTCTTCCCACCATTGACCACAGTAGAAAAGAAACAAACAAAAATACATCATTTGCACTTAAGAATGTCCTTGATAAGGAAGGAAAAATATTGAGTTGTTCGCTTTTTTATTCTTGAGTTGTATTTATGCATTCTTAATACAAGTCCCTTTTTGGTTATATGATTTGCAAAAAGTTTCTCCCATTCTGTAGACTGTTTTTTCATTCTGATTGTGTCCTTTGAAACAAAGGAGTCTTGAAATTTGATGATGTCTATACAGTTTGTCTGCTTTTTCTTTTGTTGCTGCGTGTGTGTGTTTTTTTTTTTGTTGTTTGTTTGTTTTGAGACTCTTGCTCTGTCTCCCAGGCTGGAGTGCAGTGGCGCAGTCTTGGCTCACTGCAACCTCCATCTCCCGGGTTCAAGCAGTTCTCCTGCCTCAGCCTCCCAAGCAGCTGGGACTACAGGTGCGCACCACCATGCCTGGCTAATTTTTGTATTTTTAGTAGAGACGAGGTTTCACTGTGTTGGCCAGGCTGGTCTCGAATTCCTGACTTCAAGAGATGCACCCGCCTCGGCCTCCCAAAGTGCTGGGATTACAGGCGTGAGCCACTGTGCCTGGCCTGTATGTGTTTTTTATACATAATGTAAATAAACTTTTAAAAGATACACTGTGAAATGCTTTAAAGCAAGTTGTGTTTTTTTTTGGTCAATGAGTATTTACTTTAGTTTATTTTTTAATTGAGGTAAAAATATCTAATGCTAATAGATATTAGTTTGCTAGGGTTGCCATAACAAAATACCAGAGACTGGATGGCTTAAACAACATAAATGTATTTCCTCACAGTCTGGAGGCTAGATGATGTCAGCAGGATTGATTTCTCCTAAGGTCTCTCTCCTTGACGTGTAGATGGCCATTTTCCTCTAGTGTCTTCATGTGATCTTTACTGTCTCGGTGTCCTGCGCTCCTCCTCTTATAAAGATACCAGTCATATTTGAGTAGGATCAACCCTAATGACCTCATGTAAGCTAATTACTACTTTAAAGACCCTGTCTACAAATACAGTCACGTTCTAAGGTACTGGTGGTTAGGCTTCAAAATGTGAATTTTGGAGTTTGTTGAAGGGCACAATTCAGCCCATAACAAATACATAACATAAAACGTATCATTTTAATCATTTTTCAGTATACACTTTAGTGGCATTAAATACATTTATATTATTGTGTAACTATCATCCCCCCATCCATCTCCAGAACTTTTTTCATCTTGCGAACGGAACCTCTATCTGTTAAACAATTACTCCCCAGTGTCCCCTCCTCCCAGCTCCTGGCAGCCACCATTCTGCTTTCTGTCTCTGTGAAACATGTTTTGAGGCAGTTTTTTTTTTCCATCATTAGTGAGAATCTTCAGAGTTCTCTCAAATTAAGCTAGTTATTTTTATGCAAATTCTGCAAGATATCCACAAACTTTTACCTAGATAAGAGGTTCTTGAAGCTCTTAAATCATATGAAAATTTTGTCTTTTTTTGTATATCTGCCTTTTTCATGGGAGAGATTCTAGAGTTCTCATTAGATTCCTTAACTGAAGCCCTAGAGACTTAGCCAATCTTGTTTCATTTATTTTTCAAGATAATTAAAGTTTAGTAATTTTTAAGTTGATAAGCTGATGTGTAATTCACAGAAAAGGCAAAAGGAAGTTTAAATGTTTTTAGGTTTTATTGTCTTGAAATCAAATGTTTACTTGCTATTTCTGAAAGGGTCAGTAATTTTAAAAATCATTATACTACATTTTCTTCATTTGAAAAGTTTTTAAATTTACTGTTTCATATTGTCCTAGATATGGATTATATCAGCTTTGTATCTCATTGTACATGTAGATATTAGAAATATTGTCTATATAAAATAACCTCTCAGAATTATTTTTATTTCATTTTATTCATATATTTATTATTCAGTCAATAAACATTTGAGTCTTTTTGATAAATATTAGATATACAAAGAAGAAGACATGGGTTTCATCTTCAAGGAAGTGAAAATAATATACCTAGATGGCGATAAACAAATTAATATATTAAAAAGAAGAATAAATAAAGAAGAGAATTGTTGGTTGGTCCAAACAGATATAACAGCACGGGGAAACTGAGAGACTCCTGGAGGTGCAAGTCCCAATGGGGTTTGGCCAGTAGTTAAATATAACTAAAACAGTAGACTGTTAAATAGAGAAAGGGTTGCTGGAGATGAGGCTTGAGTTTGGTTGGAGCCAGGTTTTGAAGACCTTTAAGTGCTATGAAAGAAACACCCTCTTTTGGACAGAGAATTCTGAAACATTTTTGTCTCAGAGAAAGACAGGATCTGAGAACATTAAGTGATGCTAGCTCATTTTATTGCATAGTTACTTAATGTAGTCTGAATACTTCTATAGTCATTTAAAATTTTTCAATGGTAGTGTTTCAAAGATTATTGATAAATACTGATTATTTCAAAAAAAATCTATGCATTTTACTATATTTCATATTTGACATATTTAAATATTTGCTATATTTCAAAATAGTATTTGCCTTAGCTCTGTGTTTTTAAATTATCTTTTCCAGCTATAAGGAAGACCAGATGGATGAGAAACTAATGGAACCTCTGAAATATGCTGAACAACTTCCTGTAGCTCAGATAATACACCAGGTTTGCATTTCATTTTATTCTTTTGAAAGAAACAAGATTTTTAATCGCTGAGAAGTAATTGCTTTTGTTAGGTTTTTCAGAATCAATGTGCTATAGCTGAAAGGCATTCTGGGCTGTCTATCCCTATTTAGACTACCCCTATTACAGTTGAAAGTCCCATTCAAAGCACAATATTAAAAGGCTACTTGCTGTTTAACACTAGAATTCTTACTTACATAAAATATGGGATAAAATAAGGATTATCTTTTGTGCATTATTTAATTATAAAATTTAATTTCAGAAAACTTTCATTTTGACCCATTGTGTATAGTACTTAGTGACAAGGAAAAAGAGCTGCAAAAATATCATTGAGAGTAATTTTTTGGAGTCACTAAAAAGAGAAAACAATCTTGCCCTGCATCCTTTACCCTGCCCAATCATCAACCCTTGCAAAGTATAATTCTGCATGTCATGTGGGCAATTTGTTCATTTCCAATTATAATGATTTTATCATCCGTTCTACATAACTGTAATCATTGAGAAGGCAGTGTTGTAAGCATGTAAGCTTAGACTTTGTACTATAATTTGACAGCATATAACCTCTGCCCTGCTGTGCCAGAATCTAATAATTTTAAATGTTCTGTTGACTAGAGTTATAGCCTTTAGACCTAGCAGAGATTTCAGAAACTTACATATTATAGTAAATATTTAAAGCCCTTAAATGGCAGAGTTTCTCAGAATTGTTATGAATGTTGATTGTTATTGTGAGTTTTTCCATATGCCTTTTTCCATCAAAATAATTTTTATTTAGCTGATATGTATTGATTAGAAGTGCCAGTTAGAACTTTATTAAAAGAAACAGAGGCTTTTACTTTAAAATGTTGGCTATATATATTTTTCATTGACATTAAAATTTAATATTGCAATTCTGTGAGAAATTACAAAAAATGATCAGAAATTTACACCTTTGGGAAGCTCGTCTGTGCTTGGTAATCAGGTCCAGTTTATATGTCAGGAATTCCCTAGTGTTGTCAGAGCTTAAATGACCTAACAGTCTGCGAATGTCACATTTAAAATTCTGTCTTCATGCCTGACTCTCAGCATAAATGAATTAAACAGCAGAGCAGGCAGCAAGTCAATATGTTCTTAACAGTAAGAGTGAGCGATGAAACAGTTTGTGGTTTGCTCAGAATTGGTAAATAGAATCTGCCCAGAACAGTTCACCTAGAATAAAATCTGAAAGAGGAAACAAGAATTAACCTTTAAGATGGTTGACCAGATGAAATGTCAGTAATATTTTTATAGCATGGATGAACCAATAAACTACCTGGTTTATGTAACAGCTGCATTTGACTGTTATACACTGTGTGAATTCCAAGATAAAAAATTTTTGACCCTGGTGAAAATTTTAGATTGTGATTTTTTTGGCAGTACAAGAGACTTTGTTAATTTTAACACTGAATTACAAACATTATATTAAAATTCAGTAGCACTTGATTTTACTAAATACCTATCTTTAAGAAATTTTACACAATAGGAATTTATGTATTTTATTTTTATTGAATAAAATGAATTCTGTTCTCAGTTAAAGAATAGTCAGGACAGGTCATTGTTAATAGCAGACTCTTCATTTATTCCTTTTGTTATTTCCCTTTTTTGACAGTACTACAACTTAAGGACTGTTACCATTAGCCGGTCCAACTGGTCTTTTAGAAACATAAGAGTTACGTTGCCAGAAATTAACTGATAAGTCCGTTATTTAAAAGCAAATTTTGGCCGGGCACGTGGTATCCCATGCCTATAATCCCAGCCCTTTGGGAGGCTGAGGTGGATGGATCACTTGAGCCCAGGAGTTCAGGACCAGCCCGGGCAACATAACAAAACCCTATGTCTACAAGTAATACAGAAAATTAGCTGGGCTTAGTGGTGCGTGCCTGTAGTCCCACCTACTCGGGAGGCTGAGGTGGGACTATCTCCTGGGCCTGGGATCCAGATTGAGGCTACAGTGAGCTGAGATTGTGGCACTGCACTCCAGTCTGGGTGACAGAGTGAGACCCTGTCTTGATAAATAAATGAATGCATGCAACTTTTTTCCTAAGAGAACAGTAATACATGTGATAATTAGGTTAGCTAGTTTCACAAAAGCTTTTTGATCTATATCTAAATTATAGCATTATTGTAGTGTATAATCTCCCCCTGTAACTATTTTCATGAGAAATAATCTTATACTTTACCTACACCTGTTTAGGAGCTCATGTCATTTCTATTTAAAATAGAGTTACTTATTTTTATGTCTTATATATCCTATTTTATCATCTTTCTGGACAGTCTCAGTTTCTTGATATTTCTTTTAGCATCTTGCTTTGTACTATGTATACATATCTCTAAATGGATAGATAACGTATAGATAAATGGATAGATAACGTATTTTTAATGGTATGTTGAAAGCCAGGACCACCTCTTTTCCCTACTACCCAGGCACCAGAAGCCAAGGACTCTCACTAGTAGCACAACTTAGAAGCTGCAGGAGAGATGGAGGCTTTCAAAGCAGGGACAGAGGCTGAAACAGAAGGAGAAACTTGAGAAACAGAAGAGAGAGGAATGAGCATCAGTCATTTCAGTAATTCATTTATTGTGTGTGATATTTAAACTGCTTTTTACAATCAGGAGATAGGATTCTCACTACTACCATTTTATGCTGTCAAATTATTTACCATTTTTCTAGCCATCCTAGAAAATATGACTGTATACCTAGGAAACCCAGGAGACTCAAGTTATGAACAATAAAATTAATAAGAGAATGTGATGAGATAGCCAAATAAAATTGGCTTCTTAAATAAAATTGATAGCTTCTCTGCATTTGCAGTAAACACACAGAAATGAAAATGGGAAAATTTTTCTGTCACAGCAGTGAAGAGAACTATAAAATAATTACAATTAGATTTAACAAGTAAACCATAGACCTGTATAATAAGAATCATGGAAAGTACTATGTTTCAGAAACAGAAAGACATACCAAATAAACAACATGATGAAAGTATAAGTGTAAATTCTCCCAATTTAGCAATTCTAATTAGAGTAGAAACAAGTTTTTCTTTTTTAATGTTAGGAAAAAATGACCACATGATTTATGTAGAAGACCAAATGTCCAAGAATAACCAAAGAAAGTATGTAAGAGAGGCACTGGTTTTACCGGATATCAGAATATTAGCCTAACGCAGCTGTAATCAGATAAATATTATATGGACAAAGGAATAGACAAGAGGATCAGTGGAACACATGGAGGAGTGAATTTCAAACTTTATGGATTCCAATTCATGATAAGAAATATTTATATGCGTAATAACTTTTGATGTGTAGGGTGGTTCTGTCTCTCACAGTCCACTGACTCAAATGTTAATCTCCTTTAGCAACACCCCCACAGACACACCCAGGAACAATACTTTGCATCCTTCAGTCCAATCAAGTGGACACTCAGTACTAACCATCACAAACCTAGATACCCTAATACGTATATGGTTTATATAAATGATAAAGGTGACATCACAGATCAATGGGAAATTAAAAGATCATTCAATAAATTATGCTGAGAGAGTTGATTAACTACTGGAGGGGGATACTATGTTCTTGCATCATAATACATGGAAAAGTACATTCCAATAGGATTAAAGCTTAATGCAAAAAATGCGAAATGGCAAAACAATTAGAAAAGTATGTTGGCAAAATTTTTGGATGAGAACTTTCTAAGCATGAAAATTGTGGCAAAAACTACAAAGGAAAATTGATATATTTGACTTTGTAAAAATGTTAAATTTCTATACATCGAAATGAAAAGGCAAACCAGCCTGGGCAACAGAGTGAAACCCCATCTCTACAAAAAAACCATAAATTAACCAGGCATGGTGATGGGCACTTGTAATCATAGCTACTCAGGAGGATGAGGCAGGAGGATACCCTGAGCCCAGGAGTTTTTGAGGTTACAGTGAGCTGCGATCACGCCACTGTACTCCAGCCTGGGCAACAGAGTGAGATCCTGTCTCAAAAAGAAAGAAAGAAAAGAAAAGGCAGATATCAAAGTGGAAAAATATTTTCCTCATGGAATTAACACCTTCATATATAAAGAGCTCTTACAGAATGACAAAAAACTGAACAGCCTAATGAACTTACATAGACTCACACAGACATGCCTCAAAAGTTGAAATAGCAGAGCATAATAAACTGATAAAAAACATGTTGATGTTCATTAATGATGTTAGAATTGTTTATTTTTATCAGAAAGTTTCATTTTTTTTTAACTTCAAGCAAATATATGAAAAGTAGTAATACTCAGTGATGCCTGAGGCAGTGATACTACTGGAGGAGAGTATAAATTGGCATAAATTGAGGACACTGTGGTAATTGGTACCAACATTTGCAAGTATGTTTATAAATTAGTTAAGCATGACAGGTTGAAGACATATTTTTATGCTTTACCCTCCTGAAGAACACTACTAAAATGAAAACAAAGACATAAAAATAGATAAACCCCAAAAGACAAAGAAAATGGAAAAGAGAATGACAGATGAGAGTGGTAACACAATTTGGAAGGAGGAAAGTAGTTGGATAAATGATAACCAATTTAGCAGAGTGGAAAAGCTGAGCCCTAACTTCCATCACACAGGAGCCCTATAAGAACCAGCCAGTTTATACTGCAGAACTCTGGGAAGGTAGGTACCAGGCACCTCAGAGATTGGGTGCAAAGAGAAACACCCTCTTGTCTTCCTCCAAAGTGTCTTCCTCCTGTTTAGCTTTCAGAACACTGGAATTTAGGCTTATATTTTATTAGCAGAAGATTGAGGAATTCCTCCCCGAAGATACCAGTCAAACCAGAAAGCAATGGAGTGATGTCTTCAAAATTATGTGAGAAAATCATTTCCAACTTAAGGTTCTGTTCATTTCCAAATTATGGTTTAAGTATCATAAAATAGGAAAGACATTCCAAGTCTCAATAGATAATTTTTCTTATTCATCCTTTGTCAAGAAGCTACTTGAGATATGATTCATTAAATGAAAGAGCAAACCAAAAATCCTGAGGGGAAATTATCCAAGGCATAAGAGATTGTGCCATCATGGTGAGATGCTAGTGAAATTCTCAAGTTTATGGTGAAGTGCATCCTGAGGTGACAATTGTGTAGAAGTTTAAAGAGTAAAGAGTACAAATTGGAGCAAGACAATGAAGGACTCCAAGATGGGTGTCTGCAGTCAGTGGAATGGTGGCAAATTATCTAATGTGTCTGACCATGCTAAAAGAAGTTTTAAAGTTGAGTAGATTTAGTTAGAGCAACAGAAAATTAAGTGAACAGGGTAATGAAGCAACTAGTAGTTTCAGTAGTAAAAGTTACGTTAATACAAGAAAAGATATATTATCAATATTTTATGTCTCAATAGTTACATAGTTATAATTATGAAACAATTATTTAACAAAAATGTGTGATGGTAAGTATGATGACTCGACTGTTAATATGATTACTCGACTGTACTATGCTATGAAAGGCATCAGCAGCATGGTGTGAACTCAGTAAACTAAGTACTGAACTTAAACATCCCAGGAGTCTCTCTGTTCTTGGTCCTGATGACTATTATTTCTGTTGTGACACTAAGTTTATCTTTAGTATCTCAGCTTCTTATATTAAGCAAGCATACACACACACACACACGCGCACACACACACACACACACACACACACACACACAGAGACACATTTAAACAGCTTGTTTAGAAACCTTTTGGTAGATGCTTGCCTGCTGGGGTTTAAGATGTGTGAGAAATTCGGCCAGGCACGGTGGCTCACGCCTGTAATCCCAGCACTTTGGGAGGCTGAGGTGGGCGAATCACGAGGTCAGGAGATCGAGACCATCCTGGCTAACATGGTGAAACCCCGTCTCTACTAAAAACACAAAAAAAATTAGCCGGGCGTGGTGGTGGGCGCCTGTAGTCCCAGCTACTTGGGAGGCTGAGGCAGGAGAATGGTGTGAACCCGGGAGGTGGAGCTTTCAGTGAGCCGAGATCGTGCCACTGCTCTCCAGCCTGGGCGACAGAGCGAGACTCTGTCTCAAAAAAAAAAGAGAAAGATGTGTGAGAGATTCAATTCTGGGAGTCACCATTATGAGTCAATTTTATCTTCATGAATTTAGGTCCCTCCACTAAGGCAGAGGCTCCGTGTAAACAAAGCCATAAACCCATGTATGCTTTAAAAAACTTTAACTTACTCAAATGTTATATATCAGTGAATACCTTGTCTTGGTGGAGAAATATCTATTGTTTTCCCCACTGTGTTCTTAACCATCTTCTAGGCTTTCTCTGGTTCCCCCTATTTCAGATACAAGACCTCCTACAAATCCTTTAATATTTTGATAAGATTAATACGTTGCAAGATTTCTATTTTTAATGCCCCTCTGCACACTGTACATGATGGTGGTACAGTATCACCTTACTATTCTCTTTTTTTAAGATAAGCTGCACAAAAGATTAGAGCTATGTATCCATTACAGATTTAGTTTCTTGGAGAGAAGTACTGGGGTCTCCTGCAAGACTCTTGCTTAAAACATAGAAGATTATCTTGCAAAGTCTTGTTTCATCTGTTCTTTGTTACTCCTTTTTAGTCCTAGAGGTATTTTTTTCCAGTGTAACCAGTTCATACAGTATCCTGGTGTGTCCGTTGTTGCTCTTTGGGAGTATTCTAGGTATTTGGATGGGACAGTTCTTTCATTGTGCAGGACTGATCTGTGCATCGCAGGATGTTTGGCATCCCTTCTCCTTCCAAATACTGGTTGCCAATAGCACTGCTTAGTCATTGTGATGCTAAAAAAAAAAAAATGCCCTCACCTTTTCTGAACTCCTCCCCGCCTGTGGAACACAGTACCACCTCAGGTTGAGGACCAATACAGGTAATTTGAATTATTTGCAGTCTCTGCCCATACACAAACATTTTATTTGTATAATTAGCCTCTTACTCTTGTAATTGGGATATTTCAAAATATATATAGTTGAGAATCTCTTCTCACTTTTCTGCATCCTGAAATGTTGTCCCGGGCTCTGTAATTCTAGCTCTTTACATTATATGACATGGATTGTGGTAATTTTTCAATTCTTCTGTTTTTGTTTATCATTACTCTTCATGTTGTTCCACTGTTGCAATTTTGGCATTTTAGTGTTTTTCCATTACAGTAATACCTACCCCATTACAGCTAAACTTTACTAAAGGTTGACTGAAATGTCTATCAAGTAGAAATCTCTGCCACCTTGTTTTAAAAAATGTGCCTATTGAATTATCAATATCTGGAAACTCATCAAAAGGATGCTGAATCCCTAGCACTCTGTCTGCCTCAGGACTGACTTATATTGCTTTAAAATCTTGTAGCGCTTTCCCTAACCATAGCAACTTTAAAACTGATGTCTAGTGAAAAATAATACATTTTTCATTTATTTTTATTCAAGTGATAAGGCAAGTAATGAAAACTAAACTTTTTGAAGGTCATGGGCTAATCTCTTAATATCAGATATGTTTTTAAATTAATATAAATTAACCTCAGCTTTCATATTATAACTTATTACAGCCACTTCCAAAAATGTCACTTATCAAGGAATAAATGCAAGGGTAAAGCTGTTTGAGAATGACAATCAACATTTTAATAATTATCATCAACTTTTAAGTTTGAAAATTTTTGGTCCACCTACAAATTTGTCATTACATCCCTTTTCTGATATGTGAAATTTCTATAATAGAAATGGAAATTGTGTCACTAGTCATAAGTATTCCCAAGCAGAAACAGATACCTGTTTTCACCAAATTTATAAAGATTTTTAAACTAAGAATAGTTGAGGAAGCATCTGTTTCTTTTCATTTTTGTTGTACAACTGTAAATAGGTGCAAAACATATTTTACAGTTGATAATGATAATGATCACCCAAAAATAACTAGTACCGTTGATGAAATTGTTCCCATTTTATACATGAATTAACTGAGGTTCAGAATAGTTTAAATAATTTGCCTAAGATCTTCTATCTTATAAGTGGGATAGCCAGTATTTGATTCTGGGTCTGTTTGACTCCAAAATTTATCTTCTTAACTACTGTGGTATACTTCCTCCTTATGAACATTTTTTCACAAAGGCTTTGTTTCCAGAAAATTTTGATGAAGGAGGTGTCAACAGGTGTAATTCATGTTCTGATGAATTGAAAATGTATTTTGGAAGAATAAATATCAACAGATTTAGTTCAAAATTCTTCAGCAAATGAGTATCCATTTATTTAGATACTGGGCTAAAGAGAGTCACCTTCTCAATGCTGTTTGCAATTGCTTTCTTCACCCCAGCTGCACTTGACTTCCCAAAGAGGGTTTAAGACATGTAGAGATATGAAGAGATGTGGGTTCAAAAAATGATAGGGGAGAGTGCTAAAGATTATCTTTGCTTATTTAAAATTTTGCCTATGGATGGCTCACTTGAAAAGAGAAAGTTTTTGCTATGTGGTCACCTATTCTGAGGTTCCATGTAGTTTAAGTAGTGCAATGGCCTTAAGAATTTAATAGGCATTTTTGAACTATCTGGATAATCTAGCCACCATTCATAACGCAATTTTCAATAAAATCATTTTTAATTTCCATAAAACTGATGATAAGGAGAATGTTTAGAATATAACTCATTCACTGGTTGAAGATTGCCTGTACTATTTTTTTTAAATCTCTTTCCCACTACTGTGGGGAGCTCATAGTGGAATGTCCAAAGTTGTGAGAAAAATGAGTGTCAAAGAGCCTTGATAAGCATTAACTTATGAGTGGACCTTGAATACTTAAGAATTAGCTACATACAACTAAAACAATTAGTAATTAAAAACAACTAGACAGATACACATCTTCACAAGTCATAGTAATTTAGGGTTCATCACATTTAGAATACAAACATCCCTAAAGAATATTAGACATTTGACCCTTTGTATTGCTTTGAATATTAAGATACTTGGTAGTAATTAACTTTTCTGCCTTTCTATTACATCTTCATCAACTTAGTTACTAAGAAAGAGGCTTTCAGAAAAGTTTTTGGTGCTTCTTCACAAATAATATGTAATAAATTTTTCTTTTTCTTTTAAAAATTTTTTATAAATATTAAAGACATTAAATATGCTTTATAGTAGATTTTGATTTTAATAAGACATGATAGAATCATAATGACTGTTCTAAACTGAGTTTTGATCCTTTAAAATTCATTGCAATTTTATAACTATGCCAAATATGAAGAATGTTTTCTTTTTCTGTTGTCCCTTATGCCAAAATGTATCACATAGCATCTGATATATTATTAGGTTTTTCTAACTGTATTTGTTTTAAGGGCGAAGTGTAAACCATAGTATTAGGGGCATATGTATGCTTTGCTGGAGGATTGTTGGTTTTTAATAAATGTTGACTTTCTGGAAGTTGAGGTAAGCAGTACTGAAAGTGAGAAAATGGGCCATTTTCAGCTCCAGGGAATGGAAAAGTGGTGCTTCTTGGTTCTCTAGCTGTATATTTGTACCTGCTTTTAAGGTAGAGAAACTGTACAGGGAAAAAAAGGTGCATTATACAGTGAAGAAAATAGAATGAAATTACTCATGCCCAATGCATCCTGTTTTTCTAGTGGGATGGTTTTGACTTACAACGTAATAAGGTAAGTTAACATCTTAGTTAAAGGAAAGAAAAAGATAGGCATATAATAACAAATTGATAAAAGCAAAAAGTGAGGAAAATACATTGTTACTTTTATCCATTTGTTATTATATGCCTATCTTAACATCACTCAAATCCAGGGATCCACCAAAAACATTACCAGAAGTATCACTGGTAACGGGGGATCTCTTCTCATATAAATACAGAAACTGACTGGATAGAGACAAATTAAAACACAGTTCCCTTCAGCCTCATGCTATATTCTTGGCAGTAGTTTAGATACTGACTTGCAGCTGATTGAAATAATGTAACTAGGAGTTAGTTAATCTGCCATCTAAGTTGACCTGAAATCACCTTAATGTGCTTCCTGATAAGAGTTAAGATTATCATTCTCTTTAAAACTGGTATATGCATGTCAGAAAAGTCACATTTTATATAAAAGGAATCAATATCTTTAGTTACAGATTTTTAACATTCACAGTTAACTTTCATTTTATCATACCAGTCATGTTTGGTGGGTAACTTGTGTATTATGTCAGTTATCTCAGATTATAATTTCTGATCATTCTTAGATAAACACAGATTTTCCTTTAAAAGACTATTTTATTTAATCTACATTCATATATATTTAGCAGTGCCTAATCAGTGTATTTAATTATTTGATTTTGTGTATCTTTTTTATTTACCAATTCTATATCCAAGGCTATTAATACTTTGCGAAGACAGAATAGTATCCATGTTACCTAGTTTTGATTTACTAAGGTGTTTCTAGTTTAAAATATGCCAATAGATATCTTAGTCTTGTGAAATAATTAATGTTTACTTTTTAAAAATTTCTTTATAATTTTATTTTTTATTATTATACTTTAAGTTCTAGGGTACATGTGCACAACGTGCAGGTTTGTTACATATGTATACATATGCCATGTTGGTGTGCTGCACCCATTAACTCGTTATTTAGCATTAGGTATATCTCCTAATGCTAACCCTCCCCCCTCCCTCCACCCCACAACAGGCCCCAGTGTGTGATGTTCTCCTTCCTGTGTCCAAGTGTTCTCATTGTTCAATTCCCACCTATGAGTGAGAACATGTGGTGTTTGGTTTTTTGTCCTTGCGATAGTTTGCTGAGAATGATGGTTTCCGTCTTCATCCATGTCCCTACAAAGGACAGGAATTCATCATTTTTTATGGCTGCATAGTATTCCATGGTGTATATGTGCCACATTTTCTTAATCCAGTCTGTCATTGATGGACATTTGGGTTGGTTCCAAGTCTTTGCTATTGTGAATAGTGCCACAATAAACATATGTGTGCATGTGTCTTTATAGCAGCATGATTTATAATCCTTTGGGTATATACCCGGTAATAGGATGGCTGGGTCAAATGGTATTTCTAGTTCTAGATCCCTGATGAGTCGCCACACTGTCTTCCACAATGGTTGAACTAGTTTACAGTACCACCAACAGTGTAAAAGTGTTCCTATTTCTCCACATCCTCTCCAGCACCTGTTGTTTCCTGACTTTTTAATGATCGCCATTCTAACTGGTGTGAGATGGTATCTCATTGTGGTTTTGATTTGCATTTCTCTGATGGCCAGTGATGATGAGCATTTTTTCATGTGTCTTTTGGCTGCATAAATATCTTCTTTTGAGAAGTGTCTGTTCATATCCTTTGCCCACTTGTTGATGGGGTTGTTTTTTTCTTGTAAATTTGTTTGAGTTCTTTGTAGATTCTGGATATTAGCCCTTTGTCAGATGAGTAGATTGCAAAAATTTTCTCCCACTCTGTAGGTTGCCTGTTCACTCTGATAGTAGTTTCTTTTGCTGTGCACAAACTCTTTAGTTTAATTAGATCCCATTTGTCAATTTTTGCTTTTGTTGCCATTGCTTTTGGTGTTTTAGTCGTGAAGTCCTTGCCCATGCCTATGTCCTGAATGGTATTGCCTAGGTTTTCTTCTATGGTTTTTATGGGTTTAGTTCTAACATGTAAGTCTTTAATCCATCTTGAATTAATTTTTGTATAAGGTGTAAGGAAGGGATCCAGTTTCAGCTTTCTACATATGGCTAGCCAGTTTTCCCAGCACCATTTATTAAATAGGGAATCCTTTCCCTTGTTCTTGTTTTTGTCAGGTTTGTCAAAGATCAGATGGTTGTAGATGTGTGGTATTATTTCTGAGGGCTCTGTTCTGTTCCATTGGTCTATATCTCTGTTTTGGTACCAGTACCATGCTGTTTTGGTTACTGTAGCCTTGTAGTATAGTTTGAAGTCAGGTAGTGTGATGCCTCCAGCTTTGTTCTTTTGGCTTAGGATTGACTTGGCAATGCGGGCTCTTTTTTGGTTCCATATGAACTTTAAAGTAGTTTTTTCCAATTCTGTGAAGAAAGTCATTGGCACTTGATGGGGATGGCATTGAATCTATAAATTACCTTGGGCAGTATGGCCATTTTCTCGATATTGATTCTTCCTACCCATGAGCATGGAATAGTCTTCCATTTGTTTGTGTCCTCTTTTATTTCTTTGAGCAGTGGTTTGTAGTTCTCCTTGAAGAGGTCCTTCACATCCCTTGTAAGCTGGATTTCTAGGTATTTTATTCTCTTTGAAGCAATTGTGAATGGGAGTTCACTCATGATTTGGCTCTCTGTTTGTCTGTTATTGGTGTGTAAGAATGCTTGTGATTTTTGCCCATTGATTTTTTATCCTGAGACTTTGCTGAAGTTGCTTATCAGCTAAGGAGATTTTGGGCTGAGACAATGGGGTTTTCTAGATATACAATCATGTCATCTGCAAACAGGGACAATTTGACTTCCTCTTTTCCTAATTGAATACCCTTTATTTCCTTCTCCTCCCTAATTGCCCTGGCCAGAACTTCCAACACTATGTTGAATAGGAGTGGTGAGAGAGGGCATCCCTGTCTTGTGCCAGTTTTCAAAGGGAATGCTTCCAGTTTTTGCCCATTCAGTATGATATTGGCTGTGGGTTTGTCATAAATAGCTCTTATTATTTTGAGATAACATCCCATCAATACCTAATTTATGTAGAGTTTTTAGCATGAAGTGTGGTTGAATTTTGTCAAAGGCCTTTTCTGCATCTATTGAGATAATCATGTGGTTTTTGTCTTTGGTTCTGTTTATATGCTGGATTACGTTTATTGATTTGCGAACATTGAACCAGCCTTGCATCCCAGGGATGAAGCCCACTTGATCATGGTGGATAAGCTTTTTGATGTGCTGCTGGATTTGGTTTGCCAGTATTTTATTGAGGATTTTTGCATTGATGTTAATCAGGGATATTGGTCTAAAATTCTCTTTTGTTGTTGTGTCTCTGCCAGGCTTTGGTATCAGGATGATGCTGGCCTCATAAAATGAGTTAGGGAGGATTCCCTCTTTTTCTATTAATTGGAATAGTTTCAGAAGGAACGGTACCAGCTCCTCCTTGTACCTCTGGTGGAATTCGGCTGTGAATCCATCTGGTCCTGGACTTTTTTTGGTTGGTAAGCTATTAGTTATTGCCTCAATTTCAGAGCCTGTTACTGGTCTATTCAGAGATTCAACTTCTTCCTGGTTTAGTCTTGGGAGGGTGTATGTGTTGAGGAATTTATCCATTTCTTCTAGATAAAAAGGTTAGACGAATGGCTAACTAGAATAACCAATGTAGAGAAGTCCTTAAATGACCTGATGGAGCTGAAAACCATGGCACAAGAACTACGTGACAAATGCACACGCTTCAGTAGCCAATTCAATCAACTTGAAGAAAGGGTATCAGTGATTGAAGATCAAATGAATAAAATGAAGCGAGAAGAGACGTTTAGAGAAAAAAGAATAGAAAGAAATGAACAAAGCCTCCAAGAAATATGGGACTATGTAAAAAGACCAAACCTACATTTGATTGGTGTACCTGAAAGTGACGGGGAGAATGGAACCAACTTGGAAAACACTCTGCAGGATATTTTCCAGGAGAACTTCCCCAGCCTAGCAAGGCAGGCCAACATTCAAATTCAGGAAATACAGAGAATGCCACAAAGATACTCCTCGAGAAGAGCAACTCCAAGACACATAATTTATCAGATTCACCAAAGTTGAAATGAAGGAAAAAATGTTAAGGGCAGCCAGAGAGAAAGGTCGGGTTACCCACAAAGGGAAGCCCATCAGACTAACAGCAGATCTCTCGGCAGAAACTCTACAAGCCAGAAGAGAGTGGGGGCCAATATTCAACATTCTTAAAGAAAAGAATTTTCAACCCAGAATTTCATATGCAGCCAAACTAAGCTTCATAAGTGAAGGAGATATAAAATCCTTTACAGACAAGCAAATGCTGAGAGATTTTGTCACCACCAGGCCTGCCTTTCAAGAGCTCCTGAAGGAAGCACTAAACATGGAGAGGAACAACCACTACCAGCCACTGCAAAAACATGCGAAATTATAAAGACCATCGATGCTAAGAAGAAACTGCATCAACTAACGAGCGAAATAACCAGCTAACATCATAGTGACAGGATCAAATTCACACATAACAATATTAACCTTAAATGTAAATGGGCTAAATGCTCCAATTAAAAGACACAGACTGGCAAATTGGATAAAGAGTCAAGAGCCATCAGTGTGCTGTATTCAGGAAACCCATCTCATGTGCAGAGACTCACATAGGCTCAAAATAAAGGGATGGAGGAAGATCTACCAAGCAAATGGAAAACAAAAAAAGGCAGGGATTGCAATCCTAGTCTCTGATAAAACAGACTTTAAACCAACAAAGATCAAAAGAGACAAAGAAGGCCATGACATAATGGTATAGGGATCAATTCAACAAGAAGAGCTAACTATCGTAAATATATATGCACCCAATACAGGAGCACCCAGATTCATAAAGCAAGTCGTTAGAGACCTACAAAGAGACTTAGACTCCCACACAATAATAATGGGAGACTTTAACACCCCACTGTCAACATTAGACAGATCAACAAGACAGAAAGTTAACAAGGATACCCAGGAATTGAACTCAGCTCTGCACCAAGCAGACCTAATAGACATCTACAGAACTCTCCACCCCAAATCAACAAAATATACATTCTTCTCAGCACCACATCGCACTTATTCCAACATTGACCACATAGTTGGAAGTAAAGCACTCCTCAGCAAATGTAAAAGAACAGAAATTATAACTAAGTGTCTCTCAGACCACAGTGCAATCAAACTAGAACTCAGGATTAAGAAACTCACTGAAAACTGCTCAACTACATGGAAACTGAACAACCTGCTCCTGAATGACTACTGGGTACATAATGAAATGAAGGCAGAAATAAAGATGTTCTTCGAAACCAACGAGAACAAAGTCACAACATACCAGAATCTCTGGGACACATTTAAAGCAGTGTGTAGAGGGAAATTTATAGCACTAAATGCCCACAAGAGAAAGCAGGAAAGATCTAAAATGGACACCCTAACATCACAATTAAAAGAACTAGAGAAGCAAGAGTAAACACATTCAAAAGCTAGCAGAAGGCAAGAAATAACTAAGATCAGAGCAGAACTGAAGGAGATAGAGACACAAAAAACCCTTCGAAAATTCAATGAATCCAGGAGCTGTTTTTTTGAAAAGATCAACAAAATTGATAGACCTCTAGCAAGACTAATAAAGAAGAAAAGAGAGAAGAATCAAATAGACGCAATAAAAAATGATAAAGGGGATATCACCACTGATCCCAGAGAAATACAAACTACCATCAGAGAATACTATAAACACCTCTACGCAAATAAATTAATGTTTACTTTTAAAGGGTAGTGTTATTCAATCTGTAACATTGCTAGAGAGAGATGTATAAATTATATATTGATATGTAGATGCTAAACATTTTCCTCGTGCTAAATAGCTGTATCTAGTATAACTAAATTATCAAGTAATTATTATAATAGACAATAAACATTAGCGTGCTGTCTTCAACTAGTATATAGAAGCAGAAAAGGACTGTTTCAGGTTATTGTCATTGAGTAAACCACATAGAGGGCCTTTATCCATGGGAAAGATCATTATAAGTAGAGTATGGGAAAAGTAATTATAAGATTCATTTTTGTTGTACAAATATGTTAAACATTTGTATGATTACCATGACTGAAAGTGACTACTTTTGTTAAAAATACTTTTTCAAACTTTAGATAATTTATTTTAAAAGGAATGTTGTTTATGATCATTTTTAATACAAGTAAATAGTGTTCCAAAAAGTTAATTTGACTGAAATTAACTATTTTCTCCCAAGAGTGATTTCATTTAAGCACAGTGGGAGGCTTAATGATTTGTTCTTCAGCCTATGTATCTCAGAAGGAGGATGCCAGTCCTCCTTTTCCACTTGAAAGCATGTGATGATTCTCTTGAGAGATCCATATTAAAGAAGTTAAAGAAATTCTGCCTAAAAACAAGGAGTTGGAATTACCTTTTAAGTAGCAAAGTAACAAAATCCTGTTATAGTAAATTTAAAACTTGTCCCATTAACTGTTTGCCCATTTAGGAATATTTGCGTAACGGGAAACAAGCATTATTCATTTTTGGTGTGTTGATGGTTTTCTTTTGATACCATGTAAAATATAGTTTTAATGTACTTTTTGGATTTTTAACTTGGTGCATTTTCCGTATAATTCAAGATTAAGATTTTTAGTTTTTCTTTCAGCACTTTAAAGATGTCTTTCCGTTGTTTTCTGCCCTCCATGGCTTCTGACAGCCTAGCTTCAGTCATTCTTATTTTTGTTTCTCTGTAGCAAGGAACTACAAACTTTTTCTTAAAGGGCCAAATAGTAAATATTTTAGGCCTGTGGGCCACATGGTGTTTGTTACAACTACTCAATTTTTGGTATAGTGTGAAAGCCCCAATAGATAATGTGTAAATGAAAGAGCATGGCTATGTTACATCAAAACTTTAGTTATAAAAACAGATGTCCATCATGTGTATTGTAGTTTACTGAACCCTGCTCTGTAAAAACAAATCCCTTTTTCTCTGACTGTTTTTAAAGATATTCTCTGTCATTGTCAGTGTTTTGATTAAGCTGTCCCTTTGTGTAGTTTTCTCTGTGTTTCTTCTGCTTGGTGTTGAGCTTTAGGGATCTGGTAGTTTCTAGTTTTCATGAAATTTTGAAAAATTTCAGCTATTATTGATAGAGGCAGGAGACCGAGAAATTCTAGGCAGATAGGGGTGGGTCCCCACTGAAACCCCACCTTCAAGCCAAAAAAGCAAACAGCCTGAAACCCATGGCCCAAAGTTTGCCCACTCTCTCCCAATTGGTTCTTTCTGAATAATGCCTTTTTACCAATCGAATGTTGCCTTTTCCAAAACTACCTATGGCCTGCCCCACCCCCATCCTGTGCTTATAAAGACCCCAGACTCAGTTGGTAGGGAGGGAGATGGCTGGACTTCGAGGGAGACGGCTGAACTTAAGAAGAGATAACCTGACTTCAGGGAAGATGACATGCCATTTCTGTCCCCTCTCCAGCTCCCTTGTCCACTGAGAGCTGTTTTCATTGCTCAATAACATTCTCTACCTTCACCATCCTTCAATTGTCTACACAACCTTATTCTTCTTGGACACCAGACAAGAGCTCAGGACCCACCAAGCGTGGGTACCTAGAAAGGCTCTCACACCAGCCTTTTACCCTCGCTAGTAGAGGGAAGTCGCCCCGTTGCTCCATGCACTGAGGCAAGGGGCCAACTGAGCTGCTAACACACTGCTGTCTACAGACAGCAGAACTAAGAGAACACTGTAACACCCACTCTGGGGCTTGAGAGTCGTGGGCACCCTCACCTGGGTGCTGCTGTTGGCCTTGCATGGAGCTTTCTCCTGCCAGTGCCTGGAACGGCCAGTCAGATCCCACACTCGCTTGCTCACATGCTCCCTCCCACAAGGAGTTGAGCATGGTGGGCTGAGTAAACAGGGTGCCTGTGTTGCGAGTTTGTTGAAGGCGCGAGAAAATCCTGTGTCATTATTGGTTTTAGATATTTTTCTCCCTTCCTACTTGGGACTCCAATTAGGCAAATATTATCCTGCTTGATATTTGCCATAGCTTATTTAGGCTCTGTTTATTTTTTTCCCTGCCCTTTTTCTTCTGTGCTTCATTATGAATAATTTCTATTGCTATTTTATTTGTTCTCTGATGTTTCTTTTCCAGTGTATTATCTGCTGTTAATTCCATCCAATGTATTTTTTATTTCATATGAAATGAAATTTCATATTTTTTATCTCAAGATCTTATATGTGTCTTATTTAAATATTCTATTTCTCTCCTCATGTGTTCATGTTTTTCTTTACATTTGATTTAAAATATCTGCTTTCAGATCCCTGTCCATTGAAATCATCATCTTTTTCATAAGTCTTTTTCTAGTAATTGTTTTTCCTCCTGGCTGTATGTCATATATCTCTTTTTTGCATGCCTGGATTTTTAAATTGGATGCTAGATGTTTTTAGTTTTTTTGTTGCTGTTAGCTGCTGGACTTTAGATTTTTGTTTTATTTATATAGTGAGTGATGAATTTTGTTTGAGGGTAAGTTTGATCACTTTAAGAATTGCTCTTAAGTTGTTACCAACAGATCCAGAGTAGTCTTTTTTTTTTTTTTTAAGATAGCCCCACTATCCTGATTTAGCCTCACTATAAGCTGTGACCTGATGCTTTTGTATCTTACAAGGTCTGTCCATTTCTCTAAGTGTGTACATGAACAATTCCCAACCCTGAAGGAGCTTTGGGAATTGTTTGGCCTTTTGATATTTTTTTCCCTTCTACCAGCTATAGGTAGTTTCTTGTCATGCATGCATAGAATAGAACTCTGCCAAAAACGCAGGTAGATTCCTCTGCAGCTCTCTGGAGCTCCTTCGTGTATTTCTTTCTGTGCAGCTCCCTCCTCTTCTATCCTGCAAATTCTAACCGCCTAAACCTCCCTGAATTCTAATTTGTGTCACTTCCACTCAGGAAGACTGCCAGGCTGTGTTTGGGTCTCTTTTCTTGTGCTGTAATTTGGAAACTGCCTACAGGCAATGAGCTTGGGGCAATTAAAGGACTCATTTGTTTCGTTTTTCTCAGGGATCAGAAAACTGGTGCAAATTGTCCAATGTCTGAAAACCATTGTTTATTACCTTTTGTCTGACTTTCTAATTGTTCAAGATGGGCAGATAATTCCTTAGCATTTAATTTGTCATAGGTGGAAGCATAACTCTGATTACCCCTAAACAGACACTGGTAGACACTGTTGATAAATGAAGCTTTATTATTTATTTGAGGGGACTATGGGTTATTTTTCTCAGTTAAGAACTAAAAAATACATTCATTTACTTTGAACTTCAAATTCTTTACTTTTTTTTTGAGTAGAAAAGAGAATCGTTATTGTCCCATAAATTACTTACCAATTACAAAGAGTAAAAATAGTAATTTTATTGCATTATAACTTGAAGGATGCCACCATAGCCAACATCACCAATAATGGAACAAACTGATATTGTATGCCTCATAATGTGATACAATTAGGACTCAGTATTACTTACAAAGTATTTCTAATAAACAAACAATATGCATAACCTGAATCTAATCATGAGAAAACATCAGAAGGATCCAAACTGAAGGGCATTTACACAAACAACTGGACTTTACTTTGGTTTCTTGCTTCCTTCCCTCTTTCTTTCACCCTCAGTGTTGAATCCTAGGATGAGTTATTTTCTTCAAAGTAAATTAAAGATAGAATGCCATTGCCATCTGACCCTTATTTTATATACTAAAGAAGACTAGGATGGTATAAAACAAACAAAAAAAGCTTCTTTGTATGAGAAAGAGCTCTTGGAAATTTAAATATAAAAGCTGAAATGTAGACATATAATAAACATCTGGACTATCTGCATCAAAAGCTTCTGCTGTTGTATGCGTTTTCTATCACTGCTGTAACAAATTACCGAAATTTGGTGGTTTAAAACAACCCAGATGTATTGTTTTACAGTTCTGAAGGTCAGCTGTCCAACAGGGGTCTCACTGGGCTAAAATCAAGATGTCAGTCATTTCTGGAGGGTGTGGGGAAGAATCAGTTTCCTTGCCTTATCAAGCTTCTAGAGACCACCCACATCCTATGGCTCATGACCCCTTTCCTCCACCTTCAAAGTCAGCCGGAGTCCCTTCTTAAGTTGTCATCGCTCTTGTTCTCCCTATTCTGCCTCCTTCTACCACACTGAAGAACACTTGTGATACTATTGGGCTCACCTAAATAATCCAGTATAATCTCACTATTTTAAGGTCAATGGATTAGCAAATTTAATTTCATCCATAATCTTCAATTTTAAAGCATACCACTCACAATATTGGAGGGTGTTGCCTCTAGAAATATAATAGAATCCAAATAATTAGGAGTGGTCACCAGGAAACTAAGCCTGGATGCCTCTTCAGTGGATGCCTCTCCTGTGGAGATTCTTGGATTTCATTAATCGCACAATGAAGTAATACATTGAAATGAGATCCACTGAATGGAATACCACAACAGGTCTTGCTGCCACCTTTGAATGTTTTCACCAACTGTAGTTACTTTGCCCAATTGGAAAGTCTTTTAATCTCCTCCATTGGAATTCTATCTTTTACATGATTTTAGAAGAATTTTTTTTGTGTGTGAGATGGATTCTCACTCTGTCGCCAGGCTGGAGTGCAGTGGCACCATCTCAGCTCACTGCAGCCTCCGCCTCCTGGGTTCAAGTGATTCTCCTGCCTCCCCCTCCCAAGTAGCTGGGACTACAGGCATGCACCACCACGCCCAGCTAATTTTTGTATTTTTAGTAGAGATGGGGTTTCACCATGTTGGCCAGGATGGTCTTGATCTCTTGACCTTGTGATTCACCCGCCTTGGCATCCCAAAGTGCTGGGATTACAGGTGTGAGCCACCGCACCTGGCCAAAAGAATATTTTTTAATTTATGACTTCTCACTGTGGAATCCTAAACTAGATTATACAGTTGATCACTATAATTCTTAATTTTTCCTTAAATCCTAAAACCAAGAACATTAATGAATTGGCATTTAATAGATGATGTTTATATTTGAGTATTTTATATTTCTTGTCTTCAAGAGGAAAATAATACATAACTAAGACAAATTGGCCTGTTGTATCCAGAGCTTGTGAGGACCTGATCAGGTTCAAAAATAGGTATCACAAACAGATCAAAATGTAGTAGAATCACACCCATATATTAGCTGTAGTGTGAGATAATAAACCAAATATCACCAGTGCCCTGAAAAGAAGAAATTAATTCTTACTGGGGTATGAGAATAGACTTAACCTGGAGGTGAAATTTGAGGTAGGTCTTAGAGAATAATAAATAGGTATGGAAGACTAGGAAGAATTCAGCTATTTTTCTTTACTTCTATTTTTTTAAAACATAAAGGTAATGTCATAACTTTAAGTGTTATTCCACCCAAGGAACTCTGCCAACAATGCAAGTAGATTCCTTGCATTTTTTTTAGTATCAGATGTAATAAATAGTTTCATGTCTTGTTCATGTATTGTTTATTCATCCAGGTTTGGCAGATTTATTTGTGAATTAGTTTTATTGGTGTATAACAAACTTAGTGATTTAAAACCATTATTATCTCGCACTTTCCATGAGTCAGGAGTCCAGGCATAGCTTAGTTAGTTCCTCTGTTCAGGGTCTCACAAAGTTTTAATCAAGGCATCCACCAGGACTGTAATCTTATTTGAGGCTCAGGGTTCTCTTCCAAGCCTACTGTTTAAAAGAATTCAGTTCTTTGTGTTTGTAGGACTGAGGGTGTCAGTCAGTTGTAAAGGCTGTCTGCCATTCTGTGTCTGGTGCACCGTACAACACGGCCGCTTGATTCTGGGAGGCCAACAGGAGAGCATCTTGGCTACTTCGAATATATCTATCTTTCCAACTTCAATCTCTGATATCTAGACCTCCTTTTAAAGGGCCCATCTGATTAGATCAGTGCCTTATTTCCCACCTCTTTCCCTATGCCCTGGATAATCTCCTTTTTTATTAACTGAGAATCAACTGATTAGGTACCTTGATTATATCCTCAGAATCCCTCATATGCCATATAATTCAGCCTAATCATAGGAGTGATAGTGCATCATATTCACAGGTCTTGTCCAGACTCAAGGGATAGGTATTATATAGGGCATTTATCCCAGGTTGAGGGAATCTTAGAAGCTGTCTTACATTCTGCCTACCACAGTTTGACTTACACTATTAATATAATTAGAGAAATACAAATTGCATTTTATATAAAGGATATAGATAGACTGGAAATACTAATAAACCACCACTAATTAAATAGTTGAACACAGCTATTTTCTGAAATAATTATAACTATAACCTTAGTAGATTGTTTTATACTTTCTGTCCTTAAAATACAATTTAACTGAACTCATATGCTCATTATACATTTAAGAATCTCATTGAAACCTTGGAAATTTTCCATTTGCTTCCCAATAAATGTGTACAGTTTTCAAAATCCTAAGTTTTTTCTTTTTACATAATTTTAATACTTAGATCTGTGCTCTGTTAACTATTTTTAAAGTTATGTGGTAATGTTCTCCTAGCAACATGGAGGGGGAAACTGAGTACTATTCGCAATTGGAAGTACAGTGTTGCTTAGCTACCTCTCTTTTAAATTTGAAATATTAAGGCATTTCAATAAGAGGGTAGCCCTTAAGCTTTTAAGTGTTTGCTTATAACATATTGCCGTGTTTTATGTACGCTTTTCACCTTTGTATTGTAACTTATTGTGAAAGTTTAAAAAAAGAGGAGTGCATTTAATGGCAGTCACTAGAGTACCTTAATACATAAAGTCAGTCATTTTTTTAAGAAGCTCTAATGGACACAAATGAAATTACAAGATATGCTTTAATATGAACTTACCTCAAATGCAGTTATACTGCCAAATGCAATAATTATACCAATTTTGTCACTTGATTGTAAGTAAAATCATTGTAAAATGTCTAAAAGGTTACATATAGTTGTTTTAAAAATAGCATTGTTGTCATATGTCAGCGATATCATTAAACACATACTGAAAAAGCACTTTATTACATTATGTTGCTGTAATGCTATCCGGGTTACTTTTTCTTAAAGTTGGACATCAGTAATAAACAGTGTTGCTGCAGTGTTTCTCCTATTTGGAAAGGAATATATGAAGATTCTTCTAGGTGGAGTCTTTCAATACAGATTTTTGCTGCATAATCCAATTTCTCCCCAAAATAACTAAAGTAAGACATACTCATTGTAGAAAACATTTTCAAAAGCTTAGGTAAGTATAGAGAAGAGATTTAAAGCCAACTGTATTCCTGCTTCCCCCAGAAAAACACTAAGACTTTAGTATGTTTCCCTTCTTTGAATATTGTTATAGGAAACATCATATTTCAGATTCAATTTGCATCTTGTTTCCATTTTACTATTTTAGTATAAGCATCTCCAAATCATTAAAATTATTTGAAAATATTTTTATTGATTAATATGTGGATGTACAATGTTTCCTGTATTATGTGACTATAGATTCCTTCCTGTTTTTTATTATGTAGCCACTGAGAAGAAAACCTTTGTGAGCGTTTCTGAATTCCTTAATATAGATCCTAGAAGTGTTACAAATCCTAGGAATTAGAGTAAATGAATATTTTAAAGACCTCTAAACATGTTAATGGGTTATTTTCCAGAAAAGTTAACTGTCCTTATTAACATTTACTGGTTTAATTGTAAGAAGAGAAAGAAATACTTAATATATTGTGTTTATGATGAAGAAAAATGATTTTTTTCAAGTGTTAGCCATTTGTAATTATTCTTTTGTGAAAATATTTCCCTGTTCCATTTATTGATATACCCTTGTGTCTTACTGATTTGCGGGAGACCCTCATGTATTGAATTTATCCCCTTTTCTGTCATAAATTCCATTTATGTGCCTTTTAATTTGATTTCTATACATTTTGAAATACAGATCTTTCCAAAAACTTTTGTAAAAATACCTTTGCAGCCAGGCGTGGTAGTTCACCCTGGTAATCCTAACACTTTAGGAGGCCAAGGTGGGTGGAGGATTGCTTGAGCTCAGGAGTTTGAGACCAGCCAGGTCAACATGGCAAAACCCTATCTCTGCCAAAAATACAAAAATTAGCCAGGCATGGTGGCATACACCTGTAATCCCAGCTACTTGAGGGAGGTGTTGAGGCAGGAGGATCACTTGAACTTGGGAGATTGAGGAGTCTGCAGTGAGCTGAGATAATGCCACTGCACACCAGCCTGTGTGACAAAGACCCTGTCTCAAAAAAAAAAAAATTTCCTCCACCTTCTCTTTATTTTCACTCACTGCCTTTAGGCTTATTAATAGCCTTATCGTACAGATTCTCCTACATTTTATCTCTTTTTTTTCTTCTTCTATTTTTACATTTAATTCTGAACCATGTAAAGTGTGTTTTTGTTTACAGTGTTGGGTTAGGAACAAAATTGATTTTGTTTCCAAATGCTAATCCATTGTTTACAGCACCAGTAGGACTACTATTCCCTTTCCCACTGATCTGTGATAGCCCTTTTATAATATACTAAATCCTGGGATACTGGACTGATTGTCTAGTTTCTATTCTGTTTTATTCGTCTTTCTACACTTGCATTGGAATCACATTATTGTTTAGCGTTATATATATTTTTTAATATTTCTGACTGTTTACCCCTCTCTGTAGAGTAATGTAGATTGTTTACCTTACATCTCATGTTATGGGTATTCATAGTTTTTTTTAATTGTTATTGTGAATGACATTTTTTTCTATTTTCTGACTCATATTTGCTGACATACTTGAAAGATAATGATTTTTTAAAATATTTATATGAAATCCGAGCCCTTTATTCTCAATAATTGTAAGAATTGATTTTATGGAGCTTTTTGATATCTAATAATCATATCTATGAGTAATGAAAATTTACTTTCCCTTCCTACATGTTATGTCTGGATTGGCTAGAAATTCCAGAGTAATGTTAACTAATAATGTTAACAATGGGTGTTCTTATCACAGGAAAGTTAAAATCACGATTAAGGAAAAACTGTGGTCATCTTTCAATTAAAACCCAAATCATAGTTGAAAACAAATCATCCTTAATTTTCTAGATTACATTAACTGCCTTGCACATTTATCATGGAAAAAGGTACATAAAGATCTTGGGTAGTGTGCATTTCTCCAGCACGGGCGCAACATGTGATTACCTCTAATTGGTAACTTTAAAGGGAAGAGGAACCAAACTTCAGATCTAGACTTCAGTTGGAAGATGCCTAAAGGGAAGCTAGATGAGTTAGTTTCTAGATTCCCCTGTGTCACCGTCATTTCCTTGAAAGCAATTCCTGGCATGGTGGCAGTTGGAGTTTCTCTCTTTCCGGAAGACTATAAAGGAGAGCTAGAGGAGAGCAGCACTGCATCTCCACTAAACTGAGGGCTTGATTTGCTGCCCGTCATGCTGTTCTTATGCCATTGTTAGAAAAACCCGAAGCTTTCCAATTTCATCCATGTCCCTACAAAGGACATGAACTCATCATTTTTTATGGCTGCATAGTATTCCATGGTGTATATGTGCCACATTTTCTTAATCCAGTCTATCATTGTTGGACATTTGGGTTGGTTCCAAGTCTTTGCTATTGTGAATAATGCCGCAATAAACACATGTACCCTAAAACTTAAAGCATAATTAAAAAAACAAACAAAACAAAACAAAACAAAAAAACAAAAAAACAAAAAAAAAAAAAAAAGAAAAACCCGAAGCTACAAGTATGGAGATGGGAACTTTTTCTGTTTTGTTATGGTGATAAAGGATCAGGGTTTTTCTTTTCTTCACGTTGTCACCGCTGTGGATGTATTTCATAACTTTTGATGTATCATGAACCACTCCAAACTTAGTAATTTAAAACATCAGTCATTTATTTAGCTCACAATTCTGCAAGTTGGCAATTTAGGATGAGTTTAGCTGGGCAGTTGTGTTCTCAGTTAGGCTCCGTCATGAGTCTGTGGTGTGGTCAACTTGATTAGTAAGATGGTTTTGCCCTTATAGTTGGCTGGTTATTAGCTGGAGGGAAGCTCGGCTCTTCTGTAGCTGGAAGTGTAGGCTTTTTCTCCTGGTGGTGGAAGAGGTCTGAGAGAGAGCAGAAGCAAGCCAAGCCTCTTGAGGCTAACTTAGAGCTGGGACATTGTTACTTGTGTTGCATTTTGTTGGCCAAAAGAAGTCATAAGACCTGCTGATTCAAAGGATAGGGATATAGATTCTACCTCTTGCTGACAGCTTCTATAAAGTCACGTTGCAGAGGGTATGGACACAGCCAAGAATGGGTAATTAGGGCCATGTTTGCCCATCAATCTAACATACAATTGGATGAATGAAGGACTCGAAGATGTGCTTAGAACACTATGTTCCTTGTAAATGTGGATTTTAATTTTGCTGTTACAAAATTATGTCATCCAGCTCCCTTTTTATTTCAGCCTGTTGTCTTTGTATCATGTATTCTTTTTCTCTTTATATTGTTCTTTCATTTTTGGTTCGTTGTGAATCTTTATTCAAATCCATGCCAGATAAAAATTGTCTAAAATTAATTTTTGGTTCCTTATTAAATTTTTCTCAGGGAGATCTTCTCTGCCTCTTCAGATTATAATTTATTTCTCATGTTTGGGAGGATTTTTCCTCATAGAGCCCACCTCAATTTTTCCTTTTTATTTGGACACTGTTGGTATTTGCCAACAGAGTGTGTGGATGGTTTTCACTATCCACTTAGGTTTAAATGCCTTCTCAAATCTGTATCTGAGGAATAGGTTGTTATATGGTTCCAAGTGACTGGTTCTTAGACCACTCTAAATGTGGCTTAAACTAGGATCATCTGCTACCATGCCACTTATGCCTGTTTTTTGGGGCACTTAAAAAAAGGTGAAGTATATGGAAAAAAACATATTTTTAAAACGTGTACTACTAACAGGGTTTTCCCTGCATTTTCTGGTCTCTGCAGAGCTTTTCCTGTGATACTAAGCCTTCCAGGAAGCAGTGAACCATTGTCAGTGCCCCCCTACCCTTTTGTCATATTGCTTGCTGGGAATTATATTTAAATGGACATATAAAGAGGTGTGCCACTGGGAACTGGGAATGAGTTACACAACTCTGGCTGCCTCATAAAGCCATCTTTCTACTGCATAAGCACTGTGTCTGTTAAACAGCAGGTGGAAAAAGGGAGTGAGCTAAAGTCCCTTACTCAGCTGCAGAAGTATTGTGTTTCACAGAGCAAAGCAAGCCGTTGCATGGTATATACCAAACAGAAAACTAAGCCTACCATTAATTTGTTTCTAATCCTTGTTTCTGGGAAACTGTCAGAGATTTCTCATCAGAGGTTAACTGAATTTTGGTAGGGTGTGCTGTTGTCTTTTTCTGTGCCTTTGTATGGATTATTGTGAGAAGGTGGGAGAGACTGCACTAGGGGATTCTATTCAGATACCTTCTTAAGCTGAGTCCAAAGTGCATTTAGTTCATAATGCATTTTCCATTTTTTATTAATCAAAAAAATGTATTGAACGAACATTAAGAAACATAGCAACTGCAAAGAGCAGTTTTGAAAGGCCAGGATTTGCTGCTTTTGGTAGCTTATGCAGTGTTATCATGTGAATAAGTTTACTGTTCCATTATAATTTTGCAGAAATTACATATATTTCTTAGTCCTCCATTATTACTTTTAAAGTTTGCTGTTGGAGAAATAGCACTTTGATTTTCTCTTTGTTCCTACCCTGGCCATCAGCGGTCTAGATGTGAAACACATACCTGTCAAGGAGGTTGAAAGACCAGAATGAAGTGCCTCCAGAATTCTCCAAGCCAGCCTGTGGAATAATGGGTCAAAATAGCTGCCAGGACTAGTTGTTGAATCTTTGGAAAAATGATAGTTACTTTCAAAGATGCTATTTTTTCCATAGTTGTCTTATCTCTGGCAACTGTTTCTGGCTGCTAAGTTTAAGATTTAATAGTAAAATTACAACCTCAGGGAGTCCATCTCATTGGAAAGTAACTGGAGTTATTACAGCTGCAGAATTAAGATGTGCTATAACTACTTGATTATTGTTTCTATAATCTCTGATGAATGTAGAGCTTGAATGATGTTCACCATTTTTTGAAAAACATGACTTGGTTTAAATGCCTTCTTAAGTCTTTTAGCACTGAAGTTCATTAATTGGATTTATGGAACAATTGTCTATAGCCTGTTCTCCTTAGTTAAGAGTTTACATTGGTGCCAGATTTTGACAATATGTATTTAACTTTTTTACAGTAGTAACCTAATTGTGAGTGTTTTTAAATGCCATATAAATGAGGGACTCCTAGTTGTTAGGGAAAATCAGTATCTGATCTCTCAAACTAGGTCAGTGCTTTTAAACTGGGCTTTCAGGGAATATCTATAGGTTGTATAAAATGTGCTTCCACTAATAATGAATAACGGTAACCTTTTCCCGGTATGTGGAAAAGTAGTTTTAGATCTTAAACATTTTCAACCCTTTTGTGTGAATTACAAATTGTTTGACTAGTAGAAAATAAACAGGACAAAAACTGAGCAGTAGTCTTGTTTAGTTCACTCACTTATTTTTTCATTGACACGTGCTTGTGATATTTATATTACTTATCTTTAATATAGCTTTGCTTTTTATTAATTATTCTAGATTTTCTACTGGAATTGAATTAAGATTTGTCACAGTATTGCACAGAAAGCACTGTAACTTCCAAGAGCTTTGCCATTAGAAATGGTTTGAGAACCACCGAACTTACCGTCTTGTAGGATATTAGAGGGCAAGGACTTTTGCCATTATCATCACACATGTTGAGTGGAAGCCACTGCAGACTCTTAAGTGGAAAATAACATGAGAAAAATTGGATTTAATATTTTGGGATAAATTTTGGGGGAGTTTTCTGGATGGACTGGTAGAGGTTGAGGGTAAGCATAGGAATGAAGATGGAATGTAACCACTTTAAACGTTGGTAGGTCAGTTTATATTAAGCATTTGATTAAAAGCTCTGAAAACTCTAGAATTATGATTCAAGTTAAAATATTGAGGTAGCTTTCTTTCCTTTTAGTTTGAAAAGTTAATTTTGAATTGATGGACATTATACATGATGACTAAAGCAAATTTTAGCTTACTATTTCTCTCCCCTATTGTCTAAAATGTGATTCTAATATCATAACTGTCATTACAGTCTTGGCCAGTAATTCAGTAAGTAGAAAAGAAATCATTGTCACAAACTTCCAATTACAAGGCTGTAATGTAGCTGTTGAAATGACAACTAAATGGAGAAGACTGGTCTTGCTGGACAAAAAAGCATACGTGACACTTGTGGGGTGGGGAATAGAGAAGGGGGATAAAAAATTGACTTAGATGGACTTTGATCCCAGGGAGTGTGCAGGGAGATAAATGATAAAGATAAATATAATAGTGAATAGGAGTAACAATAGAAGGAGTTATAGTTCAGGTACTATGGGAACTCAAAGAAAATAACATATCAGGTGGGAGAGTCTGGAGGAGGCATTTGAGTTAGTGAGTTTTGAATAGGCACAATGAATAGGTTAAGGAGCATTCTACCTCAAGGGAAAAACATGACCCAAGGCACTGGCACTTAAACAAGTGTGTGTTGAATAGCTGAATGGAATTGGGTAGCGTTTGTTCTTCCACTGATTTACTCACTATGATATATGAATGCCTCCTGAATGGCAAGCACCATGGCAGGTTGGTGCTGGGAATATAATAAGATGACCGTCATGAAACTACAGTCTAATAGAGATAGATAAAACCGACAAATTAATGAATATATAAATCCAAAGTGAGAAAGACTGTTAGGCTACTGAGTAACTTGAGTGAGGATAGATGGTATGATTAGGTAGTCAGGGAAGGACTCTTTGAGGAAACAAAATATAAGCTGAAACTGATCTTTGTTAGGAGCCAGTTTACCCTGTAGGATATTTACCCTGTCTGAAGTCTTTACCATTGTTGCTATCCCAATGTGTTTAATTTGACTAACTAGTCCCCATTCAAACACAACCAGTGAAATTTATCTTTTTCATCAATGTTTGCTTTATTGATTGCTGAATTATTTACCTGTTATAAAATTTATCATGTTATTCTTGTTTTGCAGAAACCGAAGCTGAAAGACTGGCATCCTCCTGGGGGCTTTATTCTGGGATTATGGGCACTTATTATCATGGTTTTCTTCAAAACTTATGGAATTAAGCATATGAAGTTCATTTTTTAGACTTGATGATGAATGAAGAATGCATGGAGGACTGCAAACTTGGATAATAATTTATGTCATTATATATTTTTAAAAATGTGTTTCTCTTGTATGAATTGGAAATAAGTATAAGGAAACTAAATTTGAATCAACTATTAATTTTATAACTTAAAGAAAAATAATTGTTAATGCAACTGCTTAATGGCACTAAATATATTCCAGTTTTGTATTTTGTGTATTATAAAAGCGAATGAGACAGAGATCAGAATACATTGACTGTTTTTGAAAATAGTAATTTCCCCTTATCCCCTTTTCATTTGGAAAAGAAACAATTGTGAAGACATTAAATTCTCACTAACAGAAGTAACTTTGGTTAATTATTTTTTGTATATCCTCCCAATCTTTTGACTTATGCACATATTTTTTCCCAATATGGAGATCATATGGAATGTACTATTTTGTAATGTCTTTTTTCATTTTACAATGTATTATCAACCTTTTCCCTCTCAAAAATACATTGTGAATGACTGCATAGTATTCACTTTATGAATATTTAATTCATTTCACAGTCTTCTATTGTTGGACCACTTACATTGTACCAAATGTTTTCCTTTGGTTTATTCTTTAATGTATTAATATTTTACTGCTGGTCACTCATGGAATCCTGCAGCTTTAATTAAAAGCAAAGATGAAAAATTGGTTTTTTAATCTATGGCACTGACAATCTCCAGGACCTTATATGTTTGTTGTCAGTTTATTTGGGAAATTTTAGACCTTTGATAATTTCACGTACTGACTGCTCAAGAGAAACATACCCCATTGTTTTTCATTTGTAAGCGTTCTGTGATCTTCTACAATTGGTCACGTCCTCTTCATTTTCCATCTTGAAAGAGAGAGCCAACAAGGACTTTATTTCATTCTGTTTTAGGTAAACCTCCTTGCCCACTGGCTGTATCTATACTTTCCTTGAGAAAAATCCCATAAAGTGGATGGACCTGTGAAGAAAATGTATGCTTATGGCCTAGCCTTCATGTCTGGCTGATGTATCCTATAAGGCAGTAAGCCCCTTTTCTAGTCTCTGGTAAGATGCAAGAGCTCATATCCCCATCACTGACATTTTAGTTTGGAAATAATATTGAGACTGTGCTATGACCAACCCCTGATGTTGTTTTTTCTTTTCAAACTTTTGCATATGAGTAGAGGAAAAGCCTAAAAGTTAAGTATTTATGTCTGGGGGGATACCTTCAGGTGTCTTATCTGTTTTATGCAAGAATTTATGTGTTCATCTTTATTCAGTGCAAAGATTTTTTTTTAAATTTTGTTTATAATTGTAGGTAACATTAAGACAACTCTTCCTCCACAAGAAAACCTCCTAAAATTAATATTCCTTAAGATTTGTTTTTCCTTTTGCACTTATAATATTACCTTTTAATTGCATGCAAGATTGTCATACTTTTCAAAAGGCAAAGGATTGACTGTGTTATCTCCCTAGTTAGAACAAATGATATTGAGGCTTTTTGCCAGCTCTGAATCTTTATTTTAATTGATCTTTTTATTGATGTGTTATATAAATGAGGAAGAAAAATTTTGTCTGATTATGTGAAGGATCTTTCTGTACATGAAAAGAAGGGAAAATAAACTTGCAATTGAATAGACTGATTATAGTAGCACTGAGACACAAAAAGATTGACCATGTTGCCCTCCAGACACTCATACAAGGTCGTGGACACCACGGTGAGGCGGAGCTATTTAGGGTGGTAAAGGAATTATGATTGTTCTTGAGCCAAAGTAATTTAGTTTGAATATAATGAAACATACCCTGTAAAGACTGCTAGAAAGTAAAAGGATTCGTCTTCAGAGGTTGTAGAAGGTGCCCTTCTTAGTTAAAACCAAACTGGGAAAAGTAATACTGGATAAAATATTCAGGATAAATTTTGCCTCAGCAGAATTTCAAAGGGCAGTTGTTCCTCTGTTTCATTATTGAATCTTCAGAATATAGTTAAAGCCAAAAGCTTAAAATATGTTAAATGTTTCACTTATAACCATAATCTTTTTACATAGAGCATACTCTGCCTTCATAATAACTAAATCCTCTGCATGTGGTAGATGAGTACGTTTAGGAAATATTGTCAGTGCAATTAAATGGCCTACACTTTAAACAGTATCATAAAAACAAATCCTTAAATATATTCTACTTGAGTCACAAAAGCTGAACAACAGAAAGGTGTTTTGTTTTTGCCTTTCTCACAGTGTTGTGGTGAGAATCAGATGAGATAGTATTTTGACTAAACACTTCTGAAATTGTAAATATATGGTGGCATTATTGTTCTTATGTCGGCTTAGGAGGATACCAAAGGGGAAGTTAATGGTCACAGTGCACTTATGTAGCTTTCTAAGCTACTCAATGTGATTCTTGTTCTCTTTGCTGTTCTTTTTCTCCTCCCCCATGGTGTCCTTCAGAGAGAAAAGGAATGTAGATAAATGAATCCCTGCAGATGTGTCCTGACATTTCAGGGAGGGACAGGGTATAATGATGCCATCCTGCAAAGGCAGCCTGTGTGAGAAAAAGAAATCAAATAATGTGGATTTTAAAATTACGAAAGACATTCATTTGCAGTTTATGAAAGGAAAATGTAGTTTGGATACAAAGCTGATTAAATTGGATCAAGAAATATTAGAATTAAATGCAAAAAATAATCCATGCATTTATGGTTTTGATTTTTATATATTCCCAGCTAGTTGAAAATGATGATTCCCACAAGAAGCATAACTCAGCTTGTTTCTGCTTACTGAGTATTTTCTACTATGGTATATATTGATAACATTTCTTCCATTATGTATGTTGTATACCAGAGTTACAGTTACTGTGGGAATCATAATTTGAAATTTTGACTCCTGTGTTTCTGGAATCTTTACAACAAATGTTGCATTAACATATAACTTTTTTCAGTTGACTTTACCAAAATTAAGCCCATCTTTAGTAGATACTGTTTTAACATGTGAAAGAAATACGTTATAAACATACCACAAGATATGGCTATAAAACAATGAGATCAGTATCCATTTTTGCTTTAAAGAATTGGCCTTATTGCTTCAGTGTCACATCTCATACTCAAGGGCATTTACTACAAAGAAAGAGTTCTCCAATATTGCTGTTCTGTTGCTGCCTGCCCTATTTACACATGTACCTGCTACTTAAATAGGAAAGCCTTTCAATTCATGGACAATACACCTTGGTGGTAACCAGGCTTTTATTTTTATTTTTTTTTCTTAGTGTAAAAACTGTACTGTTTTGGAAATGTGCTGTGAAATATTAGGTTTAACTGTGTAGATCCTAGAATAAGGGGATTTATATAGATGAAGTTGTAACCAAGAAACTGGTTATTAAAAATTTATTTACTCCAAACATGGAAAGGTGGCAGTGTCATTCTTGTGTCACCTGCACAGTTTGCAGTCTCAGAGACTTCAGAGGACTCTGAGATTTGCCTGCTGAGGTATACCCAGTCATAGGGTCTGCCAGGTGGGAATCACATGATACGACCCACGTTCAGTTTTCTCTCTTTTGACTATGGTAGTGCCAGCTTTGACTGTGCTAGAGTTTCAGGGACGGACATGAGCGAAACTTTCTTAGGGGGGGTCATTTAATAAGGTCATAAATGTAAAGCAAATTGGCTGGGCATGGTGGCTCATACCTGTAATCCCAGCACTTTGGGAGGCAGAGGCGGGTGGATCATGAGTTCAGGAGATTGAGACCATCCTGGCTAACACGGTGAAACCCCATCTCTACTGAAAATACAAAAAATTAGCCGGGCGAGGTGGCGGGTGCCTGTAGTCCCAGCTACTCGGGAGGCTGAGGCAGGAGAATGGCGTGAACCTCCGGGGGGCGGAGCCTGCAGTGAGCCGAGATTGCGCCACTGCACTCCAGCCTGGGCGACAGAGCGAGACTCCGTCTCAAAAAAAAAAAAAAAAAAAAAATGTAAAGCAAATCACACAATGTCTGACATATAGGAAAAGTCAATGTTTTGTTCTTTGCTGGGCAGGACTATCTTGCTTTTAACTTCCACTCAGGCCCAGGGTCTTGTCACTCTTTAGAGAACATTAGCTTTGCTATTCCTAGACTGTCCTTTTCCCATCTGTTTTCAGCAGGCATAAATTTTGGGTAACAGTTTCTTTCGATACTATCCAACGATTTTAATCCATAGACTCTCTTGCCTCCCTTTTCTAGATTTTTCTCCTATTTTAGGTAGATTGAGGCTTTTCTCATCTTCCCTCAGCCTTAGTGTTCCACTGTCTTCTTTTTTCATATTCAGTCCACTCTGTTGGGAACATACCTTTAACATGATTTAAGGGACAGTCTTTCCTCACCCTCAGGTTGCAGATGTCTGGATAATAATCTAGTACTGCAAAACAGTGAGCATTACATTTCCAAGAGAACATATCCCCTACTTTCCCTACCCTTTGTTAGAGCTTTTTTAGTTTCAAATGATAACAACCAAAGTAGAACAAATGTAGGCCAAGAGGGGAATTTGCCAGAAGAATATTAGGATATTTTGTATAATCTTTCAGAAGTGGGGTCAGGTCTGAGCCTCATCAGGCACTGGAGTATCACCTGGACTCACTCTCTCTCTCTGTGTTCCCTTTATTCCTCCTGGAAACTGACTTTCTCACATGATGGATAGAACCTCATATCCCATGCTTCTACCACAAGAGAGAGGTAAATTACTGTCTTCCTTTAATTCCAGTTCTACAAGTCTTATGGAAGAATAGATTAACCTTATTGGCATCACAGGTTCACAGGCCAGAGGGCTAAGGTCTTGTAAGCCCATAAGGACCTCTGGTGGCATACCCCATTAGCACTCCTCCCAGAGAAGGATGGGATCACAGGAGCCAGGCAGTTACCCTTATTACTTTCTGCTAACTTGCTGTTCAATGGGTGGCTCATGGAGCTGCAGTATCCCCCCTGTAGCTTCCTAGAAATGCAGAATGTGATGCCCACCTCAGACCTACTGAATCAGAATCTGCATTTTAACAATATCCCGAGGAGTTTGTGTGCCCATAAAGTAGGAGAAGCACTGACCTACTACACCTTTCTAGACAAAATAGCTCAATTTTATCTCCTAAAAAGAGATTGTAAAAGAAGATCACAAACACTTGCGAAATAAGCAGCCATGGGTAGCATCTTTTATGGTTAATTGACTCTTTAGCATTATTCCTGACTTCTATTCAGACCTTGTAAGACTGTGTACCACTCTCATTCTCTTTCTTTCTGAGGCTTTTTCAAAATACACTAAATGCTTAAAACAAGCAGCTAATTAGCATTTATATGTGTAGTATCTTCAAATCCCTTGACACTCCTCTCATCAAGACATGGAGTCTAAACTCCCTGCCCCTTGAATATGGGCTGGCCTTAGTGACTTAATTCTAATAAATAGAGTGTTACCGAATACTACTGCATGACTTCAGAGATCATAAAAAGGATTATAACACCTGCCCAGCTCTTTTCTAGGACACTTGCTCTCGGAACCCAGCCACCATCCCCTGAGGAAGCCCAAGCCGCATGGAGAAGTCACATATGTGTATTGTGGAGGGCAGCCTCCCGGCTGAGGTCCCAGCCAGGAGCCAACATCACACTCCAGAGATGTGCAGGAAGGAGCCTCCAGATGTTCCCTGACTGCAACCACAGGAGAGACCCCCAAGTGAGAACCACTTAGTTATCCCCAGAACCATGAGAGAGAATAATTACAAAAGATTGTTATTTTACTCCATTAGTATAGAGTGGTTTGTTGTACAACAATTAGTTATTGAAACACTGTGTTAATGAGTTACACACTCTAGTAGATGCTTATGAGGGATACAAAAATCTAATTAATTAAAGAGTTACCAGTGGATTATAGAAAGGAAAAAAACTACATAGCAGAAAATGACGAGTGCTATGTAAGAGCTATAGGACAGGCACTTAAAGAGAAACTTCTGTTTTTAATTGCTATATAGATATATTATTAATCTTTTATTTACTATCAGTTGAAGAGGCAGAGCATACATCAAGGAGGAAGTAAAATTTGAGTCATGATTTATAGACAACCAGATTAGATTTCTCTATCTCTTGCCCCTCTCTATTTTCCACTATTGTTCTTTTCAAAATTGTGCATTTTCTTCAGTCTTCCTGCTCTACCAACTTAGTTCTTTCATCAAAAGGCTTTGCTTTGTAATCTGAAAATTAAACTGGGAGAAGGTAACCAGCTCAACTTCCTGCTCCACCTTCTACAAATTTGCCTTTATTTTCTCCCATCACACCCCTACCCCACTTCTTTGGGCTCAGATACTGAGGCAGAGATGCCTCTGCTTTGAGTTATTGATCCCATCCCATTTGGGAGCTTGTTTACTCATGTCTTCCTTCAATTTCTTTTTACATAGAAGAGCTTCCCCTTGAATTTTATAAGATGTGTAAGTTTTCCTCATTTTAAAAATTCCTCTCAAAATCCTGTGTCCTCTTCTGAGTGCTTTACAGAGCTCTCCTCTACTTAATTTCATAGCTTTTCTTTCGAAAGAGTGGGCTGCATTCACTTACTGGCTTCCCTGCCTTGCCTTCTCTTCATTGTAAACCCCCTTGTAATCTGGCTTTTGTTCCCACTACTCCCCTGAAATGATTTCCTTTACTGCTATCAGTGATGGAACTGCCAAATCCAATGGAAACTTTGAACTTTGCTAATTTGGAGGTCTTTGCCCCCAAGAGGGAGAATGCTTTCATCATGAGATACAACAATTTCACTGAATTTGAAGAGAACATTGCCACCTGGTCATTTGAGGCTGTTTATGTCACTAAACCAACAGGCCAAAAATAGGGAGTTGCTTCACTGGTTGGAGTGATTGATCTCAATTATCAAAGGGATATTGAGTTGCTGCTACACACTGGGGAGAAGGAGGATTATGTGGAATCCAGGGGATTATCTGGGGTGCCCATTAGCACTTCTTATAACAACCAAAAAAAATAAAAAGGCAGATGACTAAGGACTTTACCCTTCTGAAGGAAGGTTTAGGTCCCTCTGCTGGATAAAGAATTGACCCGCTGAACTTCTGGCCAAGGGCAAAAGAAATATAAGCCAGAGGTATCAACTATGGCCTTGTGCCCAGCTACTGAAATGAGGACTGTAGTGGCTTTGTGTATTTTCTCTTTGGCTATTATATGTTTATGTGTGTAGGCTGTTTCTCCTTTTTCCATTTTTGTTTTTACACAAACTAGTGGTGCTTAACCATACATAATAGTCTTTAGGCAAGAAAATAATCAATGAAACTATGATAGAATTTGAGGAGTAATGACTATAGCTGCCAATGGATACAGTGATGGTTAGGACTATGCATCTCTTTATTTTGTGAAGGGTGAGAATTTCTTCACTTGTGAGAATAGCAATATCTTGTTAGGTGGAAACACAGAGTTGCTTCATTGTACAGAACTCACATGAGTGAAGGGTAAATATGGAAAATGAGTAGCTAAAGGAATGTACTGTTCCCAGTTATCAACTCATTGTCTCAACCCCCAATCCACTTATTACCATTCTATGATAATGGAGCTGACCCCTTTAAGAATTTCTTCTTTACAGTGAACATGTTGCTAAGCTTTGTCAATAGACAGTGCTGGAGGATCACAGAAAAAAGGAGCTTTTCTTCTTGTTTCAGGTGATCTTCTCCTGCAGGGGGAGGGAGAGAGAGAGAGAGAGAGTACGTGTGTGTGCACACATTCTGTGTTTTCTGCAGTGCCCAGTGGCCGGCAGCACAGAGCACCTTCCTGTGGACAACTTTATAGTGGGAGGGCTACCAGCAAAGCATCTTCACTTGAATGGCTGCCTCAGGCAACTGGTTCCAGCCATTTTAAGCAAGGTACAGATGGTGGGCACATTCTCATGAACATCTTCCCCCAGCATACCTCCTTGCAGAGAGCTGCTAACAGGGCACCTTCCTCTGGACAACTTTCCCCACATTCCTTCAGGTGGCTTTTCAGTGAGTTCTGAGACATGGCTCCTCCCTGAGGATATGACCTTAGCACTCCAAAGGGCAGTTTTCCAGCAAGCTCCACTGACAACGACACTTCAGTGAACTTCTCTGCCAGTGTGCCTTGCCATGCCCTCTCCAACGATGTCTGATCTCAGCCCTGGGAGGAGTTGGCTTCTTCCTTGGACTTCTGGCTTAGTCCTAGGGGAGGGGGCTGCCAATTCAATTTCCCTTTGGTAATTGGGATCAATCACTCCAGCCAGTGAAGCAACTCCTTATTTTTGGCCCATTGGTTTAGTGACATAAACAGCCTCAAATGACCAGGTGGCAATCTTCTCTTCAAATTCAGTGAAATTACTGTTTGTCTCCTAATGAATTCCCCCTTTTGGGGGCAAAGACCTCCAAAGTAGCAAAGCTCAAGAGAATGCCTGCCATTCCTATATTCTTTAGAGTACTTGTTATCTCTCACTAGCAACTGCCCCTTTACTCTAATTCTTTCTTCAAATTACTATGTGATTTCTGTGTCCTGATTGGACTTTCACTGATACAAGTTCTTAAAGAAACTAGATGGTATTACATGATGAAATTCTTGGCCATGGTCATTTAAATTTTTCAGATTATTCCTCTGGGTTTAAGGAAAAGTCTTATTCTCTCCAAAAGAGATGAACAAAGGGTCAGAGCCCATTCTTGACCACCTTCCCTAATTCTGAAGGCTTCCCTGCGATGCGAATGTTCATTGCAACACTATTCACAATAGCAAAGACATGGAATCAACCTAAATACCCATCAATGATAGACTGGATAAAGAAGAAGTGTTATAGATACACCATGGAATGCTATGCAGCCATAAAAAAGAATGAGATCATGTCCTTTGCAGGAACATAGATGGAGTTGGAGGCTATTCTTAGCAAGCTAATGCAGGAACAGAAAACCAAACACCACATATTCTCACTTATAAATGGGAGCTAAAGGATGAGAACACATGAAGAATGGAACAACAAAGACACTGGGAACTACTTGGGGGTGGAGGGTGGGAGGAGGGAGAGGCTCAGAAAAGGTAACTACTGGGTGCTGGGCTTAATACCTGAGTGATGAAATAATTCTGTACAACAAATCCCCGTGACACGAGTTCACCTAGGTAACAAACCTGCACATGTGGCCGCAAACCTAAAATAAAAGTTAAAAAAAGAAAGATGTGAAAAGGCACCACCTTCTGATATCGTTCTGGGAGTTGCAGCTGGTCTATATGACGCACAGACCTATCATATATGTGAAAGCCATCCCACAAGAGTCTGAGCGACTGTTTTTTTTTTTTTTTTTTTTTAGTAACCCTGAATTCTTCTAGCTTTAGGCAGCCTCTCCTTGCTTCTTCTGACAAGTACAGGAAATGGAAAGATTCAGGAGCAGGAGGAGCCCCCTGTAACCCTGCTAATAAGGGAGATAGGTCAAAAGAGAAAAAAACATGTTAGCGGCCAATCGGTGTAGGAAATGTTCTAGTTTAGTTAGCTACAAAGCTGTTTGCAGATTAAGCCTGAATGGTATAGAGGTTAAAAGCCTAAGCTTTGTATTTCTGTCATTTGTCAGCCTGATAAATGTACACTATACAAGGAACATAATGATTAAAATTACAAATAAGAAAATACATTTATAAACCAAGAAAACCAAACGTGGAGGAGAAAAATGGAGGTTGAAATAAGAGAAATCAAACAAAAGGAATACAGAACACATTGAACGGGTTAAAAAAGAAAACCAGGAACTCAGAAATTAGAAGTATAACTAGGGAAAAATGAGATAAAAGAATTAAAATTTTAGATGTTAAAATCAGAAACGTAGAATTTCAAGGATATAGTTGCGAATAAAGCTTAAGGAGAAAAGGAAACAACAATGTTTTCAAGTGAAAACAATGGAGGAAAAAATTAAATGGAATAGAAAGAGTAAGCCAGGTAGCTGAAACATTTTAAAGGAAGATAAAAACTAAGCGAAAATCTAGTCAAAGGAATATAACATTCTCTAAGTGCTAAACATTTAGAGAACAAAACAACCTAAATATAGAAGACAAGAGCTGAACAATTTAAAACATGAGAAGAGCAAACATTTTTTTGAAAAGCAAATTACCTGCTTTTTAAAGACATCTGGCTTTTCTTATTATTATTCTCCAAATACTAAAGCAGCCACACATTCCAGTAGATTGTCTCTGTACTTTTGATTCCGGAGGCCAGGTTCTTTGCAAAGCATCCCTCAGGGTTCCTTTAGGCCAAAGCCGAAGGTAGCAAGCAGTTCAAAATGTTTAACCTCTTCAAGCTCCTCTTTCTCCAAAGGCTCTTGTCTCCTGTGTCTGCGTGGCCTTTAATTAGATACCTTGAGGAGTTGGCCATGGAAACAGGCTGGAAAGATACATACCCTGGCTTGGCCAGCTCTGTTGTCTGCCTTGGCTCTGCAAGCAGTCCTGTAGACAAGCACTTCACTGCTTGCCAGGAAGCCCAGGAATCACTCTACAGATATATTGCCTGCCTACATAGCTCTAGTTGCGGAGGTTATTAAGGACTCTCCTTCTTCTCCTCACATTCCTGGCTGCAGTTTAGACAATCGTACTGTTCTGTAACATTTCAGGCCACAGGTAGAGAGCAAGTCAGTGGTTTTCAAACTTTTGGGCTACCACCCACAATAAGAAGTACATTTCATATAGTGACTCAATACATACATACACGTATATATCTATATAACTGAAAAAGAAATTTTGTAAAATAAATACCCTCTCTAATATCATGCCCTCTGTTACTTTCTTTTGTATTGTGTATTACAGAATTGTCTCGTGGGAGCTGGAGCAATGGTTTTTAAAAATATTTTGCTGGCCAGGCACGGGATTACATGCCTGTAATCCCAACACTTTGGGAGGCTGAGGCGGGCAGATCAAGAGGTCAAGAGATAGAGACCATCCTGGGCAACATGGTGAAACCCCATCTCTACTAAAAATACAAAAATTGGCTGGGCGTGGTGGCACATGCCTGTAGTCCCAGCTACTCAGGAGGCTGAGGCAGGAGAATTGCTTGAACCCGGGAGGCAGAGGTTGCAGTGAGCCGAGATTGTGCCACTACACTCCAGCCTGGTGACAGAGTGAGACTCTGTCTCAAAAGAAAAAAAAAAAAAGTACTTCCATCCACACTAAGAAATACATTTAACATTGTGTCCCAATACACATATGTGTATGTATCTATATAATTAACAGTTTCACAATACAATACTCTTTCTTCTAATAGCATATCTTTTCTTCTTGTATTCTACTGTATTATAGTTCTGTTTACAGCTTCCCAGCTGTATCTACCTACATTAGCAACTCCAGGATTCCTACCAAGCCAATTCAATGACAGCATAGAGAACCACAGGCAAGGAAAGTGCCCAAAAGGGTGGTAGAATCACTACAACATCTTTGTACTGAAAATGCACTTTACTACTCCCTATTGCCGATCTGGTCTATATATTGTGTCTTTGTTCCCCCAACATATATGAAATATAAATACTTTTTATCTGTAAGGTACTTACAATAGGGGATGGGAAGCCAGGATACCAGTGAAGAGAGCTCTAGAAGGGTTTCTACATGTCATTAAATTAGAGTATCTGTTGGTCATAATTTTTTTGGAAGCTACAGAAAATCCATTTCGAGTATCCTTAAATAAAAAGTAGAATTTATTTACATAACTGAATGTTTAGGAAACATTTGTCTTCAGGCTCAGCTTGATCCAGGACTCAATGATATTCTAAGATGCATCTCTCAGCTCTGCTTCCCTGAAATATCCCCATTCTCAAGGTGGCTCCCCTTGTGGTCGCAAATATGACCATAATAGTTCCAAACCCTAAAGCATCATGAACTGGAGGAAAAGTTTATGTTTCTGCCTAGGGTCATGTTCTCATTCCTGAACCAATTATTGTGTCTGGGGAGACAGGATATGCCAATAGGTGTAAGCCAGTCAGGGCCTACTCCTGGATCTCCCACATGATTAAGAGGGGGGGGACTGATTTTTCAAAGAAAATAAAGAGAGAACTGTGACTTGGAAGATGGGAAAATGGAAGCGGGGCTGCCAAGGGCAGGTGCTTACTCCACTGAGCCTCAAATGCAGCATGGAGATAGGAAAAAAAGTTGTGGTGGGGAAGCCTTGTCAGTGGGCAGCAGGCATGGGTCAGGGGCAGCACTGTAGGTGGAAGGAGCAGCACTAGTGAGGCCAGGGGCCACCTTATGTCATCTGGTGTAGCAGGAGCTTCAGTACACACACTGAGGAGCAGTGAGAGATGAGACGAGAGCTGATAAAGCAGCCTGTGGGTTCTGATTTCCAGGCTACAGACTGAAAACTAAATTTAACAGCTAGTCAGAATTCAGAGGAAGATTTTAAGTAAAATTAGCACCGTAGGAGATTAACTTTGCATTAATGAAATGGGACAGAAATGCATTGGAGAAAGACAATCCTGGAAGATTACAGTATTCCAGGCAAGAGTTAATGGAGTGCCAAACAGGGTAGCAGTGAGTGTAGAGAGAGGAGAGGAATTGATTCCAAAGCTCTGTGCCCCTCTATCCCATCACCCCATGAAACTTTCCATTCTGTTGACTTATGCAAAGGCGGGAGAGAACCTTCAATATTTAATTGGCTTCAAACAAAGATCAAATAATTCCTGAGAGCTTTACTTTTCAAAAAGGAAGAAACCACCTGTTGGAAAAAAATAAACCAATAGTTATGTAACTCATTACAGAAGTCTGTCTCATCACATGGTTCAATTACTTTGCAACAAATGAAATGAAACAAAGACATTTCTAAGTCACCAAACAGGCTCCAGAGGTCTCTCTCCCTAGAGCCCCATGGTCAGAATTCTTCTCATCCCTATCTTATAGAACCTTGATTCAAACCATCAAATATTACATATATGCATTTTTTATTACCCACTAGATTATGATGAGGGTTTGGGGTGACAGAAACCTCTTCAGGTTGAGTAAAATAATTTCTTTTCCTCTTTCCCAAGCACCTCTACTTGGATCCAAGCACTATGGCTGGAGCTGGGATATGGATATGAATCCCAGCTAGACCTGAACCTAGGGAGGCTCTGGTTTAGTGTGGGAAGCAAGGCATTTAACAAGTGCTGGGAGAGACATCGGCACAGAGTGCAGTGGGAGGAGAGGTCCGCTGTGTGCAGTAAGAAAGGGAAATGCTTCATCAGAGGCAATACTTAATAACAAGTCTTAAAAGACAAGTAGTCAAAGAAGGCAGGAGAAAGGAGGGTCATTGGAAAGTGCTTATCTGGCAGATGGATGTTTGAACATGAAGAATGCCATAGCAACTTTGAACTCATGATGTCTTCAGAAATACGTAGCAATTTCTTAGAGAAACTCTAAGGGGACTCTAAGTTGCCTGAATCCAGGCAATAGGCTCAACCTCTGTCCATGCTGGGACTGAGTCATCTGGTAAAAAATCAATATATAAATTTGGAGTTTATACAGATTTTTATATATTCTTATTTAATTTCATTTTAAAGAGACAAGGTCTTGCTGTGTTGCCTAGGCTGGATTGCAGTGGTGCAATTGTAGCTCACTGTAACCTCAAACTCCTATGTTCAAGCAATCCCCCCACCTCAGCCTTTTGAGTGACTGGGACTACAGGTACGCACCACCACCCCAGGCTAATTTTAAAAAGTATTTTTGTAGAAACAGGGTCTCACTATGTTGCCCAGCCTGCTCTTGAACTCCTGGCCTCAAGTGATCTCCCTGCCTCAGCCTCCCAAGGCTTATTTAATTTTTACTACAATGCTGTATAATGGAAATGCTAGGGGGAAACCCAATTTTACAGAAAACAGGTTTAGCAAAGTCATTGAGAGTCACACAGCTGAGAAGGGAGGTTGGAGTGGCCTTGAGAGATGGGCTGGCTTACAGATCTTTTGCTGCACTGGAGCGTACAGCTTCTACCTGCTCTCTGCTTGCAGTGACTCTGTCCTTTTGGAGTTGAATCAGACAACTTGGGATCCCTTTTTTGTCCGTTGCTATGTCACTTCTTTATTTGTGTGCCAGCATAAGCCCAACAGTTTTGACACCTGTTCAATGAAGAAGACTTTTATAGACAGAATAAACGGTACACACACATACACACACACACACACACACACGCAAGAATAATGGGTAATCTATGGTGAAAGACATCTGGTGTTACAGGTTTATTATTACTAAAATACAAGCAAGATTCGTTTCTCTCCTACATTAGAGACACTTATACTGAGAACAAGGAGTAATTTAAGGAAATTGAAACATCTATACTTGAAGTCATTTTTAATGTCTTTCTTTAAAATAACAGTTTTTTAATATTCCTAGAATCCCATAAAGCATTGTTTTATTCATGTGACTGCCATACTTAATGATCTTCAGAGATATCCTGCTAATGTCACCAAGTCCACACCCTTTAGCTTGGAGTTCAATGTCTGCAATAATGTCACCACAACCTAGATTTCTAGTTTTATTTCCAAGCTCTCTTCTCCACCCCTGAGAGTTTCCCTCCTCTTTGTCTGTGCTTGCTTCTCTCTGCTTACCTTCAATTTCAGCCCTGGCTCCTCAGTGAAACCTGCTGCTACTGACAATACTGTCTACGCTGAAAATACTTGGCCAAAATCCAAAAACTTATTCTGAGGACTAACACCCCAATTTGGCACATTGTGACACAAATCTCTTGCCAGTTTAGTATGGTCTGCTCTCACCCTGTGAGTGAGCCTGGCTAGCGATGCCTCTCCTTCAAGATCTTGGATTTGATGAAAAAAGATAGTTCTAGTCTCATGAAGAGCCTATTAGCTGCATGGCCTATTTTGGTAACAGTCAAATCCATATCTTGTTACAAACTCAAAAATGACAAGTACTAGTAGCGAAAAGGCAGGTGATATGGTTTGGCTGTGTCCCCACCCAAATCTCATCTTGAATTGTAGTTCCCATAATCCCCATGTACTGTGGGAGTGACCCAGTGGGAAGTAATTGAATCATGGGGGCGGTTACCCCCATGCTGCTGTTCTCATGATAGTGAGTGAGTTCTCATGAGATCTGATGGTTTTAGAAGGGGTTTTCCCCACTTTTGCTGACACTTCTCTCTTGCCTGCTGCCATGCACGATGTGGCTTTGCTGCCCCTTCGCCTTTTGCCATGATTACAAGGCCTCCCCAGCCATGTGGAGCTGTGAGTCCATTAAACCTCTTTTCCTTTATAAGTTACCCAGTCTTGGGTATGTCTTTATTAGCAAAGTAAGAGTGGAATAATACAGCAGGGCATGAGAAAAATCAAGGTAACCCTCCCAACATCTTGTCTGGTTTTAATCCCTTATTAAAAATGCCAGGCCAGCTCAAATGAGACTCATATGTCTGAAATCCAGGAAAGGAAGGAGGCTAACATGTGGGCACCAGAGGCAAAAGAATATGTTTGTAACACAGTCCAAGAAAAGAGGAAGCTGAAATCATAGTAGAATACTGCAGGAAACAATCATGCTGTAAAATGAATGAAGACACCAAAAAAGGGCTTTGAAAATTCTACGTTTGAAGCAAGAACTTACAAGAAGGAATGCAGCTCTCACCAGGTACCAACTTGATTTTCTTTTTAGGCTGGTGACAGGCCAGGGGGATAATATAGTCGGAAAATGTTTGTATTTCAGCAACACGTTTGCTAAAGCCTTCCACTGCATCCTTGTAAAATCAAGTGAAATACGCTTTGGATCAAGTAACAGATACCAGGTGGATCAGTCATATCCAAATTAGCAGCTTTCTATTATCCTGCAGGGAATCTGTGGCTGGACTACCATCTCCTAATAATATGCTTATCAACTTTACACGTGGCACAAACAATAAGGGATTAGATGTCCAAGAGATGACAGAATTAAAATTATTTTGACAAGCTGACACCAGTACAATTAAAGTTAACATAGATAAATGTTAAGTTCTTTATTTAGGCTGATTGTTTCTTCTGTTGAGGTTTCTATGGCTTAGTATACAGGATTATAAGAAGATGCTGCTATGGGCTGAATGTTTGTGCACTCCCACTCCCAAAATTTCCATGTTGAAGCCTATTCTCCAATGTGATGATATTTGGAGGTGGGGCCTTTGAGAGATAATTAGCTCATGAGGGTGGAGCCTAAATGAATGGGATCAATACCCTTTTCAAAAGAGGAGGAAGCGTGGGATTCAAGTAAGAGGATGACATCCCTAAACCAGGAAGCAGGCCCTCACAAAACACCGGATCTGCCAGCACCAGTGATCTTGGACTTCTCAGTCTCCAGAACTGTGAGAAATAAATGCTTGTTTCAGCCACCCAGTTTATGGTAATTTGTTATAGCAGCCCAAACTGACTGAGATGCTACTGGGAAATGTAGTTGATCCTATGACAACTTGCTCTTTTAAAAATCCATTTTAAGTATTTTTAAATATTCCATATGTAATTATTGTATATTCTTTATCTGATAAATAATTCACATTTCTAAATTGTTGTTTGTTATTTCTGTTGAATCTCCCTTATGCTGGTATATTTCCTTTGGTATTTTGTGATTTTACATAGATTATACAGATACGTGTCTGATGAGAAGCCTACAAAGGAATGTTGCATCCTAAAAAAATGTATTAACAGAAATATAGGTTTGAGCCAAAGGATATTGCTTTGAATTGGTCAGATGGTCTGGGTTGAATTGAATTAAATAATAGCGTGGACCAGGTAAGAGAAAATTAACAAACTAGGAAACAGAATTAAAGAAATGACCTAGAATGTGACACAAAAGACAGGGAGATGAAAAACATGGAAAAATGATTAAGAACATGGAGGATAAAACAGAAGATCTAATATGCATCTAACTCGAGTACTGAAAGGGAGAATAGAGGTAATATAGGAGAGGCAATAGGTGAAGAGATCGTGGTTAAAGGTTTTCCAGAGATGATAAAAGATGTCTCTCTGTAGATGTAGGAATTAACCTACATAACTAGCAGAATAAAGAAAATCCATATCTAGACATATTGTAGTGAAAATTTAGAACTCCGAAGATAGACAAGATCACACAAGCAGCCAGAGACTGTACAAAGGAATAATAAAGCAACAACAGAAGACTTTTCAACAGTGACATAAATCAGGAGATAATTGAACAATATCTTTAAACAGGTGAGAAAAAAATCACTATTAACCTAGAATTGTGTATCCAGAAAAGCAAGGGAAGGATGGAAGACATTTTCATGCATACAAATGTGGTAGTTTCCCCACAAATAAATCTTCATCAATGAAGCTTCTAAAGAATTTAAGAACAACAGGAAAAAGCAGTGAAAATTTCTGATATGAAAAAAGGGATGGAGAGCAAAAAAAAAAAAAAGTAAACAAGTAAAATGTGTATAAAATTAAACTAATTTCTAATGTGTAGAATTGAAAAAGAAGTATATAGAATTAACTTATGTAAGAAGGATATCATTGAGAATTAAAGGTTTCTAAGGTCCTTGATTATTCAGGCAGGGAGGAGGAATTTGAAGATATTGATTAATCATATAATTTCTTAAGTTGTTAAGTATATATGGTAAAATTTCACTTCAAGAGTAACCATTACCAGAAAAAGTATCTAACTTCCAAACTAACAGAAAGAGAAAAGTGGAGTAACAATAAACATGACCAGTTAGAAGAAATGGGCAATAAAGGAGATAAAGGCTTAGAAGAAGAATGAATGAATGGAAATTGCAAAATAAGTTATAGTAACAAGTCGAAATAAATTATTAATTCCCCCAAATTGGAAGTTAAGTCAACTTTCTAATAAAAGACAGAGATTGTCAGATTTCAGAAAGAAAAAACATTATGTTGCTTATGTTGTTGATAAGAAATACCTAAAATATAAGGGCACAAAAGATTGAAAGTAAAAAAGTGTTTTTTAAAGATATTTATAGAAAAACAACAAAAAGAGCATTCAGCTGTATTAATGACAGAAAAATACAAACTTTAAGGTAAAACTGTTATTAGGAATACAAGTGGTTAATACCAAATGATAAAACTAACTTCAAAACAATGAAAAACTTGTATACACCTCAGAATAACTAAAGCAAAAAAATTTGTAGATGTATAGAGGAAAAATGACAAATTCAATATCATATTGGGTAAGTAAAAAATGCTTTTCTATTATGGTTTGACCTAACTGACTAAAATTAGTAAAAATATAAAATATTTGAACAACACAATTAGCAAGCTTGATGTAATGGGTGTATTATGGAAAACTGGGCCCCAATATTAAAGAGAAATACACATGAAACACTTGCACAAGTTGACAATGTACTATATAAAACGAGTCTCAAATGTTTAAAACAATTAACATAATGCTAACCATATTATCTAACCACAAGCAATTAAGTTAGCTATCAACATAAAACGATTAATGAAGTCCTATATATTTGGAAATTTAAAATATCTGAATAACTGGGGAAAAGAGGTGATTCTTCCTTACAGTACAACTCCAGATTCCAGACAAAATATAGAATAAGTGATGAAAATTAAAAAAAATCACTATTTGGTAAACACCACAGTAATAATTTTTGCAGCAAGGATCATCAATGGATGTTAACATAAGTGAGTGATAGTATGATAAAAAACAGGATATTTGCATATTTTCAAAGTATCAACCTGCAAGATTCTTAACAATTACAAAGGGGAAAAGAGTAACTTTACAGTGAAGAAACCTAAGACATCGCCTCTATTAGTCAAGATTTTTCAGAGAAACAAAACTGATAGAACGTCCCTCTCTCTCTCTTTGTACATATATGTATATATAAATGCATATGTACTTATATGTATAAATACAGACATGTATATATGTATATGTGTGTATATAAATATTTATACAATAAAAATGGAAACTATGGAAACAAGAAGACAATGGAATGACATCAAGTGCTGAGGAAAAAACCTGTCAAAGTAAAATGCAGTGTTCAGTAAAAATATCTTGCATCAGACAAGATAAAAAACAAAAGTAAATTACTGCTGTTTATAAGAAAAACAATTTAAATGAAAGAACACAAGACAATTGAAATTAAAAGGACATTAGAGGGTAGAAAAGGATATAAACATAAAAACATTAACAAAAGCAAGTGTAGCTATACCAGTGCCAGGCAAAATTGGCTTTAAGGAGTGCAGCATTACTAAAGATAATGAGCTACATTTTATAATGGCAAAAAGATCACTTCTAAAGGAAGGTATAACAATCCTAAATATGTATGCACCCAACAACACATTTTCAAGGCAGAAGTCAGTCTAAAAGAGAAAACAGGAATTCACAGAGAAATAGTTGTAGGATTCCATATATTCCCCTTAGTAAATGATAGAATGAACAGACAATAAAATCAGTTAAGTATAAAAAAGATTTAAACAACATTAGTAATCAACTTAATTGACACATAAAGATTACTATCCACAACCATAATAAAGCACACTTTTTTTTTTTTTTTTTTTTTTTTTGAGATGGAGTCTCGCTCTGTCGCCGAGGCTGGAGTGCAGTGGCACGATCTCGGCTCACTGCAAGCTCCGCCTCCCGGGTTCACGCCATTCTCCTGCCTCAGCCTCGTGAGTAGCTGGGACCACAGGCGCCCACCACCACGCCCGGCTAATTTTTTTTTGTATTTTTAGTAGAGACGGGGTTTCACCATGTTAGCCAGGATGGTCTCGATCTTCTGACCTCGTGATCCGCCCGCCTCGGCCTCCTAAAGTGCTGGGATTACAGGCGTGAGCCACCGTGCCCGGCCTAAAGTACACATTTTTAAGTCCACGTGGAATATTCATCAAAATAGACAACATTATGGACCATTAAGAAAAGTCTAAATAAATTTCAAAAAAAGAATGGAAATAATACAGAGTATTATTTGCCAGAGTATTATTGTGATGTTTGACCACAATGGAACAGAGTTAAAAATTAACTAAAACGTTTCTAGAAAATGCCAAAATATTTGGAAATTAAGCAACATATATCTGAATAACTCATGCATTAAAGAATAAATCACAAGGGAAATTTTAAAATATTTTGAAGTGAATGTTAATGAAGATTCAACATATCAAAACTTGTGAAATGTAGCTAAATCAGAATTTAGAGAAAAATTTATAGCTCTAGATTCAGATATTAGCCAAGAAGAATGAAAAAAATCACAGATCTAAACTTCTACCTGAAGAAGCTAGAACAAGTACAGCAAATTAAACCCAATAACAGGAGGAGGAAAACACTAATTAATATAAAAATTTCAAGGATATGTTAAACAAACAAACAATTACAAGAAACTCCTGTCAAGTTAAACAGAGAGAGAGAGAGACAGGGAGAACCACTAACAGGAAAGAGAAAAAGATATACAAGCTATCCCGCAGAAATTAAAAAGAGACTAAGAATATTACAAACAACTTTATTTCATTTAGATGAAATGGACAAATTTATTTTAAAACACAATTCGCCAAAATTGACAGAAGTGGAAGTAGAAAATCTATTTCTGTATTTATTAAAGATACTGAATCTATAATTAAAAATATCTTCACACAGAAAATTACAGTTTCAAATGGCTTCGATTCTTTCAAACACTCAAGGAGGAAATAATAACAACATTACACAAACTCTTGTAGAAAATAGAAAAAGAGGAAACACTTTCTAATCCATTAATGACACTAGCATAACCTTGATATCAAAACCTGAAAAAGTTAATACAAGCAAGAAAAATTACAGACCATGCTATCTTGTGAAAACGTTTTTAAAAATCCTTTAAAAAACAGTGCTAAAATATAATAAGTAGAAAGGATGATACTACATCATGACTAAGTGGTTTTTTTCCCTACTAATGCAAGTTTGTATTAACATTTGAAAATCAGTGTGTTGGAGTAAATTAAAATGGGGACTGGGCCTGAAGAATCCCTGAGCAGACCTCAAAGAGCTCTCTTGCCATGTTTTTGCCAGCTGAGTATAAAATGCGAAGATGACTCTGCAATGTGGAAAAGTGCTCTTAGCAGAATCTGAAGATGCTGACACCCAATCTCAGACTTTCTCACCTTCAGAACTGTGAGAAATAAATTTCTGCTGTTTGGAAGCCACTCAGTCTATGGCACTTTGTTATAGCAGTCCAAATGGACCAAGACAGTCCACCAAAATTCATGTTTAGGAATGTTCATAACAACTATATTCATAGTAGCCCTAAAATGAAAGCAACCCAAAAGACCATCAATATTAGAATTAGTAATTCTAGTGCAATGCCATACTACACAGCAATGAAAGAATAACTATTGACAGGAATAAACCTTACAAACATAATTTTGACTGAGAAGTTGGATATAAAAATATACCACATGGGCCGGGTGTGGTGGCTCATGCCTGTAATCCCAGCACTTTGGGAGGCCAAGGTGGGTGGATCACCTGAAGTCAGGAGTTCAAGACCAGCCAGGCTTACATGGTTAAACCCCGTTTCTACTAAAAATACAAAAAGTTTGCCAGGTGTGGTGGTGCACACCTGTAATCCCAGCTACTTGGAAGGCTGAGGCAGGAGAATCGCTTGAACCTGGGAGGCAGAGGTTGCAGTGAGGTGAGATCGTGCCATTGTACTCCAGCTTGGGCAACAAGAGCGAAACTCTGTCTCAAAAAAAAAAAAAAAAAAAAAAAATATATATATATATATATGAGACACATGATTCCATTTGTATGAAATTTTAAAACAGGCAGAGCAAATCTACATGGATACAAGTCAGAATGATGGTTACTCTGGATGGAAAGGTTGACTGGAAGAGACATGAGTGAGCCTCCAGGATAATGGAAGCATACCACATTTTGACCTTCGTAGTGGTTACTCAGGTGCATAGACATACAGAATTTCATTAATCTATAAACATAAGATTTGTGTACTTACTGAATGAAAATTTTACCTCGGTAAAAATTTATAACTAAAAAAAAAAAAAAAAAAAAACCAGAATAAGCAAGACATTCCCCGAAGGCAGAATAAGGTGAGGAAGAAATTTTACCACAAGATATCAAGATTTATTATAAAGTTATAGTAATTAAGACCATGATTTTTATTGTAAAGAGATAGTCAATTTGATCAGAATTGAACAGATTACAGAGAGCAGAAATAAATTCCCACATATATGAAAATTTGATTGCAAATCACTAGGGAAAAACAAATTCTTCAGTAAATTGTGCTGGCTGGGACAGTTGGTATCTATATAAAAACAAAAGTGAGTTCTACCTCACATCATACAAGCAAATAAATCCCTAACTGCCATGTGAAAGACAAAACCTTTGAAATTTCTAGAATAAGATATAGGAAAATAGTTAATGATTAAGAACAGTGGAAGAGTTATTAAATAAGGAATAAGAAGCTGTAATGATGTAAGATAGAAAACATGAAATTGACATAAACAGTACAATGTAAAACTTTTGTTCCTTGAAACGCACCACAGAGAAAAAGAAAAGACAAGCCACAAATTGGAAGGAGATGTTTATAACACATAGAATCAACAAAAGTAGTATCAAGAATATACTAAGAATTCTTTAAATCAAAAAGTAAAGTAACCCAGGAGAAGAGTGAACAAAGATGAATAGCCATTTTCACAGATGAAGTAACACTCATAGAGAATTAACAATAGGAAAAAATGCTAAACTACATAAAAAATAAGGGAAATACCCGTAAAGACCATAATGAGATATAATTTACATCCACCAGTTGGTCAAAAATTTACAGTCTGGAAATACCAAATGTTGGCAAGGATGTGGACAACTACTGTTAGAACTATAAAATGTCCAACCACTTTGGAAAACGATTTGGCAATATCGTGCACATGTGAACTGTTTGACTCTACAGCTCAGCAATTTGATTCCTAGGTATGCACTCTACAAAATTCTTGCAAACGTACTAGAATTTTCTAAGAATGTTCATACAAGCATTGTACATATTAGTAACAAGCAAAAATCCCAAATATTTACTAAAAGAATGGATAAAAGTAAATTATGGTATATTCACATGATGGCATTATACAGTAGTGCAAATAAACTGGAGTTGTATATGCAAAGGATATGGATAAATCTTGGGAAAAAGCAAGTTTCAGAAGACTATATACAACATTTTAACAGGCTTATAATGTTTGTAAATATACAAAACTAAATGATATAGTATTTATATATACATCTGTATGTAATAAAACCATTCAGAAAGCAAGAAAATGGTAAATAAAAAAATTCAAGGCAATAGAAGAAATACTCAGGTAGCTTCAAAAGTAGTGATAATGTTCTTTTTATGTTTCCTTCATAATATACATACTCATCACATTATTTGGTGTGTATCGAATATTATATAATGAATATCCTAATAGAAATTGTTGCCTATAGGATTAAATTTCTGCCAAGAAGTACATGGTGACAAAGAACAGACACTCCAGAGACAGACCCTTTGGCTTCTAACCTGCCTTTCCCACTTAATGGAGGCATGACCTTGGGTAAGTTACTGAAGTGCCTTGTACCTCAATTTTTGCATCTGTAAAGGGGAATGATAAAAGAACCTATGTCATGGGGTTATTGGGAGGACTAAATGCATTTATATACCTGAAGCACATAGAAGAATGCTCGGTACAAGACATGCTGTGTGTCTGTTCTCATCTTCATCACCCAGGGGGCCAGACACACAACTTCTGTTAGTTTCAGTTTGCTTGTCTGCAAAATGGGATAATAGGATTTTGGTGAAATAACATGTATGTCACAAAAGACGTGCAAAACACAGAAGATATTCAGTAGGTAGAGTATAATTATAAAAATTTTGACTCAATCTTATGGATTTCCTATATTTGGTTTTGAAATTAAAGAGCTAGTCACATGGTACAGGACTAAAGACACTAACTCTTGAGATAACTTATGCTGTGAGCAAAGACATTCTTAAAATTTTATGAAATAACATTTTGTGATTATAATATAAATTTTGAAAATGCTAGAAAATCTGTGATCCTCTCCATTTAGAAATAAGCAGTCTTCTCAGTTTAGTATCTTCTAGCCCTTTTCCTGTGCTTTAAAAAATGAAATTGAGATCACACATTTAAATAAGTATGTGGAAGAGTAGATGATGAAAGAGGAATTCTAGAGTGTCCACATGCTCAAGAAGGGAATGATATGGTCCTTTGTAGAAGTAAAGGTGGCAGCTGACTCACCTTTACTGCCTGCCTGTTGCCCTCTCCTGTAGCTGGGATGTAACTGAACACCGGGTTCTGGCCAGGTGGTGATTCAGGAGCCTGCGATGCTCTGCCTGAGGACAGCTTTTCCCAAGGGCTCTCCTTTCCCTTCACATTCTGGTAGAGGTGAAACCATTTTGGATCTGCTTCATGGAAACAAAATGTTTTTTTGTTTGTTTGTTTCATTTCATTTTCAAGATAAATGTATACTTAATTTTTATAGACCTTCAATAACCACCAGTTGGATTCCCAGCAGCTTTAGAAAGCTGTCAAGTTTAAAGCAGGTTATAACCTGTCTCATTTTAGCCTTCCTTTTGTCGTTGAACCACAGAAGTCAGAGCCCAAGCTGTTCTTCCGCCTTTCTGCAGATGGCATAGCATTTGTCAATATTAAATTTAATTTGTGCTAAGAGCAGTTCACTAACAGCGAAAACACAAAGCTTGCTGAACTTTACTTCACCTGTGTGCTTAGTACAGCCAGGATTAGCAAATGTAATGAATTCAGCAACATTATCCTACTGAAATCTAGGTCAGCTCTGTTGATTAAAAACATTATAGGTTTAAGAACTAACCCTATAAAAACTCACTTAAAATTTTACTGTATCATAACATATTGCATTTCTTGTACTTTTAAAATAGAAGGATGTGTTTATACCCAATTACTAATCCAGTGGGTCAACATTAAGAGGTCATGATCAACAACAGACATTTATTGAGCACCTATTGTGTGCAAGGCACTATACTAGGTATAGGCTGCAGAGACAAAGGAGAAAGAGTCTCTGCCCTCAAGGAGCTTACAATCTAATTAGACTAACAGGACACATGCATAAAAAGACGAAGCACAATTCAAGGTAGTATATAATATTAGGGCACTGAGTAGAAAGAAACAGGGTTTCAGCCTTTTTGCATTTGCATTTCAACACCCTGAGAAGGTGGGATGAGTGAGCTACAAAAGAGGGGCTACACTTGCTCATTTTTAAACCTTGAGACACTCTCACCTCTTTCCATTCCAAAGTACCTTCTGGCATGTGCTAACACCTAGGCAATTGGTTCACACATCCTGCCCCCCAGGGCTTATTATTATAGTTCTCTTTGACGTGGCCTTCTGATAGGGTGAGCCACTGTCATGGAGCCCAGGACTTCCCTGGTTTTAGCACTGAAGTCTGTGTCTTGGGGACCCCTCTTCTTCACTCCCCACTTGGCCCTGGGCAAACCATAATGGTACTTCTGAAGTACCTTGTATGGTAGCCAGATATATTCCTCCCACCTACCATGGTCATTACTCTGGCAGGACCTACCCCAAATCTGTTTCCCAGATAGATCTTTAGTTTAAAAACCTACAAGGAAGACCTTAACAGCACCAAAGACTGCTGGTTTAGGAGCACACTGTAGACAAAAGAAGACAATTGGGAGAAAATGACAGTAAAGAGATACAATGAGGTTTAAGAGAGAAGCAATGAGAATGGAAGAAATGATTGGGTCAGATACAAAACATGTAGAGTGTTAACATCACCTCCCAACACTGCAGAGAGAGAATAGGAACATGGACCCTTCTTTCAGAGTAGGTTTATTTAACAATTTGAACCATCACCCTGGTGGAATTCAGGATATATTTCTGAAATGAGTTTGCTCTTACACAAGGGCAAATATTTAGGCAGGTACTAAATGGGTGCATGTGCCTTTAAATAACACTGTCTTAATCCTAATAGAATTTCAACTTTCTCCTTCTACTTTTACTTAGCATTTATCATCTTCTAAGTCGGTAATTTTAATTTTTGAGGGGAGTTTTTATTTCAAAATGAGATTATTTCCCTCCATTCTCATGTCATTCAAATAGATCAGTAATGGAGAGAACTTCAGAAAACAAAGGATACACAAATCTGGTAGTAACCTAAGGATTGTGAGAGACCACACAAATTTCTCTTTTAGGTACAATACGTTGTGTTTTGCTTTCATCTATTTTTTTTTTTAAAGAAAAGATCTTACTCTGAAATCTGATGACCTCAGAAGTCTCTGAATTGCTCAGGTTTTATGTGTAGCCCTTAGGAGTACACACCAGGGTTAGCAAAGCACAGGGACTTAGTTGCCAAATGCCCATTAACGGTAATGGAAATCACACAGCTAAGTCTCCATGCAGCATGCTGAATATTTACCTCCTAATGTTCTTTTAATGTATGCTTTCTTGGGTGAATATTTACCGTAGAATATTAAATCTGAGATTCCTCCTTTTATGGGCCATTTGAAGTGATTGATTTTGTTTGCAAATTCCCGTATCTTTGCCCATAATGGCTATCTATTGTAATGGCCTCTGCCAAATGTTCTTGTGTTGAAATAACAGAAGCCATGGATCGACCAGCTGTGGCATTGTATTACTGTGGTCTTAAAAGCTAGGAGGGAGCTGATGACACAGCTGGGAGAGAGGAAAAAGGCATGTAACATAACGAGTATGACTTAGGCATCAAACACAATCAGATACTGAAATCACCGAGGTCTATAAACATGGTTCTGTAGTCATCTTTTATATCAGAGTTTATATTTAATGGTGTTGAATAGTGTTCAGACGACAGTCATGAAATGGTAGTGGGAAGACAAGAATTCAATTGCCCACAACCAGGTTCATCAGCACAATCTATCAGAATTCTAGTCATTTTCTTTAACGCTGTAATAAAACCACTTTGCAAGTGGTAATTTTTTACACTTATTTACACCACATTTTTAAAAAATATGAAATCACATATCCTAGCTACATGTAGATTTAAAACATTTCCCAGTGAAGCCATGATTTTCTGAATTTGGCCTCTTCATTCTTCTGAGTATTTGAGAGGGAGAAGTTACAAACGAGATGGAGCTACCATGATGGTTTTTTTAATAAAGAAAATCTAAAATCTGAAGATAGACAGATATGTGAGATATTATTAGATGAAGCAATATAATTACATTCTTGCATGTTGAAACTATGCCTTTCCAAATTTCCACAAATATAGAAATTGCCAAAGGAGCCACTTATGTTTGAGCAACATAACGTCTTCAAGTGATTATAAAGGTGGCCTATAAGTAAATTGTATAAAATTAATACACTTTTTCATATGTTGATAAAGTATGATGTGTTCAGAGTCCATGCTGTGGAAGACAATGTGTTGGAATAAAATTCATAGTCCCTTTAAAAACTATGAGAAAACTTAAAGAACATATTCCAGTATGTTTTGGACGGCCATTTCAATCTTACTGGCTTTGAACAGCCCAAGCCATACACATCAATATCAACTTTGTTTATGTTATGTGAGTACCCTGATTGTGTTTGCATTTTAACAACAATACTCCGTGTAATTAATAGTACTAGTTAGTGTACTAATTAAGAAAAGGGAAAAGAAGTGGTAATGCGATAAAACTTCTTTTATCATAAGCCAGGTCATGTCTGTAAAACAATGTCAGTCTTCATACATAATATTTGCTGGTGCCTTCAAATTTGGCATTAGAGAAACTAATGCCTTCTAAGTCATGTGTAAAGAAAACACTAGTATATTTATAAGAGACTATTTTTGAACAATATTACTTGTTTAAATAAAAATCTATAATATGAATTTATCTTGGCTCTGAATAAAATAAGTCCTTTATACTCCTTCAGACCAGGGAATGGTAATGAATATAATCTAAGAAGATTTGTAGTGAGTCTAAACAGTTCATAGCATAAATGAGTTGAATGATAGGGCATGTCCTTGTAGTCTCTTTTCCTCACAGAAGGGCAGCTGTTTGCTATTGTAGCCAGGGAACCCCTTGGAGCTATGTCTTTTGTGTGTGTGTGTGTGTGTGTATCCTGTGTTTTTGTGTTGAGAGGCTGGGGAAGAGGCGGATGGTGATGCTTCGAGAGAAGCAGGGGGTAGATTTTAGCCCATGTGGACACAGGAAGAAGTGTAGTTTTAACCACAAGAGTGATATAAGTAATATGAATGTAGATAAGGCTCCCCAAAATAAAGTTCCTGCTACTGTTGGGGCCCCATCACTCCAAGTGCAGAGTCTTCAAATGGGTCAAGAAGAGGCCACAAGTTTAGATTTGGGATGAAACCTAAGAGGTTGTCTGGTACAGTGACATCATTCTGCCAAAAAGGAAACTAGGGCTCAAGAGAGGACACTTACATAAATTATTACTAAAGAAAACTACCTTTAAATTTCTCTTGTTAGCATTTTTTTGTTTTAATAACATAGTTTTTGGTTTTCAATTTTGTCCTTTTGGAACATTTCTGCACATTAGAAAATGTCATCGCTATTCTTTTTACAAAAGAGCAGTTTTCCTGAAGCCTAGGGGTTCAAAAAATACAACACAACACTTCCAAGTCAAATACCAATTGCATGCTAACAATGAGCATTGTGAACAGAGTAACCTAATTCTAGGCCATTTCCAACCATCATTCAGGATTAAAGAGTTAGGAAGGATAAATTACCACATAATCATAATCTATAAAAATACTGGCCCAGATTGCACTAAAAAACTCTCAATAAATAAATATTGGACATTTGCTTTATGAAAGTCAGTGGAGATGTGCTCTTCAGAAATCATGTCCATAGTTTCAGCCTGCTTTTTACAAATCACACATACAGAGTCTAACAGATGACAAAGGTTATAGAACAGGAAAGAATACAACTTGATAGAAAAACGTCTTTGACATGGTATGTCTATAAAGGAATGCAACTAATATTGTTGAGTTGCTTATGTTGCAGTTTCAAAGGCAATACTAAGAGATCCAAACTGTTTTTAGTCATAGTGGTGTAACTGAATTGAATGTTCAGCTCCTAAGGTAACACCATTGAAGGGGACAACATTCATTAGGATGCATTAATTCCGGAATTTTTCCTTACAATCCAACTGCACTGCTTTGTCACCCCTGGTAGGCGTCTGTCCATGGTACTTCCTGAGGAGTGAAGCTGTTTTCTGCTACCCTTTCCTGTCTGGTGGCTCAGGAAGTTCAGTGTCTCGGTGTCTGATGCAGTGAATACCTGGGATTACAGTCTGGCATGCTCATTCCTTAGAACACAGGTTTATTCTCAGGATGATTTATAGCAAGTGATTCTGGTTTCCAGTCTGGTTGAAAAAAGTGAATATTGAATGTCCGTGCCCAGTTCTTAAAGACTCGTTTCTCTGTGATAAAGCGGTGATGACTGCCCTTGCGTCCTCGCTCATGGGAGAGGTACATTGTACATTCATCAGGTCCAAAAGGTTCATAATAATGATAAGGTACTGAAGGGTGATTGGGATCCCTGTAGGAGGAAATTGAGATAACTGATTAAAGCAAAAAAATTTTTTTTCCTTTGACTGATTGAGGTAAGATGTTATCTTTAATAAGCTGATAAAAATTGTATTTTCTAGTTAAATGAGTTTGAACAAATGGTTTTTCTGATTACACAATAAGGAAGTGGAGAGGTTTTGAGGTTGTGAAATAAAATCAGTGCCCATCATTTTCATCAAAGAGATTGAAAATGAGCTGCAGAACATTCAGTCTCCTCAGATTTAGACCCTACATATTAATAAGTCACAACAATAGTATTGTTTTCACTCTTCTTACAGTCTATTTACCATAAGCAGCTGCAGAGATATTACCAAAACAAAATATGTCATTCCCATTCCCCACTCCACTAAGCTTCCAGAGGCTTCCAGTTATACAGAGAGCATGGCTGCTGGGATGCATTATGATGTGGCTCCCCTTCTAAGTCTTCTCCTAATCCACCCAGCCTTGTGGATTCCCAGTATGTTCCCACCATACTGGCCTTTCTGGTCAACTCTACAAAGCTCATCCCTACTTCAGGGCCTTTGCACTTGATGGTGGTCACTTGCCTGGAATACCCTCTCTGAGTTCACTCCTCACCTTTGGGTGTCAGCTCAAGTAATATCCTTCTCTGAGAGGCCTTACCTGACACTTGCTCCCCTCACTTCATCTCACTTGAATTCATTTTCTTTATAGCATCAATTGCTGTCTGGAATTGTTGTTGCTGTTTACTTGTTTATTGGGTGTTCATGAGGGCAGTGTTTTGTCTTATTCCTGGAACAGTCCCTGGTAGGTGCTTAATAAATAATTTTAAAAATTATGTTGTTGAAAGAAATTTATATGGAATTAGCAGCTAAATAGCAAACTTCTAAATTTATATGGAATTAGCAGCTAAACGCAAATTTCTTCTCTGAGTTTGGAAAGTTGATGATCTTAGTTTGATCCTATGGGAGAAAAAGGAAGACAGCAAACAAGAGGCCACGATTTTTCTTTTGATGCTTCAGAGGGCCTATGTACTCAAAGTCTACAGTCTTTTAGTCCAGAAACTCTACATCCTCAGTCCTTGTTTGGTGGCCTGAGAGTCTCCGAGTGTTTTTCTGCCTCTATATCTCTGTCTCAGCCTCAAACAGGAAGTACTGGCTCATTTCTTCAAGATGGTGTGCATAGGATTAACATGTGGGGGTGGTAGGTGCCCTTGTTTGAGGGTTAATAAATATTTACGCACTAAAGAGTCTTGGTCTCAGACTGGTTTCTAAAACAGGCCAGTCTAGCCCACCTCTTCTGTCTTTTGAAGAATGAATGGTAAGATTAGTCAAGGTTTCTTGGCAGACAAACTTTCCTAATTTGAGCTATGCTCAGCAACTGGCCTTGTTGCAGAGACTAAGAAGAGAAAAGGCCCAGGCTTCCCAGCATCTTGCAAATCATCTTTCAGAGCCTGATGCCCTAGGGTTCCCACTTTGGTCACCTGGGCTCTCCTCTAAGTATAATAACTTGGTTTCCCAAAGATGCTCATCCTGCCAGACACCTATTCGTTTTCTTCAGAGGAGATCAATACACAAATAGCTTTTAGAGTAGCAACTCTACTGGGGTCAGGGATCGAAGTCTTTTATCAAGAGGGGTGTCATGTTTTTGGCTCTGACAACAATAAACCTTTGAGCTGTTTCTCCTCTTAGGTTAAAGTTCTTCCAGGAAGAGAGATTTATTTTTGTCATGCAGCATCTAAACATTCCTTATCCTGGTTTGGATGCTATGCTGAATTAACACTTTGCATCTCTAATATGCCCGTCTTGGAATTATCTCTATGTTCTGTAGTGAAACACTGGATCCTTTCCTGACTAGTTATTGCAGATTTTATTAATTTACTTACCCTAGAAATTGGAATCCCATTAAAATTTTAATAGAAGGTGTTTTTAACACAAAAAATGCCTTCTAACAAAAATTCAGGTTGAAGCTGACCACTATGAAGAAAAAAATAAGAATTTGTGAGACATATCTTCCCATATTCATATGGCATAATTTGGGGGAACCATGCCAATTTCATGTTGCCATGGTATGCTTGGGGTTAAGCTTTTATTCCATCACAAATCACTTTAAATTTGATTCATCTAAGTTTTGGACATTTTATTGGCATCAATCTGACTAAAGAAACAGTTAGGTTTCTAAAAATATCATAAGATTGATTCGGCACCTAGGAGTAGGGGGCAATTGGAAACCAGCTAAAGATGCTACAGGATCAATTTCCTTATTCAGGAAGACCATCTCTTTGGAAAAAAAACTTATCTGACTCCATATTGATCCCCTAAAAAGAGAATTAAATTTACATATTTGGTTACTGTGATTTCAGAGGTGTCAAGATAAGTTATTCATGTAAGCGAGTTGTTTCCACATGTTAAAACTCTGTCCAAGCAGCAGAAAAGTGCTTTCTGGGACTCAGAAGGCAGCGCTGGAAACTGCAGGAACATCTACCCCAGCTGTGAGCCTGCCATCAGCTGGAATTCACTAAATTCACTATGCCATTTAGAAAGACACTCCTAGCTGAAGGTCATACTTCCTTGGGTCTTTTCTCAAACCTGACTTTCTAAAGACTGCCCTAGTTTTTTTCTTCCTTCACCTGACCTCAGTGAAAACTACAATAAACCTCAGCGGAATTTCCACATGAGGAAGCAGTTGTAAAAGGAATTCTGGTACTCAAGTTCCCATTGTGGGCCCCGTGAGCTGAAGGAAAGGATATGCGGGCTGGGGAGGCAGGAATGGAGATAACCACAGAACCAGTTCCCCAAGTGGCTGCAGCCTGCCATGCACACTCTGACAGCCAGTTTGAGAACAAGCCCTGCAGAATGATTTGAGGAAGAATTTTTTTTTCTTTTTAGAGGAAGCAGGTGGGGAGAGTGAGGGAACTAACATTTAGTGCGGTTGGGGAGCTTTAAGGAAATACCTATGCTCCAACCCCATAGACTCTGCTTCGGATGACTTGGAGAGGAACTCAGGCACAGGTATTTTAGAAAGTGTCTTAGGTTTGAACCAAAATAAACAATGTCAGTATTGGATTATAAAACCAATAAAATAAAATAAATATCCATGAGTCCATGATAATTTCAATAAATAACTGAATAAATAAACAAATAAATGGAGGAGAAGAAACAGCATTTCAAGACAGAAAAATTCCAATAAACAATGTAGAAAAAATGAGGGACTAGGAAACCATCCTCAGAACGTTGCAGTAATTGTCGCAGGCAAGATGCACCAAATGAACAGAACATTAATGGGGAAAAAGATGAGGAGAAATAGGCTACCTGCATAACCTGAAAGTATCTCTCCCAAGTTATTTATTAATGACAAAGGGAAAAATACTATCTTTACAATAGGTAAACCCAGCAGACATTACCTTAACCAAGTGATGAAGGTTAACATTGCCAGTAATAAGACGTATGGACATCACATACTTCCTGTTATGAGATTCTGGGAAGGGCCTATGGCTTCTGTGGTATCCTTCTCAGTAATGCATAACCTCAATCTAAGCACAGGAAAACATTAGATAAACCCCAAGTGAAGGACATTCTATGAAATACGTGACTAGTCCTCATCAAAAGTGTCATGAAATGCAGGGAAAGCCTGAGGAACGGCCATGGATTTAGAGACTGAGGACACCTGATAAATAAATGCAAAGGGAACCTGGATTCGTTCTTGGAGGACATAAAGGACATTAGTAGAGAAACTGGTAAAATCTCAATAATGCCTGTAGTTTAGCTGAGCATTATACTCATGTTAATTTCTTACTTTTGATAATTGGACCATAGGAATGCAAATCCGCATTAGGGGAAGCTGGATAAAAGTTATATGAACTCTCAGTATTATTTTTGCAACCTTTCTGTAACTCTAAAATTATTTGAAACAAAAATAAACATATTTTTAAATAATACATATCATAACAACAAAGCTTTTTAGAAGATTCAAATGGTGGAAAGCTCCTTGAGATTCTAATATGCAGCTAAGTTTGAGACAACTGATTTTGTAAGTACCTGCTCAGCTTCTGCGCTTAACTGATGTGATCTCCTTTACATCCTCATCAGCCCTCTGAGGCAAGTATTGCAGCTCCCATTTGATAGGGAGCATCTGATACCCAGGGAGACAGTCCACTGCCTGGCTTTCAGCACACAACCTGACTTATTGTCCATCCAAGCTGCTGGACTTGACTATTTCAGCTCAGAACACAGTGCTCAGCACTCCACATACACTCACTTATTTAGTCCTCACAACACCCCTATAAGACAGTGTCAGTCCATTTTGTGTTGCTAGAAAAGAATACCCAAGTCTGGGTAATTTATAAAGAAAAAAGCCTTATTTGGCCCATGATTCTGATGTCTCAAAAAATTCAAGGTTGGGCATCTGGGGAGAGCCCCAGGCTGCTTCCACTCCTAGCAGAAAGTGAAGGGGAGCTGGCATGTGCATAAATCACAAGGCGAGAGAGGAAGAAGAGAAAGGGGGAGGTGCCAGGCTCTTTTTAACAACTAGCTCTGTTGGGGGCAAATAGAGTGAGAACTCACTCATGCCCCGCCCCAGGGAGGGCACTAATCTATTCATGAGGGATCTGCCCCCATGACCCAAACACCTGCCACTAGGCCCCACGTCCAACACTGAGGATCAAATTTCAACATGAGATTTGGTGGGAACAAACAAAACATATCCAAACTATAGCAGAGAGCTACTATTAGCACCCCTACTCTGCAGACGAGGAAACTCATGCACAGAAAAACTGAAGTTTCGCAGCCAAGGTTTGGACCAAAGCCAGTTGACTCCAGTTGACTCTGTACTCTTAAGAGTGAGGTTCTGTGTCTTGGAAAAACTCCTTTCCCCCAGGTGGGGTTTCTGTACTAATGGCACCCAGGTTTCCCTGGGATCAACAGTGTGTGGTTGAAAGCAGCTTGTCCTTGCCGCTTTCCTCCGAGCTCTTGCTACAGAGGAGCCCCATGTGTGGTGCTTGCGAGCTGCTCAGGGTGTTAAACAGAGGCTTTGTGCTCATGTGCAATTCTGCCCATCGGTGCTAATGGCAACAGGGGTTTGTAATGTTCCACTTTTTGACTCTTCTAAAGCTAAGTTTTACAACTGAAAAAAACCTCATAACCCTAACAAGCAAGGGAAGACACTTCCATTTCTGGGTACTGACGAGGTTTAGGACATGTTGCTCCAAAATATGGTACCTTGGCATTTGAGGAAACAACAGAAGCAGGGAGATCACTTTCACCTCCCTTCACTGTTCTCCTCTGATGCAGTTCATAAAAGATTTCTTTGCCCTCGTCTAAAGCAGGTCATAAACTTTCATTCCAGAGGTACCCTCCATATATCCGGAGGAAATGAACATCCTTATCTTCAAAGACAAGGAAATGTCAAAAGAATCTGAACAAACATACCTTGCTACCTCCTCCCACCCACCCTGGTTTATTACCATCAGATCACACCTGCTTTGTCCAATCCTACTTCTTCACAGCTATCCACTTCCTCATCAAGCTTAGCATAAAAATAAGGAGGTCTCCCTGTTTCTTTGGCTCTTCATTTCTGAAGGCTCTGGTGTCACGTAAAATTTATATTAAATAAATGTGTATGCTTTTCTCTTGTTAATCTGTCTTTTTTTCCTAGGAGTCTCAGCAAAGAACCTATGATGGATGAGGAAAAGAAATTACTTTTTCTCTCCTATAGTGTGATCTAGGTTAACCCTGCCCACTGGGTTTGGGGCTGGACTATGCAGAAGGCTGCAAATATCCTGAGGAAAGAATGGTGTCTTTGCCTCTCTCTAGAACTCTTAGACACTCTCTTTAAACACATTTCTATTCTTGGTGCAGTACCTGGCATATAGTAGGTACTCAGGAAATGTTTGAAGAATAGAGAGAATAGAGTTGAATTAATAGCTGTGAAGCTGCTAGGTTGTTCTGCAATTGGCTTGCTCTGGGGGCTTGGTGACACTATGAGGCATTGAGAAGAAAACATTCCTGCAGCAGTCCTTCCCAAGCATCTGTCACAGTCCTGGAGGTGCCCTGAGCCACCCTTATTCTGCTGCCTTGATTTCTGGTCCTTGGATCTTCTTATGGGAGGAAAAGAGCTGTATACCTTGGAAGCCCATGGAATAGCATTGTGTGTCTAGGCGCATGGAGCACCAAGAGCCTGCAGCTGCCCACAGTTCATGGGACAAAGAGCCACAGTGAATCACTCAAGCCCCACCCTCACCCTGGGAGAAACACAACCATATATTTTAAGTCTACTTCATAAAACATAAACCACATGGGCGGCATTGCCATTCCACACCCGTCTTCTGTGAGTAAGCTTCCGATTCTACCCGGTGGACTGTCGCCAAGTAAGAACTTTCCCTGTTAGGCTGGCAGCTTTATTAATGTTCGCTAGCTAATAATTCTGGCAGCATCAACTCTCTGATATTCATGATACCTTTGAGATGTCCTTCATATTGCGGATGAGATATTAATTTAGTTCCATGACAGTGATCACTCTGAATCATTACCCCGCTAATTAATACTCAAGAAATGGTGGGTAACAGAGAGTTGTAAACTTGGTAATGTGCTAAGTATGACCAGAAATAAGATTATTAGGTAGAATTTAAATGCTTGGCCCATTATTATCACAAATAATTTATAATGGAAAATGAGATTAAATACTTAGCATAACTTAGTTTGGAAAGCAACGACAACAGATCTTTTCACGCAATTTATAGGCCATCTAGAGAGAATGAATTTGGCTTACAGTATGGATATGGCATGATTTAAGAGTCCACTGTCCACTGAATAATATATTTTGATGCTGTTTCTGGTGCAACATGGCATTAATTTTCTCCAGCTTTCTCAACTTTGATGTGCCTGAAGTCTGGTGATACAGGCAGGATGGGGGCTGATGCCTGAGCCCCTCTTTGAGTACCCAGAGCTGGCTCTGGCTGAAAATAAAACAATGTGGCCCTCATTGACTTCTCAAAATCTGAATTTGCTAGTTATAGTTTTAATGTGCCTGGCACTTTTGGTCTTGCAATAATAACGTTTAGAATCAATCTCTTAAACACCCCCATGGACAGGGCTTATTTTTGTTTCTCATTGAACTAATCTGTACTGAAGATACACTCTATGCCAGACACAATGACAAGTGCTAATGATACAAATGTGGATTGAGACAGGGCCCTCCTCTTAAGGAGCCTAGAGTCAAACAAAGGAGATGGACAAACCAATCAGTGAGATGGGGCAAGGCAGAGGAAGAGGGATGCCCAGTGGGCCCAGTAGGTCTGACTCAGACAGGGGGCTAAGGAGAGCTGAGAAAGAAGGGCCACTGTATCTGAAACAATGAACTGAAGGATTAAGAGCATTGGCTCTTGAGCCCTGCAGACTGCATTCAAATTCCAGCTCTGCTATTTATTTGCCCTATGACCATGGGCAGCTGTTTCATGTCTTTAAGCCTTCTATGTAAAATGGTGATATTAATGATGCTTACCTCATAAGATTATTATAAGGTTCAAGAAAATAATGCATGTGTTCATGTTAAGCACAGAGCCAGCATGAAGTATGTGCACAACAAATATCAGCCATTAATGTTATTAGTAAAGAGCCAGTGGAAAACCAGCCAGCTTAAGGAAGTAGGGGATGGGCAGTCCAAACTGAGGTCATAGGAACAGGTGTCTGCAGGGTGAGTTCCTTTATGAATTTTTCAGTAAGGTTGAATAAACAAATAAACACATAAATGCATCAGTAGAGAAGATGTGACTAAAGTGGTATGCAGAAGCCCTATCCTGAAGGTCTTGTGTGCTAAGCTAGGGAGTATGAACTCTGCTCACAAAGCTTTGGGAAGTCACTGAGGAGTTTTAAGTGACTCTTCACAGTCAGATTTGTCATCTAGTAAGGCAGTCATGTTTGGAGAGGAAGAAGACAAGTGATGGAGAGAGCAGTCCAGGAGGCCATCACAGTACCAAATGAAAGATGCTGCATGCCATTCAAATGACTTTGAGTCAGTTAGATTCTGCCAGATCTTGAATGAGATATGTCTGTCATCTGCCACCATGGCCATTTATATGCCCACCACTTCCACTTGGGGTTTTAAATGTGAATGCAATGCTATCTTTCTTCCTAAGAAGTCCATGGGCTTAATACTTTTAGGGGGTACAATTAGTTTTCTTGCCAATGACTGACTCCTAGAAGTAACTCAGGCCCTTTGGGTGAGATGAGAAGGCAGACCTCCAGGACACCTGATGGGAAATGACTCTCCAGGTTACCTACACTTCCCCTTGGGGATCAGGCACTCACGGATTGCTTGGCAGTTTGCTCCCCCAAGATATAATTTAGCCCTTCTCTCTCTGCCCCACTGCCTCTGCTCCCTCACACCATGCCTATGACAGCTTACATTCTCTTTGGGACAATAATAAGGTGATGATTCTACTCTCCTGAAAAGTGTGAAAGAGTTTGATTTAGATTGGAAAGCATCATGGTTGTGTCTTAGACCAGAGGTTGTTAAAGTTCTTATTTGTCAAATGCTCTTTTGTTGAAAAGAAATCTTATACAATAGTCCAGATGCAAACAGAGCCAACTGGGTCTGCCCCTGACCAAGTCGGGTGGAAGGGTCCAATATTCCTGTTGTCCTGGCTCCTTATCCCTATGCCACCTGATAGAATCAGTGGAATGCAAGGACTTCTCTGAGTCCAGTTTGAAAGTTGGAGACAGATGGTCCAATAAAGCTCAGTGGGTCAGATGCTGCTGACAGGCAGAGAGTGAACATCTTCTCCCACAGGCACCTCGAGTAACCTTCTGTACCTCATGATTTAATTGTGGTCAACTGAGTCTCAGGCAACTGAAGGCAGAGACCCTGTCTCATTCATCTCTGATTACCTCCCTGGTACCCAACACGAGTTAGCTGAATGAATAAAAGGCTTGTGGTTTATTTAGTTAGTGACTTTTTTGAGGGTACTAATTTTGTCTTATGGTCTGAAATGGTTAATTTGCCCAAACTGAAGAGTTGGCTCTCTTTTTGCCTGCTGAAATCTGGCTCCACGTGGCTAGCTCTTCATTGCAGTGAGACACTGGGAACTTAGGGAAGCTGTAGAAAGGCCAGGCACACTTTGAGCAGCCCATGAGATGTCCTGCAAGGAGCTGGAGGCCACATAATGCCAGTTCTGTAAAATGCGCCAATGAGCATCCACAACTGCAGATCAGTGAATCCTTTCACCCCATAACTTTCTGTGTACTGAACAGGCCCTGAGACTTTGCTAAGCATTCCTCATCTATGACTTCATGCAATTATCGTATAAACTCTCAATGCAAGAGAGTTTATATGATAATTGTCATCACCATTTTGTGGGTAAGGCTTCTGAGATGGAGCATTAGGTAGCTTGCCCAATATCAGTCACTAAGGCTCAGTGAGGTCAGGTAACTTTCTCAAAGTCAGAGTTTCTGAGAGGCAGAAATGGCTATTTTTATCCATATACAACACCCTTTACTATAGCACTACGGAGAGTAGAGGACACAGCCATTCATTCCCTTGATATTTATGAAGTATCTGCCATATGCCAGGAGAGTAAATATCTACTGTCCTGTGTTCTAGGTCTACAACACTGAAGTAAACACACAGAACTCTGCCCTCAGGGAGGCTATATTCCAATGGGCCCAGCCAATGTGAGCTCTGCCACCACACAAAACCATCCACAACCATTTTTGGCCCTGGCGATAGCTTACCTCCTTAAGCCATAGAGCTCATGATACATGTACCATGTTTTCAGCCCCAAATAGTTCTCTGCTTCTTTCAAAATAAAGATAAAAGAGGGAATGGTCAAATGAGTAGCAGACTAGCCTACCAGTTGCTTTTTCATTCTCTGGTGGTGAGGAAGGTACTGTTTACAGACTCATTTAACTCTTAGATGAAGATTGCAAAAGCTGCATCTTTTTATAGTCACATGGTAAGTGGCTTTGCTGTGTTCTTTATATTTTGGCATGGGTAAGGCTTATTATAAGCCTCCAGGAGGCAAGAAGCTGTGTCTTTGAAGCCCCCCTTAAAATTGTTTTTTTTTTTTTTTTTTTTTTGAGACAGAGCCTCACTTTGTCGCCCCGGCTGGAGGGCAGTGGAATGATCTCGGCTCACTGCATCCTCCGCCTCCCAGGTTCAAGCGATTCTCATGCTCAGCCACCCGAGTAGCTGGGATTACAGGTGCACACTATCATGCCTGGCTAATTTTTGTATTTTTTGTAGAGACAGGGTTTCGTCATGTTGGCCAGGCTGGTCTTGAACTCCTGAGCTCAAGCAATTTGCTTGCCTCAGCCTCCCAAAGTGCTGGGATTATAGTTGTGAACCAGCCCCCTGCTCAGAATTCTTGGTATCTTTCAGGGAAACTCTCAAGTGCTTGGGATAATATTAATAATATAAATTATTTTACATATCTTATTAATATTAATGATATTGATACTCTTTCCTGAATACTGTGTGCTAGGAACTGCATCCAACACTCTACATCTATTATCTCATTTAATTCTCACCATGACCTGCTTGTTCGTCTTCTTATTTTCTTATCCCCATTTTACAAACAAGGAAAACAAGCCTCAAGACCCAACAAGTCGAAACTGGATGCCTGGTGGTCCAGTCAACATGTCCTGGAAATGCAGATGAATAGAACTGTAGAATCCATCTGTGCTACTCCTGGTCTTCCTTCTTAACCTTCCTTTAACAGGCTTTATGACTGAGCAGAATGCTCTCTCCAGCACTGAACCTTTCCTCCAGATGACACTCTTCACTTCTCTGACAGAACTTGGGCGTAGGGGTCCTTTTGAAGAGTTCTTGCTGAAACTGTCTTGTGCAAACAACTATCAAAGCTTTGGGGATGATAGCTTAGGAAGAGAAACTCAGAGCCAGTGGCAATATGTAATGCATTGACATTATCTTAATTTCTTTGTTAGTATTTTCCATAAATTGTTTCGATCCTACCGTACATGAAGTCATGATGAACTAACTCTGAGTAGGAGAAATGACAGGTTAACTTGCCTTTCATTTGTTTTCCATAATAAATGGAATATTTCCTTGAACACTTGAAGTCATTAACATTTCAATTTATTCATGCTTTTTCTTTCTGGCATCCTAATGGCAATATTGCATAATTATATCTGCTGTATACCCATCAACGTTGATGGCTCTTTGCATGCCCATAAGTGCCATTCTCACTGTCTCTGTTAGCCTGTTGGTTTGAGGAGGCAGTTTGCCTTTTTAGGCCATTCTACTTACTTTTTGTGTATAGATTGTTAAACAGGGACACAGGGCCAGTGAATTAAGTGAGGCAGCACTGGGTGAGGATCCAAGCTAACTTGCCTTGTGCTTGCCATGTACTTACTAGGCACTGTTCCAAGCATTTCACATGTATTAGCTTATTTACTCTGCCTACAGCCCTTTGAGGCAGAGTCTATTACTATCACATCCACGTCTATGGATGAGGAAGCTGAGACCTAGAGACACTAAGTGACTTCTTCAAGGTCATACTAGGTGGGTAAGTGACCAGGCCAGGCTTTACACCTGTGCAGCCTAGCCCCAGCATTTTTGACCCTGACCTTACATCAAAGGTCTGCTCTATCTGTACCTCTCTCTCCTCCTTTGCGGCCTGACTCTTCCATATCAATTAGTATTGTTGCTGTGTTGGATCTTTGGGTTAAAAAGAGAGAAAAGTGGTAAAATGTTAATGGGATGATTAGATGCTGTTTCTCATCTTTGCTTTAAACCTCCAAATTGCAGCTTTTGCCTAAAGACTCATGGCCTTCGAGACATTGTTAGAAAAAATAAACAAATAAAACACCAGATAGTATAAGTAAGCACACAATTTAAAAAGCAAGTTTTAAATGCCCCCCACCCCAGCTTTTGCCATTTGAAAATCAGGATTGAGTCCATGTGCAGGCCATCAGGCGTTCCCAAAAACTAGGGTACTTTCTGGAATTTCTGGTCTCACTATTTTAAATTACAGGCGAGTTTTCAAGCAGGCTTCCAAAAATCAGGCCCTGAATATTGCTGAGTGCATTTGTGGTATGCCCTGAACTCTGCCTGGGCACATGCCAGGAGGAAAGTTAAGGTGGCAACAGAGATGTATGCATGTTCTCTTTAAAGTGACACCTCAAAATATTTATGCCTGTGCTTTTGGCCTTAGAAGTGCAAGCCCAGGCCACTGATGTGGCAAGGGAAGGAGGCTCAGAGAAATATTTTAATTTTAGAAAAAAGCCCTCACTGTCAAAGGAATTGCTCTCTTTAATTCATTAAAAAATTATCACATTCCTTTGAAATGAGAGTAAAACTAATATTTCTTAATGCTTGTTCATCGTTAATATTATGCCAATTATTGCATTACTTCTGGCTGATAAATATTCAGAGGATAAATGGAGCCCACAAGATGGATTTATTCTCCAGCAGTACAAACAAAAACTTTCAATATTTTATATAACATAATTAAATGCTGTTTGTTGTTTCTAGAATGAGAACTTGGGACATGCTAATTAATTGCTTCAAGAAGACAGTTAGACATGTTTCATGGTTGATATTCAGAATCAGATATTTATAAATCCTGCACAACACGGCTGATGATTTACACTTGCAGAATAAATCCTACCTGCAGAAGTCTGGGGGCACCATGCCATAAACATTGATCCTGTCACAGAGCTCCAGTGCAATTGTCATTGTAAACCAGCCAGTGCTGAGCCAAGTGTTGGATATCTTCCTGGAAGGAACAATAATTAAGTCTGCAAGCTGGTAAAGTAACCATTATACCCACTACCATCTTTAATTCTTTCCTAGAGTAAGGCTAACTATAAACAAGAGTCTCTCCCTCTCTCCTCCATTTGGTAAATATCTGGAACTTTATCAAATTGACATCTCTTACTAACATTACCATATTCCACAGTACAATCATAATTGATGTTAATGCTCATGCTGAATTTGTGACAATGAAAGATGCTCAAGGGACTTCTGCATCATCAAAGATGATGATCAGTGTTTAAATGTTTAAGTGTATGTTACCACAACTCAATTTCTTATGACAGCCCCCGTTTAACAACTCTTTCTTAACGAGAACACTTGAGTAACTAGAAATTCTCCTTGTTCCCCAAACAGGCTAGATAATGAGTAGCTTATTAAATATAAATAAACATTCACATGTATTTATCTATCTATTAGTCAATTGGTTGATTGACTGAACTTAGGGTGAAAGCTTGCCTTCAAGTAGACTAACACCAACATCTTGATTGAATATCTTTCCGTAAGAAGGGTACACTCATTTGGGTATGGGCTAATGACCAGAGGAAAAGAGCCACAGGAATGCTTATATTTAACTGAACATTTGCTTCATTTTACATATCAGAAAATTTTTACTAGGAGACCAAAAATTGACAAAATTTAAGGAATGAACTGGTGCACCCCACCATTCATTAATTTTCCCATTCAGACATCTGTAATGAGCTTCTACCATATGCTACACCTTAGGATAACTGTGGAGACATAACACCAAGGTCTAATTTGATCCTGTGAGAATGACTCAGCCTACCATGCTACACTACTGTGGATATTAATTTCAATTCTTCGGGGGTTGCTGCTTTTACTTTTCCTTCAGTACTTACGGCATGCCTCATTAGCCAGTTTCAAACACCTTATCCCCAAGGTCAGACTGTCTGACTTTGCCCAGCCATAGCATCATTTGTGATGTGAATAACAGAGGTGCAGGAAGGCTTTTCTACTTGCACTGTGTGGCACCCATCCTTGAGAAGAAGGAAAACCTTCTGTCTATCAGTTTGCATCATTATTTTCATTTCATATAAGGACCAAAAAAGAAAAAAAAATAGAGAGAGGACATTTTTAAGGAGTCCTTCATTTTGTCCAATACCTGACAGCATGGGTGGCTTAGTTATTCCTGGGGATCATGGCTTCAACTTTCTATTTCTTAAGCCCTTTGCTCATTCATTCCCCTATTCCATTGTATTTTGACCTAGTAACATCCCAGAAAGCATATTTAAAAGCTCCTAAAGATGGGAATAAGTGGGCTGAATCTTACCTGTTTCTATCATAACCAGCTGGATGACCTGAGGCAAGTTATTGTTGATCTTTGGCCCTTCATTTCTTATCTATAAAGGAGGCATAGGAATCTCTGTCCCCTGGGCTACTTGAGAGCTAAATAAGCAAGCATGTATGAAAAGCACCAAGTTTGGTATGTTGGTACGTTGACATCTCTTCCTCCTCTTTTAGTTTCTAGGTTGAGCAATCAAGGTAAATAATTTCACCATTCTTTTTGGTGCTTTTTAGCAACCATGAAGAAAATTCTTCCAACATTCTGCTACTGGGGGCTGTGTAGGGACTGCCATCAGTAGTCAGGGCAGGAATTATGAAATTCAGAAGCCTTCAGCCTACATAGGTATTAATGATTTTCCTTCTTTCTCACTAAGGCTATATATTCATAAGACCTTTGAGACTGAAGGAGCTGGAATGGAGAAGAGCTGACTGAATGGCAAAGGGTAAGAAGAGGAAGTGGCTTCCCTTAAGTTAGAAGCTGTTTTCACCTATGGGCTGCGACAATGCACTGGCCATGTGTTCTAGACCTAATCTGGGTGAGTGAATAACTGGGAGGATGTGGAACCCAGGAAGAGGATGACAGCTCACTTACAGCTTCAGGAGCCTAATCTGGGAATCACACTTATATTCCCTCTGCTTTTAGAGCTATTGGACACACCAAAGGGGGCTTTCTCCAAGGGCAGAAACTCTCCCATAACTCTGGTTCTGTTTTATGTGATGTAGTAGAGATTGTAAACCACAGCCTGAATACAGGAGGATGTGGCTGCACAGGAAAAGGCTTTGTGGGTAAAATGGGGAAAAGAATGCAAGGTAGAGGACGAAAGAAACTAAAGTGAAGAGTTCTTTAAAGTAACACTTAAAATTCCCCAGACTTCCTAAATAACAGCCTTCTGGGGTCACGTGCTATAGAAATGCAACACTTTGTGCTGTCTTTCTAAAACTCTTTGTTGAACTCTTTTTCTAACAAAGGAATATCTACTGTTTTTACACTTAATCAGCTGTAATGAAAGAATATGAAGAGCTGTCATGTGCTTTTTAGGGAAAATTATCAGATATTCTTTTATATGATGAAGTAACACACTGAGCTGATAATTCTATAGTGCATACTAAATTACAATTAAGGGCCTTTCTGCTCCACCAGAATCTCATTTATAATCTCTATGGAAATATTCTTCCTGCAGTTATTTCATTTACGCTTCCTTTATCTAATTACTATAATATTGGTTCTGAATCATATTTTCCTAATGTACCCTTATTCAATTATAAAGTTATTTTCAAGTACAGTTACTTTTTAATATCAAAGAATACCACTTGGCCATCTAAGTCATTTGTCATGCTTCTTAATTGCAGATTGTTCCTGAGCCACTTTTTTCTCCACTTTTAAGGAGGGTGAAACTTCTATCAATCACAATCTATTAAATGACCCTATTTCTTCAAAATATTCACCCAAAAGGAAAGTCCTGATCATGAGATCTGCAAGTTAGATATTCTGTACTTTATGTATCATATGCTACTGTTTTGTTGGGTTTGAAGAAAAGCATACATTGAGAAATACCATTACACCCTAAATGTTTTAGGTTTTAATTTACAGAAATAGTTTTGTCCTGAATGGCCATTTCTGACTTGTTTCTTTTAGCTTGGAGCAGGCTACAGGTAAAGAATATTAAGTCAATAGAGTATTGGCTTCTTTAAGACTGTTTCCCGAAGGCAAGAGGCACAAAGTTTCTGGAAGCAGCAGTGTACTCTGGCATCCTCCACATTCATAAGTGTGATTCCCCTGAGTAGGGACTACGTGGACCCTGGCAGATGGATGTCTGTGGAAAGAGTCCCACCAGCCACTCCACAAAGCTTTGGCTCCCTCCGTACCAGCCAGGACGACCAGGAAGAAAGACCTGGTGAGAAAAAGCTTCTCATTGGCCAGTATTTAGTGAATTTAGTGAGCAGGATATGCCTTGCTGTGAGAAGGGTTCCTAAAGATCCTGAGTGGCCAAAGGGTATGATGACTTAGTATCTAACTTATCAGCTTAAAATGATTTCTCAAGGAGTCCAGAACAATGTTTAATTATACTAAATAGCTAACATTGCGGCAGTGTTTTAGGAATACTTATTTAGCAATCAACCATTAAACTAAAAAAGAGAAAAGTGTTTTCTATTGAGATGGTTTCTACTTATTTCAAATTTTCCAACAAGTAAAAAATGAAACTAAATAATTCCCCTCCTTCTTGATTCCTTATAAAATGTTTTCTTGATTAAATAACTCATTCAACTGAGTGACAGTCTCTCTTATCTGTGAGTTGCAAAGGTCAATGCATGACTGGATTTTGTGGCAGCTGGAGATGATGATCAGAATCCCCAATGTGATCTGCTGGCTGGGCTGCCCATGGGGTCTGCTGGGCCTTCCAGTGAGGAAGGCCACAGTGCCAACAGCCAGCTCTTTCTCCTTCCTCCACCAGACCCATGCCTCCTGCCTGGTGCAGTCCTTGACTAGTCACAAGGTTTCTAGGATTTAAAAGCTATCTAGCTCTTCCACACAAAGAATTTGGGGGCACTGTACTTAAGTCTTTCTTTGAGACTATTCTCTAATAATGAGCTGCTAGCCAAAGAATGGATTTATTACTTTATATTCTTTATTGCATTTATCATATCACTTTATTTAAAACAATTTTTATGAGATGGGGTCTTGCTATGTTGCTCACACTGGATTTGAACTCCTGGGCTCAAGCCATCCTCTTGCCTCAGCCTTTCAAGTAGCTGGGATTATAGGCATGCACCACTAAGTCTGACTCTCCTTTAGTTTAAAGATAAGCAATTGACTCAGTAACAGTTTTTGTAAGAGGGGTAAATTACATCACAAACGTATGAAAGTACAGGTTTTAGAATTAAGGAAATGAGGCAATTTGATTATTAGACCAGTCCATCCAGCGATTAGTAGTCACTATTCCCTTTTCACACGTAAGGTCACTGAGTCTCTAAAAGGTTAGATAACTTGTCCAGGCCCTCACAACTAGAGAGTGACAGAGCCAGAGTTCCAACCCAGAGCTGTACTCTCTAGTGGCCCTTGATTCTTCATTGTCCTTTCTTCACCTAGATTTGTCCAGCTGACATCTTTTCACCTCTCTTCTTCACCTTGTGTCACCCCCACCCCCTAGTTCTCCTGACTGCAGCCACAGGGGGCTTTTCTCCAACCCACTGCATGTTCTCTCACACCTGATTCCCTGGACCTCCAGGGAGGTTTCTCCCTCCCACTCCCCAGGTCCTTTACTTTATCCAAGACTTATTGCCCTGGGTCTCAGCTTATGTACATCTTTTTGAGAAAGCATTTTCCTTATCTCCCAGACCAGTAATTTCCAAATCTTTCAACCTATAGTGAAAAATACATTTTTACATCATGATTGAGACACACAGACACAGTTTTAATTTCATTTTCTAAAGTGTGTAATTCAGTGATATTTATTTTACATTCACAGGATTGTGCAACCATCACCACTAATTTCAGAACATTTTCATCACTTTGAGAAGAAATCCCTATCCATCTATCTCCATCTCTATCAAACTGAAATAAAAGTTTCATGAAACAATACCTTACCTAACTTACTATGTGGGATGAATGCTGATAATGTCTTTTCTATTCTACTCTGTTCCATTTTATCCCATTCTTCCCATTACTTTAGAAAAAAAATCTTTCAGTGCCTCACTACATTGATTTCGTGTCTTAATATGGAGTTGTAGCTAACAGTTTGGGTTTCCATGGGCTAGGGCCCATGGCACATCTACAGCACCATTTTCTTCCCTCTCAAGACCCTCAGTGCACTGGCTACTACTTGGTAAGTGTCCAAGGCTTTATATACTTGTGTTTGACTGTTTCCCCAGGGCCAAGCACAGTGATGAGCAAGTAGTGGGCACTCAAGAAATATTGGTTGACTAAATAAATGTTTGCCTTTGAATGGGAAAAAATAAACCCATATACTTTTTTTTTGGTGAGGGTTTATGCAAGTAAAATGAAATGCAATAAAGCTGTTATACTGCACTTTTAACCAATGAAGGCCAGGAGCTGTGTAGCCTCTTCCTCAAAAATAAGGCCCTGAAATATCCATATAATTATCTCCATGCTTCTTTTCACTTTGTCTTGTAAAGTCAGCTTGAGCAGCCCAGTCACGCAGAGGACCCTACAAGTGAACTCTAGCAATGACATGAGCAGTGGAGCCCACAACAAAAGCCTGTAGCAAAAGCTTTGCTTTGGGTGAGTCAGCCAGTGATGACTTATCCTCACCCTCCCCTGCATCTTCTTCCCTGTGCCTTTGTACCTGTCTTTGCCAGTCTCCTGCTTGAAGAGCTCATCAAACTGCAGCATCTTGTGGCGAGTAATCATGAAGGCCTTCAGCCGGGGCAGCACCTGGCTCAGGAGATGCAGGTTGTTGTAGACCTGGCCCTTGCCGTCCCGCCGCATGTAGCTGCTGGGGCCCCAGAAGATGAACACGGTGCCCTGGCTCACGTTGAGCAGGTCATGGCGGTTGCGGAGGATCCTCTGGATGCTGGAATGCGCGATGACCCTCAGGCTGGTGCGATTGCCCACGTCACGCCCATAGCCGCGTGTGGGGGCGTCATTCATGCGGATGACACACTCTGTCTGGTCAATCTGGGAGCCTTGCCGACTGTGCAGCAGATGCCCTGAGCTGGTCACCAGGGCACAGTCCCTGCAGTGCATTTTCAGGGGCTGGAAGGCAGGGGGAGAAGGACACTGTCAGGGGCAAAGGGCTTAACCCTCACTCAGCACCAGCAGGCTACTTCCCTGCCTTTGAAGAAGGGCACCCATCTCTTCTCTCCTCCCCATCATGTCAGAGTATATCCCTTCTGCTATTACTTTATGGACCCTTGCGTTCTCTTCTAAATGGGTGACAGGGAACAATGGACAAGAGCAAAAGGGAGCTAGCACTGACCTGTCAAACACTGAACTAAGGGCTTTACTGATATTAAATAACCAAATCGACACATCAACCCAGCAAGGTTTCTCTCGTGGTCATTTTACAGATGAAGATACTTAAGCATAGAGATGTTAACAAATTTGTCCAAAGTTGCCCTTTATTCCTAGCCAGTAATAAAGTTGTGCTTCCGGCTTTCAAAACTAGGTATTTTTGAGTCCAAAGTTACTCCCAAGTTGAAGCAAAGACTATCCTGCAAATTGCTGTGACACTAGTTGTGATGCTCTTAACTCACCTTATTGAAAGTTAAACCTTGATTAAAATTCTTGGATGCTGTACAAATATGTTTGTACCAAATACACATCATCTAAGCATCATATGGGAAATGACATGCTGATTGTAACCCCTTAGAGGCCATAATTTTGAAGTGACATTAGGATTGCTTCTTCTATTTTAACGGATGAGGGAGAGAAACTGAGTTGTCCCATTTTCATAAACATAAAGAAAGCGTCAAGCTCAGAGCCACAGACCCCAGCTAGGAATTGCAGGGCCTAGGTCCTTCTCTCATCTGCAGTGAACACGCATCATGGCAAAGTTCTGGCCAGGACATGGTGTTCACCAAAGACAACTCCAATGGCAGCACTCAGTTCAATGCCCTGAACCAATGATTTGCTTTCAAAACACCTACGTCCTAACAAATTAAACATTCCCGTGTTCATGTTTAATGAGCAATATTTCTAGTTGCTGTTTGAAGATAATGTAATTACGGCCCGAGGCCAAGGCCAGCAAATGTACAAGAAAATAACAAGATGTTCTGAAGGGATGTTGCATTGTTAGATTTTTTCCAGAGTCTATGCGCTTCTTCTCTGTTAACTTTGAACAGGACACGCTGGCTTCCTGTACTGTCTCAGGAAATTGAATCCAACTTAGTAGTGCATATATTCAGTTTTGTGTTTATTTTGGGAGTTTCCTGAGACATGGCTGTGTCTTCAGAACTACACTGAGAGCACCCGAGGGCAGCCAACTTCCCTTGCCTTGTGGTGCCTCAAAGCATCAGCTCTGGGATGTAGCAGGATGGGCCCAGCCTTGCTTCCACCACCTACTAGCTGTGGGACCTTGGTAAGACACTAACCTCCACAAGTCTCAGTTTTCTCATCTCTAACTGAGGTTAAAACCTCATTCTACTATGGTAGAATAAAAAAAAATTAAGATAGATACCGTATTCGATTGAGCCCTTTGAAACTGCCAATATTTGGCCTGCAAAAATAGCAACTGCATACGGTTGAACCTTTAGCATAGGATTGTCATAGTGATCATTCACTAAATGTTAGGTGCTATTAGGATTATTGGTCAGTGCGGAGCCTTTTGCTCTTGTCCAGGGTTCCTATCACCCATTTAGAAGAGAATGCAGGGGTCCATAAAGTAATTGTACAATAAGTACTCACGATATCAGCAGTGAACACTTAGGGTTTATAATTGATGCAGGGCTTATGAAATGGAGGTTCTACCATTGCAAATTCTCATAATTCCCCCAACATCTAATTACTCTTACATGACAGGCACTGTGCTAGGCAGTCAGAATGCAAAAATGGGGCAAATAGCCTTGAAAGCTTACACTTTAGTGAGGGACAGTGGTCAGTAAAGGAGGACAATACAGTGTGATACAGTATAAGGAGAGGAGGCTCTGCTGAAGTCGGAGTAAGGGGCTGTGGAGAGCACAGCAAAGCTGGGGGCACAAAGGAAAACTGGCCAGTCAGTTAATATTTACTGAGTGCTTTTCAGCCACAACTGTGTTAGGCACTGTTCTGATTTTTTATAAATATAATTCCATTAATCCTTCAAATAATACTCTAAGATAGTATATTATCACTCCCATTTTACAAATGAGAATATTGAAGGGTAGAAAAATGAAGCAGTTTGCTCAAGATCACACTGTAAGGCGGTGGCAGTGTTGAAATTTGAACCCAAGAAACCTGACTGCAGAGACAAAGGGATTCACCATGATGCCAACACAGTGCAGTAGAATAAGCAGAATCAGTGTTATGGGATGTTTTCTTACCTCATTGCCTCTTTCCTGCCTCTTAGAAATTCAGTGATGCTATTTTTTAATCAGTAGTGTTGTTACCACTCTGAGGGCACTGGGCTCAGTGGATGCAGTAAAGTGACAAGAATCTTCTACCAAAGACCTCCATTCCTTGGAGGATCATTTGAAATAGATTCATCTAACTAGAACATTAAGTACATGATGCTGAAATGTGGTTGAGACCAAACCTTCTTTAGGAAGTGCCACATTCCAGATGTCCAGAAAGTGGCCCCTATTCCCCTCAGAAAACTACTGAAATCTGGAGTAAGGAGTCCTGAATCCCTGGGCGAACTGTTGGGATGAGAGGCAATTTCAGTGGCCAAAAAATGGAGGAAATGCTTAACTTTCCTTTCCCTTATTTTACTTGCACATCCCATACATAAATGATGAAGAGGGAAGAGTTCCATGATAATTTATTCAATGGTGAAATTCCTATTACGTACCAGGCACTGAACCTGGTGCTACAGATATTATGTTAGCGCAAAACTAATTGCCATTAAAAGTAATGGCCAAAACCACAATTACTTTTGCGCCAACCTTAATAACACAATAAAAGAGCATACAGTCCACATTGAGGGTGCCCCCAGACAAACCATGACAGAACTGTGCTGTAAGTGCTATAATGCAATTAGGCACAAGGGACCATGGGACCAAAGATGAGGGAACATTTAAGCCTATCCAGAAGAGCCAGAGAGGTGAGAGAACAACCAGGAAAGGATTATGTAATGGAAACCAGCAGAAGAGACAATTTTAAAAAGGAGCAAGTAGTCAACAGTGTCATAGGACAAGTAAAACAAGACTTGGGAAATGTGCTTTGGATTTGATGACTTCGGCCAAAATAGTCTCAGCTGAACAGAAGTGACAAGAGTGTGATCGTGGTCGGATTGAGGAAGTAGAGACCACAGCTGACTGCAAAGAGTTGACAGAGGGTTGATGGTGGAGCATGGCAGGACTGACTTTGACACTAAATACTTGTGGCCAGACAACATTGATTTGTTCATTCATTCTAAAGACCTTCACTGAGGACTTAATACACCCCTGAGGTTCTGTGTAACTCAGCACATTTGCTTAATAAGGTTACTTTGTAAGTTCATCCCAGTGGACCCTAAGGCCATGGGAAGCTGCTTTTTCTCATCACGCTCACCTAGAATTATCCTGAATTTTCCGGTTGGATCTGTAATTTTACTGTAGTCATTATTACTAGGGAAAACATTCTGAAGAAAGGTCCCAGTAGCATCTCTTTCCCCTTAATTAATTATTCTGCTTTGATTCTCAGAACAGAGACTGGTTGGCAGGTGAAACACATCGCCTTAGGGGCCTTCCAAGGACCTGGCGCTCTCTCTTTTCTCTTTGCCCAGAGCAGGCCAGCTGAACACTCTTTCCGAGAAGGCCAAGTTTCCTGACCTTGCCATACTGACCCTCTGTGATTAGTGGGCACCACTAGAACATGCCAGGTTGACCCAGTCCCCAAAAGCCACCCTCTTGATTTCTGCTACCTGAGAAATCTGAGCTCTGGTATTGATTATGTCAGACACTAACACTCGTTCTTTGAGTTGTGCAGATGCATCAAACAATGCAAAAAAGATCGAAGTCTGAAGTATGCCTTAGGTGCTTTTGGTAAGGCGTGCCAATAAAATGACAATAGCTGTTCTAAACATAATGTTACAATTCCAGCAGCTGAGAAGAGCATGTACTAAAGGCTGACCCACTTCCAAAGGACAAAATGAAGTCTGTTTCTTGTATTCAGGGGGACTGATGATATCTTAGGAGGCAGAATGGCAAAAAATTGTACAAATTGTGCGACCCTGTTCCTCATGATTTGGTACAGTCCTCTGAGAGAAGCATGCTCCCACACTCTCAGTACCATTATAACCTTTAGTGTCTTAATGATATGGGTGGAAATATTCATGCCTTGGTGAGTCAAGATTCCTGATGCAATATTTACATGTTCTTCCCTTAAGCATTCAGATGCTGGGTTGATGAATCACTAAGTGGAACACAGGGAGGTGAACTTGAATCTCTGCCCGTCGGCCTGGGAGATGATGTACTGCCGAAGACACAAGAGGGGAGGTGGCTCCAGCGGGCTCTCCGCTGAGCAAGGCCTTCTCTCTGACTTTTTCCTCATAGTGTTCAGCCTCCCCGATTCTTTGGAACATTTTCCGTAAAGCCTCATTTGGTGAGACACTCTGTTCCTTCTTAGGAAACATAGGCATCTATCTTAGTTCACTCCTAGATTAGTAGTCTCTCTTCCATCCTGACTCATAAGAAAAATCATTTAATTAATACTGAATAGATGGATGAATAAATGAGTGAATGAAACCCAACCCCCTGCCTTATCTATCCTCTGAGAAACCTACCTGCTGCCACATACAAAGTAGACATAATGTGATGCCATAACCAATTATTTGGCTGTAAACCCCAGGCCTTGCTAAAGATGCCACAAAGAGAAAGGGTGGTAGGCTGTGGAAACCTCTGTCTGCAGAGGAGGCTGTGGCCATTTGCCACTGGGCAGCCTCTCAGCCCAGGGAACCATAATGACCAGAGTCCAGGGCACTGCCTGGAATTAATGGCTGGCTGGGAAAATGGCCCGGGACACAGTAAGGACCATTAAGCCCAGCCAGTTATTAATCCCCAGTAAGAGCTTGATGCCAAGGTCATTAGAGCTGTTGTGAGGTGAAAAATGCCCAGGAAAATGCACAGCACATGGAAGAGTGACTGTTCTCCAGGCTGCTGATGCTCAGAGCTACAGCCCAGGCCCCCAGAAGCCAGCATGCTGTACAGGAGCCAGTGGGAGGCAGGTGGGTGGGGTCTCTAGAGGGAGTGTGCAGATACACACACACATGTGAATGCACACTCAGATCTTACCATTTTATTTTTGCTGTCTCTTTTGTGCTTTGGTAATTTTAAGTATTTGCCATCATCCCAGAATCTAAGATACTATCTGCAATTTAGAGGAGGACTCATGAATATTTTAGAATGTGTGAATGAGTTTCTCCTTCCATCACCCCTGCCCACCCCCAGCAACAACAACAAAAACCAGCACCATCACCAACAAAACCCCCAAACATACCTAAAATAATGGAATAGCGAAGCATGACAACTTTCATCACAACTAACTCCTTTGGGCTGTGGTGACAGGAGCAATCCCTTCTTGGGAAGCGTGCTCAGGGAATCAAGGTCTGATTTCTGTCACAGCCTGAAGAGCAAGAGCAGAAGGAATTCTCCCTGTGACCTGGCTGACTGCTCTGGAGCCTTCCTTAAGAGAATAGGCCAGGCCAACTGAAATTAAACTTGACACCTAAAACACTCAGCGATGTCCTTGTAAACATTTGCAGCATGGCAATATCAGGCTTCCGTTTTTAAAATTCTGATATATTTGGCAGAGGGAAAAGTACCTCAGAGCATAATGTCCATTAGCTCAGTAATGAGACCGGTCTTGCTCTGGGAGCTGCCTGTTAGTCTGGAGCAAACATAAGACATATTAAATGGCTTCAGGTGTTTCAAGAATCTCTGTACTTTCCAATCTGATGTTTTCCTGTAATTACTGTGCTTTTTATTAGCTGTCAATCTCAGTTCAGGCTGACACTGGGTATAAGCCATGCTGATTATTTAATGTGATTCACTAGAAAAGTGTTACTCTTCCAAGCTGTTCCTTTCTTTTTTGTTCTATGACAAGCCCACCCACCAGCCTTCACTGCCAAGAAGTCTTTCTGTCTCCACCCAGTGAATGCCACCTCATCTGATTTCCATCTACTGGCTGGCCAAGGATGCAAGAAATCCGTGGGCAGAAGGCAGTACTGAGCAGTTTAGAAGATAGTTTTTTGAGTCACTGACTTTGACTCTGCTTCTTCTACTCATTAGAAAGGTAATTTGAAGCAAAGTTGCTTAGCTTTTCTGAGCCCCATTTTTCATCTATGACACGAAGATAGTAAAGCCAAACTCAAAGGGAAGCTTTGCCATCTCAAGTAATGGTGCACCTTCTACCCAGGTGCTCAAGCCCAAATTCAAGGATCTTTCTTGATACCTCTTTTTCTCTGCCCTTTACAACTCAGACAATCCTGTTGGGTCTATCCTACTACATATGCCCCAGATCCTACCACTTCTCACCATCCCTGCTGCCACCATCTTCATCTAAGCCCCCATTGTCTTGTAGTTCCTGCAGCACTCTTAGCTCTTAAGTTCACTTCTTTTATTCTATCTTTTATATTTCTGTTCCTATGTAGATCCTAGGGTCCCCTTTAATATGTAAATCAAATTATGTCACTCACCTGCTTAGATCTTACTATTTGCTTCTTATTGCTTTTGGAATAAGAAGCCAAACTTTATTTTATATTTATTTTTATATTTACTTTTATAATTTTAACTTTTATTTTAGATGCAGGGGTACACATGCAGATTTGTTACATGGGTATAATGTGTGATACTGAGTTTTGAGGCATGAATGATCCCATCACAAATGTAGTGAGGATAGTACTCAATAGTTTTTTCAACTCTTGCCCCATCACTCCTTCCCCACTCTAGTAGTCTCCAGTGTCTATTTTGCCATCTGTATGTCCATGAACACCCAATGCTTAGTTCCCACTTATAAGTAAGAACATGTGGCATCTGGTTTTCTGTTCTTGCACTAATTCACTTTGGATAATGGCCTCCAGCTGTATCCATATTGTTGTTGCAAAGGACATGATTTCATTTTTCATGGCTGTATACTATTCCATGAAAAGCCAAACTTTAAACTGAGCTCTGTGTCATGGCTCTCAAGATCTGCAGCTTCTATCCTTGTGTATCCTTTCAGCATCATCCTGTACAGAACTCTCCCTTGCTTACACTGTCATTTCTCTACTGCTTGCTGTCTGATATACTTTATGTTAGCAATTCCTCCCACCCAAGCCACTCTTCTCCTCATGTCTGCATGATGACTTTTCCACGTGTTACCTCAGACCGCCTCCCCAGGGAGGCTTTCCTTGACCACTCAATCTAAACTGTTCCCTTTCCCACCTACTGTAACTACCTCTCATCATCCAGGTTTTTGTTTAAATTCATGTATCACTACCTAAAATAATCTTAAGATAATATTTGTACATCTACACGTTTAAGCTCCCCGAAAGGAGGGACTTTGTGTTATTCACACAGTATCTTCAGCACCAAGGACAGTGCCCAGCACATAGAAGGTGTTCAACAAATATACTTTGCAAAGAATAAGTGAATGATAAGCCATGTAAAGCACTTAACCACAGTGTCTGGCACATAAGGAGTGTGAAATAGATGTGTTTATTGTGTTTTAAGTGTCCCCATTCTTCCAGTAAGCAGTTCCTGATCTTTTCTGACTGGGTAACTAGGATAATATTTTCTAAAGCCCAGTATTTGGAATCTGCATATGTCATAACCACCTTCAGCACTAAATGACCTTCAGAGGGAGGTGCAGGAAATCCCATTAGTTTTTTTATTTAATTCCATTCTATTTGTAAAATTATTTTTAACAGCTTTATTGAGATTAATTTGCAAACCATAAAATCCCTCAATTTAAAACATGAATTAAAAATAATTTTTTTGTATATTTAGAGAGTTGGGCAACCATCAGCATGACCTAATTTTAGAACATTTCCATCATCCTGAAAAGAAATCTCATGTCCATTTATAGTCACTGTCCCTTCCATGTCCAGCCCTAGGCAACCACTAATCTACTTTTTATCTCTAAAGATTGGCCTTTTCTGGACATTTCGCATAAATGGAACAATAAAATATATAGTCTTTTGTGTCTTGTTTCTTTCATTTAGCATAGTAATTTTGAGGTTCATCAAAATTCAGCGTCATCTTGTACATATACACATATGTATCTAGCATGTGTCAGTACTTTGATTATTTTTGTCCATACCACATTTTGTTTATTCAGTCATCATTCGATGTACATTGGATTTGTCTCCATTTTTTGGTTATTGTGAATAATGGTATTATAAACATTCACATACAAATTTTTATGTGGACATATGTTTTCATTTTTTTTCTTGAATGGAAGTCTAGCAGGGGAATTACTGGGTCATATGACAATTTTGTTTAACATTTTGAAAAACTGCTAAACTACTTTCCAAAGTGGCTACACCATTTTATATTCCCACCCACTAGTTCCAATTTCTCTACATCCTTGTCATCACTTAGTACTGTCTCTTTTGATTATTCTAATGGGTGAAAAGAAGTACCTCACTGTGCTTTTGATTTGCATTTTCCAAGTGACTAATGATGAACATCTTTTCATGGGCTTATTTATGCCATTATTCTCAGGCTTTCAATTGCATCTACTATGCCCCACCCTCCACCCTAAATAAGTGCCACCAAAGCTAAGTGATTCTATTGGGCTCCAAGCCAACATTCAGCTGACTTCTCTGGGAGCCTTGTATGTGGAGGCCCCACTAGCCACAGGAGATGAAGTGAATTTTCTAGTCTTAGCTAGCAAAATTTGGGTACCTCTCTATACTTAAGGGTGTTGTTTAAATGGCCCCTCTCTCTTTCTATTCTCTGTACAACACCCTTAAGTCTAGAGAGGTAAACCCAAAGTGAAAAACAGAGTGAGCAGTAGCTGGGACATATTTTTATATGGGATCCAAATTTTGCTAGCTAAGGTTAGAAAATTCACTTCATCTAGTCATTTACATTAAAATGAGCTTCATAGACTTATGGAATAATATTGTTGCAGAAATCTCAGAGATGATCTAGGCCAGCAATTCTCACAGTGTGGTTCCCAGGCCAGCAGCAACAACAAAGTCTAGGAACTTGCCAGAAATGTGAATATTCAGGCACTGCCCTAGACCTTCTGAATCAGATGCTCCATGATGGGGCCCAGCAATCTGTGTTTTCCCAAGCCCTCCAGTGCTTCTGATTCATCCTCAAGGTTAAGAACCACTGGGCTGGGCCAGCATCCTCATTTTACAGAAGAAGTGGAACCTCAGGGGGCTATGGGATTTGTTCAAAACCATACACGAAAGGTAGCATCTGGGATGAACCCCAAGTCTCCTCACTTCTAAAAATCCAAGAAAATCCACCTGTATCCATAGACTGTTCAAAGTCACTGGGTACTCACCGAAAAGGAATCCTTAAATAATAGTACACTTAAGTTGCAACCTAGAAGTGTAAGTGGTTTTAAGGAAACAGACAAATAAGAAGGAACATCCCTTGTTTGACATGCTGCCCTCACTCTGCAGGCTGCCTTCCTCTGCACCACCTGCCTGCTTATTTGGAATAAGCAACTGGGAATCGCTATACAGCATTTCAACCCCCAATTACAGGAAAGATGCTGAATGCCTTTGTGCATGGCTGGCGGTTTTGCTTACCCCAGAAGCTGGGCCATGGGGGGCTACTTTCAAGCCAGGACATCCCCTTAGAGGTGGGACAGTCAGGACTCACCTTGCTGTTGTGGGTTTTCTGCTTCCCTCAAAAGCTATGTTGAAGCCCTACTCTCTGGTACCTGTGAATATGATCTTATCTAGAAACAGAGGTTTTGCAGATGTAATTGAGATGTAAGTCAGGGTGAGGTCATACTGGATGAGGGTAGGCTCTCAATCCAGTCACCGGTGAAGTTATAAGAAGAGACACAAAACACAGAGATACACAGGGAGAGCACCACGTGATGACAGAGGCAGAGATTGGGGTGATGCATCTAGTAGGTGAGGAACACGGAGGATTCGCTGGCAACCACCAGAAGCTGGAAGATGCAAGGAAGTATCATTCCCTAGAGCTTGCAGGGGGAACAAGCGCTGTGCCAACACCTTGATTTCATACTTTTAACCTCCAGAACTGTGAGAGAGTAAATTTCTGTGGTTTTTACACAGCCGATTTGTGATAATTTATTCTGGTAGCCCTAAGAAACTAATACTTTGCCACCAACAAGGTCGCTACCCTCTGCCTAACACCCTCCCACCAGTGCCTCGACTTTGCAGTTCTCCTCCTTTGTCTTGCAGCTTTCACCTTTCAGGTCATTCTCTGCGCAGCTGCCAGAGTGGGGTTTCAAAGCATAGCTCACACCACTCCCTTCCCCTGCTTATAGAGTAAAACTGAGTTAATTACCTGGTTGGAATCTTGTCTGCCTCATGGCCCTCACTCATTTCACTCCCCACCCTACTCTCTATTCTCCGGCCTGGCTGATTTCCCTCTCCTTTCTGTTCCTGGGAAACAGTAAGCATTCCTTCTCTGGTCTCCAGCCTTTGCTTTCCCAGTTGTTCATAAGCTTGGCTCCTCATCGCTCAGGTCTCAGCTTAAATGTCACCTCCTCCAGGAGGCCCTTCCTGACTGCCTCCCCCACTTATTCTATAACAACGATGTTACCCCACATAACACGACTAAGTGTTCAACTAATGTGCCAGGACCTCTTCCGAGCCCAATACATACGTTATCTAACCTAGTCCTGAAGACAGCCCCAAGAGGCAAGTTCCACCATTCTCTCCTTTTTAACTAGATGAGGAAGTTGAGGTACAGTTCACCACCTCTCATGATCCAATTTGTTTCCTTCATGGTAATTATCAAAATCTTTAATGATTTAAACTTTTTAAAAATTTCTGTATTGTCTGTTCCCTGCCACTAAAACAGGAGTGCCATGAGGCAGCGATTCTGCACAGTGCATGGCATACAGTAGGTGTTCAAGAAATAGTTAAAGAAATCTCTGTGCCTCAGTGCCTCACTTTCTCAGCAAGCAGTAGATGATTTTTCTCTGTCCAAAGGGGGCATGGATGAGTTGTCAGTGGGACAGGCCTATTTGTTTCTTTTCTGAAATGCTAGTACATTGGTTGATGTTACGCACTGGCTCACCTCAGTGCCTTCAAATAACTCCCTGATGTGATTTCCTTCAAAGGTCACTCGTATGCAATTACTTCCTCTAGGAAGAGATTGGACATAAAGGCCCCCTGCGCTCATTAGAACAAACAAAAACCTGCATTTTCATTAGAGTGAGGTGATATTTAATGTGGCCCGACAAGCCCGATTCCACAAAACTGGCTTCTCTGGCCTCTGCTGTTTGAAATGGCCTGAAGATAAACATAGCATGGCTCGAAATCTGGAAGATAACTGAGAATTAATGGTCAAATGCAAAAGAATTATGAGAACTTGGAGTCGTATATATAGCTGAATTACATTGGGGGAAAAATCTGAGGTTTCAGTCAACCAAATGAGAAAAATATTGAATTGACCAGAATCATAAATACAGTGTTAGAGTGGAGAGAGCACTGGCTTGGGAGTCAGGCTGGGGCTCAGATCTCAGTTCAGTCATCTATTGGTAGGTACTTCCCTACTCTCAGTCTCAGTTTTCTCATCTATAGAATGACTATGGTAGACACTCAGTAAGGAGCAGCTATTAGTATTATTATGGCTCAATTGTTACAGATATAAAGAGAGCCATGTAGAATAACCTGTCAGTGCCTCTCCCCTCATATCCAGCCACTCACTGACCCTGCTGACCCAACCTCCTGTATGTCTGTTGACGTTAATCATTTCTATCTTCCTGCAGGTTGCTTCCCCTGACTCCACCCCTGGTTCAACTCACTATCTTTTTCACCCAGTCACTGCCATGCCTCTAAGCCAGTCCTCCTACATCCACCTCAATCCATTCTCCATACCAGCCAGAGTGGCTTTCTAAAATGCACTTTTAATTAGGAACTCCTTGGCAAGTCCCTCTGTATCTCATGCCTCTCATGGTTCCTCTCTACTCCAGCCACACTGCCTTTGCTCGACCTTGTAGCTCCAAGTGGCACTATTCATAAAGTCTGGTCTCAGGTCTTTGCACGTGCTTCCCCTGGAACCCAAGTCTCCTCAATTGTAAACCGGAGCAATAATACTGACCTCGCAGAGTTATTTTGTGACTTAACTGAGATAATAATAATATTTAAGCTTACCCTCTCTGCCTTTCGCTGTCTATGATTTTTGGAACTCCTTCATCTCCCATTCAAAGCATCACTTTCTCAAGGATCCTTCCCTAAACTCCAAGACTACTGAAGCACCCTGTTTCTCCCTTTATAATTCTCATCATATTGACAATCACTGATTCAATGTCTCTCTTTCCTACAAAGTTGCAAGGTTCTGAAGAACTAGGTTCATGTTTGTGTTGGGTTTAAGTCACCACAATATCCCCAGGACCTAATACACAGTAGGTACTCACTATATATTTGCTGTACAAATAACTAAATTAGTTAGTGCATGTGTGAGAACCATTCCAGAGTGATAGTCTCTCCCAGGTTTTCTGTTTGGGTTTCCATTCTATTTTTACATGCTTGAGTATAGAGCAAGAGACAAAACTATCCCAAATCAAATATTTAATTTGGAGCAAATACTCATTTTTCTCATAAACAACTGAATAGCTCAAACTAAACCAATTACACTTAACCTGACTTCTATTTGTTTTATTATCTAAGTATAAGGGAGGTTCCAGAATGAGTCATCATTTGAGGTTCTGGACACTGACGACTGCAAAGTAGCAAATAACCAGATTGTGGCAGTGTTGATGCTCTGGTTCTCAAGCTGATGGTTTGTTTACTGAACTGCCTGTGTTAGGGGCTCTGAGAGTGGAAGAACGGTCATCAGCTGCCTGGATAACAACTCAGCACCCCAGCTGGAAACACATGAGTAAACAAAATCATAATTTTTCACTTTGCCAAGCTCAGTAAACACCATCTTGATGAGCTACCAGCTAGGCAGCCATTAGCTAAATAAATAAAGCATGAGGGTAGAAACAGGATTATTGACAAAGGCACCGTCTACTCATTTGCTAATCATTGATGGACATTAGCTGTGATGTACCCACTGGGGAGGGACTTTGCCACCTGCTTTAATCTTGCTAAACATGATGCATCCTCTGGGGCCACAGAATGGTTTACTCTGTAGCAGTGAAAAATCACATTTTCTTCTTTTTCCCTTTTATGTGCACAATGCAAGTTATTAAGCACCTACTGTTTATGTAATGGAAACTCTTAGGCAGACTGCCCAGACACAACTGCCTTCACTCCGCTGACTCTGCCCAGATTTGGCAAGGAATTGTAAAATACAAGAAGCAGATTCCTGGCAAGAAGAGATGGAGGCCCCCTGCTCCTTCAAGAAGGCTGGGAGTGAATGGTGGCAGATAGGATTGATAGCTTAAAAGAGTTTCAAGGTTTAGAAAACTTCTTCTTTTCTTAGAAACAGGGAATATTTTTATCCAGTCTTCTTTTCTTGATATTCCTCTTATGGCTTCATCCATTTATATTAGACCTTTCTTGAGATTCTGCTTAAGCACATTAGTAGATCTATAACCTCTTGGAGACTTTCAGGAGCCTGACTCATGGCTTCAGCTGTCCACTCCATAGAGATGTCTCGAGTATTCTAGCTATTCCTCTGTTCATGTCTGGATTCCAACTCCCTGGAGTCCTATGGACTCTTTCTATTTCTATTGACGACGACAATAAAAACCAGGTCCAACTGCCAAAATAACAGTCATAATGACGATCAATTTTTACAGATGAATTTTTATACTATTACTAGCATCTCAGTTAACCCCAATGTAAGCCTGTGAGATCCATATTACCACCTTAGTTTATATTGAGGAAACAGGGGCTCAGGGGTTAAATTGCTCAAGGTCATAGTTTCTGCAGCACAGCTAGTGTCAGTGCTGAGGCCAAAGCCACTCCCACATGTGTGCCTGCTCTTTCCACCATAATATGCAAAACAAAATCAGTGAAAGGACTGGAAAGAAAAGAGGATTGGGGAGTCTTAAAGAAGAAAAAAGAAAACCTACATGAATGGGTTAGTAAATAATAAAAATGGCAGGAGAAATCAGAAAGCAGAGAAACATAGAAATGGGAGGTATTGAGAATACACAGTGACTGTAAAAATTCTAAGGGACCCAAGAGGTTAATGAAGAGACTTAATGGAACAGCCTAGAATTCAGGAGGCATTCAGCCCAGGAACTAACATTTCCACACCACTCAAAAGCTGCTGGTATACAACACACTGCATTCCCATAAATGACATTCATAATGGTGATCCTAAGTCATCAAGAAAAGCTTAAATTAAGTTTTGTTCACTTAGGTAGGAAAGTATAAAATCAATTTGGAACCTTCAACAATAATTTAGACAAATAAGATTTGGTGCTAAATGGGACTGTGCTTATGTTGTTTTAAGCCTCATTTGCTCGTAAAACTCATTTCTCAACCAGGCTTCAAAATGAGGTGTCAGACTACTTTGAAAAGTTACTGCTGAAGGGTAAATGTGTTTTTCTTTCCTCACTCAGGTATGATGGTGATGACTAACTTTCCACCAAAATTCATGCTTTCCTTCCACAGTATGGAGTCACAGATGGAAGTGGCTGCCCAGTCAGGGACTTCGTTTCTAGTCCCCATGCCTCTAGGGAGAGCCCTGTGCCTCCTAATGGAACAGGAGCAGAGGTCATTGGAAAACTTCAGAAGCAACTGTCTTCTCCACTCTCTTTCCCTTTCTGACACCTTGATACACATGGCATAGTAACATTGGAAGCCACACATTGAACGTGACAGAGCCAAAGAACAGAAGGAGACCAAGTCCCTAAACCATGGTTTGGATGAGACATAGTAGAACCTCCCACTTTTTTGACCATGTGAACAAGACAAAAGCTGTCATTTTTGAGCTATTACACATCTTTGGGGATCCCTTTGTGACAGCAGGCAATGTAACTATACTCGTTGTTTCAGAAGCCAGGAAACTTTCTCTTTTTTCCACTTATTGTACTAAGTGGCTAGAGTGCAGGAGTCATGTGTTCTTTCTAAAATACAGTTCTGATCATGTCACTCCAACGTAATGATCTTCTGTAACCCCCTCATCCCTAAAGAGGGAAGTCTATATTTCTAAAAGTGACCCTTTATAGCTTATTTTCCACTGATCCATTTCAAGAACTCTACACATGCCCACACTGGACCACCACCCACGTATCCAAATGTAACCTGTCCTTGCCTTTCCTGTTAGAATAGCCTTCATCTGAAATGCACTCCCAGCTGTCCCAGCTGCAGTTTTTGACAGCCAACCCAACATTCCAGGTCCTATGTAAAAGCTACTTATTCAGCAGAGTTGTCTTTAATAATGATTGCTTGGGTTCAAATCCCATCACTTACCAACTGTTGACTTTGGGAAAATTTCTCAACTTCCCTGTGTCTTAGTTCCCTCACCTATAAAATAATGGTAATGCTAGACCCGAGCTCATAAAGCTGTGAGGGTTCAATAAGCTAATCTGTAGAGGAGCTTCCACCTCCTCCACTGCTATCAGCAAACCCCACTACTCACTGCAGTTATTTCTTCACCAAACTCAGCCATTTGTGTGTCACTTCATTGGGAGACAGAATAACTTTCTTTTTCTTTGTGTCCCACACTGTCCCACAAAGTGTTTTAAATATAAAAGACACTCAATAAATGTTGGTTGAATGAATAAAAATATGAATTTCTGAAGCTGCAGAAAGTGGGTTTCGGCTTTCCATTCGTTCATGTGTCACTTGAAGGACTATGATGTTTCCTTCCAGCTTGATTTCTAATAAGAGTACAGTGAGGTCTTTTGATGTCCTGAAGTTTTGAAGAGGCTCTGATCATTTTTCCAACCTCCAGTGAGATTTTCCATCCTTTGATTGTGGGAACCTGATTTGCTAGGAAGTTTTGTTTCGGTTTTTCAGGTGCAAGACTTAGTGAATTTCTCTGGCCAGGTTAAGCAGCAGTGGTCACATTCTTCTTTTGTGCTTGTTTCTGGACATGCCTTAGGTTTCAGTGATACCCAGGGCTTGTCTTAAGAGGCCAAAGAAGGGTTAAAGAATTTGAGGCTGCAAGGACTAAATATCCTTTAGAGCTGACAGTGTGGGAGGCACAGGGCAGAGGCCACTGGAGAAAGGCATTGTTAAATACAGAGCCTTGACAGACTGCAGTCCCCACTGCCCTGGCCCAGCTCATTTTTAGTTGCACTCGGGGCTGATGTGATGTTTATCTCAAAAATAAGACTTACTCAGGAGGGATACCAGAACTGCAAATCAGTGTTTTGTCAAACACAAGAGGACATGTCTCTCTAAAGCACTATTGAAGTGTAAAAATACTGAAACAATAAAACTCCCCCACTCATTAAATGATATCTGGTATTAAATAATTCCAATTCCTAATGAGATTTTCCACTTGGACGGCACATCAGAACATCACCACCAAACACGTCTAAAGCTGAACTCAACTTCAGTCTCCCCAGATCTGCCACTCTGTCTTCCATGCAGTGAAGGTTGTAATCCCACCTGGCTTCCCATGCCAGAAACCCGGGAGTCACATTAAACCCTCCCTTTCCTTCTCCTCAACAAATCAATCATTAAGTCTTATAACCCTCAATTTCTCTCAACTCTGCGTCTCCCAGTTCCCATTGTGCTCCTCAGTCCAGCCCTCCACCATCTCTGCCCTGAATTACTCCAACTCGGTTATAATGGTGGTTTGTTTGCCAGCATTTCTCAGGAGATTGCAGTCGCCTTGCCTTGGGATGTTGTCTTATTTACAGAGCTTGGCACAGTTTTCAACACACACAGTAAACGCTCAATAAATGGTCACCCCTCTTAAGCTCGCACTTCCAGCAATTGGAAGAGGCCAATGGGAAAGTATACTTCACCCCTGCCCCCTAATGTAGGTGCTCTGAGACTTGGTCATAAGCCCAAGTAGAAGAGAACCTGAACACCTTTCAATTTATCTTTGGTGTAAAGGGCAACATGTGTTTTTGTTGTAAGTGATTAGAAGGCAGGAGATATACCTTTGGGGACTGAGTACATTACAGAACCGTGAAAGGATCCAGAAGCACTGAGCAGTGGAGCTGGCACTGGCACCTGCTGCTTGCTTCTGTCATTAACTTTCGTTGCTTTCTGTCTTTGGAGTGGAGGTGAAGAAACTCTCTTGTCAGCACCACCTCTCCCAGACTCCCATCAACCTGGGGGAGCACCTACACTGGGGAAAACATTCTTGGACTGCTGATGACCCAAACCACTGTGCGCAGTGCCTGCCTTGCTCTTCATCAGTTTGGGGACAAGCCTGTGGGGCAGGAGCCAGAATCCAGGAGTGTGTTCCACAGCACAACACTTGTACCTAACACATTTTCATTCATTCATTCATTCATTCATTCATTCATTCATTCATTCATTCAGAAAGTGTTCTTTAGTGGTCCACTATCTTCCAGGCACCATTCTGCAAGCTAAGGATGCCAGAGACAGCTAATGAGGCTGAATCTCTACTATGAAGGAGGCTATATACAAACTGGGAAGATGGACTGTAAATCAATAAATAAGTAAAACATGTGCAGTGGTTGACACCTGCTGTCCTTTCTCTGCTGACTTTGCAGAGCCCTGCATATTATGCTGCTGCTTGGCACATGGAGCCAAGGCTATGTGTCCCCTCTTCTGGGGGGTTGGTAAGCTTAGCCCTCTGAACCCCTCTCAATGACACCTCCACAAGCCAGTGCCAAAGCTGGAATTACGCCCCTGAGATGAATCAGTCCCAGCTCCACACAAAGACTGACCAGCCAGGATGCATGTGTGTGCCTTTTAGAAGGCAATTTTAAATGCAATTGGCCGTGCTGTGCCCTTATATGGAGACAGCAGGATAGGTGAGAAAGAGGAGGAAATTAACATAAGAGGAGCAGAGGGTTATCCAGAGTGCTTACAGGGTCTGGGCAGGAGGGCTCCCCTGGCTAACAGGCCAGGACTCTCTCCTTAATCATATCTCCCAGGGCTCTTTTTTCCAAAGAAAATGGCAGCAGACAGGTCAAAGATAGCATGCATGACCTTTAAAATAAACCACATAAGTGCCATGGAAGAAAGAGAAGCCCTGGGAGGCGAAGGAACTTGCCCAAGGTCACCCAGTGAGTTACTGCCAAAGCCAAGACTAGAATTCAGGTTAGAACTTACAGTCAGTTCCTCTTCCATTTTGTGGTGCTGCCTCCTAAGAGAAAATCTTGGAGAATAATCTTCTTTCCTGAAATCAGCCTTGGACGAGGCTGGGCCTCCCTATGTATGTGAGCTTTGTGATAGAAGACTGAGCTGACCTGCCTGTGTTCATGTTTCCCACCCGTGGAGGGTGGGTGGGTCTCTGGGGCCTGGCAGCTGGGGCCCTGTAGCTGCAGGGGAGAAGACTGCCTGGAGGAGGGGCAGCAGGAGGGAGGGAGCCTGAGTGGGACTGGATGACCCGGCACAGTGGACGAGGCTGTGAGCCCACTGACCTATGTCTTTCCATTGACCCCCTTCTCTCACTTTCTTCTTCCAAGCATCCTTACCATGTTACCCCCAACTGGTCACCCCACCACAGCCTCCGGGCCACCCAAGGATCCCATGTGGCTACAGATGCACCCCATGTTCCAGACCTTTATTAGTGACATTTTCTGATCAAAATTGATCTACTCTATGATCCATTTTTTTTTTTTTCAAGACAGTCTTGCTCTGTCGCCCAGTCTGGAGTTCAATGGTGTGATCTCGGCTCACTGCAACCTCCACCTTCTGGGTTCAAGTGATTCTCCAGAGTATCTGGAATTACAGGCATCTGCCACCACACCTGGCTAATTTTTGTGTTTTTAGTAAAGAGGGGATTTCACCATGTTAGCCTGGCTGGTCTCAAACTCTTGACCTCAGGTGATCCACCCACCTTGGTCTCCCAAAGTTCTGGAATTACAAGCGTGAGCACACGGGCTCCATGATCCATTTTTAACAGACTATTTCAGGTTCATAGACACAGTTGATTCTCACAAAGTAAATTGTGTCCACGCGTAAGAATGTAAATTCTAAAGCCAAAAGGGATAATGGTGGTGGAATATTAGGTATTTTAAAATTTTTAATAGGATGGCTGGGGAGTGCAAGACTTCAGAATCGATCAGGCTTTCCAGTACCTCTTAATGCCTATTATGTTTATGCCTATACCCAGGACAAAGAGAATCCACAGACAGAGAGAGAGCCTGGAGCGGGGGAAGGATACAGAAGAAGGTAGAAAGGGCAGAGGCAAGAAAGAGGACCTGTCTGGTGAGGGGCTGACTAAGGAAGGTGGGTCACAGCAGATGGAGTTGGGAGAAAGGAAGCTTCTCTAAATCCCTGAACTGACCAGCTGGGGATTCTGGTGCTCTGTGGCTGGTTAGGTCTTGGTTTGCTCCAGAGCAGGACTGTGGACTACTGAATAGCCATGCCATGGTGCCTTCTTAGGCCCAGATCATATCTTGGCTCAGGCTCCACAGGCAGTCCACACTGCCCCTTTGTTCTCTGCAGGGAGCTTCTGGGTCTCACATATCAAAGTCCCTTGCGAAATCCCTAGAATCAGATCCCGCCCTGGAGACCTTCCCTGGCCATCCAGAGCACACAGTGCTAGGCAGAGGTGAGATGCTCCCCAGCCCGCCTGGAGGCACCTGCAATATGAGGCCCGGAGGCTGGAAAAGGGCACAGGCTTTTCAGTGAGCCCCTGGGAGATGCTGTCTCCTGTCCTTGGCCTTCCACGCATCTTATAAGTTCCTGTACCAGTAGCAAGATTCTGAGTACTTGGAGAAGGGGAGGTGATATTAACATGAATCAATTCATTCATTCATTCAAGAAATATCCTGAGAGTCAGCTCTTTCCAAGGACCACCTTAGGTACAGGGAATACAGTGGAGAGTAAAACAGCCCCAGCTGCCCTCACCAACATGCGGTTTGGTGGGGAAGACCAATATTAACCAAAGAATTGCACAAATGCAAAATTACAACTGCAGCCAATGCTATGAAAGAAAAGTACAAGGTCTTACGAGAACATTCTCTGTGGGGAGCACATTGGGTCAGCTGCAGGGTGTTGGAATAAAGCTGTGGTCCTGGCTTCTGGGAAGCTCCCAAGCTTCCAGGCCCACACTGACCAAGCAGCCCTTTCCTCTGCTGCCTGGGGCCTGGTTGCAGCTTGTTATCTGGGCTCTCTCAGATCTGTCTCCTTAACAGTGACCCTTTTATTCATGTGTATATTCTCCAGTAGATATAACTGAGGCTGAATTTTGAAGTTAAAATGTGAAGCAAACCCATGCGGGCTTAATCTGCCAGCATCAGCACAGGACACCTGCTCATGGCACCCCAATGACTACCCCCATCCGGCCCCTTTGAGAAACTGTTCTTCCTGCTTTGTAGCTCACACTCTTCTAGTTGGCGCTACAATGACCCAGTTCTACCAGGCCCCTGTGCTCAGCCTCACCCTTCCCTGTGGTGCTGGATATGATAATAATTTTAAAAAACAATATAATAAAGTGCAACAGATAGAGAAAAAACTGCCCACTCTCAATCTAACTGTGAAGGCTCCTGCCTCCTTCAGTGCCAAGATTTCTGAGCTGTCCGAGATTTCACCTCTGCTCTGACACAGTTCCTTCTTGACTTGTGCCATCCTGCAGTTCTGAGTGGCTCTGGACATTATAGCTCCATGCCGCTTTGTCAGCACAAACCTCCAGTTGCTCTGCCTGCCTCTCAGTGGGAACCCATGCTGGAAGAGCTTCAATGGTGCTTACCGGGTTCCAGTCTCTGCCTGGTGCCGGTGGCCCTGAAACTAAGTCATGGAGAGTATTACAGCTTTATGCCACTGTCACCATGCACAGAGCTGTACCTAGGGATGTGCAAGGGGGTTTTAGTTTGTTATATGGAAAAATGAGTTTCTATTATATGCAGGAGAAATCCCCAATGTATTAGTTTGCTAGGCTGCCATAACAAAATACCACTGGTTGCGTGGCTTAAATAACAGAATCCCTCCCCGCAACAGTTCCAGAGGCTGAAGTCCAAGATCAAGGTGTTGGCAGATTGGGTTTCTTCTGAGTCCTCTTCCCTTGGCTTGCAGGGGCCTGCCTTCTCACTGTGTCCTCACATGGTCCCTTGGCCTGTGTTTTCAGTGTCCCAACCTCTTCTCATAAGAACACCAGTCATATTGAATTAGGGCCTCTCTAAAGGTCTCATTTCAACTTAATTACCTCCTTAAGTACGTCCTGCATCTTCAAATACAGTCACAGTCTGAAGTAATGGGAATTAGGACTTCCACGTACAAATTTGGGGAGACACAATGTGGCCCATGACACCAAATTTGCCAAGAAATATATATCCATAAAGAACACAGATGGTAGAGGAAGAAAGACAGGAGGGGTCTGAGATGTCACTTCTCCTAAAAGGGCCAATACAAAAAAGTATCCCATTTTCAGAGGTGAGAACAAAATTGGGAATGAAATCTCGCAATTCCAGAAAACCCAAGTTTTTAAATATTTACTTTTTCACAATGGATATAACTGGGTCTGAATTTTTAAGTTAAAATGCAAAACAAACCCAGTTTCTTAATGCTTAAACTTTACTGGTCCATAGTGTGACCTTACTGAGGTATAAGAGACCACAGCATCCTCCTTTGAGTTTCCTATAAACTAATAATCAAATCATTAATCTAGCCTAGGTTGCTTTAAAGTTTTGAGTCCCATGATTCCCTCTATTTTCTGGACACAAGCCTTCATTTAAAGGACACACTGAATCTAATATTGTTGTAAGCAAATACTGCATTATATTGGCTTTCTTGGCTGGCATATTTTAGGGGTACAAACTTCAAATGAGAAATTAAAACTTTTCACAAAATACTTTCTTGGGTCTGGAAAGGTAAAATTTCAATGCCAAAGCATGTGTTAAACTGGAAGGGTAATATCCTGTGTCTATAAATTTCTTGGGGTCTCAGTTTTGCTAGGAAAGGTGCAGGTATATTATAAAGCAAGGTTTCTGCTTCAGAGAGGTGTTCGCAACCTCCTTAATTTTCTGCTTTTATGGATTCAATGGCAAGTGAAAGCTTTCATTAGAATAATTAAAACACTACTCTCCTGCAGAAGAGAGAAATGATTCATGCTGGGCTTCTAGGAACTGGCCACTTCCCAGATAGCACTTCCCTAGATGTGCATTTTGTTGGCTGGGGGAAAAAAGACAAACGGGGGGCGCAGCACAGACTGCTGAATGGCATGACAGCATCTGTGTATGAAAGGCATTTCTGTTCTTATTAGGAGGTGTGATTACATGGCTCTCAAATTTCCCCTTAAGCCTCCTGAGATGTGTGTGAGGTGCAACCTTGTAAATTGTCAGCACATAGAAAGCTAAGATTTAGAGAGTGGTTTTCCAATGTGCATCCTATAAAATGTGTCCCATGAGGAAGATTAGTATCAATCACAGGCTTATTGGAGAGGGAGATGGGATCCAATGATAACCTAGCACTATCAACTAGAGTAATGGTCTAAGAAGAAAAAGCAATCAGAGAGGAGAAAGGAATATCCACAAAGAAAGACAGAAGTAGAAAGTCAGAGTGCAATGTATCATATTGATGAACAGGAGCTGTTATCCAGGACAAAGGCTCATGTGAACAATGCAGGTTCTCACACAATTGGATATTGCCTATTGCTTATCTTAAGGTGGATGGGAGGAGACACACACATATCACATCAAGTCATCAAGCATCCTGACTTGAAGTATGGCGGCAACAAAATATAATGAAGTCATTAATACTCAGGAGTCTTACCTGTACTATTTGGGAATCATTTGCTAATTCCAGAGGGTTCTATAAGAGGAACCACATTCTAGTTTCACAGAGAACTTCATCTTGGAAACAATAAAAGCAACATACCCCCTGCCCCCAACCAATTTGGTTTCTTGGATTCTGGTAGAATTATTCAAGTCATTATTCCTCAGGATGTGAGTTTACAAGCAGGGGATGGAAGAAAGGTTTGAATACTTTTTTAAAAAGAGACTGGTTTGACTACTTTTTTAAAAAAGACTGATTTGAAGTTTTTCATCTCCTCAAATTCTTTGACACTTCCCCATCAAGAGGTAGAATCTAGTTTCACTTGCCCTAAATATGGGCTCACCTTAGTGTCTCACCTGCGAAGAACAGAATGCAGTGGAAAGTGTCACTGTGTGGCTTCTGTGGCTAGATTAGAATTGGTGATGTGGCTTCTGCCTGGCTCTCTGTCTTGGGATACTTGATGCTGCAAACCAGCAGCCATGCTGTGCGGAACCCCGGGTAACAACAAGAGGACATCTGTAGGTGTTCCTGCCTATAGCTCCTGCTGAGGTGCAAGCCACCAGCCAGCATCAGCCCCCAGAGGTGTAACGGAGCCTTTAATGATTCCAGCCTCAGCCTCCATCTAACTGCAAATTTCAGAATTCTGAGAGATAATAATAATGAACAATTACCAAGTGTGGGGTAGTTTGTTACTAGGTGCATTCAGTAAGAGGCATGGCATAAGGCCGGGCACAGTGGCTCAGGCCTGTAATCCCAGCACTTTGGGAGGCTGAGGTGGGCAGATTTCTTGAGTCCAGGAGCTCAAGACCAGCCTGGGCAACATGGCAAGACCTCATCTCTAAAAGAAATACAAAAATTAGAGGAGTGTGGTGGTGCACACCTATGGTCCCAGCTACTTGGGGAGCTGAGGTGGGATGATCGCTTGAGCTTGGGAGGTGCAGGTTGCAGTGAGCTGAGACTGTGCCACTGTACTCCAGCCTGGGTGACAAAGTGAGATCCTGTATCCCCACACTCCCCAACAAACAAACAAACAACAAAGGAAACAAAAGCATGGCATAAGCTTCATTCTCCCTACGCCCCAAATGCTAGCTCTCCAATGAGAAGGAAGCTAAAAATACTTTGGACTGCCTAACGAGTGCAAGACCCCAGTCTCAAATGTGTCTTAGAACCACATTCTCGGCACTTAAAAAATGTCAATTACACAAGAATCCCCTCAAAAGCATGCTTGTTATCTTCATATACCTCATAAAGAGGCTCCACAGTTAAAAAAGCATGCCCAATTTACAGCTCAGAATGATTGCTGAAGACTTTGCTTAGTGTTATTAGCACAATTAGTTTTCTTTGTCATCAGAATAACATGGGTGCTTGGCTCAATTCTTTACATTATTTTTATAATAAAAAACCAGTCTGACAGGTTTTCATGTAAAATATGTTCTGGATCTTTTGCTAAAGTAGTGTGTTGGCAATGTGGCTGTGTATCTGGAGTTTGATTCCAAGGGCTTTTGATTTTCAGGGCAGTTTAAAGTATAAGATAGGAATTTGGGGGTTAGAAATGAACCATCAGACAGACACTCCTACATTTCCATAACTAGGAACAAAACATCAGTATTTAAATGTGACAAAGCACATTTTTGAAGACATGTGCCAGAGTGGCAGGCACACCCAAGGTGAGTTTTCTAGCAGAAAGAGCTAACCGCCTAAACACTTCAATTGCAACTGGGCAAGAACTTGCAGAAACCCTTCTGCTACTCATATCAGCATGAACAAAGGACTCAGGCCTGACTATTCCACAAAGCTGGGCTAATTATAAATTCTGTGCAGAAGTTCCTCCAGGCCAGCCTTTGGAATTAACTTGAAGTGGAGAATGAGATGATGCTCCAGATAGTTTGGGGAACTTTTTGGAGGAATTGCCTGCATGAACTGCTTTGAGCTCTCCACTTCCCTTCAGCAATGAAGATGCAGGCTCCCGTGGTGAGAATGCATGAGATTTTGCGAGTCTCACACCACAATATGATGAGAACAGAACACAGTGATGAAAACAAATCTGGCACTGAAGGGCTTTCTCTTGCCCAATGTCACCTGTTCTACCAGGCACTTCCACAGTGATGACAAAGTGCACTGCCCTGCAATTTCCCTCAGCTGGCAGAAGGGAGCCTCCTTTTTGTTTCATATATTCTATCTAGAGAGAAGATGTGTTTTCAGTGTTCCATACCAGCAAGCAGTGGTAAGTATTTAATCCCTCTGCCTGCAACAAATGACCTTTGGGAAGATCCAGGGGTATCTCCCCCCTGCCCTGGCATCTAAAGCATATGATTTCTCTACAGTAGAACAGTTTAAGCAAGATAGAATCTTTTTCCCTTCCAAAGCTCAGGGGAATTGATATCATTTCACTGCTTCCTCTAGAGGCTTCAAGGAAGTGATCTGTTCAGTCAGCTAGGAGCTGGGCTGAAGCCATCTGAGTCCCTTCTCAGCCCCTGTCTCTGACTCCCTTGTGAAATGCCATTTGCATCTGTTAAGTGGCTTCCTTGCTTTTCCTGCTTAACAGGATGGTTTTGCAACTCCTAGCAGTTCAGTAAGAAACAAGATATTTAAGAATGATAGTGGACTAATAACAATAATCACCACCATTTATTGAACGCTTATAATGTACCTGACATCCCTTATGTAGAGCTCACTAATCCTCAAAACTTGTGGCAGTTACTTCATTCTTCTCAATGACAGGTCGGAAAACTGAGGCTTTAAAGAGGTTAAATTACTTTTTCAAGGACATTCACTGTGTGGCAGACGCAGGATTTAAACTGAGGCCAGATTCCCAGAGCCCAACTGGTGTAGCACATGTTTCAGCCTCTTGGGAGTGATTAGGATCAATGGCTGTGGAGTCAGTGCTGGGTGATCTGCCTCCTCCTGGCTGTGTGGATTTGCACAAATGGCTTTTCCATTTCTCAGCCCCAGTTCTCCTATCTGCAAGATGTGTACAGTAACAGTTCTCTAGAAACCTATCACTTGGGGTTGTTGTGAGGAATATGAATGTTTGTACCTGGCACAGTGCCTCGTGCATGGTGAGTACTCAGAAGATGCCTGTGCTGCTAGGATTCTGAGTTTCTAACTGTTGTTAAGATTCTTAACTGTTGGTAGGAAGTTGACTTATGATCTATAAAGACTTAGAAGCAAAAATGGGGGTATCGTGATGGTGAGAAGATGAAGGTGCACCAGAATTTTTCTAAAGGGTGGCTCTTTCTAGAACTCTCCTTCCTGCTTTCTTTTTTCTTTATTTTGTGAACCCCTGATACAGTCTTCTTCTTCTTGCCTGAAGTTGCCTAATGGAAGAGAACTCCATCATTCAGAATGAAACATAAACTGCTCAGCGCCAATGAAGGATCTCTGATGGATTTCAGTGTGGGTCTAGGGCTGTCACCAAGGTTAAGGTTAGAAGAGAGCCTAGATGGACTGTGAATTGAATCTTTGGCTCTCCAGATGAAGAAACTGAGGCAGGGCTAATGAAGCCCTTGTCTGTGGACATCCTGAGTAATTCTCATCCCACGTGTAGTGTTCTTTCCATTGTACTATATTATGTCTCTTTACATATTATCTCTGTAATATGACCTCCATATTCTGAAGACTTGTATTTAATATTTAATACCAAATCCCTATCTCACATTCATTCTTTCTCATACTATTGAGACTTACAAAATCCTACGTAAGAACTTTTAATAATATTCAGCAAACCATTACTTTTCCTTCTACAACATAAGGACACAAACCTTATTAGTAACGTGTCAACAGCACTGCAACATTTCAAAATGAGGAGCTTTGTCATTTAAACACATAAAGATAAAACCTAGAATCCTTTGGCCTCCCTTGAAAACTCAGAGGACCTGGATCCCTGGGTCCCTCTTGCTTGTGATGACAGTCATGCAGAGCGGAGCAGCAGCCCTGACGTGCAGAGAGGCCATGCTCCCGTGCCCTTGACCCTCACCCATGCCAGCCTTGCCCATGGAGAGCTCCTTCCTGGTTCCCCTAGGCATTTGTATTTGCACCCCCTAAAATCATACCAGTTGGAGAGCTACCAATTCTACTCTCCAGTGAACAGAGAGTAAGACTGTCTGTCATCTTAATATCTTGTGGAAACATCCCCTGTTCTACTTCATTGACATTCCGATGCTGAAGAATAGAAATTGATGTCAGATGCACTCACTAGAAGTGTCCCCCAGTGTTTACTGCTTGAGAAGGAAGGGAAAGATACTGTGTCTTTACCTTTTTTTTTTTTTTTTTTGCCTTTTCCTGATTACAGAGTCTGAAACACAAGCTTGGACTGGCTTTTTTCTCCCTTCATGCTCACCAACTCAGAAATATTACGAGAAAGCCCAGTCTCATTCCCCTGCCCCCTCTCTTTTGGTTCAATGATTGTACCCGAACTTGGAGCACATAATGCACCATTCATGCCATTGTTAATTTCCCTTCCTTTTAAATTGCTCATGTCACTCAGAAAAAAGAGGTCTTAATAATGGGGCTTATCACATCATTTCTCAAATAATTAGGAGTACATTACTTTCACCCAATTAAAAAGGGAAGATTGAAGAAGTTGTTGAAGATTCTAATTTCAGTGCAGTGTCCCTTTCCCCTTTTGTGGATGTAGGACTGTTGAAAGGCTTGAGAACCATGTTATTTTCTCCAACATGAAACAATTCTAAAAAGAAAAAGATGTCATTTAAAAGGGTGTGCATCCCAGTGAGTTTTTTGAGTGACATACAAAGAGGCCAAGTCAGCGTTCAGTTTACACAATGAAAGCAGCTGGGACAGAGAGCCTGGCCTTAAATCCCAGCTCCATCTCTAATTAGCACCAAGTGACTTTGATCAGATCACTTAGCCCATATGGCCTTCTTTCAGGGGGCAGGGGGTTGGGGGATGTTTGAGTGTGCAATGACCATTGTGCACTTTGTAGAAAAGGCATTACCTCCAGAAGTGCTTGACAGTGACCGAAAGGAAAATTTCAAAATAGCACACATACTCCATAAATATGTGTAATTATTATGTATCAATAAAAAATAAATAACTATTTTTTCCGTCTAGCAAGAATGAGGAGGAGTGGAGAAAGAGGAGGAAGAGTTTCAGGAGGAGGAGGGGGAGGAGATACAGGAGGATGAGGGGGAGGAGATACAGGAGGAGGAGGGGGAGGAGATACAGGAGGAGGAGGGGGAGGAGATACAGGAGGAGGAGGGGGAGGAGATACAGGAGGAGGAGGGGGAGGACAGGAGGAGGAGGAGGGGAAGATACAGGAGGGGAGGGAGGAGATACAGGAGGAGGAGAGGGAGGAGATACAGGAGCATGAGGGGGAGGAGTGGAGAAGGAGGGGATGTGGGGGTAGATGAAGGAGATTTGAGGGGAAGAGGAGGAGGAGGTGGAGGAGGGTGAATTTGGCTAGAGCTGAAACTGAGCCCCCTGCCTTTCAGGATGCTGGGATCAGAGGCCTGGCTCTGAGGAGAAAGCTACTTACAAGCTCACACACGCCTCCCCGAACAGGCCCCTGGGTCTCTCCAGCCCACCTCTCTCCCCTTTTCCTCCTTGTATTTTGGCCTCTAACCTTTTGCCTGTGAAGCCCTGTCTTGCCTCTGGGGCTTTGTATATGCTGTTCCCTCTGCCTGAAAAGCCTTCTCCACCTGGTTCACTCCTGCTTGTTCTTGATGCCTTATGTCATTTCCTCAGCACAGACCTTGCTGGACCCTCTGCCACCCCAAAATTGAGGCAGGTGCCCCTCCTCTGAACCCCCAAAGCACTTCCACTTCAACCGCTTCAGCTCTGTCCACCTTGTATCATTTTTGCCTGCATTCAGGTCTGTCTCCTCCACTAGACTACTAGCTCTTCATTTTAATTAAAACAATTAGAACAATTTTTATTGATACATAATATATGTACATATTTATGGGTGGACTGTGAGCCCTGTGAGGACTGAGCTACAGGGTTCACAGAGTAAGCATTACTTCTGGTGTGTCTTGAGGGTGTTTCTGGATGAGACTAGCATTTGAGTTGGTGGACTCAGTAAAGTAGCTGGTCCTACCCAGTGTGGTTGGCATTATCAGATCCATTGAGGGCCTGAACAGGACAAAAGGTTAAGGAAAGGATTAACAACCTGTTTTTCTGCCTCAGTGCTTAAATTAGGACATCTCATCTCATCTCCTCCTGCTTTTGGACTGGGATTTATATCATCAGCTCCCCTGGGTCTCAGGTTGGACTGATTTACCCTACTGGCTTTCCTGAGTCCCCAGCTTGCAATCTGCTGATCATGGGATGTCTTGGCCTCCGTAATTGCATAAGCCAACTTCTCATAATAAAGCTCCATGTGTGTGTGTGTGTGTGTGTGTGTGTGTGTGTGTGTTTGTGTGCGAGTGTCCTATTGTTTCTGTTTCTCTGGAGAATTCCGACTAATACCGAGTAAGCTCAGTGCTTAATATTGTGCTTAGCACATGGCAAGTTCTCAATAAATATTTGTTAAGGAAGTCATTCAAATTTCTAAACCTTAGTTTTCTCTGCTACAAAATACAGTTTTTAAAATCCTACTCTTTCCACTTTGCAAATCCTTGTGAGGAAAAAGTGATCATTTTTTTCATATGGCCACATTTCCCAGAAAATTCCATTCTGATTATTGTCTAGTGGTTCATCTCAAGTACCAGAGGCTTTTATCAGGTCCCAGTGTGCAAGAAAAAAGGCCAGTTGGCTTGGGAGAACAAAGCAGGTGAGGAAGCTTATGTGGAAATCCGAGTCTGTGTCTCTGCTTTCTTCATGATCTGTTGGCCTACCAGTGGGGCTCTACTGACCTGGGCCGGTGATTGGTTTCAGAAGCTGCCAATCAATGTGGACAAGCACACATTCCATTTTGCATCTTCTGAGAGGGTGGTAGTTACTGTCATAAAATTCACTGCTTGGATCATTCTAAGCCTTTTCCTGGGCAGGGCCTGGGTGGGGGGACCTTCCTTTTTACATCCTTTATTCATAATTTTTCAGAAGAGCTACACTTAATCTGCCATTGCCTCCTGCTAATTGTCTGTAAATCACCCATGTATGAAGTTCCACATGCCTATCCGCCAGCATAAAGTTGAAGAGCCCCACACAGTCAAAGGCCCTGATGGGGAATCCTGTCACTTGGCTGACGGAATGGTAATAGATGTGGAAGTAAGTGATGCATAATGGATCATGGGATTTAAAATCCAGCCTCCACATCTGAGCTGCCGAAAAGGTTAGAGGAAAAGGTTAGAGGATTATGTGGCTGCAACATATCAATTATGAAATAGAAAACACTCTCCCTTCCCCTTCCATCTCAGAAGGTGGTAAACATTTTATACTGATTCCCTCTGTAAGTGCAAAATTCTCTTGCTTTTATGGATGAGGCTGGGGTTTAAGTAAATGGAAGGGATAGGGAAACATGGTCCTAAGAATGGCAGGCAATGATCCTTTACTTATGACTTTACCCACAATTTGGCTTTACAATTGATGGGAAATGAAGTGTGATCAATTTCAGCAAACTGTGCATCATTTCCCATTGACTGACCTGCCAAATCGTTGATTGAATAATTAGTTAAAGTTCAGTCTGAGCAGCTACTTTAAACAGCCCTCTCCAAGACAAGTCTTAATGGCATCCCAGAAAGGCCATCCGACTTCCAGGAGCTGGGACATTAATTGTTTATCCTTTCACTTAAGGTGGTGAGCCCCCGTGTCAATGCAAATAAATATAATAGTCTCTCAGGGATCAATAGCTGCTGGGAGTGGGGCCTTGAGGCAAGTGCTTAGAAATACACAATGTAGCGTTAGGATTTAGGGATGGCTTCTCCTCACACTGGGGATGAAATGCATCCAGAGAAAATATGAGACTAGGAGAAAACAAATCGTAACATGACTGCAGGTTAGGAGAGGATGGTTTTCAGTGATTAAGACAGACAGCAACAGTTGGGTGAGAAAGCTCATAATAAAGACGATACGTAAAATCAAACAACAACCTCCTGGCCAAAACTCAGAAAGCCTTTAGCCCCATGCCTGATTACTTGAGAAGTATCAGCCCCTTTCCTTGACAATTCTAACTTCACAAACGAGGCTGAATGGCTTTTCATGCCTTCCATTGTCCAGGTGAATATTAGCATGAAATTGTGCATAGAATCACAGAGTAGGCTTCAGAAACAGAGTCTGACTTCATATTGAGACCTAGACCCTGGCTTGGGATTCTTGAGGTTGTAGAGCTGGGTGTGGAGATTCCACCAAAAGAGGACATGAGTTGGGGGACCAGCTGGCTAGTTCTGGTTGCTCACCGTGCACCCGCAGGACTGTGGGGTGCCCTTGCCTTCTGTCCTCTTGTGCACACACTGCTCCTTCTGCCAGGGAGGTCTTTGCATATCAGCCTGGGTAACTGCAACTACTTTGTGACATAATGCAAAGCCTCCTTCTTTGGGGGCTTTTTTGCACTTGACTTTCCCAACCCTTAAGAAGTTTAAAGTGCCCTTGCCTGATAGACCATAGGAATTCTCAAACATGTCTATGGAAACACCACATTAAGCTGTTGCTGGTTTTGCTGTCTGTCTCCACCACTCAGTTGTAAGATTCTTGGGAACGAACCATTTTTTTCTTCATTCCTGTATCCCCTAGAGTACTGCCTAATTCAGCCAAAGCACCCAATAAATGTTTATGAATGAATAAATTAATCCAAAGTTCTATTATAAATCCCTTTTCTAATTCACCCATAATCTTCTTTAACTTCAGCTAAAAAGCATCTAGAAAAGTTTGTCATAAAAATCTCTTCCTTGGTTCACAAAGGCCAAGGCCTCTCCCACCAAGAGAAGGATCAGTCGATCCAATTAGGACCTGTCTTTCCCTGTCAGTGCAGAATACATAGTGAAGCTTTCTAGCTTTCAAGTGGAGATTTGAGGAATCTGCTTGCATTTCGTGTCCCCTACTATCCCTAGGTTTTTTCTGGCGTTCAGAGGCAGACTTCCTCCCACTCCCAGGTTGGGTGAAGCCAAGATCTACTTCATATTAGTGCTTTTCCTTATTTCCGGAGCAAGGAGTAACCTGGAATTCCTGTGGATTCCATACTCATGTCAGCAACTGACTGCTGGGGTTCTGCAAAGTCTATTTTTCTATTGGCTGGGACATTATTCCACTGAGTATGTTCCTGGCCACAAACAGATGGTCTAATTTACTTAAGGCTTAAAAAACTCTTAAACATTATTTCTGCAGAGAAGGCATCTTTCTTTCCCTTCCCACAGACTTCTTATATCTCTCTGTTTCCTAGTGATGCAACTCTCTCTAATCAAATTTTGTAAAGCTTCAGGCCACTTGGATCAGCACAGTGTGGTAGTTAAAAGTCTCAGACCTAAGAATCGCCAGGTCTGGGTATAAATTCAAGCTCCACCACTTGACCGCTATGGAACCTTGGGCAAATCATTTAGCTTCTTTGTGCCTGTCTTTTCTCATCTGTAAAATGATGTTACTAATACCACCTCCTTCAAAAAGTCATTGTGAAGATTAATTGCGATAATGTATGTAAAAGCATTCAGAACAATATCTTGTATATAATAAGTAGTACTTACATACAGTTACTATATTATTATCATTATCACTATATTACAAAATAAAAATGTTACTATCAAAATGATTATATTGTATTACAATAGAACAATATCTTGTATATAAGTACTTATATGCAGTTACTGTATTATCATTATCACTATATTATAAAATAAAAATATTACTAACAAAATAATTATGTTGTACTACATACTACATATACAAAATATAAAAACAAAATTATTTTATATACAAAATGAATATCAAATATCATTACAGATAAAATAAAAATAAAACAAGTTCAATTAGTCTAAAGTATAACCTTGTAAAGTACCAATGGGAGATTGTGCTCAAGGACTGTAATTCCCAAACCTTGTCATGCTCTTGAATCACTTGGGATATATGTTAAAAAACAAAAATAACTGGGCTACATACCCAGGGAATATCTCTAATGGCTTTTCTGTCCCCTAGCAGCAAATGAGCACTCGATGACTCCAGGGGTTAAGATGGTGCTGCCTTCAGCAATCACATTTTTAAATCCCCAATTCTCCACTCCAGTTTGAATGTGTTGGTGACTTTGTACAGGCCCGAGGCACCAAGGCACGTAAAACAAGACCGTTTCTACATATCTGAATGCTGCTTGGGGAGGCAGTGTTTCTCACGGCCAAAAGCTCTCATTAGCCTCATCGTCATTGTCCTACTGAGTGCCGCTCTCATGTTACTGCTTCTGTTGTGGCAGACCTTGGAAAAGGCTGAAGCTTACTCCCAGCAAGGGGTCATCTACTTGCCAGAGTCTGCCAGAATATTCTGTCCCCTGCTTTTCAGAGGCCAACAGCAGAACCTCAGACTTCAAGGAAAAGGATCAACGGTTTTAGTCAGTACCCAAACGGCAGGGGATGAAGACATTTCTGCCTCTTGAGGGTCTCCAACATCTGAATGACATGTAGATTTCTCTGGGAAGATAGAAGCAGCTCAACTTTCCTTTCAAATATCATTTTCAGGAGAACTGGTGAATTTAGTCAATTTGTCCCCAGGCTGCAGCTGCTTTTAGAAATAGTCTAAGAAATTCCATTTCCAAACTAATTAGAGCACAATCCTTAAGATCTTTAAGGAGAGGAGTGGTGCAGTGTGTTTAGTCCAGAGTGTTGGGGTGTCCTGGAGCCACAGGGTCAAACGATTGTCAGACATAGCGCCTCCTGGCCTCCTAGAGTTGGAGAACCTGTGCCACAGATTTAGATGGACAGTGTCGCAGGCTGAGAGGGACTACTCCAAGGAAGAACACGTCTCAGAGCTTCCCAGAGCTGCCAAGGGTCACTGCTTGGAAGTGTGTACCCCAACAGTACGAGGCAAGGTTATTTTTATTTTTATTTTTATTTTTTTGAGACAGAGTCTTGCTCTGTCGCCCAGGCTGGAGTGCAGTGGCACGATCTTGGTTCACTGCAACCTCTGTCTCCCAGGCTCAAGCAATTCTCCTGCCTCAGCCCCCTGAGTAGGTGAGATTACAAGTGTGTGCCATCACACCTGGCTAATTTTTGTATTTTTAGTAGAGATGGGGTTTCACCATGTTGGTCAGGCTGGTCTCGACCACCTTACCTCAGGTAATCTGCCCGCCTCGGCCTCCCAATGTGCTGGGATTACAGGTGTGAACCACTGCCCGGCCCAAGGTTGTTATTTTTAAATCAATGACCATCTGCCCTATCACTGAGTTAACACTTATTGATCACTGATTGTGCTCCAAGCCCTGTGTTAGGGCCTGGATAAGACAGACACAGTAAATCATACCAGAAGGGCTGGTGGAAAGTTCTCTGGACACAAAACCCTGTGTCTATAGTGCTGTCACTTCATGGATGGTCACTGGTAAAAATGCCCAAGGACTCTGCTCCAAAGACTTTCAGAGAAACATTTTAATGTGGTTATTGCCACTAGGCTGACAACTTCATTCAATTTTTCTAGCTCCAGTCTAGAAATTGGAAAGAATAGCAAATGGGAAAGGATCAAGGTCACTCTATTAAAAAAAAGTATTTTAGTATTTTCCATAAAAGAGGAAATTGGCAATTTGGCCTAAGAAAATACTCTAAGACTGGTAAGAAAGCTGAAGACACTTCAATTTCCACAGTGATAGAATTATGATTTCCTCAGGGGGAGAAAGATCGCCTATAACAAGGTAGGAGGTGAGACAAAGCGCAAGGAGAGAAATACAGCCCCAGAAGGAAATAAATCCAAGAAGGCAGATCAGCTTCTTGTCACATGGGGGAGGACAGGAAGATGGGATTTTTCCACCTTGTGTTATAGTTGATGTCGCTCATGTAACTCAGCTGAAAAGTTTGCCTTTCACTCTCCTTCATTTCCCCTTTGGATCCCTCTCCTACCCGTAATTTCTTTATCTCTGTGCTCTCCCCAACACCAAAGCCTTGCAATTTCCCCTGCCTACCTGGGCACAATTCACCCTCTCCCTGCGTGCCATGTTTATAGTGAAATTATACAACTTACATGGCTCCTATACCCATGAACAAAAATTCTCTCTCTCTTCTCCTCTTACCTCATGAAACTCCTGTTCCCATCCACCAAAATCTACTCTCAACCAAACTCTCACTGGGCCCAGCTAAGTCCAAAGAGGAAAATACAAGATTCAATCAATTTACAGCTTGGTAGTTGGCTCGTCCATAAAGTCTGGTGGAAAGTTACACAGGAGATATTCTGGGGCTCTCTAACACCTCTAAAATCATTCCAGGTAAGGTGCTAGTGTGTGAAGTGCTAGTTTTTATTGTTGTGGTGGTGGTGGATGGGCTGCTTCTATGGTTCAGTGTTACAGAAAAGTTGCTCAAATAGTGGCCAAGAGCCCAAGTAGGAATTCCTGACTGGCTACACACAAATGGCAAATCAGTTTCATAAATGTCTTTTTCTCAGCTAGGATTGGTGCTAGGGTGGTTCAAAGAGTAACTCCCCTGTAGTTCAGATTCTGGCACTGTGGGCCAGGCCAAAGGCATCAGTTTGTGGTGATGTAACTGTAGATCAGAACAGCATTTATTAAGATAACAGCCTTTAGGCCAGGGATGGTGGCTCACGCCTGTAATCCCAGCACTTTGGTAGGCTGAGGCGGGTGGATCATCTGAGGTCAGGAGTTCAAGACCAGCCTGACCAACATGGTGAAACCCAGTCTCTACTCAAAATACAAAAATTAACCGGGTGTGGTGGCGGGCACCTGTAATCCCAGCTACTCCGGAGGCTGGGGCAGGAGAATTGCTTGAACCCAGGAGGCAGAGGCTGCAGTGAGCCGAGATTGAGCCACTGCACTCCAGCCTAGGAGGCAGAGTGAGACTCCATCTAAAAAAATAAAAAAAAGATAACAGCCTTTAGCTAACATTTTTAATCAAGTGTCCACTGCAGGCACTATGCTACAAGCTTTGCATGCTTTCTGTTAGTGCTGCCAGTTTTATGGGGCAGATAGTGTTATTATCCCATTTTATAGATAAAGAAACTGAGACTCAGAGAGGTTAAGTCATTTGCCCAAGGTCCAAGCTAGTAACGGACACATCTGTCTGACTCTAAAGATCCTAATTTGAATACTACTACATGCTGTCTCCTAATTCTCCCCCACTGAAATACCTGCTTACCCTGAAGCAAAGCTTGACTGTTGTTCAATGAAAGCTCTTGTGCATGAAGTGAGTTTTAGCTGGCAAACTAACCCATGCAGAGAGTCCCAGCCCCTCTGAGCACCAGCTGGACATTAAACCCATCTCATCTCCAGGTACTGATGACATACACTTTCAGTTTATAAAAGTCAAATTTTCCAACAAACTAGTGCTACTTTAAAAATATAGAATGCTGGTCTACTCCCATAGGATTAAACACACATAATAATAATAATAAAATAAAGAAGTATCCAAAGAAAATGTCTGTTGTAGCCATCCATCACTGCTCAGCTGGATGTGACTCTTCAGTGCCCTTTGAGCTGTAAAGATCAGTAGCCCTCCCTCAGGTAGCTATGGGGCCAAAAGTCTTAGCCACAAAGCCTTGCAGAAAGCATAAAGGAAGTGAGAAGCGAATCCATCAGTCTTGTATTAGGTTGGTGCAAAAGTAATTGTGGCTTTTGCCCTTACGGCAAGCCACGGTTACTTCTGCACCAAGCTATAAGGATTACAAGTTAAAAGTCAATCCTAATATCCTCCCACAGGTTTGCATCTGCCTTCTGGCATTTAAATACCTGGAAATTCTAATTAACCAAAATATTTTTCTCTACTCAAATATTAGTAAAAGCACATAGTGGTGAAGAATAGGGAATAAAGAACATTCTTCAAACTTCTTCCTCTTTAAACAATGACAACCACAAAACCTCCTGAATATGTGCTAGGGATCCAAACATTTATTCTCACTCCTAAAACTTTTCCACCTGCAGTAGAATGTAAGTCCCTGGAGAAGAGGAACTTGGACTATTTTGTCAATAGCTGTATACCCAGGTCCTAGAAGAGTTCCAGACATGAGTAGATTCACAATAAGTATTTATTAAATTAATGAATGAACCCTCAAATGGAGAGCGTTGCAGAGGTGCTGGGGCATGTGGTTCAGAGGGCTCTATGCAACTTCAGACATGATTATGCTCCATTCACAGATTTATTACGGCAGGAGAAAGTTTTCAGATAACCCTGAGTTCACGTCAGAATACTGAATCAAGCAGTTAAGTTGTGGTGGAATAATAATAGTAATGGTCTCAGCTCTTTTTCTGCCTCGCTGTGTCCACACCATTTGGTAGTGCCCTCTATACTGACACTGGGCTTGGCCAGGTGACTTGCTCTGCCCAACAGGACAAGCAAACATAATATAGGCAAAGACTTGAAAAGAGCTTATGCACTGGAGCTTGCTCTCTTGCTGTTCTTGGGACCCTGCCACCCTGGGAGCAAGCTGGGGTTAGCTTACTAAACAAGGAAAGGTTCTAGGCCTAGTCACGCCATTGCTTCAGCCTATAGCCAAGCAACCACTGGATATATGACTGAGGCCATCTGAGAACAGCCAGCACCCAAAAGACCAGCCAAATGACCACAGAAACATGAGCTAGGCCAACAGAGACCAGACAAACCCAGCCCAGGCCAGAAGAGCCACCCAGTATAATTGTGAGCTAAATAAATGGTTGTTGTTGTAAGCTACTAATTGTTTGGAGTGGTTGGTTGCATAGCAATAGGTAACTGACAAATAAATGTTTCTCAAATTATCTGATCATAACATCACCTGGAATGCTGATTAAGAACTATACATTCTGGCCTGGCATGGTGGTCCATGCCTGTAATTCCAGCACTTTGGAGGTTGAGGTGGGCAAACTGCTTGAGCTCAGGAGTTTGAGACCAGCCTGGGCAATATGGTGAAACCCTGTCTCTACTAAAAAATAAAAAACTACAAAAATTAGCCAGGCGTGGTGGCTGGCGCCTGTAATCTCAGCTACTCAGGAGGCGGAGGCAGGAGAATCACTTGAACCTGGGCAGCAGAGGTTGCAGTGAGCCGAGATCACACCTGGGTGACAGAGTGAGACTCTGTCTCAAAAAAAAAAAAAAAAAAAAAAAATTAGCCGGGTGTAGTGGCATGCACCTGTAGTCCCAGCTACTTGGGAGGCTAAAGTGGTAGTATTGCTTGGGCCTAGGAGGTCAAGGCTGCAGTGAGCTGTGATCATGCCACTGAAGCCTAGCCTGGGCAACAGAAGAAGACCCTGTCTCAACAAACAAATAAAACAACAACAACAACAAAAAAAACTACACATTTCTATAGAATGATAATTCCTCAATAAATTAAACATAGAGTTACCATATCATCCAGCAATTCACTTCTAGAGATATATAGAAAAAACTGAAAGCATGGGCTCAAAGAAATTTTGTATACCAATGTCAATAGCATCTTTCTTCTCAAAAGCCAAATGTTGGAAACAACCCAAATGCCCATCAATGGAGGAATGGATAAACAAAATGTGTATAACATGGAGTAGAACATATTTAGCCTTGAAAGGGAATGAAATTCTGATTCAAACTACAACATTGCTGAACCTTGAAAACATGCTCAATGAAACAATCCAGATCGAAAAGGACAAACGCTGTATGATTTCATGTATATGAGGTACCCAGAATAGTTAAACTCACAGAGACAGAAACTAGAATAGTGGTTACCAAGGGCTGAGAGAAGAGGGAAATGGACAGCTACTGTTTAATGAGTGTGGAGTTTCAATTTGGGATGAGAATAAAGTTCTGCATGTGGATAGTGGTATTGGTTGCACAACAATGTGAGTGTACTTAATGCCACTGAATTGTACACTTAAAAACAATTAAAGTGATACATTTTATAATATGTATATTTTACCATCATAAAAAACCCAAACCTGAGAGGAGGAGCCAAGATGGCTGAATAGGAACAGCTCCGGTCTACAGCTCCCAGCGTGAGCGACGCAGAAGACGGGTGATTTCTGCATTTCCATCTGAGGTACCGGGTTCATCTCACTAGGGAGTGCCAGACAGTGGGTGCAGGTCAGTGGGTGTGCGCACCGTGCGCGAGCCGAAGCAGGGCGAGGCATTGCCTCACTTGGGAAGCGCAAGGGTCAGGGAGTTCCCTTTCTGAGTCAAAGAAAGGGGTGACAGACGCACCTGGAAAATCGGGTCACTCCCACCTGAATATTGCGCTTTTCGGACCAGCTTAAAAAATGGCGCACCACCAGATTATATCCCGCACCTGGCTTGGAGGGTACTACCCCACGGAGTCTCGCTGATTGCTAGCACAGCAGTCTGAGATCAAACTGCAAGGTGGCAGCGAGGCTGGGGGAGGGGCGCCCGCCATTGCCCAGGCTTGATTAGGTAAACAAAGCAGCCAGGAAGCTCGAACTGGGTGGAGCCCACCACAGCTCCAGGAGGCCTGCCTGCGTCTGTAGGCTCCACCTCTGGGGGCAGGGCACAGACAAACAAAAAGACAGCAGTAACCTCTGCAGACTTAAATGTCCCTGTCTGACAGCTTTGAAGAGAGCAGTGGTTCTCCCAGCACGCAGCTGGAGATCTGAGAACGGGCAGACTGCCTCCTCAAGTGGGTCCCTGACCCCTGACCCCCGAGCAGCCTAACTGGGAGGCACCCCTCCAGCAGGGGCACACTGACACCTCACACGGCAGGGTATTCCAACAGACCTGCAGCTGAGGGTCCTGTCTGTTAGAAGGAAAACTAACAAACAGAAAGGACATCCACACCAAAAACCCATCTGTACATCACCATCATCAAAGACCAAAAGTAGATAAAACCACAAAGATGGGGAAAAAACAGAACAGAAAAACTGGAAACTCTAAAACACAGAGCGCCTCTCCTCCTCCAAAGGAACGCAGTTCCTCACCAGCAATGGAACAAAGCTGGATGGAGAATGACTTTGACGAGCTGAGAGAAGAAGGCTTCAGACGATCAAATTACTCTGAGCTACGGGAGGACATTCAAACCAAAGGCAAAGAAGTTGAAAACTTTGAAAAAATTTAGAAGAATGTATAACTAGAATAACCAATACAGAGAAGTGCTTAAAGGAGCTGATGGAGCTGAAAACCAAGGCTCGAGAACTACGTGAAGAATGCAGAAGCCTCAGGAGCTGATGCGATCAACTGGAAGAAAGGGTATCAGCGATGGAAGATGAAATGAATGAAATGAAGTGAGAAGGGAAGTTTAGAGAAAAAAGAATAAAAAGAAATGAGAAAAGCCTCCAAGAAATATGGGACTATGTGAAAAGACCAAATCTACGTCTGATTGGTGTACTTGAAAGTGATGGGGAGAATGGAACCAAGTTGGAAAACACTCTGCAGGATATTATCCAGGAGAACTTCCCCAATCTAGCAAGGCAGGCCAACGTTCAGATTCAGGAAATACAGAGAACACCACAAAGATACTCCTCGAGAAGAGCAACTCCAAGACACATAATTGTCAGATTCACCAAAGTTGAAATGAAGGAAAAAATGTTAAGGGCAGCCAGAGAGAAAGGTCGGGTTACCCTCAAAGGGAAGCCCATCAGACTAACAGCAGATCTCTCGGCAGAAACCCTACAAGCCAGAAGAGAGTGGGGGCCAATATTCAACATTCTTAAAGAAAAGAATTTTCCACCCAGAATTTCATATCCAGCCAAACTAAGCTTCATAAGTGAAGGAGAAATAAAATCCTTTACAGACAAGCAAATGCTGAGAGATTTTGTCACCACCAGGCCTGCCTTACAAGAGCTCCTGAAGGAAGCGCTAAACATGGAAAGGAACAACCAGTACCAGCCGCTGCAAAATCATGCCAAAATGTAAAGACCATCGAGACTAGGAAGAAACTGCATCAACTAATGAGCAAAAGAACCAGCTAACATCATAATGACAGGATCAAATTCACACATAACAATATTAACTTTAAATGTAAATGGACTAAATGCTCCAATTAAAAGACACAGACTGGCAAATTGGATAAAGAGTCAAGAGCCATCAGTGTGCTGTATTCAGGAAACCCATCTCACGTGCAGAGACACACATAGGCTCAAAATAAAAGGATGGAGGAAGATCTACCAAGCCAAAGGAAAACAAAAAAAGGCAGGGGTTGCAATCCTAGTCTCTGATAAAACAGACTTTAAACCAACAAAGATCAAAAGAGACAAAGAAGGCCATTACATAATGGTAAAGGGATCAATTCAACAAGAAGAGCTAACTATCCTAAATATATATGCACCCAATACAGGAGCACCAAGATTCATAAAGCAAGTCCTGAGTGACCTACAAAGAGACTTAGACTCCCACACATTAATAATGGGAGACTTTAACACCCCACTGTCAACATTAGACAGATCAACGAGACAGAAAGTCAACAAGGATACCCAGGAATTGAACTCAGCTCTGCACCAAGCGGACCTAATAGACATCTACAGAACTCTCCACCCCAAATCAACAGAATATACATTTTTTTCAGCACCACACCACACCTATTCCAAAATTGACCACATACTGGGAAGTAAAGCTCTCCTCAGCAAATGTAAAAGAACAGAAATTATAACAAACTATCTCTCAGACCACAGTGCAATCAAACTAGAACTCAGGATTAAGAATCTCACTCAAAACCACTCAACTACGTGGAAACTGAACAACCTGCTCCTGAATGACTACTGGGTACATAACGAAATGAAGGCAGAAATAAAGATGTTCTTTGAAACCAATGAGAACAAAGACACAACATACCAGAATCTCTGGGACGCATTCAAAGCAGTGTGTAGAGGGAAATTTGTAGCACTAAATGCCCACAAGAGAAAGCAGGAAAGATCCAAAATTGACACCCTAACATCACAATTAAAAGAACTAGAAAAGCAAGAGCAAACACATTCAAAAGCTAGCAGAAGGCAAGAAATAACTAAAATCAGAGCAGAACTGAAGGAAATAGAGACACAAAAAACCGTTCAAAAAATTAATGAATCCAGGAGCTGGTTTTTTGAAAGGAGCAACAAAATTTACAGACCGCTATCAAGACTAATAAAGAAAAAAAGAGAGAAGAATCAAATAGACACAATAAAAAATGATAAAGGGGATACCACCACTGATCCCACAGAAATACAAACTACCATCAGAGAATACTACAAACACCTCTATGCAAATAAACTAGAAAATCTAGAAGAAATGGATAAATTCCTCGACACATACACTCTCCCAAGACTAAACCAGGAAGAAATTGAATCTCTGAATAGACCAATAACAGGAACTGAAATTGTGACAATAATCAATAGTTTACCAACCAAAAAGAGTCCAGGACCAGATGGATTCACAGCCGAATTCTACCAGAGGTACAAGGAGGAACTGGTACCATTCCTTCTGAAACTATTCCAATCAATAGAAAAAGAGGGAATCCTTCCTAACTCATTTTATGAGGCCAGCATCATCCTGATAGCAAAGCCGGGCAGAGACACAACCAAAAAAGAGAATTTTAGACCAATATCCTTGATGAACATTGATGCAAAAATCCTCAATAAAATACTGGCAAAACGAATCCAGCAGCACATCAAAAAGCTTATCCACCATGATCAAGTGGGCTTCATTCCTGGAATGCAAGGCTGGTTCAATATACGCAAATAAATAAATGTAATCCAGCATATAAACAGAGCCAAAGACAAAAACCACATGATTATCTCAATAGATGCAGAAAAAGCCTTTGACAAAATTCAACAACCCTTCATGCTAAAAACTCTCAATAAATTAGGTATTGATGGGAGGTATTTCAAAATAAGAGCTATCTACGACAAACTCACAGCCAATATCATACTGAATGGGCAAAAACTGGAAGCATTCCCTTCGAAAACTGGCACAAGACAGGGATGCCCTCTCTCACCACTCCTATTCAACATAGTGTTGGAAGTTCTGGCCAGGGCAATTAGGCAGGAGAAGGAAATAAAGGGTATTCAATTAGGAAAAGAGGAAGTCAAATTGTCCCTGTTTGCAGACGACATGATTGTATATCTAGAAAACCCCATTGTCTCAGCCCAAAATCTCCTTAAGCTGATAAGCAACTTCAGCAAAGTCTCAGGATACAAAATCAATGTACAAAAATCACAAGCATTCTTATACACCAACAACAGACAAACAGAGAGCAAAATCATGAGTGAACTCCCATTCACAATTGCTTCAAAGAGAATAAAATACCTAGGAATCCAACTTACAAGGGATGTGAAGGACCTCTTCAAGGAGAACTACAAACCACTGCTCAAGGAAATAAAAGAGGATACAAACAAATGGAAGAACATTCCATGCTCATGGGTAGGAAGAATCAATATCGTGAACATGACCATACTGGCCAAGGTAACGTACAGATTCAATGCCATCCCCATCAAGCTACCAATGACTTTCTTCACAGAATTGGAAAAAACTACTTTAAAGTTCATATGGAACCAAAAAAGAGCCCGCATCGCCAAGGCAATCCTAAGCCAAAAGAACAAAGCTGGAGGCATCACGCTACCTGACTTCAAACTATATTACAAGGCTACAGTAACCAAAACAGCATGGTACTGGTACCAAAACAGAGATATAGATCAATGGAACAAAACGGAGCCCTCAGAAATAACGCCGCATATCTACAACTATCTGATCTTTGACAAACCTGAGAAAAACAAGCAATGGGGAAAGGATTCCCTATTTAATAAATGGTGCTGGGAAAACTGGCTAGCCATATGTACAAAGCTGAAACTGGATCCCTTCCTTACACCTTATACAAAAATCAATTCAAGATGGATTAAGGACTTAAACGTTAGACCTAAAACCATAAAAACCCTAGAAGAAAACCTAGGCATTACCATTCAGGACATAGGCATGGGCAAGGACTTCATGTCCAAAACACCAAAAGCAATGGCAACAAAAGACAAAATTGACAAATGGGATCTAATTAAACTAAAGAGCTTCTGCACAGCAAAAGAAACTACCATCAGAGTGAACAGGCAACCTACAAAATGGGAGAAAATTTTCGCAACCTACTCATCTGACAAAGGGCTAATATCCAGAATCTACAATGAACTCAAACAAATTTACAAGAAAAAAATAAACAACCCCATCGAAAAGTGGGCAAAGGACATGAACAGACACTTCTCAAAAGAAGACATTTATGCAGCCAAAAAACACATGAAAAAATGCTCATCATCACTGGCCATCAGAGAAATGCAAATCAAAACCACAGTGAGATACCATCTCACACCAGTTAGAATGGCAATCATTAAAAAGTCAGGAAACAACAGGTGCTGGAGAGGATGTGGAGAAATAGGAACACTTTTACACTGTTGGTGGGACTGTAAACTAGTTCAACCATTGTGGAAGTCAGTGTGGCGATTCCTCAGGGATCTAGAACTAGAAATACCATTTGACCCAGCCATCCCATTACTGGGTATATACCCAAAGGACTATAAATCATGCTGCTATAAAGACACATGCACACGTATGTTTATTGCGGCATTATTCACAATAGCAAAGACTTGGAACCAACCCAAATGTCCAACAATGATAGACTGGATTAAGTAAATGTGGCACATATATAGCATGGAATACTATGCAGCCATAAAAAGTGATGAGTTCATGTCCTTTGTAGGGACATGGATGAAATTGGAAATCATCATTCTCAGTAAACTATCGCAAGAACAAAAAACCAAACACTGCATATTCTCACTCATAGGTGGGAATTGAACAATGAGATCACATGGACACAGGAAGGGGAATATCACACTCTGGGGACTGTGGTGGGGTGGGGGCAGGGGGGAGGGATAGCATTGGGAGATATACCTAATGCTAGATGATGAGTTAGTGGGTGCAGCGCACCAGCATGGCACATGTATACATATGTAACTAACCTGCACAATGTGCACATGTACCCTAAAACTTAAAGTATAATAATTGAAAAAAAAAAAACAAACCCAAACCTGCACATTTCTGGACCAGAACCTAGATCAACCAAGTCACCATTTCCACAGCAGGAGCAAGTTTGTACCAAACCATCCCATCTCCCAAATTGTTTTAGCACATAATTAAAAGGCAGGTACATATTAGATCAGAATTAAAGTAAGTCTCTTGCCTCTTGATGAACCAGGGAAATATCTGGAAAAGTTACAAGATATTGGCCATTTAAAGGATTAAATTCAGTACCTAAATCCCTTTTTTAATTACAGAAAAGGGCCAGATTTCAGATAAAACACAACACGCTACAAGGGAAATCCCTTACTGTCCCCTATTCCAAAGCTGGGAAAGCTGCCTGTCTTCCATTTGTTTAGGTATCTAGGGAAAATATCACATTGAATCCAAAAGGTAATTTTAACCTTTTTATTTTCCTACAGTATTGGAACAAGAATAAATTGAATCTCTCTGTCTGAAAAGAGCCAGCTGTGTAAGTTTACTCCCTTTCATAGTCACCAGATCTTAGTAATAATGAAAAAATGTTGCATGGAAATGATTCTAAAATAATTTCTATTCCAGGTATGAAAACACTGCCTGTCTTCTATAACAGGCTGGCTGTTATTTACGGAAGATGGAACTTTCAAGTAGTATCCTCAGGTAGGTAATTCAAACGGCAGAAACTATTCCACATTCTGCGGTCTATAATTACAAAAGAGAGTTTCATCTTCAAACATTTCACACATATTAGTCATGGAACTTTTAATGCCTCTGGATTTTTGATGGATTACTCAATGATGGTTCAGGTTTTGCAGAAGTCTCTGGGGAATTTTAAAACTCTGAACTTAAAAAAATGTAAGTTCTAATAATGAGAAAATACCAATATGTGAGTGGCATGTAAAGGAAACTAGGCTTTCTTTTCCTGCAAATAATGCTTTACATTCTGCTTCTCAGTGACCATAATTAATCTCTTTTCCAGTCAACACAGATTTTCATTGGTTATGAAATAAGAATACATTTTGTTTGAATATACAATATAATTGTCATAAACATTTTTTCCCTTTAAAATGTCATTTATGGAGTCTTTCTTTTTTTTAATTTCACTTTTTTAGAGACAAAGTCTCACCCTGTCACCCAGGCTACAGTGCAGTGGCACAATCATAGCTCACTGTAACCTCAAACTTCTGGGCTCAAGCGATCCTCCTGCCTTAGCCTCCTGAATAGCTAGACCTCAGGAGCATGCCATCATGTCTGGCTAATTTTTTATTTTCATTTTTTGGGTATGTTTTCAGCAGTGATCCACTACTCCTGGTACCAATTTACTGTATTAGTCTGTTTTCATGCTGCTATGAAGAAATACCCAAGACTGGGTAATTTATAAAGAAAAGAGGTTTAATTGACTCGTAGTTCCGCATAGCTGTGAAGGCCTCAGGAAACTGACAATCATGGCAGAAAGCACCTCTTCGCAGGGCAGCAGGAGGGAGGATGAGTGCTGAGAAAAGGGGGAAGCCCCTTATAAAACCATCAGATCTCATGAGAAGTCACTATCATGAGAACAGCATAGAGGAAACTGCCACCATGATTCAATTATCTCCACCTGGTCTCGCTCTTAACACATGGGAATTATTACAATTTGAGGTGAGATTTGGGTGGGAACACAGAGCCAAACCATATCAGATGGGGTCTCGCTATGTTGCTCAGGTTGGTCTTGAACTCCTGGCCTCAAGTGATCCTCTGGCCTTGGCCTCTCAAAGCATTGAGATTACAGGTGTGAGCCACCATGCTCAGTATACAGTGTTTTTATGCTAGCTTCAATCTAGAACTATTAAAGTTTCAAATATAACCTGAACTATAGACATTAAGTTTTATTTCTTTAGTATAACATGGAAAGAAAACATTGGATCTTGACATGATACCCACAATAGCATTCAAAGAGTAGTAATTTGGTTGCCTGGATCTTACTTATGAGGGCTCGTCTATTAAAAGTTCTAGAAAAGTTTCAATCCATATGGCAGGATCTTCCATAATACAGCACTGCTTTGTTGGAAACTTTCTACAGAAGTTTTTCAGGTCATTTTGATTCAAAACTAGGCTCATTCATTGTTGCCATACTCCATGTTTCAAGCAAAACATTCCTTCTCAATCCCTCACAACCTTATTGAGTTCCTTCATCCTTCTGAACCATTGTTCCTAACAGTCTTCTCTTTAAATATTCATTCTACCCTGTCTTGTAACTACGAAACTGTACAAACTCTGTGTACCGCCTACATGTGAAAACTAATCCTCTATCACTCAGTTTTACTTCCCAAGTTTCTACTCAACAGGTTTATTTTTCTCTTTTTGTTTCAAAATCATCTACTATGAAAAAAGCACACAAAGAATGCATTTGTTTTGTAATCTGCACTTGGTGAGACCTCACCTTTCCTCGCTTTGCTTTACCCAGCATATTGAAACAGTAAGTGTGACAGCCAATCAACCATTTACTTTTCTCCAGGGGTTCATGTGATGTTCCTGAAACTGACCCTTCTGAGAACTCTTCTTGTTAAAATATAACACATCCTGGTACAAATCCTGGAAGATTACTCTCATGCATTAAAGTGCCATTTTCTTCCCCTTTCATCTCTGAGGATCTCACCTGCTTGAATGTTGTAATATGATTCCCACCTCACACCTTTGCAGGTTATTTTCTCACTTGGAATTCTATGGGGACACTAACACTGGAATAAGGGAAAAGATAAAATATATTCAGTGCCTGTATTTTCCAGAGCGACTCCCTGACAATGCCAGCCTCCTTCCAACTGTACATACTGAAAGGAGTTCCACAGCTGTTTCTAAAATTTAAGCCTCCTGGCCTCAGCTCTGCAAATATGCACTCCTTAACACTTGTGCAGAATGGTTACAATCTTGTTTCGAACTTGAGCTAATAGTTGTTAACGTTTGTGCAAACCAGCAAGCCTTGCTTTTCCTTCCATTTAACCTGCAGATTATTGCAACTGCAAGCAGGATAGGATTTCATCCACAAACATATTCAACAGTATATTAGAAATGTACATGTTTAACACTATGCTGCATTAGATTGTGAGTTGTTTTGATGGCAAGAAATACATACATCTCATTCTTGTTTGCGTCCTGGAAGTTTTTTGCATGTCTGGCGCATAGTAGGCACTTAATACATCTCTGTTGTGAGGGACAAGATGTGATCACTGCCTTACACGGGCACAGAGTCACAAACTCTGATACACAAGAGTCCCCATAAATGTAGGAGAGGTCACTGGGGATGGGGAACTCCAACTGGTCTGGCTAAGGGTTAGAAGACAGGGGTTCAAGACCTAGTTCTGTCATAAGTTAGCTGTGCAACTTTGCACAAGTTGGTTAGCCTCTCCAAGTCTCAGTTTCTTCTTCTACAGACTGGTATGGGGGACAATCATGCTTGTCACCTTTATAATGAGGCCATGTTTGTGAAAGTTCTTTGTAAATTATAAAGGTGTCTATAACACTGCAACATGATTGAGCCACAGTTACTAAGAGAACTTCCAAAGGTAGTAATGTCTAATGGTCTCTCTCCTTTAGCCATTCATTTGATAAAAATGTTTTCATCTCCTCTTCGGCTCCATGCTAGTCGTGGGAATGAAATGGTGAGCCAAAAGATACATAGTCCCTTTCTTCATAAACCCCACAGTCTCACAGAAGACACAGATATACACTGAACAAATACACAAATAAATGTCAGGTAGGAATGTTGGTAATAACTACATTACCCAAAACGGAGGTTCTAAGTGTGTGCTGATGGTTTTAAATAAATATTAATAATACAAATATTATATTATTATGTCATATTAATAATATAAATACATAGAAATGTTACACATATATAACACACAAATAATTCACATTATTTTTTTTCATTAAAATTTAACTCTAGGAGAGAGACAGAAAGCTGAGAAAAGGAGAGAGAGAGAGGAAGGAGAGACTGATTTTAAAAGTACCTGTAACTTGTCCGTCAATAAGATAGTCTGAGGAGAGTCTATGACTCTGCTCTTCCCTCACGCACTGCCTGGCAGACTTCCTGCCTTTCAATGCCATTCTGAAGGTGATTCCTAATATTTAAAGAGACACGGTCTCATTCTGTCACCCAGACTGGAGTGCAGTGTCATGATCATAGCTCACTGCAGCCTCAAACTCCTGGGCTCAAATGATCCTTCTGCCCCAGCCTCCCAAGTATCTGGGACTACAGGCATGTGCCACTGTGTCCAGCTAATTCTTAAAGTTTTTATAGAGATGAGGTCTTGCTATGTTGCCCAAGCTGGTCTTGAACTCCTGACCTCTATCCATCCTCCCACCTTGGCTTCCTAAAGTGCTGGGATTACAGGTGTGAGCCACTGCGCCCAGCCAAAACATATTAAATTTTATATAATGTAAACCTAAATGCAATCTGACTACTTAATCTGCTGCTCAATCCAAGAGACAGTGATCTATACCAATGGAAGGTGATTTATGAATTCTGGAGGGTAATTCTGATTATATGTAATTTTCTCCTTAAAGCTGACCTTAGAAACAACTTCAGTCTGGAAGTGCATGAAAGAGGTTGGTGTTTGAGCCCGGATAGACAAGAAACTAGTCTCCTTAGGTCTCTAGTCTTGTCATAAGCCCATAATTCTACAGGGGCAGATACTACGTTTCTAATAATCTCCTCTAGAGTTTGGGACAAGAGGACAGCAAAAAATAATGCAGAACTTTGCTGCTTTCAACTGGTTATTGTCCTGTGTTTTTCTCTTGACATTGCAGAAAATTATTGCTGTGGTCTGGGGCAGTATGGAGATATTCCTGAATCCCCTTCTGTTGGCGACCCATAATAGCAACCCAATGACACTCTAATTTCTAAAAGGTAACACACAAGTTATCCAAAATTGAGGTTTTAAGTGTGGGCTCGGGGTCTTTAATACATGTCATTCATATTCTTCTTTCTCTTTCATTAAAATGAAACTTCAGAAAAGACATGCATCTCATTTAACAAGAGGCCAAATATAAATAACTCCTGAGAAACTTTGGTTAATCCATAACTTATCCCAGGCTATGTCATTTCGAATCTAGTTGTGAATGTTTCAGCCACAGAAAAATTCTCACCTTACTCAGTACAACAAAGTCATTTTGGAAAGAGAGCCAATGACCAAATTAATTCTTTTATGGAGCTGTCTGATTTGATTAAGTTGTTATACCGCATTTTAAAACTCATTAACATGAACTATCAAGCCATTTTGTAAGTGATTTTCTTCTAACATCTTTACATTTACTGTCCTGGAAGGCTTTTGGTGTCAATCAAAATAGATGACAATACTAAATCACTGGCTTTATAACATAATTCAACAGTGGGTGAATTCAGCTGTCTCTGTGAAATATGACCTTGCAAGAGTGGCTGATTTGCCTGTTGCCTTCTCTGATAAGAAAAATATATTTATAATGACATTGTAGTTGTTTGGATATTTCACAGTGTGTGTTACTTTATAACAAATTTGTTTAATCACAAAGAAATCCCCTCTAATATTAGGTGAAAGAGAAAACCTTTAAAAATAGGCCCTTTTTTTTCTTTTTTTCCTTTTCAACCAAAGTTTCTATAGAAGTTCAAATAGATTCTAAGTCAGAAAGCTCCAGAGGAAATAAATTCACAATTGAAAACAGAAGGAATATGGCTTTACAGGGCAAGCTTAATGAAAGAAAGAGGAGAGAGTTGGATAAATCTGCACAAAGGAGGCATTCAAAGAGTGTTTCCAGAGCCGAAAGCTAAACGTAACGTAGTAGAGAATTAACTGCTTAGATATGAGGAATAGAGCCCTGGCAGAGTCGGGCTTTGCAAATTTCTCCAACAATAACAATTTCCTTAAAAAGAAATTTCAGAGATTTGCCAGATAAGTAGTTACAGTCATTATTTCTAGTAATACAAGAAAAGTATAAATAGGAATTAAACCCCCATGTGACCAAAGAATAGTGCTGCAATACTCCATATTTCTCACAAAATTCCTTAGGGAAAGCTGCAGTGAAACATAACACTGACATATGAGAGAGATGAAACTGTTTAATGGGTACCAAGAATGCTCCATAAATGTAGGCTAATAAAGTGTTCATTAGTTTAGCATCTATTGATTGAGTTCTTGCTATTTTCCAAATTTGGCACTGATGGGTAGGATGACAAAGAAAACTACAATACAGCCCTGGCCTGTAGGGCTTGTGCTGGGCCAACAGAAATGTAAAGATGTAATTATTGCACAACACAGAGATAGACAAAATAGGACAACATCAGAGGAAGGAGCAGCTAATGCTAGAGAGTTCGCAAAGGCATCATGGAGGGAGTGATATTTGAGATGCTTCTTGAAGCATAAATAGGAACTCCTGGGGAAGGCAAAAGGGGCATGGCACACAGAAAACATTTTAGGGGACTGTAAGAGGTTGAAGAATCCAAGTTCTAAGTGAGTGGATGGGTAAGGCAGGAAATGAGGCTGAAAAGGAAAACTGATTTCCATGCTAAGAACTTGGGTCTTAGTCCTGTAGATAGGAGGTAGCAAACTGGAAGGTAGCTCAAGGGCAGCAAGAACCTAGAGTGGACATACTTTGTCTCTAACCTGCAAATGCAAGTGTGTGCATACTGTTTTGGGAAATACACAGGAATCGTCTGTGGCCCAGCCAGCAAGGCAGAAGTAGTGAGTTTTCTTATTATTATTTATGGGCTCAGTGGCTCATGCCTGTAATACCAGCACTTTGGAAGGCCGAGGTGGGCAGATAACTTGAGCTCAGGAGTTTGAGACCAGCCTGGCAACATGGTGAAAATTCATCTCTACAAAGAAATAGAAAAATTAGCTGGGCATGGTGGCATGCACCTATAGTCCCAGTTACCTGGGAGGCTGAGGTGGCAGGACAGCTTGAGCCTGGGAGGCAGAGGTTGCAGTGAGCTGAGATTGCACCATCGAACTCCAAACTGGGTGACAGAGCCAGAACCGGTCTCAAATAAAATAAAATTAAATTAAAGAGGGACCACAATTGCCCTTTAGAAAGGTAATTGGCTGCAGTGAAGAGAAAGGATTAGAGAGGGAATATTTGGAGGCAGGAAGGCCTCTGGAAGGCCCTTTGGTGCTATAGGAGGAAGACACTGAGAACCTATGTGAAGGTGGTGGCAGCAGATCTTGACATAGGTCCTCAAAGCAAACACCAGAAAAGAAATTATTGACTAAAATCAGATGAAGCAGGGCTGGCAGTGGAGATAGTTAGAGCATAGAGCTAAAAGACATAGAGTTACTCATTCAAGAAATAGCTGTTTTAATGCCAGACATGGGCATACAGTTCCAAGCAGGGAAGACATGAGCTATGTGCCTTAACCATGAATTTATAACCACCGGGATATGGGAGACCAGGGATAAGGTGTTGATGATTACTAATGGGTCATGGGTTTGGGAAGCTGACCCCTACGTAGAGTATAGAAATTGTTGATTTCCTTTTCATTGTAGAAAACACTGAAGAAATTTTAAAAATATTTACTTATTTCTCTGCCAAAAAAACATTCCATTCATACATTTATCTATTTTTGTTAGAAAACAAAAATGAAGGCCATGAAATATTTTAAAAGTTTGAGAATTCAGGAATAGGCAGGGTGTCTGTGTGTGTGTGTGTGTGTGTGTGTGCGCACACGCGTGAGTTAGAAGGTTGTTTGGGAATGCTTAAGATAATGAGTTAGTTTTTCAACATGATTTAAGATGTCTATAAAGCATCCAGGTGAAAATGTCCAGTTGGCAGCTATGTTCTGTGGGCTGAGAATTCATAAGGGAGGGCTGAGCTAAAGAAATAGTATGAAATCTCACTAGAGAAGATGTGGAAACTGATGTCAAAGAATAGAAAAAGTTACCTGTCTATGAGAAGGAGTAGAATTAGCAGAGGAGAAGGCTGAGTTAGGAAACTCCAGGATTAAAATAAGGGTGGAAAGAGGAGGCCTGTTCATGCAAATTGAATGAGAAGTGGTCAGGGGATTTAGGATAAAATGGTAATAAAAGCTTGATGATTTTCAGAAAATGCTCAGAGTGTGCATATTGAAATAATCCTATGCCTTAGCATTCAAATCCAGGCATTTGTTCATTTGAACTTGATGATATATAACTGTGTTGAGCCCTAAAATTCACCTTGTAATTGATATATGGCCTCAGGCTTAATGTTTTCTTTAGAATAATCTTGTATTTGCTTTCCGCAAGCCAACATTTGCAATGTTTGGTACAGAATAAAATAGCTTTGAAATTTTATTCTGAATAAAATTTTATTCTGAATAAAAGCAATTGGTGGATCCCTGTAGGGTTGTTTATTTTCTTTCTGCCCCTCCATATCCACTGTCTTCCCCCCATCATAGGAGGACTTAATCAAGTAACTCCATTTGCTATCTGGCTGTTGATTTGGTTTGGCCAATGAGAAGCACTGGCAGGAGCTGAGAAGGTGACACAGAGAGGGTGAGATTCTTTTCCCTACTTCCCTCCTTCTACAGCCTATAGCCCACTACTGAAGGCTGAAGCTCCTTTCCAGAAGCCCTAGCTATGCAATACTCTTGGGTGTTTCCTGTGCCATTTAGCCCCTCCAGGTCAAGAAATGGTAAAGGCTCTCTGCCATTAATAAATCCCCAACTACTGCACTATCCCTTGGCTACTCTCTCTCAACCCTAAATGAGGGTTCATATTAGCATAGGATGAATTAGTAGTCCCTTTATTAAATTCTCAAATCACCCAGTTTGAGTCTGCTATCAAACTGCCCAGTTGCCAGCAAGAGGTTAATTCATACAATAATTCGTTATTTGTCAGTGATCCATTTTTCCATCGGCTCTTGAATGGAGAGTGTATTCAGGAAGATTAGGTTGAGGATGGAGCAGGAATGAGTCTGGAGAAGGCACAGGCTGCCTTCTTTCATAGCCTGGCTGACTGCACAGAGCCTTGGAGCCAGCACCAAGATGATTCCTCTGAGGCATTTCTACTGAACTATTTAGCAATGAGCACCAAAGAAGACAGAAGGCTGAGAAGGCGCACATTTCACCCTGACAGAACTGACAGATTGGGGGATAAGACCTCATGTGTCTGGATTTTCAGGTAACTGCTGTTTGAGTTCATGCTCAGAACCATCAATTCTGTAGTGGAAAAGTTCCATAAATCAGCTTGCCATACAATGAGCAATGCCTGTAGTTGCCATGAAGATATTCTTGTACTATTTTTGGCCACTGTATAAAGAAACTAAGGCATTAGAAGGAAAAAAATACCTTCAGAAGCACCGTCTTTTTGGTGGAGATTGGGGATGGAGTGGAAACTCCCAGTGTATACTCATGGCTGCGTCATGCAGCCTTCTCCAAACTTCTCTCCCTGGAACCACCCTAAGGCAAATAAAGAATGGAAAACTCAGAACAAAAACTCAGTTGTTAAATAAACTTCAGGAGAGAGTTTAAATACTTTTAAGTATTTATCCTAAATCTTAAAATACTTTTAAGATTTTCTAAAAGCAACTGAATTCTTCTGGGAAGAATTTGGGAAAGGCTAAAGACAGATCTCAAGACCTCAGTTGTAGGAGACCAGCCATGACAGATCTCAGAACACACTACTAACAATTTCCTTCCCGCAAGTGATGGGTATGTCTTGAGAGTCAGAAGCTGTACCCCTTGCTGGCAAAGGTGTGGCAGAAGCAGGATGTGACCTTCTACCCTAATGGGACTATAATGAATTTCATAAAAAAGAAGAAGCAAGGCCAAATAAAGATTTGGAAAGACAAGGCACATTTTTTTGAGAAGCGTTCTACCTTTGTGGAGACTGTGGAAAAGAAGAACCTTTGCACTGGGCAAGCATGCTAGACAGGAAAGCTGACCTGGTCCTGCCTCAAGAAAGCCCTTATAAATACAGAGCTTAGGAAAATGAAAACCATTCAAAGATGAATAATAAAAATTATATCTATACTCCAAGACAAAAGGGAAAAAAGGCAAAAAATGTATTAATAAAGTATATCCTTCTGTAAAATATTACCATACCAATGAAAGTTATGAACAAATGTCTTGCCATGAATTTGGAGGAAAAAAAATCCTTCAAATTAAAGTGATCACCTGGATGAAAGATGATATATAACACAGTAATGGAATAATTCAGGGAAAGTATGGTAGCATAGCAGGAAGAGATAAGATATGAGCTTGCACAACTAAGGAAAGGTGTAGTCCAAGAAAAAAAAAATAGAAGAATTAAGGAAATAAAAACAAAATGGGGCAAAAGAATCAGATAGTATAAAAATCACAGGAGATTCACAGAGGTTGAGAATGGCAAAGTTGGTGTGATAGAATAGAAGAAATAAAGAAAGACCCAGAATGACCAATGAGACATATCCCAATAAAGTTGCTGGGCTTCAAAGATAAAGAATCCTTTCGGCAGACAGGTGAAAAGACTAGGTCAATTTTACAAGAAAGAAGAATTCAGGCTGCCTTCCTGTTTTTACACAGCAACTCTGAATACCAGATACAATCCCATGAGATTCTCAAGCAAAGAGACTTTGAGATAAGAATATATATGCAAACTCTTCTTGAAGTATAAGGGCTACAAACAATAGTTTTAATAAGAGTTCAAAAACTGGAGCAATATTATTTTGTTGATGTCTTTTTGTGGGAACCAATAAAAGAGAAAATTCAGTCAATCAATAAGTTTGGGGAAAAGATTGAGGGAGACTATATATTTAACAGTACCACTAAAACTAGAAAAATGTGAGTTAGAGTGGCAGATAAAACATAACTGAAACATTGAGAGGAGAAGAGGGAAAGAAATTGAAATGATGAGAAAATGTGTTTACTGTTTAATTTAAAACAGCTGGAAGTCAAAGGATTTCATTTAAAGTTGGCAAATCAAGTCATAAATCAGAAACACAGTTATATCAAAGCAAACACCAGAAAAGAAATTATTGACTAAAATCAGTATGCTGCTGGATCCAGAGATAAAAGGAGAGAAAAGGAAGAAATATAATAATATTCACAGTTATAACTAGTAAGAATAAACAAACACCAGAGGACTAAGATCAATTTATAACTATAAAGATAACTAATATAATAAAAATATAAATGCTCTAATAAGAGCACAAAAATATAACTTCACAGAGAAAACAAAGTGAAGATAACTGACCATAGAGTGAATAATTTAATTAAAATATTGGCAAGGACACAGAAGATAGTGACAGAATCAAAAACGTGATACAGGATATGAAAGGAAAAATTTTCAGTGAAGTAGATAGCATAAATAAAAACCAGTCACAACTTCTGGAAATCAAGGGCACACTTAAAGAAATGCAAAATGCACAGGAAAGTCTCAGCAATAGAATCAAAGAAGCAGAAGAAAGAATCTCAGAGCTTGATGACAAAGCTTTCAAATTAACCCAATCTGTCAAAGACAAAGAAAAAAAAATTTTTTTAATGAAAAAGGCTTCCAAGAAGTTTGGGACTATATTAAACATCCAAACCTAAGAATAATTGGTGTTTCTAAGGAAGAAGAGAAATCTAAAAGTTTGGAAAACATATTTGAGGGACTAATCGAAGAAAACTTCCTTGGCTTTACTAGAGATCTAGACGTCCACATACAACAAGCTCTAAGAACACTGGGAAGTTCTTCGCAAAAAGATCATCACCTAGGCACATAGTCATCAGATTATCTAAAGTCAGGACAAAGGAAAGAATCTTAAGAGTTGTGAGGCAAAAGCATCAAGTACTTCATTTATTTTTATTGCTGATGAATATTCCATTATATGGGTTACTACATTTTATTAATCTATTCATCAATTTATGGACATTTGGGTTTTTTCCACTGTTGGGCTGTTGTGTCTGGTGCTGCTATGAACATTCATACAAAAGCTTTTGTGTGGACATGTTTTCATTTCTCTTGGGTAGATATCAAGTGGTAGAATTGTTGGACCACATGGTAACTCTATTCTTAATCGTTTGAGAAACAGCCAGGCTGCTTTTCAAAGAGGTTGCAACATTTTGCATTCTGACCAGCAACGTATGAGGGTTCCAATTTTCCCACATCCTTGCCAACACTTGTTATTTTTTGTCTTTTTGAATATAGCCAACCTAACTGGTGTCAAATGATATCTCACTGTGATTTGGATTTGCATTTCCCTAATGATGAATGACGCTGAAAATCTTCTCGTGTGTTTGGCTAACATTTTATATCTTCTTTGGAGAAATGTTGGTTGAAATCCTTTGCTCATTTTAAAATTGAGTTATTTGTCTTTGTATTATTGAATTGTAATAGCTACTTTTTAAAAATTTTCTTATTATTGATTTTGTTTATTTGTTTATTTGCTTTTATTATTATACTTTAAGTTCTAGGGTACATGTGCACAAGGTGCAGGTTTGATACATAGGTATACACATGCCATGTTGGTTTGCTGCACCCATCAACTCATCATTTACATTAGATATTTCTCCTAATGCTATCCCTCCCCCAGTCCCCCACTCCACAACAGGCCCCAGTGTGTGATGTTCCCTTGCCCTGTGTCCAACTGATCTCATTGTTCAATTCCCACCTATGAGTGAGAACATGTGGTGTTTGGATTTCTGTCCTTGGGATAGTTTGCTCAGAATGATGGTTTCCAGTCACATCCATGTCCCTACAAAGGACATGAACTCATCCTTTATTTTTTTATGGCTGCAGAGTATTCCATGGTGTATATGTGCCACATTTTCTTAATCTAGTCTATCACTGATGGACATTTGGATTGGTTCCAAGTCATTGATATTGTGAATAGTGCCACAATAAACATACGTGTGCATGTGTCTTTATAGTAGCATGATTTATAATCCTTTGGGTATATACCCAGTAATGGGATTGCTGGGTCAAATGGTAATTCTAGTTCTAGATCCTTGAGGAATCACCACACTGTCTTCCACAATGGTTGAACTAATTTACACTCCCACCAACAGTGTAAAAGTGTTCCTATTTCTCCACATCCTCTAGCATCTATTGTTTCCTGACTTTTTAATGATTGCCATTCTAACTGGGGTGAGATGGTATCTCATGGTGGTTTTGATTTGCATTTCTCTAATAACCAGTGATGATGAGCATTTTTTCATGTGTCTGTTGGCTGCATAGATGTCTTCTTTTGAGAAGTGTCTGTTCATATCTTTGCACACTTTTTGATGGGGTTGTTTGTTTTCTTCTTGTAAATTTGTTTAAGTTCTTTGTAGATTCTGGAAATTAGCCCTTTGTCAAATGTGTAGATTGCAAAAATTTTCTCCCACTCTTTAGGTTGTCTGCTCACTCTGATGATAGTTTCTTTTGCTGTGCGGAAGCTCTTTAGTTTAATTAGATCCCATTTGTCTATTTTGGCTTTTGGCTTTTGTTACCATCACTTTTGGTGTTTTAGTCATGAAGTCCTTGCCCATGCCTATGTCCTGAAAGGTATCGCCTAGGTTTTCTTCTAGGGTTTTTATGGTTTTAGGTCTAACATTTAAGTCTTTAATCCATCTTGAATTAATTTTTGTATAAGGTATAAGGAAGGGATCCAATTTCAGCTTTCTACATATGGCTAGCCAGTTTTCCCAACACCATTTATTAAATAGGGAATTCTTTCCCCATTTCTTGTTTTTGTCAGGTTTGTCAAAGATCAGATGATTGTAGATGTGTGGTGTTATTTCTGAGGCCTCTGTTCTGTTCCATTGGTCTATATATCTGTTTTGGTACCAGTATCATGCTGTTTTGGTTACTGTAGCCTTGTAGTATAGTTTGAAGTCAGGTAGCATGATGCCTCCAGCTTTGTTCTTTTTGCTTAGGATTTACTTGGCAATGCGGGCTCTTTTTTGCTTCATATGAACTTTAAAGTAGTTTTCCAATTCTGCAAAGAAGGTCATTGGTAGCTTAAGGGGATGGCCTTGAATCTATAAATTACCCTGGGCAGTGTGGCCATTTTCATGATATTGATTCTTCCTATCCATGAGCATGGAATATTCTTCCATTTGTTTGTGTCCTCTTTTCTTTCGTTGTACAGTGGTTTGTAGTTCTCCTTGAGGAGGTCCTTCACATCCCTTGTAAGTTGGATTTCTAGGTATTTTATTCTCTTTGTAGCAATTGTGAATGGGAGTTCACTCATGATTTGGCTCTCTGTTTGTCTGTTAGTGTATAGGAATGCTTGTAATTTTTGCACTTGATTTTGTATCCTGAGATTTTGCTGAAGTTGCTTATCAGCTTAAGGAGATTTGGGCTGACATGATGGGGTTTTCTAAATATACAATCATGTCATCTTCAAAAAGGGACAATTTGACTTCCTCTTTTCCTAATTGAATACCCTTTCTTTCTTTCTCTTGCCTGATTGCCTTGGCCATAACTTCCAACAATATGTTGCACAGGAGTGGTGTGAGAGGGCATCGTTTTCTTGTGCTGGTTTTCAAAGCGAATGCTTCCAGTTTTTGCTCATTCACTATGATATTGGGTGTGGGTTTGTCATAAATAGTTCTTATTATTTTGAGATACGTTCCATCAATACCTAGTTTATTGCGTGTTTTTAGCAAGAAAGCTGTTGAATTTTGCCGAAGGCCTTTTCTGCATCTGTTGAGATAATCATGTGGTTTCTGTCATTGGTTCTGTTTATGTGATGGATTACATTTATTGATTTGTGTATGTTGAAACAGCCTTGCATGCTAGGGATGAAGCTGACTTGATCGTAGTGCATAAGCTTTTTGATGTGCTGTTGTATTTGGTTTGCCAGTATTTTATTGAGGATATTTGCATTGATGTTCATTGGGAATATTCATCTAAAATTCTCTTTTTCTGTTGTGTCTCTGCCAGCCTTTGGTATCAGGATGATGTTGGCCTCATAAAATGAGTTAGGGAGGATTCCCTCTTTTTCTATTGATTAGAATACTTTCAGAAGGAATGGTAACAGCTCCTCTTTGTACCTCTAATAGAATTTGGCTGTGAATCCTTCTGGTCCTGGAATTTTTTTCTTTGGTAGGCTATTAATTATTGCCTCAATTTCAGAGCCTGTTATTGGTCTATTCAGAGATTCAACTTCTTCCTAGTTTAGTCTTGGGAGGGTGTGTGTGTCCAGGAATTTATCCATTTCTTCTAGACTTTCCAGTTTATTTTTGTAGAGGTGTTTATAGTATTCTCTGATGGTAGTTTGTATTTCTGTGGGATCGATGGTGATATCCACTTTGTCATTTTTTATTGCATCTATTTGAGTCTTCTTCTCTTTTTTCTTCTTTATTAGTCTTGCTAGCAGTCTATCAATTTTGTTAATCTTTTCAAAAAACCAGCTCCTGAATTCATTAATTTTTTGAAGGGTTTTTTGTGTCTCTATCTCTTTCAGTGCTGCTCTGATCTTAGTTATTTCTTGCCTTCTGCTAGCATTTTAATTTGTTTGCTCTTGCTTCTGTAGTTCTTCTAATTTTGATGTTAGGGTGTCAATTTTAGATCTTTCCTGCTTTCTCTTGTGGGCAGTTAGTGCTATAAATTTCCCTCTACACACTGCTTTAAATGTGTCCCAGAGATTCTGACACGTTGTGTCTTTGTTCTCATTGATTTGAAAGAACATCTTTATTTCTGCCTTCATTTCATTATTTACCCAGTAGTCATTCAGGAGCAGGTTGTTCAGTTTCCATGTAGTTGTGTGGTTTTGAGTGAGTTTCTTAATCCTGAGTTCTAATTTGATTGCAGTGTGGTCTGAGAGACAGTTTGTTGTGATTTCTGTTCTTTTACATTTGCTGAGGAGTGCTTTACTTCCAACTATGTGGTCAATTTTGGAATAAGTGCGACGTGGTGCTGAGAAGAATGTATATCCTGTTGATTTGGGGTGGAGAGTTCTGCAGCTGTCTATTAGGTCTGCTTGGTGCAGAGCTGAGTTCAGGTCCTGGATATCCTTGTTAACTTGTCTTGTTGATCTGTCTAATATTGACAGTGGGGTGTTAAAATCTCCCATTATTATTGTGTGGGAGTCTAAGTCTCTTTGTAGATCTCTAAGGACTTGTTTTATGAACCTGGGTGCTCTTGTATTGGGTGCGTATATATTTAGGATAGTTAGCTCTTCTGGTTGAATTGATCCCTTTACCATTATGTAATGGTGTTCTTTGTCTCCTTTGATCTTTGTTGGTTTAAAGTCTGTTTTATCAGAGACTAGGATTGCAACCCCTGCTTTTTCTTTTTCTTTCTATTTGCTTGGTAGATCTTCCTCCATCCCTTTATTTTGAGTCTATGTGAGTCTTTGCATGTGAGATGGGTCTCCTGAATACAGCACACTGATGGGTCTTGACTCTTTATCCAATTTGCCAGTCTGTGTCTTTTAATTGGGGTATTTAGCCCATTTACATTTAAAGTTATTATTGTTATGTGTGAATTTGATCCTGTCATTATGATGTTTGCTGGTTATTTTGCCTGTTAATTGATGCAGTTTCTTCCTAGCATCGATGGTCTTTACAATTTGGCATATTTTTGCAGTGGCTGGTACTGGTTGTTCCTTTCCATGTTTAGTGCCTCCTTCAGGAGCTCTTGTAAAGCAGGCCTGGTGGTGACAAAATCTCTCAGCATTTGCTTGCCTGTAAAGGATTTTATTTCTCCTTCACGTATGAAGCTTTGTTTGGCTGGATATGAAATCTGGGTTGAAATTTCTTCTCTTTAAGAATGTTGAATATTGGCCCCCACTCTCTTCTGGCTTTTAGGCTTTCCGCTGAGAGATCTGCTGTTAGTCTGATGGGCTTCCCTTTGTGGGTAACCCGACCTTTCTTTCTGGCTGCCCTTATACTTTTTCCTTCATTTCAACCTTGTTGAATCTGACAATTATGTGTCTTGGGGTTGCTCTTCTTAAGGAATATCTTTGTGGTGTTCTCTGTATTTCCCGAATTTGAATGTTGGCCTGCCTTGCTAGGTTAGGGAAGTTCTCCTGGATAATATCCTGAAGAGTGTTTTCCAACTTGGCTTCATCCGCCCATCACTTTCAGGTACACCAATCAGATGTAGATTTGGTCTTTTCACATAGTCCCATATTTCTTGGAGGTTTCATTCATTTCTTTTTACTCTTTTTGCTCTAACCTTGTCTTCTTGCTTTATTTCATTAATTTGATCTTCAGTTACTGATACCCTTTCTTCCACTTGATTGATTCAGCTATTGAAGCTTGTGCATGCTTCACGAAGTTCTCATGCCATGGTTTTCAGCTCCATCAGGTCATTTAAGGTCTTCTCTTTACTGTTTATTCTAGTTAGCCATTCATCTAATCTTTTTTCAGGGTTTTTAGCTTCCTTGCGATGGGTTTGAACATACTCCTTTAGCTCAGAGAAGTTTGTTATTACCGACCTTCTGAAGACTACTTCTGTCAACTCATCAAAGTCATTCTCCATCCAGCTTTGTTCCATTGCTGGCGAGGAGCTGTGATCCTTTGGAGGAGAAGAGGTGCTCTGATTTTCAGAATTTTCAGCTTTTCTGCTCTGGTTTCTCCCCATCTTTGTGGTTTTATCTACCTTTGTTCTTTGATGTTGGTTACCTATGGATGGGGTTTTGGTGTGGATGTCCTTTTTGTTGATGTTGATGCTATTCCTTTCTGCTCATTAGTTTTCCTTCTAACGGTCAGGTCTCTCAGCTGCAGGTCTGTTGGAGTTTGCTGGAGTTCCACTCCAGACCCTGTTTGCCTGGGTATCTCCAATGTAGGCTGCAGAATAGCAAATATTGCAGAACAGCAAATATTGCTGCCTGATCCTTCCTCTGGAAGCTTTGTCCCAGAAGGGCAGCCACCTATATGAGGTGTCTGTTGGCCCCTACTGGGAGGTGTCTCCCAGTTAGGCTACAAGGGGGTCAGGGACCCACTTGAGGAGGCAGTCTGTCCATTCTCGAGCTCAAATGCAATGCTGGGAGAACAACTGCTCTCTTCAGAGCTGTCAGACAGGGACATTTAAGTCTGCAGAAGTTGTCTACTGCCTTTTATTCAGCTATGCCCTGCCCACAGAGGTGGAGTCTAGAGGCAGTAGGTCTTGTCAAGCTGTGGTGGGCCCCACCCAGTTTGAGCTTCCAGGCTGCTTTGTTTACCTACTTAAGCCTCAGCAATGTTGGATGCCCCTCCCCCAGCCACGCTGCAGCCTTGCAGATTGATCTCAGACTGCTGTGCTAGCAGTGAGCAAGGCTCTATGGGTGTGGGACCCATCGAGCCAGGCACAGGAGAGAATCACCTTGTCTGCCAGTTGCTAAGACCTTGGGAAAAGCACAGTATTTGGGTGGGAGTGCCCCATTTTTCCAGGTAGTCTGTCACGGCTTCCCTTGGCTAGGAAAGGGAAATCCCCCGACCCCTCATGCTTCCCTGGTGAGGCGATGCCCGCTCTGCTTCAGCTCGCCCTCTCTGGGCTGCACCCTCTGTCCAAGCAGTCCTAGTGAGATGAACCAGGTACCTCAGTTGGAAATGCAGAAATCACCTGTCTTCTGTGTTGATCACGCTGGGAGATGCAGACCGAAGCTGTTCCTATTTGGCCATCTTGGAATGTGCCCCCCTTTTTCATTACATATTATTTTAAATACAAGTCCCTTATCACATATATGACTTGTTAAAATTTTCTCCAAATCCTTGGGTTATTTTTTTATTTTCTTGATGGTATCCTTTGAAGGAAAAACGTTTTTAATTTTGATTATTTCCACTTTCTCTATTTTTTCTTATGTTGCTTGTGTTTTTGGTATCACATCTAAGAATCCATACCTAATCAAGGTCATAAAGATTTATACCTACATTTTCTTTTGAGAATTTCATAGTGCTATTTCTTACATTTAGCTCTTTGATTCATTATGAGTTAATTTTTGTGTATGGAGTGGAAAGGTGGTTCCATTCCCTTCTTTTCATATGGATATGCAGTTGTCCAGGTAGCATTTGTTGAAAAACCTATTCTTTCCCCCATTTAAAGAGGCTTTAATTTTCTTCTTTCTGTTTTTGACACATCCAGTAGGAAAAATTAGTCAAGGTGTAGAAGTACTAAGTAGCAAAATATATAGTGCTAAATGACATAGATATAGTCTAATTGATATGCCTCAAAATATACCTTGATAATGAAGTATACACCTTTATGTGTAACAGTCATAGAAATTAACCACCCACTAGGCCTCAAAGAAAACTTCAACAAATTTTAAGAAGTAGAAACAGTATCATCAATGCAAAAAATGAGAAATTAACAAAATTCAGAAAACAATGGTCAATAGCACCTAAATGTTAAAAAGTTTTCTGTTATGACAACTCTTAGCTCAGACAGGGTACAAATATTGAAATATCAAAATATCTAGAGAAAGAAATCATAAAAATACCACAGTATGTAGGTCAAAACCTACTACATACTATTAAAGCAGGACTTATGGAAATTCATAGAAACATGTATATTAATAAATCATTAATTTCATGTTAATTTTTAAAATTAATCTTAATTAATAAATTATTAATAAATAAAATAGTTATGCTGTCTGTCCTTCTTAGGTCTTATTAAAAAGATCCTTGCTCAGTCCAATTTTGTGAAGCATATCCCTTATGTTTTCTTCTAGTAGTTTCATAGTTTTGGGTCTTACATTACAGTCTTTTTTTGGAGACAGAGTCTCACTCTATCCCCCAGGCTGGAGTGCAATGGGGTAAGCTTGGCTTACTGCAACCTCAGTTTCCCAGATTCAAGTGATTATCATGCCTCTGATTATCATGCCTCAGCCTCCCAAGTAGCTGGGATTACAGGCACCTGCCACCACACCCAGATAATTTTTGTATTTTCAGTAGAGACGGGGTTTTGCCATGTTGGCCAGGCTGGTCTCGAATTCTTGATCTCAGGTGATCTGCCCGCCTTGGCCTCCCAAAATGCTGGAATTACAGGCATGAGCTACCATGCCCAGTCTTACATTACAGTCTTAATTTGAGTTGATTTTTGCATATCGTGAGAGGTAGGAGTCTAGTTTCATTCTTCTGAATATAATCACTTTTCCCAGCACCATTTATTGAAGAGGCTGCTCTTTCCCCCAATGTATGTTATTGGCATCTTTGTGAAAATCAATTGGTTGTAAATGCATAGATTTATTTCTGGGTTCTCTATTCTGTTTCATTATTCTATATGTCTGTTTTTATGCCAGTACCATGCTGTTTTGATTACTATAGCCTTGTAGTGTATTTTAAAATCAGGTAGTGTGATACCTGTTGCTTTATTTATTTATTTTTTTGCTCCAGATTGCTTTGAGTATTCAGAGTCTTCTGCATTTCAATATGAATTTAAGATTTTTTTTTCCATTTCTGTAAAGAATGTCTTTGGTATTTTCGTAGGGATTGCATTGAATCTGCAGCTAGCTTTAGGTAATACGAACATTTTAAAAATATTAATTCTTCCAATCCATAATCACATGTTACCTTTCCATTTTTTTTGTGTCTTATTCAATTTCTTTCATCCATGTTTTATAGTTTTTACTATAGGGATCTTTCACCTCCTCAGTTAAGTTTATTCCTAGGTTTTTTTCTTTAGCTATTGCAAATGAAATTGCTTTCTTGATTTCTTTTTCAGAGAGTTTGCTATTGGTTTATAGAAATACTACTAATTTTTATATGTTGATTTGTATTCTGTAAATTTACTAAATTTATTTATTAGTTCTAACAGTTTTTTGGTGCAATCTTTGGAGTTTTCTATAAATATGACCATGTCATCTGCAACCAGGGACAATTTGGCTTCCTCCTTTCAGATTTGGATGTCCATTATTTCTCTCTCTTGCCTAATGGCTCTGCCTAGAACTTCCAGTACTGTGTTTAATGTAAGTGGTAAAAGTGGGCATTCTTGTCTTGTTTCAAGTCTTAGAGGAAAAGATTTCAATTTTTCCCTGTTCAGTATGATGTTAGCTATGAATTTGTCCTATGTGGCCTTTACTGTGTTCAAGCATGTTCCTTTGATATGCAATTTGTTAAGAGTTTTTGTCGTTAAAGGACGTTGAATTTTATTGAATGCTTTTTCAGCATCTATTAAAATGATCATAGAGTTTTTATTCTTGGTTATGTTAATGTGATGTATCACATTTACTAACTTCCATATATTGAACCATCCTTGCATCCCTGGGATGAATCAGTTGATCATGGTGAATCATCTTTTTAATGTGTTGATGAGATTGGTTTCTTAGTATTTTGTCGAGTATTTCTACAGCACAGACAACAAAAGCAAAAATAGACAAATGGGATTACATCAAACTAAAGAGCTTCTGTACAGCACAGGAAAAAAATCAGAGTGAAAAAACAACCTACAGAATAGGAGAAAGTATGTGTGAACTATGCATCTAACAAGGGGTTAATATGCAGAATATGTAAGGAACTCAATGCAATAACAAAATAACAAACAATGTGATTAATAATGGGCAACAGACTTGAAGAGATGTTTCTCAAAAGAATACATACAAATAGTCAACAGGTATATGACAAAAAATGGTCAATATCACTAATAATCAGGGAAATGCAAATCAAAACTACTATGAGCTATTACCTCACCCTAGTCAGAACGGCTGTTATCAAAAAGATAAAAAATAACAAATGCTGGAGAGAATGTGGAGAAAGGAGAACTCTTATGACTTGTTGGTAATAATGTAAATTAATATAGCCATTATGGAAAAGGATGCAGAAGTTTCTCAAACAATTAAAAATAGAACTATCATATGATACAGCAATGCCATTATTATATATATCCAAAGGAAATGAAATCATTTGTGTCAAAGAGATAGCTACCCTCCTGTTTTTATTGCAGTGCTATTCACAATAGCAAAGATATAGAATCAATCTAAATGCCTATCCATAGATGAATGGATAAAGAAAATGTGGTGTATAGAATGGAATAGTTTACAATGGAATGCTACTTAGTCATAAAACAGAACGAAATTCTATCATTTGTGGCAGCATAAACCTAGAGGACATTATGTTAAGTGAAGTAAGCCAGGCACAGAAGGACAAACACTGCATGATCTCACTCATTTGTGTACTCTAAAAAAGTTGACCTCATAGAAATAGAGAGTAGAGGTTATCAGAGGCTGGGGAAGGTAGGTGTAGGGGATAGCACGACGGGGAGAGGTTGGTCAGTGGGTACAAAGTTATAGTTAGACAAGAAGAATAGTTCTGGTGTCCTATAACACAGCTAGGCAACTGTAATAAATAACAATGTTGTGTACATTTCAAGACAGCAAAAAGAGAAGATTTTGTATGATATTTCCACAAAGAGAGATAAATGTTTAAAGTAACAAATACGGTAATTAACCTGATTTGATCATTATACAAGGTATACAATCATTAAAACATAACACTGCACTCTATAAATATATACAATTATTATGTCAACTATAAATAAAAAACTTATTAGTAATGAAAAATAAAGTGGAAAGAAATGTATTAAATATCTTTCAGGAAATTAGAAAAATAAGTGAAGAAAGAGATTAATATAGATAGAAACATATAAAAGAATAAATAGATGTGCTAGAACCTTATTACTCAAAGTAGGGGCCAGCAATGTTGGGATCACTGGCAACATGCTACAAATGCAGAATCTCAGGCCCCAACTCAGACCTACTAAATCAGAATCAGTATTTTAACAAGGTCTCCAGGTGATTTGTATAGAGATCAAAGTTTGAGAAGGATTGAATTAGACGAATCATCAGATAAATTTATAAAGAAAGGCTAATGTTGGTTCTTAAAAAAAAATCCCAAAACTGTTAGTTTCATTAATCAAGGAGGAACAGGAGAAGGTACAAATTCACAACCAGTAAATGATATGGGGGCTCAGGGGGGACTATAAAAATAGAGGAAATTAAAAGATCGTACAGCATTACTTTATTTATTTTGATGCAAATATACAAAACCTAGATAAAATAGACAATTTTCTAAGAAAACATAATTTATCAAATGTGACCCATAGTATTGCAAAAACCTAAATGGGCCAAATTTTACAATCTCTATCTCTTCAATGAACAAGAAAAACAACAAGCTCAGATGAAGGCACAGGGAACTTTTATTAAATCTTTAAAGAATGGGTAATTATACAGTGATTTTTTAACATTTTCTGAGCCAAGACAAATAATGGAAATCTTCAAGTTCTTTTTATATAATCAACATATCAAACCTCAAAAAAAGAATAAAAACAGGAGAAAACTATAGACATCTTCACTCCTGAATAGTGATGTGAAAATTTTAAATAAATTATAAGCAAATAATTTTTAAATTCTTTTCATAATGCAATATGCACATATGGAGAAAAATACATTAAATATAAATGTAAAACTCCATGAATTATTATAAAGCACATACTTTTGCAAATACTACCCAGGTCAAGAATTTAAACATATCAGCACCCTGGAAGTCCCTCATTTGCCCAATCACTTTCTGTCTCTGTCTCTGTCTTTCTTCTTTAATTTTTTTATTTTAATTTTTTATTTTTTTGAGATGGATCTCGCTTTGTCGCCCAGGCTGGAATGCTGTGGTGCAATCTCAACTCACTGCAGTCTCCACCTCCGGGTTTCAAGCTATTCTTGTGCCTCAGCCTCCCAAGTAGCTGGGATTACAGACATGTGCCACCAAGCCCGGCTAAGTTTTGTATTTTTAGTAGAGATGGGGTTTCACCATGTTGCCCAGGCTGGTCTGGAACTCCTGAGCTCAAGCAATCTGCCCATCTCAGCCTCCCAAAGTGCTGGGATTATAGGCGTGAGCCATCCACCGTGCCCAGTCCCACTCTGTTTTTTAAAGGTAACTAATATTTTGACTTTTATGATAATTATTTCCTTAAAATACGCATTCCTAAACACTATCATTTAAATTTTCTCATGTTTAAACTTTATGCAAATCATATCACACAGTACATATTCTTTTGTGTCTGCTTTTCTTTTGGGAGGGGTCAGAGGATGCAAAGTTATAAGATTTATCTACCTTGCTACATATGTTTATAATCTGTTAATCTCCATTCACATACAATATTAATCCCACTTACATATATCCACCTATTAAAGTAACTCCAATTTATCTGTTAATGAACCTGTAGATTATTTCAAATTTTTGAACGTATAATGCTTCACTAAACATTCTCACCCTGCTGAATTAAAAATATCACTCTCACCAAGTGCAGTTTACTCCAGATATGGAAAGGTGGTGTTCAATATCAAGAAATATATAGATATAACTTTTATTTCAGTAAGGGAAAGTAATATAATAATCTCCATAGATACAAAAAATCATTTGAATGATCCAAATCCATTCTTTATAAACACTCAAGAAAATAATCATCAATGAATAGTAGCTTAACTATGGGATAATGTATCTACTTCTATCCCAAAGCTAGTGTTAAAATTAATGGAGAAATACTAGAAGTATCCTCATAAGAAAAGGATATTAAGTATTAACTTTATTATTTAATAACGTACTAGACTTAGAATCTCATGAAATTTTAAGAGAAAGCCTGGGCACGGTGGCTCACGCTTGTAATCCCAGCAGTTTGGGAGGCTGAGGCAGGCAGATCACCTGAGGTCAGCAGTTCAAAACCAGCCTGGCTAACATGGTGAAACCCCGTTTCTACTAAAAATACAAAAAATTAGCCGGGCATGGTGGTGCATGCCTGTAATCCCAGCTACTCAGGAGGCTAAGGCAGGAGAATAACTTGAACCCGGGAGGCGGAAGTTGCTGCAGTGAGCTGAGATCACGTTATTGCACTCCAGCTTAGGCAACAAGAGCAAAACTCTGCCTCAAAAAAAAAAAAAAAAAAAAAAAAAAGAAAGAAAGAAAAAACTTACAGATATGAAAATTGGAAAAGAGAAGAAATTATAAGACTGTTATCTTATATTTCATACTGCAAGCAGTATGAAAATGCAGAAATGTATCAGGTTATAAACTAACATACAGAATTCAATAACCTTCACACCAGACCCACACTTATGACAGCAACAAAAATAATAAAATAACTATGCAAAAATGTACCAAGAAAATTTACAGACTTATATCAAGAAGAAAGAAGCTTCTGAAATAGCTCTAAAGAATACAAAAGAAGCCTGGCACAGTAGCTCATGCCTGGAACCCAACACTTTGGGAGACCAAGGTGGGAGAATTGCGTGAGGCCAGGTGTTTGAGACCTGCCTGGGAAGAGAAACCTCTTCTCTACAAAAAAATTTAAAAAATCAACTGAGTGTGGTGATGCATGTCTATAATCCTAGTTACTTGGGAGGCAAAGGTAGGAGGATCACTTTGAGCCCAGGAGTTTGAGGCGCTATGATTGCACCATTGCAATCCAGCCTGGGAGACAGAGCGAGGCCTTATTTCTAAAAAAAAAAAAAAAAAAAAAAGTGAAAAGCAAAAGAATACTTCAACAAATGAAAAGACATACTACATTTTTAGAAATGAAGATTTAAAAAAGATGTCAATCTTCACTAATTTGTAATTTTAATTTGAATCTAATAGAAACACCAGTATGGCACATGGCATTTTAGTGTAATAAAATTAGTTGTTTTTTTATTCTTATATACTAGAATAGTAAAGAAACCAAATAAGAGAGCAAAGACTAACTTTATCAGAAATTAAAATATTCTATAAATATTCAATAATTAAAGCAGTCTGGTTCTGTTTCATAATAAGGCTAATAATCCAAACAGAACATAAAACTTGGAAAGATATCTAAATGCACATGAAACTTTAGGAAAAGGTTGGCATCTTAAATCAGAAGAAGATGATCATGATTATATTGAATCCACAATATTTGGACAATTGAGTCTGGTTACACACACAAGAAACATTTCATGAGAATTTAAGATATACCTATTAAAAATGAAATCATAATGCACTAGAGATAAAAATGGGATTTTTTTATAACTTTGGAGTGGGGGTGGATCTTCCAAAAATGACACAAAAATTCAGAAGCCATAAAGGGTGTGTGATAGTTAATTTTATGTGTCAATTTGACTGGGTCACAGTCCTCAGATATTTGGTCAAACATTATTCTTGATGTTTCCATGAGGGTGTTTTTGGATGAGATTATCATTTAAGTTAGTGGACTTCAAGTAAAGCAGATTAACCTTCATAAGGTAGATGGGCCAATTACTTGCCTGAATAATAATAATAATAATAATAATAATAATAAACCTGACTGCTTCCTGAGTAAGAGGAAATTCTGCCAGTAGACAATCTTCATACTGGAACTACAACATCCACTCTTCCATGGGTCTCTCACCTGCCAGGCCATCCTTCAGGTTTTGGCCTTTCCAAACTCCTTAATTGTATGAGCTGATTCCTTTTAAATAAGTTTCTTTATATAATTATATATATCTTATTGGTTCTGTTTGTCTGAAGAACACTGACAAACACTGTAGGAATTATGAAAAATTCTACCATATACAAAGAAAAATTGTCTATATACCAAACAAAACCAGAAGCAAGCAAATAACACAAAGCAGAAAAACCCTACCCATCAAAAAATTCAAATACATTTCATGAACTAGGAAAAACATTTGTTCAGACAATTGACTAATACCCTTGCTAGAGAATGATCATTTTTTGATCAATAAGGACCAACAGACCAATGGAAAAATGGGCAAAAGAGATGAACAATCTCACATCTCTCTTAAACTTATGAAAATATGATCACTGTCACTCATAATTACAAAAAAAAAGTTACACAGAATTATTGTTCTTAGTTTCAAAGTGACAAAAATCTAAATGTATTAGGCACTGTGGGTGAGGATAGGTAAAAATAAGCAGACTCAATTATTGATGATGGGAGTGCAAAATGGTATAACCCATATGGAGGGCAAGTGACATTATCTATCAAGATGACAGATGCACCTGCTTGTAGACTCAGCACTCCACTTCCAGAAATTTATTCTACAGATAATAACTCTCATGTGCAAAATGACATCTGTATTATGTTTGTAGGTTTATAAAAACACAGGATCAGAAACAACACAAAATGTTATAAGTAAGGGACTGATTTAAGTATAATATATAATATGGGACAAACGTATACATTATTGAAAAAATAAAGATTTTTCTATGTGTAGCTATGAAATGCTTTTAAATATATAAGGTAAAAAGGAAGATGCATAATCATGTGTAAAGTATGTATCACTTACTTAAAAATGGAAGAGTAGTAACATATTTGAAATGGTTTGGCTGTGTCCCCACACAAATCTCAACTTGAATTGTAGATCTCATCATTCCCACGTGTCATGGGAGGGTCCTGGTGGGAGGCAATTGAATCACAGGGTGAGGTCTTTCCCATGCTGTTCTCATGATAGTGAATAAGTCTCACAAGAGCTGATGGTTTTAAAGGGGAGTTCCCCTGCACACGCTCTCTTCTTGCCTGCTGCTATGTAAGATGTGACTTTGCTCCTCCTTCGCCTTCCACCATGATTGTGAGGCCTCCCCAGCTATGTGGAACTGTGAGTCACTTAAACCTCTTTCCTTTATAAGTTACCCAGTCTCGGGTATTTATTTATTAGCAGTGTGAGAACAGACTAATACAAAATGATTATATTGACTTACATATGCATGAAATATTTCGGGAAAGATCAGTATGAAAACTTTAAAAAGTAACACATTATGTTGAGAGGGATGGAAACTGGATGAATGCAGGTCTAAAGCAGGAAAAGGACTTTTCATTGTATGATGTTTTACACTTTCTGATATTTATTGAACAATGTGTCTACAGACAGTCTCCAACTTAAGATTTTTTGACTTTACGATGGTGTGAAAGTGATACTGAGTCAGTGGAAATTATACTTTGATTACCAATAGAACTATCCTTTTTTTCACTTTCAGTACGGTATTCAATACAAAACAGGCTTTGTGTTGGATGATTTTGCCCAACTGTACACTAATGTGAGTATTCTGAAAGAGTATATGATTTATAAACTCATAGAGGGACGAAATGGAATAATAAAAACTATGCAATCAATTGAACAAAAGGCAAAAAACAGGGAAAAATATAGAATTGGAAAGAACAGAAACCATTTTGTAAGATCATAGCATTAAAAGAGAAAAATCATGTGATATAATCATCTTAATAAATATAGAAAAATCATTATATAAATTTCAACATTCATCCATGCCAAAATATTTAGCAAATATTTAGTGGTTTCTCACTCACCATCCTCCGTGAAATCAATATCCCACGCAAGTGTGCTACTCTCCTCGCTCTGGGCCCGTAACACTTGGGGGTAGCTATACTGAACTGTATCCGGCATCTGGTTCCTACCTCACGGCCATGAAACTAAGATTGCCCACGCATTCCCCTTAAATAAGACATCACGACGCATCACGGGTCTATCACCCTATTTAGCAAACATTTAATTTTTTAATTTTGCAAATATTTAGCAAACAGGAGAGAAATTCCTTACTCTGAGGAATGCTATCTACAAATCTAAACAAAACAAAAAGTAACTTTCAATAAAGCTCATCCCTAATAATGACCTTCTGAAACATTTCTTTCTGAAATTGAGAATGAGATAAAAACAGTGGCTGTTACCATTTCAATTCACTATCATAATTGAGGTCATTTACAGTGCAATCAAGAAAGAACAAGAAATAAAAGTGGTTTTGGAAAAAAAAATATTTTCTTATTTACATATGATGCAATTATCTGTAAATCACATCATCTACAAATTATGTAGTGCTACAAATTACATAACACATCAAAAAGAATTCAAAGGTGAGTTATTAGAATGAAAATGAACAGACCCCAGCTACATGCAACACATGATTCTTAATGATACTGTTGAGTGAAAGTCATACTAAAAAAAATAGTTACTGTATGTGTCTTGGGATTGCTCTTCTCGAGGAGTATCTTTGTGGTGTTCTCTGTATTTCCTGAATTTGAATGTTGGCCTGCCTTTCTAGGTTGGGGAAGTTCTCCTGGATAATATCCTGAAGAGTGTTTTCCAACTTGGTTCCCCTCTCCCCGTCACTTTCAGGTACACCAATCACACATAGATTTGGTCTTTTCACATAGTCCCATATTTCTTGGAGGCTTTGTTCATTTCTTTTTACTCTTTTTTTCTCTAAACTTCTCTTCTCGCTTTATTTCATTAAATTGATCTTCAATCACTGATACCTTTTCTTCTGCTTGATTGGATCGGCTATTGAAGCTTGTGCATGAGTCATGTAGTTCTCGTGCCATGGTTTTCAGCTCCATCAGGTCATTTAAGGTCTTCTCTACACTGTTTATTCGAGTTAGCCATTCATCTAATCTTTTTCCAAGGTTTTTAGCTTTCTTGTGATGGATTCGAACATCCTCCTTTAGCTCAGAGAAGTTTGTTATTACCGACCTTCTGAAGCCTATTTCTGTCAGCTCTTCTAAGTCATTCTCCATCCAGCTTTGTTCTGTTGCTGGCGAGGGGCTGCAATCCTTTGGAGGAGGAAGAAGCACTCTGGTTTTCAGAGTTTTCAGCTTTTCTGCTCTGGTTTCTCCTCATCTTTTTGGTTTTCTCTACCTTTGGTCTTTGATGTTGGTGACATACAGATGGGGTTTTGGTGTGGATGTCCTTTTTTGTCCTTTTTGTTGATGTTGATGCTATTCCTTTCTGCTTGTTCATTTTCCTTCTAACAGTCATCCGCAGGTCAGTTGGAGTTTGCTGGTGGTCCACTCCAGACCCTGTTTGCCTAGGTATTACCAGCAGAGGCTGCAGAACAGCAAATATTGCAGAACAGCAAATATTGCTGCCCAATCCTTCCTCTGGAAGCTTCGTCCCAGAGGGGCACCTGCCTGTATGAGGTGTCAGTCGGCCACTACTGGGAGGTCTCTCCCAGTTAGGCTACACGGGGGTCAGGGACCCACTTGAGGAGGCAGTCTGTCTGTTCTCTGAGCTCAAACACCATGCTGGGAGAACCACTGCTCTCTTTAGGGCTGTCAGACAGGGACGTTTAAGTCTGCAGAAGTTTCTGCTGCCTTTTGTTCAGCTATGCCCTGCCCCCATAGGTGGAGTCTACAGAGGCAGTAGCCTTGCTGAGCTGTGGTAGGCTCCGCCCAGTTTGAGCTTCCAGGCTGCTTTGTTTACCTACTGAAGGCTCAGTAATGGCAGATGCCCCTCTCCCTGACAGGCTACTGCCTTGCAGGTTGATCTCAGACTGCTGCACTAGCAGTGAGCAAGGCTCCATGGGAGTGGGACTTGCTGAACCCGGCATGGGATATAATCTCCTGGTGTGCCGTTTGCTAAGACCATTGGAAAAGCACAGTATTTGGGCAGGAGTGTCCTGTTTTTCCAGGTACAGTCTTTGGCGAAGGTACGGATTCCCTTGGTTAGGAAAGGGAAATCCCCTGAACCCTTGCACTTCCTGGTTCAGACAATGCACCACCCTGCTTCGGCTTGCCCTCCATGGGCTACACCCCCTGTCCAACAGTCCCAGTGTGATGAACCAGGAACCTCAGTTGGAAATGCAGTAATCATGCGTGTTCTGCGTTGATCACACTGGGAGCTGCAGACTGGAGCTGTTCCTATTTGGCCATTTTGGAAGGGAATCAGATTCTCCAAGGTTGAAATGAAGGGAAAAAAGTTAAGGGCAACCAGAGAGAAAAGTTGGGTAACGCACAAAGGGAAGACCATCAGTGTAACAGTGGATTTCTTGGCAGAAACTCTACAAGCCAGAAGAGAGTGGGGGCCAATATTCAACATTCTTAAAGAAAAGAATTTTCAACCCAGAATTTCATATCCAGCCAAACTAAGCTTCATAAGTGAAGGAGAAATAAAATCCTTTACAGACAGCAAATTCTGAGAGATTTTGTCACCACCAGGCCTGCCTTACAAGATCTCCTGAAGGAAGCACTAAACATGGAAAGGAACAACCTGTACCAGACACTGCAAAAACATGCCAAATTGTAAAGGCCATCAATGCTAGGAAGAAACTGCATCAACTAATGGGCAAAATAACCAGCTAACATCATAATGACTGGATCACATTAACACACAACAATACTAACCTTAACTGTAAATGGGCTAAATGCCCCAATTAAAAGGCACAGACTGGAAAATTGGATAAGGAGTCAAGACCCATCAGTGTGCTCTATTCAGGAGACCCATCTCATGTGCAGAGACACACATAGGCTCAAAATAAAGGGATGGAGGAAGATCTACCAAGCAAATGGAAGGCAAAAAAGCAGGGGTTGCAATCCTAGTCTCTGATAAAACAGACTTTAAACCAACAAAGATCAAAAGAGACAAAGAAGGCCATTACATAATGGCAAAGGGATCAATTCAACAAGAAGAGCTAACTATCCTTAATATATATGCACCCAATACAGGAACACCCAGATTCATAAAGCAAGTCCTTAGAGACCTACAAAGGGACTTAGACTCCCGCAGAATAATAATGGGAGACTTTAACACCCCACTATCAATATTAGACAGATCAACGAGACAGAAGGTTAACAAGGATATCCAGGACCTGAACTCAGCTCTGCACCAAGCAGACCTAATAGACAGCTACAGAACTCTCCACCCCAAATCAACAGAATATACATTCTTCTCAGCACCACATCGCACTTATTCCAAACTTGACCACATAGTTGGAAGTAAAGCACTCCTCAGCAAATGTAAAAGAACAGAAATCACAACAAACTGTCTCTCAGACCACACTGCAACCAAATTAGAACTCAGGATTAAGAAATTCACTCAAAACCGCACAACTACATGGAAACTGAACAACCTGCTCCTGAATGACTACTGGGTAAATAATGAAATGAAGGCAGAAATAAAGATGTTCTTTCAAACCAATGAGAAAAAAGACACAATGTACCAGAATCTCTGGGACACATTTAAAGCAGTGTGTAGAGGGAAATTTATAGCACTAACTGCCCACAAGAAAGCAGGAAAGATCTAAAATTGACACCCTAACATCAAAATTAGAAGAACCAGTGAAGCAAGAGCAAACAAATTCAAAAGCTAGCAGAATGCAGGAAATAACTAAGATCAGAGCAGCACTGAAAGAGATAGAGACACAAAAAACCCTTCAAAAAATTAATGAATTCAGGAGCTGATTTTTTGAAAAGATTAACAAAATTGATAGACTGCTAGCAAGACTGCTAAAGAAGAAGAGAGAAGAATCAAATAGATGCAATAAAAATGATAAAGGGGATGTCACCACTGATCCCGCAGAAATACAAAGAATACTATGAACACCTCTATGCAAATAAACTAGAAAATATAGAAGAAATGGATAAATTCCTGGACACATACACCCTCCCAAGACTAAACCAGGAAGAAGTTGAATCTCTGAATAGACCAATAACAGGCTCTGAAATTGAGGCAATAATTAACAGCCTTCCAACCAAAAAAAGTCCAGGACCACACGGATTCACAGCCGAATTGTACCAGAGATACAAAGAGGAGCTGGTACCATTCCTTCTGAAAGTATTCCGATCAATAGAAAAAGAGGGAATCCTCCCTAGCTCATTTTATGAGGCCAGCATCATCCTGATACCAAAGGCTGGCAGTGACACAACAAAAAAAGAGAATTTTAGACCAGTATCGCTGATGAACATTGATGCAAAAATCCTCAATAAAATACTGGCAATCTGAATCCAGCAGCACATCAAAAAGCTTATGCACCACGATCAAGTCAGCTTCATCCCTGGGATGCAAGGCTGGTTCAACATATGCAAATCAATAAATATAATCCATCACATAAACAGAACCAATGACAGAAACCACATGATTGTCTCAATAGATGCAGAAAAGGCCTTTGATAAAATTCAACAGCCTTCATGCTAAAAGCTCTCAATAAACTAGGTATTGATGGAACGTATCTCAAAATAATAAGAGCTATTTATGACAAACCCACAGCCAACATCATACTGAATGGGCAAAAACTGGAAGCATTCCCTTTGAAAACTGGCACAAGACAGGGATGCCCTCTCTCACCACTCCTATTCAACATAGTGTTGGAAGTTCTGGCCAGGGCAATCAGGCAAGAGAAAGAAATAAAGGTATTCAATTAGGAAAAGAGGAAGTCAAATTGTCCCTTTTTGCAGATGACATGATTTTATATTTAGAAAACCCCATCGTCTCAGCCCAAAATCTCCTTAAGCTGATAAGCAATTTCAGCAAAGTCTCAAGATACAAAATCAATGTGCAAAAATCACAAGCATTCCTAAATACCAATAACAGACAGAGAGCCAAATCATCAGTGAACTCCCATTCACAATTGCTACAAAGAGAATAAAATACTTAGAAATCCAACTTACAAGGGATGTGAAGGACCTCTTCAAGGAGAACTACAAACCACTTCCCAACGAAATAAAAGAGGACACAAACAAATGGAAGAACCTTCCATGCTCATGAATAGGAAGAATCAATATGGTGAAAATGGCCATATTGCCCAAGGTAATTTATAGATTCAATGCCATCCCCATTAAGCTACCAATGACATTTTTCATAGAATTGGAAACAACTAAAGTTCATATGGATCCAAAAAGGAGCCCACATTGCCAAGACAATCCTAAGCAAAAAGAACAAAGCTGGAGGCATCACGCTACCTGACTTCAAACTCTACTACAAGGCTACAGTAACCAAAACAGCATGGCACTGGTACCAAAACAGATATATAGACCAATGGAGCAGAACAGAGGCCTCAGAAATAACACCACACATCTACAACCATCTGATCTTTGACAAACCTGACAAAAGCAAGAAATGGGAAAGGATTCTCTATTTAATAAATGGTGCTGGGAAAACTAGCTAGCCATATGTAGAAAGCTGAAATTGGATCCCTTCGTTACACCTTATACAAAAATTAATTCAAGATGGATTAAAGACTTAAATGTTAGACCTAAAACCATAAAAATCCTAGAAGAAAACCTAGGCAATACCTTTCAGGACATAGGCATGGGCAAGGACTTCATGACTAAAACATCAAAAGCAATGGCAACAAAAGCCAAACTGGATAAATGGGATCTAATTAAACTAAAGAGCTTCTGCACAGCAAAAGAAACTACTGTCAGAGTGAATGGGAAATATAGAGAATGGGAGAAAATTTTTGCAATCTACCCATCTGATAAAGGGCTAATATCTAGAATCTACAAAGAACTTAAACAAATTTAGAAGAAGAAAACAACCCCATCAAAAAGAGGGCAAAGGATATGAACAGACACTTCTCAAAAGAAGACATTTATGCACCCGCAGACACATGAAAAAATGCTCATCATCACTGGTCATCAGAGAAACGCAAATCAAAACCACAATGAGATACTGTCTCACGCTAGTTAGAATGGCGATAATCAAAAAGTCAGGAAACAACAGATGCTGGAGAGGATGTGGAGAAATAGGAATGCTTTTACACTGTTGGTGGGGGGGGTGGTAAACTAATTCCACCATTGCGGAAGACAGTGTGGCAATTCCTCAAGGATCTAGAACTAGAATTATCATTTGACCCAGCCATCCTATTACTGGGTATATACCCAAAGGATTATAAATCATGCTACTATAAAGACACATGCACTTGTATGTTTGTTGTGGCACTATTCACAATAGCAAAGACTTGGAACCAACCCAAATTTCCATCAATGATAGACTGGATTAAGAAAATGTGGCACATATACACCATGGAATACTATGCAGCCATAAAAAAGGATGAGTTCATGTCCTTTGCAGGGACATGGATGCAGCTGGAAACCATCATTCTGAGCAAACTATCCCAAGGACAGAAAACCAAACACCACATGTTCTCATTCATAGGTAGGAATTGAACAATGAGAACACTTAGACACAGGGTGGGGAACATCTCACCCTGAGGCCTGTCATGGGGTGGGGTCAGGGGGAGGGATAGCATTAGGAGAAATACCTAATGTAAATGACGAGTTAATGGGTGCAGGAAACCAACATGGCACATGTATACCTGTGTAACAAACCTGCACATTGTGCACATGTACCCTAGAACTTAAAGTATAATAATTATAAAAAATAGTTACTGTATTATCCTACTTATATAATGTTTAAGAAACTGACAAAATCAAATTATACCTAGGCAGTCACGTTATGAAAAAATATCAAGCAAGCAATTATAAAAATCAGAAACTTTATCTCTGAGGGGGAACTTCGGGGCCCATGAGAGAGAAAGTAGTGTGATAAGAGGTTGAAAAGGGGCCATTTAGAATTCTGGGTTTCATGCTATGGGCCATGGATTCATTGGATAGTTTTGAGCCACGAAATATCACTGACCTGGTATTTTTCAAGAGGACAACTCTGAACAATTGTGGGTTGTGGAAGGACAGAACTGGAAGCAGGGAAATCCGTAAGATTACTGCAGTAAGTACTTCAGACAAGTGGCGTTATCAACTTGGATTAAGAGACTTTATTTTTTTTTATAGCTGCTGTTACAAATTACCACAAATACAGGGGCTTAAAACAATACAACTTACTATTTTAAAGTTCTGTAGGTTACAAGTCCAAAGCAGGCCTCACTGGGCTAAGATCAAAGTGTTGGCAGGGCTGTGTTCCTTTCTGAAGACTCCAAAAAATAATCCATTTCCTCACTTTATTTAGTTTCTAGAGACCACACACATTCCTTGGCTCATGGCCCCCTCCTCTATCTTCAAAAACATTGCATTTCTCTTACCATTCTCCTGGGGGCACATCTCTTTTTGATTTCAACTTCAGTGGGAAAAGGTTCTCCCCTTTTATGGATTCATATGATTAGGTTGGGTTCACAATGGAATAATACAGGATTATCTCCCCATCTCAAGGCCCCTAACCTTAATCACATGTGCAAAGTCCCTTTTAGTAAGTCGTGGTAAATTATTTGGTAAGGTAAGGTAACACATTTAAAGGTTCTGGGGATTAGGACATGGATATCTTTGTGGACCTTTGTTCTGTCTACCACAAATGTAGAGGTGGAAATGGACAAAAGAGGACATAAAGTATTCACCTGCTTTTGAGAAGCAGCCTGAGTGCTTCTGGCAGCTCCACCTGCCTACTAAATTAAGACTCCCAATCCATTCTGTATATGATGGTCACCTAAACCAGACCAGGCTTGTGATTTGGACACCCCATTCTTCAATTCAGGTCTGTCCTGAATGTCTTCCTTAGTCCCCATGTTGCTCAGTCCCATTTATCTCCTCTTTTCAAGGTCAAAGACATTCAGGACAACTCAAGTCTTTGGTCATGCACAATTCCATGGTGCCTTTGCAGGCAGAACTGTATCTGCTGTAATAGCAATGGTTGTAACTGCACAGCAATCCTATTAGCCAGAGCACTCGCTGTGTGATCTTAGTCTATTATCAATAAAGCGTGGGCTGGTCATGTTAAATTTGATTTATTTTCTAGCTGGAAAAAATATGGCTATTTGAGCCTTTAGCCACATTCTTTAATGTGATAAGTATTTCAATAACTTCTAGCTAACAGGCAATCTCTCTTTACTATCAGGGTCTCACTTAACCCTGCCTTAGCTCAGTCTGTTCCTAGTCATCCCACCTCCCTGGTTTTCTATTCTCACCAGATCTTCCACAAATGTCCCTGGTAATCCTATGCACAAATTTTCTATAGGGAGGAAGAGATATATTTCAAGAATGATGCTTTGAGAAGCCAATTCCATCTCCATACCAATATGAAGTATAATATAACAACTCTATAAAAAAAGTCAATGTTCAGCTTTTTCCTTCAATGCTCTTGGTAAACAGTAAAGAATTATAAATCTCCCTTTAGTTTTGGAGTCAATAGAATATACTAATGAGTGGAAAACAGCAGCCATATATCTGTTTCTTTCAGATTATGAAAAAATCTGATTAAAATGCAAAATGAATATGTAGTATTTTGGTTTAAAAGATCCAAATTAACACCATCTCTTTGTTAGATTCCTTCTAAAAATACTTTTCTTAAAATATAAATGTGTGTGCACATGCACTAGACAGAGACAGAGAGTGAGGGTGAAAGAGAATTCATTCACAGATTCAAGTGTTTCTTCTCACATAGCAACTTTAATACCTTCCACTACCCTATGCTTTTAGGTTCTTTTGTTGCTATTGAAAAACCCTTCATAAATTTACTTGGAATTTTCCAAATCTGCACTTTAGGATCTGCATTGTGTAAATAGGTCTCTGTTAAAATGAAAGCAGGTGACATTATCACATACAGTCATTGAGCTTTGAATCTGTAATTACATCTCCTTCAAGTCCTTTTGACTTTCCACTGTAAGTCTCTAAACTTTCTGTGAGTGGCTTGACATTTAATCTGGGGTCATCCATGCTGCCCTTCTTAGGCTTTTCTCCTCACTGTCTTTCAACTCCTTATGGCAGCGATATGACTAGAAATGAACACTACTTTCAGACACAACCAGCAAGTAGCTCTGAATTTTTTATCATGTTTTGTTCAATCTTCTTCCTCAACTTTCATCTTAGTTATTCCATCTGTCTCTCAGCTATGTATATATTCAGTTGTATCAGCATCTTTGTCAGAGATTACCAAAGAATCACTTCTTAAAAAAAATCAGCCAACTGTTTATCTGCCTACATGATTGTTCAGTGTTTGTTTCACTTTGGACATTTAGCCCTCACCAGTTGCTTTACATTAATCACTTCATTCATGCATACCACAAACATTTTATTCAGCATCTTCTGTGGGCCAGTCTTTATTTTAAGCACATGGATTTCAATGGTTGGCAAAAATAAACTCTTTTTCTGCATTCATGGAAATTGTAGCCTGGTGGGGTAGGGAGAAGAACATTATTAGTAAAAGGACCCTGCAAAAGATGTAAAATTACAACTGCAAGAAATACCCTGGAAATACCAGTTGCTACAAGAATGTGTGTTTAACAGGGGCAATCAAGGAAGACTTTCTGAAGAAGTGAAATTTGACCTGAGATCTGAAAGATATCCAAGCATTAACTAAGGAAAAAGAGGGAGTAGCTGCATTCAAGGGAGTGGGAACGGCATATGCAAACACCCTCTGGTGGAAAGAAGCTCAGAATGTTTGAGAAACTGAAATGAGGCCAGGGGCTGGTGCACAGGCAGCAAGGGAGTTGGAGTAGCAGATGATGCTGGAGAAGGCGGCATGGGCAGATCATGGAGGATCATATTAGTTCTATCAAGGATTTGTTCCTCACCCCAAGACAATGAAAACCATTGATGGGCTTTATCCAAGGGAGGCTGACATCACCCAATTTTCACGTTCCTTGTCTTTTTTTCTTTCTTCTTCGCATTCCAGAGACATGTGTGTGCTGCTAGTAACAATTGTAAGCAGGATAGCTCACAGGACTCTAGGCCAGAACTTTAGAATTTGCAGTACAGGGATTCTTAATTGGATCCATAATCTAGCCTCTCCAAAAGTGCTTTATGGGCAACTTCGGGCAGGATCTGGGTGGCTGCTTTCTGCAGGAAGTCAGGAACCCCGAATGGAGGGACCGGCTGAAGCCATGGCAGAAGAACATGGATTGTGAAGATTTCATGGACATTTATTAGTTCCCCAAATTAATACTTTTATAATTTCTTATGCCTGTCTCTACTGCAATCTCTGAACATAAATTGTGAAGATTTCATGGACACTTATCACTTCCCCAATCAATACCCTTGTGATTTCCTATGCCTGCCTTTACTTCAATCTCTTAATCCCATCATCTTCGTAAGATGAGGGGGATGTATGTCGCCTCAGGACCCTGTGATGATTGTGTTAACTGCACAAATTGTTTGTAGAGCATGCGTGTTTGAACAATATGAAATCTGGGCAACTTGAAAAAGAACAGGATAACAGCAACGTTCAGAAAACAAGAGAGGTAACCTTAAACTCTGACCGCTGGTGAGCCGGGCGGAACAGAGCCATATTTCTCTTCTTTCAAAAGCAAATGGGAGAAATATCGTTGAATTCTTTTTCTCAGCAAGGAACATCCCTGAGAAAGAGAATGCATCCCTGAGGGTAGGCCTCTGAAATGGCCGCTTCGGGGGTTGGCCATCTTTTATGGTCGAAGCTGTAGGGATGAAATAAGCCCCAGTCTCCCATATCGCTCCCAGGCTTATTAGGACGAGGAAATTCCTGCCTAATAAATTTTGGTCAGACCAGTTGTCTGCTCTCAAACCCTGGCTCCTGATAAGATGTTATCAATGACAATGCGTGCCCAAAACTTCATTAGCAATTTTAATTTCGCCCCGTCCTGTGGTCCTGTGATCTCGCCCTGCCTCCATTTGCCTTGTGATATTCTATTACCTTGTGAAGCATGTGATCTCTGTAACCCACACCCTATTCATACACTCCCTCCCCTTTTGAAAATCACTAATAAAAACTTGCTGGTTTTATGGCTCGGGGGGCATCACGGAACCTGCTGACATGTGATGTCTCCCCCGGATACCCAGCTTTAAAATTTCTCTCTTTTGTACTCTGTCCCTTTATTTCTCAGACCGACTGACACTTAGGGAAAATAGAAAAGAAACTACGTGAAATATCGGGGGTGAATTTCACCCGATATCTGGCTGAATTTTCCCTGATAGCTACTGGTGAATATACCAACATAGTGTATATTTAAAAGTGGGGTATTGAAGAAAATGAAGAGGACCTGAGGCTGTCAAAGGGTCAGGCCTCATAGAGGCTGCATAATACTTCTTCTACCCACTCCCGCTCAGGTGTCTTTCTTTTCTTATCCGTCTCCAAAGGAAAATACACTGCTTTTGTTGTAACCCCTTTTGTGATCTCAGGATAGAAGCTTTCAAAGGTGACTGAATTGTCTCTGAGAACCCACTTTGGGCAAGGCTCCAGCTAGATGTCCTCTGAGACAAGGAAGTAGTCACTGCTCATGAGAAGCTGAAACGTTAGTGGAGAATTTGGGGCATAAGCCAGTGACTAAGAATGTGACAAGACATAAAGCTGTTCTGAAGCATCTGACAAGCAGCCAGATTTGATGGGCCGTTGGTCCTTGACAAACTCTGCAGAAATGAGAGCCTCAAGTGCCAAGAGACCAACACTCAACTTTCTTAAGAAACTCACAGTCAGATCATCCCTGGTCCTGTCCACTCTGCGCTTCAGCAAGCATCCACCACATTTGCACAAGGCCAAAGCTTGCCCCTCATTTCTCTAAGCATCTGTCCATTGCTAAGCAAACTAGGCCATGTTTCCTTATGTTCTATTGTGCCCATAGGCAAGAACAGAAGGTCTAGATAAACAAGCCAAAGCAAAGAATAATTCCAGAAGAATGAAAGAGTTAAATGTAAAAAGCAAACCACAAAAAGAGAGAAAAAGATAGATACAATTATACTATACCATGTCAGAATTTTAAAATGTGAAATATATAATTGTATTTACATCAAAACATCAAAGCAGCAAGAATAAATATATGCAGGCTTGGAGTTTCTAGACATTAAATATGGATCTCTCCACACATGTTCTCTGAAACCTACAGAGATGAACAAGGATAGCAAATAAAACCACCCATAACCCCTGTCTACAACATAAGTAAGAGACTGAGAATGCTACAAATCTGAATTTACACAGAGGTGGGGAAATAAAAATCTGACACCTGCAGAGCCAGCGCTGAAGGCCTTGCTGGAGCCGAAAGTCAGCCGGTGAATGCTTGGCAAAGAGGAGGAGGCAGAGGAGGAGGCAGTGAGGCCTAGCAAGTGGAAGAGCACAGATAAAATCATTCCCGGTAAGAAAATGTCACACCTGAGAGGATAAAGAGAGAAAGGTCAATGACCTGGTGGATCAGAGCTACTGGGGCACAAAGGGAGGAGGCTTGAGAGTGCAGGTCCAGGCATGGCTTTTTTGGGAGAGGAGGTGCCCTTGGAGCCTAGATGGTGAAGCAGAAGAAAGTAAGCATTCAAAACAGAGAGACCAATGAGGAAGGAGGCCATATGACATACTTACCTGGCAGGGGAGATACCATGATCATGAAATTAAGGGTTGTTCAGGAAGAAGAGACAGCACACTACCACCCCCATCCCATCACACAAAATGTGCCATCTACTATTAAAAAACAAAAAAACAACAACAAAAAACTTCACTGTGTCAACAGAAGACAGTGTTCTTGATCCAAGAAATCAATTAAGTCTCTCTAAAACCTTATTGCTGTCTACACAGAATCATCTGGTTTTGTTGGTACAGGAAAACGCAAGATAATTAAAACATGAAACAGTGATGACATCCCCACAAAGTCAATATAAAACTTTAGAAAATGAGAGTCAAAACATTTCAGCAGGTGAAAATTTTTTCCTCCAAACAACTACATAGCGGAAGAAAACTAACACTACTGCCGGACTGAGTTAAATGTGTACAAAAAAGCACTTACAGATATTTTCTAAACACTTCTAATCAGAAATCCAAAAGCTCTGAAGAAAAAAGGACAAATAAAAAGACGATGTGAAGCGAGAGTTGAAAAGACTGGGAAACAATGTGCATGACTGTGCAGAGAAGCGGTTGCCGCCACCCCAGCAAAGCTGTCACATGTGGCATCATGACCAGCAGAGCAAACGGGCATCATGAGCCTCAGGATGTCAGGCAACCAGAGTAGACAGCGTCTCCTGCGGGGAACTCTTTTCAAAAATGCTTAATCTGATCTAATAATGAAGAAATGATCAGACAAACCCAGAATATGGTACATTCTCAAAGTCAACTGGCTTGGACTCTTCAAAAATATGAGTATCATGAAAAATTAAAAAAAGCGAGGTATCCTTCTAGCTAAAAGGAGATTAAAGAAACATAATAAATAAGTGCAATGTTTGATCCTTTATTCAATCTTGATTTGTGGGGGAAAAATCCATCAGCTATAAAGAATGTTTTTAGAAAAAATGGGGAAATATGAATATGATCTCTATATCGGATATTATGGGATTCATATTAAATATGAGATAATAGTAGTATTGTGGTTATGTAGCGAAAATGTTATTTTGCCTAATAGATACCAGCAGCTGAAGTATTTAGGGGTGTAGTGTCATGTCTAGTACTTTCAAATGGATTAACAAAATCTGTGTGTGTGAGGATGGATGGGTGGGTGGGTGGGTGGACAGTTGGAGTTAAAAATAAAACGAATGTGTCAAAATGTTAACAATTGGTGACTACAGGTGTACTGAGCTAAATAATATCCACCAAAATTAATGTCCTCTCAGAACTGCAGAATGTAACATTATTTGGAAATAGGACCTTTGCAGATGTAATTAAATTATGATGAGGTCATACTGAATTAGGGTGGGCCCTAAATCCAATACAATTGCATTCCTTATAAGAAGAGAGGAGGGACAGAGAGACCCATGAGGAAGGAGGCCAAGTGCCATGTGATGTCAAAGATTCGAGGAATGCCTCTACAAGCCAAGGAACCCAAGGACTGTCGGCAATCACCAGAAGGTAGGAAAAGGAAAGGATCCTTCCCTGGAGCCTTCAGAGGGAGCATGGCCCTGCCAATACCTCCATTTAAGATTTCTGGCCTCCAGAACTGTGAGACAATACATTTATATTGTTTTAAGTTACCCAGTCTGTGGTAATTTGTTATAGCAGTCCCAGGAAACTAATATAGTAGGTAAAGGTAAAAAGTCTTCAGTTAAAATACTTTCCATTTTTCTCCAGGTTTGAGTTATTTCAAAATTACAAGTTGGGTAAAATAAAAATAAATAAAATAAACTTTAGAAAAGTGTATGCATAGAAAAAAATTCAAGAAAAATACACCAATCAATAGAGGTTATCTCCCTGATGGTTTGAAGGAGTCGTCGGACCCTCAGTGACCTCACAAAACCTCCCCAACCCCATGTTAAACACCGCACTTAATCATTTCCCTCCCTCCTCCCCAAATCTATGCTAAAGATTGTATGTGACTTTGGTTACTGTGTAAAACTACCAGATTTTTGGAGGAGATGGTTGTGAGTTGTATTGGCAGGTCATGGAAATACAGCTGGCCTTCAGTAGAAGTGAGTGGAGGGAAAGTTCTAGAAAGAGAATAATGGGACAAAACAGTTCCTCCACTGACAGGAGTGACAGACATCACACAACAAGTCAAAATAGGAACAAAGTAAATATTGGGCCATGAGTGAGACAAAGAAACAATGAAAGTGTAGGCTTCCCACAGGAGGGAATGAGCTAGGGGAGGAGGGAAGTTGGAAATGGTTACTCAGCTTTCTGTAGTATTACAAAGTTTGTTAGCCTGTGGACTCTGGAGCCAGTCTTACTGGGCCTGAATTCAGGTTCTACCTCTTACTGCTTTTGTGACTATAGAAAAATGAGGGTAATAATAGAGTGTGGTTGTAAGAAACATATTTGCAATGTATTTAGAATAGTTCCTGTAACACAGCATTATATGGCTCTTACCTATGCTTTCTTTTCTTTTTTTTTTTCTGGATCTTGGGCCTCACTTAGGTATATGGCTTCCTCTATTGGTCTTAAAGTGCTGTAGAGGCATAAGTAGAGACTTTAATAGAGTCTAACCCTGAAATTATGGAATTATCATATCCGGTTTCAAAGTATGGGAGACGATGACTCCTAACAGTAACATTACAGATAAGTTTTATTTTCCCTTTTTTAGTTTTTATTTTCCCAATTTCCTACAATAAGGCAGTACCAATTTGATAATAAAAGAAATTAGAGAAGGGAAACAGAAAATAACTAACCATGTACCTCTTACTCCTCATCTTCCCACTGAAAACTGGAGGTGGTGGAGACAGTGGTGAAAAGATTATTCCTTCTATTTTAAACCATAAGAACAAGAGCCAAGAAGCAGAATCACTCAGATTCCTATATAACCCCTGCTGTTTCCTTCCCTGCCCAGGCAGCCAATGCTGCACTGGTTGCTCAATAAGTCAGAGGACACTTAGTAGAAAATCAGCAAAAACTTAAAATGAAAAAGACTCAGATTGAGTTTAGTGAATTATTCTGATGAAAATATGCAAAATCAAAAGGACCTCAAGAAGTCTGGATGTGTATTTAATGTGGATTTATGGACTTCATTACAAAAAAACATTGATTAATAATAACCTACTTCCAAACAAAACTCAATGTGTGCCAGTAGTTGGAAGTAAAGTTTGTAAACACTTTCAGAGTCATCTCATTGTCCTAGGATTCTAGCTCCCTAAGTCTTTTTTCATAATTTACTCTATGTTAAAAAAGGCATGAGTGGGGAATATCACAGAAAAACATTATTAAAATGTAAACACATATAGCAACTGAGTCAATTACTACCATACTGATTGCTGAATTTACCCTCACCTTTTGTAAGAAATTAAACTAATCCCTGTTTGACACACCTAAGGAACACAGATTTTTAGAGTAAGAGGAGGACCTTGAAGCACATCCAATTCAGATTGATGTGCAAAATGAGCATTACAGTATGCAACATAGATGACAGTGGTCAGGTCCCCAGACAGGCCTCCAAACCTCTGCCTGGACCACACTAATCGTACCCTAATCTGCAGTAATATGAATAGCTGCCACTGAGCAAACTCTGTGTGCTTGGAAAAGTGCTAAGTTTTGGGTTTGTCTGTTTAAACCACTACATCTGCTTTTTTTCCTTCATGCCGCTTTTCACAATGGTAATACCATTTCACTAATGTGCTTATTTGTTCACTGTCCACCTCTTCACTGGATTGTAAACTCTTTGAGGGCAAAAATCATGACTGTTTTGCTCATTGCTGTATCCCCAATCCCTTCTCCATAGACCAGAACTCATCAAGTATTTGTTAAATTAATGAATATAGCTTTTGATTCTTGGAGTTCTCTCCATTTTAACACTAAGGGAAACTGATAGTGAATAAGGCATTTCCTCAAAGCTGGTAAATGTCAGAGCCAAGGTTCAGACCCAGCTCCATTTGACCACAGAGGCCATGATTATTCTACTAAGCTTCCTGGCCACCCAATTAGTTTGAAAATAATCTATTAATTAAGCAATTTCAAAGTAATAGCATGAATTACATCCCATTCCTGCTTCCTCCCTCTGAGGCTAGTAAAATGTGAGTTTCAAACCTGAGTTTTAATTTTCTACAAAATGATACTAATGCTACCTCTGGGCCCTTATGTTCTTATAATGTTTTACATATGTATTTATTTACAAACACTCACTCTTTCTTTTTTTCCTCTCAACATCTATTTTAAGCTTGGGGTACATGTGCAGGATGCGCAGGCTTTTTACACAGGTAAACGTGTGCCATGGTGGTTTGCTGCAAAGATCATTTCAGCACCTTGGCATTAAGTCCAGCATCAATTAGCTATTCTTCCTGATACTCTCCCTCCCCTCCCACTTTCCAACAGGCCTCAGTGTGGGTTGTTCTCCCACATGTGTCCATGTGTTCTTATAATTCAGCTCCCACTTATAAGTGAGGACATGAAGTGTTTGGTTTTCTGTTCCTGCATTAGTTTGCTAAGGATTATGGCTTCCAGCTCCATCCATGTCCCTGCAAAGGACATAATCTCGCTCCTTTTTAAGGCTGCACAGTATTCCATGGTGTATATGTACCACATTTTTTTTGTCCAGTCTATCACTGATGGGCATTTAGGTAAACACTCATCATTTCTAACCATCCATATGACTACTTTTTCCCTCCTAATCAATAACATACAATATAGTTTAAACCAATAAAGTGCTGGAGCCACCCTGTGCTGGCTCCCAGAACTGATTGTTAAATTTTTGTGAGCTAGTTGTTACGCACAAGCATTATTTTTAAAACTTATAATGAAATGAATTATATTAAAAACAAAAATTTCATTGGAGAAGGGATAACTTTGAACAAACAACACGGGAACAATTGGACACCAATGGGCAGAAAAATGAACCTTGATTTAAAACCTCACACCACATGAAAAATTAATTCATAATGGATCATGGATTTAAATGAAAATATAAAATTCTAAAACTTTTTATTTAAAAATAAGTGAAAATATTCAGGATGTAAATCTAAGTAAAGAGTTCTTAGACATGACACCAAAAATTGATATATGATTTATCAACATTTGAAACTTTTATGCTGCAAAAGACTCTTTTAAGAGAATGAAAAGACAAGTTACAGACTGGGAGAAAAAGCTTGCAAACCATATATCTGACAAATTTCTTACATCTCGAATATATAAAGAACTCTTAAAACTGTATAGTAAAGAAACAAACTCCAATTAGAAAATGGGTAAAAGACATGAGGAAACATTTCCCCAAAGAGGTGATACAGGTGGCAAATAAACACATAAAAAGATGTCCAACGTCGTTATCCATTAGAGAATGCAAATTAAAACCACAATGAGATATCAGCACATAGCAATTAGAACTGCTAAAATGGAAAACAGTGACAACACAAAATGCTGGTGAGAATACAGAGAAGCTTGATCTCTCATACATGATGGTGGGAAAGGAAAATAATACAGGCACTCTGGAAAATAGTTTGGAAGTTTCTTGCGCCAATCATAGGTCCCAGCAATCAGTTTTAGGCACTTATCCCAGAAAAATGAAAAGTTATATTCGCATAAAATCTATATACAAAATACACAAATGTCTATGGCAGCTCTATCCATAACAGCAAAGAACTGGAAACAACCCACATGTCTATCAATGGGTGAATGGTTAAACAAATTCTGGTTTATCTGCACAATGGAATACTACTCAGAAATAAAAGAAATGATACATGCAACTATGTAGACGAAACTAGGGTATTATTCTTAGTGAAAAAAGTCATCTCAAAAGTTAATGTACTGTATAATTTTATATTTATAACATTCTGGAAATAAAACTATGGAGATGGAGAACAGATTAGTAGTTGTGAGAGGATGGGGAGTAAGTGGTAACAATAGAAAGAGGAAGCACAGGGAGGGTGTTCCTTTATGGTGATGGGGCAGGCGAGGGGGTGCACAAGTGCAAACTCTGGTTTCTTTTTTAATTTTTATTTTTTTGTGACCATGGTGTTTTTATTTTCTACAATTATTTTTAATTTTTTAAACTTTTTAGTTTTAAAAAATTGACACATAATAATTGTACATGTTTATGGGGTACATAGTGATGTTGCAATACACATGATGGACAGTGATCAGATCAGGGTAATTGGCATACCCATCATCTCAAACATTGATCATTTCTTTGGGTTGAGACCATTCAATATCTTCATTCTAGCTATTTAAATCTATGTATTATTGTTAATTCTGTTCATATTTAACTACAGTGTTATAGGATACTCCGGTCTCTTTTTATAAGGTCACTAATCTCATCATGGGGACCCCACACTTGTGACCTCATCTAAACCTAATTACATAAATCTAATTACCTACCAAAGGAGCCTTCTCCAAATACCATCACATTGGGGGTCAGGGCTTCAACATATAGACTTGGGGACATACACGCACATATTCAGTGCATAATAGTGAAAATGTTATATAAGGCCTGCTACGGTACCTCTCTTTCCAGCTCTGCATTCAGTGATATCTCATTGGGAGCTGGAAACCAGCTGTAAGGAAGTATTATATCATAGAAATAAGCAAACACCACCAATCAGGACTTGATTTGCTATACTGTTGATTATTAGAAATGGATGGAGAAAATGTAAATATTACATATTAAACTTCAAAGTGTGCTGTGTTTGTAGACATTACATCATGAGCAGCACAAAACTGGAAAAATAGTGGTGGTCTATTATTTGAAAACTGTTATTTGATTCAGTAAGGAAGTTACTAATATTATGGAGGAGCAAATGAGGTTCCAACACAGGTCTTTTTGGTTTCACCTTCTTCTTACCTACTAAGGTAACCAAAAATACTAACCATATTATTTTGGGACTATATTCATTCATCAGTTGCACCCATAGGTTAGCTATAGATACAATAATTTGGCAAAAATCAATAAAAACATTCTTAAAGAAACGATTGGGTACATGGAATTTAGAACAAAGAATACTGAACATTTTATTGTTATTTGTAAATTATGTGCTCTTTATTGGGAAAATTAATAATAAGCTTAAACACACACCTTTTTAAATATACATTCTTGGCAGTTTAATTTTAATATTTCATTAAAATATTATCTATTATACTTTGTGTTCTGGGGTACATGTGCAGGTTTGTTACATAGGTATACACGTGCCACGGTGGTTTGCTGCACCCAACAACCTGTCATCTACATTAGGTATTTCTCCTAATGCCATCCCTCCCCTGACCCTCCCAATAACTACAGATCCAAAACAGGCCCCAGTGTGTGATGTTTCCCTCCCTGTGTCCATGTGTTCTAATTGCTCAACTCCCACTTATGAGTGAGAATGTGCGGTGTTTGGTTTTCTGTCCTTGACACACACACATTTTTAAACAGTCAGTGTTCAAATATTTACCAGCACAACACTGGCTTAAACCCAATCTTCATTTTGTTCTTCAGTGGAGACAATCACAGCTCTGCTCCTCTTTAAAGTGGTGATGGAGGTTAACTCTGTTGCATCTGGCTTTTACCTTTTGAAGCTGCCATCTTTCAGGGAGACTGATTTGATCCGTGGTTTGTTCAGATTTGTGTATTCAGAATCAATGGCCTATTACAACTGTAAACCCTGTTGACTTTACAGGAAAATGCTCTGGTTTCCCTCACAAAGAGACTCTTAACAGTGAGCTGGGTCAGTTTCAATTTGCTTGTAGTTTAGATACCAGGTTTACAAGTTTTCTAATGGCTTTTCTATTTTTTTTTTTGGTGTAACAAAATCAGAAAGCAAAGATTTCTTTATCACAGGTGGTTCGTGAGATTAGTCACATTCCTCGTCTTCACCTACTACTAAGCATTTTACACTTGCTATCCCTTGGTTGTGGCTGCGCACTTGTCAAAGAACAAACTTGTCAACTGATGTGCTGTTTGGCTTCATGCAGATATTTTTGGCCCATTCTGGCTTTTCATTCCCTATTCTATGCCCTACAACCTACACTTCTTTGGAGATTCAGTTCAGTTACCTCTACCCTTGTCTTTCCTCCTCTAACCCATTCAATCTGGAAAAAAAAATACATCCCTTTCTTTGAGTTTCCCCAAATCTAGCCAGCTCTGTCTTCTGACATCGGTCCCATCTCTCCCTTATATAACTGTTACCCATGTCTTTGGCTTAGGTTATACATTACTATCATCTCCTTGAGGGCAGAGCTCTAATTTAACTCTAAATTCCATCATAGTGACTAGTTTAATGCCTGCTCATGACAAGCACTTAAAAAATTGCTTCAATGGAACAACTGAGCTGTATGTCACCAAATGAATAAATTAGTTCATCTCTACGTGTCTCAGTTTCTTACCTATAAGTTGGGACTAAAGAATATATATTACATATAATACACATATTATATACATGTAAAATAAATATGTGGTATATGTAACTACCATTATTGGCTGTACCATTATCATGTCACTGTTCTTGATACCAGATTCATGTGTCTATGAATTATTTAGCACGGTAGAGTGCAAGAGCACTGGCCTAACAGTCAGGAGTCAGAAGATGCCAGTTCTCATCTCAGTCCTTCATACCGTGCATGACCTTGGCTTAATCAACCTCTCTGGGCTTCACTTCCCTGTGTGCAAAATGTGTGTGAAGAAATCTGTGTGAAGGTGAGGAGAAGGCTGAACTTATTGGCAGCTCTAAAGGTGTGTAATTCCACAGTACTGTGTGACAAGTCCCCTCATGCTAAGCTGGGCTTCCAGTGACAGGCAGGGCTCTGTCTTCTAGAAAGTCCTCTCTCTAAACCCACAGACTTCCTCAGCAATGGGCTAAGTACATTTTGGAGAGGCTAGCTCAGCGACAGGTGCAAAGGTACTTTCTTTCCATTTTGGTAGCTGCACTGACTAAAAAAGGGTTATTGCCTTCTTCAGTTTGTGAGCATTTAGAAGTTATAGAAAAAAACGAAAATCAGTGTCAACAAGTCCCAGAGGTGATGGGTCTAATGGTTTTTCTCCTGGTGAGTCACTGTGGGAGGGATGCCTCTCGAGTTGATCAACCTGGTGACTCTGCTCCAATTCATCCTCCCTGCAGACCCAGTATGACATAGGACTGATGACCTCAATTACAGAGGCAGGAACACAGATGCCCAGAATAACAGGGTGTCACAGCTGAAAGAGCCCTTGTCTAGTCCAAACATTTGATTTTACACATGAGGAAAACTGGAGCTCAGAGAGGCCAAAAGGACACCTCCAAGGTCACAGAGTGAGTTAGTGGAAGAGCTGGGTCTAAAAAGGGCAACTTCTGGTGTCCTGGTTTACAGCTTCCACTCCTCACGCCAGCTCTATCCATTGTGGGCCAGTGCCACTGCCAGCAAGGAACATCTCTGATGGCAAAACTGAGCCCCAAACAGGCCCAAACAGGCCATGTTCAGAACATCATCTTTCTCCTCAACCCCAGTAAGTTCTGACAGATCAAGACTGTGAGAATTGGCCTCGGGAAGAAACGAATTCCCAGTTCTTAACACTCATGAGAAGAGCAAAGCTTTGGTCTTTAATGTATGTGCCATCCCATCTTGGATGTGATTACTCTAGAGCAGTACACAACTGGTACCTCAGAAGGCATTTTTGTGTGTGATGTGTGGCTGAGCACATACCTGGCAGCACACCTCAGGGTGTGGGTTACAAGCAACAGTAGCTGTGTTTCCTGTAATGTATCTGTCAGTATTTGGATGACACCAGCTAGACCACAAGCTCTTTGAGAGAAGCACAGCCTCAGGATGGAGTTAGTACAAGACTTGGCACTTGGGAGACATCCAAAATATTGGTTAGATGAGTCCCCAAAGTGTCATTCATGCTGATGACCACAGTGTCACAGAATATTCAGTAGAATGTAAAATGGCCCAGCTATAGTTATACTTTAAGAAATGAGGATAAGCTTAGTGAGGAGTGGCTCAGAAAGAAAGCTTAAGGTTCTTGATATCTTTTTGGAGTAAAGAAATCAGATATACACTCTATCATATTCACTATGGTGGGAGTAGTTATGTGGGAGGAAGGAAAGTAGAGTGAGAAGGATATTCTTATTTATATTCTTACTTATTCCAAATATAAGGGTAAATTCTTATTTCAGTAGTTCTCTCTCTCTCTCTCTCTCTCTCTCTCTCTCTCTCTCTGTCCCCACTCCCATACCTCTCTCTCTCTCCCCACTTGAAGAAAATGATGTGCAGAATGAATTCCATTCTGGAATTCCATGCTTTTGGGACTTTGTATGAGAGCTAGTGCTGTCATTCCATCTCTCTCTCTTCCTCTTTCACTGAACGTTCTCTTTCTCTGAAGGGATGTTGGTTCTAGAGAATCAGAGGGCCCACAGCACAGCCCTGAGGAGAGAAGACAGAGCTGGCTGTTAAGCCAGATGAGCTTAAGGGAGCTAGAAGGTCTCCCGCAGCAGAGACAGTGGTAAGATCCACTTCACATCCTCTTGTGGGCCACCCACTCCCCAATCTCCCTTGCCTTAGGTTGGGATCACATGGCTAGGCCCTGATGCATGCAAAGGTGGGGGGTTTCACAAGGCACTTCTAAACCTGGCCCTTATAGACACGCCTCATGGAAACTTTTAGCTCTCTCTTTCTTGACACAGCAACCTTGCAGGCTATAAGATGGAAGAGGGCCATCTGATTCATTTTGGACTTTGAGTGTAGAATAAACTTAGTGTGTTAAACAATTCGCTCTTTGGGGTTTATTTGTTACTGAAACATAGCCTACTGTATCCTGACTTTTCTGATGTATTAAGCTCCTCTCATCTGAGGATGATAAGAAGGCAAGAATGCAGGACAGGAAACTTCTGCAGGATAAAAAAAGTTTGCATTTGTCTGGCAATCCTCTCCGGCTATCTTTCTTAGGAATATGAGTGTGTCAGCATAGGATAGAGGTATTTGAGGGGAAGTTATACATATGCCCACATTTTCTCTTCTGCTTTAAAAGTTTCCCAACGTCTTATTATTATTTTTCCTTTTATGAGACAAGGTCAAGCTCTGTCACCGAGGCTAGAATACAGCGGCGTGATCATAGCTCACTGCAGCCTTGAACTCCTGGGCTCAAGCAATCCTCCCCACTCAGTGTCCTCAGCATCCTGAGTAGCTGGGTCAATGGGCACATGCCACCACACCTAGCTAATGTAAAATTTTTTATTAGAGATGGGGTCTCTCTATGTTGCCAAGGCTGGTCTCAAACTTCTGAGCTCAAGCAATCCTCCCCCGCTCAGTCTCCCAAAGTGCTGGGATTACAGGTGTGAACCACCATGTCTGGCCTCTCAAAGTCTTAGTTTTTGTAATGTTCCTTTTGTTGTTGTTGTAGTGTATACTAGGAAAAACTTTTAAGGTGGTTTGAATGATAAACTTCCAATACTTCTGTCATTTTTAAATAATTATCATCAAATTTAAATCTGAACAGTCCGTCATTTCTAATTACTTATTTCGTTGAAAGAGCTTATTTTCTACGTGCTTTCTGCTGTATGTTAGTGGGGTAAAAAGCTCAAGATATTGCTATTAGGCTAGCATTCTTTGTATTATCATTGACCTAGATGTATAAAACATATTCACCCTAAACTTTGGTTGGTTAATGTCTAATGAAAGAAAAAAATGTATGAATTCTGGAGCTGATTGCATTTTTGTTCTCAAAGCTAATTTGCTGCTAATAAAAAAATTATTGTTATGACTTTGAATTGTCACCCACCCAGATTAGAACTATGGATGACTATAAGTCAATAACAGTTTGAGTTTTAATAAGTATGTTTCATTCGCTTAGTATTTCACAAGAAGAAATTAGAATCAGCTAATACTTTCACATACTAAAACCATATAAATCGTATCTACTTAATTTGTAATCTGGTAGGACATCAATCTATTTATTCAGGAATAGGCACACCTATTTGAAAATAGGTCAGTTACATGTATAAAAATCTGTGTGTGTTTATCCTTATATTCACAGAATGCATCATTAAATTTAGACACAAAAGCAGAAGCCCAAAATCATTTAAATTCTTAGGTGAATTAATTTAAAGTGGTAAAACTAAACAACCGCAACTCTTAAATTTATCATGTACAGACCACTCTGGACTGCTCTTGTGAAAAAGCTCATAAGGCAATTTGGGTTTGGGGCATTTTTTCTTCTTTGACTCTTCCAAATACAGCTTTGTATTAGCATGTTCAATAAAGCAAGTAACACTTCCACTGGATTACTTGGAACCATTCTTGACCCTCATTTCATTCTAGTTGGAGGTAATTACTTGCTGCTAATGCACAGTGCTAAAGACAGCCTTATTATGCAGATTGGGAATCAGACCTCCCCAGTTCTTTTAAAACAGCACCATAACTCTATTTTCTACTTTGTCAAATACAATAGTCAACCAGACTTTTCTGAGTGAAAACTTTTTACTTAAAGTAAGATATTGGTCCTGGACCTGGTGGAGGAAATGAGTGAGCTGTCTTGGGAACGAGGTCAGAAATGAATAAATCAATAATAGTGGAGGTAAAGTGTATACTTTCGGTGTCTAATTTACATCAGGATGGTGGAAGGTAGCTTTTAGTCTTTTTTTTCATATGGTAGGTGTGCTGAAAATACAAGCTTTTGTTTAGGCCACCTAAGTAGTTAACTCTAAAATTTAGCCAAGGTCACTGGATAATTTTGATGTTTTATCTGAGTCTAGAAACTCTGAATATTCACTCATTTAAATGCAAATCAATCATTTCTGTATGCTAAGGACTCATCTCTGGATTAATAGTATTTACGGTAAAATGGAACAAGGTTTCTCTTAGCCTCATTCCCGGAATCAAAGAAAACCCAACAACAACAATAAAAGGCTATTTTTTTCTGTGACTACCTAAATGACTTCACAACCATTATTCTACTCAGAAGAAAAATTATTCTTATATCACAGCAAGTGGGAGAGAATGCATGACTTCTATTAAGACTAATGGAGGTTGGGATGTAACATTCAGTTGTCAGGAAGAAAGTTATTTGCCATAAGCCTGGAGAACCGGAGGGAAACTTGCTAATTAGTTCTTTTTAAACCAAGGTGCTTATTGTTTTACTCTCTCTCCTTCATGAGAAAGTAAAGCACAGGATTATCATATATTCCAGAAAAGAGTAAATTAAATATCCTCTACAAATTAAAAAGATGACAAATATTAGTAATCATACAAGCTTAAATATATGGGATTGTGCATTAGTTATTTTTTCACAATGTAGAACATGAAAGTCTACAAAATAGAGAAACATAACACCTGAAAAATAGGGAATAGAGGGGGATGATTTATGACTTTGGTTCATCGTTCATTCCTGAAAGGCATGCCCAAAGCATTTTTTGTTTGTTTGGGTTTTGTCTGTTTGTTTGTTTTATTGCGTTCCTACTATTTTGCATTTTCTAGAATGATGCTTCTGGTCTAATCAAAACACTATTTTGACACAGCCTTTTTAATCTTCCTTTTTTTTTTCTCCCACAAATATCACCTCAAGCATGAAATTCATTTTACTGGCAACCATAATTGTGTACTTGAAGAATAACTCGGCCTTAACCCCAAGTCCTCTAGATGCCTTTTGTTAGGTTTAGATGACTCATAGATCAGGCCAGGCTCAGGTCAATATGGAGGGTTCCACAGAGCGTTACTATGTGTGCCACACTCCAAAGCCATTTTACCCACTGACTCTAGCATTGCCCAGACTCAGTCCTGATTTCCCAGAAGACCTTCTTTGGGCCAGGCTCCAGCAGCCCAATGTCCCTAAGACAGCAGTGGGATGGTCTGTCCTGAGCCTCCAAACCCCTTATTTCTCAAAATATGGTCAGATTTTCACCTTAGTGAGTATTACTCAAAACACATTTTTTTTTCCCTCAGTTGAATTCTGAGCAGAAAATGCTGTAACTACAGATCCAAAACAAATGCTAGGGAAGAAAAACTAGTGGAGGGAAGAAGAGAGTGCGTTCCAAAGAACAGTATCATTTGGCTGGATGCTGAAATCAGAAACTCTTATCTCACGTTAACCTGAGACCTTGCCCCTTAATCAAGGAAGCTGCTTTATAGACAATGTGCTGGCTTATTTTAACAAGGAATTCGTCTGGAAGGCTCATTCTTCAGATGAAATTCATTCATTCATTCACTCATTCATTAATATATTTTTAATACAGAGTACATACCAGCACTGGGGATGCCACATTAAACAAAAATCCCGGCCCTAATGTGGCTTACATACTTGTTGGGGGAGAAGTTGCAGAATAAATAATTAGGGGGATTAAAAAAGGGAATAGAGAGGGGGCCATCCAATTTATTCTTGGTACCCTAAATAGCTTTCTGTACTCATCTCCCTTGGGCCTGTGACTTCATAAAAAAATCCTTTACAAACAGAACTTTCTCTTTTTCATGCTGTATCATAATGAATATCACATTCTTGGCTCTAGGTCATCTTGACCTACAAACTGTTAGCTGCGTAAGTGGTATAATAACCATCTATTCTCTCTTTAAAATAATAAAAAGAAAAGGAATCAATTCCAAAGGAATTGTTGCCAGTTTTCTCAGATAAAACCAAGACACATTTTCCTCTAGGTTTCTGGCATTGCACCTTAGAGGAAACATGTTTGCATGTACCAGAATGAAAACTATTGCATTGGGCAACCTTGGGGTAAGAGAAGCAACACTTGGGACATAGTCCTACCTCTTTTGATTTGCCTGCAATAGGGCCCTTGTGTTCATCAGGACATGATCACTAGATAAATTACCTGCTGGGAACCCTATGTGCACAAACCCACACCCCAACATTGGTTAAATAATGCAACATTTAGGTATTGTTGTACTCCAAAGAAATCCAACAACATTTGAAATGTGTATTAACCAAATCTTAGTTGCTAATGTGTCTTCATATTTTATAAGTAGTTTCCATGAATTAGATGTATGAACTTGACACAATACTGAATTAAAAGTGCAAAGTATGCATTGAGACATAAGGAAAAAAAAAGATTCCAGTTAAACTTTCATGTCACTTGTACCTCTGATGGCTGATACAGGGAATTAGATAGCTTCATTCCTACACTGTTATGAAGGACTGTATTGTTTCTGGAAATGTTTCAAAGGTTGCATGTTCTGTGGTCGAAGTCAGTCAGTGGGGTCTCATCCTTCAGGAGATGGGAGGCTTGTTTGGAGAGGGTGCTCTGTGATCAGGGACTCTTAACTCACGTAAATGTGCAGCTTCAATGCAATACCCCCACACTTTAATTTTTAATTTCCCTCTCTTCTACAATTATTTTTTTACATGGCTCAGAGTAGAGAGATTAGTACCTGTAGTCGAAGAACTCTGGTTCTTTGCAGTTTGGTTACTGATTGGCTAAACAATCATCAGTCACAGATAGATTAACAATGCATGTTGATCTGATTCTGTGATGGCAGTCTAGCATAATGGTAAAGACTGTGGACCCTAGAGCCAAACTATCTGAATTTGAGTCCCAACTCATACATAATGTCCTTGAAAGTTGGGCAAGTAACTTTACCTCAGTTTCTTCACTTGTAAAATGGGAATAATAGCACCTATCTCTGGTTGTATGAAGAACAAATGAATTGATACCTCTAATATATTTAGAGCAGTGGAGGGTGAATTTACATCTCAGCAAACATTAACTGTGGCTAGAGGAAGGAGAGGAGACAAAAGTTGCCTGTAAGAAAGAATGGGAATTTGTTAGTCAAGCTCTTTGTGAGTGACAATTTCCACTCTTAATATTGTTATCACTTAGGGAGGACATAGAGTTGTTTTTCATGGAATTTGTTATGGCTCAAAATACCCCTTTAGAAGGGAAACTTCAGATTCTATGTATCTGTGGCAAATTCAGTATAAATCAGATACTGTGGATGTCGAGTCAAGTTCTGTCTAGATATGCAGCTGGATAGAGCTGTTCTAAATGTCTGTGGAGGTGGAGAATGACAGGAGAGGGGACTTCTGCCAAACACGTCATCCCCAGAAACCCATAGATGACCTCATCCAGCTGCCTTTTGGAGTCTGGTTTATCTAATTCAGCCTGGGAGAGAGAAGAGTCTAAGACAAAACCAACTCAGTTAGATCCTGAAGAGATCTTGGGCAACACCAACTCCAGAGTCAGCCAAGATCTAGAAGATGTGCTGCTGTGCTTAGAGCTCCAGAAGGGCCAAACCATATCTGTTCTGTGCCCCACTGTTCACTTCATTCCAGACACAGTGTCTGGCACATACAGGGCTTGATAAGTATCTCCATAGACCAAATGAAGGAACGCAGTCAGTCATGGATACTGGCGGTATCAACTGCTCCAATGATTTTGGACAGTAACATTTTAGGTGACTGATTTATCTACTGCAAGTGAACTTCCCAAACCTAAAAGAACATCAACACTTCATGTGACCAATGTGTGAGAATGAATGGTAAAAGAGAAACAAATGCTAATTTAAATACCTAATTGAAATAACTAAAACCAATTTCAGGAATACTGCATGCCAAAATGGCTGGTTCTGAAGTTCAAGTTGTTCTTATGTTACAGGTTAGAAGACAAAAGGCCAATTATGAGTGTTCTTCCACCATGTACATGAGAAGAGGGAATAAATGGAAGCAAGTGTGTGAAAACAAGCAAACAAACAATACTTTTAGAAGTGATGCACCCGTACAGAAAAATACATAAATAATCCGCCTAGTGATTTCATGTCTGGCCTCTCCATACTTTCATCTCACTCACTCCTTCTGCCATTTAAGGCCCGCCTATCTCTTCACCCACACAACTAGTGTTTTTCAGAATTGACTCTGAGAGACACTGTCCCTTCTAACACCTCGCATTCAGAGGAGGGCCACCTTGCAGCTGGCAGGTGTATTAGTTTTCTGAGGCAGTCGTAACAAATTGCCACATACCTGGTGGCTTAAGACGAGGGAAATCTATTCTCTCACAGTTCTGGAGGCCAGAAATCAGAAATCAAGTTGTTGGCCAGGCCTTGCTCCATCCAAAGGCTCCTTCCGAAGGCTCCTCTTCCAGCTTCAGGTGACCCAGGCATAACTGGCTTGTGATTGCCTCACTCCAGTCTCTGCCTCCGTCTTCCCATGGCCTTCTCCTCTTCTCTGTATCCATGTCTTCTTCTGTCTCTTGTAAGGACACTTGTCATTGGATTTCAGGTCTACTTGGGTAATCCAGGATAATCTCATTTGAAGAGCCTTAAATTTATTATAGCTGCAATGACCCTTTTTCTGAAAAAGGCTACATTTATAGGTTCTAGTGATTAGGAGGTGGGATATTTTTGGGGGAGCCACCCACTGTAGCAAGGGAGAACAGCAGCTAGTTCTCTTAATTCAATTTGTGGGGTTCAAGCAAAACTCTATGGATTACCTCACACAAAAACAATCAATGATGAAGTGATAATGTGAACTCCTCAGCAGGAGAAAAACATGATAAAAAGGTAAATCCAGGTCCATTTTGGAAGGTGCTGCCCTCTAACTTTCTAAATATTGCCGCCTGTTACATGCCTGATGCAAACAGCTAAGCAAAACACTGTGTATTTAAGAAGGCACAAAGGTAGTATTTATGAGGCTTGTGGGAACAAGGAATTTCAAAACATTGAACCCATTGCCTAAGCTCACAGAGTTCTCAATCCTGACATCTGGTCACCCTGGCTACATCTTGTCTCCAAGCCTTGTCTCCAAATATTATCTAACTAGAGCTGTGCCCAGCAATTTAAATTGGGGGTATTCAATTTTACCCCCAATTTACATACTAATTTTATGAGGTGTCAAAAAAAGTTTTCAGTGAATCTATACATGCATAACTTAGCTACAGCAATCTAAAGAAACCAGTTATGACTATCAGTCATATGATTTATGCATTTGGGTTTTATTTTCATCAGGAATGCAAAAAGACAGGTGGCAGGAAGGTGGTGAGACAGAGAAGGCAAAATCAGTACACTCCAAAGCTTCTAATTCAGCTTGCCATGAAAGAGAAAGGCGTTTGCAGACTGTCAGCGGGGTGTGGATATTACTTACTGTCATTGTTATTGCACATGATGTAAAGTAGTTAGAAGAGAGGCAGGGTGGGGTCCAGCAGACTTTCTCTAGCTGGGGCAAAGAACCAGATTTTGGTCCCTGGTTTACCACTCACTGTGTGGCCTGGCAAGTTGCTTCCCTTTCTCCAGGTCTCGAGTTTCATCATCCTGAGGGAGCCATACTATATCATTTCTAAGGTCCCTTCTAGTTAACAAATGCTTTTAATAGCCTGCAATAAAAATGCACACTAACATGTATGTGCTTGTGTGGGTCTGCATGTGTGCATCAGCTAACAGTTACTATTTGACATGTACAAGTACCACGCCAGTGCTCCAGTATGTCAGTTTTACTTACTAGGCACAAACTCACATGAATTTCAGCTTAATATGAAGCCCTCAGGGCCTAATAATGATAATCACAACTGTAACAACAATAAACATTTATTGAACACTTATTTCATGCCAGGTATAAGACTAATGTGTCTTCTTGTTACCCAAACTCAGAAAGTTGTACTCTCTAACATCTATCTGCTCGCCCCGGCCATATCTTCTGCTACTTAGAGTCGTGTCCAGTAATTATAGCGTTTATTAAACACTCATAATTAAATTGCTAATTTTGTTAGGCCTCAAGTACAAGCTTTTAGTGAAACCATACATGCACACCTAATCTACAACCCAGTGAAACAAGCTGTAAGTGCCAATCTTATGATTTATGAGTTTCACATGCATTCACATATCAACAATTCAATAGTCATACTGCCCTATGAGGAAAGTACTATGATTATTCCGGTTTTAAAGATAAGGAAATTGAGGTCTGAAGAGGTTAAGTAAGTTCCCCAAAGTCATTCAGCTAGGAGGCAGCCATTGTGACTCAAATCCAGGGAGTCTCATATTTGCTGGACTATAAGTTCCATAAAGGAAGCAACTATGTTTGTCTTGCTGTATTCTGTCTCTCAAGTGCCTAGCACAGTGCCTGGCACACGGCAGGTGATCAGTAAATAGTTGTGGAATGAATGAAGGTCTAATGTATATCCCTCAGTCTTAACCACTATGCGTACAGATCACATCATCAACCCTCTCAGTGATTTGTAGTTGGTGAGAAGGGAGACACCGTTAGTGAGCATAGGTACATTAGCACAATTCTGTCCATTTCCACTCCTAGAAAATGAACTGAAACCAATTCACATTTTGTGGACCATGGGCCCCCTCCTTCTGTACAAAGGATAATAGAGGTGAGAATATTTATGTCAGGAATGCTGGGGTGGATAATCCTGTTTCCTTGGCCTCTGTTCTGGAAACAGCATTTCCATCGACAGTGGGTCCTGATTTTGCTCTGGAAAAGCTTTCTGGCTGATCAGCTGTGAGTAATCTTCTCTTGTCAGAGCTATTATTAGTTTTCATCATGCCTCTTGACCTTTTGACCACATCTGCCTTTTGACCACAATAATGTTGTTTCGCTTTCCTATCGCCAGAACTGGCTCCTTGTTAATGCATTTTCTGGCCCTAACAGAAGAGAAGTGGGAAGAGAGATGGCACGAGTGTCCCAACGGCACTCAACCTCCTAATGCTAATGCCAAGCAGAGCAATCCATCCCATTAGAGTTGACAGTGTCCCTGAGATGAAAAGGATGGTAAGGCTGAAGCCATAACCACCCAGACTGCAGCCACCTCCAGAACACTAGAGTGCAAAGAATGCCTCCTGGAGGAAAGGTTTGCTGCAAATTGAAAACATTTAATTCTGTGGAATCCAAGAGGTTTGACTGTTTAGTAAATATTTCATTGAGAACATTAGCTGTGGAATTCGAATGCTTAAGTAATGCAGATAATTAAACGTAAATAATTAAAAATTAATAATATTTGGAATGTTATGCACAATTAGGCAGGCAATAGATCAGTAATAAAGGGGGTCCACTCAGGCTGAATATCTGCTAGCCACTTCAGGGCTGTGTCACAGCAGAAATAGCCTGCAAAAATTCCTAGTTGTTCCAGGGATTCAACCCTTCATGCTGACTTGGTGAATTGCATTATCTGTAGATGTCTTCTGGTAGAAACTACTACAGTAGAGATAGCTTTACAAATGAACCACACGGAGCATTTATTGAAAAGTGTTTGAAGGGGGGCAGAGGAGATTCTATAAATATATTGCTAGAAATCACACTTCCAGTCAGAAGGAGCTAGAAATGCAACAAAGATGAGCCCACATTTGTGGAGTGAATTATGTAATGGAAATAAGCTCTCTGGAGAGTTGTTCTATTTAGTCTCTTCTCTTACTCTTGCTCTCTCATCTTCAATCATTTCCCTTTTCCTCCCCAGTAGCTACTTCTCTTCCATCTACAAATGATACGTTTAAGTGTTCCTTGCCATACAAAGAAAACTCTTTCAGCATGTCTCCCTATAAAAGCAGCCAGTCCTCCTTTCTCTTTTCTTTCCACATCAAACTTCTTGAAAGAGTGGAGCATATTCCTTTCTTCACCCTTTGCTGCTCCCTTTCCCTGGCATGGCAGCCTGGCTCTGCCTTCACCACACCATGCAAAAACTTTTCTTACCAAAGGTACTAGTGCTGTCTTACTGGAGAGATGCCATAATCTCAATGGACCTCTCTGCAGGATCTTATACTCACAACTCTACTCTGAAATTATCTCCTCCTTTTGTTTCCAATCTAACATTTTCTTCTCGATGCTCTTTCTACCTTTCTAATGATCAGTTCTTAGAGCCTACCCTTAAATGTAACCTTTTCCTCTAAGTTCTTTTCTTCCCTACACAAGGGCCTGCAAACTAAATCCGACAGGAAACATACGTGTGTGAAATGGATAGGAGATGAGGGGATGTAAGACAATAGAGTGTGGTGGAGCTTGTGGCAAATAGATATTGATACCCTAGTCATAAGGCGTTCAAATTGGAATACAGAGAGTTCTGTTCTCTTGTCCTTACTGAAAGTAATGAATTATAAATATTATTTGGCCAGGCAGGTCAGAGGAAAAGAAAAGTGTTTCTTTCATGTGCTCCTCTGGTAACAATGGGGCTAACATCAGTGTGAGGTACAGGTTCACAGTGGTTTTTCTCACGGTCCTAACATCTTGCTCCAACAAGTAACAGCAGCTGAGCACACAGTGCACTAGCCAGCTGACTGCATCCATTTTCCATCCTTCCTTTATGTGTGCATGTATTCTGACTTGGAAGTGCCTTGAGTGTTTGCTTCTGCTCTTTCCTCTATAACTCAGACGCCTCAACCCTTCCTTACACCATCTTCCAGTAAGCTATCAAATATTTTCCTTCTAAAAACTTCATCATGAAGTTAACATGCTTTTTAAGGGTGCTGATAATTTAATAAGGTTATTGTTATTTTTGTTAGTGTTATGCTTACACATCTATGAGTTTTGAGTGATCTGTCACATCCCAATTTTCCCCATAAGTCCTATTATTTTTACTGTGTGATTTTGCAAAACTTTTATCTTTGAGAAAAGATGTATGTTCAAACATCAAAAACCAAAAGAAACAAGGAAAATAATAAAAACCACTTGCAGGGTCAGTTTAGGGCTTGCATTTCACACCTTCTCCCCAAGTCATTTGTTTTTCTCTTTGGCTTCTATTAGTGCTGCTATGTTGTTAACAGACCTATATTCTATCACCCATACCACTCTCTTGAGAGGTAGATGATATTCAGTTATCTACAAAACATCTCAACACGGCATCTCTGAGGAATGTATCCAAAATATGTCTCTTATAGCTCCCCTTTCTAACACATACACACACACACACACACACACACACACACACACACCCTGCTTCTCTTCCAGTCTCCTGACTTGAATTGTCTTTTCAGTCTTAGTATCATCAGGTTCATATCCTCATTTTTAAGTGAAAACCCACATCCTCTGGTACAAAGTCCAAAGTCCAATGCTCCTTCCACCACATGACCACATAACCTCTGCCTTAGAAAAAATCTTTAGTATCAAAATTTCATTATCAGTAGTTCAACAATTAATGCAATTTCAAAAGATAAGTGATTATAAAATTTATTCCCTTTGGACAACCTCACAAACACTATCGTATTATCTTATAATAATGTTCTGTAAATTAAGGGTTGACCCTACAAAGGGAACTACGCCATAGAAAATATTTCTTCTCCTTCAAATTTCAATAGCACATGTGTATAAAATCTCAAAGAAAGAATGTCCTTCTGTGAAACTGGCCCATGATCTTTTCTCCAAGAAGAAGGGCTCATTCACACTGGCCATTATTCTTGGGGTGCACCTTTTTCTTACTACATTTTAGACTATGAACAACAAAATAAGCTACAAGTTGAGTTTTTACTTCCATCTGAAGATAAGTCTGTTGCTCCAAATTAAAGACAATGAATCAGACATTTGCTTTAAAAAGGTATATACCAACAAAATAAAGAAAATCATAGGTGGGAACACTAGTTATAGTACACATGAAAAAGGCATAATACCTTAATTGTATAATGAGCTTCAAATGAATGTAAAAATGCTAAGACCCTTGGAAAATAGTCAAAGAACAATTTGAAGAAGGAAATAATACGGTGAGTTAACAAACGTGTGCAAAATATGCCACCCAACTAGAGGTATCTATTGCCTGTTATGTTAGCAAACTTCTTTTGGGAAATCCAGAATATTTTTACTTCTGCAGAAGATAATCTTTCCACTACACTAGGGTTCAGAGTGCTTGGGGAGTCAAACAGGAGCTAATTCTTGGTTCTTTCTCTTAGTAACAAATGGCCACTCAGAATCTCAGCTTCATCTGGTGTGTCATTAGCAAGTATTCCTGAGATGTTATATTATACCCATAATCTGGCACAGAAGCCATGCCTAATCAGTGTAAGCTCATGGAAGTAGAACTTAATTTTGTTCATCGCTGTATCCCAAGGGCTAGAAAGTGTCTGGACTTTGCAGGCATTTAATAATTGCAACCCTTGAATTGAATTGCATCAAAATGATTTAAATTACCACATTGCTATAGGTTTTTTATAGAAATCCCAAGTGTTTTTCTATAAATGCTAGGGCCAAAGGTCTTCAGTTTTTGTGCTAACTTTGCAGTTCAATTATTCAAAAACTGGGCAATTTCCCCTTTATGAGGAAAAAAAGGAATTAACCAAGGAATTTAAATCATAACAACCAACCAATACAACACCAATTTTATCCCCAAATTAATCACATTATTTCTAGTTATTTAGCACTTCATAGTAGAATTAACTTGTAATCTGCACCTTTACATATACATATTTATTTGATTCAACAAGAGTATGCTCTGACGTACTCACTGAATGTTGCCACTACTGATTATCGGTGCCTAAATAATAACTCCAGAATAGAGCTCACTGTTTTATGGGTCTTTGGTGGGATTTTTAAAAAATGAATTCTGCACAAGGGATAACATTAACAAGGAAAAAACCCCATAATCTGATTTTTTCCCCTATCCAGACATTGTATTACTTTCCTTTTATTAATCTAAGCAATAAAATCACTTTGACACACTGTCGTTATTTATTATTTATTTCCCACGTATTTCCAAAAAAGGATTTATAGTAGTCCATTTTAACATGCTGTTAGTGTCTTCAAAATTCAGTTCCCTGGAAACAGCCATGAAATTAAATATATACAGCTAAGCTCAGGCTAATATACTATAGAACCAATTCCTTCTGTGACAAATAAATAAAAATGTTTATTACATGGTCACATACTTATTATGCTGAAATAACTTCTATTAAACCAGTAATTAAGCCAAGTAAAATTTGACTTATGAAACAATCAATAGCAGAATGACATGAAAGCAATTAATTTGTGAATCTGTATATAGCTTTTAAATATTATCTATAGATTCATAATATAATTGATTAGCTCAAAATTTGCACATCGTCATTGAAGACCCAACAGAGGCTTTCTAAAGGAGATTGCCTTTATTTCTTTTCTTTTCTTTCTTTTTCTCTAGGATTGCTTCAGAAGCACTGACTAGCAAAGGCTTCCCATTTAGTCAGTTAATAACTACCAAAATATTCACAGTACTCCCTGGGCTTTCACTACTTCTCACATCGGCAGGTTTTAGCATGCAGGCCTTATTCTCAACCCAATTACCTGGATATGAAGCAGGAACTTCGCAGCTGTCACAAAATACCTATAGCATTTGAGAAAGGCATTGCTATCAATAACCAAAAACGGGGATTTTATCGCAGACAATATGTGAAATTGCACCTCACTGACAAAGCCACTGCAGAACCCGGGTGATAATATTATTATAGTAATTACCATATGTCTTACATCAAATGCAACTACAGTTTTATCATCATTCAGCTTTTCTAGAAGGAGATAGGAGAGAGCTGTCACAGTTAGACAGATAACTTGTCCTCTATTCAACTGCCAGCTCCCCTCTGAAACACAGCCTTTCTATTCTACTAAGAGAAATACAATTGTAACTCCATTTGCATTGAGAACAAGAGAAGCCCTAGGTTAATTACAGGTAAGGTTCTGTTTACATTCCCTGGGGCTAGTCAAAGCCAGATTCCATTTCTGAGTTGAAAAAAGCTACCGGAGTTTGAACTGAATCCACACTTTTTATTCCACTCTTGATATTCTGTGTGGCCAAAGGGAGCCTGTCACTCAAAGATGTTTCAAAGGTAACCTCAGAAACCTCCATTTCCCAGACTCTAAATGTAGTTAAAAACACAAAGTTCAGAACCAAAAGCCCAAACAACAACAAAAAAGGAAAATGGAGGTTTGTGGCTGTGATCAGGAAAGGAGGAAGTGGCATTATGTGTATTTTTAGTGGTATGTAATCAACTGATTAAGAATGTAAGACAAAGGGGGAGTGGCAGGAGAGAGTCCTGTTGCCAGTGCAGTAAGAGGATTATTTATCAACAAGAAACTGTGTTTTAAAGATATGATTTTCCTCATCTATGAGGCTCCTGCCCTCTTGTTTTCCTTACTTTCTGGGCTTTTTTTTTTTTTTTTTTTTTTGGCAGAGAAAAGAATTGACTGGCCATACTGACCTCAGCTAATGTCAAGGATACGTCTCTTCTCCCGGGTTCACAGAAGATAGTTATTTCTCCTGACTTAGAGTCAGCTTTCAAAAATATGGACACAGCAGTTCTTACGCCATTTATGTTCTTGCCAAAGTACTCACAGACTGTTTAGCTGTCTGGTCACAACCCAAAAATCTTCTGAAATCTGTAGATTTTAGGTGTCTAAAGCCAGCCTCTTTTTCCTAGCCTTTGTCCATCACCTCTCTTCATTTTAATTTGTTCATACTTAAACATGATTCAATGTATCTTTTTTTAAAACATATTATATTTGTTTATTTTCAGGTTCACTCCCTTTCCTTTTCCCCTCTGCATGCATACAACAATGTTAGCTCCCTGAAGCAGGGGTCCTTATCTGGAGCCTAGAATAGCACCAGGCAGATAGCAGGTATTTGATCACTATACTAAATGAAAGAATAAACTGCTGTAATAATTTCAGAAGATCTGAATGTCGACCTTTGTAGTAACTATTGCCAGAGCTCCACCCATACACAGATCATCTAGATATAGAAGATGCCTTTTTTATAGACCATTTCCCTAGACACAAAATTTCAGGATTCCATTTAAGAAATTAAATGGACAAAAATTCCAGTTTCATGGTCTTAGATTCTTCTTTTTTAAAAAAGCTACCTCTAAGAAATATAATGTGTGCAGTTTCCAAAAGAAGCAATCTCAGAGAACGATGAGGGATGGCTCTTGCCTGTTTCGCTTAAATTGGGGGAAAACAGGGATGGTGACTGAAAATATATTTCCAACAGGAAGAAGAAAGCAAAGCTGCAATACACTGTCTAGTGAAGAAAGTGGGCATGCCACACCCCATTGCAAAGAGTATCTCCTACATATGGAATTCCTTATTTCCAATCTGAAGAACTAATCCTAATTTTTTCTTCCTCTAACTATACTAAGGTAAAATACAACACAAGCCTAGTTTGTCAGCCAAGAGGCATGAGCAAAGTCTGCATGTGTGCAAGAGGGATGGCCTTGGCAACAGCTTGGAAGTGGGGCTGCAGGGTATTTCCCCAGTTCAGGTTTCTCACTTTGCTGGACACAAACCGAAATCTCTTCACCTTTAATTCCAAGGGAGATTTCATAATGATATTACTTTCAGATTTGGTGAAATTCTCAATGCCCCTTAGAAGTTCATTTCTACTCAGCAAGACTCTCATTTGTGTTTAGTGAGCTTTCCCTCTAATTACCATCAGCAGTTTTACCTACTTACATACTTACCTAAAGCCCTACTCAACCCTACCCTAGTTACTCTCAGCAAATGGGAAAATTGAAGACATGTGCATTCTCTGACTTATCCCCCACACCTGTGACGCATCTACTTCCTCATGTAGGCTAGTTTCCTCCCCTCTAGTCAGAGAAAGATGTATTCTATTCCATCTCAAGCTAATTCTTTGTGATGCCACTCGGCATATTCCCTCTCAACCCCCGGACCTCACTTTAACAATTACTCTTTTCCTTTCCCATATGATAACCTCTTCTGGTAACTTGTCAAGGCCAACAGACATAAACATCTCTTGCATCATTTAAGGAAAACTCTTTCCTTAGTTCAATGTCTCCCTTTAGTTATTACCTAAGTGAATATTTCACCGCTACTTCTTTATTCCTAACTTAGTGATTCACTGAAATCCAACTTCCACTCCACCTTGCTGAAGTCAATAGTCACTTCCTAATTCCTAAATCCAATTAACTCAGGTCTCATTTTTGCTTCTCCTTTTTCGTATTCTCTTCATCTTGAAACTCTTTCCATCTCTGACATCACTCTCCTAAATCTTCCTTACCTTCCTGGTTTGTTTTTTCTTTTGCTGATTCTTTTTCTGCATGATCCTTAAATGTTGTTACTTCAGGGACTCTGTCCTTAGCCTTCTTTAATGTCTACAGATGATCAGGTGATTTAATCCATTTCAGTATTCCAACTACCACCTGGAAGATGCTAATAACTTGAAAAAATTGTCTTCAGTTCATATCTGTCTTCAGAAACCCAAATATATGTGTCTCATACATTCCTAACAACATAGTTATATCAGATCAACATATGAATAACTGAATCATTGTCTGCCAACCTAAAGTCTTTGGTGTATATACTGTTTTAAATGCTGTGAAATATTATAAATATAGTGACTGATTCTACTGCTAAGTATCATATACTTAAATCCCTCTGATGCTAGTAAAAAGAAGAAAAGGAAAAATCACCCAATAATTTCAATGCATATGTCTTGCTTTTGCCATAAAATATGCTTGGAGGTTAAATTTGGGAAAGTAAAAATGCCAGTGTATTAGTTATTTATTGATGAATAACAATAATACCACAAACTAGCAGCTTAAAAGAACACATATGTATTGTGGGCCAGGAGTTTGGCACTACTATACCTAGTCCTCTGATAGGGTCTTACAAGGCTGAAATGAAGGTGTTGGCAGGGTGTGGTCTCATCAGAGGTTTGACTGGGGAAGGATTCACTTATAAGCTTAATCCAGTTGTTGGGAGAACTTAATTCTTGGCAGTGTTTTGTTGGCTGTTGGCAGAGGCCACATTCAGTCACTAGAAGCTGCCAGAAGTCTCTTGCTATGCAGGTCCCCCAACAGGGCTGCATACTTTCTGAAAGCCATCAAGCAAAGGAGAAACTCCAGAAGGATGGGTGCTGACATCTTATTTTCATGTTACTGCATATGTGTCATCATGAATATTCCATCCCCTTTGCCATATTGTACTGGTTATGCAAGTTACAGGTCCTGCCTACTTGCAAGAGGAATGTCCCACGCAAGGGTGTGAACACCAGGAGACAAGAATTGGAGGCCACTTTAAGAGTGTCTCTGCCACAACCAATATATCTTCCCTTTATATATAGGCTTCATAAATATTTTAAATTTTGATTGACTTCAAAGTGTCTCTTCTCTAGTTAATGAATACATGAATACATGGAGGTGTCTGGATGGCTGCTGACAATGCTCTTCAATGGATCCAAAGAATCCACTCTGTAACATAGAAGCTTGAGTTTTCATATGTTAGATTTATTTCAAGGTACCTACATAAAGTAACAGGAAACTGCCATAATGCGAAGAAAAAAATTCCTGACTTGCCATCCATTTCAGAATCATTCTCCCAAAAAGCCTACTAGAGAGTAATGAAATTAATATATTTGAGTTTTGCTCCTTTCCTTCCACCTGTTCTGGAGAGAGGAAGAAAGTGAGGAGAAGGAAATTAAACTAATAAACCATCAAAAATGTTCACCATGTCAGTCTACAATTGCTACTATTGCTCCTAGAAAAATACAGGTTATTCACGAAACTGCTACTTAAAAACTGCATTACTTCTTTGATAATTCTACCTACTGAGTGAAGGTGCACATGACCAGTGGGTTTATTTACTTATTCAACAAACATTTGAAGAGTATGCACTCTATGCCAGATACTGTTCTAAATGATTTAGACATATAAACTATCCTCATAACAATATTTTGAGTTAGGTACTATCACTATCTTGATTTTACAAGATGATAAGACAAAGAATGAAAGACAGATTTAGTAAATTGCCAAAGACCACAAAACGAGTAGGGGGAAGGATCAGGATTTGAAGTGAAGCAATGTGCCTCCAGTCTATGCTGTGCCTCACTCTATACTTGGACTTTCAAATAGCAAAATAATGCAAGCCACAAACACAAGCTACATCTATTTTTCAAATTTTATCTTGTAATCCCACAAAAATATGAAAACAACCAAGTGTAATTAATTTTTCAATTTTTATTTTTTTGTAGAGATGAGGTATCATTATGTTGCCTAGGCTGATCTTGAACTCCTGGGTTCAAGTGATTCTTCCACCTTGACCTCCCAAAGGGCTGGGATTACAGGCATGAGCCCCTACTCCTGGCCCCAGTTTTAATAATATCTTATTAAATTCAAACTACAAAAATATTATTTCTACATATAATCAATCTAAAAATTATTGAGATGATGAACAGGTTTTAATATATAAATCTTCAAGACCTGTTATGTATTTTACAGTGACAGCACCTCTCAATTCAGACCTAGCACACTGCAGTGTTAACAGCCACATGTGGCTAGCAGCTATCGTAATGCACAGGATAGCTCTATACCATGCATCTCTGCTACACTATGATCCAAGTAGCAAAGCTCCAGATGCAGTTTTTTTCTTCTTCTTAGAGATGGGGTCTCACTTTATTGCCCAGGCTGCAGTGCAGAGGCATGATCATAGCTCACTGCAGCCTCAAACTCCTCAGTTCAAGGAATCCTCCTGTCTCAGCCTCCCAAGTAGATGGGACTACGGGCATGCAACACAATGCCCTTCTATTTTTTAATGTTTTATAGTAACAGGTCTCACGGTCTCGGCCAGGTTGGTCTCCAACTTCTAGGCTCAAGCCATCCTCCTGCCTCGGCCTCTCAAAATGCTGGGACCAGAGGTGTGAGTCCCTGCACCTGGACATCTAGAGGCAGTATTTTAGTTTACTTTTTTTTAATATGAGGGGAGATTTGATTTGTTTTCCCAACCTGAAACTTGAAAGGATGTGAATTGGAGAAACAAGACTAATGAATTATTTCATGAGATTGTAACTCACTGAAGCCAGGGATTATTTCTATCATCTCACCACTATGTTCTCTGTGCCAAAACAGCAAGTATTCAACAAATATTTTTGAAAGAAAGTAAGGCTTGAAGGAAGCTGGCCTCCGTATTTTAACAATCAATTCCATGTATTAATGGCTCAATATGCTAAGATGGTGACATTGGGCTCACTTAATTGAATCCATTAAATGTTACCTTGTGCTGGACTCTATGGTAAGCAGCAAGCCCTGGAGGAAATGCAGATGACAGGCCCGGATCTTGTCCTTAAAGTGCACATAAGGGAGACAGACACTTTAACTTTGCAGTGTAGGTGTGGAACAGAACCTAAACAGCCTTGGAAGTGATTAATCAGCTTCAGGCAGAGGGGTGGGGATAGTAGGGTGAGGGTGGCAAGAAGCCACATTCTAAAGAGCAAAGGTGACAGATGATGAGGCTAGGCAGGAGTAGACATGCCCATTTGCAAAATAAGGCACCCTTCTCACTTATTGTAGCTGTCCAAATACGTACCCAACTCATTTTTTGGGATGGACTCACTCATCTGATGTAAATGAAATGGCATGGAAACTAAAATCAGAATCCTTAATGTTTCCAAACAACTCTGAAACCTAAGTAAGGCAATGGAGCCAATGTGCTACCTTTATTGCTATGAAATTGGGAAAAGAACCCCTACTGAATTACGTATATTAAGGACTTGTGACACAGCTGATATGGCACAAATAATCACAAGTGTTTCCTTTTATTAAAAGCCACACTTCCAAAAGCACAATTTTGGTGCAGCACACCGTAATGAATATGGCTATAATACATCACATTGCATTAAAAATCAATGAAGGATGAAAATACAAGTGCAGTATTCAAAACAATTCAGATTAGGATAAAGCTGTCGACCTTTATGTTCTATTCCCTGGTCTTAGAAGAGAAAAGAGAGAGAAACAATAGAGGTGGTAGTAAAATGTGAAACTATATTTCACCCTGACTGGCACTGGAAGTCCCACAATGCAAACTGTTGAGTAACAGCAAAGTAACATGAAGTCTATCTGGGGGTTCCCTCCCAACCATGTACTCCCAGATTGTCCCCATCAAGCTCCATTTTCCTCCAATAAATCACACATTGAGAAGATCACCACTTTCCATTTTGAACCTGAAATTAGGCCCTACAACATGTGGTTACTCTTCTGGAAAGCAGCATTAATAATGGCATGCACAATTATATCAGAATAAAAAATAAATGACTTTAACAGATTTGTGAACAACCTTATGGATAAACTCATCAATCAAATTTAAATGCTTGAATAATGCAATAATGCCACTTATTAGACAAGCCTAAAGAGAATAGATACATTTTATTGTTGCCAAGAGTAACAAAATGCAATAGAGGTCACTGGGGACCCTACAAATAAGGAAAAAAAGAAAAGACCTCATGTCCCATTAAAACAAAAGGGACAAGCACAAAGAAAAAACCCAGAGGCTTAATTAAAATTATAAGTCTACTAAAACACACAAATTGAATGTGCTATAGTTCTCTGCCACTCAGAAGAAAGAATTATTTATTTTCCCCAGGGGCTACTTTTTCTTAACATGCCTCTCTTCATTTTTTTCAAGATATCACTATCAGGCCTTTGCTAACTCTTTGTCCCTTTCCCAATAGTGATAAAGGAAACAGTTTCACTTTGCTTTTTCTCTTCTTACTAGAGTTTTGAATTACAGCTACTTCTCTCTTCCTCTGTATCTTTCTCTCTCTTCATCGCCTCACTATCCTCCAATACAGCACTATTAGTGTTGAGAAATATCAATATAGCCAATGTTGAGGAAATAATGGTACATTCCTAAAATATATTTTATATATTCATGAAAATATTTTTTAGAACTCTGAATAACAAGGAAAAACAAAAGCAATACAATATTAAAAATGCAAAAGCCAAATATGAAATTATGTACTAGGTGTTATTTGAAGGTGTTAAAATATATACATAATTTAAAAACTTGTATACAGTAAAAGGACATCATAAATCAAAAGACAAATAACAAATTGGGAAAATATTTGCAATACCTGACAGACATGAAGTGTATATTTATAATATAAAGTAAACCTTTACAAAGCAATTTTAAATAAGATGAAAATCACAATTTAAAAATGAGCAGTTCACAAAAGAAATAAAATGGTAAATGAATATCTGAAAAGATGTTTGATTGTACTATTAATGAAAAATTACCAGTAAAAATGGCCCATCATCTTTACCTAACAAATGAGGTTAATATTTCATTTTTCTCCTAGAAAATTAGAGAAATATTAGTAATACTGATAAAGGTATGGAGAATCCATCTTTTCCTGTATTGCTAGTGACAGCATACGTCCTCACAACCTTTCTTTTGGCAGTCCTGAAATACTTATCAAAATTGAACCACTAATTCCTCTTCTAGAAATTTATATCAAGGAGCTATTAGGTTAAGCACAAGAATGCATGTACAAGGAGCTTCACTGAAGCATTATTTCAGAGAAGAGAAACCTAGAAACAACCTACATACTCATAAATGAAGGATTAGCTGCGTACATTCTAGAACATCTATCTGTCCATTTAAAGAAATTCTCTGCAACAATTAAAATACTTTTTTTAATATTTCTTGATAATAGAAAGATCTCTCTGAAATTCAACTGAATAAAAGAGCCAGATGCAAGGCATGATATAGAGAGTGACCCCTACATAAATTACAGAGATACCTGTGTGTGTAGGTATGAATAAAGAGATGACCAAGTGGTCACCAATAGATTAGCAATGGTTGCCGCTGGGTGATAGTTGAGTTTTCTAAATAAGCATGCTATTTTAACTTTTGCAAAAGATTTATATGCAAAGATAAAAGTGATTCACACTTGATAGTGGAATTATAAGTGACTTCTCTTTTAGAGCATTCATTACTTTTTAAAATTTGCTTTGTACTTTATAAATTTTGTATTACTTTGCTTTATTTCATAACAAGAAAAATAAAACTACAAGGAAGAGAAGAGCCATGGAATTGCTGGTGCCTACTTCTTCTGATCCTGCGAGGCAGATCCATTTGCTCAGTTTTCCCACAAGTGTTTCAGCTGGAGTGGGAGGCACGGAGCTGTCAGAGTTCTGCGAACTTGGCCAGGTTTCTGTAACCAGAGAGCCCATCAAATCTGCATGTGGTACCTAAAGAGCTGCATGTGGGTTGAAAGTCCTGGTTTCAGTGTTGCTGGCTTATGGATCAAAATGTCCTTCTAGGTCCTAGCCATCTCTTCTAGAGAGTTTTATCACTAGTTACCTTTTAAAATATTGCCTCTCTAATGTTGAGAAATGCAAAACAGAGTCTTTGAAAAGGAAATTTGTATTTCCTACAGTTCAAGAGATGGAAGAAATGTTTATATTTACTAATGAAACACCTGAAAAAATTAGAATCTCGGTTTTTATTTGTATATATATATATTTAAAACATTATCATCCATTATGGAATGTATCCTGTAGGACACACATATCTTCTTATCGCTTCTCTTCACGAAGTATCAAATATTTGCCTTGGATGGCTGCACCTAATGATGGAGGCTTTGAAACTCCTGAAGGCATTTCCATGAGAGCCTCTGTCATTTGAAATTTTAAAGCAAAGAACTCACTCTTTTTAATCTGAACTAATTTCAGTGCAGTGATGACTAAAGGAAGGAAAATGGACTCAGCTCTGGTCCTCTCAGCCCTATCATCTTCAAGATTGAGTGACTCTGATGGTAATAATAAACTATGTCTTTGGCTTTGAATTGACAAGTTCAAATAGATTGCTTTAAGAAAACCAGGTGATACAGTTTGGATATTTGTGCCCTCCAAATCTCATGTTGAAATGTGACCTCCAGTACTGGAGGTGAGGCCTGCTGGGAGGCATTGGATCGTGGGGGCAGATCCCTCATGAGTGGCTTAACACCATCCTCTTGGTGATGAGTGAATTCTTGCTGTTAGTTCATGAGACTGATCTGGTTGTTTAAAAGAGTGTAGGTAGCACCTTCCCCCTCCCTCACTCTTGCTTCTGCTCTTGCCGTGTGATGCCCTGGCTCCCCCTTCACCTTCCATCATGATTGTAAGCTTCCTGGGGCCCTCACCAGGAGCAGATGCCAGTGCCATGCTTCCTGTGAAGCCAGCAGAACTGTGAGTCACTTAAATCTCCTTTCTTTATAAATAATCCAGTCTCAGGTATTCCTTTATAGTATTACAAAAACAGACTAACACACCAGGCCATCCAGAATTACTTACTCTCCTTAGTTTCAAAACACTGAAAAATAAATCTAATTGCTGCTCATGGGTCTGTACAGGTCAGGAATGTTTGGACGCAAAGGACTACACATTTCTTCAGGGTTTCTTGGAAGCTTTTGGTTACCTAAGTTGAAATTGCCCTTGGTCTGAAACCCTAGGTGTTTGAGCTCATAGAACTGTGGATGCTCCAGTCATTGTACACCAAGGATATGGTGTAGATGGAACTTTGGTACATATATGAAAGTATATGAGGAAACAAAGAAACACATTTGAACTAATTCTTCAGCGAAGTTGTCATTGTAGAGAAAAGGTGACAGGCAAAAATTCTGGTTATGAATATTTTAGGGAAAGAACAGTATATTAAATGCCTTGGTATCCTCCATTAAGTCCGATAAATGTTAGACACAAAGTTTGATCTATTAAAAGGAGTGTATTCATCCAGTCACTCAGAAGATACTTGTGTGTTCTTACATAAAAGTAAATGTGGAGGGGATATTAAGATGCACAAAATGGATCTGCTCTCCAGAAACTTAAGTCAAATTAATCTTCTCCTCCCAATAGAAGCATGATCTCTAGATACTTTCAGAGTATCTCTTCAATGTGCTGCATTTCACATCTCGCAGTTGAAATTGGAATGGAAGGGCTTAGTGGAATGGGAAAACAATGCTACTGAACAGAATCTGGTTTGTGGGCTTTGTAGATAGAAATATTACTTCTTTATCTGGAGGTAAAGGTCCTTTCCTTACCCCTCAACTTACATAGATGCACACACTCACCCACTCTCACACACTCACAGATTAAGACAACCCAGCAGAAATCTGTCTCTCCTACTCCTTGGCATCACATTTTTGTACCATCATGCTGTGCTTATTTGACCATATTTTCAATAGAATTTTCATTTGATGCATTTGCAAAAGCTCAGGAAAGTGCATGCTGTATATTTTCTTTGGAATGTCCATTAATTTTTAAGGTGTTGGAGCTGATAGTTTATAGTTTCTGTGAATATCAGTATAGTATGTACGAGATGTGATATGAAGTCATCATATCTTGAGATCAGGCTTTTCCAAATACACGTAATTGTTCTGCTGCAAATCCATGAGATCTAACCTCAGTGGGACTAGTGTCGGAACTGTTTTTTTTGTTTGTTTGTTTTTTTGTTTTGTTTTGTTTCTTTGAGATGGAGTTTCTCTCTCTCTCCCAGGCTGGAGTGCAGCGGTGTAATCTCAGCTCACTGTAATCTCTGCCTCCTGGGTTCAAGCGATTCTCCTGTCTCAGCCTCCCAAGTAGCTGAGATTACAGCTACCTGCCGCCACACCTGGCTAATTTTTGTATTTTTAGTACAGACGGGGTTTCACCATGTTGGCCAGGCTGGTCTTGAACTCCTGACCTCAAGTGATCCACCAGCCTCAGCCTCCCAAAGTGCTGGAATTACAGGTGTGAGCCACAGTGCTCGGCTGTGGGTAATCCTTTTACTCATCTCCAGTTGACAAACAAGTACTTCCACATGGACTGTTCCAAACCCCGTCCAATGGCTGTAAGTCTCCATTCTCTGTTCCTGATTGTCCACTCACTCCTTTTTTTTTTTCATTAGGTAATATTGTTTAATTTTTAAAGCAATTTTTTTTGCAATAATTAGACTTACATGCAGTTACAATAAATAATACAAAGGGATCTTATATGCCTTTTACCAGTATTCCCCAATTGTAACATCTTGCAAAAGTATACTGCAATATCATAACCAGGGTACTGACACTGATCCAGTTGAGATAGAAAATATTTCATTGCCATAAGGATCCCTCAAGTTGCCCTTTTATAGGCTTTCTTTTTGCCTATGGATGTTCAATTGCACCAACATTATTTAAGATGCATTCATCCCTCTATTCTTACTTTCTTCTTAAAAGTTTCTTTTCTTTTTTCTTTTTTTTTTTTTTGAGGCAAGGTTTCACTCTGTCACCTAGGCGGGAGTGTAGTGGTGTGATCACAGCTCACTGCAGCCTCAGCCTCTTGGGATTAAGTGATCCTCCCTCTTCAGCCTCCCGAGTAGCTGGGACCACAGGTGCGTGTCACCATACCCAGCTCATTTTTGTATTTCTAGTAGAGACTTTTTGCCATGTTGCCCAGGCTGGTTTGAAAAGTTTCTTATGCAAAGCTTTTGCACCATTGTCAAAAATCAGTTGTATATATTTGTGTGGGTCTATTTCTGAGTTCTCCATTCTATTCTATTGATCAATGTGTCTATACCTCTGGTAATACCACACTATCTTGATAACCATAGCTATATCAGGTAGAGTGAATAGTCTCACTTTGTTTCTTTTTCAAGATCATTTCAGGCATTCTTGGGCCTATGCCTTTCCATATACATTTTAGAATAAGCTCCAAAAATATCTTGCTTGTATTTTGATAGGAATTACATTAAATCTATAGATAAATTTGGGGAGAACTGACATATTTACTATACTGACTCTTCTGATACATGAATACAGTATGTCTCCCCATTTATTCAGATCTTTGATTTCTCTTATGGCATTTTGTGGTTTTCACAGACAGATTCTGTACATTTTTTTGTTAGGTTTATACCTAAGTATTTCATTTACTTTGGAGTGATTGTAAATGTTTTACGTTTTAAATTTCTATTTCCACATGTTCATCGTAGGAATACAGAAATGCAATTGCTTTAAGCATGTTGTTCTTTCATCCTGTTAATCATACTGAATTTATTTATTAGTTCTAGCAGTACTTGTTTTGTAGATTCCTTGGAATTTCCTAAATAGAATAATCATGTCATCTAAAAATAGAAACAGTTTTATTTCTTCCTTTACAATACATATGCTTTTTATATTCTTTTTCTTACCTTATTTCAGTGGTTGGAACTTCCAGCACCATACTTAATACGAATGATGCCAAACGTCCTTTCATTGTTTCTGATCTTAAAGGAAAGTATTCAGTCTTACCCTGTTAGGTATGATATATGCTGTAAGGGTTTCTGTGTAGATGTTCTGTATCAAGTTGAGTAGGTTCCCTTCTCATTCTTAGTTTGCTGAGAGCTTTTATCACGAATGGGTGCTGGATACTGTCAAATGCTTTTCTGTGTCAGTTGAGATACTCATGTTTTTCTCCTTTACTCTGTTAATGATTTATTGACTTTCAAATGGTGAATTAGTATTGCATACCTCTGGAGTTTTTCAGTTGCAAATTCAATTTCATTAATGGTTATAGAACTATTCTGGCTGAGGCTTGGTAGTTTGTAATTTCTAAAGAATTGGTCTATTTCTCCAAATTTATGAATGTAAAGCTGCTCACAGTATCCCATTATCCATGTAATGGCTGCAGAATTTGTATTGAAATCCCTATTTTATTATTGCTATTGGTGATTTCTGTCTTCTTTCTTGTTTTATAACTTTGTGAGTCTTACTAGAGGTTTATCAGTTTTACTGACTGTTTTTAAGAATCATTTTTTTGTTTCATTGATTTTTCTCTGTTGTTTTCTTGTTCTGTATTTCTTACTTTTCTTTGTACTGAAGATCAGTCCCCAAGAGGGGAAAAGAAGAGCCCCTTTTCACTCATTTTCTTTCCAGTTCTTAGTGTCTTCCACTATCTTTTCTCCATTCCTTCTGTGTCAGAGAAAGGATGTTTTTCTCTCTTTCTAAGGATAAACTCTGTCTTCCCAGTTTGGTTTCAGTTTTCTCCTCTGCGGCCATGCCACATTTGTAACTTTCTTTTTTCTTTCATCTTCAAGCTATGCCTTAGACTCTAAATTTGTTCCTACTACCAGTCTACTCTAAATAAAGTCTCTCAGGCATAATTCCCACTAAAATATTACTTTATTGCTTTCCTTCACCAAATCTCTCAAGCAGGTAGTCTACATTCTCTGCCATTAGCAGTTCACTTCTCATTCATTATGGCTATTTCCTATTCTCATGACCGTACCTTAAGTATGACTAAATGATGGTTTACACTACAGCAACCCACCTTGAGCTCTCTATTCTACTTTCCACCATATGTTTTCTGTTTGGGGGCTTGGGCATTACTCTATTATTTGTGTTTCCATATTCAAACTCTTCAAGAGAGTATCTGATTGGCTTGTCAGTTACTCTCCAGTATAAATGCCAGATTGGCCATATCTACTTATAAGATTAGCCCACAGGCTGACTTTGGGCCAGCCATTGTTCCCTGATTCAATGCAATGTGACCAGTATTAGAAGGTAATGCAGGTACACAGCATGTGACTATGCATAAAAAACTTTTCAGAAGGAGGTAAGAGTGGGAACTTCTATGAAGCACTCAGAGTAAGCCACAATTTAAAATTCCCAACTGGGTAAACTTACAGTGTTAGTTTGGGGTACTGGCCATTTTTAGTAAAGTAGATAAGTTGATTATTTAGTGTCAGACATTATATCTGAACTGGAAGGTTTTTTAAGAAGCCCAAAGATCAGTACTTTAAGATTTAAATTTCTTCACAGTTTCTATGGCACATGCATCTGAAATTCACCAAAGATTATCAGTCATATGGCTGTTTTCTTTTAAGATGTCAAAGAATAACGAGACTGATTCATGGAAAGTCACAGAATTGACAGTAGCCTGGATTTTTAAATTTCTAAGCTTTGTTATTTCTTTGTAGAAGGCGAGATTAAAAAAAATTCACCAGCACTTCAAAAGCCCAGCTATGTAGAGCTGACTTGAGAAGCTGTTCTAAGATACTTCACTTTCCTTCCCTGGACATGAATGATATGGATATGCTTTCCTTTCCCTTTTTCCTAATTTACATGTGAAATAAAGTCATCACCAGAAAGATGAATATAACACATCAAAACATGATACAGGACATCATTTCTCACTGCCTTAGTTTTCTGCAAATATTTCCATCTTTAAGCTTCAGCCCAGCTTTTTACCTTTTTTAATGCCGTATTTATAGTGTTTTCTGATTTTTATTAGCAGTTCTCTGTGAAACTGGTTATGGATTTTTCTATTATTTCTTGTACAAGGCTAAAAGATTCATTAGTGTAGTGATACTACAGTTCTCATCATCACTTTAGCGTCAACTCCTTGATTACAGTTATTTTAGGGCAAAGGAATTCTGATTTGCCAAGATTATAATGAAGAAAGGTCAGAAGTTTGTTTGTTTGTTTGTTTTTCAAGTAACTAAGAACTCTTGGCTTGATCTTTGGAATTTAGCTTAGTTCAGCCCCCATTTACTCAGCACTTAGACTCTGTTAGGCACAGGGGATGTTAAGATGAATTAATACAGGTTCTAAAACCAAAGACTTTATAGCTGAGGAGATGAGACTATCGGATATATGCTCAGTGTGATCACTGGTAAATTTCCTCCAAAAGACAGAGGAAAGGCACCTTGTCCTTTAACAGAGGGAGTGTCAGAAAACTTTTGGGAAAAGAACATGCCTGAGACATGCCTTGAAGACTAAATCGAAACCCATTAAGGGAAGAAGGTGGGGGTTTTCAGCATGTGGGGAGCCATCTAGGAGCAAGAACAGTGTGAAGAATGGCGCACACATTCCTTGGGGCATTGAAAACCTACAAGCTGCTTGGTACTTCTGGAGAGTAACAAGGCTGAATGGGAAGAGAGGAGCCAAGCAGCCCAAGACGGGAGGCACTGTCTGAGCCAGGCTGAGGCATTTTCCCTCAATCCTCACGTTACTGAGGCGGCCTGGAAGCTGTTTAAGTTGGGAGGGCACGTTTATTCTTCAATCAATCATGTTTGTTCTTCAGAGGGATCACTCAATCAGCTGCAAGGAAGATGAATTTGAAGGGGTAAAATCAGAGGCAGTTATCCAGTTCAGAAAGCTCCTCACTCACAATTACAGAGAAAGATAAACAAGGCCTGAGAACCGAGGCATTGCTAAGACAAGAGAGGCGCTTACCTGAGGAAATTAAAAGGTAGGATTTTAATGCTGTTTTACAGTATCTTAATGATGTGCTAGTAAACCTTACCTATGAATACAAATAAATGGAGAAGTAAACAGGAAATGGATAGAATACAGTCCTTACAATTCTTCAGTGTAGAGGCCACTTTATTTCAATAAACCCCATTGAAACTCTATGCGTGCCTGTGTGTGTGTAACAGACGCAGTTCATTTAAGAGTTATTTGTGTTGCTGTCCAGCTAAGGAGTGTTTATTCCCTAGGGATCAAAGTACCCAAATCTGGCAAACTCCAAAGCAGTGAGAAGGATGAGGACTGCTTGGTGCTCAGGTGCTCATCTTGGAGCCTCATTCTTTTTTTTTTTTTTTTTTTTTGAGATGGAGTCTCACTCTGTCACTAGGCTGGAGTGCAGTGGTGTGATCTCGGCTCACTGCAAGCTCTGCCCCCGGGGTTCAAGCGATTCTCCTGCCTCAGCCTCCTGAGTAGCTGAGACTACAGGCATGTGGCACCATGCCCAGCTAATTTTTGTATTTTTATTAGAGACGGGGTTTTACCATGTTAGCCAGGATGGTCTCAATCTTTTGACCTTGTGATCCGCCTGCCTTGGCCTCCCAAAGTGTTGGGATTACAGGTGTGAGTCACTGCGCCTGGCCTGGAGCCTCATTCTTTTGACTTTCTCTTCCATTACTGATGTTGTGGTAAAAATGACCCAAACATTAGAAGCATTTTATTAGAGATCTCTTCTTTTCCTGACTCTCAGACTGGAATAGAAGCCAGAAAAAAGATTTCAGGCACATTATCAGCTTCATTCTCTTCTCCAACTCTATTTTCTAGACAGATGGTAATTTCTACCCAGCTGAATAACTTTTTTTAAAACAATTCTTCATATGTTACCTAGTGGGACAGTTAACTTATGTGTCAAATTGACTTGGCCATGGAGTGCCCAGACATTTGGTCAAACATTATTCTGGGTGTTTCTGGATGAGACAACCATCTGAACTGGTAGAATGAGTAAAGCTTACTCTGCTCCCTAATGTGAGTGGGCCCCATCCAATCAGTTGAAGACCTGAATAGCACCAAAAGTCCCAGTAAGAGGGAGCACCTACTACTGACTGTTGAGCTGGGACATGGGTCTTTTCCTGCCTTTGGACTCAAACTGAAAAACTTCAAGACTCTTCTTGGGTCTTCAGCCTACTAGCCTTTGTATCAGAACTTATACCACTGGCTTGCCTGGGTCTCCAGCCTGGAGACTATAGCTCTTAGGACTTCTTAGCCTCATAATCACATAAGCCAATTATTTATAATAAATACACACATACAAATATAAATATATATTTTTATATATTTATTTATTTATAATGCCTATTGTTTTTGATTCCTGGAGAACCCTAATACACTACTATACCTAGGCAATAAATTTTCTATTAAAGAAAAACAAGACATCAAAATTTTAAATTATTTATAACCTCATTCCTCAGAGGCAACTGGAATATTGTGTGTAAGTTGGGAGTTCAATTTTCCAAAAACATGAATCACAGTGTACAGATTTATTAGTTATCGTAGATCAATAATAGATTATGAATGGAGAACATTTTGACACTGTTGACAATATTTAGCCTAATTTTTCGTTGCTTGAGTTTAGCAATGTTTAATATTGCCAGCAAGTCACTTTTTGTCTATCACGAATCTTACTCTATGTTTTTTTGGTTCTTTTAGACTTATCTTGTGTCAATTGCTTATAACTGTAGTGCTCATTCTAGGTTAAAGTCAAAATAAAATATTTGTTTTAATGTACATGCAAAGAGCAATAATAAAGTAGGTGCATAAAAACTTGGTTCAAAGCAGGGTGAAATAATGAGGTCAAAATTTCCTTTACCAAATCAAAATTTGTATAGTTGAAGGAGGTGGAGCTCACAGCTTTGCCCACCTGACTTTTCATTCACCCTGAGGGAGTTATTCTAGGAGGAATGAATTCTGGAGAAGTATAGCAATTCTATTTAGAATTTCTATTTTTCTTTTCATTTGTCCTGTTAATCATTTACCAATGTACTTTGTTGATATTTATACTCAATTTTTAGTGGCATTAACACTGATTGTCAACAAATAATAATTTACAGGGAAATTATACTAACATTATTTTGGTTTAATCAAACATAAGAAAAAACTCATTGTTTGGAACGTGAAGCCATAGCCATGGTAACATCAAAGTATATCCTAATTGCAAGAAAAATACCTAAAAAGAAACAAAAATCTCATATTCTATATTGGTAAACACAATCGTTTTTTTTTAAAAGGCTTATGACACACCGTCTAGATTTTAAACGGAGCATTAAAAGAGAAATATGGAACAGTTTATTCAAGCCTTGTGGTTTCTCCTTATTAAGCACTAAAGATTGCTTCAAGTTCCCATCCTTTAATAATTCATTAGTTTTCTACTGGAAACTAAAATCTTGATGTTTAAAGAAACATTCCTACATCAAAAAATAAAGTAAAATTTAGAACAGAATGGCAACTGGAGGAGAAAATTTTTTGATCATAAAAGTTTTCAGTTCCAGTCCCTAAGACCAATGTATAGCACTTGAATAGGGCATACAGAATTTTTTTCCTTCCTTTAAAGAGAATTAAAGAGAAAACAAGAAGATTGAGAATTTCTTTGTAAATGCATGGTTGTTTTCAAAATGTGGAACAAGGGATGAGTCCTTTGGAGACAAAGGCGAAGCAGCTGCATGTAGCTGGATGAGGCTGGCTTAGTCCAGTCTGTCCCAGTTGTGTCATCCGTACCAGCTTCCTACCTGCAAACTCATGTCTCAGAAACACTTAAGAGAACCGAGGTACAGGAGTGCTTTCAATCAAAATTTGGATACCCTTCTTGGTTTAAAGGTAAAAGATACTTTTTTCCTAAAAACTATGAACTACAAAAGCAAGGAAAAGTGAGCAATCTATTCTACAGGAGTATTTCAATGAGTTTTTTTTTTTTAAAATGCAGATGGCCAGATCACTGTTACCTTTATTTTGGTAGAAAACATGTTTTCTGTTAACATTCCAAATTCTCAAATAGAAAAAAATTATTATTATTATTATCCAAGGAAGTTTTTTGTTTTTTTGTTTTTTTTTTGTTATTTTTCATTCTTTTTTTAATTTATTATTATTGTACTTTAAGTTTTTGGGTACATGTGCACAATGTGCAGGTTACTTACCTATGTATACATGTGCCATGCTGGTGTGCAGCACCCATTAACTCGTCATTTAGCATTAGGTATATCTCCTAATGCTATCCCTCCCCCCTCCCCTCACCCCACAACAGTCCCCCGAGTGCGATGTTCCCCTTCCTGTGTCCATGTGTTCTCATTGTTCAATTCCCATCTATGAGTGAGAACATGCGGTGTTTGGTTTTTTGTCCTTGTGATAGTTTACTGAGAATGATGATTTCCAGTTTCATCCATGTCCCTACAAAGGACAGGAACTCATCATTTTTTATGGCTGCGTAGTATTCCATGGTGTATATATGCCAGATTTTCTTAATCCAGTCTATCATCATTGGACATTTGGGTTGGTTCGAAGTCTTTGCTATTGTGAATAGTGCCGCAATAAACATACGTGTGCATGTGTCTTTATGGCAGCATGATTTATAGTCCTTTGGGTATATACCCAGTAATGGGATGGCTGGGTCAAATGGTATTTCTAGTTCTAGATCCCTGAGGAATCGCCACACTGACTTCCACGATGGTTGAACTAGTTTACAGTCCCACCAACAGTGTAAAAGTGTTCCTATTTCTCCACATCCTCTCCAGCACCTGTTGTTTCCTGACTTTTTAATGATTGCCATTCTAACTGGTGTGAGATGGTATCTCATTGTGGTTTTGATTTGCATTTCTCTGATGGCCAGTGATGATGAGCATTTTTTTCATGTGTCTTTTGGCTGCATAAATGTCTTCTTTTGAGAAGTGTCTGTTCATATCCTTTGCCCACTTTTTGATGGGGTTGTTTGTTTTTTTCTTGTAAATTTGTTTGAGTTCATTGTAGATTCTGGATATTAGCCCTTTGTCAGATGAGTAGGTTGCAAAAATTTTCTCCCATTTTGTAGGTTGCCTGTTCACTCTGATGGTAGTTTCTTTTGCTGTGCAGAAGTTCTTGAGTTTAATTAGATCCCATTTGTCAATTTTGGCTTTTGTTGCCATTGCTTTTGGTGTTTTAGTCATGAAGTCCTTGCCCATGCCTATGTCCTGAATGGTAATGCCTAGGTTTTCTTCTAGGGTTTTTATGGTTTTAGGTCTAACATTTAAGTCTTTAATCCATCTTGAATTAATTTTTGTATAAGGTGTAAGGAAGGGATCCAGTTTCAGCTGTCTACATATGGCTAGCCTGTTTTCCCAGCACCATTTATTAAATAGGGAATCCTTTCCGCATTGCTTGTTTTTCTCAGGTTTGTCAAAGATCAGATAGTTGTAGATATGCAGTGTTATTTCTGAGGGCTCTGTTGTGTTCCATTGATCTATATCTCTGTTTTGGTACCAGTACCATGCTGTTTTGGTTACTGTAGCCTTGTAGTAGAGTTTGAAGTCAGGTAGCGTGATGCCTCCAGCTTTGTTCTTTTGGCTTAGGATTGACTTGGCGATGCGGGCTCTTTTTTGGTTCCACATGAACTTTAAAGTAGTTTTTTCCAATTCTGTGAAGAAAGTCATTGGTAGCTTGATGGGGATGGCATTGAATCTGTAAATTACCTTGGGCAGTATGGCCATTTTTCACGATATTGATTCTTCCTACCCATGAGCATGGAATGTTCTTCCATTTGTTTGTATCCTCTTTGATTTCATTGAGCAGTGGTTTGTAGTTCTCCTTGAAGAGGTCCTTCATGTCCCTTGTAAGTTGGATTCCTAAGTATTTTATTCTCTTTGAAGCAATTGTGAATGGGAGTTCACTCATGATTTGGCTCTCTGTCTGTTATTGGTGTATAAGAATGCTTGTGATTTTTGTACATTGATTTTGTTTCCTGAGACTTTGCTGAAGTTGCTTATCAGTTTAAGGAGATTTTGGGCTGAGACAATGGGGTTTTCTAAATATACAATCATGTCGTCTGCAAACAGGGACAATTTGACTTCCTCTTTTCCTAATTGAATACCCTTTGTTTCCTTCTCTTGCCTAATTGCCCTGGCCAGAACTTCCAACACTATGTTGAAAAGGAGTGGTGAGAGAGGGCATCCCTGTCTTGTGCCAGTTTTCAAAGGGAATGCTTCCAGTTTTTGCCCATTCAGTATGATATTGCCTGTGGGTTTGGAGCCGATGCCATCAACTGGAAGAAATGGTATCAGTGATGGAAGATGAAATGAATGAAATGAAGCGAGAAGGGAAGTTTAGAGAAAAAAGAATAAGAAGAAATGAACAAAGCCTCCAAGAAACATGAGACTATGTGAAAAGACCAAATCTGCATCTGATTGGTTTACCTGAAAGTGACGGGGAGAATGGAACCAAGTTGGAAAACACTCTGCAGGGTATTATCCAGGAGAACTTCCCGAATCTAGCAAGGCAGGCCAACATTCAGATTCAGGAAATACAGAGAACGCCACAAAGATACTCCTTGAGAAGAGCAACTCCAAGACACATAATAGTCAGATTCACCAAAGTTGAAATGAAGGAAAAAATGTTAAGGGCAGCCAGAGAGAAAGGTCGGGTTACCCACAAAGAGAAGCCCATCAGACTAACAGCAGATCTCTTGGCAGAAACTCTACAAGCCAGAAGAGAGTGGGGGCCAATATTCAACATTCTTAAAGAAAAGAATTTTCAACCCAGAATTTCATATCCAGCCAAACTAAGCTTCATAAGTGAAGGAGAAATAAAATCCTTTACAGACAAGCAAATGCTGAGAGATTTTGTCACCACCAGGCCTGCCCTAAAAGAGCTCCTGAAGGAGGCACTAAACATGGAAAGGAACAAACGGTACCAGCCGCTGCAAAATCATGCCAAAATGTAAAGACCATGGAGACTAGGAAGAAACTGCATCAACTAATGAGCAAAATAACCAGCTAACATCATAATGACAGGATCAAATTCACACATAACAATATTAACTTTAAATGTAAATGGACTAAATGCTCCAATTAAAAGACACAGACTGGCAAATTGGATAAAGAGTCAAGAGCCATCAGTGTGCTGTATTCAGGAAACCCATCTCATGTGCAGACACACATAGGCTCAAAATAAAAGGATGGAAGATCTACCAGCAAATGGAAAACAAAAAAAGGCAGGGGTTGCAATCCTAGTCTCTGATAAAACAGACTTTAAACCAACAAAGATCAAAAGAGACAAAGAAGGCCATTACATAATGGTAAAGGGATCAATTCAACAAGAAGAGCTAACTATCCTAAATATATATGCACCCAATACAGGAACACCCAGATTCATAAAGCAAGTCCTGAGTGACCTACAAAGAGACTTAGACTCCCACACAATAATAATGGGAGACTTTAACACCCCACTGTAACATTAGACAGATCAACGAGACAGAAAGTTAACAAGGATACCCAGGAATTGAACTCAGCTCTGCACCAAGCAGACCTAATAGACATCTACAGAACTCTCCACCCCAAATCAACAGAATATACATTTTTTTCAGCACCACACCATACCTATTCCAAAATTGACCACATAGTTGGAAGTAAAGCTCCCCTCAGCAAATGTAAAAGAACAGAAATTATAACAAACTGTCTCTCAGACCACAGTGCAATCAAACTAGAACTCAGGATTAAGAAACTCACTCAAAACCACTCAAGTACATGGAAACTGAACAACCTGCTCCTGAATGACTACTGGGTACATAACGAAATGAAGGCAGAAATAAAGATGTTCTCTGAAACCAACGAGAACAAAGACACAACATACCAGAATCTCTGGGACACATTCAAAACAGTGTGTAGAGGGAAATTTATAGCACTAACTGCCCACAAGAGAAAGCAGGAAAGATCCAAAATTGACACCTGAACATCACAATTATAAGAACTAGAAAAGCAAGGGCGAACACATTCAAAAGCTAGCAGAAGGCAAGAAATGACTAAAATCAGAGCAGAACTGAAGGAAATAGAGACGTAAAAAGCCCTTCAAAAAATTAATGAATCCAGGAGCTGGTTTTTTGAAAGGAGCAACAGAATTGATAGACCGCTAGCAAGACTAATAAAGAAAAAAAGAGAGAAGAATCAAATAGACGCAATCAAACCACCGATCCCACAGCAATACAAACTACCATCAGAGAATACTACAAACACCTCTATGCAAATAAACTAGAAAATCTAGAAGAAATGGATAAATTCCTCAACACATACCCTCTCCCAAGACTAAACCAGGAAGAAGTTGAATCTCTGAATAGACCAATAACAGGATCTGAAATTGTGGCAATAATCAATAGCTTACCAACCAAAAAGAGTCCAGGACCAGATGGATTCACAGCCGAATTCTACCAGAGGTACAAGGAGGAACTGGTACCATTTCTTCTGAAACTATTCCAATCAATAGAAAAAGAGAGAATCCTTCCTAACTCATTTTATGAGGCCAGCATCATCCTGATAGCAAAGCCGGGCAGAGACACAACCAAAAAAGAGAATTTTAGACCAATATCCTTGATGAACATTGATGCAAAAATCCTCAATAAAATACTGGCAAACCAAATCCAGCAGCACATCAAAAAGCTTATCCACCATGATCAAGTGGGCTTCATCCCTGGGATGCAAGCCTGGGTCAATATACGCAAATCAATAAATGTAATCCAGCATATAAACAGAACCAAAGACAAAAACCACATGATTATCTCAATAGATGCAGAAAAGGCCTTTGACAAAATTCAACAACACTTCATGCTAAAAACTCTCAATAAATTAGGTATTGATGGGAAGTTTTATAAATGTGTTAAAATCTTAGCAGTATCAGCCTGAAGTTTTTCCTGAGTGTATGTTCTGTCTTCTAACAGCAAGTGCAGTTTTTAAGAGCTGAATGTAGATCAATGGACTTTTCTCTCAGTGCACATGAAATTCTAGAGGCGAAAGGGTTAGCTTGATGAATGCCTCATTTTTATCATCTACAATTGCAGTGGGTGCTGAACTTGAATTATGCTCTTTTTTTTTTTGCCTTGACCACTTATTTAAATATACCATTTACCTAATGTATAGTCAGAGGAGCAGAATTTTATAGTCACTGGGATTTTGAAAGGCATATAAATTTCCACTGTCTGTGTCTTTGTCTACATCAACATAAATACCTCCAACTGTATGGATGCAGACGTTAATATTGATAATATGCATCTTATTCACAGTATTAATAAATGCTTATTCAAACTCACATTGATAACAACCTACAGAAAAGGTATCATTAGAAGCATACGATCCTCAGTATTTTATAGTTTAAAGTTAATATTGAAACTTTATAAGTGTTTGAGCAGTCATCAAACTGATATTTTAAAACCAAGATTTCCAAATCTCTGAGTTAGAACAGTCAAAAACATGAAACCTCTTATCTATGTCTAAATAAAAATGTTTGGTTGATTTCTCTGGGCAATCAGTTTTAGACAGCTAAAACGCTTTCCCCTGAAATTACAATATTTACTTCGCTTTTATTTTTTTCAAAGATTAAAAAAATCACACATCTTTAACCACTGCAGTTGTGACACTGCATATCACCACCCGCGTTTTCTAATTCCATGATTGCATATATTTACGCAAATTATATAATAAGATGCAATTACAATAATTACAGAGGAATAGGCAACAATTGAAAAAAATACAAATTCTCACTAAATGATATGAAAATTGTCAGACAAACCCATACAAGAATAGAAACTACTTTAAGATGAACTCTATCAGACAACAGCAAACAATCCAGCCAAACACCTTAGTCTCAGCAAATTGAAACATGTTACACTGGGAGACCTGAGGCTTAAGGCTTAAGGGTAAAGTTATTTTTCCTTAAAATTTGTTTCCCAGTCCTAGAATGTGAATGTTAACATCTTGACTTTCCTAAGCATATTATGACTACAGAACCTTTTTCCTTGGTGTTTTCTTATTGTTATTTCAAAGAAAAGGGAAGGATAATCACAAAATTAATGAAAAACAAGCACACTATAGACAACTCTATGGAGTTGTAATTAGGAAAGAGTAGGTCCTGCTATGATTTTCTTGTCCTTTTCTCCAACTGTATATATCATTTTCAATGATTTACAGTCCAAGAATATTATTTGTCCAATTTATTTTGCTTTTAGTAAATATTCATAAGACAAATTATGCAACTCATCCATTTGAGCACTCTATAAATTTTCCTGTAGTGTATTTTATTTGCATTGAATTTCTCACTTTGTTTTATATTTCAGACAAATATTCTTAATATAAAAGTTGGGAAGTTTGCCTCTTTGCTTTCTTTTTGCAACAATTTTACTAGATCTAAGACCGTGTCTTGCCAGCCTGTGACAGTGAAAAATTAACATTTTGACACACCATATGTCTTCACAAAGAAACTTAGATTTATCCCCATCCTAGCTTATTCATAATTCCTATATTTCAGTCACTATGCTGAGTTCCTTATTTACATTATATTTTATGTAATACTTCATAACAACCCTGCAAGATGATCCTTTAAACAGCAGAATCCCCATTTTTACAGATGTAGAAACTGAGGCTTTGGGAGTGTAAGTACAGAGATGGGTGTTGGCAGTTATACAGTTTTTGAGCCAAGATGTGGATTCTGGCCTATCTTAAGCATTTATATAAACATTTACTGACTTCCAACACTGCACTAGATACAAGGTTGTGAGGATACAAAGTTGAATAACACATGGTCACTGCCTTTGAGGCACCTAATGTCTTACAGGTAAGAGAGATACAAACACCAATAATTTCAACATAAAATGAAAAGTGCCGAGAGAAGGGCCTGAAGAGTTTTTACTGTGAAACAGCTTTCTTAAGGCAATATTAGATGCTTCATGTGTTTTACCATATGGCAGCATAGCTATAATAACCACTGGGTAGTTATGATTTAAAGTAAGGATAAATCAAATTCCTTAGGAAATAAAACTAATATATAACTTCAGAAAATAAAACTTCAATTTCTTAGAGCATCAAAGAATTGCATAGAATTGTAAATTCACTGATTAGATGATTAATGGAAAAATCTATTTATTCATTCATTAACAAATGATCATTAAGTACTTGCTCTGGGCCAGGTAATGCGGCAGGCTTTGAAGATGCAAGGATGAACAAGAAAGACAGGAACCCTGCGGTTACAGAGCTTACATACCTCAGAGAAACCCAACAGAGTGTGTTAGGTGCTATGTGAAGGGAGTGGAAGGTGCTAGGGAAGCACACAGGCAAAGGTCTAACCTAGGTGTCCTGAAGGAAGTGAGGTCTAAGTGGATGTTATAAAGTAGCCAAGAACAAAAGAGGGGTAAGAGCCTTGTGATCTGGAGGCAACCTGTGTGTAAAAGTCTTGAAAGAAACTGCTGTGATCTGAATGTTTTGTCCCCCTCAGATCCACATATTGAAACCTAATCACCCATGTGATAAGGTTATGAGGTGAGGCCTTTGGGAGGTGATTGGGTTGTAATGGCAGAGTCCTCGTGAATGGGATTAGTACCCTTATGAATGAAAGAGGCTCCAGAGAGCTGCTTTGCCCCTTCCACTATGTGAGGACATAGTGAGAAGCCCCCATCCATGAACCAGGAAACAGGTCTTCACCTGACATCAAATCTGCCACTGCCTTGATCTTGGACTTCCCAGCCTCCAGAACTGTGAGACATACATTTCTATTGTTTATAAGCCACTCAGTTCATGGTATATTTTGTTATAGCAGCCTGAAAATACTAAGACAGAGAGCACAACAAAAATAAGAACCTGAGAGAAATTTAGTCTGCTTGGAGCCATAGGTGGGATAAGGAAAATGGTAAAAGGTAAGTAACAAATAGTATCATAAAAAAATCTATTGTATTAAAAAGATTTTGGGCTAATTGTGTGCATAGGAAATAAACCCTTCCAGAGATTCTGCAGGTGGTCCTGCATGCTTGAAACATCTCAAGTGTTCGCATAAATATAATGCACCAAATTAATATTTTTAGCATTCCTGGTTAACAGTATATGAAACCATGAACCAAATATAGAGGAGGGGACTGGGATGATCTTGAGACTAAAACCAAAGTGAGCTAAGGATGTAGCTACAATACACTTGCTGAAGCAGAGGTCAAGACAAAGTGCAAGCATCTGTCCTCACAGCGCCACTTATAAGACCCCTCCATGCTTAATAGGAGGAAAACTCATGTCAATGAAACACATGGCATCCAGGGATAGGGGAACGTGGACCCTTGGATAGAGTTGGAGGAATTTAAACTCACGGCAAAGAGTGAGATGATGTGGGGCTACACTTGCATGGTAAAGTACTGGGGCTTCCCAGAGTGTAGTGATGCAAGAAACTGTGGAGCAGGGCTTTCTCTCACTAGTACAGTTACAGCCAGTGAAAACTGACTAAATGTCTGTTCTACTTGTTATTGTTACTTCACAAAAAGAGGCCTTGTCTTGGACTTGGTGGTTTTTATGAGTTGGGTTGCACTATTAGCAAATCTGACAGCCTGCTGCCTCAAGTGCTTTTTCTGTCCCTTGCTGCCACCAAGCAGGGTTGGGTGTTCTCAGAGATAATAGGAACAGGAGGCTTCACATCAGCGAGAGTAGTAAGCAGGGTCAAGATCAGAGTATATAGAATCTTACACACCATGTTGAGGAGTTCATCCTAAGAACAGAAACCCAAAGAATGGTTTTGGTATAGAAATGAAAAAAAAGGAGAGTTGAGTCTTGGATCCCTCTCGTGGTGATGGCTTGAAGGAGGCAAAAGAGTGAAGGGCTACAAGAAGGCTTGTTAGCAGAATGTTGAAAGAGTCAAGTGGTAGAATGATAGTGGTCCCCTGTAGATGGGCAATAGTGGGTTGCTGAAAGTGAGTGGATTTAGGAAATTTACCAGAAGTGGCCTATTAGGGTATGTGGCATCAGTGATGGCAGAATCCAAGGTTGATACCTAGATGCCTGATTTTGGAAACTGGCTTAACGATGATTAATAGAAAAAAGAATGAGGAAACAGTAGTAAAGGGCCAAGGTGGGTGAGCAGGAGAAGGCTGAGATGATGAGTTTTATTTTGAATATGTTGAAATAAAGTACCTACGGGGCATTCAAGGGAATGTGTCTAGTAAGTAGTTGGATATGCAGGAGGGAGACCCGGAGTTGAGATATAGACAAATATCTTGCATTAATTTATACACACGTCTAAGCAAAAGAGACAAGTCCAATTTCCAAACATATACACCTTCCTATTTAAGAGAACTTTCTGTTTATACCCTATGTTATCAATCAGAAGTATCTTTATAAATTCTTGTCATGCCTGTACTCAACAATCAAAAAATTATAGAAGGAGTACTATTTAATAATGATAGTCCTCTAAAATTAAACACTTTAAGAGGCATTAATTCTCTTTTCCATCTTATACAGAGTTTCAAGAATAATTATCTGATCAGGAAGTTCAAAAGTTCAGATACTATTTTAACTGCCTTTCTCAATTCAAATTCTTACTTCACCTTTAGCAATAGTTAGGAAAGACACTGCCACTTCATTTCCCCCATGGAGGAAATGATCCTTGAAAAATGCTGCCAAAAAACACCAGTGTGAGAAACCTTAATGAAGTGGCTTTATTCTAGCTCTTGGAAAGCCCACTTTGGTTAGGGGTGTGCAACTTTTCTTGTCATATTCTCCATCTCGAAAGGGCCTTTAACTCAGCTATATCAGTGCCCAGCAGAAAGAAGTGTTGGCAGGCTTTTTTAAAAAACATTACTTGAAACTTTTGTTGCCAGATAACAGCTTAAATACCATTTGCTACTCCTCAGTTAAGAAAAAGAAAAAGGGAGGGTTCATTATGGCTTTTCTTCCTCCGAAATGATGCTTTTTAAGACAAGAGCATCTTGTTTGCTTTCAAGCAGTTGGGTCATGCTAATGTTCTGCATGTTTCTGGAGCAGGGAATTCAGCAACAGCACGATAGAAGGCACCTTTCTCCATCTTAACACCAGCTAAAAAAGCGCTCCCTCTAAGGAAAGCCTGCAGCAAATTAAAGAGATGAATTTATTGCTCCCTTCCCTCAAATATTCCTGTATATGTCAAATAAATCTAAACCTACCCCAGTGCATTTATTGGAAATATTTTCTTGATAGTTTATACATGGAACCCTATTTGCAAAAGACTGACTCAAGAAACTAAGATTTTATTCTATTAAAATAACTTTGCAATACAGAAGTTTTGTCTTTACAAGTGGAAAATATATTTTTAGTCATTATCAACACATAGAATTTTTAGTATTTCACAGAACTCAAAGAAAATCTCCTTCACCCAATCACCATTTGAAGAACAGTGTCCTGATAGTTAAAAATTATTTTCCTTAATAATTAGTGAGCAAGAATAAGGCTGGTTTCCAATTTGGACATAAGCACACAGTGGAGAAATACGCTGTTCCCTTCCCATTTGCACCTGTCTATACCTTCTGTCTCTATGTAAATTTAAGGGGAGGGTGTCTCACAGCCTGACCCATGCAGCAGGGAATGACCACAATCATTGTTAACCTGACGTTAAGAAGAACAGCTGGACAGTTTGCTTCCAAGACAATAAGAATGAAATGGCTAGGCTGGAAGGGATCTACTCTTTCCATGCCCAGGAAATAATAGCCCCGTAACTGTGACTCTTGTAAGTAGTTATCCCGCCACCTCATCCTTTCTCAGAGTCTCTACCCCTTTGAATAAGCATTAGAAATAAACACGATGTGCTCTCTATCTTTAGGGAAAGTAAACAACAACAAGGGTATTTAGTTTCTTTTTAATTTCGCTTTTGTCACAATCTAACTTACATAGAGAATGGTGAGTAAATAACAAGTGCACAACTGAAAGAATTTTCATAAAGTGAACACCTCATATAAACAGCACCCTGATCAAGAAACAGAACACTGTCAACACCCCAAAGTCATTCCTCTCCTGTACTCATCCATTCACAGCCCCCCACAAGGATATATACTAATCTGTCTTCCTACAGCATAGATTCATTTAGCCTATTTTTGAACTTTATGTAAATGGAATCATATTGTTTGTCTGTCTGTTAATGACTCTTTTCTTTTTTTTTTTGAGACAGTCTCACTCTGTTGCCCAGGCTGGCATGCAGTGGCACAATCTCAGCTTACTGCAACCTCTGCCTCCCAGGTTCAAGTGATTCCCCTGCCTCAGCCTCCCAAGTAGCTGGGATTACAGGCATATGCCATCCTGCCTGGCTAATTTTTGTATTTTTGGTACAGATGGGGTTTCGCCATGTTGGCCAGGCTGGTCTCGAACTCCTGACCTCAAGTGATCCACTCGCTTCAGCCTCCCAAGGTGCTGAATTACAAGCCTGAGGCACTACATCTGTCTGAATAACTCTTTTCATTCAATATTAGGTTTATGGGATTCATTCATATTGTATGCTTTTGTAGTTTGGTCATTCTTGTTGCCATATGGTATTCCATTTTGAATATACCACAATTTATTTGTTCAAATATTGATGGATATTTGGGGCTAATAAACTGTGTTGCTATGAACGTTCCTGTACATGTCTTTTAATAAAGGTATGGATACCTGTCACAGCACCCTTAAGCATGAATTTGAGTCCCTTTCCCTTTCTCTTCTCAACTGAGCTCTAATATAACCTTCCTTTGCAAAGACCAGATCCCTTACCGACCTCGCAGACATGTGTAGTAGACTTTCACCCTTCTTACCATCTGGCATCTATTCATCCTTTTCCCATGAAAATGACCTATTTACAGCCCAAGTATTCAGGTGGAATTTCTTCCCCAGAAGCATGCGGCCTGGGCCTATGCTGGTTAGAGCATCACATTCCTGTTTTATTTTCACAATTTAGATAAAATTCACAGCTATGTGAATTCACCCACTAAATTCACGGAATTGGATGGTTTTAATTTACTCAGAGATATGTGAAACCACCCCCACAGTCAATTTCAGAACATTTCTGCCCTTTAGCTATCACTCTCCTACCCACCCATCACCCCCAGCCCTGAGCAATCACTAATCTACTTTCTGTTTGTATGGATTTGCTTATTCTGGACATCTCATATAAATGGGATTATATAGTATGTGGTCCTTTGTGGCTGTCTTATTTAACTTAGCTTAATAGTTTCATGGTTTCAAGTTTCCTTCTTATTGTAGCATCTATCACTAACTGCTGTATTTTCATTGCTTCTTATGGCCAAATAACATTTAATTGTATGGATACGCCATATTTTATGCCACATTTTGTTTATCTATTCAACAGTTAACAGACATTTAGGTTTCTACCTTATGATTGTTATGAATAATGCTGTTATGAATAATGCCTTTGTGTACAAGTTTTTTGTAGCTAGATATTTTCATTTATATTGGCATATACCTAGGAGTAGAACTGCTGGGACACATGTAACTCTATGTGTCACAATTTGAGGAACTGCCAGTCCATTTTCCAAAGTGACAGCATCATTTTACATTTTCACCAGCAATGTATGAGAGATCTAATTTCTTTCCACATTTGACAAAAGTTGTTGTTATATTTTTTTCAATACAGCCATCCTACGGGGTGTGAAGAGTTATTTCCTTGTGATTTTGATTTGCATTTCTTTGATGGCTAATGATGTTGAGAATCTTTCCGTGTGCTTTGTCTATTTGTATGCCTTCTATGGAGATACGTCTATTGAGATTCTTTGCCCATTTTAAAATTGGGTTAATTTGTTTTATTATTGAGTTGTATGGGTCTTTACATATTCTGGATACAAGTTCCAAAGGGGATATATAATTTGAAAATATTTTCTCTTATTCCATGGGTTGTTTTTTTACTTCTTGATAGCATCCTTTGAAGCACAGAAAATTTTAATTTTGGTGAAAACCAATTTTTTGTTGTTGTTGTTGCTCATGTTTTGGGAATTACACCTAAGAATTCGTTGGCAAATCTGAGGTCCTGCAGATTTATCCCTGAGTTTTCTTCTAGGAGTTTAATAGATTTATATGTACATACATCTTAGATTTACATCTTTGATCTGCTTTGAGTTAATTTTTCTATATTGTGTGAGGTAAGGGCCCAATTTCATTGTTTTACATGTGGATATACAATCATCCTAGCACCATTTGTTTAAAAAATATTCTTTATTGAATAACCATGGTGCCCTTGTTAAATTCGGGTGACCAAAGACATATAGATTTATTTGTAGACTCTCAATTCTATCCCACTAATCTATATGTTTATCCCTATGTTAGTAACATATGTTTGATTATCGTCACTTTATTGTAAGTTTTGAAATTGGGAAGTTATGAAATTTGAAAGGCCTTCAACTTATTCTTCTTTTTAAAGATTGTTTTGGCTATTCTGAGTCCCCTGCAATTCCATATGAATTTTGGGATCAGCTCATCAATTTGTACAAAGAAGTCAACTGGCCTAGAGAATCCCAGTTGCAACAGAGATTGTACTGAATCTTTAGATCTATTTGAGGAGCACTATTATCTTAACAAGATTAAAATCTTCTTGTCCATGAACATGGGCTGTTTTTCTACTTATGTAGATCTTCTGTAATTTATTTCAGTAATGTTTTATAGTTCTCAGAGTATTAGTTTTACACTTCTTTTGTTATAGTTATTCTTAAATATTTTATTCTTTTAGATGCTATTGTAAACAGAATTGTTTCCTTCATTTTCAGATCATTTATTTCAAGTATATAAAAATATAATTAATTTTTGTGTATTGATCTTGTGCCCTGCAGCCTTGATGAACTCATTTATTGTTTTAACAATTTTTGGTGTATTCTTTAAAACTTTCTTTGTAAGTTCATGGCCCCTTTCTGCTTTTTTTTCTTTTAAAGAAACAATCACAATAAAGAGGGAATCAGATGATCTCAATGTATCATTTTATAACACTTTTCTGGATATGAGAAAGTAACATTTTCTCATCCAGAGGAAAAATATGTAAAAGGAATTAAGAGGAAAGTGATAACTTCCACTTTCTCAGTTGACTGTGCAACTGGGCTGGCCAAAAAAATATCATGTATAATATTTGTTATTACAAATGCATTGTTCCATTTTATATGGCTATCTGATGAACACACTCAAGAAAAACTTAAAATCAACTATAAAATAAAGTGAAAAAGCAAAATCCAAATCAATAAAGATATTTTGGGAACTCTCAAAAAGAATAAACAGAATTTTATTTGCTACACTAAGCAAAGAATCAAGAAAATGTTAACCAGTTCAGAGGACCAAATGGAACTTCTCTGCTTGTAGAAAATTCACTCATAGCTAGCACAAAACATTTCTCACGCAAAAGGCCTTATATTCCCAAAGTACCCTGTTCTCTTCTTTGCTATTTATCAGCAGTTTTTGAATGTACCATAATTTATCCTCATGTTTCTCAGATACAGTGTTTGATGACTTGTAATAAAAGCACTAAAATGATACTATGGTAGACTCTGAGAACATATATCACCACAGCCTGACTTGAATGCTTCCACATAAAAACCTAGGTGCTAACCCATACTAAACAGTGCCCACTGCTTCCTGGGCTGGAGACAATCTCAGTGCTGCCCTCTCATGGCAGGAGGAGTAACCATGCTCCCTTTGCAATTGGGAAAAGCCCTAAAAGGCTGACCAGCATGTTGTGATGTACAGTAAGACTTTTCAATGTACGGAAAATACATTGGTGACTAAGGAAGCACAATGTATCCTATGAATCCATAATTATTTACATCCTTGGACTATTTTTTGGCCCTGTGTTGATGTGTATAAATTTACCAATTATGTGTTTTCATCAGAGGAGGATGTTGGAATTAATGTACCACAAACACTTATTGCAACTATTCCATCTTCTCAATCTTTAAGTTCTAAAGCAAAACATCTTCTCATTCAACACTACTGAGGAACTATATAAAATATTTACTTAGAACTACACTGACATCTAGTGAGGCTAACAATGTGCTCACTGTAAATAATATCTTATTTGCTAAAACACTGATGTTCTGAGAACGTATTAATCCATAAGACTGTTCACAATTCCTTATCTGAATAATTATGTTTTCTGATAATTCTCAACAAATCAATGTGATTAAAACTATGAAAAAGCATTCACTAGTAATAAATGTATCTAAATATGATTTTTTAATTACTGAGGAAATAAGAAACATGCAAGAAACATAAGAAAGGTTATTCTTCTTTGCAACATGTAAAAATGAAAAATTTTAAAAGATAATGATTTTTATGTTTGTTCACTTTTCAAATGAGATTGATCGCTTCCTTGCTTTCATTTTGTTCAATGTGAGGATGCTCAACTGCTTTGACTAGGTATCAAAGGAATTTATTAAAATCCTAGAGAGAAACCAAAATAATTGGCTCTCTTTTTGGCAGACTTGATAAACATTTTATTTTGCAAAAGTATATTTTAATTCTGGGATAACATTAAATGTTTCTTTGAGAAAGGTATATCCCAGTGTATTGTAACCTATAAAATCTTTAATAATTGTAGTTAAGAATATAAAGTTCTGGTTATTATGAATGATAATGTCAGGCCTCTGAGCCCAATCTAAGCCATCATATCCCCTGTGACCTGCACGTACACATCCAGATGGCCGATTCCTGCCTTAACTGATGACATTCCACCACAAAAGAAGTGAAAATGGCCTGTTCCTGCCTTAACTGATGACATTGTCTTGTGAAATTCCTTCTCCTGGCTCATCCTGGCTCAAAATCTCCCCTACTGAGCACCTTGTGACCTCCACTCTGCCCACCAGAGAACAACCCCCCTTTGACTGTAATTTTCCTTTATCTACCCAAATCCTATAAAACAGCCCCACCCTTATCTCCCTTCGCTGACTCTCTTTTCAGACTCAGCCCACCTGCACCCAGGTGAAATAAACAGCTGTATTGCTCACACAAAGCCTGTTTGGTGGTCTCTTCACACAGACACGAGTGAAATTTGGTGCCGTGACTTGGATCGGGGGACCTCCCTTGGGAGATCAATCCCCTGTCCTCCTGCATTTTGCTCCATGAGAAAGATCCACCTACAACCTCTGGTCCTCCGACCAACCAGCCCAAGGAACATCTCACCAATTTTAAATCCAATAAGCAGCCTTTTTTACTCTCTTCTCCAACCTCTCTCACTATCCCTCAACGTCTTTCTTCTTTCAATCTTGGCGCCACACTTCAATCTCTCCCTTCTCTTAATTTCAATTCCTTTCATTTTCTGGTAGAGACAAAGGAGACACTTTTATCTGTGGACCCAAAACTCCGGCACCAGTCACGGACTAGGGAAGGCAGCCGTCCCTTGGTGTTTAATCATTGCAAGGATGCCTCTCTGATTATTCACCCAGGTTTCAGTGGTGTCAGACCACGCAGGGACGCCTGCCTTGGTCCTTCACCCTTAGCGGCAAGTCCCGCTTTTCTGGGGGAGGGGCAGGAACCCCAACCTCTTGTCTCTGTGCCCCCATCCGTTATTTCTGTGCCCCGACCTCTTATCTCTGTGCCCCGATCCCTTATTTCCATGCCCTGACCTCTTATCTCTGTGCCCCAACCCCTTATTTCCACACCCCGACCCCTTCTCTGCTTTTCTGGAGGGCAAGAAACCCCCACCCCTTCTCTGTGTCTCTACTGTCTTTTCTCTGGGCTTGCCTCCTTCACTATGGGCAAGCTTTCACCTTCCATTCCTCCTTCTTCTCCCTTAGCCTGTGTTCTTAAGAACTTAAAACCTCTTCAACTCTCACCTGACCTAAAATTTAACCATCTTATTTTCTTCTGCAATGCCGCTTGACCCCAATACAAACTCGACAGTAGTTCCAAATAGCCAGAAAATGGCACTTTCAATTTTTCCACCCTACAAGTTCTAAATAATTTTTGTCATAAAATAGGCAAACGGTCTGAGGTGCCTGATGTCCAGGCATTCTTTTACACATCAGTCCCTCCCTAGTCTCTGTTCCCAATGCAACTCATCCCAAATCTTCCTTGTTTCCCTCCCACCTGTCCCCTCAGTCCCAACCCCAAGTGTCACTGAGTCTTTCTAATCTACCTTTTCTACAGACCCATCTGACCTCTCCCTTCCTCGCCAGGCCGAGCTAGGTCCGAATTCTTCCTCAGGCTCCGCTCCTCCAACCTATAATCTTTTTATCAACTCCCCTCCTCACACCCAGTCCGGTTTACAGTTTCATTCCGTGACTAGCCCTCCCCAACCTGCCCAGCAATTTCCTCTTAAAAAGGTGGCTGAAGCTAAAGGCATAGTCAAGGTTAATGCTCCTTTTTCTTTATCTGACCTCTCCCAAATCAGTAGCGTTTAGGCTGTTTCATCAAATATGAAAAACCCAGCCCAGTTCATGGCTCGTTCGGCAGCAACCCTGAGACTCTTTACAGCCCTAGACCCTAAAAGGTCAAAAGGCCATCTTATTCTCAATATACGTTTTATTACCCAATCTGCTCCTGACATTAAATAAAACTCCAAAAATTAAATTCTGGCCCTCAAACCCCACAACAGGACTTAATTAACCTCAACTTCAAGGTGTACAATAATAGAGTAGAGGCAGCCAAGTAGCAATGTATTTCTGAGTTGCAATTCCTTGCCTCCACTGTGAGACAAACCCCAGCCACATCTCCAGCACACAAGAACTCCAAAGGCCTGAACCGCAGCTGCCAGGGGTTCCTCCAGAACCTCCTCCCCCAGGAGCTTGCTACAAGTGCTGGAAATCTGGCCACTGGGCCGAGGAACACCCACAGCCCAGGATTCCTCCTAAGCCGTATCCCATCTGTGTGAGACCCCACTGAAAATCAGACTGTTCAACTCACCTGGCAGCCACTCCCAGAGCCCCTGGAACTCTGGCCCAAGGCTCTCTGACTGACTCCTTCCCAGATCTTCTTAGCTTAGCGGCTGAAGACTGACTCTGTCCGATTGCCTCGGAAGCCCCGTAGACCATCATGGACGCCGAGCTTTGAGTAACTCTCACAGTGGAAAGTAAGTCCGTCCTCTTCTTAATCAATATGGAGGCTACCCACTCCACATTACCTTCTTTTCAAAGGCCTGTTTCCCTTGCCTCTATAACTGTTGTGGGTATTGACGGCCAGGCTTCTAAACCTCTTAAAACTTCCCAACTCTGGTGCCAACTTAGACAATACTCTTTTAAGCACTCCTTTTTAGTTATCCCCACCTGCCCAGTTCCCTTATTAGGCAGAGACACTTTAACTAAATTATCTGCTTCCCTGACTATTCCTGGATTACAGCTACATCTTACTGCCGCCCTTCTTCCCAATCCAAAGCCTCCTTTGAGTCCTCCTCTTGTATCCCCCCACCTTAACCCACAAGTATAAGATACCTCTACTCCCTCCTTGGCGACTGATCACACACTCCTTACCATCTCATTAAAACCTAACCACCTTTACCCCGATTAATGCCAATATCCCATCCCACAGCATGCTTTGAAAGGGTTAAAGCCTGTTATCACTCACCTGCTACAGCATGGCCTTTTAAAGCCTATAAACTCTCCTTACAATTCCCCCATTTTATCTGTCTAAAACCAGACAAGCCTTACAAGTTAGTTCAGGATCTATGACTTATCAACCAAATTGTTTTGCCTATCCACCCCATGGTGCTAAACCCATATACTCTCCTATCCTCAATACCTCCCTCCACAATCCATTATTCTGTTCCAGATCTCAAACCTGCTTTCTTTACTATTCCTTTGCACCCTTCATCCCAGCCTTTCTTTGCTTTCACCTGGACTGACCCTGACACCCATCAAGCTCAGCAAATTACCTAGGCTGTACTGCCGCAAAGCTTCACAGGCAGCCCCCATTACTTCAGTCAAGCCCAAATTTCTTCCTCATCTGTTACCTATCTCGGCATAATTCTCATAAAAACACATGTGCTCTCCCTACTGATCGTGTCTGATTAATCCCTAAACCTCAATCCCTTACAAAACAACAACTCCTTTCCTTCCTAGGCATGGTTAGTGCGGTCAGAATTCTTATACAAGAGCCAGGACTGCACCCTGTAGCCTTTCTGTCCAAACAACTTGACCTTACTGTTTTAGCCTAGCCCTCATGTCTGCATGCAGTGGCTGCCACTGCTTTAATACTTTTAGAGGCCCTAAAAATCACAAACTATGCTCAACACACTCTCTACATTTCTCATAACTTCCAAAATCTATTTTCTTCCTCATACCTGATGCATATACTTTCTGCTCCCGGCTCCTTCAGCTGTACTCACTCTTTAAGTCCGACAATTACCATTGTTCCTGGCCCGGACTTCAATCTGGCCTCCCACATTATTCCTGATACCACACCTGACCCCCATGACTGTATCTCTCTGATCCACCTCATTTCCCCATGTTTCCTTCTTTCCTGTTCCTCACCCTGATCACGCTTGATTTATTGATGGCAGTTCCACCAGGCCTAATCGCCACACACCACCAAAGGCAGGCTATGCTATAGTACAAGCCACTAGCCCGCCTCTTAGAACCTCTCATATTCTTTCCATCGTGGAAATCTATCCTCAAGGAAATAACTTCTCAGTGTTCCATCTGCTATTCTACTACTCCTCAGGGATTATTCAGGCCTCCTCCCTTCCCTACACATCAAGCTCGAGGATTTACCCCAACCCAGGACTGGCAAATTAGCTTTACTCAACATTCCCCATGTCAGATAACTAAAATACCGCTTAGTCTAGGTAGACAATTTCACTGGATAGGTAGAGGCCTTTCCTACAGGGTCTGAGAAGGCCACCATAGTCATTTCTTCCCTTCTGTCAGACACAATTCCTCAGTTTAGCCTTCCCATGTCTATACAGTCTGATAACAGATCAGCCTTTATTAGTCAAATCAGCCAAGCAGTTTTTCAGGCTCTTAGTATTCAGTGAAAGCTTTATATCCCTTACAGTCCTCTGCCTTCAGGAAAAGTAGAACGGACTAAAGGTCTTTTAAAAACACACCACACCAAGCTCAGCCACCAACTTAAAAAGGACTGGATGATACTTTTACCACTTTCCCTTCTCAGAAGTCAGACCTGTCCTCAGAATGCTACAGCGTACAGCCCATTTGAGCTCCTGTACAGACGGTCCTTTTTATTAGGCCCCAGTCTCATTCCAGACGCCAGACCAACTTAGACTGTGCCCCCAAAAAACTTGTCATCCCTACTATCTTCTGTCTAGTCATACTCCTATTCACCGTTCTCAACTACTCATACATGCCCTGCTCTTGTTTACACTGCCAGTTTACACTGTTTCTCCAAGCCATCACAGCTGATATCTCCTGGTGCTATCCCCAAACTGCCACTCTTAACTCTTGAAGTAAATAAATAATCTTTGCTGGCAGGACTATGCTGAATCTCCTTAGGCACTCTCTAATCTGATGTCCTGGGTCCTCCCAATTCTTAGACCTTTTATACCTGTTTTTCTCCTTCTGTTATTCCATTTAGTTTTTCAATTCATACAAAACCATATCCAGGCCATCACCAATAATTCTACACAACAAATATTTCTTCTAACAACCCCACAATATCACCCCTTACCACAAAATCTTCCTTCAGCTTAATCTCTCCCACTCTAGGTTCCCACGCCGCCCCTAATCCCACTTGAAGCAGCCCTGAGAAACATCGCCCATTCTCTCTCCATATCACCCCCCCAAAATTTTCACCACCCCAACACTTTACCACTATTTCATTTTATTTTTCTTATTAATATAAGAAGACAGGAATGTCAGGCCTCTGAGCCCAAGCTAAGCCATCATATCCCTTGTGACCTGCACGTACACATCCAGATGGCCGGTTCCTGCCTTAACTGATGACATTCCACCACAAAAGAAGTGAAAATGGCCTGTTCCTGCCTTAACTGATGACACTGTCTTGTGAAATTCCTTCTCCTGGCTCATCCTGGCTCAAAAGCTCCCCTACTGAGCACCTTGTGACCCCCACTCTGCCCGCCAGAGAATAACCCCCCTTTGACTATAATTTTCCTTTATCTACCCAAATCCTATAAAATGGCCCCATCCTTATCTCCCTTCACTGACTGTTTTCGGACTCAGCCCACCTGCACCCAGGTGAAATAAACAGCTTTATTGCTCACACAAACCTGTTTGGTGGTCTCTTCACATGGACGCGAGTGAAATTGTGGTGAAAACCCCAAACCTTACTCATGTAATTTCATATCTCAAACAGATTTCAATACTTACCCTCCTCCTATCCACTTTTACTACATACCCACCACCTGCAACGTATTTGGTAGGATTTTAAAGAGTTTAGATGAACTGTTGGAACATCACCATCTTCACTTATGAAGCTGTACTGCTGAAAGATGACATTGTGAAAAATAAAGGTTTTTTTCTTTGACTGTGACCTCAATTGCTGAGTTACAAGTGGCAATAGGGTGCCTATCAAGTCCTCAGGGAAGGCCCATTTGGCACAGCTGGATACAAGGGTTCCTTGCTTAAAGATCCCCCCCCTGCCTCTTCCTGCGCTCCAACCTCCCATGCTACCTGACATCATTACCTACACTTGGCTGACTTCTGTCATAACTCCCCACACAAAACTCTTCAGGCTCGCAAACATTGCTGCCACAGGGGTGGTGGCAGGTGTGCGGTGTACATGCCGTACACTGCAACAGGCCTATCTGGGTCAACACAAGGTCAGTTACCAAGAGATCTCAATTCATGCAGCTCCAAAGTAGATTCAAGGCAAATTTCAAAAATTTTATGATGATTCAGTTCCTGTTTAAGCTTCCAAAAAGGTCAAGGGAGAAACTTAAAAGATTTGACAGATTTTAGAAAGGCAATTGGTACAATAAAAATAGTTTCTTCTGCAGAGGCTTTCCATAATGGCATTGTCTTGAACCGATTTCAAAGGTAAAAAACAAAAATCTAGAAGCCTACCACCTGGGACTGATTTGAAAATGTTTACATTTGTGTGCCATGGCCACATCTCAGGGTTAAAGAAAACCTGAATATCAAGAGCGTCTCTTCTAGGCTGGGCGCGGTGGCTCATTCCTGTAATACCAGCACTTTGGGAGGCCAAGGTGGGTGGATCACGAGGTCAGGAGTTCAAGACCAGCCTGACCAATATGGTGAAACCCTGTCTCTACAAAAAATGCAAAAATTAGCCGGATTTGGTGGCACGCACCTGTAGTCCCAGCTACTCAGGAGGCTGAGGCAGGAGAATCGCTTGAACCCGGGAGGCAGAGGTTGCAGTGAGCCGAGATCGCGCCACTGCAATCTAGCCTGGGTGACGGAGTGAGCCTCTGTCTCAAAAATAAATAAATAAGTAAATAAAAGTAAATAAATGAATAGATAGTGTCTTCTATTGATGGCTAATATTTCCTGAGTCCTTCCTATGTGCTGGGAATTGTGCTAAATTGGTAAAACTTATTATCTTATTAAATCCTCCTAATAATTCCAATGACGTGGATAGTTACTCCTTACACATTATACAGCGGATTGAAGATCAAATATAATTAAGTAAATTGCCCAAAATCACTGCCAGCAAATGGCAAATCTAAGATTCAAATCCAGTTTGTCTCCAAAGACACTTAAGTTTTATACCCTAATTTTCCACTTCTGGTTCCTATGCCTTCTTAAACTGATTTCTTCTTGTCTTTTACACCACTTCTATATCTCAATATGCTGCTTCCATCTTTCTCTGGTATGACATATGAAATCCAAATTTGTCCTTCCTCCCTCCTGCACACCCTTCCTCTTTCTTTCCTTCCTTATTAACAAACTTTTACTGTGCACTTACTCTATGCTAAAATTTCTTCTGAGTGCTGGTCTCCTAAGCTTACACAGTTGTTGGGGGCAGGATCTACATTTTTTCATTGTGCTACTCCTTATGCCTGCCAAGACGGGGTTAAATTAAAGAGTGCATATATGGATGATATTCAGAGCAAAATCCTGTTGTCTAGGAACCTCACAGTCTTGGGCCTACAGAGGTGAATCTGGGCACCCTAGTAAATGGTATTTGCTGGAGAGAACAAACAAGTTATGGTGAGGGAGGGATGTACAGCTTTGAGGAACTACCAGCAGCTAGAGGCCCTGGCTACTCAGTTGCATATTTAATCCTCCTCCCCTTCTTTGCACAATTGGACAGGCTGAGGTGCAAAAACGTAAAAAGAGAAATTCAGTTATGTGTGCTGAGCTTACCATGTGTGCTTTATGTTGGTTTGTCTGTTTATTGGTTAAAGGACTCCAGATATAGGAAAGTTGATTACTTTTCTTCTTTCCCAAATTTCCTCTATATCAATTAAAAGTGACCACCCTATTTTCAAACATATGCAGTTGTGTGGCATTGTCGAAGAGTCTTTTGTTTTTCCACCTTAGACATGCAATGTTTTATTTAAAAGTGAGATTAATTGGGGTGGAATATTTAAAATACATTTAGATGTTTAGAATTTAAAGGAAAGTTTGGGACAGTGCTTTTTGTTCTATTCCTATTTATAAACATATGGACTATTCATAAAGATGAATATCAGAAGCCACATTTATCTTTGCTGTTTACAAGTAATGCTGAATGCCTTCCAGGGCAAATGGAAAATCACTGTGACTAAAGGGGAGAAAAAAAAGCCTTAAACATGGTTCTGTTTAAGATCTATCTTAAGGTGTTGCTGCTTATTGCAAAATGCAACCTTTTGAAACAACATCAAGAAAAAAGAAGCCCTAAATAACAACAGCAGTCATAAAAGAGGTATAGTCTTTTTTTCTGTCCATAGTAACACTCTCACGAGAGTACTTTTATGTGAGACTGTCATGTACAAGTTGTGAAATCAAGCTTCCTGCAAGTGTGAGCTCTGAGAGACTTGAGAAATTTTACAACTGTTTAGCTACTAACTCAATAGTGAACAAAGCAGACGGAATTTTAGTCTCTATAAACCAAATAAATTCTCGGCTGCACAGTCATCTTCACAGAATCTTTGGAAATAGCAGATCATTATTCTTTGCCATGGCCCGTGATAATCATTTCCATGCTAGTCTTAAGCTTGTAAGTACATATGATGCCTGGTATGGCTAGTGACAGTATATATAACTGAATTTAAAATACATAGATATGCGGTTTATTTTTTATAAAAATGCCAAGACAATTGAATAGGGGAAAGCAGAGTTTTTTCAACAAATTATGCTTGGACAACTGGATATCTACATGCCAGAGATGAAGCTGGACCTCTCTGTCACATCATGTATACAATTAATTCAAACTGAGTCATAGACCTAAATGTAAAAGCGAAAACTACAAAACTCTTAGAAGAAAACATAGGAATAATTCTTCATGATCTTGGATTAGATGACAGTTTCTTAGATAAGACACCAAAAGTATAAGTGAGACAAAAATAGATAAATTAGCATCATCAAAATTAAAAACTTCTGTGCTTCAAAGAACACCATCAATAAAGTGAAAAGACAGCCCACAGAATGGGAGAAAATAATTTGCAAATCATGTATTTTATATGAACTTGTATCCAGAATATATTAAAAACACAACTCAAAAATAAAAACAATCCAATAAAAATGGGCCAAGAATCTGAATAGACATAATCCAGGAAAGATATACAAATAGACAATAAGCACATAAAAACATGTTTAACATCATGCTTCATTAAATAAATGCAAATTCAAACTACAAGGAGATACTACTTTATACCTGATAGGATGGCTAAGATTTAAAAAGAGAGATGATAACATGTGTTGGCAAAGTGTCTTCACGTGGTCTCTGTGTCCTACTCTCCTCTTCTTACTGGTGGGACTGTAAAATGGTACAGCCTTTTGGAAAACCATTTTGCTGTTCCTTAAAAGGCTAAGACTCAGGTTACCATATGATACAGCAATTCTACTCCTAGGTATATACCCAAGAGAAGTGAAAACATGTGTCCCCTACACAAACTTGTACTTCCACAAATAGAAGTTTTATTGTTAAAAATATACATGATGAATAATTACTACATTGAAAAATTTATATTTAATGATATGAGAATTGAGGTTTTCATTTGGAAAGACTTGATGTTATTTGCTGCCAACCTCTCAATATAATCATTCACTTTCTCACTTGAGAATATCTTATGCTCAAATCGATAAATGTAGTGTAATCTCATTTATGTAAAAATGTATATGAAAAAAATCTTAAATTCTAACATGTTTATAATGGTTATGCTATCTCTAGTTTACAAAATTCTAAAATTTTTTATTCTTCTATTTTTCTGCATTTCTAAATTAACCATAGTAACCACTTAATTTACAAATAATATTTTAAAATTTGTAATTGATACAAGCACTCACATTATAGAATACCAAGAAAAGCTGGTATTTAAACATTCAAAATGTTTCTTAAATCTGTTTTTATTAAGCAAGTTAACAGTTAAGTAAAAGAACTCCACAGAGCTCAAAAAAAAAAAAACTGAAGTAAAAATCTAGCATAATGAATGGGCATTGCAGACAGTGGCTGCTCTAAGGGTAACTGCTGATCCTTTAACCTAAAGCTTTGCATTTCAACAACCATGTGGAGGGACAAGGGGCACAGTCTTGACCCTAAGCAATGAGGGAAGACCTGAAAAACCATGACCCTAAGGAATGAGTAAACTAGAAAGAGAAAATCCAGCAAGCATAGGGAACGTAAAAGAAAACTTGTCTGTTTTGTCCTTGGTTCTGGGTGAAGAAGAATAAAAAAAATTCTCTGCTTCATAAAAGTTTAGAATTCATAAAAATGATGTAGATTTGTGATTTGCATTCATACTATTGGCATGTGTGCAGAAGGTCTAGGCTTATTTTAGTAAAGCTTTAGTTCTAGTTTGTAGGGCTTCTAGGGGCTTGGCAAAAGCAAATGTAATCTTTCTTTGAAGAAGTGGATTTTCAATATAGGACATGAAGAATTCCCAAAGATATAGTCCAGATGAGTGTAGAGTGATGATAAACATACACATCTGCAAGAACACAAACAACACACATACAAAATATGTTTATTTGAACAAAATCAGCACAAAAACTAAAAACATACTTATAACTTACAAAGGTTTAAGTTATTAATGTTATCAGATACATAAATAAAATGTATATAAAGAAGAAGATACTATGACAAAGACCAGGATGATTAGAAAAAAATCTAGAAATAGTAAATAAAATTATTAAAACAAAATACTAAGGAAAAAATACTTGATGGATGAATTAAATAGCAGATTAGATACAGCTGAATAGAGAATTAGCAAACTGAAAGAAAGACCAGAAGAAACTGTCCAGAATTCATTATAGTGAGACAAATAAATAAAACATTACGAAGAGAACAGATTAAGGGGAGACAATGTACTTACTTAAAGAAACAACAGTTTAGAATATCTAAAAAGTAATGACATTTGCCTGATGGCACACAACTCAATATCAACAATGATGGGAAGAAAACACAGGAATTAGGTTTTCTTAATACTGAACAATAAAATAACTGATGTGGGCAAAATAAAGATATTTTCAAAGAAAGTAAAACTGTATTTACCATCAACAGAACTTCTTCAATGGACCTTTTAAAAATTATATTTCAAGAAGAAGGATGATGGAAATCTAAGTAGAAAGAAGGAATGATGGTAATCATGGGTAATATTCAGGTAAATCTGCATCAATATTGACTATCTGAAACAACCACAATAATGCTAATGTGAAACAACCACAATAATGCTAATATCCAATTTGGAAGGCTTAATAGAAGAAGACTAAAATACTGCAATACGATGGAATGTAATATTACAGTTGACTAGAGTTAAAATGCTAAGGTCCTTGAATTATCTGGAAAGAGGATAAAGATATTAATTAAATCACTTATAAATGGAATCTAAAAAAATTGAACTCATACAACTAGAGTAGAATGATGGTTACCAGAGGGATGGGGGTGTGACTGGGAAGATGTTGGTCAAGGGATACAAAATTTCAATTAGACAGGAGGAATAAATTCAAGAGACCTATTGTACATCACAGTGATTATAGTTAATCACAATATTTTGTATTTTAAAAATTGCTAACAGAGTAGATTTTAAGTGCTCTCACCACAAAAAAAGATAAGTATGTGAGGCAATACATATGTTAATTAACCTTGATTTAGCCATTCCATAATGTATGCATATACCAAAACATCATGCTGTACACAATAAATATATACGATTTTTATTTGCCATTTAAAAATAAATTAATTCATTTAGGACTTTGGTAATATACATGTTAAAATTTTAAGAATGACATTGAAAGAATAGAAATCAAGCATTTAATTTTTAAACTAATACAGGCTAAAAATGGAATAAGAAGAAGGGGAAAAAATGGTCCAGGGGAAAAGGAGAGTTTTAAAAAAAAGCCCAAAGCACAGAATGCATAAAATGCAAAGCCAGTGTTTAAATAATAGGGAAAAAATCCCAATATATCAATAACTTAGAAAATTACAATAAATGTAAATAAACTAAACATGACTCTTAAAAGGCGATGATTATAATTTCAAATTAAAAATCAATTCCAGCTATAGTGTATTCATATAGGACATACAGAGTACTACTCTTAATATCAGATGAGAGAGACCCCTGATCTTGGTCCTATGCTTCAGAGTCTTACAACTCAAGAGATGGATCTCGGACCAACAGCAACAGCATCACTCAGGCACCTGTTAGAAATGCTGACTGTTAGGCCCCATCCGAGATCTAAAGATTCAGAATCTGCATTTTAAGAAGCTTCTCCGGGTGATGCATATGTACCATTAATGTTTGAGAAGCGCTGCTTTAAATGGCACATCATACCACCAACACACAAATTATATTAAAGACCACATTGACACCTTTGTCATTCTGTCACAGCATGATCTATAATCCTAAACATCCACGGTTGTGTCTAATACCATTCACATTCCAGAAAAAGTACTTCTCCACATTTCCTTGCCCTAAATCCTTGAAACAAATGGTCACTGTGTTCAAATGCCGTAAAGATTTGCAGGTTTTACCGCAGCTAAGAAGGAGCTAGTCACTGCTTCACAGTGTGTATGGTGGGAGGGGAAATAGAATGAGAAGAATTTGAGATTATGATAAAAGAGAACCTATGAAAAAAAATCTTAGGAGGAAAAAAGCCAAAAAAATAAAATACACAAATAAGCAGTCTACTGACATTTTTAAAAACTAGAAATAATGAAAGTGGGTAAATCTCTGTCAAGCATTCATCATAAAAAATTTTCAAACAACACATTTTATATTTAATGAGGATTTAATTACTAGCCAAAATAATAAAAATGAGCAAGAGAATTATTCTGATCTAATTTGTAACTGGAATCGGTCAGATGAGGCCTTTGTAATTTGAAAATCTTTCCTAAATGAAGATATAATTACTGAATAAAGCAATTAGAATGCATGTGGGCCTCTATTTGTACTCTTGCCTCAGGCTCTGCAAATATTAGGAGCAGACTTGGACATATATGAAATATAAGTACACAGAAAGACTGAAAATTATAGGATGAAAAAAGATATAAAAGGCAAACACTGACCAAAGGAAATCTTAATGGCTATTTTAATTTCAGCAAAACAAAAACAAAAACAGACTTAGACTTCTGAACCATAACATGCTCACATTTAGGTCTGAAAAAGAATGCAATGCAAAAAAACTGACAGAAATAAACCAAAATTATATCATTACTTACACCAAAGTGGTAGGAGTATGGGAACACTTCCCCTCTCTTATTTTTTCTATATTTTTCAAAAACATATATAATTTTTAAACAAAGAAATACAATTAGGGCAATTAATAGCTTCTTTTCTCCCTTATAAAGAAATTTCTATTTTACTTTTGTGTGTGGAGGTGGGAACGGCTGGAAGTAGCACGGCCTCCATGGATATGAGAGTTGGAGACTCAAGTGCTGCCATGTGGCTGAGAAGGAAGAAAAAAGAGGGGGTTACTTTACAAAATGAATGGGAACACCAGTGTTCATCGCAGCATTATTTTTAATAGGCAAAAGGTGAAAATAACCCTAGTGTCCATCATCTAATGAATGGAAAAACAAAGTACGGTATAGCCATACAATGGAATATTATTCAGTGTTAAAGAGGAACAAAGTTCTGATACATGCTACAACACAGATGAACCTTAAAAAACATTATGCTAAATAAAATTAGTCAGACACAAGATGACAAATATTGAATGATTCCACTTATAGGAAATAGCTAGAACAGCCAAATTCATAGAGACAGAAAGTAGAATTGAAGTTACCAGGGACTGGTAGAAGAGGAGAATAAGGAGTTATTACTTAATATTACAGAGTCTCCGTTTGGGGTGATGACAAATTTAGGAAACATCCAGTGATTGTTCAATCTAACGGCCAAAGGAGAGCTCAGGCGGCAAAATGAAATAGTTGATTTTATAAAGAGCTTGTTGGCAAGGAGTACTGGTCTTCGCAGATTCACCCTTTTACTTGAAAGCCATCAACCAAGACATATAATATATATCCCCTGCCAGCTGGCCGTCATGGGAGAGGCAGGCTCCAATGTCTCTAATGACATAATTATTCTACCCATAGACTGGAAGAATAGCTGGAGTTCTGAGATTACACCAAAATCAAGATATAATACCATATACTTGAAAAATCTAAGCAGTAAAGAGTAGCTCAGAGATCTTATCAAGTACAAAAAAAAGGAACTAAGAAAATAGTCATAGAATTCAGTAAGTTGGGTTAAAATAAGATAAAGAAAATGTTTTATAAAACTAGAAGATGAAAAAGAAATCAGAAGAGGTTGCTAATTAAGAAAAATGTGATAATTATAACTGTGCAGTAAAATTTCTTTTTAGGAAGGACAATATGTCAAAGTAAACCTTTACTATATGGTGGTCAGGGAATTAGATCTGCACCATTTATGGACAGGAAATTGCATCACGGAGCAGAAGCCGGGAAAATAAAGGCAAACGTGAGGCTGCATATGTACAAAGGACTGCCCCACTGCCCATGAAGATGGCGATCACCTCTAACAGTGTCCTGGAAGCCTGTGTCAGGTTATCGCAGGCCATACCCTCCAAGTAGCTACTGATCGACTGAAAGGGATTTAGAGAAAAGTGGCAAGAAGGATTAAGGGACTATTGGGAATGATTTACAAAACTTAAAAATTGCCTGAACACATTCTGTGTCTGAGCATATAGGTGGGGGATGAAAGAGATGGAAGCATGCCACAATTGAAAAGTGCTAAGGGTTGTAAACAGCAGGGAAAGAAAGGGGTTTTTAAGCTACTAGAGGGATGAATATATCTTCTGGATTAGTAAATGGATAATTTAGCGTAAGTATCAAGACTATTTCCTAATTATTCCAACTCTAATTGAAATAGATTTTGGTTTCAAACTATTAAACAAGATAAGTCTTTATAACTGGGATCTAACAGCAAAGCCATCCCCTCCTTTAAACCACTGATCACGTGCACTGCTAAATCAATGTACACATAAACCCCACATATCCAACATAGATGAATAAAAAACTAGAAGGAAGTACATTTAAATGTCGTGTATACACGTGTTGATTGTATGAAAATACATTCATGTACCAACAGTAATTACATTTTATTGGTAGATTTATGAATAATTGTAACTTTCCTCTTTTTTTTTTCCTTTTGTCATTTCGAGAAGACAATGAGTATACCTGCATTTAAAATTGGGAAGGGAACAAAATTTCATTTTCAAAACTAGCATCCTGGATTTCTTCTTCCTTATTTCTTTTCGACATGTTATACTGGGGATGAGGCGAGGAAACTCTTTCCAGAGAGAAGTCATTCCATACTCTTAAATATGGTCTACAGGCATAGTTTGCATAAAATAGTGCTGAGTTTTGGTGTTCATAGGTTGGCACAAAACCCTGAAAGAGATATAAAGTAAGGTCTGGCGCCATCCCATCCTTTAAACCTTCTAAAGATTGAGATACCATCAGCATGCTCTGTGGGGGTACTAAGAATGGTCTTTTACTTGTCAGACCAGTCAGTATTGCGATGTATAACTCCTTGGAGGACCTGATCTTGCTCATCATAGAGGGACACCATAGTTCTTATTCCAGAAAAAAGCCTGGTTACTACTCTTCCCTAGTTGTCATAAGTCCTAGTCAGAAGAACTTATTTTTGACTAAGTGATTCTTTTGCCCATTGATGTTCTTTTATCAAACAGCACATCAAATCATATTCAAATGTAATATCTCAAATAACTTTGAGTCCTTCGTAGGCATTGAAAAGCCCATGACAAACCACCCTTTCTTGCCTTTCTGGAACCCAGTCAAAATTTCATGTCCATATAGCCAGAAAGAGACACTCTCTGATACTGGGAAGAAGCAAACTGGTGTCATTTCTTACTCTAGTATTTATTCTTGGTTCTGGTTCTAATTATAATATCTTTATCTGCTATGGTTTGAATGGGACTCTTCTAGAATAAAGCTTGCCCCCTTTTCCTGCGGCACTTTTACATACTAAAGTCTCTGCCAGCACACTTATTCTACACCCCACTGGCTGGCTGTCCTGCAGGTGGAGAGTTTAATTCCTGTTGTCACCAATATGCATTATGGAGTCTCGACAAACAGCTTGCTTCAGCCCTAACAATAACACTACTGTTTTGCTCAAGTCAGTATGTGGTATTCAGGTGCACAGCAAGGTTCAAAATTAGAGAAAGTTGAAGTGCCATCTGGGATCATCCTCAGCTCTCTTTACCAGCAATTGTGAGGCAATCTTGAACCACAAACCTTCTGTTGGAGAATCTGCATTCAGACTGTCTGCACAGACACAGGAGGGTGGCCAATCATAGAAACTTAAGGCAGGCAGAAACCTGAGGTCTCTTCATCATCCTCTGGCTGTGCCACTTACTCAAACCAAGCAACAGTCTGCTAATTGGTCCCTCTTCCTACAACCTATGGCTACTTTAACCCATGCCACACTGAAGCCAGGGTGATCCACTGGCACACATATCTGATGGAGTTATTCCTCTAATTTACCTTTTAAAGACTTCCTCAATGCTTTCAGGATAAAATCCAATCTCCACAGCCCATAATACTTCTCCAAATCTGCACTGAAATTTTATGTGTGTTTCTCCCTCTCCCAACAGATATAAGTTTCATGGAGTTGAGGATCACATCTCATTCATTGTTCCTTGCTTCCTGGGTCCTGAACACAATGCTAGGCATATGGTAGAAACACAATATTATTTAATAAATGAGGGAATGAATGAATATAGTTTAACTTTCTCTTCTATAAACTGGATCAAGCCTAGAAGTTATGACATGCCAAAGAGCTCACAACAAATAAATAGCCTGGGCCTGCCTGCCTGTCATGGTACTATACTGTTTTCAAATATGGGCATCATTGCATCTCCACATCTGGTCAGCTGTTCTGGAAAGGTCAGGAGATGTTGCTCTGTATTCAAAGGGGAAACAGAAATTAAAGATGTGTATGTCAGATACCTGAAGCCCTTCTGCCCTTACTTATCATTTCTGTCCATTCCTATAATTAATAGTCTATTAGCCAGACTTGGTCAAATTTCTTCATACTACATACAATTAAAATAGAACTTTGCCTACCCAACATTCAACAAATATTTATTTAGCTTTCATATGTCTGAGATACAGTTTTCAATTCTGTGGATACCAAGATAAGTTATGTTCTTAGCCTCAAAAAGGTAAAACCTAGTCAGGGAGACTTGCATGTGGAAAAATGATTGCAATATTGTGTGATCAGAAGCATGTGTAAGATACAGAGAATATTTTAGCACTTACCAAGGTATAGTAATTATAACATTTATTTCCTCCACTGATTTTCCTGTGGGTAGGGACAAGGTCCTTTATCTTGTTTCCTCCCTTGTGCCTACCACACGGTAGCTACTCAGTCAATATGTGATTGACTGAATGATGTGTGGCTGACATAAGAGAACGTTGGGTATACTCTGCATAGATGTTGTATCTGGGAAAACTTTAGAAAGGAGGTGCTGAAGGTAAAGCAGACAAGAACAAAACAGCAAGGTATGTGCGGTGCCTGGGTGCGTGGTGCCTAGGCTGAGGGCAGCGGTATCCCTGGGTGCGTAGTGCCTAGGCTGAGGGCAGTGGTGGGGGTAGGGTTGGAGAATTAGGCCAGCAAGATCCTGTTGGGCCTTGCAAGCCTTCCTGAGGGTCTGAACTTGATCCTGTAGGCAATGGGAAGCCATAGGAAACACGCAAGGAACATGAAAAGATCTGTAAGTTGGAAATGCAATCATGTTTGCAGTTCAGTCAATGGAGATGTCTCATATGTGCAATTAATTTCCAGAATATGCTTTCTTATTAAAAAATTATTTGGCACTGCATTTCAGTCTGCCAGAGAATACTCAGACTCTGTGCAGTTTCCCAGGAACTCTACAGACACCTCCTTAGCCATTAAGAGTGAATATACTAAAAAAGTTTCCTTTTCAAGAGCTGTAGCAATGATCAGGGTTAATTTTCCCTATGATAGGTAAAATGCTTTCTTATTTGCCTAAAGTAATTCCATCCTAGAGTAAGTATTACATCTCAGAATTTGGGGGGAGTCAATGATATTTGCAGAATGGTAGTTCTTCAAACACTTGGTTAACTAAGTCTCCTGATGATGTTTTCTTCTCCACTGTGGAGAAGGTAATTCAGCTAAATGAGTGCTCTGGTCAGAAAATTTTATGCAGATAATTAAGCATGACACTCCTTTTGGCTTGGTTTATGTTTTAAAGGCAAAAATCTACTCTGGTTTGAAAATTGTTTCAATTAATTAGTACCATGCATTATGTGTGGTCTCTGAAACACCCATTTGCAAAGTTGGTGGTTGGTGGAAGACTCTTTTTAACTATCCAGAGGCATATTCTCATATTCATCTCAGAATAATAAGATGTTTAAATATTTATTCCTTTTCAATAACTGGGTAGGCCTAGGCTCTTCATTTTAATAAATTCTGTCCAAATAATGTTGAGTCACTGCTTAGAAGATGTTGGCACTGAATTTCTCTTATGGTAATGATGTTCACATCAGAGACTGACATTTTGCCCCAGCTCTGCCACTAACCCATGGCCTTGGGCAAATCACACAACCACTCTGGAATTCCTTTTGATAATTCTTAAGTTTTCCTTCTAGCTCTGAAATCCTGAGTATGCTTTAAGAGATCTGATTAGTACAAGAAGATAGAAATGAATTAGTTACAGGCCTACAAATTGTGGCAGGAGGAATTGATATTTATGACTTGCAGCTATTCCTTTTCAGTAACTCCAAATGGTTAGAAACTCTTGAGGTAGGCTTATTTTAGAAGAAACACAAAATCTTTATGTAGATATTCTCATTCATTCAACAAGTACTTATTGAAGACTCATTATATGCCAGGCATTATGTTAAAGGCTGGGACTACAATGACAGAAAAAGAGAGAAAAAAAAATGCCTGGTTTCCAAGAGCTGGTTGTCTAGTAGGGAAGGCAGACAATTTTAGACAAGAAATAACAATAAAGTGGAATAAGTATTGTCATGGGATCTCAGCTATGAAGACAAAACATACAGCTCAGATCAAACCTGGGCTATAAGTCAGGGAAGGTTTCACTGCAGATGGGCTGTCTATGCTGAGACTATGCATTCCTGTGATTTTTTATTTAGAAAGACATATTGAATAGAACAGGCAATAAATATATTTATTTGTCCCAGGCCCAGACTAAGTGTTTAAGACTCGGAGCTTATGGAGAAGAATTTGAACACATCTCATAAATGCACATACCTCCCCCCAAAAGTTTTACCAATCATTTGATCATAAATTCACTGACTCCCATGAGAGTTCTTCCGTTGGATCAAGTTCTGGGATACGGATGACAATATTATTTAAGAGATAATCACTCCTTGTCATTCTATACTTAAGACCCTACACAGCTGTCCAAAGAGTATATAGTAGGTGAATAAGAGGTTTTAAGGAATGACTTGTTGATTAATGATATGTTTTAATTTTTCAAAGTCCTTTCACACATTTAATCTTCCATAATCCTAGTATTTGCAAAGCAGAAATTGTACTGACACTTCACCCTACAGGTTACGGAAATTCTCTTTTATAATAGGTATCATGTTTCTAAGACAGACCTGACTGCAAATATTCTGTCTTGTGGTCAACACAATTATATCCACATTCACCATAGCATGAGTGTGATAGTTAATGCTAAGTGTCAACTTGATTGGATTGGGGGATACAAAGTATTAATCCTGGGTGTGTGTGTGCCAAAAGGGATTAACATTTGAGTCAGTGAGCTGGGGAAGGCAGATCCACCCTTAATCTGATGGGCACAATCTAATCAGCTTCCAGCAAAGCTGGCAAGACCGGCCTAGCCTCTTAGCCTACATCTTTCTTCCATGCTGGATGCTTCCTGCCCTCGAACACTGGACTCCAAGTTCTTCAATTTTGAGACTCGGACTGGCTCTTTTTGTTCCTCAAGCTTGTGGACAGCCTATTGTGGAACCTGTGATTGTGTAAGTTAATACTTAATAAACTATTAAGTATTATGTGTATATGTCCTATTAGTTCTATCTCTCTAGAGAATGCTGACTAATACAGATTTTTGTAGCAGGAATGGTTCTAGAGGAACTGAATATTAAGGATGGAGTTCTTTTGTTGGTTTTGGGGAAGTTGGCTGCTTAATATGATTAGACCCCAAAATGCCAAGAACTCTAGTTCTAATACTATGGAAAACACTGATAGTCCTTGGCATAAACTGTTTAGAGAGTTATGCAAAATAAATGCATTTGACACTCCTGATTCACCGCTCCTAAGAGGCAAGGAGTTTAGTGACTATACCTAATACCTTTGACCATATGTGGAGAACCAAAGAACATAATGAAGCTGGTTGGTCCTAAGTTCAGTGGACAAAGTGATGAAAGAAAATGATGAACTCAGGGATTCTGTCTCCTGGCTTCAGAAGCAGATACTGAGCCTTAAATCTGATAAGACTGCCCTGAGTGAGAGTCTTATCTCCCGTAGAGAAAGAGCTGAAATTGTGGAAAACAGACACAAGTTCTTATCGTGCAAGTGGCTGACTTGCAACAAAAGGTGCATGCACAGCCTCACCCAGTGTCTACTGTTAAAGGCATTGATTGGAAAAGAATGGGACCCTGCAACTTGGAATGGGATGTGTGGAGGACCCTAATGAAGCTGGGGATACTGAGTTTGTAAACTCTGATGGACCTTTTTTGCCAGAAGGAACAGCTTCCCCATCCCCAGTAGTGGCAACATCTCCTCCCTGACCCACACTGCCATAGCCTTTCCACATCTGTCTGAGGACATAAACCCTGTGCTGCCTGAGGCAACAGTGATGGCCTCCCTGAGGCACTCACCAGGCCAAATAATGTTGATTCTCCTCAGGAGCCACCCCAACACCCCTGTTTGCTTCTAGACCTGTAACTAGACTAAAGTCCCAGTGGACCCCTAGAGATGAGGTTGAGAGTGTGACCCAATAGGAGGTGTGCTACACTTGAAAATAACTGTTTGAATTCTCTAATTTATATAAACAGCATTCTGGAGAACAGGCATAAGAATGCATATTAAGGGTATGGGACAATGGTGGAAGGAACATAGAGTTGGATCAGGCTGAATTTATTGATTTGGGCCCACTCTGCTTTTAATACTGCAGCTCAGGGAGTTAAAAAAAGGTTCTAATAGTTTATTTGCTTGGTTAGATGAAATATGAATTAAAAGATGACTCACTGTGAGTGAGCTGGAAATGCCTGGTCTCCCCTGGTTTAATGTAGAGGAAGGGACCCAAAGGCTTAGGGAGATTGGGATGGTGGAGTGGATTAGTCACTTTAGACATACTCATCCCAGCTGGGAGGTTCCAGAAGACATACCCTTGATCAATGCCTTGTGAAATAGATTTATGAGGGCAGCACTTATGTTTTTGAAGAGTCCTATAATTGGTCTTCTCTGTATGTCAGATCTAACAGTGGGAACCAAGTCACTCAACTACAAAATGTAAATACAGTGGGAATAACTGGATCCTGAGGTGGCAGGGGCCAAGTGATGGCACTCAACTGTCAAAGGCAAGGTGGGCATAGCTACCTTAATGGACAGCAGAGGCAAAGCAGCAATCAGAATAGCCTGACTCATGTAGAGCTCTGGCATTGGCTAATTAATCATGGTGTTCCTAGAAGTGAAATTGATAAGAAGCCTACTGCATTTCTACTTAATTTATACAAGCAGAAAACTTCGAAGTCAAATGGACAAAAGACTAATTTGAATTGTAAAAACAGAGAATCCTGTCCCCTCAATAAATTTCCAGACTTGAGCCAGTTTACAGACCCAGAACGCCTTGAATGAAGGGGAGCCTGGATCCCCTTGAGGAAGGACCCCACTACATTACTGACAATTTATGCAGTGACTCTTTTTCCCATCCTTTCCCCAGGAGATCGCCAGCCTTTTACCAGGGTACCTGTGCACTGGGGAAAGGGAAATGATCAGACATTTTGGGGATACTGGACACTGGCTCTGAGCTGACATTGATTCCAGGGTACCTAAAATGTCGTTGAGGTCCTCCCATTAAAGTAGGGGCTTATGGAGGTCAGGTAATTAATGGAGTTTTAGCTCAGGTCTGACTTACAGTGGGTCTGGTGGGTCCCCAGACTCATCCTGTAGACATTTCCCCAGTGCCAGAATGCATAACTGGCATAGACATACTTAGTAACTGGCAGAACCCCTACATTGGCTCCCTGACTGGTAGGGTGAGGGCTATTATGGTGGGAAAGGCCAAATGGAAGCCATTAGAGATGGCTCTACCTAGAAATATAGTAAATCAAAAACAATATCGCATCCCTGTAGGGATTGCAGAGATTAGTGCCACCATCAAGGACTTGAAAGATGCAGAGGTGGTGAGTCCTACCACATCCCTGTTCAACTCTCCCATTTCGCCTGGACAGAAGACAGATGGATCTTGGAGAATGACAGTGGATTATCATAAACTTAACAAAATGGGGACTCCAATTGCAGCTGCTGTACCAGATGTGGTTTCATTGCTTGAGCAAATTAACACATCTCCTCATACCTGGTATGTAGCCATTGATTCGGCAAATGCCTTTTTCTCCATTCCTGTCCATAAGGCCCACTAGAAGCAATTTGCCTTCAGCTGGCAAGGCCAGGAATATACCTTTACTGTCCTGCCTCAGGGGCATATCAACTCTCTAGCTTTGTGTCATAATCTTATTCAGAGAGACCTTGATTGCTTTTCACTCCCACAAGATATCACACTGGTCCATTACATTAATGACATCATGCTGATTGGATCCAGTGAGCAAGAAGTAGCAAACACACTGGACTTATTGGTGAGACATTTGCATGCCAGAGGATCGGAAATAAATCCAACTAAAATTCAGGGAACTTCTACCTCAGTAAAATTTCTAGGGGTCCAGTGGTGAGGGGCCTGTTGAGATATTCCTTCTAAGGTGAAGGATGAGTTGCTGCATTTGGGCCCTCCTACAATGAAGAAAGAGAAGCAACACCTACTGGGCCTATTTAGATTTTGGAGGCAACACATTCCTCATTTGAGTGTGTCACTCTGGCCCATTTATCAAGTGACCCGAAAGGCTGCCAGTTTTGAGTGGGGTCCAGAACAGGAGAAGGCTCTGCAACAGGCTCAGGCTGCTGTGCAAGCTGCTCTGCCACTTGGGCCATATGACCCAGCAGATCCAATGGTGCTTGAGGTGTCAGTGGCAGATAGGGATGCTATTTGGAGCCTTTGGCAAGCCCAAAAGGTGAATCACCGCAGAGGCCTCTAGGATTTTGGAGCAAGGCCCTGCCATCTGCAGATAATTACCCTCCTTTTGCTGTTACTGGGCTTTGGTGGAAACTGATCATTTGGCTATGGGTCATCAAGTCACCATGCAAACTGAATTGCCTATCATGAACTGAGTGTTTTCTGGCCCATCCAGCCAAAAAGCGGGTTTTGCACAGCAACATCCCATCATCAAATGGAAGTGGTGTATACGTGATCGGGCTTGAGCAGGTCCTGAAGGCACAAGTTAGTTACATGAGGAAGTGGCTCAAATGCCCATGGTCTCCATTCTTGCCACCCTGCCTTCTCTCCCTCAGCCCAGCAGATGGCCTCATGGGGAGTTCCCTATGATCAGTTGACAGAGACGAGAAGACTAAGGCCTGGTTCACAGATGGTTCTGCATGGTTATGCAGGCACCACCCAAAAGTGGACAGCTGCAGCACTATGGCCCTTTCTAGGACATCCCTGAAGGACAGCAGTGAAGGGAAATCTTCGCAGTGGGCAGAACTTTGAGCAGTGCACGTGGTTGTGCACTTTGCATGGAAGGAGAAACGGTCCGATGTGAGATTATATACTGATTCATGGGCTGTAGCCAATGGTTTGGCTGGATGGTCAGGGACTTGGAAGAAGCACGACTGGAAAATTGGTGACAAAGAAATTTAAGGAAGAGGTATGTGGATGGACCTATCTGAGGGGTCAAAAAATGTGAAGATATTTGTATCCCGTGTGAGTGTTCACATGGAGTGACTTCAGCAGAGGAGGATTTTAATAATGATCTATTCTGTGGACACAACTCAGCCTCTTTCCCCAGCCACCCCTGTCATTGCTCAATGGGCCCATGAACAAAATGGCCATGGTGGCAGGGATGGAGGTTACACATGGGCTCAGCAACATGGAATTCCACTCACCAAGGCTGACATGGCTATGGCCACTGCTGAGTGCCCAACTTGACAGCAGCAGAGACCAACACTGAGCCCTCGATATGGCACCATTCCTTGGGGTGATCAGCCAGCTACCTGGTGGCAGGTTGATTATATTGGACCTCTTCCATCATGGAAAAGGCAGAGGTTTGTCCTAACTGGAATAGACACTTACTCCAGATACGTGTTTGCCTATCCTGCACACAATGCTTCTGCCAAGACTACCTTCCGTGGACTCACTGAATGCCTTATCCACCATTATGATATTCCACACACAATTGCCTCTGACCAAGGCACTTGCTTTACAGCTAAAGTAGTGTGGCAGTGGGCTCATGCTCATGGAATTCACTGGTCTTACCATGTTCCCCATCATCCTTAAGCAGCTGGATTTATAGAACGGTGGACTGGCCTTTCGAAGTCACAATTACAATGCCAACTAGGTGACAGTACTTTGCAGGGCTGGGGCAAAGTTCTCCAGAAGGCCATGGTGGCAGGGATGTATGCTCTGCATCAGTGTCCAATATATGGTACTGTTTCTCCCATAGCCAGGATGCACGGGTCCAGGAATCAAGAGGTGGAAGTGGAAGCGGAACCACTCACCATCACCCCTAGTGATCCACTAGCAAAAGTTTTGCTTCCTGTTCCTGCAACATAATGTTCTGCTGTCCTAGAGGTCTTAGCTCCAGAGAGAGGAACGCTGCCATCTGGAGACACAACAATGATTCCATTAAACTGAGAGTTAAGATTGCCACCTGGACACCTTGGGTTCCTCCTACCTTTAAGTCAACAGGCTAAGAAGGGAGTTACAGTGTTGGCTGGGGTGACTGACCCAGACTATCAAGATGAAATCAGTCCACTACTCCACAACGGAGGTAAGAAAGAGTATGCATGGGATACGGGAGATCCTTTAGGGTGTCCATTAGGTTATTACCATGCCCTGTGATTAAAGTCAATGGGAAATTACAACCGCCCAATCCAGGTAGGACTACAAGTGACCCAGACCCCTCAGGAATGAAGGCTTGGGTCACTCCACCAGGAAAAAAAACCATGACCTGCTGAGGTGCTTGCTGAAGGCAAAGGGAAGACAATGAGTAGTAGAAGAAGGTAGTAATCATTACTAGCTACTTGAGCAGCTGCAGAAACGAGGACTGTAATTGTCATGAGTATTTCTTCCTTCTTCTGTTAAAAACGTTTGTGCATGTATACACTTGTACTAAGAAAATATCTTAATTTTGTTTCCTTTTCCTTTATCATGTGACATAAGATGTATTGACTGCATATCAGCATTTAAGTATTGATAACTTTTTGTAATAGTATTTGGGTTGGGGGTTGGTGTGTTTCCAGTTGTATGAAGGATAGTTTTATTATGTTAGGCATTATTATGACCTCATTATTGTCTTTATTTGAAGATTATGTATGATCTCAGGAGATGTGTTTGGGTTCAAGTTGACAAGGGGTGGACTTGCGATGGTTAATACTGAGTGTCAACTTGATTGGATTGAAGGATACAAAGTATTAATCCTGGGTGTGTCTTCGTGGGTGTTGCCAAAAGGGATTAACATTTGAGTCAGTGCGCTGGGGAAGGCAGAGCCACCCTTAATCTCATGAGCACAATCTAATCAGCTTCCAGCGAATATAAAACAGGCAGAAAAATGTGAAATGGTGAGATGGGCCTAGTCTCCCAGCCTACATCTTTCTCCCATGCTGGACGCTTCCTGCCCTTGAATATCGGACTCTAAATTCTACAGTTTTGAGACTTAGACTGACTCTCCTTGCTCCTCAAGCTTGCAGACAGCCTATTGTGGGAAGCTGTGATCGTGTAAGTTAATACTTTATAAACTCCCATATATATAATATAATATCCTATTAGCTTTATCTCTTTACAGAACCCTGACTAGTACAATGAATTATGAGATTTAGCTTGGTTAAGGTGGTCACCATATGTTACAGAGACATTCAAGAAGGTTTAACTTAACAAGTGCAGAAGACCCTATGTCATGCCGAGGAAAATCATAAAGAGACAATATTTTGAATTTAAAATCAAGCCACTTTGAAGTTGCTTTGATATCCAATTTGTTCAGTAATTATTCATTGGATACCCTGCACACATGCATGAAGAGATATGAGGCTAATAAAGAGTGGAATATTAGTTTGAAAGCTTAACAAACTTCTAAGGTAATAATAGAATTTAACTTGTTTTATAGATGGAGAAAGATCACAGAAATTATCTCCTTTTTAGAGTCAGTGCCTTGATTTATTGCTTCCTGATTTCAAATTATTATTCAGTGCTTGCCTTATTATTGAACTTTTCTTGCTTCTTTGTCTTTTCTCTGCAACGATTAGATCAAAGGTTCTTTGAGGGTAGGGATTGTGTTCTTCCTCCAGAATGCTCAATTTTGAAACTACTAGGCCTTCAACAAGTATTTACCAAGGGCTATGATTAGTTCAAAAACCTAGAAATGAATTAGCTACAGAACTACACATTGTGATGATTAAAAACATTTCAAACAGTGTTTCTCAAAGTTTAATGTGTGCAATATTTAAAAAGGAAGCTTATTAAACATGGACCCCTAAATCTCATTCCCAAAGATTCTTTTGTCTTTCCTCTTAAATCATTTCCTCCTCTTCCTCCCTGTTATTAGAATTACTTTTGTGGGCAGAACAAATTTTGGAAAAATGAGACATACTAGGGTCTTGAGATTGCAATGATGATTCTTGTAGAGAAAAAAGTTGACATAGGTAAGTAGGTCTGTCCTTCTCTCCTCCACCTTCACTCCCTTCTTTCTTTCCATACATACTTATTGTGTACCCATTAAATTTTAGATATTGTTGTAGGTCCTGGGGTTAAACTGGTCAACAAGATGTACAAAGACATTGCTGTCACAGTACTTAGATTCTAGTTGGGGGAAGGGCAGAAAATAGACAAATAAACTTTAAGATTATTTCAGATATTGTTAAGTGTTATAAGGAAAATAAAACAGGCTAATATGACAGAGAATGACTGTTGAGGAGGGGCTAGTTAAAGAATGTGGTCCATAAGAAGATGACATGTGACCTGATGACTGAATGACCAGAAGGAATCAACCATGCAAAAGACCTTGGGGAAGAGCTTTCCAGGAAGAGAGAAGAGCATGTGCAAAGGTCCTGAGGCAGAATGAATGTTCACAGATCAGCAGGAAAGCCAGCATGCCTGGAATTTAAGAGTGAGCCTGGTCAAACTCATCTGCCATTTACAGGAGGATAGTGATATCTTGAAATTACCCATGTGGGAAGTTGGAAAAATTATCCTGGCTGTCACAGATTTAAGGAAGGTTAAGTATTTTAATAAATGTTATAAAAAACATTTATCCTGTTAAAAGTGACTACATTATTGCAACTCCTCACCCACAAAATAGTGTTCTTTTTCTGATTTTGGGGGTTTGATGCTTTGTGGTAACAGGGTTTCATCATCATTGGCAGATTACATCTTATAATACCTGAGCATTGAAAATTAGCTCACTTTGAATTTCCTTGAGATTCAAATGATTAGCATTCATTTCAGTCATTCATTCACAACTCAAATGTCATAAAATGTGGTCAAATAAATTATGTAAACTTGTGTTTGATAATTTATATACTTTTCTAAAAGGGGAATACTCATCCCATAATTTTAAAATAAGTTAGATGGCATTTATCCAAATTCCGGTTTTGGATGACTATTTTTCAGTTCTTGCATTCACTTGTCTTACCACTCCAACCAGATAGTTACCAGTTAATAGTAATAGTACTATTACCACTAAGCAATTTTGATTTGTCTGAATAACTGAGTGCCTAAAAATGGAAAGAACCAAGGACAAGTATGTTATTGGTATGTGTAAAATCCATCCCTGGGGGCTACTTCTGAAGCAAAGAGATAGCTGCTTAGCTGTAGACCCCATTGATCACCGCCCTTTCATAAGCCATTTCAGTAAAGGGCAGTCTGGGTGATAGTGGGCCTTCTGTGATAAGAGCCTGTCCTCTAGAAATGGGAATTAGCTCACGGTTTCATTTCACAGGGTCTACCAGATGGCAAATGACCTCATCTACCCAGACGAGATCCAGACTGGAAACTGAACTGTGTTCCATGTTCCCTTCCATTCTGCTATAAGACTTGGAGCTTTCCTCTGAGTATTTCTTGATTTAATGTGTGTGGTGTGTGTGTGTGTGTGTGTGTGTGTGTGTGTGTGTGTGTGTGTGTGTGTTAGCTTGGTTATACATTAGGCTACAGTTCTAAATGCAGAAGGTTCCCAAAGCCATGAAAATTGGCTTCTTCAGTTGTACCTAAGCAATCTTGTTATCATTGGCTTCCACAAATCGGGACTGAGAGAGTAATGTTAGAATACAGATATAGTACCTGAAGACACAGACATGTAACACGATGGAAATGAGTTGGTGGAACATTTGTGGGAATTGGTCTGGGGAAAGGGATTGGGAAAGAAGAGAAAGACTCAAACAGAAAATGCCTTCATTATGACAAGAAACTCCATGTAGCCTTCATTTAGTGATACTGAAATTACAATTGCAGCTCACATAGTTTGTGAAAGAGGAAGTAGAGAATATGACCATGAAAAGTGATATTTTAAGCCTCAACACATGCCGCTCATCACTGACTTGACTTGCAGCATATATTTCAACAAAAGCACACAGTGATTTAATCTCAACAGTAATTCAGTCTGCAGCCATATGAGACAAGACCATCATTGCAGACAGGCTGTAATTTGTGAAATTCAGGTGCTGGGGATTAGGACCACCTGTTGAATTTAATCTTGGAACTGTTAATGTTAACAACATCATGTAACTGAGCTTATACACTACATATTTATCAGTCTTTGGGGCCTCCAGCTATGGAGGTGTGAACATTTTCCTAAATAATATCTGTAACTCTCTCCAGACTATGTAAAACAATGGCAGATAAAAAAGGCTGTTGGAATTCTGATTCAATACGCAGCAGCATATGGCTTGGTGGTCATCACATCCAGCATATTCCATCATTTTCCTGAGGCCTGATGTGAGGGTAAAAAAAAATTAGCAATCGAGTATCATCTGGCAATATAATAAGAATAGAAAGGCTTTCATTTCTTACCCTCCCCTGTCATAATTGGAAAAAAATTCCTAGCAATATTCTAACAATGTCTTCCACCTCTGCCTATGCAAGAATATAGGAAGATATCAAATAAACCTAATTAAACAGGAACTTTTGGAGAGAACATAAACAACATTTTACACATGCACCTTCATATGACCATCTGTAAGGGAACTCTGCCCAATTTGCAGCCAGATAAATAGTAGCGGTAAAGAGAATCAGTTAAGGCATTCTGAGAAGTTTACATTTAGTTCAGTGGGACAATTGGGATAATGTCTAAACAGAAGACATAGACTTTAAGATATGCCTTTCTTCCTTTGCTTGTGGTGACGTGAACTCCCTCAAAACCTTTGGGTATAGAATTTTGTGAGATGTTGGTGTTCCATGAGATAATTTCATTGATATTCATAATTATCTCCAAAGACCTTCTTCTACTAGGAATTCCAATGACTTTCACACAATATTTATCATTCATATAGCACTTCACAATTTGTAAAACCCTTTTACTACATATCATTTCAATTTCCCATGTAGGGTATCAACATCCCGCCCTCCAAATTGAAAAGGACTGTTCTTTGTTTCAATAAAATAAAGCTCTGATAAACAAAAATTGAAATCAAACATATTTGTGGTCAATAAACATTGTTTTGAACATAAGCATTAGGTTATTATACTTTGCATTAAGCTCTCAATATTCTTAGCTGGTGTCTGTCCAGCAGAAGAACACAGGAAGAAAAGTATTAGAAATCTCTTCCCAAAAGCTGATCAAAACTTTCAGCAAATTTACCTTTTGATGCTGCCATTAATCAAAGCTTCACAAGTGTTAGACAGTAATTTCCACCAAACAATAGCCATGGAAATCCATGATCTCAGTATATCCATCATACACCAGTTACACATAAACACCACAGCCATCTACAGTCAGAAGCTAATGTCTAAACTTTCCTAGAACTCCAGCCCTTATCGGTTGCTTGCACATGCAGATACAAAGCATGTAATCAATCAACAACTAAGAGCGGAAACAAAAGCTGTAATTGTAAAATTGATAGCCTTCTGCTTTTGGATTTTAAGTCTACTAACACCCCTACCCCCCAACCCCTGCTCCTGCCACAACAATAAATAAATAAATAAATAATCACTTCCTAATGAAATTGATTCCTCCTTTTTTGCTTCCCTGAATTCTTCTCATTGCAAAATTCCACTTTTTCAAAGAAGCTTTCCTTGATCTTTCCAGGGAAGTCATCGTTCTCATTTTTGCACCCCTACAGTACTGTTCATATCTAGCATTTATTACACATTTTTATCTATTGGTTTATCCATCTACACACATTTCATGGTATATTGTTCTGTCCTCAGGTATTTAAAGATCCGTAAGACTGGGTCCTGCCTTAAATTCTTTTATACCTTTCAAATCCTTAGCATTATGCATTAAACAGGTGTGTGGCAATATTTTGAATGCCACTTTTTAAAAAGTTTGGCTTTTTCACGCATGGTTAGAGTGACCTTTGCACACAAAAGGAGCATCTACTATATATTACTTCGGTTCACAACCACAAAATTTAGTAAAATAAAAAGAATAATTGGGAGATTTCAAGAAATCCTCTAGCTTTATAAAGCAGATAGAGAGTGGAATTGTGTTTTAATAAAAACATACGAGCAGCTTCAAATAATGGCGGATACATTTAAACTGTATTAAAATATCTTCAGAATCAGCAAACTTGATTAGGATTCTCCCAGAGGCTTCACACACTGAAACCAGATATTTATTATTCCAGGGAAAGGAGGCCCAATTTTAAAAAATTCATCTTATTAGTTATTAGCCACCCCATGCAGCAGCTTCCCGGAAGGCAGAGGAAGACAGGCTCACAATGATGAGTTTCAAACCAATGGAAGCTGAGTGTGTCCCTCAAGTCTTCCATGCCTGCCTGGGCACCACTCCCCAGGGCTGAGAGAATTCAGCCCAAAGCAATGCGCTGGAGAGATCAGAGGGGAACGCTGGATCCCGAGCAGTGGCCGCGGGCTGGCTGCGCTCACCCTCCGGTTCCGGGTCAGAGGAACGCTCAGGCTGGTACCCGCGCCAACCCCAGTTTCCTCCCACCAGGCAGCGACTCGGCGGCCAAACCCGAGGCTTCAGGAACCGGACCTCCATCCGCAGCTGCAATTCTGGGGATCAGGGAGTTCTAGTTCCAGGGCCGATTTCTGCTGGGAAATTAGGCTTTGGGGTCCACGCACCTCACCCCTATTTTCTACAAAACTTTGTGTCTTTCTCCAAATAAGAATTCATACCAAGTTGGAACTAGCCCACCCTACCCCAGCGGGTCCACTCCCCTCCAGCCTTCGAACGGCACCTACTCACAGCGCCTCCCAGCCCCGGGAAAGGGGGAAGGCTCAGGTGTGCGGGATCCCCAGGCTGAGTGGCGAGCGGGCTGGCGGGCATGCTGTCACCTTGTGGTCCGCCACTCCGAGGTATCCGTCCAGTGGCCGCGGTCCCGCGGGGACCCCGGGGCGCTGCTGGGTGCTGCTCTCCGCCGCCGGCTGCGAGCTGCCGGTGGCCGACGCCTGCTGCTGCTGTTGCTGCTGCTGCTGCTGCTGCTGCGGGGGCCGCTCCTTCTGGCCGCCGAGGCTGCTGTACACTAGCAACAAGCTGGTGCACATGGTGGTGAGCGCTAAACACACTGCCAGACCATGGCGCTGCGGGCGGGCGGGAGAGAGAAGAGGAGAGCGGCTGAGCGCAGACACCGGAGGAGCGCGCCCAGCGGGGACAACTGTGCGGTGGTCACTCTAGTGGGGGAGATTTGGGGCGGCCTGGGCCCCAGCCCCGCCGCACGCAACTGGGACAGAGAAAGCACCGTCCCCTAGCGTATCGCAAGGGATGCTCCGGGCGCGTCGCTGCTTTCGGCCGCCGCCGCCCAGATCTCTCGGTAGAGGGCAGGTGGTGTACGGCCCCGGGCTGAGGGAGGGAGCGCGCCGGGGCCGAGGACAGGGGTGGGTTTGCACTTTGGGGAAGGGCCCGTCTGGCGCAGCCACCCCAGCCAAGCTGCTGGAATTTTGAGTCCTTCACACCCCTCCTTTCCTGGGGCCCTGGATCCTTGCGATCCTTGCAAGTTTGAAATCTAAGAAAACGAAGAAAGTCTGCAAAGGTCCCCCCTCCCCGTCCCTCTTAGTTTTTGGCAGGCTGTTGCTTTTGGGCACCCCCATCCCTTGAGCAATCTGCCCACTCCTCCATCGCTCCTGCAGCTCTCCGCCACCCCCTCGGACCTCTCGCCGGAGATCTAGGAGGCGAGGCAACCCCGAGTTCCCATCCTGGCTCTGGGATTCCGAGCCAGGCAGAGCTGGAGAATCGGGAGGGAACGCGGAGCGGGTAGAAAGTTGTCCCTTTGTAACAGGCGACCTCGCGGCCCAGGGTTAGGCGTCTCGGAGTCTCCACGGTGCGTCCCGTGGACCCTGAGCCCGGGGATCCCCCTCTTTGCCCGGTGGAGTTGCCACAACTGACTCACCATCAGGGTCTTCATTTTGGGCACCTCTTTTGTGCAGAATCCTCAGGCTCGCGCGTCCGGGGCCACTTTTTCCTGGAGGGTTTCCATGATGGGTAATGGGGCGGAGGCGGCTCTGATTTTTGCCCAGCAGCCGGCCGCGGCAGATCGCGCGCGGGAGCCGCGGGACCCGGGAAGCGCGGCTGTTGCAGAGATTAGAGACAGAATTAAAACTGAACCGGACCCTCGTAGTCTCTCAGCGATCTACACAACTGCCGCCTGCCGCCGCCTGCTGGGTCCTAAAGACCTCTACATCCCCTTCCCCGCCCCCAAATAATAATCTTTTCAGTAGTGAAATTTCTGGGGAGAGAGAGTTAACCGAGCCAGTGTACCCACTTCTTGGTCCGCGGGCTTATTTATCTTTAAAGAAGTCATCAAGTAGTAAAGAAGGAGAACCTGATTGGATTCTGAACGTGATAGCCATGTGAAAATCTGCAACCTAAATTTTCTGTTTTGCGATGTTGATAAAAACAAATCAACCTCCCAAATGTCAATAACTCTATTTATAGCGTTTGCGTTTATGTACGTAGCATAGAGAAATACATGATGAAATTATTTTTCTTAAAAAATTATTTATTATTCCGTTTTTCAATTGCTCACTTTCTTATTTTCTCTTCTCTCTTAATTTTAATTTTACTTTATCAGATTCAGTTATTCTCATGCATTCTTTAGATAATATTTCATCTCAATTATTTCATTTATTATTTTCATTGAATATTACAATTTACATTTCTGCCTGACCTCTGAGTTTCCTAGTGTTCATCTAAATGATCTTAAAGTTTTAAAAACATTCAGCACGTCACAGCTACATGATTAACTTGACCTGTAGATTCTTCCTAATTTGGATGAAGAATTTCTGTCTGCTAGAGATAAAACTGCATATGGCTTATTTCATAATCCTAAGGTATTTGGTGCTTTCCGTTGGTCTACTGCACTGACGGCGATAGTTTCACATTCAGGACTTCAATTAAAATTAAAAAAACATAAGTATTGTTTTATGTTGGGAAAGTCACATCAATAGCTTGTTTTAAGGATGCTGTCTCCTCTGCATTGAATTACAAATGGCATTTGTTAAATGTCTAATTTAGCTAAAAACATATTTCTTGTGAAATTGCTCAGTGAAAATAGTTGTCTTAATGTATTACTTAACATCTCACCTGTAGCAGTGTAATGTTAAAGATTACATTAAGATGGAAATGATCAGCAGGCCTACTGAACCATGGGCACAATAAGAGCTTTCTCAAGGCCAAAGAAGGCATTACAATCCATTTTTAATCTTCCCTAATCTATTGCTGGACTGATGATACAACAGGAACTATTTTTATCTTATGAGGCATCCTTCCATACTTAGTATTAAGAAAGTTAAAATTATTGGTGCAATAATGAATATCAGTGCAACGTGTTTGGGAGAGGGCAAGAAAGCACACGATTTAGCCTTTCAAGGAAAAGCAAAATAGGAAGCACTGTCCAACATTGCCAGCCTTGAAACTATTTATTCAGTTTGTGCTTTAGGCATGAATAGTACCAGTTGTTAGGGCAGGAAAAGCAGCAGCCAGAGGAGAATCTTACCAGGTCTTGGCAATTCTTTATTGTATGGTTGCACTTGACACTCAAATTAATGAAACAAAGGACCAACTTGATGAATCACTGCAAGCAGATTATCTGTGTTTCTCCAGGGATCCTTTTAGATGCTATTAGAAGCAGCTCCTGCATTTTTCAGGATTATTCCCCCTCCATCTAGCAAGTTGCCCAGTGACTGATGAAACAGTTCTAATATATTTTGCCATGCCAAACAGAGGCATCATATCTATGATTTAAGTTCATGGCAGCATGTTGGACATCTGTTACACTGTATGTCTGACCAAATTCATTAAGCTTATGGGTTTTTTTTTCCCCTCCTGGGATAGCAGTTAGCTAGTTGCTAAATCTACTTATGAAATGGCCAGGGTAAATTTAAAAATGTAATTCAGAGCTTGATTTGAAAGATTTCAAGGTCTTGGCTTTTACATATTTGATTAGATTAATGCAGCCATTTCAGGCATTCTGGCTTGAGAGCCAAATGGACAAGATAGGGTGAGGGAAACGAGATAAAGAAAACAAGTCATAGAATTTACTTCAATTTGATGATCATTAATGATTGCCACTTATTTGGTGGTTCTGTATTAGAGAATACAGTGGTGAATAAGACAGACCTTCTCCTCTAAGAGCTCACAACCTAATATGTGTGTGTGTATGCACGTGTGTTGAGACAAGTTCATGACTAGGCAATAAAAGACAGAGTACTATAGATTCAACACAAATTTATCAAGCACTTCCTATGTTAAGCACTTACTCTGTTGAGTACCTACTATGTGCCAGGTATTAGGGATGCCTGGATCAATAGACCACATGCTCTCTTCACAGTATATTCCCAGGTAAGTGCTTAGAATCTTTCTGTTACAATCTTTAGGAACAATCAACACACCTGATTTGTTTTTCACCTTCTAAATGCCTGCTTATGTAAGGTCTGAGGGCTTTGTTATTTCAAGGGCATCTACTTATGTTTATATACCTTTATATTCACCCTTAAGTTAATCATTTGAATAATTATACAGGGTAGAAAACAGGCAGCATTCACAAACACTTGACTGACTTGGAGACAAGCGGACAAGTAGACAAGTCAATGAAGCTTTTTTAGTTCATCTAACTTGCACAGTTCAATTCAAAGTGAGTCGAGAAATCACAATTTGTTTCTCAAAATCCAGGTAGCTGAGATGGATTTCTCACCATTTAAAATTTTGCCACATTTCTGCCTCTGGTGCCATCACATCCAATCAAATAGCCTCTTCCTTTTGAAAAAAGGAAAAAAAGAAAGGAAAATAAATTGAGTGTTCTGCAATGTAGGTTATGTGATACAATGAAGGTGAGAATTGATGAAACAAGGCATGTCATAGGGCGGTGAGAGAGCAGGTGGAATCCGTGCTCAGAGGGAACGCTAGCCTATGCTCATGCCACAAAAGGCAGCACAAAGCTACCAAAGGAGGAAGAAAGACAGACTGCTGGAAATCCGTAAGCTCTGCCCACAATTCCTAAAATTCCTAAGTGACTTCTCAATTTAGAAACAAACGTTTCAAACATTTCAAAGATGGATAAAAACCAGAAAACAATATAATGAACTGCATTTGAGATACAATTGCTTTCCACATTATGATCTCAAAGAAAAAGAAGAAAGTTTTACTACATGAAGCAAGAGCAAAAATTTTATTAATGGCAGAAAGTCCCCATGGAACAAATTTGATTCTTGTCCATTTATGTTTGCAGTTTCCTTAACTCTCTTTATTTTACAGGCTAGGCCTAGTGGGTCCATCTGTTGAGAATAAGCTCCTGGAATCAGGCTGTCAGGACCCAGATTCTGACTTTACCATTTTTCAGCACTGTGACCTAGGGTATGTTACTTCGCAGGGATTTAGTTTCCACATCTGCAAAATAGTACCCACCTCAAAGCATTGTTGTGAAGGTTAAACGAGATGCAAATGTCTTGAACAACACCAATAAATTGCTAATAGTATTTTATATTTATGATTAATAAACTGGGCTTGAAGGCAAAACACCAGAGTTTGACTTTTACTTCTAATTGCTGTGTGACCTTGAGCAAGGGACTGTCAACATATCTATAAAATGGATATAACAAAGCCTATACCACAAATCGTTAGAGGGCTTATTAAGATATTGTGTATGTGACTGCTTTGTAAACTGTGAAGCTCTGCATAAACTAAGGTGATAGTAACTCATTCATTAATTCAACAAATATGAATTGAGCATCTACTGTGTGCCAGGTATTATTCTAGGTCATGGAGATATGAATAAGACACACACAGACTCTGCCTCATCAGGTTTATATTTAAGCAAGGATGATAAACTAATACAATAGGGCCAGGCATGGTGGCTCACACCTGTAATCCTAACACTTCGGGAAGCTGAGGTGGGAGGATTGCTGAGCCCAGGAGTTCAAGACCAGCCTAGGCAACATGGTGAGACCCTGTTTCTACAAAAAAATACAAAAATTAGCTGGGCAAGGTGGTGCATGCCTGTAGTCCCAGCTACTTGGGAAGCTGAGGTGGGAGGATTTGCTTGAGCCTGGGAGGTCGAGGTTGAAGTCAGGCATGATTGTGCCACTGCACTCAAGCTTGGCTGACAGAGCAAGACCCCGTGTCAAGAAAAAAAGAATGTCAGATGCTAGGAAGAAAAGCAGGGGAAGCAGTTAGAGATTGAAGTGTAGGAGCTGTTGTAGCTAGGATGGCAACAATTGAGCAGATAAATGAGTGAAGTAAGAGAGTGAGCCATGAGGCTATCTGGAGGAAGGTCATCCCATGCAAAGGGAACATCACGTGCAAAGACCATGAGACAAGAGAGAGCTTGCCTAAGACCTTGCTTGGCATGTTGGAGAGACAGCAAGGGGGCTAGTGAGGCTGGAATAAAGGGAGCCAGAGAGTGGTAGAGGAGGATGACAGAGAGGCAGTCTGGAGCCAGATATCTAGGACCTTGTCAGCCATGAAACAGATGGTGTGAAGGAATCCCACCTGAAGGTTTAAGGCAGGTGAAGATTATGGATCCGTAATGCCTTGGAAAGATCACCTGACTGCTGTGCTGAGAATAGCTTTTGGAGAAGGGAGAGTGGAAACAAGGAGATCAGTTTGGCTATATTGCAATGGTCTAGGTGAAAGGAGGTCATAGAACTTTTACAAGTGACTGAATTCAAGATTTGGTGATTACTGGGTATGAGACATTATAATAGAAGTAGAGAGGAGGGGAGGAAAACTGCAAGGCTTGTGGACTGGGCAGCTGGAGAATGGAGCTGCTATTTCCAGTATGGGGAACACTGTGAGAGAAGGATTAGGGGGCTGTGGAGGGAGAATTTGGATGTAGACACAATCAGTGTGAGATGTCACAGGCACTTGCAGTTCAGTATGATGTTGGGCTTAGAGATGTGAAATGAGTATCACAAGTGGAATGGATGAGATCACCTAGGAATAAGCCACAGAATAGAAGAGGTCACAGGCCTGAGCCTTGAGAGTTGCAAGTTTCAGTTGCCAAGAAAAGGAGGAATCTTAGTAACCACAGTATTGAAAAACAATAAATGACTATCAGAACTTGATTTGATTTAGGTGGCTGATTATTTTCATTTTTAATGGATTCTTCCATGCCAACACAGTCATTTATGTTCTCAAAGCACTTTTCAAATTTTATTATTGCACTAAGCAGATTTAGTCATATCTATTCACATGTTTATTGTTGATCCTCTCTTCTAGACTATAAATTTTCTATGTCTTATTACTGTTTATATCCACCAAGGCTGGCACATAACTGAGGATAATAATATTAATCACTAACATTTAGCTAGCCCTTACTATGCACCAGCACCATTCTAAGAACTTTGCTTGTATCAACTTATTTAGTCCCTACAACAACCTCATGAAGTAGGTACTATTACTATCCCCATTTCACAAATGAGTGAACTGAAAATCAAAGAGTCATTTGTTCAAAGTCACCCAGATAGTAGATGGTAGCGTTGGGCTAAATAAACATTTGATAAAACAAATAAATTTTTGTTAAACGGTGAATGAATAAGCCAGACATGGTGGCTCACACCTGTAATTACAGCACTTTGGGAAGCTGAGGCAGGTGGATAGCTTGAGCAAAGGAGTTCAAGACCAGCCTGGGCAACAAGGTAAAACCCCATCTCTACAAGAAATACAAAAATTAGCCAGGCATGGTGGTCTGCACCTGTATTTCCAGCTACTAGGGAGGCTGAGGTGGGAGGATCACCTGAGCCATGGGTGGTCAAGGTTGTGGTGGGCCGAAATCAGGCCACTGCACTCCAGCCTGGGCAACAGAGTGAGACCTTGTCTCAACAACAATGCAACAAAGACAAAAGAATGAATAGAAGCTTTCCGAGAGTTCCAATAACCAAGTTCTACTGAACCCTAAATTGGTCTGATTTACAAGAATACTGCATGTATAGTTAAAATCCAACCTTTAGATAGTATAACCAAAGGCAGTTCCTCATTTTATGAGGTACTTTTTTTTGCTACTTTTATTTTTTAAGATATATACATACAATAAAATGTGCAGAATTTAAGTGTATGGTTTGATGTGTTTTGACAAAATTATACACTTTTTAACTACCACCACTGTCAAGATATAGATCATTTCTGCCACTCCAGAGAATACCTTCATACTTCCTACGAGTCATACTACCTCCAACCAAAAGGCAAACACAGAGACATTGTTTTGAGTTTTATCTGCCTATTCTGTAAGTTAATATAGATGACATCATACAGCATATACCTTTTATTCTGACTTATTTTACTTAGCATAATATTTTTGAGATTTATCCATGTTGTTGAGTGTATTAATAGCTTATTCCTTTTTATTGTTGAATACTATTCTACTGTGTGACTGCAGCAATATTTAAAAAAAAAATCCTTCCTCCCGTTAATGAACATTTAGTTTGTTTCCAGTTTGGGGTTCTTACGAGCAAAACTATTAACTTAGGAGTGGAGTGGTTGTATCATACAATAGGCATCTAGTCAACTTTAGAAGGCTGTCAAACAGTTTTCCATAGTGGTTGTACCATTTTATATTCCCACCTGCAATGAATGAGAGTTCCAGTTGGTTCCACATCCTTGTCAAGCCCTTGATGTGGTCAGTCTTTCTAGTGTCCTTTGCCTTTCAAAAGGTTTATACAGTTTTCAAGATAAAGACCCAAATCTTGGCCGGGCGCAGTGGCTCATGCCTGTAATCCCAGCACTTTGGGAGGCCGAGGCGGGTGGATCACGAGGTCAGGAGATCAAGACCATCCTGGCTAACAGAGTGAAACCCCGTCTCTACTAAAAATACAAAAAATTAGCTGGGCATGGTGGCGGGAGCCTGTAGTCCCAGCTACTCGGGAGGCTGATGCAGGAGAATGGCGTGAACCCGGGAGGCGGAGCTTGCAGTGAGCCGAGATCCACTGCACTCCAGCCCGGGTGACAGAGTGAGACTCCGTCTCAAAAAAAAAAAAAGACTCAAATCTTTGCTTAGCACACGGGATCCTTACTGACTTTGCACTCACCATTCCCTTTTAATCTCACCTCCTAATTTCTACACAAGAACCCTTGGAACTAGTCATGAAACCTGTTCTTCGAATTCACAGTCTTTACACTCATTGAGTCTTCTAAGGAGTCCCTCCACCCCTCCACCTCCTCCTCTCTCCTCATGTCTGCCTGTGCCCCTCCATCAGCCTCCCTTACTTCCTCAACTTCCAGTAGAATAGTGAGGCTCCTCTTTTATGCTTCCATAGTTTGGTTAAGAGAACAAGCTTGTATCACGCAGACCAGGTTTGGCCCAGCCTCTCACACTTAACTCCCGTGCCACCAAGAGAAGCCACTGATTTTTTTGTTCTCAATTTCCTCATTTGTAACAGGCTGGTCATTAAACCTTTCTAGCAAAGTGGCTGTACAGACAAAATATACTAATGTATGCAAAGTGTTCATCACAATTTTGGGTATACAGAAGGGTCCATCTAAAGGTAGGTTTGCCATAAGGGATTGCTTGTTTGGTATAAAGGGAGGCACATTCATCTTTCAAATGTTTATTGAGCTTATAATAAAAAACAAGAGTTAGTATGGACGTGTGTGCCTGCTGTCAGGCACTGTGCTCAATACAGGCAGCAGCTTATTTCACCCTCACCGTCACTGTCTGAGGCAGGTAATGGTGTCATCTCCATCTTACCAACAAAGACATGGAGATGTAGAGAGGTGAGGCCATTTGCCCAAGGTCACTTGGCCAGAACTTGACAGATCAAGATTTGGCTAGGTCTGTGTCACTGCAGAGCCTTCTCTCACGTACTCCACATTCCACACTCCACTGTTTCCAAAATGTTCTGACTCTAGGCTAAGCCCTCCTCTAAATGTTGGGGTTGCGAGGAAGAGTAAGACAGCCCTCACTGAGGAAGACAAGCCGATAAGCAGATACTGCTTTTTGGTTGTTGTTCAGCTTTTATTTTAAGTTCCAGGTACATGTGTGGGATGTGCAGGTTTGTTACATAGGTGAACGTGTGCCATGGTGGTTTGCTGCACAGATCAACCCATCACCTAGGTATTAAGCCCATGTAAGCAGATAGTTCTAACCCAATGTGCTAAGTGTAAAGATTGAGTTACAAACGAAGAAGTGGAAGGGGCACAGAAGAGGGACACGCAGCCTTGTGAGAGTGGTTCACATATAATCTCTGGCAGAAAAGAAATGCTCAGCTGGTTTTAAAGGAACATCAGAAGCAAGCCAGGAGAAGTCAGTGTTTCCAGGCAGAGAGGACAGCATAAACAGAGGCATGGAGCCTCGTGGTAGGTGCTGGGAAAAGACAAGCACTTCGTGAGTGAAGCAGGGAGTTGTCAGAGCCAAGATGGTCTATACAGTTGCGCAGGATGTGCAGTGCCTGAGGATGTACATCTAAATAGGCATCACCCATCGTACATGTTGCAGATTCGTGTATTTATTCTGTCAGTTTCCTTGAAGATGACACTTAAGCATTTTGCTTTACCTGATATCAGAGCGTCACAACAATTTTCCAGTAGATAAAAGTAAAGTGTTGCAAGTAACAGGGGCCTATATAAATATGCATAAAAGTATTATTTGGGCTGGGAGTGGTCTGCTCAGAATTTCTTTCTAGGTGAATGTCACTGAAGATAGATAGTGAGAAGTGTGGATTTGTTGGGAGAAAGAGTGGAGTCAGAGAGCAGCTAGGAGACTATTGTAGAAATTCAAGTGAGAGATGAAGGCTTCAGCCAGATCAGTGTTGGCTTGGGATGGATTCGAGAAATTCTTAGGCAGGTATTATGTTACAATGGCTAAAGTGGATTAAATCCTAACTTTGTGAAGAGGATTTATAAATACAAAGTGTGCTTTTTTCCATGCAAAATGGTGTGTATAATTCTGGTCAAATTTCAAAATGATACATGATAAGAAGAAAAAATGGCTTACATCTTGTCTTAGTTTGAGTTCTCTCAGAAGCATACCCTAGGATAAGGATCCATGTGCAGTAATATTTGGCAGGTGAAAGAAACCCCATTGGGAGAGTAGGGAAATGGCACAGGAAGGGAAGGCGGCCAATTCATGCTGCATTATCAAACAAGTTACTACTATAGGCAACTGGAGCTCAATCCTGCTGGGAACCTCCTGGCAGCCAGTGTGGCACTCAGGCCTCAGTTATTCCACCTGAGGGGTGAGGGAGTAGTGGTATTTATTTGGTTGAGGACTGCTCTGGGCATGTGGCGGTGGGCGTTGATTCCTTGGCAGAACAGGTGGAAAAGCAGGTGGGCCCTGGAGGCTGGAAAAATCCCTCAGGCAGACATGCAGGTGCTGGAAGTTTAAAGTCCCCAGTTTGCACTGAAGTGGTAAAGGCACAGGGATGAGGGCGGGGCATCAACAACATCTGCTGCACATGGAAATTACTCTGTAAAGTTCTCAAAGGAATCAAATTCATTATGTCACTGGAACCTCCCAATAACCTTGTGAAGTAGAAATATGTGTGGTTTCCAACTAAGGCTGTATCTCTTAGGAATGGTCAGTTCCTCCTCCTCCTTCCACAGCTGATGTTCCAAATAGAGATGTCTCTTGTCACAGCCTTTCTCCTTTTTCTCATTACTGATTTGTTTAGATTCCTGTCTCCTGATCTAGATTGTGAGCAGTTGCATTTAGAAATTTTTTTATTACTCACCTTTGTTTTCCAGTGCCTCGCGAAAAGTAGGTGCTTAGAAAATGTGACTGTGAATGAACAACTGAATGATTATTATCATCATCACCATTTTAACTTTTTTTTTTTTTTTAAGCTTAGGACTGAGAGAGCTAAGCAACGTATCTAAAGTTACCCATCCGATTAGTGGCATCAGGGCTTGAACTCAGCCCTTCCACCTTCTTCTCGAAAGCATGCCTAATCTCTGTTGGGGATTCATAAACCCCACCGGCATATTAAATGTGGCGTATTTGAGGATAGGCCAACAACTATGAAGGAAGACCAGGACACTTCAGAAAGGGGAGCTGCTTTTCACATTGGGAATAGATATTGTATTTTATTATTTATAGTGTCTCAAAGTAAAATGAGGAAAGATAAATAGGGGCAAATGCTGTGACTCCCTCTAAAAGAAAACAGATATTTCTTCCAAATATTAAAGACAAGGGACCATCCCTGCAGGACCCAATATAACAATCTGAAGCTGAATGAGAAGCTGTGCTGTAAACTCCCTGCGCTCCTGGCTAAACCAGGGAGTCAAGGGTGATGACGGCACACATTGAGGAAGGCAGGCTCTTTTGTGCTTTTAGTAGAGCGTGCAACATAAGGGGTAGCAGCTGCAGGAAGGAAAATTAGTTCGAGTTTTCAAAATGAATTTAAACAAGCATTCTTGAGTGGCCTTGCAATATTTCTGCTAATGTAAAAGGCATGATTGATCTACATGTGTTTTTCTGCCTCTTTTCACACGTTAATTTATATCATCCTGGTGTCTTCTTACTTTTGTTTGGAAATGTTGCATATGCCATTTAAAATAGCGGATTTTATTTAAGCAGCATTGAAATGTTAAACTTTAAAAAGTCAACATTCATTTAAAGAGTCAATTTGAACCTTGCCTCCTCATCAAAAGATCTAAATTTGTGATTTTCAAATGTCTTTTTATCTGTGTTACCTCCATTTTACCTCTGTGTAAGATTATGGGTACAGGCTTCACTGTTGACTAGGTCTGTGTTTCAATCCTAGCCCTGCCACTTATAGATTGTGACCTTGAAAAAGATACTAAATCTCTCTAAATGCCAGTTGTCTCATCTATGCTAGGGAGGTGGCAATAGTTCCTCAGAGGGACCATTTTAAGGATTAAATGAGACAATGAGAAGAGTTTCTAAAATGTATACGGTATAGCATTTCCATATACTTAATCCTCATAACAGTTCTTTCAGGTAGGTATTGTTATTATCTCCCATTTACAGATAAGAAAACTGAGTCACAGATCAGCATCTTGCCTAAGGTCACACTAAAGCCCAGGGTCACACAGTTACTAAGTGGTAGTGTCAGAATTTGGACCTTGGCACATAATTAACTTAAAACAAATCATATTAAGTATTATTGTAAAACTCTGACCTGGAGGCTGATGACATGAATTTAAATTGAAGCTGCTGTGGTTGACATCGGATTAGGAAGCCCAGATCTTTTTCTGCCCCATGAGACGGCCACCGAGGCACTTCCTTGGAAAACAAGCGTACCTTGGAAACAACAAGACTTCCTAATGCTGGGAGAGAAATGCAAACATTAATAAAAAGAAGTGAAAACAGGCTGATGGATCCCTGTACATTATGTTCTGTTTGTACTGTCTTATGGACACTTCAGAAGTAACTACGTCTCCTTTTGTTCCACAAACAGACAGCTGTTATCTCTTAAGGTGACAGACAAGAGCCATGACAGCAGTTTTCTGGGGGACCCATTTTTATAAGATCCACACATAAGTATGTCAGTGGCACAACCAGATGGTTTTGCATTAAAGGTTGTGCCTAAATGACAATTTAAACTGTTTGAAAAATGTTAATTCATTGTTTCATCCATTCATTCATTCAACAAATATTGAGAGTACAAATAATGAATCAGACACAATTCTAGTGTGGGCTGAAGATATCGAAGCAGAAACCCAGCTATAGACCCTTACACCTCCTCCCTCTATGTCACCTTGGCACTTGCAAGTCCCCGCACCACCCACCCTGCCTACTTATTTCCTTCTGTGTGCAGTTTGGATGACTACTTTGTTGCACCCTCTCAACCCAGATACTGGCATCTTTTCCTACGTATACTTATATGTTCGGTGGTGCTTCTATTTTCTCTTCCAGTAAAGCATATGCATCGTTTCATTCTCTATTTTCAGTCCCGCCCTCCCACTGCCTTCCAACCAGGACTAACTTAACATGTAAATTTATTTCTCTTTCCACATCAGGTAGAAGGATAGGAGCTCATTTAACGTGGTGTCTTTGAAGGGAGAGGGCTGCCACAGCACTGAATTTGCTAGATTATCATGAGGCTTAACCTCAATAACTCATTTAACACCTAGCACAGGCCCTGGCACATAGTAGGCCCTCAGTTACATGTCATTTCCCCTCTTTAGCAACATGGTAGCTGAAATGAAATACTGTGAGATCATTTACCATTTATGTATTGTTATACATCTAGGGCTTAAATATATGGAAGCCATTTCTTCCTTTTGTAAGTTATCATCAAATAGAATTTATGAACCCTCAGATTCATGGGGTTGGGATGAAGAGTTTAAAATTAAAGCAATAAAGCCACAGTCTGTACTTTTGCTCTGAACTTCTTTTACACACATTTTTGCAGCTAATAATAATATTTTCCAGTTGTAAAGCCTATTTTTGACTTGGACATTTGCTACCATGGTTGGAGTTGTTTCATACTTATATTAACTGGTTATATGTACCAATGAGTTGAGTTCTAATTTTTCATGCATAAATTTGGTGCCTGGATTTATAAGCATTGTTACATGGACAGGGCAGCTGAAAAGTGAGATTTGAATAGAAGCGACTTGACATGCCATGGTTTTTAGGAATAATTACTTAATTAATTAATCTATTAAGCATGTACTGAGAGCCTGTGCTGTGACCGGCAGTAGGCTAGGTGCTGATAGTACAAACATGGAAGTGTTTCTCAGAAAGTTCATAGGCCATCAGCAGAGACAGTTCCATAAAGAAATGCTGTGTGGCGTGTGGAAAGTACAACAGCAGTATCTTTATGGTACTGTGGTAGCAAAAAAGCAGGAGCAATCAACTCATCATATCTTAAAATAAAGTTTTTGTTATTATTTAGGTATGATGAGGCCAACAGATCAGGAGATGAATAGATAGAAAAAATAGTTGCACTCAGAAACTTCAAGAGGAGAGGGTACAATGTGCTATGAGAGGCCATGTGGGGAAGCACTAGGGTCGATCAGGAGGTGGGGGTGGAGGAGGATGGAAGGGGCAATGTGGGCAACAGCCTTTCTTGTGATTAGACAAAGCAGAGTGAGCAGATTTAGGATTGGCTAGTTTGAATAATTTCAGCAGTCTCTGGCGTAAGGGCTGTTTCTAGTTGTCTGGTACCTGGCCCTGGGGTGATTCCGGCAGGTAGATGAGAGCTGATAAAGAAGGCAGTTGGGGGTACAGCCTCTGGATTGGTAGTTTGCATATCAAAGGCATGCTCCCAGGCTAGTTGTTTGCTCTCACTAGGAATTAGCTAACCCTTGAAGGGGCAGTCCCTCCAGGGAGACAGCAAGGCCTAAAATGTCAAAGTGTCAAAATAAACAAAATAAAAAAAACATGGTTAATACGACTATATGGGGCCAGAGCAGAGGCCTAAACCAGAAATAGAAGAACTTTCTGGGCAGAGGGTTTATCTTACACAAATGCCCAGGTACATGGAAGAATTTGTTTGTGTTTCCATATATTTGGAACCCGTAGTGAGGATACAACAGGAGCAGTAAGACTGGAGTGATGGTGTAGGGGTGGTGGTGTAGGCAGGGATCAATTCATGAAATTCACCTGGCTAAGGAATTTGGACACTATTTTAAAGTGAGTGGGGAATTGCTTAAGGGTTTTACATAGGAGGGTGACAATGATTTCAGTTTACTTCTGTTTGGTGAAAACCTATGTTACTAAATCTAAGCTACTTAAAAATTAATGAGGTTTCACATTTCATATTTGTAAGATAAACAACATGATATGTTTAGCACTACCAATGGTTATGTAAAAAATGTTTACTCTTTCTCTTCTAGGGTTATAAATCCTTAGTGTTTTTCCTGCACCCACAAAGCAAGCAGGTAGTATAGCAGAGAGTACACAGTGATAAAGCAGTAATTAGAGGACCAGTGTCTTGGTTATTGCATTGGTTGAGTCACCTAATTTCTCCAAAGAGGCCCAGTGGTTAAGATCTTCCACCGGACCCAGACAGTGATGTGAATCCTGTCTCTACCACTGACTATGTGACCTTGGGCAAGTTTTATTTAACTTATGTCTTAATTGCCTCATATGTAAAGTGGAAATAATAAGAATACCTATATTATAGTATTGATAAGAAGATTTGGATTTGTTTTCCCCACCCATCATGCCTATGCTGGCACCAACTGTGGGCACACCAATGCCATATGTAGTATTATGGTGGTCTATGCAATGTTGGGCTAAAGAATGCAAATCATAGCAGAATAAAGGGCAATGGGCTGATGCTCCTGGGAATCACTGGTACCATTGTATGCCTCAACACCCACGAGCAGCTACTCTTCCACAGTGGAGGAATGCAATATTGAAGACTATTGTTGTTGGTTGATGCCAACACCCTGTAAAGCTGGTTTGCTCTTCTAGATGTTGCTATAAATCAGAGATTGATAAATATTGTTTTCCTACTACTACTCTTCATGAGTAAGATGTGAACTTTTGGGAACCGACAGCTAGAAGGGAGTGGTGTTTTGCATTATTGCATCTAATGACCTCCTAGCAATATTTGTGCTGCTTGTCCTTTTGACTCTGGGTTCTATTTCTACCAGGAGACATAATAATTATTCCCTTAAATTGGAGTCTGCCAGTGCCCCCTTTGCCTTTCTTGTTCTTTATGCCACGAGGCGATCACACAAAAAGAAGTTGTATTTCAGCTGGGCTGGTTGAACTTGAGTAGCAAGGCAAAATAGAGTTGCTGTTATATAGTGAGAATAGAGAGAAGAAAGTATGGAAATGGTAGACTCTGCATGGAATCTTAACAGAAGACTGTTACAACCCCTCATAGGCAGATCCACCAAGGGTTCAAATCCCTAAATAATGAAAGTCTGCATTAATTAACTGGACAGAGAACCCCAATGACTGAATTGATGATTCAAAGTAAGAGAACATAGAATGTGTAGCTTTGACCTTCCTTAGTATTCCCTTCCTTGCTATTCTGTAGAGATGATAGATAGGTAGATAGACATATATAGATAGATAGATACGCGTGTGTCTCTCTCTATATATATCTGACTATATATATAGACATATGCATATATACACAGATATATGTATATATCTGTACACATACAAATGTGCACATGTACGCATATGTCTATATATTTCTATATATGTATGCATATGTGTATATATATATGTGTATGTATGCATGTGTCTTTATATACATATAGATACACACACACACACACATTAAAGCACCATAACATGAAAAGTGGATCCCGAAACTTAAAAAAAGTTATATTATTTTGAGATTGGTGAAAAAATAGTATTTATTACTTGGTGCTCTGGTTTGAATGTTTGTCCCCTCCCAAACACATATTGAAATATACTTGCTATTGTAGTAGTATTAAGATGTAGAACCTTTAAGGGGCGATTAGTTTATGAGGCTTCCACCCTGATAGATGGGCATGGAGCTACTATGACAGGATGAGTTCATCCTCCTCTTGTTCTCTCTTGCCCTTCTGCTTCCTGCCATAGGATGATGCTGCAAGAAGGCCCTTACCATATGCCAACTCCTAGATCTTGGAATTTACTGCCTTCAGAACTGAGCCAATATATTTCTGATCAGAAGTTATCTGGTCTTGGTTATTTCATTAGAGTAGCAAAAATGAACTAAAACAGTTGGTCTTTCAGTCATTATGAAATAAAATATCCTAAATTATTAGTTGTATGGGAAATACACCAATAATTACTAACACAATATGTCCTATAAGCTGAACTAAGAAAGTCCCAAATGATTATAAGGCAGTCATTCTCTAACTTGACCTTTCCCCTCGCCCCTCTCAAGAAGATAAGAATTTTTGTTTGGCCCGATTTTAGAATAGGAGCTGGGTGGAGGACAGAAGTCAATAAAAAATCATATTATATTACATTGGTGTATTCTTCATTTTGGGGTGAGAGAGTGAGTACACTTTTGGTTTGATATGTTTTTATTTTACCTGATAAAGATACTACCTGAACTAAGTCTTAAACATTTTGGAGGTAAGTTTTGTTAGTTTTCTTGCTGCCCAGAATCTATTCTCTTGGTTTTCTTTTGGGGCATTAGTTCTTTCACATTCGTGTCAGCTAGATGGCATTCTTAATCAAAGGGCCCTGCCCTCCTCTAGCCAATGAGTGGGCCGACATGTCCTAGGCCAATCACACTTTCCCTCCCCAGGATTTAAGAGCTTGAGCAGAGTGATGCACAGATGGAAACAAAGACTGGTAGAAGTGGACTCATCCCCATGGTGGCAGTACTCATGTTTCACTTTTTTCCAATAGGATTTCTGGAGCTGACCTGGTTCCTGCCCTTTCTGAGCCTGGTTCTTCTGATATTCATTCAATCTTGGGAACTATCCTATAGCCTTCCAAAAAAAATTTATTTTGTCTTGTGTTTATCAGAGATTTGGCATCTAACAATCCTAAGTACATCAGAATGGAAAAGCTTTTAAAGCAAGCAGGAAGAGGAGAGATAAGTTCTCCTGACATAGGGAAGACATGAGTAAACTGATGACTTTCTCAAGCAGTATGATGCGTCTGGATAATTCCAAGTAGATCAGACCAAGGAGTCAGTGCAAAATTAATCCTAAAGGAGTTTTTATCCTTGTGTGGTAATTCCCAGTAGGTGAGATATGAATCCAAAGGGTATTGGACAGTCTAAAAAACAAAGTTTCTAAGAATCCATATGTGGTCAAACATCATCTATAGACTGAATGAAAAATCCATGGAATTACTTTCATGTACTATTCTGTGAAAAAATTTGAAGTACAGGAAGTCTTACCATTCAAGTGGTACGGAACCATTTAATCTAACTCAGCTGTTCTCAACTGTAAAATGGTTAACATGCTTGTCTATCATGGCACAATTTGATACTAATATTAGTTGAAATGCCAAGGTTTATAGGTTCATTGTTTCTTTTATGAATTAGAGCATATTCTAGGCTGACTTTTCTTTAATCTATCTTGACTATTTGCATTCTGATTTGTTTCCTTGAATGGAAGACAATGGAGTAGAATTTTAACTGTGGCTCCAATAATTGCACACAAATCACCATCTATCCTATCTCAGTCACAGAGCATGATGAGCCACCGGTACTGCTGTGACATTGATGATTGTAGTGATAATGCATTGTCATGGTGTTTGTGAGTTGCAGTTTCATTGTCACTTCATGTTTTTTTTTCATTTTATCCATGGGTACATTTTTAAATTATTAAAAAATTCAAACATACAAAAGCTAACAGAACACTAAAAAAAATTTTCAAAATCCCTTTATTCAGATTTCCCAATTGTTAACATTTTATGCTTTACCACATTTGCCCATCTTTTCTCATAAGTGATATATACATATATACACACACACACCATATAGATACATGTTGTGTATATATAGTGTATATGGTATACATGTATATATGGTGTATATGACATCTCATGTATATACACACATATATGAAACATCATCTATACATATATATGGCATCATATGTGTGTGTATATACATGAGATACCATATATGCCATATATACATATATACCATATACACCATAACATATAGATAAATATATGATGTGTGTATATATATACATATAGACTATATGTACATATATATACACAGACACCATATATACACACCATATACGTACAAAATATATGAGTATATGCACCATATATATACGCACACCATATATATGTATACCATATATTTATATATACTATATATACACACATACAACATATATACATATACACCATATATATACCATATATATACCATATGTATAAACATATATGACATATAGACATATATGTATGTATATATGTATATAGTTTATATACCAGATATATATGCCATATATGTGTACCATATATACATATATATGGTATATATGGTGTATACATGTATACTGTATATATAGATGGTATATATATGCACCATATATATGGTATATAAGGATGGTATATATATGGTGCATATATATGGTATATATATGGCATATATAGAACATATACAGATATACATACACATATATACACATATGGTATATATGGTATATATGTATATGTATGGTGTGTATATATAAATATATGTGTATATATGTTGTATATATACATACACACAGAAATATACCATATATATATATGTAGAATTTTCCAGTAGAATTCCAGTGGAATTTTCCAGTAGAATTCCAATAGAATTCCCAACAGCAGGGGAATATACATTCTTCTAAAGCACAGAAGAAATATTCTCCAAGATAAACCACCTGTAAGGTCACAAAAGAAGTCTTAACAAATTCAGGAAGATTGAAATCATTCCAAGTATTATTTTTAACCACAATGAAATGAAACCAGAAATCTACAACAGTAGGAAAATAAAAGCATTCATAAATATGTGGCAACTAAATAACACACTCTTGAGCAATCACTGAATCAAAGAGAAAATCAAAAAAGACTATTTAAAATATCTTAAGAGGAACAAAAATGAAATGCAATATACCAAAAGTTATGCAGTGCAGCATAAGTAGTACTAAGATGGAAATTTATAACATTAAATGTTTACATTAAAACAGAAGAAAGATTACAAATAAATAACTTAACTTTATACCTCAATGACATAGAAAAGAAAGAACAAACTGAGCCCTAAATTAGTAGAAGAAAGAAAATAATAAAGATTAGTGCAGAAATAAATAAAATAGAAAATGGAAAAAAATACAAAATCTACAAACCAAGATTTTTTTTTGCAGAAATAAACAAAATCAACAATCTTTTAGCTAGACTAAGAAAGAGAAGACTGATAAATAGAACCAGAGATGATAGAGGAGACTTTACAATAGATGCCTCAGAAATAAAAAAGGAACATATGTTGGCATATGAAGAATTATATGCCAACAAATTGGATAACCTAGAAGAAAAGGATAAATTTCTAGAAACATACATTCTAACAAAACTCAATCAAGAAGAAATAGAAAGTCTGAACAGACCAACGACAAATAAGGAGACTGAAATGGGAAACAAAAACCTCCCAACAACAAAAAAAAGCATAGGACCAGATGGCTTCATGAGTGAATTCTCCTAAACATTAAAGAATTAATGGTGATTTTTCTTCAACTTTTTATAAAAATAGAAGAGGGAATACTTTCAAACTCATTTTATGAGACTAGCATCACTGATACTAAACGCAGACAAAGACACCAGAAGAAAACTTACTGATGAACATAGATGCAAATATCCTCAATAAAACACTAGCAAACCAAATTAAATAGCACATTAAAAGGATTATACATCATGGCCAAGGAGGATTCATCCCTGGGATGCAGGGATGGTTCAATATGCATGAATAAATCAATGTGATACACCACATTAACAAAATGAAAGAAAAAAAACAATGATTATCTCAATAGACACAGAAAAAGTATTTGACAAAGTGTGGCATCTATTAATAATTAAAACTCTCAACAAAATAGAAATAACTTATCTCAACACAAGAAAGGCCATATATGAAAAGCCCATGGCTAACATTATCAATGAAAATTGAAAGCTTTCCCTCTAAGATCCAGTACAAGGCAGGGATTCCCACTCTCACCACTTACATTCAACAAAGTACTGGATGTTCTAGCCAGTGCAATTAGACCAAATAAATAGAAATAAACATCTGAAAATAGAAAAATGGAAAAAAAATCTGAACCAGAAAGGAAGAAGTGACATTGTATAATAGTTTATTTCAAGCTGAAAGAAAGGAACAAGAAAAATTCTGTTTGCAGATGACATGATTGTATATGAAGAAAATATTAAAGACTCAACATAAAACTGTTAGATAATAAATTCCATAAAGTTGCAGGATACAAAAATCAAAATGTGAAATTAGTTTAGTTTTATACACTAACAATGAAATATTTGAAAAGAAAATTAAGAAATAAATCCTGTTCACAATAGCAATAAAAATTAAAATACTTAGGAATAAATTTAACCTGAGAGTTGAATGATTTGTATACTGAAAGTGTAAAACATTAGTGAAGGAAATTAAAGAAGACACGGATAAATGGAAAGACATCCAAGTTCATGGATTAAGAAAGAATATTGTTAAAATGTTCATACTACCCAAAGTGATCTACAGATTCTATATAATTCCTATCAAAATCCCAATGGCTATCTTTAAATACATAGAAGAAAATTCTAAAATTCATATAGATCCCAAAATGACCATGAATAGACAAAGTAATATTGAACAAGAAGAATAAAGCTGAAAGCATCACTCTCCCTGATTTTAAAACATATTACAAAGCTACATTAATCAAAATGGCATGATACTGGCATTATAAAAAAAGACATATGAACTAAATGGAACAGAATACGGATCCCAAAATAAATCTATGCCTTTAAAGTCACTTGATCTTTACAGAAGTGCCAAGAACACACACTAGGGAAGGGAAGAGCACACACTAGTCTCTTCGATAAATGATATTGGGAAAACTGGATATCCACATGCAGAATGAAATTGGACCCTTATCATACCATATACAAAAAAGAACTCAAAATGGATTAAAGGCTCAAACATAAGGCCTGAAACTATAAACGACTAGAAGAAAACATAGGGAAAAAGCTTCTTGACAATGGACTGGGCAATGATTTTTTTGGATATGACAGCAAAAGTACAGGCAACAAAAGCAAATATAGACAAATGAGATTACACCAAACTAAAAAGCTTATTATGGTCAGCAAAGAAAACTATCAGCAGAATGAAAAGGCAATATGGGAAGGGCAGAAAATATTTATAAACCATACACCTGATAAGGGGTTAAAATCCAAAGTATATAAGGAATTAAAAAACTCAATAGCAAAAAAACACAAAACAAAACAAAAAACAGATTACAAAATGGGCTAAGGACCTGAATAGATAATTTCTCAAAGGCATGTAAATGGCCAACAGGTATATGAAAAAGTACTCAACATCTCTGATCATCATCAAAACCACAATGAGATATCACCTCACGTTTGCTGAAATGGCAAAAGATAAGTGTTGGCAGGAATGTGGAGAAAAGGGAACCCTTATTTGCTGTTGATAGGAGTGTAAATTGGTTTAGCCATTATGGAAAACTGTATGGTGGTTCCTCCAAAAATTAAAAATAGAACTACCATATGATCTAGAAATTCCACTTCTGGGTGTATAGCCAAAGTAAATGAAATCATTATCTCAAAGATACTGAGTGGAAATGGAGATGTCTGCACTTCCATGTTTATTACAGCATTATTCACAATAGTTGACATATGGAAACAATATTAGTATCTATAGAGAGACGAATGAATAAAAAGAGTGGTGCATATATATATATACATATATATATACATATATATACATATATATACATATATATACATATATATATACATATATATATTTAGCCTTTAAAAAGGTATCATTCATGTATGCATATATATACATATATTTATACACACATACATCAATATTTATCTATATATCCATTAAAAACCATGAGTTCACACTGATATCTCCCATTCCACTCTAACACCTTAGAGCTCTTTCTAGTCTTCCCCCTTTCTATATTTGTAATCCTTTCTTTGACAGTGGGAAACTTATTTCCATTATTTGCAATACACTTATTTATTTGTTCAATCCTTCTGCACCAACCTTTAGGTCATGCAGCTGTCTCTTTGGTCCTCAGCCTTGTTGCTGCCTCTCTAGCCTTGTTGCACTTCCTGGTCTCACTGCCCCCCTCCACAGCACCACTGCCTCCTTGGGCCTCCCACCCTGTAGCCAGCCCTCCTTGGTCCTGCAGCCTTTCAGCTCCACCCCTTTCCTGGTGCCAGCTAGGCCATCATTTCCAAGGAAAAGGGAAAGGAGAGGAAGGAGAAAGGAAAGAAAGAGGAAGCGCTTCTTTCTTAAAAGTTAAGAGGTCAAGCATAGACTCGGGCTTTGGGGAAAATGATAGATTGCATATTTTTGAAAAGATCTCTCGCTGACAAACATCTCGATGATGGGTAAATTAAAATCAAACAAACAAAAAAGTTATAAATACATTACTAAATGTGCAAAAAGTAAGGGGATTGTCCCAAGACCAGTAAACCCCAACAACATAATAAATAAAGGAATATTACAAATTAAATCGTCAGGAGCTGAAACCAGAGGGATCCAGGGGCACAGCAACCTGGGGATGTCCTGCGTGGGGGAGGGGAAAGAAATGCAGTTACCCTTAAAATAGAACTTTGGAGATTAATGACACATACAGGGATGAGGAATACTAAACTGAGACCTCTGCAATGCAGGCAGCTGAATGGGTCACTCCCACATTCACTGGGGACACTATAAGTGTGCACACTCTCACTGAAAGAGTAGGCTAGAAATTGACACTGAAACTGGCCTATCTCTGCCAGGTGGAAAAACAGAGGTATCTTCTGGGAATTTGCTACCATTGACCTACTCTCATGTGGTATTTGGAATTCAAATTTATATGACCTCTGTGGCCAGTGAAATAGCTAACAGATGAAATTCAACAGGTTCTGGCATCCGGAACTTTTTCAGATCTTCTTTGGAGAAAACCAGACCTTATATGAGCTCGTGGTTTTAAGCAACTCAATCTTAGCAAACATATGTTTGAAAATCAACAGAAATAACCAATCAAAGATTTGAGCCCTATGAGCTTCAGATATTTGGGTTATCAGAGACATAATATAATACACCTATTACAGGCTGAATTATGTGTCCCTCCCCCAAATTCATATGTTGAAATCCTGAGCCCTGATATCTCAGTATGTGACTACATTTGGAGACAGGGTCTTTAAAGAGGTAATTAAGTGGGAAGGAGGTCATTAGAGTGAACTGTAATCCAATATGACTAGTGTCCTTATAAGAAGAGAAAATTTGAACACAGTCTTGCACAGAGGGGAGATGATGTGAAGACACAGGCAGAAGACAGCCATCTACAAGGCAATGAGAGAGGCCTGTAATAGATCCCACTCACAGCCCTCAGAGGGAATCAACCCCACAGACACTTTGATCTCGGACGTCTAACCTCCAGAACTGTTAGACAATAAATTTCTGATGTTTAAGCCACCCAGCCTATGGTACTTTGTTACGGCAGTCCTGGAAAACCAGTACAATAATTATGTATGAAATGTCAAAGAAATGAAAAGAAAAGAAAGCAAAGAACAAGAGACTATCAAAAACAATCAGATATATTTAGGGAAAAAATATATAATCATTGAAATTATGAACTGCTAAAAGCATCTAGAACTCTTATACACTGATGGTAATGTTACTGGCACTGCACTCTGGGTTCTTGAAATCTCCCAGGATAGAAAATCAAGAGAGATCACCAGACATAGTAACAAAGAGAAAGTGAAAGTTTTTTGAGTTTGTGCACAAGAAAGCGAGCACAATGAAAGGAAAATGGCGGGCTGCTCCCCATGGTAGTATATGGGTTCGTTTCATAGGACATTTCCATAGGGAAGGGTTTCATCAGGGCATGTAGAGGAGGGGTTTCTTTAACACATGCGCAGTGGCTTTACATGGTTCTTCGTATACTGTATGCAACCTTAGCATTTTAAATCTCCATCCCAGGCATGAAGTTTAAGTCTAACTGTGCATGTGGGAGCCCTCAGGGAAGTCCCTACCCCACTAACACAGGAACCTGTGGTTAATAGCTTCTTGGGTCCTTTGTTGCTGATTGACTGGAAGTTAGATAAGCTACAGCTTGAGTAAGGGGCTCTTGTTCTTTTGCTCTAAACCACATTAAATAAGGAAACCAGCCTGCCTACCCTTTTCAGTGGGAATGTAAATTGGTACAAATACTTGGAAAGATTGGTTGTATCTATTAAAAGTGAATGTGGCCAGGCGCGGTGGATCAATCCTGTAATCCCAGCACTTTGGGAGGCAGAGGCGGGTGGATCACCTGAGGTCAGGAGTTCAAGACCTGCTTGGCCAACATGGTAAAACCCTGTCTCTACTAAAAATACAAAAATCAGCTGGGCGTGGTGGGGTGCACCTGTAATCCCAGCTATTTGGAAGGCTGAGGCAGGAGAATCGCTTGCACCAGGGAGGTGGAGGTTGCAGTGAGCAGAGATCATGCTATTGCACTCCAGCCTGGGCGACAAGAGTGAAACTCTGTCTCAAAAAGAACAAAAAACAAAAACCTGAATGTATAGCAAACTTTATGACTTAGGATTTCACTCCTAAGTTACACATTGGTTATATGCACCAAAACCATGACCTTGAATAGTTCAGAGCAGCACGGAGTGTAGTAGCCTGTAACTGGAAACTACCACATTGCCATCAACACAGGGTAATGATAGACACATAATGTCACATTCATATAGTGGAAAGCTATGCAGCAAAGAGAAAGAACGAACTACAACTACATATAACAATATATAAGAATTTCACAAATATAATTCATGAAAGAAGTCAGATGCAAAACAGTGTATGTGGTCAGCCCCCAATATCCATGGGTTCTGCATCCATGGATGCAACCAACGGCAGATGGAAAAATATTTGAAAAAAATTGTGCCTGTACTGAACATGTACAGATTTTTTTCTTGTTATTATTCCCTAAACAATACAGCATAACAACTATTTACTCAGCACTTACATTGTATTAGGTATTATAAATAATCTAGAGATGACTTAAAATATGTAGGAGGATGTGTGCAGGTGGCAGGCTATATGCAAGTACTATGCCTTTTTACATAAAAAAACTTAAGCATCTGTGAATTTTGATATCTGAGGGAGGTCTTGAAACCAATCCCTCATGGATACTGAGGGATGACTGTACTTATTAATATAATCCTATTTAGATAAAATTCAAAAACAGAATAAATTAATTTATGCTCTAGAAGTTCAGATAATAATTATCTTTGATGGGGGTAGGTGATTGAAAGGAAGTACGGAGAGGGCTTTGGGGTTGCTGATAATGCGTTTTCTGATCTGGGTGCTGGTTACACAGATGTGTTCAACTTGTGAAACTCATTACATTGTAAGTTTAGGACCTGTAAATGTATTTTTATGTACGTATATTAAACTTCAATTAAAAGTTTGGGCATAAAAATAATGCTAGCTTGGGAGACAGTGAATAGTGTATCAACATGTATTTATTCAACAAATATAATTTTTCACCTACTCTTGTAGTTACTGGGGATATAGCCATAAAAGAAAAATCTTGCCCTTAAAGAGCTTATATTCTGTTAGCAGAAGGAGAATACACATAAGCAAATGAATAAATGCATGATAAAATTGCAGGGAGTGACAAATGCACGGAAGAAAATTAAAGTACCTAAGGGAACAGATGGTGTTGACTGGAACAGTCGGGGTAGGTGTCCCTGAAGAAGTGGCAACAGAGTAGAAACTGGAAGGAGGGGAGATCTGCCTTTGCCAGTGTGTGTGGCAAACTGTGTGAAGATCTGAGAGGCTGCAAAGGCCCTGAAACTGAGAAGAACCTCATGGTCCTGGGGAAGGGAAGAGGGGAAGCCCAGTCCCTCTTTAAAAATAAAAATTGGCAGTATTTAGCAATATTTTTCTCATTAAATGAGATGTTCAGCTGATTACATGTCCATGAGGCTCTTCTGATAATTATTCGTGATAGTATTTGCTTTGCTTGGCACAAAGTGAGAGGAGTAGGCTTTGGCCAGCAATAGGTGGATTCTTGTTTCTAAATGACATTTATTTTGTGTATTGCAGGGGAAAAACACTGACAGGCACTGTCCTTGGCCAGGAGAAGCCACTGAAGAAAATTAAGTAGAGCAGTGGCATGATGAGACTTGTGTTTTAGAAGTATTATTCCAGCCACCATGTAGAGAATTCAGAGGAAGGAGAAACATACAGCTAGAAGATGCCTGAGATGAGGAGAGAGTCATTTTAGAACTGGCAGCACAGAGCAAAACCAGCCAACAACCTAAAGCAGCATAATAAAATTACACTATGAAAGGGGCTTATTTCAGATGCTGATAGCAATTGTGCTGCCTGTGGAAGGGTTAAGCTGTTAGAGGTGTCTTTCCCTCAAGCTATAAGCTGTTAATGGGGACTATGCTGATGACACTAGGCTCCCAACTTAGTCTTCATTTCGTGGAGTACGTTTTCACTTAATACATATAAATACTGATGGAGGGCTTGTTGGTCTTTTTAGTTTTGTTTTGTTTTTAAACTTAGATTCAAATCACTCTTGGGATCCAAACCAATTTAGTAACTCATTTCAAATTCTTACAAATATCATGTAAAATTCTGCTTGGCACCTTTTGAACTGCATCCTCTGCATCAAGCAAGAAAACATATTGCTGAATTATTTAGATAAATTACTGAGAAAGAAAACAGACCAGTTTTAACTGGACATCACTTCTCTTTTTTATTCTAGAACAACCTGCATCCAAGAAAGAAAGTTTCCCCCCATGCTTTCCTGTCATCATAATGTCTTCCCCCAATCAGCCTCACTCAGATCAGAAGGGAGGATTAACCCCATCCTCCCCACCACCCCTTCCAACAGTGGCTTTTAATAAGGTGATGCTGAGAGAGAAGAGTCTGCTACCCTTCAGCGTGAGTGAAGGGTACTCACTGCTGAGTAAGTCTAGCTGGCCAGGGCACACAAGGGATTTTCATTTCTATGTGGGCATCAGCTCTGGATCTTTCCTTGGGCCTATCATGAATACTCACAATTGCTGTTGTAGTTGCTCTGCTTATAGTATAAAGGTAAAGGACCTCTTCAACCCTTCAGGTTAACTAAAAAGCACTTGTTGAGGTCCTACACATGTACTGGTTGGACGTTTTAAGGAACTGACTCATCCAGGATACCTTTGATAATTGGGTTTATTGCAAAGATTCACTGTAGAGTGGATTATTATTAATATATTTTCAGTCCGTGAAAGAGACAGCTAACTGTCTCCTAATATTCTTTCTCTCCTTCTTTCTGTGGTTGTAGAGCCTTCACTCAACTCCACCATATTTTAGCAGGGCACACAGCTAGAGGCATTCAGTTAAAGGCAACATTTCCTAGTTCTCCTGGCAACTAGGTATGATCACATTTCCCAAAAGAGTATGAATGGAAGGGAAGTATGCAACTTCCATTACTTTCCTTAAAGAAATTTGGTTGCCTTCCAGGTACTCACTTTCTGTTTTCCCACTGGCTGGAAATGAACACTGTGCTTCTGAGATAGCTTTGATGATGTGACTAGGACTACTCCCTAGGAGATGACAGAGCCCTTATTACTCAGAAGCCAGGGAGTTTGACATGTATGGTTTCTCATAAAGTTAACTGAACCACAGATCATACTCTGGAGCCAGACACAATGCGTTCAACAATAGAAAATATATTAGCAATATATTGCCAGGCTTCTAGAACATTTTATTTACAATATATTGAGATGCATCCGTTGTCTTCTAAAGGCTTTGCTCACCCTGACATTCTTAGTCCTTTACTTTCAGGAGGTGAGCTAGTGCCAAAGCACTCCACCCAGGTTGTCATATAAGCTGGTTAAGGGACACAATGGAAAGGTCTATTGCTTAAAAATCATTCATTAGTGTCTGAAATTCTTAATAAAGAAAATTCATCCTTCTAAAACACAAATTGGAAATTCATCACCTTGTTTTAGGGGAACGTTTTCTGTTCCAAAATGAAAATATCTCTGGAATATCAAGAGTGGTGAGAAATCTGAGATTTTACCCACTCAGAACCAAACAAATTACCCTGCCACAATTTCATGGATACTGGCAGGAGATATGAGACTCCTGGGTCAGAGACAAAGGACTTTATTTATTATTGAAAGCACAACAAGCCAACAAGCAGCATGAACTTCATATTTACATTGGTTCTCTTCACCTGTCAAATCCCAGTGGGGAGATTTGGTGGCACACCTAGGTGATGATGTGCACATGGTGGGTACACACTGCAAATGAAAAAACCCATATCTTTATATATATATATATCTTTATATATATATTTGTATTATACTTTAAGTTCTAGGGTACATGTGCACAACGTGCAGGTTTGTTACATATGTATACATGTGCCATGTTGGTGTGCTGCACCCATTAACTCATCATTTACATAGGTATATCTCCTAATGCTATCCCTCCCCCCTTCCCTCACCCCACAACAGGCCCTGGTGTGTGATGTTCCCCTTCCTATGTCCAAGTAATCTCATTGTTCAATTCCCACCTATGAGTGAGAACATACAGTGTTTGGTTTTTTGTCCTTGTGATAGTTTGCTGAGAATGATGGTTTCCAGCTTCATCCATGTCCCTACAAAGGACACGAACTCATCATTTTTCATGGCTGCATAGTATTCCATGGTGTATATGTGCCACATTTTCTTAATCCAGTCTATCACTGATGGACATTTGGGTTGGTTCAAAGTCTTTGCTATTGTGAATAGTGCCACACAATAAATATACGTGTGCATGTGTCTTTATAGCAGCATGACTTATAATCCTTTGGGTATATACCCAGTAATGGGATGGCTGGGTCAAATGGTATTTCTAGTTCTAGATCCCTGAGGAATCGCCACACTGTCTTCCACAAGGGTTGAGCTAGTTTACAGTCCCACCAACACTGTAAAAGTGTTCCTATTTCTCCACATCCTCTCCAGCACCTGTTGTTTCCTGACTTTTTAATGATTGCCATTCTAACTGGTGTGAGATGGTATCTCATTGTGGTTTTGATTTTCATTTCTCTGATGGCCAGTGATGATGAGAATTTTTTCATGTGTCTGTTGGCTGTATAAACAGACACTTTTGAGAAGTGTCTGTTCATATCCTTCACCCACTTGTTGATGGGGTTGTTTTTTTCTTGTAAATTTGTTTGAGTTCTTTGTAGATTCTTGATATTAGCCCTTTTTCAGATGAGTAGATTGCAAAAATTTTCTCCCATTTTGTAGGTTGCCTGTTCACTCCGATGGTAGTTTCTTTTGCTGTGCAGAAGCTCTTTAGTTTAATTAGATCCCATTTGTCAATTTTGGCTTCTGTTGCCATTGCTTTTGGTGTTTTAGACATGAGGTCCTTGCCCATGCCTATGTCCTGAATAGTATTGCCTAGGTTTTCTTCTAGGGTTTTTATGGTTTTAAGTCTAACATTTAAGTCTTTAGTCCATCTTGAATTAATTTATTCAATTAGGAAAAGAGGAAGTCAAATTGTCCCTGTTTGTAGGTTACATTATTGTATATCTAGAAAACCCCATTGTCTCAGCCCCAAATCTCCTTAAGCTGATAAGCAACTTCAGCAAAGTCTCAGGATACAAAAGCAATGTGCAAAAATCACAAGCATTCTTATACACCAATAACAGACAAACAGAGAGCCAAATAATGAGTGAATTCCCATTCACAATTGCTTCAAAGATAATAAAATACCTAGGAATCCAACTTACAAGGGATGTGGAGGACCTCTTCAAGAACTACAAACCACTGATCAATGAAATAAAAGAGGACACAAACAAATGGAAGAATATTCCATGCTCATGGATAGGAAGAATCAATATCGTGAAAATGGCCATACTGCCCAAGGTAATTTATAGATTCAATGCCATCCCCATCAAGCTACCAATGACTTTCTTCACAGAATTGGAAAAAACTACTTTAAAGTTTGTATGGAACCAAAAAAGAGCCCACATTGCCAAGTCAATCCTAAGCCAAAAGAACAAAGCTGGAGGCATAATGCTACCTGACTTCAAACTCTACTACAAGGCTACAATAATCAAAACAGCATGGTACTGATACCAAAACAGAGATATAGACCAATGGAACCGAACAGAGCCCTCAGAAATAATACCACACATCTACGACCATCTGATCTTTGACAAACCTGACAAAAACAAGAAATGGGGAAAGGATTCCCTATTTAACAAATGGTGCTGGGAAAACTGGCTAGCCATATGTAGAAAGCTGAAACTGGATCCTTTCCTTACACCTTATATGAAAAAATGCATATCTTTCAAAGGCTCTTTGTAAACCTGCTCAACTTTGGAGACATTATCTTTATTATGCTAGGTCAGGAAACATACATGTTTTCTGTTTTCGAGGAAGACACTATCTCTATCTTCGAAGGCTGCTTGTTTAACAAACATCCTTGACAAGGTAGCCTGGAACAAAAGCTGATAGGTGACATGCAGAAACACCATGGAGAATTGTCAACTGACATCTAAGAGAAAGAATATTAAGCCTTTATCAACTTTACACACATGACCAAGTGTACCTAAGGACACTCTTTAAGACTGGCTGTCTAAGAATGCTTCCTTAAGAAAGGAAAGGCAAGCATATCAGGCAGCTTTCAGAGTCTCAGAGACCTGGTATTCAAAGAGTGACAGATCTGGATTCAGTATTCAATGCAGACCTTGGAGTAGCAGTAAGGATGTTTCTGTTGCATACTTGACTTAGCTCCCATGGCTCCCTCTGCCAGGAACACGATTATCTCCCTCTTTACCAGAATAATTTCTTCATTTTTTTCTGTAAGACTCTGTTGAGGCACCGCCTTCTTTGCAAAACCTGCCCTGAGCCCTTGCCTCCAACTGAGATAGGCATCTATAGCTGCGTTTCCAAGACATTCCTTTTACTTTTCTCTGCAATACAGTTTATCACACTATATCATTATATGTGTAAGATAAGTTTCCCTGAATCTATTGACACCTTCTTGAGGGTAAAAACTGCATATCTCTCTGTCTGTCTGTTTTTCAATAAATGAAGAACTGAACTAGATTGGCAAGAATGTCAGTATAGTTATATGTCAAATTATGACATTTAAATCAACAACGGACTGCACATATGACAGTGGTCCTATAAGATTTTCATACCATATATTTACATTACCTTTTCTATGTTTAGATACACAAACAGTTACCATTGAGTTACAATTGCCTACAGTATTCAGTAGAGTAGGCAATTATTCAGTAGGCATATGGTATTTAGTATGCTGGACAGGTTTGTAGCCTAGGAACAACAGACTATACCATATAGCTTAGGTGTGTAGTAGGCTACACCATCTAGTTTTGTGTAAGTATACTCTGTGATGTTCACTCAATGATGAAATCACCTAAAGATGCATTTCTTAGAATGTATCCTGGTCAGTGATGCCTGATTACACCTACATTTGGTGTTGCATCTCCTGCTTTCTTTAAATTAAATGCAAATTATATACTAGATAATAATTTTCTGCAGAGCAATGAGCTTGCTTTGAATTCCTTGATATTTCCCTAAGAATGGCACTCATATTGGGTAGGATCCTGTCTTTGGGGAGTTACAAAGTCTAAATGAACAAGAAGTTAGTTAAGGTTAGGTTAGATGCCAAAGAAGCCCAGCCAATTGTCCTGGACTCCAAGAGACCAATCTTGAAAGCAATCTTGGTATTCAGAGTGACTTTACACTTATCTGTTAGTCAAGGTGCAAGCTAAGCTTCTGTAACAAGGAGACCCCGAAACTCGGTAGCTCACCATAGATAGAAGCTTATTCTTCATGTAACAGGACCAAGATGAGTAGACAGTTCTGTTCCAAAGATCAAAATTCCATTTTAGTCTGCCATTTAAGGTCATTTTTTCCATCTCTACTGTTTGGAGTCTGAAAGCAATCAGTTTTACTGGTCTTGCAAGACCCCACATTTTTGGACTTTCCATTTACTTCATTTCTGCCTGAAATTGCCCAATTCTTTCCTGAGATATTATTTATTTTGTAATATTGCCAAATGGCCAATAACAACAACTATTAAATTTTAGTTTTCCAACCTCTCTTCTTAAGATGCCTGCTCAGCAGACACATGACCTGCTTCCTGTGCTACCTCTGAAGATGGTTCCACCAAATACATTACATAGATCTCCATCTCTCCAACTTCAGACAGCAGGTTTCTCAACACTCATGGCTAGGCCAGTGCCACATATTTTAGCTTTAAGTTTTTGTTTTTGCTTTGTTATTTGGTGGTGGCTCACCACTTCTCTTTCCAATATTTGTATTCATCAAGGTAAGACGATGTGATAGATTGTATTATTATTCCCAATTATTTGTTACCCCTCCCTGTGAAAAGATCACACAGTTCTCTGCCCCATTGTAATAAGGCTTGGTCATGTGGCTTTTTTTGAACAATGAAATGAAGGCAGAAGCATTATGTACCATTTCTGAACAGAAGGTGTAAAAGCCTTCATGTAGTTCCACCAGTTCTCTTGCCTCTTCTATGTCTTGAACAATGGTATTCAAGAAAAGGGCTGCTTCTTACCTCTGAACCTGTGAATGAAGATGACTCATATGGCAGAGAAACAGCCAATCCACAGCCACATCTGATGGGAGAACATCTAATAGTGTTATAAGCCACTGGTATTTTGTGGTTGTTTTCCCAGCATAACTTAGTGAAAGCTGACACTGTGAGACTACACTGCAGTAATAAATAAATCTCAAAATCTCAGTGGCTTGGCATAAAAGAGTTTAATGTTCTCATTTAGGGAAGGCTAGAGGGGGCTCCATTTTCTCCAGGATACAGTCTTCTTTTAGGCATTGCTAAATTAATTGTCATGAACAACTACGGCTTTGAACTTACCTGACCAGCTTCTATTTGGATCATGTATAACCAAATCCACTGAGATGGGACCTCATGAAGGTCTGAATTATTATTTTATTTTCTTGTATTTCAGATCCTCTTAGCTTGTTTACATAGTTTGACTCTTGCCATTTTGAGATTTGTTTTGATTTTGGATGTACTATGTTTTTAATCATTAAAGAAGGATTAGTTTGGTTGGTCCAAAATGAATTTTATACTGCTTTCCAAATTCAGTATTCTTTTGAACTTATTCCAGGAACTGCACTGAAGTATTGGTCTCAAGATGTAGAGTGCTATCTGGGCCTCTGCAATCCTGGTGTGATGGGGGAAGGTTTAGACTCAAGATTCTACCTCTTTGCTCAAAATGCTCAAAACTCACATAGCATTTCTAAATGTACCAAAGCGATCTGTTTACTTCTCCCTTATCTAAAGATGGTAATTAAAATTAGCTCAGTGCTGAAGCTCTAAAAGCCTTTGAACAGATTTTAGCAGCTCAGTCTGTCTTTGATCAGGAATGTTCGCTTAGGTGTTCCAACTCTTTTAAAAACTCTTCAGTAATTTTCCAAGCCTCTTGTCTATCACAACTGACCGATGGCTGCTCCAACTTCCAACCCTAAAGGAGTCTAAAATCATTTCTCTGACATTCTCATTGACTAATTGTACTTTGATTGGTGTCAGCTGCTGCCAGCTGTGATAAAACTGTTTTCAGTAAGCCTTGACATTCTAGAGATGACATTAGGTCACTTCTCACACTTATAAACAGGAAAGTTTTAGATTCACAAAGGGAATTGATGCTATGGATAGCCTTTCCTTTAACAGAACTAAATTAAGAACTGACTATGTGCCAGGTACTGTCAGAATGGGGCAAAATCTTACTCACTTCTCCAAATTTTCATTGAAAGGAGCAAATTCATGTTATTGGAAAAGATGGTGTGGCCAGGTTGAGGGAAGCATTGCCCAGCTTTGAAATTGCTATATGTGAAGGAAGAGCCCAATGTGTGGGTGGAGAAGAAGAGACACAGTGAAAGTCCACAACACCACCAGCTTACACAGCAGGACACATGATGTGACAGGTGTGTGAGTGTGTGTATGTGTGTGTGTGTGTGAGAGAGAGAGATCTTCATTCACTTGTACCTCTGAGAAAGGCAGCTGTTATTGGAATTCCCGGAGTGCAGGCCAGTATGAAAATAGCAGACTATAACGTGGTGCTTACTACACACTAGGCAGTGTTCTATGGACTTTATATGCAGTAACTCCTTCCATCATCACAACACCATCATGAGGTAAGTACTACCATCCCCATGTGTAGATGAGAAAACTAACTCCCTCCTGGTACTCACTTAAGGGCTTGTAATTGACTCAGATGATCAGTTAAATTGTGCAGACTCTTAACAAAGGTGGTTGTGCCTATTAGAGGAGAAGGAAAGCAAGAGCCCCAGCTCACGTTCTAGCTACCACATCACACGTGGAAAAGAATCAGAACCATGGGCACAGAGATGAGGCTCCCGAAGTGATAGCCCTGGGGCTGTAGCTTCTTCCCAATTTCCCTGGGCAGCTAGACTTCTCATCTCACAAAGTGACACTACAGTCAATCTAAATCCTTTCCTTTTTTATTTGTCTTGAGTCTGAAATATTTCATCAGGGACCCATGTCCTCTGGGGCAGAATCTGCCTGAATTCCTCATGCTGGGCAAACAGCCATCTCTCCGCAGAGCAGGAAAATGGAAAACTCACTGGGTATTTTAGAAGAGGCATTGGCTCAAAAGACAGCAGATATGCTAACACACCTGGGGCAACTGTTACCCTACAAGTCACAAGAAGAAGGGAACTCCCAGATAATGACTCATTTGTATTCTCAATAAGAGAGTATTTCATTCATAATACAGAAGCAGGCAGTCCTTAAAACAGTCTTGAAAGTAAAAAACATTTCTTGGAGAAGAAAAACATGAACTCTGAATGCATACAGTGGAGGAAGCAGGCAATAAGTTAAACATAGTAGAAAACTCAATTAATGAATAAAAAATAAGCTTTATAACTTGTCACAAGACATGAAGGAAAAGGATAAAGTAATGGAAATCATGACAAAAAAGAGACGTGGGACATTATCCTGGTGATTTGACATCAGGTAATTGAAATGTCTTTAGGAGAAGATAGGTGGAGGGAAGTAACCAAAGAACTAGTCAAAGAAAATATCTTTAAATGGAGGAAAAACATGAATCTTAGAGTTAAAATAATTAAAATGACTCTATCCCAAAGTTTTAAAATCTCAATGATTTCTCAATCCTTCAAAGCATTCCTGAATGCAATTTTGAGGAAAACAAATGGATTCATTATAAAGGAAAATAATCTAGTTGACATCAGAACTTTTCTGTTTAAAATGAACACTGTCAGAGAACAATGACACATTGTCCACATAATTTCCAGGGGCAAAATATGTTCCCAGAATTCTAGTCCTACCCACATTAGTCTTCAAATGGCAGGGTAGAGGAAAAACAAGTTCCAATGTGCACAGCTTCAGAAAGCATACTGTCAGTGTATTCTTCCTGAAAAAATTACTTGAATAAGTGCTCCAATGAACCAAGAAATTAGTCATAATAAAGAATTTAGAAATCAGGAAGATTTATCAAAGGAAATGTAATGAAAGATGGAGCTAGTGAAATAGTATTACATTTAGATTACTAATGCTAATGTAGTTATGAAACTTACTGCAAATGTCAAAAATAAAGGGAAACAGGAGATACCTAATGTCAAAATGTATTAAAAGAATCGAGATCTAAAATCCTAGATCATTTCAACAAAAACTGAGTGTTGAGATGTGTATGTGAAATTTCACATTTTACATGAAGGAGTACTGCTGTGTCGTGTTTGATATTTATAGAAATATATATATATGTATATATATAATCATTTATTTTTTAAAAAAGTTTTAAGGATGGACATCAGTATGGCAGGTTTAAAGCTTTTTGTTTTTAGTGGTTAAAATCCCCCCTCCCTATACACGCACCCACACACCTGAATATAGAAAAGGTAACAAACAGTGAAGACTGTGCTGGTTGAGACAGAGCAGCAAACCCAGGACTTTAACCCCTGGGCTTTCTCTTCACCTGTATTTTGCTTCAGAGCCCTGTAGCAAGATCCTGCATAGATTTTGCTTCATGGACCAAAATTTGAAAACCACTGCACTAGTAGGATAAAATCAATAAAACTTCCATTTTGTTAGACTACAACTTTTGCCAATCTGCTATGAATGGATTACAGCTTGCCATGAGATATTGATCTCTGACCATGGGGTAGCTGGGCAGGCCTGGGGCTGCTGGAGTCCCATAGCCTTCGACTTGGAGCTGCCTCATCCAGAGTGCAGTGGTCTGATAGTATGCTCTCAGTCCCCACAGGCTGACGATGTGTCTTCACTCATTTTCACTCTGCCCCACCATGATGTGCATAGTACTGACAAGGAGGTACTGCTATCACCTGGATCTCCTTCAGCAGCCAATGTTAACATGATGTTGTTGGGAGAGTATAGCACTAGCTCCAGGTGGGGTTGGGCCCATGTGGGTACAGCTCCCTGTGATAACCCCAATCTCTGCCTTCACATGTATCCGATATTTCTGTCCATTTCTGGCAGAGTGCCTTTTTAGTGGCGACTTAGCTAGCTTCAGAATGGCCTTTCTAAGAGCATATGCTCATTCTGAAAATGAGAGAATTACCATTATTTTGAGATACTTAATATGAAAAAAATTCGATGGATTCAAAATCCATTCACATTATCACAAGAAATTTCAATATTACATTAATAGATAAAAGGAAGAGCTGTTAGTTTCTTTAAGTATAATTTAAATGTGTCCATTTTGGAATAATTGTAAAAATACTTTACTCTCTTTTATCACCTACATGTGCAAAGTTTCTCACGATGGTGCTTATAAAGAATTTGAAAATATCATCATGGAAAATTCTTCATCAGGAATTTTGTGTAGTTATTTCAAGCATAAAATCTGACATGAATAAAAGAGTTGTGGAAGCAAGCTCAAATTTTTCATCAAACATCTTGAGAATACTTTAATTAGAGGCTTTATGTAATTTAATATTTAATGTGTTCCTCAATTTTACTGTTTGTACTATTTTACTTTTTATAATATAAAGAAAATATATTTTACTTCTTTTATAATATAAAGAAAATATATTTTACTTCTTTTATAATATAAAGAAAATATATTTTGCACTAAGCCGTATATATGCCCTCATATTTCCTCCAGTTTACTGAGTATGCAACACAAGTATTGTTTTCTGTGTGTGTGTGTGTCATAATGTAAAAGAAGTTTGGAAGCACTGCATTAGGGAAACAAATATACAGAGAAAGTTTCATTAATAACAAAAATAAAGGGGAAATGAAGGAAGCTCATTTGAACATTAGCCATTTTGTATTAAGTGAGGGGAGAAAGTTACAAAACAATACGTGTGGTTATTTTCACTTTCGCAAAATAAAGATGTCAAATCTATCACCGGTGAATATCTGTGGTTATCTCCCTAGCTCAGAGTAATGTCTCCTTTCTGTTTCCTGTCCCCCTTCAGCCCAGACAGACACTTTCAATGGAGGCAGTCATATTTATAGAATATGTGCACGGCCCTGTCCACAGCTGACTAAATCAGTGATGGGTTCTCTGACCAATCCTCATTTCCTACCCAGAGGGTTTTGGGATTGTGACGAAGAATGTACGGTCTCAGTCTGGCAGTTATCTTAAGCAGAGGGAGATTTAAAATAACAAGATGTTGTTACTAACCATTATTATTTTTATTATTATTATTATTTTTATTTTTGCCACAGGGTGAGGAAAGAGAGGTGAAGAATGCAGAGAACAGATATTTTCCCAATTCCCAGCAGTGTTTAAGTCTGATTCTAAGGCCTGGTGCATTTTTTACTGTGAGGTCAGGGAGACATTCTGCTATTCTTATCATAAATCTCCCTTTTGCTTTAATTACTTCAATTAGGTTTCTTCTGCCCACATCCAGTGAATGCATTATCTATATGTTAATTCCTAGGGAAAAGTGAAAGTGACATCTACACTTAAATATCAGCAGAGCTTAACTCTACATGATGGACTATGGGTGAATTTTATTTTTAAGCAAAACTTTTCCAAGAAGCATATATTGCTCTTGTGATAAGAAAATAATTAAAGAGAGTATTTAGGGGATAAAGAATTGGGTAATTATGTTTAAGACTAATTTTTATGCGTAAGCTCCTAATTTTAAGTCTTATTATATATGGCATAAAATGGAAGACTTGACAAATAATTCTGAAAAGATTGCTTTTTAAAATGGCTATAATACTAAAATTGAGCAATCTACTTGTTAAATAAGTATAAAAGTAATTATTTTTTTAAATTTGCTTGCTGGGGGAGGAACTTAAAACATTTTATTTTTTTATAAGTTGCACTTCATTTAGAGAAGTATTTTATGAAGGGAAGGATATTTGTCCTCAATTAAAAAAAATTAAGACCAAGTGCAGCATAGGAAAAATGAACAGATTCCTAATCCTGACCCTCATAGTGATCTTATACTTCCCTGCAATGTCTGTAATGCCAAGTAAGTGAGAGAGTTCAATGAAGTTTGACCAATGTTATTATTGCAGAGGGTGGGGGAAAATGAAGAAGCATATTATGCTGGAGCTGCCCACTGGTTAGGAGATTGACAGGAGACACATTTTTTGAATGTAGCACAACAAGAAAAAGGATACAGACTCTCTAAACCCGGATTGCTTTCAAATTGTCAGAAAAATCTAGCCATTGAAACCCAAGATTTAAATTTCAGATTCTAAGGGAGTATAAGTGAGAACTTCCTTCTGAATTCAGTCTCTTTCTGAGAGAAGATAAAAACACCCAACGCATTAATAATTTGGCAAAGTTGGCCATCTGACTCAAAGGCTCACACACCGAAATAATTCATCTTGAAGACTGTGTGGCTTTATGCTCAGCACAGATGGGTTTACCTGTGTGAATTTCTGTTCTTATTTAGTGTTGTCGTCTTTAAGATGAAAAATGGAAGGCTGACATTTCCTGATGCATTTTTCACTGGCAAGTCTTGAGCAGAAATAATCACTAGCATTATTTGTCTGATGACAATACAATGGGGTAAAATGAATGATGATGGCCCTTGGCACCTGTACTTTGGGTGAGAAAGGATAAGAGTTTTTTTCTATTAGAGAGGAGAAATATTTGATTAAAGAAGTATTGGACAAAAGTGCTCAAAGAATGGATCTCTTTTTTCCTCTTCAACACTTAACCCTACACTTAACACTTAAAAAATTTGCTTAGATCTTGTTCTTAAGTCTGTCACTCCCAAACTGTAGGACCTAGTGGATCTGAATTGTAATGTCAGTGCATTTTGAACCCAGCAAAAAATTACATGGGGCTGACGTTAGTTTTTTTTTCCCCTCAGGTTGCCTCATCAAGCAACAAAATAATGAATTTTTTTTTTTTGGGGGCATGGATGGTGGCTTTACTGCTTACATTTATGGACTCACAGAATCTCAGTCTTGAAACCAATACCAAGGAGTTTTCTAGCTTGAAAAACATTTTCACTGTGAGAACTCTGCGCCTCCAACAGCCCATTTTATCTCGAGATATTCTTTTTTTTTTAAATTTTTTTTATTTTTTTTATTTTATTATTATTATACTTTACTGAAGCTCTTCCACGTTAGTTACTCATCAGAGTGGGGAAAGGTAAATTGGTTTGAATCCTGGTTCCTGATCGTAAGACTTTGAAAGGTGACTTAATCTCACTGAATTCTGTTTTTCTTCTTTGTAGAAGGAGCTAATAATGCAAGCTGAGTATCCCTAATCAGAAAATCCAAAATCCAAAATGTTTCAAAATCTGGAACTTTTTGAGCACCAACATGACAATGCAAGTAAAACATTCTACATCTGACCTCATGAGTAGCTGTCAAAATGTAGTCAAAACTTTGTTTCAGGCACAAAACTATTAAAAATACTGAACAAATTACCTTCAGTCTATGTGTATTAGGTTTATATGAAACATAAATAAGTTTCACAGTTAGAGTTGGCTCTCATCCCCAAAATAGCTTATACACAAATATTCCAAAATCTGAAAAAATCTGAAATCCAATGCTGGTCCCAAGTGTTTTGGATAAGTGATGCTCAAATTGTACTTACCTTCTAGATAGTTGTGGAGATAAGCTGTGATGAAACAACTTGTCATATTCCCTGATATAATGCACACTTGTGCGAATATTTCTGTTTTTTATCTATATTATAACTAGAGGCTTAATTTCAGCTCTAACTTTGCCTGCCTTAAAACATTTCCACTATATAGCCTTCTTATCTTTTACAAATATGCTTTGTTCATTGATCTTGTATTCATATTTTTTCAGGACTGCTTAGACATTTGCTATTTGAAGCTTTTCCAGAATATTCTTCTAGGGTCTTCATCCTTTGCCCAAAGACTGAGATACCATTAGTTGTTAGGATCTGGAGACTACAGTGAAGTCAATAGCTTGGAAATAAGATTCACTTCTGAGAATTAAAATACGAAACTATCACAAAGTGGTTGTTGGTTGTACTTGCCTCATATGGCTACTGTGAGAACTAAAGGAGATAACATATGAAGCCCTTAGCATGATGCCTAAACATGGCTATGGTAATGATGATGTTGATTATGCTGGATAGTCCTAAGTGTGGCAGGCAAAACAATAACTTACAAGCAATAATTATGTTGCAGATTTTTTCCAATCAAAGATTAGAGTAATAGCTATAAGATAGAGATTGAAAATAGGGTTTGACTCTCTACTCACATGCTATCTAGAATGCTGAGTTAAGAAGGATTCTGAAGCTGCACTTTAGCTCAGTGAGAAGAGTGCCATGACTAATTAGCAATGTCAGCTGTGAGAGCAGGAGGTGGTTATGGATGGTATTCGTTTAGCAGCCTTCTTCTAGGTCATTTTTTTCTTTTTTTTAATCTTTGACTGAAGCCTGCTTAGGTGGATCAAAAGATTCCTTGATTCATATACCTTATCCATTTCCAATTTCTAGTGTAAAAAATACTCCACGGTGACAAAAAATTGGAGAAGAACAAAATAATAAAAACCACAGTCAAACTCTTCCATGTTAGTTACTGAAAAATTATAAGCCAAAAATGCCATGATCAAATTTAGAGTTAATTAACTGATAAAAACTTTGAAGTAAAAACAATGAAATTAAACTAATGCTAATTTAAAAGCAAGGATAGCAGCCTTGGAAAATCCTGGTCATTCAAGACAACATTAGTAACATTCTAATGACATGTTTTCATCTCACAAATAGTGGGAATTGTAACTACTATACGTCCATGCAGTAGAATGTTCCCAGTGTTGCCAAGCCTTGAAGGGTGGTCAGACTTAATAGAATACTAAATTAAAGGCCTCTGTAAATGCTGATAACACATAATTTTAGTTTAATGTGACAAAGATTACTAATGGTTCCCTCGTATCCCTAAATGGACACTAGTCATAATAATGGTATGTACTCTTAGGATTTGTGAAGATTAAGTGTGATGCTAAATGAAACACCAAGGACATTGGCTAGCACACAGCACAAGCACAGAAAATGTTAGTTATTATTAGCTCGTCCAATTTTAGGAATTCTAGTGAGATACTGAAAACTTCCTAAATTTTTCTCTATCTTCTTATGATACTCCAACTACACCACTTGAACATATTTCCTTTATGATTTAGATCCATGTTTTTAAAAAACATAATGTCTTGGTAAGATTGACACTTCATTCCTTTATATGTTATATGTATCTTTAAATGCCCGTAATGAGCCAGACATCATGCAATGTCCTGCTGGGAAGAGGGAGTCACTAAGATGAATAATCATAGTCTCTAACCCCAAGGAAATCTGAGTCATTCTGGGGATGCCTGGCTTAGTCTAATAAATTCTGTCATCTGGCTCAACCCACCTTTCCAAATGGATTTTCCATCACATTATATTATGCTGTGTTCACATTGAACCACCATGTTTCTTAAGCAGTTCTTGTGCTTTCCTAACTCTGTGTCTTGTACATTCTATTTCCTCTGCTTGGAAAGATTCCCATCCTAACTTTTAAAAGAAATTGATTAACTCTAACCTCACCTGTGAAATCTTGCTTTATTATTGCAGTCTGAAAGTAAACTGTCCTTCTTTGTAAAGCTGTAGCAATGTATATTTTTGGCGTAGCAATGTATATTTTTGGCGAATCAATGGATGTGTGAATAAGTAAATAAGTTTTATATTGCCATATTCATGGGGCCATGGGTAAAAAGTATTCTTCAGCATGCTGGATGAGTCTGCAGAATATGATAGCAAGAGGCTCCAAAGACAAACATCAATAGCGTGGCACTTAATGCAAACATAGTGCAAGCCATACTGTATACTGAGGCATCAGCTTTGTCATCAAACTCCATCTCTCCCACTCTACCATATGACCATAGCAAGTTATTCAGGTTTTTCACCTGTAAACTGAAGATTAACAATGGTTCCTACAACATAGTCACCTGAGGATTAAACGTCATAATAAATATTAAGCTCTTGACATGATAAGTATTGGGAACATAGCAAGAATTCAATAAATGTTAACTGTTATTATCATTTGCTATTTTGTGAGTGTGTCATTCTCCATGCACCTATAGAACACTAGACTCAGTGCAAGTCTTGAATCTGACTCTTTGGAGCCATCCTTCTGGCAGATAAACATAATTTCCTGTGCAAATATAAAACTGGAGACCATCAGGAGACCATTTTGGAGTATCAGGAAATGTGGCTTCTGAAAGTTATATTGCCTTTTTCAGAGAAGCCCGTTCTCAAATTGGCCATTTCTATGTAGTCCCTACTCCACTCTTTTAAGTTCATATCTGTCACATTTGATAGTCATCTCCTCATTAGCTGGCAATAGCTAGACCAATTAAAATGCAATTAATAAATAATAACTGTGGTGTAGAATGATGTTGGCTTGTGGCAGAGGCATTCTGAGACAAGCAGCCCAGCATGCCTGCCACTTTGGTGGAATAAGCTAGAAACTCAACTAAATGATCTTTGAAAAGAACTGAAATGCTTTACTTTGAGTGTCACCAATAAAGCACAAAAAACATGACCCAAGAACATTTTGATGTGGTGCCACTTATAGCAAATTTCCCTGATCAGGGATAAAGGCATCATTTTTGTTTTATTTTATGTGTATGTATGTGTGTTTAAGTAATGTATGCTGTTTGCTGTAACAGGACATTTGGATAGTACAATTTAGAAAGAAGAGTGCAGATGAGAAGATTAGAGGCTTATCTTTTGTAGTACTACAAAGGATGTGGAACAGCATTAGAGGTCAGTCAGAGGTTCTTTGAAATCATTTTACTTGAGGTACTTGAGCTATACCTCATTTGTGGCTTCACTGTTTTCAAGAGGACTAACAGGTTGGACAGTGGTTGGGTGAATCCCTCCCAAAATAGAACTGAGGAATGTTTGAAATAGGGATGAAATATAACAGGCAGAAATGCTACGTGGGAGAGGAGCTACAGAAAGAAAAAGGACTTAGGAAAGTATTATATCTGGAGTGGTTGCATACCCTAGTTTGCTCAGGGGAGGCCCGGTTTATACCTATGCTCAGCCACCTTATGTATTTAGCACCTCTTTCCACTCTCAAAAGTGTCCAGGTTTATGCATTAAATTATATAGCCAGCAGAGTTAACACTGATGTGCTCAATTTCAATCTTAGAAACCAGAAAAATGAGCATGGACCAAAACCTGCCTTTGGCTGCTGAAATTCCAAGTTGTGTAATAGGGATTTAGAAAGAAAGGCAAAACACTGCATGCTGAAAAGCCCAAGTACATTCACTTGGTTACTTAGGTAATAAAGATGACACACCTGGGGCTGGCAAAATAATCAGGTGTGTTAGTACCTACTGCAAATGTGGTCCTCTGGAGGATTGAGAATCTATTCTCCTGGGATCTCTGCTCATTGTGTGGCAGAAATGTTGCTCACTCTTCAAGGTGGTTAAAGTAAGGGAACACAAGACAAATCTCATGGTTACTTATGAGATGCAGAGTATATTCAAGGGGATGGGCCAGAGGGAGTCAATTGTGAAAAGGATGATTCCAGTCCAAGGGCTAGAACTTCTTGTCCTGGAGGCAGTCTCTCTCTTTTCAGAAAACAGACCCCACCTGCACAGTCTTTTCCTCAGGTCCTTGCAGGTCCACCGGGGAGTGGTCAATTGCTACCTAGGAGAGCAGAGTTTGTCTGTATCTCCCTTTGGCAGCACATGTACTAACAATGGAGTAAGTCCAAGAATATTAGCATGACTCCTGTGTAAGAACGTTATTGAAACATTCTAATTTTTTCAAGCCAAGTATTATTATTTTTATTCAACATTGTACTGGAGGCTCCAGCCATTGGTGGAAGGCAGGAAAAAGAGATAAAAATTGCCATGGTAGGAAAACTGATTATTCAGAGACAGCATAACAATCGTCCAAATAGAAGATCTAATGTATACTATAGATATATAACACAGACACACACACACACACGCACACATAAATACACTAAGCGAGTTTAATAAGATTGCTACATATACGATCAATTTAAAAAAGTCAATTGCATAGCTATACAACAACAGCCAATAGACACAAAGTGTTCATTTTAAATAGAATATGTTTAAAAATAGAAGAAAACATATGATCAAGGAATAAATTTAAACAAAAGATGTCCAAGTCATTTATGTAGAAAAGTACATAATTTTTTAAAAGATTTTTTAAAAATGTATATTTTAGGTTTTGATATACATGTGTAAGTTTGTTATATAGGTAAACTTGTGTCATGGGGGTTTGTTGTACAGATTATTTTATCACCCAGGTATTAAGCCTAGTACTTGATATTTATATTTTCTGCTCCTCTCCCTCCTCCTATTCTCCACCCTCAAGTAGACTCCAGGTCTGTTGTTCCCTTCTTTGTGCTCATGAGTTCTCAGGATTCAGCTCCCACTTACAAGTGAGAACATGTGGTGTTTTGTTTTCTGTTTCTGTGTCAGTTTGTTAAGGATAACAGCCTCCAGCTCCATCCATATTCCTGCAAAAGACATAATCTAATTCTTTTTATGGCTGCATAGTATTCCATGGTATATATGTATCCCATTTTCTTTATCCAGTTTATCATTGATAGGCATTTAGGTTGATTCCATGTCTTTGCTATTGTGAGTAGGGCTGCAATGAACATTTGCATGCATGTGTCTTTACGGCAGAATAATTTATATCCTTCTGAATATACACCAGAGGAATATACTGACCCAGTAATGAGATTGCTGGGTGAAATGGTAGTTCTGCTTTTAGCTCTTTGAGGAATCGCCATACTGTTTTTCACAATGGTTGAACTAACTTACACTCCCACCAACAGTGTAGAAGTGTTCCATTTTCTCTGTAACCTCACCAGCATCTGTTATTTTTTGACTTTTTAATAATAGCTATTGACAAAAACAAGCAGTGAGGGAAAAGACTCCCTATCCAATAAATGGTGCTGGGATAACTGGCGAGGCAGAAGATTGGAGGTGGACCCCTTCTTTACACCATATACAAAAATCAAGTCAAGATGGATTAAAGACTTAAATGTAAAACCCAAAACTACAAAAATCCTGGAAGACAACCTAGGCAATACCATCCCGGACAAAGGAACGGACAAGGATTTCGTGAAAAAGACACCAAAAGCAATCGCAACAAGAGCAAAATTGACAAATGAGATCTAATTAAATGTAAGGTCTTCTGTACAGCAAAAGAAACTATCATCAGAGTAGACAGACGACCTACAGAATGGAAGATTTTTGCAAATTATGTATCTGACAAAGATCTGATATTCAGCATCTTTAAGGAACTTAAGCAAATTAACAACAACAACAACAACAACAAACCAAACAACCTCCTTAAGAAGTGGGTAAACGACATGAACAGATACTTTTCAAAAGAAAACATACATGTGTTCAACAAGCATGTGAAAAAAAGCTCAATATTGCTGAGCATTAGAGAAATGCAAATCAAAACCACAATGAGATACCATTTCATGCCAGTCAGAAAACTCCACAATTTTTCTGAAAAGAAGACCTAAGTAAATGGAGACATGAAGTGTTCCTAGATAAAGTGATCAGATCTCCCATAATTGATCTGTTAAAATATAAATTGAATTCTTTATGAAACTTGGTAGATGCCATCTAATATGTATATGAAAGAGGGAAGCCCAAACAAATAGCAAAGAACATCCTAAAAAGAGAAAAATGTGGAAAACTTGAACTACCAGCTGTGGAGACTTATGATAAAGCTTTATATTAGCTTCCTATGTGGGTACATAAAGAGATCACCCAAACAGAATACAGAGCAGGAACAGACTAACCCATCTATGGAAGCTTATTACCCAGGGAGCTCGCATTGCACACCAAGGGGAAGAAATGGACTGTACAACTGATGGTGCTAGGACAACCGACTATCCGTGTGGAAACAAGTGAAATTGGAACTCTACTTCATATTCTAAACATATCTATTTCAGGTGAATTAAAAGTTTAAAAGCGAAATAAATCTTTAAACTTTTAAAAGAGAATATAGGAAAAAAATCTTCATTTACCTCAGAGTAGGGATGTATTTTTAAACAACTCACATGAAACATAAATCATAAATTTAAAAAGCAATACATTCGATCATACTGACAAAAAATTATGTGCTTATCAGAAAAGAGAAAAATAAAAAGAAACCTAAGAGAAAAATGAGCACAAGACATGAAAAACATTTCACAGAACAAGAAACCCTGATGCTAGTGAATATCTGAAGAAAATATCCAGCCTAATTAGTAATCAGAAGAATGCAAATTAATACAACAGTAAATTATCATCTTATACTTATCAGACTGGTAAAACTGGGTAAGTGTTGATGAGAATGTGAGACACTTAGACGTTGTGGGACTGTAAATGTATAATCACTTTGGAAAATTATTTGGCATTTTTTTTTAATTTGAAGAAAATCATATCCTATTACCTAGCAATTTCATTCTTAGGTATGTGTTGTAAAGAGGTTCTTGCTTATGTGCACATTGTATAACAATATTCCTACTATGTTTACCCAAATGTCCATTGACAGAAGAATGTATCAATAAATTGCATACTATACAGCAGTAAAGATGATTGAATACGACTACATGCTTCAACATGGATAAGAATAAAAAACATAATGTGGAGCGAAGAAAACAAATCACAAAAGATACACAGAGCATGATTTCACTTACATAACGTTTAGATGTATAAAAATCAGTAGTTTATAATTTTGGGTTATATGCACATGTAATAATGCTATTTTTAAAAGCGATAATACTTAGTGGATCATTACTACTATTTTTTAAAACCATAATTCTGGTAGAGGAAGGGAAATAAAAAAGTAATGGAGAAGAATATCAAGGGCTTTACCAGAATTAGTAATTTTCTATTTCTTAAGCTGGCTGTGGGCACAAGGATGTTCACTTAATTATTCTTTATACCTTAGGCATTCATTATACATCCTTTTTTGAATGTATGAAATATTTTATGAAAAATACATTTTTTAAAGGTTTCCAGCTGGCCAGAGACTCCCATCAACTGATTCAGGCAGTCCAATTATTTCCTTATTTACAGCTGGATTTATACTTTTATCTTTAGCTCATCCCTGAACAAATTTACTGAACATGGTCTAGTGATCAGATTAGCAGCCCTCTATAATGCTGCAGCCAATCCCAACCTTAGCGTATGCATAATACAATTTTAATGACCCAGAACAGCATATTTGGTCATCTAATATAGGCAGTTTCCCCATTAGCAATTTCATTGGAAATTCCCCAGTATGTAATTTCTATTAGTGGCTTTAGTATGAAGTTTCATTGCTGCCTGCTGGGGACTGTACCAGGAACCAGATTTGATGATACCAACAAATGTTACTTTCTCAGTGAAGTCTTTCCCAATGCCTGAAGGCAGAATTTGCTGCTCCCTTCTGTTCATCCCAATGGCATGTCTTTGTTTGCAATATGGAGATGACTGACATCTACCTTATAGGTTACCACGAGGAATAAACAAGATAATGCATTTAGAGTTCACAGTAAGCACTCAGCAAATATTTGCCATGTTTATGTTTGCATTTATATCTATATTTATACTATTATTCTTGTTCTTATGCATATTCTTATACCTCTATTAGAATGCATGCTACAATGTGCCATGCATCAGCTAATTATATATACTTCTATCTCCCTCTGTAGTCTGTAATCCTGTTGAAGATGGAAAGTGTGTTTTATTCATCTATCTGACCCTCCCTGGTGCCCAGTATTGTTCTTGGTATGTACTAAGCACTCAATACATATTTATTGAATTTAGTCAAAGTTGGATTGTTTTTATGATTATATATATATATATTAGAATTTCTAGACCTATTCCAGGTTCCAGTTCCTTGAAAGCTCCTGAAATTTGTGTCTCAAATATGTGCCTAGAGGATGCCAGTGGTATTTGACTTGTCTGTCACTGGCTGTAATCAAGGCTTACTGAGATGATGGCAGTACCCTTAGAGACACTGCCTGAAGAAAATAAGGAATACACACCCTTGGTTGGGCACTTTGCTATTCTAGTCAAACATTTCTTCAGATGTTATTACCACCTGGCTTGGTCAGAAAATAGAGGACATAAACATGAACAAAATTTTCTTTTCCTGAGTGTTACTGGTTTCTTGAAAGATCTAGTTTGGCAAGAAGACAAAGAACATTTAGAGCCAGGCCTGATCACTGGCTGAAGCCTTTGTTATTCCATATGGATCAGTCTGAGAAATAAGTGAGAGCTGATATGATGCACGGCAAGGAGGGGGCCAGAGAATAGGGGCATTGAAGATGTACAGATAGTCAATTTTTCCAAAGACCTCACATTCTAATCCTGATCTGCGACTGAATTCAGTTGCATAGTCATAGGCTAAAAGTGGTTAAGAATTTCTGTGTTTGAGAGACAACATAGTGTGGTGTGATGTATAATGTAGATCTGTATAAAATTTTATTGGAAATTTGATTAGTTTAATTAATAAGCATATAAAATGTATTTGGTTAGAGGGTTTATAAAGATATAATTATGTGGTTATGTATGCTTGGAAATAATTTGTGCTATATTAATGGAAATAAAATATAATGAATCAGTGAGTTTGGGGGAATAGATTTTAGATAGTTAGCTGTTTTAAGGCACTATTAAGATGGAGAGGAGGAGGCTGTGAGGTTCTATGTTTTTGTGACCATAGCAATGATGAGAGCCAAGAACATCAATTAGCATCTCATTAAATGGGCAGAAATCTTGGGTAAGCATGGACCTGGCAGGCATCACTCTTGGTGGTCCAAAGCCTTTCCTTATCTCAAGACACTAAGATGAGCAAAATTACATGCAAATGAAGTCACCAAGGCAGAATAGAACAGACTTATATCATCCAGCCCTTACAGTAGGGCTTGGGATGGAGTAAAGGAATGGTTGGCATAGACGGTAAAGTGTGAGATTAAATGGGGAAGGGTTTTCACAGTAAATAAAAGTTTTCACCTTCAAGAGCCTGGGGTGGTGCACTGCTCTCACCAGCCACTTTTCCCACCAGAGTGGTCATGATATGGCTGATCATAGGGCTCAGTAAACCAAGGTTCAGAAGCCCATGTTACCTCCCTGGTACTGTCACCATAGTGGGAGGGAAGAAAATCCCAGAAGCAGTGAATAGGGACACCCATGAAGTAGGAGGAGTGTGACTTTGGAATCAGGCAGTGCTTTCTTTAATTCTGACCTCTGCCACTTAGAGGACATGAAATCTTGTGTAAGTGACTTAATATTTCTGAGTCTATTTTCTACATTTCCCCTAAAATGGGATTCTTTTAGAAAAGGAAAAGGAAAAGGAAAAAAGTGTTCCCGTATTTTTTTTTCTTTTAGAAAAAAACAAAAAAAGAAGCAGGTTCTTTTTAAACTGACTTTTATTGGTTTTGGTATTGTATTTTAATTAGGAACTGGAGATTACATATATCAGGTGCCTGACACATTGCAGGAATTTCAAATTCTCCTTTACTGATAAGAATTTACTGAGTGTTACTCCAATCAGGTCTTGTGCTAGAATCTGGGAAAGAAAAATAAATGAGATGCTATTTTCTTTTATTTTTTCTTCGAGAGACTGACTATCTGGCTCAGAAGATAGGTAAAAAGCATGGTGACCATTTTATAAGAAGGGGTGAAAAAACAACAACAATAAAACGAACAAAAAAAATAAGAGGTGGAAGAGTGTGAGATGCCTTCTAGTGTCCATCTTTTCTTCTTTTCTACAAACAAGAATTCCAAACTTTTGTTGAAAACATTGCCCTTTGGCTACAATACTATATCCCCAACTCCATTTTATAGCTAGGTATGGCCTTGCAAGTAAGTTATAGCCAATGAGAGATAAACACAAGATTTGTGCGCAACATCTGGAATGTTTCCTGAAGGTAAACAGATATTTCTTTAGTCTCCTTTTCTTTCGCTGCTCTCAGTGATAGCTGGGGCTTCAGCAGTCGTCTTCTCTCTGAGCTGGATGTCTTGCAGGGAGAGAATATTGCAGCAGCAAAGTAGATTTACTGCCAAATCTAGATCCTTTGGTGACTATGAGGCCAGCCTCCAGCCTGGGTGTCTTACCTTCACATTTCATTTACATGAGAGAAAAATAAGCATACATTTTGTTTAAGCTACTATTCTTTAGCATTTTCTGCAACTTGCAGCCTAACTTAATTTGGTTAATGCAATAGGATATAGTGAAGGACACTAAGGAGGGACTGGTGACCTTTTAATTGGGACAACAGGGAAGGCTTCTCAGAGGAGGTGATAGTAAAGCAGGTCTGGGAGAATAAGCCTCCTTTGCGTTCCTTGATGTTGAGAGTTTGATACCATAATATCTATTTATAGATATTGCTGACAATTCCTAGACAAGTTTATTAGAAGGAGGGTTTGAGAGCTCTTACGTAAATTGGTCTGCTATTTCCCAAATAAGAGAGAATGCGAGTTTTCATTGAGAGGCTGAAACAGCTGAACTGATACTTTTAAATTTGCTCAGTTTTGTATGTGTGTATGCTGGTGGGTGGGGATGATACTTTGGAAATGCTAACATATTTTCTTTCTTATATTTCCTCTTATACCTGTCTCTTCTACCACATTTGACAAACTAAACTAGTCTGTGTTCACTGGACTAGATGAAGAAAATTCCTACACAGAAAAGAGAAAAGGGAGTTGCTTTCCTGGTTTTTGAGTTTCAAAAGCAGAGACTCTGAGAAGATTCCCAGAATGCTCAACAAAGAGTGCTTAAGAATTCTCTCACTAGGGATAGGAGCTAGAGAAGCAGCACCAATGAGTCCGTAAGGAAGAAGCTGTGTGTGCCCTGCTTTCTGGACCACTGGAAAACTCAGATGGACTTGTTGAATCTGAAAACAGAGGGTCTCTGAGTCCTCTCCTAGCTAGAGCCCTCGTTAAGTGATAGACACTAGAAGAAGAGTGACTGTGTGATGCCTAGGCAGACTGGACTTCAGAAATGCAGGATTCCCCTCAGTTCTAATGTGGCATGGGAGTTGCACAGTGTTTCCTGGGTGTCCAGGAGTGGCCTAGAAACAGCAGTAAAAGAGAGCTACTCAAAGTCTGGTGGAATAGAAGAAAAGACATGGCAGCTACTAGAATGAATATATCTGTGGGTAACAGTATGGAAAAATGACAGTGGGTATCAGCATGGTAAAGTGAAAGGTTACTCTGAGGTCTTGGTGCCACCCTACGCCTTTATACTGTGTAAAGCCCAGACCTTATATATAATAGACCCACCTTAGAAAAGGGGCTGAATCCCACACTGCCAATCTGGTGAAGAGCAGCTCAGTTCAGTTACAGGGGAATAAAAAAGAGATTGTTCCTGCAGGTCTGAGTATGAAGATAGAGATTAGGACCTGCTGCTGATTCATTCATTTATTCACTCATTTGACAATAATTTATTGAGTGCCTGTGAAGTGGCTGGCACTGCTTAGGCATTTAGGAAACTGCGATAAATGAGACACAAAATTTCTGCCCTGGTGTAGCTTATGTACTAGATAGGGAGACAGAAAATGTGTAGAAAACACAAATATCATCGTGCTATTGAGTCAAGTAGTGATAAGGACTAGACAGAAAAATAAAGCAGGGTCAGGAATGTTAGCCTACTAGAAAATGAATATAAAGATATTAATGATGAATCTGAATAGAACCCCTTATTCTCATTACCGATCTTGTTGTGTGTTGTATTGATCCTGTGTTACTGATCAGAGCACACAATCATTGACCACTTTCAAGGTGAGGGATGCAAGAAATGCTGATGAAGTAGGTAAATTGTCTATCATGCTTTTTAAAGATCAGGGCTAAAGCTGAAGCTCTGTACCAGATTTTGACTAAAGCCCAGGCCTGGAGATGAACTTCAGTGCAAGCCTCATATATGATCTCTTTTAACTCTTTCATACACCCCACTAGATAGGTATCTGTGCTCAGTTTTATAGATGACAGCATGGGTCCTTAGAGAATGTGATTAACTGGACCAAGGTTATACCAGGATTCAAACTTAGGATTATGAGGCTCCCACTCTGCAATAGACTGGGTTAAGCACCCTAGTGGTCTTTGTGGGCTGCACCTCTGGACTCTCTTGTTTTGCAGACAGTTTAAAGATTTCAAACAGAATGAAGAGCCTGAGAAATCTTCTGCAGCTGTAGAAGACCTTCTTTTGGTCAGGTAAGTCTCAGAGAGTCATAGCACTGCATTCTGGATAGAGGGTGGAGTGGAGAAAGGGGCTGGAGGGTTTGTCAGTGAGACACATGGAAGTCTAGGTTACTCTGTGGCAAACCTTGGTGGATTAATTCAGCTGTAGACCATGGCAGAGATGCACACTGTAGTTCCTAACCAGAGGATTAGAGAGTTGGAAGTGACCTTGAGGATTATCCAATCAAATCGCCTTCCTAATCTATGAATTTTCTCAATAGGATTTCAGACATGAAGACATCTCACTTCCTTTTCCCCCCTCCAGTCTCTTTTTTTGATAGAGAAGCTCTAACCTGACTGAGCAAAATGCCTGTGTTCCAAAAGGTCTTTCTATTCTAAAGGTGAGCAAAATGCAATGACAAGATACCAGGGATGAATAGCCCTGCACTGTCTGAAAGGGACACCTAAGGACAAAACGCAGGTGTCTCTCTCCAAATTCCAGTGTGCCCACTGATTATGGCAGAAAAGGAAAATTGGAGCTGATTATAACATAGTGGGGGTCCTGGACCTCAATTTCATGGCTTTCCTCAATATAGATATTAACAATTTGGCAAAGTTATTGGCCAATTGACTCAAAGAATAAGCATTAATAAAGGAATTCAACCTGAACAATGTGCTATTTTATGGCTAGTACATGTAGGTTCACTGGTATGAATTTACTGTGCTTATTTAGTGCCCTCTTTAAGATGAAAAATGATGCCGGCTCAGCGTTAATAGCATCTTTTGACGCTGAGTAAGTGTTCCCATGGATTGAATGGTAGTTGCTCCTTCCTCAGATGGAGATTGAAAACTTTATCTTGAATATCTTGCACTGGCGAAAGCATTCCTTGTATTTGTTAGTACCAGAGTACATACTAATAGAACATGCACTACCAAGGATACCTGGACTCTGTGGGCTCACTGGTCAAGGACGTCCTTTTCACAGAGCCTTTGTCAGTTGCCAACAAGCTGGTATAAAGGGATCTGCTAACTAACTCATATTTCAATTTACAGGTCAGCTCTTGTAATATTCACTATCAGAGGGCATATTTTGCTTTTCCATTCTGTAGCTTTCTACCTCTTTGAGCCTTAAAATCCTACCATCAAGAAAAATGACAGATTTATGGAGACATTCTGGTTATAAAATTATTCAGAATTCCCCTAGAGATCCTGAAAGTGATGGAGAAAATGCTATAGAAATAATCCAAGAAATGTAGGGAGCACAAGATATTGATGATTCCTGGGGCTCAGATTCCCTGTCTAGAAAATCAGGGAGTCCTAAAGTATCTTTTATTTAGCTCTAATATCTCACAAATTTATAATTTCTTCACTCCTAGGAATAGATTCTTAGAAAAATCTTCCTATTCAGGCACACATTATGTTTTTCATTATCTTATGTATAAGATAGTGTACACTGGGCATGGTGTTGGGCAGAAAATAGCATTGGATTAGGACTCAGGAAGCAGATTACAGCTTTGGTCAATGACAGCTGTATGGCCTTGAGTAAATCACTTCACTTCTTTGAATCTTAATTCATTCATTTTATAAAATAAAAACATTGCATTAAATTCTATGTTTTTGTCTTAGTCCTAAAAATCTAAGGTCATGTAGACTATTGGATTTTTGTAATATGTAATGTTATGAAAATGAAACAGCAACATAGAATTGTTATTTTGATTTCTTCCTAGTAAGTTCATTTTCCTTTAAATAGAAAAAGAGTTAGTCCATGGGGCTCTCATGCTGAGGAGTGAGGGTGGAATAATAGACAAAACAATGCTTTCCCGACTGGTATCCATAGACTCCTGAGATGTCATAAATGTAATCTCAGGGGTCTTCAAATCCCTAAGTCTGAGAAATGCTGGTGTTCAGGCACCAAACCAAACAGCACGAACGAGTTCAGAACATACCACCCCCAAATACACTGCCCTGACATATTGATGATTTTGAGTTGAAAGCGCTTGAAAAACAGCAGATGCAAGAAGGACACTTGGAATTTTCTTTTTCTTCCTGAAATCAGGAGATGAAACGACTTTGTGAAGTATCCCTTCCCTATATCAGAAAGAATGAAACATTCTTATCACTAAGAATGGAAAGCTGAGGCTGACAGAAATCTATACAAAACAAGCTTTATCAAAGGAACCTTTGTCTTCCTAGTTACTTCTTCAAGATTAACTACCCTAGCCCAGCTCCCTTTGCCTTATCATGTTTCTCAATTTACTACTCTCTGTCCAACTTAGTATATAAGGTTTCAACTCTAACTGCTTCTTTGGGTCTTCATTTTTCTTGTGAAACTCTCACGAACATGTAGAAAAAAAAAAGGAAACTTGTATACTTTTCTCCAGTTATTCTGTCTTATGTTAAATTCTTAAGCCCAGCTAGAGATTCTAACAGAATAAAGGTGAAATATTTCCTCTCCTATAAAGACCTAGAATTGGAAGTGGATGGGTGCTAGGTAGAGTTGGGTGGAAGGTTGAGAATAAAAGGGTGTAGTCATTAGGGGCTTGAAAGTAAGTGGAGTTGTGTCCAAAATGAGCAATTGGAGGAGAGTTTACTAAAAAGCCTGTGTACAATGTTGCAGAGTGTAGGAAAACCATAAAGGGCGGTACAGTGCCCAGACACCATTAATGCCGCTAAATGAGCAAGGGTGGAGGAAGGAGCCATCCCCAGAGTAGAAACAGAGAAGAAGCTGTGACCTTTAGCTGAAGGCCATGGCCAGTCCATGGGAGGGGCTGCGGAAATATATCACCTTCAGCCTCCTTCCTGCCTCCAGTCTCCTGCGAGGCTCCTCTTTGACTGAAGTCAACCAGGGCTGGGGAGACTGCTGCTACAGGCAGACAGATCAGCATTTGAAGGCAGAGAACAAGAAGGCGAAGCAAAAGGAAGACATCCAGCTCAAGGCGTTAGAAAAAAGAGATTGGAAAAAAGAGTTTGGAATAAGTCCCTTTTCAAAGGAGGACTCCAATATTCAGCCTCGTCTTTACTGAAGAGGCTTTGCTTAATGTGATTCTGTTTTATAACGTCTCATAAATTAACATGCCTCGGCATTCCTTCTTTCCCAAAGATGTGTTGATTTGATTAGATGGATATGTCTTAAGGCTTTAAATTTGGAGCTAAAATCTAGAGGAATGTGATAGTTTCTTAAAATTTATACTTTCCCCTACAAACTGAGAGAAAAGGAAGAAATAAAAATTTTCTGGATTTAGGGCTGTAGGAAAATGAAATAAAAAGCATGAAAAGATGACAGGATTTCATTTTAATTATTAGCTATTATTAATGATGCCATTTTATTTTACAATGCCTTTTCTAAATTACTATCTTAGTCTCATCTTTAAAACAACCTTTGGAAGTTTTTTCCCCCCCACTTTATAGATGAAGAGAATGAGGCCCAAAGAGATGGAGCCATTTCCTGAGGTCACCTTACTGGTAAATAGAGCTCATCCTAGAGTTGATTCCACCACACTGCTCACTACTTCAAAAATATTTAATGCCAGATTCCCTGAGGAGGAATGCTAGATTGCTAATTTATTCATCTCTTACCTTTTCTTTTTGTCAATGGAAAATATGACAATTTTATTTGCAACCTAATGGACTATTCTTTTTTTTGAGAATTGAGTTTAAATGATACCATCCACCACCTAGCCAGATGATGTATGGCTTCAGGAAACAAAATTAAAAGTTAAAGCACTTAAGCATATAGTTTATTTCTCTTTTGCATTTTTAACAGAACCGGAATATAGTATATTAACCAGCACCTGTTTTCTGTTTGCAAAATACTATATTTAACTTCTTTTCTTTAATTGAACAAGATTTCATGTCAAATTCAGATTCTGCAGATGAATTATTTAGAAACAAAATGTCAAGTTTCTTGTTCACAAATCTAATTTATTTTTGACCTCAGAGAATTCCCCAGATCTAATGAAACTGTTAAATAGAGGAATGAGGAGAATCTGGCTGCTATGAGGCAGTTTTCTTCCTCTTTATGTATTTTTATGGTATCTATTTTGCAATTACTAAATGGTGGTCTCAAGGATACCCATCAGTCATGCCTAATTAGGGACCATAAATGGATCTTCAGTAAATATTTTATTAAAAATGAGATTTCCAAGTAATAGAAAAATGTTAAACCCAAACTATAATGACAAGTGCTTTATAAAAATATTACAGAGAAATGGGGGGAAATGAACAATATGTTATGTTGTCCCAATTTTAATTAGACTCACAGAATGTTAAAATGGGAAGAGCACTCAGACAGAAAGTGGCTTGGAGGTGGAGAACCAAACATCCATTTAAATAAATGTGCTTCATTTAATACTCACAACATCACTTGAACATTGGAATAATTATTGTTATTTACATATGGGCGAACTGGGGCTCAGAGAAATGTTGTAATTTGTCCAACATCACACAGCTTAGAAATGGCAAAGCCAGGATTCAAATCTGGGTTTATCTAACTCAGTTGCCCAAATTCATACCAATGAGTCGGTTGCATTAATAGGACAAGAATCCAGATTTTTGGACTCATAGCCCAGCGATTTTCCCACTGATATGATGACTCCAAGCAAGATTGAACCTTGACCCTAAGAATAAAGCCTGAGGCTTTGAACGTTTTTTGTTTCTTTCTCCTACTTATTCTCCCATATCCTTTATAGCATCACGTATGAACATTCATTTATGTTAAATGTTAACCAACTGAACCTGTAGCAAGAAGGAAGAGCTAAAGAGATATTCACATCTATTCTCTCTTTTTTGTTATAATTAACTTAAATTTATTATGATAGCATCAGTTTATCAAGAATTGCAGTAGCTTAATAAATATTGCATAAAGCCATGCATCTGAATGGGTATCATTGGCTTTGGGAGCTAGAAGTTTCCTTGGAGATAATGTAATGTTTCCTCCTATATTACTACATAGAAATTGGGTCCCAGAGAGCTTCAATAACTTATTCAAAATCATCCATTTATGTCAAGTTTTAGTACCCAGGTCTTCTGACCTCCAGGAGAGTGTGTTGTTCTCTTACATCAGGTTGTTCCAGAAAGAACAATACAAAAGAAAAAATACAAAAATAACCCCAAGGCATGGTGTGCTGAGGCAGCGAACTCCAGGAAAAAATTAAAAAGAGCCCTATTGATATCCATGTAGAAAGAGTAAGTGCATACGGAAAGGAAAAATCAGAATGGCCTCAAATTTTTGAGATAATGTAACAATAGTTTTAGAGGTCTAAGAGGAGATAATAAAGGGTAATCCGAGAATTTGTATCAAGCCAATTTGTTTATGAATAAATACAGGAGTAATATATTCTCAAACATTTGAGCTGTAATTAATAAAGAAATTATGCCAATTATGAGAATGGAAATGAAGAACTCTGGCATTAGAAAGCTATTACAAAAAGAGAAGGGGCTAACAAACTATTAGAATTACGGTTGCAAACCAAATTATAAATGTTGTTATGATTGACAAGGTGAAAAAGTAATAATACCATTGACAAAACTGAGGTTGTGAGGTGGTGGAGATTTGGAGAGGAACAAGGAGAGAGGTATACATGCTAATGTTCTCACCTTTCATATTAGAGACAACAGATTCAAAATAACATTGTTAAACCAAGAAACAGAGACATCTATGTATTTTATGTGGTTACAAAATTAACACTGGAAGAACTAAAAGCATGTCAGAAATGAAAATTTATGAAACAAAATAAAACCAAAATATAGACTATATTAGTCTGTTCTCATGCTGCTAGTAAAGACATACCCGAGACAGGGTAATTTATAAAGAAAAAGAAGTTTCATGGACTCACAGCTCCACATGGCTGGTGAGGCCTCACAATCATGGCAGAAGTCGAAGGAGTAGGAAAGGCAAGTCCTACATAGACACAGGCAAGAGAGAGCATGTGCAGGGGAACTGCCCTTTATAAAATCATCAGATCTCGTGAGACTTATTCACTATCACAAGAACAGCATGGGAAAAACCCACCCCCATGATTAAATTACCTCTCCGCAGGTCCCTCCCATGACATGTGGGGGTTATGAGAACTACAATTCAAGATGAGATTTGGGTGGGGACACAGCCAAGCCATATCATAGACCATCTAGCAAATGATTGAAAAAATATAAAAAATAGGACAAATCTGCAATTCATTTATATAAAAATGAATGTATATAAAATATTTATACCCCCCCACACATACATTCCCTGTTCATAATAATGAAATATGGATTGAATTGGGAAGGGAAGAGGAGGGCCATAACTTTAGCTTTAGCATTTTTATAGTGTGTAAATATTACTTTAAAATATAGTAAACATAACCAAATACTTAAAAATAAATAAATGAAAGATGGATTAGCAATAAAGATTAACCTAACATTTTAGTGATCATGCAGCCCAAAAAATACTGAGATACATGAATTTCTAACTGCCATCTACAATTGGTAATTAAAATGCTGCTACTTCAATGTCCCAGACAACTATGTTGCAAGTTAAAGTACCATGTCAGGCTGCCGCTGCTGCTGTCACCACCACAGCCTTCAGATAAGTAGAAGCTCTTTCCTACACTCAGGCTGGATCAATACAGTTTTATTAAATTATATGAGATCCCAAGCTTCATATTCAATCAACTTATTCTGGCCCATCTACATAGAAAATTATTTTGATTAAAATTAGAATTTTTATTATCTCACAAATAATAGTGCAAGCAGAACTTTCAGTTCTTTCTCTATTCAGGCAAGTAGAATATGAGAGCAAGTTAGGAAGGGAACCTGACAAAAAGCAAGTAGTTAATTTGTCACATTTTAGGAGGAATGCTGTCTTACTCCATTTTGTGCTGCTCTAACAGAATTCTTGAGACTGGGTAATTTATAAAGAAAAGGAATTTATTTCTTACACTTCTAGAGCCTAAGAAGTCCACGGTCTAAGGGCCCACATCTGTTGAGGGCTTTCATGCTGTGTCATCTCATGGAGGAGGGTGGAAGGGCAAGAGAGCAAGTGCACAAGTTCATGCTTGTGTGTGAGAGGGGAGCTGAACTCATCCTTTTACAGGAACCCACTCCTGTGATGTCTAACCCACTCTAGCGATAACAGCATTAATCAATTCATGAGGGCAGAGCCCTCATGACCTAATCACCCCTTAAAGATCCCACTTTTCAACACTCTTGCATTGGGAATGAAGTTTCTAACACATGAACTTTGGGGCACAAATTTCACCCATAGCATTCCATTTCTGGCACTCAAAATTTATGTCCTTCTCACAGGCAAAATGAATTTCTTTCCATCTCAGTAGCCCCAAAGTCTTACCTCATTCCAGCACCAACTCAATAGTCCAATGTTCAGAGTATAATCTGAATCAGATGTGGGTGAAACTCATCCTGAGGAGAATTCCTTTCCAGCTGTGAGTTTGTGAAGTTAAAAAAAAATCACATGATTCCAAATTACAGTGGTGGATAGGCATAAGAAAGACATTTCCATTTTAAAAGGGATACATCGGCAGGAAGAAAGGGGAAACTGGTCTCAAGCAAGTCCAAAAACCAACAGAGAAAACAATATTAAGCCTTAAAGCTGAAGAATAATCTTTGACTTCATGTCTCATATCCTGGACACACTAGGGTGGGAGTTGGGCCCCCAGGGTCTCGGGCAGCCCTATTCCTATGGCTTTGCGAGTCTCATTCCACCCTACAGCTCAAATGGGTTGAAGTCTTGTGCCTGCAGCTTCCCCAGGCTGGAGTTGCATGCTGGTAGCTCTACAGTTCAGAGGTTTTGGAGGTTGTCTTCTCCCGTGGCTCCACTGGGAATTGCTCTAGTGAGGATTCTCTGTGGTGACTCTGCCCTGTGATGAGTCTCTGCCTAGGGCCCCACACTGTCCAAAACATCTTTGAAATATAGATGGAGGCTGCCATGGCCCCACAGCTATTGCATTCTGCACAACTGCAGAATTAGCACCATTTGGGTGCTGCAGAGGCTTGCACCTCTCAGAGTGACAAGTTAAGCCACACCTGGAAACACTTGAATCACAGCTGGGGTGACTGAGGGGCACTGTATTGGAATATAGGGAGACAGACTACTGAAGCAGTGTAAGGCAACAAATGCTGATGTGCCTTGGGCACCTCTCTGGAAACCTTGCCCTCAAGGTCTTAGCTTTCCTTAAAGATCTCTGAAATGCCTTCAGGGCCATTATTTCCTTATCTTGGTGAATAGAACCTAGCTTCCTTCTATCCATATTAATCTCTTTAGCAAACAATCGCTTGGTCACGCCCTTGGTATTCTTTCTCAAACATGCTTTTTAAATCTTTACAAGGCCAGGCCAAGAGTTTTCCAAATCTTTTCATTTTTCTTTCCTTTAAATTATTAATTCCATCTTTAAATCATTTCTCTCTTCACTCATTTTACTTTAAACAGCCAAAAGAAGCTATGCATCACCTTGAGCACTTTGCTGCTGAGAAATCTAAGAACGTGGCTGGGTGCGGTGGCTCACACCTGTAATCCCAGCACTTTGGGAGGCCGAGATGGGTGGATTACTTGAGGTTAGGAATTTGAGACCACCCTGGCCAACATAGAGAAACCCCGTTTCTACTAAAAATACAAAAATTAGCTGGGCATGGCAGCGGGCACCTGTCATCCCAGATACTTGGGAGGCTGAGGCAGGAGAATCGCTTGAACCCAGAAGGTGGAGGTTGTAGTGAGCCGAGATTGTGCCACTGCACTCCAGCCTGGGCAACAGAGGGAGGATCCATCTCAGAAAAAGATGAGAAATCTAAAAGTGCTTGGATTTCTTCCACCAGATATCTTAGTTCATCATTCTTAAGTTCTGCCTTTCACAAAGTACTAGGACATGGACAAGGACTTTGCAACTTCATAACAAGAATGGCCTCTACTCCAGTTTCCAATATCTTGTTCTTCATTTCCTTCTGAGACCTTACTAGAATGGCCTTTACTGCCTATATCTCTACCAACATTCTGATCCTGACCACTTAAGGCATCTCTATGATTTAAGCTCTCCCTATAGCTCTTGTCTTCTTCTGAGCCCTCACCAGAATTGTCCTTAACTATCCATTCACAGAAATCTAGGCTTTTTCTAGGCTGCTCCTCCAAACTCTCCCAGCCTTCTACCCACTCAATCAGTTCCAAAACCACTTCCACAAATTCAGGTATTTGTTATAAAAACAGCCCCATTTCTTGGTATCAATTTTCTGTCTTAGTCTGTTTTACGTTCTTATAACAGAATACCACAGACTTCAACATTTATAATGAATGGAAACTTATTTGGCTCATAATTCTGAAGGCTGGAAAGTCCAAGATCAAGGGGTCACATCTGGTGAGGGCTTTCTTGTTAGCTCATAACATGAAGGAAAGCATTATATGGGCAAGAGAGTGCACACATGAGAAAAAGGGAGAGAGGAGGCTGACTCTCAACCTTTTATAGGAAACCCACTCCTATGTTAACTAACCCAACCCCATGATAATGGCATTAGTCCATGAGGGGTCTGCTGTCATGACCTAATCATCTCTTAAATGTCCCACCTCTCAACACTGTTGCATTGGGATTGAGTTTCCAACACATAAACTTTGGGGAACACATTTAAACCACAGCAGATGCTATTATGCATAACATCAAATATCACCAAGAACATTTCTCAAACTCCCTTCCAGTTTGGCCTTCAACTAACACTACATATATATATTTTAAAATTTATATCTCTGTTATTTTGAATATATGAACATAAATTATTTTTACAACAAGTAGCACATTTTCAACTGTACTGATGCATTGCATTTGAGTGTCCATGAAAAAATGTTAAGCCAGCAATATTGAATGACAACCAAGTGACTCTTTTTTGTGGGTTTAAAAGATCTAATGATCTACAAAAATGCTATTTTTTCTCTAATACAATTTATCAAGAAGTTCAATAACTATTCTTTTATAATGATATTTTTGTGTTATTAATGATTTTATAAGTTATTAATATATAATATGGCTGTCCAAAATGCAGACAAAAGTGTGTGTTTTGGTATGTCTGTTTGAGTGTGTGTGTGTGCCTATGTGTATGTGTGTTTGTGGTTATGACAATTTGGGCCTACAAAATTTAGTAAGAATGATCCTCTTCCCCTTGCCATTTTATGTCTTCCTCAGGCTGCTAGAACCTACATTAGGACCAAGGAGGCAAGAATTTACATTTGGGTACAGAGCTCAGAAATAGTTCTGTCATGGGTATTGTCAAATCAGCTTCCTTGAGGTTTAATAATTTATTCAACAAGTATTTATTAAGAACCTAATATGTGCCAGACAGAACTAGGCACTGGCAATACAGCAGAAAACAAAGTTATGATTTCAATGTTTGAGGTATTTTTTGTAGGTTGGTTTCCCTAGGTAGCAGACTCTCAGTTGAAGATATATTATGTTGTGTTCTTGGGTTCACCATGTAGGAGCATGAAGGGCAGAAGGAAGAACTGTGCCGAGACAGAATAAGTGGCAATATAATCTTGATAGATTACAACTACTTAGTGCTCACTATCAAATCCCTCTTCTCTATAATTCCTTGTTTCTGATGTTCTTATTTTTCTCTTTTCAGGCCTTTGGCTAACCAGGGGCACCATTTGCTACTGTCCACGAGTCCACGTATACTCTTGCATTGAGCCACTTCACTTTTGACACAGATTGGATGGCCTGGTAAACTGTTCAAAACTCTTATTGAGAGGATTTCCACTCATTACTGTCAGGGACACCATGAAGTGACATCATATTGCTGCCACTGTTTATTTTCAGCTTTCACTCCAATGGCAAACTGACACACCTATAAACCAAATTTGGAGGTCTTTTTTTCATCCATTAGTGGGTCATCAGGGATTGCCCAGGGGGCCATAGGTGTGGAAGAATGGGTGAGGGAGAATTGCTGGTGCAAAAACCGGGGTGGATGGCATGTCGATCTGTCCTACCTCCTCCCATAGCCTGCTTGTGCACCTCAAAATTGCTTATGCTCAATTTTGGCTGTACCACTTCCAATTTAAGATGGATTGCTGCTGGGCCTATCCAATTTTATGAGTTGGTGAGTCTGACATGATGGACAGTTCGGACTGCATGATCATTTGATGTCCTGTGTTCTGTCTCTTCCACAAAGCCCTAGGGCAAGTCTGCAAATATATATTGCTGTCTGTTTGAGTGAGCGCAACTATTTCCGATCCTCTTTTCTGATAGGGGTGGAAAAGAATTTATTTGCCAGATCAATAGCTGCATAGCATATATCTGAGGTTGTGTTAATCTGCTCTAGTATAGATAACATATCTAGTATAGCAGTTACAAATAGGGTTCCTACTCTTTGAATTTGCAGGAGCACACTATCATCCTCCAGGATTCATCTACTCCTTCATAGAGGTCAGAATTATAAATTAAATGCTCTTATGATAGGGATCACCATCTCTACATCTCTTAGGTCTAAGAGTGACATGAATTTCTTCCATTCTCCCTGAGATGTAATATTATTTTTAATTTTCTATGTTGCCTTAGAGTGTGGAACAATTTCAGAGGCTTTCACTTGGCCTTCCCCACCATAATAGCTCTTGTCTTATAGGCAGAGCATTCCCTGTGTCAGCTATGCCAACTGCTAGGTGTGTACATACTAATTGTACATGTGGGGACTGAGAAAATGAATATTAGGTAGGTCCAAGAACTTAATGGACCCACTGTTACCTGAAACTAGGCTAGGACTACATTTATTGCCTTGTCCCTCTATATCCTCATGCTAGCAGAGGACTATAATATGACCTTGGGTCTCCAGGTATCAGTGTCAACCCAGACCCTGGGTTCAAGAGCCTTCTCAGTGTTTGGGTAATCTTTCTTCAGTGTACTGCCACTCGAGTAAATGGCTGAAGGTCAGTTTAGGGGTGGGATATTGTGCTATAAAAAATATATATATTTGGTCTTCCTCTCTGGTTCCCACCACAGAGCTCCTAAAACCCTCACTGTTTCCTGAGTGATCGGAGTGAAAGGAGAATCTTTGTTATTACTAATAAGCCCTTTTCAACTATATCTGAGTTTATGCTAATGAGATGACTCTTGGTGGGCCCCGGGATAGTTTCAGATCAGAGGCTGGTGGCTAGAAGAACGAACCATGTGATTATAGGTTTGGAACTTTCAGCTCTATCCCCCAGCCTCCAGGGAGGGAAGAGGGGTTGGAGATTGAGTGCAATAACCAATGGCCAATGATTTAATCAATCGTGCCTATGTAATGGAATCTCCATAGAACCCTTAAATGACAGAGCTTGGAGAGATTTTGAGTTGGCAAACATATTAAGCCACTTCGAGGGAGCATGTCCAGAGAGGGCATGAATGCTCTGCACACTTTTCTCCCTCCCCATATCTTGCATTATGCATCACTTCCATTTGGCAATTCTTGAGTTGTGTCCTTTCTAATAAGCCAGTAATAGCAAGTAAACTATTTTCCTGAATTCTGTGGGTGGTTATAGCAAATTATTAAACCTGAGGATGGAGTCATGGAACCCCCAATTTATGATGGGAGGCATGGGACTGGTGATTAGCATCTGAAGTAAGGGCGATCTTGTGAAACTGAGTCCTTAACTTGTAGGATTTGATGCTAACTCTAGGTACATAGTGTCAGAATTGAATTAAATTGCAGGACACCCAGCTGGTGTCTTTAAATTGGCTGGCATGGGTGAAGAATCCCACACGTTTTGTTTCAAAAGTGTTTTCAGTTAAAATAGTCCCTAAGGGGCAATCATTATTATGTACACTTGTTTGGTTATAGGGTCCTTCTTCCTGTGGCTCACCATCTCTTAGTCAGTGGATTCTGGGTCTGAAACCTAGCTTAGGCTTGGAAACTGGGCAAGTTTTAATTGTAACGTTTTATTGGAGTGACTTCCCTATTTCTTCCTTCTCATCTTCACAAAGTATCACTTCATCTGTCCTTCATTTTTTTGATTGGTTGTATTGACTAGTATTATTTTTGACTACTCATCTATTTCCCCCTCAGGAATGTCATACACAATTAACCATCTCCATATCCTCTGTAGGTCAGGCCCCCTGGCAGTTCTTCTGACTTTGTCACTCAACGTAATTGAATCCATATGGCTTCTGGCATCTGGTCTTTAATGTTTCAGGTCTTATTATCGCCTGATTATTTGTGAGCCCAATCCTGTAATTGAATCTCCAACTGTCAGCTCTGGCCTGCAGAGGCGAGGCACCACTAAACTGCTTAGTGACAGTGGTGCCCATCTCACTAGTGTATTCTTTATTACTTTGGTAAATGGTGTATCATTTGGACTCTCCCATGGAACATAGTCCTCTAGTTGTGGTTTTGGCCTTGAAGAATATATCCACTTTATTACGGCCCACTTCTTTGAGTCTTTCATTCCTTCCTTTCACCATATGTCATAGTTATTCCAGTTCGTGTTGTGTGGATCATCATTTTTACCATGCTTATAGGTGTTATTCTAGTAGCATGCTCACATCATCTTCCAAAATCCTTTCCAGGGTGTTAAATCTTATATCCCGAGAAAGTGCTCCCAAATTGATAAGCTCTTCCTTATCAAACATTATGTTCAACTTCCTTGATAAAGCATCCCCAGAATCCAGTCCCATGTGTATTATCCCAGACTCTGTCATTACATGCTAGCTATGTCTTGTGGCTTCTTTGGGATATACTCCCTTTCCTGTTTATCAAGCCCAGCATGTCTCCAGCTAGGCTGTGGTGTAATTTTACACTTATTATTTGCGTAGTGACTGGGAGGGAAGGTGAGGCATTGCTGGAGAGGAACACATTTCATCTTGGAGAGAGGGCTGTGGGTCATCCTCCCTTGCCTCTGTAACAAGCAAAGGAGAAATGCTAGTTCTTAAAGAAGGGCTACTTCCTTAGGCTCAGAGGGTTCAGAGGATCTGGGAGTTAGTTTTTGCAGGTGCATCAACATAGATGTATAGATGTCCCATGTGTCAGGATCACATTCTTTCTTGCCAAGGCCCTGAGCTTGGCATAGCTGACCTTCCTTGGTTAGGAATTTAACTTTCTTTGGATTTATGCTACTCTTCCAATGAAGTCCTACGCTTGGTCCTTAGCTTTCTCTGCCCTCCCACTGTAGGAGGTCAGAGCATCTTTGTTTCCTTCCAAAGAAGCCCTTTGACTTTCATAGTAAGCTTGTCATTGATTAAACACTCTTGACTTCTTGTTATCTTTTTCCAGAGGTCAGTTTGATTTAGCAATGGCCACCCAATTGCATTCTACTTATAGCTACTATTTCTTCCATATCTCATAAAAGCCTAATACATCAACCAGCTGATGCATTATCTTCCACTAGTGTGCCTTCTCTTTTAAAACTGGTAGAAGTTTTAACAATTGCACCACGAATCAGGGACTATCTGTGTTCCACCTGCTACCAGTGATTGGGTTTTCGTTGCCATCAGATGGTGGGTAAGCAAGCTCCAAAATCTCGTCGCAGCATCTCTTCCACCAATCACTCTCAGCACCAACTGTTTCAGATTTGGTTTGCTGGGAAGCAGGTTCTGAGTTGGAGATTAATGTGCATGATCTTTTTTGGAGATGTTTTCAACTCTGAAAGGAAAACTAAGGGTGCAGAAAGAGAAGTTGGAGCTGTAATACAGTCACCACAGAGGCTGAGAGACCCTAAGGGGAGTTCCAAAGCTGGGATAAGCCTTCAGAGTTTTTCTGAATTTGGGTGAAGGGGCTTGGCTTCTATGTTACACATGGACTATTCACTGGATGCTGGTTTCTCTGGGGACGATGTGTGACCTAGGGTAAAATGGTTCTCTGGGACCATGGCTATCTCTGTAGAAGCTGTAAGAGCTTTCTGTTAGCAGCACTCTTCACTGGGGGGAAAAAATCTTTTATTCCTGAAGAGGAGTCTGTGTGGTGGCATATCAGGCGGCCACCATAGTTCATCAGAACTATGATAATCAGCATTTCCCAGGGCTTGGTCTGTGCCAAGCACTGTGCTACATGCATTGTTGACATCATTTTACCTCATCTTCTCTAGAAGCCTGTGGGATGAGGACTGCTGTTTTCCCAAGTTTAAAAATAAGAAAATTGAAACCAGGAAAGATAAAGTGACTTTTCTGGGGTGACAGGTAGTAAGTAAAGGAGCTAGGCTTTGAATGGAATCACTCACACCCAGGAGCTCGCACCCAGCCTCCAATAGATTCTCAGCTGAAATCACCCATGCATCAAAATTTAGCCAAACAGAATGATACTTGTGGTAAGTCCTTTGTTGTCCATTCTACACTCAGAATATTCTTCATATTCTGGCATGCAGTCTGCCTAGACTGTAATTTTGTGCAAATTAGAGAAAGGAGCTCCTCTTCGCTTTGGCAGGTGTCACAGTTTCTTGGTCATGTGGCTTGTCCAGCCAACAGGAGATTTTGGTGAAGAATAAAACATTCTTTTCTCCAGGGGCTTTAGATTTGCTCTAGGGCATAAGGCTTGGCAAGCCAGACCCAGGCTTGGATTTCAGCCCCTACTTATCTCTTTGGATCAGTGCCTGTGTGCACAGAACCTCATCATATGAATGGTTTCAATGCTGCTGTTAAATACAGTTGGCTCTTCAACCCCCATTTCCAGCCCATGTCTGTGCCCTGAGTTTCACAGACGTTTGATCAATTGGCCACTAGATACCCCATTTGTAATTTCTACAAACACCTAAAACTATTTACTTCCAAAGCAGAATTTCTCAACTTCATCCTCTGCCCCCACCAAAATCTGTTATTTTTTCTGTATTTTCTAACTTTGTCATTGGCACTACTATCTCTCAGTTGCCCAGGTTAGAATCATGAACATAACTGCCTAGTATGTGTCTGGCTCTGTAGTGATGAATACAACAAAAAGTATCTTTCTTCTCATTGAATTTATGACTTAGTGAGAGAGAAAAACAATAGCTAGTAAATAAATAGGTAGAATAATTGCCAATTGAGATTGCTATTAAGAAAAACATTAATAGGATGATGTGATAGACAGAAAATGGGAAAGGGATTTATTTTTAATAATGTGGTAAGAGACTCCTCTGATGGAATGACATTTTAACTGAGACATTGGGAGAAAAAGGAAGCAAGTGCGGATGTTCCATGTTTGATGAGTCATATGCAATGCTTCTTCCTCCTGCATCCCACACAACCAGGTCTATGGCTTCTATTTTCTAAACAGCTCATGAACCAGCCTTATTCCTTCCAGTTTCTCTACACAGTGTTGCATTTAGATCATCATGCTTTCTTGCCCTAATTACTTCATAGGCATCCTAACCACCAGTATGGCCAACTGTCACTACTTTCTCCATCCAATTTCCATTAAAAACACACAAAATTGAAAGTATCATTGACAGTGGCTCCTCTTCTTAAAATCTGACAGTGGCTCCTCTTCTTCATCAGGAAAAAACGCAAACTTCAAAGCATGCCAGACTAGATATTCCTAGTTTGAATCCTGCCAGTCTTTCTAGATTCCCTCTCATAATTCCCTGTGGACATCCTTCCATACAACCATTTTAACACAGTTACAGTCCCTTTACTGTGCTATGTCGTCTCCCCTGCTTCATCCCATGCGTGCTTTCACATACTGTTTGTTTTTCCTGAGCACCTCCCTATCTCCCTTGGCCATGTCAAAATGCCTGGTGCTGCAAGGCCTGTGACTGATCCACTTCTCACAGTCTTTCCTTGAGAATTGTTAGGTGCAACCTCATGATGGTGATTTTCTTTGTCATACCTGCTGTCCTCCATTGAATGTGCCTTGGTGGTTTTATTTATTTACTTTTCTCTTGTCCACATCTCATTTTAAAACCCTCTTGGTCAGGTTACTGTGTCTTTTGCCAAACATATTTTTCCCAGGTTTTGTGATGTGTATTTTATCTCTTGACACAAATTTTATCTAATGGCTAAATCTTGTTCATCTAACACCCTGTATGGAGGTTTGACTAGAAGGAGTCCTTTTTCATACAGAGTCAGAAACGTCTGTTGGGAAAAAAAGTTAAATGCATGCAGGTCCCAAAGTCCTTCTGTTTCCTAGCTAGAACTTCAAACTCACCCAGGATAGAATGCAGGTTTCTCTTGATTGCAGAACTGGCTTTGGGGATATTATCATCATATTCAATATTTATTCATTCACTCAAATATCATGTATTGAGCACCTTAGTGGTTCTGAGCCTAGCTATGAAGCTAAATATCTGTTGGTCAAATCCCATTCCATGACTTGCCAACTCCTGGGCAAGTTATTTAACCTCTCTGAGCAGTGTCTTTATCTGTAAAGTGGGGAAAGAAAGCGCCTCAAATAATTATTTGGGGATTAAAATAAGGTGCTGCATAACAAGCACTTATGCCAATGCTTGGCACATAGTGAATACTCAGTAAGTAGTGGCTTTAAATAATACCTACAAAAAGATATCCTAGGCTCTGGACTAGTTGCTAGGTACCTATCTTGGATTTCCCTTCAGGAAGTCAGTGAGTATTCTGCTGATTCACTGTGTCAGGACAAATTGTGTGATCAGCATGTGAAAATTATAATAAACATAAAATTTATCCATTTACTCAGTACCTACTTTGTGTCCGCCTATGCTAAATGTGTTGCATATCTTGGCGCTAATTTTCACAGTTATCCTACAAGTGGGTATTCTTAGCCCCTGTTTTACAGATAAGGAAGATGAGGATCAGAGAGTAAAGGGCTTTTCTAAGATTAGTCAGTTAATGAGTAGTGGTCTAGGTCTAGGTCTGTCTGACTCCAAATCACGCTCTCTAGTTTTCCCTTCTGGTAACTGCAAGGAAATTTATCTTATCACTGAATACATGCCCCTTCTTTGGTGTTAGTAGAAATGCTGCTTCCAAATTTTCCCTCCACTAATAATCACATGTTACAGCTCTGGTAGTATCATTTTCTCTTTGTTTTAGTCTTTTAAAAGTCAACTTTTATTTTAAGTTCCGCTGCACAAGTGCAGGATGTTCAGGTTTGTTACCCAGGTAAATGAGTGCCATGGTGATTTGCTGCACGGATGAACCCATCACCCTGGTATTAAGCCCAGCATCCACTAGCTATTCTTCCTGATGTTCTCCACCCCCAACAGGCCCTAGTGTGTGTTGTTCCCCCCATATGTCCATGTGTTCTCATCGTTCAGCTCCCACTTATAAGTGAGAACATGTGATGTTTGGTTTTCTGTTCTTGTGTTAGTTTGCAGAGGATGACAACTTCCAGCTCCATCCATGTCCCTGCAAAGGATGCGATCTTATTCCTTTTTATGGCTGCATAGTATGCCGTTGTGTATATGTGCCACATTTTCTTTATTTTATTTTATTATTATTATACTTTAAGTTTTAGGGTACATGTGCACAATGTGTAGGTTAGTTACATATGTATACATGTGCCATGCTGGTGTGCTGCACCCATTAACTCGTCATTTAGCATTAGGTATATCTCCTAATGCTATCCCTCCCCCCTCCCCCCACCCCACAACAGTCCCCAGAGTGTGATGTTCCCCTTCCTGTGTCCATGTGTTCTCATTGTTCAATTCCCACCTATGAGTGAGAACATGCGGTGTTTGGTTTTTTTGTCCTTGCAATAGTTTGCTGAGAATGATGGTTTCCAGCTTCATCCACGTCCCTACAAAGGACATGAACTCATCATTTTTTAGGCTGCATATTATTCCATGTTGTATATGTGCCACATTTTCTTAATCCAGTCTATCATTGTTGGACATTTGGGTTGGTTCCAAGTCTTTGCTATTGTGAATAGTGCTGCAATAAACATACATGTGCATGTGTCCTTATAGCAGCATGATTTATAGTCCTTTGGGTATATACCCAGTAATGGGATGGCTGGGTCAAATGGTATTTCTAGTTCTAGATCCCTGAGGAATCGCCACACTGACTTCCACAATGGTTGAACTAGTTTACAGTCCCACCAACAGTGTAAAAGTGTTCCTATTTCTCCACATCCTCTCTAGCACCTGTTGTTTCCTGACTTTTTAATGATTGCCATTCTAACTGGTGTGAGATGGTATCTCATTGTGGTTTTGATTTGCATTTCTCTGATGGCCAGTGAGCATTTTTTCATGTGTTTTTTGGCTGCATAAATGTCTTCTTTTGAGAAGTGTCTGTTCATGTCCTTTGCCCACATTTTGATGGGGTTGTTTGTTTTTTTCTTGTAAATTTGTTTGAGTTCTTTGTAGATTCTGGATATTAGCCCTTTGTCAGATGAGTAGGTTGTGAAAACTTTCTCCCATTTTGTAGGTTGCCTGTTCACTCTGATGGTAGTTTCTTTATCAGTCTATCATTGATGGGCATTTGGGTTGATTTCCTATTCTTTGCTGTTGTGAATTGTGCTGCAATGAACATATGTGTGCATGTATCTTTATAATAGAATGATTTATATTCCTTTGGGTATACACACAGAAATGCGATTGCTGGGTCAAATGGTATTTCTGCTTCTAGATCTTTGAGGAATAACCATTAAATTTGTTGAATTTGCCAAAAATTCAGGCCACTTTTTGATAGCTTTATTGTTTTCTCTGACAATATGTTTGTAGTATACATACTTACTAAAACAAATGCAAAAAAGCATAATGATGGAAATAAAAAACTCCCCGATTCTCATCTTCCAGGCCATTCTTAATAATTTGATTTACATTTTTTTCTGCACCTTTATTTTTTATTGTTTGACTTTTGTATAACTTATTTTACCTTGTCTGGGAACACGTCATTCTAGCAATATAAAGCAACATAGAAGGAACTGCTCAAGCCTTTTCATCTTAATTTTCTAACTCGCTGATCAGTTTGCATTTTAAACACACGTAGTTGGTCACCACCTAGATAGGAAGTCAAATGGAAGTGGAATTCTTACCTTGAATGCAAACACGAATTCCCTTCAGACCCTGAGGGTCTTTGGAACTCCTCTTTCCTCCTAAAAATATGCTTGTTTTATCTGAGCCCTGGTTACAGAAAGATCACTTATCATAGACAAAATGTTAAAGTTGCTTGATTAGTCTTGATTATCTCTTTAATCTCGTTGGCCATCTTCTAAAATGTTAATAGTAAATTAGATGAATTAGAGCCAACTGAATTGTCAAACTCTATTGTTTTCAGGAAACACAGCTACTCATAGACCTTAGTCTTATGAAGCTATATATGTTCTAGCTATACAAGGGGCTTACATAAATCTTTAAGAAAATGAACAACGTCCAATAGAAAAACAGGCCAAGGATACATAAACATATTTTCTAAAAGAAGAAATATAAACTGTAAATATAATATTCTCATTGACTCTCAGTAATAAATGAAAAAAGAAGACTATTACTACTCTTTGGAATATTAAAAGATTTCTAAATTGCTAATATTTAAAGTGAGATTAACTCATGCTGGCAGTGGAAAGGAATTTTGAAATTTGTATTGGAAGCCTTAATTTTCACATCCTTTGATGCAAAAATCCCCTTACAGAATCTGGCCTAAGGAAATAATGACACATATAGACAAGATTTAGCAACAAAAATGTTTATTATCGTGCTATATAATAAAAGGAAACAAGAAAAACATCTTAAAATTAGGGCTAGGGTTAAGTAGGGTATGTGTATCTGTATAATTAAATACTATGCTGTCTATTCAAATTGTGTCTGTGAAAAATTTTTAATGACATGGTAAAATAATACCACTATATCTTATAAAAAAGATGCAAAATTGTATATTTAGGCTGTTAACAGCTGTGTGAAGAGATTCATATAATACTGGAAGCAAAATGTCTGATCAAAACTTAACAGAGGTTATTTCTAGTGGCACCATTATTGGTTGATTTTTAATGGACAGCTTTCTGCTTCTTATAATATCTCAGCTTTCAAATCCTCAATAGAAAAATAGTGAAATGTTGGCCTGGTGTGGTGGCGCACACCTGTAATCCCAGCACTTTGGGAGGCTGAGGCAGGCATGTCACTCGAGCCCAGGAGTTCGAGACCAGCCTGGGCAACATGGTGAAACCCCATTTCTAAAAAAATACAAAAATTAGCTGGGCTTGGTGGTGTGCATCTGTAGTCCCAGCACTCAGGAAGTTGAGGCAGGAAGATCATTTGAGCCCGGGAGGTCGAGGCTGCAGTGAGCCATGATTGTGCTCCTGCACCCTGGCTTAGGCAAGAGAGTGAGACCCCAACTCAAAGAAAAAAAACTAATATTTTTTAAAGCAATATACCAGAGCATTCTTCTTAATATCTGTCACCACTTAATAAGTAACTTTGGTCATGTTGAATATCTTGGAAAAACTGTTCTGATTTTGTTTCCTCCCTTTCCTAATTTAAGATGGGGACTGGAGTAGCTGGGCATCAGTTAGCCTGACATTTATAGTCCTCAGAGTCCCTACTCCTCCTGCCCTTGGCAGTGTTTCCCAAATTCTGTTTGCTCTCTTGTTATTTCCCTCAGGACTTGGGTCCTCTTAAGACTGTAAGGAGCTATGCACTTTCCCTCTTGCTACTCTCCTAAGTAGAAGGAGTAGACCATGCGTTTACCTGGAGGAAACCAATCCCCTCCCACAGCTGCAAATCAAAGTAATTGGCTAGAGTTAGTCAGAAATACAGGAGGGCACATTCCTCAGAAATAAGAAAATGATGAGTTGTTTCTGTCTGTACTCATCTTTCTACCCCTTTGTTCTTTGCCTCTCACATTACATCCTTGATGACTTATAGGTTTCTGAGATGTGGAGAGTTGAATAAAGTCTTAGTTTTATCTGGTTCAGATCAGAACACTATATTTATTATAGAAATACTGAAGACATTAATAATCAAGACGAATTGTGTTTTGAGTGGTTGTTATCACAAGACACCTAATAAAATATGAAATTCCTGAGACTGCCAGCCAAACTGAAACACAAGGATGCTGCCAGTGTGGTGCTGTGCAAACTGGTTATGCTAGATACTTCCCTTCATTATTTGGTATTTTATGTTGATGATGGGGAGCAGTACCGCCCTTCATTCATTCTCCCAGCCTAGATAATAAGGATAAAAAATACCAAACAACAATATTTTTCACAAAGTCCTCTCACATGCTCTGTGTCATTTAAGAGGGGAAGACAGCATGGTCAAGTAGGAGGAATTCAGACTTAGGGTTCATTCAGACAGACCTGGATTTATGTCCCACCTTTTCCTGTCACATACTGCTTTTGGGACCTGCCTGTAGATTTGGAAATAATGCCTACTTTGCAAGTTTGCCATCAAAATTATCAATTATACATACAACTACCTGGCTTGATCATTCTTTTATTCACTATTCAAAAGGTGCTATGCTTGTTCAACCTCAGTGATCAAAGAAATATGAATTAAAACAATATATGGTACAGAAGGGACCTAATACTATTCCTTTTTACATAGAACTTACAGTTTAGTGGATGTAGGTAGGCATCCACCAAATAGTGACAAATACATTTAAAATTGCCACTGTGATTAATGCTATAAAGGATGGTTTTCTGAGCCTAGTTAAGTAGGAAGTTGTGCTAAAGCTGAGATCTGAAGGATGTGTGAGAGTTCCCTAGGAAAAGAGAGGAAGGAAGAATATTCTAGAAGAGAAAATGACATGTGCAAGGGCTGGGAGTGTGACAAGAATGTGGACAGATAGAAAGCAAGGGGCAGTGTGGGAAAGGAGGGCAAGGGCCAGGCTGTGCAGGAACTTCATGAATTTGTCTGTATCCCACAAGCAATGTGAAGCCATTGGAGGATTTTAACCAGTTAGAAACATGATCTTATTTCATGTTAAAAATTGTGGCAAAATTATAAAATCTAGATATGAGGAGGTCCAGAGAAGATGCAATTATATCAGTTAAGAAACTAATTCAGTAGTTCAGGTGAGAGATCATGGTAGCTTTGATTAGAATGATGATGATGATGATGATGATGGAAATGTAGAAAAGTGTCTAAAATCCAGAGATACAGTATTTAGGAGGCAAAATAGAACTTGGTTGTGGAATAAATGTGTACACTGAGAGGGATGTCTACAAAGCCTCCCAAATTTCTGGATTTCTGGATTACATAACCCAAAGCCATAAAAACAATGCTGAATGGCAAAAATCAGGAGTTCCTTGTCGAAGTGTGGGGTATCTTTGGGATATCCAAGAGGAGAGTTCAATAGGTAGTTGGCACATAGTGAGCTTTTAATAAAATGCCATGTATTCATAATAATATATAAACAATTTATATTCATAACAATACAAGAAACTGCCTATACACTGGCCCATAGGTTAGTACTTTCTATACTGCTCAGGGTCCTTAGTTGTAGACAAGTGAATCTACTCTAGCTATTTGTAGCAGGACAGTATTTATTACAGAAAATTAATTGCCTCAAATAACGTATGATAGAGCTAGAGGACTACCTTTGGATACTTTATAGCAATAAACATCACAGTTACAGGCAACACACTCAGCAAGAATGCCTAAGCACACCCACCCCTGGACTGTTTAGACCCTGTTAAGCTTAAGGTTGAGACCCCAGAACTTGGGAGCGCCAGGAGGACCAGATATGTCTGTCAGTTGCTTGCCACAGAAGCTGATATCCCTATAAGTATGGATATGCCACTATACATTGCTCACTTTTGTATCCAAAATTTGGATGACTCTGCATGTGAGGTGTAAACCAGATAATGTGCCAAAGGAATCTAGTTCAGGAAGGTAAGTTAGAAGGGTGGGTTTTGAGTGAGCCAACTTATAGTCATTTGCTAGGCCTCCTCTTCAGTGCTTTTACATTCTAGCACATTTCTCTTCCCATGATTAAACTTAGAAACAACAGTCTGCTTCCGCCTAACAGGGTACAACCATCCCTCACACAAGCAAACCACACTTACTCTCCCTTTGAGTGATGGAAAGTGGTGAACAGGGCAGAGATAGCGTGTTGCCTATCAAATATTCATTTTTCTCTTGTTCCTTACTAAGCCTAATTTTGCTGGGCTGGGTAACAGATCCAGTTTTTTTAAAAAATTCAACATTTTCCAGGTTATCTTGCAGATAAGCGTGGCCATGTGACATAGCTTTGGGTAGACAAATGTGAGTAAAAATTGTTGGGTGGAATTCTGGGAAAGAAAAGTCTTTTCAAAGCAGGGGCTGCAGGGGATAGACGGAGGCTGACATGTTCCGTCTTTGCCCTTAAAGCTTTCCGCTTCTTTCTGCCTGAAATGTGAATGTGCTGGCGGATGCTTTATCTTCCCACCCCATGAGAGAAAGGCCCAAGCAATCAAAGAAGTCTCAGCCCTGACAAGCCACTCCAAGCCTGGATTGTCTCTTCTAGGTTTCCGCTCACATGAGAGGAGAGCAAACTTCCAGCTTTCTAAAACCATTCTTCTCTGAGATTTTCTATTACAAGCAACCAAATCCAAATTCCTAACCAATAGATCTTCTGATTGGGCTCTCATATTCCCTCTTGCCTCTTCAAATCCACTTTCTATGCCATAGACATAAATGATTATATGATTTTCTTATTCAAAGTCCTTCAATAATTTCCTACTACTCGTAGAAATAATTGCACAATCTATAGCCTGGCCCAAAAGTCACAGCATCCTCCGCCTACCTCTTTAACCTCATCTGGAGGGGCTTGCCTCTCCTTCACCAGGCTCTGGTCATGCCAGCCTTCCTGACAAAGGGCCCTCTCAAATGCCTCCCCTCAGCAGGCAATGATCTTACACTCTCCTCACCTCCCATACCCCCATTATGTCTTAGTTTTCATCACTTCACCATATGGACCTACTCTGACTCCATAATCTAAATTAGACCTCCCCTGTTAATCTCTTTGGGTGCATCATGTTATTTTTCTTCCATTACTTGTATCCCAAATTGTATTTATATAAAAGTTGATTTCTTTACTGTTTCCCTCCTTAAATCACGAATTCCATGAGGACAAGGTCTTTGTCTGCTGCATGGTTGATAGTTATGCTAAGTACAGATCCCTGCACAGAGTAAATGTTTAATAAATATTGGTTGAAAGTCAAATGAATTAGTTCATCAGACTCTGCCAGTTGCAGACATGTTTGAGTAATCAAATCTTATATATGTTTATAGACACAGAGTCAAATGGAGTCACAGGCTTTTGTTGTGGTAAAGGACCTTAGTAATTAACAGCCAAACACAGAGCTGGAGAAGATTGGAGAGAGAAGTTTTTCAAGGGTCACAGCATTCCCTTGCCTCAAATCCTAAAAAGTTCTAGAATACAGACAACATGTATTCACTCAGCCATTTAGCAAACATTTATTGAGCATTTATTATATGCCAGGCACTATGCTGGAAGAGAGGAATTGGAGAAGAAAGACATACCCTGCCTTTGAAGAGCACATTCTTAGGTGTATATGGAGAGGAATGTCTCTGCAGAAGTAGCTGTAGCATCCTTTGGGACCACAAAATCAGGACACCTAATCCAGCCTAGGATCCTAGGTATAAGTGAAGGATTTAAGGATAGGTGACATGTATGTGTAGTCTTGAAAATAAATAGGAGTTCCACAGGCTGATGAGTGTGAGGGTAGGCATTTCATTTGGAAGGAACAGCACATACAAAGACACAGATATCTGAAACAGAAAGGCCATAGCAAAGCGGGGACATGTGTGGGAGATGAAGGCAACTCCTGACATTTCCTTAGGACTTGGCTCACCCATGACCCCATTGGAGGACTCTCTAGATCTGGTTTGCCATTCTTCTCCCTATTATAGAATGCAACATGCTGTATTATGATTGTTCATTTAGTTTTCTGTCTTCTGCACTACACCTCACATAAAGGTAAGTAATAAATACGTGCTAAATGATATTTGAGTCTGGGCAAGAAACAGATCATGTAAGGCATGAACATCTAGCAATGTAACTACATTTTTATTTTTGATCAATTATTATGGTCTTGGGAATTAGGAGAGGGCTGATTTGGAGGGGTTAAAAATGAAGACAGGGAAAGCTATAGAAGGGCATTGAAATAGAGGGACTATATTGAAGATCCACTTTATACTTAAAGTAAAATCTCTTCTGGTAAATGCCTTAAAACATAATTATCATTTTAAAAAAACTTGAGGTGGGCAAATATATCCCAACTTTATCCTATGTATATTATAGAATGAGAACCCAAAGCTTTATAAGGTATTTCTTTAATATGATTTTATGGCAAAACAAATAGTATTATCTTCTCCTATTTGATTCTTCTTTGATTCCTAGCCCATCTTCCCTCTTTCTCTTCTCTTCATCAGCAAACTTCTTGAGAAGAAGCCATCTCCTTTCCCAAATCAGTCATTTCTCAAACAAAAGCAAAAACATGCTTTCACTACTTTCCTACAAATTCTCACATTATCTGAATGGTTCATGTTGTTGACAGCTCATTATCATCTGAAGTCATGTTTTTTTTTCTAAAATGTAAATCATGTTTGTTTTCTTTCCATCCCCAGCATTATCCCCACTCAACAGTTGACCAACTGTACTGAACTGCCTTTTAAATGTTAAAATTCCCTTCCCTTCTCTTGTCTTCTCAGTCTACATAGAACAATGTCATTGTCATTCACCTCCCAAGGTTCAAGTATAATGAATACATCTGACTTTCAAATTAATATTACCTACCCTACATTTCTTTCAGACGGATGTCTCATAGATCCCTCAAACTCAATATATCCAAACGTGAATGCATTATCTCCCCCACAAAGTCTATTCTTCTCCTATATTGCTGATCTCAGTTAATGAAATCATCATACTTTCATTTAGCCAAGGTATAGTCCTCAGAGTAATTCTTGACTTCTCTTTCCTTGTATCATATACTCCTCTGAATCCACTTCATCACCAAGTCTGATTAATTTTATCTATAAAATAACTTTTGAATTGTGTTGTGATGAACAGAAAAGTGATGCTGGAAGCTCACCCTCATTTCATTTTTTTCTTTAGAGACAGAGTCTGGCTCTGTCACCCAAGCCAGAGTGCAGCGATGCTAACATAGCTCAGTTCAGTCTCAAACTTATGGACACAAACAATGCTTCTGCTTTAGCCTCCAGAGTAGCTGGAACTAGAGGCATGTGCCACCATACCTGGCTATTTTATTTTATTTTTAGAGATGGGGTCTCACTTTGTTGCCCAGGCTGGTCTGTAACTACTGACTTCAAGTGATCCTCCTGCTTCAGCCTCCCAAAATGCTGAGATAACAGGCATGAATCCCTGCGCCTGGCCTTACCTTCATTGACCAATGAGCCAGCAGTAACTAGGGTCTCTTCTTCCAGAGAGAAAGGCTGCACCCAAGCTCTACTTCCCATGGGTCAAGAGATTTCCTCCCGGCAGCAGGGTCAACTGCAATATCTCATGGGCCTAAATTCTAAAGAGGCAACATTCTTAGTTAATTCCTAAATTGCTGGCATCTCAAATTCAGACAGTCTTGTACCAGGCAGCCTGTGTATTCCTCCAATGGCAAGGCTATTTTCTCAAGCTGATCCTATAGAAAGAGAGACCCACGGCTGAGTGGAGATCTCCTTTCCACTGGCACAGAGACTAAAAATGCCTGTCTGGTAGAAAATATTTCACAGCATAACCATCTCTGGAATAATACTGAGATCCAGAGACCCTGACCTTTTCTTGGTGTCTTGATTCAGCCTGTTAGTTACCCTCTTCCTCATGCAGGAAGCCTGTTCCTTAACCCTTGCCATGTGCCCTTGTGGAATATATCTCAAATCATGGTACATAAAAGGAAGGGAGCCATAGGGACCTACCTGGCATGCTACATTTCAAGCCCCTCCTCTACCACCCTAAAACAACCTCTTTTGCTAAACTTCTCGTTACCTCTCGACTGGCTTCCTGGAAGAGCGTCCTAGTGGGACTCCTGCCTCCGATCTTGCCTCTGCCCATCCTAACCTTCATATGATGGCTGAGGGTAAATTTAAAATAAAAACCTGGGCCGGGCACAGTGGCTCACGCCTGTAATCCCAGCACTTCGGGAAGCCGAGGCGGGCGGATCACGAGGTCAGGAGATTGAGACCATGCTGGCCAACATGGTGAAACCCGGTCTCTACTAAAAAAAAAAAAATACAAAAAAATTAGCCAGGCGTGGTGGCGGATGCCTGTAGTCCTAGCTACTCGGGAGGCTGAGGCAGGAGAATGGCGTGAACCCGGGAGGCGGAGCTTGCAGTGACCTGGGATGGCGCCCCTGTACTCCAGCCTGGGCAACAGAGCGAGAGTCTGTCTCAAAATAAATAAATAAATTAATTAATTAAAAAAATAAAAACCTGATTACCTACTCCCCTTTTAAAATCTTCTAGTAGTAACATAGGTACTAAGACAATGTCTCTCTTTTAAAGGAAAAAAAAATTCTTTCAAACTCCCAGCATTGACTGAAATTATTTATTGTAATATTAATAAAGTCTACAGACACATAAGACTAGATATAATGATTTCTTTTCCTCATGGATAATATACAAATCTAAATCCAAAAACAGATAATTAAATATAAAAAGATAAAAATCAATAAAATTCTAATTATGTGAAAGATTAATAGCACAAAGCTAAAGCTAAATCTTTCTATATTCCATGTTCTATCTTTAATCTATTTCTGTATCTTAAATTTAAAAGTACTGAAGAGGGCAATGCTGTTTACTGAAGAATGTTGTTCATAATGACATTAAGTAGCATCACAGTTTTGGTTACTGTTTGAGGGTATTCAGACCACCCACTTACCCTAATTCGGCCTGTGGAGTAATCAACAAATGCCAATTTTAATGAGCCGTTCCCTTGATCCCTATGAATCTGTCTTGTTGACTTAAAGATAAGGTTATCATTATGGCATATTTAAATCTGCATTAAACAATTACCTAATCCAATTATTACTGGATTAGTGAACAGGAAAATAATATTTGAAGTTACTTTTGGTTTCTTATAGTTGTTGAAAAAATATTCATAGCCCCAGCACAGAGCCAGTGGAAAGACATCAGTAAATACTGGAAGTGACTCATTCAGACCATTTTGAAGTGGCTTAGCCATAAATCAAATTTTCTACCATTGTTTCCATTTTTGTCTGAAATTTAGAAGAAAGTCTATTTAAACTACAGCAAAAGCCTCCTTTATACAGTGTCCTATGATGTAATTTGGCCTTTACTTGGCATAAACAAAGCATTTGCTTAATAAATCTGTCTCTGTTCATTTGTTATAAGCTGGAAACTCTTAAGGGGATGGGGCATACTCCTCTCTGCAATATTATTATAATGATTTCACATGAGTTTCAATTTATTGTCTACCTTAAGAAACAAAAGTCATATTTTAGGAAAATGTATTTTATTCCAATTATCAATCAGAAAGAACAGTTTTGTCATTATAACTGGTAAAATAATTCAACATGAATACAGTGAATTCATTGTGGGACAGTTGTCATTTTGTCACTTGATGTGCCGATCTAACCCCATACAATCAAATACACTTACTAGCACATTCTCAAAGTTGAAAACTCACTTTAGGTCAGGCTTGCAAACTGGTGGTGCAGTATTTTGTTTGGACTGCATGGAGTTATTAGTTTTAAAATCATGTTTGAATACTTTAAAAAATGAGGAAGATAATCTCTAATATACCATGGGCTCTATCACTCTTGAGAGTTTTATAGTTAGTGTATGATCATTTATTTATAAAATGGAACCCATTGAGTATTTAATTCCCATACTGTATCCAAGGTGACTATAATGTAACCATGGGCACTAAGCATGGTTGTTATTAAATGATCCAGAAAACATATGTATTCATTTTAGGATTTTTGTTTTTGTTTCATTTTGCTTAAATTCTCATCAAACTAAGTGGGAAAAAAAACTTTTCTGAGAGAACCTATGCATCCCAAAAGTGTGCCCTCACTTTCTCTGCCTCAAGGGTCCATGGACTTCAGTTTGAGAAATATTGGCCTATAGGATAAAATCCAAATTCCTTAAAGGAATATCCATTCCATTTACACGTCATCTTAATTTTTCAGCAGACCTTTCTTCCTCCCCATCATATAATCTGTCCTCCAGCCACATGCATTGCTTCCTTTTCCTTACCATTCCATGACTTACCATGTCTTAGTGACTACACATATTTTCTTCCTTCTGCCCGCAATGCCCATTCTGCCTGATTAGTGTGACAAACTCCTGCTTATCCCTCAAGACTCTTTGTGACCCAGTTGAAGTGTCATCCCCTTGGTGAAGGATTTTCAAACTTTCAGTGACAGAATTGGTTGCTTCCTGCTCTATGTTCTCATAGCACTATTTTTAAAAAACATTTCATTGTAGCACGAATCCCTTGGCATTGTAATGAACTCTTTGTGAATTACTCAGTAAGTCCTCTATCCTATTTCTTTCTTTAAGAGATTGGGGAGCTACCTCATCACCATTCTTCTGAGGACCAGACTTTTTCAGGGAAAGTATATATAAGAAGAATAAATAAGGGAAAATAAAGGTAAATGTTAAATGAATAAAGTTTGTGATAAAGGGATCCAAGTCTCTTCCAAACACCATGAAAGAGCATAGAATTTGCACCTGTAAGCCTTGAGTTTAATTTCCCATTTCTGGAAATCATCTGCTGTTATCTTTTCAAATACTGCTTCCATTCCATTCTTTTTCCCCTCTCCTTCTGGTAATCTACTTTAAATATGTGTTAGAAAGTCTCATAGTATCTTCTATATACTTTACCTTTTCTTTTTTATACTCTGTATTTTGTTGTTTTTTTTTTTTGTGCTACATTTGCTAGAATATCTTCTGAACTATTTTCCAGCTCATCAATTCTCTCTTCAGCTGGGTCTAACATGGTTAAATATAGTAATTTAGTTCTTAATTTCAGTTTTTGCAATTTAAGTTTTAGTAGCTTTGTAGAAGTTCCTCTTCAAATCTGCTGTGTAAATTCTTAATTTTCCTATTTCTTATAGATATTTTAAGCATGCCTTTTATTCTTTAAACATGGTAAGCAAAATGTGTTATTTCATTGTTTATGTCTGATAACTTGAGGATATCAAGTGTTTGTGAGTACAGAAAATACCCTTGTTGCCTCACCCCTATTTCCTCAGACCTTACCATTTGAGTGTATGCTGGCCCAGTGCCAGCCTCTGCATCTCTTTGTTTGGAGGCTTTCTATGGTGGTCTAAACCCATAGGTCAGAAGTATTACACAACTAACGTTGGCTGGGAGAAGCTTTTCCTCTGCTGTCTTGACCCTAAGGTGAATAACTCTGAAGCTCGTGTCTTCGCTGGATCCCAGAGGTCCCATAGCAGGACTGAGCTCCAATCTCCCATAGCAGTAACTATCTGGATGTATGCTTTTTATTGGCTGCCTTCCCTTCCACGTGTCACTTCTCCACTCCTTTATAGGTTCCCACCACTCAAACCCTTGACTCAGTCATTCCAACATTAAGATGTTGTGTTTCTGTTGTCTGTTTTTTCTGCTTGTCTTGCTTATGGTATCATGTTTCCTGGCTCTCTGGTTGTATTTCTGTACCGGACATTATATTTAAAAATATTTACATAAATAACTGGAGGCCTAGGATAAAGCTACTTTTCTCCAATGAAGATTTTTGTTGGCCTCTTCCAAGGGCTTGGTGGGTAATCCTAATCTTGGATAACATTCATCAGAGTATATTCTTTGAAGTTCCCTGGACCTCCTACTTGCTATGAACCTGGGCTGCAAGTTCAGCACGTGTTGTTTTATTTCTGGTTTACTCCTGAGACTGTAGCCCTTTGGAGGTCTCAACTTAATGTGCAGGGGTTGTCAGACTCCCCCAGCCTGGGAAACTCCTGGGATTTTATTTTTTCCTCCTCATCTTTTAAGGCCACCAGAACCACAACTTGGTTTTGAAGTTATTTCTTCCAAATAGGTAACCATGCTGAGACAAATGCTGCTTTGAGTGCTACGCTTACTTTCCGGATCCTCAGCTCCTCCTAGATTGTGGCTGAGTCATTCTTGAGATGCTGTGAACTTTTAGGTACTTTAAAAAAGGTGCTTTTTATACTTCAATCCTTCCCTTTGTTGTCTTCATTGAGAGGGTTGATTAAAATTACCTAGAACACCATCATTGTAAAAAATTTATAGGTAATGACCTTACTACAAAACTCCTGTGAGTCTTAAGACTGATCATCCCTAGGATGTGATAGTGCAAGGCACATGGTTGGTGCTCAAAAATGTTTGCTGTTGAAAAAATCTGTAGTATAAGAATGGAAACATTTAACCTAAACAGCTGTATTAAGGAAAAAAATATGAGATAATCCATGCAAAAGCACAAATTCACAGTGTCTCTGGAGAGGTCCAGAGTGGTTTAATGACCTGTTCAACTCCCAAAGCCAAGTGTGGGAAGAGGCAGAAATGCAAATCAGGATTCCTGATTCCAACTCCATGTGTCTATAAAAAATGATACTCCAAAGGATAACCATGTTGCAATCTTAGAAAGGCAAATCTTCCTGGAAGTGATGGAGCTCATTGCTAATAGCCTCCTGTCAGGACAAAGCTGTTTCGGTGCAACATGACTGCTTCCAAGGATCTTTCTGGTTGCACATAAATTGACTGTCTCAACTTACAGTCTGGTGATACTGCATTGCACAATTCAGTGAAGCAACAAACCAAATAAATGTAACATGCATAGTACTGTTACAAAAGGAAAAAAAATGGAAAATAACCTGAGAGAAAGGCAATTTTTTTCTGTCCACTGTATCTGCCTTTAAATTGAGTCTAGATTTGTGTTGAACCTGGCTGGGACTACATAGTGGAAGGTGATAAGAGGCTAGCTATTGTATTTTGAACCTTAGTCTATTCATCTTGAGCATCATTCATTAAGATTGGCTTTGCAAACATCCGCTAAGTTCAGTTCAGTTCGCCTCAAAAAGCATTTACCACAAACATGCCATGTGCACTGTGCTGGGGACTCAATGGTCAGGAATATTAGTAACACACACACAATCTTCCTTCAAAGAAACTAGAGTCTGATGGGCATAGTGAGACAAAGGAATGTAATTATCATATACCAAAGCACTTCACATTTGTGTCCCCAAGGAATTATTTGTTTTTGGATTCAGGGTTGGGGGCATTTCTTCAATTGAACTCTCCAATAATTTTGTTCACAGATTACATGTTAGATCTTCAATCCAATGAAAGTTAACACCAGAGTAGACATTGATCTCTGTATTAGCCTTAATCTGGACTCAAATGGAGGTAACTACGGACTCACCTAATATTTCTGATAGCACATGTGTTTCCTTCAGCTGTGTGTCCTTTGGTCGTGAGTCCATTCTGTTTTCCTGGACCTGAATTTCTCCAACTGCCAGAAGACAAGAATGTTCTTAGTTGAAAATTCAGCCTAAAGAGAAGCTGAAGATGATGCAAATCTTCTGAGAAATCTGTTTCTCACCAAATTATTCATTCACTTTACAAATTCAAAAGCTGGGATAAGTTTCAGGGGAAAAAAAAGAAATCTGATTAGATAAGCTTCCAGCTTCCATGCTTTCTAGCTTTTGGGCACTAATTCATTCTGAACTGATTCAGCTTTCACCATCTAATATTTCCACCCATCTCCAAAGGGTATAAAAAATAGACAGTTTCTTGATTTACTGGGCAGGTAATGGTGGGGAACGTGCCTCTCTCTCTCTCTCTCTGTGTGTGTGTGTGTGTGAGAGAGAGAGAGAGAGAGAGACAGAGAGAGAGAGGGAGAGAGAAGGTGGGGTGGTGGTTTATGGAAAAGAGTGGGAATAAAACATACATTGAACAAAAATAATGCATATCCAAAGTGGATCTGGCATTTGACACTGAACAGGATGAATTTTCTGCATAGTGTTTGATATAAAAGGGAAAAAAGAGGGAGGGGAATGGTGCTGTGTCAGCATATAGATTGCAAATGAAATAAAAATGGTGTTTGAAACTAAGAAGGGGAAATGGGAACCAGTTTAAAACACTCTGATAGAAAAGGAGAAAGCAGGTATATTTATTTAGATGGAAAAAAATAAACATGAATTCCAATACTCTGGTAGAGAAAGAGAAAGCAGGTACAGTTATTTAAATGTACAAAATAAATTTAAATCAGAAAAGGAAGGAAGGGAGAAAGAGATGGTTGGAGAGAGGGAAAGGAAGCCGGGGATTGGGGAGAGGAGAGAACAGAGAGTAATTCTAGAAGGTGTTGATCTATTCCTTAAAACATTGTGAAAATACGAAGTTGGTGTCCTTTGAGAACTGCTTCCCTTGCCTGCCTTTTGTTGTAAAGCTTTTTCTTCTATGTTCTCACCATTCATTTACTCAAGCATCCAGTCCCTTATAGGATCCTGAGTTTTCCTGTCAAGAAGCAGAGTTTTCTGATAAAACTCACGCCAACTGCAGTGTTAAAATGAATTTCTGTTTTATAGAGAACATGGCGAAATAAATTACTAATAGTAGAAATGTGGGATCTTTGGCAGAGACATTTTTTGGAAGGAAGATCTTCCTGGGAAACTTTAGACACATCTTCCAGGTCACCAGCAATTTTGCCACACTAAGGGCTCATTCTAAGAATGACAGAAAATGAACGAATGAATGAAAAAACAAACAAACAAACAAACAAACAAACAAAAAACACCAAGGTTTCTAAGAGGTGGAGAGAAATACAAAGAAAACTGTGAGAAGTAGATGCAAGTAACAGAATATTCATTCATTGAGGTGCATTTTCATAAAGTCAAGGGGGCAATTACCAGCTATGATTATAATTGTCAGAATGGGCAAGAAAAGAAACAATTATTGATTACCCACTAGGTGCCAAATATGTTACCATCTGTTTTTAAGTGGGTTGCCTCAATTCTAACAATAACCATACAAAGTAGCTTCTATTACATCTAATTTTAGAGGTGAGAAAATTAAGGCCTGGAAAAATTTAGAAATTTAATTAAGGTAAAACTGGCATTTAATTGTCACCAATAATAGTAAAAACAGTTATGAGTTATTAAGAGAGTTCCATGTGCCATGCACTGGGTTAAACATGTTGAAAATATTGTCTAACTTAACTCTTATAATGATGTTTTCCTGTTTTTTTTTTTTTTTCTCTTTTTTTTTTTTTTTTGTTGTTGTTTTTTTGTCAGAGACAGGGTTTCGCCATGTTGGCCAGGCTGATCTCAAACTCCTGACCTCAGGTGATCTGCCCGCCTCGGCCTTCCAAAGTGCTGGGATTACAGGTGTGCCCGGACTTTTATTATTATTACTATTTTTATAATGACCTTTTGAAACAGGTATCAATTCCCCCAACTTATAGGAGAAGGAAAGATTGATCATACAGCTAGAAAGTGGCAGAGACTGGATTGAACTCAGGTCTGTCTGACTCCAGAACTGGCGGGTGATGTTCAACATGGACCCCCACACTACAGTCCACACTAGGTGCCTGTGCTGTGGTCGTGAGTTTCTTGCCGTCACTAATTCCTAGACCTCCACACCCTGGCTCTTTATAAAGTGGTCTTCCTTTTACTCTCTATCTGATTGCTCTAACTGCTGACCTTGACCTTCATCTTCCCCCAACAAAAAGAAGAAAAAACCACACTTTTTTTGTAGACCCTGTTCTGTACTCACTGAATCTTGAAAACAGCTTTGCTAAGTAGACTTTAGAACTTCTATTTTGCAGGTGAGGAAACTTAGGCTTAGAGGGTTCAGCTAACTTGTCCAAGGTCATGCACTAGAAAGTATTGGATTTGGAATTTAAAATTAAATCCATCTCACTCTGAGGCCTGTGTCCTTCCAGTTTCCTGCAGGGCCCCTTGAACGTGTTTTGGGGAGTAATCCTGTTCTCACAGTGGGGCAGGGGATTAGAATTCTGAACAAAGTGCTTTCTAATCATTTTACTGTCAGAGGGCCTCCACTTTACTTAGTACCAAACTCCATTTTTTTCCAGTGTGAAAGGAGGCCTTTGCAAAATAGAAAAAGTACTTTCATTCCAGAGAGAGCCCTAGGAATAAAAAAAAAGAGGAATCTGCAAAGAAAAGCAGTAGGGGAGAGAGCTAATACCACTAGTTTCATTCTCATAAGGGAAAGAGAGACATTTTAGAAAAGATCTATTGTGTGAACTTGAAAACAAGATGTGGGGTCAGAAATGCTGTGGTGGCAGGTCCGTGGAGGAAGTAGCCACCAAATAATAGCCTTGATTGCAAGCCAGTGTTAATTAGGCTTGTGGGGCCCTCAATGAGCAAAGAAGATTGAGCTCTAACCATCAGTTCCCCACATGAAGGTTTATTGTAATATGAAAAAGTTATTTAAATTTCATTTCACGTTGTCCTTTTGAATCCTCGCATTAATAAAATCGTTTTCAGTGGAAATATCAGCAGCAAGAAATAGAAAATACTAACAGCAAGATTTTTTAATGCCCATAAGAAGCAGCTTGGAAATTGACACTCGGTTGCCAGGCACGTTTTACAGCTTTGCTCTTTACCATGGACCAGAGATAATTTTCCTTATGGAGAATTTACAAGTTTCCAGATGCATTATGCTGAAGATAGCCAGGATCCAGTACAAGGCAAGTACCTGCTCCGTGCTTGATTTAACCAATGAGAAAAACCATGAAAGCGAAAGGAGTCTGTCCCAACAAGGTGGAGGGGTAAGATATTTTGGGAAAAGAGAATGAGAGAGGACCATTTCTCCTTGGCTAATTCTCGCTATACCCTAAACTTCCAGTTGTTAGTATTCATGAACATTATTAGTTTAATGTCTGTCTCCCCTGATAAACCAAATGGCTCCATGAAATTGGAGCTGTATCAGTGAATCTTTACCTAAGTGTAGCAGTTAAGAATTTGGCTCTGGAGCTAGGATTACTGTGTTCAAATCTCAGCTTCACTATCTATCTGTTAGCTTTGTAACCTTGGGAAAGTTAAGCCTCTTGAGCCATATAACAAGGATGATAGTAATATCTACCTCACGGGGCTATTAGAAAAACTGTGTGATTTAATATTTGTGAGAACAGTGTCTGACACCTATATAAACTATATAAACTCCTGTTGCTGTTATTATTCTTCACAGCTGTATCCTCAAAGCTTAATATAGTGCTTATGTAGAGGAGTTGGGAATAAAAGGAATCAATGAATAAATAAGAGAAACAAAAATTGTATTTCTCTTTTTTCTTAGAAGGAAAAAGATTTTTTTCTTAAGTCAATAAGTCCATGTTTACCAAAATATCTTCATTTTGTCTCAAATGCTAGAATAAAATCAAAATATGGATACACCCAAAGTGGTGAGCTGATATTTTTTGTTTATGTATCTACAACTCTAATTACTCTAATAATGTATGTAATCTCTTTTTCATGATTGTTTACAAAGCAATCATGTCTGTGAAAAGGCAATGCACATCCACCCTTGAATATACTCTGGTTCTTCCTCAATGTGCTTTAGCTGTACCTCCAAATAGAATCAAAGGTGACCCACTGGGAATTCTGTAGAACAAAGAACTTCCTTGTTTAGAACTTCCTTTGAAGCCAATTTATTATTCTTGTTATGAATTTTAATGTTTCCATTCTTTCTCTCTTTCCTTAAAGTTACATTCCAAAACATCTGTGATGGAGGGTGTGTCTGATCAAGGGAGGAATAATTTTTTGATGGTAGTTGGTACAGATGGCTGAGTGTGTTTACTCAGAGAAGTGGCACCATCCTTTAGTGATTCATTTAGTTTAAGATGAGGCTGACACATTTGGAACACTCTAATATTTCTCTGGTCTTTCAGAATGGGTCCTAACAGCCCCAGATGGCCTTACTAATCTTTGTTAGGTTTGCAGTCAATGAACATCTTTTTCTAAAATTTTTATTCTCCTGCATTGAGAGATCCCGAAGAGATGAAACAATGTCGTCTAGATATGCTGCCTGATGTTCATCACCTCTCTGGATTCTAAACATTCTTGGTCACCAGTGGCATCCATGTCATCTCCATTGTATGTATTCTGGGGCTATGACTTCTTGCCCTCTTGGATGAGTGTTGTCAGATAGACTATGAAAAGAGGTGACTCTGAAAAGTAAGGTCTAATAGTGATACAAAAAAGCAGGAATTGCATACAAAACAAAAATCCAGGTACAACATCAAATCACTCATGTAAGAGAATAATAGGATTCATTTCAATAGTTCAATTATTATCAATTTAGTGTTTGGCTTATTATTTAAGTGAAGGAAGTCAAACTTTAAATGTGTCTTTTATTAATTTTTTACATTAAACTTTTTTTTTTTTTTTTTTTTTTTTTTTTTTTTTTGAGACAGAGTCTTGTTCTGTCGCCCAGGCTGGATGGAGCACAGTGGTGCGATCTCAGCTCACTGCAAGCTTCACCTCTCGGGTTCACGCCATTCTCCTGCCTCAGCCTCCTGAGTAGCTGGGACTACAGGCACCCGCCACCATGCCCGGCTAATTTTTGTATTTTTAGTAGAGACGGGGTTTGACTGTGTTAGCCAGGATGGTCTCCATCTCCTGACCTTGTGATCCTCCCGCCTCGGCCTCCCAAAGTGCTGGGATTACAGGCGTGAGCCACCATGCCCAGCCTACATTAAACTTTTAACTGAGATAATTGTAGACACATGTAATTGTAAGAAATAATACAGAGATCCTATGTATTCTTTCCCCCGTTTCCCCAAAAGAGTGTCTTTTAATATTATAGTACAATATTATAACCAGGATATTAATATTGATACAGCAAGACACAGATTCACCATAAAGACCCTCCACTTCTTTTTCATAGACACATTCATTTCCCTCCACCTTCTTTTATCTCTACCCCCGGTCATCACTAATCTGTTCTCAATTTTTATAATTTTGTCATTTCAAGAGTGCTGTAAAAATAAAATCATACAGTATACCCTTTATTTTTATCTTTAGGAGAAAGAATCCTTCGGCTAATTATGGGGGTAAAAGTTAAGAATTAAGGCCCTTGCCTGGTGCTGCTAGTAACTGGCATGGTGACATCAAGAAAGTCACCTACCCTCATCTGTAAAATGAAAGAGTTGCATCTGATGACCTCAAAGGTCCTTTCCATTTTGGGATTTAAATGTTATAGCATCTAAATTGCCATAGCAGGACAGAATGGAGGCTTTGGGAATGAGGAGGGTCACTCTCTGGTCTTCTCTCTGAGGATATTTCCTGTAATGTTCTAATCTTTTCTCCTAGACAGTCACTATTAGATCCTCTCCTGCCCTGTGAAATGTCCCTTCATTTGCCTTTATAGAAAGCAGTAGAATGTTCAGGAGTTTTTCTTTGTTCCTTCCTAAGTAGGGCTATACAGGCTTCTCTGAAACTCATTTAAATAGGAAAAGCACAAAACCCTTGTTTGAAACTCCATCTTCTCTTATTCTCAGTGAGTCTCACACAAAGGACAGAGTGAACCATCATGCAGGGACATCTTCTTGCAATGAGATGTCCACAGGTCAAGCAGACTTGAGGGCATAAGCTGGTGAAAGGATAGGTAGCTTGACTACTGTTGGTCCAAATGCAAGTTGTGATGTCAGGGTCAGCATCATACTGGGCAGTTGCCTGGGATCCCATGCCTAGAAGTGGTTTAGGAGTCTGCTGTCATTATCCTGACATTCTTAATAATTTTATTTTCGAACTTATATTTCATAAGCCAAGTTCAATGGAATAATAGAGTAGGTGTGAAAGCAGAGGAGATAAAGGCAATGTGGGTTTGCTGCTGTTCCTTGGCACCCCATCCATATATAGCCTTCCTGATGCCCTGTGAGGATAGAATTCTGGTGGATCCACAACATGTGGAAGTTCAGTGAGATTCAAAGCCCATATAATGTTAACTGTAGTACATTTACAACTGAGTAAACAAGGGCACTGACAGCATTAGAGTCTACACTTTCGATTGTACCCAGAACTTATATTGAATGCAAAAGGAAAGCAATGATGTTCCAATAAATATGAAAGACCAAAAAACCTTATGATATTCTTTTTTTTACTTCTGTTACATCCCTGAAACTCAGGCTGGGAATGGTGACATAAAAGGGAAGGTTTCTGTAATTCTCATTCCTTTCAGTTCTTTCTACTCGTCAGTAAGTCCAAAAGTGTAATGTATATGTATCAAGAAGTGAAATAAAATCAGTTTGAGTAAGTTTTTCTTTTGTTTAATTACTATTCTAGTAAGAACAAAATACATACACATGTATGAACTATGAAATGAGAATTGTGTAATTTTGGTAATTCTGGATATCAGTTAAATGGTCTGCTATTGCACTTAACACAGGCATTATACAATGAAGATAAATGATAAAATTTATGATAATAATTTAAAATTGCAATTTGTCTTTACTTCAAACATTATATATGAAAGAACAAACTTTATGATGAGCACAGAAAGAGACTACAGAAGAAAGAAAGAGCTTTATATTTTAGTACCTTTAATGACACTGTTACCCTGTTTTCGTACCAGGGGTTCCAAATTTTCATAGTGCACTGGGCTGCACAAGTTATGTGGCCACCCCTAGGTGGTATGAGGGTGCAAGTAGGGAGAAGATTTCTTAGATGCACTGATTGAATTTGGGGGTTTAAAGAGAGAAAAAACTAACTTGGCTAACTTAATAAAAAACATTTTGTTTTACTTTGTTTTGTTTGGGGAGAATGCAGGGTACTCGTAGAACTGAAGGAAAAGCTGAGAAAATAGATGTAGAAGAGAAAGAAATCAGGAGTTCTAGGGATTCAGGTGGAGAAACGAAAGGGCAATCTTATGGGCATCACACTTTGAGTGAATTTGTTCCAACTGATCATTTAAGTTTGTGCAGCTCCACTTAGCAGTCTCCGTCTGGAAGGAGAGTTGGTCTACCTTGGCTTGCCATTTGGCTAGAGGAGTACAGATATCCTTGACTGGTAGTACTCTAAGATTGCACACAATGGGAATTAGTCATTCCCTAAATAGAAATTGGGGTGTTGTACCATAGGAAGAGAGAATGTAGCCTGAGTTACTAAATCAACAAATGCCCATTACATGAGAAAGGCATTATGAAAAGGGTACTGAGTATCTTTTTTTGCCTACTGTACACACGAAAGTCCTGACTTTATGATCAGGTAGGTCTTGGAAAGAAAAAAAAAACTTGGAAAGATTATTTTTATTCTCTTGTTATTCATGCAAAAATATGTATTGAGAGACTATTACATACTCTATACTACGTTAAATACAGGTATTACATATTGGGGATATAGTCATGTTAAAGATAGGCATAATCCCCACCTCCTTGAAACTTACAATCTAAGAAGACTAGGATGACAGCTAAGGGAAAATTAGAGATTATGGAATAATAATGAACATGCATTTTACAACATACTGACATCTGTACAAATGATACATTGCTGGATTCTGATATGGATGTCCTAACCCTTTTCTCTAAGTAGCAGATGGAAACCTGTAGCCAGTGTTTGCAAGAGCATAGCCTCATTCATTTTCAAATATCACTGTAGTAGACTCTGTTTGGTTTGGTGTGGGTGACTTTTCTTTCAAGTCCGGTTGATACTTTTTCTATATTGCACATCAAAGTTCCAAGAGAATGGGCTCTTGGAACCTGACTTGCTGGATTCAAACTACACACACCATAGTCTTCCTAAGCCCTTCTGTAAAATGAAAATAACCCTTGTAATAACCTAGAGAGGTGCTTAATAAATGTTAAGCTATTACTACTACTACCATTACTAGCTGAATCTGCTTTATCGGTCACATTCATAAAGTTCTAAGGAACTCTCCATTCTAAGGACTCCCCATTCTCTCACTGTCTACATTTACAGTGCTGTTCATTAGGATTTTCCATAATGATGGAAATATTCTATATCATGCTCTCCAAAGAGTAGCTATTATTTGTGGCTCTAGACTTCTTGAAATGTGGTTAACATGATTGAGGAGCTGAATTTTTAACTTTATATTAATTAGTTGAAATTTAAATTTAAATAGCCACATGTGGCTAGTGGCTACCACACTAGAAAGATGCAAGTCCAGAAAAAGAAACTTTGATTAGATAAAGGAAAACATAGAATATTTGAGTTACACACAGTGGAACTTCTCTGATAGGGATGTAACTGGATTGGAAGAGACAAGAGAGTTAAAAGGCTGTCTTTTCCCTCTCTTCTTCTCTTTTCCTCTCTTTCGTTGTTCTTTCCATATCATATAGCATTGATGTTGGAGGTCATCTGGGTTATTAGACTTGTCATCATTTGGAAGTCCAAGGAGTCAAAGGGGGCCCCAAAGTGAAGATAGGAGGGAGTAGACCCTCCACAACGAGCCTCGACTTCAGCCTGAAAAATTATTCTTGCAATTTTCATAATACCAGCTATGTTCACTAGGACAGAAAACTTGAGAGAGCAAGAAGGAGGTGAAGCCTCGCTAGTGACTAAGAGTTTGCATTTTCTGAGGTGTCTCTTGGATGTCTATGTATCAGAAGCCTCATTCCAAGCTAGGATTCAGGGACTTCAGATTTTGTCTACAAAACTTTAGAAAAGACTACAAGTGGTTTAAAATTTCTTTTTGTGGTCCTACTTGGAATTCCTTTAGGTACCATCTTCAGAAATAACATTTCCAAGGTTTCTTCCTGCAAAATATTTTGCAAAATGCTGGTCTCTTGGTTCCTGTTAAGATCATATGTGAATATAATAACAAGAAATGAGCCTATCTATTTTCAGCATCTACTTGAAGATGAGTGACATGTTCCTTAGACTGTTGGAATATCCACACTACCTTGAGAAGAATTAGAATTGGTGTAGCAGAAATGCAAAGAAGAAAAAGACTCAAATTGAGGTTTTCTGATTTCCAAAATAGTCTATTGGCGTTGGCAGCAAAAATAAATTTTAAAAGGAAAAGCTTTTTTGTTAGAAGAGACTAATTAAGAGAGGAAAGGCTTTGAGAATCCCAAGGTCAGCCCTAGAGCACAGTGGACCTAAAGGTTATGTCAGAATAACCTGCTGGAAAGGGAAGCAAAAAGATCAGATGATCTTGCTCCTAAGGGACTGGAATGAGGGTCAGTGAGACCTGGAGGGGAGTAGAAAATGGAAGGGAATTTGGGCATAGAGAAGTAGCTGGAGAAGGGGTCCCCCTAAAGGAGCCACAGGCAAAGGAATAAAGTCAGCAACAAAAGATCACTGATTCCCAGTGCAGTGCAGTGGGGCCTCCTGGAAGTCAGATCAATCCTCCGGACCACCCAGCAACATCTGAGGAAGCACTGCCCAGTTATCTGGGCTAGGAAGTCACATTAGCCCTTTTGTGTGCCTGGTGGGATCCTTTTGGTGATGGCTTCTAGCCCACCTGTCATTGGCGGGTTGTCCATCAGAAGTGTGGCTTTGCTGAGCTCCATTTGAACTGTCTTAAATGGGCATTCTCCAATTGTTCAACCCTTCTGGGACACTCACAAGCTCTCTTAATCAAACAATGAAAGCCTATGATGCTGATAGGCATATGGTCAGTGTGGAAGGAAACATGGGTATGGTGGCATTTTGGAGAAATGTATTCCAGTTATGTAGGGAATGCTTCATTGTCTCACTGGGCTTGAAACTGAAACTCTTATCTCTTTATAGTTTGGATACTCTAGGCCCTCTTTCTATATTTTGTCTTCCTAGTTATGCTGCACTATAGGAGACATCATTTTAAACTTTCCTGGTAGAAAAGTAGCTTTTTAATTTTCTTTCTTTTGGGCAGAAACATGAGTTCCATGTATTAGTATTAGGCATTCACCTCTGGTTGCAATAATCAAGAGGATATTCCTAAGCTGCAGCACCAATACTGGGCATCTTGACAGCACACTCAAGTAAATGTAATCACATCCACCAAGCATATATTTAGTGCCAATTCTAAGCCCAGAATCAGGGTAGTTACTGGTGATATAAAGTTGAACAAGATATGATTATGGGTGCTCACAATCCAAATACAGCTTAGTTCTGTGTAATTCATTAAAGATGATGTTGTTCATCTAATATATACCTGTTGCCAGTGTGGGGTGGCTGGTAGGCATGGAGATATACCAATAAGTGAGTTTGGCATTTTTCTTTTTCTTCTTGGCTGCAAACTGTCACTGACTAATTTAATAGTGACTGATAGAGCTCTTAAAGAGGCTAAAGAAGGCATTTGGTTGTTCTGCCCATCAGTCTCTTTTTTTTTTTTCCCAGTTCCCACCTTTGTTGCTCAAACTTCTCAGCCCCAAAACCCTTTCCCACTCCCCCGGCTCACTCAGTGTTCCACCTTCCTGGCTCCAGGAAAGGCTCCTATTGTGCTCCAAAGCTGAATTCTTATTGTCATGGTTGTTCTCATTTAGCTCTTGGAGACAGCTGCTTGAGGGTGGCTGAGTGGGTAGCTGGAGGCTGTCCAGCTCCATTTGGCTTGTGCTAATAATCTGGAAGGTTTTGTATCTTTCATTTGTTTCCCATTCTGGATTGAAAAAAATGGAAATTCGTCTGCTGAGTGGGATGGAAAGGTAGTGGGTGGGCAGGGCTGAAAGAATGGGACCGGGTGCATCATTCCTGCCACCTGTTAGGCTGAGAAATTCAGTTCCTTTCTGTTTTGTGCTTTATCCCACCATCTGCCAAGCTATATTAGTCAGGTCTCTTTGGTTACAAGTAACAGGAACTAATTTGACCTCACTTAAATAAAATAGGTATTTCTTTTAACAATACAGGGAACCTTCATGGAACCTGAGGACACGAACACAGGTAGATTTCAGGAAGGATTTGGAATGAGCACCTGGAAAGGCTTCGAGTCTCTCCTGTTTTCATCTCTTATCTTCTCATGATTCACTGGTCCTCTCTCTCTCTTTTTCTCTCCTCTGCAGACCCTCTTTCTAGTTTTTTTTTTTTCCAAAAAGTAGAATGTGGCCACCCCACAGTGCCTGAATTCAGATGTTACAATTCTATTCAGCTGCAGAGACTAATACTTCTCAGTTCCAGTTTCTCATCTGCATCTGATTGGTAAGCTTTGGTTTGGTGCTCATGTCTGGTCCCATCAAATGCAATTGAAGACGTGAAAACACAAAGTATAACTTGATGGAAAGACCGACTTCTGCGGACCAAGAGATAATTCCCAAATAAGTGGGGACAAATGGGAGCTAGGCAAATTTACCAGGTACTGTTATCCCCAGTAATGTGCTGTTGTATACCCTTCTTTTTTTCTCCTAGATTCCTCTAGTTCATTATTTACATGCTTTTGTCATAAGGAAGGTATGTTTACTGTAATTCTTTAAGGCTACCTATCTGCACCCAGGCCAGGTTCATATGGTGGCAAGCACTGAGATTACAGTGGCTGTGAATCTCCACATATTAACATCTTGGTCTCTGAATTCCTTGAATAGTGGGTTTGTAATTAAATATGTTGAGGCCTAGTAACATCTGAGTGTCTCTGCCAACTTAACTGTTGGGTATCCAATGACAAGAATAAAGAAGCAAAAACAACCCTTTGGATTTCTGTAGTACTCAGTTTTCCTCCCCCACATCAAGGAAGAGAGATGATGATATTTGGAGGGTTAGATTACTTAAGTTAAAGTCCTAATGCTGCTGATCACCCACAGGATAATGCAATCAAAACCCATGTCCTCTCAGTTCCTCACACCCAGGTAGCGATAAATAAAGTCGGCCTCATTAGTTAATTCAAGGATTTGTTGAATGCCTGCTGTTATCAGCACTGTGCTCCCCTGTGATACAGCGGCCCTGCCCTCATATGTTTCACAGTGTAATGTGAAGATGTACAGGAAAAAATATCTATTTTAATTATTATAAAATATATATTTTATAACTACCATGAAGTATTTTAGATTTAAAAAGAGCTACAAAGACTAATAGAGGAAACACTTGTGTATTCACAATCAGCTGTAGAAATAAAATATTCCTATGGCAGTTGAAACCCTTGTTAACCCTTTCCTGAACACAGATTCCTCCTTCAACCCTGAAATAATTATTTCTCTTAATTTGGCATTTATCATTACCATGTGTTTCTTTATATATTTACATTATCAGTTGAATTGCGTTCCCCCAAAAATGTTTAAGTCCTAACCCTGGTACCTGTGAACTTGACCTTATTTGGAAAGAACATGCATGCAAATGGTCTGGTTAAGAAGAGATCATTAAGGTGGGCCCTAACCCAATATGACTGTGTTGTTATAAATCAGGAAAATTTGGATATAGTGACAGACATGCACACAGGGAGAATGCCAGGTGAACATGAAAGAAGGTGTAGGATGATGCGTCTGGAAACCAAGGAACATCAAAGATTGCCAACAAACCACCCAAAGCTAGGAGAGAGGTCTTGAACAGATCCTTCCCTCAAAGCCCTCAGAAGGAGCCAACGCTGCCGACACCTTGATCTCAGATTTCTATCCTACAGAACAGTGAGATAATAAATGTCTGCTGTTGAAGCTACCCAGTTTGTGGTACTTTGTCACAGCAGCCCCAGCAAACTAACACAACTTATTATACCTGTATGTGTTCCTAAACTAATCATAATTTTGTTTACACATGTTAAAGCTTTATATTGTTATACCATGCTGCAGGTATTCTTCAATGACTTAAACTTTTCTCTGAGAATGATGTTTATGAGATTCATCCTTTGGCACATGTAGCTTTAATAATTCCCTTTTCATTGCTGGGTAATAGTCCATTTTATGGATAAACTTTACTTAACACAATTTAAATATCCATTTTCCTTATAATGGACATTACAAACAATACTGTTATGCACATTCTCATCAATATCTCCTTGCACACATTTGCAATGAATTTTTAGAAGTTTATACCTAGGAACTGAATTCCTGTATTATTACGTGTTTAAGTTTTCACTACCACCAGCAATGTTAAACCGTTCATGTTGCTACACAATCTCATCAACAAATAATACCATCTGGCTTTGAATTGTTTACAATCTGGCCAGTGGGTGCAGAGCAGATATTTAATGTTGTGAAGTGTTCTATGAACAAGCAAATACAGGATGCTATGGGAATGTGTAAGGAAAGTCCAAACTAGTCTGGGAGGTGTGGTAGAGAGGGATCCCTTGTGGAAGTAATACCTAAGCTGAGTCTTGAGGCATAAATAGGCATTAGCCAGGTGAAGGGAGGTGGGAAGGGTGGTAGAGCTAAAGGGAGCAGCTTGATGGAAAGTGTAGAAGTGGGAATACATGTGGCACAGGTGGGTACGAGGACGGAGTGTCTCCACTAATGCCAATATAGCCCTTCATTGATTTAGGTGGACCTACCTCCTCACGGGGCAGGAACAAGCAAAATCCCTTTATGAGCTCCACAGTGACTCCTATTCCTTCTAAGTCTAGGGCATATGCCTTGAAAGTTGAATGAAAATATTTTTTTTCTCAATAAGAATTTAGATTAGTGTTCAAAAATGGGCCAGTTGACTGGCTTAGGTCCTCAACTGTATTTTGTTTGAATGCCACAGTTATTTTTTATATTTTATGCCTTTATTACTAAATAGTATTTAATGAATTCCGTTCCCAACATTCTCTACTGTCTTATACCGAGACCATTAACTCATTTCTTAACTCCCAGATCTCTGAGGTCATTTCAGTTTGAGACCCCTAGCTAAATTTACTGTAGTGGTGTGCATAGGTGATCAGGAGGAACAATTAATCCACCCTTGGGATAAATTGCCTAATTAAGATGTTCTTGTTGAAGTCACTGGCAGGACTACAGCTCTAGTGGTGAGCTACAGAAAAAAAAATCTCAATTGGAGGATCCAGGACCACCCTTGCCTATGAGATTGGACCCCATTTCTCCCCTGGCAAGTAGAGAGGCTTGGGAGGCTTATCTGGCTTACACATGCAGTTGCATCTTAAGATGGTAGGAATCTAATTTGGAAAATGGTGTATGAGGTGGGGATGGGGAGAATCTGGGAGTGGGAAGGGGAGGAATTTTCCTAGAAAAGATAGAGATTTCTACAGAGAGACTTTAGACAGAAGCCCTTTGGTGGAAAAAGTTTGCTACATGATGGCTGGGAACCCTGGTAAACAGTGGGGAAAATACCCATGAGGGATATTCCTTTTGAGGCTCAGAAAAGTCCAATTTAGTAGAACCTCCTGTTGTTTTCTAGATTTGTAACTCTTTTCTGATATTGCCCAAACCCTTCTGTTATCAATCTGTCTAATATAGCTTGGTGTATTCAGAGAGACTGAGAGGTCAGGCAGCAGGGAGAGGGCACTGTCCTGGTGCATCTTGTAAAATATATCAGGTCCATTCACTGGGCTATGGCTTGACTTATGATATCAGTATTGGTTTAGGAGTGATGTCTGTGGAGAATCCCCAAAGGGCCAGAACCAGAGAAACATATCTGAAAGAATGATAAACTCAAATAATATAGGTTACTCTTACATTGGTTCTTAGTCTTGGTTGAAAATTTAAAAACCATGTTGTAGCCCAGACCAATTATGAACCAAAATTTCTGAAGACAGAGGATCCAGGCAGCAGTATTTTAAAAATACTTCCCAGGTGATACCAATGTTCAGCCAAGATTTACAACCACTTGGTTGAGAATATTGCCTTCTGAAAGGGTCCAGAGGGGTCCATAGCATGCCTGGCTCACATTTAGTCTCAATAGCAAAATAGAGTGCATTTGAATTGAAATTCATCATCTTGGTACATCTATACTGTTGTTAAAGTGGTTTATTAGTGGAAACAAAAATTGGGTAGCATTGGGGTAGGAAAGAGAGAAATGCAATTAGAAAGAAAATGCTTTGATTTTTTTTCTGTTTGCTTGTGAACATTTTGCAAAAAATTGCAAATTTTGCCGAAACAAGGTTGGATTCCACCATATTTTATCTCTTGCAGCAATTCTAATGCCTAGCATCAAATGCTGTCCTGCATCACCCTCTGGTTCATAGATCCCAAAGAGTTTGCATATTCCATCTCAGAAATTCATTCCTCATTGAACTTAAAACATGTTTAGACTCTCAGGGCATTTAGATGGGACTGCTTAGAGAAAGCCCTGGAGGGAGCCTGCCATAATGATGCGGCTTTAAACAGTACTCTAGACCACCTGGAGAGAATCACTAATCACTCTCTGGTGTTTTGTTTTCTTTCTAGATCTTCAAACTTTCTGCAGTCCTTTGGTTTGGTTTCTAAGGCAGAATTTATGATATGTTACTGACTGAAGAACAACTGAATTTTATACAATAGTCTTTTTGGGTTTCAATTTCTCACCAGGAGAACCAAGTAATATTTCCCCACAATTTTCCCCAATGTGTTTCATGCTAATTTTATTCCATGCCTTCCCTTAAGATGGAATGGAGAGGGGAGGCAGGTAAACATATAGACCCCTCTTATAGACGGTCTTAAAAGCAGATGTTTTACTTTTTTTTTCTAAGTAAGGAGGCAGAAACTTCAGCTATGTTTCTGTGTGTATTTGCATGTACACGTGTGTGTGTGTGTGTGTGCATATGTGTGCACTTGAGTCCCTTGGAGTGTGGGAAAAGGGAAGAATAAGGATCTTCTTGTATGGCTTCAAATAATGACCAAATGGGAGCTCAGGCTTATGCTACAGACACTACTGGCTTGGGTTTTATGACACGTTGCATTGGAATATCAATCTCTGATTCTCCTGCTCAGCTAATCGTTTAACCTGGTTAGCAGTCGTTTCATGTGGATATGTTGGGGATTTAGAGGATGGAATTGAATGCCCTGGAAGTTTACTTTCAAAGCCTCATTTTTAACCAGAGGATGCCGATTGCTTTCTATAGGAGATCATATCCCTCTTTATGTATACCTGGAAGAGCTCAGTTGAGTGGGTTTTCTTTAAAAAAAACACCGGATTTTGTATTCTTCTCCCATCTCTTTTAAAATGATTTACTCAATATTTGTTTCTCATCAACATTCGGGTATCACTTCCCACATCTTCACATACCTGAGGCGAGTTTGCTTTCCAATTAAATGCCTCTGGTTGGCTGTCCTCTTCTCTGCACTACAATTGTTCATTTTCCCCTTCCATATCAGGCCTAAGGAAGACTCCAAAGGTGTTGTCATAGTTAGCATATTTTTCTATCAGGTCTGAATGAAGACGGTGCCTCTGCAGTGTCTGAGATGAGTCCATGGGCCAAATCTATAATAAGCCTGTTGAGACAAATAGGCTAGCAATTGTTCTAGCCAGGACACAAGCAAAATGCCAATTGCAGACCCGGTGGTGAACCAGGCTGCTGAGAGCAGAAAGTACCGGATTAATGAAATCACAGGCACTCAGCTTGCACCCGGAACTAAAGCAGCTTTGGAAAAGGCATACAGCAAAAAATAAGCCAAAGTTAATCGCAAAGTCAGGCGTCCAATAAAGCAGCATCTGCTTGAAAAGGAAAGCACATCAGCCGCTGCACAGTGACTTTTCTTCTGCTCCGTCAAGCAGGGGGATGTGCAGAGTGGGATTAGCAGGGCATCAACCCACAGCGCGGCAGCTGCCCGGGTGGCAGCAGAGCTCTGGCCCGCGTGTGCCTGGGGCGCCGAGATCGGCCGATGCATTTGCCCAGGGCAGCCAGCTGTGAATTTGACTATCGGCAGCAGCGAGGGCAGCTCCACAGCTCGCCCCACACTCACTTTCCTTCCCACTCATGAAACAGCCACACCATGCATGCTCTATTGTTTCCTAACAATTCTTCCTGCGCTGCCGGTTATCAGCAATAGTCTGTGCGCTCGAGTGCATGACCTCATTTAAAGAGCTTTGGCAGAATGTCAGCGTCATGTTTTTCCCCTCCTCGCTTAATGATGGCGTTCCTTTTTGCCACTTGATTTTGAGTCTGTTATAATTGCAGTGAAGAGCTTCTATTCAGGACTTTGTAACACTCCCACTCTTCTTCCAAAGAGGCAAGAAGAGGTGACAGGGTTATGGGCTGTCATAAGCTTGCTGGCTTGCCTGAAATTTATTTTCACTGTTGTTATAGACAATGATCAGGGTTTAAGTCTTGGGCTGCTCTCTGATAGGGCTGTTTGAAATCTGTTTGCATTTTCTGAGGGTTATTTCATGGAACACTAGAGGGACGTAAATGAGTGTCACTTATGGAAATAGATTCCCCGGTCACCTAAACTTGAGAAACATTGGGTTTTCTAATTGTATAAAGTATCAGTATTGTAAGTGGCTCAAAATTTTTAAGATGCTGTTGTGCCTTTTCGATGTGGATAGTGAATAGAATCGGCAAAATTTTGCAAACTTTTTGGCCTTAGAATCCTTTTTTTCTATTCTTTCAAATTTTTGAAAATATTTTTAAAAAAATTCTTTCAAAAATTTGAAATAATTTTTGTTATGGGTTGAATTGTGTCTCCTAAAATTCATATACTGAAGACCTAATCCCCAGTACCTCATAATGTGACCTTTTTAAAAAATAGGATCATTGCAGATGTAGATAGTCTAGATGAGGTCATACTGGAGTAGGCTGAACCCCTAATCCAGATGACTGGTATCCTTAGAGAAGGGGAAAATTTGGACACAGAGACAAATGCACACAGAAGAAGAATGCCATATGGAGATTGAAGTTATGCTTCCACAGGCCAAGAAACTCCTGGAAGCTGCCAGAGAGGACTGAACAGACCCTTCAGAGGGAGCATGGCCATAATGACACGCTGACCTTAGACTTCTAGCCTCCAGAACTGTGACCCAATAAATATCTGTTGTTTGAGCCACTCAGTTTGTGGTGCTTTGTTATGGCAGCCCTGGGAACTAATGCATTACGTAATGGAATACTGTTTTGAGGAACTTTGAGAAATGCTGCTTAACAGGCTTACCACAATAACAGATATAATCGTCTGAGAATATATTTGCAGAAGTCTGAGATTTTAAGAAGTTTTAGGCTCAATTTAGGATCTTCTGTATATTTGCAGGCAGAGTAAATTCTGACTACATTGATGTTATCTCACATTTAAAAGAAAAATATTGGGCCAACTACATGAGATATTGTGTAAAGCAAATGAACAGACTGCCTTCTTCCATCCTCAAATGTTCAAATTATAAACCTAGTTTCATTACTTAAGCCGATACAATCTTTCTGCCTTGCCTGAATAACTGCTGCAGCCTTTAATTAGATAGGTTGATGAAAGTGTTCCAGGAGTTACACTAGCCTGTCTGTACTGTATTCTTTTATCCCACTTGGTTGGATTAAAATGGATGGATTAAAATTGGATACAATTCATGACTGCACATGAACTAGTAAGGCAGCTATTTTATTGAAAGAATTTCTAAAGATGAATACTGATGCCCAAATTTAAGGGATTCATAGGCTAGTAAATATTAAAAAATAATTTGAAGGTGACATAGGTTTGCAAACTTTTTCTTTTGTCAAATAAGTATATTAAAACAACAATTGACAAAATGAACAAGAATCAACAACCACCATGTGCTAGTGACATTGTTTAAACCTTTTAATTGTACCAAGTAAGAATATTAAAACAATCAACAACTAAACATACCAAAAAACAAAATCAACCTCTATAACAACCATGAATTAGTGATATTATATATAAAAGTAAAGGATATTTCTAAAACCAAAAAGGTAGAAATAACAACATGTCATAATGATACCAATGGATTATGTGTTTTGAGTGTTATGTGCCAGGCATGTTCCAAATGCTTTATATGCATAAGCTCTATTAATCCTCACAAAAAGACTAAAAGGTTGAAACTAACATCTTAATTTTATACGAGAGGAAATTGGGCACTGAGTTGAGAAGTTGACTAGGGTCATCTGCTGATAGATGGTAAGGCTGGGAGTTGAATCTGCAAGATAGGCTCTGGAATATATGATTTTGTGATCTTGAGCATCATATGATCTTGCATCTCTAATATGATTCTTTCCAAAAAAGAAACCTCAGCAAACATACTCAGATGTTTCTGGGGGTGAGTGCATGTGGATATTTTTATTTTTATTTTTTCTCATTTTGCTGCAGATCTGTGATACCATCATCACAGAGCAGTCTGGACCGGAATTTAGGAAGCCCTAGACTGCAGCTGCAGGCTGCACCCCAGCAAGGGATCCAGAATGTAAATGTCCTGTGCTGTTTATGGGAGGAAATCCTAAGACAGATAAAGGAAATAGCTCATTTTTGTTTAATAAGCCATCTACGTTTTGTGGTAGGGCTTGAGCAATCTTCTAAAAGGTGAGTGCAAATCAATCATTTCAGTTGACATTTTCAAAATACTTCAGGGTGGCAGAAAGTTAATGTATCAAATGCCATTAAAGGTTTAAAACAACCAAACCAAAATAAATATACTTTAAACTTAACCTCAAAACTTGGGATGTGATTCAGTGTTCAGCTTGGAGTGTATATGTTTGTGTGTGTGTGTATGTGTGTGCATGCATGTGTGCATGTGGTATGAGATGATTTGGATTCCATTGCTGGGGATGTATATGAAAGCACACCACACAAACCACTCAAAAAAGCATAGCATTAAGTACATAAGTGATATTCTATACCTGGAAATTGTCACATAAATGTAACCTTTGCAAGGGAAAACTTTTGCAGCAATTTAGTGAAAAGAGCACATGCTTTAGGGTCAGGTAAACAGAGTTCAAATTCCAGTTCTTATTCTTCCTTGCTGTGTGATCTTGGAGAAGTCACTTTTGTAGTTCATTTAGGATGCTATAACAAAATACCATAAATTGGGTGGCTTATAACCAACAGACATTTATTTCTTATGGTTCTGGAGGCTGGGAAGTTCAAGATCAATGCCCCATCAGATTCAGTGTCTGGTGAGGGCTTGTTCTTCACAGATAGTGCCTTCTTACTGTGTTGCTACATGGTAGAAAGGGCAAGGCAGTCCTCCAGGGTCTTTTCTAAGGGCACCAATCCCATTTATGAGGGCTTTACCTCCATGACTCAATCAACTCTAAAAGGCCTAATCTCTTAAAACCTAATGGGGATTAGGTTTCAACACATGGATTTTGGTAGGACACAGACATTCAGATGACAGGAGTCACTTAGCTATCCTATCTCATTTGTAAAATAAGAACAATAGCCCATCTTATAGTTTTTTTTTTGTGAGGATTAGGCTGATTTATGTGTAATGATTAGCAGTAGTGTTGCTCAAAAGCTAATTTTATATTATTTATTTATTTACTTTTGTATTGAGAAAGAGTTTCTCTCTGTCACCCAGGCTGGAGTGCAGGGGTGCCATCTCAGCTCACTGCAACCTCTGTCTCCCCAGGCTCAAGCAATCCTCCTACCTCAGCCTCCTAAGCAGCTGAGACTACAGGCACATGCCAGAACACCAGGCTAATTTTTATATTTTTGTAGAGACAGGGTTCGCCATGTTGCTCAGGCTGGTCTTGAATTCCTGGGCTCAAGTGATCCACCTGGATTGGCCTCCCAAAATGCTGGGATTACAGGTGTAACCCACCTTCCCTGACCACTAATTTTATTTTTTAATAAATATTTATATAGTGTTCATTTACAGACCCTGTTCTAAGTGATTTATAAATATTCGTAATAACTCTGTGAGGGTATGTATGAGTATTATTTCCATTTTATGGTTGAGAAAAATAAGGCATAGAGGTTAAATAACTTGTTTAAGATCACAGAGCTGGTAACTGTCAGAGGAGGGGTTCAAACCCAAGCAGTCTGGTGCCAGAGACAATGTTCTTAGTCACTACTCTATAGCGTCCTGATAACTGAAATTGAAATACGTTCCATTTTAAGTATTTGTCAGTCAAGCATACATGGCAGATGCTTTACCAGAACTTCAGACACAAAGGAAATAGTTGGATATAGACAACTTGTATATGAATTGAATTAGCTGTGAATATGCAATGTTAAATGCATAGAGATTGTACAGTGTGGATTTTCCTCTTAATCACCAATTTCCTTTCACTAGGGGTTGACACGGGTGTGTGGCCATCAGCTTCCTCAATGATTCTTATTTCTCTCTTGTCTCTTCCCATTTGCCTTCTGGTGTCCTCTCTGGCCTGACCCACTTCCCTCTGCTCCCCAGGGTCCTGCACTGACCCTCACTGGATGCAGAGCCTCTCAAGCTGTCTTGCAGGATTTCTGTCTTTGTACATGTCTTAGGTGTGGGCCGCCACTCTCCCAACCCCTTTCCTGGTTCCAGGCCACTTGTTCTCCTTGTATCTTTTCTCCACCCTTCCTAGGCTCCCACATGTATCCAATTCTCACACTCTTAGCACAGGAGTTTACCTATCCTCTCTCAACCCTGCAATCTGATCAAGCACCTGCCTTTTCTCCTTTCCTTCATTGACACATATCTGGAAGGAGAATTTGTACTAGCCATCTCTCCTTTCTCTTGTGCAATCCACTTCTCAACTCCTGCAGTCTATTTGGCTTCCTTCCACAACACTTGACTGAATTACTCTCGCGGTGGTCATCAATGCCCTGTTAATTGTTAAATCCAATAGCATCTTCTCAGTCATTACACTTGACCTCTCAGCGAGATCCTGCATGGGTTGGCCTGGGGCCAAATCTCTTGCCTCATTTCCTGTTACATTCCCCCTGCTTCCACATCACAGCTACAGTGGCATACTACTGTTGTGCAAACAGCAGTCTATCTCACAGCCTTGGCATGTGTTGGTGCCTTTGCCCCTAGATTACGATTCTCCAGACATTTGCATGGCTCTCTCTGTCTTCATTCTGATATCTGAGTGTGTCACTTCTTAGCAAAGCCATCCCTGAACACTGTTATCTAAAGTGCACCCCCTTTGCCCATCTCTTTGCCATCACTTTTGATCCTCTTACCTGCTTTAGGTTTTTCTTAGAGCATGTATCACTACCTACCTGTTCTTTTTCTGCATATCTAAATTCTAGCATGTCTCCTTCAGAAGAAATCCATTTTTCTTTTTGCCATGCTTGAGGCCAGGCCTCAGCATCTCACACCTAGACTATTTCAACTGTGCCTTCAGTGTGCTGTCAGACGCTTACCGCTGAGCTATATTCACTCCTACCAGCACACTGCATGGTTTCCCTGCCTCCAGCTTCTCCTACCTCCAATTCAATACAGCTACATAAATTGCTGCCAGATTTCTTTTTCTAAAATGGAAATTTGATCAGCATTTTCCTCCTTCAAGAATCTTGGTGCATCCCCACTGCCTGGAAATTAAAATCCAAACACACTAGTATGATCGATGAACCCTCATGGTGTTCTTAAGACCTTTTGAATCAGCTCTGAGAGAACAAAGGATTGAATGTGAGCTGCAGCATCAAAGCTGGTGCCTTTCTGTCTTGACAGCAAGGTGAATACCAAGGTGTTGGCATGCCTTATACCTCAGCGAGGCTCATGTCAAGCAGGAGCAGTCAAGTGTTTCTCAGTACAAGCGGGGGTGGGGTGAGATAGTTAACCTAAAGAGTTAATCTAACACTGTGTCTACTGGCAAAATGTTATTTCCTCCAAAGATATGGATTTTTTTCCTGAGGAATGTTAATGAATATAATGAGTATTTTTAAAGTGTTCTTCTTCATAGGAGATAATAACACTTACCACTCAATATATAATAGGTATTCTAAGACTTTATATGTATTAATTCATTTAATCATTAAACAGCATTAGAAGATACTGTGATTATCCCCATTTTACAGATGAAGAAACTGAGGCACAGAGGTTAAATAGCTTTCTGAAGGTTTTACAGGTAGAGGTAGGTCTGGAATTAAAATTCAGGTAATGTGACTTCAGTATTAGTAAAGAAGTTAGGGGAACCACAGTTTTCACCGAGAAGGAGATGAGATTGGAACTGGGGGGCTATATTTCCTTTTTCTTTCTCTGGGGCTCTCAATAACCAGGCTGAAGAGAATGCCATGAGTAACTGAGGCAAGAAGATACTGGAGGAAATATTATGAGGGGGAGTTGGGTGACTAAATGGAGATATGAAGGGGTGATGTGCAGAAGAGAGGGTAGGGGAAGGGGAGTGAGAGAGGCAGAAATACATAAAGATAGAAATAGAGATAGAGAGAGAGAGAGGGAGAGAGGGACAGAGAGAGAGATATCAGAAATGAGAGTTTGGTCAGGTAGAAGCAGACACACAGAGTGGCCCTGAAGAAGGGCTGATTTAATCCCTCTTGTGTGTCTTAGTGGTAAAGGAGCTACAGAGATATTGGTCTTTTGAATGAACTAAGCTTGGATATGGAGAAATGCATGATCTAGAGGCACTCAGATGAAACTGGGCTCCAGAGCCAATAGTACTAAACTTATTATGTTATTGCCCCAGGTTGGTATCCCACTACAAAGCAAGGGCCTGCCACAACCAGATGCATGTTTCAACGACATCGAAAGACTCACCTTGGACTCATCGCTGACTTGTCAACCAGAACTCCAATATCTGAGTTTGTCAAGGTGCTACTCTTTGACTCAGTTGACCTTCCTTCTCCCTTCCTTCTCCCTTCCTTTTCCTTGTACTCTGGTCACTGCCTTCAATTCCTTCCCCTCTCTATGTTTGTCTTGTAGATCTCAAAGGACGTGGAGTGCATTTGTATTATCATATAAAGCACGTGAAATTATGGTTTTCTCTGTGAATTTTTCTAAAAGCATACTTTGAATTCTATTGTTGGTATTTCCAGTGAGAAGCATAGAGCACATGGTAGGTGCTTAATAAATGTTTGATGAATACATAAATGAATAAATACCTGTAAAACATTTAATGGCACAGCAGCTGTTTCTTCTGTCACTTCTCATGCGTCTCAGTGGAATTCTTTTTTGCATTTGAACACTATTCCCACTGAGAAGTAAACAACCTCCTTTTTGCCTTTTCCCTTAGGAGATTCCAAGGGTGTCATAAGTTACATGGTGCTTCTTATGGCATGCAAATAACTCTTTATCCATGGTCCTTTCTGCTTCTTTATTTTAGCAAAGAAATCTGCTTTGTATTAGAATTCTCCTCTGATTGGGAACCCACATCAAAAAGACTTTAATTCCTGATAGTGATTATGAAAAATTTCACTGAAAGATTTACTTTATGCTGGCTACTGTGCTAGGAATTTTCCGTACATTTTCTCATTTAATCCTTAGACTAATCTCCATTTTAAAAAGCATTATTTTTCATTTTTAAAATGTAGATGCTGAGGCTTAGAAGTTGAGTAACTTGCCCAAGACCATCTCACTAATAAGTGGAAAAGTCAGAATTCGAAAACAGATTCATCTGAATTAAAAAGAAAGAAAGAAAGAAAGAAAGAAAGAAAGAAAGAAAGAAAGAAAGAAAAAAGAAAAATCCACCCAAGGAGGAGCTATGAAGTGCACTGTATTTCAGCAGCTTTCTTTCTGACTGCAGTGTGGGGATGGTTCTCTGGTCCCTGGTTTCCAGGCCCACTGGAAAGGCAGGTGTGAGCACATGGCCATAATTCCTGTGCAAGATGCTGTCATTTCAGCTGGGGTATGTTGATGTGATGATGAGGACAAAGAGAAGCAGGGAGACTGTGAACATATTTAGAATATAAAATTTGAGGAATTTTGGGATAGATTAGATGGAGGACGTTAGGCAAGGGAAGACTCGCTGGCAACTTTCTAGTACCTGGTTGGTTGCCTGGGTATATCGGGGCATCATTCACTAAATAGGAAATTCTAGAAAGGGAACAGGAATTGGCAAAAAGATAATGAGTTCAGTTAGGGGGATATACTTAAGAGTGTCTAAGTAGAACTTCTAGTAGACATTTGTATACATGAGCCTGAAATTCAGAGGGAATGACTTAAATCTTCTATTTTTGTGCTGTATGATTATTTGACTTAAAATTCTTTTTAGTTAGTAAAAGTTTTTCACTTAATAATTAGAGGAAATCAAGGGAGTGTCTATTAGTGAATCAGAGCCTCTTAGAGAAACCTGTTCCATATTATCCTGTTAAATGCTTGGGTGAGGTTTTCCTCTTTATTGCATTTTTCCATTGCTAAAATCATTCTGCATCATTAACTTTATTGTATTGCATGTTGCTTATTGTCTGGAAACAAATAGCTGATTGTGTCACCTCTAGTTCTGTAATGTCAAACTTACCTTGGTTGTGAGATGAACGATCCACCTCCATCAATTATTGCCAATTGTCTCTTTGAAAATATATGCCATAGTACCTATTTTTCTTCTACATCATCTTCTAATTTCAAAGAATTATAATTTTTTCCTTTAATTAAACATTTGGCCCTTCAATATTGCCTTGTTTATAATCCTGGGCCCAAATGAAAATACCATGATTAAATAAATCTTAGGAGTCCCAGCTGAGATTATCTCAACAAGGAAACTGTAAAATGCTCTAAGACAAAAAGAAATAGAGGATGGTAATGAGAGATAAAAAGCATTATCTCACTGAACAAAGGAAAGAAGACATGAAAGCCAAAATGGGCTGACTACAGATCTTCTGACCTTAAGCTGAGTGTTTGGTGTGGCTTCCTTCATGGAATGGATGGTTGCAATGAATTTTGGTCTCCCAGCATTTGAGCATTCTTCATATGTTTGTGAGTCCCCCACCCTCCATTACATTATAAAGAGCTGGCTCCTACTAGAGAAGCTGAAAACATCACAATTGTTCGCCTAGACCCTGGGAGCTTAGGAGTGGGCACGTGACCCAGACCTTGGCAATGAGGGATAGCCACTCCATGCTCAAAGCTGGATGCTGATAACATGGAAAAGGAAGGACCGCATGGACTCTGTTCTGGAGAGAATGGCAGCAGCAACACTGAGTTTTCTGAGGCAGTAGAAAGTGGCTCTGGGGACCGAATATGTGCCTACTGCCCATGAGTTGGAAGTACACATTGTGGACTTTGTGTCCAGCTCTTGCGCAGTTGTGTCTTCATCAGACCAGCTCTGCTGTATGTGATTTTGGACACTGCTTTTGTTTGCCAAGCTTCCATACCTGGCCCTTCTAGAGCTTTTGTAAGATACCCAATACCCTTTTATTAAAACTATTCTCTGCTCACATTAGCTAGAGATGTTGTCTTTTGCTTGCAACTGAGTGATTCATCCTAATTCCATGTGATACACTAAATTTTAAGGATCTCAAATCTCTGTCCTCCTGTAGCTCCTCTCCGAGAATGTCATTAGAATGAATTTCACTTTGCCTTGTATTATAGTTACATATTTTGTTAAAAAGCAGATTTTTGAGTGCAGAGACTGTATTTTATTCATTTCTATCCTCTGCTAATGCCTCATTTCAAATGCCTTGCACGTGGTAAAGGTTATATATGAAATTGACTCGAGCAGGAGGTAAATATACCTTTATAGCTGCTTGGGCTAAACCAATCCCTGGTAGTGGACTGTGCAACTCTGAAAAACCCTGGAAAGAACAGGTGTCCTCTCACAATCAAGACTTAGGCAGTATCATGTTCCTTCTGAGGCTTTGTCTGTTAGGTCTAGGAGACTGGTCAGTAATAGCCAGAGTGATGGTGGCAATCCCTCCTCTAAGAATCCCCCATCAGAGTCCATTCACTGAACAATAATAGTTTGCATCACAGTGCCTATTGGGTCTTCTGGTGAGTTATGATAGTGGACCCAATGTGATTCCTCTTTTCAGCCAAATGGACAGAACTTCTTTCTTTGTTAAGAAAGAAAGAAAAAAGTAGTCCCTAGAACCAGCAACACGCTGACTTATTCCTGTGAATCTCTTTTCTTTTATGTACATGCAAAACAAACAAACAAACCCTGTGTTTAGTTTGCATCTATTTCTTAAACATACATGCCCACTGGCCTAATTTTACATAATGCTTATTGGACATGTGTGTAATATGGTTCCTGGAGTCATATTTCACTGCTATTTGGCAGGACCCTAGTGATCATATCTCTATTAAGTTATAATCAAGAAACCTGAAACTGACCATAGATATAACTTGTGAGATACACCTCATGAATTAGCTTGAGTTGTATCTATGGCTAGATATAACCTAAGATAGGTGGTAAATGGGGAAAAAATGCAATTCATGTTGACCATAGATATAACTCATGCTAATTCAAGAAGTTAATTACTGGTATTAGCATGTACTTTCTTCTCAGTTTTAGTTGTGGTCTTGATCCCTTGCCTGCACAGAGGTCTAAAGGAGTATGTGAATTTCACTTCCACTCTTCCTCTTACCTGTATATTATGACTTGGCAAAGGGCATTATATAATATATTTGTCCACTACAGTGATTGCTATTTCTTTTGGTGGAGATATAAATTTATCTTTAAAAAACTGTAAGAACTTTTGTAATTTCTCTGTCTCTCATAGCCCTATTGTTAAGTGCAAATTTGCCTTCATCTACCTAGGGTCTTTTCAGTATAGTGTTTAAGAGTATAGTATTGTGTAGTAATTAAAATATAGCCCCTAATATCAGAGTGCTAGTGATCAAATTCCAGCTTTACCATTGAATAGTTTTCAATTATTAATCACCCCTTGATGTCTTGATCTGTGAAAAGAGTATAATGACCTATCTCAGTGCTGTGAGGAGTAAGTTAATTTTCACATAAGGAGACTTAGAACAGAGCATGGTTCGTAATAAGACCTCAATCAGTGTTACCTATTATTGTCCAATTTTCCTTTTGTTTATCCTATTTGCAACTGAAAAGATAAGGCCATTCATTAGGTTTTCTAAAACTACAGCCATTGGAATTTACAAGAAGCCAAAACACTAACATTCAAGAATTAAACCTCTTAGCATACATAATAGATCTAGAAGAGGTTAACTGACAAATTAATTTTTAAAACTTAGTAAATACATCAATCATTATTAATTACCTTCTATGCCATTAAAACATTGTTTCATAGATGAATAGATTTTTGTCAATTTAGGTGCTAGTTTTTTGTAGATCATAAACATATGACTCAAAGTGAAATAATGTCATTTTAGATATTTTAGACTTGGAAGGGGTCTTAGATAGTAGCTGTTCTCATTTTCTGCCTGAAAAGGAAACCCATTTGCCCAAGGTCTCACAATGCTTAGGAGTCACAAGCCCCATAAGACCCATATTTTGAGTAGCAGCAGGACTGACTAGAAGGAAGGGAGTTTGCTCTCTTGGACTGTAAAATTCTATTAACTTACAGGACACACACAAATACAAAGATTTAGTCTGCAAGGAAGCAGTATATAAAAATAGACAAAGTTAGATTGCTATTCAAAATATTTCTTACAAAGTAAAATTCATATTATAAGGGAAAAATTCATTTTTATAACTGAATTTCACAGGTAACTAACAATTTAATCTTAAGAGTTTATTATTCTTGTTATTCAGGTCTCAGGTCAACTGTCACTGCCTCAGAGAGGCCTTCCCTAACCATCCTAGCTAAAGAGGTCCCTCCTTTAGTCACTCTTTCCCCTTATAACTTTTTTATTTTCTTCATATTTTATACCAAAAATTATATTCTCTGTCTCTCCCCTGCCTCCCCGTACTAGAATGTAAATTCCATGAGGATATAAGGCATTTTGATTTAATGGAACACTTCATGAATTTGCATGTCATCCACGTGCAAAGGCCATGCTAATCTTCTCTGAATCATTCCAGTTTAGTATATGTGCTGCCAAAGCAAGCATGACATTTTGTTTAATATTATATTTGTATGTGTTAGAATCATGCATAATAGTCTCTCAGTAAATATACATTCATTTGATCAAATGAATACATGAAGGCCTTGGTAAAGAAGCTTGATTTAACTTTGAGATCCTAATAAGGATAGTTGAAGAATTTTGTGCAGCAGAGTAATATGATCTTATTTACATGTTGGAAGGACACTCTGGCAGCATTGTGTGCATAACATCTCTAGTGGCAATCAGAAAATTAAATTTAGTTTTGGACTTCATTTGACAGCATTAGCAAATGTCATTTGGAGAAAAGAAAGGCATGGGATTTTAAAAATAATTGGAAATCAGAAGAATAAAAGAAGGAAACAGAAAGAAGGAAGAGGAAGAAGAGGAGAAAGAGAAGAAGAGAAAAAAAAGATACGAATTAAAGGTTTGTGAAAACAAATGCCTAGGAGAGTTAATTCTAGAGAACCAAGCAGATACATCTCAATGAGAGGGAGAGACTTGGAGAGGCAGCAAAGGTTAAATGGACTAGAAGAATTTCCTGGCACAAGTTTTGGGTTATGAGATGCTCTATCTCTGGATATCAATTTGGATCCTTACAATATTAGTTTCAGAGCTACTTCACCATGTTTTCACCTGTGGTTTTCATGAAATTTTGTGCTGACATATGGACTTAGTGATCCAGAAAGTTGCCTGTGCCATGGGAACTCTCAAAGGTCATATACAAGCACCAAGCAAACTGCGGGTGGGATTGGGTAGAGGTGCTAATGAACTGAGCTGACTTTCTGTGTATTTTAGTATAATAATGGTGGCTGTTCACCCCAGCAGAAAGTAACAGGAACTCTTAGCATGCTGAATTTAATTCTAGAATCTCAGGTGGTAAAAAGAAGAGGTCACGTAATTAACTCTCAGTTAATGGAAGAAGAACAGTGTCATGAATCAAAGATTATTTAAAAATTGCTTATAAAAATGGGACTTTGGAATGCACTCTTTGACTTTTTTGGCAGAGGATTTACATCTTATTTGCTTTGCTTAAGCTAATAGTAAAATTAGTTTGTAGTCCTTCTGCATTTGGAAGATATTTGGCAGCAGTTGGATGAAAGGAGAGTAGGAGAAAAGGAAAGACAAGTATATGGGGAGAGAGAAGGAGCGGAGAAACATGTTGGCTGGCTGGAAAGTCAGGCCAGGGTAAAAGCTTGCCACGTGTAACCTGTATGGTGTAAACTCATAAATGCACAATGAAAAATTATATAATTAAAGGCACCAAGCCTGATGGAATCAGCATTCAATAAATATTTGTTGAATGAATAAAAAGATTTTTTCTTTGCATTTGAAGGAAGGATTTCTTATCTTATTGGAAATCTGCAAATAGTTTCTTCAGCATTTTTATTGGATGCTGTCTTGGGAAGAAGGCACAGAGATCCTCTTCCCATGCTTTTTATCTTCCTCTCGTTACTCTTCAGATTGACCCTGAAATAGTTTAAAAAAAAAAAAAAGCTTTTAGGGCTTGGGTATAAAACCAGCGGTTGCAACCATGCAACCAGAGCTTAACATATCAGTTTTTTTCAAAAGCAATGTGTGTTGGCTCTTAGGTATACATTTTTAAAAGATTGGAGAATGAGTTACTTTAGTCTGAGGTCTCCTGCTCATGAATGCCTAGCCACTTTTGATACTTGTCGGTACAACATGTGCACAGTTAATTACCATTGGTGAAGCTAGAAGCCCAATCTCTGCTTGCCCTGCTACTTCTGACAAGGGTTAGGACTATCTCCTCCGGCCTTATTAGAGGATGGTACTATGGCTAGCTCTCCAGCACAGCCTGAGGCAGTGGGGCACTCAGCTAACCCACGCTGCTGCTCTTGTACCAGTTGGGATCCACTGATAAAGTGATCCAGATCTCACAGGATCTGTGGCTATCGGAACAATTGCACCACACTCTGCCTGGAGTGGTTTGAGATTTGAAGACTTCATCTCTTCTTTGCCAGGGATCCTCCATTCTCTTTCCCACTAGACTTCAGCAGGACCAAGACATTAATGCTTGCTTGTGTTTGTATCCAGACGGTGTGAATCTATAACTCCACGTAAATAGACTAATCTTGAAGAGAATCTATTTTGCATCTCCATCATCAGACTATACAAGCATCTGTTCTAAGATACTGTGTCTCAGATATCTCATATACATCTATCTCTTTGTGTCATGGCAGTGGAGTATCAAACAAATAGGGTAAAGGCACACAGCAAACAGTTCTGACCAGACACAGTCCAATCACCCTAGGGATATCTGTACTACTCCAAAAATTGTGATCTAGCAACCATATTAAAAGAAATTTTAGAGATCTCAATTAAGAACCCTCACTGTTATAGACTATTCTCATTTATTATTTCCAAATTGCTGGTGGAGTACAGAAACAAAACCAAAGTTCAGGTAGCTCTGTGACATTTGTCAATGTCCTTTTATGTCAGAGAGTGCTAGCTGGTATTCCTCATTGCTAATAAAATATGGGCTGCATTTATATTGGTAATTGTGTTAGACTACATGTAATGGAAATTTGACCTCAGTGGTTTAATAGAGTAGGGTGTTATTTTTCTTATGTACTCAAGTATGGAGGTACAAATTCTAGTTCTTTAGGGTAGCTCCATGGTGTTGTCTAGAACCCAGGCTCTACCTACCTTTCTGCTTTGATTCCCTTACTGCTTGACTTTCTTCCTTATGGCTTTCTTCTGAGATGGCTTTTATTGTTTTTCCCTTTGAGCATCACATCCAATTCCAAGAAAAAAGAGCAGAGAGTGTGGGAAGAGGGAAGATAAAAAGCAAAAGAGATAAGCTGGCTGAGTCTGTCCTTTTTTATCAGGAAGGCAATACTTTTCCTAAAATCTTAACTGAGTCAATTTCTACTTCCATTTCTTTGATCAGAACAGGAGCAAATGGCCACACTTAGCAAAGTAGGTTGTAAGAGTTGCGAATGTTTTTTTCTTGCTGTTTCAGACAAATCCAGGACCCTATTGGTGAGAAATATAGATGATATCTTATTGGCAAAGTTATTGGTTAGGCAGCTTATATTTTCCTCATGCTATAACATATGGAATAAATATTTTTCCCAAATTCATACTCCAAATGATTCATCATAGAAGTTATTTCAAGCTTCTGTAACATAAAGAAAACAGCTAACCAGATTCTATCAAATTTTTCCTTGTGCAGAGATGGCGTGGATGTTAGACGTAGATCTCAAGGGCCTTATCTATTTTTCTTTCCTACTGGACCATGAGCTCTGGTGAATGGTAGGGGAGTCAGTGAGGAACAGTAGGGTCTGTAGTTTTCTTTTTTCCCAAGCACCTAATACATCACATATGGTAAGAGCTCAAAAGAACACGTTTTTGTTTTGGTTTTGGTTTTTGGTTTTTTTGAGACAGAATCTTGCTCTGTCACCAGGCTGGAGTGCAGTGGTGTGATCTCGGCTCACTGCAACCTCCGCCTCCCAGGTTCAAGCAATTCTTCTGCCTCAGCCTCCCAAGCAGCTGGGATTACAAGCATGTGCCACCAAGCCCAGCTAATTTTTGTATTTTTAGTAGAGACGGGGCTTCACCACGTTGGCCAGGATGGTCTTGATCTCCTGACCTTGTGATCCGCCTGCCTCAGCCTCCCAAAGTGCTGGGATTACATGAGAAGAACACGTTTAATGATGAGTGAATGCAGTCAAAGTCAGTAGATCTGGGATTTGGCATCATCACTGATTGGCTTCAAGATCTTGAGCACATGGCTTGACCTTTTCATATCTGCTTTTCCCCAACTCTGAAATGGTGACATTACATGCCAATGCCTCATGGGGCTATAAAGAAGGTCAAATAAGATAATGCATGATAAACAGTTTTTGCATAGTGTAGGTATTTACGGTTTGCAAAGTGCTTTCAGTTCTACAGCCCTTCTTGACTTTCTAGTCCTCATAATTTCTCTTTGGTACTCCATTATTACTCTAGTCCCACCCCTCATCTCTAGTAGAGAACGGCCATCACTGAATTGACTTCTGATAAAGAAACTAAAGCTTGGATGTCTGGTCACCGATCTAAGCTCATATAAATTACAACTGGCAAAGCTTGATGTTCAGGTTTGAAAAAAGCAGTATGTAATAAGCTTTCATTATTTACAGCCTGCTTTTTTCAAAAAAGGATTTAAGGAGATGAGAAGTTGTTATTACTTTAATCTGGCCATTCTGAGTAACACATGCATGCAATAGCTTATAGATAGTTTAAAAGATAAAGTATCATTTAGCCTACTAAAGAAAAGATTGAAAGCTCTCATGAAGGGTTTTCAAGAATGTAAGGGAACCATGGATATAGCACAAAAGGAGTTGGAGCATAATAAAGTTAGGTTAAGTACTGTTAAATAGTGAGCGTTTAAAAATTCTAAAATGGGTTAATAAGGTTACTTACTCTAGGAGTTTTAAAAAACAAAATAAATTCTTATCTGTTGGAGGTAGTTTAAGTACAGTATGCTAAGAATAGACCATGTGGTCTTCCTCCTTAAGTGTGCCTTTGAGCCTTATAATCTCCAAACTCTTAGAATTCATTATCACTTCTGCTTATTTACTTCAAAATAACAACTGACACTTTACAATTTACAAAGTGCTTTCACACATAGCCTCTCATTTAATTTTTACAACAACCTTCTAATATATTATACACATTTCCCAGAAAAAGCAACTAAAAAAACTAAAATTTGAGCCAAGTTATTCTAAATCTAAATATGATGCTCTTTTCTGGAAAACTAATCTCCCTCCCATTTCTATATGGTTACACTGTGGCTGGAGAGCTGGTGAATTTGTTGTCTTTCACTTTAAACATGCTTCTTCTATAGTCCTGGACTACAGTACAAGCTTGGTTGGTGGAACCATTCTCTATCAAGTTGCTTGAGACAGGGACCTAGGACTCAAACTTGACTATTTACTTTTTCTTTCCCACCTCTGCTCAAACCCGTTGATTTTAGCTTTTAAGTACATCTCAAAAATTTCTCTTCCCTCCAGCTCACCCTCATTTTTTCAGTTTAATCTTTACCACCTTTTAACTGAATTACTAAATCATTTCCCTCTTAGATTTTCTTCTTTCAAAATTACTTAAGTCCAACCCGGAACCAGAGTGTAGAGCTTTAAGCAGGAGATCAAACTGGTTAGATTCCCATGGAAATCCCTGGCCTAGAGCCCTTTGACAGTACCCCCCTCCAGTCTCCCATAATGCATCTTAGATTTCAGCCATTTTCATAGTTCTTTGATATTGATGCCATAGTTTTATACCACTGAAAGTGATATTCAGTGTATTGCTGGAAAGAATACATTGATACCCACAGATATTCAATATAAGAGAATCCATATGACCAACACATATCATGTACTTTTTCAACCTTCCAAAGTTGAAAGAGAAGTTTCAGTTGTTCAAGGATTGAACATTCATGCAAGAGCACTGGGTTTAAAACTCATGGGTTTAGGTAGTATGCATCACCAGAGCAATACATATTTTAGTTTATCCAGGGCAATAATATTCATGAAGTCATGCGTTGAATGTGCTAGCTATGTCTCTCCCCCAACATACATTAAAATACATATAAAATCATTAATTTTTAAAAGTTTATTACCTAAAGCCACCTCCCTTTTACCAGTGGTAAACCTAGTGCAAATGGTCCCCAACTTTTGATGTTTTGACTTTTGACTTTATAGTGGTAGGAAAGCTACACATATTCAGTATACTCCTTGACTTATGATGAGGTTATGTCCAGATAAGTAAACATGTGTGTAAATATCACACAACATACCCATGTAACAAACCCGCACATATACCCCCTAAGTCAATTTCTTAGCATGATGTAAATGACTCTGTGATTTGGCCTCTATTTCACCGGGTAGCCTCATCTATAGGGTGATTATAAGATGGCCATATAATTTTTCACCCAAAACAGAATATTTTTTGGTGTGAAGTGTGGGTGTAATTGATAACTTAGCTGGTACAATGTGTATAAAACTGTAGCATCCCAGGAAAACCTGGACATATGGTCACTGTATTCATCTGCCCACTCTGTAATTTCCACTTTAAGCACTTGAGTAGTACTCAAGTATTTTTAGGTTTTTGTACCCACCATATGATTTCAAGCCTTTGAGATTTTGCACATCCTGTTTCTTTAGCCTGGAAACCCTTTCTTACTTTTCTTCTGATACCTAACTCCTAGGCATTAGCTTCTTTGGGAAGCCTTGTTAGACTCCAGACTGGACCAAATGAATATGTCCAGTGTTTCCTGAGAATTTGAAACATATCTTTATCTTATTTTCACATTAAGACGTTCTCCAGGGCAGGTACCATGTCTTACTGATTTTGTTCCTTCCAGCACATAGCACAATTCAAGGCATACATAAGTGTCTATATATGACTCACTATTGACCAACCCAGTGTAGGGGTTCATGCTGTTCTCCTGTAGATAACGCTGACATTAGTCCTAGACTGACTGATGATGTTGGCCCTACCTAAGAGCATTGCTTCCCTCTGGGAAAATGTTGGCTTGTCTCCCCGCTCTCTTCCGTATGTCCTCTCATCTTCTGTGCAAAGGCAGAATATCATGGTGCTTAAGACATGCTTTAGGAGTTAGACAGACCTGGTTTATAATTCTTGCCCTGCACTTACTAGCTTTGTGAACAATTTATTCAACTTTCTTAAACCTCAATTTCTTTGTCTGTAAGATCTGGATGATAATAAAACCTATCTTGTGGTGATGTTGTGATGACTAAGTGCTATGATAAATCTAAAGGGATGACTGTAGAGCCTAGTGTGCAGTATGTGCTCATTATAAATGTCTCAGAGAGTGATGTTATCAACATGGTACAGTAGGAAGACCTGGATCCTCCTTCCCTGCAACAAACACATAGATAAAGCAATAATTCATAGACAAATTCCCTTTGTGAGAAACCAGAAACTAATTGAAAGGCTCTTGCATCCTGGGAGGAACTAATAGCAACTCACTGAAGCCAGTAGGGAGATTTGGGATATGTTCTTACCAGAGACCCTGACCCCATTGCAGCATCATATGATCAAGAAGAGAATCCCTCACTGTTAACTTTACTCAGTGGAGGCAGGGGTTGTTTTACACATCCAGCACTCTGACTTTTATGAGCCACTCCCTAGAGGAGTGGCTGTGCCGTGTCGGTCTTGGAGCTCTGATGGGTCTGGCACAGTATAGCCACCTGGAAGAGAACAGAGGCAGTGGCTTGGCCTGGTAAATGCCATCGACTCTCCCCACTGCTCAATACAGAGTGAGTGGATGAAAAATCCCAGCTCTCAGCTTCTCCCTTTCCCCATGGACAGAAGAGTTGATTCATGGATCCCACATTCCAACTTCTTTGGGGCTGCCCAAAGAAATAGCATCTTTCTCATCAACCCTGGAGCACCAATAGATCTGGCACATTCTAGCCACGTGGGGTACAATGGAGATAGCAGCTTGGGTTGGTAGATGGCATAGCTTTCCCTTCTGGGTCATAACAGAGAACATGGACAAAACCACAACTTCCGACCTCTTTCTGGGGAGAAAAAGAGTTGATGGAGGCCCCCAGAATCTGACCATGTTATTTGGTGGAATTTTCTTCTCTATAACGCCAGTCTGTGAAGACTGGAAGAGATGCCGACTTTGTCTAACGTACAGACATCAACACAGAGAGTTAAGAAAAATGAAAAACCAGGAAAAAGTGTTCCAAACAAAGGAATAAGAAGAATCTCCAGAAAATGATCTTAATGAAATGAAATTATATGATTTACCTGACAGGGAATTAAAAATAATTCTCATAAAGATGTTCACGGAGATCAAGACAATAATGCATGAACAAAGTGAAAATTTTATAAAGAGATAGGAAATATTAAAAAATACCAAATGGCAATCATGGAGCTGAAGAATACAATAGTTGAACTGAAAAATTTGCTAGAGAGATTCAACAGCAGAAGAAAGGATCAGCAAATGCAAAAACAGGTCACTGGAAATAATTCAGTCAAAACAGCAGAAAGAAAAAAAGAATGTAAAAAGTGAAGAAAATATAAAGAAACTGTGAGACACCATCAAGCAGACATATAAACATTATGGGAGTCTCAGAAGAAGAAAATAGATGAAAGGAATAGAAGGCTTATCCAAATAAATAATGGCTAAAAACTTCCCAAATTTGGGGAAGAAAGAGGACATCTAGGTTTAAGAAGTCCAAAAGGCACCAAATAATTTGAACCCAAAAAAGTCCATATTGAGCCATATAATCAAATTGTCAAAATTTAAAGGCAAAGAAAATATTGAAAGCTGCAAGCAAGAAGTAACTTGTCAAATACAAAAGAACTTTCATAGGACAATCCCCATATTTTTCAGCAGAAACCTTGCAGACAGAAGGAGTGGAATGATATATTTGAAGTGCTGAAAATAAAAATACTGCTAACTAAGAATACTGTTCCCAAAACTATCCTTCAAAAATGAAAGACAGATAAAGACTTTCCTAGACAAACAAAAGCTGAGAAAATTCATCACCACTAGACCTGCCTTACAAGAAATGCTGAAGGGAGTTATTCAAGTTGAACTGAAAGGATGCTAAACAGCAACACAATGGCATAAGAAAGTATGAAATTTGTTGCTACTGGTAAATATGTAAACAAATACAGGATACTGTACTATTGTAATAGCAGTGGCTAAATCACTTTTAATTCTCATATAAAAGCTAAAAGACAAAGTATTAAAAATAACTCTAATTAAAAATATGTTTAAAGTTATACAATACAAATAGATGGAAATTTTTATAACAATAAAATACAGTGGGGGGGGGAGAAGTTAAAGTGTAGAGTTCTTGTATGATATTGACTTTTACTTGTTATCAACTTAAAATAGAGTGTTATTTCTATAAGATATTTTATGAAATCACCAAGGTAACCATGCTCACCCACACACAGGCACACATACACACACACACAAACTTGTAGAATTTACACAAAAGAAAAAAAGAAAGGAATCAAAGTCTATATGAAAAATCAAAACACAAAGGAAGACAACAAAAGAGGAAAAGGCAGGTAAAAGAACTACAAAAATAACAGGAAACAATGAACAAAATGGCAATATTAATTTTTTTATGTAAGTAACTTTTAAAAATATAAATGGATTAACATCCCCAATCAAAAGAGTGACTGAGTGGATAACAAAACAAGATCCAGGACTTAGCTCTACGCTGTCTACAAGAAACTTACTGTAGAATTAAGAACATATATAGTCTTACAGTGAATAAATGAAAAAAAGTTATTCCGTACAAATAAATTGTCACCAAAAAAGAGCAGAAGTGGCTCTATTTATCCAGATGACTAATTTATCTTTCTCTAATATGAAAAAATGTTACAAGACAAAGAAAGATAATTTATGATAACAGAGTCAATTAACCAGGGAGATAGAATAATTATAAATATATATGCACCCAACGTCAGAGTTACTAAACATATAAAGCATAAAGCAAACATTGACAGAACTAAAGGGATAAATAGCAACACAATAATAGTAGAAGACTTCAATGCCCCACTTTCAATAATGGATAGAATACCCAGGCATAAGACCAAAAAGGAAACAAAAGATTTCAATAACACTGTAGAGCAAATGGACCTAACAGACATATAGAGAACATTTCACCCAACAGCAGCAGAATATACAATACACGTTCTTATGAAGCAAACATGACTTTTTCTCCACGATACATCACATGTTAAGTCACAAAACAAGATGTAACAAATTTAAGATTGAAATCTTACTAAGTGTCTCTTCTGACCCCAGTGGAATAAAACTAGAAATCTATAGCAGAAGAAAACTTATAAAATTCACAAATATATGGAAATTAAACCACTCACTTTTGAACAACAATTGGGTCAAAGAAGAAATCAAGAAGGAAATTAGAAAATACCTCAAGACAAATGAAACTGAAAACACACCACACCAAAACTTATGGGACACAAAATAAATAGAACCAAGTGGGAATTTTATAGTGATAAATGTTTACATTAAAAAATAAGGTAGATCTGAAATAAACAAACCAATTTTACACCTCAAGGAACTGAAGAAAGAAGAAAAAACAGCCAAAAATTAGCAGAAGGAAGAAAACAAAGTCTAGAGACAAATGAATGAAATACAAAATTTAAAAGTAACAGAAAAAAAATCATAAAACTGAGAATAGGTTTTGTGAACATATAAACAAAATTGACAGACCCTTAGCTAGACAAACTTAGAAAAAAGCAGAGAAGACTTAAATAAGTAAAATCAGAAATGAAAAAGGAAGCATTACAACAGATTCCACCAAACTATAAAGGATCATAAGAGAGTATTCTAAACAATTATATGCCAGCAAACTATACAAACTAAAAGACATGAATATATTTCTAGAAACAAACAACCCATCAAGACTAAATCAGGAAGAAATAGAAAGTTGGAAGGACCTGTAACTGGTATAGAGATTGAATTAGTAATAATAATAATAACAACAACTCTAAACAAAGAAAAACACAAGACAGATGGCTTCCCTAGCAAATTCTAACAATAATTTAAAGAAGAACTAACACTGATTCTTCTCAAACTCTTCCAACAAATGGAAAAGGAGGAAATTCTTCCAAACTCATATTATGAGGCCAGGATAACCCTGATACCAAAGCCAAAAAAACAGGCAACACAAGAAAATAAAACTATAGGCCAATATCTCTAATGAACATAGATGCAACAATCCTCAATAAAATAGTAGCAAACTGAATCCAACAGCACATTAAAAGAATTATACACCATGACCAAATGGGATTTATCTCTGGGATGCAAGAATGTTTTAACATATGAATATCAAAGAATGTGATTTGCTACATTGACAGAATAAAGGATAAAAATCACATGATTATGTCAATAGATGCAGAAAAAGCATTTGACAAAATTCAACATCCTTTTATGATAAAAGCTCTTAACAAACTAAGAATAAAAAAAATTATCCCAACATAATAAATGTCATATATAAAAAGCCCACAGCTGGTGGCTGGCAAGATGGTGGAATAGGAACAGCTCCGGTCTGCAGCTCCCAGCGAGATCAACGCAGAAGGTGGGTGATTTTTGCATTTCCAACTGAGGTACTTGGCTCATCTAACTGGGACTGGTTAGACAGTGGGTGCAGCCCATGGAGGGGAAGCTGAAGCAGGGTGAAACGTCGCCTCACCCAGGAGGTGCAAGGGGTCAGGGAACTCCCTCCCCTAGCCAAGGGAAGCCGTGAGGGAGGGACTCTGCTTTGAGGAACAGTGCATTTCTGCCCAGATACTACACTCTTCCCACGGTCTTTGCAACCCACAGACGAGGTGATTCCTTTGGGTGCCTACACCACCAGGGCCCTAAGTTTCAAGCACAAAACTGGGTGCCCGTTTGGGAAGACACTGAACCAGCTGCAGGAGTTTTTCTTTCATACCCCAGTGGCGCCTGGAATGCCAGTGAAACAAAACCGGTCACTCTCCTGGAAAGGGGGCTGAAGCCAGGGAGACAAGTGGTCTAGCTCAGTGGATTCCACCTCTACAAAACCCAGTAAGCTAATATCCACTAGCTTGAAATTCTTGCTGCCAGCACAGTGGTCTGAAGTCGACCTAGGACGCTTGAGCTTAGTGGGCGGACGGGCGTCCACCATTACTGAGGCTTGAGTAGGCGGTTTTCCCCTCACAGTGTAAACACAGCTGCCGGGAATTTTGAACTGGGCGAAGACCACCTCAGCTCTGCAAAGCTGCTGTAGTCAGACTGCCTCTCTAGATTCCTCCTCTCTGGGTGGGGCATCTCTGAAAGAAAGGCAGCAGCCCCAGTAAAGGGTTTATAGATAAAACGCCCATCTCCCTTGGGGAAGGGGCGGCTGTGGGCGCAGCTTTAGCAGACTTAAATGTTCCTGCCTGCTGGCTCTGAAGAGAGCAGTGGATCTTCCAGCGCAGCGCTCGAGCTCTGCTAAGGGACAGACTGCCTGCTCAAGTGGGTTCCTGACATCCATGCCTCTTGACTGGGAGACATCTCCCAGCAGGGGTCGACAGACACCTCACAGAGGAGAGCTCCGGCTGGCATCTGGCAGGTGCCCCTCTGGGATGAAGCTTCCAGAGGAAGGAACAGGCAAGCAATCTTTGCTGTTCTGCAGCCTCCACTGGTGATACCCATGCAAACAGGGTCTGGAGAGGACCTCCAGCAAACTCCAGCAGACCTGCAGCAGAGGGGCCTGCCTGTTAGAAGAAAAACTAACAAACAGAAAGGAATAACATGAACATCAACAAAAAGGACATCCAGACAAAAACCCCATCTGGAGGTCACCAACATCAAAGACTAAAGGTAGATAAATCCACGAAGATGAGGAAAAACCAGCACAAAAAGCCTGAAAATTCCAAAAACCAGAACACCTCTTCCCTGCCAAAGGATCACAACTCCTCACAAGTGAGGGAACAAAACTGGACAGAGAATGAGTTTGATGAATCGACAGAAATAGGCTTCAGAAGGTGGGTAATAACAAACTCCTCGAGCTAAAGGAGCTTGTTCTAATCGAATGGAAGGAAGCTAAGAACCTTGAAAAAAGGTTAGAGGAATTGCTAACTAGAACAAACAGTTTAGAGAAGAAAATAAATGACCTGATAGAGCTGAAAAACACAGCATGAGAATTTCGTGAAGCATACACAAGTATCAAAAGTCAAATTGATCAAGGGGAAGAAGGGATATCAGAGATTAAAGATCAGCATAATGAAACAGAGCATGAAGACAAGATTAGAGAGAAAGGAATGAAAAGGAACAAAAAAAGCATCCAAGAAATATGGGACTACGTGAAAAAGACCAAACCTACGTTCAATTGGTGTACCTAAAAGTGACAGGGAGAATGGAACCAAGTTGGAAAACACTCTTCAGGATACTATCCAGGAGAACTTCCCCAACCTACCAAAACAAGCCAACATTCAAATTTAGGAAATACGGAGAACACCACAAAGATACTCCTTGAGAAGAGCAACCCCAAGACACATAATTATCGGATTCACCAACATTGAAATGAAGGAAAAAAGGTTAAGGGTAGCCAGAGAGAAAGGTCAGGTTATTCACAAAGGGAAGCACCTCAGACTAACAGCAGATATATCTGCAGAAACCCTACAAGCCAGAAGAGAGTGTGGGCCAATATTCAACATTCTTAAAGAAAAGAATTTTCAACCCAGAATTTCATATTCAGCCAAACAAAGCTTCATAAGAGAAGGAGAAATAAAATCCTTTACAGACAAGCAAATGCAGAGAAATTTTGTCACCACTGGCCTCTCTTACAAGAGCTCCTGAAGGAAGCACTAAATATGCAAAGAAAACCCGGTACAAGCCACTGCAAAAGCATAACAAATTGTAAAGACCATTGACACTATGAAGAAACTGCATCAACTATGGGCAAAATAACCAGCTAGCATCAAAATGACAGGATCAAATTCACACATAACAATATTAACCTTGTACCTCTGGTAGAATTCAGCTGTGAATCCATCTGGTTCTGGACTTTTTTTGGTTGGTAAGCTATTAATTATTGCCTCAATTTCAGAGCCTGTTATTGGTCTATTCAGAGATTCAACTTCTTCCTGATTTAGTCTTGGGAGGGTGTAGGTGTCGAGGAATTTATCCATTTCTTCTAGATTTTCTAGTTTATTTGCATAGAGGTGTTTATAGTATTCTCTGCTGGTAGTTTGCATTCCTGTGGGATCGGTGGTGATACCCCCTTTATCATTTTTTATTGCATCTATTTGATTCTTCTCTCTTCTCATCTTATTAGTCTTGTTAGTGGTCTATCAATTCTGTTGATCTTTTCAAAAAAACAGCTCCTGGATTCATTGATTTTTTGAAGGTTTTTTTGTGTCTCTATTTCCTTCAGTTCTGCTCTGATCTTAGTTATTTCTTGCCTTCTGCTAGCTTTTGAATGTGTTTGCTCTTGCTTCTCTAGTTCTTTTAATTGTGATGTTAGGGTGTCAATTTTAGATCTTTCCTGCTTTCTCTTGTGGGCATTTAGTGCTATAAATTTCCCTCTACACACTGCTTTGAATGTGTCCCAGAGATTCTGGTATGTTGTGTCTTTGTTCTCGTTGGTTTCAAAGAATGTCTTTATTTCTGCCTTCATTTCATTATGTACCCAGTAGTCATTCAGGAGCAGGTTGTTCAGTTTCCATGTAGTTGAGCGGTTTTGAGTGAGTTTCTTAATCCTGAGTTCTAGTTTGATTGCACTGTGGTCTGAGAGACAGTTTGTTATAATTTCTGTTCTTTTACATTTGCTGAGGAGTGCTTTACTTCCAACTATGTGGTCAATTTTGGAATAGGTTTGGTGTGGTGCTGAGAAGAATGTATATTCTGTTGTTTTGGGGTGGAGAGTTCTGTAGATGCCTATTAGGTCCACTTGGTGCAGAGCTGAGTTCAATACCTGGATATCCTTGTTAACTTTCTGTCTCATTGCTCTGTCTAATGTTGACAGTGGGGTGTTTGTAAATGGGCTAAATGCCCCAGTTAAAAGACACAGACTAGCAAATTGGATAAACAGTCAAGACCCATCAATGTGCTGTATTCACGAGGTCCATCTCACATGCAAAAACACACACAGGCTCAAAATAAAAGGATGGAGGAATATTTACCAAGCAAATAGGAAGCAAAAAAAGGAGGTGTTGCAATCCTAGTCTCTGATAAAACAGACTTTAAACCAGCAAAGATCAAAAGAGACAAGAAGAGCATTACATACTGGTAAAGGCAAAGAAGGGCATTACATAAAGTAAAGGGATCAATGCAAAAAGAAGAGCTAACTATCCTAAATATATATGCACCCAAAACAGGAGCATCCAGATTCATAAGGCAAGTTCTTAGAGACCTAAAAGAGACTTAGACTCCCACACAATAATAGTGGGAGACTTTAACACCCCACTGTCAATATTAGACAGATCAATGAGACAGAAAATTAACAAGGATATTCAGGACTTGAACTCAGCTCTGGACCAAGAAGACCTAATAGACATCGACAGAACTCTCCACTCCAATCAACAGAATATACATTCTTTTCAGCACCACATTGCACTTATTCTAAAATTGACCACATAATTGGAAGTAAAGCACTCCTCAGCAAACGCAAAAGAATGGAAATCATAACAAACAGTCTGTCAGATCACAGTGCAATCAAATTAGAATTTAGGATTAAGAAACTCACTCAGAACCACACAACTACATGGAACCTGAACAACCTGTTCCTGAATGGCTACTGGGTAAATAACAAAATTAAGGCAGAAATAAATAAATTCTTTGAAACCAAAGAGAACAAAAACACAACATACCAGAATCTCTGGGACACAGCTAAAGCAGTGTTTAGTGGGAAATTTATAGCACTAAATGCCTGCAGGAGAAAGCAGGAAAGATCTAAAATTGACACCCTAACATCACAATGAAAAGAACTAGAGAAACAAGAGCAAACAAATTCAAAAGCTAGCAGAAGGCAAGAAATAACTAAGATCAGAGCAGAACTGAAGGAGATAGAGACACGAGAAACTCTTTAAAAAAATCAATGAATCCAGGAGCTGGTTGTTTGAAAAGATGAACAAACTAGATAGACTGCTAGCCAGACTAATAAAGAAGAAAAGAGAGAAGAAAAAAATAGACACAATAAAATATGATAAAGGGGATATCACCACTGATCCTACAGAAATACAAGCTACCATCAGAGAATACTGTAAACACCTCTATGCAAACAAATTAGAAAATCTAGAAGAAATAGATAAACTCCTGGACACCTATACCCTCCCAAGACTAAACCAGGAAGAAGTCAAATCCCTGAATAGACCAATAACAAGTTCTGAAATTGAGGCAGTAACTAATAGCCTACCAACCAAAAAAAGCTCAGGACCAGATGGATTCACAGCCAAGTTCAACCAGAGGTACAAAGAGGAGCTGGTGCTATTCCTTCTGAAACTATTCCAAACAACATAAACAGAGGGACTCCTCCATAATTCATTTTATGAGGCCAGCATCATCCTGATACCAAAACCTGGCAAAGATACAACAAAAAAAGAAAATTTCAGGCCAGTATCCCTGATGAACATTGATGTGAAAATCCTCATTAAAATACTGGCAAACCGAATCCAGCAGCACATCAAAAAGCTTATCCACCACAATCAAGTTGGCTTCATCCCTGGGATACAAGGGTGGTTCAACATATGCAAATCAATAAATGTAATCCATCAAATAAACAGAACCAATGACAAAAACCACGTGATTATCTCAATGGATGCAGAAAAGGCCTTTGATAAAATTCAACACCTCTTCATGCTAAAAACTCTCAATAAACTAGGTATCAATGGAACATATCTCAAAATAATAAGAGCTATTTATGACAAACCGACACCCAATATCATACTGAATGGGCAACAGCTGGAAGCATTCCCTTTGAAAACCGGCACAAGACAAGGATGCCCTCTCTCACCACTCCTACTCAACATAGTATTGGAAGTTCTGGCCAGGGCAATCAAGCAAGAGAACGAAATAAAGTGTATTCAGATATGAAGAGAGGAAGTGAAATTGTCTCTGTTTGCAGATGACATGATTGTATATTTAGAAAACCCCATCGTCTCAGCCCCAAATTTCTTTAAGCTGATAAGCAACTTCAGCAGTCTCAGGATACAAAATCAATGGCAAAAATCCCAAGCATCCCTATGCTCCAATAATAGACAGAGAGCCAAATCATGAGTGAACTCCTATTCACAATTACTACAAAGAGAGTAAAATACTTAAGAATACAACTTGCAAAGGACGTGAAGGACTTCTTCAAGGAGAACTACAAACCACTGCTCAAGGAAATAAGAGAGGATACAAAGAAATGGAAAAACATTCCATGCTCATGGATAGGAAGAATCAATATAAAAATGGCTGTACTCCCCAAAGTAATTTATAGATTCAATGCTATCCCCATCAAGCTACCATTGACTTTCTTCACAGAATTAGAAAAAAAAACTACTTTAAATTTCATATGGAAACAGAAAAGAGCCTGTATAGCCAAGACAATCCTAAGGAAAAAACAAAGCTGGAGGTATCACGCTACCTGACTTTGAACTATATTACAAGGCTACAGTAACCAAAACAGCATGGTACTGGTACCAACACAGACATACAGACAAATGGGACAGAACAGAGGCCTCAGAAATAACGCCACACATGTACAACCATCTGATCTTTGACAAACCTGATAAAAACAAGCAATGGGGAAAGGATTCCCTATTTAGTAAATGGTGTTAGAAAAACTGGTTAGCCATATACAGAAAACTGAAACTGGACCCCTTCCTTACACCTTATACAAAAACTAACTGACGATGGAATAAAGAGTTAAATGTAAGACCTAAAGTCATAAAAACCCTAGAAGAAAACCTAGGCAATATGATTCAGGACATAGGTATGGCAAAGACCTCATGACTAAAACAAACAACCCCATCAAAAACTGGGCAAAAAATATGAACAGACACCTCTCAAAGGAAGACATTTATTTGGCCAATAAACGTATGAAAGAAAGCTCCATTTCTTCACTGGTCATTACAGAAATGCCAATCTAAACCACAATGATATACCATCTCACGCCAGTTAGAATGGTGATCATTAAAAAGTCAGGAAACAACAGATGCTGGAGAGGATGTGGAGAAATAGGAACACTTTTACACTGTTGGTGGGAGTGTAAATTAGTTCAACCTTTGTGGAAGACAGTGTGGTGATTCCTCAAGGATCTAGAACCAGAAATACCTTTTGACCCAGCAATCCCATTACTGAGTATTTTCCCAAAGGATTATAAATCAATCTACTATAAAGACACATGTAGAATCCCATTATTGGGTATATACCCAAAGGATTATAAATCAATTTACTATAAAGACACATGCACATGTAGGTTTATTGCAGCACTGTTCACAATAGCAAAGACTTGGAACAAACCCAAATGCCCAGCAATGATATATCGGATAAAGAAAATGTGGCACATATGCACCATGGAATACTATGCAGCCATAAAAAAGGATGAGTTCATGTCCTTTGCAGGGACATAGATGAAGCTGGAAACCATCATTCTCAGCAAACTAACACAAGAAAAGAAAACCAAACACCACGTATTCTCACTCATAAGTGGGAGTCGAATGATGAGAACACATGGACACAGGGAGGGGAACATCACACACCAGGGCCTGTCAGGGGTGAGGGGCTAGGGGAGGGATAGCATTAGGAGAAATACCTAATGTAGATGACAGGTTGATGGGTGCAGTAAACCACCATGGCACGTGTACACCTGTGTAACAAACCTGCACGTTCTTCACATGTATCACAGAACTTAAAGTATAATTTAAAAAATAAATAAATAACTTTTCCAAAGTAAAAAAATAAAAATAAAAAGCCCACAGCTACCATGATACTGGATGGTTAAAAACGGAAAACTTTTCCTTTAAGATCAGGAACAGGACAAAGATGTCCACAACTGCCATTTCCATTCAATTGGAAGTCCTAGCAGGAGTGATTAGGCAAGATAAGGAAAGAAAAAAGGCATTCAAATAAAAAAGAGACAAAACTGTCCCTATTTGCAGATGACAAGATCATATATGTAGAAAACCCTAAAAACTCAATGAAAATGTTAGAACTAATAAACAAATTCTAAAAAGTTGCAGAACGCAAAATCAGTCTATATGCTGGCAATGAACTATCTGAAAAGGAAATTAGGAAAACATTCTCATTTACAATAGCACCAAAAAGAATAAAATACTTAGGAATAGACTTTTAATATAAGGAAGTTAAAGACTTGTATGCTGAAAACTATAAAAATAGATAAAAGAATTTAATAAGACACAAACAAATGGAAAGACAACCCAATCTGATGGATTGGAAGATTTAATATTGTTAAAATGTTCATACTACCTACTATGGTCTGAATAGTTATGTCCCCCACCCCATCCATAATTCATATGTTGAAATTCTAACCTCCAAGGTGATGGTACTGGGGGTTGGGGGGACCTTTGATTCATTCATGGAGCCTCAGTGAATGGTATTAGTGTCTTATAAAAGAGGCTCTAGAAAGATCTCTCACCTCTTCTGCCATGTGAGATTACAGTGAGAAGATGGCCAGTTATGAGAAATCAGGCTCTAGGCAGGCACAGACCCCACTGGCACCTTAATATTGAACCTTCTGGTTCCTAGAACTGTGAAAAATATTTTTTTTTTTTTGAGACAGAGTCTCACTCTGTTGCCAGGCTGGAGTGCAGTGGCGCAATCTCAGCTCACTGCAACCTCCGCCTCCCAGGTTCAAGTGATTCTCCTGCCTCAGCCTCCTGAGTAGCTGGGACTACAGGTGCCCACGACCATGTCCGGCTAACTTTGTGTGTGTGTGTGTGTGTGTGTGTGTGTGTGTGTGTGTGTGTGTGTGTGTTTAGTAGACACGGGGTTTAACTATGTTGGCCAGGGTGGTCTCCATCTCTTGACCTCGTGATCCACCCGCCTCAGCCTCCCAAAGTGCTGGGATTACAGGCATGAGCCACCACACTGGGCCAATTTTTGTTTTTTTATAAGCCGCCTAGTTTATGTTATTTTTTATAGCGGCCCAAATGGACTGAGACACTGCCCAAAGCAATTTACAGATTCAACAGAATTCTTATTAAATCTGAAGTTTTTTTAGGAATAGATATAAAAAACCAATACTTAAATTTACCTAGAACCACCAAAGAAACTCACAAGTAGCCAAATCAGTCTTAAGAAGGAAGAAAAAAGCTAGAGGCATCAAATTTCCTGATTTCAAAATAAGTTACAAATCTAGTGGTCAAACCTGTGATACTGACATAAAGACAGGTACGAGGCCAATGGAACAGAATAGAGAGCCAAGAAATAAATCTGTGCATATATAGTTAACTGACGTTTGACAGAGGTACCAAGAATATACAGTGAGGAAAGGATAGGCTTATCAACAAATGGTGTTGGAACAACTGGACATCCACATGCAAAATAATGAAATTGGACTCTTAAACCATTCACAAAAATCAACTCAAACTGGATTAAAGACCTAACCCTAAGACCTGAAACCACAAAACTCCTAGGAGAAAACAGAGGGGAAAATCTTCATGACATTATTCTTGTCAATAATTTAATGGATATAACACTGAAATCACAGGTAGCAAAAACAAAAAATAAAACAAGTGGGACTGCATCAGATTACAAAGTTTCTCCATAGCAAAGGAGACAACAAAGTGAAAGGTAGCCTATAGAATGAGGGGAAAATATTTGCAAACTATCAGGAGAGGGATTAATTTCTAAGATATCTGAGGAACTTCTGTAACTCAGTAGTACTACCCCCCCCACGAAAAAAAAACCTAACAGTAGTAAAAAGACCCTCTTAAAAATGGACTAAGAACTTGAATACACATTTCTCCAAAGGAGACATACAAGGGGTCAACAGACATATGAAAAAATGCCCGGTATCATTAATCATCATGGAAATTCAATTCAAACCACAACGAGCTATCACTTCACATTTGTTAGAATGGTTATTGTACAACACAAATAAGTTGGCAAGGATGTTCAGAAAATTGTAACCCTTTCTGGTGTGCATGCGAAATGGTGCAGCTACTATGGAAAACAGTACGGAGGTTTCTTAAAACGTTAAAAGTAGAACTACCATATGATCCAGCAATACCACCTCTGGGTATTTTTTTAATTGAAATCAGATCTCAAAGAGATATTAGTAATGAACTATGTTCAATGCAGCACTATTTAAAGTTGCCAAGATGTGGAAACAATATAAATTTCTATAGATGGATGAATGAATAAAGAAAATGTAGTAATATAACCAATGGAACACTCTCCAGCCTTTTAAAAAGAAGGACATTCTGCAATATGGGACAACATAGATGATCTTTGAGGACATTACGGTGAATAAATAAGCCAGGCACAGAACGACAAATATTGTATGATTCCACTTATGTGAAGTATCTAAAAGAGTCAAATGGTGGTTACCAGGGGCTGAGAGGAGAGGGAAATGGGAAGTTACTAATTGACAGGCATGAAGTCTCAGTCAAGAAAGATGAAGAAACTCTAGAGATCTTCTGTACAACATTGTACCTACAGACAACAGTAATGTATTACACACTGTGAACGTTTGTTCAAAATATAGATCTCATGTTGTGTTTTTACCACAATAAAATAAATTGCCAGAGGACACTCTGAATTAATTGATACCGAGTTTCCACTACCCAATGGAAAGGTTGCACAAATTAAAATTACATGCAGTTATAAAAAAAATAAGTAAATATGTGTTCAGAAACGAGCAATGGCTGAAAGTGATCAGATGGTAGAGAATGTAACATCTTTCTTTTTCTGACTCATTAGAGAACCTTGGATTTTTAAACCAGCTTTGTTGAATCAACCATAAAGTATCATTCACTGAGCTCTGAAGAAGCATAGAGCAAACGCAGAGAATTAAGACTATACCCAAGGCAGCATATATTACCTGACATATGAAAATGGAGCTCTTAAAAAAATTAGTGTTTTTATTTTACAGTATAGCACTGAGATCATTGGCTGCTCAAATTCTATTTTGAACTCTCAATGTCACATCTTTTGTGTTTCCAAAAATGTAAGTTTTAAATTCCTAATATCATCTCCTCCCATCCCATGAACAATCTGATTAACTAAGTCTGCAATAATTAATCGATTGATTAACCAGAAAGACATTGCATACATATTACATACCAGATTCTTTTCTATGCTCCGATCATGTGTTAGGTATTGTGTACTAGAGACAAAATGGTAAGTACCTGGCTTTCTGGCTTAAGTGGGTCAGACAAAGCTTTAATTGTATAAGCTCCATAACTGTGGCAGGTAGGCCCCCGACAAAGGTGTGCCTAGGTGCTGAAATAGAGGAGAAGAGTGGTACCTAATCTCCCTGGGAGTGGGGAGAGCGTGTCAGGAAAAGCTTCTGTTCTGTTTCATGAAGTTTTTCTTTAATGGAGATTACCTGACATGGATGATCTGATCATTCAACAGTGAATTTCACAGGGCAAGAGCAAGGGCCCTTTTCATTGAGTCCTCTGACCTGACAATTTAATGAGGCTGTGAGGGTGTTAGGCATGCCTTTAGGGACTCAGCCTTGTTTCTCTGCAACACCTCACCAACACCTACCTCCCCCCAGCTCTGCAATCTTCAAAGTCTGGAATAGAGAGAATTGGTTACAGCAGGCAGAGAAGTAATTTAATTAGGTGATCTCTGAAATACTAGGGAAAAAAAATACACACAAGTAGGAACCAATGGAGTTGAAGAAATTTCAGCTTAAGAGGCAATCAGAGGAAGGGAGAGTTCTGATGACAGCAAGGTTTCATCCTGGGTTACCTGATGATGGCAAATAGTCTTAAGAGCTAGGGAATCACAGGAGAAGGAAGAGGAGAAGGTTATAATAGAATATTATCCTATTTTAATAGGATATATTTTAAAATAAGAACTACCTTTTTTTTTTACGGACTATAAGTAGCAATTTGTCTTTTGTCCAATGTTTTCACAATTTTTTTCAGTTTCCAAACAAAATGGATACTGTCAAACATGTTTTAGTACTACTTAAACACACTTGGTACAGAGTAAATTTAAACATTGATTAGAAAGACAGTGCAATTCCAGTCTATGCACAGCTCCAGGCAAGTTCTGTCAATTGTTAGCTAATGATTTCCAACAATTTATCAATCTTTTTTTATGTTGCTATAGACACATGCTGAAAAAGTGACAGAGATTAAAAGTGTGGTGGCTGCCTACCAATATTTAGCATGCTCTCCTTGACCACCTTGGTGGGATGGGCCTCCTCGAAATAGCCTTTTAGCCATCCTCTGTTGGGTACTCATAATACACCTGCCACATCATACAGTGCAAAGATCATGTCTGGAAAAACAATTCCAGTTTGGAATGCATGGTAAAATGTCTGAACTCTGGGCTCTTAAAACAGTTAAAAATGTCACTATGCTCACTCTGTGCTGTGTCAGAAATTATGCCAGCCAACATGATTCTGGATAGCTATCCCGACCTAACACAGAAATAAAAAATTACCTATAGCTATTAAATGGAAGCATCAGCATAAGAATTTAGATAATCACAGTTTGTATGAAAATGGATGCTTCCAAAGCTTTCAAAAGCTTTGCTCTATGATGCAGCCAATATCTTTCTCAAAATTTTGTTTATACATTTCATTGTTCTAGAAGCACACTACTTTATCTCTGTTAGTACAAAGTTAAATTGCAGGCCATTTCTCAATTTGATGTTAGTGACTTCATTTTCAACAAATGCTTATCAAGGGTCTGCTTTGTGTTCAGCACTATTTTGGGCCTAAGAGATAAAGCATAAACTGTAAGCCTAAATTTCTGACCTCATGGGGCTTTCATTTATTTTGGTGTATGTGGATGGTGAGATACAAGAGTTACTATAATAACACATTTTTATATCACTAAGTATTGTAAAAAATACTAAATGCGAAGTTTAGAATAGGGAATGCCTGGGGAAATGGAGGTTGCTTCAGTTAGAGCATCAGGAAAGGTCTCTGAGTTGATGTAAGTATCGAAGATCAAAATGAATACAGCAAGACAGTCAGACTAACATTTGGGAAGCAGAGGACTCTAGGCAGTGGGTAGAACATCTGTAAAGACCTGAGACATAATAGAAAATGATGTATTCAAGGGACAGAAAAGAAGCCTATATGGCTAGAATGAGTAAGTGAGAGAGAAAGAGGAGGAGATGAGGTCAGCAACAGACTAAGCCTCTCCTAAGACCCTAGCAATGGAGAGGCAGTGGTGGCTGATGTAATTTAATGTATACATTAAACATTGCTCTAGCTGCAGTGTGGAGCATGGAATTTGGGAGACAAAAAAAAAAAGAAACGGGAAAATAATTAGGAGCTTGTGTGATAGCCTAAGCAAGAGCTGACTGAAGCTTTAGCAGTTGGAGACGGTTGGGTTGAACTATGCATTGATAGCTGAGTCTACAGTACTTGCTGAAAGACTGAATAAAATATATGTAAAAAAGAAAAAAAATTAAGGATGACAGTGTTGGGTTTTTGGTTTGAACTTCCTGAGTGGTGCCATTTACTGAGATGGGGAAACACTGGGAAAATAACAAGTTTGGGGGGTAAAACACAAGAACATATTTGAATACATTAAATTTGAGGTAGATTTTTAGGCATCCAAATAGAGGCATCTCACAGGTAGTCATAATTGTATGTCTGTAGCTCATGACAGTGTTAGGATTGGAGATGTTGATTTGGAAGTCATGAATAATGGAGACAACGGGTCAGCAGATTGACTATTCCTATAAGATCAAAGGAGAGTTAGGTTGAGAGGACCAGAGTAGGAGGTGTGGATGGTGGAAGGAATATTCAGAGAGTAGGGTAATTGAGAGTTTGTGTTTGTTATTGGTGAAAATGATGCCTAAGTTAGGAGCATGGGAGGGAGATGCTGAGGAGGAGGGTGGAGGATATGTTAGGGAATTGCTATTGATCCTTCTGGGGGATATTACAGTCACTCAGAATAATGGCAGGAAAAGAGGTGGATATGAAGACAGAGGCTAAGATTCTATAGCCACCACGGTTGAGGAGCAGGGACCTGGTTGTTGATAGATAGCAGCAACCAAGAAGGATGGGAGGTACCAAATTTGATGACTTACACTTTAAAGGGTCTAGGAGAAAGAAGGATAATTGGCTTGAGACCAACAAAGTGGACTAAGCAAGATATAACCCACCTCTACTGCCAAGATACAGGCCAAGGGAAGATAGAGGAGGAAATGCCGCAATTTTAGGAGAGTTGCTAGGAAAGCAGTGTTTTCAGGGGAAATCCTGGTTCCCGTTAGAGCATTAGAATCCTACAGGGAACTCGTTAAAACACATTGCTGGGCCCCATCCCCAGAGTTTACGATTTGGTAGACCTGGGATAGGCCTAAGAATTTGCATTTCTAACAAATTCCCAGGTGATGCTGATGCTGCTGGTCCACAGACCATACTCTAAGAAATCAGTGCCTTAGAGCCAGAAGTTTCAGAGAAGAGGTTGAGGGCATGAGGAGATTGCTATAACAAAATGAATGGTAGAGGGCAGTCTGGAAGTTTTGGGAGAACAGGGAGGGATGCGACAATGAAATAAAATGATGGGCTTGGCTATCGAATGGTGCCTGAAGAAACTCGAGATGTGAGGTCTCCTGGGATCAGTCCTCATTGTCTCTGGAAAGAAAGTAATCAGTGGAAATTTTCTGGTTCAGTCACTAGGCAGCTCTTTACTTCTATCACTTGGAATGGTGTAGGCCTGGAGGAAGGCCAAGGGGCTCTGCAGGGCAGCTCTCCATCCAGGGCAGTTCCATGAGTGTGGAGGCTGTGGAGGGGCAGCTTACTAGGAATGGGACATGTGACCTTCAGGCCACTGCTCTCTCTCCTGCAAAAACAGGCTGACTCAGCAGTAGGGCAAGCCTGGAGGATGAGAACTGGGCCTGTGAGGACATGTGGCTTCAGGTACTGGGTCACTTGGAGCTTGGGTGATTTTAAAACAAGTTAGGTCAAAAGATACTGAGCCCCTCTTTTGCATAATTAATAGTGGTGGGCACTGTTGTGTGGCAGGGTAGGTTTGTGTTCATTAGTACCTCAAAATCCCAGAGGAACAAGCAGAAGAGAAGCTTGTTTAATCGGGACTCTACTGCCAATCACTTGAAGTTATTATTTTCAGGCACAACTGCATTCAGATGTTCAAACTCTGTCATCTTGTCTCCTTCCCATGAAGTCTCTCTCTTTCTCAATGATTTCGGCTGTGTTGGCTTCATTTCCAGAAAGGATGTCTTTTTCTGGTGGCAACAACAGTACCAAGCTTACATCTTACCACTCAGAAAACCCAGTGGAAAGAAGCCTTCTCTTTCCCAATAGTCCCATGTAATTTGGGGTGACGCACCAAACCTTGAACCAATCACTGTAGCCAGAGAGACAGGTGCTCTGGTTTGACCTGGTTTATGTCAGTCGTGTGCCCTGGAAAAGGAGGGGATATCTAGGTGTTGTTTATCTGCTGCACCTGAGCCACAGAGGAAATGACTTCCTAAGCAGAGGAAATTGGTTTCCTAAAAGAAATTTTTACGTTATAATAAAAAAAGATAGCAACAATAATGTTTATTAAAAAATAATATTCATAAGTCATGGTGCCAAGTGCTAAATAATATGCATTATTTTATTTAATTTTCACAAAGCCTGATGAGGACCATACTATTATTATTCCTGCTTTACTCAAGCACTGAGAGTTTAAGTCACTCCATGGCTGCATGGCTTTTGAGTGGCAGGGTAGGACCTGGAGGGAAACCTGAGCGTGGAGCAAGAACAAAGTGCCACCTGGGGACAGGGGCGTGGGAAAGAAGCTCTGATCCAGGGGCCGACAAGAGCCATATTGAGGTCCAAGAAAGGAGTGGGGCCAACAGTTGAGGCAGGAGAGAGGGAGGCAGTGCCAGAAAGGGAGGCCTTCCGGGGTGGGAAGAGACTGTCAAAAACAAAGCACTCTCAGACCCAGGAAATTTCAAATAAGTGACGATGGACTTAATGAGGCTTTACTGTGCTAAGCTGTTGCTGTCACGATCACTTACTCCCTCCACAAACAAGTTAAAGCTGAGCTGGCACAAATGTTGAAGGAGACAGAATTTGAGTCACATGCCTTATGGGTAGCTCATTGTCATGTTTGTGGAGCAATCATACATTTCCCATCTGCTTTCTGATTTCACTTTGTGAATCTGGCTTGTTTTGTTTACAGATCCACCCTCTTTCCCCCATAGGGTGGGGTTGTGCATAATCATGCAGAACTTGAGTAGAAAACATGTTATTATGATTCCAACTTCAGCCATAAGAATGTTCCTTTTGTTATCTCACACAACAGTTTTAAGTAAGATTGTGGATGGATACGTTTACAGGGAACTTTCTGCAGTTGGTTAGCTTGCAGGAAACATGCACCATTTCCTTTGCTCGTGTCCAGATGGAAACCCTTTTTGTGAAAGAACCACCAGGATCACAGTGTGTTGGGAGTGATTAGGCCTCTGTGATGGATTTCTAGCTGCCCTTGAGAGGAGCCCCTCCTCTCCTCTGAGTAGGTTTCTCTCTCCTTATTTGCCTTCAACTGATCATAACAGCTGCAATAAAACTCACTTCACCTTAATAAAAATGAACCAGAGAGACTCATTCTATATATTCCAATGTCACTTGCACAAGTGCTGATTATTGATCTGAAAACAGGCTATGCCTCAGCCTGGTAATGCTTAGCTTCATTTTCTCCCTTCAACTTTCAGTAACAGCCACCGTTGCCTGCAATGGAATTGCTCTAGCAGAACGATATGGTAGAGGACAAGCCAGAAAATCTCTCCTGGGTCAACAATTCGTCATAATGAAAATTGCAGAGGCCCAAGTATGTTCACTGAGCAGTTAACAACTCATGCTTTTCTCCCCAATGTATCATATGCATCAGGCTTGCTGACTCTCATGGCTAAATTCAATTTCTTCAGTATAGCTGATAATTATGGTACTAAACAATTGATTTTGCATAACCATATAACCACATAGCCAAAGCTGATCTGGCTGTCATTCCTGTGCAAAGAAAAATGGCAGTGGTTGCAGGTTAATGTCACGTACCCCTAAAGAACTGTTAAGGAAGGCGAAACTCAAAAACATGTAATTCCCCTTTCCAGATGAGCAGTTTTGCCAGCTCTTCATTGTGAAGTGAGAGGAAGATATCTTGGAAACGACAGCGAAAAGACACCAGGACCATGACTACTTTTACTTCCATTCCACAATGCCCATCCTCTCCAAACCTCAAAGTTTACGGGTTGATGAGGTCATTTTGCCGAGGTCATTTTGCCAAGGTCACAGACCTCAGGGCTGTTCTGGGATAGGGACATCAAGCTGTGTGTTGTGCCTCTTATTTTATTGTGAACAATAAACCTCGTAATATTCCATTCTACTCAATAATGATTTATTGAGTGCCTGCATGTCTCAAGCCCTCTGCTAGGAGCTGCAGGTTTGTGTGATTTGTATATGCCTTGCTTCCATTTGTGTTTGACAGTGCCATGGGGATGTTTCCTGGGGTAGGCATTTCACTGTCAGCTAGATTTCTGCTCGACTTCATGGCTGTCATTGTGCGTGACTGTGTCATCTATGCTCTCACACAAACCATAGACTGAGGGGAGCAATTTCACAGTTGAAATTCTAGGTGCCATAACCTTCCAGTACAGGAGGTGTTATGGGGGCAATAGGGAGGTGGGCTGGTCCTCACTCTACACTGTTGGGCAGACTCATCAGAAATACTGAGGAGTAAGTCTGGCCTGGTGAACCCATGCAAATTCATGGTAACTGAAGAACATGTAGAAATGATAGACATTATACAACAGAATAAAAAGATAAAAAATTGTTCATAATCATCAAGAAATAACCACTATTACTCTTTTTGCTACCTTAATATTTACTTTGTACATACACATATGCCACACACACACACACACAGAGGCATGTAACACAAATACACTTGCAAAAATGGAGATGCACTATTTTATAGCCTATATTTTTCTTGTTAAAATAGTAAAAAATAGTTAAATAAATGTGTATTAATCTATTCCACGTGTATTAAGCACCCTTTATGTTCCAGGTGCCATTCTGAGCATGGAAATTTGGGAACAAAAGACAAATTCCAGATTTCGTGGAGGCAGTGATTCTGTGTGTAGAGAGAACAGAAAATAAATAAATGAACAAGAAAATATGATGAAAACAACAGGTTGATATGATAGAGCTTCAGAGACACTCTTGTTTGGATGGGCAGGGGGGACCCCTTCAGAAAGTGACATTAAACAGTGAATTGAATGACAAAATGAACTGGCCATGGAAATATCTCAGGAACAGCATTCCTGACAGAGAGAATGAAACCAGCTTATGCAAAGGCTTAAAGAGGGAACCAGGCTGCTGGGCTGTGGGAGCAGAGAGAGGCCTTCTAGCTAGAGTAAACAGAGAAGAGAAGTATAAGATGGGGATGGAGAGGGAGGCAAAGGACTAGCTGTTCCTACACAGCTTTTTTCTGTGTGTGATCAAAGCCATTGGAGGGTTTTAAAGAGGGGAATAATAAGAATGGATTTGTATTAAAAAAAGAAAAAAGGAAAAACTCTAGCTGCTGCATGAAAATGTGAGAATGGGGTTGCAGGGGGGAAAGAGTGTAACTAGGAATGCCACTGAAGAGTTCATTAAAGTTCTTGAGAAAGATGATAATGGCTTGAACCAGGGAGTTGAGGCCATTACTCTAGGAATAGTTTATTCATATCATCTAGAAATATTAACTTATTCCAAAGGTAAAGAATGTATGGGCAGAATCTAGCAATAGGCTCTTGGGAAGAAGAAAACCCATATGAAACTTTGGATAGTTTAATCAGGAAAGAAAAAAAACTCTATTAGCTAGAGGGAGAGATTAAAAAAGACAATGTGAGCAGAAAACAAGGAAGAGGGGAACAAAAGAAAAGTCATGAGAATAAATAAGTAAGAAAAATAGAAGTCAAGTGGTTGTGGTGAGTGGTAAGACCATTAAAAATTTTTACTGACTGCCACCTTTGACAAAATCAGCTACCTCCTCCAGTATTCTGTCATTAGTAGAAATTAGCTAATTGTTTGGAATCTGTAAAAAAAAAAAGGATGAAATCCAGTGGGTATTCATAGCTGTAAAGGCTATATAGTCTGAACTACGGTGGAATGTTATTAAAATATGAAAACAAGCAGCACAGGGTCTCAGGCTGGAGCAGTTATACAGAGTAAGAAGATGTCATTTCAAAATCACTTTTCTGATAATTACACATAAAAGGGTTGGTCTAGACTCTCTTTCATGCAGTTAACTCTCAATTGAAGCCAATTATAAGTAGAGAACCTGACTTTCATGCCTTCGTACAGCTTATTTTCACACCCTTTCTTCTAATCACTCTCTTTATCTGTCCTCATATGTTGTTGGCTAGTATTCCTCTCTACAGTGAGGCACGAGAGAGAGAGAGAGAGATTTAGAATCTAAGTGACTGCCTTTTTACTGAGACAAATGTCTTCTAAGTGGGGCGTGTGTGGAAATCTTGTTTTGCTGAAATATTTGGACAGTAGTGGGGAAAGTCTTATATTCATGGAATAATTCCTTGATATAAGAGAGAGCAGAAGTTGTGGAAAGAGAAACATGGTTTGAATCTCGGGTCTGACATCTGCTGTGTGTCCTTGTGAATGTCTGCACTCTTTCTCAGGGCCTCAGTTTTGTCATATGCAAAATGGAAGTCGGGTTACCTATCTTGCAGGGTGTTGTGAAAGATAGACATGGTCATTGCAAAAAGCACCTCACACCCAACATTCTTTTTCCTTCCCTTCATTGCTTTGTATTCATTGGTCTATACAACCAGTATAACACTCCTTTCCTGAAGGCTATTTCTGTGTGGACACATTTACATTATGTACAGACTAAAACACTTTGAAGAGTTACTCTCAGTTATTGCTTGTCCTACTGTCCACTAAATCCTGCTGCCACTCTTTGGTGGATAAAGCTTTGAGATTTCAAGCTGTCAACTCATTGGGCCCCACTTTTGATCTGTCAATCTGGTTAAGGGCCATGTATTATGTAAATAATGACACCACTTAAAATATTTTTAATCCTTCATCTTGATGGATGCTTTTGTGTTTCACATTTGTCCTTTGAGGAAGGAGAAGGAAACTAATAGCTCCTCCAGGTGACAGGTAATTACACACCAAGAGCTACGTTAGCACCTAGTACTATGCTGAGATGTCTTGCTAAAGAACAGAGGTGTTTAAAAATCTCACCCCTCTTCCTGATGGTGCTAAGAGAAGGTAGGTGCACTTTTAATTACAACTAAGCACTGAATCATCAGGGAAGCAGAAAGCTGTGGCTAACTCAGCCAGTTTCAGGATTGCCCAGAAGTGGAGTCCGGAGGAGAAGTCTTGACCTCAGCACCAGATTGCTGCAAGCCTTTGGTTAATTTCCAGAAGTTGATTCAAAAAGTTTTTACAATTTTTTTGTTTTTGTTTTGATGGAGGGGTAGAATTTGGATTTTCTTACTTTATTACTTTTAGTGATGTCATTTCTCTAACTGGTGTTTCTCTTGCTCAAGGATTATATTTCCTGGATTCTTTGTGTGACCCCTAATTTTTTAATAGAGCTAGCCATTTTGAAATTTGTAAAAGGTGCTGGATTTTGCTGTATTTCTTTAAATATTGTGGGGTTTTGTTTTGGGATGTAGTTAAATTACTTGGAATAAGTCTGATTCTTTCAAGGCTTACTTTTATGCTTTGTGAAGGGGGCTCTAGAGCAGTCTTTAAAAGGCACCGATATGGCTCCACTAGGAATGTAACACCCTTCTGAGGACTCCAGCCACTGCCCTATGGATTAGAGGTTTTTCCACTTTGGCTGGCTGGAACATTCCCGATCCTATGTGATCTCTTGCGATTATTCCATCTATTCCTTTCCAGTGCTTCTTCTCCAGATTTGAAAAATTTCTTATCATGCATGTGCACATTAGCACTCAGAATGAGATTTGAGGAACCTCTCTGCAGATCTCTACAGCTGTGTTTTTGTGCAACTCTCTCATCTCTAGTATTTTGCCCCACAAATTCTTGCCATTTAACATCGCTATATTATGAAATATATCTCCTGAACTTAGCAAAACTGCTGAGATATTTGGCTTCTGTGTCCCTGCACTGAGGCCTGGAAAGTCACCCCAAGAAGTAAACTGGGAAAATTATAGAACCCATCTTTTTCTTTTCTTTTTTTGAACTTTCAGGCAGCACTATCCTGTACTGTCAGTTTTCCATGGCTGAAAACTAATGTTTCATCTATTTTGCATGTTTTTCCAGTTGTTATTCCAGTCCCTGATACTCTGTCATGGCCAGAAACAGAAGCCTTTGCACTTTAGGTGACATAGATATAGACAGCTTTTAGCTTTATTGGTCCTTTGGTCAACATTTTTTCTGTTGTCCCATGCGTTCCTTCTGCTTGGATTTATTTTTATTTGGTGGAAGTGTATTCTGGCAGAAGTAGTTCTTCAGTGATACACTTTAAAAATCTTTGCGTGTCTAAAACTATCCCATCTTTCCTTCTTTTGCTGGCTTGGCAAACACGTCTATGTTTAAAATAAATATACTTTAAAGACATTGCTCTATTGTTTTCCAGAATTTAATGTTTCATATAATATTTCTAATAGCAATTTGTTGAGAGTCGGTTTTTACCTCTTTAGAAGCATTTAGAATTTTTTGTTTTTCTTGGAATTCAGAAATGCATATGTTCCATGAACCAGAACTCATTTGCTTTGATGGGAAGAGGATGCAGGAAGATATTTTTAAAATCAAGCATTATGGAAAAAAACTGTGAAAAACAGTTTTACCCCCACAGATATTTATGAACTCCTTGTCACACACAGGCTCCCTCTGATGCCTCAGGCCTGCTTTTGTCCCGAGTATTCCTGCTCATGTCCTCCTCATTACTTTGAACTTCCTCATCCAGTCTGACAATGATTTTTCCCTACTTTTGTAGGCTATTGAGCCCTGTGAACTAGGTCTATATTCCTTGTTTAGTTAGCAGTCATTTCTGTTCTGCATAGAAACATAAGCTGAAAGTTTTATTTTCCTTAATAGAGAATTAAAGAGTTGTCAGAGAGTTATCCATTATCACTTATAGGGTTTCACAATTAGGTATACTAATGTTCTAAAATTGGATACCAACTTTACAGCTAGGTCTAAAAGAAAAATCTATTGGCTGGAAACCCAGTCTCCAATATGGTGATGACATATACTAACTGGTAAATGCTATGGCCTATAAAAATTAATTTGAGCTTTAAATAGACACAAAAGCATATTAGAGGGTCATGGTGTATCAAAGGGAACATTACAATGCCCATTTTCATTTTGTGAATGTTCTCAAATTATGTAATGCCATCAAAACTGAAACCATTCTATGGAAGGCCACAGCTGTTGATTAAAAACAGTTAAAACAGCAATGCCTTTGTGTGTACATTTTTTAACCTAGTATGTCTTCTGTTATATAGCATAAGGAATGACTATTCCTTTCCCAAATATTTAGCAGAAAAGCAAAAAAAGATAGAAAATAATTCAGGGCAGATGATTTTTGTAAGAATGTGGTTTCCTGAATTGTAAGTGTCAACATCATTCTATTGCAGCACATTCTCACAAATGTTTGATCCAACATATGAGGTGAGAAGAAATAAGCCATCTTCTCTTGAGATTTTAATATTGTTTAAAATGAAGCATTCATTTAAAAATGTTAAACAGCAATATTTGTTGGTGTTCCTTTCTATGGCTGCAGCACAAAGTATTTTCAATGCCATGTGTCTTGAGCACTAGAAAGAGTCTATTAAGGGTTCTGTTTCTTTAGGGGCTCTGAGCAAGTTGCAGAGTTTAACTGTACACCCTAGAAGGGGAGAAAATGCAAAAGGTAATTGGAAGAATAAAATAGAAAATATAAGAAGATACATATTTAGGAATTAACCTTAGAAAACAGGGTAAAATTGCCTCCAAATTTCTGGTATCAGTTTTGTGGCCTTCTCTGAGCTTTCACTAGCATGTGTGTGTTGGGGTGTTCTGAGGAGACACAGGGAGCCACGGGCAATGCCACCGGAATACTGGTGCAGAAGGCTGCCTATGGAATGAAGCCAAAGCCTAGGCTTAATCAATGCACCATTACCCTGATCTCCAGAGCTCTTTTGCTTCAAAATGAGAAGGGCAGGAAACAATGATTGCTAGGGTGCTAACTTCAAACAGCCCTGCCCATGTTGAAAGACTGGTAGGCAAGTAGGATTCCTTTGAAAAGAAATGTTTTTCAACAGTACGTGCTAAACGTGGTGTAGAGAGAAGGCAAAGGTCCAAGATTTTGATAGAAAAAATCAGCATGCTATCTGCTGAAGAAAGCCCACTTGGGAATGAAGATCTTAAAAAATATTTTTAAGAAATGATTGAGATGCACTTAGGCAAGGTAGGAATCCCGCGCAACATGGATTCCTCATAGCAAATGCCTCTCTACAGCCAGTATGAGCTCCTGCCACAGAAGAACCAGTGCCTGGTGGAGATGGAGGCCTGCAGGGTCTCAGTTGTGCCAAATCCAAACTGTTGTGCTGTCAATCAATCTAATTGCTCAAGAAACTTGGGAACTTCGGACAAGCCAGATTCAAGATGTTTTTAACTTTTCAAAAAGAGAGAAAAACAGAGTCAAGAATTTCTATCTTGGGAAAAATAATTTAGGTCAGCAGAAATGATTAATCTTACAAATGCCAGCTGGTTCTATTGAAACATGATGTACATTGCCGGTGACAACAGTGAACTAGTATGATCTTCTCAAAAGCATTATGGCAACACAAAGCAAGAACTGGAGGGTGGGTGAAGTCCTTCACCCGGGAATCTCACCCTGAGAATATATCCTAAGCAAATAATTCCCCAATAGCAAAAAATCTATATGCAAGACAATATTCATTGTCACAGCTTTTCATAACAACTGCAAAAAGTTCTCTGAGAAACAACACATGCAGGAAACAGTTGTGAAATTGTTTAGTAAATTACAGAAATTAAGTCTATGAAATATTTTTCAGCCACTAACATTATAATTATGAAGACCATAAAAAATAAGAAAAAACATTTACACTATGATGTCAAAAGAAAGCAGTGGAATTAAAATGCTATGACCTTATGACTGCATCTGTTGAAAATAACCTATGTGGGAAGAAAATTTGCAGAGATGAATATAGCTACGTTAATTTGGAGGACTTGTGAGTGGTCTTCTTTTCCTTTTCAAAATTGTGGCTAATAAATTATAAATATATTTTTATGAAATTCAATGGAAACAGAACTGGTTAAGGAAAATATTAGGTTAGATTTTTTGCCATTAAAATGGCAAAAGCCGCAATTACTTTTGCACAAACCTAATAACAATGGTAAATAATAGGGTAAAGGGGTTATGTGGAAATCTATCTGATGCCTGTGGAGATTTTGTTGTTTTAGTTTAGTGAAGGCAAATCACTGCAAGTATGTGTAATATCAACTATGTTTTATAATAAAAATGGTTACCTGGGTTATGTGAGTCCAGTGGAGATGTTCTAAGCCTTAGCATCAAGTGTCGTGTTTTCTTCATGTCACCATCAGTTATAGAGATGGAGTGGAAGCAGAACTGACAACATGACAAGCTTATTGAATAGAACAGATTCGCTGATTCCTGACCCCCATCCCATTGACTACCACCACGTCCACTGCCACCAAAACTTACTACCACGTGTTTAATTTATACAACTGAATATGTATCCTTGTGTCTGTATGCATGTTTGTGTGTGTATGTTTTACCATTCAAAAAGTATGGACCCTTATACATACAGAAAAATATCTGAAATATATAAGCACAGTTTAACCAATAATTACAACATGCACCCTTGTATAAAGGCCACCTAGACTGGAAGCTGGAGTATTGCCAGTACCTTAGAAGCTTTCAATCACCACCCCTTCTCTCACCTGTTAGTGGTAGCCATGATCAGGAAGCACTACCCTGATTTTTTGGGGGATAATAATTCCCTTGTTTTGTTTGCTTTTTCCTCATTGGTTTTACATGTACAGAATTATATTAATCATAATTCCTGGTTCATGGCACTCAACCATAATTGGCTTATGCATAGCCCTTTATTTTCATTTCATTTCATTTCATTTCATAATAACATGATGAACTAATGAATTTATCACCCAACCAAAGAACTAGGTCATTACCAATAAATTGCAACTTCTTATCTGCTCCTCAACTATACCATTCCACTGCCTCCCCTGCCGAGGTATCCAGGATCCTGATTGTATATTATTCTTTCCTTCCTCTTTTTGGAAATAGTTACCAACTACATATATATCTTCAGACAATATTTGTTTAATTTGGTCTGGTTTTGAATTTACATGGATAAAATTATACCACATATATTCCTTGGCACTATGATTCCTTAAATTCCCTAAAATTATTAAATATGTTTATAAGATGTATCCTTGTTGATGGGTATATCTACAGTTTATTTTCACCTGTAAGTAGTATATGATTTTATATGAAATATGCAATAATGTATTTATTTTATTTCATGTTGATTGGCCTTTGTGTTAACGGTTTTTAGAATTATGAACAATGCTGTTATGAGCAATTTGAAACATGTCTCTAGATGTACACTGTCCAGGAGTTTTTCTAGGTTATATTCTGAAGGTACACCAAATGTACACTTTGACGGGGTTTTGAAATCAAATTTCAGTCAAATTGAGACCAAACATAAATGCTGTCATAATAGAATCAATTCTGTTATACAAGAATAACATCTGAACTTTTGTAAATCACAATTTAATGATTAAAATGTGTGGTGATTAAATGTTAAATATCTGAAATGGTATACTAATTTCCCAGTGCTGTTGACTACTCTCAGTTCTGTCAGTGATGCTATGAGTACCATATTGCAATTTTGCAATAGACACCTTGAATCAGGGTCAGAGGAGAAGTAAAGTATCACTCTATCAGTATGGAATTCTCTGATAAGAATGTTGGCACAAATTATGGGTGTGTTTTTCTTCTTTTTAGCAGTAGTGGGCTATTATAAAGATATAACTTTACTTCAATTCATGGACTTGAAAATTTGGTTTATGGTGATGATGTAATTCCATTGAAAGAAATGGAAGATTTGGATATTGCTTGAAGATAATGTCTCACTGTTTTCAAAAGTAAACTGAAGGCTAATGTACTCACTTATATTTTTAAATTTTTAATTTTTTGGTTTTAATTTTTCCTATGCCTTCAAGTTGATAAAAATTTTCCTTAAGCTTTGGATTTAGAAACGAGACTGCAACAATATGATTGGCTTTCAAGATTTACAAAAGAAAAGAAGTTATACGGAAATTTTTACCTTCATCTCAGCGTTCACTGCATATCCAGTAATTTCAGATTCTTTATTAGAAGAGAATAATGAGAAAAATTTTTCAGCAGGTGTCAGGTAAGAAATACTTGCTTTCTGAAGGCGTACAAGTTTGGGTGCTTCCGCAGCAGTTTCCAACAAATACATTATTTCATTGTGTGCTGGCACATCCTGCTTTATTGATATTGTTTACCGCATTGTATGGTATTAAAGTTTCTGTTGTTATTTCTTCCATTACCATGTATTAGCTGCTTTTCTGATATTTAAAAACACATCTTGTGTTAGTACAATATAAGGCTGTTCCAAAACCTCTTGTGTGTTATGGAGAATGACTTTGGTGAGAAAATGATAGAAGTAGTTTAATATCATTCCGTTTATGATCAGTAATTCTGTAACATTGCTGATGAAAACTGGACACACCAATGGAGGTGTGAACAAAATGTCACACATGTGTAATTTCTAAACCACTTAGTCCTTGCCATATGGTTTCATCATTAATGACAATTGCATCACACTCACATTCACTGATGTTTTTCCTGGAGTTAAGCAATATGATTAACAAAATTCATCCAATGGACATGTATAGAACACTGCATCCAACAACTACAGAGAATACATTTTCTCAAGCACAAAGCAAAATTTGAATATTTTCTGGTTCATAAAACAAATCTCTACAAATATTTACAGATTGGAATCAGAGACATCCTCTGACCACAATAAAGTAAACCCAGGGCTCAATAAATTTAAAATTTTATATTTGGTGAGGTGATGGTATGTTAATTAGCTTGATTAACTATCTCACAATGTATACGTATATCAAAACATCATATTGTACATGTAAATATAGACTTTTTTATTTGTCAATTATACTTTAATAAGAAATGTTAATAGCCAAAACAGATTATATATTTGGAAATTAAAAAAAATTCACTTCTAAAGTAAACCCATGGATCAAAAAATAAATCGCATTGGAAATTAGAAAAAATTTTGAATTGACAATTATGAAAATGCTACATGTCAAATATTATAACATTCAACAAAAATAATTTTGAGTGAAATACATTGCGTTAAAGTTAAAATGCTGACATTTAAGAAGTAGGAAAACTAAAAATGCTAATTAGCTAGTCATCTAAATTAGAATTAGAAAATAATTGCAAAATAAAGTCGAAGAACAAAAAAAAATAAATACAAGAGTGGAAAGTAATGAATACAATTAAAATTTATAATATACAGCATAACAAAACACAAAAAGTTCTTTGAAAAGTCTAGTATATTGACAAACCTGTGAGTGAGAGTGAAAAAGCAAAAAAAAAAAAAAGAGACACAAACTGTATTAAGAATGGAAAAAAGGGACATAAATATAGAAGCTGCAGACATGAAATAAATAATAAAAATTATTAATTTAGTGGTAGTTTCATTAAAATAAATTACAAAATATAGATGAGATAAGTTATGTTCTATTAAAAGTACAAGTTACAGTATAATAAAAATATAATAAGTAATGTTCTAGAAAAATATAACTCACCAAATATGACTCAGGAATAAATAGGAAACCTGAACTATAAACACATTTAAAAAGTTATATTAGCAGCCAAAATTATTCCCACAACGCAAATTCAACAACAGATGATTTTAGGCAAGTCTCATCCAGTATTCAAGGAAATAGTACTTTCAATCACAAAATATTCAAGGTATATGAAGAAAATGACTGCTCTCAAATTTACCTTATGAGACTAGTTTACTTTTGATACTAAGAATTGAAGAGAATTAATCAAGAAAAGAAAATGACAGGATATTTATAAAAATAGATGCAAAAACTCTAAACAAAATAGTAACAAAATGAATGCAGCAAAATATAAGGAAAATGCATCATGGTCACTTTGGGTTTAACTGAACAATTGAAGATTGATTTAACATTATAAAAATTAATGTAAAGTTTCACATCAATAGATAGAAGGAAAAAAACTCACATAATTATATCCACAGATGCATTAAAATTATTTGACAAAGTTTAACATCCTTTATGATATTACTCTGAGCAAACCAGGGAGGTCTCTTAACCCCTAAAGGTATTTACAACAATTTTTAAAAAACTGAACCTCCTGTTTAAAGTGAAATATTAAAAGCTCTGCTTTTAAAATTAGCAAAAGGGAACAGGCTTCTATTTTCTCTCCTTTTAGTATTTGTTGGAGATCCCAGAGAGCATAATAAGGCAGGAAAAAAAAATAAAAGTATTATAAAGAAGCACAGCTGTCATTTTCAACTGTGGTAATGAACATAACTAGAATTCACAGATTTTCATTGAGTCTATAATTTTTATCAGTTGTTATGACTCATCGTTATTTTCTACCACTAAGAAAGAAAAAAAGCGATGTCAATTAAATTCTGAAACTGCCTTGACAATAGTCCTGCCCACTATGTGAATTAGTGTCTTTCACTTTACAGAGAGATTTGTCATTTTCTCCAGTCTTTGCAGTGATCAGGGAAGTTCCCCAGCCCTTGGTTTTATTACTTGACATATGATGGGTAATTATTTTCCACTCATTGCAGTAATAACATACCACACAGCTTTCATCTACTTGTGGACATTTTCCTTTCTTTCTGTATAGCATTTAGTTATTATTTTGTAAGGAAATAATGTTTTTTGATTATTCCTTCCGTAATTAATATTTACTCTGTTAGTATCTAATTTATGCTTTGTTACTCTGTTTCTGTGCCTTTTGGTGTACTAAATAACTTTTCTTTCCAAAACTTAATAATATTGTAATTATTGTAAAGACAGTTTAATTGACAGTTACACTGAGCACATGTAGTACTAACTATATTCACCATTCATTTGAAATGATAGCTATGACCAAGTTCACTCATGTACTAGCACTGATGATTTCTACCTAGAAAATAATGATTATAAATTAGATTAGAAGATTCATTTTAATTTCAGAGATGTTAAAATGTATTAAAAGGTACACAGTGGAGCTGCTTAAATATATAGCAGTCCAGCAAGTTTGCAGGATACAGGATCAATATAGAAAAAGATAGCATTTCTTTACCAGCAATAGACAGAACATCCAGTTTGTTGGGTTGGAGCTGCTGATTTTTTCCCTTACTTGGGGCAACATAAGGTGAAGTTAAGCGCATTACGAGAAAACTTTGTCTCACCTCCTGGCTCCTCTTTCACCCTGGGTGAAAAAGCACTTCCATCTCACTCCAACACACACACTGGGAACCACCTATCTTTGTCTTTCTAGGGGTTTCTCACTTTGCTTTTGTCACATCTGGGGACCATAATTCTTATGGCATTGGATCTCTCCAGAATTGGACTTGGAGAATGGAATCATATCCATTTAAATTTTCCACCTAATAGAAAGATTCAGTTTAGACTTTTCTAAACCTTTTTGAGTCATCTGTATTTAATATGTGTGTATTTATTTTTTTTTAGGAAACAAGGATACATGAGGGTTGAAGTCATTCAATGTTTCCATAGAATAGGGGAAAATCAACATCCCATTTCTTTTTCTGTTTTACCACTTGCAATCTTCATAGATATGTATCTGAAATAAGTATTTTGTCCACACCCTGCAGTTTAGAATAGTAGTTTAAACAAATTATCACAATACTTGTTATTAGAGCTAACTCTTAAAGGTCTAATAAAAGCTTTTGAATGTACTAAGTACATTAGAACAATGGATCTTGTATATATTTTCTTCAGTTGTGTTGGTTATCTCTGATGCCTCAAATCTAAAGATAATTTGACCAGAAAAGATTCCCTTCTCTTGAACTACTTTATATTCAATTCTTTCAGAAAATTTCCAAGACTTGATTAGCTAATTTTACCTTGCACTAAATAAACTCTAACGATAATCACTTTTTGATTGACAAATCTTTTACTACTTTTCTTTGTGGTCACTGACCATTTTCTAAAATATGTCACCACCAAAAGACCACCTGCCTAATTGGACAGGTAGGAAATCTGTTTTCAGACAGGTGGATGCTTGTCTTTTCATTCTCTCTCCAGTTATTTCTGCAGCCATTGTAGTCACAGTCTCCCTGGGTGATTCCTTTGACTTCATCAGGTAATGTGCCTCTTTTAGTTTATCACACAATATGGCTTTCTTATCGACCCTAACTATGCTGTGCTCTTTCTTTTTCCATGTTGGCCATTGTCTTGTAAGTAAAGGAGCAAAACAAGATACACTTACTGCATTGCTTTGAAACAAAGTAATTGTCAAAATAACACTATCCTATTCCATATATCTTCCTTTCCCAAGTGACACAGCTGACTGCTTTAGTGACAACAAATATTCACTCTTAGTAATGTTGCAAAGCCAATATAGCCAAGGAAGAGAAAAAGAAGTGTCATTCAGTTTTCATTATCAGCAATGAAATTATATCTAAGGTCTTAACACAAAATTTATTTTGCCAAAATGTGAAAGACAGAAATACTCTGACACTTTGATAGTTTTAGGGATGGTAGAATTTAGGGGATGGGAAACTTTGATGGAGTTTTTGGGATGACGTGTGTGTGTGTGTGTGTGTGTGTGTGTGTGTGTGTGTGTGTATAAATATTTAAAATATACATATTAAATATTTTAAAGTCAAGTCTTTTCTTTATAGGAAAGTTACTGGGACTAATAAACTGTAAACAAGTCTGAAGTCAATTTTATAGTGATTTCCTTTGGTCTGTTTTGTGGACAGGCTAATATTGTGAAGGGCTAATGACAGTGGAAGAATTCTGTGCTGGGTGTCCGTTTTTCCCTGTGAACTTTGGCAAGTTGTTTTTCCCTCTGTCTGCCCAGGCAAGTGGCAGAATTCTTTGGTTATTTAATATTTGCTGCCTTATAAATATTTTAGCTTCTTTCACTGTTTATAGAAGCACCCCCTTTATAACAGTGTCAAATAGAAGTTAAGAGTGTGGGCTCTGGACTCAACAGTTATTAGCTATGACTTTGTACAAGTTACTTAACCTCTGTGAGTCTCAGTTTCCTCATCCATAAAGTGGGAATAATAAATGTACCTACCTCATAGGGATAAAATGAGAAAATACATATAATCATATGGTACAGAGACAGGATGACAGTAAACACTCAACAAATGTTAACTATTATTGTTACCAACATCAGGGAAAATGAACAGGGGAAGTGGCTCTGTGTCTAATGGTTATAGTATAAGGCATACAAGTTGATCTATGCCACATCTGATACCATGAACCATGTTATTAAATAAAAAGGTTCTACTGTGCTTACAAAAAAAAAAACTACTCTAAAGTATAGAATATTCCAGAAAGAACTGAAACAGATTCCCAAATAGAGCTGAAATGAGTTGGACAAAATTATAATACTAACTCATTGACTATAAAAATTATTTTCAGCTTCAGAAGGAAATAAAAGTTAATGCAATGAATGGAAGTGAAGTAAAATAACCTTGAAAGTGATGATTAACTGATGAATAGATTATTAGAAAACTATTTAAAATGAAATATGACCCAAATCAAAGCTTTTGGCTAATATTTGAGTACTTAAAAATACTAGGTGTCTTAAAAAAGAACTTCTAGCTTTATACTGAAACCCCAAAGCAAGCGAATAGACAAAAAATAACTCAAGCGAATCAGGAGATACTCAACTATGTACAGTGAGTGAGTTAAAATCTCTTATTTTCCTATTCATCTTTATTAATATATCCTGCCAACATAACTCAATCCACTCCATCAGACAGAATAGGTGAGCCCAGACCAGAGGAAGTGGCATATCCAGAAATGTCAAGCAATAAAAGTAAGGCATTCACCTTATTATCATAAGCATCGCAGACCAGGGGTTAGTGATTCCATAACCCCTGACCGATGGATCTTTCATTTGAGGAAAAAACCCCACAAATTTAACAGATAAAAGACAAATCAGAGCTCTTGAAAAAACCATTAAGTCTTAAGTGTTAATTTCCTTAGTAAAATCTTCACTCTATCACCTTATTATATATGAATCATGACATTAAACTGAGAAAAGCACTGCTCAGAGACATTGAGGGCTCAGCTTTATGTCTCCCAGTCTAGGTCAGGTTCTTAAACTTCTAGTAAAAGTTAACAATTTCTAAGAGCCTACTTCTAGAAAGTCTAAAAATGGGAAGAAGGGACTTTGGGGAGGACAGGTGGATATTTGAACAAATAAAAAATGACAAATTTCACAGGGATCTCACTGACTTTTAGAAATACTTTGAAGAACAGCCATGGCCACTGGGGTGCTGTAATGACATGCCCCATTATAAAATGTAACGCTAAGTAAACGTAGGAGTGGAAATTTAACAATTGAACATTTAATGGCTGCAATTATGGCAAAAGAATAATGAACCTATTAGATAGGAGAACTGGCAATTACTCTACAGCTTATTGGAATACAGCTGTGAAAAAGTAATACAGCAGCATACTTAAGAATGGTTATTAAAAAGGGGTAATGCATTCTGTTTACACTGACAGAAGCAATTTTTCTTCTGAAATGAAATGGTGCTTTTTGGCTATCAGACATATGAACTCAGATATGATGAATCCTACTATTTAAAGGTAATATATTTTCAGATATGCTTCTCTAGATGTAAATGATGCCTCCACTAAGACCATAAGGATAAGATTTTTTTTGGTGGAAGAAATAAAAGAAGATGTCAAGATGGACTTATAAACACTAAATAAATCACCTGGAGAAAAGTGGGCTAAATTTTAAATGATCCAAATAGCTGCGATAAATGAAATAGCTACGGTTCAAAGATGAAGGTTCTCAAGAAATGGTGTTCAGAACAATTACGTGATCTATAAAACCATCATTTTGGTGTCTGGGAGTGATGGATATGTCCCATTAAATTTTCAAATGTATACACTTCTAAGTACAATTTGTATGGCCCTCTCCATTTTCAGATATATCCTTTCAAATGTAGTTATCAGAACCCTGGGAGTCGGCCAAACACCACACTGGATGAAAACAATAATCTAGACAAAGGGTCAGGCACCGGAGAGCAGTTGAAGTGTAAGAAAAAGTGTCCCACCTAAGTGGATTTGACAGAATGGAGAGACGGCTTAGCTCCTCAAGGTCTTGGCACCTGCCTGGAGATTGGTTTTGGAGGGGAAGATGCATTCTTGCAACAAGGTGTCATTTCTGGCCATTTTTAAGGTAGGTTGGAGGAATATAAAATAGAACTCTAAACTACATGGAACACTGGAAATTCAGAGATCTTTGGAGAAGTCCTCTGGTCAATTCCTCTGCCCCTGGCAGGACCATATTCAAGCCATCCACAATAGAGGGAGAAATTCCTCCATTTTGAGTCTTTCACCAAAGAAGACTCAGTGTTTATGATAAAGAGAATAATTATGTACCTCCTTCTCTGTGGGAAAAGTCTACCTGAAACTCAAGCTCAGATCCCTTTTTCTATCACTGTCCTACAATGTTAGAAGACATGATTAAAAAGCATGGTAACCAGGACTTGAACCTCAGCTTGCCTGGAAAAGCCTGGTAAGATGGGTAAAGATGCCCTACCCGGTCCTGCCTGCATTTTGCAGCAATCCACTCACCTGCCCAGAGCTTTAAGCTAGCTGTTCTCAGTACCCACTGGATATCAAGCTTATGTGGGATGGCACCTTTTTTTTTTTTTTTTTTTTTTGGAGACGGAGTCTTGCTCTGTCACCCAGGCTGGAGTGCAGTGGCGCAACCTGGACTCACTGCAACCTCCACCTCCTGGTTCAAGCAATTCTCTGCCTCAGCCTCCTGAGTAGCTGGGATTACAGGCACCTGCCACCACGCCTGGCTAATTTTTTGTATTTTTAGTAGAGATGGGGTTTCACCATCTTGGCCAGGCTGGTCTTGAACTCCTGACCTCTTGATCCACCTACCTTGGCCTCCCAGAGTGCTGGGATTACAGGTGTGAGCCACCATGCCTGGCCTGGCACTATTTTTAATGGTACTTTCTGTCTGGTCTAGGACCATTTTCATGTATGACACATGTGTGAAAAGCAAAATAAATTATCTTTTTTTTTACCTGGAAGGAAGTTGTTTAGGGCAGAGAGTATATATGAGGCAATAAAGCAAGATGTTTTTTATAGTTTTAGGGTCACAAACCTGTTCTACGGATGTAGTGTAATCTGCAGACATTCATCCTAGAAAAAAATGAGAAACAATGCACATACATACTGGGTTTGCATGAAATTTCAGGGCTAGAAACCTAGTAGGAAGTTTGCAGTCCAAGACTGAGGCTTATGTAAGAAGAGGCCAGTATCAACTTCTGTAGTTCTTTGTCCAGAAAAATGTATGCAACTGTTGGTTCTCAAACACTTGAATTAATGAGGTCAATTATAGTGGTGAAATTGAATTCACATAATTAAAAAAAATGATCATAGCTAATAGTTTCCTAGCCTTCCTAACAAGTCAGTTTCTACCTGGTTCAGATTTCACCCTCTTTCTTCCCATTTTATTCTGGAAGAGGGAACAATGGAGAACAAATGTCCAGTGAGTGGCCAAAGAGAGAGGATTTTATGTGATCAGATCCTGAGTAATGAATGTTATTATTAGTCTTGAGGGAGAGAAGAGATGAAAAATTAGATAATAATTTTGTCCATTTTTTTCCTACCAACTCTGGCCTTCCCCCTGAACCAACCTTTTCTCTATCCAAGTTCAGGACGATAGGAAGTAATGAGAACTCCTTATTCCAGTGGGGCTGATATAGTTTGGATATCTGTCCCCACAGAAATCTCACCTTTATTTGTAATTTCCAATGCTGAAGGTGGGGACTGGTAGGAAGTGTTTGGGTCACCAGGGTAGATTCCTCATGGCTTAGAGCTGTCTTCACGATAGTGAATCGCCGTGAAATCTGGTCGTTTAAAAGTGTGTGGCACCTCCTCCCAACTCTCTTGCTTTTGCCATGTGATGTGCCAGCTGCCCTTTTGCCTTCTGCCATGTTTGTAAGTTTCCTGAGGCCTCATCAGAAGTCAAGTAGATGCCCAGTGCCATGCTTCCTGTACAGCCTGCAGAACCATGAGCTAGTTAAACCTCTTTTCTTTATAAATTACCTAGTCTCAGGTATTTCTTTACAGCAATGTAAGAATGGCCTAATACAGGGGCCAGTAACAATGGGTGGAAAGGCCAGGCCCTTTGTGGAGTTTTCACAGTGCCCCTGGTGTCTCATCTGACCTGCCTTCCTGCTACTCACACTCCTTGACCCTTCATTCAAGCTTTGTCTTGAACTTTGGGTGTGGCCTTGAAAACAAAGTATTGTGGACCTCTTCTACTTTTTGACCTAGTTTGCTCTTAGATTTTGTTCCCTTGAAACAGTTGTTCATGCTTCCTTGAGCAAACCCTCCTCTTTAGTTTGCAGTTGACCAACTAATGTCCCCTATCCTGTCCAGCCCTACGCTGACACTGAAACCTAAATAGAGGGCCTGAGGGTGGTCCTGATTTTGTGCTTCCAGAGACTCCTACATTCTGCCATCCCTGGGGTTTGGCAATAGAAGAAAGGCAAAGACAGAAGCAAGGGAGAGAAAGGTACTTGGTCAGCATGTGCACAGAAGTAGTCAAATTTAAACTTCTGGCTTCTCCCATCCAATTACACAGACAGTTTAGAAAGAGGTTAGAAATGCAGGTTAGAAAGAAGGCATCCATTCTACACTTTCAAATGTATGCACTGTTTCATCATGGTGTCTATTGTGCAGTGAAATAATTCTTTTAAAAATCATAATTATCTTATGAATAGTACAATTATATTGCTTTGTGTGTGTATTAAAATTGTCGGTTTGTTAAACGAAAACATTTAATATATGTATCCTGATTTGTCATCTTTTTATTTTCATATACCTGAAGCCTCAAGAAAAAAGGAAAAAAAATTTAAAAAAGGAAATATCCCAGACCTCTGTCTCTTTTTGAAATACCCTAGACCTCTATCTATTTCTGACAAGCCTTGCAGGAAGAAAGGAGGGAGGAAGGTGGGGGAAAGGAAAAGGGGAAAGAAAGGAGGAAAAAACGTAAAAGGACAGGTCATTCGGTTTAGGTGCCGATGAAGAGATCTGGTCTCTTTGCCTGTGATCCCTTTGCCATCTCCTCCATCTCCCCTGTCAAAAATTGAAATGCTCCTTTTGTTTTTAGTCCTATCAGCTGATAGTACAGAAGAATATATGCAAACTAAAATATGCCGAGGACATGGTGTAGCTCCCATGGGAATATCCCAAAGGGTTTTATTGGATACTAAGATATAAAGTGCCTAAATTCCCCGATTCTGTCACTTTACATAGTAAAGTCTTGATAAACATTCATCATTTTGAATATAAGTCAGCCAGTTTTGACAAAGTCGTGCATTTTCAAGTTCGTCTCCAAATACCCGGAGCAAATCAATGCAAATAGCTGTGGCTACAGGTGTCCTCATGGTTCATTTGGGTAGTGTACTGGCATCTGTTCACTCATGACTCATCTGGTCAACCTTGTGCACTGTATGTACAATAGAAATGTCTGACTAGTCAAAAAACCTGAGTTTTTAGTCCCAACTCTGTCTTGAACTAGCTGTGTGATCAATCTTAAATAAGTCACTTGATTCTCCTGAGCTCTGTTTCTTCCTCTGAAAATAAAGCCATTGAATTATGGTGGTTTGAAAGATATTTTCTAGATCTAAATATTTATAATTCTGCGATTTTAAATTATTGTCCAATATGATGCTGTTTACACCATATGATGCAAACCTCAGTGGTATATATTTTGTTGTCTAAGTATACTGTATCAACATTTCTAAGGTGAATTAATATTTAAGGATACAACTGTGGATTTCTTGTTTCTCTGAATACATCAATAGCTTATTTTCACTTGGCATATCAGTGCAGAGTAATAGGAACTTGGTCTTAGGGACAATTGAAGCAGTACTGCTTGTGATTATTAAGAAATGTATTCAAATTTCTAAGCTGAAATCAGTCCTTTCCTAGGTTGCCATGATGAGATTTTTAGAAGTCTGAAGCCAGCCCTAGCTTACCTCTGGAGATTATGATTACATATTTAGATATATTTTATCATATCACAGTGGGAGTTGGTTGAAGGAACCAACCAGCTGTGCTTTCTTGCACTGGAACTTTCAGCCATGCAGTAAATGGCACAAGCTATTTTCTTTAGGAAGTATATTTTGTTGATTACAAAATACAGAAATAAAACTAAAGTCTAGCAAACAAGGTGCTCAAAAAGGTGATTAATAAGAAAGAGAAAATTATGCCGCAGCAACATATCTCTATGAATATGTACTCCTTGTAGTTAACATCTGAGGCAAATATTTTGGATTTTGAATTGGCTTATAAATGCAGCTATCAATAGAGTGATATCAGCATAATTCTTAGAGAATGCATATAATTTAAAAAAACATGGCTCTTTATGAATAAGTAGTGAGGCTTTGTTGATTATTGACAGAGAAATTTTAAGAAATAGTAAGAGTATTCAGAAGAAACTCTTCAAGCCTATGCTGCTCTAGGTAAACTGTGTTTTACAAAAAAGGGAAGCAGAGAAACTTGTTTTATTAACATGCAGCATCATATTTTCAATATTTTCTCCACTAGCATTCAATGTTCTTGGTGAGGAAAGTAGCTGTTTGCATTCAATGTACCCTTCTCTTGGCTTCCTTCATCTTTAGCAGACTTGGAGAAAAGAACAGATTTCTTTTACAAATATAATACAAAAATTCCTGCACTAGGGAATAGCTATAGTCTTTTAAATCAGAAATTGAGCAAGGCCTTTATTTTTTCTCATTGGCTCTCTTTGTAACATATCACTACACATATCACTGCTGGTGTGTTGATAATATTTAATGATCATTATATTAGCAATATTAATAAAGTATGTTAATTCTCTTTTGCAGTTATGTCAGTTCCCTTGTGTTAAAAAGAAATCATTAGTAATTCCGCATTAACTCACAAAAATTTTCCAATTATTTCAGGGCTGAGTTTTCAAACTTCCACAGAGACCTCATAAATAAATAAGGCCTTTGCATGTGACAATTTAAACCCCTCTATTTCAGCTTCCATGTGCAGCAATTTTGTAATCAGCCATAAGGAAAGGAAGAGCAGGCTCCTGAGGTGTTTAAAGGGTCTGGAGTTTGCACTTTGACTTGCCAATTTCAATTAAAGGCTTCTTCAGCAGTATACAAGTAGGGTTGAGATTGTACTTTTTTCATAGATTTTTTCTAGTATTTTAATAAATCTTATTCATCTTTTACTGTTCCTTTGTCTTGGTATATCACTCAGTCTTATGTATTTATCAGGACACTGCTACATTAAATAAAGTCCATTCTCCTTGGATTAATAGAATCAATTCCTTGCACATGGCTCAGTTCAATGTGGGTCATGAGGCAATCCTACCTGACTCTTATCTAAGCCGTGACTTGGGGACAAGGCTATTTCCATCTTGCAACTTGGAAATCTTAGAATCCTCTGCTTCCAGCCTCTTGGCTAGAAGAAAGAAAGAGAGTGTATAGAGACGGCACCTCTACTCTTATTTGCCTCAGATCAGAAAAGATGTAGACGTTCTTTAATTATCCACTAGCAGGAATTAGCCACATGACCCCACCTTGATCAAGGGCAAGAAATACAGTAAGGATCATGAGTATTTTATGAGTAGGAACAGTCTCAGTCATATTTCAGAAAAAATTAGAACTATTTCTAATGAGAAGGGGAAAAGCAAAATTCAATCTGTAGCTAAACAAAACAAAGAAATCATCTTTTCTCCCAAGAGTGTGGTGGGCTATTTAGATTAATGAATTCTAGACTCAATATGATCAATGATTTTGACATTACTAATGCTAATGAAATATTTGTATTCTGGGTATTTCCACTTTGAAAAGCACTTTTACAATACTGTAGCCTCAGAAACTTACAATTTTGACATGTAATAGTTACTCATTAAATATTGGTTGAATCAATGAATGCATGCTGATTCAATTCAAGCCTCTAATAGCCTTATATCCTATTACTGGTTGGTTGATGGGGCCACCAGTAACAACACAACTTTGGTCACAGACTACACCACAGCTCATAAAGATTTTGGGGGAACAAATGAGAGAGAGAGAGAGTTGCCCTCTTCCTTCTTTGGCACTGCGCAGCCATTTGGTGTATATGGAATTAGCTGGGCCTGTTATCTAGGGAGAAGAAAAAGACATCCAACTGTAGCCGTATTCTCTCTCTCTCTCTGTCCCTCTCTCTCTCCTTTTCCCCTTTTCTTAAATTGCTTTACTGATATTCATTAGGGTAAATTCTAGTGGCTGTTACAGGTAAACCCCAACATCTCTGAAATATCTTATGCCAGTGAAGTTTATTTATTGCGCATGGCATCCTCCAGTACTGGTGATCTGGTCAGGTAGGTTCTTTTGCAACTTATGTTACAGTGACTAAGGCTCCTTCCATTTCAGAGCTCCACTGCCTTCACCTTGGCTCTCAGGTTCCACTTACGGTCATTTCCATTTGAGTCAGCTGGATGGAGAGTGTATCATGGAAGATCTTACCTGGGAGGATTTTAGGGTAGTTTTTTTTTTGTGTTTCTTGGTTTTTGTATTTTTTTTTTTTAACAAGCCTAAACGTTGTTTAGCACCATTTCTACTCATATTTCAGTGGCCAAAATTTAGTCATATGGCCATATCCAGTTACAGGGCAATTGGAAAATCTTTTCTAGCCTTCATTCTGAGAAAAGTAAAACAGTCTCTGTCACAATACTAAACATCGATTAAATAGACATGATATTCAAAAGTTAGGTATTCATTCACAAAAATCATATTTGTTAACAGACTTAAAATTTTTACTCTCACTATACACAGGCATTATCTCTATAAGCTATTCATGTTTGTTTTTTCACAAGCTGCCATTCACTGGGTAACGGAAAAAGAAAAGAAACTAAATTTTAGTTTAACTGAGTGAAGAAATACCATAGAAGCCTTCTATCTAATGTGCTCATTATTAATATTTGGTTGGTTACTTGAAAAAGTTTGGTGAGGCAGGAAATCATAGAAACAGACTTTTAAGTATATTAGGGATTTTAACTTAAAACATATACATGCACAATGTTTTGCCTAGATTTTTAATATAAATTCAAGACTTTCATTTGTATATGGATGTACTGATTAAAGCAGCCCCCACCTCCCCACCCCCCTCTCCGCTGGGCCGCCGACTATACAGTCTGTGGCCTGTTAGGAACCTGGTAGCAGAGCAGTAAGGGAGCGCTGGGTGAGAGTGCCTGAGAAACTGTGGTCAGATCAGCCTGGGCATTAGATTCTCATAAAAGAGAGAACACTATTGTAAACTGTGCATGTGAGGGATCTAGGTTTCATGTCTTTTATGAGAATCTAATGCCTGATGATGTGAGGTGGAAGAGTTTCATCCTGAAACTCCCCATCCCCTGCCCCCATCCATGGAAAAATTGTCTTCCATGAAACCAGCTCCTAATGACAAAAAGGTTGGGGACTGCTGGGTTAAATTACAACCTTTCATTCCTGCATAAACTACATGTATGTGCTTTTTACAATTTTACGTTTTACTTTTCTTAAAGAAGCAAATTTCCAACTCCCTCTATCTTTTAAAGTTGTCTCTTCCACACCCAATTTGATTGTCATTTTGTACAACTCAATGGTTTTAATATATTGTGCAACTATCACAACAATCTAATTTTAAAATATTTTCATCATTCCCAAAAGAAATGCTGCACTGATTAGCAGTCATTTCCCATTTCTCCCTTCCCCCAGCTCCTACTCATCTATGCTCTGCTTTCTGTTTCTATGGATTTGCTTATCTTTTAATCAAATCTCTAATGATGAATGTTTATGTTGTTTCTACAATTTTTTACAATTATCTGCAAGGCCCTAGTAAACCTCTAACACATAAACTTTTAACATTTTGTCTGATTATATCCTTTTTTTCTTGTTTTGTTATTTTCCTCTTTTAAATTTATTTTCTTCATTGACAAAAACATATATATATACAGTTATCATATAAAACATGATGTTTTGAAATATGTATACATCGTGAAATGGTTAAATCCAGCTAATTCACATACACGTTACCTTACATTTTATCATTTTTTTCATAAGAACAGTTAAAATCTATTTTCTTTGTGACTTTCAAGAATATAATATATTGTTTTTAAAGTTATTATTTTCACCATGTTGTACAATAGCTCTCTCTTTTTTTTTTTTTTTTTTCACAAGACCTAGTGCCAGGTTTATTCCCTCACGTGGGTGGTTCACATACACAGCACAGAGGCACGGGCACCATGGGAGAGGGCAGCACTCCTGCCTTCTGAGGGGATCTTGGCCTCACAGTGTAAGAAGGGAGAGGATGGTTTCTCTTCTGCCCTCACTAGGGCCTAGGGAACCCAGGAGCAAATCCCACCCCTTCCATCTCTCAGCCAAGGAGAAGCCACCTTGGTGACATTTAGTTCCAACCATTATAGTAAGTGGAGAAGGGATTGGCCTGGTCCCAACCATTACAGGGTGAAGATATAAACAGTAAAGGAAGGTACAGTTTGGATGAGGCCACAGGAAGGAGCAGATGACACCATCAGAAGCATGTGCAGGGGAAGGGCAGTTACTGGGCTTCTGGGCTGCTTAGTCCCTGGCTTGGCAGGAAGGGTAGGGAAGATGGATGGGGCTCATTGTTTGGCATTGATGATGTCCACGAATTCGGGCTTGAGGGAAGCACCACCCACAAGGAAGCCATCCACGCCAGGCTGGCTGGCCAGCTCCTTGCAGGTTGCCCCAGTCACAGAGCCTCCATAAATGATACGGGTGCTCTGAGCCACCGCATCAGAGACGTTGGACTTAAGCCATCCTCGGAGCTTGTCGTGTACTTCCTGGTCCTGTTGGGGTGTTGCAGTCTTGCCAGTACCAATGGCCCACACAGGCTCATAGGCCAGGACGACCTTGCTCCAGTCCTTCACGTTATCTGCGATGACCTTTGTCTGCTCGAAAACAACCTTCTCAGTGATGCCAGCTTCCCTTTCATCTAGCTTCTCCCCAGTGCAGGCGATTACTCCGAGTCCCTCTGCCAGAGCATGGGCCACTTTCTGCCCAATCAGCTCATCTGACTCCCCAAAGACATGCCTTCTCTCTGAGTGCCCCAGGACCACCCACGTGGCTCTGCAGTCTTTGATCATGCCAGGGCTGATCTCCCCAGTAAAAGCCCCATTAGTCACTTTGTAGCAGTTCTGCGCAGCCACAGCAATCTTGGGATCTAGCTTCTGCCGGGCGAAGTCGATATAGGCAGTAGGCGGAGTACAAACCACCTCGGTGTCGGCCGGCACCTTGGCCGCGTTCAGAGTGCGGACGAGCTCCCGCAGACTCTGCTTTCGCCCGTTCATCTTCCAGTTCCCCCCAACGAAGAACTTCCTGGAGGGCGCCATGGCGCTGGAGCCGAGGCGCTGAAGGTCAGTGTCTCTACAATAGCTCTCTTAAACTTATTCTCCCTAGCTAAAGAAATTTTGTATTCTTTTCTTTTTTTTGAGACGGAATTTCTCTCTTGTTGCCCAGGCTGGAGTGCAATGGTGTGATCTCGGCTCACCGCAACCTCTGCCTCCCGGGTTCAAGCGATTCTCCTGCCTCAGCGTCCCAAGTAGCTGGGATTATAGGCATGGGCCACCACGCCCGGCTAATTTTTGTATTTTTAGTAGAGACAGGGTTTCTCCATGTTGGTCAGACTGGTCTTGAACTCCTGACCTCAGGTGATTCCCCCGCCTCGGCCTCCCAAACTGCTGGGATTACAGGTGTGAGCCACCATACCAGCCAGAAATTTTGTATTTTTTAGCCAATATCTCCCCAACCTTCCACCTCCTCTCAGCCCTTGGTAACTACCATTCTCCTCTCCGTTTCTGAGTTCAACTTTTTTTTTTTTTTTGAGACGGAGTCTCGCTCTGTCGCCCAGGCCGGACTGCGGACTGCAGTGGCGCAATCTCGGCTCACTGCAAGCTCTGCTTCCCGGGTTCACGCCATTCTCCTGCCTCAGCCTCCCGAGTAGCTGGGACTACAGGCGCCCGCCACCGCGCCCGGCTAATTTTTTGTATTTTTAGTAGAGACGGGGTTTCACCTTGTTAGCCAGGAAGGTCTCGATCTCCTGACCTCATGATCCACCCGCCTCGGCCTCCCAAAGTGCTGGGATTACAGGCGTGAGCCACCGCGCCCGGCCTCTGAGTTCAACTTTGTTAGATCCTATATACAGTATAAGTGAGCTCATGCAGTTTTCGTCTTTCTGTGCCTGGCTTATTTCAGTTAACATAATGTCCTCTAGGTTCAGCCATGTTGTTACAAAAGACAGGATTTTCTTCTTTTTTAAGGGTAAGTAGTATTACATTGATACACGCGCACACACACACACACACACACACACACACACACACACACATTTTCTTTATGCATTTATCTGCCAGTGGACACTCTGATTCCACTTCTTGGCTAGTGTGGATAATGTTGCAATGAATATGACAGTGCAGATATAAAATGACATCTTGATCAAGATTTTCTAAGACATTCATGTACATTTTTTCTTTTATGATGAAACACATGAAGCAAATCCAAATATATATCTACAGTTTAAAAATGTACCTTTCACTCAGCTTTAGAAATAGAACATGACTTGTATAACAGAAGCCCAGCTGTGTTGCCCTATCCATCGTGCTACCTACTCTTCTCACCTTCCTGAGGTAGCCTCCATTTTGAATTTTATAATATTCATTTCGTTTGCTTACTTTATAATTTTACTATATGTGTATACATCCCTGAAAATATATGTCTTATTTTGCTATTTATTTGCATTTTTATATATGTAATTATATACTACCTCAATGACTTTCTTTTTAAATTCAAAATTATTCTTTGAAAACCATTCCTGTTAATGTATATTTCTGTTGTTCATTCATTTTTACAGCTGTGTATTATTCCATATTTTGAATACATCACAATTTATCCTTTCTACTGTAAATGCAGAGTGTATTATTTCTAGGTTTTGTTACTATAAATATTCTTGTATGTGCCTCCTCATACACAGGTACAAATTTCCTTTGGCTATATCTAGGAGGAGAGGAAATACTGGGTAATAAATAATGGGAATGTTCAAATTCACTATGTAATGCGTTTTCCAAAGAGGCTGTACCAATTTATAACCCAACAAAGTGTTTATAAGAGTTCTCATTGTATCCATAATTACCAACATATTTTTCTACTGTTCATTTGGGATACTAAATTTATTGTTTTATATATATGTAGCAAGTTTTTTTTTTTTTTTTGCCAGCTTCTAGAGTCTAATTTTACTCTCTTGATTGTGTCTTTTGGTAAACAGAAGTTAAAAAAAAATTCCATGTAGTCGAATTGATTGTTTTTAGTTCACATATTGAATTTCTATATCTTATTTAAGAAATCCTGACTATCCCAAGGTCATAAAGGAATTTTCCTATCTTCTGTTTTTAAAGTTTTATAATTTTCTTTTCACATGCTTTAAAACTACCTGAAATTGATTTTTGTGTGGGGCATGAAGTAAGGGTCCAATTTCATTTTTTGTTCCATGAAGAACCCATTGTCCCAGTGCCTTTTATTAACTAATCTGTCATTGCCTCACTAATCTGCAATGTCAGTTTTCTCATATATCAGGTTTCCACATAAAATGGATTTATTGCTAGACTCTCTTGCTGTTCTATTGGTTTACTTATCTGTTCCTGAGCCAATACAAAGTTGTTAATTGCTGTAGCTTTATATAATTTTATATCTTATAGGGCAAATTTTTCAAATTTCCCTTTATCGAAAACGGGCAATTTTATGATATTGGTTATTCTATCGATGAAAATGGTACCGTTCACTTATTTGTATATTTTAAGACTTTTCAATAAAAGTAAAATTTTATCCGTAAAAGTCTTTTATATGTTTTCTTAAGTTTATTACTAGTTTATATATTCTTGACATTATAAATAGATATTTAAAATGATATTTTCTAGCTAATTTTTGCATATGTGTAGAAATACTATGCACATTTACTTTAATAACAGTAGAATTTTTTGGGTTGTCTATGCACATAATTATATAATTGGCAAATAATGACAATTTTGTTTCTTGCTTTGTTGAAAATCATCAATGCTTTCTCTAAAGTCATTAAGGTGACCAAATCATTTTTCTCTTTCATCTGTTAATGCAGTGAATTACATTTGTTAATTTGCCAGTGTTAATCTAATTTTGAAATTTTTAGATAAATGCAACTTGGTCATGAAAACATTATCTAACCATGTCTGGAATTGGCTGGTTAATAATTTAGCATTTCTATGTTTATGTTCTTAAGAGATTTTGGACTATAGCTTTTCCTTTTTGTACTATCACTGTCAGATTTTGGTATGTAAGTTATGCCAGCCTCAATAAATAAAAAAGAGAGTCTACTCTTTTTTCTCTATTTTAGGAATAGTTTAAAATTAGAATAACATGCCTTTTGAATATTTCATAATAATGCCAGTAAAACCAGCATTTTTTGCTGGTTTGATTTTATTAATGGATATGGACTATTCAATTTTCTTACTTATTTGTGAGTAAATTTTGGAAAGTTATAGTTGTCTAGGAATTTACCCATCTTATCTCAGTTTTCAGGGTTTATTTGGTATGAAACTGATCATAATATTCTTAATCTCTCCTCCATGTGTAGGTATTCCACACTTTGCCTTCTTAAAAAGTATTCATTTATAACTTTTCTTCCCTGATTTTTTTTTCCAGAATTTTGCCTATTTGGAAGAAACGTATCATTTTTAAAGAGACTGTATTTGATTTGTTCATACCCTTTATGGTAGCTCGCCATTTCTGCTCTTATTCCTATTATTTCCTTTCTTCTGCTTTTAAAGATTTATTTAGGTTCTATTTCTAACTAAAGAGGTTGAATACTTAATTTATTAATTTTCAGCTGTAAGGCATTGACTGTATACCATAAGTTTTGATAAATACTGCTTCAATGATTGTTCAGTTGTAAATATGTCCTATTTCTATATGATTTTAATTTGCAAACAGAGTTTTCTAGATATTTTTAAAATTGATTGCTAACTATATGCATCGTGGTCAGAAAATAAGTTGCACTTGGTATTAATTCTTTGAAATTTATTGAAGTTATTATAATGGCCTAGAACACCATTAATTTTCCTAAATATTCCATGTGTATCATGAAAGAATCTGTGCTTTGAAGTTTTGGGGTACAATGTTCCTGGTATTCATAAATTGTTCATTGGGCTGTTTCATCTATCCTTTCTCAATTTTGACTGCTCATTCTATCAATAATTGAAAACCCTATGTTTAAGTACCCAATTATGTTAGTGGATTGGCAATATTCAATTTTACGTTAATAACAGACTTTCAAATAAACTCTTGAGTAAGCAGATAGACATATGATTCCGACCTGGGAATCATCACATTTACATGATCTGTCAGGCCAAGAGATTAGATAACACAGAGCAAAAATAAGGAAGAAGCCTGAGGATTGAGCCATGGGGCACAACAGTGTTTATAGGTTGGGAAGACAGGAAGGAACAGACAAAAAAAAGACTCAAAGAAGCTAGTAAAGTAGGAGATAAACCCAGAGAGAGTGGTATCCTGAAAGTCAAGTGAACAAAGGGTTTCAAGGAGCAGGAAGTGCTTGACTGCATCAAATGTTGCTGAATGACCAAGATGACAAATAGAACAAACCCAATGGTCGTTTTAGCCATGCATATTAATTGATGGCAGCAGAAGTCTATATATCAGTGGTACCAGACTACTTACTAGTAGTCTGAATCTACCAGAATTCAGGGTGCTGGGGCCCTAACTTTGCAATCAAAGAGCTAAGGGGAAGGTAAGTCTAATAAGTGTACTCAGGCTGTCTGTCTCTGCTAACCTTGCTACACATTTACCTCTGCTTTGATATAGCTGTACCCACTGTGGTTTGCAAAAGGTGGTGAGGTAGCCTTTTCCAGAAGTCAATAAAGAGAGTGGGGTAAGAGTCCTTGTACCGTCAAAGTGTTTTGATTGATAATCCAAATACTTTCCTCCTCCCCAGGATGGAGCTCACAGCATAATGCTCTCACTGCTACCCCTTGCTTGCTCTGATGGACTCCTGCTCAACTTTCCCTTGCAGTCAGAAGAAGCAGGGTTCTTATTTTTCTTTGCCCACATTGTATTATTTTACTCCTTTTCTAGCCTCAATGATAAAAGAAGTTATTCTTTTTCACACTGGTGGAGAAGCAATGGTAAAATATAACCTAAAGAAATTTGAAAAGAGTTTAGTGTTTGATATTTAACAATTCATAATGTTTAACCTGTAAGAAAGGTAAATTTCCCAACTTACTCTTCCTTCTCACACATACATAAACTGGCTCTTGGCTATGTCTTGGAGGAAGATGGCTGCAACAGACAGGCCTTTAGGGGGAGATTAAAAATGTAACAGTTGAGTGAGGGAGCCATCTTATTGGAAGCTTCGGGAACATCAGCATAAACAGTCCTTAGTTCTAACAGTCAGGGCTTCCCTTAGAAGGGTAAAGGTCCCAAGATAATGTGACCAGTACAAGGATGCTGGAGAAAGTACTGCCCTTAGACTTGGATAAGAGATGCACCTGCCTTGCATTCTATACTTTAGGGCACCTCATGTGACACTTCTCTGTCTACACCCCTCCTTACTGGGGTAGGCATGCTGGGAACAAAGGAACGGGCCCACCAGGAACCTGCAACTGCCCCCAACCTCCAACTTCTAGGTCACATCTGGGTACCTAGGACGCATGGCTGAAAGCCTGTTACAAGGGCTTGTACACATCTTTCTTCTGAATCTGTCTTCCCAAGTGTATACCATACCTCAAATCACCATCCCTATAGGCCCCAGGTGTGGCCAAGGAGTGACTGTTTGTGGGAGTGAGGGATGTGATGGAACATGGCAAGTGAACAGGAGTGTACAGATATATTTGAACATCCCATAGTGTGTGATGAAATCAGATTGGGAAGAGTGGGCAGTGGGTTATTAATAATATTTCCCTAAACCACCATATGATAGTATGGAATTTGGACAATTCTAACAGCTTTTAAATTCAAGACTGATCTTACATGTTGATATGATTTGGATCTGTGTCCCAATCAAATCTCATGTTGAATTGTAATGCCCAGTTTTGGGAGTAAGGCCTGGTGAGAGGTGATGAGATCATGGGGGGTGGTTTTCTCCTCAGTGATTTAACACTGTCCCCTTGGTGCTGTTCTCGTGATAGTGAGTTCTTGTGAGATCTGGTTGTTTAAAAGTATGTAGCACCTCTTCCCATCCCTTGCTCCTGCTCCCACCATGTGAGATGCTTCTCTTCCCCTTTGCCTTCTACCGTGATTGGAAGTTTCCTGAGGCCTCCCTAGAAACTGAGCAGATGCCAGCATCATGCTTCCTGTACAGGATGTGGAACCATGAGCCAATTAAACCCCTTTTCTTTATAAATTACCCAGTCTCAGGTATTTCTTTATAACAATACGATAACAAACTAATACAGAAAATTGGTACCAAAGAGTGACGTATTGCTAGAAAGGTACCTGAAAATGTGGAAGCAACTTTGGAACTGGGTAATGGGCAGAAGTTGTAAGGGTGTGGAGGGCTCAGAAGAAAACAGGAAGATGAGGGAAAGTTTGGAACTTTAAGAGACTGGTTGAATGTTCATGACCAAAATGCTGGTAGTGACATGGACAGTTAAGGCCAGACTGACAAGATCTCAGATGGAAATGATGAACTTATTGGAACTGGAGTAAAGCTCACTTTTGTTATGCCTTAGCAACGAACTTGGCTGCATTGTACCCCTACCCTAGGAACCTATGGAACTTTGAACTTGAGAGCAATAATTTAGGCTATCTGGCAGAAGAAATTTCTAAGCAGCAAAGTATTCAAGATTGGGCCTGGATGCTTCTAACAGCCTATCTCATATGGGTGAGCGAAGAAATAACCTAAAGTTGGAACTTACATTTTAAGGGGAAGTAGAGTGTGAAAGTTTGGAAAATTTGCAGCCTGGTCATGTGGTAGTAAAGAAAAGCCCATTTTCAGGAGAAGAATTCAAGCGGACTGCAGAAATTTGCATAAGTAAAAAGGTACCAAGTGCTAATCACCAAGGCAATGGGGAAAAGGCCTCAAAGGCATTTCATAGTAGCCCCTCCCATCAGAGGCTCAGAGGCCTATGAGGACAGAATGGCCTTGTGTGCCAGGCCCAGGGCCCTGCTTCCTGGTGCAGCCTCAGAACATTGCTCCCTGCATCCTAGTCACTCCTGCTCCAGCCATGGCTCAAAGGGGACTAGTTACAGCTTGGGCTGCTGCTTCAGATGTTGCAAGCCATAAACATTGGCAGCTTCCAGGTGGTGCTAAGTCTGTGAGCGCACAGAGTGCAAGAGTTGAGGCTTGGGAGCCTCTGCCTAGATTTCAGAGGATGTATGGAAAAGGCTGGATATCCAGGCAGAAGCCTGCTGCAGAGACAGAGCCATCATGAAGAACCTCTGCTAGGGCAGTGCAGAGGGTAAATGTGCTGTTGGAGCTCCCATACGGAGTGTCTACTGGGGCACTGCCTTGTGGAGCTATGAGAAGAGGGCCACCATCCTTCAGCCCCCAGAGTGGTAGATGCAATGGCAGCATGCAGCCTGCACCTGGAAAAGCCACAGGAATTCAATGACAGCCCTTGAAAGCAGCTGCAAGGGCTGAACCTTGCAGAGCCACAGTGGCAGAGCTGCCCAAGACCTTAGGAACCCACCCTTTGTATCCATATTCCCTAGATGTGGGACATGGACTCAAAGGATAATTATTTTGGAGCTTTAAGATTTAAAAACTGCATTGCTGGGTTTTGAACTTGTGTGGGGCCTGTAGCCCTTATTTTGGCTGATTTTTCCCTTTGGGGATGGGAGTATTTACCCAATGCTTATACTCCCATTGTGTCTTGGAAGTAACTAACTTGTATTTTTATTTTACGGGCTCATAGGCAGAAAGGACTAGTCCTGTCTCAGATGAGATCTTGGACTTTGGACTTTTGAGTCAATGCTGGAATGAGTTAAGACTTTGGGAGACTGTTGAGAAGGGATTATTGTATTTTGCAATGTGAGAACCATATGAGATTTGGGAGTCCAGGAGTGGAATGATATGGTTTGGATCTGTATTCCCACCAAATCTCATGTTGAACTGTAGTCCTCAATGTTGGAGGTGGGGCCTTATGGGAGGTGGTTGGATCATGAGGGTAGGTTTCTCATGAATGGTTTAGCACCATCCCTTTGGTGGTGTTCTCCTGACAGTGAGTGAGTTCTTATGAGATCTGGTTGTTTGAAATTGTGTAGCACCTTCCCCACTTGCTGTCCTTGCTCCTGCTCCCCCTATGTGAGATGTCTCACTCCTCTTTGGCCTTCACCATGATTGGGAGATTCCTAAGGCCTCCCCAGAAGCTGAAGCCACTATGCTTCCTGTATAGCCTGCAGGACCAAGAGCCAATTAAACCTCTTTTTTTAAAAAAATTACCCAGTCTTGGGTATTTTTTTTATAGCAGTGTGAGAACAGGCTAATACATGGTTGTTATGAAGGTATATTTATCAAGGTAAAAATATAAAATTGTTTTCATTTGACATTTTGTCAGATTGATTGATAAGCTATAAATACTTAAACTATTTTGTATGTCTTACTCTGGGCCCTACAGAATGTTAGGGATGGAATATAGAATATGGGGGGACTCTATTAAGACTCGTATGTATATTAAAGAATGTCATAAAACAATGCATATGTGTGCAAAAGACAATTCATTTTTTAAAAATGCTTTAGGTGTTGCTTTTGTAAGGCATAGCATTTTGCTGCACTCCTTCCAAAACACAGGGCCCTAGTAACCACCCTAACTGCCTTACCCACGGGTGGTCCTGCCAACCAGGTTGGCTTCCTCATTCCTCTACAGTCCTTGTCCAAATAAAAAGTCCTTCCTTACCCAGGTGGTATTCCTTACTTCTTCATTCCTCTACAGTCTTTCTTCAAATAAAAAGTCCTTCCTTACCCGGGTGGTGTGTCTTACTACCCTCCTGTGTTTCTCTCGTCCTTCTACTGAGCTAAAATGTGTCATAATACCAGCTCCCTTCTGTTCCACATACAGCAAAATCCTACTTCTCTTCCCAGACCTAACACAAAGACCAACTCATGGAGATTTCTAATCATCTGTGTGTGTTTCTGTCTCTCCCAGCAGCATATGAACCCGAGGTCAGGAGGAATATCTGAGTCATCTTTGTTTCTCTAGGTCTGCCCCAGAACCCTACACATGCAGGCATTCACTGAATTCCTTCAGGTAAAATGAATAAATTCCCCAGTTCTCATAGAATATGTATCTAGCACGATGGTTTTAGCCCTGAATGATATATTGAATATGAGCAGTAGGGCTATTTCCTGTCTGCATATTCTGTCTTACTAACAGATTTCAAATTCTGAAAAGGGTCTTGTAGTTATCATTATATGAATCTTTCAGAGCAACTAGCATAGTTTTGAGATAATAGTTAGCTCCTAGTCATGTCTTAAGTTCATTAGAGAAGAAGGGATGTGAAGAAAATGATTTAAAATGAAAATGGAGACAAGTACTTCCAAATGATTGTCGAGAATGCCCTATGTCCACAGATGTGTTGCAGTAAGGGCAAAAGGAGAGTAAAGTTGGAGAAGACTGGAAATTACCTCAAGATTCTGAAGAGAGAATTCTATTTCTGTTTTTTACTTCCCTATTACTTCCCTTATTTTTAGGATTCAAAGTGATCTTTAAGGTGATCTCCACTGTCACTACGCCCTTTCCTCTTAGTCCAAGCTGTCAAACTGCTTGACAGTTGCATATTTCTCTCTAGTTTATACAACTTGCAGATGCCTTCCTAAGCTACACTCTACTCTGCCTTGAGAAAATAATGCTGGCAGTTGACTCTGTATTATCCCCTAGCCCAGGAACACAGATTTAAAAACCCTCCTACTAATTCACGTTGGTCTTTGAAATATATTTTTCTGAACATTAGCACAGCCATGAATTAATTTATGACTTTAATTAAGTTTTTTTTAAAAAAACCATAATCACAGATAATACAGATGAGATGGCTAAAAAGAGTCAGTATCAAGCCAAAAGCTACACTATGATTAGACCATATATCAGGACAACACCTTTTCTCCCAATTCAAGTCAAATAAAAATGAGGAATGGAGAGTGAGGTGGCTGCTGAGACAAGGCGATCTGCCTGAACCATGCCCTTTTCACACTTATTGGGGGCCAGGGCTGGAGTTTGAGCAAGTCCAGAACAGAGGCTGCAAAGAGCACACCTGGCAGCAAGAGCAAGCAGTGGGATTAGCGTGCATTTTTAAATCAGAGAGAACTGGGTGTGAATTCTTCTTACTAAGAGCTTGGGCAACTCACCGTCTCTGAGCCTCAATTTCTTCATTTTTCATTTAGTTTTTGAATAGCATGAAACCAGGACTAGTGGACAATGTTTGAGATACCAGGATATATATCCCAAGAGATCTCAATAGATTGCAGCAAATAGGCTTGGTCTTAAAAGGAATTTAATAAGAAAATATATAACATTCTACTCATGGTTTAAAGAAACTTACATCACTAAGCATGCAGGTGCCATAGTAATTACATACACACCTAGAGAGGGTGAACTTCATGTGAGGGTGAACTTTACAGAACTTCATGTAAAAGAAAAAAATACATTGGCTTTAAACTGTCACACACACACAAACTTCATGGAGGAAAAGACATGAGAATTAAGGATTGGAGGACAAATTTGTGTTCCCACAAAAAGATTTTTGGCAACAGATTAAACTTTTACTCCAGAGGACTCATGGGGGAGAAATAGAGAAGAATTTAGGTCATTGGGAGACATGTCTAATTGCCAGAACTGACAAGAGTGATGTCGGCCATTCATTTCTGGAGCTAATTAACACCCATGCCTGGAAGTAATCAAGTGAAACTTGCACTGAAGGTAATATAGCATAATGGTTAAGAGCACACACACACTCTAGAGACAGACTGCCTGAGTTGAAATCCCAGCTCTGCCCCTTTCAAGCTGTGCCTTTTTGTGCCTCAGTTTCCCCACTTGTAAAAATGGAGATAAAAGCAATGCCTATAATTAACAAATGTAAAGTGCATTAGTGCTATGTAAGCTTTAGACTTTATTAGTGGTAGTATTTATTGGAGGTGTTGTTGTGGAAAGAACTTGTGCTTTACATGAGCTTGGTTGGATGAACAATACGGGATCTTCCTCCTCTGAGATCCCATAATCCTATGTTTCTATATACTCTGTCACAAAAGATTAAAATTGCCAATTAAGCACTAGCTTAGGCATTTTTGAAAAACAAAAACAAAGTGACAATAACAACAAATCATTATTTTTCTTAAAAAAATCTTCGACCATCCTTTCCTGAATAGTAATGAATAGCATGTTTGAACAATTATTCATACAATTATTCTGTGACTTCCAAAAGAAAACAGCTCCCCACAAAACCAGCACTTGGGCATATACGAGCAGCAGAGGTAAAGATAGAAAGGAGAGAAGGATGCGAGTCAAAGTTAAGTCTGTTTTAGAAGAGAAGTTTATAAAAAGACTCTGTGATATGATGAGGACATAACGAAGGACAATTGCTGTGGCCATGGTAAACATGTCCCTTGATTGTGAATACTGAGCTTCCTAAGGAGTCAGGATGGCAGTCTGATGGGTGTCTCCATCAGGGGGGAAATGCAATAATTCTTCATTGCACACAGCTTCCTCACTATTCTCCCGTCTTAGTCTCCTTAGTCTCCAATCCATTTGTATGCTCCTGCCTGAGTGTTTCTTCTAGAATGCCAACTCACCCCTTCCTAACACCCCTCAAGGACTCCCCATAAGTCTGTGGCATGACATGTAAATTCTTTCTTTAATAATTCATTATTAACTGTGGTGAAGTCCTAACATCTTACACCTGTTTCCAAGTGAGGCCGCTGACTACCCATGATGTTTGTCCCTGATCTCCACCCCCAGATGTATTAAATCAGAGTCTCTGAAGCTAGGACCCATAAATTAAGAAACTCAACCCAACAATTCCATCCGCATTGGCCTGGCTGTCACTACAGGAGGTGGGTGTCTTTTTTTTATTACAATTTAATGGAATAATGTTTAGCTCCAACCCTCACACTTACCTCTCTATAAACAGCAGCAGCAGCAGCACCTAACAAAGCTCTGACTAAGGCAAATAGCTACAGATGGCTTAGCCCTCTGCTCTGGAACTGTGTCTTCCAGCTGAACTGAAGATATAATTCATGGCAGCGAACCTGAAACTGCAACTCTTGACAGATTAATTCCATAACAAAAATCAATCATGGCACTTGTTGCCGGCATACATAATATTTTGAGTTTCCTGTCTAGCACCACTGAGACAAAGACTTCCTTGACCTTGACTACATTAAACGAATGTGCTGATGCATTAATGTAATCAGCTGATCACTGCATGCACCATCATCCCTGTCTGCTTAACAGTGATCAGCATTGAGCTCTTGTTTCCTGTGGAGCTACCTAACCCAACTAAATTGCCATACTTACTAGCAGAAAAAATGCCTCTACTTGCCAAAAATAGTAGTTATAGCAACATCCTGATAATGTTTATTTTTTGACTGGTCACCTCAGGCGATATGTCAGCTGATTTGCCTGCTAGCTTTTCCCTGAGCAAATGTCTGCCATTCAAGGAAAGTGGTGGAGGAAGCTCACACTGGAAATTCCAGTTTGACTGCAGAGAAAATAATCTCCTGTTCAGAAAATACCTTTGTTCACTTCCAGGGAAAAGAGGCTAAACAGGAAAGGAAACATGGACAGGTAGCTGGCTGAGCACATCACCTGTATAATGAGCAAACTGAAAAGGCTGGCATATGGCGTGACAAGGTGGATGGAGTAGAGAGAAGGAAAATAACTTCTCTGTTTTTAAGATTAGAGAAATTGAGGGACAGCAGACAATGTGAATTGCAGTCAGGGCAGAAGAACCCTTAGGGAAAGGGCTATTGATTCTTCCATTGGATTGCTCCACACAGATAGTAAGATGGGTGAAGACTTTCTTGGTCGATGTAATCTGAGAGACAAAGTTTCTAAGTAGCCTAGTGTGAGCTAGTGTGGACACCATTCCCAGCAACCAATGTGTATATAGAAGCCTGGTGTCTGATGTCTAATCATGAGCAACCCTGCATGGGTATTTCAATTAGACAAAGATGGTTAGGAGACACACCTGAACTTAGACACCTGAGTGCTAAGTGCAGATTTCTCATTTTGAAAGCTCTTAATTTACCATTTTATAAAATGATCCTGTGGCAAAAGGAAAGAGCTAATTAAGCATTTCATTGTCTGACTGATATAACAAAGCACAAAGTGGCAGTGAGAAAAAATCAGCACTGGGAAACATCTGTCCCACTCTAATCCTGAGAATTTCACAGCCTAGGACCACATCTGCAGATGGAGGTTTTAAAAAATTGAAATAGAGGAATCTTCAAATAGCACGTTATAGAAATACCTCCAGGGAATAAACTCTAGGTAAAGTTCGCTCTTCAAACCTGTACATAAAATTTACTGTTCTTAGAAATGATAAGTGTACCTCAGTACAGAGGAAATCATGTTCAAGTTGGCAGTGATTTAATGAATACAAGAAAATTATACTGAAGTTTACTGTGTGTTGTCTTTCTCATGCTCAAGGATTTGCTAAGTGTCTTTCTAACAAGCAATTAAACTGCTGAGAGACCAGGGATGGGTGGGCAATGATAAAATGTCTACTCTTATCCTCATAGTTTATAAATTGCCTAGAATATCTTGTTAGCTGCTGGAGGAGTGTTGATTTCTGATGTCATATCTCTCCCTGCATTTACTTGAGTGGGCAATGAGATTTGGGGTGAATAACTTCATTTGTAGCTTCTTCTACTAATACTGTGGTAAACTAGTATGCAGGTAGGGCCATTCATATATGCTGAAAATGTGCTCCCCAAAGACAGACCACTCAAAAGCACATAAGCAAATAAAAGCACTTTAATTTTGTATTATAAAATTAATAGAAAATTAGTGTAGAGATACAGAAAAGACAAATAATCAAAGAGAAGAAATAAAAGCAATGTATACTCTCACAGCCTAGAGTGTTAACTTGCACAGGGTGCCTGGTGCATAGTAGGTGCTTAAGAAATATATGTTGAATAAATATTTCCTTCCATTCTTTTTTAATGCAAATATATACATTTTTAAAATAAAAGTGAAGCATATTGTACCTAGTTGTCTGAAACCTGATTGTAAAACTTTTAGCACTGGATTGTAAATAGCTTTCCAAGCCATTAACTATATTTATATGAGAATTTGACATAGCTACTCATTTGTAGACACATTGGGAGTAAAAATTAGACAACATCCAATAGCATACTCTCATTATTTCATTCATTCAGTACGTATTTTTTGAACACTTACCATGTGCCAGAATTTATTCTAGACACCTGGGCTGCATCGGGAACCAGACAACATTCTTGCTTTCATGGGACTTCATTTGTAGCAGTGGGAGGCAGATCACAAAATTTTAAGCATAATGTATAAATGTTTGAAGATGATAAGCACCATGGGAGAGAATAAAGCTGGATAAAGAGGAGAGAGAGTAACAGGAAAGTAGGAGGACAGGGCAGTAATTTTAAAAGGTGATATTTGAATAAAATCTTGAAGGAGAAGAAGGATTTAGCCATATAGATATTTTGAAGAAAATGTCTCTGGCAGAGGAAACAGCTATGGCAAAGACCTCCAAATCAGAGTGTAATTGGCCTGTTCAAGGAATAGCAAGGTGGCCAGAGCATGTGAAGTAGAATGAGAAAAGTAGGACAAGGTCACAGAAGGCAGGAGGGAAGGTCAAGTGGGAAATTGGAAGACCTTTTAAAGAGCTTTGCCTTTTTCTCTAAGGGAAATTGGGAGTCCCTGGGGTGTTCTGAGCTGAGGATTGACATGATCTGACTTCTGTTTTTACAGGATCTGCCTGAATGCTATGTCAAAAATAGAAGGTAAGGGGCAAAGGTGGGAGCAGAGAGAAGAGGCCAGTTAGGAGGTTACTTCAGTGAAGCAAGCAATAGTGAGGATGGCTTCCACCAGGAAAGGATAATGGAGGTAGTAAGAAGTTCAATTCTAGATAGATTTTGAAGGTATCCAGTGATTTTGATGTTATCCATAGATTTTTTTAATTTAAATTTTTAATTTTTGTGGGTACATAGTAGGTGCAAATATTGTAGTTTTAACGTATCCATTGATATATGCTGTTGGATAGGATGTGGTGTCTGAGAGAAAGACAAGAGTGGAAGGTCAACTCCTCGTCTTTGGATTGAGCAATGGGAAGGGGAGAGTTACCCTGTAGCAAGATGGGAAGTCTGTGGGAGGAGCAGACTTTAGGAGGTAGAGATTGGGATTCAGTCTGGGTCATGTTAATTTTGAGATGTCTGTTAAACATCCAACTGGAGATATTGAGGATGCAATTGGATTTAAGAGCTTGGAATTCAAGGATAGAAATATGAATCTTCACTAGAGACATAATGTTGGGAGTTATGAATAAATAGGCAGCATTAAAGTCAAGGGACCGGATAAGATCACATTATTATAAGTGAGTAGGTAACAGAAGAGCATAGAAAGCGCCAAGGCATTCCTACACCATCATGCCCAACAACAGATGGTGAGGAATCAGCAAAAAAGACTGAGAGGAGCCACCAGTGAGTCAGGAGGAAAACCAAATGAATGGGGTCCTGGAAGCCAGATAAAGAAGATACACTAAAGAGAAAAGACTGGTTAACTATGTCAACTGCTGTTAACATGATCACTGCTACTAGTCAAGATAGTGCCTTGTATAAAGTAGAAAAAGGCACCCTTTCTTGGGAATGTGTTCCCTCTAACCAGCAAGTCAGCAACTACAGTGTGGATCAGATTCCCCCCTACCTTGCCACTGATCCCTTCTTTTAGGTGCCCTTGGACAGTTACAACCTATGCACTGGCACCTGAAAGTACATGGTGACTCTCATTGTTGATAAGTAGGATAAGGACCAAGACTTGGTCACCAAATTTAGCAACGTGGATGTCATTAATGACCTTGACAGGAGTCATTTTGGAAGAGTGGTATCACAAATCCATGAATGTTAAGAGTTTAAGAGGAAATGAGAGCAGGGAAATTGGAGGCAGTGAATACAGACTGCTCTTTGGAAGAGATTTGCTGCAAAGAGGAGCAGAGAAATAAGGCAGGAACTGGTGGGAAACATGGAGTCAAGATAAACGGAAAAGTAACAGTATGTTTGAGTGCAATGGGATAGATGTACAGCATCATCCTATCTTTCAGGGACTACTGCAGTTGCTTTCTCACTGTTTCCTTACATCCACTCTTGCATCCTGCGGTGTTTTCTCCAAATATCCCGAGTATGCACCTCTTAAATCAAATACTGTAATGATCTCTTCCCATCACACTTAAATAATATCCAAAGCCCATATGATGACCTGTAAGATCCTGCTCTCCTTTCTCATTTCCTACCACTGTCTCCTCAAATATGCAGCTTTAACCTTGCTGACCCCTGCTCCTCCTCCAACACACCAAGCCTTCTCCCAACTTGAGCTTCTGCACTTGCTGTTCCTTCCATCTGGAACTCTCTTCAAATTTTTGCATGTGTTGCTTCCTCACTTCATTCAGGTTTCTAACTAAACACCACCTCCCTAGCCCTTGCTTGATTACCTTATTATCTCCCTGTCACTCTCTATTTCTTTACTCTGTTTTTGTTTAATTGTAGTAATCACTACCTGACTTTATGTATTTTCTTTTAACTCTGTCTCCCCTGGGGAAGATAGTTCCATGAAGACAGGGACTTTGCCTCATTTAATTCATGTGTTTGCATCTAGCCCATACAATAATTATGGCTCACAGAATACACACAATACATATATTTTAAATAAAGTAATAATTGAAAGAACACTACAATTAACACTATGAACACTTTAAGGCTTTTAAAGATATTGGCAATTAGGGGTCGTGGGTTTGAGTTCTATTTGGCCTCTAGAGATGAGTAGTGAAGTGCTCCAGTGTGTACCTTTATATTCAATGTACATGTGTGCTCTAAGTATATTCTACTCAAAGGCAAAGGGCCTTTGGTTCAACCCAATCACGCTGTTTAGGATCGTAAATTTAATGGAAAAACTTTGGTACAAAATAAAACCTGGTATGTTCTTTGTTGTACTGGAAAGAACACTGGCTATACATCAAAATGTTCAAGTCTCTATTCTACTACTTGTTAGTGCTGTGTGACCTTCAAGAAGTCACTATATTTCTCTGTACCTTAGATTCCTAGTCTTAAATTTGTAAGAAATAATATTTCATGTACTTCCATCGACTCATTGCTTGAGGGCCAAGTGAGATATTTGAAATAGTGCTAAACAAATGCACATAAATTTTTTCTCTGGATGAAAAGAAAGTATTTGCGGCTAATCCATGGGGCTGGAGGGGAGAACAGAGAGCTGTGCCACAGCCATGCACCATCTGGCTCTTTAAAATGTGTCCCTCAGGAAGAAAAATCAGACTGTTTTTGAGAGTTAGTAAATAATCACTTCAAAAGTGATATTTTCCAACTCTAATAAGTCTGTGATCAAACAATCAGTTTTTGGGGTAAAGGCCACTGCTTTCCACCAACTGACCTGGAAGTACGTACCATATATTTAATGTCAAGAGTGTGCAAGCATAAGCACTTTTTGCCTGTGAAGAATAGGAAATAAAATTGTGTAGTATAAGAAACTAGACATCCCCATCTAGCTGGGAACTGAGAGACATGCCTGCAAAGCACCTCCAAATGCCAGCCTGTCCCTAGAGTGACCAGAGGTGGTGTTTTAGATACAGCTTTTGTGTGTGTTAGATGCAAGAAGAGAGGAGTTGCCTGGAAGGATGTGAAAGCTAGGAACAGCAGGGGAGTAGGGATAGCTCAAGGCTCTCTTTTCTTTTATCTTTCCCATCTGGCAGCATTTTATTTGTACCTTTACTGGCTCCATTCCCCTTTTTCCACTATCACTCCCCTCTGTTTACTCGTGTTTCTGTTACTCATGTTTTTGTTAGCTCCATCAATGCATGGCCCACCAGGATCACCCTGAGCCTATGTTACTCTATTTGCAGTGGCCCCAGACTACTATCCACAGCCTTTCAGTTTCCCAGTTCCAATATGTATTGAGGAATCTCATTGGCCCAGCTGGCTTAAGCGTTTTGAGCCTGGCCATGTAAATCTTGGGTCATTGGTTTCTTTACTTTGTATTGCCCTTGAGAGAGATGCCCATCTTGGAACAAGCAATCATCTGTGGTCAGACTGAGGTCGGGTGGTGCAGAGCATGGCTGGGCCTGTGGGCAGAGACTGCAGACTTGGACAGATTTCCTAAGAAGGGGTTCAGGTGTTGCAGAATTTTAAATGATACGTCGAGAAGGTGAGGGCATGTTATGTGTGTGGGTTGCCCTTATAGTCTCTTTTAGAAACGTTGTATACTTAGAAAGTACAGGCTATTACCCAAAGAGACAAGTTCATTAGGTCACCACGTCTCTCACTTGAGGCCTTTATTTTATTTTCATCTTGTATATTAATCTAATATATTTTGTCATCCTTATTAATTTTCAAGGCTAACAAACAGGTTTTTGGCATACCAAAAGGGGACCTAGATACCAAGTCCCATTAAATTGTAAGAGCTGTTTTACCACACACACTTTTATTACAGTAGACTTAGGCTGCCCAATATATGAACCTTCTCAGTGGAGTACAACCTGGGATCCTACTACACTACACCCTCCTTTGATGCCCATCTACCCAACTCTGACTCAATTCTCCAAGAGGTTCTTCTTGGTTCCTAGCAGTAAGAACTGGACATCAGGTCATGTCCTCATATTTCCTGAATATACTTTTGGTTGTACAAGCCCAAGCAAATATTTAATGAAAGTGAAGAAATGCTAGAACCCTCCATGTTGGATTCAAACTGGAGGCTTTATTGCCCAGGCAGAGGAGGTCAGGGTTTCTTGCTCCATTGCCACCAATGTTCAGGGGCAAAGATGGCATCAGGGTACCATCTTTTTGGAGAAATGAATTTTTGTGGGTCATCCTTATAGACACGGAAACTGAAAATCCTCTTTTCCTTGGTGCTAAGCTATCAGCACTACCAGAGAGCACACCTGGCCCATGGATAGGACAGTTATGTGGCCTCTCAAGAGGTCTTCTTAGAGCAAGAGTGGGTCTTGGAACTCTACTCTGTTTCATTCCAGGATGTGATGTATAGTGAATTCCTAATGCCACCCCCCACCATCAGAGCCAGAGAACTGAGTCCTTTGGAATGGTGTTGAAGTGGGGGCTCCTGTGGCTTTCTTTGTCAAGCCCAGGGACCAGCCCAGTTGTCTTTTGTTTGAAAGAAGAATGAGGCGTTCTGGTTCTGCTTGATTAATAAGGCTGATTGTGAATGGTTGCTATGACCCCCATTCATTCCTAAATTTCTGGACTTGTTCAAGGAGGCATTCACACAAATAAGCTGGCATGCAGGCAGTCTTTCCATGTTTGAGAGGTCTATCAGAGAAAGATGAAGTTTCACACCTCCTTTGTTGGCAGTTTGATTACCCAGATAGGATGTCCTGGAGAGTCTGAAGGTAGAATCTCCCAGTGACGTTCTTTCTGACTAGGAAGTCCCATGAGGATAATAAAGAAGATGATGGTGACATCAATAAGCCCCACAGGTACCTGCAGACATCCAGTGACTTAGGTGGGGTCACATATATAGTAAGTGGCCTCAGTACCAGAGAGATAGGTTTCCATGATTATTAAGGCTAAATGTGCGGACATTTGAGAGTTTTACAAATGCATGGATTAGTTCACTCCCAATTTCTCCAGCCCAGTTGACTTCATGACTAACTTTTAGAATTGGAACCATTGGCCTGGACTCTAGAGGTTTAGGGGATCCACCCGTCTCTCCATCTTAGCTCACCCTGTATCTGCCTCATTTTGATATTGAATAATTACATTCAAACAATGCTAGTATAAAGATGGTAGGAATTTAGTCCTTCTGACCATAATCGTTGTGACGGGTAAACAGCAGGCCACGGTCTTCTGGCATTTCCTTTGTGTTTGGCAATAGAATACCAAGTGACTCTCAAATCAGTCTCAATGAAAAGTGTAAGAAAAGCATTCCTCTTGAGATGACTGTGTTGCCGTGAATAAAATACACAGACCCAGGTGTCAGTCTCCTCCGCTAACAAGAACCGAGCAATGAGATCAAATGTGGACACACAGTTACTCGGACCTGAGTGGGCCCAGCCCTGAGATTCATCAGGTACGCTAATTCAGGACTGCTTCAGGTTTTAAAGACCAGTTAAAAATGCTCATTGCAGAATATTGTTGTAATGCAACCTGCCTCAGCTTGGAATTCAGTGTAAAGTTATATAACCTCTCTGAGGGAGTGTTCTTAATCAAGTGGCCAAAAAGAACTTGTCCTGAGAGATTTAACTAGCAAGGCAGAGCCATAGCATGGGTGGGGACAGCACTTGCTTAGCACTCAATTTAGTATTTAACAGGGGAAAAATGACTTAATAAGGTCTCTCTTGAATTTAAAAATCTCAGAAATTCTCCCTGTGCCTCTCTCTTTCACACATACTTTCTCCTCAGTCTCTCTGTTTCACTTTTTTTCTTCCCACCTCTTCTTCCTCTTCTCAAGCTCAGTGGATCTGTAAAGTTTGTAAACTCCAGCAAATGTATTATTCACGATAACTGTGATAGTGGAATTCTCTTTAATTTAACTCTTGATGCAGGAAACGGAGCCATTGTGCCTAGTAGAAAATAACTTATCCTTTCTGTATTGCTCCAACAGAAATCTCTCTTCTCATCATCCTATTAAATGAGACCTTATTAAATGACAAGCAAGTGCTTTTCTACCTACCTGGTGAAGGTAAGTTAGGTATCTAGACTCCTTCTTGCCTGCTATAGATGTTGAGAATTGAGGTTGGGAAAACTCTTGCAGAGGAAATAAGGAGAGGCAGGTGCAATGAGTGCCAGAGTCAAGGTTGTCATCTGCATTTTCTGCATCCTGAGCCAGAATAACCTTATTAAACTGTGTAGGTATGTGAGACGCCATCACACTTCTAAAGTAGCCTCTTTATCCTCGAAGTATGAAGGACAGGCTCACTTCTGTTCTACTTCTGGCTCACTCCAGCATCCTTTCATTATGGTATCACATAATCAATGTTAGGCAGCACGTGGATGTGGGTCAGGAGCAAGTGCTGTACCACCCACAGCAGGCCCCAATCCATAAAGGGACTCATCATAGAGAGTCAGTGTCTGGCTAGACTGAAATTGAGAGATTTTCCAACTCTTGTACCTCGGCATCCTTCCTTTTCAAAAGGGAGAAATTGATCTAAAACGAAAAACAGTCTCCAAGGTCTCTCCAGCTCTGCAAGAAGGTATTGAGCCTAAAGTATTATGATCTTAATAATTCTTTTCACCTAGTACCCATCACCAGCACATTATCTCTGATTTTGCCTTGGATATATTTGTTATCTTAAAGGCTCCTCTAACTTTTAGCAACTTAAAATGGAATAAGGGTTGCCACATTTCCCATTTAATGGTGTCTTTGTCATAGGAAAACCCTCAGTTATTTCAAAGGAGTACAGTGTAAAATAATTCCTTGATTAGTGTAGATTGTAGTTATGTTTGTAGGGGCAGGGAGGGGGTTCTGAAGAGGGTGAAGGGAGATAGAGGATGATAAGTGTTACAAAGTAGAAAAACATGCTTCTGGGAAGGGACTTATTTCATACGATTTTTCCTACTTGGGAGGTTTAGTCAATTTTATAAAAAGAAGTCTCCAAAATGATGATTTACCAGCCACATGCAGGTAGTCTTCTTTGGTAAATGAACTTGGGGATAGTGAAAATGAGAATCCCCAGGTACCAGGCAGAAGTACCCCTATTAACCCCACAGCTTGTGGGTGACACACTTTCAACCATGTCTCACATTAATAGGTCATGTGGAAAAAATATTATCTTGGTGAAAGCCAGTTGCATAGATTAAACAACAAATGCTCCAGCCCAAAAAATCACCTGGGAGGGCTAAAGGTCAGTGAATAGAATACCAGTCTAGAGAATCTTATAAATCTGGAGAAAATTACCTTCAGCTGCATGATGAATTTCAAGAAATACCATTTTTATTTTTAGAATGCAATGACTAATATCCTACTTAACCTTGAGATTCTGATCTTACAGGAGCCACGGTGTGGTCCAGCATTGGCATATATAATGGTAAAGCTGCTTTGTCAAAGATAGATTTATTTGTCTGTGGGCTATTATGCTATCCTGACATTAAGATTTAAAAAAGAAAAAAATATGTAGGCGGGCAAGCAAATGAAGCTTTGTATTTTGATCTGAGAGAGATTGAAAGACAATTTCTAAGGTAAAGAATTTTTCTAAGTTCCTTTTGCTTAAATGAATTGTCCTTCTCCCACACTTTTGAAGGCTATTTTGGGTGCTGATTATAAGTTTGGAAAAACTTTTTAGTGGCGTGCTTTTTACATGATAAGACTGACTTCTGCAATCATCTTTTATAGAGATGGTCTCCAGATGCACAGCCCACGTGTTTGTGAAAACTGCATCATATCATCATTGCTTCCCAGAACTGTTACCAGAAACCTTTAGAGAATTAAACACTGTTTTTATATATAATTACCATTTACTTAATCTTTTGTGGTGCTTGTAGTTTTATATAAATATAGTATAAATTTGTTATTTTAGACATTTTAAATTGTGCCATTCAATTCAGTGGCATTAATTACATTCACAATGTTATGCAACCATCACTACTATTTCCAAAAAATTTTATCTCCCCAAATAGAATCATTGTAACCATTAAGCATTAGCTCAGCATATTTCCTCTTCCCCAGTCCTTGGTAACCTCTAATCTACTTTCTGTCTCTACAAATTTTCCTGTTCAAGATATTTCATATAAGGGGAATTATATAATATCTGTCCATTTGTGTCCAGCCTATTTCACTTGCTATAATGTTTGCAAGTTTCACCCGTATTGTAGCATGCATAGAAACTTCATTCTTCTTATGGCTGAATAATAATTTTGCATTGTATGTGTAGACCACGTTTTGTTTATCCATTCATTTGTGATGGACACTCGTTTTCACCTTTGTCTCTTGTTAAAAGGATTCAACTACTTTGTCTTTTAAAATTTGTAATCAACATTTGCTGAAGTGTATTTATTCCCTGGAAAATTCATTCTTTAAGGGTTAGTTTTTTAATATCTTTGCTAGGGAAAACAGTTTCCAGATCCATGCTGGCTGTTTCAAAGGTTCAAACCACACTTTTGCTTTGAATATTAAATCAGCAAAATCACTAGATTTTTTTTCCTAGTTCCACCAAGATGAACAAAGGGTTGTCCCAGCAAAACTACTGTCCTAGGGCCCCAGATGAACCTGGATGGTAAGCCATGCACAGCATTAAGTGCAAAAGTGGAAGAAAAGTGAAATTCTAAGGAAAACATGAGTAGCTGAATTCACACTGAGAGAGTTAGCAGCTGGCTGAGCTATGTGATTTTAGAGCTAAGGTGATAGACTCTGGGCTGTCTTCAGCGCATATAAATCTTTTGCCTTTTAGAGCTAAGGAAAATGATAATGATAAGTCAGAAATTCATTCAGGAAACAGAACCACTCTCAATACTTAAAACAATAAAGAATTTAAGATGGGGGACTCGATTGCTTTCAAAATTGTCAGAAGGACTGCTGTACTTGGTGCTAGGAGGGCACTAGAATGAGTCTCAAAACCATTTTTTACTGATCGTTCAAGTAGCTGCTACCTCTGAAACCACAGCTGGAAGTAAGAATTTAAGAATATAATCTTGCCCCTTTGATCCAGGGTTATAAAACCTAGAGTTGCCGAAGTTGGTTGACCAATCCTTTTAATTTTTCTCTTGCTAAAGAGGTCTATCCAAAGAGAAATAAAAATGTTTATTGGTTACAAGAAAAACTTTTTAAAAACAAAAATGTAGTACTTTGTGCTCAAATAGGTTTTGGTATTTTCCTTCATCACTGAAGGATTTTTGTTTTTTGATAAAATTTTAGAAACTGTATATTTAACATAATTTACAGCATCTAGTTGTTAAGTAGCATCTTTGCACACATTTTTTAGAAGTTAAGATCTGGTATTGGGGTGATGAGATTGAGAGATTATAGGAAGTTGATGAATTGACATCTAAACTCAGCCACAGAATGGAGATGGCAAAGACAATATAGATACAGGATTCCTAGGTTCAAGGAAAGCAGGGGATGGGAGCCATTATTGAGTAGGGGATGGATCCAAGGGGGCTGTAAAGTTTCTGAGTTTGAACAAGAAACAGAAGGAGAAGAGTTGCAAAGTTCCATGTGAATAATTCACTTTTCTTCCGTAATCTCATGTAATTGGCATATAATCTCACTGCAAGAACACTAATGAGCGAAATCAGACATTGTGACTGGACATAATATAGGGTGGGGAGCCAAATAGCAGAGCAAGTTTTCAACCCTGATTGTAGAATGACCTTGTACTGTCTTATCCTGTCCTGTACTCTTCTGACCCACTTCAGACTCTTGGGTTGGAGGCAGGATCTAAAGTCCCATTAGTGGTTAGGACAATTTCCTCCCTCAAGAGAGTAGCCACATTCCTGGCTGAGTGTTAGGTTAGGGAATATCTAGGGAGAACCTCATTTCTACAGCTTCTTGTCACCTTATGAATGAACCTCTAAGAATTAATGGATTCAGGGGCATTTCATTCACACAATTTAGCCCCTTCCTCTCCTTGGGGGGTCTCTGGAGGCAGTTAGAGACAGAAAATATAAACTATGCTCTGCTTTGCACTTCCCTTCCAGGGTAGCCTGTGGCTGTTCAGTACTTCCAAAGCTGTAAATGGGTAAGTCTGTTTAACTAGGGGGAATGTATTAGCAGGCCCATTTGGCCAGTAGACCTGAGTCACCCACTCTTCAATATTAGCTTTCATCAGTAATTAGACTCTTGGGTCTCTCTCTTTACTAATTTACGAATTGGGCGGGAAAGATAGAGGGGTGTTAAGAATTAGTGCTCTCAAACACTTAAAGGTGAAGGTGGGAAGCTTTTTCTCACTCCTTTAGCTCAAGCTGTACCATACAGTGTACATGTGAGGGGCCAGAGGCCACACCTTGGACGCAGACTGTAGATGATGTGGCCCTCTGGTGCAGCCATCTTTTCAGCCAGGCTGGTGATGTCATCATCTTGGAAGGGCTTTGGCAGCATTTTTGATTTCAAATAGATTATTTGTCAGACTTCATTGTTTAGGTGAGATCCAAATAAGCTCCAGTTTTTCACATCACTTGGTTTCACCATAATGTCTCATGTACCAAAACACAATTCAGCAACAAAAAATGACTAAAAAGTACTGCACTTCCAATTTTTACTTGCATCTCCTAAGAGACAGTAAAAGGAATCCAATTCAAAATACAGAAGCACTTATTTATAAATCCTCCTTGTTCTTCTCCAGTTTTTTCACACCCTTGGCTGCTTCCTAAGCCTTTTTGCTCAAAACTCTGCCAGAGTCTCCTTACCACTCTCATAATTGCTTTTCTGTTTTCTCTTCCTTGCTACATTCTTATTCTTTATATATTCACTTCATTTTTTTCTTACTCTATACACTTACAGAATTTTTCAGAATAAGTAAGACCCCAGTGTCAATATGAACTATTAATAACCAAGGATAGATTTTGAGTGTAGAAAGAACTTGGTTTTGTTTATAGTTACCTAGGTTTTAAATTAAAATTAGTTTATGTAAATCAGTCATAATTTTAAAATTCAGTTTTCTTTAAGCCTTTAAGTTGAACTTCAAGTCTTATTATTCTATTTATGAGTTTAGTAATTGTAGCATAAAATAAAAACTATTAACGTTGTGAACAGACTAAATTCCCTGTGACTATTATCAGTTGGACTGTTACATGCCCTATCCTTCATTATTTGCTCTTTCAAAGTCCATCCTCAATGAGCCCTCTGAATATCTTTTTCTTTGCCAGATGGCCTGATGTTTCACTTTGTCAATAGTGGGCACTGGGCGCAGTGGGACAGGGCTTTTCTTCCTGATTCCAGTGTGTTCCTCTTGGGAGGCTCCCAGTCAGCAGCACCTGATAGCCAGAAGCTTCCCTCCCCTGCACCCTCTCAGGAGGTTTTGTAGCAGCATGCATCTGGCAACATACTCCCATAAACAGTTGGTGTCTTAGAGAGCGGATTTATGGAAGTTCCAGAGGGTGGATTTCCAGAAAGTCCCACCACAGAGCACCACAGTAACTTCTCTACCATCCAGTGAGCCATGATCATGCCCTCTCCAGCAAGCTCTGGATCGCAGCCCTGGGTGGACCTCTTCCTGTGTGCTACATTTCACTTAAGGGCAAGACAGCTTCTGGTGTTTTTTTGTTTTTTGTTTTTGTTTTTTTTTTGAGACGGAGTCTCGCTCTGTCGCCCAGGCTGGAGTGCAGTGGTGCAATCTCGGCTCACTGCAACCTCCACCTCCTGGGTTCATGCCATTCTCCTGCCTCAGCCTCCCGAGTAGCTGGGACTACAGGCGCCTGCCACCACGCCCGGCTAATTTTTTTTTTTTTTTTTTTTTTTTGTATTTTTAGTAGAAACGGGGTTTCACCATGTTAGCCAGGATGGTCTCAATCTCCTGACCTCGTGATCCGCCCACCTCAGCCTCCCAAAGTGCTGGGATTATAGGCGTGAACCACCACACCCGGCCAAGACAGCTTCTTATGTCTGCTGTTCCTATAGTCTTTATGGTCCTCTTTACTTCTTACTAGAGAGTCCCTTATTATTCTAATCCCCTATTATAGATAATAACTCTGTATCTAACTTTCCCTGGGGAATGGCTGTGCGATTTCTATCTCTTGATTGGACCCTGCCTGCCATACAGGATGTGGCATCTGGACACCCATTTGCACACTGTGTCACACAACATGGGTTAAACAAGCAGCCTCATTTATGCACCTAATTCATTCAATATGCTTAGACTTTAAAATTTTACATTTGTACCTAATACATTTAATCTTCACTTTAAGCACTCAAAATACCTGCAACAACAAACTTAAATGTCTTAGTAAGCAAAATCTTCCCAAATAGTTAAGCAATGTTTGTATATCTAATAAGGTAAGTATATAAATATAGGAAATTTCAAGTGCAAATAAGCATTTCAATGTGTTTACAAACGTAGTCAAATTCTTACAGAGCATTCAACTTAAAACATAACTCTAAAATCAATTACTGATTTGGATTTGGCATTAGAAGGCTAATTTTCAGATTTTTCAATATGCCAAGGTTATCTTAAGCAGTTTAAATAAAGAAATATGGATTAGCTTGAACATAAGACAACAATATTTATATTATAGCTTTGAGTTGTTTATTCATTTCTGTATTTATTTTCAAACTTTTCCAGGGTAGAAAAGGCACCCACCTATGGGACAATTTTATGTTTGGTTAGCTAATGTTACTGTATCTTCAGCTCATCCTCATGTTACAATCACCATATTGGGTAGGCTAAGGGAGATATGCAGACTATATGCATTCAAGTCATTCGATCTGAAACATACATGGATACGGTTAGTCCTTTAAAAAAAATAGTCCCTATGTCTATTGAAAGGTCACACGCTTCCTAATTATTTCATGTGACTAGGGTACTAGGAATCTTAAAAAAATTTTTATTCAGATGTCAGTTAACTTCTGCTGGGAAAGGCAGTTCCATGCATGCAGTCTTTTGACCACAACTAGGCTGTGTGAGAAGACGGTCCCTCTGCTGCAGCAAGAAGGGTGAGTGCAGGCCAATTGCCTGGTATCTGCTGCCCGGAGGGACCCCTTGGGCATAGGGGGCTGACACCTCTGCTGAAGCTGATCTTGCTCTGTCTCTTCTCTATATGAGCAAAGTTTTGTTCTGTCCAGTGCCTGATTGTGTTGTGTTTTTCATGGTGACTCTGATGCCAAGATGCAGTGGACAGAAGTGCTTGGACATCTGCTTTGAATAGCAGGCAACAGGAGCCATTTGCTCAAAAACTTTCAATTCTTGAGTGAACTCTGAATTTCTATAGCAATGAGTCACAATTTTTTAAGTCATTTTAATGCCATTTGATTAGATTGTGCATCTCTACTCACAAGTTTGTCAGCCTCAACTCTGAAATATTGTAAATGACACCTTGAAGCTAACCTAGAAAGCTAGAATCCTTCCATCAGAAAGAAGGGTAGTGGAATTGTGGGCTGTGGTAGAGCTTGTAAAAGTGTTTTATTTTCCCCACTTCTATTACATTTGTGCTTGGGTAACACAGTGAGTAGCTACACAGGCTGCATGAAGACAGAGGGTTGAAATTTAGTCATTATTGACTTTTATGCTATCTAGTCTGTTCACATCTTACCCTAAGGGTAAGACTGATTCTTCTACCTGCTATTTCTATATTCTTTATAGTTCTCTACTTGGTTTCCTAGGTCACACCAGTCTTGGGAATGATTAAGAGCATCTGTATTTGGTTCAGAGCCCCTCAAGTATAATACCCAGACTCAAAACCTGGCCTTGGCCCTTTTCCATGGGCCCAGAGTGGCGTACACATCTTTACTTTTTAAAACTACTGTCTATTGAGCACTCTGTTTTCCAGGCTCTGTGAAAGTCACATTATGTAAATTCTCTTGTTTAATTATCACATAAACACTGTGAAATAGATATTTTTCACCAAAATTTTAAAGATGAAGAAACTGAGACACACATACACACAGAAAACCCACTTCCTGTCAGGCACTCTGCTGGGTGCTGGGGATACAATGGTGAGCAAAAGTGGTTCCTGCCTGATACGGTTTGGATATTTGTCCCCTCCAAATCTCATCTTGAAATGTGATTCCCAAGGTTGGAGGTGGGGCTTGGAGGGAGGTGACTGGATCATGGGGCAAATCCCTTATGAATGGTTTGGCACCATCCCCTTGGTGATAAGTTAGTTATCACTCAGTTAGTTCACTTGAGATCAGATCTGGTTGTTTAAAAGTCTGGGACCTCCCCCGCCTTGTTCTGTCTCTTGCTCCCACTCTCCCCATGTGACATACTGGTTCCCTGTCACCTTCTGCCATGATTGTAAGTTTCCTGAGGCCTCACCAGAAGCAGATGCCAGCATCATGCTTCCTGTGCAGCCTGTAGAACGATGAGCCAATTAAACCTCTTTTCTTTATAAATTATGCAGCCTCAGGTCTTTCCTTTCCTTTCCTTTCCTTTCGTTTCCTTTCCTTTCCTTTCCTTTTCCTTTTCCTTTCTGTCTGTCTGTCTTTCTTTTTTCTGATGGAGTTTCACTCTTGTTGCCCAGGCTGGAGTGCAATGGCACAATCTCAACTCACTGCAACCTCCGCCTCCCAGGTTCAATCGATTCTCCTATCTCAGCCTCCCAAGTAGCTGGGATTACAGGCTCCCACCACCATGCCCAGCTAATTTTTTGTATTTAGTAGAGAGAGGGTTTCATCTGTTAGTTAGGCTGATCTCAAACTCCTGATCTCAGGTAATCCACCTGCCTCAGCCTCCCAAAGTGCTGGGATTACAGGCTTGCACCATTGCACCCAGCCAGGTATTTCTTTATAGCAATGTAAGGACAGGCTAATACACTGCCCTCTTGGAAGTTACAGTCAAGTGTGTGGAGGAAAGGAGTAGATATCTCATAGACACATACATAATCACACATTGTGATCAACATAGAACCTGACCCAGGACAGGGGTGCTGGGAGTATTTTCCTGAGCAAGTGGCATTTTCATGCTCAACCCTGGTGCTATAGACAGAATGTTTGTGTTCCCTCAAAATTTACGTACTGAAATCCTAACCCACAATGTGATGGAGATGAAGCCTTTGGGAAGTGTTTAGGTCAGGAGGGTAGAGCCTTATAAAATAGGATTAGTATCTCTATAAAATAGGCCCCAGAGAGCTCCTTCTTCATCTTTTCTACACAGTGAAAACACAGCCATTTGTGAATGAGAAAGCAAGCTCTCACTAGACACTGAATCTGCGAGTTGATTTCTACTTGCCAGCCTCCGGAACTGTGAGAAATAAATTTCAGTTGTTCATAAGCCACTCAGTCTATGGTGTGCTGTTATAGCAGACTGAATGAACTAAGGCATCTGGTATATTTGACAGCAAGCTCCTTTAAAGCACCCATTAATTGAGAATGGAGGAAAGCAAGTGAATTTTTGGTTCCAACAGAACTGGATTCAAATTCTAGCCTGAATTTTTACAATTGATGTTAACCTGTTTGAGCTTCAGTTTCCTCATTTGTGAAGTGGTAATGATGATGATAATAGAAACCTCACAGGAAAGGATTAAATAGGATTATATATGCAATCATTTGGCACAGTGTCAGGCATCTAGATTTTCATTTCTTTCCCCTTCCTCTTTTTCTTGTCCAATTTTGTCCTTCATCTTTGTTGGCAAGTCTTAATTCTGACTTCCAAGAGCTTGGTCACAGGTCTCAAAGCCCCCTTCCTTTTGGAAAGATTATGGGCTCTTCGTGAAAATCAGATTTCTAAAGGCAAGCTCTTGTGTCTAAACTCCCTAAGGTGGATATGTATATTAGGTGCCCACCTCATAAAGAAAAAATTCATTGCTTGTGGAAAAAAAAAAAAGCCCGCACAATAAGCCAAAGATTAAAAAACAAACAAACGAACAAACAAGCAAACACAAAAGCTTATCTTCCACAACATCCTTGTCAGTTTTTCTCAGCCCTGATTCCTTGAGATTCTATTTTTCTTAGGGAAATTCAGAGACCTTTGCTCACTGCCATTGATTCTGCCACTCTCCCAGCTTGCTGTGTGGGTCGTGGCAGCCTTGCTGAGACTGCCAGCTCAGGACGCAATTACTGCCAATTGCATTGGGATATTTTGTGTGAGAGAATGCCCTGTTACAGAACACACATAGGGAAGCAAAACACTGATTATTTAATTTGCATTGTTTTTCCATGAATCTAAAGAAACTCCTTTCTGCAAGAACCACAGAGGCAAAATGATTAAGACAGAACAGCCAGAGTAAAATGAAGTAAACCTAGTTGCATAAAAGAAAACGGGGGAAACAAACTCATGGAAGCAGAAGCAGTCATAAAAAACAAGGTTATTTAAATAATACTATATCTCTCTTGCCTTATCATTCTGATTACATTCAACTAATCTACCAAATTGAAAGGTATGAGCAGTATTTCCTTAAAGCACGTTAAATAATAGTGTCAAAATGCAAATTTATTCATTAAGTATAGATGAGGATGTTAAATATTCATGAATTGTTGCTCCCAGTGTATAATTAATCCCATGGTCTTTGAGTCCAAAGCATTTAGAAGATAAAGGGTTTATACCATCACTATTATAAATTGATACTATTCCCAAAAATACTCTTCAGGGCAAAGGTTAGGCACCTAGCAGTTCCCAAACTGGAATTTCATTTTATCAATACTTTATATTGCATTTTAATAGGAACATGGCTATCTGAAGACACAAGATTTATATTTCTAACTCTTGCTGTCTGATAATCTAGGTTGGAAATAAATATTTCAGGCTTGAAGAAGCTCTTGGTTGGCCTGAATATAATAGATCTAAAATTCTCTTTTGTTTTGTTTTTGACCTTGGGCAAAGGGAAGCATTTTATAAAAGTCTCCCTCTTAAGCAGAAAAAGTCGTGTTTTTCACCTCCTTCTTGATTCTTTTTGTTGTTGTTGTTGTTAGGCTCAGTCTTTTCATTTGGGGTTGCTTTAGAATCTCTTGAGAATATAGGCCATTTTCTCTACATGGTCCATCTATTCTGGGGTCTGTTAAAGTGTGCCCCTGGCTGACAGACAAAATGGACTCCCAGTGGCTAAGTGAGAGGCTCGAAGTTAAAACAGAACCAATTGGTCATGGATGGGTGAGGGAGCAGTCATGCGCTCTGTATTCTCAGAAGGATGTTGTAAAAGTGTCACAGGACCTCGCTTTCTACAATCAAGCTAAACTAGTTTCTGTTGTCAGTGCCAAGATAAACTGTGGCTAGAAGCCCCTCCCCACTACCCGCAACGGACATTTGAAAGAAACATCTGACAAAGACTTCTGGTTTGGGGCTTGGAAGCCACTCAGTCAAAGCTTGACTATTTTGACAAATCAGAGCAGAACAAGTTCGAATCCTTCATTTGCAAAAAGGACCAAACTTCCAACTGGGGTGAGAACTTTAAGCCAGATCCTCCATTTATTCTTTAGAGAGCACACTTTCACTTTCACCAAAAGCTATGCCCCCCTAGTCTGCAGATGTGTGTGTGTGTGTGTGTGTGTGAGTGCGCATGTGTGTTTGTGTGCATTTGTGTGTAAAAATAAAGCTCTCCCTTTTTGTCTGAAGATTTCATTATCTTTTGTTAACAGGGGAGTTTGGAAATTATTTCTCTCAGAATAATTAATAATATATCTTTGTGTATTCTGGAAAGTTAAAGTCACCCCTTCATAGTGTTCCTTATTTGCTGCCTAGGTTTCCTGTAGTACAGTAAATTTAGGTTCATAATTATTTTTATTGATCCTTGGTGATATGGTTTGGCTCTGTGTCCCCACCCAAATCTCATGTTGAATTGTGATCCCTAGTATTGGAGGAGTGGCCTGCAGGGAGGTGACTGGATCACGGGCATGGTATTTAATGGTTTAGCACCATTCCCCCCGTGCTGTCTCATGACAGAGTTCTCATAAGGTCTCATTGTTCGAAAGTGTGCGGCATCTCCTCCCTCTCACTCTCTCTCCCTCTCTCCTGCTCCACCATGTTGAGAACAATGCTGGCTTCCCTTCACCTTCTGCCATTATTGTAAGTTTCCTGAGGCTTCCCTAGTCATGCCTCTTGTATAGCCTGCAGAACTGTGAATCAATTAAACCTCTTTTCTTCATAAATTACCCAGTCTCAGGTAGTTCTTTATAGCGGTGTGAGAATGGACTAATTCACCTGGGGAAACTTACAACTGCAAAATAGCAAATGAAAAAACTTTAAAACTTTTACCAAAAGTAAAAGAAGTTGGAAATGTTATTCCTCCTCATATCTTTCTACATTTCTTAATAATTTATAGTGTTTGGAAGAATTAAAATTAGGATGCAGGCTTTTCCAATTCTGTAAAACTGTATATCTCTATTTCTGTATGGTAGATTAGATTCTTATTCTTAATTCTTTACCTCTCCATATGTTATAATTTTACAACCATACCTTTTGGCATGTGAGTTTTGTGAATACATCTCCCAAGAGTTCCAGAGTCTGATTCTCTGCTCCATTAATGTGGGGCTTAGCCATACAACTTGTTTCTGCAAACAAAATGTTGGCTGAAGTGAAAGTGGGCCAGTTCAATGCCAAGGCTTTCGAGGTATCATGTGTTTGTGCTCATTCTCTTATGTTTCTGCCATTCACCATGAGAAGAGCATGTTCCAGGAAGCTGCTAATCCAAGGAATATGAATAGAGCTGACCTGATCCCAGCCCTGAGGTTGGAGCCACGCCCAGTGTAGATCAGCTGAACTTCAGACTTGAGGGCTGGGATTAGTCTGAGGTCAAAATGTGTGTCTATTTTGGTCTCTGGATGACCTTGCATTAATATATATTTCAACTCCTTAGAACCTCTGCTCTCTTAATAATAAAATGAGGTTATCTAACTTACAGAGTTCTTGTGAAGATTACAGGAGGTTTTATATATATGTGTATATATATATATATATATATGGGTATTATACATACATATATATGCATATATGTATATATAATATACATACATATACATACATACATATACATATATACACATATATATATGGGTATTATACATACATATAAACTTTTGTCTTTTGAATGCTGGTTAAATGCTAAATACTATGTTAAGTACATTAAAATCATTATCTCTCCACTTATAATTTCTAGTAATGCCTAGGACATTCTTCCTTCAGATATCCATATGCCTACATCTCTGCCTCCTTCAAATCTTCAAGCTCACTAGATTTTTTCTTCTGCAATTAGTCTAATCTATTGTTAATTCTATCCAGTGTATTTTAAATCTCATATATTGCAGTTTTCATCTCTAGAAATGTGATATGGGTCTTTTAAACTATCTTTGATGTCTTTACTTGGCTTTTGAACATGTGGAAAATACTTCTAACAATAGTTATAATCTCTGTATCCGCTAATTTTAACATCTGTGTCAACTCCCGGTCAGTTTTAATTGATTTTTCTTCGCATTTTCTTGCTGCTTGGCATCCTAGGAATTCTTTTTTTTTTTTTTTTTTTTTTTTACAATAATAGAATCTTTCATTTACAAAGCATTTTACAGGTTTCAAAGTACTTTTACATTATTAGTTTAGCATTTCCAAACCTATTTGACCCCAGGAAATTAATAATATCAATTAAGGGAATAATAGAAAAATATGATATATAAAGTATGTTTAGATTAATGTAAGTAGCAAAAAATTATCTCACAGATTAAATGGTTTCCAAAAAACAATCAAAATTCAATTTTTAAAAAACTATACAGAATTCTTATGAAACTTAATTTGGAAAACACATTAGATATTCATAATTGTGTGAGAGAGCCACAGTAAGGTTTATGATGTCCACTATAGAAAAGACGTTATTTTTTTCAGTTACTAATACTTTCTTTTTTTTCTGTTTTTTTTAATTATACTTTAAGTTTTAGGGTACATGTGCACAATGTGCAGGTTAGTTACATATGTATACATGTGCCATGTTAGTGTGCTGCACCCATCAACTCGTCATTTAACATTAGGTATATCTCCTAATGCTATCCCTCCCCTCTCCCCTCACCCCACAACAGGCCCCGGTGTGTGATGTTCCCCTTCCTGTGTCCATGTGTTCTCATTGTTCAATTTCCACCTATGAGTGAGAACATGCAGTGTTTGGTTTTTTGTCCTTGCGATAGTTTGCTGAGAATGATGGTTTCCAGCTTCATCCATGTCCCTACAAAGGACATGAACTCATCATTTTTTATGGTTGCATAGTATTCCATGGTGTATATGTGCCACCATTTTCTTAATCCAGTCTATCATTGTTGGACGTTTGGGTTGGTTCCAAGTCTTTGCTATTGTGAATAGTGTCGCAGTAAACATACGTGTGCATGTGTCTTTATAGCAGCAGGATTTATAATCCTTTGGGTATATACCCAGTAATGGGATGTCTGGGTCAAAAGGTATTTAAAGTTCTAGATCCTTGAGGAATCGCCACACTGTCTTCCACAATGGTTGAACTAGTTTACAGTCCCACCAACAGTGTAAAAGTGTTCCTATTTCTCTACATCTTCTCCAGCACCTGTTGTTTCCTGACTTTTTAATGATTGCCATTCTAACTGGTGTGAGATGGTATCTCATTGTGGTTTTGATTTGCATTTCTCTGATGGCCAGTGATGATGAGCATTTTTTCATGTGTTTTTTGGCTGCATAAATGTCTTCTTTTGAGAAGTGTCTGTTCATGTCCTTCACACACTTTTTGAAGATCAAAAATATTTAATAGACCTACAAATATGTATAATACTCCAATGAATGAAGTCCACAATGTCTGGCATTCAATGAAGTATTACTACATTGATTCCTTCCTCTGAAACTGTGAAACCGGGTTGATAAACAAAACACTCGACTAAGCAAGAGTGACTACATATATGTGGTCCTCAATGGGGAAGCTGAATGTGGGTGGCTTGATGTACCATAGTAGAGACTATGAACTGGATTAAGGGCTATGGCACCTGGAATTTCCTCAGATAGTTGAGTGTAGAAGTAAGAATGAGGAAGCAAGTGGGAAAGAACATCTGTCTGCCTAATTATCTATCACTAAGTGACCCAGGGACATTTCTAGTACTTTTTTTTTTTTTTTGAGATGGAGTCTCACTCTGTGCCAGTCTGGAATGCAGTGGCATGATCTTGGCTCACTGCAACCTCCACCTCCTGGGTTCAAGCAATTCTCCTGCCTCAGCCTCCCGAGTAGCTGGGACTACAGGTGTGCACCACCACGCCCAGCTAAGTTTTGTATTCTTAGTAGAGACAGGGTTTCACCGTGTCAGCCAGGATGGTCTCGATCTCTTAACCTCGTGATACACCCATCTTGGCCTCCCAAAATGCTGGGATTACAGGCGTGAGCCGTCACGCCTGGCCATTTCCAGTATTTTTAAAGTGATTCCAGGTTGTTTGCTTATTTCCAACCTGACACCTATTCTTATGCCTTGGTTGGATTCTGCTTTCATACTGCAAATTGAAATGCATATTGTTGACTATCTCCAAAATGAATACTTTGGTCTGAACAGTTCAATTTGGTTGTTCCTTTTGGATCTAATTGGCCAGGTAATTTTTTCTTTTTGTATATCAGATATAAGTAATTCACATATGGAAGATTGAAAAGTAATAACAGTAGTTTTAGCAGATAAAACATATTGGCTCAGTTTGGACTAAGTTCTTTCCAGGAATCAAGTCCTTTAATCATGTAGCTACAGAAATGAGATATTTTTATTTGTAGATGAGGCTTAGAAAGATTAAGTAACTTGCCCAAAGTCATACATTTTATAAATACTGAATCTGAAAAGCTTCAGATTTCTCATCCAAAAATGTGGGTGTTTACTGAGTTTCCTCTGATTTTTATTGCTGCTCTATGAAATAACTTGATTTTTTTTTAGCTACAATGCCTAGCACAGAGTAAGCACCCATCACACCACAGACAAGCACAACTTTTACCATCATCAGTGTTTTGTACAAGGTCACACAGTAAATGGGAGTCAGGATTTGAAATCCATGTCTTCTGATTATGGAGCCTCGATTTTAAATTACTACTCTCCTGCCTGTAATTTTAAAAGTGTTATAATATACTTTATGCGGGCTTTGGTGTGATTAGAGGCATGGCTTTAATCCCTGGCAGAAAGATCTGACAAATAGTAACGTTTAAGAGACAAAAGCAAAATAGAATGTAGAAGAGAGAATATGTTGTTTCCAGAAGGGCAGGCTTCTTCATAAATAGCTCACTAGATTTTTCTGGCAACCCCAAACCTGAGACAAGATGGTATGCTAAGAGCAGACCAGCAGACTTGCCAACCAAAGAGGAATGCAAGGGGTGCCATCAGAAATTCCTGTGGATATCAGTCAAATTGGAAGCAGGTAATGACCAGAATATTGCATGTAGTCTTCCATGTCTACTAACTAATCAGTTTAGCGAGTAACTAATATGGTCAGCGAGACCAAGAAGAGAGATGTGACCAGAAAGTTCATGGACTTTGCCATTCATGAATGAGGTTCCTTAAAGTGTCCTGGTGACTTCAAGGATCACAGGAAAAATAAAGGGAAATAAAAGATACACAAATCTGAAAAAAAAAAAAAAAAAAGCATCAAGCCAAGAAGTCAGAGAGAAAAAAGAAATGCAGTAGCAGTAACAGAACAGCAGTGAGTGTGGCAATCGTGCTCTAACACTGTCCCTTTCATCACAACCAGCTCACTCATCATGCACACAAAAGCTGGTAATGGGTGATGGGGTCTACTTGAGGAATTACCTGAGCCTTCCCTCCCATTTATCTCGTTGGCCTAATACCAGCTGCTGGTTTTGCTTCTAAAATATACTTTATTTTCTAGTGCTGTTTTAGGTTCACAGCAAAATTGAGTGGAAGGTACAGAGGTTTCCCATATACCTGTTGCTCCTACTAATGCACAACCTCTCCCATTATCAAAATTCCCTACCAGAATGGTACATTTGTTAACATCATTATCACCCAGAGTCCATAAGTTACATTAGGGTTCACTCTTGGTGTTGTACATTGTGTGGATTTGGACTAATGTACCATGACATGTCTTCACTATTATAGTATCACGCACAGTAGCTTCACTGCCCTAAAAGTCCTCTGTGCTCCACTTACTTGTCCCTCTTTCCCCTTAACCCTCGGCAACCACTCATCTTTTTACTGTCTTCATAGTTTTGCCTTTTCCAGAACGTCATACATTTGGAATCACACGTCATGTAGACTTTTCAGATTGGTTTCTTTCACTTAATAATTTGCATTTAAGGTCCTTCCATGCCTTTTCATGGCTTGATAACTCATGTCTTTTTAGTGCTGAATAAAATTCCATTGTATGGATGTACCACAGTTTATTTATCCCACTCACCTAGGATGTCTTGGCTTCTTCCAAGTTTTGACAATTATAAATAAAGTTGCTATAAAACTCCATGTGTGAGTTTTTATGTGGGCATAGTTTTCAACCTGGGTAAATGCCAAGAAGCATGATTGCTGGATTGTGTGATAAAAGTATATTACGTTTGTAAGAAACCACTAAACTGTCTTCCAAAGTGGCTATATTATTTTGCATTCCAACCAGCAATGAATGAGAGTTCCTGTTGCTCAAAATCCTTCCCAGAATTTAGTGTCAGTCTTCTGAATTTTGACCATTCTACTAAGTATACCACTATGAGTGGTGTCTTGTTGTTTTGATTTGCATTTCCCTGACGACATAAGATGTGGAACATATTTTCATATGCTTATTTACCATCTGCATATCTTCTTTGGCAAGGTGTCCATTAAGGGCTTTGGTTCATTTTTTCATCTGTTTTTTGTTTCCTTATTGTGGACTTCTAAAAGTTCTTTGTGTATTTTAGATAACAATCCCTTAGAAGATGTGTCTTTTACAAATATTTTCTCCTAATCAGTGCCTTGTCTTTTTATTCTTTTGACAGTGCCTTTCACAGAGCAGAAATTTTAACTCTAATAAAGTCCATCTTATTCATTCTTCCTTTCATGAAGTGTGCCTTTGGTGTTATATCAAAAAGGTCATTGCCAAATCCAAGGTCATCTAGATTCTCCCCTATCTCATGTTCTAGGAGTTTTATAGTTTTTCATTCCACATTCAGGTTTGTGATTCATTCTGAGTTATTTTATGTGAAGGGTGTAAGGCTTGTGTCTAGATTGATTTTTTTGCATGTAAATGTCCAGTTGTTCCAGCACCATTTGTTGAAAGGACTTTCTTTCCTTCTTTGTGTTGCCTTTGTTCCTTTGTCAAAGATCAGTTGAATATATTCATGTGGGCCTATTTCTGGACTCTCTATTCTATTCCATTCTTCTCTTTGTTTATTTTTACCAATACTACACAATCTTGATTACTGTAGTCTTATAGTAAGTATCGAAGTTGGGTAATGTCAGTGCTTCAAATTTATTCCTTTAACTCAATATCACGGTGACTATTCTAGGTCTTTTGCTTCCATATAAACTTTGGAATTATTTTGTTGATATCCACAAAATATCAATTGGGGAGATTTCATTGAATCTATATATCAAGTTGACAAGAACAGACATCTTGACACTATTGGGTCATCCTATCTGTGAACATGGAATAATTTCTCCATTTATTTAGTCTTTCATTTCTTTCATCAGAGTTGTGCAGTTTTCATCATATAGATCTTGAACATGTTTCGTTAGATTTATACCTAAGTATTAGTCCCTGCCTCTTGACCCTCTGCTTTGCTTACCTATTGAACATTATTCTCAGGTCATCTGCAATTCCCATTCCCTTTGCCGCTTCACTCATCTTTTACATATTGCAAGTCTTCTTGTGATCATACGGTGGTAATAGCTCTCAGACTCTGGCAAGTCTGAGCATTTGAAGCAGGAGAACCAGCATCTGAGAAAATCAGAAGCCTACAGGATACTCTGGACTCTGGCTGTGGTAGACTGGGCTGTTGAAACAAGTTTGTGTCAAAGTTCTAGCTTGATTTTCTTATGCTCCTCCAACTGCCTTCTTACTTCTACCCGAAGACCTTATGCTTTCTGATAACTTGAAAAGAGCTCAGCCTTTGGGGTCAGCCTGGAATACAATTGTATTTAGTTGCTTATTAGCATTGTGTCCTTGAGCAACATAGTTAACCTCTTTGAACCTCATTTCTTCATTTGTAAATGGGTAATGATAGCACTTAACATGAGGATTAAAATAGAGGACCCAGAAATCTTTATACTTGAAATAATAGACACTTTTAAAGTTCTTGCTCTTTTTATTTGTTTTACTTACTAATAGCACCTTCTCCTCCCCTAAACTCATCACTTATCTTTCCCATCCCTTACTTTCACCAACTGTTCTTCTCTTGATCTTCCTTTCCACCATGTCAGGTTATTATCAAGAAATTTTTCCGCACTCTTTCTTAAAAACTATATTTTTTTGTTAAATACAATACCCATACAAAAAGTGCAGGGCACATCAATGTAAAGTTTAATAAATTATAAATTAAACACCTGTTTAACACCCCTAGGGACTTGTGCTTGAGAACCTCCTATACTCATCCATCATCTTTCCTTAAAGAGCTCCTGTCAATTTTTTACGTTAACCACAGGGTCACTTCCTCCTGTCCACAAAGATTTTCTTGTGGTTTTCTGAGGGGTAGTCATGGTATTTATTTGCATGCCAACAATTCCCATGGGGAAGGAGTGGGGAATATGAGCTAAGGGTGACATAGGGGAAGGATAAGGAAAACTGAGCAATCCGAGAGAGCCTTCCTTAGGGAAGATCACAAATCACGTGGTCCCAAGCCAAGTCTAATCCAATCTGGGGCCGTATTATTTTCTAAGGAGTTCCATCTGTGAAGAACTCAGAACCTGGTAGTGAAGATTTCTGGCTGTACTGGCTCTTAGTGTCTTGTGATATCTGAGTTGTGCTTCAGAGGGTTCTTCCAAAGAAAATAAAGATTGCTGACAGTAGTGCCATGGTAATGTCTTGAGAGGAATTTATAATTGGGCAGCATTTCAGGACAAGGACCTAATCCCAGGATGAGTGGGTGGGAATCAGATGCCTTGGCCTGAAGCCAGGCCAACAGATTGACCACAGAGGTTGGGGCTGATTGAAAAGTTCAGACCTGGAACCCATGTAGGTTCTCAGCTTACCAATTTCCCACACAGGATTCCAGCACAGATACCAATTTTAGATTAAAGGTCAAGGTCTTTTGAAAACCACAGAGAGGGTTGGATTGGTAAGTATAGCCATGGGCTGCCAGATGCTGCTCATTCTCTCTCTTCTTTCTATGTGCCCCTGCCACTGTTCTCCACTTAACTTTTGACTGTGAGGTGGAGCTGGCCTTCATATGGGACCAGCCTACTATTCTTCAACATTTTGGCAAAATTTATTCTTTCTATGAAGTTCATGTCATTTGACTATCCCTGACTACTTCTAATTTTTGTTACCTATTTGTTATAGGTAACTCACCATACACAGATCATTGAGGTTTCTACATTTTCTTCCATCTTAGCTGTCATCATCATCCTCTGTGACTATTATATTGAACAAGCAATTTAAAATTATGATCAGCACACACTTGTGTCTCCTACAATCCCTTTAAACTTTATTAAATGGAGGTGATTTTCCGTCTGTCTTAAGATGAAGACTTTGACAGGCACCAACTTTTCTGTTCATTTTCAGGTAATATAATGTGGTCACCTATGTCAAAAATAAGCTCCAATTCAGAAATTAAAATGTTTTGTCTCATGTAACACTCAATGATCTAAATATTATTTAGCAGTCACATCTCCTCTGTTTCCCCAGATCTTCTTCCTGGCTTCAGGTTAGATCCTTCTACTCTCTACTGTTCTTCTGCTAACCTCCTCTCCCATTTTCTTTGCCATTTGACTCCCAGTGGGGTCTTGGGGTTGGCTGTGTGAAGGGAGAAAGTGTAAGGGAATAAACCTGTTCTTATTTGACTATGTGGCTTCTGGGTCTGTTGGCTTCAGAGATGTGAACCAGCTGGCCCTCCTTCTTATGGAGCTCTTCAAACGTTCTCTAGAGAATCCCTGATATGGATTTTCACCCAAATCTCATCTTGAAATGAAGTTCCCATAATCCCCACATGTTGTGGGAGGGACCCAGTAGGAGGTAATTTCATTATGGGGTGTTTACCCTCATGCTGTTCTCACGAGAGTGAGTGAGCTCTCATGAGATCTGATGGTTTTATAAGGTTCTTTTTCCCCTTTTGCTGGGCACTTCTCCTTGCTGCTGCTATGTGAAGAAGGACCTGTTTGCTGTCCCTTCCACCATGATTTTAAGTTTCCTGAGGCCTCCCCAGCCATGCTGAACTGTGAGTCAATTAAACCTCTTTATAAATTATCCAGTCTCAGGTAGGTTTTTATAAGCAGCATGAGAGCAGATTAAGACAATCCCTTTCTCCTGCAGTTCGCCAGACTTGGCTGATGGATCTATATTCTGTGTGGGCCCCTTGCTCTGAGAAGCTGTGGGAGTGGAGCCATATCACTGTAGAGATTTGCTTTCATGGCCCTGCCACCAAAGAAGGCAGGGAGTCTTTCTTCATCCTCCAGATCTTTCCACTAGGAATCGGACTCTAGTCCACACCCTTTTGTCTTGGGTGTGTCAGTGTAAAGGCTGTTCTTGTATTGCTATAAAGAAATACCTGAGACTGAGTAACTTATAAGGAAAGAGGTGTAATTGGCTTACAGTTTTGCAGGCTGTACAGGAAGCATAGCACTGGCATCTGCTTCTGGGGAGGCCCCAAGGAACTTTTACTTATGAAAGAAGGTGAAGGGGAGCAGGCACATCATCACATGCCCAGAGCAGGAGCAACAGAGAGAGAGGGGCTTGGGGGAGGGGAGGTGCTGCACACTTTTAAACAACCAGATCTCCTGGGAACTCAGAGAGCTCACTTATCACCAAGGATATGGCCCAAGCAATTCATGAGGGATCTGTCCCCATGATCCAAACACCTCCCACTAGCCCCAAGCTCCAATGGGGACTACATTTCAACATGAGATTTGGGTGGGGACAAATATCCACACTATAGGGGTCAGGCACCAGTTCTCCATTTTTCTCCACATCAGGAAATCAATTTCGAAGCTTTCCTAAGATGTTTCTTACTGGGGTTAGAATTAGAAGGTAGAACTCAAACAGGGCAATAGCTTTCACCAAAGAAATTTCTTCACAGTTTTTCCTCCAAATTCTCTCTTCACCCTCTAAATGCTCTTTTATATTGTCTTTCTGGGGTGAGGGGGCTCAAGATCCCTGATAAATTATCATTTGGTGGAAATTTGTCCATTTCATCTTAAATGTTTAATATATAGGAATTAATCTGCTCATAATATTCTTTAAGTAACTTTTTACTATCTCTAAGATCTGCAGTGTTATCCCCTTTTAATCTTTGATGCTGGCAATTTGTATCTTCTGTTCCTTGATAAGACTCACGAATCAAAACAGCCTATTGATATTTGTTTTTTCAAAATAACCAACTTTTGGCTACATTGATTTTTCAATTGCTTTTTCTATGTTACTGAGCATAGTTTGTTAAAATCTCTCAGTAGGATTGTGAACTTGTTCACTTCTCATTTTATTCCTGTCAGTTTTCACTCTGTATATTTATTTTGAGGGTCTGTTATTAGGTGAATACACATTTAAAACTGTTATGTCTGTTTGATAGATTGGCCATTTTATCATGAAAAAGTAATTCTTTTTTTTTGCCTTCAAGTCTACTTTGATATTGGTCCAGATATATCAGCTGTCTCTTGACTGGTGTTTGCATGGTGTATCTGTTTTTTTTCTATGTTCAACTATTCTGTGTATTTATCTTTAAGGTGTATCTCTTATAAAAAGAATATTTTGTGTATGTCATTATTTGTCATGTAACCTATTTCATTTATTTCCTTGATATATTGATATATATATGAACCTGTCATCTTACTGTTTCAATTGTATTTGTCCCTTTTATTGTATGTTTCTTCATCTATACTTCGTTGGATTAAATATTACTTTTGGATTAAGTATTACTACCTATTATTACATTTTACCATTTTGGATAGCTTGTTAGGTGTTTAATCTTTTATTTATTTTTTTAGTGGTTACCTCATGATTACAATTAATGTTTGACTTTAAAATATAGTATAAATTTGTACTTTTACCATTTCCTGGATGGTATAAGGAATTTGGAAAACTTTAACTTGGTTTACCCTACTCATGCCTACTAGTTATTATGTCATATTTCTGTTGAACATATATTTAAAATTCTACCAATTTATCATTTCTATTGTTTTATGCCATTAATATTTACTTACATATATATCCTTTCAATTACTCTTTACTGCTTCTTACATTTCATTGTTTCCAGTTGTGTGTGACATGTTACCTTATGCCTTAAGATCTTATGTGACATTTATTTCAACCCAGGTTTACTGGTGAAAAATTAATTTCTGTGAAAATTTCTTTGTGTTGACTTCATATTTATAGAATATCATTGCTAGTTATAAAATTCAAGGTTGAGAACTTTGGAGATAGTGTTACATTATCTTCTGATTTAATCATTTCTGTTGAGAAGCCAGCTGTCTGTAAAATAGTTGTTTCTTTGAAATTAATGTATCTTTTTTCCTCTAGTTGCTTTTGAGATTTTCTCTTTGCACTTGTTTTTTTTTTCCAGTTGTAGTATGAAGTGCCTAAGTGTTGTTTTCTTTATATTTTTCCTTCTTAGAATTTAAAGTACTTCTTGAACCCATGGATTGATGTTTTCTTGTTTTAGAAAATTTCTTGGCCATATATAAATATTCTTACTGTCTACTTCATCTAAGACTTCAATAACAAGTATGTTAGTCTTTTTTTGTACTTCAGCCTAGATATTCACTACTGACCTACCTTTTAGTTCACCCTTTAGTCCTCTCTTTAGCTATGTCTAGCTGGCTATGAAACTCTTATATTGAGTTCTTTTTTTTCAATTTTTGAAGTTTTCAATTATAGAATTCCTATTTAATTTTTTAGTTATCTGCTGAATTTTTATCATACTGTATTTTTTTCTTGAGTATACTAGACACAGTAATTTTTGTTTTATATATGATAACTCCAATATTTATATTTCTCATAGCTTCATGTTCATTGTCTTATTGTCTGCTATTTACTTTGTTTCTTCTACTAGTTTGTGTAGTTGATTTTTATGTATTTATTTTTTAGATTTTGTGTTTTTTTTCATATATGAAAAAATACAGAAATAATTTGGTTCTGGCTGATATTATTTTCTTTCAGAGAGGGTTTAATTTTTCTTGGCAGGCAGTTAGGCTGGGGGCAGTTCAATTTCAGATTGAGATGATTAGAATGTTGATTCATGTGGGCTAGTTTATATCTTGTTAGCTTTCTTCTATTGAGCTTCAAGGGTCTTAACCAAAAGCTATGAATGTTTCCCAGAGCCTCTTTTCTTTGTTGGGCTTGAACTTGAACATTTTGCTCCCAATCCTTATGAGACTGCTAAAAACGTTGGTTAGCTTTCCAGGCTCTAGAGGCTGCCTACAAATCAGCAAGTGCTTTGAAGGGAAACGCAGAACTAAATGTCAGGCCCACCTCCTCGCACTTCCCTCTGAGAACTTTGGTGCCTAATATCCTTGTTTCTTGATGGCTCCCTGGTGTTTTCCAACAGATTTTTTTTTTTTGGTTCATATTTTATCCAGCCTTGTCAGCTGTTCTTGGCAGTAAAGGTTAGTCTTATAAAAGTTAATATGCCATCACTGGGATCAGAAACTCTTATTGTGCTTTTCAAATTGTAACTTTTGATGTATATATCCTATCTTTACTAATAGGTGGTAAATTCCTAGATGGTAGGTATATGTACTTTTATTTGCAACACCTGGCCTTACATACAATATATACATATATTTACTGACTGAATTAATAAATTTTTATTGGATGTCTTCCATTAAAAGAAATAAGGCTAAACTCAATTTTTTCAGAAGTTAAAATTTCTAACATAAAATGCTATTGAAGAACCATTGTGATAAATGAATATAGACTCAGAAAAGTGAACCAGCTAAACTACATCAAAGCTTTAAAATAATGTCAGGAGAGTCAGATACAGAAATTCTGAAAACCTTTAACTCCCCAGGATTAATTCATTCTACATGAAATAGGTGTTCTCCTGGTGACACTTTGATCCAACATCCTCGTGTTGTCAGAGTTCAGAAGCCTTAAGGCCTCAAAGTGCTCCTCTGATTTTTTATCCAAAACTATAATCAGGTTTTGATCTGTTTTAGAAAAGAGGCCTGATCTCTAGAGTACAGTGGTAGCCATGGAGCCAGAGGAATCATTGTGCATAGACCAAAAGCCCAGTGAGGGGTAAACAACTGATAAATGCACGGCTGCAAATGTTTGGCTACTTCCTTCTTCCTTTTCTTTTATTACTTGGCATAATGATATTTATTTCTTTTTTCTAGTCTTTTTAATAACAATTTTTTAATTGTTATTTAAGAAATATTTTTAGTGTTTATTACAGACTAACTACCAGGCAAATACTAGGGCTGAGTAGATGCAAAGAGGGATATAAAAAAGTATTCAATACAACCCTTGTTTCCAAAACAAACCCTTGTTTCCATCTCTCTCTCTCTGTCTCTCTCTCAGGAGTGTGTGTGTGTGTGTGTGTGTGTGTGTATGTGTTAGAGAGTGAGAGAGAGAGAGAGAGAGAGAGATAATATATATGATGAAGACTGTAGTAAACAGCTTAGACATAAGGAAACCAGAGCCAGCTTCCAAATTCCAGATTGAAGCCTTGCTGTGGAATATATATGATTATTGAATGAAGAAATGGATTTCAAGAAAATTGGTGGAGTGCAGTTTCTGATTGCTGCAGAAAGTGCTTAGGTCTGAGTTGCTTTCAATTGAAGTCACAAGAAGATGATAAGTTAGGCTTACAGGATTTGGCCAAACGTTATTTCCAAACAAAAACAACTCTAAATTTATGCCTATTCTTGTCAATGCAGAAAGAGATTTTAAGATTCCAACAGACAGGAAGATTTGGGAACTCACAGTTTCTAAAACAGCAGTTTTAATCTAAGGTGGTCAGTCCAGGAAAATATGGGTAGGGAACTCTTTCTGGGGATTATGAAACTGCAACCAGGTTCAGAAGAGAAAGCTCCACACTTCAGCCCATAGTTAACCAGTCAGTCCTAGAAATCTCATCCAGGAGAGAGTCTTACTGCCTTAGATTGAATGGTTTTACAACAGTTGAATGGATTATTTGATGTGGTTGGTCCGTGGATATAATGCATGACTTATTCAGGATGGGCTCAATTAAATCTTTTATTTTACCAGGGAAGAAGAATGATGGTGGTAAGCACTTCTTTCTTATTTATTTATTTATTTATTTATTTATTTATTTATTTATTTATTTATTTATTTTGAGACAGAGTCTTGCTTTGTCATCCAGGCTGGAGTGCAGTGGCACAATCTCGGCTCACTGCAACCTCCACCTCCTGGGTTCAAGCAATTCTCCCGCCTCAGCCTCCCGAGTAACTGGGATTACAGGCACCTGCCATCATAGCTAATTTTTGTATTTTTGTAGAGACGGGGTTTCACCATGTTGGTCAGGCTGGTCTTGAACTCCTGACCTCAGGTGATCCACCCACCTTGGCCTCCCAAAGTGTTGGGATTGCAGGTGTGTGCTAACACACCCGGCCAGCACTTCTCTTTCAACTCACTGATGAAATCATTCCAAGAATATTTTTACTGTCCAAACTGAGGAATATAATGTTTTGATAATGAAGAGAAAGCACTTCATTAAATTAATCCTTCTTTGTCTTGTATTAATTGAGTACACACAATGTGTCTACTGCTTTTATGAGCTTATTGGGGACTCATAAATGAAAGATTCTATTATTTACAATAGTTTTGACTGCTAGGAATTGAAAACCCTAAAAGAATAAGCCAGCATATTGCCTATTTCCAGGTAATTTCCACCGTCTATGTCGCCGTGGTCCAAGTTGGCATTCACGTTCCTAGGACAAAGTAAAAGGGCAAAGGAGGGGTGTCAGCTGTCCAGTTTTTACTTTTTGTTATGGTTGTTTTAGTTACATACAATAAAGTTCACTTATGTGTTTAGTTTTGCGTTTTAATACATATGTAGATTTTGCAACCACCACCATAAATAGGATTCAGAACAATCCCATAATCCACCAAATTCCTTCATGCCGCTCCTTCGGAGTCACTCCCTAACCCACCCAACTCCTAGCTAAAATTGACCTATTCTCCATCCCCATAATTTTGCCTTTTCAATAATATTATATAAATGGAATTATATAGTACTGGATTCTTTCCTGTAGCATAATGCATTTGAGATTTATCCATGCTGTTGTGTGAATGATAGTTCATTTCTTTTTACTGAAGAGTAATATTTCATTGTGTGGCTGTTCACAACTAATTCACCCACCTATTGAAGGATATTTCTTTTTTCTTTCCAGTTTGGGTTGATTACAAATAATGTTGATATGAATATTCATGTACAGGTTTTTGTTATGAACATAAATTATTTTCTTAAGGGCATAGGAGTAAGATTGCCAGGCCATAGGGTAAGTATCCATCTAATATTATAAGAAATGGCCAAATTGTTTCCCATGTGGCTGTACCATTTTGTATTCTTTTCTACAATGTATAATAATATATGTGATGGTTAACATTGAGTGTCAACTTGATTGGATTGAAGGCTGCAAAGTGTTGTTCCTGGTGTGTCTGAGCATGTTGCCAAAGGAGATTAACATTTGAGTCAGTGGAAAGGCAGACACACCCTCAATCTAATCAGGTGCCAGCATAAAAACAGGTATGAAAAGAGCAGACTGGTTGATCTTCTGGCCTCCATCTTTCTCCCATGCTTGTTGCTTTCTGCCCTCAAACATCATACTCCAAGTTCTTCAGCTTTTGGGCTCTGGACTGACACCAGTGATTTGGCAGGGGCTCTCAGGCCTCCAGCAACAGACTGAAGGCTGCACTATCAGCTTCCCTACTTTTGAGGTTTTGGAACTTGGACTGACTTCCTGGCTCCTCAGCTTGCAGATGGTCTGTTTTGGGGCTCCTCCTTGTGATTGTCTAAGTAAATTCTCCTAATAAATTCCCCTTCATAAGTTCATCTATCCTATTAGTTCTCTCCCTTTAGATAACTGTGACTAATACAATGTAAAATTGTTACAGCACATTTGTTGAAAATACTATCCATTCTTTATTAAATTGTCTTCGTACCTCTGACAAAACTCAATTCAACTGATGTGTATGGGTTTATTTCTAGAGTCCCAATTCTGTTCTATTGATCTATTATATCTATCCTTTCATCAATACCATACTATTTTGTTTACTATAGCTTTATAGTAAGTTTTAAATTGGGTAATGTAATTCTTCTCTGTTCTTTTTCAAAATGATTTTTGTCTAGTGTAGTTCCTTTGCCTTTCCATAAGGTTTAAGAATCAGCTTGTCTATATGTACAATAAAATCCTGCTGGAAATATTATTTATATTTCTTAAATATATAAATGTCCTTAAAAGGATAGTTTGGAAAAAGTAGTAGCCAGTGTCTTGCTTGCAAGACATAAAATAATGTGATATACTCATGAAGAATTGTCTCCCAAAAATTTATCCCTAAGTATTTCTTTTTTGTTTTTGAAGCTGTTGTAAATGATCTTTCTTTTCTTTAGTTTTTAATTGTTCATTGTCCATATATATGTATATGTATATATATACACACACACACACAAATGGCTTTTGTGTGCCAATTTTCTTCCCTGCAACATTCCTAATGTTCATAATTACTTCTAGAATTTCTTTTTTTGTAGATTTATTGGGATTTTCTACATAAACAATCTAGTAATCTAGGAGTAGAGAGAGTTGTATTCCTTTGTTCCCATATTATGCCTTTTATTTCTTTTTCTTGTCTTATTGCATTGGCTAGAACTTCTGACAAAGTGATAAGTAGTATTGATGAAAGAAGTCATCCTTTCCTTGTTACAAAATGTAGAAGAAAAGCATCCGGCCTTTCCCCGTTCAATGTAACATTAGGTTGTCAGTTTTTAGGGATGCCATTTTTCATACAGATTTGAATAATCCCTTTCTCTACTTTCTTCATCTCTGTGATTTCTGTCATACACTCTGGCTCTCAGAGGTACCTTTTTCTGGTATTCTGTCCAGACATTCAGGCGGTTGGCCTCCCTGAGTTGCATTGCACTTCCCTCAATTGGGTCTACCTGGAAGTGGAGGATTCAGAGAAAAGAACCTTCAGTGCCACTGCCGCCACTGCCACCACAAGTGTAGAGATGCAGCTTCATTACTGTAGCTCCATCCTGCAGGGGCCTGCTCCTCTAATTGGAGAAAGAAAGAATTTTTATTAGAGATTTATCTGACCATGAATGTTGTACTATTCTGGGATTTTGGCCACACTAGAGTGTAATCCAGGAGAGATGAGAAACACACACACACACATAAAGCAAAAATTAGGAATTTATTGCTAGATGGGATGTTCTTCAAGTTTTTGTTTCCATCCCCAGTCTAACTGTCATTATTTATTTTTCAGTTATCAAATAGTTCCTTTAATTTTTTTTCTAGGAATTTTTGCTGTAATCAGTAGGAGATAGGATGGATTGTGCCAACTTCTTAAATGGAACCTCTATCACTTTTTTTTTTTTTTGAGACAGAGTCTTTCTCTGTTGCCCAGGCTGGAGTGCAGTGGTGTGATCTCGGCTCACTGAAACTTCACCTCCTTGGTTCAAGCAATTCTCCTGCCTCAGCCTCCCAAGTAGCTGGGATTACAGGCACTTGCCACCATGCCGGCTATTTTTTTTTTGTATTTTTAGTAGAGATGGGGTTTCACCATGTTGGCCAGACTGGTCTTGAACTCCTGACCTCAGGCAATCCACCTGCTTCAGCCTCCCAAAGTGCTGGGATTACAGGTGTGAGCCACTGCACCCAGCCTGCCAGCTATCCCTTAGCGAGGTTCCAGCTTCATGCTTACACAACACTCATGCTTACACTTCCTTGACCAGATCTTAATAATAGGACCATACCCACTTGCCAGGTGCATAACCATATGTTCAGCCAAAAAGTAGAGGCTCTGGCCATATGGAAGAATGGAAAAAATAGATATTAGGGAATGGCTAGCACCACTATCCTTACCTTCAAAAATTGCAAGGTCTAATATAGAAGATAGACATGTAAATAATCTGTTATATTGTTATATTGTAAGTGCTATGTGAGAGATTTGTTCTTATGAGCATAGTTTCTACAATGGGGTCTCTGGAACCTAGGATGCTTTAAGGGAAGTCATGCAGGTCCTAAAAGTATTGTAATATTTTGAGAAACTTAACAAATGTCATATGCTTTACCTTTGATTGGATTCTAAAAGTAAATAAAGCATTGTACTTCTTTCCTTTTGGCTGGAATTCTGTTAATTCCATTAGTAATTCTAATTTTCTCATTCTGATTAGAAGTTTAGAATAGATGTAAAATTGCTCAGTTATAAGAAGTGGAAAACAAATTACTTGTTTCTTAATAAGTGCAATATAGTAGACAACATCTTTCAAAATATGGAGTGTCATATTATTGGTAGACTCTCTTAGTCTAGATTCTTTTGGCAGTAAACAGCCAAATAATAAAAATCCAATTTAGTTCTTAGACAGTTTGAAACAAAAAAGAAAAGGGACATTTATTGGCTCATATAATTGGGAATAACATTCTTAAATAAACATCAGTCACAATTTTTTTGTTGGGGGAGTTTCAAAAGATCACCAGCTAGCTTTTGTCTTTTTACTTCTTTGCAGCATAGGCATTTTTCCCATTTACGGTAAGATAGCTGTTGGTCAGATAGACTGTTAACATATATTCCTAGTAATATCACTGGGAAGAGCCAGTTCTTCCTCCAAGAATCTATACATCCATCACAGGGAAGAAATCTGATTGTCCACGCTTGGAATAGAAGCCTATTCCAACCGATCCCCATGGTCAATATGATATGGTAAGTTTAACCCATCCTGGATTATAGAACCACTTTTATGACCATATTTTGTTACTAGATGAAGAGAGAAAGAAAAGAATGTCACTTTGGGAGGTCAGGGCTGGGGGAAATCGCCTGAGGTCAGGAGTTCGAGACCAGCCTGGCCATCATGGTGAAACTACGTCTCTACTAAAAATACAAAATTAGCTGGGCGTGGTGGCAGGTGCCTGTAATCCCAGCTACTCAGGAGTCTGAGGCAGGAAAATCGCTTGATCCCAGGAGACAGAGGTTGCAGTGAGCCGAGATCATGTCATTGCACTCCAACCTGGGCGACAAGAGTGAGACTTGGTCTCAAAAAAAAAAAGAAGAAAAGAAAAGAATGTATGTTGGATGGAGAAAGTAAACTAACAGCTACCCAACATTAATACGTGCAATGAGAAATAATTCACTTAAGGTTATTTTCCTATCTTTTCTTTTGGTCAGGTCTCTTATTTTTTATTCAGTTTCATACCTATACTTTCCATCAAGTTTTTCATTTGATAGAGGTCACGAGAGAAGTTTCTGAAATTGTTACTTATAATGTATTCTAAAGTTAACTTTCTTCTTTCTGTCAAGACTTCTAAATTGTCACTTTGTATCCATAAGTCAGGAATACTTTCTATCATTAAAGCCAGAAAGGAAATCTCAACTTTATTTTAGCTATAGGTGGTGGAGATCTGAAGCTATTTTATTTTTTTTTCTCTATCCCTTAGCCACATTCCAGCTGTGATATAGATAACCTGGCACCGGACTTGAGTACTAATTTGAAATATGATTTCCTATGTTGAAAAAAAGTCCCAAACTATTTTTTGCTTAAACTTTCAACTGTCATTTAGTAAATTGCTAAATGCATAAATGAATGTTTGGTGCCTAATAAATATTATTGATTCAGAATATCAAATATCAAAAAGATATTTTGTCTTTTTTGAGATCTTATAATTTCCTCTCTATACACATTGGTGTACATGCTTCAACCTAAGTTTAAAATGTCATTTCAGCTTTTTCTTCTTTTTTTTCCAGCCTGTGACTTATGCATTTCTGGAAACAGTATTACTGACATCATATCAATTTTTAAAACTTGAAGCATTTCTCATTACTTCTGTCTTTCCATCATCTCAGCACCTATCCAGTGCCAATGTGTCTGGGATTCTCAATTCACAATGTGTTTGTTCCTGTTTGGGAAGCCAAATTACAAACAACTCATGTTTAGCAACAGATTTTAATTCTTTAACTGTCAATAAAGATTGAATTAATACACTTTTATTCATACTTCGTCATTCTTCTTTACTTCCTTTCACCACCGTGACCTCCACTGTAAAAGTGTAATCAATTTGAATATCCCCTATCCAAAATGTTTGGGATCAAAAATGTTTAAAAGTTTAGATTTTTGAACATTTGCATTTTACTTACTGGTGGAGCACTCCTAATGTGAATATCTGAAATCAAAATGCTCCAATGAGCATGTTCTTTAAGCATCATGTCAACTTTCAAAAAGTTTCTGATTTTGGAGCATTTCAGATTTCAGATTTTCATATTAGGGATACTTAACCTGTATTATTTTTACAGGTTATTTGCGTGCTTTTAAACAGGTAACTTTTCAAAGTCCCCTTTTCCCCCTAATGATTTCGGTTTTCCTTGCAAAGTCAACTACCTAAGGTTATTTCTAACTGGGTTCATTCTGTTCGGACTATATACTTGATTTATTACAACTTTGTATATTTTAGTTATTTTGGTACTTGATCAATCTTGACATAAGGTAAATATGGATTTGCTAATAAACATCAAGATGGAAAGTGAAGTCATCAGTATTCTATCTCCTTTTTACTGAGTATATAGAATTCACATATGTTTTCCCAGATTTAACTGTCTTATTGAGAAGGTTTTTTTACGTCTTCTAGGTAGATCAAGATGGAAAGTGAAGTCATCAGTATTCTATCTCCTTTTTACTGAGTATATAGAATTCACATATGTTTTCTCAGATTTAAGTGTCTTATTGAGAAGGTTTTTTTACATCTTCTAGGTAGAGATGGTGCTACAGCTTGAATGTGTCCCCTAAATTCATGGCTTGGAAGTTTGATTTACAATGTAACATTATTGGAAGGTGGAGACTAACAAGAGGTGATGGTGTCAGGAGGGTGGAGTCCTCATGAGTGGATTAACATTGTTACTGAAGTAGTGGGCTAGTTATAAAACGAGTGGGTTGTTATAAAAAGAGATCTGCCCGTGCTTTCTCTTTTGCATGCTCACTTCCACCTTCAGCCCTTCCACCATGGATGACCCTTGCTAGATGCTCTTGGACTTCCCAGCCTCCAAAACCATGAGCCAAATAAATGTCTGTTCTTTATAAACTATCCTGTCTCAGTTATTCTGTTATAGAACAGAAAACAGACTAAAACAAAACATTTGGTATCTAGAAGTGGGTTGTTACTCTAACAAATACCTGAGAATGTTAAGTGGCTTTGGAACTGGATAATGGGTAGAGGCTGAAAGAATTTGGAGGAACAAGCTAGAAAAACACCCATACTGCAGTGAATAAAGTGTTAAAGGCAATTCTGGTGAGGGCTCAGAAGACAATAGAACTAGAGAGAGCCTGAATCTACTTATAGATGATTTAAGTGGTTATGACCAGAATGTTGGTAGACTATTATGGACAGTAAAGGTCTTTCTGATGAAGTCTCAGACAGAAATGAGGAACAAGGTGTTGGAAACTAGATAAAAGGCCATCTTGTTATAAAGTAGCAAGGAACTTGGCTGAATTGTGTCTGTGTCCTAGGACTTTATGAAATACAGAACTTAAGAGCTGGAATATGATGAGCTAGACTATCTAGTGGAAAAGATACCTGATCAGTCAAGCACTCTGGCTGCTGCATTGTTACTTTTGACCACATACAGTGACATGCAAGAGAAAAAAATAAAGGTAAAATTTTTAATTAAAAAAGAAGCAGAATAGAAAAGTTTGGAAAACTTTTGTATGACCAAGTGACCTTTTGTTAAAGAGATTAATATGGATAGAAGGAAGTCAGGTGCTACTTGTAAAGACAAGGGGAGAAAGATCCTGAAGGCATTTCTAAGATCTTCCAGGCTGCCCTCCTATTATAGGCTCAGATCTCTAAAAGGGCAGAGTGCTTTTGGGAAATGGGTCCAGGAAGACCTTCAAGAGCTTGCTGGCCAGAGATACCTCAAGACTTTGCTCCCCACATTCTGATGAAGCATTCTTTGGCTGTTCTAGCTGCATCTCAAGCAGGCTTAGGTGTGGCTCAACCTGCTGCTCAAGAAGATACAAGCTGTAAACCTTGGCAGTGTTCATAGGATACTAATTCTGTAGGCACAGCTTCTTCCATCTGGATTGCAAATAATGTTGCAGATAACCTGGGGACCTAGGCAGAGACATGCTACAGGGGCAAAGCAGACACAAGGAGTCCCCAACTAGGGCAATGCCCAGAGGTTCTGTAGGGAGAGCACCACTGCCAAAACCACAGAACTGTAGGGCCACCACCATGCAACTCTAACTGATGAGAGCTACTGAGTGGACTGAGCCCAGTGAAGCCTTAGGGCGAGGCTGTCTGAGGTTTTGGGTGCCCAATCCCCAACTCCCCAGTGTGTCCAGGATGTGAGACATGGAATCGAAAGAGATTATTCTTCAGCTTTAAGATTTAACGTAGTTTTCCCTGTTGTGTTTCAGACTTACTTGGGAACCAAGTATCCCTCTTTTCCGGCCCATTTCTCCCTTTTGGAATGGAAATGTGTGTCCTGTGTCTGTCTCACTATTGTATTTTGGAAGTAGATAACTTGTTTTGATTCTATACGCTCACAGCTGGAGATCCCTTGCTTCAAGGTGAATCATGCTTTTAGTTTCACCCATATCTGATTTGAACGAGTCTTTAGACTTTTGAGTTGAAACTGAATGAGTTAAGATTTGAGGGCTATTGGAGAATGAATGTATTTTGCATTATGCAAAGGACATAAATTTTGGGTGCCGGGAAGTATTCTATTTTTATGTGTCTCACAAATTCACGTGTTGGAAACTTAATCCCCAATGCAACAATGCTGGGAGGTGAGGCCTAATAGGTGGTAACTGGGTCATGAGAGCAGAGCCTTCATGAAGATTAATGTCATCTCTAAGGGAGTAGGTTAGTCACAGAGAGAAAGGGTTGTTTTAAAAGGGAGCCAGCTCCTCGTGCTTTCTCTCTAGCATGCCCACTTCCTGCTTCTGCCTTCTGCCATGGGATGACTCTGACCAGAGGCCTAGGTCACGCTCTTGGATTTCCCAGCCTCCAAAACTATGAGCGAAATAAATTTCTATTCTTTATAAACTACCCAATCTTGTGTATTCTGTTATAGCAAGAGAAAACAGACTAAGAGGGGGGGAGGAATTGCATTAGGAGAGATACCTAATGCTAAATGACGAGTTAATGGGTGCAGCACACTAACATGGCACATGTATACATATGTAACAGACCTGCACATTGTGCACATGTACCCTAAAACTTAAAGTATACTAATAATAAAAAAAAAGAAAACAGACTAAGAGAGGGAGGTAGCTTATAAGATATCCCCCCTCTCCAACTATCTTGACTTCTGGCCTTGTGTAATTCTCTCTCCTTGAAGAACTTGGCTCTGACTCATAAAATAAATCAATATTGAAGGGATGTCATGTCCATGATTAGATTACGAGAGGTTGTAATTTTTATCTTGCTAGAGTATCCTCTCCTTTGGTGACTTTGATAAAGCCAGATGCCATATTGTGAGCCGTCCCAACAGAGAGGCCCACATAGCAAAGAACTAATCACAGCCTCCAGCTAACAGCCACCAAGGAACTGAATATGGCTGAAAGCACATGTGCTCGAAAGTGATTCCTTCCATGGTGGAGCTTTCAGATGAAATGTCAGTCCGGGTTGACACTTTGCAACTTTGTGAGAGACCCCAAAGAAGAGAACCCATATAAACCATGTCTGTATTCCATGACTTGTAGAAACTGTGGTATAATTTTAAGCTGCTAAATTTGTGATAGTTTATTACACAGCAATAGATAACTAATAAAGATGGCTACTTTTTCTTTTGTGGTTTTATGGCATTTCTGTACATATTTCTATCATACCACTTCTCATATCCTATTCTCCATTATGTAGATGACTCCCAAGTTTAAATGTTTAAGATAAACCTATCTTTTGAGCTTTATAAGTAAATCAATGTCCTATAAGTGTCTCAAGTTGACCATGTCTAAAAATTAACTCATCTCCAACTGTTTCTTCTACTATGTTTTCTCTATCAGATAGTAGTAGCAATGTCTGCCCAGCAATTCAAGCCAAAAACATATGAATTGTCCTTAGTTTCTTTCCCTTTTCTACGATCCTTCGAAGCAGCCTATCAAATATAATACTCCTTTGTTTAAAACCTTTCCATACTTCTGCTGCACTGCTCTTATAATAAAGTTAAAACTCCATATTACAGCCTGTAAGACTTGGGTGATCTGATCTCGATTTTAAATTGCTTATTTATCTCTAACCACCCCACCTTCCACCTCTCACCTCGGTGGTTTTCCTCTGTGTTAGCCCATTTTTGCATTGCCATAAAATTACCTGAGACTGGGTAATTTATGAAGAAAAGAGGTTTAATTGGCTCACAGTTCTGCAGGCTGTACAGGAAGCATGGTGACAGCATCTGCTCAGCTTCAGTGGAGGCCTCAGGGAGCTTTTACTCCTGGTGGAAGGTGAAGCAGGAGCACACATGTCACATGGCCAGAGCAAGAGCAAGAGAGAGAGATGGCGGGAGAGGGGAAGGTGCCACACAATTAAACAGCCGGATCTCATGAGGACTCAGTCTCTATTGTGAGGGCAGCACCAGGCCATGAGGGATCTTCCCCCAGGTCCCAAACTTCTCCCACCAGTCCCCACCTCTAACACCAACATATTTCATCATGAGATCTGGAGGGGCCATCCAAACTATATCATCCTCCAACCAGTCATACTAAACTTCTTTCAAATTCTGGAACTTGTCATGCCTTCTTTCTTTATTATAACTCCCTGTATTATTCCATTCATAGTCCATGCTTGGCCTTTTTCACATCCCTTTTGCTCTATTCATTTCCACTCATTATGCTGATCTCAGTTTAAATTAACTTTGCCAAGGAAGCCTATTTTAGCAATCTCGAGTTGTGTGCCTACCCAACGATGTTGGGTTGCCTGACTACTCAACCTCTTGTCTACGTTAAGACTTTCTCCATCAGACAGTATCCCCCAAACACTTGTATTTCTCCCATCCCAGCACTTATTCCATTGTTTAGAAATGCCTATTTAATTGTATCTCTCATTACACTGTAAATTCCACAAAAGCAGGAACTATGTTGGAATTTTTTGGCAGTGAATCCCTTATACCTAGAAGAATGTTCAGTTCTAATTTGTACTTCCTGTTCACTCTGGTGTTGAGTATCTTTTCATGTGCTTATTAGCTGTTTGTGCATCTTGTCTTGTGAAGTGCCTGTTCAAATTTTTTGTGCACTTTTAATTGAGGTGTTTGTCTTCTAATTGTTGAGTTTTAATATCTATCTATCCGTTTATCTATCTATTATCTATCTATCTATGTATCATCTATCTATCTGATATGAACCCTTCATCTCCTATGTGTATTGCAAACTTTTTCCAGTCTGTGGCTGGGCCTTATCATTTTCTTAATAGTCTCTTTCAAAAAGGATTTTAAAAATTTGATAAACTCTCATTTGTTAATATTTTTCTTTCATGATTTTTGCTTTTTGTGTTCTAGGAAATCTTTGCCTAACCCAAATCATGAAGATTTTATCCTTTGTTTTCTTATAGGTTCATCTTTTCTGTTTAGGTAAATTATCCATTTCATATTAATTTTTCATTTTTCTTTTCATACAGATTCCAGTTTTTTCAGCAACACATGTCAAAAGACTATTTTTTTCTCATTGAATTATTTTGTTATTGCTATAAAAAATCAGTTAAAGTAAAAATCAATCAAATATGGATCTATTTCTGGACTGTAGGTTACAGAAGTGACAGGAGCTCATGAGATCACCTAGGTGAGAAATTCAGCTAATATATAAAGAAGTTGACTCATTAGGAAAGAATAGTAGACTTCAGCAGAAATTGAAAAGAGACATGGAAGGGTACTGCTTTATGATCTTGCAACTAGCCATCTTTTCTTTCCTTTACTCTTCTTGCCTACCTAGAGTAAATCACCTACTATGTAAGACAATAATTTTTTTTTCTGGGACTTAATAGATAACTTCCAGGAAGACATGACTAGATTATTTGGAACATGCAATCTATGTAATAAAATAAAAGAGTGTGGTTCCTATGTTACATTTTCTCTGGACAACAGGTAAAAGTTGAGACAGGTGCATATTATGATTTTTGCTTTCACAGTCTGTTTCTTGGCCCTGCTGAAGTCTCCAATTAGATGCATATAGCTATCATTACATTAGAAAATTTTCATTCAAGCACTCTAGATAAGTATACATGAAACTGTCATAAGAAAAAGCATAATCAGCATAATTCACATTCATGGTAACTCCTAAAGCTGAGAGTGAATGCATATCAAGAATAATAATACAAGACTAATTGATTTACATGGATAAAAGGGATAAAATGGATCCATATTTACACCTACATTGGTTTCACATCATATGCTATTTGAATTCACAGCTCACTTTAAAATGTCTTTGAAAGGTGCTATTTGTTCAATGAATACATTTAAAAATAGTACTAGAGCCTTGTCTGAACCCTGTAGCCCCCTAGCAGATTCCAGACAAGATAGGAGAATTCTCAGCATTTTACTATGCTATGAAAGTTCTCATTTCATTTGTCAAAAATAAGCCCTATATTTTCAAACAAATATTGCTCTTCTACAAGACACTGCTGTCATGGGATCCTTATGTTGTGTTAGATAAAAGCGTCTTTATGTCTTGGCACTGTCTTCTGTATTAACCATTTCTATAAGGCATTGCTAATAGCAGTTCAAAATGAACTTCCTGAAATCCAGCATGTACTGTGCCATCCTGAGAGTCTAAGTCACCCTATAGGTACATTTGAACACTACTTGTGCATATAATGCAATGACAATTTTAATATCTGAATCATTGTGTCCTTATACTTCTGCTTCTGTATTACATGTAACATTGTCTGTTTGCATCACTTTTGTGGCCATTACCTTGTTCTGAGTCATCTTGTGGTTATTTGGAAGTTTTGTTTTTTTAAAAAAATTCTTCAGTAAACTGCATAAGTATGAATACTGCATTCTACTCATCTCTGTATTCTCCAAAGCTTTAATGAAGTACCATTAATTTGATTATATTTAATGTATATTTGTTGAGATGATATTTTTGCCTAGCTATCAATAAAGACCAGGACTAATTCCTTAGATATATACAAATCATATTATCAACCTTTCATTCTAGTTACGTTGCCAGGAACACAATTAAGCTCATGAACTATCCAATTCTCAGTAATGAGAAGACAGGTTTGACAGTGTGGGATGATTAAAATGCTTAATGTTCAATTAGCCTTCTTGGATTAAGTCTAGTAAAGGAAAAGGTAGGTAATTTAAAGTTGTATTATGGAGAATATTATTTTACAAAAATCTTAAGAGGGCAATTTGAAAAAGACATTGATTGCTCTAAACTTAAAATATCCAAGGCATCATTTTGAAACTACAAAGACCAGATAAAAGGGTTATAAATATACTGAAAGGGAATGGTACAGACAAGAAAACTGAAAAATGCAACAAAACTCGATATGAAGAATTTATTTAATCTAGCAGAAATAGGAAAAGGTGGACAATATAAATGACTCCTAAATCTACAGTGACAACCATTATCATAAATTACCAACATGAGAAATGCTATAATACTAAATGTAATTTTCTTGAGTCATTACATTTCAAATACATATCACATAGAAAGTATATAAAAATATGGATGTATAAAATGTGAATGAATTTTTCGCACTGAGAAGCAAAGGAACTTACACCTTTTTGTGAGGTATTATGAGAATGAAATCATGATTGGCAGTAGTAGAGCTGGGGGCTGGTGCGGGGAGGTTGTCAAGGAGAGAAGGAGTGTATGTGTGTGTGTGTGTATATACCTACTGTTAATTGAATGCACTTCCAGAACTTGGGAACCAGTTCTGAATATGAACTAGGTGAAATCTGCCATCATCAGAAATAACCTTTTTAAGAGATGGCTTCTGAATATGTTGCTGCCAAGACAAGGGTAAACATTTTAGTGTATTTTTTTCAGAGCTTCAGTGTGAAACCTGGCCTTTGTGCATAAAAGTTGCATCCTATTTCATAGAACGTGTACTTTGAAAGGGACCTAATTGGTCATTGAGTTCAACTAGATACATAAACACATGAATTAGTGAAAAGTGGGGTGATCTATCTGCAAATAACACAATTTCATTCATCCTAAAAATCCACACTCTAATTTTAGACTCTTCTAAATGCTCTCCTGAGATAAAATCTGAAATCTTATTCATTGGCTCTATTATGTCGAATAGAATCATAGAGTTTAAAACTAATTTTGCACCTGCATTAATGCCTTTTAAGTATTTGAATTTTGTTCTCTCTAAAACATTCTATTAATCTGGCTAAGTGTTTCCAACTCCTGGTGTGATATAATTTCTAGTTTCCACATGATCCTGGTTGCTCTCAACCTGTTTCCTCTTTTTTGAAAGAATTCTCAATTGTCTGTTTCTTTATATTGTGGTGACTTCTGCTGCAATAGAAAAATGGGCAAAGTATAGGAAGAGCTTATTCGTGTAAGAAGAGATGTTAGTTTCCTATAAATATGCAAAATTTTAAATTTCCATAGTAATCAATTAAATGCTAACTAAAAGAAGATAACCTTGTTTTTCATACATGAAGTCGGCAAGGTTGAAGAACCCCATCATTTTTGGCAAGGGTTCAGGGAAGCAGGCACTACTGTATGCTGATGCAATAAAAGAAAAAAATAATCAGAGAAATGTTCAAAAATTCATTAACAAAACTGTTTAGCATATAAGAAAAGTGACTGGGAGAAATCGTTAAATAGCTTAGGGCACAATGTAGCTACTGAATATTAGGATAATTTAATGACTTTGAGAAAATGCTTGTAATTCCTTATTAAGAAGACACAGCAGGCTATAAAACAACATTATATATGTATTTTTATCAATAATATCTATAGAAAAACACCGAATGAACCCTGGGAAGTGCAATAATAGGTATCATACCTTTCCATCTTCAATGTTTCTGACAATGAAAATATATTATCTGTCCAATCAGACATTGAATAAAAACAAGTTTTGCTGGGCGCGGTGGCTCACGCCTGTAATCCCAACACTTTGGGAGGGTGAGGTGGATGGATCACTTGAGGACAAGAGTTCAAGAGCAGTCTGGCCAACATGGCAAAACCCCATCTCTACAAAAAATACAAAACTTAGCCGGGCATGGTGGGGTACACTTGTAATTCCAGCTAGACGGGAGGCTGAGGCAGGAGAATCACTTGAACCCAGGAGGCAGAGGTTGCAGTGAGCTGAGATTGTGCCACTGCACTCCAGCCTGGGCCACAGAATGAGACTTCATCTCAAAAACAAAAACAAAAACAAAAAACAAGGTTTAAAAACACTTCCAGAAGTTTTCTGATCAGTCCTGAACCTTGCTGTTTTGTTCTTAGACTCTTTGTGTATGTATCAGGGTCATAGTGACCTTTTCATTGCTATATCTTCTATTACAGTGTCCTATAACCTCCAAATATTTTCCGTGACTACTGTTATTAAGTCATGCTCCTGTATTTTCTGAAGCTAAAAGCCTTTTTGTTTGGCTTTACATTAGTTCCTATCAAATTTCATTTCGTTTTATTGAGTCCATATGTTGTGCTGTTGAAAGTTTGAATTTTTTTCTGTTGTTCCTTATTGAACGGCCAGGCACAGTTCTGCGTATTTCACTGATACATTTGCCTGATATTGTTGTCCTCATCCAACATGAATGCCGTTTTATCCATCAAAGATTGTGGAGTATTTCCCCCCACCCCCTTTTTTATTTTTATTTTTTTTACTAGGAAGGAAACTCATCATAACCAGCATCACCAAAAGATGTGTTGTCCAAACCATTTTAATTTGCAGGAAAACATGACTGACTAAGGAAGACCATTCCAAGTAAATCTGATTGTATATGTTGTACTTCTAGAGAAATTTAGACATTTGTAGGAAAATTATTTTGAAAGATTATATAGATATTTAAGCAATTTTATAATCACGGAAAATGGCATATTTGAAAAGTGTTATCAAATATAGAGCAAGAACTCTCAACAATGCATGGTGTAAGGTGGCTGGTGTACACTGTATGATCGTATTAGTCAACACTTTTGCCCATGGACTTATGGATAGTGAGAGCCACCACTCTGATTAAACTAAACAATTTATCCCTGTAAAGAACCACAGAATATTCTTATCATCAATTACAACTCTTAGAAAGAGATTCAAACCTATGTCATTTACCAACTAGACACTAAAGTTTCTTGTCCTTAAAAGAAATTTCACATTATTCTGAAAGAAGGTAAACATTGGCAGATTCTCTTCTCTAATTATATTGCTTTTAGAGTCCCAGCTAATCTTTCTCAATGGACAAACTAAGAAAATTTATATGCTAACATGCGAAGTACTTTCTCCAAGATAGCAAATAGTTTCGTATTAGGTGAAAAAAAAACTTCTAGGATGCAAAATTCTATTAGTGTTAAGGGAAAAGGATTCCTAGATAGCTTAAAGAAAATGAAGTCAAAGAGTAGAAAGTCTCGGGAAGTAAAGAAGAGTGAGGGAGAGAATGCATATAAGGTCCTCTCTTTATAGAAATATGCCCTGTGATGTTGTGGTGTGTCTAGTCTTTTTAAGGCATATTAGTACTTTTATTAAGTTCATATGCCAATGTTAAATAAAAAAGATGGATGAGAGAAATTCCTAAATTTAAGATTCAAGAAATAGCAATTATATTTTATGCAGTAAAAATATCACAGTACTGCATAGACCTGAATACCAAAGGAGAGCTGAAAAAAAAGGCTAATCTCTGTGACATCTTGAAAGGGAAATAGGCACAAAAACAAGCGGTTGATCAGAGGTGAGGGCACATCTATCCTACTTTAACCACAGATCATTAAGACATTAAAAGTCACGTTACTTCTATTGTGGGTAGAGTTCAGTCACTTAGAAGTGTTTCTTGTGTGCCAGTTTCTCTCTTGCTTCCTTGGGCAAAAGAAACCATATTCTCTCTTGGTATAATATGACCTAGAGCAATATATTGTTCCTTAGTTTATTCTGGTTCTGATGTGGGTACTGATATCCATACACAAAAATTTTTTTCTGAAAGTTTCTAGTGCTTGAACAAGGATTATCAAAACAAACAACTCACCCATAGAGTTGCACAAAACTCAGTGTTTTCTTTTTCAGCTATTATGTCATCATGACTAAGAATATCAGGGCAGAAAGAGCTACATGTTCATCAAATTCTTTTCCTACACATTTAGACAGCATTGCCCATACCAAGGCACGCGAGTGAGGCTGGCCAATAGAATGTGGGTGGAGTGATATACATCACTTCCAGGCTTGCCCATAAAACCTTCCAGCACAAGATCCTTTTTGCTCTTTCCCTTTTAGCAGGCCGAATAGAGAGGACTCAAAGGACCTCAAGGAGGGCAAAGCCACATGATGGAAGGTGTCTTTGTATCTGAGTCACCCTTGGAAACAAGCTGGTTGGAGAGGAGCATCTATGTAGAATTTATGTTTGAGGGAGAAACAAATCTTATTCTCTTAAGCTACTGAAATTTGGGGGGTTATTGGTTACATTTATTAGCCTTCCCCAGATAGGTATGGACTCTGGGCCAAACTGCCTTGGTTCCAATCTCATTTCGTCAAAAGCTGTGTGACCATGGGTAAGCTATTTAATCTCTCTAGTGCTTCAATTTCCTTATATATGAGATGGTGATAGTAACATTATGTACCTCATAAAGTATTGGGGGAACTGAATGAGATACACAGCCCTTTAATAAGCCTGGCATATAAGTAGAAGTTATTATTTCCAAAGATGACTCTCATTTTGAGATCATTTCCAAATATGGATCTCTTATAGAGTTGGATAGATAACTATAAGCTGATTTGTTAAAAGAAAAATTATCCAAATTTGACATTCAACTGCAAGAGTGTTGAGATTTGCAGAAAGAAAATAAGAGGAGAGAGGAAAGTAAGGAATAAGGAAGGAAGGGAGGAAAGAAGGAAGACTTCTTTGTTCTATGCAGCTTATGTGCTAACCCAACTTTGTTAATATGTCTGACACAGCAAAAAAAGAAATATATGTCAGCATCAGATAGTTAATATGGACAAAACAAATTCCAGAGGCAGACCAACATTTTCTCTTGTTATTGTTTATAGTAGTATTCTGGATATGTTTCCGACTTGGATATCAAGTATATTAAAAATCCCCACTTTGGGAGGCCGAGGCGGGCGGATCACGAGGTCAGGAGATCGAGACCATCCCGGCTAAAACGGTGAAACCCCGTCTCTACTAAAAATACAAAAAATTAGCCGGGCGTAGTGGCGGGCGCCTGTAGTCCCAGCTACTTGGGAGGCTGAGGCAGGAGAATGGCGTGAACCCGGGAGGCGGAGCTTGCAGTGAGCCGAGATCCCGCCACTGCACTCCAGCCTGGGCGACAGAGCGAGACTCCGTCTCAAAAAAAAAAAAAAAAAAAAAAAAAAAAAAAATCCCATACCGCCTTTTCCCTCTGGCTTTATTAACATATCCTTACTTGTCCTGTTGTAAAACAAACTGAAATATGCCAATAGCTCTTTGCCATTTTGTAAGCTTTATTCTAAGACACAATGCTTATAAATAAAGCACTATAATGCCATAAAAACTCTCAACAAACGTACAACTGTGCATTTACACTTTCTTCTAAAAATAGATGAAGATTATGGGTTTTAAAATGAATGAGAAACTACAGAAAAAAAATCATGGGAACTCAGGAAAATAAGTGAAGCAAAAAATGTACCATATGTAACAGAAATGGGTATTTACTCAGTAACAGTGACAACAAAGCTAAACACAAGGAAATTAGTACTTTGTAGATTAGGTAACAAAAAGCTATAAAATTGCCTCGTTTTGATCTTTTTGAAGTTTCTTAGAAATAGCTCTCACTTCATAGGCAAATATGTGAACTTGGTAGTTGACTGTTTATTCATCAAGATGTTCTTCACCTTTATGGAAGGAAGTGAGCTTCTATTTTTCTGAAGTCTTCAAGGCGTGAACAAAAAGAGATGTATCTGTGGAGAAAGAAGAGGTTTTCTACTCAAAAAAAAGTGCCTATTCTGAAAAGAAACAAACAAGTAGTTAACTGAAAAAAAAAAAGAAAAAAACTAAATGAGATTTTCTGCACTGTTACAACGCCCAAGGACAGTTCTGATTCGATGCCTTAGCAATTTACATGGAATTTTACTCTGGTGTTTTCTCTACAGTTCAGCAAAAACAAGCAACAGAACAATATACTATTTCTGAGCCACAAGAACCATTTTCAGAGGCCAGTGTATGTAGTTTCAAAATTCTTCACTTCTAACAGTATCATATAAATGGACTGTAGAGAAAAAAAAATCCTTTTAAATCTTTTATGCAGACTAAGTCTTGCGGGACATGTGGGGCTTTCATTCACCTTCTAGAAGGGTATCTGGGCTCAAAGGTCACATGGAGTGCAGGGATGAGCATGAACCCAAAGGGTGGTGTTAGTGCTGATGGATAATTTCACTAACTTGGGCAGCACAGTTGGTTTGAGTATGAGGACATTTTAGCTCTGGGGAAATGTCAACAACAGGGCCTGCCAGTTTCACCAGGCAACCTCCAACACTCAGCAGCTCTTGGTGTATCAATGGCTTGCTCATCCTCAATCACAAAGAGAAACTAAGAAACTGACCTTTAAGTTCTTTAAACAAGTCCTAGAATTTTGTGATAACAGAACATAGCCTAGCCTTACCAATAGCAACAAACAGAGAGAAGAAAGTGTAGACAATCAATGGGATATGTTCCTTCAATTATGAAAATATTTCTCCACTTCAGCGTGGGGATTTGTTTCATCCTGAGCAGAATTAGCACAATTTGGAGCCCTTGGATTCCATGAATAGACTCTTTAGTAAATCAGTTAGGCATTCTTTTTCCAGCTACTCTTCTGTCTAAAAAGTGTAGTGGAAAAAGCACTAGAGAAGAAAACATGAGACAAGAATTTGAGTCTCAGTACTGCCATTAGTCCAGTTTATAACTACAGGCAAGTCACTTCACCTCTGTCTGTTTCCTCAGCTCCAAGGTGTAGGAGTTGAATTGGCTGGTCTTTAAAATCTCTTTCAGCTCTAAAAGCCTGACCTACTTAAAAAGGCTAGCACTGGCTCCTTCAGTCACTAATCTATGTACACTACTGAAATGATGAGGTCTTGTCTTTTAAATATGCTGTTTTAAGAAAAAAGCATTTTTTCTCTCTTGGCCCTCAGACTGTAAATCCTTTGTTGTGCTAAGACATGCAAACAACTGATACTGAATAACATAATTTATTATTTGCATTTGACATGTCACATTAAAGGCTAGATGGGCACATTGTTGTTGTTTTTTTTTAAATCAGTCATCTGATTATATTTTCTTGCTTATTGAAATTAAACCGAGCTCATAATTAACATCCAATTAACACTACCAGGTGAAGTACTTTAGTGTTGTCTCTTCTCTAAGTAACAGTGATTTTCTTCTGATGGCCTTCTACTTCTTGGAAGGTCAGCAGGTCCCCAATTCAGACTCTTGTTCCTACCTCAGCTGATTCATACCAAATCCTCCAAGAGCAATCTCCTTGTATAATTTTCCTTTTTCACAGTGGTCACAGTTCTGTAGCTATATAATAAAAATCATGCAAATCTGGATTTTGCTTATGCTAAAGACTGGCTTATTTGAATAGGAGGACCAATGTTCATTTACTTCAGTGTGAATGAAGCTTGATGCAATGTTTTTCAATGTGACTTTAGCTAAGCCTGCAATCGGCAGAACCTACAATACAGATTGCTATACTTACAAGTCTGATTTGTGACAACTGTGGCATCTGATTGTGTTTTCTAGATTTAGCAGCTTCTCTAGCTTTATTCTTCTGGCCAGCTTTTGAATATGATTTTACGTACTCTTAGCAATCAGTCCATTTAATTTGGATTTTTGCTTTTTTCATCAGGATTCAAAATGTAACCCAACGAATTTCAGATGAAGTCTAAAATAGGGCTTTCTGTGATTCACATGCACCAGTGAAGAATATAGGATTATATATATGCTTTTATATATAGTTATAAGTATATAGATGTATATATATGTGCGTTCACACACACACAAATAGACTCTATGTGCATATATACAAACATTCCTCCAAATTCCAATTGCCTTTTCTTTGATAGGTTTGATAGCAATGTAAAATCATATACTCTAAAAGGTTTCTTATTCACATTATCATCATAACAATGTAAATCATTGCTACTTCTCACTTGGTTAAATTGGAAAAGATTCAAACACACATTTTAAAACTCTTTTTAAATTACCTTGCTTTTTCATAGAATTATGCATAACAGAAAATAATGTTTAGTCTATTATTTTTATCTTGAATGTTTTCATGCCAATTTCAGAAAAATTGTGACCCTTTTTTATAGTTCATTTTCCAAGAAGCACGGATAGTATTGAAATATTTTTATTTTTCACAGATATTAATTAATTTCTGGGATAAATACACATCAGTGATAAGTAAGTTCAGTTAAATTTTTCAATGTTTAAATGTTGGATAGAATATCTTTCATTTGACCAGAATCTGTGGGAATTGATCAGAAATGTGCATGGCAAAATAGTTTCCTTGAATTGCTCCCTTACCAAGCTCTTCTCTATCAGCAAATCATAGATGAAAAATTTATTCTCAACATGGGAGAAATTAGACTTTGCATTTTCACTAGAATTAGAAAGATGGAACAAAGAAAAACAGGAAATAAAAGCAGAGAAAAATAAGTTGTGAGATTCTATCAAAATGCTGATTATACTGGAAATTATTCAATTGAGTCTCCAAATTGAGAAAAACTTGTTTTTTTTTTTTTTTGTTTCCTGTTTGTAGAAAGAAAAAGACAAAGAAAACAACAATAAAAAGTGTAGAGTAGCAGTTTAGTTGCAAAAAGAAAGGAAAGAAAGAGGAGACGAGAGGAGAGGAGAGGAAAGAAAGCCCTTTCCCACCCCTCCTAAGAAAACACTGGAGTCTACATATTCCACACACACCTTCTGCTATAGAGTGAGGGATACAATATACTGCAGAAGTCTTCATCAGAGAAAGCTACAACGAGGCAGGAGAGCAAGCAAGTTTTCAAATGTTTCTCATCAGTAGGGGCTAGAACAAATAAGAGTTGGCCCTTCATTTATTAGAAAACTAAATAAATTAAGTTCATGTCCCAAGCCATTCTGATTAATCAAGGATTTCTTTTTATTTTAAAGTGAAACAACAGGGGGAAAAACAGTCTGTATGGCAATTTTAACATTTGTCTCTGTTTATTTTTCTTTGAGTGGGCATTTCTATCTATCATTAGCTCAAAAAAACTTAACATTCATAGAATTAAAAATTGCATAAGGGAACAACAAAAGAATAACAACTCCTTCCAACGATAGAACTGGGGCTTAGTAATGTTTATGGGTGTGAATATTGAGGTGTCAAAATTGCAGAAGAGAGTAGGCAAAAGGCCTTTATCCAAGATGGCACACTTTAATGATAGCTCACCATAATACTTAGCACTAGTAAAGACCTACAAGTGCTTCTGAAGTGAAATGTATCATTACTTCCAGTTTCCAAAACATTCTATAAGTTGAGCCTGGCTTTTGTCTTTTGAATCATTCTGCAAGGATGTTTTTGAATTCTCAGCTACTCTTGCAGCAAATCAACCCTTTACTATTTAATGAGCAACGAGTATATGAAAAATAGAATTGTCTCAATCCTAGGAAAGGAAACTATATTTCTCTGCCTTCATTTCCTCCTGTTGTCCCTGCTTTTTCATTTTTTCCCCACCTAAATAGAACCACACGTGTATATATACGTATATAGAAAAACTTCTCAAAACTACTTATTTTCACAGGGGCCCTAGCATATGGCCAAGACCATCCTTTGTGATACTTTTTGTGTAATCCTGATATAATGTATTTGGCACAGAGATCAACTGGTTACTAGTTTACATAAATTCTATTCTATACAAATATTAGCAAGTAGAGCAATCTGGAATATAACAGAACAATGACCAAATTACAGATCATCTGCTAAAGAGAGCAGAATACACAGACAATAGCCCAATGGGGTGTTCAAGGGCATCACATGGTATAACAGATGTTAAAGGACTCTAAATGACAAAGCACTTTGGACATTAAGAACATTATTATTGTTGTTATTGTGGCATAACAACTGATACACTATGGGAAAAATAAATCCCTAGAAGGCAAAAAGCTCTGGTCAGGTTTAATATAAGGAATCATTTCCTCTCCATGTGTAACAGCTGGCACTTGGCAATGAGAATGTAATGTTTGGAGAAACACACCTTGGGCCTATAAAATAGAAATTTGAATATACAAATATATATTATGAAGTATGATAGGATACAAATTGATGTAAAAATATGCTTTGCTGTCTCTATTTCATGATTTTAAAAATCATATAGTTTTGTGTTGTTGGATGTTGAAGCAGAGTTAGCAAACCCTTTGGTTACTTTTTAGGAATGTTTTCACAGTATATGTTATTACAGTGTTGAAGTTGGTATCTTACATGTTAAGTAGCCTTCTGAAATATTTAGCACTCAACCAAAAATAACTAAACATTAATATAGATCATTCTAATCACATGTTCAGTTATACTGTTGGTAGTAAGAATGGATGGTAAGAGTGGAAATTCATCAAGATTTGCTACTTGGCCCATTTTGATTTATGTGTTTGAGATAGTCAAGTAATCCTGAAGTGTAGGATGTCCATGAAATCTTCATTGTTAATTAGGCAATGGCCTGAGGCTTTAGCTGTAGGAAATACTGTAGAAAGATGGTATATTAGGAAGAGATATTTTCCCATCCTTAGGCTAAGTAGTAAGATACTTGCACCCTGATAGCAGTTCTTGGGTCAGTGTTTGACAATCAATCATTCTTCAAGATGGCGGAACTGCTGAGATTCAACAAGCCATTGAGTCAATCACCTTGCCTCATGAAGCCAAACTCTTTTGGCTTCTGGAAGTTACTCACTGTTGAACAATTCTAGGCAGCTATCTTGAAAGATAATCTTCCCATTTCTTAGGTCACAGTTGTCATGTCACTGGCCTTCATCTCAATTCCAGTTAAATTATAAAGTGCGGTACGTAGTGTTGAACCTCCAGAAAGAACATCATGAGCACAACCATCCTCCATGAAATGCCAAGTTTAAATTACTAGCAGAGTCACCATCCACATCTGAGAGTGTACAGGAACTTGATAATCATTGTTGTTGTCTTTATCATTACCATCATCTCCATTAGCATCATCAGCATCACAGTTGCAGTATGGGGATCACATTAAGTGATGCGGCAAGATCAGGAAAACCATTATCAAGACAATGTCCAGTTTGGATGTGTAAATATTATCCTGTGCTTCTTGGCCCATTTAGCAAACACTTTCTTTTCAGTGATAAACCTATGACCCCCATATGGGGCATGTTCATGAAGAAAATATTCATCACACTCATCTCTTCCTTGTTCATAATAATGGTAGGGGACTTTTCTATACCCTTCTGTCCTAGAAAAGAAAAAAAAAGAAAAGGAGAGAAAGATTGAGATGAAGAATGAAGCACTCATTTACAAGAATCCATTATGTGCCCAGTAAATGCATTTACTCACAAACCCATACATGATTCTTGTCCATGAACTCAGTTAAAAGCTATTATATGTATGAAAGCTTTTAGGAAGATGTACCAAGTTTTTAGTGGTTTAATAGATCAAATAAAATTTATATATCATGCCAATTACATTCAAACATATGGCTATCTTTTGAAAAGGAAATGGTGTATAATTGAAGAAACTTTAGATAGCCTCTTGCAGAACTTGAAGAAACTGTGATTTTTCACAGTAAGATATTGGCTCATCTGAGCTCCATTATGCTTATAGTTAGGGAAGAAATATTTGTTCATGAAGACTGTGGCTGAGAGTTACCATTTTGACATTATGATTAAAACAGTCTGTGAATTATATTGTGCCAATTGTTGGTAGGGAAATAGATTCCATTATCCTGATGAAGCATGGAGGGTTTGTTTCATTATCTAATTAGAAACTATCCCACCAGCAAGGATATACTGTGGGTAAACACACTCATTTTAAATAAGGATCTGGCAGATTACTCACTTACTAGTGAAGTATAATTTCCAGGAATTCTTGTTAAGCTGTCAGTTTCTCTGAGGCTGCAGGACATTTTGTCCTTCATGATCAAATCTAACTAACCATTGAGTAGATAGCTATCCATCAAGCCATCAGAGCAGCAGAAATGACAAACTTGCTTTTGCAAATTACACAACCACTAAACTTCTTCTGTATTTTCAAGCCAAAAGTCCCTGCTATGCCACTGATTAAGGGAAAAGTGTTCCTCCTGACATTTGACATTAGACTGGTAAATATTTTTCTTTTTCTCACCCCTAGAAGTCACAACTTGACGCACTGACAATAAAATGTCATGTCAGCAAAGAACACTGGGAAATAATTGTTGCTTTATCTGTTTCTCAGATTTATGGTATTAAAATGAATTGTGATATTTTGACAAGATCTCCGAATTGGAGCTGCATAAAAATAATTTCTTGTGATCTTACTTGCAGTAGGTGTCATTTATCATCCCGTAGACGTGAATGCCATAACAGGCGTCCATGGCCAGAAGGAAGGTAAACCACCCTGTGCTGAGATATGAGCCAGACTGGACTCTGAGGGAAATGAAAACAAACAATAACAAACAGAACAAAACACAGAACACACACACAGAACAATAAGGTGTGTGAGAAACGAGCAACATTTCATCAAAAACATAGCACTTGTTATCAGGAAAAAGAGTTGAGAAACTTGACAATATGTCAAAGATGCACACTTGTTTTGAATTATCTCTGAATAATTTATAGGAATGCTCTTGCTCTTACTACCTTAAGCCTCAAAGCTATGTTGTGTGGAAGAGAAGCCATATAGCAAATATCTGAAGTCAAATAATCTTATCCCTTCAGGTGAAAAATAATTTATTTAATTTTCCATAAGACACAAATTAGTCCTGTCTATCAGAGGAAAGATTCTCTTAAAGTTGCTTGGAGCCCAGATGGGAACTGAATGATAATAGTGCTATCTTGCTTAACTGGACATATTACTACTTTCTTGAAGGCTGCTTGGGTTTCTAAGTGTAACTTACATGCAGTGTATGTGAATAACTTGAAATGAAAGCATCTGAAAAGATTTCTTAACTGCTTTCCAGGCATTATAAGACAAGACTTTTCCTTTTTAAGACCTATGTTACCAACTTCTTCATTGTATTTCCATTGAACAAGCTACATGGTAATCACTGTTATGGAGGCTGGGGATACAACAACGATCAAAACAACCAAACCTTCTGTCTTTGTGAAGGCCAGTGGGTTGGATTTGGAGGTAGCTATATTATAAAGTTTGGCTAGGAAAGCCTTCTTTGATCATGGGAACAAAGATCTGAAAAAGACAGAGGGGAGGGTCAAGGAGGAAGAAGCCACTTGGACCACATGAGGAAAAGGTATTTCAGGAAGAGGGAAGGGCAAGGACAAAATCACAAATATGGAAGTATGGTTGGTATGTTCAAAGAAGAGCTGGGAAATGCAGGAACTGAAGGGGAAGGTGGTGATGTACTTGGATGAAGTGCTGATTGGGCATCTGCCAAGTTCCAAATGGTTCAAAGGAATGTTAAATGAAAAGCTGGATCTCCATATTTGTCTTTAGCCAGTGTGACTCAATCCATTCAAAAGAGATGACTGTCCATCTCCTTAAAACTCTCCACGGGGGCATTTGGAGCACCCCAATTTGTTTGATAGCTGTGTAGCAACACCTCTGAAAAAGATTAAATGGTCTATCTTCCATATAGACTTCTTGGCCTACAGGAGCACAGCCAGTTCAAACTGACACTTAGATACTGATAACCGCTCTCTGGATACAGCCCTCCAGCCAGTACTTGCTCCCTACTGATGCTCAATATTGTTGATGCACATCCCAGTACCAAGCCATCAGTGTGCTATAATTAGGAGCCTTGAATCCTTTGCTGCTGCTGCTGCTGCTTCTTTTTAACAGGCACTACTTAGTGTCAAATTACTTACAATGTGCCAGCATTTCAGGAAAAACACAAACTCACAGTGGGGGTTGATAATTGGATTTTTTAGCCTTTACTTGCATTGACTTTGGGTGATTTACAAGGATACACAGACTCAGCCCATATACATCCTCTCTGCATACTTGTCACTGAGTCTGAAATGTTACTACCTAAGTAGCCATTCCTTCGCATCTTCTGGTGTATGGAAAATATCCCAGAAACTAGATCACAGTGAGTTACATGCACTTTCCTCTGTGACAGTAGCAGCAACATGGGGCAGCAATAGATGCAAAATGAATGGGAAGACGTATCTCAGGGAAGTGAGCTACAGTAACGAACAACTTTGCCTTTTAGACAACTTAACCTGCAGTCAATCCTGCATTCTGGGGTTTGAGGAGGAGCAGCAATGATGGGAATTGCTTAAAGCACCATCTGCTTAAAAAGCCCTTATTTGAAAATGAGAAGAGATCAGAAGAGGCAAGAGTCTTGACAAAATGCTCCCAAATTGAATCTAAATATTTTGTCTATGTACTGAATTTGTCTGGTTATTATTCCTATGGAATTGTATATTCTTTTTTTTTCTCTTCTTTCTCATACTATTTTTTTCTACCTTTCACTCCCTATCTTGTCTATTCTTCATTATCAGGCTGACCAAGCACTCATAGAGATCACTAAAAGTTACGGCATTTGTTTGTTTCTATATGATGAGGAAAAAATCAGGTCTCATGTATTTACTCATTTATTCACTTTTTCAACCAACATTTATTGGGATCCTATTATGTGCCACTGACTGTGCTAGGAAGCTGGTGATGAATATTTTCTTAAGAGTACATGGTCTAGTGAGGGAGGCACACATGTTAAAACAATTGATCACAATACAGTGCAACAAAGCACAGCCATGTGTTTCAGAGTCAACACAGAGTGCAGTTAGAATTGGAGTGAGGATATCTGGTTTCATATTGCAGCTCTGCTGCTACTCGAACATGAGGCTTTGGCCACTTATTTAGCCTCTCTGGGTCTTATTTTCCTTGTGTCTAAAATGAGATGGTTGAACTATGATTCTGTGATCATCACCCTCAACAGTCTGTAATTAAGTTTTAACCACTGTGCGGTACCATGCTCTATGCATATTGGATGTTGTAATGAGCAAACATGTGAATACGTCAGATCACATTTCATGCTCCCTTGTGTGATGGGCATGACACTAAATGTATGGGGTATATATAAAAATATAAGCTGGGTATAAAGTTTTTACCTTGCAATGGTAGTGACAATAGTCACAAAACTTTTGTGGGGAGAACTCCATGATTCCCTCCTTTACACTGCCACTCATGGAAGGTGTTGCAATGGCTGACGAAGGCCAAGGCCATAACTGAACCATAGTGCTAAGGGTAAAGGTGAATTTGAGTGAGAAAAAAAAATCATAATTAGGAAAAATCATCCTCCCTTTGATGTGGTCCCTTCACAGAGGTGCTAATTATCAAAGACAAAGATAATATGATATCCCCAGGAAAAAGAGGAAGATCCTCTTTGTGACATATGGACACTTATTCTGTGAAACAAGCAAGCTCTCCTGACTCATTCTGGTCTAGCCCACACAGTCGTTTCTGAAGGTTCAACAGTAAGCTTCCAGAACACAGCCCTCAAAGAATAAAGAAGATACAATGGTCATTAGTGGCTTCTCTATATATCTATGTTCTCTTTAGCACAGGAAAAGAAGATCAAGAATTTCAGGGTTTGGCATCTGGTCAAGGATCTTGCCATCTTACCACCTAATAAGGAAACTTTACCACATTTCTGATACTTGATTCCTTTAGGACCTAACCTGATTTGTTTTATTTCTGTGTAGACATGCCATGCTAATTAGCTCAATAGCTCTTTAAACAAGATGTGTTGCATTTGATTCAGATGGGGGAGGCTCATACTGCCCAAGTGCCCTGTCCTACAAACAGCACTTAATTGACAGTTGCAGTTCCTTTCCCTGATGCCTCTGATATATTTGGGATGTTAAATGGCAGGGGGTTTCCTACCCACAGTACAAGCTAGGGCTAGCAAAGTAGTTCTTTTCTCTAACTATTTGGAGCTAATGTCCATACAATGATGCTTGCAGTGGAATAATGACAACTTCTGGATGAATCCAGGAATTCTTCCAAATAAATGCCTAGTAATCTGGGTCCCTAGAGGAACTCACTGGCCTGATAGCACTGGCTCCAGAATGTCTTGTAGCCGTACCATTTCCAAACTCTACCGAGTTGCTGTGTGAGCATACTGGAAATGAGAAATTATAAATTACACACAACTAGACCTTTAAGTTTCAATGAAAACTACAACAAAAAGACTTTACCTGATGTATGTGAAATTGTTTATGATTTCCAGCTTGGAAAGACTTAGTGATAACTATCAAATGCCTTAAAGTGATAACTATCAAATGCCTTAAAAATTCTTAAAGGATATCCTCTGGGGCCAAATACTGTCTCATAATTTGTCACTCATGCACGCAGCACTAACTATGTATCAGCTGGCCATCAACCATAGCATTTTTTTTTACCTTCCACATTTGGGGATCAATAAAAACAATTATTCTCATCCACAAATAAACAATCAAGATTCCCACAGGGATGATAAGAGAATTTAAGCCCCTAATTCTGTGCAATAGGAAAGCTTAAATTAATGCAGCAGAATAATGGGCCATGCAGGGGAAAATAAAGGCAGGCGTGTGAAGAGGAAGCCATCAATCCTTTGATTTTACCGGTCAGGCTCTGCACCCTGCTGCTCCTTGGTAATCAAGATACTTACAACTTGGAAACTACTTAAATTTACTGGCATATCTCTTGGGAAAATGATGCCGTCAAGACCTTGATGTAGCACATGCTTGAAGACATATCATTTAAGATACGACCTTTCATCTAGTTTATTTCAATAAAATATAAGCTACTTTACCCTTGATGTTTACCCCTATTCCTTCATGTCGAAAGGCCATCACATGGATACAGGGATTCCTCGTCTGTTCAGCTATCATGATGTTTACCAGTCTCAGTGTTTTTGGCTGTCAGCAACCTTCATTTGCCTGTACCTCTGTTTCTGAGCACACTCTGTCCTCTTCTCATTTCTGGAAAGATATCGTGAAGCACTTTCCTCCCATTATCTGGCAAGCTGGAGCCTTCTAACTGAGTGACATTTCCCTTTCAGATAATTTCAGGGGAGGAACTGAGGAAATGGAAATGGCTACTTTTCAAAAGAGAACTGGATTATGTTGGATTTATTATCTATTCACAGGATGCTCTGCTAATTATTGAATACCAATAGCTCAATGAGTTGGGTTCTGAACTCAAGAAATTCATACTTTGATGGCAAAAAATTGTAGCACTTTCTCTAGATTAGAGTTTATCAATCTCAGCACTATTAACATTTTGGACAGGATAACTCTTTGTTGTGCAGTGGCTGTCCTGTGCAGTTCTCTTATACATTTTATCAGATTCCCCTCTGTTCCAAGCTCATCTGGGTCCTAAGAGGGCAGTGGATTTCTTGACTCCCCAGGGCCTATTCTTGCCTTAGGGTGATTGCTCTGAGGGCGTCCTTGACCCTAAACAGCCAGATTCCTATAATCTCCAGTTCCTACTCTGCTCATTCACAGTCCCCTGATTTTCTTCATCCAACCAAGCATCGTACTTCCTTCTCCCTTCTTTACAAGTCCATCTAAACCCATTATCTTACTTTTTAACCTTAGAAATCAGCAAACTCAGTAGGCCTAGACCCAAAGGGCAAGTCTTAGCCTGCAATGGGGGAATGTACAATTAGGAATGCAGAAAAAGTATCAGGTGGGACAAGGACAACGAGTTCAGAAGCCACAGTATCTATGGTTAACTCCTTTCATGAAATGGTTCCTTTGGGGGCCTTTGGCTCAAACTTTGCAGCTTCAGTTCTACTGTTTCTTTCTTGAACTGATGAAAGTCAAGCCTCAGGCACTCAAAGCTAACATTTCAAAAGCATAATAATCATTTATCAAAGCCTGAAGGGTATCAAGACCCCCCTTCCAATAATGGAGGTTTATTGGAGAGCATGGTATTGGCAGCAGCTTCTGAAATCTGTTATACTCAGGGGTAAAAAGAGAATTTAAAAGAAGAATTAATCAATATTTCATGTCTTGTTTTAACACTATTGGACCTCAGTTCTCTCATCAATATACTACACTGGCAGGATAAATAAAAACAGCAAAGTAAAGTAAGTTTTCAGATACCTTCCTACGGAGAAGAAATACCTGACAGAATACAGATTATTCAATTAAAAGCATTCTTTCCCTCATTTTTTTCAAAAGCACATGGATAATGAAAGAATACATTTAAACAAAGATTCTTGGCAAGAAAAGCAGCTGATGATTATCAGTAGCACCTTGGGATTCAATCTAATATTGTGAACCAGTCTAATGGAAGCAGAGCTCAAAGTGTGGAAACAATTTCAGCTGTCCCCAAGTCATATATTTTTGTATATCATTCAATAGTCGGGAGCTATGGAAATGCTCTGAAGTTTGCCCATTGTATTAACACTGTTTATTTGTACTATCTATCAACAGGACATGCCCAGCACATTTTCAGGCAGCAACAACTTTCTGCAAATCAGGCAGTGGAATTCTCAGTCTTGTCTTGAATCATTTGCAAATGGACATAAACTTTTCAAATAAATAAAAACATCATTCTGTGGCTGGTAATTCTTAAGAGAATGAACCAAGTGAAAGGAATCCAGGCCTGAAAAATAACAAAAAATGGAAAATGGAGAAAGCAGTAAAGCTTAGAGGAAGACTGTACTTCTATCCCAATCAGCTAATGCAAAATACCTGTGCTAATCAGTAGGCACTTGGACTGTGAATATAACAAATAGTTTTTCTGCCGGAGAATCATCAGGACCCTTTGACTGGTTATGAATGCAATGAAATTGTACAAAAGGAGAATAATAAGAAACGACTGTGTTCTTTTCAAAAACGTACATTTAAAAGTAAAATGGTACAGCTCCCAATGGTATGATTTATGGCTGCTATAGAAATAGAAGATACCACTTAGAAAAATTTCTTTGTTCATTCATCTCAGAAATTAAAAGGTTATTTTCTTCATGTCCTTAGGCTTTAACGCCTTTTTAATTGGAAATGCTGATTTTCTAGATTTCATTCACTTTCTTAACTGAACAATGGAACCCCAATAATGGCAGAAGGATGATAGCAATCTTTAGGGTCCACTTCATTTATCAGTGGCCGGTTCCTTAACCACTCAATATGGGTGGATGCTATGGGCTGAATTTTGTTCCCCCAAATTCATATGTTGAGGCCGTAGTCCCCAGTCTGGTGGTATTTTGTATTTGGTGATGGGGCCTTTGGGAGATAATTAGCTTTACATGAGATTAGCAGGGTGAGTTGTCATATGATGAGATTACGGGGATAAGATTAGTTTCCTTATAAGAAAAGCAAGAGACACCAGAGTGCTCCCTCTTCCCACCATGTGAAAACACAGCCAGAGGGCAGCCATCTACAAGACAGGAAGAGAGCCTTCACCAGAAACCTGTAATGCTGGTACCCTGATCTTAGACTTCAAGCTCCCGAAACTGTGAGAAAATAAACTTCTGCTGTTTAAGCTATGTGATATTTTGACATACGATGGCCAGGGCAGACCAAGACAATGTGTGTCCCCTGAGACCCTCCTCAACACACCTAAACTCCCCACTGCTTTTTCCAGGACTTCTTTTCTTAAACTCTTTGGTCTAGTCACATGGGCTCATTTATTGCTCCTTAAACTTGCGCATCTCAGCCTCTGTCTTCTTACTCCTTACTTCTGTGTGCTTTTCTTCTTCCTGAAATGCTCTCTTCAATGTCCTCTCCAGTTTTCAATCTTATATATCAAGCTGCAATTCCGTTTACTCTCATCCACTCAAGAAAGATGTGTTGAGTACTTTCTAGGTGCGAGGCATGTTGCTGGGCACTGGAAAACCAAATTGCCCCAATCTCAACTCAGGGTTAACTCAGAAAGACAGACTCAGTGACTATTTTCAAAACCAAGGCTATTCAGGAGGTAATTCCCCTGCATGTGCTATGGGAATACTGGGGAAAGAGCAACAAATATAGCTGAGGGAATTGAAGAGGATAATTTCTTCTCCAACAGGAGGTAAGAGCTGAGCTGTGGATTAAGGCTGAGTGGAACATTAGGCAGAGGAGGGAGAAGAAGGAGGGCTTTTCAGGCAGAAGGAATGGCCTGTGATGTTGTACTGAGGTGTAAAAATAATAGGAACACAGTCATTCTGATCTATCCCCTAACCTGGTACAGACCTCAAAGCATCATCAGTGTTTATTTCTGCAATAGATTGTTGGTTACAGACAGGATGCATAAATAGCACCAATTTATTTTTCTTTTTTACATTATGTTTTGAAATATTAGAGATATCTTGATGTTTCATATAGTTATTTTCTCAGATGAAAGAAATTTATGGATCTGGGGAAAAGTATCCAGAAGAAAATTGACAGAATTATGTTTTTCTCCTTCATTAAATTCCTCATTAATTCAGAGTTGAGAATGAAATGTAAACAACATATGACTAAGAATAAAACAATTAAAAATGTATGATGATAAAGGATGCACCTAGTAGTGCTCATCTGTGTTATAAACTAAGTTACAAATCACGAGCAAAGTCATCTAATCTCCACTTACCACCAAGTAGGCTTCCTCCATATACACCTGGGGGTTCTCGATGTGTTCCATTTATAATGGAAACAGTTTTTACATAAACGTTAAATGTATTGAGCTTTTAAAAAATTAGTGGAAATGCAAACACATACCACTGCTGCTTTAAGAATATGAACCCTTTGAAATACCTTTCAGGTTTGGAAACACTGAAATAAATGACCTCTAAATCAGTATATCCTCTACCTATTGAAGCTTCTGGGAGAAGGAATGGTATTATATACCCTCTTATCCTGTCTGTACCCAAAATAACTTTGTTGCCTTCCCTAGATCTCTGATTTTTTTCTTAACAGTCCATAATTTTGAAGACTTGAGCTACTACAGATGGCCTATGCAGTTTATAGTTTCAGATTATTCAAGCTTCTTGTGTCAGTGACCACAGATTTTCTCGCAACCTTTCTGTGCTAGATTATATTGTTCATTCCATCCTAGAACATAGCTTGCCTGTGGATGCAATTAACTTTTCTGCCTCATTGAATTTGGGCTTGGCCAAATGACTTGCTGTGATAGGTATAATATGCGAAGAGTCAACATTGTGATGGTGTCCAGTAGAGGTTTTAAGAAGCATCACATGGTTCCCATTTCTTATATTCCTCTTTATCGTGAGAACAACGCATCCAAGGTAGGGGTTGTTCCTTCAGCCTGGATCTGGGATGAGGAAACTTATGGGATCAACATGAGCCCAAAACTGGAGCCACGGCCAGCTAAGCTTAGCAGAGTTATAGCTGATCACAGATTTATAAGTAGGAAATAAAAATATTTTTGCAAATCATTCAGTTTCAGGATTGTTTGTTATGCAGCAAAAAGCTAATATTTTTCGATTGATAATTGTATTGTTTTTAGAGCATTTATATGTACTAGACATTGTGTTAATAACTGTGCATTTGTTGTCTCATTTAATCCTCACAACAACCCCATCCTGTGGGGAGTACTAATATCCATATTACACAGATGAAGGCTCAGAAAGGTATAAAGTACTTGCCCGAGGACAGTCTGACACTAGAGAACTCAGGTTCTTAACTAAGTTCTTTCTTGGCCACTGCTCCCAGTGTGGCACAAAGCATCATGTCTGATACAGCAGCCATCAAAGGATCTCCATTCTTCTACTGGCTCTACTATTAAACCTCTGGGAAATTATGAACATATCACTTCTTCCCAGGCTACAGTTTCTCTAATGGTAGAATAAGAGGATTGGTCTAGGTAGGCGTAGGGTCTTTCATCATTAACAGCAGTTCTGTAATTGCAATTACATAGTAACATAGTTCATTTTAGAGAAATTGAAAATGTGCAGTTGTATTTTTAGTATAGAGACACTATCACCATTTTGTAGATCTGTGCTTGTAATTTCACGATTCAAAACACATTTTAGAACTTCAGCCATAGTCATGTACAAACAATAGCTTTATGCTGCTGCTGAGGATATATGCATTAATTTTCAAAGAAATAAAGAGATAGGTCCTGAAATAAAGATCAAATTCTGGAATCTCCTTCATTCTTTAGGCCTGGCTTTCTTTCAGTGCTTAGTTTATATAACTTTTAAATAAATTCCCATCTTTGGCTAGTGTCAGCTGGAGGAGACATCTGTTCCTTGCAATCAAAGATCGAAGTTGGATTGGATGACCTCTAAGATCTTCTTTAACACAATTGAGTCTATTAAATACTCTGGGTATGATTAGGGACTTTACTTCCAACTAATCCTTGACTCTTATTAACAATCCATCTTTGATCTCATCCTAGTTTTATACTTAAGCTTTAAAAAGTTGCTTCTTCCTAACTTACCCTTCAACTTATCTTAAAATCATGCCCTTTCTGAATTGATGTGGGCTTCAGTATTCTGAATGCTAATCACCTTTTTCTACCTAAGGCATAGGTGCCTGTTTCCCTGCTAACCTGATAAAGGTAATTAAAGATTTTGGCTTTCTCTTTTAGTTCACCTATCAGCCATTCCTTCTTCGTATACTTTCCTATGACTTAAAAAAAAAAAGATTGTAACAGGTTGGAATATATTGAAACAGATAAAAGAACTTTTCCTGACACTTTAGTTTTTAGAGGAGAAATGAAATGACTCACTTTTCTTTAGGTTTTTGACTTAACTGGAGATTGAATTAAACCAAGCTTTTCCTTTAGAAATGGTTATAGGAGAGAATCAGACCCAAACTTATTCTGACAAAAATCATTTCTGAGTCCCTGTTTGCTTTCAAAATGAAAATTTACATTTAAAATAACTTTTAAGCAACTGAAAATTTTAACAAGTATTTAAGAATGATTTGAGGTGATTTCACCCCAGGGAAGGAGGATAGGTCTCCAAGTCTTGTTGCTTAGGGCTCCAGTACTGCTGGGATCATTGTTAAATGAGCCTCAGCCAGAGCCTAAGCAATGAGCCACACATAAAAGTGAAATTTAAAAAAATATAAAGCAGCTCTGACCTTCTCGTTAAGAAAGGCTAATTTTACAGCCACTTCCTGTCTATTTGAAGCTATTGCCACTTTTCTGACTTTGGCTTAATACTTCCGGAAATAAACTACTTGGAGGGGAATATTTATTTTCAATAGGAAAATCTAAGTGATACCCCCAGCAACCCCATCTATTAATTTTTTTTTTAAATCAGGCTCACTAGAAGGAGGCTAATTCAATTAGGAAAGGTCAGAAGCAACAACTGACATATGGATCTGCAGGCATTTAGAATTTTAGAGTCTCTAATCTAAAGAGGAAGCTTTAAAGCCTGTCATTTTTCCAATAGGCTGACATTAATTGACTACCTTATGAATAATACCTTTGCCAAATAAAAGGGTATCATCAACATATCAAGGCAGGCGCTGCTCTCATTTTCCTACTCCAGCACAAGAAAATTCCTAAATGGGGAGCTATCTGCTCCATCAGAATACTTGAAGTTAAGTGACTTGGTTATGAAATCTCCTTGAACAGTCAAAATTAATGGAGTCTCACCTACTAAATAAGCTGATTGCCCATTAAGGTAGAATGCTATTCCAATTAAATTTTGCTAAGGAATTTCAGTTCTAAAAAAATCTGTTTTTCTCTCTATTATTGAAATGGGTTGAGTTTGAAAGGAGAAAATTCTTCCTTTGAGGTCCATCCAGATTTTCTAACTGAGTTAAACTCCTCACTTAGTGAAGGGAAGAATTTCTTTTGTGGAAGTGGTTGGGGTCTTTTCCATAGTGTTGCTACACAGTTCGGCTGGCAATCTATGAGAAAAAAGATCTGTTTGTTTGTTGCTTACAGTAAATCAGTACCTGGAAGAAGTTCTTCTGTGCACACCCTCCCCATACCAGAACCTCTAGAAACCTGTAGAACCAGGGCCTCACCTCCTTTTTTTCACAATAATTTATTTTGCCCTCACCAGGAAAACAGAATCAGGAACATCAGAAAATGTCAAGAAAAGAGATACATTCCAACACTTTTAAGGGCCATCTCTCTCAGAGGGAAGAAAACAGTAGTAATTTCTTTCCCTCAAGCAGGACAGATAACTTTCACATGTCTCTGGAATTCTTCCAGTGCAGTATTTTTGTTGACCGGGAGAAGCCAAAATGTCATAAAGAGAAAACTAGAAAACAGAGCTAAAGCAATATATCCTAGAAAATTCCAGGGAAAAATAAACAGTAGAACTTAGAAAATGTCCCTTATTTGAGAGCAGCTACTTGAAATATGAAAATGTTGTATCTCCACAGATTTTCCTACATTGTAACAGTCACAGAATGTCAAAAAAGGAAATCTTCATGCCCAGCTATAAAAATGAGAAGAACTTGGCAAAATAGCCGAGGAGATCCTCCACCCAGCAAACTTGCTTTCACCACTTGGTGATAACACTTTAGGCCTATGTTTCTGAACCCTGAAATTCTGACTGCAAGGGTTGCAAGGAAGTGACTGAAAGTAAGAGCTGAACTCTGAAAGCTGTTACAGAGCAGGCGTGGATGAACAGAATTACCTGCCAACTCTTGTTTTTGGAGCTCTCTTGGTGGTTCCCTCAATTCCCTTCCCTTCCCCTTAGCTCTGCTGAGTCTTAAGGGCCTGTAATCAGGCCAAGATGATAAAAAGAACTACATATTCAGAGGAGAAACATGAGGCATGGCATTTTGTGAAAGCTTCACCCCAAAATAAGAAGGTGGATTGAAGGTAGCTTCTTTCATTCCTCATGAACTGGACAAAAGGAAACTGATGAGTGATGTTGACCACTTAGGTTCTTATCAGCTCCCTCCTTATCATTGAAGCACCAATCCTTGTGCTTCTGGAGCTGAATATTCTAGCCCCCTGCATCATCTTCGTACTCCTGAAAAATGATTTACTGTCAAAAGACAAAAATCTCCTATAGGGTACAAGCCCACAGTCTTACTACTATTTCCAGAAGCATCTTCTCTTGTTATTCTAGCCACCAATGCCACAATACCCCAGACGACACCCTGCACCCCCTGGAACCCTAGCCCCTACCCCCCAGTCACAGCCCTGATCTCCCTAGAGGCATTGCTTCCCATTCCTCTCTATTCTTTCCTAAGGTCCATTTTCCACCATTGCTACCGGTAATAGATTCTGATTTTATTGTCCTGTGGGCATAGTTTGCGTATTGGTATTTATTAATTTTTTTTTTTTTTTTTTTTTTTTTTTTTTTTTTTTGAGATGGAGTCTCGCTCTGTCACCCAGGCTGGAGCGCAGTGGCGCCATCTCTGCTCACTGCAAGCTCCGTCTCCCAAGTTCACACCATTCTCCTGCCTCAGCCTGCCGAGTAGCTGGGACTACAGGCGCCCGCCACCACGCCCGGCTAATTTTTTGTATTGTTAGTAGAGGCGGGGTTTCACTGTGTTAGCCAGGATGGTCTCCATCTCCTGACCTCGTGATCTGCCCGCCTCGGCCTCCCAAAGTGCTGGGATTACAGGCGTGAGCCACCGCACCTGGTTGGTATTTATTAAATTTTTAAAGAATTCCTAGGTCGTTATAATGTGGTATGCAGCAAAGGGTTAAAAATCACTGTGTAAATGGTAGTTAGGTTTGAGAATTCCATTAGAAGTTGAGTTCCACTTCATTATGAATTAACTTAGCTTCTGAGAATTGGCCTGAGAATCTAACCACTGTTTCAAAATTTGTCTCTTTAGGAAAATGTATCCCAATTTATACACAGCTGACTTGCAAACTAACTGGAAACTTGCCAGTAAAGGGCTACTTTTTGGCAAAGGTGCCCCATCTATCGAAGTCAACTATGTCTGGCACATAGTAGACACTCAATTTGTCCAAATTAGTTGAATAATTTTGGAATGCAGCCTGTTCCTAAGTAAGACTCTGCCAACATATTTTTTCCCAAAACATTTTAAGCATTTTGCTGATGTTTTCTCAACGATGATGTAACAGAGAGACTCCATGATGTGTCTAAGGATATACCAAGGAGATGTCAGGAATCCAACCCAAATCACCACTTGAAGTTCCATAAGCCTTACTGTATTAGTCCATTCTCACATTGCTACAAAGAACTACTTGAGACTGGCCAATCCACAAAGAAAAGAGGTTTAGTTGGCTCATGGTTCCATGGGCTACCCAGGAAGCATTGCTGGAGAGGCCTCAGGAAACCCACAATCATGACGGAAGTCAAAGAGGAAGGAGGCACGTCTTACGTGGCCAGAGCAGGAAGAAGAGAGAAAAGGAAGAGGGGCTACACACTTTTAAACAACCAGGTCTTGTGAGAACTCACTCACTGTCCGGAGAACAGCAAGGGGGATGTCTGTCCCCATGATCCGGTCACCTCCCACCAGGCCCCTCCTCCAACACTGGGGATTACAATTTGACATGAGATTTGGGCAGGGATACAAATCCAAACCATATCCCTCACAGACAGCCATGTCATCATTTACATCCAGAGTTGGGTCTTAAACTCCTTTTTCTAGTTAGTTGACCCATAGCTCAGTTAGAATTCTGACTTTATCTGGTAGGATTGAAATGTGCTCTGTACTTTTTATAAATAACAAATTGTAGCAAAGGCCTGGCCATACACAGTATGCCACAGGAAGGAGAATAAATGAAGAGGAAGCTCCAAAAAATGGCAAGAAGTGTTTCTGTAATTTATTGGACCCCCCAGGAGATAGATCAACATCAAGAGGCTTATTTACTGTTTAATCCCTGAAATCACGAGGGGAAATATCAATTTAACTAAATTAATCTCAGTGTCTTAAATCTTCACTGCAAAGCAAACTCTCAGAAAATTAAGAGTGTCATTTGTACCATCCTGCAGTTATAAAGCACACACCTAAGGGACTCTGTTGGCAGCTACTGTCTCAAGTCGTCTTACAGACACAGGCAAGGCCATCCTCCTGCTTTTGGTTGCCCCCATGCACCCACTTACTGCTATGGCTTCCAGTTTCATAATCAACAAAGCCCCACGGTGACATCTGCATGCCAGCCTCCCATAGGAAAGCTTCTGTAGTTCTCCGTCAGCACAAAGTTCTTTCCTTGATGTTCAGCTTCAGAAGTGTCGTTTTATTTATCAGAAGGCCACTTTTCAGTTTCTAAATGGCTTTGGACTTGCCACTTCTTTAAGTAGCCCTGACCAGAGAAGAGCAGCTGCCATTCACCTCAGGCTGGGTTTGTAGCAATTCTCCAAAACTAGCATGCTGTTAATAGGACTGATGCATTCAGGATGGTGCCCAGATTTATATGAAAGGCTTTTTTTAAAAGTGCAACTGCCGATTTGCACATCGTCAGAGAAGAAAAACTAAGTGCTCTCAACCATGGTTTTAAGTACTGTTTCCTTCTGCTTGTTGTTCAGGAATTAATGGCCATATTAATACAGCCAAAGAATATGTTAGAGAGTGAATGGCTCCAGGTCCTGAATGTTTGATTAATTAATGGATTAACTTGATGGGGGCACCTCATTCTCCAGGATATGAATGTCATTTGACTTTTAGCTCTTCCTGATCCTGCATGCCCCATTAGTCACTGAGTTGTGTTCACTCTTTCTGCATGTTGTCTTTTGCATCTGTTTCTTTGCTTCCCACACAACTTTAAAACCTGGGCCACAAGGTGGCTTGGGTACAGGCCTCAGATTATTACCTCCACCCACTGTGGAACATCTGTGGACTCTACAGTCACTGTTAACAGAGGGGAATGAAATGGTGACCTGGCTCACGATAACAGAGAATCTGGTCCCAGGGAACCGGCCTCACCTCCCAAGATGTCCCTTCAAAATGTTGGCATATTCTATACAATCACAAAAAGGGGAGGCAGGGAAAGGGGTAAAATAAAAATAAAAAAAGAAAAACATGCAAGCATGGCTATGGAGAAAAATATGTTTTCCCATGTCCTTACCCAATAATTTTATCAAGTCGCAGGTGTCTTTACTGTGGAATGGCCTGTATGTATTTCCCTGTGAGGTGTTGGAACTGAGAAAGTACAGCTGGGTTAGACACAAAATCAATATCGTCTGATTTAACCTCAACAATTCATCGTGGCACTTTCTCATATCATCTCTTTCAAGAAGGCAATGCAACAGGAAAATCAGATTTTTCTCTAATCAAGGGTAAGGAATGATTTTTAGCTTTGTGAGAATCAAGGAACTTCAAAGAACTCAGTGTTGGTTATAATATTACAGGCATTCAAATCCTGATTTCATATTGCAACAGACCACCAAAATTTTCCTTTGATTATTATTATTTTTTGCTGTACATTACTAGAGAAAAAATAGCATTTAATAAGCATGTTAAACATATGCCTGCAACGTAGAGGGATCCTTGGATGGAGGAATGGACTATAAGTTTTTCCCAACAATTCACTTAGATGAATGTGCTTCTCTGAAGGGAGGAGAGGGGTATGGAGAAGAGTGGAGGGAACCACTTTGCTGTTGATCACCACTATTTTCCTCTACTATACATGTTTCTTGTTTTTGGCATTCATCACATTACAGAGAATAACTCAGAGACATGTAATCTTAGCAGTTTCTTTTTTTGTCTCAAAAGAAACACAACCGATATTTGGTTAAAGAATTGTATTATGTGCAATTTGTATTTTAGATGGAGGTGCAAGCTACCCAGCATATGAAGAAACAAATAGAGAACACTGGCAACTTATCAACTTATTTAGAAAAAAATTATTTTGAATATTAATATAATAATTTTTAAAATTTAATATATTGAAGTATCTGAGACCATTATTATACCTTAAGAGTACCAGGATAAGGAGAGGTTAAAAAGTTCCCATGCTCAGAAACACTAACTAAAGATGGATTAAAAAGCAGACACATTTAGTGCCTAAGGATATATGTGTGTGTGTATATATATATATATACCTCACCTGGAAAAAAAGATTAATTCTCTAATTTTAATGTATGCCCCACCTTTTAGAAACACATCTATTGCATAAAAACAAGGAAAGACAACACACATCTTTATTGAACAAACACCAGGTACTTAGTCACAAATACCTAGCACGTAGCTGGGCGCCTGCTATGAGGCTGGAATGCATGGCTAAGGTATTTCGCTTTTTAATGTGGAGTAATCCCCATACCAGGAAAGAAGGTATATATCCATTTTTATGTGTTTTCATGCCTAAACCCTTAATTGTGTGAAGTATTTTGACTATAATAATATTGCATCTCTCTGAATAAAGAGTTCTGTGACTTGGGGAGGAACTGGCCTCAGAAGTGGACCTAGCACTCCCTGTCGCCACTTACAGACTGTAAATGTCCAACATTCTCTCAACACGGCCTCAAAGAAAGTGTTTTTAAAACAGGATCGATACTCTTTCACCTCTTCTTGGGATTCTAGACCTCACAATTCACCTGCCTCTGTTGCCTCCCTCCCTCCAGGCCTTCATACTTGTCACCCCACTTTGTTCCCAGCCTCAGGGACAACATACTCATGGAGAAGTTTGGTTCTCCTGCCTGGGATTCTATCATTTCCTGCTTCCCTGACCTAACTTTGATGCTTCCCTGTTCTGCAGTGAACTGGAGTGACAAGAGCAAGGAATGATTGCTTCTAAGCAGGGTAGGCTGTCTGAACCGTCAACCGTTTGGGGCAAAGAGCAATCATGTTTACCCACAAAGAGGAAAAATGAAGACATTTGAAGCCTCATCAGTAAAGAAAATAAAGCTAACAGGGGATTTAATTACAAGCTCACTGACAACCAGTTAGCACTGTGTTTGGGTTCATTTCTCTTTTGGCTATTTTGTAGAAAATATTTCAAATTAAGAAAATAAAATCCTATGATAATTCCCCATGCAGCATAAATTGTTCCAGAGCCCAGAAAAATATGGATCATTTCCCAATACATATCACCAATCCAGAATCACACTGATACTAAAATAAGAGAAACAGCCAAAAGAAGGCAGAGACAAAAAAATGACAGTACATCCCACTTATAATTACAGACTCAAAAATCCTCAGTTAAAACCTAACCAACTTAGCACTCTTAGCACTAGATTAAAAAGCCACACTCTATGGCCAAGGCGTTTCTATTCCAGGAGTGCAAGGATGATTTAATACAAGGAAAGCTATTAATATAACACTTCTCAAGTGTGTTAGATTGAACCCAAGTCAAGGGGGGTGCTAATTAATGCTATATGAAGGAGGGGGGACAGGTAATATTTGGAAATGAAGGGTTTAACAAAGTTAATGGAATTCTTCACTACTGGACTTCTCAGTATCTTTAATATGCTAATGAGCTAATTAATCTTTAAGAAGAAAATATACTATGTAGCATTTCCTCCAAATGATTTGATCAGACAATAATCTCCCCACCCCCAATTTTTTTCATGGACCAGCCTGTGGAAAAAGTGTTCTCTAAAAAACATCTTAATAGACCCTATATTAAATTAATTTATGGTATTAGCCATTTAAAGAAGAAACAACTTATCATTTCTTTGACAGATACCAAAAAGAATTTGACAAAATGCAATATCCACTCCAAATAAGAATGTTTAAATCTATGACTAAAGGGATATTTCTTTAACACCTAATAAAAAACACCTCTGTTAAACTAAAGGCTGGCATCACAAGTAATTGTAAAAATACTAGCGATATATGTTATTAAAATCAAGAACAAGAAAAGTGAGTATACTGTTATCTTTTTTTCATTAAGGTCCTGGAAATTTTAGTGAGTAGAATTAAGACATAAAATGTTAATGATGAGAAGAAACAGAAATATTATACCTAGATGAAATAATTGTTTATAAATAGTGGAAAGAAACTAAAAACTATTCGAATAAGGGAGTTTGAGAAAATGGCTGAAGACAAAAACATACACATTTAAAAACAAATAGTTTTCTCAAGTGCTGGGATTACAGGTGTGAGCCACTGTGCTCCAAAAACTAATAATTTTCTCTTATAACCAGAAACAACAGTTAGAAAGTACAATGGACCAAAATAATCCTACATTCATAATAACAGCAAAAATAGTTTTAAAAACCAAAGAATCATCTTAATAAAAATTTGTGGTACTTTTAAGACTGGACCACCAGTTTTACTAAATGGGAGGACTGAAGGCTGCAGACATGTAAATTCTTCCCAAATAATTAATATATTTGAGTGCAATTCTGATAAAAATTCCACTGGTGCAAAAATATCACAAAAGAGAAATACACTGACGAAGTGAGGGGAAAACGTTGGTAACATAAACGGAATTCAAAGGGTTAATTTTTTAATATAAAAATTGCTCTTTTAAACAGGTTATAAAAAGACAAACACTGAAGGAAAAAGAAGTGGGCCAGGTACACACACACACACACACACACACACACACACACACACACACACACACATTTCCAGCTCAGGGCTTTTGATCTTCCCCTGACAACAGCTCCTTCTGAGAGGGTTCTCTCTTGACGATCCTATATCAAGTATCAAATGCCCTCATGCCTCACCAGGGCATTCCCTAGTCTTCTCATCCAACTTTACTTTTATCCACAACATTTATCACCACTCAACATAGTAGAGATTTTTAAATTTGTTGTCTTTCTCCTCCCGTTAGACTGCAAATTTCATGAGTGTTGTTTATTTGGTTAATCTCTGTTTTCCCAGTATCTAGGGTAATACTTGTCATATAATAGAGGCTCAATAAATATTTGTTGATTAAATGAATAAATACCATTTAGTCTCCTCTATTTATTTGAAGTATTTTCTAAATTCATTGCACACTGACTAATTTATTTTATGTGTGACTGTTGTTTACATTCACATCAGCATGTTCATGCCTCAGGTCCATGTACTTAGAGATACCTCATTGGCTTGGGAAGCACTTGCTATTTTGTAATGAAATTGTACTTCATATGAGGCAGGACACTAAAGCTTTGGGTAGAAAACCACATTTTAGTTGGAGTCTGTCACAGGCCTATGAAAACTTCCGTTTGTGTGGACTGATTGGCTCATCTCAGTAGTTTAAAAGAAACTGTCACCTAGCAGCAGGCTGGCTGCCAAAGATAGTATAGCTGCAAAAGATAAGAGCTGCAAATGCTACATTTGGTTGGGGCAATCATGGGGCCATATAATGTACAGGACTGCTGAGTCAGAATCAGAGCTGCAGATTATGGCTGTGTAGCGTGTCCCCTACACACAGGTACTGGGCTACGGGGTGGGTAGAGACTGGAAGTGTGTGTGGCCTGAAATCCTGTTTGTATAAGACTTGCACTTTGGTTCTGTCTCCATCAACCCAGAGGAAGAAATACTATGATATTGTGATGTACTAAGAAATAAACATTTGATCTTTGTCCCAAATCCCCGGCAGAGAGGTCCTAAAATTCTTGTAATTTCCTGAGTGATAGGGACGATAGGAACATCTTTTGTTACAATATTTGGCCTTAGTCCCTAGTTTCTGATACAAGCACTTCGAAGACCCTTGGAATCTCCAGAGTAATATGAATGCCTAGTGGATGGGCTCCCTAGACAGCTTCAGGATAGGGCTAGTTGCCAGGGGAACCAATTATATGATTACAGTATTGGAACTTTCAGCCTCATCCCCAGTGTAAGGGGATAGGAGAGAAGCTCAAGATTGAGCTCAACCATCAATGGCCATTAATTTAATAAATTCTACCTACATAATGGAACCACCATAAAACCTCTAAACAATGGTGTTCCAAGAACTTCTGGGTTGGTGAACATGTGAAAGTTTTGGAAGGGTGGTGGACCCGGAGAGGGCATACAGCTCCCGTTCTCACATCCTTTGCCCTTGGATCTCTTCCATTTGGCTGTTCCTGAGTTGTATCCTTTATAGTAAACCAGCAATGGTGAATAAACTGCTTTCCTAAGTGCTGTGAGCCATTCTAGCAAATTATCCAACCCAAGGAGGAAGTAGTAAGCACCCCTGATTTATTGTTGGTTGGTCAGAAATTATGAGAGGCCCAGGTCTGCAACTGGCATTTGAAGTGTAGGGCAGTCTTATGGGACTGAGGCCTTTACCTGTGTGGTCTATGCTAACTCTGGGTAGCTAGTGTCAGAACTGTGGTGGGTTGTAGGAGACCCAGCTGGTGTTGGAGAATCGGTCGGCATGAAAAAAAAAAAAAAAAACCCACACATTTGGTGTCCAGAATTGTTGTTAAGTATAGAGAAACATTTTTTTCTTTCAGTTGCCTTTTAGTAATACCTCACCTAGAAGGACCTCCTTTTCTTTTTTTCTTTTTTTTTTCACTCTTTTCATTTTATTTTAAGCTCTGGGGTACATGTGCAGGACATGCAGGTTTGTTACATAGGTAAATGTGTGCCATGGGGGTTTACTATACCTACTAACCCATCACCTAGGTATTAAGCCCAGCATGTGTTAGCTATTTCTGCTGATGCTCTCCCTCCTCCCCCTCCACCCTCTGACAGGACCCAGTATGGGTTGTTTCCCTCCCTGTGTCCATGTCCTCATTGTTCAGCTCCCACTTATAAGTGAGAACATGTGGTATTTGCTTTTCTGTTCCTGCATTAGTTTGCTGAGGATAATGGCTTCCAGCTCCATTCATGTCCCTGCAAGGGACATGATCTCATTCCTTGTTATGGCTTCATACTATTCCATGTTGTATATGTACCATATATTCTTTATCCAGTCTGTCATTGATGGGCATTTGAGTTGACTTCATGTCTTTGCTATTGTGAATGGTGCTGCAATGAACATATGCATGCCTCTATCTTTATAAAGAATAATTTATATTTATTTGGGTATATACCCAGTAATGGGATTGCTGGGTCAAATGGCTTTTCTGGTTCTAGGTCTTTGAGGAATCACCCCACTGTCTTCCACAATGGTTGAACTAAGTTACATTCCCAACAAGAGTGTAAAAGCGTTCCTATTTCTCCACAGCCTCACTAGCATCTGTTGTTTCTTGATGTTTTAATAATTGCCACTCTGACTGGCATGAGATAGTGGTATCTCATTGTGGTTTTAATTTGCATTTCTCTTAATGATCAGTGATGTTGAACTGTTTTTTACATGGTTTTTGGCCACATAAAAGTCTTCTTTTGAGAAATGTCTGTTCATGTCCTTTGCCCATCCTTTTTTTTTTTTTTTTTTTTTTTTTTTTATGGAGTCTCCCTCTATTACCCAGGATGGAGTGCAGTGGCACAATCTCGGCTCACTGCAACCTCTGCCACTTGGGTTCAAGTGATTCTCCTGCCTCAGCCTCCTAAGTAGCTGGAATTACAGGCGTCCATCACCACACCCAGCTAACTTTTGTATTTTTAGTAGTAACGGGGTTTCGCCATGTTGGCCAGGCTGGTCTTGAACTCCTGACTTCAGGTGATCCACCCGCCTTGGCCTCTGAAAGTGCTGAGATTACAGGAGTGAGCCACTGTGCCCAGCCCTTTGCTCACTTTTTAATGGGGTTGTTTGTTTTTTTTTCTTGTAAATTTGTTTAAGTTCCTTGTAGACTCTGGATATTAGACCTTTGTCAGATAGAAAGATTGCAAAAAATTTCTCCCATTTTGTAGGTTGTCTGTTTGCTCTGATGATAGTTTCTTTTGCAGAATCATCTTTTTCTATTGTACACAAAGTTTAGGGTTATGACAGTACTGGCCCTTATGATAATCAAGACTTTCTGTAGTCAATTCACCACTAGTTCAGAAGCAGAGACAAAGAGAAATTGTCAAGACTCCGTAGCTGTCTCTGTCCCTCTTCATCCAACAAGCAAACTCCTACTCATACGTTAATACTCAGAAATATCATCTTCTATCAACATCTGATGGTCACTTCCTTTTCTAAACTACCAAAAATCTGTTGGCCCTCCATGTATAACCTAACACGTTGTACTGTCTATCACCTTAACAGGCTGTCTATCACCTGTATAGAGTCTCTGGAGGCTCTCCATACAGGAAAAATAACAGAACATGTTATTTCATGTTAACAAGAAATAACATGATTAGATGCTTATGTTAATACTATGTGAATTATGAACTGCATATGGGAAATATTGGTGACAGAATGACCCAATTAAGACAAAATAAAGCTGGAAACTAAGATGTGACAAAGGATTAGAGAAAATAAAGATCTCTAATCCTCAAGCCAAGGAACACTCCTGAAAAATGGCAAAATAAATGCAAGAAGATGCAAGAGTCCAATTAAAGTGATTTCTAATTTGAAAACAAGACGGGATGGTGACACCATGATGAAAATGGAGAATCCAGAGACCAAGTTATTTTAGGATGTGAAGTAACAGAGTCTGGTTTGGATGTGTTAAATCTGAAATGTCTGTGGGATCATAGCTTGAGAAATTCCAATATGAATTTAGAGTATGAGTCTGGAAAAGTGAGGTCTGAATAGAGAGATCTTGAAATGATCAGATTATAGATTGCAGAGGAGGCAAAGAGATTGAGAAGAGAAGAGGAACAGGAATGAGCCTAAGGAACACTAACATTTGAGGTGTGAGCAGAGGGAAAAGAGCCAAAGAATGAGATGAACATTGTCAGAGATGTCATTTGAGGCAGGATTTTCTTAGACCTTGCAAGAGATTTCATTTATAGATTCTCTACATCTCTCATAGAGAATACTTAAGTTTTCATTAATATTTGAATTTTCAAGATGGAAAAAATAATCTAGCAGCCATATTAGGTGCTTACTTACGAATTTCTAAGAGGGGGTATAGTATCTTGCATTCCTGAACACATTTGATTACAGAACCTTTAACGTCTGGTGTTTCACAGAACATATTCTAGAGATAACTGCATTGTTTTGGTAATCTTGTGTTCTTTATGTACAGAGGTTAAACTGACAGATTCATTATAATAAAGTACTTCTTACCTATTAAAAATGAAACACTAACTTTATTTTTTTTCCCATTTTTCAAATATTCAACCATTCTTTCAAAGGACTGCGACTTTGCAAGGCCCAGCCAATTCTGTATGTAGTTCAGAGTGAAGGTCACAAGATTTATATATTTAAACTAAATGTGTTATGTTTTAGACCAACACCAAATTTTCTTCTATATACTTGGCTTTTCATTCCCCTTTTAATTTTTGCCTTGATTTGCATTTATTATGAAATATTTCATATATATGAAGGACTATAGGTAATGTGTTCATAGGCCCATAGAATAATAAACGACCAAGCTTAAGAAATAGAGCATTAGCTGTGCCTGTAGTCCCAGCTAATCAGGGGACTGAGGTGGAAGGACTGCCTGAGCTCAGGAGTTCCAGGCTGTAGTGAGCTGTGATTGTGCCACTGCACTCTAGCCTGGGTGACAGAGTGAGACTTCATCTCTAAAAAAATTTAAAAATGAGTAAATAAAACAGACAGAGCATTGTCCATTCAGACACATTCCAATCCTCTTTCTCCCTGGCAGGAGTAACTGTTATTTTAGTTTTTGGATTATTCAATATTTTTCAACGTCATTTTACTGTGCATGTACGTGTCCATGAACAAAATATTTGGTTTTGTGAGTTTTTCACCTTTACATAAACGGCATCATTTTGTATGTATTCCTGTGATTTGTCTTTTTCATTCAATATTTTGTTTGTGAGATCCATCTCTGTTAATGCTTATGGCTGCAGTTCATTCATTTTTTTACTACCATAGTAAAATCCATTTATGCATTCATAACAATTTATTTAGCCACCCTTCTGTCAATGGATATTTGAGATGATTCCAGTTTTCCTTTTCCTTTTGCAAACATTACCTCTGTAAACATTCACACACCTGTACTAGTGCTTCTCTAGGGAAATATCTAGGAGTAGAATTGTTAGGTAGAAAGGTAAGCAAATGTTCAACTACAAGGTAATTCCAAATTGTTTTCCAAGGGATTGGGACCAATTTATACTCCTATCGACAGCATATAAGAGCTCCTGCTGCTCTTCGTCTTCAGTAGTACTTATATTTTCAGACTAAAATTTTTGCCAATCTGGTGAGTGTAAAGTGATATTTAATTTTGCTTTGAATTTGCATTGCTCTGATTACTAATGAGGTTGATAATCTTTTCAGATGTTTATTAGCTATTCATGTTTCTTCTTCTGTGAAATGCCTCTTCAGGTTATTGCATATTTTTTTGCAATGGATCGTTTGTCTTTTCTTTAATTTTTTTTTTAGGTGTGCTTTATGCTACTCTTGTTTGTATGTGTTATAATTATTTCCTCCTACTGTGGCTTGTGTGTTTGCTTTTTATCTCAGAAACATTGCATTTTAACTTAAAATTAATCAATTAATCAAATTGGTTAAATTAAAAAACCAATACATTAATTTATTAATTAATAAAATTAAAAATAAATTAGTAAAAGTAATCAAATGCATCCATCTTTTCTCTTACTGTTTGTGCTTTGGGGGCTGTTTTTCAGAAATCAATCCCTAACTTGCTATCAAATTTAAGATTTTTTTTTAACGAGCATATTTTCTTTGTCTTACAACTTAGAATTACAAATCTATTATTTAGTATTATTATACTGTACTAACAAATTACAAACAAAACGGTTTGGGAGTTCTCAAGCTTACTTTTCTGCCTTTCCTGCTCCTATTCCCCATTCCCCTTCCTGGTCCCTCCTTAGACTGATCCACTTAAACACTTTTTTCACCCACCCACACTCACTTATGATCTTCTTCTACATGCACAGGCACACGCACATGCACACGCACACACACACGTGCGCGCATGAACACACGTTCTTGACCCTTTTCTCCTCTCTCCACATCACCAGTTCTGCCTCCCCACTGACACATTCCCCATTCGTAACTCAGGTGAACCTACCCTGTCAGACTTGCACACTGAAACTCATTCCTATGTGTACATGCAATCCTTAACCAAGCTGTCTGTAGTTAGGCCTCTCAGTTTTGTCAAATCTTTTTCTTTATTCTTGAAGTCCCATTAACATCCTCCCTCACTCACATGGTGATCTCATCCCTTACTTTGCAAAGCAATTAGAGACTATTTCAGAGTCTCTAAATGTCTTCCTCCCAGTCTTCCCCTCCTTCCTTGAACTTGTCTGCATTTGCTACGTTTTCATTCATTTGGTTAGAAGGATACCTTCCTCGCCATCCAGGACCCAGTATTGGATTTTGCTCTGTCTACTTCTAGCAGGACTTCCTCTTAACTGCTTTGAAATCTCTCCTTTCCTTGCTCTCAACTGGTCATGTTCAGCACTGCCTGTGCTAGTCTCTTTATCTCCTTTCCCATTCCTTACTCATTCCAGTGCAAAAGGCTTCTTCCCCCTTCTTAGTCTCTAGATCGCTGATTCCAAATGGTTTCCTTCAGGAAATCTACCTTTGAACCCTGGCTTGGCCACTGACTGGTTGTTTACTCCTTGTAAATGCGAATTATTATCCCTACCTCATTAGGTTGTTGTGAGGGTTAATGAAATACAGCATAGAACTTGGAATTTAGCTTCAGGCCAGCACTTGGTAGGAGTTCTATAGGTTTAAATTTTCTTTCTTTATCCTTCAATTTAATTTCCTCTTCTTTAATCCTCTCTTTCAACTTTGAAAAATAAATTCCTTTACTTCCGGAGCTAATGATTTATGTAGTTTTACCCTTTAATTTTCTCTTTTTGGAAACCAAGACCCAAGTCCTAATTCCTTTATTCATCTGAAAATAACTACATACTTCCATCAAATTACATTACTCATTTCATTTAACTTATCCAGTTACATTCCAAAAAATACTAGAAAATAAAGAGCAAAAATAACAAAAATTAGTGAAATTTAGTTTGCTATTTTCCTGAAATAGAATACTTTCCTTCCTTTCTTCCTTCCTTCCTTCCTTCTTTGTTTTTGACAGAATCTTGCTCTATAGCCCTGACTGGAGTGCAGTGGCATGATCTCAGCTCACTGTAAACCTCCACTTCCCAGGTCAAATGATCCTTTCACCTTAGCCTCCTGAGTATCTGGGACTACAGGCAAGCACCACCATGCCTGGCTAATTTTTGTATTTATTTATTTATTTTTGTAGAGATGGAGTCTTACCTCACCATGTTGCCCAGGCTGGTCTCAAACTCTGGGCTAAAGCCATCCACCCACCTCAGCCTCCCAAACTGTTGGGATTACAGGCGTGAGTGACCATGCCCCACCAAAAGGGAATATTTTTTAGGTGGCATCTTGGCCTCAATATATCTTGTTCATTTCCAGGAAATTTTTTGATGAAATAACATTTGGAAAAATACATTAGATAAATGGCTTCTGAAGTAGTGTCCTAATCTAGTTATTAAAGCCAATCCATATTCATAAGTTGAAAGCTGGCAAAAGTATTGCTTTGATGCATTTATTTTATAATAACCTTGACATGTTTTAAAACGTACAAGACAGACGTCTTCAAGACATAGCACAATGCACTCTCAGCACAGTGACATAACCACAGGGTTGGAATAGATTTATACACTGGATGAGGTGGAGACTGGCATGCATTCAGATCCTAGACTTTTTTGGAGGGGAATGAGCAGAGGACAATGAGCAGGGTCCTGTCTTATCAGTTCTTGTGTCCCTAGTCCCCAGCACAATGTAAGTACTCAGTGAAGGCTGGATGGAGTGAATAATAGGGGTGGGGTTGAAATTTGACTTTTCACTTGGGAAAGGTGAAGGCGGTCCCATTTCCAGACTAGTCTAACTTTCTTAGTCAATTTGGGTTGCTATAATAAAATACCATAAACTGGGTGACTTAGAAACAACAGAAACTCATTTTCCACAGTTCTGGAGGCTGGAAGTCTGAGATGACGGTGCCTACATGGTTGAGTCCTGGTGAGAGCCCTCTTCTGTGTATAGACTGTGACTCTTATTGTATCCTCACATGGTGGAGAGCAGAGAGGGGAAGCAAGCTCTCTCATGACTCTAGAGGCACTAATCCCAATCGTGAGGACCCCACGCTCATGAACTCTTCCAATCCTAATTACCTCCCAAAGGCCTCACTTCCTGATACTACCACAGTAGGGAGGCAAGATTTTAATATAAGAATGTTAAGGGTACACAAACATTCAGTCCGTAACATCTATCTTAAAATAACTTTTGTTCTAAAATAGATTTTAAGGGCTACCTATTTTTCTTCTCACCAGGTCAGTTTCCCAGCTGCAGAGAACAAACACAGCACATAGGATATAAAATTGTATATTCTGAAAATTGTGTGTGAATAATCATAACCTCATTGATATGCATCACCCAAAACAATAAATTGTGATGGAGAATGGAAGTATTTATCTATATTTTCTGAGCAACATTACACACACACACACACACACACACACACACACACACACACACACACGATACGGTAGTGGGAGGAATAAAATAATCAAACAACGAATTTTACTAGAATTACTTGGATATTCCAGGTATTTCATCCATCTAGATTGAATTAAACTTGATTTTTCACATGTAGACACAGCACTTTGCTCCTTTCATCATGAAATATTTAATCTCACAGGAACAGAAAACCAAACACCGCATGTTCTCACTCATAAGGGGGAGTTGAACAATAAGAACACATGGACACGGGGAACATCACACACTGGGGCCTGTCGGAGGGTGGGGGGCAAGGGGAGGGAGAGCATTGGGACAAATACCTAATGCATGTGGGGCTTAAAACCTAGATAATGGGTGGATGGGTGCAGAAAACCACCATGCCACATGTATACTTAGGTAACAAACCTGCACGTTCTGCATATGTATCCCAGAACTTAAAGTATAATTAAAAAAGTTTAATCTACAACAGTTCCCTTATAATAACCTCATACTCTAAAACTAAAAAAAAAACACAAAATCTTACATAAATATTCCAATTATTTGTATACATAAGAAAATTACAAGAGAGAATTTATTTTAATGTGAACAGATAATGAAAAATAAATGAGAAGTATTAATGGCATTCTTCTATCAAACTTATGAAAATCAACAATTATCAAAATGTCTGTAAGAAAAAAGCAATGCAATGAACCTACAACCATGAAAAAAGAAGCAAATAATATTAATAAAGTAGATTACTTTTGAAAAATAAATATTTCAATACTCTTAAGTTTCATCGTTATTTTCTCTTTCCATGAAAAGCATAGAAATGCAGTGAGAATTAGTTAGACATGTTTAGATTTTACATATTTTTGTCAGAAATTTATTTTTATATAAGTTTAGGAAGAAGCATATGGTAGACATTGGTACTACTGAAGAAATGCCCTAATCAGTCCTCTTAAACACAGTGAAAAGAATCATTTTCTTTCTGTCTAACGGAGGCTTACCATTTTTTTTTTTTTAATTTGTGAAGCATTTATGGCAGAAGTGAGCAGTGAAGATCTGTGCTTGTCTACAAGGCACATCTGAATCACGAATATAGAAGACATCAGTAGAAGGATTAGTGGAGGCTTGGAAGGTATTTTACTTTTTCCCATCATTGAAGAAAGATAGATACAAAAGGTTTTTTGTTCCAGAGAGATTGAAATCAGATTAGAATTCATATTTCTTTCCCAAGAGATCGAAATCAGTTTAAGTTCTGAATCTGTAAGCAACATTTTGCAAAACATTTCTATCTCTCAGCTATATTCCAGTCCTTGCTTTGGTACCTGGGGGCAGCTCAACCTTCTGAAAGCGATGGAGGCTGTGAGATGGATGGAAGTACATAAGTGCATGGGATCCCTGCTCTCCTGGAGTCTGACTGGCACGTGCTCAGGAAGAATTCACCATCTTGGTTGCAAAAACATCTGGTTATGGCTATAGGCTGAATGTTTATATCTCCCACAAATTCATATGTTGTCGTGATGGTGTTTGGAGCTGGGCCCTTTGGGAGGTCATTAGGCTGTGAGAGTGGAGCCCTCATGAATAGGATTAGTGCCCTTCTAAAAGAGATCTCAGGGAGCTCTCTTACCCCTTATACCATGGAAGGGCACAGCAAGAAGATGCTGTCTGTGAACTAAGAAGCAGGTCCTCACCAGAGAATCTGCAGATAACCTAATCTTGGTATTCCCGGCCTGCAGAACTGTGAGTAATAAACTTTTGGTGTTTAGGACACCCAGTCTATAGTATTTTTGTTATTTTTGTTTTAGTGCCCCAAATAAACGAAGACAGTTATACATAATTAAACTCGGCCTGGATGACTGAAATCAGGGCCTGGCGGAGAGGAGACATCCCAGACAGAGCCAAGAGCATGGATGAAAGCATCACATTAGGAATGATTCATTGGAAACGGTGTAGACCCCAGAGCTCCAATTCCAGCTTTGATGCTTTTCACCCATTACTCTTCATATAATCACTATAAAAAACAGAAGCTCTCTACTTAGGTGTACTTTTGGTTTTCAAAAGCCACCTAGAAGTGCATTTGCTTGTTAAGTCCAAAGTAACCAATTTTTGAACTTCTTTGACTATCATTGACTTTGCAACAAGTATCACAAGCAGAAACACTCAATGATTAAATACTGGAATGAAAAACTTGTGGGGAAGTAGAACAAAGAGTCTCTAGATAAAGTATCTGGGAGGCGATTCCAAAATTCTGGACAGGGTTTGGTACATTTTTCACATCACCTTGGGGGTTAGGATTTCAACTTATGAATTTTTGGGGGCACAGGCATTCAGATCTTAGCGTTGTGTGTATGTCTGGGCTGTGTGGGGGAGAATCTTAAGTTATAGGTGGCTGTAGATCCCACTAACAAGGGAAGGAAACTCACCACTGTCATTACCAGGACCCAGCAAGCGACATATACTTACTGAAATAAATATATGGTAAGCAAGCAACATATATTTACTGAGTAAATAAGTGAGATTATTCAAAATGAATGATTAGTAAAAGTGGAATTCCTCGGCTCTCTGTTATTTTGTTAGTTTCTCCCTACTCTCCAAAAGTTCTGGATGAGAGTGTCATTAGCAAGCTTCCTAACATTGATCAACGGGGAAGCTACTCAGTAGAAAGATGCCTGGCATCCCCTCTGGTTTATGCTTTTAGACTCAGACTAAACTATGGATTTTCTTCCCTTTTATGAATGTCCCCAGAAATCTTTTATGCTAGTAAATCTCTCTGAAAACACAGCAGTAGTTAGTGAGAAGGGAAAAAAGAAATCTTTAAAACCATCTCTTAAAATGAACTCAAGGATAATTATAAGCTCACAAGTATAAACATGTTCAATCAAAATTGAATTCAGGTCTAAAGAGACTAACTAATAGCATCCCATCCATCTCTTTGTGTGTGGAAACTCAGACAATCCCAGCTGGTCAAGAGTATGATCCATTGATAGCAACAGTTACTGCAAATGTTCTGACATAGGAAATGTAGAGAAAAGTCCCAGGCTGATATTATTTCAATTTTATTATGGCTTAACAGAACTAGCCATTCACTTGTTAGCAATCCCTACCTCAATATATGTTGCTTTATTTCCCGAAATGAGATGCTGGGTTAAATTCTTTAAATAAAAAAATTGATAGCTGCCATTATTTCTGACGAAGATCAGAATACAAGAAAATACAAATTTGTCTACATTACATTTCCTGTAGTTAGAAGTGAGTGCTTATCCAAGAAGAAATTATTTTCAGTTAATACTAAACTACACTTTATATCTTTTTTCTGATTTATGCTCACCTTCCCTTTCTAGGATACCTATTGAGCAACTACTATGTGCCAGAATTGTGTTAAAAGCTGAGGCTATTTCACATAAACAAGACATGATCTCGGCCTCGGAAACCAACTGTCTAACTGGAGAGACAGGCACTGAAAAAATAATTATAATTCTACATGATAAGTAAAATAAAAGAGGCATGACTACGTTATTAGGTAGGAAGTAATTAATTCTGCTTGAGTGCAAAGGGGAAACAAAGCTAAAGCAGGAGGTCGAAGAGTTTTCTAGCAGTCTTCCAGGCTTCATGTTAATACACAAGGTCCACATTTCATATGTTTGTCTGAATTAAAGAGATAAATTCTGCATTTTCCAATGCAGTGGTTCCCAGCCTTGGCCGCGCATTATAGTCACCTGGGGAGCTTATAAAAAGATGGGATGAGGGGACTGCACAGATCAATTAAAGCTGCATCCCCTGAGTAAAACTCAGTCACTGCTACTCAAAAGCAATTTCCCCAGCTGGTTCTAATCATGTCTCCAGGCCTGAGAACAACTTCTTCATAATAAACAACTACAGGACACCCCCATTGCCCTAAGTCAAGTGGGCCATTATTTGGTGGGGAGGGTAAAAGAGAGATCAAATCTATATATCCTTAAAAAGAAAGTTTAAGAAATATGCAAATGTTTAAAATCTATAACTTCACTTTTATATATGTAACTGCAATGTAAAAATCAAATCCAAAATGGCCGTGTGTGTGTGTGTGTGCGTGTGTATGATGTTATTGATAGTTATTGACAGTGCATTGAAAATTACACATCAGTATGTAGACCTGAAGGTTAGTATATGCTAAAGACTTTGAGGTTTCAGGGACTTGAAATGATTCTTGTCCACTATCCTGAGTGTTTTCTGAACATTTTAAGTGTGCAATCGATTAAGCTTAGAATATAACACCAGTTAAACATTGCAGGAGATCAGTCAGAGTGGTGGGAGAAATTACAGGGAAAGGGTGCAAACCTTCTGAAAGGTCAGAAGGCTCTGCATAGCTTTGGGGGAGAATAAGCTGAGGGCAGCTGTTCTCTTACCCTGAGGCAGAGGGCAAGGAGTAGGTACAAGGAAGTGTAGGGGAATTTAGCGTAAACAGGCTTGTTTACTTATGTTAACCAGGAACTGACCTTTGACCATGCCAGCACAAGACTGCTCCCTGAAAGGAGGAACAATAATGTTAATTACCCACAGATTGTGTTGGCTTCAGGCTTTCGGCATTATGTCTGTACTAAACAAAAGCAAGGAGCCCCAGCTTATCGAGACTGTTCACTCTTCAGCAGTCCCCTAGCTGCTCTTACACTGTATACCTGTGTCTGAGTACCCCTTTCATCCATTGCTCGGCCAGGGTCTGCAGGACATACCTGGCAAAACAGCTCTCCTTTTTTTGAAAAACTAAGACAATTTCAATGAAATTTGAACTTTGGTTAATAATAATGTAATGTATCAATGTGACAAATGAAAAATATTAATGTAAAATGCTAATAATAGGGAAAACAGGATGTGGGATACAGTGCAACACTATCTATACTATGATCAATTACCTCCTTGGAAAGGCTGTAGACAGATGAGGAATGGTGTATTATATTCTCTTATATATCTAGACATATCTGTTGAGTGGTCACATAAATAAAATCAAGAATCAGCATTGCAATAGGTACTCATTCAGGCTAATTAAGTGGTAACATAGTTTATTGAAAGATGATCAAAGAGGTTAAAGAGCCCAAAGGAGCAGCTTTATCTATTGTCTATGTATTTATCTATCTACATCTATCTATTCTATCACCTAGCTAGCTAGCTAGCTAATCTATGCATCCATTCATCCATCCATCTATTTATCTATTGTTATTTAGTTTTCCTTTAGGAGGAGAAAATATCCGAATGTAATTAAGAATAACTTATTACACAGTTAAATTTGTTAACACACATCCTCTGAAAACAGAGGAACAAGAGGGTATTAGAGACCTTTGGTTCTTTAGAAGGTATTGAAAGTCAATATAGGTATTGAGATAAGGGACAAACATGTTTCTAAGAGCAGGCTATAACCTTTAAAGAGTTGGGTAGATGAGGTGTATTCTTCTTTTCTGTTTATTCATGAACAATTTTGCAGATGGAAATAAAAGAATGTCATATTTGTAATATTGACTGATGAGACTGCTATGTCTCTAAAAAAAATAGTTCTGGATATGTAGAAATAGCTTCATTTTTTGTTAGTATTTTTTACGTTTATACTCCTAAAAAAAGCATATTTATTTCCACGAGCCATGACTAAAATCACATAGTCATATGACTGGATTTCAGCAGTCACTGAAAGTTATCCCCTAAGCCCTGTTCAGAGCCATGTTCAAAGCCAGTCCAGGGGCTCCATGCTGACTAAATAAGGGGAGAAGGGGCAGCACAAGGGCCCCCTTCCACCCTGGGGTCTTTCTCATGCTACTTGTGATGGGCTCTGTGGGAATCGTAGTAATCCTCAGAGATTCTATTAATGAGTAGGTGGCTTATTTCAAATGAGTAGGTCTCCCTCCTCTGCCATCCCTGTTCCTATGATCGCCACATCAGTATGCTTCTTACATCATACTGAAACCATTTGTTTACAGGCCTGTGTTCCCACTAGATGCCAGTGTGAGTGCTTTGAAAGCAGAGACTGGGTCCCATTTATCTTTGATTTTCCAACAAGTATCACAAGGAGTAGGCACTCAAAAATTAATTATTGGAGTGAAAACAAACTTTGGGGAAAGTAGAGTAAAGAATTTCAGATAAAGTGTCTGAGAAGCAATTCTAACACTCTTGATCGGGTGTGGTACATTCTTTACCAAAGAGAAAATTTATGAAAGCACTTTAGAAAGATGCTTGATAAAACCTCTTTTTATTCTGCCACATTCAATTTCTCAAAATTCTGCCCTGTCCAAGGCCATCAGAGCTTTCTGAATCTCTTTTCTATCTTAGGCAAATGCTTATTTCCAAGGGTTCACCATGCCAAGATTGTGTTATCTAATGTGGGCATTCAGAACTCTAGGTAGGTGCTAATAACCTTGTTGCTATTAAGGATACCAGATTAAAAATTAACAATGTAATCACAGAAAATTCCAGAGATAACATCACAATTAGGTCTTCAAAACAACACAGTTCTTTACAGAATCTTCCTTTGCTTCTGTACTGCATTTTGTTTGATAAGCACTTGCCAACAAAGACATCATACTAATTACAATTTGTCATACAAAGGGTAGGAAAACTGATAAATGATTCATTGATTATTTTCTTTATGAAATAATTCTTCTGTTCTTGTCCTCATGTTACATTTGGATAACAAATGGAGGCTTTAAGTGCCTTCTCAAGGAGTTATTTAGAAAAAATCATGTTTTCAGTATTAATTCTTAGCAACTGTGAGTGCATATACATTAAACAAAAAAAAAAGGAGGACAAAATGAGTATTTCTGGTTCTTTGTATGTGGAAAAGAATTCCCCTTTTAAAAGTGGATTTGTATAAAATAGTCTTTGGCTTCTCTGTAAGATTTTTCACTCCCCACCATTCCAAGTTATGTAAGGCACACATCCTCTCCTCTGCGTCCCCAAATGCTATGCTAGAGAAGGCAAGATGTCTCTTGGCATTTATTCTGGTTTTCTTGTCCTGAAAAGGTCAATACCTGATATGATAGCTAGTTTGTCAAGGGAGAACGGCTGAGCAAGAGCAGGAATTTGGGCAGTGGGGAAATGTGAGCCAGTCCACAGGGCCCTCAGTGAGTAGGAAGGAGTGACCAGGAAGTCTGAGGTGAAGAGGAGTGGGCGGTGATAGAGCCAGGGTCAGGGGCTCCAAATGCTTTCTGGGTGCCTTCTCTTCTCTGTTTTCTCCTGGGAAGCAATTTTATGATTCCCAAATCTGTATAAGACGCCCAGTGGTCTCTCCATCAGGACAGTTCCCTCATGCATACACCCATGCACCTTATCCATACCATGCCCCAAAGTGATCTTGCATTTTCTCAACCCTTTTCTCATTTCTGTATTCCCATCTCAATGAATGGTGTCAGCAGTCATGTAGGCCAGAAACATTTCTTCATCACCCCGTCTCTTTGTTCTTCCTTAATCCCATGTATTCTTGATGGATTTTACTTCAAAATGTTTCTGAAATGCATTCTTTCCATCTTCCTTCCCTCCAAACCTCATCATCTCTGTTCTGGACAAGTATAATCTCTTCTTGACGATCTCTCTGGCTTAAGTCTTTTCTCCCACTTTTCCATCCCCTAAACTGCTGACACAGTGAGTTTTCTATAAAGCAAAGCTGATTATGTCATTCTCCTTGATTAAAAGGCTTCAGTTGCTTTCCATCACTTAAACTAGGGAATCAAATCTGGGATTCTTCACCTTACATAAGAACATCTTCACAATTTTATCTCTCTTTACATTTCTGGCCACTTCTCTGCAGGTTGACCCTTTACTTGCATGCTATGTTTGATCCACTCAGAATAACTCACAGAACTTCTTTCCGTGCCAATTGTAAATTAGATAGATATTTATTATTGAGGTATGACATGCCAGGCACTCTTCTTCTAGGTCCTAGGGACATAGATGAGGTGCCCTAGTACATGTTCTTCTGGAACGTCCTTCTTAGGCTTCCTTTAAATTCTGCTCACATATGACCTCCTCTGTGTAGTCTTCATGGCCCTCCCAGGTAGAGGCAGCCAGGCCATTTTCCATGCTACAAGAATTTATTACCTCACATACACAACTCTGATGTGGCATAATACAAATATGTGTCTTCTTATCTCTTTCCCTCACTCAACTGAGGGTTAAAGTCCTAGACAGAGCCTGTGTCTTATTCATCTTTATCCTCAGTGTTTAGGGTAATGCAAGGCATGAAGCAGGTGCCTGATAAATATATAAATATTTTCTGAATGAATGATAATATGTGCCCATGATGTATGTCCAGGATAAATCTGCATCATACACACTTGCCCTGGGCTCTCTGGAAAAAATACAGGCACATCATCAGAGGACCCTCCACCACACACACACCTAATGTCAAAGTAATTCCCCAGACTTTTGAATCAAAATAAAATTTATTTAGCTGAAAATAAAAGATAAACATAACTGGAAGGGAGGCTAACAGTGGTTGCCTCAGGGTGGTGAATTTCCAGAGGAAACCTGGGTATATATGCCAGCTATTCCCTTTGCCTGAAATGTCCACTCCAGCCCCTACACACACATACACACAGAGACACACACACACACACACATACGCACACAGCCTGGTTAACTCTTACCAATCTTTCATATCTCCTTTGTATTTCTTTAGGGAACCTTTCCTAACCTTTATCATCACAGATTAAGTGCAGTCTCCTGTCATGTATTCTTAGAGCATCAAATATCTTCCTTTAGTAGCTTTTATCTAGCTATAATTACACTTATTTATATTATTCTTTGATTAATTTCTATTTCTTTTTCCAAACCATAAGTTCAACAGGGCAAGCTCCATGTATGTTACACAGGAGACTCTCAATGCATATTTATTGAATAATAATCAAATGAATCATCTACTTTAATATTCATAATAACCAACCAAGGTGAGCCCTGTTATCATATGCACTTTCCAGAGAAAATGGACACAAGTACAATTAAGTAACTTGCCCAAGATCCCACAGTTAGGGATGAAACAGTGAGGCAGTTACTGGCTTTCTGCATGCTGGTTTCCTGTATCACAGAGAACTAATTTAGAGCTATTTTAAAAATTTACAACTTTAAATAAATGAGTTCAGCTTTATTATTCACATTGAATGCCTAAGAAAATTATTAATTTTAAATATGGGTTTAAAAAAATGAGTACATCCATAGAGAGTTTGTCTTTGTTTGCTCTCTCAGCTCTGATTGGAAGTAAGTCAGTATTAGCAGTGTTGTTAAAATCTCCACCATGAAGATCCATGTGGGTGCTTGGAGTCTTACAATAGAAAAGGTAAGCTTATTTCCTTTTCTAATATATGGTTCTTGTTTAATTCCAAGTGTGTGTTTGAAATATTTTTAAAAAGTAATCTGATATTTGCAATTTACTGAAACATCTGACAACTGGGTATTGAAGAATTTATTGTTGCATTATTTGAGAGCCTTCCTAAAATTCTAATCCCATTTTTCTTACAGAATGAATGCATTCCTTCATATTAAAAGACACTAAAAAGTAATGGCAGATGAAATGTGGTCACGTTGAGCAGCTGCTCAGAACCTCAGTAAAGTATGGGTCTTGATTACAAAGAGAGATCTATGGATCCCAGTTGATGGGGAGCAGAAACACAGGTACATCTTAAGTATAGAGGTCCTCAAGGGTACAACTTGGCTGTACTGAGCACATTTTCAAGGCCACTTGCCAATCCTGCTCTTAAATGCCATTGAACCTGGCCAGAATTAATTAAGATGCATCCCCAGTTTGTAGGATACTTAGCCCATTGAAAGAGAAGGTGACGCTGAATAAAAAATGGATTACGAGAGCAGAACTGGAGCCCTCCTCCCACCTCTCAGGGAGAATGTAAGGACGATTGTTGATCCCTACTTCCCAAGTTTGGTATGGACAAAAACTAGATGCATGAAGGGGTGCTGGGTATCAAGGAAGAATTGCTTTCTAACTCATTAGGTATCTGAATGCCCAGTTCATCTGCTTGTAGTGGGATCTTGCTATTTGCAAAGCTTATTTAAGCTACCCTTAGAACAAGTCAGTATTTCTATTCCCTTTCTTTCAGATGGATTCTCTTAATATTACTCAAGTAGCCAAGCAGTTAGGAGTAGAGCTCTGAGGAGTCAGTTCCCCCACCTGACATGTTGCATCATATTAATGCTGAATTTCAGACATGAATTATTTTAACGGCCCATTTTATAAGCCATTCATTGTCTGAATTCTTATAAGAATTACCAAGTTTTATTCTTTAACCACTTAATACATTTTTTTTCAGCTCAGAAGGGGATTGTGGAAAGCTGGTCAGGGCACGTTTGTCCTGTGGGCCAGGTAGATTCCTTTACACCAGGGTGCTGGGAAGGTCTGTTGGTTAGAAATGAGACTTATGTCAGGAAGCACAAGGTGAAGGTAAAATTTAGTTCAGGGTTATTCTTTTTAACCTGGGAAAGTGCATGATTTTTGCAAACTGCTGTAAAAGTACTTGTCATGTGAAATAGTTTAGCCCTAATGAAAACTCCCCAGAATAACAAATAAGGAGATATTTGCAAATGGCATGAAATATCAGAAACCAAAGCAGTGTTTTGCTGTGATGAAATGTCTTAGTACATTATTTATGCATTTTTGTTTTTATTCAGAGCCGCACAGAGACATAGCTGTTTAAATACATTAACTTTCCCATTCTACTAATTCATTGAGCAGAATAGATTCAAATCACCAGTGTATCAGTCAGGATCTACACAGGAAATAAAAACTACTCTAAGTGCTTTAAACAGAGAAAATTTAATACTTGGAATTGGTTACATAGATGATAAATGACCTGAAAAGCTAATCAGGGACAGAGGAGGCAATTCAAAGATATATAAGAACAGGAAGCCACTGCTTCTAGGATGTGGTATTTCCAGAAACCAGTTACTCAGGCTGGAACAAGTGGAGCCTAGTGGCTGCCTGGCAGAAGCTGGGACCATGAAGGAAAGGGATGTCTACTGGGAGTGGAGCCACAGAAGACACAGCTTCTTCCTGCTGGAAATGCCTCCCCAAGGCAGAGGGAGAAATACGGTGACTTCTCCCCTTTCCTCATCCTACAGTTTTCTGCTAGTACCCGTGATTGTCAAAACTACTAGAAGCTAGTTGTCAAGGGAGCCCCCAAATGGTGTTTCCTGTGATTGACAGCAGAGTAGAGGAAGGGAGGGAAATGGATTTAAGGATACACAGGCAAATGGCCAATTAGCACACGCACTGATTTACAGTATCCTGTCCATGGCAAATATCAAGTGCATTACTTTTGTGCTATTAGTTTTGAAGTTCAATTCACTTCTTCTTTTCCTTAGCTTATATTTCTGAGCAACTTTGATTCACCCATCCCTTGTGTTCTACGTAGCACAAAGACACTGGAGTTTTCTGTGGTAGAAAAGCAGAAACCAAGAAAACATGAAAGGGAGGAGATAGGTGGGGAAGGGATCATACACTTTATTTGGATATGGCTACATTAAAAAAAAAACTAGGTAGAATGCTTTATTTTTTTTAAGTGATATTTCTTTGGACAGGCCCTATTTAAACAAACAAACAAAAAAACTACCTGTGGCTACTAAGCATTCACTGGGTCTATCATTCTCTTTTAGGATGTCTTTAGGGGAATATGCAGTACAAAGAGGAATGGGATCTAGGCTGAGATCTGGTCTGGTCAGGAGCAGACTGGCTGCCGGTAAAAATGGAAAAGAAGAAACATGTGCTCTGTATGTTCATCATCCCTGTTTCCCACCTTCCTCTCCTTTGGATTTATGCCAGGTCTCCCAGGGATAGGTCCCCTAGTGCCCTCTTTACTCTCCTCAAGGCCTGGTGGATCCTAACCGATGGATGTTTATGGAGAACTGGTGCTGCCACAGCCAGTAGCAGGACCTGTCTACACCTGTTGGTAACCTGAGCGTCCCACTCACCAATCCCAGCCTTCAGGCTTTTCCACCCACATGCCACGTCTCTTGATCCATTGGAAGTCATTAGATCAGATTTGAACTGCCTGAGGGACAGGCTCTCCTTTTAAATTCCATTTATCAAGAGCCATTACGTGCCCAGAACTTGACGGGATGCTTTTCCTGGATTATCATATTTAATCCTCACACCAACATCAGGTTACAGATGAAGAGACCAATTTAGAGATTAAATAATTTTCCCAAGGTCACTCAACCAGTAAGCCTAGAAGTGGGATTTGGACCTGATTCGTTGTGTGCAAGCATATGCTGCATCACACTGCCCAGGGCCAGGACGGGCAGCAGAATGCAGCCTCCTCCACATGTTCGCCGGACTCTCAGCATCTAGAGAACTTTGCCCGTCAGCCAGGCATCTCAAAGCCACAGTCACAGCTCTGGACACACAGGCGCTGAGGAGAACTGATCGAGCAGTAATGTCTCCATGGGGACCAGCCAGTCAGCAACAGTGTACACACTCACTGTGTACTGACCAGGACTCAGACAATATGTTCTGCCAATCCCTGGACTCCTAATTAGCCTTCCACCTCCCAAAGTGAGTCGGTGTCATGTTATCAAACACGTCTCTTTCCTTGTCTCCTCTCATTTAAGGGACTGTAGCTAGCTCCTACAGCTTATTCTGTACTACCCATCAGGACTAATATAAAGTCATTCTAAGAATAATCCACCCAAACTGGCCTTCATATCTGGTGTCTGGAATATAGCAGAAATCTTTTCATTCAGTGTTAAAGCATTGCATCATCCAACGAACTGACTGCAAATGGACACACAGTCTAACTTAAAGGTTATGGATCAGTAGGTAAATGCAAAAATTCTATTAGTTTTCAGACCTGGGGTTTATGACATTCATTTAAAATGAAATCAAAATCCTGTACAGAAATAGGAAAGGCACCATGGATAGATTCACTTTTAACAGCATCCACTTGGCTATTACACAAGGGCCAAGAAGACCATAGTTTCTATATCATGTAGTTACTTTTTATTCCTGTTCACTGACTTTGACAAAGACGGTAAATAGCATGCAGAGAATAGATACATTTTGAAGAAATATTAAAACACTGATTAATGTCACATTAAGAAGTGTAAAGTCCCTTGGGTAGAGGGAGAAAAATTAAAATGCCTTTGGTTCTTAATGAAACTGCACCAGGCTTACATAAATCTAAAATCCTTACTTTAACCTGAGTTTAAAATAATGGGCTAACTTGACAGTGCTTTACAAATCCTAGCAATGAACATTATCATTTATTACCAGAATGAGTGATAATAGGAGTAGGAGAGAGATAGTGCATATTGGGAAGTGTCCAAAGAGTTTAGCAAGACAATATTTCTTTTTCACAACACAAAGATAAAACAGTCGTAAAACTGAGAGTTCATTTCATTCACTTGGAGGAGAAGGGCAGGTGGGTGTTCTAGTTAAGCAGATTGCAACCCTCTTCTATAGGAATGTAAAGGAGAATGAAGAAACACAAGAGGTAATATTCACTCCGCAGTGCAAGAAGGTCCATGGATTTAAAGTCCATCACAGTAATTAAATTTCAATGTTGACACAGTACATCTCAACATTCAGACTTCTAAATATAGTTTATACAGTGCCTGTGAGCAAAATGCAATGCACATGAATATTTATCTCTGTAGTGAAGCTGCTTCTGCCACATGCTCTGAAAAGAAGGGTTGAGATTAGGACAGACCAAAACAGAGTCCACAGAATTTGATGATAATCATTTCAAAGTAGTTGAAATGAGCCCGTGGCCTCGTCAGAAGCAGTAATTTTAAGCATTTTTGGTTGTAGAACCCTTTTCACAAATGAAATCTAATTAGAAACTAAATATTTGAAATGGATTGAAGTGAGATAGGTTAGTTGATTTTTGCAGGTGGCAGGGTATTCCAGGCCAGTGACTTCTCAATGCCACAGACTTTGAGATGCATAATCTAAAGCTATTCTTTTAAGCAATAAATAAGTAAAATAAAAATCCACTGGGTATTTGATTGATTTTAAGGTACTGACAGATGGTAGAGAGCTATGTATTTCTAAGGAAGGGCTTATGGAATGGGTTGGTTATGATAGGGAAGAGCAATAAGATTAGATGAAATGAATGCTAAAATAAATGTTATTCACTTTCTGCCACATGAAGATACTGTTTTCTTTCATATTATTCCTGGGCCCTCAACTGTGGATCTGGTTCCAGCATGAACTGTGCATCTACTCTGTGTTTGCCCTTCCACCCAGTGTGTCCAACTATGCCTTGGAGGTGGTGTCTGCGCTTAGGCTCTCGCCTCTCTGGAAGCGCCTGGGACTGCAAGGTGTTGTTCTTCCTCTTATGCCTAACATGTTTCTCCACCCTCAGCCCTGATTTCCTTAAGAATATTTATAGTTTTTTTTTTTTTTCTTTTTTGAGAAGGAGTCTCACTCTGTCACCCAGACTGGAGTGCAGTGGCATGATCTTAGCTCACTGCAACCTCCACTGCCCAAGTTCAAGAGATTCTCCTGTCTCAGCCCCCCAAGTAGCTGGGATGACAGGTGCGTGCCACCATGCCCGGCTGATTTTTTGTTTTCTTAGTAGAGATGGGGTTTCACCATGTTGGCCAGGATGGTCTCGAACTCCTGACCTCAGGTGATCCGCCTGCCTCGGCCTCCAAAATTGCTGGGAATACAGGCGTGAGCCACTGCGCCCGGCCAAGAATATTTATAATTTTTTAGTCAGCTTAGGTTACACATGCTGTGGTAACAATCCCAAGTCCTCAAGGACTTAGCTTATTTCTTGCTAGTACTGCTTTATCATAATGGGCTGGGTAGATGTCTTCTTCACTCTGGGACCCAGGCTAACACTCATATTTGGGATATTGCTGGCCTCGTGACAGAGAAAAAGCCCCATGTGGCAATATATTACATAAGGCCTCTGAAATTTTCTGCTGGGAAGTAGCGTATATCATTTCTTTCCACATACCATCGGACAAAATAGGTCAATTGGCCTTTGAGAAAGCTCAATTCAACCATTTCAGCTAAGTTTCTTTTGTTGCATGATTTCAGTGGTGGATACCATATTTCTTTAGAGCTAGCATGACTCATGCCAGTTTCCATTGAGAGCCAGAAGTAGGATTCCTTATATGTTTCTCTTTTAGATCTTGTTTCTCCTATTAGAATTGCTTACTAAGTAATTTCATATCTGAAGCTGCTGCTAGCATTTAAGATATTGGAAAATCAGAGATACCTAATGCATCCTGAACAAAAATATTGCTATGCCTTAATGCTGCTGACTCTCCCAAGAGGATGTTTTCCTGGAACCCTACAATTATGAAATCATGGCTTTAAAAAACATTTTCTGTACACATTAAGATTGACAGACATGATTTGCAGCAGGAGGAATTGGGCTTTGCATCACAGATGCTTATTAGTGAATTCATGGATCAACAGGCTTACAACATATTCATTCATTCAGCGTTTATTCTGAACCAAGCAAGCACTGTTTCAGATCAAATCCTGCTGTCATGTAGTTTACAAATACAATCCAACCTGGGATAGATATTTGACATTATAAATGACATGTTCAACATCTGACATCATCCCAACTGCTCCACTGATCCCAGCTCCACCATTTACTAACTATAAGACCTTGGGCAAGTTATCCAGCTTCTATAATACTCCCCATGCAAAAGATAGGGATAATAAAAGCAACTACCTCATAGGTTTGTGGTGAGGATTTCCTGAAATAGTGAAAAGCACTTAATTGTGCCTGGAGCTAAGCAAGTGCCCAATAAACATTAGTCATGGTCCTCATTACCACCATGATCAGATTACATATTAGAGTGGTGGTGAGGAACAGAATTGGGCTTTGTAGACTTTTACCTGAAAAAAATATGGAGATCTTTGTTGAAGAAGCTTAAGATGGGTCAACATTGTTATGTAGCTGTTTAAAAAGCTAAAGTCACCTTAAGTAGTTGATGAAAAATGTCATATTGTAGGAAAATTAATTCTACTTCAGTCTTCTCTGATCAAAATTTACCTAGAATATGGAAATATGATTGTGGTGTGGGACACTCATTTCTGAAAAAGAAAGAGTAGCTAGTATATCTGCATCACACAGCGTCCTAAGCACATAGTTCCTGTAAAGATGAGTTCCTGGCATTATACAGCGGCAGGCACTCTTTCATTTTTGTTAAATCATTATACAGTGGCAGGCACTCTTTCATTTTTGTTAAATCACTAGAAGTCATGACATAATTCAACCTTAGTTTCTTCTTCTAGGAATTTTTCAAACAACTGTTGGGCAATCCTACAGGGATGTTTTATAATGCCCTTCAGAATGTCAAAAGGACTTATACCAATCCCTAATTTCCTGCTGATCTTTACCATCTGTTACTTTGACCTTTTCATCAAAGGCTTCTCAAACTGCTGGAAGCCCTGCATGTCAATAGCCAGTGGAATATTCTTCCTGGGTTTCATTGCCTCAGTCTCAGCACTATCACTTGCATACATTTTGTCGGCCATTATGGTTTCAAACAGTTCACTAGAACACAAAAATATAGGGCAGAAAGAAAGGCTCCTGAGGGGTACATAACAAACATTGCTGAAGACTTTCAACTGAGTATGGTACAATAGAGTATTCACTGGCTGAGAACATTTGCCATATGGGGCACAAACATTTGCTGCCTGACAGCATCCGGTATAGTCTCCCAAATCAGCTCTCATTGGCTCAGAGTATGCTGGCACTCTGAGTATCTGAAAAATTATATATTAACAGTTTGCACTAATAAATTGTTCTATAGATAATTCTTTTGAGAAACTATTACATACGCAAATAGTATTTTAACAACCCAGTCTGCAGGGGCAGTATTAAATGGTACATGGGTTCAAATTTAGTAGTACTTTAAGAGAAATAGAAATAAAGTATTGTCTGCTTAGAAGATAACCACATGATGAGAGAAATAGGAAAGAGTCAAAGCAACTAGGAGTGTGAACATCCAAAAGAAAACACAATTCACTTGAAAACTACTTCCAAGCAAAAAGGAAAGCTGACTTGCTGTGTTCCGGAGGGCAGAAGGGAGAACAAAAACTGGGTAATAAGAAAGCATATTTTTGTTCCGCTTGAGAAAATATTTTTAATACTTAATACTGTCCCAAAAAAGGAATAGTTTACATTCTGTGATAATGAACTCCTTGTCAGTAGAGGTAGTAAATGTGGATGACCATTTGTTAAGGGATTTATGCATTGAGTGGTGTGGTGGTTTATAAACAGTGGCCACAAACTCTTTGACATTCCTTCTATAGAGATATCTATGTACCCTCCTCTTAAATCTACATGGGATTGTAATTGCTTTAATTAATTAAGGATGAGGAAGTGACACTATGTGATTTCCAAGGCTGGGTCATGAAAGTCTATCCGATGTCCACCTGATTTCTTGGAATGCTTGCTTTTCAGATGCTCTGTCTCAGAACCCAGCCACCAAGTTGTTATAAATCCAAGCCACATGGAAAGACTGCCTGTGGGAGGCACAACTCAAACTAGGTTTGAACTTTCATTTATATCCATTGTGTCACTGGAAAAATTAGAAATAAATTAAGTTCTACTAAAATCTAATATCCTAATTGTCTACGGCACCATCATTCATCTGCACGTCAGAGTCAACATGTGAAATCTTCTCTTTGAGTACTGTGCAACATATTCTGAATAAAATGGTCTAGTCAAACTGGTTTATATATGTATTATATTATTTAGTTTCAACTTATCAATTAGCCCTCTCAAAATGGACAAGCGGCGTAAAAAGATTTCTGCAAAGAAAACATAGATTGACTAAAAATAGTAACAAGGCAAGCACATTAGACACAAGAAGAAACTGTCAGAGCTGACATATCTCCTAGGGCAAGTTTCTAGCTAGCCACAGTATCAGAGTAAAAACTGTGATGGTCTGATCTCATCAGAACTAACTCAATGATTTAGAAATTACCCAAGAGACTACTGGAAATGCAGATTTACACCCAATATATTATTGATCCTTACCCAAAGAGTTATTGTGCTTGTTATATTAATTAATGATGATGGTAACATATGTACATATTTGTAACTAATAAAATTAGAAGGTTGAAAAATATGAAATTGCCAATGTTCAAGTATTTTTGACCCACAAATTGTCAATTTCATATGGTTCAACCTAATTTGCTGAGGTTAAATGCTCAAAAATTATTTACTTTGGAGTGAGTACAGTAAAAATGTCTGTGTAGACTATTGGTTTAAGGAATAAGACACTTGATAAGCATGAATTTAGTGAGTGTTTAGGAAACTGTTTACCATTGCTCCCCAGCTGTGTATATATGTGAACACAGACATATGACATGCTACAAAGTTATTGCTTTCCTTGTCTGGTGAATAGATAATTTTATTATAACACATGCACTCTTCCCAATTGGGGTGGCTCTTAGCACCCAGATAGATTATGAAACACTGACTTGAATGACAATAATTATTCTTTGCCTGACTCCATCCTGCAGTGATGTATCTAGAAAATCAACATTCCTTAGTAAAAAACAAGGCTTTAAAAAGAATGATCTTTATGGGATCTGGTGGTTATAGAGAATTTTAGTGCCAATAAAAAGAAGATGAGGATTACTTGTTCCTTTGAGGCCGTGAGGTAATTAAAAAACAATATTTAGTGGTTTTTAGAACACCTATTTCCATGAAATCTCAGCACTAAACAATTCAGGGAAATCAGAATAGATAAATCACCTAAACAGATCAGAAAAAAATGGATAAAGCAACCATAATTCTATGCTACCTCCACCCTCTCCAGATCCATTAAATTATTTCAACCTCTTGGCATAAAATCCCATAACACTCCAAAGCATGTGTCTTGCTTTGGTGCTTGTCAAAATTAGTGTCTGAAAGACTGTACAGGGAATGCTTTTCCATTCAAGGGACAGTTTCCTATTGAAGCCCCTCTCCCAAATGACTCAGAAATGTACTCTCACCCTGCACATGCAATATCAACTCTCTCTTATCAGCTAAGATTGTTCTGTTTCATGGCACCATATCTAAAATAGATTTATGCCTTAAATTAAAGAGAGATCATGAGCTTATTTGTTTATTTGTTCTTTCAGTCACTGATACATTCAACAAGTATTCAAGTGACTACCACAAGCCACACAGTGATGAAGACACAAAAAGAGTACAGCAATTTGCTACCTGGGGCTAAGGGGCTACCAAAAAGTTAGAATTCCAAACACCAGGTGAAGCTGGTTCCCTAAGATAACATAAAAATGTGAGAAGAATAAAACAGGTTGTTGAAAACTAATGTGTTCTGGCACTTTTGTGTTTCTCAATAATTTACATATAAACACTGGCTCCTTCAGGAGCTATCTCCAAGTTAAAGTCATGTGACAGAACATCCGGAAAGAGCAAGAAACAGAAAGCGTAGGCCTAGTGAAAGGGAGAGGGTAGCAGCAATTTCCAAAATCCCTGGGATTCCATATCCCCTACAGAGTGAAGAGTGGACATGAATCTGTCAAAAGAATGTAGAACAACCTGTTAGAGCCTCTTACAGGCCAAAGATGGGACAATTTGAGCATCAACAGGGATGATGTAAATGCAATAGATTGAAATACTTCAACAAATTTTAAATCCATGTGTTCTTCATGATAGTAAAAAATTATTGAGTACCGAGGGATACTGTAGGGAACTAATGATAATTTTGAAAACTGTAAATAAAAGAATCAAGAGTTTAACCTCCCTTGGCTACACTAGTTGTACTACTGGTCACCAAAGAATAAAAAGGAGGAAATTTTTATTATAAAAATATCACATCTAATAAATGATGAAGGTATGAGAAGATAAGAATACCAGTATTTTGTAATCTCTAATCAACTAATGGATTTAGGCATTGAACATTAATGGCTAGCACTTCAAAAAGAGATAAAGCATATAGTGTGCTTTTTATTAAGTAGAAAAGACCACATATGTAAATGTCTTATCAAAAGAAAACCCCACAAAAATCTAATATAATAAAACTTCTAGATCTAACTACTAAGTACAGTAAATAAGAGACCAAAGAACATATTAAGCTATATCGTGGGGATGCAATCAGCAAAAACTAGACTGTGAGAAGCTACAGGACAAACAATCATTTTTTTCCCTTGCAGTTTGACAAATGAACTGCAAGAAGAAAAAAAGAAAAGGAGAGGAGTACCCATATGTTTTAAAAAGTCTCAAGATAAATCAATCTATGGACAAGCAATGTATGTATTTTATTTGAATTATGATTTCTTAAAAAATGTATGATGCATTAGATAATTGCATTGACTGGAGATCTGATGACATTAAGACTTACGGTGAATTTTTTTAGTGTGGGATTGGTATTCTACTCATATATAAAAACTATGTTTTTATCTTAGGAAAGTACATAATAAAATATTTTGAAATGAAATAATATGCTATTGGATTTGCCTCAAAAAAAACAGGTGGGAGAAGGGTTGGGAAGATGTGACTGATGATGAAGATGGGGCTGCAGAGACCAATGAGTTGGTATTTTCTGGAGCTGGTGATCGATGCATAGAGGTTTCTTTTATATTATTCTGTTTATATTTGTGTATGTTTGGATTTCTCCCCTCTCCACAATAAAAAGCAAAAAGAAAACAAATTAGTGGACATATGAATTCATGTATCCAAAAGATCAGCAGGACTGGCTAATTTAGATTCTTTCAGATTTTCCAGTGAAGTTACCAGACATATAATAGTCTGGTTTTCTCAGATCCAAAGCTATACCCAATGTGAAATCATATGAATATACGTAAGCACGACAGAATGAAAATAGAAACTCACTCTTGCTCTCTCCCTCAGTGCATTTGTGTAGAATATATGTATGTCCACCCACACACAAATTTGTGTATGCATAGGTATATCCTCAGATGCGTCTTATTTATATTCTGCTTGAAATTGTTTTTAGCCTTGTTGGAGAAGGCATCTGAGGCTGACAACAAACAAACCAATATTTCAATTAGCACAAAAACACGTATCAGATTTTACATACCAGATAAATGATCCTGGTGGCATGGGTAGGTAGTGTATGTAAAACGAGTCCATGTGAATGAGCATACAGATGCTGTGCCTAAAAGATTAAGGGAATTCTACACTATCAAATATCTGTGTCTAGGTTTATTTTAGCCTGGAGAAAATGCACTCGACTTAGAAATTCCATATTTTAGAGCAGCTCCCAGTTTCCTAGGGCTAATCTTTAATACTGAATAGATAAAATATTCTCCAATCCAACAAATCAAGCAATAAAAAGATGGTTCAGCTACTTTTCATATCAAAGGTCAAAGAATCCATCTTAATACTCTACTATGAAATGCTAGCCCGATGAAATTAAAACAAGACAACACAAGCCAACAAACAAAAACCCCAAACTTCTGAAAAGTAACAAAGTCCAGATTATGATATAATGACCTCTTGCAACTGATTGTTTACTACATCTAGTTGTTTACATAAAATAGAAGTCCTTATAGGCCTCTACATTATTTAAGAAAATTAGCATGTTTCAAGAAAGTGGCAGATTATTGCAGATGTAAGTGTTTTACCAATAGGGATTTTATGGTTGGCAAATGTGATTAGATACCCATTAGCATCTGCAAGCCAAATATGTGGCATGTACATCCCAGAAACACCTCAAAATGGATATTCTAATTTCCACCACTTCAAATGGACAAAAGGTTTTTATTCAGGCATAATCAAAGACAAACAAACAAAAAACTAGATAGTAAATTAGGGCAAGTTATTTCTGCTGCTTAAACAATTATCAAGTCCCCATCTGCTGCCTAAGGGTAAATGGCAAAAAGAATCGTCTGTCATTGTCATTTTTTGAAATGTGGCAAATGTTTACCGTCTACTTAATTAGTCTGTTGCCTTCATCCACTAAACATATTGAAATTTTATAGGAGATAAATTTAGGGAAAATGGTAAATAGTCTCTTTCTCCAAGTGAACAGAATAAGGACATAAAGAATGATAAAGCTACCCTCCCAGAACCACTTGCTCCATTAATACAATTCTGCCGGGAATCTCTGATTACACAGAGGTGGGCTTGCAGTTTCCATGACCACTAATGGGAGGAACATGTGCACAATGCTGGGAGGACAGTGCCTTGATGCTCTGAGGGTGTTGCTCCTAAATATCTCCCCACTTTACCAGAGCTTTGTTTTTGACAAATACTGGTGTGCTGTAATGAACTTTAAGCAACAGCTGGAGGAGGAATACATGCCCAGTTTTCAAGGTCTATAAGAAAATGAATGTTTTTATGACATGATTTATAAATGGTATTATATCTATGAAATTTTAATGCTTTAATTTTGAGCGGCATGGCATGAATTAGTGAGCCAAGATACTATCAGGGCTCGTTTTCACAAGAGCGATTTCCACTAAAAGATTAAGAGGCTATAGCTCTTGGTAAAGGTTACCTTCCAAGCAGAAAGAGGCAGTGGCAAGGGAAATCTAGCATGGCCTTTTCTACAAAACAATTCCCTTGGAGAAATCAGAAAGCTCTCCATTCAGTAGTCCTGTAATCAAAACAGAGAAATGGGAAGAACAAGTTTTGCTTTGATAAGATTTAATAAAGACAAATTGAATAAAACAAAAACTGATCAAAACAGAGAGACAACATTTAAAAATATTTACATACCACATACCACAATTTCCCTTCCTTTTTAAAAACTGTAACCATCATACCTGAATAATTATGCAGCAAGTCTACAAAGGGAAAGAACTTTACACAAAGCCACAATCTTAATCTTTGAACCACTGACATGGGTATTTGTTTTGTCTTGCTTAGTTTTGTTTGTTTGTTTGTTTGTTTCTTTCTTTCTTTCTTTTATTCCTTCCTTCCTTTTGTGGTGGGGCAGGACATGTATGTGGTGGTTGCTGTTCGATCAATCAACACTGCATGGTCACTCTGTACTGGATATCATGGGAATGGAGAAGAAATGGCAGAAGAAAATTAGTTAGACATGCAAATCACTACTTTAGCTATCAGAACCCCCTCATTCCTTATACCTACTGTGAAACTGATTAATCAGGCTCCCCAGAGCTTTTCCTCTGGCATTTTTTCTGACATGTCATCTGTACTTTCCAAAATTATTATACAACTTTTATGAAACTAAGTCTACAAGACAGGCTCTAAGGTGTAACTGATGTCTCTTTTGTAAGCCAGAGAAATTTGCACAGCCTGTGTCTCCGAAGGCTAATATTTCAGCTCTTCTTGGGGTGTTATTACCTGCATGTGTCTGGCTTCTATAGCACTAGACTGCCAAGATTCCTTGGTCTAACTGCAATAGGGGAAAAGCTATCATCAATTATGGATTGGGAGCAAACAATTAACTTTGCAGGAAGCAATTCAAATGAAAGCCAAATTGCATTTTGGACATTTTGTAACATCAAAACTTCAGTTTATCAGGACATACAAAAACACTTCATTTTCCACAGTGTCTACGGGTGCCATTAAATTCTACCCTTTGGCCTTTCTCTGTGTCTCTGTTAAGAACAAAAACACTATCATGGAGGCAAACACCCATTGCCAATAACTAATAACTAATTGCCAATAACTAATCATCCTGTTTTCTTCTGTATCTGAGAGTTTCTAGGGGAGGAACAGAGAAATTTTCGAGCAGAGTTGCCTAAGGTTTCCCTAGCTGGCCCTGACTGCACTGGCCACCTGTTCCCTGTTTAGAGAAACCATCCTTTCCCTCCCCAACCTTCTGTTCCTTGTCTCAGACTAATGATGATATATGGGGTGCCGTGTTCCTCCTAATTATGAAAATTGCTTTCTATTGGTTCCAAGATTTTTATTTGGTATCTTCTCAGAATCTTGGCTAGCCTCTGTGCCTTGGGGCCCTTAAGTAAAATTAGATCTTAGAGCCCCCATATGGGATCTGACACACAGCTTTTAACCAGGAGCTCTTATTTAAAAAAAAAGAAAATCTGGTTCTTTATAGAAAAGATGCTACTTCTCTACCATAAAGTCCACTACACTACCAAGCCTGGGCTTCCATATCTGAAGAAGAGCTTCCAGACCCTGATGCCCAAATACCATCATTGGTAAATACACCATTTCACCTTTTCCCTACGGATTTCCTTCAGTATGTTGCTCCTGTAAAATTGGGTGCCTTACCCAAGTTTGTGGACTTACCACCATCTCCCCAACTCCTCATATAAGAAACTTGAGAGTTAATCTTAATGCGCTCACTACTCTCATATTTAGTTACCATCAAATCACCTTCCTCAATATCTTCTAAACCAGTCTACTCAAATCCACCCATATTCTGCTATTTTATTTGAGGATCTCAGGATTTCTTACATTTAGTACTAACGATTGTGTCTGATACAGCGTGAGTGCTCAATGCATGTTTGGTGAATAAATCAATGATGTAATTAATGAATAAAACCTGTTCTCTTTTGACTGGCCACCAAGGGCATAAGAGGATAGGACACCAGCTTTCAGGTTCCATTGAAAATCACAAGATGGAGGGAAAACTCAGTTGTTTTATTTTTAGAAGGAAACTTAGTATGTTTGTGATAGATGTTGGAAAGGAACTTTAGAATGATTATCTTTTCATTGATGATTAAAATGGATTTCCATTTCCTCTGCATATAAAGGTGAACTGTTGCTATGGCTCAAACCAACACATTTCATCACTGGCTTCTCCAAGACAACATGTTCTGCATGTTAGAGTCTCTTCTCAGCTATAAAAATGAATATTTTGGCTGCTTCAAACTGCAATTCCATATTCAGAGTTTCTACTAAAATAACTCAACTATTCAGGTACCTTTGACCTATGGAAGACAGAGCTTAGGTCAACTTCTTTGCCTTAGCATGGGGCTTGAGGAAGACCACACATGGAGGAAGGGCCACCTTCTCAACTAGCCAAGTGAGTGAATCAACTCTGCTGACAAGCGAGTGGCAGATCAAAGCCATATCCCCTAACAACCCATTCTTCCACATGCTACTGGTGCTCTTTGATACAAGCTATTATTTTCTTCATCAGTTTTACGGACACCTTTAACACCTTAGACCCTTTCAGGGCTCTTTCTGGCAATTTGAACTTTGAAACTTGGAAAAGAAATATCCCCAGGCTTCAACTGCCTGAGATAGTTCCCAGAGACTTGCACATACTTTCAGCGGAAGAAACTATGGGCCCTTGAATTTCAGATTAATATAAGGAAGATCATTTTGAAAATTGGAGCTACTGGTTGGTGGAATGGGCTGCTTCAGGAAGTAGAGAGCTTTTTGTGCCTGAAGATTTCAAAAAGAGGCTGATAATTACTGCTTAATGTATCAGGGAGAGGATTCAGCCATGGGAGCAGGAGTGTAGTATAGATAATAGAAATAGAGAAGGTAGACCATTTAAATTCATCTCTGAGATTCTACGGTCCTAATAGATTCTACTTAAGTGGTGATAAATTCTACATGCAGACTTAAATAATTGTCAAAAGGCTATAAAATATCTAGAAACAAGGCTTATAAGACTGTCTCATTTTATATAATCCATTATTGTAGATACACAGTTTAGATAAAAATTCCTGATTTTGAATTTAACACATCATCACTCAAAACTGTGCCATATACCAGGTGCTTAAAGTGTTTATTTAAATAATTTGGCTACTTTGTATTGAATTGTCAAGTTTCATACTGGGTATTTCTACTCTCTCTCTTCCATTTTCCATAGATTATAACTTTCACAAAGGCATTTTGCATTATTTATTGCAGTGTTTCTACTATCTAAATAGTCCTTAGCACATAGTAGGTGTTCAATGAATATTTATTGAATTTTGAACATTTTCTTCCCCATAAGATTGGATGAAAAAGACAAAATTATCTATCCAGAGCAAATATTTTCCTTGCATCCTTCTCTACTGTCCCTGCCAACCCCACTCCTACCCACACTGGCTCCAAGGACCCAAAGAACCAGACCATTCATTACTTCCTAGAAGTACAAGGCCAGAGGATAAAAATTAAAATATTAACAGTATTTATATCTGCATAAAAAACTCACAAATGTGTTTATTTTTTATTTATGCTTTTCCATTTTTCATATTTATTTTTAAAATGAAATGTTATTACACCTATGAGACAAAAAAAAAAGGAGAAGAAAGGGGGAAGACACTACCTTGGCTACATGTTCATTCAAATTGGATGAACATCTCTACAAGCATGGAATCAAAAGGACATTTTTCCTTTTTCCTGTGTAGGTGTAACACAAACAATGTGAGGTAGGCCACATAGTCACACTAAGTTCTGAGCAGAGAAGGAACTAAGCACTCAGGTTGCCTGTATCAGGGCAGGGGATTGCTCCCTGTGTGTGCAATTCACACACAGACCCTGCTCCCTCAGAAATAAGAACACCACTCTGGGTGTTGGGATGCTTGCTGCCATATGCCAATCAACAATGAGATTTGTTACGTGGAAGGAGGAGGCAGGAGATGCAATGATCCTGGCCTGTCAGCAGGTTTATATCGCTTATGACATTTCAGCAAGTGACTGGATGCTTGTAAGAGGACCGGAAAGGTAGTTCCACTTGCCAGCACTGGTAATCGCTTAAAAAGTGTCTGTAGAAATCAGCAGTCGCCTTGCATGCCCCCTGGAAAAGACATGGCTAAGTGACTTCAGAGGTTTGTTCAGCACTGCCTTCAGCACAAATACAAATAAAATGATTAAGCCTATTTCCCCATGACTCCCCTGGCAACTCACTTCCAATCTCACCACATCGATCACCAGGAAAAGATTATCTACTTCTACAAAACTTTTAGTTAACTTTCTGGGCTATGGTCTGACATCAGCAAAGCTTCCCTTTAACTGATAAGACAAGCAATTTCATTTTCGTCCTTAGTGAGTGTAAGGTATTAAGACACTACCTAAAATTCTTCAAAATGGTATCTTCTTCTCTCCTTGCCAAGCTGTGAGACTAACAATACCTTTGACAAGCTGAAAAATTTCTTAGCTGCCTGCTGTCTCCGCAACAAATTTCCTTCATCAACTAATTCACTAATTTGGGCCTTCTTGAGAACTCAGCTAATTTGTAAGAACAGGTGGCTTATTCCATAAGTGTTCAATAAAGATTCACACATGATTACACATACAGCATTGCCTTAAAAACAAATGAAGAAATGTGTGTATTTATGGAGAAGCTAAAGAGACAGACAAGAGATTCTTTAGTAGCTAACTGTGTGCATCTGGTGATCTGGCAAAATTCTTCCCAGAAACTGGTGGGGGAAGGAAGCAGAAGTAGGTGACATAAGGATATAAAGTCCTGGTCACATGGACAATTAACTATTCTTGGGGAAGCTACCAAGAGGTTATAGATATGAAACAAACAAAAAACTACCAATCACAGCTTCACTCTTATTTTTTCTCTATTCTTATGTTTACCTGGCCTTGAGTTTATTCAGTCATGAAACATTTATTGAGCATTTAATAGCACTTAATATGTCACAGGCACTGCTTCATTTGCCTAAGTTAACTATATTCTCTTATTAGAAAAGAGGAAAGGATATGTTATGTGGTTAAGAAAATAAATTAGATGCTGTGATATTACTAGGATAGGCAGGAAAAAAGACAGTTCATGTAAAGAATATAAAGCCAATCATTCCCCCATTTGCCTGGACATAAAATATCCAAAAAAAGAGGAAAAAAAAGGAATGATAGCAACAATTCTGAATGATGTTTTTGTCAAATTTAAGGAATTGGCTAATTATTTTTCCATGAGGAATATTTAACTTGTTTAAGAAAAAATGCCTAACATCAGAGAAAGCTAGAAGATACAAAGTGATGTTATCATGATGTACTTTTCTCAAAAGGGCAATAATTTTTGATAAGATGATTGCTATAAGAGAGCACAGGAAAATTCACCCTTTTTTCTTAATAGGGTATTAAATTTTAAAATTTCTAAATTTTCTTAGTTAAGAATTAAGGATTTATGTGCATAAATCACTAGCTTACAAACCATTGGAACCCAATAGTACAAAGTACAGTGAGTACCACAATAATTTTGAGTTAACATGTACATACCAGGATGATAATAAATTCACTCACTCTTTATATATGATAAGCAAAGAACAGCAACTCAACTCACTCAGGCATAGGAAACCTTTCTTTCCCATTCATAATCCTAGTTATTCTTCAATTATTTGATCCAGGAAAAAGTATTTGCATTTATAATATAAGATAGTAAATACTTCTGATGCTCAGAAGGTTTAAAATAAAGGTTAATTGAGGTGAAGAATTCAACACAGTTCCCTAACAAAACATGCTTTCTAGAAGCAAGAGAATCTGTTTCCTACAGTCTGTGATAAAATCATGGCTGTGAAAATATTTCAACTGGCACAAGGATTACTGTCCCTTATAAGTGCGGAAGTTGCCTTTTTAAAAAAAGTAGGTGGATACAGAGGTAGCTCACATTTTTTGGTCCAAGAGTTCCAGCTAAGGTCTAGAAACAGTGAGCGACCACTGAAAGATTTTAATCAAGAGCATGACATTGGAATTGAATATTGCAGGAAGCCATACCAGAAGAAGGGATAATATTTCAGAAGATATCTTTGTAATTCACTGAAGAAATGACAATTAAAAGGCATTATGAATGGGAAGACGTACACAGATAGGAGATAGAATAGATAATATCTGGTGTAAAATTAAATGCAAAAGACACTTGGATAACTGAGATTCTAGTTTTAGGCCTGGATAGAAGCCTCATCCATTAGCAACATTAGGAAAATAAGTCAAAGAGCAATTTCGAGAGAGGAAAGGAGGGGCTAATTTTGGACAGTTTGAGGTTTTAGTTGTCTAAAAGGGTACTGAAGTAGAGACATCTAGAAGAGCACTGGTATTTGAGTCTCAGCAGGCTGGGAATATGAACAAAGAAGTGGCACCTAAGGACATGGGCCTGTATGAAATCATTGAGCGATTAAAGGAGAGTACCAAGAAAAAAGTCCTTGGAGAGAACGATATTTCTGGGTGAAAAAGGAGATCCAAGAAAGGAAATGAAGAAAGAACAACCAGAGTGGTGTCCCCCACGGCAAGAGAAGAGAACACTTTGACAAGGAGATATGTCAAATGCTCTAGAAAAATGAGTAAAAACAAACACAATAAAAGCACGCATAAGCCTTAGCAACATAAGATGTCATTGGCAAGTTTATTCATGTGTTAGTATAAAGAATCAACTGTTTGAGTTAGAAGTAAGTGAAAATTTAGGGAGAAAGACATTGAAGGTACATACTTCTTTTAAGTAGTTTCCTATGAAGTATAGAAGAGTTTTATCATAGTAAATAGAGGAAGGTATGAGATTGGAAAAATTTTTAAAAAGAAAAGATGGATTGAATTAAGCAACTGCACATGCTGCATGGAGTACAGAGAAATTACTGAAGATCTAAGAGAAAGAAAGGAAAGAGGAGAGGGAGAGAAAAGGAAGAAGAGAGGGAAGGAAGAAAAATAAGCATCTTTGGTCTGAGGGCAGAATATCCAAAGCACTGGTGAAGAATTGTCCATTACCATACATACATTTTTAATAACATTCCATAAAGGTTGATATTTTATAAAGATATTCCATAAAGGTTTAAATGTCTTCTTGATTTAAGATGGACATTATTAGCTCAACAAACATGAGTGCACACTATTCAGAAATGGCTGGATTAACTATCTAAATTAGATCCATTATTTCCATAGTTCAGAGTATAGCTCAGCCCTTCTTTAGCTTCGCTGCTTCATTACAGAAAATGGATTAGCTTCACACCTAGCCTCAGATGGAAAATGATCAGTGATTTAGACTGCCTTGACATGGATGAGATGTCACGTAATTTGATTTTTGAAGAGAAAAATAGATGGTAGAAACTGATTTCCTTAATTTTATGAACATCAAATCCAAGAACATAGGAGTTTCATGGCTTAAAAAAATGTCTGATGCTAATGGCACAAGTGATAAAATATGGGTCTAATCAAAATGACTCAGTATTGAACAGTAAGCCCTGCAGCACCCAATTACTCAGTGCTATTTCTAGTGAGAAATATGATATTTGGAGGTATAAACTAACCTGCAGCCATAAGAAATATATATGGTGAGAATAAGCAGGAAGAAATTCCCGAAATGCTGTCCTACGAGATCTTAATTGTAGTCCTATTAGGAGAGTTAATTACTGGGGGCGTGTTATTTTCAAGCAGTCAGATTTTTACATTCAGACAGCACTTCTACTAAAGTTGACTTGCTAATAAAGTTTCATTTGCAACCAGTATTAACATGATTTTATTTTGAACGTGTCACTTTGATTTGCCCAGGCATCTTGTTTTGATTTGCCTTGGCCAATTTTGCAGTAGGACAAACAAAGAATTTTCTTTAGTTCTCTCAGCTCACTCAAGGTTAATAGGGCAGCCCCTGTACTTAGTTAAATAAGTGACCTGCCATGCCTCTATTAATTCATTTTTGCCAAGCTGAAATCCATTTCAGACTGGAATGTTTTCTCCTCCTTGAATTTACTGAACGTATTTTGTACCAATACAACAAAATATGTCTTGGAAAGAAAACGTAATTAGAAAATAGAGAAACCAGCAGGGTTTTTTGTTTTGTTTTGTTTTTGTTGCTTTCCCTTCAAACAAGTGTATGTTTGGGCAGCAAAGACAGCAGTATATGGCCCTTCATTCATTTCCCTAGAGAATAGTGGATCAACTGCTGAAAAAGGAGTTATGTTTATTCTGCAAAATGCATATCAGATCCTTTGACAAGCAGTACTCATTAAGGTCTGTTTTGTACGCCATTCGGTATGCCTGGGATGCTTCTACAGACAAGCCATCCCCTGGGGCAGTTTAACCACATTTATTCTTCTCAATTTTCCCCTAGGTTTCTAACTACAAAAGGAAAAAAAAATAAATTAACAAAATCCATTTGGAAAATGAATCTTGTTTAATGGGTTCCAGGAAATGTCTAGTGCTGACATGAATGCAACTAGCATTTCCACTCACACCCAGGATGACTTTGCTTTGATACATGAGCAGAAACACTCTTGGCGAACCTGGGATTTGAGGCCACAGCTCATTAATGCACCTGGACACGAAGCACTATACTGCGTGTCTGTGTTTCTACTGTGCCTTTCAATGCCTCCTCTGTATGAGTAGAACCTGTCTGTTATTGTTTGGTTGGGTAAAAACTGCCCATGTACGTGGAGAATGGTTGTGTGTGTTGAAGTAGGTGTTAATCCATGCATTGGTTTAATGTAGTCGGGCTCCTGTAGAGATTCCAAATTGCAATTCGACTACACAGGGTTTATAGACAACTTTCATGCTGGGAGAGAGATGGTCTGCAAAGAGTGCCAGGAACAAAGTGCATACATGACATGGAAGAGGGCTTGGGAACAAATCTTTCTGAACATTTCTGTAGATAGGCTTTGGTGTGTTAGAGCAATGTGAAATGCTTAACATGCAGGTCAGTTCAATTACTGGAAGAGATGTGCAGGTGTCCAGGAAAGAGCACCAGACTGCAGTTAGAAGGGCAGGGTTCTAATCATGCCTCTGCTGTGTACTTGTGGTCTGTTCTTGGGCAAGCCACTAGACCTCTCTAAGCCTTACAAATAGGGTGTAATAGTACCTGCTTCAAAGCGTGGAATGATACAAGATGGAATGATGTAGTAGACAAGGAACTGGCTAATGCCCCCGGTGAGTTAACCAGGCATTCTGCTAGGCGCTGGGAATATGAAAGAATAAGATATGATTCCCATCTTAAGTTTAAAGTGTTTTCTTCTTTTCTTTAATTTTTAAAGCCTCTTCTCTCATGTCATAAGAAATCAACATAGCAATAATCTTATTTTTAACATACAGATGCAACTACCGAAGCACAGAGATAAATAATTATTTGCTCAGGGCAAATATATATGCATTAGAGAGCCTATGGTCCTGACACTGACTTGAAAATTCCAAGCTTGAGAATTTAGGAAGACAGGTCCTCCCTTATCACATTCTACAAAATGATTACAAATTTCCAAACCCACTCTGGATGGGCTGAAGAATTTTCAAGGTAAATAACTGAAATGCACTGTAGGTTCTTGGGAAGCACAATATAAGGACTCACAAGAGATATCTATTTCTCATAAGTACCAGTATGATTTGATTTAGGCTGTTCAAAGGATATCTCTGAAATACCAAGGGAATTAAAACTACAATATTATTAATTACTTTCACATTTGGATATTATTGCATCTGGTGAAGTGGCTGCATAGTGGTGGAGCTTTTCAATGTTTTATTGTATAAAAGGAAAGAAAATATGACACTTTATAACATTGTCTTGTTAGTTTTAGTACTTCATTTAGAAATAGTCTTTCATGTTGCTTAAGTTTTTCCAGTAAAATGTCATAAGTAAATAACAACTGGTAGTCCTCCCTTTTTCTTTGATTATTGTTCTCTTGTGGTACCTTACTTTGCCAGTTATATCAAAAGTAAGGGTGTGATTGCTCTCATGAATATGCATAATTTCAGAGCCTATACCAGCTTGCATAGTATATTAAACCTGATATTGAAATTCCAATCAGATGTATTATGATACCGTGCAACATCAAAACCAAGAATGAGAGGGTCTCATGGCTTTAAAATCATATTGAATTTGATCCAGGCATTTGCTGAAAAAAGATTACAAAAATACTCTTTTGCTTTCTACATATAGAACAAGAAAATATTAACATCCTTTTTTTCCTCTCTCCCTTCTTTTCTGTCCTAGATTCCTCCCTCCTTCCCTGTCCTCATTCTTTTTTCTTCATTCCTTTCCTTCATTCAACAACTATCTATTAAGGGTAGGATGGCCAACTGTTTGGAATTCACTGGGACAAAGTGAATCACAAGGATGTGGAATTTTCAATGGTAAAATGGAGAAACTTCCAAGAGAACTGGGAGGAATTGGGTATAATAATTGAGGACCTATTTTGTGCCAGGTATTATTCTAGGTGCTGAACATTCAGCAATGAATAAAGCAAACCTCCTCTCATGTAATATATTTTCCAATGAAAAGAGGCAGGAGGCAGAAAAGAAATTATCACAATGTAAGTGCTAGAAAGAATTAAACCGGGCAAGAGAGAGTGATGGGTAAAGGCAGGGGACTTTATTTTATCTGGGGTGGTTCAACAAAGCCTTTCTGGTTAGGTGACATTTGGCAGGATGTGGAGGAATCGATGGAGTGAGACACTGGGTAGCGCAGGGAAGAGGATCAGAGTCATTGGAAGGGTCTTGGGGGCAGGGCTGTGTTGGGAGGTCTGGAGGAATAAGAAAGAGGCAGTGTGGTTGGAGCAGAGGGACAGTGAAGATGCTGGAGGTAGGAGATGAGGAACCTGCAGGGCCATTGTAAAGAGTGTGAGCTTTTATTCCGAGTCCCATGGGAAGCCATTGAACAGTTACTTACATTTGGAAGGAAGATTTTGATTGCAGTGTAGATAATACACTGTAAAGAGGTAGAGAAGAAGCAGAGAGACTAGTTCAGAGGTTCTTGCCATAGTCCATCTATTATTGGGATCTTTTAATATAAATTACTCTTTACTTGCTAGTTGTTCAGTTCCTTTTGAAAGCTATTACATATATTAGTCCACACCTGACATACTGTCACTATTTTAGGGTAGAATCTGAGAAATACTTGCTGGTTGATGTCCGTCTGTGCTCCAAGGATCCATATGGCACCTGCCATTCACTGTTACCTAATCATTACTAGCCAAAGATGTCCTCTTTTCTTTAAAAACAGAATCTTAGTTGATCAAAGATAAATATGTAGTTTACCGACTCGGTTCTAAGTGATATCAAAATATCAACCTATCCCTTGAAACAATAACAAAAAATACAACACTGCTCACAATAAAAAATCTGAACAAAGGCTTTTTACTAATCTTATGATAGAGATAACAATTTTGAATTACATGAATGTACTTTCTTCTCCTGAATTTCTTTGTGCTCACCCCTACATTGTTCCAGGGGCATCTGTTTGCTGAGGGAGGATTAGCAGTGCAGGGTAGGACTGCAGCGGCAGGGGGAGAGTGATAAACATCATTGAATATCCACAGCTTTGGCACTGGAAACAAGACAATAGTTTTGAACAACTGGTTCTGTTAGAAATGAAACGAATCATCTAAAACCTGTTAGCCTCAATTAACACATCAAGAACCAGGCCTGAAGCACACATCTGGCATATCTGTGCTTTTTCTATAATGCAGGAAGGACACCTTTTCTTCCATGTCTACCGAGCTGGGAGGCTTAGTGACCCAGTAAGAAGGAGATGACTTCGAGGAAGCCCGTTCAAGAGAGGAAGAGAAAACGGAAGGACCTGCTATTTTCCAGAGGAATTTTCCTGTGGGGAGAAATGAAGACATGGAATTTTCCTAGGGGAGAGAGAAGACACATCCTGATGCCTCCTGGGGGAGGGGGACAACTGTGCTCTGGGAGGAGATCACAGTGGTAGCTCCACCAAAGTAACATGCCCTGAGGTTAGCTCTCCAAAATCTTTAACGCCTGTGTGGTGTAGAAGGTATCCAGGAGCTTCCTCTGCATTCTAGACGTCAATAGCAGGAGGACAGTGTTTGGTGAGCTTTAAAGGGGTGTGTCCTCAGTTGTTGTCAGCATAGGCAGCCCCCTTAATGCTGACCCAATGGGAGCCCAGCAAAAGGCACAGGCACCCTCCATGAGATCAGAGGGGCCCCTCCCGTTGGACACCGGACTGAGAGACATCCTCCCACCCTTGTACTCAGCAATCATCTTTGGAAACGGAAATGGGGAAGGGAAGAATTCTGAAAAGGGCAAGAATTTTCTTGCAGGGGAGCATTTTAAGTGGAATCAAAAATAAGAAACAGAACTAACAAGTTGAACTTTTTCTGCCACCTAGGAGGAAGGTAAAAATTCATCAAAATTAGATCAGTTTCAGAATAATAAAAATGCTGCCACGCCTGTAATCCCAGCACTTTGGGAGGCCGAAGCAGGCGGATCTTGAGGTCAGGAGATCGAGACCATCCTGGCTAACGGTGAAACCCCGTCTCTACTAAAAATACAAAAAATTAGCCAGGCGTGGTGGTGGGCGCCTATAGTCCCAGCTACTTGGGAGGCTGAGGCAGGAGAATGGCGTGAACCCGGGAGGCGGAGCTTGCAGTGAGCCGAGATAGAGCCACTGCACTCCAGCCTGGGCAACAGAGCTAGACTCCATCTCAAAAAAAAAAAAAAAAAAAAAAAAAAAATGCTGCATTCAACTTGCATATTTGAGCCTGGTTTGTTGTCTTTTGATATCACCAATTTGGCATCACCAGTGAATCCACCACTAATTTAGCATTGAATCCTGAATCTGGCCTGGCTGTGAAGGTTGCAGTCATTTGCTGTGGGATTCTTTTGAATTAAGTTCTCTTCAAGGGTGGATCTAGCTTGTGTGGCCTATATTACTGAAGGAAGTGAGAATCTTTAAGAAAAAATAAAATTACAAATACAAAGTAGGTTTAAAAGTAAATAGAATGAAAAAATAGATCACAACAAATTATTGAAGACCTGGTAATTCAGTTTCTTTTCTTCTATAATCTCTTTATCTCCCACTGGGTCCATGCAAGGGAGAGGCGCTGACACAAGCTTCACCTGCTTTGTGTTGTATCTCAGGTACTCAGTTTATTCCAACAGATCATCCTGTTTTCCACAAGAACCAATGCTGCAAGATTAAGTCTACGGTCTAACTAGGAGCAAACTAGTAGGTCAGAAGAACACAGCCTACTGTCTTGGCATGATTGTCTTTGTGGGAGAAAGGGGGATGTGGTACTCTCGTACCTCTTGTCTACTTCTTGGCATCCCTTTCCCTTCCCTGGACTTGGGATGCTTAATGGATCCTTCTTGTACATAATGGGGGAAATGATAACTAATCTCTACTGCTGAAGGTATTAGGAACATTTACTGCCTATTAGCCAAAGTAGCTTTAGAGGGGCAGAAGGGAGAAAGAACCTACACTGAGCACTCTCATATATGCTAGGCTAATAACTATTCTATGGGCTTTACTTGATTTTTCTATGGAGAAAGACTTTTTGCTTCATATATTTTCATAATAAAATCAAACAAAACATATATTGAATAGCTAAACAGCACAGTTTTCTCCACTGGGTAAATTAAGACAATATATGTGAAGTACTTTGTAACTGTACCATGATAATTTAATGTAAAATAACTTTATTATTGTTATTGTTGTTTTTATTTCTACTGTTTGGGAGCATAAGAGTTAAATTGGGTTCTAAATACCTGACTTTGCCATCAAGGTGCTGCTGATTTGAAATTCCAAGTATTATCTTCCTTTGAGGATTACTGACAAAAATTGTATGGGTGAAAAGAGCAATATTTTAAAGAAAGTGTCAGAAGCAATGAGCGTGACTTCTTGGGATACCTCCCGATTTTCCAGATAGAAGACACATCAGGCACCTGCCTCTCCCAGTTTGTCCCTTTGTTAGCACTTGGAAAGTGAGGCAGATTTCACAATAGATACAAAGCAGATTTAATTTCACCTCTGGCTCAAGGCCTAACATCCCTTTCTCCCCTTCCCCGGGTCTCTGTCTGCCTGGGTTAGTGAGAGGGTTGCCAAACAAGATTGAAAACTGATTGATTTCCCATTCTGATACAGCTATAGTGCCAGTCGCATTATTCTTTAGTGGTGTTAGTTAAATATTAAGGGGAATCTTAAGTGAAAAATTCTGTGTAATGTAAACATATTGTTAGGTTGCCTGAAAGGGTCACATTTCAATTAAACTGAATGACAGGAGTGTGGATAGTACCTTCTCAGGATTCCAGAAAGATGCCATCAGTAAAAGCCCCACATAGCAATGGGGTTCCTATGCCTTCCTTCTATGTGCAACCAAAATGTATTAATATTTGGGATGAGAAAGCTGGTCTGACACCACATGAGGGCTTGGTCTCTTCATCTACCTATCTGATGAACAGTTTAGATTTTCAAAAATTCTAACTTGAGAATTGTCTCTCTGACCTTTATTGTACAAATATTGATACAGTCTATAATCTCCAGCAGATCTGGATCATCTATTAAACAAACGTTTTCAAACATTATCATAGTAATATATTTACTTTTACAAGGCACAATGAAAGACAATGGGTAGATGTTGCAGACAAGCACATTTTGCCTCAAATAGTAAAAATAATTTAAATGATTCTCCACATAGGCAGGCCAACTCAGGAGATGGTGGACAGACGTTTGGCTCTGGGTGTTTTCAAATAAAGTGAGGTTTCTACCCATCAGAGACAGTAGCGCTCAAGTGGGTGAAAGTGGCTATCAAGTGGGTGTTGATGATGTAGAGAGAAAGTGTGCCTAGTTACCACCACATCATCCTGCATTTGTTCCCACTATATCATTCCCATTGCCACTATGGTAGTTCAAGCCCTGCTTTTAATTTTCCTGAACTATGTAAACATGGTCTTTGCTTATATCCTTGTCTATCATCTCAGCTTCTTACATCCTGTCCTCCACTGTGACACTTAGTGATCCTCCCCCGACTTTTTTAAGAGTTTTATTTTGATAAAACTCACATACCATATAATTCACTCATTTAAAGTGAGTTCAGTGCATTTTGTTATATTCACTGCATTGTGCATTTATCACCACAATCTAATTTTAGAACATTTTCATCAGCCCAAGGAGAAACACTGTCCCCATTTATGGTCATTTCTTATTCCTGCTCCTACTCCCTTGTCCCAGCCCCAGGAAACAACTAAACTACTATCTCCATAGATGTGCCTATTCTGGACATTTCATATAAATAGAATTATATAATATTTGGTCTTTTGTGACTAGCTTGCTTCACTTAGAATGTTTCCAAGATTCATACATGTTGTACCATGTATCTGTATTTTTAATTGCTGAATAATATTAGATTGTATGGACCTCATACATTTTTCAATCCATTAATCAGTTGACAGACATGTAGGTTCCTTCCACTCTTTGACTGTAAAAATAATGCTGCTTTGAAAATGCATGTAAAAGTTTTTGTGTGGATGTGTTTTTATTTTTCTCAGAGTGAAATTACTGAATCATGTGTGGCCTCTATGTCCAACATTTTAAGGAACCGCTAGACTATGTTTCAAAACTGCTGTGCCATTTTGATTCCCTATCAGCAGTGTATGAGGATTCCAGTTTCTCCATCTTTGCCAATCATTTTTATTATCTATCATTTTGACAGTAGCCATCAAGCCGGTGTGAAGTGGTATCTCATTGTGGTTTGATTTGCATTTTTCAGATTTCTAATGGTGTTGAGCATCTTTTCATGTATTTATTGGCCATTTATATATCTTCTTTCGGGAGATGGCTACTAAAATCATTAGACAAATTTTTAAATTACATTGTAATAATTATTTATATATTCTAGATGTGAGTCCTTTATCTGATATATAATTTGCAAATATATTCTCCCATTCTGTGAGTAGATTTTTCATTGTCTTTTTAAAACATTCACAACTAAACTATTACTGACTATTGTACCCTATTGGGCTATCAAACACCATTTCTTATTCATTCTTTCTATTTATTCTGTACCCGTTAAACATCCCCACTTCCCCACAACCCTCCCACTATCCTTCCTAGCCTCTGGTAACCATCGTTCTACTCTCTATCTCCATGAATTCTATTCCTTTGGTTTCTAGATCCCACAAATGAGTGAGAGAACAGGCAATATTTGTCTTTCTGTGCTTGAGTTATTTTACTTAGCATAATGACCTCCAGTTCCATCCGTGTTGCTGCAAATGACAGGATCTCATGTTTTTAAATGGCTAAACAGTATTCTGTTGTGTATAAGTACCAGATTTTCTTTATCCATTCATCTATTGATGGACACTTAGGTTGCTTCCAAGTTTTGGCTTCCAAATTTTGGCTTCCAAGTTCTTGCTGCAACAAACATGGGAATGCAGATATCTCTTTGATTTACTGATTTCCTTTCTTTTGGTTATATACCCAGCGGTGGGATTGCTGGATCATACAGTAACTCTATATTTAGTTTTTCAAGGAACGTTCAAACTGTTCTCCACAGTGATTGTACTAATTTACATTCCCACCAACAGTGTGCAAGGGTTTCCTTTCCTCCACATCTTCACCAGTGTTTGCAATTGCCTGTCTTTTGGATACAAGCCATTTTAAGTGGGGTGAGATGATATCTCATTGTAGTTTTGATTTTCACTTTTCTGATGATCAGCGATGTTGAGCACTACTTCATATGCCTGTTTGCCATTTGTATGTCTTCCTTTGAGAAATATCTATTCAAATATTTTGCTCATTTTTTAATTGGATTATTAGATTTTTTCCTATGGAGTTGTTTCAGCTCCTTATATATTCTGGTTGTTAATCTCTTGTCAGATGGGTAGTTTGCAAGTATTTTCTCCCATTCTGTGGGTTGTCGCTTCACTTCATTAATTATTTCTTTTGCTGTGCAGAGCTTTTTAACTTGAGGTGATCCCATTTGTCCATTTTTGCTTTGGTGGCCTCTACTTTTGGGGTATCTCAATAAAATTTCGCCCAAATCAACGTCCTGAAGAGTTTCTCCAATGTTTCCTGTAGTGGTTTTATAGTTTGAGGTCTCAGACTTAAGTCTTAAATCCATTTTGATTTGATTTTTGTATATGGTGAGAGATAGGGGGTCTAGTTTTATTCTTCTGCATATGGATATCTAGTTTTCCCAGCATCATTTATTGAAGAGATGGTCTTTTCCCCAGTGCATGATCTTGGTTCTCCTCTGTCAAAAATGAGTTCACTTTAGGTGCATGGATTTGTTTCTGGGTTCTCTATGCTTTATTGGAGCTCCATTGTATGTCATTTGCTTCTTTTCCCTTGCTGCTTTTAGGATGATCTTTATGCTATCCTTGACCTTTGGGAGTTTGATTATTAAATGCCCTGAGACATTATTAAATGTGTCACAGTTGCTGTGATTTCCCTCTTGCCAGCACACAGTAGCATTCTCCACCATGCTGTCACCTCTGGGGCATGGGAGAGAGGCGGCATCAGCAATTCAAGGCTGTTTTTCCTGCCTCTTCAGTGCCTCTTGCATTGATATGAAGTTAAAACCACGTACTGTGTACTGTGAATGCTCACCTGAGTTTTGGTTCTTATGAAGGTGTTTTATTCTGTGTACATAGTTGTTAAATTAATCTCCTTGTGTGAGGGATGATCAGTGGAGACTCCTACTCCACCTTGCTCCACCCCAAGTCCTGATTTTTCATTTTCTTGATGGTACCCTTTGAAGGACAAAGGTTTTTAATTTTGACAAAGTTTAACGTATCTATTGTTCTTTATTGTTGTTGCTTATGCTTCTGATTTCAAATGTAAAAAGTAATTGCCTACTCCATGATCATGGAAATTTACTCTTCTGTTTTCCTGCAGGAGTTTTATATCCTCCATTTAAGTCTATAATTTACTTTGTTAATTTTGGAGGGTTGTGTGAGGTATGGGTTCAACTTCATTCTTTTGCATTTGCATGTGCAGTTGTCCTAACGTCGTTTGTTGGAAGGGTGATTTGTCTTACACATAAGTCTAAAGATTCATTCCACTTAATATTCAAAATTCTTCAGTAGCTTCCCGTCATCTATGGTAGTGGTTTCTAGATTTGGCCTTCTTGAACCAGCAAAGTAAAATTAACAATTTTGGAAGACTTACCAAGGGTTACAAACTTTTTATTACTCCAAGTAAAGAGAGAAAAAGGAAAAAGATATATTATCTATGCATTTTCTCTATTATTTAATAAGATATTTTTCATATATAGTCACACACCAGGAAGGAAAATAATTTCAGAAGTATTTAAGTAATTTTAGCTTTACTGAAAACTCAGCACATTGCCTCCTCTTTTTTCTTTTTTAAAAATTTATTATTAAATAGTTGTGTATTTATAGGAAGTTGAAAATATAATACAGAATGGTCCCACATACTCTTTACCCAATTTTCCCCAAGAGCTATACCTGTGTAACTATAGTAAAATATCAAATTCAAAACATTGGCATAGATAAATGTATCTATAACATTTTATGCCATTTTACTTTATTTTCAACTTTTATTTTAGGTTTACGGGTACATGTGCAGGTTTGTTACATGGGTAAATTGCAGCACTAAACTTTGGTGTACAAATAATCCTGTTATTCAGGTAGTTAGCATAGTACCCAGTAGGTAGTTTTTCAGCCCTTCCTCCCCTCCCATTCTCCCTACTCTAGGGGTCCCCAGTGCCCAGTGTCTATTGATCTCTTCTACATGTCCATGTGTACTCAATGTTTAGCTCCCACTTATAAGTGAGAACATGTGGCATTTGATTTTCTGTTCCTGAGTTAAATTGATTAGGATTATGGGCTCCAGCTGCATCCATGTTGCTGCAAAGGGCAATATTTCATTATTTTTTATGGCTGCTTAGTATTCCATGGTGTATATGTACATTTTCTTTATCCAGCCCACTGTTGATAGGCATCTAGGTTAATTCCCTGTCTTTGCTATTGTGAATAGTGCTGTGATGAACGTATGAGTGCAGGTGTCATTTGGTAGAACAATTTATTTTCCTTTGGGTATATACCCAGTAATAGGATTGCTGAGTTGAAAGGTAGTTCTGTTTTAAAAATTCTTTCAGAAATCTCCAAACTGCTTTCCACAGTGGCTGAACTAATTTACATTCCTTCTAACAGTGTATAAGTGTTCCCTTTTCTCCACAACTTCTCCAATGTTGGCTACTTTTTGTTTTTGTAGTAATAGCCATTCTGACTTTTGTGAGGGGGTGTCTCATTGTAGTTTTGTTTTTGGGGAAATATTTATCATAGTTTGTCATTTGGGAACCACCATAGCTCCCTCTTACTAACATGTTTCATCTTTTGTATTCTTCCTCTTATATAACTTTATGATGTAGCCATATTGAAAATGTATGATTCATTTTCTTTTGTTCTTCTGCTTTTGGCTGGAATGACTCCACACATTCCCATTCTACAAATGGAAGAAATATATGTATAAAGTCTAATACAACATAAATGTTACATTGCATCCCTAATGGGATGCAAAGGCTATTCATAGGAGTGGAAGGGTTAGTTTCCAGCCTATCTACTCTACTTTTCTTTGGGGAGAGAGGTAGAATAACTAATGTGGAAACCTAAGATAAATCTTGACATCACTATTTATAAACTATGGCAAGACAACCTTTCTTAGACTCATATTTATTACCTGAAAATTGGAGTATTTGCTCCATAAGGCTACCATGGGGATTAAACAATAAGACATATAAATTCACCACTGCAGAATTTAGATGCATGGTAGGTAATCAGTAAATGTTATTTGCCTCCTCTCAGATCTTTACCTGTGGTTTACAATCCTGATGGAACATTAGTTTTGCCTGGAGAGTTTGGAGAAGCCCGCATCCCAATTTCCCATTGATGAGTTAATCCTAAAATTCACACGGAAATTCAAGGGACCCAGCATAGCCAGAAGCAATCCTATGAAAGGATAAAAAAGTTGGAGGATTCACACTTTCTGATTTCAAAATTTGCCACAAAGTTATGGTAATCAAAACTGCACGCAGTGGAAGAAGGAAATACATGAAGATCAATGGAATAAACTTAAGAGTCCCAAAATAAGAATATATATCTATGATCAATTTTTTATGAGAGTGCTAAGACAATCCAATGGTGAGGGTCGGGGAGGGGGTAATTTTTTCAACATCTGGTTCGGTGATAACTGTATATTCACATGCAAAAAAAGTGAAGTTAGACACCTTCCTCACACCATTCACAAAATTAAACTCAAAATAGATAATAGACCTAAGCATAAGAGCTAAAATTCTACTACTCTCAAAAGAAAATGTAGGAGTAAATACTCCTTACTTTGGATTAGGCAAGCCTTTTTAAATACGACACTAAAAGCATAAGTGACAAAAGAAAAAAACAGATAAATTGGATTTATCAAAATTAAAAACATTTGTGTTCAAAGCACACTGGCAAGAAAGTGAAAAGATAGCCCACAAGGTGAGAGAAAATATTTGCACATCATACATATAATTAAGGATGTGCATGTAGAATATATAAAGAATTTTTAAAGCTCAATAAGAAAAAGATAAATAGCCCAATTAAAAATGGTCAAACGATTTGAAGAAACATTTATCCAAAGAAGATATATAGTCAGTAAGTACAGGAAAAGATGCTCAACATTATTAGCCAACTAGGAAATGCAACCAAAGCCATAATGAGGTATACCCATTATCATGGCTACTATCAGAATGATAGATAATAACAAGAGTTGGCTAAGATATGGAGAAATCAGAACCCTCATAAACTGTTGGTAGAAATGTAAACTGGTACAGCTACTCTAAAAAATAGTCTGGTAGTTCCTGAAAATGTTGAACATAGAGTTAGTATAAGCACCAGCAATTCCACTCACAGGCAGGTATTTATCCAAAAAAGAAAAAAACTTATTTTCACACCAAAACTTGTACATGAATGTTGATAGCAGCATTATTCATAATGGCCAAAAAGTGACAACCCAAATGTCCATGAACTGATAAATTAATTAATAAAATGTATGTGTATATGTCCATAGAATAAAATATTATTCAGCCATAAAAATCATGAAGTACAGATACATACTATGGCATGGATGAAACTGGAAAATATTATGCTTAATGAAAGAAGCTGGACACAAAAGGCCACGTACTGTATGATTCCATTTGTATGGAGTATCCGGAATAGGCAAATCTATAGAGACAGCAGATTAGTGGCTGCTTACAGCTAGGGTTATTAGGAGGACGGGGGAGTAGACTGCTAATGGGTATAGTTCCCTTTTGAAGTGATAAAAATGTTCTAAAATTGGTTGCAGTGATGGTTGCACAACTCTGAATACACTAAAAAACACAGTATCATATGCCTTAAATGGGTGAGTTGTATGGTATATGAATAATATATTTAATAAATCTTTTATAAAAATTATGTCCTAACCCCAGAATTTCTTATTGAATTTTCCTGGTACCCAGAATCCCTCTAAAAATATAGAACCCTGGGAATTCTACTGTAATCTTTATCTAGCTCTTCAAATTTTCCTGACCCAGCTACTTTAGAAAAATTTATTGCATCTCTCACTCCTGCCTCCCTCCTTTACACCTGCTACTTTTTCACTCGTTCTTCAGTCTATCAATAGCCTAATCTGCTCTCTCCACCTTATCCTCAAATCAGAATATCCCTTGGCTCCTCTGAACTGATCAATGGGTCTCACCTTCTTTGAATCTCAAATCTCACCTTTAGGAGAACATTAATGACCAGGTTCACTTTGTTTGGATCAGTCAGCATTTCCTGGGCCCTTCACATTGATTTGTCCTCATGCACTCATTGGAATCACCAGCTTATGTTGAAAGCAGGAAGAATCCTTTAAGAGAAGGAGTCACCCACTCTCTCCCTGCCCCATCATTTTGTATCTGATTTAATGATATTAATTCCACAGAAACTAGAATTCAATTCCAATTATGTATCTACTTTGCATTTGTTGACATTTTATTATTTAATTATTTCAAGTAATTTCTTGTGTGTGTGTTTTATCTGTCTGATTAGATTGTAATCTTCCTGAAGATCTCTAGTAACTTCTTTCTATGTGAATTTTTGGTGGCTGTTAACAATATAATACATACTTACTCTAATAAGCTGACATTTCTAGCATCTTCCTGCCTTCTCCTCATATATTATTCAAGGGAGTTTTTATTTTTAAGGGCATTAAGGCTATTTTATAAATGGCAATAATCAACTGGTCTGTTTCCATTTTACAGAAGAAAAATGATTTAACCTATCAAAGGAGATATTTATAGTACCTTGGGCAAATTAGTTAACTGTTTTGAACCTCAGTTTCTAACTATTAATGACCTATTACCTACCATGTGTTTTTCTTGAATATTAAATAAGTTAACACTTACTTAACATTTAGTAAGTCTTGCATGTACTATCTGCTCAGGAAATATTAGTTACTTTTTGTCATTATAGTCATTAGAATTATTAGAAGTGTTTCTAGTCTGGAATTAGTCCTCAGCAGCCCAGGGATTGTAATGCATTTGTGCTTCAGTGCATTGAAGCAGCTCTTCATTGGCCTGTTTAAGTTAATAGAGTTTCTCAGATAGCTAACTTTCTTCTGATAAGTATAAATGCTTAGGAAACTATATATAACAAATGTTCAAAAATACTAGTTTCTACCCCCTCCACCACACACACATCAAGTCACATGTCTCAAGGAGGTGGTTTTATTAACCAAGTAAACCTCCTGACTCCAGCCTTCAGGGAAAGAAGAGCCTCTGTCCCAGAACACACTTGCTCTATCAAGAAATAACATGCCCCACATGAAGTGTCCTCATTAGTTATTTCATCAGTTTTCAGGTTGAGGGGTTTTTTTTGAAGCTGAGTAAAACTGACTTAATTGGTTTCTCCCCTCCCCATAGCAGAAGTTTTTAGGTAAGATGTATATCTGGAACTCTAATTACATATCTTAACTATAACCCGAGAGACTTAAAATTCACAGATGCACTTTATCTGTCAAATATGGAGACAGTTGGCAAATGCAGGCCATAAAGGTGTAGATTTAGTACCCAACTACATGAATTGTTGCTGTTTTCTTCTGTTTATTACTTCATAGTTAATCAAGGAGATAACTCCCAGGAGTTCCGTATCTTTCTCCCTATGTTCTACATGATGAAGGGGGAAGGAGAAATGAATATTCTCTTTGTAACATATTTTCAATTGGAATAAGAAATTTGGTTCACAAATACTTGAAAGAAGAACCATTAAATGTTTTAATCAATTTCTGAAATCTTTTAAAAAGCCAGCCAATCAGAACATTGCATTATTATTACTATGTGTATATACTGCTTTTGGTACAGTAATTTCACAGTAATTGTATGAATACGTGAGTGTAATTAGACAGAAACAGTACTGCTCAACCACCATCAAAATCATATTTCTACAATGCTTGGCATTTTACCACCAAAAGCAATTGCACTGAAATAATTTTGTAAGATGGAAACTCTACTTATTGAGCAGAACATCGTTTCTTTGCTTAGCATCAGATCTACAAAAGGTTTTACATGTATGTTAGTCTCAAAAATCATGTAATTACTAAAGACGAGTAAAAATAGAGAGAAAACAAAGTGGCTGTAAGGGAATAAGAGCAGACACATTTTCCATCACCAGGTATCATCAGTGCCACACAGGACAACTCCTAAGAAGTCAAGCCCTTGCAGCTCACAAGCAGGACCCAGTTATGCGGGGCAGTTAAGGGCTCGTTTTGAAAATAATTTTGGATATAGGTGTCACCAGGTCTTTAGACAAATGGCCAGCCTGATTAACCTCCTCAGCAAATAATGTAATTATATGGCACGGGCCTGAGTGACTCCAGAAATTCTTGGCTGATCGATTTTCAAATCCAGTACTTCAGAGGAGATTCTAGCAACCCTCATTTTGTGGTCCAAAATAAGTAGAGCTAACATTTCCACCTTCCTCATCTCCCACTGTTCATATCTTTTGTTACTATTATACACGTTTTACATGCTCCATATTAAAAAATAAATAAATGCCAAAAGATGACAGAGATAAAGGAATGGTACCTACAAAGATCTAAAAACAACTTATGTAAAATCAAATCAAAGTAATTGCTTGAAACCTTCAGGTTTTTTGTCCTTTGGGAAAAGACCCAAGTATTTCTTTGAAACACTATTGATTACCAATGTGTATTATTATCCTAGGATAAAAAGATGTTTCAACATTAGAAAATCTATTAAAGTACTACCCAATAATAACAAATTAAAAATAGATAATCCATGATAAACTCAAGAGACTCCAAAAAATATTTCATGAAATTTAACATTCTTTTATGTCTAAAAATCTTTGTAAACTAGAAATAAAAGGTAACTTTCTAAACTTGATAAATATTATCTACCAAAAACCGATAGCAAGAATCAAACCTAATAATGCAACATAAAGTTACCATTAGGGTTAGAATAAGATAAGGATGCCTGCTATCAATACTCCTCTTTAATGCTGTTAGGAGTTCTTAGTCAACATTTTAAGAAAAGAAAAATAAAAATAAATATGAGGCACATATTAGAAAGACAGAAACAAAGCTATATTAAAGCATAAATGGTTTGTTTACATAAATAATTCATGGGAATCTGCAGACCATAAACATTAGTCAGTGTTCAGCAAGGTGGCCAGATACATGATCAACATAAAGGTAACAACAGAATTTCTACAGAGCAGTAACAACTCATTCAAGAATAATAACGCTGAGGGGCTTCAAGATGGCTGACTAGAGGTATCTGGTACTCACCTCCTCCACAAAGAGGAGCCAAAAGAGTGAACAGATAATCACACTTCAAGTAAGTCATCTAAGAGAGGACACTGGAATTCAGCAGAAAAGTGAAAGGAAAGCAAAGGAAGAGGGAAGTGAGGCATCCAATTCAGTAGGGAGCAGCTCAGAGCCTGCAAAAGCTCTCCAATGTGGGGGAAAGGGTAAGTGAGAGACCCTCAGTGGTCCACATTCCCACCACAGACTCCAGCAATCCTAGCCGTGAGAGAGTCCCTTGATCTTTGTGGGCCCTGAGACTAACATAGGGAGCTGCCTGGAATCCACATGACAGCATTGCTCCAGAGAGGGAGCTCACATTGGGTCCCACACATACCCCAAGTCCTAACTAGCTACAGCAAGGTGCCATTTTTAGAGCCCAGCCTCCGCTACACTGCATCTTGCCCTAGGGTGCAACAGTCTCTGCATATCCACACCCTTGGAAACCCATTGACCTCCCCCACCTGCAGCAGCTGCTGCTCCTGGCTGCTGTCACCAGGGCCAAAGCATGAACCATTGGCAGTGACCCCACTGCCCCCAACAGTGGAGCTGACATGCAACTGAAAATGTTGACCTCATGGAGGTACAGAGTGGAATGATAGTTACCAGAGGCTGTGAAGTGTGTGTGTGGTGGGGGTTGGGAGGGGTATGAAGAGAGGTTGGTTAATGAATACAAGCATACAGTGAAATAGAAGAAATAAGCTCTAATATATGACAGCAGAGTATGATGACTATAGTTTACAAAAATGTATCGTAAATTTCAAAACACCTAGAAGAAAGGACTTGAAATGTTACCAACACACAGAAATAGTAAAAATTCTAGGTGATGGATACTCCAAATACCTTGACTTAATAATTGCACATGCTATGAATGCAACAAAATATCACATGGACTGAATAAATATGTGCAAATATTATGTATCAATAAAAAAGAACATGGCATTGACACCAGAATCCAAGCTGTAATAATAATAATTAATAAGATGAAAAAAATCTTATTCACAATAGCAACAACAAACTGCAATGCAGCTAAAAATAATTCTAAGAAACATGTGTGGGCCTCTGTGGAATAAATTACAAAATTACTTTCTAATTGGCATAAAAGAGCTGAATAAACAAAGTTATGTCAAGTTTACGGATAAGGAGAATCAAATTAATCCATATGTCAATGCAATGACATTTGTGTTTTCAATCAACTTTGTCATGAAGCACTATAAGCTGATCTTGAAATTCATGTGAAAGAGCAAAAGGTCAACAATGTTTAAGACCATTTTGGAGAAGAAGAAAGGGTAGAAGTGACCTGACCTATCAGATATCACAATTAGTAATAATAATGCTGATACTCACACTATGACTAAAACTGCTAACTTTTAAGGTTTATTAAAATACCAGGCAAGGCCAGGCACAGTGGCTCACACCTGTAATCCTAGCACTTTGGCAAGCCGGTGCAGGCAGGGCGGGGGTGCAGATCACCTGAGATCAGGAGTTCAAGACCAGACTGGCAAACGTGGTGAAACCCTGTCTTTACTAAAACTACAAAAATTAAATTAGCTGGGTGTGGTGGCAGGTGCTGTAATCCCAGCTACTCGGGAGGCTGTGACAGGAAAATCGCTTGAACCCGGGAGGCAGAGGTTGCAGTGAACCGAACTGAGATCGCTCCATTGCATTCCAGCCTGGGTGACAAGAGCAAAACTCCGTCTCAAAAAACAAAACAAAACAAAAAACAGGCAAAAGCTTTTTATCCATTATAAGTTAGATATGATTATTGTCACCATTTTACAGATAAAAAAGAAACTGGTACACAAAGAGATTATGGAACTCTTTCAAGATCCCATGGCTAGGCAGTGGCATTGTTAGGATTCAAACTCAAGCAGCATGGCTACTAAGCCCCTACACCTAACCCTATGCAATAATATCTCTAAAGCTACAGGAATAATCAAGGAGTAGTACTGTCATGGGGAAAAAAATAGAACACTGAAGCATAATACAGAATCCAAAAAGAGACACACACATACATGCAAACTTGGTATCAATCAATCAGTGACCAAAAAATGAAGCATTCAATAATGCTGCTGAGATGACTAGTTACCTATGCAGCAAAAAATAAAATAAAATTAGAGCCCATTATATTATATAACAATGATTCCAGCTGGACTACTTGTAGAAAGCCAAACTGTAAAGCTTTTATAAGTAAATATGGTAGAATCTTTAGAATTTTGGAAATGAAGAAGGTTTTCTTATATGAGACATAAAAAGCCCAAACCACAAAGTAATAGGTTGATAAATTGTATGATATTAAAATTGAATACTGCTATTAATAAAGCAACATCATAAACAACATGAAAAGCCTAGCAACAGTGTGGAAAAAGACATTTGCAATGCATGTTAACAACAAAGAATTGCTATCCAGAATATATAAAGTACTGTATAAATCAATAAGAAAACAAAACCCATTCCCTCTAAAAGGGAAATGGACACAAATTTTTATAAAACAAAACTTGATTGGCCAAGATACCTATTTAAAGATCTTCGACCTTCCTCATTGTCAGGGAAACACAAAATAAAATGATGTGATGCCATTTCACACTAAAAGATTGATACAGATCTGTCTGATGATACCAACTGCTGAAACCTGAAACAGCTTCTCTCATCCACTGCTTGTGGAAGCATCAGTTGGCACAACTGTTTTGTAGAACACTTTGGCCGAATCAAAGAAAATCAGAGCAATCCTACCTCCTTCCCCCTGTAAATTTACTTCTAGGTATATATCTTAGACTAAGAAACCCTCACATGTGTGACAAAAAAAAATATGTAAAAGAATGTTAATTGTATGTGGCATTACCTATTACAGGGGAAGACTGTAAACAATCAAAATGTTTATCAACAGAAAAATGGAAAAATAAATTGTGGTATATTTATACAACAAAACACTACATAGCTATATGCAAAAATGTAGTTAAACAAATAGACCAAAAAGGTAATAATATTTTTAGTATTTATATAATCTATATAATTTTATACAAAATATAATATTTATATAACAGCTTGAAAACCTGCAAAATAATGCCCTGTAATTGCTATGACTATGTACATATATAGTCATAGTATAAAAATGCATACTAGACTGGTAAACTCAAATTCAGGGTAATGGTTATTTCTGGAGACAGAAAGACAGGAGCACGGACAGGGAAGGGACACGGGGACATCAATTGGATTTGAGATGTTTTGTTTCTTAAAATATAACAGTATCAACAGACCTCAAGGGCCTATGGCAAAATCTGTAAATTTGATAGAGCTGAATGGTGGGAATTTGAGTGTTCGTTATTTTATTTCATATATACATCTCTTTATATTTGAAACATGGTATAATAAATACAAAGGATGTATGTGTAAATCAAATTTTGATAACCAGAATCCTGTTTTTCCAGGATGTTGTGATTGTGTGATAACTTCAGAAATAACTTCTCTTCTCTTTTCATCTAGCAGCCAGCTAAGCTACAAATCAAACCATGTTTATTAAGTACCTGCTATTCATCAGGCACAGGGCACTAAAGGCTGGGGATACAGTGGCGGCAGAGCCAGCTATGGAAGATATCTATCCCAGTGGGATTAAAATGTACAACTACAAATCATGGTAAATGCCATGAAGAGAAAAAAATATGGAACCATGACTGAGGGTAAATGGGGGGTAGGAGAGGGAGAGGCATATACCATGGCAGACACTGAAGTTTGGCTGCCTAAAAGATATCCACAGACCCCTGGCCCTTGCCTTCCTTTACTATAGAGGTTGGAAAGCTAATCATGATATTTCAGACTATCTTGCACGTGACACAGTTCTAATCAATCAGAGATAGTTAGGAGTCTCTGGGGACTATTCTCCTTCCTGAAAAAAGCAACAACGCCTCACGTAAGAAAGACTTTATGCTCCCTTAACTCCTGCTATGTCATCCTGCCTGGGGCATGGAAGTGATGCTGGGGTGAAGCATATATATTGAAATAATAAAGATGGAAGCCAATGGTATGAGATGAAGCAGAGAGCTAGAAGGCTGCCTGGTCCTTGACTGCATTGCTGAGCCATGGTACCAGAGCTGAACTATGTGCTTATGGACTTCAAGCAAGTGAATTAATATCTACTGGCCTGGGCCACTATCGATACAGTTTCCTCTTATTTGCAGCCAAAATCATCCCAAGCAGATAAACACACATAGGGTGGCCTTTTAGAAGAGGGGACATTTAAGTTGAGAGGAAAAGAATGAGAGGGAGCCAGCCAGGAAGAAAGCAAGAATGGGGCAGAGAAGTGGGAGGATAAACAAGACCAGCAGAGGGAGGAGCAGTATGTTTCAAAGGTCTGGCTTGTTTGAGGAAGCCCTCTGAGCCTGGAGCTTAACAATGGCACTATGAAGGCTTTGCAATTGGCTGGGAAGCTGAATACTTTATTTTCTTACCCAGGCACTAAGTTAAGAAAGGTGTGGTTAATGATCTGTAAACAAAGAATGGCTCAAAGCAAGGGGAGCTGGCTGTTTATAGAGACTCCTTCTATAAAACAAGAAATTACCTCTAACTTATCTACTTGGATATTTGTGGTTGATTTTTTTTTTTTTTTTTTTGAGACAGAATCTCGCATTGTCGCTGGGGCTGGAGTGCAGTGCAGTGGCGCGATCCTGGCTCACTGCAACCTCTGCCTCCTCCCAGGTTCAAGTGATTCTCCTGCCTCAGCCTCCCAAGTAGCTGAGAGTACAGGCACCTGCCACCGCACCCAGCTACTTTTTTGTATTTTTAGTAGAGATGGGGTTTCACTATGTTGGCCAGGCTGGTCTCAAATTCCTGACCTTGTGATCCACTCCCCTCCGCCTCCCAAGTGGTTGATCATTTAAAAGTGAAGTCCACCAAGTACACCATTAGTCCAGAAAGTACACCCTTTTCTACACCCCCTCCATTGCCTAGGAAGGTTTGTCTGAGAGGGTAGGCATTAGCATTTTGCTTGTTCCCTTTGACATAAAGTAAATTGCAATACTGGGATTTAACCAGAGCCTAGTCAACCGTGTCTTAGGCATTCCCTGTGCTACAAAGGTTTCTATTTTGTTCTTTATTTGTCTGAATGGGAAGAGGTAACTTCATTGTTGAAGAGTATGACTTGAACAACACAACAAAAATCCAGTTCCTTTAATCCTGTCCTCACGGGGCGCTAAGGAATGGGTTGTCTGATTTTTTAATGTGTTTTCGGTTGGTCTAGTTCCCAGATCATATACTCTTTTGGCAAACAAAAGTTATTCCATAAGATAGTATTTACTAAGCACCTGCGTAGGCAGAGTGCTGGTTTAGGCAAGAAGCCTATGGCTTGGAAGAAAATGTCCATTTTCAATTGAAAAATCTTAATTTAATGGTTACTCTGCAAGTTTCTTCTTGGCTATTTTAGAACAGACTTGGATATTTATTATTAGTTTCCAGGCCTCTCCTTTCTCTTCCCTTAGCTTTCTGTAGCTAAACTACAGCTATCCAATCCTTTTAATCTTTCATCCGCATCCTTCCTCGGGCTCTTGAATTCATTCACTCTTATTGCTATTCTCTGCACTTCCAAATTGCCTGAGCTTCCCTAGTAATGAAGTGGTGGGAACACAACGTGTGGTGCCAGGTGCTGCTCAGCTACAACTGTCCACAGAGGAACTGTTATTCCGTGCCCTTCTGCACAGGCAGCCTCAACCTGGACTTCTCTTTCATCCTGCCAGACTGCATGGCTGGCCTGAATTTAATTTGCCAACCACTGTGCCTCCTGGGCCTACTTTGGCATCACTGAGATCTGGCATCTGCTTCCCAGAACAGCTCTGTGTTTGGATTCTCTTTCCCCAGGTGTATTCACTGCCTTGCCTTTTTCAAATGCTCACAAAGTTATTATTCCCAGCCTACATACCTCATGTCTCAAAGGTCATTTGCATTTTATTTCTGTTGCCCGAGCTGCTCAAGATACTTTCCAAATTAGAATCATTAGTGAATTCTAAAAAGGAGCAGCTTCTTCCTTTTTTTTCCATCCAGGTCATGAATAAGAATGCTTAAATAAGAGTCAGACCCACAGTTGTGGCAAGAGCATATTAGGAGGTTCATCTTCTTTATCCTTCTTCAGTAGTGATCCCACTACTAGCACCATCACTCCAAAACCTCTGAGTTTACTGGAATTTTTCCAGCCAATTTTAAATCCATATACTCAACCTTCCAAATACTTATTGAGTATTATGCTAGGTGCTGTAAGAGGGTCCAAATCACGCAGGACATAACCACTTCCATTTGAAAAGCTTCTATCACTATAGCGTATGTAAGGCCTTCCATAATTCAACATTTAATACGTGCCTTAAATGTGCCAAGCACTGTTAGGTGTTAAGATTCCAAATTGGAAAGTACAGAGTCTCAATCTGTACTTTTCATATAATTACAACACAATGTAGAAACAATAATGAAATGTACACCTGGGATGCTCATTGTTCAACCTCAGTTTTTTCATCTGTAAAACGTTTCTTCTGCCAAGTGCGGTGGCTCACGCCAGTGATCCCAGCACTTTGGAAGGCTGAGGCGGGTGGATCACCTGAGGTCAGGAGTTTGCGACCAGCCTGACCAACATGGAGAAACCCTGTCTCTACTAAAAATACAAAAAAATTAGCTGGATGTGGGGGGGCATGCCTGTAATCCCAGCTACTCGGGAGGCTGAGGCAGGAGAATCACTTGAACCTGAGAGGCGGAGGCTGTGGTGAGCTGAGAGTGCGCCATTGCACTCCAGCCTGGGCAACAAGAGTGAAACTCCGTCTCAAAAAAAAAAAAAAAAGTTTCTTCATCTCTTAGCAATCTTCTAAGTTGCAGTTAATGTTTACATAAGGTGAGGCATAGACAACACTTAGTGCAGTGCATGAGACAAAGTACAAAAAATGTTATTAATTATAACAGCTATAAGTATAATATAATTATTTTTATTATTACTATTACCTCCCATATTCAACCTGGTTGATTAGGACTGTCTTGGACACTGTAACAGGAGGATCTGGAAACTTATATTAGGTTCAGTAGGAAAGAATACTACGACGAATGACAGTACTGTGATTGGCAGGAAGAGGCGATATTTATGCAAGTGTGTTTTTGACCCTATATATGACTAACAATATTACAATTTGCAATGTAGTCCCCTGACTTAGGAATGCTACAAAATGCATAGACACAGATTTTGCAATGTAGGATAGGACAGAACGGATGTCATAATGTAGGATCTGTGCTACTTTGTGACTTTTAGTCCGTCCTAAATTGATTCAGAATCTCCAGATGTGTTTTAAGCTTGGAAAATCTAAGAGGTGAGGCGAGGCTGGATGTGGACAAGACTTTCTGCTACCAAAATGAGGTAATTCCTGCCTAAGGCAGTTGCAGAAACGCTACGGTAGTGGTTTGCCACTGCTGTTTTATAACAAAGTTCTCACTGATCTGCAGCAAAATGAGAAAGATAAGGACAATGGAGAGAGGATTTCATGCAGCTAAATGTCCTTAAATTAAAGAATTGATATTATGTTCTTTCTACTTTGTGGGTGTTAAAATGTGATCCCTTTCATGGAAAGATGCTCTGAAGATTTCTCCTTCTGTATCAGGCCTCAAAAATATTATAACTTCCATCATGCTTATTCCTGTGAAATGTTATTGACTCCCATAGCTTTAAATACCATCGATACGCTGATAACTCCTAAATGTATATCTAGCGTCAGAATCCTCCTCTAATCTTCTGACACCTGTATCTTCCTGCCTTGGATATTTCATAGGCACCTTAAATTTAACAAGCCCCAAAAGGAACCTCTGATTCCCCCTTCCTCCCCTAACCTGCTCCTTTCTTGGTCTTTAGAGCTCAGTAAATGGTGTATTAAATGGCAAGTTGCTCTTGCCAGGAATATGAGAATCATCCTTGATACTTCTCTCTTTCTCTCTTCTCTCTTCATTTGTCAGAGTCTCAAAAATTCTAGTTTCAAGATATGTTTTAAATCCAACTAGTTACTTGCACCATGGCCATCACACAGGTCATATCTAGGCCACTGAAATGTCATTTCAATTGATCTCACTCCTTCCACTCTTGCTTTTCTTCCAATCCATTCCCCAATAGCATCCAGAGGAATTCTTTAAAAACATCAATCCTGCTTAAAATTCCTTAGTTACTTTTTATTACTCTTAACATGAAGCTCAAAATCCTTACCATGGCCTGCATAGTCTGAGATTTGTTCAGTGGAAGCATTAATTTTAAGGGGAATATTTCCCTGATACTCTCTTTCCATATAAAATTAATATATGATATTACATGCTTGCAGAGAACCATGTCTATTTCCTGTAGAGTACGTAGCTCAATTTAAATTTCATATATATATATATATATATAAATGTAATTAATTAATGATGACTATCTCCCCCACTAGACTATATGATGCTTGAGGTCATGGGCTATATCTAGCTTTGATTTTCATCGCATTCCCAGACATACTTTAGTAGCTGCAGATAGTATGTGCTCAATAAATATTCACTGAATTAACAAATGAGTGAAAAGGAAAAAAATTAATGATCTTTACTTAGCAAAATAAGAAGTTGACCACTCTGTAGGACTTGAATTAAGAAGAATTTTTGTTTTCCAGGTTTTTGAAATGCAAAAGTCTGATAATTACTGCTCTGTGGTTGAAAAAGATACATCGGCTTGAGCCTTTGGATGTTACTAGGAGGCATGGGAGTTATGCAAATGGCCTTTGTGAGTCTGTGGGAGGTGCCAGTAGATCAGCTAATGTGGGCGAGTTCTCTGCTCTCTGAGATGGAGAAGTTTCTTTGTCTAATTTTAGCTCTGGAGTTCTGGAACTCTGGGCATGGCTCTAGAACTCTTAAGTAAATGCCAATAAAAGAAAAGTAATGAAGAAACACGGCACCCATATCAAATTTAAGCTTTGCATTTTGGAATAATTTATCTGCATATTTTTTTCTGATGTGATAAGATCTGAAGATAAAAATATTTATTTAAGGTGAAGGCATGCCCATACACCAACTGGCTCTACAGTATCCCAATTCATAATACGTGGTCTATTAATTAGAAAGACAAGATCCTAAACCAGCCAGTCAGATTTACATTCCCAGTAGCAGCTTGTGTTATAGCACTTGGATTGTTATATTGAACAATTTATTGAGATCCAGATGTTCCAGTTCCCGACCTTCCCTGAGTGAGTGGTTGTCAGATATTCCTGTCTAAAAACAAGGCAGTCGGTACTTAACTGTAGGCTCCCACACTGTCATTCTCCAAAGAATATGAAATTGCTTGTTATCTTTGTCAAAATTACATGTGATAGGGCTATTTGCTATCTGTGTTGTAATTAAAAACTCAATTAAAAGAAATTTTGAAATCATTATCAACTTTTTCAGGCATGAGCTGTTCTGCAGAAAAGCAAGCTGTTTACAGCTTAGGCATTTACCAGCATTCAGAAGATGGCAGAATCCCAAAGTAGGCCCAAGGACAGAGTGAGATCTGGACCAAAGCAGAAACAACCCCACAGAGGGCAAAAACAAGGCACAAACAGTGACATTACCTGTTAGGTAGCAATTCCTCTCATTCTACCACTACCATGTGTAACTGCAATCTTCTAATTGGATTGTGTCACTTCATTAACATTGAGGACCATTGTCCGTAATGAGTCTCTTCAAAATGAGCAAACAGGAGGTAGCTTATTATTATGGCTCTCCTTTATAATGTACCTATCTATTAGATGGATATTATTGGAAAAATTAATTGCATTACAATGGGTGCAACTGAATGTAAGCACATTTGGTCCTTAGGGAAATGATTACCCTGAGAGGTGGATCATATTAATTGACTAGAGAGAGCAAGCATCATCAGTGATGAGAGAAGCAAGTGTGTGTGCATATCTGAAAAGGAACCTCTCTATATTGTAGCCATGTAGCTGAGGCCTGATGAGAAAGCAGTCCCAGCCTCTGCCTGAGGCTAGTTAAACCAGGCAATTTCTTAAATTAGAGCATGAATTATTAATAGTCATAATTCCATAGCAGGCTTCATTTTTTGAGCCCTTACTATATACTAGCAGTGCAGATGATCACATTTAATCCCTCCAACCACCCTAAAGACATCTCACAGTTTGTAAGTGGTAATCAGGAAGGGAATCAGTTTGACTCTAAAACTAGTACCCCTAATCCTAAAGCTGCACATTCTAGGTCCAGACTCAGTAGAGAACAGAGCCCTTAAGGTATTTGTATTATTAGCCCAGCCATCCTATCAGCCTGGGAAGAGCCAGAACATCTGAGATTAAAGTATCCAGATATGACAGTGAGTCTAAGAAACTTCTGTGGGCATTTTTTTCTTCTATTCATTTGGAGATTGTTTGAACATATTGGAAAACACTATTTTTTAAAGAAGAAAATGGCTTAGCCTTTACTTCTGTGATTGTAATAGTAAACAGCAAACAGCAGTAAAATCTAATTTTTTTTAAAAAGTACCACTGATTCAAATGTTCCTAACATTCTGCTAAGACAGAAGGGGTGAATAGTACTCCTAATCTGTAGCTGAAAACTTGTAATGAATGAGGTAATTGAGTGGGAATGCATCATTTCAGAAGCAGCAGCACGTGCCTCACAGAGCTGCCTGTGGCATTCTGCAACAGGTGTGACGAGATGATGGGGACACCTCAGAAAATCTTCACTGTCCAAATGATTACTCCAGCCATGTGATACACACAGCATGTGCTTCATTTTCTAGAACAGTGAAGACTTCTGCATGACTGCAGCACAGGGTGCATATTAGTGCAGTAGGAAGACAGGTTGAATAGTGGGGTGCAATAAGTAATAAGTAATAAGGCAAGGCCCTTGAAAGCCACAGTGTCTGTCACAAAAAGCAGATGCTCCTGGAAAGGTGGGTGCAGTTAGCTGCATGACTAATATTTATATCTCAAATTAAAATAGTTTATAACATACTTGAATGCAGATAATCAGTAAATATTTTAGGAGGAAGATGCGGTGTGGAGATCACCAGCACTGCTTGAGAAAACTTATGCATAGATGCGGGAAAGATCAGATACTTGGGCTGAGCCTCTAAGAAACAGCATGGAAACATGAATAACTGAAGGCTCTTTCCCCTAGACTTCAGCAATACCCTCTTCACTGTTCTCTCTGACCCTTGGATCCACGTTCCATACTCCCCCGGAGGGACCCCATTGTTTCCTTACTTTTCATCACCAAGCAGATAAATCTGAACCTTTAACATAATAGACAGACCTTCTGTAATCCGACTTCTAGAGACTCATCTTCTGCTTTCTCTGCTCAATATTTTAAGCTCTAGGAATGCTGATCTCTTTACTGCTCAGAATATACTATGCTATTTTTCACCTGAAGGCTACATTCTTGCCACCTCCTCCTCTGAAACTCCCTTCCTGTATTTTCTCTAACCTCCTCTGAACTCTCTGACTCTAAAAACTTACTTAGGGGTCCCTTTCTATGCTCCCAAGCACCTTGGCATGTATCTATCATCACACTTACCACATTACATTGGCATTCTCTGTTTACATATTGGTTTCCCCAACATTATGAAATCCTTAAAGGCAAAGGTCAGTGTTATTATTTCTCCATAAATGTTCAAGTGCCTAAAGCAGTTTCTGGTACACAATAGGCACTTTTGTGATTTGTATTGAATAAAATAATAACAGAAGCAAATGTGTATAGGACTTGAGATTTTTCAAATTGCCTTTCTAAATATTATCTTCTTTAATTAATGGCAACACTCCATGGGTGTTCAAAATGCTTATTTTATCACAATTTATACCATATAAGAAAAAACGGCAGCTTCAGCTAAGAACTATTGTGATAATATAGCCCCACAACACAGAATAACATTATTAGAATATAGCCCATTTTTATCTTAATAGAAGACTATGGTACTCCCCAAAATTAAATTTATGATTAAAAACAAATTTCCATTTTTAATGCTTGTTTTTATTTCTTTTAATAAAAATGGGATACATGTGCAGAAGATGCAGCCTTGTTACATAGGTATAGTGTGTCATGATGGTTTGCTGACCCTATTGATCCGTCCTCTAAGTTCCCTCACCTCACCCCCCACTCCCCAACAGGCCCTAGTGTGTGTTGTTCCCCTCTTTGTGTCCATATGTTCTCATTGTTCAACTCCCACTTATGAGTGAGAACGTGTGGTGTTTGGTTTTCTGTTCCTGTGTTAGTTTGCTGGAGATGAAGGCTTCCAGCTTCATCCATGTCCCTGCAAAGGAAATGATCTCAGTATTTTTTATGGCTGCATAGTATTCCATAGTGTATATGTACCACATTTTTTCTATCCAGTCTATCACTGATGGACATTTGGGTTGGTTCCATGTCTTTGCTATTATAAATAGTGCTGCAGTAAACATATATGTGCATGCATCTTTACAGCAGAATAATTTATATTCCTTTGGATACATACGCAGTAATGGGATTGTTAGGTCAAATGGTATTTCTGGTTCTAGATCCTTGAGGAATCACCATACTGTCTTCCACAGTGGTTGAACTAATTTGCATTCCCACCAACAGTGTAAAAGCATTCTTATTTCTCCTCAGCCTCACCAACATCTATTGTTTCTTGACTTTTTAATAATCACCATTCTGACAGATGTGAGATGGTATCTCATTGTGGTTTTGATTTGCATTTCTCTGATGATCATTGATGTGGAGATTTTTTTCCTGTTTGTTGGCTGCATAAATGTCTTCTTTTGAGAAGTGTCTGTTCATATCCTTTGCCCACTTTTCGATGGGGTTTTTTTTTCTTGCAAATTTAAGTTCCTAGTAAATTCTGGATATTAGACCTTTGTCAGATGGGTAGACTGCAAAAATTTTCTCCCATGGTGCAGGTTGCCTGTTCACGCTGACAATAGTTTCTTTTGCTGTGCAGAAGCTCTTTAGTTTAATTAGATCCCATTTGTCAATTTTGGCTTTTGTTACCATTGCTTTTGGCATTTTTATCATGAAGTCTTTGCCCATGCCTATGTCCTGAATGGTATTGCCTAGGTTTTCTTCTAAGGTTTTTATGGTTTGGGGTTTTACATTTAAGTCTTTAATCCATCTTGAGTTAATTTTTGAATAAAGTGTAACGAAGGAGTCCAGTTTCAGTTTTCTGCATATGGCTAGCCAGTTTTCCCAGCACCATTTATTGAATAGGAGATCATTTCCCCATTGCTTGTTTTTGTCAGGTTTGTCAAAGATCAGATGGTTGTAGATGTGTGGTGTTATTTCTGAGGTCTCTGTTCTGTTCCCTTGGTCTATATGTCTGTTTTGGTCTAGTACCATGCTGTTTTGGTTATGGTAGCCTTGTAGTATAGTTTGAGGTCAGGTAGCATGATGCCTCCAGCTTTGTTCTTTTTGCTTGAAATTGTCTTGGCTATGTAGGGTCTTCTTTGATTCCACATGAAATTTAAAGTAGTATTTTCTCATTCGATGAAGAACATCAATGGTAATTTAATGGGAATAGCATTGAATCTATAAATTACTTTGGGCAGTATGGCCTTTTTGTGATACCGATTCTTCCTACCCATGAGGAGGGAATGTTTTTCCATTTGTTTGTGTCCTCTCTTATTTCCTTGAGCAGTGTTTTGTAGTTCTCCTTGATGAGGTCCTTCACATACCGTGTTAGCTATATTCCTAGGTATTGTACTCTCTTTGTAGTGATTGTGAATGGGAGTTCATTCATGATTTGGCACTCTGGTTGTCTACTGTTGGTGTAAGGAATGCATGTGATTTTTGCACATTGATTCTGTATCCTCAGACTGCTGAAATTGCTTATCAGTTTAAAGAGTTTTGGGGCTGATATGATGGGGTTTTCTAAATATAAAATCATGTCATCTGCAAACAGAGATAATTTGATTTCCTCTCTTCCTATTTGAATATGATTTATTTCCTTCTGTTGCCTGATTGCCCTGGCCAGAACTTCCAGTACTATGTTGAATAGGAGTGGTGAGAGAGGGCATCCTTGTCTTGTACTGGTTTGCAAAAGGAATGCTTCCAGTTTTTGCCCATTCAATATGATATTGGCTGTGGGTTTGTCATGAATAGCTCTTATTATTTTGAGATATGTTCCATCAATACCTAGTTTATTGAGAGTTTTTAACATGAAGTCATGTTGAATTTTATCAAATACCTTTTCTCCATCTATTGAGATAATAATGTGGTTTTTGTCTTTGGTTCTGTTTATGTGATGGATTACGTTTATCGATTTGTGTACATTGAACCAGACTTGCATCCCAGGGATGAAGCTGACTTGATCATAGCAGATAAATTTTCTGATGTACTGCTGGACTCGGTTTGCCAGTATTTTATTGAGGATTTTTGTGTCGATGTTCATCACGGATATTGGCCTGAAATTTTCTCTTTTTGTTGTGCTTCTTCCCTGTCTTGGTATCAGGATGATGCTGGCTTCATAAAATGAATTAGGGAGGAGTCCCTCCTTTTCAATTGTTTAAGATAGTTTCAGAAGGAATGGTACCAGCTCCTCTTTGTACTTCTGGTAGAATTCGGCTGTGAATCCATCTGGTCATGGTCTTTTTTTTGGTTGGTAGGCTATTAATTACTGCCCCAATTTCAGAACTTGTAATTGGTCTATTCAGAGATTTGACTTCCTCCTGGTTTAGTCTTGGGAGGGTGTATGTGTCTAGGAATTTAGCCTTTTCTACTGTATTTTCTAGTTAATTTGCACAGAGGTATTTATAGTATCCTCTGATGGTAGTTTGCATTTCTGTGGGATCAGTGGTGACATCCTCTTTATCATTTCTTATTGTGTTTAACGCTTTTATATGGAAATGTAAAATGATGGTACACAATATTGTATCATTATTTATTTGATTCTTCTCTCTTTTCCTCTTTATTAGTTTATCTAATGGTCTATTTTGTTCATTTTTTCAAAAAAGCAGCTCCTGGATTCATTGATTTTTGGAGGGTTTTTCATGTCTCTATCTCATTCAATTCTGCTCTGATCTTAGTTACTTCTTGTTTTCTGCTAGGGTTAGTTTGCTCTTGCCTCTCTAGCTCTTTTAATTGTGATGGTAGGGTGTCAATTTGAGATCTTTTTAGCTTTCTGATATGGGCATTTAGTACTATAAATTTCCCGCTTAACACTGCTTTAGCTATGTCGCAGAGATTCTGGTACATTGTCTCTTTGTTTTTATTGGTTTTAAAGAAATTATTTATCTCTGTCTTAATTTCCTTATTTAATCAGGAGTCATTCAAATTTCCATGTAATTTTGTGGTTTTGAGTGAGTTTCTTATTCTTGAGTTCTAATTTGATTGCACTGTGGTCTGAGAGACTGTTTGTTACAATTTCAGTTTTTTTGCATTTGTTGCAGAGTGTTTTACTTCCAATTATGTGGTTGATTTTAGAATAAGTGCCATGTGGCACTGAGAAGAACGTATAGTCTGTTAATTTGGCGTGGAGAGTTCTGTAGATACCTATTGGGTCCACTTGATCCAGAGCTGAGTTCGAGTCCTGAATATCCTTGTTAATTTTCTGACTCGTTGATCTGTCTAATATTGACAGTGGGGTGTAAAAGTCTCCCACTATTTAGTGTGTGGGAGTCTAAGTCTCTTTGTAGGTCTCCAAGAACTTGTTTTATGAATCTGGATGCTCCTCTATTGGGTGCATATATATTTAGAATAGTTAGCTCTTCTTGTTGAATTGTTCCCTTTTATGTAATGCTCTTCTTTGTCTTTTTTGATCTTTGTTGGTTTAAAGTCAGTTTTGTCAGAGACTAGGATTACAACCCCTGCTTTTTTTTTTTTTTTTTTTTTTGCTTTCCATTTCACCATGTGATATGGTCTGGCTCTGTGTCCCCACCCAAATCTCATCTTGAATTGTAATACGAACTGTGGTCACCACATGTTGGGGGAGTGACAATGTGGAGATGATTGAATCATGGGGGAGGTTTCCAACATGCTGTTCTCATGATGTTGAGTGAGTTCTCATGAGATCTGATGGTTTTATATGGAGCTTTTGCTTTGCACTTCTCCTTCTTGACACCATGTGAAGGATATGTTTGCTTCCCCTTCCACCATGATTGTAAGTTTCTTGAGGCCTCCCCAGCCATGCTGAACTGTGAGTCAATTAAATCTCTTTCCTTTATAAATTACCCAGCCTCAGGTATTTCTTCATAGCAGTGTGAGAACAGACTAAGACATCATGTAAGTATTATAATTTACTCCAGTGTTTGTGAGCTCTAAAACAACTGAATTGTGATCATTTTCCTAGGTCGTTATTGGTAACTAGATATTTTATCTACCTGTTTCTCAAACCCTTTGAGTAGAAGTTGTAATCCTTCCTTTGTCCAAAAATTTCTAGCTTATATGGAGTCTCCAGTCCTTATTTTGTATTTCTATCTTATTTTATCTTAACATTTAGATAGCAGATAAATTCACAAATTGAATTTTGCATGTAAAAGCATTAAACTGAAATGATGTTTGATTAAGATTTCTTTTGCCCAAGAAGAGTAGAATAAAATAGCCATCAAATGCTATTTTTGCTCGTGAAGCAAATATAGTTAAGTTATAAAACCTGCAGCCCATTACCAATACCATTTAATGATTTTTTCTTTAAGACAAATAACTTTACCTCTCGACCTAGAGAAAAAAAAAATAGCCTTATAGCAACAAACAAGCTCATGCTTTAAATGCTGTTTAGAATTTTAATAATGGTTTATCCAATATTTGGATTCACTTCCCTGAGGATAAGAGAAACTAGATTAGGTTATTTAGTTACTACTTCCTTACCAAAGGGAAAAATAGCATCCTCATATGATATTAATAAATTCACAGCTCTATTCTGTTTCCATTTTTAAGTGACTGCTCTATAGTAGAAATAGTCATTTTTTAAAATAGATTGCAAATATAGAACTCAGGATTCTGGCCCAAATATCATTCTTGGCTGCTAACTGATCTTGAAGGACAATATTCCTTTACTTCACCTTATAAAAACCATGAGAATTAGAACTTGTCCATTACCTGGGGAAAAAAATATTTATACTTAAAGAAATCAGAATGTGTCTTGTGATTACTGTCCCATCAAAGAAACCTATTAATTTCAGTAGTGATACTAGAATTCCTGGTATTGTTTGGTTTATAACTGTGATAACTTCCAAATGCCAGGTAAAATATTATCATAAAGGCTAGTAGAATTTCTTAAGTTTATAAAAATAATAGTAGACACTATTTAGGACTTATTGTGTGCCAGGAACTTTTCTAAGCTCTTTACAGGTAGTAGTTCATTTTGTTGTACCAATCATTCTGAAAGCGAAAGATTGGAACCATAGGATGTTTTCTCATCTCTTTCCCTAACCCTGTGTATCCCATGCCCTACTGCCTTGAGTATGATTATTCTATCTCTAGAGATGATTTTACATTGAAGATTATTTTATTTCATGTTGAAAAATTGTTAATAAAATCAGTCTTAGCAAGTTAGATTGGAAAAGGATATGAGAAATAATTCAGTCAAACCAAGATCCAGAGAAGATACCTGATGTGCTCAGTGTCACACAATCTAGTTGGCAGCAAACTAGAAACTAGAACATAGGTATCCTGACCCCTGTATAATCTATTATTCCATAACCCTTTCTTATGTGAAAGGTGAGACAATCATTTTCTTCAAGCCTATTACCTGATCACCTATGACATGCCATGTACAATTTAGACACTGGAGATATGGTTATGAACAAAGAAAAATACCTACCTTCATGGAGTTACACTATTCAGTTCACTGAATAAACAATGATTTATTGAATATCAATTATGCACAGAGCTCCAAAGAACATCTACAGAAGTAGTGTTGGGTGGAGTAGGAAAGGAAAGAGTATAGGAGGTGGTCTCTGATCTCAAAGGAATTACATGAGAGACAAGGGAGAAACATAAACCCTTCCTAGGAAAATACAAAACAGCATATAATTAAGAGTCTAGTTTATAGTAAATGAAGGCCAGGGGATTTTAGAGAAGGGGAGTTACAGGGGGTGAGAGGGATCTCGATGTGTACATTATGAAGACAGCGAAGAGTTAAAGGTGGTGGTTGCCTACCATGGAGTATTAGAGACATGGATGGACTTTAAAGGTATAGGACTGGGCCAGGCATGGTGGTTCAAGCCTGTTATCCCAGCACTTTGGGAGGTTGAGGCGGGTGGATCACTTGAAGTCAGGAGTTTGAGACCAGTCTGGCCAACATGGTAAAACCCTGTCTCTACTAAAAATACAAAAATTAGCCGGCAGTGGTGGTGGGTGCCTGTAGTCCCAGCTACTCAGGAGGCTGAGGCAGGAGGATCACTCGAACCCAGGAGGTGGAGGTTGCAGTGAGTCAAGATCACGGCACTGCACTCCAGCCTGGGCAACAGAGTGAGACTCTGTCTCAAAAAAAAGAAAAAAGATATAGGACTGGGTAAATAAAGTAAAAAACAGATGAAATTTAACACATGTCATTTATGGAAATTAAAATACATATACGTATGACAATAATTTTTTGACAAGGGTGTGTGCAATAAAAAAGGTGTATATAAAATATAATAGAATGCCTGCCTCTGCAGGGAGGGGGAAAGGAGTAGGAAGAAAAATAATAAATATATCAATAGACTTACTGAAGAATAAGGTTAGGGTCCTCACAGACCAATGATGAAAATGTGTCATGATTTGATTATGTCAACCATCTGCTATCAAGTCCAAGGAAAAATATCCTGGGATAGATACAGTAGAGCTTTGCAGGATGTACGGACCATATTCAGGCTGAGAGAGGAATGGGAAAGGTGGTCTGGGTAAGGGGACAGGATGAGAGGGCAGAGACCTGTTCTGCCTGGAGGGAAAGGTGCAGTGGAGGGAATGGAAGAAATATGGGTAACTATGTGGTGTGAGTCTCTTAGGGGAATCCTCAGAAGACAGGCAGAAGCCTCAGAGTGGAAGTAATAGGGAACATGGACTGAAGCGGGGTTCCTGAGCAGGCGGGTGATGTAGGAAAAAGAGAAGAATAAGAGACTGGCAGCAACCTCAGAAAGAAGGACCCAAAAGGCAAAGTATCTGGGAACCCACACTGTGGACGTTCACATGTGTATGGATAAGGGTCTGAATTAGTGGTGTTTGTTTGTGGGAATGAGGAGCAGATGGAGAAGGAACATGTTCCCTGAGAAGACCACGACAGTGCCATGAGGATGTATCAGTTTGGTTCTTTGTACAGGACTTTTTCAAAAGTTTGCTTCAGAGTAGCCATGGTTCCTGAAAGCAGTTAAGTGGGTCACTCGCTTAGCTTTCCTTAGTGGTAGATTAATTAGCCAGCTGTAACTCCCGGATCTCTATTTTTAAATAATGACTTGCATAAGTCTCCAAAGACAAGAACTCGCCACTGGTACACAGCACATTCTGGCAGCTGCAAGTTATTATGCCCAGTGGAAATTAAATATCTTTTAGGGAAATCATGCAAGATCTCATGATAAATATGAAATTAACCCCTGCCACCTCTATGCCCACCTCATTTCTTTGCTTGCCTCCTATCCTAATAAGCAGAGTCTCTGAGGTCTGAAATGACAGCAGAATTGGTGATATTTTTAAAAAAAGCATTATTCATCTGTGAGCATTGGTAGAACATAGAGCTTTTGTCTCCAGTTTTGGGCTAGAAGCTCTGAAAATCATACAACAGTAAATATACCCAATACCATTAACTCATGGTCAGATGGAGATACTTATAACTCCAGGGATGTAAAGAAACAACTGAACTAACCATTTTATTTATCATTTTAGGCAGTTTCCTCTGCTTAATACCCTTAAGTTCACACTTCTCTTTCCTTCTGACCAAATATATACATTTCTGGTTCTTTCTTAATTCTCTCTTTATAAGCTGCAAGTTTCATATAGTATGTGACTCTTCACAGTCCCTTTTCACTCCCGATTTCTATGTTACGTTTGGGTTGTTGTCGTTCGTAGGGGATATTAAACAATGCACTCTCAATCAGAGTGGAATCAGAGTGAAGGGGAGAATGAATGCTGGCAATATCTCACTCCGACCAAGCTGCCTGAGGAAGAGTCCTAAGGTCCGTAGTGGCATTCGGTATTCAGATGCCATTTGTAAATGCATGTTTCATAAAATGTCAATCAATACACTTGTCATAATCACCACATGGTGGACGTGATTTGTTTGGCTACTTTCAATAAAAAGCAGATGTCAGGCCACCCTACGGTTTCGGGAGGCAAATACCTTCCCTGGGTGGGTGAAAATGGCAGGCTCAAGTTTCCTACGTAGCTATAAAGATTTCATAAGACATTTCTGGTTTCTCACCAGAGCACCAACAATCAAGAATCCAGGAGAGGAAAAAGAAGCAATGCCTCCAAATGGGCAGTATAATTTGGGGTCAGATATGAAGCAGATGAAGTCAGTAAAGAGAAGACAAATGGAGCGACAGCTATCCCAGTATCCCTGCTTCATAAGGCCCATTGTTCCAGTCTGTTACTGTGCAGCTGTGTTTGGCTAGTTTCTTTTTGACCCTCACCTTAATAACAGGCCTTTCCTTCACTTTCCACATGCCCCAGGATGTCTCTGACACACCTAGGGAGCGCCGCAAACTCCAATGTTGCTGGGCAGCCCTGTTTTCCTCTTTCTGAGTCCAGAAGTGGTGCAGCCTGGGCCTTTACCTTGACCTTTGACCTCCCACGTCATGAAGTTAACACGGTTCCTGCCTCCAGCTAATGGTTTCCAACACTGCAGAACTGAGTCTATTTTATCAATTACATGAACTTCAGTCTTTGGCATAAAGGTCATTATTGTATTTTGTACCTGGAATTGTATTGTAATGAGGCAAATCACATTCTCTTACAGTCAATGAGGGGGAAAAAAGCACACAAAATGGAAATTACTCCTAAAATGACCTTGCTAGATTTCTATATCTGGCTAACAGACTCAGTTTCTATACATCAGAAAACTGACGTGGCAGCTTTGTCATACAACCAGGCAGTCCAATCCCATGTTAGCAAACATGTTATTATGGAACATATGGCATAAACCCATTAATAGTATGCACAGTTGATACATTCCCAGTGTAGTTCCCGTGATGTTTACTGATTCACTGCCACCTTGCCCCAGGCTGCTTCCAAACATGTCAGAAAAATCAAATGTCATCCATATTTGCATTTAGAAGTTATTCCATATTTACACATGCTAATAAAAACAAAAGCCTGCTTTTTAAGGAAGGGGCAAGCTCCATAATCAATTTTCTGAGCGGCCCAAGAGTTTGACATGTTCTGCATACATTGCATTCACTGGAATAGCAACTTGGAGACACGAGTAGGCTGGCTCTGTGGCTTCTCACCCCTTGCTGGGTAACAGCAGCTGACAGCAGACAGCCACCCTTGAGGGTTGAGGGTACCTGCAGATCACTCACTTTCTCTATCTAAACAACTGGCCTTAGATTTTCTTTTCTTTGTGCATCACATATTTAGAACAAATATGTGATGAACCAGTGCATGAATTAGCTACGAGGATAGCCACAATTTGATGGTGCCCTATAACTTCTCTGCCCCTTTCATTAATGACCAGCTCCATCTCCCAGCTCCCTGGCCTTGTTGTCTTGACTAGAATATAGCATTTGGAGTCATTAAATAGGGTATGAAGTTCTGGCTCTGAAAAATCACTGGTTATGTTACCATGAGCAAGTCACTTAATCTCTCTAAGCCTCAATTCCCTTATCCACGAAATGGGTGAATTATAGCATTTGTTTTGTAAGGATCCTTTAAGTTTCAAGAGACAGAAACCCAGTTCAAACTATTTTAAAGTAAACAAAAAGAAAACATTTATTGGCTCACATGGCTGGAAGGGATACTGTGCTATCTGACCAAATCAAAGGATAGGGATCAAGGTCTCAATTGCTAGGATCAAAACTCAAAGCTAAGAGAACTCTCTCCCTTTTCCATCTCTCAGCTCAGCTCAGCTCTGTTCGGCTTCATTCTTTTTTACTATAGCTGGACTTTCTTCATGTGGCAATGAACGTGGTCAGTTTTAACCCCAATCTCACATTTTTCAAGTATAATGAACCCCTAGGCAAGGCTATTTTTATTTATTTCAAATCAAATCCTTACTTAGTATGTCAGAGGGGGCCTCAGGTCAGCCCTGCTGGTTTACATGTTTGCCTTAGGTTAAGAAGTACTACGATTAATCAGGTATGAAGTTTTGTCCGCCCCTGTACCTGGGATAAAAGGTAGTGGTTAGAGTGTATTACCAGAAGAACGGAAATAAAAACCTTGCTGAGCAAATAAGGCAAAAATAAAAGCTACCATTTTGCTAACCTATTTCACCGAGGTTTGTGGATTCTGGCACAAGCAAGTGTTGAATAATCATAGGTTAGGATTATAAGTAACTGGGCTTTGTAAACTACTAAAAGTTATACATGAATCCTAGCCAAGTAACTACACATCTTATTTATTAACGCTCTCAGAGGGTGAAACCAGCCAAGGCCAGTGTTAGTGACAATTATAATGATAATAGTTAATATTTAAGGAGCAATCACTGCATGTGAGGAACTGCTTTTGTGAGCATTTTATATGTATGAGCTATGAAGTAGGTACTATCATCCACCCCAATGTTTGCATAAATAACTAATGCAAAGAGAGGTAAAACAATTTGCCCAAAGTCACAGAACTAGTGGTTAAACCAGAGTTTGGAACCAGAGGGTCTGAGCTACAGTTCATACTCATTGCTGTCCCTCAATCTTCCTGTAATATTTTGCATTTTACTGTGTATCTTTTCCTTGAGGCACTAAAAACGCCACAAGATTGGTAATTGTGTCTGTATTACTCAAAGTTGCATACATATTCCATCCTTAAGGCCTACATGACTGGTATGAGAAAAGTAGAGATAATTGGGATTGGGCTAAACTTTTATTTGAGTGTATGAATATCATTCAAATAACAGTGCTGTTGAAAATTAATATGTACATCCATTTTTCTGAAATTCAGAAAAGATGCATAATATTCAGGTGCCTAATAACTTGGCTGCTAGTTAATCATGCTTGACACTTATATAGCACTTCACCTTTTAAAATCATTTTAGAATATGTTAGTTCATTAATCCCTACAACATCCATGTGAGACAGAAAAGGTTCCTGCTTCTGATCTCCCTACCATCTGGTATCTAAATACTTGGTCGACTAAAGAAGGAAGAAAATAATTAGATAAATCAAGCAAGGAAACACGTGCAGCCAAGAATGACAGAGACTTGTGGGCAGTGAAGGTGAAAGAAAATCCTCTGGCTCTGCGGAGGTTTGTCTTCAACACATGAATTTCAGCATACAATATTCATATAACAATTATTATTCACTTCTGACTGGTGGAAATGTAAGAAAACACCAATCAGCCTTCATCTTCATCTTCAACAGGTGATGCCTGCACACAGATCACTTGGGATATCAGCAATGGTCATTTCCATTAATTAAAAAGTGCTTCTAGTTGTCAGTGTTCATGATATTGGCATACTTATATTCCAAGTCCTGTTTCCCACTGCTATTTCTACTTTTCACAGAAAAGAATCTGCTTGATGCTAATATCTAGTATGGCTTCAGTCATGTTCAATATATTAATAGCTTCCTTAATGTTGCCTTGTTATTTGGCTCATAGTTTCTAGAGAACTATGGTGAGCTGATTTTGCCAGCCACCTGAACAAAGATATTCTTGCTCGTTGTTTTCTCACTCGTATATGTGGACCACCATTGCCTCACTTCAGGCATGGATGCTGATCATTCTGAAGACCCAAAAATGTGGAGAGAGAACAGTACCTGAACAAGGGCAACAAACACTATCCTAAGATGCTTTCGAGCCACAAACGACATTTTCAAAAACAGTTAGAAGCTATTCTTATTAATAATAGAATGACACAAAAATCATATCCAACAAGAGTCGACATACTATGTATGCGTCTGGTTAGTAAAGAATCTTCTTTCTAGCATTAGCTTATCCTTCTATCTCAGGACACTGAGGATTGAGATAGTACAGGAAGGTAGTACAGGACAATAGTTATGAATGAGCTCCAATTCCAGGATCCCGAAGAAGACCTGGGTTCAAACTGATGCAGTGAATTACTAACTGTGTGACCTTAGGCAAGCGTCTCAATCTCTCTGAGTGTCAGTGTCAGTTTCTACAGGATAGCCCCAGAGCCTACCTCATAGAATTGTTACAGGATTACACAAAATAATTACTCACAGGCTTAGCCCAGTGCCAGGGACATAGTGAATGCTCAGAAGTAAATACCATTAACTGTCCCCAGGCTTCTTTGATATTCTCACATTCAATTTTAAGGCATGATATTGAGGCTATTGTAAAATGATAAACTTAAGAATTCTAGATATAATTACCTGTGAAGTAGGAATATGTTGTGGTCTGTGTTAACACATAATGATCTTTACCTAACCAGGTTAGAAACAGAAATGCTGTAAGTCACTCAAAAGGTCAAATATTTGTCAGCACGTAGCATACTAATATGTAATGTTGACCCTGGGCAAAGTCAGGGAACAGTTGATTGCTTTATGATGAGCCTGTATTTTATTTTTCTGCTGATACCCTCTTTCTTCTTTTGGAGACGTTATCCTCCCTATAGTTTATGTGGGACAATCAAGGCCTTTTCAGGTGTCTTGGAAGTCCCACAACTAAATGGCCACTTTACCAACTCATGAGTGCTATTCTGGCAGCACAAGGCTCTCAAGGTTATTAATGGCAGCTTTTGTCCATTTCCTAGAACCACATTATTAACCTAGAAGAATGATTTCTCAGTTCCTTTCCCTCCCTTCAAACAGATACAAAGATAATCCATGATAAAGAGACTTGACAGTGTCTCTGATTGCCTATTAGCATGGGACACAGCAAGGATGTTAGGACTTGGGGGAGGTGTTATCAGGTTCACAGGGTTAATTTGCATTGTCTAAAAAAGTAAATCTTTTTTTGAATCAATCCACTGGAGGGAAATATAGAAGGAAGCATTCAAACCACAGGGCTCAAGCAGAATGAACACTTATTTCATGGACACAATTACAACTGCCAGGGGAGAAAATTTTTCCAAAACTATTTAATCTTTGAAATGGACAATAAGCTTGTCAGCCTCTTGGGCATTTCAACCTTGATGCAATGGTTCATAGCAAATCTTTCCATGACCAGAACCCATCAGATTCATCAAGTGTCTCCATTCTCTCACAATAAAAGTATTTTAGGGCTCTGAGGATGAAGCAAGCTTTCTGTGTGCAATATATGCTCCTCTCTGTCACCAACGCGAAACCTGGGGATGTGCTGAAAAGAGACTTGACAAAGGAGGATATTTATCTTGCAAGTGGTTGAGATACTATTTCTAAGCTAATCTCCCCTACAAATCATAGAGTTCAATTCAATTCAAGTCTAATTCAAGCTTGTCTTCCAGAACATCTAGTAAATCCTCAAAAACATGAACTATGTATTTGCTTTGTATCTCATTTTCTACCCATTCTCCTCTCAACCCCATGAGTTCACTGGCTATGGAAAGTATTAAGATTAAGACTGGAATTAACAATCAGAGAATTTTCTACAACTGGCTTTTTTTGTTATCATGTCTATTAAAGACCGAACATCATAAACAATACAGTTTAATTAGGAACTAAAGTGTCTACAGCAATTAAATATGAAGGAAGTATTCAAAAACACAGCAAAAAGGATCATATTTTTAAAGCGTTTAAATTGCAAGTGATGTTATTGACAGAACTTTTAAAGAAATTTTATGTTTGGGTTAGAAAAGAAAGAAAGAAAGTAGCTGAAAGTGAAGTGTTGACTCCATGGCATTTATAGGCAAATAAATATTTAGGATGGATCAGTTTGCCATCATGAGCAGATGCTTCAAGAAATACATAAAGCTAATGGGAGCTGTCCTTAATTTCTACCTCACTGAGTCAACAAGATAAAAAATCAACTTAAAGGATTCCAGAGTAATGACATGACTCATTAGTGTGAAGGCCACTTCAAATTAAAGGATTCGTCTTCACTTACTGAGAGAAGAAAATTATTAATGAGCTTCAGGCATGAATATCTGGAAAGGACTGTAGCTCATTCTCTGGGCATGAAACAACTTGAAGTTGTAACCACAAGGGATTTGGTTTTCTTAAGCCAGGTTCTAAAAAATTTTGCTAAACTTTGATTCCATAGGTCACTGTTTGATAAATGGTGCTAGGAATGGAAGTGATGTGGTCACTAGTCCATTGAGAAGATCTGGGAGTGTTGCATATTATATAGTCAGGATAAGTGTCAGAGAGAAGGGAAAATTCTATCGTCGTCCTGGAGAGATAGGCAAAGGAAGTAGGGAAGGTGAGTCTTCATTCTTCTAAATTTATGCTCTTCCAAAATCTAATGGTAGTGAATTCAGAAGACAATGTAAGATGAAGAAAGATCAAGCCTCTCTTTCTGAATGGTCAGTGTATTGCACAGCCACTGAGTTTGTCATTGTTTTTGGTATTTGCTCTTAAGTTTGGAACTTGAGAGTCTGCTTCCATTTTTAAGACAGGTACATATTAAAGAGGTGTCCATCTGAAGCATTTGGTAATAAAAATTTGGTGTTTGGAGGAGCTGTACTGAATGAGTTGTCTTAGTCCCTGCAAAACGGTCATATATATATATATATATATATATATATATATATATACACACACACACACACACACAAACACACATACACATATATACACATATATATATACATATACACACACATATATATAGTTGTTTAATGAAAAATGTAATATTCAGGTGGAATGTCAAAGGAGAAGACCAGAATGTGAAGATTAAACAGGGTTGGGAAGTTTGTAGAAAGTGGTGGTGCCTCTTGTACCAGTAGTGAGAAAGATACTAGATTAAGATTCTCTCCCGAGGGTTGAAATTCTGCCAAAACAACTGGGCATCTGTTCATGGGCTCATGAGATAATCTATATCATCGATTCACTTCTTAGGGAAGAAAGGAGCAGAGGCTGACCTTTTTGAAATTTCTTTCTAGTGGCCAAGAATGACGGCAATTGTATTTTTTAGTGGGATTATGTTTCTTCCTACTGTATATTTGAATTGCAAAAAGCCAGAGCATAGCATTCCTTGTTGAAGTTCTTCAAGTTGACAGTCTGATAGTCTTATCTATTTTTATTTACTTTTAAATTTAACTTCATGTCAGTGTTCCTAGACGTCTTCACAAGCTGCAGGCCTATGGGAAATGTTCCATGGCTCCTCTGTGTATCTGAAGTTTGGCCTCCTCATTATGATCAATTAATACTTCAGAGTTAACTTTTTTCCTGAAATTTGAATAGACCTCATTTTCCAGAAAGTCATTTATATTGTTACTCATTTTCTTTTCACTGTCTTGTTTATGACTAAAAAATGCACTGATGATTTCATAATGAGAGAATATTATGTAGAAATGGAAATATAATCTTACAAAAGTATGACTTTTTATGTGGTAGGTAATATTTCTCTTCAATTTCCCTTTTCATGTGGGATTTTTTTCTTTTCTAAAGGGAAATATAAATGTTAGGAGATAACCAAAATATATATCACAAAATTTTTTTATATATTTCTTCAACTACTATAAAATCTAGAGGGACCAGATGATTAAAGTCCTTCATTTTTAAAGAATTCTCTCAAAAATCCCAGAAGCTAGATGCAAATTGTTTTTAATATTGCTTGAGTTTTGTTAGGGGCATAGAATATACCACGTTCTGTAAAAAAAAAAAAAAAACTGAAATATTTGCCTCTATTTCTATAATATTATACACAATATTTGGATTGTTAAAAGCAATACTATTCATCATGTGAAAGATACCAAGAAAGCCACTGACTCTGAACTTCATGCAGTTATCTATTCACAAGTTCTTTAATAAATAAATGATGAATACCTACTATATATGATTACATATGCTAAGTATTATGGTAAGCATGAATATGAATAACATAAAGTCTTTACCTTTAAGAAATGTATATCATAGTAGTAGAGACAGATATAATCAGATAACTATAACATATATAGTCTTTACCTTTAAGAAATGTATAACATAGCAGTAGAGACAAATATAATCAGATAACTGTAATACAGGCAGAAGGTTCAAAATGCCCTGGGGGTTCTAGTTCAAGATGGCTTATTGAAGGGACATGTTCACCTATCTTCCCTCTCAAATTACTACTGACAAGACATTATAATATGATTGTAAAAGCCATGGTAAGACTAGGGAACTGGTTATCCTAAGAGCAGAGCAGTAAACTAATAGAAATTTCAGTTTGATATAAATAAGAACAGATTGGCAGGCTTTTTGTTGCATGAAGATTAGTTTTAAGTAGATTGATTTACCTGTTGATTTTTTTAAAACAAAACAAACACAAAAATCATCTGTTTAAAGGTATGCAATAGATAGTTGTAGATAATAAGTATTAGAGAGGCTAAAATCATTGGAAAGGAAGGCTATTGGACAGGTGTAATAATGATCTTCAGCTGCATTTTTTTCTGGAAGATTGTGCTGATTCTTGACATGGGTAGACTGGGAAAGTAGGCTTTCAAATGGCAAGGGGGCACCGTTGGGGACACAGAAACCATTAGACATTTTGGCATTTACAAGGATTGGAGTCAAAAAATTGGAGAATTGAAGAGGCTCAAGACACAACTGATTTTCCCCTCAAAATATTTGCCAAATATTGAAGGTGTGCAGGGTGGAGCTAAAGAGCTAAGCTACAAACCCTGAGTGGTGGAGTGGGACATTTTGTACTCTCCCAGTGCTGAGAATACAAAAACTTGCTAGGATGAATGAGCTAGTGAATGAAGTAGTGTCTTAATTGCAAGCCACAGAGATCTCCAGACTACAGACAAAGGAAACCAAAGATAGACTGAATCTTAATCAAAACTTCTAGCATGTCTAAAGTCAGCCTATTCCTGGATAAATTAAGGTGATAGCCTCTCTATCTGCCTGGCAGAAGAAAGGGTAACCCTTTTCTAATGCAAGATCACAACATCTGGAGCCTCTGTAGTCTTTATTCTCAGTGTTCTGCATTTATTAAAATCCTTTTGGGCATGGCAAGAGACAGGGCCATGGGTCCAAAACCCAAGAGAAAAAGAAATAGGCAACAGAAACAAATCCACACATGATGTAGATATTAAGACAAACATTATAAAAAAAATGAATAACATGAATAAGAAAAATAGATAAATTATACAGCAAAAAGATAAAATGTTGGAGAATTTTATCAGATAATTAAAATCTGAACCAGTCATGTTCTATCTAGTTGGTTAGAAGTCACATTAAGGTTGACGCCTTTGTATCTGATACTGGAGGTTCATGTCTCAAGGTTAAACATTTGAGGAAAAAGAACAGATATCAAGGTTGGGTCAGTGAGAATAAACTGGAATCCACAGGAATAAACTGGAACACATGGGGATGGACCTAGGCTCCTTCCAGTTTCTCACTACTTCTACCATCAGTGGGAATGGTTGCGCACAAGAAGTTAAAAGCCTTTGTCATACAGTTGGCACACCTTTGGCTAACGATTCCGAGAAGCTGAAAGAGGAGTAGCTGAAGGCCTGTCTGCTGCTCAACACCAATGATGTGAACCAACAGATCAATGACAGCATGTGTGAGCTGCAACAGCATTTGAGTCTGTTCATGACTTTCCAGGTGTAAATTAATCTGATCACCGCTTTAATTCCACCTTCCGAATTTCACATGAAATGTCTTTCATGACCCACTTCAATTGGAAACATGGAAGAAAAAGAACTGTGAGAAATGTAGATCAGCCTAACCTAGTTGGCATAATATAAAGCCACCATAGAATCTATACAAAATAATGAGATGGGATTTCTAGAAATAAAAAGTGTTATGTCTTAAAATAAGAACTAAATGGATACATACAGTACCAAGCTGGACAGAGTTGAGGACAAGATTAATGAACTCAAAGACAGTCAATAGAAAAGACCCAAGTGGAAACACAGAAAGAAAAAGAAAGGGAGGAGGCAAGAATAGAGAGAAAGAGAAATTGCATCACATATATGTAACTTGTATATCAGAAAGAGAGAAAATAATTGGAAAGAAACTATATTTGAAGAGATAATGGCAAAAAAAATTTCCAAATTGAAGAAAAGTATCAATCCATAAATTCAAAAAAATCAGCAAACTAAAAGCATAATAAACACTTTTTAAACCATTAAGGCATATCATAGAAAAACTGATTTTTAAAAAATACAGAAGTAAAATAAATCATAAAAGAAGCAAAAGGAAAAAATACACAGTATCTTTGAAGGAGCAGAAATAAGATTACAGCTGACTTCTCAGTAGAAATGATATAAGCCAGAAGAAATTAGAATGGTGTTTTTTTTTTTTTTTTTTAGAAATGGAGTCTCACTCTGTCACCCAGGCACCCAGGCTGGAGTGCAGTGGTGGGATCCCAGCTCACTGCAACCTCCACCTCCTGAGTTCCTGAGTTCAAGCAATTCTCTTGCCTCAGCCTCCCGAGTAGCTGGGACTACAGGTGCATGCCACCACATCCAGCTAATTTTTTGTATTTTAGTAGAGACGGGGTTTCACCGTGTTGCCCAGGCTGGTCTCGAACTCCTGAGCTCAGGCAATCCACCTGCCTCGGCCTCCCAAAGTGCTAGGATTACAGGTGTGAGCCACCACGCCTGGCCTGGAATATTTTTTAAATGCTAAAAATAAATGTCAACTAGCATTGTACACTCAATGAAAATATATCTCAAAAATAAATATGAAATACTAATATTTCCAGAAAAACAAAAATCAAAACAATTCCTCTTGGTAGGACTGTACTAAAGGAAATATTAAGTCAACTTCTTCTTCATAAATAACATAATCAATCATAAAGGAAAATGCAGAAATGAAGGAAAAAATGAAGAGCAATACAAAGATAAATACTTGGGTAAACATAAGTGAATATAAGCCAGGTGCCATGGCTCACAACTGTAATCCCAGCTATTCAAGAAGCTAAGGCAGGGGGTTTGCTTGAGCCCAGAAGTTTTGAGATAAGCTCAGTTGCCCACTTAGCAACATAGTGAGGCTCTCTATCAATCTCCCTCCCTTTCTCCCACCTTCTTTTCCTCTCCATGTGTGTTTGTGTGTGTGTGTGTATATGCATGTATGTACGCGCGTGTGTGTGTGTATATATATATATATGTCTGTATATATATGGCACAAAATAACAATGTTTATGTTTGGGGAATTTAAAATATATATAAAATTAAAATACATGACAATAATACCAAAGGGATAAATGAAGTTAAAGTGTTATAAGGTTGTATCCTTATTGTGGAAGAGGTGAAAGCAATCATTTGAATTAAGCTGTAATAAGACATGGGTACATATTTTTATCTCTTAGGCATTAAAAGAATTGTTTAAAATGTAAAAATAATAAGATAATAAACTATTGAATGACAAATCACCTGATTAATCTAAAAGAAAGAAAAACCAAAGGCATTTAAAAAAGATCAGGTAGGCTAAATAATAATAAGGTGGATATAAATCCAAATACATCAATAAGTACATTAACAAACAAAATAATTCAAGTAGAAGATTAATATTTTCAAGCTAATTTTTAAAATTTATATGTGTGTACAACAGTAGAGTGGTACTGTGTACCATGTAGTTACAAACCAAATAAAACTGGTATGGCTATATTGATATTAGTCAAACAGAAAGCATTACTTGGAATAAACAAGGTCATATCACAGTGATAAGGTGTCCGTCCACCAGGACGATATATACCAATTCTAAATCTCAATGCAACCAATTAAAAAAAAAACTTAGCCAGGTCTCTGAAATCTATAAGCCATGCAGATAAAAGAGCCTCCAAAGTAAGTAATTTTTTCCAGATGAACCACAAATAAGCACAAGATCAGAAGTAGTAGTGAAGGCTAGAAGTAGAAAACTATGGGTGGTTGGACCAGTATGTTTATTATTGTGTGTGTGTGTGTATGTGTGTATGTGTGTGTATGGTATGTGTGTGTATACTATGCCAATTCCCTGTCCTCAGAGCAGCTGACCTCAATGTTTGCTTCTAGGATTATGCTGTAAATACAGCTTTATAAAATGGGAATTCTGAGAAGTACCTCTGATAACTTATGGTCTCCTGTGCCAATACAAGAGGCTATGACCTATCCTTATAGAGGGGCCCTTTATGTGTCTCTCTTCCCTTGTCTAGTACATAGAACGAAGGCTCCTGTTACTAGTACCTGTATTTACCATTACTTCTCATTTGTGCTGAGTAAATAAGATGACACTATCAATACTTTTCCATCAAGACATAATCAATTACTAAACATTTGATAGAATCACAGTATGAAAAAAGAGTCACTGACTCAACAAGCAAAAAGGTAACCACTAAGAAAATGAGAGTTAATATAGAGGAAACAGAAATAAAATGGAAATATGTATTTAATTTTTTAAAGTGTATATTTAAAAATATATACACTTCAGTGTATATAAGTGTAAAAATATATAATTTTTAAAGTGTATAAATATATATGAAAATATACATACAGTGTGTGTGCATGCATGCATGTATATATTTATATATATTTATACACTTTTTAAAATTTTCATAAATATTTATGATAAAAGCAACTGGCTGCTATAAAAAATTAATGGGCAGAATCCTTGGAAATTAAAAGCACAATTACCATAAACTTAATAAATCAGCAGAATAGTTGAAACTAGAATAATAAAATAGAAGATTAAAATGAGGGATTCTCCTAGAAAAGAGTACAGATGACAAAGGGTTGAAAAGTATGAAAAATGAATTAACTCATGGAGAATGCCCATACTGCATATCCACAAAGATTAATGAACCAACTATACGTATCTTCGTGATGTAGAGCTGCACTAATCACTAGCTACACATGGCTATTTACATTTAAGTTTAAATTAATTAAAATTTAAGAAATTTTAAAATTCAGTTCGTCAGTCTACTACTCACATTTCAAAGAAAGGTTCAAGAGACATATGTGCTAGGTGGCTGTGTTTTGGACAGTGCAGTGAATAATTCCTTGCAAAGAAACAAGGAACTGATTGATACCATTATCTTCATCAGAAAATGTGGATGCAAAGAGACTGTAGAAGCATGTCTTCAAAATTCTGAGAAAACATAATTTTTAACCTAGAATTTTACATTGAAATTATCTTTAATGTGTGAAGGCTGAGGTAACATTTTCAGTCACAGGGTCTCAGGAAGCTTTATCTAATAGGAGTCTTTTGAAGAAAATATTTGAGGATATATTTGAGGAAAAACAAAAAAAAATCTAAAAAAAGATGACACTGTGAGATACAAGGAAAGACGGTCAACAATTTAACCAGAATGCATGTTTTTAAGTCTAAAAAGTATTGATAATAAAGCTAAGTGATACATTTTATTTTATTTTTTTCCAGACAGAGTTTCGTGGCACGATCTTGGCTCACTGCAACCTCTGCCTTCCGGGTTCAAGTGATTCTCCTGCCTTAGCCTCCTGAGTAGCTAGGCTATAGGCGTGCATCACAATGCTTGGCTAATTTTTTTGTATTTTTAGTAGAGACAGGGTTTCACCATGTTGGTCAGGCTGGTCTTGAACTTCTGACCTCCAGTAATCCGCCCGCCTTGGCCTCCCAAAGTGCTGGGATTACAGGCATGAGCCACTGCGCCCCCACTAAATGACACTTTAAAGGGCAATTTCCAGGAAATAATTCCTAAGAAAATGGCTTTAAAGAACAAATAAGCTGAATATATATGTTGATGATCATTTTAACAAAACACAGGAAGGGGCAGGGAAGTAGAAAGAAAATGAAAAATTACTGAGAATCTAATTCAGAAAGAGCAATTTTAGGACATACTTAATGTCAACATAGAATTGGAAATTGTAAGTTTACATACTGTATTTAAACAAACACGATGTGAGAAAAATGGAATGCAGAATTACTAAAGAAAGAATGAAGAAAAAATACCCTAATAAAATAAGCTTAATACAAAAGAAGAAGAAAAATAAACAAGCAGGTTATACATGATTAAATATTTCGATCATTACAACAAATGTGAATTAAGTAAAACTCCTCATTAAAAATAGAAGCCATGTCAGATATACATAATAATTTTAGCTACATTCTCTTTACTAGAATCATAATTACATGAAAATGACATAGAATGGTCGAACATGAAGATTCACTAATAAATCAAGACTGGTCCTATCAATCATAAATATACTTGAGTATAAGATGAAAATAATTAAAAAATATTAAGATAATACATCATAGGTACTTAGCAACATGCATCAAAAATATAAGGTCAACTTATTAAAATTTTATAAGGAGAAATAAACAAGTTCACTGTTGTATTTGGACACAAATTATAAATCAATGATATGAAGTAGTCAGAAATAAACAGCAATATAGATTATTCAATATTAAAAGTTATATCCAACAAACAAAAATGACTTATTTTTAATAGTTACAGAATATTTTAAAAGATTGACTACATAAGGCCACAAAATAATTTTACACATTTGTAACAGTAGAAATTATGGTCCACACTTTCTGGCTAAATAAATAAATAGTAAAAATGAACACCTCCTTCCTGCAAAAACAAAGAACGACAAGAAAACTCTCCAATTGCATACATTTAAAATCTCAATTTTAATAAATCTTGACTGTAAGAGGAATTCAAAATTAAAATCACTGAGTCGCTGTGAATATATACTAAAATAGGCTACTGCAAAGATAAACTCAAAGGAAAAATAAGTAGCCTTAAAAATGTACCAATTAATAGCAAAAATGTTGAAAATAATTAAATAATCAACTTAATAAACAACAAAGAAAGTAAAACAAAGTTGAAGGAAATAATTAATAAGGGTGGAAAATAAACACAGCAATAATTTACAGTAAGCCTTTAAAAGGTTTAAATTTAAAAGGTTTAATTAATCAAGGTTGGCTTGATTAATCACAGCAAAAGGCGACTCTGCAAGAATAAATAAAATCTATAAAAAATTGACAAGTTTATGAAAAACTATATAAAAGTTAGATAAAATTTTAAAAATCAGCTTGACTATATGACAAAAATAAAACATTAAAATTATACTTAAAAAGTCATATTGACTAGAACAATAAGACATTAAAACACATAAACATAGAGGTACCAAAAATGTGTAAGATCTATATTAAAAATGAAAAAATTGTATGATAAGACATTCAAAAAGCCTTGAACATATAAAACAATATATTGTGTTCTTGGGTGGGGAGAGTCCATATTTTAATGTATTGATTCTATATAAATCTATAGATAAAATTTCAATCAAAATCCTAATGATTATTAATCAATTTAAACAGATAATTTGTTGGTTTATATGGAACAATAAAATAGGCAAGAATCCCAAAGAAATTTTTAAATTATGCCATAATTAATTGGAATCTGTCTCACCAGATATCAAATTTAAAAAGAAAATGATAAAAGGACTTAGAAAAAATTTTTATAAGACTGAAAGATTTTACTATACATATATTTTAATTTCCATGTGGAAAAAGCTACAGTGAACAAAGTTAAAAGATAACTAGGAGGAAACAGTCATAACATCTATAATATACAAAGGTTTAATATTCATTTTATACAGAGCTCTTTCAAAAAAATATAAAGACAAGCTAATAGAAATCTGAACAAAGGACCATTTACAAGAGAAAATATACACGAACTAAGAGACATATGCTGTGTTTGTTTGTTAACTCACTAGCAGAGGGAATAAAAATTAAAATAAGAAGACAGTAACTTTTTGCTCATTAGATTGAGAATATAAGAAAAAGGTTGATACTATTTTTGAAAATGTGGTGAAAAGAGCAAGCTCAGATGTTATCTAAGCACAGTTCTTTTTGAAGCTATCTGTCAGAGTGTAGCTATCAAAATATAAAATGCAAATATCCTCTGACATAGCAAGCTCACTTCTAGAAATCTTTTGTGTAAAAAAGCTTGCATTTATACGAAAGACATATATACTCATTAATAGCAAAAAAGTATATTTTTAATTGCCAATTATAAAAACCTATTTTAAAAAGTTTAAGCCAAACCAAACAAAAGCAAACAGGAAAAGCATATGCTCATCAAAAGCAAACAATAGAAAAAAGAAGGAAATGTATAATATATGTATACACACATACATGTATGTATGTATATCTATAATCTCCAAGGCATATTGTAACATTTTAAAAAAATAACTCAAAGAATTTGACATCAGAAAGGCCTCTTGGCCTGCACATACCCATTTCCAGCACAACAGCTGGCTTGAAGTCAGCCCTACATTACTGGAGAAAGGCACTGTGCAGCTTTCCAGCATATGCATGCCCATCCATGGTTGCACAGCCAGCTTGGAGCACTCAGATATATAAAGTACGTATTATTAGTTCTAAAGGGAGAGATAGACAGCAATACAATAATAGTATCGGACTTTAACACTCCACTGTCAACAATGAACAGATCATACAGACAGAAAATCAACAAAGAAACATCATATTAAACTACACTACAGACTAAATGAACCTAACAGGTATTTACAAAACATTCCATCCAACAGCTACAGAATGCACATTCTTCTCAACTGAAAATAGAACATCCAGGATAAATGATACTGCAGTCTACAAAACAAGACTTAAAAATTTAAGAACATAGAGATCATATCAAGTATCTTTTCAGACCATAATGGTACAAACCTAGAAATCAACAACGAGAAAAACTTTGGAAATCTTACAAATACATGGAAATTAAATAACATGCTCCAAAGTAACCAACTGGGTAAGTAGACGAAAGGGAAATTTAAAAATTCCTTGAGACAAATGAGAATGGAAACACATCATACCAAAACTTATGGAACACAGCAAAAACAGTTCTAAGAGGAAAGTTCATAGCAATAAATGCCTACATCAAAAAATAAGGAAGATTCCTGATAAATAACTTAACCAAACACCTCAAGAAAATAGACAAACAAGAAGAAACTAAGCCAGAATTGGTAGAAGAAAGGAAATAATAAAGCTCAGAGCAGAAATAAACAGAGACTAAAAAATTAAAAAAAACAACAAAAGAGTTGGTTTTTTTAAAGATAAAATAAACAAACATTTAGCTAGTCTATGAAAAAATATGATAAGATCCCAAAACTTCAAGTCAGAGATGAACAAGGTGACACTACAACTGACATCACAGAAATACGAAGGATTGTAAGATTAAATTATGAAGAAACTGAAAATTTGGACAGATCAATGATGAGTGAGGAAATTGAATCAGTAATAAAATACCCTCCATCAAAAAATAAAATACAAAGCCCAGCCTGATGGCTTCACTGCTGAATTCTATCAAACATTTAAAGAACAATACTGATGCTTGTCACACTATTCCAGAAAATAGAAGACTAGGAAATACTTCCAAACTAATTTTATGAGGCAGCATTACCCTGATTCCAAAGCCACACAAGGACACAACAAAAAAAGAAAACTAAAGTCCAATATTCCTGATAAACATAGACATAAAAATTCTCAACATGAAACTAGCAAACAGAATATAGTAGCATATTAAAAAGATCAATTACTGTGTTCAAGTGGAATTTATCCCAGAGATGCAAGAATGGTTCAACATATGCAAATCAACAAATGTGACACACCACTGTCTTAGTTTATTTGGTGTTGTAATAAGAGAATACCAGAGACTGGGTAATTTATAAAGAAAAAAGGTTTATTTAGCTCATAGTTCTGCAAGCTGAGAAGTTCAAAAGCATGCTTGGCTTTTGCAAGGGCTTTTGCTGCGTCACAACATGGCAGGGAAAGTCAAAGGAAGAGCATATGTGTGTAAAGAGAGGGAATCCTGAGGGGCATCCTGGCATTATGACAACCCACTCTCACTGGAACTTATCCATTTCTGCAAGAACCAGTCCACTCCTGAGAGAGTGAGAACTCACTGAGAATAGAACCAAGTCATTCATGAGAGATCTGTCCCATAACCAAAACACCCCTACCACTAGGCCCCACTTTCCAGTGCTGCCACACTGGGGATCCAATTTCAACATGACCTTTGGTAGGGACAAACAAACCATATCCAAACCATACAACCACATTAACAAAAAGTAAGAGGAAAAAAACCATATGATCATTTAAATAAATGGAGAAAAAGCTTCTGGCAATATTCAACACCCTTCGTGATAAAAACTCTCCACAAATTAAGTATAAAAGGTATGTACCTCAACACAGGAAAGGCCACATATGACAAACCCACAACACAATACTGAATGTGCTTGCCAGAGCAACTAGTCAAGAGGAAGAAATAAAAGGCATGCAATTTGGAAACAAGAAAGTCAAACTATTCCCATTTACAAATGACATGATTTTATGTATAGAAAACCCTAAAGATTCCACAACAAAACTGTTAAAACTAATAAATGAATTCAGTGAAGTCACAGCACACTAAATCAACATACAAAAAAATCAGTAGCATTTCTGTATGCTAGAAGCCAACTATCTGAAAAAGAATTCAGGAAAACAATTCCATTTACAATAGTTTCCAAAAATTAAGATGTCTAGGAATAAACTTAACTAAGGAAGTGATAGATCTCTACACTGAAAACTATAAAACGCTGAGGAAAGAAATAGAGGAAGACACAAGTAAATGGAAAGATATCACATATTTATAGATTAGAAGAATTGATATTGTTAAAATGTCCATACTACCCAAAGTTATCCACAGATGTAATGCAATTCTTATCAAAACACCAAATACCAAAATACCAAAATACCAAATTCTTATCAAAATAAAGAAATAGAAAAAGAAAATCCTAACATTTATATGGAACCACAAAAGGCCCGACATAGCTAAAGCAATCCTGAACAAAAAGAACAAAGCTGGAGGCATCACACTACCTGACTTTAAAATAGATTACAAAGCTGTAAGTACCAAGACATTATGGTACTAACATATAAGCAGACACACAGATCAATGGAACACAATAGAGAGCCCAGAAATAAATTCACCTAGCTACATTCAACTTATTTTCAACAGAGGTGCCAAGAATACACATTATAGAAAAGACAGTGTTTTAAATAAACAGTGCTGGAAAAATAGGATATCCACGAGCAGAAGAATGAGTCTAGACCCTTACTTCTCACCACATGCAAAATCCAACTAAATGGATTAAAGGCTAATTGTAAAGTCTATAACTATGAAACTACTAGAAGAAAACATAGGGGGAATGCTTTACAACATTGGGCATGGCAGGGATTTTAAAAATAAGACCTCAAAAGCATAGGACACAAAAGCAAAAATAGACAAATAGAATTATGTCAAACTTAAAAGGTTTTGCACAGCAAGAAAAACAATTAACAAAGAGAAGAGACAACCTATAGAATGGGAGAAAATATTTGTAAACTATACATTCGACAAGGAGTTAATATCCAGAATATATTAGGGACTTAAACAAAAGAAAAAAAACCCAATATACCTAAATAGATATTTTTCAAAAGAAAAAGTGAGACACACAAATGGCCAATAGGCACATGAAAAAATGCTTGACAGCATTAATAATCAGGGAAATGCAAATCAAAACCACAATGCGATATCATCACCTTGCTCCATTTAGAATGGCTGTTATCGAAAAGAAAAAAAGTGTGTGTGTTTGTGTGTATATAAATAAAGAGTTGATATAATAGAAGCAGAGAGTAAAACAGTGGTTACCAGAGATTAGGGAGAGGAGCAAGAAGGGAGGATAGAGAGAGGCTGGTCAACGGGTACAAAGTTACAATTAGACAGGAGGAATAAGTCCTGGTGTTCTATTGCACAGTAGGTGACAATTGTTAATAGGATGGTATTGTGTATTACCAAATATCTAGAAGAGAAGCTTTTGAATGTTCCACCACTGTGAAGTGATGGATACACTAAACACCTTGATTTGATCATTATACAACATATGTGTATCAAAATATCAAATTGTACACCATAAATATGTGTAATTATAAAATGTGTCAATAAAAAAGTTTTAGAAGTATCATCTTAAAAAAACTCAAGTGGTAGAATAATACTGAGAGTATAATTTTAATTTTATCTACTAACAAGAAGCAACAAAAAACAACACATAAATACATGGTGTATGCATGGATGCATACATGCATAGAAAAAGGAACAGACTCTTATTAGGGATTACCTGTGGACAGCAGTGTGGGTTTGAAGGAGAAATGGAGGCGTTCTTTCACATAGTTTTATTCTATTTTTTTCATAGTAGTAAATTTTTCCCCCATAAAAATCAAAATATTCAAGTACGACATTTTTCTATTTAAAACAACCATTTAAAAAGAAGAAATTATGTTATGGGAGCACAGAGGAAGAAGAGATTAATGTCAGGAAATAATTCCAAACTTGGATCCTAAGATACAGTCTCTGACCTTTAGAAGGTGAGGAGAGATAAATATTTCTCAGATCGCCATGACACACAGTATCACATGACACACAGAGGTCCAAAGACAAGTAACAACAAATTGTAGGAACAGTTAGAAGAGAGCTATTACTTCAAATACATTATCCAATAATTTATTTTCCTTCACCACTTAATGTTGAGAGGAAAATTGAATTCATTTGAAATCATTTATTCATATCCCTAAACTGAACGGCATATTGATTTTGATATTCATTTTCACTATATTCAAGAGGCCTTCGATGTGGAGCCCTTTCCATTTTTAAGTGTCCTCAAATCACCATGATTGTACTGCCTCTCTCTGAATGGCAAAAAGGCACAGCCACACACAAGGGAGACGTTTCCTGCTCAGTTTAGCTGAATTTAACAAACATTGGCTGAATGGCTTTTATGTGCCAGGTACTGCACAAGGGCTGGAAAAGGGAAGATGAAAATTCTGTATCTTTGCTCTAAAGAATCTTTAAACCTACCGGGGAGAACAGAGGCATAAATACCCGAGCTGTGCTCAGGTCACTGTGGGAGGAAAGGGGAGGGGCACCGCACACAGGCTAGGGATGTGAGCAGCAGCAGGAGTTAGTGAGTGGGGGAAGGTAAAAGGTGGAGGCAGGTCCATGGGCCTGAAACAGCACAGCTGCCTGCCAGGAGGCGGAATCCACTCTTTCTGGATTGTAACTGATGAGAGTGGGTGGAAAAGAGAAGGTGGAGGTGAGGTCAGAGAGGAGGACTGAGGTCAGACACTTGAGGGCTTCAAATGAGAGTTAAAGGATGTCAGCTCTCTTCTGAGCAAGATTTGAAGGGTTTTAAGTCACACAGTTAGATTTACTTTATAAATGGATCACTTTGGTGTAGGATAAGAGTAGAGGGCAGGGACACTAGATAGGAAGCTTTGGCAAAAGACCCTGATGTCCTGAACTACAGTGGTAACAGCTGGGAGGGAAAATAGAGATGTGTTTGAGAAACCCCATCTGGGAAGCCAATTTACCAGGCTTGGGTTATGAGGATTAAATGAGTTAATACATACAGATAGTCCCCAATTTATGATGGTTTGACCTACAGTTTTTTTAATTTTATGATTATGCAAAAGCAACATGCATTCAGTAGAAACTGTACTTTGAGCACTCATACGACCATTCTGGTTTTCACTTCCTGTACAGTATTTAACAGATTACATGAGACATTCATCACTTCATCATAAAATGCACATTGTGCTTAGTGATTTTTGTCCAACCGTAGGCTAATTTAAGTGTTCTGAGCATGTTTCCGGTAAGCCAGGTTTAGCTATGATGTTTGGTAATTTAGGTGTACAGTATTGAATGCATTTTTGACTTCCACTATTTTCAACTTCCAATGGGTTTATCCAAATATAACCCCATCATAAGTCAAGGAGCATCTGTGTACAGATCTGAGATAGTGCATAGCCTAGAGGAAACACCATATAACTGTCTGTTGTTATTATTATTCTTGGGTCCACTATACTCTGTCTTCACTTTCTACTTCTTGGACCATCCTTCTAGGTTCCGTCTCTCTGGTTCCATACCTCACTCTATTGTTCCTATATAATATGTTCTTGTGTTTTATGTGTAATAACTGGCTGCTGGCTTCTAGACTGCAAAGGCTGTGTCTCATTTTTTTTTTTCCTAGCACCCACCTGGCACAAAGTCCTCAAGATATTTTTGGTGAAGGGTAGAAATCAAAGGCCACAATATCTTACACGTAGTATTTTTAGCTCATAATCATGCCTCCAAATGGTGAAGACCCATTTTAAAGTTGTTGGCCAGAGCTCCTAGTATGCTGTGGGTTAAATCATGTCCTACCTATTAATGCTGTGATTACTTACTCTAACAGGGAAAAGCTATGCCATCCAAGCCTTTGATTTCATCAGCAGCAGATGACACTTCAGGGCAGAACCACTATGTTTTAACTGTGCCCTACAGGATCAGTCTCAGCCCTCAGAAAACAAACACTTACTTTCTGTCACCGTCAGGCTGATACTTAAAGGACTGAGAAAATCCTTTTTTTCCCTGTGTTAGATAGAATAATAGCTCCCTAAAGATATCCCCACTCTAATACTTGAAACCTGTGAATATGTTGCTTTACATGCCAAAAAGGACTTCATAGGTGCAATTAAATTAAGGATCTTGAATTTGAAGGATTATTCTGGCCCAATGTAACCATGGGGGTCCTTAAAAGAGAAATAGAGAAACAGCAATGTGAGGAAAAGATATGTGAGAATGGAAGCAGAAATTGGTGGAGTGGGGCCGTGAGCCAAGGATGTAGGCAGTCTTGCATTTTTTGCTGGAAAAAGAAATAGATTCTCCCTTGGATCTTCCAGAAGGAATGCAGCCCTAACAACCCATTTTAGACTTCTAACTTCGAACTGTATAAAATAACTTTGTGTTGTTTTAAACCACAAAGTTGGTGATAATTTGTTATAGCAGCAATAGAAAACTAACACATTCCCCTAACTCAAATCTCGTTGGTATAAATCATTTCCAGTTTATTCCATCCCTTTCATGTAGATTCAATACCTCAAGAACTGCTCTTACATTTCAAAGTGTCAGAATTAGCATGGCTTCTCTATCTTTTTATGATTCTGACCAAGAAAATCCTGTAGCATCAGCCAAACCCCAATATTATAAATTTCCACCCATTCTTAATATGAAGTTCATCTGACTCAAGCTAGTTTACTGGATTCCTGCCAATATTCTTTAAACCATTCTTTGAATGCAAATTAGGTAACAACTACTCACTGCCTGCTGCCCCTTTTATTTATCTTCCAATTTGTGTTTTCCTGTTTGTTTGCCTGTTTATTTGTCCTAGACTGCACTGAGTGATAGAGATACTTTCTTAGACCACAAGCATTAAAATCATTTTACACTACATCAACAATTGACGAACAACTCTGTTGGTGTTTCCAGAATAAATAATTCCATTCCCATTTATCGACGAGTTGAAAAATGACAAGCTGTTCAACTCTTAGACTCATGTTAGAAGCATCCCAGACCTAGCCTATTCTGTCCTACTTGGTAAAGTATTTATTCTAAATGCATATTGTCCTTACTAAGTTGACACTCTAAACTCACCATCTGGTTTATCCTGGAAATTTATGTCTACTTTGATGTGACAAAAAATTTTCTTATTGGTTCTTCAATGAGAAATATGCCCAGTTTCTCAGAAATCAGCTGAATATTTTCAACTTTTCCATAATGTAAAAGTGACAGTGTGTTCCGGTAGCTGTAAAACTGTAGAGAATAAATGGGGAGGATGAAAGAAGATCACAGAGTATATGCTACCTGATGATCACCTAGAAACCTGGGGTCCAGCTAAGCCCCTGGCTGGTGCTTGCTGTGAAGCTCTCTGCATTCTCTGACTACCCTTCCCGAAGTCTCTTTGGATGCCTTCCTCAGCAACACTGGGGCTGTAGGGGTAGACTCCGGGGGGTTATGCTTCAGCAATACTGGGTCCCAGGTGCCGAACTTCAAACACAATGCTGCCTTCCTAGGTCTTTCTGTGCAGACTCTGGGAGCTGTCCTGTCCACAGAGATTAGAATGTTGAAATTTTCCTGTCATTATATAACTATAGTAGTGGGCCAAATTCCTCTAAGGCAGGAGTCCCTAACCCTAGGGCCACAGACCGGTACCTGTCCCTGGCCTGTTAGGAACTGGGCAACACAGCAGTAGGTGAGCGGTGGGCAAGCGAGCATTACTGCCTGAGTTCCATCTCCTGTCAGATCAGCAGCAGCATTAGATTCTCACAGGAGCACGAATCCTGTTGTGTACTCTGCGTGCGACGGATCTAGGTTGTGCACTCCTTATGAGAATCTAACGCTATCCCCCACATCCACACCTCATGGAAAATTTTTCTTCCATGAAACCAGTCCCTGGTGCCAAAAAGGTTGGAAACCGCTGATCTAAGGCGAGTCTACTAGTCAAGGTAAAGAAGTGAAAGGAGCCAATAAGCACATGAAAAGACGCTCAACATTATTAGCCAACAGGAAAGTCCAAATCAAAACCACAGTGAGGTGCTGCTTCACATCCACTAGGATGGCTATAATAAAAAAGACAAGTAATAGCAAATATTGGTTAGAATGTGGAGAAATTGGAACCCTTGTACACTGCTGGTGAGAATGTATAAGGGTACAGCTGCTTTGAAAAACAGTCTAGCACTTCCACAAAAGCCTACACATAAAATTCTCATATGACCTAACAATTCCACTTCTAGGTATTTACCCAAGAGAAAGGAAAACCTGTGTCCACACAAAGAGTTGTAAAGGAATGTTCATAACCACATGATAATAATAGCCAAAAAGTAGAAATAACCCAAATGTCTGTCAGAGGATGAGTGGATAAATGAACTGTGGTATTTCCATAATATGACAGAGTATAACTTAGCCATAAAAATGAATGAAGTACAGATACATGCTACAATACAGACGAACCTTGAAAACATTACGTCACTCACAATAGACCACATATTTATCAGTGCATTTATATGGAATAGCCAGAATAGGCAAACCTATAGAGACAGAAAGTAGATTGGTGGTTTCAAGGGCCCAGCAAGTGTTGGGGGGCCTGAGAGGTGTTGGCTAAGAGGTATGCGGCTTAATTTTGGAGTGGTGAAAGTGTCCTAAAATTGATTGTGAGAATGATTGCACAACTCTGAATATACTAAAAGCCATTGAATTATACACTTTAAATGGGTAAATTATATAGCATGTGAATTATATCCTAATAAAGCTGTTTTATTTTAAAAAAGAAAAGGAAAAAAGAAGTGAAAAGAATAAATATGTCCAATAAAGATGATTTCTTGAGCTGTGTCACTGGTTACTTGACCATATTACCTCCTCCAGCGACCTCTCCCTCCAAGTTCACCTACCTTATACTTAGGACCAACAGGATTGAAGCTAGCAGCAGCTCCTGAGCGATATAGCTCTGGACTAGTCAGAATTTGAGTTTTGTCTGTTTGTGAAATAATGAACAGCAGAGGCATGTGTTTGATCCTGCTTGCTTCTTTCTGAAAACTTCTGCCAGAGCTCAACTGCATGTCACTTTTCATTGTTCCCAAAGAAATGTTCACTTTAAATATTTATTTCTGCTATTTCACTCATGCTCCAAGGCTCCACTCCACTATGTCAACATTCATATATATTTACTTCTATTGACTTCCAGTCATTTCTCCACGGCCTTCCCTACATGGAGAGGTGACAGCTGATTGCCTTTGTGACATGATTTGAGTGTTGTCATCTGATCCAAGCTTCTTTAGACATATTGTCTACCGCGGTCTGCCTCTTTTCACTAGCCAAGGCACCTGCCTGGAACCTGAAACGCCCTTTATTAGTGTCTCCTTTGGAATAAAACTTCGCAGTCTACCTTCAAGTATAAATGTGTCTTGGAAAGAAAAGCATGTCGATATATTCCTAGATAAATCCCCCAATATGGAACCAAACGCAGTAATTACTTGATATTTTTGAGAAATGGGTTGGGAAAGTCTGGAGCATGTGGCACAACCTAGGGAGGGTTTTGCTATGTTGATAACCTCAGCAAAGGTGACTGGGAAGATGCACACAGCCAGGGAAAGAAAGCCTCAGGGCAATTAAAATCTGCTTAAGCAGACCACTGAAAGAAAAAAGTGACCATTAGGCCAAGATATGAAGTTTTAGAGATCTTTCATTTAATTCACAGTTTTGCCTGAGACAGGCCCAGATTCCTTCCTTCCTGGGATATGAGTCTTCTCTTTCTTTTCCATTTTAATGCAATATCACTTCTGTCGTATGTCAGTAGTACCAGAAATGGTTGCTTTCCCTGCACCACGTAGACATCAGCTAATACAAATTTGCAAGGGCCTCAAGATTCAGCAGAGTAAAGGGTTCTACATGTATTGTAAACAAGCGACTGACTATCATGATCTCACAGCCTCCATTTCAAAGAGCCTAGCAATATTCTGGAGCTTATTAGCATATCCATGTGTCAAATAAAGCCCATGTTTCATATATAGTGCCTTATTAAATAATGATTATGTCTCAAGGTAGGAGATGAACATATTTCATCTTTTTTTTTCTCTGCAGTTAAATAAGAAGGTTACCCTCAGCAGCTATTGACAGGTATGAATGGCCAAATCGACACTGTTCCTGGCACTGAAATTTAAGCTGCACCCACTTTCCCCATGCACACGTTGCCCCATGCATCTATTTTAAAATTATTTCTGACTTTAAGATTAGCAAAGGTGAAAGATTCATGATAGTGTAGCCTAGGGCTCTCCATGCTGAACTCCATTTTCAGTGTTTTAATATATGATACAACACTGCATTTCAAGCAATGCACAGCCAGAGGGACTAGATCTGCTTCTCCAGGGATGTTGAGGTGATTCTACTTCCAAACTTATTGAGATCTTTGCTTCTTTGGAAATAAAATTCTAAAGTTAGACTGAGTCTTGCCATTCTGGACCCTGTCTAGGTTTTGCTTGGAGCTATTTATAAGTGAATGACAATCATTCCCTGTGGTGTCAATAATTGATGATGTAGGACAAGCTGTAGTTTGATTAATGTCTAAATGCTATTTGACATATACCCAAATTTTAAAAATAGTTTTGGTGGCCAGGCGCAGTGGCTCATGCCTGTAATCCCAGCACTTTGGGAAGCCAAGGTGGGTGGATCACTAGGTCAGGAGATCGAGACCATCCTGGCCAACATGGTGAAACCCCATCTCTAGTAAAAATACAAAAAATTAGCTGGGCATGGTGGCACGCACCTGTAGTCCCAGCTACTCGGGAGACTGAGGCAGGAAATTGCTTGAACCCGGGAGGCAGAGGTTGCAGTGAGCTGAGACCGCGCCTCTGCACTCCAGCCTGGGTGACAGAGCGAGACTCTGTCTGAAAAAAAAAAAAAGCTTTGGCTTCCCATTTCCTGCTTCTATCGCTACTAAAAATAATGCTTCTACTAGGTACCAGAAAATATTTGGCCACATTAACTAATAGAGAATTGTTTTCTGTTTAGCAGGACTATGACGGAAAGATATCTATTTCCTCATTGTGTATGCTGAGTTTCAAGTGTGAAATTACCGTATGAGAGAGAAATACTGGAAGCCTCTGACTGCTCTATCCTTGAATGAGGCCACATCTGAAGTACGATAGAAAAAAATGACAGTGCATGTGATCCTATTAATATGCTTCTTATTAAAATAACTGAATACCTAGTATTGACACTAATAGATACTACTACTTAATAGTTTAGAAAAGCTCAAATAGCAAATCATATAAATCTTACAATATTAAAACCTCACTTTAATATGATCTATCACATTCCAGGGCCAAAGAACACATTAGGTTCTTTCAAATCTAAGACTCTATACAGTGAAAGCCCAAAGTAACTTAGTCTTACCATTTAACACAAGCATATAAAGGTTCCTCGAGCATCAGTTGGGTTTCTTGTATACTTTAAATACAGATTACTTTCATGTGGTATGAAAGTATAATTCTTCACACTAGATATTGGAGCCATGTTGACTGTTCATTTATTTATTCCCCAGATACTTATTCAATATTGTATCAGGTTGAATGGTGGCTCCCCAAAACTATGTCCACCCAGAACCTCAGAATGTCGTCTTACATGGAATAAAGGCCTTTGCAGATGTAATTAAGGTAAGGATCATTATTAGATGATATAACCCTGGATTAGGGTGGGCCTTAAATCCAATCACAAGTTCTTATAAGAGAAGAAGAAACAGATAAAAAGACACACAGGGAAATTCCATGTGAAGAAGGAGGCAGAGATGGGAGTTACACTGCTTTATGCCAAGGAATGCCAGGTGTAGTCAGCAGCCATAGAATTTAGGAGAAAGGCATGGGACACATTGCCTCTCAGAGCCTCCAGAAGAAACCAACATTGCTGACACCTTGATTTCTGAATTCTGGTCTCCAGAACTGTGACAGAATAAATTTCTGTTGTTTTAAGCCACCGAATTTTCTATGGCAGCCTAGGAACCTAATACAAATATCAGCAACATGCCAGGTTCTGGGCTTGGTACTTGCCATATAGAGATAAAAAACCCAGTTCCTTCCTCTGAAAAGTTTGTGGTTGCCTGGGGAAGAATGTCCAATAAACCAACAGTGACAATGCATTAGAATGGATAGGGAACTGTGAGGATGCCATAGAGGACAACCAACCCAGAAAGTGAACAAGATGTAGTCAGGGAAGCCTTCTGGAAGAGGGGATGGTTGAGCCGAGTTTGTAAAGACTTTCCAGATTATTCAGTCCTGATTAGGACCAAACACACATTTCAGCTGATTACTACTACTACTATTGCTACTGCAATGAACAGAATGTTTAGAGCAGGCAGTCACTAACAGTGTCTAGCACACTTGTCCAGATTTCAAGACTTCTCCAGCTTTCTCAAAGCTCCTTCTCCTCTACATCTTATTAGACTACCCACTTTGTGGGAAAAAAATATTAAGAATTCTTTGAATTGAGACTGTATTCTCTGTAAAAGTACACATTCATCCTGCAAGACAGGAACAGATTTTGCTATTACCAGTCAGTAACACCTCAGCAGGAATGAACCCAGCATTCCTATCTAAAGGGTGCCCTAGATGTGGGAAAGAGAGGCATAGCAAGTTGCAGTGGTATAAAACTGTAAAAGCAAATGAGCAGGCCCCAGTGGGCGTTCTTCCTGCCTGACTGCGGCAGAGCTAAGCCAAATGGAGGGGAGTTGGGCAGTCAGGATGCAAGTTTGTAGGAATGCGAGAATCAGTGGGACACACATTCAGAACAAAGAAGTGAAGGCAAGAGAGTGAGCTCTGAGAGAGGTGTTGCCATTGGATGACTTTCTCTTTGGCAAATCCTGCTTGCTGACAGTGCTGGCCAGCCAGTTATCCTCTCTGCCCCCTTCCTTATATTCTTTTCATGGCTTCATTGATTTTGGTGTATAGAGCTTAAAGCACCCAACTTGTAAGTTCCGTTTCAGGTTATTTAGCGTACAACTCTTAATTTCAACCTTACCTACACTGAGATACGAATTAAAATGTTTTAGCTGAAAATCTGTATTTTTGCCCACACATCCTTATAATAGTCCTACACCTCTGTCATATGCATTAGAAATATTTTAGTATTGTTCATTCACTCTATTTCTCACTTATTAACTTTTGTTTTCTTGTGTTATGGTGGAAAGAACACAAGTTTGTTGTAAGGCAGGTGTACGTTTGGAGCTACTGTGGTCTTGGGCAAGTTATCTAATCTCTACTACCCGGTTTCTTCTGTACAATGGTGTTACAGGTTGAATTGTGCCCTTTTAAAATTTATACGTCTAAATACTTACCCCCCAACTTCAGAAAGTGGAGATAGGGTCTTTATAGAGGTAATTAAGTTGAAATTGTTAACTTACTTGGTTGTTAGGATGGGCCTTAATCCAATCTGACTGCTGTCTCTATAAAAGGAGGAAATCTGGACACAGACATGCAGAGAAGGAAGATTATGTGAAGAGATATAGTGAAAAGACTCATTAACAAGCCAAAGAGAGAGGTCTAGAGCAAATCTGCCCCTCACAGCCCTCAGAAAGAACCAACTCTGCTGACATCCAGATTTTGGACTTCTAGTCTTCAGAACTATGAGACAATAAACTTCTGATGTTTCAGGCACCCAGTTTGTGGTCTTTTTCTTTGGCAACCCTAGCAAACTAATTCAAATGGCAATAATAATAGTTACCTCAAAAGGTGGTTTATGGAGATTATTTAATGTGGCAGAAGTTGTTGGCTGCTTTTTCCAAGACATCACCTTTTCTTGCTAATTAACAGTGCTCTAATTTTTCTTTAGGTAACAGGAAGAGATCCCTTGATCTCAAATAGGTAGAGGCAATCCCTGGAACAGGGTGAGCTTGTGACAGAGCTATGGCCCATGAGATATAAAGGGAGGCTGCTGTGGGGCTCTGAGAAAGATATTTTTTTTCCTGATAAGAGGCGCACAGGAGGAGCAACACTGGCCTGTGTTGCCCTTTGTCTCAAGGCTTTGAAAGTGGATTGTGGGAGTATGTGATGCTTGATGCTGCTGCAGCCGTCTCAGAACGTGGGAACATTGAAGAGGAGAAAAGTATCACAGAAATTGCTGAACTGATCAGGAGCTCTGATTTCATTGATTTGTTGAATCAATTCCAGTGACTGCCTATATCCAGACTGCTTGTCTTAAGAAGAAATAAACTTTTATTGTTTAGGCACTGTTAGCTGGAGATTCTAACAGCAAACCAAAGCAGTCAGCCTCCGGCTTCATACTGTGCACTCATTAAACACCGCTTCCTCTTCCTCTTTGTTCTCCTGTTGAAGCTTCTGAAGCTTTGTTCCTCGTTCTTCCTTTTGAGGTGTCCTTATTTAGGCTGCCTTGATAGCCTGCCTCTTTATCTTTCGTTTAATTTATTTGGAAAAACTGCAGTTAGCTTCCTTATTAGGCGTGGTTTTTTTTCTTTCTTTGACCCATCTCTTACAATTCACTTCCTTCAGTTCATTTTCCACAAACTGACCTCCTCTCCTGCTTTTTAGCTCCCTTTACCCAGAATAAAAAGAGAAGACGAAAAAAGAAAGAAGGAAGGAAGGAAGGAATTTTCTTGTCCCTGGTGTTTGTTTTTGTGCAACTAGGAGGATAAGATCCCGGGATAAAGCCCTTGCTCTGAATCATTTGCCTTGCAAACCACAATTTCAGGATTTACAAATTACAGAGTGTGACCAGGGCTTTGGTGATGGCTCCAGAGGAGAATGGACAGGAAAGGGGCTGGAGTCATTGAACAGGCTCTGGCCTTTTCCATCAGGAGATCACTGGTTTAATTTGGCTCAAGATAATAGCAAGCAAAACTCCAAATGAGAAATAGCTTGTAGGGGGAGGGAGAGGGGAGGAAGTAAAAGGAAAGGCATGTATTTTAAAACCAATTTTCATTTAATACATCACTGACAACATTGGAACAAGGGTAAAAAGAGAAAACATTCCAGTCTTCCTCCTCCTCCTGGGGTCTTCCCCCCACTACCTTAGGATTAATCACAATGTATTATTCCAGGAAGGGTTTATGAATATGTAGTTACATATAATTATAGATAACATTTACTGGTGTAGCCTTTTTATTTTCTACAAATGGGTTCACTGTAAATACTATTCTACAATCTGTCCTTTTACTTCAGAATATATCTTGAATACTTGAGTGTACATCTATATACATTCCACAAATGCCTGAGTAAATGATGAGGTTACTCTGCTAAAATTATCTTTCAGAAAAGAAAGGGAATTATCACCAGGTCTTTGCAAAGTCTCTGAGATTATGAGAAGCTTTCTTTATTACTTAATTTTGAACTAAAGATTATTGTTTGGGAAAGACACATTAGCCTGAAACAATCTCGGTCAACATGAGTTTGTATACCTATTGTGGTCACCTGTGACATTGATTAAAAGGGGAAAATAAATTTATCACAGATTAGTCTTTATTTCTTGGAGTAAGACAAAAAGCTTCAAGCTTAAAATTGTAAAAACAAGCCTTTCAAAGATTATTTACAAAGCAACAGAATAAGTAGTTGTGTTGTGAGATCCAACATACAGCCCTACAGAATGAATCTTAATAAAACAGTTTTACTGATGTTCTATGAATGGGTACTTGTAGTTTGTGATAAAATTGCCAGTGATAGCATCATATGTGGGTCAACAAATGCTGTATCTCAAGTAACAGATGGAAATAAGGAAAATGTACTCTGAAAAAATATGTATCAGATGACTCAGAAAGCAGCTCCAGCTTGTAAAAGACTAATGTCAAAAATGTATGTGAAGTATTCATATAATACTGATTCAAGAAATGCAAAAAGTAGAAATATTTCTGAAGTAATAGGTTATATGATATGCAATCTTAAATGTGAATGTGTAACTAGATTAATAAATTAAATATAAGTAAACATTCAATAATTTCATTTATGATTCTAAAAGCATGTATATTTAAGTTGGCCAAAGGCTTTTTTTTTTAAATCTCCACATTGAAGAAGATGAGATTCTTTTGTATTCTAGGTAACTTTCTATTAGAGCATAATGGAAGATCTGCCCCATTCTTAAGGATCGCATAGTATTCCAGTTAGAAATTCACCATGCTTTATTTTGTCGGTTGTCTATTTACGGCTATTTACATTTTATGTTCTGCAATTACAAAGTTTCAATTACTTTCTCAGATGTATCTTCAGATACTGTTGCAAGTACATCCATGGAATAGATTCCTCCATCTGTCAATTCTGGGCCACTTTATATTGTAATTGATTATAATTTTTCATTCCTCCTTCATTTTCTCTCTTGCACACTAAGAGGGAGGTTCTATTAGCATAGCACATTTGAATTATAAGTAGTAGTCAAAATCAGCAAGGGAAATGTTTTATTACTGAGTACATTTTCACTGTGAAGGTCCTAAGGACCCCTCCCCTCCACTAAAGCCCAAGGTCCAAAGAACAAAACAGGCTCCTACCAAAGGAGAACTGAGTAGAACCGAGAACGTGGAAGCTGCAAACCTGGGAAAGACCTGAAAGATAAAAAGACCAGCTGTGGAGGAAGCTAAGAGAGGGGATTAATAAGGTGATTAGAGAGGAAGCCTTCTGATTTGCATGATTTGGACTCTGTGTGGTTTGATAAGTGCTTTATCCTGTAACTCCAGGAATACTTTATTTCTGCTAATGGAACTCAATGTTCACACCCTACCAGATATTGCAGACATTACTAATAGGTTACAATAAATACTGCCAATTCCCTTCCGGAAAAGCTGTCTCAAATTATACTCCCACCAACAGTTTTTCCCCATATTCTTACCAACATTACATCAAGATTTTTAATTATGCCAGTTAGTGAAAAATGATAAGTCAGTGGCATTTCTTTAACTATATAAGTTTAAGCATCTTTTCATGGTCATTGACTAATTGCATGTTTCCTTCTTTGCCTATTTTGTATTTGGTTGTTTATACATTTTATTGCTATTCAAGGAGATTGTTATATATTAAGAAAATTAACCCTGTTGTCTAGTGGGGTAAATTACTCCCCTATTTGTTATTTATCTTATATTGTTTAATTAATATTTATGGCTGTGCAGGAGACTTACATTCTTATATAATCAAATTTATCTTTCTTTTTTATTTTTGTATGTGAAGTATTGCAATAATTTAAGGCCAACTCAGAACACAGAAAAGCAGAGTCTCTTCCCAGACACTTTCCAGCCAAGTGACCTTGGACAAGTCATTTAAAATTAAATAAATTTTTTCCTTTACAAAGAGGAAATTTCTTCTCCGTTTTTTTTTTTTCTGCTTTGTTGCGAATCAAAGGAGGCAAGATTTACCAAAAGCTTTTAACTCCTCAAAGTCTACATAAATGATAAAGTAGTTTATGTCCGAAAATGGTGGTTAAAGGTAAAATATTTTTAGAAGATGAATACCTCTAAAATAAACTCTCGAATTAGGTGAAAAATAGCGCAGCTTTGCAGGATCAACTAAATCAGCTTCAAGCAAGTTTAGAGGTTTCCTAAAAAACTCTTTCTCCTGTTAATCAAAATTCTCTTTAAACCATCCCAGTCACCATAAGCCATCAGGTCACCTGAATGACCCTCACATTTGGAAAGCTCCCCATTTGTCTCATCAGTAGTAGAGATTGGTGTTTAGAAAAATTACCTATGTACTCACTCCTCTTTTCCTAGGGAATCTAATCAATTGAGGATAAAAAGAAAGAGCAAACTGGTGATGAAAATAGAGCATCAGCTGTATTTATGATAAAAGGAATTGGGGAATATGAAAGGATCTCTGACAACCTTCTCTAAACTTAAATCTTGGGACTTTACAACTCTGACTTGGCCACCAGGTGCAAACTGAAACAGAGACCAGGATTCTGCTCAGAGTTCTGCCTGGGCTACCAGAAGCAGCTGTGTGGCCTGTTTACTGAATAAGAGTCACAGGGGCAAGGCCCTTGGAGCAGGACACAGATTGGTGTAAAGGGCATAAGAGAGAGCTCAGCCATAGGGTGACCTAGGTATGTAACAATATCATGGTCCTGTCCCTGATCAATGCAGTCAAAGGGCTTCAGGCTATCTCCCTTTTCAGATGAGGCCCTCCCTTTGAAGAGCGTAAGGGCAAGTGAGACAGGAAGAAAGGCTCATCCTCTTCAATACTGCCCACATAGAGGTGCTGAATGGAACTCCTTGCTTTCTATTGGAAAGATGAGGAAGGAGAGTGAGATATCAGTCTTCAGCCGTTGAGAGTATGGGCTTTGATGCAGATGATAGTGGCTTTAAATTTACAAACATTAACTGGACACATAGCTGCCTCCTCTCCAAAATGGGATATGTATACCTACCTGCTGGGCTAGGCAAAAGAATTAAAGAAACAATATATGTCAGGCTCACTCCTAACCACTCTTTAGCCAAGTAACGGGAGGAGAACACGAACTCAATAGATGTTGGTTTTCTTTCTATGTCCCCCTAAATCTTTTCTAAATACTAGGTTGAGCTTTGCTCCTTCATCTCAGTGAAAGTGAATAGTCACAGATCCACTGTTTAGTTTCACATTCTTGCAGCTAATTTCTTCACATTCTGGAAGCCATTTATTTTATCCCTTTCCACTTGAGCTCAATAACCTAACTCTGGACTTTGCTATGGCTCTTCCAGAGCTCTCTTTTAATTCTCTCTATTTCTCTTAATTTGTGGAGCAGTAGATTGGGAAGGCTCCCCAAGACTAAGAGGGGTAGGTGCAGGTACATCAGGCTTCTCCTGTGGCCCCCCAAAGCTGCCTGCCTACCGTTATGTCTCACTCCTGACCAAGATTCAAGAGTCTTTTTCTCTGAATTCACTTGTTATCAATGATTCTACATTTCCTCCCACTCCAAATCTTGTGGCTACCCCTTCCACAGAGAATTCCAAATTAGGGTTATTAATACTCATGACCAGCTCTCCCGAAGAAAGCAGGCCATCTGGCACCTTTGGCAAGGATCCAAATTGTAACTGTTAAAAACAAATCCTTCTACATAAATGAAAAATAGAAGAATGAATACCAAAATTTTCAACTTTCTTCACCTATTTGAAGAAGCCAGAGGGCAGAATGGCCCCAGCTTTGGACAAAGCTCCCACCCGAAGCCATAGAGCACTCAGCCTTAGAGGGCAGTGACTTCAGGATGCAGACATAGGGAGAGGTCATTTGTTTCTCATTTACCTAACAGATAAGAATATGGAAATAGTCTCAGTCCATTTGTTTGATGGGCCTCCTAAGCCGGTGATAAACAAATCAATACAATTAGTTTTGGCTCATTATCATTAAGGAACCTTCACTGCTGGGACACAATTTAATTATACCTCTTACTCCACAGGAAAGCAAACCTTTTTGAGATGGGTGTCCTCTCTTGGGGTTGTGGCAAAGTGGAAGTGGGTGGGGAGGTTTGGAGGCAGTTTCTGTATGACCCCTTGAAGATGCTGTGCATGTGTGAGGCACAGCATGGGCCTGTCCAGGATGGCTCCAAGTGCTCTTGCTACAAGTTCTTGGGAAGTCATTTGAACAAATCTGCATTCTGTATGGAGCTCCAAACTATAACAGTTCTAACAGATTGAAACAATGAATAAAGATTAAAATGACATTGAATCCATCCCTCGCATCTGACCAGAAGCCAGAATGCCCGGTATGGGTTCAAGTGCTTCCCCCATACCCTTTTGTGATGGTTACATAATTGCCTTCTGCCTTAGCTTCTCCAGCTGAATCACTGGCGTGTGATAACTAACAAGCAGCTACTACTCTGTAAATGAGACCTGGGAACTTAACTTTTTGTACCGCAGTTGGTGCTCAGTGGACTTACAGTTTTGAATAGTGTCTGTCTAAATCTCAGGCAGATTTTTCCATATGGAGGGAGGGACCATTTCACATCTTTCTACTTGATTCCTTCACCTCCAAGTAGGCCTCATCCTTAATCCAGATCTAAAGAGATGGTCTACTAGAATAATTGCAATTTTGATTTGGAAGTGATGTTAGCAAAATCAGTGTGGCTAACATGCTAAGTTTCAAATGAGGAAACCAAAGCCCAGAGTGGTTAATTGGTTTGCCCAGATTGCCCAGCTTGATGAGCAAAACTTGTTACTTAAACTCAAAACTCAATTGGAAGGTTTCCTCCGCTATACCAACCTAACAGAAGATTCCTCAAGTAACAAAACATCTTCGATATTTGATTTACCATTTCGTTCTGTAGTTCTTTCCCACTGGGTTCCAAGATCATCAATGAAAAAGAATTATTTGTCCAAGATCAAGCAGCTTTTAAATTATAGAGGTCAGTAATCAATTAAATATACAATTTTCGAGTTGACTTTATTTTACCTTCCTTCACAAAGTACTGTGAGATACCTATTGATTTAAAAGTTTATCTTTAGGAAGGGGAGTTGGAGGGGAAGAAAAAAAGGTTATATTTAAACACATGAAAGGGGCCTGAATTCTACAACTTGGAGGTAAGTTACCTAGGAGAGTTTCCTGGCCTTCATCAGACAGTGAAGTAAGTTAGAAATAATTTTTTTTAAATTAAACTAGAAAATTTAGGGATTGATTACCATGGTACTTACCATTAGTTACCCTAAGTCATGACACTTTTTGCAACTTTGTTTGAGATGACAAAGGCAGTCATACGTATCTTCCCAACAGAACAAGAAATCCTACCCTTAAATATCTGCCTGATTCATTTGCAACAATATTACGAAGAATATACTGTTTTCTCAGCCACATTTATAATAATAAAATTAACAGTAAAAAAGGATCTGTTAAGTAAGTACCTGGCATACACACAGTATGTACATGTTACGGTTAATTTATGTGTCAACTTGACTGGCTCATGGAGTACCCAGGTATTTGGTCAAACATTATCCTGGGCATGTCTGTGAGGGTGTTTTGGGAGGAGATTAACATTTGAATCAGTAGACTGAGTAAAGCAGATTGCCCTTCCTAATGTGGGGGATGCCTCATCCAATCTGCTGAAGATCTGAATAGAACAAAAAGACTGACCTTCTCATGAGTAAGAGGGAATTTCCTCCTGCCTGACTGCCTTGAGCTGGGACATCATGTTTTTCAGCCTTCAGACTCAAACTGAAACATCTGCTTTTTCAGAGTCTCAAGCCTGCCAGCCTTCAAATGGGAACTATACCATTGGCTCTTTGGGGTTTCCTACTTGCTGACTTCAAATCTTAGAACTTGTCAATTTCCATAATCACATGAGCCAGTTCACAATAAATCTCTTCCTACATATATATGTGTGTGTGTGTGTGTGTGTGTGTGCATACACATGAAATATATTTTCATGCTTCGGCCAAGGGTAATAAGTGGAAGAAAGTAGGGAAAGTGTGTGTGTGTGTGTGTGTGTGTGTGTGTGCGCATACACATGAAATATATTTTTATGCTTCAGCCAAGGGTAATAAGTGGAAGAAAGTAGGGAAAGTGTGTGTGTGTGTGTGTGTGTGTGTGTGTGTGTTTATACACATGAAATATATTTTCATGCTTCAGCCAAGGGTAATAAGTGGAAGAAAGTAGGGAAAGTGTGTGTGTGTGTGTGTATATATATATATATATATATATATATATATATATATATACACATGCACACATCCTATTAGTCCTATTCCCCTGGAGAACTCTAATATACACTCAATAAATATTTGTGAATGAACAAATAGATTAGAAAACCTAATTCAAGAAACTTAAGAGACTTAGTAAAATCAAACGTTCCTCCAACAAAAATAAGCAACTTTACCTAAAAATAGGTTTCCCCACCAGAATGTCAGAAATGAGACTACTAGATGTTTAAGGTGATATGGATTCTAGGAAGAACAGGATGTGGTCGAGATACCATTTAACTCTCACAATAGATAATAAATGTATCAGGAAAAAGGCACCAGGAGTGTGTTCAGAAATCCTGCTGCCGAGATTGGGTAAAGGTTGTAATAAGACATCAAGACATTTTGACAATATATTCTACTATGTGAAAAACTTCATAGAGTTGTAGAAATTGACAGGATACTGACATGGCAGAAAGCCCTCCTAAGGGCCCAGGCAAAGATAAGAAAGGAGCTCTGATGAAAAAGAGGACAAATCTGGAGGTGTGGGACATCTTCATGAAACTGTTCATATCCCCTGAGGAAATGGCCCTACACACAGGAACATTTTCAGATTGTGGAGATTTCTGAAGTTGCTTCCAATTTGAAAAAGATCTGAATGGCTGAATTCAATACCTCTTCTTTTTTTAATATGCATGTTAAAATGACAAAGTGGGCCTAACAGATAAATCAATACATGTTAAACAGATCCTGAAATCAGACCAAACTGAATAATAATAAGACAGAAGTCAGACCCAACATTTGTACTCTCTTTTATTCTGGGGAGATAACATCTATATCTGTTATCCCATTTAAAACAGAGAGAGAGGCATTCTCTGTGTATGGTCCAGGAAGGCCCATATGTAGAAAACTAGAAGATTCCAAATTAATAGGGGAAATTTGAGAAATGGTCAATCAAAATCAGGAATCAGTACTTTGAGATCACAGTGCAAAATCAGGAGTGAAGACTAGGCTTGAGAAAAGAGACTAGAGGCGAAGGTATTATAGCTGTAGCTATTGTGTTTTTATTTCATACTTGGATCACATTTCTACTTCTAGTATCCTCTAAATTCCTTTGCTTTACAAGTCCTCCTCTAAGGGTTATTTTGCAGCACTACTTCTTATCAGTTTCTCTAGGCTTGGTGTGCCTGTAAGTCATGTCTTTTGGACTTTGCCAACTCTATATGGCAGCATCTGCCTCTCTAGCTTCTTGCAAAATCTCCAGCACAACAAGATTTAGAGCAGATGTTCTTTATTTCCAAAGGCAGCATTCAATTTTGAATGGTTGCTAAATGATATAAGCAATTGAACAAAAAATCTGAAATTGAATGTGGTGGGAAGTAAAATGAAGTATAAGAGAGGTCTGATGGTACCTTTAAAATAAGAAAAAAAAAAAAAGAAGGTGTCAACTCTTTGTTTCATGTCCTTCCTCTTTCTCCTTCTAGGCCTAACCCTAAAGGGAAGTAAGAATGTAGGGTTAGAAATGACTTAAGCAGTCCCAATCCCAAGGCACCAGAAGATGACCTCTTTACTCAAGAAAATAGTTAGTAGAACAGGTGAAGGTACATGGTTCATGAGTGTCATTACCAGTAGTACCCTGCAATAGATCTGTGGGACCCCAAAACTTCTCAAACCATATGCTTCATCTCACATATTTATTTAACCCTGTTCTCCTTCCTTTATTCATTCTCTTATTTTCAGCCCACCTAGATTCTTGCTCAGTATTTCCCTCAGGGTGGGCTTGTACGTATGCTGTCCTATACCACGGACTACTTCACATTCAAATTAGGTTGGTGCATCTACATCCTTGTACTACTGTGATGTTACAACATGGGGGTTGGCGGGTGGTTTGGTGTCCCAAGACACTTTCTATGGCACAGGTGGGGTTCATTATTGGTGATAAGCGACTGTCAATCAGTTTTCTTTCAAACCTGGGCAAACTACGTTAAGCTTTTATTATCACATAATCAGATGCTTAATTTTCAATAATAGATAATGTTTTTCTTTTAATTTTTACTATACCTATATTTTTCAGTCTTTTTTTGTTTCTTTTTTATGTCAGTCTATTTTCCTTACTTAATACTACTTATTCTAAACCATCATTAAGTCTACTATTTTATTTTACTTCCCATGAAATATGTGTTATATTTATTTGTTGTAAGGACTTCTTAGTAATTTTGTAGGCCTGTGCAACACCAATAAGGTTACTTCTGTTCATCTACTCGCTGGACCTTCAGTCCGTTCTTAAAAGGACAATGTGTTAACTCAGTCAGGGAAAGAGTGAAGACATGGAGTGAGAAAACCCAACTAGTCATGGTGCAGGTTACTTCACTTGTCTGTACTTTAGGTTACTCATACATCAAACAGGAATAACAATATATGCTGCTGATGCCACAGGACAGTTGTGTATATCTAATTATGTACATATCAGGATGTTTAATTGGAAATTTTGGCTGAACACTCAGCTTTCACGGTTATCAGAGACGAAAATGATCTATGCAACAGGCCAGCCTGTAGGACTTGAAAAAGAGATAACAAAAACTAATTACATGGCTTGTAGACAATTCAGGCACACTGAGGATATAAAAGGTTTGAGAGAAGAAAGAATTTGAGGGGGAATTTCTTTAGCAAGAACTGTACTTTGATGTCCCTCTTCCAAAGGAGTGCTTGCCCCTTCACTTCTACTAGTGAAAGAGATTCTGACAAAATCTCTTGGAAATTTGGTATCTATGCCCTGTAGCTGGGGAGATATAGTGAACTGGCATCTCACTTCCAGTGGTAACAATGGCAGATGTGTCTCCTAGAGTTTCTAGGAGTAGAGGTTTTATGTTTCCCTTAGATTAAACACAGGCCTACAAACAAGGCACTCAGAATGAGGTTGTGCTTACTCCATCCTGCTCAATGGGGCCTTTGAGATGGGAGACTGAAAACTCAGCATGTGGAAGCCAGGGGTGAACACCACCTCCCAATTCCTAGAGACTGTGGAAGAAGTAGGAAACAAGTCAGGAAAATACATGATCTGTATCAAGAGAACTGTGCTGCTGAAAGTTTCCCAGCACAGTGGTGGGATGGGCATTTCAAAGAACCTCTGAAAGTATCCCATGAGACAAAGAGTTTTAATATTGGCCAGACCCAGAAAATATGAGGCCAGCTTACAGCAAAACTGTTGATGTAAGATCTTGCCTCTCCTCCAACCCTCTTGCTTCAACTCCAAATGGTCTATAAATAGCAGCTAGCTAGGGCAGTGAGGAGCAAGAAAAAGAAAAGAAATTGGCCAGGTGCGGTGGCTCACACCTGTAATCCCAGCACTTTGGAAGGCCAAGGTGGGCGGATCACCTGAGGTTGGGAGTTCGAGACCAGCCTGACCAACTTGGAGAAACCCCATCTCTACTAAAAATAAAAAATTAGCCGGGCGTGGTGGCGCATGTCCGTAATCCCAGCTACTTGGGAGGCTGAGGAAGGAGAATCAATTGAACCCAGGAGGTGGATGTTGTGGTGAGCTGAGATCACGCCATTGCACTCCAGCCTGGGCAACAAGAGTCAAACTCTGTCTCAAAAAAAAACAAAAAAAAAGAAAAAAAGAAAAAAAAGAAACTAAATGCATCATATTCCCAGACTGCAGGCCCACTGGGAAGACGGGGAGTAGGTGTAACTTTGAATGAAGATGGGAGGTTTGACTATTACGTGGAACTGGACACTTAAAATATCAAATTGTGGCAACATTTTATTCTTTAAGAGACCAGAATACTTTCTATTCTCCAAGAGATATTAGAAAAGCTCTGAGAATGCCCAAGTGGAGTATTCATCCAGGAGCAGAGAAAGAACTGAATATATTTTAAAGGGAGAGGTGGCAAAATAATTTTATTGCATTCCGCAAGTTGTGTTCAAAACACTTGAGATACATAGAAACACACACACTATCTATACAATATATTGATATATAAATATATATCTCATATAACTTATATATAATATATAACATATAAGTATATATCATATACTATATACAATAATGTGCCCAAAATTGAAGTGTCTAAGGAGACTACAAAATAAAATGGAAATTTCCAAGGCCAACCTACTAAATGCAGATTTTTTTTTAAGTCTCTGGATCCTAGAACTTACTATCTGCTTTGAGAATTCAAGTAGGCCTAGAGTGTGGTGAGCAGGAGAGTCAGGAGAGGAATCTCATCAGAAAACTCTCGCCTCTCTAGCCATCTCCACCTTCCTATTTCTACCTCAGGTCTGGAGAGGGGACATGCAAGAGGGTCATCGAAAGGTCCGTGGGCTATTTTCGGGTCAGGAGATAGAGAGGACTGATGCCTAACTGACCCCTAACTCCCAGAGGCTGTCGGGGCAGGGATGTAAATGTTTCCCATGAAGCATATGAGGGCCATGTGAGTGAGACAGCAAGTGTGGGATTTTCTTACATCATACCTGAAAGTCTGTCTGGAAGATTTACACCGAGGGTATGTGCCCTCCAGCTACCTGGGGCTTAGGGAAGAATCACCAGAAATGGCCTGTCGGGGGATCTCTGAAGAGGACATAAAAGCTTCTTCAACCAGGTACAACTGGAACTATACGCCAGGCTCAGAGAACTAACAGCGAGTAAGAACTAGTGAGACTAAGGTCCTATCCACTTTTCTTCCCTCCCACCTCTTGTCCAGCCCTGAGCTGGGCAGATCAGGTGAGAAAAGAGGTCAGCATGGAGAGGGCGGAGAACGCACCTAAGTCCCGTGACCCCTCCTTGAAGCAGGGCTCCACCTTTGGAAGTGGAGAAGGCTTAATATTTACTCAAGTTCAGAGTTTTGATTATTCCATGGAACTGCAAATCATATTTCCTGAATTGAGACTGTGTTTCTGACGTCAAGGCATTTCAGGATGTCTATTATGCAGAAAATTATAGATCCTTTTGGAATTTTCATCCACATGCAAAAAGAGAAAGAGGGGAAGAGAGAGACAGAGAGCAAGAGCAAGAGCGAGAGGGAGAGAGAGAGAGAGAACTCTCCTAAAATATTTAAAGGGATGGTGGAAGATAATGGTCAACAACAACATAATAATATACCCTAGTGCCTGTCACATAGTACATACTCAATAAATATTTGTTGAATAAATGAGGAACATAATAGTTTTACACACACACACACACACCTGCAAAATATGTTTCTTCCAACAGTAATACTTCCAAATAAGTTCAATATTACCATAACAATTAATAGTAATAGTACTCAAATACCTGCAATCTTGATAAGCAATGTTTGCAATGGAGAACACTCATCCATCCATGCATTCATTCATTAATTTAAGTAATAAATGTTGACTAAACAACTACTTTTTTCCAAGTACGATGCCAGGCACTGGAGATATAATAATGATGCAGCTCCTGTCTTCACATATCTTACTGTGTGAAGAAGAAGGCAGATAAGCAAACAAGCAATTGCTTCCAGAAATGCTGAAATTCTGACTGGAATAGAGAAAAGAAAGGAAGAAGAAAGATGATCACACAATTTCTATGAGTGGAGCTTGCCCTGGGCCTGCTGGACAGTCAACAGCCAGTTCTGGACAGTCAATGGCCAGCGTGAAAGAGAACACAGGCTTGGAAAATAGCAGTCCCAGCAAAGAACAAGAGAAGGTAGAGGCTGCCAGGTAGGCATTTTGTTCTTCACAAATTTGTGCAGAGCTGGCTCTGGGAGTGGAAGCCAGGTTCCATTACAGACTCATGGACAACTAACTGACAGATGCTGGAATGGACTGGATGACTAGTGGGGGTCAAAGGGCCAGTATGCCCCATAAATTATTTTACAATGTCTTGAATTCACCCATGAATTTATTTATTCAACAAATATGTATTAAGTGTTGGCTCTGGGCCAGCCTGTATAAATACAGCATGGATCTAAGCTTACCCTGGTTTTCATGTTGTTAGTTACCACTTTGTATTGGCTGTTTTTGCATTGCTGTAAAGAAATACCTGAGATTGGGTAATTTATAAAGAGAAGTGTTTTAATCGGCTCATGGTTTTGCGGGCTTTACAGGAAGCATGGTGCTAGCGCCTGGTTGGCTTCTAGGGAGGCCTCAGAAAACTTAACAATCAACACAGAAGGTGAAGGGGTAGCCGGCACATCACATGACAAAAGCAGGAGCAAATGAGAGAGAGTGGGGGTGGAGGTGCCACACACTTTTAAATGACCAGATCTCATGTGAACTTGGCAAGATCTCACTTACCACAAAGGGGATGTCCCAAGCCATTCATGAAGGATCAGTCTTTATCATCCAAACACCTTCCACCAGGCCCTAGCTCCAACATGGGGGATTATATTTCAGCATGAGATTTGGGCAGGGACAAATATCCAGACTATATCACTCTTCTTCCCAGGACTTCTGGTTTTATTCTTCTCTGTTCTGCAGCCTCCGCTGCTGATACCCAGGCAAACAGGGTCTGGAGTTGACCTCCAGCAAACTCCAACAGACCTGCAGCTGAGGGTCCTGACTGTTAGAAGGAAAACTAACAAACAGAAAGGGCACCCACACCAAAACCCCATCTGTACATCACCATCATCAAAGACCAAGGTAGACAAAACCACAAAGATGGGGGAAAAACAGAGCAGAAAAGCTGAAAATTCTGAAAATCAGAGTGCCTCTCCCCCTCCAAAGTAACACAGCTCCTCGCCAGCCAACGGAACAAAGGTGGATGGAGAATGACTTTGACAAGTAGAGAGAAGAAGGCTTCATATGATCAAACTTCTCCAAGCTAAAGGAGGAAGTTCGAACCCATCTCAAAGAAGCTAAAAACCTTGAAAAAAGATTAGACAAATGGCTAACTAGAACAACCAATGTAGAGAAGTCCTTAAATGACCTGATGGAGCTGAAAACCATGGCACGAGAACTACGCGATGAATGCACAAGCTTCAGTAGCCGATTCGATCAACTGGAAGAAAGGGTAACAGTGATTGAAGATCAAATGAATGAAATGAAGCGAGAAGAGAGGTTTAGAGAAAAGAGAGCAAAAAGAAATGAACAAAGCCTCCAAGAAATATGGGACTATGTGAAAAGACCAAATCTATGTCTGATTGGTGTACCTGAAAGTGACGGGGAGAATGGAACCAAGTTGGAAAACACTCTGCAGGATATTATCCAGGAGAACTCCCCCAACCTAGCGAGGCAGGCCAACATTCAAATTCAGGAAATGCAGAAAACACCACAAAGATACTCCTTTAGAAGAGAAACTCCAAGACATATAATTGTCAGTTTCACCAAAGTTGAAATGAAGGAAAAAATGTTAAGGGCAGCCAGAGAGAAAGGTCGGGTTACCCACAAAGGGAAGGCTATCAGACTAACAGCTGATCTCTTGGCAGAAACTCTACAAGCCAGAAGAGAGTAGGGGCCAATATTCAACATTCTTAAAGAGAAGAATTTTCAATCCAGAATTTCATATCCAGCCAAACTAAGCTTCACAAATGAAGGAGAAATAAAATCCTTTACAGACAAGCAAATGCTGAGAGATTTTGTCACCACCAGGCCTGCCCTAAAAGAGCTCCTGAAGGAAGCACTAAACATGGAAAGGAACAACCGGTACGAGCCACTGCAGAAACATGCCAAATTGTAAAGACCATCGAGGCTAGGAAGAAACTGCATCAACTAACGAGCAAAATAACCAGCTAACATCATAATGACAGGATCAAATTCACACATAACAATATTAACCTTAAATGTAAATGGGCTAAATGCCCCAATTAAAAGACACAGACTGGCAAATTGGATAAAGAGTCAAGACTCACCAGTGTGCTGTATTCAGGAGATCCATCTCACATGCAGAGACACATATAGGCTCAAAATAAAGGGATGGCAGAAGATCTATCAAGCAAAGGGAAAACAAAAAAAAGGCAAGGGTTGCAATCTTAGTCTCTGATAAAACAGACTTTAAACCAACAAAGACGAAAAGAGACAAAGAAGGCCATTACATAATGGTAAAGGGATCAATTCAACAAGAAGAGCTAACTATCCTAAATATATATGCACCCAATACAGGAGCACCCAGATTCATAAAGCAAGTCCTTAGAGACCTACAAAGAGACTTAGACTCCCACACAATAATAATGGGAGACTTTAACACCCCACTGTCAACATTAGACAGATCAATGAGACAGAAGGTTAACAAGGATATCCAGGAATTGAACTCAGCTCTGCACCAAGCAGACCTAATAGACATCTACAGAAATCTCCACCCCAAATCAACAAAATATACATTCTTCTCATCACCACATCGCACTTATTCCAAAATTGACCACATAGTTGGAAGTAAAGCACTCCTTAGCAAATGTAAAAGAACAGAAATTATAACAAACTGTCTCTCAGATCACAGTGCAATCAAACCAGAACTCAGGATTAAGAAACTCACTCAAAACTGCTCAACTACATGGAAACTGAACAACCTGCTCCTGAATGACTACTGGGTGCATAACAAAATGAAGGCAGAAATAAAGATGTTCTTTGAAACCAATGAGAACAAAGACACAACATACCAGAATCTCTGGGACACGTTCAAAGCAGTGTGTAGAGGGAAATTTATAGTACTAAATGTCCACAAGAGAAAGCAGGAAAGATCTAAAATGGACACCCTAACATCACAATTAAAAGAACTACAGAAGCTAGAGCAAACACATTCAAAAGCTAGCAGAAGGCAAGAAATAGCTAAGATCAGAGAAGAACTGAAGGAGATAGAGACACAAAAAACCCTTCAAAAAAATCAATGAATCCAGGAGCTAGTTTTTTGAAAGGATCAACAAAATTGATAGATCACTAGCAAGACTAATAAAGAAGAAAACAGAGAAGAATCAAATAGACACAATAAAAAATCATAAAGGGGATATCACCACTGATCCCACAGAAATACAAACAACCATCAGAGAATATTATAAACACCTCTATGCAAATAAACTAGAAAATCTAGAAGAAATGGATAAATTCCTGGACACATACATCCTCCCAAGACTAAACCAGGAAGAAGTTGAATCCCTGAATAGACCAATAACAGGCTCTGAAATTGAGGCAATAATTAATAGCCTACCAACCAAAAAAAGTCCAGGACCAGATGGATTCACAGCCTAATTCTACCAGAGGTACAAGGAGGAGCTGGTACCATTCCTTCTGAAACTATTCCAATCAATAGAAAAAGAGGGAAACCTCCCTAACTCATTTTATGAGGCCAGCATCATCCTGATACCAAAGCCTGGTAGACACACAACAAAAAAAGAGAATTTTAGACCAATATCCCTGATGAACATCGATGCAAAAATCCTCAGTAAAATACTGGCAAACCGAATCCAGCAGCACATCAAAAAGCTTATCCACCATGATCAAGTGGGCTTCTTCCCTGGGATGCAAGGCTGGTTTGACGTATGCAAATCAATAAACGTAATCCAGCATATAAATAGAGCCAAAGACAACTACCACATGGTTATCTCAATAGATGCAGAAAAGGCCTTTGACGAAATTCAACAGCCTTTCATGCTAAAAACTCTCAATAAATTAAGTATTGATGGGATGTATCTCAAAATAATAAGAGCTATTTATGACAAACCCACAGCCAATATCATACTGAATGGGCAAAAACTGGAAGCATTCCCTTTGAAAACTGGCACAAGACAGGGATGCGTCTCTCACCACTCCTATTCAGTATAGTGTTGGAAGTTCTGGCCAGGGCATTCAGGCAGGAGAAAGAAAGAAAGGGTATTCAGTTAGGAAAAGAGGAAGTCAAATTGTCCCTGTTTGCAGATGACATGATTGTATATTTAGAAAACCCCATTGTCTCAGCCCAAAATCTCCTTAAGCTGATAAGAAACATCAGCAAAGTCTCAGGATACAAAATCAATGTGCAAAAATCACAAGCATTCTTATACACCAATAACAGACAAACAGAGAGCCAAATCATGAGTGAACTCCCATTCACAATTGCTTCAAAGAGAATAAAATACCTAGAAATCCAACTTACAAGGGATGTGAAGGACCTCTTCAAGGAGAACTACAAACCACTGCTCAACGAAATAAAAGAGGACACAAACAAATGGAAGAACATTCCATGCTCATGGATAGGAAGAATCAATATTGTGAAAATGGCCATACTGCCCAAGGTAATTTATAGATTCAATGCCATCCCCATTAAGCTACAAATGACTTTCTTCACAGAATTGGAAAAAACTACTTTAAAGTTCATATGGAACCAAAAAAGAGCCCACATTGCCAAGTCAATCCTAAGCCAAAAGAACAAAGCTGGAGGCATCATGCTACCTGACTTCAAACTCTGCTACAAGGCTACAGTAACCAAAACAGCATGGTACTGGTACCAAAACAGACATATAGACTAATGGAACAGAAGAGAGCCCTCAGAAATAATACCACACATTTACAACCATCTGATCTTTGACAAACCTGACAAAAACAAGAAATGGGGAAAGGATTCCCTATTTAATAAATGGTGCTGGGAAAGCTGGCTAGCCGTATGTAGAAAGCTGAAACTGGATGCCTTCCTTGCACCGTATACAAAAATTAATTCAAGATGGATTGAAGACTTAAATGTTAGACCTAAAACCATAAAAACCCTGGAAGAAAACTTAGGCAATACCATTCAGGCCATAGGCATGGGCAAGGACTTCATGTCTAAAACACAAAGAGCAATGGCAACAAAAGCCAAAACTGACAAATAGGATCTAATTAAACTAAAGAGCTTCTGCACAGCAAAAGAAACTACCATCAGAGTGAACAGGCAACCTACAGAATGGAAGAAAATTTTTGCAATCTACTTATCTGAAAAAGGGCTAATATCCAGAATCTACAAAGAACTCAAATTTACAAGAAAAAAACAAACAACCCCATCAAAAAGTGGGCAAAGGATATGAACAGACACTTCTCAAAAGAAGACACTTATGCAGCCAACAGACACATGAAAAAATGCTCATCATCACTGGCCATCAGAGAAATGTAAATCAAAGCCACAATGAGATACCATCTCACACCAGTTAGAATGGCAATCATTAAAAAATCAGGAAAGAACAAGTGCTGGAGAGGATGTGGAGAAATAGGAACACTTTTACACTGTTGGTGGGACTGTAAACTAGTTCAACCATTGTGGAAGACAGTATGGCGATTCTTCAGGGATCTAGAACTAGAAATACCATTTGACCCAGCCATCCCATTACTGGGTATATACCCGAAGGATTACAAATCATGCTGCTATAAAGACACATGCACACGTATGTTTATTGCGGCACTATTCACAACAGCAAAGACTTGGAACCAACCCAAATGTCCATCAGTGATAGACTGGATTAAGAAAATGTGGCACATATACACCATGGAACAATATGCAGCCATAAAAAGGATAAGTTCATGTCCTTTGTAGGGACATGGATGAAGCTGGAAACTATCATTCTCAGCAAACTGTCGCAAGGACAAAAAACCAAACACCACATGTTCTCACTCATAGGTGGGAATTGAACAATGAGAACAGATGGACACAGGAAGGGGAACATCACACACCCGGGCCTCTGGTGGGGTGGGGGGAGGGGGGAGGGATAGCATTAGGAGATATAACTAATGTAAATGATGAGTTAATGGGTGCAGCACACCAGCATGGCACATGTATACATATGTAACAAACCTGCACATTGTGCACATGTGCCCTAGAATTTAAAGTATAATAATAATAATAAAAATAAAAGAAAAGGCAGTAGCATAGTTGAGCAATTAAGAACAGAGGCTTGGGAGTCTGGGTGACTCTTGTCAAGTTATTCAACTTCTCTGAACCTCAGTTTCCTCATGGGTAAAAATGCTACAGTAAAAGTGCCTCATTGGAGGGCTTTTATTAAAAATTGTTAAAAATTGTTGTATTAAATGCAACAATGCCTGTGGAGGACTTGGCCCAGTGCCTTGCCCACAGGGAGCCCTGGGTAAAGTGAGTTATTTGACATTATCATTCCCATCTTTTCTGTTCTGCTTCCCAGTGAATTACACACTTTGTTGTACTTACCACAAATGTTGTGGTGTTAAAAATACTCCTAGTTTGTGAAGCCACTTAATACGGGTATGTGAACGATCTCTTCTTTTTTTTGTCTTCCTTTTAATCAGTGTTATTGTTAACAACTCAGAAGCAACACAGTAATTATGACTCTGAAAGGAATGAAATCTCAGGGGCTCATAACCTTTCAGAAAATGAAAGATCTCTTGGGCTGAAATTCTGAATCTTGGCTTTTACTGCTAAGATGAAGTGCATGTGTGTGTGTGTGTGTGTGTGTGTGTGTAAAGAAAATTTGTTAAAATTCTCTTTGAGAAATTTCTAATTCATTGGAGCATAAAAAGGTGTGTCTCATCTCCTAAAGGAAATTCTGTGTGCCTTTTTCAGTGCATGAATATCTCAATAAGCAGCTTGATTTTGAAATGTGAAACTTGCCACAGAACTTGGTTTTTGGGTAGGACAAATGCCTTTGATTTGTTTGAAGAAATTTGATTTGGAAATAGCCAAGTGATTAGTTGTCGAGACTAGGGCTTTGAAGTCACAGAGTATGGAGTTCTATTATGGGCCCTAGTGGAGCCCCAGACATTTGCATGTAAAATATTTCTAGAACTTTTGCATATGCTTAGATATTAAAATAAGCATGCCTAATGCATTTATAAGATCTCATCTGTCACATACACAATACACTTTAAAATGCTACCCAATGAGGAAACATCATCTTGTTGTTTAACCTTAATCAAATAGGAGAAAGAACACATAGTGCTGATGAACTATGATTGTTAAAGTCTTAAATGCATGGTTGTATTTAATTCTGTACATTGCACATTTGGGATACTGTTAAATAATAGCTCTTATGAGATCTCCATTTGAAAGAAACTCCAGAATGTGGAGCTGAACCAAAGAGAGTCAAGAATCATTGAAGCAAAATATAGAAGTCTAAAAATGACCTTGAGAGGTTATAACATCCAATTGCTACTTAAAGTTACAGACTTGTGGGTTGTTAGGGTTGGGGAGACCCAAGGGAGATCACCTACTCTAAACCATTCATTTAGCAAATCAGGAAACTGGGGTTCAAGTTAGAGTTTGTTGAAACCTTATTTGTACTTTTCTTTCAGACTTTCAAAAAAGAAAATTCTCCAGTTTCTCCTAGCAACATATTCTAGTGCTTAATCATCAGGAAATTGCAGCTACCTTAATTCCCTCCAATTAGGCCTATTTTCTTGATGAATGTGGATTTAAAATAATAGCACATCCTACATCTTTGTAAGTGACTAATGCTGGAAAATGACACTATGGCCAAATGTTAGAAATGGAAAATAATTAATTCAAAGATCAGAAAGCTCAGAAGGGACCTAACTAGAGATTTTCAATAGATACACAGTTACTGTATGATGATGCAAGGTCAGGAGGGTTTGAAGTATGTGGTCTGCTCCTGAATTACAACTCTGTCCCTTACAAACTGTGGAAATGAGCCAATTACTTATCTTCTCTAAGTCTCTATTTCTTCATGGATAATAGCAATGGAAACTAGTGGAATGATGCTTTTAAAAAAAGGATCAGAGGAGAGTCTAGCCCATTCAAATACTCAATATATGGCATTTTGATTGTGGTTGATATTACTGCTATATACAATATTTTCAGAGTAATAAGGAGAGTGATTACTTATTATTATTACCTCTATCATCTCTGTCATATATGTTATTTAAGATATATATTAATACCTACATAACATTTACTGCTAAAAGAGAGTTCAAAGATCTAATATTTGGGGCAGGGTTGAGGGCAGTCCTACAACTGATGATGAAAGGATCTTTATCTACTTTCTTCCTTGGAGATCATTAAGGATGATAGCAGCTAGAGGCACTATGTACCCCTACAGGAGACTGAACTAGGTGACATTTCCATGTCATTCAAATCTAGGATTTCCTTACTTTTATCTATCTAACATCATTTTCAAATTCCATCGTATTTTCCTAGTTTCATGTGGCATTAGCTCATGTTTACAGTTAAAGGAAACTTAAAATCAGATAAGGAAAGTTGCACGTATAAGGTTTATGTCCAATCTCAAGATCTAGTTATAGGAAATAGCTATTATTTTAACCTTTTTTCAAAAATGCAGGAGATAACTCTTGCTTGTTATCACTGGAGATTCTAATTTATCTGGGAAAAATGAATTTCAAATGATTATTGATAGTGATAACTCTTATGCAAATCTATTTCAGTTCAGTAGTTGAATATTAATTTGCACTATAATAAAAAGCAAATCCTTTAAGTTCTTTTCTCATCATTTAAAACAAATTGATGTCACAACATGACCAGTAAAGAAAAATAATCTTTCTCTATTATTTCCATTTGTTAGTTTCACACATTTAATTACAGACGTGGGAGCTGTCAATTCTGTTGCCTTTATCAACCAGTAGCTATAGATAACTTGACTACTTTCAGGTCAGTACATTGTATTTAAAAAATGTACATATTTTTTAAAGATTATTTGCTTTTTATTTTTTTGTTTTTGTTTTTGATTTTTTTTACAGCTTATAAATCTTTTAAGTTTAGCAAATCTTAATTACTTTTTTTAAATGTAAATTTGTAATGTGTAGGTTGACCAGTATAATGATAAATTTGGGTAATAAGGAGTTGCTATGATTTGAATATGTCCCCCAAAGTTCATCTGTTGGAAACTTAATCCTCAATGCAACAGGGATGAGAGGTGAGACCTTTAAGGGGCAGTACAATCATAAGGGCTCTGTTTTCAGGAATGGATTAATACCGTTGCTAGGGAAATGAGTTATCATGGGAGTGTGTTTCTGATAAAAGGATGAGTTTGGCCCCCTTCTATCCCACCCTTGCGCATGTTCTCTCTACTCCGTTTGATGGCTTCCGCCATGTTATGACATGGCAAGAAGGCCCTCACAAGATACCACCAGCATGCTCTTGGACTTCTCAGCCTCCAGAACCATAACCCAAATATATTTCTGTTCATCATAAGTCACGCAGCCTGATCATTATAAATTACCCAGTCAGTATTCTGTTATAGCAGCATAAAATGAACCAAGACAGGAGTTGACACATACACACTCAGGGGAATCTTTACAGGCTGAGAGGTAACCAAGATCTCATTTAATTGTATGAGGCTATGTGAGGTTTGAGGAAAAGGGAACAGATTTTATTTTGTCTGTTTCCATATTCCAATGACCCTCCCTTCCACAAGTTACTTACTGGAGTAACCTCTGTGAAGATACATGTAGTTCAAAATAGCCTCTTCTTTTGTGGAGTGGAAAGTATTTAGTTCTGTTACATGTCTCTATAATACCAGGTTAAGCATACTTACAGTGTTCTAGGAAGACTCTTAGAAATTAATAAGGCAGAGCATGGTGGGTTACGCCTGTAATCCCAGCACTTTGGGAGGCCAAGGTGGGCAGATCACAAGGTCAGGAGATCGAGACCATCCTGTCTAACACAGTGAAACCCCGTCTCTACTAAAAATACAAAAAAATTAGCCGGGCGTGGTGGCGGGCACCTGTGGTCCCAGCTACTCAGGAGGCTGAGGCAGGAGAATGGCATGAACCCAGGAGGCAGAGCTTACAGTGAGCCAAGATCGAGCCACTGCACTCCAGCCTGGGAGACAGAGTGAGACTTCATCTCAAAAAAAAAAAAAAAAAAAAGAATTAATAAACTAGGGGAAGGAATACAGTCACGAATCTGACCATAGAGAAGGTCAATTAAAGAAAAATATCTGAAAACACAAGACTGGAAAAAATAGTAGTACTAGGGGTATCTTTAGAGCAGGAAAGCCAGATCATTTTCTCTTGTGGGTAATAAAAACAAATTTTCTGTCTGAATGGGAGTTAGAAATACTGGGCCTCTATGACAAGGAACTTGACTTCAGTGAGGAATTGAAGTCTCCCTAGAAATTAGCTACAGGAAATCAACCAGAACAGAAAAGCCTGATACACCAAACACAGGATAAACATTGGTTCAATCTGGGAGTCAACAGAAATCCATCAGAAAACAAACCAGGAGGAACTCCAGAAAACAAAAGGATATGTTTGCGAACGTTCAGGACAGGTAGTCCACCATACAGTAGAGTAACTTCTCTGTCCAAACAAAATAACCTTTGACTGCCATAATATAATAAAGATGGCAACTGCAAGGTGAGTGAGGCAGCCTGAGTCTAAATAGGCTGAGACTTAACTTAAAGATCATCATGTGGGCTAAAGGGAAATTAGTCCAAGACCAGGCAAACAGCAGAGAATCAGATGAGATTAGGAGATGCAACACACAGGACTGTGCATGTTCATGAGACCTGGAGGAAGGTAGAAATGAGTGAGCTATTCTCCCCAGTAAGGAGCAGGTCCTACATTCAAGAAGCACTCACAGCTCCCTTCTCACCAGTCCTTGCTACTCCCCTTCCAAAGAGGACCTTGACATGGATTAGACTGGTTTAAAGACATTTTTTTTCTGATCACAGGCCCATAGGTTTCACAATACTGAGCAAAAGTGATCGAGAACAGAGCCCATGAAAGAGTAAGATCCTTGGAGGCACCTCTTCAGAGCAAGTTATGGAGTAAAATGAGCAAAGACTTCTGTGTCTTCAGTACTTAGAACTGTGTCTGGCATATGACAGATACTCACTAAATCTGTATTGAGTGGGTAAATGACTGAATGAATTGGTGAGAGGAGGCTGGACAGTGTGCTCTCCCTTGGTACAACCCTTGCCCTGAGAATACACAGAGTGAAGAGCCCCAAGAATGCAGGGAGAGGCAGACCAGTCTAGCTCTGTTCTGGGCACAGGGACAAATGTGCTTGGGCTTTCGTGATCTTGAGCTGCTTCTTCCTTGACAAGGTGCTCTTTCTGAGCCAGCCATCCCTCATGACTGGATTGGTGAGATGCCAGAAGTCAGGCCCCAGTGCAGGCTTAGGGTGATGGGAGCAAAGGAAGCTGCTTGACCAAATTTGCTCCAGGATCTACATTCTGCTAAGACTGACCCCAACCAAAAGGAACTCTGTGGCCTGGCTCACAGAAGACCTGTTTAGGGCCTGGGGCCAGGACCTCAGCTGAGAGGCTCCTTTGCCTGACCTTGTGTTCTCAGGGCATTAAGAATGTGGTCAATGGAAAATTGGAAGATTCAGAGTGTGAGTCAGGTCTCCATATGTCTTTTTAAACACATAATATGGTATTCACCAAAAAAAAAAATGCTGGATGAAAAGATAAGAATGTGATCTAGTCTCCAGTTATCCAAGGATAAATATTTCAAAGTACTTTATATGTTTTAAAATTGTTTCTTCTTTTTCTTTATCTTTGTAGTCAGTGAAAAATAGAGGGAAATTCAGGAAAACAGAGTAAAGGGGGAAAAGATGCCACAGGTATCTCTATGGAAGCAACTTGGGACATGAGTCAGAGAGACAAGACTAACCTGGATCACCACTTCCAGGAAGATATTTCACTCCTGGGTCCACAGAGAGTCAGATGCCAAGGCACAACACAGGCTGAAAGAAACACTAGCTGCTGGTCTGGCTTTCCCTCCCAACACTGATAGGAAAATGTCTGTAGAAGACCTGCTCATGAAGGGCTATTCAAGCTACTTGTACACAACATGAGTAGAGCTGAGGGTGGGCGATGGTCCGGCTGACCAGCTGCTCATTTTCATAAAGGGCAGCACAATTTTCAGTTGAAGGTTTTAATGGCAGCTTATGCCTGATGCCATAAAGCCCTGTATTCAAACTGCTCCTCTGAGGAAGAGAAAAAAATTCTGCAAAGCACAAGGATATGGTTCAGAACTAATGTGCTGAATGGTCCCCAGTCCTCAAAATCATACCTAACCTCATTGCACTGCAATGAAAAACAGTTCTATTCCATCAAATAAAATGATCAATGGTCTCATTTCATCCCAGAAAATGTCTGAATCAGAAAAAGAATCACTTAAATGTTATTTACTTAATGCATTTTCTCTCTCTTTTAAAAAATACTTACTGGCATAAGCACTCTAGTAATAAACAAGACAAATTTATACTAGAGCAGGGGTCAGCAAACTACAGTCTATGAGGCAAATCCCACCAATAGCCTGTTTTTGTATGAGCTAGGAATAGTTTTTACACATTTAAAAGGGTTGTAAGAAATAACAAAGAAGTATGTGATAGAGATCGTATGTGGCCTGCAAAGCTAAAATATTTACTGTCTGGTCCTTCATAGAAAGTTTGCCTTCTGCATTAGAACATTGTTCATTTTCTGACATCCAGAATTATGAAGAAAAAAAATAAGTAGCCAGTATGTCAGTTTCGGTTTGCTTGAAGTTTTATAAAAATTCCGACCCAAATGCCCATCAATGATAGACTGGATAAGGAAAATGTGGCACATATACACCATGAAATACTATGCAGCCATAAAAAAGGATGAGTTCATTTCCTTTGCAGGGACATGGATGAAGCTGGAAATCGTCATTCTCAGCAAACTAACACAAGAACAGAAAACCAAACACCGCATGTTCTCACCTATAAGTGGGAGTTGAACAATGAGAACAGAAGGACACAGTGAGGGGAACATCACACAGCGGGGCCTGTCGGGGGCTGGGGGCTAAGGGAGGGACAGCATTAGGAGAAATACCTAATGTAGATGATGGGTTGATGGGTGCAGCAAACCACCATGCCACGTGTATGCCTATGTGGCAGGTCTGCAAGTTCTGCACATGTATCCCAGAGATAAAAGTAGAATAAAAAATAAATAAAATAATTTTTAAAAATTCTGTGAAACAACAACATTTGTACCCTAGGAGAGAAATCTTAATGACACTTGTAAATTTTAAAATCATCTGCTGTTACATAATATAATATTACACATTTGTTACATTTTAATCCTTGACTAAAATGCAGTTGGCCCAAGTTTCTTATTGTAAACATTCCTGGAAAATAGTCTCAATGATAAGCCAAATATGTGAAAGTCCCAAATTACTAATTCCAATGACTATAGTTACCACTTAGTAACTTGTGCCCTTACCAGACTAAGTGCTTTTCATACATATTCTGCTTTACTCTTCAAAACAACCCCAGTATACAGCATTCTCCCTATTTTACAGCTGAAGTGACTGAGGTTTTTAGGAGTTGATATTGTATCCAGGGTCTCACAGTTAGTAAGTGATGGGACAAGGACCTAAACTCAGTTCTTGCTGACCACAGAGCGTAAGCCGCTACACTACACTGTAGCCTCTTTAAACTACACTGTCTCCCTTTTAAAGAGACACTATCTTTTATTTTTTGCTCTTCTTGCAAATATTGCACAACTTGGTGAGTGGGAAGTAGCAATCCTGACTGCCAGGTGAAACCTCGCCACCTCAGCATTCCCAGCTTCCTCCCTATGCACACACGGAACAAAAGTAGCACCATTTTGAAGGTTCTAAGATCCCATAAATGGAAAGCATCTCTTATCCTTCCATTGTGATTTAAAAAGCTGAGGTTAGGGTTTCTTATTTTCATTTGGTGCTATTTAAAGGGAGGACTCTTGAATGACGATAATTTTAGTTGAGCGTGTATGTTGCTTTTCTTATTTTTACATAAGCAGTGAAGCTTCCAAGAGGTGCAACTAAAATAAGGTGCAATCCCACAGGATGCGAGTTGGCTTTTTCTCTTCACAAGAGTCCTCTCCCTCTCCTCTCTTTCTCTCTTCCGCCTTCTCTTGACATCTCTACCTTTCCTACTCAATATAGGAGTTAGAAGGAAATTAGAAAACACCCTTTAGGCTGGAACAACAGGGAAGTAGAGCTGACTGCATCTTTTTGTTTGAAACAAAAACAGTTAATAGCTATTCTAATCACCTGACTCCATCCTTTGCTTCTGGTCTGTATCTCCAGCTGCTTAGGAGTGTTTTACATAGAAGTTGTGGTATCACATCAAGAAATAACAACTGCCAATTGGACTTATCTTCCCCCAAAATCCAGTTCTTTATCTAGACCATATTGCTGTTCACAATCTTATTTTCCTAGAAACAGAGTGTCATAGTAATCTTTATTTCTCTTTCTCCTTTGTCCCAGATCCAATCATGAGGTCCCGCTGAACCTTGCCACCTACTGCTCTCCCACATTTTCCTCTACCTTTCTCTCTATACTTTCCAGCTCATTGCCTGACATCTGGATTATGCCAGTGGTCTTGTAATTTGTCTCTCTGCTTTGAGGCTCTTTCTTTTCATGCCCTATTGCAGCATAATAAAGCTCTCAAAACTATTCTGCTTAAAGTGACAGTCCCCATGTTTTTGCTCACAATTCTGCATTGTGGGGAGGCTCTATGGCAATGGTTTGTCTCTGTGCCACATGTGTTGACTGAGGCAAGCTGGTCCTACTAACATGTCCAATGTCTCTGTTGGGGTGATTGAACTCGTTGATGCTGTCTCACTGTCTCACCCTATCTCTTTCTATGGTTTTTCATCCCCTGGGTCTCTGTCTACCTGGCCTTTCTCTCTGGCAGGCCAGGGAAATTAAAGCTTTTTTTTTTCTTGTTAGCTCAGGATTCTAACATGGCAAAAATGAAAAGTGCAATGTATCTTAAGGTTTAGGCACAGAAGTCACACTGTGCTACTTTTGCCTTATCCTGGTTAAACTAATTCCAAGCCTGGCTCAGATTCAATAGGAGGAAATGTAGACTCCACCTCTTGATGGGAAGAGTGATGAAATAACATTGCAAAAGAGTATGCAGGAAAGGAGGGCTTTTCATCTGATCATCACAAGATAAAATCCGTATCACACCATGTATGTTTCTACATTAATGGAATGTCTACTAAAGAATAACATGATAAGCACAATAAAATGTGACTTTCCCATCTATAACTATTCTCAAGGATGCATTAGGTGGAATAGAGGCAGGATATAATTCAACTCTGAAAGTCTACCATCCCAATAGCACTGCAAATGTATAGGAAACAGAAGATAATTTAATAACTCAAGAAAGGTATGAATATAATCAATCATTTATTTGTGGTAAAAATATTTTTTAAGTTCAAGCTGTACACTGCAGACCACAAAAATTTTCAAATGGTTCATCTCAGATTTGTCACCACCTAGAAATGTCCCACCTGTGGAAGCAAATGCCAGTGTCTCACTGTGTGAGCACAATTTCTTATCATACCTGACTTCTCAATCCTTTGGTTAGACTATACATTCTGGCTAGTGTCATCGGGTCTCTAGGAGTTACTGCTGTGTGACTTCTCCTTCATTTATGAGTTCTACTCTATTCCTCACTCTGAAACCTCTTGTCTCCCATCAGATGAGCTTGTTTCTATTTCACAGAGACAGTAAGCTGTTAGGGTTCAATCCTTTCAACTCTCTACTCCCCACCCACAAAGACATGCATTCTTAGCCTTTCCTCCTTATTACCTCCACTTTAGCCTCAGCCTTAGAGAACAAGAAGCCCCTTCTATCCAAGATTTATCCATCCATCTATTCACCTCTTCTCTGAATTCCATCCTCACTCGCCTTTCAGCACTATTACTCCATCAATTAATCCTTCTTCCCCCATTTGTAATCTGTCACTCTCCGAGAGCCACTTCTTTTCCCCCAGAATATAAAATAATCACCTTTCACCTAATTCCTGGCCTGTATCTACCTCTGGCCTCGTTTTTCTCTCCAATTTTCATAATTAAGCTTCAAAAGTAGTCTCAACTTGCTGTCTTCGCACGTGCACCAAAAACAACAGCTAATTTTTACCGAGTACTTATAATGAAACTGGCATTGTTCTAAGCATCTTATCCACGTGAACTCATTTACTACTCATAACAACCTTGAGATAGTTCTATTTTTATTCCCATTTTATAGAGGAAAAGATTGAGGCAGGGAGAGTGAGCGCTTTGGTAACATGCCTATTGTCAGCAGCTAGTGAGTAGCAGAGTCTGGGTTTTAGCTTGGGTGGTCCCTTTCCGGAGCTCACATCTCACTCACCAGACTACTGAGTCAACTGTTCATCCACTGTCATCTGGCTTCTGCCTTCACCACTTCCCTAAAATTGTTCTCACACAGATCACCAAGGCCATTCTAGTTGTCAGTGGCAATTGACAGCTATTGGCATTCATCTAACTTGGTTGAAAAGTTATTCATGAAGAGAAACGACAAAAGAGGAAAACTGAAAAGAAAAGAACAGAAAAGAAAAAAGAGAGAGAAAGGCTTCCAATCTCTTGTTCAGAATAGAAAGACAACATGGAAGCCTTGTCCTTGTCCAGCATGGATGAGATCAAGTAAATGAATCTTTTCTTTTACCCATTTATGCTTTACATATTTTAGACAAAATTTCTACATGGAAACACCTAAAATGTCGGCCATTTCAAACAAGAAACTCACAAATGAAGGCAAGATGTTCTATTGTACTTGAAAGTGACTCTACAAATCAATGCTTACCTCCTTAAATGTCATGTTTGCTAGGGCCATTGAATGCTTTAACTCATGAACACCTGCACAGACCATGGGCCAGCAAAGCTCTTTGGCCCTTAGAAGCACTTTATAAAACCCAGTATTTTAGCAATGGCTCAATAGCATAGGCATTTGCAATTGCTGAAAATGTCCCTGTTGTTAAAAAAAAAAAAGGGGACCCAAATCCTGCTCAACTTAGAAAGTAGAACTTAGACATTCTTGTAAAAACTGTTAGGAAGAGCAAAATGACAAGAGGTTTCAAAAATGATGCCTAAAGACTGAAGAATGTAAAACAAAAGGAAATGGCTCATTCTTAGATATCTGGATATTTGAAATTTCCATCACATTTAGAGGCCTAGCAAATGTTTATTGAATGCCTAACACATATATGTCACCATACTATGTGCAGAGAGAGATTTGAAAGAAAATAGGGCCCTACTCTCTTAGGTTTGAAGTGCTAGTGCTCAATAAATGTGCAAATTGGATTAACATGTATTTATCCAGTATAAATATGTTGTTTGCCCACTATGGGTAGGTAACTCATTGCCTTTAAGAATCCCGGCTTCACTGAGCTTATCGCTTACTGGGAATAAAAGACAAGAGCACCAAGAACACTGATACAAAGTAGAAAAACATATTTTTAAGCACTCAGAAAAACAATAAGAACATAGTAAGCATTTGGCACTACTTGTTAAACAAACAGTAAGTGCTTTAAGATAGGTTCATGTTAAGTGCTATAGACAGTAGATGAAGGAAATCAGTGGGTGTTTTATGAAGACAGTATCTGAACTACACCTTAACGGTATTCAGATGGTCAGTGATTAGCATGGAGGAAGACATTCCAGGACACTCACAGAGGCAGGAAAATCCAAGGATATGTAATCAGTCACTTTTGCCAGGATTGAGAGGTAGATTGAAGAAAGTTAACCAAGGAGTTAATATTTTAATCAATAGATGATAAAGAACCAGAAACATTTTTGAAGAAGGGTAGGACAATATTAGAAATATGACGTAAGAAAAATTGACCACAGGGTATTATTAACAAAGATCAGGTGGTGAGATTCAGAGAGGGAAAGAGATCAAGTCATGTTTGTCTTTGTATCAACAATCTGTAAAGGACCTGGCTACCAGTAAGCACAGTGAATATCTGTCATGTGCCTACAACATCCAATTTCTACTTCTGGTAAAATCACCTCAGCATAAGAATTCCCGCCCTGTGCTCAACCCAGTTTATGTGGAGCTAATCCCACTTCCAGTAGAGAACTGTGACCCAGGTATTCTCTTGGCCTCAGTGATGGCCTCTTGGAATGGACAGGTGACCTCATTTGGACTAAAGAGATCAAGCCTTGAGTTTTTATCCAAACTCCAGGGGAAAAGAAACCCTGGATTTTTCCCCCCTATTGGATTTGGGGAACCATGAGGGAAAAATCTGTTTGAAAAGGTTTTTTCAACAGGGAGACAACACAGGAGAAAATGTATTTCATGTTTGTGACATCACTTTCTAGTTCTTCTAATTTATTTTAACTTGCCACTGAAAAGGAACCCACCTGATAAAATAAGAGTTTCATTTAATGAATAAACAGAAGCATGAGCAATTGGTTTTATATACAGAAACACATGCAGTGGGAGTAGATCCCAGTCTTCAGCTAGCCAGTCTACCATATCATTTCCCATTCCCAGATGTCTACAATCCATTAGCTTCATGTGGAATCTTTTGCAACCATAAGCTGTGATTCATTTCCACCCAAAAATATTATGATCTATGTTTCTATCAAGTCAGTTACAGAGATTCACAGTGCTAGGCACAGAATGGCAAAGCAATAAATCCTTTGATTATTCTGTTGCCGAACCTAGATTTTAGAAAGAAAATTCAGGAAAAATTAAAAAAAAATTATATCATTATTGTTAACAGGTCATCAGTGTTGGCCCTGGTGTATCAATAGGGAACAGAAAGTAAACTTTCACCATTTTCTTCAAGATGGTGACACCTTGGTCTTCAATTAAAGTCATAATACTAATGATATTTATTTAGTAGTTGAAGTTTTACTGTATTAGAATTGCTAGTTACCAAAAAACAAATATAGTTTCACTGCAAGTAAAAAGTGATTAATACCCTCCATAGCACTTAGCTGATCCTTGTAACCCCTGGGCAAATACTAGAGGAGCAAGAGGGGCCATTTTCATTTGTGCTCATCTGAAGCAATGGCTCCATTAATACAAAAGATCAAATATCCATCAGAACATTTAAAGCTTGTTTCATTCTAGAAGTTTACTACAAACTGGTCACAACCACTCACTATTCCCGTGGTTGCATTACATTGCCAAGACTTTGGCTGCTCTGAAATAAAGTAACTGCTCACCTCTGCCTTACCTGTCATTAGACTGGTTGGCTTTATACATCATTCATAAGCCTCCTGGTGTTATTCATTGTGAATCTTTCTGGCTCAAGTCACATTCGATCAGCATACCAAGAAACAACTGTTCCAGCCAGTAACAAAACTCTTATAAGAAGAGAAATGATTTGAAACATATTCTGGTTTCAGCTTACCTTAATACTTTTAACTGGATTAGCTGTCAGGGATATGTCTCTTTGTGAATTACTTGATAAATTTGTGACTTTTCTCCCTCAGGGTTCTGAATTTAATTCATTCAATATTTACTAAACACCTACACTAGGCAAGACATTGTGCTAGGTCCTGGAGCAATGCTATGTTCTGTACTATTAGATATCGTCCCTCAAATCCACAAGGAGGTAACAAAAATGTAAATGATGATGGCATGAAGGAGGAAACAGGAGGGTGTGTGTTGTGTTAGGATCACAATAAATAATTAGGGAAAAAGAAGTCTTTCAACAACAGTCTTGTGTTAGAAAAACATCATTTTTGGCTAACTCCTAGGCTAAGCCATTACAACACATAATCAGAGGAATTTAAAATAAACATATGCAAGAATTGTTTTCTGCACAAATAACATTATTTTAATCCAGCTAATAATATTATAATAATCAATTGATTACCCTTTGGTGAGGCTTTCTCTTTTAAACCACCAAGGGAGAAAAAACAAATGAGTCCACATCAACAGGTTCAGTGGCCAAGGAAAGAAATTATTTTTTCCTGCATGACTTCAGAGTATTTTTCTCTTTCCCTCCTTCCTTCCATTCACATGTCCTACCTTCTTTCCTCTACTTCATAAGTATTTACCTAAAACCAATAAAAAGTTGAGGAGAAATTCTCATAGTTTTTGCTATTGCCAAATTATATTGATTTGAAATCACTTATAATGATTACACTGGCCCATCACACACTGGACAGGGAATCCCTTAGTCCCTTAGCCTCAATTGAGATAATGGGAGTGTAGATCCTCAAGTATTACAAGCAAAGACAAAATCTTTTGGTAAAAAAATGAGTAAGAACAAGAACAAACCCCTAACTAAAATCCTCCATTTATCAGTGCATCGAAAGGAGTGAGTGAAGGCCGCCTTGAGCATTTGCATTATTTAATTAACTTCAGGGCTGCCATATTTAGTGATGAGAAGGTGACAGATTCGAGGCCAATCTCTTTCAATATATGTTTGAGCTTCACAAAGAAAAATTACAGCATTCTCGTTTTCAGGATTTTCTATTTGCAAAGGTCAAGCCTAAAGAATTCTTTGTTTCTTATCATGTGAATGCAGAAAGCTAACAACAGACTCTTCAATGTGTCCCAAGTAGCTACTTAAATCACAGGCACTGAAGTATTTAGAGGAAATGTTTGTGTCTATTTGCTAATCAGTATCTAAGTGGGGGTCTTTTCTGTTTTCTGTCTGCTGCTTTAATTTTTTCAGGATTTTATGAACTCAAAACATTTTACATATGGGCAAACACTAAGCTAGACCCACCCTCACTCACTTGCCTATCTTTGCAGAATTGAAAGGTAGGGGGATGGAAGAAAGAAAGAAAAGAAGGAGAGAAGGAAGAATTGATTGATTCTGGTATATATGACACCCTAATTTTAGCAAAAAAAAAATTTTAGAAAAAAAGAAAATATAAGAGAGTAAAGAAGAGCTTTCATATACATAAATACCAATATTTGGCACTTAAATGCAAGCTCCTCACTGGCGTTACATTAAAACGAAATGTCCTTACCTGAGTACTGCTTTAGACTTTCATTCCATTTATACAGTGAAAATTGTATTTCATTTTATTGCAATTTATATGCTGCCACTTTTTAAATTATTTCAGGCAATAGCTCATTCATTATGTATTTGGGTACCCATACAGTTTAAGAAAAAATAATTGCAAAAAATTTTTCCTAATTATTTTAGTAATGCACAGTATAGGAGAAAAAAAATTGAAGAATATGGACAGGAATAGAGAATTAATTGTCTATTATTCCAACATCCAGATAACCACTATTGATAAGTTTACAACTTTTTAATATTGTATACATAATTTTTATCTCCCTTTTTCACATAACTTTACTGCAGACACTTAATCAGATTAATATTAATATTAATATTTTTCTACTTTACTCTCAATGCCTACTTAATAATTCATCATCTGACTATACCATGCTTTATTTAACTAATCCCCAGTTGTTGGGCATTTAGGTTATTTCCAAAAGTTTTCTTTTTTCCCTATGCAATGTTTATAGATCTGATTCAAGCATAGCAGGGATGGATCACCTATATTCACATTTTCTTCTGTCCTATGGCTCTTTGGGATAGAGCCCCTTCCAAAAAGCCTACTTACGCCACTCATATCAGGACATTTCACGGTTCATGGCCACAAGCTACACTGCTTCATCATGTTAAAGGAATGACTTCTCTCTAAATTATCTGATGAGATCTTCTTACTCCAAGTGCCAACATTAAAAATCCCCAAAAGAACAAGAATGGGAGGTTTCATTATTCTGGAAGAATGTCTCTCTCTTTTGTTCATTTATTTGGTTTCTTTTCTTTTTTTGTAAATTAGATCATATAAATGCCAATTCTCCGAATCCTTGACACTTTCAGGTCTCAAAGATTCATACTTGAACAACTAAAACATCTTAAGGAAAGTGCGAATAAAAACATCTTTTCATTAATATTAATCTTCACAGTCAAGTAGTTTTTAGATCTTATTGTTTAATACAAAAATTATAAAGCTAAAATATCATTTAACAGCTAAATCTGAACAATTTTAGCGAAGTCTGCTTCTTATCTATATGCAATAATTTTATATGCTTATAATTAGTACTTTTTACTGAGCTCTATATCACAAAATTTTAAACGTTGCCAATTAGACTTCATGCAAATAACCCATTACAGACTTTTAAAATTGACTAAGAGTCTCCATTGTTGAGCACGTAGTTGTTTCTAACTGTTCACTAGTATAAAAAATTCTGCAGTGAACATCTTAGCCTTCTGAATTCTTCTAAATTACTCCTTACACAAAATTCTCAGAAGTGTAATTGTAGTATCAAAGTATATTAACACTTGATGTATTGCCAAAATACTTTCCAAAGCAATTATATTGCTACCAGTAGTATATGAGTCCAGTCACTTCACCAACATTGTAGCAGCAGTATTGCACTTTAAAAATGCTTTCTAATTTGACAGATGTAAAATGGCAATTGCTCATGGTTTTTAATCTATGTATTTCCATGGATTGCTCTCTCAGGAACCCTAGGGAGCTATGTGCAGGATTCTCTGTGGCACTGTGTGTGAACTGGTAGTCAGAATAAGAAGATATATAAATAAAATGGTTCACTCAAGAGCAATTTCAGTTCATTGAGACATCTCTCCTCTTCTAAATAAAAGATTATCTGGGGAGCTGATACAAGTTCATATCTCCTTATATCTGAGACTATGTCATCATCACAATGATTTAACCCAACTATTTGAAACTGAAGGTCAGTTTTTCTGGAGACTACAATGTTCAACCTAGATTTATTTGAGATTAAGGCTATTACAAACCATGACTGGGAGAAATGTTTGTTATGACACAATTTATTTTTATATGAGCATCCTTTATACCAAGAGTCATAAAACATTTTACAGTGATACATAAGCTAATGGTCCTTGTAGAATGCTGATTTTTCAATGTTTATTTAACTTGCGATGAAAAATTGGTTGTTTTATTTTCTGTCAGGTAACAGCCAACTTTCCAACAATTCTGTTAAAGAAAATAATCTGAGAGATTAAAAAAGACCATAGACCCAGAACGTCATGATTTATCCTTTCCTAATGCCTCACAGAAAACCAAGAAAATGCAACATTGTGGAGAAAATAAAAGGAGAGAGAAATAATGAGGAAAAAAAATCAGCCCTCACCAACAGGAAAATCTGTCTACCAATTACATTTAAAAAAAAAATGAAAAATACTATCCCATTCTTTCCTAGTCAGTTTGCAACCCTTCAGCTGTGCTCAGTGTTTGGCTAATATGACATTTAAATGACAAAGTAAGACAATTGTAGTTCTACCTTCTCAAATACAGCAACTGTTCCCCAAGGAACTAGAAAGAAGAATCAATAGCTATAGTGTTGGATGATTTAGGCCTGTGGTATTATTTTCATAAATTAAATTTATAACTGGCCAGATTGCTTTCTTTAGCTTTTTCAGAGAAGTAAAACATCATAACTTTCCATTGAGACGACACTGACAGTTTTCAGATGGACATCTTAGCTTTCTCTTTTCTTTTAGTCCCAGTCCTTAACCTACTGTGAAAATGCTTGTTTCCAATGGAATAATGTGCAAGCAGGGTTCATCTAAAACTGCACAGAAGTGACTCAGCCAAGGCAATGGGTAAGCATTTTGTTCTCCAAGGACACAAGTTCAAAATCTGGAATCAGAAGAAAGGTTAATTGGGCCATGCAGCGAATGACTCAATATCTGACATGCAGAAAATTCTATTTTTGATTGTTAGTCACTTGGGGGTTCCCCAGGTCCTTTGCTCATATGCTGTTCATTTATTCTTCCTCCTTTTCCCTCAAATTCCATGCCCTCTACTCTGTTTCTATTGGAAGAGAAGGAGATGAATCCCAATCAGATTTTGTTTTTAATTTATAGAACGCCTGATTTTGAAAAAAGAAAGTTTGAAGTTTTAATAATCTTAAACCTGATGCCAAACATGACTTTTGGCAACATTGAAGGCAAAAAGAAAGAGATTTGGGGAGATGAAATAGTGGGAGGAATACTTCTGAGTTTGATGGAGCTGGGTTCAAATCATAGCTCTGGAAATAACCAGCTGTGCTTCCCTGGGAAAGTCACCTACATTCTTTTACTCCCAGCTTCTCTGTCTATAAAGTGGAATTAAGAATGACCTCGTAGGGTAATTGTAATTGTTAAATATAATGATAATTTAAAGATTCTAGTAGGATGCTTGTGAAGTAGAATGCCTGATATACAGAGGCAATGAATAAATGACCACTTACTCAGCTATTGCTGTTGCCAGGGGCTTAAATGATTATCTCATCCTTTTTAATTCTTTTCTGAGAACAGATGGCAACACTTAAAATAGGACTCACAAAGTGGGGACTGGTGGTCAACTTGTCAGCAAAGTGGTAAGTTCTCCTACTATTCTGTAAGACTATTCCTCCCGGGATACCTACCTCCATCCAGCCTGTAACAAAGCCTAGTGAACTAGGTAATTAACAATGAAGGCTCTGACCTATTGATGGGTCATGATCAACATCACCCACAGTTATAAATAGTTATTGAGCTTTCCAAGTATCAATTTCATAGAGCTAACACATATTTGTAAGAACCAGAGGTTGTGGTTTTAAATAACTTTCCATATTGATTAATAAGATGGCTTCCTGGAAACGTACAAATACGTAAGTCTTTTGAAATCATGGCAGAAAATTAGCTAAGGCATAAGTCAAGAGCACTGAAAGGACCTAAAGGAAAAAGTTCAGAGTAAAGTCGTGTTCAGTGAGGTACTAAGTCAGTGTCAAAAGGGTGATTTAGGAGTTTGTGGTGAGGGTATAGCAAAACCACAAGGGATGGCACAGTACCCTATAGGGGAAAGGAGGGCAAGCTAGGGGAGGGAGCAGTCACTAGAACATGGAAACAGAAAGAACAGTGTGGAGAGGACACCTGAATGAAGCTGTGACTTTTAGTAGAGAGACAGAGCCAACCTGGGTGACCTTGCAAGGAGGGAGCCGGGAGAACACATATGCTAACCTCTCCATTCTCCTTCCCTCTAGTTCCTGCTAGTGCTCCCCCTGGTTAAACCTAACCAGATGCCAGACAGCAAGGGAGCCCTCGATTGCAGCCCATATTGACCAGCCTCACAGGTCAAAGGTGGGGAAAGGCCCAGAATGAGTTGGGAGGGCAAACGAAGGATCTTCAGTCTACCCGTAGACCCAAGCAAGATGAATCCAAACCCTGCGGTAGGAAAGCTCCTCGACCAGAAGACTCTTCAGAGCAGAAAGTGAATCTCATTCATTTTTTATAACCCCAGGGTACAACAATTGGCTAGCTCAGAGTAAGCACTCAACAAATATTCATTTCAGGAAATGCAGTATTGCTTGGTATTCACTTTAGTATTAGATTTTTTAAGAAGAGCATTTTCAATTTGCTGCTCAACCGATCAAAAGCTTGGCTCTGCAGAGTCATAGAGAAATACGAAAATAGACAAAGTGACAAAAGTTTGGCATGTGAAGTCAAAACTGTCTTATCTCCAATGAGCTGTGCAAGGCAGCTCTGCACATGAATGCATTCCACAGCAAAGTCTGGCTCCTTCACAGCAAGTTGAAGTTGAAATCCTACATGAATGCCACTGACTGATATAAATGTAGCCCCCGCAATTTACCTAAAGCAGCGGGACTTTTAGGTGAACATTTGGAGAAGCAAATTTAAAGACGAGTACAAAATAAAATAATTCTGCAAACCTCAAAGTTAAGCTCCCACTATTAAAATTTTTAGAACTTTCTATGTGTTTTTCCTATTAAATTCTCTGCAGCATTTATACTTTAACATCATTAAAATAATTGCACTGGGATTAAATTTTCTAAACTTTGGTGACAGTTTTATAATAGCTTTTACAAAATATAAGACTTTAGGAACTACTTTAGCAGAGCAAGGGGTGTTTGACCACAAGTCACACACTGGGACGTCATTTAGGACAGTGTTTTTCCAACAATAAGGAATATACTTCAGAGTACAATCTGGTACACAGCAGATATGTAATTGGTCACAATGTACAATTTTTTAAAATGTGGATAGTGGTTGTTGCAATACACTCCCCTAATGAGCATCCCTGCAGCATTTGGCCTTCTTAAAACATGGCTGCACGTATGATATTTAATCAGTGCTAGTGATACTTACATGTTCTCTATCTATCCATCTTAAACAAATACTGTGTCTATGTGCCTAAATGTCTTTCACTGTCTTAAATGATGTCCTAGTGTGTGACTTGTGGTCAAACAAGTGCTAGTGATACATATATGTCCTCTATTTATCTATCCATCTGAAACAAATACTGTGTCTTTCTATGTGCCATGCATGCTGAGAAGTTGTATTCTTTTCTAGTCTCTTCATTTAAAAAAAAAATGCTGGCTGCCACCCTCAAAATTAATTTCAAGACCTACTAATGGGTAAGATCTCACACTTTTAAAAGGCTGTATGTGGCTTGGATCACAGATAAGTGCCAACTGTAGAAAATAAGAATGCACAAGGCAGTCTAAAAAAGGAATTATGGGGACTGAACAAAGTAAAGGGAAAAATAATGGAATGATTTACCCAGGGACTTATGAAAATGGCTGGGCCCATTTTATATTAAGAGTTGGGGGAGAGAGCAGGAAACAACCTATTAATTCACGTATGTACACATTTTTTTTTTTTACCATTAATTCCACTATTCATTCCACAAACTTTGAACTCCTGTTCTGTGTTGAGTCTTGAAGATACAGAGGTAAACAACACAGCATCATTGCTCTCAAGAAGTTTACAGGCTGGGGGGATGGGGACAGGTTTGGAGGGAGTTGCCATATCGATGACAACAGCTGCAGAAGAAGCACGTACAGGGTGCCAAGGAAACAGGAGGCCATGTGGTCAGGCTGACTAGGAAAGTCAGACACACTGCCCAGAGGAGACCATGCTGAAGACATGCTATGCACCATCAAGACCCTGCCCAGCTTGCTTTTTCAGAACTGTGGTCAGTTTACCTAAGTCTGGATCCTTATTCTGCTTTTTACTGTCTCACTAACCAAACAACTACTTAAGCCCCAGTCTTTCCATCTGTAAAATGAGAGGGTAATAACAATCACCTTGTGGGGTTTCAATAGGATTAAGTAAAACAATGTACCTAGGGAGCCTAGCATACCATCAGGAGTATAACACGTGGTCACTGCCACTACAACACTTACTGTCAACATCAGGTATATCATTATGCTTCCCCTCCCTCAAAGCTGATGACAAGAATTCCCTTGCAAAATGGTATCCCAAGTTAATAGAATTTTGAGGCTGGGTCATCCTGAGCCTGTAACAAGCATGGCAGATGCCCATGCTGAGACAGAAACTTCAGCCCAAAGTCTCTGGAGAAGAAGGAGCTGATATAAAGGCTCCAGCACGAAGCACCATTCTTCCAAAGTGAGTGTCTTCTTCTGAAGTTTTAACACTGTCATCTGAAGTGTTTAATTGTATGTTTTTAAATAATTTTATGCTTTTGAGGCTTAAGGGCACAGGGTATAATTACTTAGAGATGTATAAAATAGGGAGTGAAGAGCTATCAAACTCCAAAGTCTGCCACGGGCAACCACCAGGGGAGAAACTACTTAAATATAAAACACAGCTTATTAAAGTTGTACTAAGATTCAAATGATAACTGTTCACTATGTGTTTTGCATAGTTAGAGGATTCTGTGAAGGATGTGAACTACCAGTAGATACAGAGTATCATAAAGAACAATTTCACCGTGAGGAGAATAAAGTGGAATCAGATTAAATAAAACAATGACCAATCTGCACTCCCAGGATTCCATTTCTGCCTCAGGCTTTTCTAAGTTGGATCTTTTTGAACTATGAATTTACTTCAATAAATAGGCCATTCAAATGAAATGACCACAGGCATTACTCCTACTCACCTTACTCAAGGCCTACAGAAGCCTAAACCAACCATTGTAAAATCTGCCACCATTCCTCTCTTTACCCATTTATCCAAAATACTTAATAAAATCAGAAATTCTTAGTCTCCCACATAGTCACTGGATTTACAAAGGAATTCCTCCATGTTATAAGGCTAAATGTTTCCACTGAGAATGATTTTGGAAGAGAATGTGAAGAAAAAAATAAATGCTCTTTGAAAGACATCCATTTCTATGTATTAAATCAAATAAATGATAGATAACAGGCTGCTGTTTTGGGTTATAATCGTGTTACTGCTTAGAGCAATTGTTAATGCAAATAAAGAATAATAAAGTCAGAGTCATTCGGCAATTGACTTTGATGGCAAATCCTGACTCCTGGAAACACACAGTGATGAAACTTTACAGATGCAACAGTGTAACTTGATTCTGCGGTGTCTCACCTATTATCCACAATCAAAGGGCAGCTTATTTCTTGACAGGTGAAACCAGATAACCAATGATCAAAGGAAAAGAAAGGGTAAGGGACCCTCTTAGTGAATAGTGGACAAAGAATTTAGCAAAATTTATCCTTGAGACTTTCCCAAGTTGTGTGATTTCCAATAAAACAGCCAACAAGTAGCTTTTATTTTGTCTATAGATTTATGCTTGAAACACCACGGCACAAAGACAAACGACCCAATTTAAAAATGGGCAAAAGACTTGACATATCTCTAAAGATATATAAATGGTCAACAAGCGCTTGAAAAAATGCTCAATGTCATTAGTCATTAGGAAAATGAAAACAAAAACCACAATGAGATTCTACCTCTCACTGATTAGTATGGCTATTTAAAAAAATGAAAAATAACAAGGGTTGGCAAGAATGTGAAGAAATTTGAACCTTCAACGTTGCTAGTAGGAATATAAAATGATTCAATCACTGTAGAAAGCAATTTGACAGATCTTCAATAAATTAAACATAGACTTACTGTATCCATCAATTCTACTCCTAAGTATTCCCAAAAGAACTGAAAACAGGTATTCAAGTAAACACCTGTACAAGAATATGCATAACAACGCTACTCACAGTAGCCAAAAGAGAAATCATCAAACATCTATCAACTGATGATTGAATAAACAAAATGAGTTATATCCATACAATGGAATATTATTCAGTCATAAAAATGAATGAAGTACTGATATTTGCTAAAACACAAACTTTGAAAAATCATGCATGCTAAGTGAAAGAATCTAGACTCAAAGTCCACTTATTGTATGATTCCATTGATGTGAAATATCCAGAATAGGCAGACACTGCTAATTTTCTTCTCCACTCCCCTGGCAATTTTCACTGTTCTGTACAACAACAAGGCACAAGTAGGTTTACACATTTGTAATAAGCTACTCCCTCAACAGCCCATAGTCAATTCTATTCTTTTTTTTTTTTTTTGAGATGGAGTCTTGCTCTGTCGCCCAGGCTGGAGTGCAGTGGAGCAATCTCCACTCACTGCAAGCTCTGCCTCCTGGATTCATGCCATTCTCCTACCTCAGCCTCCCGAGTAGCTGGGACTACAGGTGCCCGCCACCACGCGTGGCTAATTTTTTGTATTTTTAGTAGAGATGGGGTTTCACTGTGTTAGCCAGGATGGTCTTGATCTCCTGACCTCATGATCCGCCTGCCTTGGCCTCCCAAAGTGCTGGGATTACAGGCGTGAGACACCATGCCAATTCTATTCTATCTCCATATTTCTCTGTATACTGGGCCATGATGCCTTATTGTTTAAGGGTGCTATTTAATTTGTCAGATCATCCTGAATCAAAGTTTAGAAACAAAGGATTGGAAGGAACCAAATTTATCAGAACTAATGGCTTAGAGATTATTTCTATAAAACTTAAACAGGGGTACATAAACTGCTAAGGATATCTCCCAATATGCTGGGAGGCACATAAATCCCAAAAGGAATACACATATCTTCCTGAATTGTCAGTTTGGCTCCATGATAAAAGATTGAAGAACATTATTTTTACATTAAAACAGATAAATTATGGAGCAAGATGCAAGATTCATGTGAACTTTTTTTTTTACAAGATTATTTTTCCTTTTTTCTTTTTTTTTTAAATTTATTATTGTTATACTTTAAGTTTTAGGGTACATGTGCACAATGTGCAGGTTAGTTACATATGTACACATGTGCCGTGTTGGTGCGCTGCACTCACTAACTCATCATCTGGCATTAGGTATATCTCCCAATGCTATCCCTCCCCCTCCCCCCACCCCACAACAGTCCCCAGAGTGTGATGTTCCCCTTCCTGTGTCCATGTGTTCTCATTGTTCAATTCCCACCTATGAGTGAGAATATGTGGTGTTTGGTTTTTTGTTCTTGCAATAGTTTACTGAGAATGATGATTTCCAATTTCATCCATGTCCCTACAAAGGACATGAATTCATCATTTTTTATGGCTGCATAGTATTCCATGGTGTATATGTGCCACATTTTCTTAATCCAGTCTATCATTGTTGGACATTTGGGTTGGTTCCAAGTCTTTGCTATTGTGAATAATGCCGCAATAAACATATGTGTGCATGTGTCTTTACAGCAGCATGATTTATAGTCCTTTGGGTATATACCCAGTAATGGGATGGCTGGGTCAAATGGTATTTCTAGTTCTAGATCCCTGAGGAATCGCCACACTGACTTCCACGATGGTTGAACTAGTTTACAGTCCCACCAACAGTGTAAAAGTGTTCCTATTTCTCCACATCCTCTCCAGCACCTGTTGTTTCCTGACTTTTTAATGATTGCCATTCTAACTGGTGTGAGATGGTATCTCATTGTGGTTTTGATTTGCATTTCTCTGATGGCCAGTGATGGTGAGCATTTTTTCATGTGTTTTTTGGCTGCATAAATATCTTCTTTTGAGAAGTGTCTGTTCATGTCCTTCGCCCACTTTTTGATGGGGTTGTTTGTTTTTTTCTTGTAAATTTGTTGGAGTTCATTGTAGATTCTGGATATTAGCCCTTTGTCAGATGAGTAGGTTGCGAAAATTTTCTCCCATTTTGTAGGTTGCCTGTTCACTCTGATGGTAGTTTTTTTTGCTGTGCAGAAGCTCTTTAGTTTAATTAGATCCCATTTGTCAATTTTGGCTTTTGTTGCCATTGCTTTTGGTGTTTTAGACATGAAGTCCTTGCCCATGCCTATGTCCTGAATGGTAATGCCTAGGTTTTCTTCTAGGGTTTTTATGGTTTTAGGTCTAACGTTTAAATCTTTAATCCAGCTTGAATTAATTTTTGTATAAGGTGTAAGGAAGGGATCCAGTTTCAGCTTTCTACATATGGCTAGCCAGTTTTCCAAGCACCATTTATTAAATAGGGAATCCTTTCCCCATTGCTTGTTTTTCTCAGGTTTGTCAAAGATCAGATAGTTGTAGATATGCGGCATTATTTCTGAGGGCTCTGTTGTGTTCCATTGATCTATATCTCTGTTTTGGTACCAGTACCATGCTGTTTTGGTTACTTGTAGTATAGTTGGTTACTTGTAGTATAGTATAGCCTTGTAGTATAGTTTGAAGTCAGGTAGTGTGATGCCTCCAGCTTTGTTCTTTTGGCTTAGGATTGACTTGGCGATGCGGGCTCCTTTTTGGTTCCATATGAATTTTAAAGTAGTTTTTTCCAGTTCCGTGAAGAAAGTCATTGGTAGCTTGATGGGGATGGCATTGAATCTGTAAATTACCTTGGGCAGTATGGCCATTTTCACGATATTGATTCTTCCTATCCATGAGCATGGAATGTTCTTCCATTTGTTTGTATCCTCTTTTATTTCCTTGAGCAGTGGTTTGTAGTTCTCCTTGAAGAGGTCCTTCACATCCCTTGTAAGTTGGATTTCTAGGTATTTTATTCTCTTTGAAGCAATTGTGAATGGGAGTTCACTCATGATTTGGCTCTCTGTTTGTCTGTTATTGGTGTATAAGAATGCTTGTGATTTTTGTACATTGATTTTGTATCCTGAGACTTTGCTGAAGTTGCTTATCAGCTTAAGGAGATTTTGGGCTGAGACAATGGGGTTTTCTAGATATACAGTCATGTTGTCTGCAAACAGGGACAATTTGACTTCCTCTTTTCCTAATTGAATACTCTTTATTTCCTTCTCCTGCCTAATTGCCCTGGCCAGAACATCCAACACTATGTTGAATAGGAGTGGTGAGAGAGGGCATCCCTGTCTTGTGCCAGTTTTCAAAGGGAATGCTTCCAGTTTTTGCCCATTCAGTATGATATTGGCTGTGGGTTTGTCACAGATAGCTCTTATTATTTTGAGATACGTCTCATCAATACCTAATTTATTGAGAGTTTTTAGCATGAAGGGTTGTTAAATTTTGTCAAAGGCCTTTTCTGCATCTATTGAGATAATCATGTGGTTTTTTTCTTTGGTTCTGTATATATGCTGGATTACATTTATTGATTTGCCTGAACTTTTAAGATTATATAAAACTTAAAAGAAATATCTATTAGCCAGATGTGGTGAAACATGCTTCTTATCCTAGCTACTCAGGACACTGAGGCAGAATTGCTTGAACCCAGGAGGCGGAGGCCACAATGAGCCGAGATTGCACCACTGCACTCCAACTTGGGCAACAGAATGAGACTCCGACTCAAAAAAATAAATAAATAAGAAAGAAAGAAAAGAAAAACGAAAAAAGAGACCATATAAATCTGTAGCAGTGTAGCTGTCATATATGAGTTTCTCATCTAATGGCATAGAAAGAAGTCACAGTCATATAGCTGAATTGTACTGTGGTTTACAGTTACTTCACAAAGTTTTTGTTTTTGTTTTTGTTTTTCTTTTTGGGACAGAGTTTCACTCTGTCGCCCAGTCTGGAGTGCAGTGTCATGATCTTGACTCACTGCAACCACAACCTCGTGGGTTCAAGCAATTCTCCTGCCTCAGCCTCTGGAGTAGCTGGGACTACAGGTGCAGAATAACTTCTGTATTTTTGGTAGAGTCGGGCTTTGCCATGTTGGCCAGGCTGGTCTCAAACTCCTGACCTCAAGTGATCTGCCTGCCTCAGCCTCCCAAAGTGCTTGGATTATAGGTGTGAACCACCACATCCAGCCATAAAGTATTTTTACATAAATAATTCTTTCAATTCCTAAGGTGGACATTCTACAGATAAGGGTAAAGAGGCTCTGAAAATTCAAGCAATTTTCATTTATAGAGGTAGTAAGTCAGACTAAGAGTCCAGGATATCTTAAAAAGCACAACAAAATGCTGGGGTAAAAGAGGAACAGAGTACTGGTTGAAAGTCAATACCTAGAGAATAGGCATGCAACTGTAGTCCTCTCCCAGAGAGAAGGCAAAAAATTTTTTCCCTCAGTACTTGAAATAAAGAGAGCAACGGACACAATGGAGAATTGGTTTTCAACTTGTAGCTGAAAGCCCCAAATCCATACACAGAATGGTGAGATCCTCAGCCTCCTGGAAGCAAGGGTTATGTTCCCAAGCAAGAGTATGAGGTGTTTTCTGAAAAAATTCAATGTCTCTCTAGAGAAAAACCTATATACACTAAATCAGGTATCCTCCAAAAGGGCTGGCTCAGCAAGACCAAGCTACAGTGAACATAAAACCTTCCACTCAAACACATTTCAAAATCTGTCTTTATTTTTTGCTTTATTCTTAAATATGAATCAGCAGCAGAAGATGATCATAAATTGAGGGAAACTTCCAAAATGAAAGTCAAATGTCAAAAGAAACAGAAAACAAGGAAATAGAAAAAAAATGCATGCATAATATATGCAGAAAACAGAAAATAATGATAGATGTAAATAATAAAAGATATTGTAGCCATAAAATAAGAACAGGTTGTTATGAAAAAGAAACAATCTGAAAATGCAAAAGTAGTGTTGAAAATAAAAAAATTAACAGATGAGTATTAAAAAGTCAAATAATTGGAAGATATATTTAAGTAAATCTCCCAGAAAGTGGAATAAAAGGACAATGAGATGAATGTTTGTAAAAATGAAATCTAGAGAATAAATTCCTATGTAATACAAAACTAACAGTAGTTACAGAAACAGAACTGAAAAAAAAAATACATAGGAGAAAATTATCAAGTAAATAATTCAAGAAAACTTTCAAGAACTTAAAAATGAATTAGAGACTCCATATTCAAACTGCTCACTGAAGACTAGCACAATTCATTTAAAAAGGCCAGTTTAAAAGAAGACCTGAGAAATTTATTGCAAAAAGATCATTGTCTAGGCACATAGTCATCAGGGTATCTAAAGTCAAGATGAAAGGAAAGAATCTTAAAAGCCATGAGGCAAAAGCACCAGGTAACCTATAAAGGAAAACCTATCAGATTAACAACAGATTTCTCAACAGAATCCTTACAAGCTAGAAGGGATTTGGGCCCTATTTTCAGTCTCCTTAAACAAAACAACTATCAGCCAAGAATTTTGCATCCTGGGAAACTAAGCTTCATAAATGAAGGAAAGATATAGTCTTTTTCAGACAAAGAAATGCTGAGAGAATTTGTACTACCAAGCTAGCACTATAAGAACTGCTAGAGGTAGCTCCAAATCTTGAAACAAATCCTCAAAACACACCAAAATAGAACCTCCTTAAAGTACAAATCTCATAGGACCTATAAAACAAAACCTCAATTTAAAAAACACCAAATTTTCAGACAACAAATAACAGGAATAATAGAATAGTACCTCATATCACAATACTAACATTGACTATAAATGGCCTAAATGTTCCACATAAAAGGTAAAGAGTGGCAGAATGGATAAGAATTCACTAACCAAGTATCTGCTGTCTTCAAGAGACTCACCTGACACATAAGGACTCTTCTAAACTTAAGGTAAAGGGGTGGAAAAAGATATTCCAAACAAATGAACACCAAAAGCAAGCAGGAACAGCTACTCTTACATCAGACAAAACAAACATTAAAGCAACAGCAGTTAAAAAATACACAGAGAGGCATCATATAATGATAAAATGACTTGTCCAACAGAAAAATATCACAATCCCAAGAATATATGCATCTGACACTGGAGCTCCTAAATTTATAAAACAGTTACTTCTAGACCTAAGAAATGAGATAGACAGCAACACAATAATAGTGGGGGATTTCAATACTCCACTGACAGCACTAGACAGGTCATCAAGATGGAAAATGAACAAAGAAACAATGGATTTAAACTACACCCTAGAACAAATGAACTTAACAGATATTTACAGAACATTCTACCCAAGAACTACAGAATATACATTCTATTTATCAGCACATGGAACATTCTCCAAGATAGACCATATGACAGGCCACAAAACAAGTTTCAATAAATTTAAGAAAATTGAAATTATATCAAGCACTCTCTCAGATCACAGTGGAATAAAACTGGAAATCAACTCGAAAAGGAACCCTCAGAACCACGCAAATACATTGGAATTAAATAACCTGCTCCCAAATGATTTTTGGGTCAACAATGAAATCAAGATGGAAATTTAAAAATTCATTGAATTGAATGATAATAGTGCCAAAACCTATCAAAACCTCTGGGATACAGCAAAGGCGGTGCCAAGAGGAAAGTTCATAGCCCTAAATGCTTACATCAAAAAGTCTGAAAGAGCACAAACAGACAATATAAGGTCACACCTCAAGGAACTAGAGAAACAAGAACAAACCAAACCCAAACCCAGCAGAAGAAAGGAAATAACCAAGATCCAAACAGAACTAAATGAAATTGAAACAAAAAAAATACAAAAGATAAATGAGACAAAACCTGGTTATTTGAAAAGATAAATAAAATTGATAGACCACTAGCAAGATTAACCAAGAAAAGAAGACAGAAAATCCAAATAAGTTCAATTAGAAATGGAATGGAAGATATCAAAACTGACAACAGAGAAATATGAAAGATAATTCAAGGCTACCATGAACATTTCTATGCGCATAAACTAGAAAACCTAGAGGAGATGGATAAATTCCTGGAAAGATACAAGCCTTCTAGATTAAAGCAGGAAGAAATAGAAACTCTGAATGAACGAATAACAGGCAGCAAGACTGAAATGGTAATCAAACAATTGTCAACAAAATAGAGTCCAGGACCAGATGGATTCACAGCTGAATTCTATCAGACATTCAAAGAAAAATTGGTACCAATCCTACTGACACTATGCCATAAGATAGAGAAAGAGAGAATCCTCCCTAAGTCATTCTATGAAGCCAGTATCACCCTAATACCAAAACCAGGAAATGACATAACAAAAAAAAGAAAACCACAGACCAATATCTCTGATGAACATAGGTGCAAATATCCATAACAAAACACTAGCTAACTGAATCCAACAGTGTATCAAAAAGATAATCCACCATGATCAAGTGGGTTCCATACCAGGGATGCAGGGATAGTTTAACATCCACAAGTTAGTAAATGTAATACACCACAAAAACAGAATTAAAAACAAAAATCACATGATCATCTCCATAGATGCAGAAAAAGCATTTCACAAAATTCACTATCCTTTTATAATTAAAACCCTCAGCAAAATCAGCGTAGAAGGGACATAACTTAATGCAATAAAAGCCATCTGTATTTGTTTGTTTTCACACTGCTGATAAAGACATACCTGAGACTGGGTAATTTATACTGGAAAAAGAATTTAATGAACTTACAGTTTTGCATGACTGGGGAGGCCTCACAATCATGGCAGAAGGCAAGGAGGAGCAAGTCACATCTTACGTGGATGGCAGCAGTCAAAGAGAGAGCTTGTGCAGGGAAACTCCACCTTATAAAGCCATTAGATCTTGTGAGACTTATTCACTATCATGAGACCAGCATGTAAAAGACCTGCCCCCATGATTCAATTACCTCCCATCATGTCCCTCCCACAACACTTGGAAATTCAAGATGAGATCTGAGTGGGGACACAGCCAAACCATATCACCATCTATGACAAACCCACAGCCAACACAATACTTAACAAGGAGAAGTTGAAAGCATTTCCCTTGAAAAGTGTAACAAGACAAGGATGTCCAGTCTTACCACTTCTATTCAACATAGTACTGGAAGTCATAGCCAGGGCAATCAGATAAGAGAAAGAATTAAAGGGCATCCAAATTGGCAAAGAGGAAGTCAAACTGTCACTGTTTGCTGATGATATAATTGTATACCTAGAAAATGCTAAAGACTTATCCAAAAAGCTCCTGCAACTGGTAAATGAATTCAGCAAAGCTTCAGGATGCAAAATTAATGTACACAAATCAGTAGGTCTGCTATACACAAACAGTGACTAAGCTGAGAATCAAATCAAGAACTCAACCCTTTTTACAATAGCTTCAAATAAATAAATAAACTTAGGAATATACCTAACCAAGGAGGTGAAAGAACTGTGCAAAGAAAACTACAAAACATTGCTGAAAAAAATTATAGGTGACACAAACAAATGGAAACACATTCCATGCTGATGGATGGTGATATGATTTGGATGTGCCCCCACCCAAAACTTATCTTGAATTATAGTGCCCATAATCCCCATGTGTCCTGGGAGACACCCAGTGGGAGGTAACTGAATCACAGGGGCAGGTTTCTCCCATGCTGTTCTTGTGTTAGTGAGTAAGTCTCATGAGAAATGATGGTTTTATAAGGGCAGTTCCCTTGCACACACTCTTTTATCTGCTGCCATGTAAGACATGCCTTTGCTCTTCCTTCACCTACCACCATGATTGAGAGGCCTTGCCAGCCATGTGAAACTGTGAATCCATTAAACCTCTTTCCTTTCTAAATTACCCAGTCTCAGGTATGTCTTTCTTAGCAGCATGAGAATGGACTAATACAGATGGGTAGAATCAATATTGTGAAAATGACCATACCGCTAAAAGCAATCTGCAAATTCAATGCAATTCCCAAAAAATACAACCATCGTTCTTCACAGAACTAGAAAAAACAATCCTAAAATTCATGTGGAACCCAAAAGGAGCCTTTCATAGCCAAAGCAAGACTAAGCAAAAAGAACAAATCTGAAGACATCACATTACCTGACTTCAAACTATACTATAAGGCCATAGTCACCAAAACAGCATGTTACTGGTATAAAGATAGGCATATAGACCAATGGACAGAATGTAGAACCCAGAAATAAAGCCAAATACTTACATCCAACTGATCTTTGACAAAGCAAACAAAAATGAAGTGGGAAAAGGACCCCCTATTCAACAAATGGTGCTGGGATAATTGGCAAACCACATGTAGAAGAATGAAACTGGATCCTCATCTCTTACTTTACAAAAATCGACTCAAGATGGCTCAAGCATTTATATCTAAGACCTGAAACCATAAAAATTCTAGAAGATAACATTGGAATAACCCTTCTAGACATTGGCTTAGGCAGACTTCATGACCAAGAACCCAAAGTAAATGCAACAAAACAAAGATAAATAGATGCAACTTAATTGAACTAAAAGGCACAGAAAAAGTAACAATCAGTAAACAGACAACCTGTAGAGTGGGAGAAAATCTTCACAATCTATACATCTGACAAAGGAATAATATCCAGAATCTACGAGGAACTCAAGTCAGCAAGAAAAAAGCAATCTCATCAAAAAGTGGGCTAAGGACAAGAATAGACAATTCTCAAAAGAAGATATGCAAATGGACATCAAACATATTTTAAAAAATCACTAATGATCAGAGAAATACAAATCAAAACCACATTGTGGTTTTGTGATGCCACCTTACTCCTGCAAAAATGGCCATAATAAAAAAATCAAAAAATAGTAGATGTTGGCATGGATATGGTGAAAAGGGAACACTTCTACACTGCTGGTGGGAATGTAAATTAGTACAACCACTAGAAAACAGTATGAAGATCCCTTAAAGAACTAAAAGTAGAACTACCATTTGATCCAGCAATCCCACTGCTGGATATGTACCCAGAGGAAAAGAAGTCATTATACGAAAAAGATACTTGCATATGCATGTTTATAACATCACAATTCACAATTGCAAAAATATGGAACCTGCCCAAATGCCCATCAATCAATAATTGGAGGTGAGAGATAAAAGACTACACATTGTGTTCAGTGTACACTGTTTGGGTGATGGGTGCACCAAAATCTTAGATATCACCACTGAAGAACTTATATATGTGACCAAATACCACCTGTTCCCCCAAAACCTATTGAAATCAAAACAAATAAATTGATTAAAATAAATGAATAAATAAGGCAATCTGACAAAAGACCGTTACACAAAATATATAAAGAACTATTAAAACTCAATGATAAAAAGTTAACAACCCAATTAAGATACACAGATAACAAATAAGCATATGAAAAGATGTTCTATATCATATGGCATTAGGGGATTGCAAATTAAAGTAACAATGAAATATCATGGCATACCTAACAAAATTGCTTAAATCCAGAAGACTGACAACATCAAATGCTGGTGAGGATGTGGAGCATGAGGAACTCTCATTCATTGCTGGTAGGGATGCAAACTTATACAGCTATGTTGAAAGACAGTTTGATGGTTTCTTACAAAGCTACCCATGCTTCCACAATTGTATTCTTTAGTATTTACCCAAATGAGTTGAAAACTATGTCCACACAAAATTTTGCACATGAATGTTTGTAGCAGCTGCATTCATAATTGCCAAAACATGGAAGCAAACAAGATGCCCTTCAGTATGTGGATGGATAAATAAACTGTCATATTCAGAAAATAGAATACTGCTCAGTGATAAAAAGAAATGAGCAATAAATCAAGGCATAAAAAGACATGGATAAACCATAAATGCATATTACTAAGTGAAATAAGCCAACTGAAAAAACTTAACATACTATGTGTGTTTGCATTAGTCCATTTTCACAATGCAGATAAAGACATACCTGCCAGGTGTGGTGGCTCACGCCTATAATCCCAGCATTTTGGGTGGCTGAGGAAGGCAGATCACAAGGTCAGGAGTTTGAGACCAGCCTGGCCAACATAGTGAAACCCTGTCTCTACTAAAAATACAAAAATTAGCCAAGCATGGTGCCACAAGCTACACGGGAAGCTGAGGCAGGAGAATCCCTTGAACCCAGGAGGTGGAGGTTTTGGTGCTGAGATTGCACCACTGCACTCCAACCTGAGCAACAGAGTGAGACTCCATAAAACAAAAAAAGACATACCCAAGACTGGGTAATTTATATAGGAAAAAGCTTTTAATGAACTTAGAGTTCCACATGGCTGGTGAGGCCTCATAACCATGGTGCAAGGCAAGGAGAAGCAAGTCTTACATGAATGGTGGCAGGCAAAAAGAGAGCTTCTGCAGGGCAACTCCCCTTTTTAAAAACATTGGGTCTTGTGAGACTTATTTACTATCACCAGAACAGCATGGGAAACCATGCTCCCACAGGGAAAGACCTGCACCCATGATTCAATTACCTCCCACCAGGTCCCTCCCACAACATGTGGTAATTCAAGTTGAGATTTGGGTAGGGACACAGAGCCAAACCACATCATTTCACCTCTGGCCCCTCCCAAATCTCATGTCCTCACATTTCAAAACTAATCATGCCTTCCCAACAGTCCCTCAAAGTCTTAACTCATTTCAGCATTAACTCAAAAGTCCATAGACCAACGTCTCATGTGAGACAAGACAAGTCCCTTCTGCCTATGAGCCTGTAAAATCAAAAGCAAGTTAGTTACTTCCTAGATACAGAGGGGGTACAGGCAATGGGTAAATACAGCCATTCAAAAGGAGAAATTGGCCAAAACCAAGGTGCTAAAGGCCCCATGGAAGTCCCCAGCAGGGCAGTGAAATCTTAAAGCTCCAAAATGATCTCCTTTGACTCCATGTCTCACATCTACCAGGTCACGCTGATGCAAGAGGTGGGTTCCCATGGTCTTGGGTAGCTCCACCCTGTGACTTTGCGGGGTATAGCCCCCCTCCTCTCTGCTTGCACTGGCTGGCGTTGAGTGTCTGTGGTTTTTCAAGGCACATGGTGCAAGCTGTAGGTGGATCTACCATTCTGGGGTCTGGAGGATGGTGGTGCTCTTCTCACAGCTCCACTAGGTGATGCCCCAGTAAGGACTCTCTGTGGGGGCTCTGACCCCACATTGTCCTTTCACACTACACTAGCACAGGTTCTCCACCCCTGCAGCAAACTTTTGCCTGGGCATCCAGGTGTTTCCATACATCCTCTGAAATCTAGGCGGAGGTTCCCAAACCTCAATTCTTGAGTTCCGTGCACCCGCAGGCTCAACACCACATGGAAGCTGCCAAGGCTTGCGGCTTCCACTCTCTGAAGCAACTGCCCAAGCTGTACATTGATCCCTTTTAGCCATGCTGGAGCAGCTGGAACACAGGGTACCATGTCCCTAGGCTACACGGGGAGGGGGCGGTGTCCTGGGCCTGGCCCACGAAACCATCTCCTCCTCCTAGGGTACTGGGCCTGTGATGGGTGGGGCTGCTGTGAAGACCTCTGACAAGCCCTGGAGACATTTTCCCATTGTCTTGGGTATTAACATTCAGCTCCTTGTTACTTATGCAAATTTCTGCAGGGCTTCAATTTCTCCTCAGAAAATGGGATTTTCTGACAATTTTCAGCATTGTCAGGCTGCAAATTTTCCAAACTGTTGTGCTGTTTCCCTTTTAAAAATGGAATGTTTTTAACAGCACCCAAGTCACCTCTTGAATGCTTTGCTGCTTAGAAATTTCTTCTGCCAGATGCCCTAAATCATCTCCCTCAAGTTCAAAGTTCCACAAATTTCTAGGACAGGGGCAAAATGCCACCAGTCTCTTTGCTAAAATGTAACAAGAGTTACCTTTGTTTCAGTCCAGTTCCCAACAAGTTCCTCATCTCCATTTGAGACCACTTCAGCCTGGATTTAATTGTCCATATACTTATCAGCATTTTAGTCAAAGCCATTCAACAAGTCTCTAGGAAGTTCCAAATTTTCTGACATTTTCCTGTCTTCTTCTGAGCCCTCCAAACTGTTCCAACCTCTTCCTGTTACCCAGTTCCAAAGTTGCTTCCACGTTTTTAGGTATCTTTTCAGCAGTGCCCCACTCTACTGGTACCAATTTACTGTATTAGTTCATTTTCACATTGCTGATAAAGACATACCCAAGACTGGGTAATTTATACAGGAAAAAGGGTTTAATGGACTTATAGTTCCACGTGGCTAGGGAGGCCTCACAATCATGGTGGAAGGCAAGGAGGAGCAAATCAAGGCTTACAGGGATGGCAGCAGGCAAAGAAAAAGCTTGGGCAGGGAAACTCCCATTTTTAAAACCATCAGATCTCATGAGACTTATTTACTATCATGAGAACAGCATGGGAAAGACCTGCTTCCATGATTCAATCACCTCCCACTGGGTCCCTCCCACAACATGTGGGAATTCAAGATGAGATTTGGGTGGGGACACAGTCAAACCATATCAGACTCCAACTAACTGTATGACATTCTGGAAAAGGCAAAGCTAAGGAGATAGTAACAAGATCCGTGGTCGCCAGAGGTTAGTAGGAGGGAGGGCTGAATAGGCAGAACAGAGACTTTTTAGGACAATGAAACTACTCTTTATGATGCTATAATATTGATACATGTGACCACACATTTGTCCAGATCCTTAAGAAGTACACCACCAAGAGTACATGCTCACATACACTTTGCATGCTGGGTGATAAGGATGCATCAACATAGGTTCATCAATTGTAGCAAATATACCACTCTAGTAATGGATGTTGATAATGGGGGAGGCTATGCATGTGGGGATAAGGGTATATGGGATAATGCTGTACTTTCCTTTCAGTTTTGCTGTGAACTTAAAACTGTTGTTTAAAAAAGAAGCTTATTTAGAAAAAAGAACAATATCATCTGAAAAAAATATTTTCAACAAAATAAATGTAACCATAGCATATTGTTGGCTGTACAAGGAATAATATTTATACAGTTATAAACACTGAACTTTTGCTTTAACCAAAAATTTGATAAAGCTATATTGGGAAGACTGAAAAAGAAGGTGTTGAGAGACATGAGAGAGATAAATTCCCAACTGCATCACAGGAATTTCATAGATAATGTCTAAAATTGAAACGGCACAGAAGTATATGTATATCATTTAGAACCATGGGCATAAATAGTATCAGCTAAAGGACCAAGAAGTGATTGCTGCTAAAAGTAAGAATAAGACATGACGAGGGGTGGAGTGGGCTGCTACTTAAAACAGATTTTTAAGTACATGCATGCATTATTTTCATAAAAAATAAAAGCTAGTTTTAAAAAGAGCTTTATGGTGTCCTATACTAGAAGATCAAAGAAATTTTGATGTAACTGGCACAGTAAGATACTACGCAGCCATCAGATACCATATCACAAAATATATGCATGCAAAATAAAGAATTTTCACAAAATATTGCTGGAAGAAAATAAAAGCATGTCACAATAGTACATATTGTTTCGTTCTGTTTGTGTAATGCACACCCATACACAGTGTATTTATACTGTGAATACATGGTCCCTGCTCTCAAACAACTTCTAATTCAACACATACACATAATAGTTTTAACATGATGTATTTGTTAATAGGATGCAGGGGTTCTCAAACTTGAGTGTGCATCAGAATCACTGTGAGGGCATATTTAAATAAAGATTGTAGGTCTGCATCCCAGTTTCTGATTTAGCAGATTTGGGGTGAGACCTGAGGATTTGCATATCTATCATGTACCCAGGAGATGCTAGATGCTGCTACTGCTGATCTGGGACTACACTTCCAAGAACACTAAGATTGTTATATACAGAGTGTTTGGATACACTTGGCCCAGCATGGGAATCAGGGAAGTCTTCTTAGTAGAGACACTCCCAAGTTGCATCGTAAGTGGTTCTCAGTAGTCTCTGAAGTTGTCACAAAGTCATAAAACTACTGACAAATGTTAATGGAAATTCTTGATTTACCAGTTATGAGGTTGCACATACTAACCACAAACATAATGTTCCCTTGCTTTAGACTAGAACTTTCTAGTCAGTACTGGTTATTTCAGACAAATCAGCAGCTGTGCTTGGCATTTTTATATGCCTTTGATTAAGGAAATGGACAAATGAGAAAGTTATTGCATATGAAATGTAGATTGATGACCAAAATCTTCCAAGCCAGGGATGGCTGGGAGGGTACAGAGTAAGCCTGGGGCCCTTGCAAGGGAGTCCTGGCTCAGTCTAACAAGGAGAGGACATACAGTTGCAATCTGGCTACAAGAGAGCAGAGAGGGTTCCTTAATGTTACTCTTCTCACTGTTAGAAGCTGTTCCTCTGTTTCCTTCTCCAGAGAAGAAGCAACTATGGAAAGTGGAGAAGGGCTTACCTCAGTGGCTCCCTACCAGAGTCCAGACACTGTTCTAGGTACTCAATGGTGTCTGACATGTAAAGGACATCCCTAGGTACTTAGGATGTTAAGGAAGCATCAGAAAAACTAATCTCTACTTACAAGTTGGCCAGTTAGTTTCTCATTTATTCTTTTTCACGTTTTAATTTGCTTCTTAAGGAAAAAACCAAAATGAGTTCTCCAGTTTCATTACAGTGTTTCATGAACTTGCCTGTTGTTTACTGTACTCTGTGGCTAGCACAGTGTCAGGTCCAGAATTGGTACTGAGTGAAAATTGTTAAGTGAATGTCTAGACCAGTGTTATAGGAGCCATCTGGGAGAATTTGAGAACACATGTAGAGTACAGAAAAAAATGTCTTTACTCCAGCCTCAGAAAATTGAGAAAGGATTTTCTAGTATCCCTTAATCTAACTCTGAGGCTCTATAGTTTGGTGCACTTTTAGAAAGATAAATGTGGAAGACCGCCTGCCATGCCAGCGGCTATCAGTTTTCTCACTGGGAGAGGAGAAACTCAGAGTGTAGGCACAGTAAAGCCAGGTAGTTGACCAAGTCTGTCATAAATTAAAACTTGATCTGTAGAAAGGTGCCAACTTCTTGACTTCTAATTCTGTGAGAAGTAAGAGGTCAATTCCAGTTACCTGAAACCTTGCTTCCAACTACTCTAATGAAAATGTGTGTTGAGAACACATAATTGGAAACACTATTTTCTGCACTAACAGTTATTAGAATGCCAAATGGCACCCATTATAGAGTTTCCTAGAGAGTGAAAGTAAACAGTATTTATGTGAAGTACAATTCTCACCATCTCTCTCAGGTGGGAACTTGAGTTCTTTGTCATGCCTAAGGCAAGACTAGAAGGCTACTTTCTATCATAATATCTTAATTTTAAAATTATTTTCTTTTGAAATCATAAATAATTTTTATAGAGCTTCATATTGTGTGCTTTAAGAACTTGAAAAATTTCAAGAAAGCAGAATCACAGTCTCCTTCACACTTTAGCCAAATACTTTTTGGTTTAGGATTCTTGATGAGGGCAAGGTAGAAAAGGAGGAAGATGCTTAGGAATTACAAAGGGCCACAAGTTCCCTGCTCCAGTCAACAATTCTGAGAAATCCTGCCTTGGACCCTGCAATAGCATCTTGCAGACAGGAAGCAGACTCCTCCTAGCTCTGGGCTGAATGAACCGATAGCGTCCTCACTCTTAAGGCCGAGTAGGATCACACTGTTTATCTTAAGCTGTCCCTAGAACTGTTTGAATTCATTAGAGGTCTGCCTTTGGCTTTGGTTTGGCCAAGATACTTGGATCTTCTCATTGAAAAGTTTATCCATAGATAACACAGTGGCTCATGCCTATAGTCCCAGCTACTTGGGAGGCTTAGGTAGAAGGGTGGCTTAAGCTAAAGAGATTGAGGCTGCTGTGAACTATGATCCACCACAACTGCACTACAGCTTGGACAGAGTGAGACCCTGTCTTTAAAAAACAAAACAAAACAACAACAACAAAAAAAACAGAAGAAGAAGTCTATCACTAAATGTGATGGAATAAAACCAAGTTTGGTGCTCCTCCCAGACTTCAAAAATGGAGACTTCAAGGAAGACAAATCTTGAAGAATAATAATTGTGAAACTGTAGATGTCAGAAAACACAGAAGGAAGTTACAGAAAGCCAGTAATTTAAAGAGTGAAAAGTAAAGATTTTAAACACAGTAGGAGACCATTTTGATCTTCCTTATCAGTCCTACGTGTGAGAAAATGAGGGCTGTATCCAGCAGGAGTCTGATGGAGGAGGAATAGCTAAGTTGTTTCTACTCAAATCTCTGAATCTTAAATTCCATTACAAAATACATATTATGATTGGCAGTAACATTCTGTTTATGAAAACCAAAGGAGGGGTCCTAAAAGGGACTATGCCAAGGTGCCCACTAAGCCAGGTACCTTGTTGTTCAGTGGTATGAGTCTAATATGCCAGGCAGGGTACAAATCAGTGGGTTCTTGTCAAATAACACATCTGTTGCCGGGAACAGATGGAAAAAGTAGGATGTGTTCTTGGTTGATTGAGAAAAAGAAGTACCTAATACTTTTTTCCATCATGACTCACTAAATCATGAAATGAATTATATCACAGCACAAATACATTGCCACTAGGATGTGTACAAAGTAAAATTTAGTACAATCACCTCTGAACTGTCATGCTAATGAAAGCCAACAGTGATGCAGATATTCCAAAAGAGTGGAAAATCAGAAAATCATTTATGTTTGGTGATAGCAGATACAGCATTACTTGGGAGGCATCAGGTTTACCTTTGTGTTTTGCTTGTGGAAATGTGAAAATTAGTGTGTAGTCCTTACATACACATCAACTGATGGGGGAGACAATTTGGGTAGAGGACTGAATCAATCTGGAATGGAGTATTTCTGTAGATACACTTCAGGTGGCAAAATTTAGAGTTGACTAATCATTGAATTATAAAGGGAAATGGACATAAACTCATTTTATGGAAGGGGAAACTGCAACTGAGATAAATTTACCTGACTCAGGACACACAATTCAAGGTCTCAGCCTCTCATATGTTTCTGAGTTCTTTTCTCACTCAGTTGCACTACTTGCCCCATGCACCTGCACACTAGTATTTATTACAGTGGATGAACATAAATAAGCTCACAAAGCCTCTGATAAATTCCTGCATGAGAGACCTTCTACTCATTGTTTAGAGAAATTAAAAGACTTTGAAGATTGTGGCTGACATCAAAGAAGCTTATCCTTTTAATATGTGTCCTCAGGGAGCTGGGCCAGAGAAAGAACCAGATTTGCTGCTAATGTTTTTGGGTGCTCTCAGTGCAGGACAGGTAAGTGTGTGGACTCTAAAATCAGATCTGGTGGAAGGGTGGGGGGAGGTGGGAATGGTTAATGGGTACAAAAAATTAGAAATAATGAATAAGACCTACTATTTGATAGAATAAAGGGTGACTATAGTCAATAATTTAATTATACATATTAAAATAACTAAAAGAGTGTAATTGGATTGTTTGTAACACAAGGAATAAATGCTTGAGGGGATGGATACCCTATTCATCATGCTGTAATTACGTTACATTGCATGCCTGAATCAAAACATCTCATGTACCCCATAAATATGTACATCTACTATCTCTCCATAAAAATTAAAAATGAAAAAAAATCAGATCTGGGTTGGAGTTCTGCCTTGACCACATTTTTTTCCTATAGTTCCTTCCTCTGCTAGCTTAAGCAAGTCTCATAATCTTTCTGAGCTTCACTTGCCTTATTGTAAAATGAAGACAATAATTATACCTGCCTCATAGGATTATTGAGATGACAAAATGAGATAATGTAGGTAATAAACTACACGTTACATAAGTAATATAATATATGCTTGACATATAGTAAGGGCCCAGTAAATGATATTTATGATCATTACAATAATAATTATAACTACACACATTTTTCAATAGTTTATGTTGAGCAAGTCCATATTATATCACATTTCCTTAAAGTTCAGCATCTATGTTGCTTTCTCTTATTTTTTTTTTTTTTTTTTTTGGAGACATAGTCTCACTCTGTCGCCCAGGCTGGAGTGCAGTGGCATGATCTCAGCTCACCACAACCACCACCTCCCAAGTTCAAGTGATTCTCCTGCTTCAGCCTCCCAAGTGGTTGGGACTACAGGCACACCCCACCATGCCCAGCTAATTTTTGTATTTTTAGTAGAGACTGGGTTTTGCCATGTTGGCCAGGCTGGTCTCGAACTCCTGACCTCAGGTGATCCACACACCTTGGCCTCCCAAAATGCTGGGATTACAGGCATGAGTCACTGCGCCCAGCCTCTATGTTGTTGTTTCTACTTAGCAGATCCTGAAGAAAAATCCGTTTTTTATCTTGCCTTCTTTGCCCAATTATTGCCAGACAGGGACTCTCATGATAAAAACAAGTTTAAAATTTCCATTTGCTTTAAATAGTGAGTCATAAAATTAATCATTTATAGTTTATGAGGCTCTAATGTTCTTGGGTGGTTTGAAGGTAAAAGTCTAAAAACAGAGTTTGATGAAGAACAAAAAGATTCTACAAAATACAGTTCTATTTTCTAGAAAAGGGAAAGGATACACCTGCAGTGGATATTTTGCCCTTGGCATAATCTCTGCTTTCAAATCCTAGTTCATGTTGTCATCGACATGGACAGCATGTCCCCATTCTGGCCCCATCATCTCCAACTTGGGCTGTTATAATAAGCAGTTAGTCACTGAGCTCCATGGCTACATTCTTTCACAAAACTCCATTTTTTGCCACAAGGCTTACTTTTCGAAAATGTAAACATTAGGGTCACAAATTCTTGATCTGACACATATGCCCTTTCTGATCTGGCACCTAAGTCTATTTCCAGGACATCTCTCCACTCTTTTCCATTAAAGAAATTTTTAGCAACACTGAACTCCTTCAGCACACTTCATACTTCCATGCTTCGTCTCTTTACTCAGGTTATTGGCCTCTGCCTAGGAAGCTCTTTGCCATTTGCCTTGTAAAAAGTCCACAATATCTTTTGTAAAACGAAATATAATTATATTCTCTTGTGCACATGCTAGATGTCAGGGTCTGTTTGAACATAGAAAATAATTTAATCTTTACTACATGTAACATACGTAAACACGTTTATAACAACATATAAACTAATTTAATCTTTACTACAATCCTATGAGGTAGTATTATCATCTCTACTTATGAAAGAGAAAAGTGAGGCACATAGAGGTTAATGTGTACAAAGTGACACTGATGGTAAGTGGAAGCTGCTTCTGATCAGTCAGAACTAATTCTGCCATCTTTTCTACTGTAGACTCTTGTATTTGCTACTTGTTCAGTCTGGTGTGTGACAAGCTCCTTATCTCATTTGCCCTTCAGTCCTCACTGCCCAGCACTGTACCTTACATTTAGTCTGTGCTTAACTAGTGTTTACTAACTGCATGAACCCAGATAAAAAAAACTGTAGCTACATTTTCTACAGATTTTCCTAACAGGGTGTATGCTATTGTATCTTTAGTTGGTTGCCAAAATGGGTTGAGTGGCACCTGAATGGAAAGGAAAGTGGGTAGATGAGAGGACAGAAATGGTTTCTGAGCTGGTATACTTTTGTTAAAGCACATTCTTCAACCTGCAGCAATAACCAAAGGCCTTATACACTCCTAAATTGAAAACATAAAGCATAGCTTTTCAAAGCCCCGGACCTTTTTAAACAAACTTCCTTTTTTCATTTGTATACACCACGTTTTATTTTAAGCCATACGTATTAGGGAGAGTTAAGAGCCTCTTGGAACAGCTTAGTTCAGTTTTGACAGTAACTCTTTGGCAAAGACTCTCCACTGCACCATTACTCCAGGGTGTTCCTCCTGCAGCTGTCACAGGGAAACCAGTGATATGTGCCATTTCATGCCCTCCCTTGGAGATCACTTATCCTGGACAACAGTTTAGGTAGAGAGTCTCCACATTATCATGGAAAAATCTTCAGACATTTTCAAAGACAGCATCTCAACATCTACTTCAGGCTTCAAGAAAGGTATGCAGCAATGAACAATTGAGTCCTTATTTCAAAGAAGAAAAAGTGAACCATGAAAACTTTAACTCATCATAACATCACTTTTCTCACTTCCAAATTAATATTTATTGAGCATAGTGTTGCAGACACAAAAAGAATAAAACTGCCCCTTGCTCTTCAGAAAGCTCACATTCTAGCTGGTCAGGAGGTCAAATAACCATTTGACTAAAAAACCATTTGTTTTAATAACTATCCTGTCCAGTACTCCAGAAAGGTAACAGCCCTGAGGAAAGAAGGAAATATTCTGCCTAGACATGGGCATAGCAGGGAGGGTTTGTGGAGGAGGTGCCATTTCTGAGCATCAAGGAAACACCAGATTTGGCTCAGAGGAGAGGTACTGAGGAGGTGAGATGGGAACTGGAATTATAGGTAGAAGAAAACGTATTCAGGAGCATAAAGGCAAGAAGAGAAGCTTAAAGTGTTCTTATATTAGAGCACAAGGTGCCAAAAGATATAAAAAGAGAAGAATGGAAGAGAAAGAATAAAAAGATTTTATCCTACCTTATATAAGAAAGGCAGAACCTACAGATGTGAATCTCATACAAGGATGTTGAAGAGGTTTCTAGGAATTAAATATAATTAAGTAATCTATTAAAAAGTCAGAATATGGGCCAGGCGGGGTGGCTCACGCCTGTAATCCCAGCACTTTGGGAGGCCGAGGCGGGTGGATCACAAGGTCAGGAGATCGAGACCACGGTGAAACCCCGTCTCTACTAAAAATACAAAAAATTAGCCGGGCACGGTGGCGGGCGCCTGTAGTCCCAGCTACTCAGGAGGCTGAGGCAGGAGAATGGCGCGAACCCGGGAGGTGGAGCTTGCAGTGAGCCGAGATCGCGCCACTGCACTCCAGCCTGGGTGACACAGCGAGACTCTGTCTCACTGAAAAAAAAAAAAAGTCAGAATATGTTGTTTTATAGCATCTCATTTCATTTAAAAAATGTAGAAGATCGATCATCTTAGAGAAAATAAGTTTAAATGAACCCTTCTCTATACCTGGAGTGTTCAGTTCTTTTTATTTTGACGTTAATTTTCAAAATACTTATTGAGAACCTGTGATTTACCAAGTAAATTCTTAGAATCGACCTTAAGAAATTGAGAAAATGCAAAATTGAAAAAAGTTCCAAATGAAACAAAATGATTAATATTATTATTAATGTAGAATTATAGCTATTTTGGCCAGGCACGGTGGTTCACGCCTATAATCTCAGAACTTTGGGAGGCTGAGGCGGGTGGATCATGAGGTCAAGAGATCGAGACCGTCCTGGCCAACATGGTGAAACCCACTCTACTAAAAATAAAAAAATTAGCTGGGCGTAGTGGTGCGTGCCTGTAGTCCCAGCTACTCAGGAGGCTGAGGCAGGAGAATAGCTTGAACTCGGGAGGCAGAGGTTGCAGTGAGCCGAGATCATGTCACTGCACTCCAGCCTGATGACAGAGCGAGACTCCGTCTCAAAAAAAAAAAAAAGAGAAAAAAAAAAGAAAGAAAAGAATTATAGCTATTTTTCTGTACTAAGTAATTTGACAAGTTAAAAAAAAAAGACTTCATTGGGCACCAACGAATGTTACATTTATTAGAAAGCAAATTTACCTTGGAAATCGGAAAAGCACATTTGATTATAAGAACAATCAGACACTGAAAATCTTACTGAACAGGGCTGCTGAGAGGCAATGACATGAAACCTAACAGAGCTGCTCACATTGAGAACCCTGTGTTTCCATAGGAGGGCTATGAATAAATATCTCGAGAGACCTGAGAAAGCTGAGATGAAGAAATCATCTTCCAAGGACACGATCTCTTCTGTTAGATGGGGCTTTGCTTTCTCGTTCAGACTTAATTTTATAAAATACATTTCCTTTAAGGATGTGAAGACTTAAGGAAAAAACATAAAGAAACCAAGAAGAAGCCCTTATTTTGTAATATTGTACATTCAGTTGATCACAGGTACACAGAGGGGAGTCACGCTTACTATTGTCAACACAGGAGTTTTAAAAACCCTTAAACAAGTAGGTCAGCTGAGTGTACAGCAAAGCTCACCCAGGCTGAATGTCTGGTCAGAGTAACAGTCCACTTTCCAGAATGCCACCTGGATTGGAGATTGAAAACAAAATTCCTAGGATATGCCAAGGTTCATTTCCTAAAAATGATGATGACATTATAGTTATGTCAGTTTTCAAAATGGGAACAACTTAAAAAAATTCCCCAAATGTGTTGAATATTATCCTAAATGAAGCTAAGTTTGGACTCTACTTAATGTGACTTTATTCAGTTATTTACCCAGCATTCAAGACAGCATCACTATGTCTCAATTCCTTGTAAGGGGAGGGAGGATATTTTTCCTCATGAAGGAAAAATTATTGTAAGAATTAAATGATATAATGTAAGAAAAATAATTGGCACGGTACCTGGTACAAAACTAAGGATTCATTAAATGCTTTAAAAAGCCCCAACATTTATGTTTTTGGTTAAAATCTGTATTTTTGGTTAAGATCTTATTTCCAATGTTTAATGTATTAAATAATGGCTGATGCACCACAAACAGGTAAAAAATAAAAATGTTGGCCTTGATTTCTTAAGTGTTACACAGCACTCATTAAATTAAAAAATCCTGACTCAGTATACCTCAATAACCACCTGGTAATTCATTCTAAAAGAAAGCAGCATCCATTGAGGCTCAAATTCACAACCTAACACCTTAATGACCAGCAGTTTCCTAAATGTGATATTCTGATGAACTTTTGGGTCCTTTAGGAATTACTGCCATCCTCAATCAGCTGTCCTTTAATCTATCTTCGAACTCAGTCTCATTTAATTATTAGCAATTTGAGCTTAAGTGAGTTTAGGAAATTGCAAACTGACACACACAGACAAAATTTACACTTTTTGCATTCGAATGCTTTAATACAAAAGAGATTGGATTACAAATTTTATTCAAAGGTGTTTTAAAAATGAAAAAAAGTGATTTTGGCTTTTACTCCATATTAAAGAGTTTTAGAAAAGGGTGAAGCAACTCTGGGGGAAAGGGTGGGAAGGGAGTGAGGGATAAAAGACTACAAATTGGGTGCAGTGTGTACTGTTTGGGTGATGGGTGCACCAAAAGCTCACAGATCACCACCAAAGAACTTGCTCATGTCACCAAATACCACCTGTTCCCCAATAACCTATGGAAATAAAACATTAAAAAAAAAAATAAAAAAAGAAAAGATTGAAGCATAAGGGGATAGGTCTGTTGTTGGTTGCTATTCTCTATGAGCCACAGATATTTATCAGCTGAAACTAATTACCAATGCAACCATGAACACATCAAATTTATTATTATTTTGAAGTTATGCTGAAATATTGTCTAAATCCTATGAAAACTACTTTTTCAGAAAGAAAAAAGAAACATTAATTTTAGGGGAATTACAGTTAAGTCATTTTAGCTCTGCCCAAATAACATTATTCAGAGAGAGTACTACCAGGGTCTCAGCATAATGCATGTCACATTTTTAGATGTATTCAATTGTTTACTCAGCATTCAGGACAATGATTATCTATGATCTATCCAAATACAGGAATATCAAGTCTTTAAAACTTTCTTTAACCTTTGCTCTAGCAAATGAAAAAGAATATTCCTTATTTCTCAAAAAGGAGACACTGGATTATTCTCACCATTTGCAGCTTCTACATATTTACTTCATAAATTTTTCTTTCATAACATGCATATATTTAATCATTTGTTTTCCCCACATATAAGCTAATAAGAATTATAATACCTTTAACTTTATATGTATTCTCAAATTGATTTTAGATTCCATAGTCACCTCTTTGTTGTATATTTTAAAATATTCCTAACCAATATACTTTTTGAATATTGAATACATAGACGTTTAAGTCAATTTTATAGATAAAGAAACTCAGATGTTGAGTAACTAAGTGACTGAGAGTACTAAATATGAATTATCAAAATATAAAATGGTGGCCAGGCACGGTGGCTCAGGCATATAATCCCAGCACTTTGGGAGGCCAAGGTGGGTGGATCACCTGAGGTCAAGAGTTTGAGATCAGCCTGGCCAACATGGTGAAACCCCGTCTCTGCTAAAAATACAAAAATTAACTGGGCCTCGTGATGCATGCCTGTAGTCCCAGCTACTCAAGAGGCTGAGGCAGGAGAATTGCTTGAATCTGGGAGGCAGAGGTTGCAGTGAGCCAAGATCTTGCCACTGCATTCCAGCCTGGGTGACAGAGTGAAACCCTGTCTCAAAAAAAAAAAAAAAAAAAAAAAACAGAGAAAAAAAAAGGCAGTAAAAAGTCATCTTCTAGTGACAGCTCATAAAAAGCAGATGCATACAAATATCAGCTAATTGTATTTAATTTAACATGAAGATACTTTTGTTCATATGACAATAAAAAATAGTTTAATTTAACTTTTTAACTTTAACCTCTCCCTTTACTCTATCCTGTAAATAGCTACCTCTTCTAAAATACTTTTTTATAATCCTACTTTGTATTTATTTGTTAATATGTCTACATTCCTCAGTAGAAGAAGCTCTTTAAGGAAATTTCAATGTTACTTCTTGTTGCAGGATTTTTAGTACACAGCTGTTCAATAAATGCTTTTAGCACAAATAAATAAAATGCTGATTTGTCATACTATGTGAGCTTGATTCTTTAGGACAGGGGCTTATATTTAGTTAGCCTGACAGACCAAAGTGCTTAAAACATGACAGTTTATAGTCATGAAATACCATGCCTATGTTCACAATGGACTGTGAATTTAAACACTCCATTGTACAAGCATGTAAAAACAACTTTACAAGCATGTAAAAACAGGCCTCCTCTCTGGCCAAAGTTTATTACCTCTGTCTTTGATTCCTGCCACCTTAGAAAGGAGCTAACCCATGTTTACGATTACACCACTTGGAAGAAAATCTGGGGGGCTGCATTTTATTCAGTGCCCTGCCACCTTGGTTTCTGGGTGACCTGCCATGGTTTGCTTTTCGAAGCCTTCTGTGAGGAGTGAGCAAATAACAGCATTTGTCATGCAACTTAAATGAGCATGCAGTAATCAGTAAGAGCAATCAATAAGAATGCTAAAATAAATAAATGAATGAATAAATAGATAAAAAGTAAACGCTGCAATCACAGTGTGATGCTACCATAATGAATAAGCATTATCACATGTCACCCCTGTCTGCTATCATCAGCAGCTTTCAAAACTAATTGTCATATTGAACAAAGGGTACTAGATTTCATAAGGCAGTCAGTGCTATTTCTCTGCATTTTTTTCCATTTAGTAACAATTGACAGTAAGAGCCTAGCCTTGGGGAATCAACAGAAGTGACCCATGACTTGCAGTTTGGTAGGTTCCAGCTAACCATTGGATCACTTACACAATCCCCACAGACTGCTGTCCATCTCCAGCTCAGCCAGCCATTGTGGTTATGCTTGGTGGTGAAGACAGATAAGAAAAAGGTTTCATGGAGAGCTAGAGGCAAGACCCAAAGCCAGGCTCTCATTAAGATTTTTTTCCTTGTCAAAATAGAAATCGTTTCATTGCTTTTTCTTTCTTATTATGTGTACATATGCACCATGAAACAATTTCAGAAAACAGAATGCTATAAGAAAGATGGCAGAAATTATGCATAGCCCCACCACCCACTGTGTTAACTATCCTTTTGGACTTTAGAGCATATTGCACACTCACGTTACAGAGCAGAACAGAAAGAAAAGTGGAATGCAAGTAAAAAAATCTCTTTTTTTCTTAAGGTTAAAAAAAATCAACCAAACAAAAATCTTACGGAAAAATGAAATCAAAACAGGAACAAAATCTAACCAGAATGACAAGTATCACCAGTAATCTAGGAAATACACAGAACAGAGAAAGCTTTCAAAGGGAGAGAGAAAAGACAGTGATCAAATCAGGCTGTCTCAAAAAACGATGGCACTAAAAAGTGTGTCAGAGGCAAGAGCTCTGAGAAAGAACAAAGAGATACAGAGAAAACAGAGTGAGCAGGTAGCAGAAAGAAAGAGGAGAGAAAAGACAGAGCACAAGAGGGGAAGCAGGCGGGGTGGCAAAAGGTTTTTGTCACAAGGAGAAATCAACATAATGAGAATGGAGATGCCCCCACATTTCATCCTCAAAACCGCCTGTAGAAGCCTGGGGACTGCCAAATTCCTTTTGAAACAATTTTCATTGAACACCGAAAACATCTTTTGATGGTACAAATGAAGGAAAAAGACTTCAAGTTGTATCTAATATCTATAACTCCCAAAAGGTAAGTCACTCAACATTATAAGAGAATACAAAAGTAGGCTGGGCATGGTGGCTTACGCCTGTAATCCCAGCACTCTGGGATGTCAAGGTGGGAGGGTCACTTAAGCCCAGAAGTTCAAAACCAGCCTAGGCAACATGGAGTGACTCTGTCTTTACAAAAAAAATTTAAAAATTAGCCAGGCATGGTGGCACACGCCTGTATTTCCAGCTATTTGGATGGCTACGGAGGGAGGATCACTTGAGCCCAGGAGGTCAAGGCTTCAGCGAGCCATGTTTGTGCCACTGCATTCCAGCCTGGGCAACAGAGTGAGATTCTGTCTCAAAAAAAAAAAAAAAAAAAAAAAAAAAAAGGCAATAAAGGCAACTTAGCTACATATTTCAGCCAGCATTTTTCAGCGTATAACATAAAACATTTTTTTTGCCCAAACAAGTTGAAAATTTACATGCACACAAAAACCTGCACACAGATATTTATAGCAACTCTATCCATAATTGACAAAACTTGGAAACAACCAAGATGTCCTTCAGTAGATAAATGGATAAATAAACTGTGGTACAATTCGGACAATGGAATATTATTCAGCACTAAAAACAAATGAGCTATCAAGCCATGAAATGTCATGGAAGAACTTTAAATGGGTGTAATAAGTAAGAAATTTAAAGGAGTGTAATATTACTAAGTAACAGAATCTAGTCTGAAAAGGATTCATACTGTATGATTCCAAGTATATGACATTCTAGAAAAGGCAAAACAATTAGAAAGTAAAAAGATTATTGGTTGTTAGGGGTTAGGGGAGAGAGAGGGATGAATAGACAGAGCAGAGAAGACTTTTAGGACAGTGAAACTATTCTGTATTATAATGGTGGATACATGTCCTTATACATTTGTATAAACCCATAGAATGTATGTACAATGCCAAGAGTGATGCCTAATGTAAGCTGTGGACTCTGGGGGATAATGATGTGTCACTGCAGGTTCATCAGTTGTAACAAATGTACCACTCTGGGCGGGGGGGATGTTAATAATGCGAGAGACAGTTTATATTGGGGCAGGGTTGTATTAAGTCTTCAAAAATTCGGACTTCCCAAAGAAAAAACAAATAAGGCAATTTAAAAGAGAATCAGCTTCTTGTTCTATTCCCATGTTCCATTTCATTTGTAGCTCTTTCTACATAGAGGAGAACCAGCATGAAAGAGATTTCTGGTAAAAACTGATTTTATGGAATATTTTGTGTATATGTGTGCATGTGTATGAGAGAGACAGAAAGGGAGAGGAACTGAGAGACAGAAAGAAAGACAGAATGATAATTTGTGATAGATTTACATCTATGAAATGAAGAGCTACAAAATTCAGGTGGATTTGTCTTGAATTTTATTTTTTTAATCAAAATTCAACTTTCAGCTACCTTTGATTTAAAAATAAAGTAAAAATTATCAAATTTTAATTCTGGAGCTCTTCACCCACTTTAGGGCAGAGGAGATAAAGCATTTGAGACTGTTGGAAGTGAGCTGGCTTCCCAAGCTTAACTAGTTAGTGGCAAAGTTGAGGCAAGCATACCCAGTGTTCACCTGCTTTTGTTTCTGGGGTTATCTAAGCAGCAGCAGCTACAGGTGATCCAGAACTTGCTCTTAGCAGCCCTAAGGAAAGTTAAGGGCCCTTCTAAAATGGGCATTTGAAACAGCTGTTCTCAGCAAGAGGAGGGGGCTGCCAGGGCTGTGATGCTGATCTCTGCATCACAGGAATCTGTCTGTCCTCTCCCTTAAACTCTCAGCTAAAATAATACTTTCCCAAAAAGGTCTTTGAGTTCAGGGTAGAGGGCATCATGCTTCATTCTACCAAGAGGCTTTACACGATTTCTATAAGCAGAAGGCTCAGAAATCATTACTTTGTAAGTATGAAATCAGCTCCAGGCAGAACCAAGTGGCAAGAAGGCTTTTTAGTACTATCTTCAAGTGCTTACGAAATTGACACTCTCATAAAAAAATATTTGTTAAGGACCTAATATACACTGAGAACTCTGCACAGAGAGATGAAAAAACAGCCTTGAGGGGCTTCCAATATTGCCAATCCCATTGGCCAGCTGGAACTGTACATAAAAGATAAGAAGCAGCCAAACTAGCCTGTACAAGTGCAAGATACAGGGCGAGAAAAATAAATGCTTGAGGAATTCGTAGGAGGGAGGGATAAATGGGGCTGTTAGAGAGAGCTGCATGGAAAAAGTCAACTCTTGAGCTATGCCTTAAATGATTTATTTGACAAGAGTAGAAAAGGAACAGCATTTCAGCTGAGAAACAGGGTCAGCAAAGATGCAAAGCTTAGAATGTGTATCTGGAGATAACGAGCAGACCCATGTGGTTGGGCCAGAGAACAACTGTAGGGACTAGTTGGCAACAAACTTAGAAAAATTGCTGGACAAAATTCTTTGAGGGACAAGAATGCCAGATAAAAGAAACTAAAGGCAATGAAGAACCATCAGAGTTTTGTGGGTAGGTGAATGAAATGTAAAAGTGATTTAGGAAGATTAATCTGGTGGAAGTATAAAATGCAGATTGAAGGGCAAAAGATGGAAAGCAGTGAGAATAGATGGAGACTATTTTCATAGTCTAGACCTGAGACAATGAGAGCCTCGAGATAGAAACAAAGCATATAATCAAAGAATATTTTGAAGTAAGTGACTGTGGACTTGGTAACTCAATTACATTTTCGTTAGGAAAGATAAGTCAAATTTAAACAGATTGAATTTCACACAGAAAATGCCTAAAGGCCAACCTAGTTTTAGAGACCAATGTTTAGAAGTGATAGCAGAGATGGAGACAAGACGTAGCAGTGATGGTTGACTTATGGAAGTGAATGAGTCCTCTTGGGGAGAGAATGTTTCATTTGTACTGAACATATATCAATAAAAGGAATGGTAGAAAAGTAAAGACCAGTATCATGGCTTTTTGGAAGCATGGTAGCAAGTGACTGAGTTTGCCAATTTCTACCTGTATTTACTTGAACAGTCTCTGTTTTCTGAGGCTTCCTGATGATCCAAGACTGATGAGAGCGGCCAAGAGTCATTCATAGTTGAGCTCACAGTCTATCATTCTGTAAGTGAAACCTGAGCAGTTGGAAACCCTGGTGACAAGGCCAATGTCTTCCAGTGCTCAAGAGTCTTAAAACTCCACTCTGAAGAATATGTTGAGCACATATTGAAGGTCCCTATACTGTTTTCAATATGATGTATGTAATGATTTTTCTAAATGATGGAAAAATAAAAGTCTGGATGATTATCTAAATGTGCAATGCAATAAAATGTCAGTGGAGGAAAAGTGATACTAGCTGGAATTCTTCTTGATATTATGATATAGATATAAAATAATTCCTACTAATAATAGTAAATACTAGCACCATGTGCTATGCCCAGGCTAAGAAATTTATAAATTTCTAGTTTAATTCTAACAAAAGTATAGACACTACTTTATACATGAGAAAACTGAAGCACAGAGAGTTTACACTTGACCTAGATCATACAGATAGGACATGGTGGACTGTTATATGCTATAATCTATGACAAGAAACCAACATCTACTTGATTCATTATCATCAATCAATCAAACCTCTAACTTGAGAATTCAGTATAACAATTCTATTGTTAAAAACAAAACACAGATGAGTCAAGTACATACATACACATACACACACACAAATATATAAGCACAGATTAGTAGAAGAGGAAGGACTAATTGTTATTTTTAACTAAAACATGACACAATCTGAGAAACTTTTTTATAAAGCTACCCTTAGTAAAGACTCATACTTCCAGTTCATTTAACAAAAAGGCATTATAAAGTTAAGGTTCTTCATAGGACTGATGGTTACATTTCAAAACTCATATTATATGAGATGGACCTCGGTATCACTAATGTCTCCGCATATACAATTTCTGGCAAAACATAGCCTGTTTACGAGAAGTGCAGAAATGTTGTTAAACTTAATTAGATCTAATTGTCACACTTTCATTAGCTATTAGCATTATGTAAAGATAAACTAATGCATAATGAGTTCTTTCATTGTCACATAATTATAATTTTAATGATTACATTATGACCATTATAATACAGTGCATATTTTCAATTTTCCCATTAGTGGGCAATTATTTATAAGGTTTTCTATTACAATCTGTCCACAGAGACCAAGTTATTAATGCCTCCATTTTCCTATAATGATGACCACAGTGTTAAAATCAATATGATGGCCACAGGGAGAACTGCAAAATAACGTGGAAAGAACAACAAAACTACAACCATGAAGTAGGCTCATTCAGCACACGCCTGAGGAAATTTTAAGATGGATAAAAATAACATATTAATATTCTTACAAGAAGTTCTAGTTTACAAGGTTTTCTCAAGTATAATTTTTCTCATTTTTTGTGACCTTAAGTCCCCAACTCTTTCCTAAGACAGTTTCCATGGTATGAAATATTTAAAAACCTGGCCTTTGAAAAATGTCTTAAAGAGTTTTCACCATTCAGAGAATTAGATTAAAATCCCACAAAGTCATTTCTGGGAAATTTTTTGAATTGTTCAATTTCAGGGTTGTATGTCAGGAAGTAAGATGCTGATGAACCGTATGATTCATCCTCAAAGATGATGAAGAGTGGGAGAAATTTATTATAACAAAGGAAAAGGGCAGTGTGATTGGATAGCGATTATGGCAACAAGGGGCTGGATGTAGGTCCTGAAAATAATAACAATAATAATACTAATAACATCTAATAGAATATTTGCTTTTGTCCACTAACTCTGAGAATAAACAGATCTCCTCACTATTCTTTGTGTGAAGACTGAGACTATTTGGTGGACTTAGAGAGATGTCCAGAACTATAGAAAGACATTTAGGAATGCAGCTTACTATACACACCTGGTTGGTTACTTACTATGCAACTAAGGTTGGTTGCATTACATGGTTCTGAGGTCTCACATGGAGACAAGACAGGCCCTTCGGGGCTTTTCTGTAGCCCTGTGAAACTATATCTGTCTCCCCCAACTGCAATGGGGTTGTCTCAGTTATCTCTGAATTCCTGGCAATGTGCACTTAAAAATTTTGTGGCAGAAATTAATGAACTAGATAGATTTAAGCCCAAAAGTTCAAAGTAGCTCATATTATCCAACTTGATGGTAAAACTAACCTAATTTTAATATGGACCAGTGTCCCTCCCCAAGAAAAACTGTTGGTCCAGGTTCTCGATAGATATGTACTCATATAGTTTGGAGATACGATTAATTTTTTTATTTTTCCATGGAGGAGAATCAAGAATCCTTGCACATATTGGGTCACTGGTTCTCCAGGCATAGGAATGTGTAAGACACACTTGGGGAACTGTTTAAATGCAGAGCCATTCCCAGAGGTTCTGAATCCACAGGGCTGAGAGGCTATGTTTCTAGCAGAACCCTCCAGAAGATTCTGAAGCAGATGGTCCCCAGAGCACATTTGAGAAATACTCAACCTGGTGCTCAATTCAATGGTGGCAGTCCTTGTGAGCCAGTAAACATGACACTAGCCTAGGATTCATAAGACCCCATGAATGAAGTTTCACTACAAGAGGTGGGACTTGAGAAAGTCACTAGATTTGCCCTGGTCTTAGGTTTCCTTACCCATTAAATAAGTGTGTTGTGCTCACTTCTGAGTTTCTTTGCTGAGATCTCTGTACCACTAAGGAGACCATGAAGTTGGCAACAGAGATTCTTGAGCTATGCATGAAATTCCAAAAAGCCAAACAGTAATCATTTATTTACCCAATACAAAATCTTATTTGAAACATCTACTTTTTTGGATTAAATTATATCACCTCAATGTTCCCCTGGTTATCAGAATCTCTCATGAAAGTTAAACAATCATGTGCCACACAGTGACATTTCAGTCAGAGATGAGCCGCATATATGACCATGGTCTCATAGGATTATAAACGGAGCTGAAAAATTCCTATAGCCAACTGATGTCGTAACTGTCATAGCATCATAGTACAACGCATTACTCATGTGTTTGTGGTGATGCTGGTTTAGGTAAACTACTGCATGTCCAGCCATATAAAAGTATAACACATACAATTATGTACAGTATATAATACTTGATAATGATAATAAACAACTATGTTACTAGGCTTATGTATTTACTTTATTTTTCATCATTATTTTAGAGGGCATTCTCTCTCTCTCTTTCTCTCTCTCCCTATATATATATATATGTACAGATATATATATATATATCTGTAAAACAGCTGCAGGCAGGTCTTTCAGGCAGTATTCCACAAGAAGGCATTGCTATCATAGGAGATGACAGCTCCATGCATGTTGTTGTCTCTGAAGATCTTCCAGTGAGACAAGATGTGAAGGTGGAAGACAGCGATATTGGTGATGCTGACCCTGTGTAGGCCTAGGATAATGAACTAACAATCCCAAACAACCTCATGTTACCCACTCAACAACTGGGTAGTGTCACCTATGTGTGTCAGATGCTATTTGAGGGGGCAGAGAGGTAAACAACAAGTTATGCCCTCATGGTGCTTACAGTCTAATAAGGGAAGACAGAAAATAGCAAACACATATCAGGCCATAACAAGTAACATAAAGGAAAATAGAGTTTGAAAAGCAGAAAAGGGAGAGTTGGGGGTGGGAGAGTGTTGTCAAAAAAGGGCTCTCTTATAAGGCGACATTTGAATCAAGACCTAAAGAAAATGGGGCAAAAGTCATGTAGATTTCTGGAGGGACTCCAGAAATCCTGAGTTATAGAATATATGCTTTTCAAAACAGGAAGATGATTCATCGTCTATATTATCATAAACTTTACTTAAGCTAACATATTTATGAGCTCATCTTCTGGGCTGACTCCAGGATTATAGACAAAGCACATGGTCTTGATTTCTTAACAGGGCTGTGGGCAACACAGTGAAATCTCTAGTCCATTGATTATCTGACACTGAGGTAAAGCCTGGATTTTGGCACAATACTTATTTTTGCTGCCTCAAGAACATATCTTAGTTCACTTTCTATCCTTGTGGTCAAGACATTTTTAGTTCACTTTGAGATTTGGTCTCTCTCGGCAAGGTTTCTCAGCTACTTTCATTTCTTCTCTACTGACATCCTGATGAACATGGTTTATAAATATTAAAAATAAGGAGGTGAGACCAGATGCAAAGAACTTGCCAATGAATGTCAGAAGTTCCGACGAGTTCCCAGTAAAATTAGAGAATGTGTTTCAAGTATCAGTGGATTCCCCACATCTAGAACAATGACTGACACCTACTTAGCACCCAGGGGATATGTGCTCAAGGAATGTTTGTAAAAGACTGCATTTCTGTGCTGCCTATCTCAAACCAAAATAAAAGCTCTGCCTTAAAAAAAGAGCTTGGTGTGAGTGTACGCGGGTGAGGGCGTATGGTTGTATGTTAGTAAACAGGATGTTTTCTCTTTTATGAGAAACACAGCAGCTGCTAGTTACGCTCCTAATAGGGGAAGTTGCTACTTTTGCATCCTTGAAAGCCCCTATTTGCATAGGCGCTATACAGAAGGCAGACATTAGAAATGAAAACAGTATCTGATCACCAAATCTCACTGGCACTGAAAAGTTCTGCCTCTAGTTTGTGATTTTTGAAATGTGGATGTGCTGACAACAAAATTAACTTCTCCAAAGAGCTGAGAACTCTCATCATCCCTCTCACTATAATTTACATGACTTGACAAAATTAAACTGTTATTTTCATCGGGGTGATCTGCAAAATCATAAAACGATGTGTATTTTTGGGAATGCCTAATTAACTCTCCTTAGTTCCACTGAGATTTCAGCTACGAATATAAGCATTGCAAATATCACGGAGGTGTTCACATCTAGCTTTAGCAACCACAAAGAGACTCAAAGGACTCAAAACAAAAATCTCTTTAGAAATCAGACAAGGATGAGAATTCAAATCAAATGGTGAACCTATGGGGTAAAATCAGGTATACACTGATTTGCCCAAACTTGCCTTGCATCAAATAGCCAGAAATACTTGAATAGGTGAAGCCAATATTAAGAATCAAAACAGCAGAATTACAGACCTACATACACAAGTCCATCTTTAGTAACAGTTTTAATCACAAACATTAACTAATATCGACCAAGCTGTTTGTCACAAAAGTTTGCTTTAACATATAATCAGCATCTGAAGTGAGAGCCACATTTCCTCAACAATTGCCAGCACCTTGTGTCATACTTATAAATAATGGGTTACTCCTATTGAGCACCATCTGCTTAATAGAGAAAAATGTTCATCTTAATTAGGAAACTCTTCTTATTATTTAATATTTATTGAACACCCACAATGTGCTTGGCAGCAAAAGCACCAGGAACATGATCTTTGCCCACCAAGAATCCACCTGCTAAGGAAATATGATGAACCAGTTATATAGTCATTTCTGTTTCTTAACACATTTTATGTATCTCTTTCCAGATGACAGAACTGCCAATGGTTCACTTTTGGAAGGGTCTTCTCTCCCAATTAAGATGGGATGGCGAGCTGTCAGATGAGTAATGAGTGAAGTAAAGATAAAGAGAAGATAAAGAGCAAATTAATTACAATCACTATGAAGCAAAAGTGAAATTTGCTCAATGGAATAAAATTTAATGCACTCCTAAATAAAACCAACTGTGTTTGCTATGAACTCACAGGTTAAGACTAGAAGACATATCAGAAATATAGAACATGTCATGAAAAAGTCACCTTGGAATAGCAACCATTCTTTGTTTTGCATTTACCTTCGGAGCTTTTGTACCTCCACAATGATACAGCTGATGTAGTGTAGGACACTCATTTCATTACGAGGATATTAACACCTTTGTTAGTAAAGATTTAATGGTCAAAAATCTACTATCAACTAGAAGAATTAAGATAGATTGACAATCCTTCCCAAAAGCTCCCAACTATATCCCCTTCTCTCTCTACTACCCTCCAATCAACAAAAGTTCAAGAAAATTTCATAAGTTTAATATTAAAACTGTGTAGAGAAGTATTTTAGGAGAGAATAAACAACCTATTCACGTCAGAAGAATGTTATTACATGCCTGTAATAGTGCCTTTGCATGAGTTATCTAGTAATAACTTTAGTTCTCCTTTTAGTGAAGATTATAAAGAAAAAGAAAATATGTTTTTGCTCCAATTGTTGAATATCTCAGATAAGACTGTTTTCCACATTCTAAATTTTAACCAGTTCTCTGCTCTGCATGGTTTCCATGTTTCTGTAAAGGGTTGCCTATCCATTTTGCCAGTAGAGCTTAATAAATGTTTCTGTTCTTTTTCAATGCTTCTCATTAAATTGTATGCTTCCCTCATACCACCTTCTTCATAAAAAAAGCATACAATAAATGAAAAAGAACGCTTGGCTTTGGTCATAATATTCCTTTCTTTTCAGCAATGCCAATCGCAGGGCTAGAAACTCCAAGGAAATGGCCCTAGTTATCCATTTCTAACATGATAAGTCAGAGAACTGAATGCTGTTTGTGATCTTCCGTTTGTAGATATACTTCCTAGATAACTACCTCACCCAGATAACATAGGCAAAAAAGAAATTACATATTATTGGAGGTAATGCTGTGATGATGGCAGTTGTCAAACAGTGCTAATCTGAACTACACGGCAGAAGGAAAATGACTAACTCATACACTGTCAGGGTAATAAATACCTAATGAGCAAAATTGCAAAGCAAATAGCAGGTTGAACATACACACAAATGTTGATTCTTGATTCAAAAGTCAGAGAACAGAGTGATTTGTCTCTCTGTCTAGAATGATGAAGCATCACTCCCTTATAAGCTACTGAGCAGCACCATCTGGTATAATTACAGAGGAGCAAGATCTTAAGAAAGTGAAGAATAAAATGACAGAGTTGCAGTAGGACTTTCACAGGAGGTTAAAAAACTCCTCGCCGTGAAAAATATCATAACAAAAATAGTGCTAGATGTTCGTGCAACAATATGCCAATAGAATAAAGATTATAGGACCAAATGTTCAAAATAATTGAATGTGACTTGATATCTTAGAATTCTTTATCACGGTAGTTCTTGAAGTGTGATCCCAGGACCAGCAGCAACATTGCCTGGAATTCTGTTAGAAATGCAAACTCTTGGGCCTCAATCCAAGCATACCAACCCAGAAAGTCCAGGAATGAGCCCAGCAATCTGTGTTTTAATCAGCACCCCTTGTAATTCTGATGCAAGCTCACGTTTGAGAACCGCTGTTCTACTAATCCAAATAAGAATGAGACATTTTTGCTGTTTCCCCTGGATACCAAAGAAATCAGAAATCAATTCTGTTTAAACAACTGGTCCATGTGTTGAAGAATAAAAATCAGTCAGACCAGTTCCTTGAGTGCAATGATGATCTCTTGGATAAGACAGCTTCAATACTAGCACCTTTTTGTAAAACAACAGCAGAAAAAACAGCCTTAAACTTGTAACTTAATTGCACTGTTTCTGAGTGGATGCATTTTTTTCTTTAAGCGATTAAAGACCCCCATGATAACTTTTTGCAAGTTTGCCTGAATCCTTTATTCAATTGTTTTTCCACCTCTAGGTCATTTATTTAGCAAATATTGAGTGTCTACTACACAACATATATTCTTCTAGGTGCTTGAGATATATTAGTGAACAAAACAATGATCCTTGGCCTTAGAGAACTCATATCCCAGTAGGAGAAATACATAGAAAACACTAAAAATTAAAATAAATAAGTATATTATATAGAATGTTAGAAGGTAATGCTATAAGAGAAAAAAATAAAATAGAACAAGGTAAGGAAAATTGGGAATGCTGGGTATGTGAGGTAAGGATTTCAATTTTAAATGCTATCATGGTAGACTCATCAGAAGTGATTGGAAGTCACTGTAAACACGTGTTTTTATTCTAAGGAAAATGGAGGACTATTGCAGGATTTTGAGCAGGAGAGTGACATGATCTGAATATGCCAGAAATGCTTTCATTAATTTTCCTCTTAGTCTATATACAAATTTATTCTTCATTTATGCAGTTGGTTGAAAGACACAACTACCAATTTTTTCTTTTCTTTATGTTCATCATGAAGGCATTTAAAAAGTAAGGCAATTTATTTTCTTTGTTACCAAAGAAGAAAATATTTTCTGGAGGGCAATTTAAAGTTTGGTAGAGAAGCTCAGGTTGTTTTATGAGAGTTTTCAGTTCTCCTTTACTTGGGTATTTTGTTTTCTGACTTCTGTGGTGGTGCTTATATTTGCCTCCTGAAGCCCAAGAGTATAACTTTGACTTTGGGTACTAGGATTTGCTTTCTCACCAGGCAACTGACAGCTAACAGAATTGTGAGTGAAGCCTTGGAATTTGCTTCACAACTGAAGTGAAACTAAAATGGAAACCTGTATTTGAGGAATGGCTCTGCCAGTTACTTATTAAAAACCCAGTGCCCAATCACAAAATCCCTAGAGAAGGTAATAGATTTGCCAGCCTTTGGGTAAAGTAAAGTAAGACGTGGTCTCTCTAAATAGAACTGTGGAAACTTTTCTATCAAAATCCAATCCTAGAACTTGCCTCTTTGGCATTGCTGTGACCCTTCTTGTTGAAAAAAAGTATTTTGAAATTCACTGGTATTTCAACAATGGCAAAGGGACTTTTAAGCTTAAAAAAGATATTAAGTGTTATTTCTTCTTTTACTCGTCCATTTATTTATTCATTCACCCATTAAATCTTTACTGAATACCTATTAAAGTCAAGCATTATGTCAAGGTGCTTGGAGAAACAAGGCTGGTATTCCCTCAAATAGTTTATGGACCACTTGAAGAGATTAAACATAAATAACAATAACGCATGGTAGAAAGTTATTATTTCTATAACAAGGAAGTCCATAACCCTACGATTTTCAGGGGAAGTAGGAATTCTGTAGGGATATTACAAGAGGCTTCATGAAAAGGTAACATTTGACTTGTTCATAAAGTATGGCCTGCATGTGTGTGCATGGTGACAGGGGGAAGTGCAATTTAGGCAGAGGGAACTATCTCTGCCAAAACATAGAGGTAGGACTAGATAAGCAGTCACGTATGTGTGAGGTAAAGAAGGCCTAAACTAGAGCAGTGGTAGTGATAATAATAGAACAAAGAAAAGGAGTTACTGCTGAGGTCAATTTAAGGACACTTGAAACATCCATGGCCCCTTTAACTGAAAGACAGAGAGTGAAAATAATACATTCTTTTGGTACTGTATTTTATGGCTAACCACCGCTATGCTAGATCTGAGAATAAAATGGAGATGGGTGTAGTCCCTGTCCTTAGGACATGTGTTGTTGTTCAATGAAAGAAATGAACACATAAACACAATTCAGATACACAAGTCTCCAGTTGAATTCTTAAGGACTTCTCTGAGCCCCATTATTAATTTGCTAAGGAATAGGGCAGGATCACAAAGTTAGGATCCAACTACAAGCAGATTACAAAGCTATTTGGGAAACAGATATTCTTGACTTGTGTATTTATTTGGTTCAAGAAAAAATGAATGTCTTTTACTTTGTTAATAGCATAATTCAAAGTGCCATCTGCAGATGAACAGGATGGCCGGGCCTGGAAACTTGTTAAAAATGAAAATTCTCAGGCCCTGCCTCAAATCATTTGGGTCAGCAGGTGGCTTGATGTACATTAAAGTTTGAAAAGCACTGTACTGATCTAGAGGACCTACTCTTCACTAAGAAAAGGAGCTATGGGGTTTTTCTCTCTCCGCTCGGAGCACCCCTCCCTCTGTCTCTGCACGGGGAGCTTTTTCCTTCTTTCTTGCCTATTAAACTTTCCACTCCTTGAAACAAACAAACAAAAAAAAAAAAAAGAAAGAAAGAAAGAACAAACAAGAACAAAAGAAAGAAAGAAAAAGAGCTAACTAGAGGAGTCCATGTAGGTCAGTAATACCATATCTAATAAGAAGTCTGTTTACAGAGAAGCAAAAATTCAATTCGGCAAACATCTGTAGAGCTCTTATAACATCCCAGACACAGTGAAAGGTATTTTGAAATATTTGCCCAAGCAATTAAACATCTAGTAGTACAGATGGGCGTAGTATAGGATGAAAATTTTCAAAACAACCAACTCTGTCTTAAAAAGAGTCAAGCATCCAAGAATAGAGAAAAAACAGAGATTGCTGCTGGCTCATATGTTTTAAAGACAAGAATGTAACTATCCTTACTTGTCTTAATTTTGAACTAAACTTGAAGAAGGAGGCATAGGTCAAAAAAAAATCTAAGGAGAGGAGAAATAATTGTAAGAGAGAAGTAAGTCAACTACAGAGATAGATCCCATGATGCATAAATAAATAAACCCTTTAAAGCCTGTATAAAATTTAAAAGTCTGTATACATTTTAATGAAGCTTCCCATTTAAGGCCTACTTTTGCCTTTGAGTTTCACACCCTTTGGGGGTTTAAAAGCCACTACATCTAGAGAACTGTTGAGCATACATGTCTACTGGGATTTTTTTTCTATACAGTATAATTTTTTCTGAGAATCTGGCCTTCTGTCAAGTCATCCTCTGGCCCAGAGAACTTTATTTCACTCAGTAGACTGCTTGGAAGTCTTGATTTCCACAACCACTGATGTCCTGCACAGCTTTTTGCTTTAAAATATGATCACTGAACTTGAGATGTTGCTCTTGTTTTAATCCTAAATTGTCTTGTCAAATACATCAGAGTTTCACCCAGTGCATTTGTATATGTGTGTGTGTGTGTGTGTGTGTGCACATGAGGGTGTTTTTAAACACATGAAAGGTTTGTACTGATATCTTTATAAATTACAAATGCCCTTCCCTACCTCCCATTATTAAAATAGATCGTTCCTTTTTTTTTTTGAATTTTTAATTTCCAGCGCATTTGTATTACAGAGGAGGCCTAATGTAGGTCACTGAATGCCATCATAAATAATGGTAAAAAGGAAGTTCCCCTGTTTCATAATGCTTGTTAGCGTGAAAACACAACCCTGAATGCAGTATTATGCTTTTTGACTAAGGAGTCCTATGGATCTGCCCATGACTGCTGCATGAACTTTTTGTTCCTGCCAAATACACCAGCTGGGATGGGGATATTAATTCATTCTAACAGAGGTTTGTCAGCATTGCTCCTGAAAAAGTGCTGAGATACTTATATTTGCAAAGACCATCTTCAAAATGAAAAAAAAATGGAAAATACTGTTTTTAATACTGTCTTTTGCCTATTATCTCTTGGTCGAAGTTTTCCTGGGGTTAGCAGGTATTTATTCTGAGTTAGGAATAACCTGACATCTTTGTTTGTGGAATCTAGGTATGGCATTTCTTCGGGCAAACTATGCACATTTCTGTACCCCATGGCGACTCTAAGATATGGCTAGCATAGTTGTTTTATTTTGGTTTTGGTTTTTGCCCTCCACCTTCAAGCTACACTGTGTGTGTTAAGGCGGCTTCCTTGTGTGTTGACAGAGGGACCTACAAGAGGATTCCCAAATTTTCAAGGAAGAAGACTTGAAACCCCTTTCCACTCTAGATATTACTAAAGGTTTGCAAACCTGAGGGATGAGAGCCAATTTCATCTCTACACTTGACCACGCAATGACACAAGAAACTTTCAAAATGGCCAAGCTGAAATAGCAAAACCTGGGCTGCCCTTAAAACCCTTGCTAGCTTATAAAACTGTCACCCCCAAAGATAGTGAGGAATGACACATCGCTGATTTCTTTTTCTCTCCTTAAGATTGAGTGGGAATGGATGGAACAGGCTGGCAAAGATGAGCCAGGTAGAGATCTTGATACTGTATTCACAAATCAGTGTCCCATTTTATGTTTTTAGAAATTGATTTATGTGCATTGTTTCCTAAACAGTCTTTGAAAATGACTCCCTTTCTTTTCATCCTCTTCACCTGAGGCAGGAACATCTTGAAATATTGATTCTATTTGCTGCTAGCTTTCATTAATTTCATCCATCCCTGAAGGTGGAGCCACATTGGCACCAGCTAATTAAGACCTATTTAGGGCAGCTCAGAGTCCTTTAACAGCCCAGAATTAGCTTTGCTCTTTTAATGGGGACTATCGCTTTCTCAATTATTACTTAATTAAATAATGTGCCTATATTTGCAAGCATATTTCTAAAGTGAAATCCAAGCTGCAATTGCCCACCTACCCATAGGAAAGCAGAATATCTCACATTGGCTCTCAACTGCTTCTCTAGAAAAGTTAACATTCCTTTTGCATATGTGTGTGCCAGGAACATGATCACATTCTTCATTGTTAAGTGTGGCACAATGTGCCACTATCAGCCCTACAGCATTTCCATCATATTTCAGTCTTAAGATGTATTAATGCAAATGTGTAAATGTCAGCAGGCTAGTATTATTTATGCATACCAATCATTCAAAGGGGAAAAGGTATTTTGGTCCAGGTTGTTTTGAATATAAAACCTTTAATTTCAAAGATTTCTGGAAGAAATGAAAGTTCTGTAGAATTCACAATACTTGTTTTCCAGAAGTATATTGGTAGGTGACAATCTAAAAGTGACCACTAACCAATGAACCTAGAATTAAAAAAAAAAAAAGAAAGAAAGAAAAAAAAAACAACTGGGCCCCAGAAGATAAAGACAGAAAGGGAAAGCAACCTACTCTATCTGCTCTCTTAGCCTTTCCCACAAGGTCACCCTGTCTAATTGACAAGCCAAATAATTTTAGACAGTAACTAAAAAGAAAGCAAATTAAATTCCATTTGCTTCAAAAAGGTATTCCAATATGTTTGTGAGTTGGCCTAAACTTATTCTAAGACATTTAAATGATATACATATTTCTTCTACTGCTTCATGTTTCCTCAGTGAGGAATTCCTTAAGAAAAAAAACACAATGCTGGCCGGGCGTGGTGGCTCACGCCTGTAATCCCAGCACTTTGGGAGCCTAAGGAAGATGGCTCACGGGGTCAGGAGTTCGAGACTAGCCTGGTCAATATGGTGAAACCCCATCTCTACTAAAAATACAAAAATTAGCCAGGCATGGTGGTGCGTGCCTGTAGTCCCAGCTACTCAGGAGGCTGAGGCAGAGGAATCACTTGAACCTGGGAGGCGGAGGTTGTAGTGAACAGAGATCATGCCACTGCACTCCAGCCTGGGTGACAGAGTGAGACTCTGTCTCAAAAAAAAAAAAAAAAAACAAAACCCACAATACTTGGAAAAGTGAAAAGATGCCTACCTTAAACGGAAGGGCTATATTTTTTTTTAAGTATTTTTACAATTTTAAGAAGCAAGCTGAGAAGCAAAGTTTTCTTTGAGGAACTCCATGTAATCATTTTCCTATCATGAATCACTTTAACTACTAGTGACATATTTTTAATTCTATAAATTATACATAATAATGATGACATTGTCTCTCTGTTAAAAACTTGATGATGAAAATAACTACTTGCTAAAAAGTTCTAATAACTACAGGCAAATCAAACAAAATAGCTTTACAGTTAAAGCAAAATTAAATGGACACCCCTTATTCTCTATTTCCTCATGACTTCAGTGATGTATACCACTTAATTCACTCCTATTTACTTAGGAGAAAAATGTTCTTTTTTGGAGACTATTACCAACATATACTTTGTGAGCACAGATCCACATAAATGTTTGCCATTCAAATGTTTTCTTTGATGCAAAATATCCTTAAAGTGTTTACCATAATTATATTGCTTGTTGTGCTGTTATTCTTATTCTAAGATTATGTGTGTGTGTGTGTGTGTGTGTGTGTGTGTGTGTGTGTGTTGTGGAATAAAGCAGATGAATAATTACATTGAAATCTCTGAGACCTGTGATTGTCAGCATGGTAAAAAGAAGGAACAGATATAAGATAGAGGATGTAAACTTAAAACCTGATAGCCCTGGATTTGAATTGAAAGTTTCGGTTTGAACTCATAACGATTTTATCTTTAAACAATATACACAGTATATATTGTTTACATACTACCTCTGTCCTCTGTAAAGCCCAAGAAACAAAGACCAATCCAGTAGCAATGAGCAGCAATGGTGCTAATATTATGCTCTCTTAACTACTAAAAGAAACTGACGTTCTTTGCAGAAATGTCTGAATCCAGGTCTGCCTCGGAATATGTACAAAAAAAGCCTGAAACATTCCATAATACCAGGAAACAAAGAAGCTATCAAAGACTACTAAGGGCATGTCAAAAGGACTCAAAGCCAATTTGAAGAGGTTCCCATAGGCCAAAATAGGGCAATCTGAGCATAAGGATATAATTTTAATAAATTAAAATACTTCAAGTATGTTTAAGTCTGTAAGTCAATATGTAAATATTAATAATAGTGGACGCCTATAGAGAATGCAAGGAAACTAATACATTAAAACTGGTAAATAAAGAGGAGAACAGGATTGGTTTCTATCTCATGGTAACCAAATGAATAAGAGGGTAAATTACTCTTAATAAAATATATCAGCTAATAAATAAAAAGGATAAGATGAAATAGCACCATTGTGCAATCCTAATACATTATATAATCTAGCAAATAATCATTAATGGCATCTAACATTAAAAAAAGAGAAAACTAGAGAGTATTTCTTCTGAGAGAAGAACCACCTAATGGTTTTGGCAAAAAAAAAAAAAAAAAAAAAAGACATGAATCCAACCAAGCCTCAATACATAAATACCAGTGTAGCAGAAAAAGAAAGATCATGGGAATGTGATTAACAAATCTAGATTGTGGAAAACTCTGTACGACTAATGCCTAGGTTTTTTCAACAACAGGCAGGGAGGGAGATAGAAGAGAGAAGGAGAGACAGGGAAGTTTCTATATAGGTTAGGAGAAATATAAGACACATATCAATCAATTGCTATGTATAAACCTTATGCTAATCCTAATTAAAACAAACTATGAAAAATATATCAATGAGACAATTGGGAAATTTGCAAACTAAATATATAATGATATTAAGGCAGAATTGTTGATTTTTATGTAGGGCAATGGTATTGTATTGATTTTAAGACTTTTTATCTTTTAGAGGTATACACCAAAATATTTATAAATAAAATTATATGATATCTGAGATTTGTTTCAACATAGTCTTTGGTGAGAGAGAAAGTGTGTAGGGGTATAGATGAAACCATACTGGTCATGAATTAATAATTATTCAAGCTAAGTGATGGTTATACAGAGGCTCATTACACCACTAGTGTCTCTATAAGTTTGACATTTTCCTTCATGAAAAGTTGAAAAATATATTCTAGTTTGAAATTTGACAATGAATATCAGATTGTCATGGGAAATTCTTAGACAATAAAAGTCTTTAACATAGATGGGGTTAGGATATAGATTGGGAACAGCAGCTTCTGAGGTCATTTTGATCAACATTTTATTATCCAACCAGGCTCTACTTAAATCACCCATTCTGTCCATTTCTAAAACACTAGCATAGTTGTCTTCTCTTGTCTGGTTGGAGTACTAAGTGAAGCAACCAGACAGAAATAGACTCAGTGAAAAAGATAAGAATGCACCATAAACTGAAACCATATTTCTGTTTCTTTAACTCTCATTTTGGTAACTCTACCAATCGAATGATACCTTGCAAATTAACTTTATCAAGTGAGTAAAATTACCTAGTAATTTTCCTACGATACAGCTTTCTTCATCATGGCCAGTAAGAAAATGATCTCCCAAAGCTATTCTCTCCCAATTCTTTTACAATTTACACATATGTGATGGTGTTGTCTCCCTCAAAGCTCACGGCAAAAGTCAATGTGAAATAAACACATAAAAACATGAACCAACAGCATGCTAAGCTCTTCTCTGATACCTCCCCGCAAATGACTCTAGGGCTTATAGGTATGTCTGGGTGATACCCTGAGGGCTAACTCTAACTAATGAAAAACCAAAATACATTTCATTAATTGCATTGCTCTGGGCTAAGGAGAGATCAGAAATTTCCAAAGCCCTTTGTGAATAGGCTTCATATTTATATAGAATAATGTGACATATGACCATTTTTCTTTGAAGCACCATACCTATCCCTTTCATCTCTACTGCCTGTCATTTTGGACAGTTTATGCTACATTGATTCAAATCTCACCCTTGGGATTCTTCTTGCTAACTCATACAGTCCGAGGAACTAGTATTTCATGGCTATTTCTGTCTTGTATTTCATATGAAGCTGTGTATTTTTGGTGCTCAGAAGTAGAAAATGTTAAATTCAGATCAACCCACATTACCAAAGGAGAGTTGATCCACCTAAGGTTTTTAAGTAATCATCAGCATTCAAATTACATCCAGAGATATCAGAAACTGCACCTCCCTGAGCACATAGCTCAATATAGTTAAAAGCTTAGATTTGATAATATTGAATAGTGAAATACATACATTTTGAAAAAATTGGAATGCTAATATTGGAACTATAGCAGATGCTCAATTTATCCATGATATTGCACAAATAAGCAAAATTCACAGATAATTTAAAACTTTAGCTATTGGTTTCAATATCTTCCCTTAACAGTTCTTTATTAGCGCTAGATATAAGAACTAAGATTGTCTGATTTGTAATTCCTGTTTTCTCTGTTTTAATAGTTATCTTTCTAAAAAGAAAGAAAACATGGCACACAATTCAGTTACAGAAGAGATGAGGGAGCTGGAAATGGAGCAAACAGAGGAAATAGGAGAAGGAAGGGGAGGGGAAAGCAGGCTTCAAGGGAAAAAAGTGCGAAGTGTAGTTTACAGAATGCTACAGAAAAAACATGGATGTAATAAAAAATGCAAATTGGTTTTTGGATAATTGAATGAATAGTATTTATACCTCATTTCTTTAAAATAATTCAACTGCTAATGATTTTAAGGGACGTATAATTTCAATATGGTATTCTGCTGAACAAGTTAGATACCAAGTTATGATGTTCAGGATCACAGTGCCTATTTGCATGCAAGAAGCTACACAATCTTATTGGAGAATCAGTAGCCTGTTCTGTTTGTGGTCTCAGGTAAAATTTTGGCAAAATTCCCAGAGGAGTTTAGATTAATGCATAATCCTAAAGTTCCTTACCATTACTAGGTTTTGAAACAGAAATGTTTAGGCTTCCTCTTTCAGCTGAAATCCAACTCAATCAATAGCAAATGGAACAAAATAAAAAAAGATCAAAAGATACCTTGGGGAAGTATCCAGTGTTTCTTGGAGACTCAAACCAATCAGAATGGAAAGAACAGGAGGTAGTATAGGTGGAATAAATGAGACCTCAGGCTGGCTTATCAAGTAATCATAATAGTCAAAACATATAACAATCAGCGTAAATAAATAACTGTTCATTTTATATCCTGCAAAAGGAATTGGCGAAGATTTAGCATAAAAGATAATAAAAGACAATAAAGCTGCTTCAGAGAGGGCTCACCTGTCCTTCCCAGTTTCCTTCTTAAAAACTCCATCACAGTAACTCATGCGCTTCTCTGTGGTCACGTATATTTGGGCATTCGGATAGATACCAACTGTCTTTTTCAACATGTTGTAAACGATGCCATTGCCATCTTTCCTCATATTGCGGAAAGGTCCCCAAATAACATAAATAGTAGTATTCGCTTCCTTGAAAAAATAATCAGGGTTTTTTAGCAAAAGAGGAACGCTGGTATGGGACACAACTCGAATCATGGTCATGCGGCCGACATCTTCTTCATAACCTTTGGTGGGGGCATTGTTCATTCTCCAAATGCAGGAGGATCGATCTATCTCATTTCCCACCTTCTGGCCAACCATCTGACCTGAGTTTGACACTATGGCACAAAGGTCACAGTCCAGTTGCAAAGGCTGAAAAATAGAGAAAGAAGGCATGTAAATTAGTAAATTCCACTTAGTCAAACAAGTTCCTATGGGAAAACAAAAGTTCATATATTGTATAATTACCAAATATGGAAATATCTCTGAAGTACCTACAAATACCAAACCTACAGTCGCTGCCACAGATTATCAAGTTAACAGCATGCTTCCATTAAAAAAGAAAAAGTATACCGTCAAAAAATAATTTTAATTTCTATAATCCCCACGCCCTGGTTTAAAATTATAGGCAAAAAATAGTTATTTGTTTTCCACTCTAAATGATAAATATTTTTATTCAGAACTGTAATTTCAGGTGAAATAAGAAAATACGAAAAGATTTGATCTTTGTAATAAGGTTGGTGGCTATAAAGGAAATGCAAAAGAAACATATCCAGGGATCAATTATGTATTTTACCTGTATGCATGAATGGTTATGAGCAATTGATAAAAATATGAAGAGTTCAGCAAGCAATGAGGTTATAAAACAGATTTTCAGAACCAGTAACTACTTAAGGTAAGTCCCAGGCTAGCAGAAATATTACAGAGACCCTTCAGAGATTCCCTCAAGTCATCATATTAATTGGCGTCTGTGTTTATGTTTATCCTAGATGGATAAGGAAAGGCCTCCTTTTAGATGGGAAGGTATATACACAGACAGTCTCTATAGTTAGTCTAAGTCCCTTTCTCCCTTTTTATTTAACCACGGAGATAATAGAGACTCGTGGAAGTTAAGCATCAGCTTTCAGGACTTGGAGATGATAAAGCTGCAGTGTTAGATTCAAATCTAGATCGTCTAACTCTAAGCCCACTGCCCTTTCCGTTATTCCTTGCTTTCAGTTCTCCTAAAACAACCAAATAGATTGCTTTTGCTGCTTCTCTCCCACATAGTCACCCTTTCTTTTAAAACAGTAATAAAGAAGCAATGTGCTTTTTTGATATACATCTTTCTCATCTCCCTTCTATGAGATTCCACATTTTGCATCTGACATTCGATCTTGAATTTTTATTGTGCCTGTTGGTGAGTAGCCTCTCTCGACTGGGTACTATCCTTGTTTTATGTATTGTGTTGGACTTTATTGTTTAATTATGTCTGTCCACTAGACAGTAAACTATGTCAGAACAATGCCTATCTTTTTCATTTTAACTCCATTCCCCCGTCAGTCCCTGGAATACATTAAAGGCTCAGTTGGTTAAGTTAGGAAGTGAAAGCAATTGAATTAAAATAACTACACTGAGAGGTAAGATACTGCATAAAAATCAACCAGTTAGTCATCATACAACTGTAACAGACCATTGTTCCTATCAATGGTAGGCACTCACAGCAGTCATAGAGCACCTGCGATGTGTCAGGCACAGTTCCAGGGGTTAGAATTCAGCAGTGAAAACTATAAACAAAAACTCCTGTTCTCATAGAGCTTATATTCAAGTTGGGTGCAGGAGAAAGGCAATAAATAAACTATCATCCCATATAATATGTTAAATTTTGCTAAGTACTAAATCGAGAAAATTAAAGCAGGAAAGGAGGTTAAGAGGTATGTGTGTGCACGTGTGTGTGTGAGTGTGTGAGAGAGAGAGAGTTGGTGGAGTAACCAGAAAAAGACATTGCTGAGAAAATAATCTTTGAGGAAAGACTTGAATGAAGTGAAAGAGTTGGCCATGAGCATATTTAGGAAAAAAGCTTTCCTGCAGAGCAAATGCAAAAACCAATGCAAATACCCTGAGGCAGGAAAGGAATAGGAAGAGCAATGTAGCCTGGCAGAGCCAGTGGGGAGAGCCAAGTAGGTACTGAGGCCAGACAGATAGCAGGGGAGAAATCACTTGGGGTCTTTCAGTTTGCGTGAGATGAAGCGCCATTGAAGGGCTCGGGACAGAGGAATGACTGAGCTGAGTTACATTTTAACAGCTTTGGCAACTGTGTGGAAAGTTGATAAAAAAAAGAGGCCAGGGTGGAAGCAGGAGATTAGGCCGCTGCTACAATCCCAGCAAGAGAGGATAGTGATGTGGACCATGTTGAGTAGCAAAGGAGATGGAGAGAAGCCGCTTATGTTCTGGAAATATTCTGAAGGTACAGCCTATTGAATTGAAACTACTCAAACTGCTTTAAAAACTTTTTCCCCCTAATTAGTAAAGTAATATGGGAAACTCAAAAACTAAAAAGAATGGACAAAATGATTTAAAAAATTCTCCATATTCTCATCACTCAATAACACTACACCGATTTTTGTCATATTTTTTTCCTTTCTATAGATATTATTTTAGACAGGTTGAGAAATGCCATTTATATTCTTTGGCCACCTTGGTTTCTTACTTAATGAGAAACCATTAATCAAAAATCATCAGCCTTTCCCATGTCAGCCCTTAGAGATAGTTTTATGCCTGCACAAGATTCCATTATAGGGATATACCATATGTACCGATTTGCCTACTGCTGGGCATTTAGCTATTATCTGTTTTTTTTTCTACTATAAAAAAGTGCTTTGATAAACATGCTTGTTCTTCCTCCTGCATTTTGGATGCTAACAGTTATTACATTAACTTAAATTAGTTTCTTTGATTTCATTTTTATTTGTACTCCTATAAAATGTGCCAGACCGACAAAGGCATGTGTTTATTTGAAATGTCAAAGATAAAACTTTTGAAAAAAACTTGACTTGCAGAATGCACAAAGGCCCATTTATGAGTTGTCTTAAAACTCTGTTATTAAAGGGACTGTTCATCACCCCTAACACAGTAAGGTTTCTCAACTAATGTGAGTAGCAGGTGGTCCAGGCACCAGATGGGAATAGATCCATACAAGGTGAATGAGTGTATTAGGACACTTGGAAAAGAGAGTTTTATAGGTTAGTGCCATAGTGAAGACTTCACCAGTGACCAAAATGGAGGCACAAGGAAGTGCCCTTTGGGGTCACGCATTGATTTAAGACCCTTCCTCAACCTCTTAGGAGCCTACCTTCTTTTACACAATAGAGAAGAACATAATATTCTTCTTGCCAGACGGCTTGCAGCAGAGCCTGACATCCATTACTCTTAGCTGAGTCCTCCAATTCACTTACAGTCATGCAAATCAATGCCTGATTTAAATTGTGTGTATCATATGGCATACTCCAACTTATCACCAAGATGCATATGGTGCGGGGGGTTACATTCCATTTGCTATTCCAAGAAGTTGCTTCGTTGTGTAATAAAAGCATGGTTGGGGTATAGCCTCCACAAATTTAAACAATCAAAAAGAAGAAAAAGAAAGTCTTGGATATGTTCAAATCTATAAAATGCAGCAAATTACATTGGATTTCCTAGTCATTATAATGAATTAGCCAGTTTTGCTGTAACAAGGCTTAATATAGAATTAAGTGAGACCAGCACACTGGTCTCACTTGACAATTGTAACCTCTGAAAGTGATCAATTAAGACATCACAATCTGTTTCATGACAACACATTGGGATGCCACAGCTGTGCAGATTATGAGGTCAGCAGCTAACTAACAACTTGAGGGCAAACATTGGGAACAACAGCCTCTTGTTTATGTGACAAATATGTCATTGGGTAGAGTATTATGAATGCAACGGCTTTGAGGGTAGATGGTGATCTATAAAATTGCCACTTTGTTTTTTTGTTTGACTATTCACTTGGCCCTACTGTCACCATGGCCGTCATCTTAAGAGACGTTTGTACTTCTTGGTCTATACTTCTGGGTAATAGTTTTGCCTAGCCATCTGCCTTCCTGAATAAGGTACCAGGAGACATGGATGAACATGATAATTGCTCTATTTTACCACTTACTTGCAGGAACCATCTTTAAAGTATGACAAGAGTGTGGGGGCCAGACAAATGGAACATTCCTAATCATAATCAGGAGCTTCAGGTAGCACAAAAAGCTTGCTTGCAAAGCCCAAGGGACTCATTTATACATCTGAAGGCACCTTCAAACTACAGTATGCCATGACAAAAAGAAAGAAATACCTAGGCACAAATGGACAATTTGACCCAAAATCTGCTCTTATCTAGTTATCTCAGTTTTTCTTATTAGCTTTATTACTACGTCTTTTGATCTCAACTTTCTCTGTTAAAGTGTACTGCTATTTCTTCAACTCATTCATATTATTTGATTTGGGGGCTTTGCTTGAAAATTTATTCCATATGTCTTCACTCACTCAGTTCTGCTTCAGTAGGCAGTTACTCTTTCTTTCTAGACTGAGGTCCTGGATTTTCCAAGAACTTTGTTAAGATTTATCTAGTTCCACTTTATCAAGCCACATCTAAATTTTGAATTCTCCCTTTATAGTTGAATTGTCTCTATTTTTTGCTTTTTTTTTTTCATTAAAAACAAACTTGTCTTCTTCATCTTGTCTCTTGTGCACTCAAAGCATCTTTGAAAACATCTTGTACATTCAAAATATTTTCACTGGGCTTCAGCTGTGTCTATAAACTGAGAGCACCACAAATATTCAGCCAACCCTGTCTGGGTCCCTATGTCCTTGTTAAAGAAAGCCACAAATGTCAAACACTTCCTTTTATTTAAGGTCTAAAATATTGATTTTCTTTTATGGTAACAGCACTGTATTTGTTTTGGCTATTTTTTTCCTCTGCAAAAGTATACTAACTCTATACCAGCACATCTGGTTTCAAAACAATCAGCTTGGGAGGAGTTAAGAATTTGGTGACATCTATTGAATAACCACATAATTTTTATTTAGTACCTATTCTGTGCAAGGCACTGTGAAGAGTAAAATAATTTTAAAATTCTAATCAGTGTGAACTTAATCTCAGCACACAGCGCTAAGCTGTGTGGGAGAGTTTCATGATCAACTAGAGTCAATTCGTATGCTGTTTTAGAAGCCTAAGGAATGGCTTTGTAAAACAAGTCATTTCTCTGCTAAAATGAATCTCGACATTTTGCCACCTTACAGGAAAAAATGACTTGATTATTGGCTGGGGCACAGGTAGAAGGTGAGAGAGAGAGGAAGGGAAGAAACAGCACCAGAGAGACCTATAAGTATAGTGTAGTAGAATTTTTGATATACACATGATTGAATGCCTATTACAGGTCAGTCATATTTCTCAGTACTTTATTACATTATTCCACATAATTTTCATGGCAGATTTTTCAAGTTACCTTAATTCATTTTCCATTACTGAGTTGAGGAAGTTGAGATAAACATGATGTCCAAAGGATACTAGATATTTTTCAGGTTAAAAAGAAGAGCATATGTTAACTTTCAGGAAATGCACTCACAGCAGCATTAGGAAATGTGGAATATCAAAGAAATAATTATTACTGATTTTCACTATTCTTAATATACATATATGCAGATACCTCAAATCTTGCTCACTATTATATTTAAATTATTTTAATTAAATCATAGATTAATGCTTTAAACATGCTTGTAATCAATAACTTCACCACTATTCCTTTTTGGCAATAGTGCTAGCATGACATAAAAAATTATTGAAAATGTTTTTGTTGATATTTTCAGCTTGAAATATGGCTGAAATTTCAGTCTAAGATAAACTAATCATGACCAATTTTATTAGCTTTTAAATGGTCCTTCACATCTGCTTACTCAATTTGCTTTTCAAACTGTTTCTTTCACAACAGCAGTGAAAGATTCTCAAGCAATAAATAATTACTGTCCATGTCGGGCAAAAAAGACCATGGCAGATGATATTATTTTCTAAACTGGTCTCCAGGACTAAAGGGAATAATACCTCCCCACTGCCCAAAAGCCTCCTTCAGAAATTCACTTTAGAAATTCACAGTGGCCATTTGCAAGTCCTTGGGAATCAATGTTCATTGAAGACTGTCAAGAGGTCTCTAACTCATGAATGGCTCTTCTCTTCTATGAGGATCCAGGACAATGGCTGACTGGGGTACTATGTTCACACGATGGGTCTTTTTATACCATGCCTGTTTTTATTTTTATTTTATTATAAGCATGAGTATTTGAGAGGCATACAAATGAATTGTTCTGAAAAATACTGAAGAATGTAAGTACAGAGGAATTGATTCCCTGTGAAGGTCCTATGTTCTCTGATACTGTAGGGTGGGGGGAAAGTGTAGATATTCTTAACTCTTTCTAAAAGTCTCTAGCATTTTTATAATTACTCAGCCTTATTTCCTTGTTTGTAAACAATATATTTTATTGACATAGATTCCAGAAATCAATTTACCATGATATGCTTAACCAATTCTTTCCTGGGTAAGAGAGAAAGTGAGTGAGAGAGAGAGGGAGAGAGAGAAATGGCCAAAACTGACAGGTTATTCACCCTGACTGGCAAGTTTCACCTCTCGTTGACTCAGGGTCACTTTTCTCTTTAAATTGGTACACATACAGTAAAAGAACCCTTCTGTTCCTCCATTCAAAATTCACACCACACACACACACACACAAATACACACACACACACACACATCTGTTACCTTCACTTAGCTGATGTGATTGCTCACTCTCCTAGGCCAGTTTCATCCTTACCAACCACCCTGGGAAAACCATCCCTTTCTCTTCTTTGGGTATGAACCTGACAAATTGCCCTATCCTTTCTGAGTGATATATTGGGACAAGTGCCAAGCACTTTACATTTTAATCAGTAAGAATAATGTAATATTTAACCTTTACTTTTTTCTCTCTGAATAAGCTTATAGACAATAGAATAAATAATTAAAATTTGTGAAATAATAAAACTTGCAAAACAGTGGTTTCCACAGCAAAAAGGAACAGCCATGTACGAAAGGTCACCTGTCAACTGGTTCTAGTTATTAAATCTCTGCATTTATCACTAAGGTGGCTCTATGGAAAACGAAGGTCAAGACACTAAATTATGAAACAGTCAGGATTAGAAAAGGTCACCCAAAATTCAAGTAAAATTTAACCAAACCTGCTAATTCTATACCTTCAAAGCAAGTAGAAACAGCCAGATTTGAAACACAACATTGGATAGCTCTAATCTATCTTTCTACTTTAGCCCCATCCGGAAAATGAATTTCTATTTGATATCTTGAAGTCTAAAATAAAACTTGCTTATCTCAAGTAAAAACAAGAACTTCAATGAGTATTTCTAAATGAAAATCATTTCAATTGAACCAGCATAAATTATTAAAAACATTGTTTTACACTACTCTAATGGTTCCTTTCATTTCAACCATAAGGATGCCATTTTAAAAATTGGAGATGGGACACTCCTGGCACCTTAAATACTTTACAGAACAATTAGCAACTCACCACTCACTAATTTACTACTTTAATGTTGAAACAAAAAAGATCTTTGCTTTTCATTATCCAATTTGAATGAATTTGAACAAAGCAGGTTGAACAAAGCTCCAGAGACGCACTCTTCAGTTTGCTGTCATTTATTCCCCTGCTCTTCCTGAATGTCTTTAGAGTTCTAGTTTTAGAGGCTTCAACATGTATAATGACGGCATTGGGGAATAGATTTTGCCTTTATTCTCCTTGATGTTCTTTTTGAGGTCTTTTAAGTGAAAGGTACAAAAGAGGCATTAACAATCTGGCATTGTTTTTATTGCTTGATAAAAAAATGTATTTTAATTTTTCCCGTGTTTCAGGAATGATTAAGCAAGCTGTTTTCATCTACACTGAGTCACTTTCAGCAGACCTTTAACTGTGAGCAAAGAATTGTGAAGACTGTTCTGCAGAGAAATCAACACAGTTCAGCCAAGCTAACCTGTAAATGTACTTCCTTGCCCCTCCACAAACCAGCATCTTCCAGTGAATGCAGCTTTCTAAAGCAATGTGTATAAATCTCACAGCACATAAAAAGACAGATTTGATAACTGATGGTTTAGCTCTGACTCTATGTGGATTTGGGATGTGGCATTTACCTTGGTTCCTACCTGGTGACATTAAATCTAAGCATAAAACTTAATATGGGGGTGCATAAAAATGTTAATGTCATGAAATAATTCTACAACAGGCAACATAAAGCTATGTTTCTCGGTTGCCATATATAATATGCTCCGTTTATTTGGAAGTTCCTCTAGGGAATGGATCTGCATAAACATGTACATGTGCCAGAGGAACGCAACATGTTTTCTCCAGACTGGGAGGCAAAAAACACGTTTTCTCAAACCAAGAAAGAGTTTTCTCATATGGATGTGAATTATGGTAATAATTCATATCCTATTATTACTATTAGGTCACAGTAAAACTTGGATAATTTTATGGCCAACTTACCTCTTGATTATTTTTTTCTCCTTTCAGGAGGATGATCTCAGGACGTGCTGCTAAAATGCCACACAGGAATGTCACAAAAAGAAGGTAAGAAAACTGATTCTTGCTATATGGTATTAGTGTACTTGCATGTCACTCAACTAGGAATATAGTTTTCAACTGGCTATACATTACAATGACCAGGAGAACTTTTAAAAATGGCAATGGCGGGAGTCCACCCCTGACCAAATAAGACAGACAATTTCTGAGGATGGCACCTGCACATAATTTTGTTTAAGTCCCACATGTGATTCCAATAGATGCCTAGGTTTGAGAAACATTCTCCTAGAAGAATTAAAAACAATAAGAGAGGAGACCATAATGTTTGATCAAAGGGATGAAAACAAAACAATAAATTTGAATCCTTAGGGAAGATGCTGGGGTAGGAAATCCTTCTAGTTATCCTTCAAATACTAACAGATTGACAAGAAGCACTTACACATGAAGTCAGCCCTAGAAGTCAGACATTTTGAAGAGCAAATGGAGAGTATACTGGAGGTCTGCATGTAGTGCCAAGCATGAGAACTTCTATTTCCTACAGAGTTATTTTTAATTATATAGCATTAGAGGTTTTATCAATTCTCTGGCTAGAATTTTCTTTGGAGGTAAGGAAAATCATACTACCTAATAAATTTTCTTAATTTTCATGTGGGATTCCTGCCAGCATATAAAGCTAGTGGTAAATGGAACAGTCATTGCCATTCACTCAATACAGATTTTTTTTTTCATTTTGTTTTGCTTTCTGGGCTGAAGGATACTTTAAGGGCTTATAGTTTGAGAGGAGGAGGTTGGTAAAGATGGAATGATTGACGATACAAGAGAAGGACCACTGATGGAGTGAGAATACATGGAAGATAAGACTCAATAATTTAAGAGTATAGTTAGATTGGTACCCTTTGGAAAGGCAGAAATACATCTTTCTTGGAAACAGGAACAATGAATCAAGAATGAGAGAAGAAACAGGTTACTTTATAAGAAAGGACTTCAACTAGATTCACTCTAGGTTCTCTTATATTTCTAAAAGGAAGCAAGTGTTAATTGATGAGAGATAGGGTACTTCGAGTTACAGTTAACAGACTTTAAAATAGGATGAACTTTTGAAAAAGAATATTTTGAGTAAGAGAGTTGAGAATAAAAATGATTGCAAATGATGTTTCAGCTAGAATTTACAAACTATAGATATGTGATGAAGCTACTGTAAGGTATGTATTCTGCCTAAATAATATTCTGGAACACAGAGGCAAGAATGAAGAAAGCAGCTAGTCAGGAGATCATGGTGCGTAGTGTACTGAAAGCTGAAAGTTGGAAGTTGAGAAATAGTCATGGGCACTAGCAACTGGATTCCACACTGAAAGTGGAAGGAAATGGTGGCAAAATTAGTAAATGGAAAAGATAGGGAAGCATGACTGTCTTAGTGGGGTTATGTACATTCCTTGGAGGCAAGGAGAGATATATTTACATTGTACATTCTAAGACTAGGCTTATTTTAGGAATAAGGAGAAGAATGTGGCTTGCATAAACTTTGAGTTAAAGGTCTGTGATTGCAAATGGGATAGGCTCCAGGAAAGCTGTACTATAAGTACGCCTTCTAGTTTCAAAATGAAAACCCAAAGTACAGAAGATATTCAACTTCATTATTGTTAAAAAGTACCATCATGAGAACTTTGACTTCAACAATGTTAACTTTCAAATATCAGACTGCCCTTCTATGGAAAATAACTTAGCTGCAAAAAAAAATATAAATTCATCTCTAAACCATCGAAGACTTAACAAGATGGTAGGAAATTACCAGCCTAGAGAAGACTAGAGCTCACTAACACTAAAATCTGCTTTTGCCCCAGGGGCATTAGTAATTCTGGAAGGAATAGGTGAGCTCTGTTTCTGGAAGCATGTTGGGCCTAGAAGAATAGAAATCAGAATCCAGAGCCCAAGGGTAAACAAACATTCACTTTGAACTAGGATTCCTAGAGTTATTGTAAGATTAAGTCTGAACTGAAAATAAACCAGTCTTATAAAATCTGTCAACCTATTTTATGTCAATTTGTTGTGTCTGATAACCTCAGTTTTGAAAATTTTATTGTGTGTTCCTGAACTTCTATTGACTTTAGACACCTAGAACAACCAAAGAAAAATCTCCTCTGGAGGAAGATAATATCATCCTAGGTCTCAAATCACTGTTACAAATAAAGTTTTAAGCACAATGCCCCATACACAATTAAAAACTTCAGATATAAAAAGAAACAAACCACCATTAAAGAAAACCAACAAAAATACTCACATAAAATCTCCACATACGGAATTACAGGATATAGACTAAAACAATGTTTACGATGTTCAATGAGATTGGAGTCTAGTGAAAAATTTTGCAGGGAAATGAAAACTATAAAAAGTGATGGAGCAGATATGTAAAATAGTTACTTAGAAATTCGATAATTGATAAATATAATACATGAAATAAAGAACTCAAGAAATGAATTTAACAGCAAATTAGATAAAGCTAAAGAAAGAATTAATGAAAGAGAAGATAGAAGCAAGTACTCAGAATGAAACATGAGATTTAAAAAAATAAGATAAGAGACTCAGAATACAATGAGAAGGACTAGTATACATTTATTTGAAATCTCAGAGGGAGAGAAGAGATAAAATGGATAAAGGCAAGTCAGTGAAAATTTTTCAGAATTTATGAGAATTCAGTGATTCAAAAGGCTCAATTACTCTCAAGTAAAATAAATCCACATGTAAACATTATAGTAAAGCTTCATCATACAAAAACAAAGAGGAAATTTTATAATGAAAATTATAAAATAGCATACAACTTGAGAGGAGGTATAAAATTAGAAGTGTTTTAAGTATCTTCCATTCTTTTTTTTTTTCTTTTTTGAGACAGAGTTTCACTCTTGTTACCCAGGCTGGAGTGCAGTGGTGCGATCTCAGCTCACTGCAGCCTCTGCCTCCCAGGTTCAAGCAGTTCTCCTGCCTCAGCCTCCCGAGTAGCTGAGTAGCTGGAATTGTAGGTGCCCACCACCATGCCCAGCTAATTTTTGTATTTGTGCTAGAGATGAGGTTTCACCATGTTGGCCAGGCTGGTCTCAAACTCCTAACCTCAGGTGATCTGCCTGCCTCAGCCTCCCAAAGTGCTGGGATTTCAGGAGTGAGCCACCATGCCCAGCGTAACATTACACTTTCTAAGAGGACAGAAGTTTTCAAACTTTTGGTCCCCAATCTCACTTATATTCTAAAAAATCATTGTTATTTTCCTGAAGAGGCAGGCCCACTTCATTCATTTTTGAGAAAATGTCTTCCAAATGCCAAAATCTAAATATTCATAGTTTGTCTGTTGGCTGTTATATTTCAAGTAAAAATGGTGTTCAGAAACTTACAACTCTTTGCAATTCTTCACAACAAAAAAAGTTGGGGAGAAAAATAAATTAATGTAATTTGCAATATTAACAGTAAAATCAAATGATCATCTCAAAAGTAAAATCATTTGATTGTCTCAACAGATGCAGCAAAAGGATTTGAGGAAATTCAATGTTGACTAATAATTTAAAACTGTTATTTAAGGAAAACAACAAGGGACTTCCTTAGTCTGATAAAATGTTTTTACTAAACAAAAATTCTATAGCAGACATTGTACTTAATACTTAATGTTAAATTTTTGGAAGCTATCCCTTCAAAATGAGGAATAAAACAATAATTTCCACTATCCCCGCTGCTATTTAATATTATACTGAGGTCATGAAAAAATAAAAAAAGTTTGAAGATTGAAGAAGAAACAAAAATATAATTATCTACAGATTATATCATGGTATTAAAAATTCATATATAATTTGTTATAGTTTTTATTAGAGTTAGGATTGCTAGATACAAATCAGAATCCAAATATGTTGTATTTCAATATAGCTAAAAATTTAAGAAAAGATGCCATTCATTACTGCCTCAAAATATTAAATACCTAGGAATAAGTCTAATAAATGATGTGCAAGACCTCTGTGGAGAAAATAACACCATTTTATTGAGAAATATTAAAAAGGATCTACATATTTGGAGAGACATAACATATACATGGAATAGAAAATTCAATGGTGTAAAGAGGTAAATTATCCTCAAATGAATCTATAGGTTCAAGATAATCTCAATCAAAATCCCCAAATACCACAAGATTTCTTCCATGGAACTCTACAAACTGATCCTAACATTTTTATAGAGATGCAAAGGGCCAAGAAAGCTAATGCCCTTGATGAAGAGGAACAAGATGGTGTGGACACAAGGGCAGACACATTGACCCATGCAACATAATAAAGACCCCAAGTGTTTGTGATGAAAGTGCCAAACAGAGTACTGGGCAGAGGAAATGAGACATTTTTAAAAACACTGAATAACCTCATGGAAAAAGGTGAATCTAGACCCTTACTTATACACAAATTTCAGTTCTAGGTGAATTGAAAACCTGTATCAGAAATACAATAGAGTAATGCTTTAAGATGAAAGTGCAGGAGAAAATTTTCATACCATCAGGTAGGAAACATTTTTATTAAACAAAATAGAAAAGCACTCACAGTAGAAGAAAAGACTGATAAAATGAATTATACTATCCCTCAAAAGACATTAAAAGTGAAAGGCAGGCTATGGAGAGGGAGAACACAATCATAGGAAGGGTTAATATACAAAATACATAACAAATTCCTATATATAGATAATAAAATCAGCCAAAACAATAAAAAATTGGCATAAGATGCAATTATTGATTAAAGAGGAAATCCAATGGCAAATACACACAAGAAAAGGTCCTTATCATTCATAATCCAGAAAATGCCAATTTTAAAAACGAGATGTTACTGCATATATACCAGGTTACCTGAAATTAAGAGTTATTTTGTTAATTAAAAGTTAAAGTGTTTAAAAAAAATGCACTGCAACTGGAAGTCTCAGGCAACAAACGGGAGTGTAAACTTTTCATTAACACTTTTGAAAACTGTAGCATTCTACTGTATACCTGAATGTATATATGCTCTATGACCCAGAAATTCTACTTCCTGCTATATGTCCTATAAAAATGTATTCTTTTTGTGTACCAATTTTCATGTACACAAACATTTAGAGCAGCATTGTTTAAACTCCCTCAAATTGCAAACCACACAAATTTTTATGATACTTGTGTAAGGGCTACTATCCAGCATTGAAAACAAATAAACAACATCAGTAAATATAAAAAACATTATATTCAGCAAAAGCCAGATAGAATAAAGCATATAGTAAAAGATTTGATTTATATAACACTCTAAGTAAGCTAAAAGTAGGATATTTTCTTAACACGGTAAAGAACATCATTTTGAAACCAAAAACCCCAAACATCACAATTAACAGTACCCTACCAGAACAATACCAGAAAGATACCACTGATGTATCGTTTTATAAGATGTTAGTAAATGTTCTTCAAAAACAGTGTTCTATGACAAATATATTGGGAAAAGTCACATACTTTCTCCATCTCTAGGAGATTGTCAATGCATATTAAATAGTAAAGGTTATAAAAGCCCATTCACTAAAGAGATTTGTCTCATTTTGGTTAATTCAGAGTTCAAGGAAATTATTTAGAAGACTCTCTTTTTTTTTGTAGGAAATCAATTAACATCTCGTGGAATAATGGTTTGGAACATAATCTAGAAGCTCTTAACTAGACATATTCTTACTAGGACTGGAACCAAAATAAGAATGTCCACTAATATTTATTTTACACTGTTCTGGAAGCTCTACTCCATGTAATCACAGAAACCCAGAGGCAGGGTGAAGGGAAGTATTAATACTGAAATAGAGAAGAAAAAAAATCATTATTTACAGATGACACAGTAGTTCTCCTTGCAAACACAGCAACCAGAGAAAAACTATTAGAACTAATAGGAGAATTAAAAATGGTAACCAGCCACAACATGGATACAGAAAATCGCCAACAGTACATCAGCAAAAACAAAACAAAACAAAACAATACAAAAAACAGACCACAGTAGAAGAAATCTAACATGCAATAGCAACGAAAATGCAAATACATGGGAAAAAACTGAGTAAGAGATATGCAAATGCTCTAAGAAAAATGAACACCTTGGCCGGGCATGGTGGCTCACGCCTGTAATCCCAGCACTTTGGGAGGCTGAGGTGGGCAGATCACCTGAGGTTAGGAATTTGAGATCAGCCTGGCCAAAATGGTGAAACCCCATCTCTGCTAAAAAAAAATGCAACAATTAGCTGGGCCTGGTGGTGCGTGCCTGTAATCCCAGTTACTCGGGAGGCTGAGGCAGGAGAACAACTTGAACCAAGGAGGCGGAGGTTGCAGTGGGCTGAGATCGCCATTGCACTCCAGCCTGGGCAACAAGTGTGAAACTCCATCTCAGAAAAAAAAAAAAAAAAAGCATCTTATAGAAGAATGAGCTGCAAAAAGCCTGTCAGTCTGGATATTTAACTACAAGTGGTTTTTCAGGAAAAAATTTAATTTCTACACCAAGACTGGCTGCTTGCTGAAGTTTATTTCAGGTCTAAGATCTTGTGATCTTTAGTATTGGAAGAGCTAAACCCTTTGAGTTACAGCAATCAGATATTAAGATTTAAATATAATATTTATATTTGCTTTGGAGTCATTCATTCCTTTACTGCTATGGTAATTATAGTTTGAAATCCCTTTCTCGTTTGAATAATTATTTTTAAACTACTTTAAATCTTCTTCTAGATATTATGGGCTATTGACCCAGTAAATGAGATTACTGAGCCCACAGTATTTTTACTGCTTTAATGAAGTGCCATTCTAAAATGCTTCGTCCCTATAACTGTGTAAAGCATAGTAATTAGCTAACTGAAAATTACTACCCTTTTAGTACACAAGACTGCAGAAACTAGACAAACTAAAGAACATACTCAGACTTTAGAAGATCAAGATTAAACCAAAATGCTATATTGAATACAATGGTACCTACTGGACACAGTTTTAGGACCAGATTTCAGACTTACGGAACTTTCTTAGTATCTTCCCAACAGATTTGGGAGAAAACACTAAGAAAAGACTATAGACTATCTATGGGATCATTTTGATAAAGAGCAATAGTGGCATCAACAAAGCAAATTTCAACAAATTTAGTTTCAAAGACCTAATTGGCTTTTATTAGCAATTCATAAACTGAGCAACATCCCATCTACTAAATAGAAAGGTGCTCCAATGAGCTAAGCAGACAGAGGTAGGCTTTTATAGGGGAAAAAAAGGGCTGTAGAAAGAAGAAACAAGGAATAAGAAGTGGATTGGTCATTTATTTATTTATTTTCCTTGAGACAGCGTCTCCCTCTGTTGCCCAAGTAGGAGTGCAGTGGCCCCATCTCGACTCACTGCAGCCTCTACCTCCTGGGCTCAAGTGATCCTTCCACCTCAGCCTCCCAAGTAGCTGGGACTACAGGCGCATGCCACCATGCCTGGATAATTTTTATATTTTTTGTAGAGACAAGGTTTTGCCATGTTGCCCAGGCTGGTCTCGAACTCCTGGACTCATGCAATCCTCCCACCTTGGTCTTCCAAAATGCTGGAACTACAGGCATGAGTCACCATGCCTGGCCCAATTGGTCATTTCAAAGTTACTTTCCTTATAGGGTTAAAGCAGAGGGGACTTTTTTTCTTTTTTAAGTATTTTTGTTAATACATAATATTTGTGCATAGTTATGGCATCCATGTGACATTTTGTTGCATGCATAGAATGTGGAATGACCAAGTTAGTATTTAAGGTATCCATCACCTTGAGTATTTTTCATTTCTATGTGTTGGGAACATTTCATGTCCTCGCTTCTAGCTATTTTGCAAAATACAATACCTTATTTTTAACTATATTCACCCTACTCTGCTATCAAACATTAGAACTTATTCCTTCTAATGGTGTATTTGTACCCATTAACCAGCCTCTCTTCATCCCCAGCCCCACACCCTTCCAAAACTCTGGTAACTATCATTCTATTCTCTACTTCCATGACATAAACTTTTTAGCACCCACATATGGGTAGGAACATGTGCTATTTGTCATTCTATGCCTGGCTTATTTCACTTAACAGAATCACCCCCAGTTCCATTCATGATGCTGCAAATGGCAGGATCTGATTCTTTTTTAAGGCTGAATAATATTCCTCTGTGTGTGCGTGTGTGTGTGTGCGTGTGTGTCTGTGTGTGTGTGTAACGTTTTCTTTATCCATTCAGCCACTGATGACACTTAGATTGAATCCATGTCATTGCTATTGTGCATTGTGGTGCAATAAACATAGGATGCAGGTATACTTTTGATATACTGATTTGCTTTCTTTTTGAGAACTACCCAGTAGTAGGATTGCTGGATCATATGGCAGTTCTATGTATAGTTTTTGAAGAAATCTCCATACTCTTTCCATAATGACTATACTAATTTGCATTTCTACCAACAGTGTATAAGAGCTCAGGTTGACAGGGCACCTTTGGATTTGGTGCTGTGAAACTCCTGTTTTCGAAACTGGCTAGTTTCTAAGTTCAGTTTGATTACATGGCACTTAGCATGAGAAGACTCCATTCTGGTTAGGTCTGGTATGCTGGGGCCTCATGAAGGAGGCCCAAAAGGATGACCTCCTTTACATTTTTTGGAACTCGAATTTATGACCTGCATGGATAATTTTGATAGAGCAGTAGTGGCATATCTTAAGCACTTAATATTGTAGCAACCTCACACTTTAAAGATGAAAAAAGAGGACTTTAAGTCAAACCAGACCAATTGCCATAAAATGCTAATGCAAAGGCAATCCAAAATGTAAACAAACCTTTTTTTGTTTCATTTCACAAAACAGGTTTACTGACAGACAAAAACACTCATACAGAGAAAATAAAAGCAAAATTCTGAGCCTTGGAATCTTGTCCTTGAGTCACTGCTGAAACAAAGGTCATTATCACAGCCCCCCTCTGCCTCACACCAGGGCTCCTATCTGTAGCCATATATCTGAAATATAGAGCCTATTTAATAAGCCAATGAATTATGAATGGATATATTATTGAGAAACCTGACCATAAAAATAAATAAATAACCATTTAGTATCATATCTAAACAAGCAAGTGCTTGTCAATACATACCTATTACCTATAATAACTATTTATCACTAATTTTCAAGTGTAAAGTTTTAGGCTTGAAAAAGTATAGATAACACCTCAAAACCTGGGACTAAATATTTATTTCTTATTAGAGAGGATAAGAAATTTATCATATAGTGGCCATATCTTTTCTATATCTTTTTGGTGTCAAAGGCATATAATTTTGCATAAGCCAAATTTTCAATATGGATTAAACAATGAAGACATAATTTAAAATACAAGCTATTAGTACCAGGACTTTGAAAGTTTAATATGAAAGAGATATGTAATTGTATAATTTCAATTACAATCTTCAACATTTCATCATATTTCACTTTCATCTCATCTCAAAGACTTAAGGTATTTTAAGACTATTATAAAAGAACCAGTTTCTAGCAGCATGCTAGAATAAAAGGAAGCATTGGCTCTGTCATCAGATTTGTGTTCAATTACCACTCTGCTACTTTCTAGCTATATGCTTCTGCATAGATTTCTCTACTTCTGGAATCTGTTTCTTAACTTCTGCAACGCATTTATTACTTATCCAAGAGCAGCCTCCCTATCTATCCCATAGTAACTTGAGGTAAAATTCAACACTGCTACTCATACTCCACAAAAGGAAAGCCACCCCACAGAGCATCAGTGGACAATATAAACTTTGTTTAAGATGCTCTATGGATATGGAAGAAGACCCTCCCCTCTTGAATCTTTATTTCTTCCAAACCACATACCCTAGACTCTTTGTTTCTCTCCAATTCTTAGTAAAGTATAGTAGTTTATCTCTTCTCATTTCTCCACTCTTGTATCCTCACAACCATCACTCCTTCAGCGCACTAAAGACTCTCTTGTTACCAGGATCCACACTTCTTGGGAGCCAGTAGAGGTTTATTAAAGACAAATCATGTGATTAAATAAGGAAAAGCACAATTACACACATTTTATAGGGAGAAATAAGGCCTTTCTATTGCTTGTATTGTATCACAGAAGGATTCCCTTCAGGACTTATAGAATCATTCTGTTTTCGTTTTAGCTCTTTGCTATTTTTCTTAGAAGATGCTAGTAATAAAGCTAAATGTGTACACATCATATACTTGATACCTTCATTTCTTTTTCACCTGAGTCTGTTGGTAGAAAAATGCTACTTAGAAAAATATCAGGAGGTAAAATGTCAAATGCAGCTTAAGGATACACAGAACTAAGGCTTCTATGTAGGTTGGATAATGAATGAAGAGTATGAATTGTGAATAAAATCATTCCTCTAACTCATGATGAGAATGATTTCTCAGATCTAAGTTCTCCCACTGCCCCACAGAAATAACCTTCCATAAGAATCATGATCTTTTCTGAAGACTTTCTAAAGACTACACTATAAGCTTCAAAAGACAGCCACGGCCTTAAAGATTCCACTAACCTGTCTTCTCTGAGTGACAGTAAGACAGTTCCAAATCACTGCTTAAACATAGCATTGGGTTTTGTTTCTTAGAAATAAAGAATAGTTTACTTTAAAACATTTGAAAAAGAAAATTAACTTCACAATAGATTTCCTCTCTGGGTGTTAGGAAGACTGTTCTAAAAATACAAAGCGTTATTTGTAGTTCTTTTTGGAAAATTGGTAGGGGTTTGGGGATATTATGGATAACCAGATGGCAGTGAAGTGTATAATGCATGCAAAGGGGAATGGTTCCAGGTTGATATTTTTCCCTGGAAAACTTTCTAATACTTCCACATTAATAATGGACCATTATCTAGAAATTGAAGCAGCTAGGGCTAAACAACAAGGGCTTTGCAGTGACGCTTTGAATGTGTTCTTGCAATTATCCAGTTGCAAGTTAAATGCAGTGTAGCCTATAACTTCCCAAGCTGAGTTTTGACTTTTATTTTTGGCCAGTTGACCCTTGCTCTGGTTTTTTACTGCAACATTAGGTCAATCAAGAAAAATATCCTTCATGAATTGGATGACATTGCCACCAAACCCTGAATTCCATCTCTCAGGCTGGAAGTCTAACCTCTAATTTACTCCAGTCCCAGGCTGATTAATCCCATTATTTAATGAAGTCTCTCTTGGTTGTCTGTCTATCAAATTATTTGTATTCATTAAGGGAAAGTGATAAGCCAAAATGCTAATTATCCATTTTTCTAAAATAAAAGATCCATGCTAAGAATAACAATGAGTTATTAAAATAGCACTTTTCATCTGACATAATACATCTTAACAAGGTCTTTAAATCCAGGGATTTCCATTGCTGGGCATCTTATCTAATGCAAAGGAAGATGTTTACTTTCTATCTATTCATACTTTGCTAGCATTGGGCATCAGCTTTTGAATTTGAATGTTGTTGGAAATAATGTGATAAGTTGTTGAGAAATCTAGTCTTTAGAAACTGATTTTTAAAAAAATTTCTCTACTTAATGTACTGATTTATATCATCATTTGTCTAAGCACCTGGATCTAAAAAAAAGCAGCTCTCACCAGGGAGCAATTTTGTCCCCTAGGGAACATTTGGCAATGTCTGGAGACATTTTTCAATTGTTACAATTGGGGGATACTACCGTCATCTAGTGAATGGAAGCCAAGAAGCTGCTAAAGATCCTGCAAAGAACAGCACAGCCCCCTACCCACAACGAAGCATTATCCTACTCAAAATGTCAATAGTGCTAAGGTTGAGAAACTAAGGTCTAAAAGATAGAAAGAAATTCTAATAAGTAATTAGGTAACAGGCCTAATGAAAATAAGCTACATAAGCGCCATGAATTTAACCTTTTCTGTGTTCCAAGTTTCATTTTTCCACAACTGTCTACTTCCTTAGAATAATACTAATTGTACTAAATGTAGGTCAAGCTCTAATTTCATATGCTCCCACATTTATATCTCAGTTTTGTGTTTGATGAAGCAGAAAATTTTCTCTGATGAAAACTAGATGGAGGAAAATATGAACTGGTAGAGAAATAGAAATAAAAATCTAGGGTAAGTAGGAAGAAGAGGTAGGGATAGTTGGATGAAAGTGAGTAGAGTCAATTCCAATGTTATGTGCTATAGGAAAAGAAAAGGAAGGGAAGGGAAGGGGAAGGGGAAGGTGAAAGGGAAGTGGGAGGAAGGAAGGAAGGAAGGAAGGAAGGAAGGAAGGAAGGAAGGAAGGAAGGTCTTTCCTAATGGCTTACGATTTGTTTCTAAAGAACATTCAATTATCCAAATGTTTTGTTAGCTGGTTAATTCACCTTCCACTGACTTCTCCAGCATTACCTGCCCACATAACCCACATTCATTCATGTACAACCACCCAACTGGGGTGATCTCCATACATCCACAGCACACACTCACATTAGAAGCTTTTCACACACAGGAACTGCCTCAGTGCAAGAGCTGAAATGACTGTCATCATAATAACAACTATATTGATCACTTAAAAGATTAATAAGCATTTTGGGCCAGGCGAGGTGGCTCAAGCCTGTAATCCTAGCACTTTGGGAGGCCAAGATGGGCGGATCACGAGGTCATGAGATCGAGACCATCCTGGCTAACACGGTGAAACTCCATCTCTACTAAAAATACAAAAACATTAGCCTTGCGTGGTGGTGGGCGCCCGTAGTCCCAGCTACTCGGGAGGCTGAGGCAGGAGAATGGCGTGATCCTGGGAGGTGGAGCGTGCAGTGAGCCAAGATCGTGCCACTGCACTCTAGCCTGGGCGACAGTGCGAGACTCCATCTCAAAAAAAAAAATACATATATATATATAAGCATTTTAATAATTGGAGGTAAAATGATTTGAGGAGCATAAATAATGTGCCATTTTGTTTTACATATGAAGTTATAGCATTATATTTCCCATGTAAAAACCTAAAACATTTCTAACCACAAAACAATTTACAGGTTCAACCTCTTCTTGTCTTCCTAGAGGACATGTGCAAGAGAAAACAGTTTATTTTCTAGACAGGTTTCTGTTTTCTTGGCACACAAACTCCTGGCACTGAGAGCTGTGAGGTACACAATGGTTTGGGGCTGGCAAGCTCTGAGCATGTCAGTTCCCAGCAGCCAGGCTCCTCTGAATCCTGCCAAAGCCACCAAGTAACACTTAGTCTTTGGAGCCAAAAGCCCTTGGGAGCAAACCATCTTCTGGCAAAAGCTGAATATATGCTGCACTGGCTAAAAGGCTGATTACCAGTAGCAGAGATTTTAGTAAGGTAAACTGTAGCTAAGTTTTGGAATTTGAAGGATACTGTGTCACAGGAGTTTGGTAGTTAATAATTTTTCAGTAACGTAGACATCAGAGAGGGGCAACTAATCTCTATTACTTAACATCAAAGCCCGTCTTACTGGCTCAGATTAAATTCAATAAATTCCTTTTGAAAATTAAGAAAACTTGGAGGTTAAAGATGATAACAGCTGTAGACAATGGTAGAAGTAATCAAAACATTTATTTATATGGAGCAACTTAGCCAAAATTCATGCATACCCAATTAAGAAATATTTGTTAGACTACAAAATGGCTTCACCAAAACAAAACAAAACCCATAAAAACTATCATAAAACAAACATAAATAATAAATCATTTATATAACTAAATGAGCATGGGGAAATCTATCAAAACCCATTAAAACGATAAGTATACAGATAACTGACTTTGTGTGTAAGAGCTGGATTAAAGGTCAGTATGATACAATGATAGGCGGTACTAGATCAGTGGAAGAAAGCAAATACTTTGCTGCCTTAAATTGCTGGCTATTATGAAAAATTAAGTCATACATATTCTTAGTAAATGGTACCAAAAAAGGCGTAATAATAAATCATGCAGAAAACAAATATATTAGGATGTTTGGCACTTGGCCCTATTTTGTGTTATTTTCTCAAAATATGACTTTTTTCACTTTTTATTTGATGGATAAATTGTGTCCAACACAAAAATATTCCAAAGGTAAACAATTAAAATGCCATTGATGTGTGTTATATTTTCTTCAAAGAGAACTTTTTTAAAGAGGATGAGTTAAAAATGATCTTAAAGGTCAAACGTAATGAAGTATGTCGAAACACAGTTATCAATTAAAAACATATTTGTGGTAATTAGCATTCAAACTAAACGTGCAGATTTTAAGCTCTGGAATCCACATCTCATATTCTCACAAGACATATCAACCCATAAAAGTAATGAATCAAAACACTAATCACACAAAGCAAGACACTGCTCTCTGGCATTCCTTGGTAGAAGAAACCTGGAGGAAACTGCTTCACTACTTGTGTTAACCCCCAAATCAACAAGGCTTCTGTTCCATGTTGAATAAACTTCAAAACTCTTCATGTGGCTCCAGGTGCCCTGGACTCTGGCCATCTCAGTCATGGTCAGCCTCCACACTTAATTTCTTTACATTTCTCAACCATGCCATGTTCTTGTCTCAGCCTCAGGACTGAGACTATTCTGTCTTTTTCCTGAAATTCTTTGTCTTCTGCTCATCCTCCCATTTTGCAGATACCTTTTCATCATGCAGGACCTAGCCCAGAGCTCAGCTTCTCAAAGAAGTATTTTCCTGAACACTCAATCAAGCTTAGGGTAAATCCTCCCCTTTAGTCCCTTTTACAGAATGCAGGTTGCAGTGAGCCAAGATCATTGCACCCCAGCCTAGGTTACTGAGGGGGACTCTGTCTCAAAAAAAAAAAAAAAAGGAAATATACCAACTAACAACCACACCATACCAACTAACAACCACACCAACCTTAGGAGGAAGGTTTATCATTACCATCATATAGATGAATTTACAAAACTCAAATAATTTCTCAAGGATCAGAGAGCAATGTCAGCATGCACATCCATGACTAGTTGACTACAGAGCCTGTTGTCTTAGCCACTGCACTAAATAAGATACTTGGACCTGCAGAATTATACAGAGGAGAAATGTGACCACATTTAAAAGGATGGGCAGAAAAAACATTCAGAATGTAAGATAAACCACAGAGCTAGAGAACAAATGGAGCCTATTTCCTTGCAATCAGTTCACTGAAGCTTCAAGTACAATGCCAGTGGATATTACGGAGGTGGCTAAAGGCAGGACAGCAGTGGGAAAGGGAGTCTGGAAAAAAATAGATAGCAAATAAATAAAGAGCTTAGTCCTTTCCATAGTAACAACTATACCTCTGGCTGCAACATTGCCAGTACTGTGAGAACCTTACAGAAATGAGGCAGACCCTGTTTTTCAAAAGAGTAATAATGAAAAAATAAAGTCCTGTGGTGCTTTTCCTCTATCAGCTCTGCTTATAAATTCATAGCACAGCATGGAGGTTATTAAAATCCCATATGTGAGAACCACACACAGCACAAAGAGATATGAATTGGCGTTCCATGGAGATAATGCTATCTAATGGGCAAAACAAGTAGTAGGGTTTCACTTTTATTCTGAGTACATTTGAAAAGGGCTCAGCATCCAACTACTGTACATGGATAGCTGACCGTCCAAAGACTATTTCTCACCCCCTTCCTTCTTATGGATTAATAAGTGGGAGTAAAAAGTAGGGTTATTATCTGCCCACATCTGGGTATTCCCATGACATTTTTTTTTTTACTTGCAACTGTTTGAAATATAGTGGATTAAAAGCTTCTCAGTCTGCCTTGACACAGAAGAGAAGCAGAGCAAATCTCCCCCTGCACCCTCTTATGGCATCAGACAGGCCAAGGAGTCAGAAGAAACTTAGGATTTCTGCTCCAGAGTCCACCGGAGACTCACCTTGAAACCCAAAGCAGGCTAGTTTACTACTTTGTTTTGTCAGCTTTGTTTGTTAAAGATTTTTTTTCAGTCATAGAAGGCTGGCCTAGCTGAATAGCCTATCAGGGGAAATCAAATACAAGTAATAGTAGCAAATTCTATTTTATATGACCTGGCAAGAATAGAATGCTGTATCTCAGATCAAAAAACCAATTTTAAGAATATCCTATGACCTCAGTCAACAGAATACCCTACCTATATCTAAAATTTCCTAAATTACTTAGTGCTATAATTTAATTATTATTATTAAGACAAAATAATTATTTTTCATTTATTTACATTCAAAATCCAGTCTTCAAAAGCAAGTAAATTTGGGGACTTAAATACTTGGGCCAAGGGAGAGGCAGAAAACTCTACTGAGGAGCTAGGAAATTTAAAATCTAACTAGAACACGAAAAAATTCTACAGCCTTCTCAAGCTGCCCAAACCAGAATCAAACCAAAAAGCATCTAAACAGAATCTAAGCTAAAAATCTATCCATATAGCAAAAGATAACAAAGATATGAAATTAATTAAAATATAACAAATTTTGGAGTTGGGACATCATCCCTTCATTTGGCAAATATGTAAGGAGCACTTACTATGTGCCAGGCACTGTACTGTCCCCTGAGGAATTTTGCAGGAAGATAGACAAAGTCCCTGTCCTCAGGGAGCTTACATTTAGTGCCGAGAGGGAAGGTAAAAGAACACCTCCCACAGCCCTACAGTCACCATTGTTAAGGAAATTTAAAGGGTTTGGTTATTGACTTAAAGATTTCTCAAGGAAACTGAATCCCCAATATAAAAATTTATTGCTGAGTCTCTCCTGGTAGCTTGAAATGAGAAGTAACAATCTTGGGAACTTTGAGATAATCTTCTTCATTAAGTTAGGCAGAGAACTGGAAAAAGCCCACTATAAAGCAAGAAGAATGCAGTAAGATGAAATACCATGCTGGAGAGAGGTTAAGGGTAAAATGAGTCCCAGTATGGGTAAGTGAGGATGCCAGGCCCTAAAATAAAACTTCCATGTTTAACTTTTTAGAACTCTTAAAAACCTCTACTGATCTATGTCAGCCATCTATCATATCTGAAAAGATAAGATTTTCTTTTGCTGGTAATTTGGATAATACTCCTCTTTCAGAAATCTTCTACACAGAGGTGAAGAATAATCTCTTGCTGGTTATCAGGAGATAAGCAGGTAGATAGAGCAGGAATTAATAAAAATCTCAAGGCTGGCTCTAGGGAATGTTGGGGTCTAGGTTTAACTCTAACACCCACAGTTATGAGATCATTAGGCAAATCACTTTATCTCTCTATGTTATTATCTCAAATGCCACCTGTAGATAATAGCCCCTACCCTGTCCAAGCTCTCAGGGTTGTCAGGAGAATAAAAACAAAAAGGATTTTAAAATAAGGAAGGAGCACATTTGAAAAGCTTGCAGCTTCACAATTCATTCACCCTGGCTTGAGCCTCTTGGCTGAGAAATAAAAATAGCAACCGCAATAATAGCAATTGCTATAATTTACTGAATGCTTAATACATGTACCAGGCACATTTTTCATTTAGTTCTTACAACAACCCTGTGGGGTTCCTATGATTATTAGCCACAAATTACAAAGGAGTAAGCTAAGGGCCTGAAAAGTTAAGTGTCTTGTGAAAATTTACATATCTAGTGAATCAAACTCATAGCCTTACAAGTTAAGCCACTAAGCCTTCCTGGTTCTTAGCCATCTCTCAAGATTCACTCCAGTTCAAGTCAGTATGATTCAATTCAATTCAATCCATAAACTTTTTTTTTTTAATATATAGGCTTTCAGAGTCCAGGTTGCTTACATATCTGTAGACGACACACACATAACCTTGCTAGAAGTTCCCAACTTAAATAAAGAACATGAATAAAGATCCTAGTGAAAGTAAGGTGACTATGCAGACAAGAGACCAATGCCCCAGCGTCTTGGCATTTACCATTTGGTTTCCTATCAGAACACTAAGCTGATTATGGCAAACTCAGGGTCATAAAGTGACTCTCAGGGTCATAAATTCCTGCCAGAACTGAGAAAGCAAATTCTTCCCATCTTATTAATAACACTTACACTAATTTATGCAGCTCTACTTAAGGTCCTAGTTCATAAGCCAAACTTGTCATCAATGTAAGCTCATCCTCACCCACAGAGAGAAAACAGAGTCAGTTTCCAAAATATCTTCCCTTCTCGCTGTCCAGAAAGCCCGTCTTCCTGATTGCTTGTATAGTTCTAGGTATTCGAGGGATTTAAAACAAATATAAGGAATGATCCGATCCTCCAAGGTAATTATAGTAGCAATCACACATATTTACGGAGTGCTTACTTTTGTGCCAGATACTGTTGTAACTAATTATATTGATTCTTTTAATTCTCAAAACAGCACTCTGACATAGATATTGCTATTACCTCTACATTACAGTGAAGAAACTGAGATGCAGAGAGTTTAAGTGACTTGCCCAAATGTTTGAACTGGGATTTAACCTCAGTCTCTCTCTAGAGTTGTGTCCTTAACCACTACATCGTACTACCCTACATGTAATATAGATGGAAAGAAATCAGATTTGAGACAATTACTATAAGTGGTTATATCTAGTTCCATAATAAATAATAGATAAGAATGTTAATAGAGTTTAAAAGTTCAAAAGTAAGTTTTTTGGAGGAAAGAAGTCTCATGACTGATACAGAATTTGAACCCCCCAAATTTCCTTCTGTTTGTAATGTTTGCCCATCTTTCTTTACCCAGAAAATGCTTCTGCATTTTTTATCTTGCGATATTTTTGGGTTTTTTTTAAACATGTGTTAATGAAGTATAACAAGTCCACAAGGAAAACAGAACACTATTCCAACTTGTATCACTATCGCTTAATTTTACCTGTTTTGGCTTATATAAATGAAATATTATGGTATGCATTCTCTGCATCTGGCTTTGTTTGCTTACCATTGTATCTGCAAGATTCATGCATGCTGTGCATACCACTAGCTCATTCACTATTTCATTATATGAATATATGATGTATCATTTTGACATATAATTTTTTCATTCCACTGTTAATGAGCACAGGGTTATTTTTGATTTGCATGAACATGATTGTATACTTCCTTTCATGCCAAATGTACCCATGAATGTGAGGTATCTAGGAATGGAATTACTGGGTCACAGCATTAAGTGTATGTTCTCATTATCTTTTTGTTATTAATTTATGGCTTATTTCCACTCTGATCAGAGGAAATATTCTGTGTGATTTCAACTCATTGAATTTTTTAAAGACTTGCATTATTGACCAGTATGTGATTAATTTGGTTAAAGGTGTTATGTTTACTTGAAAAAAATGCATTCTGTAGCTTTTAGATGTAGAGTTCTATATGTCATTTAGATCAAGTTTGTTAATTGTGTTATTCAAATCTACTAAATCTTCACTCATAGTTTTGTTGGCTAATGCTGATAGTTAAAGAAGGAAAAGGGTATTAAAACCACCAACTATGATTGTCAGATTATCTACTTCTCTTCTTAGTTTCGTTAGTTTTTGCTTTAAATATTTTGTGCTACTAAATGCATATCTTTTCGGATCATTAAATATTCCTGTCAAATTGCCCATTTTGTCACTATGTCATGGCATCTTTTATTTTTAACATGATTTCCTTCCTTAAAATCTATAATGCCTAATATCAGTACAGCTGTATTAGCTTCTTTATCATTGGTGTTTGCACAGTATATCTTTTTCCATTATTTTATTTTTAACCTTTCTGTGCCTGATATTTAAGAGTATGTCTCTTTATGTAGCCTAAAATTATTTTTTACATAGTTAAGCAATATGTCATTTAATGAGAATGTTTAGGCCATTTATATTTAATGTAAATACAGACATATTTGAATTTAAATCTAACACATTCACAGTTGTTCTCTATTTCATTTGTTCTTTGGTCCTATATTTTTCTCCTGGCTTTTAAAAAATTTATCAAGTACTTAAGAAAATTTCCCATTTATTATCTCTTAGTTTGTTACATCTAAATTCTTTTGTTATTCTTTTTAGTAATCATCCTAAAATTGCATTATTAATTCTTGGCTTACTAGAATATAATATAATGTATGCCTTCATAAGTTCTGAAACATTGCAAGAGCCTTACAACATTTTAATAGTTTACCCTGCTCCTGCATTTTTGGCTATTAATGCATAGTATTTTAATCTTACTAGACATTATTACTTGTTTTGCACAACATTTATCTATATGCTCCTTTATATTAAACCTTTCTCTTACTCTTCATTGCTTCTTTCATTTCTGTACTTCCATCTGGGATCATGTTCTTTTGCCTGAGCAGCTTCTTTCAATATTTTAGTGTGGGGGCCAATTGCAGTGACTAATGCCGGTAAATCTCAGCACTTTGGGAGGCTGAGGTCAGAGGATTGTTTGAGCCTGTCAAGACCAGCCTGGGCAATATAGAGAGACCCTGCCTCTACAAAAAAAAAAAAAAAATTAATTAGCCAGGCATAGTGGCATGCAACAGTAATCCTAGCTACTTAGGAGTCTGAAGTAGAAGGATCGCCTGAGTCCAGGAATTCAAGGCTGCAGTGAGCTTTGGTCATACCACTGCACTCTAGACTGGGTGACAGAGCAAGACTCTGTCTCTACAACTTTAAAAAAAATAAATAAATAGATAAATAATATTTTAATGTGGGTTTGCTGTTTACAAATTACCTGCTTTTGTTTATCCACAAATATTTTATTTTTATTTTGAAAGATATTTTCACTTGATATAGAATTAAGTTGGTGGTTACTTCCTTTCAGTACTTTGAAGATGCCACTTCATCGACTTCTGGATTCTAGACCATTTCCATTGAAAAGGCAGCAGCTTCAGGAACTACAGTTCCTTTGAAGATTGGTTTTTTTTGTTTTGTTTTCTGACAGACTTTAAGATTTTCTTTTCTTCTTCTTAGGTTTTCAGCAGTTTCGTTCTAACGTACCTAGGTAAGTTTTTATTTGTAGTTATGCTGCTTAGGGTCCATGAAGCCTTTTGAAGTTGTGTGTTGAGGCTTTATCAGTTTTGAAAGATTCTTAGCCAATAGAGATTCAAATGTTACTTCTGCCTTATTCTTTCTCTTCCCCATTTCTGGGACTCCAACATACTTATGTTATACCAATGTTTCTGAAACTAGTCGTGATTAATATTTTTCCTTTTTATTTATAATCCCTTAGAGTCTAATTTTGTCATAAAATATGCTATTAAAATGTTGTGGCAAAATCAATTGCTATAAACATTTATGAACACTCTATGTTGTCAGGGACCAGCACCAGAAGTGGTCTCAGGACCATACTTTGAGAAGCACCATTTTTCACTGGGTGTCTGCTATGCTCTTTTCTTTATCTTTCACCTTTTTAATCTTGATGCTTTGATCCGTTATTTTTATAAACATTTTCAGCTTTACTAATCAACTCTTCTACTATGCATAATCTGCTATTAAACATATCTCTTAGATTCTTAAGTTTTTCACTTCTAGAATTTCCCCTGTATTCTTGTCTACAGATTCCAGTTGTGAAATAATCAATCTGATATCTATTTTCTTACACATATTAATCATAGTTGTATTGAAATCTGTCTGATAATCCCAATATATCAATAACCTACAGTTTATTTGTTTTCACTAAGAAATTCATTTATTTGGTTATATTTCCTGACATGCCTGGTAATGTTCTATTGCCTATCATACATGGTAAGTAAAATAATTATTTAGACCCTGAAATCCTACATAGAGGATTCCACTTTTTTCTGGAAGACAGAACATACACAGGTTATCTTGATCCACTAGAGAATGGTCTATGTTCAGTTTGCCCATACTATTAGAATCTAGCTCTTCAGATTCTCAATTGAGAATCTGCCATGTTTATAAAGATCCTTCTTGCTTGGGAGGCTCTGAACTACAATTTCTGTCTCTTCAGTTCTCTGGGATTGCTTACATTTCTGCTTAGATTTTTGGCCTTTTAAACTACTGCATTCTTCTTGGCTTCTCAGTATCTCACTGCTAGTGTGGTGTAGAAATCTGCAAATTCCTCAGGGAAAGTCACGTGCAGAATTCTGGCTCAGATCTCTGTGGTTCCTTCTCTCCAGAATCTTGGTCCCTCATATTGTGGCTGTCTTATTATCCCTGAACATGAATTTTCATCTACCAGTCCCACTGCAATTCCTGTAAGATCTAGGCTACTATGCCTCTTCTAAGTATTGCATATGCATCACAGGAAACAACCCACAGAGGTCCCATTCACCTCAATGCATTTCCTTCTTTGAGAATTCTTGATCTTTCAAATGCTAGCCCATTTTGGTGTACTCTGATTCCTACAAACAGTAATTTATTCAGCTTCTTGGTGGGAGGGTGAGCCTGAGAGCAGCTACTTCATGACTACAAGGTCTGTGCTCTTGTGAAGATTAAATGATGTATAAAAATAGCAGACATCACTAAATAATAGTAAATATTCAATAAATGTTTACTAATATTATTATTGCTACCTATTAGCTAGATTTTATCAGGGGCTTCTTTAAGTGTCATATTCCGAGGAGTCCTCACTCCAGACTCCAAATTCCAAATGTTGTCTATATCAACACTTGCCCCTGGCAAAGCAAGGATGGTAATACTGCCTTTTGGTTAGATGGCTGTATTTGCTAGATTTTCCTGGTGCCCTATAATCTCTTATCATCACACTAACAGTTCTCTAAAGAAGTGGTCTTTTTTTTTTTCTTTTTTTTTTTTTTTTTTAGCAGCCCAAACTATTTTCTAACAATATCTTGTGCAGATCCCCAACAAATGAATCCCAAGCTGCCTGTTTGGTTTACTCCACCACAACCTTCTCTACAATAGATAGTTAACTAGATAGATAAACAGATGGTAGATGACACTCCTGAGTTACACACTCCTAGAGCCAATCAGCTCTGAGGAACACATTTTAAAAACTACTACCATGGTGACAATTTCTGGACACTGCATCTCTTAAAATGAAATAGTCCTTAAACATTCATGCCATAATTTGGGAAACATTCATTACCCAGTACCTTATTCTATTTAGGTCTCATTATAGAAAGGTTCAGTATGGCTTAAACAAATTTCTGGTGATTTTTACATATCATTCCATCCCTTTGGAGCTCACTAGAACTCAAGTTATCACTCTATTTTCTCCATAATGTGCTAAATACATGTAACACTCCAAACACTATGCTTCTTTGTCATCCAGGTCATCTGATTTTTTTCTGTTATTATCTTTGTGAGACGCATCCACATTTCATTCTTTCTCATTTCATTCATTTCAGGCTACATAGTGTTCCATGACATATACAATATATTTATCTATTCTACTGTTGGTGGACATTTTTATTATTTTCAAATATGGCTATTGTGAATAAAGCTGCTATAAACATTTATGTACATGATGCTCAGTGGTCATATGTTCTCATTGTGCCTGGGTATACACCTAGAAATAGCATTGCCATGATGTAGGATATGCATATGTTCAATTCTAACAATAGCAATAAATAGTTTACCACAGGGGTTGCACTAATTACACTCACACCGGCACTGTCATACAGTTCAATTCCTGCATATCCTGGCCAACACTTGGTTTGATCCATCATTTTTTGTTTAGTTATTCTGGTAGTATTTTTATCTCATTGTGGTTTTAATTTGCACTACCCTGATGAGTGATGAGGTTAAGTACCCTTTTACTTATTCATTGCTCATCCCACAATCCTCTTTTTAAAGTCCCTTTTCACATTTCCTGCCCATTTTAAGAATACTTTCTAAGAGTCCCCATCTGCCTTTCTCCTCTCAGGATCTTCTCCCTAATATCCTCTCATTTATTTTTCTTAATGTAGATTGATATGACTTAGCTGCCATATGTTTTTCTTTATTTATTTGCTTCTTCCATGATTCAGATTCTCTGCAACAAAGGAGTGCATTGTCGGAACCAATTAGGCCATCAGGTAACCTCCATATCCTCCCCCTTCCTCTTCCTCTGCTGCTCTATGGTCCTCCTGTTTCGCCTCATCAAAAGCCTGGGAAACTTCTCTTCAGAAATTTCTTGTGTGCTCTGTGAGGCTTGTTTGTTTGTTTGCTTAATTCTTTTTCATGACTCCACCACTCCCCTCTGCCATGTGGAGCACCTGGCACAGATTGATTTTCGCAGATGGGCTAGGAGAGAAAGGACCCACAGGAGGCCACTCTCAGGTCTCAGATGCCAAATTTGACCACTTTCTGGGAGAGGCCTGTTTTTCTGGGAGATGAGCCACACACCACAAAGAGAAAGAGCTGCCTCCCAGCTCTTCTAGTCTTCCTCCAGTGCAGGCTCAGTTCTCAATAACCCCAAACCAAAAGCCGTCATGAGATTCTCTCTTTCTCCACCATGGAAAACTACTTGGCCAGAGTTTGACAGGCACAGATGGTACCATCAGCTGCAAATGTTCTCAATTTTTGTTGACTCTAAACTGCCCTTTGTATTAATATTTTTTGCAGTTTGTTCAATGGGAGATGAGGTTAAAAGTCTAACCTGGGACTAAAATTCATGGTGGGAGATTTAGGCGAGTTTGCCGAGAGTGAATGGGGTTAGGGATATTGGCAAGATGCAGGGAGAAAAAGGCTTGAAAAGAAAATATATAGTCAAAATGAAGTAGAAATCAATTGTTAAACAAAAGATTAGGACCCACAAAAGGAAGAGAAACTAGGAAATATAAAACATTCTTGGCCGAGCCCGGTGGCTCACGCCTGTAATCCCAGCACTTTGGGAGGCCGAGGCAGGTGGATCACGAGGTCAGGAGATGGAGACCATCCTGGCTAACACAGTGAAGCCCCATCTTTACAAAAATACAAAAAATTAGCCGGCCGTGGTGGCAGGCACCTGTAGTCCCAGCTACTTGGGAGGCTGAGGCAGGAGAATCACTTGCCGCTCGGGCGGCAGAGGTTGCAGTGAGCCAAGATCGCGCCACTGCACTCCAGCCTGGGCGACAGAGTGAGACGCCATCTCAAAAGAAAACATTCTTAGGTCTGATGATAATTTTTCCGCTGATTTGAAATGGAGCCAGAGCTCTACACCATAAAAGTTGGGAATGAAGGAAATAAAAAACAACAAAAAAACACCACCCTAAGGAATTGCTCTCTACATGGTTACAATAGCCTAAGATGACCATTCTGCATGTGTGAAGCGCCATCATACCACGATGATCCTTTGTACAAAAACACTAAAAAAAGCAAATTTTTAATTTTTTTTTTTGGGGGGGGGAAGGAATTTCGTTCTTCTTGCCCAGGCTGGAGTGCAGTGGTGTGATCTCCACTCACTGCAACCTCTGCCTCCTGGGTTCAAGCAATTCTCCTGTCTCAGCCTCCTGAGTAGCTGGGATTACAGGCGCATGCCACCATGCTCAGCTAATTTTTGTATATTTATTAGAGACGGCATTTCCTCATATTGGTCAGGCTGGTCTCAAACTCCTGGCCTCAGGTGATCTGCCCACCTTGGCCTCCCAAAGTGCTGGGATTCCAGGCGTGAGCTACCGTGCTCAGCCTTAAAAAAGCAACTTTTAGAATCATTTACATATAAAAAAAGTAAACATCATCCATTCTCTGCAAAAAATTCTATCCAAAGATCTATCAACAAGGATGCCTAGAAAGACAGGAAAAATGATATTTCTTACTACTAGGGACAATGTTATCAATTCTGAGAACTTTTTCTCATCCTCCCAAAGTAAGAGTCTAAAAATCCATATCCAACCTTTTTTTCACTCTTTGTACTCCATATCCAAACTGCTACTTCACATACCAAATACCAAGGCCATCAGTCTAAGGTAGGGACAAGAGCCAAGAGGCCTGGAGTAAGCTCTTTTTACTTCAAGCATAGTGATATGCTGAAATCTATCCTTAGTGGAAAGAAACTGAAAAGAGGGTTTCATCCAACGAGGGAAGTATCAAAGGGTCTATAAACATGTCTGGGGCACTATCTTCTCATTCTGAGGAATGGCACCATATCATTGTAACCTGCAACCCCTGCGACCCCAGTAGACACTCAAGAAAAGGTTCAGTTATATGATTGCAATTACTTGAGTTTGTCTATGTGTCAGACATGACACTAAGAACTTTACATACATGTTGAGAATCTTCACAACAATTCTACGAGGTAGGTTCCATTATTAACTTCCTTTTATATTTGAAACCTAAAGAGTTTAAGAAATGAAATGAGGTCTACCAGGTGGTAAGCAGTAGGTCATAAAAAAACAAGGCCTGGATACTCAATGATATAGTTTGGCTCTGTGTCCCCACTCAAATCTCATTTTGAATTATAATTCCCAGGGTTGGAGGGGGGACCTGGTGGGAGCTGATTTAACTATTGGAGGCAAACTTCCCCCTTGCTGTTCTCATGGTACAGTTCTCACAAGATTTGGTTATTTGGAAGTATGTAGCACTTTCCCCTTCTCTCTCTCTCTCTCTGCCCTGTGAAGATGTGCTTGCTTCCCCTTTGCCCTCCCACCACAGTTGTAAGTTTCCTGAGGTCTCCCAACCATGCTTCCTGTAGAGCCTGTGGAACCATTAGTCAATTAAACCTTCTTTCTTCATAAATTACCCAGTCTCAGGTAGTTCTTTACAGCAATGTGAGAACAAACTTACATACTCAATAACATGGCTTTCTCTGCTCCAGGCTTCTAATGTCCTGGACAGCCCCCAGTTTTCAATTTCTCAGTCATGCCCTAAAAGTTTTGGTTTAATCCTTTCTTCTTATTCAAGATTTCTTTGCATGACTTCTGAAGTGCTTTGGTTTTCACTTCTTTTCTTGTCTACAATCTTTCTGTACAGAGGTGAGTTTTATTTGTTTTAAGTAGGTATACATGTAGGAGTGTTTTGGTTTGCTAGTTTTATTTATTTTTAAATTTAACTTGTAGGTAAGACAAAGTAGCCCAAAAGGTAAAAAAGGAATATAATTCACATAGATATTACTACTTTATATATGTATATTATAATACCTAGAGTAACCACTAAGAGAACTATTCAAAATGATAGACTCAAAATCACTGTAAATATATAAACATGAAATCCAAAAAATGTTCAAGTAACCCGGAGGAAGATAAGAAAAGACAAACAGAAACATGAGAAATGGTGGAAACGAACAGAAAACAAACAATTAAATGGCAAATTTAAGCCCTAGCATATCAATAATTACTTCACATATAAATGGTCTAAATACACTAATTAAAAATCAGATTTGTGGAGTGCAGAGTGGATAAAAACAACAATCCAACAACATGCCCTTCATAAGAATTGATACACCCAACAACTTGGATAACTCTCAAGGGAATTATGCTGAATATAAAAATCCTATCTCAAAAGGTTACATACTACATGATTCCATTTATACAACGTTCTTAAAATGGCAAAATTATGGCTTTGGAGAACAGATTAGTGGTTGCCAGGAGTAAGGAGGGGAGAGAAGGAGGGAGCTGTCTGTGGCCATAAAGGGGTAGCATGAGATATCCTTGTGATAGAACTGTTCTGTATCTTGACTGTGGTATTGGTTACACTAACTTACACATGTGATAAAATTATATAGCATTAAACATGCACACACATGCAAATACACAAAGGCATGTAAAATTGGTGAAATATGAATAAGGTCAGTGGATTATATTAATGTCAACTTTCTAATTGTGACATTAAACTCCTCACATAAGATGTTATCATTGGAGAAAACTGGATGAAAGATATATGGGATCTCTTTGTATTATTTCTTACAACTGCATGTGAATCTATAATTATCTCATAATAAAATGTTTTCTTTTTTTAAAAAAAAAAAGGTTTAGGGGAGAAGGAGGAAATATACACTAAAAAGTAAGAGTCTAGCATCTACCTAGTCTTCCAATTTCTCCATTCCCTTCACTAGGGGTAACCACTGTAGTATTTTCATACATGTCCTTCCAGAGTTAGTCTATAGTCTCTTCATATATAAATATGCATGAATGCACTCACACATTTGGATCTATATTTTTCACACAAGTTTTAACACTATGCACACTTTCCCCTACCTTGCTTTATCAACTTATATTTGAGCTTTGAGTAGTGACAGAGCTTCCTTGTTTTAATAGCTGCATAGTATTCCATTTTATGAATAAATCCTGATTTATTTAATCAATCCTTTCTTCTCAGAAAAATATGATCGAACAAAAAATAGACATTTGATTTATTTCCAAATATTTCCTACTGTAAGCAATGCTCCAGGATGAGCCTGTGATCACTGAAATTGACTTTTTTTCTAACCGAGTCAACCCCTCCCCAACCATTTACCTTTGAAAATCAACCGTTGGTCCTGGGCTTCTAGTCACTTCACGCTGTTCCATCCTCTGAACTTGGGAAATGACAAGTAGATGCTTTTTTATCTTTGTAACTATGGCCTTGGCTTTGCATGACTTGGCTTCTCCTTGCTACTTTACTTTATTTGGTGGCTTGTAACTTTTCCTTAGCAAAAATAAACCTATTTCTAATTCCTTCAGACATTTTTCTCCTGTCTAGGAACATTTTCTGTTTCAATTTTTTCCCAATACCTAGAACACCTTCTCTTCTTTATTCACTTCCTTGCTATCTCTTTTATAATTTGTCCTCCTTGAATGAGGAAATAATTTTTCTTACAACCCCATTTTAACAATCAACTCAATCCAAAGTATAATTCCCCCATCTCCTTCTGTACAATGGAAGTAAGGTATTCTAATACGCCTTGCATGTGTGTAAACTTTGATAAATAACATGGGGTATACTCTAATGGGATGCAGGCACTTACATTTTGACATTATATGATCTCTGTCCCTTTTCTCTTCATGTACCACCTCCTTTGGAATTTGGAACCTCTTGAAATTTGCAAGTTTTTGGAATTTGCAACCTCTTGAAACAGGTATTTAAAACAGAACAGCAGGTATAGCTCAATGACTGTTGTTATAAAAACCAAGAAAAAGAAAAGAGGACCATATCCAAATGCCCATTGCAGAAAACCACAAAAAAAACATTTTTTGGTTATTTCTAAATTTTGTTTTCATCACCAAAATAATAGCTCAGCTCTTGCAATGGTGTATTAGCTCATTTCTGCCAAAGAATCAACGAATAAAAATGTTGATTGAATTTAATATGGGTCTGGGTGGATGTGTGTCAATATTAATGTAAAATTAAGGTACAATAGGTAAATAACATGTAAGATGATAGAGCCACAGCTGTTTCAAAACTGTCCCCAAGTAATTTATAAATGCATGTCTCCAGTGTCTGGTAAGTACTCAATACATATTTGGTAGTAAATTTGAATGAATAAATGAGAATGCTTGCTCTTGCAAATAGGTTCTTCTTAAAGAATCTACGATATGTTCATGTCATTAGACATGTCAGATGTCTGTTTCATTAGTGCTGCATGAGCCCATGATTATAAAAGTGTAATAAAAATTAGGCGATGCAGCTTTTCTTTGGTTTTTCCTCTTCCGGTAAATATCCAGTAGCCCTTGCAATATTCCATTATGTACAAGCTCTGCCTCATCCCTAACCATTATTACTCTATGGGGCAGGACTATTTTAGCGTCTGATGTATTCCACCAGGTGAAGCAAACAAATTAGACGGAGTACAACAGCTGCTTGATATAGGATGTCCTCATGTTTTCGTTCTTCTTTTTAATACACCCAAGCATCACATTTATTTTTTCAACAGCTGCTGCACATTGAGCAGACTTCTTAATTAGCTAATGTTTGCAAGGCCTTTTGAAGATAAAAAGCCCTATATAAGTGCTAAGTGTTATTATTACTTTGACAAAAGAGTTCTCTTTTACCTTGGCTCACTGCAAAATGTGTGAGCTTTCCTTCTGTCTAACTAGAAGTAGTCAAAGTATAGGCTGCATAAACCACAGGAGAAAGAACTTAGAAATTCAGCTGTGGACCCTGAACAGAGGCAATTGAGCACTCTGGAATGTTCCTTCCTATTTTAATGTACTCTTCACCAGGCACCAAAAGAAAAGAATGGTGGGGGTGGGAAGGGGTTAGAAAACACTTTTTCTGTCTCTAGAATGCTTTGAGAGAATGGAAATACTTACAGCACCCTCTTTCTGAAAAGGACTTTTTTTATGTGAAACCTAACATTTATTTCTCTTAGCTTGATTTTATAAAACAAAGCAAACATTTAGCTATCACAGATTGCATCCTTGCAAATAGATATCTATGATCTAGGGACAAAAAATGATGTACCTGAACCAAATTTATGTGTAAGTTACCTTATCCCCTTTCTCATTACCAGGAGGCAGGATACTGGAAGAAGAAATCTATTAAAATACAAAGCAAAAGATCAAGAAAGCCTCCACAGCTCAGTGCTCATACCTGACACCTCACACACTCACCTTTGCTTATTAAAAACACTACCCTTCAAGGTGTAGAAGACGAAGCTTCTGTCCTTGGGAATCTTCTATTTTTAGCACAAGTAAAACAAAAACTCTAACAATAACAACCACAGTAATAACTACCCTTGGCACCTATTTACCAGGTCCCAGGCTATGTGCATGTGCCTTACATATATTAACTTGTTTACTTCCCACAAGGACCTTGAAAGTTTTTGTAATCTCCATCTTACAGATGAGAAAACAGGCCCAGCAAGGTCAAGCGACATGCCCCATGTCATTAAGTCAGCACTAGAGGCATAATTTGAACCCGAGTTTGCTGGGCCACCAACCTGAGCTCTTTAAACAAATGATGCTACTTCAAAGCCATAATCATTAGAGCCATGACAGTGGTACAAATAAGTGTGGTGTCATTCCTGTTACCATCTGTTATCACAAAAAGGCAGAAGCCAGGCACCGTGGCTCACGCCTATAATCCCAGCACTTTGGGAGGTTGAAGCAGGAGGATCACTTGAGCCCAGGACTTAGAGACCAGCCTGGCCAACATAGCAAGACCCTATCTCTACAAAAAGTAAATAAATAAATAAAATTAAAAAAAATATTTTAAATATTAAAGGAGGAGGCAAGAAGAGAGGCAAGGAGCATGTCTGGCTGGTAGGATCAGGGAAGTCACTGCAAACTGACTTCTATCCCTTTTGTGAGGAGATAGGTTTGCTCCACCCAGCAAAGTGTGGAAGTAACACTCCCATTTGATACTATTCCCATTTCAGAATTTATTCAATGGATAGGAGTGAAAATAATAGGAGAAGATGAAGTCAAAGAACAAATAAATGGCCATGCCATGGAAATGAATGCTAGCCTTCAGTGGTAATTTAAATTAGGTATTTTCATCTTGATTTTTTAAGTAAATAAATTACTTAAATTTAATTAAAATAGATGATGTTATGACCAGTTTTTCCCATTGACACTGAAGTTTTAATTCTGGGTATATGGAAAGATAGGACAGTGGTGTCATTAACTGAGAGGGAAAGGAATTTAGAGGAAAAAGAATTGAGAATGGGGGAAATGATAAAATATACTAACAGACCCAAAATTGGAATTTTTTTCATGAAAACCCCCAAACTGTTTTGGCGATTGTGAATAATACTGCAATACAATGTGTGTGTGTGCGCGTGTGTGTGCATGTCTGTGTATAATAAAACATTACATTGTACCCCATAAATACATACATTATTATTTTTCAATCAAAAATAAAAATTTACATTAAAAAAACTGAAATGATGAGGCAAGGACTACACACCCAGTTTCAGTACCGTCTGCCCAGGCAGAGCTCTTAATCAGTCTGTTTCTCCCATCACTTGAAAGCTGCTGTCTCTGCTTCCTGGTGCCAAAGTACACTTATGGAACAAGGACACACTCGATAGTCTCACATGCCAAAATAAAAAACACTTTTTTGTGTGTGTTCTCCCCAGATAAGGCTAGGAGTAGAAAATACTATCTGTTATTACACAGCTCTAGGGCTGCAAGTTAAATGTTTGCAAAGGTAGAAATCCATGCTCCAGATGAACCCGGAAGAAATCTCAAAGAACTGGGGACAATTTGTGCTCCTTAACCAAAAGGAGGAGTAGGGGAAGTGAGATGCTTACTGTTTGTGACTAATATATTAGATTCATTACTCAAGAACAACATCCTTGTGAGCCCTGTAATTACCACCACGAAACTGAGGTTGTTGACCTACAAAATGTAGATCAAAGACTGAATTTGCATTTCATACAAGAATCCTTCCAGGCTCTAGCAAACTGGGATGGCCACATTGCTGCTTTGGAAACCAGAACAGGAAGCATAAAATATTGTCATTCAAAAGTTATAATATAGGGGAGACAGAGAGGTTCAGATACGAGAGAATCTCGGACTCGCTACTGCCAACAGGTGACATCAAAATCCTCCATAATCTGACCCAACCACTCTTTCCAAATAGATCTTCTCCATTATTATCTTTCTGGCCTCTAGGCTTCCTCTAAACTGAACCAATTGCTTTTCTGTCTCCAACATATCCTGCATTTTCCACTTCCACTTGTTAATTCCAGTTGTCACTTTTTTCTAGGATGCCCTTCCACTACAACTCTCGGTTTTCAAATACTTCCCCTTATTCAATGTCATGTGTCACTTCCTTGGGGAAGCCTTTCACTCAGGCACAGTATAAATACCACATATGCTTCATTTTTCTCATGAAAACAACTTTGCCCCCTATATAATGATGCCATTAAAATAATATATTTTGGTGATAGCTTTCTTGGCCTGGAATTCCTTGACAGTGAGACCCATATCTGCTTCATCTTAGATCCTTTTTGGCACTCAATCCAGTGCTTTAAAAGTAGTAAATGCTAAATAAATATTTAATAAAAATTCTTGCAACATTTCTCACATTTATTATCATTTATTGTCAAGTATTGTTCTAGGTGCTGGGGATACACCATGAACAAAATGGACTGGAATTTCTGACTTAATGGAATTTACATTCTAAAGTGTGAGGCAGACAATAAATGAAATAAAAAACTTGTGTCAAATAGTAAAAGATGACAAGGGCAAAGATAAAAATGAAGCAGAGAAGCAATATAAAAAGGGTCAAGATGGTTAGAATTATAGATTGGACTGGGTGGGTGGATGGATGGATGGATGAATGGATGGATGGATGGACATGTGAATGGGTAGACTGATGGGTAGATGGGTAGGTGAATGGATTCATTACATAGAAAAAAATTGGCTTTACTAGTGGGAAAATAAACTCCAAAAACATTTTCTAATCTGCATATAAATTAGTTTCTCTATGTAAAACATTTTCTAGTCTCTATATAAATCAGTTTCTAGGGCCCAAAAAGTGATGGTTCATCTTACCCACAATAATCTTAGAAAAATCAGGAAGAAAAATCTGATTCTTCAGTTTATCGCCATATTGACTTTCAGGTACCCCGAACAAGTCACTCTTGGTGACCTTACAAAAATATGTTAATGCCTATGAGTTTATGAAGAAACCATTTCTTTAGGTTAGAAAGAGCATGTTTTAGTCCGGGGATATGTCTATGAAGGGAATGATCCTTTCAAATGAGAATTAACCATTGAAGATGAAAAGGAAAAAGATGGGAGGAAAAGGAAGGTCTTTAAATTGAAAGATGGATGAGTTATCTGTTTACGCTAATTCTATCAAGTCTGGAGTAAAGATAATTTTCACAAAGCAACAGGGATGTAATATCTTCAGACCCATAGTTGTCAGTTCCTGTATCACACAGAGTTCAGTAGAGTTCATTAAACTTAGTACTACTAATTTACTAATTTTTATTTGCAACACGGAATAGGGAGAATCCTTGTATGTGAAAATGAAGTAGCTTCCTAGTGCAAAGCTCAACGAGGTGGCCACATTTTTCATGGTTGGTTCCTGCTGCGGTCCTGCTGCTTTATCACTGAGAAAAACAGCAAGAGGCTTTATATTTTCTACATTATTTTACAAATTGATTTCAATTTTAGGAAAAACATTTATTTGTGGCTAAAACTCCACTGCAGACTCAAACAGTGAAAAACACTTAGTGAATAAGAACATCCTTTTAGTGTTCCAAGCTAGCTCTTTGAATAGAGAAAGCAGCATAGCCATTCAAGGGCATTTTTATTTCCCTCATGATTTTCAAGGCTCAGAATATCTTGAATTTGGAATTTTCTACTTATTATAGAGCTAGCATTGCCTAATATCTAAAGTGGTCTCTGAATATTTCCCCTCAAGTCTCAGTCTGTACCATAAGTTATGCACTGTTATGTGTTTTCTACCCCTCCTTTTTTCCTAGTTTCTGAGATTCTGAGAGAGAAGTGGGTAGAATGAAGACTGTATATTCTTTAGGGGTAGGAGAAAGGAAGAGGCTGAGACTCAGCTATCACAGCACCAGCAGCATGGGTTTAGGGCATTTACTCAGAACCAGAGTGTCTGAGTTATATTCCTAGCTCCATCATTACTAGCTGTGTGACTTTAGGCAATGTAACTAACATCTCTGTGCCTCAGCTTCTTCCTTGGTGAAATAAAGATAATGCAATAGAATCACCACAAGGTTCAATTAAGTTACTACTGGTAAATCACTTACAGATGGTGAATACCTGGCACATAGTGAGCTACATATATACATTTGTTATTAGTTGTTGTTCTACCTGCAAGTGGAAGAGGAAAAAAGAGTAGTCAAGGTACCAGCTTGCTCTGGCCAGGATTCACAGTGATACCTGAGCATGTTGAAAAATTAATGAGCAGCCTCCTTGAAGTGTGAGCCTAAGAGACACAGAGGAGCTTCCTGGGAAGTAAGTCTTCCCAAGAACTGAGCCCAACATTTTAGACCCAGTAACAAAGCATTAGTCTTGGTGGAGGGAAGTTATTCTGGTTACATCGGATTCTGATTCCATGTTAATCTAATGCACTTCTCTGGGCTCTAGGATGATAATAAGATATATCAAAAAGGTAAGCAACATTTCACTAAAAATTTTGTTAAGCATTGGAGCATAGACAGCATTGTGCTGGCAGTACTTCTAAAAAGAGTGGAAGACACTGATGGGGACAGAGAGGTGTTATTCTCCACCTCGAGACAGCAGAGCAGTGGGTGTGGACCAAGTTGTTAGTAGACACAGACTGCCCAAATGGCATTCTCCACTTAGCTAAATGAAGCTAAAACTATTGATTTCCACAGCCCTCTGAATGCCACTGGAGCCGAGATATAGTTAAACCTTTGCTTTGTTACAATGTGATAACATGGTGACATGGCTCATAAACTATAAGACCATAAATAATTTCACCTGCTAGAATTATGATCCTAACAAAGTAAGGAAGATGTAAGTAATTTCATTTGTTAAGCATTAAACAAATATGTATTTAGTCACTTCTATGTCCCAGGCATTGTGTGTTAGGTGCCAGGGATTCAGCAGGCAGAAAGGGAAGCAGATTTCTACCCTTAGGAAGCTCATACTCTGAAGTGCAGAGAGCAAGTCTCCAGACAACCAGAAATCAGTCAGTACTCTGGAGAGGAAGTGGCATACCATCAGATTTGGGGCATCAGTGAGGCATCTGCCCTCAAAAAATAACCTCTGCTAATAGCTGAAGAATTACTAAAATCTAGCTAGGCAGAGAGATGAAGGAGGAATGTTTCATGAAACAGAAACAGCATATGCTAGGATCCAGATACCACACCTTAAAGGATTGTTGAGAGCAGGGATCAGCAAACTATGGCCTGGGACCACTGCATGTTTCTGCAAATTTAGTTTGATTGAAACACAGCCACATTCATTCATTTGTCTATTGCCTATAGATGGTTTTGTGCTGGTTTTCTCTACGACGGCAGAGTTGATTAGCTGTCACAGAGACTGTAAGGTACATGAAACCTAGAATATTTGCCAGCTGGTCTTCACAGAAAAAAAAAATGCCCACCCTGGGCTAGAGCACAGAGGGCAGTTGGCAAAGTGATGAGCATTCTCTTGGTGGATATCCTTCAGCCTTATGCAGGTGCTGGAGTGGGCAATAGTATAAAGCAAAGTAGTGAGACCACAGGTTCGCTTTGCTGTGCACTTTGCAAGTCAGACTCACAGTGATAGCCCCTGTGGCACAATGAAAAGAAGAGATGCTTTTGTAGCATGTTTTTACATTTGTGCTTCATGGAGCCCTTTATAGGATACATTTTTTTATCCAAGGTACTGGGGGGCACCAACTCACTGAATGCTGCTGAGACCAAGACCTTTGTTTCTAGACGGTAGCTTCAAATTTCCAGCAACACACGGAATACACATACTGTCTGACAAGCCATATTAGAAACCCTCTTAAGACAAAATGCTGAAGGGAGGTGGCACACTCCATCTGGCCATATCATCATTGCTTGATTGAAATCACAGCTGACATTCATCCAGTTCAGAGAGCTATCTATAATATGTAAGCTGAGAACTTTTACTTTGGTGGGTTTATAATAAAAATAAAAGTTTCACTGAACTTTTGCCCCACTCAAAATTTAGTACAATGCTTCTACTTGGAATCTTCTCCCCTACCCTCCTGTAAACTTATCATTCATTGTTCTTAGTTATGTTTATTTCCTCTGCCCACAAGGATCCAGATAAATAGATCACTACTTCCTGTTCCCCTAGTGCCCTGTGCTTACCACACGGTATTGTTTCTTTCCTTGCCATCTGCCCCATTCCTGTAAGATCCTTGAGGGCAAAGCTGAATCCTTCACCATTATAGGTCCATGCCTGAGACATCTGAGGGTCCTCAATACATATTTACTTAATGTATATATGAAAAGGAAAAACTAATGACTGAATTTATACTATGGTATGAAAATTTCACATATAGTTTACTATATAGCTTGCAAGCATAATTACATGAATAATGAGCCATATGTTTTTGGTATTAACTCCTATTTTCTTCACACCAAGGGATTAGCCTGGTATTGCTCAGATAATGTTCTCTTTTCTGTAGTCTATGTCTTGTTCTGCCTTTCTTTGTCCAGATTTTGCAGCCCCACTGATTCTCAGCCTTGGAGCCCCACACTGTCATTTTCTGACACTGATATGGCTAGAGTGGTCACTTCCTTATGTCAGAATTTTTAATACTTACAACAAAGACTTCTTAGTCTCTCTTTTATATAAACTTTGGTTCACAGTTTATAGAATCGAGATTTAATTAACTGTATTTCCACAGAGGTTGTTTACTCAAATTTTCCCTGCAAAGTGCTGGCTTTCAAATCTTATGCCTAGCAATGGTGCTATTTAGCTGGTGCTATCATCTTCTGTTTTCAGTACTTGTGTGTGTATTTTTTTGCCAGACCAGGGACATGTGAGGCAGTTTTTACAAAGCAGAAAATGTGACTTCTTCATTGATTTCAAGTTACGATATTAAGAACACCTTGATATTTGCTGAATGTGAACTTTCTGTTTAATCGTTTTATATCCATGATCATATGGAAGCGGTCAAGCCAAATAGAAAAGGACTTAGAACTTTGTGAAATAAGATGTTCAAAATAAGAGAAAGATCACATTTCAGTCAGTAGCCTTATATTTATTCTTATTCTTGTTATTCAATTCTTAATGTTTTTTCAAAAAATCAGGAGTCAACTTGAATTGACTAGGCACATTTTTTGCACTTAGAATCTACTTTAAAATGTATAACCAGATAAATAGTATGTACTTCATTTTCAAAGCTAAATTAAGAGCCAGGAAAAAAGGTAGAATTTTGCAGGAGTCTGTCAGATCAGGTTTCTAAAAGAAGATCATAGGCTTGAATTCAGAGTTGCTAACTGTCTTGAAAGCAAAACAAGGGTACATTGGAGAAATTTAAGCTGGGTTAAAAATGGAATATCTCATGCACAGACTGATTCATAAAGAAACAAAGTGTAGGAGCAAGAAATTCTGAAATGGATTATGAAGCAAGTCAGAGAATAAGAATTCAAGAACTCAGTCTTTAAAAAAAAGAAATCATCTAAAGTAAACAAAGAAAAGAGAAAGACTCAGTCTGAAGTAGCAAGGTAATAGCTTTTCCTGATGCTGACAATTCCATATCTTCACACCTAACACATATGAATTGCCAAGGATTCTGAATAATGTAGGAACTGGAAGGAGATGGAGGAGACAGAAGAGTGAGTGAAAGTGAAAGATTGTGTTTATTGATGTATACATCAATACGGTTGACACAAAAACTATAACCATGAGTTAAACTAATGAATCTAATCTTCAGAAAATTAGAGACAGGGTAAATGACTTTGTTTATCAATTTTCAGAATGTTGAAAAATTGAAAGGCCATGCTTGTCATTATTGTAAAAGAATTCTAGGACTTATTTTTACATACACACTCAAAGCCCTTGTAAATTCATCTTAGAAAAGATCTTAATTTTGTGGAAAAACCATTGATGTTCATTGGTAAAGATCTCTGCATCAGATACTTAGATCACGGAATTATTTAAAACAACACAGAAAATTCTATTCACTATAGTGTTAAAACAAAAGTAATAGCTTTACCTTTAATAAAGGTGGAAAAGAAGTTAAATTTGAAATGTTATTTTATTTTAGATTCAGGAAGTAAACGTGCAGGTTTGTTACATGGATATATTGCATAATGTTGGAGTTTGGGTTTCTTGTGTACCCATCACTCAAATAGTGAACACTGTACCCAAGAGGTAGTTTTTCAACCCTCACACCCAACCACTTTCCACCTTTTGGAGTCCCCAGTGTCTATTATTTCCTTCTATATGTCCATGGGTACCCACTGTTTAGCTCCCACTTATAAGGAAGAATACACAGTATTTGATTTTCAGTTTCTGAACTATTTCACTTAGGATAATGGCCTCCAGCTCCATCCATGTTACTGCAAAGTACATGGTTTCATTTTTTGTCTATGGCTGCGTAGTATTCCATGGTATATATGTACCACATTTTCTTTATCCAATCCACTATTGATGAACACTTAGGTTGTTTTCATGACTTTGCTATTGTGAATGGTGCTGTGATAAATATATGAATGCAGGTGTTTTTTAAATATAATTTCTTTTCTTTTGGCTGTATACCCAATAGTGGGATTGCTGGGTCAAATGGTAGTGCTATTTTTAGTTCTTTGAGAAGTCTCCAAATTGCTTTCCATAGTGCCTGAACTAAGTTGCATTCCCACCAATAGTGTATAAGCATATCTTTTTATCTACATCTTCCAACATTTGTCATTTTCCGACTTTTTAACAGTCATTCTGACTGGTATGAAATGATATTTCATTGTGGTTTTAGTTTACATTTCTCTCATAATTAGTGATATTGAGCATTTTTTCATATGTTTCTTGGCCACTTGTATGTCTTCTTTTGAGAAATGTCTTTTCATGTCTTTTGCCTGCTTTTTAATGAGGTTTTTTTTTCTTGTTGAGTTCCTTGTAGATTCTAATAAGTTTGGAAAATATTGAATTTTGAAGAATTATTTTTTATTTTATTTATTTTATTTTATTTAGGTGGAGTCTCGCTCTGTCACCCAGGCTGGAGTGCAGTGCCACCATCTCGGCTCACTGCAACCTCCACCTCCTGGGTTCAAGTGACTCTTCTACCTCAGCCTCTCGAGTAGCTGGGATTACAGGCACCTGCCACCACACCCTGCTAACTTTTGTATTTTTTAAAGTAGAGATGGGGTTTTTGCCATGTTGGCCAGGCTAGTCTCAAACTCCTGACTTCAGGTGATCCACCCACCTCAGCCTCCCAAAGTGCTGGGATTATAGGCATGAGCCACCGCGCCTGACCAAGAGTTACTTTTTAAAAGGTATGAGTGTGTCTTAGTAATTCTCTTCAAAGCCTCCTTGGTCCTTCAGGAGATAAAGAGTCATTCACTTCCATTGCCTATTCACCAATCTGCCAAACAAATCTAATATCTGTTTTCAGAGTTTTATACGTTCCTTGTACTGACTTTCATAATATTATTCTGTCTAAAAATATTTGGTACCAGTTTTTATCAGAGAATAACAATCTACAATAAGAAGCTAAGGTGCTTTGGGTCTGTATTTCCAATAAATCTCATGTTGAATTGTAATCCCTAATGTGGGAGGTGGGGCTGGTGGGAGGTGACTGAATCATGAGGGAAGATTATCATGAATAGTTTAATGCCATCCCCCTTGGTATTTTCTTGAAAATGAGTGAGTTCTAAGGAGATCTGGTTGTTTAAAAGTGTGTAGCACCTCTCTCCTCTCTCTCTTCTTCCTGCTTCAGCCATGTGAAGTGCCAACTCCCCCTTTTTGCTTTCCGCCATGATTGTAAGGTTCCTGAGGCCTCCCCAGAAGCAGAGGAGATGCCAGCATCATGCTTCCTGCATAGCCTGTAGAACTGTGGATCAATTAAACCTATTTTCTTTATAAATTACCCAGTCTCGGGTATTACTTTATAGTAGCACAAGAACTGACTAATACATAAAATGAATACAGAATGGGGCATTGCTATAAAGATACCTGAATATGAAACAACTTTAGAGCTGGGTAATGGATAGAGATTGGAACAGTTGGAGGGCTCAGAAGAAGAAAGGAAGATGAGGGAATGTTTGGAACTTCCGATAGACTTGTTGAATGGTTTCAACAAAAGTGCTGATAGTGATGTGAACAATGAAGTCCAGGCCAAGAAGGTCTCAGATGGAAATGAGGAACTTATTGGGAACTGGAGTAAATGTCATTTTTGCAATGCCTTAGCAAAGAACCTGGCTGCATTGTGCCCCTGCTCCAGGGATCTGTGGAACTTTGAACATGAGAGTGATGATTTACAGTATCTAGTGGGAGAAATTTCTAAACAGCAAAGTGTACGATATGTGGCCCAGCTGTTAATAACAACCTATGCTCAAATGTGTGAGCAAAGAAATTACCTAAAACTGGAACTTATATTTAAAAGGGAAGCACAGCATAAAAGTTTAGAAAATTTGCAGCCTGTCCATGTGGTAGAAAAGAAAAGCCTGGATGTCTAGGAAGAAGCCTGTTGCAGGAGCAGATCCCTCATGGAGAACCTTTACCAGGGCAATGTGGAGGAGAGATGTGGAGTTGGAGCCCATGTTCAGAGTCCCTGCTGGGGCACTGCCTAGAGGAGCTGTGAGAAGACAGCCACTGTCCTCCAGACCCCAGAATGGTAGATCTACTGACAGCTTGCACCCTGCACCTGGAAAAGCTGCAGGCACTCAGCACTGGCCCAAGAGAGCAGCCATGGGGGCTGAACCCTGCAAAGCCACATGGACAGAGCTGCCCAAGGCCTTGGGGGCCCACCCCTTGCATCAGTGTGTCCCAGATGTGAGACATGGAGTCAAAGGAGATTACTTTGAAGCTTTAAAATGTAATGACTGCCCTGTTGGGTTTAGGACTTGCCTGGGGCCTGTAGCCCTTTGTTTTGGCCAATTTATCCCTTTTGTAATGGGAGTATTTACCCAATGTCTATAACCCCATTGTATCTTGGAAGTAAGTAACTTGTTTTTGATTTCACAGGCTCATAGGCAGAAAGTATGAGCCTTGTCTCAGATGAGACTTTGGACTTCGGACTGTTGAGTTAATGCTGAAATGAGTTAAGACTTTGGGGGACTGTTGAGACAGGATGGTTGTATTTTTCAATGTGAAAAGGACATGAGATTTGGGAGGCCAGGGGTGGAATGATATGGTTTGGATCTACGTCCCTACCAAATCTCACATCGAACTGTAATCCCTCATATTGCAGATGGGGTCTGGTGGGAGGTAATTGCACCATGGGAGCAGTTTCTCCTGAATAGTTTAACACCATCCCCCTTGGTATTGTCTTGGTGATAATGAGTGAGTTGTCAAGAGATCCGGTTGTTTAAACATGTGTAGCACTTCCGCCTCTCTTCTTCCTGCTCTGGCCATGTGAAGTGCTGGATCCCCCTTTTTGTCTTCCATTATTATTGTAAAGTTCCTGGGGCCTTCTCAGAAGCAGAGCAGATGCCAGTGTCATGCTTCCTGTACAGCCTATGGAACCCAGAGCCAATTAAACCTCTTTTCTTTATAAATTACCCAGTCTCAGGTATCTTTCTTTCTCTCTTTTTTTTTTTTTTTTGATACAGAGTCTCACTCTGTTGCCCAGGCTGGAGTGCAGTGGCGTGATCTCAGCGCACTGCAACCTTCACCTCCTGGGTTCAAGTGATTCTCCTGCTTCAGCCTCCCGAGTAGCTGGGATTACAGTCGTGTGCCCCATGCCAGGCTAATTTTTGTATATTTAGTAGAGATGGGATTTCACCAAGTTGGACAGGCTGGTCTCAAACCCCTGACCTCAGGTGATCCACCTGCTTCAGCATCCCAAAGTGCTGGGATTACAGGCATAAGCCACCATGCCTGGGCCTCAGGTATTTCTTTATAGCAGTATGAGAATGTACTAATACAGAAGGCTTAAGTGACAAAGAGTTTTAAGTTTTCAAGTGTATAAAAATATTCTTCCTTCATCTTCATAGAGAGAAAATTTAAAATGGAACTGATACAGAAACTGTATATTTTCAAATACACTTAGTTAAAAAAGAAATTCACAATAGTCAAGAAGTGGAAGCAACCCACATGTTTATAGACAGATGAATGGTTAAACAAAATGTGGTATATATGTAAAATGGAATATTATATGGGAAATAGGAGGGAAATCAAGTCACATGCTACAACATGAATGATCCTTAAGAACATTATATAAAATGAAATAAGCCAGTCACCAAAAAAACCAGTACTGCATGGTTCCATGCAGTAGTGCAGCATCTAAAGTAGTCAATTTCATAAAAACAGAAAGGAGAATGGTAGTTACCAAGAGAGAAATGAGGGGACAGGGGAATGGGGAGTTGTTTAATGTGTATGGAGTTTTAGTTCTGCAAGATGAAAAAACTTCTGAAGATCTATTTTATAACAATGCAAATATGCTTCATACTACTGAACTGTACACTTAAGAATGGTTAAGATGCTAAATTTTACATTAATTTTTTATAACAATTAAAAAAAAAAGCAAAACCTAAGGTATGTTTCTGACTTATTTACATTTAATTCATCACTCATTTGGAGAGAAATCAGAGGTCCATGAAACCCTGGCCTTCACTCCTTTAATTAGCCTCTAGCTCTTTCTTCTTAGACACAAAATCTTCTATTTTGACAGGATTAAGTGAACAGGAATACATGAAAGGAAAGGTTTAAATTTTCCTTGAAATTGAGACTCTGACTCCCAGAAGGCCAACGAGGTTCTAAACTTGAAATGTGCACTTGACAATCACTATTAATAACTAAGATATACCTCCAGACAAATTCCCAAACCTACTTATTATGTATGAACATGAGCAATTATGCCTTTGCACAACACATACACAATATACTGCAGAGCATGCAATCAAATTAATGCATAATATAATCTAGCATGGATAATTGAGAACTGGAATATTGATTAGCTACCAGAAATATTTTATCTCAACACGTTGTATTTTTATTACTAAGCAAGAAAATAGACTGGCATATTTAGTATTAATATATTGCATAACATAGTTGGGGTAGAAAATATTTGAAATTGGGGCCTAAACTTTTTCATTCTCAACAAAGCAGCAGTTATTAACTGGTTAGGTATACAGCTTAGTGTTAGGCACCATATGCTGACAAAATTAACAAAGCTTGGTCTTTGCTGTGAGAAACCTTACCATCATATGAGGACTATCACAGGCCTCTATATAACCTGAATGTAAAGAGAACAACATGAGAGCTGTAAACAAAGAACCATGTGAATGAAAAAAAGAAGGATAAACAGGCTGAAGTTGTAGACTTATGGACATTTAGACCCTGCATGAAGTAATCAGAGACAGAAGTCTACCTCACAAGGGTAGGTTTTCTATTCCATTCTATTCCTGGGAGCTATGGTTGATTAAAAGCTCTTTCCCAGGTAGAATGAAAGTTTATCTTCCTTTAACATACAGTTATTCAGATAAATAATACATTAATTCTCCTTTGTAATCTATATGGTAGCTCTTATTAACTATTAGTTACCAATTTCTTTCTTTAAACATTCATCAAAGCGACTGTGGAAAAACCAAGTGTAGCTTAACTGGCATTTGGATATAAGAATCTGGAAGACTGAAGAGAAGTCTTAGCTAAAGATGTATGTTTGGGAGTCATCACTCAATAAATGGGATTTAAAATCCTCCATCATTTCTCAAGCCATTCTTCTCTCCACTCTGTAAGTCTAATCATTCACCTATCTTCATTGATTCTACTTGCAAATTAGTTCTCTAATCTTTTCCACAGCTGCTGTCATCTCTTATATTAGTAGCCTCAAATTGTCTCACCATATTCAGTTTTACCCACTTCCAAAACATTCTCTACACTGCAGCCAGAATTATCCTTACTATATCAGTTTTCTAGGGCTGCTGTAACAAAGTATTAGAAACTGAGTGGCTTAAATAACTGCATTCTATTGTCTCCCAGTTCTGGAATCTATAGTTTGAGATCAATGTGTTGGCAGAACTATGCTACCTCTGAAGGTACTAGGGAAGAATCTATTCCAGGCCTCTCTGCTAACTTCTGGTAGTTCCGTGATCTGTGGAAACATAACCCCAGTCTTCACATAGCATTCTTCCTGTGTGAATTTCTATCTTTCCGCATGATATTTTTAAAAATAAGGACACAAGTCTTATTGGTTTAGGGGCTCACTCTGCTACAGTATGACCTCATCTTACTAATCTTACTCATCCTACTACATCTTACATCTGCAATAACCTAATTTCCAAATAAGTTCACATCCTGAGGTAAAAGGATTGATACTTCAACATAAAAATTATGGAGGGACATAATTCAACCACTATATTTTTTAAATGTTAATAGGATCCTGTCATTTCCTCTTAAAATGGTTCCCCACTGTCTTCAGGATAATATCCAAAATGTCTTAACATGGTTTACTAAGTGCTTCATATTCTGGTCCCTAGGTCCTCTCTTGTTTCATGTCTTGCAGCTCTCCTTCTTCCTACCCTACTCTCAGAAATACTCAGCAATAAATGTAAAATTACAATTGCAATATGTATTTTAATAACCTGATGCCAGTACAGACTCTAATAGTGGATTTGATCTATTCAGGAAGATCAGAAGGTGCTTCTTCAAGGGAATGATGATTGATCTAAGAGGTAAAAGATCTAAATAGGTGGAAACAGAAGAGAAGAGCATCCCAGACAGAAGACGCAGTTTGTCCTCTATGTTTGAAGGATGAACCAAAGGAAGATAAGAGCAACATGGTATGAGATGAGGTTGGAGTGGCAGGGAGGTCCAGATGAAGCAGAGACCTGTGGGCCATATTCAGAGGAGTTTAGAGATGGCACAGAAGAATCCCGGAGACTCTTACCCAGGGAAATAAGGCAATAAAATCTGCATTTCAAAAAATCACCATGGTAACTGTAGAGGAGTGAAGAACAGAGTGGAGGAGGCAAATGTGGATGGGGGTAGCCTAGTTTTTGCAGAAATCTAGGTAAGCAAGGGACAATGGTGTCCTATATGAGGAAATGATCTATCTCTAAGTAGATTTTAGATACATTAGGAGGTAAAAACTAGAGGCTTGGAAATGGATTTTTTATAAGGAGTAAGGGAGAAGAAGCTGTCAAGGGTGACTTCCAGAATTTTGACTTAATACAGGGAAGGCTGCAAAGTCATTCATTAAAATTAGAAAGTGTGGAAAGGTTTCGTGAGTTCCATATGTACATGTTGGGTCCTCTGAAGCATTTTCAGAGAGATGTTGAGTTGGTAGTTGGAAGTTCTGACATCTTGCCTGGGTTGAATGTATGCTTTTGTGAATCTCCACCATGTAGGTTAAAATTGAAGCCACAAGCATCGATTAATCAGAACTGAGAATAGGGCATCTAAGACTGAGCTTAGATTCTAACATTTAAAGATTCGATAGGGGCAAAAAAGCCAGCAAAAGAGATGGAGAGATTCGAGACATACCCTATGCACTGAGGGGAGAAAATGGTTTTTTAAAAAAAGAAGTGGTGAGCACTGATGAATATAGCCAGAAGGTCAGTTAATAAAAATAATGAAAAAGGTGTAGTATGTTGGCAGGGAGGCAGGTAGGGGGCTGAATACTGAAAAAATTTGCCTATTATTACTTTTCTCTTCTCCAAGCTAAACATTCCCTGTCTTTGACTGATTAGGTATTTCATGACATTTTACCATTTCTAGGACCTTCATCTGGAGGCACTCCAGTGCAACAATATTTTTGAATTGCCATTGAAAAACTAGGCCATTGAAAATACCACTGAGCACTTTGTTATCATTCCCTCATCTGTGCTGAACACTGTGTGGGCCAAGGGGAAAGGATCAAAGAACAGCCGGACCAGATGGCTACCCTCAAAGAGCTTTAGTCTAACAGAAATGTTGAGGCACACACATATAGTAAATATAATACCAGATGCCAGAAAAGAGTTTGTTATTAACATTCTAAAGAGGAGGTGATGATTTCTGTCAAGCTTTCATACAAGAGGAAACATCTGATCTGAGTCCCACTGGAAGGATAGAATTTGGAACCTAAAAATGTGGTAGAAGATCTTCCATCCAAATAAAGACAACAAGGAAGGAAATTGGAAGACATGTGGAAGGATGTGAAGATGAGTGCTAGGAAATAAGGTTGGAAAACCAGCATGGTCTTTTGGAGGCCAAGGCGGGTTGATCACCTGGGGTCAGGAGTTTGAGACCAGCCTGGCCAACACGGCAAAACCCTGTCTCTACTAAAAATACAAAAAAGTAGCTGGGCATGGTGGTGTATGCCTGTAAATCCAGATACTTGGGAGGCTGAATTATGAGAATCACTTGAACCCAGGAGGCGGAGGTTGCAGTGAGTTGAGATTATGCCACTGCACTCCAGCCTGGGTAACAGAGTAAGACTCGGTCTCAAAAATGAAAAAAAAAAAAAAAGAAAAAGAAAAGAAAAAAGAAAACTAGCATTAAGCTATTTTCTGGAGAGCCATGAATATTAGGCTAAAGACTTTAGACTTTTTCATTTGACAGTAAGAATTCACTAAATATTATTCTTGATTTTGATTTGAGTCTTACTGTGGCCCCTGGAATTTCTTCTTGCGTACCTTGGGTTACCTATTGTGGACATGCCTCTTTGAATCAACTTTAGCACTTTCTCCTAAGCACAATTCTTATGTTTAGACCGCAATACGGTTTTGCTGAAAGTGCTGACCTGGGAAGGGAATGGCTCAAAGAGAGGGAGAACAGCTTGGTGGCTATTATAATAGTTCTCATTGCGTTATGCTCAGGCACCGAAGATCCCTGTGCATTATCTATGTATCCTAGGTATCAGGACTGGGGGATTCAGGACACTAGCTGACATAATTAGAATGCTTTTTGATGTATTCTCTTTGTTTATGATGCCTGTTTAAGTTTTAGTTAACTTTCATTATCATCCCTACCACCTGATTTAACTCTAACCCTTCCCTGTCCACCCTAGGTCTCACTGCAGCCTTTCATCCCTTTACTTTTCCTCATAACAACATTAACAAATCCAACATCCTATAATTTACTTACTAGTGTTATTTTTGTCCCTTTCTCCCCTGTTCCTGCACTGGCATGTAAATTCTATTAGGCTTTTTTTTTTTTTTTTTTAACCCTACTGTTCATTGCTATATCACCAGAGTCTAGATCGGGGGTTGGCATGCGGCAAGGAGTCAGTGTTATTAAATAAATTACTTAATTTGTTTTGGCCTTTATATTTGGATCCGATCAAAAGCATTCAAAATGAATTGCCTGCTTCTTTGAAGACAACAGGCAACATCATGAGTCCAGTACACAAAGGCAATGGAGGATGGATTCAAGAAATATCCAGGAGATACAATCCAAATAATTTGACAATTCAATAAATGTTTGGAAAGGGGAGAGAGGAAAATCAAAGATGATTCAAGTTTTCAGAATGAGTGAGTAGAGAAAATAGGAGCTACTGGCAAGAACGGAACCAGAATATTAGCCAAGAAGGAGGTTTGGGACATTATAGTTAATGTAATGTTTTAGAACCTGATCAACACTATAATTATTATTGCCTATAAAATATCACTTTGCTCCATAATATATTATTTTGAAAAAAAATGGAGAAACTTGATAAACCTTTGCATTCCAAATAGCCTTTTTTAAGCCAACAGTGTACACATATGAGACAATACCATCTGGGAAAGCGAGACAGAGACAGGCAGAAAAAAGAAACTCTGACTTTGATAGATTAAACCCTTGACTTGATAAATGGTTCATGCAGATCAGCAATGGAAAGGCCTATGTGCCAACACAAAGAGCCAAAAATAATCTTGTAGTTTAAAGGAGTGAATGAATGATACAGCACTCTGAGTTTGGAAAAGCCTCAGCTGTGATCATGAAATATGTATTAAAAGCATTGGCTCTATCGGTGATAGATACCTAAAGTTTCCTCTCGGGCTATGGTGGAAGTTATTTTTTTCTGATACAGAGTGGGCCAAATTCACATTACAGATGCTACTTTTTATAATTGTTCCAGCATAAATTGTTTCAACTCAAGCAAAATCCAAAATGCACATTTTCTTCGTTGGTAGAGAAGGTGGCAGTCTATAAAAGGAAATGAGCCAGCAGATTTATCCTCTTTATCACAAAGGGAAGTCACAATGCACATCTCAAAGCAGAAGAGAAAAGATAGTATATCAGAAAAAGAACTGAAAGGAAATACACTAAAATGGAAATTGTCTTTGGTAGGAATATACATAATTTCTATTTTCTTTCTTTACAATGAACATAGATTATTCTCCAATTAGAAAAATAAATAAAATGTTTTCTTTAAAAGACTGCTCATTGGCCCAAAGCTGCTTAGTAATAAGCTTGTGGGTCATTTTCAAGAAATTCTGACCGCATGGCATCTCCACTGAGAAAAAAAATTAATCCATTGTGAGGGAGTGAATTTTTTACTTCATCCCAAATCATTTTCAGTCTAAGCAAAAAGGAACCTACATGATTGTTCTGGAAACAACCAAAAGATAGGCAATTCTTAACATCCAGATAAGATGCTAAGGACTTAAATTCTGTTTCAGTCAATAAAGTCAACCTCTGCATCCAAAAATAATTTCAAATAATTTAGCAATTTTTACCCCTTACATTTTCCCCTCTTATTTCAATAAAAGCTTACCAAAACAGTCTAGTTTCATTTTGCTTTACTTTGTTTTAAGTGACCATAATAGAAAAGAAAAGCCTCGGAATGGTTAAATAACCAACCTGACAGCTGAATGTAGATAAACGTGGAATTGTCAATACTGAATACATCCCCCCAAACCAACACTCTTAGAAGTTCTGAGGAAATACTGGCAAAGCATAACTAATCATCTGAAAAGAAATAAAAACTTCTCTCCTATATACTAATCTACACAGGCACACACTTCACCAAATTCCATAAAAGTTCACATACATAAAACCTGATGGATTACTTCACTTTAAAGCCAACCAACCAACCCATCAGTCAACAAAAACTTCTAAATACAGCAAACCTTCAGCATTTAAGAATTTCACATTCATCATTTGACTCCATGAGAATTAAGCCAAAAATCTATTACATAAAATATACACACAAATACCTACTGTGGGACAGGAGCTGTTCCAGGTACTGAGAACATGTGCATTGTGAATGAAGAAACAGGTCTCTTTTTTCACGGAACTGACATGATAGCGCTGGGAGGACAACAGAAAAGAAGGAGCTATACCAAATACTAAGATAACCCTAAGAAGGCTGAATAGGATAGGTGGTGCCTAACCACAGAGACAGGACTGTCGCAGCCACAGGGCCCAGCCTGGAGCTGGCACAACTGTGCGCCCTGAAACATTGAACTGGGTTGGTCCTCACTGGGGCTGCTATGATAGAATCATAGCAGCAGGAGCAGTGGTAGCAACAGCAGCAGCAGGAGCAGCGTGACTACTAGAAAGAGAAGGAGAGTGGATGCTTGGGGACCCACGATTTCAGCAGTAACTTTGCAGCCATGGCACCTGTCATGGTGGGAGATGCTATCCTGGCATTAGTGGTGTTTGAAAGGGAGCCTGGGAACAAGGTGGACCTGACAGAACTATGCCAGGGAAAGAAGGGTGTGCTGTTTAGAATCCCTGGGGCTTTCACCCCAACTGTCAAAGACCCACCTGCTTGGGTTTGGGGAGTAGGCTGGGGTTCTGAAGGTAAAGGGGGGCCAGATCCATGTTTAAGTGCCACTGTCTTTGTGTCTTTGTGACTGGTGAGTGGGGACAGGCCACAGTGCAGAAGGCCAAGGCCAGCTCATGGGTGGCAGCCCTGGGGCCTCTGGGAAGGAGACTGATTTGTTACTAGATGATTTGCTGTTGCCACTCTTTGAGGATGAGAGCTTGAGAGGTTCTTCCTGGTGATAGAGGATGGTGTGGTGAAGGCCTTGCATGAACCTGACCATACAGGCCTCACCTGCAGCCTGGTCCCCAGTTCTATCTCACAGCTCTGAGGCCCAGATCCCTTCACTGTTTCCTGTCTCAGGTGCCCAGCCCTGGGCAAGGGGCCCCAGTCTAACCTCAGCTGGAGTCACTCAATTGGAACCTTGGCCAAATTTCTGCAATAAACACTCCAGTTCAAAACAAACGAACAATGATTTGACAAAAAAAAAAGTTGGGCAGGGCAACTCAATAATCATTGGTAGAAAGGAGCTGACATTAGTTATGGTGCCAGGTTGGAAGCCTCTCTGAAGGGGTGGCAACTGAGCTGAGACTGCTCAGACAAGAATGGCCAGCCACAGAAACGCGTGGGCCCGAAGAACGTACAGGGAGAGGAAACAGCAAGCAAGCCCATGACAGAAACTGGTTAGGCATGTTAAGGGAATAGAAGGCCAGGGTGGCTGGAGAGGAGATGGGAGCATGGTTCTTTATTGGCCATGATACAGAGTTCAGTGTTTATTCTGACTGCAGTGAAAGCCCAATAAAGAATTTAAGAAGGGGAGTGGAGTAATTCTAGTTGTATATTTAAGAGATCTCTTTGGAGAATGGATGATGAGGGTGAGGGCTGGAAGATGAGAGTGGAAGCAGGAGACCAGTGGAGAATGTAGGTGACAGCAGATGGTGTCTTGGATTAGAGTAACAAGGAAAATCAAGAGAAGTGGACAGGTTTGGTGATATAACCAGCTGGCATGATGGCAGATGGAATGTGGAGGAAGGCAGACAGAGAAATGTCTAGAATGCATCTTAGGTTTTTGACTTAAGAAACTGAGTGAATGGCAATACCATTTATAGGAACGAGGAGGAATGTAGAACAGATGTGAAGAAAAAAATTCAGTTTTGAGCCTGTACCTAATTCTGATAATTATTATACATCCACATGGAAATATCAAGCAGGTAATGGAATATACAAGTCAGAGGCTCATGGTACGAGTCAGGGCTGGAGGTATAAAGTTATACAGAAGGAGTTAAAGCAATGTAATTAGATTAGGTCATTCAGGAATAAAATGCAGATAGAGAAGAAAAAGAGCTCAAGCTCTTTAGCACTCCAGCAATTAGAGATTGGCCGGAGGTAAAAAAAAAAAAAAAAAAAAAAGGAAACCAAAAAGTTTGAAAATAACCAGTGAGACAGAGGGAAAGCAGGAGGGACAGGCACAGTTCTGAATGCCTTACTATCTTATTTCATTTAATCCTATGAGCCCAATAATATTCTCAATAAAAAAAAAAAAGGAGGAAATAGTCAAGTTGGACAGACGGTATTGAAAAGCAGAGTCAGCCAAAAACACAGAACAATGTGTTGACAATGTTGACCACTGATGATGTCAACAAGGGTATTTCAGTGTTGAAACAATAACTTATTGTTTAAACAGAAACTATATTTACTTACAAATTAGAAAACACCAAATGACTATTAAGGAGAAAAATAAAATGAACTAATCAATGGTGGTATTCAAACAGCATTATAACATTTTTCTCAACCTTTTCTTTTTTCATTATTGTCCCTCTAAGGAGCCTGGTTAAGACAATTTTATCCTACTTATACCCCCTCCCACATGAAATTTGATACTGCAGTTAAACTCGTTATCTACTTAGGTACTATGGCCCTTCGGATGGCCACAAACATTTATAATATCAAAAGCCTTTTGACCTTCCCCCACCCCAACCTCCTCAACATGAATTTTCACATCCCAGGGGATGAGACAATATCTGTAATTATAATTATGCATTGTAATTATAGCCTGCTATTGTATTGAGAGGAAAATGTATGTTTCACTTATCATTAGAGTGGCCACATAATTTATTACCCAACTGATGTATTTTGGGGAGGAAAGAGAGTACTACTAATAATTACGTTGGGATAGAAGGCATATACCAGAATATGCCAGGCAACTGGGATATATGATTATCCTACTTCTCATAAACTCTGAAAAAATTTTAATTATAAGAATAAATTTGGCAATATTTTAATTCTAAAGTGGACAAATAAATTCAACAGCTAGGCTGTCAGAAAAACGAACAAAATGGGCAAACATGGAGACTCTAACAAAGACAAAAAAAGAAAGCACAAAACAAGTTAGAAGTTATAAAAAAAAGTTATAGTAGTTTTAAAGTATATCACAGATCTCCATATAGTCTTTATACTAAAAAAATTGAAAATTTAGATAAAAAGAGAATTTTCTGGGAATGTGCAAGTGTTTAAAACTGACTCAGGAAGGAGTTTAAAACAATATAGATAATTATGAAAATGTTTGAAAATGTTATAAATGAAATATTTCCAAAAGGATATTTAGGCCCACACATTTCTTTGAAAAACGTTCTTTGAAATCTTCAAAAAATGACTATGCTACATAATTTGTTCCCAGGCTGAACAAAAAGATAGAAAGTTATTCATTTTATAAAACCAGCATAAGCCTAATGCCAAACTTGACAAAGCTAATACACAAAAAAGAAAAATGTAGCCGAATCTTTGTATGAATGGAGACACGCACACTCAAAAGAAATTCTAGTAAATTAATCTCTCAGTGAAAGCTGATTAGTATGTAAGATCTGGGACAAAATCTGGCTTACTTCTTAACACTAAGTTACACTCTGAACTTTTGTACTTAGTTAAACACTTTTCTTAGTCACATAAGCAAGGAGTTAGAGAAGAATGTGATGCTGCAAATCCTAGAATTATAAAAGTAAAAAATGTGTCAGAAAATTGAGATGTGGTGTTGAAAATAATATGATCATATATCAGAATTATAATGCTTAGGAAAGCTTCAGGAACCTAGTATTTGTTTCACCACTGTCAGCCCATATATTAGTGTAAGTACTAAAAGACATTACAGTACTAATATTACATGTCTTAGATGAGATAAAATAATACTTTTAATCCATTATTGTAATTTTAATCTATGTCACAGAGTTGATATAACACAAGGCTTATCTATGAAGCCAGAAAATGTGTTTATTTTCAACTTGTCTTAGTTTAAAAATCTAAGACATGATTCACACATTTACCCATCTTATTGATGATTCTTTTATTAGACTATTAATTGCACTTGAACTGAAGAAATCGGATTCAAACTAATGTTTTTAAAATGTGTCATTCAAAAGACATTTTCATGTTCTTTTTCTTAATATTATTAACTGTCAGTAGTTATTCCTTTAAAAATTAAAGCTTAAATATTTCTTTTTGAACCCAATGCTTAGTAAATCTTGTGAGGGAGATAAAAGCATGATAAAGTTTACCTATTTAAAACTTGTTTGAAAATTTGGATTTTGTGCTAGGGACAGTGATGTGCGCCTGTCATCTTAGCTACTCAGGAGGCTCAGAAGGAAAGATCACTCAAGCCCAGGAGTTCAAGACCAGCCTGGGCAACATAGGGAGACCCCGTTGCTTTAAAAAATAAAAATCAAAAATAACCTTTTTAAAATCTGGATTTTGAAATGAGCTAGGTTTTCTCTTGAAATTTTTATGTTGAAAAAAAACCAACAGAAATGTTACATGAATAATGCATTTGAGTGAATAATTTCTAATACACAGTCAATTTTCAAATTTTTCTAAGCGACATTATAAAATAAATCTTGTATACCATTTTTCAACTTTTATAGTCAAGCTATCTATATATAAAACTTAGAAACTTTAAATACATCTATAGAATAGAACACTAGCAACCTTGACAATGAAAAAGGGGAGAAAAGCATAGGGGAGCAAATACCCTCATCTTGCTGGACAGACAAGAGACACTGCCTCAAGGTGATGCAAAGAGATCTAAGTTTGTTATTTAAACCTAGAAAGAGAAACAACAGAAGAACCAAAATGCTAACATAATGATCCAACTTTGGGAAGGAGAGGAGCAGATAGAAAGAAGCATGAGATAAATCCTCCTTTTTTATAGAGAGGAGTCAATAAATAATGTCTGAAGTTGATAAATCAAAGAATAGTAAAATAAGAAAATATATCAGGATGGTTCTATCTTGAAATATTAATCTAGCTGTTTTCTGCGCATTTCCCTCCAAATCTTTTGGGTCATTTTCCTCTTGCCATACCACCCCCAGTCCTTACCAAGGGGGAAAACAAAAATTCAAAAAGCCAGACTAAGAGGCTTTCAGGGTGTTTTTTCTTGGAAAGCCCAGAACACAGAGAAACATGTAAGAAAAGCAAGAGGCAACAAGAAGAGAGAAGAAATTCTGAAGGGATGAAAAGGATATTGCCTTCCACACAGGTCTGGAAAGCAGTGCATGCAAAAAGGACTTAGAAGATGAGCTGTCCTCCAGAGTGGTCTCCTCCACGCCAATTTATTCCCCTAGACAACAAGTCTGGTGTTCAACAGTCATGGACACTTTTAAGAATCTCATTAGAAAAGTGATAAGAGGGAACTCTACCCCTGGCCAAGGTGAACCTAGGCTGAACAAGCAGAGAATTTCCCTATGAGAGTCTAGGGGAGGATACACACCACTGGTACTTGCATTATTTAATGTTACATATGTAAATATCAGAAGAACTGATTTTTTTAAAATTAAGGCTCTGGAGAATATGATTGGGAGAAAACAGAAGCAGCATGGGGAATTGCTGCTTTTTATTTCAACTCTTCTGCACTATTAGATTCTTTACTATGTACATTTATTACTTTTGTAAAATTTTAAACAGAAGATTAAAACTAATGGTTTTCATTACTGAGTATGTACTATGAGCCAGGCACTCTGCTACGTGCATGAAGTATGTTCTCTCACTTAGTCAAAAAAGTTAAGTATTGTATATGTAAATACATAACCAGAGTGGCTGGCACATTGTTAGACGCTCAACATTGATTTAATGAATGAATTACTAAATGAATGCACAATGCATATATATATATATAGGCATGCATGCATGAATGAATAAATGTTGTATGAAAAGCTTCAGGAGGTTTTGGAACTGCAATCTTCACCAACCCCTTCCCTACATATATGATCGTTCTGTCTGGGTTGCATAAAATTGGCATCAGCATTTTCAAAGTTCTTGGTTTTCAGGAAAGAAAAAAAGTTGGAAAATCTATCATACAATGAAAATTTCAATTTCTGTAGCCTTGCTCTGTCTTGGAAGTTCTCAGTCTCCAGTGGTTTGGATGATAGGAGGTTCATCCTGGCATGGAAAACCTTAAATTAGAGTGAATAAATGGGAAGTTGGCATAGCACTTCAGAAAGGTTGCCAACCTCTGCTCAGCTGCCTTTTCCACATCAATTCTCATGTGCAAAGGAAATCAGAATGTACAAGTTACTGGGAAAGATACTTACACATTCGGAAATATACAAAAATCACAGGTGATCTCTGACACTAAATTAGACAGGGTCAGAAAGTGCACAAGTCAATAAAACAGACTAGACCAGTCACTACTAAACAATAAGTTATCTCTGTACCATAGTGTAGAAAGTTAGAAAATAAACAGTAGAGGCCATTTTTCAGTTGTATTCTGTGTAGGCTATTTTAATTTGTAGGGCTCTCTAAGAGTTAAACACCTTTCATGGTAAACACTTGCTTTCAGAACTTCTAGTTGGTAGGCTTCTACGAAAAACAGTTGTCGTATTATGCAATTACTACCGGAGTTTGCTGAGGAAGTATTAAAATCAAACATTCACAATAGAATTGCAAAGTTTCATTTTCTTTATTAAGTTCCAAAATGAAGATCAATCATAAATCATAATAACCAATACTTATTAAACACCATGGACCAGGCACCATGCTAAGCACTTTTATATACATTATTGCATTTACTCCTCAAAATATTCTCTGAGATAAGAGGTATTCATATGGCCTCATTTTGTTGGTAGGTTAAGCAACTTTCCAAGATCATAGAGCTAATTAGTGATAGATAGAGCAAGAGCTTGAACCCAGGAAGTTTGACTCCAGAGCCACTGATCTTAAACACTATGTTATACCTTTCTGATATTTAGTAAGCAAAAGTACAGTAAAACTTATAAGGAGTCAATATCATCAGGAGTAGCAGCACAGAAACTAGGTATCTGATAGGGTTTGCCAAGATTAAATAGCTTAGATACCATCAATTGCTTTCTAGGAGTACATCTATATTATGTAAGTATTGTATTGTATTTTGGTATATATATATATAAACTTATTCTCATACAAATACATAGGGGGATGTATCAAAGATATATTAAAATCATTAATAAAGGAACCAACAAAATAATAAAGTGGATTCAAGGAGAATGCAAGAAACTGAGATAGGTAAGTAGGTAAGTAAGTGGGTGGGTGGATGAATGGATGGATGGGGAAAAGACTGCTGGAATAACGTTTTTAAGTCATATATCCAAAACTGCTTAATAGTCTAAAGGGCAATAAAATCCTAACATTTTATTCTCTACTGTTTTATTCTCTATTGTTAGAAATCATTTGCCTCTCTATTGGACAGCAGTGATTTGCATCTTATTAATTTTCTACATGCTAACATCAACTTTGCAGAGGCTAGACTGTAATCAGTGGTAATTTTAAGCCAAACAAAATTACATTGTCTGACAGAGTGAGATGACCCTTAGGACGGCTCATTAGACAATGCTGTGGCATGACAGTGAAAGGATATGCAGTAAGCTCTTTTTTTGTTCTATTTCCAAATGTAGATGTTCATTCTTAACAGAAAATAATAATGTATTAACAGATACAATTTCAACTAAAACTTTCTCTACGTCTATATACTAAGTAAACGTCATAATAATTATAATAATAGTAATTTATTTAGTGTTTATTGAATATTTACATGAGCCAGGGACTATGCTAAGAACAGTGTATACATTCCCTTATTTAATTTTTAAGTCAACTCTAAGGGTAGGCATTATTTCCATTTATCCAGCCCCATTTCATGTAGAAGGAACTGGGTGCTCAGGAGCATTATGTAACTTGGCCAAGGTCTCAAAACTAAGTAGTGGCACCGTAGGAATTGGAAGCCACATCTATCTCACAAAACGTATGTCCTTAACCACCACACACCATACCCCACTGCCTCTGTAGCTGTGCATTGCAGCCAAAGTAAATCGTACAGGTCAAGCTTTAGCCATGTGCATTTGTACCAACCTTGCCTTATAAGTCTATGTTTTGCTTTACGCAGTTATATCTGCCTTATAGTCCTGTCTTGCTTTACACAATTACATCTGCATTGATCTTGACTGAGCACAGAAAGGCATCTCCTGAAATGCCAACCTACCCTTTCGGACAGGTGTCCTAACAGTGTGGAAAGCCGTTGGGGAATCCTCTAGCACAGTGGTTGAAAGCATGGGCCTTGGACATGGACACAGCTCTGTTGGAAACCTGGCTTCACCACCTCCTGTCTGTGACCTTGGAAAATTTACTTACCTGGTGTGAGCTTACTTTTTCCCCTCTACTACGGAAGGAAAAACAGTATCCACCTTCGAGGCGTAAGTGCCGACGATGTATGAATCAAGAAGAAAGCTGACATAATCCCTGTACTCATAATCTGGAGGCAAAAGACAAACAATTGACATAAAATAACATTATACCCCTGGTGGTGATAAGTAGTATGGAGAAAATTAAAGCAAAGTGGGGGAGTAGCTAGCAGGAGGAAGAGATGGTAGTGGGGGCTGACATTTTATAGGGGGTGGCCATGGGAGACTTTTGCTTAAGAAGCAAAGGAAGAAGTCCCCCACAGGATGTAAGGGAGAGAGTCAGGAGGACATCTAAGAGAAGACTCTTCCAGGCAAAACAATAGCCAGTGCAAAGGCCCTGAGGAAGGACAATTGGTTTGATCAAAAATAGCAAGGAGACCAGTGTGTGTGGAATGGAGGGAGCAAGAGAGAGAGTGGGAGGGGCATACTGTCTGAGCTGGGGCTGAGGAACGGGTCCTACTTGGAAGAAAGGGTGGGGAGCAGATCCCCATCCTTTTACTCAGAGTAAGATGAGAGGTGACTGAAGAATTTTGAGCATAGGATGACAAAATTTGCCTTCAATCAAAAGGATCATGGAGGAGAAAACATATGCAAAGCTCTTAGCATACTGTTTACTAAACTTTATTGTGTTATTATTTTTATCATTAGAAATACTATTTCAAGGTAGAGCTGCTATACTGTGGTAGGGTTTTGATAGACCTTGCTGTGAACATCTTTTCAGTGGGTAAAAGCTATGCCACCATCTAACAGGCTGTTTACCCACTGCTTCTCTTCTCTCTTGTTCTTTTATTCATTCTCTTTTCTCCTGTCTTCTCTTCTCTTACCCCTTACTCTCTACTCTGTGCTCTCCCTGTGCCTCTGTCTTCTCTTCTGCAGCCTTGATTTCTCTTTTCTTCCTTACTATTCCATTGTTCTGCTTTCTATGAGTAAAAGGAATTCAAAAAGATTCTTTTTGAAGTTAGTCAACAGCTTTAAAATGGGAAAGGTAAAGAGGCAAATGAAGACAGTGTCTCCTCATCACTGTCCGGGGGAGAAGGAGCCTGATCCCACAAGCAGGGTGATGGTGTACCTGCTTGCTGCACCCACACATGGTAAGGAGCTGGCCTCATGGTGACAAAGAGGCAATCAGCTAGGGGATCAACATGAATTGGTTACAGATTAATCAGATGTCCCTTGTAAGCCACAGCCAAGGAACCTGAGGGTCTGCGAAGACAGGTAGGACTTGATGGGGCATGAGGAAATGATAGAGCTAGCTGTAGTGTGTGCAGAGGAAGGCTGGGCAAAGGCACTGAGAGATACTTGGTTGGGGGGCGCCAACAGGGCAGTAGAGAAACATTAGACATCACCTTCTCCTACCTCATAACGTTTCACAGCTCCCACCTCACTGAGTGTGCTTAGGAAAAAAGAGACAGGGAAGTACCCAAGAATGATATTTACTCAGCCTTTACTATACACCAGCATGGAACTCACTTTAGTGTATATTTTTCTCATTCAAATCTAACAACCTTGGAAAGTATAGCATATTCTTCCAGACCTGGCAGTTTTCAAAATTCCATATCTCCCTCTCCAGGGGCAAAAAGAAATAGCTTAGTATAGCAGGAATCATATTCATTGAGTATCTACTATGTGCCGGTTACTCTTCTAAGCAGTAGAGACAGCCATCATGAACAAAATGGATGAAACAAGTTCCTTATAGAGTTTACATTCTAGTGGTGGAGACAGACATTAAACCAGGCAAATTAGTAAATGAAAAAGTATGTCATATATTTATAATACCTGGGGAGAAAAAAATAATGCAGGGAAAAAGAATATGAAATGTGGTCAGGAGGGTGGGGGACCAGGAAATGTCGCTTTAGAAGAATAAGAGTAAAAGCGTTTCTTTAGATCATGTGACTAGGTAAGTCAAAATCTCCTTTTGTAAACACAGGCTTTCATGTCTTCCCAGAAGAGCCAGAGTAAAAATTGTTTCTGTTTCTGACCTATAACAATGTACTTGGCTCCCTCTCATCATTCAGCTCTCAGATTAAATCTCAGCAAGGCCATTCCTGGGTACTCACCCTTTACCTGTCAGTCATAACTCTAGCAGAATATCATGTTTGTTTCTTTCATAACACCTTTGACAATTTGTAACTCAACTGCATATTTGTTCATTTGCATATTTGTCTATGCTGCCATTTATATTATGAATTCCAGGAGCCCAGAATAGGGCCTTGCCCTACTTGCCCCTTGTCCAATCCTTTGCTCAATGCCTGACATCTAGTGGATACCACAACTCTTTGATGAATACATGAATATATATTCCACTTGAAGCAATTCTCATAGGTTGCCATAATTCCTCTGTTAAAACTTTTTTTTATAATTCTTTTTCACTAGCATGTTTATCATATAATGGAAGGGAATCCTGCTATTCTGTGGCATTAACATGCTATCAAGTCTTATGAAAATAAAAGACAAAGAATATCAAAGCATTTTGAAGCTAGAAGGACTTGTTTTGTCTTCACTTTACCTTTGTACTCTGTAGGGTTTTGCTTCAGATGTTGAGGAGAAGAAAGAAGTAGCGATATAGGAATTTCTTCTGACCTTGGGGACAGAGGAAGCTGCCTGCACATCAGCATTTGACAGACCATGGTTCCAAAGGGTTTTTCTAGTTGTTCATCCTGGCAGCATGCCTGGTTTATTTCTGCCCTAGACTACTTTTCCATGCTTTCTAGGATACAGACTCAGCTCCCACAGAACTCAGAGTATACACTGATCCGACGGTCTTTTCATTTTCGTTTCTCCTGATAGGGAGCTACCTATCTTGCCAAGCCTTCCTTTCTTTTCCTCTTATATTCCTGAACTGACATAAAAGTTCAGGTTATACAAAAGATGTTCTGTTACTGAAAGAGTTGCTAAAGATGTCTATTTTCCTTTTGTTACTATGAGTCTAAAAAAACAAAGTTTACTCAGACAATAACATGTACACATTAATATTTCAGTTCTGCAAAATGTAGGCATTTATTTTATCAAAAAAATAGAGAACAACTAGAAGAAAACCTAATAAATACTCTGCTAGACATTGGACTAGGCAAATAAGTTATGATGAAGATCCCCAAAGCAAATGCAACAAAATTAAAAATAGACAAACGGGACTGAATTAAACGGACGGGCTTCTGCACAGCAAAAGAAAAGATCAACAGAGTAAACAGACGACCTACAAAATGAGAGAAAATATTTACATCTATGCATCTGACAAAGGGCTAATATCCAGAATCTATAAGATTAACTTAAGTCAACAAGAAAAAAACCACAAATAACCCCATTAAAAAGTGGGCAAAGAAACTGAACAGACACTTCTCAAAACAAGACATACAAGTGGCCAACAAATATATGAAAAAAGCTCAACATTGCTAATCATCAGAGATGCAAATCAAAACTACAATGAGACACCATCTCATACCAATCAGAATGGCTACTATAAAAAATTAAAAAAAACAGATATTAGTGAGGTTGCAGAGAAAAGGGAAAGCTTATACACTGTTGGTGGGAATGCAAATCAGTTCAGTCACTGTGAACAGGCAACCTACAGAATGGGAGAAAATTTCTGCAATCTATCCATCTGACAAAGGGCTAATATCCAGAATCTACAAGAAACTTAAACAAATTTACAAGAAAAAAAAAACATCAAAAAGTGGGCAAAGGATATGAACAGACACTTCTCAAAAGAAGACATTTATGCAGCCAACAAACATATGAAAAAAAAGCTCATGATCACTGGTCATTAAGAGAAATGCAAATCAAAACCACAATGAGATACCATCTCATGCCGTTAGAATGGCGATCATTAAAAAGTCAGGAAACAACAGATGCTGGAGAGGATGTGGAGAAATACGAATGCTTTTACACTGTTGGTGGGAGTGTAAATTAGTTCAACCATTGTGGAAGACAGTTTGGTGATTCCTCAAGAATCTAGAACCAGAAATACCATTTTACCCAGCAATCCCATTACTGGTTATATTACCAAAGGATTATACATTATTCTACTATAAAGACACATACACACGTATGTTTATTGCAGCACTATTCACAATAGCAAAGACCTGGAACCAACCCAAACGCTCATCAATGATAGACTGGATAAAGAAAATGTGGCACATATACTCCATGGAATACTATGCAGCCATTAAAAAGGATGAGTTCATGTCCTCTGCAGGGACATGGATAAAGCTGGAAACCATCATTCTCAGCAAACTAACACAGGAACGGAAAACCAAACACCACATGTTCTCACTCATAAATGGGAGTTGAACAATGAGAACACATGGACACAGGGAGGGGAACATCACACACTAGGGCCTGTTAGGAAGCAGGGGGATAGGGGAGGGATACTATTAGGAGAAACACCTAATGTAGGTGACAGGTTGATGGGTGCAGCAAACCATCATGGCCCATGTATACCTATGTAACAAACCTGCACATTCTGTACAAGTATCCCAGAACTTAAAGTATAATTAAAAGAAAGAAAGAAGGAAAGAAAGAAAGAAAGAAAGAAGGAAAGAAAGAAAGAAAGAAAGAAAGAAAGAAAGAAAGAAAGAAAGAAAGAAAGAAAGAAAGAAAGAAAGAAAGAAAAGCAGTTTGGAGATTTCTGAAAGAACTAAAAGTGAAATACCATTCAGCTGGCAATCCTATTACTGAGTATATACCAAGAGACACCTGCACTAGTATGTTCATCACAGCATTACTCACAAAGACATGGAATCCACCCAGGTGCCCATCAACAGTGGATTAGACAAAGAAAATGTGTCACATACACACCATGGAATACCATGCAGCCATTTTAAACAATGAAATAAGGTTCTTTGCAACAATACGGATGAAGCTAGAGGCCATTATCCTAAGTGAATTACTACAGAAATGGAAAACTAAATACTGCATATTCTCACTTACAAGCAGGAGCTGAACATTGGGTCCACACACACACAAAGATGGGGACATTAGACACTGCAGACTCTGTCAACCAAAACGGAGGAGGGAGGAAGGGGGCCAAGGCTTGAAAAACTACCTACAGGGTTCTGTATTCACTACTTGGGTAACAGGATCATCAGAAGCCCAAATCTCCGTATCGCGCAATGTATCCATATAATAAACCTCTACCTGTACCATTTAAATCTAAAATTAAAACTAAAGTTTTTTAAAAGCAAGCAGAAACGGCCTAAAGAAACTCATTTAGGAAAAAGAATCTAACCTGATAATCCAATTAATATACAAAATACCTTTCAGTTACAAGCGGATTCTTCAGCATAAAGAAGGATGAAATACACATATTATCTGTGACCTTGCCTTGGTCATTTTAAGATTAGAAATACAAAATGGGCTGAGAAAGCTCCTTAAACCTAAGGTGTTAATGGGCCAGCTCTAGATTCTGAGAGGTGTCTTCTCTAATCCCCACCCCAGCTTCCAGGGGAAGCCTTCTCTAATCCCCACCCCAGCTTCCAGGGGAAGTCCTACTCCCAAACACAAAGATGTGCAACATTTTAGTATTTTAATTTTCTCAGCCTTTTGTAAAAACTAGACCATTTCACCACCTGTCTTGGAAAAAGAATGTATGGATTATATTTCAAATATTTCAATTTCATCATCTGGCAGATTAGTTGCTGGCAAGGCTGGGTATCAGAGGCTATCCTAACTGCTTCTCTCTGGGCCCTGGCCAGGCAGGAGTTGAGGTCTTTGAATTTCTTGATGATTTCTCTCTTTGTATGCCCCCATGACAGAAAAGCCGACTGCTCTGGGCCCCCTTTGGCACCTTGGGAGCACCCTTCTGGACCACAGGGTTTAAGGACTACAGCAGCAATGATGTCCCTGCCCCTTGAAGGTTTGCCACTGTGAAGGACACACATAGAATCATCATCAATCATCAGCTCCATGTTGGGAAAATACTCCTATTTCTAGGCCTCTGTGCATAATTTCCATGGCCTGAGGCCAATAGCTATTTCCCTTTCGCTTTTATATAGACACAAAATAAAGGTCACCCTACACATCCCTTGGCAGCCCCCAAAATGCACTCCGAGGGACCATGCAATGATGACTAAATACTTGCATAGTGTTTTGAAATTCACCAGGGGGTTTCATGTATGTTGCCCAAAATTCTCATACCAGCCTTGTGAGGTAATTATTATCATTATCAACACTGGTTCCCTTGCTCTTTGAATCTCAGAATCAAGCTCCTAGCTCAGGGAATGTATTCTTGCCATTTCCTCTATTAAAAATATTCTTCCTTTGAATATCTGTATGACTTTCTCTCCCACTTCCTTGAGGTTTTTGCTAAATGTCACCTTATCACAGAACCTGCTCTGAATGATTTGTAAGAAATAGATGTGGACTCCGGTTGCCTTACCCTGCTTCACTTGAATTCATAACATTTATCACTGTAGATTTCTGTATTTTTTTGGAAGTTTATTATCAGTCTCCTGTCACTAGATTAGAGGAGTTGCTTGGTCTCTGTGGTCCACTGCTCTCTCCCAAGTGCCTAGAATGGTGGACACATAGTAGGCACTCAATAAATGATTGTTGAATGAATAAAGGAACAAATAAATGAGCAACACCTATTTTATAGTGGATAAAGCCCTATTTTATAGTGGGACATTCAAAAGGAAAAATGCCTTCCTTAATGCATTGGTTTCCCATTGCTGCTGTAATAAATTACCACTAACATCTTTTATCTTACAGTTATGGAGATCACAAGTATAAAATGAGTCTTTGGGGGTTAAAATCAAGGTATCAGCAGGAGTGTGTTCCATCTGAATGCTCTAGGGAAGAATCTGATTATTTGTCTTTTCTTTTTCCTAGGAACTTCCCACATGCCTGGCTCATGGCTCCTTCCTTCAGCTTCACTCCATCTTCAAGATCAGCAGCAGTGCATCTTTAAATCTCTGAATCTGACTCCCCTGTCTTCATCTTCTACTTACAAGGACCCCCTCAGAAAATTCAGGGGAATCTTCCCTTTTCAAGATCCTTGACTAAATCACATCTGCAAGTCCCCTTCGCCATGAAAGGTCACAGCTTCCAGGAATTAGGATGTGAGCAACTTTGAGGGCCATTACACTGCCTACCACTCTCAGGATCACTCAGTAAATAGCACAGCTGTGACTGTAGCAAAGTTTATGCCTTCCAAACCACAGCTGGTTCATCAGAATGTAGGGAAAGGAAGGTTGGGGATGATCTTCACAATAGGATGGCGACCAATTGACAGTGTTAGACCTCTTCAGATAAGTGACAGTGGTTGGAGAGCTATTCCAGACTCTCCTACTATACACTCATCTTGACTCCATCCTGGGTGGATATCTTGGAAGATAATACTACATAACCAGATGTGATGCCCACACCTTATTTTCTTTATTTGTCAACAAAGAGAATATGGACTTCACCCCATTTCTTTGAGTCAGAATCTCAAATAGGAATGCCCTAGAATAGGGCTTCTCAACCTTAGAACTATGGATACTTTGAGCCAAATAATTCTTCATTAGGGGTGGGGGTGGGGGCCATCTTTTGCTTTGTAGGTCTACTTAGCATCAGCATCATCCTTGGCCTCTACTCTCTTGTTGCCCATCTTCCCTGCCCAGCTATGATAAACAAAATGTCTCCAGACATCTATAAATATCCCATGGGTGCAAAATAAGCCCCGTTAAGGAGTATTGCTATAGAGGAAGCAGACCTACTTATGCTACATGCTACAGCCCCAGTGCAGGGGGCCAGGGATGTCAAGCTTCTGGAGGATCAAGTGTCCAGGAATCTAGAATTATAGGGGTCTTTCTCTTTATCTACATTTATGTGTTCGTCATTTATAACACAGGATTCTGGCTGAAATACATTTGGCTGCATCGAGCATAAAGTGCTTCCCCATCCTGCTGGCAAAACATAATTAACCAAATGACAATGGCTTCCATATACACATTGATTCCTGTAATTTCAAGTCTCCATTACTAAATAAATCAACAGCAGAATTATATTTATCAGCAAAAACCTCCTCTCCTGGCAGACTTTTTGTTAAATATATTAATCCTAGAAGAGTAATACTTTCCCTATGCTTTGCAAAGCAGTCCACCCATAAAAATGTTAATAGCCACAACATCATTTTCAGTATGCTGCTCCTTCATTAGCATACTGTGCAGTTCCCCCACGCAGGGCAGCTGTTGGCTTTCTAACTAAAAGGTCCAAGATAGAGATAGGTGCTCCATGGAGGGCCACGTGGCTCAAGCACTGCCAGGAGAAAGCCCTGGAGCGCCTGTGTGACTGTTAATGCCTTGCCTGAGTATGTACCACCTCACGCAGCCCTTTGGAAATGTCAGTCTGGGCCAGGAAAGACAGGGAAGTTAGTATCGCCACAGACCCAGTGCTAGACGTAGATCCCAATCACACAGGACCAGTGTAGGCTACAAAAGTACCTAGGAAGTGTCACAACCCTCAAGTTGTCTCACAAGCCTTTAAGATTCTCCCCAGGCTCATGAGTGTTGTTTAGGGCAGGCCTTCTCAAATATGCAAATAAACCTTGGGATCTTGTTAAAATGCAGATCTTGATTCCATAGGTCTGGACTGGGCCAGGGGATTCCCCATTTCTAACTAGCACCCAGGAGATCGTGACCCCCAGGCCACAATTTAGGCATCAAGTATTGCCAACCAGCTTTTAGATCCCTGACACTTTAGGGGTTAAAAGAAAAAGTCCTCCTTCCAAGAAGAAGACACCCCCGAATGGAGGACACTGGTACACTGGGACACCTCACACACACAGAAGTTTGTTTGCTGCCTCAGTTACCCTGGATTCCAAGCCCAATGGAAAGGGTAATTTCCCGACTATTTCTGTGCCACTCTAATCTTACAGTAGCTTCCGCGGTTTGCTAGCTCGCACATCTGGCACCCCTCTTGCCTCTGGGCCAGCAGGCTCTAGACTCTAGAGTCCTGCAGAGCCTGGGCAAGCATCCAATTGCTGATACAGCAGCCAGAGAGTGCTTGGGGAATGCAGGAATGATGTGCCCCTTGTCCAAGGGGCGGGGGTTAGCCCTGCTTTTGCTTAAGCAACATGAGGGGGCGGATCTAGGAGAAATGAGAGAGTCTGGAGATCAGAGGCTGGCCTCTGTGCCTAAGGGACCCACCATTCCTCCTGCCATGAGCAGATTCGAATAATTGGGGCTGAGTGGCAAATGCAGATGCCCTCTTTGGCCTGTGAAGTCAGCCCCGCTTGTCTCCACTCTGGCAGCGCAATATGTCATCTGGAGGAAGTCCTGGCTACTTGCAAATGCAGCTGTTGTTCACAAATACACCACAGACCCAATGAGGAGGGGGAGCAACTAAGAAATCTCTTTAGGATGGCAGGCGATGTGGATTTCTCCTTAGATTCAGATGTGATTCCCGAACAGACTCTCACAATGCCTTGCCCTTTGCCCTTGGCCATGTCACTTGCCTTTCCCTGGCCTCATATACTTCTCATCAAATGAGTGGGGGATAAAAGGAGTTCCTGTCCACAGAGGTGCTGGGTAGAGCAGCATTGAGCCAGGGAAGAAAAAACCTGAGATGTCTTGACAGCCCTCATCACTCATCAGCTGTTTTCATGTGGACCAGTCATTTAAACTTTTAGTGACTTAGTTTCCTCACCTATATAATGAGGTTAATAGCACAATGATTATCTCATGAATTTCTAATGAAGATTGAATAAGAATATGACTGTGTTGTGAAGTGCCCAATGTGCTCAGATTCCATCAATGCCACCGAATCGAATGGAAATACTGAGCCTTGTTTATTTCACAAAAATACATTACTGTTTGGAATTAGAGACCTCTATACCATTGTCTTGGGATTCACTTATTCATTAAATTTAAGGGCATTCCATGACAATCATTAGGGGAAAACCAGAAATATTCTGTGCCCTGCAAATCTATACAATACTAAGACACATGTTTTGGGCCAAAGTTAAATTATTCCAACAAATAATTGAAATAATGCCAAAAAATTCAAGATCACTGAACTCTAACTTGCTTTCCTCATGTAAATGCAATCTCCCCTGTGTTCTCCTTGGTACACTAATGGCACTCTGAGGAAATCCACAGTGAGAAATCATAGCTTCTTCCCAGCCCTCTCAGCCTGCTGTGCATTTTAATCTTGGCTCCCATCAGAAAGGCTTTGAGAGTATGACCCTGCCCTCCAGACTCACTTATTATCCTTCTCAGCAATAGGAGTCCTTATTAAAATCCATGCACTTTTTTCAGCTGTGGCACTGCTAGCTGAGCCCAAATTGGAAAAATTGAAAATAGCAAGCAAGAAGAGGAAAACAATTTTACATGGCTCCTTTTGGATCAATAAAATTAATAATTTTTGTCAGAAATAAGTCATTCCAGCATGGTTAGAAATATCTGGTCAGTCAACCCACCTGGTGCAATATTTTTTATCGTAAGAGATATTCATTTGTTTAACAAACATTACTTGAGCATCTATTATGTGATGAGCAATGTTTGGTAATTGGAAAACATAATTGGAAAAGGAGATACTAAAAGCCTCAATTAATTACAGCAAGTCCTTGAACGACATCATTTTATTTAACAGCATTTCATTATGTTCATGAAGAAAAAAAATCAATTTCCTGCCAGGGCCAACGTCTGTGTGGAGTTTGCATGTTCTCCCCATGTCTGTGTGGGTTTTCTCTGGAACTCCAGTTTCTTCCCCCCTCTCAAAGCTGTGCACGTGAGGTTCACTGGTGTGTCTAAATGGTCCCAATCTGACTGAGTGTGAGTGTGTGTGTGTGTGTGTGTGTGTGTGTTCCCTGTGATGAGATCACATCCTGTCCCAGGCTGGTTACTACCTTGGACCCTAAGCAGCTGGGATAGGCTCCAGCCATCCTCACGGCTGAGCTGGAATAAATGGGTTGGAAAATGAATGAATGAATAAATACAAATTATTGTAAAACAAAAATTTGTAAAGTACACAATAATCATACAAATTCATGACAATAACCCGCCAGGTATGAAGGAGCTCAGCAAGCCTGCCCTATTTGTGATTGTTTATAAACTGCATGGTAAGAGGAGATGCTTCTTACAATTTTCACTTTGCAAACATTTATTCCTGATTTAACTTACCACCGCAACTGCTGCCACTCACGTATTCATCAAAAATTGGGTAAATGATTCCTTTACTTATTTTATTCATCTTTTTAAAGTATATATACAGCTCATATTTATCTCAGGGTTTAATATTAGAAGAGCTTTGGGTCTTTATTTAGAAGTTTGGTGATTGTTTTTGTGACCAGAATCACAGGTGATTCTAATGCACACCCAGGAGTTATGCATATTCTTAGTATTATTCCAGCTCTTTCAAAGTGCAAATGCAAACTCTTGAAACTGACCTCACATCTACTGAATCGGAAACCCTGGGGCTGGGGCCCATCAATTGGTGTTTTACCTCATCTTTCAGTTTAATCTGATGCATATTAAAATTTAAAAATTGCTTTTCTAAATTATACTTTCTAGGGTTTCAGCTGTGTTTACAGGAGGAGTCTGTTCAGGCAAGATTGGGAAGAATCACTGTAACTTATTACCTGCCTACTGTGAGATTACCAACATAATGACCACTCCAAAACAAATACCAACGAAGATGCTCAGAAAGGCATATTGGTGAATCTCATTTCTGTGACTACTAATTTCACTTCATTTGTCCAACATCGCTTTATTTGTACTTCTAACATGGTATCTTTTGTTGGGTGTATGTATCTTCTACTTCCTCCTAGACATTCTGCATGTAGTATGCATTTAATACGTGGGAACGATGGCTATATCCAAATCAAAAGGTCTATTTGTCATTGGATTATTGTATGCTGTTGTGATTTCCACAAAAGCAAAAGGTAAATGGAGAAGTCTCAGGGAAGGATAATTAACATAATCATGGAGATACAATCATATCACCTTGAGTTCAAACTAGACATATATAGTTACACAGCAAGTTTAGAATATCATAAGTGGTGTAAATTAGATAAACATGGATTTTTGTTTGGCCAGTGCCAGAACACTATCAAGTGATAACAATGCAGACAAGTTTGAAAGAATAAATTTTTACAACAAGTAAAATTAAGAACAGCCTTATCCAGTGAATAATAAATACATGTAATTCTACCAGGTGGAATCATCTTTGAAGGCAAGAGATGGTATCTTATTAAATTTATTCATCAAGAGGCAGTAATGCTTAATGGTTACACCTTCAGATTTTAGGTTAGATTGCTTGTGTTCTTCCATCTAAGAGCAATATGATCTTGGAAAATTAATTAATCTTTCTGTGCCTCAGGATTCTCATCTATAAAATGGGAAAATAGTACCTACCATATAGCATTATTGTGAGAAACAAATGAGTCCATATATGTAAAATGCCAGTAATCACTTGATAAACACTAGCTACTGTAATCAATGTTATATCTTCTTTGTACCTCCCACTGCATCTGGCCCAACATTCAAATATTTATTGACTAAAATTGAAAGATTTTTAAAAGTCTCATTAATTTTATAGTGTATATAGAAAGAAGTGAAAGGAAATATGGACAACCAAGGACAGCCAGATTCACTGAAGAGTGAGGCAAAAGATAATTTTTTCATTGACTGATTAATAGAAAAATTTTAACTGATGATGAATATCAAATGAATAATGATGAATATAAAAGCCATAATTGGCAATTATAAGAAGTTAACATTTGAACTGATTTACAGAAATAAAAATAGAATCTTAAGATTAGAAAAGATACTGCCAAGCATCTCTTCCAAACCAATATGAGAACATATATGATAGCATCCTTATGAGTCTTGGTACAAATACTTCCAGTCATTGAGACCTCACTAGTTGAAAAGATAGCACATTCCATTTTTGAACAGTCTTAATGCCCAGAAAGTTATTACTTATACTGAGCTTAAATCTTCCTTTGAACTTTCCAATCACTGGTCCTAATTCCTGTGATTTGTATGCAATGCAAATCTTGCTCAGCATTCTCACCCATTAAACTTACCACAATTGAGGAGAACCACATCTCTGTACAAATCTGATCTCATTTTCTCTGAGGGTTGAAATAAATACTTTATTGAAATTTACATAATTTAAAATATTTTTGGATATGCTTCTTCCTGCATGGAGACACCACTAATGGCAGGCAGGGAATGGAAGAAGAAGACTTGAGATGCAAAGAGGGTCCAGCCTTTCAGGGGCCTATGGTTATATAAGAGGAGCTCTGCACAAAAGTGATGGCAATAAATTGCTATAGGTGTTCTGGTTGAATCAGGTATAAGCTACACTAGGAACCTGAGCACACCAACAAGAAGAAGACAATCAGAAAAGACCTAGAAGGTAAGGAGTTTACCAGGTAAATGAGGGGAGGAGCTGGCACTTGAAAATTCAGAAATGTATTAAATATAAAGTATACTGTATAATTTAGGATTCAAAATGATTCAGAATGGGCAAAGCATGAGTACTGTGGGTACAGGGCGCAATGAGAGAGGGGCCTGAGAGGTGGGCAGATACCAGAATCTGTAGAATGAATGGTCGTAAGGACTACACATGAATTGATTCAAAATACAGGCTCTAACCTGATGACCAGCTTATCTACCTACTACCTCAGGGGATGCCATTAGACCTGAAACCCTTAGAATAACCTACACATGGTGAAAACCTAACTCATCATGGCCTTATTTCTTTCCAAGGAAGTAGTATTGACTTTGTCTTATAGTGGACAACTTAAGAGCTTAGTGAAGTTAGTACCTTATCTCAATCTGAACACTATGAGATGAACATAGGAAAATCAATCTCACAATTTGCAGAATCCCAATTTTTCTAAATATTTCTGTGTCCCTTTCACGAATTAGAAGATGAGAAAAATGAGATGACTGGAAAAAGAAAGTACATGGCATCTCACAACTTCAGTGAATAGAAACTAATAGGATACAGACTCCAGTTGTTGGCAGATTAGTGATGAAACCCCCAGAAGAACATTCTAGCAGGTTCAGCTCCCACAAGACATCTGAGCCAACTGTCTTGTTTTCCCTGGGGGGACTGCCACTGTCATTAACTCTGGTAAGCTCCATTAAAAACACTAAGTTGATGGAAGATACCCTGCCCACACTAATACACTGCCACAGAACTAACTCTGGGTAAGGAGAATTGTGAGTACAAAGAAATTTTTAACACTAATGACTTTAACAAATCTGACCTGATTAACAGGACGCCACAAACTGAAATCCTTGTGTTCCAATCAATCTTTCGAGAAACTTCACAAATGCACACTTGAGGGAGAAAAATTCATGAGATATTTTAGGCAGGTCTCTACATAGAAAGAGAGGAATAATCAAAAAAGACACAATACACTGGCAAGTAGGGTAATTATTGCTAGCAATTCTTGAGCTACTACTCTTTTGGCAAATAAATGCCTACATTTACATTAATATTTGTTTCCCATTAGAAGAGTTTTGACAGTTTTTCACAGAAAGACCTGCCCTCCTGAGACATAAGCTCATTAGAGCAAACTCTACCCTGATTAGCTGGAGGTGGTGAGGAAAACAGGGAGATGCAACAGTTCCATGGTAGGACCATTACGAGAATGAGAATCTGCAAGTAATTGGTGAAACAAATGATTGGTCAGATGAGGAACTGATGACAATCTATCCAGTATTTAAATAGGTAAGTTGCAGAGCACTTAGGCAATGATGGTTATGGACAAGAAGTAATGCTAATAAAGTAGCATTTAAGCAGGAAAGGTGGAGCAAAGGTTCTATTCAATCATTACTTAGATAGTTGAAAGATTAAGGAAGCATTTGGATGCTGGCACATCCACTAAGTGACTGTAAATAGGAATACATCTGGATATATTCCTCTGGACATTTGTTTATCTGATTAATTTTTCATTAAAGACAGCATAAGCTTCTCCTCATAAGCCATAGAAAGCAACCACTTCTTTCTCAGTATTTTTTTCCATTACTCATGAACAAATAATCTTTCTTAAGACATCAAACTATGCCGGTTGTTCATCTCCCCCTAGTGGTAGGGGGACACCACTGCATATCTGAGTGACTAAACATTCATTGGCCATCTCACCAGGATCGCATTCTAAAGAAATGGCAGTAGTCTTACATCATTATCACGAGTATGCTAGATATTGTCTACTGGTACCCAGTATTCATTTTTACCTTCCTCTATGCTCTTCTGCCATCTTACCCAGCAGAGGCTGGCAATCTAACACCTACATTTCCCAGACATTCTTGCCTCTATGGTCTTGGATACCACAGGCAAAAGGCTGTGGAATGCACTCTGAAGATTTGAAATACAAGAGGAGATGGGATCAATATTCCTGTAGCAATTATGTCTAAAGGGTGGCCTCTGTCAATTTTGAGGTTTTGCAGCATTTTCACTGACTAAGACACCAGATTTTGGATATGGAAAGACCGACACTTGCAGCAGCCTCCTGTAGTTATCTGACCTTGAATAAGTTACTTGACTTCCCTGTCCCTTAGATTATTCATTTCTAAATGGTGGAATAATAATAGTATCTATTACATAGGGTTGCTTTGAAGACTAAGTGGATATCTGGCAAGAAGATGTTGGCTATTACTGCTGCTGCATATAAACCACTTAGAAGAATGCCTAGCACACAGATGTCCTCCAGAACGGTTGGCTAAGATAATGATAATTTGAGACCAACAGTATATAGCTAGCACAGGAAGACATTTGATGTCAGAAGACAGAGGACAGCTGTGTGTCACTTAACAAATTACTTGGCCTGGCACGGGCTCACGCCTGTAATCCCAGCACTTTGGGAGGCTGAGGTAGGCGGATCATGAGGTGAGGAGTTTGATTTGACACCAGCCTCACCAACATGGTGAAACCCCATCTCTATTAAAAATACAAAAATTAGCCGGGCATGATGGTGTGCACCTGTAATCCTAGCTACTCAGGAGGCTGAGGCAGGAGAATCACTTGAACCTAGGAGGCAGAGGTTGCAGTGAGCTGAGATCACGCCACTGCACTCCAGCCTGGGCGACAGAGTGAGGCTCTGTCTCAAGAAAAAAAAAATTACTTAACCCTCCTGTGTTTATTTGTTTAATATTCTCCATTGTTGGGGAATATAGGCTGGGCATGGTGGCTTACGCTTGTAATCCCAACACTTTGGGAGGCAGGTGAATCAACTGAGGTCAGGAGTTTGAGACCAGCCTGACCAACATGGTGAAATCACGTCTCTAATGAAAATACAAAAATTAGCTGGGCATGGTGGTGCATGCCTGTAATCCCAGCTACTTGGGAGGCTGAGGCAGGAGAATCACCTGAACCTGGGAGATGGAGGTTGCAGTGAGCAGAGATTGCACCACTGTACTCCAGCCTGGGTGACAGAGCAAGACTCCATCTCAAAAAATAAATAAATAAATAAATAAATAAAGAGAGAGAAAGAGAATAAAAATGGAGAATATAATCAAAGCCACAAGATTATTTGTTACATGAAATGATGTGTCAACAAACTTTGTAAAACCTAAAGAATGATCCATGTGTTTATAATTATTAGTTATTATTAAAGTGTTAAAAGGACTCATGAGAGAGAGCCGTGACTGCTAAGGAGGTGAGACAGGCAAACCACCACAGAGGAAATGGCCTTTGGATGGGATTTTAAGGAATCGGTAGACTTTTTCTACATGTAGAGATGGCATAAAGAAGCTTGCCAGTTTGAGCTAAGGCATGAAGGTGAGACATTGAATGGCCAATATAGAATATATTATTATTTTTCAAACATCTTTTTCTAGCAGTTATACCACATAAGCTTTGAGAAACAGTTAAGAGAAGGAATTCTAAGTAGAATCTCCTAATTGGCTTTCTGCATAGTTAACATCACTTACAGAGAAAAATGGTTATGGGGGCAGGATGCATTGAAAAGAGGAGGCTCATGGGCATGACTATGTAGCCTGCAAAACTTAGGAGGCATTCTTCTATGTTAAAAGCACAAAAGAAAAAAGAAAGCTTCCTACTAGCTGAGAAATGTCAAGGTGGCTCAGGTGGTGAATATTATTCTGTTGCCATGATGATTCCTGTGTTTTTGTCTGCATAAAAATTTCTGACACAAGCACACCACTTACTGAAGAGATGAATGCCCTCATGTTAGGTGACTCCACTCCCAACCTCTAGGTAGGATTAACAACAGGCTGAGAGTGGGTTATTTCATGAAAAGGAGAATTATAATGATCATGCTGGTTTGGAGAAGCAAATAAGCAAATTGACCACAGACTCATGCCCTAAAAAAATAAAAAATAAATTCTGGAGATGATGAGGGCAATTGGAGTCAGTTCATATTCATGTGGCTCCCAGGGATATCAAAGGCAAATCTGCTTCTTTGAAGTAGATGTTCAAGAAAGAAACACAAGGGCTATTTGGCACACAGCTCAGCACCTAAAACTTTACCTCATTTTTATCCTCAGTATATTTCTGACAAACGATGTCAATTTCCACCTAATTCAAAATTGAGAGCATATATTACCATATCCCCTAGTTCTTTAATTTGGGAAAATCAACATTTTCACTCTGAAAGTCTGTACTGAATACATAGTGTCCAAAAGCTCATATTATTTCAAGAGCACAAGGTTAAAAAAGCTCAGTACAAGCAGGTATGAAACATACTTATCAACCACACTGCTTTTAAAATGGGGCTTGAGTAACTCATAAAAGAGCACTATTTTGAAAAATGTAGGTAGAGAAATATGAGGTCAATTCATCAGCAAGATGGCAAAAATGGTGGTGTTGTGGCTGTTATTCCTATCAGCACCACAGAGTAAGAAGTCAGGCTTCACTTTTGTACTTGGTCCAGATGTGGACTGCAGCGAGATAATCAGTTTAACGGTAGCTCATGCCAGAAAGTAAAAATCTCAACTCCTCTACTTCTCATTCGTGAAGTTCCCCAATTCAACAAAAACAATCAAGATTAAATCACATATGAGAGTTATAGGCAGGTGACTCCCGAGCAAAGGAAGTAAGGCCAGTCTGAAGAATAATGTATCAGCATATTGGATGTCCTTTCTGTGTAATTGATTATATGACTAAAACCTGGGGCTTTGGAGCCAGGGACAAATATCAGTCCTGCCAATTTGAGCATGTGTGACTTTGGGTGAGTTGTATTACCTATCCTAGCCTCAACTGCCTCTTCTTTTATATGGGATAATAATTTTGTATAACCCAAAGAATATTTCTGAGAAATATTCAAATTCAACAATTCATTAAAAGAATTATACATTGTGATGGTTTATTTTATGTGTCAACTTGACTGCATCATAGTACCCAAATATTTGGTTAAACATTATTCTGGGCCAGGCATGGGGGTTCACGCCTGTAATCCCAACACTTTGAGAGGCTGAAGAGTGCAGATCACTTGAGGTCAGGAGTTTGAGACCAGCTTGGCCAACATGGTGAAACCCTGTTTCTACTAAAAATACAAAAATTAGCCAGGCATGGTGGTAGGTGCCTGTAATCCCAGCTACTTAGGAAGCTGAGGCAGGAGAATTGCTTCAACCCAGGAGGTGGAGGTTGCAGTGAGCCGAGATTGCACCACTGCCCTCCCGCCCGGGCGACACAGTGAGGCTGCTTCTCAAAATGGGATGCTCTGTGAAGATATTTTGTAGATGAGATTAACATTTATGTCAGTAGACTCTGAGTAAATCAGATTATCCTTCATAAACTGGATAGGCCTTATCCAATCAGTTGAAAGCTTTAATAGAACAAAGACTGGTGTCCCTGAGCAAAGAGGAATTCTGCCAGCAGATCGCCTTTGGAGTCAAACTGCAAATCTTTCTGAGTCTCCAGCCTACTGGCTTACTCCCACAATCTCATGAGGCAATTCTTTAAAATATCTCCTTCTCAATATCTCTCTCTATACACACATACACACACACACACACACACACACACACACACACACACACGCATATATACATACACATCCTGTTGGTCCTTTTTCTCTAGAGAACAATGACTAATATACACACTATGAAAAAAAAGAAATTAATTGGCAGTGGTGGTTCAAAATAAGAAAATACAACCTTGAGAAGTTCCAAGAGAAAAATCATCCAGTCATTTCAATAGATGCCAGGAAGTCATCTGATAAAAACTCAACACACATAGGCATTATTTTAGAAAAATAATTTTAAAAACATTTGAATTCTTCCTTAATATGGTAAAGAAAACTAGGTCAGGTCAGCTTTACACTAAGTGAGTAAACATTAGAAGTACTGTCTTTAAAAATCTTACAGTATTGTTTACTATTGTTTGATAAGCTCTAGTCAATGCAATCAATATTGAAAAGAAATGAGAAAAAGATTATTTAAAAACATTGAGATTGCATACCTAAACAATGCAAAAAAAAAAAAAAAAACCCAAAACTTCCAGAACTTAATTAGAAGAGTTCAGTATAGCAACCAAATGCAGGAAAACATATATAAAATTAATAGTATTTTTGCATGCTAAAATAGTTACACATATCATTTTAAGAGCTGGCACTCAAGATAAGAAAAATACAAAATATCCATGAATAACAGTTTAGCAAACATTTTTTAAGCTCCTACTAGATACCACAGGAAGTCTACTTGAAATGTACATTCATAGTCTTTTTTAGCAAATTACTTAACAATTACTTGTGTAGATAAGATATTAGTAGAAAAGGCAATTGTTCTAATAGTGTCTGTTTTCAAGTTAACATTTAATGCAATTCCCATAAATATTCCACCAGAATGGTGAATGAAATTATTTTTGGCAAATAGTCACTCTCTCTACTCTCACCTTCATAGGAGGAGTATACTTCCCACTCCATTGATGTTGGACTTGCCCATGTAACTTGACTTGACCTCATGGTGGGTGAAGTGCACTTTACTCCCCCCTTCATTTTGGGCCTCCCTTTGATCAATGGGATGTTAACAGATGTGAGGCCACCAGAAGCTTGCAATGTGCTTTCAAGATTGAACTTAGTCTTTTGTGCTTTTTCCACCATGAGAAGAATATGCCCCAGGTGGCTCAATGGTCATTGGTGAAGAGAGACACATGAAACAGACCAGGACCCAACTTGCAGCTTTGGAACTAAGCACAGCCGATCTCAGCCTGGATGGCAACTGGTCCACAAAAACATGAGCAAGAATAAACAATTGTTTAAGCCACTGAGTTTGGGTGATTTCTTACACAGCATTATTATGCAAATAGTTTTCTGACACACCCAAGATTTCCCATCTACTTAATAAAATGATGCTGAAATTCATACAGAGGTGAATTTATTAAAGATTTCTGAAAAAAGATGAGCAAAAAGAAGTAGGTCTAATACTACAAGCAACAATTATATAAAAATAGCATTTACCAAAAAAATGTTGATCAATGAAACAAAATAAAGAGCACAAAAAGACCAAATATATATATATATATTTGTGTGTATGTATACCAATGGTAGCAATAATATAATAATAATAGTAATAATAATTGTAAAAATAATTATTTGTGACAAGTACTAGATTGTCAGAGCTCACAGGACAATATTTTCAGCATGTCTACCATTCCGGGGGCATGCTGGAAATATTGTCCTGTGAGCTCTGGGAAAGATACCTGAAAGATAGCTAACTTTCTTCAATCCAATAAATATCATTAAACACTATTGGAAATAAATAGTTATTGGCAAAATACAACACCATACCAAGCCACCAAAAAGTTATTTACTTTCTACCTTTTCTTCCTAAGAATATCACAAATAATTTACCTTGCAAAAAACTTGGGCTGCATTGCAATAGAAAAAACTGTTATAGTGTGTAAGTATAGATGAAAGAGATTAGAAAGCCACACTGACTTGCACAGCTGTTCCTGGGGAATCTTTGAAGAACTTGTACTTCTTAAAGAGGACAGGAATTATTTCTAGAATACTCACTATTTCTCTGCCAAAATATTTATTGTATTAAATACAGAATATTAAAACAGTGATGTATTCACAATGCATGTATCTTATACATCCCTGCCCTATGGGGCTAGACTAGTATATTTCAAATTTTTTCAATTCACCTTCTCCTATGGTCTTCTCCATCTCAGTCAATGACAATTCCAACCTTCCAGATGCACAGGTCAAAAACCTAAATACCTTTTTTAAAAGCAAACCTTCCTGTATCCAAGTGTTCTCATTGTTCAATTCCCACCTATGAGTGAGTACATGCAGTGTTTGGCACATGTATACATATGTAACAAACCTGCACGTTGTGCACATGTACCCTAGAACTTAAAGTATAATAAAAATATATATATGTGAAAAATTAAAAAAATGAAAGTGCAATAATTAATAAAAAAAGCAAACCTTATATTTTGGAATAGTTTCAGATTTATTTAAAAATTGAGAAGATAGTTACCATATAGCCCACACTCAGTTTCTCCATTATCAACATCTCGTATAGTATAATACATTTGTTACAATTAATTATTATTAACTCAAGTCCATACTTTACTCATACTTAGTTTTGATCTAATGTCTTTTTTTCTGTTCAGGAGCCCATCCAGGATACCACATTGCATTTAGTTGTCATGTTTCCTTAGGACACTCTTGGCTGTGGGGGTTTCTCAGACTTTCCTCGTTTTTGATAACCTGAACAGTTTAGAGGAGTTGTCATCACGTGTTCTGTAGAACGGCCCCCAATATTTATTTGTCTGATATTTATCTCATGATTAAACAGGCTTATGGGATTTGGGGAAGATGGCCTCAGTGGTAAAGTGTCGGTTTCATCACATCATACCAAGGGTATATACTACCAACACCATTTGTCACTATTGATGTTAACCTTGATCACTTAGCTGAGATAGTGTTTGTCAGCCTTTCCACCACAGTTACTATTTATTCTCCTTTCCATATTGTAGTCCTATTAAGGGAGTCACTAGGAGAAACCCACATTTAAGGAATGGGAGAATATTCACTTTTTAAAGTATTCCAAACAATATATTTATCTAGACATTTTAAATCCTATTCTTTAAATGATAGTGAAAGTTCTAGAGTGTTTCACAGATATACATTGCTTAAAAAATACTTCTTCAACCGGGCATGGTGGCTCACACCTGTAATCCCAGCACTCTGGGAGGCCAAGGCGGGCGGATCAGGCTCAGGAGTTCGAGACCACCTTGGGCAACATGGTGAAACCATGTCTTTACTAAAACACAAAAATTAAGCCGGGCATGGTGGTGCACACCTGTTGTCCCAACTACTTGGGAGGCTGAGGCACGAGAATCACTTGAGCCTGGGAGGTAGAGGTCGTAGTCAGCCAAGGTCACACCACTGCACTCCAGCTTGGGCTATAGAATGAGACTCCATCTCAAAAAAAAAAAATTCTAGTAATAAATACAATATGTGCTCATTGTAGAAAATTTGGAAAACATGTTTTTTAAAAAAATTCTAAAATTTACAACCCAGATATAGACCATCACAGTTAATATTTTGAAGTATTATCTCCAAACTTTCTTTCTATGACTACATTTAAAGAGTTAAAATAATCTTTCACATGTTATTCTACCTTCTTTATTAGCCTTTAACATTATGAAAAAATTTTATTTATCCCTAGGCAAAAAGTGTTTTCTTTTTTACAATTTCAGAGCCTAGCACAGTGCGTTGCATGTAGTAAATTCAACAAATGGGATTCCATGAACTTACTGACTTCATGAATTGGCAGACACTCTGTGAAACCATTTAAAGGAATTTGTTGACTAGGATAGTCTTAGGTTCTTGTTTTGCCACACAGGACAATGAAAGACACTAGCATAGAATCAATACTTTGGGGGCCTTGAAAAATTAGTTAAATCAGTAAAATAGTATGTACTCTGTAAGAGCTAAAAGAAAATGGCACATAAAATACTTAACACAGTGACTGTCATTTAACCTAACCACTGAGGTATTACAATTTTATTTATTTATTTCTAGTCATTATATTCAATTATTTTTCAGAGATATTTTATTTTTGCTAGAACTTTGCTTCCCATGTATTTTATTCATTCTTAATCATTTTTATAGTCTGTGTTTGACACAGGCCTGCAATCCCTTATCTAAAATCATTTGAACCAGGTATACTTTGGGATTCATAAATGTTCATATTTGAAGAAGACAACAGAGCAAATACTCAAATACACATATTATGAAACACCACAGCAGGGTATTTCTAGAGGTAATTTTTGTATTTTTACAAAATACAAAATTTTTGGGCATGGTGGCAGGTGCCTGTAATCCCAGCTACTCGGGAGGCTGAGGCAGGAGAATCGCTTGAGCCGAGGAGGTGGAGGTTGCAGTGAGCCGAGATCGTGCCACTGAACTCCAGCCTAAGTGACAGAGCGAGACTCCATGTCAATAAATGAATAAATAAAGAATCCATTTATTAAATACTTGGCAAATGCCTATTAGTCAGATGACTCGGTTAACCAGACATACTATTTCCCAAACTTGTGGGGGGGTGGGGGGCAGTGGTGGATAACATTTGATATAAAAGCATATAGTTATTTTTGAAATGAAATATTCTGTAATGGCTATCTTTCTTTTGTGAATAAGGCTTTGTAAGGCTACTCTGAAAAATAAGAACTCACAATTTGATGCCATCTACTTAGTGACAAATTACCTTTTAGACATTAAATATAAGTGTTTAATTGAAATTACTTGAATGTTCACTATTCTTAAGAACAGTGAAATGAATTTCTTGTGTAAGATGGTTACTCAGCCATCATCATTACAGGCTGCAATGCAAACACCTTCTAGGTGGTATTGTTCCAGGATACTCCTAACTTGGGTCCATGTTGTTCTCTTCTTTGGTGAACCCCAATTTTAACACTTCTTTAAATTACAGTTCATTGCTGATCCTTAGCACAATGTCTGGAACAGAATAAGCACTTTTCAAAATATTTGGTATTTGGTTAATACCAATTGCCATTTGATGAAAGCTTTTCGCACTAGTCACTCTGCCAGGCCATCAGCTTGAGAAGAGCTATAGAAAAACTCTCTACATCAGGACATGAGTTCTATCATCTTTTTCAACCCTCAAATCAAGGTATTTGTGATAGATACACTGTTTTGTTTTCCTTTGCTTGTCACAAATGAGGTAATTTGATAGTTGAATTTCTAATAGGCCCCTTTCAAGTGCGTTAACAAGATAGTTGGCAAATGGGGACTTTTCTACCTAAGGCTCTGTAATAAATAAAACTGCGGTATATCTTCCTGAGGAACCGATCACTACATTAAAACCTATGATAATAATGGATTTTTCATCAATAAAAAATGTGATTTGTAAAGTGAAAATCAATCTAGTTTGACTGCTGATGCCTCACAGCAATAGAGAAATTTTCATCTAACAATTATAATGAAACTATATGATTTATCAGTTGAGTACGACTAGCAATTCAGGTAGTAGTCAGTCTTGTCCAGCCATTTTCTGGCATTATAACCTTGGGAAATTGACCTTCATTTTTCTACCACAAAAGGATAAGCTAGTTTACTAAGCAATATGCACCTAAGCAGAAAGATAGACAGCGTTCACCCCTTGCAGACACCTGCACTGACTGATGGATGTGACTTGTGTTTGGCCCCCCAGCAGGTTTGAGAGTGCAGATTTGGAAAGACTACTCCTCTCCTCCTTCAGATGGCACCTTGTTTAAAGATGAGTTACTGAACATTTGGTGGTGGTGGCTGTAAAATAACTACAATATATCAGCTAGGACTTTTTTGGTTGCAAGGGACAAAAACAGTTCAAACCAGCAAAAGTAAAAAGAAGACAAATATATTGGCTTATACACCCAAACCATGGGGGATGGGAGGGGAGGCTGCCTTCAAGAATTGAGCTCAGGACCTGAAGTGTTGTCTGGGTCTTCACATTAGCCTTGCAACTTGTTTCTGCTTCTCTCAGTGTCTTTGTCTCATTCTGTCTTGGGAACACAGCTACTGACATCCAGAGAATCACATCCCAACAGCTTTACCACCAGAGAAAAGGGGGCCTTTCCTGCCAGTGTGTCCCAGAAAAACATAATAAAATTTGAGAAGGCTTCAGAATGGCTCATCTTGGGCCATGAGCCCACCCCTCAACCAATCACTTGATTGACCAATCACTAGCCTGACTTTTCTGCTCACCCTTGTGGTCAAAAGGAAGGGCCACCTTCTCTAATAAAGGGAAGGTGGAGAGTAGACAACCGCAAAAGGCACACTATACACCTACCTGACTATATATATATATATATAATGTGTGTGTGTGTGTGTGTGTATATATATACCATTTTACACCATTTACACACCATTTTACATACCATTTTAATGTATAACATAGTATGTTGTATATATTCTATGTATGTTTGTATTTAAGTGGCTAGAACTTGATCTGTGAACATGTATGCATGTATATGCTGCATGCATGCATACATGTATGTATTTTCCATATACTTGTATATACTGATTCATAACTATGAATGTATATATATATTACATGTATGTATTACTCCTATGTCTAAATAGGAGTGTGGTCTTTCCATAATCCCACTCACATTCCCAGATCATAATTACCCAATGAATGCATTTTCTATCTTCTTCTATATTCCAGAGTAAGTTCCAGCCAGGTTGACCTATGTATTACCTGTACATGTGCCTGACTTCCTTCTCTGGAAGTCAGAGGATTGCAGAGGCCTGGGCAGTACTTCAGGGGCCCCTTGGAAATGGGGAGTTGTGTCCATGTCAGGGGTACACAGAGAGAAGCATTATTAGAAGTGACCCCCTACATAGTATGCAGGGCAGTAGGGCCAAGGTAAGAGCACTACAAGACTAGATAACCAGCCAAACAAAAAGAAGAGCCACACGATTAGGACTAAAGGTATTGAATCCAGAGAAAGGTATGAAATGGATCCACCAAGTGTGAGGCAATGACGATTACCAGCATAGACATTAGGGCTTTACTGTAGCTTTCCATATAGTGTCCTTGGCCTACTGGGAGTCATAGGGGCTGAAGGAAAATGCACAATACATATTCTGAACCTTTGCTTTTTTACCCAACTCTGCTTTGTCTTCTTCCTCTGTCCCATCCAAATCTTTCTCCAAAGCACATGTCTCACCTCTCCCACAAAAGCTTCCTGGAAATATTCTAACCCACAGTGGCATCTGTCCTTCTCATCTGGCACTCATAGATTGTCTGGAGATATGGTCATTGATTGAAAGTTGCTATTTCACAACCAGACTGAGAAACATAGTCATCTCTTCTCCACTCAAAAAATATATCCTTTCATACTTGAGAAAAATGATAAATTATCCTTAAAATGACAAATCCAATACACACATGTCAAATTCATTTGGGAGTAAGAGCATGGTACAGACATGCTGGTAGGGGTGGGGCTGTCAGAACAAAGGATGAAATCAATGAGGAGGGTGGTAAAAAGTCACAAAGTTTTGATTTATTATATGTTAATTTAGCTGTTTCCTTTTCTATAACATTTAATACTCAAATTTCATTTTGCTTTATGATTACATAAATGGGAATGTTCGGATTTTAATTAACAATTAAATGGATCAGTTTTAAACTTTTGGGACATACATTTGCACATAATTGCTCTCAATATACTTACGTAAAACCCAAAGCCTCTATTACCAAATATAGAAAACCTATTCATGTCAGCTTTAGTTACATGTGTACATTTATTTAAATGTGTGGAGTGTGTGCTTTTATCACCAAGAAAGTCAGCTCTCTTCCTTAATTGTTACTATAACCATAATTTGGGAAATTCTATTGCAACATCAATATGTTATGCACATCTTTAATTAGGCTAGTGTGGCCTGTCTGTCACAGCAACTGATCCTAAATATTCCTATTTAGTCTACTTGAGGTTTTAAAACGTTCTCATTTTTTAAAGAGGCATACTTCAGCCTCATTAAATTGTCGAGTAAGTCAGTATGCAGCCCTGCACTTGCTTCCTGTGTTCTGGCAATCTTGCACCTCTCCACTTGGCACATTTCAGGCACCCAGGGAAAGGGCACTCTTCCCCAAATACCAGAAATCCTCTGTAGCCCCAGCATCTTAAGGGGAAGATCCTATCAGGTCTAAGGAAGACATCTGTCACCCTCACTGATTACCAATAAGATCTGGCCTTGGCATCCTATTGATCACCCAAGCTGGATCCTTTCATCTAGCAGTAAATGCAAATAAACTGCAGGCTGCTTGCTCTGAGCAATGTCTTCACACCAGGTCACACAACAAAAAAGACAACACAATGACTGAGTCCCTCATAGGCAACTACAAATAGAACCTAGCTTGAAGTTCGTTTTCTCCTTTTTCCCAAAAATCTGCCATGATCTCAACAGGAGAAAGCAAGATTACCTTGAACCAAGCCCTGGACTACCTTAGTCCTTTATACCTCCTCTGTCTGCTATAATTAATAATTTAAAATAAATAGCATTTGTTTCAAGGGGAAAATAGGGTTTTAGGATATTGTGAAGCACGTTTCTGTTTTTAATTTTTTTCTGGAAAAATACATGGGTGACATATACTTTTTACCATATCCAAAGCCAGTTGATAATACAGTAATTCTGCCATAATGCTATAGGTGGAATCTCCACATTGTCATTTTTAAAATGGGGGATTGCATTATAGACACGGTAATGACACAGCAGGGAGGCGAGGGCAGGGTCTGTTGCAAAATCTAAATCACTCCTGATCCAAGCTTTGGTTTGAAATCATGGTTGCTATCAGCTTAAACACGTGTTGATGAGAAATTTGGGGCTCCGTGGCCAGCGAAGACTTTCAGAATTTCAGCACTCACCCAGTTAGTTGGCACTCATTTTTCTTCCCTGCTTCTCAAGACTTCCCCTCCCCCATAGAAAAGAACCTTAGCTTACACTCATTGAGAAAGTGAAGGGGAGACTGGGTAAAGGTAAAGAGTTAAAGCCAATCACCAACTCTGTTATATTTAGATCATCATTATTACAGTGGGAGGAATATTTTGATCTTTCTATTTAACCCCTTTATAATAGTCATCACAGTTTTCACATGCTCTTTTTTATGGATCTACATCAGGGAAAAAAATAAACAGCTTGAAATATAAGCAAAACCACATCTCTCCTGTGTTCCTTTTATTTTAATTTTTGTATTTCCCCTGGGAACAGATTATTTTTTTTAAAAAAAACAGATTAATTGATAAAATGAAGCAGAGCTTAAACTGGGTATAATTTACTATATGTGGGGCCTTCAGGGCAGGCTGTCATAGATTCACAAACCAGCTATATTTTCACTTGTGCCAATCCAAAGGGACCAGAGTCATCTATTTTTAAAAGATAACTAAAGAATCAGATTTTGCTCCTAAGCAACCCTACACTCCACAGTGTCCACTAGATGTTTGACCTAATTCTGCTGCCTCCCATTCCACTTTTCTTTAGACAGTAGTAAAGAGACATTCTTTCTTGTAATCATTTCAGCTCATAAAATCTATGACTAGTTACAGCAACTTCTGGCCAAGCTGAAGCATCAGGCAGTAAACCCATCATTAACAGCCATGGTGTTTGCAGATGCTCTAGGTCTGGAAATCACTGCTGGCATGCCTGCATATTTAAAAAAATACTAAGAAGTTTAGTAATTTCCAGAAACCATATGCATTTAAGGGGAAAGTCTTCTGAGAAAACTTTAAGGGCCAAGATCTTGAAATAAGTAGATCAGCTTGGTGATCACCTGACTCAGTTCAGCTAAGCCTATTGACCTTCTCAGAATTAGAATAGAATGAATAGGGACTTAGTGTGTGATAATCTCTGAAGCATGGTTTTGTGGTCACTATTTAAGCTATTTGTCCTAGAACACTGAACTCACCACCTATCATTTCAGCTATATTACTTTGGCTCTTGAAAGCTTTATCATACTGTGTCTCTTATTTAATGTAACCATTTCTGCAACGGATTGCGCCTGAGGACATTACAGTGAGAACAAATGCACAATCATTTGGGAGTAAGAGCATGGCACAGACATGGTGGTAGGGGTGGGACTGTCAGAACAAAGGATGAAATCATTGAGAAGGGTGGTAAAAAGTCACAAAGTTTTTATTTTCTCCCGAGTTAGCCTAGAACTACTTGAATTTAGGAGAAAATCTGTCATTCCCTTTGAGTGTTCTAATGTTTTCAACTTTCATGCAAAATTTTCTGCTCTATCACCTGCATTCATGATGCAATATGGGGTCTATCATGCATAGACCAGAACTAGAGAAATAAGTTGCTTATGTGTCTGTTAGTCTTTATAGAAAATCAAATTGCCTATTTCAAATATTCCTAGTTTGCTTTAGATAGCTTAATATCCCATTGCTTCTTTTTAGTTATTTCCTGCTGCTGAATTAGGTGAATTGTTTTGTATGATTCCTTCCCCATGGTAAATGGTAAATAAACATCCTTCCTGGGATCAGAATATATTTTGAATTTTTTAATAAAATAGACATACAAGTCCAAAAACCATAAATTTATACTTAATAAATGGACTGTGAACATCTGTGTAACCTCCAACAGGATCAACAGATAGTATATTGCTAAATCCCCAGAAACCCATTCTGATCACAAGCTGCCCACTCCTCTCAGAGGTAACCGCTAGACCCCCTTTCATAATAATAATTTCCTTGCTTTTTTTTTCCTTTTTTAGTTTACCGTTGTATATGTCCCTAAGCAACATTATTTAGTTTAGTCTCTTCTTGTGACCCATAAACGGAATCACATTGTGTACTTTGCTTTATCTTCCATGTGGTCACATATACTTGCAGTTTCTTCATCGCCATTGCTGTATGGTATTCCAAATGTATGTGGCACGACTCTAATTCATTCTCCTACTCATCAATATTTAGGTATATTCTAGGTTCCGGCTACTAGGAAAAATGCTGCTACATGTTCTGTCCATGCCTTCCAGTGCACGGGTTCATGAGCACCTCTAGTGTAGATATCCATGACTAGAAATGGTTGGGCATACAGCATGTAAATCTTCAACTTTGCTCAATACAACAGTGGAGCTGTTTTTTCCAAAGTGGGTATTACAATTTTTACTCCCACTACAAGTATACAATAGTATCTGTTGTTCCACATCCTCGTCAACACTTGGTATTGTCAGACTTCTTAATTTTTTGCCAATCTGGCGTTTCATGTATATTAGTATCTCTTTGTGATTTTTAAATATTTTTCTCATTGTGGTTTTAATTTGTAAAACCATGATTACTAATGAGATTGAGAACCCCTACATGTGTTTATTCCCCCAAGTCCAGGATCTTTAAAATGTACATATAAATTCTGGTACTCTGGACTGTGATAATTTGATGTTATTCATACTGAACACTTTATGCCATACTGGAAAGTACAGAGAAAGCAAAAGCAATTCATTCATTGAATAGCAATTTGGAGCTGGGAACCTCATATACTTCGACTTATTTTATCCTCAAAATAATTTTGCTAGGCTGATGTTGTTATCCTTATTTTGCAAATAAGGAAATTGGGGCTCTGAGGTTAAGGAAGTTACCCAAAAGCAAATATACTGCTTAAGTTCATTAAATGTTAGAACTGACTCTCAAACCATGCCTGTGTGCTTCCAAAGCCCAGATTCTTTCCAGTAACTATGTTTTCTCCTAAGAAATAACCTTTGCAGGAGCAAAATAATATTCAATATTCTTTTGTAAAATCATTGTATTAAAAACTACATCAAAATAATTTCAAAGATAGCCCAGTTAATAGAACTAATTAAATAACTGCATCCATAGGTCAGTTTTTCCTTTCACACTCCGAAATCAAATTCATTAATATTTAAAGAAATGAAAGGGTCTTTGATATTTGACGGGATTTCCCATATGAGAATACTTCGTGAGACATTTTAGTCACATGTTTCATTTTCAGCCTGTGACAGGCACTTGTGAATTGATTAACACCATACAGTAGAGTTATAGAATATTAAATGATAGCCAGAAATAAAAGTAACAAAAGATGAGGGTGAGACAAACTCTCCTCAAAGAGATACATTTTTATATAGGTAATCAATTTATTAGGACACTCAACAAATTCAAGCAATAGACACTGTAAAAAAATTAATTTAAAACCAATTAGAGGATAAACATCAAAGATTCTAAGAATTTATGTGTTATTAATGGTGCTTTTTTTCAACTATAAAATTCTAATAAAGGCCTGTAAATCCTGCAGATACAGAAACAATTTTCGAAGAATCAAATTAACCAGAAGCAATGACTCAGATATGAGATTGACTACAAAAGGGGGTAGACCAAGCTTAGCATCCTCCCAGAATGCTAAGAATAACTCTCAGGACAGGAGTAGCATTCCATGCATGACTCTACCCTCTAGTATCTTTACAAAATGACCTTTCGATGGGAGCTGATCCAAGACTCTCCCTAGTAATGTAGACACACTGGTAGCTTGTACCTTTGTTACCAACAATTTCAAACAGGCTTGGACTTTGTGTCTCTGAATATTAAACTCACATTCATCCAACTCCATAGAAATGAATAGTGAAAACAATTTTATTAAGCACTTCTATATACATCACATATTTTGTGAGGTTCATTATTTTTATTTTACTTTATGAGACAAATGCTTGCTTGCAAAAGCGCTAGCATAGTGTGCACTTTCTAGTTGTCAATATACCTCCATCCTCTCCTGTACTACCAATTGGCTACAAAGATTTAAAGCTTCTGTGATTATAGGATTTACACGATTTTAACCCCTTTAAATTTGAAAACTCTTTAAATCCCATTATCTCTGCAGCCACTGCAAATTTTAAAATCAGCTTGGCCTTTTCTAGCTCCAGGTCTAAGGATTACAGAGTTTTAAGGAGTATAAATGCATTTTTGAAGTTCTATAAAGAGCTCTCCCCAACCAGTTGACCTACAGGAAATCAAGCCAGCTAGTTCTCCAGCTGGTAACTGCTAATCAGAGCTTCTAAATGGAGAGATATGTACGTTGTGCCACAAACCACCAGGAAAACAAGTAATTGCTTCCTTGACTCCATATGAAGCCAGTGAATCAGAAGATTTAATGTAGGAGGGGTGGCAGATTTAGACATTTGTCAGTAAATGTCTAAGAATAATAAGACAGAAGATGTTGTCAGGGACCCAAGCAAGCTCTCCGGGGCAGACAGAGTAAGTTCAGTGAGTTGGAAGCCCTCTGGCTCCTAAAGAAAAGCTGTTACCATGGATACTCTCCAACTGCTAGGTAACCCTCTGGGATCTTACCTCTTGTGTCTTCACATTTATGTATCCATAGTGAGTTCGAAGGGGCCGCCTGTATGTGTAGGAGAATGGTATCCACTTTGTACCAGGTTGTCCAAAGCAGTTTAGTAGCAATGGGAAATTCACTTCATTTACAAGACGCACAACCAGCAGGAAAAGGAACGCTGCTATGAAGCTCACAGCAATCACAGACTTTCTCTACAAAACATTAAAAAAACAAAAAGAAGAACGAATGACTTTCAACCAAAGGCAGTCACAGAAGGAGGTTCCTTTATTCTTCTCTTTTTCTTTCATAGGGGTCGAAGGATTCTGTCATTCAGCATATTTTACCTGGAAATGGAAAATAATTATTTGGTGACCAAATTGTCCTAGTGTGCTGGGCTGCTGAGAGCAAGCAGAGCTGCTTTCTTGAACTCTTCCATTGCATCTCCACCCTTCCTTATCTCACTATATTCCTTGTACACTCCTATTCAGTTTGCAAAACCCCAATCAGACATTTCCAATGACAGGAAACCTTTTCTAATTGCTCAATCCCCTCCTCACCACCATGCTTTGACCCCCAACCTATCCACTCTAACAGAGGTAAAGTCCCATCATTCCCATAATTTAAAGACACTTCTATTGTTGTACTTTTTCACTGTGTAATTATTTATGTGATTTTCCTACATGGATTTGTGAGTTCTTAGAGAACTGGAATGTACTGTGTCATCTTGATCTCTGTATCCCAGGCTCTTAACATGGTACCTTACATACTACAGGCATTCAAAGAACATTTGAGTGAAACAAATGAATGAATAAATAAATGAATGAATGGATGTTCACATTCTTGTAGACACAGTATCATTATCACTCATTCTTCTGTTTCTGTATCTAGCACCCTGTATGAGTAGGAAACTCTGCCTGTGCTATAGGATTTGCAAAAGTAAGATTCAAAAAAGTAACAAGAGGAAAAAAAAATTATGCCAAGCAGCAGAACATTCCTCTAAACATACTGCCATGGAAGAAAAACAGGAACAACTGCATCCGATTGAGAAGAGAGAAAGCAAAGATGTCTTTGAAATTGAGCTTGATAAAATGCATGTGTTTTAATTGACAGATATGTGTGAACAGAGCTTTCCAGAGAGAGGAAACAGCACGCAGACAAGAATACATACAGTTACTCATAGGCGTACAGTAGTTTGTCTTACTGGAGCACGAAGAAGGAGAAAAAGCTAGAAACACAAATGATAACTTTATTCTGAATTGCCTCAGATATCAAGCTAATACATCTATACTAAGTTTGCTAGGTGATGGAAAGCCAAAAGAAATTTTGTTTTGTTAAAGGGGACAGTTGGCCACATAAATGTCTTCTTCTGAGAAATGTCTGTTCATATCCTTTGCCTACTTTTTGATGGGGCTGTTTATTTTTTTATTTTTATTTTTTTTTTGTAAATTTGTTTAAGTTCTTCATAGATTCTGGATATTAGCCCTTTGTCAAACGGATAGATTGCAAAAATTTTCTACCATTCTGTAGGTTGCCTATTCACTCTGATGGTAGTTTCTTTTGCTGTGCAGAAGCTCTTTAGTTTAATTATATCCCATTTGTCTATTTTGGCTTTTGTTGCCATTGCTTTTGGTGTTTTAGTCATTAAGTCTTTGCCCATGCCTATGTCCTGAATGATACTGCCTAGGTTTTCTTCTAGGGTTTTTATGGTTTTAGGTCTTATGTTTAAGTCTTTAATCCATCTTAATTTTTGTATAAGGTATAAGGAAGGGGTCCAGTTTCAGTTTTCTGCATATGGGTAGCCAATTTTCCCAACACCATTTGTTAATTAGGGAATCCTTTCCCCATTGTTTGTTTTTGTCAGGTTTGTCAAAGGTCAGATGGTTGTAGATGTGTGGCATTATTTCTGAGGCCTCTGTTCTGTTCCATTTGTCTATTTATCTGTTTTGGCTGAAGCCAACAAACATATGAAAAAAAGGTCATCATCACTATTCATTAGAGAAGTGCAAATCAAAACCACAGTGAGATACCATCTCACACCAGTTAGAATGGTAATCATTAAAAAGTCAGGAAACAACAGATGCTGGAGAGGACATGCAGAAATAGGAACGCTTTTACACTGTTGGTGGGAGTGTAAATTAGTTCAACCATTGTGGAAGACAGTGTGGTGATTCCTCAGGAATCTAGAACCAGAAATACCATTTGACCTAGCAATCCCGTTACTGGGTATATAACCAAAGGATTATAAATCATTCTGCCATAAACACACATGCACACATATGTTTATTGCAGCACCATTCACAATAGCAAAGACTTGGAACCAACCCAAATGCCCATCAATGACAGACTGGATAAAGAAAATGTGGCACATACACATTATGGAATACTACACAGCCATAAAAAAGGATGAGTTCATGTCCTTTGCAGGGACATGGATGAAGCTGGAAACCATCACTCTCAGCAAACTAACATGGGAACGGAAAACCAAACCCCACATGTTCTCACTCATAAGTGGGAGTTGAACAATGAGAACACATGGACACAGGGAGGGGAACATCACACACCGGGTCCTGTCAGGGAATGGGGGGCTAGGAGAGGGAGAGCATTAGGACAAATACCTTATGTAGGTGACTAGTTGACGGGTGTAGCAAACCACCATGGCACATGTATACCTATGTAACAAACCTGTACATTCTACACATGTATCCCAGAACTTAAAGTATAATTTTTTTAAAAAAGAAAAAAAAGGCGGGGTGGGGGGAAGTTATGAGTTATAATCAAACATCAGTGTTTAAGATGCTTTGGAGCAGGGAGAGAGTATAGGTAGGCAGTGACTAGTTAGGAGGCTATCCCAATTGCCTAGGACAGAGGTAATGAGGGATGAAAACTAGGGCAGAAGAAGAAGAAATAACAAGGTGGAAAAAGATGTGAGAAACTTGATTTAGGTGGGAGAAATAGAACTTGGGCTACTGACAGGACAGAAGCGGCTGACGGAAAATTCAGAGATTCCTCAGATTTGGGGTCCATGTGACGGCAATATTATGGGTCATATCAGAAGAAACCAGAGTTGTCAGAGCAGGAACTGACATAAGATAGTAAAAAGATAAAGCCCTTGACTTTCTAGTTTTCAGCAACTGTCAAGGAGTCAGGTGGAAGGTAAGTCTAGAGCAAGAAGGAGGACTGCTGAAGCCATGAAGTGCAGGGTAAAGACACAATAAAATATTCTTTCATATAGTTGGGCTGGGCCCCCTGATTCTTCTTCGAACTTAAGGAAAGCCACATAACTTTCTGTGAAAGACCAAAATGTTTATTGTTGTTGCATTTTCAGCTTACCACTACCCGGTGGAATTAGTTCTTTTTGCTCTTCGCAGACTCTCCTAGGGAAGTCAAGAAACCTGAAGGCAGTTCCTGTATCCTCCCAGGGCCAGGGTCACAGCCTCTGTATGGGCAATGGAACCAGCCCCCAGGAGTCAGCGATACCCAAAGGCAGTCTTGCTTCTTGCTCACCTCCCATAATTTGGAAAAGCCCCAGCCCTCCATCTCGCCAGCCTAATCTTCCAATCGCCTGAAAGCCCCTTGAGCTCTGCCTCCTCAACACCCCTTATCTCACCACTAACTACCACAGCCTTACCTCATTTAAGCTTCTAATCATGAAAAACTGTTTTAATTTGCTCCTCTGTGGAATCATTATGTCCACAACATTGCAATGTGTCAAGGTAACAGTTTAATGAAGTGATGGATCTTACAAGTTTAAAGGGACATAGACCAGAACAGATGGCTAAATAAAAGCAAAGAGGCCAGTCACCCATTAAGTAAACAGGTAAGAACCTTTTTCTTAATCGTCATTTGGTAGCTTGTTGCAAAATAGCAGCTTGCTTTGAAGGAGACCCAGATGGGATTTGTGCTTTTGTTTATTCAGAGCTCAGCACGGCTCTCTGGTTCTCTTGGTTGCTATATTGCATTGCATGGCTGGGGGTTTGGGGACAAAGATGTGGATAGCCTTTCTGAATCCACTGTTGTGTGCAGCAACACATACGTATGCATACGTGAGAGAAAAATAAGTCAACCATTTTGAGAGAAATTTCAAAACAGGATGAAATAGCAGTTGTAAAAGCCTGCTCCCTGGCAACCCATGTCTGCCTCTCATGTTCTATCAAAGGGAACCAAGTAATGAGCACAGAGAGGGTGAAGGGAGCAACCAGAGAGCAGAAGCCAGACACCCTCTCCTCTGTGTGCCACTGGGAGTGGTATTCTGCAGTGGACAGAGGTTCCTTCTGCAGCTCAGGCCCCCAGCTCAGTTTCTGTTACATTGCCCGGGTTTGATTCTTTGCCCTTCTTGTTTAGCATGAAAGTGTTCTCATACTGCTAGTATGAAACCACTCTGAAATTCCACTAGAAAAGGCATACCTTCAAGTACACTGTGTGCTCCAGATGACAAGTACAACAGAATACAATGCACATGTGCCTTCTTCTAGTAGTCACTTCCACCAGATCGTGACCTCAAGCTTCAGCAACTACAATGAAAACCATGGATGAGACAGAAGGCTACACATCGCTGAATGCAATGAGAATGTGTGTGTGTCATAGGGATGTGGGAGGTGGGGAAGTGAACAAAGTACTAATATGCATGATATACATGCATGTCTCACATGTATATCATGCAATACATACTAAAGAATTTACATCTTCAAGCCACAATCGCTCATTGAGTCCATACTCTGTGTAGACTTGGCTAGGTGCTGAAAAAACCGAAATAAAACCATAAAAGACACACCATGCTTCCAAAGAGTCACAACTTGGTGCAGCTGGCCAGTAAATAGAACACTATAATACCAGGTGTCAAATGATGCTAATGTGGGTATACACAGGGTGCTGTGGGAGGCCAGAGGAAGGGTAAGTATAGGAGGAACAGTTCAGGGAATGTTTGTCTGGGGTGGTGATATTCCAACAGAGTCCTGAGGACCGCGGCGGCCTCGCCAAGAGAAGATGTGAAGGGCATTCCAGGCAGAGGGCTTAACAGTTTGAAAGGCCATTAATTTGGTCAGAAAACTTGAAGTCATTTGGTCAGAAGAATACATAGACTCTAAGTGGTAGGAGATGATTCTAGACAGAGTTAAAATCATAAAACAAAAGATAATAAGCCAAATAAATGAAGTTGGATGCAATCAACTGTCCTATCTACCCTACATTAGGATAATGAAAGGATAAATGTATATAAAAGTGCAATGTTTTGCAATTCTAAAATATTCTCCACTTTCCAAACAAGTAAAAATGTATCAATCACTTCATTTTATTTGAATTACCATTTAAGACACCACAATGCCGTGTTTCAAGTTGTTTGACTTATTCCATCAATAAATGTATTCCATCTATGGCTTGTTCTAGTAACTGTTTTGAGTCCATCAACACTTAGCAAATTAGAAGACTCTACCTGTTTACACATGTGTTCTACGTCTAATGATTTATTTATGGAAGTGATTGCTGCTGCCTTTATTGAAGTAGTCAGAACATCCTTTAGATTTAACAACCACCAATTAGATTAAACAACAGTAAGTACATGTCAGTTTATAATGTATGACACTCGGCTCAACAAATTTTTCATACTGCAAAAAAATGGCATATATGCAATATAAACAGTCATTCCCCTAAGATCAGAAGCATAAATATTAAGTGATACAATGAGTGGAAAATGCAGAACACAGTACCAGGCACATAATGAGCTCTCGAGAAACAAAAGCTATTACGACATAACTACTGATGGTTACAGCCTCAGTGAACATTAGCTAGTGTTGAGCACTGGTCAGACCATATGAAATGCATAAGAACTAGAGATATTTTTTTCTTAAATATTCCAAGCAGCTGCAAACCCTTGAACTGTTCAGTGTAACTTATCCATATAAGTTCTGAGAAAATGTCACTGTGCCCAAATAGATCTGATGAATTGCTTTAGGGAAAGCTTTCTCCTTCTTTGTTCTTCATTTTGGGCAAGTCTGAAGGGGCCTTTAACAGCTGAGACATTTAGAATTTAATCCCCTCTGTGCTGCAAAAATATGCATCAAAAACATGGCATTCTAGCTGCTTGCTCTTTAGAGTGGGAATATCATTTATCAGACTTCATAGGAGAAATACCTATTCCAAAATAAAATCCACAGAAAATCCATTATTTTGGGAGAGAACACAAGTGCAAAGATCCGGACCTAGCAAATTTGCAATCTATATTAATATGTATATGTTTTTATTCTTTCTACTGTAGAAGTAGTCTTTAACCACAAAATAAAATCTTTAACTTTTAATCCAGTCTATTGTCAGATGTTTTTGTTTTCTTTTTCCTAAATTATAACCAATGGTATAAAGTTGTGTTTTTTATTTAACTATTGTTTAATGACCAAGTATTCACTAGTGTGAAAAGCATACACTTTTGTTCACATGCTGTCATTTATTCAATAATAAATATTAAAGACAATGTCAACTGTGTTATGTGTATCAGTGCTCAGTCACTTCACACATTGATGAGTCCCTACCCATTGCTTCTTTGTGATTTTATCAAACGCTAATTATTTTCCCACATAAAAAGTTGTCTCATCAATATGTTATAGTTCTATCTTGTGCCACTGACCAAGTTCCAAATCTAATTCTCTCTGAATGCAATAAAGCTTCTTTCCATTTGCACAAAGTTGAAGTAGCAAAGCACAGAGTATATAAATAAAACCTTCATTCATTTTATTTCATCGTTGAATCAAAAATCTGGGTGTATCCCGCTTATTAAACTATAGTGAACTCTAGGAAAAACCCCACTAATTTGTTAGGGGTATGGGTAAGTAAAGAAGGCCCAAGGCTCCCATGTTCTCATAATCAGAACTAACCCTTTGGATGAAATTTATTTGTGTCTATCTGTCCAGCCACACTGAGAGACGTTGCTTTCTGGGCTCTTCATTCTATGTACTCAATATCAGTCTTCAGCTCTATCTTGTGAAAATCCTTGCTTTCTTTCTTTTCTATAAAGGGAGATATACTGAATCAATATGCTAAAGAGACTGAATGAGATAAACTTGTTTTTCATAATTTTACAAAATGAAACAAACTCAGTGAATATAGCCATGATTATTTTTATGTTATCTTGTAGCAGTTTAAAAATCCAGTCAGGCCAGAAAAACCTAAATCTACTCCCTGAATAAAATGAGAAAATGTACAGGCATGTTAAAAACTCAATGAGTTTTTTTATTATAATTTAAGAATAGGTGTTAGAAAGTTCAATGTAACCTCTTATCATGTCATCTGATACAGTCATAATGCTCATGTTAACTTGAACTTCTCAATAATGTCTGCACCCCCCGCCCCCCAAAAAAAAAAACTCCTTTGGGAAAAAAGTTCCTCAGAAAATGTTGCTACCTATAATTTTTCTCTAGGACTGGCTTTTTGCACAGAAGAATTTATTACAGTGGTACCCATGAAAACTCTATTGCCTTGATTTTTGTTTGTTGGATTTGTAATTCTTACTGGACTATAACCATGTCTGAAGGTGACATACTGACATGTGCTCTAAATTCTTAAAGTAGATTACCATGTTGAAGGCGTCCTATTACTTTTAAACTTTTTTTTAACTACCAACATTTTGTTGTTTAGTTGTGTTTTTGTTGAACAAAAGGGTCATTGGATTGTGGAGCTGAAAGAGGAAGACATACCCATTCCATCAGGTTGGTTCCTACAAACTGCCTACAATAAGAGTCTATACAATTGACTGTCAAAGGGTACCTAGTGTTCTCTAGCAGAAGTGGAAGAATAATTGCTTTATTTTCCCTGAGTGCTAACCAAGTGCACCCTGTAGTTGTCTTTTTAATACCGGGAATAAAGCCAGAGTTGGGCAAAATGAATTAAATTTATCCACAAATTGCTGATTTCAAAGTAAATGTAATTATCATGCTTCACACCAGCCTCTTAATTTTCCATATGAATTAGGTATTTTGGTTACTGACAAACTGCATTACAAAATCTACCTAAGGCTGGTACCAGTTTTTAAAATTTCTGAACCAGTTATATGAGAATGTTCCCATTAGTATGAATAACAATTAACAACTTAGTTAATTCACACACTAGAACACAGGCTCTAGAGGCAGAATATCAGAGTTCAAGTCATCTTTACCATTTTCTCCATCTATGACTTTGGGCAGTCACTTCATCTCACTATGCCTCTATTTCTTTGTCTGGAAAACTGAGATTATATAAATAATTCTCTAACTGATAACACTCATTAAACTTCATCCTCTGTTAAGACTATGATGATTATTCATGCACGTACACTCTATCTGGACTATATTCTCCTAGTAAGAGAAAAAAGGCCGATCTGAAAGTAATAATTGCTGGGTTTTGTACTGATAATTTAATATCTGCTGGTGATACCTGATGAAGTAGTCCATGTTTGCTCTTGATATTGTCTTTCCCGAAAGAGTCTTTACCACTTCCCAAACATTGGCCACACCACCTCCAGACTGAGCTTTCCAAAATCAAACCTGATCCTGTCTATCCTACATTTAGATCCCTCTGGACTCTACAGTGTAAGTGCAGACCCTTGGTATGATATACAAGACCTTCCATAATCACATCTCCTCTTGCCTCTCTAGTTCCACTCCTTCTGCCCTATTCAAAGCCTACACTCAATATATTTCTTTTACTATATCACATCTTCTTCATTAGGCTCCCGGATTCTGTCATGCTGTTCATTATCCCAAAGTGATCTTCTTTGAAATTCACATTACTACTCTTTTCTTGATGGTACCAATGATTCTAGCACCCACTATGCTGCCTAAGGCTGCCCTTCTTAAGATTAGATATGGACCTGACCCATCAGGACTTTCCATCATTTTATTACCCTGAAGTTACTTGTTTTTCCATCAAATCCTACTACTTATGGGAAGAAATGTTCTCCAATCCACCTGTTGCCCTCACTCAGATCCCACCCCTGTGCGCCGGGCATTCTGTTGAGGAAAGGGAGGTGCTAACTAACCAGGAACAATGAAGGTAATCGGAACAGGTGCTTTTGTTTAATTCTCAGCTACCTTATAGGCTTCATTGGTTGTATGTGGCTTCTGCGAACCTCTGCTTGTCATCTTTTCACTCTAAACGAGATGAGTTTGTCTCTTAGAATCCATTCGTACCTCCAAGGTGTTCAGGACACAGAAGCAGAGCATAAGTGTAAATTCTGGTGGTCCTGGTGTCATTAGGGAGGAAGTCCTGCCAGAGGCATCCCGACAATGATGAAAATGACTACGATGATAATGACATCAGCTGGAATCTCTTATTTTTCTGTGAATCTACATGACCTTACATTAAATGGCATTTATCCTCACACCTCACATGCATCTCTCTGTAACAAGTGAAGTGAGAAGGGAAGTCTCCTCTCCCATCTCTCCCTTTCCTGTCCTCCATGTTTCAAGCTGGACTTCTCAGCCTTCTCTAAAGCCCCTTTGCTATCCAGTTACTGTGACCTTGTTCATGCTGCTCCTCCTGGCCCCCTTGCTGTATTCTACCATCCTCATCTCTGCAAGTTCCAATATAACTTGCTCAGAGTGTTTCCCCCATAAAGCATTTGTTCCTCCTTGGCTTCTAGTTCATGGATAAGGGTGGGGTGGGATGGGGTGGATGGAGAAAGAAGATGGAGGAAAGAGGGAAGAGGGAGAGTGGAGGGAGAAAGGAAGGGAGGGAAGGAGAGAAAGATTCCCCCTTAATTTTGTCTTTGAAAATTTCTTCAGGACATGAACAAAATCTGAGAAATATATCTCATAAGGCAGTATCAAGCACAATGTCTTTAACAGAAAATATTCAGTAAATATTTGTGGAAGAAATGAAAGAATGAAGGAGAGAAAGAAGGAAGGACAGAGGGATTAAATGATTTTTTCTAAATATAAGTCCTAAATTATTTCAAAAATTTCAGATTCAGATTATTATAAAAATATGTTTTTTCATAAAAGAAAAAAGGCAATTTTCTTTTTTTTTCTTAATTCATCTCACTTTAAGATTTCTGTGTAGATTTGAGGTGAATGTGGTGGGGAATGGGAAAGTGAGGGAGAGGGTTAGGGTGTGAAATATAAAGAGAAGTGAGAAAAATTTAAAATATAAAGAGAAGTGAGAAAAATTTAAACATTTGTTAAACTGGACTTTTTACTAGGAAATTTACTAGGAAATTGCTTTGAAGTTCCTGATAGAACTTGTAAATCTGAATGGTGATAAACTAGTAAACCTGCTTGGAGCAACATTTTTTATATGGCACATAATGAAAAGGCTTACAAGAATCCATATTTTTTAGATAATCAACTCTTGTCTGAGATTGACAACACTTAAAGCTAGAATCCTATATCATGGAATGAGAAATAGATAACAAAAGAGTATCCTATTCTTCTGATAAGGACAATAGCTTATTTTTTAGTGGAAGGGACTTGCAACAGCTCACTATGTACTCAGCAAGTATCAGGCATTATGCCAAGTACTTTACAAAGCTAAAAGTGGATTCTCACCAGGGGTGTACCGGTAGACTCAGGTGGTCAAGTTACACTAATGAGGCAAGAGAATAGGGTCTGGAGGCAGGGAACCTAAGGCCGTTTCACGCTGACTTCCTAGGACTAAATTGAAAGAAAAACCCTAACTTTCCACTGGCTAGGTAACAAAAGGACCAGAGACCACTCCCTTTGCAAAACCCCACTTTTTCTAGGTGGCAGATTGAAAATGGAAAGTATCTCTGATTGGTTGCTTTTTGCAACCAATCAGATGCTTGCATGGGAGTGTGACCTATGAAACTTCACTTCAGCCTCTGATTAACTGCTGTCTGCAACCAATCAGACTGATTGTGGGCCAAGTCTTCGTTTGCATAGAAATGTAACTTTGTAACATCACTTTAGCCTCTGATTGGTTGCAGAAAACTTGCATAGGACTGTGACCTTTGTAACTCAGCCTCTGATTGGTTGCTTTCTGCAACCAATCGGACTGGTTGCAGACCACCACTTCATTTACATGAGGTGAACACCACTTCATTTACATCAGGCTAATGGGAAACCTCTAGGGGGTATTTGGACCTGAGAAGATTCTGCATCCAGGCCCTTGAGCCCCTTATGCTCTGGCCACTCCCACCCTGTGGAGTGTACTTTCGTTTTCAATAAGTCTCTGCTTTTGTTGCTTCATTCTTTCCTTGCTTTGTTTGTGTGTTTTGTGCAATTCTTTGTTCAAAACGCCCAGAACCTGGACACCCTCCACTGGTAACACTAAGTGAGTCAATATGTGCAACCCTGGGCACACAGCATACGTTTTCTTACCTAAAATTGGGGAAAATAAGAGTACCCATCTAATATAATTATTGAAGGTTTAAATGAGTTATCGCATATAAAAAGCCCTTAGAGCACTGCCTGGTAAAAGGAAAGTGCTAAGTAAATGTTAGCTTTTATTGTTACAGTAGTTCATCAGCTATAAGAGACCATCGATTGTTAGTCACACTGTTACTCTAAATAGAATAAGAAAGAAAAGTAAGATGGGAGTCTAATAAGAGACCTCTGCAAAAAGCTGAAACACCAAACAGCTATTCCCTTAGCACTAGAATATGCCAGAAAGAAAGCTTCCATTCAGAAAGGCACAGCAAGAAGAGAAAGAGGAAAAATAATCTTCCCTGAGAACTTGAACCACAAGCAGATACTCATGCAGGTTTCTGATACAAGTTCATACTGACAGTGCGAAAACAAACAAACAAAACACCTCAGCAAATAACTTTAAATGGTCTCAGGTTGGTAGTGACCCCAGGTGACCATGTGAAATAATGCCAATCCTCTGTGGACAAATTTAACTTTGTTGCAGGCTGACAGTGACTGCAAGGAAGTACTGAGTATAAGTATTCTTAGATAGCTGAAAATGTGGAAAAACATTTTAAAAATCAATGAAATATGGTGGTATCATTGTTGTCACCGTTGTGGTCACCACCACCACCACCATCATCATTCTAGGGAACAAAGAATCAGAAATGGTGCCTGGACTATTTTAAATGATTATCCCTCAGCCCACATCCTTAAGGAGGCATAACCAGAAGTCCATAAGGAAAGCATGACAAACAGTCCTGGAGCTGCCCAAGACATCAGAATTTACCAATGCAAAATACCTTTTTGAGATTTTTCTTCTTGTCAAGATTGCACCTGTGGAAAAAAAAAAAACTTCTTTTTTTGAACTTGGTTTAGATTATGTTGCTCATGCAGGCATATCCCACCCACTTCTCATACATAGATATCAATTGTGGTACCTCCTAGCATCTCTCTAAGGAATATACACTGTCCTCTTATAGGTCAAAGTTGAACCTCGGTAGAGTGAAACATGCATGTTAAACAGTCTTTCACCGAAACACAAGCAGAGTTTTGCTACAGCACAGGTCTCATGGTGATAATAAATAGTATTGTGCCAAGAACTCTTGAATTTCTAAGTAGGACAGTTTTCCTATCAATTCTGAATTTAATATTGCATTGACAGTCATTTGAATCACTAAAACAATATAAAGCATATGCATTTATTACGTATAGTTTCCCCTGCTAGAATAGCAAAGGCAGAAACATCTCCACTATTAGGCAGGAACCTAGATGTAAAATGCACAAGGTCTGTTATCAAAGAGCCTTTGATTTTTTTTTTAAACCATCACCAGATCACTCTGTGCCAGATTTCCAACAGTATTAGCCATCCCAATCTGGATGTCCCAGAAGCAACTCAAGTTCAATAGTCCAAATCCAAACTAATGATCTCTGCCTCTCTGATCCACTCTTCCTTACCTATACTGTTCCTCTGAGTTGCTGCCACTAAAGTTACTTTGAAGCCCCAAGAATTAAAATCTTAGCTCTACTTAATAGCTGAATGACCTCAGACATCTTAATTTTCTTTTTCTCTGATTCCTCATCTGTAAAACCAAAGGGTCATTATGAAAATTAAATACTTAGATAACACAGAAAAGGCCTAGCTTAGTGCCCATTACATAGCAGACAATCAATGATCATCAATTTCCTTTTTTTATCCACATATCAGGTTGCCTACATAAGCTATTCTTTCCTCATGCAATGTCTTCTTTCCTTTCCTTCCTCTTTCTCTCTCAGGAAAACTTCTACTTGTCCTTCAAGATCAAATTCAAATGTTGTCTCCTCTGTGAAACCGTCCTGCCCCTCCAAGAAGATTCAGAGCGCTTTGTTCTGACTGAAGCACACTTCACATCCTGTAGCAATCGTGATTACAAAGCAGCCATCATCATTCAACCAAATTCAGCAAATACACAGCAAACCATATCCCACCTTCTCCCCAGGCAGACATTGCTAATCAATCATAGCACTATTTCCACCTGAATCAGGATGCAACTTCAGAATCCTCTCAACATAATGTTGCAGGTGGTTGTGATACTAATCAGTTTACCACTTAGCAATAAACTTAGCACTTAGCTGTCCTTAGGCAGCAGCTTAAGGACAGAGGCTATATCTAGATAAGTCTACAAGCTGTCTGACCACAAGTCAGATTATTAACCTCTCTAGGCCTCAGTTTCCTCATCTGTACATCCATTTTTTAGTGATCACTGCTGGCTCCTGAGTTTAATGACTCTATAATGATAACCGAGGGACCTTGATTGTCTAGAGCTGGTATCACTAGAAAAAGGGTTTGCAGCACAGCTTTGCACATGGCTCCCACTCTGGCCCACATCCATTTCTTATCACAGAGTTAGGCATGCCTTTAGACACTTGAAAATTGGAGCCACTGTCTACATAATTGAAACAGAAATAGGGTGAGAATTTCTGATCTTTCAATTGGGCAGATAGCAGCTGCCACTTACCAAAGCCTACCTGATTGCAGCTATTTTACACCTGCTGAGAAAAAGTTTACAGCAAAAGAGATTACTTCCTTTTTTAACCCTTGGCTGAGAACCCACCTCCATATTTTTCTGTCCAGTTGTGCAGAATAGATCAGGTTCAGTCTCCCAATATGTAGATGAACACTGATAGGTTAGCGCACATGGTCAAACATCTTCCACTAAGCCCTGGCACTCACAATGGGAATTTTAAATGTCCACTGAGCCAGTTTGTTGAAACCTGGTATCTTATCAGAAATGGTGCTACATAAAGCAAAGAGAGCCTGAGAATTTTTATGCTATGCATATTTCTTAAAATAAAGGGAAAAAATCTGTTTCATATCTTATATATGACTGCATAATGAAACTTTCTCTGGAGATTATTTGTTGATTCCATAAGCAAAATATTCAGATTTATTCAGTATGCATTATTGTGAAAATATATATATGAAGTTAGTCCCCAGGGAAGAATTACCAATACATAGTTGTGGAGAAACAGAGGCCATTTTTCCAAATTTCAAAAACAGATTCAACTGGTGGGAGGTAACTTTGTGCTGGATCTTAATATTTTAACTAAAACTTCTGCTCTGGTGCCCAAGACACTCAATGTATCCCAGCTTTGGGAAGAATTTCTCTTTTGCAGAATTAGGCCCCAGTGACTGAACTTTTACAACCCCTAAAGGCTTTACCCACCATACTTTAAACCACACATGTACATCCCCTTTTTAAAGTTGCAGTGACTTGCTAGACTGTGAGCTCTTGAAAACTGGAAGCTGTATCTGTTTTGTTCACTAATGCTTCCCCACTGGCAAAAGCAGCCAAGCCAGAAGCCTTGTGCACACAAACTAGAAAATATACAAGAATCTGGGTATTTCGTATGCCTGATCAAGAGCTTCCCAGTTCATCTGCTTTAACCACAGATCTATTGCCCTAGTGCAGCAAGAAGAGAAAGGCCGCCTCCACACCCTCATGTCTCCTTCAGCACCTAGCCACCAATTCACAAGATGAAACTTCGAAAACACATAATTTACATTCACTTAAAAACAGCATTTGCTGAATTTGCTAGGTAATTTTTCAAAGCATGAAGGTGGCCCTGTATTCTTAGCATATTTTGACATTTTTATGCATTTTATTTTTAGATGGTATTCTGCAAATCAGGCTTTGCTCCTGATTTTCACAAAGCCTTTTCTTCCTGAGTAAAATAGGTGAGCAGTTCACCAACGCAGGGCAGCTTTTATCTGCAAAAAATCTGCCTTTCAGCAGAGCAGACAATACAAGCAAAACGGAGGCAAACACATGCAATATTTCCTATATGTGGATTGTGATTCTTTTTTCCCATGGGATGTGCAAGTGGCAAGATAGTTTATTCCCATGTGGTGCTGATAGCAGGTCCTGAATATTTCTGGATACATCACTTTTATTGCCTTTTATACTGAATTACTGTGAAAGAAAAAAATACTTTTGTGAAAATTCAAAATCAAAATACGTTAGGGACTTTTAGAATCCACCTCTAGGACATAAAGAAAAGCTTAAGAAAACAAATACTTCTGCTAAGGGATACCAGACACCACTCCCACTGGGACAGGGCCCCTTCACAGAAAGGAAGACATGTCAAATATTTATGCTGACGTTCAGGGAAAAACTGCAGGTGTTCCATCCGGGTTTAGTTACTCTGAGCCTTGTCCCTGCTGCTTTAGAACTTACCATGTAATGGACAAAATTTGCCCGAGGGTGCTTTGGCCTATAACATTTCAGCCCTGCATGCTGCTTCTGGGATTTGGTTTATGATACTTTCTAATTTTATATTTCACTAGAAATCTCACCTCTCCTTTGCCCATCAATCGTAAGGATTCTTGTTCAGTATATACCATGTGTTGGTTTCTTGGGTAAGTTTTTAGATAGATTTTCTCCTCTTTCTACACAATTAAGGATTCCACATACTAAGATACGTTATTTGAAGCACTTTAATTGCCAGCTTGTCATTTCCTACTTAGGTGAGAGGGAGTTGTCTATATGGCAAGATAAAGTCCAAGTGTCTTAACATGTTATAAAAGCCCCTTCATAATCTGACCTCTGACTGTTCCTCCAGCCTCATCTCTCAGCCTCCCAAACTTGTACCCTATACTTTAACCATGGTAAGCTTTTTGTGGTTCTTGATAAATTCCATACTTTTCAATTGCCACATATATTAGTATAGTTTTTTTTTCTGTACAAAACTTAAGTTTTTGTACAACCCTAGAAACTTTACTTCTCTGATACTTCTCCTAGCTGTTCTTCTGTCTCTTCGGGAAGTTAGTCTCTTGATTCTTGAGGAATAGACAGATAGATAGAGAAGAAAATTTAGATATGTAGGTAAAAAACAAACAGATACAGTACAAATTATATATCTGTATAATAGACATGATAAAATTGCAGTACCATTAATTGAGCATCTACTATGTTTCTGAAATCATGCTAGGTCTCGTACACATATCACCTCTGATCTTTACAACTACAATGTATGTAAATACCTTTATCCCCCACTTCATAGTTGAGACAACTGTTCATTAAAAAGATGAATGATTTGCTCAAATTAACAGCTAGTAACTGGTGATGTCAAGATTCAAACCAGGCGCACCTAAAAAGCTAATGATCTTTCCATTATACCACAAGGATATCTTATTCTATACTTATGTCATGTGTCCTTCTATATCCTAAATAAGGATCCTGTATTTATTTAGTCATATTTCTGTCTACCCCAATAAGTTAGAATACAATGCCTTAAGGAAAAGGACAACATACCCCTGGCTCTGGAAACTTATTATTTGGCACATATTAGATGTGCAAGAGATGTTGGTGAATCAATACATTAAATGAATGAAATAATCTGCTCCTGTAATTTTCAGGCAAAAAATAATTATTGCTGTGGATATTGAGATACTTTTAAATTATTGTCAAGAGACAATATAGTCAAAAGAAAAGATGATTTAGAGACAGGAGAGATGAGATTCTCATCTCCACCTTGGACAAATTAGTTCCTATCTACTGATTTCTCAACTGCAAAATGGAGAGAAGAGCCCCTTCTCCACAGATTTATGAAGCTTGCTTCTGATAAAGTCCATAAAAGTCCTCCCTTTATAGGCTTTCAAGTTCTATACAGATGCTGACCAATGCTGATGCTCAACTACACATGATGATTTTCTTCAATGACCATTTAATACAAAATATTAGTAATACTTTTGTGACAAGAAAATATGAGGGCTAAAGAGATTTGATGTTTTTCACCAATCAACACACATTTATGGGGCAACTGCACCATACAAGATATAGGGTTGAAATTTAATCTTTTCTCCCAAAATAATAAAGTTGATGGCAGCAGAAAGTATAAAGGGGAAAAACTAGAATATATTTATTATAAAATAACACAATGCCTTTCTTTCTCATCAGAGTTGAAATTCTACAAGGGCTGGAACTGTGTCTGTTTTGGTTGCCACTATGTCATCCCAGTATAATATCTGATATACAGGTGGCACTCAACACTCATTGGTTAAATACACATTCATGGTTCATCGTTTAGTAAAACACTGCTATGGACATTTGGGGTTTCTAAGATAAAGCATGGTCTGGAAATGGACAGTAAAAACAAAGAGAGAATTGAATTTTCTACATATGAAAGGCAACAGGAATTTGCAGATTGAGAATTGACGAATAGAAGAAGAGAAGGGTCGATGGGAGAAAAGAAGTCCAGGAAAGAGGCAGCAAGTTAGCACCTCAATGGGGTGACCCAAAGACATTTCCTTAGAAAGAAAAGAGAACAACTGAATTTCTACCATTTAGTGGTAAAAGTTCTCAAAGCTACGAAAGAACTCAGAGCTACAGTACTCAAACCATTTCATTGCACAAAAATGTATTTTCACACAGACACACACACTTCCCAAGAAGTTTGCTTTGCTTTCCTAGTTTTCATTCTTTTTCCTCCACTTCCTCCCCTCTGGAGACTATTCTAGTGAGGCAACCATGGATGTTAAAGAAACCAGTTTTGACTCAAAGGCAAGTAAACTTTCCCTTTCTGATTCTCTAATCAGGAACATGAGGATAGTAACCTGCCATTTCTCAGAGTAAATGAGGATTGAAAGAAATAAGATGCATAAAAACGTTCAGAACACACCACCCCCACATATGCTACTTTGGCATAATTATTTTGAGCTAAAAGCACTTAAAAAATAGGAGGTGCAAGATCACTCCGACCCTCCATCTGTTTCCCAAAAGCAGGAGGTGAAATTCCCCTATGGATTTCATGTGAAAGATCCCTCCCTATAGTAGAAAGAAAGCAACATTCTTATCATCACGGACAGGAAGCTGAGACTAAGAAAATTCTGTACTAACCTTGTTAAAATAAGTCTTATCTTCTAGTCTCTCCACATAATTATTTTCTTTTTCACAGCTCACTATTCCTTTTCCAGTTCAGTATGTAAGTCTTCAACAATAACTGTGTCTTTGGGTCTTCATTTCCTCATGAAGGATCCTGTGCCACCTAAAATTTGTATTAAATACATTTTTCTCCCATTGATCTGTCTATGTCAATTCAATTCAAGGTGGGAACAAAACCAAAAGAATAGAGATAAGATTTTCTATCCCCTACATACATTATGCCTCTAGCACATAGTGAGTGCTCAATAAATGTCGATTTTATTCCTTACTCCCTATTCTCTCTCTAGTCATCCTACATCACTAGGGAAACAATTTGCAACTACAGAGACTCCACTGAGCAGCAGTAGGAACACACATACACACAGATTCTAACACCCTGCCTTTTACCAAATGCAATAGTACCGAGGTCCAACATTTCCAAACAAAGCATAATACACTTGGTAGACATTCTGAGAGTTTTCAACTACAAAGGGCCATGCTAGTAACACCTTAAAATACAACCTTTGGGTCTCTTTAGTTTGAAAAATCTTCAAGAAGCTCTTTGATATCAAAGAACATACCTATCTTCGGTAGCTTTAAACTATAATTGCTCAGGCTCCCTGGTGGGAAAAAATAAAGCCTCATAGAGAAAAAGAAAAAGAAAACATCTCAATAAAGGCTTCCAGAGGAAAAAAAAAATGCCCACTGGTTTGCAAAAATGCTTAACAGAGCTCTTCCTTTGCCCAGCATGGAGTGGGGCAGCTGCTCAGAAGAAGAAACAAATTACAACAGGAAGAGTCAGGGAAGTATTACAGTGCTCTACCCTGCTCAGCTGTTAACAAGTTAAACATGTGACTTTTCCATCACAAATTATGGAAATTTGAATTATTTTACCTTCTAAAAGTTGAACAAAATGAATAAAATAAATAGAATCTTCCCAGGACCTTTTGCTTTCTTAGAGTGATGGACAAGTGCATTAACTTCACATAAATTATATGCCTAAACGCAGCAGCTAACAACATGCTACCACATACCCATCACTCTGCTTCCGTTAAGTGGGTTGAACTTGACCTTCAAAGCCCTTGAAATGCAAAAAAAAACTTACTCTTTTCTGACATTTATGAGTGTCTTTTCTGCTTGACTGCCTTTTACCGCCCAGAAATAATAGTGAAAGCATTGTAGATGAAACCCGCTATAAACACTGACAAATAACAGGAAAGGCAGACAGTTTTATTCCGGGCAGGTTAAAGCTAATCTAATCAAATCTAATTCTCTCTCTTTCTGTAAGCCTACCACTATGTTCAATTTATTTTTTGATTAGAAGTGCAATATGATAGTCCTCTTTGGACTGCAGTTAAACAATAGTGAGGTTTACATTTTCCCTACAAACAATTCTGATAAAACAAAATATTTCAAAGGTTTTTTTTTTAATAAAAAATATGCTCAGACCAAAAAAGAAACTGTTTCCCAGTGCTTTTTGACTCTGAAAATGTATTGATTGTTTCCATTCTAACAAATAATATATACCTAAGAGAAAGTGTTCTTTGGTCCTGGGTTTCAGAAATTTAATAAAAAGAGCTCTTTGAAAATACTGACTAATGGCAGTAAAGACATGACATTATGTGTATTTAAATACTGAATAGTGGGAACAATGAGACTCCTATCTGAAGAATAGTTAGCAATTCCGTTAGCAAGGTACAAAGAGCTATTTTCTTTTCATTGAACAAATGTATAGTCCCTCGTTAAAAAGAGTGCTTTCTTAGTGAGTGCAAAGGAAGTCTACATGCTCCACAAACGGTTTTGTATAAATGACCAGTTTGCCTTCCTCTGAAAAGTTTTCATTGACCAGTAAAGAATCCTGTTTCTTCCACTCTTTAATTATGATATAAAGCACGTGCATATGTGTATACCCCTCCCTCACACACATACACACACACTTCTACTTATAATGTACCAGTTCTTTCGCAACATCAATATAGCCTGTTTTAAAGCTTTATATTTAGAAACAGAAGGAATTTTACTGAAGATCTTAGAATAAGAGATAAAAAAGGCCACCACTTTGCTTTATCTTCTAATTGACAGTGGTACATAACCCTCACGTAATAGGAAACCTATCACAATATGTTGGGATTCCAACGAGATGTTTAAATGTTTCTTGCATTGACCTTGTGAATAATATAAAGACTGGCAGCTATGATAAACAGGAAAGGACACCTGCCTTTGGTGTCACTTGGACCTTAGTTCTAATATGAGTGTTTCTATTAACCAGTAATGTGGCCATGGGCTCTTTGGGACTCAGTTTCCTCATGTATAGTATCAATAGAGAGGACAAATGGATTTAATATTTTCTAAAGTTACTTCTAATGCCATATGAGAATTTGTATGGGGCTAAAGATCACATAAGGTGATAGATCAATGCCAGCATAGGGAGAGATGAGGACCCTGATGACACCTACCAAAGCATCTGTGTTTTTCTGATGCCAGTACTGTTGATCAAATCTGCAAAAGATACAACACCATGGTAACAGCATTATTGGCAAAATCAGCATTTGAAAAACTCTCAGTAAGGTAGAAAGATTGGTTAAGCAGTATCATTAAAATTGAAAATGGTAAGTAGGATTCAGTTAAAAAGATTAAAAGGAAAACATGACTCCAATAAAAGATGAGGGGAAATGTTTCCTTTATATTACTTAAGAAAAACCTGAGGTTTTAGTTGACCAGGAAGCACAAAATGATTGACATGGCAGCTTAAGAAAATAATTAATTTAGGGAACTAGGGATTAATCTGGCACAGAGAAGACTTGAGGAGTGATTAAGCCTCAAAATACTCACAGGGAAGAGGGAGTTGACATGTTTATTTTTGTGCAGAAGATAGAACTAGGTCCACCAAATGGAAGTTCAAGGAGGTAGATTTTGACTTCATATAAACAATAATTTTGGTTTTATATATCAGAAAGTGTTTGTTGAGCATTTAGTGTGTCCTGTGCATAACTGACATGTGGGGCTACAGAAAAGGGCACAGAATCGCATTCAAGGAGCCCAGAGTCCAGTAATAAACATGCTACGGTGAGAGGAAGTGAACACCCCAAATGGAATAAGTCATCAAGCAAGGCTTACTGATGACTGCTAAAGGGAAATCTTGTATATATTGGATGACTTATTAAATCTAACCTCTTTTCAACTTTAGTTCCAGGCCACTGGTTCTGGCTGTGGCAAGGCACTTCCTTTAAAAATTGCAACAAGTAAGCCAATCTTACTTACTGGTACTTATACACCAAGTGTCAGAAATTCAACCACAAAGAGAACTTATATTTTAAAAAGAGGACTCATGGTTACCAGTTGGTTCATTCTTTCTACAAACATTTCATAGGGACATCCTGCTCACTGCTCTGCGAAGGACTGCCCTTGTGATATTGAAAGCCCACTGGTTTTCTACAAACATTCCTCAGTGCCCAGGTGTATCAGTGTATCATTTCCCACTCTACTGAAGCTATCATTTCCCACTCTACTGAAGCTACCATTTCTAATATAATAATTTTAAATTGGGACTCAGAATGTTTTAACATCTCATGAGATGGAACATCAAGAAGTGCATATTTTCAATGTTGCTGTAATATTAAGTTCCTGAGAAGGTTCATTGCTCATTTCTGGTTTGGGCAATGTTTTATGACAAGCTACAATTAATACAAATCCCAAGAATTATCTTGGAGAGCTCTCAAAATGGTGCTATAAGATTTCCTCAGTGAGGCTGCTAAGTCTTTTGGCCATAAATCTCCCCCAGTAACACGGCTTATTCAATTTAAGGCTGCAAGCCAAAGAGAGATTAATGAGATGAGTTGTCCACCAGTCAAGGAAAGAACACAAGATCTATCCTATCTTATTTCATCTTCTGGTTTAATCATTATAAGTGTTATGTAATGTGACATTCACACATTACTGGAGATGTTCAAGGAACAAATTGCACATCACTAATCAGCAGATCATTTTTCATTTTCTTGCAGAATGTAAAATTAATGATGCCCTCCCTTTTTTTTTATTAAATTCCTAAAAAACAAGTTATATTAAATAACAAATTGAACATAGGAACAATAAGCATTTTTTTCTTTTGCAATTTCAATGCTTTTCTCTACACTAACCAATCCCAGCAGTGTTAGAAAAGAGGCTTAAGGAGCTACTACTTATTTTGTTTCGGTTCGTTAGAACTCCGACAAGCAGCCTGCTCTTTCGGGATCCAAAATGTTCTTTTCCCACTTGATTCTTTCATGTCTGTTATTCCTCTTTAACTTGGTGATTGTAACATACTTGGATGCGATTTCCAATCTGCTAATTGGGTCCTGGGGAGTGTCCCGGCTGGGCTGGGGCAGCGAGGCCACATTGAATTGGCCGGGCCTCATGCTCTCTGCCAGGAGGTGCTCCGGCAGGAATCCCTCTGACAGAGGAGCTGCAGGATGCCCCTTCGGCTGGCGTGGCTGATGGAGGTGGGCACCCTGCCTGCAGGCACTGCAGCCTCAATCAGCCCGCCCCTCCAACGTGCTGGGGATTTTAATTAAGAAACCCTTTCGATATGCCGTTGTAAAATACTGAAGAAGGCTCATCAAAAAGAAGCTTGGATTCTCTGAAATTTAAACATTTAGTAGGCCCCAGGAACCACTTTATTTTCAAGTTATGGCGGTCACTTAGAACATCCATCTCCTCCTTTCCTGCTCAAAACAAGCCGGTTTCATAGGTTATTCTTCTCCATCTCCTTTAGTACCTACTTCCTTAATAATTCAAGTGTTACTTCCTCCTGACATTTCTCAGTTGGACCTTTCAAATTTTAGCTGTGGTTAGATAACACGGTGCTGCTTTGGCTCAACAGCTCGCTCGGTAAATAGGTCAGGACAGGTATGTGTGGATCCCCTCCTCCCCTGTTTTATTCACACACAGCTGTCCACCTCCTGAAAGCTGCCTTCCTTCAGGGACACACAGCAGCTGATCCATCATCTACAGTGAGAAAAGGAGCAGCGACATGTAGGGCCACCCCAGGGATGTTACTGCTAGGAAATCAGTTGCCAAATGCAAATGTCCCAGTATGAGATAAGGGTGGGAGGTAGCTGTGGAATGAGGGAAGAAAATCCATCAAACCTGGATTTAAAACAAAAAAGACCTGGCTTCTGGTCCTGGACATGCTATTCACTGCCTGTGTCACCTCTCTGAGCCTCAGTCTCCTTTGCTGTAAAGATAATATCTGCCTCAATGAGCAGCTGTAGACACGTACCCACATACCCAAAGAGGTGGCATTCGTAGCTGTGGTTAAAAAAATCAAAACAGAAACAATATCAGTATTTACCAGAAAGTAAGATGGCTAAATAAATAATGAGGTATTCATTCCATGGGCATGCAGTCATTGAAAGGAGTGAGGTAGATCTGAATGTTTTATTATGGAACCATCTCCAAGACATATTATGATTTTAAAAAAAGCTTGAAGTAGAAAATTACATATAGTTTGATATCCTTAGTGTTAAAGGATCTACACAGCAATAGTGTACTTTTTAAAATAGTCTTACCTGAGCATAAATGAATAGAAACAAGTGCTGGACACACACAGTGCTAACAGGGGTTAATCCTGTGGAGGGAGCAGGGAACTGGAACCAGATGTGGCTCATGGGGCATTTTTACTTTTATCAGTAATACTTCAATTTCTTACAAAGGAATGCATTTCTTTACTACATGTGTAACTAAAAACTATTTCAAAAGAGAAAGAGTGCTTGTGAGATAATGAGTGTGAAACTACTCTGAAAAACAGAAAATCCTGGGTAGATGTGAACTTTTACTATTCACTCTGCCCAGGTCACACCACATCTATCACAGCCATTTCCACCTCAGGCAAGGCAGGCAAAGCAACTCATTCCCTCCTCCCTCTGTTCCCTTCATGACTAGCTTCAAGAACCCTGTGGAAGGGGGGTTGGGCTTCCACTGGTTCCCTCCCTGTGCACATAACCAAGCAGTGAATGTGATGGCCTTAAGGCGGAGCCTACATCAGGCCCTAGGTAAAAAGCCTGTTGATTAAACCCTCTATTGGTTACGGGCCTCCAAGTACAACATGTAAACCTCTTTTGGGATTCCTTCTATCAATGCTTCATCAGGTCCAACTTAATGGGGTTGGTGCAACCCAGGGGTTTCTGGACCACTTTTTTCCTCTCCACTCATCCCTCTTACCCCTCAGCCCCACAAGAAGCCTCACTAAGCAAATGTTTTCCTAATGAAACCATTCCTGAATTTAAACTTTTTGCCCCCTTGAGGGTGCTATCACCCCTGCTGGGAACCCATGATGTAAGCTAACTATTCCATACTATGTGCCAGGTGCTTCTTAAAGCATGGTGCCTGAATTTAATCTTTAAAAACATGAGTAATCGGAAGCACAGAGAAGTTAAGTACATACCATAGGTTGCCTAGCAATAAGTGCCAGGGCTGGGATCAGAACCCAGACAGTCTGACTTCCATCTATGCTCATGACCACTGCCCTATGCTACCTCTCAGAGAAAATGTGCCCAAAAATGCTTGAGAAAAACATCTTGCCTTACAGACAGAGATCAATAGAGTTTATCCCACATGAAACTGTCACCTTTCAGTGGTGTTTGTAGCAAATAGAGGTTGAGATTAAAGGTAACACACCAAAGTGTAAGTAACATAAGGTCCTATAAACATAGGTTTCAGGAACACAAGTGGGAGGAAAGAACAAACCTGCTTTTATTGGAGTTTATGGCACTTAGAGATACAGTTTCTTCTTAGACAAGATGTGAATATACAATGGCATGAGACGTACTTTGGAGGGGGAAGTGTGGTTCTACGTGACATACACAGTAATCAGATTTTTGAGCCCCACACTTTCATATATGAAATGAGCAAACCACAATGTGTTCATTTTTCTGCTCGCTATAATAGAGCATGGGTCGGTGGGTATCTTTTCAGCCTCTCATCCAGGACTCCCAAAATAGAGCTCTCCCATCTGACTCTGACCATCACCTGTGTTTTACATTCACAGAGTCCTGCTCACATCTCTGCACATGGCATGTTCTTCTCTCTATTCATCCAAGTGCAATTTTTTTTAGAATAAAATTGAATCTTATCCCCAAACTCAGACAAGCACACATCCTGCCCTCTTCTTGGAGACCCATACCATTCAGCCAGACCTGTTTTCTTCCTCATCTGAGCTTCCACAGCAGTTACTGCTTGCACCACCCATCTGAACTTCTTTGCAGTAAGGGTTGACTTGACAATTATGTGTGCCATTCCCTCTCTTATACCACAAGTTACTTAGTGGTGAGGACTGCTTAGAACTTATACTTCTAGTTACTTTGTCCAGAGCCCAGCACACAGTGTGATGCCTCCAGGGATGAGGAGACTGGTCTCTGATGTAGTTTGCTGTCTAGAATGTGTAGTGTTAAAACATCCATATCAAGGTGGTGGGGGAGCCATTATTTTTTTCACTCTGCAGGAAAAAATTGGACCACAAACACAAAATTGGACTTACAAACACATCGTTACTGGGTATAAGGTTGGAGAAGATACAATAATCATTTCAGCACCAAGCTTCCGCTGTGATTTTACAGTGATTTCACCTTTCTCCCAAAGCTTCTAGACAACAGTCATACCTTAGGCCCACAGGCTCCAAAGGTAGCCAATTAAAATCCTGGTAAGCAGAAGAGTCTGGCCTCTTAGTCAAATAATGAATCAGCATCTCAAAGATGAGTGGGAGAGGTGATCTCCCATGCTACTTCTCAGTTGGGCAGTGAATTGTAGGTAATAAGCACATGGCTCCCAAGGCAGGCTGATTGCTAAACCCCTTCTGCTGCTCACAAACTCTAGGACCTTGGACAAAGGTACTTAACAACTTTGTGCCTCCATTTCTTCATCTGTAAAATGGAATTAAAGCTGTATTCTCACCCCAAATTAAATGTGGCACACTTAGAAGAGTGTTGCTAACTGTACTATTGTTTGCAAAGGTGCATATAATCAAGAAAGAAGAAACTGGCAGATGCTCTGGATAATGTGAAGAACAAACACACCCAATGGACTAACTTTTAACAATGCTCAAATTCTGGGGTATCAGTGTGCACATTTCTCACATGACAGTCATAAAGCAGGCTGGCTTTTATAATGCCTGCGATTTAGGCTAGGGATGATAGAATCATTCTTTAATTAACCTGCTGCTACCAGAGGATCCTATATAAACCAGAGTACTCATCTTTTAAACAGATGAGCTTTTCACACCTACTAAAATGAATCCAAAGTAATTGCTGTTATCTTGGCGGTTGGGGAGAGGCTTCAGTTTACTGTGACCAAATAACTCCATTTCTGAGGGGATTTGTGCACCATCCCACACTCAGCTGGTGCCATCAAATGCAAAAAAAAAAAAAAAAAGGAAGAAAAAAGAAAACCTACAACTGACAAAATGCAAACTTAAAAATAACTTCAACTGCTCTTATTCTCTTAGCTAAACAAATTATCGCCATAATGATGTTGGGCAGCAATTATGACCAAGTTCACAAACAGACACACTCTATAATCATTTGTGCAAAATGAGAAATCACTTCACCTAAAAATGATTTTCATGACTAAGGACATGTGAACACAGTTCCTCTTCAAGACTATTTTCCCAAGTTCTCACTGACTACTGCTTATCCAACCTTGAATGAAGGGAAGGCTGAGCTAGTTCTAGTTTTAAAACTTGTTTCTTTTTAAAAAAGTTATCATCAATTTCTTCTAACAACTATCTCTGGCAAGATCAGAAGTCCAGAATTCAGAGAAGATTGAAGAACATACACCTTTTGGTGTAAATTATTTCATTTCACTGTGACTTCTTGTAGGGCATTTTAAATGGTGTGTATCTTACTGGGTCTTGTATAGATCATCTCTCTCCAGTTTTCCAGAGATGACACAGGTGAAAAGGAACTCTGTGACTTTCAATTAAATGACAAGGTCCTCATGCTTCAATTGTCCCACTTTCCTGGTGCACTCACAATCAAAGCAGCTGTCCTAGGTCTAGAGCCAGGACACTTCCTGCCTCAAACCAATCTTCATAATTCCCAGTTGGTTTGGCTGAGGCATGGCCATGAGGCCGGTGGCTTCATATAAACAAGTGAGGCACTTTGTGAATAAAAGCAACAAGTCATGGCACCTCATTCCACCCACAAAGGGGAAGAAGGTTGCCCAAGGTCAAGGGCAGGGGTTGGCATCAAACCTCCCTCTTGAGACTCTCATATATCCAGGAACATGGAAAAATAAAGGCCAGGAGGAGGCCTACTCTCTAGCATTTATAGGAGACTGGCGTCCGATGTAGTTTGCTGTTTAGAATGTGTCTGTGTTAAAACATCTCTATGGAGGTAGTGGGGGAGCCACTGGTTTGTTCACTCTGCAGAAAAAATTGGACCACTGGCCTTACAAACACATCATTACTGGGTATAAGGTTAGAGAAGATACAATAATCATTTCAGCTCCAAGCTTCCACTGTGATTTTACACTGTGGTTTTACCTTTCTCCCAAAGCTTCTAGACAATAGTCATAGCTTAGGCCCACAGGCTCCAAAGGTAGCCAATTAAAATCCTGGTAAACAGAAGCATCTGCCCTCTTCTCTCTTACTGTTTCCTCTGTGGCTAAAAATAAAGAGTGGATGGAAAGGCCTGTTACTCTTCAGACATATTTGATCCTGGGAGGCTGAAACAAGTAAGACCAAGCTGATGGCTGCCTCCTTCCAGTAGAATGTTCCCTGTGACATCTTAGCCTATGGCTGTCAGTCTAGTTCTGCATGTCTTTCCTGTGTCTCCATCTGTCTCATTCTCTCTGCCTTCCTGTATCTGTCAGGATGTTGGTGGGGCGGGTCCAGATGGGGGAGGGGGCGCGGGGGTGTGTGTCTGCCTGTTTCTCTCTTTGTGTGTGGGCATGTGTGTCTGTTTTCATCTCCCTCTGTCTCTCTGTCCCTGTTTCTCACTCTGCATGTATCTTCCTGTATCTGTTTCTCGCTGTTCTGTCTCTGTTCCTCTCTGCCAATCTCTCTGCATCTATCTATCAGGAGGTTGTCATTCTGTGTCTCTCTCATGGTCATTCAATCTGTCAGAGCTGCACAATGACTTTTTTGGCCCTAGTCACTTCTGCCCTCATGAGTACCTTCCTCTATAGAAAAAAATATGAAAACATATTTTAGGACTACATTGGCATAAGGCAAGTTTATATAATCTATGCTGAATTCATTAATAAATATTCATTATTTTTATTAGATTCATTTTTTATTCTTGATTTTAAAAAAGATTAAAACATTTTTGTGGAGCCCTAAAACTGCCACGGCCCCAAGGCACCGCACCTATGGTGCCTAATGGGTAAGTCACATTACACACACATGTACACACACACACACACACACACACACCATCCTCCCGACCAGGGGCCTGGCCTCCTGTTGTCTCAGCTTAGAAGACTATAGGTAAGGTCATCTTATCCACTTCTGCTCTAGACTCTGGGGCTCATGTTATTTTTTTCACACATTCTTTTACTTCTCACAGATTAGTTTGGTAACCCCTGTCTCTTTCTTATGTTGGAATGCAAAGATCTAAGCTTCTGGTTAGGGCTTCAGTATGGAAATAAATTAAGAGTGTGTTCTCACAGGCTTTAGTTCTAGGTTAGACACAAGGAATTCTCTATGTGATCATTTCTAGTCCATTAAACATCTGCCTCAGGATGCAGCTGAGCTCCAGGAAGGGCTCAGATCTTCCTTTCCTTGCCTCATTTCCTACCTCTCTTAAGCTGAGAGCTGGCTGGGTGAAGGCAGCAGGATTGTGTGGCCATCTATCTCCGTATCCAGAAACACCTATCCACACCCTATTGTGGCATGACTTACACCCACTATCATTTCTCTGGATGCCTTGGTATCTCATATGTAATCAAGCTTGATTTGTCTGCTTGGGGGACTGAAGGACAATGGCATATGGTGTGAAGCAAGTTCAACTGGATTTGATCACCTTTGCTTGTGGAGACTAAGATACCTTATATGAGAATCCTTAACAATAGTTTGCCTCCAAACCTAATGATCATGTACACTCTTGCCTCAGGAGATCGTTTCAGGTTTGATATTTGGCTGTTTAACTCATTTCTATAATAGTCCTAATTAAAAAGTCTCTTGCAAAAAAAATCCTCAAGCATTTTGCTATCTCCCTGGGAAATAGAATAAAATAAAATTGATTTTCTTCTTTATCAGCAAAACTTGTAAATTGAAGGCACAAATCCCAGGAAGCCAGTATATAAAATTTATCTTAATGTTGCTAATTGGACCCCAAAATACCCTTTCTTGTTTGTTCAAGTTTTGGAAAACAACTAAATTCCACCTGTTCATTCATACTTGCCTATCTCTCCAGACCCCAATAGAATAGAAAATATGTCCAATGTGCCCCTCATAAACATTTTCTTACTTTTAGAAGAACTTTTTGACTGTTTCTGGCTTCAAACTTTCCTTTTTGTCAGTTTTTGCTTACAATGATGTACTTACTTACTCTTCCTATTTTCTTTTATTTGCTAGTGGATTTCCCTCTCTGATCCTTCTGTGTTATCAACATACATTTACCTTCTAATTTCCTTCTGGTGTCAGAGATCTTTGAGCAATTTATTTAACACCAGAGGAAAAAAAATTAAACTTACAAATCTAATAGTAGTAATACTTTAAAGCATAAATTTCTGTTCTTTTAACATCCTATGCATTTCTAACTCAGTTCTCCGGCATTTCCATTGGTTTGATCCAATCCCAACAAGCCAGGGCAAAAAATAGATGAATGACAAAGAGATCAGGTTCCTAATAACATAATGATAAAGGTTCCCTTATACATGGTCACATGATGTCACTAAGTTAGGTTTACAACATGTGAAATTTCCAAACAATTTGAATCCCAACATCTGAAGAAAAAACACCAAGTATGTGAGATATATGATCACACTCATTCAGAGAGGTTCAACTTGAGGGGCACAAATAAAACAATTGCAATGAAAACACTAAAGTTGATGCCTGTATTTCTATTCACTCTCCATCCCACCCCAGAATCACTGAAGAAATAGGAAACTTAGGAAAAACAGAGCATTGTTGCATAGAAAAGTAATCTGATTATTTAAAGTCATGACAAGATGAATAGTGTTAACCTTTCAAAACAAAACTTAGGCAAGAGATCAAAAGAGGCAAGACATGGAGAAGCACAGTTTTACCAAACAGGCCAGATTTTCTTTATATTCCTTGTTTCCAAGTGATATTGTAGGCCCTGACCCCTCATGCCTTCCTCCAAGTTAATGAGACAAAAAACACAGGTTGGCTCTTGAGGGTCCTGCTCATGTACACATAACACTTTCAGTGAGCTCTAGACCACAGCGCCTGAAAGTATTTAAGTTTATTTAAATATAAAGATTCTATTATAACATAGAAAAAAAGAAAACCATTACCAATTCAGGTAACAAAGTAGTATAGCAAAGCTCAATGTGAGTTGTTTTAAAAAAAGAAAACATAGTTTCTTCTTTTAAAGAAAAAAAGCCAATTTTCTATACTCTGTAACATCAACAAATAATAATATAGAAACAAACAAACAAACAAAACAAAGCTAGTTCCTAGCTCAGTGGTCTTACCATTGTTCCGGAGCACTCTTGGGTACTGTGGAAGCTCAGAGGTCACTGAGGGATGGGGGCGTTCAGGGGCAGGAGGCAACCCATGGAGGAAAGTACCACTTTTTTTTTTCTTTTTGAGGCAGTCTAGCTCTGTCGCCCAGGCTGGAGTGCAGTGGCGTGATCTTGATCTCAGCTTACTGCAACCTCCACCTCCCGGGCTCAAGCAATTCTTCTGCCTCAGCCTCCCAAGTAGCTGGGATTACAGGTGTGTGCCACCAGGCCCAACTAATTTTTGAATTTTTTTTTTTTTTTAGTAGAGATGGGATGTCACCATGTTGGCCAGGCTGGTCTGGAACTCCTGACCTCAAGTGATCCACCTGCCTTGGCCTCCCAAAGTGCTGGGATTACAAGTGTGAGCCACTGCATCTGGCTGGGGAAGTACACTTCTATGGGTTTTATACAGTGGGTTCTCCATAAGACATTGTTACAAGAATATTTCTAGTAATCTAAAAAATTAGTTTGAACATATAGGCGATTCCTCTAATTTAAGAAAAATCACAATAAAGCTGATCCCTGAGAAACAGTAACTGGTGCCATTTTAAATGACTTTGTTCAGATGTCACTGCTGCACTATTGATAAAACTAAAACTGGAAACTACCTAAATATCCAATAATCAAGTATTGACATATACTGAGTATAGAGTTTTAGGCAATATTAATAATGATACTGTGGTTTTAAATGTGTTGACATGGGGAGATGTTCATAATAAACTTGAAGGATTTAAAACATATGAAAGATTAAGTATAGTATAATTGCATTTGTAATGTGTATGTATTTATCACATATATAAAATTATACATATATCACATAAATACACATACACACATGGGTATGAATATGTGTCCCTAAGTCTCTTTTTTCTTCCTCCATTCCCTCTCACCTGAAATTCCTCACAAAAGCTTAATATAACCAGTCTCTCAAGGCAGGACAAAGGGAAGGAAAAGGACTAGACAAGTGAAACCAGAACTCTTCAGCAAGCAGAAGGAGAAAAAAACAAGGAACACATATAATTCTTGTCTCCTCATAAAAGACAACTATAGACTGTTTCTAATCATTTTAGATGACTTGAGGGCATTGATTTAGGAATTTTAAAAGTCTATTTTTCATGCATCCCACCTTCTCCATTTGTCTTTTTCATGACAATCTGAAGTAATTTCCACTTCTCTGGTATCGTCAGTTGAGCTAACATGCATAGAAGTGCCCACTACAGCACCCAGCACCTGGTATGACCTCAATAGATGTTTCCTTCCTCCCTTTCCTTACTGCCAATTCGGTCTAAAAATGTGTTAATAATCTTAAATAATAATGAATCCAGGTCACATGAATTCACTTTGCCTTGAAAATTCCTCAATAGGCAGCATAATCGAGTAGCAAAGTGAACTTTGAGACCTTCCCAAGGACCAAACACTTGAAAATGAGAACAAGATGCTGAATAGGCCCAAGGCACAGCCAGTTTGTAGTCATTATTCTCTGGACCTGGCTCCAGCATTCTGATTAAACAGAAGGGTGCTGTCTGTTGGCCAGGTTTCATTTTCCGACACTCTTCCCAGTGATCTTGGCCCCACTTGAGTCCCCATCTGTGTGCCTTTGAACACTGTGCATGCTCTGTGCAGATGAGGAGTGCAGGCACACTGCTGGAGGAGCTACCCACACACTCCCCAGCAGGCTGCAGGCATCTCTGGCCAGCTTCCCTGCTGAAAAGCACTGGGGCTGCAATCCAACGGCTCTCTCAGGGTGGAACCAAATGAGAGTATATTTTATGACATTCATTCACCTCTTTACTACATTAACACAGAAAATGAACTCATAATTAAGTGTGCATTTGTTTAATGTTATTTTTTCCTCAGGCCTTCTAAGAGAGAAAATTTGCAAACTCAAGAAAAAAATCTATATCGATTTCAAGGTAATATCTCAGGGCAATAATATCTTCAGTTAAAGGAGAAAAAAGCTTGAATTAAGGTGTCGGCACAAAAATATCAGTTAGTGGCTCTGCTACTTACTATCCATGAGGCTTTAAACAAGTTATTAAACCTCCTTTGCTTCAGCTTACCAATCTGCAAAACGAGATAGTAATAGTAAGTACTCAAAAGACTATGATGATATTGAAGAGTTAAATTTATAAAGCTCTTAGAACAGTGCATGGCATAAAGTGAGCATAATATAAATGTTTGACAGATAAATAAATGCATAGTTGGGTGGAGGGAAGTAAGGTGATATTCAGTGAGCATCTACTCTATTTTAGGAGATTTCATGTATTATCTCATTTGCCTTGATGATCAATTTGTAAATGAATATTATTTATTGACCTCATTTTATAGAAAAGAAAAGGTTCAAGTAGAATAAAGTGACTTGCCCAAGTTTGCATGCTAGTAAATGACGAATCTGAGATTTGTAAAGAGGTCTGAATCCAAATCTTTGTAGCATACCATGCACATAACATTATTTAATTCTAAATTCTATGCCCATTATTTCATTTAATTCTTACAAGAATCCTTTCTGATAAGTAAGTAGCACCAGCCCTTGTCTCTACCCATAGTGCATCCAACTCAATCTTCTGTCTCTGGTGGCAGCAATAGGTATGTGTAACAGAAGGTCACAGTGCTCACCCCAGCTGAAATAGGTATGAATTTAGCTTCCCTAGCGGCACATTAGGTATTCATTTACCAAAAATGATAAATGCTGAAAGTACTATGCAAGAAATATAATCCATCTACCCGAACTGGAAAGGACTAGTAGTTAGTTCTAGGAAGAAAAGAGAGACATTGGAGAGTAACAGTCACCAGAATTTCTGTACTCCATTATCAACATATTTTTGAGAATATACCCCAAATATATTCAAACAAAAAGTAAGCAGTAACAACTGATGAACTAAAATAAATAGGATTTCTGAAACTGTCTCCATCTTTCCACTTAGGCAATCACTAATTCAGAACATAGCAAAGGGTGGGTTGGAAAAAAGGGCGACTGGAAGAGAGGACAGAACAGGGAGAATGAAGTGAAGCAGAGAAAGAAGCAAGAGAGAAAAGGCGAAGGAGAAGTGGAGGGAGAAGGAAAGAACAAATAAGAGAACGAAAAATGAGAAAAGGGGCAATGGCAAAAGAGAAAGGGCAAGATGAGAGAAAAGACAGGAGAGAGACAGGAGAGAGAACCAATGGTTAGCAAGCACCCCACTTTCTCCCGAACTCTTTATAATAGGAAAACACAAACACAGAACTCCTCCAGTCGAGTAACCTATATCTGTGCGCTGTTTCTCAAGTTGCATCTATAAAGAGGATCTCTACTAAGTTTTAACTTTCTTCCTAATTCTTCATATTTCTTTTGTGAATTCTGAGGAGACTCCAGCAAGGCTCCTGAGGTCCAGTGTGCCTGGTATAGGAGTCACAGTTGTGCTCTGGCTCTAAAACCTGAGGAGCCCTCCTGACGAAGTGGCTACCATGGACGCCACTTCCGCCTCCGGCAGCTGCCGGCAGACACGACTCCAGGCACTGCAGCTCTGAACCAGCTCAAGTGCTGCACTCACGTGATTATGGCCACTACTGCCTCTGACAAGCCATCAAGAATACTAACCACCCTTTCCCACAAAGGCTCCTCTTTCCCGTTTCTTCTGTAACAACATTCCCCCCACCCGCGAAGCTCTGGAGGCCTGTTGGCTAGCACAGGTTGATTGATAATAACTGTGTCTTCCAGCAAAAGATTCCACCCCTGAGGATCACAGATGGCGAATGACTTGCGGTAATTTTCTTACCAAAGAACACGGGGCTCAGGCATCTAAGCCATATTCAGCAGAGAATCCTTTCCAGTCAGATCCACAGAGGAGGCTTTTCGCAGCCATAAGCTTTCACTTGAGTTGTTATCAAAGTTTTCCATCACTGACTGTTTAAGAAAACATTAAAATGACTCCACACAGACTGCTGCTCTACAATTTCAGTTCCCCTGCCTGGCTGTGTGTGTCCAAATGCAGTCTAGGGGAAGCATGTTGGTGCTGTCTGCTGTCTGTTTCCTCAGGTGTGCAAAATCTCCTCCCTGGGAGCCAAGTGGCCCCCTCAGCCAGCAACAGTGACAAGAAGAGATGGATAAAGTTGTATCAAATGTCTGCTGACCTTAGTGAGGGGAGACAGAGCCACATAATTGTCTACAGAAAGGATTATCCATTCCGGTCATTGTACTCAAATGCTTAGAAAATTGTGAACATTCTTCTTGCCCGAGGGAAAGTACTACGCGATGAACAGAACTATTTTGGTGTGAAATCCACCTGATTTTAAATCCTGGCTTTACCATAAACACATTCGCTCTGTGACTTTGAGTAAATTACTTGGCTTTCCTAAACCTTGGTTTCCCTTGTCATGAAAATAGGACAAATAACACCTAACTTCGAACGTTGTGGTGAGGATTAAATAAGATTATGTAGGTGTGGCAGGCAAATTTACTAAAATTACTTTCAAATTGCAACATTTTCTGTTTATTTTTCTTTTCTTCTCCGTTCAAGCAGATAGACAAACTCTTTCATTCTCTGCATCAGGGATTTGGTTTCCTCAAAAAGTAGAGGTAACCAGATATCAAAGGCTCTTCTTGAATTCTTTAAACACTGAAATCCATTAAAAAAAAGAATGCCTAGCAGCCTATAATCCCAGTACTTTGGGAGGCCGAGATGGGCGGATCACCAGGTCAGGAGATTGAGACCATCCTGTCTAACACGGTGAAACCCCGTCTCTACTAAAAATACAAAAAATTAGCTGGGCATGGTGGCGGGCCCCTGTAGTCCCAGCTACTCGGGAGGCTGAGGCAGGAGAATGGCGTGAACCCGGGAGGCGGAGCTTGCAGTGAGCCGAGATCGCGCCACTGCACTCCAGCCTGGGATGACAGAGCGAGACTCCATCTCAAAAAAAAAAAAAAAGAATGCCTAGCAATAATGAGAATACATGATACTGAAAGATACCATTTATTATAGTGACGAAAGACAGTGAAGATCTAAATAAGTAGATTTGGATAGAAATATAGATAGAAAGACTCAACATTATAATGTTACAAAGATACCAACTCTTCCCCAAAACTATAAATTTAATGAAATTTCATAAAAATATTAAAAATCTCCAAGATTATTATAAAATTTCTGTAGAAATGCAAAAGGCCAAGAATGACCAAGACATTCCTGAAGAATAAGGTCTAGGCGTGAGAATGTGGGAGGAGACTTGTGTAACCAGACTTAAAGCTCATTGTAAATGTATAGAAGCTAGTGGCAATATGGTACTGACTCAAAGACAACAGACCAAAGGCACACCACAGACAGCCCAGAAATAAATCCAGGCATATGGGGAAATTTGGTAGATGACAGAGATACCATTACAGATTATTGGGAAACGTAAATGATGCTGAGACAATTATTAGCCATATTAAAACACAGATGAAATAAGACTCCTCCTTCACGTTAAGTTAAAGACATATATGTGTATATTCGTGTATATACAGCTACATATGTAGAAATGTGTGTGTGTGTGTGTGTGTGTGTATATATATATATATATATATACACATAAACATATGTGTGTGTGTATATATATATATATATATATATATATATATATATATATACACATAAACATATACATATATGTCTTTAATTGACCTGTTATGAAGGAGGGGGTCTTATTCCATCTATTTTTTGAATATAGAAATTAATTGTTTCCACTTATCTTTTCCCAGTTATCTGTAATGTCATCTACCAAATTTACATATATGCATGGATTCATTTCTGGGCTTTCCATTGTGTCTCATTGGTCTGTCTTTGTGTCAGTACCACACTGCCCAAATATATCAGTACCACATTGCCCAAATATATAAGCCCATATGTAAATACACACACACACATAGGCATACACAAATATATATGAGGTTGGAGTAGAAAATAATTTTAAAAATAAGACAACAAAATATCAACCATAAGGAATAGTTTGATAATTTGACCACCTTATTTTTTTAGTTTATTAAAAGAATTTATCTCAAAAAGTGAAAATGTACATTGCAAATTGGGAGAAGATATTGCAACATGTATAACTGACCCTGGATTAGTAAGCAGAACATACAAGAACTTCTACAAATCCATTAAGAAGGTGAAAACAACACAAAATCAAAATGGGTAAAAATCATAAACAGACATTTCACAAAAGATGAAATAAAAATATCAATTAAAAATGCAAATATTCTCAGCCTAATTGATTTGCCAAAATGGTAAATTGAACTGTAAAGTATAAATTCATACACACCAATTTGACAACTTTTTTAAATGCTGACAAAACCAAGTGTTGGCAAAGATGTGGAAAAACAGGAGTTCTTATATTCTACTTATATTGAAAATATTATTCTATTTTGGAAAATAATTTTGCATTATATAGTAACATTAAAGACTGTTCATGGTTTCATTCGGCAATGCCATTCTTATATATGTATGTACATTTGGGCACCCCTTCCATGCAGGCACAACAATGTATAAGAGAAGATTGGCAACATTACTCCTAACACTCCCAAACTAGAGCCGACTTAACAGTTTATCAACAACACATAGATAAGTAAACTGTGGCTTAATCACACAATGGAATACTATATCACAGTACAAATTAAGAAATAGATTCATCCACCAGCATGGATGAATCTCACAAATCATGTGGAATCAAAAAGGCAAGTGGCAGAAGAAATACACATAGATGATATCATTATCACAAAATCTAAAATCATGCAACACTAAAAAATATATTGTTTAGGATTGTATACATAAAGGGTAAAATTATACAGGAAAGCAAAATATTGATAAACACAAAGAAACGTTGCCCCTGTCAGGGGATATAGGAGGCATTGCTAAGGAAGTTTAAAAGGGGGCTATGAAATCGCATTATATTTTTCTTCATATATCTTAAATGTTATATATATATATAGTACATATATAAAATATTTCAGAATAATTTTAACTTATGTGATGCAATGAAGGTCAATAAGATGTTAGTAGAGGTTTGATGGAAGCTATTACGAGAGAAGGATTGTTTAACATTCTGAAAAGTTGTCCAAAGCCATTGTGTCTCTCTACTGGAAGATGTGGGTTGCAAATATAAAACCTGGAAATGCTAGCTATTTCCCCTTCATAAAGGAATAGATCTCAGATTCAATGTCATATCACAGTCACAAAACATTAAGGAAGAATGAAACGAGTACTTTGATGACACTGTTGAACCGCTGAATCAAACCAGTCTTGAAGCTTGCACTACATGTGACCCATTCAGATATACAAGACAGTAAATGCTCTTACAAGACAAGTATATACAAGACAATACAAGTATATACAAGACAGTAAATACTCTTATTTAAAATACATAATACAGAAGGGAGATAATGTTCTTAAATACTAGCCATCAATTAAGAAAATAAAACAGTAAAACCTAATGCTAGGTATACTCAGGAAGACTTTTGGAGTACAGGGAGAGAGAATCAGGAAGGCAAACAGAAAAAAAGATTACACCCCATCCCCACCAGTAGAGACTCAATTATTGCCCAGGAAGCATCCTGAGGGAAGACCTTAGGATGGATCCTGGGCCCTGTCTGAGTCAAGGGGCAACTAGCCAAGTGTGACAGATAAGCAATGACCAGAATTTTGGCATGGTACTAACAGGTCAGTGCAGAACTCCAAGAAGGGCCAAAGTTAAGCTTCCTGCCACCTGGGAGGGATGGGGACATCAAAATCAGAGTTTAATATTTCAAAAATGTGAAATGTTCTATTTATTGCATATCTGAGTTTACAGACTAAGATTCAAATCTGCTACATAAGCAAAGTGCCCAATGAAGAATTTCCCAAAGCAGGCCTTGGAAAACACTAGTCTCCCTTGAAGAAGGGTTTCATGCTCATACAGGTTTAAATGTTGTGTGCTACAACTTGTGCTTATTGATTCATATTGCACCTTAGCATATTAAAGTCCTGCAATGAATCTTTTCCTAAATGCCTTTGAGCAATGAACATTTCTAGAGGAACATCTATCAAAAGCCGAGAAGCTGGAATTGCACTTAACACATCTTGGAAAACACTGTCTCCGTAGAGCATAGTCAGCTTCTCTGTCTACAGGGACACCACACTATTATTCTCTCACTCAGTACACAAAGCAGAACCCTGGGCTCCATTTATTGCAGTCTCAGAGAGTGACATTTTTCCAACTTCTAGTGAAGAAATGGTCTTCTGCCAGGTCTGAATTCACAAGATGAAGTTCGACATTCCCTGAATTTGAGTGCTTCTGCTGTCACAGTAACAAACTGTTGGTGAAAGGTTTTACCAGTAACTGTTAAATCACATAAGTTTGTCAGGAAAATGATAAGAGAGTACCCTGGAAAAGCACCCCCCTCCACCCTATCTCTTTAAAATACCTATGTTTGCATTTACTGTTTCTTTCAGAGATTAGAAATCAGACAAAGAGGACTGGGGCTAGCATTTTAAAAATAATATGAGAATTTAATAAGTTTAGACTCTAGAATTGCTGACATTCTTGTATTGATTGAAGGGGTTTAGGCTGCAGAAATAGCTTTCACTCATGTTCCATTCAAGGTTCTTGAATTGCTTACTTGTGGATTCCTGATGTGAAATGATGAGTAATGGGTGAGGAGGCTGATCAGAGATAAGGTTGAGCAAAGTGAAATGCCTGAATTACAGGAGATTGGGAGAGATTGGGGGCAAAGTCATAAAAGATTGCCCATGCTTGCTATAAGCCACCATGCTGTTAAAATAGATACAGAGTTGGGTTCTCTAACATCCCGTCACACAGCAGGTATGTATTTAAAAGGGTAAATTAGAATTTTTATAAAAACTTTAAAAATTTAAGATGTGATGGAAAGGTTCAGAGACTAATAGGACATAAACTTGCTTATATATAATCATATATAAATGTATAATGTACCCACAGGTGCACATATGCATAATTGATCCATAGTTTGAGAAGTTTTTATTATTGAGAGATGACACCTAAGCAAAACTCTCTTGAACTATGAATGTACTTTGCAAAGATTAGAAAGGAAAATATGAAAATATTAGCTATGCTGACTTCGAATGTTGTGATTATGGCTGGTCTTTTTCTCTCTTTTAGTTTTATGTATACTCCAAAGTTTCTGTGATAAATGGGACTCTCACCTGTGGGCCATAAAACATGTTACCACTGGATGAAGCAGTGAGATTTTTAACAATAGACTCCCATAAAGCACAGGAGTGGCACAGAGTATGTGTGGAGGGAAATAAACTTCCAGATACATCATTCCATAACATAACTATAGCAAAAATTACTTATACATCTTACGAGCGGATATTTAGATTGCTACCAAAAGTGAGATTCATGGATTGATGAATATCAGCATCTTAAGGCTCTCAGTGCATGTTGCCATATTGCTTTTCAGACCGATATGCCACGTTATGTTAATACCAGGCATATGTAAACAGGTCTGCTGTCTTAACTTGCTGACTTTACGTATTAAAAATTTTATTTAACCTTTACCAATCTGACAAACAAAAAAAAATGGTTTTCATTTTAGTTTAACTTGTCTTCTTTGATTACTAGGAAGTTCCACCTTTTCTTGGAAGTTTACTTGCCATATTTGTATTTCCTCTTTCATGAACTGTGAGCTCTTCCTCTCAGCTCTATTTGATGCCATGGGATTTTTATCCAAGAAAAAGATAACTTTGCACATTAAGGTTGTTAACTTTTTATTCACTATTTATTGTGAATATTTTTCTGGGTTTGTGTTTTAATTTTCATGTGATAAATCTTACTTGTTTTTTTTTCCTATTTTTTTCATTGCTTTTAAAGTTTCAAAAGCTTTCTCTATATAAATATTGGTTAAATTTCCTTAGAGTTTTTAAAAGTATTTTCTGTTTAAATTTTAATCCATGAAGGTTTTTATTTCTGTCAACAATGTAAAATGAAAATACAACTTAATGTTCCCCTGGATAGCTAATCTTCTCAACATCCTTTCCCAGGCAATACCTTCTTTATCAAATATATCAAATTATTCTATATACCAAGATACATGTCTTTTATAATAGGAAAAGAAAGCTATTTTTAAAAAAATTTATAAATGCACGACTATGAATGACCCCTTTGAACAGTGTTTTCAGTGGTCACTCCTCTCCCCACAGGTAAAGTACCCCTGTTATGTTACACAAATACTGATCCACCTTAGGCATCCATCAAGACGCCAAAAGCAAAAGATAGCCCTCAGTTCCCATTTTATATAGGCCTTCTTTGTTAGTCTTCCTCTCTCTGCTGTGATCAACCAAACTAGGGAGGAGGCTAAGTTAGCCTATTCTTTCATTGCTCACAATTACTGTTGTGAGCCAATCAGTAAATCCCAAGGGTGTTCTTTGGGGGTGGCTGGGACAGCCAAGGGCTCACAAGTTTTAAAAGATGACACCTGATGATAGAGATGAAGAGAAAAATAAAATGGACCCATCACGCTACACCAGTGGGAAAATAAAAGAATATTCTACATGGGTGGCATCCACTCAGAGCAGCACCAAGGAGGAAAAGCTGTTCATGGTTCGAGTACAGATGGAATGAATGAACTCTGAACTACAAATGAGGAAGCCTGAGGCTTCGATTCTGATTCTGCCTCTAATGACCTTGGAGAAGTCAATAAACTTTGTAAGACCCCGTATCTCTCATCTGTAAAAAGAATGGGTTTGATTCTTACAGGATGTAGTTTAGAAGTTCATAGGCTGACTTTACAGATATAATTTGGCTTGAACGGTGTTTTAATTTTTTTTTTTTTTTTTTTTTCCGAGACTGAGTCTTGCCCTGTCACCCAGGCTGAAATGCAGTGGCGCGATCTCGGCTCACTGCAACCTCGACCTGGGTTCAAGCGATTCTCCTGCCTCAGCCTCCGAAGTAGCTGGGACTACAGGCGCCCACCACCACACCCAGCTGATTTTTGTATTTTTAGTAGAGTTGGGATTTCACCATATTGGCCAGGATGATCTCAATCTCTTGACCTCATGATCCACCCACCTCACCCTCCCAAAGTGCTGGGATTACAGGCGTGAGCCACCGCGCCCGGCTTTAATTTTTTTAATGTAATAAGACAATGCACCCTGTTTCTAAGAGCCTCTATTGTCATGCAGCTAGTTTCACTCCCTTGTGCTACCTACTTGGCCTCGGAAGGGGTCTAAATGATCTGTAAAGTCTCTCTCAGCTTTATTAAAAGGTCCAGTTTATTGGAAATCCACATTGGCTCTGCTTTTGAAATACATCCCAAATCTAACCTCTTCTCACCACCTCTACTGCCACCACCCTGCTCCAAGCTGCCTGCAAGGACTTTTGCAATGGGTTCCTGACAGGTCTCCATGCTTTTCAGCAGTCTTTTCCCAAAGCAGCCAGAGTAGTCTTTCTAAAGCATAAATAAAGTTGTCACTGTCACTCAACTATCACTTAATCAAGGACACCTAATCTGACTTCCCTGGTTTAAACAGCAATCCCTTCTTGTAAACTCTTGATCACACTTGCTCTGCTAGACTTTCCAGATAGAATTGTCTCCTTCTCACATACTATGTAATGTTCTTATATGTTGTGAGTTTTATTTTGTTTCTGATCTGTTTTGTCCCAATAAAGCATAGGACCACTGAAGACAAGCATTTCTGTGCATTTTGCTTAGTGGTTACTATAGCCCTAGTGTCTAAAATACAACCTGGTATAGAGTGGGTACTCAATAAATAATTGTGAATAATTATGAACTTATCAATAATTCTTTTCTCCCTCCTAGAATAAATTCTTCTGGTTCCAAGAAGTGGCATTTCAAAACGGAGACCGGATTCTCTTCTGGAAGCTGTTCCATTACAGCAAACCACTTTACACCCATACCACAGCCCGCAAAATTCTCAGCAAGGAAGTCTCTTGCCAAATCAACAAGAATCAGGGAGACTTTTATGTAATAAGCATAAAGGCAGCTCACAAAGACATGAGTTCAAACAAGAAGGAGACTTCTTTTCCACAGCCATCAAGTAAGGAATCAATATGAGGATCAATTTATAAAACAAACAAGGCAGCCAGTCCCAAATGCAGGCCCAGGAATGCTCATATGAAATAGGTCAAAGTTCCATGGTATCATCTATGTTCTTTGAGCCCGTTGTCCCTTGGGTTCATCTCCGGGTCTGTTTGCTGAATTCAAGCACACTGACAATAAAATTCTACATTTCTCAAGAGTAATACATTATCTTTCAAAGACTAGAAAAGGTCAGCCCCTGCCCCCAAAACCTGAGCTGCTTACAACAGCTTTTGGATACATCTCTTTTGAGTATGGACTGAATGAGGACACGTACCCCTCACAGAGGTGACCCGTCTTACTGAGGATGGACATTTTCTATCTGTACCTGGTGTTCCTGGTCATTTCCACCCTTCCCTCCCTCTCCCGGCCCTGTCATTAACTGAGGGTGTGGCTCAAATCTGGCCACAGACTTGGATTTCACAGACCACTGTGGATTTCAGTTTCATTATAACTGGGTAGCAACCAAATGAAACTCTTTTAGAAATGAAACAATAAAGAGAGATGACAGGAACTGTTCTAAGGTTGCCAACTTTTTTTTTTTTTTTTTTTTTTTTTTGAGACAGAGTTTCACTCTTGTCACCTAGGCTGGAGTGCAGTGGTGCGATCTCGGCTCACTGCAACCTCCGCCTCCCAGGTTCAAGCAATTCTCCTGCCTCAGCGTCCTGAGTAGCTGGGATTACAGGCACCTGCCACCATGCCTGGCTTATTTTTATACTTTTAGCAGAGTCGGGATTTCACCATGTTGGCCAAGCTGGTCTTGAACTCCTGACCTCAGGGGATCCACCAGCTTTGGCCTCCCAAAGTGCTAGGATTACAGATGTGAGCCACCGTGCCTGGCCAGTTGCCAACTTTTCATTTTGTCAAGTAAATATACCCAATGAGATATTTTGGGACAACCAGAGTAAAAAAGTACATTAATATCAAAATAAGTTCAATAATTTCAACTTTATGAATTCTTTATTTTTTCTCAGCATGTCAGAGAAATTTTCTCAGGAACCACTATTTGGGGGGTATGGATGCAAATGCCCATGAATCCCTTATCCAGAATGATAACAGCTCTGCATGAGGCTCTATTAGGGAGCACAGAGATGATTCTAACTTCATGCTTCACATTAGGGTGAAAAAGAGGACCTCTGCCTCCCTGGGTTCCAGGCACACATGCATTACGGCATCCCCTCTAAGTCACAACGCTGAAGAGCAGTTAGAATCTGGGAGAGAAGACAGGGCTCATTAACAAGGTCTCAGATTTTGGAGGGTGTATTCATAGTGGATGTGACACAGCCCAGGGTCTTCAGATAACTAGACAACCAGTTTTCTTTTTTCCAGTCTTTTCAAAATCCTTCAACAGCGTTTGCTGATCAGCACATGGCATGTGGCCTTATACTAAGAAAGCCACAGTAGGAGAGTCAGTTCCATTATAACTGGATACCTACCAAATGAAACTTTAAAGCAGGTTGTGCAAACCGGTGGTGCACAAACTGAATATGGCACCCAAATATGTTTTCCAGGTTAGGGGAATCACCAAGGATATTCCCATACTTTAGCTGTCTATGTTTAAATATTGTGAAGTTTGCCTAAGACTCTGTATTTCTAACTTCTCTTGAAAAATCTGAAAATTTGGCAACAAAGGGCCCTCATTCCAGCATGGCCACAAGTGACTGCAGCTGTGCAGAGATAAGCCCTGCCCTCTTCCCTTGGCTGAGTCATTATATTACATTACTTGCCTGGCGTCAGGAAACACCCATGTTGGTAACTTCTGGCTTAGCATATGGAAGGTTATTTATACTCCATACAATCCCTAAAAGGATTGAAAGAAACTTAGAAAAGACTGACAACAAGGAGGAAGGGGGAAGAGGGAGAAGAAACAATTAGATAGAGCCGTGAGTAGGGTCATGACCCACAGTATCCACCACACAATTATATACACTTTCCTGGAGATGGGCTGCAAATTTGGTTCCAGGCTTCTTCACAACTGACCGGAGTTTAGAGTTTGAGACCAGAACAAGTCAAATTCCCTCCCTCTAGGGAAATACAGTTTTGCTGTAGTAATAACATTAAATGCCATGCAGCAATAAAACATGAAAAAAAGGGTAAGACAAGGCGGCATAAAGTGCCGAAATGTGTAGTCTTGGGGGTGACAGAGTGATCTGGGAGGTCCCTGGTGGGAGAGGGCCACGGCGAGGAATGAGTAAGATGGAGATATTTGACAAAGTGGCCCTCAGCTGAGCCACGGAAGGTGGGTACATCGTGGTTAGGCAGAGCACTCCATCAGCGGTGTAGAGGAAAATACAATTGTGTCAAAACAACAGGAGAAAAGCCTGTCAAATTCATTCAGCCATCAGGTAATGCCCTCAACTTCCAGCACATCTACTTTGCTTCCTCAAGTATTTTCTTTATTTGGGTTGCTGTCAAACTGTGGGAAATTCTAAGCTAGTTAGAAATGAAATGCCTCTTGGAGTTCAGTGCATAAGTACCTCAGCTCTGAGACTTGGGGATCAAATTTCTTTCTCTCTCTTCAAATCAAGATCACTCGTGCATGGCTTGACCGACTTGTTTTGTGTGGGGGCTGGAGGGAAAGGCTGACTGCCACCAGGCTGTGCTCAGAAAGGAAAGGTCCCACACATTGTGGCAGTCTCAGTCCCCCTGGCTCTGGCACCCCAGTGAAACACACTGCATCTGCTTTCTCTCTCTTAAATCTGCATCAAGCATCATCAAGACAAATTCTGGCAACTACTTACTGGACAATCTCACCTCTATTTCTGCATGTCACTGATGTAGAGTTTTGTGTGGCCTTAGTGAAATTAATGGCAAATCCATTTGGCAAAGCAAAATAAATCCCAAATTAACAAACGGCACCACTACCACTTCTCGGTTTATTAGTGGAGAAAGATATATTTTGTGCATTTTCTTCAGTTCAATATCTTATCTGTATCAAAATGAGGAACAAAGAGCTCATCACATCAATAATGGAATTTCAAGCAGCCATGGGGATAGGACTACAATTTTCTTCCCTACATAAATGGAGATCTGTGAGTCCTATAGGGAACGGACTCTTTCCAGACAAATCAATTAAAAAATTATAAAGCATTTTGGTTGCTCAGTTAGATGGATGTGAGAACATCATATACTTCCTTTTCTCTTCTCTATACTGCAGAAGGTAGAAAGTTGCAGTCTTTTTTCTTGAGATATTGACCACATCCTCATATCAAAGCAGTCACAGTCATTAGAGAGTCTGCCAGTATTTCTGTAAGAAACCCTATCTGGGGAGGATTTACAGAATATCAGCTGCTTTCCATTCACAAAGAGCTGACTTTAAAGCAAGGGTTTCAGTTGCCATGAATTCCCTTCATTTGCCTATTACACATAGAGCAAAGCCATTTTTTATGGTTTTGACCATTTGCAATTTTACGGAGGTGATAATGAAGATAACAGTCTACTTCCTTCAGAAAATATATATTTTTTCAAGTCTAAGAATCATAAAGATCAGATTCTTATTCAACCTCAGTATGAAAATATATTTATCAAAAAAATCTGTATTTCATTTTCAGATAGACTCTGAAGAAAACGTGGTAAAAAAATGCAGTGAGAGTGGTTGCAGATGCTCTGTTCTGGTAAAGAGAAAGAAAGAGCAAAGTAGAGGAGAAAGAAAATAAAGTAAGGAAGGTAGTTCTGCCTCTTTTGACTTTGGACAGTGGCAGGACAGAGCTCGAGTGGGCTGGGAAGGGAGGTGACAGAGGAAGCAACTTAGCAAGACCATAGGTGAAGTAGATTAGTGACAAAGTCCACGAAGCTTAGCAGGGGCTAGACAGAGGAGACAGAGAGTTCCATGAGGCAAGGGGTCATGATCAAGGGGTTGTATATTGAGATTCATAATTGCGGATCAAAAGTTCCGGGACCTGAGTCAAAGAGGTCAGGATGTAGGAAAGAGAGCGCAAATTGGCTGTCAAGCCCTACGGCATTTCTGGTCTGGAAGGGAGGTGGGATACTCCTGAGAAAGTGGGCACTTGGCCAAGGTTGGGAAGCTGGCTGGAGCAGAGGGACTTCACATTGGCATTGCCTGCTTCTAGTGTTTTCACTCCATTTACCAGGCTGCCTCTCAACAAGACCCGAGCATATCCGCATATCCTTTTACTGGATATAACCCAAAGAAAATATTTCTCTGGGCCACTTAGGGCTGGTCCTACAGAACAGCTGGGCCTGAGATTGTGGGTGGCCACAGAGCCTAACACATGGCTGGAGAGACAAATGAGATGAGAGTTCAGGTAATTCCCAACATTCTGGATTGTCTCTGCCCCAAGAGGGACCAAAGAGAGCACAGTCGGTGGCTGGCATAATCACAGAAAGGGTGGCAAGTGGAAGCTTAGATGGGTGGCTAAAATCAAGATGGAGCAGGTAGATGAGAATTGGAGTTAGCACCTACTAAGCCAATTGTTAGACAAGATCCTAAGAGCAACTGTTGCTCTTTTATCCCTAGAGATCAAGTTCCATCCTCTAGGCTTTAGAGAATGTTACTTTCATAGGTAGAAAACCACATCTGCTGTTCCAGAAGCCTTTATTCCACATCTGATGATAAGAACAGTAAATCTGAATCTGAGCCAGGGATGCTGGGTCTGGTCCCAATAAAATAAAGGCTGCAGGTTGCCCTTCCTCTGAGACAACTCCCTTTGAGACCCAACACCTTTCTAGGGCAAGGGCGAGAGTTTCGGCAGTAAAGACTTGGAAGTATCTACAGACCTACTTGATAGAGTCATCCTTATGCTGAAGACAGCATACCCTGGGTAATAGAGCCCTGGGCTCCCAGGAAAAGGAGTTACTCACTTAGTGCTCTGCCTCCATCTCTACCTCGTTTATCACTGTGTTCCCTGCAGCTATGGGAAAGTTTGCCAAAGAGAAGGTGCCCAATAACATACGGTGAATTAATAAATAAATTCAACAACATCCAGTTTTCTGTTGCTACCTATTTCCAGTTAAGTGCCCCCTGAACACTATAATTTCTTTCTCTGAAAAACGTAGGAAATTTGACCATAACCCAGAAATTTATGAAGAATGTGTTATACAGCCCATTTGCTTTGAACCTACAGCATGGCACTTCTAACTATAATCCTCAGACCATCTACCTGTGCAGCTGCAGATTCCTAGGTCCTAACCAGTCCTATGCACCAAAATCCTTAGGGAGCGGGAATGAGCACAAGAATCTGAAGCTTTCACAAGCAATGTAGGTGATACCTATGCACACAACTATTTGAGAAACACAGAGACTTACATTTATGAAAAAATACTACGTTCTAGACCCTAAGCTTGAGATTTTATATATTCATTTAATCCTTACAATTACTCTATGAGGCAAGTATTACTTTCCTTATTTTCTAAGTACGGAAACTGATTCAAACAAGGTTACGCAGTCAATAAGCAGCTGAGCCAGGGTCCATTCTGTGATAAATAAAAGATTCTGAGTCTCATTTTCAGTCTTTTAAAAAATTTTTGATAAAAGTGCATGTTTGTAATAAAGAGCTGAGGGGAAATATGGTTGCATTTGGTGGGTACGAAGCTTCTTACAGCCTATCAAATTGAGAGAATTGGGGAGAGAAAGACATGGAGGGGAAGGGAAATAGCAACATGAACAAGCAAATGCAATGTTTTTGCTCTGAAGTGAAATGCTACAGTTGAATTTTGTAGTCTTGATTTAAAATGATTAGCAATGCTGGGCTACTAGTCTATAACATGCTTAGGGCATGACCTTGTACCAATTATCACCACCCCATGTAACAATCATGACCTGCCTACAGATGACCTGGATAGCTGATAAAATCACAGTTGGTCTCAAAAAATTTAATTGTGCCATAAAAAGAGGCATGATTCATTGAAGCTGCCGTGTCAAACTTTAGCTGTGCTTACCCTAGCCAAAATGACTTTTTTTCTCTTCAAGATATGTACTACCGTCAAATATCACCTGTATAAGTACTCCTGGAGCAAAATGACCTTGAGTTTTATTGTGATGTGGTAAAGGTCTCTTGATGTTCCTGAAACAGTTAACTTGCTTCATATAATCAGGAATAGGTAACTTACTTTTTTGTAATCCAGAGGAATAAAGGCCTTAAAAGTACCACTGTCTTATCAAGAAAAATCTCTAGCTAATATAATCTAGTTAAAAAAAAAAAAAAAAGAGCACTAGAGTTACAGTCAAGCATCTTGAAGTATGGCTTTATCACTAATCAGTTTGGTGTTGTTAGGGTCAAAAAAGGCTTCTCCATCTGGTTTTAATCACCTGTCACACTATCCACTACTACTATTTCAGAGAGGTTTAATGGCTCTATTAATTCAATAAGTATGAAAGAGCTTTGAAAATATAAGGTGTTATTCTAATGTGATAACTAAGGATTATGTCTGAACAAACCCAGGTTTAGGTTTGCATTCTAGGAATTCTCAGCACTCTTCCCTCCTCCTACTGAGCTACTCCACTGGAAGCTATTCCATACACCACCTTGAAGGATAGATTTAGGTAAGCGATTCCTGCAAGGTACGCCGAGCACCTCACAGAAAGAGACATTTGAAGTGCAAATTATTATTTTTATAGAAGATATTACAAGAGCAGGGCAGCAGTTACTACAATTACTATTCAGTGAAGAATCTCCTTAAGTGCATATGGCAGACGTGCTTGGTGAACCCAAGTATTTTCATGGGTCTTAAAGGTTTAAACTAATAACACCTACATAGTTACTGAAGATAATTTGATGACTATAATATAGATAGACAGATAGGTTCATTACTACAAATGAATTCAGTGCAATATGAAGAAAAATTGAAGCCACTACTATTATGCTGATGTGGCTGCCTAGAGCTAACCCCAACTCCCTCCTAACACTTTCCCTGCTTGCTCTAAGTAATAGAATTTCAGGCTATTATCTACTCGCTGAGAAGTTTCCTCATCTGTAAAATGTGGGGAATAGAGGTAATCTCCATGGCTCCTTCCAGCTGTATGAGTAGACAATTGTTTCTGTATATTGTACAAAATAATAACGGTGAATGTCTTATCCAACCAACACAGAACTTTGGATAACCTCTCTTATCTCCCTATTTCAACTTCCCTGATTACAGCCGTTACATTTAAATATGATTTGTCCATCCAGTGCCTTTTAGTTGTTGTTCTAGTTCAAACCTCTTCCTACCTTGACCAAATACCATTCATATTCAGAAACGAAAGCTCATCAACAGATAAAAGGCTTAAAAAAAAAAAAGCACTTCTAAGCCCCACAAGGGGTGACCCTGACTTTGGTTTAATAAGTGATTCTAACAAATTCACAGAAAGAACATGGCGACTGCCAGGGAGGAACATTCGAGAAATACAGTGTTCAGAGGAGCAAAATGTGTTTACCCAGAAGTCTCCAAAAGAATGAGACAGTGGAGCTGAGAAACCAAATCAATTCCATTGACATAAAGGCTTCTGCTATTGTAGGATATAAATATTTTGTCACTTTCCCAGGTCTTCAATATTACACATCTCAATGATCTTCTTTCTTCGTTGAGTCCACACTTAACTGAGCTACCTTCTGATTAACAGTGCAGTTTCCCAATAACCTCAACACAAGAATTGGGGTAGGGGAAAGACGAGGTGACAAAAAGGGCTCAGAAAGCTCTTGATATGGAGGTTTTAGACTTGATACCCATATAAAAAAATATTACATAAGGTAGTTATGATTTATAGTTCAATCATAAAAATATTAGCATATAATATTTATTAGGTATTGGCAGTGTCCCAAGCACTATAGGTGCTTTGCATGCGTGGGCCCATTTAACCAACATAGTATCTTACAAGGACCATCCCATGCTAATATGAGGAAACTGAAGCTGACAGAGATTAAATCATTCACCCAAGTTTACACAGTTAAACAGTAGCAGAGGACTTGAACTATAATCTCTATATTGTTTTTTCAATTTAATTTTCATGAGGTAGAGACTGAACTGAGTCACCTGAAAATATTCATTCTCTATAGTCATAAGATTAAAGATCAAATCTGGAGCATGGTGGCTCAGCTAAGAAGCTGTTCCTGAGAGCCCTTACCTGAGGTACTCTTAGACAAAATCCTCATAGATACGGCCTTTAGGTCACCACACAACCCTGGGCCCAGTGAGCCTCAGATGAAAGGAAGTGCTTCTTCATCCAGGATATAATAAACATGAATCCAAGAGGTTGTGAAATACCAGCTGTGAATGCTCACCATAGTTTTGAACGTGGAAGTAAGAAATGTGTGCGTGCATGTTTCCAATCTCCAGGGACAGATCCATCCTGAAGGATGATGAACCATGCTCCCCACTCCCCACAAGTGATTGGATGAAGGTCTAATTACTACCCGCTTGTTTGTCAATTTGTCTCTAATTCCACTGCCATCTTTCTCCTCCACATTTCCTTACTTCAATGTCTAACGACTACAATAGCTTCTTAGCTGCTTTCCTCCATTCCAGCTTTCACTACATCTACCTCATTCTACAGACAGCCAGACCAGCCTCTTGAATATTATTTTCATCATAGCACTTACTTAGATGATCCAAATATCAACATCATAGAAAGACATTAGAATTGACAAAGCAATACTCACCTCTTTTAGCCTTCTGTACATTCCTCTTTCACTCCCTTAAGTATTACAGCAAATGTTCCTGTTTCTGTATGCATACAACTTTCCATATGAACAGAGTCCAATAAATACATAGTCACCACAGCCTGCCATGGAATTAGCACAGTGGCACTGGTGTCAGGCAGAGCTGGGTTGGAGTACTGGTTCCACTAACCTGGGAAAATTTGGTAAATCTTTTTAAGCCTCCATTTCCCCAAATAGAATATGGAGACAATGAGGGTATATTTCTCTCAGGATTACTGTGATGATTAAGGGATCATTGGTAAAGCGTGCTGAGCACATTTTTCTGGGACACAGTAAGTGCTCAATAAATGGTACCTATTATCACATCATCATTATTAAAGCAATATGACTTAGTGGTTAAGAGCTCAGACACTAGATTCAAAAATACATGGTTTCGGCAAATGAAAGGGTGAGGCAAGGTCTCTATAAGTTTCATCTCAGTCTTCTTTCCGCGTGAAAAACATTTCCTTGGTAAAACTATTTAAACCACTGGAGGTTCTCCATTCCAGATACTCTCAAAATGTGGTTTAGTGACTGTTAGAATAAAAATATAGAAAGGAAACGAAAAATACCGCTCAGAACAGTAGTAGTTTTCCAAACATTTTTTGGTTAACAAATGTTTACGGAGTCCCTATAATGCATTAGGCCAAAAGAGGGGAGTTAGGGCCCTCAGAGAGCTCCCATCCAAGCTCCAGTGAGAGGATGTTTCTGCTGGGTTCCAGCAATGCAGTTGCTCTGCTGTTTGGCACCTGCTTCATGCCAGGTTCTGTGCTCAGCCCTGCATGCACATTATTCTGTTTGTCCTCATGGTCATTCTTTGAGAGCAGCACTGTTTTTCTCATTTTTCTTATGAAGAAACTGAGACTTAAAAGAGGCCAGATGGCTTGTGCAGAGGCACGTGGCAGGTAAGTGGTAGGGACAGGACTTGGACCAGAATGGCTACTGGATGGCTCTCTCACCTAGGAGCTCAACTCCGGGCTTGTGTCTCCTTGTTGTGTGAGCATCACCAACACTCAAAATGGGTCCCATAGTGGTAGAGACCCAGACAATGGAAGCTTTCAAGTAAACAATTTACTTAACTGACAACAAACTGGAAGTAACTTGAAAGCCCATCAATAAAGGAATGCTTGAGTAGATTATGGCATATCCAAATCAACAAAAGGCTAATTGAATATAATGTATCCAAACTATATTATGTAGCCATTAAAAGACAGATACTTGAAGTGGGGAGGGGGGCTAAACTTCATTTGGATAGGAAGAACACATTCAAGTGGCCTACTGTGCATCATGAAGATAATAGTTAATAATAACACTATATACTTAAAAATAGCAAAGCAATTAGATTTTAAGAATATAATATAAAGAATAAACTCCTGAGTTAATAATATGTTAATAAGCTTGATTTGGCCATTTCACAGCGTGTGTGTGTGTGTGTGTGTGTGTGTGTGTGTGTGTGTATCAAAACCTCACATTGTACACTATAAATATATACAATTTTTACTTGTCAATTAGACTTTTTTCTATTTTTTAAAAAAGGCACATATTTATTAACTTGGACGGATGTCCTTGGTTTATTGTTAGGTTTAAAAAGAAAACCTCCTTTTAAAAAGAGATTTTTTAAAGTGAGCTTAAGAGGAATAAGAGAGATGGGTAGATATATTAAATTTATTCAGAGTCTGCACCTAATTTTTTAGGCCTGTCCTGTTTTATCACAAAATTAAAATATCCTTTCAGTAGAAACTGGACCCTATTAAACACACATGAGGAAGTATAGCAAAGTGGTTAACAGCACAAGCTTTGAAATCAGAAAGGCTAGGTTCATATCTCATCTCCACGACTTACTTCCTGTGACCTTGGGGAAGTCACTTATCCCTTAACCTCAATTTCCTCAACTACAAACTGATGATAATAATACCCTATCTCATAGGGCTGTTGTTGTGATTGAATGAAATAGTGGAAAGTGCTGAGCACAGTACCCTGTACATAGCAAGTGTTCAATAACTGGGGACTATTACTTTAACTGTTACCTAATTGCCTTAAAGATCAGCCTTTGCTAAAAACAGAAGTCCTTCCACAGATTGACATTCAAAAGGCCACCACCACAAAGAATACGCTTAAGGCTGCCAGGAAGGTACTAGTGAAAGTGTAGGCCAATGAATAAATGGCATTTGATTTTCTATTCCAGCATCTTTCCATTTCAGCATTTTCTAACTCAGCAGCCACATAGTGCTCTCTGCCTGCCTGGCTTCCCTCACACATTTTCAAACCAGGATTACTCCAAATGTGAAGAGTGGTCCCCAAGGCTTCCTGCTTGCCATAGTCACAGATCACCTACAGGTCTTTGGGTTCAAAGGCCCTGAAGCAGGTAAGGAAATTAGCTCAATGAACACCAGCCAGTTATTCCATGCTTCAGTCAGAAAAAGAAAAAGAAAAAGAAGAAGAAGAAAGCAAAACTAAAGCAAGAGAGATGGAAAAGAAGACAGAGGGACCAGTCTCCATTCACCCTGCAGAGTGTCATCCCAGGTTCTAGAACAACAGTGTAAATGAAGGGAATGAAGGGGGTCATTTAAATTTTGGAAAGGGGTTTCTAAATTTTTGGACAACACCAGCTGCTTTGTAAACCAAAGAAAATAAATACAAGCTCATCAACAGTGAAAATGCTACTGCCCCAAATTAATTAAGTTCAACTTCAGAGTATGTGTACTCAGCACTAGCATTTATATACTAATAGAGAGAAGGGTTATTTTCAAGAAAGGTCACAACACCCATTTCACTTACAATCTTCCCCACTGAAATCTATAGAATGTTGGTTGCTTTTAAGCTATTTAAAAGGAGCCACTGGTATTAACTGATGGGTGTATTCAACAGAGAGAAGGGCTTAACTTTTATTAGAGAATGATGATGATGGAGGTGGTGATGATGATAATAGCCAACATTTATTGCACATTGACTGGGTGCCAGGCATTATGCTAAGTGTTTTACCCAACACTGCATGTGATAGATATTGTCACATGAAACGAGGACACAGAAAGATCAAGTAATCATTCCCACTCAGTGACAGAACCAGGATTTAGATGGAACATTGGATCTCCTCTGAACCTGTGTTCTTACCACTATTGACACCCATTTATCTCTAAAGTCTCTACTGTATCTGCTGTTTGATTTCTTCTGTCATTAGAAATTTCCATTTCTGCAGCTCCTTTTGATTTTTTGTAAGCATATGGTAACCTAGAGAATTGCATTCTAATGTTTTCACCTGTGTATTTAATTTTTTCATCTCCTAAAAGAAACCATGACCATTTCAGCTGTCATGATTCTGTATTCTTTCAGAACATGCATTCATCTTTTATTTTCGTGAGCGAGGTTTTGTTTATAGCATATAAGATAGGGAAACAGAATTGAGAAGGTAGGGAGAATATAAATCTTCTCACAGAAGCAAGATGCTCCCACCACATTTGAAAGCGTTTAAGAGTTCTTTGATGCCCTCACCTGACAAGAAAATTTTGGACAATGTAAATGTTGACAGTCACAAGTACATTCAAAAAGACTTGCTGAATTTTTTTAGGTCTGCCATGTAACCTGGTGATTTCTATTTCTTCAATTACATGATGCATTCTGTATGTAGTATGTGGAATCTGAACACTTCATTTGGGCTCACTGTGCTTTCTTATTGCCAGATCCTTCTTTCCAGCTAGACTGCAAACCCCTTGAGGGCTGCAGTCACATCTTACAATGCCGGGGTACCCAGCCCTTCCACAGGCCCTTATATATAGTAGGAACTCAAAAGAAGTTTAATCAAGTCAGAGATCATTTATTTTTTGAGCAAACTCCAAACCTCTGAAAGTTGACATTCTAGAATGCATTGCCTCCTCCAATATTGCTTCATCCCAGGGGAGCCTTCGAGTAGCAATAAAATTGATTTCTTTGCCAGCAAAAACTGAAACCCTGATGGCTCTGGAATTATCATCTGGATATAAACCCATCCATGCCAAAGGTGCCCATTTCTTTAAAGAGCTGAGGAAGCAAAGATCTGAAGAAGCAGTATTTGATGAAGATATTTGGCCTTTCAGTTTAAAGATTATGCAATTTTGTAAGAGGTGTACTGTACGTTAGAAACTGAATTATGTCATAACTAGAGAGTGCTTGATAAATATTTATGGAATGAACGTCTTCTTCAAAAAAATTAAACTTAACACCTCATCTTATTTTACAATTGAATTTCACCATAAAAGCTGGAGATGGGTTTATGAGGAAAAACACTTTAGATTACATGTGACTCATTTTAACCAAGGACTAATTCTACTTTGAGAACATATCTGTTAGAGTATTGAAACCTGAAGAAAAGAAAACCTTGCAATATGCTTATTGCCTTTATGTGAGACACAAAAGCTTAAATGTCACAGCAGTTTTCAGGGGCACATGAGACAAAGGGGCCTGGGATACCAGTGTCTGAGTCAGAGGGAAACCAAGTGGGCAGGACTGGCAGCCAGACTGGGTCCACATTTTTTCATCTGCTTTATAGAGCGAGATTCCACATGAGATTCCATTTGACAAATGAAAAAGCAACTAAGGGTGTAAAGATACCGGACAAAAATAAAATAACATCATTAGCCCTCTATCCTATTCTTTTTTCCAGTATCATTCGGCAGAATAACTTGTCAGTCTTTCTCAGCTTATATCAACTGTGAATCTTGGCCCATTTTAGAAGCTACGGGCTTTCATTAGTGAACAGTGGGTACAGGCCAAATAGATGGCGGCAGAGCAGAAGAACCCAAAGTGGGGCGATGAAAGAGTAAATGGGGAAGAGATTTACTGGGATACACACAGTAATAAGAGAAGCTACTATTACTGAACGGCACAACTAAATATGCTTGAAAATTCTTTGAAATAAATCAGGCCTGCCCAAACTTAGTGCTTTTCAAACCCGACCATGATTCAGAATTGGCCATGGTGCTTTTTAAAAATGTAGATGCCTGGATTCCACCCCAAATGTACTAAATCAGAATCTTACAGGGGGCTACCCAGTGACTGTACATTTAACAAGTCACCTCAAATCCCCAAATTATTCTGACGCACATGCAGGCTTTAGAACCACTATTATAAGTCCCGTCAGTGTCATGGTGTGAATTCTCAGCAATGTAATTCCTATAAAATGAATTTGTTTAAATTAAGAAATACCAAGACATTTTGATTGGTGATAATAAAACCATCTTCATGTTGTATAGGTATTAAAGCACCTTTCAACATCCAAGAAAATGAACTGTCATTCTTAGAAATTTGGGGATTAAACCATGTGCTCTGAAGCCTTCTTTATAAACATGACACTATGATGCAGTATCTCCCTGTAATGGTTCTATACTTGTAACAGATAAGAAAATTCCCTGGCTCACTCGTAATAGCTAGCTGCTGTCTGACAACTGTCAAATTTTCTCATTGCTGAGATTTGGAGATTCATCAAAACCAATTGCCAGCTAGACATCTGGTTTTATAAGTTTCTTTGGAAATATAATCAGTAGCCCTGAATGTGGACAGGGTATCCAAAGTACTGAGAATGCCTCAGATTACTCTAATTTTAACTTTTGTGACTGGAGTATTTTTCTAACTCCTGTGAAATCACTATTCCATTCATCCTGTTTATAACTTACACAGCACTTGTTTTCTCAAGTCTCCTGAAGACCAAAAAGGAAAAAAAAAAAAAGTCATTTTATGTGTTCAGAACTTAATGTACTCCAAACCACTTCCTTGAAGATATCTGCTGTCATCCCGTGAACACATAATACATACCCCACCCCACCCCCCTGGCAAAATTCAAATATTACTTTTTAAAAACCTCTAATCTAATCACATGAATTCTACAAATTCTCATTTTAAAATTGGCTTATACTTTATATTCAGTTGATACAATTTAAACTCATGGAAGCAGTAGGGTGCCACTTACAACGCCACTTCAAAATACACCTACCCTGTTGGAAGCAACTTGTTCAGGAACTCACTTTCATTTCCACTGCTACTCTTTGCCCCCATAATGGGGCCTCTTGCTGCCTCTGAGTTTCAGTGTCTTTTTGTTATGATCAAGAAAAATTCTAAATACCTTGCCTTCTCTTATATAAGCAATGTTGAAAAGTGAACATATCTGCAATCTATTTAGAAACGACTATTCCAAGGAATTAGAATTGGAGAGAGAGAAGGAAGACCATTACTTTTCTTTTCTTCTTAAATTATTAAGATAATTTAGCACTTCTTATAACATGTCAAACAGTGCAGATGTACATGAAGTAGAGATATATTTTTAAACTAGTTTAAAGTATTTTAATTTTTATTTTAAAACTATCACATACTTTCAATTTTGCCAAGTTAGACTTGGGGCTCTTTTGTAGCTTTTCCTAATTGTGTGTGTGTGTGTGTGTGTGTGTGTTACCACTGACAGTCTTTTGAAAAAATTATTTAATTATGTGGTTGCCTTGTATTATTATACTTTGTTTTTCCTTTTCCCGCATAGAAGCTCTCATAGTAATAAATGTATTTGATCTTTATTTTATTTTCTTATACCCCTACTTTTCCTGCCTTTTATATTGCCCTTTTCTTTCATCCTTTTTTCTACTCTTCTAGTTTACAATTATTGTTCTGTTATAGATATCCTTTCCTCCCACGCAAGAGAGAAAGATTAAGTCCTTAGCATAAGCACCCACAGTTTCATAACAGGAACAAGTTTTTAAACGAGGGGTTGCAAGTTCAAGTTCATTCAGAAACTACGTAGGCAACAAAGTAGTGAAACATATAGGGCATAAGACACTAAGGAGCAGTGGGGACTGTAGCAAAGTGCATTTGAAAGCCACTTAACTGCATTTAAATTTAACTTTGTACCAACTGAACAAAATATACGCAAGGGCTGAATTCAGCCTTACAGGGCCATCTGCAACCTCTGCAAGACTTTATTCTCAATCTCATTTTCTCTCTCTCCAGACAGAGAGAGTTCAATTGACTTTCTTATTTACACCAGTGGATAAGTGCTACAGCATATATAGTAACACAAAAAAGCAGATAATTTAACATCTGCAGGCAAATGACCTCAGTGTGCATTGCTTTTTCTACAAAATGTATCATTTAACTATAATTTGTTCATGCTAGCCATGTATTGAAAATACTTTGTATTCCTCCCAAGCGCAAACAACTCAGTTAGTATAAGGGGCCAGGGAAAGGGAGGGGGATGGATTCATGTAGGAGATGAAATTGACACAGGGGTATAGGAAACATTCATTGAATAAAATTTATGGGATGCCAATGTTTTGGACTAGGCTCCTGGCTCTAACAGACCAGACCAAACCAGAATGGTGTCACTTGTGCTAGGTGCCACATAATCAAACTGAACTTACAAATGGGCCAGTTTAAAAAAAAAAAAAGAGAGAGAGAGATTTGCAGAAACCACGCAGAAGGCTAGCTGAACCAGGATGATAAGGAAGCCTCCTGTGCTTTAGCCTATACAAGGAAAGTAACCTGAAGTAATATGATGTTAACCAATCATTTTTTGCACTTGCTGTTTCATTGTTCCTGCTCAAGTTGCCTTATGAAAACCACTCTTCTGCCACACCCTGAAGAGGCCCTTGTTGCTTCACAGATGGGATGCGAACGGATTCATGAATCACTAATAAAAGCCAATTAGATCTGTAAGCTCAGTTTGTTGAATTTTTGTTTTCTGACACATTATAGGGGAAAAAAAACCAGCTTAATGTATAATCCGAGACAGTTTAAGGCAGGAAATTCACAGGCAGATAGTGGCATTAACTAGATTCCCAATGCCTATAGGGCAGTCTTGAATTCAGCTTTTGCAGGAGGTTGAACCTGGTAGACTAAAAGCCAACTATCGTCTCTCTCTCACCATTTTCCCATTGTTCAGAGGAAGTGATTTTTCATAAAAACAGCTTTTGAAATTTCATCCAATGTAAACTCTGCCCACTGCTTACCAAAAATGGAAACACAAGAGGAGAGTAATTGTCATTTTCTCCTATCACAAAAGAGACTTCAAACAAACTGAATAGGGGAGAGAAATCAAAAACACGGCATGAGACAGTTTTTCCATCCTGATGAAGGGTGAGTCACTAATTCCACAGCAGCTTCCTTAATTGCAGCTAAGCACACCAGTATCCAGCTTAACACTCGTTTCCTTCTCAGAGCATTAGAGCACTATTCTTCCCTGATCCACTTGGATCTAGAAATAGTAACTGTCCTAAGAACAGAGGAAAATCGCGTGCTAAATTCTGTATATTTAGCATCTGTATAGCATTTTATGGTTTCAAGGTTTCACAGAACCATTTTTATAATTCATTCCATCTGCAAAAGCGAAGAAATAAAGTCATTTTCCAAGGTCATAGAGAAAATTACCAGAATGAAAATCCAAATGCATAGCCCCTTCCAGAACATTACTTCATTCACAGAGGGCTTCTACCTCATTTACCACCATTTCCCTCTTCACTGCTGATTGGCCATTGAGGAGCTTTGAGAATCCTTTGAATGATCCCAAGATCTGTGGTGCACACACCATTCTTCCGCAAAATCTCACTGGAAGATGTGAGGCAATGCAAGAAAATTGATTGTGCCCAACTACCCATGCCATCTGCTAGAATATTGGAAACTAAGAAAGTCAGAATGCTCTGCAAAGAGGGCCACCTGTGCTAAAAGAGTTAAGGTTGCCTAGTTTTCCTGCCTTACAGTATTTTAAGCCAATTTTATAACTATACATCACCATGGTGATCAGGATTAATGTAATTGCATCAATAATTTTCCATAGCGGGCAGGCTCCAATTGAACTCATCTAAAAGAAAACAAATAGTAAAAGAATGATCTACGTGACTGAATATGAGAAACATTCTAGCAGTGTCATGGAATACCCTAAGAAGTCTGGCACTTTACAACATTTTGGGATGGGGTGTGTTGACATAATCTCTTTCCATCTTGCTCTCATGAAAGCTTTGATTCTGTGTCAGTTCGGGTTCACGTGAAGCTTTAACGGTGAAAGGCTTCACATTATAAATGAGCGCCTCCATCTTCATGCAAACCAAAGACATTGTGATAGTGTATTTGCCCAGGACTTGAGGGAATTCAGTAACATCCATTTATACTTCCTTATTCAGAAAGGAGGCAGAGCATATTAGTTGTTCCTAATTTACTGAAGGAAGAATGACACAGAAGAATGTATAAGTTGAATATAATCCTAATCATGGGAGTCTAAGGGCTTCTGGGATTTTTTAAAGACAAAATTATATTTTCCTCTCTATTTCCTTCAGATTTCCATTCTTTTAGTGTATATATGTGTGTATGTCTATATTTTTGTTTCCTATGAAAATACTGGTTGATAATATTCTAGTATAGTGAGCCAACAGCATTTCTAATACCATGAAGTAAGCAACACAATATGGAAGTGGTAAAATTCTTTTAAATTCTCACTTCTCTACCTCCCCCACTAGTGCATTCTAATCAAAAAGAGAATCTGATTGACTGGTTCATGATAATAGACAGTGATTTAATTTCTGACACATGGCAATAAGGTAGACCTCATCAGCAATCCTTGGTCCATGAGAGATTGCCTTATGATTCTCCACTCGACAAACCTCATTTAAATTGAATGCTATCACAGAGCGGCTTACCAATTAAATCAAGATGTCTTAATATTACAGAAAAGAGATTCTTAAATGTAATAACAGCATTTCTCAGCTGTGTTTACAGTCTTGGACATTGCTGCTTAAATACCCCCAAGGACAAATTCTGAAAAAATGTCAGTGTGTACAACTGCCGTTCATTGGCTTTGACAGCACATCTCTCTCAGTACTCATAGCATTCAGGAATGAGAGCTTGGTCCCCAGCCCAAGAAATTTAAAAAAAAAAGGGGGGGCCATCCTCAAGGGAACTGGTAAAATATAATAGAAATATCATCTGTATTTTCCCAGGCTGGTTAGATAACAGATACACACTTTTTTAAACGTAAACATGAAATAGCTCCCACTTGGTAAGTGCTTGCCACATGAAAGAACTTGACTAAACACAACATAAGCATTATCCTATTTATTCCCACAAAACCCTCAAGGTTGGGGGGAGGTCATTTATATAACAGTAGTAGATTCTGAAGTTCAGATAAGTTAGGCAGATGACCATGAAAGAGACATATTATAAAAGCCTTGAGTCAAATCTCTTCTGACTTCTAAAGCCAGTGTCCAAGTGACTATTACAATACAGCCACCCATCCAAACGAACATCGTATACAGGGTCAGATGAGCCACTCCAGGGATGGCCTCTGGCCCTCCATCAGCAATTCTGCATCACTAAATTCCTCACATTTGGTTTTTCTGGTTTTTTTCCCACCATACCAACGCTCCCCACCATCTATCAACAACAACAACAAAAACTGTCACATTTAAAAAGCCCCTTAAACCACACTTCAGACTAATTTGAAACCTGAGCATGTTTGCCTTTAGATGGGTGAGATTTAATCATAGTTTTAATCATAATTAGTTCAGCAAATTCCTTCCTTAGGCCCTTTAAGGAGCGTATCTTCTGAGTGAGGCACTAAGCAAGGTGCACAGGCAGGACAGTCCCTGCTTATCTAGGAGCAGAACGGTTTATAGATGGAGGTATGGTGTAGAGAGAGTTTGAGAAAGGAATAAACAAGAGCAAGAGATTGAAAAATGCATCAGAGGAGACAAGAGTAAGGGATTGGAGCAAGAGAAAAATTTGTGCACAAAGAAGTATGATAAGAATCATAACAGAAGTCTACGCAAGTTGCCGTGGATCTCAAGGAAGACTTTCCAAGTTCACTTTGGATTGGGGAACTTATAGAATGACTAAGAGTTTACCAAACAGTCAAAAGAAAGGGTATTTCAGGGAGAGGAAAGAGAGTGGATGTACAGATGACCATGATGTGAGGAGAGAACAGTGAAGGGTTTAGTGCTATGTGAGACAAGGCTAGAAAGAGAGGTTGAGGCAAGAATGAGCAGGTCTACAAAAGCAGCTCAAAGATTTCGACCTTATTCTCCAGGCACTGAAGAATAACTGAAGATGTGTGAAAAAAGAACTGGCAGGATAAAGTTTGTGGTTTTGAAAAATGATTCTAGCCAAAATGTAGACAAAGGATTAGAGAAGTTGGGTGTGGAAGAGGCCTTAACTTGTATTATTTAGGAAAGAGAAAGTTTACACGAAGGAGTGGGAATAGAAAGGAAGTCACGTAAATGGACTAAAACTAGTGACATGCGGGTGATAATGGGAGAATTTGCTAATTAAAGTAGTTGTTTAGCCATGATCAGAGGAGGAGAATACATTGTTGAAGGTGGAAAAGGCGATAAAAAAAAAGGGTAGGAGAAGTTTGACTTTCAATGTGTGAAAGATGTGCTGCTGGGATTTCTATGTAAAGATGTGTGACAGGCCGGGGAAATTCAGGATGAAGCCCAGAAGAAAGGTCGAAGCTACAAATGCAGATTTTGAAAATCATCAAGTTTGATACCTAAGAGGTTACTGGTGAGTGTCATTGTTTTTTAAGAGAACAATTTAAGTAGAGTGGTTGACTGAAGTCAGAATATGCTAAGTCAAGGAGTGAACAGAAAATAGATTACATTATTAGCAAATTATTGCTAATTATTTTGTATGTGTATTTTTCTCCTGTTTCTCATGCATAGATGCTTCACAGGGCAGGCACCACGACAGACCTCACTTGTATGCTTCATAGCCATGTTGAAGGGAAAAATAAATATGTGCTGAATTGAAAAAGTGGGGTTGAGAGAGAGAGAGAGCCAGTTAGATAAGAAGACCTTTCTTCCAGTCAGCCCTTGGAAGTGTACTTGGAAACTCCTGAGACTGCAGACAATAGTTCTTTCTCTTTCACCTCTGCAAATGAAATTCAGGTTTCCTCCTGGCTGAAGGCCTCTGCTTACTTTCCATGGATTAACGCTTCCAAGTGAGCAGGAATTGACTTGCCAAATAGTCTAATTCACTTGGCTGGTGTGTCTCACTTAAAAAGCCATTAACAAGTCAGACTAGAGGGGTGAGGAATGTCCAATTAAAGCAATTGCTGCAGTGTCCAAATGCCTAGCAGCTGTGCCCTCCTCACACCACCGGCTAGCTATGAAAATAAGATTTTAACACTTCTTTGCTAGCACAGCCAAAACTTTGTCTGGAAGCCATTGAAGCCTGACAAGAACTGCTTAGAAATTGCAAACCATCCTATTTTATGTATATGTGTTTTTAAAGACATGAGAGAAACTTCTAAGGATTAGGCTCTGATTCCTTAGATCTGTCACCCAAAGTACAAGTGACACAAATAAATAAATAAATAAAGTGGGCTTCATCAAAATTAAAATTCATGCTTCAAAAGATACCATCAAGGAAGTGAAAAGACAAACATAAAATGGAAGAAAATGCTTGCAAATCATATATCTGATAAGGAACTTATATTACAGAATATACAAAGCACTCTTACAACTCAACAATTAAAAAAGACAAACAACTCAAAAATGAACAAAGAATGTGAATATGCATTCATCCAAAGATTATATACAAATGGCTAATAAACACATGAAAAGATGTTAAACATTATTAATCAACAGAAAAATGCAAATCAAAACCACAAGACACACTTCATAGTCACTGACATCGCTAAAATAAAAAAGATGGACAATAGTAAGTGTTGACAAGGCTGTCGAGAAATTGTTTCCCTCATACATTTCTGGTAGGATTGTAAAATGATTCAGCCACTTATGAAAACAGTTTGGCAATTAAACATAGACATACCATATGATGCAACACTTTTAAGCCTAAGTATATACCCAAGAGAATTAAAGACACATATATACACAAAACCTGTACATAAATGTTCATAGCAACATTATTAATGACATCCTAAAAGCGGCTATAACTGATAAGTAGAAAAAAAAGATATGGTAACTTTATAGAATGGAATATATGTGGCAATAAAAAGAATGAAGTATTGATACAAGCTATAATATGAATGAACCTCAAAATATTTTGCTAAGTGAAAGAAGCCAGTCACAAAAGCCCAGTCACAAAATCACAAAATTAAAATAAAAAATCAAAAGTCACAATTATATTATTCCACTTATAGAAAATGTATGTCTGGAGTAGGTAAATTTATAAAGACAGAAAGTAGATTGGCAGTTTCTGGGAGAAGAAAGCAAAGGAAAATGTCTATTAATAGATACTTAGTTTGTAGAAGGTTGAAGAAATAAAGCAATTAAAGAGTGGAGACGTTTGCACAACGCTGTGAGTATATTAAAACCCATTGAACTGCATACTACAAACTGGTGAATGTTATAGTAAGTGAATTTTATCTCTATAAAGCTATAATTTAAAAAAGTAACTTATGACTATATACCCTAATCTCTCAGGGTCACCTCCTCAAGTGAAAACATAAATAGTCTTCATTCAGAAAGTAAGAGGGGAACACTAGTCTAAAGAGTATCTTGAAAGCCATGTTAATACAAGGTAAATCGGTACTTTGAGAAGAAATTGATTAGTGCTAGATCTTAGTAACTTCTGGTTTCTAGGTGGCCACAAATGGGATAGTTTCTCAGTCTTCCTAATGTGTCATCCTCTTTCCACCTCTGTCACGTGAACAAACAAAGGAAAAGAAAGAGGGAAGAAGGAAAGGAGGAAATGGGAGAGAAAGAAAAAGGGAAAGAAGGAAAAGGGTAGAAGAGGGAAGAGGTAAAAGGGAAGGAAAAGGAGAGAAGACAAGAGGAGATATGAGGAGAAAACAAGTATTTGGTTCTGAGAGAGAAGTATTGGAAAATACCTGCTTCATATTAGACAGTCAAAATTATGGATCTTCAGCCAAAAACAAAGAAAAATAAAACATTCCTGAAATTAGGATAATGGTTGTTTCCTTTAGAATCTAAGGGGCGGTGATTTGATTAAAGAAAAGCATTAGCTAAGGAAAGGTCTTTAAATAGGAACTGCTAGACTTGAACCCATTTTCCTCATACCAAAGAAGCTAACTGCTCTCAGTTTCCTTAGATAAGATACAGAGAGAAGTTACCTCTTGTAACTGCATACTTAGGGAGATGGTGATATTGAAAAGGCTGTAAAGGAGAAGAAAAGTAGTCTCAACTTTGATACTGCAAATACATTTAAGAATTTTTAAAAGAGGGCATCTGGCGAGAGAGGGACCAAGATGGTCAAATAGGAACAGCTCTGGTCTGCAGCTCCCAGCAAGACCAGTGCAGAAGGAGGGTGATTCCTGCATTTCCAGTTGAGGTACCCAGTTCATCTCAATGGGTCTGGTTAGGCAGTGGGTGCAACCCACAGAGAGTGAGCAGAAGCAGGGTGGGGCTTCACTTCACCCAGGAAATGCAAGGAGCCAGAGGACCTCCCTCGCCCAGCCAAGAGAAGCCATGAAGGACTGTGCTACCTGCCCTGGGTACTACGCTTTTCCCACAGATTTTTGCAATCCGCAGATCAGGAGATTCCCTGGTGAGCCTACACCACCAGGGCCCTGGGTTTCAGGCACAAAACTGGGCGGCTGTTTGGGCAGACACCAAGCTAGCTGCAGGAGTTTTTTCGTATCCCAGTGGCATCTGGAAACCCACCGAGACAGGAGAACAGTCCACTCCCCTGGAAAGGGGGATGAAGCCAGGGAGCCAGGTGTTCTCACTCAGCAGGTCCCACTCCCACAGAGCTCAGCAAGCTAAGAACCATTGGCTTGAAATTCTCACTGCCAGCACAGCAGTCCAGAGTCAACCTGGGACCATTGAGCTTGCTAGGGGGAGGGGCATCGGCCATTACTGAGGCTTTAGTGGGCTGTCTTCCCCTGACAGTGCTAAGGGCACTGGAAGGTTTGGACTGGGCTGAATTCACCACAGCATGGCAAAGCAGCTGTGGCCAGACTGCTTCTCTAGATTCCACCTCACTGGGCAAGACATCTTCGAAGGAAATGCAGCAGCCCCAGTCAGGGGCTTACAGATACAACTCTCATCTTCCTGGGACAGAGCACTTAGGGGGAGGGGTGGCTGTGGTTAAGTCCGCAGTTTCTGTGGACTTAATCTCTCCTGCCTGCCGGCTCTAAAGAGAACAGCTGATCCTGACAAGGAGGATTTTCCCAACACAGTGCACCAGCTCTGCTAAAGGACAGACTGCCTCCTCAAGTGGGTCCCTGACCCCTGTGTCTCCTGACTGTGAGAGACCTCCTGACAGGGGTCGATAGAAACCTCATACAGGAGAGATCCGGCTAGCATTAGCCTGGTGCCCCTCTGGGACAAAGCTTCCAGAGGAAGGAGTAAGAAGCAATCTTTGCTGTTCTGCAGCCTCCACTGGTAATACCTAGGTGAACAAGTTCTGGAGTGGACCTCCAGCAAACTGCAGCAGACCTGCAGAAGAGAGGCCTGACTGTTAAAGAAAAACTAACAAACAGAAAGCAACAACAACATCAACAAAAAAGACCCCCACACAAAAACCCCATCCAAAGGTCATCAGCCTCAAAGATCAAAGGTAGATAAATCCATGAAGATGAGGAAAAACCAGTGCGAAAATGCTGAAAATTCCAAAAACCACAATTCCACTTCTCCTCTAAATATTCACAACTCCTCTCCAGCAAGGGTACAAAACTGGACAAAGAATGAGATGGATTTGACAGAAGTAGGCTTCAGAAGGTGGGTAATAACAAACTCCTCTGAGCTAAAAGAGCATGTTCGAACCCAATGCAAGGAAGCTAAGCACCTTGATAAAAGGTTACAGGAACTGTTAACTAGAATAACCAGTTTTGAGAGGAGCATAAATGACCTGATGGAGCTGAAAAACACAGCATGAGAACTTCATGAAGCATACACAAGTATCAACAGCCAAATCAAGAGCTCCTGAAGGAAGCACTAAATATGGAAAGGAAAAATCGGTACCAGCCATTGCAAAAATACATCAAAATATAAAAACCAATGACACTATAAAGAAACTGCATCAACTAATGTGCAAAATAACCAGCTAGCATCAAGATGACAGGATCAAATTCACACATAAAAATACTAACCTTAAAAGTAAATGAGCCAAGTGCCCCAGTTAAAAGACACAGACTGGCAAATTGGATAAAGACTCAAGACCCATTGGTGTGCTGTATCCAGAAGACCAATCTTACGTGCAAAGACACACATAGGCTCAAAATAAAGGGATGCAGGAATATTTACCAAGCAAATGGAAAGCCCAAAAAAAAGCAGGAGTTGCAATCCTAGTCTATGAAGAAACAGGCTTTAAGCCAACAAAGATCAAAAAAGACAAAGAAGGGCATTACATAATGGTAAAGGGATCAATGGAACAAGAAAAGCTAACTATCCTAAATATACATGCACCCAACATAGGAGCACCCAGATTCATAGAGCAAGTTCTTAGAGACTTACAAAGACACTTAGACTTCCATGCAATAATAGTAAGAGACTTTAACACCCCACTGTCAATATTAGACAGATCAACAACACAGAAAATTAATAACAATATTCAGGACTTCAACTCAGCTCTGGAGCAAGTGGACCTAACAAACAACTATAGAACTCTCCACTCCAAATCAGCAGAATATACATTCTTCTCAGCACCACATGGCACTTATTCTAAAATTGACCACATAATTTGAAATAAAACTCTTCTAAGCAAAAGCAAAAGAATGGAAATCATAACAGTCTCTCCAACCACAATGCAATCAAATTAGAACTCAAAACTGCACAACTACATGGAAAGTGAACAACCTGCTTCTGAATGACTCCTGGGTAAATAATAAAATTAAGGCAGAAATTAAGAAGTTCTTTGAAACCAATGAGAACAAAGAAACAATGTACCAGAATCTCTGGGACACAGGTAAAGTAGTATTAAGAGGGAAATTTATACCATTAAATGCCCACATTGGAAAGCTGGAAGGGCCTCAAAGCTATACCCTAACATCAAAATTAAAAGAACTAGAGAAGCAAGGGCAAATGAATTCAAAGCCTAGCAGAAGACAGGAAATAACTAAGATCAGAGCAGAACTGAAGGAGATAGACCTACAAAAAACCCTTCAAAAAAATCAATGAATCCAGGACCTGTTTTTATGAAAAGATTAACAAAAATAGACCACTAGCTAGACTAATAAAGAAGAAAAGAGAGAAGAATCAAATAGACACAATCAAAAATGATAAAGGGGATATCCCACTGATCCCACAGAAATGCAAACTACCATCAGACAATATTATAAACACCTCTATACAAATAAACTAGAAAATCTAGAAGAAATGGATAAATTCCTGGACACATACACCCTCCCAAGAGTAAACCAGGAAGAAGTCAAATCTCTAAATACACCAATAACAAGTTCTGAAATTGAGGCAGTAATTAATAGCCTACCAACCAAAAAAGCCCAGGACCAGATGGATCCACAGAGGAATTCTATCAGAGGTACAAAGAGGAGCTGATACCATTGCTTCTGAAGCTATTCCAAACAAAAGAAAAAGAGGGACTCCTCCCTAATACATTTTATGAGGCCAGCATCCTGTGTCTGGCAGAGACACAACAAAAAAAGAAAATTTCAGGCCAATATGCCTGAATAACATCGATGTGAAAATCCTCAGTAAAATACTGGCAAATCAAATCCAGTAGCATGTCAAAAAACTTATCCACCGTGATCAAGTCAGCTTCATCCCTGGAATACAAGGATGGTTCAACATGCGCTAATCAATAAACGTATTCCATCACATAAACAGAACCAATGACAAAAACCACATGATTATCTCAATAGATGCAGAAAACGCCATTGATAAAATTCAACATTACTTCATGTTAAAAACTCTCAATAAACTAGGTATTGACGGAACGTATCTCAATAAAAGCTATTTATAACAAATCCATAACCAATATCATACTGAATGGACAAAACCTGGAAGCATTCTCTTTCAAAACGGGCACAAGACAAGAATGCCCTCTCTCATCATTCCTATTCAATATAGTATTGGAAGTTCTGGCCAGGGAAATTAGGCAAGAAAAAGAAATAAAGTGTATTCAAATAGGAAGAAAGGAAGACAAATTGTCTCTGTTTGCAGATGACATGATTGTATATTTAGAAAACCCCATCATCTCACCCCAAAAACTCCTTACGCTGATAAGCAACTTCAGCAAGGTCTCAGGATACAAAATCAATGTGCAAAAATCACGAGCATTCCTATACACCAACAATAAACAAGCAGAGAACCAAATCATGAATAAACTCCCATTCACAATTGCTACAAAGAGAATAAAATATCTAGGAATATAACTTACAAGGAACAAGAAGGACCTCTTCAAGAAGAACTACAAACCACTGCTCAAAGAAATAAGAAAGGACACAAACAAATGAAAAAAAAATCCATGTTCATGGATAGGAAGAATCAATATTGTGAAAATGGCCATACTGCCCAAAGTAATTTATAGATTCAATGCCATCCCCATCAAGCTACCATTGACTTTCTTCACAGAATTAGAAAAAACTACTTTAAATTTCATATGGAACAAAAAGGAGCCTGTATAGCCAAGACAATCCTAAGCAAAAAGAGCAAAGCTGGAGGCATCATGCTACCTGACTTCAAACTATACTATAAGGCTACAGTAACCAAAACAGCATGGTACTGGTACCAAATCGAATAGACCAAAGGAATAGAACAGAGACCTCAGAAATAACACCACACATCTACAACCATCTGATCTTCAACAAACTTGACACAAACAAGCAATGGGGAAAGGATTTCCTATTTAATAAATGTACTGGGAAAACTAGCTAGCCATAGGCAGAAAACAGAAACTTGACCACTTCCTTATGCCTTATACAAAAATTAACTCAAGATGAATTAAAGACTTAAATGTAAAACCCCAAACCATAAAAAACCTAGAAGAAAACCTAGGCAGTACCATTCAGGACATAGGCATGGGCAAAGACTTCATGACTAAATCATCAAAAGCAATGGCAACAAAAGCCAAAGTTGACAAATGGGATCTAATTAAACTAAAGAGCTTCTGCCTGGCAAAACAAACTATGTCAGAGTGAACAGGCAACATACAGAATGGGAGAAAATTTTTGCAATCTACCCATCTGACAAAGGGCTAATATCCAGAATCTACAAGGAACTTAAACAAATTTACAAGAAAAAAACAGACAACCCCATCAAAAAGTGGGCGAAGGATATGAAAAGACACTTCTCAAAAGAAGACATGTATGTGGTCAAAAACATATGAAAAAAAGCTCATTATCATGGTCATTAGAGAAATGCAAATCAAAACCACAATGAGATACCAACTCACACCAGTCAGAATGGCGATCACTAAAAAGTCAGGAAACAAGAGATTCTGGAGAGGATGTGGAGAAATATGAACACTTTTACACTGTTGGTGGGAATGTAAATTAGTTCAACCATTGTGCAAGGCAGTGTGATGGTTCCTCAATGATCTAGAACAAGAAATACCATTTGACCCAGCAATCCCATTACTGGGTATATACCAAAAGATTTATAAATCATTCTACTATAAAGACATATGCACACGTATGCTTATTGCAGCACTATTTACAATAGCAAATTCTTGGAACCAACCCAAATGCCCACTGATGATGGAATGGATAAAGAAAATGTGGTACATACACACCATGGAATACTATGCAGCCATAAAAAAGAATGAGATCATGTCCTTTGCAGGGACTTGGATGAAGCTGGAAACCATCATTCTCAGCATCCTAAAACAGGAACAAAAAACCAAACACAACATGTTCTCACTCATAAGTGGGAGTGAACAAGGAGAACACATGGACACAGGGAGGGGAACATCACACACCAGGGCCTGTTGCAGGGTGAGGGGAAAGGGGAGGGAGAGCATTAGGACAAATACCTAATGCAGGCAGGGCTTAATACCTAGATGATGGGTTGATAGGTGCACCAAACCACCATGCCACATGTATACCTGTGTAACAAACCTGCACATTCTACACATGTATCCCATAACTTAAAGTAAATTTTTTTAAAAAAAAGGAAAAGAAGGTATCTGGCAACATCACCCTAACACTTGCTCCCAGCTCTGTTACAGACGTGATGCACTCAGCATGCAGTGACCGCTAAGATCTTCCCCCCAACTCTAGCTCATCCCAGCTAGGAACCAGCACTCCTCTCCCCCAGGGTTTTCCTTTATCTCATTTTCCTCAGTGTACTCTTTTTTTTGTGATTACAAATGTTCTTCCAATCCTTAAAAAAAATGAATTTAAAAGAGGAAACAAAATAATTTCTTCCTAAATGAGAAAAATCCAAAGCCATATAGCCTGTGATTGTGGAAGCTGCTTTTGGAATGAAAGGAAAAGGTGGGAGAACAACAGCTAGTATTTGCTGAGTGACTTCTATGTACCAGGCACTATGCATATATGATTTTTAATCCCAATTACAGCCCTGCAAAGTAAGGATGATCAATCCCATTTAGAGAAATCTTGCTTTCTAACTCCTACTACTCAAGACTCACATTCAGAAGTATTAGAGGATATCCGCCTGCACTAAATTACAATACTTTATGTCTAGAGCAGGCTGTCCAATAGAAATGTAATGTGAGTCACACACATAATCTTAAATTTTCTGGTAGTCACACTAAAAGTGAAAAAAAGGGAATTCATTTTAATAACGTATTTTATTAACCCACTAGACTCAAGATATTATCATTTCAACATGTAATCAATATTTTTAAATTTTAATGAACCATCTGATATTCTTTTTGTGTACTAGACCTGTGAAATACAGTTTGTATTTTACACTTACAGAGTATCTTAATTCAGACTATCCACATTTCAGGTACTGCTATAGTTTGGATATTTGTCCCATCCAAATCTCTTATTGAAATTTCATCTCCAGTGTTGGAGATGGGGACTAATGGGAGGTGTTTGGGTCATGGAGGAGAATCCCTCATGAATGGATTAATTCCATTCCTGGGGAAGGGAAAGGGTGAGTGAGTTCTCACTGTTTTCATTCCTGCTAGAGCTGGTTGTTTAAGGGAGCTTAGCACTTCCCACTTTTCTCTCTTGCTTCCTCTCTCACTATGTGATCTCTGCACACACTGGTTCTGCTTCACTTTCCACCATGAGTGGAAGCAGTTTGTGGGCCTCATCAGATGCCCAACCTTGAACTTTCCTAGATATCAGAATTGCGAGCCAAAGATACCTTTTCTTCTGTATAAATTACCTATTTTATATATTCCTTTATAGCAACACAAAACAGACTAAGAAAGGTACTCAATAGCAACATATGGCTAGTGACTACTATTTTGGACAGTGAAGCTGTAGAAGACTCTACAAATTTAAAATTATGACATGTACTATCCTAATAATTTTGCACAATAATTCCATGACACATTTTGCAAGTGAGTAACCTGGTAACCAGGAAGTTAAATAGCTCAACTAAGTCACAGAGATTATTATAATTTTTTTTCAGTAAGAAAGAGAAGGGTTGAATAGGTAAATAAAAAGATTATATAGCTGTTAGGTGCAAAAGTATCTTAAACCTAGTTCTGCTTTTGGTTCAGTGCTCTTTCAAAAGTACCTTACAATTTGGGTTTTTCCAGCGATCTCAGTCAAACTTGGAGATAGATAAAAATGGGTATTAAGGTAGGATAAACTGACAGAACAAAATGACCCCAAATTAAATGGCTTGAAGGCAATAGTTTATTTCCAAATGTTTTGTTTCTGTGTGTGTGCACGTGCCTGCTCACAAATGTATCTGTATGTTGTGGGAGGCAATTGGCTCAACAGTCATTCAGGGACTCAGCTGAGGGACAGATCAGCTGACTGGCTTCCAAGATTGCTCCGGGCATCCCCATCCCAGGTGTCTGGAAGGAAGATAAGAACACAGAGAATTGCTTGTAGGAAGTTAATGGCCAAGACTGGAAATGGCACACATCACTTCTACTTACATTCCATACCCATGAACACTTAGTCTGATGGCCACACTTAACTATAAAAAGGCTGAGAAATGGAGAAGACATGATCAGACTAAAGGGGAACAAGAGAATGGATTTGGCTGGACAGTTAGCAGTTTGTGTTCAGCATTAGAGAACTAAATATAAGTCTGCCAGGAAGTGAGACAGAATTGCTGGTAAAAAGTAAAACAAGTTAGAAACTTTATAGAGACCTGAAAGAGGAGAAGAGACAGGCATTTTTAAGCAGTTCTACGTAAAACATCATACTACATATTTTATTCTTTCCAGCATACCACATCACTAGTGAAAAACTAACAGTGAATATATGTATATATGCCATTTATTGAATGCTTGTACAGCAAGACACTGTACTGTGTATTATACCTATGTTATCTTATTTAATTTTCCTAGCAACTTTTTCAAGGTCATGAGGCTAAGTTAGTAATAGTTCTTGGATTTGAACCCACCTCTGACTCCAAAGTGCATACTCCTTTTCCAGAATTAATTTATCAATGGCTACCTTAATAGGAAAAGGCAGAAATGCAAAAGAGGCTAAAGCATTGTGCCTGGGAGGTGAGAATAAAGAGTAAATGAATGAGGATAATTCAGAAGAAAAAGATTAAGGAGGTAACAGACTAAACTTCTATTAGCCTAGGGCCTTCTTTGCATCTTATCTCAGCCCTGTATCCAATTTCATAACAAAGTTGTGGTTGGAAGTTGATGTTTCCGTACCATATAATTCAGTGCTCCTCTGATATAGTTTGGATGTTTGTCCCCTCCAAATCTCATGTTGAAATGTGATCCCTGATGTTGGAGGTAGACCTAGTGGGAGGTGCTGGGTCACGGGGGAAGATCTCTCGTGAATGGCTTGGTGCCTCCCTTGCAGTAATGAGTGAGTTCCTGCTCTGTTTGTTCATGCAAGAGCTGTTTGTTTAAAGAGTCTGGCATCTTCTCCCTTCCCCCCTTGCTCCCTCTCTCACCATGTGACACACCTGCTCCCCCTTTGCCTTCTGCCATGAGTAAAATCTTCCTGAGGTCCTGACCAAAAGCACACACTGGCACCATTGTTTCCTGTACACTCTGCAAAATCACGAGCCAAAATAAAACTTTTTTTTTATTATAAATAACTTAACTTCAGGTATTCCTTTATAGCAATGCACAATGGATTAATACATCCTCTCTCCACATCCTTCCCCCTTCCTCCACGGAAGAGGAGTATTGTCACTGACTGGTCAAGTTCAAGGATGCTGACTTGGGCCATATATTCAAAAACTAGGGTGTTAGAAGAAAGAGCATCACCCTTCTATCTTTTCTCTCCATGTGACCAGGATGATAATAAGGCTGGATCACTCCCTTCAGATTCTTCCTTCAAGGAGGCTAGAGAAGCGAAAAGGACAAGAGGCTCCCCCAGGACTCCAGGCCTGAGAACCCCAGGAGACAGCTGGTGGCCCAAGCCCACTCTGCCTATATTCTATGCCAATGGAGCCCAGCAGCCCCTTGCTTTTGTGCTCACTTCTATCTTACTGGGCCTTATCCTTTTAAACAGTTAAAAAAAAAAAAAAAAAAAGGTTAGTGGGAAACAGGCTTAGTGGAAAAGTAAGGCTGCTTATCTAAACTGTCCCAGATTGAGAAAGACTTTAAATACCTGAATAAAAATTGTGAACCAAAAAAAATCCCTAGACGTTGTCAGTAAGTATAGGATCCATCATATTTGCATGTGATATTTCCTGCCCGAGGAAAATAATCTATCTCACACCTACTTCAACTCTTCCACCTGAGAAAAATCCTGCTCTTACTGTATAATTGAAGTCCAATTTCCTCGCTTTAATAAAAGCCCCCTCTCCCCTCCTCTCCAAAGCTGGTTCCTTCCCCCTCTGAACTCTCACTGCTCTCTGCCTATTGTCTACAGAGGCAATGGCACTGCATTACAATTAGTTATGGCTGCATCATCCATCTCCTCAGCTAAATTGTTGAGCTTCTGGACACAGTATGTCTCGGAATGTCCAGTGCCTAGCCCTGGGCATAGCGGGAAAAATACCCTCAACAAATGTCTGTGGATGTACTAACAAATAAAAGCTTAAAATACCCCGTAATGGCCTGCCTGGTATTTGGCATCTCCTGGCTAAAGATTGACTCATGCTGTGGGCATCCTCTTGCGCATTTTTCACTCTCCATAATGGCCTCTTCTTATCATGCATTTTATTGATCTGTCTGAGTGATGAAATTTATTATTTATTACATTTCTGTAATAGCTTTGCTTCAAAGAGCACGGCAGGATATGTAGAGAATCCAAGGCAATAGCCAGGAAGACCAAAACAAAGGAAGCACAGTGTGGGAACTAGAGAGAAAAGGTAGAAGGTGCGGGCTGGGAAGAAATTGCAAGGGAAAGGCATTGCCAGAAAAGTAGCAGCTAGGACAGGCTCCTGGGGGCCCTGTGCCAGTGCCAGTGTCAGCCCAGCCCCCATCCACACCAGGCTTGTTGGACAGTTTGACAGGAGAAATAATTCGGAAAGCACTTTGAAATGTTAAAAGCATCCTCCAAATGCAAAGTAATGTTATTCCATTATCATTAATCAACATCAATGTAATTCATTCAAAAGCAGGAAGTATTTCATATCCAGGCAAGTGAGGTGGAGAGTTTGAAGTATCTATCTTCCTCTGCTAGACTATATGCTCTTCTAAATCGAGAAGATATTCATTTTTTGCACATGATAGGTGTTTAACAAAACTTTCCACATGACACTGAAACCAGCGTTTCCATCTCCAGAAATATTTTTTTTCTATCTAGAATCCTGGTGAGGGACTGGGTATTAAACATCCTATAAATAACTTCCTTTTATTCTAGTCTGAATTCCCATGAGAAATGGCCCTAAGAGAAAATAACTGGGTTTTTTTCCCTCCATTTATAGTGATTACCTTACAAATTTTTAGACTATGACATCCATTAAACTTCTACCTTATTTCTGAAAAATCAGGCATGGCTTGATATAGGGAAGTATATGTCAAACCTTTCATCTTTTTGAATGGCCTCTTCAATGAACCTAAAGGCTTAGCTAAAGTGGCCTTCATCTCCTCTCACTGCATTAAAGAATTCCACACCAGGCGTATGTAATCCCAGCATTTTGAGGCCAAGGCGGGTGAATCACTTGAGGTCAGGAGTTTCAGATCAGCCTGGCCAACCCAGTGAAACACTGCCTTTACTGAAAACACAAAAATTAGCCCGGCGTGGTGGCGGGCATCTGTAGTCCCAGCTACCTGGGAGGCTGAGGCAGGAGAATCCCTTGAACCCAAGAGACAGATGTTGCAGTAAGCAAAGATTGTGCCACTGCACTCTTGCCTGGGTGGGGAGAATATAAAAAACAGAATTCTTCAATGATTCATTGATCCCAAGTAAGTTATTTCACACCCGCATCATAAACCTGAATCTTCCTCACCGTGGCCCCGTGAATCTTGCCTGGCCCCGTGGCCTATCCCCTTAGCACACTCTCTAAACTAACTGTGAGCTCTTTGAAGGCAGGAGCAAGGTTTTATTGGACTGGGATTCCTAGCACAGGTTCAGGGACTCTGTTCACTGAATGTTAACTAAATCAGGTACCTGCCACTGTCTTAAAGTAATTATTGACAAGATCAAAATGACTATCTTTTATCTGTTGAATTGGCAGTTTTTATCCATAGCTAAGCTTCCTATCTAAAAAATTATTTTAGAACCTTGATTATGCAAACTCAATACATTATACGGAAGATTGCATTTGCACACAAAAACTAAAGTAAGGAGGTATGAATTTTTAAAACCTTCTTCCATTATTCAAAGAGTTTCACCATCAAGTAGAGATTATAGTCTTGTTTATAATCATAAACAAGTTGTGAAGCCTCAGGTACATCAAAATCTTTTCACCTCTCTAAGCTTCAGATTACCCATTTGTAAACTGAAGATACTGGAGATAAAAAACACACTTTGAAGGTTTCTACGAGGATTAGAAGTTTTTGACAATATAGTATCTGACACTTAGTAGGTTCTCAAGTAGTAATCATTGCTTATGTTGTTATCCTTTAAGACATCTACTTACTAATAATAATTAGAGCAAACCCTCACATAGCAATTTTTGTACTCATTTAATCCACACCAAACCATGTGAGGTGGTGTCATGGGTTGAATTGTATTCTTCCAAAACTCGTATGTTGAAATCCTAAACCCCAATACCTCAGAGTCTGACCTTATTTAGAAGTAGGGCCATTGTAGATATAATTTGTTATATTAAAATTAGGTTGGTCGGGTGCGGTAGCTCAGGCTTGTAATCCTAGCACTTTGGGAGGCCGAGGCGGGCGGATCACCTGAGGTCAGGGGTTCGGGACTAGCCTGGCCAACATGGCGAAACCCTGTCTCTATTAAAAATACGCAAAAAATTAGCCAGGCATGGTGGCTGAGGCAAGAGAGTCGCTTCAGCCTGGGAGGCAGAGGTTGCAGTGAGCCGAGATCACATCCTTGCACTCCAGCCTGGGCAACAGAGTGGGACTCTGTCTAAAAACAAACAAACAAACAAACAAAAAACAAAATGAGGTCACACTGGAGTAGGATGGGTCCCTGTCCCAACATGACTGGTACCATTGTTAAAAGGGGAAACGGGACACAGGCATACACAGGGGAGAACACCATGTGAAGATGAAGGCAGAGATCAGGAACACCAAAGATTCCCAGCACACAGCCAGGAGCCCTGAGAAAGAAAACAGTGCTGTGACACTTCGATCTCGGATGCCTAGTCTGTAGAATTGTGACACAGTAAGTTTCTCATTTAAGTCACCCAGTTTGTGGCACCTTGTTACCATAGCCCTAGTAAACTATTGCAGGTGGGTATTCCTATGATTCCCAATTTAAAGATAGGGAAACTGAGGCATTTGAATGAATTTATCCATTATATCAAATGAGAGAAATAACCTAAGAAATAACCTTGGCTTTTGTAGGCATTCAATGTAGGCAAATTTTATTGTATTTTATTTTACTTATTTATTTTGAGACAGGATCTTGCTCTGTTGCCCAGGCTGGAGTGCAGTGGCACCATCATGGATCACTGCAGCCTCGATCTCTCAGGCTCAGGTGATCCTCCCACCTTAGCTGCCCAAGTAGCTTGGACTACAGGCAGGCACCACCACGCGTGGCTAATAGTTTTAATTTTTTGTAGAGATGGGTTCTCACCATACTGCCCAGGCTAGACTTGAACTTTTGGGCTCAAGCGATCCTCCTGTCTCAGCCTCCCAAAGTGCTGGGATTACAGGCATGAGCCACCAGACCTGACTTGGGCAAATGTTAGCACTTGACACTCACATGTATGCTTTTGGGTGCTAAAATTTGGGGAGTAATCCTTTTTTCCTTTTTGAACAATAGCTCTGAACAGTTTTTGTTTTTCCTTTGGAAACCAGAGGCCATCAGCTGAGTGACTGACTCTTGGCACCTCCTACACAGCAGTGCCCAAATGTGAGGCCCTGCTACTTTGAGTTTAACCACCAGCGACTCTGTAGAGAAGCTGAAGCCCACACTCCTTGGTTCTTTGCAGAGGTGGACTATATTTGGGAAAAAGGTAATGTTAGCATCTGATTATCTAGGTAGAGCCCTCTCAGGTACTTTTGTGAAGGACTCTTTGCAATGTAAATTTGATTGATTTGCTATTATTGCTTGTATTCTTCATCTTCCATAGACCCTTTGGGAGGAAGAGAAAGGAATCCACTCATTCCTGATAAATTGATCCTAGAAACTCTGTTTAGAAAGCTGAGATTGACTATTCCATTTTATAAAACAACAACTTTTCAGAGCAACAACAAAATGTTTCTCATGGCTGCCTCTATTTACTAAAAAATGTGTTTTGAAGATTGAATTTTCTTGGAATTGCTACATGGAGAAATTCAGGTGTAGAGCCCAGGTTATGGCATAAGAGCAGGGGATTCTTGTCCAGACATTCACATGAAGATATATAGCACATAAGGCTTTAGCTAGAGATAGGCATCGGCCTTCCTGCTATGATTTGCACGGGTTTGCAAAGCACACAGTTCCAAATTGCTTCCCACTGGCATGTGAGAGATCCTGAAGTCCCACTGGAAAAGACTCAGTCCTTTGAGAAATGTCTCTGAATGGGCATTAAAATGCAAACACTCATTCCTCCAACCCAAGAGCAGAAATTTCCCTTGAAGCATTCCTTCACTAACAATGAAACCAAAGAGGTGGGATCTCAGATCCTAGAAGGGGGACAGAGCAGTTTAGGAGAATCTAGGCCACTACCGGGGGAGGGTACAGAGAAATCTGGGAGGATGGGAAGCAGTAAAGCACATGGAGGGAAGCAGAGGTTCAGAGAGCTGAATGAAGGGCAAGGAAGCAAGGTGGTAAGGTGGATAAAAGCACACACTTCATTATCGCACAAACCTGGGTATAAGTCAGAGCTCTCACACCTAATAATTTTATGTTCTTGGACTAATTATTTAACCTCTCAACCTATATTTTCACATTTATTTAATAAAAATATCAATTGCCAGTAATTCTTAAATGTTTTCATTATCGTCCCTCTAAGGACACTTTTTAGACATTTTTTCTAATTGCTCCCCCACATAAAATTTTAATATCACAGATATACTGTGTATCTGTTTGTATACTGCACATGTATCTGTGCTTTATATATACAAAAAGTATATGGTTGTTGTTAAAAGTAAATGGTATTTCCTCCCAGACTTCACCACTACTGTAATATATCCATGTAACAAAATTGCACTTGTACCCCTAAGTTTATTTAAATAAACATAAATACATAGATAAGTATCTAATATAAAGACTAATGCAGAAAGAAAAAGAGTAAATGATATACTGTAGATGAAGTTCTTAGCAATGAGGATGCTACTCAAAATACTTAACAATAGGCATTACACTGGCACTACTAATCAAGCATTGGGACTGCCCATTTAGGATGGATAAATGCTTTAAAAACTGTCCAACCATACCAGTGCATGCCCTTTGTGGTGGATTAAACTATAGGTCACAATTCTTCACTGTCCTGTAGAGATACCTAGGCCTTCCCTTGGCCTTGTGGTTGGTGGATGCCCTTCCCTACTCCTTGTTTTTGGGCTTACTTGTATGCTTCTTTAGGTCGAAGCATGTTAGATTATTCTCAACTGAAACTTGTAAAGTTTTTTATAATGCTGCTGCTAATCCACATCCCATTCATCCTATCCCTTTGCAAGTGAACCTTTGCAATCACAAGCAGGTCTTCATTATAACTCTCTTAATGTGAATCATATCAGATACCACCAAATCTAACTAAACTGGCCTCTGGTTTTAATGATAATAGTTGTAATAGTAATATTATTATTACTGTAGAAGAATTTGGGAGGAGGTGAAGGAAGTAATGAGGAAGAATGGGTGTGGTAACAATGAACATGTATCGAACATTGACTATTTAATAGATTCTCTTCCAGTCCCTTTAGAGACTTTGTTTTTTGAGCCTATAGCAGTCCTGTAAGGCAGGCATTTCTCATGTACCTGTGTCTCAGAGACTTGATGAGGTTAAGTACAGTGTCCAAAGTCACATGGTTCCTAGGTGGTAAAGCCAGGAGTTGCTCCAACTTCAAAGCCCAGGACTGTGTAAAGACAGCCTCCTGGATTACACACTCAGCTGACAGTGGCTCATCTCCATCTCGGTCTATCTCTACTTGACCGGCTCCTGCAAACCACTGGGGCCCCGCTTTAACGCTCAAGTCAAGAGTTCATTATTGCTCAACCACAGTTTTTTCTGGTGGCTTCTTCAACAACACAGGTTACCCTGATGGAGGAGAAACAACAGTCATCCAGCACTAAGGGGCAGGGACTTGGTGATGGGGAGGACAGGGAGCTGTGATACAGTTCAACAACAGCCCCGCTATCTGAGGGAAGAGGAAGGACTTAAGGAGAGGACCTTCTCCGGTCAGATGAATTGCACAAAGGAGCCTTTCCGGGGAGGATCCATTAGAAAAAGGACCCCTTACTCCCAGATGGCCAGAGCACAGGCTTGGTCCCACCTGAGTGGAATCCAGATGGGCTCTGGATTCCAGCCCACTCTGGCAAGGCCCTTTGTTCGAACCCAATTTGCCCATCTGGACCCAGCAGCCCTGGAGTGGGGTGAGTGGACCTCCCTGTAGATCATCCAGTACTATTCCCTCCAACACCACCAGGGTAAGCCTAGCTGACAACACAGAAATAAGCTCAGAGGCCACCATACAATGGATAAATACTACAAACTCTGGAAAAGTATACTTCCTTGAACTACATCAGTCATAGATAGGGATCTTTTCAATATTGTTGGTTACTGATGTTTCTTTCTGTCCAGCGTCAACCACTATAGGTAAAACAATTCTGAACATGCTTTCTGTAAAGTGGTACAGTGTGCCGCAGAGTGAGGTTCTGGTACCAGACTTCATGGTATCAAAGCCTGGTTCTGTTTGTCCAAACCATACGACCTTGGGTAAGTGAAGTTTCTCCCTTGAAAAATGAGAATGGTAGAAACTACCTCGAAGCCTTGTTGTCAAAATTCAGTTAGGTGTTTCAGCTATCACACAGAACAAATCACCTCAGTTATGAATGGCTTAAAACAACAACACTTCAAAAAGTTAAAAAATAGAATTACCATATAATCTGGCAATTCCACTTCTGGGAATATCCACAAGAATCTAAAGCAGGGTCTCAAAGAGATATCTGCACACCCATGTTTTTAGCAGCATTATTTACAACAGCCATTTGGATAAAGGCAACACAAGTGTCCACTGACAGATGAATGGATGAAAAAAAAGTGACATATACCTATAGTGGATATTATTCAGCCTCACAAAGGTGGATATTCTGATATATGCTACAACATGGATAAAACTTGAGGGACATTATCCTTAATGAAATAAGCCAGTCACATAAAGATATAGCATGATTTCACTTGTATGAGGAGGTATCTAGAATAGTCAAGCTCACAGAAACAGAAAGTAAAATGGTAATTGTGAGGGAATGGCAGGAGGGAGAAACAGAAGTTGTTGTTTACTGGGTATAGAGTTTCAGTTCTACAAGATGAAAACGTTTTGGAGATTAATCGTACAACAATGTGAATATACTTAATACTGCTGAATTGTACGCTTAAAAATAGTTAACATGGTAAATTTTATGTTCTGTGTATTTTACTACAATTAACGATAAAATAATAAAAAAAAATTTTAAAAAACAAACATTTGCTTGGTTTATAATTCTGTGGGGTACCATTTGGTTTGGGTCTTGCCTGTAGCCATCTGTTAGCTCAGCTGGACCTGGCTTGTTCAAGATGGCCTCGCTTGCATATCAAGGGGTTGTGCTAGTTCTGTGGCTGAGCCTCTTCCCTCCATGGTCATTCATCCCAGCTCTGGGTTCCAAGAAGCTGAGAGAGAAAGCAGCAGTGTCTCCCAAGGCCTTGTCTTGCAAAATATCACCTTCACCACAGTTTATTCACCATAGAAAGTCAAAGGGCCAGACCAGATTCAGAGAAGGGGAAAATAGACTTCCCTCACAGAAGGAGGTGGGGCAGACAGCAAATTTACATTGCAAATGTGCGTGCATAAACAATGAAAGGATTATTACTGTGATCTCTATAAATAATCTAACACTTAAAATAACAGAAGTAAAGCACTAAGGACAGTGCACATAGTAAGCACTTAATAAACAGTTATTGTTTTATTGTTGTTACAATTCTTAAAATTCCAGGAATGTTTGCCAACTGGCAAATGAGTTGATTCTGATACCTTTCTAATGTATTTCTTCTAATCAAAGAGAAAAGGAAAAGGCATCAGTTACTAACAGGAGTCTATATTTCACAACTAAAGTCTTAAATAAACACACACATACATATATAGGTATATTAAAGCAAACCAGACTACAGTATGAAATTTAATAATACTAATCTCATACTTTTCCTATAAATTGATTCAATTCAGTAGACTTACCTAATCATAACAACATAAAATTAAATTACTTTGAAAAAATACTTGGACTCTAGTATATTGCCATAGGACCCTAAAAACTCAGCTAATAAAATAAAAGATAATTTGAAAATAATGTAGATCTTTCATCATGAACAGTATTTAAGTATTTTTGCATCCTTCTTTTCTTTCATCCTATTAAAGCTCCATAATTACAATTCTCAAATATAGTAATAACAGAGAGAACACAGATAATGAACTCTACGTAGTAGAAACCAAATATAATAACAAAATAAGGTGTGATATGCTTCAAACTGTTCTTAGGCAATTGGTCAACTTCTCATCTTAACGCTTATATGTACTCCTTAAGGTTTGGGAAGAAGTCACTGCTGAAATGTCATTGAATTTTCATTAGAAAAAGATAAAGAAATAATTTGGCTTTGTTTTTCACTCCTGTTGTACTGCATTCTATTATCAGCAGAAACAAAAGTATGAGGAAGTTGGAGTTTCTAAGCTAAGTCATCTATAAGCAAGTGCTAGCCCTTCAGTGACCCACTAATCTCAGATCTCCTATTTCCAAATCTTTTGAGGATAATGTTTGAAAAGGTTTTCCTTTATAGTTTTACATTTTAAAAAAAGAAAAGCTGTTGGCCATTGATCTCTGTTGCAAAGAGGCCCCTCTGCTCCTCCCTACTGGGCGCCATGTGAATGGGGTTCACCGTGAGATGGTAATACCTAATGCATGCGTTGACATTTAGCAATGTGCTTTACTGCTCTGCCCTTTCCACACGTGGAACAGCAAGTGGGAGCAAGGCTGCATCTCTCACAGGTCAGCCACAGCCCCCACCCCAAAGCTAGGAAATGCTAATGTACCTGAAGGAACAACAGCTACATGGAATCACCTACCTACAGAGACCATGAAATTAAAACGTGCTCCTGGACAATATCATTTCTTGCCCAACTAGGCCCTCTGGAAATAAACAAAGACCAACCAAATGAGAACAAGCAAAGGCTATTTATTCTGAGCTTGCTAGAGGCAGGGAGTCAGCCACACTGTCACTTGCATTTTGGCGGAGACACAAAGGCAGGAAGAGAAGTGGGAAAGCTTTATCCTGAAAAAAAGGAAGGTTTCAGATGTGCCCTAATTAAAGGTTATGGGTGCAGGGAAGCTGTAGGTGGTCTAACAGGAAGTGGGGCATCCTGTCTGATTTGTTAGGGGTGTGTTATTTGGCTGTCTCTCGTTCATCCTAAGTTAAAAATGGGGACACAAAATTAGGGAAGCTGCCAGTTATTGATCAAGTCCTGGCCACTTGAGGTCAATTGTTGAAGTTATTGTTTAGCTTCCTAGATGGTTACTGGAGATTGCAATCTGACTTGTTACAAGTCTAACTCATGGCAGGCTAGCTTTCTGGGTTCTTTATTGAGAATAAGGAGTCAGTTTCCTGGGCGGGTTGCTGCAGGTTGTGGGTCAGGGTTCTGTTTTCATATAGGGTCTGGCCATTGTCCATTCATATAATCAGTCTCTCAGCCCTAAATGAAACCAGAGCGGGCCCATGAGCATTAGCCTGGTGAGTCTACTCTGAATGTGCTAAACCCTGTCTGTGGGTGGCTCCTTCTCCATCCTGCACTATTCTCTGCTCAGATATCTATCAACGTTAATCACCTGAAGATGACCATCAATGCGCAGGGTCCTGACTGGCATGACCTTCTCCGGGCAGAAACCGTTGTTTATGTTGCTTCATTTCAAATTTACAAACTAAGAAATACATGGCAAACAATTTGAATCTAAAAATTCACACTCAGCTAAAATAAAAGGGGTTACACACTTTATGTTTTCTGACAGAAGAAAGTACAACTCATTTACAGCGATAACATTTTTCCTGAAAGTAAACCAAGTGAGTTGTCTGAGAAACCGATAATTAAAAAATAATTTGTAAGACTGGCATAATAGTTCCTCTAGAGCTCTGAGACCCGCTTCCTACCAGGTTTTAAAATGTGCTGCTGTGGTTTGACCTAGAGTACAAAATAGACAAGGAAATGTGGTGGATTAAAGCAGACAGAAAGTAGGGCAGAAATGAATTTGAAAGGGGGCTTCACATGGTTTGCCCCAAACTGATCTTTCTTCGCAAGGTTACTGGGCCACCTAAGAATTAACCTAATGCAAGTATTTAAGGAAAAGAATCAGATTTGTGCCATAAACTTCTCAGATTAGTGGAAGACAGAGGACAGCCAGAATATATGAATAAGTGTGTGAGAGAAAGCTACACTTTAGTGGCAGAGATTGTTCTTACAGGAATCATGATTTGAAAATAGCATCACTGAAACCACAGGACTTTGCTTAAAATTTGGCACCCTTGAACTATAATGTTCTAGAACACTTTTAGTGGTAGGCAAACTTCTGTGTAATGGTCTATTTCATATTTCAATAGGAAAATTTATCCTAGTCTAGAGCAGACGTATTTTCCTGCAATAGCCATCTTTCTGTCTTGACTCCTAACCTCAATTCTCTTGGGCCTGAAGCCAACTGTAGCTGATTGGTGTTTACCTCCAGATACACGCTTTGCTAACAAAGTAATGAAATTAAATGTTCCACAAATGAGTACTTGCAGGTTTTAGACTTTTTTTTCCCTGAACACAGAATCTAGAAACCACATCCCTTACAAAAGGAGCTCAGCACAATATTTCCCAAGCTTTCCATACAGTCACAGCTGCAAATCTTGTGCAGCACTTGAGATACATGCTATATGGTCACATGAGAGCAAATAATACTAGAAATATCCCAGTGAGTTAGTAGGTGCTGATTATTACTGTAATTGAACTTCTAAAAAGAGCAACGAGGAAGTTTTGAAATTTTCTTCCCTAGAGACTTTTAAACTATAAGTCAGAAATTCGCACAGTCAATGTTAGGGTACAGACTAAACTATTGTTAAAATACATTCCAGTAATTGGGATTTAAATACAGATGAGTGCTTGACACAATAACACATTTGCATTTATCTTAGAATAAAAATTCTAAATATCCTCTACAATTTTAATTTATTTTGCAAAGATTTACTGAGAACTGTCTCTGTGCTAGGCACCAAGTTGGTGATAAAGATACAAAGGTAGATAAATACAGTCCCTGCCCTCAAGTGCTTCACTGTCTAGAAGGAAATTGAACTGGACAAATAAACAAATAGCTTTAAAACAATGTGCTCAATTCCACAAGAAAGATTGACCCTGAAGTTCCCAGGACCCCTAATGAGAATGCAATTAATTCTTGCTCAAAGGACCAGAAAAGGCTGACATTCAGGCATAGCACCACCACCATGCTGGTTGTTTACAGCCAGTGTTCATTTTGATTGATCAGGGCCATAGCACTCCTGAATGCAGAGGTGGAAGGCAAGCTGAAGAAGGGAATTCCAGGGTACAGAACTTTTTAAAAATTGAAATACACTTCTTGGATTTACCTGTCCATTTGTACCATCAATTGGCAATTACAGTTGCGTCTGGTTTTGATTTACACTAGGAACTCAAATCACTTTTGGAAAAAACAGCAGCAACAACAACAAAAACCTTTATTCTTGTGGATCAAGAAATATTTCTCTTTTTATCATGAAAGCCAGTTAAACCCATCCTAGAAACTGAAATTACTCTCTCATGTTTCCAGTTGTTGGGAATCCAGTTGATAAAGTTTCAATCAGTGTCCCCACCTAAATCTCATGTCGAATTGTAATCCCCAATGTTGGAGGTGAGGAGGTGATTGGAAATGGGTGTGTGTAGGCGGGATGGATCCTCCCTGAATAGTTTAGTACCATCCCCTTGGTTCTGTTCTTGTGATAGTGAGTGAGTTCTCTCGTGAGATCTGGTTGTTTAAAGGTGTGGCACCCCACCCCCAACTCTCTCTCTTCCTCCTGCTCCTGCGATGTAAGATGCCTGTTCCCCCTTTGCCTTCCAACATGATTTGAAGTTTCCTGAGGCCTCCTCAGAACCACAAGCCACTCTGCTTCCCGTACGGCCTGCAGAATAGTGAGCCAATTAAACCTCTTTTCTTTATAAATTTCCCACTCTCAGGCATTTCTTGATAGCAATGCAAGAATGGACTAATACACCAGTAAAATTCCATTTGCCATCACTGATAAATTCCTAATAACTGAATTTGTAATCCCTGTTAATTGAATTCAATCCTCTAGAAGAAAAAACAGGTTACTCCAACTAGACCGAAGGAAGCCATGAAGGCTCCCTTGGAGAGCAAACAGGCCCCACAAAAGGGGCATCCCCTCCCTGGATTGGCACTAAATGACAGGGCAAATATCAATCACAGATGTACCTTAGGAGATAGTCAAAGGAAATTCTCTTTTTCAGAAGAAACATACAGCATTAAGTCAAATTTCAATATTTCACACCCTCTACTATCTGCCAGACAAGAAGGAAAACCCTGAGCGTGGTGTTTTATACCCACAGTCTGGGTGCAATTGATTTACTTTCACTGGAATCATTCATCTATCTGGACGGAAAACATAAACGTCAAAAGCAGCCATAATATATCTGCACCAATAAAGTCATCAGTTATGCTTTCATACCACATAGAGAGAGAAGACTTTATTAACCTTCATGAGGATTAAATGCAAAAATAACATTAAAGAAAATATTTGGTAGTATTTTGGGTGACAGGTGTGTGAATGGGTGAAGTCCAGTGAAATGAGGCTAGTAAGTAATAATTGGGGTCCTAAGCTGAGTAGAAAAAGCAAAAAAATGGGCTCTTAAAATGCCTCTTTTCAAATCTTAAATCCTGTAGTTCCCATACAACACTCATTGCCTCTCATCCCAATTTGTCATCATTTCATCTCTATTGTGCAACTCATGGATGCATGTAACTTATTAGCCAACTATTTCCCCCAGTTTTGCACAAGCTCTTAGGTTAAGTAATATTATCTCCTTACAAAATGAGAGAACATTACCTAGGCTCTCTAAATAGAGTGAAGCATATGGCAGGTTAGAAGCCAGCTCCTGAATAAACAGTAACACAGAAAACGTTCCCTTTGGTGGCCTTAAATGCTATTGGGTTGGTGGGGTTGGGGCAGGGAGTTCTTTCCTCTCTTTAATGGGTTTGTTTTCCTCCTCATGTCCCTCACAGCTCTGTTTCTCATCTTCATTAATGGCTATTCTCAAAAAGAAACTTCTGATAGACTAATTCAGACAAATACACACATCACTTAAAAAGCACAATACATTCTTCACAAGGGACCAAGCCATAAGCTAAAGTCACAGGTTTCCAATTATGAAATTTCTGCATCTATATATAGAAATGGGGACTAGGGAGAGACTGTTCTTTGGATATAAGGCATAAGATTCAAATATCAGATTAAATCTCATTTCTAGAAATTTAGAGGCCTTTTAAAGCCTTTCAGCATAAAGAATTTTGTTGCATCAAATACACTTTGAAATAAGGATGGCTTTGCCTTGTAGATTAGCAGGTGGGTACTGTTTCTCAGTGGACAGAAAAAAAAAAGGAGGGCTTCAGAAGAGTATTACAAGTGTCACTGCATTGGCTGCTGCTCAATTCGTGTTCCCAATCCACAAATCAGGAAGCATCCATCTGCCTAGGTAGCTCCCACTCCTATAATAACAGGCTGACATCCCTGCAGTCTGAAATAAACCATGCTGATCCCCCTGGGTTTTCTGCTGTCATCAGATGATCACAATAGCAACTAAATCTCCGGGGGACCACAACTCCAGACCAGATCTCTTTTTCTTAAAGGATTCACCAACCTGCCAAAGTCACTTGGTGAGAAAACTGCGTTTTAATACAAGACAAAGGCTACCTTACCATGGAGAACTTTTTATCAGGCTGATTTAAGGGAAATATTTCTATCCACCTAGGCCCCTTGTCTCTTTGGAGATATCCTGAGAAGCTTATAACTACCAAAATCAATCTCCAGCACCAGAAATCTTTTGTTTCATAAAACTTAGAATACTTAGAGGTATTTGTTATACTCTGTGTTGAAGAAAGAATCAATTTACTATTATTTAACATAGGAGACTGAGATACCTCATCCAGGGGACAGGCAACTTGATGTCCAGATTATGTAAATCATTTGCCTGCAAGAAGGCAATGTTGATTCTAGCACTAACTCTCTAAGTTTATCTCAACTCCATCTAAGTAAAGAATGTGTCTTCTATCCTTTTGCCCATTTATTCACAATATTTAATGAGCATTTACTCTGGGCCAGTACCTTCCTCTGGGCTGGGAATGCATAGATAAACAGAATACATTCCTTGTCCACAAACTTAGTGGGGAGAGGTGATGAGTGTTATAAAGGAGGAGAAAAGATAAAAGAGCAGCATTTTGTTCCTCACAAAGTAAATAAAATCTCTCCAGACAAGGTGGCTCTGGAGTAAAATCTTGAAGGTTTCAACAGGCAAAGCTAAGGATGAGGAAAGGACATTATAAGTAGAATGATCATCAGGTTCAAAGGCAGAGAAGTATGGAAGCATCAGGAAATGTTGAATAATAGGTCAGTGTGGGGTGAGTCTCACGTCACGGCTGGTGGCTGCATGTAAAGCTAGACGGGTTTATTTCTTACTAAAGAGTTAGGATATTCTAAATCTGATCAAGGATAGCTTTCAGGGTCTGACTCAAACTCTGGATCCTCTACACACAGAAGTTTGCAGAAAGACTCAGAGTTTACCAGTTTCCTGACTGCAATTGATGAACTTAGGTGAAAAATTCCTGCTGGAGGCAATAGTAAAGCTAGAGAGATTTTAGGCATAAAAGTTTGCAGGATCAAATTCTTAAAAAAAAAATCATCATGGCATCAATAATCAGGAAAGACTGAAAGAATTAATTAGTATAATAGGAAGACAGAAAGCCCTTGCAATAAAGATAGAAAGTTGTTGCAACATCCCAGAAAACACTATTACACAGGTTCTTAACTACTTTGACCAACTGCAAGATAGTAATATGGATTTATACAAGCTCTGGCCTGGTCTGGATACTTCTAAAAGCACATTTTATTTTTTCTTTTAACTTTTATTTTAAGTTCAGGGGTACATGTGCAGGTTTGGTATATAGGTAAACTGTGTGTCACAGGGTTTTGGTGTACAGATTATTTCATCATCCAGGTAATAAGCACAGTAATGGCACCTGATAGGTAGTTTTTCGATCCTCTCTCTCCTCCCACCTTCCACTCTGAAATAAGCCCCAGTATCTGTTGTTCTTCTCTTTGTGTTCGCGTTTATGTGTTCTCACTGTTTAGCTCCCACTTATAAGAGAGAACATACAGTATTCGGGTTTTTGTTTCTTCATTAGTTCGCTTTCTTAGGATAATGGCTTACAGATCCATCCATGTTGCTGCAAAGGACATGATCTTGTTCTTTTTTATGGCTGCATAGTATTCCATGGTGTATATGTACCACATTTCTTTATCCACCCTACCATCAATGGGCATTTAGGTGGATCCCATGTCTTTGTTATTTTGAATAGTGATACAGTAAACATATGCATGGATGTGTCTTTATGGTAGAATGATTTATATTTCTTTGGGTATACAATGGGATTCCTAGGGCAAATGGTAATTCTGTTTTAAGTTCTTTGAGGAATCACCACTGCTTTCCACAATGGCTGAACTAATTTACCCTCCCACAAACAATGTATAAGTGTTCCCTTTTCTCCACAACCTTGCCAGCATCTGAGTTTTTTGGCTTTTTAGTAATAGCCATTGTGACTGGTACAAGATGGTATCTCATTGTGGTTTTGATTGGCATTCTCTAATGATTAATGATATTGAGCATTTTTTCATATCCCTTGTCAGCTGTTTGCATGTCTTCCTTTGAAAACTGTCTGTTCATGTCCTTTGCTCACTTTCTAGAGGGGCTGTTTGCTTTTTGCTTGTAAATTATTTTTTTGTTTGTTTGTTTTTGTTTTTTTATTATTATACTTTAAGTTTTAGGGTACATGTGCACAATGTGCAGGTTAGTTACATATGTATACATGTGCCATGCTGGTGTGCTGTACCCATTAACTCGTCATTAAGCATTGCTTGTAAATTTTTAAAATTCCTTATACATACTGAATATTAGATCTTTGTCAGATGCCTGGTTTGTAAATATTATCTCCCATTCTGTAGATTGTCTCTTTACTCTGTTGATAGTTTCTTTTGCTGTGCAGAAGCTCTTCAGTTTAATTAGGTCCCATTTGTCAATTTTTGTTTTTATTGCAATTGTTTTTGGCATCTTCATCATGAAATCTTTGCCAGGTCCTATGTCCAGAATGGTATTTCCTAGGTTATCTTCCAAGGCTTTTACAGTTTTAGGTTTTGCATATAAGTCTTTAATCCATCTTGAGTTGATTTTTCTAAGGAAGGGGTCCAGCTTCACTATTCTGCTTATGGCTAGCCAGTTATCCCAGCACTATTTATTAAATAGGGAGTCCTTTCCCCATTGCAAAAGCACATTTTAAATGTTTAATTTTTAATGCTTAGAGATAGAACTTTCACTACAATCAAAAATGGAAAAGGAAAAATAATACATACACAAATATATAAAAAGAAACTTTCAGAATCCTCTTGTTCAAGAGGATGACCACCCAGTAACAGAAAAATCACTCTCCTGTCCATCATTCACATTACAGGGCCAAAAACACAAGTTCATTCTTTCAACACAATCAAAGCTCACGCCAAGACCTGGATAATAAAGTTTTGCAGGGGATATTTAATAGTGGAGATATTTTTTGAGTCATGACTTTTATATTAATAACTCTTATGCCAATAATCTCTACAGTTAAGTTGAATTAAGTCAGAACCTGTCACTCATTGTAGGGAGCATAAAGAGGCCAATCTTTTCAATGTTTATATTCTTGAGTGTGGAAAAAAATTCATTATCATACTTAAACCTTTTTTGTTTTCAGTTACTGAACATCTGAAATGAAAGAAAAAAGAAGGGTAAGCAAAAATAGGGTAAGAGAGCCTGATTGTTGAATCACTGAGGCATGGGACTATGACTATGAATGAAGGACAGAAGATGGTCTGAATGATACATTCTCAGGGAGCACTGGGGAAGGGGAGCTATGAAGCCCAGAAAGAGGCTAGAGCTGGTGAGAGCCACAGTTATTTTCCACGGTATTTTACGGTATGTAATCTCAAATGTCTACCTTGGCACAACCAGATCCATGTCGTGGTGATAGAATACGACAGCTTCATTATAGGTTATTAAATAATTGACCCCAGGGCATGTGGTTGGAACTAGAACCCAGACCCTGTGGACCCTTCCCAAGCCCAGGGCTCTTTGCTCCATAAAACGTAAGTTTATGATGCAATATGACTTTGTAGTATTAAGGTTTCTTAGGAAATTAATCAAATTATGCGACATGATTATGACCTGTGTGCCTCTAATGTTTTTTACATTGAGGGTTCTAGAACCAAAGAATTTCTTTATACTTATCCATCCATTCCACCCATCACTTCTATCTTCCCAGTAGGAGCAGTCTTAGAACCTTTGATTTACAAAGGCTTCCCACCTTATCCAGTAGGATCTCTTCTCCAGGCTGCACCAGGCTGCATTGATTGCTCCAAAGCCAATCTGGCCATGGGGTGAAAATAAACTGCTTAACGGGCTTGTGTCTCAACAGGGCAGGACCACCTATGTGACAACTGTTACCTTTGGAAATATCAGACTATGCACCTGTCAAGACTGGGATGGTTTTCACCAGGCAGTTTTGCAATGTTTTTTGAAAGTGCAAATGTCACAATCAAGTATAATCTGAAGTTCTTGCCCATGTAAATATCTCTGAGAAGAAGAAGAACACAATAACACCATGGCTGGCTGCCCACTCCAGGCATTTACATGAGCTATTCCCTAGTCCAAAGCCCCTAGCCTGCCCCAACAGCTCCACCAGGTTAACACTCACTCTCCTTCAGGACCTGGCTTAAACCCTACTTCATTCAGGAGGAAGTCATTGCGTCCTCCACCAAGTCAGCATTAGATCATCCTGCCATGTGCCCTCAAAACACTGTCCTCTAAATTATAATGGCCTGATTATTTGTTTGTATTGGTTGATAGATTACAAGATCTGTGAAGGCCTGAGTAGCCCCATTTCCTGGCATATAGTATGCCCTCAAATATTAGTTAAATGGAATGATTGTCTCAATTAATCATGCATGCAGGCATGAAATATTTTAAAAATGAACCAAACTGCTAAAGTTATTTTACTTTGTATAAAATGCTTGTTTTAAAAAAGAACTGTAAGCAAAGAGGATTTACTTATATAATACACATATCTTCCTTAATGTGAATTTTTTTCTGTCTCTGATGTCTCCTAAAAAATACAAATTAGGTAGATAATTCTTCAAGAAGTCATCTAGAAGCAGACTGTTACATTGCAGGGAAAAAAATTCAAGAAAGTTTATTCTGTCTTCATACTTCTGGTGAAATTTACCAGCATATTAGGTGAGATCTTGTGAAATTTGAATCAAAGAACCCAAAAAATTTTAAAAAGTTATGACAAAAAAGACAATTAATAGGGAATAAGTATTTCTACTTTTGAGTTTGCCATTACACATTTTCAAGCAAAAGTGGTGCCTACAGATAACAATAATAAGCCTCCTTCTCATTCACCACTGTGTACCCTCTCTATAACAACCACCACGAGTCACAGGAATTGCTCAGGGTTGGGTGCTGCAGCAACTCAGGAAACCAGAGCAAGATCCAGAACCGCTCCCCTCGGGTCTAGAAATGCAACTCTCCAATCCTAACTTATTTAACACAAGAACTATGACTGCGTTAAAGGACACCAAGATTATGTATGAGTCCTTTTCAACCACAGAATTTGATTTAGTTACAGACAGAAAATGGCACACTATCAAATCATGCCACTTCATATGTGATATGACACATCCACCACATCCAGTCCCAAGGGGCCTCATGCCTCTTACTAACACACTTTTAGTGATGTATGGCCAAAACCCTTTCACCATTTAGGGCCCCTGATCGCCAGGAAAATCGCCATGTGATGGTTCTAGGGAGAGCACATTTCTGTGCCCAGGGGAAGCTGGCCTCAAGGACCCCCTCAGACTCCAGCACCTGCTTTGCTGCAGAGACAAGCTAGGATAAAACACCAGGCAGAGGGTTCACATCTAAGAGCCCAGAGGTTTGCATCTGCACCTGCTCTGCCTTTGCCACTGAATCACATGGGACCTCAAAAACATTTCCTGAGTTCTCAATACTTCAGGCTTCATTTGGTTTTCTAGGTTGATGAAAAGAATATAGTTATAAACTTAAGTGAGGGGCTGGGAAATAGCTAAGAGAGAAGAAAGAAAGATTATTCAACCTTGAAGGAGGTAGCAGAAGCAGAGCAGGAACAGCCATATCCTGTGTGAGCATATGTTATATGCAGGGAACCAAACTGCAAATGCGAAATATCCCATATCATTGAATCATCCCAACTAGCTACCATGGCAGGAATCAGTATCTCCATTTTACAGAGGATAAAGAGAATCTCCGTAGGTTCAAAACACAAAGCTAGTTTCAGTTCCTTTACATACTTATTATGTGACCTTGGGCAACATATTACTTAAAATCTCAAGGCAGTTTCCTTAGCCATAAAATGGGGATAATACTACCTACACTATATAATTGTTACAAGGATTAAATTCAAAATACATGCAAATCCCTTAGTGCCTGATATGGTAAATAACTAATAAACATAAATAGCACAAGTAATTATTGTCTATACTACAAATGATGGCAATAAAAGTGCCAGTAACAATAACAAATAGAACAATCTTTTTGTGAAGTGGCAGAGCTGGGATTCAAACATAGATCTGCCAGATTCTAAAGCCTTTGCTCTTAATTCATACATCTGCAATATAACCCTTAGCTAATAAGAATTAAGCTGCAGGAATGGATGTATCCAGGAGGAAAAGAAAGGACGGAAAGAGGGGAGGCATGGAAAGAAAAAGCAGATAAATGTTGATATATAAAAATAAACATGTGAATACATACATTATAGATATAATTTTTCCTTTAGAAAATGGTGAACAGCTTTTCTTTTAAAATTGTATATGCACATGTTGCATTGTTTCTTTAGGTCAGGTATTTTACAGTAGATATAGTTATCCTCACCATACCAGCTTGGGGCTGGAGAATCTATCTGATGGAAGGTACTCAATAAAGATTTGCTGATTGAGCTTTCTTTCCAAGGAGATCTTGATTAGAGCAGAAGGGCAAATACTCTAGCCTCCAAGGTCTTTGACATGGGCAGGAGGCTGCCTCCTCTGGAAAGGCTGCAGGACTGCTCTGCCTGAAGGTGGCCTCCGGGGCCAGGGTGAGTAATCAGATCCATATCCAGCCCCAACCTTTGATAGTCTATTCAAAGTTGGGTTTGCAGAATGGCCATAATCAAAAAAATCAAAAAATAATAAATATTGGCATGGATGTGGTGAAAAGGGAACACTTTTACACTCTTGGTGGGAATGTAAACTAGTACAACAACTATGGAAAACAGTGTGGAGATTCCTTAAAGAACTAAAAGTAGAACTATCATTTGATCCAGCAATTCCACTCCTGGGTATCTACCTAGAGGAAAAGAAGTTATTATACAAAAAAAAAATTGCACACGCATGTTTATAGCAGCGTAATTTGCAATTGCCAAAATATAAAACCAACCCAAATGTCCATCCGCCAACAAGCTGATAAAGAAAATGTGGTATATATATACCATAGAATACTACTCAGCCATAAAAAGGAATAACATAATGGCATTCACAGCAACCAGGATAGAACTGGAGACTACTATTCTAAGTGAAGTAATTCAGGAATGGAAAACCAAACATCGTATGTTCTCTCTCATACGTGGGAGCTAAGCTATGAGGACGCAAAGGCGTAAGAATGATACAATGGACTTTGGGGACTCAGGAGAAAGGGTGGGATGGGGATGAGGGATAAAAGACTACACATTGGGTACAGTGTTCACTGCTTGGGTGATGGGTGCACTAAAATCTCAGAAATCACTACTAAAGAAGATATTCATGTAACCAAACACCACTGGTTCTCCCAAATCCTATTGAAATAATAATAATAAGAAGAAGTTGTGTTTGCAAAGTCACAAGGAAGCAGTCATCAACCTGGATAGGGAAGAGGAGGCACTATTTATGCTGAGACTAAAATATTCAGTTCTGCCACATATAGAAATAAAGATTTTGCTGAATATTGGACAATAATTTAGACTATGTCATCATGTTAGAAATACAAAACTTGATTCACAAAGCTTTTTCCACTTCCTCTGGATTATGATTAAAAGAAAAATCTAGTTCTAAAAATGAAAGGGATTTATGATCATAATTTAATTTCCTCTTCTCAAGAAAAACACACAAAAACACAAAACAAAGCTGAGGATTTTCTTTAAAAATTTTGTCTGTCAAGAACATTATTAATGAAGTAGAAAGAGGTTTAAGTTTTTCGCAGGGAGTTAGAGGGTACTATTATGATTTCAAAACTTACATCTTAAAAGACCTTTGAATTGATGGATTTAATCATGTATGAAATTAAAATGAGGTGTTATCTTAAAAGGCTAAATTTATTTTAGTACAATTTGAAGATTTTAATACATGTCCAAGGCTGACTGTTTATCAGTGTTGGCATTTTTAAAATAACAAGGGATGATGTGAGTATTTTTTTTCCGAACAAGATTTGTAATTTATGTAGCAGGAACAACTTTATGTGCCAGTGATTTGTCCTCCTGCCACTGTAACTGATGACAAAGCACTAATTTTTACACATCAAAGAAATTAAACCTAGCTTTCCTGTGCATTATTGACCTTTACTGTACACAAAGCAACACAGAAGAAACAAATTACACTGCAGTAAAGTTTTGGATTTCCTTTCCACATTGGATTTCACTCAATGGTTGCATGAAACTGCTGACCAATGAATAAAGTTTTGTTTTTAGAAGATGCTGTTCCTGTTTGATGCAGGGGGAGAAAAGAAGAAAGAAGAAAAGCTTGAAAGTGGTCACTGTACCCACATATTATTGGATTCATCCTTCAAAGATACAAATTAGGTGGCATTCTTTACAGGATGTTTGTCCAGGCCTGAATAGGAAATTCAAGCTACCACTGGTGAAATTCCAAGGAACCAGAAGATCCCAGAGATCTATTCAACAACAAATTATTGCTTGAGCATTTCTGAAAGCCTGGCACTATACTTGCCCTGGGGATACATTGGCAAACACATCCGACAAAAGTCCTGGCCCTTGTGGGGCTTATATTTTGTTAGAGGAAAACATACACATATATGCGTATTTGTGTGTGTGAGTCTGTGTCTGTGCGTGTGTGTGTAAGAGAGATGGGGATAGAGAAACACTAAAAAGAAAGAAGGACAAGGAGTCCAGGGAAAGGTTGTAATCTGAGCAAAAACATGAGAGGAAATTGTCCAGATATCTGGAGGTGAAGTATTTCAACCAAGAAGAACAGCAAGTGCAAAGACCCTGAGATGGTGCATGGCGGGGCTTAAATAACATCTATGAGACCAGTGTGGCCAAGGCAGTGGATGAAAGCAAAAGAGTAAGAGATGAGGAGAGGGATGAAAAGAAACCTTCTGGAAGTTGAATCTGCCAATAAACATTTAAGTCCCTTTAAATTCTCAACAAAATCTGTGAGGTCTTTGTAAATCTCCAGCGCCTGGCAAGCCCACCATCTCTAGAAAGCACTGTAGTAAGCAAATGCTTCCCTACATCCATCTCCTGAAGCTGCCACCCAGTGGACTGCTTTCTATCCTCTGGAATACCAGAGAGAAGAACTGAACCCAGCTTCCTAAAATAGACCAAGCAGGCAATGTTCAAGGCGGTTACCTCTTCCTACTCTTCTTCAGGACAAACTTTTTGTTTTCTTCAACATGTCTCTTATAATTGCCATCCACTCACTGTCCCCACACTCTTCCTGATACGCTCCAAGATTTGGGTGGGGCATTCGGAACTACATGCAGCATGCATTTTTCCATGCAAGTAACTTAATAGACTACGTAAAAGTGGAGCGAACAGAAATCGTCAAGACCTCCCTCAGCCTAAACCAGTGGTTCTCAAATTAGGATCACCCGGGGCAGGGGAGGGGCATGAAATATCCCAATGCCAAAGCTGCATCCCACATCAATTAATTAATCTCTGGCAATAACCCAGCCATTGGCATTTTTAACTTCCTAGGCGTTCTGATGTGCTACTCTGCATACCTTATTCCTATTGCTAAAATCTAAATTCTGGCAGCCACATCACACAGTGAATGACATTATTTTTTAATCCACAAGTCTGTTGCACAATGAGGTTAAACTACATGTCCTCTGTCAATTACTGTTGCAGTTTTCTTAATTATTATTTACCCATATGAAACTTTTAAGGATTGTATTCAGCTTATCTTTTTGTCTACTAAGGTCCCTCTGAATTCTGATTCTTACTCCATCTTGGGTCATCCACAAATTTAATCAGTATATCCTTACTGAAGTCAGAGACAGAAGCACTGGCTAGCTAAATGTGAAGAACCACTCCACAACATTCTACTAGAAACCTTCCAGGCTATGTTCATGCTAGCTTTTAATATCACCATATTTGATATGAGCACCCTATTATGCCCAATTTGAGGATGAAGAAACAGTGATTCAGAAAAGTGAAATGGCTGCCTGGGATTACACAGGTTAAGTGAAAGCCAAGAATTGAAGGTAGGTCCCTATCTAATTTCAAGTCTCATGCTCTCTTCGTCAGCTACTTCTCATGACTGGTTAACTCATTGGCAACTCACCCAACTGCCCTACGACCCAGTAACCATTTCTTCAATGACAGCATAAGGACTTTTCTAATTTAACTTGATGAAAACTGAAACTGACTATATCAATTTTATTTCTCTAATAGTCATTCAAAAGTTATTTGTTGAGTACCTACTGTGTGCAAGAACTGCAAATATTTGGCAATAAAAACAAATAATTCCTTTCTTTCATTGAAGCTTAGATTTTTATTCCAGTCACTGAAGTAAATGTGTAGTAACTTAATTTTAGTGAATGCTTGGTGGCTTCTAATTATCACAGCTTCCCTTAATGTGTACTCAGAAATCAATCTTTTGTAATTTGTTCTAGAACCTTTTCCAGAATTTATACTGTAACAATCTTAAAAACATTTCAAGAGGTGAGACTCCATCTCAAAAAAAAAATTTTTTTTCAAGAGGTTGCTTTGAGTATATGAGAAGTAAGAAATTTGGCAATTGTATTGCATCATGAAAAGATGAAAATACCAAAGCTAGCTCTAGGTCAGCACTGAGAGAGCTTTCAGAAATGTTCTACATCTGTGCTGTCCAGTATGGCAACCACTAACTCATGTGGCTGTTGTATTCTTGAAATGTGGCTAGTGTGACTGAGAAAATAAATTTTTTATTTAATTTTAACTTAAACTTAAATTTAAATAGTCACATATGAGTAGTGGCTGCCATATTGGGCTGTGCGGCTAGGGAGGAATCTAGGTTATGAATTGACTACCTCTCAAAGGGGAAGAAAAAAAATAAAACCTTATAGACTCATTCCTTATAGCCTTTGCTTTTTGCTCTTTCTTGGGTTTCTTTCAATTATATTTAATCCCTTTTTCCAAAAACATTCTGAGATGCAGGTGGCCCATTCATACAGTCATATACGGTAAGCATTCACAAATGATGCAGTGGTCATACGTGGAATTCATACACTTTATCTCTGATAACATATCCCTTTTGTGAGATGTTCACCATCTAAAGCATGTAGTCTGAATTCCCTTAATCAGATGATGGTGGCCAGGAGAGGTAGATGACTTCATCTGCTGGGTTATGCCCAGGCAAGGCAGTCTCCTGGGCAGGATTTAGAGGAAGAATAGACACCTGCCACTATTCACCTCCCTAAAAGATTGCATGTTCACCATTTTAATGTGCATGTGACAAGCACTCTGCTGGCCTGTAAATTAGCACATCTCTGTGATTTTAGTTGGAATAAATAGAGCAAGGGAATTTGTTTTTAATAGAACAGAAACTGGCATAGGTACTTTGATTGCAGTATTTGTTGCTTTCAGGTCAAATATTTTTCAGCATAATGATACTAAGAAACTACACCATCATGAAACTTTTAAAAATTAACACAAGCTACTGTAACAAACAACCCACAATCAAATTTCCTTGACTTAAAACAATAAAGGTTTATTTCTTGCTCAATCACATTGTGGCTTCATGTGCATTGATAGGGGCTCTGCTCCATGTTGTGTTTCGAGGACACAGCATACTTCTGTCTTATGCCTCCACCATCTCCTAGCACCCTCCAGTCAGTAGATAAAGGAAGTCAGAAAATGCAGAGGATCATGCAGGAGGATTTTTAGGTTTTGAAGTACCACATGTCATTCCTAACAGATCCCATTGGCCAGAATCCAACCCCATGGCCCTACCCAACAACACTTGAGAGTGAGTTGCACAGTTCCCATTATGTGCCCAGGAGGAAAATGATCACATAGCATACATGGTCTCTGCCACTATCCCTAATTCGGATTATTTGAAAAATAGAACAGCTTGAATTAATAAAGTCATTCATTTATTAATTCAGCTATTCGTTTCAAGCATATGCAGTAAATTTAACCATTTACCAAATGTTTCCAGCACAGAACGGGTCAGACTTTGTAAGTGTCAGCTGTTTTCTTTCTCCCTTCCTGTGTTTTAGACTTGCCAGTGGCACCCAAAAATACTGTCTAGCCCACCAAGTAACTAACAAAATAGTACAAAAAGAAAATTCATGACCAAGAAAGCATCCCTTATTTCACTGAGCGGATGAGCTTCCTTATAAAAATCCTGAAACATTTCATGATTAATTCCCAAAGAATTTGCATTTTTAAATCAACCACCTGAATTTCAAAGTGGCCTGAAAAACCCTCTTTTCTAGCGGGGAAAAAAAAATTCAATTGTTGAATTGCTTCAATATTGTGTGGTAGAAGTGGAAATAAGCCCTGATGCTTCCTAAATATTTAGCAGCTTAAGATACACAGGTCAGGTGCTTTTTCCTGAAAAACTAAGGCTTCAAACTCCTCTTCAGGATCCAACAACTGAGAATCTAAACTCCAAGCCATCAGGAAGTATTTTTCAAACAATCAAAAAAACGGAAGCTGCCAAAATAAGGCTTTTGATTAAAAATCAACATGATGTCTACAAGCACAGGCTGGGGGCCCCAGCCTGCCGAGCCCTTTGAGAATGCTGCTTATGGGACAAACATGGTCCAGAAAACACCAATTTAATTTTAACAAAATGAGATTGTCTGGAAGCGTTTCACTATACTTAACATAGGGGAGCAGTTTCCAAAAATGAGGCTTAGATTTTTGGAAATAACAATTAGGAAGCTGTCTAAGGGGCAAGATCCAAAGTATAATTATTGCTAAATGGAATGTTTTTCTGAGGATGGAAATGAAGTCTTTAACATAGCTCCATGAGCCCAAATGGACAGAAAAGGTATAAATTAAACGTTGTTTTTGTTCTAATATCTACTGGATATGCTTAAATAAGAAAGTCTGGCAAGTGAAAATTGTTATGAACTGAATTATGCCCCCCAAAATTCATATGTTGCAGCATTAATTCCCAGTATGACTATGTTGGAGATGGGGACTTTATTTTATTTTATTTTTATTCTTTATTATACTTTAAGTTTTAGGGTACATGTGCACAATGTGCAGGTTTGTTACATATGTATACATGTGCCATGTTGGTGTGCTGCACCCATTAACTCATCATTTAACATTAGGTATATCTCCTAATGCTATCCCTCCCCGCTCCCCCCACCCCACAACAGGCCCCGGTGTGTGATGTTCCCCTTCCTGTGTCCATGTGTTCTCATTGTTCAATTCCCACCTATGAGCGAGAACATGCGGTGTTTGGTATTTTGTCCTTGTGATAGTTTGCTGAGGATGATGGTTTCCAGCTTCATCCATGTCCCTACAAAGGACATGAACTCATCATTTTTATGGCTGCATAGTATTCCATGGTGTATATGTGCCACAGTTTCTTAATCCAGTCTATCATTGTTGGACATTTGACTTGGGTCCAAGTCTTTGCTATTGTGAATAGTGCCTCAATAAACATACATGTGCACGTGTCTTTATAGAAGCATGTTTTATAATCCTTTGGGTATATACCCAGTAATGGGATGGCTGGGTCAAATGGTGTTTCTAGTTCTAGATCCCTGAGGAATCGCCACACTGACTTCCACAATGGTTGAACTAGTTTACAGTCCCACCAACAGTGTAAAAGTATTCCTATTTCTCCACATCCTCTCCAGCACCTGTTGTTTCCTGACTTTTTAATGATTGCCATTCTAACTGGTGTGAGATGGTATCTCATTGTGGTTTCAATTTGCATTTCTCTGATGGCCAGTGATGATGAGCATTTTTTCATGTGTCTTTTGGCTGCATAAATGTCTTCTTTTGAGAAGTGTCTGTTCATATCCTTCGGAGATAGGGACTTTAAAGAAGTAATTAAGAGTAAGTGAGGTCATAAGCATGGGGCCCTAATCCAATGGACCAGTGTCCCCATAAGAAGAGGAAGAGAGGCCGGGTGCAATGGCTCATGCCTGTAATCCCAGCATTCTGGGAAGCTAAGGCAGGTGGATCACTTGAGGTCAGGAGTTGGAGATCCTGTCTCTACTAAAAATACAAAAATTAGCCAGGTGTGGTGACAGGTGCCTGTAACCCCAGCTACTTGGGAGGCTGAGACAGGAGAATTGCTTGAACCTGGGAGGCAGAGGTTGCAGTGAGCTGAGATCATGCCATTGGACTCCAGCCTGGGCAACAGAGCGAGACCCTATCTCAAAAAAATAAATAAGAGGAAGAGACAGTAGGAATATATGCACAGAGAAAAGTCCATGTCCATGTGAGGACACATAGAGAAGGAAGTTGTCTGCAAGCCAAGGAGAGAGGCCTCAGGAGAAAGCAAACATGCGAACACCTTGATTGGAGATTTCCAGCTTCCAGAACTGTAAGAAATATATTTCTGTTGTTTATGCCACCCAGCCTGCAGTATTTTGTTATGGAAATCCTACCAGATTAATATAAGGGTGGATACAAAAAGAATCATATTATGTTAGTACAGGTGTCCAGGCAAATAGATATTAGACTTGGTTCAATATAGATAAGGTTCAATCATAGATTTAGAACAAAAGGCAACCACAGGAAACACCTGCTAAATAGAAATGTACTATAACTTCAGCATACTAGTCAGAGAAAGGGTAACTGTGGTTCACATGGGGAAGGAAAACCCAAAAAAACTAAGGTACATAAAGGTCTCAGACACAACTGCAATATGACAAAGAAGGCTTTCAAGACACTATGTTGTTGACTTCTAGAAAATGCAGCTCTAATCAGGACAATTAGCTAATGCATGTGGGGCTTAAAACCTAGGTGATGGGTTGATAGGTGCAGCAAATCATAATGGCACACATATACCTATGTAGCAAACCTGCATGTCCTGCATGTGTATTCTGGAACTTAAAGTAAAATAATAAAAAGAAAAAAAGAAAAGAAAAAAAAAAACGCAGCTCTAATTTCAAGTGGACCTGTTATGGGCACTGACCAACCAAACTAGTTGGAAAATGAAACTGGCTGGTTGGAGCCCCTGGAGACAACGTTATCTTAATAGAGTTGTTTGAATATAACTTGAGGGGCAGCAATTCAGATTCAAAGCCAGGAGCCAAAATAAACCCCAAGATAATCCTCTAGAGAGAGTGGGGCTTAGATTCAGCAGGAAGGGTGGCCCGGGGGCTGCACAGAGGCTGAAATCAGACCTGTAGCTCCAAGTCCCCTACTGAGTAAAGAATAACTGACATAGCCTCATAAGTCATCCTGAGCATTTAAAATGCTAGCAAATGTCAATTGGTTCTTTAATAACTTTTAAACAACTGTTGGGGGAGTGGGGCACCAATGGCTTCATCTTGGGACACTTCAAGATTCCCGTCGAGTAAGCTAATCTCAGTTCCCGAGGAGAAATACCACCACCTCTTCCACTACCTTCTCCTGTAAAGACACCTAGCTAAGTTATAGCAGAACAGCTGCTAGCCCACATGATACCTTTGTGTGTATTAGGAAAAGGTGTCCCCTGTGAGGATACAGTCCTACATCAGATGCAAGGCTTGGCAAATGAAGCACAGGCTGGCATTCAGTACACCCTTGGCCCCTCATCCTGGCATGCTTGACCAGGATGCAATCTGCACAACCATATGAGATGCTCTGATATAAAAGCCAGAGCTTATGAAGCCTTATGAGCCACAGTGCTTTGACACAGTAAAACATTCACGCTTTTATCACAGCATAAGCTCAGGGGCTTCAAGAAGCACTCCAAGTGCAATGGACTCCGGGTAGAAGCAGACATTATAATAGACACAACCTCAAAAACCTCCTCTGAAGACAATGCAACTTAGCAATCAATCTACCAAGTAAACATCAGAGTAACAGTCTGAAAATTCTACAGAATCTTTGAAAATACGCAGGACCAAATAACAAAAGGCCAGAGAAAACTCCAGCAATTAAGCAAAATGAGCCACTAGACACAAAAGCTTTGACAGGAGAACTACAAAAGATAAATTTATCATTAAAGATGAAGATTAGAAGGTTTCTGGGGACCAAATAAACTGGTAACTGGGACAAGAAAAGTTAAGGAAAACGAGCTTGAGAGCAAGAGAGACCTTATAAAATCTTTATCAGCACTACTTGTCTCCAGAGAAATGTGAAAAAAATACCCCTAGAATCCAGGTAAATCCAATAGGAGAGAACGTTTAGTATGAAAAGTATTGATGATGCATCTCGCTCCAAGAACAGTGTGACTGGAAAATGGCAGAGGCAGATTTTTTTTAAAGCAATAATTACTTTAGAAACCCCATCATCATAATGGAAAGAGATTCCTGCTCGCCCCACCTTTCCAGACCCACCTATATGGACTCATATGTGGGCCACTTCCAACCTTTTGAGGTGTGATTTAATGGCTTGACACTAAAACGTTCCCTGAATGACTCCCTCAGAAAGTTAGACTGTAAAGCCCTCAGATTTCATCCAGATAAGCAACCTCATGGTAAAAGTCCAACTCCAGAAGACAGAGGCACATGGTTTAAGTCTCTGTTCTGTTTCTAGTAAGCTGTGACCTACTGGATCCAAATCTTTTCATAGACTTTAATCTTCTAACCAAATGTTTAGCTATAAACACGAGCTTTCAAAGATAAAGTGAAAATGACCAAACAGTGGCTAAATTTGTGTGACATCTCATCATTTGCAAAGCACTTTCATACTGAATCACTGTTTTAATGATCATCAGGACAGCCTGCAAGTTATAGCATCATCCCAATAGTTACTGTATATCCCTGGGGTCTAGGGGTGCTCCCACTGGTGGTGCCAGGCAGACCTCAGGAGGGCAGGCCCAGGCCATAGGTCTTGGTAGGCCCTGAGATGAGGTAAGTGATGTTTAAGTGGGTTACAGGATCCTGAGTCCCTGAGGCATGAAAGGACTAGCATGGGTTCTGGGTGAACTATTTTTTGGGGGGGGGGGCACTCTTGAGTGGGAACAGCCAGAGATGGCTAATGCAGGCCCCCCCTGAAGCACAGCAGCAGAACTCAGGGCCTGGTTCCTCTTGTGCCATCTCAGGATGGTGCAGCATCTTCACAAAGTAGGTTCTAAGATCATTTTATGTTAGGCACATTGGAGCATGTAAGGTGAAAATCTAACAGCCAGTAAAGAATATGGACTATGGGAATCAATACTGAAGAGAAGATAAATTTAACATTCATTATTTACCATCAATTTGAATGGGGGTTGTGGGTAACCACCTGGTATGGTTTGAATGTCCCCCTCCAAAACTCATGTTAAAATTGAATTGCCTTAGTAATGCTATTAAGTAACGGGGCCTTTAAGAGGTGATTAACTCATGAGACCAGAGACCTCATAAATGAGTTAATGCCATGATCACCGGTGTGGGCTAGTTGTCGACAAAGTGGGGTCAGTCCCATTTCTATCTCACATGTTTGCCACGTGATGCCTTCTGTCTTGGGATGAACCTCACCAGATGCCAGTGCCATGCTTTTAGACCTCCAAGTCTCCAGAATTGTGAGCTAAGTAAACTTCTTGTCTTGATAAACTACCCAATCTGTGTTGTTATAGCCACAGAAAGCTAACGAAGACACTACCTTTACTGTGTATTCTCACAAATGGCACTAAAGCCTATATAGGCAGGAGCAGAAGGAGCAGTTGTGGAGGCAGTGCAGCCCTGAGCTTGGTGGGACAGGCACACAGGCAGGCGAGCCTAGCATCACAGTGAGAAACACAGGCTCTGCAGCCAGACTGCCAGAGCTCAAATCCCACTTAATGACTTGCTAGCTGGCTGGGCAATTTGGGCTCCAATTTGTAAAATGGGGTTAACACCTACTTTGTGGAACTCTGAGGATAGTTAAATGAGAAAAATAGTGCAAACTACTCAACACAGTGACTATTAAAATTATAGAAAGAGGAATCAGAAGTCCAACATAATGGAGTAACATTTCTCTCTTAATATGTGGAAGGAGGCCAGCTGAGACTTCCTTCTTTGGGAATTCTTAAGAAATGTCAATGGAATGAAAAATAAAATAGCATATTGCGTCCTCAAGGGAAGGAAACACCTCTCCATGATATATTGTCTGTCTATTTAGAGGGACGAAAAGTGCTAATTCTGTAGTACAAAGAAAACAGCTTAAATGGAGTTGTTTTGCTGGAAGTTATCATTTAAGCATGAGCTTCATAAAAGCAGTATCTTTACTGTTAGTGATCATTGTTTATAACAATCACCATCTATTGAAGGCCTTTCTAACGACAGCATTTTTTTTTTTTAGACAGAGTCTCGCTCTATCGCCAGGCTGGAGTGCAGTGGCGCGATCTCAGCTCACTGCAAACTCCACCTCCCGGGTTCTCCTGAAGCGATTCTCCTGCCTCAGCCTCCCGAGTAGCTGGGACTACAGGCACCCGCCACCATGCCTGGCTAATTTTGTATTTTTTAGTAAAGATGGGGTTTCACCATGTTGGCCAGGATGGTCTTGATCTCCTGACCTCATGATCCGCCCAACTCCAACAGCATTTTTCCAGCTGTGATCATTAGTGCAATTCCTCACATCTCTGAAAGATGTGGATGTATTTAGTTCTGCTAGGAAATATTGTCAACTGCCTAATCTGTACAAGTGGAAAGCAGCAGAGTTGGGATTTGAATCCAGAACTAACTCTAATGGTCACACTCTTTCCGCACCCCCACTGCCTTCCACAGCCTAAAGGAGAATTAAAAGCCACAAACCCTCAGCTCTCACAGGCTGACAACAAAAGAGGTATAATTAGACTTATCCTGAAAGGTAGCATTATTTTCTGTGCTGTTCCCTGTACTTCAAAATATCCTTTCACCATGGAATCATAGAACTTAAGCACGTAATCATGACTTTTACGGCCTTATTTTTCCATTTCTTGAAATAGAAGCTTCTTGGGTCCAAAGACCATGTCTCACATTTTGTTATATCCTTCTCTGTAGCTAGAACCAAGCCATAATATGAAAAGAGCTCAAGAAATACCATTTAAATAAATGAATGATGTTCTGAAGAGTGAAGTAATGTAAGAACCAAATTGGGAGGATATAACAGTGCTGGCTGTGGTAAGAATCATGAGGGCAACTTCATTCCATTTCAAGATGGAAAATAACACTGACATTCACTGTTTGGGGATCCGTGGTCTAATCTTTAACATCCCTAGTGCTTAATCTGTCAGTCACCACACATAGATTTAGTACTTACTGCCAGGTATTCATTCTCAATTCTTTGAAGCATAAAATCAGCAGCATCAGATAACATAGAGGTGGAAATGCTTTTGGGTTCTTTGGGAGGAAAAATATATGCACTTGCATTATTCCTCAATGCCATTGTAGATTTCCCTCCTCCTTTACAACATCAAAACAGCAGCGAGGGTCTCATTCATAACTGCATGCTAACTTTCCCTTAGGGGATGCCTAAGGGGACAAAACAAGATGCTCTTTTGAAAAGGGATTCAGGTGTCCAGCTGGAATGTCACTGATCCATTTCCTCTCCTCATCCCCTCTATCATATCCACCAGCCTTTTGGCCCCAAGGTCAGTCTTCTGTAGGGAATGATGAATCAGGGCTGACCTGTGTGTCAGGGAACCCTAAGCAAGCAGGGAGGTAGATGGGGAGATGTAGTGACCTGCCCACCATCAGGAAGGTAAAGGGGGAGGCTGTGGACTATTGAGTGTACAAGGGGCTCTTTCTTCTAAAGCAGCCATTCTCTGCACTGTTAACATAGCAGGGCATTTGGAAGCATTTCACTCAGGGAGAAAATCACTGAAACACTGATACAATACTCTTAAAATAACTGCATAAGTTCTTTAGGGTTAAATCAGATCTAAGCTGGCCAATCCTTCATTCAGCACATGTTGAAGGGTGTTGATACTGCACCAAACCTTGTGCTAGGAGACAGGGAATATAAAGATAAAAGATCTGGCCTGACCTCAAGGGTCCCACAGTTCAGGAAGCAAATGACGTTGGGAATAACAGCAGTGGAAGGGAAGTTATAGAATTGCTGACATTTACTGAGGGCTCACTATGTGCATGGCATTTTCCTAAGCACATTTGCATATATCAATTCATCTAAGTCTGCGAAAGAACCCTAAGAGTTAGGGTACTGTTATTAATATAAGAATCCAAGGCTATTGGTACTCAGATGAAGTGCTATGAAAATCTAAAGAAATCTCCCATATTATCTCTCACTCGATTTTCTTGAGACTACCAGTAATAGTTACCAAAGGGCTAAGAGAAGATTATGGAAATAAAACTTAAAATAAGAAAGTTCTACCAATATTTCTATCAAATATTCCCCACATCCCATAGAAAAATAGTGATACTGCCTGATTTTAGCAAGAAGATACACGTCGTGCAATAGGAATATACAGAATAGTGCCATTTGAGAAACACTGCTTCTGGATATCCAGGCTCAAAACCACACCCAAGGACATATCCCCACCTCCACAGTGGAATAAAAAGGACTCTTTCTACCATCAGAGTACTCCCAGAGCACCCAGTTCCACCCAACTCCCCTCTGCAAACAGACAGATCATCAGAGACTAAATGATCTATCTAGTTCTCAATTCCAACTCTTCTACTTTAGAATTTTAAGTAATTCTTCAGATAAGAAGATTAAGTTTTCATCTACTATCTCTACCCCCATATTTATGGCAACAATATTTATAATAGCCAAAATATGGAATCAACCTAAGTGCCCATCAATGGATAAATGGGTAAAGAAAGTGTGATATATATATACAATGGAATATTATTCAGCCATAACTCAGGCATTTGCAGCCACATTGATGGAAGTGGAGGTCATTATGTTAGGTAAAATAAGCCAAGCACAGAAAGACAACAATTGCATGTTCTCACTAATCTGTGGGGAATTAAAAAAAAAGTGGATCTCATGAAGATAGAGAGCAGATTGGTGGTTAGCAGAGGCCACGAAGAGTAGTGGGGGTAAGGGGATAAACAAAGGTTGATTAAAGGGTTGATAAAAGTTGATTAAACACCCTGTTTGATAGAAAAAATAAAAGCTAGTGTTTGATAGATCAGTAGGGTGACAACAGTTTACAATAATCTATGATATATTTCAAAATAGCTAGAAGATAATAAATTGAATGTTTCTAGCATGAAGAAAAGACATATATTTAAGGTGATGGATACCCCAATTACACTGATTTGATCTTTACAAATTATATGTGTGTATTAAATTATCACAGGTACCCTGAAAATATGTATACCTATTAGGTAATTTTATATCTATATAGTAGAATACATAGTGAAAATATATAATAAAAATGTATTTCTAAAAATTTATACACTTTAAAAATACTATTTCCATCTGAATAAACATGCTAAATACAAATCATTTTTAATTTATTCACTAAATATTTACCTCTTGCATTTTCTTATCACTCCTTATTGTCTTTTATTCTTTTGGCATTTAAACATAAACTTTCTTGTAATTTTCCAAAAAAAATACACAAGTCACCTTTTCCCTCATTTGACCATAATCATCTGTAGAGCAGGGTCTATACCACTGATTCTAAATCTTCCACATGCAACAGAATCATCTGGAGAGCCTGTAAAACTTACCAACCGCAGACTAATGCCCAGAGATTTATATTTAAATTGATGTTAAGTAGTTTTATAAGCTTTCCAGACTGTTGATCTAGTTCTCACACATGGCTGCACTTGGAATCACCCGGTGAGGAGGGAGCTCTACAACTGAGTAATGCATGGGCACCCCCTGCGCAGATTCTGATTTATTTGAGCTAAGTGCCCCCTCCAGTGATCTGAGTGCTGCCTGAGTCTCAAGAGTTTTCTAAAATGCTCCAGGTGACTCTGCTCTGAAATGAAGACTGGGAATATCCTCACATTCCTTTGGCATGTACCCTAGGACCTAGCCCAGAACTTGTACATAATTGACTTTTGTAATTTTTTTAATCCGTAATCCAACAATTTCACTTAAAATATTCTAAATTCCAATCCTGCAACTCCCCACAAATTAATCAGAACAAATGAACTTGAATTATATGTTAAAGGTGACATACTTGGCTCTCTATAAGGCTGCAGACTATATCAGGAAGTGTGTTCTTCCTCAATAGTTGATTTCGTCACAATTAAAATGAACTGAAGAACATTCAGATCTCCATATTTAACACTCAGGGTCCAAAGGCCACTTCAATATATACCTAGCAAATCAGTACATTGAAAATACAATGCTCTGAGGCTATATACAGATGACTTGCTTGCATTTTTTAAGACTCTGGGCAGATTTTTCACTGACAAAAAATTGAACTCAACATCCAAGATTGAATGGTTTTATCAGCATGAAAAGCAGGCTATTGGGAATAGGTACTCTGACTGCAAACACTTCACACTTCTCTCATTTATGTTGTCTAAGTATCATCTCTACTTCCCTTTCCAACTACTTATACACACATTCATCTGTTCCTACTGCAGGGTTTCCCAAGAGCCATGACTGGAAGAGGCTGGGGGAGAGAACTTGGGGTGGAGGTGGGGTGCTCTTCACTCTTCTTTGACCCTTAGCTTTATTTAAACAAAGCTTAGGGCTTCACACACATATGTATTCCCTCCCAGGACCTGGTGGAGGCCTTACACAACAAAGGTCTGAATAAATACTTGTGTTGAATTTATTTAAAGCCTTGGAGCTAATTGTATATGTGTGTATGTACATACACACACACACACACACACACACACACACACACATGCATGCACACACACTCTCCACCCACACCTCTTTAAAGAATTGGCTTGGAAGCATCAATGCTTTCCTCTGCTCTCCAGGTAAATATCACTGCCTTTGAGTTAAACCTGAAATCAAAGATGTATTCATGGTTTTGTTTCTCTCTGTGCCACCCTTCCGATTGTAGCCAGAAAATACACCTGATTTGCCCTCTGTGTCCTTCAGGGTACCTCTGACATCTGGTCACTTTACTCAGGAGTGCTGAGTCAGTTCATTACTTTTGCTTTAATGGAGATTCTGTTACTTTACCAAGTCAATGCTCCCAGAGGCTTTACGATAGTTAAATTTTACTAATGCATCTGCCAATATATTTTGCATATGCCAAATGCTGTGTACATAGGGGTTCTTAGTAATTATAAACTTGAAGTTGCCACTCTGCTTCTAAGGACATAGTCTTGTCTTTTTGTATGTCTTTCTGTTACAATCACAAATGATCCCACCCAAAGGCACTTGTTTATCTCCTTTCTGCAGAGGCCTGCGATTTCCACTCCCCGGCTTTTCCACTTCTTTTTCCTCTTATATTTTAATATAGTAGCTCTACAAAAATGTAGTTTATTCCAGTCTTTGAAGTTTTTTTTAACAGTTTTTTCTCCCTACCGCCTATATTCTGACTTCCTAAGCAGGGAAGCTATTATTTTTTTTCCAGACACAGAAGACTGCAAACAGTTGTCATCAGTGACATCTAGCCATAGGACCACCTATACATTCAGTTTCCAACGTGATATGGTTTGGCTGTGTTCCCACCCAAATCTCATCTTGAATTGTAGCTCCCATAATTCCCATGTGTTGTGGGAGGAACCCGGTGGAAGGTAATTGAATCATGGGGGTGGATTTTTCCCATGCTGTTCTCATTGATAGTGAGTAAGTCTCACACAATGTGATTGTTTGATAAAGGGGAGTTCCCCAGCACATGCCCTCTCTCTTGCCTGCCACCATGTAAGACATGACTTTGCTCCTCCTTTGCCTTTCACCATGATTGAGACCTCGCTGGCCATGTCGAACTGTGAGTCAATGAAACCTCTTTCCTTTATAAATTACCCAGTCTCAGGAATGTCTTTATCAGCAGTGAGAGAACAGACTAATACACAACTCAATGATTAACTCTCTTTTGCTTTCTGGTTCTCAGTCTGAACATAAGAATTTAATAATCTTGGCCTTTTTTCCTTCTTTTTTTTTCACACTGCTGCATTGGGGTACAATTTGTTTTGTATTACTATCCTATGAACAGAGGAACTTAGTGAGGACATTTATTATTAATAATCTTCAAATGTCAAAGATTTTAGAGCAGTCTTCCTCCCAATCATAAAAACACTGGACCTTGGGACATTGTATCTCAGAGGCGTTTCTGGTCCCCACTCCATCCTGCCTCCTTACCACCACTGAGAGATTGTAGTCTCTTTTCCTTCTCCACAAATCAAACTGCAAATGGCCTGGATTCCTAGACCTGGAACCAATCAGCACATCTACATAGACACCCTTCCTTTGTTTTAAGAGTCTATTAAATAGTTTCAAACTTGTGTGAGATTATACATGTCCTATATTTATTATATTTTTTCAGAAAAATGTCAATAACATTTAAGCCAAAGACCAGCTCAACCAAAACCATCCAATATTATCTAATTTATGTACAAGGGCTTGTTTTAAGAATATACACATAGCATGGTAGCCACCATCTAATCAGAAAATAGAAATCTAAGCAATATAGGTTATTTCATTGCTCCCACATGCAGGCAACCATCTGAGCTGGTTGAAATAAACAGGGGTTTTTCAAAGACCCCTGAAAGATAGAGGGATCTTTCAAAGACCCCAAAGGCATGGATGAGCTGGGTCTTGGAAACTCACAGAAACTGGAGACTGCAGCGCACCAGGAATGACTGGGAATTCTTTCTCTCTGTTGCTTGTCTTTGCTTCTCCCCATTCATTCTTCAATTTCTGCAGACCTGATTTTTCAGTTTTCCTATTTACATAGCAGAAAATGGCCACACACAAAAGGCATACTGGGAATATGATAGAGCCAATTACAAAGTCTCAGATGCAGGTGCTGATCAGAATAACTTGGAATAGATGCCCAACCATGGTCCAGTCAGTTACTGCTAAAAAGTTTTATTATACAAAAAAGTTTTCTCCCATACTTACCATGTGCATAGTTGGGCAGTGTGAAATTACCAGGAAAGAGAAAACTGTTCAGGAGATAACCCACTACAAATTTAATTTTGTCCACCCACATTTTTCCATTTGAATACACAAACAAGCTCTCATTTAATCAAGAATCTCAACTCTCTCATTTGGGATGGCTGTAAATTTCAACTTCCCAACTCCTTCAGGACAAACAGGACACATAAATTAGAAAAATGAAGGTTGCCAGACCAGAAAATGTAAATCTTCTAAGGGTTTTAATTCATATATGAGCTACAGAGTACATTCCACATCATGTGGGAAATGTTATAAAGCATCTTATTTTAATTAAAAGAGCATTGAAACTATTGCTGAATTTTTTAAGCATGAAATCCAAGCACACAGCACAGAATTTCCTTTGAGTCAAATTAGCATATGGCCACAGGACCCAATTTCAAAATGGTCATGATAAATCACAGCCATTTAGAATGCACTGGATTTTAGTTTCATGTAAATAATACATTACTACCTTCAAAGGTCAGTTATCTGGAGCACATACCACTCTGGAAAAAATTATACAATATTGAACAATGTTGGTATCTGAGACTTAGTTACATGACATCATAACCCTTTGGTGATAGCTACACACCTCTGAATTAAAATGTTAATTTTTCATCAAAAGTGGATTTTATAAAGCAGAAGCACAGCTCTACTACTCATCAACTCCAGGGAATTTTCCTTATGGAAGTGACAAGTGATATCTGCCTAGAAAGATGTGTCTCCATTATAAAGCCTCTACAGAATTCAGCAGTCTGGCCCAGCATCAATCCTTTTAAGTTACAGCATCTGTCTTCAACTCTAAATTTTATGATGCAGAGCTTCTATTTGGGTTATACCAGAGGTAAATGTGGCAATTTTTATAACCAGTCATAACCTTCTATGTCTTGGAGGATCCAATCGTTTCAGAAGAACCCTAATGAGCATCTAGAACCACATGAAACTTGAATTTGTTGAAGGAAAGGGAAGAATTTGAGCCATGGATGGAAACTTTGCTTCTCTTCACAGAGCTAACTCTTCTGAACTTGTCTGACACTGCCACATCCTAGATTTCCTCCTCTGAAATCTCCTCTTCACCAGCCCCTCCACCTCTTGCCATGATCTACCTGGTGTCACCCAGGACCGGCTCTTAGTCCCCAGGCCTTCCCATTCAGTGGAGCCTTTCTTAATTAGCCTTGCCCAGAGTTTCAACTACCCTCTAGTTGCTGATTGGCTCAGTTCTGTCTCCTAAGTTCCAGAAACCGAACTCTACCTACAGATGAAAATCTCCACTTGGCTGTCACAAGGCACCTCAAATCCGACATATCTAAAATACCAGCAATCCTCTCCTGACTTTCCAAGTAAGTATGTCCCTCCTCTTGTGCTCCCTTCATCAGTGAAAAGCACCACTATCTTCTTCAGGACCAAGGCCAGAAACCTTGAGGCAGACTTGATTCCTCTCTCTCCTCCACCATTCATGTCCAATTAGCCACCAAACCCTGTTAAATCTATCTCCTAATTATATCTTAAGTGTACATAGTTGTCTCCATTCCTACAGCCACTTCTTTAGATACATCCAAGCTGCAACAGTGACATCCTGTTTCCCTGCCTCAAATGCTGCCAACCCTCTGTTCATTTTCCATACTGTTACTATAAATGAATGTCCAAAAGGTATAAATCTGGTTAGGTCAATCCCCTGAATAAAATCTTATAATTGCCCACCACTGTTCTCAACATAAAGACAAAGCCAGGTATGGTGGCTCACACCTGTAATCCCAGCACTTTGGGAAACAGAGGCAGGAGGATCACTTGAGCTCAAGCGTTTGAGACCAGCCTGGGAAGCATAGCAAGACTTCATATCTACTAATTTTTTTTAATTAGCTGGGTGTGGTGGCACATGCCTATAGTCCCAGCTACTTGGGGGCTGAAGTGGGAGGATCACTTGAGCCTGGGAAGTCAAGGCTGCAGTGAGCCCTGATTGTGCCAGTGCACTCCAGCCTAGGTGACACAGTGAGACCCTGTCTCAGAACAAACAAACAAATAACAGCAACAACAAAAACATAAATAAAGGCAAAACTCTGTAACAGTTGTTTTCAACCAGGGGCAATTTTACTTCCACAAGGTACATTTGGAAATACCTGAAATATCTGGAGACCATTTTAGTTGTCAAAACTGGAGGGATGGGAGTCACTCTTGGTATTTAGGACAAAGGCTAGAGATGCTACTAAACATCCTATAATGCATAGAACAGTCCCCCACCCCACATCAACAAAGAATTATCCAGCCCAAAATGTTGATAGTGCTAAGGCTGAGAAACCCCAAAGGCTTAGAGGGTCCTGCCTAATCTTTCTACCCTCTTGTCATTTCCTACCTTCTACATCCCCATCTTGACCTACACTCAGTGAACCAGCCAAATTAAACTTCTTCTCAAAGACAGTGGTGTGTGCTGCTTCTCCTCTAGGTCTTACCACACTCTGTCCCTTTTAGCCTGGGATACTGTCATGCTTTTTGCCTGCTTTCTTTACCTAACGAATTCAAAGCCTCCTCTAAGTTTTCAGCTCAGGCATCACTTACCCTAGAAAGCCTTCCCTGCCCCCCATGGATTAGATCCCCCCTTCAGCCCAATTATCTTCCTGCCCTTCCCTTGACATTGTGACATTGTACTGTTTTATAATTGCCTGTTGATTTAGTGTCTCCCAGACTGACAATCAGAGTCCATGCATATTTTTTCCTCGGTTTGGTTCCCAGCATTCAGCACAAAGCCTTGCATACAGTTGGCACACACATATTTGTTAAGTGAATGTAGGATTTAAAATCAACATCATTGGTAATCATCAAACTACCAACACTCTTCATTTAGCACATCTTCATCAGCAATCTTAACAACTAGTCTACATTTCTAAGACCTCTGGCAAGTTCAGAAAAGTGGCAATGATGGCCTGTGATATAAGTCAGGGAGCTTAGAGCCAGTGAAAATTGTTCAGGTGAGTAAAACTGTTGGCAAATCAGACAAGTTTTTGGAACCCAGCCATCTGGCTTTAATAGCAATTAGGCACAGCAAAATAGGACATGCTAGAAAAAATATAAATACTGAACCAGTTACAGTCCCAGCTTATTGTTCAGATAAAAATAAAAACACGGGGTAAACTTCAGTTCTTGAGCAAAGTTAAATGAAAACAAGTGAAAGAATAAGTAGACATCACTTTCCATACATGGATATGAATAAGAGGCATTGGCTTGTTGAGTAGCTAGGAAAGAAAAGGGCATCAAACCTTGCATCTTAGAATCCCTTTACACTCTTTAAAAAAAGTATTGAGAGGCCAGGTACAGTGGCTCACACCTGTAATAGCACTTTGGGAGGCCGAGGTGGGCGGATCACCTAAGGTCAGGAGTTCGAGACCAGCCTGGCCAACATGGTGAAACACCATCTCTACTAAAAATACAAAAATTAGCCGGGCATGGTGGCACAAGCCTGTAATCCCAGCTACTCGAGAGGCTGACGTGGGAGAATCGCTTGAACCCGGGAGGAGGAGGCTGCAGTGAGCCGAGATCGCGCCATTGCACTCCAGCCTGGGTGACAAGAGTGAAACTCCGTCTCAAAAAAAAAAAAAAGTATTGAGAATCTCAAACAGCTTTTGCTTATATGAGTTGTATCTATTGATATTTATAGTATTCATTGTGTGAATTCCTGTGATTCAGTTTCTTATAGTGTGCTACCCAGAGGAGCAGCATCAGTATCACCCAGGAACCTGATAAAAATGCAAAATCATGGCCCCATCTCCGACTTCCTTAGTCAGAAATTCCAGAAGCAAGGCCCAGCAATCCGTATTTTAACAATCCCACCAAGGCATTCTGCTGCTGACTGAAGTGTAAGAACAGCTGCTCCAATTCATCATATAACTAGAGCAAAACTCCATTTTCACAATAATAACACTTATATAGGACCTACTGTGTGCCAAGCTCTGTTCTAAGCTGTTTATACATTAATTCACACAATAATAATACTCTTATATTCCCACTTTACAGATAAGGAAACACATGGACAGTGTCATTTTTGTCTCAACAAATTACAGAAACTCCTGATTTTCCTTAAAGAGAAATCACCTCATAATCTGAGCTTCTGAGCTCTAAGACTCCTTGCAAAAACCTTTCTCCTTCTTACCAACCTCAGTTAATGGCTTCCCTATTCCTCACCCATACTCCTTCAAATTCCCTAATTCTTGAACTGTACAGTCCAACCAAGCCCATGCTTGTTCCTGACTTCCTTTATAGAACTCATGCTCATGGAAGAAGCCCTTGATCCTGGAGGAATGTTGGGGAGTAGGGGATGTTAGGAGCTCCCTAAGACCTTACTAGGGAACCACAAGGTCAAAACTGTCTTTGTGAGAATACTAAAGTGTATTTGCCTTTTATTTTTTTAACCATGTTGACATTTGCACCAAATATACAAAAGCAATGGTCAGTAAAATTGCTAGCGCCTTAGCACAAATTAAGGCAGTGGCTCCAAACTGTGCTAGTAGCCATGTGTTCTTCACAGCCATGTACTCTTCACAGCCAGGTACTCTCAATAAAATAAATACTAGTTTCAATTAAGAATGTCCTTGAAGGAGAAGTAAGAATTATTAATTTTATTAAACCTTGAGTACACATTCTTTTTAATATTCTGTGTGATGAAATGGGAAAATGTATAAAGCACTTCTACTACACACGTAAATACAGTGGTTGTCACAAGGAAAAGCACTTGTGCAATTGTTTGAGTTGCAAACTCAAATAATTGCTTTTTTCATGAACATAATTTTTTCCTGAAAGGAAAATTAACCAAGTAAAGTTATTTATATGTGGGCAGTTGGCAGATGTTTTCTTCTAAATGAATGAAATAATCTTAACACTTTAAGAAAAACAACTAATAGTCATTGATGCCAATGATAAAAACCTTGTTTTCAAGCAAAAATTCGGATTTTGTAAAACTCACATCTGCCATCATGGGCTTGAAAGCTTCCCAGTACATAAAGCCTTTTCTGATGAGATATTTGAGTGGTAATATTAAGGAATGTGATTTTTGGATATTGTATAATGAAATGTGTCAACATCTCAAAGATCTGTATTAACTCAGTGAACTGATATTTTCAAATGACCAATGCAAGATGTTACAAAATCATGCATGAGTGAAAAATCCATTCAAAGTGCAAGCTAGACCAGTGGATTTCAAAGTAACAGAATATGAAAAGTTCATTGATTCCGTTTCAGATTTCACATCGCAACTAACCTTTAGAAAACTACCAATTGGAGTTTTGCTGTAGTAACAAAACAGAATGTCCACAATTATCTGAAAAGGCTGATCAAATACTCCTCCTTTTTCCAATAACATTTGTGTGAGGCTGAATTTTCATCTACTTTTACCAATACAACATATTGCAACAGAGTAAATCCAGAAGCAGATGTGAGAATCCATATCTATGTCTTCTCTTAAGACAGACCTGAGACAGAGTTGCAAAAAATGTCTTAAATGTCTTAAATTTTTTATTTTGGGAAATATAATTATTTTTCATAAATATATATTATTTGTATTAACATGTAATGGGTTTATTATTACTTTGAAATAAATTAAATATTTAAAAATATTTCTAGTTTTAATTTCTAATGCTATCTATAAATATCAACAGATACAACTTACATAAACAAAAGCTTTTTGAGATCCTTAATACTTTTCTTAAGAATGTAGAAGGGTCCTAAAACGCAAGGTTTGAGAACCACTCTTTTAGCCTATAAACTTTCTTCCTTGCATATATAATAGTCCTTTAAGCTCGTACTCTATATCTCAGATTACATTTCTTCCAAACAGAAAGTATATGTAACCAGTTCAGATCTTTATATCTTTATGAACCCAGATTTGAGTAAATAAGACCTACAACCTTGCCCCAGCTTGTTCACTTACTCATGTGACCTTGAGAAAGCTCCCTGGTCTAAGCCTTAGGGTCTCATCTGTATAACAGAGATGATCATAGTGCCTACTTCATTAGGGTGGTTAGGTGGGTTTTATGGATTGCTATGTGTTCCCTCAAAATGTATCTATGGGAGTCCTGACCTCCAGTGTGGCTATATTAGGAGTAAGAAAGTAATTAAAATTAAATGAAGTCAGAAGTGTGGGGACCTGGTCCTATAAGATTAAGGTTCTTGTAAGAAGAGACACCAGATAACCTGTTCACTCTCTCTCTACCACGTGAGGATACAGTAAGAAGGAGGCCATGAAGAAAGTCCTCACTAGAAATCAAATCACTGGACCCTTGATATTGAACTTCTAGCCTCCAGAACTGCAAGAAAACACATTTCTGTTGTTTAAGCCACCTAGTCTATGGTATTTTGTTATGGCAACTTAAGCAGGCTAAGACAGAGGATCAGTAAGATAGGATGAGTAACACAGTTAGCCCAGTCCCTGGTGCATCATAAGCACAACAAATATTCTCCACTAGTATTATTATTATTCATTCCACAAAGATATATGTAGTATCTACTACAGCTACCAAGGCTTTTGCCATCATGGGACTCAGAGTCTGGGGTGGCAGGGAGGAAGCAGTTAAACCAATATTTATTCAAATAAATATACCGTAGTTATGTTAAATGTTGTGGAGGAAATCAAGGACGCTAAGAGAAGATAAAGAAGGGAGGCTTAATGTGAGTTGGTACTTATGGTAATTAGCTCAATTTAGCCATTCCACAATGTACACACTTCAAAACAACATGTGTGTGACAAATATATACAATCTTTTGACAATTAAAAATAAATAAATAAAGACATTTTCTAATGGTGGGGGTCCCCAATGTAGACTGGAAGTGGGGTGGCTACACATGAAGGAAGGCACTTTGAGAAAGTGGGATCTAGACTCCTAAAAAGAAGAGGCCATATTTTTTCCTTTGTGGACCCTACACAGGGTAGAAGAATCTACTTTTATTATTAGATATTTTTTCTACCTAATTTAAGTTATACTCAGAAGCACAAAAGCTTGTTTCTAGTTTTTATATGACACTTCTAAACTTAATGTTTATTCTGGCTTTTATATAAATGTCCTAAGCTTAGCATTTGTTGAGAATTACTAAGAGAAGTAGAATTACCTTCTGGGGAAATTGAAAAATGACCTTTCTGGGCAAAAAAGCAGAAGATAAAAGGATTAATAAACAAAAGTCCCCAGTTCCCCAATTCCTCTGACTAATGTTACAATCGGAAAGAATTTAATTCATAAGGTCAGGCTCTTCAGAGAAGTAAAGACCAGTGGGTGAGAACAAGGACACCTGGGAGTCTATGAAAGTGGATTCCAGTCTCACTGTGGCATGATTTATCCTGATCAAAGAGCAGAAGCCATGAAAAGCTTTGAAAAATGATTCACAGTGCCGAGAAGAACATACCTGTGAATATTCCAGTTAAGGCAGTGCATTTTAACCAGCTGTCCTCAGAAACAAAACATCTTCTTACCAAAACACAAGCCCCTGAAACAAGGCCCCAACGGAATGATAAAAAGCAGCTGAGCCTTCCTGTAGGCAGAGACAATCGAGGAGACCTTTAAGGCTGTGGGTTGAGATAATAAAATATTGAAGCGTGCCTCTCTTTACCTTCTCCTTCGGCATTCTCACAGATGTCCTGTGAGAGCAGGACTCTTCAAAAACTCTTTTTCCAAGTCGACTAGAGAGCAGCTCTTGATAAATCATGAAATGAAATAGCTGGAAGCCAGCAGAGCCTGGTACCAATCTCAGTTCAGGACTACAGGCAAAATTTGTCATGTTTTCTGTGCCCAAAATTCTACATCTCTCACATGAGGATAATGGATTTTGAAGAAAATGAGTTCATATGCAAAAGCAGCTCTGCCTTTTTGGGAAAAAGAAAGTACCAATACAGTCAAAACAGTCCCACATTTTATATCAGTATTATATTAGTTTCTTTAATTATATGATGTTCAGGGCTGGAATTTAATATACATCAATGTTGGGTACTTCTTCCATTCTACATATCTGAAAGGTGTTTTGAATTGTACAAGGGGGAGACCAAAGCAACCTATAACTCAGGCCCCCTTACCCCCACCTGTTCTTTCCCATACCCATCAGTGTGTTTTTCTAAGGGGCCCTGAACTTTTCTGAAATCCCATGACCAGGTCTGCCCCTTTATGCTCAAAAAGTGACTCCACCTCCATCATCGGTAAAAATAAGTCACCATTTTTTACTACTCTCAATTTTCCAGTTTCCTCAATACACAAGCTAATTTACATGCAGCCTACCCGCTCTTCCTTCCCTCTCATTTCAGGAGAACAAGTGTCATTCATCCACTTTAGTCTACTTTCCCTCCTATGACCACATCTCAGCCCTCTAGCTCCCCAGGGACCTCAGCCACCTCTTCTTTCTCTTCAACTTCTTTTCTTATTTTTTAGTTGACACATTGTAATTTTACATATTTATGGGGTACAATTGATGTTTTGATACATATATATGTTGTATAATGGTCAAATCATGGTATTTAGCATGACCATCACCTCATGTATTTATCATTTATACATGGTGAGGACATTCTCAAAAGCCTATCTTCTAGCTATTTTATAATATATCACATCTTAACTGTTAACCACTGTCACCCTTCTGTACAATAGAACACCGGAACGCAGTCTTCCTAATTGTAACTTTGTACCTGTTGACCATCCTCTCCCCATCCTCCTCGCCTCCCATACCTCCCCAATTCCTAGTATCCTAGTAACTGTGGTTCTACTCGGTTTGTTTCTATGATATCAATTCTTTTTTTTTTTTAGAATCCACGTAAGAGTGAGATCATATGGTATTTGTCTTTTGGTGTCTGGTTACTTCAAAGGTCTCCTTCTCCACAAGTATAAACATGCTCAAGGCTTGTCTAAATTTTTTTAAGACAAACAAATGCCCTGACCTCATGCTCCATCTCTAGCTAGGACCTTCTCCACAACCACTCCACTTTCTTCATGACCATGCTTCCTAAAAAGGTATTCCCCATTCAGTGGTTCTCAAACATTAATGTGCAGACAGATTATCTGAGGATCATGGTAAAATGCAGTTTCTGGTTCAGTGAGATGGTGTGGGGCCAGCAACTCTGAATTTTTAACAAGCTCCCAAGTGATGCTGATGTGGCCAGTCTGCAGACCACACTTTGAGAAATAAGTTTCTATACTCTAATTTCACTTCCACTTTTTCTGCTACCAGAACCAATACCAATTTTTAAATGGGCTTCTGGGGATGGGAGTATAAATATCAAATAAATATAAAAACCCCTTTCTTGCTCTTTTTAGATGTCCGTAAGAACAATGGCAGATGGAATCTCAATCCCACCATTTGGCCTGGATGGCTAAAAAGCTTTACCTTACAATGATGAGACCTCTGTAAGTAAATACTTCCAAAATCCAACACCTGAAGTTTTTGCAACCAATGATGGAACCATTATTTTACACATCTGATCAACACGGGTAAATTAAATTCTTGAAGCCCATGTGAGCCACAGGCAAGAACCATTTCTGTACGATTGTGGGAAATTCTGAAATTTGTGAGAAATTACCTCACTAAATCATTTTATTTGTGTTTGCTTATGGGTTTTATTTGCTAATGTTTTGTTTTACTTGACTTGTCTTGTTTTATTTTTCAATATAATGTAAACCAAATCCTTCCAGCATCTGGGCGTATGCTCCAAACTTGCAAAGAAGGAAACTGCAGCCACTCCACGGCAGCAAGAAGTCACTAGGCTGAAAGGTTGGAGTACCATGCACTTTTCTAACAGTTTTGCATTGCTATGAAAAAATCCTTTCTTCCTATCTCTGAGCCTGCCTCTCATCCTACTCCACCCTCCTATCTATTAGGGTAGAAAACAAGTATATAGTCCTTGAATCCTATCAACCTATGATAGAACACTCTAGGACAAATTACCATAAATTACTTTACAGGTGAAATGTCATGAGTGTCACATACTACATTATTTTCGTTTCATTAAATACCAACGAGACATAATGAGTTGCTTTAAAATGAGGGGTTAAACTCTACCCCAAAAGTCAGAAGATTCTTATAAAGAAAACAGTATCCATCTGACAAACTTTCCTTTATCTGTCACACTGAGCTCTCAGAATTCAGTCCACTGTGATCCAATAACTAGAAATTGATCCCCCAACCAGGCTAAGAATTGAGCTTTTAGAATTTCGGTCCCCACTTAATGGCCCTCAGAGATTCTTTCATGCCTCTAAGGTATGCTTAACATCTTAGCCTGGACTATAAGACCCTTCACCAGCAGACCTGGCCTCCATCTCCATCTCTGCAGCACTCTCCACTTGCACCGCTTATACTTTTCTGCAAGAGCCTTTCTCTCCTCCATACCTCCACATGGTGGGAGGAGGGGTCAGAAAAAGACAAAGCTATTTGCAAAATAAGCTAACATTCTCATTTAAACTTAAGAAATTTCAAACTCTACATTCTTGTTGTTGTTATTGGATTTACTCTTTGCTGGCTTCTGATCTCTTATTAGTCATTCTACTCTCTATTCATCAAAGGGCGTATTTGTCTCAGATTGCCACATTCACTAAGCACAATGACGTGTGACTTAATGAACTTGAGTACATCCATAGTTCACTCCCTTGTCTATTGGCCTGTCAGGTTCAGCCCAGACCAATGTGGGGACACCAAGAAGTCCAGAGCCACTGCATACAGAGGTGGATCCAAAAAAGGCAGAAAGGTTCTATGTGCCTGGAGTTTGGGAAGCTATGGACTTATCACAGGGGTGGTGGTGGTAACCATAGGCAAAGGGTACAAATCACTTTATGTAAGACAATAATCTAAGAACTTACTTGCATGAATATGAGCACACAAAGCATTTTCTCCCAGCAGATAGGCACCCTTGCCTGTGAGACCATACAGCCCTGCAGGGCCAGGATCCCTTAAGGAAGCTCCCTTTCCATTCTCCTATGGGAAGAAGGAGTAAGACTTATACCCTCTTGGCCCCATCCAACTCTACCAGAGAGACTGGCTCCAGGCCTGCTGCCCACCAGAAGCTAGTACAGCATAATTCAAATGCCTATGCAGGGGTCTCCATGTTGACATCCTCTGACCCTGTGTGGCCACCCACATCTCCCATGCCTTCCAGCAGGATTACAAAGTACTCCAAAGTTCCTTTGGACCCTTGAGCAGCATGGGATTGAAGTGTGCAGGCCCACTAATATGTGGATTTTCTTCCACCTCTGACAACCCTGAGACAGCAAGACCAATTGTCCTCTTCTGGTTCCTCATCCTCTACATGAAGACAATGAGGATGAAGACCTTTATCATGATCCACTGGCAGTTAATGAATAATGAATTCATTTTATTTTCTTTATGGTTTTCTTAATAACATTTTTATGTATTAATCAATTGTTTATGTTACTGGTAAAGCTTCCAGTCAGTAGTAGTCTATTATAGTTAGGTTTTGGGGGAGAGTCAAAAGTTAAACACAAATTTTCCACTGTATAGGGATCAGTGCCCCTAACTCCCATATTGTTCAAGGGTCAACTTTACCTTGTCAACTGACCAGGCCCAAGTGCTTAAAAGAGTAGGTAAATGGAAGATCAATTTCGCATATACAACAATCCCTTAGAAACATCACCAGTCCAATAGTACATGGGCTAATTTCCTCCCACTCCCACACACACTATAATAATCATTTTCACCCTTACCTACTAAATACATACAGATGTTTTTTTTTGAGATGGAGTCTTGCTCTGTCATCCAGGCTGGAGTGCAGTGGTGTGATCTCAGCTCACTGCAACCTCCGCCTTCCGGGTTCAAGCAATTCCCCTGCCTCAACCTCCTGAGTAACTGGGATTACAGGCACCCGCCACCACAACCAGCTAATTTTTGTATTTTTAGTAGAGATGGGGTTTCACCATGTTAGCCAGGCTGGTCTCGAACTCCTGACCTCGTGATCCACCCACCTCGGCCTCCCAAAGTGCTGGGCTTACAGGCGTGAGCCACCGCGCCTGGCCCATACAGATTATTTCTGCATCTACTTATATCTATTCATAGGCTGTTCATGACTGCTCCTTTCTTTGAAAAAAAATAGTCAGGTTCTGAGTTCCACATTACCTAAGCGTTGAGTCTCAGAGAGATTTTCTGGAAAAAAACAAAAACAAAATCCAAATGTCTAGGTCTCTATATCAAAAGCCTGGAGGCTGGAGGGAGGTATAGAGGCTCAAGGCAATCCTGGGACGGACATGGTGACCGGAAGTTAGCTACATGGACATTGCCAGGAGTGGGTATCTGTAGACACAGGGCTGCTCACCACGGTTTTCTGAGGTTGTGTGTGTTTGTGTGTGTGTGCGTGTGTGTGTGTGTTTGGAGTGGGGAAACTAAAGAGTGAGAAGAGAGTCTTCGATCAGCATAACTCAGATGCCTACACAGATGTCTGCATGTTGACATCCTCTGACTCTGTGTGGCCACCCACATCTCCCCTGCCTTCCAGCAGGATTGCAAAGTACTCCAGAGTTCCTTTGGAGTAAGTAAATGCTTCACTGCCACTTGTAGTAAACATAGCTGCCTGAATTCCATGATTTATACAATATCTGGAGATATTTTTTAGTCACTAGTAACATAATCTATAGAAAATGGATGCTTAGTTTCAGTAATTACTTTATCTGGAGGGTACAAACTTACTGAATCCATCCAGTCAGGTAACTTGAATGCACGTACAGCCTGAGAGTAAAAGACACATATATACCACAGCCTACCTTTACTTTATTCTGAGATCTCACAATGGAATATCAAGTAAGCAATTATAGAACTTCAGGATGGAAAACAACCAAGGTATTTTGGCTAAAGAAGCTGTGACTCTGAAGTAGAATACATTCATCTATTGTGTGTCATAATGAAGGCAGTAATTTATTTCAATGCCATTTAGAATGCACAGCTTTCTGCAGAAAAGCATCCAACACATTAAGAAGAAGATCAGAAGGAAAACTGTAATTTCCTAGGAACCAATGCCGGAACTAAAACTTTCACAGTAACAAGAGGTTGAAATGGCACATTTTGAGTTTTAAAAAATCTCATGCTTAAGGAAGTGGGAAGGGTGGGAGGAAGGGATGGATATGCAGTTTCCTTGGAAACGAAATGTGATATTATGGCAGCAGTTGCCTCAGGAATCATTGTTTAGAAGGTGAAAACACTGCTCATCTGCTTAACACTGGACAAGGGTAATTTAGAACCTAAATAATTGTGATTGTTATAAGAATCCTCAGGGAACTCTAAAAACTGCCGTAGAATGGAGGTGCCATGTACAAGCTCATAAATCTACAGAGGAACATGAGAAGGGCCCCTCACGAGGCTGCAGAAAGCAGATGACCACAGTAATGAGTTACATGTACAATTTCCAGAGCATGAATATAAATAGGCACCACCAGGCAGCTCAGTCTCCAGCCCTCCCTGGTTCTCTCATAACCTTGAGAATACATGGCAGGTTTGTATGGAGATAAGCAGGTTTGTACAAAGACGGACCTGCATTCCTTATCTCGGCTGTCTACTACTCCCTAGCTCTCCAAGCTTGGACACCCCACTAACCTCAGTGGACCTCATCCAGAAAAACAAAGAAAATACTGCTTTTTTTTTCCCTCAGGATTACTATGAGAATGGAATGAAGGAGGAAAAGCCCTAGAATATTGCCTGAGACATAGTCGGGGGTCTCATACACGTTAATTCTTTTCTCAGTAGTCAATGGGTTTATTTAGACCTGTCTGCTTCTTTCCACCATGGACATTCCATATGCTCAAAGAAGTGGATGAGAATCCACGGCAGGAGGTCTTTATGGAGAAACTCCAGGGTGTGGCATCTGGTCAAGTCAGAGTTGAGGTGCATGGGCTCTGACTGCCATTCACACACTTAAGAATCAATCCTATTAATGACATGGGGCAGTGGGTGGAAGAGTGTAATGTGTGTGGGTGAAGAGCTGAGCTAAATTCTGAACCATGAAGGAGAACTGGGTATAAGAGAACAGTGGTCCCTCCATATCTGTGGAGGATTGGTACCAGGACCTCCCAAAACTACAAAAATCTGCAGATGCTCAAGTCCCTGTTATAAAATGGCATAGTATTTGCATATAACCTACACACATATTCCTGTATACTTTAAATCATCTCTAGATTACTTATAATACCTAACACGATATAAATGCTAAATACTTGTTATACTGTATTGTTTCAGACTTAATGACAAGGAAAAATGGTCTGTATGTATTCAGTACAGACATATATTTTTTTCCCTGAGTACTTTCGATCCAAGGTTAGTTGAATCCATGGATGCAGAACCCATGGGTACAGAGCAGTTGTGTTCCTCCAAGAGGGCAGGGACCATGTCTGGTCTGTTCGTCTCTGTGTCCCTAATGCCAGCACAATGCTGGCAGTATATGCACAGAACACAGTATGTGCTCCATAAAGTTTCTGCAGAATGAATGCTAAGGGCAGCAAGGCATGCCAGGAGGTCGTGGGCAAATGCATCAGGGGTGAGGAGCCCAGAGTAAAATTCAGAGTGAGGCACAGATGAAACCACAGACAAAGCAAAGAGTGCTTTCCTCCATGACAGGATTTCGTGACATATTTTATGTTTTCCAGATGTTCATTGAGTGCTGACTATGTTCCAGGCACTGTTTTAAGAACAAAATAAAGAAAAGGTCTCCTCATCTGGAGCTCGTATTATGTCACATTAAACATAATGTAATGTGATGTTCCAATAAAATGGTGCATGTGTTGTGAACCTCTCCAAGCAGGGACCAAGTCTTGGTCATCGCTGATTCCTCAGTGCCAGACCCAGTGCCTGCAGATCCACAAGAAAAGCACAATAAGGAGTATTTAAACTGATCTCAAAATGTCGAGAAGCACTAGATAACGTTGACCTGGGATAGGAAGTCCTGCAGTCCTAGATTTGAGTCTCGGGTCTAACACTAACTAGCCTGGTGGCCTTGAGCAAGTTGGTTTTCCTCTCTGATCCTCAGTTTCCTTATCTGTAAAAGGAAGAAAGCAATATGGATTCACAGGGTTGTGCGAGGATTAAAAAAAATGTGCTACCTTTAAAATAACTAGGACAGAGAAGGGCACTTCGTTGTCAGAGTGGTACCTGCTGCTCTCATGATCTTTATCATTATTATTTCTCATCAGAGACAGAAGCACACATGGCCATACTCGACTGGACAACATGAGTAGAAAATTAAAGCAAATCTTTACCTGTAAAACTTTTAACTCAAAATAAGACAGTCTGACACACCAGAACTCTTCCCCACTGACCCAGACAAACAGATTCCTTTTCATGCAATGAGCATCCTCTGTCCAGCCACAATACCCTCTGTAGAGTGAGCCCCGATTTAAAGTCCAGTTCTGAACTCCATCTGTTCCCATGGGTGGTCCTCATTGGTTGGTTTGCTCCCAGTGATCTCAAAGGGCCAATGCTCAATTTTGTACTGCCATTTTTAGTCCCGGGCAAACTCTGAAGAGCTAGAATCCCCTGGATTGCCCATATGTTTCGTGTGTGTGTGTGTGTGTGTGTGTGTGTGTGTGTGTGTGTGTGCTGCCCAGGAGGGAATGCAGTGGCACGATCTTGGCTCACTGCAACCTCCACCTCCTGGGTTCAAGCAATTCTCCTGCCTCGGCCTCCCAAGTGGCTGTGACTACAGACATGCGCCACCACACCCGGCTAATTTTTGTAATTTCAGTAGAGACAGGGTTTCACTATGTTGGCCAGGCTGGTCTTGAACTCCTGACCTCAAATGATCCTCCTGCTTTGGCCTCCCAAAGTGCTGGGATTACAGGCGTGAGCCACTGCACCCAGCCCCATATGTTTCTTAACTCAGTTCTGGTGACTTGGATAAGCTGACTTACCTTTAATAAAGCAGAACTGATCCTCTCAAAGAAATGCCCCTATGGAGATGTTTTTGGTTCACATAAGGGGTAATCAATAACACAGTTAATGATTAGAAATGAACTAAAATAAGGAAATTATGAAATAATCTATAAGTAATTGTTAAAATGGGTTACGTGAATGGGCTCAGAGTAGAGAGAAAAGTGGCAAGAAGAAACAAGATAGACTAATACACGTATCAGTAGGCGTAACTTCACATGACTGAAGAAGTGGGGCTATGTATTTATGTATATGTATATATATAATAATAAAAGTAGGTTTCAATAACAAATATATAACATATTCAGTAACATACATATATATATATATATATATATTCATGCACTACATTTTGGTCAACAACAGAATGCATATACAATGCTGATCCCATAAGACTATAATACCATAATTTTACTGTACCTGTTCTAGGTTCAAATATGTTTAGATACACAAATACTTACCATTGTGTCACAATTGCCTATAGTATCCAGTACAGTAGCATGTTGTACAGGTTTGTAGCCTAGGGGTCATAGGCTATAACATATAGCCTAGGTATGATGTAGTAGGCTCTACTACCTAGGGTTGTGTAAGTACACTTTTTGATGTTCCCACAATAACATAATCACCTAATGATGCATTTCAGAATGTATCCCTGTTATTAAGTGACACATGACTGTATATGTATATATACTCATTACTTGTCTACATCCACTTACACATATATGACACTCATATGTTTCAATAACATATATATGTGAAATATATGTGTATATAGTCATTATTTGTCTCCAACCTTCCCCATAAAAAGCCATTTCTGAAATTTAGTATACAAATCAACAACAAAAAAGAAGACATTGAGGCTTGAAGTCATGTGGTGTAGACCATTTGCTTAACTAAATAATAATGTAATACTATATCAATAAACAAATGAACTGGAGAAATTAGCTGAAAAAAATTTGTACAAAATCTCCTCTAGATGAGTCAATCTACAAAGAGCAGAGCTAAAGTGGTGTACAGAAAAGTCTCCTAAATTTTCATTACGTGACCACAAGATTTACAGTAACTACTACTTCATTGTCATTCCTTTCTAGACTTCTCCATAACCATATATTAAACAAAACCCCAAACAGATCTGCATTAGAACTGCATTAGACATAGTGACATCTGCAAACTCTGTAATAGTCCTAATGTCTAGCCATAGACACCAATACCATACATACAGATTCCATTTCTCAAATGGGACAATTTTGCACATAGTAAAATAAGTGGCAAGTCAAAATTCAAATGACTAAAGTTGTTTTAGGTAATTCGTAGGTTGTAAAAACTAATGAGAAGTAAAAAAAAAAAATTATGAAGGTATTACAACACTCCCATTAAAATGAAAATCTATGTTACGACTTTATGCTCTTCAAATACCACACCAGACTGAAGCATCAACCAGTATATCAAGTGTTCTGTTCCTTAAAAAATCGCTTTGTTTATGTGGAGTGATAGCCTTGCTTATTAATTTTCAAAAATACCTGCCTAGTTATCCCTTTAAGCCAGAATCATCTCCAATTTACATGGCCATCAAAATTTACTTTTTAATCAGCAATTCATTTGAGTAACTAAAATGAAAATAATTGCACAAGACCAGAGGATACCCCCCACAACACACACACAAGTGCAATAGTGTAAACTGAAAGCAGATAGGTAATCATATCTCTAAAAAGAATAGAAACTTCTATGAAGTCATTCTTATGAAAAGTTTTATGAATGGCACTAAAGGATTTAGCAGGTGCAAGAAAAATGATCATGCAATAAGACCAGATATTAGTTTCATGCTACAGAAAAGACTATTGTCTAGACTTATCCACAAAAATGGCCTTGTTACTTCTTAAATCTCTCTTAAGAGTGGCTGCCCAGTGCAAAGAGTACACTGCATTTGGGTGCTGATTGGACAAATGGTTGCTGATAATCAAATGGCATGATTTATCTTTTGAAAACCTGTGGAGTAATTTCTAAGCAACACCAATAATGTAAATGATAAGTATAGCTCAGTATAGTAAAAATGCTTATTTCATATCAGTCTTCTAACCCAGGGCTCAGAGAAAACAAATAGGAAGAGTAAGTTTGATATTAGACTCTCAAATTTCTATTAGTAGGGTTTGCTGATAACACAGGGTGATAGCTGGCCACATCATAAGAGAGACTCAGTGCTCATTGTAGATATGAGAAATAAGCATCCTAATTCGAATTTCTGAGTGTTCACGTCCTGTCACAGCATTAAAATAATCATGCAAATCTGCCTCCAGCTGGTTCCTGATTTGCATTCATTTTTTTCTGTTGAAATGATTTATACATACTTGTACTAAATTCTAAATTCTAATCTTAACATTCAGTCTTAGAAGAACAGACATCAGTAATATTTGAACTAAAGTTATAATATTAATAGCTAGCAATTATTAGCTTTATAAGTGTGTGGCTGACACCAAACCTGGTTAATAAGCAAACTACTTGCATGCATGTTCTTCACAATATTTGCACATAACCATATTTTTTTGGCTAATGTAAAAAATAGCTAGGTAACGTGAATATTACCTTCTTAACACATGGTAATAAGGCACATAAAATATTGCATGTTGATTAAATATAAGTAGACAAAGAATGACTCTTCACAAACCCTATGTAATTGAAAGAATAAAACACTCTCCATTCATAGTTATATTTAATTTTAATGACTTGCTTAAGAACAATGGGAAAATTTACATCCAAAACGTCTTTACTTATTCAAAGATCATTCAAGCAGAAATCTGGGAGCCATTAGCAGGTAGCCTACACTTTTTTAGAAGTAAAATAGAGGCAATCAAGACTTTCTTTCTAGAAAAGTCACACAGGATTAAAGCCAGTTCCTGGATTCCACTTCCATTGAAATTCTATCCATGTCTGAATAAATTCAGTCTTAAAGCTCTATCAATATTAACAACGGTGAAACAGGGGGGTTCCCTGACTCTCACAGGACCTGCAACAGGGGTTTGGCTTGTCTGTTCAGTCACCACCATCGCTCAAACCCCTTACAGGAGTGGGAGCATGCAGACGGACAGGTGCAGGGGTTGGGATGCTGGGCTCTGGCCCCACAGCAGCGTCCAGGGATGGGAGCCTGTGACTCCCGGAGCCCAGTTGGGTGTATGTTACAGTGTGTTCTTTTAGCCTTGCCATCCACGCATGGCTTAAGTGTCAACTGGCTCAGTGGACCCTCTGCCTTTTTGCAAGGGCAGAGGGCCAGCGTGACACCTTTCATATCCTGAGCTCTTGTCCAGCATCCTGGAAGAACCGGGTCACACACAGACTTGAAGGATGGTGCATGTGGGGTTTTACTGGGTGGTGGAGGTGGCTCTGAGCAGGATGGATGGGGAGCTAGACAGGAGATGGAATGGGAAGATGATCTTCCCCTGGAGTTTGGCCATCCAGCACCTGATTTTCTGACCATCTCCAGACAAACTCCTGCTGACATTCAGGCGCTCTTTCTCTTCTCTCCTTCTCTGCTGCAACATTCTGCCATTTGTCTGCTCATCTGCTCGTCTTCTCATCTGTTCGTCTCCTCATCTGCTTCTGGAGTCTGGGGTTCAGGGTTTATATGGGTATAGGATAGGGGGCATGGTGGGCTAAAAGGCAACATTTTGTGCATGAAAACAGGAATGTCTGTTCTCACTTGGGGACAGGGATATCCAGGCTTGAGGGTGGAGCCTTTGTAAGGGAACCGCCCTCTTCCACCCAGTATTTCCCTGTCTCCCGTCGGCATCAACAGCAATAATAATAACATATTTTTAGTGCAAATTTGATCTCACACTTTAGTTGGGAAGATTAAACGTTAGTTCTACTCTGAAAAACAACTCCATGAAACGGAAGTTACCTTTATTTTTAACATTAGAAAACTTGAATCTGAGAAGTAACTTACTGAGTGTCACATAATTAAGAAGTGACAAAACTATATTTAAAACTCAGATTTACTAATAATACATTTGTTTAAGAAATACTTTCTGAACACCTAGTATGTGCTAGGTTCTTTTTAAACACTGGGGATCTGCAGTAAACAAAATGTGGGCCCTGCCCCCAAAGAGTTTGGATTAAAGTATTTGTTAGCACTTTATAAATAATAAACCAATAAAATAAATTAGTGGAATGTCAGATGATGAAATGTGCAGTGAAGAAAAGTAAAGCATGGTAAGGGGAAAACAGTATATGAAATTAACAAAGGGGTTCCATTTTAATATAGGCAGGTCTGAAACTGACTCTAATAAGGCAAAATTGGTCAGACTTGAAGAAAAGTGAGGGAACCATACAAATACCTAACTTACAAAAACATCTTTCAGCCAGAGGAAATGAGGGAGGGGCCCAGAGGCAGCAGCATGCTTGGCCAAGTGAGTAAAGGAGGAAATTATGGCCAGAGCAGAGTGACTGAAGGGCAAATAAGTTGGAGATGAGGTGAGATCAGGATAAGATCGCTTCTTGGGCTTTTGGCTAAGATCAAGGTAGATCCTGATGGGAAACACCATGTCATGGAGGGTTTTGTAGGACACTATAAAGTCTTTGGTTTTCACTCTAAGAGACAGGAGTTCTGAGTAAAAGGGAGGAACCTGAGTCATATCTTTAAAGGATCATTACATGACTATGTTAGGAAAAGACTCAAGGAACAAGGGCAGAAACTGGTAGACAAATTAGTAGACTGTGGCAATAATCCAGGCCACACATGGTGGTGACACAGACCCAGATGTTGACAATGGAGGTGGGGGAAAGAGATGGCTTCTTTACATATGTTAAGGGATTCACTATTTTAACATGGGGTGTGAAAAACAGAAAGGAATTAAGAATGACTCCAAGGAGTTTGACCTCAGCAAATGGAAGGACAGTAAGCCATTTGCTGAAAAGAAGCTTGCAAAAAAATCTATCAGATTTAAAGTCAATGCTCTCTCAAAATCAATGTGCTACTTCACAAAGGTACACCAAGTATTGAAATTCATTTAATATTCAATTCCGACCCATCTTGTGTGTCCAGTCCTTTCCACCAGGCTGGGACACTCCTAGTTGGGAGCTGCTGCTGGTTGGAGCCCACGTGAAAAGTAAAGGTTCTGGTACCATGGAGATGCCAGAAAGGTGACATGCTAAAGGCTAACTCAGGAGCCCACTGAGCCGAGCAGGGAATGGACAGAAGAACTCAGAGCAATAGTTCCGGGGGCAAACCAGCCCACAAAGAGCTGACACATGGGGATGGAACAGCCACAAGGGGTTGACAGTGACAGTAGTAGACAAGGAAGACAGAAATAGGCATCCAAGGCCAATGGGTAAGGCTTAAATCTGGATTATTCAGCATGGGCTTCCTTTCTGTGGCCCTGGGAACCTAAGAAAAATCTCCCACATCCAATTCAGCCAGCAGAGCTCTGCTCTGAACCGACTGACAGTTCAGAATTTCTCTTTCTCAGATGATCATATTTGAACAAAGGAATCCAAAGCTCATTCATTGTCCCTCTTTCTCCCTCTGTCTTTCCCTCCCTCCTACTCCCTCCACCCTGACTTTAATTAAAACTATTGATCTTGATCAGTAGTTTTCATACCCGGCTGTACATCAGATAATCTTTTAAAAATACAGGTTCCTAGGCCCACATCCGAGGCACTGAATAACAATCTACAGGGAAGAAAGACATCAGTCAGATTCCAAAACCTCCCACGGTCTGGCGATAAACATCAAGGTCAGCTACAACTTGTAACTTGAACATGGTCATGTTTCCTTTCTCTCTGTACCATTAGGGCCTCTGGGTTGGTCCATCATCCACTGAGTTTTTCTAATTTTTCTTCCAGGAATCAATGGCAGAATACTTTCCTGAGAAATTACTCCATGCCCTTGGGTCTAGTGAAGCCTATTTCATCCATCTCGTAAGTTCAATACAAAATCTCTCTTTCTAAAATGGCTTACCCTGGTGGGGAAGCCAGGTCTTTTTCTACTTCTTTACATTGTTTATTCTCCTGTGTGGTTACTTTAATTAATGTTTAATCTTCCTGTGTTTGTGTCCTGAGGCAGAGCCTCTGAAGGGCACAGAGTTCAAAATCTTACAGCCTCATAACACTCCATAGGTTTGACATTAAATAATTATGACAATTCAAAGTAAAGACCAAAATCCCATTCTCTACTCAAACTGCCAGGGATGCTGGATCAGTTTCTGCAGACCTTCTCTGCAAAATCCGTCATTTTCTTTCTATTCCCTAACTGTTACACTGCTAGATGACTATTTCTGCTCCCTCTTTTTCAGGGAGGGTCCATATTCTGTGAGAAAATGGCCCCGTCACTCAAGAGTGATGAAATCCGTGGAGCACGGCTGGGCTAGAAATGATTACCAAAGCCCGTTAGGAGATGCCAACAGAGACTATATTAACCATCATTCCCTCTGTACACAGCGATCTGAATGAAAGAGGAAAGAAGACTTTCTGCTGCTTATGGTATCTTCGGGAATCATCTGACAGCTTATTTATTAAATGCATTTTAATATTAATTCTCCTCTGCACTCTAGCTGACCTTCAGAAACATTCACCGAGTCTTAAGAACACAAAGCACAATGGCCTAGGGAAGGCACGGATGGGAAGAAAGCTGCACCTGAACACTTCTTCTCCTGCGCAGTTGCATAAAAATCAGTTACAATTAAATACTGAATTACCAGTATTTAATAAAGATCTAAAGGATCTAAGATCCTTTAGAGCCTAAAACACAGACCAATTAGAACCCAATTAATTAGGGTTCAAATTATTTTTCTTTCTGTACATTTTGGAGAAAATGCATATCACAGGAATGCACAATCACCTAAAGAAATTTTAAGCTCTTTCACAAACACATCCTGAGTCCAAAACACATTCTGTCTTCTCCAGTCCTAGAAAATGAGACCTGGCTTCCAGAATAATGTCCCTCAAATATTTAGTAAATGCACAATTTCATTTAATATTGTATTTATTAAGTCAAAGCTCAGACCAAAAGGCTCTTAAAAGACTTTTGTTTCCAATTTAACTCTTTTTTAAAAAAAAATTGTAGTAAAATACACATAACATAAAAATTACTATCTTAACCTTCTTTTCTTCTTACTTTTTGTTAATAGACAACGTCTTACTCTGTTGCCTAAGCTAGAGTTCAGTAGCACAATCAGAGCTCACTGTTGTCTCGAACTCCTGGGCTCAAGTGATTCTCCCACCACAGCCTCCTGAGGAGCTGGGATTTCAGGCTCAAGCCACTGCACCAGGCATTAACCAGTTTTAAATGTGCAGCTAAATGGTATTAAATATATTCACATTGTTATGCAATCATTACCACCATCTACCTCCAGAACTCTTTTATAAAACTAAAATTCTGCATCCATAAAACAATAACTTTCCATTCCCCTCCATTAACCTCTTAACCAGAAAATTGCACCAAACAGAAATCTCTGTTCTTTAAATATTTTGACTGATATTTTATTCTTATATAGGGCAAAATTGAGATTATCTCCTTTTATAATTTCACTCATTTAAGCTCAGCTTGTACATTATGTTTAGGAAAAAAAAAAGTTATTTTGTTCCAGAAAGTCATGTTTAATCCTCAGGTGTATCTATAAGCTAATGCTGGTGGGTGATCAATCAATAATTAACTATTTTGAACTGAACGTCACAGATGTCTTTCTTTACTGAGTCTCCGAATCAGTTTCTACCATCAATTAGGATTAGAATTGTTTTCACAAGCATCTAGGAAATGACTACCCATAAAACCACATTTTAATCTGTTTAAAGCACTAGAAAAAATGACTACTCAAAACTCCATCAAAAAACAGTGCTGTGACCTTCCAGCAATGAGCAGGCTGTAAGTCAAACCAAGACTTTTCTGTGCAATACTGAGCAGGTGAAATACTGATGCCGTCTGGGCAGTGGGCTTTCATCTTCATCTAGCAGTGGCTGCAAGAGGGCGTGGGCAATCTCCAGAGCATTTGCAGCCCCAGCAGAAGATGAAGCTCTGTGTCAGTCTTTCTCAGTTCTGAGTCATTAGTTCTAGGGAGGGAAGGCATTAGAAAACTTTTCAAGCCACAAACCACATATCTTAGGGAGATGGCTAATTAGAATTCACCCTAAACTGTGAAAGAATTAACAGACATTAAATAATCATTATTTATAATTGGGAAATCAAGTTACCCAAAAGAAAAAAAGGCAAAGCTCAGATTGTCTTGTTTAATGTTTAATTTAGAAAAATAAAAGGGAAACTAGATCTCCAAATGACCAATAGGTTTGTGTCCCCAAAGTTCGTAACTCAGAAAGTATTTTTCTGGAGAAGCAATGTTAAAATTGTGATTAGTACCTTCAGTCTTAAAAGACCACACAAAAATGACTTCATCCACATGTAGCCATAGTATAGGACAAATGGTCTGCCCCAAGCTTTGGAACAGTGACCAAGGGGTACTGCAGCTTAGAGAGAAAGAACTGTTTTTTCTCCTTTTCATGGCAAAGCATTGACCTGGGGGAATATATTTTTTAAGTATTTGATTTCTTTGTTTCTCCTATTCTGTACTTTTTTCTGATTGTCTGGTACTTCTAAAAAGTATGACATCCTTGAACTGCCTTAACTTCACTCATCTTTCAACCAAGTTCCCCATCATGGCCAAGCCCACACCAAAAAAAAAAAAACTATCCATCAGGGCAGCTGATTCAGGGGGTTCAAAGCAAATGGATAAAACCAAAATATGGATAAAATAAGATTTCATGTTCTCTGGTATGCCTTAAAATAACAGCTTTGTAATACGTAGCCTCAAAAATCCAAAGAAATGCAAATAAAAACATGAAAATATATTCCTATCCAATGGGTTAAAAATGGTAAAAAGAATCATATTATCTGGTGGGAGAGGGTAGGAAAAAACAAGTACTCCCAAAAAACTCCTGGAGGCAGTGTAAGCGGATTACAATCTCTTGCTGGGGCACTTTGGTTATACATGTCTAAAGTCTTTAACATTTTTTTTTTATTTACAAAAACATTGACCCAGCAAAAACACTACTAAGAGCTATACAAAGGATGTAATCAAAGACGTGGAAGAAGATGAATATGTAAAGATGTTTAAGATGTCACATTTTACAATAAAGAAAAATCAGATGTCCAGGAAGAACAGATTAAGTAAGTAATGGAACTTCCATACAATATAATGTAATAGGTATCATTAAGTAGCGTATTATAGAACATATTTATTGGGCTGAGTGCAGTTGGTCATGCCTGTAATCCCAGCACTTTGGAAGGCTGAGGCAGATGGATCACTTGAGGTCAGGTGTTCAAGACTAGCCTGGCCAACATGGAGAAACCTTGTATCTACTAAAAATACAAAAAATTAGCCAGGTATGGTGGCGGGCACCTGTGATCCCAGCTACTTGGGAGGCTGAGGCAGGAGAATCGCTTGAACCCAGGAGGTGGAGGTTGCAGTGAGCTGAGACTGCACCACTGCACTCCAGCCTGGGCAACAGAGAGAGACTCCATCTCAAAAAAAAGAAAAAAAAAAAAGAAAAGAAAAAGAAAAGAGAAGAAATATATTTATTGACATGGAAAAAAATCTTCATGATCTGAGCTAAGTAAAAGAAAAAGGGAGACTAGAAAGCAGATAGATAGGTAGACAGATAGGTAGGTAGATATAATTTTATTATATATGTATAAATATCAAATATTGGAAAGAATTCACGAAAATGTAAACAGTCATTAACACTGAAATTTTTTTATTTCTTCTAAAAAAAAAAAACAATGAGATACATGTGCAGAATGTGCAGGTTTGTTACCTAGGTATACGTGTGCCATAGTAGTTTGCTGCAACTATTGACCTATCCTGTAAGTTCCCTCCTCTCACCCCCATCCCACAACAAGCCTTAGTGCACATTGTTCCACTCTCTGTGTCCACGTATTCACAATGTTCAGCTCCCACTTATGAGTGAGAACATGTGGTATTTGATTTTCTGTTCCTGTGTTAGTTTGTTGAGGATGATGTTCCTGCAAAGGACATAATCTCATTTCTTTTTATGGCTGCATAGTATTCCATGGTGTATATGTACCACATTTTCTTTATCCATTCTATCATTGACGGGCATTTGGGTTGGTTCCATGTCTTTGCTATCGTAAATAGTGCTGTAGGAAACATACATGTGCATGTATCTTTGTAGTAGAATGATTTATATTTCTCTGGGTATATACCCAGTAATGGGATTGCTGGGTCAAATGGTATTTCTGGTTCTAGATCATTGAGGAATCACCACACTGTCTTCCACAATGGTTGAACTAATTTACATTCCCACCAACAGTGTAAAAGTCTTCCTATTTCTCCACAGCCTCACCAGCATCTATTGTTTCCTGGCTTTTTAATAATAGCCATTCTGACTGGCATGAGATGGTATCTCATTGTGGTTTTGATTTGCATTTCTCTAATGATCAGTGATGTTGAGCTTTTCTTCGTATGTTTGTTGGCCACATAAATGTCTTCTTTTGAAAAGTGTCTGTTCATATCCTTTGCCTACTTTTTGATGGAGTTGTTTGTTTCTTTCTTGTAAATATGTCTAAGTTCCTTGTAGATTCTGGATATTAGACCTTTGTCAGATGGGTAAACTGCAAAAATGTTCTACCATTCTGTAGGTTGCCTGTTCACTCTGATAATAGTTTCTTTTGCTGTGCAGAAGCTCTTTAGTTTAATTAGATTCCATTTGTCAATTTTGGCTTTTCTTGCAATTGCTTTTGGCATTTTAGTCATGAAGTCTTTGCCCATGCCTATGTCCTGAATAGTACTGCCTAGGTTTTCTTCTAGGGTTTTTATGGTTTTGAGTTTTACATTTAAGTATTTAATCCATCTTGAGTGAATTTTTGTATAAGGTGTAAGGAAGGGGTCCAGCTTCAGTTTTCTGCATATGGCTAGCCAGTTTTCCCAGCACCATTTACTGAATAGGAGATTCTTTCCCATTGCTTATTTTTATCAGGTTTGTCAAAGATCAGATGGTTGTAGATGTGTGGTGTTATTTCTGAGGTCTCTACTCTGCTCCATTAGTCAGTATGTCTGTTTTGGTACCAGTACCATGCTGTTTTGGTTACTGTAGCCTTGTAGTATAATTTGAAGTCAGGTGGCATGATGCCTCCAGCTTTGTTCTTTTTGCTTAGGGTTGTCTTGGCTATATGGGGTCTTCTTTGATTCCACATGAAATTTAAAATCGATTTTTCTAATTATGTGAAGAATATCAATGGTAGTTTGATAGGAATAGCATTGAATCTGTAAATTACTTTGGGCAGTATGACCATTTTCATGATATTAATTCTTCCTATCCACGAGGATGGAATGTTTTTCCATTCGTTTGTGTCCTCTCTTATTTCGTTGAGTAGTGGTTTGTAGTTCTCCTTGAAGAGGTCTTCACATCCCTTGTTAGTTGTATTCCTAGGTATTTTATTCTCTTTGTAACAATTGCAAATGGGAGTTCATTCATGATTTGGCTCTCTGCTTGCCTATTGTTGGTGTAAAGGAATACTTGTGATTTTTGCACATTAATTTTGTATCCTGAGACTTTGCTGAAGTTGCTTTTCAGTTCAAGAAGTTTTTGGGCTGAGGTGATGGGGTTTTTAAATATAAAATCTTGTCATCTGTAAATAGAGACAATTTCACTTCCTTTCTTCCTATTTGAATACCTTTATTTCTTTCTCTTGCCTGATTGCTCTGGCCAGAACTTCCAATACTATGGTGAACAGGAGTGGTGAGAGAGGACATCCTGGTCTTGTACTGGTTTTCAAAGGGAATGCTTCCAGCTTTTGCCCATTCAATATGATATTGTCTGTGGGTTTGTCATAAATAGCTCTTATTATTTTGAGATATATTCCATCAACACCTAGTTTATTGAGAGTTTTTAACATGAAGAATGTTGAATTTTATCAAAGGTCTTTTCTGCATCTGTTGAGATAATCATGTGGTTTTTGTCTTTGGTTCTGTTTATGTGATGGATTACGTTTATTGATTTACGTATGTTCAACCAGCCTTGCATCCCAGCGATAAAGCCAACTTGATCGTGGTGGATAAGTTTTTTTTTTATGTGCTGCTGGATTTGGTTTGCCAGTATTTTATGGAGGGTTTTTGTATCAATGTTTATTTGGCTTATTGGCCTGTAGTTTTCTTTTTTTGTTGTGTCTCTTCCCAGTTTTGGTATCAGGATGACACTGGCTTCATAAAATGAGTTAGGGAGGAGTCCCTCCTTTTCAACTGTTTGGAATAGTTTCAGAAGGAATGGGACTAGTTCCTCTTTGTATTTCTGGTAGAATTCAGCTGTGAATCTGTGAATCTGTCTGGTCCTGTTTTGTTTTTCTGTGTTTTTTTTCTTGTTTTTTTTTTTTTTGTTGTTGTTTTGGTAGGCTATTAATTACTGCCTCAATTTCAGAGCTTGTTATTGGTCTATTCAGGGATTCGGCTTTTTCCTGGTTTAGTCTTGGTAGGGTGTATGTGTCCAGGAATTTATCCATTTCTTCTAAATTTTCTAGTTTATTTGCATCGAGTTGTTTATAGTATTCTCTGATGGCAGTTTGTATTTCTGTGGGGTCAGTGGTGATATCCCCTTTATCATTTTTTATTGTGTCTATTTGATTCTTCTCCCTCTTCTTCCTTATTAGTCTAGCTAATGGTCTATCTATTCGTTAATTTTTTCAAAAAAAAAACAGCTCCTGGATTCATTGATTTTTTTGGAGGATTTTTCACGTCTCTATCACCATCAATTCTTCCCTGATCTTAGTTATTAGTTACTTGTTTTAGTTTCTTCTCTGATCTTAGTTATCCACTTAGTTAGTGGTTAATGCTGGATTTTTTTCCTTTGTGTTTTTCTATGATTTTTTAGGATTTCTGTATTAAGCACAAAATTAAAAGAAGTTGTTTTTTAAATTTAATACAGAACCCTAAAAGCAATAATTACATCAATAGCTTCACTAGAGAAATGCCAAGAGGGTGTGGGAGGTAGCTGTCAGTTGCAAGTAAGAGCAGTTTGCAAGACTGAGTTGTAGCCTCTATATAATATGATTATTTGGGATAATACTATCTTCAGCACACACACACACACACACACACACACACACACCCCTCTCAATGAATAACTGTTCAGTTAAAAACAAACAAAATAAATAGTCTTTGAAAATGCATTCTTACCAATGTACAGTTCCTTTCTTATATTTTTCCAAAATATTTGGCAGTTTCCTCTACTGTAAGAAATACTGTACATCCTTATGCTTTAGAATGTTTGAAATCATGTAAATTTTTCTTGGAAAATGTTTAAAAACTCATATTATTCACTCCTGAGAGACCACAACAACATCTTTCCAGATTGCACCACACTATTCTGTAAATGAGGATTTTAATTTCTAAGATGCAACAACAATGCTTTGTGCTCGGATCAATAAAAGGAAATGAGCTACTGTGGTTTGTCTGCCTTTCACCAGACACCACCCCCCAATACTTATTCACAGTCCTGAGTATATCAAAACTCCATTTGTAAATTAAACTAGCGTGTCTGATACAGAAACAAAGCTAAACCATGTACTGGGCAAACCACATTCATGGCTTATTGTCAGAACCACAGATCTCTCTTCTGGTGCCATAATCCCTGGCCAGTAAAGTAATAAACCAGTAATGAATTTTGGATTTACAGAATCCAAAGCTTTATATAGATTTTTGAAACAATTTCTTTTTTAAACATTTTTGCAGAGAACAACAGTCCTCCCCCATGCTGACCAATCACTCCTGCTTATGGGGCACAGAGAAGGCACCCAGGCCTGCATCTGCCAGCACCCCACCCCCAAGCCAACACCATGTCCAGCACAACCATACATATAGTTGCCAGCAGGAGCTCCCCCAACAGCTGCATTGTTTCTGCCACTGTGGTGAACACCCACATGGAGGCAGGCACCCCGACACCTGCTAGCACTCTGCCACAGCTGCCACACCTCAGGCCCCTTCACCGCAGTGGATTCCTAACCTTGGGGAGCCAAAGAACAAAGCTGGGGCCCAATAGAAGTCCCCCAGAGTTAGAGTACACAGTGCAGGAGTTGGGAGCTGAATGTTGGCCCTCTAAAATCTTCCAGAAATGAAGCTAGTCAGTTGAATCCACCTTATACCAAAATCAAGCCCTCAAGATAATCAAATAGGATAAAAAAAAAATCTGAAGGTCAGCAACCTCAAAGATTGAAGGTAGATAAACCCACAAAGATGAGAAGAAGTCAGTGCAAGAACCCTGAAAATTCAAAAAGTCAGTGTGCTTTCATTCCTCCAAATGACTGCATCACCTCTCCAAATCATGATAAAATAATGCAGGAGCTGACAGACAAAACAGCCAGTATATATATATATTTTAAAAAGTAACCAACCTGACAGAGCTGAAAAACACACTACAAGAATTTCATAATGCAAACACAAGTATTAATAGCAGAATAGACCAAGTGAAGAAAATAATCTCAGAGCTTGACGACTGGCTTTCCGAAATAAGACAGTTAGACAAGAATAGAGAAAAATAATGAAAATGAATGAACAAAATGTCTGAGAAATATGGGATTATGTAAAGAGACCAAATCTATGACATATTCATGTCCCTGAAAGAGATGGGGAAAATGCAACCAATCTGGAAATCATATTTCAGGACATCATGCATGAGAACTTCCTCAACCTAGCTAGAGAGGGCAACATTCAAATTCAGAAAATGCAGAGAACCCCAGTAAAATTCTTTTTACTAATACTAAAGATCATCCCCAAGCACATAATCATCAGATTCTCCAAGGTTGAAATGAAAGGAAAAATGTTAAAGGTAGCTAGAGAGAAAGGTCAGGCCACCTACAAAGGGAAGCCCATCAGACTAACAGCAGACCTCTCAGCAGAAACTCTACAAGCCAAAAGAGATTGGGGGTCAATATTCAACATTCTTAAAGAAAAGAAATTCCAACCCAGAATTTTATATCCAGCCTAACTAAGCTTCATAAGCAAAGGAGAAATAATCTTTTACAAACAAGCAAATGCTGAGGGAATACATTACCACCAGACCTACCTTACAACAGCTCATGAAGGAAACGCTAAATATGGAAAGGAAAGCATTACCAGCACTACAAAAACACACTGAGGTACATAGACCAGTCACACTATAAAACAATCACATAAACAAGTCTGCAAAATAACCAGTTAACATTATGGTGACAGTGTCAAATCCTCACATATCAATATTAACCTTAAAGGTAAATGGGCTAAGTGCCCCAGGTAAAAGACACTGAGTGGCAAGCTGGATTAGAAAACCAAGACTCATTGATATGCTGTCCTCAAGAGACCATCTCTTATGCAATGACACACATAGGCTCAAAATAAAGGGATGGAGAAAAATCTACCAAGCAGAAAAAAGCAAGAGTTGCAATCTCAGTTTCAGACAAAACAGACTTTAAACCAACAAAGATAAAAAGACAAAGAAGGGCATTACATATGATAAAGGGTTCAATTCAACAAGAAGATCTAACTATCCTAAATAGATATACACCCAACACAGGAACACTCAGATTCGTAAAGCAAGTTATTAGAGACTTTCAAAGAGACTTAGACTCCCACACAATAATAGTGGGAGACTTTAACACCCAATGACAATATTAGACAGACCAGTGAGAGAGAAAATTAACAAAGATATTCAGGACCAGAACTCAGCATTAGATCAAATGGATCTGATAGACATCTACAGAACTCTCCACACAAAAACAATTTTCATTGCCATATGGCACTTACTCTAAAATTGATCACATAATCAGAAATAAAACACTCCTCAGCAAATGCAAAAGAACTGAAATCATAACAATCTCTCAGACCACAGCACAATCAAATTAGAAATCAAGACTAAGAAATTCACTCAAAACCATACAATTACATGAAAATTGAATAACTTGTTCCTAAATGGCTTTGAGGTAAAAAAATTAATTAAGGCAGAAATCAAGAAGTTCTTTGAAACTAATGAGAGCAAAGATACAATGTAGCATAATCCCTGAGACACAACTAAGGCAGTATTAAGAAGGAAATTTATAGCACTAAATGACTACATCAAAAAATTAGAAAGATCTCAAGTTAACAACCTAACATCACAACTAAAGAACTAGAGAATCTAGAGCAAACAATCCCAAAGCTAGCAGAAGACAAGAAATAACCAAAATCAGAGCTGAGCAGAAGAAAATTGAGACATGAAAAATCATTCAAAAGACCAATGAATCCAGGAGCTGTTTTTTGATAAAAATTAATAAAACAGACATACCACTAGCTAAACTAATAAAGAAGAAAAGAGAGAAGATTCCAATAAACACAATCAGAAATGGCAAGGGGAATATTACCACTGACCCCACAGAAATACAACCAACCATCAGAGAATATTATGATCACCTCTATGCACATAAACTAGAAAATCTAGAAGAAATTGATACATTTCTGGACATATACACCCTCCCAAGACTGAACCAGGAAGAAACTGAATCCCTGAACAGACAATAATGAGCTCCGAAATTGAATCAACAAATAGCCTACCAACCAATAAAAGCCCAGGGCCAGATGGATTCACAGCTGAATTCCACCAGATGTACATAGATGAGCTGGTACCATTCCTTCTGAACCAATTCCCAAAAGTTGAGGTAGAGTGACTCCTCCCTTACTCATTCTATGAGGCCAGCATCATGCTGATACCAAAACCTGGCAGACACACAACAACAACAAAAGGAATCTTCAGGCCAATAGCCTGGATGAATATCAACTACAAAATACTGACAAACCAAATCCAGCAGCACATCAAAAAATTTATCTACCACAATCAAATAGGCTTGTTATCCCTGGGATGCAAGGTTGGTTCAACACATGCAAATCAATTAATGTGAGCCATCATATAAACAGAACTAAAGACAAAAAACATGATTATTTCAATAGATGCAGAAAAGGCTCTCCATAAAATTCAACATCCCTTCATGTTAAAAACTCTCGATAAACTAGGTATTAAATGAATATACCTCAAAATAATAAGAACCATCTATGACAAACCCACAGCCAACACCATAATGAATGGGTAAAAGCTGGAAGCATTTCCCTTGAAAACCAGCACAAGACAAGGATGCCCTCTCTCACCACTCTTATTCAACAGTATTGGGTCCTGGCCAGATCAATCAGGCAAGAGAAAGAAGAAAAGGGCATCAAAATCGGAAGAGAGGAAGTCAAACTATCCCTGTTTGTAGACAAGATGATCCTATATCTATAAAACCCAATAGTCTCAGCCCAAAAGCTCCTTAAGCTGATAAACAACTTCAGCAAAGTCTCAGGTTACAAAATAAATGCACAAAAATCACTAACATTCCTGTACATCAACAACAGTGAAGCCAAGAGCCGAATAGGCAACGCAATCCTACTCACAATTGCCATAAAAATAATAAAATACTTAAGAATACTCAGCCAACCAGGGAGGTGAAAGATCTCTACAAGGAGAACTACAAAACACTGCTCAAAGAAACCAGAGATAACACAAATAAATGGAAAAACATTCCATGCTCATGGATAGGAAGAATCGATATTGTTAAAATGGCCATGCTGCCCAAAGTATTTTATAGATTCAATGCTATTCCTGTTAAACTAGCATTGACATTCTTCACAGAACTAGAGAAAACAATTTTAAAATTCATATGGAAGCAAAAAATGAGCCCAAATAGTCAAGGCAATCTTAAGCAAAATGAACAAAGCTGGACACATCATGCTACTGGACTTCAAACTGTACTACACAGCTACAGTAACCAAACAGCATAGTACTGGTACAAAAAGAGAAAACAGACCAATCAAAAAGACTGGAGAACCCAGAAATAAGGCCATACACCTACAACTATCTGATATTCAACATGACAAAAACAAGCAATGGGGAAAGGATTCCCTATTCAGTAAGTTGTTCTGGGATAATTGGCTAGCCACAAGCAGAATACTTAAACTGGACCCCTTCCTTCCGCCATATACAAAAATTAACTCAAGATGAATTAAGGACTTAAATGTAAAACCCAAAACTAGAAAAACTCCAACTTAGGCAACACCATTCTGGCCATAGAAACAGGGAAAGATTTCATGACGAAGACACCAAAAGCAATTACAAGAAAAGCAAAAGTTTACAAACAGGATCTAATTAAACTAAAGATCTTCTGCACAGCAAAAGAAACTCTCAACAAAGTGAACAGACAACCTACAGAATGGGAGGAAATTTGTGCAAACTATGCATCTGACAAAGGTCTAATATCTAGCATTTATAAGAAATACAAACAAATGTACAAGAAAAAAAACCCATTAGAAAGTGGACAAAGGACATGAACAGACACTTTTCAAAAGAAGATGTACATGCAGCCAATAATCATATGAAAAAAAACTCAGCATCACTGATTATTTGAGAAATGCAAATCAAAACCACAATGAGATGCCATCTCACGCCAGTCAGAATGTCTATTATTAAAAAGTCAAAAATAACAGATGCTGGTGAAGTTGTGGAGAAAAAGGAATGGTTATACACTGTTGGTGGGAGTGTAAATTAGTTCAACCACTGTGGAAGACACTGGTGACTCCTCAAAGACCTAAAAACAGAAATACCATTTGACCTAGTAATCTCATTACTGGGTATATATCCAAATAAATACAAATCATTCTATTATAAAAGACACATGCACATGTATGTTAATTACAGCACTGTTCACACTTGTAAAGACATTGAATCAACCTAAATGCTCATCAATGATAGACTGGATAAAGAAAACATGGTACATATATACCACGGAATACTATGCAACCATTAAAAGGAACAAGATCATATCTTTTACAGGGACATGAATGAAGCTGAAGGCCATTATCCTTAGCAAACTAAGGCAGTAATAGAAAACCAAATACTGCAAGCTCTCACTTACAAATAGGAGCTAAATGATGAGAACACACAGACACACAGAAGGGAACAACATACACTGGGGCCTATCAGAGGAAGGAAGGTGAGAGGAGGGAGAGGATCAGGAACAATAACTAACAGGTACTAGGCTTAATACCTGGTCAACAAAACAATCTGTACAACAAACCCCATGACACAAGTTTACCTATATAATACTAGGCTTAATACCTGGGTGATGAAATAATCTGTACAACAAACCCCCTTGAGACAAGTTTACCTATATAGCAAATATGCACATGTACCCCTGAACTTAAAAGTTAAATCTTAAAAACACACACACACATTTTAGTCCCCTCTCTCCAGCAATGCAGTTTATTACTACTATCTGCATTTTTTTTAGAAAGTCTTGCAGATAGATGCCTACATTTTTCAATCACATATTTTTTTTCATTCTGGCTCTACAAAATCAGCTTTGGCATTGACTAACATCAGCCTTTCCCCTTCCTAATTTATTTACTCAAATTATTTTTATCTTTAAGATTATGATAGCAATTCCTGTGTTTGCAACACCCTATTATTATGGACTTACTGTAAGTACATAATTTGAATAGTGTATTTAAAGATTGCTGAGATATTAATGTTTTAAAATCCACCTGATTTGAGAACTGCATAACCAACCAAGTAATCACTGGACTAACAATATTTAATGAAAATAATGCTTAGGAATCCTAGACAAACATACATGCCCTTAAAGGTCTGCTTAAGGGGTACATAATGTAAAAAACAGAGTATTTTTGAAGGTTGGGATAACTTCTTTTTCTTCTCAAAAGCTGCCATGATTTTCCCTAATAGCTACCATCTACTAAAAGCCTACTCTATGCCAGGTGCTGCCCCACCCCAGAAGTTCCCTTTAGTTGGGCAGGGCCCTATTGGAGTTTCTTTACTGGCCTGAAGACTGACTTACATGATCTGTGAGTGACATGTATAGTCTAGCTCCCAGCTCTTTCCCTCTCTCCTTGGAATGGGCTGCCCACAGAAATCCTCATTCTCCTTTGCACCCTCACAGCAGCAGCCTATCAGCATATCCCTAAATGCACAGGTAATTCTGGGGCTCAGTATCACAGAGCCCACTTAACCATAGATATAAGCTACACACTACAATCTAGAATTTAGTGACATTTTGATTCTTCATCTGTTGGTTTTTCACCTTATTTCTCAATTGGCTTAGAACTAGGGTAGGAGGGTGGGAACTCCTCAACAAATCCAACATCTTAAGCATTATGCCACAAAACTTAACAATGTGTAAAAGTAGCAAAATACATCTGGAGGAATTGAGGCTAAAGGTAGGTGGCTTTTGAGTTCTGGCATGCATGTCGGCCGTAACAGTTTTTAACTTTGGCAGTTAGCAAAGCTTGTACTGGATCACAGGAATGATTTTGATTGTCTGCAGCTACCTCTTCACTGTCATGCCAACATCAGGTAAATGAATTGTGGACAAATGAATTGTGTAAATTAGCTTGAATTTTCATAACCATCCTAAAATGTAAAAGTTGTATTTATTTCATCAAACCTAAAATGTCACTGAATTTAAGACACACCATTATTTTATAATCACCAACACAGAAAAAAAATACTGCCAATTAAACTATAACATGCCATTTATTGTAAGACACATTCAAGTTTTAGAGATGTTAAAATGTGAAGAAAAGAAAATGAGTCTTACAGTAAATGAACTATGGTACTATCCTCATTTTTTATTCAAGGTAACTGAGGCTTAAAAAGAATGACTTGCCCAAGATTATACACATAGAAAATGGTTAAGTTGTCGAATCTGGGTCCCAAGTGTACACCCTCCCAACACTGCCCAGGGTACACTACAGAATTTTAGGTGGAAGATATATTTCTGCAACAAGCATTACATATTTGTTAATCACTGTGGACTCAGCATTGTGCTAAGCCCTCTGGAGACTCATAATACAAAATCAGGGCTCTTCAGTGAATTTTCAATCAATTTGATGACTCAGGAAAGATACATAAAACTTCAAGAACAACTTTTAAAATCATATAACTAAGTGTTGATCTATATAGCACTGACTAAAATACTATAAGGTTTTAGAGTAGATTGGAATCAGTTCTGAGTTAGTCAAAGGAAGCTTCATTAAAAAGAGAAAAAGACTTAAGGTAGGCACTCAAGCTGCTTTAGGATTCAGCACCCTGAGAGGGAATCTAGAATAATGACAGTTGCCATTGATTGAACACCTACAAGACCCACGCAGGACTTTTCTCAGCTCTTCAAAACAGAGCGCATGCTCTCCGGTCTCTGAGTCCACACACATGCTATTCCCCTGCCTTGGACAGTCTTTCCCCAGCTCTGGGCCTGGTCACCTCCTCTTTGTCCTTCACGTCAACCTTTAATACTACATCCTGTATGGTATTCAAGGTAACTGAGAAGTTTTATGTGACCCCTAGACCTAGCTGGGCCCCCTTGCTAACTGCTCACCTGGCACTTACATACATTGCCCCTTTGTAATTATTTGTAAATATTTACTTTAAGGCTTGTAACTGTTTATGGTTATACATCCATTAGACCCAGCTGGGTGTGCTCACCACTCTACCTCCAGGACCAACTCATAATAGGAGCTCAATAAGCTGGCTCATGATTGTCTTAACCAGGCATCCACAAATTTTATCTCATTTAAACCCTCACTACAACACTGTAAGGTCAGTACCATTATTCCCCCATTATACGGTGAAGAAACTGGGGCTTAAAATAGCTAATTAACTCACCCGCGTCCTGCAACAGAGAAAACAAAACTTCAGCCAGGTGTGCCTGACAGCAAAGGCCATGTTATTAATCATTAGGTCATACTTTCCTTCTGCTCATAAACAAAAGCATAAAGGCAGGGATAGAATGGCATTTCATGGTGCAGAGAGACTTATCTGGCTACAACGGAGAATGCGCATGCAACAGATTCAAATTAAACATTTCTTGAGTACCTGCCATATGCCAGGGACTAGGCTGAGCATCTTTTACATGGATTATCTTATTTATTCTCACAATAACCCATGGGTTTAAATTTATTATGTCTATCTTATGATGGAGAAATACAGAGGTTAAGTAACATGCCCATTCACACAGCTGTTAAGCAGCAAAGCCAACATATTAAGCTGTAAGTTTGGGCAATGATGCAACCACAGTGGATTTTAGAGGATTTTGGAGCACAGTTTTTGAAGACCTTTTTTTGCCTGGCCCTGTCCCCAATTTGAGTGCCAACTGTCTGCCAATTGGCATTGGCAAATGTCGATTTCCAACTTTTTATGACCAACCCTGATCTTCAGTTAAGGGTTTTTGACCAAAGCCTGACAATATTTGACTGAAGCACTAATGCAAACTCTGGAATTAAATAACATTTAGAAAAGAAAGCCCAGTAGAAATACACAGACCCAGCATGAGGCACTGTGTTTAACTGGTGTATGTACAGACCCTGTCCAAATCAATGGGTGTCCCTTTAAGGCCAATTACGTAGCTCATTGTTGGGGCAAGCCAGAGTTAGGAGAGCCAAATTACAGAACAGCCCTCAGTAAAAAGAAATGTAAAGCTCTTTTCTCCAGAGATTGGGTATTATCTTCCCAGCAAGTACTTTAAGACATCAGCATCGGCCCATCTGCAATATAAATTTAGATCTCAGTAGAGTATGTAAAGCATCCTTGGGTGATTAGCAGAGAGAAAAATCTCCAGAGGTCCCACCATTAAATGAAGACCCACAGCACCTATCCTCCAGGGAGAGTGGAACTTGTTCTGCAGCTCTTGATGAAGGACTGAGGGGAGCGGCAGGGAAGCAAGCAGCAAGGGTCAGGAAACCTAGGTGCTGCCGCTCTCTGCCGCTTACCAGTTCTGTACCTCCGACAAATCGAAAACCTCGGGGTTGCAAAGAATCTTGAAAGTCTGTTAGTCCAGACACTTTACCAATGTTTGAATCCCTTTAATAACATGGCTGCTAAGTGATAATTTAGTTTACACTTTACACTCAAGTGATAGAGAAATCATTGATTTCATTGCCTCTCCAGTGCTCTATCACTTCTGAGAACCTTGGAGAAGGAATAATGGCCCAAGTGTTAGAGGTTGGAAAGAATCTGAAGTCTGAAAGGCAATAGCACTTAACAATGCTGGAGAGTAGCAAGAGGTCACCGGCCCATCTCTACAGAAAGAGTTATCAATTATTAATCAAGGTTAAGTACTCATGTAAGTTTCCAAAACTCAAAAATTAAAAGATGGGTCCTTTACATAAGTGGCTTGCCTGTAGAGTAAAAAGAAACCTCTTAAAATGTTGAAACTTTAAAATAAATTTTTCATCTACAAAATTCAGCTGTAGAGAAGAAGATATTTGAAGTATAGAGCAAGTAAGATATGTTGATTATACAGCAGCATTACTCTATTTATGGTTGTGGACTGGTGAAAGTCCACATGTTGTTTGTGGGCTGCAAGGAAATAAGAGCTTGCACTAGAATCCAAATCAACTTTGTCACTAAGCACACTTTTTGCTTCAGTAGACTGTGTGTGTGTGTGCACCAAGATTTTCTCCGTGATGGAAGCAATGCATTGATTTATATTCTGGTGCAAGCCCCTTATTTTGGCCCAAACAGTAATGAACAGTTCACAGCCTGGCTAGTTTGTAGAACACCGTTAGAGAGTAAGATGGGTGCCTCCTATATCAACAGGCACACCAGTGGGATTTTAATGACCCTTGTGACACCTCTTTCTTCACTCTGTGAAGCACCAACCCCCAAAACCACAAGAAGCCAGCACTTCTACTGCCACATCCCAAAGCCGATGCATGATCTCACCTAGACTATTGCGAGGCCTTCCAGCAGGCCCTCCTGGCTTTCAAATGATTCTGACACATGCCCAAACCAGCCTTCACACTGCTACTACAGGAACCCTTTTGAAGTGTATCTAGACACAGACTCCCCTTCTTAAAATCCTCTGAGAGCTCCCCAATGCTTACGGCATTAGCTTTAACCTTTTAAGTGTAATAGCCAACCACTGCCTGCCACTCTTGACCTCTGGGATTACTAGCCATTCCCTGAACACATTATATATTTTCATCCATCTGTGTGTCCACTCACATTCCTTCCTCTACTTGGAATACAATTCCTTTTCTATCCACCTATAAATTCCTACTCATCCTTGAATATCAGTTCAGAAAATACCTTCTCTGCAAGTTTCACCAACAATCCTACAAAGAGCTATGCATTCTGACCTTCTCTGGAAGGCAGTTTAGTGCCATCATTAACAGGGCAGGCTCTGGAACTTAACTCTACAATTCCTATCTTTATAAAGATTGAGCAAGTGATTTAACATCTCTGTGCTTAGTTTCCCCATCTGTGAAATGAGAACAACCACAGTAATTCCTTTGTAGGGTTGATGGGGAAATTAAATTAGCTAATCCATGGAAAACCCTTAGCACAGTTTATGGCATGTGTAGGTATTCTGTGAATTATTGTGTTCTGAAAACACTTGTTTTTATCTTTCAGACATTATGTTGTGTTATACTTAGTTGTTTTCATGTCTGGTTTCTCCAACATATTACAAGCTTTTAAAGGGCAGACCTTAATGGGTCTCATCTATCCTTTCATCTTCCCTAACACAGTGTTTGGCACATAAACAGGCATTCAATCAACTGTTTGCACAATAAATGCAGTAGAACAGAGAGTGGTGAAGCCAGAAGCAGGCTGACCCCAGGCACCATGCAGAGCTCAGAAGGCAGGTCAGAAACTGACTCAGGGCCCAGACCGGGTGCGGTGGCTCATGCCTGTAACAACAGCACTTTGGAAAGCCGAGGCAGGCAGATCACTTGAGGCTAGGAGTTCGAGACCAGCCTGGTCAACATGGTGAAACTCTGTCTCTACTAAAAATACAAAAAATTAGCCAGTGACATATGCCTGTAATTCCAGCCACTTGGGAGGCTGAGGCATGAGAATCTCTTGAACCTGGGAGGCAGAGATTGTGGTGAGCCAAGATCGTGCCACTGCACTCCAGCCTGGCTGACAGAGCAAGACTCTGTCTCAAAAAAAGAAAAGAAAAGAGAAAAGGAAAGGACTAGAGGCCTAACATTCCCAACTTAACTCCCCATAACTAAAGAAATCCACCACCTTCACCTCCATCCTCTGTCCCCAGGAAAGTACTTTCCCATCTCCACTCTTGTCCCTAAAATGGGAAAGGGAAACTGCCTCCCTCTCCATCACACCCCCAGGAAACCACACGACCCTGGCACATTGGAGAGAACCCTGGATACATGACATGACGAAGGGCCTGAGTGGGGATCCTGGCTCAGTCCCTTGCCAGCTTTGTGACCCTGGGCAAACCCCAAAGCATGGCCATTTGCTCATCCATAAAATGTGGATGCCATTTCCACCCAATTGTCAAGGAGATAAGCACACAGGAGTGTATGGTTCACATTACAAAGCACTAAGTAAATATCAAGAACTATTATTAGATAATAGTAAAAGCTACTAATTACCAGGTACTTATTCCCTGACAATTCCCTCATTCCCTGTGCTAACTGTCTTATACATTATCTTATTTAACCCTTATGACCAGTGAGGTAGCTACTATGATCTCCTGTAGTAATTAAAGTACCTGTAGCCAAGAGGGGCTGATTTTACCTCGCTTAAATTTTAAAAATAAGAATAAAAGAAGAACAACAACAAAAGGAAGAGAAGGATGAATTCTTTTTAAGATACTGGAGTTGCTCAAAAAATTAATAAATCCCTAAGCATCCAGACTTGGGGCCACCCCAGGAACTGTGGCTGCAGGTGTTATGACCTGCCCTACAGACTGAAGATATAAAGGTGCCTTCATGTCAGAGGGCCCCGGCTCTGGGTTTCAAATCGCTAGGCTAGAGAAGTTAATTGGCCTGACTCAGTCGGTTGCTATGTCCAGGGTGTAGAACTGCATTGCACAGATCCCTCCTCCCATATATTCCTAAAAAGGAAGAATTGTTTAGTAAGCCAGGAAAGACAGAAAAAAAAAGTAAAACCACCTGTTCAAATCACATGGGTAAGAAGTGAAGGAGGTAGGATTCAAATTCTGGCAGCATGGCTGCAGAGGCTGACTCACAACCACCCCACAGATGGCCTCCGAAGGTAATGAAAGAGGCATGTTTATTAATTTTTGACAACCTAGTGAAAATATTTATCAGATGGCTTCCTGGACCCATTTCATTGGAAAATAGGCAGCATAGTGGGGAGTTTCAGAGTTCCTGTTTTAACATCAGAGACTTGGGTTGACGCTAGCATCACCAATTACAAGCCAAGAAACCGTGGGCAATCATGAGTTCTAAGGTCAGAGTCCTCAAGTGGAAAGTGGAGACATAATAGCATATCCTATATTATTACAATTATATGGCATTCTGGAAAAGGCAAAACTGTAGATAGTTTTTTAAAATCCATGGTTTCCAGGTATGGAGGATAGTTAAATGGGTGAATAGATGAATTTTTAGGGTGGTATAGTTATTCTGTACATTACTGTAATGGTGGGTACATAATATTATGCATTTGTGAAAACCCATTGAAATTTACAGCACAAAGGGCAAATCTTAACATATATAAACTTTAAAAAAATCATTTAGGCAGTCAGGGTAATCCCGGAATGAAATACAGCATGTGACAAAGCAATCTGTGGTACATATGTGAACAACCCTCACTAAAGTGGATGGAAGAAAAAGGTGCTATTTAAGTGGCTTTGGAAATGTATGCAGTCTGTAAAACTAAGGCAAAATAAACCGTACACAAGCACTGTACTCTAGTTGACGAGGCTATTTTCCATGGGGGTATAAGTTAACAATTTTGATACTGCTACATATGTATACTGGAATTGAACAACTAAATAAATGCATGACAGATGCTGAGAGCCAAGTTTATCATTTTTGGAGTAGGAGGCTACAGATAGGCAAGGGGGAAGGCTAGAATGATCCACGTGATAATGGCTTAGAGCTGGAGACATGTAACAGCTTAAGAGCTGGAAACGTCAGTGTGAACACATGTTTAGCATAATACAGATACCAATGGTTACATACAGATATATTTGTAGATCAGTAGATAGGCATCTATAGATTGGTTCACATGCACATGTTTTCTTGCTGTCAGCTGAGAGCTTATAAAGCAGCAGCAACCAGAAGCACCAGCACACCTGGAGCCCAGACCCTATTCTAATACCACCCTCCAATAAAAGGAGCCAGGGCTGGCTGGGCGCCGTGGCTTACACCTGTAATCCCAGCACTTTGGGAGGCCAAGGCGGGCAGATCACGAGGTCAGAAGATTGAGACCATCCTGGCTAACACGGTGAAACCCCGTCTGTACTAAAAAGACAAAAAATTAGCCGGGCGTGGTGGCGGGCGCCTGTAGTCCCAGCTACTTGGGAGGCTGAGGCAGGAGAATGGCGTGAACCCGGGAGGCGGAGCTTGCAGTGAGCCAAGATCGCGCCACTGTACTCCAGCCTGGGCGAGAGAGCGAGACTCCGTCTCAAAAAAAAGGCCAGGGCTTTTTGGAGAAATGACTGATTCAAGGACTAGGGCAGAAGATGTACAAGATAATCCTGGAGTATCTTGTAGTGAGTGCCACAAAGAAAGCAAGAAAGAAACACCTCAAAAACAAAAACCCGCAATGATGGGGGTGTGTCAAAGGGACACAGGAGTCACGTGAAACAGCTCCCAGAGGCAAAAAAAAAACCAAACAAAATCTAGTAGTATACTATTTGATTATAACTCAAAGTATGGAATAAATCTCTATGAGTCCATATTGATAGAAATAAACAATTGAATACGTAAATAAATGGGGAAGAAGAGAGAAATTTTCTGTGCAGAGAAATTTCAAAAATGTTTATAGGTACTGTGCTCTCTGAGGGTGGAATATAACTCCCCCTCCTTAAGTGTGGACTACACGTGGTCACTTTCTTGTGATAGTACAGTATAAAAAAAGGAGAGGGGACAGTAACTTTACGAGAAGAAACCTGACAAACACCGTCTCAGCGAGGTGATGACGTTCAACATCTACAACGTTAAATCATGTTAATAATATGTACCCTGAATATGATGTGATAAGAATGGCATTTTCTCTCTGCCTTCTTCCTCTCAAAAACCCATAACCCCAGTCTAATTATTAGAAAACCTTAGACAAATTCCAAAAGAGGAACCTTCTACTAAACTCCTGAGCAGTACTCCTCAAAACTGTCAAGGTCATTAAAAACAAGTTTAAAGTCTGAGAAACCACTACCGCCAGCAGGATCTTAAGAAGACATGACAACTAAGGTAAGGCGGTATCCTGGGTAGGCTCCCGGAGCAGAAAAAGGACACTAGGTCAAAATAAAGGAAATCCGAATAAAGTATTGGCTTCAGTTAATAATAATGTATCAATATTCCTTCACTAATTGTAACAAATGTGTTATGCTAATATGATTAAAACAACAACAACAGGAGAAACTATATGTTAAAAATAGGAGGCCGGGCGCGGTGGCTCACACCTGTAATCCCAGCACTTTGGGAGGCCAAGGCAGGTGGATCACGAGGTCAGGAGATCGAGACCATCCTAGCTAACACGGTGAAACCCTGTCTCTACTAAAAATATTAAAAAAAAAAAAAAATTAGCCAGGCGTAGTGGCGGGCGCCTGTCGTCCCAGCTATTCGGGAGGCTGAGGCAGGAGAATGGCATGAACCCGGGAGGCGGAGCTTGCAGTGAGCCGAGATTGCGCCACCGCACTCCAGCCTGGACGACAGAGACTCCGTCTCAAAAAAATAAAATAAAATAAATAAAAAAAGGAGAAAGTGGGGGAACTCTTGCTATATTCATAGTTTTTCTGCAAATCTAAAGCTGTTTGAAACAAAGTTGATTAAAACAACCAAAAATTACCCATGCCTGGCACATAGTAATTCTCTATAATAATTTGGCTGTAGTGACGGTAGCAGTAGTACTCATGGCTCCAGTGTAGGCGCATGGAGGAGACGGGGGTCGGGGGGCAAGATTTGCTGAGTCCTTTATGTTCTTCCTGTGGGAATTTAGGTTCAAAGGTCCAGGAAATAAACTGTCACTGTGCTGGTCACCACCCAACAACCACTTCTAGACCCTGTACCAAGGGCAGCAAAGCCCGTAGCTTTATAGTGACTTTGTAGGGAGGAGGGCACTCCCCGATTCCCACAAATAAAGAGAAGGTCACCCTCACATACACACATCCTCCAAGGCAAAAAAAATAAAAAATAAAAAGATTGGTGGAAATGCAAATGCAAAGAAAATGCAAAGATTTCAATCAAGAGGTGTTTTGTAATCAGAAGGAACTTCTAATCAAGGGCCAAGAAACTGACCCCACCCAGTGGCTGCCAGATGACCTAAAAACCCGGAAGTCAGAATGGTGGTTTTCGTTAAATGGTAGCGCTCCCTGGTGTATTGAGCTGGTGAAATATGGCTTGTATTTCCCTTGCCTGCATGCAGTCTTAAATCCTCCCTCAATAGAAAATCTCCTGTCAGGCTGATCCACACTAACCACGGGCACTCCTGCTCTCCCCAAAATAAGCAAGATCAGCCCAGGAAGTCAAGTCCTCATCTCCTGTCAGATGTCAACACAAGCATGCTACGGCCACATTGCAACCAGGTTAGGGACAAAGAAGAGCAGCCTGGATGTACAGCATTACCAAGGCGGATGCTTCTGTGAGCGTCAAAAACCCTGGGTTACAATCACGTTTCACTAACGAAACACAAACAAGCAGTGGCTGTGCTTCATTTGCAACAGGCGTTTCCAGACACTAATATTGCCCACACTTGCTTGAGTTGGAGAATGTCTTTACATTCATAACAAACCTTGAAAGTAGAAGCTGAGACACAAAGTAGCAGCTTAAATGCAGTGCTCTTCGGGGACTTCACTAAGAAACAACCTGAGTGTTCCCCAGTACGATTGCTTTAAGAGTGACGAGAGCGCCCTCTCGTGGGGGAGAAAGGGCCCTGCATGCAGGGTGCAAACCTGTGAGGGCCAATGCACCACCGGCTACGGGGTCAGCCTGGGTTGGATTCATGTGGTTGGTGCCTGCTCTGTTTTCTCCTCCTCATGATCTTGGTGGTGTTCCAAGAGAATTGTCCACCCACATAAGCAAGAGAAAATTCCAGGGGTGAAATGACTGGACTATTTTTAAGCCGACTGGGCCAGGTTGGGTTTCATGTCTCTCCTGATCAGTGTTTGCCTGAGTTTGCAGCTCATTCTCATCACGGAAAAAGCCCTCCCGACTACAGACGGCGGGACAGGCAACTCATCACTGTGACGGAACCCAAGCCAACTCTTTAAGCCAGTGGGCAAGGTCTTAGATAAGACACCAAAATGGAGAAAGTTGCCCATTGCTGAGGGGCGCCCGTTTGGACAAACAGCAAAATGGGGCCAGCCAAGAGCATCATTTCAGACAGAGAAAAACGAGAAGGGAAGGGGCTCAGAGGCATTGGCCTGAAACAGAATATGACTAACTGTTCCCTGTCTAGGTCAACTCCTTAGGACATAAAAATAAGCCACTCAAACAAAGCCATGGTTAGTGTTTTAAACAAAATATAGATATGTTTAAAACTTAGCAACACAGGACAAGTTATACCAACAGCAAAACACAGAAAAATCTGAGGTGAGGGAGTAAGGAGTAAGTCCCTTTGCCTGAATTCATGCCATGTTTTATTAAAGTGAACAAGGAATAGCCATGCTTGAAATCCCCTCCCCAAACGGCTTTGTTAGCTGGACACAGCCACTCCATCTCAGGTGTAATTTCGCACGCACAGGCAGGTGAGGTCCTGAGTTGGGGACAGCTCTCTGGCGGTGAGACATCTCCCCAGAGGCTCACAGGTACACTCTAGCCGCCTATGGGTCTATAGGAGCCCTGGGGAAGAAAAGATGGAGTTTCTGGTTTAGATTAGGTTATTCTGGCAACAAAAAGGAAAGGGCAGGGGAGGAGAACATTATCAGTGTCCTTCAAGAACGGGCAACTTCAGAGGGTATGCAAATAGGCAATAGCTATAGGGGAAAAAAAATTCACAATGGCATCCAAAAAATGTAACTTAAATTAAGGATGTTACGTCATTTTCCACCTATCAGAAGGGCAAAATGAAAAAGCATGACATATCCATTACTGAATATCTGAGGAAAGAGACACCAGACACCACTATTAAAAGGAGCAAAAATGGTCTTCCCACTTCTGGAGACCAGTTGTATCCAATATCTTCAAAACGTGCATATCTTAAGGTCCGGTAATTCCCTTCTGGGAACTCTAAAATAAGACTTGCACAACATTTTCCAATAGGAATATCCCTAAAGGTTTATGAATGACCACATTATAGAGCTTATATTTTGGGCTTCAGGAAATAAGAAAATAAGGACAGAATTCAACCACCAAAAGGCATCTAAGAATTAAGGAAAATGTTGGTGGAACCTCTAAACCTTTTCTCCATGTTCCCAGTGGATATGGTCTATGGCTGATCCCATGATGGGAAATCTCTGCCCAACGGTCAAAATGGTGTTTTCAGCTAGTCTCACAAGTTCAGAGTCATACACCAGCACTTCATTTTCTATTTAAATGTTTACGGTTTAAATTGAAACTGTGGGGGCCTTTCATTCTGTCAGGAGGCCATGGTCAACATCCTCAGTGTGTTTTGTCCTTGGCACAGCCTCCTGGGAAGCCTCAGGCTCAGCTCAGATGCTTCACTATGAACATTACCAAAGACTCGTGGGCATTTCAGAATTTAAGAAAGAGCCCACCTTCACCTAGCACAAGACTTTGCAAATAATCCAGACCCTTTCATCAAAGTGGCTCCACAAGTATGTGGTGTGCACAAGGCCGCCTGGGCAGTCTTTACCTCATCACCCACCTGGCAGGACATGTTTAGAAGCTGCTTCTCTGTGATAAGATTTCCTCCGCATCTTAAATAACCTGGACAGCAATAAGCCAGTGTCAAGGTGGTGGCTGTCAGCTTCTTCTAGGATGGATCAGCAGTGTCCTTGGAAAAGCAAAAAGCTAGAAGCCCAGGTAAACACTTACAACACGACAATGACAAAAAGATATGAATAATAAATACCTTCAAAAATATGATCTTCCTAGGAGACTTTATTTACACGCTCAGCCATTCTTTTGCTTTTTCTCTGGCTCCCAAATAGGATTTAATCTTTTGACAATTTTTCACTCCAAGAAAGACTAAAGAGCCCATGGTGGGAAGGACAATATTGTTCCATGAATCAGGTACAGTATGCCTCAAAAGTCATCACAAATTTAAATTTCTGCCTTAAGTAGCCAAGTGGAAAGGGCACTGCAGCAAGAGTCAGGAAGCCTGGATTCTCACCCAACTCTCAAGAACCGGCTTCTCCACAGTGGGCCTCCATCATCTTTCTGAATTCCAGATTCATCCTCTGTAGAGACAATGTCTAGACTCCCATCTAGCATCCCTGGGAAGGTGAATCCGGGATGGGACCTGCAGCAAAGCAATCGATGCCCCACCCGTTTTCCCTCAGCCTTCATTGTAACAGTGCCCATGGGCCTGACCAACTGCCAGCCCCTGCACCTCCTTACCAGAGGTTCTCTGGCCAGCAGAACCTCCCCTCTCAGGTGTGATCACTCAGAGGCACCTGTGCTACACTCTTTCCCAGACGTTCCCAGTGGAACTGAGCTGCAGCTGTCCACAGTGATGGCGAGCTTGATAGCACATCCTTTATTGGCTTCCTTCCTCCCCTTCTCATTCCCCACTCCCCTTCCCAAGTTTCCTGGGATCATCTCCCACATAAACTATGTACACTGGAATCCTGCCTCTGTGGGAACCCAAACTAGGAGGGGTGATTTGTATGCCTTTCTACGAGGGACTAAACCTTTTCAAATGGCCTGGCCTTATATCTTTAAGCCACGCCTGTGATGTAGAAAGTAGGCCGTTTTCTCCATGGCTGACTGTAATGCAGACTTTTGAAAGTGACAAAGCCTAGTTTTAACGTCACCCCTTGCCCCCCTGTTTGCCCACAACATCTGAAGGTTCCTCCTGATTCCCAGTTCTGATAGATCCTCCTGATTCCCAGTGATTCTCACCTAGGAACCACCAATGAAGGCGGAGGAAGGGGAGGCCTGAACACATCTCCCCTCTTCCCCGTGAGAACCAAGGGGCCACTATTTCACTTTCTTGTCTCCCCATCAGTGTGTTACTTCACTCTTGGAAAGGGGCCCAAATGCTAAGCATGTCAGGTCATGAAGCAGGCTGAGTGGAAGACTTGGCTGATGATCTGGGGCCCAACCACACCTTTTCAGAGTCCAAGTAGTTGAAATGTCAGAATTACAGCCTGGCTACTAACAATGGTACAAAACAGCTAGCTCTATCAAGACCCGGACAATCCCTAGCTTGGCAGAAATAGGCTTGCCTGCAGCCAAGATCTCCTAGAAAAAGCCACCTTCTGGTTCCCAGTCCACATGCACACAGACCACCATTAGATCACAGCAGGAGAAATCTCTGCACCGATATGAGGTGCTGTGCTGTAATTGTCATCATCCACATAAAACAGAGGTGGGAACGAAGCAGGGAGTGTACGCTGTTTTATCAATCTGCACACTCACACATCTGACAACGTTTCACAGAATCCTACCACTGCACCAGCCATGCTCAGAGGGAATCTAGTAGACACTGTTCTGCAGGAAATTACAGCTACCCACAGAAAATCTGAAGTCACAAAGGGAAGGACATGATGAAGGGAGAACATGATAAAACTTCAAAGAAATTCCAAGGCAGAAGATGTGAATGATCAACAGGAAAAAGGCAATTAGGAGGGAATTGGGTCTACCCAGAGGGAGACATAATGAAACCTAGCCCCATTCATGGATTTCACATCTCCAAAAGAACAGTGAACCTGATTCATCCCTACTGGCTTTACTTGACACCATGAAGGAAGAGAGTGAACAAGAACACATGATAAAAGGTTAAAGAGGAAAGTTGAAGTCAACTTGAACGAAGCCTGCTTTTCACACCAAAGCACTCAACGTAAAAGCCAGCCCACCAGGGTGGTGACGGGTGAAGATACCCTTACCAGAAACAGAAAGAGGCTCTCAGATGGAGGCTGGAAAAAAAAAGGCAGGGGTAGGATCTGCAGTGCTGTAAGATATTAGAGACAGTCTAGGTTTGCTTTCTCATCCTGAGGAGAAGGAAACGCAGCCCAGAAATGTGCAGTGTCTGCCTGAGTCACACTGCAGTATGCAGAAGAGCTGAGTCCCCATTCTTCCCAGCAGAGCTCTTTCCACCACCATGTCCCTCCTAGGAGGAATCAACCAGGTGAGCTCTGGCTCTAGGGAGGTTCCCTCTATTTAAGAATCTTCTCATATCATTCAGGAAACATCTAGCAACGTGCAAAACAACTCCTAGAATGGCATTATGACCCAGCAATCCCACCTCTGGGTACATATCCAAAGGAATGAAATCAGTATCTCAAAGAGGTATCTGCAGCCCTGTGGTCATCACATCATTCTTCACAAAAGCAAAGATATGGAAACAACCTAGATATCCATGGAACAATGAATGAATACAGAAATATGAATACACAATGTGATAAAAATACACAATGGAACAATGGAATATTACTTAACCTTAAAGAAGAAGGAAATCCTGTCATTTGCACCAACATGGATGAACCTGGAGGGACAGCTATGTGAGCTGATAGATACATTAATAGCTTTGATTGTGGTAATCATTTCATAATGCATATATATATATCATGTTGTACACCAGAAATACATCTAATTTTTATTCATCAGTTATACCTCAATAAAGCTGGTGGGGCGGGGAAGTGGGGATTATCCTAAAGCCCTTCCTTTGCTTATAGGTCTGCTTACAGATTAATGGGGGATGCCAGGCTCCCTGGGAATATACTCTTTCCCACTGCACTACAGAGAGTAACCTCATGTTTGAGCCTTCTCTTCTAATATCTAGACATGGAAAACAGACCAACCATGAGCAATTCTTCACTATACATGGTTGAATGGCTTGTTAAGGAAAAACCCCACATGTCTGTCTATCAAACAAACATGATTTGACCATATGCAGCAGGCACAAAAAGATTATAAAGATTCAGAACCTAAGCCCCATAAGCCAGAAAAGTAAGCAGCAGCATCAGCAAATCTTCATCATAGAGAGACCGATTACCAGGTGCCATACACTGTGCTCCAAGCTTTACATGAATTATCTGACCTTATTTGCAAGAATATGATGAGGCAAGCATTGTTATACCCATTTGACAGACAAAGAAACTAAGGCTCGGCAACGGGAATTGACTGAACTATGGTTATACAATGAGTAAATAGGAGAATCTGAGGATGAAACACAAGTCTGCCTGATTCTAAGCCTTTGCTACTTCTGTCTCCCAAATAAATACAATTTTCATTCATTTAGTTAATCCTTAACTTAGAATGGAACAAGTTTCAGGTGGTGATACATGAATACGTGGAAAAGCTGTATTAGAAAGGGTCTGGGGATTTGGGTGGGTTTTTGAAAGAGAGAAAAGTTACTGTCTGGCCTCCACTGAGGCCCCTGGGGACAGGAGACAGGCAATGGAAGAAAGAGATGACACACTTTCCTGTGGCCAGATGGAAAGCTAGTGTCAGCAGCCTTCATATGTACATGAGGTCTGTACTTTGCAAAAAAAGAAAAGCATTGCAATTTCCCAGCATAAGTTTATCCATTGTGGTAAGTATCTGAACTCTCTTGGAGGGAAGGGAGAGGAAGCAAATAATAAAGAAAAATAAATAAAGATATCGGAAGGAAAACCAAACAAATTTGCCCTAAATTGGGCAACCTATTTGCCCAAGAGGGGAAATGTAGATGAAATGTGAACATGAAAACCCAAAAAGAAAAGAAAATATAGCCCCGGAAACCTTCCTATATCTGAATTCGTAGAACATTCTCTCCTACTGGGATGAGCAGTTGAAATTTTTATAACAGAGCTTTGTTATATATCAAAGAAATGCCTTTTAGGGAAAAAGAAACTTTGGGGAAATAAAAATTCTCGTTAATAGCCTCTTGAGGATATCAAGCATTCATCTTAAGGGCTCAACTGAGGAAACAGATGCGTCAAGCAGTCCCCATGGTACAGACTGAGGCACACGTGGGGGTTACTTTCCTGGAAGCACAATGTTGGGTTTGTTCTATTAATTATAAATTTACTGAGCATATTCCACAGTGATGTAAGAGGCAAACATGAATACCCCATTATCCTTTTTCAGCTTAAAAGGAACTCTACTACAAGGCAGAATGTAACTGACTGGTAAAACAGGTATAAACAACAACATTCCAAAGACAGGGACCCATACAAAGAGAGAAGGGTCACGAATACAGAAGGCTCCTTGGAAGAAATGCTACTTAGAGAGTTAGGCTCTGAGGGGTGAAGAGAGATGATGACAGATGAAGATTGAGGGCTAAAAGAGAGTGAAAAAAAGGCAAGAGAAGAGTAGGGAATAAAGACCAAGCACAGGCCAGAGATGAAACTGAGAAGGCTCCCTCATTCATTCCGCCTGTATTGGAAACACGTGTTGAGCACCTGCCATTTGCTGGACACTGTTGTAGGTGCTTGGGACACAGCATGAACAAACAAATATCCCAGTCTCATGGAGCTTACGTTCTAGTTGAGGTAAAATAGACGACAAACAAAATATGTAAGTAAACGGTATAGAATATTGGGAGGGGTAAAGTTCTCTGTCATAAAGAAAAATCAAGCATGGAGAAGAATGTTAAATGCTGGGGAAGGGGGAAGATTGATTGCAAGTTGGTTGGTCCAAGAACACACATGGTCTTGCATCTCAGGTTAAGATATCTGTGCTTGATTTCATAGACAATCAAAGAGGCAAAATACTTTTAAAAGCCTTAGCAGTAAAAGTGAGTGATCAGGCCAGGAACAGCAGCTCACGCCTGTAATCCCAGCACTTTGGGAGGCTGAGGCAGTTGGATCACCTGAGGTCAGGAGTTCGAGACCAGCCTGGCCAACATGGGGAAACCCTGTCTCTACTAAAAATACAAAAATTAGCTGGGCATGGTGGCAGGTGCCTGTAATCTCAGCTACTTGGGAGGCTGAGGCAGGAGAATCACTTGAACCCAGGAGGCAGAGGTCGTAGTGGGCCAAGATGGCACCATTGTACTCCAGCCTGGGAGACAGAGTGAGACTAGTCTCAAAAAAAAAAAAAAAAAGAAGTGGGGGGAGTGATCAGTAGAAGTTAGCTAATGTTGGTAGTGTTTAATTTAGGATGTATTTGAGGATGTGACACGTGGAGCAGTACACGGAGTCATTAGACATAGCATGAGATGGAGAGAAGCATGTAGGAGAGATGTCAAGGAGGAGGTCGGAAAGTACATTTCATCAAACACTGGTCTTCCTAGATACTTTCAAAGAAGGTTCTACAGGGAAATAAATTCAGAAATGAGAAAACCACCCAACCCCTCCTGGCAGCATATTAAAAGTTCTAATTTGTCCTGAGGCTAAACCAACAAACAAAATGATATTTAACTGTCTAAATTAATATTTTATACTTTGTCCTGATCAATTTTTTTTAGCGGTGAGGGGGGTGGAACCCCTATTAAAACCTGGCAGGACTAACTTTATGAAATGCTGAACAAGAGGGAAAAAGAAAAAATCCTACAAATTGGGAAAAGACGATGGATTTGGGAGAGAGAAAAGAAACTGAATGACAGGCTCTGGAAAGCACTTGACTGGAAGTGTGGACAGGAGTGTGAGGGAGAAAAGAAGGAGGAGGGGAGGAGCCGTCAAAGTCAGAGAGGACAGGAGCATGCCAAGATGCCACTAACAGAATCTTCAAGAACATCTCAATCAAAAGTTGAGCCACTTTCAGGGAAAGTGCAGTGAATGCTAACACTCCTTCTGAATGCCTCTCATCTGACATCAATGAAAACAAGGAATTAAAAAAGGGATAATCTTCCTTTTATGAAGGGAGAGAAGTTAAGGCTTTAGACAGACACCATCCTGGATCACCCCTGCAATCAATCCTGAAGGGATAGAGAAGGACAGTGAATTTTGAAGAAGCAAGAAAAGGAGAAAGTGTTGTTTAGAATTAAGCCTTGTTTAATCAGTCTGGGAACGTAAAGAACAGCTTAAATCATTAATCTTGAAAAGCACGTCTTGTCCACTCATGCAGACATATATAATTCAGGCACCTTTTTTCCTTGGCTGCTTAGCAGATTGTCTGTATTTATTAAATTGCCTTTACTACTTTTAGATGGCCATACGTTTTCAAAAGCAAAGACCTAGTAAGCCATTTGTGTTCATTTGCTAAGCTATCTTAGGTACAGGTCCAGATTATAAATGTTACCTGCTAATCAGAGAGCAAATTTTTAAATTAATCACTTGTAAATCCACATTAAAAGAAAAAGAAACTTAGAAAAACACATAAATTTCTTTTGTGATCCCACTATTCAGGAAAATCCATTGAAAAAGCAGATGACTTATCCGTGTTAAATTTTTAAAGCCCCTATTAAACTGTCATGTAAATTCTTATTTATCTAATTTTTAAACACATATAGAATTTACTCTCCAGTTCATAAATGCCTCAATTCTGTGATGTCATTACAACAGCATTAACGCAGACATATCGACTTAAACAGCCATGCAGTCCTGAATCAGAAGTGAGTTTTAAGTCACTAATTATTTCCGTAATTGAAAAAGAACAACACATCTGAATAGTATTTTGGCCCAGAGGTATTCAACAGGCTGGTGCTTCTCAAAGAGTAACATGCATGATATACAGGAACCTTGTCAAGATTCAGATTGAGTCAGTGGGTCTAAGGTGGAGTCTGAGACTCCACGTGTCCAACAAGCTCCCTGGTGATGCCCATGCTGCTAGTACACGTCCCACACTTTGAGTTGAAAGGCAATAGATGATCCTTCCAGGATTCAAGGAGGGGCAGCGGGGTTGGATGAAATAGACTGGGTGAAAAGGACTGAGTTGCTTTTTTAGCTTTCCCAGTGTGATTCCTGCTGGACTCTCTGGAAAGCATTGTTGTCCTTTGGTCTAGAAAGACTTGAAAGTTCAAGGTCTAAAGTCATATGTGCAAAATGTGGTGGAATAAATGTTAAGGAGAAACAGGAAACTGTAATAACAGTGTGAGGGTTGGTGACAGGCTCTCTACTCTGAGCAGCTAAAAATTATAAAGAGGAGAATTCTTAGACAAGCCTGGGTTGACGTTCAGGATTCAGATTTGTTTATAAATGTCTGGCTGATTCTTGAGACAAGGCAAGTTCTGAACAAGCTACTTTAAGATAAGCATTATTATTTTCAGTAAAGGAATGAGAAACTCAGAAGATGCCTGAGGCCACTCAACTCATAACAGAGTGAAGACACAAATCCAAGAGGTCTCCTGACTCCAATAAAGGAGGCCCTCACCTCTAAATTACACAGTTTGTCAAGGTGATCCCCAAACCAGTTGGTAACCAATGTTTGAGAAATTCATAGAAGCTATCAGACTTCAGGACACAACTGTCATCTATGTCAACTTTTCAAGAAAAGAAGATACCAGGAACTATAGACTAGTTTGCTTCACAGAATCATTAGGGGAAGCGGGGAGAGTATTGTATTTATTAAAAGAAGTGGTGAGTGCATTAGAAGCTAGCATGGGCTCACTGCCCATCTCCCCTCCCAGGTGAAGCCAAGGCAGGGGGAATCCTTCCGTGTTGTTTTCTTCAGCATTGATTGTAAGCTCTCAAAGCAGTGGCTGTTCCATGATAGGCACTTAAATATTTGTTGAATGACTGAACAAATGAGTGAACAAGAAACAGGCCAACACACTCCAATATTTGTCAAGTTCAACTAGAGGCCAGGCACTATGGATACAAAAACAAATAAGATGTAGTCCCTGAGTAGAAGTGGTTAGGTCTGTTTTCTTAACTGTTAGTTTGGAAAGAAACTTATGGCTTCTTGCTTATGTGGTATTTGATGTTCTGGTTGCCCTTTCCTCCATCCTCTTTCCTTGGCCTCAGAGTGGGGATTACTGACCGAGCTCCTTGACCTTTCTCCTCCTTCCATTGTGGCCAAGCAGCACGCTTTCCCATCTTCTCATTCTGTGCCAGAAGCCTCCTGCTACTCCTGAGCCCATGCTTCTCATGAGGTTTTAGTGGTGAAGGGGAAAAACATGGGCCCTAGAGTTTGAGAGACCTGGTTCATTTACTGAGCATTTCCACATGCTACATGATGCTCCAAGCTATTTACACAGATCCACTTATGTACTGCTCACAGTGACATGGGAGGTGACATTACACTTTCTCACAGATAAGAAGACTGAGGCCCAAAAGGCTATAAACTGGCCCAAGGCTGGCAAGCTAGGAAGTGGTCCAGTGGGCTTAAGACCCCAGCAGTCCTGCACTAGAGCCCACTGTTCCCCATAACTCCAAGCCCCCTCTCAATAGTGAGGCCTCAATAAGCCGCAGCCCCTATCATATTTTCAGATCCACAGTCTTCTTCTCAAGCACATGAGAAATGCCTTATCCTGGGGGACAGTGACCCCATCTGCTTGGTGCGACACTGCTATTCGATAACAATTTTTCTTCCCAAAAGTTTTTGATGTCAGCATGGGCGTGGGCTGAAGAGTAATGTATTGAATTGTTTGGAAAATATTCATGGAACATGTAGATGCAAGAAAAACAACAACAACACTTTGGTATTATATTCCAAGAGAATTTGATTTTTCAAAGGTTTTAAGTCCTCTTCCAGTATATAACCTTTTATCAGAGGGGGCCACTCAAAGAAAAATGGGGGCTGTAAGCTTGTCTACACTGTCATGTTCCCACACTTCCATTTCAAATACATGCACACACAGACGGACACACACACACACACACACACACACACACACGACTTGGTAAGAAGTCCAAAGTGGGTCCTGGGAGAGTACTTTTGCAATCACCTAATGAGGCTTTGACAAATGAGTTTGCTAATAGGACTGCCAAATGACTGGTGAGGAATGGCATGCTCTATAGGCACTGTAAAAATTCTCTTTCCTTTAAAGACAGAAGACAAGTTAGTGGCAAGGATATTACTTTTTAAATAAATCCAAAGTTAGTTTTAAACCCTTTACTGCCAAGATCCATTTCATTAAGTACAAAAATAGGTTCCTTCCCACAGCCCAAAAGCCTTCTATGAAAGTAAACAGGGTGAGTTCAATTTTCCTAAAAATTTGTTTTAAAAAAATCACTATGTTGCTGTCTCAGGCATTTAATTTCCCTGTGATAAGAAAGTAATCCCTCCTTTGCCCTCTGCCGGTTCTGGCTGTGGGCCAACACTTTCCAGCAGAATAAAGTCAAAGAAATAAAAGACATAAAAGATACGGTGTGCCCAGATCTAATCCTCCATGTGAATTGACCCAATGTGGCTCACAGCAATGTGATCCAGAAGCAGATGAAAAATTTAAAAGAAAAAAAAAAAGGCAGGCATTCAAGACAAGGAAGCGGGGCCTCTACCAGCAAGTTCTGCCTATTGCATTCTCCAGATAACCACAGCTGGACGCTCCTCACTGCTAAAAAGGTCCAAACAGGATTCTTCAATGTCTTTAGAATGGCTAGAGTTTTCTAATATGGTGATTTAGGTCTTTTCCAGTTTTTATTCCCATCTTATGCAACTCATGATGTCAAAGATGACTGTCTTCCCTTCTTTCTCTAGCAGCAGATTCTTCCTCCCTGCCCAGTCAGGAGCCACACTGTGGTCCATTCACCCTGAGAGTGTCCTGCATAACTTCACACCTATCATGAAAAGGAGGCTACCTTTCCTCCTCTTCCCCTGGTTGGTGCTGAGAATGGAAAATTAGCTATGGCTATGCAGGTGTAGACAACACCCTAGGAAGTGATGGAGCATGAAGACAAGAGAAGAATGGGTCCCTGGAAGACACAGTGGAGCAGAGACAAATATGCTTTCTAGACGCCAGGCCACATCTACTCTGTCATGTGAAAGAGAAACACACTTCTATTTGATTTAAGCCGCTGATGTTGTAAACCTCTTTATTCTAACAGCTTAGCCTCTTCCTTAAGAGGCTAACTCACTCATCCTTGACTGCTGCCCTAACAAAGATGGAATTTCTCCACCCCTCTCCGCATTCCCTCCCATCTCCATACCTTTGCTTTTAGGGGTAGCTTCCCCTTACTGGGATGTCATCTTCCTGACTAAATGCTCCATCCCCCAAGGCCCAGCAGGGGGTCTCTTCCCTCCTCTCTAAAGAATCCTCCACTAACTGATCCCTTTGCCCTGGAGATTCTGTTGCCCTTTTCATCTGAAGCCTTAGCACTTGATCAGGTGCCAATGAGCACAGGACTTTGTCTTGTGAGTATATTCCTCCCTGTCTTCACGTGTATATTGAAACCTAAACCGAAGCAGGGGTCTTGGTTGAATCTCAACTCTAGGGCAGTGTAGAAATGGGTGGCTTGCAGAGCCTCTCCTTATCCTTACATAATGGTTGTCATGAGGAGACTGAATTACATGCTAAGGTGCTATTATAATGAAGATGCTAGATCCATTTTGCTTGTTCTTTTCATTTCCAGATGGGAGGGGATGTATGTGTTATTTCCCCAAAAACTTTGTTATAAATCTTGGCTTAAAATAGGGATTTTAATGAATGATTTAAATGGCAAAAATCCATCTGTACATGCTTTTTTTGCTATAAGTAAACATGTTGATGATCTATAGAAAAGGCAAGCTTTAGTCTTTCACTTTTTAAAAAAAAACTACATGCTATCTTTTGTTGAATGCTGATTCTCCTCCTCTGACATGGATTCTCTAGGAGTTCAAATGACTTAAGCACACTTAATGGGGACTTGCAGGACCTAGGAGGTGTGGTTTGCTTCAGGGTTTGGCTGGAAGAATATTAGACTCTCCAAGTCTAGCATGCCAGTGCTGGGGCTACTTCTTAGCCTGACCCAGGGAAGATGCATACGTAAACTGACTTCTTTTCTGGGCAACAGACGAGAGAAACCCTCTCTTTTCTGGAAATGGAGATAGTTCTAAGAACTTATCTCCACAGCAAAAATCTCTAGCCATGAAGGGTGCTGCAACTCAGCATTATGAAATAAATCATGCTGGCTAATAAAAATATCCATTGGGACTGTCACAAAGGAGACTGGTAAGCATGCTGGTGCCAGCTCAGTAGATGGGCTGCCAGGGACATCCCAGCATGGTGCATGGAAACCAAGTCTCCAGGCTACTAAAAAATGCCCTCCGTCCATTCCGTCTTTCATCCAAATCAACCCAAGTCATTAATTATTTCAAGAAACATTTACTGAGTACCTACCATAGGCAAGTCCCTAAGTGTACAATAAAAAACAAGCCTGGGCACGGTGGATCATGCCTATAATCCCAGCACTTTGGAAGCCTGGGTGGGAGGATTACTTTAAGCCAGGAGTTTGAGATCACTCTGGCAACTTAGCAAGACCCTCTATACCAAAAAAAAAAAAAAAAAAAAAAATTAGAAAATTAAAATTTAGCTGGGCATGGTGGTACATGCCTGTAGTCCCAGCCACTCAGGAGGCTGGGGTGGCAGGATCCCTTGACCCAGGAGTCCAAGGAGCTGTGATTGCACCACTGTACTCCAGCTTGGAAAACAGAGAGAGAACCTGTCAAAAAAAAAAAAAAAGAAAGAAAGAAAAGAAAGAAAGAAAGAGCCCCAGTCTTTGAGGTTTTTACTGTTCTGTGGGAGAGGCAGAAGTAAACAGGCAATTTCAATATAATCTGATAAACACTCTGCCAGAGGAAGTACAAGGATCAATAGGAGTCCACAAAGAGGAAGACAAAAGGCAAGCAGAGTAAGCAGGGACCATGTGACCAGCAGGGGCAGCAAGGACCAACCTAACCCCCATCAGGCTCCAGGTAGCTTTGGAGTCACACATTTTCCTGCCCCTTACCTGGCAAAAGAATGGCCTTCCTTCCTTCAGAGGCACAGCAAGGGCAGCCAAAAATAAAAGGGGATTGAATCGCCCACAGTGTTAATGAAATACCTTGTAAATGTCAAACAGGCAGAATGCAAAACTTCTCTCTGCTCAAGAGTTCTTGATATCTACTTCCACGGAGCATTGGATTAATCTCTTTCACCAAAAAAAACAATAAGAGCTGAGAGTAGAGACAGGCAGAGGAAGCATCCACTTCTGCAGTCAGAAAACCAAAATTAGGCCAATTATATTGTTCCAGAACCTAGATTTCACGGTGAGAGGCACCATATGAATAAACCAGTGATTGATAGATACATCTAAATGAGCGTTTGGCAAAGCAGTGAGGAAGTAAAGAGATTCTGTCGTTTTGGCATTAGGATTGAATTTATTCCTCCTCGAGACAGGTGAGGATTCAGAGCTTATTCATGTGTCATCCCCATCCTATTCTACTTTGAACTTCCTCAGTCACTGGAAAAGAGACATGCACAGAATTTTAGAGTTAGAATCTGAAAGATCATCATTGCACAGGCGAGAAATCTGAGGCTCAGAGAACATAAGTGACTTGCCCGGCTGATTAGGGTCACAACCAGAACTAGAAACCAGGCCCTGGACTCTTAGCTGAGTGCTTGTTTCGCTAATCTGCTCTGAGCCCAGAAACCTGGCACTAGGCAAGAACTTCTTCGGGAAAGATTACGATTTCCTCAGAGACTTTTTTCCTTTCATATCTCTCCCTCTCTCTGAGAATCTATGTCACCCAGACATAGGTGTCAGGACAAAAGCTATACCAGTTTAAAAGCTTTCAGCTTGGCTTCCTATAGGGATAAAGGCCAAGGAGCAAATCCACAAAGAGAGAAAAAGAAGCCACTGTTGCCGAATGAGCATTTCTTCCCAAGAAACAGTCCATGTACAACTGTGTGTGTGTGTGTTTATATGTGTGTGTGTTTCTATGTGTGTATGTTTATATGTGTATATGTTTATATGTATATTTGTAAGAGCATGTGAGTGCTATATATATACATATGTATGTATGAGTTGTGAATGTATGTGTGAATCTGTGTGCTTAAGTGTGCATATATGTGTGCTTATGTTTGTGTGATTGTGCATGTATGTGTAGGTGCATAGATTTTTTTTTTTTTTTTCCATTGAGACGGAGTCTCGCTCTGTCGCCCAGGCTGGAGTGCAGTGGCGCGATCTCGGCTCACAGCAAGCTCCGCCTCCCGGGTTCACGCCATTCTCCTGCCTCAGCCTCCCTAGTAGCTGGGACTACAGGCGTCTGCCACCACGCCCAGCTAATTTTTTGTATTTTTAGTAGAGACGGGGTTTCACCGTGTTAGCCAGGATGGTCTCGATCTCCTGACCTCGTAATCCGCCCGCCTCGGCCTCCCAAAGTGCTGGGATTACAGGTGTGAGCCACTGCGCCCGGCCAGTGCATAGATTTTTTTAAACTCCTCCTTTTATTCTCAGGGGTAAAAAAGGGGAAAATGAGATCTTTACAAACTGGTTTTGGCTGCCATTACAAAGCTATGCATCTATCCCACTGGAGAGTTTACTAGGGGTCCACTTACCTGGAAGTCCTTTGCATTGTTTGGTAAATGTAAAAAGGCACTCTACTGAAGTTCTAAAGAACAAATAGAAGCTGGAAGAAACATACAAAAAGATATGATATGTCAAGTAGACATTTTAGAGAAAAAGTATACAAATACTTGTTAATCAGGGCAGTGACATTCTATTTGGAAGGCTGTTGGGATTTGCATAGAATGACCCATTTTAGGGAGGTGCTGGGAAGAGCATGGGAACTGCAGCGATGCAGAGTACAAGGGTCCATGGGTCAGGTTCTGGTCCTGTGGTGAGTGCTTCCTCCTAAATATTGGTCTTGAATCATGCCTTTGTTTAAATTTCCTGGTTTTTTTCAATTTCACCAGGAGCAGGCTGGCAATATCAATATTTTCCTCAGGAAGAACCCCACCCTATGTTCTCAAAGAAAAAAAACTTTCAAGGAAATACATCACTCTGGGGACACTGTGTTCTGTCACCTCACAAAAGCACTAAGGGTTCAGTGACCCTGTCTTTGTAAAGGACCAGATGTCTCCCCTCCATAAGCCCTTCTGAAAATGATTTTACCTATTCTCATGTTTATCAAAAAAATGAAATATTTTCAACCAGCACTTTTTGACATTCAGAGACTTCAGAATGCAGTCTTCTTCACTAGACTGTTAGGTCTTTGAGAGCAAAAATGAAGTATTTTATCTCCATATCCTGAGGACATGTCATGATGCACAGTGTACATTTAAGAAAATATAAGTACTAATTAATGTGTGGCTGAATATAGAGCGAAGTTTTACCACAACAGAATGAAGGTTTGTTGTTGAAGTTATGCAATAGTAGTTACAGTGAGGTTTCCAAGTCACTTGAGCTATGCCAGTGGTTTAACAAGGAGTGTTTGGGTCAGAGATGGCTTCCTCAGGGCAACAGTGAATTCAGAGCCACAAATGGCCGAAACCAAGAAATTCAAAATCATATAGATATTTCCTGCTAAACTGGACAAGTGTTTCGGCTTTGGGTAAGTGATAGAATCTCTTGGAAGGGTTCCTAGCCTGGAGAATCACCATCTTAAAGCCCCTAGCAATACATACAAACTAGCTCCCTTGCAGGGACATGACTGCAACTTACAGAGAAGAGAAACCAGTAACATGTTTTACTCATAGACTGAAGAATACACATAAAGACAAGGATTATTAAATCATAATCTCCTTGGAGTTCATGACGGTAGGTGGGAGGAAGATTCCCTACTTGAAATTTCTACTTTGAACAAAATGTCCTGATCTTTCATTGCATTTGTTTCTATCCCATCTCTATATATTCTGTGCTTCTTGACCACCATCCCTTGGATCACCTGCCTCCCAGAAATGTCTTTCTATAACACACTGACTGCGCAGAATGTCTACTTAGGGCAAATTAAAGAAAGTCTTCTCATCTACATGCAACTGGCCACTTCAATCTTAGAAATTCCCCAACATCACATCCATAGCACGGCTAACAGCTGAGGGTGCTGAAAATCGGGGCAAGAATCTCTGCAAACACTCAGGTGTCCCAGACAGATGCAATATAATAGGAAGAACCAACTCCACATAGATTTTTGCCAGATAGTCATTTAGCCTAGTGGTTGCCTCCTCTCTGAAAACACAGGCAGTGTGGCAGAGCAGGGGACAGTAAAGTGACTTAAAACAGCACAGACTCCCAGGCGGGCAGACCTTGTTTTCAATTCCTCCTCTTACTTCCTGGCTCTGTAATATTGACCAGATCACTAAACCAATCTGAGTTTTGGCTTTCTTATTTAAAGACTGAGACAAAAGTATCAACTTCATAAGCTATTGTAAAGACTAAATGAGATGTTTTTCAAGCACCTAGGATTGACTGACACTGGATGAATGATGTTAGCATCGTTACTGGGATTTGTATGAGAACTGCCATTTCTGAGGCCTATAGATTTGACAACTTTACAAAAAAATTCTCACCAAGTTAGTGATAAAGGCTGCAAATCCAAATCTTCCTAAGGGAGTAAAAATAAAAGAGAAATTACTTCCCAAATACTTTAAACTTTCTTTAAGCAACAATCAGTTTCCCAGAGTTGCCATGCTCTAGAGATGCCATATGATTTCGGGGTCAAATGCCTCCCCAGTTCTGATATTTAACCAACTGTGAAAGCTATTTATTACTAGGTATCTTCTTGGCTTTGCTCATCTAAAAGGAATATTTTATGCACACACACACACATACACACACTTTGTTGAACAGTACTCTTAGGGATTTTTTTTTTCTCCTGTGAAAACCAAGTAGGATAGAATTACCTTAGGGATCTCTACTCAGAATCACAGAAGACGCCACTTAATTAGATTACAATTGAGTTTGTCAAAGATGACTAGATGATATATTATAGATTGCAAATTTAGCACTAATATCAAAACCCTCACACATTAGCAGTTCCTATAAATGCATTTATTTGTAAGCTGTACATCAAAGAACAAAGAGACTATTGACAACAAAGCTATTTTGTAGAACATTTGCCTCCCGACAGAAATAAATGCATTTAAAACAGCTGTTGACCAGGTTCCTGCCATTTAGTAAACCCTTTGAATTTGGTTTCTGGAAGTGCATTTATAAATGGGCTGTAGCTGTCGCTTTTTATTAGCTATTTACAATGAAGAGTATAAACTTCTAAAATAAAGCACCTGTGTTAAGAATTCTGCTGTGAGCCTGTTAGAGGTGGGCGGTGCAGCTTCCCAGCCCTGTGCAGCTGATTCCAGACTGCACATGAGCAAGCACCAAAGACCTGGTCTCAAAAGGGCCCCATCCTGAGCAGAAAAGCCTGGGGTATGCGACAGAATCACAGATTCAAGGCACAGCTGAGCCAGAGCCAAGTCTTTCAAGAGAAAAGACTGTGGGGCTCCTTACCCACAACACAGATAGGGACACATATGACTCCTGGAATCAATAATGTACACCTAAGAGTATAGGAGAGCCGCATGGGTGGAAACCTATCCAGGCAGGAAATAATCACCTTTCTACCTGATGTCTGTGTGCTGAATTAGGCTTTGAAGAAGTTGCCTGAAAGGAGAAATCCTATCTTGGGTGACAGGTAGCTCCACTATGGGGCCCCTCACCTGATGTTCGATTTGCGTCACAACATGGCATGATAGATGGGATATTTGGTAGCCAGTAAAATGCATACCCAAAAGAACACAGGCTTTTCAAGTCAGCCCCATGTCCAATGAATTTTGACTTTGGTCCTTATTAGCTATTTGATCTGAGTAGGTGAAACAGTCTGAGCCTTAAGTTTCCTCAACTGCAAAATAGGGATAATAATGTCCACCTCACTAGAGTGCTGCAGTAAATGAGCTAATTTATGTAAAAATACCCAATTCAGTTTCCATCATATCAGTAGATGTTCAATATTTGGTTCATTTTTAAAGCAAGTCACACAACAACATGGAACATACTTACATACTAAGTTAAAAAAATATAGATTAACACAAATGCAAAACACTACTTTGTGCAATAAAGCAAACAAACATAAAACAGAGTAGGAACAAATCCTCTAAATCTTAGCCATGCTACATTTGTATGGAGGGCATATTAGCAAGTTTTTTATTATTTTCCAAATTTACTTTTAAGAAGAAAGTATTCCTTTTTTTTTTTTGAGCAGAGTCTCGCTCTATTGCCCAGGCTAGAGTTCAGTGGTGCGATCTTGGCTCACTGCAACCTTTGCCTCCTGGGTTCAAGTGATTCTCCTGCCTCAGCCCTCCAAGTAGCTGGGATTACAGGTGCATGCCACCACGCCTGGCTAATTTTGTATTTTTAGTAGAGATAGGGTTTTACCATGTTGGCCAGGCTGGTCTCGAACTCCTGACCTCAGGTGATCTGCCTGCCTCGGCCTCCCAAAGTGCTGGGATTACAGGCGTGAGCCACCGCACCTGGCCAGAAAGTATTACTTTTATAATGGCAAAATGTTATAGTTTTAGTAACAGGTAGTTACTTAGCCTGAGCGTTCTTGAAAGAGACAGTCTGTCTGAAGACAGTGCTTTTCATGACACAGACACAAGGCAAGAGCCATTGCCCCAGAGCTGGTAAAACACTACCCATGCAGGAGTTCAGGTGCTGCACCTTTTGTCAGGAGGGCACAAACAGGAAACAAGCAGTGGCCACCTCTAGAGGGGCTCACACCTAAGGGACTCACAGGGAAGAAAAGATGAGGGAAAAGGGACATCTGAAAACTGAGCAGGAAAAAGCCCAATCCTGTCTCTGACCTGTCTCCTAACCCATGGTTAAACCACTGGCTGATGTGTGACACCCCTCCACAGCATGGCAGTGACAGAATGTTAGAGCTGGAGGATAACTCCGGTGTCATCTGTCCAGTGCCCTCATCTCATAGACTAGGAGCTTCAGGCCTGGAAAAGGTGAAGGGCATTTACTCATTCTCAATTCAGTCAACAATTTATATGGAAAGTGCCAACTATAAGCCAGACATTACTCAGTTTCAATGAGTAAGGATACAGCTGTGAGCAAAGCACCTGCCTTCTGGAGAATGTATAGGGGAAGAAAAGAAATAAACATACAGTGTATAATGCTGAGGAAGCAGCCATCTTGTGACCTGTCCGCCATTCCACAGGATTGCCTAATCAGTGCCCTGGGCCTGGGACATTCCCTAATTTAGAAGCCAGGTGTCCAGCTATTCCTTGGCCTCAGAGTCTTCTTCCTTATTTGGATAAATATTTCTCTGTTCTGGGTATACGGTGAATTTCCTTGTACTGCTTAAACATGTGTCAATGGCTCCTGGACAGCTCCACTTATCTATATGACTAGATGGAGTGCTGGGATTGGGGTCGTTGCCTGTAACCTAAAGGGCTGCATGCAGGCTATCACCCTGCATTGGTTATCGGGAGGGGCTCATCTTCTTGTCATTCTGTAAGTAGAGTGTTTTTCCAACCAGCCCTTGTGCATGGAGTCCTTCTTGGTGACTCCAAACCTGTAGAAGATGCAGTGAGCAAAAGTCTGTGGGATCCTCCTCCTGGAAGTCAACAATATATGCTCTCTGCTGTCCTACACATGAATGGAATCCTCCCCTGAGATCAGCAGCTGGATCTTCCTGCTGCACAGTTTCTGGAAGTCAGCAGGTTTGCCAAAGATACTTACTGCGGTCTCACCAAAAGCAAGGGCTTATGTTTCTGTCCCCAGCTCTCCAGCGGGTAACCAGCTGGCAGAAATTTTGGCCACTCTCTGGATATAGGTGGACAAATGAGATTTACCAAATCTTCCCTTAGACTGGGATGACTTGGGCCAATGGGTCATATGGTGGAGAGACAGGGGGTGGAACCCATGGCGGAGATATAAGACGAGCAGGAAAACTATCCCTTGACTGCTGGCCACTTTACTGCTGATACACCGATGGCTCAACAATTAGGAGCTCCAATGCAGACTGAAGGCCCCTAGGACAGAGCTCCAACCAGTGAGGCTCTGCAGCCACAGGCAGATGAGATCCATTTTCCAACAATGCCAAAGGACTAATGGTGTCCCTGAAGATGAAACCATGGAAATGTGCTCAATTTCTGGCAGCAAGATAAGGAAATTAAAGAATAGATGTGGGCAGAGGCCAGGAGAGTCCCAAGCTACCTGGTTGGTGTGCCTGATGGATGAGGGGGCCTTGCAGACCCAAGTGACTCCAGCAGAAAGATGTAGTTTGGGGAAGTTGACAACCCATCCCCCTACTATAGCATATTTTCACCTACATCACAGAGAATAACTAACAGGACCTGACCGAGACAAACTGATGCCACTATTAGTTTTGGGTGACTGGAAGCATAATCACAGTGTATGCTACTGTAGGGGAATTTCTTGGAAGCAAGGCTCCCTGGAAAATGGTTCAGAAAACCATTATGGCCATTAAGATAAAGGCCATTGACACCTGGCTGTATGACCCTCCCCCAGACAGGACGTAGATGAAGCTGTCCTATCTTGTACAGCCCTAGAGGCCTTTAAGAGGCAGGATCCCCCACAATGGAAGACTTCCTTGTCCCTTCTTCTGTCCCTGGGATGACAATGAGCGAGGTGGTGGAGACGCATCTCTGCCATGTCCCATCATCTGATGGAGGGAGCTGCAAGGTGGAAGCCACTGTAGCTGTGGATGAGACCTGAGCAGTAGAGACCTCTACAAGTGGTCCTCCAAGGGCCCAAAAGGGAGACAATCAGAGGGGCAGGACTCGTGTGCAGTGCAATGTGGTTGTGGCTTCTAAACAAAGGATAGATAAGACTCAGATAGGCAGTCTCCACTGAAGACCTTTGTCCACACATAAAGAGGAAAGAGAACCCCCTAAATTAGAGATGAAGGACCTCATGCAGACCATTAAGGAACAGGAAGAGGGGAGCTCACCGGATTGGAAGGATTTTGAGTCTTGGATTGCCCCCCTGAAGATTCAGATACTCCCCCCTCCTCCCCACTGGAGGGAAGGCAAGCTGCTGCTGGAGTTTCCCAATACCCAGCTCAGATAGTGAGGAAAATGGTGGTTCCAATTATGAGCTAGACTCAGATAAAGAGGAGGAGCTGTGCTACCTATATTCTGACTCCTTTTAAAAAGAATGATTGGGGTAGGGCCAAAGGCTCCACGCTCCCACAGTGACCTGCAGCTCTGTGCCCTGTGGGGGTGGACGGGAAATATGGAAGTGGGGGAGAGTATGAAAACAAGCATGGGGCTATGAGACACTGTTGCTTAGTGATTATTATACCAAGCCCCCACAAGGGAGGAGTGGAATGGTGGCATTGTGTGTTTTTGGGGAGGGCATGGTAGCCCATAGAAAACAAATAAACATGTACTTATGGGCAAGACCATTTCGGCAGCAATGATCATGGTACCCCTTGCATCATGTGCTATGGGTAATGACATTTTGGTAGCCATGACACTGAAAACCAGGGTCACCTGCAGGAATATGCACTGCACCTACCCAGAGCAATATTTAAGCCATGTGGGCCAAATACACTCCTCCTCTTCCTCCTTCCAGAATTGCCCAAGCCCCTATCCATTGTGGAAAGAAAGACATTACTCTTTTAATACAAGAATAAATTACCTGGTGCAAGCAGGAGTGCATCAAACAACTTTGTCACAATTTAATATCCTGGTCAAAAAGGTCACCAACACAGGGAGACTGAGAGACTACATCAGCCTCCGTGCCCCAGAGGCTGGCTTGGACTATTGCAGGCCAAATGCCTTGGCCCCTGAGTGCTGGCGATCATCCCGTTTTTCTGAGTCGGTGGCAGCTTATTCTGGAGACTGGTATGCTGTCACGGACTTGGCCAATGCCTTTTTCTCAATTTCCCAGGGGCAAGAAGACCAGGATCAATGTGCATCCTGTGGAATGGCTTGTAATACACTTTTTCCGTCTTCCCTCAGGGGTCCCTTCATGACCCTGCCATTTGTCAGCAATGGGTAGGGCTTGATTTACAGCAAGCCCAAGTCAGGTTTAATAGATGGCATCTTCTTTGTGGATCCCACTGAAGAACAAGTGGCCTTGGCTTTTCGCTCGATCACCAATGCGAGGACTAACACCAGTTGGGCCATAAATCCAGATAAGATTCAAGGACCCACCCAACAAGTACAGTTTCTCAGGGACATCTGAGCATAAAATCAACAGAGTATTACGGAGAAGGTTAAATAGAAGTTACAGCCCCTGGCTCTCCCACTGATAAAATAGAAGCACAGCAGCTGGTGGATCTGTTCAGACACTGGAGACAACACATACCCCATCTGGGTATCCTTCTGGCCCCCTTGTCAAGGTGGCACAAAAGACAGCAACCTTCAAATGGGGCACTTCTCAGCAATGAGCAGTGAAAACTATTCAACAAGCCATGGCCCAGGCCCTGACTCTGAGTGGGATATTTGGAGCCTGCATGAAACTTCAAATGTCCACAGCACCCAACATGCTGAGTCAGTAGCAGCAGAAAACCACCTCTGAGCGGGGTGCAACCTCTGCGATTCTGGACACACAAGCTGCCTGAAGCTGCTGCCCAATACACACCCTTCATAGGCAGCTTCTTGCTTGCTATTGGGCTCTGGTGGAGACTGAACATCTCACTACCAAAGCACATTATGTGGTTCTGAGGCCTCAAGTGCTCATCCTTACTTGGGTCCTCACCAATCTCACTAATAAAACTGGAAAAGCCCAGGAGGGTTCCATCATCAAATGGAAATGTTACATCTAAGACTGAGCCAGGCCAGGACCCCAAGGGGTCAACTACATGAGCAGGTGGCCACCCTGCCAGAGGGAGCACAGTGCTGGTCCCTTCCCTAGTCACCTGGGCCATGTTGAAGAGGTTCTAGCTGAAGGCATGGCCTAGTTTACCCAGGCTTCTGCAAAATGAGTTGATGGAGTCCACTGTGCCCCCACAGCCACCCACCCCATGGAGAGCCATTCTTACCTGAAACTGGAAGAGAACAATTAGCCCACGGGGCTGAATTTCATGTGGTGGTAATGGTGTACAAGCCACCCTACCCCACACACCTTGCTACATCTTTGCCAATTCCTGGGTGGTGGTCTAGCCATTTCGTCAGGAGACTGGCAACTACATGACTGAACTATTAAAAATCTGTGTGGGAACAGGGACTATGGCAAGTTTGCTGCATGAAATAGGCAAATCTTTATCACTCATGTATATGCTCCCAGCAAAGTGCCTCTTAAATAAGAACACAAGGGGAATTCCTAAGGTATCAGAGCCTGTCCAAAACAAGTTGGAAGGGCCACACGCTGGGTGCCTTAATGAACCAGTCATGGAATCCCATCTCAAATGCAGGAATGGGCCAAATCCATGGGTGTAATCCGAGAAGACACAGAAGCCAAGAATGCAGTGCAATTCCCACCAATCAGCCCAAACAGTATGACGAGAATGATGACCTATCGTGAGGGGTATCAGCAGGCTCGTTTGGCAGATGGATCACACTGGATCTTTAACACCCGGCCATGGATTCTTCTGGTGCCTCACAGCAGCTGACACCTACTTAAGGTTTAGAACTGTCATCTCTGTGCTGCATGTGAATGCTGGTACCACCATAGTTGCCCTGGAAAAAAAATCTTTGCCATGAGTTTGGGTACCCTACTGAATTCCAATCAAATCAGGGCACTTCTTTGATAGCACAAGCCACAAAACAATGGACACAATCCCATGGCATATGCTGCACCTCCCACATTCACACCACCCATAAGCTAAGAGAGCCACAGAACAGTGGAATGGAAGACTAAATCAACAGTTAAAGAAGGGACGTAAAGAAGGATTGTTAACAGGGTGATACCCTCACCTCACTGGGGCCATTTGGACTCTTGACACTGCACTCCAGACAAAGGGAAACGGCACTGAAATCCACACTGGAGAATCCTGAGTTTGGCAGGGGTAGAGGAGCAGGCAGTCACCTGATTAGGCTGTGACTGAGGCATCCCAATCTGTGTACCCAACCACTCCTTTAGTTTCTCCTTCTGGAACACTGTGCCCGGAGTGGTCTGTGGTCCCTGCAGTGGTAGTGCCTGACAGGGACGCCCATCCCTTACTCTAACTTGGAAGTTATGCTGCCCTAGGTTGTTCACCTCCTTGGGACCCCACAGGAAAGGAGAGGGTCATAAAACACCACAATACCAAAATCCCCCTGGTAGCATCAGGAACTCCCAACTCCCCTGTACAGGTGGGTGATGTTATAGGACACGCAAAATTTGTACAAGCCATAACCTCACTGCCTCGATTGGATGATCAGGGCAGAGAGGTTTGGGGAAACAGCAAGAGCAATGTGTTCCTGCAGAGGTGGTAGCCCTTGGGTTAGGACAGATGGCCTGGGTGACTCTCCAGGGCAGAGTCCATGCTATTGCCAACGTATCTTGCTGTGTGTACATCAAGTATTCAGGAAAAGCAATCTACCTTCAAACAGGGTGGCTGTTGTCTGTAAACCTGTGTATCCACTAGACTCTTCCTTTGACTTTTTTAACTGACTAAATCCCAGCACCTGGGGCTCAGGGCTGAGAACCAGGGAGGCCTGATCATCTTTCTTGGACTGGCCCTGACAAAGTGCTATCTCAGTTGGGCAGGGAGCCATGAGACTCATTCTAGGACCATGCTGAAAACACCTCCATCTTCGGTGGTGACTATGGAAGCACTCCATATTTGGGGGAGCTGTTTGTTCTGTTGGGTGTGACATGCCTGAGGTTTTTGTCCTGGCATCTTGATGAAGGTCTGGGGATGTGCTGTCGGGGAAGCAGCCATTGCTCAGCCTGTCATCCCTCCCCAGGATTGCCCAGTCAGTGGCCTGGACCAGGAAACTTCCCTCATCTGGAGTTGCCACTGGCTCCTAGATTCTTCTTCCTCACTGGGAGAAGTTTTTCCTTGTTCTGGAGACACAACTTTCTGCTACCGCTTAAGTGTATTCATCATATGGCATTTGGCCAGTCCACTTGTATATCTGCTCCCCTTGAGGAGGGAACGGGGTGTTCTCCTGCAGTAGAGCAGCCTGGGTACAGTCTTCCACTTTATCTGGAGAGTTCTGCTAACCATGGGAGACTGGCACGTGCTGCAGATGCTGATCTTGCTGTGCCTTTTCTCCTTTCTGTGAATAAAGCATTGTTCCAACAAGCACCTTGTATGCTGAGGTCTCCTTGGGGATTCCAAGCCCATAGGCAATGCAGGGGCCAAGGTCAATGGGCTCCGACTTCTCGTGATTGGTGGTGTTATACTCTTTGCCATCCTCCACAGGTTGATAATCCCCACCTGGGATTGGCAGCCTGATCTTCCTGTTTGACACATAACATAATCTCAGGTAGGAATAACTGCTACATAGGAACATCAAGCAGAGGAAGGAAAAAGAACATAGGGAGAATAGCAGAAGATGAAGCTGGGTCATGCAGGGCCTTAAAGGTGAGAGTAAAGACTGCAGATGCTATTCTAATGTGATGAGAGCAATGGGAGGGTGTGCACAGGGTCACCTACCTGGTGGTGAGAGCCTCCAGGCTCACATTCTATGGCTCCTGGCACTAATGAGAGATGAGACTGCCTCCCTAGGTGGGCAGTCAGCCCTTTTATCACTGTCTCATCTCAGAAGACAGACATTGCTGACATATTACCAGCTGCCCCTGCAGACTTTATTCCAACATTCGATGCTACTAAAAGCAGCAATAATACTTTCCTCAGGATCATGGCAAGAGATCCATGACATAATCCATGTAAAATATTTAACACAGTGCATGCCAGAAGCACATAATAAATGTTTATTATTCAATCGCATGGTAAAATAGAAGAATTAGACAAGTCCATTTAACACATGAAATTTATTGTAAATAAAGACAGAACCTTCACTTTATTTCCATTTCAAATTTGCAATTAAGTCTACATTTTGAGTAACACAGTTCTTGCCATGCTTCCTACCATGCACCTCATCACCATCTGTTATGAGAGAGCAGGAAATTTATATCTTTAAGCCAAAGTAGACACAGTATTACTCTGCTGCCAATTAAAATGCTACTAATGATTTGGGGCCCTGGGTGGCTTTTCATGCTGATTAAAAACCCCAGAGGCAGTCAGTCTTCCCCACAGCAAGTTATTTGGGCCTTTCCATGCTGCTTTGGCTCCATGAGGCCAGCTTCCTCATTTATACAACCACCCATGTTTTGAGGACATGCATTTCACATAACACATTACAATGAGCTCACGAAAGTCCTGAAGATGATTCCAGAAATCTGCTTCAAAACTACCTCAAAACTTCCCTTTTAAAAGATCACTGCAACACGGAGCAACTTTGAACTTTGTTAGCATCATTTTCTTATGTGCCTAATAAAAGTCTTCTAGAAGTACAAAATCTAGTTTACTGAAGGTATGACATTCACATCCTTGCTGGACTCAAGAAGGCTGAGACAAGATATTTATCAACGACCCTGGTGGGAGGTGTTTAGACTCTTCCTTTGACTTTTTTAACTGAATAAAACGCAGCACCTGGGGATGCCTGAAAGCCCACTGGGAGTGAGGCACTTTACATGCACAATCACCTTTAGTTCTGAACACAATATGGCAAGGCAGAAATGGTCGTGCCTATATTACTAACATGGGAATGGAACTGCAGAAGAGCGACACTGTTTGCCCAGCATAAAGGGAGAGCTGGGACTCAAACTTATGGCTCTGAATCCAAAGCCCACACTCTGTTCTGCTGAGTGCTGCGTCTCAGAGCAAAAGTCAGGAGACAGTACCCTATATGTCACTAAGGAAGATGTTCACTTGATTAAGAAAAGAAAAAAGTACAGTATCATGAAATGTATTCACTTATGTCTACAAGGTATATTCATTCGTCATGAAAGAGAGCGAGACAGAGAGAGAGGAAGGAAGGAAGGAAGGAAGGAAGGAAAGGCAGGAGGGAGGGAGGGAGGGAAAAGAAAGAAAGAAAGAAGAAAGAAAGACTTTTCCCTTAAGGCCATCACTTACCAAGTTTTATGGTTACTAATTAATTCCATTTGAAACAGGGGCCTAAGGTTAATGAGTGCATGAGAGAAAGAGGGAAATAAATATAGAGGGCAGGCATTTAAAAAATACTAAAAAGATGGACGGGCAGGGAGAGAAAAAATATTGAGAAAATAGAAGACTCTTTGTGGTTGTTTCTCTTGAAATATTTGAAGTAACTTCCTTATCAGCGAGACTCTTGAGACAGACCTCTAAAAACATCTTTCAAGGCAAAGAAATGAGGCCCTATACTATCTTGGGGGGTCTCTATATTAACTTAAGTCTTGAAAATCCAATAAGATTTCCAGACAGAATCCCAGGGGACCTTGCTGTCTCCAACACCAGCAGGAAGATTTACACTAACTGAATATGGCTTTCTGCAGGGCCCGCTCAATTGGCTCCATCTATCTAAATAGGATTCTAACATAGTAACTGGGAATAAAAGTAGATTGGTGTGGTGAGTGTCAGTGAAGACTTTAGCATGAACATAAATGGCATATCCTGACTGGTGTTTAAAAATGCATCAGGATGAAGGAGATCTGGTGTTAAAGAAAAGGCAGGGAAACCAAAAGGTATCACCCCAGATTCACAAAAGCTAAGATGCCAGAAGCGGTCAACAACAAAGATTTTGAACCCAGCTACAAAAGAGTCTGCTGTCTGCTGATGGGAAACACATGTCTTGTACAGAGAGACTGCTTCTGATCTTCAGAGTGTATTCTAGATACTAAAACAGGATGACAAAGGATGCTTTGTGGTTCTTTCCAGATGGACCACAGAGGCTTGCCCTGCCAGTTAAAAAAGGTTCAATGTGAATCTGAGTCCCAAACCAGGGAAGAGGAGCAGAGGGGAGAGAGGTGGAGGAGGGGTCAGAACTGTGAGGATCACTCACATTTAGGGCTAGCCCACCCAGAGGAGCCTGCTGAGGAGTCCCAGAAAGACCAGATGATGGTGAAGGTGGGACAAAGAGCCAACCAGCAGCCACTGAGGGATCAATCAATAGGTGCAGTGCCCAAAACCTGAACAAGATCCGATAAGGAGGTCCAGGGAACAGGTAAGGAGGAGGGGGTGAGGGAAAAATCCCATGTGTGGAATTAAACTGACTGACCTTTGACTCTAAATATGGATTCCAGCAGATGGAAACCTTGTTGGCTGCTCCTGGTCAAATGGGTTTAGAGAGAGGCTGCCCCAGAGACATGTAATGCAAGCTACAAACACATGCCACATAGGAAACTTTAAATTTTCTAGTAGTTACATTAACAAAAAGTAAAGAGAAACAAGTGAAATTAAATTTGATATATTTTCTTAACCCAATAGATCCAAAATATTCACTAGTTAATATAAAAATTATTAATGAGCTATTTTACCTTCTTGTTAGTAATGGGATATTTTGCATTTTTTAATCAAGTCTTTTGTAATCTGGTGTGTATCTTACTCTTGTAGCACATCTGGTTCAGATGCTCCACATTTCAAGTTCTCAATAGAGCCACATACAGCTAGTAGCTACCATATTGGACAATGAAGATTAATAGTTGTATACAAATATTTTACCCCCAAGTTTTATTTCAACAATAAAAACCCCTGAAGAAATAGATGATCAAAAGGAGGTCTCTGAAAGGCCTAGGTAGCAGACAGAATATCAAATCCACATAAAGAAAGACTGGGACAGTTAGGGAGCTTTTTAACACTATCACAAGAGGGAAAAAAGTTGGGGCCAGGCTGACCCCGTGTTTGTTGCTGAAGAGTAGAGCAGATGACAGCTGCTGTGAAATGGAAATCAGAGCCAGTTCCCTGTTAGGAATAAGTCAATACAGCTTTTTAATATGCAGTCGGTGGAGTGCGGCACATCCCCAACCAGGGACAGACTACATTGCGCAAGGTCAGGTAGGGAGGACTGCAACTCACCCACAGAAACAGGCCCCTCCCCAGCCCAGTCAATGCCATCTAAGAAGATTTCTATCTGGAACTTTTCAAAACCTTTTAGTCATCTCTTCACATCACCTTGAAAGAATGCGCATGATTTGTTCATCACGGGGATGCTAACGGGACTCAGCTTCACAGCTCTCTACCTCCATTTCATCAGCAGCAAGGCAGTCTCCCCAAAGAGGAAGGGCAGGCACGAGATGAATTGAATTGCCCAGCTGGGGCTCACCTGGCACTCCAGCAATCGTAGTCGGGAGTTCCACTAAATTCTGCGTGCCCCTTTTCTTTTCTTTTCATTTTTAGACATGTAAAGATTAAAATGAGTTAATGTTTTAAAACAAATGCATTCCAAATTAAAATGAGGCCGGGCATGGTGGCTCATGCCTGTAATCCCAACACTTTGGGAAGCTGAGGTGGGTGGATCACTTGAGGTCAAGAGTTGGAGACCAGCCTGGCCAGCATGGTGAAAACCTATCACTACCAAAAAATACAAAAATTAGCCAGGCGTCATGGTATGTGCTTGTAATCCCAGCTATTTGGGAGGCTGAGTCATGAGAACTGCTTGAACCTGGGAGGTGGAGGTTGCAGTGAGCCGAGATCATGCACTCCAGCCTGGGTGACAGAGTGAGACCCTGTCTCAAAAAAAAAAAAAAAAAAAAAAAATTAAAATGAGTAGGCCTGGGCCTGGAGCATGCTAAGAACTACTTGTGTTTACTATTATTTGTTACACTATTATTCAGTATTCGATAGGTGAAAGCTATGATTACTATTATTAAAATATTTACTCCTTCCTTCAAACATTACCTCAGCTATGACCTCATTCTGCCAGCTATTCCTGACCAAGCACTATACCTACCCCCTTACTGGCCACACACAAAAAATGCACTCACACACTCACTTAGAGTGGACGCTCCTCTCTGGGCAGCTGTGCTTCCTACTCTTCCCATTCTTAACACAATCTCATTGTGCACAGTAATTATCTGCTTATGTGTTTGTCACTTTCCCTATAGCAAAGCTTTTTTTTTTTTTTTTTTGAGATGGAGCCTCGCTCTGTCACCCAGGCTGGAGTGCAATGGCATAATCTCGGCTCAGTGCAACCTCTGCCTCCCGGGTCCAAGCAATTCTGCTGTCTCAGCCTCCCGAGTAGCTGGTAGATGGGATTACAGGCGTCTGCCACCATGCCCAGCTAATTTTTGTATTTTTAGTAGAGACGGGGTTTCACCCTGTTGGCCAGGCTGGTCTCGAACTCCTGACCTCAGGTGATCCACCTGCCTCGGCCTTCCAAAGTGCTGGGATTACAGGCATGAGCCACCGTGCCCAGCCAGCAAAACTTCTTAAACATTAATGTGCAGAGGAATCACTGGACATCTTGTTAAAATGCAGATCTGGATTCAAGAGATCTGGGGTGAGTCCTGAGATTCTGCATTTCTAATAAATGTCCAGGTGATGCTGATACTGCTGGTCCACAGACCCCACTCTAAGTAGCACTGACGCAGACTACAAGCTCCTCCAGAGCAACAACTGGAGCTGTTTGAGCTTTGTGTCTGTAGCTCTCGTCTCAATCCTCAGCATGCCGCATATGCACAACAGAGTCTGGCTGAGCTGATGGAAATGATGCTACCTGTTCCTGGAGCTCACGTACCCCTTTTGCAGCTCACACACATCTCCAGAATATGGGAGGTGCCTTGTGGTCCAGTGAACATTCTCAAGCATAATCACCCCCATATTAAACTTACCCAAAAAGCTGTGCTGGTCAGGGAGCAATTCTGGGATATGCAAACACTATATGCACGATCCCACCTCTCATGAAAGGGTTACAAAATGTGTGCACATAATTACAAGTGGTGCATAGCCAGTGAAGGAGGCTTTCAAGGAGTCTTCGGTTCACCTTGGGAAACTCTCAGCAAATAGCTCAGTGCTTTGCCAGAGAGTGGACGGCTCTTCATTGGCTTGAGAGAGAGAGAGCTGTTCACTTGTTCACCTGCCTGCCTCTGAGCAGACATAGGGGCATGTTTGACCTGTGCTGACTGATATTTTGGAAGGTGTTAGGAAAACAAACACTTCGCTGATATTACAAAATCATACTTTTCTTTAACCACCTATGAAGATAACGCATGGGGGAGAGAAGAGCACATTCTACCCAGAACCAGAAGACCTAGATTTAAACTTCAGGTTTCCTCTACATACTCATTGAGCTCTTACTATGCGCAAGTAATCATTCCAGTTTCTGAGAAAATGCAAATTATCTGCCCTCATGGAACTACCCTCTGAGGGAGAAAGGTAGATGATACACTTACAAGCACTATATACACAATACATGGTCAGTCGTGCCAAGTGCTTGGATGGGAAAATAAAACAGTGTCAGGTCAGGCAGGGTGACATGGAAGACAGCCCTGCAGAGCTAAATTTAGGCAGAGACATGAAAGAAGGGAGGGAGGGAGCCATGCAGATGTCTAAGGGAAGAACATTCCAGGCATGTTCCAGGTATGGTTAAACGGCAAGAGGGCTGGAACAGCGTGAGTGAGGCGGAGAGTGGAAGAGAGGAGCTCAGAAATGTAAGGCCAATAAGGGCAGACAGTAAGGCCCAGAACTATTAGAAGGAATACAGGTACATTTTTTCTGAGTATGATATAAACCTCCTGGAGGGTTTGTGTGCAGGGCAGTGGTGTGATCTGACCCACATTTTTTTTGTTTTTTGAGATGGAGTCTGGCTCTGTTGCCCAGGCTGGAGTACAGTGGCGCAATCTCGGCTCACTGCTAGCTCCGCCTCCCAGGTTCATGCCATTCTCCTGCCACAGCCTCCAGAGTAGCTGGGATTACAGGCACCCATCACCATGCCCAGCTAATTTTTTGTATTTTTAGTAGAGATGGGGTTTCACCGTGTTAGCCAGGATGGTCTTGATCTCCTGATCTCATGATCTGCCCGCCTCAGCCTCCCAAAGTGCTGGGATTACAGGCGTGAGCCACCATGCCTGGCCTGACCCACATTTTTAATGTGCTGCTATACAGAGAACAGACAGTGGGGAGGCAAGGCTGGAAGCAGGGAGATGAGATGGGATGTTTTGGCTTAAATAGCCCAGGTGAGTGAGGGTGGCAGGTAAGGTGGTGGTGGTGGAGATCCCAGCAGGGCTTGCTGATGGACTGGATGAAAGAACAACGGGTGATCCCTTGTAGTAAGCAGAAGATTGGCCCACAAAATGCCAACATCCTAATCTCCAAAACCTGTGAATATGTTACTTTCCATGCCAAAGGGACTTTGCAGATGTGATGAAATTAAAGATCTTGAGATGGGGGGATTGTCCTGGAATATCTAGGTGAACCTCATTGTAATTCCAGGGATCCCTATAAGGGAAAGCTGGAAGCAGAGTCAGAAAGGAGGGCCAGAGTCAGAGAAGGAGATGTGATGATGAAAGCAGAGGTCAGAGTAATGCAAGCCACTTGCCAAGGAATATCAGAAGCCTCTAGGAGCTGGAAAAGGCAAGACAACAGTTTCCTCTGAAGACTCCAGAAGCATTGCAGCCCAGCTGACCCACATTAGATTTCTGGCCTCCAGAAGTGTGAAATCATAAATTTGTACAGCTTTTATGTCGGTGGTAATTTGTTGCAGCAGCAATAGGACTAATGTACCTGGGTTCCCTGGGATGCCATTTACTGAAACAGAGAGCATCAGTGCTCTTCAGAGAAAGAGCAGGAGTTGGGACCTCTGTTTAGGTCGTGCTGGATTTGAGGTGCCCATTAGCTATCCAAGTGGAGTTATCAAGTAGGCAGGTGATAACTGACCCTGGAGCTCAGAGAAAGATTGGAATTTCATGTGACCTTGAGCAATTCCTATAATTTCTCTGAGCTTCAGTGTCTTCTGCAAAATGGGGGTTATATCTTCTTTATCTATCAAGGATCAAAGGAGACATTCTATGGCAAGTGTTCAAAGTATGCCACTAACATAAGGCATTTGCTATTCTGATAAATTGGCCTCTCACCCAAAGGCAATAGGAGTCATTTCTCACAGAGACCTTTTAAAGTCTTTTGTCCCCACAAACTCATCATATCCCATCAACTGCCACAAAATGCAGAGAGCAGCACTTAGGGCAGTATGTGGCCACAATTCTCAAGGAAACACGAGATCACTCTGGACACATCCAATTAATAGAACTGTAAGGAAAATCCCACCCTCAGCACTCTCAGGAACTGCCACTGTTCCCCCAGTCCAGCCTTGCCAGACTTTAACTGTGACGAGCTTATATTTAACAGCCAAGTGATGGGGATGTATATTTTATTTCCATCTAAATGGTCAGTGACTTTGGAAGGTCCTTCAAGTCCAGTCAGAGAATTCAAAGCTCCCACCAAATGCAGAGTCTGTTCATGTGTCCATTGCACATCCATTTGCTGACCACTGGCAGAGGCCAGGCCCAGTGCTGGGCACTCCGGGTAGAGTGGAATACAAGGCAGGCCTGTGCCCACAGAATCTATTCTTCCTACAACCTCTTATGCTTTCTGTGATGGAGGCAATTGCTCTTCCTGAGGCTTTACAGTCCCACGGACCTGCCAGTTAAGGACCAATTCCCAAACCTATAAAACAGGGATTACATCTATCTATTACATATATCTATTATCATCATCTATAAAACAGGGATTACAATCCCTGGAGGGCACCTAGCATAGGACTCTGTACTCACTAAATGCTCAATAACTGGAAGACTTAATTGTTATAGTTACTATTGTTGTTCAAGTTTCACCTAACTTTTTAAAATAAACAGCCTAAAATATGCCTCTCTGAAATATCCAGTATGATAGAGTAAATAAAATCCCTCCTCCCCTGACAGACTTAAAATATTTGATGGTGCCTTTTATTACTCCTCTTCATCTCCCATGCAGGCCAAATACACCATCCCTCACATAACTCAACTCCTAGAACTCCTTTCCATCCTCACTGCATGCTGTTATGTGAACTTAGGTTTGGCCACAGCTCTCTTAAATACGACCCTCAATGGAACATGGCAGTCTGACCAATGTCCAGTAGAATGGGACCATTATAGAGTAAATATTTAGCATTAAAGGACTTAACAATCATTGTTTCAATTATTCACGAGGAATTCCAAAGAATATGTTCTAGTGTGAAATTTCACTGAGATGCAAACTTGGATTCTGTGGTTGATGTATCCAGTGTTTAGAATAGCTATGTAGGTCCCAAGGGCCCAGCATCTTTCTGGCAATAAAACTTGGAGATTCCTCCCTTGTCCTTGTAATGCCTGTGAAGTGACTACAAACTCAGGTTCCTTGTAAAAACTTGCCATCGGCCAGGTGCAGTGGCTCACGCTGGTAATCCCAGCACTTTGGGAGGTCGTGGTGGGTGGATCACAAGGTCAGGAGATCGAGACCAGCCTGACCAACATGGTGAAACCCCGTCTCTACTAAAAATACAAAAATTAGCTGGGCATGGTGGCGCACGCCTGTAATCCCAGCTACTCAGGAGGCTGAGGCAAGAGAATTGCTTGAACCCGGGAGACAGAGGTTGCAGTGAGCCAAGATCGTACCACTGCACTCCGGCCTGGGCGACAGAGTGAGACTCCACCTCAAAAAGAAAAAATTGCCATCAAGCAAGGGAAGATACTTCAGGAAAACTGTATTCACATAAAAAAGGAATGTGCACAGGAAATGAGAATCCTTATAGAAATATGATTTGGGGAAAAATAAGGAGTATATAAGCATTTCCATATCCACAAGTTTGGGGGTTTGTAAAAGTCTCTAACTGTACCTTTTGCAAGCATCATGTGTCTCTTTATACATATTGATGCAGCCAAAGAATGCCCTAGGTCATCTGCACTTGAAATAGGCAGTGTAGTGGGTAAAGCACTGAATTAGGAGACAGACCCCTAAGCTCCAGACCAGCTCTGCCCAACCCTGAAAAATTGCTACTCTTTGGGGTTGCAATTTCTGTCTATAAAATGAGAAGGTCAGTTTATGTCAGGGATTCTTAACCTGCTGCCCAAAGGCAGGTAAATCAGGGAAGACATTTACTTACTGAAGTTTCAAAGATATGGATAGGTACATTTTTAAGGTAAAAGAGCAAATAGCATTTATCAAATTCTAGGCATTATGGTAACTGCTTTACAAAATAATATCCATAATAATGCTAATACTTAAGAACTTACTGTGTCTTGGAACAGAAAACCCAACACCGCATGTTCTCATTCATAAGGGGGATTTGGACAATGAGAACACATGGGCACAGGGAGGGGAACATCACACACCGGGGCCCGTCAGGGAGTCGGGGGCAAGGGGAGGGAGAGCATTAGGACAAATAACTAACGCATGCAGGGCTTAAAACCTAGATGATGGGCTGACAGGTGCAACAAACCACCATGGCACATGTATACCTATGTAATAAACCTGCACATTCTGCACATGTATCCCAGAACTTAAAGTAATAATAAAAAAAAGAACTTACTGTGTCTTATAAATATTATTTTACTAAATCATAATAGTCCCACGAAGTAGGTACTATTATTACCTCATTTTATCAACAGGAAAACTGAGATTCAGAAAGACCAGGGAACTTGCTTGAAGTCATCTAGCATGTAGACAGCAGAGGTGGAATTCCCACACAGGTCTGAATCCACACAGCCTGCTCTTATCCCATATACTACACTGCTTCCCAATTAGCTTAGTTACTAGGTAATCAGAGTAGTTGATTATCTTACCACAGTGTGGAATTGTCTTTAATTTGCCCATCTTTAGCCTAGACCTTCTCAAAGCTCAGCAGTGGTTGGCAAGGACTGTTTATTTGAATTAGCAGGCTCAGAGCTAGTCCAGCGTGAATAACCCTGCCAGCTGATAATGCAGCAAAGACAGAATTATGAAAATGCAGTTGGTCATGGTTACATTAAATAAACCACATTTTAGGTTTAAGCTAATAATATTGCTGTTTGCATCACCTTCTAAAAGAAATAAAACCTGAGTGGACTAGCAAGACTCACATCAGAGAGAACTGCTACAAGTGAAAGTTCACTTCTTAAGTTTTTACACTCAAGTCCGTAAGTTATCTTGTCCAAGTGTTTTTGCTTAGACTGCAAAGTTCCCTTTCATCACATTTACATTCTTGGGAAATATGAGATGAGCTTAACTTCTCCTGTCCCTTTGTATCCTCAAACTAAACTAGAGGATAATTGACTTTCCATGAATTAAGAAGCTTTAAGGCCCATTTACAATCCGAAGATTGCCCTAAAGCAAAATTATTATAAATATCTACAAATACCTGCACATATAGAGAAAATAATTTTACATTAGTGACAGAAACTAATTGTGGCTAGTATAAACAGAAAGTGGGGACAGAAAACTTTTTAGGGGAATACTGTTATATTATAGAACCCAAGACTAGGATTCATGTTGGAAAGGTCTGGAACCAGTGCCTGGAGCATGTGGAGAGCCCAGGAATATCCTATCTCTGCTTGATTTTACTTTATTTTATTTTTATTCATTTATTTTTTTAGACAGAGTCTCACTTTGCCACCCAGGCTGGAGTGCAGTGGCAAGATCTTGGCTCACTGCAACCTCCACTTCCCAGGTTCAAGCAATTCTGCCTCAGCCTCCTGAGTAGCTGGGATTACAGGCACATGCCACCAGGCCCGGCTAATTTTTGTATTTTTTAGTATAGACGGGGTTTTGCCATGTTGGCAAGGCTGGTCTGGAATTCCTGGTCTCATGTAATCCTCCCACCTTGGCCTCCCAAAGTTCTGGGATTACAGGTGTGAGCCACCGCACCCAGCCAGATTTTACTTTAAATACTCTCTGTGGTCTTGCTTCATTCTTCCATCTCTGCTCTTTAGGCTGCTTGACAGAACTTGGTCTCCAACAGCTCTTCACTTTATAATCCAATTCCAACACCCCCAAGGAATCAAATAAAATCCCTGGATCAATCATCTGTGGTTGGGACACAGAGTAGCTTAAAACAACGTGGCTGCCTCCATGGTAACCATGGAGCTACAGAAATGGAGAAGCATTTTCCAGAATGCGGAAGGGAGCTAAAGGAGAGGTGGTCAAGCTTCAGGCAAATAAAATAATGTGTGTCCCCTACATGTCTTTTTTTAAGTGGGCAGAACACTCCTAGCTCATAGAGTCCAAAGTCCTCACTGTAGCCCAGGAGACTTCATGGTCTGGGCATACTCACCTTCCCTCACTGAGCTCCTGTCCCTGAACTTTTTTTTTCATTCTCTTCAATGACAGATGCACCTTTTTACTCCAGTGCCTTTGCATAAGGTCACACACACTCTCTATCCACTTCTCCCTCAACTTATCTTCCACTTAGACTCCCTCAGGACACTCTGTCCACACCATAGCACTGACCACTCTGCAATGAAAGGGCTATGTAGCTTTTTCATTGTTGTTTTCCTTCTTTCCTATCATACAACAAGCTTAATGAGAGCAGAGCCTATCTCTCCAGTTTGTATGTAATTCCATAGTACCTAGTACAGTGCCCTGCAACAGTAAATGCTCAAAATATATTTAACACCTATTTTAGAGTAAAAATATAAACAAGTGAACAAGGCCAAATCCTAAACTTTCAAATGTAATACTACCCAAAAGGTAGGAGTGGTCTAAAATCGAATGAAGTATTTTTCACACCTCATATTCTGATTCAAAACACTGACATAGACAGGAACCAATTGGCAGGTGATGGGTGGTAAGGACAGCCCTGAAGGCATAAGGGATGCTTTGTTACACCAAGGTAACCCCGAAAACAAAGTCAAACTGTGGTCCACCAAGAAGCAGAATTTCTGTACTCAAAGAAGCCAAATACATGTTCCCATCCCCAATGTCTTTCTAAAAACAGGCTACTAGCCACTCATCTGAAAACCAGAAATCCCACAATATCAAGGTTCTTTTTAACCTAAAATCAAAACATACATTACCAAATGATCATTGCTTAAGACCCACAGCTCCTGTTAAATGTAAATGACTCCTTCTGTGGTTTTAATACTAAGTATGGCTTTGGAATATGATTGGCATGTAGTAAATTTAAATTCTTTCCCTTCTAACTGACATTAGAAAAATTACAGCTACCCAAATCAGTCATGAATCATACCAGGTGTTGAGGGGGAGGAGGAGCTACTTGGTTTACTTAGAGGCATACTGAAATATACTGACATGCAGAAAATATCCCAAAACCAAGCCTAAGCTCCGAGAGCCAGATTTCCACCACGAAGTGCCTGGAAATATATCCTGAAATGTAATATATCTAACAAGGGATCCTATAGTAGCAGTCTCATCTATTTTTCTCCTTGAAAAAACAAAATCCAATTCTGAAGGACAGACAACAAAATACACACCATGCCAGTATTTTAAGTGAAGGCAAAACAAAGCTGCCATGTCAATTACTGGCTATTGTGGGTATGAACTCACACTTTGGACTCTCTTTATGATATCTTCTCTACAATCGAGCACTTAGATCCAAGAGCAGAAACCTACCTTTTTTTTCTTTTTCTTTTTTTTTTTTTTTTTGAGACAAGGTCTCACTCTTTGCCCAGGCTGGAGTTTGGTGGTGCAATCTCAGCTCACTGCAACCTCTGCCTCCCCGGTTCAAGCGATTCTCCCGCCTCAGCCTCCCAAGTAGCTGTGATCACAGGCATGTGCTGGCATAAGCCACCATGCCTGGCTAATTTCTGTATTTTTAGTACAGATGGGGTTTCACCACGTTGGCCAGGCTGGTCTCGAACTCCTGACCTCAAATGATTCGCTCACCTTGGCCTCCCAAAGTGAGAAACCTACCATTTATATACATCCCTCAACCTGTTCCTTTCCATTCTAGTTCTTCCCATGTAGGTCTTTTCTTCAGTTGCACAAATATAATTTCCTAAAAGTAATACTGAGTACCTAATTATGCATGCGTCATTTTAAAGAGATTTATATTTTGTAATTAGGAAAAATAATATGTTCACTGTAGAAACTGTAAAACTAGAGAAAATCACTCTATTGCTGAGGTGTCATGTACACTACCCTGGACCTGGTTCAGGACAGGTGCTCCCTGTTCTAGGAAAGAAACTGATAACCAACTACATTAGTAATGAATTTCAATCTTTATAAATGCAACAACATACAAGTACAAGTACAGGATAGGATGCTATGAAAACCATGATGGGACTCCTTACTATAGTTAATATTTTGGAACCCATGCTGTCTATATTTTTTCAGAGCAACCATTAAATATATATACATTTTTTTAACCACCTGGGATTAGGTAATGCATGCTGTTTTAGGATAGAAATTTCATTTGTCTGGCTGAGCACAGTGACTCATGTCTGTAATCCCAGCACGTTGGGAGGCCGAGGCGGGTGGATCACCTGAAGTCAGCAGTTCAAGACCAGCCTGGCCAACATGGCGAGACTCCGTCTCTACTAAAAATACCAAAAAAAAAAAAAAAAAAAAAATTAGCCGGGCGTGGTGGCAGGCGCCTGTAATCCCAGCTACTCAGGAGGTTGAGGCAGGAGAATTGCTTGAACCCGGGAGGTGGGGTTGCAGTGAGCCAAGATCATGCCATTGCACTCCAGCTGGGTGACAAGAGCGAAACTCCATCTCAAAAAAAAAAAGATACTTCATTTGTAATTTCCAAAACTAACTTCCACAAACAAAGGAGTTACTTGTCTCAGAATTTTCCTCAGAAATCCCAGAAAACAATGGTGGACAAAACAGCCATTACAGAGGTACAATTGGCCACAGATAAAACTAAGAAATTGTGTTTTCCAGATCTCTCTGAAGCAGTCAAATAACCTCTGGCCAAAAGGGGGCCATTGTTGACAGCTAGATGAGATGAGGTCATTACATCATCTTAGAGGTACAATCAACAGTACATAAGAACATTCACACTGAGTGTCCATCTTGGAAAAAAAAAAACAGAAAAACAAAATAAACCAAAAAAAAGTATGTAAGAACACATTCCAGATTGTTCTTTCTTCTAGAATCTTGCAAATTTGTAAAAATGGCTCATCCATCATTAAAACATAATGGAGTTCTGCGTTTGCAGATAAGACCCCATAACAATGCCATTTGGCCTCCCCCTCCCCCTCCCCCTCCCCCTCCCTCTCCCGTCTCCCCACGGTCTCCCTCTGATGCCGAGCGGAAGCTGGACTGTACTGCTGCCATCTCGGCTCACTGCAACCTCCCTGCCTGATTCTCCTGCCTCAGCCTGCCGAGTGCCTGCGATTGCAGGCGCGCGCCGCCACGCCTGACTGGTTTTCGTATTTTTTTTGGTGGAGACGGGGTTTCGCTGTGTTGGCCGGGCTGGTCTCCAGCTCCTAACCGCGAGTGATCCGCCAGCCTCGGCCTCCCGAGGTGCCGGGATGGCAGACGGAGTTGTGTTCACTCAGTGCTCAATGGTGCCCAGGCTGGAGTGCAGTGGCGTGATCTCGGCTCGCTACAACCTCTACCTCCCAGCTGCCTGCCTTGGCCCCCCAAAGTGCCGAGATTGCAGCCTCTGCCCGGCCGCCACCCCGTCTGGGAAGTGAGGAGCATCTCTGCCTGGCCGCCCATCGTCTGGGATGTGAGGAGCCTCTCTGCCTGGCTGCCCAGTCTGGAAAGTGAGGAGCGTCTCTGCCCCGCCACCAACCCATCTAGGAAGTGAGGAGCATCTCTGCCCGGCCGCCCATCGTCTGAGATGTGGGGAGCGCCTCTGCCCTGCCGCCCCGTCTGGGATGTGAGGAGCGTCTCTGCCCGGCCGCCCCGTCTGAGAAGTGAGGAGACCCTCTGCCTGGCAACCGCCCCATCTGAGAAGTGAGGAGCCCCTCCGCCCAGCAACCGCCCCGTCTGAGAAGTGAGGAGCCCCTCCGCGCGGCAGCCACACCGTCTGGGAAGTGAGGAGCGTCTCCGCCCGGCAGCCACCCCGTCCGGGAGGGAGGTGGGGGTCAATACCCCGCCCGGCCAGCCGCCCCATCTGGAAGGGAGGTGGGGAGGTTAGCCCCCCGCCCGGCCAGCCGCCCCGTCCGGAAGGGAGGTCGGGGGGTTAGCCCCCCGCCCGGCCAGCCGCCCAGTCCGGGAAGGAGGTGGGGGGGTCAGCCCCCCGCCCGGCCAGCCGCCCCGTCCGGGAGGTGAGGGGCGCCTCTGCCCGGCCGCCCCTACTGGGAAGTGAGGAGCCCCTCTGCCCGGCCAGCCGCCCTGTCCAGGAAGGAGGTGGGGGGGTCAGCCCCCCGCCCGGCCAGCCGCCCCGTCCGGGAGGTGAGGGGCGCCTCTGCCCGGCCGCCCCTACTGGGAAGAGAGGAGCCCCTCTGCCCGGCCAGCCGCCCTGTCCGGGAGGGAGGTGGGAGTGTCAGCCCCCCGCCCGGCCAGCCGCCCCGTCCGGGAGGGAGGTGGGGGGGTCAGCCCCCAGCCCGGCCAGCCTCCCCATCCGGGAGGTGAGGGGCGCCTCTGCCCGGCCGCCCCTACTGGGAAGTGAGGAGCCCCTCTGCCCGGCCACCACCCCGTCTGGGAGGTGTACTCAACAGCTCATTGAGAAGGGGCCATGATGACAACGGCGGTTTTGTGGAATAGAAAGGGGGGAAAGGTGGGGAAAAGATTGAGAAATCAGATGGTTGCCGTGTCTGTGTAGAAAGAGGTAGACATGGGAGACTTTTCATTTTGTTCTGTACTAAGAAAAATTCTTCTGCCTTGGGATCCTGTTGATCTGTGACCTTACCCCCAACCCTGTGCTCTCTGAAACATGTGCTGTGTCCACTCAGGGTTGAATGGATTAAGGGTGGTGCAAGATGTGCTTTGTTAAACAGATGCTTGAAGGCAGCATGCTCGTTAAGAGTCATCACCACTCCCTAATCTCAAGTACCCAGGGACACAAACACTGCGGAAGGCCGCAGGGTCCTCTGCCTAGGAAAACCAGAGACCTTTGTTCACTTGTTTATCTGCTGACCTTCCCTCCACTATTGTCCTGTGACCCTGCCAAATCCCCCTCTGCGAGAAACACCCAAGAATGATCAATAAAATTATTTTATTATGAAAAAAAAAAATGTCATTTGGGAACCTCCCACCTGACCAGCCCTGGAAGATCTAGACGACATTGGCTAGAGACCTCCAAACTGCATGTCCAGTGGAGATGCAAACCTCTCACTAAGACGTCTACAGTTTTCTGGGTGGGGCTATGTTTTCTAGTCACCTCTGCCTGTAATATTTTATTTCCATACAAGCTGTTTCCAATTAATCTAGGCAAAAAAAAATCCTCATTGCCTTCCCTAGTCTTCACAAAATAATTCACTCAAAAACCATTTTTGAGTTATTAGAGATTGGTAAGTCACAGAAACTAGAGAGCAAAACACACAGTAAACTAAATTAATATCTCACATTAGACATTACAGTTCCTAATATCTCTAAGCCTTTCTTACTAAGGCTTTTAGGACACACAGCATCCAGTCTTCTGCCATCTTTCCAGATTTTCTCTCTCTTTCCTCTCTTGTCTCTTCTCCTCTATTTTCTTTTCTACCTCTGCATAAGGCTGAACAAAGCACAAATTCCTTTTACTTTCTTGTGTACAAAAGATTAATCATCTCTTTTTTGGCTTAGGTTCCCAGACACTAATGTCTTCAGTGTTTCACAATCTACTCCAAATGTCTTATCACGGTATTTTCCCACACAAAGGCAATTCTCCCCCTAAGGAAACCCTGGTATCAGTGCTTAAAATTATAACATTTCCTCCATTTTATATTGAACTTGTTGGGACCAAAGACCATGAGGAGGCAGCCTTGTTGTGCCAAGACCATCCACTGGTGGACACTTGCAATCTGTCTACACAGCCTGCTCCTTTAGCACTCAACTTTATCCTTGGACTGTCAGGTCTAGCAGGGCCTCTGGTGATCACCTAATACAACCTACTCATTTTATAGTGATGCAGGGAGCTGACACTCCCAAAGCCACAGTGCAGGTTAGTGGCAAGCCAGAACTTTGCAGGTCCTCACTTCTCCCAAGACTCACACACACTGTGCTCACAATGTCACAGCATTAATACAAATGATTCAAAAATAGGGCAAAGCACAAACTGTGCAGGTTTGTTTTTGAAAGCATTTAAGCATGGCTTCTACTTCCTTTTTAAAGAAGTCAAAGTCTTCTAACTCACAGTAAACGATAACACTCAAATGCCCCAGGAGTATCAATATCCAGGTTATACACTATCCTGACATTCACAGTAAGGTGTAAAAGGTATAGGTGACCAAGACCTATTTCTTTCCTTAGAGCAGGATTCCAAAGAAGAAAGGAATGTGGAAAATATGAGAGTTCTCCGCATATGTGGAGGGCTGAAAGAATGAAAAAGAATTTGAATGAGCCCTTTGGGCAGAAGCAGGGCTGTGAAAGAGGAACAGGGCATGGCCAGTCCTGCTGGTTTCCATCCAGATATCCAATAAACAAATTAAACTTCAGTGATAATTCTCAGCTCACTGCCTGATCCTCTCAAAGGCTTTCTTATAATCTTAATAATGAATATGCACTCTATTACATTTTCAAATTCTGGTCTTTTTTTTCCAGTGGAAATCTACCTTCATAATGTGTTAGTAGAAGAAACAATAGAAGGGCAAACCTAAACCTGTGCTTGAAAGAACACACTCCCAAGACTAATGCTCAGGTAGCCATTGCTTAGCCTTCTTCATCAGTTCTGACATGTCAGGATAAATTTCCCATCTCAGTTTTCAGGGAAGAATGACTTCACCCAAAGTGTGCCTGTAAGCCCGAGCTCTTGTGTGGTGCCCTGGCAGGCAGGCAATGCCAGGAGCAAGCAACGCAGATGCAGCCTTTGCCACTCTCTGCTCAGCCTGAGAACAGATCCGCCAGACCGGAGAGGAAGCTGGTCTTCACATGCTTTATTGAGACAGTGAGGCAAAGGGCAGGACACACACCCAATGGACAGGAACCACCAAAGCCTTTAGAAAGGTGGAAACAGAACTTGGCTGCTTTTCCTTTGAATGGAATATTGCAGAATAACTTACAGAAGGCTGTAGACAATGAGCCCCTTTGGCCAAATATGCCACAGCTCTTAACAACAAATGACAAACCTGCAGCCCTTCGGTTTCATGCCCTGCCTACCTCAGCTCAGCTTACGGGGAGTCTTTGGTTTTCTGCATGGAAACACAATGCAACTTTAGTTCAGGAACTCTCCCATTACTCTTAATGGGGAGGAAGTAGGGAGAGTGTAGCCAGGAGAAAAGTCAGCAAAAAATTTTATCTACTCTTTTGTAACCTGTCACCTTCTGTTTGTGTTGTTGGAAGTCATACCTAGCAAGTCTGCGACATAAACCATAACAGCAAACGAGGCCTGGGTACCACTGTTCTCTTCCTCTATTCTAGGACTCCAAGTTATGTAAGATTCCTCCCAGGAACACAAAGGCTGCACCAGAATTTTTAGAGAATCTTTAAATCATCTAATTAAATAATATAAAAACAGAATCACAGTATGGCAGCTTTCTGGTTAGCTGTCATACTGCTGTGAACTAAGGCACCCCAAAGGAAACTGAGCCTTTATTTTAGATGTGAAAATTTTTATTTTCTTCAGAAACACACACACACACACACACACACACACACACACACACTATGTCTACAGATTTCAGAACTCATTGCACTGGTATTACCATTTTCAAAATGACCAAGACTTTTGCAAATACTTAACCCACTACACCTAACCATTAATGAGATTTACTTTTTCTTCCCTCCTATGATAATTTGTTTCGATCGAGGGATTTAAATTTCCCATAAAATAGTTTAGAGACCCTTCATACCCAGGCTCAGAAGACAACTCCTGTAAAGACTGATCCTTTGCTACAGATGCCTTTGTGATCATAAGTAATTCCACACAGTTACCTTGTTTCTTTAACCATCTCTTAAAGCTTCAGTGATGAGCAAACACAACTTGGCTGAACACAGTTCCATCAAAGAATCTGAGCTGAGTTTCTATCTCTATTCACAATGGAAGAGGCCTTGATTTGGAGATTAGAATGTGATTAAACAAGAAAGGTAGTGCACCAAGCTAGGGGTCCTGGCTGGCAGTCCTCAGATGGGCTTCAAAGGATCTGTGAATCCCTTCAAATTGCATGCAAAACCATGTTATGTATTCTGTGAATTTTTGTGAAAAAAAGAGCCTGTAGCTTTCAATAAAAGGGTTGGTGGCTCAATGAGATTTAGGAATCTTGAGGCACATAGACCAGTAACTGCTTTGTGAATAAATGAATAAATGCACTCAGAGAGAACAGCTTCAGTTCACTGCTAGGCTTGACCTTCCAGATCAAACTCTTCTTTAGAGGTGATTTCAAGAAGACAGTGAGAGACTGGTGGTGCCAGACCATTATTACACATCTAAGAGTCAGCTGACCGTGTCACAGTCCTGCCTCCCACCTCTTACAGCAAACATTACTTTACTCTTCATCATTTTCAACTCAAACAGCCCAAATATATAGCTAAAATCGCAGCTCTTTTCCCTAATTTTGAAAATCAATTCAAGTATTAGAGATCTATAGCCTCAATGCCAGGAAATATAAATGTCTACCGACAAAATGCCAAGGGTACAGGTTCTGAGGATGATGAAAGGGCATATAGGAGCAAAAATGGGCCAAAAAATAAAGTACATTGGGTGTAGAGAGAGGGAGAGGACAGAAAAAAGAATGTAGATCTGCCATAGAAGCTTCCATTCTTCTCCACATTGCATCTTCCTATGAGCCCACACACATGGGTCGCCCATAGTGTTCACCCGCAGGGCTGTATTTGAACAGGAGGTGGGCTGGCGGGTGGGGCAAGAGAAAAGAGGGCTCAATCGCAAAAAGCTCACACTGATTAATAAGGAAGGAACTGGAAATGCAAGTAGGAAGAAAAAAAGCCCCTGTGTACTATGAATAATAAGACAAAGATAATACCACATACAAGAATATTTATAAGGCAAGGAGATAATCATGGTACCAAAGAAAGTAGAAAATTGGTTAAGAATAGAACACAACTTTGACAATCAGACCAATCTGGGTTTGAGTCTTGGCCATACCTTCTAAAATTGTGAGCTTAGGCAAGTTATTTAACTCTTCAGAGCCACCATTCCTTCTCAGTGAAATGAGGATAAAAAGAGGACAGATCTCATTGGATGCCTGATTATTATAAAAAAAAAAAAAAAAAGCAAAAGTGTGTTTAAAGAATAACATGTCTGATTAATACTTAATATGCAATAACTGCTATTATTCTCATCAACCATTGTCTTCATTGGATTAGGCAGGGAAGAAGTTAGTCAGGAAAGAGGGGCTGAGTTTGCTCCAGACTTGAAGAAATGTTTGCAGTACAGCTGTAAACCCACAATGTAAGTTCTCTCCATGACCAACCCAACCCCACCCAGTTGGTGAAGACCCTGAATGAAGCCTGTGTTTCTTTCCATAAACTCATGACTGAACAGCATGTGGTAATTACCCTTCTGGCTCACAGGAATGGAAAAATAGAAGTTAATTTCTCAGCAAGATAGGAAGAATTTGTCTTCAGACTCTATGTACAAGTCTTGAGCAACGGGAAATGTATCCATGTTATTACCTCAGAGTAAATGCTGCCATGCACACTTTTCCCATGACAATGGCAGTGAGCCTAGGGAAGGAAAGATACTTCAGAAATGACACTTTTATTTATTTATATACTTCAGCAAGTTGTTTTCAATAATTGTTCTGTGTCCTGGGTTTTTAGTTGTTATTGTTGCAAAATTCACTCTCTTCCATCCAAAACTTAATGTCCCTCATGTTTAGATTATGGATTTTTCCGTGTGCTTAATTCAAAAAGAAAAGAAAAGTATGTTGTTGCTGATGATCCACCTCACCCCACCAAGTGACATGACTGCTTCAGCATTTGAGGAGCATGGGTGCACCATCCAATTCCTACACAAAGCATTGGGGGCCATCAAATGGAAAACACAATTATCCCAAGCACAAGGCACAGCACTGAAGTCAAAGCACAGCCTTAGACTGCCTCAGCGAGCTCAAAGTCCCAGCAGCATTGAGTAGGAGGGAAAATGGCAAAGAGTTTCCAAAGTTATCTTGTGGATTTATCAAAACTCTCTTCTGTCAGCCCCTCTTGCACCAACCAACATGGTTCAGCTCATTTTTCCAAGGGATGAGGGCTAGAGAGGAAACAAAGAAAGACTGCCCTGCAAGACAAGGATCTGTTATAACAACAACATTTTTAGTCTTACAAATAAATCAACTAATTAAAAGAAAAAATTTCCCATTGGATTTCATTATCATGACAATAATAACAACAACAAAAATATAAGATTTATTGACCACTCATTATGTTCAAGGCCCTATGCCAGGTGTTTTCATATACATATGAATTCTAAAAGACAAGCATTCTTGTTGTCATTTGACAGAGAAGAAAATAGACCCAGAGAGTTTAAGAAAAGTGCCTAATGTCACAGTGATGATAAATAGCAGAGCAAATACCTGCACACAGTTTGGTACGACTCCAAAGCTTATACTCTTTCCATGTTACCTGACAATTCTATTTTCTCCATCATGTGAAGAATTGTCTCTCATAAAAAAAGCTAATCGTTCCAGTTTAAAAAAAAGAGTAAGAAAATTATTTGAAGTGGTATTTGTACAATATTTTTTTAAATGTAATAGCCAGACGGTAATAGCACTAGCAATCCAGGATGTATTTTATAGGGCTATTAATATATGCCTCGAGTGGTCAAAGGCTTTGCCACTCACTTGAGGCAAATAGTAATGGCCAATAAAACTTGCCTTGTCATGTCTTAATACCACATTGTATCATCACACTTGTAATGAAATGCTCTTAAACTTCAGTGTTATCAGAAAGGAAGAAAAAGTGGTAATTAAATGAGCTAGCAAAATGAGGAGGAAGTGTGGAAAAGTGGAGAGAGCCCTGAGTTGAGACCTTGGCCTAACTCTCCCATGCACCTCTGTGACCTAATCTCAGGATGTCAGCATCTCCATCTGTAATCTGTGGTTCATTACGACAAGCCAAGACTTCCTCCAGCTCCCACAGTCTGTGGTTCTTCAGTGAATTCACATTCATTTAACAATAGCTCACTGAAATCATCTAGGGGCACACCTGTGCTAGAAGCTCAGGACAGCAGTAACCAAGGCAGAAGTCTTTGTCTCTGATGCTGGCCATTAGAGGTAAGTGGATGGCTGTGAGTTGAGATATTGCCTTGCTTTAAAACTTTCTCTTCTTATAGGTTGTGAATATTTCCATGCAAATTGTGACAAAATCTTGATAAGAGTTGCATTTGAGTGATGGGGGAATATTTGGACTATTCCCTCCACTTCTGTAATTTTTGGAATTTTTAATCATAAAAATGTAAGGTGGATAGATGAGAAAAGCTTCAGAGAGACTACTGCTTCTGATAATGACTCACTAGATATGCCAGATAAAACTTTTGATATGATTTGGCTGTTTCCCCACCAAATCTCATCTTGAATTCCCACGTGTTGTGGGAGGGACCCAGTGGGAGGTAACTGAATCATGGAGGTAGGTCTTTCCCGTGTTGTTTTCATGATAGTGAATAAGTCTCACAAGATCTGATGGTTTTAAAAAGGGGACTTTGCCTGCCCAAGCTCTCTTCTCTTGTCTGCCGCAGGTGAGGCATGCCTTTCACCTTCCACCACGATTGTAAGGCCTCCCCAGCCCTGTGGAACTGTAAGTCCAATAAACCTTTTTCTTTTGTAAATTGCCCAGTCTCAGGTATGTCTTTATCAGTAGTGTGAAAACAGACTAATACACCTTCCCATTGAAGATAAGTAAAAGAGAGAAAAAGCATTTATTAAATGCTTTAAAACACCTCAAATCTAAAAAAAAAAAAAAAAGCGTCAGGCCAGGATCAAGGGAAGGAAGAAGTCTGGACAAAAGAAGCTGGCATTCTGGGCCTATTTCTCCCCTAACGACATATTGAGGAGCCAAGGAAATAAAGATTTGTGTTTAAGTCCTGCTAAGGATGGGGGAACTGACCAGGTGTATCATTTGTTTTGGACTGGGCTCCTCAAAGAGCTGTGTCCTAGCAGGAAGGGAGAATAGAGAACTAAGAGGCCCTTGCAGAGGTCTATGGATCATCTTCAAGCCATCTCAATATCTGAAACTAAAATCAGATGCTTCCAGAATTCTAATGCCCCAAGTGCTTGCAGAAGCAAATGTAAATCCCTTCTGGGGTTGAGAAACCTCAATCTTGACCTCAAATTATATCTGTAAAAAATTGTACGAATATACTGTCTCACACACAATTAAAAATAACCAAGCACATAAGGAGATAAGAAGACATAAACAAAACCAGCAGAAATAACAGAAATAGAAACCCACCCACAAGCCTCCAGATACTAGAATTATCTGAAACAGACTTTTTGTAAAAAGTCTTCCTATTTATAGAAAGAGAAAATTATAAAGTTGAGAATTTCAACGTACAATGGTATAGCAGGCTAAAAGGTGGCCCCAAAAAAGATATGTCCACATTTTAATCTCTGAGACTTGTGAATATTACCTTATGTAGCAAAGGAGCAAATAATACATTATATGGAAAAAGATGTGACTGAATTAAGGGTGCTGAGAGGAGGACTTACCTTAAATTATCAAGATGAACCCTGAATGCAATCACATGTATTCTTATAAGAGATTGGCAGAAGAAATTTTAAGACAGACACAGAGAGGAGAAGGCCATGTGAAATGGAGGGACAGAGAGATAGCTACAAGCAAAGGAAGGCCAACAGCCACTAGAAACTAAAAGAGGCAAGGGGTGGATTCTTCCCTAGAGCCTTTGGAGGGAGTGTGGCTGCTGATACCTTGACCTCCAGCCTCCTGAACAGTGAGAGAATACATTTCTGTTGTCTAGGCTACCCAGTCTCTAGTAATTTGCTACGCCATCCTATGGAACTCATAAAAATGAGAAACTCAGAAACAGAGAGAGTCGAATGAAAATTTTAGGCCTAAAAATACATTAACTAAAATTAATAACTTAATAAAGGAAGAACAGACACAGCAGAAGCAGGAATTAGAAGCCAGAAGAAAATAACTAGAATAAAGTATAGAAAGACAAAAGGATGGAAAATACAGGATAAGACACTACAGGATACAGTGAGGAGGTATAACACATATGTAACTATAGCCCATGGAAATGGAAAAGAAGAGACTGAATGGGGAAAAGCAATATTTGACAAGATGAATGATGCCTGAGAACTTTCCAAAACTGAAGAAAGATATCAGGCCTCAGAAGGAGCCAAGACAAAGAATCCTAGAAACCCCAAGCAGGAAATGTAAAAAGAAAACTTCACCCAGGCCAATTACAATAAAACTGCTAAAACCACAAAGAAAAAAAAAAAAAAACTAAAAATCAGCATAAGGGTGAAAAAGAAACAAAAATTGGATTTTTATCTAACTTATCAACAGAAATAAAGAAAGCCAGAAGTAAATAAAATATCTTTTAAGTATTGAAAGAACATAACAGATAGCCTAGAATTTTATGCCCAGAGGAAATATCCCTAAGAGTGATAGTAAAATAAAGCACTTCAAACAAAAAACAAAAGAATTTGTTACCAACAGACCTACAATAAAGGAAATAGTGAATGATGTTCTTCAGGCAAAAAGAGAGTGCTCCCAGATGAAAGATAAATAATACAAGAAAATAAAATGAAGAACAAAGAAAAGAATAAATATATGATTAATCAAAATGAATTATGACTGAATAAAGCAATAATAATAATAATGTCTTGGGCATCTGAAAGGTATAGAAGTAAAATACATAACAATGACACAGAAGTCAAGAGAGTGATAAATGCCATTAAAGTGGTCTAAGACCTGAGTCAAGATGCATACTATAATCTCTAGTGTAAGCACCAAAATAATAATAAAAGAATATACAACTTCCAAGGTAATAGACAAATAAAAAGTGGAATGGTTAAAAGCAACAACAACAAATCCTCAATTCAACAGAAGGGAGAAAAAGAGGAGAAACTGGAACAAGGAACAAGCAGGACTAAAAGAAAGATAGCAAATTAATAAAATAATAAATTTCAACCCACCCGTGTATTATTACATTAAAAGTAGGAAAACTCAATGCTGCAATTAAAAGACAAATTCTGTCCAACTCAACCATATGCTGTATACAAGAGACACATCTAAAAATAATGCTATAGAAATGCAGGAGCTAAAAGTATTCAAATAGGCACACACACACACACACACACACACACACACAAACACACCAGGCAAATACTAACTGAAAGAAAGCTGGTGTGGTTTTATTAATATCAGATAAGATAGACTGTAAGGCAGAAAGTCTTACTAGGTATATGGAAGATCCTTTGTAATTGAGAAAAAGACAAGTCTACAGTCATATTATGGAATTTTAACATATCTCTCTCAGAAACATATAAAACAAAAAAAGACAAAAGAAATCAGTGAGAATGCAGAAAATCTGAAGAACATAAACAGCAAAATTGGCCAAATAAACATATAGAACATTGCACTCAACAAATAGAGGATATACTTTATTTTCAAGCACATAGCAAACACGTATAAAAATATGCCAGATGTTATGAAATCAAACACATCTCAACACATTTCAAGCACTGAAATCATTCAAAGCGTGTTCTTTCCTCACAATGCAATGAAGCCAAAAATCAATAATGAAAAGATGGCTAGAAAATCCCTGGTAGAAATTAGAAACTGCTCTTAACTGAATGATAATAAAATGATTTCATCTAAAACAGCAAAAACAGTACTTAAGGGGAACCCTATTGTGTAAATACATTACGACAAAATTTGAGAATCTACTAACCACTTCAAGAAATCATTTTTTAAAATCAGTCAATTTAAACAAAAGAAAGTAGAAGAAAGGAAATGGATAAAGAGCAGACGTGACTGAAGTGAAAACAAGCATACAATATAAAAGATCAACATGAGGAAGTGTTGAAAACACTCTTACCACACAAATCTTCATATAGGTGTTTATTCTGTGTTTACGAATACAGAAACTGTACTTATAAGTGCCAAAACTTGGAGCAACCAAGCTGGCCTTCAGTAGGAGAATGGATAAGCAAATTCTGGTACACCTAGAAAATGAAATATTGTTCAGTGCTAAAAACAAATGAGCTATCAAGCTGTGAAAAGACATGGAGGAAACTTAAATGCATATTAGTAAGTGAAAGAAGCCAATGTGAAAAGGCTACATACTCTATGATTCCAACTATATGACCTTCCGGAAAAGGCAAAACTATAGAGACAGAAAGAAAGGTCAGTGGTTTCCAGGGGTTACGGTAGAAGGGAGGGATGGATAGGCAGGCACAGAGTGTTTTTAGGGCAGTACCACTATTCTGCGTGACACAATGGTGGATATATTTGTCCAAAACTCATAGGATGTACAACACCAAGAGTGAATCCTAGTATAAACTATGGACTTTGGGTGATAATGATGTGTCAATTTAGGATCATCAATTGTAACAAATATAGCACCCTGATGGGGGATCTTGGTCACAGGGAAGGCTGTGCACGGATGGGGCAAGGGTTATATGGGTTATCTCTGTACCTTCTGCTCAATTTTGTTGTGAATCTAAAACTGGCATTAAAAAAATGTCCATTAAAAAATTTTAATGCATAATTTTAAAACTTCCCACAAAGGAAAAAAAAAAAAACAGATTCTGATGACTTCCCCAGATAATTCTACCAGAACTTTAAAGAAAAAACAATACTGATCATACTCAAATACCTCCAAACAATAAGAGAATACATTTCCTAACTCACTTTAAGCATAACCTCGATAACCAAAACCTGACATGGACTTTATGAGAAAGGAAAATTTCAGGTCTAATTCATTAATGAACATAGAGGCAAAAAGCTTAAACAAATTATTAGCAAACTAAATATAACATCATATAAAAATGTTAATCCATCTTGACCCAATTGGGTTGCTTCCAGAAATGCGTGGTTGTTCAACATTTTACAAATATTCATTACATTAGCAGAATTAAGCAGAAAATACATATAATAATTTTAATAGATGCAAGATTAGCTTTGATAAAATTCAACATCCATTAATGAATAAAACTTCTTAGCAAAGGAGGAATAGAAGGGAAATTCCTTTAAAATATATCTATAAAAACACTACTGCAAACCTAACACAGTGATAAAATATTGACAACTTTCTCTTTGATATCAACATCGTATTAATTTTTGGAGTCAGTACAATCAGGTAAAAAAAGATATAAAAGATAACACAACTAGAAAAGAAGAAGCAAAAGTGCCATTTTTAGCAAATGATATGATTGTGGATGTAGAAATCCAAAGAATCTACAGATAAAATTAATAAGTCAATATAGCAAGATTGCTGGATATAATTTTCAGTAAATAAAAACTAACTACATGTTTATAAACCAGCTATAAACAAAATTAAATTTAATTTTTTAATTTCCATTGTATCATAAATACTTAACAATACCTCAAAATAAGTGGATATTTCTTTGAAAAATATGAAAAATTTCTACATAAAAGCAAAAGAATATTAATGTGAGAATTGAAATGCAATAGTACTTGGAGCTATATAACATATTCCTAGGTTGGAAGACTCAATTTGTAAAAATGTTAGTCCTTCCTAAACGAATCTATGGAGTTAATGGAGTCTTTAAAAGAAAACTTAATAAAGTATTATTTATTTACAATAAAATATATACATTTTTAGGATGTGGTTTAGTGATCTCTGTAATCATCACCCCAGTTGATACCCACATGCCCCTGTAAAGCTCTTCCCACTAATCTGCCCACTTCATCCCTGACTTCAGTCAACCACTGATTGATTTATATCACTGTAGAGTTGGGGCTTTTATAAACGTCATATAGATAGAATCACGTATTACGTACTCTTTCATGTCTGGCTTCTTTTGCTTAATGTAATGTTTTGGAGATTCATCTACATTGTTGCATGTATCGACAGTGCATTCCTTCTCATTGCTTAGTAGTTTTACATTTTATAAACATACTGGTTGTTTCCAGTTTGGAGCAATTACGAATAAAGGGGCTATGAATATATGCATGTACCACTCTTTTGTGGACATACGTTTTCATTTCACTTGGATAAATACCTAGAAGTGGAATTTTTAAGGATTCAATGCAGTCTTAAATAAAAACTCAGTAAATAAGATCCACAATTTTTGTGGAATTTTATGAGCTAATTCTAAAACTCAAAGGAAGTATAAAGGGCCAGGATCACCTTAAAGAGAAACAGCAAGGTGGGAGGTTTGGCTCTATCAGAAATAAAGACTTATCATAAAACTTATCATAAAAAACTACAGTGTGACATTGGTATTAAAATGAACAAATAGATCAATGGATCACTAGAATTTAGCAACATATCCAGAAAAAGACTCAAACATATGAACATTTCGGTGTCTCTGCCAAGCAGTAGCGAAAGCACAGTCTTTTCAATGAAAGATGCCAGGAAAATTGGATACCATATTGGGGTAAAAAATGATGCCCTATTTTACATCATACAGAAAAATAAAATCGAAATAGATTTTAAATCTAAATTTGAAAGGCAAAATAATGTAGTTTCTAGACATTAATATGCTAAAATATTTTCAAGAAATCAAACTAGTGAAAGACTTCTTAAGGAGGGATTTTAACAATTATTAATTGTAAAATAAAAAATTAAGAAAATAGGCTGTAGTATAATTGTTTTGTTCATAAAAGACACCAGTAAAGGAATGAAAAGACAAGCTAAAATGTGGAAGAAGATATTTGCAACACATATGATTGGAAAATATATATTAATGCATAAAATATATATAAAACACTCCTACCCCCCTAAAAGGTAAAAGAGAACCCATTTTTTTAAATGGGGAAAAGACTAATACAGGCAGTTCACACAAGAAGATATTCAAATAGCCAATAAATATCTAAAAGGTGTTCAACCTCATTCTTAATCAAGGAAATGCAAATTAAAACCACAAAGAGATACCACTGCCTACCTAACAGAATGGCAAAAGTTTAAACCAATTGTTGTCCAGAAGCAAAAGGAACTTCTGTGATACTTCTGGTGGAAGAGTAATTTGATACACTAATTTTGGAAAACAGGTTGGTAATATCTACCATCAGGAAAAATTGTGAAAGATTTAGAATAGGGAAGAAAAAAAAGCATTGTGATCGTGCAGTCTAATGCACCCTACTGTGTTACTATGCCTTTCTATGTCTTTCTGCTATTCTACAACTATTTAAGTTGCAGAAAACTGATAATGATACAAATTCTTCCCGTCCATAGAAACGCAAGTGAATATGTATGGTGGAAATGCAACAAATTATTGCCTTGTGGATAGACCCATTTCACTTTTATTAATAAATTCATTTCCTCATCTCTTATTGCCTACATATACATGGACCTTTCCATTCTCCTTTGAACCAGCTGCTAACATGTACTGGTTCCCTCATTAATTAATGAGTTAAATAACATCTTTCACACACGTTCATTGTGTATTTGTATGAGAGCAATTATTTTGCTTTTTGTTAAAAAAAAAAATAACAAAACCTTTTTATACTACTAAGGCCAAAGATAACATATATCTTATGCCCCAACAATACCACTTCTAGGAACACAACCAACAGAAATGCATGCACATGTGCCCCAAGAGACAGGTACAGGAATGTTCACAACATCAGTATTTATAGCTAAAAACTGGAAATATCTCAAATATGCATCAATGGCCAAATGGATAGATAAATAGTGGAATATTCCTATAATGAAATATAGCAAGTAAGATGAATGAACTACAGCTATACACCACAACATGGATGAACTTCATAAACATAACACTGAAAAAAAGAAGCTGTATTAGTCTGTTCTCATGCACTAATAAAGACATACCCAAGACTGGGTAATTTATTAAGGAAAGACGCTTAATTGTCTTACAGTTCAGTATGGCTGGGGAAGCCTCAGGAAATTTACAATCATGGCAGAAGGGGGAGCAAGCATGTCCTTCTTCACATGGCAGCAGCGAAGAGAAGTGCAGAGCAAAGTAGGGGGAAAGCCCCTTATAAAATCATAAGATCTCATGAGAACTCACTCACTATCACGAGAACAGCATGGAGGTAACCACCCCCATGATTTAATCACCTCCCACCAGGTCCCTCCTATGACACATGGGGATTATAGGAACTTCAATTCAAGATAAGATTTGAGTGAGGACACAGCCAAACCATATCAGAAGCCATACATAAAACAATGCTCTGGCTGGGCGCAGTGGTTCACGCCTGTAATCCCAGCACTTTGGGAGGCCAAGGTGGGTGGGTCACCTGAGGTCAGTAGTTCAAGACCAGCCTGGCCAACATGGCGAAACCGTGTCTCCACTAAAAATACAAAAATTAGCCGGGCGTGGTGGCACATGCCTGTAGTCCTAGCTACTTGGGAGGCTGAGGCAGGAGAATCGCTTGAACCCGCGAGGCGGAGATTGCAGTGAGCCGAGATCACGCCACTGTGCTCCAGCCTGGGTAAAAAAGCGAGACTCTGTCTCAAAAAAAAAAAAAAAAAAGCTCTATGACTTCCTCTACATGAAATTCAAAAGAAACAAAACTAAACTAGAGTGTTTAGAAATGAACACTTAGGGAACAAAACCTCTAGTAAGAACTTCGTTTATTTGCTTTGGAAAGCCAAGACAGCAATCTCCTTTGGGAGAGTGAAAGACGGGAAGGGTTGAAAGTGGGGAGAAGGACTGTTTCTGGGACACCTACGATGTTCTGTCCTCACCTTGTTAACGGCAGCAATCATCAATATATTCACTTCATGATAAATCATTGGGCTATTTAATTGTTTGGTGCACTTTCCTTCATTATTAATTTATTTATAAAATAAAGATATTTTATAAATAAAATTTATAAATATAAAATATATTTCAAAATAAAGAAAATGTCTTAAAAGAAGGGGGCTTTACAGCGTGAAGGACTGAAAAGCCAATTAGAGGCAAAGCTATAGTATTCACTGTATTGTCCAACAAGCAAGTTTTTACATTAATATTCCAAGTCATTAAAGAAATGGCCTTCAGAGACTTCCAATCCTTCAAAGCAGTAAAACAAATGCAATAAGCTGCTGAAAAGACAGGAAGCCTAACAGTCCCGGCACCAGGATTGTTTTTTTTCTTAAGAGGCTTGCCAGGTTCGCAAACTAAATATTTTCAGCCAGAAGTTTGTGTTTAAGCTCTACCCTTGCCTCTCTGAAAACAGAAAATTCACTCCAAAGAAATTAACACCTGCATCTACCTCATTTCAAGAGAAAATTGTTTCTTTCCATCTCCCCGCAAACTTAATATTCTTCTGCATGCATCAGGAGGCAGTGACAGGCCCTTTGTCATCAGCACAGGTAAACGTTGCCTAGGTAACCAGGCCCACCACCAGCAGAGCCAGCTCCTGCAATCTCTGCCTGGGCTGGGTTCACCAGGCAGAGGGCACCATCCCCACAGGTGAGGGAATGAAAAGTTTGGAGATTTAACCAATGACTGTCAGCTGTTCATGTTTTCATCCATTATGTCAGAATGTTAAAAGGGCATGTCCGAGGGCCCGGTGGCAAAGGCTGCACACGTTTACAAGACATTCAATTTCATTCAGCCCTGAGGGGAGAAAAGATTGGAGATGGAGGGAGTGGAGATGAGGGAGGACAACTGAGAGGATGGGAAGGAAAGTGTATAAACCCCTCCCACACTCCTTCCCCCAGTCTTTTGACACTCAACACTAGAATACTAACTCCTTCCTTTTCAGGAATGAAAATAATAATAGTATTTATAGAACACTTGCTAAGTGCCAAGCACTTTACAGAAAACATCTCAATCTTCTTCATGATCAGCCCTACAAGTAGGCAGCTTTGCCTTCATTTTCCAGGAGGTAACAGATGCCCAGAGAGGTTAAGTGATATGGGTAAGATCACACTTTGGGAACAGTCTGACCCACTGCCTGGAGAAAACAGTTATCCTCCCCAACCACCCCATCTGCATTCTGGCAGTGAATTAACCAGTCTTTCTAAACATCAACTAATCAACCACAGTCTGCCTAGATCCCTCCAGGTTTGAAATGCTATAATACATAAAGTTGCCATAAATGATATCAAAACAAGTAGAGTACAAATTGTAAATAAAATTGCTTACACTAGAGACAATGTAGCCATATAACAAAGTATAATGTTATACTTTGTATAAACATTATTTATACAAAGTATATCATCTTATTTCATTTTGTTTCTGACAACAACCAGTACAGCAGATATGATTACTATGCCCAGTTTGTCTCTAAGGTCCAAAGAGGTTTGCTGCCTGCCCCCCAGATCCCAGGGGTATATATATCACAGAAAGGACTCTAACTCCATTCATGCCTCTAGAGTCCTCAGCCATTTCATGTATTAATAATGACCACTGAGTGTACATATCGTATCACCTAATAGGTATACATACAGGTGACCAGAAATCACATGGATGTTTATAATCTAGAGAGCAGTACCAAGAGGAAGAAGAAAGAAGGCTAGGTTGGTGAGTGATGTTGAGTGATGGTCAAGTAGCATAAAGCTCAGTGAGTAAGGAACGGTGGGGGGTGGGGGTGAGGAATCTGTTCAGAGATAGAAAGAGCAGGGAGAAGGTATTTAAAGCAAGAATTGATTGCACCCATATACCAAGGGAAGAGAGGAGAAGTCATTTTTAAAGAACATGTCTTCATAGTTTCTGTGGTGGCAAAACCAGAGATGCTCATCTCCTTGCACCTAGCAGGCCACACTTCCATTAGAACAATCTTTGGAAATGTAAATCATATACACGTTTCCTCTACTTAAAATTCTTCCATCACTGGAATCAGTATAAAATTGCCATCAAGAACACAGGTTCTGGAGCCAGACTTCCCAGTTCACAATCCCGGCTCTGAAACATACTAGTTGTGTGACCTTAGGTAAGTTATTAAAAGTCTCTGTCCCTCAGTTTTCTTCTTTGTAAAATGAGATTAGTAACTAACCCCAAAGGAGTGTTGGAGAATAAGGATATTATGGGACTAAATCATGCCTAGCACTTGGGAAGCTCTCAATAAATGCTAGCTATTATGATCACCATCCCTAATGCCTTGGGATATATAAATCCACACTCCTTAACTTAGCACAATAGCATTTGGTCCCCACCTACCTTTCTAACACTTCCCCCAGGGCCAAATACTGCAGTTCATCTTGACCGTGATCTCCCTCGCCTCCGTGATTTTGTCCTTACTGTTCCCTCCATAGATGAACACTCTGTCCCTCTTCTCTACATGGACAATTCCCCTGACCCCTCTAGACTCCTCCTGACTCTATCAGCTGCTTTCCTCGTGTTCCTGTGGCAGATGCCTCCCTCTGTCAGAACGTCAGTTGCCCTGCAGTGACTGTCAGGGAGGAAAAATAACTTTTCCCCCAAGCCTCATAAGTTCTTAGTTGGGATGAACTCCCGTAATAAAAGACAGATTAACAGAAGTAAAACAAACAACTTATGAATGCATGCAGTGTACATCACACAGGAGAAACCTCAATGAAAGGTAACCCACAGCAGCAGCTTAGAACTCTGGCTTATGTGGCATCTGGCTTATGTGGCATGTTCAACAAAGAACAATAAAGTTGTCAAGAAAAGACAGGACAAAGAAGTGAGGTTTTGGGCTTCCAAGGATGGGAAACTGTGGGAAGGTAAATATACAGGAGAAAACTGATGAAGTGAGGTTAGTTTGCAGATTCCTCTGGCGTTGTCTCTCAGCTGATGAGTCTAGAGTTGTCTCCAGTAGAGGAGGATTTATATCCTGTCTTCAGGCAGAAAATGGGGAGGATAGAGAGAGCTTTTCCCCTGTTTACTGCTTCTTAATTTCCTTCAGCTCAAAAATAATTTTATGTCAAAGAGGCAGATTTGGGGGAGTCATGTTCTGATTCCTTTCGTGACCACACTTGTTTTACTGGCCTCTGAACTTCTCTTCACAGAAAGTTCTCAGAAAATGCTGAGAGATGGAACTTGGGCAGTTTCAGGCTCTAGCCATAGATCATGGAGGAACAGTTCTTGCCAACGTGATGAAAATCCTCTTCTATCTTTCTATATTTTCCTTTACTGCAATCCATGAAAAGTTAAAAAGAAGCTTCTCATGAACAGTCCATAAAATTGTACGTGGTAATTAAGTGTCCCCAGTCCACAGCACACAGCATTGAGACAGGCAGTGCCAAGGGACTGCCTTCTTTTCATATGTATTCTTTCCTTTCCTTTTTCCATTAAAGCTGTACAAAGCAAACATGTTACAGTGTTTCCACTTTATTCCCATTTATTTTTAGACTATGATTTTTCACTATAGCCAGGATATGCAATTCTTCCCATATCTTCAAATCTTTACTACTGCACTCCCACAAACTTAATTAGGAAATTGTATGTAACAAACATTCAGTTCAACAAATAAATTCTGAATCTTTAGAATTCAACAGACATGAGTCAAACCACCTGCCTCTGCCTCTAAAGACACGTCCAGAGAAAAACAAGATGGAGGACAGTGCTTAAGAACATGGGAATATGGGAAGCAGGAGGACACAATGGAAGAGCACACCCTGGAGGCCAGGCAATCACTCTGGAGGCCAGGCAGTCACGCTGGACGCCAGGCAGTCTGGGTTTGAACCTCAACTCTGCTGCTCACCATGGAATGGCCTTGGACAATTTGGCTAGGCAGGACCAACCACATAATTTATGAGGCCCCATGCAAAATAAAAATGCAGGGCCCTTGTTCAAAATTATGAAGTCTTCTACGACAATAATTGCAGAATATTACACCAAGCATGGGGCCCTTCTAAGCATGGGGTCCTGTGTGATCATGCAGGTCACATGCCACGAAGCCATCCCTGCATCTAGCCACTGTCACCTCAGTTTACTTCTCTGTCAAATGGACACAATAATAGCACCCATTTTGAAGGGTTGCTGTGATGATTAGATTAGAAACTCCCATAAAAATTGCTTCTAAAAGCACCTGGTGCTTATCAAAAAATGTCATCTTTTGCCATTATTATTTTTTGAAAGTCAAGTTATGAAACAGAATAGCTACTAAGGCATTCATAGTCAATTATAAGATACTTCTTTACCAAGGGATTAGCCACAAAGTCCTTCAAACAGCAAACTTCCTTATTTAAATCTCAAAGAGTTTACAAAAGACTGATGCCTGTACTACTTTCTAAAAATACGTATTAGGCAAAACAAAGTATCTCTCTAATCAGAGAAATAAACCCAAAAAGATGGGCTTTCAGACAAGATGATCCAAGAGACATTTTTATTTAAGGTCTATAGGAAAGAAGATCTCTTCCTGTGTTTCCACTTGTACCATTCTGGCCTGTCTATAGGATGGTCTTATGACTTGGACAGAGCTGGGGTTAAGAGCACGGAGGTTGACATCAGTCAAAACTGAAGGATCTCCTAACTCTCTGACTTTAAGCAATTAAATTCTCTAAGCCCGCATTTCCTCATAAACAATCCAAACTCACAGCAGGATGAAAAAACAGATTCACAGTGTTGTTATAAGCTTTAACTGACATATACATACAGTCATGAATGGCTCAATGATAGGGATATGTTCTGAGAACCACATCCGTAAGTGTAGTTGTGTGAGCATCATAGAGTGCACTTACATACACCTAGATGGTGTAGCCTACTACATACCTAGGCTACATGGTATAGCCAATTGCTCTTAGGCTACAAACCCATACAGCACATTACTGTGCTATATACTATAGGTATAATAACTGTAACACAATGGTAAGTATCTGTGTATCTAAACATATCTAAACACAGAAAAGATACAGTAAAAATGTGATATTATCATCTTATGGGACCACTGTCATATAGGCAGTCTGCCATTGACTGGACTGAAACGTCGTCATGTGGCACATGACTATATGTGGTGCTTAGCTCAAGGTTTGGAGCATAGGATGACTCCATCAATAGCTGCCTTGAGGGCAAAAATATGGAGCCACATTCTAAGTCAGGGAAACAAACAGTAGGCATTAATGCACAATGGGGCAGAAGTCCCTTACTCCTCCCAATTTACATCTTCAGATAACAAGCATTTACTGTTCATCCGCATGAGAAAGAGTCTTAACTCAATGATCTAAGGGCTCAAAAGGTTACATTTAAATTTAGGACTGCTCTGACTAAATGAAAATTTCAACACCTACATTAATAGCTTTATTTGCCAAGAATATTTTACTTTTATTAGCACTTTCAAACAGACTGATATTCTTGCTTATCTTCATTTTACACGTGACACATTCTCACTGAAGCATGGTCACAACAGAATATGGTCTGGGGCCAGTGCAAGATCCTAGCCCAGCTTCTTGATTTCAGAGAACATGTGCCTTAAATATGACACACAAGGAGAGAGATGTCATTGCCATGTTTTAACTTACAGTTTTCTGATAAACATTCGGCCTGCGCAATTGCAAGGCTGTCATAATTGGAACAAGTCATTTCCAAGTACAAAGGGCAATGACCAGTGGCAATGCAGGGACTCTGAGCACTCTAAAAAGACAATAGAAGAATATTCTACTCCTCAGCTCAGTGGCTCCATTACGTTTAGTTTTGTGCTAAAAATGTCTCAAAAGTGTTCCATTACCTACAAGGTCAAGTCCAAACCCTTAGTCTACCTAATGTCCCACCAGCCCCCAAAGTCCAGACTAAGCTTTAGCCATAAAGTACTTCCCATCATTTTCCACAAATGTCATGTTTCAGATTCAGGGCCTGAAAAGACCCTAGAGTAGCTAGAAAATAATAAGAGGCTGAGTGCCTTGGAGGAGACTGGAAAGGGATCCTGTAGGCCTGTGGAGTCATGATTCAAAGATCGTAATATATTCCAAATGAAAAAGGAAGCCACTGACCAGATAAGAAAGGGAATGAGATCATCTTACGTGCATCTTTTAAAATTCCTTCTGGTTGCTGTGCCAAGAACAGATAAAAGAGTGACAAATGAAGAAGAGGAACTTGTGGCAGGGAGAGCAGTAGGTGGGTAGACCAGGAGGCACAGCCATCCGGCCAGTTAGTCTGAAGTTAATGCTCATGCTTATTCATCAAGATTCTGTTCAAGTATCTGCTTATCAGTGAGACTAATTCCACCAGGTCTGACCTGAACTAAGCAAGTGAAATAAATTGTCTTCTTAAGTATAATCTAGTTTAAAAGTTCTTAACATCAAAGAAAAGTTCTAAGAACTCCTTAACTTTTAAAAGATAATCAGTTTAATTCAGATCAAAATTATTTCCATAGGCTCCTTCCTAAATGATTCTCTCCTCTACAGAGGTAGAAGACCAGATGGTTAAAAGCAAGGTATTTTGGGTCAGACAGATCTGAATTTTATTCCCTGGCCCCACTAGCACTTACAATGGAGAAACCGTGGCTCAGATAAGTTATTCTTAACTTCTAGGTGTATATAAATACACTCTCAGTGCACACCCAGGTGTATGTAAGTGCACTCTAACTTACTCTTACCTTCTCTGAGCCAGTGTCTCCATTTATAAAATGGGGACACATCTACCTCAAAGAGATGCTATAAAGTTTACTCACATAAGGTAAGATGATTAGTTCATCTGCCACATTGTAGGTGCTCAATAAATAATAGCTGCTGAAAGAATAATATTGTCTTTCCAAGGCAGGACTCACAGACAGCTGCTATATAGTGACTCTGAGGGAAGGACCACCTAGCATCCTCCTTAAGGGCAATACTGTCAACCGAATGTCAAGAGTTGACTCTACCAAAAGGAGCCATAAATCCACAATGTATCGTCTAAATGACCCAAGAGATAATGCTCAAACTTGATTCCCTTCATCAAATGGAAAATTTAACAACCTGTACAACTAATAACTTATTTGTATAAAATGTTTAGTTATGTTGTCATTGGCTTGACCCTTTTGATACATACAACTCCAAGCTCTGTCATAAACAAGCACACTTATATCTTTAGCATATTTTAACTTTTAAAGTTCTGTTTGAAATTACCCGTGTGCAATCATTGTAGCAAAATCATCATTGAGACAAATAATTTCCAAATACAAAATACAATGGCCAGAGCCAACCCAAGGACTCTGTTTAAAAATCCTTCAGTGTGGCCGGGTGCGGTGGCTTATGCCTGTAATCCCAGCATTTTGGGAGGCCAAGGCGGGCAGATCACGAGGTCAGGAGATTGAGATCATCCTGGCTAACACAGTGAAACCCCGTCTCTTCTAAAAAATAAATAAATAAATAAATAAAATAAAATAAAATTAGCCGGGCGTAGTGGCAGGTGCCTGTAGTCCCAGCTACTTGGGAAGCTGAGGCAGGAGAATGGTGTGAACCCGGGAGGTGGAGCTTGCAGTGAACCAAGATTGTGCCACTGCACTCCAGCCTGGGTGACAGAGCGAGACTCCACCTCAAAAAAAACAAAATCCTTTAGTGTTTCCCCATTTCTAGAGGATCAAATCTACACTCCTTGACAGAATCTACATGATCCTTATGATCTGACCCAACTGTATTATCTCTTCCAGCTCCCAAAGCCAGCTCAATGCCAGCCATACACAACTTTTCACTGTTTCCCAAAATGTCCTGTTCCTTCATGCCACCGGATCTTTGCACATGCTAATTTTTTTGCCTAAAATTAATTCATTTAATCATTCTTTTGTTGACTGCATTGTGCTAGATGATAGATACACAGCGATAAGCAAAACAGTTGTGATCCCTTTAGTTTTTTTTGTGATCCTTTTAGTTTTTTGACTGACAGATCAACAAACAAATAGGCTGCCATGATCTTATTTACTTTTTAAAAGATCACTCTGGCTGTTCTGTGGCCTTATCTAGAGAGATGAGTGATTGAGGAGAGAACAGGGAAAGCAAAGAAGGAAAGCTGCCTGGCATTCCCCACCCAGGCAGCACGATGGACTTAGGCTCAACACCAGCTCCACAAGAAAATTAATTCCTCCATGTCTGATTTGACCTAAGTGGGCCTTCCTAAGTTGATCTGATTGGAAATTCTTCAAATACATTTTTTAAAAAGCCTCAAAGGATTTTTAAAGTTCAGTTTATTTCAAGTCAAAATTCAAGTTATATTTTCATTTCCGCAAGCTCCTTTTAAGTAGGTTAATTTGTTACTGGAATGGTTTGTAATAGTACTAGTGATTCTCTGCTCTAGGAGACAGACCACCAAAGTGGCAAAGGAAACAAAGTCTGTGGTCATAGGCGCATCTGTTATAGATGCCAGGGTCAAACTGCCTGGGTTCAAATCTTACCACTGCCACAGAATAGTTTTGTAACTTTAACCACTATGTGCCTCAGTTTCCTTACCTGTAAAATGAGGATTAAGTGAATTAATAAATGTAAAGTGCTGAGAACAATGCCTAGTCCTTACTGCACATAGTAACTGTTAGCTAATAACAATAACAATTATACAAATAATATGACCCCACAGGTGTTCCACTCACTGGCCACATGACCTCAGACAAAGAACTTAAGTTCTCTCCGAGCCTCAGTTTCCTCAGATAAAATAGATTTCTAATAGGATTGTTAAACTTTAAAATAAATCATGTGTATGAATTAAATACAGTGCCTATCATATAGTAAGTGTCCAGAAAATGTTTGCTGATGTTATTGTATCATTAAAGTTATTATTATCATGGGCAAGTTACAAATAGGTTTATCTATGTATGATCTGAGTAATATACTCTAGGAAATGTATTTTACTTCAGCCAAACACCTGGATTCAAAGTATAACCCCTCTTCTACTAGTAGTATGACCTTTGAGAGGTGACTTAGCCTCTCCAAGCCTTCATTTCCTCACCTAGGTGGATGTACCTCATGAGCCTGTGGGGATAAAATGAGATAATCCACAAATATAAAGCCCCAACACAGTACAGGTAAGCACTCAGTAAATGTAAGCTATTGTTACAATTATTATTACTATTCATACACACCCTAAATTCCCCTAGAAAAAAAATTAGATGTTCAGTGAATCTTTTATCTCCATTCTCTCTACCCCTCCTCTTACCCACAGTACTTAGATTCTCTATAAGTGCTTGATAAATAAACTTCCTCTTCACATGTCTCTATTTGCTGAAGATAAGTGGGGAAAAGGTCAAACCCAGATCCCTTTAACCTACATAAATCTGAAATAATGTATAGTGGATTTCAATAGTTTTAACACAGAAACCTAGAGTGGTATATGGGTTGGATGTCCTTTCTTCAAATAACGTTTTAATATCATGGGTCAAAGATGGGTGAGAGAAAAACAAACCTTAATTTACCCACAAGTTAGAAGTCACATGCAGAAATCTTGGCTCAAATCAAGCCACAAAACCAGGCTTCTAAGGTTAAGCAGCATGGCAGAATTAAATAAACATCAAACCAGCCGACGAACAGATAATCAGGCAACATAAACCAGGGTAGGAGAGAAAGGTTCTTTTACTCCCAGCCAAAGAATGAGATGAAAAATAAATAAGGCAGCACATATAAAGTGGCAATGGTTCAGGTACTTGCTGGTTCTGGGGAATGAATTTTCTCTTAGAAATAGGAAGAGAGAAAGAATGACCTGGTTGACAAGGTCAGCAATAAAAGAACAAACACAAGTAGTAGTGTAGTCAGCCTCCAGGCCATGGCAAAGGTGTGAGGGATGACATGGTGAGCTGTCATGAACACCATGTCAGTGATTTTATATCAGGCATAGCAATGATTCATATTTCCCAGGGAAGGATTCCTAATGGAATGGCTTATATCCCGGGACTCTGCAAGAAGGTTTCATCTACTTGGTTTTAAGAGTTCACCAAGCTTCCCTTCTCTTGGGTTGATAGTATGGTTCCTTAGACATTCTAGCTAACGATCCCTGCAACACCTGTATTGGGAAGGGGCATGAAGGCTGGAGATGAAGAAGGAACATCAGAAAAATAGGCTTCAATATAGACAAAGGCACAGAAAGAGAGAGCCAGGAAAAAGCAAAAGGGAAAACTTACAGAGTAATTTCCTTCTTTACACAAATATGAGCCTCTAGGAAGAGACTAAATCAGCAGTATCCAGTGCTTTTTATTACTTATAAAAGTCTAAAACAAGGCTATGAATCATCAACACGAAAAAAAACTATCGTCTTTCACCAGTCTTCGATTTCCCCATTCCTAATCCTTAAATAATGACTTTTTAAATATGAGACTAACCCAGTAATTAAGATAGTGAACTCTAGCACTAATGCATTAACTTTTGTAACCAAAGCCAGCATAATCTAACTGTGAAAGCTGTTTCCTGCACCCCTAATTCTCCCTGTTAGCCAGCAAAGAAGTGGGGGGTCCAAAGTGTGAGAAAGGATTTGATATGCAATCAGCAGGAACAAAATTCCTTGGTTTAGAAATAATCACAAACTGATTTTTCCAGACACAAGTGGTGCCACCAGTGAGGGGTTAATTTTAGTCCCAGCCCCTAGCTCGTGCAAAGGCAAAAGTTTTTCAGTGTGCATAGTGGCCTGAGCCTCATAGCATCAGAAGAAATCTTGAGTTTAATGAAAACAATGAAGGCAGAAATCAAATTATTACAATGCCAAGAAAGTTGACTGGAGTACACTGCACTTAAATTGCTAAATTGATTTAAATTTCTAGTCAATTTCTTTTGGGGAATGCATGGGTTTGAATCCATGCTCTGCAATTTCCATAACTCAACAACTGTTCATTGAGCTGGATGTCATATGGTAGGTCTAATCAAAGTGCGGTTCCCAGATGTGCAGTGCTAGTATCACCTGGTGGCTTGTTAGAGATACAAATTCTTGAGTCATACCCCAGACTGGAAGAATCAGAAACAGTGGTAAGGCCTAGCAAACTCTAGTACAACCGTCCCTTCCAGTGGTCCTGATGTAGTTCAAGTTTTCCAGCACTGAGGTCAACATAACTGTTAGGAGTTCAGACTTTGGGTCTGAATTCCAGCCCCACTATGAGACTTTGGGCAGTCACTTGGCCTCTCTAAGCTTCAGTCTCCTCTTCCACGTACCGTATTTAGCTCTATGCTCAGTAAATATCCCCACCATTCAGAGTGTGAGGCATGAGGCCTGGTGCTGGCCAGACATGAAAGAACCACACTGCTCTTCACTGTGGTTCTTAAAGTCCACTGAAAGAACTCAACAGCCTAGCACAAGGGTTGGCAAACTTTACCTGTAAAGAGATGGGTAGTAAATATTTTGGGCCTTATAGACCATACAGTACCCATCTCAACTTCTCAAATCTGCCTTTGTGCCATGAAAGCAGATATGGTGAATAAGCATGGCTGTGTTTCAATAAAACTTTATTTATGGGTGAAAAATTTGAATTTCATATCATTTTCACCTGTCAACTCTTATTCTTCTTTTGATTTTTTTTTCAACCATTTAAAAACACAAAAGCCATTCTTACTCAGGAGCTGCATGTAAATAGGCAGCAAGCCGGGCTTGTTCTAGAGGAGGTAGTTTGCTGACCCTAGTCTAGCACTCTCATGCTGGTAAAGTTGTCAAGCCAGAGTTTTGTCATCTGTCAAATGAAACCAATCCTGCCCATGCTGAAGGTTGTTGTGAGACAATAAATATCTGTAAACTACCTAGTAGGCTGCCTGACATGCAGAAAGCCCTCAGCAAATGACAGCTACTGTCATTATTATAACGAAATGTTCATCTCATGAGAAAAATGCTAACACTGGATGGTCTAGGACAACGAGTTGGAGCAGGGCAGGAATACAATGCAAATGTGTAGGCAAAACAGAGATTCAGGTTTACAAACAGATTTTCTCTAAGCACCATTGGCCATATGTCTATTAGCATGTCGCTGAATTTATGCACACAGAAATAAGCAGTAAAAAATAAGCAAACCGAACAAAGAAACTGCAATCACCTTGCTCTCTGGACTTAAAAGAAGACATGTGGTTTGTTCTGGACATTTAAATTGCTCCCATATGTGTAATACCCTCCTGGAGCAATGAAACAACTCAAATAAAAGTGCTTCAAGTCTGTGTCTGCCCTCAAAGCCTCCAGGAGTTCACACTACCACACTGAGACCAAAGAGCCAACTCACACATACCACAAAGCAGCACTCCCTTGGGAAAACTCACAGCTGCACAACATCTGGGGTAAAATTAGGCTCAGGATATGGTGAAACTGAGGACTGCATTTTCAGATAAAATTTCAAGGGCTCATCAAACGCTCAGATGTGTCCCTGAGTCAGGCACTCATTACTTGCTCATCAGTCGCCAGCCTTTGGCTGCCAGGAGTCCAGCCAACAGGTGTGTCCTCCCCATCTGAACCTGACCCAGCAGCCAATCCTTTCTGCAGCCCCTTACGCTACTCTCATTGTCTGAGTCTAGTGGTCTCTTCTGATAGTGAAGATGAATACCTGAAGGAGCATGCTGTCCAATACAGTAGCCACTAGCCACATGTGGCTTTTGAGCATTGAAACATGGCTGGCATAACCAACAAACCACATTTTTAAAATTTCATTTCATTTTAATTAATTTACCTTTTAAAAATAATGTTCCATTCAGCTACTGGAAAAGGTCTAAGCACAATTCAACTTAGACGAGTGAACCTACTTTTTTACTTTAAATTAGTAAAATCAAAATACAAATCAAATATTTCTGATGAAAAATTTAGAATTCAAACTGAGAGATGCTATAAGTGTAAAACGTACACCGAGTTTTAAGAACTGTTTGTAAAAAAAAAGATATAAATATCTCATTAATTTTTATATTGAGTACATTTTGAAATGAAAGTATTTTGGATATACCAAGTTAAATAAAACACATTATTAAATTCTACATGTTTCTTTTTTGCTTTTTTAAAATAATGGCTCTTAGGAAATGTACAATTGCATAAAAAGCCTACATTATATTTCTGCTGGACAGCACTGCTACAGACCATGAAATAAGGGTATTATTGTTTTATTCATATTAATCACAAAGCCAGGATGGGACTCAGAGTCGGTCTAGCTCTGACCTCTGCACCCCACAGTCTTCTTACTGCCCACACCCTAGAGAGCAGTTCTCGTGTCTCTTCTCTGGTACCACTTTCTCTGATAAGGCAAACGCTTCACAAAGAGAGACTTTCACTTCTCTTTCTTTCGAGTCCAGCCCATTGTCGCGGCCAGCCGCGCAGCAAACAGCACCAGGAATCACAGCCCTGCTCACCGCAAGTGCATATCCCACTAGTCCCAAATAGAGGGATCAACTCACGACAGTCATTTGCTCATTCTAGTTCTCAAAATCTAAGATGAGTATTGCAACCAGGTTTTAATCCCAGATCAGGACTCATTTCCAACCCAGAATATACACATTTTACTTCCAATTCCCTTGTGATCATGATCTTCTCAGAGCAAGATGCAAATCGTTTCCATAGCTGACCAAAGAAGTTTTTACTTCGTGTGTAGTAAATGCACAGCCAATAAATTCACTAAGAAACCAAATAGCCTTTGAAATCAGAGAGAAGTCCCTTCCAGAAAAGGATTTTACGTGCGATAGTTTTCAAATCTGAGTAAATATTAAGATAAGATTGAATGAATGTGCATGTATATTTATATTTGCTATGTGTGCACAGAGAAACACACCTTTAAAAAAAAAAACAAAAAACACGAAAACGACCCAAGTATCCTCTTTTTCTGGCCTCCGACAAATCTGTTTAGGAGTAAATTCTCCCTCACTCTCTCAAGTACCAGATGTTGTTGGCCCCCACACCTCCACATCACACAGGAAATGAAAGAGAGGCCTGGAGATATGGAGTGTGGGGTAAGGGGCTTCTCAAAGAATGTCACCTACCCTAGGGCTGCTGTTTATTAAAGTCTCTTAATATCCCAGGCCAAGGTCTCTGACTTAGTGACTTTAAATCAGTTTACAGTCAGAACCAGAGCCTAGTCTCAATTTTTGAATTGAGAGAAACAGCAATAGAGAAAGCGCAGATAATCCCTTCACCTCATTTGAACCTTTTCCTAGGCCCACTCTCCTGCTGACAAACCTTTACAGAGCTGCTAACAAGGAGAGAAATTAACAAATTTGGGGTTTAGCACCCCCTTTTTTCTCTGCTCAGGTGAAGGCGCTAATTGGCAGTAAAAGGCATAAAACGTGTACATCAGAATGGCTGGAGGCAAATGGGGTCTGGATAATCCATAAACTGAATAATGAGCCTTTTAATAACCAGGAGCTAACTGCAGCTTTTGGTAATGGGATCCAGGTAGCACTTGTAAATCTACTCCCTCCAATTAGAAAAATGCCTTCCTCCACTGTTCCCTAAAGCCAGGAAACAGAAAAGAACCTCATTCAACTCCCAGCCCTCAGGCATAAGTGTGTGTTAAATTCTTACAAACAGAAATTTTTCTCCTGGGGAGAAGCTTTCATAACTTCGCTCAGTCGTTTACTAGAAAGCTTAATAGGCTTCCCTGTTTTCCTCAGACCTAAACCCCTTCTTTCTCCCACTAGTCCTTCAACAAAGGTTTCCTCGATTCCAGCTATTATCAGTACTAATAATACTAATAACGTTTTTTGCCATTTCCACTTCATGCCTATGCAGTGCACTCTGCTTTGCAAAGTGCATTCACAAGCATTATCTCTTTGGTTCTCCAACACCACCCAAGGGACAGATCTATGTTGGGGAGCCTGAAATGTATACGATTTGTGGGATTCCTTGATAAAATGAATATAAAATTATAAATACCAAAATGCTAGTGTCTCTTCCCAGAACCTTGGAAGGGCCCTGAAGCTTGCGTTCAGGGTAAATCCAACTCTCCCTCACTCCCACCCCCAAAAAGGACACATAGGTTCACATAACTTGCCCAGGGTCAAAGATCTATTCAGAATTAAACAGAATTAAAGCCTTCTTATCTCCTCAGTCTTTGCAGCCCCTCTAGTTCCTCTAGTTCTTCTGTCACAAAGGAAACTTAAAGGAACAAATAAAAACGACACAGCTAAAAGTGGTCCCCATCAGGCCACCAGATTAGGAAGTTGTCTAGACTGGATATTGTCTGGGGTAGAAGATGGTGAAATAAATTCAGAATCCCTATAAATATTTACTAAATTGGCACTGAAGGTAAAAGACAAGCTCTATAGCTTGTCCAACCCGCAGCGCAGGACAGCTTTGAATGTGGCCCAACACAAATTTGTAAACATTCTTAAAACATTATGAGATTTCTTTTGCGATTTGCTTTTTTTTTTTTTTTTTTTTAGCTCACCAGCTGTCATTCGTGTTAGTGTATTTTATGTGTGGCCCAGACAATTCTTCTTCCAATGTGGCCCAAGGAAGCCAAAAGTTTGAACACCCCTGCTTTACAACCACACGAAGTCAGGGTGAACCCCACCTCCATCACTTACTGACCACAGGACATCGGACAATTTACTTAGGTTTTCTGAACTTCAGTGTCTTCATTTGTAATAAAAGTTTACTTAGCACAGAAGCCAGCCTGAGCACTCTGGCTGTTCAATAAATGGCACCTATTGTTGCTGTTGTTATCAATCCATCCAAAGAGCACTACTTTTACCCAAGCCACTCATTCCCCACAATGTGCTGATATACGTAGCAAAAGCATCTGCTCAGTCACTGTAAGACTGGAAATTAGGCCAGGCAGCTGCTGAGAATTCAGCATTTCCTGGGCAGCAATAAGAAATGTCATAGCAGATTTATTAAATGAAGTGACTTGTCTACTTGCCAGGGTTATCCTACGGTTTCAGATTTATCATCTGTGTACCTGTGAAGTCCCTGTGGCTTTCCAGTCTCAGTGAAGCCATACTGTTTTCAAATGCTTTGAGACCTCATCGTTTGAGAACCACACAATCATTTGGTTGTGGGTGTTTGGTTTTTGATTGTTTTTTTTTTTTTTTGGTTTATCTGTTTCTGTTAATCTGGGGAACCAAAATGATCATGACAAAAGTTAAACCACGCCTACACTTCTCTTTTTCCCTCCTTCTAGTCCAGTTCTCTCATCTCCCCATCCCCCCAACCCCAGATCTTAAATTGGCCCCAGATTTTATATGAGGAATGGTAACAGACCTACCTACAAGAAACATACTAAGAAAAAATTTAAGGAGCAAACTAATCAACAAGCTCTAATCTGCCTGCTATACATTAGAGTAAAAAATCCATGCCACATCCTTGAAATGCTCAGCTGTTTTCAGAAGACAGGTTGGACCTGTGTCTATAACTGACATAAAAAAAAATTAATAACACCACTGATACATTCAGCAAACACTTAAGGATCACCTACTGAGAGCCAAGCTAGTTCTTAGAAATACCAAGTTGAATAAAACAAAGCCTTTTCTGCCTTTTACATTCAGTTCAGTAACCGTCAACACCCCACCCATATACTCCCATACCATGAGGTGTAATTTTCAAACTCCTCGCATACTTTTAATTACTAGTTTAATTATTTGCCTTCTCACTGAGTCTATAATCTCACTTAGGGTAAGAACAGAACTCAATTACAGATGCTCAGTAAACACTGGAAGGCCGCGGCTCCCTAACATTTGATAGTCAAAGAAGAGCTGGGCATGAAAGCAGTTTATTGACAGTACATGGTAATACCTGCTACTACAGGGACAAGAACTAAGACCACAGGAGCACAGAGGAAGCCTGCTGAGGCAGGGGATGGCCTGACCACAGATGTGACTCTAAAGTGGGAGTTGAACAAGGCAGGGGGAGTAAGGATGGAAAGTAAGGGGCAGAGTTGAGAGGTTTTCCTGAGACAGAACTGATGCACTGTGGAGAAGGATTAGATCTGGGGCAGGGGGAGGAAGAGGAAATGAGAAGACGCCAAGTTCCTAACTTGGTATCATCATTCATCTAATTACCTATCAATCAAGATAAATATATGAGGACAGGTCACTGGAGAGAAGGTAATTGTGGCTTAGTCATGCATCTATCGTATCAGCTAACTGCTTCATGTTCATAAGCCTCATCAACCTGGCAAAACCATAATCTTCTCGAAGGCAGAAATGATTCTCAAGGATCTTGTGTCTACATGTCCACTCAATGTCCACTTCCAATATAAAAGTTAATACAATTCACCTATATTTTTTAAAAATGAAAGTGTACAAGACACTGTGCTGAAAATGTACCTGCTGACCAAGGGTAGAAATCATAAAAGAAAATATGGATAGATTTTCTTGCATAAAATTTTAAAGTATCTATAATTTATAAAAGAAGAAAGACAAATGACTAATACAAATTTAAAAGCTTAACTTCACTAATGATCAAATAAATACAAATTAAAGCAAAGAGTTTTCCTGTCTATCAAATTTGAGAGACTTTTTAAACAACCCCACGAGATCTTCCCTGTAATCTGTCTCCTGGAGCTGCTGAAAACAGAGAATCTGACAAGGGCTCTGGGGCCCAAGAAGACATCAGAGCTGCTTAATGAAAAGAGACTGGTCCTAGGCCAGGCACGATGGCTCATGCCTGTAATCCCAGCACTTTGGGAGGCCAAGGCACACAGATCACTTGAGGCCAGGAGTTCAATACCAGCCTGGCCAACATGGTGAAACCCCGTCTCTACTAAAAATACAAAAAATTAGCCAGGCATAGGGGTGCATAGCTGTAGTCCCAGCTATTTGGGAGGCTGAGGCACGAGAATTGCTTGAATCCAGGAGGCAGAGGTTGCAGCGAACCAAGATCACGCCACTGCACTCCAGCCTGGGCAACAGAGTGAGACTCTGTCTCAAAAAAAAATAATAATAATAAAGAGACTGGTCCTTGAGTTGATTCTTTATTCAATGGTAGAGCTACACAGGAGAGCTGCCTAACCAGGAGCATGGCAAGAAATGAACCTGCTAAGATTCAGAGTTTCTTTTTTCCCCCTGCAATATAACTAATATACAGATTATCTCATTTAACCTTTAGAATAACCCATTGAGGAATGCATGATTCCCATTTTGGAAACTGAGGTAGTGAAATCAAGAAACTTGTTATGGCTCTATAATCAATAAGGAGTGGAGCCATAATTAAAAGTCACATATTTCTGGCTTTAAAGTCCAGGCAATGTGAAGTCTGAATTCCTAAATTAAATGATTATGAAGTGATCATCGTTCTGTTACGAGAACTAGCGCTATGCATTGGCAGAATGGGCCCTCAGCATGCACAGCACCTTGAGGGGATAGTTCCATATCCCCTAAAAGACCAAAATTAGCTGCCACAGCATGGGGGTCTCTTCTTAGTGAGGGTCACTATTGTGTAGGCAATAATGATACTTTAATCAATATCTCTCTATCTCAGTTTTCTCATTTGTAAAAATGGATAGTAAAATCTACTGCAAAATTCATTGAGAAGATTAAAGTCTTAGCCCACAGAACAAAGTTGGCACTGCCTCAAAACTTATCTTTCTAAAACACGAGCTCCGTCATAGTAAATCCTATTTAGTCTTCAAAACACAACTCCAATATCATCAGTGGGAAGCCTGTCTGAACTACCCAATGACAGGGGTAATTGCTCTCTCCTTCCATGCTTCTACTATGCCCTCCATGGACCTATGTAGTTTTATTCTTCACATTGTAACCTAAGCACTCATTTACTTTTCTATCATCCTTACTAAACCATAAGCCATTTGAGAATGGGGTCAATGGTTTATGCATCTTGTGATGTAAAAGGAATCAGAACAGGCTACCCCAAAATATATCACTTTGGCATATTGATTATTTTGAGCTAAAGGCAATTGAGAAAAAGCAGATACAGGAAGGGCTTTCTGACCTCCCCATTTCTACCTAAAAGCAAGGCATAAAATTTCCCATGAGAAATGTCCCTTCCCTGTGCCAGGAAGAGGAGAACATTCTTATGATCAAAGATGGAGAGTCAACACCAAAATAAATCTCTAGTAAAAACACTCACCTATTTTCCATTAGTTTTCCCCATACATTTCCCACTTTCTCACAATCGACTGCCCCAGCCCAAACCCCCTTTTTCCTTTGTCTTGTCACATTTCCACAATTTATCCTTCTCTATTAAAATGCTTTATAAACTCTCAGGCCTCTCCCCTTCTTCGGGTCTTTATTTCTTATATAGGAAGCCCTCTGTGGTACACATAAAAACATTAACATCAAATAAAATGTGTATGTTTTTCCTCTGTTAATATGCCTTTTGTCAGTTTAGCTATCAGGACCAGGCACAGAAACTAAGAGGGCAGAGGAAAATCTTTCCTTTTCTACATATGCCAACACCAAGTCCAGGGTCAGCAAATGGCAGAAAATATTTCATTAAAAAAAAAAAAGTCCATAGTTTTATCCTCATAAAAACCCTGTAACGCAATGGTTATAATTCTATGAACACTTCAACAAGGGAAAACTGAGGCTCCAGGTTGCAGCAGCTGTCTAAAATCATATGCAAGAAGCCAGGCTTGCACTGAACTCAGGTCTCTGGACTGAAACCTGTATTCTGCACTGCTCCATGTGTAGCTTTTCAAAGACAACAAAGAAAAAAGATCCAGCCCAGACTGTCTAGACCATGACCAGAGAAGGGGATTGCTCAAAGGTGCTCAAAGGTGGTTGGAACTGAATGGTATTAGGCCATCTTAAAAGTCATCACCTGGGAAAGTACTGGAACAGCAGTAAAGTATATGGAAGGTTGACATATCTGGGTCTAAATCCAGGATCACTCTGTCATTAACCCTGTGTGGCCTTGGGCAAATCTCTTAAACTAGGGAGCGTCAACTTTCTCATCTGTAAAATGGGGTTTAAAACAATGATACTTATCTTTCAGGGTTTTATGTAAAGATTAAAGAATAAAAAACATTTTGTATTTTATAAAAAATAATAGTTATAAGAAACAGACTGAGGATATAGTAAGGATCAACCAAACTGCACTTATTATTATATGTTAGAGGAAAAAAATGGCACATATTAAATGCCTGTGCCACAAAGTATTTTTCATACCCTATCTTATTTCATTCCCACAGCAACCTTGTGAAGCAGGTGCCACTACTTTGATCTTATATTGAAGAAACTAAGGCCCAGAGACATTTAAGTAACTTGTCCAACATCACAGAGGTAGCAGTGGGCAGAGCCAGCATCCAGACATATCTTTCTGAGTCTAAAGCCCACATTAGTTTCAGTGGAGGGAAGATAAGGTGGACAGATATGTCCCAAATGTCTGAAAGCAGTGTGAAGTGCTAGAAGAGAAAGATTGGACCAGATTCATGTGTAGTTTGGGATGTGCATTAAAGATGTTTACCACATGTATAGGACAAGGCAGGGGAGAAACCAAAACAGAAAAAGATGGCCAGCAATAAATATCATGCTCCTCAATGTCCCTTTCAGCAAATAACACAATGAATAGTAAAGATGACTCATATTCATATTTCAGTCCTTGTGCTAAGAGCCTCCCGGTCAAATACCCCATACTGTAATACTGATGTATTATTTCCTCATGTCCTGGAAAATGTTCTGAAACAAAAAGAGGAAGTTCAGAAAGCTCACAGGAAACTTCTGATCTCCTTTACGCAAAGAAGGGGAAACAACTTCTACGAGGTTAGTCTCTTATTTTCATCATTGACACCAGGCACGTTAGAAGACGATTCAGGTAACCAGAACACAGTAGATGACTTAATATCATCTTATAGAGAAATAAATGCTACTTCACAATAACACAACAACAACGAATTGTTTCCTGGTATTTTCCATCGTCACACAGTTCCCCCAGGCTTGGACAACTAGGTCTCTGCATTCTCCAGTCAAGGCCCAGGAAACTTTCATGCTGTTCATGTTTTTGATTCATGCATCCAGGTTATGTTCTTGTAGAAAGGTAGTGCAAAAAAAAAAACGAGGGCAGGGGAGGCCTCTACCAGTGGGATGGAAAGTTCTTTTTAAGTGAGGCCCTCACACCAAGTTCTCCCACCTGAGGCCACAAGTCTGTGAACCCAGAAAGATGCTCAGGTGAGGCTAAGAATCCGGTCTTGGAGAAAGAAAACTCAACAAAGAAGGGATGGCTGAGCGCACTCTGGCAGAGCATAAAATCATTTTGTCTATTCAAATTTATGAGCATAAAGAGAGTGAGAGGTTCTCTACTAACATATACATCCTCGTGTGAACTTTTCCAAAGTAGAGCTAAGGGCAAACAGAGCTAGCAGATCTCATAGAAAACTCATTCCTAAGGGACTACCTGTAAACTCAGAAGTTTCTGTCTTCACATGATCAAATGCACAGTAGAGCCCACCTCCGCTCACTCTTCCCTCCATTTAAAGCGCTATGCCCCTCACCACCAGCAACTCACGCCTAGCCACTCCACCCCTCCCCGTGGCCCCTGAAAGGCCTCAGGCTCCACAGAGCCGCGGGACCCGCGGGAACACCCCTCCTCTCCCTACCATCCCCATTATTCGGCACACAGCCCTGCTCTCCCCTGGAGCCAACAGTCTGCAGCTCCTTCAATGCAGGCGCGAGCAGGAGGCAGGAATGGTGGGAAAAGAAGCTGTGCCAGCTGCATGTTTCAGAATCTCCCTCCATATGCATTTGCCAAAGGAACAAAAAGAAAATCAATGCCAGGAAAAGACAACTGAGATGAGGATGCGGTGGGACCGCGGCTGACTCCGTGCCTCTGAGCAGCAAGGGGCTGGCCAACCACGCGTCCGAGCCACAGATCCAAGTCGTTACCTTCAGGATGCAGGCCATGGCGCTCCGCCGGCCCTCCTGCCACCGAGCAGCGGGCGCGCCTGGGTCAGGGGCAGTCCTGGGGGCAGGCTGGAGGCTGGTACCACGGCAGGACCTCTCCAGCCCACATTCCCGCAGATCCAAATAAGGGGACCGCGGTGTAAGCTGCGCCGCCACAGACCCCGCCCCCCGAGCCGCGGCCCCGCCCCCGTCCCCATCCACTGGCCCGCGGCCCGCGCGGCCCCGCCCCCGGGTCACGTGCCGTCCTGGGCGCCGGCGCCGGCGGCTCCTCAGTGCCTGCTACTTCTTTCTCTTGTTTTCTTCTGTGAACCTTTCGCGGCTCGACGTGCGCAGAGTGCGCTCTGCAGCAGGCGGGGACCTGGGTCCCGCGGGGGGCAGAGTACGGCCTTTTCTTCTCGGTTCCGTCTCCTCTCACACATCAGAGAACTCCTTTTTACAGACGTTTCACACTTTGTCAAAGTTGAGTGGGTTTGGCATCGCCCTTCTGGAGACTTTGGGCACATCAAAGGGCTTTTCAAAAGTAGCAACGAAGTTCTCCCTGGGCTGTTCAAGGATTGAGCCTTCACTCTGTGATGGGCTTATCTAAAATTAATAATTTACCGCTAATAAGTGAGCACAAATATCAACGAAAGAAAGACGTCATGAACCTTACACTCTGTATGGTATATTTTGTGTGTGTGTACATATTTTACATATACATGTATGTGTGTATAATATATAAATTATTGCCTTTTCCTGGTACAAGCTTGTTTATGAAATTGTATATGCATGATATACAGTATACAGATACAGGATGCACACATGTGTATATTGTATTATATATGTACATGTTGATTGTACAGTATATGTTTATAAACTGTGTATGTGTACATGATAGGACTTTGCTCTTCCCTGCTCCAAGCAAGAGCCGGCTAAGAGAAGCAGTTATTTCTACAAGGAGAGTAAACGCATTGCAGAAGGGAGAGAGCATTCCGTGTACACACACAGATTTTTACCACTTGGTCTGTCAGAAAAATTTTAAAAGCGGCCCCCAAATATCTACCCAAAAGAAGTTTCACTTGCTAGAAGCTCCGTCTAGTTTGCCTCCATGGAATCAGGAAAAGCACTGTGGGCTGGTGGTGTCATGAGATTGGCTCACAAACCACAAGGCAGAATCCAGGCTTTCAAGGAATTTGGTATTTTCTTGATGAGAACATGCAGAATTCTTAGAGAGCAGGAGTAACCACAGGAAGGAGGTTGCAGAAGCTGAGCCTGTGGATGAACTGCCTGTCCCATGGGAAGCTCCTGTCTTCAGTCTCCCTGGAATACCACACCCTGCTCTTCGACTTCTTCCTCCCGCCCCTCCCTCCTCTGCCTTACAGATCCGGTGTGTTTTTAGTAAGAATTCTTTGTTTGGGACTATATACTTTAAACCGCTGCTTTAGCTCATGGTCCTTCATAGGCCAGGAAAATTCAGTATTTCATTCATTTACTCATCCCTTGATTGATTCCACAAACTTTTTTATTGAGCCACTACTAAATGGAAGAATAAACTTTATTCACCTTCCACTAAGTGGAGGAAAAATCTTTATTGAAGACCTTTCAGGGATAGGAGAATGACTTTCAGAATATCTAACATCAAGGTGGGCTCACAGTTAAGTGAGAAAGACAAGAATAAGAGATACATGATACTATAACATGGAAAGGGCCTTAGCCAAATTGGAAGCAAAGATCTCAGGAAGGAGAAAGAGAAACACCTGACCGTCCCCCAGCCCGACACCCGTAAAGGGTCTGTGCTGAGGAATATTAGTAAAAAAGGAAGGCCTCTTGCGGTTAAGAGGAAGGCCTCCGTCTCCTGCATGTCCCTGGCAGAACAGCAGAGCAAAGGGGTGAGGGTGGGCAGAGCACATCGTTCTCTCTAGAAAGTCTGTACATCTGGAAAGAGAAACAGCAGGCCCTAGTGAACAGCCCTGCTAAGTACTTCCCTGCTGGGTGTCCTTGATCAAGTTTCTTAACCTCTCTTTAATCCTTACCTTATCTAATATTATCTATCCTCAAGAGAATTAAATGAGATAATAATGTTTGCAAATTGCATTTACCTCAATTTCTGGCACTATGAGCACTTTTTATATGATAGCTCTTTATGTAAAGAAAAAAATCTTCCGCTAAAGACAGACTTGTGGGAGAAGATGAATAGGATAATTGCCATCAGCCTTGGGTGTCTCAGGAGGATGAACACCAACGGAGCAAACTTTTAACATGTTATGACTTGGGTATGCCGTGATGAGGCCTTTACTAATTCCCTCAATCTACTTGGATATGGCTTTCTCAATTACATTTCTATCCACCCATGTCCATACTTCCCAAGGTGTTATTTTTTTTATTAACATCCAAAAGTTATGTCAAACAGCTAGAAATAAAGGCACATTTATAACAATCTAAAAACAAACTCAAGTTCTAGAATAAATCTGGACTGGAAGATTTACAAAACAGTATTAACAATCACTGTTTTAGATGGACCACTCGATGTCTGGGGGTGGGGGGGAAGCTTTTGGATGGAAATAAAAACAGGTTTTGAACCTACCAGGGAATGGAGATAGCCAGATTTGTTGGGGCTGGGAGGATAGGAGTGTGTTGCCAGGATTTTTTTGTTTTAAAACTGGCCAAACTACAGGAACAGCTTAGTCAAATCCATAGGTGTAGCATAATTTTCCAGCTCTAACATTATGTGACTTAAAGCCAAGAGTTTCTATTTCCAAAAATAATAATAACAAAATGGAGCATCCTGCAATTAAAGAAAGTATCTCATTTGATCCTCACAACATCCACATGGATGTTATCATCCCCAGCTGGTAACTAGGGGAACAGGGGTTTGAATCTAGGGACTTGTGGGTTTGCCATCTTAACTGCTACATTCAGCTGTCCAGTATGTTAGAAGCCCAATTTCTGTCATTTGTCACTCTTCACATTTCATCTGTTGTCTTAGTGTAGCCATAGGAAAACTTAGGGTAAGTATGAATCCTCCCCGGGATACAGACTAGGATACAAAACCTAGGGTAAATATGTGAGTATGCAGAGGATAGGTACACTCTATCAATCTGAGTGTACCGGATACATACACTCACCCTGTATTTTTCAACCCTCAGCCCCTGGGTCATACCTTAACAAAGACCCAGCACTTCTCATCAGTCTCTCACCAACCAAGCTGTTACCACCTTCTGTGCATGAGAATGACTTCCAATCAAAGATTCTCACTGCTGCATCTCACCTACTACGTGGGGGTGCCACAGAGCAGCCTGCCAGCCTTTGCTTCCTTTCATGGAGAGATCCTTGGACCTGGCCCTTTCACTACATCAGCCTCCCTAGGGCTCTTCTTGGCTTCCTGGTCCACCTTCCCTCTCCTCAGAGGCCTTTCACTAGTGAGATTTCACCATGCCTCAAGGTGGAGACTTCATGAGTTATGACAAGTCATGGGTGAATATTTGCTATTTAAATTCAGTTTTGCCTCATTGTAAACAGCCCCATTACCCAATAATTCTCAGAGTTATAACATACAGTTAGTTCCCTGATAGAAATAGAATTAACATGCTGACTCTCATAACTTTTCCAATTTCAGCCTGCACACATATTAATTTAATATATTTATATGCAACACAGAGTCATTTATTAAGATTTTAATTGGATCTCAATTTTTCCAATCTAAAGATTTTAAATGAATTCCAGATATCATAAAACTCTTTGTCATCCACTACATAAATTATGCCTCCATAGGAGACTGTGACTGGAAGATCCATTAGAAAATGTTATGGGAAAGTCATTTTTTTTAACATTCTGAGCCAGGATAGGAAATGATCTTCTTTTTCTAGAAATCATTGCACTGTTATAATTGTGACCTAGGAAATTTTTCATATCCTAAAGCAGGCATCTAGCTGTCCAGGTCCACACGTGTGTCTGTAGCTATGTTTAACTGCATCTTGGCTATGCCCTTTTAGGTAGCTGTTTATGAGAATACACTGACATATGGGGTTAAGCTTCATTTCTCTCCTTTTCGATAGTAGGACATTCCAAAATGTCATCCAGTTTGCATTCCCAAGACTTGAGCTTACTGCTATTTCAAACCTTTGCACAGTTCTTCTAATCCAGAATTCGTCAACATCCCTGACTATACTGATACTTATCTGGGATGAACTCCAAGACAAGTTACGCATGATTTAAAATTGCATTTTTAAAATATTATATATTTTCCCATTCAGTAACATTCTCCCTTAACTTCATCTCAGCTCTACCTTTCCCTATTGGAAGTTTCCATTTTTTTTCAAATGAACCAATTAAGAAAAGCTGTTTTTAATTTTTAAAAAATCCAAAACTAATGTTGTTTGCCTACTTTTCATTACCTAGAAGAATGTAGTTTTTAGCCTGATTTGTTTTTCTTAAAGAGTTTTCCTCTAAGTTTTTTTTTAAAAAAAAAAACATAATCAATTAAAAGTAAATATGGACTGGGCACTGTGTCTCACGTCTATAATCCCAGAACTTTGGGAGGCCCAGGCAGGCATATCACCTGAGGTCAGGAGTTCAAGACCAGCCTGGCCAACATGGTGAAGCCCCGTCTCTACTAAAAATACAAAAATTAGTCGGGTGTGGTGGCGCACACCTGTAGTCTCAGCTACTTGGGAGGCTGAGGCAAAAGAATTGCTTGAACCTGGGAGGCAGAGATTGCAGTGAGCCAACATCGTGCCCCTGCACTCCAGCCTGAGTGACAGAGCTAGACTTCATCTCAAAAAAAAAAAAAGAAAAAAAAAGTAAATATGGCTAGAAGCACTGGCATATAGTTTGAATTTAGTTTGTATTGGATCTCTCCAAGGCTGTTGAAGCCTCCATTATTAATTGAGTCTGATATTTCTTAACCATGTTTCCCAGAGTTTGTTTCCTTTTTATTGTGAGGTTCCTCTCATGTGTGTTTCTCTACACTCTTCTTGGATTTCTCCTCTCAGTGAGGCCTGGTTACATGCTGCCCTAAAAGATTAGAATGGAAAGTTGGTATTTGAAATGCATCCATGCAGGACTGATGGGAACACCCAGGGGAGAGGGCCTAACAGTTGGGGTTCTGCTGCAGTTTATTTTGCCTGAACCATTTTTTTCCTCTAATGGTCTAGCCCTCACAAACCCTCTGGAGAGAGCTATGATTTTTGCTAATTCTTCGTGTCAATACCATCCCCTTCCAGGAATCTCCCCGAACCCTCCTGTTTGTATCTATTTCTGAACTATTGTAGAAAAGGTAGAAGAAAAACATCATCCAATGCAAAGAAAAAAGGTCCAAAAAGAAGTCACCTGAATACATTCTCACACAACCCCTGAAACACAAGGTATTGTTATTGTGCCCAACAATGTCAATATGTATCAAGCTGCTCCCAGCACACCTGCGTGAAGGTGGAACAGACAAACGTAAAGGGGAATGTCCCCTGTGGAAAAGCCATTCATTCTTTTCAAGAGCAACAGATATAAAGCAACAAGTGACTTAGGAATCTGAAAATCCTGGTTCATTTGTTGGTTTAACAAACATTTGCAAGCCCAGGTGATGTGTATAGGAAGCAGAAACAATTTGTGAATGGGCTTCCTCCTATAGTCAAAACTTTCAGTGGCCTCTTGATACATTTATAGGCCTGCCAACATTGTCTCCTTAATCATTGCACGTTATTCTCTTACACCAACAGTTGGCAAGCTTTGTCAGCAAAGAGCCAAGTAAATATTAGGCTTTGCAAGCCATTTGGTCTCTGTCACAACTATTCAACACTGCCATTGTAGTATGAAAGCAGCCATAGAAATAAACAATGGGCAGTGTCTGTGTTCCAATAAAACTTTTTTATGGACACTAAAATTTATATTTCATGTACTTCTCAGTGCTATGAAATATTATTCTTTGTTTTTTTAACTATTTAAAAATGTACAATCCACTTTTGGTTCTGCAGATATAGAAAAACAATCTGCAGACCCAATTTGGCCCACAAGCAGTAGTTTGCCAACCTCTGTCTTGATCTTCGCATTCTTTACTCAGCTAGATTTCACCATCCTTCAATCCCAGATCAAATCCCATTTGGCTCTTGATGCCCTTTCAGACCACCCTAGTCTAGTGTAGTTTCTCCTCTTTGAATTCCAACAATTACTGTTTGCAAAATTCTTTTGGCAATGAGTCACATCCTATCTGGTGGAAGTTTTTTCCAGTGTTCACTTGACCTGTTATCTACTTTTTTTATTATTATTTTTAGCCTTACTTCCCTAATAGATTGGAAGCTTACTGGTTTCTTCTTTTTCTTTTCAGCCTTCACCTTTTTGTGCCCCTAGCAAGGAAATACAGTACCTTACATGCTCAGTTAATGCTGATTAATCTGATTTGATTCATTCAACTCTGAAGAGATAACTAAGAATTCCAGATGAAAGATGCTAGCAACCATAAATGTATGAAATTGAAAATCAGATTGTCCTACCATTCTGAATGCTGCTCAAAGGTTTTGGGTAAGAAACTTTGGATGTGTTATTACTTCCTTCATCACATATGATATTCTCAGATCATTTTATATTTCTCTATAAGGCATTTTCTACTTTTTAATCATCAGACTGATTACTTGATTTGGATGGATTTTGAGTTCATGTTTAATGACAAGAGTGGCCTGTGATTATCCCTATGGCTGTTCTCAGTTGATTGAGAAATCAGTGATGCTTTTCTTCTAAGTGGAAGCTACCTTCTTTATATCATGATTTTTTAAAAAATCACTGTATGTAGTACTTTTTAACCAGCCATGGTGCATTGTGTTTATTTGATATTTAGTGTAGTTAAAAATTATTCACTAACACTATGATTTCTTTTTCAGTTTGTTCCACTTTATTTCATCTTCATTTTTATTAAAATGTAATTAATAGAATCTTATAAATAAATCTGTTTTGTCTAATAGATGAAGATAGCTGAATTTTCAAAAGCATCAAAGATTTAAATAACTGAGTTTGTGGTTTTCACTGACACCTTTATAATTAAGAGATATTAAGAAATTACATACTAAATAATGGCACGTTCCAAATAAGATTTGTCTTCCCTTCCAAGTGGTGAATTCAGCAGTATTTAGGACAAGCACCGCGTAATTTGAACACTAGAAAAATGTCTGTCTCCTTCTTTCATCAGCTTACATTTTAAATGAATTATTCACAGCTGTCTGTTTCCATTCTTTAACTGTAATAAAACTTTGCCATTTAAAAATTAGTGAAGAATAGTCAACCACCTCTCTCCCTATAAACTAGCCCTTGTCCATATTTTCAGCAAAAGTATGTCTATTAGCATAACCACTGGATGAATCTAAAATATTTTTAAACAACATTTGTCTAAAGACATTTTTAAAAGTTTAATGCCTGTGCTCTACTCTTTTCTTGACCTGTTTTTTTGGTTTTTCATTATTTTTGGTATTTTTTGTTTGTCTATTTGTTTACTTTTTTTTTTTTTAATAGAGATGGGGTCTTGCTATGTTGCTTATGCTGGTCTTGAACTCCTGGCCTCAAGCGACTCTTCCACCGTGGTCTCCCAAAGTGCTCAGATTACAGGCATGAGCCACTAAACCCAGCCTATTTTTGGTACTCTCATCATTCCATTTTGACTCTTCTTTCTTTTACAACATCCTTTACTCATTTTCCCCTGGGGAGGTTTTTGAGTTTAAATTTAACAAGAAAATTAAATATGATAGTGTATATTTTTCCTTGAGAAAGTACAAGTTTGGCTCAAGTATTTGTCTGAATAAAATGCAAATACTCAAAGCAAATAACAAAATTTGTTAAGGGTCTGGAAGTTTACCCCACATACAAACTAAGAAATTACTTACACATTTTTATGGCTGTTGGATGAAGCTACAAGACCCCTGGGCCAGAGATGTAGAACTATTTATTACTTACAGTTATGGGACTACTTATTACAGCAATTGCACCCATTCCCCAAGCCCCAGTTCCCACATGGTAACTTGAAGAAAACCAAGCCACTGTGGGTTTTGTTTAAAAGGAAAAAATCCTGAGCTTAGGGAACTCAAATACTTTATAATAGGCAGTAAGCATGCTGGCCTATTGCTCTTGAGGGAAATATTCTTTCTGTCTTTATGTCTCTCCCTTTTTCTCCCCCAAGGCTAGTCAATAATGCAAATATCCTTGAAAAGATAATCTATAACAAAGGCATTCTCTACCTCTTATCACAAGACATACAGAAACTTAGGAAGTCCATAGAGAATTGCCTCCTACTAGTGATCACATTCCTTGTACATGCCATTATGAATTCTGACTCATGTGGTGCTCTGTACTTACTCTCAACAAATTTAGGCAAAGGATATATGAGGTGTTCAGCAGTGTTTGTTGGATAAATGTGAGCTGTCTCAAATAATTTTTAGTAAGTAGAGTTTGTAAAAATAATAAGTAATTATAAGTAAATATATTTGTTATTTTTCCTCCAGTCCTACACATCATATTCCATTAAAACATGCTATACTCTAAAAGTAAATATTTACTCACTGACTCCAAAATATCCTTTATTTTATTTTCTTTCCATTTTCTTCTGTTAAACACACACACACACACACACACACACACACACACACACACACACACACATCCTATCTTTCTCTTGGCCAGAGAATACCTACATTATTACTAAAAGTTTAGCTATGTAGTGAATGGTTACAGATGAGTAGCTGATATTCTGTTAAATATTCAAGGTGTTCATAGCCCCCAAATAAGTTTTTTTCTTGTTAATCACACTTCTCTTCTTCTTCTCCTTCTCCTTCTCCTTCTTTTTCTTCTTCAGCAAACCCAAAAATCCACCTGTTAAGTCTAGGGAAAACCAAAGAAAGTTAATATAGTGGTACCTTTTTTTTTTGGCAAAACTACTCTATTCTTTAATGATATGAAGCAGTCACACATATCTGGCTACTGCATAAATGTTAATAGTGTCTTAAGTAGACTTCTGAATTAACCCTGTGTTTCAGACAAGACAGTACAAACTCAATCCATCTCAGAAAGGAATCCATAGTAGTTAAAGAAGGAATTTCACAACATTCTATAGGAATTCCCGAGCTCCAATAGTTCTAATCTTTTCAAAATCCTCCTTTACGTGAAACCCAAAATTTTTCTTGCAACTTATTAAAGCTCTTTTATTACACATAACTCTGATCTTCCCGCCTCTTTCTGGTCCCACATTCCACTTGGATTCTCCATACTCTCACCGTGGATTCCATGTATGTCTGCATGTTCAGTGGGCTGAGCCCTGAAATGTGTGTATCTGGCATTGAGCCTCTGATGAGAGACTTTCTATTTCCCTCAATGCTAAACTCCCTCCTCTTTTCTGGCATCTCTTGTCTGCAACCAGGGAATGGGAGTGACATCACTAAACATGTAACGTGTGTTGTGCTGTGGGGTCAGCTAAAGGGTAATTTCTAGGAAGCATGCCTATTCAGAAGACAAACTAGTGTTGGCACTGAGCAGGGGCACTTACTTAGCAAAATGATGCATTTGAGATGACATTTCTGCAGAGTACATAGTGCTGGCGATCTCACACACCAGCCATGCTAACAGTTGGCATGCTAGGGTTCTTTGGGCACCTCAAGTGGCTTCTTCATGGATGAGAAATAGCAAAATAACGAGATTTAGCTAAGGGTTCATCTTGAATGAAAGCGAATACGTGCTGTCAAATGAAATACTCTTGGCATCCTGAAAAGCTTTCTTCTAGCTCTGCACCTCAGAGTGAATGTGCCCAGATATTTTTCTTTGGGACGTTTTAAGGCTAAAACCCAGGCTGACCCTTGCAATAAGCAATATTCCTTCTCCTAATCCAAAATGGGTGTGGGGCAGGGGAAGCAGTAAGAACAATATGTTGAAGAAGAAGAAAAAGAACACAAAATAATATATCTCTAAAACCATCATCCAGTCTATGCAAGTGATGAGACCTAAGGATAAGCTATTAAATAATTTTATCAGTTTATCCAGCTTTTCCCCCACCCCTCACTCCCCACTTTTCTTCCCTGCCCTGCATTGTTTTTCGCATGCCATTTATTTACCTGGATAGTCTTCCCTTCTTTTCAGTAATCAAAATCCAACTCATCTTTAAGTGTCTAATTCAAAAGTCACAATCCATAGGATGGCCAATACTAACAAGAAGTACTTATTCAATAAATTTATTTGAGTGCCTACTGTTTCCAAGAACCTGGACATAGAGCCCTGAAGAAAGAGATGCAGTTCCTGGCCTTAGGGCATGGCAGCATCGACTCCTCTTCCAAACTCCTACAGTCTTTACTGTACCTCTGACTCATTTGTGAGGTGGGATATACTTCTTTGTATTGTGAGCCAGTTTTTCAAGAGTGACCTCTCATTTTCCCAGCCAGATGAGCGGTAACTTATGTGCAGGGAGTTGGAACCAAAGCTAAAGCAGAAACACCTCGGTTTGAATCTCAACTTTGCTATCATTATTTTACCTCTCTGCAACTCAGCATCCTTTCGGATTTCCCCAACTTTTTATTTGGAGAAATTTCAAGCCTGAAGAAAAATCGAACAATACAAAGAACACCCTATATACACGTTACAGAGATTCATCAATTTGTTTTACCTTTTTTATTTTTTTAAGAGATAGTCTGTCTATGTTGCCCAGGCTGAAGTTTAGTGACACAATTATAGTTCATGTAGCCTTGAACTCCTGGGCTCAGGAAATTCTCCCGCCTCAGCCTCCCGAGTAGGTGGGACTACAGGCTCAAACCACTGTGCCTAGCTAATTCAACATCTGTTAACATTTTGCCACATTTACTTTTCCCCTCTGTCTCTCTTTCTCTCTCTCTCCATGTGTGTGCATACACACACACCCCTGCAACATTTGATAGTAAGTTGCAGACATTAAGACACTTCACTTTTAAAGACTTTAGCATGTCGCTTATAATATCAAGAATACTCTCTTACACAACTACACATCATTATCACATTTAAGACCATGTTTTAAAATTCCCTTTTGTACCAACAATGTTCCTGATTGTTGATTTCAGTCAGGAAGACAACAGGGATCACGTATTGCTTTTGATTTATCATTTGTCTTTCATCTCTTTTAATCTAGAATAGTTCTCCTATTTTGTCTTTCAAGACATTGACAGTGTTGAAGAGTTGTTTTTAACAGTTGTTTTGAAAAGTTGTTTTGCAGAATGTTCCTCAAATTTGATTTGCCTGATTATTTATTCATGATTCGACACAGGTTAAATATTTTTGGAAAAATACAGCTGCAGCTTTCTTATCTGGAAAAATGAAGATAATAAGAATGCAAATATACCTAGAAGTTTTGTGAGGAATGTAAGCCTAAAATAAAATTCTAAGCGCCCCCCCCCCCCACCGACCGACCAATTGAATACACCCCTCCTCTTAGCCAAAGGCTTTCTTAATTAACCTGAAAAACTAGTGCAGGCCATGATGGGAAGAGGGAGCTGGACATGCCTCATTATACCCTCCTCCCTTTGGGATCCAGGCATAGCTGACCAGCATTAACACCAAAACAGAGATCTTAAGACGTCTTGTAGCAATGACAGCAAATTCCAGCCTGACTTTAATATAGCATCACATGACAGATAGCAGGCCTTGAAAGAAGTCCAAGTATTTTATCCTAAAATATATTTCTTTGACATATTTTGTTTGTTTGTTCTTGAGATGGAGTCTCGCTCTGTCACCCAGGCTGGATTGCAGTGGCTCAAACTAGGCTCACTACAACCTCCACCTCCCAGGTTCAAGCGATTCTTCTGCCTCCGCCTCCTGAGTAGCTGGGACTACAGGCATGCACCACCACACCCAGCTAAATTTTGTATTTTTAGTAGAGATAGGGTTTCACCATGTTGCTCAGTCTAGAACTCCTGACCTCAGTTGATCTGCCCGCCTCAGCCTCCCAAAGTGCTGGAACTACAGGCGTAAGCCACCGTGCCCGGCCTCTTGGACATGTTTTGAAATGCCCTGCAAAGCTGTTATGGGGAAAGTCTACATTCTGTAGAGAACTCCTTTCCCTTTCCAGGTCTTTTCCTCCATCCAGTAGAGAATTACTTGAGTCTGGCATCTTTTTAAGTCTGATAAGAAACACTTACACAATCTATTCTCTCTGAAGCCTGCTACCAGGAAGCTTTATCTATATAATAAGAACCTAGGTCCACCAGGCGTGGTGGCTTACGCCTGCAATCCCAGCACTTTGGGAGGCCGAGATGGGCGGATCACAAGGTCAGGAGATCAAGACCATCCTGGCTAACATGGTGAAACACTGTCTCTACTAAAAATACAAAAAATTAGCGGGGCGTGGTGGTGGGCACCTGTAGTCCCAGCTACTCGGGAGGCTGAGGCAGGAGAATGGCGTGAACCCGGGAGGCGGAGCTTGCAGTGAGCCGAGATCGCGCCACTGCACTCCAGCCTGGGCGACAGAGCGAGACTCTATCTCAAAAAAAAAAAAAAAAAAAAAAAAAGAACCTAGGTCTCCACAACCACTTATCTTAACCCAGACACTCCTTTCTATGGATTCCAGATCTTTAGATGAACTCTTTTAATCAGTTGACATTTGGAAAATCTTTGAATCCATCTATGACCTGGAGCCCACCGCCATCTTTCGAGTTGTCCCACCTTTCTGGACTGAATCAATTTACATCTTATATGTACTGATTGATTTCTTATGTCTCCCTAAAATGTGTAAAATCAAGCTGTAGCCCAACCACCCTGGGCACATGTCATCAGGACCTCCCGAGGCTGTGTCATGGGCATGTCCTTAGCCTTGGCAAAATAAACTTTTAAATTGATTGAGATGTGTCTCGGATACTTTTTGGTTTACAGAATTAAATGAAGTAATGTAGATAAAACAATAGGCAAATAGTAGGTCCTCACCAGATGTTGGGCTCTCTCCACACACTTTATAATTTTTCCTTAGACCAGCAATTTGGCCTCAAGGTTATTTCAACTCAGTGAAATTTTCCAAGGAGGGAATAGAGATTTCCCCCGGGAAAACACTTTTTGGGCACGTACATGGCTTTGTGGATGAATGTCTTTGGTAGGCCTACTTCGAAATGCTGCCATCCTTGGATATTCTAAGAAAGATGTCAGGCCAGACACAATGAAACTTAATTACCTCAATGATAGAAGTAGAGCTGAATAAATAAAACTGTGGTTTCAGTAAAATGAACTAGAGTTACATAGAAAATTTCTGCCTCAATTCTTATGGTTAAAAAATGTTTCTGAATCTGTTTGTCTACTTCATTTCAATATTGCAAACAAAAGTAATACTTCTTTAAAAGTTGGGGTTTTCCAGCATCATCCTTAGCAATAATAGTTTTCACTAAGCAGAACTGTAGATGGAAGCGGGCCAGGAAATTGGGCTTAATATGTACTGCTCCAGAACCACAATTAGGAACCCCACTTTAAAAAAACTTATCTGGGTTATTGTCATGGCATTGCTTCTTTTTTAAACAGAAAAAATAGTACAAGAGGAAAAAATCCAATTATTTGAAGGCTCCAGTTAGTTGAGTTCCATGCAGCTCACTTCCACAGTCATTAGTCTACTGGGCTATAGCTGGGCAAACTTCAACTATGGAGAGATACTCTCTGATCATCTACCTGCAGTGTGGTGGGTCATGTCTCACAGCATGTAAATCAGTAACTGCAAATTACCCATATTTCAAACAAATGGGTATTTGACAATTTAATAAAGTACTCTGTCAACATGAGAGTTAACAACATAGTCAAACCAAATAAAACATCAAACAAACACAATTATAACTAAATTATAAACTGATTAGGTCTCTAATTGTTTCCTGGGTATATTTCTTATGCTTGTGTAGGCTCCTTGTGGAGTCTATGGGGCTGTGTCTTTTCTTTGATTTTCTCTAAAAAGCCTACTATGATACAACAAAATTATGATGTGACATGTAATCAGGCCTGATTATGACTTTTAAAGGCCTAAGCATTGAAAATTTTCTGGTGTTCCCTCCCCCAATGTATGATTTAGCATAGAAACCTTGCTAAAATTCATATAGTCATTACCGACAGGGATATGTTCTGAGAAATTCATCATTAGGTAATTTCATGATTGTGCAAACATCATAAAGTGTACTTGCACAAACATAGATGGTATAGCCCACTACACATCTAGGCTTATGATACAGCTTACTGCTCCTAGCCACAAACCCCTATAGAATGTTACTCTATCGAATACTGTAAGCAGTTGTAATATAATTGTAAGTATTTGGGTATCTAAACATAGAAAACTACAGTAAAAATATGGTATAAAGGAAAAATGATACATCTATACAGTGCAGCTCCATTATAATCTTATGGAGCCACTGTTGTATATGTGGCCTATCATTGATCAAAACATCATTATGTGGTGCCTGACTAGCAGCTATAACAAAGTCCAATAGAGTCTCATTTTTGTCTTTCATGAAAATTACTTTGATGTTTATATATCAATTTCTTGAGCAACCCTAGTTGTTTCTTTTTTCATGCTCCTATTTTATTGATACTTTTGGAATGTGTAGCTTGCCTATTGGGTAATCCAGGATTGCTTATAATAAAACAACATAAAAAAGTAAGCACAACACAGGGCATTTTATATACCAGTGACCTGGGACAAATGTCAACAACAGGTTCCACCCTAGGTCACTTCTCTTAAAGGAAACGCTTCATTAAGGTATCAGTACACTATTGATTAGCCATAATAGTCAATTTGTTCTGGAAAATAAAATTTCCTGGATGATGTGAATATCATCACTAAGATATGCAGACACTAACCTCTCCTCTTAATCTTGCCCAAGTCAACGAAAGTCCTAGAAATTGAAAAGTTTTAACAATTTATATCATTTTATTGTTGTATGAATTTACTTAGAGTTGAAGATGCCTAAGAAAGAAAAAAAGCAACAAAGGGTTCAGTGTTGTAAAATTTACTTCTACTGACAGAACAGTTTTTATTCCATTTTCATATTCAAAGTATCCATGTGTGTTATAGTTCCCCTCAGGCTGATATAACCCATTTACCAGCAAATTTCAAAGTTAGAGTGAACTTTTCACAGCACTCTCATTGCAACTCTTGGTTTTCAAAAGCCTGTGTCACTATTTGTTTTATTTTTGAAAGCAAACATCTCCTATCAAAATTCTCATGCATCATCTAAACTGTGTATCTCATTGTGGTTGTGTGCAAATACACCGAGTTTAAAAACAAATATGATTTTGAATGACACTGTGTTGCCCTAACAAAGGGAACACTGTCCATCTTCCCTGACAGCTTTCCTCTAATTAAAGAGGCCCTGATGCCCCACAGAATGCCAGACTCCTTAAACACTCCCCTCCCACCCGCTGCTTTCACTGCACAAACAGTAGAGAAAACAATTTGTAGCTTACTGGTCTCCTTCCTAGAAGAAAATTTAATAACATCCCAGAAGAGATGTAGAAGCAAAATTTCCTGATGGGACATACATTACTTCTTTTAAACTACTACTGGCTGTGGGATTTGGTTAGAAACAGGGCTTTCTTAACCACCATCTCTGAGCTGTCAGTGTGGAGTTGGCCTCATTTTTTGTTTTTAACAATGGCCTCTCATTTATTTTATCCACACTGAGAAATCATCTTTGACATTCCATGTTCAAAAATCTGCCTCTACAAAAACACAAAAGCTGAGAGATTATTTCAAGATAGAAAGGACAATGTCAACTTTTTCACTTTTGAAATCTCATCTTCAGGTGGACATTTTACACAGCAAAGATATGTACCAAAGATGTGCTGGTACACACTAACCTGTGTCTATACTGTGGCCACATTGTTCCACATCAGAGCTTACAAGGGAAAATTTTTCTCTGTTTCTCTAAGTTTAATATAGGTCTCTGTTTACTGAAGCTTCTATCTAGATCACGTTGCTTGTGCACACATATCTATACACTGTTATAGAAAGAATGCAATAATACCCAACATAGCACCACCCTGTTTCTTTTTCTTTTTTATTTATATAGGTTTTTTGGGGAACAGGTGGTGTTTGGTCACATGAATAAGTTCCTTAGTGGTGATTTCTGAGATTTTGGTGCACCCAACACCCAAGCAGTGTATACTGTGCTCAGTGTGTAGTCTTTTATCCTTACCCCCTCCCACCCTTTTCTCCGAGTCCCCAAAGTCCATTGTATCATTTGTATGCCTTTGCATCCTCATGGCTTAACTCCCACTTGTGAGTGAGAACATATGATGTTTGGTTTTCCATCCTTGAGTTACTTCACTTCGAATAATGGTCTCCAGTTCCATTCCAAGTTGCTGTGAATGCCATTATTTTTTTTTATGGCTGAGTAGTATTCTATGGTGTGTGTGTGTATATATATATATATGTGGGTGTGTGTATTTGTGCGTGTGTGTGCATATATATATATATAAAACAATTTCTTTATCCACTCATTGATTGATGGGCATTTGGGCTGGTTCCATATTTTTGCAATTGCAAATTGTGCTGCTATAGACATTCGTGTGCAAGTATCTTTTTTGTATAATAACTTATTTTCCTCTGGGTAGATACCCAGTAGTGGGATTGCTGGATCAAATGGTAGTTTTACTTGTAGTTCTTTAAGGAATCCCCACACTGTTTTCCACCGTGGTTGTACTAGTTTACGTTCCCACAGCAGTCTAAAAGCATTTCCTTTTCATCACATCCCTGCCAACATCTATTATTATTTTTATTTTTTGATAATGGTTATTCTTGCAGGAATAAGGTGGTATCTCACTGACACCATCCTGTTTCTACTTTCTTTCCATTTCCTTATAAGAACTGTTTACTCAGTTAGAGGCAAACCATAACACACTTTGAGTTAGGCAAAAGTAATAGCAATAGTAACACTCTACATTTATACTTTATAGATTCCAAAAGAGTGCATTCATATTCTGTCACTTGGCCTTCACAGCAAGCTGTGAATCATACAGCTGGTAAATATCAAGGGGTAACATTACTGGGTATATACCCAAAGGATTATAAATCATTCTACTATAAAGACACATGCACACATATGTTAATTGCAGCACTATTTACAATAGCAAAGACTTGGAACCAACCCAAATGCCCATCAATGTTAGACTGGATAAAGAAAATGTGGCACATATACACCGTGGAATACTATGCAGCCATAAAAAACAATGAGTTCATGTCCTTTGCAGGGACACGGATGAAGCTGGAAGCCATCGTTCTCAGCAAACTAACACAGGAACAGAAAACCAAACACTGCATGTTCTCACTCATAAGTGGGAGTTGAACAACGAGAACACATGGACACAGGGAGGGGAACATCACACACTGGGGCCTGTCGCAGGGTGGGAAGCAAGGGGAGGGAGAGCATCAGGACAAATACATACATGCAGAACTTAAAACCTGGATGACGGGTTGATAGTTGCAGCAAACCACCATGGCACATGTATACCTATGTAACAAACCCGCACATTCTGCACATGTATCCCAGAACTTACAGTAAAATAAAATATATATATATATATATATATATATATTAAGGTGTAATACAAAATCCAATTTTCATGCTCTAAATCAAGGATCAGCAATCTTTTTTCTGTAAAAGGCCAGACAACAAATATTTTAAGCTTTGCTGGTCTCCCTTACGAAGAATCAACTCTGCCATTGTAGTGCAAAAGTAACCATAGACAGTATCTTAATGAATGAGCGTGACTGTGTTCCAATAAAACTTTATTTCTCCTAAACAGATAGTGGGCTGGATTTGGTCAGTAATTTGGACTGTAATTTGTCAACTTCTATTCTAAACCACTATGCTTTAAAAATCTGAGAAGGTAGAAATCATAAGACATTGACAGGTAAAAAATATTACTGGGCTTCAAAGGAGGGAGACATTATAGCTTGGGTTACCAAAAAAGGCTTTATAGTGGAGGAGGTGATTTAGTGGGGTTTGAAAGATAGGTTAGATCTATCTACATGTGAACACCAGAGCTTTGGGTATCTCATGCAAAGAGAATAATGAGAGTAAAATTATGGAGACAGGATATGGAGTGGGGTACATAGAGTAAGAAGAGATAGTTCAGGTTGACTGAGAAACAGATATGTAGACCAGTGAGATAAGAAAAGTGGGGATTTTGTTGGATGCGATGGCTCACACCTATAATTCCAACATTTTAGGAGGCCAAGGTGGGAGGATCACTGGAGGCCAAGAGTTCAAGACCAGATGGGCAACATAGTGAGATCCCATCTCTTATAAATAAATAAATAGATACATAAATAAGAAATGTGGGCCTTTCATTAGATAAAAATATCTGGAACTGAAAAACAAGAGTTTTATTTCATAGAAAATTGGAAACCACTACATGTTTGTGAGGAGAGGGGTGGCATAAGAGAGGGAATAGTTATATATGTTATGCTTCTTTATGATGATGAGAGACAGTTGTGCCAGAGGGGTCAAGAATTAACCTGGGCCATCATGAGTGAAGATGCATTTCTAGTCATTGCAGTAAACTAATCTGACTGGAAAGGGCCCCAGTGAAACACTTGAAAAGTTTCCCCCACTAGAGTAATGAAATGAGAAGACATGTTCCCAACTGCCTACACAATGAGTGGAAAAGGATCGACTGCAAGAATCGGAATCTCAAGGCTAGGTGGTGGATTCAAACTACTTGCTCATCACCTGTTAGTCAGGAATTCAGGCTGGGCTTCGCTGGTTGGGCTCCTTCTGCTCCACTCGGGGCTGGGCTCATTCACTCCCTTGCTTTCAGCTGGTGGCTCCAATGAGCTGAGTAAGATGGAGAGGGCCAAGAAATCTTCACTTTCATGTTTAATTCATTGATATGCCATTTCCCTCTATATGTAGACAGCATGAGCTTCTCCACCACATAGTGGTCTCCAGTTAGTTATGCTTCTAACACGATGACTGGCCTCCAAAAGGGAGCTCTCCAAGTAGTGAAAGCAAAAGTTGGGAGTCTCATAAGGCCAGTCTTGGAAGTGATGCAGTGTCATTTCTGCCACATTCTGTCAATCAAAGTCAGTCACAGGCAGCTCAGAATCAGGGGAAGGGATCATAAACTCCACCTCTTGATGGAGGAGTGGCAAGATCACATTACAAAAGAGCTATTGGGAGAGGGTCTATTGTTGTGGTCTTCTCCAGAAACACAATTTACCACAGAAGTTTAACATAAAAATTAATCTAAGGCCAATGAAACCTCCAGGGACCTGGCAGAGGCAAACCCCAAACCACTTCTGTAGTTCAGGCCTCATGGGGGTCCCATGGTAAACAAACCTTGTTGAAAATGTGCTTGTGATCAAAAATTACAAACGACATAAGGAAACAGGACACAGATACAGCAGAGAGCAGAACTGGCACACCATCACCTGGAATAATGGAAGAAAATGAAAGAGATTTAGAAATAAACATGATTAACATGTCCAAAGAGCTAAAGGTAGAAAATATTAAAAAACACATAGGCATGCTTGAAAAGGATGAAATTGAAATCATAGTGACAAAAAGTATACTCATTGAAATAGAAATCCCAACACAGGTGACAAAGAATTAATGAAATGTAAGATAGACCTAGGGAAATTATTTTAGCACAAGTGCAGCACAAATAAAAGAGATATTAAAAACATGAAATATCTAAGGGATATTAAGATACTAAAAGGTTAAAATAAGAGTCTAATTCATACATCTAATAGGAATTCCTAAAGGAAGGAATGGAGAGATTGGAGAACCAATATCCAAAGAGAGTGTCTGAAAGCTTTCCACAATTAAAGAAAGAAGTCATTATATTTAGTAATAAATCATAGCAAAATTTAAGCAAAATAAATAAAAATACAAATACACAACAAGACACATCTTACTGAAAATGCACAACATCCAAAACAAGAAGTAAACAAAGCTCCGGGGAGAAGAAAATAAGACACGGTAACAATGGAACTGACAGTCTTCTCAGCAATAATAGGTAGATAATAGAATAATGTATTTTAAATGTTGAGGGAAAATAGCTATCAATCTAGAAATCTTTGAGTATGCAACTGTTGTTAATAATTAAGGCTAAATAAACCCATGTTGTAAAAAAGACAGAAACCATCCGATCAGAATTTTGTTATTTAACTTTACTGCAACATGCTTTATATACAATAAAGTACAGCCATTTTAAGAACACTGTTTGATCGCACTCTTGTAACTACCACCACAATCAAGATACAGAACATTTCTGTCACCACGAAAGGTTTCCTTTATTCCTTCCCCAGTCAATTTCCCCACCCCACCCTTGGCCCCAAGTAACCACTGCTCTGCTTTCTGTCACTATAAATTAGATTTATTTTTTCAAGAGTCTTTTAAAAAATGCTTTTAGACTGCATGTAATCTTTGTGTCTGGCTTCCTTCACTCTGCTTAATGTTTTTTGAGATTCATCCATGTTATGTGTATCACTAGTTTATTCCATTGCACAGAAAAGAAAACTGATGCTTCAATATTAATTCCAGACAAAAGAAAACTTAATCAGAAAGTACTGTTAGGGCTAAAGAGGGGCTGTATATAAGAAAATTACACCAAGAGAGTAAAATAAGCATGAATGCACATGTTTCTGTCACTAAAACGACAAAGCATTTAAAGTAAATCTGATAAAATTACAAAGACAGTCCAAGTGCAGTGGCTCATGCCTATCATCCCAGCACTTTGGGAGGTCAAGGCAAGAGGATTGCTTGAGCCCTGGAGTTTGAGACCAGCCTGGGAAACATAGTGAGACCCTGTCTCTACAAGAAATTTTTTAAAAATTAGCCAGGCATGGTGGTGCATGCCTGAGTACCAGGTACTTGGGAGGCTGAGATGGGAGGATGCTTGAGCCCAGGAGGCTGAAGCTGCAGTGAGCTACGACAGCCACTACACTCCAGTCTGGGTGACAGAGTGAGATATTGTCTCAAAAAAATAAAAAAAGAAGATAGGAAATTTAAAATAAGAATGGAGGCTTCCCTGATAAAGTCATCAGTTAGTTGACTCTTACACTGTTATATGCTTAATCATGCTAGCAAATCAAAGCATAATCATACTGGCTCCACTTGAAACAATATTAGTGGAAAGGGTATTGATATGAAGGAGTTAACACTATTTGTCATTTTCTAGGCCGTTGGTAACCATGCTTTTGCGGAAGATTTAAAAACAGTGGGTTGCTTTCCCTTTACCATAAAATAAAGACCAAAATGACCAAAAAAAAAAAAAAAATAGACAGCATTAACTGAGCATTTGTCGGGCAATATGTTAAACACTGTACCTGCATTCTCTCTTCACTTCTTGCATCAAGTTTTTCCTCAGTTTCATGGAAGGAAAACTGAGGCTCACAAGGGGTGGCTACTGAAAAGCAACACCAGGACTTCAACCTGTGTCTAACTCTAGAATCAACTTCTAATCCTACTAGACCATACATATTATGTCAACCCAACAACAGCAGTTTACAAATTTCCACCATTAACTTCCCCTTCTGACAGCAGAACACATTCCTGACCTGAATCCCTACTAAGCCACTGGCCAGTTCATTCTTATTCAAACTGTGGAGCAAACACTCAGCTGGATTATTTCTCACGTAAAACATTCCATCTGCAGAGAAGCAAGACTGGCTTATGTTTTTAAAAACAGTCTGCCTGGGGCTGGCTGTGTGATGGAAGTGAGAGGCGGCGGGGTACCCTGGCCGTGGCTGACAATGAAATGCTGGAGAACAGAACTGGGGAATGAGTTGCAGACACAGCACATCAAAGCCACAGTGAGTGGCCTGGAAACAGGCAGCTCAGCGTCACCCAGCTCCTGCTGCTGCCAGAGGAAGGATGCTGCAACGGTCATCACTTAACCACTCTCTGACTGCCAACAACCACAATAACTAACACCTTGCACTGAATTATCATGGACCCTTGTTTCCTGTGACCTCAATCTTACCTTACCCCCTAGATCATCTTCCAAAAACAAGGTATATATTTTTTAAAGGAAGACACACTGGAGTTCTCATATGGACTTTAGAAAGCTGTAAAAACTAGACCCTGAATGAATCTACATGTTTGTATGTTACCTCACCTAATCATAGGTTTATGAAATCAGACCTTTCCATAACGTGAATTATGTCTTACACAAAAGAATAGAAAAGAATAACTCATTGCTATTCTGCAGCCAGCTTGTAATTTTCTGCAGAAAGATTATGAGAAGATATAACATTGTAGGGACTTACATAAAACACAAACCTAAAAGATAAACATTACCTTAGCTTTTGCCAAACACTGTGTATATTGGTCAGCTAGTATGAGGCCTGGCATGTGGTTGGTTCTAAATACATGTTTTGTGATAACAATGAGTAATTATGACACTTTAGAAGGCTTGAAGCAAAACTCTCTGTTGAATTAAGTGAAATGAGTGCTATACTGTGTTTAGATGAGCAAAATAAAGGGACAAATGAGCAATTGTTAAATGAATTTAATCAACCTGGATCATAAACTACCTAGGTTCAAATTCCCATTCTTCTGTTGGACCTTGGGCATGTTAACTGTACTTGTCTGTGCCTTACTCTGCTCTGTAAAATGAGAATTATAAGGCTATCTGCTGGGGTTGTCGTGAGGATTACATTAAATGACACATGTAGGCATGTGTTGTGGTGCCGAGCATGCAGCGAGCACTTGGCAAATGTTGGCTCATGACTTTATTATTATTTCTCTAGGCCACTTTTTCAGTTGTTTTACCTTTATGAATAAAATGTAACCATAGCAACTTCAAATAAACTTTTTTTTTTTTTAATAAGAGACCTCTAAACACTTAAAACCCCAAAGCTGACTTTCTTCCCGTGGTTAATGTGATGGTTAGTGTGGCCCAGTGTTTCACCAAATATTAACTTTTATTCTTCCCTCTCCTCACCCAAGACACTTGTCCTTAATGAAAACAGAAAATTGCTTTCCTAATTAACATTTTCAGAAATATGGCCTGATTATGCACCATTTTTAGTCAAAATAAATAGATATGTCAGAAATGTTCTCATAGGCAGTGGGCTAAAAGCAGCTTTGATTTCAGTGTCAGAAGGACTAGACAGTAGGTTTTTGAGGGAAAGATTTGTTGGTCCACAATGGCTGTAGCTTAGGTGCTTGGCGCAAAGCCTGGCATATGCTAAGCACCCAATAAGAGAATATGTAAACTTCTAGTTGATTCCTCTCTGTCATAGCAAGTGGCTCTCTATGACTTCAACCTCCAAAGATCATGTGGTGTCATGAAAAGAACCTAAATCAAACACACCTGGCTTTAAATCTCCAAACTTTTTCTAGATCTATGGTCTTCAGCAAGATAATCTTTCTAAACTAAGCCACAGTTTTCCATCTGTAGATGGGACAACCTTATAGGATTTCAGTAAGAGTTAGTGATAACAATGGTAGCTTGATAGGGATAGCATTGAATCAGTAAGTTACTTTGGGCACTGACTTTCTTCAAAGAATTAGAAAAAACTACTTTAAACTTCATATGGAACCAAAAAAGAGCCTGCACAGCCAAGACAATCCTAACCAAAAAGAACAAAGCTGGAGGCATTATGCTACCTGACTTCAAACCATACTACAAGGCTATAGCAACCAAAACAGCTATATAGACCGATGGAACAGAATAGAGGCCTCAGAAATAACACCACACATCTACAACCATCTGATCTTTGACAAACCTGACAAAAACAAGCAATGGGTACAGGAGTCCCTATTTAATAAATAGTATTGGGAAAACTGGCTAGCCATATGCAGAAAACTGAAGCCGGACCCCTTCCTTATACCTTATACAAAAATTAACTCAAGATGGATTAAAGACTTAAACATAAGACCTAAAACCTAAAAACCCTAAATAAAACCTAAGCAATACCATTCAGGACATGCACAAAGACTTCAGGACTAAAACACCAAAAGCAATGGCAACAAAAGCCAAAATTCACAAATGGGATCTAATTAAACTAAAGAGCTCCTGCACAGCAAAAGAAACTATCATCAGAGTGAACAGGCAACCTACAGAATGGGAGAAAATTTTTGCAATCTATCCATCTGACAAAGGGATAATATACAGAATCTACAAATAATTTAAACAAGTTTACAAGAAAAAAAAAAACCAACAACCCCATCAAAATGTGGGCAAAGGATATGAACAGAAACTTCTCGAAAGAAGACATTTATTCAGGCAACAAACATATGAAAAAAAGATCATCATCACTGGTCATTAGAGAAATGCAAATCAAAACCACAATGAGATACCATCTCATGCCAGTTAGAATGGCGATCATTAAAAAGTCAGCAAACAACAGGTGCTGGAGAGGATGTGGAGAAATAGAAGCACTTTTACACTGTTGGTGGAAGTATAAATTAGTTCAACCATTGTAGAAGTATGACAATTCCTCAAGAATCTAGAACCAGAAATACCATTTGACCCAGCAATCCCATTACTGGGTATATAACCAAAGGATTATAAATCATGCTGCTATAAAGACACATGCACACATTATGTTTATTGCAGCACTGCTCACAATAGCAAAGACTTGGAACCAACCAAAATGCCCATCAATGATAGACTGGATTAAGAAAATGTGGCACATACACACCATGGAATACTATGCAGCCATTAAAAAGGATGAGTTCATGTCCTTTGGAGGGACATGGATGAAGCTGGAAACCATCATTCTCAGCAAACTAACACAGAAACAGAAAACCAAACACCGCATATTCTCACTTATAAGTGGGAGTTGAACAATGAGAACACATGGACACAGGGAGAGGAACATCACACACCAGGGTCTGTCGGTGGGTGGGGGCTTGCGGGGAGGGATAGAATTAGAAGAAATACCTAATGTAGATGATGGGTTGATGGGTGCAGCAAACCACCATGGCACGTGTATACCTATGTAATAAACCTGCACGTTCTGCACATGTATCCCGGAACTTAAAGTATAATTTAAAAAATTTTTTTTAAAAACCACACATACAACAAAAAAAAATAGTGATAACTAATGTAAATACTTCTTGGACATAATAGTGCACAATAAATGGTATCATTCTTAAATTAACTTCCTGAAGATTTTATCATCCACGGATTCATCTACATTTTAGTTGAGTCTATTTAAATCATGCTTCATCGTTCTCACATTTTTCTATCTCATGTGTTAATGCAGAATGGTGTAGGGTAATGAGCTTACATTCTGGAAACCCACAGATCTGGGTTCAGAGCCATCTCTGACACATAGGGAGAACAGGGAGAGAGTTCGCTCCAAGGGAGCAAAGACAGAAAAAAAAGACCCTGACCTATCATTTACTAACTCAGCGACCTTGAGCAACCAAGGATTTAACTTCCTAAGCCTTGATTTCTTAAATGGAAATGATAGTTTAACCTTAACCCATAGGGTTGCTGTAAGGATTAAATAAAGGCTCATTAGGGCTTTGTTTTATCTTCACATCTCAGAGAGAACCAAGTGCAGTGAACACCTAAGGTAATCAAAAATGGGGGATGAAGAAATCATTGAATGAATAAATGAATGAGAAGGAAGAAAAGGTGGGGGAGGGGGGAGGGAGGGAAGAAGGAAGGAAAGAGCATGCCCCACAGATATTTCAGGACATAAGTACCTTACTTTGAGCTTTTTCTTTCAAAACGTAGGGTAGTGAAATCCTGAGGGCAAATCCTGAAAGAACTCATTTGTAAAAATTAGCACTTCCTATAAGCCTGTCATATCATCCTTACCAGACCTCATTAAGCATTTAGAATACCTTGGAAAAGCACCAAATTCCAAATCATAAAAAAACAGGAGAAAACATTCCCAAGGCAAAAGGATTCTTTTCTATCTTCCCAAGCATCTGTTCCTTCATACTGAAAGATTTAATGCAAAACATATTTCATGTAATTCAAATAATTAACAGAAACAAATACTAAACAAGTAACAGCAGCAAATAATAAATCTCTTCTGATTTCATTACTATTGTTCTAAGCTTTCAATAAGATATAAACATTCTAGTACCCAAATTGCCAGCAAAATTATGAACATATTACCAGTTTTATTAGAAAGAATTATTTGGAAGGAAGAACTATTTGTTTTTTTTTAATCATTGAAGAGCAAAAGAAGCACTTCGAACTGTGTATTTTTTAATAAAAAGAGCAAAAAAAGGAGTTTTGAAATCAATTAAACCTTTTTTGTGGTAGAAAGGGAACACCCAAAATGCATTGAAAATAGTCTATTTTGAGCAGTCATAGTTTTCTTTTTTCTTAAACATATCAGACATAGATTTCACAGCTCATAATTAATTCCCAGTGCCCACATCACCATTAATTTTTAATGAAAGCAGAGCTGCTGTGAGTGCTACTGCTATTTCACCAAGATTAGCAGGGGGTTGCTTCCAGGATGAGAAACCATTATTGGTTCTGCATAACAGAGACTGATGTCTACAAGGATAGCCAGATGCACTCCGCAATCCCAGCTAATTACCCACAGGTGATGGGGACCAAGCTCTGTGTCTTGACACACACACACACACATAAACACACACACACACAAACACATACACACAAATCTAGTTTCACAGATAATTACACATTACACAGGCTAGGGATTTGGGGTTTTATATTCTTGGCAGTGTTAGACTCAGAATGTATATATTGTTAAAAAGCATTTCCTCTACATGTATAAAGGGAATTTTCCACAATCAATTTACCATCCTTATGTTCATAAATGTATGTGTACAGGCGCTCCCCCAGAGAGCACAGTAACCTGGCACCAGGGAGTAAATATGATACAAGTTCACGGAACTTTTCTGACATAAAAATCACCAGACGAGGAAACTATTTCAATGTAGGTTTAAGAAGGCCCCAGGCAAACTATTCTCAAATCCAACATCAAACAACACAAGGCAAAACCAGAAGACTAATACTCAATTTCAAATCAGCTAAGTGTTCTAAGTAAAAACAAGTACTATCAACTAAACAGAAACCCTGCTGCAAGGCAATTAGGTTTAATACCTTTGCATAAAAGGCATAACTTGGTCATTTAGATTTAAACAACTATATAAAGTTCAAATTAATTTCTTTTTGGAAAAGTAATGTCATGTTTATTAAAACCCAACAAAATGTCTAATAAGAGAAGATTAAATCTGGCAAACAGAATAAATCTGGCAAACAGAATATAAATGAAAGCCAAACTGTTTTAACATACATGATGAGATATATACACACATGCATACACACAGATGTATCTTAAAGATATTCACAAGTATATGTAAAATATATATATATGCTCATTAGAGATTTTTCAAAATAGAAGTATTAGTGATAATTTTAATTTTTATGTATTATTCTCTTTATTTTTCAAATTCTTAAAATGAACCTATATTGTCTTTACAGTAAGAAAAAAAAAATCTGGGATCTCCTAGAAGAGGAAAAAGGCTGATGTTGGGAAGGTGGCATGCATGCAGAATCACCAAGGGAGGAACCAGCCTGGGGACAAAGCAGACAGAGAAAAGTACATGTACTTTTTGAGGGAGGAAAGTATGGCAAAAAATAAGAAGAAGAAGAAGAAAAAAGAATAAGAGCCACTGGATCAAGCTGACCCTGAAAGTTACCCAAACTTGAATTTCCAGCTATGTCAATAAATTTCTTATTGTTTAAGCTCATCTGGGTTAGGTTTTCTGTTGATTACAGCCCAAAGCTCCCCAATCGGTGCACTGGCAGAAGGAGATCTCAAACCTACCTCAGTCTGAACCACGTCTGGCTAACTCCGCAGCCTGCATCTCAACCACTATGCCACACTATGTCCCCAGAATCTACATAAGCAGTGAGTTCGTGGCCAACTAATTTGACTGGCCCTTCCTCCAAGATGCATAATTTCCAGCTCCCCATCAATTCCCCGCTTCTAGTTATACCACAGAATGAAGACCAGTCAGTCTTCTGAGGGTGTGGACATGTGGTGCCTCTTCCCTCAGATCAGAATCTTGCTCCAGTCTCCTTCCCTGGCTTGTCTTCTCTACTGCCTCACTCTTCTCATTGCCTTCCTCATGTTTCCTGGTATCACCTATCCCAAGTCGGGTTTGAGAAACCAAAAATAAAATAGACAAGTAGTGTTAAGAATAATCAAGAAAAATGAAACAGAAAGATATGGTGAGAAGGAAGACAGTAACCCATTTTTTTATGTCACTGGGAAAAATTTAAGAAAGTCTTTATGTCAGTAGGCTACGGTGAAGAAAAAAAATGATGTGGATCCTGTTTTATTTTACTCAATTAATCCAGCCAGTATACACTGAACACTTTTTTAAGCTCTGGGAATATAATGGTGAGTAAAACAGGATAGTCTGCCTTTTTGGAGTTTGCAGTCTGTCTGGAAAACAGACATTGATCAATTGATTACACAAATAAATATAAATACAACTGCCTTAAATGCCATGAAGGAGAGATGTGTGGTGAAGAGTTATTGCAAGATGACAATGGGACAATGGGTCAAAGTAACAGAAGATTTTATATATATAAAATATAAAAATTAATTAAAATAAATATATAAATTATATTAATGAAAATAATTAAAATAAATATTAATTAATTACAAATAAATATATATACACACACACATATTTATATATATAAATTGAATCACATAATTGGAGAAGCTGCGAAGTAGAGACCCAGGAAAGCCAGTGGTGTAAACTCTGGTTTGAATCCGAAGGCCTGAGAACCAGGAACTCTGATGGTGTAAGTCCCAGTGTAAGGAAGGAAGAAGACAGATGTCTTAGCCTAGGCAGCCAGATGCTGAGAGTAAAGTGAAACTTCCTCTACCTTTTTGTTCTATTTGAGTCCTCAGCAGGTCAGATAATGCCCTCTCACACAGGGAGAACCATTTACTTTACTCAGTCTACCGATGCAAATTCTAACCTCTTCTAGAATCACTCTCATAGACACATTTAAAAACAATTTTTAATCAGATATCTGGGCATCTTCTGAGCCAGTCACATTGACGCATAAAAAAAGCCATGACAATTACCTTGCAAGGGGAAGAGTATCTGAGCAGTATAACCCTGCCTGCTAGAGTACAGTGTAGTACATTTGACATGGATTGAAAGAAAAACAATTATAATAAACTAACCAGAGACTCTATTTAGACTCACATATTTGTCTGGCTCTCTTACATAAGTATCAAGGAGCTTCCCTCTTTATATGGTTAGAAAAACACCACAGTGAGTAGTGAACCTAGAATCTTCTAAGTCAAAAGTGAGACTGTCATTCTCACACAGCTGAGAAAATTTTCAGTACCAGTGTGTCTCCCATCAGGGATAAAACTGAGAGTCTTATTTTGTTTTATTGTAAACATCTTATAAAATTTCACACAAACAATAAAACTATAAAAATAATAGAGTGAAGATTCATGCATTTGCTATTCAATTTAAAGAATAAAATATTTCAATATAATTTAAAGTGTAAAATACCCATTTGCTTTTCCCTCTGGTCACATTCCCTTTCCTAATGCTCCGAGGTAGCAAGTATTCTAAATGCAGTGATTATCACCATCATGAGTTTCTTTATACTTACTATAAATGTAATATCCCTAAAGAATAGTCTCACTTTACATGGTACTATTTTTTATACTAACATATTGTATATATTCTTCTATGTCTTACTTTTTCTGTTTATTGTTATACATGTGCAGTTCATTGATGTAAATGTAGGTACATCCTGTCTGTTAATTTTCACTGCTACATAATATTCAATTGTATTCATTCATTCTCTTGCTCATGAAAATTTAGCATGTTTCAACTTGAATCAGTCTACCCACAAACATAGTATGTTTCTCCTCTTAAAATAACTGTATATTAATTTTGTCTTTAAACTTGCTTCAAAACCATTCTGTTCGTTTCTGCATGATGTTACAGAATCTGCACTCCACTGGGGTGTCAAAAGTCTAGTTCTGAGATTCTGTATACTTCTGTGTCACTTATGGGCGGCTATTTTGTCCAAGTATAATGGGAATGGATCTCAGAAGTACATCTCTATAGTGATTTTCTCTGTGAATTATTTTTTTTTCTTTGCTACCACTGAAATTACAATAGCATACATGCTTGATTACTCCATAGACTCAGGAGAGACGAAATGCTAGAAGCCTTTGTTCTTATATGGATATAAAGACATGTCAGAAAAGGCTATCATTATTCAAATTCATATGTCTTTCTTCTAAAAGTACTTTAAAACTATATAATTGAATTTATCCTGAAAGTACTTCTGGGAAATAGAGGCACTTTCAGCCCAATTTAATAAGTGACACTGAAGTTTGTTGGATCACCCCAAATCACACAGACTAGCTTTGATTCTTGCTCTAAAATGGCATATCTTCAGCTGAGCTGTCTCATACAGCTTTCATTTTTGATAGAATAGTTAAAGCCCACATTATTGTAAGTTGTGGCACTAGGAAAGCTATTTCAGCAACCGAATCGACCAAGGCTCCAAATCCCCACGGACAGCTTTATCAGTTATGGTCCATTTGTCTGGCAATAAAAGAAACCCAATGGTGTTAACAATAGGGAAATTTATTATCTCACAAAGAAAGAAGTCTAGAAGTAGTTAGTTGATTCAGTGGCTTATCATGGTCATTGAAGAGCCAGATTCTTTTTTACTCTGCTCTCCCTTCCTTATATCAACATTAACCTCAGGCTGGTAGCAACATAGCTGCAGCAGTTCCAGGCATCACATGCAAATACAGCAACATTCAGAGGAATAAGGGAAATATATCTTTATAATCCTCTCTCAGAAATGGTCTTTGGAACTCCTCTTCTGCCCCCACCCAGCAAACTTTGCCTCTAGTTTCACTGGCCAGAGCTGCGCCCCATGCCTATCACTGAACTAAACATGAGCAAGGGGATGAGATTGTCATGTTTCTGCCAATCAGGCCCACACCTAGAGGTGGGATTGGGGTCAGCTTCCCCTGAAATGCATTACTATGTGGGACAGGAGGAGATATCTAAACAAAATCAAGGTTCTGGTAGAAACAAAGAAGAAACGATACAGGTAGGCAACCAAGAGTCCATCAGCATCAATTCTCTTCAAACCCCAGGCTATATACTAAGGATATAGGCTTTATCTCTAAGATTTCAGAGACAAAGAGGTGAATTCCAGTTGTTTTAGCCCCATAACAGATTTTTACAAACTCCAGATCCAACCCCCAAAAAACAACCCTACTTCAATCCCCCAAAACCTGTAGATTTGCAATCTCAATCACCAAAGTGGATTATCAGTATTTGGTTATTCATAGGCCAAAATAAAGACCTTTGACCTGAGTATTCAAGTTAATTAACACTAAGGGTGAACATTTTGTGTTGTCTAGCTATAATGTGGTTTGAGGACTTAAGCCCATTGCTTCTAATGTAAAATGACAGACTAATATTCGACATTCACTTGAAGAACTCTCTAATGTTCAATATAAATTTTAAAGTATATGGAATTAAGTCAAATAACTGGAAACACTTCCTTTCATTCCCCCCCCCTTTTTTTTTCTTTTATTTGAGACAAAGTCTCACTCTGTCACCCAGGCTGGAGTGCAATGGTACAATCTTGGCTCACTGCAACCTCTGCCTCCCAGATTCAAGTGATTCTCCTGCCTCAGTCTCCCCAGTAGCTGGGATTACAGGTGTATGCCAGTACACCTGGCTAATTTTTGTATTTTTAGTAGAGACGGGGTTTCACCATGTTGCAGGCTGGTCTTGAACTCCTGACCTCAAGTGATCAGACCATCTCGGCCTCTCAAAGTGCTGGGATTACAGGCATGAGCCACTGTGCCTGGCCATTTTCCTTCCTTTCCATTCCCCAAGAATGAACTGGCCAAATTAAAAAAATAAATAAAGCAGACTTCAAGTAGGTACTTCAGATTAACTTTGAACATCAGCTATCTTTTTTGAGTGACAGCTAGGTATGTGCCAAATGCTATAGATAGACACATCCAGACAGCCTGAAGGAAACTTGCCTGATCCAACAGTTTGCATATACATCTCTTTTCACATTCAAATGTTCTTAAAAATAAATGGATTTTAAAATGATGCCAATATACCTGAAAATACCAGTTAATTTTAGACAGAAATTTAAAAGACTGCCTCAATTTGATTGAGGCAAGTGTCAAAAATAAGAAAACACCCAGAAAATCTAGTAGTGAGGATCTGGGCAGATACACTGTAAAATCATCTCAATTGTTTCTAGTGCCAGATTTAGATGCCTGCTAACAACTCAGGTCTTTATAAGGAGTCTCCAAAACTGCAAAAGTTTCCAATAAAAGGAAACTTCTGATGCCCATGTGAGTTTTCCATCAATTTCTTCTATGCTGTGATAAGCTTCTGCAAGGCTCAGTTATAGGCACTGTTCTATTACACCCTTTCCCAAGTCTCAGGAGTTTTTCAAAATTTATTTGAAAATACACATGGTCTTCTCACTCTGCTTTAGCATCAGCTCCAAGACAGTTCTGCTTTCATCCTTAAAGAACTTCAACGTGTATTTCTTTCAAATAAAGGCTTGCTGTCTTTCAGAATTCCAAAGTGTTTTTGATGTAAATAGGACGAAATGTCTTTGGACATCAAGTAATGAAACCTGTAGATTTTATCAATGTCCATGGCAATTGGCTGTTTAAAAGCTGTTACCTTGTTTACTTCTGAACAAATTAGAAAAGAGATGCCTGGATGGGGAACCCAGGTGAAATTACTAGATTAGGTTCCAATGCATTAAGAGAGACTTTCCATGACTTCAGAGCCTGGAATATGATTTTAAGCCATTTTACTGGATAATTCCTATGATTCATTTTGCATTCAACCACTGTGTCTGCTTTTTATTTCTCCAGCACACATCTTCCCAAAACTAAATCCTATGTCTTCAATAGCAGACAGGGGTAAGAGAAACATACACCATGTGGCCTTCATGTGAGTCACCTGTGTGACAGGTCATTAAGGCATTTAGGGAGATGAGTGGCAAATCAGGAGTCAAAGAAAGAGGTTACCTGGTATCTGGAAGCGCTTCTCGCTCTTCCACTTCCTCAGCTGCAATTCATTCTCTTCTTTTCTTTTACCTTTTCCTCTCCCTTTTCTTCTTCTTTTTCTCCCCTTTTCTGTCTCTGAAACATGGAAAAACACTTTTGAAAAGCATGTTACTCAGTTAAAAGAACAGATAATACATGGATCAGTTACAGGGTTTGCAGTCTGCTCTCTCCCTCACCTCTCACGTGTACATCCCCCATCTACTAAAAACCAAAAGCCAAAACAAATAAACACAAAACAAAACAAAAACCCTTCTTGGGAAGAGCAGCTCTTCCTCTCTCCCCTCTCTTCCCAACCCCACCCCTATCAACTCCCAGGGAGGTTGGGAGCTGCCTTTGGGTCACTAGATTTCACAAATGAAGATCAAGGTACTTGTTAGAAATAATTAAAATAATGTGCAGAATTAAAGAAGACCTTGGAGGGGAGGGGAGGCCCTGTAAGTCAAGAGCCACCCTCCCGGCCAGGCGCAGTGGCTCACGCCTGTACTCCCAGCACTTTGGGAGGCAGAGGCGGGTGGATCACCTGAGGTCAGGAGTTCAAGATCAGCCTGGCCAGCATGGCGAAACCTCGTCTTACTAAAATTACAAAAAAAAAAAAAGTGAACCCAGGAGTAGTGGCAGGCGCCTGTAATCCTGGCTACTTGGGAGGCTGAGGCAGGAGAATTTCTTGAACCCGGGAGGAGGAGGTTGCAGTGAGCCAAGATCGCGTGATTGTACTCAAGCTTGGGTGTCAAGAGCAAAACTCCGTCTCAAAAAAAAAAAAAAAAAAAAAAAAACCGCCCTCCCCCACTCCTGACTGACTTCAAAACTCAGTTTGAAGTTGAGAGTTGAATCCAAGGAGTGGAGAGGGGAACTCGGGGAGTGGAGACATGCAGGCTCTATGGGCACTGGAAGCACGTCTGACACATAGGAGACATTTAGTAAATATTATTGAATTAATTAAAAACAACAGGAGTGGAGACAAAAATCTATGTGGGAGCTACAAATTAGATCTCCTTGTTTATTTTCTAAGAGTCCAATAAAGATTTGAATTGCTGTTAATTACTTTTGCTTGATGGATTGGAGTTCTTTCTGTGACACTCTGTGAGAGGAGAGAGAAAGAAATCAACTAGGCAGATAGGGCAAGGGTCCTAAGTAGAATTCCCTTCTAACAAAAAAGCAGCTTCTAACACAGAAAGGGGCCTCCTGTGTGACATACAGACATACAGTGGGCCCCAGTAAGCACAGTCCTCTCCCTTCTTGGAAATACTCAGACAAGGAGGTTTGCACAGCAGGGAGTGCCTGCAGCAGCACTGATAAGACGAGCTACCCTGGACCAGGAGCGTCCACTGTAGAGGGTCCCGCCTCCTGGCCTTTTTCACACATGCGCAGTGGGAAGAGATAGGCAACATGGAGTAACTCAGACTAAGGAGCCCGCATGAGCACTAGAAAAAGTGGGGTGGGAACTGTCAGAAATTTGAGCCTTATGTAAATGAAACACCCTCCCCACCAGCTTGTCTATAAAAACCCTTGCATTTCATTGTAAAATGGCAACCCATCTTTCTGGGACCCCTCTCTGCTCCCGAGAGCTTTCTTCCTTTCGCTTATTAAACTTCTGCTCTAACCTCACCTTTGGAGTGTCCGCATCCTTGATTTCCTCTGCCGTGATAACAAGAACTTCCAGTAATACCCAGACAATGAGGCTGGTTTCAACTCTTTGCCCTGGCTTTTATTCAAGTTACATACACACATTGTCATCTGCCACGCTGGGAAATTGATATCACTTAGTAAACCACAAAGCTGGTGTTAGAATGGGGTTTGTGACTCTTGTGGATGAGCATCCAATGACAAGATACATTTGCTTTTTACATATAAATATGTCTCCCTGGCCGGGCGCGGAGGCTCACGCCTGTAATCCCAGCACTTTGGGAGGCCGAGGCTGGTGGATTGCCTGAGGTCAGGAGTTCATGTGTGGCCAACACGGTGAGGCCCCTTCTCTACTAAAAATACAAAAAAATTAGCCGGGTGTGGTGACGTGCGCCTGTAATCCAGCTACTCGGGAGGCTGAGGCAGGGGAATTGCTTGAGCCAGGGAAGTGGAGGTTGCAGTGAGCCGAGATTGTACCACTGCACTCCAGCCTGAGCGACAGAGCAAGACTCCGTCTCAAAGAAAAAAAAAAAAAAAGTCTCCCCAAGAAAACCATAGAATGCTTACCATTTTAACATGTTATTTTAGAGAGGTGATAGTGCCAAATCCCTTATTACACAGGTACTAAGTTATAGACTTCCAGATGGAATGTAAGGAAATACAAAATATTTTTAATGAAGCAGTAGAATGAAAGTAAAAATGGGTGAAATGTATTTATACTTTGAAGAATAGCAGTTGAACATCTCTGGGTGCCAGACATTGTGCTGGGTGCAATGTAGCATTAGGAAATGTGGTTAGAGCATCAGAAAATCAGAAATTCTGATTTACATTAGGAGTGTGGTAAATGCATTTCTATCCATATGAGAATATAAGTTGAAATCATATAATTCCCTCCTTCTGGGAATGTTAACCTCCCTCTTTGGGGAATCTCGTCTCTCCCTGATTCTAGACATGCGGAGGTTCTAAAGGGGGCTTTACACGATAGGGCCCCGTTGTTTTGGCCACAATTGATGAGTCCAGAGATGGGCATCTAACCCAAACCAGCTAGAGATGTTGCTGAAGGTTTTGCTTCTCATTATGTAAAGAAGCTTGTCTGGAAAAAAAAAGCGGGGAATGGGGAGGTGGTGTGCAAAAGAAAAGGAAAGAAAAAGAGGGAGAGAAAGAGAGGCCTGAGAGAACAAGAGTCCCTAGCTCCATGGGCCTGTGCTCAGCCACACCCCTGCTTTCTCCTGCAGACAACTGAACTGATAAATTTCCATTTTTTACTAAACTAGCTTGAGTTACTTTTTTTTGTCACTAGTATTCAAAATGTTTCTAACTAATATACTTAATATGTTTAAAGTGGTATATATAAATAAGCAAGGGGCTTTGCTAAGCCAAAGAATTATTTTATGAGCCTTAAAAAAATTGACTTTTGAAACCAAAGCCTGTGTTTAAAATCCCAAGTTTATTGCTCACTAGTGGAGTAATCTTGGGCTACTGCCCTTGAACTGTGGTTTCAATACTACCTATAAAAAGCGATAAATACATACATTTATAGATACACATATATGTATATAACTTTTTGTCCTAAGGATCAAATGAGATAATATATATTAAACACTGTAAGTATAGTTCATTCTGTGAAAGGTGGTCATTGTTTTATACCCACTCTGATGATCCTGAATTAAAGGAAACAAAAGTTACAGACACGCTGTTGCTATACTGAAAGAATGTGGGCTGGAATGATTGAGGGAGTTTAAGAACATTCCTCAGTCAGATGGGGAGAGAATTATAGCCATGTTAAGTGAGCTCTTGGTAATTATTCAGAGCAAAGTCAGCAGAATTATTTTGCCACAGATAATACAGATAAGGGACCTGATAGAGTAAGTAGATTACCTCCTTTAGAGCTAATGCGAAACTATTTGGTAACATGAGAAAGAAAGTGGAAGAAATAGCACTTCTAGAGGTAACTAATGCTTTTCTGAAGATTCCTGGTTTTTTCCAGGGATCTCAGCATATCAACTGGACAACTTGATTAGACTCTATGTAGATACTGATGTCTGCGCATAGTCAGTCACTAGAGAAGGTGCACTAGTGGATCACTAGAGAATTATAAAAAGAACCTTAACTATTAATTTATGCAAAGGATTCTGGTAAGTTGTCTTAGATGAAGAATATGGTGCTAAAATTGCATCATTTGCAATCCTTGGTTGTGTGAACACAGTGTCACACTTTCTGGATTGATGATCTGCTTTTCAAAATTTGGCCAGTGGTTCAGCTATTTGAAGAAGTTATAAAGGCATCATCACAATGTTTAACGAAAGTGTAAAAGATCATCTGGGGCATCTCAGATTAATGCCAATTGAAAATCATAAGGGTGATCTGAAACACAACTTTAAAAATGCTAATTGGAACTTCCAGATGTCAAATACTCCACAGGAGATGGAAAATAAACAAGTAGACCTTCCTCCCCTCCACCCATTTTTCCTCATCCCTGCCATGTGAAATAACAAACAGCTTCAAATCACCTCCAACCAAAACGCAGCTGTTGTCTTCTGTATGTCACTTTCCCTGAGCCTCCAATGCGGCTCTCACCTCTAAAGCAAAGTACAGAAAATCGTTGTCTGCTTGGAGTTCCTAAGGCATGATATTCATCACCTGCTAGTATGACCTTTATCCTATAATGTTGCAGGTACTAAAGTAAGTGTTTGGTTTCCCATACATGACTTCAGGCAAAGTGCTAAGTGTATTCTTTGAGTCCTGGGACTTTGGACTCACAACACTTGTTGAATATTGGAGTTTCCTCTTACAGGACGGACATCTGCTTCCCACTGAGAAGTTGAGTACTGAGCCCTGGGTAATTTTAAAACTGCTCCACCTTCATCAGGACCTTTGGAGAAGCTTTCTTTGTCCTCATGTGGGTGTCACATTTGAAGAAAACCAACAAGAAGCCACTGAAGTTTTTAAGATAATTGACTTCCTCCAACTACATGGAAGACAAATAATTTAACTTAAAAAATAAGTGAGCCAGTTGTGATAGCCACGGAGGATGACAGTGTGGGAAAAAGATGGGTTCTCTCAGGCAAAGGGGACTGTGCCTCTCTAAAGCTATATGTCTGAGAGGTGGGGTGGTCACAGATTACATCAAATCTGGAGTATTACACTGAGATACTTATAATGTTTCATTAATCTGATTTAACTCAGCATAGGGAATGTAATTTGTTTATCCAGATCCTAGAGTATTAAGAGATTTGTGCAAAACTGAAATTTCTAAGTTGATTTTGAAGATTCCAGATGTTCCATTATTTATTCAAAATGTCAAATACTATATCATATACAGGCTTGGGGTTAGGTTTTCATGTAAGGCTAGAGTAGGATAAAACATACTGTTATGTATCTTTTAATAAAAGGATTAACAAGGGAAAGATATTTGTCTTCTATTCAGAAAAACTATTTAGCACTTATAGAGCTTTGATAAAATCAGGATTGTCAGAATCGTGATTTCTGGAGAAATATTAGAATGATCCAAGCTTCACTGCACACCTTTGAAATCAGACTCCCAATGTGCAATCACAAAGCAGGTGGGAGCTGGGGTTTGAAATCACTGTTCTAGATTAACTGCTTTCTTATTGGAGAATATGCACAAGAAAAAAACCAGAAAACTCAAGAAAGAGGCTAAAAAGCCTACCTCTGTACATTTCAGGGCAATAATTCTGTAAATTTGTCATCATTTGCAGTCTTAATAATTCCTACTCTCAGAGCCAGCCCAGCCTCAAAAATCTGCATTTTAACAAACTTTCATGTGATTCTGGTCTTAGGGTACCATTTTCAAACATTTCCTGTGGGCTCACTTTAATAAGAATGTGGCTGTTGTTAAGCAAAATGCTTTGTGCTATGAGAGGAGAATGAGAGTTGAAGCAATAATATTCAAGGTATGCAGTATGGTTTCACATGCTGTGATTTATTGATGATGATAAGTGATAGGTCATTCTAATCAGTCAAATTATCCATCAGGTATTAGTGTTGTGTTCCAACATTGAGCATCCCATGATCTGTGGATCCCTTTTGACTCACACGCTAGTTCCACAATGAAAGATTAGAGTTGTGCCCTCATAGAAAAATTGCTGGGGATAATGAGCATGCCATTTTCTCACTGACATTCTTCTATTAAATAATGTAGGTAATTTAATTTGTATGGATATACATTCTTTCTAAGGGACTTAAATATATCCCAAATCTCAATTTTTAAAGTAGCCCATAAATAGTTAATATATCATAAATTGGTCTTCATGCCAAAAGGTTCCAAGAAATTCTTCACATATATCACCTCATTTAATCCTAACAACAGCCCTATGAGATAGATACTAAGAATATTCCTATTTTACATATAAAAAAGCAAGGTGTAGAGACATTAAGAAACTTCGATACAGTCATGTGGCCAGTAAGTGCTGGAATCAAGATTTGAACTCACATCTGTCAGACTCCAGACTCATGTAAAAGAACCAAAGGCACATCCAGGCCTGGCTGATTCTCCCAAATGGACTAAAAATATGGGGAAATGGTTATATTTTATTGTATGGTTTAGACTAAGGAGCAAGAAAGCTGCTGCTCCTTTTCTGGACCGGGAGAGAATAATGGAGAGTGGTCTTCATTTGCCTAGTTTTAATCTATGATATGATGATGCTCAGCAAGCAGTGGTTCATGTAACCACTCTCATAGGGCTCTCACAGTTTAGTCCTCAGCCTGAGCACTGCCCACCGTACACCTTTCCAGAGAACATCACATCCATGTGTAATGGAAAAGCTCACGTATAAGTAAGGGGGCTTCTTGTTTAATTTGAAGTATATTGCTACAAATAGTTTTCTGTTTGGATATCAAATCATCTGGGCAGATATATGAAACTGATGGGTTGAGAATAGGTGGACATTTTTGAAACTCTCAAAGGCAAACAATGCAAGGTCCATAACTGTAAGCTACTAGGCAAACTGATGCCACCTCCTGACAAAGCCAGGACATTTTAGACTGTGAAATTATAGAGGAGGAACAGTCAGTTATGAATACAAAATGCTAACTGCAAATCACATCTCTGGCAATCTCAACTACCGGAACATAGCCAGAAACTAAAAAACAATAAAAAAAAATGACTTCTGAAACAGTAAAAGAGAAATCAAAGCCCATGTGCTTATCTCATACAGAAAAGCTTGGCTGTCACTTAGATCTTACTGACTTCTACTTTAGAAACAATTTTAGGAATCAACCCAAATGCCCATCAATGATAGACTAGATAAAGAAAAGTGATACATATATACCATGGAATACTATGCAGCCATAAAAAGGAATGAGATCATGTCCTTTGCAAAGACATGGATGGAGCTGGAAGCCATTATCCTCAGCAAACTAACGCAGAACAGCAAACCAAACACCACATGCTCTCACTTATAAGTGGAAGCTGAACAATGAGAACAATGGACACAAAGAGGAGAACGACACACACTAGGGTCTTTTGTGGGGTGCAGGGCAAGGGGGAGGGAGAGCATCAGGATAAAAAGCTAACGAATTTGAGGCTTAATATCCAGGTGATGGGTTGGTAGGTGCAGCAAACTGCCATGGCACATGTTTACCTATATAACAAACCTGCACATCCTAAACATGTATCCTGGAACTTAAAATAAAATAAAATAAAGATTTTTAAAAAAGAAACAATTTTAACAAAGTTGGTAATCAGCAATAAGTGGGGCAGATGCTAGTGTGAAGCACATTCATAGCCCCAGTAATAGCTGATAACTGATGGAGAAAAAAATCTTAAAAACTATTTTTAAAAATTCAGAAATAGAAAGTTACCACAGTGTGAGAATAAAAAAGGGTAATAGTTCAAAGCCCTGCATGTCTCCTGGTCATAAGGACATCATTCTACTACAGCCTATTAGATTCCATTGTATTACTGATAGACACATTAGTCACGGTCCATCAGAAAGTCATTCATTAATATGCTGCCTACTGTTTAAAAGGTAGGGAAGGATATAATCATTTGAGAAAGAGGCAAGGAGAAAGACTTTTCACTGTTACCTTTTAATCTTAGGGCCATGTTGTTTAGTCAGCTTGGGCTGCCATAACCAAATACCACAGACTGAGTGGCTTAACAGAAATTTATCTTCTTACAGTTCTGGAGGCTGAAAGTCCAAAACAAAGGTGACAGCAGGCTTAGGTTCGTGAGGCCTCTCTTCCTGACTTGTAGATGGCCTCCTTCCCACTGTGTCCTCACATGATCTTTCCTCTGCATGCATGCACTCCCCATGTCTCCTCTTCTTATAAGGACACTGGTTCTTTGTATTAGGGCCCCACTCTTATGACCGCATTTAACCTTAATTACCTTCTCAGAAGCCCTATCTCCAAATAGAGTCATATTGAGGATTAGAGATTCAAAATATGTATTTTGGAGGGAGGGGGGACAACAAAACATAACAATGTGAATATAATACTTATTCAAAAAATGAAATGAGTTTAAAAATAAAAAAGCAAACATTATCCTGCTGCCTCCCCCTCCTCCAGTTTATTGAATGTCTACTACGTGCTAGGTGTATGGTAGTACTGGAAGAAGATTAATCACAATAGAGGGAACTCACAATAGAGTTGCAAAATGAACAACAAGATATTTTAATATTTAATTTCCTGGGAAAATGAACAGTCATTTTCAAATGATATTTCTAAGATGTTGCTGTATACAATGTATCAAACATAGTATATGAGGTATGAAGTATTCTGTTCTCTTTCCATCCTCGTCTACTTTTATTCCTCTCTTTTCCCTTCTTAATTCTTTCTCTCCTCTTATTTCTTGCTTATATTTTCGGTAACTCTTCTTGTTCTGGATTAGGGCCTCTCATTCAAGTAGCCTGGAGACCACTGAAAGTTTCAATTCACTCTTGCTCATTTAAGAGAATTTAGGGCTCAGTAAATATTCTCACTTTTATCTCACGCTCTTGCTTAGGATGGAGGGTAGCAAGGATTCTAGTTTCCACAAAGGACTTGCTTTCACTCCTTTACCTTTCCCGTGTTATTAATATTTCAAATATCTTCTGCTTACTTACAGAAATTTATCCAATGAAGTATGATTTTGTAGTCAAATTATTGTACAAAGGGACTGAAGAAATGTGATTCTGGTTTCACTCTTTATTGTAAAGACCTATAGAAGGCCAAGAAGTCAAGGCAAGTGGTGACAATTTTGAGACCAGTGCCTGCAAAATGCAGGGTTTCTGGCTTACAGAATCACTCACCATTCTAATGAGATCTTAACTCATTAGCAGGAGAAAGCAGTTGCTGAACAGACCTAGTAAGTTCTAGGAAATGTTAAGAGGAATATTTTTTATCTTTGATTTGTGAGTTACGCTTCCTGTTTTAAGTTTGTTTTGCCAGACATCCAAGGTACGCCAGGGAGGGCATAATCTCTGTTCTGCTGCAATAAGCCTCCTGCACACATGACAACCTGGGATGGGTTATTAATATCCTATAATTTGCTGAAAGTATTGAAGCACAGCTTTATATCAGGTTTTTCTTATTCTTCTTCTTCAAACCTCTTGGCATTTCTCTTATCAAGATTCGACAGCAGTAGGCCCATAGCTCAGCTGCCTATTTATACTTCAGCACAAGACTAAGAAAACATTTCATTGCTATAGATAACTTTCTAAAAAGTTAGATTCCTATTTAATGTGGAAAGTTCAAGATTTGCCTGCTTAAAATTGTCAGTTAAGCAGTCACTGTGGAAATTACATTTACTGAGGGGAGAAGACAAGATTGAAAGGAGAGCAGATGTCATGCAAATGGCCTTCGAAGTAAATTTTCTAATGGGGGCATCGAAATTAATGGCCATAAAATCGACTTGAGCAAGTTCCAGGCTAATGACCAGCTGCAGAGTAAACATACCTCCATCCTGACCACCCCACCCTTCCTATTCTAATAACAGCTCTTGCAAGTAAAGATTTCCAATGATATCAAAATTTCTCATGTTGGTTGGGATGAAAATAGTCACAAATTAGAGTCCTATTGCCAATTTGCATACTGACTTCAGAATATTCTTAATCTGTTTAAATTTCTGGCATTCTAGCTGAAAGACAGGCTCACCTTTTAAATTTGCTCAATAAACACAATGTTCTTGAGAGCTAAAATTTTAGTGATATGAAGACATTTGTGACTTGAAGGCTATTTTACTGGAGATGTTTATCTTGCATAATGTCCGTGGTTTTAACATACTGTGCTTGATACATAAAATTCAGTGCAGTGGGGGCAGCTGTCCATGTAGACATTGAGATGCATGTTTTGCTGCTTCACTATTCCAAGGATAGTGTGTGTTTCATTGTAATAGATGACAGGGGAGGTGGGTAGCATCTTAAAATCGTGATGCTAGAGGTCATCTGTCTAGTGATTCCAAATCACAGCTTCACAGGCTGGCTGCAAATGAACTTGCTAAAAACACAATGTTACAGGTCCCACCCCTGGGAGGTCCTGAAGTGGACCCTACAGGTTTGAAGTTTTTTAGGTTCCCTTGGTGATTATGATGTGTCATCAGAATTGGGAACCATTGCTCTTAAGTCCAGCACTTCATTCAACACAGGCAATCATTTATTCTTCCAAATCACAAACTAAAACTTCCTGGGCTAATGGGCAAAATAGACACAAAAACAGACTACCGAAACTACATGTAACTTGGTAAGAAGGCTGTTAACAAAAACACTGATAATAGAAAAATACCAGCATGGTTTTTAAAAGGTTAAATGCCTTTAAAAATGGATATAGTAAATATAAGACTTAATCTTGAAAGAAAGAGGGGAGTTGGTTTGATGGAAGAGAGTGTGAGAAAGGTTAAGTACTGAGTTTTTAAAAACCACAAATATTGGGAAAAACTGCACAAGCACATCCAAGTCAAAATACCTGGTCAAACTAAGCTAAGATGAACCTGGACAGAACAGACATGGGATACTGCATTGTGCTATATGGCTGGCTGTTTTCAGCAGCATGAGGGCAAGTTACATTCAGTGAGGGCTGCTCAGTAGTGCAAAAGATTAAAGGGCTGATGTGAGCCCAAAATGATCCAACATAACTTCTATGTTTTACTAATATTATTCCGCTAGCGGCCAGCTAGATAGGCACTATGTCACATTTAGAAATACATGTCATGATATCGCAGAACTAAATCAATCATCCAGATGGCATGTCTACCAAATGTTTATTCTCTTCTACTCGAACACTTCTGCCTGAGATAGCCTCATCCATTTTTGGACAGCCCTAATAATTAAAAGCTCTTCTGTATTTTGAGCTAAAATTTGTTTTTCTGTAGTGTCTACTCATTTATCCGAGTGTAATTGTGCTTCCACATGACACAGCTTTTCATATACTCAGAAATGGCCATCTTACTTTCCCTATATCTTCTCTTTGCTAAGCTAAGCATTCTTCAATTTTTCACATGCTTATCACATGGCATTGTTTTCAGTCTCTAATCACTCACCCTACCTCCCTTTAAAATGGCCACGGTTTTGGTATCCAGAATTATTCACCATAATACTCTGAATTTAGTTGATCAATACAGACACAACTATCAGGTATTTTAGGATAGGCATTGTATTTCTATGGAAGCAGAGCAAGCTAAATAGGTTTTTGGCAGGAAAATGACATCATGGGTGCATATTCTACTTGCAATTACCCATTACCTAACCTAGAGGGTACCTTCTAACCTCAAGGAACACCCTTGCCCTTGGTTACAGAAACCTAATACAAAGCCTCTGTGGCTACTTGATCATTGGCAGAGAGTTCTACCTGGCCTCACCTTTCCAGGTCCTTCTTCATACCTCCCTAGGCAACAGCTATTTATGAATCTGGACACTCCCTTGAAAATTAGATCATTCTTATCACATACCATTTTAGACTAGCTACCTAACTTTGGACTAGTATGTCCCTGAAAATATTTTTATCTCCCTCATATTGAGGAGAGATCATGCGCCTGAATGGAACCCAGACATTCAAGTTACCTCTTACCAGTCCCTTGGGTAGCCATTCTGTCCCCAAAAGGAACATGAAAAATCTTAAAGCCCTAAGCATGTTTTTAGCATGCACTTCATTTAAATCACATCTTTCTAGACTCAGCAATAGAGGGTTTTTTTTGGCACACAGTTGTTGGGTGATACATTCATCCCTGTAATACTTTACACTGTTAGATTTGCCTATCATGTTGTGGTCCCCATAGTTCTGAAGTATTATCCAACATATTTGTTACACTTCCCCATCTGTATCACTTGCTAATATGACTTTCATGACAGCAATAGATTTTTCTAAGTCATTAGTAAAACTGTTGAGGAGAAAAGACCAATGACAGATTCTTGTGGGCTTATCCCTAGTAACTTCTATCCATATGACATCGATCCATGAAACCACACTCTTTGGGTAACTGCTTTAATAAATTATAAACCTATAAAGCCAACAACTCAGAAATACACATAAAATTAATAAGTTATACTAAAAACTAAGGTCATGAAAAAAGAAGAAAAGCCTGAGAAACTTTGATAGATCAAAGGAAACTAAGGAGGCTTGATAAGTAAACACAACATGGCATCCTGAATGGGATTCTGGAATATAGAAAAAAGATAGTAATGGAAACAATGGTGAAATCTAAATGCAGTATTTACATTACTTAACAATATTATACCCATGTTCATTTCCTAGTTTTAACAAATAACCATGGTTATGTAATAAGTTAACGTTAGAGGAAGTTGGGTGGTGAGGGTTATATGAAAACACTCTGTACCATCTTGTAACTCTCTGTAAATCTAAAATTATTTCAAAATAAAACATTTTAAAAGCTTAAAAGTATTTTTGAAAAAGGCAAAAAAAAACTAATTTTTTTCTAAAAATTAGAAATTTTCTAAAAAAAAACCTCATAATTTCCTATTTATTTTATTATTATTTATCTTATTATCTATGTACTTGAGGTTATTTATTTCTATGGTATCTATATGCATACGTTGTTTTTTTTTCCTAAAGAGCTAGTTGTTAAACACTTACCAACCCACCACTCTTCAAGACTTTCATTACTAATTAGAAACATGGTAATAGTCTTTGCTCATGCTTTGACCATAGTAAACATTTTTAATCAATTGATTACTATGGAAGAATCTGACCCACTGCTATACTTACAAACAAAGTGATTGTGTGATGATGTAGCTTTGGAGCTCTTGTTTTGTTTATTTTGATTTTTAATACAGTTTAATTTTAGGGCAGTTTTAGATTTACAGCAAAATTGAACAGAAGGTATGGAAAGTTCCCATCTACTTCCTATCCCCATATGCATAGCCTCACCCATTACCAACATCCTCCACGAGAGTGGTACATTTGTTACAGTTAATGAACCTACATTGACACATCCTTATCAACCAAAGTCCGTAGCTTACAGGAGGCTTCACTCTTGGCGTTGTACATTCTGAAAGTTTGGATAAATGTACAATGACAAGTATCCACCATTATAGCATCACATAGAGTAATGTCACTGTCCTAAAAATCCTCTGTGCCCCCACCTACTCATCCCTCCCTCCTACCTAATCCCTGGAAACCACTGATCTTTTTACTGTCTCTACAATTTTGCCTTTTCCAGAATGTCATACAGTTGGAATCATATAGTATGTAACCTTTTCAAAATGACTTCTTTCACTTAGTAATATGCATTTTAAACTTCCTCCTTACCTTTTCATGGCTTGATAGTTCATTTCCTTTTAGCATGTTTTAGCACCATTGTTTGGATGCACCACTGTTTGTTTATTTTAGATCTTTTTTATTATTTTAATATATGTTAAATCTCTCTGATAAATTTCTGAATTGCTTTTCTGCATTATCTTGGAGATCACTGAGTTTCCTTAAAACTGCTATTTTGAATTCTTGGCCAGAGAGTTAACATATCACAGTCTCATTGGGGTCAGTCACTGGTTCCTTGCTTTCTCCATATGAGGAGGTCATAGTTTCCCATTTGCTGTTGTTTCTTATGGACATACATAAATATGTCTTTCTATTGAATAATTTGTTCTTTATTTCAGTCCTCTGTCTGGCTTGTTTAGGTTTTTATTGGATATGTTTGCTTAGAGATTCTTTGTAATTTATCTGTTGGTTTTCTTTCTTTTCCCCTAGGTTACTGCCTTCTTGGCACTAGATGTTGCCTTAAGCCCAGGTTTGTCTTGATTGTAGTAAACAATCAGAGTGCCACTCATCTCAAATGGTGGGTGTCTCAGAGGGGATATCCCAGTAGTGTGGGAAGGCTGGCTAGGGTTCATGCCCAAGGGATGTATGGAAAAAAGCCATCTACAGTGTGGTGCTGCTGAACAGCCACTCTGATTTGGCTTCTCCTTTGGCTGAGTTACAGAGCAGAGTTTCCAAGGCTGGGGATGGTAGTCCTATCTTCCCCCTTTGTCTTCGGCCTCTGCCGCCTTTGTCCTCAGGGATATTTCTTGGGGATATTGGCCTTTCCCCTTTGTCCTCGGGGATATTGCTCCTTTCAAGAACTCCTGATGCCTCCTGTGGGTTGAGGCAGGGACAGGTCTCTTTCCAGAAAACCCAAGATGGTAGGGAAGCTGGTTGTTAACCTCAATCTCACTTTCCAGTGTAGAAACTGTGAGTTGGGGAAAATTTTTCATAATCTGTGCCAGACAGATTGTGGAGAGCAATGTCTCAGATACGGAAGTTTGATTCTCTTATTGTGTGCTGGAAGTTGTTTCACTTCTCTATGGTCCCAGGAACTGTCTCCTCTCATATATGCGTTCTGGGATACTGCTGTTGATAATCTCGGCACCGTATATTTGCTTTTTAATTTTCTGTTACAGGGAGTAAAGGTAGTTTGCTTTTATGCAGCCATTTTGGAACTGGAGGTCTAGATGCATTTTTGTGTAGATTGTCTGACTGCATTTTCTACCATGGCTACATTCTTTCTAAAGCAACCAGGTTTTTCTGAAACCTGTAGTTATTTGAGGAATATTTTAAACACTAAAACCATAGGATCACTAGGATTTCCCTGTTGCACACACAAAAAATTACATCATTAACCATCCCCCTCAAACAATCATTCAAAGCGTTACTAACCTAATCACTCCATGTCCTATATGGACTGGGTTACAATCTTACCTACCTAATCCTGGCATGGTCAGGATCACATTTCTCATGTTGACTATAAAATTGCTGTGATATATCCTGCAAATGCTTTTCTGAAATCACACACATTGTGTCTATCGCAGTCTATAGACCAACTGGACAAGTAACTCATTTTTATAAAAAAATTAAGCTGCTCTGATGAGATTTGTTCTTGGTAAACTCCATAATTATGTATCACTTTCTTCTAAAAACTATGTGAGATGGCTCCCTTCTTTATTAGTTTGGTTGCAAACTCTGTGAGACTCAAACAAATGTGAAAGAACTGCAGAAAACTGCTTCCTAATTGTCAGACTTGCGTACTGTGTTCAGAAAAACACAATAACAAGTCTTGCTTCAGAATTGCTTCTGTTTACCCTCATTTTGATCAAAAGCAAGTAATTAAGAAATTTTCTCTCTGGAAGACTTCTAATAAGCACATTTCCATTATCTTTAACCACACAGTGTGAGCTGACTTTCTTTTCTTACTGAATCCTGTAATGTGGATGTGGACATGCATTAATCCAGCCATGGCTGAGCAGAGCTTATCAAAGACAAGAATCAAGGGTCCGCCCCCCTCAATACACAGATTAATAAGTGCAGGATGTAGCCTTCACAGCTAAGGAGTTGAAAAGAACGAGAAAATCTGGACCTCTTTGCATCCCAAGGGACTAGACATTATTTATGTTTTTAACGTAACCGTGTTTTACTGACAGCTGAAAATGTGACAAATTGGAGGACAAATTGAATAGTGAATTTCACAAATGATAATAGATACTATTTATTGTGTCAAATACTCTAGTATACACTGTAAATAAATTACCGAATGTAAAATAATGACATTTTTATCCCTTTTTCATGGATGAGGAAATTGATATTCAGAGATGCAAACTTGTCCTAGATGACCAGGGTGGCAACTGGTCAAGCCGGGATTTAAACACAGGCCTCTTGGGTGCCAGTCTTCATTCTATCCCTCTGACACTCTCTTTGGCTCTGTATTCATCTATACTACTGAGCAATAAAATGGGGAACTCATTTTTGTGCAGTGAGAGCCACATGAAGTGGTTCTCATAGACTATTAGTAAAATCTTTCAAACATAAATGTATGGGCTCATAAGTTATTAATATGTACTTGTGATGCTACAATAACATGTATATTACAAAAGATACAAAAATAGAAAAATTGTAAGATGCTATAAAAGTTAAATATGTTCTAATATCTTCTTCTCTCATCTAGTGGGTAACCTTGTATACCCTTTTAACCTATGGCCCCCCTCACAACATAGAGGTTACTCTTTGCTAAATTTAATTAATTATATGATATCTTGGTATATTCTTATACAATTATTTTAAATAAATGTTTTTACATGACAGTTTATGATTATAAATCCAATTAACAGCAGGCAACACTGGCTACTTTTTATTTGTAGGTGACATGAAAAGAGCATGTCTCTTAAAGAGGATCAAAGGGTGAGAGCCAAACCTAATTTCTGACCTATCCCATGCCTGTGATAAGTTGAATATGTATTGAGCACCTACTATATCTCCCTATAACAAGTTCCATAGCCACATTGCACCATCTGGGCAGGAGTAGCAATAGCATTATTAACCAACAGGGTTTGTGGGGGAGGCTCCTGAAGATTAACAAAGGTTATAAATCATTGAGCTCCTGGTGGGATTCAAAGTGCGGTGTTAACATTTCCAAACTCAGATCTGTCACCTGTTCTGTGTACTGACTATGGATTTACACTAAATGACTGAAATGTTAAGAGTTTAGGCAAAACAAATAATATTTCAAGTGAAAGTTTCCATTTCTCACAAGAATCATTTATATTGTTGACAGGATACTTTATGTTTATCTAGAATACGATACAGGCTATACTTTTCTACCTTAAATTCCCAGCACATATGAAGTGAGAATTTTTCAGAAGAATAAACGTACTATTGGTAGCATAATTTGTCAGGAGTTAAGAGTGCAGTTGAGGTAATGACACTACAGAGTGAACCCTGGATGAATGACTATTTTTATGGTCTTCATGGTGACACAATTGAAAGTTCTTTTGGGTCGTTTTTTTTTTTTAAGACAAAGTTTCACTCTGTCACCCAGGCTGTAGTGCAGTGGTGCGATCTCCACTCACTACAACCTCCGCCTCCTGGGTTCAAGTGATTCTCCTGCCTCAGCCTCCAGAGAAGCTGGGATTACAGGCACATGCCACCATGCCTGGCTAATTTTTGTATTTTTAGAAGACAGGGGTTTTGCATGTTGGCCAGGCTGGTCTACAACTTCTGACCTCAAGTGATCTGCCTGCCTCGGCCTCCCAAAGTGCTGGGATTACAGGCATGAGTCACCGTGCCTGGCTTTTGTGTCATCTTAATTCCCTGGTTCTAAAGTTGTGTTCGGCGGAGTTCAAGAATGTTGCCTGCTACAGGGGTGGGGTAGGAGGAAAACGAGCAGAAACCTAGCCCAGGGTGCTCTGAGCCTCCTTCTCTAACCACAGCAATTCTCTTCTGATCTGTTTTATATACTGGGGATCCCTAGAAGATTCCATTCAAATAACAGGGTCCATTCAAACAATCAACATTTTGGTTAATTTTAAAAATTAACCAAAGCCCTAATATATGTTGGCCATCTTAATGTTATCTTTATAAGTAAAATGTAAAGGCTTCCTGCTGCTCATTTTTAAAACTTGAAGCAAAAATTTGAGCCACAAAGCAGATTTGATAAAACTCCAAGAGCAAAGAGGAATGTTTAAAAGTTCAGCAAATTAATAATGTTATAGCTTCTACATGTGTTCCAAGTTGAGATAAGAATACTTGGATCACCCAGTTAGAATTTCAAGTGGAGATATACAAACTTAATCCCTGCTGAGGATGACCTCTGACAATGTCACCCAGCCCGGCACACATCTGAGTCTTCATGCAGACATATCTAGAGGATTGATAAGATATGTATGGGGTTTTGAGGTTTCAGTTGCTGATTATCAATCTTTGTGGGTGCTTTGAGAGCAAAATCAAGATAGATAAAACTTCTAGCATATGGGGGGAAATTATAAAAATTAAAACACACTGAAAGAGCCAGTGCCCTTTCTCTGAAGGATTTTTCTGCAAAACACACTGGTGAAGAGGTGTCATTTTCAGGTTAGCTGACATTTTAGCCCATCAGTGCTGACAGCCTGCTCAAAACAGACCTTGTTACAGGCCTTTGCTACAGGCAAGGAAATGAACATGCAGTCCTAGGTAGTGGTAAGAAACCACAATTACAAGCACAGACAGACTGCCACAAACTTGGGGAAACAGAAATTGTTTTGACCTGAGTAACTTAGTCTCTCAGACAGGTCTAGTGCCTACACTCTAGAGAACACTCCTTACTTGGTCCAACCAATCCTATGGCTAAATAATGTACAACAGAAAACATACTTTCCAGCTAAGAAGGTCTATCTGCAGCTCACCTTTGCTCTTGTTAAATGTCCATCCTGAAATAGCTCCCTGCCTTTATCCAGATAATCTTCATTTATCAAGAACTAAATGAAATGCCCCCTGCTCTTTAATTAGTTCTGTTTATAGTAATTTCTCTCTTCTCCAAATTCACTCATTCATTCAACAAATATTTACTGAACATCTACTATGTGCCAGGAATTGTAGTTGCTGTGAATACAATGGTGATCAAGACAGACAAAGTCCCTGCCCTTACTAAACTTAAAATTCTAGTGGGGAAGACTAGGGCAACAACGAAAATTATATATAGATATAGATAGATGTAGATACAGAGTTAGAGATCAATAGATACATAAGGATTTGTAGATAGATGACAAATAGATAGATAGATAGATAGAGGTGCAGTTATGCGACACATAACATTTTGGTTAATGAAGGACCACATATATGACAGTGGTCACATAACATTATAATACTGTATTTTAATTTTTCTATTTTTAGATATGTTTAGGTACATAAGTACTTACCATTGTGTTACAGTTGCCTATGGCATTAAGCTCAGTAACATGCTGTACAGGTTTGTACACTAGGAGCAGAGCAATAGGCTATGCCATATAGCCTAGGTGTGTAGCCTAGGTGCCATCTAGATTTGTGTGAGTCCACTCTACGATGTTTCCACAATGACAACATTGGTAATGATATATTTCTCAGAATGCATCCCCATCACTAAGTAACAGATAATGTATGTATACACACATCTACAAATATATTTATATATTACAACTTCAGGAAACAGTGCCATGAGGAAATATCAACCAAGGTAAGGGGAGCTGGTAATAGCCACTGTCTGTGTGACCACTTTCAATGTAACAGCTTGTATTCTGATTTAACTTTTAATCTGTGACTGTTTTGTAAGAGTCTTAAGGGAGAGATGTGCTATCTTCATATCCTCCACAAAGCCTAGCTCAGGTCTTACAACAGGTTTTCAATAAATATTTGTTGCATTTCTATTAGATGACATCCATTTACCAGCATCATGGAGAGGGATTTTGATCTAATGTTGACTAATGGGCTGGCTTGAACCCCACATAAAGATGAGACTCTTTGGGGATGGTTTGCAGCTGTCATAATGACAGATGCTAATTTAAGTCACAGAAATTTTGTTTTGAAATATGCCTAGCTTTCATCTATGCATACTTATTGTAACTACACCGTGGTGGTTCTTAAGATATAACACCTACATTTTCTCTATTTTCTGGAATATCTCTGACTCTATATATTTATATTCTCTTCAAAATAAAGTTTGTAACTATGCTAAACTTGTTAATTATGTCGATAACTTTAATTTCATATTTAAGAATTCTGCACGTAAGTAAATCCATGAAGCACTGGGAAAAAAAACTCTAAGTAAAACAGTGTCTATGGGTGCTCCTTTTCTGTAATGTCTTCAATTTACTTATGTAACCAAAATCTGAATGGCGTGTTCTTTATGCCATTCTTTGCCCTATAAGTCAGTTACATTTTCTAGTAAGTCTATCTATTAAATATCTTCGAATGTCCATGACCACAGGACTGTCATGGGTGAAGGATGTAGAAATGCAGGCAATGATGAAATACTGCACTTGCCCTGGAGTGTGGTGACCAGCTAGACACTTAATGTGCTAACTTTATCAGCAGCTTTCATTCCTCTCCAACTCGTTATGATTCAGAAAGCAGAGCATCCTTTCAGGACGACCTTCACATGTGGTTGTGGTAAACAGAATGTGTGATCTGAAGTCAAATAAATGGGATTCAAATCCTAATTCTGACATTCACTGGCCAGGTGACCTTGGACAAGGTGTTCCATCTCTCTGTATCTGAGTTGCCTTGATGTAAATGGGCATAACAGTAAACAGCTTTTCTAGCTGTGGTGAGGATTAAATGATATATGATATGTAAATGCCTATTAAATGCCTTGTGTATAGGGGGATCTCATTATTTTGTCTCTGTTTTTATCATTATTTTTCACTTATAACCACTTTGTGCCAAGTATTGAAATAGGAATTTGAATAAAATACCTTCTAAGACTTCAAGGAACTTATAATTTAAGTCTAGATAAGGAAAGATAAACATAAGCAGACGATTCCAATGAATGAGTGGATAGAAAGTAATGAGTACACTGCTGGAAAGGTGCCCAGATTAATTTGGGAGCTTGAAGGAAGATTACTGAACTCATGGGGTGTGAGAAGCCTTCCCACTGAATATCACATAGCAGGTCCTAAGGGGTACATTAAGGTAGAATGGGAAGAATGGAAGGGCAGTCCAGGTACAGGGAAGAGTGTGAGTAAAAGCATGGAAGCAAGGCATAGAATGGTATGTACAGGGAGCTACAAGCCATTCAATCTTGCTGTCCACAAAGTCTAAGACAGAGAGTGGTGAGCATGGAAAGATGAACTGGAAAGATAAGCGGGAAGTGGCTGATGGGGTTAACTTATGGAGCTATGTCATGGTAAGTATCCTGAATACCACCTGGTACAAAATTGATAGAAAATGCAAGTAAAGTATTTAAATAAAGAATTGACATGGCTATATTTATTCAGGCTGGAGTATAGTGGCACAATCACAGCTCACTGCAGCCTCTGCCTCCTGGGTTTAAGCAATTCTCCTCCCTCAGCCTCAGTCCTCAGTAGCTAGGGCTACAGGCATGCACAACCAAGCCCAGCTAATTTTTGTAATTTTTTAGTAGATACGGGGTTTCACCGTGTTGGCCAGGCTGGTCCCGAACTTCTGACCTCAAGTGATCCGTCCACTTTGGCTTCCCAAAGTGCTGGGATTACAGGTGTGAGCCACCATGTCCAGCTGACATGGCAATGTTTAAATAAAATATATCACATTGGTGGTTACACAGAAAAGAGATTAGATGAAGATATCAGGAAGTGGAGAGACACAAGATTCTGAACTAGGGCATGGTGGTAGGGATGGATTCTAGAATCAAGAATTAGGTAGGGCTTAATATAGAGAGGAAGAGGTAAAGGAGAACCTATAGGTCTCATCCTAGGTGATTGAAATGCAATAAATTAAGAAAGTCCAGGGAAATTGTGAGGTTTCTAATCTCACCCTATCCTCCAGGATCCTGAAATATCCTACAATTATGGCAGTAGTTGGAATGGAGAGTGATAGTGAAAGCTAGAGACTTCCATGAAATAGAATGACATTAGGGCTCCATAAGCAACAGTGTACCAAGTATACCATGGTATAGCTTAGTGGGATCAACCTCCCAAAGGTATGAGTTTTACACAGGGTAAATGCAGGCCTGTGTGAAGTGACAGTGAGCACCTGAGAACACTAATAAACACTCACCCCAACTTTCCACCTGTACTGTGCACATTATGGAAGAATAATAGCTCCACTCAACAGGTCTGAGGGAGGGACTTGTACTGGGGGTGCAGCCAGGGTTCAGGCAAGACCTAAGAGGAAAACAATAATCTCTGAAGGGAGCTTAAGGGTTTAGGAGGTTTGTTAGTAGTGGCACAAGATTTTCCCTCACTCAGACCTATCAGTTCCCATACTGTCTTCAGTGGTGCCAATATTAAGTGCTCTCTAATTTATTATCCCTTCCCCTCTTAACAAAGCAGACTATTAACTGTTCTGACCTCTGCAGCCACGTGCTCTTCACTGATGCAATGATCAATGCCCATAATATATCTCTTTTCTGAGAAGTTCCAAGCACCTCAAAACTCATCATGGCAGATGAGCAGCTTTTAAACTGTTTGCTGCTGGAGCCTCGATGTAGCCAAGATCGTGAGTGTCAAGGGGCTGTGGTCATGATTGATTCTCCTGATGGGGCGGGGTGCAACTTCGATGGGGACCCTCAGGAATACATCTTACTGTTATCTAACTGGTACCTGAAGATGGGGTTACTCAGTGCATCCCCTCACTAAACAAGACCAAACTGGCTGAGTCTAAGGATTTCCATTACTTTGCAGCATTGCAAGAAGACTTGCTAATGGTTCTGAACTTCTGACTTTAAAATCCATTCTTAGTGAGAATGTATGTGAATGCTCTGACTCCGCTAATAAAATATTTACAGGGAGGGATGCCTGTAGAAACCAACAAGAGCTTATATAAATTGAGGGAGGAGTTGCATCCTTGACTATATATAAATTCAAAATGATAAATATATGTTTGTAAAACACATAGAATTCTCTTTATCCTCTCAGGGTTGGTAGTACTACCCTTTCTTCGTCAACTTACAAGTTCAACGCTAACAAACATATCTACTGAAATGTGTTATTCAAATATAGAGGTTATTGAAAGCACAAGCAGTACAGGAACTAAAACTAGATTCATTCCATTTATTAAACCCTGCATTCAACTATACTGGGAAAATGGATGTGTTCACAACAATACTTTTAAGAAAACTCTTTCCAGATAGCATGTTCAAGGACAGAGGCAAATCCAAGGTTTTTACTTTAGGCTTATCCCTCTCACAAAATAACTCAGCCATGATGTTCACGGTGTTGATGCCTCCTCTTCTATCTTCGGAATCCCTTCTTGGCTGTTTTAAGAAAATATAGAATTAACTTTAGATATACAACTAAGAGACACCTTGACATGTCACCTGGTTGGTGAAATTATTTTGAGAGTGGCCTTGCCAACCTTGTAAAATGTAAATGAAAAGCATACTAGCATGGATCGCAGACTATTTATGGTATGATCATGTGAAATTGCAGAAGCAAAGAGACTGCTTGCTTTTCAGGAAGGCTGGATTGGCATGGAACACCCTTTCCATGGGTATGTTTCCTGGCTGCCTTTTGGAATCAATTTTAGGGCAAAAGCTTGTGAGGCTGGAGGCAGGAAATGGAGAAAATCTTGCATAACAGCAGTTTCAACGATATAGTTGATATAGTCGCTTTTTTGTAGAAAGTAAGAGAGAGGACACTAACAGCTTATTTAAATAGAATGACTCAAATTGGGTTTTGTGAACAAGGATTTGACAGAGTCCATGCTAAGCACATTTGCAAACAGAGAACATGAGGAAACTGCTTGCATCTTTGCTTTTGTCTTCAAAGTTGAGATTTTCCTTTTCAAGTGCTCTGAGCACCCCTGGTGCCTGAAGACAAGTTTGTGAATGCTCATACCCAATTGAGAATATTTGACATTTACATTTCAATAACATCTGCAAGATTAATTTTGTTTTTTCCACTGCTGTTGTGTGCAATGCAAAGAGCTTTATATCTGCCCAGAATAATCATGGTTTTTACAATCTGTAGTTATGTCTAGAGGCAACAGATTCAGGCAGGAACCTACAGAGTCAGGAGTTTGTAAGTTGTAGGGTTCGGCAACTAATAACCTCTGCAGACTTGAAAAGTCCTATTCAAAAATAAGTGTCTGTGACCTTTCAGTCCTAGCATATAATTAAAAGTGACAGGTAACCAGTGTTTCCCCATTGGCCAGTGAAACATGGCTGGGTTGGAGATGTTATCTAAGCTGTGGTAGTTATGGAATGAAGCACCAGTTCTCTCTACTTATCTAAAGTTAAATTTGTTTATTGAAGTTGAAGCTGTACTTTTTTGAAACATAAAGGACTAAGCTGGGCATGGTGACTCACACCTGAAATCCCAGCACTTTGGGAGGCCAAGGCGGGAGGATCTCTTGAACCTAGGAGGTCGAGGCTGCAGTGAGCCATGATTGTACCACTGTACTTCAGGCTTGGTATTAGAGCGAGACCTTGTCTCAAAAAAAAAAAAAAAAAAAAAAAAAAAACCCATAAAGGACCGAATGGCCTCTATCTTACTGAATTTTAATTAAAATCAACATTTATTAGTTGTCTTCTATGTGCTAAGCAAACTGTAAGAGACATACAAATGATTTACACTAAAATAGTATACTAAGAGGATAATCCATGTGATACTACAGTGCATAGGAAAAAATAGTGTCTGATATTAAAAACGGAATCCCAATATTTTAGTTCTAAAACCTTTTCCTCAATGTATGTTTAAGAACGATACTAAATGCAATGGTTTTCTTTCTTCTTTTGAGAGAGATAGGATCTTGCTTTGTGGCCCAGGCTAGTCTCAAACTTCTGGTCTCAAGTGATTCTCCCACCATGGCCACCCAAAGTGCTGGGATTATGGACATAAGCCACTGTACCCGGCTGCTGAATGCAGTTTTATAATTGTTATTATTATGCAGTGATCAGTCTTTAAGAAATGGTGTCCTGTGTCCAAGAACACTAGAGAATCTTGTAAAATATCCTCTGATGCTGAACGCGGAATCTCTTCACTGATGCAGAGACGGCATTCACCATTAAGAAACCCTGAATTACGTATTCTAAACTGGCTATTTGCTGGTCTCTGTATGCCAGAGGTCTTCAAATTTTCTTACTTCTGTCCCCTAAAATAAGTATGAAAGACTAGATACTCCTGTACATATCCTTAGGCTGTTACCTAAAACACTTCACTATTAGTTTAAGTAGTTGCAAAGACATAATTTCAGCATATTACAAATACTTATAAATATCAATTCTTTCTTTCTTTTTTTTTTTTTTTGAGACAGAGTCTTGCTCTGTCACCGAGGCTGAAGTGCAGTGGCACAATCTCGGCTCACTGTAACCTCTGCCTCCCAGGTTCAAGTGATTCTCCTGCCTCAGCCTCCTGAGTAGCTGGAACCACAGGCACATGCTAACACACCTGGCTAATTTTTGTATTGTTAGTAGAGACGGGGTTTCATCATGTTGATCAGGTTGGTCTCGAACTCCTGACCTCGTGATCTGCCTGCCTCAGCCTCCCAAAGTGCTGGGATTACAGGCTTGAGCCACCGTGTCCGGCAATATCAAGTGTTTCATTACAATTTTAAATAAATGCAATGAAATCTAAATGCCATAGTGTTTTTATACACATCATCATCTATTTAAAAGATACATGACTATATTGGTCCGTTTTCACACTGCTATAAAGATACTACCTGTGACTGGGTACTTTATAAATAAAAGATGTTTAATTGACTCACAGTTCTGCATTGCTGGGGAGGCCTCAGGAAACTTACAGTCATGGTGGGAGGCAAAGGAGAAGCAAGCACCTTCTTTAAAGGGGGCAGGAGAGAGAGAGTGAGAAGGTGGAGGTGTCAGACATTTATCAAACAACCAGATCTTGTGCGAACTCACTCACTATCTCAAGATCCGCAAGGGGGGAAATCTGCCCCCATGATCCAATCACCACTAGGTTCCTCCCTTGATATGTGGAGATTACAATTCGAGATGAGATTTGGGTGGAGACACAGAGGCAAACAATATCAATGACCATGCTCTTTGATGACTGGACATTTTACCCAATATTTTGCCTCTTTGTGAGGTTTTTTCATTTCACCTCCTTCACATAATTTTGCCCTAATGTAATATGATGTTATGCTTGGAAATATTTTATTGATAGCCCTACCATATTTCTCTGCTATAAATATATTTTGAAACTGAAAATTACAAGAAAAAAGTTTTTTGTTTTGTAAACATGAAGCTGTAAGTATTAAATTATTTTTCTGTACTGTTATTGTTACAATTATTAGTTGTACATGGTTGATTAAATAAATATAAGTATGTTTCAAATTTTGAAATGTAATTATTGTACAGAAAAAGTAAAATGCTATTGGAAATCCACTTCTGAATGCAATATATTTCTTTCTCAGTTAAGGTAATCTTGGATGAATATTATTTAATGCTGAAACAAAACAGGATTCAACATCAGTTCAATCCTTATTACCATCTTTTAATGCATATAAGTGCTGAGTAATCATCTGATGGAAATGAAGAGTTCTGAGTTACCAGTTTTTTATCTCCTGAGTTAGATGCCAAAAATCACACAGTGATCTATCATCAATGATTATTTTTTCATGATCTTTCATCTGACAATTTAAAGAAGTCCTCTTCAATCAAAAACTAACAAGAAATTGGAAAATCTGACTTATAAAAGGGTATGTTACTGAGTCATTATAGTGATTCACTTTTTAGTTCTTGGGAACTATAGCAACTTGTAAAATCTGTACAAAGACTCATCAGCGGATATTTAATTCTTAATTAAACTCATTCTAGTCTTTCACTTAGAGGCACCTTGTTTGTGCATCTTTAAAATTAAGTGAAACTGAACTTAAACATTTTAGGCTTTTTCCTATTGTCTGTGAACAAAGACCTATATCTTCTTGCCAGACTTCCATCTATTAGAACATATTAAAGCAACTTTAAAAGGGCATGGTAAATAGACAGACAGACAGGCTTGATATTTAAATAGGTAGATAGCTAGCCAGATATACAGATTGCTACTTCCATTTCATAGTAGAAGATTATTAAGTGTATAATTATGAATCTGACAGAATTGGAATTGCATATCAATATCTGAGAGGGAGTCACTGATCCTATTTAAATAAAGTTGGCTCTTCAAAATCCAGCACATTACAAGCTAGATTGCATTTCGGGAAAAGCGTATTCTATACTTAGAAATTAACATCAAGAAGTAGTAAGGGCAGGGCTTAAAAGTGGATATGAGTGCATTATTGATTGTTGTTAAATGCATTATTTACAATAGAATCCACACATATTCAGGTTAAATTAATATGTATCATATAAGGAGATGATAGAAATAAAATGAATTTGCAGAAAAGAGGTTGAAGAATGACCATGAGCAGAAGCTTTGTTCCCAATAAACAAAACTGGAAGAATATGGGTTTATATTATCCAGTTATGGTTTGGTAGGTCACGAAATTATTTCTTTTATAGGTCTAAACAAATGTGTAAGAAAAGCTACCTCTGATATGTTTCAGTTTCACAAAAAGGTCATGATGATCTGTTGAAAGTAAGCACGGACATTTTTACCTTCCTCTCTTTGAAATTATACGAAATATGTAACTACATACATGTACTCTCTTGCTCTCTTTTCGTTATTGAAAATGGTGAATGTATCAAGATGATGTGCTTCATAACCAGTTGACTATTCCCCAGCATACTTGTTACAAATCTCAAATATCTTAAGATAAGCTTGTATGGTATGAGTATATAGGGATCCTGTCAAGAAAACAAAAACCGCATGAAGCATTTTAACATAAAATCTACTATAGGGACTTGGTTTTCCAGATGGTGGAGGGCTGAATAGACAACAGGGCTCGCCGGGGTAACTCTGATGTACAACAGCAGGAGCAGCTGCTGTTCAGGGAAGAGGTTGGAATAATCACAGCCCAGAAGCTCTGAGAAAGAGCTGGGGCTCAGACCTCTGAAGAGGAGCATGACCTAGCTGTTGCCATTACTTCTGAGAACATACCAACAGGCTGGCTCTCAGGTTTTCAAAAGAGGCTGGAGACTGGAACCAACTGCTGCTGTCAGGCCAAGGTCACTGTTGGGATGATGCTGAGAGGAACAACAAAAAAACAAGAAGAAAGCCCCTTCTCCCACTAGATGCTAGTCTCTCTCTAGCATCCCTATTTGCAGACTGATGTGGTTTGGCTCTGTGTCCCCACCCAAATTTCATCTTGTAGTTCCCATAATTCCCACCTGTTGTGGGAGATGATTGAATCATGCGGCTGGGTCTTTTCCATGCTGTTCTTGTGATAGTGAATGGGTCTCACAAGATCTGATGGTTTTAGAAACAGGAGTTTCCCTGCACAAGCTCTCTGCCTGCTGCCATCCACGTAAGATGTGACTTGCTCCCCCTTGCCTTCTGCCATGACCTTTAGGCCTCCCCAGCCATGTGGAACAGTAAGTCCAATAAACCTCTTTCTTTCATAAATTGCCCCGTCTTGGGTATATCTTTATCAGCAGCATGCAGACAGACTGATACATAGACCCTTACAGGAAGCCAGTGGGCAAAAGAGAAAGAGTCCTAGGCCAGTCCCATGTAGTACTGTACAGAAAGGAAGGTTTGCAGCTGAAAGGTAAAAAACTGCTCAGCATAAGGCTGAGCCTTAAGCCTGTCACCGGGATGCTAGTGGCTGCCTCCCCAACTAGCAGACAGGCACCCATGTTTGTTTTCTTCCCACTATTGCATCTCAATGCCTGGAAAAGAGGCCAGAACTTAGTAGGCACTTACTAAATATTTGTTGAACCAATTCCGAAGAAACGGAATCTAATCATAGATATCTCTGATTGCAAAGCCAATGATCTTAATTCTTTTCACTGATGCTACAACACCCACTGCCTTTGAGAAGGAATCAACCAAAGAGAATTGCTTCCTACTTTACAAGTTTGCCTGTAAGGGGCCTTGGCAGCCCATTTTATTAATGTCTCCAGTGCTATGAGAGTAAACCAGCAAGAACTGATACAACATTGGCAGTGACTAATGACTTCAGTCTGCCTCTTTTCACAACACAGAAAGGAATTTTACCTGATGACCAAGTAGACATAAGATCTTTACAAACTGACACAGTCCAGATTTTATTCTGTGCTTAACTGGAACTGCAAAAACAAAGTGATAACTGTTACAAGAATCTCAGGAACATTTCAGACATGATTGTTTTCCAAAAGAGAACAATATATGTATATTACTCTTTATTAAAACCCATAAAAACTCAAATGACACCAGTGGCAAATAAGAAGTTGTAAATAAGTCATGGCCTTCTTAAGCCCATGGATTTGCAGCTAGCTCCTGACAATGTGTCTCTAACCTCCTTGCTGGATTCAGTCACACATCACTGCACAATAGGCATTCTCTGCTCTTTAAAACCCTGAGATGCCAGTGCCATTCTCATTTGCATTTTTAAAAAGAGAAAGAAAAAGAGGAAGTTTTGGAGATTAAAAAAACAGGTACATTGTACACAACACTATGACAATCCAATGGGGGTACATATGTTCTAGCTGTAAGCTGGTAGGCATTTAGACTTTTGCTACCAGCCCCACTGGGCTCAAATAACCTTTCTCAATGGTGTCAGATGCATAGCAGAGTACCAAGTCCCATTCCCACAAGGGGAATAAGCAGACCACTGACATTATGGCCACCTTTCACCCAGCACAGAAATTTCAAGCTGCCTTACTTTTAGCAGCAGCTGGGCTTGTGTTCTATAAGACTGAGTAAAACTCAGCAGAACTTCTTTGGAAACTTGTGCCTGGCTCATTAAGACGTATTCTGATATCTTACACATTACTTTGATATTTAAGGCCACGTAAGGATGTTGTGGATTCCTGTGGCTCCTTTTGGCAAAAGTTGAGTGTTAGTAGAGTTTTGCTGTTGAATGTCATGTACCAAACCATTGTGTTTTCTGGAAAGACAAGCTGAGTTTTGCTTGATGCTTAGTTTGGAGAGGATAAAGTTTCTCCCTTTTCCCTCACTCCTGGGGTTGTCTGAGTATACTCCCTGGATTTCTGATCCAGGCAAATGGGGCACTGGGTTATTTTATATTCAGTCACACTCACCTGCGGTGGATTTTATGACACATATAGTATTAAAGCCAGAATTTCACTTGGAGAAATGAAGTGTTGGCATTGGAGATGGAAAAGCTTAGGTGGAGATTATTTTTGCAACCTATGGAGTAATGTTAGACCAACATATGGCTTCAGATGTATGGTGTCTCCTCCTTGGGCCCCCCTCTGTGGGGAAGGCCTTAGGGCACACAGTTCAGAACCAGGCTGCCTGAGCAAAGCTGACTTGTTAGATCAGAATGGCTAATGAACATGAGAACCACTGAGCCATCCAAAGGCAATTTTTATCATTAGTCTCCCACTCCCGCAACAGAAATTCTTTCTCTTTCTCTTTTGTCACCTCTTTATCATTGGTCTATAAGTCTGTTTCTGTTTCTTTTATTAATTTTTTTTTTGAGACAGAGTCTTGGACTGTCACCCAGGCTGGAGTGCAGTGGTACTATCTCGGCTCACCGCAAACTCCTCTTCCAAGGTTCAAGCAATTCTCCTGCCTCAGCCTCCTGAGTAGCTGGGATTACATGCACCATCATGCCTGGCTAATTTTCGTATTTTTAGTAGAGACAGGGTTTCATCATGTTGGCCAGGCTGGTCTCGAACTCCTGACCTCCCAAAGTGCTGGGATTACAGGCACGAGCCACCTTGCCCGGCCTGTTTCTTTTTCTTTTTTTTTTTCCTTGCTTTGTTCTCCTATGTCAGAATCTTTGCTGTTTCATGCTTACCCCTTAGTGTTTTCGGAATTAAAAGGTTATGGACCCCTAATGTAAAACAATCTTTAAATTGTGGTCGGGTTTTCTATAGAGCATTGGTGATTACAAGTGATAAAGACATTTTATAATGGTTTTATCATGCTAATTCATGGGACTGATGCTTTTATCTCTTTTATATAGAGTTGTAATCTTACCACCAAGAGCATTTTTCCCTGTACGTCAATAGTTCTCAAAGTGCAGTCTAAGGAACCATAGAGGTCATGGAGATCCTTTCAGGGAGTCTGTGAGGTCAGCATCTAAAAATAGTAATACTAATATGTTATTGATCTTTTTTACCCTCATTCTTGTTTTAAAAAAAATTTAGCCAAGTTAAATTTAAAAGAGTTTAATTGAGAAAGAACAATTCGTGAATCAGGCAGTGTCCCAACCTAGAGTAGGCTTGGAGACTCCAGCATAGCCACATGGAGGAAGATGAATGGATGGAAAAAGGAAAGTGACCTACAGAAAACGGACATGAGGTGCAGAAACAGCTGAGTTGGTTACAACTCAGCATTTGCCTCATTTGGACAGTTGGCCACATTTGATTGGCCAAAACTCAGTGATTGGCACAACAGTAGGCCACAGTCTGTTTACAATTCCATTTAGGTGATAGTTCACGACGTACAGAGAAACCTTTAGGCTGAACTTAAAATATATAAGGAGGCAGCTTTAGTCTAAACTTGATTTAAAATTATCTTACCTGTGTACAGTGAAGTTTTTCAGAAGTTACATGATATGCTATATCACAATAGACTGAATGCAGAAGCAGAAATGAGAATCCAGCTGTCTTCTGATATTAAAGAAATTAGCAAAACTGTAAAGCAATACCATTATGTTCACTAATGTTTTTGTTTTAAAAAATAGTTTTCACAAAATTATGTTATTTCTGTTAACATATAATTGGTTTATTAAGTTTATTATTGTTGGTTTTAAATGAATCAACCAATATGTTAAAAATATATATTTATCAGTAGATCTAATCCACATAAAAAAAAACTCTCTGGGATCTTCAATAATATTTGAGTATAGTCTTGGAACCAAGAAATTTGAGAACCACAGTGTTAGATTATAGCCTGACCAGTCAAGTATCAGCCTTCACTTCAGTGTAACTTCTGTAAAGTGCATACCTTCTAGGAGAATTTTAATAGGTCAAAATAAGCCCTGATAATTTGAACTCCAAACTGTATTGGGAATCTAACCACTGTTAACCACCCTAATCACATATACTCTAATCAACTTAGACTGAAGTTACTTTCCCCAAATCTGTTTTGTTGCATCCACTTGTATCCCACTATAATCCATTCTGAATATTGCAATCAGGACAACCTTTTTAAAATGAACTTCCTTATCATGTGCATTGCTTGTCCAAACCCTCCATTGGTTTCCCACCATACTAAAAATATACTATTGTATGACCTACAAGATCCCATATGATCCCGTTCTGTTGGTCTCAACCTCCTCTCTGAGCATTCCTGTTGGTCACATTGGCCTTCTTGCTCTTCCACTCATGTTATTCCCTCTGCCTAGAGTGCTCCTTCCTCAGATATTTTCATGGCTTCATTTACCCCTTTGTCATCTCTGAGTTCTCACAAAATAGTGCTCTACCTTCATCCCACCCATCCTCTTTATCCTCTTATCCTTATTTCTCCATTGCCATTTCACTGCCTGACATTATATTCCATATTATTTGTGTATTATCAGTCTCTCCCACTAGAGTGAAAGCTCCATGAGGGCAGAGACTTCGACAGTCCTACTTATCACAGTATATCCCAGTGCCCAGAACTGTGCTTGGTACTGAGTAGATACTCAGTAAATATTTATTGTGTAAGTGAGGCCTAAATGCCTAAAACTTTGTAGTCGTGTGCTAACTTAACATGTGCTAAAGGCCTAAAACTTTGTAGTCATGTGCTAACTTAACATGTGCTATGTACCTCTTAGCTCTATACTAGGTACCAGAATATGGAGATGAATAAAACACAGCCCAAAGCCTATACAGTCAACCAGAATGAAATCAGTCTTAGAAGAGAGGTACAGGTAAGGTGAGAGAGGTACTAAAGATAAAAGGATTTATTTCAGTGGAGAGGTTCACAGAAAGCTTTGTGATAGAGGGAATTACTGAAAATGTTTAGTGATATTGATTTCAGTGTTATCTTATCTGGGCTTTGCAAAATCTTTTCACTTTGTTGTAGTCTTAGCTGTAATCATTCAAGGTTTTTTGTCTTAAAACAATCAAAAGATTCTTTGGTTCATTCCTGCTATCAAGAGTCAGTTCTTTCAATAGGTGACAGAAGCAAAGTAACCAATTTTTGCTGGAAAAAAAGAAAAAATAAGAACAAGGACAAGAAGAAGAAAAGGACATGGTGAGCGGTGACTACTACAGTTCCCTGATGTTGAGGTTTTTAGGCCTTGGGCCCCAGACACTCAGATGGTTTTTATCTTGTAAACAAACCAAAAAAGAATAACTAAATTTCAGAAGATCTGTCTAGTATCAGGAAGACCCACAAAATCCCATCAACATTTTATAATAGACTTATAGAAAGCATCAGATCAATGTGCTATGAAGATTCCCATGAACATAAAAAGAAATGAAGATGAAGTATGTCAATGCACATTGCCCACCTCCACGCTGTTGCTGGAATAAGAACCAAGGATTCGAAAGATTAACAAGAGAAGGACCTAGAATCAGAGTGAGAGAAAAAGGAAATGAGGGTGGGAAGAGAGAGGGAGGAAGGCGGAGAATGAAGCCTTTACTGAAACTCCCCAGTGTTTGGAAAAAATATAAATATATAAATTTTTGCAATAAATAGCCTGAAATACCACAGAAATTCATGTCACCGCTAAATATTAGATGACATTTTGGTACTATTTGCCTCAGAACAGAGGTGAGCTGAGTCTAATGTCTCAGTGGTATTTCATAATGGAGAGATTTCAGTGGTGCCCTTTTCCCCAATTTGTATAGATTTTCTTGTACTGCATACAAACCTCCCAAGCTAGTCACAATCCTGATCTTTATCTCTAAGTCCTGTTTGAAAGTAAGCCTGTTAGGATATTTTAAAACTAGTAATATCTCATTAGACTTCTTCTGCTACTCTCTTCATCATCAATTCCATCTAGTAGGGTTTGATTCCTGGACTACCTATCCTACCACAACAGAAATTAGTTACAATGAAACATTTCTTATGAGTGAATAGTAGATCACGTTTAAACACTAGGTGATTCATCCATGTGTACTACTGCCCTCTCTGAAATCTCACATACTACAATTGAAATTTGGCAGAGTGGCCATCCCTTGATTGTTGACCTAACCAGGGAGATCCACAATTTCTCTTGGTGCCTGCGTAAAGGTCTGCTACAATAATGCGTATGTAAGGATGCTTTTAGCAGCAAGATTCATTAATCAAACTCAAACTGAAAACAAGGATAGGCATTGGTCCATGTACTAAAAAGTCCAGAAATACAGTGTGCCTCAGCATTGGTTTACCCAGGTGCGCAGCAATGTCGTTAAGAACTCAGGTTCTTTTTCCATGTATCTACTGTCTTTCCACATAGGTCACTTGCTCCTAAGGCTGGTTCTCCTCATGAACATAGGAGTGCTGCTGGTAGCAATCAGTACCACAGCTGTTTTGTTCACATCCGTGAAGAGAGAAAGTCACTTCCAGAAACTCTCAAGAGTAATAATATTCTTTCCCAGAAGCCTCTAGCAAATCTTTCCTTGAGTCTCATTGCCCTGAACTTCTAGTTTTGGAAAAGAGGATAGGCTTACTCTGACTGGGGATCAGCTCTCAAACCTTACGGCTGGAGTACAATGGGGAGAGTGAAATTGGGGTGACAATCATGGTGTCCACTACAGAGATTCTGTTGTCTTACACCAGGTTAGGGCAGTATTGGAACTTCTTTTACAGTCTTAGCTATATAACTATAATTCTCTTCAGCGCCACACAGCAAAACAACTTTTGATTGATGAGCCTTCCTACTGCTGATCTGTAAACAGTCCCAGCTTCTTTGTTTTATTTGTACCAGTTTATCTGGATTCACTATTGCTCCCCACCAATGCCCTCTTTACTTGTGAATAACTGAGTGGGAAGATATATTCTCTAGTTCTTGTCTTAGAAAAGAGAGGCCGGATCTTCATTCAACCCTACAGCTGCATGAAAGAAGACATTAATTAATGTGCTAAAGTTGACGACCTACTGAAGTGACCATTACAGGTGGTGGTGTTGATTCTTTATCCTCCTGACCATGGGAACCTTCACTGACCTTGGTGCATCTGGAGGGGTCAGGAAGTGACTCTAGGGGGTTAATGCATGTTGTCACTTTGATGCTGCAACTGCAGTCATTTTCTTCTATCACAGGCATGGTTTAAAATGGCAATTCATAATTCATGTTATCCTATTAGTATAGATGTGTACTTCAGCAGATATTTGCCATGTGGATCTACTTGGTTCATCCAAATACTTTAAAGCCTCTGAGATGCTGAGGAAGAGCTGGACACAAGAGCATCTCCTTAGAGGACTGAGATGGCCTGGAAGCATCCCAAAGGGAATCATCTGATGAGTAGAGATTTCCTTTAGAAGGCCCCCACTCCAGGCACACTTGGGCATTGCTTGGGTACACACAGATGCTTGCAACAGAAATCAACGAATCTAACAGGATTTCCAAGGGGCTTCCAGTCACAATGAGGAGTTCTTCCACGTCTGCTGGAATGTTCTTAGGCCTTTATAACTCTCTCCTTTTGGAGAAGGATGATGATTCTTTCAAATCTAATACTCACCCTCAAATGAACAGGGCATTTTATATAAGCTGTTTGCTTCTCCTGCTGTTCTTTTTCTAATGCTAGGGACAGTTAGTTTAAAACTCAATGAATCTCTTAGCTTGCACATTACCAGCATCCTCTTTTACCAAGAAAAAGGGAGATGTTTACTTATATCCTACTCATGGCTTCATCATGAAAAAAAGTTCCACTTTATAGATATTTTGTTCTGTTAGGTCTTCACAATACAGATTTTAGAGAATTGCTTTTTGGACATTCCTTGATCCAAATATTTGTTCAAGACACTGTAAACATGTGACTGGATACCAGACCATGTTATTAAATATCAAGTGAATCATCACTGTAAACATGTCTGTGAAATCTCACGTACAGCAATTTGAAAGTACAGGATCCCAGGGGAACCATGATGCAGCCTTGGGGAAGATCCTGGATGATGGCTTTCTACTACACAAAACCACAATTGGAAAGAAGTCAAGGAACATTTGCCTGTCATCCAGGCCTCCATTAATAAAACATAACTGGCCAAATTCCATAGAATGTAGCTGCTTGCCTATTTCAAGTTTAAAGTTCATTAATAAAAACAGAAAAAAAGGCCTTCTTGGGAGTTTTTTAAATTATAATTTAATAATTAGGGGCTGCAGAAAATTTTTTTTAAGTCAATGCCATCGTCGAAGATCATGGCAGTCATTCAGGATCATTCTGTTTGTTAACAAATTTGTTAAAGATGAGATAACCAAAGTTTCGGCACCATCAGCTGAAGTTACAACTTGCAAAATGTAGCCAAAAGGGGGATTAGAAGCCATATGCATAAGAGCTGGTGACATTTTCCAAGATGAGACAGTACATTCCAAAGGGAGAAGCATCATTCAGCATCATTACACAGCATGTTTCTTCTATCTGTGACAGATGTCCAAGCTGGCTTGAAAGGAGATAAGCCAATAGTTTTCCAAGCTGACTTAGAAACTCGACAAAAAAAATGGGTATCTTGTTACTGTTTGTCAGCATAACCTACCTTCTCTTATTATCTGTCAGTCTGAAATACCCCTCAATAATAAAAATGTCAAGACTTGAAATTTGCCTCTAAGTTTGTAAGGGAGCCAACTCACTATTTTCCCATTCATTTAACATCAAAAGAGAGAACCTCATTCTGACCCCATCACACCTTCATCTCTGGCTCAAACAGAGACCCATTCTGGAGCAGGAAGGACCTGGGCCCTGGTGATTGGGACAAAGAGAAAAATGATAGTAATTTGTTGCCAAAATCTGACTTTACTCCTGGCTTGGTTAGGAAGGCCTCACCTGGAAGTCTCTTTTTATTCACATATTGAGCCTCTATTGAACATCCACTAACAGGCCTGTGATGGATACAAAAGTAGAAGGCATCCATATAGAATGAGGGCAGTTGTTAACTTCTATTTTGAAAACAGGAGAGGAAAAAAGGGTACCTGCCTATAACTGGAAGCCCAAGAGAAATTCTGGGTAATCCATCACATCTTCCTCTGTAAGGCAAGGTATTTTGTCCATGTCTATAGGGAAGCCCCTGGGCAGTTTACACACTAGTTACAGGCACATTGTTTAGAGCAAGCTGTGAAACCCAGCTTCTCCACTCTGTAGCCATAGGACCTGGGCAAATTATTTAACCTCTCTATACCTCAGTTTCCTCAACTGTAAAGTAGAAATAATACTACTACCAACCTCAGAGGGCTGTCGTGAGGACTAAATTAATTTATATATGGAAAGTGCTTAAGATAATTAAAATCAATCTGAATAAATATATATGCAACAACTTATATCAGTATAAAACATATATTCCAACAAGATATAATAAGAGCTAAGTAAAACTAAATAAATTTTATAAGAATATATTATATATAATAAAAATATATGTAATAAAATATATATAATAAAACTACCACATTCTCTAAAATCACTTGTAGTAAAGTAATATAAACATTGATCATAAAAGATATCCCAATGCAGGAAAAACATAAAACCACATAAAAAGTCGGTCTTAAGGCTGATATGCCAGAGGGAATATATTAACAAATAATATAGGAGTAAAGGAAAATATTTTTTAAAGAGGAATTTTTTTAGCGACCCAGATCTATCTAATGAAGAGTAAGCTTATACTATCTTTTTCAAAAATGTAAATTTTTTCTACTTATTAAGCAGTCATTAAAATAATTTTAATAATATCATATTTTAATGTAATATAATAGATAATAAATACTTATCATTGTTAATAATTATGATAGTGATAGATCTCTCACAAACAAAGTAATAAAACTTCATCACTAACAACTAACATTGGATTAGGTCTTTACAAAGCACTTCCTATACATTATTTTGATAGAGCCTCACAGCCACCCTCCCAGGATAGCGCTATGCTTATCTTTTTTCTTAGATGGGAAAATTAAACTCAGGATGGTTGAATGACGTGCTGGAATTTGCATAGCTTTAAGTAACAGAGATGACCCTCAAATTTTAGTTGATTTTTCCTATCACACCATCCTCTAGAGAGGGAGCTAGGCATGTGCCCAATTGCTTAAAGTCAGATTGTTATAATTATTTAGTGACTGTTTGGCAGTGTTGATGTAGATGATGGTGGGTGGAGCTTCCCCCTCTAAAGTGCTTACCCAGCACCTTTTCTTTCCTTTTTTCCTGCCTCTATGGTTCCTCAAAATGACCAGTGCAGCTGTCTCAATATCAGATCAAAGCAATTCCAAGATGAAATAAACCTGGATGGGCTAAGTCACACTTTCTTACAGTCCTTTCTCATTATTACTATATAGCCTCATCTTGTGTAAGTCTATGGTTATTAAAAGCGACAGTATTCAGCAGGTTTACACATTTATTGATCAAACTTATTTCGAAATTACTTCAAGCTATCCTAAAAGAGCAAATTCACTTTTAAAGAGTAAAAATGTGCTACAAACCAGGGATATTCAATGTAGAAGAGAATTCTCAAAAAGAGGTTTCAGAAAATTTGGGTCAAAGGTACATCATTAAAATAAGAGCCAAGTTCTGCTTCTGCCTGAGTGTAAAAAAGATGGAAAAAGCATTTTTTTCACCCTAACAGAGACAGCTGAAGTGGCAAGACTACAAAGTTACCCAAATCCCAAGAAGAAAGAAGCCCCATCAAGAAGAGTGGGATGCACAGACTGGTACACCTATAGCAGAGTGCAGGCAAAGGAGGCACCAGCCACTGTGCACCCAGGCAAGACGAAATCAAATAAAATGTTAATACACTGCTAAAGGCCAAGCGTGGGCTACTGTGACAGGAAAGAGCCCTGGGAGCCCTAGACACAGAGGAGTTTGCACTCCAGCAGGCTCTTGGCCCCAAACCACCACAGGAAGAGTAGGGACAGATGGGAGCCTGGAGAGGACCCACCCTGGTAGTGCAGATGTGCAGAGTGGGATTAGCCCCCTCTGAGGGTATAATTCCTTCCCAGGTCCCTTCTCCCATATGGAGCAAAAGTCTTAAACCACTGGGGAGAGCAGTGAATCCTATTGTCACCACCCCCCAAACAAGGCACATGTAAAGATTCATTGCCCCCACCCCTAAAAAAATGGTTAAAAAAAACCAAAAAAACAAAACCCTTCACCTGTGGGGAAGACATAGAAGAACTACACCACTGAGGTCTCCTACCACTGGGGGAGGGGCAGGGATTTTCTTCCACACAAGATGCACCAGAAACACAAGACAGCTTGGCCGCTGCTATGGTTTAAGTGTGTCCCCCAAAGAGTTCACGTTTTAGAAACTTAACTCTCAATGCAATAGTGTTGAAAGGTGGGGACTTTAAGAGATGATTAGGTCACAAGGCCTCTCCCTCATGAGTGAATTAATGCCATTATTGTAGGAGTGGGTTAATTGTTGCAGGACTGGTGTACCTAATAAAGGGTGAGTTTCTCCTCTCTGCCCCAATGTGTGCTCTCTTTCCCTTCCACCGTCTGCCATGGAATAATGCATCAAGAAGTTCCTTGCCAGAGGTGAGAACATTTTTAAATTTTTTTGTAGAGATAGGGTCTCACAATGTTGCCCTGGCTGGTCTTGAAATCTCAGCCTCAAATGGTCTTCTCACCTCAGTCTCCCAAAGTACTAGCATTACAAGTGTGGCCCACCATGCCTGGCAGATGTGAGACTATTTTAAGATAGAAAATTGGTACTGAGAGTGAGGCTGTTGTTATAGCAGATACCTGCAAATGTGGAAGTGGCTCTGAAATTGGGTAATAGGCCAAGGCTAGAAGAATTTGGAGGAGCAGGCTAGAGAATGTCTAGATTGCTGTGAATGAAGTGTGAATGAAGTGTTAAGGGAACTTCTGGTGAGGGCTCAGAAAACAAGAGTTGAAGCAAGACCCTGCATCTTCTGAGATATTACTTAAGTGGTCTTGACAGAATGTTGATAAAAATATAGACTATAGACAGCAAAGATCATTCTGATGAGGTCTCAGATGGAACTGAGGAAAAAGGTAATACAAACTGGAGCAAAGGCCATCCTTATTACACAGTTGCAAAGAACTTAGCAGAATTGTTTCCATGTCCTAGGCCTTTATGGAAGAGGGACTTTAAGAGCAATAAACTAGGTTACACAGTGGAAGAAATTTCTAAGCAAAATATTAAAGGAGTTGTGTGGCTTCTTTTAACTGCATATAGTAAAATAGAAGAGAGAAATGATTTAAAGACAAAATTTATAATTAAAAGAGAAACAGGATTAGGGATTTGAAGGCTTCTCAGCCTGGCTGTGTGGTAAGAAATTAAGGACATTTTCAGAAGAGGAAATCAAAGATGCAGCCAAGCAACGATTTGATAAAGAGATTATTATGGGGAGAATGAAGCCTGGGGCTATTCATCAGAACAGTGGAAGAATAACCTGGAAGGCAGTTTGAAAATTACCAGTGCCCATGGCTCAGAGTGCAAAGGCCTAGGCCCTAAGAGAACAAAATAGGTCAAAAGAGAGGCCTAGGGTACTATATTAGTCTGTTTTCAGGCTGCTGAAAGAGACATACCCAAGACTGGGCAATTTACAAAGGAAAGAGGTTTAATTGGACTTACAGTTCCCATGTGGCTGGGGAAGCCTCACCATCATGATGGAAGGCAAGGAGGAGCAAGTCACATCTTAAATGGATGGCAGTAGGCAAAGAGAGCTTGTGCGGGGAAACTCCCCCTTATATAATCATCAGATCTTGTGAGATTTATTCACGATCATGAGAACAGCACAGGAAAGACCTGACCCCATGATTCAATCATCTCCCACTGGGTCCCTCCCACACACCTGGGAATTCAAGATGAGATTTGGGTGAGGACACAGCCAAACCATATCAGGTACCCTCTGTATCTTAGGGCTCACTGCCCAGGGATCCCTCAGTCTCTGCTCTCCACATTCTAGTGTAGCACTTCTCTGCCTCTCCAACATGGCTCAAGCAGGCCCAGTGCATCTCAACCCTCCATTCTGGAGTGCACAAGCAGGGAGCCTTGGTGACATCCATGTGCTAATTCTACAGATATGCAGAATGCAAGAATTGTTGGTGCATGGCTTTCTCTGGATTTCAAAGGATGTAGTGGACAGCCTGAAGGCTTATAACAAAGGCTCGTTACAGGGGTGGAATCACCACAGACAGTCCCCACTAAAGCAATGCCTAGTGAAGCTATGGGAGGAGGGCCACTGCCAAGAGTCCCCACTAGGCCGAATGGAGCCACTCCTGAGACCCCAGAACTGTAGAGCTACCAGTGTGTAAAGCCAGCCTAGAAGAGCTGCAGGCATAAGACTCCAACCTGTGAGAGTTCTGAGTGGGCTGAGCCCAGCAAAGTTGTGGGAGCAGGGCTGCCTGAGGCCGTGGATGCCTAACCCCCACCCCAGTGTGTCCAGAAGTTGGCCCAGGGAGTCAAAGATTATTCTGGAGTCTTAAAATGTAGTGTTGTTAGCCCTGTTGGCTTTTGGAATTACTTGGGACATGTTTCTCATTTCTTCTTTTCTGTTACTCCCTTTTGGAAAGGGAATGTCTAGCCTATGCCTTTCCCACCATTGTATTTTGGAAGTATATAATTGTTTAATTTCACGGGCTCACAGATGGAGAATAATTTGCCTCAGGATGAATTGTTCTTTGAGTCTCACCCATACCTGATTCCTATGAGACTCTGTACTTTGGACTTTTGAGGTGATGCTAGAACAAGTTAAGACTTTAGGGACTATTGGGATGGACTTAATGCATTTTGCACCTAAGAAGAACATAAATCTGGGGAAGGACCAGAAGTGAAATGCTATGGTTTGAATGTGTGTGTCAAAGCTCATGTGTTGGAAACATAATCCCCAATACAACAGTATTGAGAAGTGGAACTTTTTTTTTGTTTTATTTTTTATTTTTTAATTTTATTTTATTTTATTTTTTGAGACAGAGTCTCGCTGTCTCCCAGGCTGGATTGCAGTGGCACGATCTTGGCTCACTGCAAGCTCCACCTCCCGGGTTCATGCCATTCTCCTGCCTCAGCCTCCTGAGTAGCTGGGACTACAGGCGCCCGCCACAACACCCAGCTAATTTTTTGTATTTTTAGTGGAGATGGGGTTTCACCGCGTTAGCCAGGATGGTCTCGATCTCCTGACCTCGTGATCCACCCGCCTCAGCCCTCCCAAAGTGCTGGGATTACAGGCATGAGCCACTGCGCCCAGCAAGAAGTGAAACTTTTAAGAAGTGATTATGTCATGAAGCCTCTGTCCTTATGAATGGAATATTGCCATTATGGCAGGAGTAGATCAGTTATTTCAGGAGTGGGTTCCTTATAAATGATGAGTTTGTCCCCTTCCTTCTCTCTTATGTACATGTTCTTTTGCCCATTTGCCTTCTGCTGTGGGATGACATAGGAAGGAGGCCCTCACCAAATATAGGCCCCTCACCTTCAGAACTATAGGAAATAAAATTCTTTTCTTTATAAATTACTCAGTTCATGGTATTGTTATACCTACACAAAATACTCTAAAATAGTTGCAAAGAAGAGAGGAAGAAGAAACATTGAAAAAGCCCTACCACAGAGGTGTAGGCACACAGGACCAACCTGGGATGGAGTTTGGACGGGATGAGAGAATGGCAGAAATAGGAAGGCCAGTTAGGAAGTTATTGGAGAATCCAGGAGAGACAATAACAGTGACATGAGGCAAGATTATAATAGTTGGCAGTGGTGAAAAGTTGGTGGATTTTGGATCATTTCTAAAGGTTCAGCTAACATTTCTTGATGGCTTGGATGTGGTTAGGAGTAGGGTGACATGAATCTATTTTGCCCTGAACAATCCCAGTTTAAGTTGCTGTCTGGTCATAATTGGTTATAGCAGTTCCTTTCATTCTGAAAGTACCTTGTTTTCAAAGTAAATTATATAGACTCTCTAAGTTTGAGATACAGAGAGGAGTCAAGGATGTCTCCAAGTGTTTGGGCTGAGTAACTGAAACAATGAAGATCCTTTGAAATAGGGAAGGCTGTAGGTGGCACAAGTTGTGGGAGGGTAGTCAGGAGCTCTGTTTTGAATGCGGTGAATTTAAGAGGTCTGTGAGTCATTGAAGTAGAGGTGTCAAGTATACAATTTATTGTTCAAGTCTGTAGTCTCGGAGGGAGGACTGTGCTGGAGATATGAATGTAGGAGTCATCAGCATATAGATGGTATTTAAGAGGCTGAGAAGGCTCAGCTACTCAGGTAGGAGAAAAACCAACAGAATGTCATATCCTGGAAACCAAGTGTGTTAGTCCATTTTGCATTGCTATAAAATAATATGTGAGGGTGAGTAATTTGTAAGGAAAAGAGGTTTATTTTGGCTCCTGGTTCTGCGGGCTATATGAGAAACATGGTGCCAATATCTGCTCAGCTTCTGGTGAGGACCTCAGGAAGCTTACAATCATGGCAGAAGGTGAGGAGGGAGCCAGCATACCACATGGCAAGAGAGGTAGCAAAAGAGCTGCCAGGCTCTTTCAAACCACTAGCTCTCACATGACCTAACAGTGAGAGTTCATTACTGCAGGAAGGGTGCCTCATGAGGGATCCACCCCCATGACAAAAACACCTCACACCAGGCCTCACCTCCAACACTGAGGATGACTCTTCAACATGAGATGTGGAGGGGGCAGACATCCAAACCATATCACCAAGTGAAGGATGTGAAAGTTCATTTTTTAAAAATATTGTATACTTCTCATTTTACACTACGTCATATTGGCCTTCCCCCAAATTAAGCTGTTCTAAGCTTTAAAACACAAGTATCTGGAAGTATTCACTTTATTATGTAAAGCCAGAGATGAAATAAGAGACAACATGATATATTTACCAATTCAGGAAACTTAAGAGTTTAGTTCAAATTCTTATGTTAACTTGCTTAAGTCAGTGACAGTTGATTTGTGTTTTAAACCCCTTATTTGCTAAATGTTTTAGTCCTTCACTCATTCAGCAGGTATTTATTGAGTGTCTACTATGTGCAATACCCAACCAGGATCAATACCATATCACTTAATTATTAGAATAGATGTGATAATGTAAGTACTTTGGGAAATGTACTGTGTAAATATGGTACATGTTGCATACAATTTTGCTGACCATACTTCTTCAAAGACTCTTAAAATATAAGATATGCTACAACTACGCCTCTTGGATGCCTTTGGTTCAGTCTTGTTGGGAATTAGAAGCATGACCCAGGACCTTGTCTTAACTTGCAGTCATTTGTTTCCATGTGTTTAGTATCCACTGGGTGCCAAGCCCTGCACTAGCTCTGGGAATACAAAGGTGATTAAGACACAACCCTTGTCCTTGAGTAGCTCACAATCTATTAGAGTGATAGTGAAATGAACAAATACATACAATACAATGGGCTTTTCAGCAATGGTCAGATACAATTAAAAAAAAGAAAAACCACAGAGGGTAAGGCTTCCTCATTTTTAATGACAAATTTATAGTATTTTAATAAATTGCATGCTAGAGAGAAAAACTCTCCATTTTATATCAATTTAGAATAGTTGAAGAAATCAAAATGCTTTAAAAACCTCCTGGAAACAAGTTGATTCCCTGACAACTATTATCCTAAATGTGTCTTGACTGAAGGGTGAATTTTGTCCAGGTAAAATAATGCAGAAGAAAGTTGGAAATAAGATGACAAGAAAATTAAGGTATTAAAGCTCCAAAGATCAACATCCTGACAGCTATTTCCAAGAGCATTCATCCTATAAATTGTAGCCAAAAATACTACCTTAGAATTCTCTCAGGGATTCTCTGAAGTTCTGTAGACCAGCATTCTCTGTAGTTTGGCCCTTTTTAATAAGCCAAATGTTTTGCTGATTTACACTAAAATTTTATCAGAACTGACAATCTCAAAGATGAAAAGGCAAGTGAATTAAATACCTTGAGGGAAAAAAATTGCATATTTTCATTGTTTTATCCATCAGCAGTTACTTTGTTATTGAGAAAGCAAGATCTCATTAATATTGGAAAGAGACAAATATTTGCCTTCCCAAAGGTAATGGCAAGAGGAGAAGAAGCAAATTTTGGAGGGAAGAATTAAAACTAAAAGTCCAAAATGTAAAGGGAGAGTGACTTCAAAAGTATTCAGCTGAATTAATAACCACAGGGTTTTTATAATCACCAAAAGGCTTACTTTGAGAATTTTCCTTTAAAGATAATGTAATTCACTATCTTATAAAAGAAAAAGACAGTTATTTCTTCAGAACACTAAACATTCTCAATTTCCAACAACCACAGAGAGGTTAATTATGCTTATGACTGTGGCCTTTAAGGCAACCGATTTGATTGGCTTATTTAAATATAAATCTGCCGAGAAAAGGTTCTTCTGAGTATAGATTATCCATCTCCACTCTTACCTTTCCAATTTGCTAAATTAGCAGTTGTTTGATTTTCACCAAGTTTGTCTCATCTGGCAGACTGAGGGTGTTGATATGAGTTTAAGAAGATTTCATATTTCCTTTGAAAAACCCAATATATGCCATATTCAAACAATAACACTGCAAATTGATTTCTAAGACCAATCTATATGATTTTCAAATCTGCAAATGAACCTCAAAGAATAAGATTACTTTGCCTTATAAACATGAATGGAGATGAGGCCTACATTAAGACTACTTTCAGCCTTCTGATCCTAGCCCAATAAAATGTATAGTTCATATGTCACCAAAAATTCTAACACTTTGCACTTCCACTGTTTTTTAATCCAAATAATAATAAAACATATTACAAACATATTATAAAACATATTTCATAAGACAATATAATCTCCCTCATCTAGTGTTATCCCTATAATAGGCAGTGTGACAAAAAATGCTTGAGAAATCAAGAAAATGCTATGCTTGACTTGAAGCATGTTAGCTATGGCCCATGACTCTGTGAAAGTCTTCCAGGAACTCTCCACCATGCCAGTATGCATGACTAATAAGACTGGGAAGAGGATGACACTTCAGAGACGCCAGGATAACCACTGCCCAGTCTCCCCTCCTAGCCCTTAGTGAAACCAAAGATTCCTTGCCAGATTACTTTTGTTTAAAGGTAAAATAGGAAACCTGGAGGAAATAAATCAATAGGTAGTATGATTACCTATTAGTATGATTACTAGCTAGTGTAGAGCTAGGTGTTTAGTAGCTATCTCTTTGGAAAAAAAATAAAATATATAATACACCTCATTGGGTGGTTGGGATTAAAAATTAATACATCAAAAGTAGTTAGAACAGTGTCTGCAGATTCTATGTAGTCGATAGATCACACACACACACACACACACACACACACACACACACACACACAAAAACAATAGTTTTTGAGTATTGAATTGAAAGCTGTTCTGTAGTCCATAGAATATGAGTGAGGAAGAAACCCAAAGCACTATGAAGCTCTTTCTTGTACCCAGTGATACTAGGGAAAAGGTTTAAATAGGATAGGTTCTGGAAAGTTTACAAAAGAATAAATTGTAATCTTACGTTCTAAGTTGGCAATCATGACCACCACTCTATTTCCAGCCCTATCTCTCTTACAGCTGTTAACATTTGCAGGTGTCACCTGAAGCTTGTGTGTGCAGATTTAAGTATAAATACCTTATCTAAGAAGTGTCAGATCCATTAGAATCATATTTCTTTACATTATTACAGAGGAATGCTTCAAGGGGTAATCCCAGTTATATTTATGCTCACTGCTATCCATTCACAGGGGCTGCTATCATATGCACCATGTGGATACAGGGCACATCATGCAGACCCTATGCAGAAGTTAAAAAGCAAAGTATCGAAGACTTTAAAAACAACAGACAGGCATCTGAATTTTAAAAAGACATTTCAACTCTCTTCATTTTCTAATAATTAAAATATTTTGAATGCACAAATATATGAAATCCTTTATCTGTTGAGCCAGAGCTGAATCTGCTGGATGAACATTAAAAACATACAAAGAGCAGTCTTCAGTGAATAATCAGTTCCAGACAGCTCTATGCACAGAATATTTTTAATACAAGTCAAAAACACAACAAAACAAAACACTCAGCATTCCCTCCCAGGAGAAAATTCTTTTAGGGGGCTATATGACATGAATTCTGCTTCTGGTGAGATTTTGTACATTCACATGAATGCACTTCAGACAAAAGAAAGACCAATGTATAGAAGAGTTCATGACTTTACTACAAATGTTATTTCAACATGGGTCTTTTATAAGCAAGCTGAAGGTGATCTTTTGCCATTTTGGTGGAAGAGACAGCAAGGGTTGAGCAAGGTTATATCCCCATCTTGATTACGCTACCATACTGAAAATCCAAGGAAGCCTTGAGACTTGACAGCCTTGAAAATAATCCATCTCATCATGGTTCCCCAAAACATTAGAAGACTGGCTGGCACTGCATCTCTCCTTCTGGAACGCTCTTTAGTTCAAAGATGCCACATCCTAACTCTTCTCCTTTCCTCAAACCTTTTTTCATCTGTTAACATAAGCTTCACAGTAAAAGAATGTACTTAATATGAACTGATTTTTTTAAGAAAAGGAAAGATTGGCACAAACAGCCTTAAGGACATAACTAATAAAATGTAATTTAAAAGTTGCTTAAAGGAAGTTGTACATTTTGATATAACTATACCAATATTTCTTGTAGATGTGGCTCTGGGGGAAATCTTCTAGAGATCCCTGCCTCCATGTCCCCAAAACAGAAATTTCAGAGACCAGTAAGTACATTACCATCTGTGCTAAAGCCACGATAAGCCAAATTCACTGACTATAAGATCCTAACTGATAATAAATAAAAGTGAATTTACAGAGGTCCCTGATGTACAATTCTTTTTGTTCCAATCAGAGACATAGTTTTGAAAGTAACCAATAACAGAAAATTACTGAAAGAAATAAAATCAGTCTAGTGAGTGTGTCAGGTCAAGTTACATTAATAGAGATATCAAGGATTACATTGTTACATAAATAAGACAAATAGGAGGGTTGAGTGGCCCTCCCATTTTTCTTTGTTCAACTTTAAATCCAATTCCTAACTCTTAAGCAGATGCAGACCACACTGACTGTCTTACATTGTTTTATCTCTCTCAATATCTCTCAATTCCTCTGTCTCTGTGTCTCTTGCTCTCTCTGTGTATGTGTCTCTGTTCTTCACTCCCTCTCTCCATTCTCAATCTCTCTCCCTGTTTTCAGAAATGCAGTCTGAATTAGACAGAATTAACTTGTCCAGCATCCTTGGAAAGCAGTATCAGACACAGATTTCAGTAAGGAAATCAGCTGTAAATCCAAGATTCAAGAAGAGGGGATTCAAAATTATCATGACCATTAATTCTGAGGCAGTATGATTTTTCAAGTGGAGAGCACCTAGGAATTCCCCTATGAAAAGTTAAAGTTTTGCTTCAACTTTCCCACTCCCTTATATACAGCCCTTCCTCCAACTAAAACAAGGAATTGTTTCCTTGCCAAGTCATAGCCTGGTGTGGTATGTGAATATATGAAGTGTGATCATAAAATATCAGAATGAACTTTTTATCAAAAACATTAAGTCTTGTGCATGCTAGAGAGTTTCCAGAGAGTATTTCTTCCCAATCACATTAGGAGGCTGTGCAATTGTGCCACTGCTCTGGACACTTTTAAAATTCTATTACAATTCTCTCTTGTGATTGCAGCATATCAATATATTTTATTTTTATTGTTTAAATACAGGATCTCATTCCATCACCCAGGCTGGAGTGCAGTGGTGTGATCATAGCTTACTGCAACCTTGAACTCCTGAGCTAAAGCAATCCTCCTGCCTCAGCCTTCCAAAGTACTGAAATTACAGGAATGAGCCACTATGTCTGGCCCAATATCTTTAGTTGGAATTGCATCTTCAAACATTGAGGGCATATTTTATAAGTTTTTTCAAAGTCATTTAAAGTTAAATCTAGTGATTGAAATCAGGTAAACATTATTTGAGGTCAAAACAAAATATGATTATAAAATTCAAGCTACGATATGTAATTCATCTTTTACCCCATCCATGTCTTTCACTTTACCTAGCACATACTCAAGAAATGCTAATAGAAATGAATAATAGATTTTCATTGCATGGTTCATAAACTACTTTTAAAGACCATTCTGAGAGTTTTAAAATAACCATAGAATTTCTCTAGGTGTCTACTTTGGGTAGAATAGCACTAATTTTATAATTTTAATTTTATATGTGGAAGTCTAGTGTTTTTAAAAATCTCATTACTTAGTAGCCACATTCCTATTACACATCTATTGATTGGGTCTGGCCATTTGCAGCAAGCTGATTTATTCAGCCCGACTTCTGTTCAGGTATCTTGGCACTCTTATTGATGATTGAAACAGACTAACCCATAATTTCCATTTTGGTCTAGAGTAGGGGTCTGTAAACTTTCTCTGTAAAGGGCTAGACAGTAAATATTTTAGGCTTTTCAGCCCAAGTGGCAAAGTTGATGACATTATGTAACTACATATGTAACAAGAGGTAAAATAAATTTCCATAAATGTATTATTGGCAAAATTCAAAATGTAATAATAATAATTGAGTATAATTTCTTATAATACAAGTCTACTAATGACAAGAATTAAACACTTTTAGAAGGCATAACATTTCTCTTAATTGGAGTCATAGTTAATGGTCCCTATTATCAAATTAATTGCAAATGTTCACCTGTGAAAACCATTCTAAACTTCTGGAGTGTATAAAAACAGGTGTTGGAGCAGATTTGGCCCAAGGACCATAGTTGGCCAACCTCTGTTCTAGTGGCTGCAGTGAGTCATCTTTGACTACAGGGGTTCATTTAACTCTCTAAGGAGAAGTGGAAGGAAGCAGTCTGTATTTACTCTCAGTAAGAACAAGAACCATTCTCCTGGAAGTCCTGTAAACGCGGTTGTTTTCAAGCCATCTCTTAGGTGCTCCAGGGTAGAGACAGGTTGAGCGGGAGGCTAAGACAACTAGAAGGCAACTGACTGAATACTCTCCTCAGAGTTACCATATTTAATACAAAGACAGAAAGTTTTATTCCCACTTAAATATCTCTGAAATCAGATTAGGCCTTACAGTCAACAATTCAATTTAGTTGGCAGGACTATTTTCTTCCTTACTGCAAATAAAGCAGCAGGGAGACTTAAAATCAATGACATCTTAGCATTTATGAAGTATGGTAATATTTCTCATTCCAGGCTTCAATTCAGTTCCCCCTGGAGTCCCTTTACCCCTGTCTGAGTAACTACCTTTCTTATTAGAGCTTATGTTCTGCTTCCTTTTTCTGTTGCCACGAAAATGGAAAAGTCATTCTCAGTGAAGGCTTTGCATGAGCATTAAGAAACTATCAATTTTGGATTACTTCGTAGCTGGGTGTGGTAGAGGTTTGTTTAGAGATGGACTTTCTTGTAAAATTCGAGTTTGACTTATTTTTAAAAATTAACAATTTCCTTCCTTTCTAAATGACGAGAGAGACAGAAGAATTCTTCAAGGTTAGTGTGTCCAGCATGCAACCTTTCCTTCCTGGATGAGCATCCCTGGAATAGGAGAGCCAGCCTGCCTCCTGCGCTGGCACAGAGCCCGGTTCCCTAGACAACTGCCTCTCCAAATCTGATGTCCAGCGCCACCTGGTGTCCACATCAAGCAGACACAATTAATAGTCAACCTGTTCAGGAAAACTGTGAGGGGGAAAAAAAAGAAAGAGGATTTATGAAGGGAAAAGAAAGTTTAGAGGATATGCCACGATTGGAATGTAATGAGTAGAACCAGGAAGGCAGTCTCTAACCAATAAGGTGTTACAACACATGTATCTGCTTTGCCACATGGGATATGAAGACAATATATGAGTAAGCATATGTAACATAACTGATTAAAAAAAAAAAAGTTAATGTAAAAGGGGTACCAGAATAGAAGTCAGGCATCCTGGGTATTTTTCTGGTTTTCCAATTAATCTGCAAATTGTCTGTTATGCAGCAGGCACTTTAGTAGGTATCTGAGCCGAGCAAACATGGGAGGAGCTGGGGATGTGCCAAATGCTCTACATAGATTATTTCTTCCACATCTCAACTAGCCTATGAGGGAGACAGTAAAATTCCAGGGAGCATGAAGGCAGAAGACAGAGAACAGTAAGCACCAGAAAGCCTCATCAAAGGCCTGATCAAAGCTAACAATGTTGTGATTGGTAGTGAAAGTGTTTACTCATAACTAAGGCTATCCCAAAGTTGTTATAAAAGTTTGCTATCAATCTTCTTTTCTGTGATCTCCCGGCCTCACCTAAAATCAGGTGATTTCCCAGTAAAAGTCAGGGTTCTCAGAGCTACTTCCACCACTTTGTGGCTGTCTGAACACTCCATATTTGTGCAAATGCCAAGAATTGTATCACATCACTGCAGTAACTGTCTACACCATTTCTGCAGCCCTCCCAGCCATCAATCCCCCGGCACCACACATCTCTTGAGCCACAGATGAATCACAAACATAAGGAAAGAAAAATGTACAAACATATGGAGGAAATAAAACTCTCCGGTAAAGTGGTAGAATTTATTTTCATCTCCAGGAGCTGTCCTCCAGACTTGCAAAACTCCACCTTCATGCAAAAGCATCTGGAAGTTCAGAATTACTTTCCTTTGGCAAATGCATGAACTGTGACTCCTATATTTTGTATCTATTTTCTCACTTAAGACTTGAGGGCACTACAGGAAGAGCATTTCTCTCTTCTTTTACCATCTTCACTCTTGAGAGGCTTAGGGTTTGCTCGGGGAGACTCATAAATAAATAAATAAATAATAATAATAATAATAATAATTTGAATCCCAGGAAAGCTTTGGAATAAATGAGATCATGTCTATGAAAGTTATGTGTGAGCTGGAAAGTACTGTGAGTGTGTCAGGGTTCAGTTAGGAAAGCAGAGCCATGTATTAGGGGATTAAAGGATTTAGTATGGGAATTAGACTTTACAGTAAACATGGGAGGATCTGGAGAAGTGAATGTCTAGAAAAGGAAATAAGAGAATCAGAGATAGGGTCATTAACCAATGCCCCTGAAGTCCTGCACAGATGGACTAGTTTTTCTACTTCTCCAAGCATCAATTTCCTCCTACATAATGGTAAAGCATGGAGGTTCTAGAATCTGACTACTTGCATTCAAATCCTGGATCCGCAACTTCCTGGTTGTATAGTCCTGTGAAAGTTACTTCACCTCTCTATATCTCATTTCCTCCTTTGAAACTAAGGATAATAACAGCACCTGTCTATGGAGTTGTTGTGAGAATTTAGTGAAATAATACTTAGAACAGTGCCTGGACCATGTAAGCACTCAGTCAATGCAGCAATCTTTACCATCACAGGAGCATGGTGATCACTGAAAAGGATGTACGTTAGGCAGTTGGCTCACTACCCAGAATATTATACGTGCTCAGTAAACACTAGCTATGAGCTATGATAGCTTAAGATTTTGAGTCAGAGACATTGTAAGGGCAATGTAGGAGAAGTTTACATGTTGAAAATGCTAAGACATATTGGGGAACAGTCACTTGTGTGGCTGGAAGATAGGTTCTGAAGGAAACTGATGGAAACTATGATTGGAGAGACATGTCAACCAGGAAGCACTTAAGTATCACATAAACAACTAAGAGCCACAGCATGCTCTTAAGACTGACATAATGAAAGAGACTCTTTTTAGAGATTACCTGGCAGAATCTGTAGATTAGAATGGGAGAATGGGGTTAAGAATCAAATCTGCAGCAAGAAAGACTAGTTAGATAGTTCTTGTAATAATCTAGGGAAATAGTAATGAGGACTTGGATTATGATAGTAAGGATGGAAATGAAGAGAGAGAAAGTAAAGATGTGTCACATAGCAGAACTAACAGACCATGGAAATTAATTAGATATGAAATATAGCAAAGAAGAGAGCTCAAAACCAATTTTTAGGTTTAAAAAAGTCAAAGAAAAGAGCAGCCATTTGTGGAAGACAATTTTTTGAGCATGTGAAAATGAAGTACTCAGGTAAAAATGTGTGGACCGGAGCTCAGGAGAAATGTCGGGCTGGAGATAATGATCTGAGATTCATCTGGTGAGAGCTCTGAGAGTGGAAGACAAAATGCCTTCACTGCCAATCTCAATTTGGAATATGGAAAAAAGAAAAAGAAAGAGAGATAGATCGAGACAACCCTAAATATAACACAGCAAATCCTCACTAAATGTTGTCAATAGGTTCTTTGAAACTGCGACTTTAAATCATGGTTCCAGTCTGAGTGAATGTGGAGGTGTGTGTGAGGGCACCTTGTGATGGAAGGTTGTCTTGTCCAGGACTGGTTTTTTGTTTTATAATGAAAACGATTATAAATTGTTTCAATAATTGTTTTCATTATTATCTTATTTCATTCATTATTATCTTAGGCTAATTGGTATAAACAAGAGTTAAGTTCCCATGGCATATTTCTGGTAACAAAAACTTACCAGACTTCTAAATAAAGACCCAAAACACTTCTAATATTAAACAATGAAATAAAAGAGAGCTACATGTACAATTAAGAAAGAGTAATAAAAACAAGTAAGATCATTATTTACCCAAATTTGGCGAATCAGTGAGTATTAGCAGCTGTCATGGTGAAGGGTTAAGTCCAGGATAAATGTTTGCAAAGCAAAAATTGTAAGGAGCACCTCCTATTACCATGCAATTTAAAAACTAACTGTGGCAAATAGGGCAGGCTTGCTGAGTGTTTTTATACCACATTGCTTATTGTCATTTATCTGTATGATTTTGGTCTCATTTATGAATTTTTATTTGACAATAAATTATATTTGTGTATTCATTTATTTTCCAACCTGCTTATTCCAGTTCAGGGTCATGGGTGGCTGAATCTTCTTCTGGGAACCAGTCCTGGACAAGACAATCTTCCATCACAAGGTGCCCTCACACACACCTCCACATTCACTCAGACTGGAACCATTCAGACACACCAATTCATTTAGGGCACCTACAAAATCTGTGCACAGCTTTGGGATGTGGGAGAATATCAGTGCAGGCATGGGGAGAACATGCAAATTCCACATAGAGAGTGGCTCCAGCCAGAGAGCTTTTTTGTCTTCTCATCAATGCTATAAAGAAATGACAGTGAATGAAACAACATTATTTGGGGACCTACTGTATAAGTAAATCTTATTTAATAATGCACCCGTGTGTATAAAAAGATAAATAAATAGGCTATTGTAATCAATTAAGATTTATTCCCTGAGTTCAAGAATGGCTTAACGATAGAAAAAGTCTATTCATATGATTTTACCAATTAAAATGATTCTTAAAAATGACCATCTCAATGGATGCAGAAGAAAACATTTGATAGAATTCAACATTCATTAGTTACATTTTAAAAAACTTAGCAAACTAGGAATAGAAGAAAGATTTCTTAAAACAATAAAGAATGTATACCAAAATCTATGGCAAACTTTATACTCACTGATATACATTATACATTAGAAGTCTTTCTTTTAAAATCAGAAACTAGAAAAAAAACACCCTCTATCATATTTCTATTCAACATTGCAATGGATGTTCAAACCAATACAGCAAGACAAAGAGAAATAAAAGGACAGTAAAATTTTAAAATCAGATACTTTATTATCAGATGATGTGGTCTACAGAGAAATTACTTAAAATTAATAAATTATTTACAGTTGATAAATCATTAATAATTTATAATAATTTCCCCTGAAAATTTGGTGAATGGAAGATGAATATATAAAACTTAACTGAATTTCTAAACATCAACAGAAAAATGTATTTTTAAAAGATACCAGTTATAATAGTAACAAATATATATATATAAAAGATACCCAGAAATAAATTCAAACCAAAGATGCAGAAGACCATTATGGAGAAAAATTTGTAAATATTAAAAGATACTATAGATATCTCAAACAAATGGTAAGATACACAATGTTTGTGAATAAAAAGACTCAATATCATAAAAATGTCAATTTTTCTAAAATTCATTCATTAATCCAATGTAATTTCAACTGAGATTCCAAAAGTTTTCATGGATTTAATACTATGATTTTTGGCCAGGCGCGGAGGCTCAAGCCTGTAATCCCAGCACTTTGGGAGGCTGAGGTGGGAGATCAGGAGATCAAGACCATCCTGGCTAACACGGTGAAACCCCGTCTCTACTAAAAATACAAAAAATCAGCCGGGCATGGTGGCAGGTGCCTGTAGTCCCAGCTACTCGGGAGGCTGAGGCAGGAGAATGGCGTGAACCCAGGAGGCGGAGTTTGCAGTGAGCAGAGATCGCGCCACTGCACTCCAGCCTGGGTGACAGAGCAAGACTCTATCTCAAAAATTATATCTATATCTATATCTATCTATCTATATATCTGTCTATCTATCTATATGATTTTTAAATGTATATGGGAGAACAAAAGACCAATAACAAATATAAAAATTTTAAAGAAGGAAAACTATTAATAAACCCAAAGTATTACAATTTGCACTTTCAGTTCATTACATATCATAAGGATTGAGGGATTTGTCCTACTTAACATCAGTATTATTTTCCTATTTGTCCTATTTAACATAAGTATTATTTTCTATCTGTAGTAAGACAGTATTAAGACAGTGTGAGATTTGCCAGAGACAGACAAAAGACCAATGGAACAATGGGGATCCCAGAAACTGACTCATGCATATCTAGAATCCTAATATAAGACATATGCAGCATCAAAGGTTATTGGGTAAAGGATAAAGTATTCAAAAAATCATGCTAATTCCATCACAACTTGGTGAAATGAAAAAAAACATACTAAAATAATCAATTTTTTCAATGTGGAAAAAATAAAAGTATACTCCTACTGCACACTACAAACAAAATAAATCCCAGGTGATTAAAAACCTAAATGTAAAAACCCAAGCTTTTAAAAATTAGAATATATTGACCACAGGTTTTTGTGATTCTCACACAAAACACGAAAATCAAAAACCATGAGGAAAAATATTAATAAACTCAAGGTATTAAAATTTGCACTTTCAGTTCATTACATATCATAAAAATGAAAAGATAAATTAGACAAATGTTTTGCTCACATATATCTACAAAACTGTTGTTCCCATAATATCATAACATTAAAAGTCTCGAACAAATTGATAAAGAAAAAGATAAACAACTCAAATGGAAACTAAGCAAACAATACTAACAGACAATACTAGAAAAGAACACCCAATGACTAATAACACTCGCTCACATAATAGATATTGAGCAACTGGACCGTGAATGCACTGTGAGTGGTTCTGTAAGTTAGCAGGGTCACTTGGAGAGTCGCTGCTATTTCTAACAAAGTTGAAAGTGAGCTCATGCTTCAACCCACCAATTTCACATCTAGGTATGGACCTCAGAGGGCACAGTATTGTCCCTTGGGGGAATGTGGAAATTTGTCAGCCCTCACCTGATTTCAAATTGCAAAATCTACTTCCACTCAAAAAGATACTAGAATGTTAGCAATTTTATTTTGAAAATATGAATGTAATGGGTTGTACCTATTTAGCTTTATAAAAGGAGATTCCTTTCTGTCTTTGCAAGCTCTTAGTGGATTGCTTGTGATATACATCCCACTCTGGTTTAATATTTATTTTAAAAATAAAACTGTTTTCTTTCTCAAAAAAAAAAAAAAAGAAAAGAAAGAAAGAGAGAAAGGAAGCTTGGCCTAGCACCAATACTTGCTTCTAGCCCCAAGTGGCTCCAGAGGAAAAGGTGAGTTAAATAGGTATGGAGTGGCCCAGTCTTGCCATGGACCTCCAGAATCTTAGCTTCAGGAGACTCCACAACACCCATGGACATTTGAGATGTCAAGAAGCGCTGCTTGGAGATTTATCAGGGACATAACTGCAACTCGTGTGAAGTCCAGAGGGTTTTGCATGGGAATAGCTACAGTGGAACACAGCCAGGGACACTTATCCCCAAGGTTTCCACACTCCTCTAGATAGCTCTGGCCTTCTTTGACTATTGGACTTGGACAGAAAAGAGTTATCTTGCCCTTGGGATAGGATCAGTCTGATCTGAGCATCCCCCTGTCTGCCAGCATTTCCCTGGGTCCCTGCCTGGCCATACCTGCTTGCAACACAGTGTCAATGCCCAACCAGGACACTTCACAGCAGCCACTACCATAGCTTCTTCACTGGTAGACTCCACAAACCATCAGAGAGCTCCTGCAGACAGTGCCCCCCGCAACCCCGGCATGCACCTATCTGTAACCTCCCCCAGTTGCCTTAGCAGTGCATGCACATGAGCAGACCTTGCCATCCCAATCAAGTGCTTTTGCCAGCACCCCCCACCCCTGCCCATTGGACTGTTGTTGGCAGTGGACCAGGAATACCTCAGCCCCTCAAGCAGAGCAGGTGCTTAACCTCAAGTGGCCAGAGAACAAAGCCATGGGCCTGGTCCCAACTTCCCAAAGTTAGCGCATGCAGCACTGGAGTCCTGAGCTGAGTCTTGGCCCCCTGAAATTGTCCAGAAATAAAGCCAATCAACTGAATCCAACTTACACCACAGTCAAACCCTTAAGAGCATCAGAGAATATAAAGAGCTCTGGTGACTCTAAAAGCCACAGTGTCTTCTTACTTCCAAATAACCATGCTAGCTCCCCAGGAATGGTTCTTAACCAGGTTGAAATGGCTGAAATGACAGACATAGAATTCCATACAGAATGGCAATGAAGATCATGAGATTCAGGAGAAAGGTGAAAACCAATCCAAGAAATCTAAGGAATCCAGTAAAACATTACAAGAGCTAAAAGATGAAAGAGCCATTTTAAAGAAAGTACCAAACTGATCTGATAGAGCTGAAAAACTCACTATAAGATTTTCATAATACAATCAGAAGTATTAATGGCAGAATAAACCAAGCTGAAGAAAGAATCTGAGAGCTCAAAGATCAGTTTTCACATCAACTCAGTCAGACAAAAATAAAGAAAAAGGAATAATGAATGAACAAAACCTCTGAGAAATATGGGATTATTTAAAGAGAACAAATCTACAAATTGGTACACTTGAAAGAGAGGAAGAGCGAACAAGCAACTTGGAAAGCATATTTGAAAGTATTATCCATGAAAATTTCCGCAACCTCACTAGAGAGATTGACATTCAAATCCAAGAAACTCAGAGAATCCCTGTGACATACTAAACAAGACGGCCATCCACAAGATACAAAGTCATCAGATTCTCCAAGGTGGAAATGAAAGAAAAAAATGTTAAGGGCAGCTAAAGAGAAGGAGCAGGTCACCTGCTCCATCAGACTGACAGCTGACTATTCAGAGTAAACTCCACAAGCCAGAAGAGATTGGAAGCCTATATTCAGCATCTTTTTTTTTTTGACGGAGTCTCACTCTGTCTCCCAGGCTGGAGTGCAGTTGCGCAATCTCGGCTCACCGCAAGCTCTGCCTCCTGTGTTCATGCCATTCTCCTGCCTCAGCCTCCTGAGTAGCTGGGACTACAGGTGCCTGCCACCATGCCCAGCTAATTTTTTGTATTTTTAGTAGAGATGGGGTTTCACCGTGTTAGCTAGGATGGTCTCCATCTCCTGACCTCGTGATCTGCCTGCCTCGGCCTCCTAAAGTGCTGGGATTACAGGCATGAGCCACCACGCCTGGCCTATATTCAGCATCTTTAAAGAAAATAAATTCCAACCAAGAATTTCATATCCAGCCAAATTAAACTTCATAAGTGAAGGAGAAATAAAATCCTTTTAAGGAAAAGAAATGCTAAGGGAATTCATTACCACCATACCTGCCTGACAGGAGGTCCTTAAGGGAGTAGGAAGTGATCAGTTGGAAACCATGCATGTCAATGCCTCTATCTGGATGTTCAGCAGTACAAGAAAGGAAGTGGAACAGGAGCTGCAGCTGCAAAAAATGTCATGATTGAAGTTAAGCTCTTTTTTTGGTTTGTTTTGTTCTTATGAAGGAAGGACTTCTAAGCTGATGGTAGGAAAAGAAATAATAAAGATTGGAAATAAGAAATATAATTTTCTTGTCATTCTTTGAAAATAATTACATTCTTTTCTCATGTACATCCTGAGAAGAGGGTATAGTCAGTGCAAGTCATTTAAAGTCTCCTTAGTGACACCAGCAAGAAACAGAATAGGTCTTAGGCTCCATTGCTTCCCCACCCAATGTTTAACTAGCAACTACCGACAGATCAGAATACTTTTTTGAAAACCCCAATACTTGAATACAAGCCTGAGATTCCATGTTTCACATAACTGCATGAAAACTGAAATCAAAGTTTAAAAAGAATGGCCTCAAATTGAGCATGACACCCCTTTCCCTCCTCCTGCACAACACCAGACTGAGAAGATGGCTTGGGCCCACAGTTTATACAGGGAGAAAAGAGGACTAGAGGCAGTCATCCAGCTTTCCTAGCATTCTGAGATGTATTCCAGGAAATTCATTCTGGTCTCACCTTATGGGATACACTGTAGGTAGCAATAATGGCTAGACCACCCAGGGTTAAGTAGGAACAAAGAAAGGAAGTAGAGGTCATAGTGACTAGCATGCAGATCTTGGTAATACCTGTGTTCCTACCAGCTGGGGTGCCCAATCAGAGATATCCATCAACTTCATAGCCTATCTGCAAAGCTGAACTGGTGACCTTCAGAAGCATAACAAGAAGTTAATCTAGCTTGAGTGACTAGACAGCTAGTCTCCATACCCAGCCTCAGAGACCTCCCCAGTTACCCTGCCCAGGCACAATGATACTCACCTCTGCCCATTTTGGAGAAGTGTAGTGACCAGGCCTGCTTGACCATGGAAGTAAGCAGTGGCTCCACTCATACAAAAAGCCTGCCCAATGTTCTGCCCAGGCAGGGAGATTCTCATTGTATTAGTCAGGGTTCTCCAGAGGGGCAAAACTAATAAAATATATGTATATATGGAAGGGAGTTTATTAGGGAGAATTGGCTCACACAATCACAAGGTCAAGTCCCACGATAGGCTGTCTGCAAGCTGGGGAAGAGAAGCCAGTAGTGGCTCAGTGAAAGTCAGAAAGACTTAAAACTAGGGAAGTTGATAGTGCAGCCTTCAGTCCATGGCCAAAGGCCCAAGAGCCCCCAGCAAGCCATTGGTGCAAGTCCCAGAGTCCAAAGGCTGAAGAACCTGGAGTCTGAGGTCCAAGGGGAAGAGGAGCAGAAGGAAGCATCCAGCATGGTGTGGAACCACTGAGATTTGGGAATTAATATTAATACAACCTCATTCAACACACAGGCAGCTAAGACCTGGGCTTATTTGAGCCACACGCTTGCACTTGGAACACTTACAGCTTCCCTTTATTTAATTCCTGTGAATAAGGAGCTGTTCCTATCAACTGTCATTAAGGTCACTTCTAGTTCACAAATGGAAGGAATACGTGAGCAGCTTCTGCTCAGATGGCCACAAAATATCTTCAAAGTAAAATTCCTTTCTCTTTCTATATAGATTCTTGCTATAGTAACTTCACAGTTCTGCCTAGTCTTTCTCAAGCTATTTTTGTCTCTTTTGTTTATTCTTATACAAACTATGTGTCTCATTGGCCCAGCTGGTTGGAATAATTCTCAGACACCTACACCCTGGTCTCTTACTGACTCCATGGCTTCACCTGTTGACAGGGCATTGGGGCTGGTGCACACATAAGAATGATGAGCCAAAACAGCTCAAAACATAACTAATTTGATAGCTGTAGCCTAATTCTCCAAACTTCCAGCCAAAGGCCACCAAAACCGTAGGAAAGAGGGAGATCCCTATCCCCTACAAAAGGTGAACGAAAGGGTAAGCTGTCCTCAGGCCGAAGTGAGAGTTCTAACCTCTATAGCTCCAATTCCTTGGAGACTTAAGGGTCTGCTTTTCTCGTCAAAGAAACAAAAACAGAGAGAGACACACACAGGATGTGAATGAACTCTAAAGTCCAGCAAGCAAACAGAAACTAGTTATCAGTCAATCAGAGAAACAGGAAAACAACAAGAAGAGAAATGCAAGAAAAGTAAGAGGGGCAGATAAGGTGGATGCTGGCAGAAGGAGATAGCAGGACGGGCAAGTGAGAGAGATCAAGAGGGAAGGGAAGAAGAGACAGAGAAGGGGACTGAGCTTGATCAGTGTAACCATGGTTATACAAGGAGTATTCAAAAATCTCATGCAAAAGACAAGACATGTGAGTCATGTACCTAATACATGACTTAAAACTCCTCCCGCTTGTGAAAGGTATGGAGCTGTACAGAAGGAGAAAAAGAGCAGCAAGTTTCCTGGGGAGTCCAATAATACTATGTAATATCTATTGGGAGAGGGCTGGTTTGATCCATTATCTTACCTGGAGCTGGTCTACAGTGGTTACCCAATAACATGTATTACCTAATTTTAAATTTTAATTGTTCTTGTGCCTATACTGTTTACATAAATAATATGCCAGGCGCGGTGGCTCACGCCTGTAATCCCAGCACTTTGGGAGGCCGAGGAGGGCGGATCACGAGGTCAGGAGATGGAGACCATCCTGGCTAACACAGTGAAACCCCGTCTCTACTAAAAATACAAAAAATTAGCCGGGTGTCGTGGCGGGCGCCTGTAGTCCCAGCTACTCGGGAGGCTGAGGCAGGAGAATGGCGTGAACCCGGGAGGCGGAGCTTGCAGTGAGCCGAGATAGCGCCACTGCACTCCGGCCTGGGTGAAAGAGCAAGACTCCGTCTCAGAAATAAATAAATAAATAAATAAATAAATAAATAAATAAATAAATAAAATAATAATAATACATTACTTTGGTCATTAACAGTCAGTATATTAGTATTTTGGACTGGAATGGAACAGAATACTACCTGAAACAAATATATTTGTTTTCAATAAAGTGATTTTCTGTTTATCAGCTGTATGAGTCCCTCAGGGTGCAAGAGGCTGAGCCCATGTACCCTTAGAAATCACAGGCAGAGTCTGATACACAAAGGAGGAAAGACCAAAGTCGGGGAACCCTTGGTTGGCCCCCATAGGCAAGCGGGTATCTTTCCAGTTTCACTCCCTCCTCTTATTCTAGGTTCCTGGAACCCGTTTTTTGACTCATCCTCTGAACTCTCTGACCCGTATTTTTCAGTAGCCGCCTGTTATTAACCTATTTCTGACTATGGGTCTTTGCTGCTGAGTTTCATTGGAAGGTTCCCCTACCTCACTATTTCCACAGCCATCCCTCATCAGCAGCTGCTGCTTGGCTGTCTTCTTTCCTGGTGGATACCACCTATAGGCTCCCACGACCTTGGCCGCACTTCAAACCTGATGACTCAAAGTCATACTAATCGATTACAATACCTATTTTGTCCCCAAGACTAATGTTGACCATTTTCCTTCATGCCTATTAGAAGTCTCACGAGGCACCCCCCCAAAAACTTGTACAAATCAAACATCAAACTCTTATAGGGTTCAGCAAATAACATAAATGACTGAAGCAATTGGGTAGGGAGAGATTAGGACATGGTGGAGACTGAGACAAACCAGAGAGTCCAAATCCCATCTCAAGAAGGTATACCTGGCAGGGCATGGTGGCTCATACCTGTAATCCCAGCACTTTGGGAGGCCAAGGCAGGTGGATCACCTTAGGTCAGGAGTTCGAGACCAGCCTGGCCAACATGGTGAAACCTCGTTTCTATTAAAAATACAAAAATTAGCCAGGTGTGATGGCACGCACCTGTAATCCCAGCTACTTGGGAGGCTGAGGCAGGAGAATTGCTTGAACCCGGGAGGTGGAGGTTGTGGTGAGCTGAGGTCGTGCCGCTGCATTCCAGCTTGGGTGACAGAGCAAGACTCCCTCTCAAAAAAAAAAAAAAAGGTATAGCCATAAGTTGGCTTGGATCAATTTTTGTCACATGGGAACAAATCAGAGCCTAGCCTTTCCAGATCCTTTGAGTGTTTCATAAATCTCTCAATTTCTTTTTAAGCTGGAAACTAACATTTAAAAAATATATACTGTTATGAACTAACACTATGAGGGCTGATATGCTTAGGATATTTGTTTCCTCCAAATCTCATGTTGAAATGTAATCTCCAGTGTTGGAGGTGGGGCCTGGTAGGAGACGTTTGGATCAGGGGGGTGGATCCTTCATAAATGGCTAGTGTCATCCCCGTGGTGATGAGTGAGTTCATGCAAGATCTGATTGTTTAAAAGTATGTAGAACCTCTCCTCTCTCTTGCTTCCAGTCTTGCCATGTGACATGCTTGATCCCACTTCACTATCTGCCATGATTGTAAGCTTCCTGAGGCCCTCACTAGAAGCCAAGCAGATGTTGGTGCTGTGCTTATACAGCCTGAAGAACTACAAGCCAGTTAAGCCTATTTTCTTTATAAATTACCCAGCCTCAGGTATTTCTTTATAGAACATAATATTGGCCTAATACAAGGGCCAAACAAAACACATTTTCAATCCTAGGCTGTAATGTGTGACATGTTGCTTAATAACAGAATTGTCAACAGGGCATTGGCTTGCATATATGTGATGGACAACAGCAGTCAGACAGAGACCATGAGCCATAGCACATAGCAGAGCTCTCCACCTTTCATCATTTTGTAATGAGCAGCACAGATGGAAAAAAAAAAGAGAAAAGAATCAATAATGTATTTTAGGGGCACCTCAATTAGGCTACATAATAATGAACTGAATTCTGGGTTCTGAAGTAATTGGCAGCCCCAGAGAAACTAAATCCATGTCTCTGGACCCAGGGAGGTTTCATGGGTCTCAAACCCTTTGTTGGGGGTGAGGAGATTCAAAGTGAAGACATCATTAGTTGGAGCCTAGCCTTTGATTTTGTAACAATTAAAGTACTCAAAGAGTGAACCTTACACAAATGTGACAGGAGGAATTATGTCTACTTCTTATACACTAGTGACCACATGCCTTTCCCAAAAGATTCCTATAATCTTTGCACCCACTAAAACCTGTCCTTAAGACCTTAATTCACCACCTCCCAAGCAGTGTGCATAGGCTCAAGTTATTTAAATGAGTTTGCTGAAACCTTGATCCCCTCAGTCCTCAGGGCTGTCTGGTTGCCATGTGGCAGGCAGCTGAAGTCCCTGAGCCTGTCCCTTCTGACCACAAGCAGCCTAATTTTTTACCCCAATGCACCGTACACATATTATTATTTTTGATATGCCGCAAAGAGGATAAGATTAGGAAGTGCCGCCAACTCATCTGTCTGCAGGATTCTTTATGGATGGGTTTGCCCAGGAGGTGGACTTCACCTCTGTGTAGATGCTCTGCTCAGCTCTTTCCCTCCAGGATTGCAGCATTTGTTTCCCTGCTGCTGGGTGTGTTGGCAGCTGGCAGCTCTCAGCTGAGTCCCTCAGTGGGATTTGCCTTCCTCCGAAGAGTCACTTCATTCAAGGTCACTCTCCTCAAGGACACACTACATGCACTAACAGTTCAATGATGGCAAATGAGAATAAAAGTCTGGCCCCCTCTTTCCAATTCTAGCTAAGTCTGAAGAGCCACCAGCTTCAGAGCTCCTATAAGTTCAGGTGAGGCCTCTTTCAATACATCGCAGTTTAATTTCCCCTTCTGCCCAATCCTGCTTTCCTTGCTTCCTACAGTTGTTGAACCTAGTAGCACATTCAACAATCCTCCTGCATGCAAATCCCTGTCTCAGAGTTGGCCTCCTGGAGCTGACCTGCGACAGCCTCCTGATTGAATCTCTCTTTCCTATCAAACTCATGCCCTCTGGAAACACATAGAAACATAACTAAGCATGGCTTTGCCATCTCAGATGAATCTCATTTCAACACCCATTTCCCATAGAGATTATTAGGGTCTTAAATTTCTTTAAGTCTTTTTTTCTCACATAGGTCATGAGGTCTGTCCTGTTTTTGCTATCCTAGATTTCTTCAGTGAGGTTTAGAGACCAAGTTTTACACAGAATAAAATAAAACTTCCAGTTCTAACACCCTCCCTCCATTTCGGGGCAGCCTCAGTTAGCAGATGTTGCTGTCCAGGAGTAGTTTCAGAATTGGATTGTCCATGATAGTATCCTCACTTAGATAATAATTACAACAATAACTATTATTACCATCAATTGTATACTTTCTGCATCATAAGCTCCACATGAAAAGAGTTTTTCGGGAATCTTATCTTTAACTTTTCCAACAAGCCCAATGAGGAAAGTATTATTAACCTTTCTGTAGAGAAATAGTCTAAGAGTCAAATTGCCCAAGGCCATACCATTCTGGAGCTGGGAATAAACGCAGGATCTTTTGTCCTAAAAGCCTGATCGTGGTCCTCTGCACCACTCTTTCCATGTCCTCTGTTACTCCTACTCCTCAGTTCAAAGTTCACTTTGGAGGGAAAGATTTCTAAGGACAGGAAGTTTTGTCTGTTTTCTTCTCCCTTGTGTCCAAGTGCCCGCAACAGTAGCTGGCATGCGGCAGATGTTCAATTAGTTGTTTGCCAAATGAACGAATGAGTTTTGGTGACACGATCCTGCCAGAATGGACTCAAACACTAAAAAATGCTGAGGAATGTCTGAACTCATTATTTTTGAGCAGGAGCCAGGGTGCTGCTACTCCACACACTGCTCGGTGCAAATTAGAAAAGGAGTCTCCTCCATGAGACACCTGTGAGGACATTGTTCTAGCATATGGATTTATTAGAGTGAGACACTTTACTGCCATCTGCCCCAAAATAATAAATGCACAGGTCTGTGATGTGGATAACATTCCCTTCAGTGCGGTGCTGCTGTGCACCTGACAACCCCCACAGCCCTATGTGGCTGCTCTGCCTAGGCTAGCCGGGCTAGTTTACGCATTTGTCTAACTAGACACTGGTGTCAGATTTGTCTTACTTTTTGACAGCTGGACTGTAGCCCACATTTGTGTTTAATTCCTTATTTAACGATCTTTTATCAATTTTGAGATAATGACCAAACTCTCAGAAAGTCTGTGAGATGACAGTCTAGGTATTACCTAGGCTCCCCACTCCATAAGCTTCATGCTTTCAGAAAGCTCTCTCATCACTCTTTGATGGAGAGCTATTTCCAAGAGCCATACAATTTCCTGACATTCTTCTTTACTTGTTGAAGACAGTTTCTCTTGAGAAAGTACAATATCTTAAGTACTTCAAAAACACTGTGAATGCCACTACTGCCCTTCTGAATCAAGCTTTCTTTCTCATCGGTAGTCTTCTCCTCTGACCTGCTTTTTACTGACTTTTACGCCCTTTGTCCCAGGCAGATAAAACACTGGTGTGGAAAAGGTCAAATTCAGCATGCCAAAATAATATATATTTCTATATTTCCAATGAAAAGAAAGGCAAATTGATAGATAATATTCATCAATCTATCTCTGAGTTTCCTGAGGAAGTGACACTAGAAAGGTGAGGTTATGAATAGTCTTTGATTATGGATGGCCAGATGCCAATGTATAAATCAATGGAGTATTTTATTTTATATACAGTTCTTTACAAACAAGGCCAGGAGAAAAATAAACAAACAAAATGAATGTAACAGGCTATCCTGCTGTTATAAAATGTAATAAGGCCAAGGAAGATCTCATAGGATCCAAAACTCTGTTTGGTTTATTATCCCAAGATAATAAATTGAACATGATTTAGCTGTATAGATACGTCGCAGTACAAAATTACCAACTGCATTTTGATGATCAATTCAGCCCACATGCCATGGCAACTAAACTAAATCTTAACACTGCAGGTAAACCTAAGTTAGGTAGACCTAAGCTGTTTTTTTGTTTGAGAATCCATTTCATGTTGTTTAATCTTTGGTTGGAGTATTTAACACATTGTATGGAATTTTCAGCTCACCCATCTATATTCTTCCCACTGGATTGGAAATTCCTTGAGGACAAGAAGCAATCTCCCACATTTTCATATTCCAAGTGATAATTATAATGCCCTATACATCATGGGTTTCCCAAATGCTTTGTGGGAGTCAGGAAGGTGTTTTTCCATTGGTGCAGAGGAATTAGACAACATTCTTTATTATGAAATCTTGCTTCAAGATATTAAAAAAAAAGATGTCATTAGTAGTACCCAGAAGGCTCAAAGGACATGTTTTTAAGAGAGTACTTTTTAACCTCACGGTGTTATCATTCATTGATTTCCTATAATTTATCCTGAATTTGCTGAAATTCAGTTTTCTCAGAAATCTTTGTATATTGTCCTATTGTGTTCAATGACTCAAGCAATGAAATGCATGGTCTTAAAGGGAGTCGTTGGCCCTCCCCATGCTGGGCATGAAGTGAATAAATAAAATTTCCCTAACTACTGTGCCAGAAGATGATTAACGATGCTGTGCAGCAAGTGTCATGGTGCTACAAAAATGGGGGCTTGCAGAAAGAAGCCCTGCCAAACAAAAGACTCATAAAATGCCTCTTCATCATGCCTGTAATCCCAGCAGTTTGGGAGGTTGAGGCTGGCAGATCAGTTGAGGTTAGGAGCTTGAGACCAGCCTGAACAACATGGTGAAACCACATCTCTACTAAAAATACAAAAATTAGCCAGGTGTAGGGGTGGGCACCTGTAATCCCAGCTTCTCAGGAGGCTGAGGCAGGAGGATTGCTTGAACCAAGGAGGTGGAGGTTGCAATGAGTCCAGATCACACCACTGCACTTCAGTCTGGGCTACAAAGTGAGACTCTGTCTTAGAAAAACAAACAAACAAACAACAACAACAACAACGAAAATCCCTCTTCATTATTCCATCACACTCAACAATAATCCAGTGGGAGCAGGGGGTAGATTATAGACCCCACAGCAGAGAACACCTATTCTGTGAGAAGAATGTAGTTTCCAGAATTTTCCAGCACAGAATGTTGTGATCAGGAGGGTAGTAAACACCACAGCTAACATTTGAGAGAATTTACTTTGCCACACACTTTGCTATATACTTGACGTGCATTTATCCTTGGAGCCACCCATGGAGGAAGGTACTCTTAATAATCTCTATTTTATAGATAAGGAAACTGAGGTTTATTTAACAGGTTAGTAATTTATTTAAGTTCTCAGGGAAAGTAAATAGCCAAGCCAGCCCTGAGCCCTAGTCTGTCTGCTGGAACTCTGCTCTTTAAGCAAGTAAGTGCATAAACAGAAACTAAGTGTGGTAAACAATACCAAGGCTCACCAATGTATTTGAGTTCTTCTCTCCTGAGCACATGGGAGGATTACATGACGCTACCCATACCCATTTCAGTTAGTTTTCATCTGTTTTTGGCCAACAAAATGACATAATACACTTTATTGCAGAAGCATTTAAAATTCAGAGTATGATTCTTCACTTCTCCTGACACAGCAAAGCCCGAAGACCCATATTGAGATGGCAGCATCACTCAAAGCACACTTCATGGCCAAGGATGATAATAGAGAAGAAAGTACGTCCTAGAGGACCAAGCCAAGGGCTGTGGGGATTAATGGACTGGGAGACTCTCCTAGAGATCTGAATGGAGTTAAATCAGGGAATATTCTCTACCTCCAATGTAGGAAATCAACACATGCCTAGTGAGTTTTCAGAATTGCTCCAGACCAGTTACTGTTATGTGTCTACCATTCTTCCTCTCACAGAATGTGAACATTTATTGACATTATCCTGTCCTAGTCTATAGGAAAGGTAGGGAGAGAGGGAGAGGTACCTCTTTTTAGTTCATAGTGTTTCATGGGGATTTGGAGTTCTCTCTCTTGCAGGGAGCAAGGGTAAGGAGTGTATTCTGGATGTGGGGGAAAAGGTGAATCTAGTATTTAGTTATTAGATTATGGTAGGAATTACAAATATTCCCCAATATTTCTCTTCTCTCCTTTTGGGAATACTGTGGATTATACTTCTCTGTTCTCTTGGAATTAGGCATAGCCAGTGGCTTGCTTTGGCCAATGGAATGAGAACAGAAATGATGTGCCACTACTGAGCAGGTGCATTTAAGATCCAGCTCATTATCCTCCATGCTTATTTCCACTGTCACAGCAAACCCTGAACCCTCATGTTGAAATAGAAATGTTGTAAAATGATAATGCTTCCATCATCCTGGGTGCCTGAATGAGCATTAATGAGCATTGTCCCTGCCATCACAAGTTAAGCATGTAGTATTAGAAAAAAATAAACTTTCATCTTTCAAACACAGAGAGTTTTGGGGTTGCTTGTTACCACAGTGTAACCTAGCCTATCCTGATGCTACCCTAAAACTTAGCCTTAAGAGAGCACCCAAATTTGAAGCTAATATCCCAGCTCAGAGTGGACTGCATGGGCCAAGAGCAGTGAAATACACTAAAAGACATCGTAGAATTAATCTGAACTCTTAGTCAAACTGATTACCACTTGCTCCTTAGTGAAAAAGAGATGAAATAGACCCAGTAGAGTTATTTGTAAATGCACAGAGATGGTAAAATATTTAAAATTTATGGAATCACAAAAATGCTTTAGTTCTCTGAAAAATTACCAGAGTTAAAGATCCCTGGCCAGGCACAGTGGCTCACGCCTGTAATCCCAGCACTTTAGGAGGCCGAGGCGGGCGGATCACGAGGTCAGGAGATTGAGACCATCCTGGCTAACACCGTGAAACCCCGTCTCTATTAAAAATACAAAAAATTAGCCAGGTGCGGTGGCGGGTGCCTGTAGTCCCAGCTACTCGGGAGGCTGAGACAGGAAAATGGCGTGAACCCGGGAGGTGGAGCTTGCAGTGAGCTGAGATCGAGCCACTGCACTCCAGCCTGGGCGACAGAGTGAGACTCCATCTCAAAAAAAAAAAAAAAAAGATCGCTTTGGGTATCCCCAAAGAAGACAACTAGGTAAGGAACACCTGATAGCACTGTTTCTCATGGTGTTTTGTTAACATCTTACATATGAATCACTAGGGTCCTTGTTAAAAATACAAATTCCTAGGCCCTACCATTGAAACCCACTGCTTTAGCAAATCTGTTTTAAGTAGCCTCTTTCTGTCTGTGTATACTAGATAATGTCTTGACTTTTCCTAGAGTTACATAACTCCCAACTCAGTAATGCCACAATCCCTTTAAATCAATAAAGGTTTAAGACCATTAACAATTTCTTAGGAGCTTATGCCCAAGCTAATATTTAAAAGGGACTTGTAATTACCTGGCCTTTAAGCAGGTATTCTTGGTGGACTGGCATAAGGAAGAACCTGTAATGGCCAATGAAATCAGTGTTTGAAATATCCCTTGGTATTATTGTCAAGAATATCAAGCACCAACCATGTGCTTATATTAACCATAATGCTAGTGTTAGGTACACAAAGGTGATAGTTTCATTTCTCAAGGAATTTTATAGGTACACAAATATATGAATATAGTTTATTCTCATTATTCATGAGAATCATATTCTATAAAGTCATTCCAAATGCTAAATTATCAAATATTGAACCACTGCTCCAAGGGGAAACATGGGGTTAAGTTCCTGTGAACCTCTGGTCACAAAATTTGTTTTGTCCACTGATCAGTATGTAACCTTGTTTTATGTGGCATTCTGTTTAAAGATACCTTATTTAATACATATTTTTGATTCACTGACATTGAATACAATGCTAGCCAACAGCATTAGACTTCGTGCCTAAGTGAAGCTTACCTAACACACATGTTCTTTTTAAGACACATCAGAGACTTTTTGCGGTTAGGCGCACTAGCCAGCACTTCAGCACTATCCTTGGGGGCCATTCTAGATGGGGAAATCACCAATGAAAAGCACAAAAATGTGACAATATGGCGCCAAACAGACCACAAAATAGATATATGTTCATAGTATGAGAGCTAAAGGAAGAAAACAGAGTGTCCCTTAATTTGATCTCAGCTGGGAATGTGTGTCAGGTGACATAAAATTTTTGCCATTATGCATACGTGTGTCTACAAATGACTAGGAAAGTGATGCAAGTATCAATTTAGGGGTTACAAATAAATTTTAGCAAGTAGGAAAATTCACAAATATGGAATCTGTGAATAATAAGGATTAACTGTATGTGCATTCATAATGTACTGCAATGGAAGCGTAACAGGGTACAATAGAAATGCAGGGAAAGAGAACTTAATGTAGTGGGTGGTAAAGCACAGAAGATGGAAAAGCTGTCAGAGAGGAAGTCATGCTTAAGCAAAAACTTGTGAAGTAAACATGAATTTGACCAATAGGCAAACAAGGAAAGGATATACCAGGAAGGGGAAACATGTGAGGAAAGAATACAAGGCAGAACAACCTGGTGAGGAAAGACCCTGAAAGGCTTCGTATGCCATGCTAAGGAGGTTAGATTTTATTTTTTGTAAATCGCAGGGGATGATATCCTGCTTAATTGAGTAGACTCTCTCAATTTGCATTTCTCTTCTATTAGCCACATTGCTTCTCCAACACCAAGTACTAGGAGAGTGTAAATGATTATTTTCAGAACTGCAATTGTTTGCCCTATCCCTTTTGTAATTTCTCCTACTTAAATTTCATTTCCTAAATATGGCTTGCCTGAAAGCTTCCTGTTATGATTTATTCACTGAGTAATTTCATATTTAGGAGATGATGTTTTTGCAATGTTTTGATTAGATGAGAATCTAATACATGAAACATGACATGAATCAGTATCTGTCTAATTCTCAGATAACTACAACTCTATCACATATACCAGTCAGAATGGCTATGATGTCTACTGCATGTCAGTTGCATGCTTTTGACTAAGCAGGGAAAAAATATCATCAAGGAAGAAGTTTCTGTGTATCTGGAGAAGGTAAACTATAAACCAATTCAAAGATGTGGCAAATTACCTGGCAGCCAACTGAGAAAAATTTGCATTACTGGGGGCTCTGTGGTTGTTGTTGGGGTAGTTTAGGAGCCTGGAGTCCTTTTTTCGCATTGCTAGCCTTAGACAGTGCTCAGGCAGGTTTGCCTTTTGTTCACCAAATGAAATTGCCACAGATACTTGGGTGATGAGATGTAGTTACCGGGCATCAGTACAGGCCACTGTCATCCATCACCTCTTTTATTACTATCATCTCCTATCTGCCTTCCCTTACTCTAGTCTCACTTCCTCTCCCATTCATTGCAAATTCATGCCAGAGTAGCCTTCTTCAAGTAGTGCTATACACTGGATTTTGATCCCTACAATTTATTTGTTGAAGCCCTAACCCTCAATGTGACTGTATTTAGAATAGGGCCTTCATGAAGGTAATTAAGATTAAATGAGAACATAAGGCTGGATCCATAAACAGATAGGATGGGGGTCCTTATAAGAAAAGGAAGAGCTCTCAGAGATCTCTCTGTGCACACACACAAAGAAAAGATCATGTGAGGATAGTGAGACAGTGGCAATATACATGCTAGGAAGAGCTGCAACACCAGATCCCAAACCTGATGGCACTTTGATCTTAGACTTCTAACCTCCAGAACTGTGAGAAAATAAACTTCTGTTGTTTAAGCCACTCAGCCTATGGTATTTTGTCATGGTAGCCTGAGCAGACTAATACAAGTTAGTATAGCCAACACATTACTCTCCAGCTTGCAGATCTGCAAGGGCTTTCCTTAACATCGTCTCAAGGCCCAGCTTGCTCAGCTTTCCCTTAACTGTCTTATGACTCTCATCCTCACTCGGCATTTGAGTCATGCTGACCTATTAAGCACTTCCCTTCCAAAGCATGATTTGTCCTGCCTCAGGGCTTTTGCACATGCTGCTCAATCAGCCCAGAATATTCTTCTCCATTTTGCACCACAAGTTCTTATCTATTGTCTCATCTTAGACATCACCTCTTCCAGAAAGCTTTTGCTGACCACCCCATCATTCCCTCTGCCCCACTGTGTTAGGTGCCTCTCTACGGCTCCCATTATTCCCTGTAGTTTCCCTAACAAAGCATGGACCATCCTGTGTTGTCACTTCCTGTTTACTTGACTGCCTTCCCCTATTTGACTACAAGCTCATCAAAGCAGGGACTGTGTCCTATTATTTCCTGTGTTTTAAGAGCCAACTCAGTGCCCACACTGTTTTTGTTAAGTTTGTTAAACATTTTTGAGTAAATAAATAGTGAATGAATCAATACCGCTACTTCTAAGGAGGAGACAAGCTATAGGACTTAGAATCTGAAAAAATGGGTATGAGTTCTACTTCCACCAGTTATTGGTGTGTGACTTGGGCAAGTCACTTATTCTTCCTGTAACCCAACTCTTATTTGCAAAATAGGGAGGACAACAACACCAACTTCACAGAATTGGCATAAGGGTTGATTAAAATATGCATAGAGAGGCATTGCAAACTATAATTTTTTAAATACATGTTAGTTATTTTATATATATATATAGAAAATATACATGTTTATTGTTCACAGGGTTAATTTTTTAACCACTGATTTAATTTAAAAAGTTTAATTTGATGCTGTGGGTGCAATTTTATCCTATAAATGAAAACCACTGTAGTGTGACTAGATTAGGATATTAGGACTCTCATGAAATACAACAAGAAATTGGAAATGTTAAAAAAAAAAAAAGGCTAAATAGAGGGAGTCTGTTTCAATTCTAAGCTTCCAGCATTCACTGAAAAAAAACAACAACTAAGAAATACACTATGCAAAGATCTTTTAAAAAGTGAAATTCTATCCAGTATAAAAGGAAAGAAAGTATGACTCATGATAACTTTATTTGCTGACACTAAAACAATAATTTATAAGCAACCCATTTTCTGTGTGGCCAAGTGGAAACCCAGACATTGCAGATGATCCTGGGACATGTAGCCAATGGACATTCTGCTCTTCAGTTCATTCAACCATATAGAGCTTTCAGCTCACTTCGCCATAGACCCTGCACAGAAACCTTCATAGGCAATAGCTCAGCTTCCCTAAATGACCAGGGAGCTCATGGACAGTCATGCTTATCTGAAAGCTGACACAGAGTATTTCTCACCGATGGTTTTCATAGCATTTCCAAATCGACTTCTTTTCTAATCTAGATCAGCAATCATTTTTAAAGTTTGTAAAATGGTTTATCAGCATATGACCTACCAGTGAATTCCAATATGGAATAACCAAGTTGTTCAAATAAAACAGAAATCTATTCAAACCAGTTATGGCTTCCCGACCTCAACTGTGAACGAAAGTCATGTCAGCAGGTAGATTTTTCAGTTGTTGTTTTATTAAACTGCTAAGATGAAGTCTGACAGTCTAAAAATATGTCTTCAACTGTTTCCTCTGCACTCCGCTAATGAGGTAGGCAGTCCTCAGCTCCTTATCTTTTTAAACAAGAGTAATTTATTAAAAGGGATAGATCACTTTCACCCAAACTTAACAGGGATGGCAGGAAAAGGGCAACACAAAATACTGATGGGAATGTAAGTTGGCACAACCTTTAGGGTGAGCACTTAGACAACCATGAGCATGCACACAAGTTAGCTGCTTAAATACAGTGGCATTTCTAAAGGATGTCCCTCGGGTTCAGAAAAGTTATTTGAATGTGGTTGACATTTTCCTATTTACCTATAGCTTGCTTAAGAGATGATGTGGCAGACTGCTAGCCCAGTGGTTTCTAATTCCTAGTTCAGCCACTTACTTAGCTCAGACTATACCAACTGGGCAAATACAAGTTAAAAGAGGCTTAACTCTCCCTGTTGAAAATAAGAGACCCCCCTCCTCAAATGTCATTATGATACATTGTACATTATGATACAATGTACATAAAAAATAAAAATACAAGCTAATAAGATGAACAATGAGCACTGTTTTTCAGAAAACATAAGTAAAATCCATGTATCTGTTTGTGTGTATAAGTTCATGTGTAAAAAGAGATTGATGAGGAAAAAGACAAGCCAGGGGGTTAATAAGTGACCTCAGAGGGGTGTGGGTAGAGGGAAGATGACTAGATTTGTCTTTATGTACATCTGGATTGTGTTGTTTCATCTGATGAAATAAAATTACCATTTTAATTTTTAAATATCAAATAAAAAAGGATTGTAAAAATATCATTCAGTCTCCAATGTGGAGAACAGATCATTAGTTGCTGAGGTTGGAAATGAGACCAGGTAGGATATTTCGGCAACAAGGCAAGAGTTGATGGTTGCTTGGATGAGGGTTGGAATTCGTGGTAATGGAGAGCAGTGGGTAGGCTTGGGTTAGATTTTGGAGGTAGAACTAATGCAATGAAGGTAAGGGGGTAGGGGAGTAGAGAAGACAAGAGTGGAATAAAAAATGACTTCAATGTTTTTGGTTTGAGCACTTGGCCAGGTGATGGTATTGTATGAGAGCTGATACTGGAGAAGAAATAGGTTTGGGCAGGGGTGCCAATAGAGGTAAGTGCTCTATTTTATAAATGTCAGTTTGAAATGCCTTTTTGGCATCTATGTGGAGATGGATTGCCCTTTGGACTATGCTATTTAGGATGTGAGTTGGGAGGCAACCTCCTTTTTATGAGCATTGGCATCTTAAAGGAACAACATGGAAGGGAAGCCATTCTTCAACACTGCCTACTTTAAGGTACTTCTCTCCTACAGACAGGGAGTTGCTTTTGTCCCAGGAAACATGGAACAGAGGTAGCTAGTTCTGGATTTCAATATCTGATCTCTCCCACTTCCTATGTCACAGAATCTCTGATTTGTAATGGTGCATATGGCCAAGGTGATTAAAAATAGCAAATGAACACATACTCCCAGAATTCTTTGCAACTAGATGTAGCAAATAGACTAAATTCTTACCAGTAAGCTATAAGCAGCAGTGCTGACTGGCAATTTCAGGTAACCCACATTAAAATATAATTGGTATGTGCCTTTTGTAACTTTTTCCTGTATCCCTTTCTCTATACTGCTGCTGCAGATGGGTGTGAGTGTTGGAGCTCCAGCAGCCACCTTGGACTAGGAGAATGAAGTCTAGTGATGATAAAAGAGCTAGACAATGCCTGGGTTCCTGATAACTTTGAAGAGTCAGTGTATTAGCCATGGACAACCTGGCTCTTGACTTTTTTTTTATGAAATGGAAAGTTAAAATTGTCACATTTAAGCCACTGTAATTTTGGCTATTCTGTCATATATCGCTAGCAAATCTAGTTCTGACTGATGAAGAGCAGAAAGAAACTACTATTATTTTCAGGATTTCATACTCTCAAAGTTCCTTATCCTTCTCTTCCTAACCCTCATATTGGCAACCTCTATATTCATAATTGGAGTTGGCTATAATTTCCTTTTTTTTCACTATTTGTCAACCTTACATATTAATGCTGAACTCATAAAATGAATTGGGTTTATAAAATGAATCTGGCTACTTCTCATCTTTTTCTATATATGAAATAGTTTTACAAAACACTAGAATTAACTGTTCTTTTAAAAGTTAGATAACATTCAGCTGAGAAACTTTCTGATTCTGCTGTCCTTCTTAAATAGTGATCTTTTTTATACTTTCAATGTCTGCTACATGAATTGACCTATCAAGTTCTCTATTTCTTCTTATGCCAACTTTGATTTGCATTTTACTAGGAAAACATCTATTTCCTCTAGGTATTCAAATTTATTGTTAAAAAGTTGCACATAGTATTCTCTATATTGTATCATTGTATCTACGGCTTCTTTTATATCTTCAGTTAAGCTTCCTTTCTTATTTCTAAACATAGTTTCCTCTCTTCTTCATCTTCCCTTATATTTAAGTCTCTGTTCCAACTTCTTTGCTTGGTGTCCTTTCTCACATATTTTCCTTAGGTAGAGCATAGCCCAAAACATTTTTCCTTTTGCATGACCCATGAATTATATATTGCCTCTGTATTGGATAATAGGTTTTAGTCCTTTTTTCTAAGTCATCTGTGGATGTTATTCTACCACTTCAAGTATTGCTGAAATTCAAAGACAGTCTGATTGTTTTGCCTTCATAACCACTTTTTCTTTCTGCCTGGAATTTTGTGAGGTTTTCTCTTTATCCTGGAATTCAGGAATTTTATGAGGATATGCCTAGTTAAGTCTTTTCCTTTCAGTCTTTCCTAAAATGTAGTATGCACTTTCAAACAGTGGTCAGGCCTTTTTTCAGCTCTCTCATCCATCTGTTGCTTTTTCTTTAATTGGAATTTCTATTTTTTCCATTTTAGGCTCCACAGATATTTTCTCTAAGTCTGTTCTCTTTTCCATCATGATTTCATTTTTTGAATGTAAATATTTGCTCTGTGTCTTGAGAAATCTGATGTCTCAGATCAGTACATAGCTCTAGACAGGAACTATGTTCTTCTTTCTTCATCTACTGATGTTTCATTTGTAAATTATGTTTTCAATTCCAGACAATCTGTTTTGTGCTTTCCTTGTATATCCTTAAGTGTGCTTTTTGTTTTTTTATCCAGGTTATCCTTTGTCTTCTCTAAGCAGCTGGTGTTTTTAAAAGAAGACCATGTGAAGCCACTGACAGACACACAAGGAGAGCCACATAATGACAGAGACAGAAGTTGGAGAGATGTGTCCACAAATGTAGGAATGCCAGCAACCACCAGATGCTGACAGAGGCAAGGAAAGACTCTTCACTAGAGCCTTCAGAGGAAGCATGGCCCTGCTGACAGCCTGATTTCTGAATTCTAGCCTCTAGAACTGTGAGACAATGAATTTCTGGGTTTTTAAAATTATTATTATTTATTTGAGATGGAGTCTTACTCTGTCAGCCAGGCTGGAGTGCAGTGGTGTAATCTGAGCTCACTGTAACCTCTGCTTCCTGGGTTCAAGCGATCCTCTCTCCTCAGTCTCCCAAGTAGCTGGGATTACATGCATGCGCCACCACGCCCGGCTGATTTTTGTACTTTTAGTAGAGACAGGGTTTCACCATGTTGGCCAGGCTGTTCTAGAATTCCTGACCTCAAGTGATCCACCCACCTCGGCCTCCCAAAGTGCTGGGATTATAGGCATGAGTCACCATGCCCGGCAAATTTCTGTTGTTTTAAACCACCTAGTTATGCTGATTTTTTACGGCAGGCTTAGGAAACTAATATGCTAAGTTAGGTGCAATGTGAAGAACTTTATCTCATTTCCTTCTCATATCAATCCTATCAGGTAGTACTATCCATTTTATAGATAAGAAAATCAAGCCATGAAGAGTTTAATCCTCTTTCCCATGTCAAACTGTTGGTAAGTGATAAACTCAAAACTAAGCAGGCCACTTCTTTTTTTTTTTTTTTTTTAAGATGGAGTCTTACTCTTATTGCCTAGGCTGGAGTGCAATGACGCAATCTCAGCTCACCACAACCTCTGCCTCCCGGTTCAAGTGATTCTCCTGCCTCAGCCTCCTGAGTGGCTGGGATTACAGGCATGCACCACCGCACCTGGCTAATTTTGTATTTTTAGTAGAAATGGGGTTTCTCCATGTTGGTCAGGCTGGGATTACAGGAGTGAGCCACGGAGCCCAGTAAGCAAGCCAATTCCTAATCATTGCTCTCTATAATCTCCTAGTGCCTTAGAAATTTAAATACCCTTCATCTGGCTGCTTCTGCAGGCAACCACATGTCAAACACTGCTTGTTGGTATGGCTGTGAGGACTTCACTTCAGTGAGCACCTTTGCACACCAGGGAGTGGGAAGCTGGGATGCATATGAACCAGCAGCCTCTTTGTTATTAAGCGTGAGATGCTGAGAGTAAGAGATAACAAGATCTAATGGAGCTCATGGATCTGACCACTACTGCCTTTGCAGGAAAGATTGTTTATGACATATATTTTAATTGGTCCTATTAGAATAAAATATTATCTTTTATAACTATGATGCATTGGCTACTTAGCAAAGTTAGAGAAACAAGACAATGCAGTTTCTAAGGGCTACCCAACCAACAACAATGCACCCTCACACATGGGTATCCCTCCTCTATGTTCCTATTATACCCTGGGCCATTTGCTCCTATTGAATCCTCCTCACTATATTATTTTTTCTGTATCCCTTATAAGAAGATAAGCTCTTTAGGGGTTGGGACAAGAATCTATCACCAGCCCATGCACAAATGGCTACTGTTGTATATGTTACATTATACTCTGTTATAGTTGTTTCTTTGGAGGATGGTTCATTTCTTGATTAAACTGTTTGTGTTAGAGAGAGGAGAATTTGGATTAAATTGGGCTCAGATGAGGTAAGGGTCATGGATTGCCCTAGAGAGGAGTGGAAGGCATTTTGAGTGAAGACAATAGCATTGATACAGAAGAATCCACTAGTTTCTTCTGTACTACTAGCTTCTTCAGTACTAGTGGTTTCTAGATAAAGAAACCACTAATATAAATCAGGTAAGGGTGATTAGTACTGTGATCCATGTGGCTGAAATGGAGAGCCTGTGTTAGATAGAAAATGAGAAACAAGCAGGCTGGCCTTAATGTCTAGGAAAAGCAGAGAAAGAGCCTGTTTTCTATACGTTGTGATTTCAGCAACTCCAGGAACTTTTCTCTAATTTTAGCAAATGCCTCCTCAATCCCATTGATGCCTAAAATTAAGACTTTTTAAATTACAAAGCTTGTTAAATTATAAAGGGGATTTGTGGAAGGAATACAATAATTCTTATAAGTCATGGTATCTCAAAGGTGATACCACATCCTTTGCTGAGAACACAAAATGTGAAGATGAAAGAACATGAAGATTTTGGTTCCTGAGGGTGACGGAATATAGGAGACTCAATAGCAGAAGAAGAAGAAGAAGAAATATATATATATATTTATATATATAAATATATATATATTTATATATATAAATATATATATAAATATATATATAAATATATATATATAAATATATATATAAATATATATATATAAATATATATATAAATATATATATAAATATATATATAAATATATATATATAAATATATATATATATATATAACTAATTTTACAATTTTGCCTGAAGTCTTGCTCTAAAAAGGAGGCTGAAGGTCTGAAAACACCATTTATTCCCTAAAAGTCTGTATTTTATTTACACATTAGAACATATGGCTTATTAATGTATCAGAGCTCCCTTTACCAACATTCTTTTACACTCTAGGAAAAAAGAATGCAAATATCCTAGTGCCCAGGTCACTGACAGTGAATAAGTATTTTATTTCTATCACATAGAATAGAGTAAGGAAGTGTACATAGTGATTTTTACTTTTTCCCAACTGCTTTTGATCTTACAACAGATTTCCTAGGAGGCCTTTAGAAAAAGGCACTTCAAGGACAAACAAGTTCAAATCTGATTATTATTTCTTTTGACAATACTTATTAAAAACTGGAAAGAGAAGAACGCTGTCAATTTCTCATTTTGGTTGACCTTGTCATTTTCTAATGACATCAGCAGGAATGAGATATATCTCTGCCAAAGGTAATATTATCTTTACAAGAAGATATGTTGGAGGAATTAATTGTCAGTGACTCACAATTTTTTATCTTTATATCACAAAAGCAAGAAAAAGAATAGAGATTAATAATGATCAAACAAAATATTGGTCACATATATTTTCATTTAAGGTCCATTTTGGCATTCTCACTATCAACTATTCTAAGGATACAAAGGTTTATATAATATTAACAAATTAATAATAATGCTTTTAATGCTAATAATAATATTAGCTATAATGAGCTTGTGTGCCAATCACAATGATACATTCTTTCGTGGTTCATTTTTTAAAAAATGTAATTCTCACAAAAACCCCAGTTCTGTCTAAACGCTCTTTTTAAACACTGTGCTTTGGTCAGTCAGACCTGGGTTGGAACAGAGTTTCTATCAGGGGAACCTGCCCCCGATTTCACGTAGGTTCTTTTCTATTTTCCCTAAGCATCGGCCGGTTTGAGAAATAAAGGGACAGAGTACAAAAGAGAGAAATTTTAAAGCTGGGTGTCCGGGGGAGACATCACATGTCTGTAGGTTCCGTGACACCCCACAAGCCACAAAACCAGCACGTTTTTATTAGTGATTTTCAAAGGGGAGGGAGTGTACGAATAGGGTGTGGGTCACAGAGATCACATGCTTCACAAGGTAATAGAATATATCACAAGGCAAATGGAGGTAGGGCGAGATCACAGGACCACAGGACTGGGGCGAAACTAAAATTGCTAATGAAGTTTTGGCACGCATTGTCATTGATAACATCTTATCAGGAGACAGGGTTTGAGAGCAGACAACCAGTCTGACCAAAATTTATTAGGTGGGAATTTTCTCATCCTAATAAGCCTGGGAGCGATATGGGAGACTGGGGCTTATTTCATCCCTACAGTTTTGACCATAGAAGATGGCCGCACCCAAGGGGGCCATTTTAGAGGCCTACCCTCAGGGAGGCATTCTCTTTCTCAGGGATGTTCCTTGCTGAGAAAAAGAATTCAGCAATATTTCTCCCATTTGCTTTTGAAAGAAGAGAAATATGGCTCTGTTCCACCCAGCTCACTGGCGGTAAGAGTTTAAGGTTATCTCTCTTCTTCCCTGAACGTTGCTGTTATCCTGTTCTTTTTTCAAGGTGCCCAGATTTCATATTGTTCAAACACACATGCTCTACAAACAATTTGTGCAGTTAACGCAATCATCACAGGGTCCTGAGGCGACATACATCCTCCTCAGCTTACGAAAATGGTGGGATTAAGAGATTAAAGTAAAGACAGGCATAGGAAATCACAAGCATATTGACTGGGGAAGTGATAAGTGTCCATGAAATCTTCACAATTTATGTTCAGAGATTACAGTAAAGACAGGCGTAAGAAATTATAAAAGTATTAATTTGGAGATCTAATAAATGTCCATGAAATCTTCACAATTTATGTTCTTCCACCATGGCTTCAGCCGGTCCCTCCATTTGGGGTCCCTGACTTCCCGCAACAAGTTTCTGCCGTTTACCAGTTGTATGTGACAAGGAAGTTACAGCACCTCTCACTGTTTCTCATTTAAAAAGCAGGGATAGTCGTGGAACTTATACTAAGGTGTGACGATGGTTGATTTTATGTGGTAACTTGACTGGGCCTTGGGTGCCCAGATATTTGGTCAAACATTATTCTGGGTGTTTCTTGGAGGATGTATTTGGATAAAATTAAAATTGGTAGACTGAGTAAACGAGATTGCCCACCCTAATGTGGGTGGACCCCATTCAATCAGTTGAAGGCCTGAATAGAACAAAAAGGATGACCATTCCCCAAGTAAGATAGAATTTCTCTTGCCTGACTGCCTTTGACATGCACATTGGCTTTTTCCCTGCTTTGGACTTGAACTGAAACATTGGTTATTCCTGGGTCTCAAGTTTGTCAGCCTTTAGACTGGAACTACACCATTGGTTGTCTTGAGTCTATGGCCTACTGACCACCTGCAGACTTGAGACTTGCCAGCCTCCATAATCATATGGATCAGTTCCTTTTAGTAAATCTCTTCATATATGTGTATATGTATGTGTGTATATATGTATGTATGTATAATAAGATATGTAGATAGATACATCTTATTGGTCCCTTTTCCCTGGAGAAGCCTGATTCATACAATAGTGTAGTAAGGTCTAAATGAAGTAATAAAATATTTACCAAGTACACCACCTAGCACATAGTAGCACAAACTGCAATGCAATTTGCCTTTCTCATAATAGTCACAATACATAAATTGTTTTGGCTTCTTTATGGAATGAAAGTATCCCAGCGTTATTCTCTTGGACTTAAGACGTGGAATAAATATCATAGTATTGATGATCCTTGCTTATCATTCATTTCACGTGCCTTTGTTGGCTGAATTATTTGCTTTAAAGAAACTATAGATTGAGTGATTTCAAGATCTATCTTGGGTTAGTTATGAAATCAATGTTATCAAAGTTGGCCCTGTAATCCCAGCACTTTGGGAGGCCGAGGCGGGCGGATCACGAGGTCAGGAGATCGAGACCATCCCGGCTAAAACGGTGAAACCCCGTCTCTACTAAAAATACAAAAAATTAGCCGGGCGTAGTGGCGGGCGCCTGTAGTCCCAGCTACTTGGGAGGCTGAGGCAGGAGAATGGCGTGAACCCGGGAGGCGGAGCTTGCAGTGAGCCGAGATCCCGCCACTGCACTCCAGCCTGGGCGACAGAGCGAGACTCCATCTCAAAAAAAAAAAAAAAAAAAAAAAAAAAAAAAAAAAAGTTGGCTTATTACAGTGTCAGGAATTTAGACGGCAAGTATATCTTTTCTTTTTTCTTTTATATAGATATTCTAGGTCCTTTATCTGTCAAAGCTGTATTTTTCTAAAAGAAAGAGTCTATGAGAAAACCAGCAGCTCAATAAATAAGCTATTCATTCAATACAGTGATGTTAACCCACATCATAAGAGTGACAGGAGAAGTACTGTCTATAAAATATTCTTACAAAAGGCATGCAATCAGAGAATGCAGAGAAAACATAATGTAAGTTGTTTTCAATGATTGGTTCCCAAAATGCATCCACCAAGTAAAAATAGAATAGTAGATTTAGGGATCCTTACAGAGTGATGAACAAATTGAATACAGTAAATTCCCTTCAGAACCTCAATTCAGATCACTATGTATTATACACTTATTTTTGCCAGGCACTGTGCTTGGTACTAGACACAGAAAGGTCAGTGAGACTCAGAGGTACTCTCTGCTCTCAACGAGATCACAATCTAGGGGTACTGTTCAATGTGGAGTCCAGAGTTTAATGAGGATGCGAGGAAGAAGTGGTCTGCTCAATCTGGAAGTTAAGGATGGAGTGAAGAACAGCATGGTCGTGACGATGGGGAAAAAGAAGGGGAAGGAAGAGCAATCCTAGGGAGCAGGAAAGCATATAAAAACAAACCAGAGCATAGAAACAACAGGATGTGTGGGGAAAAGACAGTGGCTTCTCATGACCCAAGCAATGGACAGGTCAGGGGAGGAACACAGAAGTAGTAGATAGGGCTTGTATTAAAGAAGACCTTCAGTGACATGCACAGGAATCTAGATGGGTCACATAAATCATTTGTATTAATCCAACAGGATTGTGTCAAGTACTGTGGTAACACTTCATTGCTAAGAACAAGGTATTTCCTTCACCTTTCAGAGTTAATGAGTCTATCAGTGCTAGATTTTCCATCACATGCTTTGCTACATTGTGGTCTTCCAGCAGAATCTATTTGATAACAACCCTTCCTTTACCTGTTTAGAACGAGCTAGAAAAGAAAAGAAGTAAAAACGAGGGTTAGAGAAGGAGAGACAGTTTGACACTTAGTCTTTTATCCACTTTTACCAATTTCCTGATGGTGGAAGAGAGTGTAGGAAAGGCAATGATTTTCCACCTGCCTCCATCTGTCACCCTAGGAAGAGCTGGAAGTCTTAGGAGAACCATCACTCAGAGTTCGAGAATCACTCTGGAATGTGGAAATAGTAATTGATTATGAGAAGAGATTTCTAAAATTTAATATGGTGACAAAAAATTTGGAGCATTTTTATGATGTGTAACTGTGTTTTGGGCTTTGCTTTAGAATCACATTCATTTTAATTACCCTGTTTTATTGGCCAATGCAGTTGAACATCATTTAGGTGGCAGGAATGAATAAAAGGCTTCCTTGAAGAATGAAGTGAGCACAGTGCGAATGGTAATCATGGGATAAACTTGGTCTCCAGGCTTAATCTATTTCAGAAACTTCTAGAGGCAACATCAAGGGACATACATAAAGGGACTCAAGGCCTGGACTGCCCTTATATTAGATCTCAATTGCTGTAGTAGGAAAGATTTCTGAAGGAGTCCCACAAATGGAATCAATGGGACTTATTCAATGCGCTGCTGATCTTTTCCTCACAAGAGCCACAATCACACCATAAATTGACCATTATTATTACGGTTAAGCCAACTAGATTAACAGGATAAAAATGAAAAACTGAGGTAATTCGAATCCTAGCTCCCAGGTTATTGTGCTTTGAAATAGAAGACATCTGCTGCTATGATCTGGTAAGTTTTCAGGACATGATACTGACCACTGTGTTACTGAGTAGAGTCTCTTTGTTAATCAAACATCACAGAATGCATATGTAGGGCCATTCCTCTTCTCTTTTCATTCATAGGCCTGGAGTGATAAGAACACTACAGCTGCCCTAAGAAAATTCCATCATCTATGTTTCCCTTTTTCCTTCTTTCCACAAAAGAAGCCCTGGAGCTACTACCCTATTTGGAGAAACCTGAGGCAAGCAACTCTAGGCATTAAAGAAAATGTGCTCTGCATGTCTGCTCTCTTGTCTTCTCCCACAGGTGCTCCTTCCACTTTTCCCCTCCTGGCATGGTTAGCTTTGGAGAAGAAGAACACATAAGATCCTTCTGGCCTGCTTTTATGTTGGTTCAGACCAATCTAGCTTCAGTAAAATAATTCTCTGTAGACCTGGAGTTATATGCTGTTGGAGTTTGGGGTCAAATTCCAGCTTTGTCTTGCTTCCTCATATGTGTGTGTGTGTGTGTGTGTGCACATTCTCTTGGAGATCTTTTTGGAGGGGTTACTGGACAAGAGCAGGATCTAGATTATGTGGTTTTAAAATGTGTCTGCAAATTCTCTGGCACTTCTTATTTCAAAAAGAGAAGCCAAATTCCCCTCCCTTTGTGCATTGGACTTAATTACTTTCTCCTAATGAATAGAATGTGGCAGAAGTGATGGTTTGTAACTTCTAATACTAGGTCATAAAAGACATTGTCACTTCCACCTTGCTTTCTTGGATTGGCTGCTTTGGATGAGGTCAGCTATCATGTCCTGAGGACATTCAAGCAGCCACGTTGGAAGAAACTGAAGCCTCTCACCAATACTCGGCAGCAACCTTGAAAACAGATTCTCCCACCTCCATCAGGCCTTCACATGAGTTTAAGTCTGGCCAACATCTTCACTGCAACCTCAAGAGGAACACTGAGGCAGAAATGCCTAGCTAAGCCACTCTTGGATTCCTAACCCACAGAAATTGTGAAGATAACAAATGTTTGTTATTGTTTTAACCTACTACATTTTGGGCAATTTGTTATACAGCAATAGATAACCAATGAAGATTTTAGCACAGAAAATGGTACTATGCTGTAATAAAAACCTGAAGTGTGGGAGAAGTTTCAGAACCAAGAACTGAGAGGAAGCTGAAAGGACTTTGAGGAGAGTGTAAGCAGAATCCTAATGACCTTTGAGGAGGCTACTGGTGAGGACTTAAAGAAAAATAAGAAAAAACATTATTGGAAACTGGAGAAGAGGGGCTCCTCATTATGTTGAGGCAGAAAGTTTAGTGACAATATTACCTGCAGTTGCATGGAAAGTATAAAATGTACTAATGAATTATTTAATTCTCTTTTCTTTGTATGTAGGCTGAACTTAGTGACTTCTAATCAATAAAATGTGGCGAGAGAGAGAGTGTGACTTCCACTACATATTTAGGGTAATTTGTTACACACCAATAGATCATGAATCCCCTTCCCAAATAGCCTCACAATATGATTCCTAAATATTCTCTAAATAAAAATCAGCACCTGGTATAACTGAAAGTTACCACACTTTACAATGAATAGGTTCTCCACTTGGAACAATTTATAAATGATCTGTTCTCTATAAACTCTTCTTTATTTCTCATTTCCATACCAATAACTTTATTGTTAAGATCTTTCTATATTTGTCTCTCAGACTCACATGAAGTCTTCTTGAGAATATACCACGAATATAGTAGGTGATTAGTACAGTTGATTATCCAAATAAATGGAATCCAGGAAAGGTATTATGCATTTTAAAATTTTTACATTAATAACAGAATGAATTTTTAGTAATACGTATGCCATAAATATTGATCACGTAATTAACTGATTGAACATGATTTACAGCAAAAATGTCAGAAAAAAAGGATGTAAAGGGTAGAGAAGTTTGTTCAACTGGGTAAAGCTAGCCCTAAAACTAGGAGGTAGATCAGTATTTTTAAAAAATTAGCAAGATGTTGCTGCATAACTTTCAAAACCAAAACAAAACAAAAAACAAACAAAAACACACAATGTTATAATGTAGAAGGAATAAAGATACCAGAGAAAATGAGTGAAATATATGGCAAAAGGGAATTCAGATAAAAATGAGTTACCTTCTTTCTCTTTATTTTCAACCATATTGCTTTTTAAAAATCCCAATTAAATCTATCTTTCCCACTTTACAAAAACAAATATTTTATTATTTTGAAATAGAAATTTTTCCCAAAAAGAAGCTATTAATCACCTTATTAAGTTGAAAAACATAAATAATCACCCTGTGTATTTTGATGGCACTTTATAAATCACAAGGGATTTTTCACAATACCTAATTTGTGTTTTGCAACAACATAATGAAGTAGTCATGGTAAGATACTGTTTTTTGTTTTGCAGTAAGGTAAAATTCAAATAGGTTAAAGAATTTGCTCAAGGTCACACATAAGGTAAGTAGCAGAGACAGTACTTAAACCCCTGTCCTGACTCCAAATCCAGTTTTCTCTCACATCACACTGATAAACTGACTTAAGTACATGGGAAAGTCAATTCAGTTTATCAGTGAATGAATGATCTGCAAGCCCAGCAGTATTTCCTAGCAAACCATAGTCATAAAAGTTCCATCTGGAACAAACTGCCCAAATCCAGAAATATAGGCCACATAAAAATCACACCTAACCTGAAATTAGAAAGGAAAATTCACAACACTGCTGAATGATAGCCTAGTCTCACAAGGTGGCTTCCTTGACTTTATAAAGAACAGTACTTTCATTCATCATCATTATGCTGACTCATATTCTTATGTAAGAGATGGTGGCTATGGAGATAAAAACAAAAAACTTATTCTTTAAACAATTTTATCACATGTTTTAATCTTATTTCAACTTTTTCAATTACTATAACTTTGAATCAATATAATCCTTATATTGAAAACTTATTACTTCCAGTTGAAAGAAACATTATTGAAAATTATAAAAGTATATGCCATAAACTGAATATTTGACCACTAGGAAAAACTGAATATTGAGAATGATTTTAGTGGTTTGGGATAAATCATAAAGGAGGTGATAAACAAGCCAGGGCAGTCGCAGGGGGGATTACAGAGGAAGCAGTCAGATATTGAAGGCAGAGGTGAGAATGAAAAGACCACGTGAAGAAGACAAAAAGCAAATTAATTTAGTTGGAGTAGAAAGGGGCTTGGTAAGAGACCACAAAATATAAGGTGTTGGGGGACTACCACAAGAGGGTAAGGATTTTAGATACTAATAGGCAAATGGGAATACCTGCTCCAAGGAGGTAATGAAAATGATTAGAAGACTTAGCCAGCAGCTACTGATAGGATGAATGTATGTTTAGGAAATCCAAGAGTACAGTAATAAAATGTCCTGAAATGACATTGAAAGTCAAGGAAGTATAAAATATATGAGTTGGATGGAAAAAAAATGGAGTGATCTGGTAGTCACTACCTTAAAGAAGGATCAAACTTTGCTTCACTAATGCTGGGACAGTATGATGTCATGTAACTTCTGGTATGATGCAAAATAATACTTCAATATAACCTATGAAGTAATCTTGTAAAAAAATGCTACACTGAATTTAATGAAGTTAGATTACAAAAAATATAACAGATAACGCCAGGCATGGTGTCTCACGCCTGTAATCCCAGCACTTTGGGACGCCGAGGCGGGCAGATCACTTCAGGTCAGGAGTTCAAGACCAGCCTGGCCAACATTGTGAAACCCCATCTCTACTAAAAATACAAACATCAGCCAGAAGTGGTGATGCATGCCTGTAGTCCCAGCTACCTGGGAGGCTGAGGACGGAGTGTGGCAGGCCAGTTCTCATTAATTCAGGCTTCCATTGCAACTGTCCCAGCACTGACTGAGTAGCTAAGTTAAACATTAAAAGGTGATTGAGCCAGTGCCCTTTTACAAACTGGAATGTAACAAAGAGCCCGCCAAGAGTTTTGCTTAGGCTTTTCCTGGGCCTTGAAGCATGACAAGATAACAAAGGAATTCCTGACAGAACCCTTTTAGGATTAAAGAAGTTTTATTGGGGGTCTGAAGAAACTCCCCAGGCCTCCACAAACAAGTTTATTGGGGTCTAAAGGAATGTCCCAAACCTTTATGATTTAGCAGGAGACAAGATAAAGGTAATCACCCCAGCACCTAGACCCATTTAGATTAAGTAAACTTACAGAGGCTCCAGAAGAAGGTCTTCAGGACCCAGACCTTAGTTATAGATAGATTAAAAGAAGTTAATCACTTATGTCTTTAGATTTAATGCACACTTACATGTAGACATATAGCTTATAAGGTATATAAGCTCTGGAAAACTTTGTAATTTTCAGTTGGTCTGGTGATAATTTCCAGGCCTTCTCCCTGTAGCTGGTTACAGAAATAAAAACTCTCTTCCTCCCCAGTTCATCTGCATCTTGTTATTGGGCCGCAAGAAATAGCAGCCCAACCCTCAGTTTGGTCCGGGAACAGGAGGATCACTTGAACCCGAGGGGCAGAGGTTGTAATGAGCCATAATTGCTGCCACTGCACTCCAGCCTGGGTGACAGCAGCCTGGGCGACAGAGTGAGACTCCGTCTCAAAAAACAAAATAAAAAAAGAAAGAAGAAAGAAAGTATAACAGATAAAGAAAGAAGTTAAATCTCAGTATGAGGAAACAATTAGACAAATTCAGAATGTAGGATATTCCATAATCATCATGGAGTCAATATTATGAGAGGAGTTTGAAAACTGTTTCAAAATCCAAAAAGACAAAAAATTAAATGCAATTTGTGAATTTCTATTGGTTTTATATTTTTACAAAAACTCTAAAGACACATCTTAGGACACTTGGGGAAAGTTGAATCCGGACTAGATATTAGATAATTTAGAGATGAGCTGGCGAATTTAGAAATTATGTGCTATAATATATTCACTTTCCAAAAGAGAAAACTAAAGACCCAGGGAGTTTAAATGTGTAATTTTGGATACAATTATACGTTTAATTAACCATAGTGTTATGTTTAAACCCAGTTCATCTCATTCTATATACAATGCTCATTTCACTATTAGAGACTAATGCTATTTATATAAATCATGCCTATTATATAGGATAATAAAAATAACTAACCATATAGTAAAGAAGGAAAGAAATGTCACTTTTCATTTATCTTTTACCAATGGAGTTCATTAACTTGCTTACTGAGTGTGTTAAGGTTGACTAGTTTTCCTAAGTAAGAGCACCAGCCTCTATCTTCTGCATACATATATTGCTCAAGTCTTCTTAATCCTTTAGAATTAAAGCCATATATTTTCCTGCTGGTGCAACAATTAAAACCACAACTGAGCAACCACAGCAGGAGGCAGAAAAGATTCTATCTTGTCCCTCTTGATTATAAAATTGTATACCACCTCCCAGAGAAATACAAATGTAATGAAATTCTGGAACAAGAAAAGAGATGTACAGTATTTACAAACTTAAAACTTGCGTGGCTTGGGTCCATTGTTGTCTTTCTATTTCCCTCCACAGCTGATATTCAGTCCTTTTCATTATCAAGAGAATGATCATTTGTCCATGAATACATACCCATAGTATTATAGACTTACCCAAACTTAAGTAGATAAAAACAAAACAAAACAAAACAAAACAAAACAAAACAAAACAAAAAAACCTCTACCACTAAAAATCTCTCACTCCTTTTCATCTTATCAGGGAGCTGACAGGAGCTGCAGATATGCATGTCTGTTAGTTATTGGCTTGTGGTTTTGTTTGCTTACTTGCTGTTTTGCAACAGAGAGTAAGCTTTTGTTCCTCCATTTGTGTACAAGAAAATTGTTAGAAATTCACATACATGATCAATACCCATTTAAGCACTGAAATGACAACTGACAAAATTCAGTGATATTCCACAACAAAATAATCTTTTCATTTGACAAAATATTTTATTTTTAAACTAAAATTAGCTTTAAGAAAGTATACCACACATTGATTTTACTTTATATCCTCTGCAAGACACTGCCTAGATAGTCAATAAATATTGGTATGGCAGACCTTTGAATAATGGTTCATTCAACATCATTTTGTTATAACACTGATGAGAAAAAAAATCAATTCCAAGCTGGGGCCACTGTCTGTGTGAAGTTTGCACATTCTCCCCATGTTTGCATGGGTATTCTCTGGGCACTCTAATTTCTTCCCACATCCCAAAGCTGTGCATGTGTGTGGAATTGGTGCATTTAAATGATGTCAGTCTGAATGAGTGTGGGGGTAAGTGCGCCCTGTGATGGAAAGACATCCTGTCAGGATTGGCTCCCACCTTGTGCCCTGAGCTGCCAGGATAGGCTCTGGCCACCCAAGACCCTGAACTCTAATAAGCAAGTTGAAAAATGAATGAATGAATACAAATTATTGTCAAATAAAAATTCATAAAGTAGGTGGTAATCATACCGACATATGACAATAAATGATGAGCTATGAAAGTGCACAGAGCACCCACCCTGTTTGTCAGTTAGTTTTTGAACTGCATGATAGTAGGAGATGTTTCTTGATTTAATAACCATGACTGCCATCACTTACTGATTCACCAAAAACTGGGTAAATAATTATCTTGCTTGTGTTTATTAATCCTAAATGTATGAATAGTTCACATGTATTTCCATGCTTAATATTAAAAGTGTTTTGTGTCTTTATTTAAAAGTTTAGTGGCTCGATATGCTGGCCCATGCCTGTAATCCCAGCACTTTGGGAGGCCAGGAGTTTGAGATTAGCCTGGAAAACAGAGAGAGACCCCATCTCTACAAAAAAGAAAAAGTTAAAAATTAGCTGGGCATGGTGGTGCACAACTGTAATCTTGGTTACTTAGGAGGCTGAGTTGGGAGGATCACTTGAGCCCAGGAGATCAAAACATAAAAAAATTGTATGTTTTTGTGATCGGAAATGTGTCTTAGAAACGTAACTCTTTATATATATATATATCAGTCTATGGTAAAATTGGTTTTGTTATAAGTAGTTTCTTCTAAAGTTGCATAGGTTTCCAAGAGCCTTATCAAGGACATGAAATGAAGACTTACTGTATTTGGTTTCCAGCATCTATTCACGTAGTTATGCTAACCAACAGAATGATGCACAAAACCAAATGATAAAGACTCACTTCTTTTTCCTCCTGGCCTGAAAAACAGGAAGGCATTGTTCATAATGTGATTTGGGCATTATGTAACTGGTATTCTCAGATACTGAGAGTGATTAAAAATTCTGTTCTAGTGAATAGTTTAATCTCCCCAATGAACTCTTACTGATTTCCATTGTAAAGCATTTCGTCCGATGGCTTTCATTACCTCTGTCTAGATGATCAGATTTTTAAAAATAACAGTTCACATTAATAATGTTTTACTCTAGTCCTTCTCCAATATATTTTAGTCAGTTGCTCCTTTTTCCCTTAAATGATTTGTAATGCAAATGAAAGAATCTGAGAAGTCACAAGTTGGATTCTGACCTCTTAAATTAACTTCATTAAAATAGCTCTAACTACAGAAAAGAGCAGACCTTCTTGCTTTGGGGGTGAAAAGAATCACAATCTGAAATGTCAGTTGCCTCAGGCAGGCACATCACATTGAGTTGCATTTAAAGCTAGCTTCAAGCTAGCTTCACACTGAATTATAAAAGTCACTGAAGTCATCTCTTTTCATCTAAAGGAAAATAATTTTAGTATTATTTAACATTGGGAATAATGGTTCACGGATACATAACAGCCTACTAATTTTACCCTTATATAATACCAACTTTTCTCTGAAAAAATAAAAAGCCTATAAAGCTACCTAATAAGTGATATAATTTGATATAATATCAGTGTATATATGAATTAATGTGATAAAAATGTAGAGACAATTCAGTAATTGTTTTAGTTGGCAACAATGAAAATTTGTAGTTAATGATTATCTGATGAGGACAAGAAAACAGTTTTTTAAAGTCTAGAAGTATAAATCTGTGAAAGCAAGTAAAGCCATCTCATAAAAAAAAGTTTTAAAAGAAGGAGCTCTCTGGTAAAAGGAATTTGAGGAGATTAAGTGTTTGAAATGCTTGTTCCCTGGTGCTGTAAAGAAATAGCACTTGAACGTAAATTTAATTTACTCAGCAAGGCCATTTTTACTTCCTGCAGAAAGGGTATACTCGCCAGCAGTTTTGCCATGAGAGTACATCAAACAAAGGAGACAGGGTCATTTATAAACTGACGCATCCACCCTACTGCTGTGTCCGGTTTCCATTGGCTGGAAAAAGACCTCACATTCTGTATTTGTCCCGACTGGCTAGCAACTTGGAGCTTTTTAAAAGAGGCAAAGGCAGAGGAGAACAAAGGAAGGAGGAAGTAACTTGTGGAATGCTGAAAAAGGTAAAAACACCTTCAAATAAGAAAGAGGAACAGGCTATATGACCTAATGTTTGCTTGGACCAGTATAAGCATGCCAGGGCAAATATTTAGGCTAAATTGTGGGAGTTAAGAACATAAAGTACATTGATTTCTTTATCATGGCTAGCAGATACTTAAGAAGGTTAGCACAGGTCTTTGAATAAACTTTGCTTCTAAGAGAAGTTACTATTTATTCCTAATTAAATGGGGAGGAAAGTCTTTGAAAAGGAACCTCTACTTTACTTTTTACATTAAGAAAAACATATATTGGGTTGATCCAGCTAAAGATCCACAAAACATTCCTGGTTAGGCCAGTAATACCTTTTTACCATAAATTTTTCTAGCACTGATAGTGTTCCCAAAATATAGCACTTAGGCATTTGAGAAAACAGCAGAAGCAGGAAGACTACTTACTCTCACCTTCCCCATTCCCTTCTCCCTGAAACAGGCCATAAAAGCTAGGAAGGTCACTCTCTGGCCTTCTCCTTCCCTTCTCAAAAGGGAATCAAAAGAATTTTTAAATTGATAAATAATATTTTACATGTATATGGGGTACATGTGAGTATCTGTTACATGCATGGAATGTGAAATGATCAAGTAAGGGTATTTGGGGTATCCATCACCTTCAGTATTTATCATGTCTGTGTGCTGAGAACATTTCAAATCCTCTTTTCTAACTATTGATACATTGTTGCTAACTATAGTCACCCTACTCTGCAATCGAACATTAGAATTTATATCTTCTATTAACTGCGTTGGTACTGATTGACTAACCTCTCTTCATCCCCTCTCCACTCCACCCACACATCCTTCCCACCTCTGGTATCTATCATTCTATTCTCTGCCTCCATAGATGAACTTTTTTAGCTTCTATATATGATTGATAACATGTGACATTTGTCTTTTTGTGCTTGGCTAATTTCACTTGACCTAATGACCTTGAGTTCCATACAAATTGCTGCAAATGATATAATTTCATTATTTTTTATGGCCAAATAGTATTCAAGTATGTATATATATCACATTTTCTTTAACCATTCATCCATTGATGGACACTTAGTCTGATTACATCTTTGCTATTGTGAATAGTGCTGCAATAAACATGGGAGTGCAGGTATCACTTTGACATACTGATTTCTTTTCCTTTGGATAAATATCCAATAGTGAGATTGCTGATCAATGGGAGTTTTATTTTTAGACTTTTAAAATAAATTTCCATAATGTTTTTCATAGTGGCTGTCCTAATTTACATACCACCAGCAGTATGTGAGAGTTCCCTTTTCTCTCCATCTTTGCCAGCATCTATAACATAATAATGTTTTATCTTTTTAATAGTAGCCATTCTACAACTAGGATAACATGCTATCTTACTGTGGTTTTGATTTGCATTTCCCTGATGGTTAGTGATGTTAAAAATTTCCACACACAGCTGTTGGCCATTTTTATATCTTCTTTTGGGAAATGTCCATTTGCATCCTTTTCCCACTTTTTAATTGAATTCATTTTTTAATTGTTGTTTTGAGTTTCTTGTATATTCAGATATTAACTTCCTTGTCAAATCAATAGTTTAAAAATATTTTCTCCCAATCAACAGGTTGTCCCTTTACTCTGTTTACTGTCTTTGCTGTGCAGAAGATTTTTAGCTTAATATCTTAATATAGTTCTATCAGTTTTTCTTGTTTTGGTTTTTTTTTTGTTTGTTTTTTTGTCTGCACTTTTGATCTTTTAGCCATGAGATCTTTGCCTATACTAATGTCCTGAAGTGATTACGCTATGTTTTCTTCTAGTAGTTTTGTAGTTTCAGGTCTTATATTTAAGTCTTTCATCTGTCTTGAGTTTATTTTTGTATACAGCAAAAGATAGGAGTCTGGTTTCATTTTTCTGCATATGGATATCCAATTTCCCCAGCATCATTTATTGAAGAAGGAGTCCTTTTCCTGATGTATGTTCTTATAGCTTTAATTTAAAATCAGTTGATTGGGAAGCCAAGACAGGTGGATCACTTGAGGCCAGAAGTTCAAGACCAGCCTGGGCAACATGGCAAAACCCCATCTCTACTAAAAATACTAAAACATTAGCCAGGCATGGTGGCTCACACCTGTAATTCCAGCTACTTGGGAGGCTAAGCTGGGAGAATCACTTGAACCCAGGAGGTGGAGGTTGCAGTGAGCCAAGATCACACCACTGCACTCCAGCCTAGGTGACAGAGTGAGACCCTGTGGAAGAAGGAAGGAAGGAAGGAAGGAAGGAAGGAAGGAAGGAAGGAAGGAAGGAAGATAAATCAGCTGGCTATAAATATATGGATATATTTCTAGATTATCTATTCTGTTCCATTCATCTATGTGTCTGTTTTTATACCAATACCATGCTGTTTTGGTTACCATACCCTTGTAATATATTTTGAAGTCAGGTAGTGTGATGCCTCCAGCTTTGTTCTTTTGGTTCAGGATTGCTTTGGCTATCTGGGCTTTTTTGTTGTTGTTTCATACAAATTTTAGGAGTGTTTTTTTAATTCTGTGAAAAATGAAATTGGTGTTTTGATAGGGATTGCATTGAATTTTTAGATTGCTTTGAGTAGTATGGTCCTTTTAATATTAGTTCTTTTGACCCATGAGCATGGGATGTCTTTCCATTTGTTTGCATTCTCTATGATTTCTTTTATCATTGTTTGTCTTGTTATTGATTTCTAGTTTTATTCCAATGTGGTCTAAGAAGATAGTTAATATGATTTTAGTCATTTAAAATTTGTTGAGACTTGTTTTGTGTGCTAATATATGCTCTATCTTGGAGAACGTTTGATGTACTGATGAGGAGAATGTATGTTCTGTAGCTGCTGGATGAAATGTTCTGTAAAAGTCTGTCAGGCCATTTAGTCTAATGTGCAATTTAAATCTAATGTTTCTTTGTTAATTGTCTGCCTAGATGATCTGTCTAATGCTGAGAGTCAGGTGTTGAAGTCTCCAATTTTATTTTATTGAAGTCTATCTCTCCCTTTAAATCTAATAAGATTTGCTTTATATGTCTGGGTGCCCCAGTGTTGGGTGCATATATGTTTATAATTATTATATCCTCTTGTAGAATTAATCCCTTTATCATTATATAATGACCCATTTTGTCTCTTTTTACTGTTTTGACAGTCTGTTTTATCTGATATAAGTATAGCTACTTGTGCTTGCTTTGGTTTCCATTTGCATGGAAAATCTTTTCCATCCCTTTACTTTCAGTCTTTATGTATTTTTACAGATGAAATGATTTCCTTGTAGGCAGCATACAGTCGGGTCATGTTTTATTATCCACTCAGCCAGCCTATATTTTCTAAATGGAAAGTTTAATCTGTTTACATTCAAGGTTATTATTGATATGTGGTGGCTTATTTCTGCCATGTTATTAATTGATTTCTGATTGTTTTGTATATTCTCTCTCTCTCTCACTATTTATTGTTGTGGTTTGGTGGTTTTATATAGTGGCAACATTTGAGTCTTTTCTCTTCCCTGTTTGTGTGTTTGCTCTATGAGTAGGTTTTATATTTTCATGTGCTTCCATGATGATAGATATTATGCTTTCACTTCCAGGTGTAGGATTCCTTAGGCATTTCTTGTAGTTCTTGTGTAGTGGTGATGAATTCCCTCTGCTTTTGCTTGTCTAGAGAAGACTTTATTTCTCCTTCATTTATGAAGGCTAACTTTGCTGAGTATAGTATCTGTGACTGGCAGAAGTTTTTTTCAGTATTTTGAATATATGATTCTATTTTCTCCTGGTCTGTAAGATTTCTGCTGAGAAATCTACTGTTAGTCTGATGGGGGTTCCTTCATAGGTGACTAGACGCTTTTCTCTTGCTGTTTTAGCATTCTCTCTTTGTTTTGACTTTAGACATTTTGGCTATAATGTGCAGTGGAGAATCTCAGAGCAACCTGTATCTGCATGTCTAAATCCCTTGCTACATTTGGGAAGTTTTCATCTATTACTTAATTAAATACATTTTCTTTTTCTTTTTTATTTATTTTTTCTTTGAGACAGGGTCTCACTCTGTCACCCAGGCTGCAGTACAGTGATGTGATCTTGACTCACTGCAACCTACACCTCCTAGGCTCAAGCAATCCTCCCATCTTGGCCTTCTGAGTAGCTGGGACTACAGGTGTGTGCCACCAAGCCCAGCTAACTTTTTTTTTTAGAGATAGGGTTTTTCCATGTTGCCCAGGTTGGTCTCAAACTCCTGGGCTCAAGCAGTCCACCCACCTTTGCCCCCCAAAGTGCTGGGATTACAGGTGTGAGCCACCACACCTGGCTTAAATAGGTTTTCTATCCCTTTTGTTTTTCTCTTTGCCTTCTGGGACTCCAAAATTTTGACTAACTGGCCACTTTACAGACTTCCATATGTCAGGAAGTCTTTGGCCATTCTTTTTTTTTCTTTATTTTTATTTGACTGAGTTATTTCAAAACACCTGTCTTCAAGTTTGAGATTTTTCTTTTGCTTGATCGAGTCTATTGTGGATGCTTTCAAATGTATTTTGTATTTCATTCATGAGTCCTTTATTTACAGAATTTCTGTTTGGCTCTTTTTTATGATATCTATCTCTTTGATAAATTTCTTATTCATATCTTGAATTGTTTTTCTTATTGTTTTTCAGCATTCTCTTGTATTCCACTGAGCTTCCTTAAAAATAAATATTTTGAATTTTTCTGAGAGTTTGAAAATTTATTTTTGACTGGAATTTGTTGCTGGAGAATTCTTGCGTTCCTTTGGAGGTGTCACATTTACTTGCTTTTTAACGTTTTCTGTGTCCTTATATTGATATCTGTGCAACTGGTCTAATGGTTGCTTCTTCCAATTTTTTGAATTTGCTTTTGTAGGGGAGGACCTTTTCCTGATGATGTATCTGTAGTGCTGGGTAGGGCACTTTGGCTATAATTCTGGGTTCCTGCAGTACTGTAGTCTTGGTATGATTCTTTGGCTGTAAACAGTATTAGTTGAGTCTGATTTCCTTGATGGCTTAGAGTGTGGCTATTAGTAGAGGCTGTGATGAAGTTTTGCTGGGAATGGGAATACCAGGTGGGCCAGTCTTCAGGTCCCAGTGATGGCAGCAGTGGGTTGAGCATGTCTGCCTTTGGTGCCCCAGTGTGGTGTATGCTGGCACCAGTAATAGCAGGTCCAGCCAGGCTGATTCTCAGACCTATAGGCATCTTGCTCAGATGCCAGTGGTGGCAGGAGTGGGCCAAACAAATGGATAGGTTCTCAGGTCTCTGGGTAGCAGGCATGGAACAAGCAATGGTGGCAGCAGTGGCAGGAAAACCCTCTGCATCCCAAGTGGTGCACACTGGTCTTAATGGTGACTGCAATGAGCTGGGCAGGAAGTTTCCAGGCTCGCAAATGACACATGAAGATAAGTTCCAGCTGTGATGGTAGCAGCAGGGTGGGTGGGTCCAACCTCAACACCTCTAGAGAAGTACTCAGGTACCAACAGTGGTGGCCCAGGCTGTATAATTTCCCAGGCCCCAAGACTGTGTGCTCTAACACTGAGGGGTACGGTGTGAAGCTATGCAAGGCAGACTTGTCTTCAGGCCTCTGAATGGTGTGTACAGACACTGATTGTGGTGGGCAGGGGTGGGGTGATTCCCCAGGCCCCTGGCAGAGTACTCAGGGATGCACTACAGCCTTGAAACTAAGGAGGCCAGGGTTGCTTTCAGTGGCATCAGCTGTACACAGGAAAGTGGGAAACTGCTTCACTCGTACTTCAGCCCTAACGGCATCAGCCCATGCTTGACTTGCACTGTATCTCCAGTAGTGGCAGCTTGTGTTCCACACATGCTTTAGTCCACATGCAGCAGTCCACAGCAGTAACAGCCATAGGCAGGAAACTCTATCTGGGCACGTGAAAGTGCACAGTGGCTTCACTGCTGGAGGCAGTTGCAGCCTGTGGCCTGCCCTTTGGCCCTAGCATCAGACAATTTGGAAAAGAGGAAGTCAAATTGTTCCTGTTTGCAGACGACATGACTGTATATTTAGAAAACCCCATTGTCTCAGCCCAAAATTTCCTTAAGCTGATAAGCAACTTCAGCAAGGTCTCAGGATACAAAATCAATGTGCAAAAATCACAAGCATTCTTATACACCAATAACAGACAAACAGAGAGCCAAATCATGAGTGAACTCCAATTCACAATTGCTTCAAAGAGAATAAAATACCTAGGAATCCAACTTACAAAGGATGTGAAGGACCTCTTCAAGGAGAACTACAAACCACTGCTCAATGAAATAAAAGAAAACACAATGGAAGAACATTCCATGCTCATGGATAGGAAGAATCAGTATCATGAAAATGGCCACACTGCCCAAGGTAATTTATAGATTCAATGCCATCCCCTTCAAGCTACCAATGACTTTCTTCACAGAATTGGAAAAAACTACTTTAAAGTTCATATGGAACCAAAAAAGGGCCTGCATTTCCAAGTCAATCCTAAGCCAAAAGAACAAAGCTGGAGGCATCACGCTACCTGACTTCAAACTATACTACAAGGCTATAGTAACCAAAGCAGCATGGTACTGGTAGCAAAACAGAGATATAGACAAATGGAACAGAATAGAGGCCTCAGAAATAACACCACACATCTACAACCATCTGATCTTTGACAAACCTGACAAAAACAAGAAATGGGGAAAGGATTCCCTATTTAATAAACGGTGCTGGGAAAACTGGCTAGCCATATGTAGAAAGCTGAAACTGGATCCCTTCCTTACGCCTTATACAAAAATTAATTCAAGATGTATTATAGACTTAAATGTTAGACCTAAAACCATAAAAACCCTAGAAGAAAACCTAGGCAATGCCATTCAGGACATATGCATGGGCAAGGACTTCATGTCTAAAACACCAAAAGCAATGGCAACAAAAGCCAAAATAGACAAATGGGATCTAATTAAACTAAAGAGCTTCTGCACAGCAAAAGAAACTACCATCACAGTGAACAGGCAACCTACAGAATGGGAGAAAATTTTTGCAATCTACTCATCTGACAAAGGGCTAATATCCAGAATCTACAAAGAACTCAAACAAATTTACAAGAAAATAACAAACAACCCCAGCAAAAAGTGGGCAAAGGATATGAACAGACACTTCTCAAAAGAAGACATTTATACAGCCAACAGACACATGAAAAAATGCTCATCATCACTGGCCATCAGAGAAATGCAAATCAAAACCACAATGAGATACCATCTTACACCTGTTAGAATGGCAATCATTAAAAAGTCAGGAAACAACAGGTGCTGGAGAAGATGAGGAGAAATAGGAACACTTTTTACACTGTTGGTGGGACTGTAAACTAGTTCGACCATTGTGGAAGATAGTGTGGCGATTCCTCAAGGATCTAGAACTTTAAACACCTTTTGACCCTGCCATCCCATTACTGGGTATATACCCAAAGGATTATAAAACATGCTGCTATAAAGACACATGCACATGTATGTTTATTGCGGCACTATTCACAATAGCAAAGACTTGGAACCCACCCAAATGTCCATCAATGATAGACTGGATTAAGAAAACGTGGCACATATACACCATGGAATATAATGCAGCCATAAAAAAGGATAAGTTCATGTCCTTTGTAGGGACATGGATGAAGCTGGAAACCATCATTCTCAGCAAACTATTGCAAGGACAGAAAACCAAACACTGCATGTTCTCACTCATAGGTGGGAAATGAACAATGAGAACACTTGGATAAAGGAAGGGGAACATCACATACTGGGGCCTGTCCTTTGGTGGGAGGCTGGGGGAGGGATAGCATTAGGAGATATACCTAACATAAATGACGAGTTAATGGGTGCAGCACACCAACATGGCATGTGTATACATATGTAATAAACCTGCACATTGTGCACATGCACCCTAGAACTTAGAGTATATTAATAACAAAAAAAAAGAAAGGAAATCAGTATACTAAAGAGATATCTGCAATCCCAGGTTTATTGCACCACTGTTTACAATAGCTAAGATTTGGAAACAGGTGTGTCCATTAATAGGTGAATGGATAAAGAAAATGTTGCACATATACACAATGGAGTACTATGCAGCCATAAAAAGAATGAGATCCAGTTATTTGCAACACGTATGGAACTGGAGATCATCATGTTATGTGAAATAAGCCAGGCAAAGAAAGACAAACATCACATGTTCACACTTATTTGTGAGAACTAAAAAATCAAATCAACTGAACTCATGGACACAGAGAGTGGAAGGATGGTTACCAGAAGCTGGGAATGGCAGTGGGGTGGTTGGTGGGGAGGTGGGTATGGTTAATGGGTGCAAAACCATAGAAAGAATGAATAAGACCTACTATTTGATAGTAGAATAAAGTGACTATAGTCAATAATAATTGTATATTTTTAAATAACTTAAAAATGTAATTGGATTGTTTGTAACTCAAAAGATTAATGCTTGAGGGAATGAATACTCCATGATGTGCTTATTTCACATTGAGCATCATTCTCTATGACGTGTTTATTTCACATTGCATGCCTGTATCAAAACATATTAGGTACCCCATAAATATATACACCTACTATGTATCCACAAAATTTTCTTTTATTTTTTAAAGTTATATTAAGATGAATTTATTACTGAAGAAAAGAAAATTTTAAATAAATTTAGTACAATTAATTTGTACAGTGTTTATAAAGTCTGCAATATTGTACAATTATGTCCTAGGTCTTCATATTCACTCGCAACTGACTGATTGTCCCACCCAAAGCAAATTTCTGTCCTGCAAGCTCCATTCATGGTAAGTGCCTTAACAGGTATACCATTTAAAAAAATCTTTTATACTTTTTTTGTTTTTTTTTTTTTTGAGATGGAGTCTCGCTCTGTCGCCCAGGCTGGAGTGCAGTGGAGCAATGTTGGCTCACTGCAAGCTCCGCCTCCAGGGTTCACGTCATTCTCCTGCCTCAGCCTCCCCAGTAGCTGGGACTACAGGCGCCCACCAACACACCTGGCTAATTTTTTGTAGTTTTAGTAGAGAGGGGGTTTCACCATGTTAGTCAGGATGGTCTCGATCTTCTGGCCTCGTGATCCACCCGCCTCAGCCTCCCAAAGTGCTGGGATTACAGGCATGAGCCACCGCACCTCGCCCTTTTATACTGTTTTTACTGTGTCTTTTCTATGTTTAGATACAAAAACATTTACCATTGTGTTATAATTGCCCACGCTATTTAGCATGCTGTACAGGTTTGTAGCCTTGGAGCAATAAGCTATACCATATAGCTTAGGTGTATAGTAGGCTAAACCATTGAGGTTTTTGTAAGTATACTGTATGATATTCATACAACAATGAAACAACCTAACAATGCATTTCTCAGAATCTGTCCCCATTGTTAAGTGATGCATGACTGTACATCTATACACACACACATATATATGTAAACTGATTGTAAAAGCCAATTTACAAAGTTTAAAACCTAAAGCAGAATGATGATGGATGAAAGAATTAAAATTCATATCACAAGCTTCCTTTGACTGAATAGATTCTAAATCTCTATCTATATGATGCAATGCTCAAACTGAAGATTCATACATTAAAATAGAACAGGATGGTAAAATGATTATTCAAGTAGAGGGATAATTTTAACACTTAAAATCAATTGTGTTACTGACACAGGAGCATAGAAGCTATAAAAAATGTTCTGAGTGCCAAAGTAATTCTTGACAACTGCCAATATTTTCAAGTTACTCAGTTTTATTGCAAAATATGTACTTGGGTAATGTTGTCTAAGCTGATTACAGAAATGCCTTCATTGAATTATTAATAAATATCAAACCCTTTTTTTCTAGGAGATGGAAGGGAATCAAATAATAGAAGACACGTTAATTTAAAAGTCTGGAGATTTTTGGCTGGGCATGATGGCTCATGCTTGTAATCCCAGAATTTTAGGGGGCCGAGGTGGGTGGATCGCCTGAAGTCAGGAGTTGGAAACCAATCTGGCCAACATGGTGCAAAAATTCACTGGGCGTGGTGGCACACGCCTGTAGTCTCAGCTACTCAGGAGGCTGAGACAGGAGAATCTCTTGAACCCGGGAGGCAAAGGTTGCAGTAAACCAAGATCATGCCACTGCACTCCAGCCTGGGTGAAAGAGCAAGACTGTATCGCAAAAGAAAAAAAAAATTGGAGATTTTTATAAAACTCTGGTTGAAACTTTGCTCATTATACTTTAAAAGAGTGAATTTTATAGAATGTACATTATATCTCATTTAAAAATTGACTATACAGGTAGTGTCCATTATTAAAAGGAGCCACATGACAGTGGCTTAACAAAATATCTGGAAACTAATTCGTGATAATCTAAGAGTGCAGAAATGTTAGGATAAGCTATAGAAATGTATAATTATTTTGTCCCTTAGATCTTTCTGTCTCTCAAAGGTCAGCTGTCAATTGACCACTGGTTGAGTGCTAGATTCTAATAATTTTATGCTTGAATTCCCTAAAATACTGATTACTATGTTACATGCTTCATCTTTGTTAGATATCCAGAAATCAGTTAAGAGGCTCAAAACCACAATGAGCTATCACCTCATACCTGTTATGATGGGCCATTATATAAAAAACAAAACAAAACACAAAAAACAAACAGGAAACAACAAACGTTGCTGAGGATGTAAAGAAACTGAAGCCTTTGTGCACTGTTGGTAGAAATGTAAAATTGTGCAGCCATCACAGAAAACAGTAAGGAGGGCTGGGCGCGATGATTGATGAAAGAATTAAAATTTATATCACAAGCTTCCTTTGACTGAATAGATTCTAAATCTCTATCTATATGATGCAATACTCAAACTGAAGATTCATATATTAAAATAGAACAGGATGGTAAAATGATTATTCAAATAGAGGGGTAATTTTAACACTTAAAATCATTGATTGATTTAAAATGATTGATTCAAAAAATTAAAAAGAGTAGTACCATATGATCCAGCAGTTCCACTTCTGGGTATTTATATAAAAGAATTGAAAAGAGGATCTCAACGAGATATTTCCACTCCCATGTTTGTGGCAGCATTATCTACGACAGTCAAGAGGTGGAAACAACCTAAATATCCACCTACAGATGAATGGATAAAGAAAATGTGCCACATACATACAACAGAATATTATTCAGCCTTATAAAAGAAGTAAATCCTGCCATATGCCACAACATAAAAGAACCTTGAGGACATTATGCTAAGTGACATAAGCCAGTCAGAGAAGAAGAAATGCTGCATGATTCCACTTATGGGAGGTAGCTAAAGCAGTCAAACTTAACAAAGCAGAAAGTAAAATGATGATTGCCAGGGGCTGTGGGGATGGAGGAATGGGGAGTTTCTAATCAATAAGCATACAGTTTTTGTCATGCAAAAATGAAAAAGTTCTAGATATTTGCTTACACTTAAAAGTTTGTTAAGAGGGGAGATTTTACGTTATGTGTTTCTTTGATCACAATACAAGATAAGGGGAAAAATGACACCTAAGTGGCAGAGGTGATATTCTCCTGAGGAAGAGAGAAGGTAAGAACTTTACATTCTTACTTGGGTAAAATACCACATGATTTCCACACATAAAGTGAAATCTGGATTTTAATGTACTTCTGATGATATTTTCTACCTTAAATGTGTTTATCTCAAAGAACCTTGCATAGCTCAATAGAAGAGTGACAAACAATAAAAGAATCTGTTAATAGCTTTTAGGTATTCATAATCCTAGGACATCTAGCATGGTGAGACTTTTAAGTATAAATTAAAAAGATTAGACCTTTGATTTTGTTTTTAAAGGGTTAAAATTTCACATATGTTCTTAGGATTTTCTGCAAGTAATCGTATTTCCAATATGCTCATTATGAGTCACCTGTGTGTTTATTTTTAAAATTTAACTGTAATACTAGATATTTTGTGGTTTCTGACTTTTTCAGCCACAACTGACTAGCCTGAGGGGTAGACATGGTCCCAAGGAAAACTCACATAAAAGTTGGACAAGGCTATGTCTTAAAATAGCCTAACTCAAAGACTGAGTTAAAATTAAGTTTAAAGATTGTGTTATAAATTTGAGTATATATTGTGAGGTGGAGACAAGTCTACCAATTGTAGCTCTGTGCAAGCCAAAGTTCTAAGGGAACCAAAATTATGAGTCTAAGTATTTCCTGAGGGTTATCTCAATTCATGAATAGAACAGTAAAAATCCAATTTGCCATGTATCTTAAGATATTTTGTAAAGCTGACACTGAGTTATTAAAATATATTCAAGGCATCGTATAATATGTACATGGGCATGGACATGGACACTCTGCCTTTGGAAATACACACTGATCCTACCCATACTTCAAAAATCAGGAAATTCCTCTTCTCTCAAATATATTTTTGCTTAGTGTTTTCTTTTAAATACATGAATCAATACTAGAAATGAATGGTAGTAAGAATGGCAAAGCCTGGTAAAAGGGCTAATACAGGCTGAGTATCCCGATCCAAAATGCTTGGGACCAGAGTGTTTCAGATTTTGAATTTGTTTCAAATTTTGGAATTTTTGCATACATATACACAATGAGATATCTTGGGAATGAGATCCAAGTTTAAACATGAAATTCATTTATGTTCCGTATACATTTTATATACATAGCCTAAAGATAAATTTATACAATATTAAAATAATTTTATGCATGAAATGAAGTTTGTGTACATTGAATCATCAGAAAGCAAACATGTCAGGTGTGGAATTTTCCACTTCTGATGTCATATCAGAGCCACAAAAGTTTCAAATCTTGGAGCATTTTGGATTTTGGATTTTCAGATTAGGGATGCTCAATCTGTATAAACTTTATAGAGTAGATAGAATAGAACTTTTACAAGCTTTATTTTATATAATTATGTAACAACTGTACTACTGAATCCATCAAAGTCATTCTTATCTACTGACATTTGTTTTGTAGTTTGCTGAGACTATACAAACATGTCACTCATGTATGACTTACCTATAAATCCCATTTCTGGAGAAAGTGTTTAGCTGGCCAACTTGTCCTTGGCATCTCTCCTTAGGTAGGTGACTACCTCAGTTGTCTAGTGCTGTTGTGCTATACCTTTTATACTTTCCCAATTCCTAAACCATTGCACTCAGATTTTCCTGATATGCTTCCCTCTTATTAACAACTTGTAGCTGGGTTGAGCCAGGTCATAGGCTTAGGAATACAATAAAAACAAATTACTTCAAGCATTAGTTAGTAATAATGATTTCAACTATAACACCTAGGTCTGAAATGCCCTAATCTAAAAGAATAAGTGAGTAGAAATTTCAGGCAGCATTTGGGACCTATATAGCTTTTGGCCTACTTACAACACATAAAGGCCAACATTCAATCTATGTTTAGGTTATGCAATCTTAAGTACTGAAAAGACCAGGTAAGATATTTAGTTGAAACTTATTATTTCTCAATTATTAGCATATAATGTAAGAAACATGTATGTAACATTTTTCTTTCTTTAAGTCAGGACATTTATTAAAGCATGGAATATATTTCAGTGCCATTAGACTTCTAATTATTTTATTGAGAGCTTTCTACAAATATAAAATGTGTAAGATGTACTCTAGCGCAGATGTTATAGCTATACCAAAGTTTGAAGGCAGCTGAACGCAAAGAACATGAACTGTGGATTCAGCTTTGGTTCAAATCACTGCCACTCACTAGCTGTATGACCTTGGGCAAGTGGCTTAACCAATCTAAACCTTAGATTCCTCAACCATAAAATGGGTAAAATAAAAAAAAATTATGATGATTAAAAGAGAAAAAAAGCATATAAAGCACCCACCTAGTACAATGTAAGTACTCAAGAACTCAATACATGTTAGCTAGTGTTATTAATTACTAGGTTGTCTACTATATATATTTTTTATGTTTACATTAGCAGTGAAAATAACTTTAAAAATATATATATTTTTAAAACAGAGTCTTACTCACTCTGTCACCCAGGCTGGAGTGCAATGGCACGATCTTGGCTCACAGCAACCTCTGCATCCAGGGTTCAAGCAATTCTCCTGCCTCAGCCTCCCACGTAGCTGGGATTACAGGCACATACCACCACACCTGGCTAATTCTTTTGTATTTTTAATAGAGACAGGGTTTCATCATGTTGGCCAGGCTGTTCTCGAACTGCTGACCTCAAGTTCGAGGCCCGTCTTGGCCTCCCAAAATGCTAGGATTACAGGCGTGAGCCACTGTGCCCGGCCAATGTTTTAAAAATTTTAAAGAACTAATGCAGCAACAGCTTTGACTTACTATGTTGTAGTTATTATTTTCAAAGTGAGCATGACTTGTTTCTCATAATCAAAAAATACACACTGATATTCAAATTATCAAGAAAGTACAAAGAAAAATGAGAAAAAATCACTCAGTTTTTCATGTCCACAGATTTACGTTAGTATTACTTTAATGTATATTCTGAACACTTTTTTCCAAAAGCAGGATTAACCTACTATCTATCTTCTGCTTTTTGACATATAATTGTAGAGCTCTTGTTTCATGACTGTATTTCATAAACTAGCCATAGAAATGGAAAGGTAGCTCACTTTGGAGAACCAGGGGAGAGTAGAGAGAAAGCCTCTAGCCCTATTCTCTTTGGGTTCAAATTCCAGCTTTATCACTTACTAGACAAATGATCTTGGGCAAGACACTTCAGCTCTACATCTCAGCTTCCTTATCTGTGAAGTAAGAATTAAAGGAGTTAATATATAAAGCATTTAAAATAGTACCGGATATGTAACAAGTAGGACATAGAGTTAGCATGTATGACCATATATGGTCATACAAAGGTAATAATACTACGTTGTTATAGAAATAAAAAGTAACTCATAGAGCAAGATATGTGTAATGTATCCTATTTGTATAAGAATGACAAATTTTTTTCAGATTAGGTCTCTGTATTCTTTTAAAAAAAGAAAATTTTATACACACATAAGCAAAAGCATTTGAAAGGCTATACATAAAACTGCTAGGATGATTATCTCAGGGAGGAATTGTTGCTGGCTCTATAGTGTTTCAATTTTTTATAAGTTTTATGTATTGTATTAAGAAATCAGTAAAATAATTTAATTTAAAAAATATTTTTTGAGGCAAAAAAAGTAAAACAGAAAAAGTGAAAGAAAATGACAAAACTTGGTTTTCAGAAAGATGACAATATGTAGTTAGTTTAATTAGGTTGTCCAGCTGGGAAAAGACAGTTTAGAGTTTACAAAATAAAATGCAATATTAGTAGATGTATATTATAGTAAATCTAAAGTAATAATTTTTTCTTACTAAAGAGACATCATTCACATGATTTAAATAAAAATATGCCAAAGGAAAAAGAATATATTTAATTACCTTTAAAAACGCTAATACATACATCCAAGGTTGTTAAGACTGATCACTCTGTGAATAGTATAAAAAGGTGGCTGAAACATTAACTACAGAATAATGATAAAAACAACCATAACATCTTTCCCCTTTATTGTAGTGGGGCAAGGACACCATATCAAGCTTGAAGTACCTTTAATGTTCAAATTGTATACATTCTGCCTGGTTTATAGAGGAATAATTTCTGTAAAATTTAAAATTCTAAAAAAAGGTCAGATGCAGTGGCTCACGCCTGAAATCTCAACACTTTGGGAGGTCAAGGCAGGCGGATCATGAGGTCAGGAGTTCGAGGCCAGCCTGGCCAACATGGTGAAACCCTGTCTCTACTAAAATACAAAAATTATCCGGGCGTGGTGGTGTGCACCTGTAATCCCAGCTACTCAGGAGGCTGAGGCAGGAGAATTGCTTGAACCTGGGAGGTGGAGGTTGTAGTAAGCCGAGATCGCACCATTGCACTCCAGCCAAGGCAAAAGAGTAAGACACTGTCTCAACAACAAAAATCTAAAACAAAGTCTTTAAATTTTGGTTAATATTGTATGACATTCTTTCTCTTTGGGAATGAATATATTGGCAGGTTACTTAACCTATGTAAGCTTCAGTCAGGCACAGTGCCTCAAGCCTGTAATCCTAGCACTTTGGGAGGCTGAGGCAGGGAGATCACTTGAGCTCGGGAGTTCAAGACCAGCCTGGCCAACATGGCATAACTCTGTTTCTATAAAAAATACAAAAATTAGCCAGGCATGGCGGTGCATGCCTGTAGTCCCAGTTGTTTGGGAAGTTGAGGTGAGAGAAAGCTTGAGCCCAGGAGGTCAAGGCCGCAGTGAGCCATGATCGTACCACTGCACTCCAGCCTGGGTGACAGGGTGAGACCCTGTCTCAAACAACAAAAAAATTATCTGTGTAAGCCTCAATTTCCTCAACTACAAGATAGGGGAAATAATCAATGAGGATTAAGTGAGAGCATACAGTATTCATGCAGAACATGAGAACAACACTTGAATTTATTCACTCTAGCAATCATTGTCTGCTTACATAATAGCCTACAAAGGATAATCAATGTATTTATTACCATTATTTAGTCTACTGAAGAAACATGCAGAACTTGAGAAACCAGGCAGACTACCTTGAACTGAATTCTTAGAAAATTAAATATATTGTATCTTAGCTTTCACGTATGTCATTTCTGTCCAATATGTCTCTTTCAAATGTCACCAGTTACATACAATATCCCCTCTGACCTATGCTGGTGACCTCTACCTATTGTGGAGGAATCTCCACCTATTGTGATGTCATCCAGTACTTTATGGTAATATTTATTTTTTCTGGTTACAGTTTAAAGGGCACTTCTGTTTGTGGAGTAAAGCCTGCCACATTGTCAAAATATGTAACTGGAGGATTACAGTATGCTTACCTCTGATTTTATTTCTACAGTGCTGCTATAAGTAACAATGAGTAAATCTACTAAATTATGTGGTAAGACTTCTTGTCCAAGAAGCAATATATTCTGCAATCTCCTTGACAAAATTGTTAAAAGACCCTCCCTACAGTTTTTGGGTCAGTGGGGATATCACTGTTACGAACCAAGGATTTACAGATCACTGGCAAAAATTCTGAGGTATGTGGACTTGGATGGTTTTGACGCACTACTCACAGATTACATTGCATTTGTGGAAAAATCAGGATACCGTTTTGAAGTAAGTTTTAACCTCGACTTCACTGAAATATGTGTGAATACAATTCTGTACTGGGTTTTTGCCAGAAAAGGTAATCCTGACTTTGTGGAATTGCTTCTCAAGAAGACAAAAGACTATGTTCAAGACAGAAGTTGTAACCTGGCACTGATATGGAGGTAATAATTTCATATGTTTTCACTATAGAACAAGAAAATTTATCTTTACGAGAGTAGAGTGCTTCTTTTTTCTAAAACTCACATGTATAGTGGCTATATGTGAAGTAAGGAATTCTCACCTAATTGCTTGACCACGTGTTCACTCCTTCACTCTTTTATTATGTATTCCATTTTTATTTATATGTAAATTATTATGTACCAATAAATCATTAGTGATTCTGCTCTACACAGCTTACATGTTAGTGCTAAACAACATGTTTCTCTAACTAAACAAAGACACTATGTTGTGTAATACTATGATCTCCTATTTCTGCGAATCCTATGGTTTTATATTTATATATGTTTATAAGCTGACTTTCAAAGTACAATTGGGAACATGCACACATCTTCACATAGTAATACTTATTAAACACAATAGTTCCCTATTTGTGTGTTAAACATTTATAAATTAGACTCCAAATTCTCCAAATTTGAGCACAATGAAGGTCAAGTACCTGATGCTATCGATAATAGAACCAAATTTTTATAGTGTTCACATGTCAATCTACCTAATGCATACTACTGAGGATCTTATGAAAATCAAATCTCCAATGTATCCTCTTTTTAGAGTCCATAATATAGAATTTAAAGTTACCTAGTTTGCACTAACTTTAATTTATTCTTTCGTTTTAGATATTCATCTGAATAAAACATTCATGTGTTCATTCATTCAGCAAAATATTTATTAATCACATTACTATGTATGCAAGTCTGTACTAGGTGCAATATAAATGCATGTATGCAATGAAAAACAAAATGGACAAGATCAGTTAAAGACTAAACCAATTTAGATTCTGCCTAAAGCAGAGTTTTTTCTTGATTGTGCATCCTATGGTATCGGAGAACCACTGGATTTCATTACTTAATGATTACTAAAGTACATGAACTGATAGCTGTAGTTTGGAAACAACAATAAACAAAACTACCAAATGGTACTTTGTGTTTTAAGTAACCATTATATTTGTAACTACAGCAGAGATCAGCAAATCTTCTAAAGCTGACTGTCACTAGCTGGGCTAAATAGTGCCTGTCTACAGCCCTGGAAGGTCCACGGGAAAGAAAAATTGAGGCAAACAGAGGGAGAGAGAATAAATTTTTAAAAATTAAAAATGGAAGCAGAGAGGAGAAAGCTGGACAGAAAATGAAACAAAGAGAAACACAGTGGAACATGATAGGGTGCCATTAACAACTGTCTTAAGACAGGTTTAAAATTAATCAATTTCAACTTAGATGCATCCACAAGGTAAAACCCATTACAGGCCAGTTCTACTGATCGCAACATCACTTAGACCTCTCAGAATCATAGAATTTTATATTTGTATGGAGCCTGAGAATTCATTAGCAGACCTTTACCCTGGACAGCAACTGGTCGATGCTCACTGGTCTCTTCTTAAACAATTCTAGAAGTAGTGAGTTAACTATTTCCTTAGGTAAACCGTTCCTTTGCCTTGGGGTCCTTGTTTTTCCTAGTGTTATATATATATATATATTTATATTTATATTTACATATATTTATATTTATATGTAGTTATATATATACATGTTATATATAGTTATATATGTTTTATATATATAACTAAATATAAATATAACTAGTTATATAAATATATAAATATAACTAGTCATATAATAGTTATATAACTAAATAAATACAACTGGTTATATATAGCTAAATATTTGAATATATATAATATATAAATATATAGTCATATGACTTTAAATATGATGTATATGCCAATGACTCTCAAAATCTTTATCCCCAGTGTTGACTTTGCCTCTGAGCTCTGAACTCCCTTCTATATTTAGTTAATTGACATTGCCACATGGCATCTCAAACTGAATAGAAACAAAGCGGAATACTGATCTAACTCACCCCCCCTCTCTGCCAACCTTCTCCTTCCCCAGAATTCCCCCCAACCCCCGATTAACAGCACCTGTTTCTCTACCATGTGGCTAAAGGCAGAAATCTAGGATTTATTCTTGATTCTTTCCTTTGCTTCAACACATCAGTAAGTCCTGTTATCTCCAAAACATATCCCAATCATTTCTTTTTCTTTTCATCTCCTTTCATCTCTTTCGTTTCAAATCTAGGTGAACTCACCATCACCTCTTGCATAGAAAACTGCAATAGACTCTTAAAGAGTCATTCAGCTTCCACTCTTCCCTCTCAACTCCTATAATCTGTTATTGACTCAGAAGCCTGAGTGACCTTTTAAAAATACAAAATGGCTCATATCAACCATAGTTAAAATCCTCCAGTTTTTCCACTACAGTGATTTTATACAAGGGGTATAACATTCAAACAATACCCCTTTTTTAAAAACCCTACATGAAGCTGGGCACGATGGCTCACGCCTGTAATCCCAGCACTTTGGGAGGCTGAGGCGGGCGGATCACGAGGTCAGGAGATCGAGACCATGGTGAAACCCTGTCTCTACTAAAAATACAAAAAAAAAAAAATTAGCTGGGCGCAGTGGCGGGCGCCTGTAGTCCCAGCTACTCGGGAGGCTGAGGCAGGAGAATGGCGTGAACCCGGAAGGCAGAGCTTGCAATGAGCTGAGGTCGCGCCACTGCACTCCAACCTGGGCGACAGAGCGAGAATCCGTCTCAAAAAAATAAAAAAAAATAAATAAATAAATAAAAAAAAATAAAAACCCTACATGAAAGGTCCCTCTGTATTTCTCCCAAACCCCATCTTGTATTACTCTCCCTTTTGAACACTATATTCCAGCCACAAAGACCTTTCTGTTTCTTGAACATCTTCAAGTTCATTCCTGCCATAAGGCCTCATAATACTGTTCCCTCTGCCTGAAAATTTATTCAATTGGACCTTCCTCCTCATCAGCTAGGTCACAGTATAAATACCATCTTCTCAAAGAGGCCTTTCCTACTCACACAATCTAAAGAAGCCACTCAGTCATTACAGTAGTTTACTTTAATTCTCTGCACCTGCTGATCACTGACCTGTTTATTTACTGTTGTTCCTTTTTCATTGGTTTGCTCACTATCTATCCTCACGGATAGAGTGTGTAGAACTATGTCAGATACGTAGCAACTGCTCAATCAAGATTTTGTTGAATGAGTAAGTGAATTTTGAAGCAGCTTTATTTGATTCTTCTTTCCTGTACTGCACTGAAGTCTTGCATTTCTCCAACCCTGCCCAAGTAGCTATAAAGATCAGTCTGCTAACTCTCTTTTCTAAAAGAAAACTTCTCAAGTATTTGAACACATCTATTATGTCCTCATAATGAATACCCCAAATTTCCTATTATCTGTTGTTCTTTACTTCGACAACATCATTCTTTGGTCATCCTCCCTTGTTTAGACTCTAATTTGATAATTTCCCTATTATATCTCCCTGGAGGAGAGGAGATAGAATTAACGAGGGGAAGAAACTTAAGTTTGTTCATTTTCACCACAAATCTGCAAAAAACATCTAAATGCCACAGTGTGACAGATTGTAGGTGGCTAAAGAGAGATGTCATTCCATTCAAATAACAATAATAAATATTAAGCATTTTTTAAGTGCCAGACACTATGTTATTTATTGGGGATACAAAAACAAAGTAGACACATTTCCTGATTTTAGAGAGCTCATATACTAGTAAGTGAGGCATAAATTTAAACAGCAATTATAGCCACACTCTAGGTACAAAAATAGAAGCATGCACAGGTAGAGAGAGCAGAGAAGGAAATTGTTAACACCATTAGGGAGGAGTAGGTATCTGAGAAGGCTCAATAGAATAGGTGATGTCTTAAACTGATTTTTAAAAGATAACAAAGAGTTTCTTCTTTCTTTCCCTTGAAGACATGTAATCTAGATAGAAGGAGGATTACTGAAACTAAGGGAGATACAAACAACATTGTTGTATCCAATGACTACAAGCAGTTTAGTAATAGCTAGAGAGTGAGATAGGAATCATGTAGTAAGAGAAATGAAGACTGGAATTGAAAGAATGAAGGACTTTGTAGGCCAGAGTGAGGAACATGAAATTTACACCATGGGTAATGCCTGGCCAGTGAAGGTCAATCAACTTGTACAATTAAAAAGATTTATCAGCCCCATTTGAAGATTGGATTTTGGGAAAACAGGCTGCAGCTAGGGCAGGGAAACCAGTTAGTAGACTACTCAAGCACTCCAAGTACAATGTTCTATGTGGGAAGAGTTGGGGGGAAAGTGATCTAATTTTTTTAAAGGGGGGTGGTTAGAGAAGGTCCCTGAGGCTGAATTTGCATAGCATGCATAGTACATGTACTTAGTTTACATGTGTATTTATAATAGTTTTGAGGGGAGAACTAATTCTCTTCTACCAACATCCCTCCCAACCTCTGTTCACCCTTTGATACTACAACTGTCCAGGCAAATTATGAGAACTTAAACTAAAACAGTAGCAGTGGGAGAAAGGAGAGAGATTTTTAGACAGAATTACAAGACACGGTAAGTGATCAGAATTGGAGGATCTAAGAGAAGAAAGAGTTAATCTTCAGATTTCTAAATTTTGAGAGTGGTCGAAAGTTGTATTAGTTTCCTGTTGCTGCTGCAACAAATTACCACAAACTTAGTGGCTTAAAACAACACAAATTTATAGTTTAGTTCTTATAGTTCTGGAGTTCAAAAGTCCAAAATGAGTCTTATAGAGCTAAATCAAATTGTTAGTAGGTCCAGTGCCTTACGGAGGCTCTAGGGAAGAATCTGTTTTCTTGCCTTTGCCAGCTTTCAGAGGCCATCTACATTCCTTGGCTGATAGCCTCTTCATCTTCAAAGCTAGCACTGTAATATCATCATATCTTATTCATTGACTCTGCTTCCAACATTCTCTGCACTTATAAGGACTCTTGCAATTACACTGGGCACACCTAGTTAATTTCCCACCTCAAGATCTTAATCATATCTGCAAAATCCTATTTGCCATACTGAGGGGCCATTATTCAGCCCACCAAAATGGTCATACAAGCTTATCGAGATAAAATATTTTAAAAAACCTATAAAATCAGTTTTAGACATATGAGTTTGCACTGCCTAATGGATATCGAGGTAGAGATGTGCAATACGTGGCTAGATAAACAGTGCCATCCTTAATGTTTCTCTTACATCTCACGTCTATATTGGGATCTGTTGGTTCTACCTGCAAATAATGTACAGCATCTGGCTGTCTCCACTACTATGTTCCAAGCTAAGTGATTTCCTTCCTTCTATAACAAATTCTCAACAAAGGGCAGATCACACTACTCTTCTACTCAAAACCTCCAATGGCTTGTCCTTTTGGTTTAGAGTAAAAGGTGAAGTTCTTACAGTGATCCATAAGGCTCTAAATAATGTGGCATCCCATTACCTCTGTCCTCTTTTCAGCCGCGCTGGTTCCGTTATTCTTCCTTCATCACTCCAGGCACAGTCTCCCGCCATAGGGCCCTGAAATATCCAAATGGTTAACTTCCGCACCTCCTTCTGGTCTTTGTTCAAATGTCATCTTTCAATAATGTACTCTTCCATCATCTTATTTAATATTTAAAAATGCCCTGACCGTACCAGCCCACAGCATATCCATACTTCTTATTCTGCTCTACTTATTCTTTTTTCCAAGCACTCATCACCTGCTAACATAAAATTTGCTTGTTTACTGTGTTCATCCTACATTGTTGTTAATCGTTCACTATAATATAAGCAAGATAGTAAGGATCTTTATTTTGTTTCCTGATATATCCCAAGCACCTAAAACAGTTCCTGGCATATAGTATGCATTCAGTATTTGTTGAAATAAATAAATGGACAGGAATTGAAGTTATGGTCATAAATGAAATTGCCTGGGAATAGCCAAATAAAATTGGTCTAAAGGCCATGCATACTTACTTAGATGTTGAGGGCAGAGGAAGAGGAGCCAGTGAAAGACAGTTGAGGAGAAATAGCCAAAGAGATGAATGGGTAACTTGGAGAGACTAGCCCAACTGAGTAAAAGGAAAACATAGTTTTAAGAAAGTCAACTGTGTGAAATATCACACATGTAAAATTATTCTGGAGAAGCATCTATCAAATTTTTCAGCTAGAAATTGAAGGAGAATGAGAAGGGAAAAAAATTAGAAATAATTATAGCTAAAAAACTGAATAATTCTCTGCATGTCTGTATGGAAATATTATGCCCCATTTCATAAGCATTATGACAGGTTTTCAGATACCAAGAGTTCAGTTCATTAACCTCACATTTAAAAACTAATTCTTGCTTTGCTTGCTGCACTTCATCCATATAAGTACTGCTATAATTAACTGTCAGTACAGATTAAGCAAATTCTGGTTTACAGTAACATACTCTTTAAACATGAGGATTAATCATATGTCATTTGGGTACAGATTAGACTTTTAAATCTCATTTTAAACCTATTTGGGTTTTAGTCATGTTTTCAACATTTTTCAGTATTCATTATCTTCTAAAGGTAATGTCAATCTTAATATCTTAGAATCAACAAATATCTCTAAATCTTAATAATGACCACTTATGGTATATTTTGCCCCCTGAGTCTCCAGAATTCCCATACTTATAAGGTTCTTAAGTCAAATATTTTCTTAAGAACAAGCAAGATGAATACATTAAACTGCCTTTGAAAAGTTTAAGTGATTACATATCAACAAAAATCTTGTTAGACCTGAAAGCTACAGGATAAACTCAGGGAATTTTTTACTATGACATATATATAGTCAAAATTTTCAGTAAAAAAAGTTCAATTAACAAATATTTGAGTGCGTAATATGGGCCAAACATTGTTCTAGGCACTTAAATATGCAATAGTGAACTAAGATGAAATTACTATCTTTTAGAGGCTTCCACTTTTGTAGATTGTTTTGCTTATCCATTTATTTTGAAGAAGAGAAAATGAAAGTTTAGAGGTGTTAAATAAGTTTTCCAAAAGATACAAATTTAATGTAGGTAGGTACAAAGTGCCCTGAGGAGTATGAGATATATCAGGGTAATCAAAGAAGAGTTCACAAAACAGTTTATTAGATAAGGTCTCATAAAGATGAGTTAGACTTATTGCAGAATTGAAAAAAAAAGGCAGGGGAGAAGAACATATACAAAGTAAAGAAATGTGAAAGACCTGGATGCAGTGGTGGTTTGGGAAACTGCATACCAATGATAGGTAATGTAGAAAGAAATGTAGTTTAGAAGTTCTCCATGCGTTGGAAGTATTTGTAAAAAAGATAATATGCCCATGACATTATTGGTCTGGAGATGATTCCACGAGAGATACAGGAAATAATACATATCCATATTCATATGTATATACAAACATATATATCCTTTCTCTTTCTATATGTGTATGTGTGTGTATATATATACATATATGTATGTATAGTGCCAGTGACAGAGTTATGACAAAAAACTACATCTTGATTTCTAAAATGCTACTTTGCACTACAATTCACTATTTTTTAAATTACAAAATCCTGGCATGTCAGCGTTTGGTGAAGCTTTGCAGATAAACTAGTTGGTCCAGTGACTTTCCAACTATACTTTTTGGAGACCTGAACAAAGATCCAGCAGGGGGTAAGGGCTCTAGGACATCAACCAGAAAAACTCTTTTTTCTTAGTTTTGTCAGATTCTTCAAAAATAGTTTGAAAAAAGCTCATCTATTATAAAACATTTATCTTCTATAGCTAGTTCTGCTATAGCAATCCTCCAATGCTGGTTTATGCTTGTGCCTAAAACATTCTTTTGAATCTTTTTATTGGAAAACATCTACTAATCTTTCAAATCGTAGTTTCTGGATAACCTATAGGAAATGACTATTTCAGATAGAGTTAAGTACCCCTCCTCAGTGCTTCTATAGTACCCTGAGCATGCTTCTATCATTGTGATTATCACCTTGTATTGTATTTATGCAATTTCTTGTGTTTTCCTTACTAGATTATAATAGTCAAGAACTATATCTTTTATCTCTGTGTATCTACTTCTCAGTACACTCTAGGCAAGCAAGTATTAAATAAATTAGGTAATGAAGGAATAAGCAGATGAGTACATAAATGCTTGTGGAAACAGATGTAAAGAGGCCAACTTGCTCAAAATCACACAGCCAATTCAAAGAGCTAAAACTTAGAACCTAGAACACTTGTCTCTATTGTTTATACCATGCTGCCTCCCATTTTACCTAAGTACTATATATGCAGTCTTAAAGTTCCCCTTTTTGCATAAGTCTTTCCTTGCTCTGAGTAGTTGCCTAAAACCAGTATTTATACTTTGTGTGCTGTCCTGCAGTATTTTATTAGGCCAGTCAAGAGAATTCCACAGACAAAAATCATTAATAAAATTTCTCTTTCATTAGCCTAAAAACCATATTACTTGGCAAAATTATGGCTTGCTAATAGAAAATCTCCTGTGGTCAAGGACACCACAACAATATTTACTCTGACCAAAATAACAGCATAAAAGTCTATTAAATGAAACAACTGCAAGAAGTATATACCATTTAAAAAAATAAAGTTTTCATTTCTGTCATAAGGGAAGAGAAATTTTTAAGTCTAGCCATCATGTGACACTCTAGGGAAAACAAGATTTCCCTAGATTTCAAAATTTTACTCAAGAAGAAAAATTCTGCCCTTGAGGGACCTGATATGGTTCTCACTATAATTTACATTTCCTAAGCCCAACCAACTCTAATTTTATTAAAGTGAAAAACATAGAATTAAGATAGTTGTATTTATTCCTTTCCTAATTTCCAAACTCAATTCAAGTTCATGTCTGGTACATGATCAAGAAGAACAAAAACAAAAAGATATGCAAATGATCACATAATTCTTTCTATTAATAAAGTTAAATCAAAAAGTTCTGTCCTCCTTTTCCATTTTATTATTTCCAGAGCTACATCAGTTTTGTAATACTGTCCTAAGCAGTACAGATTTCTCAACTAGAATTGCTATGACTAAAAGTAAACACTTTACATATATTATAAATTGTTTTTTTTTATTTTTACAATGTAAATGGGGTTTAAGTGTTTGGTAGGAGTTTTCTTTTAACCTTCAGTTTAGTCTAGATTCATAGAGTGGAAAACTCCTTTTAAGAAATATATAGGCTGGGTGCAGTGGCTCACGCCTGTAATCCCAGCACTCTAGGAGGCTGAGGCAGGTAGGTCACCTGAGGTTGGGAGTTTGAGACTAGACTGACCAACATGGAGAAACCCCTTCTCTACTAAAAATACAAAATTAGCCAGGTGTGGTGGCACATGCCTGTAATCCCAGCTACTCGGGAGGCTGAGGCAGGAGAATCACTTGAACCCAGGAGGCAGAGGTCGCAGTGAGCAGAGATCGTGCCTTTGCACTCCAGCCTGAGCAACAAGAGGGAAACTCCATCTCAAAAAAAAAAAAAAAAAAAAAAAAAGAAACATATAAAGTTACATTTAAGACATTTAACATTTAAACTATTATTTTCCCATTACTAGCAAGATAAAGTGTTTGTCACATTTCTTAATTCTATATCCAATGAGTTTTTGTTTTGTTTAATTCACAGAACTTTCACACCAGTATACTGTCCAAGCCCATTAAGTGGCATCACACCTCTCTTTTATGTAGCTCAGACAAGACAGTCTAATATCTTCAAAATACTACTGCAATATGGAATCTTAGAAAGAGAAAAAAACCCTATCAACATTGTCTTAACAATAGTACTCTACCCTTCGAGAGTAAGAGTAATGGTTGATCGTGAATTGGCTGACATCCATGAAGATGCCAAAACATGTTTGGTACTATGTTCCAGAGTGCTTTCTGTCATTTCAGTCAAGGAAATAAAGGTAAGAAAACTACTTTAAAAAAAATGGGCTCAAATATTAGTGAATCTTAAGATTCAACTGTAAAGGAAAGAATACAGTTAATTTTTAATTTATAGAATATGTCCAGTGACAGATCATTGAGTATATGCCTATTAATAAAAATAATAGGGAAAATCTCAAACAGTCCTTTACTTCTTATGTTTTTAGAAATATGAAAGAATTTTAAGTTATATGTATAGTTCATTTTAGTATTAAGTAGATATATATTATATCCTAATTATATTTTTAAAACTGTTTAAGATGTCTCTGTCCTTTAAAAACAAAATCAAAAAATTTAACAGACTTCCTTTCCAACAGAATATTTCAAAATAAGGGTTACATTTCTCCCCACAAATACAATCATATGTCAAAAAACAGATTTTTTCCATTCAAGTTCTCAAAGCAACGTCAAGCATTATAAAAATATAAATAAAGGCTTAAAATATTTGTTCAAGTGAAAATATCTATCCCTCAGAAATGTGGAGACCTTCTTTACAAAGTTTCTGGAATAAATCAAATTTAGAGAAAACAATTAACAGCATACAGGGTACCCTGTCAAAATGAACTGCAAGTGTCATCATCAAATTGAATCATGCCCATTAGTAGCAAGAAAGAAGTCCGTTTAATAGAGAGAAAGCTACCCCTATAAATTTAAACCAATCAAATTAACAAGGAATCCAGTAGTTCCCCTAATCTTTAAGGGTGTGACTTCAGAAATAAACTCATAAGAGATATAACTCCACTGTTTTTTTTTCTTCAGTGCCTCAGCAGTGAATATGAATGTCTGAGCCAACTATAAGCAAAGCAAATTTATCAAATTATTTTGGCAGCCCATTTTTAAAACAAATTTTTTTTTTGCATTTTCAGAAACTTGCTTGTCCTTGGTCCAGTATTAATTCTGCATAATTGTTACAGAACATATCAATTCTCAACCAGTTCCATGAATGCTATTCCTGAGATACAACACTAGTAGAAAAGCACTAGGACAGGCCGGGCGCAGTGGCTCACGCCTGTAATCCCAGCACTTTGGGAGGCCGAGGCGGGCGGATCACGAGGTCAGGAGATCGAGACCATCCTGGCTAACAAGGTGAAACCCCGTCTCTACTAAAAATACAAAAATTTAGCTGGGCATGGTGGCGGGCGCCTGTAGTCCCAGCTACTCGGGAGGCTGAGGCAGGAGAATGGCATGAACCCAGGAGGCGGAGCTTGCAGTGAGCAGAGATCGCACCACTGCACTCTGGCCTGGGCGAAAGAGCGGGACTCCGTCTCCAAAAAAAGAAAAGAAAAGAAAAGAAAAGAAAAGCACTAGGACAGAGTGAGTTAGTTGACCAAAATCATCTGCCTAAGTGGCAAAAAATTTATAGCTGGGTTCCAATCAATTGCAGTTTAATAAAGTAAAATAGCATTGAGCAGGAAGATAAAGAATAGCATTAAAACTGCTTAAAGAACACTTTAAATACCTCTGTTCTGCATTTCCACACTTCCCAGTAGTTTTCCCTATCGCAGCACATATATTTTATTGTAAATATATGTTTAGATATTTCTACCTCTACACCGTGAGTCTTGTAAGCACAGAGGATGTGTCTATTTTACCTACCCTAGCAAATTATCCCAAGCACCTATCACAATGCTAAGCATATACTCTTTAATAGTTAAATAATTGAATAATGAATGCATTATACAAGTAATAGATAAACAATAGTATCATGTAGCCTGTGGAGTATATGTTCTAGTGGAGAATATTTCTGTAATACAGCAATGTTTTTTCCTCCTAAGTCAATCTATTAACATTTGATCCGTAAGATTAAATATTTTAAAAGATGCCTTTCTAGACCTTTAAAAGACATCTTTTCATTTGGACAGGCCTGTGTCAGGCCTTCTTGTGTATGAAGCTTTACTCTACAATGGTTGATATCACCTGGGAAACTTTTAGGACTTAGGTTGTCTGTGTCCAACCCCAGACCAGTTGAATCAGAATTTGTGGAGTAGGGCCTGAGCACTGGTATTTTTTACAGTCTCCCAGATAATTCTATATGGCTAAGTTGACCGTTACTACTCTTCAGGAAGAAGTTGATAAAATAAAAGTACAATCCAACTAAAATTAAAAACTTGTTCGGATCTAGATCTAGAAATACCATTTGACCCAGCCATCCCATTACTGGGTATATACCCAAAGGACTATAAATCATGCTGCTATAAAGACACATGCACACATATGTTTATTGCAGCACTATTCACAATAGCAAAGACTTGGAACCAACCCAAATGTCCAACAATGATAGACTGGATTAAGAAAATGTGGCACATATACACCATGGAATACTATGCAGCCATAAAAAAGGATGAGTTCATGCCCTTTGTAGGGACATGGATGAAATTGGAAATCATCATTCTCAGTAAACTATCGCAAGAACAAAAAACCAAACACCGCATATTGTCACTCATAGGTGGGAACTGAACAATGAGAACACATGGACACAGGAAGGGGAACATCACACTCTAGGTACTGTTGTGGGGTAGGGGGAGAGGGGAGGGATAGCTTTAGGAGATATACCTAATGCTAAATGACGAGTTAATGGGTGCAGCACACCAGCATGGCACATGTATACATATGTAACTAACCTGCACATTGTGCACATGTACCCTAAAACTTAAAGTATAATAATAAAAAAAAAAACTGTTGCCTTGTGTCCTTAGACATATAGATTATTTGAAGTTTATCCCTGTGGAAAAAAATGGGAATAAAATACTTGCCTCAAGTAAAAATGCTTTGGAAAAAAGTTATAAGGGTTTTATAAATTTATGGTCTATTTTCTAAATTTAAATTAAAAATAAGTTTTAATAATTTGGACTAATCCAAATTACAAAACATTACAAAAGTAAAATATTTTGCTTTTCTTCAGACACAGCTGAGTTTAGGAAGACATCCAATTATTTCAAATTGGTTTGATTACATTCCTTCAACAAGATACAAAGATCCATGTGAACTATTACATCTTTGCAGACTAACCATCAGGAATCAACTATTAACCAACAATATGCTCCCAGATGGAATATTTTCACTTCTAATTCCTGCTCGTCTACAAAACTATCTGAATTTAGAAATCTAACATACGTCAGTGTCCTAAGTTCCTTAACAATGCTTACCAATGTATGGCTTAGAAGTTAATAAAAATTCACTTCATGTAAGTTTTTATTGCATTAAACATTCATTTAGAAAATATATTTTCACACAACATCTTAATTGGATCACTTTAATCAATACATGACTCTGCCCATTACTTCTATACAATGGAATAAATTATATGCATTTTACACAAAGTGAAATGAACTATTTTCATCCAAATTACATCAAAATGAAAATATCAGTTCAATCTGCATGTTCTTTCATCACGACGAAACTTATCTTAAAAAGTAGAGTTTTCTCAGACAATTTTTTGGCTATTTTCTAAGTACTAGACTTTTTTCTCTATAACTATATGCAAACATGAGACTTGGAAGACAGTTCTCTATGGATCTCTCTCGTGTTTTTCCTGTCAGGAGCAGAGGCACTAATTTCCATTTATTATGGGCTAGCTTTTCAAGAATGTTTGTATAGCGAGCAGTTTGGGAGATAGAGATAGTGTCTTCCTTTGGAGCAGAGAGCAGGTTTGTTTATTGTCTAGTATAAAAAAGCAATGTGTTTCTCAGGCAAAGGTTGAGCAAGTTTGCTGGAAACTCATTATAAAAGATTGGAATTTCCCAAGCTCAGAGCTCCTCAGCTGTGACACAAATCTACTGTGTCCACATCTACTTGGACCACTCCATATCTTGGAGGGTGGATCTAAGTGGAATCGACACAAGCATCAATCTTATGCTACTTGCTAATGCCATTAGTAATAAAGTCCTTTGTTTCTAACCCAGGAGTCTCTTGTCTTCTGACAGTAAGCATGAAGCTATGGCAGGCTAAACTGCTTGCTTGCAATTAGGGTAAAAATGTCAGACTCTTCACAGTTTTTGACAATGAGCACCTGTTCCCACCTTATCACTATATATTTTAGGGCCTGTCTTAGTAAATTATGGCAGACAGTAGCAGTTTCCACTGTCCACTCACAGTCTGAGTACTATCAAAGTGTGACAATTTATAGAAAGAGTGTTCACTCTGGTTCTGTACTAACATAAACTGTGTGAATATTATTATTACAGTGTCTAAAGAACAGAATGTAAATAGTAAAGTAGCAAAGACATGGAGCAATCCAACCAGATTACTTGCTTTTTCTTTCCCTCTACTTTCATTTAGGTGAAGTAAAAATACATTATAGGATTGAATTATAGAAATGCTTACTTATACACTTTATTAAAATGTTTAATTATAACTCAGCATATTTTAAGCTCATAAATATAGAAGTATATATTATAGACAGGCTATTCATATGAATATTTCCTTTACTAGAAACATGTAAATAGTTATATATTTTGGTTAAAAATAAGTTAATATAAAGAAAGCCTAAAAGCTACCTTTAGTCTAGCACATAAAGAAACACTAGATTGGTGATCCAGATGAAGTGATTTGTCTGGCCAAATACCTCAGCAAATCTTTTGACATTTATTCTCTAATTTTCATCCTTTTCTTCCATCATTCTCTTCATATGTCTTCAACTCTAAGAAAGATTAACAAATTTGGTCTAGTCTTCACTTTTATTGACTGTGGCTCATACCTATTCTAAAGGGTGGGAAATAAGCAGCATCTAAGTTTCAGGAACTTCTTCCTACTGGAATTCTGATTACTTCCATATTTCTCAACATGATAAATCCATCACCACCCAGAATCTTACTGAACTCTTCCCTTCTGTATTAGTTTCCTAGAGTTGCCATAACAAAGTGCCACACACTGCGTACTTTCTCATCTCACAGTTGTGAATCCCATGAGTCCAAAATCAAGGTGTCACCAGGGCCCTCCTCTCTTTGAAGCTTTTACAAGAATTCTTCCTTACCTCATTCTAGCTTCTGGTGGTTTCCCTTCCTTGGCTTGTAGCTGCACTACTTCAATCCTTTGTCTTCATATGGTGTTCCCCTCTGTCTTCATGTGGTCTTATAAAGACATCTGTCATATCTTATCTGATTACATTTGCAGTAATCTTATTTCCAAACAACATCACATTCTGAGGTACTGAGGGTAAGCACTCGAACATATCTTTTTTGTTGTTTTCACATTTAAAACATTTTTTGTCTTTTTTTTTTAAGTTCAGGGGTACATGTCCAAGATGTGCAGGTTTGTTACACAGGTAAATGTGTGCCATGGTGGTTTGCTGCACAGGTCATCCCATCACCTAGGTATTAAGACCAGCATCCATTAGCTGTTCTTCCTGATGCTCTCCCTCTTCCATCTCCACCCTCTGCCAGGCCCTGGTGTGTGTTGTTCCCCTCCATGTGTCCATGTGTTCTCATCATTTAGCTCCCACTATAAGTGAGAACATGCGGTGTTTGGTTTTCTGTTCCTGCATTAATTTGCTGAGGATAATGACCTCCAGCTCCAACTATATTCCCTCAAAAGACATGATATCTTTCAAATCAATGTCTTCTCTCCCTCATCAGCCACTCTGCCCACTCAACTCTTCTCTCCTCCCACACGCATCTGTCCTGTTCCCATCATTTCTACCTTTAACCCTCATCAACTCTACTAAAATAGTCTCTTAAACTATTTGGTCTCCTTGACTCTGGTTTCAACTGCCCATTTCAAAATCATTCATGCTAACACCCAGATGATCTTATTAAGATGCAAATCTAATTATGTTATACCACCATTACTACTACCACCATCCCTTGCCAATCCCCCAAGGGCAAACATGCCTTAAAACTCTACAGTGGTTTATAGGAGAAACTGATAGAAAGCACCTAGCTTCACTCTCTCATATGCACTGTATCCTCTAGTTAAACTAAGCTGCTCACTGTTTCACATATCTTTACTTACACATATGCTGATCTATCTAAAATGCCTTTTCCTTCCTTAAAACCCAATATATTTTATCCTCTAAATTCCCTTTGACCGACAAAGGTTACATACGGTTGGTTCCATTGCCTTAAACATTCCTCTATTATGGCACTTATCACATGATGCTCCAATCCTAATATATGTGCTTTTTTCTCTTTATTACACCCAAGGTTCTCAAGTCAAATGCCCTATCTCTTGTACCTCTAACACCTAATATGTTGCCTGGTCCATAGAAAATATTTACTGAATTAGATTTGTTTTATAGCTTTCTAAAAGTAATACTTACTCTAAAACTTTTGCTTGAAGGAACAGATTTTAAAATGTGCTATCAGAGAGGCTAAAAGCAGTTAAAAATAGAAAAAAGAAATAAAACATCACTTCTGGTTAAAAAAATTATCAGAATAGCTTTAAAATTTGTTTAAAAAGCATTACTCACTGCACACCTATTAAAATGGCTCAACTGAAAAAAGAAAAGAAAGCTGACAATACTAAGTACTAGTGAACATGAGGAGCAACTGGAACTCACACATAGCTGATGAGAATGAAAAGTGATATAGTCACTCTGGAAAAGTCTGGCAGCTTCTTATGAAATAAAACATACACTTAACGTATGACACAGCTATTTTACTCCTATTTAATCTAGATAAATGAAAACTTATGCTCCCAAAAAACCTTGTATAGGAAGGTTTATGGTAGCTTTATTCATAATCGCTAAGAACTAAAAACCCAAATGTCCCTCAGTGAATGAAAGGACAACAAACTCTGGCACATATAAACAATGAAATACTTGTCAGCAATAAAAAGGCACAGCAACATGTATACATTTCAAAAGCATTATGCAAAAGAAGCCAGTCTCAAAAGGTTACATGCTATATGGATTCCATTTGTTGGACATTCTGGGAAAAAATAAAACTATAGGGAAAGAAAACAGGCCTGTGATTGCTGGGTTAAAGTTAAGGGTCAGGGAAAGATTTGACTACAAAGGAACAGCACTAAGGAAGTCTTTTGGAATGATGGGAGGGTTCTCTATCCTGATTTTGCTGGTGGTTATGTGAATCCATAAATGTACTAAAATTCACAGGACTGTACACCAAAAAAATTAATTTTATTGAATGTAAATGTAAAAATAAATGCATTACTTCCTAGGCATGAGAATAAGCTGTGTTTCTTCTCCATCCCCACCCCCCCATATTTTACCCCTAAACTTGAAAAAGACTATCTTATGTAGGATTTTATTCTATGAGGAGAAAGGTGGAACAGGCTAAAATAATGGCTTTGTGGTGGAAATTAAAGGAGTTTGCTAACACATTATGAGCATTTACCTTGAAAGACTGGATTATGAGATAATGATCTATAATATTAGAAAAAGGCAAAGGCAAAGAGGAACAAAAGAGTAGAGCAAATAGATCTTAAAATTAAGAAATGGATTATCTCCCTAGTATTCACCTTCATTCTGTAGTACCATGACATAATAATTATATCTTTATTTGATTTGGTTTTTTGTATGTTTCTGCTACACACAAAATGGTATAAGAAAAAGTAATTTAATTTTAAGAAGATATAAACCTGTTTTTATATCAGTATCTCAATTCTAAAATAAAAGACATTAATCATTTGGCTGCAGTTTTTGCATCAAAAGCTTTAATTGATGAAAAATTTCTTAAAAGTCGGGTGGAATCTAACATTGAGGTTACATCTAAAAAGAAGTTAATGTATTTGATGAAATGATATTCAGCATATTTGATATGTTGCACTCGTCTCTGCTTGCCTGTTTTTTTCCCCACTGCCTACTCCCTTTCTACCTTTTATTGCTTTCCTCTCTTTTTTTCCTGCCACCCCAAACAATCTGCCATGCCCTTTTCCTCCTCAGTGTCTTCTTGAAATTTGCCACAAGCCTAAATTACCTAACTGCCTTTAGAAATGACCACATAAGGCCAGGCACAGTGGCTCACATCTGTAATCCCAGCACTTTGGGAGGCCGAGGCAGGCGGATCACCTGAGGTCAGGAGTTCGAGACTAGCCTGGCCAACATTATGAAACCCCGTCTCTACCAAAAATACAAAAATTAGCCAGGCGTGGTGGTGGGCGCTTGTAGTCCCAGCGACTCAGGAGGCTAAGGCAGTAGAATCGCTTGAAGCTGGGAAGTAGAGGTTGCAGGGAGTCGATATCACGCCATTGCACTCCAGTCTGGGGAACAAGAGCGAGACTCTGTCTCAAAAAGAAAAAATATAAAGAAAAAGAAATGACCACACAAAATGTAATTCATTTCAGAGGCTGTGAATTAAAACATAGCTAATAGTCAAATATAAATATTGTGATATTTTTTCTAAAACATGACAATAAGGAATATAAGTAATCTAACAAGACATTTAATATATATTGAATTGAATGTAAAACAAAAAATAATTTATATTTACTTTTCCAAAATAATATGTGTGCCATTTAAATTATAACTTTTTCAATATACTTGGCTACTAATATTTACTTAGAATGCTGAGTGTTTAATAAAGTCAACAAACATTAATATTAAATGTTATAGAATAAAATATGGCCCTAAGTGGTCTGTGAATAATATTGGTGGGTCAAATTATTATGAATACTGTAGCTTACTAAATAAATGTTTCAAATGTATAGCTTGAATTCCAGACACTTAGTTGCCCAAGAAAAGAATAACTTGTCTATGTTAGGCCTTTATGCTGAGATTACTCACTTAGCAGCGTGATTCCAAAATTACTCTGATGAACTTCAGAACCCTCCAGTGTTGGAAGTGGGGGTACTGATTAATAAATTGTTGAGTTATAGGGCATTATTACTTCAGAATAGAATGTAAAAGAAAAGCTCAAAAAAGTTTCCAGACCTAAAAAGAAAGGTGTTTATTAAACTAGGGTATTTACAATAATATTTTAAACTATAACTTGTAAGTATAAATGAACTTAGGTCTTAATAATGTGAATTTTTGTGAGAAAAAAGTGGTGTATTGTATTTTCTCCTAACATAAAAACCATTCCTTTAAGTAGTTCTCATTTGTTAAGTTATAATAAATATTTTTCATATAGAATATATAGATGACAATTGTGATGTTAATATAATGTAATTTTCAATTAAAATATGAAATTTGGCAAATGTTATTTTCCTTATCTCTAAGGAGAAAAATAAATTCTAGGTTCCTTGAATTAAGATATATTATTACATTAGAATTGTGATTATTCTTCAGTCTTTTCTGGAACTTGTTCAGTCCTGGGAAAATCTTCTTTGTACTTCTTCTTGAGGTTACTTAAATATATTCGTAAACTGTCTGGATCCAATTGAGAGTTTCGAGCAGTTTGAACAAGCCTAGTGGCTAGATGGTACACAGCTCTCTGTCTTTCCATCTCAGGGGTACTCCTTTGGTTTTGCTGTCATTGAAAAAAAAAAAATATATATATATATACACAAATACCATAATTTTTATTTAAACCACATGTTGGCAATATTCTATCTCCTTCCATAGACATATGGAACTCAAGGGTTAACTAATTCCTTTGAACAAATCAGTTTCCTCCAACAAGGAAAGAATATACAAGAAGAAATAAAAGAAATATTGTATTTGAAAGAACATAATTTATTCTGAGTATTTGTTACTTTATCACAGATCTTATGTTCTTGAAATCACTTTTCAATGAAAAAAATTATGCTAAATAGGTCAGATTTCTCAACATAATACCGAAAAGTAATAGAAAATCCACCAGAGATAGACTCTACAAACACTTTCCCATTAAAAAGGTATGGGAAAACAGCATTGTTCATTGCTATGTGGTAATATACTTTTAAATGATGCCAAAGAGTACTACTCTGCTATCTCCTACTTTAATTCCCCAACAGATAAACTGGTACACAGAATGGGTCATCAGAAAATTGCTTGCCCCTAAAGAGAGTACATATATAGAAACTGCTGGAGCCTAAGAGAAAATACTGCCTGAGGGGTAAATTACATTTTAAAAATAAATAATATGAATAGCTATTTAAAATCATGCCTTAATTTTTAATAAACTAAACTTCGGGATACCCAAGAAATAATATGTAAAACAGGAATGTAGAAGTCCTTTAGATGCTTGGTCTTGAATAGAACTTCAGGACTGCAAATATACCTAGAAAATTCTTATTTCACCTCTTTGCCTGAACTAGATAGAGAAATCAGCATTTTTAATCTTAACTTTTTATGGAAAGTCTTAGTGAGTTTCCCTGAAATATAATCCCTTCAACTCATAATAGCAAGCAACTCCAGATTTTTTTTTACTTTTCACTATAGGAAAAATGAGTAAGATTTTATGAGGTAGAATAAGATTACCATATATTCACCCATCTATCTATTTGGTACACAGATCAATTACCAATTAGTCTATTATTTTAAGAAAGTTATTGAATATCTACTATCATCTATGTTCCAGGCCTCTAAGCTTACGTTTATATATCTATGGGGGATACAAAAATGTAAACCTCACATGATAACAGAACTCAAGGAGCTTACAGTCTTAATGGTTAAAAAAACAAAAGGCTTGTTGTAAGCAACTGATTATAATAATTAAGAAAAGTCCCATAAAACAGCCATAAAATACTCAGAGGAAGGGAAACTCACTTCCAGCTCAGGCCAAGAAAAGCTTGAATAGGATGGAGTATTGAAATTAATCCTGATAGATAAAACAGCCTAGAAGAGGGGGTATTCCACAGAGGAAACAGTTAGAGCAGGTACATTTGAAAGCATGGTACACAATCAGGTCAATATGATGAAATGGCAAGTAATTCAATGTAGTAATGACAAGTAATTTAATTTACAAGATTGAAATTGCAGAAATGTAGATTACGTGAAACCGAGTGATATTATGTAAGGGAGGTGTAGAAAACAAAGGAAAATCATGAAGCAGAAGCCAATAAGCTTTACAATCACGTAAAAACTGGTTAAGAAGGCAAATCCCTGAGCCACAGAAGATCCTTGACAATCTAGTATGGTACCCTGTATCTCAGGCAATTCTAATGCAGGTAATTCTAAAATATATTTTGAGAATTACAGAGGACTTTTTACACTAGACAAAGGAGTTCAACTTTACTTTGTAATAAATCATTAAAAGTTTCTGAGTAGGCAAACTACATAATAAAAACTATGCATTAGGAGACAATCTGGTAGAAGTGTATATAAATAGATTGAGAGAGAGAGAGAACTTACTGCATAGTCCTAATGACAGGTGATTAAGAGGAATGATCCATATATGACTTTGGTGAGTCACTGGGAGACTTAAAGGTGAAGAGATAAGAGTTTTTTTTAGAAGATGATAAATTTAACTTTGGCTTTTAAACATAGATTAAGATATGTAGGAGAAATATGGAGAAAAATATATAGATTCAGAGTTGAACAGAAATGATGATGGACGCTGTGAGAAAAGATGAGATCACCAAGTGCAGATTTTAGAAAGAAAAGAAACAAGGGCAAAAATCTTAGAAACTTTTATATTTAGTAAGTGGAATAAGAAAAAGTAATGATGATGGCTGGGTGCGGTGGTTCATGCCTGTAATCCCAGCACTTTGGGAGGAAGAGGCGGGTGGAATGCTTGAGCCCAGGAATTTGTTAAAAACCAGGCTGGGCAACACAGTGAGACCTTGTTTCAAAAAAAAGAAAAAAAAAGAAAAGAAAAAGTACTAGTGAAGAAGGGACAGAAGAAATAATCAAACAGGTAGGAGAATGAAAATATCCAGGAGAGAATAATTCCACATAGCCAAGAGAGGGCAGAATTAAGAAAAGAGAAAACAAGGGTAGTGTCAAGTGCCATAGAGAGATCATGGAAGATCAGAAGTGAAAAGAAGGACAAAGGATTTTATAATTAGTTGGTATTTAAGAGAAAACTTTGGGGAGAGTGATGACAATAAGACTCAGTTTAAACATGAGAAATGAAAGAAGCAAGCATGGGTTACTTTTGATAAGTTTGCAGTAAAAAGAAAATGAAATAATAGTTTGAAAAGTAGAGTAAACAGGCAGAATTTTAGGGGAGAAATCTAAGCATACTCTTAGAAAAAGGAAAAGCCTGTGACGAAAATATTAAAGATGCAAAAGAGAATAAAGGGAACTGAGAAGTAATAATAACTTAGTGGAGATTTTTTTAAAAGGTAGAATAGTTAACCTTCTGTCTGAAAGTCAGTCTCTTCCTCTGAGATAAGATGGAAGAGAGATGGAAGAAAAACAGAAATATTCAAAACAAAATTTTGAAGGAGGGGAGGTTCAAGAACTCATCAAGATGACCTCAAATTTGTTAAAAAGTAGGAGGCAGATTATCTGTAGAAAGTGAAGTGATTGAGAGTACAGGAAGAGTGAAACTGTTTCAAAAGAGTTATCGTAAAAGAAGCTAAATAATAAATAAAAAGAAAAAAATACAATTCTCATCACATACCATGGCCTGTCAGCGGGGGGAGGGGGTGGGAGGCAAAGGGAGGGATAGCATTAGGACAAATATCTAATGCATGCGGGACTTAAAACCTAGATGACGGGTTGATGGGTGCAGCAAACCACCATGGCACATGTAAACCTATGTAACAAACCTGCACGTTCTGCACGTGTATCCCAGAACTTAAAGTATATACTAAAAAAAAAAAAATACAATTCTGGATATCAACAAAATGGCAGAGTAGAAGCAGTCTGCCTTTGCTCTCCCCACAGAGAACCAAAAGCAAATATCTGGAGCACAGATTAACACCAGCAACATTTTAGAAGCCAAATCTGAGGCTGAAATGATAGTTGGGAGACAGAGAAGTGAAAAACTCTGAGCAGACTATAAAAAGAAAGAAAGTTCTCTATCTGCAATGTCCGTGCCCCAATCTGCCAGGCATCATGCACAGAAAATTCCTCCCAATCTCATTTGTTCTACTCTGGAAAAAGTGAGATTGAGGTGGATAGCCAGCTTCCCCACCATCCTGGGTTCCCTTGCAGAAAAATCATTCCTGCCTAAACCCACAGGAAGCACCACTAGTGCCTGGAGGGAGAAAACCGCCTGAGGGCAGCTAGAGACAAAAAGGGGAGTGGAATTAGAAACTCCAGCCTGTAAAACTACTCCTCATTTCAGTCGAAGGAGACACCAAATCAGTGTGGATGTACAGCAGCACCATGCTAGAGGAAGCAGATGCCACAGGTCATCTGGGTATAAACCCCTAGCCAGCCTTTCCACACAGCTGAGGTATCCCCTCTAAGAACCCTACCATCTGAGATGTGTAGTACTGCAAACATTTGCCAGAGCTGAGGAAATTCTGGGCTTAAGGTGCCATCTAGTGCTGAAAATGAGGCAGCAATCTAGGATTAAGGGGAATCACAGACAATTGCAAAGAACTTCTAAGCAAACATACAACCTAGAAAGTCCAACAAGCGAGACACTGAAGATAAACTGATCCTTCATTGCAAAAACATAGATATATATCCACAAGGAACAAGAGCAAACAGGAAACTATGATCTCCCCAAATGAACAAAGCAAGGAGCTGGTGATCAACATCGTGGTGAGATGGTGATACGTGAGCTCTAAGATCAAGAATTCAAAATAGCAGTTTTAAGAAAATTCATGAACTCTAAAACAGCACAGAAAAAGCAACTGATAAATTTATCAGAGAAATTTAATAAAGAGATTAAAGTTTGGCCGGGCACATTGGCTCACGCCTGTAATCCCAATACTTTGGAAGGCCAAGGTGGGCAGATCATTTGAGGTCAGGAGTTTGAGACCAGCATGGCCAACACAGTGAAACTCCATTTCTACTAAAAATACAAAAATTAGCCAGGCATGGTGGTGCACACCTGTAATCCCAGCTACACAGGAGGCTGAGGCAGCAGAATTTCTTGAACCCAGGAGGCAGAGGTTGCAGTGAGCTGAGATCACACCACTGCACTCCAGCCTGGGTGACAGAGCCAGACTCTGTCTCAAAAAAAAAAAAAAACAGATGAAAGTTTTTAAAAATCAAATGGCAAACAGATTTGAAACCCTGGAACTGAGAAATACATTTGTTGAACTTAAAAAAACTACAGAGGCTCTCCAAAAAAGAAATAGATCAAGCAGAAGAAAGAATCAGTGAGATTAGCCAGGCACAGTGGCTCATGCCTATAATACCAGCACTCTGGGAGACTGAGGCAGGCAGATCACTTCAGCCTAGGAGTTAGAGACCAGCCTGGCCAACATGGTGAAACCCCGTCTCACTAAAAAAATTAGACAGGCACGGTGGCACATGCCTGTAATTCCAGCTACTTGGGTAGCTGAGGCACAAGAAATACTTGAATCCAAGAAGCGGAGGTTGCAGTAAGCCAAGATATAGTCAGAGGGAAAAAAAAACAGAATGAAAGGAATAAAGACAGCCTGAAAGATTTTATACATATATATATATATATATATATATATATATGTATAGAGAGAGAGAGAGAGAGAGAGAGATACACCGTGGAAGAGCAAATCTAAGATTCACTGGTGTTCAAGAGAGAATTGAGAAAGAGCAAAGAGTAGAATGCCTATTTAAAGGAATAAAATGGAAAACCTACTAAACCTAGAGAAATATGTTAATATCTAGGTACAAGAGGTCACAGAACACCAAATATATTCATCCCAAATAAGACAAGCCAAATGATATAATAATCAAACTCTCAAAGGTCAAGGACAAAGAGAATCCTAAAAGCAGCAAGAGAAAAGAAGCAAATAACATATAAAGCAGCTCCAATTCATCTGGCAACAGACTTCTCAACAAAAACCATATAGATCAGGAGGGAGTGGAATAACAGATTCAAAGTGCTGAAGGGAAAAAAACTGCAAACTGAGAATACTATACCTAGCAAAACTTTCCTTCAAACATGAAGGAGAGAAAAAGTCTTTTCTAGACAAACAAAAGCTGAGGAAATGCATCATTACTAGACCCATATTATAAGAAATGTTAAAGGGAGCTCTTAAATCTGAAAGGAAAGAATGCTAACATGCAAAAGACAAACAAACAAACAAACTTGAAGTTTAAATGTAAGTACATAAATTCAGAATACTCTAATACTATAAATGTGATGTGTAATCTACTCATATCTCTAACATAAAGACTATAAGACACATTTATTAGCTGGGCGTGGTGGTGGGCGCCTGTAGTCCCAGCTACTCAGGAGGCTGAGGCAGGAGAATGGTGCGAACCCAGGAGGCAGAGCTTGCAGTGAGCCAAGATCGCGCCACTGCACTGCAGCCTGGGCAAGAGAGTGAGACTCAATCTCAAAAAAAAAAGAAAAAAAAAAAGACACGTTTATGAAAATAGTAACTACAGACACCTTTAAAGAAATAGACAATATAAGAAGGTGTAAATTGAGACAAGAAAAAATCAAAATGTCAGGGGAATGAAGTTAAAGTACGGAGTGTTTCAGTTTTTCCATTGTTTGTTACTTTCTTCTCTCTATGGTCAAAACTAAGTAGTTATCTGTTTAAAATAAAGTGTTATAGCTATAAAATATTTTATAAGCCTCATGAAAATCATAAATTAAAATATATATATTTAAATTTATATAATATATAATATATTATATATTATATATATTATATATAATATATACATATTATATATTATATATATATAATATATAATATGTATATATTATATATAATATATATAATATTGTATATATATTATATATATTAAAAATATAAAGCAATGAATTAAAACATACTACCAGAAAAAATTACTTAATCAAAAAGGAAGAAAGAGAGCACTTACAAAACAACCAGATAACAAGTAACAAAATGGTAGCAGTAAGTCTTTATCAGTAATAGTATTGAATGTAAATGTCCTAAATTCTCCAATTAAAAGACATAAGAGTGTCTAAATGGATTAAAAAAACAAGACTTAAAAAAACAGGAGTTCAAGACCAGCATGGACAACATGGTGAAACCCTGTCTCTATTAGAAATACAAAAATTAGCTGGGTGTACAGGCGGGTGCCTGTAATCCCAGCTACTTGGGAGGCTGAGGCAGAAGAATCGCTTGAACCTGGGAGGTGGAGGTTGCAGTGAACTGAGATCAAGCCACTGTACTCCAGCCTGGGTGACAGAGCAAAACTCTGCCTCAAAAAAAATAAAAGAAATAAAATAAGATCTAACTGTATGATGCTAACTAGAAACTCACTTCACCTACAAAGTCATACTAGACTAAAAGTAAAGGGATGGAAGAAGATATTCCAGATAAATAAAAACCAAAAAAGAGCAGGAGTAGCTATGTTTATATCAGATAAGATAGACTTCAAGTCAAAGACTGTAAAAAGAGACAAAGAATGTTATTCTATAATAATAAAGGGGTCAATTCAGCAAGAGGACATAACAATTATAAATATATATTCACCCAACAGTGGACCATCCAAATATGTAAAGCAAAAATTCATAGATATAAAGAGAAATATAGACTGCAATACAATACTAGTAGGGGTCTTCAACATTCCATTCTCAGTAATGGCCAGATCATCCAAACAGAAAATCAACAATTAAACACTGAAGTTAAACTACACTCTAGACTGCCTGGACCTCACTGACATTTGCAGAACATTTCATCCAACTGCTGCAGAATACAAATTCTTCTCATCATCACATGAAACAGTCTCCAGGATAAACAATACATTAGGCCACAAAACAAGTGTCAATAAATTCAAAAATGTCGAAACCCTATGAAGTATATTTTATTCCACAATGGAATAAAACTAGAAATCAATAACAGAATGAACTTTTGGAAACTATATATATAAATACATGGAAAATAAACAACATGCCCCTGAACAATCAATGGGTCAATAACGACATTAAAAAGAAAAATTTAAAAATTCTTGAAAAAAATACATGACATACTAAAATCTATGACATACAGCAACATATTGCTAAGAGAAACGTTTATAGCAATAAACACCTACAACAAAAAAGTAGAAACATTTAAAAAAAAACAACAACAACCTAACGTGGTACTTCTCAAAGCTAGGAAAGCAAAAACAACAAGCCAAACCTAAAATTGGTAGAAGAAAAGAAATAATAGAGATCAAAGCAGAAATAAATGAAGTTGAAACTAAAATAAATACAAAAGACAAACAAATCTTTACTAGACCAACTAAAAAGAGAGAAGACCCAAATAAAATCAGAAATGAAAAAGGAGACATAACAATTGATACCACAGAAATACAAAGGATCATTAGAGACTATTGTAAACAACTATATGCCAACAAATTGGAAAACTTAAAAGAAAGAAAGAAATTTCTGGAGACATACAACTTACCAAGATTGAAGCATGAAGAAATAGAAAACAAGAATAGACCTATAATGAATAATGAGATTGAAGTAATAATAAAAAATCTCCCTTCAAAGAAAACCCCACAGTATAGGGAGACCCCCATCTCTGCAAAACAGTAAATAAATAAAAATTAGCCAGATGTGGTGGTGTGTACCTGTGGTCTCAGCTATTTGGGAGGCTGAGGTAAGAGGATTACTTGAGCTAGGAGGTCAAGTAAGCAGTGGGCTGGGATTGCACCACCACACTCCAGTCCAGGCAACAGAACAAGATCCTGTCAAAAAAAAAAGAAAGAAAAAGAAAAAGAAGAAAAGCCAGTACCTGATGACTTCACTGCTGCATTATACCAGATATTTTTAAAGAAGAATGAATAGCAAGTCTAATCAAATTATTTCAATTAATTACAGAGGAGGGAACACTTCCAAACTCATTCTATGAGGCTAGTATTACCCTGATATCAAAACCAGACTATGAAACAACAAATAAAGAAAACTACAGGCCAATATTCCTGTTAAACATAAATTAAGAACCCAACCAAATACTAGCAAACCAAATACAACAACACACTGAAAAGATCATTCACCATGATTACACGGAATTCATCCCAGGGATGCCAGAATGATAAAACATATGCAAATCAATAAATATGATATGTCATATTAACAGAATCAAGGACAAAAACCATGTGATCTTTTCAATAGATGCCGAAAAAGTATTTGACAAAATTCAACATTCCTTTATGACAAAACGTCTCAACAAACTGGGTGTAGAAGGAACACACCTCAAAACAATAAAGGACATACATTACAAACCCACAACTAAATAATACTATGGGAGTAAAAATGGAAAGTCTTTCCTCTAACTTCTGGAACAAAACAGGGACACCCACTTTCACCACTTTTATTCAACATAGTACTGGATGTCCTAGCCAGAGCAATTAAGCAAGAGAAAGAAACAAAAGGCATCCAAACTGGAAAGGAAGAAGTCAAAATATCCTTTTTACAGATGACATATTATACTTAGAAAACCCTAAAGACTCCACCAAAAATATAAAAATCAGTGACATTTGTATACGTCAATAGTGAACAAACTGAAAAAAATACAAGAAGAAATCCCATTTATGGACTGGAAGAATAAATATTGCTATAAATGTGTTCATTGATTGGAAGAATAAATACTGCTAAAATGTCAATACTATTCAATGTAATCTATAGATTCAATACAATCCCTATCAAAATAACAGACATTCTTCACAGAAGTGGAAAAAAATCCTAAAATTTATATGGAACCACAAAATACTTCAAATAGTCAAAGCAACCCTGAACAAAAAGAACAAACCTAGAAACATCATGCTATCTGACTTTAAAATATACTACAAAGCCATAGTAACCAAAACAACAGAGTCCTGGCATAAATACAGACACATCAAAAAATTGAACAGAACAGAGAACCCAGAAATAAGTCCAAGCATTTACAGCCAACTCATTTTCAACAAGATACCAAGAAGACAGTCTCTTCAATAAATAGTGCTGGGAAAAATAGATAACTATATATAGAAGAATGAAGCCAGACTCATATTTCTTACCATATATAAAAATCTAATCAAAATGAATTAAAGACTTAAATGTAAGACCTGAAACTATGAAACTACTTGAAGAAAACATTGGGAAATGCTTTAGGATATTAATGTGGGCAAAGACTTTTTGGGTAAAACCTCAAATGTGCAGGCAATAAAAGCAAAAATACACTTATATAATTACATTATGTTAAAAAGCTTCTGCATAGCAAAAAAAAAAATTAACAAAGTGAAGAGACAGCCTACAGAAGGGGAGGAAATATTTTCAAGCTCTCCTTCTGACAACCAAATTAAGCAAAATAATAACAAAGAAATAATAACCAAAACATCTAAGTAACTCAACTCAATAGCAAAAAAATCCCACCAAATAAACCCAATTAAAACATTGGCAAAACATCTGAATAGATGTTTCTCAAAAGAAGACATACAAATAGCCAACAGGTGGTGGGAATGTAAATTAGTTCAACCTTACGGAGATTTCTCAAAGAACTAAAAGAACTATATATATATATATATATATATATATATATATATATATATATATATATATATATATATATACATACACATATATAACACCTGTACCTAGTTCATCACAGCACTATTCACAATAGCAAAGTCATAGAACCAACCTAAACACCCACCAATAGTTGACTGCATAAAGAAAACCATGGAATACTAATAGCCATAAACAAGAATGAAATCATGTCCTTTACACAACATAGATGGAGTTGGAGGCCATTATCCTAAATGAACTAACTCAGAAATAGAAAACCAAATACTGCATGTTCTCACTTATAAGTGAGAGCTAAACAATGGGTACACATGGACATAAAGATGGAAATAACTGTCACTGGGGACAAAAGGGGGAAGGTAGGAGGTGGCAAGGGTTAAAAATTACCTATTGGTTACAATGTTCACTATCTGGCTATTGGGTACACTAGGAGCCCAACTCACAGCAGTATGCAATATACCTATGTAACAAGCAAGCACATGTACCCCCTCAATCTAAAATAAAGTAAAATAAAAATAAACAAAAAATAGGCAATGTGGATATATTATTGCAACTACATCATAGTTGTTGTGAAAAGGGGCCTTTAAGAACAAGAAATGAGTACATTGCTCCACTGGAAAAAAATTCAGGGAAGTTTCTTGGGGAAGTTCACATCTGAGCTAGGTAAAAATGTTAAATAAAAATTATATGGATGAGGTAGATGGAGGAAGAGGAATTAAATTCTTAGCAGAGGGAACAACATAAGTGAAATAAAAGATTAAAAAACAAAACAAACATATAGCCAACAGGTATATGAAAAAATGTTCAACATCACCAGTCATTAAGGAAATATATATCAAAACCACAATGAGATATCATCTCACCTAGTTAAGATAGCTTTTATCCAAAAGACAGACAATTAACAAATGCTGGTGAGGATAGAGAAAGGGGAATGCACATACACTGTTGATGGGAATGTAAATTAGTATTGCCACTATGAAAAATAGCATGGAGGGTTCTCAAAAGACTAAAAATAGCACTATCATATGATCCAGCAGTCCTACTGCTGGGCATCTATCCAAAAGAAAGAAAATAAGTATATCAAAGAGATGTCTATATTCCCACGTTTATTGCAGCACTATTCACAATAGCCAAGATATGGATCAACCTAAGTGTCCATTAACAGATGAATGGATAAAGAAAATGTGGTAAATATACACAATGGAATATTATTCAGCCAAAAAAGAAAGAAATGAAATCCTTGCATTTGTAGCAACATGGATAAAGAATCACTATGCTAAATGAAATAAACCAGGCACAGAAAGACAAATACCACATGTTCTCACTCATATGCCTGAGCTAAAAGAGTTGATCTCATGGAGGTGAAGAGCTCATTGATGGTTACTAGAGGTTAGGAAGGGTTTGGAGGAGGAAGGAGATGAATACAGGTTGGTTAATGCGTACAAAAATACAGTTAGATTGAAGAAATAGTCTAGTGTACGATAGTTCAGTAGGGTGACTATAGTTAATATGTGTCGTATAGTTCAAAATAGCTAGAAGATAAGAATTGCAATGTTTTCAACATGAAGTAAAGATAAATGTTTGGGGTGATGGCTATCCCAACTACCCTGATTTGATCATTACACATTGCATGCAAGTATCAAAATATCACATGTAGCCCCAAAATATGTACAACTATTATCAATTAAAAAAAGAAAAAAATCACAATTATCCAGTAAAATATTCAACTAAAATCAGAATATATGAATTTGCAGTGGATAAAAATAGCTTGTTTCGAATATTTTTCAAACTTCATTAGGAGAATCAAAGCCTACTAGAAGGCTAGTAGAGAGGTGGTCCATAATTGAAATGTGGTAAGATGAACTCTAAAGAGTTAGGTAATAAGAGCTTCTTCAGAGTACAGAACAGTTAAAATTTCTGACTAAGAGATTCAAATAGATAATTAGGCAAGTGAAGTCACAGAGACAGTAGAGGAACTTAAAGGAGAGAGGAATTAAAAATGGAAGACAGGTTAAGAAAGAGTGAGGGACACAGAAAATTGTTATTGAAGAAAATATCACACTGCACCTAGGTCAGTTTACTGAACACATTGCATTTTTAAAACACTGTAAAGCAGCTGGGAGCGGTTGCTCACACCTGTAATCCCAGCACTTTGGGAGCCCGAGGTTGGTGGATCACCTGAGGTCAGGAGTTCGAGACCAACCTGGCCAACATGGCGAAACCCCCACCTCTACGAAAAATACAAAAAAAAATTAGCCGGGTGTGGTGGTGGGCGCTTGTAATCCCAGCTACTCAGGAGACTGAGACAGGAGAATCGCTTAAACCCAGGAGGCGGAGGTTGCAGTGAGCCGAGATCATGCCATTGCACTCCAGCCTGGATGACAAGAGCAAAACTCCATCTTAAACAAACAAACAAACAAACAAAACCCCAAAACCAAAAACACTTATATAAAGCAACCAAAATTTTCCAAATTTTGAGTCAACAGATGTGAGTTTAGTGTTGAACCTACTGCTTCCTAACAAATCACTTAACCTCTGTGAACCTGTAAAATTAAGAGTAGAAGTAATCCTTTTTTAATCTTTTACTATAAAGACCTAATTACTTCATGAAGAGTTATGAGGCTTACATATGATGAGTAGAAAAGCTTTGAAAACTATAAAAAATATATAATTATACAAATATTGTGCATAGTGATTTTCATTTTTAATGTCCACTTAAAATAGATTTATTTCCTCATCATAAAGTTAGTATAGCAATAATTATTTTATAAACTAAACTGTTTAATTTTTATCTCCTAGCTTGTTAGCTGATTTGCTGCGAGGATTATAATAGACCAAACCAAAAGAGTTTTAAGAAGTAAAATTAATTTTCTTTGTTTAGAAATTAGGTTTTAATTTTAAATATTTTAATTATTATATTAATTATTATATATTTAGATCAAAGGTCATAATAAAAATCTACACTAAAAGTATTTTTTTTAATTTGAAGAACAAATAAGAACAAAGTTTCTTACCAAAATTTGTCTCGTAATTTGAGTTGTGATTTCCTTGGCATCCAAGACAATTGATGGTGGAAGTGATGACACCTCTGCAGCTTTTAATCCTAGAATTATTTGTTTTAAATTTGGCTTCAATATTGTTACTGCTGGCATTTTTATGCTTCTTTTAACTAGTATTAATCTTTTAGTCACAGATTTAAACTTCCCTTCTAGAGGCACTTCTGAACTACTCAATAATTCTCAGAATTAAGCTTTCTAAAATTCTGGATGACAACTTGCCAATTATTAGATTTAATTACTTATCCAAGACACATAGGGCAAATTAGAATATCAGTTACCTCTCAATATAGCTCTGAGATATCAGGAACAAAAGAGATAGTTAGAAAATAATAATATTGAAATTCCATTTGCAAATATAGTTGGTTAACAGAAGGTCAAAAGGCATATGAGTTTTGCAGGGGAAGATAATAGCTAGTCACAGGGATAACACTACAGCTAAACATTCACCCACCTAAATCAATGAGACAGGAATTTCTCAGAAGATGTAACAGTTGGTGAGTAATCTATATGCAAATTCAAAGGATCAATTATAATTCTCATGTTTTTAGAGCTTAATTTTATTGTATAAATGCCATATGGCTTTCTACTGTACACCAATAGCTTACTGTATTTATTGCTTTAGAAATAGAAGCAACATCAAAATTTATTGAGACGTTAGTAATTGCTAAGCAGTGTGCCACACAGCTCACATTTGATAATTAATTGAATCTTTGCAACTCTACATATATAAAAAATTATTCCCATGTCATAGATCATGAAATTGAGGCTCATAAATTTTAAACATCTGATATAAATAAGTAATCCAGTTGATTTCCCATTTCAAATAGCAAAACAAAGATGGTTTTTTTCCCTCAAAGGGTCATATCCATAGCTAAAATAATTTTTGAAACTTGTATGTACAGACCAATTGAAAATTCTCTGAATCTGTGAGACTTAATGATTTAAATAGAAAGTATCTAATCAAGTTGAAGAATATCTAGCTGGGCATGGTGGTGCACGCCTGTAGTCCCAGCTACTCGGGAGGCTGAGGCAGAAGAATCACTTGAGCTTGGGAGGTGGAGGTTGCAGTGAGCAGAGATAGTGCCACTGCATTCCAGCCTGGGCGACAGAGTGAGACTTTGTCTCAAAAAAAAAAAAAAAATATGGTTTGGTAATACATTCTCTTTTAAGATTTAAGATTTTAGATTTAATTTTCAAGTACCCAGAACCTGAAGAAAAACAGAGGAAGGACCCTGCTACTGAAAGATTGTGTAGAAAATATATAATTTTCAATTCATTATATAACTTGCAAATATAAGATAAATTACATTTTCTAAGGAAACTAATACTTCTAGGGTTTTCAGTTGTCACTGTATTTTTACATAGTTACTGGCTTATAAAAATTTAAAAAGATTTATATATCTATATCTAGATATAGATACAATGAGCTTGACATAGAAAATACAATCTAAGAGAATATAAGCACTCAAAAGAATGAGAAAATTTCCTTAGATTAACAGCCAAGTAAAGAAGAGATGAAAGTTTGTCTTAGGAGAATATATAGTATTTGAATGTATAGGTATAATTTCTATATGCAGTACCATAATTTTTCTCTTCTGTGAGTCCCTTAGAAAGTTTGTAGGTATACAAAATTGCTTCTTTATTTCTTGAGGTATTCTTTACATGTTGAACTTCAAAATGCATGTTTTCTACATTAGGATACAGGGCATCAATATGGCATAGTTCCAGGAAATGTGTAGCAAACAGTGTAAATGCCTGGAATATATAACAGACAATGAATATTAGTACTTTAAAAATTAACTAGAAAATTCTATTTTAACTATGTGAACATAAAATTTTAGTTTAATTTTCTAAGTAGCTTGGCAGAGATGTAGGAATAAAACTAATAATTTGGAGGCTAACATTATCAATCCATTTTAAAATGTTTTGAGATTTTATATTAAATGAAGAAGATATGTTTATTATGTTTGTGCACAGACGTGTATGCCACATTATGGGAAAGAGAACAAAACTGAAAATAAAATCCTAAAAAATATATCTGAAGATATTGAAAAGATGAAGTTTACCAGAAACAAAGCTATGAATTGAAGTAATCATTTATTAGGAAGGTAACTCACATGCAAAAAAAATAATATTTTCCTCAATTTTTAAAAAACTTAACTATAAAAGTAGCCTCCCTAGTTGTAAGTAGGTTTTGGCAGTGGAATCAAGAGATTGTCTTAGGTATGTCAAATTCCAAAAGTTTTTAGTTTTTAGACTTCATTGTGTTTGGGTTAGGTACTGGTAGAGGAAAAAGAAAGATTGAGAACACTGATTAAGATAATGGCTCTCAAACATTAGTAATCCCTTAGAGAGCCTGTTAAACATGCAAATTCTTGGTACATATCCCCTGAAAAATTGTCAACCAATAGTTCTAATGTGGCGCCCCAGGAAATGGCATTTTCTGTAAGTACTTTAGGTGATTTTGATGAAAGTGGTTCAAGTGACTTACAGCCAGCACAAGATTTCCAGCCCAGAATTTACTAAGGCAGATAGAGATCTGAATAACCAGTTACGTTTTAAGACATTATGAGTGACAAATTAGGTAGGTGTTCAGTGGAAATTTAAATATTAAGACAGTAAAAATAATTGATTGGCAAAATGGCTATCAACTATGGAAAGTGAAAAGCAAGGGAAGGAATAATTTTGTATATGACAGAAAAATGAAAATTCTTAAATACCTACTCAACAAATCAAAAGGAGTATAAAACAAAACCAAATTTATAAAGCTACAGGAAATATTTAGAACACAGTAAGCTATTTAAAAGGTAGAGACTATATTCAATAACAATAATGTCCTTAAAAGTTATATGCCAAACCAATCTATTAGAGGAACTTTGTAGACTCTATTTCAGGTTAATTCAATTTAGCAAATAATTATTCAGACCCTATCTGTTGCAAGAATTGTGCTAGGCACTAAGGATACTGTGTTAGAAAATAATAATTAAATTTAAAATAAGTAGCAATATTACATTTTTATTAAATTATTTATACTAGAAAATAATATTGTAAAGTAATACTAAAAACACTATTTTAAACTATTGTAGAATACTTTGGAAACAGATACTGTATGCTTGAACCTGTGAGGTGGAAGTTGCAGTGAGCTGAGATCATGCCACTGCACTCCAGCCTGGGCAAAAAGAGTAAAACTCCATCTCAAAAAAAAATTAAAAAAAAGAAAACAGATACTGTATTAGATGGGGTTCTCCAGAGAAAGAGACCAATAGGGTGTGTGTGTGTGTGTGTGTGTGTGTGTGTGTGTGTGTGTGTGTGTGTTGTATGTGTGTAAAGAGATTTATTATATGGAATTGGCTCATGCAATTATGGAGGCTGGCAAGATCAAAAATCTACAGTCAGCAAGCTGGAGACCCAAGAGAGTTGATGGAATAACTCCAGTCCAAATGCCTGCAAGCTGTAGACTTAGAAAGAGCCAATGTTTCAGTTTGAGTCTGAAGGCAATTTAGTCTTTCAGTATTTCAGATTGAAGGCAGTAAGTTCTCTCTTATTCTTAGAAGGATCAGCCTTTTTCTTCTATTCAGGCTTTCAATTTATTGGATGGGACCCATCCACCCTAGGGAAGGCAATATGCTTCATTCAGTCTACTAATCTCATCCAGAAATGCCCTTACAGATAAACCCAGAATGTTTGACCAAATGTCTGGGCACCCCATGACCTTGCCAAGTTGACACATAAAACTATTCAACACAAATCCACCCCTTGTAAACTTGGCATCCATAGGCATCTCCTTATACCACACTTAATCTACAAATGAAGACAATAATTAGGTCATACTTCCCTCTAATATGATACAACTGTCTTCAGCACAACTGAGAAAGCACTAACCCCTTTTCCAGAAAAGGAGGTAACGTCACTGAGTGATGTTCATTCTTCTTGATATCTCATAACTTAAATACTATAATGTGAAATTGGCAATACTTAAATAATATGACGTGAAGTCAACACATCTTATGTTACATTATAAGAGAATAAGAAGAAATAAAATATTTGTTTAATATATGTATATATATACACACCAAAAAAATCATACCAAATGAGGTGGAAATAATCATGACAATTACAGACAGTCCTTATTTCTGTAACTGGTAAGAGAGTTGTAGTTGGTAATTACAACTACCTTTTCCTTTTACTACCTATTCTGTATTTCCTTTGGCTTCAGCAAGCCCTAGCTAGTCAGAGCTCTTTAACTAGTGGGGTGAACCAAATCTTCATTCCTGAAAGGTCTTGGCCATTCATAGTCCTGCCTGGGTTGGGTTGTAGTTTTCCACAGACCTTTAACACAGAGCATGACAGAACGGAGATACCCTAAGGAATCTTCTGTATTGCAGACATATTCTTTCTTTATTGCATTGTGGAGTAGTAGTCCAATTTCCCTTTGCTAATCAGGATCAATCACTTCAGCCAACACAATACCTCCCTTCTTTGCCTGTTGATTCAGAGGCATAAGACAGCCAAAGTGGCTGGGCAGGAGTCTCAACTTCCAGGTCAAAAAGTTATCACTATGTCTCTTGGTGGAAGCATACTCCTTTTGGAATTAAGACCTCTATGTCAGCAGAGCAAGGTTATAGAAACTGGAAGCAGATATTTTGCCCTTGAGTTACTAGGGGTAATGGTGAGTGATGCCACTTCCATTTCCACTTCTTGATTGCTGGACCCATGAATCCTGGCAATGGGAGAAACAGCATCATATATTGGAAGCTGATTCAAAGCATATACAGCCTTCTGGAAAACCTTTCCCTAGTCCTGAAAGGTATTGCCACTTAGCTGGTGTTGTAATTGAGTCCTTAAAAGACTAGTCCACCAGTCTATCAAGCCAACTACTTCAAGATGGTTGGTAAACACAGTCAAAACAGTGAATTCCATGAGCACAGGCCCTTTGCAGCACTGCATTTGCTGTGAAGTAAGTTCCTTGATCAGAAGAAATGCTGTGTGGAATACCATAATGGCAGATAAGATATTCTTTAAGTCCATGGATGTTAGTTTTGGCAGAAACATTACACATACAGAAGGCAAACTGATGTCCAGAATAAGTGTCTGTTCCAATATGAATATAATGGAGGTGGTACAATGTAATCAATCTGCTACCAGGGAATGGTACCATAAAGGGGACTCAATGTTCGTCTCTGCTGCCGACAGACTGGGCATGCAGTAATGGCTATAGCCAGGTCAGTCTTGGTGACTGCAGGCTCCTGTTGCTGATCTCATGCATAAAACCTCAACCTAGAACTTTTATGCTTATTCAGATCAAGTCAGAATTTAGTAGCCCTCCTATCCAAAGCCATAGGTCTATGTAAGTCAGATTATTCTGATTGCTGCTTTAACTCTGCTTCCCATTACAGTAACTTTTCCACCTTGTCCTTGGTGGCTGAGTGCCACAACTTGGCCCCTACCACCCTGGGATCCAATTATTCCTATTGCATTTGGGTTTCCCAATTCAGTGCCTGCAGTAAAGGCCTTATGGTGGGCCGTAATGTCTGTCCTATATAGAAGAGTGACAACAGAGCTCTTCAAGGCTGCCAGGGCTCCTCTCACAAATTTATTTCTCATAGTCATGGTAAAAGGTATGTCATTTGGACTCTTCCAGGATGGGTAAGTGATCTTAAATGACAAACCCACTCTAACATTCCAACCTCCCTAAGCTTTGAATCCCTGCATTAAACCAAGGCAACTCATTCATGGTGGGCCAACTTTTGGTCTGTTTTTCAGCCAGTCAATCAAACTGTTAGATCGCTTTCTAACTCTTTGAGTTGCAACATTAAATGCACACCTGGCTTAGTAAGCCCATATCAAAAACTTCAGCCTAATCCAACTTTATGTTCCTTCCACCCTTATCCCACACCCTTAGAATACATTCCCATGCATGTTCCATGGATTTCTGTCTGTATAAAGTAGAAAATTCAAGTAGTTCTTTCAGAGTGCAATGTATCTCCTTATAGTCACATTTTGTACCTCACCTTTAGAGATCTAGTTATAGGTCTAGAGGCAAAGAAATGTGGTGGAAGTGCGACTTGAGGAGACTCAGCATTGGCTGGGATGCCATTACAGTTTCCTCAGGTAATGCTAGGTTAATCCCCTCAGATGCGGTGAAGTGGTCTCTTCTACTGGCAAAGACAACTCATCAGAATTTAGGGCCTAAATGTCCCCAGGTTCATCAGTGTCTCCCTACACATTCCTATTCCAACTGGTAGTCTCCCATTCCTTCCCAACTAATGCCCTCACTTTAACAGGAGATACCCTATAAAGCTGGGAGTTCAACTTGTGTTGTAATTCTGGCATAGGATGAGATTCTGGGTTTGATTTTCAGCAATCTCAACCCTGTGACTATAGGAGATAAGGATTTCCTTCAGGGCACATTTAGGTGCTTTCAAGTCATTTATGCAGCAATGAGCTGGCAATTTGGTGCTTTTTTGTTATTTAAAATGTTTTAGTTAAAAAGTAACACACATGCTTCTAAGTTAACACATTAAATAATGCATTAAATAGCAGCAAGGCTAATTAAGTCCTGCTTTTGGAAGCAGTGAGGAAGTGATGCACATTTCCTGGTGTCTACAGCCACTGTCACAGAATTGGAAAACACCTGTGGTTTCTAGCTAGGGAAAACACAGTTCCTGCTAACCCTGGTGTGCTTGTTTGCCTGCATTCACCTGGAAGAAAAGGCTCAATTTCGAGTAGAAGTTAGTGACCATAAAGAGGCTTTTTTCCCATCTAAGTTGAGGCTTCTGAACTCAAGTTTTCAGATTCATGCAGCCCAGGGATCCATGGATCCCAGGTTAAGAAACCCTGCCCTTCTTACAGCCCCCCTGCTGTGATCTAGGGACACATGTGATGCCTGGTTCTTCCTGGTAGTGACAGGCAGGCCCTCACCAAGTATGTGATGGGCAGTGACTGGAAGTCCCTTGGGTGGGGGCCCGAGCTGGCAATTTGAATCCTTGAGTTCATCCTTTGCTTTCCCAACTTTGTCTAGTGACACTAGGAGCAACCAGCCAATTTCATTATATTCATTAGTTTGCCAAAAATGTTTGGAAGTATCATATATAAAATCACCTGGATCTCTGCTGCTTACAAGCAGTTGATTAAGAGTATACGATAGTGATATTTTACTTACCACTATTGTCAGATCATACCAGAACCAAGATTTGTATTAGGGTTCTCCAGAGAAAGAGGACCAATAGAGAGGGGGTGGGGCAGGAGTGAGAGTGAGAGAGAGAAAGAGAGAGAGAGAGAGAGTGTGTATGTGTGTGCGTGTGAAGAGATTCATCATAAGAAACTGGCTCATGTGATTTATGAAGGCTAACAAGTACCAAGGTCTAAAATGGGCTAGCTATAGGTCCAGGAGAGCCAATGGTACAACTCCAGTCCAAAGCTGGCAGGTTCCAGACCCAGAAAAAGCCAATGTTTCAGTTTGAGTCTGAAGGTAGTAAAGAACAGATCTTCCATACTGAAGGCAGCCAGGAAGGAGGAGTTTCCTCTTACTCATTGGAAGGCTTTTTGTTCTATTCAGGCTTGCATTTATTGAGTGGGACCCACCCACATTAGGTAGGGCAATCTGCTTTACTCAGTTTACCAATTCTAATCTCATCCAGAAACACCCTCACAGACATATCCAGAACAATGTTTGACCAAATGTCTGGGCACTCTGTGGCCCAGTCAAACTGACATGTAAAATTAACCATCAGAGGCACTAATTAGCTTTTAATCTTAAGTAATATATGCACTTTATTTATATGAGAAATTGAAACTGACACATTCAAAATTACAAAGACTAATATTATTTATTACCATTACTTTTGATTTATCACATACTTTTAAGCATAAAATAGATTTTTCTCATTCTATATAATAAATCATTACGAGCTGGGCATGACGGCTCAGCCTGCAATCACAGCACTTTGGGAGGCTGAAGTGAGTGGATCACTTGAGCCCAGGAGTTCAAGACCAGCCTGGGTAACATGGTGAAACCCCGTCACAGCTAAAAATACAAAAATTAGCTAAGCATGATGGTGCATGCCTGCAGTCCCAGCTACTCAGGAGGCTGCGGCAGGAGGATTGCTGGAGCCTGAAAGGTGGAAGTTGCAGTGAGCCAAGATTGCGCCACTGCACTCCAGCATGGGCAACAGAGTGAGACCCTGTCTCAAAAAATAAATAAATATAATAAAAATAAATAAATCATTATGGACTTTCATTTAAGGTAAATAACTTCATCTTAGGGACATTTTAAGGTATCTTAAATAAGAAAAAGTATTTTTATTTCAGTTTTGTTCATATCTGTATATATTGTGAGTGACCATTTAAAAAGATATTTTATAAATTAATTTAATAGAGCAAAAATCAATGTTTTACATAGTTGATTTGTGAAAAACTACTTTCTTTAAAGGAATAAAATTTACTTAGGTAGGTAAAATAGATTTTCTGTAAAGTTACCTGAGTTGCCTAGTGCTTTCCTTCCTGTTGTAACATCATAGTCAACATCATTGCACATGGAGGCAATTACTGAAAGACCTTCATATTTTGCTACTGAATTTGATGAAATTAAAGCCAACTGACTAATTTTGCATTATTTGAATTTCTTGATTTCATCTTTTCCTTATCTATATCATGGTTATCAAACTAATGATTCCCACTTTCATTGGAAATGAAGGAACAAAAATATAAATGCGATGATATGTGTTTACTATCTAAATTGTTTTAAAAGCTATTTGTGGGTGTCCATAAAATTCAATAATAATAAAAGGATACATAAAGAAGGACTCAAAATCAATATACTTAAAATAAAAGAATACCTTTAAGCTCAGTAGATATTCACAAACAGCATAACAAATGCCAATACCTTCTTCCGTATTAGTACCTCTGCCAAGTTCATCAATTAATATGAGCGATTTGTCATTAGCATTATGTAGAATATATGCTATCTGAAATATATAATTTTAATATTTATTCATTGTAACCAAACAGCTGTCAATATCACAGGAAAAAATGAGGAGAAACCCAGTCTCTTTATAAGTTCATCTGAAATGTATTCTTAGAGACATCCTGCTGAGCAGAAAATAATAGTTTTCTTTTCTAAAAATCTCATGACTAATAATTCCAGTAGAATAGCTGATGTGTACATAAATAGACATATGCATATGTATATGAGACAACAGAGTAAATAACCATTATCTAAAATATTGATGCTTTAGATACAGTGAAAAAATGCAATAAATTAAATGTTTAAACTAAGCACAAAGATGGTCATTTTCTTCTCCACAAATGACTAATCAATTACTGCTATAAAGTATCCAAAACCATCTCTCAAATTTATTTAAGTATTACTCTATACCCTGTAAAGATGAAGTAAAGAAAAATTTAAGAAAAAATACCTAAGTCTTGATTCTTGGTTTAACAAATAAATTTAAATCCATGACCAATGGAGACTAAGACTTAAATTGACAGAAGTGCTCTTTTCCACTGAAGATTATTAACCTCTTTCTCAAAAATAGAATTTTATCTTTATTATATTATGACACAATAGTAACTTTGATGGACATTTTACCTTTCTATGAGACTAAGCTTTTTGAGTGCTAGGACCATTTAAAAATATACCTTAAGTGCCTAATATATTGCTACGATCTATTATAGATATTCAATACACAATAAATAATTATATAAATCATGGGACAAATGATAACTTTAGTCACCACCTATCTACTTGAAGAAAATTTTCCAACTAAACAGTGATCCTAAATTCATAATACAGATATCCCAAGAGTTACACTTAATTCCTTCAGTTCTAAAGCCTACTTGACGTTTGCTCAATCAGAAATAGGTGATACTTTGGTACAGGGAGTGAAAATTCTATGAGAACAAAGAAGAGGATGATTTTTGAAACCCTTCTAACACAGTAATCTTTTGTTTTAAAATCAAGCCTATGAAGAACAATAAATACTATGCAAAATGGTACTGAACCAGTTATCATTTTCTGAAGTCTTTTACGTATTTCCTATAAAAACATTTAGGCACACTTTTATTACTTAATAATGCTAGCTCTTTCTCTTAAAATTATATTTTCACTTAAACATTGTCTTCCATTTCCACATAAAACAGAAATTAGGAGGCTGTCTTTGACTGCCCTCTGGCTCTTAGAAAAGGGTATAAGCAACATCTGCATATTTTAGTATAAAAATATTTTATGTGATAACTGGCCATTAGTGAGAGAATTTAATGTTTTTAACATAAGAAAAGTTTTGTTTGGGTACCTCTTTCATTTCTTTCATAAATGTTGATGAATTTGTTTCGATATCATCATCAGTACTAATTCTTGTAAAAATCTGTTTAGCAATTCTAAAGGAAGAATATTCTGCTGGAACATATGATCCTGTAAAATATAAGGTCAAGATAAACTGAAATGTGTTTATAAAATATAATTACTAATAACATTTTGTACTTCTCAGATTATTTACAAGGATTATATGGTAGAAAGAACACTAGATATGGCATTAGAAGACATGACCCCAGTTCTATCCCTTATTATAAAAGCTTAGACAGCACTTAAACTTTCCCAGTCCTAGCCGGGCGTGTTGCGGGGAAACTGTGGTCCCAACTACTCGGGAGGCTGAGGCAGGAGAATGGCGTGAACCCGGGAGGCGGAGCCTGCAGTGAGCCGAGATCGCGCCACTGCATTCCAGCCTGGGCGACAGAATGAGACTCCGTCTCAAAAAAAAAAAAAAAAAAAGTTGCCCTACCTACTGTACAAAGTTATCCAGAAGTTCAAATAAGGCAGTAAATGTTCAAGTACATAACAAACAGACAGTTATAAACACAATAAAAATTTTAAATAACTTACTTGAATGATAACATTCAAAATATTAAAATATGAAGGGAATGCTTATAAAGCTTATGAATATAATATGCCAGTTACACTGATCTAATCATTATACATGGTATGTATTCAAACATCACTATGTATCTCTTAAATGCGTGCAATTATTATGTCAAAAATAAAATAAATTAAAAAAAGAAATATGAAAATCTGAAGAAAATGCCTATAAAGCTGAAGTTAATAAAATCATTATAAAAAGATATAAAGAAATATCTGTGATTACAAACATGGAGAAACATTCAGAAGCAAAATAAAAGCAAAACATTTAATAAAAAGAAAAAAAAGGTGAATTTTCACCCACAAGACTGTTTCTGCCCAAGAAGTTATTGTGCTAACTCATCTAAAATATTCGTTTTTTGAAAACAAATCAATCTGATTAATGCACCAGTCTCAATATAGAATAAAATCTAAAATGCATTCTAACATTATAAGAAGATAAAATATACAAATAGTTGAAAGGGAAACGTACCACATATACAGAATTCTGTATAGGTAAAATGGTGAAATAATAGCAGCAAAAAAACCAAAGCCAGATTACTCCAAGATTAAAAACAAAAAAAGGGTAAAGAATAGGGCTTAACTCTGAGGAATAAGGAGTAGCAAGAAAAGAAACCAAAAGTCAGATTAATATTAATGAAAATAAAAGTAATAATCATAACAGTAGTAATTATAATAACGGCACCTATACCATTCGACATACTAGATATTTTATATCCACTCTTCCTAATTTTCAAAATAACCCAATAAATTATAAAAACTAGAAAGATGTATCTCCCCCATTCTACTCTATTTTTTTGCTTGTTTTCCTAAAAGGATGAATTATGAACCTAGAGTGGCTTCTGACACATAATCTCATGATAAATGTTTGCTGAAAATAAATAATGAAGTGATAGAGCCAGAATTTGAATCAGAACTTTCTGGCTAAAAACAAAAACAAAAACATAAACAAACTGTCCATTTCCAAGAAAACAGGAATGACCTGCTACCTTCTTAAGATTCTGGAGAAGGGTGGGGACAATTTGCTAATTTAGGGCAAAGATTATTTGTCAGGCTGCATGGGTTTGAATCCTTGTGCTGCCTCTTACAAACTATATAATCTTGGACAAATTCCTTCTCAATACTTTGACTTACTCATCTATAACATGGAGTTAATAATCTTTATCATATTTTTATGAGTGTTAACCAGATAACACTTCCAGTTTCCAGGCAGATAAACGTGAAATGCGTATTATCATGCAAGGTATATACAGCAGTGATGGGCATAGTGAACACTCAATATTAGCTACTGGGGTGTATTAGTCTGCTGCTTCACCCTGCTATAAAATCCCTGAGACTGAGTAATTTATAAACAAAAGAGGTTTAATTAACTCACAATTCTGCATGGCTGGGGAGGCTTCAGGAAACTTACAATCATGACGGAAGGCAAATAGAAAGCAAGGACCGTCCTCATATGCGAGCAGGAGAGGGAGAGAGCAAGGTGGGAACTGCCAAACACTTTTAAACCATCAGATCTTGTGAGAATTCACTATCACAAGAACAACATTGGGGAAACCGCCCCCCATGATCTAATCACCTCCGACCAGGTCCCTCCCTTGACACGTGGGATTACAATTCAAGGTGAGATTTGGGTGGAGACACAGAGTCAAACGGCATAATGGGGCAAGTGGGGAAGACTAAGGTAAAGGATTTATACTGGGTGATCTTGGGCAAGTCTTTGAGCCTGACTTTCCTCATTTTATAGAAATTCAATACCTATTTATTGAAGCCCTTCTATGTGTTAGGGTAAATAAACAGACATGGGTCCTGCCCTCAGAGAGCAGAACTTAGATTTCAAATACAACTTTCTTATGGAGTTTCTAGGAGAATAAATGTGAAATAAATGTGAAGGTAATATATATATATATATAATATATATATATATGTACCAGTGTGAGTATATATATATACTGTTTAGTATATATAAGGTATAATAACTATATACATATTTTATATATAATGTATATAATATATTTATATATAATGTATACATTTATATATAATATATTTATATATTATACATTATAATGTATATAATGTATAATGTATATATTTCTATATTTATACATAATTATATATTTATATATTTATATATTATACATTATATAATATATAATACATTATATATTATACATAATAACTTGCATATAATACATCGTATATAATAGATAATAATATATATAATACATCATATATATTATATATAATACATCATATATAATACATCATATATATTATATATAATATATAATACATCATATATATTATATATAATATATAATACATCATATATACCATATATAATATATAATACATCATATATACCATATATAATATATAATACATCATATATACCATATATAATATATAATACATCATATATACTATACATGCTATATATAATACATCATATATACTATACATGCTATATATAATACATCATATATACTATACATGCTATATATAATACATCATATATACTATACATGCTATATATAATACATCATATATACTATACATGCTATATATAATACATCATATATACTATACATGCTATATATAATACATCATATATACTATACATGCTATATATAATACATCATATATACTATACATGCTATATATAATACATCATATATACTATACATGCTATATATAATACATCATATATACTATACATGCTATATATAATACATCATATATACTATACATGCTATATAATACATCATATATACTATACATGCTATATAATACATCATATATATTATATATGTTATATAATACATCATATATATTATATATACTAAATAATACATCATATATAATATATACTATATAATACATATAATACATTACATATACTATATAATATATAATACATTACATATACTATACATAATATGTAATACATTATATAGTATATATACTATATAATACATTATATATACTATATATAATACATTATATATACTATATATACTATATAATATATAATACATTATATATACTATATATACTATATAATATATAATACATTATATAAATAATAATATATAATATATAATATATAATAATATATAATATATATTATATATAATACATATGTAATATATAATACATATACATATAATACATATAATACTTTACATATACATATATATTACCTTCATTATATAAATGTGAAATAAATGTGAAGGTTATATGTATATATATATGTACCCAGTGTTTGTGTGTGTGTGTGTATATATACATATATATATATATATGTATATACACACTCAGGATACCAACTGAGGTGGGAGGTGGAGGAAAAGGGTGAAAGTATATGTGAAAACCAAAATGTTACATACCTTTATATATATATATATACACACACACACACACACACACACCCCCAGTGTGAGTCTATATATACTACGTAGTATATATACGGTATTATATACATATTTTATATATATAATGTATATAATATATATATTTATATTATATATAGAAGGTATATATATACCCTATATATATACACATAGCGTATATTATTAAGTGGTATATGTTTGTATTTTCTCTGCTCTCTTAACCTCCATCAAAAAGTTTCTCAACCTTTCTTATCTAGATTATTACAGAAGCCTCCTGGCTGGTATATATATATATATACACACACACACACACACACACACACACACATATATATATATACACACATACACACACACATATATATACACATATATATACATACATACATATACATATATACATATATATTAGCTCCTCATAGCTAATTCAAATCGAAGTATTATGTCTTACATGAATCAGACAGTATTCTTATAAGGCGAAGGAAATTAGCTAAAATGTCCTTTTAATTCCAATAAACCTACAAAATCAATAAAATATTTACTCTTCATTAACTCATTTGTCTCTGATTGTCCCAGTACTAAGGGTGAATTTATACTGTATCACCAATATTATTATTGCTTTGTTCTCCTTACAATTCATTACATTAGACCAAGGTTTCTCACCCATGACACTACTAGTATCTTGGGCTCAATAAATCTTTCTTATGTGTGTGTGTATGGTGGGGTGAGGAAAGCAGGGGAGCGTGGAGAGGAAGAGCTGTTCTGTGCATTGTAGGATGTTTAACAGCATTCCTGGACTCTACACTCCCCTCAGCTGTGACAACCAAAAATTTTTCCAGATATTGCCAAATTCTGGGAGTTGGGAGGTAAGGGATCAAAACCAACCCTGCTTAAGAACCACTTCATTTTGGCCAAGTATCTCATCTCTGATTCATATAGTTCTCAAGGAAACCCAGTTTTCAGAATTAGGAGTTAAGCTGGGCCTCCATATTAAGAAATAGGTAACAATGTTGGGTCAGTGACAGCCATTTAGATGCATGTATGCACATGTGTATGTATAATATATCAACTGCTATGGCCAAGTTATTGGTACCCCTCAAGTTAAGGGAAATGTTTCTCTGCTCAATATTATATTTAATAATTTTGGAAAAAACTCACATGGATTATTAAAGGCAACAGCTTAACCTACTCATTTCACTTTTTCTCACAACAAACTTTGTTTTTGAACCAGAAATAATTGCATGATTCAATTTAGTAATATTTGATGCAACTTTAATAGTTATAGTAAGAATGTTCCCAATTCTGTAGTATCCCAAAAAAATTTTAGTGCAATGCAATTGAAATTGGATGGAGCTTAATAAATATCAAATAGTAAAGTTATAGTTTACACAACAGACACACTGTTATACTTTTAGGTAACAGAATCTGCTCCAAACTGTTCTTGGGTTAATTAGGCACATGGCCCTAAAAAAATTAGGCACAAAGCATTCTGAAAAGAGTGTAAAACTGGTCATTATAAATAAAGCCATAACTTACCAATCTGGGCCATAATCTGACAAAGAGCAATCTGTTTTAAATATGTGGATTTTCCACTCATGTTTGGTCCAGTTATGATCAAAAAATTACTCCCTTCTGTAACATAGGTATTGTTGGCAATAGGTTTTTCCGCAGATATTTTTTCAAGAATAGGATGCCATCCCTGTTTGATTGCTAAAGTATCAGTAAATTCTGGTCGAACTTAAGAAAAAAAATAGAATGGTTTTTAAAGATTAATATATTTGTGTCTAAAGATTTTGTAGTGTGTATGTATTGTCTATATCTTAGTGATTTTCACACTGGTCAATTTGGAATAATAACATTAAGGTACTATATTATCCCAAATCCCCACCCAAATTCTTCTAAATTATAATGGACACACTCTAATCACTATCACAACTTTTATTCACTTCTAGAGAACTCTAGAATTTAGTTCTTTACCACTGTCCTGAGCTCCAAAATAGTTTATAAAATTTTCAGCTTTTTGTAGATTAAAAAGAACCAAGCAGACCAGGCGTGATGGCTCATGCTGGTAATCCCAGCATTTGGGAGGCGGAGGAGGGCAGATTGCTTGATTGCTTGAGCTCAGGAGTTCAAGACCAGCCTAGGCAACATGGTCAAACCCTATCTCTACAAAAAAAAAAAAAAAATTAGCCAGGTGTAATGGCTCATGCCTGTAGTCCCAGCTACTTGTGGGGTTGAGATAGGAGGATCTCTTGAGCCTGGGAGGTGAAGACTGCAGTGAGCTGAGATTGTGCCACTGCACTCCAGCCTGGCTGACAAAGTGAGTCTCTGTCTCAAAAAAAAATAAAAATAAAAATAAAAAAGAACCAAGTACTCATTGATTGTACTTTAAAAATCATAGTTGGTTACTGGTAATACAGAGTTGCATATTTACTTACTCTACCTTAAACACTACTTCCCTACTTTAATATTATTTCAAATTTGGTACGCTTAGCATTTATTTATGTATTTATTAGAGACAGGGTCTTGGTCTATCACCCAGGCTGGAATACGGTGGCAAAATCATAGCTTATTGCAGCCTCAAACTCCTGGGCTCAAGCCATCCTCCTGCCTGCCTCAGCCTTTCAAGAAGCTGGGAGTACAGGCACCTGCCACCACTTCTCACCGATTTTTTTTTTTTTTTTTTTTTTTTTTAGAAATGAGGTCTAGCTATGTTGCCCAGGCTGGTTTCAAACACCTAGCTCATAAGTTGAGGTATGATTATAGAATAAAATCAAATATAAAAATAATTCTTTCTAAGCCCATGGAGAAATTTTGTATAAAAGGAAATTTCAGAGAATGAGAATAGAGAAGATCAACACAAATAATCTGCTAATCTATAGAAATAAATAAGGATCAGGTCTCTATGGATACCACCTGAAGTGGGGGGAGGAGGAAGAGGGTGAAAGCATATGTGAAAACCAAAATGTTCCATACCTTTATCTAAAATGCATAAACTTGAAAACATTCATCATAAAAGTGAGGTTAGAAAAAAAATTTTAAGTATTTTCAAAAATTCATTATTTATAGATATGGAGTTTCAGAATGATCCTTCTCAAACTAAAATGAAGCAAGACTAAATCTCTTAATAGTTTAAAAACAAAACTACCATTGGAATATCTGACCCCTAAAGTAGAGTTTTGATGCAAAGGAGATATAAAAGTTTGAAAAGTTTTGGCCTATAAAATACCAATAGAAAAAGTTAATATTTCCATAAGAAATATGAAAAAATCTTAAGATACATCCCATAAAAGTAAATTAACATAACATTTTAGAAATTTTACTGCTGATTTACATTAGAAATTTCAATGTTTTTAATGTAATGAAGTCTACAATTATTCAACCATAATTATCACATACTAGTCCAGTAAATTTGCATACTGGAGTATGGTTATTACTGGTAAGTTAGATAAGAAATGTCAAAGCACTAACTCGAAGTATTCATTTAACATGAGAAAATTACTTAACATTTATATTCATGGCCTTTTTATAGACTTGGGATATAAAAATAAATTACATAATTCCTAATTTTGGTATGTTCACATCTAAAGAGCTAGTGGATTAAAATGCTCACTCTGGAGATGCATTTCTCTCTATTAACGTTTATCACGCTGCTTCTAATAAGTATTCAGATTTGAACTTTATAAATTTAGATCACTGTCATTTTTACCAAGGAGACAGCTCTTACAGTCTTTCTTATTTGGGGAATCTTTAGTTTCTTGCAATTTTTTCTTTTTGGTTTGCCAATTTCTGAGAGAATAATTTTTACTTCAAAAAAAATTTTAAGGGTAATCTCACTTTCTTTATTTTGTGTCTTAGTCTAGGACCAGAGGCAAGAGACTCTATTTCAAGTTAAAAATTTTAAATGTCATAACTATTATATCAAATTGTTTGAATCGAATACAAATTTAACTATGCAATATGTTTATTCCAAAGAAAGCAACTTACCATAGTCAGAAAGAGTGCAGGCATGAGCAAATGACAGTAGCATATCCAGCATTGACACAGTGTCAGATAGTTTATATAAGCAATGAATATGTTCATAAATCTCACTAAGCAGTTTGCACACTATCCTGAAAACACGTTTGGTAAGACATGTAATAATGTTTTTTCAAAAGGGACATACATTGTAATCGTAAAATAATATTAAATTCATTGCCTGAAGTAAAATAATATTCACATCTGAGTTATACACTATAGATAAAGCCTATTGTTCATCTGTCTCATTTTAGAGATGAGGAAATTGAAGTTTTTGCTCAAGATCACAGCTACTTAGTGGCAAAGAATCTATCTTCTTGTGTATTAACATAACATTTTTGAAATAACTGCTTTTATATGATATTAATAAAATAAGTTTTTATTATTAAGAATATTTGATATAGGTCAAATCAAGCCCTCATTATACTTGGAAAGATCCCATTTGCTAATCACTTTGTGAATTTGCAAATGTTAAGTTCAACACAAAAACTATATGCATTTTCTCTCTCATCCATTTTTTCTTTCTCTCTCGTTCTTGTTCTCTCACTCACACACATGCACACAGACACAATATCTGAATAATATAATTATTTAAGTTTTTATAAGGCAGAGTTATACTGTGATATAGTGCAAAAAGTTTTTCTCTTGCAAAGATAAATATGTACCCAAAACTTACTATATATTAAAATGTTGGTGGTACATGCCTTGAAATTGTCTTGAAAGCCCAACCTTTCTCTTTATTACTTCAGCCTAATAAGTGTTCTAAATCTTCTACTTCTTCTTTCTGGCTGTATTGCTACTATTTCATGACCAGCAAAAGAACTGACACTATTGTGATATTGCTATTGAATTATTAATATCAAGGTATAAGAAGCTGAGGACTTACAGACCATAGGAAAATAATAAACTGAACGAAGCCCAGGTAAGCCCCTGATGTGCCAAGTTCTACATCATGGTAGAATGCACATTACAGAAATATCAATTATAAAAGTATTTGTTTGCAATTAGATCTTCCCCGAAGCTTCTGTGAGGCTCAGTGATTCTAATCACAAAGACAGACTTCCTTTGCTAACATGCATAATTCTACAATTGTCTGTAATTAGATAAAAATTAAACTAATACAATTGTAACAGTTTCTCAAATTAAACCAATTTAATTCAATATTCAAATACTTCAAATGCTCTTACATATAAGTCATGTGATAGATTTCTCTCAAAGATTCTTGGCATCTTTCATTCATTTTAATTAAATCTGCTGATGTAAAGCTGTAAGAATTTTTCACTTTAGAAATCTGCTTGGAGATTAAAAAACAAATGTCAAGATAAATGCACACTACTATGAAATGTAAGATTTTAAACAACAGAAATATGGGTATTTAGGTTAATCATTTTACTCTTTGAGATATGGTATCACAAAGAAAGTTCTAAATAATATTTGTGAAATGTAAGAGGTAGATCACTTCAAAGGATAAAGCCAAATTTTTTAACCCATACATTCATTTTTAAAAAGCAGGATATTTTGACCTAGTTCATCTGGGATGACTACTCTGATAGGTCTTAAAATGTTAAAAACACTACATCTTATTACCAAGTAACACGCATGATGGACATCAGTGATCCTCACTCCATCTCTGACCCCTGTCGCAGCCCTTGTCCTATATCTGAACCTCAACTCAATCTCTAATCGTACTCAAGCTCTAAAAGCCTGAAAGCTAAATGGTTTGTTCTTATCAAAAAGTACCCCCTAAGCAGATAGAACAAAGATTAGAGTGGGTTAGACTTTCCCAAACTGGTATATTGTAAAGGAGCTATATAGGAAAAATTATTCCTGTGGTACAAAGGTTTGGAAATATTAGATTTTTAAAAGTTAAGTAGATTTATTTACTTCAGGACTTTTTAAACCTTTAACAGGCAAATGGTGTGGTATTTTCCTAATTTCTTTTATCATAAACAGCTTTTGGATGTTCTTTCTTCATTTTCCTTTTTTTCTTACACCAAGCTCCCAGAACTGTGGAAAACACTGAGTTTGGTATTTCTGCAAAAGCATCTAAATCACTCTTAGATTAGTACATTAGTTAGGTGGGTGGGTAGGAATAGGAGAAGATACAGAACATTCAGAAATTTGGCTTGCAAAACTCAAGAAGTCCCAAAAATATGTAGATGTAATTCTATAAAATCAGAAACACTAATTTCCTAACCACTCTAAAATGAACCTTAATAAATTCTGAAGGAAGTTGATCACTAGGTAGGGCTATACAATCTGTAGTCATCTGGATGAAAAATCCTCGAGCAGAGCTAAAACTTGTCCTTAAAGGTAGACTATATTTTTCTCCAAGTTGTGATATCATTCCTGGTGACCAGAAACAAGAAAAACAAAAACAAAACAAAATGAATAAATTTTAATGAGAAAAATCACTCTGTTTTAAAGAGTCACATGGTTTTTAAATTCTTATTTTATACATAAATAGGAGGTCTTGTTGCTCTTTCAAACTCTAATAATTTTTTTTTTTTTTCAAGACAGATCTCACTCTGTCGCCCAGGCTGAGCACAGTGGCACAATCATAACTTACTGCAGTCTCGACCTCCTGGGCTCAAGTGATCCAAGTGATCCTCCTACCTCAGCCTCCGGAGTAGCTGGGACTACAGGCATACATCACCATGCCTGGCAAATTTTCTCAGTTTTTGTAGAGACAACGTCTTGTCTCTACAAAAGACTAGCTATGTTGCCAAGGCTAGCCTCAAACTCCTGGACTCAAGCTATCAGCCCTCCTTGGCCTCCCAAAGTGCTGGGATTATAGGCATGAGCTATTGCACTTGGCAATGGAAGGTTTTCAAAAGGAGTTTAGTATGAAGGCTGCCACATATGCTGTTTCCTTAAATGGCACTACATGCTAACCTTATGTTTTGGTAACGAAAAATAAATTTAAAATATGTATGGCTAGTCATCAGCAGCAAAAAAGGACAGCATGTCCTGAAAAGGCTGTTTTATCCCTACAAAAAACATTATCAAATAAAGAAATTACCTGCTATGTCATCTACAATCTCTGTGTATGTTCTTCTTGCTATGTCAAGAAATTCATTTATGTTAGACCTCACTGCATAGCACTTCTGAGTCCTCATGTTTAGGCATCCTTTCATGTATCTTGCATCATCATTAATTACTGTTTTAATCTTTTCAAGTATGATTCCAAACCTAATATTAAGGCCAAAAGAAAAACATTATAGGCAATAAGTCAAAGAGTTATTTTAATTTATAATTTGAATCACAATTGATGATAGCAAATTTTTGTTGAAAGTTATTTTGAAATAACTAATTAAGCAACAAATATTTAAATTTACTTAAGTTAGAGCTGTGACTATTTCATATTTAAACTGTTTCATCAGTCAGGACTAGTCTAAAACAGCATCAGGACCCCAAAAACAATTCTACATCTGCTAATAGAGCTCACAAATTACATATACTGATGTGCCTGTGGGTACAAAATACATCTCTAAAGAACTGTCATAAAAATTGTGGCTTCATGCTCATTCACTCAATAAACATCAATGTACACCATGTATCAAGCACTGTGCTAGGTGAAGAGATTCAGAGAAGAATAACATATGATCCCTGCCTTCGGTAGAGGCAAGAGACACTAAACACATATGTAGACAGCGTAACAGGAACCTCACAATTACCAGTGGTAAAGTTCAGTGATTATGCAAACCAGAAATCTGGTAACACATATTTTCCTCAACTTTTCCTTCATTCCATTCTATATTTTATTTGTAATTAAGCCAGTTTTATTATTAACTTCAATGTGTGGCCTCACACGGGATAAATCTTCAATTAATAGAATAATAGTTCTTAAGTATCACAAATCTTTTCAGTTCAGAACCAAGGTCTGGATTGAACCAGTAGTTCTTCAGTCCACAACTACTGCTAATAATTTAATACTGTTAAAATTAAACAGCATTTAGATTGTATTCAATATTTATATCTACTATTTTTTGTTACATTAGACCCTTCATGATTTAACAAAATAAAGAAATATATTTTTATTATTTGCAAGTCTTTCCATGGAGAATGGCTTTAAAAGGAAATATTAAAATTGTGCTTGGATTTCAAGTTTTCATGCTATTCTAATTGTCCTTTAACACAAATAATCAATGTGTTGTTACCCTATTTATTCTACTTATAATGTGAAATGTACAATTAGAATTTTGATGAATAGGTTAAAGATTCTGTTAACCAAAACTCAAGTAATTGTTCCATAGAATACAATTAGAGTCTTTAAAATCAGTTATGATCAGGAAGAAGAGAATAATCTTATTTTTTATTAACGGTTGAGTGACAAAGACCTCTTGTCTTCCAAGGAACCATAGTAAGCTCTTAATAAAGGTGTGTTACAGTTCTTCATAGCAATCTATTAAAGAATAAAATAAAAAAGTTAAGGATAATCAATTACAAGATCATTCAAACATATCATTTTACAGTTGTTTAATACTTTATAGTTTACCAAGTGCTTTCTTCATTTCCTCATTTATATACTCATAAAATATATTTGTAGCTATCTAGCTGAGGATAGACTGTATCTTTCCCTTTTTCCAAATAAAGAGTACATGGCTAATTAGTGCCATCCACTGCTTATTATAAATTTTATTTTTCTTGCCTCTCTACTAATTGTTAACACCCGACAACTTACATATATAGGTACTTAAACAACTACTGTTGTACATTTAGAGTACTCTACATATAATTCCAAAATTTAGGTTAGATATACATTAGACCAAAAAAGTGCTTTGTATATTCATAAATAGAGCAATTTCTCAATTCTTATATAGTAAAAATAGGGATTTTATTTTGCTTAATGAAAACTATGAGGGGGTCACTAACTAAATAAACAGAAAAGAAGAAGAGAAAGCATATTTAGCCTGGCCATTATCTCCTTTTTTAAATTTGATATGAAGCAATGGTGATAACTTTTTTTGCTTATGAACAGAAAATAATATGCACAGACAGATAAAAACTAAAAAATTCACCAAAATTGAAAGAAAAAAATTAAATCTACTATTGTCCAAAGATAAACATTCTAAATATTATATTTCCTGTCAGTATCTAAAATAAATAATTTTATATCATTGTGTGCTCCTTCCCCAACCCCGACTTAATCCAGGTTGAGTATTTCTTACCCAAAATGCTTGGGATCAGAAGTTCCAGATTCTGGATTTTTTTCAGATTTTGGAATATTTGCATATGTACATAATGAGATATCCTGGAGATTAAACCTGAGTCTAAACATGAAATTCATTTATGTTTCATGTACACCTTATACACATAGCCTGAGGTAATTTTATACAACACTTTAAATAATTTTGCACATAGAAGTCTATGTACATGGAAACACCAGAAAGCAAAGGTGTCACTATTTCAGGCACTTAGGTGGACAATTTGTGATTGTTTGGCATCACTATCATTCCCAACTCTGAATTTATATGCTACCAATAAGCAATCATTTTTTAACACTTATTTACCCATAAGTACTTAACAGTAAAAAAAAAACCTGACATACCATTAATATAGTGAAAAAATGTGTTCAGGCTAACAGCACGGTAGCACCCCCAGAGTACCTGCATCAGCTCTTAAATGACAGCAACAACTAATAATTTCCAGTATCCACCTATAATGCTATATTTTGATTAAGAGGTTACTGTAAGCTGTATTTTATTTTTCTAAGTGAGATGAAACATCAGAAACAGTTAAGGGACCAGGAAGTGGGTATTCTAAGGATACGGAGGCATTTTGCTGGCCCGCTTTTAGAAATGTTTCCTCTAGAGTCATCTGCTTCATTAATAATGGTTTTTGTCATAGAAATTTCTCTTTGATTTTATAATTGACATGATTTCTTGTTCTGTTATGAATGTGTGCTGCTCCATTCTTATACAGTAAAAATAGGAATTTTATTTTGCTTAACAAAAACTGTAGATCTTCAATAAGCCCATCACACATTTTTACCATATCTGTAGGCGTTTTTTCTGCAGTGTTACAACATCATCTTCATCGTCATTACTGTCATGATCACCTTGAATCAGAACCATTTTGTCTATTTCATCATCCATTGATTAATGAACAGCTGGGGCCTCATTATTGATGTTAAAAATGTCAATTGGCCTGGCGCCATGGCTCACACCTGTAATCCCACCACTTCGAGGGGCTAAGGCGGACAAATTGCTTGAGCTCAGGAGTTCGATACCAGTGTGGCCAACATGGCGAAACCCCGTCTCTATCAAAAAGACAAACAATTAGCTGGGCATGGTGGTGCGTGCCTGTGGTCCCAGCTACTCAGGAGGCTGAGGTGGGAGGATGGCTTGAGCCTGGGAGGCAAACGTTGCAGTGAGCTGAGATTGCACCACTGCACTCCAGCCTGGGTGACAGAGTGAGACCCCATCTCAAATAATAAATAAATAAATACAAACTTTAACACCCAGTTCTTCCAGCTTACTGACAGACTCTGAAAGTATGCATTTTGCATATTTTAGGATGTCAGACATAATTTTTTCTCACTTGACATATGGAATCCTACAAAGTCACCACCTTGTTTTATCATCATCATTGAACAGCATCACAGGCCAGAAGTTGTGCCAGGCATGCACAACCACGTCTTTAGTAACTATGTTCCAAGCACTGGCAACAGCATATATGGCATTCTTCATACTAAACTCCTTTCAAAAACCTTCCATTGTCAGGTGTGGTGACTCACACCTGTAATCCCAGTGACTCAGGAGGATGAGGCAGGTGGATTGCTTGAGCCCAGGAGTTCAAGACCAGCCTGCGTAACATAGCGAGACCCCTGTCTATAAAATTTTAAAAAATTATCTGGGCATAGTGACATATGCCTGTACTCCCAGCTACTCAGGAAAGGTTGGAGGATTACTTGAGCCTAGAAGTTCAAGGGTGCGGTGTGCAATGATCGTGCCACTGTACTCCAGCCTGGGCACAGAGCAAGACTGCAACTCTAAAAAAACTTCCACATCTATGCTTCTGTTCACTGATGCTAGCACGCTGTTCAAGAAAGTGTTTTTAAATTTACAAGAATAAAACAACTTCATTAAAAAGTAAGCAAAACAGACACTTTTCTAAAGACATACATGTGGACAACAAACATATGAAAAAAAAGCTCAATATCACTGATCATTAGAGAAATGTGAATCAAAGCCACAATGAGATACCATCTCACACCAGTCAGAATGGCTATTATTAAAAAGTCAAAAAACAACGGATGCTGGTGAGCTTGTAGAGAAAGAAGAACATTTATACACTGTTGGTGTATGAATGTAAATTAGCTCAACCATTGTGGAAAGCAGTGTGGCAATTCCTCAAAGAGCTGAAAACAGAGATACCATTCGACCCAACAATCCCATTGCTGGGTATATATGCAGAGGAATATAAATCATTTTACCATAAAGACAAATGCACACGAATGTTCACTGCAGCACTGTTCACAATATAGCAAAGACATGGAATCAACCAAATACCCGTGAGTGACAGATTGGATAAAGAAAATGTGGTTTATATACATCATGGAATACTATGCAGTTATATATATATATATAAAAACAAGATCATGTCTTTTGCAGGGACATGGATGGAGCTGGAGGCCATTATCCTTAGCAAATTAACACAGGAACGGAAAATCAAATACCCCATGTTTTCACTTAAAAGTGGGAGTTAAACGATGAGAACTCATGGACACAAAGACAGGAACAACAGATACTGGCGTTTGCTTGAGGGTGGAGGTTGGGAGGAGGAAGAGGAGGAGAAAAAATAACTATTGGGTACTAGGCTTAGTAACTCGGTGGTGAAATAATCTGTACAACATAACCTCCAAGACACAAGTTTACCCACATAACAAACATGCACATGTACCCCCAAAACTAAAATAAAAATTAAAAAATTTTTAAAAAGTGTTTTTGTATTTACTCTTCATTGATCTAAGGATACTCTTGTCACAGTCACATGGCTGAATTAATGAAGTCACATTTAGGTGAAAATATATGGCATAAACATTATTTTTGATGAAAATTGCAGCTGGAGGATTAACAGAAGAGATGTCAAGGAATAACAAAATATTTCAATCATCATCCAATCCAGATTCCCTGCAGTGAGCATGAGCTGCTGGTGTAAAATGTTTGTGAGACCAATTGGAAAAAAAATGTCCCTGGTGATTCAGGCCTCTTTGTTAGCATAATAATAAACTGGTAAGAAATTCACTCCTTGAAAACAGCAAAGACACAAGGTTTTACCTATCACAGCACGTTTACACTTACGTGTGTCTGCTGCACTAGCACAGCCCAGCATAGTTGTTTTCTGTCCTTGGCATCCTTAATTCCCACAGGGGCTGCTTCATCAGCTGTAGTCAGTGTCTTTCTGAGGCAATAATGTCAAAACAATGATGTTTAATCAGCATTATCGATTTGTTCTGGCATCAGATTTTCATCAGCAATGACCTTGGCAAACTCATCAATGAATTTCTCCAATGCTTCATGATCAGCAGATGCTCAATCACTATAAATCTTTAAAAATTTAATGTTATTTTCTTCTTAAATTTCTGCAACCAGCCTGTTGAATATTGACAGTTCCCTTCAATTTTCATTTCATTGTGATAACATCTTCACTTGTTTCATGATCAGTATACCATTAAGTGGCATGTGTTCACTGCAAGGCAGATGGATCCATTCTTTCTTTCTTTTTTTTAAAATGTTATGCAGTGTTTTTCTATTTTTCATTAGCTTCTGTTCATCACTTTCAGCATAGAACTGCAACAGTTTATCCGTTTGTTTCTTTAGGTCATATCTGGCAGTCATTCTAACAGCACAGGCTTCTTTAAGACCTTTGACACTTACACCATTATCCAGTTTCTCCAATAGCTTGACTTTCTGTGTTACATATAAACGTAAGTGATTCCTCTTTTTCTTATCACTGTTACTGCAGGCCTTTCTGACATTTTCTTTGTTTTGTTTTTTGTTTTTGTTATCTTAACCACTAGACAAAGCAGGCAATAAGCAAAAAAACAGTAATGCACATCAGTCTTGGCCCTATGTGGAGCATCATGGAAACTTGCCATTGGCACATCTGACCTGTAGCTGTGTCATTGTGTTACCCTTTGTGGGAATGTTTGCATAGAAGAATCTGGGAATGCACAGGAAAGATATATTACAGATGAAGATAGCTGGGAGGGTCTTTTTTCCCTTTAGGATGCTGAATAAACTGTGTTGACTACCTGCATTTTGACTGCAACACATTACATAAGGTCAAGATGTAAAATTTTCCACTTGTGACATCACATTGGTACTTAAAAAGTTTCAGAATCTGGAGCATCTAAAATTTTTAACTTTTGGGTTAGGGATGCTCAACTGATACTATATCATACATATAAAAAACTTTTCAAGGCAAAAATGTTTAATAATTCATAATATTCCAGTCTATGGAAAGCAAATAGTCTCTTCCTGTAATTACTGCAGTTCTACTCTACTTATAATTTCTCACTGATATAAATAAATAATACTGTAATGACCATTGTTGGACATAAATATTGGCCAATGTTTCTGAAAAGTTCTTTCAGACAAATCTCTAGAAGTAGTGTTACAGGATCAAAAAATAGATGTTGCAAACATTTCCAGCACAATTCCTTGTAAAGTATGTGAAATCTGTATTTTTACCAGCTGTTTAATAAGTTGTCTGTCTCATAGATCTCTAATTAGAAATGAGTTACATCCTTTAAGATAAATGAAAATGTCTGCTTCTTTGACAGATAAGAACTATGGTTTTAATTGGTATTGCTTTGATTAATGATGAGGTTAACATTTTTGGTACCATTTATTAATCACCTTGATTTCCTTCTTTGGGTCATTTTCCATATTTCCATTGGCATTTCAATATTTTCCTATGAAATTACATGAGTTTTATGATGACAGAAATTAGTATTTTGTCTGTCTGATACAGTTAGGGTTTGTCTCCCCACCCAAATCTCATCATAAATTATAATCCCTAGAATTCCCATAATCCTCACTTTTCCAGGGAGAGACCAGATGGAGGTAATTGAATAATGTGGGCAGTTTCCCTCATGCTGTTCTCATGATGGTGAGTGAGTTCTCATCAGATCTGATCGTTTTATAAGTGTGTGATAGTTCCTCCTGCATTCCTTCTCTTTCCTGCTGCCTTGTAACAAAGGTGCCTTGTTTCCCCTTCTCCTTCTGCCATGATTGTACATTTCCTGAGGCCTACCCAGCCATACTGAACTGTGAGTCAATTAAATCTGTTTCCTTTATGAATTTCCCAGTCTTTGGTAGTTCTTTATAGCAGTATGAAAACAGACTAATAAACTGTCATTTGTTATAAATTTTTCCTACCTTTGCCTTTTACTTTGCTTTTGACATACCAAAGTTTAAAATTTGTGTTTCATGAAATCTCTCAATATTTTTCTGGTGATTTATTCCATTTATTTCATTACAAGAAAGGTGAAAACATTTTTGAAGTCTTTTGCCACATTACTTTAACTATACATATTTGTATTAGTCCTTTCTCATGCTGCTAAGAAAGACATACCCAAGACTGGGTAATTTATAAAGGAAAAAGGTTTAATTGACTCACAATTCCACATGGCTGGGGAGGCCTCACAATCATGGCAGAAGGTGAATAAGGAGCAAAGTCATGTTTTACATGGCAGCAGGCAAGAAGAACATGTGCAGGGGAACTCCCCTTTAAACAACCATCAGATCTCGTGAGACTTATTCACTACCAGGAGAACATGGGGGAAACTGCCCTATGATTCAATTACCTCCACCTGGCCCTGCCTTTGACATGTGGGGATTATTACAACTCAAGGTGAGTTTTGGGTAGGGAAACAGCCAAACCATATAATTCTGCCCCTAGCCCCTGCCAAATCTCATGTCTTCACATTTCAAAACCAATCATTCCTTCCAAAGAGTCTCCCAAAGTCTTAACTCATTTCAGCATTAACTCAAAAGTCCACAGTCCAAATCTCATCTGAGACAAGGCAAGTCCCTTCTGCCTATGAGCCTATAAAACTGGAAAGCAAGTTAGTTACTTCCTAGATACAATTGGGGTACAGGCATTGGGTAAATACACCCATTCCAAATGGGAGAAAATGGCCAAAATGGAGGGGCTACAGGCCCCACGCAAGTCCAAAATCCAGTGGGACAGTCAAACCTAAAAGCTCCAAAATGATCTCCTTCGACTCCATGTCTCACATACAGGTCACACTGATGCAAGAAGTGAACTCCCATAGCCTTGAGCAGCTCCACCCTTGTGCCTTTGCAGGGTACAGCCCCCTGAACCCTGCAGCTGCTTTTAAGGCTGGTGTTGAGTGTCTGTGGCTTTTCCAGGTGCATGGTGCAATCTGTCGGTGGATCTACCATTCTGGAGTCTGGAGGACAGTGGCCCTCTTCTCACAGATCCACTAGGCAATGCCCAAGTGGGGACTCTGTGTGGGGGCTTTTGCCCATTTTCCTTCTGCACTGTCCTAACAGAGGCTCTCCATGAGGGTCCCGTCCCTGAAGAAGACTTCTGCCTGGACATCCAGGCATTTCCGTACATCCTCTGAAATCTAGGTGGAGGCTCCCAAACTATTCTTGACTTCTGTGCACCTGCAGGCTCAACACCACATGGAGGCTGCCAAGGCTTGAGGCCTGCACCCTCTGAAGCCATGGCCCGAGCTGTGTGTTGGCCACTTTTAGCCATAGCTGGAGCAACTGCGACGCAGAGCACCAAGTCCCTAGGCTGCACAGAGCAAGCGGGGCCAGAAAACCATTTTTTCCTCCTAGATCTCTGGGCCTGTAATGGAAGGGGCTGCCATAAAGGTCTCTGACATGACCTGGAGACATTTTCCCCATTGTCTTGGTGATTATTAACTTTTGCCTCCTTGTTACTTATGCGAATTTCTTCAGCTGGTTTGAATTTCTCCCCAGAAAATGGGATTTTCTTTTCTACTGTATCCTCAGGCTGCAAATTTTCCAAACTTTTATACTCTGCTTCCTCTTGAATGCTTCACTGCTTAGGAATTTCTTCCCCCTGGATACCCTCTCTCTCAAGTTCAAAGTTCCACAGATCTCCAGGGCAGGGGAAAATGCTGCCAGTCTCTTTGCATAGCAAGAGTGACCTTTATTCCAGTTCCCAAAAATCCCTCATCTCCATCTGAGACCACCTCAGCCTGGACCTTACTATCCCTATAACTATCAGCATTTTGGTCAAAGCCATTCAGCAAGTCTCTAGGAAGTTTCAGACTTTCCTACAACTTCCTGTCTTCTGAGCCCTCCGAACTGTTCCAGCCTCTGCCTGTTACCCAGTTCCAAAGTTACTTCCATATTTTCAGGTACCTTTACAGCAGCACCCCACTCTACTGGTAAAATTTACTGTATCAGTCTGTTCTCAGCTGCTAATAAAGACATACCCAAGACTGGGAAATTTATAAAGGAAAAAGGTTTAATTGACTCACAGTTCCACATGGCTGGGGAGGCCTCACAATCATGGCAGAAGGTAAATCAGGAGCAAAGTTACATCTTACATGCCGGTAGGCAAGAAGAACATGTGCAGGGGAACTCTGCTTTATAAAACCATCAGACCTTGTGAGACTTATTCACTACCAAAAGAACAGTATGGGAGAAACCACCCCCATGATTCAATTATCTCCACCAGTCCCCGCCCTTGAAATGTGGGGATTCTTACAATTTAAGGTGAGATTTGGGTGGAGACACAGCCAAACCATGTTAATATTTATTAGAATAATCTCTATAACAAAGTTATTCCATATTTTTCATTATTTCTTTTTCAAAAGCAGTTCCCTTTATCACTTCAATAAAAACAAGTTTTACACAGTGTAGTATTTAAAAGTTAATGAGAAAATAATCATCTTGTAACCATCAGAGTAATAATTACTTCAGGTAAGAGCCATCAATTAATTCTACAATCAATGGGTGGAAGTTTGATGAGGATTGGGTTATTTACACATTCTCAAAATAACTCTCCATAGATTAATAACTTATTAATTACAAAAGAAAATCTGAATTTATGGTGAAGAAATTGATCAGTTAATATCACCAAGAATGAGGAAATGGCATTATGTGCCTCTTGATGTGATGCACTAAAAAGGATACATCATAGAGTATTAAGGCCAAATATGCACAGATGAATTTAATCAGGAGAAAGCAATCACATAAATTGAGGAAATTCTACTTAAAAAGTTGACCCTTATGCTTCAAAATGTCAGTATCATGAACAAAGGCTGAGAAACTTCTCCACTTCAAAGGAGTTTTAAAAAACATGACATTAAATATAAGATATGATCCTGGATTGGACCCTATATCAGGAAAAAAATGCTATAAAGAACATTATTAGAACAATTTTAAAAATTTGAGTATGGGATACATATTATAAAATAGTATTGCATCAGTATTAATTATTCTGAATTTGATAATAATATTATGATTATATAAGAGAACATCTTTTTGTTGGGAGACTTTAGTCTCCTAAGTACTTAGTACCTTAGTACTTAGGTGCTGCAATTTATTCTTAAATGGTTCAGTAAGCATAATAAGGCTAACAATGTGTATGTGTATGTAAAGTATGTACAAAGAAAAAAAATATGGGAAATTCGCCATGTTATTCTTGCAATTTTCCGAGTTTGAAATTTTTTTCCAACAAAAAGTTAAAAAATAATGCTGGACATGTTTTGTACGATACACACACATAAATTACCTTTAAAGGATCCACAAGTTCCAAGGTATGTTTTAAGTATATTAAATTTGTTATCTTTGATTCAGCAGCATTGACCTGTTAAGATAAAAACCCAAATTTGGATGGACACCATAAATATTTAATAGAACAATGGGTTTTCCTCTTGAACATTCTTACTCTTTCCATATCCCATATATTTTTATATATCAGCCTAGCCGCAATGCAAGCCTAAAGAATGATACAAAATTATTGACCCACCATAATTAACCTAGCACACCGGTTTCCCAAAAGTCTGGAAATGAGAAGAGTTCATCTCTTTGTATCCAATTTTCATTTCTATTTCAATCTCTTGGGTTCAATTTAAACTGAATAGCAAAAGGAGATGCAGTCCAATCCTGAGCAGCACCAAGAGACTAAGATTAACTGAAAAAGGCACAAAGAGTATTTGTAGATAGATGATATTTTAAAAGGCTGAATCCAAACCTCCCAGATAGTTATAGAACAACACTGATTTCCCTCATTGGTTCCTGTTTGTTCAAGTAAAACTTTTCATAATTCCACTAGGAATTATAGTTTGCCAAAATAAAGCAATATCAACATTCCAAATTTTATTAATAAATTTTATATAAATTAAATTGCACTCTAGAATTGGGCAGTGTTACCAAACCTGGAGGAATGAGGAATGATCCTGTGCCTGGACTAATTTACCAATACTGACAGATGAAGTAGAGTTTTAGGACTACAATTATGACATAATGTACTTGATATGAAGATGTTTCTTTTTTTTTTTTAATAGAGATGGGGTTTCACCATGTTGGCTAGGCTGGTCTCGAACTCCTGACCTCAGATGATCCAGCCATCTCGGCCTCCCAAAGTTCTGGGATTACAGGCATGAGCCACCATGCCTAGCCAGATGTTTCTTTTTGAGGTACCGTGGTCTATAGCCCCACTGCACAATACCTGGACTGTTCTGTGACCATATGCATCAATTTAGAAAAAATGCCATAATAAATGTTGTTAGCCCCAAATGGGTTATGTCATGTTCTCTTACAATGGATCTCTGAAACTAACTGGAAGATTAAAAATAAATAAAATTCACTAAACAGAAAACAACTATCATCACTATCACTAAAGAAGAATAATTCATGCTAGGTGCAATGGCTTATGTCGGTAATCCCAGCATTTTGGGAGTCTGAGGTAGGAGGATCACTTGAGCTCAAGAGTTTGAGACCAGCCTGGGCAACATGGCAAAACTCTGCCTCTACAAAAAAAAAGTTAAGAAATTAGCTGGGTGTGGTGGCACATGTCTGTGGTCCAGCTACATAGAGGCTGAGGTGGGAGGATCACTTGAGCCCAGGAGGTTGAGCCTGCAGTAAGCAGTGATCACACCAGCCTGGGTGACAAAGTGAAACCCTGTCTCAAAAAAGGGCAGGGGGATAATTCCAAAAATAGCTAACACACCACTGAAGAAGAAGAAGATGGAAAGACTAACTAATGAATGAATGTCAACTTCTAATAAAATTACAGTAATTAAGAAATGATGGTATTGACGTAAAAACAGAGTCCAATGGAACAGAATAAAGAGTCTAGAAATAGACCTAAACATATATATGGGCACTCGATTTATGACAAAGGTTGACTGCGGAACAGTGGGGAAAGGAGAGTCTTTTCCGTAAATAGTACCAGTAGAATTATGAATCCATATGGGAAGAAAAGAAACATGGCCCTTCCCTCAACCTACACACAAAAATTAATTCCAGATGGATTGTATATCTAAGTATAAAAGGTAAAACAATAAAATATCTGGAATTAATAAAGAAGAATATCTTCATGGCCTTGTGTGTTCTAATTAACTTTTATAGATTTTGTAATTGATGATTTGGCATCCATTAATCACACGGTGAAACTAATAGCTAAAGTTGTTTACATCTCCCTTGCAGTCTGGCTTTTGCAGGCATGTGAAAATCATATTACAAACTCTCCAATCACAAACTTCAACATCTGTGTTTTACTTCCTGCCCAACAGGTGACTTCCCTACCTAGCAACTTCCTGGCATTTTTGCCCATGTTTCTCCTTGCTCCTTCTGCCTCTCGACCAACCCTAGTACTTCCCCAGGTGGTCCTGCCTGACATGCCCTCTCCTCTTGGGAACTATACGTAATAAACAATAGCATTAGTGTCTCCATGTTATCATTCAATCATCTTCATAAATTAAAATTAAAATTCCATGGGTACAATCAAGATATTAGAGTAGGTAAAGACTTCTTATGCAGGACAGAGCAAACACTAACTATGAAGGGAAAAAAAACTGATAAACTAGATCCATTTAAATTATGAATTTCTATTTATCAAAAGATATTACTAACTCAAGATAGGTTCTCCAAAAGCCAACTCTGAGAAACTAGAATTTGAGAGCAAATAATTTATTTTAAAAAGTAATTCCAGCAAAAACAAGCAAGGGAGTGGGGAAGTAAGACAGAGAAGGAAAGGATACCTGTACAGGAGACATTAATGATCAAGTAACCAATTTGTCTCCATCTCTCAGATGGAGACATCTGAGAGATGGAATAGAGTAAGTTTCAGAAGCTATCTCCAGAGGTAAGGAAAATGGGGTATTTATTCATCAACTCCTATTCAGTGTTGGTTAAGAGCTGTTGCCAGGGCATCAATTCCCTAATACCCTCCAGCCTCTCTTATGGCCAGAGAAATTCTTCAGAAAGCAGAGTCTCAGCTGCTTCAAGCAAGAAGTCTTCCTGCACAAAAGTGAATACCAAGGCAATGTGGGTAGCATACCAACAGCATCTATCCCACAATGTTCAGTGCAAATTAAACTACAAAATGGGAAGAAATGTTTGTAACACACATAACCAAAAAAGGGCTTATATCTAATATGTGAAAAGAAGCTATACAAATCACAAAAGCAGATAAACCAAATAGAAAAATGAGTAAGAATCTCAAGCAAGACTTTCACAAAAGAAGATATTCAAATGGTCAATATACATATGAAAGGATGTTCAACCTCATTAATAGGAAAACACAAATTAAAACCACGTTTATTAAAATGCTACGGCTAAAATTTTAAAACCAGTAATATCAGGTTTGGGGAAGAAAAACTGGAGTTCTCATATGCTGATGGGAGGATAAATGGATAAATCATTTTGAAAAACATTTTGGCATTATCTACCAAAGTTGAATATATGCATACCACATGACCCAGCAATTCCACTCCTAACTATATACCAAATAAAAACATATGTACAATTACATTAAGAGATGGGTACAAGATTGTTTAGCAGTATTATTTCTGATTGCAAAAACTGTCAGCAACTCAAAAGTTCAGCAATTATGAAATGGATAAATAATGGCATATTAATATACAGTGGAATATCATATAGCAGTGAAAATAAATGAGCTAAAGCTGAATGAAACAACATGGTTAAATCTCACAAATAAAATGTTGACTTGAAGAAGTCAGGCACAAAAAATATGCATTGAATAATCCCTTTATATATAAAGTTTTTAATAGATCAAGTCAAACTAAATTACAAAGAAAAGGAAATGATTACTAAAAGTCGTTTCTTTTTGGAGACAGGTAGAAAATAATGGATGGGAAGGAGAAGAAGGGGAATTTTTGAGGTATTGGTGATAACTATTTCTTTACGTGAGTGGTTGTTACATGAATGTTCACTTTGTGATAAATCAATGTAACATTACATTTTTATTTTGTACAGTTTTCTGTATTGTATATTATTTCTCATTACTTTAAGAAAAGGCTAAAAATAATAATAAACAGGAAGGTAGAAAGAAAAGAATACTCTTACAGAAGGCAAAAGAAGAAAATGAGAAATGAGTGTGTTCATCTGAGTCAAATTTTGCTGCTAGGTCAAGCATGATGAGCACTGCCATTAACCACTGGATATAGCAATATGGAAATAATTGGTGGCTTTGAGAAAAGGAGCATAATTAGATACACAAATTACAGATAATCCTCCCAGTGGAGTGGTGAGGCGAAGATTTGTTTGGAATGGGTTTGGAGAGAAAAGAAGCATAATTAGATACATCAGTTACAGATAATCCTTCCAAAAAATATTGCTTTACAGAGAAACAGAAGAAAAGTAGAGGGGGAAGTAAAAACAAGCAAAAAAAGCCATTTTATATTTTTTTAATGAAGCGATAATAGCATGTTTATATTTCTCTTTGACCCAAGCGTCTTGTGCCTTCTGTCAGCATCTATGAAACTATGGCAGGCTAACTAGTTAGTTTGCAACTAGGGTAGAATCTCAGATCCCTTGCAGTTCTAGATAATACTATGCTGTAATTGCTTATTTTATTTTTACCCAAATATAACATTGGAGTATAAATTCTTTTGGATCAGAGCTGTAATTCTTATTATATTTTAGCACTTATCATAATACTTACTAAAATGAATCATAGAATAAATCAAAGAAGGAATCATATACTTCAGATACTCTATATGGCAGTCTGAAATCATTTGAAAAAAAGTTATTCAAAATGATGCAAAAAACTCATGATAAAAATTAGAAAAATATCTTTAATATAAATTTTTCAAATGTTGGGGAAAGTATTTTAAGCATTTGTAGTGGAAAACACAAATATTCTTAGTGCAATACATTAAGTGCTATGGTTATAGATACTGTACAGAAAGAAAATTGTGTTAAGATAAGAAATTTAAGCTTTATTTTTAGTGAACACTTATGGTCAGAAACATGCATTTTCTAGGAATCAATATTCTTAAAAAGAAAGAATAAGAACTCATCTTAGGCAAACAATTTCTTACTGAAAATTTTCTGAAAGCATTTAGTTCATTCACAAGTTTTAGCAAATCATTCAGTTTAACCAGCACAAGTCTGAACTTAGTAAATACTGTATTCAATTAAGAGATTTGTGCTTATATTAAATGAGAAAAGAGCCCTTCAAAACAAATTTTCAGATGGTTAAAAAAATGATAACTGAGAAACATTATAAGAAATAATGAAGGCCATGAATCATGCATAAAGTTAAATATATTGCTTAAGTTTCCCTAAAGGTTACTAAATCTGATCTGTACAGTCTTAACAAAAAGCCTCCACAAAGGACAGAAACACAATGGTGAGAAAAAGATTTACAATTCTGACTGATTCTCCCAAAACTAAAGTTTTCCTTAGTTTAAAGGATGGGAAGTGGACCACGCTTCCAAGATGGCCAAATAGGAAGAGCTCCAGTCTACAGCTTCCAGCGAGATTGACGCAGAAGATGGGTGATTACTGCATTTCCAACTGAGGTACCTGATTCATCTCACTGGGACTGCTTGGACAGTGGGTACAGCCCACGGAGGGTGAGCCGAAACAGGGCAGGGCATCACCTCACCCGGAAAGCACAAGGGGTGGGGGGATTTCTCTTTCCTAGCCAAGGGAAGTTGTGAGTGACTGTACCTGGAGGAGCACTCTTGCCCAAATACTGCACTTTTCCCACGGTCTTCACAACTGGCAGACCAGGAGATCCCCTTCCGTGCCTGGCTCAGCAGGTTCCACGCCCACAGAGACCTCCTCCCTGGTAGCTCAGCAGTCTGAGATCAACCTGGGATGTGGGAGCTTGGCAGGGGGAGGGGCGTCCGCCATTGCTGAGGCTTGAGTAGGTGGTTCTATACACACAGTGTAAACAAAGTGGCAGGGAAGCTCGAGCTAGGTGGAGCCCACTGCAGCTCAGCAAGGCCTACTGCCTCTCTAGATTCCACCTCTGGGGGCAGGGCATATCTGAAAAAAAGGCAGCAGGCAGCTTCTCCAGACTTAAACGTCCCTGCATAACAGCTCTGAAGAGAGCAGTGGTTCTCCCAGCATGGTGTTTGAGCCCCAATAACAGAGAGACTGCCTCCTCAAGTGGGTCCCTGATCCCTGTGTAGCCTGACTTGGAGACACCTCCCAGTAGGGGCCAACAGACACCGCATACAGGCGGTTGCCCCTCTGGGACGAAGCTTCCAGAGGAAGGATCAGGCAGCAATATTTGCTGTTCTGCAGCCTCTGCTGGTGATATCCAGGCAAACAGGGTCTGGAGTGGACTTCCAGCAAACTCCAACAGACCTGCAGCTGAGTGGCCTGTCTGTTAGAAAGAAAACTAACAAACAGAAAGGAGTGGCATCAAAATCAACAAAAAGGACATCCACACAAAACCCCATCCGTAGGTTACCAACATCAAAGGACAAAGGTAGATAAAACCATGAAGATGGGGAGAAGCCAGAGCAGAAAGGCTGAAAATACCAAAAACCAGAACACCTTTTCTCCTCCAAAGGAACACAACTCCTCACCAGCAAGGGAACAAAACTGGATGCAGAATGAGTTTGACGACTTGACAGAAGTAGGCTTCAGAAGGTCGGTAATAACAAACTTCTCCAAGCTAAAGGAGCAGGTTCTAACCCATCAAAAGGAAGCTAAAAACCTTGAAAAAAAGGTTAGATGAATGGCTAACTAGAATAACCATGTAGAGAAGAGCTTAAATGTCCTGATGGAGTTGAAAAGCACAATATGAGAACTTCCTGAAGCATACACAAGTTTCAATAGCTGATTCGATCAAGTGAAGAAAGGATATCAGTGACTGAAGATCAGATTAATGAAATAAAGAGAGAAGACAAGATTAGAGAAAAAAGAGTGAAAAGAAACAAACAAAGCCTCCAAGAAATATGGGACTAGGTGAAAAGACCAAATCTACATTTGATTGGTGTACCTGAAAGTGACTGGGAGAATGGCCCCAAGTTAGAAAACACTCTTCAGGATATTATCCAGGAGAACTTCCCCAACCTAGCAAGACAGGCCAACATTCAAATTCAAGAAATACAGAGAACATCACAAAGATACTCCTCAAGAAGAGCAACCCCAAGACACATAATTGGCAGATTCACCAAGGTTGAAATGAAGGAAAAAATGTTAAGGGCAGCCAGAGAAAGGTCAGGTTACCCACAAAGGGAAGCCCATCAGACTAACAGCGGATCTCTCGGCAGAAACCCTACAAGCCAGAAGACAGTGGGGGCCAATATTCAACATTCTTAAAGAAAAGAATTTTCAACCCATAATTTCATATCCAGCCAAACTAAGATTCATAAGTGAAGGAGAAATAAAATCCTTTAGCGAGAAGCAAATGCTGAGAGATTTTTGTCACCACCAGGCCTGCCTTACAAGAGCTCCTGCAGGAAGCACTAAACATGGATAGGAATAACCAGTACCAACCACTGCAAACACATGCCAAATTGTAAAGACCATCAATGCTATGGAAAAACTGCATAAATTAATGGGAGAAATGACCAGCTAGCATCATGATGACAGGATCAAATTCAGATATAACAATATTAACCTTAAATGTAAATGGGATAAATGCTCCAATTAAAAGACACATACTGGCAAGTTGGATAAACAGTGAAGACCCATCAGCATGCTGTATTCAGGAGACCCATCACACATGCAAAGACACACAAGGCTCAAAATAAAGGGATGGAGGAAGATCTACTAAGCAAATGGAAAGCAAAAAAAAAAGCAGGGGTTGCAATCCTAGTCTCTGATAAAGCAGACTTGAAACCAACAAAGATAAAAAAGGACAAAGAAGGCCATTACATATTGGTAAAGGGATCAATTCAACAAGAAGAGCTAACTGTCCTAAATATATACACACCCAATACAGGAGCACCCAGATTCATAAAGCAAGTTCTTAGAGATCTACAAAGAGACTTAGACTCCTGCACAGTAATAATGGGAGACGTTAACACACCACTGTCAATATTAGACAGATCAATGAGACAGAAAATTAACAAGGATATCCAGGACTTCAACTCAACTCTGAACCAAGTGGACCTAATAGAAATCTACAGAACTCTCCACCCCAAATAAACAGAATATACATTCTTCTCAGCACCATATCACACTAATTCTAAAATCAACCACATAATTGGAAGTAAAACACTCCTCAGCAAATGTATAAGAATAGAAATCACAACAAACTGCCTCTCAGACCACAGTGCAATAAATTAGAAGTCAGGATTAAGAGACTCACTCAAAACCACACAACTACATGGAAACTGAACAACCTGCTCCTGAATGACTACTCAGTAAATAACAAAATGAAGGGAGAAATAAAGATGTTCTTCGAAACCAGTGAGAACAAAGACACAACGTACCAGAATCTCTGGGACACATTTAAAGCAGTGTGTAGAGGGAAATTTATACCACTAAATGCCCACAGGAGAAAGCAGGGAAGATCTAAAATTGAAACCCTAACATCACAATTAAAAGAACTAGACAGTCAAGAGCAAACAAATTCAAAAGTAGCAGAAGATAAGAAATAACTAAAATCAGAGCAGAACTAAAGGAAATAGAGACACAAAAAACCCTTCAAAAAATGAATGAATCCAGGAGCTGGTTTTTTAAAAGATCAACAAAAGAGATAGCCCAATAGCAAGACTAATAAAGAATAAAAGAGAGAAGAATCAAATAGACGCAATAAAAAATGATAAAGTGGATATCACCATCGATCCCACAGAAATTCAAACTACCATAGAGAATACTATAAACACCTCTATGCAAATAAACTAGAAAATCTAGAAGAAATGGATAAATTCCTGGACACATACACCTTTCTAAGACTAAACCAGGAAGAAGGTAAATCTCTGAATAGACCAATAACAGGTTCTGAAATTGAGGCAATAATTAATAGCCTAGCAACCAAAAAAGTCCAGGACCAGATGGATTCATAGCCAAATTCTACCAGAGGTACAAAGAGGAGCTGGGACCATTCCTTCTGAAATATTCCGATCAATAGAAAAAGAGGGAATTCTCTTTAACTCATTTTATGAGGCCAGCATCATCCTGATACCAAATCCTGGCAGAGACACAAGAAAAAAAGAGAATTTTAGGCTAACATCCCTGATGAACATCAATGTGAGAATCCGCAATAAAATACTGGCAAACCGAATCCAGCAGCACATCAAAAAGCTTATCCACCACAATCAAGTCGGCTTCATCCCTGGGATGCGAGTCTGGTTCAACATACACAAAATCAATAAACATAATCCATCACAAAAACAGAACCAACGACAAAAACCACATGATTATCTGAATAGATGCAGAAAAGGCCTTCAGAAAATTCAACAGCATTTCATGCTAAAAACTCTCAATAAAGTGGGTATCAATGGAATGTATCTCAACATAATAAGAGCTATTAATGACAAATCTACAGCCAATATCATACTGAATGGGCAAAAACTGGAAGCATTCCCTTTGAAAACTGGCACAAGACAAGGATGCCCTTTCTCACCACTCCTATTCAACATAGTATTGGAAGTTCTGGCCAGGGCAATCAGGCAAGAGAAAGAAATAAAGGGTATTTGAATAGGAAGAGAGGAAGTCAAATTGTCTCTGTTTGCAGATGACATGATTGTATATTTAGAAAACCCCATTGTCTCAGCTCAAAATCTTCTTAAGCTGATAAGCAACTTCAGCAAATTCTCTGGACACAAAATCAATGTGCAAAATCACAAGCATGCCTATACACCAATAACAGATAAACAGAGAGCCAAATCATGAGTGAACTCCCATTCACTATTGCTACTAAGAGAATAAAATACCTAGGAATCCAACTTACAAGGGATGTGAAGGACCTCTTCAAGGAGAGCTACAAACCACTGCTCAAAGAAATAAGACAGGACACAAACAAATGGAAAAATATTCCATGCTCATGGATAAGAAGAATCAATATCGTGAAAAAAGCCATACTGCCCAAAGTAATTTATAGATTCAAGGCCATCCCCATCAAGCTACCACTGACTTTCTTCACAGAATTGGAAAAATTATTTTAAAGTTCATATGGAACCAAAAAAGGGCCCGCATAGCCAAGATTAAACAAAGCATCACGGTACCTGACTTCAAGCTGTACTACAAGGCTACAGTAACCAAAACAGCATGGTACTGGTACCAAAACAGATATATAGACCAACGGAACAGAACGGAGGCCTCAGAAATAACACCACACATGTACGACCATCTGATCTTTGACAAACCTGAGACATACAAGCAATGGGGAAAAGATTCCCTATTTAATAAATGGTGCTGGGAAAACTGGTTAGCCATATGCAGAAAACTGAAACTAGACCCCTTCGTTACACCTTATACAAAAATAAACTCAAGATGGATCAAATACTTAAATGTTAGACCTAAAACCATAAAAACCCTAGAAGAAAACCTGGGCAATACCATCAGGACATAGGCATGGGCAAAGACTTCATGTCTAAAACACCAAAAGCAATGGCAACAAAAGCCAAAATTGACAAGTGGGACCTAATTAAACTAAAGAGCTTCTGCACAGTGAAAGAAACTATCATCAGAGTGAATAGGCAACTTACAGAATGGGAGAAAATTTTTGCAATCTATCCATCCGACAAAAGGCTAACATCCAGAATCTAGAAATAACTTAAAGAAATTTACAAGAAAAAAGCAAACAACCCCATCAAAAAATGGGCAAAGGATATGAACAGACAATTCTCAAAAGAAGACATTTATGCAGCCAACAGACATATGAAAAAATGCTTATCATCCCTGGTCATTAGAGAAATGCAAATCAAAACCACAACTAGATACCATCACATGCCAGTTAGAATGGCGATCATTAAAAAGTCAGGAAACAACAGATGCTGGAGAGGATGTGGAGAAATAGGATCCCTTTTACACTGTTGGTGGGAGTGTAAATTAGTTCAACCATTGTGGAAGACAGTGTGATGATTCCTCAAGGATCTAGAACTGGAAATACCATTTGACCCAGCAATCCCATTACTGGGCATATACCCAAAAGATTATAAATCATTCTACGATAAAGACACATGTACATGTATGTTTATTGCAGCACTATTCACAATAGCAAAGACTTGGAACCAACTCACATGTCCATCAGTGATAGACTGGATTAAGAAATTGTGGCACATATACACCATGGAATACTGTGCAGCCATAAAAAAGGATGAGTTCATGTGCTTTGCAGGGACATGGATGAAGCTGGAAACCATTATTCTCAGCAAACTATCACAAGATTAGAAAACCAAACACCGCATGTTCTCACTCATAAGTGGGAGTTGAACAACGAGAACACACGGACACAGGGAGGGGAACACCACACACCGGGGCCTGTCGGGGGTGGAGGGCTAGGGGAGCGATAACATTAGGAAAAATACCTAATGTAGGTGATGGGTTGATAGGTGCAGCAAACCACCATGGCACGTGTATACCTATGTAACAAAACTGCACGTTCTGCACATGTAACCCAGAACCTAAAATATACATAAAAAAAGAAAGAAAGAAAGAAAAAAGGATGGGAAGTAACATTGACCCTTTAAAACCTTATGGCGCTAATTATAATTTTTTTTTCTGAACAGAAAAAAAGGTTCCAGATTCTTAGCTTACTGAATTACCTTAAACCTAGACCAGAAGACTTTTCTAAAATCTGATAGTCAAACTGAGTATAGAAGCAGGCAAGCTATTCACAGATATTTCTCAGAAAACTAGTTGGTCAAAGTGATATTTTTTTCCTAATTTAACCAGAAATTGTCTAGTGCAAAAAGATGTATATTACTAATTCCTATAACTAGTGACACTGTATGAAACTGTGTGATTGCATAATACTATATGTTACATAAATTGACAATAAAGAGATTGCTGTCAGGTATAATCTGATGATTAATTCTTTCCTATAGTAAAATAGAAACATAGCCTTCACTTATACACTGTTAAAGGTTGAATTGTGTTCCCTCCAAAAAAATTCTGTTGAAGTTCTAACCCTCAGTACCTCAAAATGTGATCTTATTTGGAAATAGGGTCATTCCAGAGGTTAGTAATTGTTACAATGATGTAATACTGGAGTGGGGTAGGCCCCTAGTCCAATAATATTGATGTCATACAAAGACAGCCATGTGAACACATGGAAACACAGGGACACCACCATTTGAAGAGGAAACACAGATTGGCGTTGTGAACACGTGGAAACACAGGGACACCACCATTTGACGAGGAAACACAGATTGGCGTTATGAAGATTCAAGCCAAGAAATGGCAATAATTGTAAACAAATCACCAAAAGCTAGGAAGAGGCAAGAAAGGATTCCCCTACAGGTTTCGCAGAGAGAGCATGGCCCTAAAACACCTTGATTTCAGATTATTAGCCTCTAAATCTGTAAGACAATAAATTTCTATTATTTTAGGATGTGCAATTCATAGTGTTTTGTTACACAGCCTTAGAAAACTAATACAGGCCAGGCACAGTGACTCACACCCATAAACTCAGCACTTCAGGAGGCCAAGATAGGAGGATTGCTTGAGCCCAGGAGTTCAAGACAAGCCTGGGCAAAAAGACAATTCCCCATCTCTACAAAAAACTTAAAAATTAGTTGGGTGTGGTAGCGCATGCCTGTGGTCTTGGCTACTCAGGCGGCTGAGGTAGGAAGATTGCACAAGCCAGGGAGGTCAAGGCTAAAGTAAACTATGATCACACCACTGCACTCCAGCTTAGATAACAGAGTGAGACTCTGTCTCAAAAAAGAAAGAAAAAAAAAAACTAATACAAATACTAATTATCTATATAAAGTGGCCATTTCCTGTTCTATTAAACTGCATTGCATTTTTCTATGTAAAATATGCTATTCATAAGTAAAAACTGTTAAGTATTTAAGATATTTTTCATTCAAAAATATCATCCAAAGCAGTGACATCTGGCAAAATATCATAAACATTAACTGTGGTACTTTGTTTTTATTTATATTGATTATTCATGTTTAAGTCTCTGAAAATCCTAAAACATTTACTGATTCCAACAACACTGTTAAACAAATGCAAAGAAAAAAAGGTTAGGCTAGCAACATATTCAAAAATAAAGTGAAGAACCCTCCATATATACTGAAAAATCATTTTAATATGAACAATGTGATGTAGTATCAGTTGTTAGGGCCCAAATAGGAAGAAGAGAGCATCGTTGGTGTGGGGGTGGCAAAGCCAGAGCAGGGAGAGGACGGACGGGTGGTATAGCACAGGAGGACAAGGAAGCCATTTAAACTGAAGGTCTACCTAGCAAGGGTATATGAGCCTGAATATGAACAACAGGAGGTTATTCATGCAAGAGAAGAGGGAAACCCTGACACAGGTTTTGGATCCCAAGTAGGCTGAAGAAAGCCTCCTCTGCGTAGAAGGGCAGCTTGAGCCTGAGAGAGGTGAGAAGGATTTCAGCATAGGAAGACAGTTCAGCAGGGAGTACTACAGCATAGGCAGAGTGAAGATGGTATCTGCATGGGGGAGGGAGCAGCAGTAGTAGGAGATTGGTATTCCTCCTGAATATATCAAATATATTAATATATTAAGAATAATGAAGACTTCTCATTGGATAATAGGATTTCTCATCAGGTTTTTCATTGACAGAGAAGAGAGTTACTAATATGGAAAGAGAGAAAACTAGTATGAACCCTGTGACTGTAAATTGAAATTGGAAGTATTGGTATGAACGTATGATTTTCTATTGTATAGATAAATACAGAAATAAATATAGAGGTCAATATCTATATATTTATGCATATATATATATATACACACACACACTTATGCCCTAGCCATGAGAGGGTTTTAGAATGGTGATACCCCAATAGCAATAAGTACACCTGGTGCTCAAATCTTGATTTCTAATACCATTCCTTACTAAAATGAACCAGGACTCCTGGGAGAAATAGTTGATTCAAAGGCTACCAAGGAAAGTACAAGATAAGCCTGGCTCATTTTCTTGAGGCAGAAAATGATAAAGTTCTCAAAGAATTGTGGATGCATTTCCAAAGAGCATAGAAGCAAATTAGAAGAGGCTTGCACATGTCAAATCTGAGACAATGTGAGAATCAAAATAAATATTGACAGTAATAGACTATAACCAATTGAATATAAAATCATCAGTCCATATGGATTAAATACATACATACATAAATTGAAAGTTGGATAAATTGAAAGAAGAGCAAAATATTTACATGGTTTCAAGCTACCTCCCCACAAAATACTTATTAATTAAATGGGGGAATCATAATTGTGCAGCAATTTTACACCATCTCAACCAAGTATACAAACTTATCATCATAATGAGACAAATCAAAATTGTGTGCCATATAAGAAGATGCAATGAGAAGAACGCATCATCACTTCTGTGGTATTTCTGCCAATGTTATGTAACCTGAATCTAACAATAAAAAAAATCAGGCCAGGTGTGGTGGTTCACGCCTGTAACCCCAGTACTTTGGGAGGCTGAGGCAGGCAGATCACTTGAGGTCAGGAGTTTGAGGCCATCCTGACCAACATGGTGAAACCCCGTTTCTACTAAAAATACAAAAATTAGCTGGGCATGGTGGCGGGTGCCTGTAATCCCAGCTACTTGGGAGGCTGAAGTAGGAGAATCACTTGAACCTGGGAGGTGGAGGTTGCAGTGAGCCGAGATTACACCACTGCATTCCAGCCTGGGTGACAGAGTGAAACTCTGTCTCAAACAAACAAACAAACAAACAAACAAAGAAAAATAGTTACTAATTTCTGGGGAAAAGCCCACAAAAAGTCACGCAGGCTCAGCTCTGTATAACGTAATAATTTTCATAATAATTTTGATCTAACTAAAACTGTTATAATCATACTGGGTGATGAAAAGCAAGGATGTAAGTATCCATGTTTATGGGAGATAAGGAAGAAAAGAGAGTTAAGTATTCATTTTTTTGATCGGGGATTAACATGCATATAATCAAGAAAGTGAAAAGACAACCCACAGAATGGGAGAAAATATCTGCAAATCATATATCCAATAAGGGATTGGTATCCAAAATATATAAAGAACTCTCACAACTCAGTAATAAAAATACAAACAACCCAATTTAAAATGGGCAAATAATATTAATAAATATTTCTCCAAGGAAGATACAAATGGCCAATAAGCATGTAAAAAGATGCTCGACATTGTCAGTCATCATGGAAATGTATACCAAAACCATGAGACACCCGACAGGCTCACCAGAATCAAAAATTAAGATAATAACAAGTCTTGACAAGGATGTGGAGAAATCAGAACCCTCAAACACTGCTGGTGGATACCTAAAATGATAAAGTCACTTTGCAAAACAATCCAGCAGTTCCTCAAATTATTAAACATAGAGTTATCACATGACCCAGCAATTCCATTCCTAGGTATATATCAAGACAAATGAAAAATGTATGTCCCTAGAAAAACCTGCACACAAATATTCATAGCATTATTCATAATAGTCAAAAGTGAAAACAACCTAAATAGCCATCAACTGATAAACTGATAAACCAAATGTGTTATATCCATACAATGGAATATTATTTGTCAATACAAAGAATAAAGTATTGATAAATGCTACAACATGAAACTTGAAAACGTTATGCTAAGTTAAAAATCCAGTCACAAAAGACTACCTGTACATACTAAAATGTTCCATTTATATAAAATGTCCAGGATAGGCAAATCTGTAGAGACAGACAATAGATTACTGGTTGTCTAAGGCTGGGGAAACGGGGGTTAGAAGGAATGGGAAGTTATTGCTAGTGGTTGCAGGATTGCTTCTGGGAATGATTAAAATGTTCTAAAATTGACTGTGGTGATGGTTGTACAACTCTGTGAATGCATTAAAGACAATTAAATTGTAGGCTTTGAATGTGTGAATTGTAATCTATGTAATTACATCTCAATAAAGCTGTCTTATTTTTAAAAATGAATTGTGAAATATATGTAGAAGTTAAACATGTTACAATAATAGCATAATGGTAGGGAAGAGGGAAATGATGGTATACTAGTGCAAGGCTCTTATATCATATGTAAAGTATTATAATATTATTTAAAGTGGTCTGAGGCTGTGTCCGATGGTTCACACCTATAATCCCAACATTTTGGAAGGCCTAGGCAGGTGGATCGCTTGAGGTTAGGAGTTTGAGACCAGCCTGGCCAACATGGCAAAACCCCATCTGTACTAAAAATACCAAAGTTAGCATGGCATGGTGGCATGCCTGTAGTCCCAGCTACTAGGGAGGCTGAGGCACAAGAATCACTTGAAGCCGGGAGACAGAGGTGGCAGTGAGCCGAGATGGCGCCACTGCACTCCAGCCTGGGTGACAGAGCAAGACTCTGTCCCAAAAAATAAAATAAAAAATAAACAAAAATGGACTGAATTCAGCTAAAGATGTAGTCTATAAACCCTAAGTCAATAATTAAGCTAATGAAGGCAATGAGTTATATCTAATAAGCCAACAAAGGAAATGAGATGGAATCATAAAAAAATACAAAAGAAGGCAGAAAAAAAGAAACAAGGGAGCAAACAGATGAGAAAAATGAAAAAAAAAACGATGGCAGATTTAAATAAAAACATATCAATAATCTTATTAAGTGTAAATGTAATAAATACCTCAATTAAAAGTAAGGTATTCTCTGATTGTATGCAAAAAGTTAAGACTTAACTATATGTCACCTACAAAAAACCTTCTTTAAATATAAAGACAAAAATAAGTTAAAAGCAAAAGGATGGTAAAGATATGCCATGGCAACACTAACCAAAAGAAAGCTGGAGTGGCTATATTAATATTAGATGCAGTAGATTTCATAGCAAAAAATACTACTAGGGATAAAAAAGCATCATTTCATAATGACAACAGGCTCAATTTATAGAGGATATAGCAATCTTAAATGTTTATGAATCTAATAACAAAGATTCCAAATACATTAGATAAAAACTGATAAAACTGAAAGGAAAAATAGACAAATCCACAATTACATTTGGAGATTTTGACACTCCTTTCTTAATAACTGATAGAACAAATAGAAAAACAAAACAAAACAAAACAAAAAAACGTAAAACACCATAAGGATATAGGAGATTTGAAGAACACTACCACACAACTTGAACAAAGTGACATTTATGGAACGCTCCAACCAACAACAGCAAAATACACATTGTTTTCAAGTTCACATGGAACATTTACCAAGATTAACTCTATTTTGGGCCATAAAAAAAGTCAATAAAGCTAAAAGGATCTATATTATATAATACATGGTCTCTGATCATTGGGAATTAAATTAGAAACCAATAACAAAAAGATATTTGGAAAGTCCCCAAATACTGGAAATAAAATAACATACCTCTAAAAACCCATACATCAAAGAATGTTTAAAAAGAAATTAGAAAGTGTTTTGACCTTTTTGAAAGAAAAAGAAATCACAACATATCTAAAATTGTGGAATACAGCTAAAGCATTACTCAGAGAGAAATTTATAGTACTAAAATGCTTATATTAGAAGGAAAAAAGTTCTCAAATCAATGACCTCAGCTTCCTCCTTTACAACCTCAAAAAAGAACAGTAGGCACAGAGTAAGCAGAAGAGTGATAAAACCAGAAATCAGTGAAATAAAGAACAGGAGCAAAAAAGAGAAACCAATGAAATAGAAAGTTGGCTCCTTGAGAATACCAATAAAATTGATAATATCTAGCCAGGCTGATTAAGAAAAACAGAGAACATATTAAAATTATCAGTATCAGGAATGAGAGAGTGTATCACTGCCAATTTTACAGATATAAGGAGGATATTATGAGATAGTTTATGCTGATACATTGAAAAGTTGGGTGAAATGAAAAATTCTTTAAAAGACACAAGGTACCAAAGCTTGTTCAAGAAGAAACAGATAACCTGAAGAGCACTATGCCTATTTAATAAGTGGAATTTATAGTTAAAAACCTTCCTACCAAAAAAATTCCAGGCTTTAATGGCTTCATTTGTAAATTCTACCAAATATGTAAGGAAGAAATAATACCAGTTCTATGTAAACTCTACCAGAAAATTAAAGAGGAAGGGCTACTTCCAAACTTATTTTATGAGGGCTGCTAATTTAATTCCAAACATCAGTTGTTTTAGGTTACTTCCCATTTGTATACATTGAAGTATAAGCAGCTTCAATTATTTAAGGAAACTCAGTTCTGTGCCTGCCCAACAGCTAAAGCTTTTCAATCTAGTGATGATTTTATTATAAATGAACCTTAAGAGTATTTTCTTTATAATACAAAAAGGCTTCCCAAATATAGATTAGCTTTCAATGGATTTACAAATGTCATCAAATTGTAAATTAAATTTTATTGATGTGCAAGACTTTTCTTTTTATGCATATGGGCAAAAATATACCTGTATTTCATTATAGTAAATATTCTTCAGTTCATCTTAAATGGAAGAATGAAAGCTATTATTACTTTCTTTGCAGAATATACCCATAAGCACTATTTAAATTGGAAAAATATCCAGAAAATGTGTTGTTTCATTCTTAAAGGTTAAGAATATTTAAAGACTTGGCCAAGCATGGTGGCTCACACCTGCAATCCCAGTACTTTGGGAGGCCGAGGTGGGCAGATCACTTGAGGTCAGGAGTTCGAGATCAGCCTGGCCAACATGGTGAAACCCCATCTCTACTAAAAATACAAAAATTAGCCAGGCATGGTAGTGCATGCCTGTAATCCCAGCTACTTGGGAGGCTGAGGCAAGAGAATCACTTGAACCTGAGAGACAGAGGTTGCAGTGAGCCAAAATCGCACCACTGCACTCCAGCCTTGGTGACAGAGTGAGACTCCATCTCAAAAATAATAATAATAATATTTGAAGACTAATCAAACTTCACATAATGATCACTTTTAAGAAGAATCTTTAGCTCTAATATATTTTAGTTAGTTAGTTATTAGGCAAATATTATTATAGTCTAAGTCTTTTGAAAATTATATATAACTCCTTAATATTTGATCAGTGAAAATAGGCCAATTCCTCAACTATCTAAAAAGCAATTTTTTTTTGTGACAAGGCCTCACTATGTTACCCAGGCTGGAGTGCAGTGATGCGAACACAGCTCACTGCAGCCTTGACCTCCCAAGGCTTAAGTTATCCTCCCACCTCAGCCTCCCCAGGAGCTGGGACTACAAGCATGCAACAGCATGCCCAGCTAATTTTTTGATCCTTTGTAGAGATGGGGTCTCACTTTCTTGCCCAGGCTTGTCTTGAACTGCCTTGACCTCCCAAAGTGTTGGGATTATAGGCATGAGCCACCATGCCGGGCTGAAATTTTAAATTTCACTATAACATACAGGATAATACATTAGGAAAAAAGTTTCCTCTACAGTGGCATAAAATACTCCAGATATCAATAATGAAGGACTTTCCCAAAACATTTTGATATTTTCCAATTGTTACATTACATTAAGACAAGTTCCATCAAATAATGTATAATAATATAATACAAAATGTATACAAAAACATACCGTGTCTTGCTTTGGAATTTGGACTAAAACAGAAAGAAGCTGCTCTGTATCAAGAAATCTTGATATAACTGAAACAAACAAACAAATGTGAGTATTTAAACTTTATGGTACAGTTCAAAATATTGACTATGTAAAATATTATCCTCAAAGAATAAAATAGAACAGTTCTACCTACAAATATTACTTTTTGTCTTCTTTAACTATCTTACATGTAAAATGAATATAACTAAATTCTAATGCTCTTTTGTTAATTTTGATTACTCAATCTCACCTCAAAATTTAATGCTGCTAACCATCCCTTCTGCTATGATTTGCCTGTCCCCACCAAAACTCATGTTGAAACCTTAATTCCTAGTGTGGCGATGTTGGGAGATAAAACATTTAATAGGTGGAGTCTAGTGGAAAACATTTGGGTCACAGAGGCTCCACTCTCATGGGCAGCTTAGTGCCATTCCTACCGTGATGAGTGAGTTAACCCCTTAATAAAACTGGATTAGTTTACACAGAAAGGGACTAGTTCCCACACAAGAACAGGTTGTTAGAAAGTGAGGATGCCCCTCATTTTGCTCTTAGCATATGTCTATTTCCTCCTTGACCATCCTCCATGTTATGATGCATCATGAAAGCCCTGACCAGAGGCTGAGTAGATGCCAATGCCATACTCTTGGACTTTCCAGTCACTGGAATTGTGACCCAAATAAACTCGTTTCTTCGTAAATTACCCAGCCTCAGGTATTCTATTATAGCAACACGACTTACCCTCATTCTTGAAACTCTACTTCTCTGGTTTTGATATTGTCTATCATAATTTTCTTCTCATCTTTTTGATCTCTACTTTTCTTCATGATATTTAAAAGATCCTTAGTTTAAAAGTATAGTTCAACCACTAACCACATAACTTCCCAAGAGTTACCTAACTTCTCTAAACAATAGCTGTTCTCATCTTTTAAATGCTGATAACATCTACCTCCCAGGTGTGTTGTGAGAATTAAGTGAGGTAATACTTGTGCTACGGTTTGAATATGATCCCCAACGTTCATGTGTTGGAAACTTGATCCCCAATGCAACTGTCTTGAGAGGTAGGATCTTTAAGAGATGGTTAGGTCATGAGGGCTCTGCCTCTGTGAGTGAATTAGTGCTATTATCATGAGAGTGGGTTCTTGATAAAAGGATGAGTTCAGCTCCCTTCCTCTCATATGCATGCATGCTCTCTTGCCCTTCCACCATGTTATGATGCAGCAGGAAGGCCCTCACCAGATGTGAGCCACTTGACTTTGATCTTCCCCACCTCCAGAACTGTAAGAAATAAATCTCTGTCCTTTATAAATTACTCAGTCTCAGATATTCTGTTATAGCAGCACAAAACAAACTAAGATAGAAAATTGGTACCAAGACTGGGGTTGTTGCTATAACAAATACCTGAAAATGTGGAAGCAGGTTAGGAATTGGGTAATAGGAATGGGTAGAGGTTGGAAGAATTTGGAGGAGCAGGTTAGAAAAAGCCCAGATTGCCATGAACAGAAGAACATTAAGGGCAATTCTAGTGAAGGCTCAGAAAAAGGAAAGAAATGTAAGGAAAGTCTGGAATGTTGTAAAGACTACTTAAGTGGTCATGATCAGAACATTGGTAGAAATATGGAAAGTAAAGGCCATTCTGATGAGGACTCAGGTGGAACTGAAAAACAAAATCTTGGAAACTGGAGTAAAGGCCATCCTTGTTACAGTTGAAAAGAACTTGGCAGAACTGTATCCATGTCCTAGGATATTGTGGAAGGCAGAACTTAAGAGGAATGAACTAGGATATCTGGCAGAAGAGCTACCTAGGCAGTAAAGCATTCAAGATGTTGCATAGCTTCTTTCAGTCACTTACAGTAAAATGAGAGAAGGGAGAAATACTTTAAAGATGACATTTATAATTTAAAAAGAAGCAGAATAAACAAATTATGAAAACTCTTAGCCTGGCCACATAAAATGTATGTTTGGGGGAGAATACTAAGGGTGTGGTCAAGTGATTGCTAAAAATATTAGTATAGAAAGAAGCCAGGTTCTATTCATGAAAACAATGAGAATGACCCCAAAAACATTTCAGAGATCTAGGGAAGCTAGGACCTTGAGGGCAAGGTTTCCAGCAAGGTGCTTGTGAGACCTCAGCATTTGCTGCCCTGCAGCACCTTGGAACTCTGCTTCCTTAATTCTGGCATAGCACCTCTCAGCCACCACAACTGTAGCTCAGGTGAGCCCAGCTGCAGCTCAACCCACTGCTCCAGAAGGTATAAGCTGTGTATCTTGGCAGTGTCCACATGGTGCTAATTCTGCAGGCACACAGAATACAATAGGTATGAAGCCATGGTGGCTTCTGCCTAAATTTCAAAGGATGTTGAGGACAGCCTGGGGCCCAGGCAGAGACTTATCATGGGGCAGAGCCACCACAGAGAACCTACCACAGAAAGCCCCCACTATGCCTGGTGGAGCCATAGGATAGAGGCCATCATTCACAGAGTCCCCACTAGGGCAATGCCTAGTAAAGCCATGGGAGTGGGTAATCACCCCCTACCTCCCCACCCTGAGACCACAGAACTATAGGGGGCACAAGCATGTAACTCCAATCTGAGAAAGCCATGGGCATGAGACTGCAAACCATGAGAGCTGCTGAGTGGACTAAGCCCTGACGCTGCCTGAGGCCTTGAGAGCCCTACTTCTTCCCCACTGTGCCCCTGATGTGGGATATGGAGTCAAAGAAGATTCTTCTTCTTAAGACTTACTGTTGTTTTCCTTGTGAGGTTTGAACTGATTTCCTTGGGCCTGTTACTCCTTTCTTATTGCCTATTTCTCCCTTTTGTAATGGGAATGTTTATCCTATGCCTGTCCCAACATTTTGGATGTAGATAACTTTTTTAATTTCATAGGCTCATAGCTGGTGGGGAATTTGCCTCAGGAGGAATCATGCCTTGAGTCTCACATATCTGATTCAGATGAGATTCTGGACTTTTGAGTAAGTGTTGAAACAAGTTAAGACTTTAGGCCTATTGGGATGAAATGAATGTATTTTGCATGTGAGAAGGACATGAATTTGAGGGAGCCAGGAGCAGAGTGCTATGGTTTGAATGTGTCCCCAAAGTTCATGCATTAGAAACTTAATCTCAGTGCAACCTTGTTGAGAGGTGGGACCTTTAAAGGGTGATTAGGTGAAGAGGGCTCTGCCCTCATGAATGGATTAATGCCATTATCACAGAAGTGGGTTACTTGTTCTGGAAGTAAATTCTGGATAAAAGGATGAGTTTGCTCCCCTTCCTCTCTCTCTTGTATGTGTGCTCTCTTGTCCTTCTGCCTTTTGGCGTGGGATGATGCATCAAGAAGGCCCTCACCAGATACAGGTCCCTTAACCTTGCAGATCCCAGCCTTCAGAACTGTAAGAAATAAATCACTGTTCTTTATAAATTACCTAGTCTCAGGTATTTTATTACTGCAACACAAATAGACTATGGCAATGTGTAAAGTGTCTTGCATGTACCACCACTCAAAAACTTATTTTATTCTTCTCAATTTATTTTCCAGCTTACAGTGTTCTACAAAAATAAATTTATAGAAAATTGTAAACTATCCCTTTTAAATATCCCCAGGTATTTTTTTAAAAAACTTTTAACCATTTCAGCCCAGGTGTGGTGGCTTACACCTATAATCCCAGCACTTTGGGAGGCCAAGGCAGGAGATCACTTGAGCTTAGGAGTTTGAGACCAGCCTTGGCAACACAGTGAGACCCTGTCTCTACAAAAAATACAACAATCAGCCATGTGGGATGGTGCCCACCTGTAGTCCCAGCTACTCAGGAGGCTGAGGTGGGAGGATGGCTTGAGCCAGGGAGATAGAAGTTGCAGTGAGCCAAGATTGTGCCACTGCACTCCAGCCTGGGCAACAGAGTCAGACTCTGTCTCAAAAAAATTAATAAAAATAAATATAAATAAGTAATAAACTTTAACCATTTAACATAGAGATTGTTTTAAAATGTACTTATTTCCCCATACTTGAAATACAGTGAACAATGATAACTATTTCTTAATGACTCATGGTTATTATCATAGTAATATATAACATTAAAAGTTTTTGTGTAGACTTATTAACACTCTCAAAGTGGTGTCATGCTGTTATCCCTTAAAACACAAAATAAGAGCCGGGCGTGGTGGCTTACGCCTGTAATCCCAGCACTTTGGGAGGCCGAGGCAGGTGGATCACCTGAGGTCAGGAGTTCGAGACCAGCCAGACCAACATGGAGAAACCCCATCTCTACTAAAACTACAAAATTAGCCAGGCATGGTGGTGCATGCCTGTAATCCCCGCTACTCGGGAGGCTGAGGCAGGAGAATCGCTTGAACCCGGGAGGCGGAGGTTACAGTGAGCCGAGATCACTCCATTGCATTCCAGCCTGGGCAGCAAGGGTGAAACTCCATCTCAAAAAAAAAAAGAAACCCACAAAATAAGAAAATGTTTATTTTACCTGCTACCTGTTCAAACTGTCAGGTGTCTTTTGATAGTTTTCAGTTTGCCTACCTCTAGAACTGTCCCCTTTCTAATTTTCTGTTTCTATGGTAATTCATTATGTTAAAACTGTTTTGAGGCCTAAGCTCTGATTTTGTATCTGGCCCAAATTCCTACCTAAGGGGTCTAGGGAGTTATGCCCTACAAACCATAGATTCTCATGAGATGGGTTTTATTTGACCCTGCATATTGTGATTTGCTTTTCAATCTGACTCTGGCATAACATTATGAAACAAGGAATACAATATTTAACCCCAAAATATATGTCCTTGCCATGCCTTGAAATTGCCCTGCAAAGTCTCTTGTGGGAATAATTCACATTCTATAGAGAATCCCCTTACCCCTTCGTTTTCTGTAGGGTCCAGCCCCACAGGGTGGGTGAGTTTCTCCCCGTGTGCAGCAACGAGAGAGTGTAGAAATAAAGACACAAGACAAAGAGATAAAAGAAAAGGCAGCTGGGCCAGGGGACCACTATGACCAATGCACGGAGACCGGTAGTGGCCCCGAATGTCTGGCTGCGCTGTTATTTATTGGATACAAAGCAAAAGGGGCAGGGTAAAGAGTGTGAGTCATCTCCAATGATAGGTAAGGTCACGTGGGTCACGTGTCCACTGGACAGGTGGCCCTTCCCTGCCTGGCAGCCGAGGCAGAGAGAGAGAGGAGACAAAGAGAAGGACAGCTTATGCCATTATTTCTGCATATCAGAGACTTTTAGTACTTTCACTAATTTATTACTGCTATCTAGAAGGCAGAGCCAGGTGTACAGGATGGAACACGAAGGCAGACTAGGAGTGTGACCACTGAAGCACAGCATCACAGTGAGACTGTTAGGCCTCCGGATAACTGTGGACGAGCCTGACTAATGTCAGGCCCTCCACAAGAGGTGGAGGAGTAGAGTCTTCTCTAAACTCCCCTGGGGAAAGGGAGACTCCCTTTCCCGGTCTGCTAAGTAGCGGGTGTTTTCCCTTGACACTTATGCTACCGCTAGACCAAGGTCCGCCTGGCAACGGGCGTCCTCCCAGACGCTGGCATTACCACTAGACCAAGGAGCCCTCTGGTGGCCCTGTCCGGGCATAACAGAAGGCTCGCACTCTTGTCTTCTGGTCACTTCTCACTGTGTCTCCTCAGCTCCTATCTCTGTATGGCCTGGTTTTTCCTAGGGTATGATTATGGAGTGAGGATTATTATAATATTGGAATAAAGAGTAATTGCTACAAACTAATGATTAATGATATTCATATATAATCATATCTAAGATCTATATCTGGTATAACTATTCTTGTTTTATATTTTACTATACTGGAACAGCTCCTGTCCTCGGTCTCTTTCCTTGGGGCCTGGGTGGCTTGCTGCCCACAGTTTTCCTTCCTTTCTTTCCAGATCCAGAAGATAATCAACTAAGAGCCAGGCATCCTTTCAGGTCCAGTGAGAAACATTTTACAACCTGCTATCTCTCTGAAGTCTGCTATCTGAGAGATTCCTCTACACAATAAAACTTGGTCCCCATAATCCTTTATCTTAACCTGAACATTCCCAGGTCTTCAGATAAACTCAACCAATTGTCAACTAGAAAATGTTTAAATTTACCTACAGTCTGGAAGTCCCACCGCCTGCTTTGAGTTGTCCTGCCTTTCTGAACCAAACCATTGTACTTCTTAAATGTATTTGATTGATGTCTCATGCCTCCCTAAAATATACAAAACCAAGCTGTACTCCGACTATCTTGGGCACATGTTCTCAGGACCTCCTGAGGGCTGTGTTCATGGGCCATGGTCACTCATATTTGGCTCAAAATAAATCTCTTCAAATATTTTACAGAGTTTGGCTCTTTTCGCCAATAGTTTAAAAAATTAGAATAGGCTGAATATATTGCGGTTATATTCTTCATTATGTGCAATATGGCACAATACTATTATGACATTTTACATGTGATTCTATTAGTCAGACTCCCTTTAGCCCTCATTTATATTGCTCTTTCTCTTTCCAGACTCCTCCTTCTTCCTTTCCCCAAATCTATCACTACAACCAGAATGTTTCTAAAATAGGATTTGATCAGTACTCTCTAGGTTCAGAATGTCAGCTCCATATTGCCTGAAGGAAAAAAATTAAACTCCTTAGCATTATAAAAAGGCCCTTCATAGTCTAGTCTCAATCCTCATTTCCTGCCATTCCCCAAGGCTTTAAGTCATAAATAACTACTGGCCAATCCTTAAATACAGCAAGCTCTTTTATATCAACCTAAGTACAGCCAGGCACAGTGACTTGTGCCTGCAATCCCAGCACTTTGGGAGGTTGAGATGAGAGGATTGCTTGAAGTCAGGAGTTCAAGTTCAGCCTGGGCAACAGAGCAAGACCCTGGCTCTACAAAAAATGTAAAAATTAGCCAGGCATGGTGGTGCAGGCCTGTAGACATAGCTTCTCAAGAGGCTGCAGCAAAAGGATCACTTGAACCCAGAGGTTTGTTATAGTAAGATATGATAGTGCCACTGCACTATAGTCTGGGTGACAGAGTGAGACCCTGTGAAAGAAAGAGAGAGAGAACAAAAAAAAAGAAGAGAAAGCGGGAGGGAGGGAGGGAGGGAGGGAAGGAAATGACTGGTCAAGATCATAGCCAATGGCGTGCATACCAGATCCTTATCCTAACCACTATATCCAAAAAACATCTGCATTACTGCTATGGACATCAACATACCTTGCACAGGCATGTTCCCTTCATCTCGAATATCACTGCTAGGATTCTCCTGTTGCTAAAATCCTACTCCTTCTTTTAAGACAAAGCTGAAATATTATTCCTGCAAATCCCATCTGGATTCTGTCTTTATCCCAACTCCCTTCTCTGTGTTCCCATGAACTACTCAATTGTTATTGCATGTATCACATTGCATCAAAATTATTTAATTAGAGTTCTGTTGCCCGAACATGGATGTGAGGTCCTTGAGGACAGATATAGCTTAATGTTCCTCATCTTTTTATCCCTAACACTTATAGAATGCCTATAATAAAGGAGGTAATGGGTTTTTTTTAAAAGGTTTAGATTCTTATATTTTATTTTATTTTATTTTTTATTTTATTATTATTATACTTTAAGTTTTAGGGTACATGTGCACAATGTGCAGGTTAGTTACATATGTATACATGTACCATGCTGGTGTGCTGCACCCATTAACTCATCATTTAGCATTAGGTATATCTCCTAAAGCTATCCCTCCCCCCTCCCCCACCCCACAACAATCCCCAGAGTGTGATGTTCCCCTTCCTGTGTCCATGTGTTCTCATTGTTCAATTCCCACCTATGAGTGAGAATATGCAGTGTTTGGTTTTTTGTTCTTGTGATAGTTTACTGAGAATGATGATTTCCAATTTCATCCATGTCCCTACAAAGGACATGAACTCATCATTTTTTATGGCTGCACAGTATTCCGTGGTGTATATGTGCCACATTTTCTTAATCCAGTCTATCATTGTTGGACATTTGGGTTGGTTCCAAGTCTTTGCTATTGTGAATAGTGCCGCAATAAACATACGTGTGCATGTGTCTTTATAGCAGCATGATTTATAGTCCTTTGGGTATATACCCAGTAATGGGATGGCTGGGTCAAATGGTATTTCTAGTTCTAGATCCCTGAGGAATCGCCACATTGACTTCTGCAAGGGTTGAACTAGTTTACAGTCCCACCAACAGTGTAAAAGTGTTCCTGTTTCTCCACATCCTCTCCAGCACCTGTTGTTTCCTGACTTTTTAATGATTGCCATTCTAACTGGTGTGAGATGGTATCTCATTGTGGTTTTGATTTGCATTTCTCTGATGGCCAGTGATGGTGAGCATTTTTTCATGTGTTTTTTGGCTGCATAAATGTCTTCTTTTGAGAAGTGTCTGTTCATGTCCTTCACCCACTTTTTGATGGGGTTGTTTGTTTTTTTCTTGTAAATTTGTTGGAGTTCATTGTAGATTCTGGATATTAGCCCTTTGTCAGATGAGTAGGTTGCAAAAATTTTCTCCCATTTTGTAGGTTGCCTGTTCACTCTGATGGTAGTTTCTTTTGCTGTGCAGAAGCTCTTTAGTTTAATTAGATCCCATTTGTCAATTTTGGCTTTTGTTGCCATTGCTTTTGGTGTTTTAGACATGAGATTCTTATATTTTAATAAACTGTAAAAATTACCCTCCCACTCTGCCCTATGCCCTGCTGCTCTACTTTATTGTGTGTTAAGATAAATTACAAACCATTAAGACATAGAAAACATGGCATATACCTGTAATCCCAACACTTTGGGAGGTCAAGGCAGGTGGATCACTTGAGGTCAGGAGTTTGAGACCAGCCTGGCCAACATGGTGAAACGCCATCTCTATTAAAAATACAAAAATTAGCCAGGCATGGTGGTGGGCGCCTGTAATCCCAGCTACTTGGGAGGCTGAGGCTGGAGAATTGCTTGAACCCAGGAGGCAGAGGTTGCAGTGAGCCAAGATTGTGCCACTGCACTCCAGCCTGGGTGACAGAGTGAAACTCTGTCTCAAAAAAAAGAAAAGAAAAAGATATAGAAAACAGAGAAATGTTTATTTATAGATATCACTTTGAAATTTTCAGTCATAAGGAATTTAAAAACTTAAAATATATCAAAATTAAAGTTTAAAAAAATCCAAGTTTATCATCAAAATTTTATCATACAAACAGTATTGTCTTGGGAATAACAGAATACAATTTCAACAGATTCAACAACAAATCAATAGTTTAACAAATATGTTAAACTGTTATGTCCTAGCCTTATATAAGAATTATCAAACAAAACATGCATTTACAAAAAGAAAAATAAGTGTCATCATAACAAGATACTACAGGAAACATGTATTAAAGATGCCTAACACTGACTTGCGGAATTAGAAAGGCCTGTAGCAAAAGTCACATCTAAACTGGAATGATAAAAGATGAACTGCAGTTAGCTAGAGAAGCCTGGGAGAAGGGGTTGCAGGGAAGGAGGAAGAGGTATTCTAGGCAAAAATTACAGCGTTCCAAAGCCAGAAAATGACAGCAGATATGTTTAAGTAACTTAAAGAAGTTCATTTAGACTAGAAGAGAAAATGGAGAGTGAAGAGTATCAAGAGATGCTGTGGGAGATTACAGGAAAACAGCTATATAGAAAAGTTTGCATTTTAATCTAAAAGTTGTGAGAAGAGAATCTAAAGAGAAAAGATTGAAGGATTTTATGCAGATGAGTATGGTAACCACCACCCTCCCCCAGACCCCCAAAGAGATCTGCTTCCTAATTTCTGGAATTTGTGAATATGTTAACTGATAAAAGGAAGTTTCTAGTTGGGATTAAATTAAGGGTCTTGAGATGGAGAGATTATCCTGGATTGTCTCTTGGCCCCAGTGTAATCTTAAGAGTCCTTACAAGAGGGTGGCAGGAGGATCAGTGTCAGAGAGAGAAGATATAAGTACAAAAGCAGAAGTCAGAGGAAGGGAAAATGATCTACTTCTGGCTTTAAAGATAGAGGAAGGGCTAAGAGCCAAGAAATGTAGGCGGCCTCTAGAAAGTAGAAAGAGCAAGGAAATGGACTCCCCCTCCAGAGCCTTTGGAAAAATGTAGACCTGCTGACATACTGATTTTAGCCCAGTGAAACTGATTTCAGACCTCCAGAACTGTGAGATAATACATTCGTGTTGTTTTAAGCCCCTAAATTTGTGGTGATGTTTTATATCAACATTAAGAAATGAATACAGAGTGATAGTCTCAGATTTATGTTTTCAAAAGATCACTCAGGCAACAATGTAGAGAAAAGGCTAGAAACAGCAAGGTTGGAGAAGGGTGACCAAATAGGAGGCTCTTATAAGAAATGAGATGAGAGAATTAAGGTATCCTGGGCTGGAGTGGCAGCCATGGGGATAGAAGAAGCAGATACATCCAAGAGGTATATAGCAAGGAGACATGGCAGATTTGATGACTGATTGGAAGGAAGGTAAGAGTTAAGAATGACTTTCATGTATCTAGCTTGCATAAAGAGGGTGGATGTGGAGCTATTCACTGAAACCAGGAAGAACTGATTTAGAAAAGAAGATGGCGGCCGGGCACAGTGGTTCACGCCTGTAATCCCAGCACATTGGGAGGCCGAGGCTGGTGGATCACCTGAGGTCAGGAGTTTGAGACCAGCCTGGCCAACATGGAGAAAATCCCATCTCTACTAAAAATACAAAAATTAGTCGGGTGTGGTGGTGGGTGCCTATATTCTCAGCTACTCGGGAGGCTGAGGCAAGAGAATCACTTGAACCTGGGAGGCAGAGGTTGTAGTGAGCTGAGATTGCACCATTGCACTCCAGGGTAGGTGACAGCAAGACTCCGTCTCAAAAAAAAAAAAAAAAAAAAGGGCACAATTTGGGTACATTAAGTTTCAGGTGATTGAGGAACACCTAACAAATGCTCTTATTCCATTCAAGCTGCTATAAAAAATTACCACAAGCTGAGTGGCTTATAAACAAGAGAAATTTATTTTCTGCTGGGCAGATTCAGTGTCCGGTAAGAGCCCACTTTCTGACTCATAGATGGTACCTTCTCGCTGTATCTTCACATGGTAGAAGGGGCAAGGAGTCTCCCTTGAGCTTCTCTTATAAGGGCACTGATCCCATTCATGAGGTCTCTGGCTACCCTTGTGTAACCACCCCCTAAAGGCCCCACGTCCTAATACTATCACCTTGAAGGTGAGGACTTCAACATATGAATTTTGGAGAAGCACAACATGTAGATCACAGCAAATGCTCAGAAGGCAATAAGATATTTGAGTCCAAAGTTCTGGAGAGATATTTAGGCATGAGATGTAAATTTGGAAGTCATGAATATGTGAATAATAGTCATAAAACCATGAAACTGGGTAAGTCATACAATAAGGAAATTCAGGATAAAAGGACAACCCAGAACATATCTTTGAAGAGCCATAGCATTTAGGAAATAAGCAAAGGAAGAGAAGTATATTTAAAAGACTCAGAAGGAAACCACAAAGACAGAGGAAGAAGATCAGGAGGTTGTGTAATCACAGAAACAAAGAAAGGCAGTAATTCAATAATGACAGATATTCAGCAGTATCAAATAAATTGTGGACATTTCTCTTATTCAAATAAGAGAACTAACGTGTCCATTACATTTAACAATATGCCTGTTGTTGACTGTGTTAGGTTGGGTTCTCCAGAAACAGACACTGAGGCAAGGATTTATGTGCCAGTAATTTATTAAGAATGTGCTTCCAAGCCTGGGCAACATAGTGAAATCCCGTGTCTACCAAAAACATAAAAATTAGCTAAGTATGGTGGCAGAGGCCTATAGTATCAGCTACTTGGGAGGCTGAGGTGCGAGGATTGCTTGAACCCAGGAGGTAGAGGTTGCAGTGAGCTGAAATCGCACCACCACACTCCAGCCTAGGCAACAGAATGAGACCTTGTCTCAAAAAAAAAAAAAAGAAAAAGAAAGAAAAAGAGAAAAAGAATCTGCTTCCAGAAGAAACCAGTAGAGCAGTGAGAAAAGGACAGAGAAGGGAAACCAAGCCAACCAACAGTGTGATTTCAGGCAAAGTTGTGTGGAAGGTAACTTCAACTAATCTTGCAAAGAAATTCTGGAGTTTAAGTTATATTCAGGTTTTTGCCAAATCAATGTGAAAGAGCTAGGCTTTCATATCTTCACACCATACAGTCATTTAAGGGCTACCAGGCATTTTGGGTACTCTGTGTTTAAGAACAAAGCGCTCTAACAGCCTGAAGGTAGGCATAGAAAAAGAGTCCAGGTGTGGGCCACTAGGCACGCAGACCAGCAAAAGGTGAACTCCGAAAGGTAAAAGGGATCCAAGACAATCTGTACAGAGAACCAACAAGATCTGCTCCAGTGACCTTGACAAGAGCAGTCTCAGCACAGTACTGGGCACAGAAATAAGATTGCAGCACATTGAGACATAGTGATGAAGAGAAGATAGTGAGCATAGGAAATTTGTTTTTCAACAGGTTTGGCTGTGAATAGAGAAGTGATATAGTGGTAGCTAGAAAAGATGAAGTCCAGGGAGAGTTTTTACAAAGATAGGAGAGACATGAGGAAGTTTAAATCCTCTTAGAAGAAGGCCATGGAGAGAAAAATAATGAAGATACAGGAGATAAGTGCAAGGATGGGATCCAGGGAACAGATGGAGGAATTAGCTAGAGAATACCACTTCTGGCTTAAACAAAGGGAGTGAAAAGTAGATAAGTATAAATGCATATTTGGTAGCAGAAAGTTTAAAAAGGTATCAATGGTTGGAGCTTGACCAATGTAACATGATTAAATGACTTTTCATATTCTTGGCACTTACGTATTACACTAAATGGCAGGTATAGGTAGACCAACAAGATGTTGCTATTAACAAGAAAAGGATAGTTAAAAATGGCCTCTTTCTGCCTTTCCCAATACTAAATACACAGGAATATACATATTTAAAAAAGAATATACTGGACAACATTGGACAGGCAGAGTCACAGTCAATATAATACCAGAATTTTGAAGGAATTACGCTAATTAAAGGTATTTGGAATTGGACTGAAGAAAACCTACTCAGGTAGTAAATGCCTTCTAGATTTGAATGCACCACTTTCATTTAGACTACCAGAACACAAGCTAGGGTAGTCAGGCAAGTGGAGGTATGGAAGACAGACCAAGCTGAAAGCAACCAAATACTGGACAAAGAGTAGTACATATAAACTATCCTTCCAACTACAGATTTAAGAATAAAACTGCACCACCATGCCAGTGGACAAACAGCCAGGTTGCAAAGGCAACTTTCTTTTCCTTTTTATTTTTCACTTCATTTGTTATTATTATTATACTTTAAGTTCTAGGGTACATGTGCACAACGTGCAGGTTTGTTACATATGTATACATGTGCCATGTTGGTGTGCTGCACCCGTTAACTCCTCATTTACAAATATCTCCTAATGCTATCCCTCCCCCATCCCCTGACCCCACGACAGACCCTGGTGTGTGGTTCCTTATCCCGTGTCCAAGTGTTCTCATTGTTCACTTCCCACCTATGAGTGAGAACATGCGGTGTTTGGTTTTCTGTCCTTGTGATAGTTTGCTCTGAATGATGGTTTCCAGCTTCATCCATGTACCTACAAAGGACATGAACTCATCCTTTGTTATGGCTGCATAGTAGTCCATGGTGTATATGCGCTACATTTTCTTAATCCAGTCTATCATTGTTGGACACCTGGGTTAGTTCCAAGTCTTTGCTACTGTGAATAGTGCCACAATAAACATATGTGTGCATGTGTCTTTATAGCAGCATGATTTACAATCCTTTGGGTATATGCCCAGTAATGGGATGGCTCGGTCAAATGGTATTTCTAGTTCTAGATCCTTGAGGAATCACCACACTGTCTTCCACAATGGTTGAACTAGTTTACAGTCCCACCAACAGTGTAAAAGCATTCTTATTTCTCCACATCCTCTCCAGCACTTGTTATTTCCTGACTTTTTAATGATTGCCATTCTAACTGATGTGAGATGGTATCTCATTGTGGTTTTGATTTGCATTTCTCTGATGGCCAGTGATAAGGAGTACTTTTTCATGTGTCTGTTGGATGCATAAATGTCTTCTTTTGCGAAGTGTCTGTTCATATCCTTTGCCCACTTTTTGATGGGGTTGATTTTTTCTTGTACATTTGTTTAAGTTCTTTGTAGATTCTGGATATTAGCGCTTTGTCAGATGGGTAGATTGTAAAATTTTCTCCCATTCTGTAGGTTGCCTGTTCACTCTGATGATAGTTTCTTTTGCTGTGCAGAATCTCTTTAGTTTAATTAGATCCTATTTGTCAGTTTTGGCTTTTGTTGCCATTGCTTTTGGTGTTTTAGTCATGAAGTCCTTGCCCATGCCTATGACCTGAATGGTATTGCTTAGGTTTTCTTCTAGGGTTCTTAAGGTTTTAGGTCTAACATTTGCGTCTTTAATCCATGTTGAATTAATTTTTGTATAAGGTGTAAGGAAGGGATCCAGTTTCAGGTTTCTACGTATGGCTAGCCAGTTTTCCCAGCACCATTTATTAAATAGGGAATCCTTTCCTCATTTCTTGTTTTTGTCAGGTTTGTCAAAGATTAGATGGTTGTAGATGTGTGGTATTATTTCTGAGGGCTCTACTCTGTTCCATTGGTCTATATATGTTTTGGTACCAGTGCCATGCTGTTTTGGTTACTGTAGGCTTGTAGTGTAGTTTGAAGTCATGTAGCGTGATGCCTCCATCTTTGTTCTTTTGGTTTAGGATTGTCCAGTTAATGCGAGCTCTTTTTTGGTTCCATGTGAACTTTAAAGTAGTTTTTTCCAATTCTGTGAAGAAAGTCATTCGTAGCTTGAAGGGGATGGCACTGAATATATAAAATACCTTGGGCAGTATGGCAATTTTCACAATATTGATTCTTCCTATCCATGAGCATGGAATGTGCTTCCATTTGTTTGTGTCCTCTTTTATTTCGTTGAGCAGTGGTTTGTAGTTCTACTGGAAGACATCCTTCACATCCCTTATAAGTTGGATTCCTAGGTATTTTATTCTCTTTGAAGCAACTGTGAATGGGAGTTCACTCATGAGTTGGCTCTCTGTATGTCTGTTATTGGTGTTTAGGAGTGCTTGTGATTTTTGCACATTGATTTTGTGTCCAGAGACTTTGCTGAAGTTGCTTATCAGCTTAAGGAGATTTTGGGCTGAGACGATGGGTTTTTCTAAGTAAACAATCATGACATCTGCAAACAGGGACAATTTGACTTCCTCTTTTCCTAATTGAATACCCTTTATTTCTTTCTTTTGCCTGCTTGCCCTGACCAGAACTGCCAACACTATGTTGAATAGGAGTGGTGAGAGAGGGCATCCCTGTCTTGTGCCAGGTTTCAAGGGAATGCTTCCAGTTTTTGCCCATTCAGTATGATATTGGCTGTGGGTGTGTCATAAATAGCTATTATTATTTTGAGATACGTTCCATCAATATCTAGTTTATTGAGAGTTTTTAGCATGAAGGGCTGTGGAATTTTGCTGAAGGCCTTTTCTGCCTCTATTGAGATAATCATGAGTTTTTGCCTTTGGTTCTGTTTATGTGATGGATTACGTATATTGCTTCAAAGTATGTTGAACCACCCTTGCATCCCAGGGAGAAAGCCGCCTTGATCGTGGTGGATAAGCTTTTTGATGAGCTGCTGGATTCGGTTTGCCAGTACTTTATTGAGGATTTTTGCATCGATGTTCATCAGGGATATTGGTCTAAAATTCTCTTTTTTTATTGTGTCTCTGCCAGGCTTTGGTATCAGGATGTTGCCAGCCTCATAAAATGAGTTAGGGAGGATTCCCTCTTTTTCTATTGATCAGAATAATTTCAGAGGGAATGGTACCAGCTCCTCCTTGTAACTCTGGTAGAATTCGGCTGTGAATCCATATGGTCCTGGACTTTTTTGGTTGGTAGGCTATTATTTATTGCCTTAATTTCAGAGCCTGTTATTGGTCTATTCAGAGATTCAACTTCTTCCTGGTTTAGTCTTGGGAGGGTGTATGTCTCCGGGAATTTATCCATTTCTTCTAGATTTTCTAGTTTATTTGCATAGAGGTGTTTATAGTATTCTCTGCTGGTAGTTTGCATTCCTGTGGAATTGGTGGTAATATCCACTTTATCATTTTTTATTGCATCTATTTGATTCTTCTCTCTTTTCTTCTTTATTAATCTTGCTAGTGGTCTATCAATTTTGTTGATCTTTTCAAAAAACCAGCTCCTTGATTCATTGATTTTTTGAAGGGTTTTTTGTGTCTCTATGTCCTTCAGTTCTGCTCTGATCTTAGTTATTTCTTATCTTCTGCTAGCTTTTGAATGGGTTTGCTCCTGCTTCTCTAGTTCTTTTAATTGTGATGTTAGGGTGTCAATTTTAGATCTTTCCTGCTTTCTCTTGTGGGCATTTAGTGCTATAAACTTCCCTCTACACACTGCTTTAAATGTGTGCCAGAGATTCTGGTATGTTTTGTCTTTGTTCTCATTGGTTTCAAAGAACATCTTTATTTCTGCCTTCATTTCATTATGTACCCAGTAGTCATTCAGGAGCAGGTTGTTCAGTTTCCATGTAGTTTAACGGTTTTGAGTGTGTTTCTTAATCCTCAGTTCTAGTTTGATTGCACTGTGGTCTGAGAGACAGTTTGTTATAATTTGTGTTCTTTTACATTTGCTGAGGAGTGCTGTACTTCCAACTATGTGGCCAATTTTGGAATAAGTGTGATGTGGTGCTGAGAAAATGTATATTCTGCTGCTTTGGGGTGGAGAGTTCTGTAGATGTCTGTTAGGTCCACTTGGTGCAGAGCTGAGTTCAATTCCTGGATATCCTTGTTAAGTTTGTGTCTCGATCTGTCTAATGTTGACAGTGGGGTATTAAAGTCTCCGACTATTATTGTGTGGGAGTCTAAGTCTCTTTGTAGGTCTCTAAGCACTTGCTTTATGAATCTGGGTGCTCCTGTTTTGGGTGCATATATATTTAGGAGAGTTAGCTCTCCTTGTTGAATTGACCCCTTTACCATTATGTAATGGCCTTCTTTGTCTCTTTTGATCTTTGTTGGTTTAAAATCTGTTTTATCAGAGACTAGGATTGCAACCCCTGCTTTTTTTGTTTTCCATTTGCTTGGTACACCTTCCTCCATCCCTTTATTGTGAGCCTATGTGTGTCTCTGCAAGTGAGATGGGTCTCCTGAATACAGCACATTGATGGGTCTTGACTCTTTATCCAACTTGCCAGTCTGTGTCTTTTAATTGGAGCATTTAGCCCATTTACATTTAAGGTTAATATGGTTACGTGTGAATTTGATCCTGTCATTATGATGTTAGCTGGTGATTTTGCTCGTCAGTTGGTGAAGTTTCTTTCTAGCATTGATGGTCTTTGCAATTTGGCATGTTTTTGCAGTGGCTGGTACTGGTTGTTCCTTTCCATGTTTAGTGCTTTCTTCAGGAGCTCTTGTAAGGCAGGCCTGGTGGTGACAGAATCTCTCAGCATTTGTTTGTCTTAAAGGATTTTATTTCTCCTTCACTTATGAAGCTTAGTTTGGCTGGATATGAAATTCTGGGTTGAAAATTCTTTTCTTTAAGAATGTTGAATATTGGCCTCCACTCTCTTCTGGCTTGTAGAGTTTCTGCTGGGAGATCCGCTGTTAGTCTGATGGGCTTCCCTTTGTGGGTAACCTGACCTTTCTCTCTGGTTGCCCTTAACATTTTTTCCTTCATTTCAACTTTGGTGAATCTGACAATTATGTGTCTTGGAATTGCTCTTCTTGAGGAGTATCTTTGCGGCGTTCTCTGTATTTCCTGAATTTGAATTGTTGGCCTGCCTTGCTAGGCTGGGGAAGTTCTCCTGGATAATATCCTGAAGAGTGTTTTCCAACTTGGTTCCATTCTCCCCGTCACTTTTAGGTACACCAATGAGATGTAGATTTGGTTTTTTCACATAGTGCCACATTTCTTGTAGGCTTTGTTCGGTTTTTTTTACCCTTTTTTCTCTAAACTTGTCTTTTTGCTTCATTTCATTCATTTGATCTTCAATCACTGATAGCCTTTCTTCCACTTGATCAAATCAGCTACTGAAGCTTGTGCACGCATCAAGAAGTTCTCGTGCCACGGTTTTCAGCTCCATCAGGTCACTTAAGGACTTCTCTACAATGTTTGTTCTAGTTAGCCATATGTCTCATCTTTTTTCAAAGTTTTTAGCTTCTTTGTTATGGGTTCGACCATCCTCCTTTAGCTTGGAGAAGTCTGCTATTACCGATCGTCTGAAGCCTTATTCTCTCATCAATGTCATTCTCCTTCCAGCTTTGTTCCGTTGCTGGCAAGGAGCTGCGTTCCTTTGGAGGAGAAAAGGTGCTCTGATTTTTAGAATTTTCAGCTTTTCTGCTCTGGTTTCTCCCCATCTTTGTGGCTTTGTCTACCTTTGGTCTTTGATGATGGTGGTGTACAGATGGTGTTTTGGTGTGGATGTCCTTTCTGTTTGTTAGTTTTCCTTCTATCAGTCAGGACCCTCAGCTGCAGGTCTGTTGGTGTTTGCTGGAGGTCCTATCCAGACCCTGTTTGCCTGGGTATCACCAGCAGAGGCTGCGGAACAGCAAATATTGCAGAACGGCAGATGTTGCTGCCTGATTCTTCCTCTGGAAGCTTTGTCTCAGAGGGGCATCCAGCTGTATGAGGTGTCAGTCGGCCCCTACTGGGAGATGCCTCCCAGTTAGGCTACTTGGGGGTCATGGCCCCACTTGGGGAGGCAGTCTGTCCATTCTCAGATCTCAAACTCCATGCTGGGAGAACCACCAGTCTCTTCAAAGCTGTCAGACAGGGATGTTTAAGTCTGCAGAAGTTTCTGCTGCCTTTTGTTCAGCTATGCCCTGCCCCTAGAGGTGGAGTCTACAGAGGCAAGGCAGGCCTCCTTGAGCTGCGGTGGGCTCCACCCAGTTTGAGCTTCCTGGCCGCTTTGTTTACCTACTCAAGCCTCAGCAAAGCCAGATGCCCATCCCCCAGCCTCGCTGCCACCTTGCAGTTCGATCTCAGACTGCTGTGCTAGCAGTGAGCGAGGCTCCATGGACGTGGGACCCTCCAAGCCAGGTGCGGGATATAATCTCCTGGTGTGCTGTTTGCTAAGGCCATTGGAAAAGCGCAGTATTAGGGTGGGAGTGTCCCAATTTTCCAGGTACTGTCTGTCATGGCTTCCCTTTGCTGGGAAAGGGAATTCTCTGAACCCTTGTGCTTCCCAGGTGAGGCAATGTCCTGCCCTGCTCCATGGGCTGTACCCACTGTCTGACAAGCCCCAGTGAGATGAACCCAGCACCTCAGTTGGAAATGCAGAAATCACCCGTCTTCTGTGTTGCTCATGCTGGGAGCTGCAGACTGGAGCTGTTCCTATTTGGCCATCTTGGAACCTCCTCTCTTTTCCTTTTTAAAAAAAATTATTTTGGATTTACAGGGTACATGTGCAGGTTTGTTGCATAGATACATTGTTTGATGCTGAAGTTTGGGCTTTGATTGAATCCAGCACTCAGATAGTAAACATAGTACCCAATAGTTTTGAACCCTTGCCCCATTCCTCTCCCCTTTTGGAGTCCCCAATAGCTATTGTTCCCATCTTTATATCCCCATGTGTACCCAATGTTTAGCTCCCACATATAAGTAAGAACATGCAGTATTTGGTTTTCTGTTTCTGCGTTCATTCACTTAGAATAATGGCCTCCAGCTACATCCATGCTGCCAAAAAGAACATGATTTCATTCTTTTTATAACAGCATAGTATTCCAAGGTGTATATGTACCAAATTTTCTTCACCCAGTCCACTGTTGATGGGCACCTGGGTTCATTCCATGTCTTTGCTGCCGTGAATAATGTTGCAATAAACATGTGAGTGCAGGTGTCTTTTTGGGAGAACAATTTATTTATGTTTGGGTATATATCCAGTAATGGGATTGCTGGGTTGAATGGTAATTCTATTTTTAGTTCTCTGAGAAATCTCCAAACTGCTTTCCACAGAGGCTGAACTAATTTACAATCCTAAGAACAATGTATGAGCATTTCCTTCTCTCTGCAGACTTGCCAACATCTGTTATTTTTTGACTTTTTAATAATAGCTATTCCAACTGGTGTGAGATGGCATCTCATTGTGGTTTTGATTTGTACTTTTCTGAGGATTAGTGACATTGAGCATTTTTTCATATGTTTATTGGTCACTTGTATGTCTTTCTTTTGAGAAGCATCTGTTGATGTACTTTGCCCAGGGCAATTTTCTTATTCAAATAAGGGAACTAATGTGCCCATTAAATTTAACAATATGGACAGTGGGTATTAAAGTCTCCCACTATTATTGTGTGGGGGTCTAAGTCTCCTTGTAGGTCTCTAAGAACTTCTTTTATGAATCTGGGTGCTCCTGTATTGGGTGCATGTATATTTAGGATAGTTAGCTCTTCTTGTTGTATTGATCCCTTTACCATTATATAATGCCCTTCTTTGTCTCTTTTGATCTTTGTTGGTTTAAAGTCCATTTTATCAGAGACTAGGATTGCAATCTCTGCTTTTTACTTTACTTTTTTTTTTTTTTTGCTTTCCATTTTCTTGGTAAATATTCCTCCATCCCTTTATTTTGAGCCTATGTGTGTCTTTGCATGTGAGATGGGTCTCCTGAATACAGCACACTGATGGGTCTTGACTCATTATCCAATTTGTCAGTCTGTGTCTTTTAATTGGGGCATTTAGCCCATTTACATTTAAGGTTAATATTGTTATGTGTGAATTTGATCCTATCATCATGATGCTAGCTGGTTATTTTGCACATTAGTTGATGCAGTTTCTTCACTGTGTTGTTGGTGTTTATATTATGGTGTATTTTTACAGTGGCTGGTACTGGTTTTTCCTTTCCATATTTAATGCTTCCTTCAGGAGTTCTTGCAAGGCAGGCCTGATGGTGACAAAATCCCTCAGCATTTGCTTGTCTGTAAAGGATTTTATTTCTCCTTCACTTATGAAATTAAGTTTGGCTGGATGAAATTCTGGGTTAAAAATTCTTTTCTTTAAGAATATTGAATATTGGCCCCCACTCTCTTCTTGCTTGTAGGGTTTCTGCACAGAGATCCGCTGTTAGTCTCATGGGCTTCCCTTTGTAAATAACCTGACCTTTCTCTCTGGCTTCCCTTAACATTTTTTCCTTTTGTTTCAACCTTGGCGAATCTGACAATAATGAGACAGAAAATTAACAAGGATATTCAAGACTTGAACCCAGCTCTGAACCAAGTGGACCTAATAGACATCTATAGAACTCTCTACCCCAAATCAACAGAATATACATTCTTCTCAGCACCACATAGCACTTATTCTAAAATCGACCACATAATTGTAAGTAAAACACTCTTCAGCAAATGGAACAGAATGGAATTCATAACAGTCTCTCAGACCACAGTGCAATCAAATTAGAACTCAGGATTAAGAAACTCACTCAAAACTGCACAACTGCATGGAAAGTAAACAACCTCCTCCTGAATGACTACTGGGTAAATAACAAAATTAAGTCAGAAACAAAGAAGTACTTTGAAACCAATGAAAACAAAGAGACAATGTACCAGAATCTCTGGGACACAGCTAAACCAGGGTTAAGAGGGAAATTTATAGCACTAAATGCCCACATCAGAGAGTGGAAAAGATCTCAAATCGACACCCTAACATCACAATTAAAAGAATTAGAGAAGCAAGAGCAAACAAATTCAAAAGCTAGAAGAAGACAAGAAATAACTAAGATCAGAGCAGAACTGAAGGAGACAGAGACATGAAAAACCCTTCGAAAACTCCATGAACCGGGGAGCTGGTTTTTTGAAAAGATTAACAAAATAGACCACTATGCAGACTAATAAAGAAGAAAAGGGAGAAGAATCAAATAGACACAATAAGAAATGATAAAGGGGATATCACCACTGATCCCACAGAAATACAAACTAACATCAGAGAATACTATAAACACCTCTACACAAATAAACTAGAAAATCTAGAAGAAATGGATAAATTCCTGGACACATACACCCTCCCAAGACTAAACCAGGAAGAAGTTGAATCTGTGACTAGACCAATAACAAGTTCTGAAATTGAGGGAGTAATTAATAGCCCACCAACCAAAAAAAGCTCAGGACCAGATGGATTCACAGCCGAATTCTACCAGAGGTACAAGGAGGAGCTGGTACCATTCCTTTTGAAACTATTTCAAACAATAGAATAAGAGGGACTCCTCTCTAACTCATTTTATGAGGGCAGTATCATCCTGATTCCAAAACCTGGTACAGACACAACAAAAAAAGAAAATTTCAGGCCAATATCCCTGATGAACATTGATGTGAAAATCCTCAGTAAAATACTGGCAAACCGAATCCAGCAGCACATCAAAAAGCTTATCCACCACAATCAAGTTGGCTTTATCCCTGGGATGGAAGGCTAGTTCAACATATGCAAATCACTAAATGTAATCTGTCACATAAACAGAACCAATGACAAAAACCACATGATTATCTCAATACATGCAGAAAAGGCCTTCGATAAAATTCAACACCCTTCATACTAAAAAACTGTCAATAAACTAGGTATTGATGGAACATATCTCAAAATAGTAAGAGCTATTTATGACAAACCCACAGCCAATATCATATTGAATGGGCAAAAACTGGAAGCATTCCCTTTGAAAACCGGCACAAGACAAGGATGTCCTTTCTCACCACTCCTATTCAACATAGTATTGGAAGTTCTGGCCAGGGCAATCAGGCAAGAGAAAGAAATAAAGGGTATTCATATAGGAAGAGAGAAAGTCAAATTGTCTCTGTTTGCAGATGACATGATTATATATTTAGAAAACCCCATCGTCTCAGCCCAAAAACTCCTTAAACTGATAAACAACTTCAGCAAAATCTCAGGACACAAAATTAATGTGCAAAAATCACAAGCATTCCTATACACCAATAATAGACAAGCAGAGAGCCAAATCATGAGTGAACTCCCATTCACAACCGCTACGAAGAAAATAAAACACCTAGGAATACAACTTACAAGGGAAGTGAAGGACCTCTTCAATGAGAACTACAAAAAGAACTCAAGGAAATAAGAGAGGACACAAACAAATGGAAAAACATTCCATGCTCACAGATAGGAGGAATCAATATTGTGAAAATGGCCATACTGCCCAAAGTAATTTATAGATTCAATGTTATTCCCATTTAGCTACCATTGACTTTCTTCACAGAACTAGAAAAAAAAATACTTTAAATTTCATATGGAATGAAAAAAGAGATCATATAGCCAAAACAATCCTAAGCAAAAAAAAAAAAAAACAAAGCTGAAGGTATTATGCTACCTGACTTCAAACTACTACAAGGCTACAGTAACTAAAACGGTATGGTACTGGTACCAAAACAGATATATAGACCAATGGAACAGAACAGAGACCTGAGAAATAACACCACATATGTTTGACAAACCTAACAAAAGCAAGCAATGGGGAAAGGATTCCCTGTTTAATAAACGGTGCTAGGAAAACTGGCTAGACATATGCAGAAAGCTGAAACTGGATCCCTTCCTTACACCTTATACAAAAATTAACTCAAGATGGATTAAAGACTTAAATGTAAGACCTAAAACCATACAAACCCTAGAAGAAAACCTAGGCAATACCATTCAGGATATAGGCATAGGCAAAGACTTCATGACTACAACACCAAAAGCAATGGCAACAAAAGCCAAAATTGACAAGTGGGATCAATTAAACTAAAGCGCTTCTGCTCAGCAAAAGAAACTATCATCAGAGTGAAAAGGCAACCTACAGAATGGGAGAAAATTTTTACAATCTACCCATCTGACAAAGCTCTAAAATCCAGAATCCACAAGGAACTTAAAAACATTTACAAGAAAAAAACAACCCCATCAAAAAGTGGGCAGAGGATATGAACAGACACTTCTCAAAAGAAGACATTTGTGCGGCCATCAAACATATGAAAAAAAGCTCATCATCACTGGTCATTAGAGAAATGCAAATCAAAACCACAATGAGATACCAGCTCAAGCCAGTTAGAATGTCGATCATTAAAAAGTAAGGAAACAACAGATGCTGGAGAGGATGTGGAGAAATAGGAACACTTTACACTGTCGGTGGGAGTCTAAATTAGTTCAACCATTGTGGAAGACAGTGTGGCGATTCCTCAAGGATCTAGAACCAGAAATATCATTTGACCCAGCAATCCCATTACTGAGTATATACCAAAAAAATTATAAATCTTTCTACTATAAAGACACATGCACATGTATGTTTACTGCAGCACTATTTACAATAGCAAAGGCTTGGAACCAACCCAAATGCCCATCAATGATAGACTGGATAAAGAAAATGTGGCACATATACACCATGGAATACTATGCAGCCATTAAAAAGAATGAGTTCATGACCTCTGCAGGGACATGGATGAAGCTGGGAACCGTCATCCTCAGCAAACTAATGCAGGAACAGAAAACCAAACACTGCATGTTTTCACTCATAAGTGGGAGTTGAACAATGAGAACACATGGGCACAGGGAGGGGAACATCACACACTGGGGCCTGTCAGTGGGTGGAGGGAAAGGGGAGGGAGAGCATTAGGACAAATCCCCAATGCATGCAAGGCTTAAAACCTAGATGATGGGTTGATAGGTGCAGCAAACTACCATGGCACATGTATACCTATGTGACAAACCTGCATGTTCAGCACATTTCAGCACATGTATTCCAGAATTTAAAGTAAAGAAAAAAAAAATTAGCAATATGCCTGTTGGTGACTGTGTTAGGGTGAGTTCTCCAGAAACAGACCCTGAGGCAAGGGCAATTTTCTTATCCCATGTTATGGGTTGAATTGTGACCCCCAAATGATACTGTGAAGTCTTAACTCCGGGTATCTGTTAGTGTGACCTTATTTGGAAATTGCATCTTTGCAAATGTAATCAAGCTAATGTGAGGTTATTAAGGTAGGTCTTAATACAATACGACTAGTGTCTTTATAAGACGACAATGTGAAGACACGCAGGGAGAAAACCATATGACAATAGAAGCAGAGATTGCAATGACAAACCTGTGAGCCAAGGCCCATCATGGACTGACAGCGACCACCAAAAGCTAGAAAGGGGCAAAGGATTCTCCCCTATAGGTTTCAGAGGGAGCATGGCTTTTCTGACACCTTATTTTAAGTTTCTAGCTTCCAGAACTGTAAGACAAAAACTTTCTGTTGTTTTAAACCATGGAGTAGGTACTAGTTTTTAGAGCAGCCTAGGAAACTAATATATCCTATCCGTTGATAATTACGTAGTCTGAACAAATCTTCCCATCTTTGAGGATTACCATGGAGAAAAAGAATGTAAAGTATCTATGAACAACAACAACAAAAACAACAACAAAAAAAAACAGAAAAAAATGGAAAAGAAAAGCATACAGGAAATCAAAATACATTACATAATGTACCCCTGAAATTATTTACTACAGGACTCAGTAGAAAATTTCAGGAAAATATTTTCCATAAAAGAATACAAGAATTAACACCTTCACTACTTGTCTTTCAGAAACATGGAAAAATAACTAAGCCAACTGTATTTTTCAATAATTTGTATTTATAATATTAAATAATATTGATTTACCTGATTGAAGTCCAAAAAATAGTTCCTCATCTTGAAGTAGTTCTTGAACACAATCTAATCTCATGTTAATGGTTTCAATATCAACTAGAGGCTCTAATATATTAGAACGAAGTCGTCTACTCCCTCCAGGAGTCTTAGTATAATTTAGAACACCAAAGAGAGTGTGATTATTCCTTTCAAAACACAAGAAATGTCAGTAAGAATACAAAGAAAAACGCAAGAAAATTTCATTTCACTTTGTAATTAAATAATCCTATAATCTACAGCAATGATTCTTTTTTTTTTTTTTTTTTGAAACAGAGTCTCGCTCTCTCTCCCAGTATGGAGTACAGTGGCGCGATCTCGGCTCACTGTAAGCTCCGCCTCCAAGGTTCACGCCATTCTCCTGCCTCAGCTTCCTGAGTAGCTGGGACTACAGGCGCCCGCCACCACGCCCAGCTAATTTTTTGTATTTTTGTATTTTTAGTAGAGACGGGGTTTCACCTTGTTAGCCAGGATGGTCTCCATCTCCTGACCTTGTGATCCGCCTGCCTTGGCCTCCCAAAGTGCTGGGATTACAGGCGTGAGCCACCGCGCCTGGCCAGCAATGATTCTTAAACTTTACTGTGCATACAATTACATAAATTTCTAATTCAGTAGGTCTAATAAAAAGCATGAGGTTCTACATTTTGGGCCACGCACGGTTGCTCACACCTATAATCTCAACAACACTCTGGGAGGCCAAGGCAGGAGGAATACTTGAACTCGGGAGTTCAAGACCAGCATGGACAACATAGTGAGACCCCGAGTCTACAAAAAACTAAAAATTAACTGGACAGGGTGGCACAGGCCTTTAGTCCCAGTTAGTCAGGAGGCTGAGATGGGAGGATTGCTTGAGCCCAGGAGGTCAAGGCTGCAGTGAACCATACTTGCACCACTGTATTCCAGTGTGGAGACAGAGTGAGATCTTGTCGCAAAAAAAGTTTTTAGATATATTTTGATTTTTTGAAGGGATTTTTGTGTCTCTATTTCCTTCATTTCTGCTCTGATCTTAGTTATTTTTTGCATTCCGCTAGCTTTTGAATGTGTTTGCTCTTGCTTCTCTAGTTCTTTTAATTGTGATGTTAGGGTGTCAATTTTAGATCTTTCCTGCTTTCTCTTGTGGGCATTTAGTGCTATAAATTTCCCTCTACACACTGCTTTGAATGTGTCCCAGAGATTCTGGTATGTTGTGTCTTTGTTCTCGTTGGTTTCAAAGAACATCTTTATTTCTGCCTTCATTTCGTTATGTACCCAGTAGTCATTCAGGAGCAGGTTGTTCAGTTTCTATGTAGTTGAGCGGTTTTGAGTGAGTTTCTTAATCCTGAGTTCCAGTTTGATTGCACTGTGGTCTGAGAGACAGTTTGTTATAATTTCTGTTCTTTTACATTTGCTGAGGAGTGCTTTACTTCCAGCTATGTGGTCAATTTTGGAATAGGTGTGGTGTGGTGCTGAAAAGAATGTATATTCTGTTGATTTGGGGTGGAGAGTTCTGTAGATGTCTATTACGTCCGCTTGGTGCAGAGCTGAGTTCAGTTCCTGGATATCCTTGTTAACTTTCTGTCTCGTTGATCTGTCTAATGTTGACAGTGGGGTGTTAAAGTCTCCCATTATTATTGTGTGGGAGTCTAAGTCTCTTTGTAGGTCTCTAAGTACTTGCTTTATGAATCTGGGTGCTCCTGTATTGGGTGCATATATATTTAGGATAGTTAGCTCTTCTTGTTGAATTGATCCCTTTACCATTATGTAATGGCCTTCTTTGTCTCTTTTGATCTTTGTTGTGAATCCAGGAGCTGGTTTTTTGAAAAGATAAACAAAATTGATAGACCACTAGCAAGACTAATAAAGAAGAAAAGAGAGAAGAATCAAATAGATGCAATAAAAAATGATAAAGGGGATATCACCACTGATCCCACAGAAATACAAACTACCATCAGAGAATACTATAAACACCTCTATGCAAATAAACTAGAAAATCTAGAAGAAATGGATAAATTCCTGGAGACATACACCCTCCCAAGACTAAACCAGGAAGAAGTTGAATCTCTGAATAGACCAATAACAGGCTCTGAAATTGAGGCAATAATTAATAGCTTACCAACCAAAAAATGTCCAGGACCAGATGGATTCACAGCCAAATTCTACCAGAGATACAAGGAGGAGCTGGTACCATTCCTTCTGAAACTATTCCAATCAACAGAAAAAGAGGGAATCCTCCCTAACTCATTTTATGAGGATATATTTTGAACAAGCTCCCATATATGCTATTGGTCAATGAACTACACTTTAACAAGGATGAATAGAATCTCCTTGCACTTTATGACTTCTTTTATAGATCAGTTACAATATTCACACTAATATAAAGTTTTCTAGTCTATTTATTCCATCCATAATAGCAAGATATTAATAATATATCCTTAAGGGTGGAGGGGCTTTTATATTGTTAAAATAAATATTTACTATAATGATCTTGTTCTGATGACAAGTACAAGACAATTTCATAATTCCTAGGTGATTTATAAAGAAATGAGCTATTCTAAAGAATGCTGGTCAGTCAAGGTGGCGCATGCCTGTATTCCCAGCACTTTGGGAGGCAGAGGCAGGTGGATCACTTGAGGTTAGGAGTTCAAGACCAGCCTGGCCAACATGGTGAAACCCCATCTCTACTGAAAAAAAAATACAAAAATTAGCCAGGTATAGTGGCAGGCACCTGTAATCCCAGCTTCTCAGGAGGCTGAGCCATAAGAATCACTTGAACCCGGGAGGCGGAGGTTGCAGTGAGCCGAGATTGCGCCACTGCACTCCAGCCTGGGCTACAAAGTGAGACTCTGTCTAAAACAAACAAAAACAAAGAAACAAAAAAATTCATTTAGTTGGACTATTTATTAGACAACTTCATATAATACATGTAAAAAATCTGATTCATTTTAATATTTAACAAATACTTTTTGAGCCCTTATGGTATTCAAAACTCTATGCTAAACACTGGGCATATAAGACGGACATGATTCCTGTCTTCACAGACCTTACAGCCTAATGGCGATTGCCAATAACTTTTTATTTATTTATTTATTTAGACAGAGTCTTGCTCTGTTGCGCAGGCTGGAGTACAGCAGCACTATCTAGGCTCACTGCTACCTCTGCCTCCAGGGTTCAAGTGATTCTCATGCCTCAGCCTCCTGAGTAGCTGGGATTACAGGTGTGCCACTATGCTGGCTAAATTTTGTATTTTTGGTAAAGACAGGGTTTCACCATGGCGACCAGGCTGGTCTCAAACTCCTGGCCTCAAGTGATCCACCCACGTTGGCCTGCCCAGGGTGCTGGGATTACAGGCATGAGCCACCGCACTTAGCCATTGACAATAACTTTTGTCAGTTTACTGGCCGTGACTGAAGACAAGACAAAGAGCGAGGGGAAATAAACAATAAAAACAATAAACACATAATCATATCAAGAAAATAATTTTAGGTACAGAAACAGCTAAAAAAAACAAAAACAGGCCGGGCACGGTGGCTTACACCCGTAATCCCAGCACTTTAGGAGGCCGAGGCGGGTGGATCATGAGGTCAGGAGATCGAGACCGTCCTGGCTAACACAGTGAGACCCCGTCCCTACTAAAAATACAAAAAAAAAATTAGCTGGGCATGGTGGTGGGTGCCTGTAGTCCCAGCTACTTGGGAGGCTGAGGCAGGAGAATGGCGTGAACCCTGGAGGCAGAGCTTGCAGTGAGCCAAGATTGCACCACTGCACTCCAGCCTGGTCAACAGAGTGAGACTCCATCTCAAAACAAAAAACAAACAAACAAAAAAAACGGAATATACAGAGAAGGACCAGGGTGGTTGCTTTAGTTAGGTTGATTAAGAAAGACTTCCCTATGAATTTGATAGTAGAGTTGAGAACTGAATGATTAAAAAAGAAGGCAGCAATGCAAAGATGACGATGGGATGGGAATCATGACAACAATAATGAGGACAGCTAACATAAAATGATACTTAGTATGTACCCACAATTGTTCTAAGCATTTTAAAAGTATTAACTTGTTTAATTCTAATAACCATGTTATGAGATAGGCACTATTATTGGCCACATCATTTTACAACAGAAGTAACTTAAGAACAAGGAAATTAGGTAACTTGTCCAAGATTTCCAAGTAAGTAGCATAGCAGCAATTTAAGCCCAGGAAGTCTGGCTCCAGAACAAAAAAGAAGATCAAGGTTAGTGGAGCTTTGCAAGTGGGGGTAAGAATAGAGAGAGATGAATGAAGAAGTTGATAGAGGCCAGGACATAGAAGTCCTTATAGGCCAAAGAGTCTGGATTCTATTGTAAATGTAAGGAGAGCCACTGGAAGGTTTTCAGCAGAAGAGTTACAAGATCTGATTTCTGGATTAAAAGGATATCACAGTATGACTACTATTAATATGTTGAGAATAAACTATAGGAAGGTAAGAAGAGGGCAGAAAGAAAAGCTAGGAGGCTATTATAGTAGTCTATGCTAAAGATGATAGAGGTTTGGGTTAGGGTAGTAGCCTTGGAAATGGTGACAAGTGATCCAGAACTGGTATATACTCTGAAGGCTAGATCAAGAGGATTTTCTGATGGATCAAATCTGAGGTGTGAAAGGAGAGGAAACAAGAATGACTTTTAAGATTTAGTCATCATTCTACCAGATTTCTGTCATACCCATTTAAACTAATTTGTAGGGAACTACTCATATCAACTGGCTAGGGGGAGGGGGGGTGTCTCCCATCACATGTACATTTTTTTTTTTTGAGAACTTATTTCTAAAAGGAGGTAAGGGGCACACATAAACCTCCCATTTGTTATAGAAATCAATGGATGTAATACTGCACTGAACAGGCAGCAAGCCTATGGAAGCATTGGAGCTATTCAGATAGTTCAGTACGTAGAATATCCATCTTTTAACCTGAGGATTCTTTCATTTAAGTCTGTGAAAAGACTTTTCAATTGTTCCTTTCAACTATAATACTAACTCCTGGAGATCAGATATTCTATCATTTAAGTATCTGTATCCCTAATATATAGCAGGAAGTCAAACAATGTTTGACAATGATAAAGTGTGAAACATGACAAGGTAAAACTGAATATAAAACACTTTGTAATAACTACCAGGCTTGGTCATTGACTTTCTATGCCATGATAACATAGGATATCATAGAAAGTCAAAGACAGAGTAATTTTAACCTATAACCTAATGGATGTGAAGTGGTATCTAACTGCGGTTTTGATTTGTAGTTCCCTAATGACTAGTAAAGTTGAGCATCTTTTCTGGTACTTACTGGCCATTTGTTTACCTTCTTTGTGAAAATGTCTATTAAGTTCCTTTACCCAGTTCTGAACTGGGTTGTTTTTTGTTATTTAGTACAAATATCTTTTTAAAACTTGATTTTGGTGAAACATCTGACCAGTTCAGCAAAAACAGTACAATGATTTAAAACATGCTTACTTAATATTTCTCCACCATTAGCTGGGCATGGCAGTTTGTGCCCATAGTTTCAGCTACTTGGAGGCTGAGGCAGGACAATCATTTGAGCCCAGGAGTTTGAGACCAGCCTGGACAAAATAGCAAGAACCTACCTCTTAAATAAAATTCTCCATCAAATAATTCAAAGAAGTTTAGGCTGAGAGCAGTAGCTCACGGCTGTAATCCCAGCACTTTGGGAGGCTGAGGCAGGTGGATAATTTGAGATCCAGAATTTGAGACCAGCCTGGCCAATATGGTGAAACCCTGTCTCTATTAAAAATAGAAAAATTAGCTAGGCATGGTGGCACATGCCTGTAGTCCCAACTACTTGGGAGGCTGAGACAGAAGAATTGCTTGAACCTGGAAGGCAGAGGTTGCAGTGAGCTGAGATCGCACCACTGCACTCCAGCCTGGGCAACAAGAGCAAAACTCCATCTCAAAATTTAAAAAAGAAAAAAAGAACTTTAAAGTTACCATTAATAGAAAAATATATATATACCGATATATTTTATACAAATAAAATGGATGATCTTACCTATAGTCTTGATTATTAATTAACAATTCAAGGTTTTGGGCTGATGATGAATCTATCATGGCTGTCTGTTCACTACCCTGGAAACAAATCTTCAGTGATTTTGGTGCATAAACTGAATTTTGAATAAATTCAACATATTTTAACAAAGCTGCAACAGCTGCAAGGCAGTAATACCTAAAAGATGACCAATAATACATCACTATAAGTCTTTAATATAAAAAATTATCTATTTCCCCTTAAGAAAAATTATAAATATTTGCATAGCATTGCTTAAACTCAAAAGGAAAAGGTACACCAGGTATTTCATATTTTTGAAAACTAGGTAAATAACCTCTAAATCATAAAAATGAATGAAAATAAATAATTTCAAGTATTAATTTCAAGTTCAAGTCTGACACTTAAGGGACTTTAAATTCCGATAAATCCTGTGTTAGGAGGTAACATTCAATCAAAGGTAATTTGCATCAATTTTTGATGTACCATTCTAAGTATTCAAATAATGTTAGGAAAGTCTGATACTTTATTTATTTATTTATTTTGAGACAGGGTCTAGCTCTGTCAACCAGGCTGGGGTACAGTGGTGTGATCTCGGCTCACTGCAACCTCCACCTCCCAGGCTCAAGCAATACTCCTGCCTCAGCCTCCCAAGTAGCTAGGATGACAGTCATGCACCACCACACCCAGGTAATTTTTGTATTTTTGGTAGAGATGGGGTTTTGCCATGTTGCTGAGGCTGGTCTCAAACTCCTTGGCCTCCCGAAGTGCTGGGATTTCAGGCATGAGTCACTGTGCCCAGCCTGGAAAAATCCGGTACTTTAACGGTAGAATCAGATCTCAATGTACAGAGAAGTATGTTATGATCTCAGTGAGAATAATGATTGTTATTAACTGAGTAAACAGGTAATCCAACCTGACTCAAAGAAAGTATCTATTTCGTATGTTCTAGGAAATATGTGTTCCAAAAATACCATTCTCTGTCTCATGCTGAATCTGTTAGGAGTAAAGACAGAAAGAAACAGGAACACAGCTTTACCTGTGTTTTACTCCTATGCCCTCACATTTCCAGTTTACTGTAGCTACTTGAGCTTTTCACTCCAAAGTAAAGTGAGTAGCAACCATTAGGTCAATAGCTTATGACTAATTTGGAGAAATTCTATATAAATTAAGTTAGCAATATATGCCTTGTGTATAAATTTTAGTCAACTATTTCACTATTTCAATAATTACTATGTATTATGAACCAGGTAATTTTCCAGGTGGTAGGAATGCAGCAGAGAACAAAACAGACAAAAGTCCCTGCCCTTGTGGAACTCACACTGGAGATTTATTTACTTTCCTTAAGTTATAACTTACTTGATATGATATTGGTAGCTGTGGGCTAGTAAAAAAATAAATAAATATATAACTTACTTGGACTGAACCTCCATTAGGACAGTGCTGAATTCTGCTATGCATAACTGTTCAATGTACTCTAATCCTTTTGTTTCATTGAAGTATTTCCTTTGGATAGTAGTGAAATTAACATTCTGAAAAGAAGTTTTAATTTCAAAATAAAGTTTGAAGTGCCATGCGCTTGCCCAAAACTGCTTTCTTAAACACATGCTAGGTAAGTGGCTTAAATATTGTATAAAAATTTCAACATTTAAATAAGAACTTTTCTTAGTTATTTCTATAAAAAGAATGATTATTCTTGCTAAGTGAATTATAGTAGTTTGTATCTCTTATTAGACCTTACTCTTATGAGATTTAATGGAATATGTTAGATACAATAATAAAAAATAAACATGACAGTTTATTTTTTATTGCCTTTAGTAATCTTTGCCTTTTAGTAATCTTTTGCCTTTTAGTAATCTTTTGTATAGATTGTACTAAAATCTATGCCTTTTAGTAATCTTTTGTATAGAAATAACCTTTCACAGTTTTATATTCATCTTTCCATAGTCTATCATAATTGAGAAAGGGTAGATTCTTATAATGCCCCAGGTGAAAAGATGAAAACACCAATTCTACCTATCTATGATATACTATTTACATAAAGTGAATTGAATTTATTTAGAACAAAGAGAAAATTATAATCTTTTTGAGACAGGGTCTCACTCTGTTGCCCAGGCTGGAATACAGCGGCATGATCATAGCTCACTACAAATTTGAACTCCAGGGTACAAGCAATCTGCTTGCTTCATCCTCCTGAGTAGCTGGGACTACAGGCACACACCATTACATCTGGCTAATTTTTTTTTTTTTTTTTTTTTTTTGAGCAGAGATAAGTTCTCACTATGCTGCCCAGGCTGGTGTCAAACTCCTGGGCTCAAGTGATTCTCCCACATTGGCCTCCCAAAGTGCTGGAATTACCAGTGTGAGACATCAGCACCCGGTTGATAATGGAACTTTTAAAAAGCATCAAGTTGTTAAGTAAAAGGTTTACCTCCTTTGAATAAAACTGATGGTTAAGAAAAGGTAATATTATATCAATAGACTATGTAAGCGCTGTTAAGAATGAAAAAATATCATGACCAAGTAGGGACATATCTTATTAACTCCGGTTTTCATATAAATAAAATTCTGAAAAGTCAAGTAACTTTTCTGATATTATACAGTTGATCTGTGCCAAAGCTGAGACTCAAATTTAGATTTCTTTGAAGTCCATTTTCCTTATACTTCATATTGCTTTTGATTTAATGCAGGTCTGTTTTTTTTTCTTAAGAGAGGGGTCTCACTATGTTGCCCAAGCTAGATTTGAACTACTGGGCTCAAGTGATCCTCCCACCCTGGCCTCCCAAGTACCTGGGACTACAGGCACATGTCACTACACCTGGCTAATGAAGGTCTTCTTATGGTAAGTGTAGTCATAATAGTAATAATGATAATAAAAATATCGAATTTTCCCTCTGCTTAGAATACTTTTACCTCAAATACCTCCATGGCTTGCTCCCTCACTCCATTCAGAACTTTGCCCAAATGTAACCTTATCAATGAGGCCATCTCTGATTACCCTATATAAAATATCAATTTTCTAGGAGGTTGGTATCTCCTATTGTCCCTAATTTACTGATGAAAAAAACTGAAGCTCCAAGAAGTTAAGTGTCTTGCAGTAGGTCACGTAGAGTCAAGATCTGAAACCGGGACAATCTGACTTCTCTATTCTTAAGCACTATGCTATACTGCCTTACTATTCAAATGCACTGAAATTATGTTGTTTTTGCCTTTGGAGGACTTATCCCCCATTCCATGTGATTCTGGAAGGCCTAGCTATCATAGTATTCTGTGTCTCACAGCAAAAGGATTAGTCAATTATAGTGTATCTACCCCCAGAAATAGTGATTACTCTAACGTGTGAGAAACTGAACAAAGCGGAATCAGTCAGCATCCTTCCCTGGAATTCATACATGGACACTGGAATAAAGAAATTATTTTCCCTCTGGGTTAGCTAAGCTGAGATGACATCAGCCTTGAGCCATTAGCAATCATCTTCTTAAATCTCATAGAAGTAAACTATCTGCAGTAGAAAAAGGATGATATGGGGAATGAGAGTAGTGATAAAGATGCTCTCTTTGACCAAACTCTACCTGGGCTACTATAAGCCTTCTTCTCAACTAAGCCTCCAACTGGCCTATAAAGACTTGAACGAAACACTAACATTGTTTCTAACTGCTCAAAGCCACATCCCTAGGATGACCTTAGCCTCTCATAAAGTGCCAGCCTAAGAAAACTCAGGCTGCCAAAAAAAATTTACTGTTTATTCCACTTAACACCTAAAAATAGGGTCCCTGTCTCCTATCCTCTGTGGGAGAATAGGAGCCTAACTTTGGTAAGTGCCAGTTAGCAAACCCAGATTTTTTGTTGTTGTTCTTTTGAGATGGAGTCTTGCTCTGTTGCCCAGGCTGCAGTGCAATGGCACAATCTCGGCTCGCTGCAACCTCTGCCTCCCAGGTTCAAGCGATTCTCCTGCCTCAGCTTCCCGAGTAGCTGGGACTACAGGCGCGTGCCACCAGGCCTGGCTAATTTTTTTGTATTTTTAGTAGAGATGGGGTTTCACCATGTTAGCCAGGATGGTCTCGATCTCCTGACCTTGTGATCCACCCTCCTCGGCCTCTGAAAGTGCTGGGATTACAGGCATGAGCCACCGCACCTGGTCTTACTTTTTGTTATAATAATTTTTCACTTCCCTGACTCTACTGAGCTTGTGCTTACTCCTCCTTATTCCCTTAGTCTCCCATTAAAATGCCCAGTATAAACCGAAGTTCAATTCAGTCCACACTGGACTCTTTTCTCTGTTGCAACAGCATATTACTGATTAAAATATTTAGCTAGTGTTTGGCTTTGTTTACCTTTGACAGTAGGAACAGGATCTATTCAACCATTGACTTCCCAGTTACATAAGCCAATACATTTCCTTTTTTGCATAAGGTAGTTTACATTAGATTTCTCTTATTTATAACCAAAAGAATTATAAGGCCTAATCACAACAACAACAACAACAACAAAACATGAAAGTTGGAAAGGTATGGATAAATAGGCATAATGAAAAGAAGTATAAAGTTATAAATGAAAAAGAACAGATAAAGTGATTCGTCTAATAGAGACAATAGATTTAGAATAGGGACTATCTCTGGCAATGAGTCAAAGGCAGCTCATCTATACAGGAAATCCAAGAGCACCATGACAAATCTTATATGACTGCAGATGCTGAATATATTAGGAACAGGAAAGGAACTCATTGGACTCCAAACCTCAGCTTGGTTCCAAATGTGTTAAAGTAAAAGATAAGTCTAAAAACATAACAAAATATAGTATATTCTGAAAATAATTTGCATTCCTAAGGAATTATTCCAACTGCAATGCTGTCTACTTGGTTTGGAGCCACAGCCCCCATTCTTGTTGGATAAGGTTCCACAGTGCTTACCCACTACAGTCCTACAGATAGACACTAGAGTAGCAGGCTAACTGGAAGGCAGTACATGTTATCAGGGGAAGCTGAAACAATTCTGTAATACAAATTAAATTCCCTATAGAAAAAGGTACTTGCTGATAGCTGCTATCCCCTAAGAACTTCAATTTCAACCAGTCTGACAGCACAATAAGTAGTTTCCAGGAAAATACATGTAAGGGAAACTTATGCTTTCTCTATGGGTCTGCCCCTTGTATATCTGAGAAACTTCCTTATTACCTAAAACATGTTTTCTTTTGTTTAAAGTAGATCAGGGTGCCAAATCAAATAAGTAAATTCCCTATCATTTTTATTATCTGTATTAACAGTCCCTTAGATTAGGATTTGTATTTAGTGACTACTTTAGGACACTAAATATAAAGTTACTAAAATTATTGTTCTTTATAATGATATTATTAAGTAAATTTTAAATAAAGTGATTAGGGCCGGGCACAGTGACTCACTCATGCCTGTAATCCCAGCACTTTGGGAGGCCAAGGCAGATCGATCACTTGAGGTCAGGAGTTTGAAACTAGCCTGGCCAACATGGTGAAACCCCATTTCTACTAAAAATACAAAAATTAGCTGGGTGTGGTAACACACGCCTGTAGTCCCAGCTACTTGGGAGGCTGAGGCAGGAGAATCACTCGAACTCGGGAGCTGGAGGTTGCAGTAAGCCGAGATCACGCCCTTTCACTCCAGCCTGGGTGACAGAGTGAAACTCTGTCTCAAAAAAATAAATAAATAATAAATAACAAATAAATAAATAAGTGATTAGATCTTGAATGTTACAAACAGTAAACATCACTTACCTTGAAATTTTCTGTGATCAGAGTGAACAACTTGGTGGAATTCCCCACAGCACAAGCAGTATTTGACATTATTATTTCCAAAGGTGATAAAATTTTAAGTTTAGTGATCACCTGAAATCATTTGAATAAACAATTTCTTAAATAAAGCTTAGGAAATAAAAGTTTCATATTTTTCTGAGATAAGTATTTAAAATTAATTCATAGATACACAAAATTATAACTGTCCTAATGATATATTTCAATTAAAATATGTTTCTAGCCAGGTGGGTTCACACCTGTAATCCCAGCACTTTGGGAGGCTGAGGTGGGCAGATCACTTGAGGCCAGGAGTTCGAGACCCACCTGGCCAACATGGTGAAACCCTGTCTCTACTAAAAAAAAAAAAAAAAAAAAAATACAAAAATTACCCGAGCATGGTGGTGCATGCCTGTAATCCCAGCTACTCAGGAGGCTGAGGCATGAGAATAGTTTGAGCCCAGGGGGCAAAGGTTGCAGTGAGCTGAGATCACACCAGGCACCTTTGCACGCCAGTCTAGGTGGCAGAGGGAAAATCTGTCTCAAAAACAGACAAACAAACACCACCACCACCAATAACAATAAAATATATATGTATATATATTTCTAATGGTAGTATATTGAACATATATCTCCTATATAACTACTAACATAAAATACTGTCATAAAATAGGCTATATTTTACTCACAATAGTTTCTAACAGCCTTAAGTTCAAAAATTAATTTGAACTTATCAAATATATATTCCCAAAATAAAATTGTTTTTAAATAAATTCTTATACTTAGTATTTTATCCAAATACTCTGTGAAAAATGTAAATACATCCAATAAGGGTAACTATGGGCCAGGGGAGGTGGCTCACGCCTGTAATCTCAGCACTTTGGGAGGCCAAGGCGACTGCATCACTTGAGGTCAGGAGTTCACAACCAGCTTGGCCAACATGGTGAAACCCTGTCTCTACTAAAAATACAAAAATTAGCCAGGCTTGGTGGTGTGCACATGTAATCCCAGCTACTTGGGAGGCTGAGGCAGGCTGAGGCAGGAGAATTGCTTGAACCCGGAAGGCAGAGGTCGCAGTGAGTCAAGATTGTGCCACTGCACTCCAACCTGGCAACCTGGGCAACAAAGTGAGACATTGTCTCAAAAAAAAAAAAAAAAAAAAAGGGTAACTATGGCAATACAATCAGTATGGCCACACTGGTACAGATTAACTGTTGAAAAGTACATAAACACAGATGAGAAACATCTGCCTTATGGCTTAGCTTTTCATAAAATAAGGTGTATTTCTTAGAACTATTCCAAACACAGAAATTCTCAATTTGTCTAACATTCCTTTTTTTTAAAAACTTTTTTCCTACTCTTTTGAAATTGTAAAAATGTATAAAATACCTACAGATGAAGTTAGTATGCAATACTAGTATCATTAAGGTTGTTAGGTATAATAAAAAATTAATTATTAGGAAAGGGAAGTCTACACACTGGAGGACCATAAAGAGGGACTAAAGGAAGAGAATTAAAAAATAATGAAACACTTGAAATAAAACACTAGATCACATCTTCAAAATAATAATTAACTAGGCTCGATGGCTCATGCCTATAATTCTAGCACTTTGGGAACCCGAGGGGCAATTCAACTTCTGAGGGGGCAGGATCACTCGAGTCTAAGGAATTTGAGACTAGCTTGGGTAACAGAGCAAGACCCCATCTATACAAAAAAAATTTAAAAATCAGCTCTATGTGGTGGTGCATGCCTGTGGTCCCTGCTACTCAAGAGGCTGAGGTGGGAGGCTGCAGTGAGTCACGATCATGCTACTGCACTTCAGCCTAGGCAAAAGAGCAAGACCTTTTAAAAATAAAATAAAATAATAATTGAGTTAAATAACATAGAAATTAGGAGTAAACTATCTCTACCTGATAGATCATGCAAATTCCCATGACAATAGGCGAGTGGCCCAAATGAATGATGAGTGATATAAAATGAAGGCAAAATAAGAAGTGAAGGCAAGAAATTAAGAGGCTAAATTCTGACTGATCTAAGATACTAGTTTTCTTTACCTCTGAAAAAATAAAATTCAAATACAGTTCAGTAGAAATAACTCTCTGGAGTTAGCATTATCATGGGTTTGGGCCATAATCCTGAAAGACACAATCTCAAATGCCATAATCCTGAATGTCAAAATCCCAAAAGAGCAAAATCCTTAAAGTCTAAAAATCCCCAGAACCCCAATACCAAAAGACCAAAATCCCAAAAACACAGTTCTGGAAGAAATAACTTCAAAAACAATTTTAAGACATTGATTTGCATTTTTAAAAGGGGATTTATTTGAGAAACATATAAAAACAGAACAGTACACTTCATAGGCCACTTTACACAATAAAATAGGCAATAATAACTTTTTTGCAAGCATGAACACTTAAGTGTACTAATGACAGTCACACAGGTATAATAACAGTTATGAGCAGACAAATTGTATTCACAAAAAAATTAGTCAAAAATTAGAAATTAGTCAAAAAGCAAAATGTATAAATGCATATCACTATGGTTGGTAATTGTCTGCACCAAGCTTCATAAATATGGTCATCTGAAATACCACCAGGGACAACCTAAGTCTTTTGATGAGATAGATCAAAAACTTCTATGGGTCACCACATACACAGTTGCCTGAAGAGCTAAGATTTCAAGAAATAAATTTTATCTTTCACAAATAAATGATGTACAAAAAGGACATGTCTTCATTTATCAAAAAAATTTCAACATTTTAATGTATATGCACAATGCTTACACACAGTCAATGTTGTGATAACGAACTTCTGTGGAGTCAAATTTCTGATGTCCAAGGCAGCAGCAGAAGAGTCTGTCCCAGCTCTTAGAGAGAGACAAATGCAATTTCTGTATTTGCTCTCTCTGGGCCCTGGTCAACTGCAAGGTGCCCACCAACACTAAGGGCAGATTTTCACCGCCTAGTCCACTCAGACTCACCCACTCATCTCCTCTGGAAGCAACCTCACAGACACAGCCCAAATAATGCTTTACTAGGTATTTTTTTAATACAGTCAAGTTGTCACCTATACTTAAATCCACAAGTCTATCCCTTGCCAATTTGGCACCCCTATGCATCTCCTTAAACCATACCTAATTTCCAAATAAAATAATAAGGTAGTAGTATTGCCTAATATGATGCATCTAACATGATGCAACTATCTTGTGTACAACCAAAAACGCATTAATCCCTTCCCTAGAATTAAGCTTTCAGGATTTCAACATTAAGGATTTTGATCTTTCAAGATTTGAACATCGGGATTATGGCATTTGGGATTGTGTCTTTAAGGATTATGATCAGTACCACATTATCACATATATTACCTTTGGAATAAATCCAGAAATTATTAATTTGAAGATGTTAATTTTAGAAACTAATACTAACAATAGCTTATTTAAATAACAGTAAAACACACTCTTTTTGGACAAAATATATTTAAAAAATAAAAATCAGATATAACACAGTTTTATTTTAATTCAGAGTATTTACATTGACATAATAATGAATAACCTTTATTCTACCAAAAAGTAAACAAATTGGGAAGGCACTGACTTTAAACTCTAGATACTGCCTAACAGAGCAACCATTTTCTAGAATTATTAATACTTACCTTTGCATATGTTGTGTTGTCTGCAAACTGGGATAGTATAATTTGGGGGTTTTTTAAATCAATACTTGCCATTCCTATTTCACCTCTGGCAAGTCCTCTCCCTTCTACAACAGCTACAATAACTGATGGGGAGTGTGCAGAAATCGCAGATGAGGATGAAGCTGTAAATTTTTAAATAAAGAAAAGATATAAACATTGATAATAATCATTTCTTTTTTTAAAAAAAACTAGGAAATTCTTAATCAAGAGGACAAAATAATGCAATCTGTAGATATCAGTTAGCCTCTTATTTCAATTCTCCCTAAAGGATCTATTGGTTCAGTACAACTATAATTTCAATCAAAACCTCAATATGTTTTTTGGTGGAGCTTGAAAAATTGGCCCAAAATTTACATGGAAGAGCAAAGGGCCAAGAAGAATCAAGACTCCTCTAAAGAAGAGTAAGGTGGCTTGTGGAGGGTACAGGTGGCAAGGCTGTCCTACAAAATATCAAGACTTATTATAAAGCTAAAGATGGTGTGATATTGGCACACAGCTAGACATAATGACCCATCAGAGTTAAAAAAGAACTAGAAACATAGAAACTAACAGAAAAGGCCGGGCGCGGTGGCTCATGCCTGTAATCCCAGCACTTTGGGAGGCCGAGGTGGGCGGATCACAAGGCCAGGAAATCGAGACCATCCTGGCTAACACGGTGAAACCCCATGTCTACTAAAAATACAAAAAATTAGCCAGGCGTGGTGGCAGGTGCCTGTGGTCCCAGCTACTCGAGAGGCTGAGGCAGGAGAATGGCGTGAACCCGGGAGGCGGAGCTTGCAGTGAGCCGGGATCGCGCCACTGCACTCTAGCCTGGGCTACAGAGCGAGACTCCTTCTCAAAAAAAAAAAAAAAAAAAAAAAAAAAAAACCAAACAGAAAAGTCATCAAAATATTTATTACTCAGAATATATAAAGTATTGCTACAAATCCAGAAAAATAAGCCTAAAGAAAAATGAGTAAAAGACATGAACATTAATTTCACAGACCATTATTAAAGATATATAGCCCAAAAGTACAGAAAAAGATAATCTCACTAGTAATCAGGAAAATGCAAACTCAGAAAATAAAAAACTCAGGTAGTATTTTACAACTGTTAGGTTGGAAAATATTGAGTCTAACAATATCAAATGTTGAAGTGGACTCTTACACATTGTTAATAAGAGCATACCATAATAACCAATAAATTAACCAATACAATTTATTATGATAATGATTATTGGCTAATTTAATAATAATCTTATGATGATGATGATGATTACTAAATTAGCCAATAATCATAATAAATTTTAGAAGTTAGTAATGATGAGGATAGAGTAAGATTGGCTTACCTTATACACTATTGATGGAATTAAAAATTAGTCCAGTTCTCAAAAGAAACTTGGCAATATATCTGAGATTCTTAAAAACTGGTAATTTTGGCCAGGCGCAGTGGCTCATAACTGTAATCCTAGCACTTTGTGAGGCTAAGGTGGGAGGATCACTTGTGGCCAGGAGTTCGAGACCAGCCTGGCCAACATGGCGAAACCCCATCTCTACTAAAAAAAAAAAATTGGCTGAGCATGGTGATGCATGCCTGTAATCCCAGCTACTCGGGAGGCCGAGGCAGGAGAATCACTTGAACCCAGGAAGTGGATGTTGCAATGAGCCGAGATGGTGCCACTGCACTCCAGCCTGGGCAATAGAACAAGGCTTCGTCTCAAAAACCAAAAAAAAAAAAAAACAAAAAATGGTAATTAAAAAAAATAAAAAAGGTAATTTCCCTATGTTTCAGTAATTTGACTTCTAAGGGTGTGTTTTAAGGAAATAATAAGAGACTCAGAAAAAAGCTTTATGTATTAGGATGCTCATTATTATGTTATTTACAACAGAGAGATAACAGCATAAATGTATTTTTAGAACCTTAGAGATGTCTTTTATATGTCTATTGAATTTCCACTGGAACTTGGTATTTATTTTCTACTTAAAAATAAACAGGTCAGGGCTGGGTGCGGTGGCTCACACCTGTAATCCCAGCACTTTAGGAGGCCAAGGTGGGCGGATCATGAGGTTAGGAGTTCAAGACCAGCCTGGCCAATATGGTAAAACCCTGTCTCTACTAAAAATACAAAATTAGCCAGGCGTGGTGGTGCATGCCTGTAATCTCAGCTACTCGGGAGGCTGAGGCAGGAAAATTGCTTGAATCCAGGAGGCAGAGGTTACAGTGAGCCAAGTTGTGCCACTGCATTCCAGCCTGGGCGACAGAGCAAGGCTCCATCTCAAACAAATAAAAATAAAAATAAAAGTAAATAAAAAGGTCAGCCAGGCACAGTGGCTCATGCCTGTAATCCCAGCACTTTGGGAGCCAAGGTGGGTGGATCATGAGGTCAGGAGTTCGAGACCAGCCTGGCCAGTATGGTGAAACCCCATCTCTACTAAAAATACAAAAATTAGCCGGGCGTGGTAGCAAGCACCTGTAGTCCCAGCTACTCAGGAGGCTGAGGCAGAAGAATCACTTGAACCCGGAAAGCAGACATTGCAGTGAGTCGAGATCACACCACTGCATTCCAGCCTGGGCGACACAGTGAGATTCTGTCTCAAAAAATTAAAAAAAAAAAAAAAAAAAAAGGAAGGTCATATTCTACTACAGAGCTAAAACTGACTTCTGTAGATCTAATATAAACTTAACTACCATTTATACTTTGGTAGAACTACTTTAAAAAATAATTTGTCATTATCTTATAAATATATGCATTTACATAACTTACCCTGTAACCAAGAAATTCTGTTGTATATACCTTAGAAAACTGTTATACATGAAAACCTATTTTATCTATCTACTCTTCAAGAAAATCTCATAGATTTAGATAAAAATTAAAATTTAAGTATAAAAAAACCACTCACTAGTAATATCAGGGTCAACTTTTAGATTTAAATGCCATCATGTATAAAAGGGAGAGGTTTCTCTTTCTTGTGTGTTTTTTTGTCAGAATGGTTAAAATAATGTAGACTTACATTTATTAACAAACAATTTCAGAAACTATGTTGCCTTATTAATCTAGACTCAAATTATGGATAGAGGTAAACTAATGTATTTATTTTTCATTCATATCAGTTATAGATAAATTCAAATGAACTTAATAACCCTAATTTATAATTTATAAAACTTTTAAGTTTCAAAACATCATCTAGGTTAATCTTCCACTTATTTTACCTGAATATCCCACTTGTGGTGTCCAGCTCTTATAACCTGATCTCTGAGGATTTCCAGTAGACAATGGAGTTTTAAGTGTTTGAGGATAATTAGTATCTCGTGCAGAAGATGAGCTTGCACCAAAAGTAAAATTTGATGCAACTGTGTTTTCTGCATAAGCTCTTTTGTTTCCAAAGTATGAACCTAAATTTGAAAAATTAACAGTCAATTCTTAAAGATTTGAATTATGCAATGATGTATTAGTCATTATAATTTATACCATGTTCACTTTCCTTTTTTTTCTTTTTTTCTTTTTTGAGACAGAGTCTTGCTCTTGTCGCCCAGGCTGGAGCGTAGTGGCATGATCTCGGCTCACTGCAACGTCCACCTCCCAAGTTCAAGTGATCCTCCTGCCTCAGCCTCCCGAGTAGCTGGGATTACAGGCACCCGCCACCACGCCTGGTGAATTTTTGTATTTTTAGTAGAGATGGGGTTTCACCATGTTGGCTGGGCTGGTCTCGAATTCCTGACCTCATGATCTGCCTGCCTCGGCCTCCCAAAGTGCTGGGATTAGAGGCCTGAGTCACCGCACCCAACCACTATGTTCACTTTCTATAAAATTTCATGTGAAAATGATTTTTGAAAATAAACAGATTATAACAAAATTAATGACATTATTGATAAATATACAAAAATATGCTAATATAGCTTTTGCCTCTACAAGTTCACTGCAACTACTCTGGCTAAAATCATAAATTACCCTTTAATCTTCAAATATACCAGATGTGTTGCTAAGGTATGAATATCTGTCCCCTCTGAAACTTACATTGAAATTTAATCCCCAGTGAAGTGTGGCAGGACAGAGGTGGGGCCTTTAAGAGGTGATGGGGCATGAGGGCTCTGCCTTCATGAATGAATTAATCCATTCATGATTTAATAGGTTAATGGGTTATCACGAGAGTAGGACTGGTGGTTTTATAAGAAGAGGATGAGAGACCTGAGCTACCATGCTCAGCTCCCTCTCCATGTGATGCCCTGTACCACTACAGGACTCTACAGAGACTCCACCAGCACAAAGACCCTCACTAAATGTGCCTCCTTTGACCTTGGACTTCCCAGCCTCCAGACTTCCAAGAAATATGTTTTCTTTCTTGATAATCACCCAGTTTCAAGTATTCTTTTAAAAGCAACAGAATACAGACTAAGACATATGTTTCATTTGTATAATAATTATTAGACCTCTTTTAACCTTCTTCTGTTAATTTCTTCATTGAATTTCTCTCCCCTATGCAAATGGCATTTTAGACTCAATTGGCTTCAGTTCCTTATTTAGGTACTTATCTACTGATGTAAGCTATTACCTATTTTACAGGATTGTCATAAAATTTTTAAATAATGTACATAAACAACCTAGCATAGCCTCTTGGCACATAGAAGTTCTAAAAAAATTTTAAAATGTTTGGGCTCTGTTCACCTATTCTCTTTGATTTCCACAACTCTCTATCTTGAATTCTCTTTAAACCACTTTTAGTTTCCTTTGCCATCTCCTTTTTCCTCTGCTTCTTAACTGTTGGCCTCCAGGGCTTCATACTTTTAAGCTTTCCCTCACAAATCAACATTATGCATCTCCAGGCATCTCATCTCTCCTCTTTGTTTCTATTAACATCTATTTTCTGACAACTCTCAAGCCTTCGTATATAGCTGTAACGACTCCTTAAACTGTAAACCAGGGGTTGCTAAACTTTTAATTTTTCCTTTTTGTCTGTATGTGAGACTCTCGTTCTGTAGCTTAGGCTGGAATTCAGTGGTGTGATCTTGGCTAAATGCAGCCTTGAACTCCTGGGCTCAAGCAATCCTCCTACCTCACCCTCCCGAGTAGCTGGGACTATAGGCTCATGCCACCATGCCAGGCTAATTTTTTGTATTTTTGTAGAGATGGGGTTTTGCCATGTTGCCCAGGCTGGTCTCAAACTCCTGGGCTCAAGTGATCTTCCCATCTCAGCCTCCCAAAATGCTGGGATTATAATCGGGAGCCACCATGCCCAGTCTATTTTACTGTCTTATAAAGACAAGGTCTCTCTTTGTCGCCCAGACTGGAGTGCAGTAGTGTGATCACAGCTCACTGCAGCCTCAAGCTCATGGGCTCAAGTAACCTCCTGCTTCAGCCTCTTGAGTAACTATGGACTATAGGTGCACCTCACCACACACAGCTAATTTTTTTTTTATAGAGACAGGGTCTTGCTACATTGCCCAGGCTGATCTCAAACACCTGGCCTCAAGCAATCCTCCCACTTCAGCCTCCCAAAGCACTGAGATTACAAGCATAAGCCACCATGCCTCAGCATAAACTTTTTTTTTTTTTTTTTGAGATGGAGTTTCACTCTTGTTGCCCAGGCTAGAGTGCAATGGCGCAATCTCAGCTCACTGCAGCCTCTGCCTCCCAGGTTCAAGCAATCCTCCTGCCTCAGCCTCCCAAGCAGCTGGCATTATAGGCATGCCCACCACACCTGGCTATTTTTTTTTTGTATTTTTAATAGAGACAGGGTTTTGTCATGTTGGCCAGACTGGTCATGAACTCCTGGCCTCAGGTGATCTGCCCACCTCAGCCTCCCAAAGTGCTGGGATTATAGGCATGAGCCATCATGCCCAGCCCATAAACTTTTAAATAAAGGACCAGATGGCAAATATTTTAGGCTTTTGTGGGCCATATAATCACTGTCACAATTACTCAGCTCTGACACTATCATAGAAAAGCAGTCATAGATAATACATAAATAAATGAGAATGGCTATGTTTCAATTAAAAATGGCTTTATTTCTACATATTGAATTCTAAATTTCATATAATTTTAATATCACAAAATATTCTTGATTCTTTAATCCTTCAAAAGTGCAAAAACCGTTCTCAGCTCTATACCTGCATTGTTCAATAAAGCAGCATATGTGAGTATTTAACTAAATCAAAATTAAATACAATTTAAATTCTGTTCCTCAGTCACACTAGCAACATTTTCAAATGCTCAAAAGCCACATACGGCTACTAGTTACCACATCGGACAGCATAAGTATGAAACGTTTCTATTATCACAGAATATTCTATCAGACAATGTAGCTCCAGGTCACTATATCTATCTCTTGGGCATAAACCTTTAGGTATCTTCCCAGCATTCTAAATGTCCAAAAGTGAACTCTATCTTTCCCTCAAAATTAATTCTTTATTACCAGTATGGTTAATTGTACCAGCTTGTCCCTTGTCACTCAAGTCATAAGCTTAGGAGACATTCTCAATTCTTCCTTCATCAACCCTAACACTCAGTGACTGAGTGCTAGAATTCTTTTTTTTTAACATCACTAAAATTTAAATCCCTCTCTACTCCTCCCAGCCCATTTTAAGCCTGTATCTTCTTTGGTCCTTGTGCAAGTTTCCTACTTCTTCTTCTCCTTGCTTCCAGTATTACACCTCTCTAATCTATTCTTCGAATCATCACCAATAATCTTTCTGAAAAGCAAATCTGATCAGTATCTCTCTTTCTTACAATTCCTATGTGTCTCCCCATACTCACCATAGGGTAAAATATAACTTCATTATATGGGTTCCAGCAGGAATCAATGATATACTCAAACTGGGATAATTTGATAAAGAGAATATTTACAAAGGTGTGGACAGGGTGTAGGGGTGCTATCATAAAGACGTGTGTAGAACCAGCATAAAATGTGCTCCATTAGCATTTCTAGGCTTTAGGGAGCTAAGGAAGAGAGTGGTTGCCAGAAACTGGAGATGCGGAAACTGGAGATGGAGAGGGCTGTTTCTTGTTCTCAGACTACTTTTAGACTATATACCCTTTCTTGAAACTCATTCACTTGTCTTAATTCTCCTCCTACTTCCTTGACCTCTATTTTGCTATATAGTCTTCATATTCTCTGCTGTGGTCCCAACATACTGGTAACTTTCAAATCCATATTTCCCTCAAGTTTCTCTCTTCTTAGCTCTAGTTTCCTATATTCAATTATCTTAATATAAATATATGGATATCCCACAGGCTTTTCACACTCAGCATGTCCATAACAGAGCTCATCATCTTCCCTCTAAAATTTGCTTTGCCTACAAAATTCCCAGAATCAGAAAATACTACTACCATCTATCCAGTCACCAAAACCAGAGACCTGGTGTTGAATATGGGGGGTCTCTGGGTTAAATTTGTCTCCCAGATCTAATTCTCACAACTATATCTACATTCAAGTTTATCTACCTAGATCACTCTCCTGCTCTAGCCAAGCAAAATTATTAGCAGTTTTACATGATTCTTCTGTGCCTTTGCACGTGTTTTTCTCAAGAATGCGCTCCAGCTGTTTCCCTTTGGCTGGCATTCTTCTTCCTACTTATTCTTGAAGACCAGTTCAAGGTGCACTTACTCTGTGAAATGTCTTTTCCCACTTTTGTCCCCATACTTTAATTATACCTACCTCAAAAATTATAAATACCTCAAATACAGTTATTTCTTAAATGTGTATTTGTTGATTTTTAAGTCTGTCTTCTCTACTGAACCTTAAGTTCATTGAGAGCACAGATTATTATCCCCAGCTGCTAACATAATTTGAACCTTTGTTCGCCTATTTGGGCCTTGGTTCTATCTGTAAAACAGGAACAAAAAAAAAATCTACTCTGCAAAATTATTGTGAGGATCAAAGATACCGTCTGCCTAGTAAGAAGCCAGAACAAAGTAGGTGCATATAAATTAGTGAATGTTATCATTACTGATAAATAAGTGGGTGACCAAGCATCTGATGAAGAGAGGGATTAGACTGACAATGTGAACATTCATGTTGCTTTAAAGGAATTGCAAGTAGCTCAGTTTTGTTAGAAAGCAGGGTAAATATTAAATGATGAGGGATAAATCTGTAAAGATTAGAAACCGATCCCAATTGCTTTGGCTATCCTTCTAGAGAGTTTGATCTTTTACCTGCAGATACAGGTCTACTGATTTAAGTGGCAAGGGACATGATAAGATCATTTTCCACATAACTCTGGTGGTACAGTAAGTAAGCTACAAGGATGGAAGAACACTTAAGAGTTTGAGGGCTAGGTGCAGTGGCTCACACCTGTAATCCCAGCATTTTGGGAGGCTGAGGTAGGAGGATCGCTTGAGCCTAGAAGTTCGAGACCAGGCTGGGCAACGTAGGAAAACACTGTCTCTACAAAAAAATTTTTTAAATTAGCCATCTGTAGGGGCACATGCCTTGGTCCCAGCTACTCGGGAGGCTGAGGTGGGAGGATCGCTTGAGCCCAGGAATTTGAGGCTGCAGTGAGTCATGACCATGCCACTGCACTCCAGCCTGGGCAACAGAGCAAGACTCTGTCTCAAAAAAAAAAAAAAAGTGCAGAGAGGAATTTAATTAATCATATAGTCAGCCTGAGGTATCCATTAGTCCATCAATAAAAACTTCAGAAGACAGTCTGAAGTAAGTCTGGAGTGTAGATGAGATCTGAGCTGTGGAGATAGTCACATCTAGGTAGAAGTGGCCTAGGAAAAAAAGCTTTAATGACATGCCCATAATTTGGGAACAAAGGTGGGCACAGCAATTCTCTGGGAGGTAGCAGAAAAACAGGGGCAAGTGGAATCAAGGAAGCCAAATTAAAAGAGTTTAAGAGAAGACCAGTCAAGAACATTAAACATAGGCCAGGCAGCAGTGGCTCATGCCTGTAATCCCAATGCTTGGGCAGACCGAGGCAGGAGCACTTGAGACCAGGAGTTTGAGACCAGCATGGGCAGCATAGCGAGACTCTGTTTCTAAAAATAAAGAAATTAAGAACATTAAATACAGCAGAAAGGTCACATGAGATGAACTGAAAAATGACCATTGGATTTGGTATTTGTTACTTTACCATTGTGTTGCAATCGTGTGTGAAAAATGGTGATGCTTTGTCATGAATAGAGACTAACAAAATAATAAATGATTTGAAGGACATGCATCTTTTTTGTTTGTTTGTTTTGAGTCAGGGTCTCACTGTGTCACCCAGGCTGAAATGCAGTGGCGCAATCTCAGCTCACGGCAGCCTCGACCTCCCGGACTCGCCATCCTCCCACCTCAACCTCCTGAGTAGCTGGGACCACAGTCACGTGCCACCACACCCAGATAATTTTTGTACTTTTAGTAGAGATAGGGGATGGGGGTGGGAGGTTCACCATGTTGGCCAGGCTGGTGTGGAACTCCCGGCCTCAAGTGATCCGCCCACCCTGGTTTCCCAAAGTGCTGGGATTACAGGCGTCAGCCACCGCCCAGCCCACTCTTTTAATACTAAACATATTATTTTCCCTGAATTAGATGAAATGTTCAATTTAATCTATTTTATCCCACCTTAGCAGGATTTGGAGAATTAAATTCAGCAGCCAAAGATCAGCTCACAACTTCTATCAGCAAACTCACGCACAAACTGTCATTTGTCAGACACTGTGAGGGACGTTATATGGGATACTTCAGCCTTTCTCAGAACTGAGCCATCCACAGTCAAGGTCTTGCAATAGAACCAATTTGAAAAGTCAAGGCTTCTAATCACCCAGACTCACCAAATTCCCAGGGCACTCAGATCTCACGCCCCAACCAAATCACAACTTCACTGTGGTAACCACCACCCACGTGCCCCCGAGCCTCCATGAACTGCCGGCCTCTAGCCTCAAGGAGACTCCTCCACCCAATCACTCCTTGCCTTGAGCTGGCCGGGAGTTTGGCGCGGGGCAGGGAAGGCTGCTGCTGCTGCTGCTCCGGTCGCCCGCAGCTCCTGACGTGCCAGGACAGGTGGATGCAGAGACCACCTGGACCGAAGGGCGGCTCTGTGGAGTCTCCTGGAGTCCGAAATTGTAGCGGGGACCCTGAGGTGAGCGGGTTTCTCCCGACGACGGGGAAACCGCCGGGGCAGAAGGCGAGGTTGATGAGATCTCAGGCCTCAGCATCCTCCCAAACCTTCCCTGACCCGAGAAGTATGAGGTTTCTGAGCGACCCCTCCAGTAGCCCAACTACAGAAGCTGCGCCGCTGAAACGGGCGGGAGAACTGCGCGCCGACGCACTAAGCTGCACTGCGCAGGCGCAGGCAGGCTCAGCTTTCCACATGGATTCACGTACTTCAGGTCTATGACCCTGCTTCCAGCCATTCCCAAACCCATCACTTTCCACATGAACCTCACTGGAACATCCTCAGCCTGCAGGTATCAGACTGACCAGAACTCTGCAAGGCCCATCAATGACCACCCGATTTGTTAGCCCCATTATTCTCACAGCACCCAATCTCCCTTATTGCAAATGTTACATGCATTTCCCACACGTCCAAGCACACTAGCTTATCTTTAAATGTAGAAACCACCCAACACAGTACACCCAGTGCCTTTGACACAATGAGAACGTGTAATGCTCACACAGCATAACCCACCTAAGGTTGATCTTGTGACCAAATATAGGAAAGATAGTTATATTATCAAAAGATAGTATGCACATGGCTGTGTGCATAGTAGAGTAGGAAACAGGGAAAGACTGACTGGGTAAGATCTCTCAGTTAACAATTCCCCATCTACCAATTTCTAGTACTGTGGTTTCTAACATATAAATCAGTTAATGGCACACTAGAAGTTCAAACTCCAGCTTTGCAGTGGTGACCTTTAGAAAATTCCTTAAATAAGGCCAATAGTACCAACTTACCAGAGATCCATGGATTAAACATGACGAAATTATCTGGATACTGCCATACAGAAGCTATTAGAAGACATTAATTTACACCACTACTGAAATCCTGCCACTGTTGAGTATCTCAATAAACCAGTTATGCACAGCGGTTTACCCACATGCAGTGACAACAGTCCTTAAGAACATCTCTGTTCTTGGAATGATTATTGCACAGGGCATTCCAAACATACTTGAGAAAAATCTCAATTTCCATCAAAAAACCTTATTTTCAGATCGGGCACGATGGCTCCTCCCTGTAATCCCAGTACTTTGGGAGACTGAGGCCAGAGGATTACTTCACCTCCGGAGACCAGCCTGGGGAAGACAGTGCCTGTCCCCAAAATTAAGAAATCAGCTGGGCATAGTGGGCATGGTGGCAGGTACCTGTAGACCCTGGTACTCAGGAGGCTGAGGTGGAAGGACTGCTTGAGCCCAGGAGTTTAAGGTTACAGTGAGCTGTGATTGCACTACTATGCCCCAGCCTGGGGAAGAAAGGAAGACCCTGTCTCTAAAAAATAAAATTTAAAAATAGAGAATACCTCACTTTCACCAAAACTGTAAACCCCTAGAGTGATTGTACTCATTTTAGGCCAGGCGTGGTGGCTCACGCCTGTAATCCCAGCACTTTGGGAGGCCGAGGTGGGTGGATCACAAGGTCAGGCTGGTCTCCAGCTCCTCAGCATGGTGAAACCCTGTCTGTACTAAAGTAACATAAAAATTAGCCGGGCATGGTGGTGTGCGGCTGTAGTCCCAGCTACTCGAGAGGCTGCGGCTGAATTGCTTAAACCCGGCAGACGGAGGTTGCAGTTAAGCTGAGATCGTGCTGCTGCGCTCCAGCCTGGGCAACAGAGATTCTGTCACAAAAAAATAAAAAAGAGTGATTGTACCCATTTTAGCTTTTTAAGAAAAAGACAGGTGCAAAAAAATACTGTGGTGACCATCAACTTACCCGTTAGTGTTTCCTTATTTGAAGACAACTCCTTCTTTGGGTAATTCTGATATATAAAATGCTAAAAAAAAAAAAAAAAAAAAAAAAAAAAAGGACAGTCCGAATCACAACCCCATTTTAAGATGGTAGATTGCCATTTAACCTAAGTCTGTGACCAATTCAGAATAACCATATTCAAACCTATCAATCATTTCCAAATTTCAACAGCCATTTATTTTGTGCATCATTTAATTCATGTATGGGTTCTATCCACTTTCATCAGTTAACATTCTTGTTGACAAACCAATTTACATCAACTTGCTATAGAACAGATGAAAGGTATACATGGGGGAAAAATCAAGTAGAAACCTAGAGTTATTTTATGTTAGCTCAGTTATTGAACATAACAGACACAGAAGTATACACAAAGAACTGTAGTCAGAATAACAGGACTTCAGAATAAAAAGCAGAAAATAAAATACCGGTCTTTATTTTACAATATGTATAATTATATAATTTATTAAAATTAATTTAACACAATATACAAAATATTAACAGTAGTCACTTTTAGATTCGATAAGCACTTCAAATACAGAAATGTTAAAATGGCAAAACTATACTATGCAACTTTCAATTCAATGAATCTAGCTCACTAGCTCAGGCTGAACATTCACTCTCTGAAGCACTTCTTCAGGCATGCAAAAGACAGGATTAACAGGTTTAATCTGTTCTTCTCCCAAAAGTGACAATCCAGCAATTCCAAATAAGGTATGAAAAGGATCCACCTATTTAAAAAAGAATTTATATACAGATCACAAAATGAAAACTTCTTTAACTTCAAATTATGAATACCTGACCTTTACCATATACTAATTTTGTTAGCAACAAGCGACAAGAAATTTCTGTAAGATTGTTCTATATCCTTCATACACTCTACAATAAATAGAAAAAAAAACTGCTTTCAAAGCAACACTCGGAATGCCACCCTGGAAATCCATGGAACCATGAAGTAATGCAAACGCTGAAATAATTTATAGAAATATGTCAGAAATATTACTTGCCATATCTCCTGGCCTGTCTGCAAATCCCCCCGTTTCTTCATCTTGACATGCTAAAATGAAATTACGCAGTTTCTCTCTATCAATCCAATGAAGTCTTCCAATTATCTTTAGGGAAGCCAGGACCCACCATGAGTAGCATACATCTGGTAACTAGGAGGGAAAAAAGTTGCCACAATTTCATTCTCTTTTATTTCCCTAATTTTGAGAACAATTTAAAAGTGGGTTAAGTCTCACTCTTAGGTAATCTGATGTTCAAAGTGTCAAACCATGTGGAAGGACGAAATCCAGGGATATACTGATATGCAGGGTATGAAATACTTGCTTAGAATGAAAGATAATCAATTAATGGGTAAGAAGAGACCAAACTTCAATTCATAGGTAACCATGCTAAATATCTCAGTACTCACTGATAAGCATGCATCTGCTTTGTTTCTATCTGCAATGAATGCCTAACTCAGCCCCTTAACCAAGAAGCTAGCAGTATAATCATGAAATCCATGGGTATAGTTCTGTTTTTCTACAAGCACTGTCCAGGGGGGTACACACCTGCTTAAAATCAACTAAACCCTTGCTCTTCAAAATATGGTGACAGAAGTCTATAAAGAAAACCCCACTCAAGGCTGATCTCATTTTAATGAGATCCCTGAGTAACTCATAGACTCATTAGAAGCTGCCCTAGATTGTGTGCAAGTGCAGGTCCCGGTGCTCCCCACGGCCACCCATTTTTCTGTTGACAGTTCCTCAGGCTTTTTATTTCACTCTATTGTAGACAGCTACTGCGGGTGTTTCTCTACCCGTTGTTATTCAGAAATACTAAGGTTTAAAAATAAAAATACAGGCCGAGCACAGTGGCTCACGCCTGTAATCCCAGCACTTTGGGAGGTTGAGGCGGGTAGATCACCTGAGGTCAGGAGTTCAAGATCAGCCTGATGAACATGGTGATACCCCATCTCTACTAAAAATACAAAATTGGATGGGCGTGGTGGTGTATGACTGTAATCCCAGCTACTGTACCACCACGTCCCATTCAGAGGGCAGGGGCACAGCAAGCTACAATCCTTGAGTCAAATCTATAGTGTAGGAATAGTTTTTACATTTATAAATCATTTAAATATAGTCCTGGGTCAGGCACGGTGGCTCACGCCTACAATCCCAGCACTTTGGGAGGTTGATGCAGGCAGATCACGAGGTCAGGAGTTTGAGACCAGCCTGGCCAATATGGTGAAACCCCGTCTCTAATAAAAATACAAAAATTAGCCGTGCGCCTGTAGTCCCAGCTACTTGGGAGGCTGAGGCAGAACTGCTTGAACCTGGGAGGCGGAGGTTGCAGTGAATCAAGATGGCGTCACTGCACTCCAGCCTGGGCAACAGAGCAAGATTCCATCTGACATAGGAAATACAAGTATATCCATCCATAATAATTGTAATTGGAACACAGCCATACTCATTCATTTCTTACCACTTATGGCTGCACTTGCTCTACAGGACAATTACATAGTTGCAAATGAGTATTCACTATTTGTCCCTTACAGACCTGATAAGAGAGACCTATTATGTGGAGGAAAATTTAATAATCTTCTCTCCAAACCAAATTATCTGGGTATTCCTTAAATAAGAAGATTGCAAACAAAAATTCTGTAGTCTAATTTTTAAAAAATCCAATTTGCCAAAATCAACTGTCCTTAAACATGGAGATTCCTGTACAAGACTGTCTGGAAATGGACATTAGGATCAATGAGTATTTCAACTCATGGGGGTCTACTTTGTCAAGGGGAGTCTTTTAGTAGGATATATTACTGAAAATTCACAACAGGGAAAGGTAATAAATAAGCTCATGGCCAATTTACAATATAGAAACAGGCAAGACAAAGCAGCAGCATTCACTCAAGGTTCTAAAGCTAGCAGAATATGGCTTATCAAACAATACCTTCTCCGGCCTTCCATTGAGCCCGCCTGAGGGTAATTGTCGTTCACAAAGCCACCAGCCAAGTAAATCAGAATTTACTTGATGCAACTGACTTGTAATTGCCAGAAATCCTGTGCAACAATAGATCTAAAATTACAGACATAAAGTTTATGTGTATAATAATTTCTTGACATTAAAAGTGATAAAACTCAAATTATTAAAACACCACTTTATATCTTAAGTTTTTCTTCTTGATCTGACACTTAAAATTCCAAACATGTATTAATACCACATATCTGAAAAAATCCAAGCATACTATTACTAGTATGCAATTCTGCACTGAAATATTATTGTCAAAATTTCTTCATGGCTAGTATTTCACAGCCATCCATTCACATATTCAGTGTTCTCTGGCACAAGAAAAGAGGTTCATAATTTATCTTAGGAAAGAAAGAAAAATGTGTTGTTTTTTTTTTTATCTGTATGGTTAGTGAAAAATTAATGGAAAACAAAAGTGTTTTGGTGCTTATAAACCCACTTATGTTTGCTTAGGTCAGACGAATCCACCGACAGAGAAAGGTATATAGTATATAAAGCAAAGTAATGATAGCAATTAAGCAATTCTTATGTAAGATGCCCTATTACAGTCGAATTAACTTTATGTGTATTTGACAAACACTGAAATAACCAATTTTCTTATTTTACTACACTGGCTTCCAAAATGACAATACATTTTCATCTGTATTCATAAATTACCTGCCCAGCATGGGATTCAGAACCTGGTCTGCAACCAAATCCACCGTCAAAGTTCATACAGGATAAAACAAATTCGATTGCCTTTTCCACATTAATAGCATCAAGCTTCCCCTACAAACAAAAAAAAAGATGCCTGTTAAATTCCAGAGTATTCAGCAGATCAGACTCAAAAAAAAAAAAAATTCCAGAGTATTCATGAACTTTAATCATTTCAATCAAATATTCAAAGCTTACCAACAAAGCCAAAGTTGCCACCGCACAAAAAGAGAATCTTGTGTCAATTTCTCCTACAATAAAAATAGATCAAATCAAGGCAGGTGTTACCAAATCATACATGAGTCATCTAAAAACAAACACTGCACAACTACCACTTTAAATTGAGTTCAAGCTTAACTTTCACTTTAGGGTAGTCAGGAGGAAAGCTAAATCTGAAGTGCCTTTACTTCCCAAGAAAATTCCTTTGTCAAAAATAACAGCAAATTGACCAGGCACAGTAGCTCTTGCCTATAATTCCAACATTTTGGGAGGCTGAGGTGGGAGAATCACTTGAGCCTAGGAGTTTGAGACTAGCCGAGGCAACATAATGGGACCCCATCTCTACAAAAAACTTTTTAAAAAAAATTAGGTGGGGCTGGGCATTGTGGCTCAGGCCTGAAATCCCAGCACTTTTGGTGGCCGAGGCAGGAGGATCACATGAGGCCAGGGGACCCCATCTCTACTAAAAACACAAAAACCAGCCAGGTGTTGTGGTGCACATCTCAGCTACTCTGTAAGCTGAGGCAGGAGAATTGCTTGAGCTTGGGAGGTGGAGGTTGCAGTGAGCCAAGATTGCACCACTGCACTCCAGCCTGGGCAACAGAGCTCTCCAGCCCCAGCAACTGTCTCCCAAAATACTGCACTCCAACCTGGACAGAGCCAAGACCCTGCCACAAAAAAGTAACAGCAAATTATCTTAAGCTGCTTAAAGAAAGCCCAGAAAGAGAAGAAAACCAAAGAGAAGAAAACTAATAGAACCCAAAGTATTAGTCCATTTCTAATAATGAAATAAACTTACCCTACTTTATAAAAGTAGATTTTTCACATCCCATGAAGCAGCTGGTCTCTCTGGCCTGCACTGTGTTCATCCCTAAAGCAGAGATTATCTACGTTTATCAAATAAAATTCTATTCCCTCCCTCCACTCAAATATTCAGCAAGTTTGTAAAGTTTTTTTTTTTAAATATTTTTCCCTTTCCAGCAAGTAGTTTTTAAAAAACTTTACAAAGCCACCAAATATTGGGGAAAAAAATTCCACCTACCTTATCTTTTAGACTGGCCCCCTCTGTTCCAGTGCTCCTGTATATGCTGATATAACTACCACAGTGCATGCTGGAAGTTCCAGCAGACCATTAACTCCAGTTAGACCAGCTGCTTAGTGGGACCTGAAAAGATGAAAAACTTATAAACTGGTTACTAGCAAAACCAGTACATTTTAATATTGGTATTTTGGGTAGAATGGACTAAATCTGACATTACCCCAAATATCTCCAGCAAAAGAACCATCTTCTTTCTGTAGACCTTTAACATATTCCACAACTTTATTTACGTCAATAACATTAATACTGTCATACAGCGTAAGAATCTGCAATAAAGACAAGTATTAGGTAAATGTCCCTTTCAGGTTTATTCTAATGATCTTATGCTCAACTCTTTTTAAGTTGTCAAGCACATCCTTTTGTCTCTGTGTATATAACCTTTTCTCAAATATGCAGACTCTCCTGTTATTGAATAAAATTAGATAGTATCAAGAAAACTCAAATCTTTAAAGTATAATTTTCTACATATAAATTTTAACTTGGCATTCCAAGATACTCAAGTATACTAACTCACATCCACACAAAGTCCTGATCTTCCCATCTCAGCACCCAGTAGTACCAGAAAGACTTTAAACCACCAGGTAGATGTTCACTAATATCAAAATCAAATAGCTCCATTTAGCTATTTTACAGTATTTACACATACTGAAGATAAAAATTTTACCCTCCAAGGTCTCAGTGTAATTTTAGAACTCACATCAACTTTAGATTCAGCTAATACATGCCATTACATCATTGACCTTGTAGGACAGCTTCACTTGTAACAAAACTTTTTGACCAAATCCTGATACAGTTTCAATTTCCAACTCTGAAGTAAGAGAACATACTATCAAGATCGTTGCAATTTTGATTAGTATTTACCTGGACAGCACTAAGAGTGTATAAAAGATGAGGATCATGTCCGATACTAGCACTTATTCCACCACATTCATGTTGGCAAGACTTAATAAATGCCAGAATCTCTTCTCTATTCATGCGATGAAGTTGTCCCATGAGATCCATTACTGTCAGACCCCAATAGATGCCACTCATTCTCAAATACTCAGACATACAGTATTCCTAAAATAATACACAATTTCTTAAATCTGTCATTTGAACTGGTAACAAGTTATAAAGAGATTAAACACAAAGGTAACTCATTAGCCATGCTGCTATTTTTACCTCTCCTGACCTTAACAGCACTGATCAGTAGTGAGTTTAAAATCTGTGCTGCTCAATGTTAGAAGCCATCTTCAGACACAACTATTATCAGAAAAAAACAATTATCTGAGAAGCACAGGATTAGTTAATCTATGGCTGACAATACAAACAGTGCTTTAGTTTCTCCCATGAGCCAGAGACAGAAAAACATCTACCTTTTTCATCAGTGAAGTTCAGGGAGAGTATTTCTTTCCGAGTACCTATACCATATTTATCAGACATCTATTTTAATGTGGACTCTGTACAAAACCTATTATCTATTAGTAAATTATATAACTACATGAAAAATCAAAATGCCCTAAACATGCCAAAGATGTTTAAGCCCAGATAAAACAGTGGCTAATCAATGATACATGAAAATTAGTATTAGGATTCCAGAAACAAATTTTTCCCACACTCAACAATGCATTATATTTTAAGAAGTTTTGTGGCTGGGTGGTGGCTCCTGCCTGTAATCCCAGCACTTTGGAAAGCTGGGGCAGGCAGATCACTTGAGGTCAGGAGTTTGAGACCACTCTGGCCAACATAGCAAAACTCAGTCTCTACGAAAAATACAAAAACTAGCTGGGCATGGTGGAATGTGCCTGTAATCCCAGCTATTCAGGTGGCTCACTTAAACCCAGGAGATGGAGGCTGCAGTGAGCCCAGATCGCACCGCTGTCCTCCAGTCTGGGCAACAAAGTGAGGTTATAGCTCTCAAAAGGAAAAAAAGAAGTTTTTTTAACAGGTGGTGCATCTTAGTTTGCTACTAACCCAAATTCAGGGCATAAAGATAGATAGCAGATAAAGGCAGAAACGAGTCCAGCCCCATCCATATGGCCTTAACTCCATGATTGCTAATAGAGTATTTTCAAGGTTATGGGAACCTAACACTTAAGTAAAAAATTAATACATACCATATATCCCACAAATCGGTAGACTAAGACAACTGAGTTTGGATACTACAGGGAAAAACATTTACTCTTAACTAAGTTGTTTACTACTTTTTGCTAAGATTGTCCCAGAGTTTTCCTCGAAATTTAAAAATTTAAGGTAAAACTTTTTCAAGGTCTCAGAGTAATTCTAGAGCTAAAGTGTTATTACACATCAGCAATAGATTCAGATAATACATGCCAACACATCATTGACCTTGAAAGTATTACCCCTAACTACAAAAAGAGAAACCCGTTTTGTACCTCAAACCCTCATCTACTTTGTCTGGCAAGCCCTCTCAGTATAGGTAAAAACTGAGATTCTAATAAGCCCACAGCCTCAGACGTCCAAAGCACACTTAACTGAAGTTCAAAGGCACAGCACATCCTCAGTTCTCTGCATGGAGTTGGATGCCATTTTAAGACATAAATACTGTCTCACTGCTTATGACTGTCACACTTCTTTAAAATAAACTTTCCAACATAAAAAAATTATACATACATAATCATCTTTCTTTGAGCCATAGGATGCGATATAATCTGCATGTTTCTCCAATAACAAAGTGTCCGGTGCATCTGACTTGATAATAACATCCTTCTGTGGAGTGCCCTTTCAAAATAAAGTGGTAATCTCATCAATGTTTACCTCTACAACGTTCTTCTGCCCCACAGCATAGATTCAACATACATCTCAATTTTCACTTGATTTCATCTTGTAATAGGAAAACGTTCCATTTAAAAATTGTAACTAACTAGGGAGGCTGAGGTAGAAGATCGCTTGAGCCAGGGAAATTAAGGCTGCAGTGAACTGAGGTTGTGTCACTGCACTCCATCCTGGGCGACCGGAGACCGACTCAAAAACAAAACCAAAACAACAACAACAACAACAAATTGTATCCAACAAAAAAGAACTTAAATCATTCAGGCTTCGTCTTAGTCACGATTCAGGTAATTTTCAGGTCTCAGAGTAATTCTAGAGCTAAAGTAGTAATAATCAACTTTAGATTCAGAATACATGCCAACTCATCATTGACCCAAAAAATTACCACCAGCATTTCTTGTTGTTCACTTTTCATTCAAAAAGATAAGTAAAAAATAAACACCATAGAATATCAAAGCTTATCATTTCAGGACAACTTACGGTTTACATGTGGCAGAAAGCATATTTTTAAAAAATAAAAAAATCTAACCCTTAACTTGCAAGCGAATTCTTGCTTAATCAAATGCAGGTTTCAAAGCACCTTCTAAGTACCCCAAAAGTTGTTCAAATGTATTAAATAAGCAGTTCCTTTAGCTCCATCTTCTCCACCTTTAATCCGAGTCTCTGTATTTGCAGAAGTCCCCATGTGATGCGGCTCTAGTTCTTTTCGTATCTATATCTTCCTCATTGAGAGTACACTGCAGTCACTATAACAGGTCATGAAGATTACCGGAAGTGATTAAGTACCGAATTTTCTTCTGATCCCATTAAAAATCTTAAAGCGAGACCACATCACTAACGATTTTAAAGAAATCTTTGACACCCCCTCTCCAAGAAAAAAAAAAGCCACCAATCAGCCACAGCTTTTTAGAGGGGTTCAGAAATCGGGCTGCTCAACTCTTAACAGGCCCTCCCTACAGAAGAAGGCCTGGATAAAATTAGAAGCGGCATTGCCCGCGAGGTCTGCAGAAAACGCTGAGTAATATTTCACACTCAAAAAACCTTCCAAGGCCTGTGTCCTAACCATTCTCCAGCACCAGGAAACCAATCCTAAGGTGACCAGTGTGCTTAACCCTACTCCACCCTGTCTGCTACCAACCCATCCGGACAGCAGCGCTAAACTCACACTTACCATGTCTAACAGGGAAAGGAGAGAGCAGGGTCAGTTCCTGGGTAGACTTAGGAGCCGGGCGCCTGCGCAGATGCGCCTCTCAGGCCCCCATCGCGCTCCGATATAGCTGACCACACTTTCGCCTGCAAGGCAGAGCAGTTCCACGGCTGCCGTAGGACCCCACTGATCGCTCATAGGTGTCCTCACTGCCTGCGTCCAAAGTCCTGCGACCATATGCTTGTCCCATAGTCACTCCGATTTGTCTAGAAACAGTTTTAAATAATATTTAAATATCTGAGTTGCTTTTAAGAAATCATTTGTTCTAGCTGGACGCGGTGGCTTACGCCTGTAATCCCAGCACTTTGGGAAGCCGGACAGCAGGATTGCTTGATCCTAGGAGTGTAACCACCCAATATTGTGGTTCACTTTGCCTGCTGCTGACCGATAGCCCATTTATCAAGACAGGGGACTTGCAATGGAGTCTCCCCAAGCAGTATTCAGAGTTTTTAAAGATAATTCGGCGATTAGGGGCTTGGGAAGTAGGGAGTGCTGATGGGTCAGGTTGGAGATGGACTCATAGTGGGTAGACGTGAGTTTTTCTTGCTGTTTTCTGTTCCTGGGTAGGATGGCAGAACTGGTTGAGCCAAATTACCAATCTGGGTGGTTTCAACTGATCCATGGAGAGCAGGGTCTGCAAAATATCTCAAGAACTTATCTTAGGTTTTACAATAGTGATGTTATCCCCAGGAGCAATTTGGGGAGGTTCAGAAACTTGGAGCCAGAGGCTGCATGACCTCTAAACTGTAATTTCTAATCTTGTAGCTAATCTGTTGGTTCTGCAAAGGCAGACTGGTCCCCAGGCAAAAAAGCGGTCTTTTTGGGAAAGGGATATTATCAATTTTGTTTCAGAGTCAAACCATAAACTGAATTCCTCCCTAAATTGGTTCAGCCTAGGCTCAGGAATGAAGAAGGACAGCTTAAAAGTTAGAAGCGGCCGGTGGCTCACGCCTGTAATCCCAGCACTTTGGGAGGCCAAGGCGGGCGGATCACGAGGTCAGGGGATCGAGACCATCCTGGCTAAAACCCCGTCTCTACTACAAATACAAAAAATTAGCCGGGCGTGGGGGTGGGCGCCTGTAGTCCCATCTACTCCTGAGGTTGAGGCAGGAGAATGGCTTAAACCCGGGAGGCGGAGCTTGCAGTGAGCAGAGATCACGCCACTGCACTCCACCCTGGGCGACAGAGCGAGACTAGTCTCAAAAACAAAAGTTAGAAGCAAGATGGAATCCGTTAGGTCTGATTTCTTTCACTGCCATAATTTCCTCAGTTATAATTTTGCAAAGGCGGTTCCAGGAGATCCAGACCAGCCTGGGCAATGTTGCAAGACCCCCGTCTCTACAAATAATAAAAATATGAGCCAGACGTGGTTGCCCAAGCCTGTGGTTTCAGCTACTGGGGAAGCTGAGGTGAGAGAATTACTTGAGCTGTGGGGCAGGGGGTGGAGGCTACAGTGAGCGGTGATAATGCCACTGCACTGCAGGGTGTGAGACAGAACGAGACCATGTCTCAAAAAAATAAATCATTTGTTCTTGAGGCCCTTTGCACTCTGAAAATCTGAAATGGCTGTTAATTAGTAGAGTGCCTGCTTACACGTAGTAAGTGTTCAATGAATATTTTTTAAATGAATATTAATGAAATGTTCACATTTCCTTCCTGTTTGCCTTATCTATCTCAAGGTCCAGCCCTGTACCCGCCCCCTCTCCTCGCCACACACACAGGCCACCCTCCCCACCACCACCACCGCCACCACAAACACTTCTTCGGAGAGTGCTAATAGTAAAAATATTGGAAGTTACTTTTTTTAAAAAAATTATACTGTAAGTTCTAGGGTACATGTGTACAACGTGTAGGTTTGTTACATGGATATACATGTGCCAGGTTGGATTGCTGCACCCATTAACTCATCATTTAAATTAGGTATTTCTCCTAATGCTATCCTTCCCCCCTCCCCCAACACCATGACAGGCCCCTGTGTGTGATGTTCCCTGCCCTGTGTCCAGGTATTCTCATTCTTCAATTCCCACCTATGAGTGAGAATATGCGGTGTTTGGTTTTCTATCCTTGTGATACTTTGCTCAGAATAATGGTTTCCAGCTTCATCCATGACCCCACAAAGGACATGAACTCATCCTTTTTTATGGTTGCATAGTATTCCATGGTGTATATGTGCCACATTTTCTTAATCCACTCTATCGTTGATGACATTTGAGTTGGATCCAAGTCTTTGCTATTGTGAATAGTGCCCAATAAACATACGTGTGCATGTGTGTTTATAATCTTTGGGTATATACCCCGTAATGGGATCACTGGGTCAAATGCTATTTCTAGTTCTAGATCCTTGAGGAATCACAACACTGTCTTCCACAGTGGTTGAACTACTTTACACTCCCACCAACAATGTAAAAGTGTTCCTATTTCTCCACATCTTATCCAGCTTCTGTTGTTTCCTGACTTTGTTTTTCTTCCTTTTCTTCAACTTCTATTTTATTTTGATTTTTTTTATTATTATTTAAGTTTTACGGTACATGTGCACAACGTGCAGGTTTGTTACATATGTATACATGTGCCATGTTGGTGTGCTGCACCCATTAACTCGTCATTTAGCATTAGGTATATCACCTAATGCTATCCATCCCCCTTCCCCCGACCCCACAACCGTCCCCGGTGTGTGATGTTCCCCTTCGTGTGTCCCTGTGTTCTCATTGTTCAATTCCCACCTATGAGTGAGAACATGGGGTGTTTGGTTTTTTGTCCTTGCGATAGTTTGCTCAGAATGATGGTTTCCAGCTTCATCCATGTCCCTACAAAGGACATGAACTCATCCTTTCTTATGGCTGCATAGTATTCCATGGTGTATATGTGCCACATTTTCTTAATCCAGTCTATCATTGTTGGACATTTGGGTTGGTTCCAAGTCTTTGCTATTGTGAATAGTGCCGCAATAAACATACGTGTGCATGTGTCTTTATACCATCATGATTTATAATCCTTTGTGTATATACCTAGTAATAGGATGCCTGGGTCAAATGGTATTTCTAGTTCTAGATCCCTGAGGAATTGCCACACTGACTTCCACAATGGTTGAACTAGTTTACAGTCCCACCAACAGTAAAAGTGTTCCTATTTCTCCACATCCTCTCCAGCACCTGTTGTTTCCTGACTTTTTAATGATTGCCATTCTAACTGGTGTGAGATGGTATCTCGTTATGGTTTTGATTTGCATTTCTCTGATGGCCAGTGATGATGAGCATTTTTTCATGTGTTTTTTGGCTGCATAAATGTCTTCTTTTGAGAAGTGTCTGTTCATATCCTTTGCCCACTTTTTGATGGGGTTGTTTTTTTCTTGTAAATTTGTTTGAGTTCATTGTAGATTCTGGATATTAGCCCTTTGTCAGATGAGTAGGTTGCAAACATTTTGTCGAGTAGGTTGCAAAAATTTTGTCCCATTCTGTAGGTTGCCTGTTCACTGTGATGGTAGTTTCTTTTGCTGTGCAGAAGCTCTTGAGTTTAATTAGATCCCATTTGTCAATTTTGGCTTTTGCTGCCATTGCTTTTGGTGTTTTAGACATGAAGTCCTTGCCCATGCCTATGTCCTGAATAGTATTACCTAGGTTTTCTTCTAGGGTTTTTATGGTTTTAGGTCTAACATTTAAGTCTTTAATCCATCTTGAATTCATTTTTGTATAAGGTGTAAGGAAGGGATCCACTTTCAGCTTTCTACATATATCTAGCCAGTTTTCCTAGCACCATTTATTAAATAGGGAATCCTTTCCCCATTGCTTGTTTTTGTCAGGTTTGTCAAAGATCAGATAGTTGTAGATATGTGGCATTATTTCTGAGGGCTCTGTTCTGTTCCATTGGTCTATATTTCTGTTTTGGTACCAGTACCATGCTGTTTTGGTTACCGTAGCCTTGTAGTATAGTTTGAAGTCAGGTAGCATGATGCCTGCAGCTTTGTTCTTTTGGCTCAAGATTGACTTGGCAATGTGGGCTCTTTTTTGGTTCCATATGAACTTTAAAGTAGTTTTTTCCAGTTCTGTGAAGAAAGTCATTAGTAGCTTGATGGGGATGGCATTGAATCTATAAATTACCTTGGGCAGTATGGCCATTTTCATGATATTGATTCTTCCTACCCATGAGCATGGAATGTTCTTCCATTTGTTTGTATCCTCTTTTATTTCATTGAGCAGTGGTTTGTGGTTCTCCTTGAAGAGGTCCTTCACATCCCTTGTAAGTTGGATTCTAGGTATTTTATTCTCTTTGAAGCAATTGTGAATGGGAGTTCACTCATAAGTTGGCTCTCTGTTTGTCTGTTATTGGTGTTTAGGAATGCTTGTGATTTTTGCACATTGATTTTGTATCCTGAGACTTTGCTGAAGTTGCTTATCAGCTTAAGGAGATTTTGGGCTGAGACGATGGGGTTTTCTAAATATACAATCATGTCATCTGCAAACAGGGACAATTTGACTTCCTCTTTTCCTAATTGAATACCCTTTATGTCCTTCTCCTGCCTGATTGCCCTGGCCAGAACTTCCAACGCTATGTTAAATAGGAGTGGTGAGTGATGGCATCCCTGTCTTGTGCCAGTTCTCAAAGGGAATGCTTCCAGTTTTTGCCCATTCAGTATGATATTGGCTGTGGGTTTGTCATAGATAGCTCTTATTATTTTGAGATACATTCCATCAATACCTAGTTTATTGAGAGTTTTTAGCATGAAGGGCTGTTGAATTTTGCCGAAGGCCTTTTCTGCATCTATTGAGATAATCATGAGTTTATGTCCTTGGTTCTGTTTATGTGATGGATTACATTTATTGATTCAAGACTTGCATCCCAGGGATAAAGCCTATTAGATCGTGGTGGATAACCTTTTTGATGTGTTGCTGGATTCGGTTTGCCAGTATTTTATTGAGGATTTTTCATCCATGTTCATCAAGGAAATTGGTCTAAAATTCTCTTTTTGTTGTGTGTCTGCCAGGCTTTGGTATCAGGATGATGCTGCCCTCATAAAATCAGTTGAGGATTCCTTCTTTTTCTATTGTTTGGAATAGTTTCAGAAGGAATGGCACCAGCTCCTCTTTGTACCTCTGGTAGAATTCGGCTGTGAATCCAACTGGTCCTGGACTTTTTTTGGTTGGTAGGCTGTTAATTATTGCCTTAATTTCAGAGCCTGTTATTGGTCTATTCAGATATTCAACTTCTTCCTGGTTTAGTCTTGGAAGGCTGTATATGTCCAGGAATTTATCCATTTCTTCTAGATTTTCTAGTTTATTTGCGTAGAGGTGTTTATAGTATTCTCTGATGGTAGTTTGTATTTTTGTGGGATCGGTGGTGATATCCACTTCATCTTTTTTAATTGCATCTATTTGATTCTTCTCTCTTTTCTTCTTTATTAGTCTTGCTAGTGGTCTATCAATTTTGTTGATGTTTTCAAAAAAACAGCTCCTGGATTCATCGATTTTTTTTGGAGGGTGTTTTGGGTCTCTATCTCCTTCAGTTCTGCTGTGATCTTAGTTATTTCTTGCCTTATGCTAGCTTTTGACTGTGTTTGATCTTGCTTCTCTAGTTCTTTTAATTGTGACATTAGGGTGTCGATTTTAGATCTTTCCTGCTTCCTCCTGTGGGCATTTAGTGCTATAAATTTCCCTCTACACACTGCTTTAAATGTTTCCCAGAGAATTTGGTACATTGTGTCTTTGTTCTCATTGGTTTCAAAGAACATCTTTATTTCTGCCTTCATTTCGTTATTTACCTAGTAGTCATTCAGGAGCAGGATGTTCAGTTTCCACGTAGTTGTGTGGTTTTGAGTGAGTTTCTTAATCCTGAGTTCTAATTTGATTGCACTGTGGTCTGAGAGGCAGTTTGTTGTGATTTCTGTTCATTCACATTTGCTGACGAGTGCTTTACTTCCAACTATGTGGTCAGTTTTGGAATAAGTGTGATGTGGTACCAGCGAAGAATGTATATTCTGTTGATTTGGGGTGGAGAGTTCTGTAGATGTCTATTAGGTCTGCTTGGTGCAGAGCTGAGTTCAAGTCCTGGATATCCTTGTTAACCTTCTGTCTCGTTGATCTGTCTAAATGTTTACAATGGGGTGTTAAAGTCTCCCATTATTATTGTGTGGGAGTCTAAGTCTCTTTGTAGTTCTTTAAAGACTTGCTTTATGAATCTGGGTGCTCCTGTGTTGGGTGCACTTATATTTAGGATAGTTAGCTCTTCTTATTGAATAGATCCCTTTACCATTGAATGGCCTTCTTTGTCTCTCTTGATGTCTGTTGGTTTAAAGTCTGTTTTATCAGTGACTAGGATTGTAACGCATGCTTTTTTTTGCTTTCCATTTGCTTGGTAGATCTTCCTCCATCGCTTTATTTTGAGCCTATGTGTGAGATGGGTCTCCTGAATACAGCACACTGATGGGTTTTGACTCTTTATCCAATTTACCAGTCTGTGTCTTTTAATTGGGGCATTTAGCCTATTTACGTTTAAGGCTAATATTGTTATGTGTGAATTTGATCCTGTCATTATGATGTTAGCTGTTTATCTTGCCTGTTAGTTAATGCCGTTTCTTCCTAGCATTGATGTTCTTTACAATTTGGCAGGTTTTTGCAGTGGTTGGTACTGGTTGTTCCTTTCCATGTTTAGTGCTTTCTTCAGGAGCTCTTGTAAGGCAGGCCTTGTGGTGACAGAATCTCTCAGCATTTGCTTGTCTGTAAAGGATTTTATTTCTCCTTCACTTATGAAGCTTAGTTTGGCTGGATATGAAATTCTGGGTTGAAAATTCTTTTCTTTAAGAATGTTGAATATTGGCCCCCACTCTCTTCTGGCTTGTAGAGTTTCTGCTGGGAGATCCACTGTTAGTCTGATGGGCTTCCCTTTGTGGGTAACCTGACCTTTCTCTCTGGTTGCCCTTAACATTTTTTCCTTCATTTCAACCTTGGTGAATCTGACAATTATGTGTTTTGGAGTTGCTCTTCTTGAGGAGTATCCTTCTGGTGTTCTCTGTATTTCCTGAATTTGAATGTTGGCCTGCCTTGCTAGGTTGGGGAAGTTCTCCTGGATAATATCCTGAAGAGTGTTTTCCAACTTGGTTCCATTCTCCCCGTGATTTTCAGGTATACTAATCAAACGTAGATTTGGTCTTTTCACATAGTCCCATATTTCTTGGAGGCTTTGTTTGTTTCTTTTTACTCTTTTTTCTCTAAACTTCTTTTCTCGCTTTATTTCATTAATTTGATCTTCAATCACTAATACGCTTTCTTCCACTTGATCGAATCGGCTATTTAAGTTTGTGCATGCCTCACATAGTTCTCGTGGCATGGTTTTCAGCTCCATCAGGTCATTTAAGGTCTTCTCTACACTGTTTATTTTAGTTAGTCATTTGTCTAATCTTTTTTCAAGGTTTTTAGCTTCCTTCTGATGGGTTCAAACATCCTCTTTTAGTTCAGAGAAGTTTGTTATTCCCAACCTTCTGAAGCCTACTTCTGTCAGCTTGTGAAAGTCATTCTCCATCCAACTTTGTTCTGTTGCTGGCAAGGAGCTGTGATCCTTCAGAAAAGAGACGCTCTGATTTTTAGAATTTTCAGATTTTCTGCTCTGGTTTCTCCCCATCTTTGTGGTTTTATCTACCTTTGGTCTTTGATGTTGGTGACCTACAGATGGGGTTTTGGTGTGTATGTCCTTTTTGTTGATGTTGATGCTATTCCTTTCTGTTTGTTAGTTTTCCTTCTAACAGTCAGGTCCCTCAGCTGCAGGTCTGTTGGAGTTTGCTGGAGGTCCACTCCAGACTCTGTTTTCCTGGGTATCACCAGCGGAGGCTGCAGAACCGCAAATATTGCAGAACAGCAAATATTACTGCCTGATCCTTCCTGTGGAAGCTTCATCCCAGAGGGATACCCACCTATATGAGGTGTCAGTCAGCCCCTACTGGGAGGTCTCTCCCAGTTAGGCTACACGGGGGTCAGGGACCTGCTTGAGGAGGCAGTCTGTCCATTCTCAGAGCTCAAACTCCGTGCTGTGAGAACCACTGCTCTCTTCAGAGCTGTCAGACAGGGATGTTTAAGTCTGCAGAAGTTTCTGCTGCCTTTTGTTCAGCTATGCCCTGCCCTCAGAGGTGGAGTCTACAAAGGCAGCAGGCCTTGCTGAGCTGCAGTGGGCTCCGTCCAGTTCGAGCTTTTTAGGCCGCTTTGTTTACCTACTCAAGCCTCAGCAATGGCAGATGCCCTTTCCCCTGCCAGGCTGCTGCCTCTCAGGTTCATCTCAGGCTGCTGCACTAGCAGTGAGCAAGGCTCCATGGGCATGGGACCTGCCAAGCCAGGCACGGGATATAATCTCCTGATGTGCTGTTTGCTAAGACCATTGGAAAAGCCTGGTATTTGGGTGGGAGTGTCCCATTTTTCCAGGTGCAGTCTGTCACAGCTTCCCTTTGCTAGGAAAGGGAAATCCCCCAACCCCTTGCGCTTCCTTGGTGAGGCGATGCCCCACCCACCTTGCTTCAGCTCACCCTCCATGGGCTGCACCCACTGTCCAAGCAGTCCCACTCAGATGAACCATGTACCTCAGTTGGAAATGCAGAAATCACCCGTCTTCTGCATGGATCACACTGGGAGATGCAGACCAGAGCTATTCCTATTCGGCTGTCTTGGAACGGCTGGAAGTTACTTTCAAAAAAGAAACGCCTGTATGCCTTTTACTAGCTTTCCACAGAATTCGGATATGCTGTGTGTACTACAGCTGTTTTGGTTTGTGCATTGTCTTTCATACTGCACCAGCATTTTTGAACACTCATTAGAAAATATTGGCACCTTGTGCTCTTAAAATTGATTGCTTTAAGTAAGGATTTGGAGAAGTATTCCTGACATACTGACACGTGTTGGCTATCAATAATTGAGAGGGAGAAACAGTATTAAATGTACTATGATGATGGATTTCTTCATTTCTTCCTGTAATTCTGTTCATTTTTCCCATTTATAGTTTGGGATACTTTATTAAATGTGTTTAAGTTTTTTTTGTTTGTTTGTTTTTACTTTTTTCTTTTTTAGAGATGAGGTCTTGCTATGTTGGCCAGGGTGGTCTCCAACACCTGGACTCAAGCAATTCTCCTGCCTCGGCCTCCTAAAGTGTTGGGATTACAGGCCATTACCACACTGGCCTGCATGTAAATTTAAAATTATCTAGTTCTGTTGAGTTGAGCCTTTTGTTTTGTTATTGTTCATTTGTAGGGAATTAAAAAAAAGGGAAAGGAAACAGGGTTTGCTCTGTCACTCAGGCTAGCGAGCAGTGGCCGGATGATAGCTCATTGTAACCTGGAACTCCTGGGCTCAAGTGATTCTCCCATGTCAGCCTCCTTAGTAGCTGGGACTACAGCATGATGCACCACCATGCCTGGCCAATTTCTTTTTTTTTTTTAATGGGGTCTTGCTCTGTCACACAGGCTGGATCTCCGCTAGCTGCAGGCTCAACTGCCTGGGCTCAAGAGATTCTCCCACCTCAGCCTCCAAGTAGCTGTGACCACAGGAGTGCACCACCACCCCCAGCTAATTTTTTAATTATTTATAAGCACAAGGTCTCGCTTATTGCCCAGGCTGCTCTTGAACTCCTGGGTTCAAGAGATCCTCCAACCTCAGCCTCCCAAAGTGCTGGGATTATAGGCAACAGACAGCTATTGTCCAAGGCGTACCCTTTTATCATTAAATGATGACCATATCTAGCCCTAATAAGGCATTTTATCTTGAAAAGTCTTTGTTAAATGTTAATTTCCACAAATTTATTTTAGTTAATAGTTACCTCTAAGAGTTTTTTTTCAACTTTTTATCTTTAACCTTTCTGTGCTCTTATGTTTTAGTGTGTCTTGTAAATGAAATATGGCTGACTTTTTGGTCTATCATTAACCAGTAACCTCAGTTCATTTACATGTAATTATTTGTTTATTTTGGGCTTGTTTCTATCATCCAAATTTTTTCTTCCTATCTGTTCCACTTTTCCTATGGTTTTTTATTGTTTTGGCCTTTCTTGCCTTTAAAAAAAAGTGTCTTAATTTTTTCTTATTCTATTTTTTCTTTTCTTCTGGTTTAGAAGTTATGAATTCCAATAATTTAGTGGCTATTTTGAAATTTACTTTGCATAATTAAAAATGTGTATAGTTAATATCCTAACCCTCTCTCCCAACAGTACAAGAACCTTAGGACATTTCAAATGTTTCAACCTCCTTGGACTTGTTCTCATATTTTAGTTATGTTTTTTTGTTAACTTCATAAATACTATCTTATCATCATCTAATATAGGCAATTTTTATTTGTTTGTTTGTTTTGAGACAGAGTCTTGCTCTGTCACCCAGGCTGGATTGCAGTGGTGTGATCTCGGCTCACTGCAAGCTCCACCTCCTGGGTTCATGCCATTCTCCTGTCTCAGCCTCCAGAGTAGCTGGGAGTACAGGAGCCCGCCACCACGCCCAGATGATTTTTTTTATTTTTAGTAGAGACGGGGTTTCACTGTGTTAGCCAGGATGGTCTCAATCTCCTGACCTTGTGATCCGCCCACATTGGCCTCCCAAGGTGCTGGGATTACAGGCATGAGCCACTGCGCCCAGCCTAATATAGGCAAACTTTTTACCCAATAGTTACAATTCATTTAACTATTTCCTTTTGCATAGCACGCTTTCCTTTTGCATAGCACACTGTCCTTCTGGAGAGATCTTCTCTTCCTTAATGATTTTACTTCACTAGATTTTCTGTTGGTAGAAAACTGTTAGTTTGTTTATCTGAAAATGGCTTTATTTCACACAGATGACTCTTCAAAGAACTTTGTGGGTTAAAGATTCTAGACTGGGTACGGTGGCTCAAACCTGTAATCCCACCACTTTGGGAAGGAGGGCAGATCACTTGAGGTTAGGAGTTCAAGACCAGCCTGGCCAACATGGTGAAACCTTGTCTCTACTAAAAATACAAAAATTAGCCAGGCATGGTGGCGGGTGCCTGTAATCCCAGCTACCAGGGAGGCTGAGGCAGGTGAATCGCTTGAAACCAGGAAGTCGAGGTTGCAGTGATCTGAGCTCACACCACTGCACTCCAGCCTGGGTGACACAGTGAGACTCTGTCTCAAAACAAAAACAAAAACAAAAAAAGTACCTGAGACTGGGCAATTTATAAAGGAAATAAGTCCAATTGACTCACAGTTCTGCATGCCTAGGAGGCCTCAGGAAACTTACAATCATGGCAGAAGATGAAGGGGAAGTAGGCATCTTCTTCACGAGGCAGCAGGAGAGAGAAGAGTGTTGTGTAGGAGGAAATGTCAAACACTTATAAAATCATCAGATATCGTGACAACTCACTATCAGAACAACATGAGGAAAACCACCTCTTTAATCCAATCAGTTCCTACCAGGTCTCTCCCTGAACACCTGGATATTATAATTCAAGATGAGATTTGGGTGGGGACAGAAAGCCAACCATATCACAGCCCACTTGCCCATAAGGCAATGCTCATTTGTGTGGTCCCTGGTGCTAAACCATTCTTGGAGGAACTGCTTCTGGAGCAGAGCAGCTCCCTCGCTGTGATCTACTGAAAGTCAACCCTCCACACACAGGACTGTTAACTATATATATATATATATATATATATATATATATATATATATATTTTTTTTTTTTTTAAGACACACATAAAAAGGAAAAAGAGAAGATATCTGTCAATTTGTCAATCTAATTGTTACTTTGTGGGTAATTCTCTTTTGCTGCTTTTAAGATCTTTCCTTGGTCTTCTGTTTTGTGCAGTTTCATGAAGATGCCTCTAATTGTGGATTTACTTTTACTTCTTTTACCTGGTATTTGATGAACTTCCTGTATTTGAGAATGTATCACTCCTAAAAATTTTCTAGCATGATCTATTACAATACCATTCCTAGACACAGGTAAGGTGGATTGGTGGCCCATGTTTAGAGGGCAGGTCCTGCTCTGGTCCTCCTATAGCCACATACCTTTACATGCAGCAAGGAGTCCCTGGAATCAAGTGGACATGCCCACCCAGAATCAGCCTCGCCACCATTAGATGGTATTTCAGGTCACCCTCCCTGCCTTTTTCTACCCAAATGGCCCCATACACCCCTTCCAAATTCGACTTGGGTATCTTCCCTGGGTCCTTCCCTTAAAGGGCAGATCATTTGCTGGTATGTGCACCACATGTCCCAAGGAGTTGCCCAGGCATTGATGTAAGCAGGGTATGAAGGGAGCTTGGATGTCTAGGTTAGGATGTCCACAAGCATAGGTACAAAATGCACTGTGATGCAAGACCCTGAAGTGGTATAAGGAAAGGAACAGGCCAAGAGATATCTTTTCCTAATCTGTAATTTTCTAGCACATGACTCTAAGAAGTTCAAGCTGGCTAAATTTGAACCTGGCATTCTGGGTTGTCATCAAGGTATAATTATGAAAACTGGAGGACAGAATATAGAGATAGATAGATAGACAGATAGATAGACTTTTGAGACAGGGTCTCACTCTGTCCCCAGGCTGAGTACAATGGCACAATCACCACTCAATGCAGCCTGGACCTTTTGGGCTCAAGTGATCCTCCCACCTCAGCCCCCTAAGTAGCTGAGAATACAGGTGCATGCCAGCATGTCCAGCTAATTTTTTATTTTTTGTAGACATGGGGTTTTACTATGTTGCCCAGGCTGATCTTGAACTCCTAGATGCAAGCAATCCTCTCTTCTTGGCCTCCCAAAGTGCTGGAATTACAGGCCTGAGTCACTGTGCCTTGCCAGAACATTTTTTTTCTTCTTCTTTTTTTTTTTTTTTTTTTTTTGAGACAGAGTCTTGCTCTTGTTGCCCAGGCTGGAGTGCAATGGCACTATCTCGGTTCACTGCAACTTCCCCCTCCCAGGTTCAAGTGATTCTCTTGCCTCAGCCTCCTGAGTAGCTGGGACTACAGGTGCCTGCCACCACGCCTGGCTAATTTTTGTATTTTCGTATTTTTAGTAGAGACAGGGTTTCACCATGTTGGCCAGGTTGGTCTCGAACTCCTGACCTTGTGATATGCCCACCTTGGCCTCCCAACCTGCTGCGATTACAGGCATGAGCCACTGCACCCAGCCCTTTTTTTTTTTTTTTAAACAGGGTCTTGCTCTGTTTCCAAAGCTGGAGTGCAGTGGTGCGATCACAGCTCACTGCAGCCTCTACCTCACAGGCTCAAGTGATCCTCCCACCTCAGCCTCCCAAGTAGCTAGGACTACAGGTATGTGCCACCATGCCTGGCTAATTTGCGTGTGTGTTTGTTTTGTAGAGACAGGGGATCTCAGTATGTTGCCCGGGCTGTTTTCGAATTCCTAGCCTCAAGCAATCCACCCACCTTGGCCTCCCAAAGTGTTGGGATTACAGATGTGAGCCACCATGCCCCACCCAGAGCATATTTTATTTAACTGTGGATTAGCTTGGGTATTAACTTTTAACTGTTAAATGTATCTTATATGGTATGTGGGTGTGCACTTGCGAGTTTGCTCCAGGTCCTGCAAATGTAGAGTGGGCCTTCTCTCTTTTAACATTCTCCCTTTCTGGGACTTTAGTTGACACGTTAGACTTCCTTTTTTTTTTTTTTTTTTTTTTTTTTTGAGATGGAGTCTCTCTGTCGCCCAGGCTGGAGTGCAGTGGTGCGATCTCGGCTCACTGCAACCTCCACCTCATGTGTTCAAGTGATTCTCCTGCCTCAGCCTCCTGAATAGCTGGGATTACAGGCATGCACCACCACGCCTGGCTAATTTTTTGGTATTTTCAGTAGAGACAGGGTTTCACCATGTTGGCCAGGCTGGTCTCGAACTCCTGACCTCAAGTCATCTGCCTGCCTCAGCCTCCCAAAGTGATGGGATTACAGGAGTGAGCCACTGAACCTGACTGACATGTTACACTTTGTTGTTGCATCCTTCTCATTTCTTAACCTCTTGTATTTTTCACCTTTTTGTCTTCCTGTGATGCATCCTGGATAATTTATTCCTATCTATAAGCTAGTATTCTTTTCCTACTTAAAATCCATGGGCTAGCAGCATCAAAATCACTCTGAGAGCTATTATAAAGGCAGAGTCTGAGTCACATCCTAGACCTACCAAATCGCATTCTGCATTTTGGTAAGCTCCCCAAGGATTCCTATGCATGTTAAAACTTGAGAAATACTATTTCAGATTCCATTTGATTATTTTTCAGATCTACCTTTTTGTTTTTATAGATTCCTATTGTTTTCCATTGTGTGATTTTTCGAATTTCTTTACATCTTTCACGTTGAGTTACTGTATACAGTTTTCTCTTGGTATCTGCAGGGGGTACTGGTTCCAGGAACCCCTGCAGATACCAAACTCCAAGGATGCTCAAGTCCTTTGTATAAAACAGGATAGTATTTGCATATAACTTATGCACATTCTCCCATATACTTTAAATCATTTCTAGATTACTTATAATATCTAATAAGATGCCTACATATCACTCTATTTGTGTGGATTCAAGGTACTACTTGCATGTGGCAAATTCAAGTTTTGCTTTTTGGAACTTTGTGGAATTTTTTTTTCCCCTGAGTATTTCTCATCTGAGGTTGGTTGAATCCACAGATGCTGAACCCACGGAAACAGAGTATGGCCAACTGTACTGTTTATCTGATCATTCTAATATCTGGAGTCTTGAGGTCTGTGTTAGTCTGTTGTCTCATTGATATAAAGAAATACCTTAGACTGGATAACTGATAAAGAAAATAGGTTTAATTGGCTCATGGTTTGGCAAGCTATGTAGGAAGCACAGCTGGAGAGGCCTCAGAAAACTTACAATCACGGCAGAAGGTGAAGGGGAAGCAGGCAAGTCTTACATGGCCAGAGCAGGAGGAAAAGGTGTGGGGTGGAAGCACCACACAATTTTAAACAACCAGATCTCATGCGAAAACTCACTCATTATCACAAGGACAGTGTTCGGGGGGATGGTGTTAAACCATTAGAAACCATTCCCATGATCCAATCACCTCCCACCAGGCCCCACCTCCAACACTGGGATTACAGTTGAACATGAGATTTGGGTAGGGACAAAGATCCAAACCATATCAAGGTCCCAAATGTGTTACTTTTAATTTTCAGTTGACTTTTTTTCATGCTGATTGGTTCTTTATTTATTTTGAAGATTTTTGGTTGTCAGCTCATATTAAGGCCTAATTGGAAGGTGTTTTTCTCTGGAGAACATTTGCATTTGCTCTGACAAGAGCCAGAGAGTGATAATCGTCTGAATTTACATTACATAAACATAAGCAGTAAGTATTAAGCATGTGCTATGTAGCTGGCCCTCTAAGAAATGCATCTGCCCTGAAGGAGCCTAGTGGGAAAGACAGTTGGTAAATAATCTGTGACAAATTCTCTGACAAAGGCAAGCTTAGTATGCTATGGAAAAGGTGCCTGTAAATCAGATGGGAGAGAGTTGTGGTAGAGGGGACAACAGAGGGAGACAGGGATTGATCTGATATCCTGGGAAAGGCAATGCTTGAAATAAGAATCATATAAGCATCAGACCCAAAAAGTAACATTATTCAGATTGTTAATAACTACCGAAGGAATGAAAAACAAACCTAACTTCCTGCTGTATAAATTCATTCAACTAGTATGTATTGAATGCCTAGAATACGCCAATATTATTCTAAGTTCTGGGGGTACAGTGGTAAGCAAAATAGAAATATATGTAGGAAGTATATATTCTAACAATTCATTTTTAATTTTTATTATTATTATTTTTGAGACAGGGTCTCACTCTGTTCTCCAGGCTGGAATGCAGTAGTGGGATCAGGACTCACTGCAGACTCATCCTCCTGGGCTCAAGAGATCATCCTCTCAGCTCAGTCTCCAGAGTAGCTGGGACCAAAGGTGTGCCTCAACATGCCCAGCTATTTTTTTTTTTTTTTTAAGAAGCAGGGTCTCCCTGTGTTGCCCAGGCTGGTCTTAAACTCCTGCGTCCAAGCAATCCTCCATCCTCCCGCCTCAGCCTCCCAAAGTGCTGGAATTACAAATGTGAGCCACCGCCCCCAGCCCAATTCTTGAACTACATTTGAAAATTCTATTCCTAGGTATTTATCCTACGAATATACCCCCTTGGTTGTGAAGTGACTTATGTGCAAGAATAACCACAGGAGCAGTCTTTGTAATAGCAAAAGATTTAAAAAATTTTAATTGGTCGGGCCCAGTGGCTCATGCCTGTAATCCCAGCACTTTGGGAGGCTGAGGCAGGCAGATCACCTGAGGTCAGGAGTTTGAGACCAGTCTGACCAACATGGCAAAACCCCGTATCTACTAAAAAAATACAAAAATTAGCTGGGCATGGTGGTACATGCTTATAATCCCGGCTACTCGAGAGGCTGAGACAGGAGAATAGGGTGAACTCAGGAGGCAGAGGTTGCAGTGAGCTGAGATCCGAGATCACACCACTGCACTTCAGCCTGGGTGACAGAGCAAGACTGCATCTCAAAAATCAAACAAACAAACAAACAAACAAAGTTAATTGACCATCAAAAGGTTAAATAAACTATGGTATATTCATTATACAGCTATTAAAGAGAATGAAGAAGCTCTACACATATGGAAAGGTCTTAAAAATATACCAAGTGAAAACAGACATAAAAAGAAAGCAACAAACCATATAGTATGCTATTTATGTGGGAAACAAAGGAAAAAATATATATCTGTGAATGCACAGAATTTCAAAAAGCAGCTGCCTAACAGAAAAGTATTCAGTGAAAAGTAATCCTTTCTTAAATTCTGTCTACCACCCAATCCTTTAAGAAAGGATTACTTTTCACTGAATATTCTATTACATTTATTCAAATAAAAATGATCCCCCTTCAAAGAAATGTAGCAGCTATGCTATAACAAAGAATTGTATTCTTTCTTTCTGATATTGAATAAATTAACACTGTATTAGTCCATTTTCACACAGCTATAAAGAAATACCTGAGACTGGGTAATTTATAAAGGAAAGAGGCTTAATTGACTCACAGTTCCACGGCTGGGGAGGCCTCAGGAGACTTTCAATGATGTTGGAAGGTGAAGGGGAAACAAGACCTTCTTCACATGGTGGCAGGAAAGAGAAGAAAGCGAAGGGGGAAGAGCCCCTTATAAAACTGTCAGATCTTGTGGGAACTCACTATCATGAGACTATCATGGGGGAAATCACCCCCAGGATTACAATTCAAGATGAGATTTGGGCGGGGACACAGAGCCAAACCTTATCAAACACCATTTAGCTTTGGCCATGTACACAGAGTTTCTGTGCTACTCTGATGCTTGCTCAAGGGCTCTGCTATAAACTAGAAGCCAAATTTGTGTTTTCAAGAAAGGGCAGTCTTAGAGCCTCATGGAAAGAACCAGGTGCTTTGGACTACTGATAAATTCTTCAAAAAATAGAGTCATGGGTACAGGCTTCTGAGCAGACATAGCTTAGACAACTTTCAAGCCATAGCAGTGAACTGAGTCTGCATTTCTAGGACTCTCTTCTGGAAACAGACTGATTCATGAAAGCAGTCCACCAACCCAATTTCCAGCAGCATAATTACACAGGACTGAATGAACTGATGAGAGAAGTTTAATCATGGTTATTTATTTATTGGAATATTGTTGATGTAGTGTTCTATTTTTATGGTATATGAGGAAGCCCTTTAAAATTCTTCATAAGCTATTGACTCCAATTTAGTGTACTCCGCTTTTGTAAACTGAAATTTTCTTTTTTTTTTTTTTGCAACAAGGTCTTGCTCTGTCACCCAGGCTGGAGTGTAGTGGTTTGAACATGGATCATTGCAGCCTCAGCCTCCTAGGCGCAAGGGATCTTCCTGACTCAGCCCCCTGTGTAGCTGGGACCACAGATGTGCATCTCCACACCTAGCTAATTTTCTAATTTTTTGTAGAGATGAGGTCTCACCATCTTGCCCAGGCTAGTCTTGAACTCCTGGGCTTAAGCAATCCTCCCACCTCAGTCTCCCAAAGTGCTGGGGTTACAGGTATAAACCACAGGGCCCAGCTCTGACATTTTTAAATGGCATGTGATCCTAAGCCCTCAGAATTCAGGAATGTGCTGAATTTCCTTTTATTTCACAGCAGTATTCAAAAGGAATCTGACCTCCTTTTTACCAGGATAACTGATTAGGTCATGAGGGCCATACCTAGAGTGTCCTTTTTGAAAATAATTCTAATTTAATCAGTTATGAGAAGCCCGTTATTAAAAACAAGTTGACTTTATATGTAGAGTCAATACCTACAAAGCTGTCTCAATAACACTGGAAAAGTGCCTGGCTTAAATGTTTGTAAGTGGTAAGGAAGAGCAATGCTCGGCAGGCCAGGAACCCTAGCAAATTCTGAAGATGTTAAGGAGAGAGATTCACCCAAGCTCTTAGGTACTACAGGAGAAATCTAGTGGAGAGTTTCTTGGATTTGATTCCCCAGCCTTGGGATGTCAAGCTATAGAAGCTTTTAAAAGTCCGATTTGAGGTCTCTGATGAAAAATTTCAGACAGAAGTTAATCCTGTGGCCTTAGTAATTTGTTCAGTACTGTATGGTTCTGGATTTGCAAAGTAAATTTGAGGAGATCTACATGACTAACGAACACTCTTGCTGTACCTAGGCAAATAATCCACATAAACCTAATGAAATTTGCTTTTTACTGATCAGGAATACTTGTGGCAGATTCCTTTTGATGAAAAGTAAGAGACTGTTAAGAAACACTGTCAAAGCCTTGAAAAAGGATACAATAAATTATTGGGCGTCCCTTTAGTGGTGTGCTAGGTACTATCTAATGGATCCTCTGCATATTATCTGATGGGATATGTACCATTGTCTTTTTATTGGACAGACTGTTATACAATTGTAAATGTAGATGTTAAATTGTAAAAAAAAAAAAAAAAAAAAAGGAAAGTAATGCAACTGAACCTTAACTACAACTAATTTCTGCTCTGTAGAAAAGATGGTCCCATTAGGTTTATTGCCCTATACCAGTGATCCCCAACCTTTTTGGCACCAGGGACCGGTTTTGTGGAAGATAATTTTTCCACAGACACAGTGGGGGGTGCAAGGGGAGATGGTTTGGGGATAAAAATGTTCTCAGATCATTAGGCATTAGATTCTCATAGGAGCACGAAACCTAGATCCCTCATGTGTGCAGTTCACAATAGGGTTCGTGCTCCTATGAGAATCTAATGTTGCCACTGATTTGACAGGAGGTGGAGCTCAGGCAGTAATGCTTGCTCGCCCAACACACACCTCCTGCTGTGCAGCACAGTTCCTAATGGCCCAGAGACTGCTACTGGTTTGTGGCCTGGGGGTTGGGGACCCCTGCCCTATAGGATATGGTCAATCTACTAGCAAATTCTTTTTTTTTTTTTTTTTTTTAGACAGAGTTTCACTCTTGTTGCCCAGGCTGGAGTGCAATGGCACGATCTCAGCTCACTGCAACCTCTGCCTCCCAGGTTCAAGTGATTCTCCTGCCTCAGCCTCCCGAGTAGCTGGGATTGCAGGCATGTGCCACCATGCCTAGCTAATTTTGTATTTTTAGTAGAGACAGGGTTTCTCCATGTTGGTCAGGCTGGTTTCGAACTCCCCATCTCAGGTGATCTGCCCGCCTTGGCCTCCCAAAGTGCTGGAATTACAGGCGTGAGCCACCACGCCCAGCCTAGCAAATTCTTTTAAGCATTTATTACTGCCTCTATCTGCTCTTTAAATTCTCCCTTATACCAGTTTTAACTTTGTACTAGTTCCCTCATCCAATGAGTTAAATACAGTCTTTCACATATTAAGAAAAGAAAAAACACTGTTGCCTGTGGAATTTAATCTTTAATCTCCAAAGACCCTTTGTACTATTTGATAATATATTCAAATTAATGGCTGTAATTCTAGAAGCCATATCAACAACCATTTTTTTTTTAATCCAGAGGAGTCACTGAATAATTCTTCTCCCTCTATGCAAATTGATGACTCTGGTAGATTCCTTAAACATTCATTAAAATTCTGGTAAACCTACTAGATCACATGTAAAACTGTGCTTTCTCTAGGAACCATCAATTCACTGATGGGGGCAACTAATAGTCATGTTTGTAGTCCATGACTGTACCTACCCTCCTTCTTGTAATGGCCCTAGTCAGCAAGCTTATAAATGTGGTGGTCAATCCAAAATATAAATATGCTACCGTGAAGTCTGATTCTATTGTGGGATCAAAGAAGCAGAGAAAGTTAGACTATAGAGCAACAATGAATAAAATGACAGAAGTAGAGAGTTAGCAAAAGACTATATATATTTCATGGATTCCTGAGGACTGACTATTCTAGTTTTAGTCCCTTCCTGAGACTGACTTCATTCCTCCCTTTCAGACCTATGAGTCATTTCCACATACTTAAAATACATATTTGCTTAAAGAAGCTTAAATTCATTTACTTGTGACTAAAAAGGCTTAACTGATGCAAAATTACATAAGTGCTTAATATTTATTAGCAAGGATTCTATAATATTCTCATCATAAGGCTTTGGAGTACATTTATATCTTGTATAGAAACCTTTTCTTTTCTCTTTCCTTCCTTCCTTCCTCCCTCCCTCCCTCCCTTCTTTTGGAGTACATTTATATCTGGTATAGAAACCTTTTCTTTTCCCTCCCTTCCTTCCTCCCTCCCTCCCTTCCTTCCTCCCTTCTCTCTTTCCTTTTTTTTGATGGAGTTTCGCTCCTGTTGCCCAGGCTGGAGTGCAATGGCATAATCTCAGCTCACTGCAACCTCGGCCTCCCGGGTTCAAGCGTTTCTCCTGCCTCACCTCCTAAGTAGCTCGAATTACAGGTGCTCACCACCACGCCCGGCTAATTTTTTGTATTTTTAGTAGAGACCGGGTTTCATTATGTTGGCCAGGCTGGTCTCAAACTCCTGACCTTGTGATCTGCCCGCCTCGGCATCCCAAAGTGCTGGGATTACAGGCATGAGCCACCTTGCCTGGACCTTTTTTTTCTTTTTAGGGTCTCACTCTGTCACCCAGGATGGAGTATAAATGGTGCCATCACAGTTCACTGAAGCCTCAAATTCCTGCCCTCAGTGATCCTCCCACCTCAGAACCTCCCAAAGTGTTGGGATTATAGGCACGAGCCACCATGCCCAGCCCATGTCTAGAAGCTTTATGTTTAGAAATGGTTGGGCCTCTGTACTGCAAATTCAAATTTGCATTTGAAATATATACATTCTATTTAACTTCTCATTTCTACATAATACCCAATTAAGAATTCTCTAAATCTCCTTACCAATCTCAAGTTGTATCATTTAAATAAAATTTCATCATTGAGCATGAAGGAAATGTCATTTAAATATTTTATATTTGTAAGAAATTCGATTATTTTGGTAATTTAATGTGGTATAAGAAATTTATTTGGTCTTTGTTCCCAGGTCTTTGTTCCTGGCACAGAGCTCCTAAAACCCTTGGAATTTCTTGAGTTCTTGGAGTTATCTTCTGTTATTCCTTATAAACCTTTTCAATCATACCTGAATTTGGCATGAGATGACTTAGGGTGGGGCCCCTAGATAATCTCAGGAGGAATCTGGTCACCAGAAGGACTAAGTAATTAGAGGGTGATGTTATGGACTGAGTTGTGTCCCTCCAAAATTCCTATGTTGAAGCCTTAACTCCCAATGTGACTGTACTTGAAGATAGGATCTTTTAGGGAGTTAATTAAGGTCATGAGGATAGGACTCTAATCTCACAGGGCTAGTGTCCTTAGAAGAGGAGAAAAAGACACAAGAGCTCCCCCTAACCCAACCCTTCATGATGCACAGAGAAGAGGACATGTAAGGACACAGAAGGTGGCAGTCTATAAGGCAGGAAGAGAGGCCTCACTAGAAACAACCCAAATGGCACCTTGATCTTGAAATTCTAGCTTCCAGAACTGTGAGAAAATAAATTTATTTAAGCTACCAAGTCTCCAGTGTATTTTTTATGACAGCCCTAGGAGACTAATACAGTTGGGAGCTTCCAGCTTTCACCTTGGTCCTCTGGGGAGGAGTGGAGGACTGGAGATTGAGCTCCATGGAAACTATTGAATTTGAGCTGGGGAGCTTCCACGTTGAGGAATACAGAGACATGCAGGGAAGGTAATATGCTGGAAGAAGGCATGGAAGCTCTGCACCTCCCTTCTCCCTCCATACCTTTCCCTATGCACCTCTTCATTAATTGTTCCTAGTTGTACCCTTTCTGATATAAACAGGTAAATGTAAGTTAAGTGTTTTCCTGAGTTCTGTGAGCTATTCTGGCAAATTATCGACCCTGAGGGCAGGGTCATGGGAATACCTGAATTTGTAGCCATGTTGGACAGAGTATGGGTAGCTTGGGGAGTCAGGACTTGTGACTGGCCTCTGAAGTGAGGGCAGCCTTATGGGGTTGACCCTAACTCTGCTGCATAGTGTCAGAACAGAATTAAAATGTAGGACACAGTTGATGTCAAAGAACTAGAGAATGAGATGTGATGTCAGAAAGCACTCCATTTAGTATAACACAGTTTAGCAGTATTCGATATTTAGAATTACAAAGAAATATTAAATTCAGAGATTTGGGTTCTTAAATTATTTCATATTTATATTTTCTGAAGTCTTTAAAATATCTAATAAAAAATGAACAGGTAACTTTATTCAATTCAAAATTAAAACGACCTTTTTTCATCATAGTAAATACAAGAAATATACACTATTACACGAAGTAATGAAATTTCCTGGAAAAAATACAGAAAGATATGATAATAAGCACTGAACAATTTTATTAAGTTCTTTGCCAAAATGCAAACATATGAAATGAGATTGTGTACAATAGACCAAAGGCTACCTAGAGACCAACAGTCATATAAAAATAATTTAAGGCAAGCTTTATTGATTTATTTTAAATAAGGTAAGTGAAATATGGGCTCAGAATTAAATAAGATTTTCAAGAAAGTTCTTGTAGCTGTAAAATAGGAGAATATGAATGTCAAAATTTTGACTGTTTCTGTGCCAAACAGAAAGTTTCACAAATGCTTTCCAAACTGCAATAAAAAGAACTTTAATAATACCATTAAGTCTACAAAGTTACTGTCAAGTTGACAGTATTCAAATACTACAATATTTTCTAAATGTAAATTTTGTAACATCTTGAATACTTTCTAAGCCCACTTTTCTGTCATTACAAAAATAAAATTCCAAGAAATTTCTGCTACATTAATCTTAAGAGATCAAAATAACCTATGTAGTTTTCTAGGTTAATGTAATTCAAGTAAAGTGGTACTAAAGAAAACACATCATTTTAATAAAAACCAAACCTGCTTAAGAGACATAACAGAGTTAAGCAAAAGTATAAACTACTATAATAAGCAGTTGCTTAGATTTAATATAAGAGGATTTGTTTTCACTGGAAAAAACGTTAAAGCCCTTTCTTTTTTCTGGAGCTGAAACAGTGGCTTGTGTTCTAGTTATTCAATATTTCTACAGTAATTTTTTTAATTTTTGTACTTGTCAATGTGTTCACGGGCTACAATAAGTCTTTGAATTTGTGAAGTACCTTCATAAATCTGCAAGAAAAATATAAGTGTAGGTTAAATATCTTTAGTACATAAATACTTTGATTTATTCAACATTTTAGACAGTAGCATAAGCTGTGTTGTAATATAAAACCGAATCAAACCATATATAGGGTCTGTAGCCTCTACAGATTCCAAAACCTGATTTTGTGAAAGTCTGAAAATATGGAATTCTCTAAAGATTGGTTAAGTTATTATAAAAAGCCATTTATCAAAATTTTGGAGAAGAGTCTTCAAAATATAAAAAAAGAAAAGATATTTACATTTCAGAAAGTTTGGGAAAACTAAAGTTTAATGTGGCCAAAATATTTGTCTAATTTTCTGAACTGTTCTTAGCTAGCTGTCTCCTTCAGTCTTTTATTCTTACCCTTAATTTTTTTTTTTTCTCCCACTGCCTGTGGAACAGAGTTGCTAAAGAAAAAGATGCTGGAAGGATTTCAAGAGTCAGACCTTATTTCCATTCTAAACTTCTAACTTTAGCCATTCGTTAGTTCATCTTCTCAGATGGCAGAGAAAAGCTAAACTGTTGATGATAATAATAGTAATAATTATAATTAAAGGCTCTAGGAGAGGAAGAGTATCACCACATAAACCTGTGACTTTGGATAAGGCACAAATTCTGGACCTCAGTTTTTTCATGTCTACATGGAGAGGCTGCACTACGTGTAACATTCCTTCTCACTCCAGCATTTTGATTCGAACTCAGTATTTCCAATGACTGGATGAGTCAAATAATTTGCTAGGTGTAGGGGGAACAAGGGAAGAGATACTGAGGAGCAAGAATGTGGTAATTATTAAGTAATTACTTAAGCCACATGTAGAGAACATGCACATTTATATTTCCTTTTACTGAATTCCTCCTAAGTTTTTTTGACTACCAATTTAATTTGGAATTAATCTACATCACTGTCTCCTGATGTTGGTTTTTGACTCCAAGTATAGTTACAATAAATTAAATAGTTGTCAGGCAAGATTCAAATCAAAATAATTAATTTTAAATGACATGCATACTTTTTGGAGAGAAAAGTTTGGGTTACAATTAGCCAATCTGTTAAAACTCAAAGAAATCTAATCCAAACGTAATACACATGTCTGTACCATTTTTTTTAGCCTATTCTCTCTTCAGACTTATACTTAATCACAAATAACATTCTTCTTTCTATTAATTAATTCCAAAAACTGGCTCACAGCCATATATGACAGTCATTTATTGCTACTAGGGACATAAAATTTCTAAATAATCAGAAATCCACGTTGTCATTTATGAATATTCTCTCTCCTTGCAAACCAAAAAAATCATCTTTAACCTTACCTGATAGATTTTGGCATCCCTCATTAGTTTTTCTACAGGATATTCTGTATTAAATCCATTGCCTCCAAGTATCTGCACAGCATCAGTAGCTAACTGATTTGCAATATCTCCAGCAAATGCCTTTGCAATAGAAGCATAATAGGTATTTCGACGACCAGAATCAACCTCCCAAGCTGCTCTCTGGTAACTCATTCTAGCTAGTTCAACTTTCATTGCCATTTCAGCCAGCATAAATGATATTGCTTGGTGCTAGAATTAAAAAGAAAAAAATTAAAGGATATTTATTGAGAAAACTTAAAAGTTTTTTCCTGGGGCTTTTTCATTTTTATAGTGACGGGGTCTTGCTATGTTGCCCAGGCTGGTCTGCAACTCCTGGCCTCAAGCAATCCTCCTACTTAGGCCTCTCAAAGTGCTGAGATTACAGGCGTGAGCCACTGTGCCTGACCTTTTTATTTTTTAAACTTTTCATTAACGAATTTTAGGTTTATAGAAGTTACACCCAGCTTCCTCTAATGTTAACATATTACCAAACCATAGTGCCATGATCGAGAACAGGACATTAACACTGGTATAGTATTAACAACTAAACTATAAGCCTTACTCAAATCTGGTCAAGTTTTCTACTAATGTTCTTTTTCCACCATTATACGTTGAATTTAGTTATTTCTTCTTATTCTTTCCCAGGCTATTATAATTCCTCAATCCTTCCTTATCTTTTACGTCTTTGCACTTCTGAAGAATGTTGATTGGTTATTTTATGTAAAATGTCCTTCAATTTCAGTTTGCCTGATTTTTTTTTTTTTTTTTTTTTTTTTTTTTTTTTTTTGAGACAGGGTCTCACTTTGTTTTCCAGGCTGGAATGCAATGGCATGATCTCAGATCACTGCAGCCTCAACGACCCTCCCGCCTCAGCCCCCAAAGTAGCTGGGACTTTTCTTTTTTTTTTTCTGAGACAAAGTTTCACTCTTTTGCCCAGGCTGGGGTGAAGTGGTGCGTTATCGGCTCACTGCAACCTCTGCCCCCCAGGTTCAAGCGATTTTCCTGCCTCAGCCTCCCGAGTAGCTGGGCGTGTGCCACCACACCAGGCTTTTTTTTTTTTTTTTTTTGTATTTTTAGTAGAGACAGGGTTTCACCATGTTGGCCAGGCTGCTCAAACTCCTGATCGCAGGTGATCCACCCGCCTCAGCCTCCCAAAGTGCTAGGATTACAGGTGTGAGCCACCGCACTCGGCCTCTTTTTTTTCTTTTTAAATAGAGATGAGGTCCCTCCCTATGTTGCCCAGGCTGTTCCAGGCTGTTCTCAAACTCCTGGGCTCAAGGGATCCACCCACCTCGGCCTCCCAAAATGCTAGGATTACAGGTGTGATTCACCATACCCAGCCTCTGCTGGGACTTTCTAGAAGAAATTGCTGGCTGGGCACAGTGGCTTACACCTGTAATCCCAGCACTTTGAGAGGCCGAGGCGGGCAGATCACCTGAGGTTGGGAGTTTGAGACGAGCCTGACCAACATGGATAAACCCCGTCTCTACTAAAAATACAAAATTAGCCAGGCATGGTGGCACATGCTTGTAATACCAGCTACTCAGGAGGCTGAGGCAGAAGAATCGCTTAAACCTGGGAGGTGGAGGTTGTGGTGAGCCAAGATCACACCATTGCACTCCAGCCTGGGCAACAAAAGCAAAACTCTGTCTCAAAAAAAAAAAAAAAAAAAAAAGAAAGTTGCTACAGATAGAGAAAAATAATGTGGCACTGTATCAGATACCAAGACAGAGGAAAGGACAACTAAAAGATGCTTCTTAGACTCTAGAGGCTCAGAATTAAATAGAAGACATAAAACAAATACTTTCAATAAGGGATAGTAAGTGCTCTATGAGTTAGTTATATGGCCAAGATATGTTATAGGATGGAAATATGTTCCTGTTCCCTGGCATACAACTCCTAAATTCCTTGGGATCTCCAACGTGCTGTCTTTTGTCTGCTAGGTTCAGCGTGGTGCTGGTCACTGGAAAGACGATGGCAGGATTAGAGGGTTGGGAGTTTCAGCCCCAACCCTACAACCTCCAGGGAGGGGAGAGGGGCTACAAGTCAAGTTAAATCATCAATGACCAATGGTTTAATTAATCATGCCTATGTAATGAAGCCTCCATGAACACCCAAGAGTGTGTCCAGAGTTGGTTCCTTCCAGTGGGTTCTTGGTCTTGCTGACTTCAAGAATGAAGCCACAGACCTTCGCGGTGTTACAGCTCTTAAAGATGGTGTGTCTGGAGTTTGTTCCTTCAGATGTGTCCAGAGTTTCTTCCTTCCAGTGGGTTCGTGGTCTTGCTGACTTCAGGAATGAAGCCGCGGACCTCCGTGGCAAGTGTTACAGCTCTTAAAGGTGGTGTGGACCCAAAGAGTAAGCAGCAGCAAGATTTATTGTGAAGAGCAAAAGAACAAAGCTTCCACAGCGTGGAAAGGGACCAAAGCAGGTTGCCGCTGCAGGCTGGGGTGGCCAGTTTTTATTCCCTTATTTGTCCCCACCCATATCCTGCTGATTGGTCCATTTTACAGAGTGCTGGTTGGTCCATTTTACAGAGTGCTGACTGGTGCATTTACAATCCTTTAGCTAGACACAGAGCGCTGATTCGTGCATTTTTACACAGTGCTGATTGGTGAGTTTACAATCCTTTAGCTAGACACAGCACTGATTGGTGCATTTTTACAGAGCACTGATTGGTGTGTTTACAATCCTTTAGCTAGACAGAGAGTGCTGATTAGTGCATTTTTACAGAGTGCTGATTGGTGTGTTTACAATCATCTAGCTAGACAGACAAGTCCTCCAAGTCCCCACTCGACCCAGGAAGTCCAGCTGGCTTCACCTCTCAAGAGGACAGGGTTTGGAGAGCTTCCAGAGGTTCCTACAGGGTGAGATTCCCAGGGAGAGCATGGAAGCCATATGCATCTTCCCTCATACCTTACCCTGCACATCTCTTCATCTGTATCCTTTAAAATATCCTTCCTGGCTGGGCGTGGTGGCTCACACCTGTAATCCCAGCACTTTGGGACGCCAAGGTGGGTGGATCACCTGAGGTCAGGAGTTTGAGACCAGCCTGGCCAACATGATGAAACCCTGTCTCTACTTAAAAAACAAACAAACAAAAAAAGGCCAGGCATGGTGGCAGGTGCCTGTAATCCCAGCTATGTGGGAGGCTGAGGGAGGAGAATCAATTGAACCCAGGAGGCAGAGGTTGCAGTGAGCCAAGATTACGCCATTACACTCCAGCCTGGGCAACAAGAGGGAGACTCTGTATGAAAAAAATAATAATTAAAAAAAAAGTAAAAAAATTAGATATCCTTCCTAATAAACTGGTAAATGTGTTTCCCTGAGTTCTGTGAGCTGCTTTAGCAAATTACTGGAATTCACAGATGAGGTCATGGGAACCCCAACTTGAAGCCAGTCAGCCAGAAGTTCTGGAGTCCAGGACTTGCAACTAGGGGAAAAGAAGGGGCAGTCTTGTGAGACTAAGCCTGTGGGATCTGATGCTATCTCTGGGTAGGTAGTGTCAGAACTAAGTTGGAGGATACCCAGCTAGTGTCTGTTGCTTGGTGTGGGTGGGAAATCCTCCTACATCTTTGGTCATAGAAGTCTTTATAGCAGCATGATTTATAATCCTTTGGGTATATACCCAGCAATGGGATTGCTGGGTCAAATGGCATTTCTAGTTCTAGATCCTTGAGAAATTGCCACACTGTCTTCCACAATGGTTGAACTAGTTTACAGTCCCACCAACAGTGTAAAAGTATTCCTATTTCTCCACATCCTCTCCAGCACCTGTTGTTTCCTGACTTTTTAATGATTGCCATTCTAAATGATATGAGATGGTATCTCATTGTGGTTTTGATTTGCATTTCTCTGATGGCCAGTGATGATGAGCATTTTTTCATGTGTCTGTTGGATGCATAAATGTCTTCTTTTGAGAAGTGTCTGTTCATATCCTTCACCCACTTTTTGATAGGGTTGATTTTTTTCTTGTAAATTTGTTTGAGTTCATTGTAGATTCTGGATATTAGCCCTTTGTCAGATGGGTAGATTATAAAAATTTTCTCCCATTCTGTAGGTTGCCTGTTCACTCTGATGGTAGTTTCTTTTGCTGTGCAGAAACTCTTGAGTTTAATTAGATCCCAATTGTCAATTTTGGCTTTTGTTTCCATTGCTTCTGGTGTTTTAGACATGAAGTCCTTGCCCATGTCTATGTCCTGAATGGTACTGCCTAGGTTTTCTTCTAGGGTTCTTATGGTTTTAGGTCTAACATTTAAGTCTTTAATCCATCTTGAATTAATTTTTATATAAGGTAAGGAAGGGATCCAGTTTCAGCTTTCTACATATGGCTAGCCAGTTTTCCCAGCACCATTTATTAAATAGGGAATCCTTCCCCCATTTCTTGTGTTTGTCAGGTTTGTCAAAGATCAGATGGTTGTAGACATGTGGTATTATTTCCAAGGGCTCTATTCTGTTCCATTTGTCTATATATCTGTTTTGGTACCAGTACCATGCTGTTTTGGTTACTGTAGCCTTGTAGTATAGTTTGAAGTCAGGTAGCATGATGCATCCATCTTTGTTGTTTTGGCTTAGGATTGTCTGGGCAATGTGGGCTTTTTTGGTTCCATATGAACTTTAAAGTAGTTTTTTCCAATTCTGTGAAGAAAGTCATTGGTAGCTTGAAGGGGATGGCACTGAATCTATAAATTACCTTGGGCAATATGGCCATTTTCACGATATTGATTCTTCCTACCCATGAGCATGGAATGTTCTTCCACTTGTTTGTGTCCTCTTTTATTTCATTGAGTGGTGGTTTGTGGTTCTCCTTGAAGAGGTCCTTCACATCCCTTGTAAGTTGTATTCCTAGGTATTTTATTCTCTTTGAAGCAATTGTGAATGGGAGTTCACTCATGATTTGGCTCTCTGTGTGTTGTTGGTGTATAGGAATGCTTGTGATTTTTGCACATTGATTTTGTATCCAGAGACTTTGCTGAAGTTGCTTATCTGCTTAAGGAGATTTTGGGATGATATGATGGGGTTTTCTAAATAAACAATCATGACATGTGCAAACAGGGACAATTTGACTTCCTCTTTTCCTAACTGAATACCCTTTATTTCCTTCTCTTGCCTGACTGCCCTGGCCAGAGCTTCCAACACTATGTTGAAGAGGAGTGGTGAGAGAAGGTATCCCTGTCTTGTGCCAGTTTTCAAAGGGAATTCTTCCAGATTTTGCCCATTCAGTATGATATTGGCTGTGGGTTTGTCATAAATAGCTATTATTTTGAGATACATTCCATCAATACCTAGTTTATTGAGTTTTTAGCATGAAGAACTGTTGAATTTTGCTGAAGGCCTTTTCTGCATCTATTGAGATAATCATAAGTTTTTGTCGTTGGTTCTGTATGTGATGGATTACATTTATTGATTCAAGGTATGTTGAATCAGCCTTGCATCCCAGGGAGAAAGCTGACTTGATCGTGGTGGATAAGCTTTTTGATGTGCTGCTGGATTCAGTTTGCCAGTATCCTCCTTTAGCTCGGAGAAGTTTGTTATTACCAATCATCTGAAGCCTTCTTCTCTCAACTCGTCATTCTCCATCCAGCTTTCTTCCGTTGCTGGCGAGGAGCTGCATTCCTTTGGAGGAGAAGAGGCACTCTTGATTTGTAGAATTTTCAGCTTTTCTGCTCTGGTTTCTCCCCATCTTTGTGGGTTTATCTACCTTTGGTCTTTGGTGATGGTGACGTACAGATGCGGTTTTGGTGTGAATGTCCTTTCTGTTTGTTAGTTTTCCTTCTATCAGTCAGGACCCTCAGCTGCAGGTCTGTTGGAGTTTGCTGGAGGTCCACTCCAGACCCTCTTTGCCTGGGTATCACCAGCAGAGGCTGCAGAACTGCAAATATTGCAGAATGACAAACATTGCTGCCTGATTGTTCCTCTGGAAGCTTCGTCTCAGAGGGGCACCCGGACGTATGAGGTGTCAATCGGCCCCTACTGGGAGGTCTCTCCCAGTTAGGCTACTCAGGGGTCAGGGACCCACTTGAGGAGGCAGTCTGTCTGTTCTCAGATCTCAAACTCCATTCTGGGAGGACCACTACTCTCTTCAAAGCTTTCAGACAGGGAGGTTTAAGTCTGCAGAAGTTTCTGCTGCCTTTTGTTCAGCTATGCCCTGCCCCCAGAGGGGAGTCTACAGCAACAAGCAGGCCTCCTTGAGCTGCAGTGGGCTCCACCCAGTTCGAGCTTCCCGGCCACTTTGTTTACCTACTCAAGCCTCAGCAATGGCGGATGCCCCTCCCTGAGCCTTGCTGCCGCCTTGTAGTTTCATCTCAGACTGCTGTGCTAGCAGTGGGTGAGGTTCCATGGGTGTGGGACCCTCCAAGCCAGGCGCAGGATATAATCTCCTGGTGTGTTGTTTGCTAAGACTGTTGGAAAAGCGCAGTATTAGGGTGGGAGTGTCCTAGTTTTCCAGGTACCATCTGTCACAGTTTCCCTTAGCTAGGAAAGGGAATTCCCCGACCCCTTGCGCTTCCTGGGTGAGGTGATGACCTGCCCTGCTTCGGCTCATGCTCTGTGGGCTGCGCCCACTGTACGACAAATCCCAGTGAGATGAACCCGGTACCTCAGCTGGAAATGCAGAAATCACCCGTCTTCTGTGTCACTCATGCTGGGACCTGTAGACTGGAGTTGTTCCTATTCAGCCATCTTGGAACCCTTGGGCAGATCATTGTATATTTTCTAATACCACACATGAAATGGCTAAACAATTATTTAATTGTGGATTCCAAGAATAACCTGACCCTTTTCATTCATAATGCTATACATAGAGTACACAGACTGAAAGACAAGTGGCTGGACACGGTGGCTCACGCCTGTAATCCCAACACTGGGAGGCCAAGGTGGGTGGATCACAAGGTCAGGAGTTTAAGACCAGCCTGGCCAAGATGGTGAAACCTCATCTCTACTAAAAGTACAAAAGAAAATTAGCCGGGTGCAGTTGCGGGCACCTGTAAACCCAGCTACTCGGGAGGCTGAGGCAGGAGAATCACTTGAACCCCGGGGGCAGAGGTTGCAGGGAGCAGAGATCGCACCACTGCACTCCAGCCTGGGCAACAGAGTAAGACTCCGTCTCAAAAAAAAAAAAAAAACAAAAAACTGAAGTTTCAAAGGGCACACAAATGGGTTGAGAGACACCTAGCAAAGGAGTGACAAGGAATTACAGTGTCATATCACTGTACCTACCAATTAAAAATGAAAAACTAGGCCAGGCGCAGTCACTCATGCCTGTAATCCCAGCACTTTGGGAGACCAAGATGGGCGGATTACTCAAGCTCAGGAGTTCGAGACCAGCCTAGGTAACATGGCAAAACCCCATTTCTACAAAAAAAAAAAAAAAAAGCTGAGCATGGTGGCTCACACCTATAGTTCCAGCTACTCAGGAGGCTAAGGTAGGAGGATCACTTAAGCCAGGAGGCAGTGGTTGCAGTGAGCTGAGATCACACCATTGCACTCCAGCCTGGGCAATAGAGTGAGACCCTGTCTCAAAAAAAAAAAAAAAAAAAGAAGCTATCAGCATTTTGCAGAGTGCTTAAAAGATAAGCAAATCTTCAGTAGAAATCAAATGATAAAAGACTATTTTGAGTTAAGCAGTAAGGAAAAACTAAGATTTTTCAATATTTAATAAGAAAAAAATCTTTAGAATTTATAAGAAAGAGAACATAAAAGGAGAAGATTCTATATTGAGTTGAAAGCCAAAAATACAGTTATCATCAGATACTTGGGTAAGGAGGACCTGGAAGACGATGACAGATCTTCACTGAAAAGCATTAGGTTGAAATTTGTTTATGAATAAGATAAACTAACATTTAGTAAAATGTACATATGTAGTTCTGGCAACATGAAGGAGTTAACAAAGAAATACTTGGTTAAGAAAAAAAAAAAGCTCATAGGAAAGAAACAGAAATCTCTAAGTGCCTCTAAAAAGGAATTTAAATCCTGAGAAGAGATAACATGGAGGAAAAGAAAAATCAGACTCAGATTTGGGCTCAGCAGGATAGGAACCAGAGTTTTAAGAAACACATAAGAACAGGAGATTTCGATGTGAGCATGAACAATCTAAGGGGCTAAAACTGAGAATCACTGCATGTAAAAGCTTTGCTTTCCAAAGGGGCAATTAAAAGTCTGGGCTCATCAGCATAGGAGGGCCACAAAGAAGCTGATCTCTTGCCCAGGAGGGTTAAAAAAAGAACAAGAAAAAAAAGGACTTTTGTTATTGTTGTTGTTTTGAGACAGGGTCTCACACTGTTGCCCAGACTGGAATGTACGGAGTTTCTTAATGTGTGAGATCAATGTACGAGCTCTGTGATACAGGATTCTCCAAGTCAAGAAATTAATGTAAAATAACAGCTCTTAGAATGGTGAAATCTCTGGAGTACCTAACAAAAGTGCCAAAAAAGTACAAAAGCCAATTTCTAAAATGCTTCCATAATGCTCTGAGAAATAGAGTACTTCCTGCAGGTAAGTTGTTTACAAATAAAAAATAAAAGCAAAATAATTGACCATAAAAGAGTTAGAAGACACAATACACCTTGAAAGATTAGCACCCAAAGAATTGAAGATAACAAAAAAATCTGAAATTGATTATAAATGAAGAATTTTTACATGATTAATGAGAAAAAAGGAAAAGGCGGTATGATGTTGAACAGAAGGTATAATGGAAAAAACCAAATATAACTTCTGGAAATGAAAAGTAGTCATTAATAAAAAATCAACAGATTAAATAGATTAGGCACAAGATAAGAGAACTAGAAAGCAGATCTGAAAAAATTATCTAGAATATAGTGTAGAAAGATACATTATGAAACTAAGGTTAAGGGACACAGAGCAGTGCTAATCCAAGTTTGTCCACAGTGCCAATTCACAAACTGTTACTGGTTGATGGTACAGAAGATGAGAATAAGCATTTAGACACTTTTACAGCAATTTAACATTGTTGTGACATTCTTATATTTTACAAAAATAATGGTCCACATTAACTGGAAATTAAAACAAACTGGTCTTTCACCACAAATAGTTTGAGAACCACTGACAAATGGAGATAGGAATAGGAGGCTCATGGGGGGCTGAGGTGGAAAGATTGCTTGAGCTCAGGTGTTTGAGACCAGTCTGGGCAACATAGTGAGACCTCATCTCTACAAAAATAAAAAAATTAGGCAGGCATGGTAGTGTGCCCCTATAGTTCCAGTTATTTAGGAGGCTGAGGTGGGAGGATTGCTTGATCCCAAGAGGCTGCAATAAGCCATGACTGCACCATTGCACTCGCATTTGGGCAACCAAGACCCTGTCTCAAAAAAAAAAAAAAAGAGAAATAGGAGGTTCACTATACAACTCATAGTGAGTTGCAGGAAAGAATACAGATAATGGGGGAGCATCAATATTTAAAGGGGTAAGAGTTAAGAATTACCCTGGAAATTCATGGAAGACACGACTCTTTATAGTACTAAAATTATCTGATACTCAAGAGGACATGGGAAGTAACAAGAATTAAGAGTATAACATAGGCCAGGCGCAGTGGTTCAGGCCTGTAATCCTAGCACTTTGGGAGGCCGAGGCAGGCAGATCACTTGAGGCCAGGAGTTCAACACCAGCCTGGCCAACATAAGGGAACCCCATCTCTACTAAAAATATCAAAATTTGCTGGGTGTGGTGGTGTGTGCCTGTAGTCCCAGCGACTCGGGAGGCTGAGGCAGGAGAATCACTTGAACACAGGAGGTGGGGGTTTCAGTGAGCCCAGATCATGCCACTGTACTTCAGCTTGGACGACAGAGCAAGACTTTGTCTCCCACCCCCCGCAAAAAAAAAAAAGCAAGGATCCTGGATCTGTGACTTATAAATTGTGTGGCCTTGGACAAATCATTTAATACCTCTGAGCTTCAGTTTCTTGATCCTTAAAAGAGATAACACCACCCAAAAAAGGGTTACTGAGAGAATCAGAAAATATATATATATTTTCTTTTTTGAGACGGAGTCTCACTCTGTCGCCCAGGCTGGAGTGCAGTGGCGTGATCTTGGCTCACTGCAAGCTCTGCCTCCTGGGTTCACGCCATCCTCCTGCCTCAGCCTCCCGAGTAGCTGGGACTACAGGCGCCCACCACCATGCTCGGCTAATTTTTGTATTTTTAGTAGAGACGGGGTTTCACCGTGTTAGCCAGGATGGTCTTGATCTCCTGACCTCATGATCCGCCCGCCTCAGCCTCCCAAAGTGCTGGGATTACAGGCGTGATCCACCGCGCCCGGCTAGAAAATATATTTAAAATGCATAGCACAAGGCCGGGCCCAGTGGCTCATGCCTGTAATCCCAGCACTATGGGAGGCTGAGGCGGGCAGATCGAGACCAGCCTGGCCAACATAGTGAAACCCCATCTCTACTAAAAATACAAAAATTAGCCAGGCATAGTGGTGCGCACCTGTAGTTCCCACTACTTGGGAGGCTGAGGCAGGAGAATTACTCGAACTCGGGAGGCGGAGACTGTGGTGAACCGAGATTGTGCCACTGCACTCTAGCCTGAGCAACAGAGCGAGACTCCATCTCAAAAAAAAAAAAAAATGCATAGCACAGTGTCAGGTTCAGAAGTAACCAATAGTGGCACACTCTAAAAAGAAATGTCTTTGAAACTCATCTTGATAAAACCACATTATCTTCTTGCTATCAAAGTAGAAATTGATTAGTTTGTGGTTTAAAAATCATTTCTAAATATTAAATGAAAATGAGTGTCTTTACATTTGAACAAAGCAAGCAGTATTAAAATTACCTCTACAAGTAGCTTTCCGAAAGTTTTCCTTTCCAGGGCATACTTGGTAGCTTCATCCAAAGCTCTTTGTGCTAATCCAACAGCACCAGCAGCTACCTAGTATTTTAAGATATTATAAAGCAAAAGTTCATGTTATCTTTAAAACACACAATATCTGCCTAAGTGTCTATGTTAGGGAGTGTACAAAGAGAAGGTGATGTACAGCAACAAGAAACTGGTGGGGAACAGGGAATAGGCACGTAAGTTTATATTATTTGTTAATTAAAGGTAGTAAGAGGCATTTGTTAGGCATAGTATCATACTCTAGAAAAAAGTCATTGCTTTTGTTTAACAAGAGAAATCTTACTAGGGGAAATGTTCTTAATGAGTAAAAACAGAAAATGAGTACATATTAACAGGATGATCATATTTAGGGTGGACTGCCTCTCTAAATCTAGCACCAACTACAGTAATTTTGCAGTTGCTAAAATAATTTCTATAATGTATAGTAAGAAAACTTGAAGAATTATTTAAAAAATTAAGAAAAGTAACAATATGGTCAGGCGCGGTGGCTCACGCCTGTAATCCCAGCACTTTGGGAGGCCGAGGTAGGCAGATCACGAGGTCAAGAGATCGAGACCATCCTGGCCAACATCATGAAACCCCATCTCTACTAAAAATACAAAAATTAGCTGGGCAGAGTGGTGTGCACCTGTAGTCCCAGCTACTCATGAGGCTAAGGCAGGAGAATCTCTTGAACCCAGGACGTGAAGGTTGCAATGAGCTGAGATTGCACCACTGCACTCCATCCTGGTGACAGAGTGAGACTCTGTCTCAAAAAAAAAAAAAAAAAAAGAAAGAAAAGTAACAGTATTTTTCCTATATCCTTAATAAAATAAGCAGATATTAAAAAGAGAAACACACTGAACATACAATTTTAAAGTAAAAATACTTATTTAATGTAATAAATAAAAGATCCTATAAAGATTATGAACCCATATTACTTACTACAGGTCTGGTTTTATCAAAAGCTCCCATTGCAACTTTGAAACCAGCTCCGTCACCAATTAAAACATTTTCTTTAGGCACTTTCACATCTTCGAAGACAATTCCTCTAGTATCTGAACATCGCTGGCCCATGTTTAATTCCTAATAAGAAAATTGATATATTTTAAGGAATTTTTTTTGAGCCAGCATCAATTTTTGCTTTAATCACTGTTTCATGACTTTCTGCAATTACCTAAAACAGGGATCAACAAACTGTAGTCTGCAATGCCTGTTTTGCAAAGAAAGCCTGATTGGAATACAGTCACGCCTATTTGTTCATATATCATCTACAGTTACTTTCTTGCTACAATGGCAGAACTGAGTAGTTGTGACAGAGATATGGCCTGCAAAGCCTGAAATATTTATAATTTGGATCTTTACAAAAAAATTTGCCAACCATAATCTAAAACAATGTTTCACAAATTTTGAAACCAACACTAGTCTAAAGGTCTACAAGTACATCTTATCAACAAAGACAAATCTCATTATATGTTTGAAAGCTATCTATTTTACCATGTCAGAAAAAACATTTAGTAAACACAATCTGATTTGAGACCTTTAATCTTAATAGAGCTAGTAAAATAATCTACTGAATAAAAATTGATTTTGTTTTCCTTTGACTCTGTTAAAATTAGGTTTACTGAGGTATAATTTACATGTAGAAAAGTCACCATTTTTATGTATACATTTCTAATAGCTCTGACAAATGTATATGTGTGTAACCACCACCATGCTCAAGATACAGAGTACTTTAGAACCCCAAAAAGTTACCTTGTTCTCCCTTTATAGTCAATTTCCTTATTCTACACTTATCCCCTGGCAACCACTGTGTGATTTCTCTCCGCGTAGTCTTTCCTTTTCCAGAATGTCATTTAAGTGAAATAATAAAGTCCGCTTTCTGTGTCTGACTTTTCACTTAGTATAGTGCTTCTGAGATTCATCCATGTTGCTGCATGATCAATAATTCATTTATTTTACTGCTAAGTAGTATCCCACTCTTGGATGTACCATATATCCATTATCTTTTCACTAGTTGACGGATACTCCCCTCCTTTTTAGCAATCATTAATAAAATTACAATAAACATTTGTATATAGGTCTTTATTTTCATTTCTCTTGGGTATTTATTTAAGGGCACTGGTTATGTGATAAGTGTATGTTTGACTTTATAAGAAACTACTAAACTAGCTACATTCCCTCAACTTTTTGTTTTAAAAATTTTCAAACCAATGGAGGAGTTGTAACAGGCATGTAAGTACTTATACACCCTTCATCTATAATAGATTCACCAATTGTTAACATTTTGATACATTTGCTTTATTTTTTATTTCTCTTTCTCTTTGTATATGACTATTAGTGTTATGCTAAATCATGAGAGGAAGTTGCAGACATAACTCTTAATAAGGAAAAAAACTTGATCTCATGTTTAATAAGCAGAATAAGAAACAGGAGCAATGGAAACAAAGAGCTATAAACTAACCCTTTAATTTGCTGGTTTTAATAGTCTGCTTCTGAGTTTGAAGAAATAATAACGATAGTTTGACCTAGAAAGAAGCCAACATCCCTTTATTTTGTCTTTAAAAGTTAATAAACTAGAATCTTGGACCACCATGCATATATAATGAGAAAACACCCTACCAGATTTATCCCAAACCCCACAACATTTAAAACCAAAATGCTTCCTGGGCTCATCTCAAACCATATAATTTCTAAAACACAAAAGATTTGAAAACATTAGGTCTCACTCTGTCATCCAGGCTGCAGTACAGACAGCAACAGGAGCATGGCTCACTGCAGCCTTGACTTCCTGGGCTTAGGTGATCCTCCCACTTCAGCCTTCCAAGTAGCTGGGACTACAGGTGTGCGCCACTGCCACTGGCTAATTTTCAAATTTTTTTGTAGAGGTAAAGTCTCAATATGTTGCCCAGGCTGGTCCTGAACTCCTGGGTTCAAATAGTTCTCCCACCTCAACCTCCCAAAGTGCTAGGATTACAGTCATGAACCACCAAACCTGGCCTGAAAACATTAAATTTCACAAATTTGTAAATATCCATTTGTTTCAATAAAGATTTAAGGAGGCTTAAATATACACAATATAATTATCTCTATCACTCACCAGAAAGTAATTTACCTAAGGCCAGGGATTTTTGTCTATTTTGATCCATACTGTATCCCTAATAGATAGAATACTGTATATAGTATGCACTACATAAATATTTATTGAAGTAGATTTTTTTTTAAGTGAGAAAATTAGGCAAAGAAAAAAACTAGAAATAGCAAGATAAAATCAGGAGTGAGTTTACTACTAAAAAAAGTATAAGCTGTTAGGTCCTTTATACTTTCTAAAGATGGGCCATACATTTGGCCAAGTTTGCTAGCAACTATCCCTAAGACAGAAACATGATCTGTTATACAAATAAAAAACAATTTCTTGGGAAAAGCACAATAATTTTTAATTCTTATATTTTGTTACATACAACAGTATCATCTGTTTTGTCAAGTGCAGTCTACCTTTAATATCTGATTGAAAATATAGCACAATACAGTATCAGAAACTATACTGGGTAAGGTCCTAGGATACCTTCATATTGATTTCAACTCTGCCTCTAACTTTGGGACTTTGGTTGGGCGCAGTGGCTCATGCCTGTAATCCCAGCACTTTAGGGGGCCAAGGTGGGAGGATTGCTTGAGCCCAGGAGTCTGAGACCAGCCTGGGCAACACAGCACAACCCTGTCTCTACAAAAAATACAAAAATTAGCCAGGTGTGGTGGTGCATGCCAATAATCCTAGCCACTCAGGAGGCTGAGGTGGGATGATTGTTTGAGCCCAGGAGGCAGAGGTTGCAGTGAGCTGAGATCCTGCCACTGCACTCCAGCCTGGGCAACAGAGCGAGACGCTGTCTCAAAAAAAAAAAAAAAAAATTACTTTATTGACTTCATTTCTTTCCTTCTTTATAAAATTTATAATTTTAAATTGTGATTTATAAAATTTTAAACTCTTTTCTCTTTAGTCTACTTTAAATGCCAAATTTATCTCCACATATTCAGAATACAAACCTTTTCAAATATGTTAAATTACCTTTTCTTATTTAAGTAAGATTTTCTTGCCTTTCCATATTCAAGGCTATTTGCTATTTTCTACACTCTTTTCAGGCATAGACTTTTTTCTTAGTGTTGTATGACCTAGTAAAATCTCAGTTATGTCACATTGTTTTTATCTGTAAAATGGGCATAATGCCACTTATCCTACCAAAAGGTTGCTGTGAGGATCCAATGGGGAAAAGAGTGGGAAAGTCCCTTGAAATATCCAGAATTCTTATTATTGGTCAGGTAATATAAATGATAGCTTGATTTTACTTCATTATTCCTCACAGCTGTTATTAGCCTTCTCCACAGGTTGGTACTACTCTTTCAAAATGACTTGAAATGACTGTTCACAAAATCTTCAGTAGTATATAGACTATTTGATCTAATATCATCAAAACATAGCTTTATTTTTACTCCAACTTAATACAAACAAATGTTTTTATTAAAGGAAAGTTAAGTAATTTTGCAATTTATAATTAAAATAATATTTGGGGCCCTAATCATTAATAAATACTTTACCTTTCTCCCAATCTGAATTCCTGGGGTATCTGCTTCCACAATGAATCCAGTAAAGGCTTTATTAGCAGGAGCTTTAGGATCTGGATCAGAACGTGCCAATAAAAAATACCTAAGAGATACACATACCGGATAATGGTGATAATATCGGCAAATAACACATGGTGATTGCTCTCTCAGTTAATTCTCTTAACAATCCCAATTATTATTACCTACATTTTACAAATGAGGAAATAAATAATCAGGTTTAAAAACTTGCCTAGTCACGTACCTAGTATATGGAAGAGCTAGTATTTGAGGTCTATGTCTTAATAACACAGTAGGCCCTCCCCCATTCCATGGGGTTTCACTTTCTGTGGTTTCAGTTACCCGCAGTACAGTATATATGATATTTTGAAAGACAAAGAGGACATTTACATAACTTTTTTTTTTTAGACAAGATCTCACTCTGTTGCGCAGGCTGGAGTACAGTGGCATGATCTTGGCTCACTGCAGTCTCGACTTCCCCAGCTCAAGCCATCCTTCCACCTCTTCTGAGTCACTGGTACTATGGGCATGTGCCACCATGCCTAGCTAATTTTTTGTTTATTTTTTGTAGGGATGAAGTCTCACTACCTTTCCCAGGCTGGTCTCAAACTCTTGGACTCAAGGGATCTTCCCACGTGGGCCTTCTAAAGTGCTGGGATTACAGGTGTGAGCCACCATGCCTGGCCTACATTTACATAACTTATTACAATACATTGTTATAGTTCTATTTTATTAGTTGTTGTTAATCTCTTGCTGGGCCCACTTTATAGATTAAACTTTATAATAAGTATATATGTGTAGGAAAAAAACATAGTATATACAGGGTTTGGTATTTCTGAGGTTTCAGGCATCCATTAGGGGTCCTGGAATGTATCCTGCAAGGATAAGGAGGGACTATAGTATGCTATTTAACTTTCTTTTAGTAATATGAGTTGCAAGTAAAAATTCCTGGTATAGTATTATTATTACAACAAGACAGTCTATGCCTGTTGAAACTGGCACTTTTTCTTTCCCAAAACTAATTTTATTCTTTAAGGGGCATGCTATCTTGAAAAGGAGGGCAAATAGAGCTGCCTGTGAAAAGGAATAATATAAAACGGAGACCCGGCCGCCGTGATGCTGTCCCGGTCCCACTGTGTCCCGGGCGTTCAGCCACTCGCTCTCTGCCTTCCAGAAGGGGAACTGCCCTCTAGGGAGACATTCCCTGCCTGGGGTCTCCTTATGCCAGGGACCAGGTTACCCTAACAGCAGGAAGGTTGTCATTAACAACAGTGTCTTCAGTGTTCGCTTCTTCAGAACTACAACTGTATGCAAGTATGACTTGGTTACAGTCAAAACCCCAGCGTTTGCAGAACCTGTCACAGAGGGAGATGTCAGGTGGGAGAAAGCTGTTGGAGACACAGTTGCAGAAGATGAAGTGGTTTGTGAGATTGAAACTGACAAGACATTGGTGCAGGTTCCATCACCAGCAAATGGCATGATTGAAGCTCTTTTCGTACCTGATGGGGGAAAAGTCGAAGGAGGCACTCCGCTTTTCACACTCAGGAAAACTGGTGCTGCTCCTGCTAAGGCCAAGCCGGCTGAAGCTCCTGCTGCTGCAGCCCCAAAAGCAGAACCTATAGCAGCGGCAGTTCCTCCCCATGCAGCACCCATACCCACTCGATGCCACCAGTGCCCTCGCCCTCACAACCTCCTTCTAGCAAACCTGTGTCTGCAGTAAAACCCACTGCTGTCCCACCACTAGCTGAGCCAGGAGCTGGCAAAGGTCTGCATTCAGAACATCAGGAGAAAATGAACAGGATGCGGCAGTGCATTGCTCAGCGTCTGAAGGAGGCCCAGAATACATGTGCCAATGCTGACAATTTTTAATGAGATTGATGTGAGTAACATCCAGAAGATGAGGGCTCGGCACAAAGAGGCTTTTTTGAAGAAACATAACCTCAAACTAGGCTTCATGTCGGCATCTGTGAAGGCCTCAGCCTTTGCCTTGCAGGAACAGCCTGTTGTAAACGCAGTGATTGATGATATAACCAAAGAGGTGGTATATAGGGATTATATTGACATCAGTGTTGCAGTGGCCACCCCACAGGGTCTGGTGGTTCCAGTCATCAGGAATGTGGAAGCTATGAATTATGCAGATATTGAACAGACCATCACTGAACTGGGAGAGAAGGCCCGAAAGAATGAATTTGCCATTGAAGATATGGATGGTGGTACCTTCACCATTAGCAATGGAGGTGTTTTTGGCTCACTCTTTGAACACCCATTATCAACCCCCCTGTCTGCCATCCTGGGGATGCATGGCATCTTTGACAAGCCAGTGGCTATAGGAGGCAAGGTAGAGGTGCAGCCCATGATGTACGTGGCACTGACCTATGATCACCGGCTGATTGATGGCAGAGAGGCTGTGACTTTCCTCCGCAAAATCAAGGCAGCGGTAGAGGATCCCAGAGTCCTCCTCTTTGATCTTTAGGAGGAACCCACACACCCTACAAATTGATCATGCAGGAACTGAAAACCAGTCTTCTCCCTGTCCCCTCATGGGTCCCAGGTTAGCCTGGTGACAGGCACATGCTGTTGGCCTCAAGCAAGGAAGCAGAGCACTATGTAACCAGCAGTCACAGCTTTTTTCTTGGTGTTCCTGCCTGGCTCTCTCCCTCTCTGCACCTGTCTCATACCCTCGAATATCTTAATTCCTTAGGCTTGAGAGAGAGAGCCTTAATGGATGCTCATTCATATTCCTGCCTTTCTTCCATCAGCTCTCTGCAAAGATGATTTTGCTTCTCCCTAGTGCTGGTATACTATAGAGAAACCCCCGAGGACCATGTGATTAAGTTCCTATCTTTTGAAAGTTTGTTCTGCAGAGACATCTAGGAGGATGCTGTGCCTCCCAAGCTCAGAGCAGCCTCTGTCCTGGCTGTGCACATTCTCGATTCCACTTGTATGGAGGGATTGAACACAGGCAAAGAGGTGCTGCTTTCCTTCTTCAATGGCACCTTCATTCTCCATTGTCATTGACTTCAAGATGCCTCTTCTACCTCTACCAGGAAGCACAGGCCAGGGGATCTGGGTGTGTGAATGGGAGGAGAGAGCAGAGGTTCCCTGAGGTCACGTGTTGTAATCATCATAGAAGGAGAGCCCAGGTCTGCCCTCACGCTCTCCATCATAGGCTCACACCAAGAAGACTCATCTTGGCACAATCTCACACAGCTGGGGCTGTAGCAACCCTTTCCTGGTTGCTGGGCCTCATTCTAGCACCTTGTTCTTACTTAGAGCAGATTCTAGCACATCATGGCAGTGGAACCAAGCGTAGTCCCGAAGAAGGGCCAGAGCCTGGTAGAGATTAGGGAAGGGAGGTCTCCTCTAGACTCAGATTGCCTTGAGCTTTTCAAGTAAGTTGCTGTAAGCCCGTGGGCTGAGGAGGCAGTTCTTGTTCCTTCCTGCGTTATAGTGGGGCCTTGTCTCTTCCTCTGCAGGACACAGATTTGGAGGACGTGGACTGGGGTAGGAAACCACCCTGAGGGTGTTAGTAGATAGTGGTGTAATGGATGAGGTCATTTCTAAGATGTGTTGCCGGTGGATCTGGGCACAATCATTGGAATTCCTTGGAGCTACTGGGATTCATGGCTTTGTATCCAACTGCATCCAGGCCTGAGGCTGCTGACATTTGACACTAGGGCCAGTAGAGAGTGCCTTTTTGTATCTTGAGCCAAGAAGTGAGGCCTGGGGGTGGGGAGGGGGGAAGGGGTGGGAGCCAATACTGAGTGCCTGCAGCATCTACTACTCTGTCTTCACTATTCAGAACTTGTAACTAAAGTATTTAAAGAAACTGATTTTAAATGCAAATTAAAGGGCAGATGTTCTCAAAAAAATAAATAAATAAAATGGAGATCCATATGTTCCAACTACTGTTTCTTTATGCAGCAAGTCAGTGTTTTTGTTATAGCTGAGTTATTATGAATATTTGCTGATTTTTTCCTACAGAAGAATTTCTCAGAAAGATCTTGAAGTGCAACATAAGAAAAAAATGCAAATATCCAAGCATCTGTCTAATTCATGTTCTATATATCCTGGTACACGAAAAATTCTTTTAAAAAGGTATATTCTTCCCTAAACAACACAAACTTATTTTCTTTGGTTAAAACCAATACATTACCACTCATTCTATAGTTTTATTTAATAATAGTAACAAAATCGTAAAAATTGTTATCTGGTTTCATATATTACCTAATTTGCCTTACTATATGAACAGTGAACAGTTGTAATCAGTTCTTTCTTTTTGTTTTAATTTTGTAAAGATGGGGTCTCGTTATGTTGCCCAAGCTGGTCTTGAACCCCTGGGCTCAAGCAATCCTCCTGCCTCAGCCTCCAAAACTGCTGGGATTGTAGACGTGAGTGATTGCACCTGGCTAATCCGTTTTTAAAATTACGAAAACTTCAAACTGCATTGTTAGATTTCTCTCAACTTGTTAAATTTTAATAGTTTCTTCACTTTTTATTAGTTGCTGATATTACCAGGAATTGGTTAAAGGTAAAGATATAGCACTCCATAATACTGAATATATTTAGGATGCTCATAAGGAATTGACTGATATGTTTAATCTAAGTAACTTTTTAGTAGGCTCACTCTGAAAAAAAATGATGTTTTATTTGCTAGAAAACTGTAGTATATGGCACACAAATATATTGAATCTGAATTTTTTACAAAGAGAGACAGGTCATTTAGTACATTATTCCAATCAATAAAAAGTTATTCTAGAAACTCTCTATATACTTGTAGTGATGGGTAAATACAGTATTTCCCATGACAACTTAACAGCACTGCTGATAGAAAGCCTGTCCTTATGTTAAGCTAAATTCTACATTTTTCTAACTTTCACTCATTAATTCTAAGCTGGCATCCTGAAGTAAACATATAAGCCTGATCATCTTTCTGTGTAATAATATTTGAAAAACTTCAAGATTCTTCCAAAATAACCAAGGCTTTGCTTTTCAGAACATGTTTTGTAGGCTCCTCCTAATGCAAGATACTTACATGCTTCTAGATTTAGTCAAGTTTTTCAATACATGTTTTAAAATGTGTTGCCCAGAACTGTCACCATTTTTTCTCTATTTGATGCTGTACTTCTATTACTTTGGCTTAAAATTACATTGGCTTTTTAAAGGCTCATACTATTGATTCTTATTGAACTTAACAGTTATTGAACTTTCCTCATCTTTTATCAACAAATAATCGAGTGTTTTTTTTTAGTATTTTATATTTATACAAATTATTTTTGATCCTTTGTTGAACTTCATATTTTTTGACCATATATTAGAAAATTTCAGATTTTATTAAAGTCAAATTCTGTCTTCTCTAATAGATAACCTGTTTTAAGACTGACTCTGTTTATTTCTGACATCTGGAGACAGGCACTATACCAAAGGTTCTCCTTTTTCCTTAGGGTTTTAGGGATTCCAAGGAGCGGCTGGTATAGGAGATGAGGAGTGGAGATAATAAGCCAAGTAGACAGAGTGCTAGCCTTCCTAATCAGATTCAAACAGAGCACGCATTTGTATTTTATTTTACACATTAAACTTCTGAGAGTTAATTTGAAAAAACAGTGCAGGGGCTTAAAATTAGTTTTTGAAAATCACTGAACTGTTTATAATCTCCTTTAGGCCTTCCAGTTCCACAAACATACCTTAACTGTAGTGGTTTAAAAATATACAGAAAGAAAGAGAGATTTGAAGATAAAACAATTAAGAAAAAATATACAAAGATGTTTTGAACAACATACCAATTAGCTTTTCCTCCGTTGGTTATCCACATCTTCTGACCATTAATAATATACTCATCTCCTTTCTTTTCTGCTTTGGTCTTTATACCAGCTACATCAGAGCCTGCTCCAGGTTCTGTTACACAATAAGCCTTGAATATATAAAAACAAGAGAAATGAAATTAAATGTTAGTGATTAAATTTTGACTGTTTGGAAACAGGATTGTTTTATTTTTTAAGCTGTATTTTAAATATTTTTAAATATCTAAAATTAAAATGTTCTTACAAAATCAAAGAAACCACTCAAATGTAAAAACTTTTCTGTTTTGTTTGTAAGAGACAGGGTCTCACTCTCTTGCCCAGGCTGGAATGCAGAGGCTCAATGCAGTCTTGGCTTCCTGGACTCAGGAAATCCTCCCGCCTCAGCCTCCCGTGTATAATAGCTGAGACTGCAAGCACACATCACCATGCCCAGCTAATTTTAAATTTTTTGTAGACATGGCATCTCACTGTGTTGCCTAGGCTGGTCTCAACCTCCTGGGCTCAGGCAATCCTCTGCCTCAGCCTCCCAAAGTGCTGGGACTACAGGTATGAGCCACAGTGCCTGGCCTAAAAACACTTAATATATAATTCAAATTAGGCATAGGTATATCAACAAATCATATATTTAATAAAAAGTGAAAATGTTAGATAGCTTTAAACAAGTTCATTAAATTCAATTTCACATGTATTCATTCATGCAAACATGTATTGAATATCTACTATGTACCACGATGTAAATTAGGATATGGGGAAACCAGAGGTAAAAGACATTCAGTCCTAGAGATTTTCACAATGTAACAGTGAAGATAAATAACTATACTGCAACTCTATGTGTGAAAGTCAGACAAGGGGCTTGAGAAACTAGTTTCCCAGGGCAGAGGATGTTTAAATTAAGTCTCAAAAAGGAAAATGGCTTCTTTGCGAGGAGGGAAAAAGAGGAAGAATATGCATTCCAGGTACAAGTAATGGCATATGCTATGACACTAAGATAAGAAACAGAGTTACCCAGTGTTTCTAATGCTGAAAGTACCAGAGTTCCACAGTATGTAAATTCTGTGCATGTAAGGGAATGGTAAGACATGAGTCTGGAAAGAAAGGAAGGAAATGGTCGACGAGAATCTTTTATATCACATTACAAATTTAAAATTTTATCTGGTAGAAACAGGGGAGCCTCTTAGAGCTCTTAAACAGAGGAGTGACAAGACACAAGCAGTAATGGATAAAAGGGGGTGGTAGAAGGCAAGTGTTAGTGCAAGTTAATTCAAGAGTGGCCGGTACTGTGGATACTAAAGAAACAAGTTACTTGCCCTTAAGGTACTTACAGTCCAAAGAAGAAAGAAACTGGGCCGAGCATGGTGGCCCCCCACCTGTAATCCTAGCATTTTGTGAGGCTGAGATGGGAGGATCGCTTGAGACCAGGAGTTCAAGACCAGCCTGGTCAACATGCCGAGAACCCATGTCAATTTATTTTTTAAAAATATACAACAAAAAAGAAAGAAACTATATACATTTTAATTCAAAGTAGTAAGCATATATAGGGGCACTAGAAATGATTACTTAGGGCCGGGCGTGGTGGCTGAGGCTTCAGGTTTGTAATCCCAGCACTTTGGGAGGCCGAGGCAGGTGGGTCACCTGAGGTTAGGAGTTCGAGACCAGCCTGGCCAACATGGTGAAACCCTGTCTCTACTAAAAATACAAAAACTTAGCCAGGCTTGGTGGCGGGCGCCTGTAATCCCAGCTACTTGGGAGGCTGAGGAAGAATTGCTTGAACCTGGGAGGTGGAGGTTGCAGTGAGCCGAGATGGTGCCACTGCACTCCAGCCTAGGCAACAGAGCGAGACTCCATTTCAGAAAAAAAAAATAATAACAATACTTGGCTGGGCATGGTGGCTCACACCTGTAATTCCAGCACATTGGGAGGCCAAGGTGGGCAGATCATGAGGTCAGGAGATAGAGACCATCCTGGCTAACACAGTGAAATCTTGTCTCTACTAAACATACAAAAAATTAGGCAGGCGTGGTGGCACGCACCTGTAGTCCCAGCTGCTTGGGAGGCTGAGGCAGGAGAATCGCTTGAACCTGGGAGGCAGAGGTTGCAGTGGGCCAAGATCACACCACTGCACTCCGACCTGGGCAACAGAGCGAGACTCCGTCTCAAAAAATAAATAAATAAATAAATATAACTATACTCAAACATCTGAAGGGCAATATAGCCAAAGAAAAGTACAGTGAAATCACTCTAACATTTATTGAACACCTATTACAGTATGAACTGGTAAAATTATAAAAAAAAAAATGACAGGTTCTGTGCTTAAGCATTATGTAATCCAAAATATTTTTCTAATGATAACAGATGCTCGCAAATGATGCTGTTTCAGAAGGTGTTGATTCCCAGGCACCTGAGGTATAAAAACATGTCAGCCAGATGGTCTTTTGACAGGGATTCTGTAGAGGGGATTCAGGTGTCACTCAAGTTAACTGAACTAGATTACTCTGCTACCTGGAGATTTGATGTATTCAGCATCATGACAAATTAAGGAGTTGTCCATAAAAGATGCCCCTTTTAAGTACCAAAATTTTGTTTTAACCACCTTTAAGGTATTTTTTTCCCTGAAATATGCTATTAGACATCTGTCTGTTTCATAATACAGTGAAGTTTTTAGAGCCTGTGAAGTAAATGAGCCTGTTTTTTTCTATACAAAATGGCTTGTCACTACTGGTTCCTCAGAGTTGTTTTTGTCTTCTTTTCTTCTTTTTGGTTTCATATATATATATATATATATATATATATATATATATATATATATATATTTGTGTGTGTGTGTGGTGGCAGTCTCTCAACGTTGTCCAGGCTGGTCTTGAACTCCTGGCCTCAAGCGATCCTCCTGCCTTGGCTTCCCAAAGTGTTAAGATTACAGGCATGAGCCACCATGCCTGGCCTGTTCTTGGCTTCTTATTTGATCATTTTTATTTATTTTTTTTCTGTATTATTTTTTACCATAACATTATTTTCCAAAGTAAAAACCCAAGGAGTTTAAACATTCAACAGTACAGAAAAGTGAAACAATTTATAGCATATCCATTAGATAGCAAATTATGCAGTATTGTTACAGCATGTAAAAAGAAGGAAGGCATAAGAAAATGTTCATGTTGTTAAATAAAGATGTACATAAAACTACATGTATATAATGGGGGCTAACTGTTAAAAACACAATTACATATTTAAAAATGTGGTAGGCACTACAATAAGGAAGTAATACTAATTAACTCCATATCTGAGGGATTACAGATATTTTTGTTCTACTTAAAACATTTCTAAATTTTCTATACTCAGTATTTTATAATTAGAAAAGTTATAAAATTTTAATTTTTTAAAAGTTTGCCTTTGGCATCCACGAATTTTGGAATTTAACCAACTGTGGAGCAAAACCCACAGATACAAAGGGCTAACTGTACATTTTGTATAACAGACTTGGCAACCAAAAATTTTGATATGGAGGGCAACCTGTCCTAAACTATTCCCTCATGGATATGGAGAGCTGACTGTATATGCTACAGGAGAACAATCTAGACGTTTCACACAGTTCTTATAGACAATAGTGAGAATGTTTAGCTAACCTCTCAATTGTTAAAAAAAATTGCAAATTTCCTAGCAAATATGTACAAATTCCTTTATTAAACAGTTTGCTTGAAATTTTAGGTATCTGAAATAAAAAACATTTATTTTCAAATATTATTTTCTGTTCTTTAAGATGAATTCTCATCATTAGCTCAAAACTAATACATCTACTGTATTTCAGTATAACAACCACACCTTAGATTGAAATATGTTTGAGTAAACAAGAAGTAAAAATCCTTAGGTAAACAACAGTTTCAGAATAGAGCGTGTGTGTGTGTGTGTGTGTGTGTGTGTGTGTATGTCTGTGTGTGTATTTATCTTGTTAAAAAAATCTAATTTAAAAATTTGTTGAGTTGCTTTCAGAGGTTTAAATAAACTCTACAACTATTCTTCCCAAGTCATTCAGTCATTCAACAAATAAGTTGCTATTTCTTCAGTTACAGGTTCACATTAATTTTTATTTATTTATTCATTTATTTATTTATTTAGAGACAGGGTCTCACTGTGTTACCCAGGCTGGTCTTGAACTCCCGGGCTCAAGCAGTTCTCCTGCCTTAGCCTCTCAAAGTGCTGACATTACAGGTGTGAGCCACTATGCCCAGCCCACATTAATTGCTTTTTTTTTTTTTTGAGACAGAGTCTCACTCTGTTGCCCAGGCTGGAGTGCAGTGCCGCCATCTTTACTCAGCAACCTCTGCCTCCCAGGTTCAAGAGATTCTCATGCCTCAGCCTCCCAAGTAGCTGGCAAGCGCCACCACATCCAGCTAATTTTTGTATTTTTAGTAGAGATGGGGTTTCTCCATTTTGGCTAGGCTGGTCTCGAACTCCTAACCTCAGGTGATCCACCTGCCTCAGACTCTCAAAGTGCTGGGATTACAGGCGTGAGCCACCACGACCAGCCAACATTAATTTTTTACTAATTCAAAACACTACTAGTTCAAACACACATTGCCCTACATTCAATCTGAACTTCCTGACACAATGACTCAGTTCTTAAAGTGTAGAATGCTCCACTAAATAGAGCTCTCTCTCCTGAAGTAAGAGGATTATTATGACACTTTTTGACATCCCAAAAACATCACAAGTAGATCTCTCTTCTCCTGGAAATAAGCAACAAAATTATGATGACACCTTTTTTTTTTTTTTTTTTTTGAGACAGGGTCTCACTCACTCTGTCGCCCAGGTAGCAGTGCAGTGGTGTGATCTCTGCTCACTGCATCTTCCACTTTTCGGGTTCAAGCGATTCTTATGCCTCAGCCTCCTGAGCAGCTGGGATTATAGGCAGGCGCCATCACGCCTGGTTAATTTTTGTATTTTCAGTAGAGATGGGGTTTCACCACGTTAGCCAGGCTGTGAACTCCTAACCTCAAGTAATCTGCCCGCCTCCGCCTCCCAAAGTGCTGGGATTACAGGTGCGAGCCATTGCCCTCGGCCTATTATGATACTTTCTTGGCATCCTTGACACATCATTGTAATAATATGTTGCTAAGTTTTGTTTCAATGCTAAATATCCCAATATATACATATAGACTGAAAAGGAGAAATAGCACCTTTGTTCCCTTCTTAAGTGTGAAATAAAGCGGCAGTTACACATACTCACACACATCAATGGCTCCTCAGTCATTCTCCCCAAATACTTCTTCTTTTGTTGATCATTTCCAGCAATAATAATAGGCATTTGCTACCGAAGAAAATTGACATTAAAAAATCAAGTCATTTTTATTGGATATGTAAATTCAGAGATGCTATAATTCAAAATGAAAAAATAACTATTTTTCACCTAACAGGTAAGTCCAAAGAACTGGCCTATACCTTGCCTCTAAGTTAGAATGAGGAAATAAATCTGCTAATCTAAGTATTTTCATAAAATTAGGTTATATGTAGGACCTGTGGCATTATAATCTGTGAAAATCTACTATAGTGAAATGCACTAATAAAAAATTATGTTTAGAATATGTGACACAGTATGTATGATCAGGCCTAAGAATTGCTTGTTAGGCCGGGCGCAGTGGCTCACGCCTGTAATCCCAGCACTTTGGGAGGCCGAGGTGGGCGGATTACGAGGTCAAGAGATAGAGACCATCCTGGCCAACAGGGTGACACCCCGTCTCTACTAAAAATACAAAAAAAAAAAAAAAAAATTAGCCGGGCATGGTGGCGGGCGCCTGTAGTCCCAGTTACTTGGGAGGCTGAGACAGGAGAATGGCGTGAACCTGGGAGGCGGAGCTTGCAGTGAGCTGAGATCGCGCCACTGCACTCCAGCCTGGGCAACAGAGTGAGACTCCGTCTCAAAAAAAAAAAAAAAAAAAAATACAAAAATTAGCTGGGCGTGGTGGTGCGCACTTGTAATCCCAGCTACTCAGGAGGCTGAGGCAGGAGAATTGCTTGAACCCAGGAGGTGCAGGTTGCAGTGAGCCAAGATCGCGCTACTACACTCCAGCCTGGGCGACAGAGTGAGAAAAAAAAGAATTGCTTGCTAAATTTCAGTACTGCCATAGTGGCAGCAAACCATCCCAATCCTGCTCCTGAATTCTGGATTTAGCCCTTGGCTTTACCTAAGAATTGCCACTGAAGCTGCAGCCAAAGTATACAGTTTCCTCCAAAGGACAGTCAGAACTCCGAGTACTAGAGACAAGGCCAGAGTTATCAAGCCTCGAAATCAGAACTCCAGGCTTCACTGCTGAATCTTGTGTTCCTCTTTAAAGAAAACTGTGTGTACCCACTAACCTTACCTAGTAGTAACTGACTTTCCTTTTTTTTTCTTCTAAAAATCCAACTTCTTCAGGAGTAACTATCTCATTAACAAGAGCTGAGTTAGGTAGTTAATTTTCTAAGTCACTTACCCCCAAAGAATTTCCTTCAATAGCAGTCTGAACCCCTGTACATCCATAAGCCAATTCTTCACTAATTAAACAAGCATCAAAAGTTCCAAGTCCAAGACCTCCTACAGTATCAAAATGTTTCAACACATTGTAATATGTAGTACATCACAATAGAAATAAAGGTAAACTATTTTAATTGCTTTCAATATGACCAAAATTTGTTTTAAAAGGAAATTTGCAATATAATATCTACATGTGTTCTGGCTGGCACAATAAGAAATTATACTTTCTTAAAGCTCTAAAATTTTCAAAAAATTATTTTACTATTTGTAATTTGAACCTGTATTCCTGTTCTAACTTGATTTTGTTAAAACTCAATTCAACTCTAAAACTGGGTCTGAGGAAAAGAATCATGGTTCACAAAAAAGACTCAATAAAATGTAATATAGAAGATAGGAATAAAACACAACAAATTGACCAACTCTAGAAACGGAAGTTACCAAGGTTTAGGTGCAAGTTAAGGTTGGAACCAGTTAGAAGAAGGAAAAACGCATCTAGGTATAGAGTGCAAGCTTCCAAAAGTGGGCAAACACTGTAGTCTGAGCAGGAAGACAAAGGTAGAAAGTCATTTAATGGCAAGAAATATTTGAAAAAAATGACTGAGTAGAGTTCCACAATTTTTCTTACTCATATGCATTCCAGTATTAAAAATATAAAGAAAGCTTACCACAGTTCTCTGGAATGTGTGTGTTCATTAAACCAAGTTCCCAGGCTCTTCTAATTAGGGGGACTGGATACTAGAAGAAAAAGAACTGAGTTAAAATATATTTTGAAATCCAGATAGTTTGATTACATAATCTTGTAAAAAATGTAAAAGATTTTTCCCTCTTTAAAATGTATATACCTACTTCACCAGTTTTATCATATTCTGCAGCCACTGGGATGATTTCCTCTCTGGCAAATTTACGAGCAGTAGCTTGAAATTCTTTCTGCTGTTCGGTGAACTCTAAGGGAAAATTATTTAGAAAAGTTAAAACTGGATAACAAGGAAAAATGTCCTATGAAGTCAGTATGTAGAAATGTGTATTTATTGTGGGGACTTAAATCCTTGATTATCAGAAACTCAGACTACAGTGCATTTTTTGACTAATCAAGAGTTCACTACACAATATAAATAAACCTATGTCAATACAAATGCTAAAGGAAATAGGTAAGATTTTTAACTTTTACAAATGAGTAATAGATATTAACCTGTAGAGCTCAAGTGAGTTTTTCTTTTCCAATTGGTGATATAAAAAACGTTTAACTTATTATTAGTTCCTAAGCCAATTTATCAAATGTTTGCTAACACTGAAGTGAAACTAATATACAAGACATCTCCCTGACGACAAGAATCAATCTAACGAAATAGATGAAACACACTCAGTGACATAAAGCAATAAAACTTATTTCAAAGTGTCATATAAGAATATCAATATCATAATTTTGCTTTTTTTTTTTGAGACAGTCTCATTTTGTCACTCAGGCTGGAGTGCAGTGGTGCAATTACGACTCACTGTAGCCTCGACCTCCTGGCCTTAAATGATCTTCCCACCACAGCTTCTCAACTAGCTGGGATCACAGGCACATGCCACCATATCTGGCTAATTTTTGTAATTTTTGTAGATACAGGGTTTTGCCATGTTGCCCAAATGGGTCTAGAACTCCTGGGCTCAAATGATTCTCCCATCTTGGCCTCCCAAAGTGCTGGGAGCCACCTCACCCTATCTATTTCATTTTTTTTGTTTTCACAGAGACAGGGTCTCACTATGATGCCAGGCTGGTCTTGAACTCGTGGCCTCAAGCAATCCTCCTGCCGTGGTCTCCTAAAGTGCTGGGATTACAAGCATGAGACACCATGCCTAGGCTTACAGCTCCTTTAAACTCAGACAAGCTTATAAATTAGCACAAAGCAACTGGTAAAAGTGGTAGAAAGGTTTTTCAAAAGATAATAACATAAAATCCTGCTGCAATGCTAATAAATGGTGTCCAACAATTTGTTTACATAAAATAAGGGATTGTTTTAAAATTAATGAAATTAGTATGGTGGCTTGATTGAGGAGAGGAGTCAATTGCTAACTGCATCTTTTCAAATCCATGGTATCCTTGTGTTTTAATGTGGTTGCATCTAACGTCAAAGATTAGGTAAAATTTAAGAGATAATAGGGTATTTCAAGCAAGAAAAATGAGAGCAAATGCACAGAGGAATGTTTAAGACTACAGTAATCATTTGTATGGGGATGTGAGAAACAATACATAAAAGCTGAATTCTGGTGCTGAATTGAAGAGCATAAGATCAAATCTCTTTTTTTTTTTTTTTTTTTTTTTTTTTGAGACGGAGTCTCGCTCTGTCGCCCAGACTGGAGTGCAGTGGCGCAATCTAGGCTCACTGCAAGCTCCGCCTCCCGGGTTCACGCCATTCTCCTGTCTCAGCCTCCTGAGCAGCTGGGACTACAGGTGCCTGCCACCGCGCCCGGCTAATTTTTTTTTTTGTATTTTTAGTAGAGACGGGGTTTCACCAGGATCTCGATCTTCTGACCTCGTGATCCGCCCACCTCGGCCTCCCAAAGTGCTGGGATTACAGGCCCGAGCCACTGCGCCCAGCCAAATCTCTCTTTTTATTGATAAACTAATGCAGAGTAAGGAAATTCTAGTATCAGTCTCACAATGAATTAGCAGAAGTATACTTAAGAATTTCAGTCCAGTGTTCTCTCTATCACAGCTTTACTTCTAAGATTGGTGCCAGTTGATAGCAATCTTGCAGGTAGATAGAGGGTAGAGAAAGTCTGGGCACGGTAGCTCATGCCTATAATTCTAGAATTTTGGGAGGCTGAGGCAGGTGAACCATTTGAGGCCAGGAGTTTGGGGCCAGCCTGAGCAATATAGCAAGATCCTGTCTCAACAAAACATTTAAAAATTTAAAAAATCAGCTAGGTGTGGTTGACATGGACCTATTGTCCTAACTGCTCAGGAAGCTGAGGCGAGAGAATCCATGGAGCCCCAGAGGTCAAGGTTGCATCCAGCTTGGGTGACAGAGTGAAACCCTGTCTCTTAAAAAAAAAAAAAAGGAAAAATGACAAGTATGTATTATGTATTATTTATTGAGAAACTACTTTGATCCAGTCACTAAGTGCTAGGGGCTTTAAATACAGCATATAATTTAATCTTCATAGAAATTCTGTGTTATAGATATTATTTCCACTTTACAGATAAAGAACCAGATGCAACTGGTTCAAGGAATAGACCCGTATTGAACTTCACAATCTCCCTCCCAAACAATTATATCTAACTCATCCTCTGTCACTCAGTGAACCACCATAGATTTCTCCTGCAAGTCTCTTACTACTGAGAGAGAAATTTAAAGTGACAAGCAATCATACCAAATTAATGCTAATTATCTCAGTATGATCCACTACCCTGGCTGGGCATGCTGGCTAATGCCCATAATCCCACTTTGGGAGGACAAGACGGGTGGATCACTTGAGGCCAGGAGTTCGAGACCAGCGTTGCCAACATGGCGAAACCTCATATCTACTAATAATATAAAAATTAGCCAGGTATGGTGGCCCACACCTGTAATCTCAGCTACTTGGGTGGCTGAGGCAGGAGAATCGCTTGAACCCAGGAGGCAGAGGTTGCAATGAGCCCAGATGGAGCTACTGCAATCCAGCCTGAGCAACAGAGCAAGACTCAGTCTCAAAAAAAAAAAAAAAAAAAAAAAAAAATCCACCATCCCAAATGGCTATCCTCACAGTGCTTGAAAACTTTCATTTAGTCTTTGGCTACAGAAAGAGAAAAGAAAAAAAATTTTCATTTAGGTTGGGCACAGTGGTTCATGCCTGTAATCCCAGCACTTTGGGAGGCAGAGGTGGGTGGATCACTTGTCTTCAGCTGTTCGAGACCAGCCTGGCCAACGTGGCAAAACCCCATCCCTACTAAAAATATAGAAATTAGCCAGGCATGATGACCCACACCTGTAGTCCCAGCTACTCAGGAGGCTGGGGCAGGAGAATCGCTTGATCCTGGGAGGTAGAGGTTGCAGTGAGCCACTTGCACACCAGCCTGGGTGACAGAGTGAGACTCTGTCTCAAAAAAAAGAAAAGAGAAAATTTTCATCCAGTCTTTGGCTAGAAGTCACAGGAAAAAAAAAAAAAACACAGAAACTTTTCATTTGGTCTGGGTGCAGTAGCTCATGCCTATAATCCCAGCACTTTGGGAGGCTGAAATAAGAGGACTGCTTGAGCCTAGGAGTTCAAGATCGGCCTGGGCAACATAATGAGACAATGAAACCTCATCTTAAAAAAAAAAAAAAAAAGAAAAAAGAAAGAAAGAAAAAGAAAAGAAAAATTTCATTAAATTCTGGTAAGAAAAAAAAAAACCTTTATAAAGAAAAGGGAAAAATCTTTAAAAAACACAACAAATAATAAAAAAAATAACTCTGGAGAGCTTTGAGATTGTCATTTGTACCTAGCTGTGAGTTATCGCAGCTGCCTTTAACTATTTTCTGAGACCAAATAAATTGAGTAAATGGTTTTTAACTAGAGAAAAAATAAAAATTTTGAAGAAGCACTTTAGAAGGCCAAGAATGCCAAAGATAGATATTATTTCAAATTTTTTGTGTGTAGTTTTCATTTTATAGAGGGCAGAGGAAAAAAAATCATGGCTCCCTGGTCCCAGGAGTGAGAACTTCATCTAATAGTACCAAAATTGCAATTTGGATATATTATAGCAAAAACAAGCTTTAGCTTATTACCAGGCACCTAGAATTGTAATCTAACAAGTGTTTTTAAAATGTATTTGTGGCATTCAGATATGTAAGTTGAAGACTATTCATATATATCAGTAAATCTCATTTATTTTGGGCTAAACACTCAGAAAAAAAGGAAGGAATTTAAGTGTATGTATGCTGCTAAAACAGATCTAATGTACAGTGTAGTATACTGAGGAAGAAAATGAGATCAGGAAGAATGGAGTGTGAGTTATTGTAAATTATCTGTGGACAGTGGACTGGTTCTACTCATTGAAAGACATTATTAAGTTTATTTACAAACATATTCCAAACAAAACATATAAAGCTTCATATGTATAAGTTTAAAGTCAAAAGATAGAACCGAACATATACCAAAACTAAATCCTAATCCTGGTTCACGTTGTCGATTGGCTTTTGTATGCTGTGATCTCCAATGAAAACGAGAAATACTTCTCAGGACCTGTAAAGAACACTTTTATTAAAATAAATTTGATAAGTTAAACATTAATCAGATAAGAGACTACTGATAATCATAAGTGAGTACAGCAACTGGTTTGACCATACTCATAGTTTTTAAAGTCATCACTATTTAAATGCCTTCAATCATAATTTAAATAAGCCAATTATCAGTTATATAAATTCCTATTACAGAGGAGATGTTTTTAAAAAGTAATGAAAATAAAGTCAGTGGTATTTATACTACTGAAGTGGAGGGTTTAGGACAAACAACAGTCAAGGGTAGTAGTAGATGTAGGACCACTATTCTGGGTATCTTACAAGCTCCTAGGACATTAATGGTTGGAGAGTTGGGGTGGGGAGAACGATAGGCTGGAAGTGAACATACTGTGTTCAAGAGTTGCCTAGTCCATCAACTTTGATACCCTGTCACTGTGAGCCTCCCATGCATGCCTCTGGAAACCTTCCCCTCAGAGGATCTCATTTTTTAGGATACCCCACTCTAACAAAACAAATTAGCATAAAACCATGTTCTGTATTTTCTGCTGTCTACAGGGATTCTTACAATGTTCTGAGCAAGGAGTCACCAAACCAGTGCAGCCACATCATGCTGTCTATTGCCGCTTTCACAGCAGATCTAAGTAGTTACCACAGAGACCATCTGGTTCACAAAGCCAAAAACATGTACTATCCGTTCCTTTACAAACACGTTTGCCATCCCTCTTCTAAACTACTAATACACTACTTGTCTTAGGATCTGAAATATAGTCATATTTCTTCAAAGGAACATATAAAGAAACAAACAATCAAATATACATATATTATTGTTTTGCAACCCATTTTTATATTCATGACAGTTTAATGGATACAAAAGTAAAAATTTGCATTTATTAAAGCTGCCAAACTGGGAACCACAATGGTGTTCTTGAGTAAAGGTTTCAGGACAGTCAAAATTACACAATTTTCACTGTAAAAGATTTTAATTGAACTATCCAGCAATTTTAACAAGCTTAGATACTAAGAGAAAAGAGCAGCTGAAGAATATACTAAAGTTTCTTTATTTAAATTCTTATGTTTTTCAAAATCCGTAAAAAGAAACTGTCTTTGTAGATGACAATTTCAACTTATAAAAGACGAATTCCTACATGTAAGGTGACAATATAATTAAGAGTGTCAAATATTTGTAATTGAAACAGTGCTTTCCAAATAACATACCTCATACTACAGTAATAAAAACATACAGAGTATGAAAACTCGCATTTTCTTTGCATCTTCATTAATTTTATTTTGAAAGTGAAACAGTGCCAGGTGGGGTGGCTCATGCGTGTAATCCCAGCACTTTGGGAGGCTGAGGTGGGCGGATCACGAGGTCAGGGGTTTGAGACCAGCCTGACCAACATGGTGAAACCCCATTTCTACTAAAAATACAAAAATTAGCCAGGTGTGGTGGCACGCACCTGTAGTCCCAGCTACTCGGGACGCTGAGGCAGGAGAATCGCTTGAACCCGGAAGGCGGAGGTTGCAGTGAGCCTAGACTGCACCATTGCATTCCAGCCTGGGTGACAGAGCAAGACTCCGTCTCAAAAAAAAAAAAAAAAAAAAAAGTGAAACAGTTTCTCTGGTGCTTATTGTCCAGCAGTCACAGACCAAATCTACTCTGATTTACAGTCGCGTTACACAGGTTAATTCACTGAATCCCAGGTCAAGTCTAGGATTAAGCCATTACTTTTATTCCACTTTCGCATGTGAAGAAACGAAGGCTCAGAAAGTCAACTAAATTAGGCAAAGTCACTCTACTATTAGTGCAACCAGGATTCTAACATTTACTATCAAGAGCGCATGCTATTAACCACCTTGCTATACTGATCTTTCTGTTAGTATCCTAATTGGTCACTAGGTTCCATAACAAAGGAAAACATTCCACAAAAATCAGAACAAAAAACCTGACTCTATTATAAATGCGTTTTTAAATACCATGCACAAAAGTCAGAACTCAAACCAGGTTAAATGGTCTACTGAGGGACTTTTTTTTTTTTTTGACAGAGTCTCCCTCTGTCACCCAGGCTAGAGTGCGGTGGAGAGATCTCCGCTCACTGCAGACTCAGCCTCCTGGGATTACAGGCATATGCTACCATGCCCAGCTAATTTTTCCTATTTTTAGTAAAGACAGGGTTTCCCTGCTTTGGCCAGGCTGGTCTCGAACTCCTGGCCTTAAGTGATCAACCCGCCGAGGCCTCCCAAGGTGCTAGGATCACAACCGTGAGCCGCCGCACCTGGCCAACCGAGGGAATTTAAATAGGGAAAAAGTCACTTCACATGTGACTGTTCAGGAAAATATGTTACATAGAACAAAGTGCAAAGGTTGCTATTACCAGAATACAATGCCCATCAACCTGTTAATTACATAACAAAGTTAGCCAGTTAATTAGAGAGGTGGTTTGCAAATAGAAAACAGAAACAGCACGGGATCTGGAGTTATAATTGCTGAATGTGAATCTAGGTTCCACAACCATATTTGTGGCCGTAGACAGGTTTACAAACTGCTTATAGCTTCCGTTCAAAACCAAAAAATGGGACTAATCTCACTGCGTATTTTCGGACGATTAAAGTACGATAATGTTTTGAAAGCCTAATGCTATATAACTATTGGTTTTATTACTTCGGGCTCTCTGTCTAGAACAATGAAATTCCAAATATCGAAACAGCACCACTAGAATTGAACACTTTTGTGCATTTCTTGGGAATATAAGAGTGTCAGTTTTATGGGTTAAAGAAGAGAAAAAGGGTGTAAGTTTTCTATATCAGGTTTTTTTTAGATCCTTCCTTGGAGGTTGAGAAATCTGCTTTTCTGGTGTAGGAGTTAAAAATAGCTGAAATCTCCCAATTTCTGCCTTCACTGCACATTAACTTGCATAACACCAGCAAAACATGGGCAGCAATTCTTTAGGATTATTCTAAAACCGCAGCTTTTTTGGTCCAAGACATAACTTTAACTTAATTTTAAGTGACATCTAAATGGCAGTGGTGTGAACATATCAAGAATATTTAAGATACCAAAATTCATCTAGTGACAAACTTATTTAGAATCTATTAAGATCCAATACTAGAATATACACACAAGTTCACATAAAATTCTGCAGGTTTTTTTTTTACTTTTTTTTTTCCCGTAAGCAACGTGGAAACGTTACAACGAAAAGCTTATTAAACATTAAGTATTTCAAGGAGTAGCTGCTCCATTTTTCTTTTTCCCGTGGTTCTGACACAGAGACGGGGTCACTTTGGAAAAAGGTGGGATTCCCGCGGTAAATATTTGGAGGGTTTACCAGAGAAAGAAAAACGATATTCTAAAGAGAGGATGCCGGCTATAACGGGGTCGCCTGACGGGAGGATACGGAAAATGAAACGCTAGGCTACGTTCCGTCCGGTGGTAGGAGGCGTGAAAGCAGGTTGGGGGCCCCTAGGCTGGCTCCTTCCTCAGCCCGACTTCCCACTCCTCCCGGCCGCACCTATTTTTGGCCCAGGGCCCCCTGCTCCGACACCACAATACCCATGTTCCAGCCCCACCGCACCGCTGGGCTCCCTCTCACCCTGCAGCATCGCCCGAACCCCGCTGCCATGTTGGCTCCCGTTCCGGCCACTCGGACAATAATACACGGGTCACGGCCTTGACATACTCCCCGAACGCGGGACTCCTCTGGTCCCGCCCACTGGAGCCCGTGGGCGGGATGGGGCGGGGCGGGAAGAGGCGGTTGGGCTGCGGAAGGACGGGGCGCTGCGCTAGGCGGGGTGGCAGCGGTCCCCGGCGCCGGGTAGCCAACGCATGCTCCGTGACCCTTGCGTGCGCCGTCGCTGCGACCTGGGGAGGGGTCGCATCCCCTCTCCGGGCAATCTCTGATAGTCCTGGTTTGGTTTTCTGCGTTTCCACCTCTGGCCCTCTCTGTGGGACGCCGAGGCTGACCGCAGCGCGGAAAGAGAGCCAGGGCGGGGGAGGGGGACGGCGGCGGGGCTGGGAGGGCCCGGTTGCGCTGAACGGTGGGGGGACTTGCGGCGCGGTGCAGGACGGGAACCTGGGTTAGAGGGCGTGGCTGGGGCCTGGAGGGAGAGCGGCCCCCGTGGTCAGCCTTCACCTTTACCCGGAGAGAACGGTCAAACCCAGATCGTGTCTGCTTGGCGGATTCAAAGTATTAGTACATTTTGCTCTCAAATGCCCTACCTAAAGCGAAAGCATACTTGTGTTTCCTTAAAATTTAAAAGAGAATTTAATTGTTTAGGTAAATTTGACCTTTCCGCGTATTCCCAAGGCTGTTTATGACTTGTCCGCTGATGTGGTGTCCTTGGATATGCGGGTGCAATCCGAGGCTGTCCAAAGCTCCTGGTTCAGCGAATGATGGAAGTGAATGTCTCCCTGAGGAATTCTACCTGGAGTCACTTTCTCTTCCAGTGAGACCCTGAGTTTTGAGATGGTAGCTTATACTAAATCTTATACTAACTTAACATTTTCTTTTGCCCAATAAAGGTCACCCATAAATTCATCTAATTTAGCTGTTAAAATTCTATATCCTGTTATTGTATTCCCCTACTTTGTCTTCTGGGAATTTATAGTGTGTTAGTCCTAGGTACAAGGCAGAATGTTAATTAAGCGCTATATTCAAAGTGAAAGTACCAGGAAAATTCGGAAAAGGGATAAAGAGCTGAGTTTGTCCTGGTATAGGCAAGAAAGCCTTCAAAGTGGTGGTGGTAAGTAAAACACAAAGCGGACTCTTAAAGATGATTAGGAATTGTCTATTCATGTCTCCTTTGTTCCAATTTCTTATTCTGAACATTTTAAACACAGAAAAGATGAACGAAAAGCACAAAATCACCCATATGCCTATTGTAACCCCTTCTTACTGTACACGTGGCTGGCAGAGAAGCGAAGATGGAGCCCTCATCTTAAACATGTCTAGTCGGTAGTTCCTGCCACCATTCACCCAAGCAAGCTACCCCCTTGTTTGTCTGTGCCTGCAGCTCGACTTCACAGGCTGCTCTTAGAAAAGGATTTGGGGCTGCTTTTCATTAAAAAGAAAAGCCTTACTGATGTTGGGAACGGGCGCTCAGTGTTGCAAAAATCAACACTGAGACAAAGGAGCTCTTAGCAAGGCTAGTTTACTTTCTGCAGAAAGGTTGCCGCTCGCTAGTAGTCTTGCCACGAGAGCACACACGCATAAAGGAGACAGGGTCATTTATAACCTGACACGTGCACCCTACTACCGTGTCCGGTTTCCATTGGCTGGAAGGGGACCTCTGTACTTGTCCTGATTGGCTAGCAACTTAGAACTTTCCAAAAGAGGCAAAGACAGAGGAGAACAAAGGAAGGAGGAAGCAACTTGTGGAATGCTGAGAAAGGTAAAAACACCTCCAGATAAGGAAGAAAACAGGCTATGGCCTAATGCTTCCTTGGACCAGTATAAGCATGCCAGGGCAAATATCTAGGCTAAAATGTGGCAGCTAAGAGCACAAAGTACATTGATTTCTTTATTACGGCCAACAGATATCAAAGAATGTTAGTGTGGCCAACTGCCACGGTTACTACTTGAGACCATCGTTACAGCAGTTACTACTGTTACTGCTTGAGACCATCATTGTGAGATCAAATGAAGGGACGAACGTAGAAATGATAACTTAAGACAAAAGGAACTGTTTTAAGGAAAGGGCCAGGGGAAGAAGAAGAGAGCTCCCTGCTTCTCGTGAGCAAAGGCAGCCACAGAGCTTCCACAGCCCTTCCTATTTTTTGGGTAACAGGAGCAGGGAGGAGGTGGTAACGATTGGTCAGCTGCTTAATTGATCACAGGTTCATATTGTTACTGACAGGCTTCAATTATGCCTAATCATAAGAAACATTTGTGCCTAGATCGTAACTACCCTCAGCAGTCCTCCTGGGTGGCATACGCAGTTTGTCAGTTCGCCAACGTTCTGCATTTATGAGAAACAGTTTGCTGCTTACTCATATAGCCTCCAGTGATATACTGAGTTGATCACGAACCTCATTGTTTCGGCCTCCAATATGTTAGCACAGTTCTTTGAATAAATTTTGCTTTTAAGAGAAGTTACTGTTTATTCCTAATTAGACGGAAAGGAAAGTCCATTTGAAGAGGAACCTCTACTTCACTTTTTACACTGAGGACTCCCATACTCGTACTATCGGCCTGAGTAATTTCTTCTCAATATCATTATCACCTAGATTCAAATATTTTTCCATATTTATTTATATATTTATATGTGTACCTATGTGTGTGTGTTTTGGTTGTTGGTTTTATTTTTCTCAGATCTGTAGGTTGTAGATAAGACACTTCAGTTCAGAATACTTTAGCTATATGTCTCCTACAAGGACATTTTCCTATATAACCATTTCCTATAAAACCTTTATCACATCAATGAAAATTAACAATTATTCGCTACTATTATTTAAGGTCCAGAGAATATTTACATTTCTCCAGTTGTCCAGTTGTCTCCAGAATACCTTTTGTAAATAGTTTGTTTTTGAACCAGGATCCTATGAATGATTGCCCATTGAAGTTGGGCTTTAACTTTCTTTGGCTTCTTTTAATCTAAAGCTTTTAATCTAATTCATTTTTCCCAATAATAACTGTCTTTTTAAACAAATTTAAGATACCAAGCAGTTGTCATGAAGAATGCCCTAATGCTGGATTGTCCGATTTTATTTATTTTGTACCTCTAGATTTTGTATTTCCTATCAGTTGCAAGTTACCAGAGGCTTGAGGAGTTCAGATTAAACATTGGATAAGGATACTTCAAAGGTCATACTGTGTAGTTAATATTGTATTACATTAGGAGGCATTTAATATCAGATTTGTCCCACTATTGGTGATGGTGTAAGCCAGCAGTGTCCAATCTTTTGGCTTCCCTGGGCCACACTGGAAGAAAAAGAATTGTCTTGGGCTATACATAAAATACACTAACACTAATGTTAACTGATAAGCTACAAACCAAAACAAAAACGCAAGAAAATTTCATAACGTTTTAAGAAAGCTTACAAATTTATGTTGGGCTGCATGCAAAGCTGTCCTGAGCTGCATGTGGCCTGTGGGTTGCATGTGGTCTGTGGGCAGCAGGTTGGACAAGCTTGCTGTAAACCAAAAACAAAATTCTAAATTCCCCCCAACTATCTGAATGGACTTTCTCGTAGGCTAGGGCACTCTAAAATTTAAATTTAACCTGAAAGACTACTTCAGGCCATGATGGGAAGTGGGGGTTGGACATGCCTCTTTATACCTCAGTGATGTTAACATCAACACAGACCTTAAGTCTGATAAGAAACATTTACAATCTCTTCTCTCTGAAGGAGAGAGATAACAGAATGCTTTTCTGTTCTCACCTGAAGGCTTCCTTTGCACAATAAGAACTTTGGTCTCCACAATCCTTTAATCTTAACCCAGACATTTCCTTTCTGTTGGTTCCAGGTCTTTAGATAAACTTAACCAAGTGTCAGCCAGAAAATGTTTAAATCTGCCTATAACCTGGAACCTCCCCCCGCCTACCCCCCCAGCTCCACCCCTGCTTCAAGTTGTCCTGTCTTTCTGAACTGAACCAATGTATTTCTTAAATGTATTTGATTGAAGTCTCATATTTCCCTAAAATATATAAAACCAACCTGCACCCCAACCACCCTGAGCACATGTTCTCAGGATCTCCCAAGGACTGTGTCGTGGGCCATGATCACTCATATTTGGCTCGGAATAAATCTCTTCAAATATTTTACAAAGTTTGACTCTTTGTTGACAATGCTATTTGATCATTTGATTATTGACAGACAGTTCTTTCTATGGTAAAGTTATAGTTTTCCCTTTGCAATTAGGAAGTAATTTATAGGGTAATATTTGGCATCATGCCAAACAATCTTTCATCTACATTTTTGCCAGTAGTAGGAATAGAACCATCTCTCAAGAAATACCTTTTTATTAATTAAGCACTGTTTCACAAAACTTCTCTACATTTTTAGGTGAAATAATTCGAACGTCTCCCTGGTGTTCCTTCTCCCTAACCCATCTATTTCAAGGTAAGCAGGACTATACAGACCTACGCTCCAAAGTCTAAGGAAGCTGAGAGGCTAAAGAAAGAGGCTGACACATTAACGTTTCTCAAAAAGAAACATTTAATGGAGACTTAAAAACAGAAGCCCTGTCTGCATCTCAGGCGGCAGTGAGACAAGATGGTGGATCCCAGTGCCATTACCCCTCAGACCCAGGGGTTGTATACCACAGGGAAAGGGTGACTCAGAAGGGACATGTAGGACAATTGAAATACAATAACATCAAAGTTGTCTTGATCTAAGGGCAGGATTTACAGTAAGTACATGCTTTTACACAAGAAACAATAGAGAGAGGGGAAATCTTAGAAGCCTTCCCAGAACAGGGGAAGTCCACATGGTGGATTAACATCCTAGGTGGCGTTGCTTTGTCCTCCACATTCCACTAATTCATGTGTAGAGTCTCACGCACCCTTCTTTTTTGCAATGGTCCCAGAGCCTTTGAAATCCCACTGGGCCATATTGGTTTCTCATTGCCAACATACTCCTTGGGATTTCAAACAAGGGAGATTGACAGGCTTCGTTGAATTTCTCTAGTCTTCAGAATACTATGACTTTAGTTTTCTCGGAAGTAAAACAACAAAAGATACATAGCATCAATAATTTGAATAGTAGAAATACAATCCACACAAGGATTACAATCAGAAGAGAATTTGTATGCCAGAACAAAAATGAAAGGAGCCTATTCGAGTAAGCAGCCAACTAAAAGCATCATGAAGAAAATTAAAACCAAGTTCCTTTTTAGAGACTTCTTGTAGCCAGGAAATAATTCAGGATTTAGTCCAAATTATAGGCAAATTATAAAAACTCAAAAGCAGTGGTCAGGGCTAGAATCTAAGATTTTTTTTTCTCCAGTTTTCTTATTTCTACCAAGGATAAATTATACTAGGACCAATTTATTTGCAAAATAAATTTGTCTCATTATATTGGCCTGGTTATTTGAATAAATTGTAGCAGGAATAGTGATCAGCCATATAGGCTCCTTTTAAGTTGGCTTTGCTAGAACTATCAGAATTTTTTATTCCAGTGTTTTAAAGCCTCAACGCCAGAAGCAAAGCCAAGGATTCACCATTAGACTGCATTTATAATACCTGTACAAATTTCTCTCTTCTTGAGGTCTCAAAATATCTTGAGATTTCTGATCCTGTTAGAAAGTGACATTCATTACTTACCACGGGTCAGGAAACTTCTTAGGGAACCAGTCTTTCCATGGGCTTTTTATTGGCTCTCTGCAGTCAACTTCAATTCCCCAAGCAGATTGATCATGTCTGAAAATAGACCATTCCAGTCAAAGCCTTGGTAAAATAATGTGTCTCCAATTGTGTCCTATTACAAAAGAAAACATTCATATTGAACATATGTACATAACTATATTGCCATAAAATAACACAAATAGTTTTCAAATTTGGGAGAACTCATATAGAGAGAAGGACAAATTTTGCTTACAAAAATACACTTAATCATTATAAGTTATAAAGAGCTCAAAACAAAAAAGTTTTCTTGACTCTTCTTCAATCAGAGTAATGCCTTCCAAACAGGATGTTGCCTGATGACCTTGGAACTGCCATCCACAAGCCAAGCAACTCTTAGGTTAGAGCTGTTTGTCAGGTACTATGGTATCCAGCAACTCCTCACCAGTTCCAGGATCAGTCCTAGGAGAGAAAGAGGCTCGCAGCTCATGAGTATATCCTCTTTGCACTCCTCAGGTAGCAAGATCCATTCCCATTTTATTATGTACTCTTCTGGGCACTGCTATCCCCGTTAGAGTGTTTCTCTGACATCACTCCAGACAGCATGTGTATTTTAGGTGTCAAGATCATTTTATGTCCTCCAGTCATAGGGATAGCTTCTGTTAATGTCCCATTCCAAGGCAGAAATGCCTCTCAAGTAGAAATTCTGTAGTCCACAGTCCCAGTAGTGGTTGTTGGGAGGTGCTCACAGGCCTTTGCTATGACCCCTAGTAAACACTCCACAAAGGGCTATCAAGTGGAGGTTTCATCCCTACCAGCACTCCATCTTCTACTCTACCCTCTGAGGGCTTGAGCAATTTACTGGCTCCCATTTAGCATGTCCAGTTAATATTGCTTAAATGGCAGATTTACCATTACTAGAAATGCCTTCTAGTTTGCAGTACTAAGTAGGAGAAACATGCTCTGGTCAGATACAATGTCCGTTTTCATGAAACATTTAAGTAAAGGTGTCACAACTTTATATAAAGTTTATTTACAAACTTTTTAACTTTCATAATCCTATCAATCTTTACATTTTTGTGTTCTAGCCCCAGAAACTTTTCTTCTCCACCCAAGATCATTTTGTAAAAAAGCCTCTGGTGAAAAACACTTTGTGTTCCCAGTAGGGAATTGAGCCAAGGAACTTTGTATATCTTCATTAACCACCTCAACATTACCTCAGGCAATTGTTGGTCAGCTTTCTCTTTTACGATTTCTCCAATCGGGCAAATACAGAAAATTGGCCCTTTAATGTTGAGGGACCAGCAGGGGCTCCCTTTGGTCCACCGAACTTTTGGCAGTGTTGTATTAAGACCTTTGTTTTAACCCCATCAATTTCCATTTTATTCATTCCATTTCTTAATAACCATTTGAAGATTCCCACCTTGCTGGGATGAGTCCCATGACTCTAATTTTTCTCTAAGTTTCACCCCCATCAATATACATATTTTTAAATTCACCTTATTTTTTTAAAAAAATTATTTTAGGTTCAGAGGTACGTGTGCAGGTTTATTATATAGGTAAACTGCATGTCACAGGTTTGGTGCACAGATTATTTTGTCACCCAGATAATAAGCGTAGTACCCAATAGGTAGTTTTTTGATCTCCCTCTTCCTACCCTCCACCCTCAAGTAGCCCCAGTGTCTGTTGTTTCCTTCTTTGTGTCCATGTGTACTCTCAATGTTCAGATCCTACTTATGAGTGAGAACTTCTGATATTTTTTCTTTTCTTTTCCTTTTTTTTTTTTTTGAGACAGGGTCTCACTCTCTCTCCCAGACTGGAGTGCAGTGGCCCAATCTCAGCTCACTGCAACCTCCGTCTCCGAGATTCAAGTGATTCTCATGCCTCAGCCTACGGAGTAGCTGGGATTACAGGCATGAGCCACAGCGCTGGGCCAATATTTCGTTTTCTGTTCCTGTGTAAATGCGCTTAGAATAATGACCTTGAGTGCCATCTGTGTTGCTGCAAATGACATGATCTTATTTCTTTTCATGGCTGTAGAGTATTCCATGGTATATATGTACCATATTTTATTTTTTTATTTTATTTTTTTTTGGAGATGGAGTCTTGCTCTGTTGCCCAGGCTGGAGTGCAGTGGCGCGATCTCGGCTCACTGCAACTTCTGCCTCCCGGGTTCAAACGATTCTCCTGCCTCAGCCTCCCAAGTAGCTGGGACTATAGGCACATGCCACGACGCCCAGCTAATTTTTTTTGTATTTTAGTAGAGATGGGGTTTCACCCTGTTGCCCAGGCTGGTCTTGAACTCCTGAGCTCAGGCAATCTGCCCACCTCAGCCTCCTAAAGTGCTAGGATTACAGGCATGAGCCAGCATGCCCGGCCACCATATTTTCTTTATCCAGTCTATAGTTGATGGGCATTTAGGTTGACTCCGTGTCTTTTCTGTTGTGAATAATGCTGCGATAAACATACATATGCGTGTGTCTTTATGGTAGAATGATGTATATTCCTTTGGGTGTATGCCCAGTAATGGGATTTCTGGTAATTCTGTATTGAGTTCTTTGAGAAATCGCCACATTGCTTTCCACAGTGGCTGAACTAATTTACATTGCCATCAGCAGTGTATAAGCATTCCCTTTTCTTTTTGTTTTTCCTTTTTTTGAGACAGAGTGTCACTCTGTCACTTGGGCTGGAGTGCAGCGGCGTGATCATGGCTCACTTCAGCCTCGACCTCCCCAGCCCAAACCATCTTCCTTCCTCAGCCTCCCAAGTGGCTGGGACTACAGGCACAGGCCACCGTGCCTGGCTAATTTTTTGTAGAAGTGGGATCTCTTTATGTTGCCCAGGCTGGTCTCTAACTCTGGGACTCAAGCAATCCTCCACCTCGGCCTCCCAAAGTAGTGGGATTACAGGTGTGAACCAATGTGCCAGGCCAGTGTTCCCTTTTCTCCACAACCTTGCCAGCATCTGTTATGTTTTGGCTTTTTAATGATAGAGATTCTGACTGGTGTGAGATGGTATCTCATTGTGGTTTTGATTTGCATTTCTCTATTGATTACTGATGATGAACATTTTTTCATATGCTTGTTGGCCACGTGTCTCTCTTCTTTTCAAAAGTATCTGTTCATGTCTTTTGCTTACTTTTTAACGGAATTGTTTGCTTTTTGCTTGTTAATTTATTTAAATTCCTTATAGATTCTAGATATTGACCTTCATTGCAAATATTTTATATTAGATCTTTGTTTGCAAATACTTTCTACCATTCTGTAGTTTGTCTGCTTACTTTGTTGATGGTTTATTTTGCTGTTCAGAAGCTCGTTACTTTAATTGGGTCCTATTTGTCAATTTTCATTTTTGTTGCAATTGTTTTTGTCGTCTTTGTCATGAAATCTTTGCCAGGGCTTGTGTCCAGAATGGTATTTCCTAGGTTATGTTCCAGAGTTTTTATAGTTTTAGCTTTTACATTTATGGCTTTACTCCACCTTAAGTTAATTTTTGTATATGATATAAAGAAGGCATCCAGTTTTAATTTTCTGCATATGGGTAGCCAGTTACCTCAACACCATTTATTGAATAGGGAGTCTTATCCGCATCGCTTGTTTTTGTTGACTTTGTTGAAGATCAGATGGTTGTAGGTGTGCAGCTTTACTTCTGGGCTCTCTATTCTATTCCATTGGTCTTTACGTCTGTTTTTGTACCAGTACTATGCCGTTTTGGTTACTGTAGCCTTGTAGTATAGTTTGAATTTGGGTAGCATGATGTCTCTAGCTTTGTTCTTTTTGCTTAGGGTTGCCCTGGCTATTTGGGCTCCTTTTTGGTTCACATACATTTTAAAATATTGTTTTTTTAAACTCTGTGAAGAATGCCATTGGTAGTTTGACAGGAATAGCATTGAATCTGTAAATTGCTTTGGGAAGTATAGTCATTCTAACAATATTGATTCTTCCTATCCATGAGCATGGAATGTTTTTCTATTTTTCTGTGTTGTGTGTGATTTCTTTGAGCAGTGTTTTGTAATTCTCGTAGAGATCTTCCACCTCCCTGGTTAGCTATATTTCTAGGTATTTTGTTCTTTTTGTGCCTGTTGTGAATTGGACTGCATTCTTGATTTGGCTGTCAGCTTGAACATTGTTGGTGTATAGAAATGCTGCTGATTTTTGCTGGGTGCAGTGGCTCACACCTGTAATCCCAGCACTTTGGGATGCTGAGGCGAGTGGATCACCTGAGGTCAGGAGTTTGAGACCAGCCTGGCCAGCATGGTGAAACCTTGTCTCTACTAAAAATACAAAAATTAGCTGGGTGTGGTGGCACATGCCTGTAATCCCAGCTACTCAGGAGGCTGAGGCAGAATTGCTTGAACCCAGGAGGTGGAGGTTGCAGTGAGCTGAGATCGCGCCACTGCACTCCAGCCTGGGTGACAGAGTGAGACTCCGTCTCAAAAAAAAGAAAATACTACTGATTTTTGTACATTGAAATTTTGCTGAAGTGGTTTATCAGACTTAGGAGCTTTTGGGCAGAGACTGTGGGATTTTATAGGTATAGAATTACATTGTCTGCAAACAGAGATGTTGCTGACTTCCAACATCTTGACTTCCTCTCTTTCTACTTGGGTGCCTTTTATTTCTTTCCCTTGCCTGATTGCCCTGGCTAGGAATTCTAGTACTGTGTTGAATAGGAGTGGTAAGAGTGGGCATCCTTGTCTCTTCAGTATGGTGTTGGCTGTGGGTTTGTCATAGATGACTCTTATTGTTTTGAGCCATCACTTCAGTACCTAGTTAGTTGAGGGTTTTTAACATGACGGAATGTTGACTTTTATCAAGACTTTTCTGTATCTACTGAGATGATCATGTGGTTTTTATCTTTAGTTCTGTTTGTGTGATGAATCACATTTACTGATTTGCATATGTTGAACCAACCTTTTATCCCAGGGATAAAGCCTACTTGATCCTGGTGGATTAGCTTTTTGATGTGCTGCTGGATTTGGTTTACTAACATTTTGTTGAGGATTTTTGCATATATGTTCATCAAGGTTGAGAACAGTGTCTCACACCTATAGTTATAATCTCAGCACTTTGGGAGGCCAAGGCAGGAGGCTTAAGCCCAGGAGTTTGAGACCAGCCTGGACAACATAGTGAGATCCCATCTCTACAAAAAGTAAAAAATTTCCTTTGTGTGGTGGCACACACCTGTACACGCAGCTACTTGAGAAGCTGAGGCAGGAAGATTGCTCGAGCCCGGGAGGTTAAGGTTGCATTCAGCTGTGTTTGTGCCACCACACTTCAGCTTGGGCAACAAAGTGTCGGATCTCAGTGCCATTTTCCCCAGACCTAGGGCTTATATACCATAAGGAAAGAGTGACTCAGAGAGACGTATAGCACAATTTAAATATAATAACATCAAGATCATTTTGACCTAAGGGCAGGACTTACTTTAATTATGTGTCCTTACACAAGGGACAATAGATACAATATAAATCTTACAGGTGTTCTCAGAAATAGGGTGAGTCAGAAGTCATCATTGCAAAGTAGCACCAAAGATAAAGTTGCTTTGGCCTCCACCGCATCTCTCCCTAACCCATGGGCATATGATATAATTGATAGGCCATCTTTAGTTCTCCAGGTTAGTGGTTCTTAACCTGCAGTTCCAGAATAAACTTAAAATGGATCTGAGAATCCTTTGGAGTTAAATACAAAATCTTATATGTAGTCATATATTCCTGAGGAGAAGACCTTCATGCAGAAAGGAAAGTAAGAGTATATGAGTTTAGATGCCCATAGATTGGTAGACATTATGGAGGAAATAGTTGGAGACTTTCTTCTGATTGTTCCTATTTCTCAATGAAATAGGAAATAAGGTCATTAGCAGAGAATGAGGAAATGTTGGAAGTTTGAGGAAAGAGTATAAAATTATTATATCAATATACACTGTCTCCTATTTCTTTACACTTGAGAAGTAAGGATGTGAGGGGTGAATAAAAATACAGAGGTAATAGGTTCAATACATTGGCATGCCTAGTGAGTTTGAAAAGTTAATGGAACTGGAAGATTGGAGAGAATGAGCTGAAATGATAGAGGGTAGTGGTTAGGCGGAACAGGAGCAGTTATAGTAAAGTCAAGGTCTAGGTTGTCATCGTGGAGTGAGCTTTTGAAGTACATAGCAGGATTACTGTAGGAAGGGAAGCCAGAGAACTGAGAGGCCATGTTGCTGGAGGGATCATCTTTGTGAATATTGAAATTATTAAGAATTATGACAGTAGTTTGAGAGAAGGTGAGTTTGAGCCAAGTGCAAAACTCTTGGTAGCATTCATATTTTTTTCCCTCAGATAAATAGAAAAAAAGATGATTGAATTGTAATTATAAAACTAATTTTTTTTAAACGACAGCATTTTTTGGTACCTGATTTTTTTTTTCTTTTCCATTTTTTTTTTTTTTTTTCTCAAATGCTTGTTTTGTCTTCTGTAGCAATAGTAATAGAACTGGGCACATTACATTATGTTTTTATAAAAAGTTATATCATACAAAAGTAATTTATGATTATACCACTGCCAAGCCTCTGGTGTTACTTAAGGCTTTGTCAGCCTTGCCAATGAAAAGCCAGTTTTACATTCATTGACACTTCTGTTTATAGAGCAAAAGTCATGCTTAAAAATTGTTGATCCTACTTCAGGCACTAGATGTAGCTACTTGGCTTAGATCCCAGGAACTAATACTTACTGAGGTTTTCTCTCTTAATGACTTCTTTCTTTTACATTTGAAAGATTAATCTGTATATTCATTTTTAGGTGGCCCTTAGGAGGTATGTCACCTTGGAACCACAGATAGACCTTTTTAACTTTGCAGACTCAGAAATATGAAATTATCAGTTTTCCCAAATAAGATCAGATAGTAAACTCAGATTCTAATTTGGACCATAATAGGTGAAGGAGCTGAGATTTACCAAAGGGTAAAACCAGTCTTTACCATGTAGTGTACATTCTTCCAGCCAGAAAACAGAGAGAAACAAGTTAGGGGCAAGAGTAGGATTTCCTAGGTCTTGGAAACCAATAGAAAGACAAAGAGAATGCTTATATGGTCAGATCAGACACACTGTGCTTAGTAAATGCCACCTTCAAATGCCAAAATCCTTTGAGAGCCAAAGAATAGAGCATAATCCAGAACTAGAGTGAGAGGACTATACCTGGAGGGATTTGAAAAGAAACTGGAAATATCTGAGACCAAACAGCAATATTAATGGAACTCTTGTGTTGGCCAGAGTCAGAATAAGATGGTCATATAAGGAGATGCCTGAGAGACAAAGTAGCAAAGATAAGAAGTCATACTTGCTCATTTCTGCTTGCCAGCATGATTTCACAAAGTCTCTGATTCTGAGACAGAGGGATGCTTTGAGGACAAACAAGATAGAACACATCACCGTACCCCCACATCTCTTGCCTGAGTCACTATATTCCTTGAAAGAAAAATGACCCTTGTCCTTGACTTTTCCTGCACATAAGATAGCATCTGATGGGATAAATCAGATGTACTACTGTACCCAAACTTTGGTATGATTTTTCACATACTAAACTCCTGCTACCTATTTATTAGCCATGAGCTGAAATATTGTGCTGAAGCAGTCTGACAGAACAGCTCCCATGCTGTAGTCTATGGTCTACAGTCCTCAGTAAGATTTCTGAATAAAACTATTTTTTAAAAGTTTGATTTATTTTTTTCTTCAGTTGATACGACCAACAAGAGGCCCACAAGCTATGTGTAGGTCACTTGGTTGATGACATAATTTCAGCATAAAGTGAGTCTACTAGAGATGTCAAGAACTGGCTGTTGTCTTTATATCTGCTTCTATGGGAATTTGCCCTGTGTAGCTCTTGTGCTCCCCAAGCAGCTGTGTTCTGAACTATCAGTGACCTTGCTGCCCCTGGCCTATGGCTGTTTGGGTCAAGGCCTATGCAGTCTGACCTAACAGAAGTCAATTCATGAGCCAGTCAGGATTTTACCAATAGCCTGGCACAAAATGATGAATTTAGTCAATCAGATTGGCTGTCTTGGGAATTTAAGTCATAGAAGCAGAGATGTTGGTTGTGGGCAACTGAAAGTTCACCAATAGCTCATGATTGTCATGTGCAAGCTAAAGTTATAGAGAAACAGAAACTAGGAACAGGGGAAGCCAATGGGTAGAGAGAAAATGAGTAAAGAAAAATAAAATTACCAGGAGAGACAGGAAAATAAAAACTTCACATCTTCAAATAGAGATGATTATATTAGTTGTTTCTAAGACCTGCCTTCTGGTTTCAGCTGTCACTAGACCGTATTATACTTTGGCACTTTGTTCTTGGAGTAGCATAAGAGTCTAGCTGTATCTTCACAGTAAAACCTCTTAAAATAGCCTGAGCAGATCTTTGTTGCAACCATAAGAACCAAGGAACCATTTCCCTTTTTATAGGGAGCTATGCTAATCAAGCTAAATTGTGCCTAGTTACAAAGATTCTGTGCTTTGTGTACTCATCTATCTCTATGCTTTTTAGATTTTATTTAACTGCTTATTTTTTCCTTTTTTTTTTTTTTTTTTTTTTTTTAGGTAGGGTCTCTCTCTGTTACCCAGGCTGGAGTGCAGAGGTGGGATCACAGCTCACTGCAACCTTGACCTCCTGGGCTCAAGTGATTCTCTCACCTCAGCCTCCCAAGTAGCTGGGACTATGGGCATATGCTACCACTTCTGGCTAATTTTTTAATTTTTAAAGTTTTTGTAGAGATGGGGTCTCACCATGTTGCCCAGGCTCATCTCAAACTCCTGGGTTCAAGCAGTCTTCCTGCCTCAGACTCCCAAAGTGCTGGGATTACAGGCATGAGCTACCGTACCTGGCCAACAGCTCTCTTAAGGTATAACTGATGTACAATTAACTCTACATATTTAAATTGTACAACTTGAACAACTTGAATGAGTTTTGATATATGTATACACCTGTGAAACCATCACCACAATCAAGATGACAAGTATTTCCATCACCCCAGAATTTCCTCATGCCCCTTTTTTATCCTTCCTTCATTCCTGTTCCCAGGCATCCACTGATCTGCTTCTGTCACTGTAGATGAATTTGCATTTTCTAGAATTTTATATAAATGGAATCATACAGTATGTACCTTTTTTGGCTTACTTATTTACCATAATTTTAAGATTCATTCATGTTTGAGTATCACTAATTGTTCCTTTTCTGCGAGTAGCATTTTGTTGGATATACCAGAATTCATTGATGGATATTTAGGTTGTTTCTAGTTTATGAGTATTACAAATAAAGCTGCTATAAGCATTTGTGTACAAGAACAGGAATTAGTGTAGTAGAAAACAAACAGTGGAATCAACAAAATTAAAAACTGATTTTTGAGAAAAAAAACTAAAAATAGGCGTGCCTCTAGCAAGACTGATAAAAGATACAATGTTTAAACAGTTTTAGAATTTATAGAAGGAATAGCTACAGATTTAGGAGAGATTTTTAAAAACCACAAGAGTGCTATGAAAAGTTTTGTTAATAAATTTGGAAACAAACAAAACATGCTTTTCCGTAACTGTAGAAATTACCATAATTACATCAAGAAAGAAAAAACCTGAATAAGCCATTACTCATTCTCCCCACTATCATACTTCAAAGACTTGAGCTTCAGATAGTTAAAAATTCTTGGCGATGTGAGTATTTTGAACCAGGATCGGTCTGTAATAAGATTTCATAATAATGATTTAACAGTTTTTCATAACAATGAGTATCAGTATGTAATAATACCGCCTTCCTATAGGTCTAGTTATTGTGTTTTTCTACTTATATGCTTTTCAAAAAATTAAAATAGATTTCTAAGTATTTGAAATCTCAGCATGTACTCTTAATCTGATGTTGAACTGGAAGTATCAGTTTATACTGAGGGACTTGCATACATTTGGTTATAGGCTAAAGGGAGCCGTGTATATTTGGTTATAGGTTAAAGAGTCATGGACTGGAACCAGGAAAGTTTCAACCAGGAGAATCAAGTTACAACTCTGAGATTAAGATCATAAGTGGTTGAGTTATTGGGAGGTCAAAATCATAGCACAGCAACAACTCATCAGTATCCGGGATTAACAAAGGCAAGTTTAACATAGCCAAAATAGCTAAGAACAAGAACAAGGAGGAGAGTGGGACAGGAAAGATAGCAAAATTGCCACAGTGGGTTTAAACTGACTTATTTTTAAAATAAGATTGATTCATAAGATTATAAGTACCGGCTAATTATTTTAAAACCCCACAAATTAAGATAAATACAAAAATAAATTATGTTAATATTTGATATATAGCTTGTATAATTTAGTGCATAGAATACAGACATATATTTATAATCTTATTTTTACAAAGTTGAGGTTTTTCTGGAGGAAAGGTTGAGTTTTATTATATGTATAATTTTATATTTGCCTTTTGAAAATATAGTAATCATGAACATTTCCCCCATAAAGACATAATTGCCATCGTTTTTAATGTTTTCACAAACTATATACTAAATATCAGAATTTAGTTTTCCAATTTCATATTGTTGAATGTATAGACTAATATTTTTACTTTTTTAAGCAGTGGTGAAATAACCGTCATTGAACTTGTATCACTGTGTACTTATCCAGTTATTTCTTTGGCACATAATCCTGAAATTCACATACTTCCTGGGTCAAAGAGAATAAACTTTTTTTTTTTTTTTTTTTTTTTTTTTGAGACGGAGTCTTGCTCTGTCACACAGGCTGGAGTGCAGTGGCGCCATCTTGGCTCACTGAAACCTCCACCTCATGGGTTCAAGCGATTCTCCTGTCTCAGCCTCCTGATTAGCTGGGATAACAGGCGCATGCCACATGCCCAGCTTTTTTTTTTTTGTATTTTCAGTAGAGATGGGGTTTCCCCATGTTGCCAGGCTGGTCTCAAACTCCTGACCTCAGGTATCTGCCCACCTTGGCCTCCCAAAGTGCTGGGATTACAGGTGTGAGCCACCGCACCCAGCTGAGAATAAACATTTTTAAGGATTTTGATATAATCTCTAGAAATATTTTACCAGTTAACATTCCCACTAGCCTTGTCAAATAAAATTATAATATTAAGAGCAATAATACATTTAGTAGTATTTATTAAATAATTACTATGTGCCAACTACATGTCAAATACCATACAAGTTACCTAATTTAATCAATAGCAATTTCTTCCCAACTTTCCTTATTTTTTCATCTTTGACAAGTTAATAGATGAAAATTTGTAACATTTTAATTTGCATGTTTTGATTAATAGTCATGTTGGACTTTTACTGTATTAATCAATTTATCCAAATTTGATATTTTTCCCCTGGAGTACTGTCTTTCTTTTGATTTTTCTGTTTTGTTCTCCAGGTCATATATTTGGAAACCCTTTACAAGGAATACTTTTGAGGTTTCAAAACAATGACAAGAGGATAGGGTTTTCATAGAAATTATAAAAAATAAGATTATCAAGTAAAGCAGAATACCTTTTATTTGTGGGGGATCCGTCAGAGTAGTGGGAAAAACTATAGGGAAAGGACGCAAACCTTCTCAAAGGTCAGAAGGTTCTGCAGAGCCCTGGGGGAGAATAGCTGAAGGCAGCTGTTCTATAACCCTGAGTCAGAGGTCAAGGAGTAGGTACAAGGGAGTGTGGGGTAATTAATCTTAAACAGGCTTGTTTACTTATGTTGACCAGGAACTGACGTTTGATCATCTGCACATGAAGTTCTCAGAAAGGAGGGAAAAAAATGTGAATTACCTACAGGTTGTGTTGACTCCAGGTTTTTGGCATTGTGCCTGCACTGAATAAAAACAAGCAGCTCCAGCTTCTTGAGACTGCTCTTTGGCCACTAGAGCCAGGCAGTCACCTAGCTGCTCTTAAACTGCATACCTGTGTCTGAGTACTCATTTCATCTGTCAGCCAGGGTCTATGGGACAGACCTGGCATTTATTAATTTGTTGTTAACTAGATTTTAAATAGTTCCATTATTATATACATATTATTCTTTACATATACATATTAAAATATGGTCAATTTTCTGTTACCATATCATGTGAAAAAGACTAAACAGATTCTCACCAAAATTTGTAAGTATATCTGGAATGGTCTTCCTCAACATACAAACTAGGTAGCAAGCATGAAGTTTCTTTAATGGGTCTTAGAAGGTATTTTAGAGATACAATCAGTCATCCTTCAGTAAAGCTGCAATTGAGGGAGAGTGAGAGGCTTATAAAATTACCAATCATGAGAAATATTTCACATATGTTAGCTGCTGTGGACACTACAGTAGCAGTTTGGAAGCAAAAGAAACAGGAAAATGTATCAATCCAAAATGAAAAAAAGAAAAATGAATTGGTAAACAGGACACATGGGATAATATGACAGAAATCAGATAAACATCACTCATCACAAAATTGCCTTCTAAAAAATGATCAGCTATGTTGCTTGCAAGAATCACAAGGCAAAACAATACAGAAACATTGAAAATAAAGAGATGGAAAATATTTGTGTTTAATAACAGAAGCAGGGCCCATAAAGAGCAAAAATAACAGATATATTGAAAAAATGACAAATTTACAATCACACTAGGTAATTTTAATGTAATACTCTCAGAAATCAGTACCTCAGTAAGAAAACATTAATAATATAGATTAACAACAAAATTAGTAAGGGTGATAAAATATACATCTGTGCAGAGTAAATAGAGAAAATAATTTTTAAATTGAAGTATACATGGAATATTTGCAAAAATTATATTTGAGGTCAAAAGAAGAACCTCATCAAATTTTTTTGAACTAATATTATATAACATACTGTGTTCTCTAATAACAAGTTTCCATGCATTTGGAAACTTAGAAATGAACTCCAGTGATTTGTAAGTTAAAGAAGAAATCAAAACAAAATATTTTGAACTCTTTAATAAAAAACCACATATTAGAATTAGTGGACTTAGGGGAAATTTATTACCTTGAACACATCTTTTTCAAAAATCAAAAAACAGTGAAATACTTAGCTCAGAAAGATTTTTAAAAAGCAATGAACCAACCAGAGTAAACCTGAATAAAGTACAAGGAAGGAACAAAAGATCCCGCTATTAATGTAGCAGAAAATAAGTAATGGAATTAACAAAGTCAAAAGCTGATGAGGCTGGGCATGGTGGCTCACACCTGTAATCCTAGCAATTTGGGAGGCCAAGGCAGGAGGATTACTTGAGGCCAGAAGTTTGAGACCAGCCTGGCCATCATGGCAAAACCCATCTCTACTAAAAATACAAAAATTAGTCCGGCGTGGTGGTGCACCTGTAATCCAAGCTACCTGGGAGGCTGAGGCTAGAGAATCACTTGAACCCGGTGCAGGGTGGAGGTTGCTGTGAGCCGAGATTGCACCACTGCATTCCAGTCTGGGCAACAGAGCAAGACTCTGTCTCAAACAAACAAACAAACAAAAACACAGCTGGTTATTTAATAAAATAGATATACCTCTAGCGAGACTGAGGAAAAGATGAGAAAATGTATAAACAGTATTATAATAAAAAGGGATAACTATAGATTTAGTGAATATTTAAAAAAATCAGAGAATGCACGAAAAGTTTTGTGAGTATAGTAATAAAGCAGATACTTTCTAGAAATATGTAAATCATGAAAATTGTATCAAGAGGAAAGTGTAAACCTGAATAAACTATCAACCACCCTCCAACCACACTGCCTCAAGCTCTGGATGGTTTTATAGATTCGTTCTTTCAAGAAATAGGTGAGTCTTATCATATATAAACTAATTCAGACAATAGAAAAAGACAGCAATGCAACTCATTTTTATTAAGATAGTATAAACTTGATACTAAAACTAGAAAGGGGAGTATAAGAAAAAGGTGTTGTGTGTTGATCACTCTTATGATTGGACAAGCAAACTAAAGTTAGCAATGTGAACATATCATGACTAAGTAGGATTTATCTCTGTAGTGCAAAAATGATCCAACATCCAAAAATTCATTAATGTTATGCTATATATCTGATTTTTATTTACTTACTTTTGTGGGCACATAGTAGGTATATTATCTGATTAATGGGGGGACATATGATTATCTCAGCTGATGTAGATAAACATGAATAAACCAGATGATTATCATGTTTATTCATGATACATGATACAAGAATCTCAGCAAACTAGGAAAACTAGCTAAGTTACCTGTTAGAGAGAACCAAAACCTGTAGTAACTATCAAACAATGCATTTCCATTTAAGTTAGAAACAAGATGCTGTTAATTCTGTTGTTTAGTGCTGGAGATCCCCGACTATGTAATGTAAGAAGAAATAGAAATAAGAAATTTGGGAATTAGAAAAAAGAAAGATAACACTGTCATTATTTGTAGATGATATCATTGTCTACATAGAAATAATATTAAACAGTTATTGGTCTCTTACCACATGCAAGGTAGTACACTATGCTTCAAGATCAACATATAAAATCAATACTTTTTATACAAACCAGTAATAACCACTGCAAAACATAATGGAAAAGAAAATATTATTCACAACAGCATTGAAACCATAACTAAGAGGAAATGTAATGAAATAGGTGCAGATTTTTTAGGGAGAAAATTACAAATTTTATTGCTTTGAATAAAGAAACCCAAACTAACCAGAACATAAGAATCTTTGTCTGTTTGAGCTGAGGTATCGGTATTTTGCATAGGCTGTACTTGAACTCCTGGGCTCAAGCAGTCCTCCCCCGTCAGCCTCCCAAAGTGCTAGGATTACAGGTATGAGCCATCATGTTCTGCCGAGCTTTATTTTCCTGTTGTTAAAGAGAGCTTATATTGAGTAATCACTGATAATGTATGTTTAAATGAATTCTCAGAAGCCTATGGGCATAACAATTGACTATATTAATATCCTGATTTTTATACCTTATACCTAATAATCCTATGGTTGTATAGAATTTGTTACTTTCCAGAAAGAGCTTTTAGGGCTGGGTTTTATTTTGAGATATACTTGGTTTATACTTTTGTTCAGTATATGCAGGTGTAACACATTGATTCATTAGTTTCTCCCTGGTTTTGTTTTCCAAGTTTATTTTTAATTATTAATTAATTAACTAATTAGAGACAGGGTCCCACCATGTTGCCCAGGCTGGCCTTGAACTCCTGGGCTCAAGCAATCTTTCTGCCTCAGCGTCCCAAAATGTGGGGACTACAGGCATGAGCCACCATGCTTGGCCTGGAGGTTTTTTTTTTCTTTGATTCCTTTATTTTGCTAATTTGTTGATTCATGTAAAGACAATACTACACTATAGCTTTGTATGGGCTTCCCTGCAGATGCAAAAAGCTTCCTTTGAGTAGACAAGGTCTGGTACTGAACAGGCGTGGCACCTGACCTCCAGAGGACATCTGAACAGAGAACGTGCTGTATGCCTTCTGACACACTCTCTGAGGAGTGCATTTTCAGATTCTTTTTTTTTTTTTATTATACTTTAAGTTTTAGGGTACATGAGCACAATGTGCAGGTTAGTTGCATATGTATACATGTGACATGTTGGTGTGCTGCACACATTAACTCATCACTTAACATTAGGTATATCTCCTAAAGCTATCCCTCCCCCCTCGCCCCACCCCACAACAGGCCCCGCTGTGCGATGTTCCCCTTCCTGTGTCCATGTGTTCTTATTGTTCAATTCCCACCTATGAGTGAGAACATGCGGTGTTTGGTTTTTTTCTCCTTGTGATATTTTGCTGAGAATGATGGTTTCCAGCTTCATCCGTGTCCGTACAAAGGACATGAACTCATCCTTTTTTATGTCTGCATAGTATTCCATGGTGTATATGTGCCACATTTTCTTAATCCAGTCTATCATCGTTGGACATTTGGGTTGGTTCCAAGTCTTTGCTATTGTGAATAGTGCCACAATAAACATATGTGTGCATGTGTCTTCATAGCAGCATGATTTATAATCCTTTGGGTATATACCCAGTAATGGGATGGCTGGGTCAAATGGTATTTCTAGTTCTAGATCCCTGAGGAATCGCCACACTGACTTCCACAATGGTTGAACTAGTTTACAGTCCCACCAACAGTGTAAAAGTGTTCCTATTTCTCCACATCCTCTCCAGCACCTGTTGTTTCCTGACTTTTTAATGATTGCCATTCTAACTGGTGTGAGGTGGTATCTCATTGTGGTTTTGATTTGTATTTCTCTGATGGCCAGTGATGATGCGCATTTTTTCATGTGTCTTTTGGCTGCATAAATGTCTTCTTTTGAGAGGTGTCTGTTCATATCCTTTGCCCACTTTTTGATGGGGTTGTTTGTTTTTTTCTCGTAAATTTGTTGGAGTTCATTGTAGATTCTGGATATTAGCCCTTTGTCAGATGAGTAGATTGCAAAAATTTTCTCCCATTCTGTAGGTGGCCTGTTCAGTCTGATGGTAGTTTCTTTTGCTGTGCAGAAGCTCTTTAGTTTAATTAGATCCCATTTGTCAATTTTGGCTTTTGTTGCCATTGCTTCTGGTGTTTTAGACATGAAGTCCTCGCCCATGCCTATGTCCTGAATGGTATTGCCTGGGTTTTCTTCTAGGGTTTTTATGGTTTTAGGTCTAACATTTAAGTCTTTAATCCATCTTGAATTAATTTTTGTATAAGGTGTAAGGAAGGGATCCAGTTTCAGCTTTCTACATATGGCTAGCCAGTTTTCCCAGCACCATTTATTAAATAGGGAATCCTTTCCCCATTTCTTGTTTTTATCAGGTTTGTCAAAGATCAGATGGTTGTAGATATGTGGCATTATTTCTGAGGGCTCTGTTCTGTTCCATTGATCTATATCTCTGTTTTGATACCAGTACCATGCTGTTTTCGTTATTGTAGCCTTGTAGTATAGTTTGAAGTCAGGTAGCATGATGCCTCCAGCTTTGTTCTTTTGGCTGAGGATTGACTTGGCAATGCGGGCTCTTTTTTGGTTCCATATGAACTTTAAAGTAGTTTTTTTCCAATTCTGTGAAGAAAGTCATTGGTAGCTTGTTGGGGATGGCATTGAATCTATAAATTACCTTGGGCAGTATGGCCATTTTCACAATATTGATTCTTCCTACCCATGAGCATGGAATGTTCTTCCATTTGTTTGTATCCTCTTTTATTTCATTGAGCAGTGGTTTGTAGTTCTCCTTGAAGAGGTCCTTCATGTCCCTTGTAGGTTGGATTCCTAGGTATTTCATTCTCTTTGAAGCAATTGTGAATGGGAGTTCACTCATGATTTGGCTCTCTGTTTGTCTGTTGTTGGTATATAAGAATGCTTGTGATTTTTGCACATTGATTTTGTATCCTGAGACTTTGCTGAAGTTGCTTATTAGCTTAAGGAGATTTTGGGCTGAGATGATGGGGTTTTCTAGATATACAATCATGTCATCGGCAAACAGGAACAATTTGACTTCCTCTTTTCCTAATTGAATGCCCTTTATTTATTTCTCCTGCCTGATTGCCCTGGCCAGAACTTCCAACACTATGTTGAACAGGAGTGGTGAGAGAGGACATCCCTGTCTTGTGCCAGTTTTCAAAGGGAATGCTTCCAGTTTTTGCCCATTCAGTATGATATTGGCTGTGGGTTTGTCATAGATAGCTCTTATTATTTTGAGATACATCCCATCAATACCTCATTTATTGAGAGTTTTTAGCATGAAGTGTTGTTGAATTTTGTCAAAGGCCTTTTCTGCATCTATTGAGATAATCATATGGTTTTTGTTGTTGGTTCTGTTTATATGCTGGATTATGTTTATTGATTTGCGTATGTTGAACCAGCCTCACATCCCAGGGATGAAGCCCATTCGATCATGGTGGACAAGGTTTTTGATGTGCTGCTGGATTTGGTTTGCCAGTATTTTATTGAGGATTTTTGCATCGATGTTCATCAGGGATATTGCTCTAAAATTCTCTTTTTTTGTGTGTCTCTGCCAGGCTTTGGTATCAGGATGATGCTGGGCTCATAAAATGAGTTAGGGAGGATTCCCTCTTTTTCTGTTGATTGGAATAGTTTCAGAAGGAATGGTACCAGTTCCTCCTTGTACCTCTGGTAGAATTTGGCTGTGAATCCATCTGGTCCTGGACTTCTTTTGTTTGGTAAGCTATTAATTATTGCCTCTATTTCAGAGCCTGTTATTGGTCTATTCAGAGATTCAACTTCTTCCTGGTTTAGTCTTGGGAGGCTGTATGTCTCCAGGAATTTATCTATTTCTTTTAGATTTTCCAGTTTATTTGCATAGAGGTGTTTATAGTATTCTCTGATGGTAGTTTGTATTTCTGTGTGATTGGTGGACATGTCCCCTTTATCATTTTTTATTGCATGTATTTGATTCTTCTCTCTTTTCTTCTTTATTAGTCTTGCTAGCAGTCTATCAATTTTGTTGATCTTTTCAAAAAACCAGCCTCTGGATTCATTGATTTTTTGAAGGGTTTTTTGTGTCTCTATTTCCTTCAGTTCTCCTCTGATCTTAGATATTTCTTGCCTTCTGCTAGCTTTTGAATGTGTTTGCTCTTGCTTCTCTAGTTCTTTTAATTGTGATGTTAGAGTGTCAATTTTAGATCTTTCCTGCTTTCTCTTGTGGGCATTTAGTGCTATAAATTTCCCTCTACACACTGCTTTCAATGTGTCCCAGAGATTCTGGTATGTTGTGTCTTTGTTCTCATTGGTTTCAAAGAACATCTTTATTTCTGCCTTCATTTCGTTATGTACCCAGTAGTCATTCAGGAGCAGGTTGTTCAGTTTCCATGTAGTTGAGCGGTTTTGAGTGAGTTTCTTAATCCTGAGTTCTAGTTTGATTGCACTGTGGTCTGAGAGACAGTTTATTTTAATTTCTGATCTTCTATATTTGCTGAGGGGTGCTTTACTTCCAAGTATGTGGTCAATTTTGGAATAGGTGTGGTGTGGTGCTGAAAAGAATGTATATTCTGTTGATTCGGGGTGGAGATTTCTGTAGATGTCTATTAGGTCTGCTTGGTGCAGAGCTGAGTTCAATTCCTGGATATCCTTGTTAACTTTCTGTCTCATTGATCTGTCTAATGTTGACAGCGGGGTGTTAAAGTCTCCCATTATTAATGTGTGGGAGTCTAAGTCTCTTTGTAGGTCACTCAGGACTTGCTTTATGAATCTGGGTGCTCCTGTATTGGGTGCATATATATTTAGGATAGTTAGCTCTTCTTGTTGAATTGATCCCTTTACCATTATGTAATGGCCTTCTTTGTCTCTTTTGATCTTTGTTGGTTAAAAGTCTGTTTTATCAGAGACTAGGATTGCAACCCCTGCCTTTTTTTGTTTTCCATTTGCTTGGTAGATCTTCCTCCATCTCTTTATTTTGAGCCTATGTGTGTCTCTGCACGTGAGATGGATTTCCTGAATATAGCACACTGATGGGTCTTGACTCTATCCAATTTGCCAGTCTGTGTCTTTTAATTGGAGCATTTAGCTCATTTACATTTAAGGTTAATATTGTTATGTGTGAATTTGGTCCTGTCATTATGATGTTAGCTGTGTTTTTTTTTTTTTTCGTTAATTGGTGCAGTTTCTTCCTAGTCTCGATGGTGTTTACATTTTGGCATGATTTTGCAGCGGCTGGTACCAGTTGTTCCTTTCCATGTTTAGCGCTTCCTTCAGCACCTTTTTTAGGGCAGGCCGGGTGGTGACGAAATCTCTCAGCATTTGCTTGTCTGTAAAGTACTTTATTTCTCCTTCACTTATGAAGCTTAGTTTGGCTGGATATGAAATTCTGGGTTGAAAATTCTTTTCTTTACGAATGTTGAATATTGGCCCCCAATTCTTCTGGCTTGTAGAGTTTCTGCCGAGAGATCCGCTGTTAGTCTGATGGGCTTCCCTTTGAGGGTAACCCGACCTTTCTCTCTGGCTGCCCTTAACATTTTTTCCTTCATTTCAACTTTGGTGAATCTGACAATTATGTGTCGTGGAGTTGCTCTTCTCGAGGAGTATCTTTGTGGTGTTCTCTGTATTTCCTGAATCTGAACGTTGGCCTGCCTTGCTAGATTGGGGAAGTTCTCCTGGATAATATCCTTCAGAGTGTTTTCCAACTTGGTTCCATTCTCCCCGTCACTTTCAGGTACACCAATCAGATGTAGATTTGGTCTTTTCACATAGTCCCATATTTCTTGGAGGCTTTGTTCCTTTCTTTTTATTCTTTTTTCTCTAAACTTCCCTTCTCGCTTCATTTCATTCATTTCATCTTCCATCGCTGATACCCTGTCTTCCAGTTGATAGCATTGGCTCCTGAGGCTTCTGCATTCTTCACGTAGTTCTCGAGTCTTGGTTTTCAGCTCCATCAGCTCCTTTAAGCACTTCTCTATATTGATTATTCTAGTTATACATTCTTCTAAATTTTTTTCAAAGTTTTCAACTTCTTTGCCTTTGGTTTGAGTGTCCTCCTGTAGCTCGGAGTAATTTGATCGTCTGAAGCCTTCTTCTCTCAGCTCGTCCAAGTCATTCTCCATCCAGCTTTGTTCCATTGCTGGTGAGGAACTGCGTTCCTTTGGAGGAGGAGAGACGCTCTGCTTTTTAGAGTTTCCAGTTTTTCTGCTCTGTTTTTTCCGCATCTTTGTGGTTTTATCTAGTTTTGGTCTTTGATGATGGTGATGTACAGATGGGTTTTTGGTGTGGATACCCTTTCTGTTTGTTAGTTTTCCTTCTAACAGACAGGACCCTCAGTTGCAGGTCTGTTGGAGTACCTGGCCGTGTGAGGTGTCAGTCTGCCCCTGCTGGGGATTGCCTCCCAGTTAGGCTGCTCGGGGATCAGGGGTCAGGGACCCACTTGAGGAGGCAGTCTGTCCATTCTCAGATCTCCAGCTGCGTACTGGGAGAACCACTGCTCTCTTCAAAGCTGTCAGACAGGGACATTTAAGTCTGCAGAGGTTACTGCTGTGTTTTTGTTTGTCTGTGCCCTGCCCCCAGAGGTGGAACCTACAGAGGCAGGCAGGCCTCCTTGAGCTGTGGTGGGCTCCACCCAATTTGAGCTTCCAAGCTGCTTTGTTTACCTAAGCAAGCCTGGGCAATGGCGGACACCCCTCTCCCAGCCTCACTGCCACCTTGCAGTTTGATCTCAGACTGCTGTGCTAGCAATCAGTGAGACTCCGTGGGCATAGGACCCTCCAAGCCATGTGCAGGATATAATCTCCTGGTGCATGGTTTTTTAAGCCCGTTGGAAAAGCACAGTATTCGGTTGGGAGTGACCCGATTTTCCAGGTGCCATCTGTCACTCCTTTCTTTGACTAGGAAAGGGAACTCCGTGACCCCTTGCGCTTCCTGAGTGAGGCAATGCCTCGCCCTGCTTCAGCTCACGCACGGTGCATGCACCCACTGACCTGCGCCCACTCTCTGGCACTCCCTAGTGAGATGAACCCGGTACCTCAGATGGAAATGCAGAAATCGCCCGTCTTCTGCGTCACTCACGCTGGGAGCTGTAGACTGGAGCTGTCCCTATTCGGCCATCTTGGCTTCTCCCCCTAATTTTTGTATTTTTTGTAGAGACAGTTTCGCCGTGTTGCTCAGGCTGGTCTCGAACTCCTAAGTTCAAGTGATCCACCAGCCCCGGCTTCCCAAAGTGCTAGGATTACAGGTTTGAGCCACTGCACCTGGCCTACTTTTCTATTTTCTTGCATTAACTTTGTGCACAAGCTTAGAAGTCAATAATACTTGGATTGATATCTTGATTCTTATACCTTCTGATTATATGTTCTTAAACAAATTACTGAACTCTTCTGAGCCTTACATCCTATGAACTTGTCAGATTCTTGTGGGCTTTAATTGAAATATATTTAAATGTCTAGCATGGCCTTTGTCACAAAAATAGATTTTCAACAAATGTTAAGTCTCTTAACTACTTTAAAAAACAATTTTTGTGAAGACAGAGTGTTGCTATATTGACTAGGCTGGCCTTGAACTCCTGACCTCAAGCAGTCCTCTTACTCAGCCTCCCAAAGTACTGAGACTATAGGTGTGAGCCACCATGTCTGGCTCCCTTAACTACTTTTTAAATAATCAACTTTATTGAGATATAATTTATATTCAATAAGGCTCATATTTTGATGAGCTTTGACAAATGCATACACCATCACAGTCAAAATAGAGAATATTTACATCACTCTAAAAAGTCCTAACTTCCTTTTCGTCTCTCATTTTCAGAACTCTGGCCCACTCCTGATCGCATAAAACACAAAACTCCGTGACTCTCATGTTCACCTTTTTTTTTTTTCTGAGACAGAGTCTCGCTCTGTTGCCCAGTCTGGATCTCGGCTCACTGCTAGCTCCATCTCCCAGGTTTGAGCCATTCTGCTGCCTCAGCCTCCCGAGTAGCTGGGACTATAGGCATCCACAACCACGCCTGGCTAATTTTTTTTTTCTTTCAATTTTTAGTAGAGACGGGGTTTCACCATGTTAGCCAGGATGGTCTCGATCTCCTGACCTCGTGGTCTCCCCGCCTCGGCCTCCCAAAGTGCTGGGATTACAGGCGTGAGCCACCGCACCTGGCCGATGTTCACCTTCTGAGTCTAAGAGAGTCGACATATTTCCCACCTCTTGGCTGACTGTATTGTTGGTACTTGATTTGATGACTCCAATCCTCAATATTTATTTACCTTTTCTCAATTTTAGTTACTGAATCACTAGCAACTTCTCTTCCAATTTATGTCTTAATGTAATGCTTCCTATTCCTATCCTTTATGAATCTCCTTTTTCCTATCATGATAGTCATAAAGTCTTTTAACAAATATTCTAGTTCTCTTCCTTTGAACATATGATAAAATTGTACTTTCTTACTCCTTAGGAGTGTGGTCGTGTGACTTGTAAATTGCTTTGGCCAATGAAATGTAAGAAGTGACACATGTCACCTTTGGACAGAGGCCTTTAAGACAAGTGCACCATATCCCGTATGCCACAACAATAAGCAGTGTTCCACCTTGTGGCTATTAGCCTAAGTCCCGGAGTGAGAATATGTAAATCAGGACCCTCATCTGACTCTATCCTGAGTAAGAAATAAACTTGTATTATCTAAAGCCACCAACATTTGGAGTTCTTGGTTACTGCAGTATAATCTAACATATCCTGACTGATGCAAATACCAATGTGGAATATGAGTAACATTTAAGTGTGTCCTTCAGCTGTGCTGCCATTAAAAAAAAAAGGCTAGTTTCCTATTAGTGTAAGACTTTCCCAGCTTCACTCAGTAGTGTTCCCCATTCTCTAATGTCAGGAAATTAACTTTGAAATTCCTTTCAGTATCAGGTTTATATATATGTTATGAATACTATTTAATTTATATATAAATAATATATATTTAATTCATACAGTATACATAGTATCATGAATACTATTTTATTTATATATAAATTATATGTAAACAATATATATTTTATATACATATATAAGTCATATATTTTTATATACATATATAAATACTATATATTAAATAGTATTCATAATCTTATTTGCTGACAACATACCTTATTTGTTTCCCTACAAATTTAGTAAACTACTAAGTCTTTTGTTTTCCTCCTTAAGTATTGTCCTAGGAATTGGGGATGTATGCTCCTTAAAGTGTTGATAACTGCCTTTCAGTTCTAGCTCATTAACAGATGCTAAATTCCTAGGCTATCAGAAGTCAAACGTGGTCATTTTGTAAAGTAACTGTTATGTAATAATTGGACCTCCAGGAGTTAGTTTATCTTCTAGTTGGGATGTCACATTAAACAGCTCCAGGAGACACCATTCACAAATAAAAGTCTACTTGGCGTTATCTGATATATTTAGTTTTACAGATTTAGAAACCTGATTTTGTAAATTTACCTAGAAGCATCTGATTTTAGGGCACTGATCTCTGTTAGCCAAAGTCAACAGGAACTAGTTTGTAAATTCCAATGCCAATCATAAATTTCAGTGGGCAGAATGTCTGCTACTGTAATTTCTAATGATCATCTGCACAGAGATGGTGGTTATATCCACTCATGAAATTAAATTTGGTGACATAAATTAAGTGTAAAAAAGAGCTGATCCCAAAAAGTTAGTAGTCTAATCAATTGCCTTTTTTACCCTTGTAATAGTTCTGTCTGATTAATCAGAAGTTCTTCTAGAAACTGGTTAACAATTCTTTTTGGTAAAAATATTGTCATCAAATTATTTGGAATGAAAATAGTTGTTTTGCTCCACTTGTATGCCAAGTAATATGTCAAATGCTGAGCGTCCCAACCAACTTCGCTTTTAACCAACTCCACAAAAGCTATTATACAACCTTCCATTTTGAACGACTTAGAATGATAAAAATTTCCATACTATATTTTTCATGTATTCATTTAAATTGGTAGTTTCCCAATGAGACATGATAGGTATATTAAACTTCTTGATACAACTTTAAAGACAGTGCAATTTCTATCAATTACACATTTACATAGATTTTAATGAGCATTGTTTCTATTAGTAAATATTTCTACAGTTTTTCTATGTAACATCTAATTTATTTTAATATTAGAGTGACATTTTCTTACCTTATGAGGTAAGGTACCTATGTCCCACATCTTAATCTAACGGGGACATAGCAGTGAAAAAACACAGTATTCTTGCTCAAGAGTTACCATTCCAATAGGATTTACATGTAACAACAAGGAGAAATAGGCATGTTTTTTAAAAATAGTGATAAATGCTAGGAAGAAAACAGATTCTTGATTAAAAAAATGGAAATTAACATGTACCAATGGCTCCCTTCCACAAGTTGTATAACTCAGGAGATTCTAAAGAAAAGAAAAATTGAAGCAATCAGAATAGAATGTGCACAAACTCTCATTACCACCTCTTTCTACCTACTAGGATCTACACCTTTATACTCTGCTTACCTGCCGTTATTTGTAGATAACAGTCCATTTTTCTGACATAAGGCCAAATCTTCCACTTATATGTCTCACAGAATCCATTCCTTCTTGCCTACTCAAAGGTATTACTTTAGTAATTCTTATTTTCCTCTTCTACATCAACGTTTGCCTTTCTGCTTGGTCATTTCCATCTGTTTATAAATGTGATATTATCACTCTCATCTTTAAAAAAACTCAACTCCATTTCCTCTCCTAACTATCATCCCATTTCATTGCTCTTCACAGCAAAACTCAAGACTTACACTGTATGGACCTAATGCCTCCAGTTCTCATCTTCCCATTCTCTCTTAAACCCTCCCCATTCAGGCTTTTGCTCCACAACTCTATCAAAATTACTTTTTATCTTGCTAAAACCAATGGTTAGTTCTTATTCTTCATCTTACTAGACCTAGCAGCACAATTTGACATAGCTGATCACTTCCTCCTTCTGGAGTCACTTTCTTCACTTGGTTTTCAGGATATCCCACTTCCTTAGATTTTCTCCTACCTCACTGGTCTCTATGTCTTTTTCCTTTGCTAGTTTCTCCTTATCTCCTGAACCTGTAAACATTGGTGGGCTCCAGTATGCAGTTCTCAGAACTCTTCCGTACCATTTTTATCAGGCTTGTGACTTAAAATACAATACTGCCTTGCGATAAGAAACGCTTCAGTAACTTGAATCTAGAGATTATCTAATTGACTGTTGCCTCTGGTCTTTTACTCAGTACCCATTCGCAAATGTATATGAGCTATCTTCTATGGGGTAGGGGATAGAGACAATAAAGTAAGGCCAGGTGAACAAACAGCAGATAACTCTTTGAAAAACTAGGAGGCAGTGGGTTTGTTCCCCCAAATCCTAACCGGGGCTGCTGAAATGGGTGCCAAGGTAAATGGGAAATTCCTGGATAATTTCTGCTTTCTGAAAGTCTAAGCAAGCCAGAGGCCAGAATATAACCCAATATTTAGGCCAATACTGAAAACTGCTATCAGATGGCACCAAACTTCCCTAGAACTGAATGAATTCACATGGCACAGCCAGAACTCTAGAATTCCTGACTAACTGTCCAGCCTCCATTTGATCATTTCACTGTAATTATCTTTCCAATTCAGTCTTTGATACCCCAACCTCAGCAATTCTTTGAGGCCACTAGGATCTCCAATCCATTGCCCTACTATCTTTACTCTATTTACCCCTTCATGTCCTCACTTCTGCTCCTTGAATGATTTAGATTTCATGTTTCATTACTATAATCATTCCTTTGCATATACCTTCAACAGTCTTGCCCCTTTTTCCTTCACTATTCTCAGCTGGCAGAATTCCATCACACTTACATCTAACTTGTTGACTACTCTGCATCTGTTCCCAGGGGAGATGTGGCTAAAGACTGACTGGTCTCATTTCAAATTGACCAACCCTCATGAGGGTTCTAGAAATCTTACTATATTTACCTGCTTCATAAACATTCCTAGATGAATATTACATACTTTTTCTCTTTTCAAACCTACCTACATATTTTTCTCTCCCTTCTCTCGTTTTTCCCATTCCTTTCCTTTTTAGATAATAATGTTCTAATACCAATGAGTAAACAGAAGCAATAAGAAGAGGACTATCTCCTGCTCTCATAACCACATCAAACAATTTACCAGCACATGTACAGATACACTCTGCTTCCTCTCCTATTACATGAAATAAACCATTAATGCTCCTATTTAAGGTCAACCCTTCTACTTCTGCATAGAATCCCATCCTCGGGCCGGCTGCGGTGGCTCATGCCTGTAATCCCAGCACTTTGGGAGGCTGAGGCGGGCGGATCACAAGGTCAGGAGATTGAGACCATCCTGGCTAACATGGTGAAACCCCGTCTTTATTAAAAATACAAAAAAAATTAGCTGGGCATGTTGGCACATGCCCAAATTCCCAGCTACTTGGGAGGCTGAGGCAGGAGAATCACTTGAGCCCAGGAGGTGGAGGTTGCAGTGAGCCAAGTTCGTGCCACTGCATTCCAGCCTGGGCAACAGAGCGAGACTCTGTCTCAGAAAAAAAAAAAAAAAAAAAAAAAAGAATCCCATCTTTTCTCATCTATGCAAACACTTTACTTCTGAATTGTTCTCTCTCTGTGTTTTTTACTTGTGGTTTTCCCAGTCTGCTGGATCATTCCCATTAGCAGGATCAACTTCACTGGCATTCAACACTGTAGTTGCACACTTAATAATTTTATATCTAAATTTGTGTTTTGTAAGTAAAGTATAATGAGACAATGAAGCATGCTATGTACTGATGTGTCCCCCCACTCCAAATTTATATATTGAAACCCTAACCTCCATTGTGATGCTATTTGGAGGTGAGGCCTTTGGGAAATAATTAGGTTTAGATAAGATCATGAGAGTGAGGCCCCCATGATGAGATTAGTATCTTTATAAAGAGAGGAAGAAAGACCAGATCTTTCTCTCTCTGCCATGTAAAGACATGAAAGAAGGCAGCTATCTGCAAGCCAGGAAAAGGGCCCTCATCAGGCACTGAATTGGTTTGCACCTTGATCTTGTATTTCTTAGCCTCCCATCTTCCTTGCCTCAGGGTGGGTCAACTTAGCTCCCAGAGGCTCTAAGCCACCCATGCCCCAACCAAGGATTAGGAGAAGGCCATATTTTATCTGAGACCATATTGTTACTCAGATTTTCCCCCTTTTTCATTTTGTTTCCCTCGTGGCCTTACAAGTTTTTCTTGAGGAGAGACTTCTCAATAAATCAAGTGCCTCTAATCCTTGTCTCAAGCTCTGCTTCCAGGGAAACTGATTTCACTCTGTAGCTTGTCTTTGCTCTATATTCATTTTCTAGATGATTTTATCTAGTACAGTGGTATTAAATACCATTTTTATGCTAGCAACTCCAGAATTTATATTACCAGCCTTGACCCCTCCTCTGAGCTTTAGACTCAAAAATCTCATTGCTATCATTTTCCTTTAGATGGCTAAAAGACCTGTCAAATTTAACAAATACAAAACTAAATTTTGAGTTTTCCTCTCAGGCTAGGGGAGGTTCCCAAATGCTGGTGGGACCTTGACCCTGGCTGGTGTTCAGGCTCTTGACACTGTTGCAAGAAAGAATTCAAGAACAAGTTGGAAAATAGTGAAAGAATGCAGATTTACTGAAAGCGAAAAGTACACACTCAAGAAAGGGGGGGGTGCATGTGTATTCAAGAGAGTCACACCTGACAGGGTTTGGGGCCTCCACCTTTATGGGTTTCTTTTTTTTTTCCTTTATTTTCTTCTTTTTTTAAAAAAATTAGAGACAAGGTTTCACCATGTCACCCAGGCTGGTCTTGAACTCCTGATCTCAAGTGATCTGCCTGCTGCAGCCTCCCAAAGTGCTGGGATTACTGGCATGAGCCATTGCAACTGGCCTATGGCTTTCTTTAACCAATGGGTGGAATATTCATGAAAATTCCTGGAAAAAAGTGAAGATTTCTCAGCACTATGGTCCCACACATTTTTACACCAGATATGGGTGTTCCTGGAAGTGTCATGGCCTTGGTGGATGTGTGATTTAGTATGTTAATGAGTGTATAATGAGGTCCTAGGTAAAACCTAGATCAAATCTAGCACTATGTTGAGTCTAGTCAGTCTTACCCAGCTTGGCCAACACTATGGTTTTTCAGGGTCTTAACCCCTAGCATATACAGCTATTTTGACATCTTCCTTTAGCTAGTCATGTGAAACTCCTGCTTGGATTATTCTATTGTTCTGCAGCCACCTTGTATTATTCTTGTCTCATTTTCCCCTCTCAGAGATTTCCATCTGATATAGTTTGGCTCTGGGTCCCCACCCAAGTCTCATCTCAAATTATAATCCCCGTGTGTTAAAGGAGAGACCTGGTGGATCATGGGGGCAGTTTCTCCCATGCTGTTCTTGTGATATTGGGGGGAGTTCTCATGAGATCTGATGGTTTTACAAGTATTTGGCACTTCCCTGCCTCTGTCTCTCTTGCCTGCCACCATGTAAGACATGCCTTGTTTCGCCTTCACCTTCTGCCATGATTGTAAGTTTCCTGAGGCCTCACCAGTCATGCAGAACTGTGAGTCAGTTAAACGTCCTTTCTTTATAAATTACCCAGTCTCCAGTAGTATCTTTATAGCAGTGTGAGGATGGACTAAAACACCATTCCTTATTCTTAAGTGTTGATGAGGGAGGAGGTTAGTCTTCTATTTCTACTTCCTGCTGATTAGGGGTGTTGGCCCTGCCTGGAAAGGGAATGGGAGTCTCCAGCTGCCTGGTCTAAGGGTCCCAAGGGTGATTCATCAGGAGAGTCTGAATCTGAGGCAGGGATTGGTTGAAATCCTTGCATGACCAAAATTTTGACATGGAACTGTTGCAACCTAGAAGACACAAACTTTACAAGGAGGCTAAACAAGCAAGGACCAAAGATTAGTAGTAATAAGGTAGCTATTAAATGTCCCAGGAAATGTAGGAACCAGATCACACTTGGTAGGTATCCTTTGACAGAGTCTCAGATGGTTTGAGTGGTGGGGTTATTGAAATTATGTAGCCAGGTAGCCTGTTGGTAAATCTTTCAAACTTGCAGTTCAATTAATCCTGAAATGTTAATATAAGAACATCAGGTGTGGTTTATTTCTGTGCAAACCCCTCTTTCTTCAGCTAGAAGATAAAGCTTCTTGTTATTTCCCTGACTATTTGAGTGGTTCATGGTCTGGTCTTGTTAGGGCCTCGTACAATGGCTTAGTAATGAGCCCAAAACCTGGGATCCAAATCCTGTATAATCCTGCCATACCTAGAAAAGTTCAGAGTTGCTTCTTCATTTGTGGAGTTCCCCCCTTTAAGACAGCCTCCTTTCACTCAACAGACAAGATCTGGTTTCCTAGGCTTGGGATGTACCCCAGATATTTTACTTCCAGTTTGGAAATCTGGGCCTTGGATGGAGAAACCTGATACCCCCTTTCTCCCAGGAAGTTTAGGACTTGAATGGGATTCTTATCTGAGTCCTCTTTAGTGGACTGCATACAAGGATGTCATCCCCGTATTGGAATATGGCTCAATTTTCTAGCTCTAGGTCCCTTAATACTCATGCCAAGTCATTTTCAAACTAGTAAGGGCTATTCCTAAAGCTCTGAGGCAGTACCATCCAGGTGTACTTCTGGGTAATATTAGTTTCAGGATTAGTCCTCTCAAAAAGCAAATACTGAGAGTCAGGGTGCAAAGGAATACAAAAGAAAGCATTCTTAAGATCTAATAGAGTAAACCAATTGGTGTCTCTCAGTATTTGGATAGGTATGGTATAAGGGTTAGCACCATAGGATGTGAGGGAATTACAGCCTCATTAATGGCTCATAAGTCTTGAACTAGATGAAATTCTTCATTTAGTTTTTGAACAGAGAAGATAGGAGTATTACAAGGAGACTGACATGGAACCATGAGGCCATGTTTCAAAAACTTCTCAATTAGAGATTGGAGTCCTTGCCTGGCTTCTGGTTTGAGGGGATACTGACACTTGTATGGGAAATTATTTTTGTCTTTTAAAGAGATGATCACTGGCTGAGCATGTGTTTGGCATCCAGGTGTTTCCCTGGAGCCCTAGCATTGCTCAGGTGTTCACAGCCCCCGAGGCTTTGAAAATGGGAGGGCTTTTGAGGTCAAGTAGGATGAGCTGCAGGTCTAATTTGAAAGCAGTGAGCATGCAATATCTATCTGAACATTTATTATCAAGTAAAACTTGGGAATAGAGATGATTCAGCATGGCCAATAAAGAAGGACCTCGAAAGGACATCTTAAGAACCATAGGCCTGGATTTGGCATTCCAGAGGGCAATATCTAAGAGGCCTATCTTGCTGTGTCCAAAAAGTATACTGAGCTTTTGTGTGAAGTATGAGGAAGAAGCACAGAAGAGAAAAATTGCAAAAGCAAGGTTTAAAGAAAGATGGGAAAGAGAAAATAGTTCCCAACTGGGGTCAGTGTCTTGCCACAACTGGTTCCTTGAGAAAATGGAAGACTCTTCCTGGGAAAAGTTATAGTGCTCCTAGGAGGCTAGCCAAGCACTGCATAGTATGAGACTTTAGCCTACTGCCTTCATTAGCCTCCTGTCAGGAAAGACTGTGGCATCTCAGAACTACTTGGTGTAGGTTGAAACCTTTCCACCTCCATTTGTCACTCATCAGGGCAAACAAGGTTTGCTCTCTAGTCAGAGAGAGCAGAGGCACTATGACTGAGGGGATTCAAGCTGTAGTCAGCTCTGAGGAACAAGGAAGAAATTAGCAATAACTTCAGGGAATGAGAAGACTTTGACTGAGGTCAAAGTGAGACATAACAACTGCTGCTAGTCCTAAAATGGGGATGACAAGTCTCTTGGCTGGATGACCATAAAGGTGATACTAGTGGGCTAGGGGAGCTCCCCAAATGCCCATAGGACTTTGACTCCTGCTGGTGTCCAGGATCTTGACACGATTGCAAGAAGGAATTCAAGGAAGAGTTGGAAAATAGTGAAAGTACAGAGATTTATTCCAAAGCAAAAAGTACACAAGAAAGGGAAGTGAGAGTGTCCTGGGGAGAAATTCACATCCAATGAAATTTGAGGCTTCTATTCTTATAGGTTTCTTTATCTAAGTGGTGAAATATTCATAAAGATTTCTGGAAAAGGCTGCATGTGGTGGCTCATGCCTGTAATCCCAGCACTTTGGGAGGCTGAGGTGGGCAGATCACCTGAGGTCAGGAGTTCAAGACTAGCCTGGCCAACATGGTGAAACCCCGTCTCTACTAAAAATACAAAAATTAGCCAGGCGTGTTGGTGGGCGCCTGTAATCCCAGCTACTTGGGAGGCTGAGGCAGGAGAATGGCATGAACCCAGGAGGTGGAGGTTGAAGTGAGTGGAGATTGTGCCACTGCACTCCAGCCTGTGTGACAGAGTGAGACTCTGTATGAAAAAAAGATTTCTGGAAAAAAGGTGAAGATTTTTCAGCACTGTGGAGCCATTCACTTTCACATGAGATATGGTTATTCCTGTAACTGTCATGGTGCTGGTGGGTGTGTGATTTAGTATGTTAATGAGTGTGTAATGAGGTCCTAGGTGAAACCTAGGTCAAATTTAGCACCAGATTGGACCCAATCTGGGTTCAGTCAGTCTTAGGTTGGCACACATCCTGTTTTTCAGACCCTAGCTTATGTAGCTCTTTCAAAAGTTTCCTTTTGCTAGTTATGCAAAATTCCTGCCTGGAATTCTCTATTCTTCTGCGACCACTCTGTATTATTCTTGTGTCAAAAAGCATTAGTATTTACCACATTGTTCAGATTAAACAACCTTGGAATCATCCTTGACCTTTTCCTTCCTCTCATATCACAATCCATACATCAGCAAGTCCAATTTACTCTATTGTCCAAATACATCCACGTTCAGCAAATCCTGTTGACTGTACTATCCAAATATATCCTGAATCTGTCCACATGGTAGCTATCCACAGTAATCCCTTCTCCTAGCAACCATCATCTCTTCCCTTGTAGGGATGTGTTGTAATAGCTTCCAATTTCCTGATTTCCTACTTCACTAGAGTTATCCTTTTAAAATGCAAATAATACATTTCACTTTTCTGCTGAAAATTCTTGAATTACTTCTCACCTTACTAAAAGCAAAACCAAAGTCCCTTCAATAATCGCTGTGATCCTGCAACATCTGACTCCTTCTTACCTCTTTGACCTCATTCCTTACGATTCTTCCCATCATTTATGGCCTCCTTGCTGTTTCTCAAAAGGCCAAAAACACTCCTGCTTTAGGGCTTCCGTACTTATTGACCTTTGCCAACAGGCTCTACTTCAAGATGTTGAGGTGTTTCATTCTCTCACTTCATCTACATCTCTGTGAAAATCTCATCTTATTAAGGAGGGCTTCCATGACTATTTTTTATTTTTTAGCATTCCCCACTTACTCCTAATATTCCATCTTCACAGCTTGTTTTATTATTCTTTGTGATGTTTCTTACCCTCTGAAATCTTCATATACACACACGTGTGCAAATGGCTACAAAAGGCATTATTTTGTTCACCTCTGATATGGTTTGGCTGTGTCCCCACCCAAATCTCACCTTGAATAGTAGTTCCCATAATCTCCATGTGTCATGGGAGGGACCTGGTGAGAGGTAATTGAACCATGGGGGTGGTTACCCTCATGCTGTTTTTGTGATAGTGAATGGGTTTTCATGAGATCTGTTGGTTTTAAAGGGGCTTTCTTCCCCCTTCACTCAGCACTTCCCTCTCCTGCCACCATGTGTAAAGAACATGTTTGCTTCCCCTTCTACCATGATTGTAAGTCATGGTGAGACTTCTCCAGCCATGTGGAACTGTGAGTCAATTAAACCTCTTTCCTTTATAAATTACCCAGTCTCATGTATGCCTTTATTAGCTGTGTGAGAATGGACTAATACAGTAAATTGGTACCACAGAAGAGTGGAGTGCTGCTATAAGGATACCCAAAAATATGGAAACAACCTTTGGAACTGGGTAACAGACAGATGTTGGAACAGTTTGAAGGGCTCAGAAGAAGAAAGAAAAGTGTGGGAAAGTTTGGAACTTCCCAGAGACTCGAAGGGCTCAGAAGACAGGAAGATGTGAGCAAGTTTCGAACTGCCTAGAGACTTGTTGAATGGCTTTGACCAAGATGCTGACAGTGATATGGACCATGAAGTCCAGGCTGAGGTGGTCTCAGATGAAGATAAGGAACTTCTTGGGAACTGGTCAAAAGTGCTCTTAATACCATTCAGTTTTATGTATTCACAAAGATATGGTTTGGAATTGAAACTTATATTTAAAAGGGAAGCAGAGCAGAAAAGTTCAGAAAATTTGCAGCGTGATTATGCAATATAAAAGAAAAACCCATTTTCTGAGGAGAAATTCAAGCTGGCTGCAGAAATTTGCATAAGTAATGAGGATCCAAATGCTAATCATCAAGACAATGGGGAAAATGTTTCCAGGGCATGTCCAAGGTCTTCACAGCAGCCCCTCTTATCCCAAGTCAGGAGGCCCAGGAAAAAAAAATGGTTTTGTGGGCTAGGCCCAGTGCTTTGTGGCTTTGTGCAGTCTTGGGACTTGGTGCCCTGCATCCCTGCCATGGCTAAAAGGGGCCAAGGTACAGCTTAGGCCATTGATTCAGAGAGTACAAGCCCCAAGCCTTGGTGGCTTACATGTGGTCTTGGGCCTGCCAGTGCACAGAAGTTGAGAATTGAGGTTTGGGAAGCTCTGCCTCGATTTCAGAGGATGTATGGAAATGCCTGGATGTCTAGGCAGAGGTTTGCTGCAGGGGCAGAGCTCTCACGGAGAACCTCTTCTAGGTCAGTGTGGAAGTGAAATGTGGGGTCAGAGCCCCACACAGAATCCCCACTGGGGCACTGCCTAATGATGGAGCTATGAGAAGAGGGCCACCATCCTTCAGACTCCGGAATGGTAGAACCACTGACAGCTTGCACCATGCACCTGGAAAACCTGCAGACACTCAACACCAGCCTGTGAAAGAAGCCAGGAGTGTCTGTACTCTGCAGAGCCACAGGGGCGGAGCTGCCCAAGACCATGGGAACCCACCTCTTATGTCAGTGTGACATGGATGTGAGACATGGAGTTAAAGGAAATCATTTCAGAGCTTTAAGATTTGAATACCCTGCTGGATTTTGGACTTGCATGGGGCCTGTAGCTCCTTTATTTTGGCCAATTTCTCCACTTTGAAATTGGCCAATTTCTCCAATTTAGCTAATGCTTGTATCCCCATTGTATCTAGGAAATAACTAACTTGCTTTGATTTCATGGGCTCCTAGGTATAAGGAACTTGCCTTGTTTCAGATGAGACTTTGGACTTGGACTTTTGAGTTCATACTGAAATGAGTTAAAACTTTGGGAGACTGTTGGGAAGGCATAATTGGCTTTGAAATGTGAGTACATGAGATTTTGGAGGGGCCAAGGATGCAATAATATGGTTTGGCTCCATGTCCCTACCCAAATCTCACTTTGAATTGTAATAATCCCCATGTGTCAAGGGTGGGGCCAGGTGGAGATAATTGAATCACATGGGCAGTTTCCCCCATACTGTTCTCATGGTAATGAATAAGTCTCAGGAGATCTGATGGTTTTATAAATGAGTGTTCCCCTACGCTTCTCTCTTGCTTGCCACCATGTAAGATGTACCTTTGCTTTTCCTTTTCGTTCCACCATAATTGTGAGGTCTTCCCAGCCATGTGGAACTGAGTCTATTAAACCTCTTTCCTTTATAAATTTCCCAGTCTCACATATGTCTTTATTAGAAGCATGAAAACGAACTAATACATCAATTTTGTCTTCTATAAATATGGCTACTTCCGCTCTTTTTTGTTTTCTGTTTGCATGGAATATCTTTTTCCATCCCTTTATTTTCAATCTATACATGTCTTTATAGAGGAAATGTGTTTCTTCTTTTTTTCCTGTCTTATTTCTTTTCCAAGTCTTATTTATTTATTTATTTATTTATTTGTTATTATACTTTAAGTTTTAGGGTACACGTGCACATTGTGCAGGTTAGTTACATACGTATACATGTGCCATGCTGGTGCGCTGCACCCACTAACTCGTCATCTAGCATTAGGTATATCTCCCAATGCTATCCCTCCCCCCTTCCGCCACCTCACAACAGTCCCCAGAGAGTGATGTTCCCCTTCCTGTTTCCATGTGATCTCATTTTTCAATACCCACCTATGAGTGAGAATATGCGGTGTTTGGTTTTTTGTTCTTGTGATAGTTTACTGAGAATGATGATTTCCAATTTCATCCATGTCCCTACAAAGGACATGAACTCATCATTTTTTATGGCTGCATAGTATTCCATGGTGTATATGTGCCACATTTTCTTAATCCAGTCTATCATTGTTGGACATTTGGGTTAGTTCCAAGTCTTTGCTATTGTGAATAATGCCGCAATAAACATACGTATGCATGTGTCTTTATAGCAGCATGATTTATAGTCCTTTGGGTATATACCCAGTCATGGGATGGCTGGGTCAAATGGTATTTCTAGTTCTAGATCCCAGAGGAATCGCCACACTGACTTCCACAATGGTTGAACTAGTTTACAGTCCCACCAACAGTGTAAAAGTGTTCCTATTTCTCCACATCCTCTCCAGCACCTGTTGTTTCCTGACTTTTTATTGATTGCCATTCTAACTGGTGTGAGATGGTATCTCATTGTGGTTTTGATTTGCATTTCTCTGATGGCCAGTGATGGTGAGCATTTTTTCATGTGTTTTTTGGCTGCATAAATGTCTTCTTTTGAGAAGTGTCTATTCATGTCCTTCGCCCACTTTTTGATGGGGTTGTTTGTTTTTTTCTTGTTAATTTGTTTGAGTTCATTGTAGATTCTGGATATTAGCCCTTTGACAGATGAGTAGGTTGCGAAAATTTTCTCCCATTTTGTAGGTTGCCTGTTCAGTCTGATGGTAGTTTCTTTTGCTGTGCAGAAGCTCTTTAGTTTAATTAGATCCCATTTGTCAATTTTGGCTTTTGTTGCCATTGCTTTTGGTGTTTTAGACATGAAGTCCTTGCCCATGCCTATGTCCTGAATGGTATTGCCTAGGTTTTCTTCTAGGGTTTTTATGGTTTTAGGTCTAACGTTTAAGTCTCTAATCCATCTTGAATTGATTTTTGTATAAGGTGTAAGGAAGGGATCCAGTTTCAGCTTTCTACATATGTCTAGCCAGATTTCTCAGCACCATTTATTAAATAGGGAATCCTTTCCCCATTGCTTGTTTTTCTCAGGTTTGTCAAAGATCAGATAGTTGTAGATATGTGGCATTATTTCTGAGGGCTCTGTTCTGTTCCATTGATCTATATCTCTGTTTTGGTACCAGTACCATGCTGTTTTGGTTACTGTAGCCTTGTAGTATAGTTTGAAGTCAGGTAGTGTGATGCCTCCAGCTTTGTTCTTTTGGCTGAGGATTGACTTGGCAATGCGGGCTCTTTTTTGGTTCCATATGAACTTTAAAGTAGTTTTTTCCAATTCTGTGAAGAAAGGCATTCGTAGCTTGATGGAGATGGCATTGAATCCGTAAATTACCTTGGGCAGTATGGCCATTTTCACGATATTGATTCTTCCTACCCATGAGCATGGAATGTTCTTCCATTTATTTGTATCCTCTTTTATTTCCTTCAGCAGCGGTTTGTAGTTCTCCTTGAAGAGGTCCTTCACATCCTTTGTAAGTTGGATTCCTAGGTATTTTATTCTCTTTGAAGCAATTATGAATGGGAGTTCACTCATGATTTGGCTGTTTGTCTGTTGTTGGTGTATAGGAATGCTTGTGATTTTTGCACATTGATTTTGTATCCTGAGACTTTGCTGAAGTTGCTTATCAGCTTAAGGAGAGTTTGGGCTGAGACAGTGGGGTTTTCTAGATATGCAATCATGTCATCTGCAAACAGGGACAATTTGACTTCCTCTTTTCCTAATTGAATACCCTTTATTTCCTTCTCCTGCCTAATTGCCCTGGCCAGAACTTCCAACACTATGTTGAATAGGAGTGGTGAGAGAGGGCATCCCTGTCTTGTGCCAGTTTTCAAAGGGAATGCTTCCAGTTTTTGCCCATTCAGTATGATATTGGCCGTGGGTTTGTCATAGATAGCTCTTATTATTTTGAAATATGTCCCATCAATACCTAATTTATTGAGAGTTTTTAGCATGAAGAGTTGTTGAATTTTGTCAAAGGCCTTTTCTGCATCTATTGAGATAATCATGTGGTTTTTGTCTTTGGCTCTGTTTATATGCTGGATTACATTTATTGATTTGCATATATTGAACCAGCCTTGCATCCCAGGGATGAAGCCCACTTGATCATGGTGGATAAGCTTTTTGATGTGCTGCTGGATTCGGTTTGCCAGTATTTTATTGAGGATTTGTGCATCAATGTTCATCAAGAATATTGGTCTAAAATTCTCTTTTTTGGTTGTGTCTCTGCCCGGCTTTGGTATCAGAATGATGCTGGCCTCATAAACTGAGTTAGGGAGGATTACCTCTTTTTCTATTGATTGGAATAGTTTCAGAAGGTACCAGTTCCTCCTTGTACCTCTGGTAGAATTCGGCTGTGAATCCATCTGGTCCTGGACTCTTTTTGGTTGGTAAGCTATTGATTATTTCCACAATTTCAGATCCTGTTATTGGTCTATTCAGAGATTCAACTTCTTCCTGGTTTAGTCTTGGGAGAGTGTATGTGTCAAGGAATTTATCCATTTCTTCTAGATTTTCTAGTTTATTTGCGTAGAGGTGTTTGTAGTATTCTCTGATGGTAGTTTGTATTTCTGTGGGTTCGGTGGTGATATCCCCTTTATCATTTTTTATTGCGTCTATTTGATTCTTCTCTCTTTTTTTCTTTATTAGTCTTGCTAGCCGTCTATCAATTTTGTTGATCCTTTCAAAAAACCAGCTCCTGGATTCATTAATTTTTTGAAGGGTTTTTTGTGTCTCTATTTCCTTCAGTTCTGCTCTGATTTTAGTTAGGTCTTGCCTTCTGCTAGCTTTTGAATGTGTTTGCTCTTGCTTTTCTAGTTCTTTTAATTGTGATGTTAGGGTGTCAATTTTGGATCTTTCCTGCTTTCTCTTGTGGGCATTTAGTGCTATAAATTTCCCTCTACACACTGCTTTGAATGCGTCCCAGAGATTCTGGTATGTTGTGTCTTTGTTTTCGTTGGTTTCAAAGAACATCTTTATTTCTGCCTTCATTTCATTATGTACCCAGTAGTCATTCAGGAGCAGGTTGTTCAGTTTCCATGTAGTTGAGCAGTTTTGAGTGAGATTCTTAATCCTGAGTTGTAGTTTGATTGCACTGTGGTCTGAGAGATAGTTTGTTATAATTTCTGTTCTTTACATTTGCTGAGGAGAGCTTTACTTCCAAGTATGTGGTCAATTTTGGAATAGGTGTGGTGTGGTGCTGAAAAAAATGTATATTCTGTTGATTTGGGGTGGAGAGTTCTGTAGATGTCTATTAGGTCCGCTTGGTGCAGAGCTGAGTTCAATTCCTGGGTATCCTTGTTGACTTTCTGTCTCGTTGATCTGTCTAATGTTGACAGTGGGGTGTTAAAGCCTCCCATTATTTATGTGTGGGAGTCTAAGTCTCTTTGTAGGTCACTCAAGACTTGCTTTATGAATCTGGGTGCTCCTGTATTGGGTGCATGTATATTTAGGATAGTTAGCTCTTCTTGTTGAATTGATCCCTTTACCATTATGTAATGGCCTTCTTTGTCTCTTTGATCTTTGTTGGTTTAAAGTCTTTTTTATCAGAGACTAGGATTGCAACCCCTGCCTTCTTTTGTTTTCCATTTGCTTGGTAGATCTTCCTCCATCCTTTTATTTTGAGCCTATATGTGTCTCTGCACGTGAGATGGGTTTCCTGAATACAGCACACTGATGGGTCTTGACTCTTTATCCAATTTGCCAGTCTGTGTCTTTTACTTGGAGCATTTAGTCCATTTACATTTAAAGTTAATAGTGTTATGTGTGAATTTGATCCTGTCATTATGATGTTAGCTGGTTATTTTGCTTGTTAGTTGATGCAGTTTCTTCCTAGTCTCGATGGTCTTTACATTTTGGCATGATTTTGCAGCGGCTGGTACCAGTTGTTCCTTTCCATGTTTAGCGCTTCCTTCAGGAGCTCTTTTAGGGCAGGCCTGGTGGTGACAAAATCTCTCAGCATTTGCTTGTCTGTAAAGTATTTTATTTCTCCTTCACTTATGAAGCTTAGTTTGGCTGGATATGAAATTCTGGGTTGAAAATTCTTTTCTTTAAGAATGTTGAATATTGGCCCCCACTCTCTTCTGGCTTGTAGGGGTTCTGTTGAGAGATCCGCTGTTAGTCTGATGGGCTTCCCTTTGAGGGTAACCCGACCTTTCTCTCTGGCTGCCCTTAACATTTTTTCCTTCATTTCAACTTTGGTGAATCTGACAATTGCATGTCTTGGAGTTGCTCTTCTCGAGGAGTATCTTTGTGGCGTTCTCTGTGTTTTCTGAATCTGAACGTTGGCCTGCCTTGCTAGATTGGGGAAATTCTCCTGGATAATATCCTGCAGAGTGTTTTCCAACTTGGTTCCGTTCTCCCCATCACTTTCAGGTACACCAATCAGATGTAGATTTGGTCTTTTCACATAGTCCCATATTTCTTGGAGGCTTTGTTCCTTTCTTTTTATTCTTTTTTCTCTAAACTTCCCTTCTCGCTTCATTTCATTCATTTCATCTTCCATCGCTGATACCCTGTCTTCCAGTTGATAGCATCGGCTCCTGAGGCTTCTGCATTCTTCACGTAGTTCTCGAGCCTTCGTTTTCAGCTCCATCAGCTCCTTTACGCACTTCTCTGTATTGATTATTCTAGTTATACATTCTTCTAAATTTTTTTCAAAGTTTTCAACTTCTTTACCTTTGGTTTGAATGTCCTCCCATAGCTCAGGGTAATTTGATCGTCTGAAGCCTTCTTCTCTCAGCTCGTCAAAGTCATTCTCCGTGCAGCTTTGTTCCATTGCTGGTGAGGAGCTGCGTTCCTTTGGAGGAGGAGAGGCGCTCTGATTTTTAGAGTTTCCAGTTTTTCTGTTCTGTTTTTTCCCCATCTTTGTGGTTTTATCTACTTTTGGTCTTTGATGATGGTGATGTACAGATGGGTTTTTGGTGTGGATGTCCTTTCTGTTTGTTAGTTTTCCTTCTAACAGACAGGACCGTCAGCTGCAGGTCTGTTGGAGTACCCTGCAGTGTGAGGTGTCAGTGTGCCCCTGCTGGAGGGTGCCTCCCAGTTAGGCTGCTCGGGTGTCAGGGGTCAGGGACCCACTTGAGGAGGCAATCTGCCCGTTCTCAGATCTCCAGCTGCGTACTGGGAGAACCACTGCTCTCTTCAAAGCTGTCAGACAGGGACATTTAAGTCTGCAGAGGTTACTGCTGTGTTTTTGTTTGTCTGTGCCCTGCCCCCAGAGGTGGAGCCTACAGAGGCAGGCAGGCCTCCTTGAGCTGTGGTGGGCTCCACCCAGTTCGAGCTTCCCTGCTGCTTTGTTTACCTAAGCAAGCCTGGGCATTGGTGGGCGCCCCTCCCCCAGCCTCGCTTCAGCCTTGCAGTTTGATCTCAGACTGCTGTGCTAGCAATCAGTGAGACTCCGTGGGGTAGGACCCTCCGAGCCAGGTGCAGGATATAATCTCGTGGTGCGCCGTTTTCTAAGCCCTTTGGAAAAGCGCAGTATTTGGGTGGGAGTGACCCAATTTTCCTGGTGCCGTCCATCACCCCTTTCTTTGATTAGGAAAGGGAACTCCCTGACCCCTTGCACTTCCCAAGTGAGGCAATGCCTCGCCCTGCTTCGGCTCGTGCACGGTGCGTGCACCCACTGACCTGCGCCCACTGTCTGGCACTCCCTAGTGAGATGAACCCGGTACCTCAGATGGAAATGCAGAAATCACCCATCTTCTGCGTCGCTCAGGCTGGGAGCTGTAGACCGGAGCTGTTCCTATTCGGCCATCTTGGTTCCTCCCTTGGAAATGTGTTTTTTATAGGTAACAGATGATTGCACTGGGTCTTGTTTTTTTTATGCATTTAGTTACTCTACGTTTTTTTATTGGAGAGTTTGTTCCACTTTCAGTTATTATTGATAATTAAGGACTTACTCCTACCATTTTGTTATTAGTTTTCCAGTTGTTTTGTGGCATTTTCTTTCTTCTTCCTTTCCTTTCTGTCTTCCTTTTAGTGAAGGTGTTTTTATCTGATGATATGTTTTAACATATTGCTTTTTAAAATTCTTTGTGTATCTGTTTTATGTTTTTAAATTTGAGGTTACCATGAGGCTTACAAATAGTATAAGCCATTATTTTAAACTGATAACAACTTATCACTGATTGCTTAAACAAATTAATAAACAAGCAAAGAGAAAACAAAACTCAACACTTTTTCTTTTTGTTGTTTCCATTTATCTTATTATACTATCTATGTCTTGAAAAGTTTTTGTAGTTATTATTTTTGATAGGTTAAACTTTTAGCCCTTCTACTCAAGTAGTTTACATATCACAATTACAGTGTTATTTAGCTGTTTTTTTTCTGTATTTACTGTTACCAGTGAGTTTTGTATGTTTAGATGATTTTTTATTGCTCATTAATGTCCTTTTCTTTCTGATTGAAGAACTGTCTTTAACATTTCTTTTAGGAGAGATCTGGTGTTGATGAAATCCCTCAGCTTATGTTTATCTGGGAAAGTCCTTAATTCTCCTTCATGTTCACCGAATATAATGTTCTAGGATAAACTTTTTTTCCCAGCACTTTAAATATGTCATGCCACTCTCTCCTGGCCTGTAAGGTTTACACTGAAAAGTCTGCTGCCAGAAATACTCCATTTTATATTACTTGTTTCTTTTCTCTTTCTGCTTTTAGAATCCTTTCTTTATCCTTGACGTTTGGGAGTTTGATTATTAAATGTCTTGAGGTACTCTTCTTTTGGTTAAATCTGCTTGGTGTTCTATAACCTTCTTGTACTTGGATATTGATATCTTTCTCTAGGTTTTGGAAGTTTTGTTACTATACCTTTAAATAAAATTTTAAGTTCCAGGGTATATGTGCAGGATGTGCAGGTTTGTTACCTAAGTAAATGTGTACCATGGTGATTTGCTGCACCTATCAATCTATCTCCTGTTATAAAGCCCAGTATGCATTAGCTATTTTTCCTAATGCTCCCCCTTCCAACATTTTTTCCCAACAAGCCCCAGTGTGTGTTATTCTCCACCCTATGTTTCTATGTTCAGCTCCCACTGATAAGTGGGAACATGCAGTGTTTGGTTTTCTGTTCCTGCTTTAGTTTGCTGAGAATAATGGCTTCCAGCTCCATCCATGTCACTGCAAAGGACATGATCTTGTTCCTTTTTATGGCTGCATCTGCATAGTATTTCATGGTCTATATGTACCACATTTTCTTTATTGAGTCTATCATTGATGGGCATTTGGGTTCATTCTGTGTCTTTGTGATTGTGAATAGTGCTGCAATGAACATATGTGTGCATGTATTTTTATAATAGAAAAATTTCTGTTCCTTTGGGTATGTAGCCAGTAATGGGATTGCTGCATCAAACGGTATTTCCAGTTCTAGTTCTTTGAGGAATTGCCACACTGTCTTCCAGAATAGTTGAACTAATTTACATTCCCACCAACAATGTAAAAGCATTTCTATTGCTCTGCAGCCTCGCCAACATATGTTTCTTGACTTTTTAATAATTGCCATTCTGACTGGCATGAGATGATATCTCATTGCAGTTTTGAATTGCATTTCTCTAATGATCAGTGATGTTGAGCTTTTTTTCATATGTTTGTTAGCCACATGTATGTCTTGTTTTGAAAAGCATCTGTTCATGTCCTTTGCCCACTTTTAATGGGGTTGTTTTTTCTTACAAATTTATTTAAGTTCCTTGTAGATTCTGGATATTAGACCTTTGTTAGATGGATAGATTGCAAAAATTTTCTCTCATTCTATAGGTTGTCTGTTCACTCTGATGATAGTTTCTTTTGCTCTGCAGAAGCTCTTTAGTTTAATTAGATCCCATTTGTCAATTTTTGCTTTTGTTGCAGTTGCTTCTGATGTTTTTGTCATGAAATCTTTGCCCATGGCTATGTCCTGAATGTTATTGCCTAGATATTCTTCTAGGGTTTTTATAGTTTTTGATTTTATATTTAAGTCTTTAATCCATCTTGAGTTAATTTTTATATAAGGTGTAAGGGAGTGATCGTCTCAGTCCAAAAGCTTCTTAAGCTGATAAGCAACTTCAACAAAGTCTCAGGATACAAAATCAATGTGCAAAAAGCTTAAGCATTCCTATATACCAACAACAGATGAGCAGAGAGCCAAATCGTGAAAAAAACTCCCACTCACAATTGCTACAAAGAGAATAAAACACCTAGGAATACAGCTAATGAGGGAAGTAAAGGACCTGTTCAAGAAGAACTATGAACCACTGCTAAAGGAAATCAGAGAAGACACAACAAATGAAAAAACATTCCATACTCATGGACAGGAAGTATGAATATTGTGAAAGTGGCCATACTGCCCAAAATAATTTATAGATTTAATGCTATTTCTATTAAACTACTGTTGACATTCTTCACAGGATTAGAAAAAAATATTTTAAAATTCGTATGAAACCAGAAAAGAGCCTGGGTGGCCAAGACAGAGTCCTAAGCAAAAAGAACAAAGCTGAAGGCATCATGCTACCTGACTTCAAACTACCACAAGGCTCTACAGTAACCAAAGAGCATGGTACTAGTACAAAAACAGACACATAGATCAATGAAACAGAATACAGAACTCAGAAATAAGACTGCACATCTACAACCATCTGATATTCGACAAACCTGACAAAAACAAGCAATGGAGAATGGATTCTCTATTTAATAAATGGTGCTGGGAGAACTGGCTAGCCATATGCAGAAAATTAAAATTGAATAAACTTTCTACTCCTATCCCTTTCTCTATCTCCTCTTTAAGGCCAATAACTCTTAGTTTTGCCCTTTTGAGGCTATTTTCTAGATCCTGTAGGTGCACTTCATTTTTTAAAATTATTTTTTCTGGCTGGGTGAGGTGGCTCATGCCTGTAATCCCAGCATTATGGGAGGCTGAGGTTGGGGGGGATCACCCGAGCTCAGGAGTTCGAAACCAGTCTCACCAACATGATGAAACCCTGTCTCTACTAAAAATACAAAAATTAGCTGGGCATGGTGGCAGATGCCTGTAATCCCAGCTACTCAGGAGGCTGAGGCAGGATAATCGCTTGAACACGGGAGGCATAGGTTGCAGTGAGCTGAGATCGTGCCATTGCACTCCAGCCTGGGCGACAAGAGCAAAATTTCATCTCCAAAAAAAAAAATCCTTTTTTCTTTTGTCTCCTCTGTGTATTTTCAAATAGCTTATCTTCAAGCTCACTAATTCTTTTTTTTTGCTTGATCAATTCTGCTATTAAGAGACTGATGCATTCTTTAGTAGTCAATTGCATTTTTCACCTCAGAATGTCTACTTGATTCTTTTTAATTATTCCAATCTCTTTGTTAAATTTTTCTGATAGGAATCTGAATTCCTTCTCTGTGTTATCTTGAATGTCTTTGAGCTTCCTCAAAACAGCTCTTTTGAATTCTCTGTCTGGAAGGTCATATATCTCTCTCTCTCTGTGACTGGTGCCTGGTGTCTTCTTTAGTTTGTTTGGTGAGGTCATGTTTTGCTGGTCTTGATGCTTTTAGATGTTCATTGGTGTCTGGGCATTAAAGAGTTAGGTATTTATTATAGTCTTTGCAGTCTGTTTGTACCTGTCCTCCTTCAGAAGGCTTTCCAGGTATTCAAAGGGACTTAAGTGTTGTGATGAAAATCTCTCGGGTCATATCTGCATTATGAGACCCCAAGCTCAGTGAAACAATGGCTCTTGCAGACTCATAGGGGTACTACCCTGGTGATCTTAGGTAAGATCCAGGAGAATTCCCTGGATTACTAGGCAGACTCTTGTTCTCCTCTCTTATCTTTCCCTAAACAAGCAGAGTCTCTCTGTTCTGAGCTCCTAGGAGCTTGGGGAAGGATGGCACAAGCACTCTTGTGGTCGCCAGCACTGGGGTTATGCTGGGTCAGGCCTGAAGCCAACACAGCACTGGGTCTTGCCCAAAGCCCACTGTGACCACTCCCTACCTACCACCTATGTTCACTCAAGGCCTAAGGGCTCTTCAGTTAGCATGTGGAGAATCTAGTCAGGCTTGTGTCTTTCCCTTCAGGGCAGTGAGCTCCCCCCTTCCCCTAGTAGGTCCAGTGATGCTGTCTGGGAGCTAGGGTCTGAAGTCAGGAACTTTTGAAATCTACCTGGTGGTCTATTCTACTACAGTGAGTTGGAACCCAAGCCACAAGAGAAAGTCTTTCCCAGTCTTTCCTCCCCCTTCCTCAAGCAGAGTTTTCCTTGTGGTCATCACACCCCCGACCCACAGCAAGTACAGCCTAGCTACTGCCAATATTCACTCAAGGCCCAAGACCTCTTCAGTCTCTCCCTTCAGGGCAGTGGGCTCCCCTCTGGCACAGGGCAGGTTTAGAAAAGCCATCCAGGATCCAAGTCCTGGAATCAGAGACCCCAAGAGCCCAGTTGGTGCTCTACCCCACTGTGGCTGAGCTGGTAACCAAGCTACAAGATAAAGTCCCATTACTCTTCCTTGCTCTTTCCTCAAGCAGGAGTCTTTTCTCAAAACCACCATAGCTAGGAATGTGCTGAGTCATACCTGAAGCCGGCAGAGCTCTGAGTCTCACCCAAGGCCCATGGTGAGTACTACTGGGCTACTGCTGACTAGTCAGGGCTGAAGGGCTCTCAAGTCAGCTGGTTATTAATCTTGCCAGGACTGAGTCCTTCCCTTCAAGGCAATGAGTTTCCTTCTGGCCCAGGGCATGTCTATGAATGTCATCCTGGAGCTAGGGCCTAGAATGGGTGCCTCAGGACTCTGCCTGTTGCCCTATTCTACTGCGGCTGAGGTGGTATCAAGTTACAAGACAAAGTTCTCTTTACTGTCCCTTCTCTTCTTCTCAAGCAGAGAAAAGGAATCTCTCCCAGAGCTGCAATTGGTGCTGCCTAGGTTTTGGGGAGGGGTCATGCAAGCACTCCTTTGGCTGCCCTGGTTGCTGTCTCACTAGGTTGCATGCACTTCAAGTATACTGACTCCAAGACCAGCACAGGACCAGGACTTGCCCAGGAATTGCTGTCCTTGTGGCCTAGACTGTCTTTCAAATTTATTAAGCACCCCAGAGCACTTTAGCCCATGGTGGTGGGACTCTCTGGATCTCAGGTTCTTGCTGTTGGGATGGATAATTCACCTCTGGCTAGGGCTGGTCTAAATGCTTTCTCTGTGGGCCCAGGCTGAGTTTTGCCCCTTGTTGCTTTCCACTGTGACAGTGCGGCACTGAATTCCAATGCAAATCTTACAATCACTGTGCTTTCCCTCCCCAAAGTACACAGATTTTTCCCTCTGTGACATGTGGCTAACTCCAGGGGATGGGGGAAGGGTGGCATAGGCAATTCAAGCCTGTATTTGGTACTTGCCTTTTTCAGCGCCTCTTTTCTGACATGTTAAAAGCAGATACTGTTGCAAGTTGTTGGTTTGCATGGCAAACAAACAAAGAAACAAAAAGCAGGCACTATGATTGCTCACCTGATTTTGGTTCTTATGAAGGTGCTTTTTTGGGTGGATAGTTGGTCAGTTTGGTGTTGCTGTGGTGGAAATGATCACTGGAGGTTTCTAGAAGGCCATGTTGCTCTACGTCCTCCAAGTTGGAACTTTCTGTATGATGTAAGGTTATGGTTAGTCTTCCATTAACGCATATTAGGTATTATTAATAAGAATTATTTTAAGAATCCATGTGAAAATAAAAAGAAATAGTTTCAGTTCCTCTACAGCCATTTCAGAAAACTTCAGCCTGTATCAGAATACAGCTTGGTTCGAGATCAGCTTTTTCTATTGTCCTTTCAGCAGCTAATGTCTGTTTCTGTGCTTGAGAGCTTCGCCCTTTCTAAGTGACTCTCTTTCTACTGCACTCATCACTATCAATTCTCTTTGCCCTTGTTTTCTCTAGTATTGTTTGATTTTTAAAGCGAGTGATCCAGTCATTAATTCAATACCTTTATTAAAACAATGTCAAAGTTGCTGGAGATATTGAACTGTGAATAAGATGGAGGCAATTACTGTTCTCAGAGAACTTATAGTTTTATGATTTTCTGCTTTTTTATGGTTCTATTTCCTCATGGCATCTATTTATTTATGAATTTTACTTACTGGTTTCTCTCAGTGAGTCTCTCTGCTTCTCTAACTCCTGGATGCGTATATTAGCATTTTTCTATTTTCTGTATTTTATGATGTTTTGACATCTGAGGGCCTTGCTAATTTTGAAGAGACTGCTCCTCCTATGGTTAGCTAATTTCTAGAGCTAGCAAATTACTCTCCTGTGAATACTGTTTTTATGTGAAAATGAGTAAATCCAGAGTCCACGCACACCAACTGCTTCTTTTATGGAGCTCCCACAGGTTAAGCCCCATCCCCTAAGATCACCTCAGGGCCAGGTTCCAGGCAATGGGGGAATTCCTATACCCCAGAGCCCACTAAGTTATTCAAACAAACCACTCCTAAATCTGCCTACCTTACCTTACTCATTCCTTCTTGTAAAAACCATAGGAAAGTCTTTGGTCCATGCTTTCTCCTTACGCCTTTGTCTCCTGAGTGACCTTGGTGCTTCCCTATGTTACGTGCAGTGCTTCCTGTTTCTAAGGATGTGTGAGTATAAACTTCTTTCTTCATGACGGTCATTTCTGTTTCTGTGTGTGCATGTCTTATCATACCCAATTAAAACAAATCCCAGATATATTTTAACACAATTCCTCACCATATGTCTGGCATTTAAAACTCCAGTAAGACAACTGTCCCTATTATTGGGATAATCAGGTCATGAATTTCAAAGTATAGTCACAAGAACCCTCTTTGAAGAGGGGGTGTGGTTTCTATCTTACTCCTTGTCAGAAAGAATATAATGACAGCTATCTTTTCTGAATTGTTCAGCACACTCTTCTTCTTCCCCAATTCTGTATTTTCTCCTATATATAGATTGGTTTACCCACCTTCTTCTCCAGTGATCTAGAAGTTGGGACAGTCTATTTTAAATTCCACTTTAAGCCATTACAAATTTCAAAACATTATTAAGCATATTTATATAATTGTCAAATATAAAAACAAAATAACTTTAGTTTTTCATGGGAGATTTAGACCTAGTTTTAATTCTATTGTTTCTAGCATTTAGAATTGCAAAAAAGAAGGCAAATTCCCTTTCATTCTGTTGTATGTAATTTCATTTTGTGTTGTCTAGAATTTTTTAGAGTCTTTCTTTACTTTTGAGCTTTAAAAGTCATCATAATATATTTATTAATTTTTCCTTACATGTAGGAATATCTCAACTCTGGGATCAAATAACTTCTTAAATTGGGAAGGTTTTCTTTTAGGTATCATTGATTATTACCTTTGCTTACTTTATTTTCCTTTGTCCTTTAGAGTTTTCTGTTATTTACAGGTTCAAAAGGTTAGAAATATGACTATTTTCTGTATTCATTATCATATCTTCTATCTTTTTGATCTCTTTATCTTCTCTTTTTGTATTTTAGAAGTCTTGTAATTTGTATCATTAATTCTATTTGCTCAACTCTTGAGCTCCTTCAGGCTGGGGATTATGTCTAATTCTAATTTGTATAGTAAGTGCTATCCTTCTCTCATGTTATACATTTTTAAATAGGTTCCATATTTGTTTTTCCCCTAATAATTCAACCCTCAAAACAGAGATATTTGGCTTTTATAATTTACTGAAGTGTTGGCAGAAACCCTTTCATTCATCTATGAAGGTGAAAGATGTATATAGAGAATTTAGTAAAGCTCCTGGTATGTTTGAGACTCAATTTCTGTCCTCAAGACTGTGAAGAAATTGCTCAAGTATTTTATTTATTTAAATACATGGGTTTGTATGTGTCTGGTGTTTTTTTTTGTGCGTGCATGTGTGTTTGTGTGTGTATGTGTGGTGGGGATGGGAAGAACGTAAGGGAGAACTTATAGTGGCGTCAGAATTCTGACAACAAGAGTTAGGGGAATGTTCGTTATTAAAAGTAATAAGATTTTTAAAGTGTTTCATTCCCAGAGATTAAAGAACTCCTTATCAATCTCGGCTACCCACCTCCTAAGTTGGGACAGTAGTGATGGTTTGACATGAGATCTTATTTGTGTCCTCCACTGGGTGAGACTATACACTGGCTAAAGGTAATACACTCTAGGGGCTGTCCCAGGAAGAGCAGGCCTTTGACTAAAGTTTGTTTGGGAGTGTCAAGCCAGAATGGAGACTAGATGTAGAGGGAGTAGACCATAAGCAGGGAATCAGTACAGTGACCTTGGGTATAGGGAATCCACATGTCAGGCTTGGAATTCAGGAATGGGACTGGGTCAAGCTTAAAGACTAGAACATCAGCAGAGATGAGATTTAAGGAAGCATCATTTGATTGGCAGAATTTTTTTTATCTTCCAGCTATGTAACAACTCAAGAAAATGAGCTCATCTGGGTACAAAGAAAAGAAAAAAGAACTCAAGAAAAATAGACAGATGGACAAATGAATAGGAAGTTTAATTGAAAAGATTGTGTCTCAAGACCAGATACCTTTCTATTGGTCTGCTTCCTCTTCCTCTTCTTCTTCTTCTCACTTCTTCTTTTGTTGGAGTCTTACTCTGTCACCTAGACTGTAGTTCGGTGGCGTGATCTTGGCTTACTCTTGGCTCACTGCAACCTCCACCTCCTGGATTCTAGTGATTCTCCTGCCCCAGCCTCCCGAGTAGCTGGGATTACAGGTGCGTTGTACCACACCCAGCTAGTTTTTGTATTTTTAATAGAGATGGGGTTTTGCCATGTTGGCCAGGCTGGTCTTGAACTCCTGACCTCAGGTGATCTGCCTGCCTCAGCCTCCCAAAGTGCTGGGATTGCAGGCGTGAGCCACTGTGCCCAGCCAATTGGTCTGTTTTCTTCACACAGTCAAATGTTCCTTTAACCACAGAAAGATAAACAAGCGTTTCAGAAAATACTATTGAAAAGCTCCCAGGGCCGGGTGTGGTGGCTCAGGCTTGTAATCACAGCACTTTGGGAGGCCAAGGCAGGCAGATCACTTGAACCCAGGAGCTGGAGACCAGCTGACCAGCCTGGGGAACATGGTGAAACTCCTTCTCAAAAAATTAACCGGGCATGGTGTCATATACCTGTAATCCTAGCTACTCGGGAGGCTAAGGCTGGAGGATTGCTTGAGCCCAGGAGGTCGAGGTTGCATGTGAGCCGTGATTATGCCACTGCACTTCAGCCTGGGTGACAGTGAGATCTTATTTACCAAAAAAAAAAAAAAAAAAAAAAAAAAGGCTCCTAGGATCCAGGACATTCTTTTTAAGTAATCCTCCCCAAGGAATATAATTATAACAAGTTGATAGTTACCTATTTTTTATTAGCCCAGTGCCACTTCCACAGTAAAACCTATTATCTTATACCTGGAGTGATATAACTTGTTTAAAAATTTATAATTTTTAATAGGTAATTCCGTTGTTGTCTTAATGAGATAGCAATGTGTTTAGCAGAAACATGGCAATAGACACTCTTAGAGGATTTAAAGTTTCACAAATGGCAAATTATTTGGAAGTGAATAAATTAGTTATATAAAATAAGAGACAACCAGAATGCTTCCAGGTGAAAATTCAGGCTTTCTAAGAGACCCCAGTCTGGGAGCATGCTTGCTATCTTCTGCTTTGTGAAAACATCTTCATGTGTTTCCATATTCTTCGAATAAAAAGAAATGTTATGTCTTTTGACAGTGACTGCTGGGTTTTTCCATCTGTTTAATCAGTTTTTCTTTGTGACAGCCATTCAATAGTATGTTCACATGGCAAAAAAATTTGAACAATACAGCAGAGAAAATAAGTCCTCCTCTTAGTTCGGCACTTCATTCCATTTCCCCAAAGCAGCTACCATCACCAGTTTCTTGTGTATTCTTTCAGATATTCTATACATATCTGTGTCTCAGTATCCTGTAAAATAGGGTTAGTACTAGATTGTGTTGTTTTTGTTTTTGTTTTTGTTTTCTGGTTCCATATGAAGTTTAAAGTATTTTTTTCCAATTCTGTGAAGAAAGTTAATGGTAGCTTGATGGGGATAGCATTGAATCTATAAATTACTTTGGGCAGTATGGCCATTTTCATGATATTGATTCTTCCTATCCATGAGAATGCAATATTTTTCTATTTTGTTTGTGTCCTCTCTTATTTCGTTGAGCAGTGGTTTGTAGTTCTCCTTGAAGAAGTCCTTCACATCTCTTGTATGTTGGATTCCTAGGTATTTTATTCTCTTAGTAGCAATTGTGAATGGGAGTTCACTCATGATTTGGCTCTCTGTTTGTTCTTGGTGTATAGGAATGCGTGTGATTTTCACGCATTGATTTTGTATCTTGAGACTTTGCTGAAGTTGCTTATCAGTTTAAGGAGATTTTGGGCTGAGATGATGGGGTTTTCTAAATATACAATCATGTCATCTGCAAACAGAGACAATTTGACTTCCTCTCTTCCTATTTGAATACTTTCTTTCTCTTGCCAGATTGCCCTGGCCAGAACTTCCAATACTATCTTGAATAGCAGTGGTGAGAGATGGCATCCTTGTCTTGTGCCGGTTTTCAGAGGGAATGCTTCCAGCTTTTGTCCATTCAGTATGATACTGGCTGTGGGTTTGTCATAAATAGCTCTTATTATTTTGAGATACGTTCCATCAATACCTAGTTTATTGAGAGTTTTTAGCATGAAGGGATGTTGAATTTTGTTGAATGCCTTTTCTGCATCTATTGAGATAATAATGTGGTTTCTGTCATGGGTTCTGTTTATGTGATGGATCACATTTATTGACTTGTGTATGTTGAACCAGCCTTGCATGCCAGGTATGAAGCTGACTTGATCGTGGACAAGATTTTTGATGGGCTGCTGGATTCAGTTTTCCAGTATTTTATTGAGGATTTTCACATCGATGTTCATCAGTGATATTGGCCTGAAATTTTATTTTTTTGTTGTGTCTCTGCCCAGTTTTGGTATCAGGATGATGCTGGCCTCATAAAATAAGTTATGGAGGATTCCCTCTTTTTCTATTGTTTGGAATAATTTCAGAAGGAGTGGTACCAGCTCCTCTTTGTACCTCTGGTAGAACTTGGCTGTGAATCCATCTGGTCCTGGACTTTTTTTAGTTGGTAGGCTACTAATTACTGCTTCAATTTCAGAACATGTTATTGGTCTATTCAGGGATTTGACTTCTTTCTGGGAAGTCAAATACCTGAATTTGGGAGGGTGTATGTGTCCAGGAATTTATCCATTTCTTCTAGATTTTCTAGTTTATTTGTGTAGAGGTGTTTATAGTATTCTCTGATGGTAATTCATATTTTTTATACCACATTTTTTTTATGCAATCCACCATGGATGGGCACTTAGGTTGATTACATGTCTTTGCTATTGTGATAGTGCTGCAATGAACATGTGAGTGCATGTGTCTTTTTGGTAGAATAATTTATTTTCTTTTGGATATATACCAAGTAATGGGATTGCTGGTTTGAATGGTAGTTCCATTTTAAGTTATTTGAGAAATCTCCAAATTGCTTTCCACAGTGGCTGAAGCAATTAATACTCCTATCAACAGTATATAAGCATTCCCTTTTTTTCTGTAGCCTCAACAGCATCTCTTGTTTTTTTGACATTTTAATAGTAGCCATTCTGACTGGTATGAGATGGTATCTCATTGTGGTTTTGATGTGCATTTCTCTGATCATTAGCGATGTTGAGCATTTTTTAGTGTATTTGTTGACTGCTCATATATCCTCTTTTCAGAAATGTCTGTTCATGTCTTTTCCCCATTTCTAAATGGGGTTATTTATTTTTGCTTGTTGAATTGTTTTAGTTCTTTATAGGTTCCAGATATTAGAATGCATAGTTCTAGGATGAGTAGTTTGTGGGATGTATAGTTTGCGAATATTTTATCCCATTCTATAGGTTTTCCATTTACTCTGTTAGTTTCTTTTGCTGTGCAGAAGGTCTTTTAATTAGGCTCTGCTTTTCAACTTTTATTTTTGTTGCAATTGCTTCTGAAAACTTAGTTATAAATTCTTTCCCCAGGCTGATGTCCAGAATAGTGTTCCCTAAGTTTTCTTCTAGGATTTTTATAGTTTGAGATCTTACATTTAAATATTTCATCCATCTTGAGTTAATCTTTGCATATGATGAAATGTAAGAGTCCAGTTTCTTTCTTCTGCATATGGCTGGACAGTTAACGTAGCATCATTTATTGAATAGAGAGTTCTTTCCCTACTGCTTATTTTTGTTGACTTTGTTTAAGATCAAGTGACTATAGGTGTGTGGCTTTATTTCTGGTCCTCCAGTCTGTTCAATTGGCCTATGTGTCTGTTTTTGTACCAGTAACGTGCTATTTTGGTTATTGTAGCCTTATAGTACAGTTTGAAGATGGTGCTTCTGACTTTGTTCTTTTTTCTTAAGATTGCTTTGACTATTTGAGTTCTTTTTTTTGTTTGTTTCCTTATGAATTTTAAAATAGTTCTTTCTAGATCTGTGAAAAATGATGTTGGTAGCTTGATCGAAATAGCATTGAATCTGTTGATTGCTTTGGGCAGTATGGCCATTTTAATAATATTGATTCTTCCCATCTATAAACGTATAATGTTTTTCCATTTTTCTGTGATCTTCTGTGATTTCTTTTTTTTTTTTTTTTCTTTTTTTTGAGACGGAATCTTGCTCTGTCTCCCAGCCTGGAGTGCAGTGGTGCAATCTCTGCTCACTGCAAGCTCAGCCTCCCAGGTTCACACCATTCTCCTGCCTCAGCCTCCTGAGTAGCTGGGACTACAGGCGCCCACCACCACACCCGGCTAATTTTTTGTATTTTTAGTAGAGATGGGGTTTCACCACGTTAGCCAGGATAGTCTCGATCTCCTGACCTTGTGGTCCACTTGCCTCGGCCTCCCAAAGTGCTGGGATTACAGGCTGTGATTTCTTCTAATCGTGTTTTGTAGTTCTCTTTATAGAAATCTTTCACCTCCTTGGTTATCTGTATTCCTAGATATTTTATTTTATTTTATTTTTTGTGGCCATTGTAAATGGAATTGCATTCTTGATTTGGCTCTCAACTTGAATGTTATTGAATCCTACTGATTTTTGTACATTGATTTTGTATCCTGAAACTTTACTGAAGTCTTTTATTAGTTCCAGGAGCCTTTTGGTTTAGTCTTTAGAGTTTTCTAGGTGTAGAATTGTATCATCAGTGAAGAGAGATAATTTGACTTTTTCTTTTCCTATTTAGATGCCTTTTATTTCTTTTTCTTGCCTGATTGCTCTGGCAAAGTATTCCAGTACTATGTTGAATAGGTGTAATGCGAGTGGGCATCCTTGTCTTATTCCAGTTCTCTTCTCAAGGGGAATGCTCCCAGTTTTTGCCTATTCAGTAAGATGTTGGTGGTGGGTGGATTTGTCATAGGTGGCTCTTACTGAGGTATATTCTTTTGATATCTAGTTTGTTGAGGTTTTTTATCATGAAGGGATGTTGGATTTTATCAAAATCTTTTTCTGTGTCTATTGAAATAATCAGATATTTTTTGGTTTTGATTCCTCTTAAGTGGTGAATCATGTGTATTGATTTGTGTATGTTGAACCGACTTGCATCCCAGGAATGAACCCGACTTGATCATGGTGAATTAAGTTTTTGATATGCCACTGGATTCAGTTTGCTGGTATTTTGTCGAGGGTTTTTGGATCTATGTTCATCAGGGATATTGGCCAGTAGTTTTCTTTTATCATTGGGTCTGTGCCAGACTTTGGTATCAAGGTGGTACTGGCTTCATAGGATATGTTAGGGAAGAGTTGATCCTCTATTTTAAGAATAGTTTCTATTTTTAAGAATAGTTTCAGTAGAATTGGTACCAGCTCTTCTTTGTATGTGTGGTAGTATTCAGCTGTGAGTCCATCTGGTCTGGGACTATTTTTGGCTGGTAAGTTTTTTATTACTGATTTAATTTTGGAACTTGATATTGGTTTGTTCAGTGTTTCAAGGAGATTGTGTATGTCTAGGAACTTATCCATTTCCTCTAGATTTTCTAGTATGTGTGCACAGAAGTGTTCATAATAGTTTCTGAGGCAGATCCTTTCTTGAAATGGTGTCTTAGTCTGTTTGGCTGCTACAACAAATTACCACAGTCTGAATGGCTTAAAGAACAAGCACTTATTGTTCACAGTTCTGGAGATCTGAGATCAGAGTGCCAGTATATTTGGATTCTGTTAGGGGTCCTGTATGTGTTTCAGGCAGTGACTTGTCTTTGTATTCTCACATGATGGAACAAAAGAATGCTGAGGTCCCTTTCATAAGGGCATAAATCCCATTTATGAAAGCTCCAATCTCATGAGCTAATTACCTTCCAAAAGCCCATCTTCTCACACCATCACATTGAGGGTTAAGATTTCAACATGGATTTTGAGGGGACACAAACATTCAATCCATAGTAACTGGTCAGTAGAAGTAGAGAGTAACTCTATTATCTAGTTAATAAGTACATGCTAGTCTTTTGGCTTCTAAAGCTTGAGCTCTTTTGTGTGCTATTTGGTCATAGTCAGGTATAAACTGACTATGTATTGAATCATGTATTACTTTGGGAACTAATCTTTGTATAAACAGGTGAAATCTTGTGTTTTGGATACATCCTAGTAACTTTCAACTTGGGATCTTAAATAAATAAGAGCAGCTGGAGAGTTTGTTTTGAATACATTGAAAGGCCAAATGACTATATGAAAGGATGTGAAAATATCACATTTTGATATGGTAAGCACTGAAGGGCCATATAATAAGTACACAGAAAGAATAGTCCTGAGGTACACATTGAGAGAATACAAACACATCATTATTAACTGGTTATATCAAACACTATCTAAATTTAATTGTTCTAATTGTGAAAGGCAAAAACCCTGGATGGGTATTACATACATATATCTAATTTTTAAAATTTATACACAAACAGTAATTATACATATTTATGGGGACCATGTGATATTTTGATACATGCATACAATATGTAATGATAAAATCAGTGTAATTGGGATATCTATCACTTCAAACATTTATAATTTCTTTGTGTTGGGAGCATTCCATATCTTCTCTTCTAGCTATTTAAAAATATACAGTAAATTATCATTAATTATAGTCATTCTATCATGCTATTGAGCCCTAGAACTTATTCCTCTTATCTAGCTGTACTTTTGTACCTATTATCCAACCCCTCTTCATACTCCAGCTCCCTCTCCACTCTCCTTTTCAGCCTTTGGTAACCACCATTCTATTCACTGCCTCTGTGAGATCAATATTTTTAGTTCCCAAATATAAGTAAGAACACACAATATGTGTCTTTTAGTGCCTATCTTATTTCACTTAACATAATGTCCCCCACTTCAATTCATGTTGCTGCAAATGACAGGATTTCATTCTTTTTTATGACTGAATAAAATTGATTCCATTGTATATATATACCATATTTTCATTATCAGTTTATCTATTGATGGACACTTAGGTTGATTCCATATCATGGCTATTTGAATAGTGGTGCTATAAATATGAGAGTGCAGATGTCTCTTCAATATACTGATTTCCTTTTTTTTGGATACATACCCAGTAGTGGGACTGCTGGATTATATGTTTGTTCTATTTTTGTTTCTTTGAGGAACCTCCATACTGCTTTCCATAGTGGCTATACTAATTTACATTTCTACCAACCATGCACGAGCATTCCCCTTCCTCTGTAACCTTACCATCATCTGTTATTTTCTGTCCTTTGAATAAAAGCCGTTTTAACTGGGATGAGGTGATATCTCATTGTGATTTTGATTTGCATTTTCCTGACTATTAGTGATGTTTAGCATTTTAAAATATACCTGTTGAACATTTGTATGTCTCCTTTTGAGAAATGGCTATTCAAATGTTTTGTTTTTTTAATTGGATTTTTTTGGTTGAGTTGTTTGAGTTCCTTATATAGTCTTTTATTAATTTCTTGTCAGATAGATAGTTTGCAAACATTTTCTCCCATTCTGTAGGTTGTCTGTTGACTGTGCTGATTTTTTCCTTTGCTGTACTGAAGCTTTTTAGGTAGATGTGATCCCATTTGTCAATTTTTGCTTTTGTTGCCTGTGCTTTTGAAGTCTTACCCCAAAAATCTTTGCCTGGACAAATGTGCTAAAGCATTTCCATGGTGTTTTTTTTTTTTTTTTTTTTTTTTTTTTACTTGCAGTAGTTTCATAGTTTTAGGTCATACATTTCAGTCTTTAATCCATTTTGATTTAATTTTTGTATATATGAGAAATAGAGTTCTAGTTTCATTCTACATATGGATATCCAATTTCTCAGCACCATTTATTGAAGAGACTCTCATTTTCCCAGTGTATATTTTTGGTGCCTTTGTCAAAAATAAGTTAGCTATAAATGTGTGGATTTATTTCTGTGTTTTCAATTCTGTTCCATTAGTCTGTGTGTCTGTTTGTATGCAAGTACTAAGCTGTTTTGGTTACTACGCTTTTGTAGTATATTTTGAAGTCAGGTAATATAGTACCTCCAGCTTTGTTCTTTGTGCTCAGAATTGCTTTGGCTATTCAGGATCTTTTGTGATTCCATACAGATTTTAGGATTGTTTTTCTATTTCTGTGGAGAATGTCATTGGTATTTTGATAAGGATAGCATTAAATCTGCAGATTTCTTTGGGTCTACAAAGTATGGACATTTTAACAACAATATGGTCATTTTAACCATAATAATTCTTCCAATCCATGAGCATGAGATATTTTTCCATTTTTTGATGTCTTCTTTAATCTCTTTCATCAGTGTTTTATAGTTTTCATTGTAGCATTCTTTTGCTTCTTTGCTTAAATTTATTCCCATGCAATCTATATTTCATAGCTATTGTAAATGGGCTTGCTTTCTTGATTACTTTTTCAGATTGTTGGCTGGAATGCTACTGATTTTTGTATGTTGTTTTTATATCCTGCAACTTTACTGAATTTGTTTATCAGTTCTACTAGTTTTTTGCTAACATCTTTAAGTTTTCCTAAATATAAAAATTATGTCATCTGCAAATGAGGACAATTTGACTTCTTTCTTTCCAAGTTGGATGCCCTTTAGTCTTTTCTTTTGTCTAATTGCTCTGGCTATGACTTCTACTACTATGTTTAATGAAAGTGAGCATCCTTGTCTTATTCCAGGTATTAGAGGAAGGGCTTTCAATTTTTTCCCGGTCAGTATTATGCTAGCTGTGGGTTTGTCATAAATGGTCTTTATTTTTTTGAGATATGTTCCTTCTATATCCAGTTTGTCAAATGTTTTCATCATGAAAAGATACTGAATTTTATATAATAATTTTTGGAATGTACTGAAATGATCATTTTGTTTTTGTTCTTGATTCTTTTTTTTCTGACAGAATCTTGCTCTGTTGCCCAGGCTAGATAGAGTGCAGTAGCACAATCTCAGCTCACTGCAACATTTGCCTCCTGGGTTCAAGCAATTCTCATACCTCAGCCTCCTGAGTAGCTGGGATTATAGGCATGCACCACCACACCAGGCTAATTTTTGTAATATTAGTACAGACAGGGCTTCACCGTGTTTCCCAGGCTGGTCTCTAACTCCTAGCCTCAAGCGATCTGCCTGCCTTGGCCTCCAAGGTGCTTTGATTCTATTAATCTGATATATTACATTTATTGATTTGCATGTGTGTTCTTGCATTGTGGGATGAATCCCATTTGATGATAATGAATGATTCTTTTAATGTATTATTACATTTGGTTTGCTAGTATTTTGTTGAGGATTTTTGTATCTATGTTCATCGGAATTATTGGTCTGTAGTTTTCTTTTCTTTTTTTGAGACAGGGTCTCACTCTGTCACCAGCCTCAACTTCCCAGGCTCAAGCAATCCTCCTACCTCGGCTTCTGAGTAGCTGGGACTACAGGTACGTGCTACCAGGCTCAGTTAACTTTTTTTTTTTTTTTTTTTTTTGGTAGAGATGGGGTCTTGCAATGTTGCCAAGGCTGGTCTCCAACTCCTGGGCTCAAGCAATTCTGCCTTGGCCTCCCAAAGTGCCTGGCCTAGTTTTCCCTGCCTGCCTGCCTGCCTGCCTGCCTGCCTGCCTGCCTTCCTTCCTTCCTTCCTTCCTTCCTTCCTTCCTTCCTTCCTTCCTTCCCTCCCTCCCTCCCTCCCACCCTCCCTCTTTCTTTCTTTCCTTCTTTTTCTTTCTTTCTTTCCTTTTTCTTTCTTTCTTTCCTTCTTTCTTTCTTTTTTTCTCTCTTTTCTTCTTTCCTTTTCTCTCTTTCTCTCTCTTTTTTAAAAAAATCTTTGTTTGGTTTTGATATGAGAGTAATGCTGGCTTCATAGAATGAGTTTGGAAGTATTTCTTCCTCTTTTTGAGTAGAATCAATATTAGTTTTCTTTAGCATGTGGTAGAATTCAGCAGTGAAGCCATCAGGTCCTGGACTTTTCTTTGATGGGAAACTCTTTATTACTGTTCTATCTTGTTACATATTATTGGTCTGTTCAGATCTTTTATATCTTCATGATTTAATCTTGTTAGGTTGTCTGTGTCCAGGGATTTGTGCATTTCTTCTAGGTTTTCCAATTTATTGGCATATAGATGTTTATAATAGTTTCTAATGATCCTTTATATGTCTGTGGTATCAGTTGTAATATTTCCTTTTTCATTTCTGATTTTATTTCTTTGAGTCTTGTCTCTTTAGTTTTTGTTAGTCTAAATAAAGGTTTTAAAATTTTATTTATCTTTTCAGAAAACCAAATTTTCCTTTTCTGATCTTTTGTATTGTTTTTGAGTCTCAATTTCATTTATTTCTGCTCTGTCATTTATTATTTCTTTTCTTCTACTAATTTTGGGTTTGTTTGTTCTTGCTTTTCTAGTTCTTTGATGTGCATCATTAGGTTGTTTACTTAACAACTTTCCACTTGTTTGATGTAGGTGTTTATTGTTATAAACTTTCCTCTTAAAACTGCTTTTGCTTTATCTCTTAGGTTTTGATATGTTGTATTTTCATTTTCATTTGTCTCAAGAAATGTTGTAATTGCTTTCTTAATTTCTTCATTGACCCATTTGTTGTCCAGGAGCACATTATTTACTTTCCATGTATTTATGAAGTTTCCAAAATTCCTTTTGTTATTGATTTCTAGTTTTATTTAATTGTGGTCAGAAAAGATACTTAATATAATGTTGATTTTTTTTGAATTTGTTAAGATTTGTTTACCAGGCTGAGTGTAGTAGTTCACACCTATAGTCCCAGCTACTTGGTAGGCTGAGGTGGGAGGATTGCTTGAGCCAAGGAGTTCAAGACCAGCTCGGGCAACATGGTGAAACCCCATCTCTACAAAAAAAATAGAAAAATTAGCCAGGTATAGTGGCATGTGCTTGTAGTCCCAGCTACCTTTGAGGCTGAGTTGGGAGGATCAGTTGAGCTCAGAGGTCGAGGCTGCAGTGAGCTGTGTTGGTCTAGGTGACAGAGAAAGACCCTGTCTCAAAACAACAACGACAACAACAACAAAAACCATAAGATTTGTTTGTGGCCTAGCATGTGGTGATTTTGGAGAATGTTCCATGTCCAATGAGAAGAATGTGTATTATGTGTATTATGCAACAGTTTGCATGAAATGTTCTGTAAATGTCAGTTGAGTTCATTTGATCTAGACTGTAGCTTAATTCTGATGTTTCTTTGTTGATTTTCTGTTTCAATGACCTGTCTATTGCTACTAATAGAGGGATAATAACAGAGTGGTATAATAGAGGGACAGTGAAGTCCTTTACTATTGTTGTATTGCAGTCTACTTCTTCCTTTTGATCTATTAATGTTTACTTTATTTGTTTCAGTGCTCCAATGTTGGGGGCATATATATTTATAATTTTTATATTTTCTTACTGAATTGACCCCTTAATTATTAGATGGTGGCCTTCTTTGTCTCTCTTTGCAGTTTTTGACTTGAAATCTATTTTATCTGATGTAAATATAGCTATTCTTGCTTTTTAAAAATTTCCCTTTTTATGGAATATCCTTTTAAACCCATCACTTTTTTTTTTTTTTTTAAGAAAGAGTCTTGCTCAGTCACTCAGGCTGGAGTGCAATGGTGTGAGCCCAGCTCACTGCAACCTCCAGCTCCTGGCTCAAGTGATTCTCCCACCTCAGCCTACCTAGTAGCTGGGTCTACAGACATGTGCCACTATACCTGGCTAATTTTTGTATTTTTTGTAGTGACGCAGTTTCACCATGTTGCCCAGACTGGTTTCAAACTCCTGAGCTCAAGTGATCAACCAACCTTCATCTCCAAAAGTGCTGGTATTACATGTATGAACCACCTCATCTGGCCCTCTTCACTTTCATTCTCTGTGTCTTTATATGTGAAGTGAGTTTCTTGTAGGCAGCATATAGTTGGATCTTTTTCTAAAATTTATTAAGTCATTCTATGTCTTTTATTTTTATTTTTTGAGAAAGAGTCTCATTCTGTCACGCAGGCTGGAGTGCAGTGACTTGATCTCAGCTCACTGCAACCTACACCTCCTGGACACAAGTGATCCTTCCACCTCAGCCTACAGAGTACCTGGGACTACAGGTGTGCACCACCATGCCCAGCTAATTTTTGTATTTTTAGTAGAGATGGGGTTTCACCATGTTGGCCAGGCTGGTCTCGAACTCCTGATCTCAGGTGATCTGCCTGCCTTGTCCTCCCAAAGTGCTGGGATTACAGGCATGAGCCACCATGCCTGGTAATATATCTTTCAATTGGAGAATTTAGTTCATGTTATTATGGATAGGTAAAGATTTACTACTACCATTTTGTTACTTGTATTTTAGTTGTTTTAGAATTTCTCTCCTCCTTTCTTTTTTCTTACTGTATTCCTTAGTAAATAAGTGATTTTCTCTGGCAGTATGTTTTAATTTCTCTGCTGTTTGTTTTTAATGTGTCTATTAAATGTTTTTGCTTTGTGATTACCATGGGGCTTACAAAAAAATCTTATAGTTATTAGAAATTATTTTAAACTGATGGCAACTTTAATCATGAATAAAATAAACAATTAAGCAGAGAAAAAATTATAACACTCTGTACTTTAACTTCATTCCTCTACTTTTTGACTTTATGTTTTCTGAATTTATGTCTTTTTATATAGCCTATCTCAACAAATTGTTGTAGTTATTATCGTTGGTTGATTTGCTTTTCAGTCTTTATACTAAATATCTGAGTGCTTTATACACCACAATTACAGTATTGGAGTATTCCAAATTTGTGTGTGTACTTACTTTTACCAGCGAATTTTATGCCTTCAGATTATTTCTTGCTACATGTAAGTGTCTATTTCTTTCAGAATAAAGAACTGCCTTTACCATTTCTTGTAAGACAGGTCTGGTGGTGATTAATTCTCCTAGCTTTTGTTTGCCTGAGAAAGTCTTTATTTTGTCTTCATGTTTGAAGAATAACTTTGCTGGATACAGTATACTCAGTTGGAAGTTTTTCCCTTCAGCACTTTGAAGATGTCATTCCACTTTCTCTTGGCCTATAAAATTTCCACTGAGCAGTCTGTTGCCAGATGTATAGGAACTCCTTTATATGTTATTTGCTTTTTTTCTCTTGCTGCTTTAAGGATTTCCCTTTAATTTTGACCTTTGGAGCTTGATTATTACATGCCTTGGGGTAGTCTTATTTGGTTTGAATCTTCTTTGTATTCTTTGACCTTCTTATACCTGGATATTTATATCTTTCTCTAAGTTGAAAGTTCTCTGTTACTATTTCTTTGAATAAACTTTCTAATATATTTTTTTCTACCTCTCTTTCCCTTCTGGCCTGGCCCAAAGGGATGTATGGAACAGTGGCTCAGAATCAGGGGCTTTGGGATTCTGCCCAATGCTGTGCTTTACTGTGACTGGGCTGGTACCTGGTTGCAAGACAAAATTTCTTGTACTCTTCCCTTTTCTTCCCCAGTTGGAAGGAGTGTCTCTCTGTGCTGCATTGCCCAGAGTTGGGAGTGCTGGCAACACAGGCACTCCCATGGCTGCCAAAGCTGGTTTCATGCTGGGTTGTACCCCTAGCACACAGATTCTAAGATCAGTGTAGTACGAGAGCTTGCATGAAGACCACAGTTACTATGGCCTGGATGCAGCTGAAATGTATCTGGGGACCAAGGCCACTTTAGGAAGCTGGTAGTGAAGCCAGTCAGGACCCACTTTCCTCTTGCTAGACATCAGATTCCCCTCTGCCCCAGGGCTAGCCTAAATACTCCCTTCCTGGGCACCTGAAGAATTCTTCCTGGTGCTGCATAGCTTTATTTATTTATTTTTTAACTTTTATTTAGGTCAGGGTACATGTGCAGGGTTGTTACACAGGTACATTGTGTGTCATGGGGGATTGGTGAACAGATTATTTTGTCACCCAGGTAATAAGCATAGTACCTGAAGCTACATAACTTTTGTCATTAGTCATTTAAATCCCCAACTTCTGAGTTTATTTGATGCTCTATAAGATAACAGAAGCATTAGCTAATTTGGGGGAGCTTAGACTCCAGTTAAGATTTAGTTTAATCTTTTAATCTGGATTAATCTTTATTAGAGGGATATAAGGCCAGATGACGAACCCAAATTTGAAAAGATTGGAGGCATTATAATTATTTGAGAAAGGCAAATTAAGGAGCTCAAAGGGGCTTATAGGAAAGAAGGCAGTTGAAAGAAGGGAACAGAAGAGTAAGGTGACCATTTTTAGCAGTCCAGTACTTTCGAGCAATAGAAAGAAACGAGTATTGCAAATAGAAAGAGAAAGAGTATTAATAATAAAATTGTCTTTTATTCTACCTTGATGGGAAAAGTTTTGGGGGGAAGCTGTTTATGCTGATGTAGTCTTTATTTTTGCCCATGTATTATGGGGCAGCTGTCTATGGAAGTCATCTCTTTCTGGAGGTCTTTTAATGGGCTTCAGGGTTAGATTTTCAATAGAACTGCGAGTTTAGTTTGTGAGATTCTTTGCTCATTTACACCTAAAATCATGAATCCACAGGCATATTCCCTTCATTTTAAAGAGCAGTATTTCTGGTTAAAAGTACCTTAATGACCCTTTTATCATGTTTCTAGGGCTAACTTTTGTTGGTATCTTTCTATTGTACCCAGCCTCCAGATTGTGTATCATCCAGGGTTGTGCTTGATGGTGTGCTTGGAATGTGCAACATGCATCAATTGAGCATATGATTGTGACTATATTTGTTTTTGACAGCATCTGACAATTTAGAATGTGCTTTCTTCTGAAACATTGAACAATTTTAATTTAAAGTAATGTTAGTTTATTTTATCTTTCTAGAACTTTAAGGACTATATAGACAAATAAGTTTCTGTTTTAAAGCGAGAACCTTTTATAATTCCTTAAGTATTTCACCTGTAAAGTGAATTCCTTTATCATTAGAGGTCATTAAATGTATTCCTCATGTGGAGAAAGTAAAACCTATAAATATTTTTATTGTAACAATTAAGGGTCAAATCATTTGGCAAAAGAAAATATAATTTAACCAGAAAATTATAGATGAAACGTCTAGGTTTTCAATTTAGGCACCTGAATGCTATCCATTTCTAAATGGTTAGATAGTCCTTGAGTTGGTCAGAGCTTTACCCTACCTTTATAGTTGTTTTTTGGGTTACAATTACAAATAAGGCAAGGCTTTGTTACTAGCTGAAGCTGTCAGGTAAAATCATCTTCACCAATATTTTTGTAACATTTGTTCCAATCTGTCCTGCCATTGTAGGTGCTTTCATGTGACATGAGAACAAAAGTTCTGACAATTGACTTAGGCACCACCAAGTTGCCTTCTTTGAAATGCTAAAGTCCAGCTTGCTATGCATGAGACAGGTCTGAAATAACCAATATCTTTTTCTCTTCTGTAGAGATAGAATAATTGTTATATTTGAATTAGTCCTTCTGAGTTCTTTATATCAGACTGTGCAACTATCTTTTAGATGCTAAATAGTGGTTAAATCAGTGTGGGCTGTTGATTTTGCAGAGTAATTGCTTAGATTATCTCCTTTAGCTTAAAAAAATTATATGCGTGTTTCAGTCTTAATGACAGAGATTCCCTTCAGATGTTGGATTGGCTCTCATGAGTCATTATTTTCTTTTTCTTTTTTAGTTTGAGTCTCTCTGTCGCCCAGGCTTGAGTGCAGTGGGGCAATCTTGGCTCACTACAACCTCTGCCTCCCGGATTCAAGTGATTCTCCTGCATCAGCCTCCCGAGTAGCTGGGATTATAGGCATGTGCCACCATACCCAGCTAATTTTTGTATTTTTAGTAGCGATGAGGTTTCACCATGTTGGCCAGGCTGGTCTCACACTCCTGACCTCTGGTGAACCACCTGCTTCAGCCTCCCAAAGTGCTGGAATTACAGTGCGCCCGGCCTGTTTTTCATTTTTGAGTGAGTTTCTGAGTTTGTTTCAATGTCCTTTCATAATCATAAAAAACTTGAAGGCATGTTTATTTGCATAGATATTAACATTAAACCTTTAACAAGCTGTCATGGTTTGAGCTATTAACTCAGTCATCTGAGTAGAATGAGCTATGATATAAAGAGGAAGTTTCAATCACAGAATGGTCAGATGGCATAGCATATCCAGTACAACATATACTTTTATAAATTTTAAGTAATGAGCCATTAACAAGAATTTGAATTTCATATCAGAATTGTCCAGGGGAATATAAGGAGAGTCAGGATATTGCATGCTTAGATTTTTGAATAACTGTTAGCATAGAATTTACTTTTGTCAAGAAGGAAAAATAAGGTTGTGGGACTGTTTTTTTGTTTTTGTTCTTTTTTGAGAGACAGGGTCTCACTGTGTCTCCCAGGCTGAAGTGTAGTGGTGTGATCATAGCTCACTGCAACCTCATACTCCTGGGCACAAGCCATCCTTCTGCCTCAGCCTCCTGAGTAGCTACGATTATAGGTGTATACCAACATGCTTAGCTAATTTGTAAAATCTTGTAGTGATAGGGTCTTGCTATGCTGCCCAGGCTGATCTTGAACTCCTGGTCTCAAGCAATCTGCCCACCTTGGCCTCCCAAAGTGTTGGGATTTTCACAGTTGTGAACCACTGTGCCTGGCTTGTAGCTGGATTTAGATTGGAACAGAATTTGATATTTATGATGTTAGCAGCAGCAAATCCACACAAGTCTGCAGCAACCTCAATTCTTGCCTTCTCAGAAGAAAGAATTTAACTGGGAGCATAAGGCAGAGTGAGAGACTGAGGCAAGTTTTAGAGCAGAAGCGAAAGTTTATGTAAAGTACACTTGGAAGAGGGCCAAGTAGGCAACTTGAGAGACTCAAGTGCAGTTTGACATTTGACTTAGGGTTTTATATGTTGGTGTACATCCAGGATCTTCCATTCCTTATTCCCTGATTCTTCCCTTGGGGTGAGCTGTCTACAAGTGCAGTGGCCTGCCAGCACTTGGGAGGGGCTGCATGTACAGTGTGTTTATTGAAATTGTGCACGTGCTCACTTGAGGCATTTTTTTCTTACCAGTTGAATGTTCCCAGAGGAAGGTTATCTACCAGTTAAACTCCACCATTTTGCCTCTTAATAAGCATGCTTGAGCCCCCTTGCCCAACTCCTGAGATCTCACTGGGAAGCTGATCACTTGTTTCAGGGTTTTCTATCTATTGGGAGTCTGCCTTTCTCTGAAGCTGGCTGTGACCAATTATTATTTTAGAGAGATAGTTAACAACTGCCCGATCACAACCTGATGGTCGCCTGACGTTCCACGTGTGCGTGTGTGTGTGTGGGGCCTCTCCTGCCCTGCTCAGGTCTGCCTATCTACTGTAACAAGGAGGGAAGCAGATAATCAAATAATTTTATAATCAGTAATGTGGCTGGCCAAGAAGAGTTGAGTATTGGATTTTTTTTTTTTTTTTTTTTTTTGAGACAGAGTCTCGCTCTGTCGCCCAGGCTGGAGTGCAATGGCGCGATCTTGACTCACTGCAAGCTCCACCTCCCGGGTTCACGCCATTCTCCTGCCTCAGCCTCCCGAGTAGCTGGGACTACAGACACCCACCACCACGCCCAGCTAATTTTTTGTATTTTTTAGTAGAGAGGAGGTTTCACCGTGTTAGCCAGGATGGTCTCGATCTTCTGACCTCATGATCCACCTGCCTTGGCCTCCCAGAGTGCGAGTATTGTTTTGGAGTAAAAAGTCTTCTACTACACAATGGACTCGTGGGTGAGAAGTAGACCTAGAACAATGTCTGTAGAGACTTCAACTAAATTAGCTGCCTCTGCTGTAGGGTATAAACAAGGCAGATAATTCTTAGCTACAGGGTCAAGAGAAATACTAAGATAAGCAATGTGCTTGTTATGAGTTCCTCGTTTTTGAAGGAGTACCCCTAAACTACAACCATGCTTTTAGGTACACAATTTAGCATAGTTAGGAATACCCAAGTCAGGGCTTATATGTTTAAGAATGGTAAATGACTTCTTGACATTTGGCTCCCAAGGAAAAGGTTCTAGGTCATTCAATTTATTTACTTAGAGCAGTTAAGCCAATTAAATTATGGCAAATATCAAACATTGATTTATTTCAACATTCTTTTTTATAGGGTGATGGAACAAATTTGGGTTTATCAGTGGTCATCTGGGAAGTATCAAAGACAGTCTGGGTATAAAGGACATCTGAGCAGTTTTATTATTTTGAATTTGTGGCCTGAATTCGGTAAAAGCAATATCTAGGCTGGGTGAAGTGCCTCACACCCATAATCTCAACACTTCAGAAGGCTGAAGTGAGAGGACTGCTTGAGCCCAGGAGTTTCAGATCAGTCTCAACAAAACAAAAAAATTAGCTGGGTGTGGTGGCACATGCCTATGGTCCCAGTTACTTAGGAGGCTGAGGTGGGAGAATCGCTTGAGCCCAGATCAAGGCTACAGTGAACTGTGATTGTGTCACTGCACTCCAGCCTGAAGATTTGTCTGAGGAGCTGTCATTCTAATAAGACTTATATATAGGGCATATATGCCTAAAGGCAAGAAATAATTAGACTTGGTTCAGAGCAGAAATTCTAAACATTTTTTATCATGGACCCTGTGGCAGATTGATGAAGTCTACACCATTTCTAACAAAAATATGTTTTAAAGCTTAGATAAATGCATAGAATTTCAAAGAAAACTAATTATATTAAAATATCCTTCTGGAATTTGGCAATTGTTTTATGTGTCATCTTGTGGCATTTTGTGCCTTCCCAAAATAAAGGTTTTCAGTTCTGATGTTATTTACTTTTGCACAAAGTTACTTATAAAATTTGTAGTATTAAGAATAATGACTCATGAACACCATTTGTACAACACGCTGCATGTGCATGTTTTTGCTTAATAATACAGATGATGTTTAGAAAAAGAGAGAAACTGGGAGGCTGGGAAGAGGGCTGAGGGAGGAGAAATTACCTATGGGTACAATGTACGCTAATGGGTGATGGTAAAACTAATAGCCCAGACTTCACCACTATGCATTATATCCATGTAACAAAGCTGTACTCATACTCCCTAAAGTATAAAAATAATAATGAGAGAGAGAGAGAGAATACACAAGGCAATATAAAAGAAAGAATCTCTGCTGCTGAGCTAACACACAAGAGTGGATTGTTATTATAAATCAGGCTTAAACAAGTAAGAGATATTACCCAGTATCAAGACTTATTAAATACTTTCAAGGCTACAGGCAATCCAGAGGTTCAGAAGAAGCAGAGAGATTCTGAGGCATTGAGAGCAGGTCACTAGGTCCTTGCTTTTCAGTACAGGCATACACCTCTGCTCCAGAATAGGTGAGATTCCTAAGTGAGTTTTGTGGGATTTCTCAGGCATAGTGTTTAAACCATGAAGCATCCTATTTTATATCTAAGATATTTTATATCTTAGAGAGTTACATAGCTTATGAGACATTCTTCAAGAAGACATAGATCCTGATTCTATTTACTGAAGACCTTGGCCATGACCATTCTGCTAAAGATTTTTCAGAGATAAATTATCTTTCTTCTAGTGAATATTATTAGTCTATTTAATAGACCTAGAAATACAGTTGACAAAGAGATTAGATCAGGTCTCCTGGTTCTTAAATTTTTCCCAAGGATCCCCATTCCCTTTCCATTTCTTGAAGGAAGTGAATGGAAGGCAGACCAACACTTTTAACACCTTTCTTCTAGCTATTCACAGAACTTCAACACCATACATGACTTGTATCACTGTCCAATCCATTATCTATATTTATTTTAAGTAATAAATAGAAATAACACTTCAGGAGTGACCTCAACTGTTAAATGTATTTAAACTTGTCTGGTCTATTCAAGTAGCCAGTACACCTATTTGTGTTTCAAAAGGCCATGTTGCCTTAGGGATTAAGACAAGATTTCTCATTTGAACTGCCCAGATTTGCAAAATACTAACGGAGAATGAAAATGATGCTTCTCCCTTTGTGTCGTTAATCAACAGTCAATTATAGATAGGGATTTCTGGGTCATCATTGTAAAGACATGCAACATTACCATTTTGCTGCTGAACAACTACTAGGCACAGAGTTAGTTACCCAATAGTTTCCCAGCTACATCACAAGAGCATCTATTGACAAAAAGACTGCAATCACATTTGATATAGCTTGTGATCTAAAAATTATTGTAATTTCAAAATAACATGAATCTAAAATATATTTCAACCTCTGCAACAGCTGTAATATATTATAAAATATCCATAATTCCCATTTGAGACAAAATCATAGGCACTACTAATATTACAGTGGTATTTATTTATTTGTTTGCCCATGCTCATAATGTTAAGTTTTAGTCAGGATGTCAAAAAAATCCTTTTTTTTCCCATCAAAGTTCAGGATTCCCTGAACTGTATCTTCAGATTTCCTAAAACCCCTGGTTTAGAGTGACAGGGATTGGGAGACACTACCCCAAAATAGGGCACCTTGGCATTTGGAAAAAACATCAGAAGCATGAAGGCCACTCTCACCTCTCCCTTCTTTCCTAAAGCAGGCCATACAATCTAGGAAGGTCACTCTCTGACCTTCCCTTCTTCCTCCCCTGAGGACTATCATATGCCAAGTGTCCTGCCCTATACCTGAAGGGAAGGAACATTATACAGAAACACTGAGAAGGGTCTCAGTAAACAGCCTTGCTAAGTTACTTCCAGTTTATTATCATTAGATTATATTCTTTGTATTTTAATCATACTGCATGACTGTTGTATTAGTTCATTCTCATGCTGCTATTAAGAACTGTCCAAAACTGGGTAATTTATAAAGGAAAAAGATTTAATTGACTCACAGTTCTGCATGGCTGTGGAGGCCTTAGGAAACTTTTAAACATCATGGAAGGGGAAACAAACATGTCCTTCTTCACATGGTAACAGAAAAGAGAAGTGCCAAGCAAAGTGGGAAAAAGCCCCTTAAAAAACTATCAGATCTCATAACTCATTCACTATTTAAAGAACAGAATGGAATTGTTCCCATGATCTAATTGCTTCCCATGTGATCCCTTCCCCAACAAATGGGGATTATAATTTGGATTACAATTCAAGATGAGATTTGGGTGGGGAAACAGAGCCAGACCATATCATTCCACTCCTGGCTCATCCCAAATCTTGTCTTTCTCACGTTTCAAAACAAAATTATGCCTTCCAAAAAGTTACCCAAAGACTTAACTCATTTTAGCATTAACCCAAAAGTCCAAGTCCAAAGTATCATCTGAGACAAGGCAAGTCTCTTCCACTTAGGAGCCTGTAAAATCAAAAGCGAGTTAGTTACTTCCAAGGTACAATGGGAGTATGGGCATTGGGTAAATGCTCCCATTCCAAAAGGGAGAAATTGGCCAAAGCAAAGGGGCTATAGGCCTCACACAAGTCTGCAATCCAGTGGGACAGTCAAATCTTAAAGCTCCAAAATGATCTCCTTTGACTCCATGTCTCAAATACAGGTCATGCTGATGCAAGAGGTGGGCTCCCATGGCCTTGAGCAGCTCTGCCTCTGTGGCTTTGCATGGTACAGCCCCCTTCTTGGCTGTTTTCATGGGCTGGTATTAAGTATCTGTGGCTTTTCCAGGTGCACGGTGCAAGCTGTCAGTGGATCTACCATTTTGGGGTCTGGAGGGTGGTGGCCTTCTTCTCACAGCTCCAGTAGTCAGTGCCCCAGTGGGGACTCTATATTGGGGCTCTGACCCCACATTTCCCTTCTGCAGTGCTGTGGCAGAGATTTTCCATGAGGGCTCTGCCCTGCAGCAAACTTCTGCCTGGACATCCAGGCATTTCCATACATCCTCTGAAATTTAGGTGGAGGTTCCCAAACCTCAATTCTTGACTTCTTTGTACCTGCAGGCCCAACACCACATTGCAAGTGGCCAAGGCTTGGGGCTTGAACGTTCTGAAGCAATGGCCTGGGCTATATGTTGGCCCCTTTTAGCCATGGCTGAGATGCAGGGCACCAAGTCCCAAGCCTGCACAAAGCAGCAAAGCCTTGGGCCTGGCCCAAGAAACCATTTTTCTTCGTAGGCCTCCAGGCCTGTGATGGGAGGGATTACTGTGAAGACCTCTGACATGCCCTATAGACATTTTCCCCATTATCTGGGGGATTAACATTGGGCTCCTCATTACTTATGCAAATGTCTGCATCTGGCTTGAATTTCTCATCAGAAAATGGATTTTTCTTTTCTTTTGCATTGTCAGCCTGCAAATTTTCCGAGCTTTTATGCTCTGTCACCTCTTGAACACTTTGCCACTTAGAAATTTCTTCTGCCAGCTACCCTAAATTATCTCTCTCAAGTTCAAAGTTCCACAGATCTCTAGGGCATGGGCAAAATGCAGCCAGTCTCTTTGCTAAAGCATAGAAAGAATGGCCTTTACTTCTTCTTCACATGGTGGCAAGGAAGGAGAAGTGCCAAGCAAAAGGGGAAAAAGCCCCTTATAAAACCATCAGATCTCGTGAGAACTCTCTCACTATCATGAGAAGAGCATGCAGGGACCACCCCCTTGTTCTAATTACCTCCCATGATGTCCCTCCTGCAACATGTGGGGATTACAATTTGGGTTGCAATTCAATATGAGATTTGGGTGGGGACACAGAGCCAGGCCATATCAACTGTCCATAGAAATACACAGGCTTCCCTATTTCTTTGGGCCTTCATTTCTGAAGGTTCTCATGTCACGTTAAGACTTATTGAAATCATGAGTGAACTCCCATTCACAATTGCTTCAAAGAGAATAAAATACCTAGGAATACAACTTACAAAGGATGTGAAGGACCTCTTCAAGGAGAACTACAAACCACTGCTCAATGAAATAAAAGAGGATACAAACAAATGGAAGAACATTCCATGCTCATGGATAGGAAGAATCAATTTCGTGAAAATGGCCATACTGCCCAAGGTAATTTATAGATTCAATGCCATCCCCATCAAGCTACCAACGACTTTCTTCACAGAATTGGAAAAAACTACTTTAAAGTTCATATGGAACCAAAAAAGAGCCCATATTGCCAAGTCAATCCTAAGCCAAAAGAACAAAGCTGGAGGCATCATGCTACCTGACTTCAAACTATACTACAAAGCTACAGTAACCAAAACAGCATGGTACTGGTACCAGAACAGATATATGGACCAATGGAACAGAACGGAGTCCTCAGAAATAATAACACACATCTACAACTATCTGATCTTTGAGAAACCTGACCAAAACAAGAAATGGGGAAAGGGTTCCCTATTTAACAAATGGTGTTGGGAATACTGGCTAGCCATATGCAGAAAGCTGAAACTGGTTCCTTCCTTACACCTTATACAAAAATGAATTCAAGATGGATTAAAGACTTAATTGTTAGAACCTAAAACCATAAAAACACTAGAAGAAAACCTAGGCAATACCATCCATTCAGGACATAGGCATGGGCAAGGACTTCATGTCTAAAACACCAACAGCAATGGCAACAAAAGCCAAAATTGACAAATGGGATCCAATTAAACTAAAGAGCTTCTGCACAGCAAAAGAAACTACCATCAGACTGAACAGGCAACCTACAGAATGGGAGAAAATTTTTGCAATCTACTCATCTGACAAACGGCTAATATCCAGAATCTACAATGAACTCAAACAAATTTACAAGAAAAAAACAAACAACCCCATCAACAAGTGGGCGAAGGATATGAACAGACACTTCTCAAAAGAAGACATTTATGCAGCCAAAAGACACATGAAAAAATGCTCATCATCACTGGCCATCAGAGAAATGCAAATCAAAACCACAATGAGATACCACCTTACACCAGTTAGAATGGCGATCATTAAAAAATCATGAAACAACAGGTGCTGGAGAGGATGTGGAGAAACAGGAACACTTTTACACTGTTGGTGGGACTGTAAACTAGTTCAACCATTGTGGAAGACAGTGTGGCGATTCCTCAGGGATCTAGAACTAGAAATACCATTTGACCCAGCCATCCTATTACTGGGTATATACCCAAAGGATTATAAATCATGATGCTATAAAGACACATGCACACATATGTTTATTGTGGCACTATTCACAATAGCAAAGACTTGGAACCAACCCAAATGTCCAACAATGATACACTGGATTAAGAAAATGTGGCATATATACACCATAGAATACTATGCAGCCATTAAAAAGGATGAGTTCATGTCCTTTGGAGGGACATGGATGAAGCTGGAAACCATCATTCTCAGCAAGGACAAAAAACCAAACACCGCATGTTCTCACTCATAGGTGGGAATTGAACAATAACACTTGGACACAGGAAGGGGAACATCACACACTGGGGCCTGTTGTGGGGTGGGGGGAGGTGGGAGGGATAGCATTAGGAGATATACCTAATGTAAATGATGAGTTAATAGGTGCAGCACACCAACATGGCACATGTATACATATGTAACAAACCTGCACGTTGTGCACATGTACTCTAGAACTTAAAGTATAATTAAAAAAAAATATATATATATAAAGACTTATATTGAATAAATTTGTTAGGCTTTTTTTTGTTGTTAATTTGTATTTTGTTACAGGTGTATCAGCCATGAACCCTGTGATGGGTGAAGAAATAAATCTTTTTTCCACTATAATAGTAAAAATAGTAAAAGCAAGTTAGAATAATTGTTAGAAACATTAGCTTTTTTAGAGGTGAACTTTTGTTAAAAAGTCATTCAATAGTATGACAAAGGCACTGAAACTATACTTATAGGCCAATTGTTTCTCTGAATGATCCCTTGTTTATTATTTATATCTTTTGTTTACTAATTTATTACACCTTTGTATGTATATTTTTAAATATACATAAATGCACATATGGTTAAATGACACATTTAAAACTCTTGACTGTAGCTTCAAAATACACTTGCCTTATTAATACATAAAACAATGCATATGCTAAATTTTTTTTACTATCTTAGTAAAATTTTACCAGTTCCCTTGATAGACAAATGGATAAAACATGTCCATTATCTTGCATATTTATTGCTTTGTAATGAATATATCATTATTTTATTTACATCTTTTAACAAAAGCAACTAACTAGTGAATGGGCACAGTCACAGAACAATTAGGATGTAGATAACTGAGAACTGTCTATCATAGACAAGTGTTTTAGCCCTGAATGAACTCCAGTGAAGATTGTTAATGTTCTGTGAACACGCTTCTATATCTTTTCTATATTTTATGAAGTAGAAAAAATGACCATGTATACTCACATTACTGTTTCAGTCTGTTCTTATGCTGCTAATAAAGACATATCTAAGACTGGGTAATTTATAAAGAAAAGAGGTTTAATGGACTCACAGTCCCACATGGCTGAGGAGGCCTCACAATCATGATGGAAGGCTAAGGAAAAGCAAAACCATGTCTTACTTGGCCGCAGGCCAGGGAGCACATGCAGGGGAACTGCCTTTTTATAAAACAATGGGATCTTGTGAGACTTATTTACTATCCTGAGAACAGCATGGGAAAAACCTGCCCCCATGATTCAATTACCTCTCACTGGGCCCCTCCTATGACACATGGTGATTATGGGAGCTATAATTCAAGATGAGATTTCAGTGGGGACACAGCCAAACCAATGACCTAAAGGTATTTACACATCTTTTTTCTATCATGTTAACTAATGGACAATCTAGAATGTAAATGAATAAGATATATACATATAATTAAACGATATTTGCTTGTTTTTATATTCTATATTTATGAATTTAGTTCTACTTAGAAAATATCCAGATAACCAAAGACTACTTTAATGAAATTAATTAGTTTAACAATAGTCTGGGGTCTTGAAGTCAGCCAGAGATTTTGGAAATTGTTTGAGGTTGACATTAAAGAGAAACACAATCCTTTTTGATCTTAAAACAGTTCATCAGACAAATATGATATTTAAAATTTGATATAGGTAGTATAAGTAAAGTTACTAGATCTATATGATTTATGGTATTATCTGAAGCTCACAAGAGCAAATCTTTCCAAAGATGGTTGAATGATAATTTTATAATTTTTAACAGTTAATGGAAGTAAAAATCAGTATAGGAAATCTAGCAAATCAGAATTAATTAAGTTTCTCATGAGAAAATAATATGCCAACATTTTTCACACTGTGATGAAATCAGGGGAAGACATGTAGCTATTTTTAAAGCCAAATTACCAAACCAATTTAATTTGTCCAGTGATTCGCCTTGATAGAAATATAACCTAAACTTATTTGTTTACAATTTTTTCTGTATTTACCAAATATTAAAACTTTCCAATTTTTGTTTAAAAGTACTGTTCTCTTAGAATTCTCCCCTACCCCCACTGTTTTCCAAACTGATAACTACTTATATTTTTCTGCCTCTTGAGACTTTGCAACCAAGGCCATTAATTTAATTTATAGTAAGCTCCTCCTCCTCCTCCTCATACTTCTCCTTCTTGTTTTATTGAGTTATGGCTTCAGCAAGCCTCTCAAGCTTTTATAAATGGTCAGCACACTTAAAACATTAGGATATAAATTTTTCTCTCTTCTTCCTGAAGATTATTGAATTTCTTATTCGTCTCTATAAGTCAATCAGAATAGGAATTCGTTTAACCATGAGACTTTATAATTAAATTACATTTTTTTTCAGACATAGACACAAATCTTGACGAACACTTCAGCCCTGCCTCCAGAATGAAAGGGGGAAACCTAGACCTGAATGGGCTTGACCATCTCACAGCTGCTCACGTGATGACCATATTCGTGGCAGGTAAAAAGATTGCTGTATCAACTCAAGAAAGCAGTAGCCTCACTGTCTTTGTATTTTGAATTGCAACAACAACTTTGATATCAACAATGAAGCAATGGTATCTAAGAACAAAAGAGCATTTGCCAAAAGTCATCATAATATCAAGTGATTGTATAAGCAGAAACAAGCTGTCACAGACCTGTGTGTCAGCTAACATAAGGAGAATGCTTTCTTCTGATGCTATTTATTTACAGGCAGTTTTAATATATATCACTTCAATTATATCTACATCAAATAAAATAAAAAATTAGTGAAGCCCCCAGATTCTTCATTGGACCAGAAGACACAGAAATAAATCCTGGAAATTATCAACATTTCTTCCACCATGCAGATGAAGATGATGAGGAGGAAGATGATTCTCCACCAGAAAGGCAGATTGTGGTTGGAATATGTTCCATGGCAAAGAAATCCAAATCCAAACCAATGAAGGAAATTCTTGAATGGGTCTCCTTATTTAAATATATCACAGTAGTGGTATTTGAAGAGGAGGTTATTTTGAGGGAACCAGTGGAAAACTGGCCTTTATGTGATTGTCTTTTTTCTTTGCACTCTAAAGGATTTCCACTGGACAAAGTGGTTGCCTATGCAAAACTCAGGAATCCATTTGTAATCAATGACTTGAATATGCAGTATCTCATACAAGATTGGAGAGAGGTATATAGTATTCTTCAAGCTGAAGTTATTTTACTTCCTTGTTATGCAATTTTGAACCGTGACCCAAATAATCCCAAAGAATGTAATCTGATTGAAGGGGAAGATCATGTAGAAGTAAATGAGGAAGTTTTTCAAAAGCCATTTGTAGAAAAGCCAGTCAGTGCAGAAGATCACAATGTTTACATTTATTACCCAACTTCTGCTGGCAGTGGAAGTCAAAGACTCTTTAGAAAGATTGGCAGTAGAAGTAGTGCTTATTCTCCACAAAGCAATGTACAAAAATCAAGCTCATATACACATGAAGAGTTTATGCCCGGAGACGATACTAATGTTAAGAGATTCCTCATGTTTTGCACCACCAACATCTTTGGCAGTCTGAAGCCTATGGACTCTTTCTTAACAAAAGTGTTCTTAAATGCTTTAAACATGTAAGATTATGATGGAGACAAATTTTATTCAAATATAATAAAATATTTAAAAATAAAAAAGTAATAGACACAAATATGCCATTTGTTTAGAAAATGTTTCATACTCAGCAGAAGTATCTTGTCATATCTCTGGGCAAGGAAAGAACTCTGGGAGAGTCTAAAGTTGCCTTTCTTTGTATTTTATTATGTCCTTTTTGGGGAAGACTTGTTCAGACATGATCAACTTATGGGTTCTACTGTAAGATTTTATAATATTTTGTCATAGTTCACATGAAGTTCTTCCTCACATCTTCACTTGGCTCATTTGTGACTATTTCCGTGGGACTTTTTTATTTATTAATATTTTCCAAGAGGAAAGAATAAAAAATTCATGTACTCTGAATCCTTTAGTTTCCTCAGAAGGCCATGAAGCCCCAGACAAGCCAGAAGCAATTATTCCCATTTTAAGGACATTCGAGCCTGCATACAATTGTAATACAAACCAAGCAAAGCTCTTTCAGAAGGCACAACTCTACTTCATGATCCATGAAAAACTGGTTTTAATATTTGCATGCATCTTCTTCCTATGAAGGTCTGTTTGAACTGGATATTTCTATAGCATGCACAAATGATAGATTGTTATGATCAATTAATATTCAAAATTTCCCCCAGAGAGAGAGAGAGAATGAGAGGTAGAATCACTCACAGGTACAGAAAGAACTACCATTATAAACAGACTATTATAAAGACAAGCTTCCTTCTGTGATGGTTTCCCAATGAATCACACTTCTCTGTCTCCATATGCTTGTGTAGTCCCTGTCACATTTACTCTGGGCTTGACCATTGACTTGCTCCAGCCAACAAGATATCAGCAGATATACAGCAAGCAAAGGCTTGATAAGCATGTGTGCACTGGGGCTTGCTCTCTTGGAGCACTTCTGCCACCATGTGAAGAAGCCAGGATGAAAGACCTCATAGAGAGAGACCCAGCTGGCTTAGCTGGTCCAACCATCCAAGCTGAGACTGTAGACATGTAAGAGAAGTTGTATGATATCATCCAGCCCCAGCTGAATACAGGGATGACTACAAACACATGAGTTAGGCTTGGCAAGATCAGCAGAAGAAACTCAACAAAAATTTGGCGAAACTGTTGCTGTTTCAAGGCACTGTGTTTTGGGGTGGTTTGCCACACAGTAACAAGTAACTTACATATCTTTATTTTCTAAGGAAAGTAAAAGGCCTTTTCCCCCTTTCAGTACAACGACCTAAAAATAACTGACCAAAGCAATTATAGATCATAAGACAAACAACATGAAGTTTCTTTCAATGGTTGGAAAAGTTAACAAATCAAGCAGATGTGACAAGGGCAATTCCTCAACCCCAAGGCTGAGGCCAGCCAAATCTGACTACCCCCTTATCTCATCATCTGGTTAAGAGATATCAGGAGATATCAGAATTTCTATGACAGTCAGACAAACAACTAAACAAAGATAAAGGGCCAAGCAGATTCCCAGTTACCTGTAACTTGTCAGAGACCATAGAAAACAATTTCCCAACATTAATTCAACTGCAACTGTGAACAAAAACACACATGGCTAAGAGCCAGGTTTAGCATGTAAAAGCCCATGAGTTTGATCCCTGTATAATGGCATGCACTGGGGAAGTGAGCAAAGGCAAGACAGAACACGGTGGGTCTGGATGAAAAACTTTCTTAGGCTGCATGCTTCTAAGGGCTCAGAGGCTTATCGGAATAACAGTCAAAGAATAATTTAGAGGTATTTAGTTTGGCTAGAAACTGAGCTGAGTTTACTTAGATTTGAGAGAGGTAGTATTTTCCCTGTATCAAGCATAGGTTGATTATCATGGAACAAAAGTAAAGAAGGCTTTATTAAAACATGAACTATAGACTGGTAGAACAATAATTTTGTTTTGTTTTGTTTTAAATTGACAGATAAAATTACATGTGTTTATCACAGTATGTTTTGATGTATACATACATTGTGGATTCACCTAATCTAGCTGATTAACGTATGCATTACCTCACATAGTTATCATTTTGTGGTGAGAACACTTAACATCCACTATCTTAGCATTTTTCAAGAATACAGTATATTGTTATTAACTATAACCATGTTGTATGATAGATCTCTTGAAGTTATTCCTCTCATCTAACTGAAATTGCATATCCTTTGACCAACATCTTTCCAACTCTCTTCCCCCCATCCACCTCAGCCCGTGGAAATCACTCATCTACTCTCCAGTTACATGAATCAACTTGTTTAGATTCCACATACGTGTGAGATTATGTGATAATTGTGCTCCTGTGCCTGGCTTATTTCACTTAACACAGTGTCCTCCAGGTTCATTCATATTGTTGCAATTGGCAGAAGATATCTACATTCTGATGTTTATTGCAGCACTATTCACAACAGCCAAGATATTGGAATGAATCTAAGTGTCGAAAATGAAGGAATGGATAAAGAAAATGTGGTAAATATACATAGTGGAAAGCTATGTATAGTCATAAAAATAATGAATTTTGTTTTTTGTCCATGGGCAAGTTGATTGGCTGAAAACTACAAAGAAAGAAGGACCGTTTTCCTTGGAGCAGGCTGACAAGATTTATCAGAGAAAGCAAATTTAATTATTAATGGGTTGCTTGAGAAACTTTATGATTTCAGCTGTGGAGTATATTCAATTGCTGTCTCTGTGTAACACAGCCTGGGCTCTTTCGTTGGCTTTCCTACCTTAGTTAAACCTAGACTGCACCACTTTCCTCACTATAAATCCTCATGGGACAGTGTTGAACTTTTCCTGATTCCTTGCAGGTTTTATTTCATTTTGTTTTGATATTAAGATCCTACAACTTTAATACATATTAACACTGTGTTTGTTATTATAAGAATAAATACATTTCAGGTTATAAAATAGCTATTAAAACTAGATTCTACTTACTATGTTAAATCATACAAATGCTTCTATGTTTCACTTGTGTGATTTTGGAGCAGTGATGGCCATCAGAGTCACTATACTTGAAACATGAAACTTGCTTTAATCGTACTATTAGCTTCTAATATTATAATAAGACAATAAATGATGTCATATTATTTAAGTCTTTTTATTTTGTATCATATTTACTGCATAGAGATGTCATGAGGATTAAAAGAGTTAATACAACAATTGCCATGTAAATGTTAGCTATTATTACACAATTATAATAAATATTTTAAGAAGGAAGGTCAAGAGAATATACAATAATTTGGCAAAACTATGTCAACTGCATAGGCGGATTTATATCAGTGAGGTACTAGGTAATAGAGGGAAAGAAATTCACTATACTTTTGAATTAAAATTTCAAGCACTATTTTAATATCTTTTTGGAAGAGGCTAATTTAAGGGGATCTCATGGATAGTCCTTTTAAAGGCATGTCTGTGTATAGTGGGTATTCCCATGTTTCAATTCTTATAAATTTTCCCAATAAAATATTTTTTAATTTGTCTTCTCCACTCCCCCAGTTTGACCCGGAATTGATAAACTTTAAATACAATGAAGATATGTTTATCAGAAAAATATTTTACTCTGCTTAATTTCTTAATGTAATAAAATATATATCACCAAAAATATTGTCATTTTAAACATTTTTCAGTTGCAATTCAGTGTCATTAACTAAATTCACAGTGTTGTACAACCATACCATTATTTCCAAACACTCTTCATCACCCAGACAGAAACTCTGTACCCATTAAGCAATAACTCTCCATTCCTCACTTCCACTAGCCCCTGGTAACCTCTACGCTACTTCTTCTCTCTATGACTTTGACTATTCTAGATACTTAATGTAAGTGCAATTTTTGTCCTTTTGGGTCTGGCTTATTTCACTTAGTATAATGTTTTTTGAGGTTCATCAGTGTTGTGGCATGTATCAGGATCATTTCTTTTTATGGCTGAATTATATCCCATAGCATGTATAGACCACATTTTGCTTATCCACTCATATATTGATGGATGTTTGGGTTGTTTCCACCTTTTGGCTACTGTGAATAGTGCTGCAATGAACATTTTTGTGCAAGTATTGGTGTGAGTTTTTGTTTTTAATTATTTTGAATATATACTGAGGAATGGAGTTGCTGGCTCCTATGAACTGTTTCAGTTTCTAAATCTAAATTAGTTAAAATTATGTTAAATTAAAAATTCAGTCCCTTAGTTATGCTAGCCATATTTCGAGAACTCTTTAGTCACATACAGCTAATGATTACCATATTGGTCAGTGCAGGTCTGGATTAATAATTTGATGAATATCTTTATAATAAATCTACTAATTGTGCCCATTTTCTCTACTGCTCAAATAAGCCTTGTTCTTCCTGCTTTTGTGCTTTGGTTTACCTTTCCTGAGGTCATACTTCTTTTTGCCTGGGATATCTACCTATTCTCTATTTTCTTTTATAGAAATGTTATCTGTTTCAGAAAGTATTCTTTATTACTGCAGCTCACACTGATCATTCCTACTCATAAACTGTCAAAGCATTTGTTAACTTTATTATTTCCATGACATTTACTTGCATTATACTGTAGTTATTTATTTCTTTGTTTCTTATCTGGATTAAAATTCCTTATTGGCAAAGCTAATAATAAAAACAAGAACTACATCAGCAAAACAAAACTAGTCATTTATTAAATGATTGCAGTTCCTCAGGCACAGTGTTGTTTTATACACTCCATTTCATTTACTTCTTAAAACAGAAAGGAAGTAGTATTATCTGAATTCTAAATCAGGATTTTGGGTTTACAGGCTAAGTATCATGTTTAAATCCCTATATCTAGCAAATGGTAGAGTCAGAATTCAAACTCAGGTATGTCAGATGCTCTTACAAGTCTGCTTATACTTTATAAATATTACTTTGGGAAATCTTTATAAATAATATTATCTAACATTTACTTATTGTTTACTCTGTGCCAGATCTTATTGTAAGTGCTTTTCTTGTATATAATATCTTAATTCTTATAACAGTCTTAGGAAGTGTGAGCTGTAATCACCATCATTTTATATATATGATAACAGTTCAGAAAAGTTAAGTTTCACAAGCCAGACACAAAAAGCCTAACATCGCATGTTCTCACTCATACGTGGAAGCTAAAAAATGTGTAAACATGGATGTAGAGAGTGAAATGATAGGCAAAGGAGACTCCGAGGGGTGAATGGGTGGGTGTGGCAGGGGTGCATGATGAGGAATTACTTAATGGGGAAAATGTATGTTATTCAGGTGATGGATACCCTGAAGCCTTGACGTTACAATTACACGATCTATGAATGTAACAAATTTACACTTGTACCCCATAAATTTAAACAAGTTAAAAATAAATACATAAATAATCCCTCCCCAAAGTTAAGTTTCATACCTATTAAATGGCAGAGTCAAGATTTGGACTGAGTGTAAATCAGAGCTTGCATTTTTTTTTTATTATTATTATACTTTAAGTTTTAGGGTACATGTGCACAATGTGCAGGTTAGTTACATATGTATACATGTGCCATGCTGGTGTGATGCACCCATTAACTCGTCATTTAGCATTAGGTGTATCTCCTAATGCTATTCCTCCCCCCCTCCCCCCACCCCACAACAGTCCCCAGAGTGTGATGTTCCCCTTCCTGTGTCCATGTGTTCTCATTGTTCAATTCCCACCTATGAGTGAGAACATGCGGTGTTTGGTTATTTGTCCTTGCAATAGTTTACTGAGAATGATTTCCAATTTCATCCATGTCCCTACAAAGGACATGAACTCATCATTTTTTATGGCTGCATAGTATTCCATGGTGTATATGTGCCACATTTTCTTAATCCAGTCTATCATTGTTGGACATTTGGGTTGATTTCAAGTCTTTGCTATTGTGAATAGTGCCACAATAAACATACGTGTGCATGTGTCTTTATAGCATCATGATTTATAGTCCTTTGGGTATATACCCAGTAATGGGATGGCTGGGTCAAATGGTATTTCTAGTTCTAGATCCCCGAGGAATCGCCACACTGACTTCCACAATGGTTGAACTAGTTTACAGTCCCACCAACAGTGTAAAAGTGTTCCTATTTCTCCACATCCTCTCCAGCACCTGTTGTTTCCTGACTTTTTAATGATTGCCATTCTAACTAGTGTGAGATGGTATCTCATTGTGGTTTTGATTTGCATTTCTCTGATGGCCAGTGATGGTGAGCATTTTTTCATGTGTCTGTTGGCTGCATAAATGTCTTCTTTTGAGAAATGTCTGTTCATATCCTTCGCCCACTTTTTGATGGGGTTGTTTGTTTTTTTCTTGTAAATGTGTTTGAGTTCATTGTAGATTCTAGATATTAGCCCTTTGTCAGATGAGTAAGTTGCGAAAATTTTCTCCCACTTTGTAGGTTGCCTGTTCACTCTGATGGTAGTTTCTTTTGCTGTGCAGAAGCTCTTTAATTAGATCCCATTTATCAATTTTGTCTTTTGTTGCCATTGCTTTTGGTGTTTTAGACATGAAGTCCTTGCCCATGCCTATGTCCTGAATGGTAATGCCTAGGTTTTCTTCTAGGGTTTTTATGGTTTTAGGTCTAACATTTAAGTCTTTAATCCATCTTGAATTCATTTTTGTATAAGGTGTAAGGAAGGGATCCAGTTTCAGCTTTCTACATATGTCTAGCCAGTTTTCCCAGCACCATTTATTAAATAGGGAATCCTTTCCCCATTGCTTGTTTTTCTCAGGTTTGTCAAAGATCAGATAGTTGTAGATATGCGGCGTTATTTCTGAGGGCTCTGTTCTGTTCCATTGATCTATATCTCTGTTTTGGTACCAGTACCATGCTGTTTTGGTTACTGTAGCCTTGTAGTATAGTTTGAAGTCAGGTAGCGTGATGCCTCCAGCTTAATAGCTTACCAACCAAAAAGAGTCCAGGACCAGTTGGATTCACAGCCGAATTCTACCAGAGGTACAAGGAGGAACTGGTACCATTCCTTCTGAAACTATTCCAATCAATAGAAAAAGAGGGAATCCTCCCTAACTCATTTGAGGAGGCCAGCATCATCCTGATACCAAAGCCGGGCAGAGACACAACCAAAAAAGAGAATTTTAGACCAATATCCTTGATGAACATTGATGCAAAAATACTCCATAAAATACTGGCAAAGCGAATCCAGCAGCACATCAAAAAGCTTATCCACCATGATCAACTGGGCTTCATCCCTGGGATGCAAGGCTGGTTCAATATACGCAAATCAATAAATGTAATCCAGCATATAAACAGAACCAAAGACAAAAACCACATGATTATCTCAATAGATGCAGAAAAGGCCTTTGACAAAATTCAACAATGCTTCATGCTAAGAACTCTCAATAAATTAGGTATTGATGGGACATATCTCAAAATAATAAGAGCTATCTGTGACAAACCCACAGCCAATATCATACTGAATGGGCAAAGACTGGAAGCATTCCCTTTGAAAACTGGCACAAGACAGGGATGCCCTCTCTCACCACTCCTATTCAACATAGTGTTGGAAGTTCTGGCCAGGGCAATTAGGCAGGAGAAGGAAATAAAGGGTATTCAATTAGGAAAAGAGGAAGTCAAATTGTCCCTGTTTGCAGATGACATGATTGTATATCTAGAAAACCCCATTGTCTCAGCCCAAAATCTCCTTAAGCTGATAGGCAACTTCAGCAAAGTCTCAGGATACAAAATCAATGTGCAAAAATCACAAGCATTCTTATACACCAATAACAGACATACAGAGAGCCAAATCATGAGTAAACTCCCATTCGCAATTGCTTCAAAGAGAATAAAATACCTAGGAATCCACTTTACAAGGGACATGAAGGACCTCTTCAAGGAGAACTACAAACCACTGCTCAATGAAATAAAAGAGGATACAAAGAAATGGAAGAACATTCCATGCTCATGGGTAGGAAGAATCAATGTCGTGAAAATGGCCATACTGCCCAAGGTAATTTATAGATGCAATGCCATCCCCATCAAGCTACGAATGCCTTTCTTCACAGAATTGGAAAAAACTACTTTAAAGTTCATATGGAACCAAAAAAGAGCCCGCATCGCCAAGCCAATCCTAAGCCAAAAGAACAAAGAGCTTGCATTTTAAGTAATCATATTATTTATAAACTTTATTCAACAAACATTTGTTGAGTAATTACTATGTCCCAGACACCATGCTGAATACTAGGGATTTAAAGATGAATAGATCAGAGTGTGTGTATAGCTTTTCCAGTTTAGCCTGCTAAAATGAACAAACAAGAAATATTTGTCATTGGTATAAAAGTTATTAATCACAACTACTACCAGCACCACCAAATAATAATGAGGGCTTGCTGTTTTCGGGAACTGTTTTAAGTGTTTTGCAGACACTAATTGATTTAGCCTCACAGCAACTTTTAAAGATCACCATTATTATTGTTGTTTTTATTTTTTAGATCAGAAACTGATCAGCAGAGATGTTAGGTAACTTGTCTGAGCCAGAAGCAGAAGGACTAACTTATGAACATAAGCAATTTGGCTCTAGAACTCAAGTGCTCAAATATTCCCTGTGGGTAATAGAGTCTTAGTTTTTCTGGAGCGTGAACAAGTGCCATTATATAGAACACATTTAAACCTGACTCTTGAAAAACAATTTCAGGAGCATGGAAAAACAGGAATGATAGTCATTCTGCAATGAGATTTTAAAAGGTGCAGTTTCTAGAATGGTCAGCAGAGGGTGAAGGGAGGCAGCATTTGTAAGATGCCACTTCATTACAATGGAGTAAACTGTGTGGAACTGATCATCTCTAAAGTTCTCTCTTGCTCTAACATTTCAGGATGATCCTTGTTTGAATTATTTTTAGTTTAATGTTACACAACACAAGCAAAAAAAAAAAGAAGTAGCTCCTTCTGAAATACATATAGCTGAGATGATTTTTTTATCTGAGTTAGCACAGCATTTGTTTCAATATTTATTGAATATTTTATAAGAATGTCTCTAAAGAAGTAAGTATAAGATGATCCATAAAGAGCTCAAGTCTGTACTGAAGAGGCAAGGTAAAGAAAAATTTACATGATGACATAAGCATCATATGAACAAAGTTTCAGAGTTCAGAGACACGGAGAAAATAATGGGGCTGAAATAGAAGGGAATTCTTCATGGAAAAGGTAGCCTTATCCAGGACTGAAGGGTGGGTAATATGTGCACAGGAAGGGAAAAGTTGGCTTCTCCTTAAAATTAAATTTCCCAAGTGCTTATGATTTGTCGTCAGTGACTCCAGGCACTGCAGAGAAAATAAGGATGAGTGATACTGTCCAGGCAGGGTGGCTCATCCATGTAATCCAGCACTTTGGGAGGCCAAGGCTGGCAGATTGTTTGAGCTCAGGAGCTTGAGGCCAGCCTGGGCAACATGGCAAAAACTCTACAAAAAATACAAAAATTGGCTGGGCGCAGTGGCTCATGTCTGTAATCCCAGCGCTTTGGGGGGCCAAGGCAGGTGGATCACCTGAGGTCAGGAGTTCAAGACTGGCCTGGCCAACATGGTGAAACGCCGTCTCTACTAAAAATACAAAAATTAGCTGGGCGCAGTGGAGTGTGCCTGTAATCCCAGCTACTCGGGAGGCTGAGGCAGGAGAATCGGGAGGCAGAGTTTACAGTGAGCTGAGATTGCGACATTGCACTCCAGCCTGGGTGACAGAGCAAAACTCTGTCTCAAAAAAAAAAAAAAAAAAAAAAAAATTAGCCAGGTGTGGTTGTGCATGCCTATAGTCCCAGCTACTTGGGAGACAGAAGTGAGAGGATGGCTTGAGCCCAGGAGGTGGAGGTTGCAGTGAGATGAGATTAGGCTGCTGCACTCCAGTCTAAGTGACAGAGTGAGACCCTGTCTCCAAAAAAAGGAGTGATATTGTCTCTGTCTTAGGGAAGTCACAGATACCCTAGCAGTAATAATACAAGAAAGGATATGGTAGACAACAAGATGCACTGTTGGAAAAGTTAACAACAAAACAATATGTTTCCCATTCTAAAGAGAGGAACCAGACCATTCATGTTGAACTTTCAAAGGTCAAGGTTCTAAACTAGTTCTGCCAGCTGCAGTGATTCACTCCTCTCTAGTCTACATAAGAAGTTGAGGTTGAAGAGAAAGAGATTTATTTGGTGAGAAATTGACAGTGTTTTACATTTCACCCACCTTAAGTACCAGCCTCTGATGGAGAAGTGGATGTATTTTTTGATGGTACAAATACCCTAAATAGACACTGCAGAGCATGCTCGGAGAAGTGGAAATTGCCTCAGTGCTGGCACAGCAAGAATTTCAGACCCTGAAGAATATGGCTCCCCGGATAGGCGACTTAATGCCTTCTGTTGGTGTTCTAAGTTGTTTCTGAGTATTGACATAGTTGGGGACCTGAAAGACAGCGAGTCCATGTCTTTCTCTGACCTGGAAAATTGGGCAGTTGCCAATTCCTCTGAACCTCAGGTGAGCTTCTGTGAAATACACTTAAAGCATGGGGAGTTGCATCCACTGATCTCTTCTTATTTTATTTTTATCAATGACGGTTTATTTACTCTTTGGGAGTAAACAGGTAAAAACAACCTTCTGTAGAAGCCAAGTTGTCTTTTCACCTGTCCTTGAATTTGGACCAGTCAGATAGCCCAGTAATAGTAATAATAATAATAATAATAGTGAAAAAAGGCAGAATGTGGTAGATGCAGAATCCTCTCTCCTAAGGTTAAGGAGAGGCTTTTCTAGAGGACCACTTGGAAAGCTTTTGCATGTCTCCAGGAACTTGAGCATCTTACCAGTGAATATTCTAAAGCTGAGATGCTGTAGCTGGAACTGCCCAGTCTGGCGGCTGAACACGCAGGTGGCTGCTTTGTGACTGAGCTGTACTTCTTCATGTGGCAGGCTAATGGTGAATGTTTCTGAGACTTGATAAGGACCCTATGGAAATGATTGTAACCAAGAGTACTTGCCTGAAGGACAGGAACTGAGAGGTGGACCCCAGAAATCCAGCAGGCAGACAGAAAAGAGGCAGACAAGCCAATTGCCTGGGATTGATGAGAAACCCACAAAGGCACCCTACAGAGTCAGCTATTGTATTTCTGCCACCCAGAGGGCCCTGCGGGTAGATTACAACTGTAGCTGTCACAAAAGCTGTGCTGCATTTCCCCAACTCTTACCCTCCTCCCCACAGATATCAGAAACAATGACTAGCAAATTGGGGGGATGGAGCTAGAAAAAGAAAAGCTAATTTAACTCCTACTTACATAGGCTGGGGATAGAAGAAATTTAAATTTGAGTTTTGAGTTTGAAATTATATTCAATGGAGATATATCTTGTGCTTTCTAACTTGCTTTTAATGGTGTTGTGTGGTTCTCAGTTTGTTTTCTCAGCTTTGCGTTCTTCCCTTTCATCTTCAATACTGTTTTACACCTCATTTCTTTAAAAATTGATTTTATGTTCTCATTAACTTTTATATCATGAAGCACTGGCTGGAAATTATTTCTTTGTGAAGTTCTGCTTACTTCCAGCATGGTTTTTCATCTGTATTTGTATCCTTCTTTCTCATATGTATTTATTTTTGCTGATAATGTGTTTGCAAAGTTATTGTGTCCCTTCTTTTTATCTTTTAAAATACAGCAGTTTTGTTTAGGCCTTCTCTTCGCTGTGCTATAGTGTGAGTGAATTCCACTTGCTTTTCTATTACCTTAGATTCAAGGAGGAAGAAAGAGCTCAACTGTGGCTGTGTACAGTTGGAGGAGGATCCACACTCTACTCTCTTCTGAAATTTTAGTAAATGTTTTCTGTGCTAAAATCTTAATCTATTGGAGTTTATATTCATTACACTGAGAAGTATTCTTGGGCTTTGGATTATTTCTTCTAATCAACATGGAGCCCAGATTCTTTGTTTGCTTTAAAGAAAGTAATCTGGAATTTGGTTTTGTTTGTTGAGTTCTCTATTTCAATGTCATTAGCTTGTTTTATGTTTCCCTTTCCATATTTGCCCATTTCTCCCCAGTAGCAATTTCTCTTCCTCCCAAGCTCCTCTCTCTTATCTTCTGGGAAAAAAATAAACAACATAGGAAGTACATGTAGGTTACTTCCCTTCAGGCACTACACATGCTTCTTCTCCACTTTCCCTCCCTTAGAGACTCTTGTCCTAATTATTTTCTATTTTTTTCTTCCTTTCTGCTATATCACTATTTATTGTTGGAGATAATTAACTATGGGTGTTTATGATTGTTCTGCCATCATCCTCTCCTTTTTCACCCAGCTGGAAGATGCCAAAAGGGAGATTTCCAATAGTTCCCTTTTCTGGTAGAACATGCAACTAGTTGAGATGGGACTTTTCCCCCCTTGCAAAATTCTTTGTCTCCTCTAAGGGTTACTCATATTTCATCTAAAGCTACCTTTCCCATGTTATAGTGTAGGAGTAGGTGGTTATACTTTTCAGAGTTTTGTTTGCTCACCTTCCCTACAAAGTGCTTGTTTGGAGGATGACATTAAGAGGTTTGCCATACTGTTCTAAGCTTTATTCTGTAAATTCTTGAAAACTTCTTTGTGTCTTTCTTTGATGGCTACAATTTTTTGAATGTTATGACATGAACCTTTCTCTTGTTTGAATGCTATTTACTTTTTTTGCTGCTTTAGTTTTTCCCATTTGCTATTCATATAATTAAGTTATATGGGAAGGATATTTTTAAATATTTGGCTGAAATCCAATATCGAAACCTTAAACTCTCTTATTGCCATTTGTCAGTTGTAGAAATTAAAGGTCATAATGTTTAAGTGATTTGCTTGAAACACAGCTTATGGAAGAAAGAGGCAAGGTAGAGGCATGATTTGAATCTAGACCTGTCTTTTACCCTGTAATCAATATTCTATTCTGTAATCAATGAAAAGTAGACAGGATTTTTAAATAGGTGACTGATGAAATGAAACATTCATTTTAGGTTTGGGAACTAGCATGTGGTCTGATACAGATATGTGAAATCAATTTGCAGAGAGGGAACTATGAAAGCAGTGAAACAAATTGGGAAGGTTTTATAAAATCAGATATAAAGCAATGAGAGCCTGAGGCAGAGGGAAACTTCTTTCATATCCTAAAGTTTTGAATTTGGTAATTAGAATCTTTTTCTGCATAGGTTTCTAGGGTGCCATCACTCTGCCTATCACCTACTCAAACTTGTAAGAATTTTGTAAAATTAGGAAGCTGTGGGTTAGAAGGCAAGGCACAGACTAGCTTCTAGTCATTTATTTCGCCACGTACTAGCTGTAAGACCTATGTTAAATCATTTCAACTTGCTGGGCCTCAGTTTCCTTAGGTTTAAACTGAGAAAACTGAATTAGATGGACTATAAATTCTCTTTCAACTCATACTAGATGCTCAAGAAAAGCTGAATGAATGAATCAATTAATAATATTCCAAAGAATAAAGGAAGAGTTTCCTTTCCTGTGCAAATGGGAAAACTTAGAATCTGTCAAATGAAGAAAAAAAAGAGATTTGGGTTATTAACAGCTCTTCAATTAAAAAGTATTTATTAAATATCTATTATATACGAATTTCCCTTCTTCTTTAATTTTTATTTTTAATAGAGATGTGGTCTTGCTCTGTTGGTCAGGCTGGAGTGGGTGACATGATCATAATTCACTCTAGCTTCGTACTCCTGGTTTCAAGCAATCCTCCTGCCACAGCCTTCTAAGTAGCTGGGACTACAGGTGTGTGCCACCGTGCCTGGATATTTAAAAAAAAATTTTTTTGTACAGACAAGGTCTCGCTATGTTGCCTAGGCTGGGTCTTGAACTCCTGGCCTCAAATGATCCTCCCACCTTGGCCTCCTAAAGTGCTAGAATTACAGGAGAGCCACCACTCTTAGTCCCTTTCTTCATTGTAACTTGACATTCAGGGGCTCCCTAATCTGATCCCAAAATACTATTGCAACCCTATCCCCTACTGCTCTTGTTAAGGATTACTTACCACTGAACTAGGAACTAAGTTCCTATTATAATGACTAAGACAAAATCTCAACCCAAACAGACCTTCTAGTTTGACAGAGACAGACATCCACACAGATAATCAAGATATAATGTAAATGAAATAAATCTTAATGATAAAGGTATAACCGACATGTTACGGTAATACACAAAGGGAACCATTACTTCTCAGAAAATGAGTACCATTTATGACTCAAGGGATGACTAGGACTTTAAAAGATGGAGATGGGAAGTGAAAAAACAATGTGATTGAAAACAAACCCATATGAACATATGTGGCATATTTAAGGAATTATAAAGAATCCAGTGTGCCTAGAACATAGAATGTTGAGGGCAGAGAGTAGAAGAGAGGAGGCTGGGAAGGTGAACTGGTGCCAGGTAGCGGAGAACTTTACATGACATAGGAAGCTCATGCTGTACTATAAAAGCTTTAAGAACAGAAGCATAATATGCTTTGCTCAGAGTAATGTGAAGATAACCAAGGCATCAATGTGAAGATGGATTAGAGAGGTGAAAGAATGGAGTCAGGGAGATCAATTAAGTTTCAAGGAGAAGAAATTAAAAGAATTAAAGTTAAAAGTGGCGTTGCTAGAACAGAGAGAAGGGACTGAGCTAATGAAAAATAAGCCCAGGGAAGCAATAAAGATTTGGCTAGAAAAGGCAGGCTGAGAGGATGTACATGGAAAAGAAAGCAAATAGAATTCATCAAAAATTATATATTTGGCTTATTTTCTTGCAGCCCTCTGTGTGCATGGCTTGAGTATAGAGAACAACGGCAAGAGCAACACAAGAGTAGGCTGGAAAGAGTCATGAGTCAGATCATTCCTGTGTAGGCATCTTGAGTGTTTGAACTGTTTTTCTATGAGCAATGGAACACCATTGCAGGTATATTAGCAGGAGAGAGAGAGATGGTCAGCCTCCTCCCTTCCTCACATCTTTGTTAATTCTGGCTGGATTCCATAACACACTACTTCTTGTTTCTTATGAATCTCTTAAACTCTGTGCCCTGTTCTCCTTCTCTCAAATCCTTGTTACAAAACACACATCTAGATGAATCTGATCACTGACCTTCTCTGGTCCTTTACATTGACGGAGCAAAATAAAATGATTTCAGGCTTGATTCTGCTCTAAATAAATCCATTGCCTTTAACAGCATCTTGACCCTAATAGTGACTAAGATTCTTTCAATGTTTTCTTAATTATTCCTTTCCCCTGTTCTCCACAGTAGGCATGTAAAATCATTTCCGGTTTTCTCAGATGTTCTTCCCCACAACATACTTCCTCAAACTCAGCAGATAACTATATGCCCTACTTCAAAGAGAAACTAGAAGCGCACAGAAGCTTTCTTAACTTCTTGCCACCATATCTACAAACTGCACCCAGACCCACCTGGTGCACCAGTTAGGAAAGTGACTGCAAATATCAGTAAACACAACAGCAATTTAAACTACAGAAGCTTATGGTTTCTTACATTGGAAGGCTGGAGTCAGAAACTACAGGGGTATGGTGAAGATTTAGGATGGTAACTGGGGGACTAGACTACCAGAAATAAATAGACAGGAGTACCAGAAAATAAATAAATAAGAGACGCAGTATCACTGATAGTCCAGCTTCACTGGCCCAAATAGGGGCTCAAAAATTGCTGATCCTATTATTTTTTATTATGGGAGTTGTCAAAAGTCACAAAGTGTATCATTTGACAAGTTGCAACCAGAATTCAGATTTTCCGATTGAATATGCTTTGGTAACCCTAGTGAAGATAGTATTTTTGGCCTGCGAAACCAATGAATATTTAATTCCTAATAAATGCTTTGCCCAGTGGCTAATTACGCCTTGAATTAGTGGCATTTGTTACTTCTGGAAAGGCATAATCCACCTAGAGAAAAGGGATCTTTCTTCAGTTTTTGAATTGCAAGGCCAATTTTCTTGAGCCCTTTGTGAGACAATTGTCATGAAATCCAGGATTTTTGAAAGGAGGAAATAGTTTCTGGTTTCTAAGTTCCAAAAGTAGCCCTTTATAAACCAAAAGGAAAATTTAGCTCTTTGGAAATAGAATATTACAACAAGTCATAATGTAGAAGGCATGGAGGAGATGATACAAGGGAAGTCCCACCATATGAAAAGTAGAAAGTCCTAGGGGAGGAGTTAAGGGGTGTGTGTGGGAGACAAGTAAGTGAGAGATGATGCAGTGCCCTTTACTCACAGTGCGACTCAGTGGGTTCATAGTTTTTGCGGGAACTTTGGAACATCAGTAGCTGAGAGGTTGGAAGTCTCTGAGAGAAGCCCTGTGTCAATGTGAGGTGACACAGTAGAATAAAAATGGTGGCCGAACAGTGACTGGTGCACGTTATGGAAGAGATCTAGGGTTCTTTAGTGACCCTGAGGAGATATAAAGGGTAATTTAGAAAAAAGCATTCATATACTTGCCATAAGTCACAGCAGAGCTGGTTTCAGTAGAGGTCTGTGTTCAAAGGAACATCATAGTGATGGCTGTGAGTGGGCAACTCAAAATTGAGGTTCAGAGAGAAGATATTGCTAAGTCTCAGAGGACCCGCAGCATCAGTGATCATCCTCTTCTAGTGGAAGAAGTTTAGCTCTCATTTTCAAGGTCCAGATTCTCAACTGGAGCCAGAAGGACTCAGTGGTTGTTTCAGAGGACTTTGGCAAGAGCAGTGCTCTTTTTCATTCTCCAGATTTCCTCTTCTCTAATGGCCTACTGACCTCCCCTAGAGAGATATCTTTGGGAGAGAAGAGGGTACAGAAGAAAGATTGGAGAAGAGCCCCTCTAGTGTAAACTCCATTTGTAATAAAGCCTTAGCACTCTGAAAAAAAAATTAATGACTAACATATGAGGCAATATTTTGAGACCATATGCATATCATGTTCCCAACAACCTTTTATCCAATGATTCTGGCATCTGTTGATTTCATAGTTATTACATTGGGCATTGCAAAATGATGACTTTGTAATTCTATCATTTCTTCTACATTTATTAGCTCATATTCTTCTAAAAATAGTTAATATTTAGTTAATATTTTCTCTTTTGACTATCACTATGGACTTACACATTTTATTTTATTCAATGTATTAGAATACATTATCATAGTTAATCTTTTTGGGGCTCAGCTCTTCATATGTTTGATCAGTAGACAACCACTTCAAGCTGGCTCCTTTGTCCTTTTAACATGATCTAATTAGTCTGAGTTCTTTTGTGTTTTCTGACACATCAATATGTTCCAGGTTTACCTGGTACTTTCCCTGCTGCAGACCTGGAGTCATTTTTCCAAGGATCCCTGTTTCTTTTAGTGAATGATGGTATTTAGAAACCAAGATGTGGGTGTCATCTGTGCTCATGGCTATGGAGTACATTGCTTGTAGGTTCTTGAATTACTTTTAAATGGAAAGTTTCAGTATCAGTCCCCAACTCAATGACGGGCTCCAGAGCACAACTGAGGTGTGGTGTGCAAATTTAACTCTCAACCAGTTCTATAGCTATATCATTAGTTTATAGGGCTTATTCCAATTACCTATACAAGAACCAGGCTGGTACTTTTAAGTGTAAATTATATTATACCATTTCTCTGCTTAATATTATCATGTCCTAAGCTTCAGCCACATTGGTCCTTCAGTTCATCTCATTCAGGAGGTTCTGAAGTTGAAAGTGTCCAAGATGGTCCATTTTAAAAAAAAACCTTATCCTTTGAGACTTTCAAATTTTTGTGTATGTTTTATAATATATAATATATCAGTACAATAGTATACACAATATAAAAGTAACCAGATAAATGTAGTTGAAGAAGTGTGAGAAATTTTTAAAAAATTGGTGGGATGCTTGGTCAGTTTGGAATTTAGAAATTACTGCTCTGATCTTGAATTTCCTACCTGGGCCTTTCAGCATGCTGTTTTCCCTGCCTGGAGCAGTCTTTTCCCTACTTTTTGCCTAGTTCATTTCTGTCATTCATTTCTCTTTTTAAACATCACATTCTTAGAGGAATCTTCCTTGACACTCTCAATCTAAATTATGCTATATGTTGCCCTCTCCTATAGCACTATGTTTTTTGTTTTTCTTCTCATAGAACTTGTAACAATTTGTAATTATCTATTTATTTGGTTAATTCTATCTCCCTTGTAAAACTGTAAATACTATGAATGTATGAACTATGCTGTTTTATTTCTCCATTATATAACCAATCACTTAAAAGAACGACTGGCATATAGTTTTACTCAATGCATATTTGTTGAATAAATGTTTGATAGTTACTGCATTAAGAGAAGTAGAAAAGAGAAGACAAGGAAAAATACAATTTGGTTCATTGTCAAAAATATGTCAGAAGCATTTAGTTAATTGGTATGCCATTTGTTTTTTATGCAAATGATTCACTCATATATGAGGGAATGAGTTGGTAAACTGAGCCAAGGACCAAAGTTATAAACAAATTATAATGGGACAACTTAAGAACACTTTGGAGGTAAATTGATTAATTGGAAGCTGGCAGGAGTAATATAGAAAATTCTGTCCTTGAGCAGGCCAACTGGAGTATTAAAGAAACCAATTCTAGTTGTTTATGTATTTTTCAGAAAACCTTGAGAGTTTAACGGTGGATTATACACAACTATCTCTATGTAATGTCTGACAGTGTCCTTCCATTCATACTCTGTCTCACTCAAGCCAGGTCTGTGCCATTTCTCTTGGTGAAATTTCTGGGTTATATGATTAGATAACTAGCTTTAAGATTTCTTGGCCATCCCAAATGCTTTCTTTTTTTCTTTATTTTTTTTGGGGGGGTTTCTGTGGAGTTGAACTGCAATAAGCAGACACTTCACTGTGAGTACAAAGAAGTGCCCTATTAATTAACTCCTTCTAGAGGAATGCAATTCTAGAGGTTCGATGACAGTTGGCAAATTGAACTTGGCAAAATTAACAAAATTTTCCTCTGCACAGATTGAGCACAATATTTTTAATTGCTAGTAGTAATAGTAGTGTTATGGGTACTTTGAAAGCAGTAAAGTGTTGGGGGTGGGGTGAGGAGGACTCTCTTTGTGAAGGTTTTATCTAAGAAACTCAGAATTTGCATTTAAGCCCTTCAATGATGTTTCTGAATTTCATATCTTTCTGCCCAATTCAAACACACATAAATGAAATTGCATGTTTTCTGAGTTAAGGATCATCAATGTGATAATCAGAATGGAGTAAAGAGATTAAAAATTCTACAGGGTCTCACCCTAAGACCTTCTGTTTAATTCAGGTGAAATTTTATTATAGTAAGTATCTGTGTCAGTCACAAGAAAGGGAAGAAGTGTTATTTAAGTCTCATGTGTACATAATGGTGTGTGGCATGGGGTAGGAAGCCAACCTCAGTTTCTCCGCCCCTTCATATGTTAATTGAGTCTGTAAGTGCCAGAAACAAATTTTTTAAAAAATGGACTAGCTGGCTAATCTCATTCTCTTTCAACTATTATTTCTATTTTAACCTTTCCAGTCACAGAATTGTACAGTCCCTAAAAACCTCAGCTGAGGTGAATATTATGATTTTTTTGTGTGTAAAAATTTAAAATACAATGTGGTTTTTCAACAGTGGAGCAAGTTTGGATCATTTGACATCCTTCGATGTTACAATATTATTAAAATTGGTGGGACATTTGTTATTTCTTTTTATTTTTCTCTAAACTACGGTAGTTAATTTATGCACAGGTATTCAATGTAAAATATTTCAGTCAAAAATACTCTTCTGTGGGTCATATTTTTCAACCTTTTCACTGCAATTGCACTAACATACATTCATGGCAATCATGCTTTGTGTACTATGAATTACATTTTCATTTTTGTCTTTAGTATAATTTGTATAAGTTCATTATTCCTGTTGAGCTTACTTAATACTTCCACGTAGGAACATGTATTCCTTTCCTCATTCTGACTATTTCTTACTTTATGTGTAGTCTTGGCATGGCTAGAAAAATCTAAGAATAATGATTATACGACATGTAACTAATGTTACCATTTCAGTTCTGTGTCTATTTTTCAAAAGGGTTCATTCAGAACTATCCTTTAAGGGAAATAGAGATGAGGCCAGTTTTGTCCTTGTCATCATCTTCATTGTCAGAACCTTGTCATCACTATCAGGAAAAATGTGTGTCTCTGTGCCCAGAAGAACCACATGTGACTTAAAAAGTATTTCATTTACTGTGATCATTCTCATTGATGGCTTCAAGAATAGCCAGAAATTCTATCCATATACAGAAAACTGAAACTGGACCCCTTCCTTCTACCTTATACAAAAATTAACTCAAGATGGATTAAAGACTTAAATGTAAGACCTAAAACCATGAAAACCCTAGAAAAAAATGTAGGCAGTACCATTCAGGACATAGGCATGGGCAAAGATTTCATGACTAAAACATCAAAAACAATGGTGGCAACAAAAGCCAAAATTGACAAATGGGATCTAAGTAAACTAAAGGGCTTCTGCACAGCAAAAGAAACTATCATCAGAGTGCAAAGGCAACCTGCAGAATGGGAGAAAATTTTTGCTATCTATCCATCTGACAAAGGGCTAATATCCAGAATCTACAAAGAATTTAAATAAATCTACAAGAAAAAAACAAACAACCCTATCAAAAAGTGGGCAAAGGATATGAACAGGCACTTCTTGAAAGAAGACATTTGTGTGGCCAGGAAACATATGAAAAAATGCTCATCATCACTGGTTATTAGACAAATGCAAATCAAAACCACAACGAGATACCAGCTCACGCCAGTTAGAATGGTGATCATTAAAAAGGAAATAACAGATGCTGGAGAGGATGCGGAGAAATAGGAACACTTTTACACTGTTGGTGGGAGTGTAAATTAGTTCAACCATTGTGGAAGACAGTGTGGTGATTCCTCAAGGATCTAGAATCAGAAATACCAATTTGACCCAGCAATCCTATTACTGGGTATATACCCAAAGGATTACAAATCATTCTACTATAAAGACACATGCACATGTATGTTTATTGCAGCACTGTTCACGATAGCAAAGACTTGGAACCAACCCAAAGGCCCAACAGTGATAGACTGGATAAAGAAAATGTGGCACATATACACCATGGAATACTGTGCAGCCATAAAAAAGGGTGAGTTCATATCCTTTGGAGGGACATGGATGAAGCTGGAAACCATCATTCTCAGCAAACTAACACAGGAGCAGAAAACCAAACACCACATGTTGTCAATCATAAGTGGGAGTTGAACAATAAGAACACACGGACACGGGGAGAGGAACATCACACACTGGGGTCTGTCAGTGAGTGGGGGACTAGGGGAGGGATAGGATTACGATAAATACCTAATGTAGATGATGGGTTGATGGATGCAGCAAACCACCATGGCACGTGAATACCTATGTAACAAACCTGCACATTCTGCACATGTATCCCAGAACTTAAAGTATAATAATAATAAAAAGAATAGCCAGAAATTTAGAAACACCTATCACACAAATCATTTTTATAAATCATAATTAATTGCACCCAAGGCCTTGGTAATCTCTAATTCTAGGGACATTAGATGCCATCAGAATTAGAACCATACTCAAGGATTTGGTTCAGCCCTTGCTGTTTGGAGGTTAAAAGCAATTGATGAAATTTAAAAACAGACACATGGACACATAGCTCATAGTCTACATATTATTGGCAGATGTGTTCTGTTAGGCCTACCCTTTTTTGTGTTTGTGTTTTTGTTTTTTTAATGTATTAATCAACATCAAAAAGAATATTTCACCAGAAAATTTGGATTTCTGACTCCTGAAAAATCAGAATTCTTACAGCCCCGACGTTTTCATTCCCACAAGGCATCCTGCAGCTGACTAGTGGTACACACCCTCTCAGTTCTCTACAGTCCCCTTCCCTTGGTCAAGTACATCTATACAGCAACGCACTGCATAATGATATTTCAGTCAATGATGGACTGAATATATGACAGTGGTCCCATAAATTCATAATACTGCATTTTTACAGCACCTTTTCTTTCTTCCTTCCTTTGTTCCTTCCTCCCTTCCTCCCTCCCTCCCTCCTGCTCTCCGTCCCTTTCTTCCTTCCTTCTCCCTTCCTTCCTTCCTTCCATCCTCCCTGTCTCACTCCCTGTCTCACTCCCTGCCTCCTTCCCGCTCTCCCTTCCTCCCTCCCCTTCTTCCTTCCTTCCTTCTTTCCTTCCCCCCCCCCTTTTTTTTTGAGACAGAGTTTCGCTCTTGTTGCCCAGACTGGAGTGCAATGGTGCAGTCTCGGCTCACTGCAACCTCCACATCCCAGGTTCAAGCGATTCTCCTGTCTCAGCCTCCCAAGTAACTGGGATTACAGGTACCTGCCACCACACCCAGCTAATTTTTGTATTTTTTGTGGAGATGGGGTTTCACCATGTTGGCCAGGCTGGTCGTGAACTCCTGACCACAGGTGGTCCACCCATCTCAGCCTCCCAAAGTGCTAGGATTACAGGCTGAGCCACCATGCCCAGCCTTTTATGGCACCTTTTCTATGTTTGGATATGTTTGGATACACAAATACTTAGCATTGTTTTACAATTGCCTATAATATTCAGTATAGTAACATCTTACACAGGTTTGTAGCTGAGGAGCAATGGATTATACCACATAGCCTAAGTGTATAGTAGGCTATACCATGTATGTTTGTTTAAGTATACTTTATGGTGTTTGCACAAGGATGAAATCACCTAAAGACACATTTCTCAGAATGTATTTCTGTTGTTAAGCAATGCATGACTGTATATTTATACTGATGGTGTCATGTATTCTGTCTTACTGTTCCCTGCAGTCATTCTAATTGCAACCCTTGAACAAAAACACACAGTGTGGGCTATAGGGGAAACACTTGGCCTGGAAATCCAGGGCCTGGGTAGTTGTGGCCTTAATGTCTTTTGGTCTCAGTTTCCTCATCTGTTCAGCAGGGCTGAATAAACCTCTTTTGATGATCTTATGTGATTGTCATGACCTTAATTGAGATAATGCATGTAAGGACACTTTGAAGTGCTAACAGTGTAAAAGCATATTAATCACATCCATGTACCAAAAATAGTCCTAACTAGTCAACTAAATTTGAGTCTCCTCTGTTGAGAATAGTACTGACATTGTGGAAGGAATAAATTAGAAAAAGGAAACCATTCCTGGTCTGAAGCAGAAATATTCTATTTCACATAGGCAGCTAGTGTTGTGGAGAGAGCTGGGTATTGAGTTAAAAGAGTTACACCGAAGCTGTGGGCAAGTTATCATACCTCCACGAATCCCATTTCACCGTCTGTAAAACCTAGAAGACAGGACCTGCTTTTCAACTCATGGGTGTGGTCATGATTAAATGAAATAAAGTATGTGAAAGTAATGAATAAACAGAAAAACATTATTCTAATATAGGCAATAATTAGTAGTTGGTGATAAAATATGAGCACATAAAATGGACTGAAATATTTACAAAGTCTAATATTATACACAGTAAACATTTGAAGACCTAGAAGAGTAGTTTTTAATTAAATAAGAGGCAGCTGTTTGGAAGAGGAAAACTTTGAGTCAGTCTTATTTCTGATCATAAGTCTGAGAATGGGTCTATTTTGCTTATTAAAAGAAACATGTTCTTTGTTTTTTATTTCTGATGCACATCTTCATTGTGAGAGGAATTGGTCATTTCACATGTTTCTAGATTATTTACTTCAATATATTACATTATATGAAGCTATATTTAGAAGGGCTGAAAAAATAACTTGTGATGATTTTGTCACTAATATCTCAGGAGCTGGAAGAAATTTTTGAGATGATATCGCACATATCAGAAAACAGAAGAGCAGAGAGATTGAGTGACTTGTCCAAATTCTCAGAGCTACGAAGTTACAGGGCCAGAATTCACAATTGGGGTTTTTGACTTCACTGTTCTTTTTGCCGCACCACACTAGTACTGGGGCAACTTCTGGGTGGAGATATTGAATTAACTCACTGAATGTTTAGACAATCAGATTGGGCTGGGAACTGTACTAACCTAGGAGGAGGAAAGGAGAAGTGTTAAGAAGGTCACTGCGAATTAGGAAGTGCGTTTCGGCGGCAATCTCAGCTGCAGCATATAAAAAAAATTCGATATTGTAGCCTCTTCCCACAGTGGCACACCCTGGTAACCTCTCCCTACCCTACCCTTTAAGCGTTTCTTTTTAAGGTCCGATACTCCTTTATATTCTTAAACTTTCGCCTGCCCTTGCAGTTCTGGGACGCCAGCAGAACTTCTTTTCATCCCTTATCAGCACGCGAGGGGAGGACAGCTCCTCCAGGAACATGAGAACTTTCCAAAGCAAACCCCCAATCAGAGAGAGAAAGAACGTGGCCACTGTAACCAAGTTTCTGCTGGAGGCCAAGAAATCACACCTCCGGCTTCCAATTCCTCCAACATCTGAGAGCGTGAACTTCCCTCTTTTCCCACAGCCCCAAGGGAACTATCCTGGGCCCTCACTATTAAGAACTTCAGGGCCAGAACACAGCCATTCTTGCAGGTGTCTGCCCGTGGGCTGCCTCTGGAATTCCATTTCTCTCCCCTCCATCAGACTCCTGTTTCCCTCTCCCCTCTTTCCTTCTCGGTTCGGGAGGGGCAGAGGCAACCGCGCGCTTCGGGGCTCATCGCCCGCGTGGAATTCGGGCTCGCTATCCTCGAGGAGGCTGTGGAGGAGGACGGCTCCTGGGCCGGGTCGCAAGGGACAGTGCCGTCCTCCCGCAGGTGGCCAGAGTTCTGGTTGGCCTGTGAAGACGGGTGTCTTTCTTGGGCCCAGCGCGTCCTGGCCTTTTGAGAGGGGGCTTCGAAGGCCCAGAGGAAGGCAGGCCGGAGGCAGACTCCATCAGACTCTGCCTGGCTTTCTCCTTCCCGGCCCCAGATGGCCGCGGTCTCTCCGCGCCCCCCAGCAGCTCCCCGCCGCCGCCACCGTTGTCTTTCCAGTAGAGGCTGCTGGATGACGGCGCGGTAGCCGGTTGGATGGGGGCTGGCGGCTCAGACGGGACACCGGGGGTGGGGGCGTGGGGGAGGGAGGGTGTGGAGAAGGGGGAGGTCAGCGCTGGGCGGGCGCTCAGGGGACCCAGCGCTGCCCCCTCCAGCAGCAGGAGCAGCACAGCAGCCGCCGCCGCCGCAGCAGCCACCGCGTCCACAGCAGCGCAAGAGGGGGGCCAGCGGCGCGGCCGAGAGCAGAGGGGCGGCGGCGCCCGCCCCAGCCGAGCCGAGCCGAGCTGAGCGCGCAGCCCGGCCGCCGCTGCTGCTCGCAGATGCCATCACAGCAACAAAGAGCTCGCTGAGCTGAGAGCCGCGGCGAGGGCTCGCCTGGGAGCTGCGCGGCAGCCGGAGGAAGCGCGTGGGGGGTCCGGGGGAGGGAAGGGGACAGAAGATGGCCAAGAAGAGAAAGCCCCCCAGCATCAAGGGTGAGTCCCGCTCCCTCCTCCCCTCGCCGCCTCCCCTCTCTCACCCGCCCTCTGCCCCTCGGGCCGGCCTGTTTACATCCAGGCGCGGCCAAGTGGAAGGCTCCTGCCGGGGAAGAGTTTGCCGTGTCCGGGGAGGGGGTGGGGGAAACCGCGGCGCCGCTGCACCTCCCCTGGCCTCCGGGGACACTGACAGGAGTTTGTGCCCCTTTTGCAACCTGGGGAAACCTGGAGACTCCTCTCTCACCCCACCCCTTTGCTACTCGGCGAGCTTGGGTATCTATCTGTTGCACCTCCTAGCCTCTGGGCAGTGGGGAGAGAAGCGACTGGGCTCCTAGCATCTTGTCTTTTCCGGAATCTCTCTCTCTCTCCCTCTCGTGTGTGTGTGTGTGTGTGTGTGTGTGTGTGTGTGTGTGTGTATGTATGTGTGTGTGTGTGTAAGAGAGAGAGAGAGTTTTTCATGGTCTCTTCTATTCTTTTCTTCCAATCCCCCCTCCCTCCGCCCCTTCGTCCCTAGGGTGACAAGTTCTGCATCCATTTCCCCAACCTCCATCCTCAGGAGGAGATTGGAGCTGGCTGCCTCTCCTTTTCCCTGCGGTCAAGGGGACTTGCTACCGGCCGAGTCCCTGCAGGCTACTTCCTGCTCCCCAACCTGTCGAGACGGGCAGTGGCTCCGGCTAAGCAGTCTCCCTGTTGCTCCTTTGGAACCCGGGCTTCCAAAGTTGGAAAGTTCGCGGAGAGAAGCGATGGCGGGGAGGACAAGGAAGAGCTTGTTGCTGGGGTGACGAGGCATTGCGGCGTGGTCCGGGGCGCGACTCGGGAGGGAGCCTCCTGGGCTGCGTCTTGCCTAGGGGTCGCAGAGCCGGCGCGCGGGGAGCAGGTGCAAGCCACCCGCTCCCGCAGCGCGGACTCGCAGAGGTCGCAGCTTGTCGGCTCCCTAGCTCTCGCTGGGGGACTCGCAGAGCCCTAGAGGTTGTCTGCAGCACTGCAGAGAGGTGGAAGTGGGCTCGACACCATGCGCGGTGAGGAAGGCTGTGCGCGGGGGAACTGGACCTGAGGATGGTGGCAAGGAAGGGGCGTCGTTCGAAGTTGGATTTCAACACAATGGGCCCAATGACCTGGGAGGCAGCGACTTACTGAGCCTTTGGGGTTATATAAAAAAGGACAGGAACTCAGATGAGAACTGAGGGGTGAAGGGTATTACTGAATACATTGGCTTGGACTACAGCAGCGCTCAGGCTTTGGCGTGCTTTTTGCTTTTCCTCCCAAGTCTGGCTTGTGGGAGCTTAGCTCCGCTCTAGAGGTCACTAGGGGGACACAACTTTATCTTGGCGCGTCAGCTTGCTTTTTAATTGCTCCGGAGTACTCAAAGCACTTACTGGAAAGCGTTTAAAATCATGATCCTTAATTCTTAAGAAGACATTACTATGAAAACACCTGGGACTTTTTGTTGTTAAAAATTATAACCTATGTATGACAATTTTATTGCAATGCCTTTTCTTAAAATATTATAGCTCCTGTAAAATTAGAGGGGCTTTAAACCTCTGATTCCCCCCCTCCATAAATTAGCGCATGGGTATAGAGATACACGAGTAAAGAAAGAAGAGAGAATATATTCACCTACAAACAGATTCCTCTCTTTATCATAATATCAAATAATTAGTCTAAGCCCAGATTGACAAGGCGTATGAGCTACACTTTTGGTTCGCTCCTTTTTTATGGAGCCATATGGCACGATGAGTGAAACAGAAGGATTGGTTTTCAGCACTGCTGATGTGGCTATCCATTGGCAGAAATACATTTCATTCCCACCCCAAACCTTGCAGATTGTAAATGGTCCATGAAGAGTGGAAAAAATTTTACAGTTTTACAGTACATGGTAGCCAGAGAAAATCTTACCCTTGAAATTAATAATCTTGGCAGAAGCACAAAAAGATACAATTAGATTGATGAAATGAGCTCATATAAGAGATTTGATGAAAAAGACACCTCCCCTTTATTCTTCCGTCCCCTCAAAACACCAAAAAGTTTTTGTTTTGTAGGTCAGTATGGAATCATTTGTATTTTCTTGAATAAGTTTAATTTGATAGTGAAATAATTGAAGAATAGCAGTTAAGTGTTAACAGTTTCTCTGGAAGGATTAATAATCAAGCTTTCTTACGACATGTGGTCTCAATAAATTTTATGTAGTACTTTAAAAATAAGGTTTTCTCATGCTACATGTTTTTCTTAAAGGAAAAGTTATGTTACTTAGCTCCTATCAACTTGTGTTGAGTTGTTCTTGTTTTTTAAAACAAGTTCATTTAGTATTTCACAGAAAGAAGGACACCTTTAAAAACAAATCCTTGGAGTTTCACTTTAGCGAAGCAGGATGAATTGTGATATTTGATAGATGACAGAAGCAAACCCAGAAAGTTGTAATCTATTGACTTGCCTCAATTTTGCCTTTTAAGAGGAGAGCTCTACAAAAGCATCTGACTGCAGGCTTGCTGAACTGCTCTCAGATGTCTGCTTCTAAGCTACAACCAACTAAACTGGGACTGCCTGGTAGGAAAAATTTCTAGGCTTTATTGGCAGGGGCAGGCTACTGGGGTGAACTTTGCTGGATAAAACACTGTAGATTTAGCAATATTCCATGCTGTGTTGGTTATTCTCTTACAAGAGCTGCTTCTCTGCTTAGCTACACCGCATGCAGGGAGAGATCATTCGTCGGATCTTGTGACAGGCAAGTTGCTCATTGGCTTCTGAAGTCCTAGCAAGAGAGACTATCCATAAGCCTAGAAATTGGCCAAAGAGAAATGCAGTTTCTTAACATTGATAGAAGAATAAGATCTGTTGGCAGGATTTCTCAAGGGACATTAGCATTCATTTGTGACATCTCATCAAAAGGACAGTCTTTCAGAAAGGCCAATGGAATCTTTTACAATCCAATATTGATAATGTTTTTAACGAAAAAATGCTATAGTTCATAATCAATACAAGTCTTATAAATGCAAGCTGGTTACATTGGTTATAATCACGTCACCACCCCCACCCCTGCCTTTTCCAATATTAGTACAACAAAGACTTCTTGCTCAATTACTTAAGTGTAAAACTTATGTTTAGGTTAATTTATTCATTTATTCATTTAGCACATATTTATTGAGCACTGAATATGTACCAGATTCTGTGCAAAACACTAGGGATACGGTAATGAACATGATAGACAATGAAGTAAGAGGAGGCCTGGAAGAAGCAGGTGACAAATAATATGAACCAGAAAATTTCACATAGTGATTAATACCAGGAGAAATAAAACAAAGTGATGTGCGAGCAAATGATTTTGAGGTTACTTTAGATTGTCTGGAAAGGTGGCATTTGTGTCGGGAAACAAGTGATGAAGAGTAATTTGCATGCCAAGAACTGGAACATAACACTTCAGGCCTTAAGGTAGAAATGAGGTGGTAGCTTGGCACATTCACATACAAAAGGAAGAGGTGTAATGTGTAAGGAAGAGACAGTTAGGGAGAAGCCAGGCCTTTTTGGTCATAAAAAGGAATATAGAGTTTAAGTGCAATGAGAAGCCATTGGATATTCACTTGCTATTTGGGGATACATTCCTCTCCTGGAAGATTATTTCAGGGAGAGGAGCATTCCTACATCAACTCCCTAGGCCAACTAAGGTGACCTAATAGACTTCACTTTTCTAAAAGGTCCAGTTATACTCACGTTATTTTCTCTTGCTATTCACCAGAATACCTATGCAATTTCAGGCTGAGATATTGATAGCATCTCTAGGAATCCCTGCTTAGAAAACAATTCTAGAGAGAATGAGGATTAATTTAACATTTAGTACAAGATGATAAGATTAGTCACTTCCCTGGCAAGCCTTTCAATGCAAGTAAGTCTTAGGAAAAACATATTGTAATGGTAGAGGGGGATTCTGAGGGGTCCAGAACATGACTGTGCAGTAGGCAGAATGTGGAAGGCAGCATGAGGGGCTCCTAGATAACAGAAAGGGGTCCACAGAAGGAGAAGAGTGATGTTTGGAAGGGGACATGAGAAAGCCTCTAAAACAACATCAGCCAATTCGTGATTTTGCCAAGTGGAAGCCTGATATGAGCATGTTCCAAGAGAAACATTCTCATTCAAACACAGAAAAAGTTTAAACCAGGGTACTTTTATGCTTTTGACTGATCTTTTTATAATGAAGCATTTGTAACAATAAAAGCACACAGATGTTTACAAAGTCTCTTTGATTTTACTTAATCACTGTCAGGTTGTTCTGATGGATTACAGACCTCACAAATGAAAATAGCATGAACATATTAATGATAACTGCTGTTTGTTGGAGGTAGTTGCTTGATAGCTAGTTAAGGAAATCATGCTCTTGGGTCTCATTTTACTGTAGAGATGTTGGTAAGTGGGATATGGGGTATATTGGATGATTTTCTTTCCCCTAAGCATTTGTGACAAGAAGGTGCTATGATATTCAGGAAAGACACAAATAATAGTAGATTATTTTAAAGGTAATCATGGCCTACTTCCACCTCCAAACTACCTACTTCTTTGCCAAGGATTAACAATGAAAAAATATACTATAGCTCCAGGACTTTGTTCAGTCTCCTCCCCCTCTTTATACTCCAAGTGACTCCTTTGAGGCTAGCAAGGCTAGTAGGACCTCAGGGATTACCTAAGAATGGGGTATGGCCCTTAGTGATACTGGAACACAATGTGTTTATGACATCAGCTTTTTTTTCACAGTAGTGAATCGTAGCATGTTAGAGTTAGAAGGTTCAGTGTTGATGGAGTTATTGAAGAAATGATGGAGTAAGAGGTGAGTGATACTGCTAAATGCAAGAAGTCTATGTCTGTAGGAAAATTGGTCAAGTTTGTTATTCATAAGTACGTATTCTATACAACTCAAGAAATACACACACACACACACATATATATAGTGAAGTCTGAATATAAATTAGGAACTGAGCACTTCCTCTCCGTGTGTGTGTGTGTATATATATAGATATCCTGGGGGATTATTTAAAGAGAGTAGTATTTTTACATCAGCTCCCTAGGCCAAGTAAGGTGACCCAATGGACTTCACTTTTCTAAAAAGTCCAGTTACACTTATGTATCTTCTCTTAATATTCACCAAAATATCGACAATATTTCGGGCTGAGATGTTGATAACATCTCTAGGAATCCTTACCTACTGGTATTCACACCTGTTCATACTCCCCTTCCAAAATGAATCACAGCTGACCATGTGATCAGTACTGTACAGCAGAAAACTACATCATAAAGACATACACTATGGCTTCTGCCTTGTTCTTTTGTATTCTTTGCTTTCTTATGTTGCTCATTTTGGGGAAACCAGATGCCATGTTTTAAAAATACTCAAGGATCCCTTGGATTATTTTTTGAAGCAGAGGTTCATACAGATATTATTAACATTTCAGCCCAAAATATTGTCGGTATTTTGATGAATAGTAAGAGAAGATACATAAGTATAACTGCACTTTTTAGAAAAGTGAAGTCCATTGGGTCACCTTACTTGGCCTAGGGAGCTGATGTAGAAATATTGCTCTCTCTAAATAATTCTCCAGGATATCTATGTGTATATAGGTATATGTATGTATATGTATATACCTATGGAGAGAGAAGAAGAGCTCAGTTCCTAATTTATATTCAGACTTCACTATGTGTGTGTGTGTGTGTGTGTGTGTGTGTGTGTGTGTGTATTTCTTGACTTGCATAGAAGTCTTGAATCTTAGCTCTGTGTGGGAAGAACTGAGGCCTCCTGCTAATAGCAACAACTTGCTAGTTATGTGAGTGATCTATCTTGGGAACAGACCCTGCAACCAAGTCAAGCCTTCAGATGACTGTAGCTTCAGCCAACATCTGACTGAATTTCATGATAGCCCCGACCCAGAGCTATCCAATCAAGCTGCTTCTGGATTCCTGAATCACAGAAACCATAAGATATAATAAATGCTTACTCTTGTCTTAAACCACTAAAATTTGGGGGTAATAGGTTACATAACATTAGATCATGAATATACCTGTGGTTCATTATTTTTGCACCTCTATCATGAAATGTAATATTTGTTACTAGTTCCAACACTGATCTTGAATCTTAGCCCTCTTTCCTATTTAGTGAATTGGGCTGAAACCCTGAAGTTCTCTTTTCTTGTTTCCCTTGAGTTTCTTGTAGCAGCTTGCTTTCTCCTCTGCTTTTTTGAGTACTGATTCCTGGCTCCTCTAGTTCATTTAGTTTAGAAGATACTTTCCAAATTGAAGCACTACCGAACCAAAAATCAGAGTGATAAAGAGAATACAAAAGCCCTAAAATCTCCCAACAGCACAAGATTTCACAGTCCTCCAAACTAAGAAGATAGAAAGTTTCTTAAAATCTACAATCTTTTATTCTCACCATCAAAAATAAGAATGTAAGGTAATGAATATGTTAAATAGCTTGATTTAGCCATTCCACAATGTGTATATATATCAAAACATCAGGTTTCACACCATAAATATATAAATTTTTACTTGCCAATTAAAAAAGAAAAAACCCAAAGAAATGAAACCCTAAAATATTCAAATAAAAACCTTTCCAGCTGTATTTATCTATTCCTCCTTACCAAAGAATCCCTTCCTCCTCCCAGCCCAGTTAGTCCTTTGAGGTATAAATAGGAGACTGAGAAAGAGGATTTAAGAAAGGAAGGTTGCCGTCTCTTCTACTTGAGAGTAGGATATTAATCTATTTTATTCGTTCATGTAGTTCTCTATTCATTCAATAAGTGTTAATCAATCGCTTACTATGTACTGGGCACTATTCTAAGCATGCTTGGGATAAATCAGGGAACAAAATGAATTCTTCATGAGGTTTACACTATACATAGGGAAGACAAACAATGAATAATAAGCATGAATACATTGTTGATATTAAAAATTGAAAAGTGCCATGACAGAAAGAAAAAAAAATGAGCATAGTAAGGGGGATTTGGATTGCTAATCATGGGATGATGGTGGGCCAGCTGCAAGTATTAATAGGGTGGTTAGGGTAGGACCAATTGACGAGGTAATATTGAAGGACATGAAGCAGTGGAAGGGGAGGAGACTTCCAGAAGGAAGGAAAAGCCAGAGCAAAGACCCTACAGTGAAAATATACCTGGTATGTTTGACTAACAGAAAGAAGACCAAGTGGAATTAGTAAGGGGGATAGAAATAGAAAATGAAGTCAGAAAGATGAGGGAAGACTAAATTATATTAAACTTTTTAGAAAGTTTTAAGACTTTGGTTTTTACTCTGGGGAAATGTGGCACCAGTTCAGATTTTGAACAGAGGAAAAATATGATCTGACTTACATTTTAAAATAATTGCTACGGCGACTGTGTTGAGAATATCGAGCCAATATGTAGGGGTAATGAGAAACTAGAAGACTAGTAAGGAATCTTTTGCAATAACTCTTTAAAAATTTTCTTCTTCTGGTGGCTGAATAATACTCCATTGTGTACACACACAACACACACACACACACACACATACCCCTCACATTTTGTTTATCCATTCATCTGTGGATAGACACGTAGGTTGATTCCATATCTTTTTCTCTGGAAAAATATATTTTCAGTTCCTTTGCCTATTTTTAAGTTGGGTTATTTGTTTTTTTTTGTTTTTTGTTTTGTTTTGTTTTGTTTTTGCTATTGACTTACAACAACATGGATAAACCTGGAGGACTTTATACTAAGTGAAATCAACCAGGCACAAAAAGAAAAATACTGTATGATCTCACTTATATGTGGAATCCAAAATTATTGAACTCATAGAAGCAGTGAGTAGAATGGTGGTTGCCAAAGGCTGGGGGAGTGGGAGAAGTGAGGAGATACTAGTCAAACAGTACAAACTTACAGTTATAAGACAAGTTCTGGGGACATAATATACAGCATAGATAGTGATGGATATTGTATTAGTTTGTTTTCATGCTGCTAATGAAGACATACCCAAGATTGGGTAACTTATAAAGGAAAGAGGTTTAATTGACTCACAGTTCCACATGGCTGGTGAGGCCTCACCATCATGGCAGAAGGTGAATGAGGAACAAAGTCACATCTTACATGGCAGCATGCAAGATAGCATGTACAGGGGAACTCCCCTTTATAAAACCATCAGATCTCATGAGACTTACTATCATGAAAACAGCATGGCAAAGACCCACCCCCATGATTCAATTACCTCCCACTGGGTCCCTCCCATGACATGTGGGAATTATGGGAGTTACAATTCAAGATGAGATTTGGGTGGGGACACAGCCCAAACTATGTCAGATGTGTTATTAAATTTGGTTGTAATAATTATTTATTATACAACGTGTACATATACCAAATCATCATGTTGTACACTTTGAATACATACAGTCTTTATTTGTCAATTAATATTTTAAAATAAAAAGTTGCTTATAAAAAATAATTCAGTTGAGAGATGATAGTGGCATCTATCAGGGTAGAAGCAGTGGTGAACATGAGAAATGGAAGGATACTGAATATATTTTTAAGGTAGAACTTATATAATTTTAAAAACTAACAGGATGTTTCATGTGAGAGAAAGAAAGGAGTGATGGATTAATGCACAGTTTTTGACCTAAACAACTAAGAGAAGGTGGACTTGGCATCAACTACTATTTGAAGATTGTAGAAGGGGCAAGTTTATGGGGAAGGATCAGAAGTTTAGTTTTGGACACATTTGGGTTTGAAATATTTATTTGATATACAAGTGAAGATGACAAGTAGGAAGCTGGATATGTAAGTCTGGAGTCTTGGAGAGAGGCTTGGGCTGATCATATGAATTTGGAATTCATCAGAACATTGGTGGTATTTAAGATCACAGACTGGAAGACTCACTGGGAATTGAGTATAGATTGAGAGAAATGATCTGAGCCCAGGGCTGCTCCATTATTAAGAGATAAGTGAGAAGGGGAGGAGTCAGTAAAGGAGATTGAGAAAGAGCAACTGGTGACTAAGAAGTGGGTGTGGGGTCTTGGAACCAAGGAAGAAAGTGTATCAAGGAGGAAAATGATAATCAACAGTGTCAAACGCTGCCCATAGGTCAGGTAAGATCAGGGTTGAGAAATGGCCATTGTATTTATTAATATGAAAGTCATTGAAGACCTTAATTAATTAATATGAAAGTCAAAGACAGCCCAGGTGAAGTGGTGGCAATGATGCTTTGAGTGAAGTGGGTTAAGAGAGAATGAAGAGGAGGAAAATTAAAGACAGCACAGTTAACTGTTTTGAAGGGTTTTGCTTTAAAGGGAGCAAAGAAATGATATGGCTGGGGATGGGAGTTGTGGAGTTGAAAAAAGATTTGCTTTTTTAAGATGGAAGAATAATAGTGGGTTTTATTCCTTGTTGTTTGTTACTATCTGTGTATTGAGGTGGGTTTTAACCTCTCTTTTACTATTTTAAATTTTGGGTGCTTTTTATGACAGTTTCCTATGGAGGTAAGATGAATTAATGTAGAATGGTCTTATGTTGCCTAGTTCTAAGGATGTTTCTCTTTTATCTTCTTTTACGTCTTTAAATGTATTATCTTTAAGAAATATTAAATGGAGTATTAAGAGAGGTATAGAAATGGATTTTCTGACAAAATAATAAAATATGCCATAGTAGGAAAAAGTTTCCAGAAGACAAGAGTTTGCCAGTCATCTTGTTGCTGACTGTGGCAGTCCATTCCCTCACTTGAAAGGATCTTAAAGAACTAAAGAAAAATTAAAAAAAAAAATTGTGCGGGAACTAGCCTAATGCTTCTCAACCAGGGGCAATTTTACAGTGTCTGGAGATATTTTGATTGTCATGACTGGAGTGGCGCTGGTGGCATCCAGTGGGTAGAGACCAGGGATGCTACTAACATTCTATAATGTACCTCCTCACAACAAAAGATTACCTAGTGCAAATTGTCAATGTTGCCAAGGCTGAGAAGCTATGGGCTAGCCCTATCATCTTTCCTTTCTTCCAGAGAGAAGCTAGGAAGCTGCTTCTGAAAAAGGGATCCGGAAGCAGGAGCTTTCCCTATCCCATTGTTCTGTGTTTAGATGAGACACAGCTTTTAAATAAATGATTAGGGTTCAAAATAAAGACATTTCTTTTTTGCCTTTGCTTTCTCTTTACCCCCTTCTGTGGATTCCCATAGTATAATCGAATTTTATAACTTTTGGTAGTTTCCCATTAGGGCCCATGACAGAGGAACATTAAAGTCATGGTGAAAAATTCCTCATTCAGTTGAGAAACCACAATTTCACATTGCTGATTTCTATTCTGCATCTGTCTGACAACTTAGTGAAGGAAAGGATGAAGAATAGGGTGATTTGTTAAGCTCTGACTCTACAAATCACTATAGCTTTTTAATATGAAAGGAGGGGTGGCCTCTCAGGCATCTTTTTTTGTAGCTTTTTTGGGCCATTAGGATTTTGGATGAGAGCTGCATTGTTTATTTATTTATTTTTATTTTTTCTCCACCTTCTCATTCTTAATAACTCTACCTTCAATATGTGCCTTATCTTTTAAGAAAGGCTCTGAAGAAACTCAGAACAGGTCCTAAGTGCTTGTTGAATGAAAATTTTCTTGTAGAATCAAAAATTTAAAACCCAATTTTAAAAGAAGCAATTTTAAATTCATAGTTTTTAAAAACTTAAAAGGCAGGTTTTTAAATGTAAATTTGCTAGTTCTCTGGATTGTCTTTCAGTGTTCAAAGTCAAAGACAAAAATCAGGCTTTCAAATTGACATTTTAGGAAGCATCCCCCTTGAGAACTGGAACAAGACAAGGATGCCCACTCTTCCCACTCCTGTTGAACACAGTACCGGAAGTGCAAGCCAGAGCAATCAGGCAAGAGAAAGAAAGAAAAGGCATCCAAATAGGAAAAGAAGAAGTCAAACTATCTCTCCTAGGAATCCCTAAAGACTGCCAAAGACTTTTGGAACTGAAAAATGACTTCAGTAAAGTGTCAGGATACAAAATCAATGTACAAAAATCAGTACCATATCTTTACACCAATAATGTTCAAGCTGAGAGCCAAATGAAGAACATAGCCTAATTTACAGTACACACACACATACACACACACCCCTTGGTTTCACCTCTAACCAAGGAAGTAAAAGGTCTCTACAAAGAAAACTACAAAACGCTGCTGAAATAAATCATAGATGACAGAAACAAATGGAAAAACATTCCATGATCATGGATTGGAAGAATAATAAAATGGTCAAACTCCCCAAAGCAATCTACAGATTCAATGCTATTTCTATGAAGCTACCAATGGCATTTTTCACAGAATCAGAAAAAACTATTCTAAAATTCATATGGAAGTAATAAAGTAATAAAGAGCCCAAATAGGCAAAGTAATCCCAAGAAAAAAGAACAAAGCCAGAAGCATCACATTACCTGGCTTCAAACTATATTGTAAGGCTACAGTAAGCAAAACAGCATGGTACTGGTACAAAAACAGACACATAGACCAATGGAACAGAAGAAAGAACCCAGAAATAAAGCTGCATTCCTATAGCCAGCTGACCTTCAACAAAGTAAACCAAAATCAGCAATGGGGAAAGGACTCTCTACTCAATAAATGGTGCTGGGATAACTGGCTATCCATATGCAGAAGAATGAAACTGGACCCCTACCTTGTTTGATATGGAAAAATTAACTCAAGATGGATCAGAGAATTAAATGTAAGACTTCAAACTATAAGAATCTTAGAAGAAAACATAGGAAACACCATTCTGGACATTGACTTTGGGAAAAATTTATGACTAAGTCCTCAAAAGCAATGACAACAAAAGCAAAAATTGCAAGTGAGACCTAATTAAACTGAGTAGCTTTTGCACAACAAAAGAAACTATCAACAGAGTAAACAGACAACCTACAGAGTGGGAGAAAATATTCACAAACTGTGCATCTGACAGAGGTCTAATATCTAGAATCTATAAGGAACTTAAACAATTGAACAAGTAAAACACCAATAACCCCATTAAAAATAGGCAAAAGAAAGACATGAATGGACAGTTCTCAAAAGAAGACATACAATTAAAAAAAAGAAGACATACAAGCAGCAAAAAAAAAAAAAAAAACATGAAAAAATGCTCCACATCACTAATTACCAGAGAAAGGCAAATCAAAAATCACGAGATACCATCTCATATAAGTCAGAATAACTATTATTAAAATTTAAAAATATTTGGGTGAGGCTGCAGAGAAATGGGAATGCTTATAAGCATATATACACTGTTGGGAATGTAAATTAGTTCAGTCACTGTGGAAAGCAGTTTGGAGGTCTCTCAGAGAGCTTAAAACAGAACTACCACTTGACCCAGCAATCCCACTACTGGGCATATATCCTCAAAAAACAAATTATTCTACCAGAAAGACACATGCACCCGCATGTTAATTGCAGCACTATTCACAATAGCAAAGACATGGAATCAACCTAGGTGCCCATCAACAGTGAATTGGATGAAAAAAAAAAAGGTACAAATACACTATGGAATACTATATAGCCAAAAAAAGAACAAAATCATTTCCTTTGCAGCAACATGGATGCAGTTAGAAGCCATTATCCTAAATGGATTAATGCAGTATCAGAAAATCAGATACCACATGTTCTCGCTTATAAGTGGGAGCTAAACAACAGGTACTAATAGACATAAAGATGGCAACAATTGATACTGGGACTGCTAGAGTGGAGAGGGAGGTTGGGGGAAAGGGTTGACAAATGAACTGTGGGGTACTATGCTCAGTACCTAGGTGACAGGATCAACTGTACTCCAAACCTTATCATTACACAATATAACCAGGTAACAATGTGTATATGTACCCCCTGAATCTAAAATAAATGTTGAAAAACTCTCAAACCCAAATTAAATATACATAAATAAATTTACATTTTATTAAAAATGTATTACTACTCTAGATTTGCCTTACAGGAAAGTCAAAACTTATTTTAAGCTTAGCCTATGATTATATACATTTGTACGTACAAGTTTAAAAATATCCAAAGTCATAAAATTTAACAAAAAAGGTAAAAGCTACTTACTGGGCATTTATGCTTCACAAACTAGTATTAACAGCACCTTTCACTTTGAAATACTTTTTTTCGAAGTGAAAAACACATTTTTCTTATTTATCTCAGCCTCTTATCACACTTTTGTTTGGTTGCACAAGAATGTCATCACATTCTTTACTCATGGCAATGACATTGATTCTGCTGATTTAACACCTTTGCTTTACTGAAAGAGTATTGGTGACTAAAGGAGGACCATTATTGCTCTTTAAAAAATGTTTAATCATAAATAGATGTGTCCAGGGATATCTTAACTGTATGAGGTATGATAGGCTTGAAATTATAAAGCACAGCTTTGGAATACACCCCTCCACAATCCTTAACCACTCAGAAAGTCTTACGTTAATACATATTATTTTTTGAACTTTATGAAAACTGCATTGAATAATTATCACACTTCCTACACACCAACTTGTATTTAATGATTTATGGAAACATTACTAAGACAAAAGAAGGACATAGCCTTCACTTGACTAATTCTAAGACCAAGGCTCCCTATGTTTTAACTTCTGTAAACTCTCACTGCCTGAATAAATACCTTAGGTATAATGAAGCGTAGGCAAATAATAGATTATAAATAAGTTGACCGAGGTCAAGAGAGGCATTTAACCTATTTAACCTATTTGGGAAAACAACCCATTTTCAAATTTTTAACAGCAGTAAATGGTAGAAAAGTATACTAATTAGAAATAATCATTTACTAAAGCAAATCTTTGAGGAAGTCTAATGAGTAGTTTCTTTAGCCAATTGCTTGTATTAAAGGACTGGAATAACTTTTGAATATTCAGAATTTTCACAAGTTCAGACTTCCTTCAGTTGGCCCTATTTAATGAGTTTTTATGCTGCATCTTGTATTTCTGAAAATTGAGTTTTTGTTTGTTTTGAGGCTGAGAATTTTGAGAACTGTCATTGTCAGACCAATGTCTCAGGAATCATTAGGAAAACAACTCGGGGTGGGAAGGTGGTTAGATGATGTCGTTGAGTGATCTTTATGGAAGGGAAATTTGTGAGAGATTTTCTAAATAAAGATGCAAGATTTTCATTGCTTTAGATATGCTAAATTTTTTTCCTGGAATCAGTCAGACCTTGAGATAGCTCTTTACCCAGCTTGTGTTATTTTGGTCCCTGCAGAAGTGCTTTTGCTGATTTGTGCTTACCTGTTATAATATTGGCTGGCATTGAGAAACTTGACATTGTATTAAGTTCAAGGATGTTATTTCTCTCTCTTTTTTATTATACTTTAAGTTGTGGGGTACATGTGCAGAATGTGCAGGTTTGTTGCATAGGTGTACACATGCCATAGTGGTTTACTGCACCCATCAACCCGTCATTTACATTAGGTATTTCTCCTAATGCTGTCCCTCCTCTAGCCCCCCAGCCCCCCAGCCCCCGACAAGCCCCAGTGTTTGATGTTCCCCTCCCTGTGTCCATGTGTTCTCATTGATCAACTCCCACTTATGAGTGAGAACATGCGGTGTTTGTTTTTTTGTTCTTGTGTTAGTTTGCTGAGAATGATGGTTTCCAGTGTCATCCATGTCCCTGCAAATGACATGAACTCAAGGGATGTTATTTCTTGTGCTGATCACTGTTTTTAGAATCTGTATTATGAGGATCTCATGGATAAATTTCTCTGAAATGTCGCTAGCCAAAATGAACAATGTCACTCATGGAACTCATTGTGTTTTCCACTATGGGTAGACAGGAAGTCTCAGAACTAATGTTGAGCTCACTTCTTGCTCAAGGTTATGTCATCATAAGTCATGCACTTGATTCATTTTGTTTCTCATATTCTTACTCTTTCTTCTCACTGTCTCTCTTTATACACAGTCATGCATTGCTTAAGTATGGGGCTACATTCTAATAAATGTGTCATTAGGTAATTTTGTCATGCAAACATTGTAGAATGTACTTATAGAAACCTAGATGGTGTAGCCATATCTAGTTATACACATAGATAGGCTATATGGTATAGCCTATTGCTCCACTCCTAGGCTATATATCTGCACAGAACACCACTGTATTAAATACTCTAGACAATCATAACACAATGGTAAATATTTGTATATCTTAACATAAAAATGGTACAGTAAAAATACAATATCATAATCTTATGGGACCACTATTCTGTATGTGGTCTGTCATTGACTAAAATGTCATTATGTGGCACATGACTGTACTTTGTTTTGCTGAATTGTATTTATTTTTATAAACTACTTAAAATATTTTTTGAAACAAGATTAATAAATAAATAAATAAATATTTGGATGAGACAATTCACAGAGGTTAAACAACCTGCTCAAAATTATAAAACTAATGATTTACAGAGTTAATATTTAAAACTAGATGTAACCCCAAACAATTTCAGACATAGAGTATGACATTGAAAAAGTTTTGGAAAACAAGTGGTCCTACTGTTCTAACTCAACTTTTTTTCCTTTATTTTTGTAGTTTACCATCTAGTCTTGGTTCATATATAATTTTCATGGTTGTACTTTTATATAATGACATCTTTATCTGTCTGCTTGCACAAGCTAAGAGTCCTTGACTCCATATTCCCTCTCACATCCTCTTTCCAGGCTCTGCTCAAACTGATAAAGTCAGTCACTACTCTTGATCCTAAGTATCTACTTTTCTCTATCTCTGCTGCCACAGATCTGAGTCAGTGTTATCATTTCTAATATGGATTAGACCACCTCTGCACTAAGGGGTCTCCTTGCTTTCGACCTAGCTTTCCTCCAATTTATTTTTTACTCTACTGCAATTAAGAAACTCCTGCACTTATGACACTCCTGAAAGACAAATCTGGTCATTTCACATCCCTAAAATCCAATAATGGCTTTTCATTGGCTACACAAGACAAAATCAAAATTCTGTAGCAAACCATCCAAGTCTAGAATCTGACCTATGATTACCCTTCCAGGTTCATTTCCCACCACTTCCCACATTCACCCTAATTCTTAATGATCCGACCACACTAAATACTGGGGGCCATACACATTCTTTTATGCTTCTCTGCCTTCATGATGTTATTGTTTTGGATGGTTTGTATGTGTGTGTGTGCACATGTATAATTCTGAAAATTTCTATTTTTTTCCAAGATTAAGCACAAATGTCAACTTCTCTGTAAAATTTCCCATCTTCTCTGACTACCACCTTCAAATTAAGCACTTCTTTCTCATTGCTCCCATAACATCTTTCATATACCTCTGTTAGTGCTCTTATATCAATTTAAATGTAGACTCTACACATCCATCTCCTTTCTCAATCTTCATGTGGGTCTTCAGCCCTACTTCTGCACTGAAGCAAAAGGAACCAAAAACCTGACCGCAAATCAGTCAGTGGCTTAACATCCCAGGTTAGAGTGTCGCTCTGGTCCACTTCTGTCTCCAATTGTTCTGTTGATGCGCTATCAGTTAGTTTTAGGCCAGCCAGCCTGTACATTGATGCTTGAAAAAACAGTGCTCTATTTCCAAGCTAGTTGTCTAGAAACTGTCATCTCTTTCTTAGCGTTGCTCCCAATCTTTTTGTCCCTTCCTAGATACCCATTACTAGGCTGTGAGCAATGCGAGCATTTTGATTGTGCGCAATTTATCCTTTAATCCAAAATGTCAAGTGTAATTTTGGACATATCACAGATACTAAATGAACATTTATTGAATGAATCAAACATTTCTCTATATTTTTATATATTTTCATAATTTTATTTTAAATGGTTTGGTAATATTCAATTGCATTAATTTAGCATAACTGGCATAATTAACTGAGTTTTCTGTGGAAATGTAATAGTCTAAACAACATTATATATATATTTGTTTATGAATAGTCTTTTTTAATTTTTATTTTAAGCTTGGGGTACATGTGCAGGTTTGTTACATAGGTGAACTTGTGTCATGGGGGTTTGTTGTACAGGTTATTTCATCACCCAGGTGTTAAGCCTAGTACCCACTAGTTACTTTTCCTGATCCTCTCCCTCCTCCCACCTTCCACTCTTCAATAGGCCCCAGTATGTGTTGTTTCCCTCTATGTGTCCATGTGCTCTCATCATTTAGCTCCCACTTGTAAGTGAGAACACTCAGTATTTGGTTTTCTGTCCCTGTGTTAGTTTGCTAAGGATGATGGCCTCCAGCTCCATTCATGTCCCTGCAAAGGACATGATCTTTTTCATTTTCATAGCTGCATAGTATTCCATGGTGTATATGTACCACATTTTCTTTATTCAGTTTATCATTGATGGGAATTTAGGTTGATTCCATGTCTTTGCTATTGTGAATAGTGCTGCAGTGAACATACGTGTACATGTGTCTTTATAATAGAACAATTTATATTCCTTTGGGTTTATACCCAGTAATGGGATTGCTGGGTCAAATGTTATTTCTCTTTTTAGCTCTTTGAGGCATTGCCACAATGTCTTCCACAATGGTTGAACTAATTTACACTCCTACCAATGGTGTGTAAATGTTCCTTTTTCTCCACAACTTGCCAGCATCTGTTTTTTTTTGGCTTCTTAATAATAGCCATTCTGACTGGTGTGAGATTGTAGTTTTTATTTGCATTTCTCTAATGATCAGTGATACTGAGCTTTTTCTCATATGATTGTTGGGTGCATGTATGTCTTCTTTTGAAAAGTGTCTGTTCATACCATTTGCCTACTTTTTTATGGGTTTTTTTTTCTTGTACATTTGTTTAAGTTCCTTATAGATGCTGGATATTAGACCTTTGTTGGATGCATAGTTGCAAAAATTTTCTCCCATTCTCTAGGTTTTCTTTTTACTCTGTTGGTAGTTTCTTTTGCTGTGCAGAAGCTCTTTAGTTTAATCAGATCCCATTTGTCAATTTTTTTCTTTTGTTGCAATTGCTTTTAACAACTTCATCATGAAATCTTTGCCCGTGTCTATATTCTGAATGGTAATGCCCTCATTGTCTTTCTGGACTTTATACTTTTAGGTTTTATATTTAAGTCTTTAATCCATCTTGAGTTAATTTTTGTATGTGGTGTAAGAAAGAGGTCCAGTTTCAATCTTCTGCATATGGCTAGCCAGTTATCCCAGCACCATTTAGGGAATACTTTCTCCATTGCTTGTTTTTGTCAGGTTTGCTGAAGATCAGACAGTTGTAGGTGTGGAGTCTTATTTCTAGGTTCTCTATTCTGTTCCATTGGTCTATGTGTCTGTTTTTGTAACAGTACCATGGTGTTTTAGTTACTGCAGCCCTATAGTATAGTTTGAAGTTGGGTAGCATGATGCCTCCAGCTTTACTCTTTTTGTGTATGATTGCCTTGGCTATTCAGGCTCTTTTTTGGTTCTATATGAATTTTGAAATTTTTTTCTATTTCAGTGAAGAATATCAATGTTAGTTTAATAGGATTAGCATTGAATTTATAAGTTGCTTTGGGCAGCATGGCCATTTTAACAATATTGATTCTTTCTGTCCATGGGCATGGGATATTTTTCCATTTTTTTGCATTATCTGTGATTTCTTTGAGCAGTGTTTTGTAGTTCTACTTGTAGAGCTCTTTCACCCCCCGTTAGGTTTATTCCTTGGTATTTTGTTCTTTTTGTGGCTTTTTTTTTTTTTTTTGAGACAAAGTCTGGCTCTATTGCCCAGGCTGGAGTGCAGTGGCATGATCTTGGCTCAGTGCAACCTCCACCTCCCAGGCTCAAGCCATCCTCCCACTTCAGCCTCCCAAGTAGCTGGGACTACAGGCAAGCGCCACCATGTCCAGCTAATTTTTGTATGTTTTTCATAGAGATAGGGGTTTGCCATGTTGCCCAGGCTGGTCTTGAATGCCTTTGTTTCTTTCTCTTGCCTGATTTCCCTGGCCAGGACTTCTAATACTATGTTAAATAGGAGTGGTGAGAGAGGGCATCCTTGTCCTGTGCTGGTTTTCAAAGAGAATGCTTCCAGCTTTTGTCCATTCAGTATAATGCTGACTGTGGGTTTGTTGTATATGGCTCTTATTGTTTTGAGGTAGGGTCCTTCACTACCTAGTTTATTGAGAGTTTTTAACATGAGTGGATGTTGAATTTTATCAAAAGCCCTTTCTGCATCTATTGAGATAATCATGTGGTTTTTGTTTTTAGTTCTGTTTATGTGATGAATCACTATTGATTTGCATATGTTGAAGCAATCTTGCATCCCAGGGATAAAACCTACTTGATCATGGTGGATAAGCTTTTTGATGTGCGTTGGATCTGGTTTGACCGTATTTTGCTGAGGATTTTTGCATGGATGTTCATGAAGGATATTGGCCTGAAGTTTTCTTTTTCTGGTTTATTTCTGCAGGGTTTTGGTATCAGGATGATGTTGGCCTCATAAAATGAGTTAGAGAGGAGTCACTCTCCCTCCCTCAATTTTGTGGAATAGTTTCAGTGGGAATGGTACCAGCTCTTCTTTGTACATCTGGTAGAATTCAGCTGTGAATCTGTCTGGTGCAACTTCAACTTTTTTTTGGTTGGTAGGCTATTTATTACTGCCTCAATTTCAGAGCTCATTATTGGTCTGTTCAGGGATTCAATTTTCTCTCGTGAACATTACATTGTGTGTGTGTGTGTGTGTGTGTGTGCATGTGTCTACTATGTTGAACTATCACTTTAGTTTGAAGAAACTCAGTATCATCTGAGCCTAAAGGTTAAGTGTGGGCCCATGAAAGAAAAAGAAAAAGTGAATTTGCTATTAATATATTCAGGGACTTGTACCAATTGGTTATTAGAAGATTTGATATTAGCTGTAAATCTTAATAGTGTTCTTTTTGAATGATGTTAGAAATTCTCAGAAAGCTAGTCAATAGGTCAGATATGTAATATTAGCTTGAGTTCTAAGGGAAAAGGTACAAATGAATGTGATGCTAAATTATCTCTTTTTAACAGGAACTTTTAAGGCTTATATTTCAAATATCATTCATTTTTCTTTCTGTCCTATTCTTCCTTTAATGCTGGTAAGTTTATACATGAATATAAAATTAAGCCATAAACTTCTTGAAAATAGAGACTAGTAAATCTTTCTATTGGTGCCTAGCACTTAGAAAGTGTTTAATAATTATTTGTTAAATGAACATATGAATGAGTTTTAAGATGCAGTTTTTTTAAAAATTATGCAAGTGAATGGAAGAGTCCTGGTGCCAGCCAGTGAGCTGAAATTTACAGACATAGTTCAGAGTGGATATTGCTTCTTTCTGTAGTAGTAAGAATTTTCAGATCATGCCTGAATAATCAATATCATGAATCTATTTCTGGATAATCAATTAACTATTATGGTTTTCATTTCTTTCAGGTTTCAAATAGGGAACTATCTAACTCATCAAAAGTTTTTTTTTAATTGTAGTGAAAAAGTTGGTTCCATGATCCACAGGGAATAAATAATTTATGGGTCAGGGCCTTTGAGATGTTTTTGAAATATTGAAATCTGGTATGCTTTGGGCAGGAAAATTTCTGATTTAAAAATATAGACAATGGAATGGGTTGTGTGTGTGAATAAAGTGTGAAAAGCTGCCCTTAGGCAAAGTCTTTTCCAGAGAATACATCACTGTCAACCTGGAGTTAGTCTTTAGTTAATACTTAATAGGTGACTTTTCCACATTTGGAATCTTTAAAACTTGTTACTCTAGAATTATTTCTGAAGCACTAGAAGAGGTATATTTTCTTCCCTTTCTACCTCCCTACCTCCCTTTCTTTCTTCTTTTGATATAATTATTTTCTTATTTTGGGTTAGTCTTGGTTAACAAAAAGTAATTTATTGAAAATGGTCACACTAAAAACTTCAGAGTTGTAATACCAAATATAATTTTAAGGGTTTTAAAATGAATTTATAATTTGTTTTCAGCCTTATATGTTTTACTGAAATCAGGGGCAAAATATACACTGAAATATTGACTTTATCTACCCTCACTAATTGTTTATGAAAAAATAAATATTGACTTTATTTTCAGGTTGTTACTGGTTAACATTGTTAGTTTAATAATCTTTCTTTTTTACTAAAATGATAAAAAAAAAAGGTACCATCTTCCCTCTGCCTTTTTCTGTTACATCATTAGTTTTCTTCCAAGGTATAAAAACTTCATAAATGTTAGCTAATTAATTTTCAAAAGGCAGAGAAAATTTGAAAATATTAATTTTCTTATTTATAAAGATAAGAAAGCATAGCATTTCTGTTGCTTATTATCAATTTACATATCACTTGACGATTTCATTATAATTTTGAATGCCATTTTACAGTTGACATACTGATAGTTTAAAAAATGCTGACCTATGAATAAAATAATATTAAGACCAAAATTCAGCTTTTCTAATTTTTTTAGTCTTACTATTTTTCTACTGTATAAGCAGTCAGATAATATAATACAAAATGGGGTAATTCAATCTTTTAACATTTCATTTGGAGACACTAATGACATTTGGATCCGGCTTAGAATACTGTCGTGCTATATTTAAACATGTTCTTTTTTTTCCCTTCAGAACTTCATTTTGGGATTTTTCAAAAGCTGATATATCTCCATTTATGATGTCAGTTTTTCTTACCTTGTTTAATATTGGTTGTAAAATTCATGTGACTTGGGCTCAGTATAATTTTTAAATGACGCAACTGGAGATAGTCTCAATGTAAAGATCTTAAGTGTTTTATTTATTTTTAATTCCTGTGGGTACACAGTAGGTGTATATATTTATGGGGTATGTGAGATGTCTTATTATAGGCATGCAATGTGAAATAAGCACATCATGAAGAATAGGGTATTCATCTTCTCAAGCATTTATCCACTGAGTTGCAAACAATCCTATTACATTTTGTCTTATTTTAAAATGTATAGTCACCCTGTTGTGCTATCAAATAGTATGTCTTATTAATTCTATTTTTTGTACCTATTAACTATCCCCACTTCCCTCTATTTTTTGTACCCATTAACTATCCCCTCTTCCCTCCATCCCCTGACTACCCTTCTCAGCCTTTGGTAACTCCTACTCTCTATCTCCATGAGTTCAATTGTTTTGATTTTTAGATCCCATGAATAAGTGAGAACATGTGACACTCGTCTTTCTGTGCCTGCTTATTTCGCTTAACATAATAATCCCGAGTTCCATCTGCATTGTTGCAAATGACAGGATCTCATCCTTTTTTATGGCTGAATAGTACTCCATTGTGTATATGTCCCACATTTTCTTTATCTATTCATGTGTTGATGGATACTTAGGTTGCTTCCAAATCTTAGCTATTGTAAACAATGCTGCAACAAACATAAGAGTGCATATATCTCTTTGATATACTGATTTCCTTTCTTTTGGGTATATATCTAGCAGTGGGATTGCTGGATCATATAGTAGCTCAACTTTTAGTTTTTTGAGGAACCTCCAAACTGTTCTTCTTTGTGGTTGTACTAATTTACATTCCCACCAAAAGTGTACAAGGGTTCCCTTTTCTCCACATCCATGCCAACATTTGTTATTGCCTGTCTTTTGGATGTAAGTCATTTTAACTGGGGTGAGATGATATCTCATTTTAGTTTTGATTTGTATTTCTCTGATAAGCAATGGTTTTGAGTAACTTTTCATATGCCTGTTTGCCATTTTTGTGTCTTTTGAGAAATGTCAATTCAAATCTTTTGACCATGTTTTGATTGGATTAATAGACATTTTCCTTTAGTGTTGAGTTCCTTGTGTATTCTGGTTATTAATCCCTTGTCAGAGGGGTAGCTTGCAAATATTTTCTCCCATTCTGTGGGATGTCTCTTTACTTTGTTGATTGTATCCTTTGCTGTGCAGAAACTTTTAAACTTAATATGATCCCATTTGTTCATGTTTACTTTGGTTGCTTGTGCTTGTGGGATATTGCTCAAGAAATTTTTGCCTAGACCAATGTCCTGGAGAGTTTTCCTAATGTTTTCTTATAGTAGTTTCATAGTTTGAGGTCTTAGATTTCTTTAATCCATTTTGATTTGATTTGTGTGTATGGTGAGAGACAGGGGTCTAATTTCATTCTTCTGTATATAGATATCCATTTTTCCCAGCACCATTTGTTGAGGAGAATCTCTTTCCCCCAGTATATATTCTTTGCACCTTTGTTGAAAATGAGTTCACTGTGGGTGTGTAGATTTCTTTCTGGGTTCTCTATTCTGTTCCGTTACTCTATGTGTCTGCTTTTATGCCAGTATCATGCTGTTTTACTTACTGTAGCTCTGTAATATAATTTGAAATCAGGTAATGTGATTCCTCTAGTTTTGTTATTTTTGCTTGGGATAGCTTTGGCTATTCTGGGCCTTCTGTGGTTTCATATAAATTTTAGGATTGTTTTTTCTATTTATGTGAAGAATGTCATTGTTACTTTGATAGGGATTGCATTGAATCTGTAGATTGCTTTGCATAGTATGGACATTTTAACAATATTCATATTTTTCAATTTTTTGGTGTCCTCTTTAATTTCCTTCATCAGTATTTTATAGTTTTAATTTTAGAGATCTTACATTTCTTTGGTTAAATCCTAAGTATTTAATTTTATGTGTGGCTATTATAATGGGATTACTTTTTAAATTTTTTTTTGCATTGTTCACTGTTAGCATATAGAAATGTTACTGATTTTTTATGTTAATTTTGTATCCTGCAACTTTACTGAATTTATCAGCTCTAATAGTTTTCTAATAGAGTCTTTAGGTTTATCCAAATATAAGATCATATCATCTGCAAACAAGGATAATTTGACTTCTTCCTTTCCAATTTGGATGCCCTTTATATTTTTCTCTTGTCTGATTGTTCTAGCTAGGACTTCCAGTACTATGTTGAATAACAGTGTTGACAGTGGGCATCCTTGTCATGTCCCATATCTTAGAGGAAAGGCTTTTGGTTTTTCCCTATTCAGTAGACACTAGCTGTGGATCTGTCATATGTGGCTTTTATTCTGTTGAGTTGTGTTCCTTCTATCACCAGTTTTTGGAGGTTTTTTTTTTATCATGAAAGGATGTTGACTGTTATAAAATGCTTTTTCAGCATCAATTGAAATTATCATATGATTTTTATCCTTCATTCTGTTGATATGATGTATCATGTTGCTTGATTTGCATATGTTGAACCATTCTTGCATCCCAGGGGTAAATCCCACTTGGTCATTATAAACGATCTTTCTAGTGTATTGTTGAGTTTGGTTTGCTAGTATTTTGCTGAGTATTTTGCATCAATATTCACCAGAGATATTGGCCTGTAGTTTTCTATTTTTGACTTTTCTTTGTTATCACCATAATACCAAAACCAAAAAAAGACATAACAAAAAAGAAAACTACAGAACAATATCCCTGATGAACATAGATGCAAAAATTATTAACAAAATACTAGGTAATCAAATCCAACAGCATATCAAAAAGATACTCCACCGTGATCAAGTGGGTTTAACCACTCTATGTTTTTTGATTGGAGAGTTTAGTCTATTTACATTTAATGTTATTGTTAAGTAAGAACTTACGCGTGCCATTTGTTATTTGTTTTCCTATTGTTTTATGGTGTTTTCTTCCTTCTTGTCTTCCTTTTAGTGAAGGTGATTTCTCTCACTTTCTCCCACCTTAGGGGGCACCCGAAGGCCAGTAATGCTGTGGTTCTTGCAGACTCATAGAGGTACAACATTGTTAGTCTTGGATAAGATTCAGGAGAATTCTCTGGATTACCAGGCAGAGACTCTTGTTTATTTCCCCTACTTTCTCCCAAACATACAGTCTCTCTCTGTTCTGAGCCACCTAAAGCTCCTGTGGCCACCACCAGTATGACTGCTCTGAGTGAGTCCTGATGCCAGCCCAGTGCAGGGTCTCGCCAAAGTCCTGCTGTAACTACTCCCTGGCTACTGCCTATCTTCACTCAAGGCCCTGGGGCTCTAAAACCAGCAGGTGGCAAAGCCTGTCTCCTTCCCTTCAGGGTAGCGGGGTCCCCTAAGCTCCAGGTGGGTTCAGAAGTGCTATCTGGGAGTCAGGCACTAGAATCAAAAACCTTAGGAATCTATCTGATTTTCTATTTATTGTTGTTGACCTGGCACTCAAACTGCAAGATGTAGTCCTTCCCACTCTTTCTTTCCCTTTTCCAAAGGCAGAGGAACCTCACCCCATAGCCACCACCACCCCTGGCCATGAGGACTACTGCCAGACTATCAGCCATGTTCCCTTAAGGCCCACGGACTCTTAAGTCAGCTTGTGTGAATGCTGTTTAGCCTGAGACTAGACTCCCCTCAGGGCACTGGGCTCCTCTCTGCCCCAGGGCAGGTTCAGAAATGCTGTCCAAGAGTCAAGTCCTGGAATTGGGGACCCCAAGAGCTCACTGGTGCTGTATGCCTCTGTGGCAGTGTTGGTACTTGAAGCCAGCAAGTCTCAGAGGCTTACCAAGGCCCTTGATGTAGTACCTGGGTATTGCTACTGGTTATTTAGGTAGCTAGCAGGTGATGAATGCTGGCAAGACTGGATTTTTTCCATTAAGGCAGCAGATTACCTTCTGGCCCAGGGTATGTCTAGAATTGTCATCTGTCAGCTAGGGCCTAGAACAGAGCTTCATGATGCTGACCTATCCTGCTGTGGCTAAGCTGGTATCCAAGATGCAAGACAAAATCCTCCTGAGTCTTCTCTCTTCTGTCCTCAAGCAGAAGGAAGGGGTCTCTTTTTGAGCCCAGAGCTGAGCAGTCAGGGGTTAGGGGAAGGGTGATGCCAGCACTCCCTTGGTTACCCCAGCTGGTGTCTCAGTACGTCGTGTGCCCCCCTAATCCACTGTCTCTGGGCCTATTTCATCCCTAGGACTTGCCTACAGGTTGTGGAGTTGCACTCCTTATGGCCTAGACTGCCTTTCACATTTACTTAGAGACGAAGACCACTTTGGCGCTAGGTGGTGAGGTTTCCAGGCACTCAAGTTCAGACTGCTGAGATGGACAATTCCCCTCTGGCTAGGGCTAGTTTAAATGCTCTCTCTGCAGGGGGCATCAGCTGAGTTTGATCTGGGTTTTCCTTTCTGCTCTCACAGAACATCACTGAGTTCAATGCCTCCCAATTGCTGTGTTCTCTCTCCCCGAGCACACAGAGATGCTCTCACTACCACACAGCTGCTGCCAGAGGTGGGGGCAGGGTGGCATTGGTGATTCAGGACCGTTTTTTCTATCTCTTTAGTGCCACTTTCTGTGATATGAAGGTAAAACCAGATACTATGTATGCTCGCCTGACTTTGGTTCTTGGTTCTTATAAGGGTATTTTCCCTGTGTAGATAGTTGTTAATTGGATATTCTTGCTGGCAGGACGATGGGTAGAGCTTTCCATTATACCATCTTGCTCTCTCTCTCCATAAATATTCAAAAGTCTAAAGTTCTAAGACAGTTTATCAAACAAATTTCTGATTGCAAGCTACACTATGTCGTTGAGTAGTCATTAGAGTTAGAACTACAGAGAGTATTAAAAATGGGAGAGACTTAAAAATGGTTTAGCTTAACTCCCTTAGCAGATAAGGAAACTTAGGATCAGGGAAGTTAAACTTACTTTCCCACAGTCACATAGCCAGCACTCTGGCAAGCCTAGATGAAAATTCAGATCTGGCTTTTAGTCCAATGCTGCTTTTTACCACATGTTATGGAATTAGCTCTGTTTTAATGAATGACATGGCAGATTAGGTGGCAGAGGTCTTTCTTTTATTGTCTAGAATTAGAGTATTGTTTGAGAGAGAGAGAGAGAGAAAGAGAGAGGGTGCGCGTGAATGCAGTTCCTCCAAACTTAACGTTGACTTCTAACTTCTTTTGTGGAAGAAAGGGGTTTTCACTTTGCTTACTCATGCCTTAAGCCTCAACCTGAAACTCTGGCATTTCTCTTTGTCAATATTAACTTGTTCCCATAACTCCCTGAGGTTTCACTTGTTATAATATTTATCAAACTCTATCATAATTGCATGTTTACTTTTCTTCTCTACTAGACTGTAAATTTCATGCCTTGTTCACAGTTATACCTTCAATGGTGACTAGCACAGTGCCTTTCACTTAGTGTTTCCAATTATTTGTGGAAGAAATAAATGTAAAAAATATTATCTGCTTTTTAAAAAAACCAGTATGAAGTAAGTATAGGAACCAGATATCTTTATTTCAGGAAGAACAATCCCATATCTCAATTCAGTTTTCTATCATGCCGGGTACAATGTTCCCCAAATGATTTTTCTTAATATGTTTTAAAAAATTTTAAAAAACATCTATCTCTGGGGATGGGGAGAAAAAACCCCACATTTTCCCAGAACCTAACCATTTTCTTTTTTTTTCCGAACTTTCGGATCGGGCAGATATGTGTTCCAATCTCAGCTCTGTGATTTTGGGCACATGACTTAACCTTTCAACTTCACTCTCCTTATCTGAAAAAAATGGAGACTATATTACCTACCTTACAGACTATGGTGAGGATTAAATGACATAACAAATAGCAAAGTTATATATAGTGGGTATTCAATAAATGCTCATTCCATTTCCCCTTCTTTACTCCATCCCTTTCTTTCTCCCTGTCACCTTCCTCCCCACCTCCCTTCCTCCCCCCTCCTTCCCTCCTTCACTCCTTCCTTCCCTCCCTCCCTCCTTCCTTCCTTCATCCCTTCTTTCTTTCCTTCTCCTAACTCCACTTTTTTGGATACGAGAGTGCTGCAACATAGTCAAAGTTTTCTTTGTCTTACAGCAACAGGGCTTTATCGAGTAAACTACTTTCAGCCTCAGCTTACCTCCAGGACAGCCTCTGTTTCTCTACACTCCTTTTTCTTTGTCCTGTGTATACCCACAAATGACCAGATTTGCCTTCTGGTTTCTCACATTGGCTTGCCTGAAATCCAATTATTCTGCCATATGCCTGATGGTCAACACGTTTTTCACAGCAAGGAAACAGAGAGAGAGAGAGTGAGAGCAGGGGAACCTGCGAGTGCCAGACGCAGTAAAACCTCCAAGAGGTTGTGTTGATTGCAGAAGGCTGTTCCAGGAGCAGGGTCTTTGGAATGCAATTTAGGGCCCAACTGAAAAGGAAAAAGGGAAGGTCACAACTGGTTGTTTGTCCTGCTCTTGACTGTGAAAGTTGCCATTTCATTATCTTTCAATCAGGCTTTATTGCAAAATGTTTTAAACCAATATTAGACTTAATATATACTTTGAAAGAGGCCTAATGTGAAAAAGAGCTAAGCCACATAACTGAATTAAAGAAAATCAAAAAAATTTATTACCAAAACAACAACTGGAGGAAAGGTATCTCTTGACACAGGTGATCTTGTCTAGGCTCAGAAATGGAGGTAACATGAGAAAGCAGTGATTAAGTAGCTACTGACGAGGTTCACATTAAATGATGAATGAACTGGCCAGGAGTTAAGAAGAAAGTGTTTAAGAGTGTTTGGCTCAGGGTAAGAATACATTTTACTGCTAATCAACCACTAACTTGAGCCCTTGTGACCTTGAGCCTCAGGTTGCAAAATGTTATCTGTAAAACAAATTGTTATACATGTGTAAGTTGCTGCTATTGATATGCTTTTATTTAAGGCCAAATTTTGTTTAGGAGGGTGATGGGAGAAGGGTTAGGACCCTTGCTTAATTAGCTCAGCTGCATTCCTCTAATGCTGAATTTCCCAACCTAGACACCTTTGACATTTTAGGCCGAACATTTTGTTGTCGGTGGCTGTCCTGGGCATTGTAGGATGTTTAGCAGCATCCTTGACTTTCATTCACTAGATGTTTTTAGGACCCTCTTCAGTTGTGACATACAAAAATGTCTCTGACATAGCCAAATGTCTTCTAGGGGGCACCAGCCTGCCCCAGCTCTGCATTTTGAGAACCACTGCTTTGATAAAAGAGCTGAGAGATAACTCTATCTACGTCTAGAGTTTCCCATGGAGTTATCATAAGACTTAAAAAAAAAATCACAAAACTTACTCTATTCCAAATTGAGTGGAGTAATTTACTCTATTTCATGCATTCACTAAGCATTTTATTGACTGTCTGCAGGCACCGTGCTAGGCCCTTGGGGTACATAGATAATAACTATGATCTGATTTCTGCCTTCAAGGACTTTGCTTTCTATTAAAGATAGCAAGTAATGCCCTATTAGTCCATTTCAATTCAAGGCTGTTAAGTGCAATCATATATCTTAAGTCAATATATGGTATAGTGGACCTGCAAAGGTGTAGTCTTCCCATTCATCCTAGAAGACAGGTGTCAGTTAAGGCCTTGTTGAGAAAGGAGTAATCATATGAGACTACATTTCAAGTCACCAAACAAAAAAAAAAATCAAACTCCAGACATCTAAAATATAGCATTTTGAAATTGTATTTTCTGCCTGTCATTTTAAATTTTATATATATATATATAATTTCTTAAATATTGTATTAGGGTTCGCCAGAGAAACAGAATCAGTAGGACACACACAGGCAGATACACACAAACACACACACACACACATATATACATACAGAAAGAGATTTATAAGGCATTGGCTCTTCTGTTTTGGAGACTGAGAAATCCCCTATCTACTGTCTGCAAATTGGAGACCCAGAAGAGAGGCTGGTGGTATAGTTACAGTCTAAATGCAGAAGACTGACATCCCAGCTCAAAAACAAGCAGAGAAAGCAGATTCTCCCTTACTTCTCCTTTTTGTTCTATTCAGGCCTCTAAAGGATTGGATGATGCCCACCCATATTAGGCAGGACAATCTGCTTAACTTTGGCTACAGATTTGAATGTTAATCTCATCCAGAAACACCCTCATAGATACATCCAGAATAATGTTTAACCAAGTGTCTGGGCACTCTGTGGACCAGTCAAGTTGACCTGTAAAATGAGCCATCACAAATATGATTAAAGTTTTTGTTAGGTAGTGGTTCTCAAAGTGTCATCCCTGGAGCAGCATCACTTGGGAACTTGTTGGAAAGGCAATTCTTGAACTTCCTCTCAGAGCTACTGAGTCAGAAGAAGCTCTGAGGGTGGGGTCTGTCAATTTGTATTTTATGAGTCCCCCATTAGAATCATGCTGAAGTTTGAGAACCAATGCTTTAATAATTCACTTATTAATTCTTAAATGTATTATATAATTTACTGAATAAATATGTATAAAATGGTGTTAAAAAAGAAGGGTATAATCTATATATTTATATGTATTAAACATGTGCTAATACATGAAATGCCTTCAGACATTGTCTCATTTAATCCTCACAACAGCCCTCAGAGGGAGCATAGTGGTTCTCAGCTGTGGGCCAGTTTCCAAATACTCATGAAGTTTAAATGCAATTGTCCAGGTCTTGCCTCAGACCTACTGAATCAGAAACTGTTTGGTTTTTAATATGTACTGTGATTGAGAATCACTGAAGTGGGTATTCTTTTTGTATATTTTACATACATGAATATTGAGGCTTCGAGAGGATGCATAATTTGACTATGGTTTTTGATATAGTATAAAACTGAAAAAGTATTCCATTTATTTATTCAGCAAATACTTACTGGCATTGGATGATTAATGAGTCTGTCTGACTTTAAAGACTATGCTCCTAATTATTCAGATAAATTCAGTTTATGTGATCTACCAGAAAAAAGTGTGTTTTTAAAGAGAGAGAAAACTAATATTTACAAAGTGATTTGCAGTCCCTTTACAAAACATAACAACCTTTCAAATTTTCTTAAATCATTGCTGTTTTACAAATTAGAAAACCAAGGCTGAGTGAGATGAAGTGATTTGTCCAAAATTATACAACCAGGAAGTCCCAGGGTTGAGTGTGGAACCAGGCTTTCTGACTTTCTGGCTATGGAGTTTAGCTTTTTTGAACCACTACTTAATCACATATTTATGTATAAAATTAGAATAAGAAAGATAAGTTATGTGTTATTTGCAGGATTAATTATCTTCCTGATCATTAAATTTACTTAGAAATTGTAAAAACCCCACTGGGCATGGTGGCTCACACCTGTAATCCCAGCACTTTGGGAGGCTGAGGTAGGTGGATTGCTTGAGCCCAGGAATCCAAGACCAGCCTGGACAACGTGGTGAAACCCCTTCTCTACTGAAAACACAAAAATTAGCCAGGCATTGTGGCACATGCTACTTGGGAGGCTGAGGCATGAGAATCGCTTGAACTGGAATGCTGAGGCATGAGAATCGCTTGAACTTGCAGTGAACTGAGATCTCACCACTGCACTCCAGCCTGGGTGACAGAGCGAAACTCAGTCTCAAAAATACTAAACAAACAAAAATCCCAAAAAAACCCCCACAAAACCCCCAAAAGCAAACACAGTATTTATGGCTTGATTTTATGTTCCTAAATCCTAAAGAAAGTGTCAGTGAATCCGTCTTCCAAATATGAGGACTCTAGCTTTTCTAATTAGCTAGTAGAAATACTGACAGTGTCCTAATTCATTGTTAATTCAGAATACATTTACCACTTTTACTGTGTAAGGGTTTTTATATTCTAATGTGATACGGTACCTAGACTAGTTTGCCAGTGCAGTGACTGAAACAGATTAATTTATTCACACCAGGAAGAATGCAGTTAGGATAGTGCTGCACTGCTCTTACTTTCATGAACCTTTTAATTACCTTTGCCTTACACCATTTCCACATAGACTAGACTACAGAAGCTCAAAAGGACAGTTTCACTGTAAAGGGACAGAGCCATTTGGAGTGAGGCCCTTAAGCCCTTTACTTTGGATCTCTCCTCCCCAGTTAGTTGGGTGGCAATTCAGAAAGATAAATTTTCATTTAAGACACTTTATTAAAAAGCCACTTTGAATCTATAAGAACATGTGGAATGGGAGATGTCCTCTTGTCTTAGAATTTGAGACCTCAAAGCTTGGGACATTGAGTGACAATCTCCTCCATACTTCAGAGATTGGTGCTGACCCAGCCCCATAGGAATTACTGAAAATTGGCCGGACCACCAACTGGTCTGTGATCTGCCTTTGGCCTATTCAGACTTTTTTTAGAGGGAAGGGAGGCAGATGCTTCCCTCACCACCAAATCACATGTTGGGAAGCCCCAAGAGTACTGCATATAGAGGTTATGGTCATCTACAAAATGGTAGAGTGTCATCTCTGTCCCTGGCTGGATGTTTGCCAAATTGCAAAAATTAGTGGGGTTTCCCTTTGCATCTAGCTGAGCAGAAAGTGAGTTTTTTCTTGAGAGAAACTGACATGTGACTCTCCATAATTTGAAGCAAAGTGTGATAATAATAGGTCTCTGCTTCTTTTCTGGAAAAGACAAAGGATAGAAAACAAAGTAGAGCTGCCCTTGACTGTGGGGCAACAAGGAAGGAGTCAGCAGTTTGTCAAGCTGCACGTTCATTGTACTTCCTGTGAGTCAAGAGGACCCTAAGAGGGCTGTCTACTGGGGCAAAGCTGAGGGATGCAGGTGATTCTGAGCGGTCAGATAAAGAGCTCATTGTCTATTGTAGGAAACATGTAGGGCATAGGAACTTGTTGAGAGTCTCCCAAGAATCTGCAAATGTACTTAATGAGATCCAATATTTGGAAGGCTGCTATGACAGAGGGCATCTGATAGTCAAATGAGAGTTATAAATTAGCTCCTTTTTTGATCCCTGCCATCTCCCAGGATTCAGAAATGGAAAGGGCAAGGTTGAGGGTGGGATAGGGAGAGAAGAAAGGAGTATAAAAAACCAGAACAGAGTCCTCCCCTATGTCTTCTCACAGCTTCTCTTCCCCTCACACTGAGTCATTCCTGAGCTGACAGGAGGGGACGTTCCAAATCAAGTATTAGATTAATGCTTTGAGTTAGACAAGACTGAACTTTTTAATACTGGATGACAAAATTGTTATCATGAAAAGAAATCTGAAAGAGACACTGTCAAGGCTAGAGGAGGGGAGACCTGACAGAATGTCTGAATGCAGTGATGGGAGAAAAATGAAGCTGTTTCCTGATTGCTACTGAGTCCAGCTCATGCAATAATTAATAATGAAGGGCCCAGATTCCTTAGCAGATAAATTGTAGAGAAAAGGAAATGATGGGAGAGGATTCTGTTTTCTGAATTATAAACTTAGAAAATCACTGTAGTGAAAGGCTTCATTTAAATAAGAGGCTAAATTAGAAAGTTTCCTTGATACCTTCAGACTTTAAAAATCTATACTTTTTTGTGGGGGTAGGGGAGGAGTGTTACCCTCAGATTTATTTGTGCAAATAGCACAGGAGGACACCAGCCCTATGCAGACGGCAGTGCAGGGCGGGTCACACCAGTCCTTCTGTCCTCATATTGGCAGATGGAGATCTCTACTTTGAACCCTTTGTAGTGGCCTGGGCGCCTTTGGGAGCCTGAGCTGGAATTGAAGCTGGAGCTGCAGGCTGGGCCTTGGTTTGATCCTTGGTCTTGGCCTTTGGCCCACACAGCCTGAGCCCTTTGGCAATGTGGGCATGATCATGCTTCCCAAGCTTGGAGTGGGCAATGTGGGCAAGTCGATGGAGCTTGTGGCTGACACCCTTTGGGATCTTGGGCTTAACTTCCTTGGGCTTTACCAGGGCCTTGATAGCCTTTGCACGTGCACTCATGGCCTTGGCATTGTTGGCCTGCATCTTCTTTAGGCCCTTCTTGTTGTGCTTCTTGGCAAAGCGCATGTTCCTCAGGAACTTGGGGTCCACCCCTTAAGAGATTCGTATCTTTGTGATTGGGGTTTCTTGAGGCAATTTCTGTGCCATATTCGGGACCAGTTGTGTGTGGTGTGGTTCTTGGACTTGGCCATGTCTGCACTGTAACCCGTGGCTCCTGAAGCGCCTGGAAGTGAAAGCTCAGTATCCTTTTGTATATAACTGGATATCTTGGTCTGTTTGCATTACTGTAAAAGAACACCCGAGGCTGGGTAATTTTTAAAGAAAGAGGTTTACCTGGCTCACAGCAGGCTGTACAAGAAGCATGGCATCAGCCTCTGTTTTTGGCGAGGACTCAGACTGCCTCCAGTCACAGTGGAAAGCAAAGAGGAGCTGCTGTGTTCAGAAATCACATGGTGAAATAGGAAGCAAGAGAGAGGGGAGAGGCAGGTGCTAGGCTCTTTTAAAAACAGTTCTCAAGGGAATTAAGAGTGAGGATTCACTGATTTCTGTGATGACAGCACCAAGTCATTCATGAAGGATCTACAGCCATGACCCAGACACTTCCCATTAGGCCCCACCTCCAACACTGAGGATTTGTGGGAAGAAATATCAAACAGTACTACCTGGGATCAAGTGTTATTTTGGAATACTGTACCCCTTTCCCACATCATCTTATTCCATATACATTATTTTTATGAATTATCATAGAAGAGTTTTCATTATATTTCTAAAATTACATTCTTCATTGCTGACAATGCAGCTTTAACCAACAATTGTTGGTCCTAATAGTGACATTAACTATTTGGCATTTTTATATATTTTACCTAGTGGACCATAATGGCTTAAGCCTTTTGAGTATAAGCCAGTTCATTTAGTTACCTCCACCATTTCTTTCAACCAAGACTCACAAGGAACAATTTTAACAGGCTCCATGTTCAATTTTTAGACAATGAGCTTTGGTTTTTGGAAACAGCTTGATCATATAGTATAATATAAATTCTAGGTCCACCTCCAGTTTTTTAAGATTTTGTCTACTAATGTGAATGGTCTTTGATACTCTTGGTAATGAAAGGATTAAATCATTGATGTCATTATATGTTGAATTTGGCTATTTTCATCAGCCTTCAGGGTCTGGCTTGTCTGCCTTTTAAATGGACAAAATGGAGTAACATAATTTGTTTTTAAAAATTTTATTGCCTTAAGATATTTCTGACTTTCTGACTTGTGTTTATAGCTAGGCTTTATGGATAGTAGGTATCTGAGAAAGAAAGTATCTTTCTTCTCCACAGGCACTAATTCCATCTTGTAGGTTTTGATTTTTTAAAAAAATATTCCCTGTGCATTATGCTAAACATATGGGCCCTCTTTCCTTTCCTTTCTTTGTTTTTCTTTTTCTTTGTTTTTTTTTTTGAGACAGAGTCTTGCTCTGTTGCTCAGGCTGGAGTGCAGTGGCTTGATCTCAGCTCACTGCGACCTCTGCCTCCCAGGTTCTACTGATTCTCCTGCCTCAGCCTTCTGAGTAGCTGGGACTACAGGTGTGGCCACCATGTCCAGCTAATTTTTGTATTTTTAGCAGAGACAGGGTTGTGCCATGTTGGCCAGGCTGGTCTCGAACTCCTGGTCTCAAGTGATCCACCCTCCTCAGCCCCTAAAGTGCTGGGATTACAGGTGTGAGCCACTGCGCTGGGCCCTAACTCATTATTCTGTTTTGTTCCTATGAATTCTTCAGAAGAACCAACTTTGGAGTGTTATGGCCCTTTCTGCTAACAAACTTGTTTGTATGTGGTACTTAGTTTATCTTCCTACCATGAACAAGCAGCTATGGACCTTGTGGTTGAGACAACATAAGACAGCACAAATATTTGCACCTGACTCTCAAACCACACATTTTAGAGCTAGTCATATGGGACACCCACCCCGTGGTAATTCATTTTTCAGAATGCTGCATGTTTTACTGCTTGGCTAAGTTCGTAAATCCTACAACTTAAAGTTTTGCTTTTTTATTTTTATTTTTTGTTTATTTGTAACTAATATTATATCTGGGAATTAGATTTCTATCTTTTGATGCTAAAAATATAATATTTTTATTCTATGCTGTAGGTAGTCTTTTTTTATTTTTTATTTTGAGAAGTGCTTAAATGAAAGACTCTCTGCTGTTAATATTTTATCAATAGATTTTATGCAGTGTGAGTCCTTCCACAGAGACATGCTCACTGGATAGTTAACAATTTCCAACTAGTAAAAATATGCATGGAAAATACTATGCTTGCTCCTTACATGCTGAATTATTAAAAACATCCAAAAATTTGATCTGAGATCTTAAATGCTGACCATTTGTGTTATCTTCCTGAATTACTTTTTTAAAAAATCTCCTGGTTGGCAGGTTCAGATAGGCTGACTAGTTTGTGTGTGTGTGTGTGTAGATAGTTGAATTTTGTCTTCTCCAAATCCTCTCTCTTTGTTAAAGGAAAATCTATAGAATCATTTCAGATTTGTTCTTCTATATATTCTGTCTTCTCTAAACCTTATCTATTGAGAAACCTTTTTTCATTATCAATTCAAAAACATTCCTAGATCTTAATATATTTCATATGACTCCTGCAAGAGGTGTAATTAGTAGGAAAGGGGTCTTTTAAATGCATTGGGTTCAAGCAAAAAGGCTATCCATTTAGAATTCATACTGAAAAGGAATATATTAGTGTAGGGAAGTGAATGAGAGTCCTCTTGAAATATTTTGCTTAGGGACCTATAACTTATTCTAAGCTCCTGACTTACATTTTGTTTATTTATTTACTTATTTATTTATGGAGACAGTCTTGCTCTGTCACACAGGTTGGAGTGCAGTCGTGTGATCACAGCTCACTGCAGCCTTGAATTCCTCAGTTCAAGCGATCCTCCTGCATCAGTCTCCCAAGTAGCTGGGACTATAGATGTTTGCCTCCATGCCCAGATAACTGACTTAAATTTATGTGTTCTGGTCAAGTTCAGCTGATTAGTCAAAGGCATTTCCTTTAATTCTGCAATGCCTTCAGTAGTCATCCAAATGGCACATTTTCCCAGATTATAACTAACTCCTTTTCCTGTTTAATTAATGGTCATAGTTCAGAGTTCATTTCCTGACTGAAACCTCTACTTTCAGCAATTTAAACTGTGGATTTTAATTATTAGGTTAATAATGAGCATTTAGAACTCAAAGATACCAGCTTTTAATCCATATTACTATTATTGATTTGAATATTTATAATATATGTTCCATTTTAGTACATATGGTAGATTATGTATGCTAATATTTTCATATTTTAAATGCTGAATTTAGCAATACAGATGATTTTGTAAGTGACAAATAAAAATTGTATGTATTTTCAGTGTACAGCATATTTTATATATATATCCATTGAAAAATGATTAAATCAAGCCTGATAACATATCTGTCACCTCACATATTGTTTGTGGTGAAAGTATTTAAGATCTACTATATCAGCAATTTTCTAGTATCAATACATTATTATTAACTATGTTTTACTATGTTGTACAATAAAGCTCTGGAACTTGTTTATCCTGTCTAACTGAAACTTTGCACCCTTTGACCAACATCTCCCCATCCCTGCACCTGCCCCCACAGCCCCTGTCAACCACCATTCTATGCTCTGTTTCTGCAAATTTGACTGTTTTAGATTCCACATATAAATGAGGTCACAATATTTGTTTTTCTATGCTGGGCTTACTTCACTTAGCACACTGCACTTCAGTTTTATTAGGATTTCCTTCTTTTTATAAGACTGAATAGTATTCTATTTTATGTCTATCTATCTATCTATCAATCATCTGTCTATCTCTATCAATCATCTATTTGTCTATCTTTGGAATTTAAGAAGGTAAAGAGAATGACAAGAGAAAAATATTGGTGTGTTAGATGTTTTTTTGTGCTATTTCAGTTATTAATCACAGAGCTTGAGTGAAATTATTTTAACTATTTATTTAAACTCAATTAGCTTGAAACTTTTAAGGAATCATAAAAAATGAATACAGAACCATATATAAATTATATATCACTAATTTTTATAATTCTTCTTACTCAAAATTTACTTGGGAAAAATATAGAAACTGTATTTATGGATTGTTTAAGGAGTATAAAATATTTATTTAAAAGCTATTAAAAACTAGTTTTTAGCAGATCATCTTTAGAGAATGTCTTTGGAGCTTGATAGTCATGAGTTTTTAATGTTAGATTAATTTCATATTAAAGACAAAAGTGAAACATTAAGAAACAAACTGTTTTGAAGCTAATGTAATTTATAATCACAGTATATATTGGGAAGACTTAAAAACTAGGAGAAATTACATAAATGAATATCCTGAGTAAACAACAACTAACATTTATTGTACACTTAGTATGTGTCACACATTTTTAGGTGTTTTGTACTTATTAACTTATTGAACTCAGTAATGTCCCAGAATAGGTACACAATAGGATATGGGGATATACAATGAGGAATCAAACAGAGAAGTAGCTCTGCTCTCAGAGAATTTATATTTTAGGGGGAGAAGACACAAAATAATTAAAATTAATAAATAAAACATATAGTGTGTTATATGGTGGTGAGTTTTATGAGGGGAAATAAAGGCATAAACGGAAGAAGGGGAGTATGATGTATGAATGTGGTGGTCTTTCATTTTAAGAAGGTATTTAGGGAAGGGCTCACCGAGACTGTGACATTTGAGCAAAGATCTGAAATCGCTGGTAAAGACATCTGGATGTCTGGAAGAAGAAAGGCCCAGAAAGAGGGAATAAGTGCGAAGGCTCTGAGGCGGGAGCATGCTTCGCATGTTTGTTTCAGAAGCAGAGATGCTCATGGCCAGGAGGAGAGCAACCAGAGATGAGGTCAGAAAGTTAATAAAGGGCCTGATTTTGTAGACTTGGGCTTTTATTCTGAGAAATATGCAAAGTTAATGAATGGTTTGAGAAAAGACATTTTAACAGGATTCCTCTAACTACTATGTTGAGAATAGACTGTGGGGGCAAGAGTTAGAAGAGGAGGTCAAGTAGGATGCTGTTGAAATAGCCCAAGCAAGGATTATGGTACTTGGATCAGGGTAGGGGTGGAGTGTGGAGAGAAGTTTTGAATTCTGGATATATTTTGAAGATAGAGCCAACAGGATATGGTGTCTGAAAGAGAAGAGTCAATGAGATGCAGGGCTTTGCTCTGAATCATGGGAAAAGCATTGGGAAGACAGTGGAAGAAACAGGTTCAGGAAAGGAAGATCAAGAATTCAGTTTTGGACATTTTGGATTTGAGATGCCCATTAGACATCCAAGAAGAGGTAAATCTTCACTACACCTCTGTGAGGTAATTCCCAGTATTGTCCTGATTGTGCAAACAAAGTAACAGTTTAGAAAGGTTAACTTCTCTTTATTCATCAGCAAGTAACAGAGGCAGCATTCAAGCCTGGGCAGTCTGACATCACAGCCCCTGCTTCTAAGCACCATGAGATCTGCGTCTAAGGATTTCAGAAATGAGTATAGTTGTGTTGAATCATATAGACTTATAATATGGAAAACTCTACCACCCATCAGATCTAGGACTTGCGATAGCTTAGATTAAAATGGCTCTTTTTAAAGGAACATTTAGGCCAGGTGCGGTGGCTCAACGCCTGTAATCCCAGCAGTTTGGGAGGCCACAGTGGACGGATCACGAGGTCAGGAGATCGAGACCATCCTGGCTAACACGGTGAAACCCCGTCTCTACTAAAAAAAAATACAAAAAAATTAGCCGGGCGTGGTGGCGGGCGCCTGTAGTCCCAGCTACTCGGAGGCTGAGGCAGGAGAATGGTGCGAACCCGGGAGGTGGAGCTTGCAGTGAGTGGAGATCGCGCCATTGCACTCCAGCCTGGGCAAAAGAGCAAGACTTCCTCTCAAAAAGCAAAGAAAAAAAAAAAGGAACATTTATAAAACCTTAAGTATTTTGGTTTCTCTCTGTCTCTATCTCTATCTCCATCTCCAACTTCATCTCCATCTTCATTTCTCCATCTATCTCTATCTATCTCTCATCTCTATTTCTTTTATAAAAATATTTTTATTTTACTGTAATAGACATCCCATTCATCTCTATTTCTCTCTCTCTCTCCCACTCCCCGCCCCCACCTTTACTCTAGAGAGCTGTTTTTCACATCTGTCTAGCTAGGGTGGCAGTTTTCTGTACTACATAGCTCTTAATAGCTTGTGACAACCGTTCTCATTTTGGCTACTACATTTCTGGTGCTGTTTGTATTTATGCCTCTTAGTCACAAGCTCTCCAACATTTTAGCTTTCAAAAAGTTCTTGCCATTCCTGGTTACTTTCTGAATGTTGGTTGACCCAACATTCTACTTTCCTAGGAGTCCATAGTTAATGACATTGTTCAGGCTTCGTGTATCCTACATTTCCATTTTGTCCAATGTGCTTATGGTTAACTCACCACACAGCAGCTGTTTAGGTATTCTTTTGTCAATTAATCTAGCCACACAAGGTCAGCTCAGATTTTTTGGGTTGCATTGTGCACTATATAACTCAGCAAAACAAGTTATTACAATAGAAATATATACCCTCTGTATTAAGTAGGATAGTGTAAGTGTGGACTACTCTAAATAACTTGTCCAAACAATTGTGGAGTTAAAAAAACACAGTTTTTAAAGAATTATGCATGATCTGCGCTAAATTTCCTACCAGCTCCTAGGAAATATTTTATATCTTGGTATGACAGCCTTAGAAATATGTATTTGTAAGTGAATGGCTGACATACCATTAACTATTCAGCAATACATTCACCAAATCAATACAAATGTAGTGCATAGTCAATAATATGATTCATTTGTCACTTGGTGGTTGGTCCCATCAGAATAAGTACATTATAAAATGCTAAATTTTTTCCTTTCTACATTGTACCCTGTATTACCCCATGATTAAACTAAAGTGTTAAAGTCTGAAATCATTTTAGTTCATACTTACAAATAATGACACATGTGGGGGAAGCATCTGGTGAAACAATATAATCAGTTGAGGGAATTTAATATTAGGCTGCATCGAAAGTATGTGTGACAGAGTTAAGAAACTTGATTATCTATTAAAAATGTGGAGCATCTAGAAATTAAGTCATTTTAGGGAAAGAAAATGATTTTTGGGTTTTCTGCTTGACTCAACTTTAGTAAGCATTTTGATATCCTATATGTTTCCTCTAGAAAATAGGAGTGATAGTACCCCTCTTCACTGGACCTTGATTTCCAGAGTCATCCTAAGGCTTCTCTCATTCTTCATTGTCCTTGTTTATTTTCCCAGTAGAATGTGTACTGCTGTTATTCCCTTACAGACCAAGCTGACCTGGCCAGCCCTTTTGTGTTTTACTCCTGTTAGTTCTTAAGCATGTTGCATACAAAAGTCCATAAATGGATACTCAGTCTTCTCCCTTATGTACCTTTTATTGTTGAAATAATTTTCTCATATTACTTAGATTCCCACAATATGGTCTTAATACTTCTAATGACTGGACCAAAGAGAGGACAGAATCACATATAGGAGAGATGTATATGGTAAAGTAGAAATAATACCTGGGTGATACTGTAGAGGGCAGGGCTTGGTCTATAGGGTGCTGGTAGGAGTGGAGCTCCAAATGAGGTGGGTCGCTGAGAGCTGCTTGCTCCACAGTTTTGCCTAAGAGCCAGACCTGCTTCTGCTTTTATATCATTAGGCAGTTTGCTTTATCAGCACTGCTGGCTTATAGTTAAGTATCAGAGATATTTATTATTGTCAATATTTTATCAAGATGTATCTGTTTAAAACTGCATGAATTTTAGGTGTCACAGAAGATAACATCCCAAATTTAGTGACAGTTAATGATTTGCTATTAGGTCATTCTTGCTTAAGTCAGGTGCACCAAAGCCAAATAGCATGGTTTAGATCATTTACTAAATAATATCAATGTGGACTCTCTGTCCACATTGCTTTCTTAAAACTATATTACTGCAATGCAGTCTACTTGTAGCAGCTTTTGAAAATGCAACTCAGAAAATGAGTGAAGGCTTATTTCTTAATAGGATAAGCCACAGGGGGAACATTATATTTTTGTCCTCTAGTTCCACAATTTGCTTCCAGGTGCAATTCAAGGTGTTGACTTTGATGCATTTTGCTTTCTTCACTTTTTAAAAAAATATTTTTCCAAATGCTACCTCATGAAGGTTATTCAGCTGAGACTACAAGAAGTTGAGACTTTCGCTGACAGTCTTCAGATTTGCCATATTTGCTGATGCATTGAGTGCATCAGTGCATGGGGTGCATAATTATCTTTGCCATAAATATATTCGGGTAGAAGATGCAAGTGCTATTTCTGAACCTCAGTGTGGCCAAAACATTGTACATGTTTCTTAAAACAACAAAAACTCCCATAGGAGGAGGAAAAATATCTTTTTTTTTTCTGGCTTTCTTATTTGAGTTGTATACCATATTAAATAAATTATTATTGTGACAATTTACCTGATACTTACTGGAGTAGCTTCTACTTGTTTCATACAATAAATCGGCATAGTTTGTGGCAATAGAGCTTATATGGGGTTGGGTTACGCTCCCTGTGTATAATCATTGTCACTTTTAGTAGTCAGGACGATACCCAGCAACGGTTAAACATATTCATTTTGTATTACTTGTGAGGGAGACACTCTAAGGAATATTTTCATTTATCTGTGCATTGATAAACATGCAATTTTATTTAAATAACAAATTTATGTGGTTAAAAATATCAAACAATACAGAAGAATTTAGAATAAAAAACTGCAATCCTTAGCCACACCCTTCCCTACCCCCAGAGGTGGCCAACGTTTAACTGTTTTTGTTTTGATTCTTCTGGCAGTTATATCTATACTTCTTTCTTTTTTTTTGAGATGGAGTCTCCCTCTGTCACACAGTCTGGAGTTCAGTGGTGCAATGTCTGCTCACTGCAACCTCTGCCTCCCGGGTTCAAGCGATTCTCCTGCCCCAGCCTCCTGAGTAGCTGGGATTGTTATATCTATATTTCTAATTAATATGTATCATTATTTCTTGCTTTAGTACCTTTATATACTATTTCCTTTTTTTTTTTTTTTTTTTTTTTTTTTGAGATGGAGCCTTGCTCTGTCGCTCAGCTCAGGCTGGAGCGCGGTGGTGCAATCTAAGCTCACTGCAACCTCCGCCTCCCGGGTTTAAGCAATTCCCCTGCCTCAGCCTCCCTAGTAGTTGGAACTACAGGTGCATGCCACTATGCCCAGCTAATTTTTGTATTATTAGTAGAGACGGGGTTTTGCCAAGTTAGCCAGGCTGGTCTCAAACTCCTGATCTCAGGCGATCTGCCTGCCTTAGCCTCCCAAAGTGCTGGTATTACATGGGTGAGCCACTGCGCCTGGCCATATTTTCTTCTTGATATGCTTAAGCCTGAATTTATTTATATTACTCTTTACTTCCCCATTCCTCTTTTTCCACATATGATCATATCAATAGTCTGTTTTCCTACAGATTAACTTTGGTACTTCAAAAATATAATCAAATCTGTATTTCTTATTTCATTGACAATGGACAGTACCTCTGAACTCTCCACTTTGTAAGACAAACACATTATAACTCCCAGTCTTTCTTCCACTTCTTTTTACCTTGGTACTTCTCAGTGTTCTAAGCCAATAAACAATATTCCCTCTAAAATGACAAGATAAATATAATATGTCTGCAGAGCTAGGCACAGTGCGTTAGTAATATATTTCCTTCTCTATTGGTCTATGGAAGTTATACTTCTTTCTCAATAGGTTTTATATAGGACTTCTCTGCCACTCAGGGGAGAATATTCTAGCTTCAAATCCCAATGAATTATCTGCTTGAACACTTCACTAATAGAGTTTATCATATCCTTACCCTTTTCATAGTTCTGAATCCATTCAGTTCCTTTTTTCCTCTGAAGACCTGCCTCCTGGAATGCTATATCCACTGGGTCTAGTCTGCCCTGGTTACTCTCTAGGGTCATTCCAAAGCTGTCATTGTGAGACTTACTTTCACTGTTCCATGGACATCACCCTGTTACTTGGATCTTATGTTTTCTTTATGGCTTACATCCTTAAGTTAACTTCCTAAGGAAGGGTACACAGGAGATAAAATGAATGAGATCTTGCAAACCACAAAGATCTTTATTCTACTTTCACACTTAATTGATCAAGTCATTTGGCTGGACATATATTTCTTGGTTGAAGATCATTTTTTTCAGAACTTTGAAAGCATAAATTCACTGTCTTCTAGCACTTAGTTTTGCTGATAAGAAATCTGATATCAGACTAATTCTAATTCATTTGTTGATTACTTTGCTTTTTTTAATCTCTGGAAGTTTTTAAGATCTTTTCTTTATCTTTGTTTTCAACTGAACAACTTTATTTACTTATTTACTATTTTCTCTTATACAGATGCTCCTTAACTTAGTGGAGTTATGTCCTAATAAACCCACTTTAAGTTGAAAATGTCGTAAGTCAAAAAGGCATTTAATACACCTAAGTCAAAAAGGCATTTAATACACCTAACCTACCAAACATCATAGTTTGGCTTAGCCTATCTTAAAGGTGCTCAGAACACTTACATTAGCCTACAGTTGGGCAACACCATATAATACAAAGCTTATTTTATAAAAAAGTATTGAATATCTCATGTTTTTTTTTGAATACTGTGCTAAAAGTGAAAACCAGAATGGTTATATGGGTACTTGAGGGATGATTTCTACTGAATGTATATCACTTTCACAGCATGGCAAAGTAAAAAAATTAAGTTGACCTATTGAAAGTCAGGGGATGTCTGTATTTATTTTTTGCTAATCATCTCCCCTCTATGTACTTTCTCAATATTTATTAGTCAATATTGATCATTCTGGATATATCCTCTGTGTTTCTTTAGTCTATATTTTCTGTTTCTTTGTCCTTACTGTTCTATGTCTTGGGAGACTTCCCTGGTTTTGTCTTGTAAGACTTCTCTTAAATTATATGTTTTAATCTAAGATCATTTTCTTATTCACCTATGTTTTTTCATAATATATTTTTCCTGTTTGCAGAGTCAACATTTTTGGGAATGTCTCTGAGAATATTATTTTGAGGGTTTCAAAAGCACTCTTAAATCCTCTGGATTATTAGCGCTTGTGGTGGAGCCATTTTTCTACTAGTTTATATCTTTCTCTTTCATATTGCTGGCTTTAGTCAAACATTTAGTGATTTGGGTGGGCTGTCCATCTGGAAGAATGAAACTGACTGGGGGCTCTGGGTACGGGAGATGTTTCTTGACCGGCATCCTCTGCCTTTTGCTTCATGACTAGGGCACTGATCATTAAGCCTGAGAATCCCTAATTACTAGGATGAGGAGGGCTTTAATTAGCACATTAACGTACTGTCTTATTTTTTTCTAGTATGATCAGAGAAGATAGCCCACATTTTTTTCGTTCAGTGTTAAGTGCCTGGTTTTAGGCAGTCTTACTTCCAGGGGTGGGAAAGGGCTAGTATGTGTGCTTTCTATTCCATAAACCAGGGGTCAGCAAATTTTTTTCTGTGAAAGCCAGATAGTAAAAATTTAGGCATTGCAAACTACATATAGTTTCTGGCACAAATTCTCATTTTATAAACAATGCTTTAAAACCACAAAAACTGCAAAAATAGGTGTTGGGATATAGTATACCAGTCTCTGCAAAACAGACTTGCATCAGTCCCTCCCTCTTCAGCCTCATGTTTCACTGTCAACTTCTGAGTCTCAATCCTATCTAGATGGGGATTCCATAAAATAGATTGAACCCTCCTCTTTCACCTACCACCATTCCTGAGGTTTAGCCTTTCTCTTTGTGTATTTTGATTTCTTCTGTGTATTTCTGTGTTTCGTTCACTTCTCAGTCATAAATCTTCCATCAGTATTTTGTCTTTCAAATTCACATCCACTTGTGGGCCCCTTCCTTCTTTCTGTTATTGTTTGTAGTAGATTCTGTTAGTTACTTACATCCTGTCATTGCTCCCCGTTTTTCAGCACCCATCCCATTTTTCAATGCCAGCACCTGTAGCTCTTAGCCTGAAGGTCCTGTCTGGATGTAGAGCTTGCTCTACCTGTCCATGAGCAGTCTGGTGGAGCCAGAGAATGTCCCCTCCCATCAGCCTTCAACAAATGACTAGTAGGAATTGGTGAACAAACACCTCAGCTTCTTTTTCCTTCTGTTGGGATAACTTTGAGTTGCATGTTCTACTCTGGCTTCCGAGTTGCTTAGCTGAATTAAGCACCAGGTGCCAAATGATCTGTTGATAGTGAGCCCTTTATTGAATCTCCTGCATTTCATATCTCACTTTTCCTCTCCTGTATTAGTGTTTCCTGGCATTACCTCTCATATAAATTGCTTGTGGTATAGAATCCTTATCTCAAGGTCTGCTTCTGAGCAACTCAAATGGAGATACCATGGGTTAAATTTGTTCTTTATTACAATTTCAATGAAATATTAGATGGAAGAGCAGACAACTAAGTACTTCTTTCATTATATTGAATCTGAATCCTATTAACTGATATTATTTTGAGCATTTACCGTTAGCCAGGTATTATTCATGGAGAGTAGAATAATGAGTTATACGTGAATTCTACCTGCAAGGAACTTGTGTTCTACTGAACAGATAATTCATTCAATAGAATGTTTTAAGTGTTGTTAAGAAAAGTTGAGGGCAGCCTTCGTGGCTCACACCTATAATCCCAGCACTTTGTGAGGCCTATGAGGGCAGATAACTTGAGCCCATGAGTTCGAGACCAGCCTGGGCAACGAGGTGAAATCTTGTCTCTACAAAAAATACAAAAATTAGCTGGACATGTTGGCATGCACCTGTAGTCCCAAGCTACTTGGGAAGCTGAGGTGGGAGGATCACCTGAGCCTGGGAGGTAGAAGCTGCAGTGAGCCATGATTATGCTGCTGCACTCCAGCCTGGGCAACAAACAGAGACCCTGTCTCAAAAAAAAAAAAAAAAAAAAGGTAGAGATGAATGTGTCATTGGGCTTAAAGTCATGAAAGGTTATTTGAAGATGGGTGGTTAGGGATGAATTCAGGAGGAGGTGACATTTGAGTTGGGTAAAAGGGAAGTCAATTTGAAGATAAAGTGATGGGGCTGGACGTTCCTAGGGAAGAAACAGAATAAGCACAGTCCCTTTTCAGGTGGCATGTGAAGAGGAATGGTTCACTCAGGAGAAGCCTTACCTGCCTAAGTGAGGGAAGGCAACATTATGTGAAGCAAGTGTAAGTACATACAAAAACCCAGACATGTACACAGGATTAATTAAAATTGTAAGGAGATGCTCATATAAATATTGATGGAGATTGGTGATAAATGATTCATATAATCAGGAATTTGGATTTGATGTGGAAGCAAATGGGAGCCATTAGATTCCTCTGTGAAGGGAAATTGAAAGCATCTTTATGAGAAAACGTTGTGCTTTAGGATGTTCTATTCTTGTGAGGAATAGAATGATGTAGGTAAGGAAGACGCTATTGCAGGGATGTGGTAATTTTTCAGTCTGCATCATTGTGGTGGATCGTAGGATTAAGAATCAGAGGGCCACTTTGAGAAATATGGAAGAAGAATCTGAATTGCCAAAGGCAGAAAAAACAGATAGAGGTATGGAAAATAGAAAAGCAAGGAAAAATTCAAAGGACAAGTTCATTCTCTGAGAAATCTCTCAAAGTGGGGAGGATAATAGAGGGAATAAGAAAGAAAAAAAGGCCTGTTTCCTGTATCTGGGCCAGTCAGAATTGAGGTTAGCTAGGTAGCTTATTGGCCGGAGCTCTGCTTCATCTTCTATTTATCCTCTCACTATTTCTAACCATCTATGTCCTTCCAAAGAGTTGGTGAAGAATTGTATAAATCTGTTGGAGGTTATGTGTTGGGTTTATCCTGATTTTTTTTTGGTACCAGTTTCCTAATGGATTTTTAATGGGAAACATTTAAAAAATAGAAAGTAATCATTCTTTATTGATAATAAATCCTTGAGTGTAACTGAAAGACTTTTAGTGCCCACAAATTATACGTTACAGTTTCTATTTAAACTAATTTACTGCTATAGTCACAACAGTTGTTTTGCTGATTTCCATGTGAAGACTTCTTGCATGGAAAAAAAGTACAAAACAAAATCTACTGCTTTCCTACATTGCCAATTTCTTAGGCACCAATACATAAGTTAGCATTATTAGTGGGGAAAGTCACTAATAATGTATTTAACTATATGCCGAGAAGTCTGTGCTCATTATTGCAGCCATGGGGTAGCAATAGCTACACATTAAGAAGTTACGAGCTACTATTTCAGAGAAATTGCTCTTCCAATAATAAGTAGTCTGTGTTCTATTTTTCTCCTTCCTTGAATATCAGTGTGGAAAAAAGTTAATTCAGAAAACAACAATCTCAGGAATTGAAAAGCTTAAATAATCTCGTAACTGGCCTTTGTTCCCCTTCCTAGCCTTATTAAATCGTATTTAGAATGATTCTAGCATATTACTTGCTTTTTCAGACCCTAAATCTTAAGCATTTGCTTTATTTCATACATCCGTGAAAGGCCAACTCTCACTGTCTCCTCTGTTAGTGACTGGTAGAAGTGGTATCACACACTTCTAGTTATCTACATTTTTGCCTATTAGTAATTTACCCTGAGGTCCATTTCCTTTCTTTTGTTATCCAACAATATTGAACCAGGCCATCCTATATGAATTTTGCTTTTTATGGCTTTGGAATTAGCAATTACTCTGAAGCTTTCATATACTCTAATCTCATCTTTCTTCTTTCTCACTGTTCTTTTAACAATGATGTCATTGCTCATAATCTATAGTAATATAATTTGCATATTACTGTTTGGCTACTGTCAGACAGTTCTGCTTAGCAAATTATGCAAAAGGTTCTAATGCCAGGACAGGACGTCTATCTTCTGGGTGAATTCTGAGGTTGTCATCTATGTGGGGGAGCTGTACATAGGAAAGTAGCTCTCTTTTCTGTTTCAGATTTAGTTTTGGAAAAAGTGCAAAAAGTTATCCCTGAGGAAACCAGGGATACCCAAACACCTGCAGAAGCAGTATGGCTCTGTCTGAAATAATCCACTTCTAAGATCACATGATCATTAGGCTATGGAGGCTGAAAGAGATCATATAGGTTGAGCACCCACCCTTGCCTCTAGTCAACGTTGCTATCCACTACTGGATTAGGAAAATACGAAGCAGAGATGGAGTAACATAATGTAACAGATAAAAGTGGGGGATCCATAGTCAGACAATGAAATCCAGATTTTCCACTTACAGTTCTGATCTTGGACAGGTTGATTAACCTCTTTTTGCCTTAGTTGTCTTAACAGTAAAACAGATACTGATAATACGTATGCTACAGAATTGTTAAGATTAAGTGAGGGGCTTCAAATGTTTTCAATATTAAATAAACATAAGGTGTTATTTTTATTACTTTTAGAGCATGTAAAGACCATTTATTTACGTTTGTGCTGAAATCTTTCATTGGCTGTAGCCAGATAAATGCATTGTCAGTTCAACTTTTTGAGTGAAATCTTTTTCTTTTCTGCTGTGCTCTGCATTGTATAAAACCAACTTAGTAACATAATTTACACATCATTCAAATGCATATACATGTTTGAGAGTGATTTTTAAAGAATCTAGCTGCATTTTCACAATGGTTTTAACACAAAGTTGTTAGAGATAATAAAAATATTTACCTTTTAGCAGCATGATTTATTTCATACTGGTACTGAAGCTTTGGGCCTGTGTGGTATTTTTGAAGGAATGCTTAAAATTGCTGTAACAAAAATAACACATATTCTGCTTTAACTGCAGCTGGAACTGGCCTTTTATTTCACAGACTCATTCTTATTCTTTTGAAAGATAGATATTTTTATTAGTATTGATAATTTCATTCTATCAAAATGATTTCTAAATCTCATAGAATTTTAGTTGTTATAAACTGGCTTGAGGTGGTGCCACACGTGTATTTTTATCATAAATAGCTAGTACTAGAATAATTTGTCTTCTTTTTAATTTTATATGAGTTGTGCTTTAATCATTGGGCACTGAGTCTCAATAACCTCTGGTGCTGTGGCATTCCATTTCCTCCTGGTTCTCACAGCCTCCAACATTGATTTCAGAACTGCCTTATTACTGCATAATGTTCCTGGTTCATTGTTATAAACAGATAGCCTGAAGTGAAATGTATGCTATTTAAAGACAGCAGTGTTTTCCTTTTTCTTTTTTAACATTTGAATAATACATCAGTGTGAAAAATAACACCTTCAATATTAATAAGTTTTGGATGCCAACTAGGATTTTAAAAATTTGTATTTCAGATGCTACTTCATTACCTATAAAGGTCTATCCATACCAGGTAAAAAAGCATTTTGTATTTATTTGGTAGCTTTTCAGTGTCAGACACTTTGCATAAATTGTACTATTTAATTCTCATAATGGCTCCTGGAGGCAGGAATTATTACCCTCATTTTAGAGAGAAGGGAATTGAGGATCAGAGGTAAAATGATTTGCAAAATGAGTAAGTGAAAAACTAGGACTTGAACCTGGCTCTGATACCAAAGACTGCTCACCTGTTCTACATTACTGCCTGGAGTGAAGGAGAAAGAAATATGTGTGGCAAAAATGGAAATGGCTATGGCCATTTAGAAGAATAGTTCTGCCAAGGACCCCTTTACAGAATTATCCCACTTCTACAAAAGACTCTGATATAGATACATTTTAGTTATAAATTTTGTTACCATACGTGAGGATACAGCATTGGCCATAATTAACTGCTGCTGTTATAACTTTGTGCATTAGTGGCAGTTTTGTGAGGCTAGCTGAATTTTTCGTTTTACCAAGAGCTTGATTGTTCTCTCTAGACTTCTCTTTGTCTCCTGCTGAGATCTTGTTAAACATTTTGAGGATGAACTAATCAGTGTTTTGCATCCTTCCAATAAGGCGAATGCTTTTGTTTTCAGCATAATTTAATGTGAGAATATTCCGATGAAAATAGATTGAAGACTCCTTCACCAGTTATGGTCGGGAAAAGTAGGCTGGCATAGTGATGGTTTTGGGGCAGGCAACCTCATTAATGTTTAACCTGGGGAAGAGACTTCAGATAAATGTTTGTAATGGTCAACAACTTATAGATTATTTCTAATCATTTATTTTCTGATTCTCAACATTAATGGTTCTAGGTCATTTGCAGATATTAAAATTCTACCATGGCACATGTTTATCTGTGTAACAAACCTGCACATCCTGCACATGTACCCCAGGACTTAAAAATAAAAATAAAAATAGGCCGGGCGCAGTGGCTCACGCCTGTAATCCCAGCATTTTGGGAGGCCGAGGTGGGTGGATCATGAGGTCAGGAGATCGAGACCATCCTGGCTAACACGGGGAAACCCCATCTCTGCTAAAAATACAAAAAATTAGCTGGGCCTGGTGGTGGCGGTCACCTGTAGTCCCAGCTACTTGGGAGGCTTAGACAGGAGAATGGCGTGAGCCCAGGAGGCTGAGCTTGCAGTGAGCCGATATGGTGCCACTGCACTCCAGCCTGGGCGACAGAGTGAGACTCCATCTCGAAAAATAAATAAATAAATAAATAAATAAATAAAAATTAAAAAAAAAGTAAATAAATAAATCAGGGTTGCAGAAGCCATGGAGTTAAAGATCATGGGTCCTAACTTCTCAGGTAAAGAGCCAGATTATTCATTCTATTTGGTGATTATGTAAAATTAATTACAAAGCTTTTCTCTGAGTAGAAAAATAAAAACGATTGCAAAAAAAATCCTTTTGGGGGACTTATGAGAGGAAGGTGATTCATTCTCAAAATCATGATACCCAAATTGATAAGCTTTTGATAGTGATGTTAATGCTTGAAAATCAAATTTGCTCTTTCTTTACCCCAGTGGATCACTTCGACATAAATTAAGAATGCTTAATTTGAAATTAATTCTCCCAATGAAGAAACAATTCTAATTTTCCTGTAAACTGCTTCTTTGGGTTTAGCACAGTAGATTACAGTAGTTTTTGTTTTCACAGGTCAGTCTAGCCCATTTGATATTGATCAGCATATTGCAACTTGTGACAAGGAGCCAGTGTGTATTTGTACAGTGTTCTGATGTATTTGGTGAAAATGTGTTTTGATGTCATTGATGGCAAGAATTGTCACCATCTAAATATGTAGAGAGGGGTAATACACCAGTTTTCTTTTTTCTTTTTTCCTACATGCTAGAGGCTACAGATTTTAAATTTCAACAGTATAATTCAGTTTTTACCCTATATTCTCTATTGCTAATATGAATCTTTTCCAATATAACTTTTTGAAGACAGTTCTTACGATTTGCTTTAAGACAGAGCTGGAAATCATAAGCTTTTTGTGTGATTTTCAGACACCTGTTTGAAAACTGATGGAGTCAAATGCCTCAATATATAATGCAATAGAACAACTATGTTATTTGCACTTATTATGTGGTTTAGGATAATGCGGTCTTATAAATATAACAATTTCATTTACATTTGATACCAAGACCACGGTCTTGGCTTGTCTTTTATAGGAGACTTGTAAGTTCCTCTAGAACAGTATAGAAAACCATGTTCTAAATTATTTGTTTAGCTATCTGTATAATTTATTTTAAGGTATTCATTTAGTCATTCTGAATTTTTTTACTATTATTTAAAAATAATATGTAAAAATAATTTTTCTAAATGGCATTAAATATAATATCTCAACTGGGATGATACAGTAGAAAATTTCAGCCAAGATTTTGGCATGCAGAGTATGTAGAGCAGACAAAGTACATGTTTTACAGAATGGTTTCTGAATAAGACCCTTTCTTGTTTAGGTGTGACACATTTACTCATTTGAAAAAAAAATATCTACCCTTATCTTTTCATCATCTTCTGATACTTTTCTTCAGTGTTAATATGCTAGTAAGGAAATGGGTCCTGAGCTGTTAATCTCTGTAACTGCTTAATTTAGTTTTACATTTCCCACTAAAACAAAACTATTCTTGAGATTTTCTGTGAAACTCAATTTACATCCCAAATTCTTTTATTTTCCTACCAAAGGAGGGATTCTTTTATATCCATACTTTTATAAAGAGTTCTTGTATAAAACTACATTATGATGATATTAAGATATATGTAATCTATATTTAAAATCCACAGAATGTAATGATTGCGTATCAAAGAGAAAAGGTAAGAAACATTTCAGTAGCTGAAAGAAACACAAACTAACCTCAAGCAGACCAAAACTTTTGAAGTGTAATATACAAGTGTTTTTGTAAAAATGTCAGTGTTTTTCCTTGAACTGTTTCTTGAGTTGTTTCACATATTGAGGATTACTATGGTATCATGACAGCTAGAACAGAGTATAGGAGCAAAAAATAATAGACCACTAAGAAAGATAAGTGATCACCCATTTGAAAGAGAGACTGTGAGAGGATACAGATCCTGAATTGGCATAAGGTAAGGATTAAGGAAAAATTACTCAAGACTTAAGAGACGAAAATTATATATATTTTTTTGTGACAGAGTCGTCTCACTCTGTTACCTGGGCTGAAGTGCGGTGGAGCCATCATGTCTCACTGCAGACTCCATCTCCGGGCTTAAGCAATCCTCCCCCCGAGTAGCTAGGAGTACAGGTGCAGGTCACCATACTCGGCTAATTTTTGTAACTCTTATAGAGATAGGGGTTCTCCATGTTGCCCAGGCTGGCCTTGAACTCCTGGGCTCAAACGATCTGCCTACCTCAGCCTCCCAAAGTGGTATGATTACAGGTGTAAACCACTGCACCTGGCCTAAAAATTATATTATCTTAGCAATTTCTTTAAAATTCTCACTTACAAAAATAATAAGAAAATTGTAGAAAACCTGGTGATATAGTTTTTGGGTTTATTTCTAAAAACAAAATGAAAGAAGTCTAAGAATTAAAAACATTTTCCATAGAGGAGTGCTGATGGATCTGGGGTAGAAAAAAATTCAAATAATAAAAAATCTGGGAAATACTAGTATTTCTTATATGACTACCTCCAAGAAGGAGTTCATCAAAATTTTATCAAAATATCCTAAAATTGTGTTTCTTTTAATTTTTTAAATTTATTTTTTAACTTTTATTTCAGGTTTGGAGATACATGTGAAAGTTTGTTACATAAGTATACATGTGTCACAGGATTTTTTTTGTACATATTATTTTATCACCAAAGTATTAAGCCCAGAACCCAATAGTTATCTTTTCTTCTCCTTTACCTCCTCCCTCCCTCCCAAAATTGTGTTCTTATAACAAAAAATATTACATTAATGATGGCTTGATAAAAAGTACAACTGCATCTTCAAATAAAATTTTCTCATTTTGCTTATTCCAATGCAAATCAGATTATAACTGTCACTCTATGGTAAATTACAATAATAATACACAATGAATTTAAAATAACCATAGTTTAACAGTGAATGATAACCTCAAACATGTTTGCTGACCAAGTTGAAAATGCCAACTCTTATTCTGCAAACAGTAGAGATAGGGTTATCAGGATGTTGGAGAGATTTTGTGAGATAAAATAGTTAAAATGTAAAAGCATTTTATTTTCCTTTTAATTTTATTCAGCCAGCAATTGTAGGACTCTTCCAATGCTTCCTAAATGTTAAATGCATTCAGTGTTTATTGAATACCTATGATATTGAAATATTGAGGACCTACAGTATTGAATGTTATAGGTGTTAGTGACATAGGAGTGAAAAATACCAAAGTTCCTTTCCTCATAGTACTTGTACTCCTCTGGGAAGAGACAGACAATAATAAAAGTAAAATGACAAATGCATGTAAAGTATGCCAGTGGGTATTAAATACTATGAAAAAAAGTCAGGGTAAGAGTAATTTGAAAAAACAACTACCTTATCCTCGTTTCTTTGTAATGAAATATTTCTATTCTTGTCCTTCTTTTGTCATGAAATTTACTAATAATAAGCTCTGAAAGTATACTGGGAGACTCCATGTATAATTACACATAATTGATTTCTCCACTTTTTGACATATTACAAAGGACAGATTATGATTCTAGTAAATTTGTATCATGCAGAGAAAAGATTTCAGATAAAAGTGATCCATGAAAATAGAGACTGACATCTTGTTTCCTTTAAGAAGCCACAACTAAATAGCTGGCAAAGTGTTGAATTACCCTGTGGACACATGAATGGGAGTCTTGGCGAGAAGTAGTTTTAATCAGAGGTAGTTTTTAACCTTATTATTAGGACTTTTACATCAGATGTAGCTAAATAGGATGAGGTACATAATTTGTTATCAACATAGTTAATGTATTTATTGGTATTTATTGGTATATACTGAAAACATACCTTTAAAAGGTAACTAAATTAGAAATCTGAGTAAAATGTCAACTGATTTGCAGATATAGTAGGTGATTCGTAATAGGTGATTAATAAACATCTTTTTCAGGGACAAGCCTGTTTCAGTGAGTAGAAACTGAGCTTCTTCCATCTCTGGAGGCACTGGCTGAGTCTTGGGGCACAGGGAGGCAAAGGACCAAATCTGCCACAGACAAAACTTTACTGGGACAATTAGAAACCAGGCAATTTTTAAAGTGTACTTTTGTAAAAACTGCTTTATATAATTCCCATGCTATACCAGTCAACTATTTACAGTGTCCAATTTCATTTTTCTTTTATGATATTCACAGAGTTGTGCAACTATCACCAGAATATAATTTTAGAAGATTTTGTCTCCCCTAAAAGAAACCCAAAACTCATTAGCAGTCACTCTCCATTCCTCCAACCTCCTGCCAATCCTAGACAACCACTTATCTACTTTCTGTCTCTATAGGTTTGCCTATTTTGGATACTTTATTCAGACTTTTAGTGGCTAAATATTATTCCATTGTATGAAAATATACCACATTTTGTTTTTCATTCATTTCTTGATGGACATTGGGTTATTTCCACAGTACATCTATTGTTAACGTAGCTACAAACATATTTGTACAAGTTTTTCTATGGATATATATTTTCATTTCTCTTGGGTATATACTTAGGAGTGGAATTGTTGTATCATATGGTAGTTCTACCTTTTTGAGAAACTGTGAAACTGCTTTCCAAAATGTCTGAATCACATTACATCCCCATCAGCAATGTATGAGGGTTCCAATTTCTTCACATCCTTACCAACAGTTGTTACTGCCTAAATCTTTTTGATTATAGCCATTCCAGTGGCTGTAAAGTGATATCTCAGTGTGGTTTTTGACTTGCATTTCTCCAATGACTAATGATAAACATCTATGCATGTGCTATTGGCCATGTGTATATATTCTTTGGATAAATGTCTCTTCCAATCCTTTGCCCATGTTTTACTTGGCTATTTGTCTTTTTTATTGTCAAGTTATAAACTTCTTTATATATTCTGGATACAAGTCTCTTTTTAGATATATGACTTGCAAGTATTTTCTCACATTCTATGGGTTGTCTTTTCACTTTTCGGATTGTATCATTTGGAGCACAAAATTTAAAAATTTTTAGTGAAGTCCAAGTTATATAGTTTTTCTTTTGTTGCTTATGCTTTTGATGTCATGTGATAAACATTTGAATGTGTATGCAAGAAGCATATACTCTGTACTGTGAACAGTGCATATAAAAATCTTGAATGAAATGTCATCCCAGTTCAGATACTGCCTTTGCCTGTTGCTCACTAGGTGAAATGCAAAGTTCTCAATATACTACTCAGTGCTTCCAAGTGAACTATCCGATATTATCAGATCCAATATTTGGTGCTAACTGACCATGATAGCCAGAGCTTTCCTTTTTATGTCCCAGCCAATTCCCTCAGTCATGGTGCATTTCCAGATCTGTGCTTTTGCTTGTGCAGTTCCTAGCATTTAGGCTGTTCTGCTTTCCTCTTGTTTGTATTCTGTAAATCATTTAACACCCTATTCCAGTTCTGCTTCTTTTTCCTTTACTGCTCATCATGATTTCCTATTACGCTTGACTGAGCCAGACACTGAGTACCTATTAGGAACTGTTTATATATATATATAAAGTACTTTAACAATTACATATATATCATTTCCATATGTGTATATATAGATATACAAACTGTAGTTTCTAATAGTTTGTACATTTCCACTTAACACTTTAAGAATATATACTCTTATTGTTTCATGGTTTCATGTTAATAAGACTTTTCTTAGTAGATAACAGGCTTCTTGTGAGCAAGTCAATAGCTGCACTTCTACCACAGTGCCTGAAATGTGGCAGATGGTCAAGAAGCATTTAGTGTTGGCTACTGTCTGAGACCTTTTGGAATCTTGTTTGAGTCTCATCAGTAAGCTTATGACTTTTATTTAATAATTATAATAAGTTATTTTACCTGTTTTGATTCTGAGGAAAAGAATGTGTGACCAAGATCACTCTGCACTTTCCTTCTCTTTGAATGAGTTTAATTCTACATAAATATGTTTTTCTCAGGTCGGAAAGTGTTGTTTTTATAATAATGACTCAATATTGAAGTCTCAGGGCCTACATCAAAATATCGCAAAGTTGTTGTTGATAAAGAAAATGATGCATCGTTCATTTCCTGTAGTTCTGTATAAAAGTTTGGGGATTTTCTTGAATATGATCTTCAAACTTTTTCTTCTTAAAAAGCAGCTAACCAACCTACAGCCATATTAAGGTAGTGTGGAGTTTTTCCTCTTCTCTGAGTGGAATGGCAAATCAACGGTGTGTACTTGCTATGCATGTAGATGACAAAAAGCAGTGAACTGTGCTTGAATACTCACGTCTGTCAATTTTAGTACAGCGTGATGGCTGTGCTAGTTTCTAGGCTGCAGTTTGAATCTCCAGCAGAAAATTATTGACACGTCTCCATAACCAACACACTTGATCTTTGGCAATGTTTTGTCCTAGCAAGTAACTTGAAAATTTGTTTTACATTTTATCAAATAATAAAAAATTTAGAGAGTATGTTTCTAAATCTCTCAGGTGTAAACTCTACAGTGTTCTTGCTATTACTTTATCATCTTGATCAACTACCTTGCAGTTACATCCAAAGATAAAATAAAAGTTAAAAATGCAGAGGGAAGAGAAATCAGAAGGACATTTGTTGTGCCAATTACATAAATTTACTGTAGCAGTTATCAAATTGTCATCATTAGATTGTGATCTTTTATAGTATAGTTACTATGCTTTATTTCTGAACCCAGTACAATGTGTGACTCATAGTATATGCTCAATAAATGGCTGTGGATTTCTCCGTATGTTTTTGGAATGTGCTAATATATAATCAATCTTTAATAATTTAGATTGAAAAAGTGGATTCTTAACCAATATTCAACTCACTGACCAAAAACTATATTCTAATATAGTCATAAATAGCCATTAACACTCACATAATATTTTATACTTGACAAAATGCTTTTTCTATCTATTGGATCATTGAGCAAATAAATTACATAAATTCTAATTGACCAAAATACTGGACAGACACTAAGTATACTACAGTGTAAATGTGTATAGGCTTAATCTCATAGTGGAAATGACTTGAATAGCCAGTGGTTTGAAAATATTTATGTCTTCTAAATATGAACCATATAATTTTTGTTTTCTGTTTTAAAAACTACCTTGCCTCCTGTTTATACCCAGATAACACTTGTAGAATGTGGAAAATTACCCTGACAAAGCACCAGAGAACTTTCTAGATGAGACATTCAGGAACTGGTGCTCTATCACAAGGCCACAGAAGAGACAGAGCTATTAGATGGAAAATATGTGAAATTAAGTTATAGGTCACCATTGCCCACCTTTCTTCTGTGTATTCACTCCTTCCTTTCTCTCCCACATTTTCAATGTTGCCTGCATTAGATAAGAAAATAATGCTACTCTAAAAAGTCATCTACATGCTCCCTATGCACTTACACTGTGTCAAATCCATGTTTCTCTGGATGAAATTTTTTCTTTTTGCTTGGCATATTAAGATGGCTTTGGGGAGAATTTATGGAGAACTTTATTCGTATAACATTATGGTTAATAGCACAGGCCTGGGGAATAAGGCTAGACCAAATTCTCACTCCATCTCTTAGTAGCAATGGCAGAAATTACTAATTTGCTGCTCTGGCTTCTATCTACAATCACCTTCTTCCTAGCCATCTTCCAGTTAGGGGTGACCATGTAACACAGTTCTGGCCAATGACAAATAGGCAAAAGCCTGCTGGGTAAAACCCCTGAGGAAGCTAGGGGATTCAGCCAGTATGACCCTTATGTCTTCTTTCTCTTCACTTTTTCATATATATTGTGTAGTGGTGAAGTCTTGGCTATTAGTGTACTCATCACCCGTCTTTCTTTATTTATTTTACCTGGAGTCCTGTGATTCCAGAAGATATAGCAGCGATCATATAACTATGAGGAAGGTAGTACACTGTGCGTGGGGGTGGGGACAGCAAAAGAAACAGCCTACCCGTCCTTGTCCAAATTACTTAGTAGGTAAAACAGACCTGAATTGCCTATCTCCAATCCCCTTTTTTACTTTTTGAAGAATAACAGCCATTGTTTGTTTATGCCCTGAAGTTGGTTTTTCTGTTACTCACAGGTGAACACACTTCTAACTCTATGTCCTCAGTTTCCTCTTTTATTATTTGAAAATGTTAATAGTACCTACTTCATAGGGTTGTTGCAGGGATGAAATGAAAAGATGCAAGTGAGTGACTTAACAAAGTGCCTGTCTCAGAGTAAACACTCAGTGGGGGCTTGCCAATATCATTATTCCAACTTGAATATTTTCTTTATTATATTTAATGTTAGAAATTTAGATTTTAATGTAGATCATATGCTACTCAGTGCAGCTATAACATAATATATCTCTTTCATCTTCCAAGATTGTTTTCAGTGTTTTTAAGATAGTTTTGTTGAGGTATAATTGGCTACAGTAAACTGCACATATTTAGATTAGTTTAGTAAGTTTTGACGTATGTATTACCCATGAAACAAACATAGGGCACAGTAGAACAAAATACAATGTGACTAATTTTGCTTGGAGGAAGAGGGGTCAGAAAAAGTTTCACATCATGATCACAATAAAAATAATAACTATATCATCACCTCTGATGACTTCTTCATTCTCCTTTGTAATCCTTCCTTTCCATCACTCTCCATCCCCTCCTCCTTCTACACCATCACTCATATGCTTTCTATCACTATAGATTAGTTTTTATTTTCTAGAGTTTTCTACAAATGGAAATATATAATGTGTACTTTTTTGGGGGAAGGTAAGTCTGGCTTCTTTCACTCAACACTATTACTTTGAGATTCATCTATGTTGTTGCAAGTTTAATATTTTGCTTCTTTTAATTGCTGGATAACATTCTACTGTGTGGATATACAAATATTTGTTTTTCATCTAACGATGGAGAATTTTTAATATTTTATTACATGAAGTATCTGTCTTCCACAGCACTTTGTCCATAAGTCTAGTGGAACATTTCCCATAGTGTAGTAAACAAAGTTGTTTTCATATATTCTGCATTAGACTTTGTGACTACCCTTCAAATTGGTATTGTGTCTTATTATAAATAAGAGACACAAATTGGAATTGTGTCTTATTTATCCTTGCTCTTCCAGCCCCTAGCATAATGGCTTGGCTTTGAACGGGCACTCCATGTAAACAAACCTATAATGTGAGGCCAAAACATTCTGTTTCTCCTCTACTCTCACCATCATCACCACTTATTCATTCAAGTCAGGAACTTGAGAGATGTTTGTTTGCTCTTTTTTTTAGTCAATTTTGTTTAGGTATAAATTATATACAGTAAAACCTACATATTCAAAGTGTACAGGTCAATGACTTTGAGAAACATATACATTTGTAGAGCCACCAAACCAATTAAGATATAGAACATTTTCATCTCCCTAAAAAGCTCATTCTTACATCTTTGAAGTCAATATCTTGCACTAACGAGTTTTTCAGGCAACCACTGATCTGATTTTTATCAATATAAAGTGGTTTTGTCTGATTTAAACTTTTATATAAATTAACATTATTTAGTATGTACTTGTTTGTGTCCAATTTCTTTCATGTGGCACAATATCTGTGAGGTTCAACCATGTTGCATTTATTTGACTTTTAATTGGAGTGTCTAGTCCATTTACATTTAATGTAATTGTTGAAATGTTGGCGTTAAGTGTACTGTCTTTATTTGTTTTCATTCTGTCTTTCTATTTTTTTCTCTCTTTCTTTTTTCTGCCTTCTTATGAGCTGGTTGAATTTGTATGTGTGTGTTCCATTTTATTTTCTCTATTAGCTTCTTAGATATACCTTTTATTATTGTGTTTTGGTGTTTACTCTAGAGCTAATAATATGTATCCTTAACATAACTGAATCTATTTAAAGGCAGTATCTTATTTTTTTGTATTTCCTACTTCCATAATAATATTTATTAGTATAATTCTATTTACACCCTACCCTAAATTTATATTTTTGTTTAAAACCACTCAAATGACTGTCCATTTTTTTCTGGTACTAAATTTAAACTCCTAACATGGCTTATCAAATCCATTATGTTTTGGGCTCTGTTTACATCTTTAACCACATCTACTGTTTCTTCAACTCCAGGAATACAGGTACTAATTTTCTTTCATTTCTTCAAATGTATCTTGTTGTTTCAAACATCTGTGTCATATGTATTGTTCCTTCTGTCTGGACTACTAATCCCCTTTTGGCATCTGACACTTCAATTACATTTTTTTTTTTTTTTTTTGACAGAGTCACACTCTGTTGCTCAGGCTGGAGTGCAATGAGTGATGTGATCTTGGCTCACCGCAACCTCTGTTTCCTGGGTTCAAGCAATTCTCATGGTTCAGACTCCTGAGTAGCTGGGACTACAGGCACACATCACCATGCCTGGCTAATTTTTGTAGAGATGAAGTTTTACCATGTTAGCCAGACTGGTCTCAAACTCCTGACCTCAAATGATTCGCCTGCCTTGGCCTCTCAAAGCACTGGGATTACAGGCATGAGCCACTGCACCCAGCCTGATACTTCAATTACTTTTAATAATTTTTCTGAGGAATTGTTTGTGAAGTTTCTGATCCCTTTATCTGCAGACAGAATTAATCACTCTCTATTCAGTTCTACTTTTGTGCCTTACATACACTTTTATCAAATGCTTCTTACACACGGCTTCAAATTTCGTTGGCCTCAACTCTTATCCCAGCTGTGGCTGTGGTGACCATTTCTATGAAAGTGCCGCCCAGTTTCATGGGGGAGCAACCTGACAGTGCCCTGCTTCAGGCTGGTGCAATTTACCCCTAGCTCCTCCTCCTCCTCCTCCTCCTCCTCCTCCTGCTCCACAAGGATTCCTTACTGGTAGTGAAGCAGTAGGGAATAAAACATCCCTGAGATTTTGCTCAGTATTCCATGCATGTGCAACCTAGAAATGATGGGGAGTTGAATAATTGGGGGACCACCCTTGATCAATAGAAGGCAACAGTAATGAATAAATACTTCATACTTTCTTTCTCTAAGAGGTTATTAAGGTGTCCTGTAAGACTGAATATCCAGCCATCTGTATGGGTGACCAGTCAACTCAACATGGAATCTTTTATTGACATACCTTTCTTTCCTCCCTTCTCCCCCATTCCCTAGCTCTGGACCTTAAGTTACATTTTTTGTGTCTTAGGCTTGGTATTCTGGGGAACCCAGGGTAAGACAATGCTTTTATTATTACCTGAATGATGATGTATTGTAATTACTTAAATTTTTCTAGCTTCCCTCAGACCAGTAATTTTTCAAAAATATTAAAGCAGTTATATATTAAACCTCAAAATATAAAACTGGCAAAAGTAAAATTATTTGATTAAAATGGTTGTGGCAGCTGAGATATTGAAAAAACAATGAAAAAATTTAGTAATATGTGAACTTCATGAGAGTTAGAAAATATGTCTTATTACTCTTGTACTCCTTAGAACCTAGCATAGTGGCTGGCTCCCAATAGGTAGTCAATAATACTTGTGAAACTGAACTAATTGAACTGAGAGAAACTGTAGTATAGAAAATATACATAATTGTATTCATGCCGTAGTCATGGTGAGTAAATGAAGAACAAAATAAGAAATCAGAAATATAGTCTACTTCTTTTTTGGAAAATGTGAAGTTTGTTAGAAAAGACAACACAACTTTTTCTGCAAGCTCAAGTTTTTCATTTTTGACTTGGTACGTAATTTTTGAACTGGTGTCCTGATTTCTGTTAAATGTCAGGAACGATAGATTAAAATGGAATTTAAAAAAACCTCCCTCATTCTTTAAACCGTTTATTAACAAAGGTGAAAGCATGGAAAAGTTATCATTTATAATTGTTTTGTAGCCACAAATGTGAATTAGTTGAGCTAAAAAGCCAAAGATAATTTCTAGAAAGTATGCCACCAAAAAATAAAAGAGCTTCTCTTAGGTACTGTGATTCTAATCAGTGTTGAAGAGTGTCATCATTTCTTTAAAGCAACAGACACTCCAAAAGGATAGATTTGTTAAATTAGTTATTGTGAACAATGCTCTCTGGGCATTCAGAGGTGGGAAAAAGGGCCCAAATGAAAAAAAAAAAAAAACCAGCCATACAATTTATGCTTTAAAAAATTCAACAAGTTTTGATCAATCGATAGATACATTCATTCATTCATATATGTTTATATGATGTTGAGGTTGGCATATAGAATGCCTATATGAGAGTCTGTTTTCAAATTTCAGCCTATATATTTTTTTGCCGTTATATTTTTTAAGGCTTAGAACTTTTAAACTTTTGTGTAAAGCAAGTTAGTGACTGATTTTCCTTTTCTTTATTGTAAAAATGGGGCTTATTTATGAGATTTGTGAACCAAATATAGGCCTAAAATACATACATTCAATCATTCAACATATATGTCAATAGCACCTATGGGTGCTAAGTGCTGAGAATTTAGTAGTGAATATAGTTTACAGATACTAGGGATGGAAAGGACACTAAGAGACATTATAGGATGGGCTGGTGAGGCACGTTTGCTGACTAATGAGACACAGACATGTAGAAAGGTTAAGTGGCTTGCCCAAGATCACAGGGTTTGTGAGCTAATTATTCCTCAGAATATATACGATTATTCTCAGATAGCACTTTCATTTGCACTAATACTTTCTTTAAGCATTATTGAGTGATGAACTATGGAGACAGCCAATTGCAAAAGGCAGCTGCCCAAATGAGAAAACACTAAAAAAGAAATTTTTCAGAGAAAGGAAAATTAGGGATTGACTGAGATGGAGCACAAAAAGTGTAGGATCATTTCAGTTCATCTGAAATTTTTCAGACTTGGATTCTTTTCCCTTGTGAGTTGCATATGATTTAAAAAATAAAAAATAAACTCATGTTGACCGAGAGTCTAACATGTGCCAGGCACTTTAATATACATTAACTCCTTAATATTCACAATTCTGTACAAAATTGTATTGTGACGTCTGAGTGGCTGTTTCTAGCCTGGTGATACAGTGTATGTGTCATTTCTTGTTGGCTTTTCATTGCCCAGGTTCTGATATGCAGCTTTCAGGTTCAGAAACTGGGTTATTATGTGGACACCTAGAGGTTAACAGACCCAGGCAAATTGATCCCTTCTGACCAAACTTACAAGAGTCTGATTATAAACCAGAACATCAATTTAGACGTCTCTATGAGGAAGTTAACTGCCAAGTAGACTGGAATACTCCTGTCAGCTTGTCAGCACATTTTAATCCCTGTGGGAGAGAAAGCTTGGGGAAATAAAATTAAGGATAGGAGGATCCCAAGAAAGCATAAAATTAGAAGAAAGTGAGTTGGATGCTTTTAAAAGTAAAATTGTCATACGGTTATTGGAGCTCAGTGTGCCTTCTCCACCATAGGAATATACTTGCCTGGCTAAGGAATATGAATATTATTTTCAACCAGACAGGTCCCTCCCTGTCAATATATCTGAGATTATGACTAGTTATGGACTCATTAGCTGCAGTAAAATGGAGCAAATTGGGAGGGCTTGAAACTTCATTCAAAACCAGCCCTTTTGGGTGGGCTAAGCATCTGCAGAAGCTGAAAGTGGGAACAGAGAATCAGCATACGGAATAAGTATAGTAATTAAAACAAAGATTATAACAACAATAATAATCTCTAATAGTGATTGAGGGTCTACTGTGTGTTAAGAACTGTGCTAAAAACTTTACATCAATTACCTAACTTCTTTCTAACAACAATTATCTTAGATAGACACTATTAATATTTCTATTTTGTAGATGAGAAAAGTGAAGTTTAGAAAAGTTAAAGTAATATTCTAAAGTGTGGAAGTGTCTTAGCATAGGATATCCTAGACTGGGTCATGGGCATCTCAAGGTTAATGAGTCCAAAGCTAAGCCCTTCATTTCCTCTTGAAACATGTTCTTCTTTCATTCAGAAGCTTCTGAGTAATTCTGGATGTCTTCCTTCCTCTCTGCTTCCTTCTCCCTGATTCAGTTACTGACATCATCAAATCCTGTGAAATTTACAGTGGATCTTCCCCATTTCTTGGTCTCTGCTGTTACTGCTTTTGTCCATGTATGGAGATTACTCCCTCAGCAGCTAGCCCCTCTCTCTTGCAAAGTAGTCTATTGTTCAAATAATGATCTTTTTTTTTTATTAAGGTAAAATTTTCATAATGTAAAATTTATCATGTTTGCCATTTTAGAAGTGTACAATGAAGTGGCTTTCAATACATTCACAATGTTTTGCAAGCATCACTGGTGTCTAATTGCAGGACATCTTCCTCACCCCCAAAAGAAACCCTCATCCATTAAGCAGTCACATCCCATGCCCATCCTCCAGCCCCTGGAAGCCACTAATCTATTTCTGTCTCTATGAATTCACCTATTCTGGACATTTCATTTAAATGGAATCATGTATTTCTGGCTTTTTGTGTCTGGCTTCTTTCACTTAGCATGTTTTCAAGGTTAACCCATGATGTTCATTCCTTTTTATGGCCAAATAATATTTCATTACATGGTTATTTAGCATTTTGTTTATCTGTTCATCAGTTGATAGACATTTGGGTTGTTTCCACTTTTTGGTTCTTATGAAAAATGTTGCTATGAACATTTGTATACATGTCTTTGTTTGAATGCCTGTTTTCAACTCAGCAGAATAATCTTTTAAAAATGAAAACTATGTTTTTTTCTTCACTTAAAAACATGACCTCTCATTACAATTATATTTTAATTAAAATGCTTTCCCATGGCCCACAAGGGTTTGTACAATCTGCTTCTCTTTTCTCATTTAATCAGCTTTCCTCTTCCCTCAATATATTCCAGCCATACTGATCTCTGTTTACTTTCCCCAATTTCCCGAGCCTTTACAGGATGTTCACATCTGCTGGTTCCTTGTCTGAAATACTTTTTCCACTGCTTCGCAAGCTAGTTCATTTTTATCCTTCAAATCTCCAGATATAATGTTACTTCTCCAGAAAACTTTTCCCTGACTAAACTGGGTAATTCTGTGTTTCCTTCCTGATGCTTTTCTCACCTTGTAAGTACACGGTTTTATCTGTGTACCATTTACAATCTGTTGCCGTCACAAGACTGTAAATCCCTTAAGGTCAGGAATTAAAGTATAACTATTTTTCATTCCTACCATCTGCACCTATGCTTAGCACAATATTTGACATACAAGAGACACTCCATAAATGTTTGTTGAATAAATGAATAAAATGAGAAAGGTCACAGGTATTGAAAATGAGATAGAGTAATCCAATACATCGTGATAGAGGTGTACTAAGAAGAAGGAAGAGTGGGGCGGTGGAGAATTTTTAGTTTCATGAATATTTGAAGATGTAGGCAGCTGCATCATTAAATGATGGAGCAGGCCAATTGGTCTGAGATTTGTGGTTAACTTTTCTTTCTGTAGGAAGAAGCAGAGCTTGGTAAGAACAACATACAGTCCTAGCCTTAGTATTTTACTAGGCAGCTATCCAAGACTGGAACTCAAGAACAGAGAACAATGCCAATCTCAGTGTCTAGTTACCCAAACTGTATTCAAGAAGGGAATTTGGTCAAAGAGTCAAAGCAAAACCTCTGGAAATAAAATCAGAGCTTAGGTAAAAAAAGAACATGTTTAATTTGATATCAATTCTGCAGATGTTGACTAGATTTCCTTAAATCTCATCTGTCTTCAACGAGGATTGTTTCCAGAAACCTGGCTGAGATTATAGCCATAGCTTTTGGGATAGGAAAGATGGAAGATATGGGAAACCAGACTGGACTTGACAAACCCTAAATTGTGTTATAGAAACACTAATGAACTTAGACTCTTCAAATTACCAACCTCCTGTTTGTCTCTTAATTAACATTTTATCCTTATTTACTTTGACATGAATTGGCTGTGGTCAAATTATGACATGTCTCTTTGTATCAATTTCTTCATCTACAAAGTGGGAGCTTTGGGCTGAATATGACCACCAAGGTCCTTTCCAGCTATGAAAATCTATGAGGCTCTATGCCACAGTTTCCAAGTTTCAAATTTTCACTCTAAACAATTGATGTTGGCTGTTTCTTGATGATCTCATTAGTAAACAGTCTTCACAGATGCGAGATGTGTTATGTGTATTCTTTGAGTCCTTTTTAGCCCCTTTTAGACAGAATGGCATTTCTTGACATGGTTACTTGACTTGGGAAAACCGCATATTTGGGACCAATAGCTCTTAATCTGCAGTCTAGAAAGAGAGCTTCAGAAATAAAAAAAAATTAGTAATATTTAGTAGCAAAATTGCTTAAATTATTATTTAGTATAGTGGTTGCTTAATGGTAAACACATTTTTAAAGATCATTAAATTTCATAAAGTTAAAAGATCATTAAATTTCATAAAGTTAGCATCTAAAGTATTTTTTCACTGAAACTATTAGATCGATCCATTTTCTGAGGATTTTATTTTGATTCTTGTCTGAACACAGAATTGAACTAGTTGAAGAGAAGGAAACTGGTCTCTAAATTAAAAGATTAGACTAAGTCCTCCTTAATCTCCACTGTGTAATGAAACATAATAAAAATGAGACTTGGTCTGTCTAAAACTAGAGATGTGAGGAGACTTCAAAAAGTTCATGGAAAAATATTGTGCAGAATCTGGATTTTATGAAAATAAATTTTTATGTGGAAAATGGAAATAAAGTATTAAAATAAAAAGTATAAGGTTAATTTTTAAACATAAGCTCCATCAAATTCAAGACACTTGTGATGATACCAGCCATTTAGCCCATCCCTAAAAAACTGAGGGTTCTGGGAATTTAATTCAGTCAATGCAGACTTTAGACTATTAACTGAAGAAAAATGGGTTTCTTTTACAGATTTTTTAAGACTAAGAAACAAAAAGAAGTTAGAAGGCGCCAAATCAGGACTGTAAGGTGGATGTCTAATGACTTCCCATTGAAACTCTTGCAAAATTGCCCTTGTTTCTTAAGAGGAATGAGCAGGTGCATTTTTATAGTGGAGAAAGACTATGGTGAAGCTTACCTGGGTGTTTTGTTTGTTTGTTTGTTTTTGCTAAAGCTTTGGCTTGCTTTCTCAAAAACATTCTCATGATAAGTAGATGTTATTGTTCTTTGGTCCAACAAAGACTCAAAAAGCAAAATGTCTTGAGCATCCCCAAAAACTGTTGCCATGATGTTCTCTCTTGACCAGGACACTTTTGCTTTGACTGGACCACTTACACCTCTTGGTAGCCATTACTGTAATTGTGCTTTGTCTTTAGAATCACAGCTAAGTTTCATCTCCTGTTACAATTCTTTGAAGAAATGCTTCAGGATCTCAGTTCCACTTATTTAAAATTTCCATTGAGAGTTCTGCTCTTTTCTGTGGCTGATCTGGGTGCAATAGTTTTGGCACCCATTGAGTGGAAAGTTTGCTCATCTATAATTTTTCAGACAGAATTGTGTAAGCTGAACCAATGCAGATGGCTATGGTGTTGGCTATTGTTTGTGCTGTTAATCCTTGGTTTTCTTCAATTAGGACATAATAAAGTTGAATTTTTTTCCTTGGAAATTGATGTGGATGGTCTCCTGCACAGGTTTCATCTTCAGTGTGGTCTTATCCCTTTTTAAAATGAGTTAACTCTTAAAATGAGTTATCCATTTGTAAACTGCTGATTTCTTTGGGCCATTCCTATAAACTTTTCATAAAACATGAATGATTTCATTATTCTTTCATCCAAACTTTACCATAAATTTAATGTTTGTTCTTGCTTCAATTTTAGCAGAATTCATGTTGCTGTGATAAGGGGTATTTTCAAAGTGATGTCTTAGCATCTCAAACTAGATCCTCTTCAGACATTTTTATAACAAGTTAGTATGAGTTTATTTTGGTGCAAAGTTTTTAAAATCCATGCATGGTTCTTTTTTTCATAATACACACTTTCCATGAACCTTCTGAAGACCCTTAATATAATCACCAGATTCCTAGGTAGGAGTTAGACATTTTCGAGGACTGATTAAGGAGCATTGGAACAAGACAGAGCTAGTCTTCGATTTTAGTTAGAAGTTTGTGGCAAGACTTAGAAGTTTCAAAGTTTTACAAAGTAGAAAATGGTTGAGTAACATAGAATGTCGGCTGTAGGTGTCCTTAACATGTTACATTGGAAATGTAAAAATTAAAGAAAAATGCGATTAAAATTTAAAAATAGGTTTAAAGATACCACTTTTAAAAATTTTGAATTTGGGCCGGGCGCGGTGGCTCACGCCTGTAATCCCAGCACTTTGGGAGGCCGAGGCGGGTGGATCATGAGGTCGGGAGATCGAGACCATCCTGGCTAACAGGGTGAAACCCCGTCTCTACTAAAAAAAAATACAAAAAATTAGCCGGGCGCGGTGGCGGGCGCCTGTAGTCCCAGCTACTCGGGAGGCTGAGGCAGGAGAATGGCGTGAACCTGGGAAGCGGAGCTTGCAGTGAGCCGAGATTGCGCCACTGCAGTCCGCAGTCCGACCTGGGCGACAGAGCGAGACTCCGTCTCAAAAAAAAAAAAAAAAAAAAAAAAAAATTTTGAATTTGAACAGTCTTATGAAGAATAAAAATACAAACTAAGGAGAAGAACTTTCAAAAAAAGAATGGGCTGGGCACCTTGGCTAGGAGTTGTAACCCCAGCACTTTGGGAAGCTGAGGTGGGAGGATCACTTGAGCCCAGGAGTTCAAGACCATCTTGGGTAACATAGGGAGACCCCATCTGGGCAAAAAAAATTAGCTTGGTGTGGTGGCACACACCCATCATCCCAGCTACTTGGGAGGTTGAGTTGGGACGAATCACTTGAGCCGAGGAGGTTGAGGTTTCAGTGAGCCATGCTTGTGCTGCTGCAATCCAGCAGCCTGGGTGACAGAACAAGACCCTGACTCAAAGAAAAAAAAAAAAAGAAAAGAAAAAAGAATGGTTAATTAACTAATAAATGTAGAAGAAATAGTAAAGGTAGAAGATCAACATTTTGCAATCATTATAAAATGATTTATTCAGAAGAATAATCAATAAGCTAAAGGTTTGAAGAGGAACAGGATATTTACATTTCATCAAAGTATCTCCCTGGAGGTTACTTATTAATTACAGAATGAAAAGTGGAGAAGCCTGACCAATGCCGCCTTACTGAGTAGTCAAAGTTAACATCACCAATGATGAGATAAATTGAGGTATGATCCCTGACATGTTATACTGAGAAATGTACAACAATGTTTATGCAGTATTCCTGCTGAAAAAGCATAATCTGAATCTAACCAAGTGGAAACATCATACAGAACCAAAGGGACATTCTTTAAAATAATCTCTTGGTGATCTAGAACTAGAAATACCATTTGACCCAGCAATCCCATTACTGGGTATATACCCAAAGGATTATAAGTCATTCTACTATAAAGACACATGAACACGTATGTTTATTGTGGCACTATTCACAATAGCAAAGACTTGTAACCAACCCAAATGTCTATCAACGATAGACTGGATAAAGGAAATGTGGCACAGATACACCATGGAATACCATGCAGCCATTAAAAAGGATGAGATCGTGTCCTTTGCAGAGACATGGATGAAACTGGAAACCATCATTCTCAGCAAACTATCACAAGAACGGAAAACCAAACACTGCATGTTCCCACTCATAAGTGGGAGTTGAACAATGAGGACACATGGACACAGGGAGGGGAACGTCACACACCAGGGCCTTTTGGAGGGTGGGGGGCTAGGGGACGGATAGCATTAGGAGAAATACCTAATGTAGATTACAGGTTGATGGGTGCAGCAAACCACCATGGCACGTGTATACACCTATGTAACAAAACTGCACATGTACCCCAGAACTTAAGGTATAAAAAAAAATCCCTTGGTACTTCTGAATAATTTCGATGTCATGAAAAACAAAATGTGAAGTGTCCCAGATGAAGGAGATTAACAGACATGCCAACTACATGTAATGTGTGATCTTGAATCTGGATCAGAGAAAAAAATTCTGTAAAGGACATTATTGGGACAATTAGAGGAAAATGAATATAGGCTGTATATTGGATAACAGTATTGCGTAAATGTTAAATTCTTGGATTTGATAAATATACTGTGTTAATTTATGAGAACATTCTTTATTGGGAAATGAACACTGAAGTATTTAGAGATAAAGGGACATAATCTGCAAGTAACTCTTAAATGGTTCAGCAAAAGTATTTTGTTGTGTGTGTGTGTGTGTGTGTGTGCACATGCACACAGAAAGAGAAATCAAAAGTGGCAAAATGGTAACAATTGAGGAGTATGGTTAAAGAATATACAACAGTTCTTTGTTTCATTCTTCTGTCTTAGTCTGTTTTGTGCTGCTGTAACAGAATACCACAGATTGGGTAATTTATAATAAACAGAAACATAGTGGCTTATAGTTCTAAAGGCTGGGAAGTCTAAGATCGAGAGGCTGCATTTGGTGAGGACTTTCTTGCTGTATCATAATGGCAGAAGGCATCACATGGTGGAAGGGCAAAGAGAGGGGGAGAAAGTAAGCAACAAATCGGGCCAAACTCATCCTTTTATAAGCAACCGACGCCCTTGATAACAGCATTAATTCATTCATAACAGCAGAGCCCTCATGGCCTAATCACCTCTTAAAGATCCCACTTCTTAATATTGTTACAATGGCAATTAAATTTCACCATAAGTTTGAGAGGGGAAAACTTTCAAACCATAGCATTTTCCAACTCTTCTGTAAGTTTGAAATTATTTCAATATAAAAAGTCTTTATAAAGAGTGATTATTAATCACCTGCCTGAGCAAAGATGTTATCTTTGGCTTGAGTCACTCATCACAGAATAGAAAGCATTTGACATTGCCAAAATGAAGTGTGGATCCCATGAGACAACTGATTGCAGAGCTGGAAGATGAACTTGCAGTATTATTTGTCAGTACAATTTAGCAAACAAGGTTGGGCTTCTTAGAACTCTCCCAGATGATTGCTACCTTATATGGATAATTCATTTTATAAACATTAAAGAAGTTCCAATTATATATATATATGTATATATATGTGTATATATATGTGTGTATATATGTGTGTATATATGTGTATATATATGTGTATATATACGTATATATATGTGTGTGTGTATATATATATATATTTATTTATATATATATATAGGAACTTTTCTAGCCTCACTGGAATTACAGCGATGATAATTTAATATCGAGAACAGTCTCTGACAGTTGCGAGGGGCAACAGCTACATAACAAAATGCCAGGATAATGCAGCGGTGAAAGTAAACATGGAGAAAAAGTTAGCAGAGAATACAACAACTCAGATATTTTTGCGGGATGGTTTGGTGGAGAGGAATGACAATGAGGCACACAAGCTTTCCACTTGATTGAGGTGGAGGAATGGAGTGAGAGAGTACTCCAGGCAAAGGGAGCAGAGGTAGTTGACATAAGAGCTAGGGGTGCCTTGGGACTTTTAAGCAATTTAGTATTGTAGAAGTGAAATACAGCTTTTTGATGTTCAGCTTGTAACAACACAAAAGAAATTAGTTGTCAGTTATGAGTATTTATAAGACATTAAAATAGTATAAAATAATTAACACTAGAAAACATACAATACTAACTGATCCTTTGATAAAGTGTTTTTATTGTGTATGCATGGCATCTTATTAAACATGGAATTCCTCCTTTGACTTTTGTACCTTTTGCAGTAATTGTCAAACTTGAATAATATATAGACTCTTTTAAGGAAGGAAATTCCTATCATTCCCAAGAGTCACATGTTCAGATAACTAGTGGTTGATAGATCTTAGTTTGAGAAATACTGAGTTGAAGAATGGAAGGAAGTTTTACTTTATAGAAAAGTTATTTAATTACAAATTACAACTATAAAAGAGATATGTTGTTTTCAGTCAGCAAAATTATTTTGGATTATTGCAATAAAAACAAAATAATCAAAAGGTGAATACAAAACAATAAAACACTTTGTAATCTTTGAGTCAAAAGCTTAATCTTAAATATGTAAGCTTTACATAACTTTGTAAGTAATACATTCAGACACCAATCAGTACAAGGAAAAGGGCCTGAATAAACAGTTTACAAAAGATGAAATAAAAACTGTAAGCATTTAAAATGTTCACCTTCAATAATAACTACAAAAAAGCAATTTAAAATGAGAGACTACCTTTTTGACCCATAAAATTAGTAGATACTTAAAAAATGATAACATGTTGATGAGAGTTTTTAATAATAGAAAAAATCACAATCTCAATATCCAACAGTATGGAAATAATTAATTAAAATATTCATTTATGTAGTATGACATTACTTGGACATTAAAATATTTTTGAAGAACTTAATATAAATGCTTATGCTATCATATTAAATGCAAAAAAAGCAATGAACAAAAAATATAAATTCAACCTTGTCAAAATATACATAGAAGATCTAGGCAACTATACTATGGTTATGGAAGTCATTAACATATTAATGGTAGAAGCTGGGTGAAGGGTACATGGTAACTCTCTGTATATTTCTGCAGCTTTTCTGTAAGTCTGAAATTATTTCAAAATGAAAAGTTAAAAAACATACATAGAAAAAAATGCTGCAAGGAAAAATACCAAAATTTTAGCAGTGGTTTCTATGTGGTAAAATTGAATAGCTTTTCCCCTTCATTTGGAAAAAGGCTTTTCTTTAACTTAAATTTTTATAGAGTGATATGCCATATAATTTTAAATGCCATATAATACCATTTAAAAAACCCCTCGCCCTAAAACTAAAACAGAAACAAAATGCTGAACTCAAAACAAAAATGTCATCCACCACCATTTGGTAATCAGTGTGGCAGCAAAACATAAAACATAAATGTAAATGCTAAATGGTGCATGAGGATGGAAGATAAGATAGAATATCAACTGGTTAGGGGTGCATTTTACAGGGGGAACGTGAAGTGTGAAAATAGATAAAAGATAAATATAAGGACTGAAATAGATTTAGGAAGCTGTGGCACTAAGAATTTCATTTTGGTAAAAAGGAGAAAGGCTGCTTCTCCAAAGAGAGAAAATATCTGCGGTATTTTATGTGTAGAAGAGAATTAGGCTAATTCTCTGAGTTTTTGGGGAGAGTAAATTATAGTAAGTTATGAGAGCATTCCCAAAAGGTTAGTTGTTAATGAGTAAAAATAATTTGCTTTAGGTAACTATCTTCATACTTGTTTTTATCACAGACTCTTTTCTAAGCAACTCAAGTTTGCAGTGATTCAGGCCTACTTCTGAAGAGACAGCCTTTTATCTCAATGAATGACACAGGTAATCACCTACTTGAATTAAGTTCCTCTTGATCTGGACTTTTGTGCCAAATATTCTTTTTTATTTAATATTAAATAAGGACAAATAGAAAAATGAGTATATACTATGTTGTCACTGGAAGCTGCACCTGGAAAACTACAGCATGTTAGACCTTGTGGTTCTCCGTCTTTGCCTGTCTCAAGATTCTGAGACGCATGACGTCTTCCTTTCTATACCTGGACTCCCTATAGCAGTGATTCTTGGGAACATGGCAAGCTGGGGGTATGTGGTTTGTAAAGGAACATCCTCAGGCACACTTATGTCAATTCTGAAACTGTTCCCTTTCTCCAGCGTTGCCCCCTCTCCCTCAGAGTTATTGGTAGAACCAGAATCTTTTAGTTTTAACAGTTTATCCTAGACAATTATTGTTTAGCCCCCTTTCTCGTATTGAGACAAAGTTAGAGCTTGCTCCTTAGAGAAACAATACTGTGTCAGAAATTGTTCTTTGGAGAGGGAGTGTGAGGCTTTACTTCAAACTTAGCCCTGATTCAGTTTCTGTCCCCATAGTTAGATTTTAAGCCCCTTACAGGCATAGGTTAGGTCTTATCCATCTTTTTACCTTCTTCGGACTTAGTCTTTGACTTTTGAAAAAGTAGTTACTTACCAAATGTTTATTGAAAATGAATACCATTTCCTTAAGGGCAAATTGTATTCCTTCGTGAAGGTAAATCTATCTCTTGCTATGAAAAAAAAATGTGGCATAAGTACAAGTTAAAGTAGAAAATACAGAATGTATAGCTTAAAGTTAAGCAGCAGCTTTGATCTTTGGCTGAGTATATAAAAAAGATTAAGAGTTATTAAAAATAAGATCTAAAGGTCTGTCTAACAAGATTCTTAAAAGAGGAACCCAGAATATGTTTGAATCTACACATGTTCCTCAAGGCTGCAAATACATTGTACTATATGGACAGTCACTGACAGAGGCATTTATCTGATCTTGTGAACATGTTACAGGGAATTCTGTGTCCAGAGCCTCTGCCCTTTGACTGTGGATTGCTTCTTGTTTATTAAGTATGAAAACTGGAGAACGACAGACTTAGAGGACATTTTCTCTTATGCATACATACAGCATTATTAACATACTCTCGCCTATAGCAGATTGTTTTAGAATTTTAGATTTGTTTGCGCATCTGTAAAAAATAACAATAATAATTATCTTACAGACTGAGGTAAGGATTAAATTGGCACAGTGCCTGAGAAGTAGTACATATATGCTCAATAAATGGTGTTTTTTCATTATTATTCACAGATAGAAATTCAGAAGTGTGTTACAAAGGGTTAGGTGAATTTAATATAGAATTACCAGGGCAATATTATATTTCAACTACATTATATTTAGATTGGCTTATGTGAGCTGAAAGCAAAGTGTTTCTACCATGTCTAACAATACCGTAAGGGAAAATACTTTCTTAAAACTATACAACTGGCATGCTCTTGGAGTTTTGAAGCTGCTCATAAGTTGGGTGTTACCTAGTCCTTTTCTATGTTGCTCATTTATCTCTTTTTTTCTGAATATTGGCTATTGTTAATAAATAACCTAGAAGAGATATCACACCTTTCATCATCAGAAATAAGCCATTGCTTTCACAGTGACGTCTACTTTTTAAACATTTCCACTAATTAATGTTTCTGTTGGCCTCCATTTATTGTCAAGTAGCTTGCATGTCTTTGACCTTAAGTTAATGAATGACTTTCTCCGTAGCATTTATGAGTCAGATTCCTTGGGCTTGAGCCATTACTCAAGGCTTGAGCCATTACTGCGTAAGGACATTTACTTTTTATTTTTAAATTCCATTTTTTTTTTGCAGTTTTTACATACGCAGGGAATGAAAAATTATGTTGGCTAGAAATTTGTAATAAAAGGCATAGAAAATAACGTAGATCTTGGCAAAACTTTATTCACTCATAGGACAACACTTGGATACTTGTTGGAGTGGAACAGAAAAGCTGGCAACACCTCTAGCACCACCACTATCAATAGAAAACATTCATTTAAAATAAAGTTGCCTGTGAAGCTGTGCTAGATATTATTAAAAGAGAAACACATTGAGAACAGTGACCTCAAATTACTTATACAGAGTTGACAAGTGGAAAGAATAAAAACATTAAGCTATATCCACAGGCATTGTGGTTTTCATTACATGTAGGTAAGGTACAAATGAAATTTTGATATGTGAAAAAAGTCAATTATCTGACTAAAGTAGAGATTAGAGGTAAGTTTAGGACTTTTTATGTCTTGTACAATTGATGGATAATAATAACAATGTGACTATATTCTCTTGAATTCGTCAGGGGATAGACTATTTAAGTTTTGGTGTCCACCAGGACAGAGACAGGCAAAGTGACAGCTGTTACTCTTTGGAGTGGGTTCTTCAAAGCAGACTTAGACCCTGGCTAAGCCTGATGCTTAAAACCATGGTGCTCCTGGGGCAAGCAAATGTCTTGGATACCTTTCAGAATGTGCCACTGGCTCCTGTGACTGGGGCATGGAGGGGGAACACCAATATTATTACTCAAATAGCTCCAGGCCAATGTATGGTTTCAGGAACAGCACAGAGGAATGCCTGGGACACCCAAGATGAGACTTGGGTAAATTAGCACAAAAAATTGCCTCAAAGAGGAACAATAAATTTTATTGGAAACCGATGTGAATTTTGTTTCCAAATTAGTGTGCTAGTAACAAAGCCAACAGACATTTAAACAGTAAGCTGACAGTTTACCCACACTTTCTACTTTAGCTGAAATTGGAGTGCCTCAATTCGTTCCTTCTTCATTTCTGTAATCGAAAAGAAGCCTTTATAGTATGTCTAAAAGCACACTAAGGTTGTATTTGTATTAACATCTTAATTTTGCTAAGTGCCAATAAATGCTATGCCTTATCTTCACTTTTCTGTTAGGAAATTACCTAAAAGACAATGCTTTATTGTAAAATTTAAAAAATATATTGTAAGTAGTATTTCCAGAGACAAGAAGCTATCTAAATCTATTTTACAATCTGCATCTATATCTACATTTATATCATATCTATATCTGTGTTTTCCAGTGGTCATACCCTCAAGCATACTGATATAGAATACAGAGGTTGAGACATTTAGATGCTATTACTAAGGTTAAAAATTATATCATAAACATACACACACATAAAAAAGACTGTAACAAATGAAGATAAAGACAATAAACACTTTTTTCTCCTACCCTAAGATAAGCATAACTCATCAAGATCCATCTGTTTATTCTTGGATGTTCTATTCTACTTCTGTGGTTGGTCTCACTCCTGTAGTGGTCTCATTCCTGTTGGTATCAACACTGGAATATTACAGAGAAGATTAGCATAGCCTCTTGCAAAGATGCCTCACAAATTTGTAAACCTGCTATATTTTTGCATAGTTAATTACTTCTTTCTTTGGGTTCCAATAGCACATTGTATGTATATTAGCTGTCATCTTACTGTATTATAATTATTTGTTTACTTCTCTGTCCCCCTCAGAAAACAGAATCGCTAAAGAAAGAAATTATTCTTTATATTCCTAGTGGCCAGCACAGTGCCTAGATCCTAAAACGCATCCAGAAAATGTTTAATAAATGAAAAAAAAGAATGAAAGAAGTTTTATATTTATGTGTAAGAAACAAGCAACAATTCTTTATATACATCATGCCAAAGCAGAAATGGATTCTGAAACAATTTCTTCCCTCCTCACCTTGTATTCCCAATGGCAGAAATTCTATTTTAGTGTGATGCCCACTGGCCACCCCCTGCTGATAACTAGTGGACACAGTTCAGTTTGATGATGGGCAGATGGACAAGCCTGCTGTTGTCCTTGGCCATAGGCTGTTTCTGCCTGTTCTCTTAGATGCATCAAACATGCATTTCTTTCTCTCCTCCTTTTTCAGAATTGTACATACTTGCTTCTAAAACTGAACAGAATGATATATTTGCAATATAAGATGCATAAGCAGGCTCTAGAAGACAGATAAGCAAAAATACTTTGAGAGATACATGTTATCTAACACAAAAGAAATGGACTCAGTAGAAAAGAAGCCATAACACATTGCTATTATTCAACTGATGAGGGATAGATTTTCCCTCTTTCTCTTCCATCATAATGAGATTGATTAGAAGAGAAATAAAGTTGCAATGTATTTCTGGAAAAGGAGATCCAGATTATGGTACCAATTTGAATTGTTCAACTAGATGATTGCCCAGAGTTATAATTCATTCAAATTTCACATATAATTACATACATAAATAGTAGTTGCTTCAAATTACCAATACAAACAACAGTTTCATAGATAAGACACTGGCATGTTACTTAAGTTTTTAAGCTATATACATATTCAGAATCATTTGGCATAGATATATATTTTTTTTTTTTTTTTTTTTTTTTTTTTTGAGATGGAGTCTCGCTCTGTCGCCCAGGCTGGAGTGCAGTGGCGGGATCTCGGCTCACTGCAAGCTCCGCCTCCCGGGTTCACGCCATTCTCCTGCCTCAGCCTCCCAAGTAGCTGGGACTACAGGCGCCCGCCACTACGCCCGGCTAATTTTTTGTATTTTTAGTAGAGACGGGGTTTCACCGTTTTAGCCGGGATGGTCTCGATCTCCTGACCTCGTGATCCGCCCGCCTCGGCCTCCCAAAGTGCTGGGATTACAGGCGTGAGCCACCGCGCCCGGCCTAGATATTTTCTTTGCTAGTAAAAAGAAAATGGGAGAAGAAAATAATAATTATTTATTTATTTATTTTTTATCATGGGCCAGGCTTTTTTTTTCTTTCTTTTCTTTTCTTTTTTTTTTTTTTTTGAGATGGAGTCTTGCTCTGTCGCCCAGGCTGGAGTGCAGTGGCGCGATCTCGGCTCACTGCAAGCTTCGCTTCCCGGGTTCATGCCATTCTCCTACCTCAGCCTCCGGAGTAGCTGGGACTACAGGCGCCCGCCACCATGCCCAGCCAATTTTTTTTGTATTTTTAGTAGAGACGGGGTTTCACTGTGTTAGCCAGGATGGTCTCGATCTCCTGACCTCGTGATCCACCCGCCTCGGCCTCCCAAAGGGCTGGGATTACAGGCGTGAGCCACCGCGTCTGGCCGGGCCAGGCATTTTTATGAAGACACTTTTTCCGTGTTTTTTATGTAATCCTCAGGACTCTGCTGGGAAATTAGTTTTATTATGATTATTTTTAAAAAGAGAAAAGTTAGACTGAGAGATAGGAAGTAATTTCACTCAAGGTTACAGAGCTGAGCAGTGACCAAACTGTAATTCCCTATCAAGTCCTTTCTACTCTTAAACTTATTTTCTACCTACTGTTTCGGATTTAGCAAGCATATAGCCATTTCTCAAGGATTTTTTTTTTTTTTTTTTCAAGAGACGAAGTCTTGCTATGTTGCCCAGGCTGCTCACAAATTCCTGGGCTCAAACAATCCTCCCGCCTCCGCCTCCCAAAGTGTTGAGATTACAGGCATGGACCACCGCTCCTGGCCTTGGGTTTTTATTATGAAAGTGGTAGTGTTTTATAGGGTTTCCAGTAATTGTGAATGGTGTCTTAGATGCCAACTACTAAAAATGTTTCTGCTGAGTGAGTTGGGGTACTTGTACTCTTTTCCAGATGATTAAATCTATTGCCTGAAAAACTCATTCAGTAATGTGATACAGGGGAAGCCATCTCTGATTTTTTGTAATGACTAGGCTAGAGAGTAGAGTTCTCCAGTGTTTCCTGCACCATTCTTTAGGAAATACTAGTCTACTTTCTAGAAGTCAAAATTTGTCCTGGCTACCCTGTTTGTCTAAAGGTACCATGCCCAGGCTAGCATGGTGGGATATGGCCAGAACTCTTGGTGACATTCTTGCTTTGACCCCAATTCATGGTACACCAGTGATCTTTGGGCTAACTTAGGGGGCTAAGGTGAGAATCACTCCAGCTTTGTGGCTGGATTTTTCTGAGGGCCTTTGGCATTGTTTCCACACGATGGAAGAACCCTAGAACTGACTTGCCCTTTTGCATGGAGGAGGGGCAGCACAGACCCTGAACTTCAGCTGCGGATTCAGCATTTCTCCCAGGGTGGTGGCAGGGTGCGTGCTGAGAAGTGATTCTGTGTACTTGCTGCTTTCCTCCTTCTTCCTTCAAATATGTATCAGGCTCACCTTCTCAGGGCGAAAGGACAAACTATAGGACCAACTGCTGGTACCTTGTAACTAAGTAACATAGGTGCTAAAATGGATTAACTCTGTGAAGTAACAGAACTGCCTGTTATCCTGGTTTCCTTAGGTAAGCAGATTGTGCCAGAAGCATTTTCTGTGTTAGATGATGATTTTTCTTTAAAAAAAAAAAAAAAAAAGCAGCTTCAATTATAGTAAGCCTAAAAAATGAGAGTTAATCAAGATAGAATTATCAATTGACTAGGTACAATTTGACAAGTCAGTTTTTATTCCAACTGCATTATAGAGGTGATTTTAATATTTAGAAGCTGTGATTCAGAGAGAGGCTCCAGAAAAATTATAATGTGGGCATAATTTCCATAGTAAGGGAATGGTCATTATATTAAAGTAGATGTTTATCTCTCTCTCACCTCTTTTTCTTATTTTTCCAATTCTGTATGTCTGCCTATAATTTAAACTGAGTAATTAAAGCTATGCTTAAAATGCTTTGCCATTAATAAACGAAAAGTCACCTTTAAAAAGTTGATTCAGTAATGGAAGTTATTTCAGGACTGGATTTGAGCCCAGTTCCTATTAATGAGGACTATTTTCCTTTTCTTTTTCTAGGACAGTGGAATTAGAATAATCTGTTTTGTCTATTTCCAGTCATGACACATTCTAGGTTTAGGTAAATAAACTGAACTGAAAAATAACAGGCTAACCAACCCTGTCTGTCACTTGACTTGAAGCTGTCATTTTTCATTTCAGCATTATATTAATGAGCATTAGTATGAAAACTCTCTGTCAAAGGTTTGCTTCTTATGTTTTGATTGCTTTAGAATGAAAATGTAGGTACTGAATTTCAGAAATGGAGTAGGAGGGGCAGAGAGCCCTGGACAGAATCAGGAGGCTGGCTTAGGTCTTGGTTCTGTCACCATGTATGACCATGTATGTACCTGGACAAATGGAGCCCGGCTTTATTTTTTTTTTCTTTTTTACATAAGTGACTCCATTTTGATTCCGACGACTTTAACAGGTGATTTGCAAAAGGTAAATCACTTTAAAATTTTAAATATCTGTTTCCTTTACATTTAAAAGCAGAATGGTTAGAGTAAGATAGCATGGCAAATAGGTGTCCCCTTTTCTGCCAGCTCTGATCAATTGATAATGCCTGTCTCGAGTACTGCATGGGGATGATGGTGAAACCTTTTGCAGATCCAGTTGGCAGGAGGACTCAGGGCAAAAGAGCCACTTATTTTCCATCCCTGAACTTGACAACTTCTTGGGTAATTATCTGCTTTTTTTATGACTTTTGCAATTTATTCTTATGTTTTACAGTTCAGGAAATGGTCTCTTCATAATTTACCTAAAGACGTTTCGAAAATTTGAGACCAAGGATACATAGTCTTTGAGATCATCTAATCAAAATTAGGATGATATGTTAAAAAGTGTGTCAACTTAAGTCACAGAGAAGCTCTCTAAAAGAAAATATTCAAGAATAGGGTATTGCAATGGGGAAATGTGCATAGTAAACTATGTGTGTATTCAGATAGGTAAAGGAAGACAAAGAGTTTTTACAGAAAAAATGAGGAGTATTACATAATTTTATTGAAATGGTTATCTTTGGGTACAAAGACATATAATAACATGGATAACGTCAGTCTGAGGTTGGACACAAGGGTGCAGTGGCCTTCCTGCAAGGTTTTGGTATTTGCAGTCTTTTGTGATAAGTTTTGTAATCAGGTATACAAGTGTGAGAGCCTTCTTTTCGTTGCCTTCCCTGGCTCTATTTGTCAGATATTTTTTTAAACATAAGGGACTCCATTTTGATTCCAACAGCCTTAATGGGTTATTTGTAAAATGTAAAGTGCTATTTTTATTATTTAAGGACAACATGGATAATTAATGATAAGGTTTTCTATTGTTTCCGTTGGGGCCTCGTTCCTCCAATTTTTCATGGAATATTTATTGCATGAATGACACAGACTCTTTCAGTAAATTCCTTAAAAGTTACTCATTCTACTGACACTAGATTAAGATAATTAAGTGCTAAATTGTATGGCACAGATAGTAAACAATGTAGACATTCAGAGAGCTATAGAGCCAGAATCATCAGAGTCATTCAGTCATCAGAGAACTTTAAAGGAAAAGGCAGAACTTGAGCAGGGTCTACAATGGGCTGAATTTAGGCAGAAGGGCATCTTAGAAATGGGGCATAATTTGAGTAGAGCATGGAATGGGACATAAGTGCAATTTGTGGCGATGAACAAGAAGTAGAAACTGTTTCAATAAGGAAAGTTTAGATTGCTAATTATTAGTAATAAGATAAATATCAATAATAGTTAACATTTATTCACTTATTCATCCAACCTATATATATTAATTTGTATTTTTGGTAGAGATGGGTTTTTGCTATGTTGCCCAGGCTTGTCTCGAACTCTTGAGCTCAGGCTATCTGCCCACCTTGGCCTCCCAAAGTGCTGGGATTACAGGCATGAGCCACCACACCCAGCCCCAACCAATATGTTTTGAGTGCTTATAATGTGCCAAACTCTATACTGAACACTGGGGATACAGCTCTTAGCAAAATGGACAAAAATCTTTGGCAGTTTTATAGCTCTTACATTCTAGTGGAAAATGATAGTAAAGAAAGCAACAATTTAAATATGTAGTATGTTAGAGAATAATAACTGCAAAGGAGAAAAATAAAGCAGGGAAGGGGACAAGGAAATGGTAGGGGTGGGTGGCAATTTTGGATAGAGTGGCCAAAGAAGGCCTTATTAAGAGGGTAATGACTGTGTTATGATCTGAAGCACCACATGCCAGGCATCTTGCCTGGTTGGCTACTTATTATAGTTTATTTAATTTTCAGAACAACCGTATGAAAATAGGAACTATTATTGCCCTCATTTTATAGATGATAATCTGAAGCATTAGACAACTGAAGTAACGTGCAAGTGTAAACAGCAATTAAGTGTAAGAGGTGGATTTTAAATCCCGGAAGTTAATTCCCGAGAGTATGCTTTTAGTTTATAAAAGTCTGGATAACAAAAATCATTGAAAGAGGTATCAGCAGTCAAAATGATAGAATTTTAGAGCTGGAGAGAAACTTACTGATTGTCTAATCCAGTGGTTTTCAACCACCTGGAGAGCTTGTTAAAACTCAGATTTCTAGACCCCACTTCTGAAGTTTTTGATTAAGTAGGTCTAGGATGAGCCCTGAGAATTTGCATTCTAACAAGTTTCCAGGTGATGCTGATGGTTTCCATTGATGGTTTGGGCAACACACTTTGGGAATTATTGGTCTAGTCATGTAGCACGTTCAAATTACTGAAATTAGCTATTCTCTACTGTTTTGGCTCCCAGCATTCTGTGCCTTGTTTCTTACCCACCTCTTTCTTGAGTATATAGGGACAGAGGCTTTCTTAATCTATTTACCACACAATAAAGGTTTAATAAATGTCTATCATTGAATGACTAATGTGGAAGAGAAGAGGGAAGCACTGAAAGTTTTGACCAGCAAAGTGACATAATGAAAGCAGTATTTTAGGAAGATTTGTTACTAAGGATGGTAAGATAAAGAGATTGGAGATATGAATATTTTCCCATTGCCAGGTCCCTGTAGAGCTTTGTCAAAGTGTGACACGGACCAGCAGCATTGGCATCAACTGGAGGCTTGTTAGAAACCCCAACTCTCAGAGCCCACCTTAGACCTACTGAATCAGAATCTATGTTTTTACAAGATCCCCAGTGACTCATATGCATGTAGAAGTTTAAGAAACACAGCTTTAGGACATCAAATGGTCAATGCCTGACCTTATAGGGTAGCCCTAGGTGATCAAGAAGCAGCAGCATATATGAATGACTGAGCAGGTCAGCTTTTTCTCAAGCATATTTCTTGGGATACCAGTTCTCTGAGATCTTAATAGGTATTCAGTGGTCAAAAAAGTTTGGCAATATATTTTACAAGATAAATGTATACAAATTAAAAATAATTTTTAAAAATGTTTGGCAGAAAGCAGATTAAATATCAGATTAAACAGAGATAAATAGGTCTATTTATGGACAGGCTTTAAAAAATCTTTTAATATGCTAATGCGCTTTCTGAATCTCCAAGAGAAAAGCTGTGTTGTGTAGCTGCTTCTACATTTATTGCTCATGAAAGGCAATCTGGGGGGCATCTTCCCATGTTATTGTCCTGTGGAGCGCATCTTGATAAAGCTGCAATAGGCCATTTGTGGTTATTAGAGTTCTAGACTTGTCAGGTTTTCTAATCTCTGGGCAGGAAAGCACCTTACACTTTCTAACTTTAATATCCATTAAACTTCCTCACTTTAATATTCATTAATTTTCTGTTCAAATGCCCAACCTTTCCATCACTGGTCCAGGTATGTGACCTACTTCTGACTCACTTTGATGGCTGAACTGTATTTATTTGGAAAGTCATAGGATGGGATTGCAGGCTCTGTCAGGTATGGAAAAAATATTCAAGAATTAGTTGCTGGTTTTGGCATCTGAGGAAATAAGGAGCTACTAGAAAATGTCAGGGTCACTCGTAAAGTACCCAAGTTTAGTTTTTGGTAAAAGTAAAGTCGGGAGGTAGTACTGAGAGCAATTAGTGGGTAAACAAAGAAGAAATATCAAAATTTGACTATTAAGAGACACAACATCTGTCAGCAAATTTGTAGTCAGGCATAAAAAGAAGCACATGAACAGACATATTTGGGAACTAGGGCTATTTTAGATTTAGGACAGTCCAAATAGCTTTTCTACAGTTTATTTCTATTGATGTCCTTTTTGAAAATCTGTGGCCCATTTGAACCCTGAAAGGTTGATTATTCCACATTCTATAACTCAAAAAGCATTTGATTTTAAATTACACTTACTAATAAATTACCAATAGTTTGGGTAGCATTTTGCTGTACCTCCACTCTCCTGGACATGAAGCTTCACTTTGTTTTTATTTTTGGTAGCAGAATTTTTATACTCTTGATATTAAGAGGAGTGAAAATACTTTCTTAGTGATGCCCTTAGTTTGGGCAGTAAGCCAGATAATTTTCATGTTTTTCCCTTTTCTGTTAATAATAATAAAAAACAATGAAAACTATTTTTCTTTGAATTTGTTCCTCCAAATGCTCAAAGGCTTTCTTTATTTCTTATTACCTTTTGCACTCCAGCCTGGGCCACAGAGCAAGACTCCGTCTCAAAAAAAAGATGTTATTTCTTGCAAAATCAAGGTAGTACTTAATGATATTCACATAATTTTTAAAGGAAGTTTTCTCCTGAGTCACTAAATTTGATACTTTGGAGCATAAACTTCAATATGTAAATATTCCAAATCTGATTCAATACAGTTTCCCTTTACTGTACCCTCCACTGGTTGAATTTCCTGCCCTTGCAGGAGAAATTTTGAAAAGGAGGGAATGAAGTTTTTAAAATCAAGCAGAATATTTTGAATTAAGTAGTTTTTTATTTCAGAGACTTCTAGAGGGGATTAGTACAGCTTTGAGCCACTTTTCTCTATCTCTAAATCTAAAGTTCCCAGGATACTATTTCTAAGATGAGGACTCTGAGATCTTATAAGCTGCTTAGTCATTCCAAAGAGATGCAATTTTTCTTATTGTACTAGATTTACTAAGACAGAAAAGTAGACTGATTCATTACACAATAGAAAGAGGCTGACTGCCTTTGGAAGGAGTACTTTTCCTTCTAAAATGCTTAATCCATCCTATTGTCAGGCTAAAAATTGTGGGAGATGGCATTTACTGGGCCACCCTGATTCTTCTGTAGAGTAGAACCTGGAAGGTTTTGGTGGCTAAATGAGTACCTCTAAACAGGTGAAGATGGACTGTGTGGGTGCTAAGAGAACCCCAACTGCTGAATTTTGAACATGATGGGCATCTTTTATCACTACAAGCCCTTATGGTTAGTAGGAAAGAGATAATAGAGGCATCAACTGTCCCATATCCCAAAGGTATCCTGCTAATGAGCCATTTTTAATGCACATGCTAAGGGTTGCCAGTTCTTATTTTGGAGAGATTTTCAACAAGAATTGCAACCAGAGGTTAAAATTAGACCTTGGGTTACTAAATATTTGTACGACATCCATCCAACAAAGCATTTATCAGTCTTCATCAGGTGCTAGGTACAGTGCCGGGTGCTGGGATATTGGCAAAAATGATAAATATTTGTCATTACCATCCTATTGCTTGCTGAATAAAGTGGGTTGCAGGTAAGTAAACAAGATAATGTAACAGTGAGTTATGTGTTATGATAGGAGAAATACAATGAACTATAATAATACACAGAAGCGAGTTGCTTAATTTTTACTTGAGTCAGGTAAGAAGAGGCATTTACATGAAAGATGAATAAGCAATAGACAGACCAAGAGGAGTTGGGGCAGGAAAGAGCATTCTGAGAAACCAGTGTATACAAAGGTCCAGAGGAAAACCATAAGAACATTTTGTTTGGAACATACAGCTTTTGGGAAGAAAGGGAAGTGGCTAGAAATGAAGAAAGAAAAGTAAATAGGGTCCAGATAGTTAGGGTTTTATAGGCATTTGGGCTTTATTCTAGAATGGAGAGTCATTAAAAGCTTTTCCAGCAGAGAAATGATTAAAGATGCATTTTATGGTAAGGACTCTGGCTGCATTCTGGAGAAAGTTGGAGGGAAATAATACTGGGTAGAGTGGGACAAATGAGGAGACTGTCGCACATGTTTTCATAGAAGAAGATGTTTGCCTGCATTTGACAAATGATAACATTCTTCACAGCTAGTGCTTTTGTGTTTGGTGCACTAGACGTTAAAGTTGTATACTCTTAATTTCGTAAAATCCATGTGTTTATACTGTGCTTTAACTCAATGTTTCCCATATTATATTTCTTTAAGAAACCATCCTTTTTTTCTCCTTCTCATAATTTTATAAAATATATATTTTTTGCTTCCTGAATATTCTGAAATGTCTTGTCTGTTCTTGACACATGTATCTTTTCTACATTTTGTCACTTTGGTTTCTTTTTCAAATATGCCTATAGAGAGCTCATGTTGAAAGAGAAGTAATTATGTTTCTAGTGAATAGATCTTGGCATCACAACAGGATAGTCTGAGATTTCCTGGAAAGAGCAGTAGAAAGAAATTTAGTGGTTCTCAGAACTGGAAAAAAAATAGCTTAAAGATAAATAGTGTTCCCAGAGGGAAGGAGGCTTGTTGTATAGCAATCAATATAGTAGGATTAGAAAAGACCAACACAGTTGAACCCCAAAGTACAAAATGTAATTAAGGGCACAAAAGACACATAATGCATGTCAAGTTTAAAAGAGAAGCTGAGCAATTACAGAGTGAAGTTCAGAACTTAAAAGTGACAGAAAGAGCAAAGGGGGAAAATGACAAAAACATTTCATGTAAGACTAAAAGTGCTGCAATCGTATATGTGATACAAAAGGTCAGTGAACAGCCTAGAAAGGTGTCTAATGGATAGCAAGGGTAATCCATTGACTGGAAGGGTCTTGTAGACATTGATTTCAAAAAGTAAAATTAAATGATTTTTTTTTTTTGCCTCAGTGCTCTCAAAAAGCAAAGTCTTGCTAAAAAGAGAAATCAATTTAAAATGAAATAAGTAAAATTGTTCATTGGAAATGTTGCCAATCAATAGGTGGTAAAGAAATCAAGAAATCTGAATTCTCATACAGAGCCAGCCAGATATGTTTTCTTCCAGGATTAATGCTGTCATTGTCCAAGGCAATAATTCATTTTTAGGCTTAGAAATCCTTTCTAAGAAAATATTATGTTTTTATGTTTTTGTTCCCAAGTCACCAAATTGTAGCCCATTTTAATGCTTTTTTGGCTTTCTGTGTGTCTGGGTGTGACACATCTGACCCATACAGGAGGATATGTAGAAGTCCTGGCAAAAGAACTTCCTAACCTATTAAGCAATCTCTCCTCCCTCCCTCCCTCCCTTCCTTTCTGTCTCTCTTTCTCTCTTTCTCCCTTTCTCCCTTTCTAACTTTCTCTCTCTTTCCTTCTCTCTCACTTTTTCTCTCTCTCTCTGTCTTCCTCCCTCCTTCACTCCCTTCCTTCCTTCTCTTTTTTTCTTTCCTTTTCTTTTTCTTTTCTTTTCTTTTTTTTTTCTTTTTTTTTGCGACAGTGTCTTGCTCTGCCACCGAGGCTGGAGTGCAGTGGTGCAATCTCGGCTCACTGCAGCCTCTGCCTCCCAGCTTCAAGCGATTCTCCTGCCTCAGCTTCCTGAGTAGCTGGGATTACAGGTGCATGCCACCATGCCCGGCTAGTTTTTTGCATTTTTAGTAGAGGCAGAGTTTCACCATGTTGCCCAGGCTGGTCTCGAACTCCTGACCTCAGGTGATCCGCCCACCTCAGCCTCCCAAATGCTGGGATTACAGGTGTGAGCCACCGCACCCAGCCTTTTTTCTTTTCTTTTTGAGGAAATGGTCAAATGTGCTTGTTGTTATGTTAAGTAGAGATTTGGAAGAATGCGCATTGTTTACTCTGAAAATTGTGGGAGATAAAATTTCCTAAGGGAACACCAATAGTTTTTTCTTAATTGCATATTAAAGGCAATATTCAAAGAAAGGGTAAACTGGATGCAGTAGTAGAGGGGTTTCCTGTTAGCCTCTCAGAAAGATTTAGAAACTAAGAAATTCTGACTAGCTGTTGTAACAGACAAACCCTGAAATCTCAGTGGCTTTAGCACAACAGACATGTATTTCTTGTTCATATCACAGTCTAATATGAATGGGGGATCTTCCTTCATTTTGCAGCCACACTAAGGGCCTCTGCGATAAGGGTAGACAAAGATGGAAGTGGCTGCATAGCTCATAGCTGTCTTGGCCTGGAACCGGCCTTTTCCCTCTGAGCCAGTTACATGACCCCAACCTAACTGTGAGGTAGCCTGGGAAAAGTAGGGGAGTACCTGGGAGTAATTAATTTGACATTAACTGTTTTTGCCACTAGAAGGAAGTTAGTTACTGATTCTGTGCTCTATTTCCATTGTTCCTGGGGAGATAAGGACCCTCAAAGATGGAGGAGGTAGAAGAAGGTGGTACTGTCTGTGGTGGAGGGGACGGAAACTGAAATATATCACAGGAAGTGACGAGACCCATAGAAGTGAAACTGGAAAAGCTGGCCTGAAGTGGTGTGCAGAATAAGGGAATGGCTGTAGGTTCACCATTTCCATGTAACCTACAAAGACAAAGGTTAACTCTGGGACTACTAATTATGCTGCTTTAAATGTAATCACACTGCTTCAAATATATTACATTAAACGTACCTTTTTGGATATTTTTCCATTAACTTTAAACATTTTCTAAATATACAGAAAGATTGAAAGAATAGTACAATATGAACGCTTGTATACTCATTACCTTCGTTCAGCGGTTATTCATGTTTTGCCATATTTACTTTGTATAGCTATTTGTAAGTATGTGAACTTTTTTCCGAACACCTTGAAAATATGTTGCAGACATAATATTTACCATAATATTTCATATAACTGCAATGCCATCATCATATCTAAGACAATTTTATATTCATATTATACCCACACACATGATAATATAACCAATTTATATTCAATTTATATTCAAATTTCCCCAATTATCTAAAGATGACATTTATCTCTCTCATTCTCTCTCTTTTTTTCAAACAAAGTTCACAGATTGTATTCATGTTACATTTCTCTAGTGTCTTTTAATCTCAAAATCCCTTTATTTCTTTTTTATAGCATTTACTTTTTGAAGACATGGCAGGACAGTTGTATTGTCCCACATTCTGGATTTGTCTGATTTCTTCTGCATGCTGTGGTTCTCCTTGTTCTTATACTCTTTGGATTTCTTATAAACTAAAATGGGTCTAATGGCTTAATTAGATTTAAATTAAACATTTTTGGCTAGGATATTCCATAAGTGATATTCTTATTTCATGTTACATCACAACAGAAGGCATATAATGCCAGGTTTTTCACTAAAATGATGTTAAATTTGATCACTTTGTTGGTATGGTCATCACCAAATCTCTTCATTGTGAAGGTTTATTTTTCACTTTACAATTAGCAACTAACTTGTTGGTTAATACCTTAGCACCTTGTGAGTATCTCAACAATCTTTCACCTAAATATTTTAAAATGCATTGACGATCTTTGCCTGAAATAATTATTTCATTGGGAGGTATAAAAAGTGTGATTTTTCTAATTTATATCATTTTTTCTATATTTAGTAGCTGACATTGTTCTGTGAAGAATAACTTTGCCTCATCAACTGGGACTGAATTACATTTCTTCTTAAAGAAGCAGGATATATTTATAATTTAAAAAAATTATAGGCAATTTTGAATATAGAGAAAAACCAAAATCATCAGCTGTAATTTCAACAGCCAGTGAACTAATGTTAAAAATGCTATGTACTATATCTTTCCATTCTTTTTTCAATACAGATAAGGATATATATTATAAAATTTGATTCATAAATATATCTAGCCTTATAAAGGGCTGGATATATAAAATACATTATTAACACTTTACAATGTTGTTAAATATCCTTTAAAATATTTTTGCTGACTACATATCATTCCATAACAACAATGTGACATACTTTATTTTCGCATTCTCTTATAACCAGGGAACCATATAACCTTGTTTGCCCAGAGAAATCCTGATATATGACCATTATCCTGAAAAATTAATAAAATACCCTCCTTTACTCCTCATATCATACAAGTTTGGGAAACAAATTGTATGGTTACCTTTCCTGTAATCACTTAATCTACAATTGACAAGTAGCTGTTTTGAATTTTCCAATCTATTTGCTCTTATGAAAATTTTTGGGTGCATTCATGAGGGTGAATTCACCCTCATGTTGTATTAGTTCATTCTCACACTGCTATAAAGAACTACCTGCGACTGGGTAATTTATAAAGAAAAGAGGTTTAATTGTCTTATAGTTCCATAGGCTGTACAGGAGACACGTCTGGGGAGGCCTCAGGGAACTTACAATCATGGTGTAAGGGTGAAGGGGAAGCAAGCACATCTTCACATGGCAGCAGAAGAGAGAGAGCTAAGGGGGAAGTGCCACACACTTTTAAACAACCAGATCTTGTGAGAACTCACTCACTATCATGAGAACAGCAAAGAAGAGATCTGTTCCCAGGATCCAATCACCTCCCACGTGGTCCTTTCTCAAACACTGCAGATTATAATTCAACCTGAGATGTGGGTGGAAACATAGAGCCAAACCATGTCACTTGTATTTCTGTTAAATAAGTAGAATGTCATCAATTGGTCTTAACAGATTTATCTGATTTCAACTTTGCCTACTTTATTCCCTTGGAGAAGGGTTTCTCAACATTGCCACTATTAATATTTTGGCCCAGAAAATTCTTTGTTTTTAAGAGGGCTGTCTGCATTGTAGTATGATTTAGCAGCAACCTTGGCCTCTGTTTCTTAGATGCCAGTAGCATTGCCACTCTCCGGCGTAGCAATCAACAACAACTCCAGATATTGTCAAATGTCCCCTGTGGGGCAAAATTGCCTCAAGCGTGAACCACTGGTTTAGGAAAATGTGCAGGAATAATAGCAGCAACATCCTTCACATCTAGCTTATTTGTCTTAAGTTGTTGTGTTTTTGTTGTAAGAATTGTTTAGGCTGGGGATGGTGGCTCACGCCTGTAATCCCAACACTTTGGGAGGCCGAGGCGGGTGGATCAACTGAGGTCAGGAGTTCAAGACTGGCCTGGCCAACATGGCAAAACTCCATCTCTATTAAAAATACAAAAAAAAAAAAAATTAGCTGGGCGTGGTGTTAGGTGCCTGTAATCCCAGCTACTGGGGAGGCTGAGGCAGGAGAATGGCTTGAACGTGGGAGGTGGAGGTTGCAGTGGGCTGAGATCACACAACTGCACTCCAGCCTGGGGGATCTAACATAACAGAAATGGTAGATATTTCTTGCTCAAGATTATATGAACAAAAGTGACCCAATAGGAATTTAAAACTAGGCTTGTCTGTCCCCAGAGTCATATCCACATGCTACCTGAAGGGCACAGGTAAGTACTACTCTCATGCACTAGTCATTGCTAAACAGGCAAGCAGTAGGAAAAGAAGCATTTTCTCTTCAGTGAGTTCTTGGCAATCATTTGGGAACTACCATGGTAGTTCTTATGTTTTATCATTTGTAAATGGGGTATGGTTGTGTAGAATCAATGAATAGAAACATGCAACTTAGGTCCTGGCACATAGTAGGTGCTAAATATGCATTCATTTCTAGCTGCACTTGTACTAGGGTTATCTTAGCCCTCTGCTAATGAGTCTTTGCAGAACTCTAAGGGGAATCAAATGAAGTGAGACAGAGTATCTTTCCTTCTTTCTACCTTCAAGAGCTGCCCTCTCTGCTTTCCCTTATGTTGAGAACTCACACTTAGAAGAAAAGAACAGGATGTGAACAGACTCCAAGGCATCCCAAAATGAAGCAAGTACAATTTAAGTCACAGAAAGAAATGTTGGTCCCTCTCATTTCCTTCTGTTTCAAAAGCTGTTCGTTCATAATAAGAAAGTCCTTCAAGCTCCAGAAGTAGAGCGCTGCATATCTAGTTTAGTTCAAGGTTGTTTGGGGACAGGTTCTAAGCCATTATGCATATGACTAAAGAGTCGGGAGAGGACCAGACTGGGAAGAGCAACTTTCACACATTCTTGTGCTGGAGTTAATCCACCAGCACTGCCAGTTGATGCCTGAGAGATGAGGGGGTGGGAAAAAGAATCTGGCAGGGCAGACTCTTGAAAGGAAAAGCAGAGAGATAAGATGTCTGAATCACTTTTCCCCTTGAAAACATTACACCAGGAAAGAAAAAAGTGACCTGGATCCCAAATACAGGGATTTCTCAATTATTCTTAACTTATTCTTTTTTTTTTTTTAAAAAAAAGTCCTGATTGTTTTCATGAATATATTATGATACATATTTACAAAATTTATACAGTTTACGTCATGCCATAACACACTGGTGCATTATACACATAGAACACTCCAGCAGTTTGCTCAAAACATTAAGAAACCAGGTTCTGTTACATGTCGTTTGTACTAAAGTCACAAGCATCCTCCTCCTCTTTGGTCATTTTATCCAAATTAAAAGACCTTGAAAACTATTCACCTGCTGTAGACTCCTCAGGCAGTTGCTTTTGCAGGGGAGATATCTGAGCTCTTTTAAACAACTTCTTCACCATCACCACTTTCCTGGGCACTGTGAGTGTTGTGCTTCCTCTCCTCCTGCTCCTTCTCTTCCTGTTTTGGGATTTCTTCAGAGTATGTCTTTTTCCTCTATTATTTTGTGAAACCCAAAGACCAGAAAAGGATGCTGCTGGCTAAACGAGGGCCCCTGATGACTTGTACACTGCGTGCATTGTTTTTTTTCTAGTTCTTCCAGATTAAGCCTCATGTGATGTCTGTCCCAATACTCTCATTAGAATGTGGAGGAGTCCAGGATGTAGGCAAGTGACATTTGTAACTTAAAGGGGCACCTATTCACTCAGACCACAGCAGTACGGCAGCACCTCCTATATTTGAGCTTCTACCTTTTTGGTGTATTCCTTTTCTCTGCACAAGCAAAGCAAAAAATTCCGGAGAATTACTATAGTTTGGGGCAGCAAATTCCAGTTTTACCTGTCAAGCATCAGCCTGGGACCAGATGACACTGGGAGCCTCCATTATCTTAACCTGTTTTTAAATTCAAATTCTCCTTTATGTTTTGTAGTACTCTATGGTTTTTAAACTGTTTTCACAAATATTAGCTCTTTAATCACTATAAAATGATCTCAAGAGGCAAGTCAGACAGATATTCACATTTCAGAAGAGAAAATGAAACCTGAAGAAGTTGTGATTTTTTTTATAGAATTAAGAATGACAGAAGATCCTTGACGCCTACCTCTGTGCTGTCTGCACTTCATCCCAATGCTTATGTCGTCCCAGACGTTACACTATTTCCCTGCTTTTAGACTTTTTCTTGTTTTGACTGCATTTTAAACTAGTCCATCTGTGAATAGTATTTAAAAGTATGATCATGTGGTTGACTTCCCTCAACTTCAATGTGATATTTCAGTGGGCCCACTATGCTGTTTGAAATTTGAATGCTACCCCTGTTTTTGTTTTTCACTTTTGTGTCCTTGTGTAAGGTTGAACAGAGTTTATTGCTGTATGTACATCCCATTTTGAGCTTATGAGAGCTTTTCTGTTAACGAGTTAAGTGTTACTGTGTTTCAACCCCTGCTACCCTGTGTCAGGACAACTGACCTCAGGAATATATTGCTGAGTCATATTTAAAAAAAACCCTTGACCTTTCTCCCTGTCAAAGCAAACTTGAACATATGACAGTGTTGTCTAAAATAGGACAGAGTTGGAATTTATTTTTCAGTAAATTATGGATAATTGAAAAATAGTGTATTGTTAAAAACAGTACAATCTCCCCCTGCCCACTGCCCCACTGTACTCTATTTTCTTACAAGCATACTCTAAAGTGGTGGAAATGATTTTCTTTAGCTATCATGATGCTATTTTAACTTATGCCTCTTAATTCTACTTCATTTTGCGAGTCTTTCAGACCAAAATTATTATTTCTTCTAAACTGACTTCTTATAGTTTATCATTCCCAGTTGAAATTCTCATTGTCTCCCTCCTTTCCTCCCTTCTTACCCACCTTTCCCCTCCTCTTTCTCATTCTTTCTTTCAATTATCCCTGTCTATTCTTTCATCTATATCTACTGTCTGTCCATCCTTCTGTTCATGCCCCCATTCATCCATTTATTTGGCTTTAGGTAATAGGGAAGCCCATTATTAGCATGCATAATTGTCAAAGAACAATTTCAAAATTTGAAGTTTAAAAGTCTTCTTAAATTGGGTATGTTTAAGTGAGTTTGGGATTGGCCTGCCCATCCCAATTTAAAAACAATTTTTAGAGACATGGTTTAACTATGTTGCCCAGGCTGGTCTTGAACTCCTGGGCTCAAGCAATCCTCCCACCTCTGTCTCTCAGGTAGCTGGATTGCAACATCACTCTGGGCATGCCACTCCAATTTCAAGAGTGTTTCATCATAACAATATTATATTATTATCCCTTAAAATATAATCATTTAACCTAGTGCTCACAATTTATAGGACATTGTGTGATGACAAAAACAAAGACAGCCTTTGCTTAAGAGATTGAAACTTAAAGTCAGTTCAGAGTGTGATAAAAATGGGTTTCTGTCTCCATCATGGTATGTTTTTAAAAAATGACCTTTATGATTTCAGTGACTATGCCATTTCAGTCCCGACCACTTTTCTCCATGATTGAGCTGGTCCTACATCAGCTGTCTCAAGATTATTCCACACTGTAAACTCTAAAGGGAAATGGCCATTGGCCAAGGAGCTTGCTTTCAGCAATCCAAAGAGATGTCTTACTTTCTAAGAGACAACCCTACCTCCCTCTTGTGAAAGACATTATGAGGAATTTAGTTGACTCAGAGCAAAGTTGTTAGAGAGTTGTTGTTAAATGATAAGATATATTCTTTAGGAGATGATAGAGATGTTCACTAAAGGAAGAAAGGTAGTAATGGCTTTAGTCTGCTGAGCTATTATTTGTGGAATATTGCATATTTTTCAAACATAATAGGTTTCCTGTGTTTTGTTATTGAGAATTGTGTGTATATGTGTGTGCATGATGCAAATAATAATTTTTTTTTTTTTGAGACGGAGTCTAGCTCTGTTGCCCAGGCTGGAGTGCAGGGGTGTGATCTTGGCTCACTGCAACCTCTGCTTCCCGGGTTCAAGCAATTCTCCTGCCTCAGCCTCCCAAGTCGCTGGGATTACAGGCATGTGCCGCCATGCCCGGCTAATTTTTGCATTTTTAGCAGAGACGAGGTTTTGCCATGTTGGCCAGGGTGGTCTCGAACTCCTGATCTCAAGTTATTTTCCCTCCTCAGCCTCTCAAAGTGTTGGGATTACAGGCGTGAGCCACCACACCTCGCCAATAATGTTTTAAGCCCAGAAAAATTCATCTTAAGGTAACCTACCTTATCAACTAAGAAATATCTCTCCTGAAAGCGCTCACACTTTGTGCGAAACTTGTCTATTGCCCTTTGTTGAGAAATTAGGATGAAAAAGTTAATTTTTAGAGAGATATTCAGAGTTATAACACCAAAGCCCTGTTTGTGGGTTCAAATGAAAAAATAAGAGCTAGTAATGATTTATTTTTACTAATAACTTTAAAGTATTCTAAACGGCTTTATTGAGATATAATTTACATTTCACAAAATTCTCCCATTTAAAGTATGCAGTTCAGTGCTTTTGAATGTATATACAGAGTTGTGAAACCATCACCAGCATTTAATTTTAGGACATTTTTGTCATGCCAACAAGAAATCTCGTTAGCATTCACTCCCTGTCCCTGTCACACCCAGCCCCCAGCCCTAGGCAACTACTAATCTGACTCTCTCTGTTGATTTTCCTAGTCTGGACATCTCACATGTATGGAATCATACAATATGTGCTCTTTGGGACTGGATTCTTTTACTAATAACTTTTTGTGATTATGGAAGTTATTCTAATTTTAGAAGTTTTTAACAGATAGAATGTTCAAAGAAGAAAATTAAAACGACTTCTAATGACATTACTCCAAAGAAAACAAGTTTAATTATATCGTATGTTGCTTTTCAGATTTTTTTCTATTTATTTGTTTATTTCTCTCATTAATTTGCTTAGCAACATCTATTGAGTACTCAGTATGGATCAACTACAGTGCTGGGCACTGGGCATGCCAGATACACAAGACAAACAGCTTACGGGTTATTGAGGAAATAAGTAATAACCATCACAGCGAGTGCTACAAATGATAAATACAGACTGCTCGTAGTATACAATGGGGACTTAATTTAATTTTCTCTAAAGAAATTATTCAATATATGCCTATTTATATGTATTATAAATAATTGGAACTGTATTCTTAAAACTATATCATGAATATTCTCTCATTTATTAGTTCTTTGAGACTGCTATTTTTAATGACTTCATAATTTTCTGCTGGATGGATATACCAAGTTTATTGGAAATTTGAATATTTCCTCGAATTTAAACTGCTCATAAATGACATTCATCCTGAGGTTTAAAGTAGAAAAAAGCTTACATGTGGAAGCAAATGAACTTATGGCCAATATTTGCCAATTAATTCCTTCGAATATATATGTAGCTTTAAGATCCCTCTAGAATCAGGACCTAAGATTTATGGCTTCTGAAGATAAAGGTGTTCACAGCATTCCTTGTTTAATAACTACTCTCACTGCCATTGACTTAAGACATTTGGGAAATCTCAGAGAAATCCAGTAGAAAGGATGGCCAAAAAGAGCTCTGAGGGGATTTCTTGGCCCTCTCTGGCCTCCAAAGCACTTTCTAACTATTCTCAGAAGAGCCTGGAGAGATTGTCAATAAGACAGGGACAGGAAAGTTACTGTTGAAAACTCTTAGAGATGCTGATGATAGAATCGTTGATGTTCAAGAAATATTTTTTCTTTGATGTTTATGAGTTTATTTGCTTTCTACTTTTCTTTTTCAAGCCTTTTGCTTCTTCTGCTTTTTGCATGACATGTCCTCTATTTATGTGAAATCCTTCCTGTTGCATGCAGTCAGATCTTATTGTCAGCTGTCTCCCCCGGGGTCAAAGACATCCAAACATAAATCCTCTCTTGTCGGCCTCTTGCTTTTCTCCTACCCTTTGTGTTTTGCCATTTTCTTCCCGCCTTTTGCTTTCCCGCTTTTGTTTTTTTGGGGCTGTTTGATCCACCTCCACTCCTTTTTTTTAGGTCATAAAGTTTTTTTTTGTCACTGACTTTTTTTGGGTCACAAGGTCTTTTTTTAAATTCAGTGGTATAGCTGTCCCCCTTTTCAATCTATTGTGCCTTGGTGTTCTCTGCTGCCTCTCTTTCTCTCTCTCTCCCTCCCTCTCACTGTGTGTTTATTTAATATGTGTTTCACCTTAGCTCTCCTCATTTGTGATCCTGAATTTGTGCAGGAGCGTCTCACACATTCTATATAGTCTCGGAAAGGGCAGACAAATTAAAAGAAAAGGATTGAGACTGAAAGAAAACATTGAAATGAACAGAGCAGCTATTGATCCTTGATGAAACAACAGCTCCAAATGTAGATTCACTTTAAAGAAGGACAAACTGAAGAGGAAATTTCTCAACATATTGCTCCTATTAAGAAGTTCCCTACCTTAAGTCCAGAGATTCATCATTGTTTTGAAGGAAGACCTCTAAAAATAGGCTAGTTATAGAAGTATGATTATTTAGAGAGCCACATGCAATTCTTCCCATGAACAGAATTGATAATTTTAGAGACTTATAATGGGAGATACTCTAGGATGCAGCAGCTAAGAGCCACTTTGAAATAGATTTTAAATGATAGATTTTAAAATTTAAATACACCATATGACAAAAAATCGTTATTTAAAAGTTCTTACCCCAGCTTGCAGGAAGAGATGGTCAAAGAGCTTATTTGACAAAACTTGTTGGGCGACTGTGTGCCATGCATTGTGCTGGATGCTGGGAACCTGTAGGTGAATCAGCATGCACGGTGCCTACCCTGGTCATAATCTAACATAGAACTTAGATTCATTCTCCCATCAGTTCATTTATTTATTCCCTTAATATAAATGAACAAAGTCTTAAACCTTGACCTCATGTAATCCACAGTCTGAGTGTAGCTTATTTTTTTTATTTTTAATTTTTTTTAGTAAGACGGAATCTTGCTCTGTCCCCCAGGCTGGAGTGCAGTGGTGCGATCTCCGCTCACTGCAAGCTCCGCCTCCCAGGTTCACGCCATTCTCCTGCCTCAGCCTCCTGAGTAGCTGGGACTACAGGCGCCCGCCACCACCACGCCCGGCTAATTTTTTGTATTTTTAGTAGAGACAGGGTTTCACCTTGTTAGCCAGGATGGTCTCTATCTCCTGACCTCGTGATCCACCCGCCTGGGCCTCCCAAAGTGCTGGGATTACAGGCGTGAGCCACCGCGCCCGGCCTGTGTTTATTATCTATGGGAACTCAGGCTTTAGATAAGGAATTTGGAAACTCACATCTTAAATCTAGAAAGAATGGTATTTCTGCAAAGATAGATGATTTCAGATTGATATACGATTTTTGAAATAACCAAGAATTTTTTATAGTGGCTCTATTATAATTGGAAAACTGAACTGAATAATTTCTTAAGCCCCTTTCAATTATTTAAAAAGTTTTTTTAATACTCGACATTGCTAATCACTAGAGAAAAGCAAATTAAAACCACAATGATATATTATCTCACACCTGTCAGAATGGCTGTTATCAAAAACACAAAAGATAGCAGTGTTGGCAAGGATGGGGAAAAAAAAAAACCCTTGTACACTGTGATGGGAATGTAAAGCCATTATATAAAATTCTATAGAGGTTCTTCAGCAAGCTAAAAATAGAACTACCATATGATCCAGCAATCCTATCTCTGGGTATGAACCCCCAATATTTGAAATCAGTTTGTTGAAGAGATGTCTGCACTCCCACGTTCATTGCAGAATTACTGACAATGACCAGTTATGGAATCAGACTAAATGTCCATCAACAGATGAATGGATTAAAAAAATGAAATAAGTGTTCAGCCTTAAAGAAGATAGAAATTCTGTCATCTGCAACAACATTGATGGAATTGGAGAACATCGTGCTGAGTGAAATAAGTCAGGCACAGAAAGAAAAATATCTCACATTCTTACCTACATGTGGAATCTAAAACAGTTGAACTAACAGAAGCGGAAGGTAGAATGGTGGTTACAGAGGCTGAGGTGTGTGGGGAATGGGAAGATAATGGTTAAAGGTACAAAATTTCAGACAAGAGAAATATGCTTGCTTTTTTTTTTGACATCTATCATGCAGCATTGTGAATATAGTTGATAATAGAATATTGTATATTTCAAAATTGCTAAGAGTAAAGTTCAAATGTTCTTACCACAAAAACATTAAGTATTTGACGTGATGAATATGTTAGCTAGCTTGATTTAGTTATTCCACATGACATTCATAAATAATAACATCATTTGTACCCCATAAATTTATACAATTATAAGTTGTCAATTTACAATAAAATAAACATTTACAATAACCAAAAACGGAGAAAATAGTGAAACAACACACAAAAAGTGAAGAGTAAGAGAATGATAAGCTGAACTGCATTAATACTGTGGTTTTCAAGTTATGCTGCAATTAATATTGCCGAGATGTATTGTGCATACAGTCTAACTATGAGATCCTAATATAGTTCAATAAAATTACTTGGATTAAAAAACCTTTTCTGATTTTATTTATGTCTATTTTATCAGTTGATCTCCATCCATAGGGTCCATGTACCTGAAAGACAGATACTCAGAGAAGATAAAATTACAGTTTCTGTAGCAAAACATCATATTTTCTTTTCAGTCTTAACAGGTACCCCAAAATTGTACTGGAAATATGGTCTGGGTTTGTACTTATAGATCAGTGTAGTTCTTTTGACTCTAACAATTCACTTTTATTCATAATTTAATATTTAAATCAAAAGTCTGTTGTTGCCTTTGCATAGTCTAAAATGAACTGCTTAGCTGGTGCAACCCATGTGTTTTCCTATGATGTGTGTTTAAAGACACTAATTACTTAATGAAGTACCAAATAATGTGTTCCAAATAAAATTTATTTTGGTGAAAGAGAGATTCTCAGATTAGAGGGAAGGAGTCCAAAAAGAAATGAATCATGCCCATTCAGTGTCTGTTATGTCTCTGTTTTTCACTTGGATGCCATGTTAGCATTTCCTTTGGGGCCTGTAGAGTATCTGAGTACTTCACATGATGACCGCACTGACTCATCTGGAAATGTAACACATTTTTACAAATTGTTGTCACTCTCAGAATTTTGGTGTGACAGACAAATGTTGGCTGAAAGATAAGTATATAAGAATATAGATCAGCTTTGAGAGGCTCAGAAGGTGGATTTAAAGTATACAGCTATCAAGTCTTAGCTCATAATTTTTGGTTCAAACAAATGTGAAGAAGAGACATTAAACAAGAGCCAACCAGTACAGAGTTCTTTTTTATATTAATAGTGACAAGGGGACTGGGTGCTCATGGCCCACTCCAGTAACGCCAGTGCTTTCGGAGGATGAAGAGGGCGAATTGCTTGAGGCCAAGAGTTCAGGACAAACCTGGGCACTATAGAGAGACTCCAGCTCTACAAAAAAAAATTTTTTTTAAATTAGCCAGCTGTGGTAGCCAGGTGTGATGCCTGTACTACTAGCTACTTGGGAGGCTGAGGCAGGAGGATTGCTTGAGCCCAGTAGTTCAAGGCTGCAGTGAACTATGATTGTGCCACTGCACTCCAGGCTGTGCAACAGAGCTGTAATTCAAATAGACAATGATAATATGGCAGTCCTTTATATAGCATTGATTTAAAATTAGAATAAGATTCAATATACTCATCATACAATGAAGAGAAGAGCCAATAGGAAAAGTATAATTTTCTCTTCAAAGGCTCCCTTTTGTATGTTGGATTGGAACTCCTTGTCTACCTCTAGCTGTGTACCAATCAAGATTGGTGCATAGCATTCATTTCCAAGTGAGTGGCTGGCAAGTTTAACTAGGAATTTAAATCTAACTAGAGTTGTTTTAGATGTAAAAAAGAAAAACATATTTTTGTTTGTATCTTCCATTTGAGATAAGCTTCAAATTTAGTATTAGCCCTCTGATATATTCTACAAATCAAGCTGGTTTTGTTCTTAAGCTTTTATGTTATAGGGCAGTTTATTCCATCCAATTATCTAGTACCAATTGGTAAAGCTATGGACAAAGCTGCACTTTACAAATGCTCAGATTTTAAACTCTATGAATAAAATATCTAACTATGAATTTGAGAAGCCAAGTGACTGCATTGTAATAAACATGATTCCTCCATTAAAATAGTGTATACCGGCAAGTGGATTTGTGGAATGTGTTATGCCAGTTCATTTAATTCAGACTCCACATGAGCTTTGCCTCAATTATAAATGTTGGCTGTCTGTATAAGCCACTATTGGACTTATCCCTTCTGTTTAATCTTGTCTGTGTAGTTGAGATTCAAGTCTCTCTTCAGTTGCACTGGACAGAAGATTTGACTTCCAATTCTGGATTTGCTATTTACTAACCATATGACATTGAGCAAGTATTTTATCTCAGGCTCAAGGTTCTCATATGTGAAATGAACCTAACAGTATCATCCTTCTTAATTGATAGAGTCATTGTGAGAATCAAATAGAATTAAGATAATGGATGAAAAAGTCCCGAATACTATGATCAGCCCAAGTAAATTAGTAATAATAATGAAGTAGGCATGGTTAGCAAACACACAACAAAGTGAAACTCATGGCATAAAATATCTGTGGGAAATGTAAATATGGGATATGATTCCATAGCTATTTCTTTCCCATCCCTCTTTGGCTAGTTAGCTCTGCATCAGCCTTCCTCAGGAGAATCTTACCAACTGCCTTCTCCTCTACTCCTACTCCATTACAATGGGTACTACGTGTATTACCTCCAATATACTCTTATGATCACTACGCTTCATAGTACTACATCCAATATCTACTTGTGTGCATATTATGTTGTCTCTCTCATTAGCTTCATGAGAGTAGGAACTTGTTTGTTTTGCTCACATACTTTAACATCAATACACTGTGTCTGACACCAAATCATTGTTGAATGATTGTTGGATAAAAGTTTCAGCTGTTAATATGCTTATCTAAATCAACTTCAGACACTAACTAAAAATTGGATTCAGAAAATGCTAAAAAAAACTCAAGAAAGTAATCTACAGAGGTGAAGGCATAGTCAGTCATTCTAGTTAAAATGGGATTAATTTTGCTTAGTCTAAACCCAGATGCAGACTGCCATCTTTTGGGCCTTCGGCTCGGAGTAAACTTGATTCTTTTAATATTACATGAAAGGGATTTCTGGTTTTAGTACTCTTTATTGAACTGCAGTCAGTCATCTTAGATGTTGAAAATCTGCTTGTAAATAAATTTTGAGTCAATTTTTATTTTTCATTTATAAAATAATTCCTTAAAGTAGATTATATATTTAGGGAGAAATCCGTATCTCAACGCTTTTATTTTTTACGTGGGCTGTGCTTATTTACATGAGCACATTTTCATTTATTGAGGCCAAGCTATAGCACATCAACTTGATTGCTCTGTGGACTTAGCACAGGACTCAGAAGCTAATGAGTTCCTGTCACAGCCCTCCACATAACTTTTCGTGGCCTTCTGCAGTCAGTAAGCCCTTCTGGACTTAATGTCCTAGCTATGTAGTTGAGATTATAATATGAGTTTCTTTAATGCCTCACTTGAATGGGAAGAGGATTAATGAATAGTCTGGCTTGACCCTAATGGCGAGAAAGAAATAAATCATTTGCTTTTTAAGGGGTTCACTAACTCTTTGAAGCTAGCAGCTATTTAGTGCTTGGAAAGATAATTTATTAAATGACCCCAGGCTAGCCTTAAAGATGTAATGCACATCCCCAAACTGAGAAATTGTCCACTTCTTACTGGCAAAAACAGGCATCCCATCTTTTAAGAGTGACTTTCATAAAAGTGCATTAGTTATATCACTTTGTTAATCCCTTGTAAAAATAATGCTGGTGAAATTGTACTGGGAATATATTAAAATAAATTTAATAGATGATATTTTTTAAATAAGAAATACTCTGCTAGGCTGATTTTATATTATTCTGCATTTGTAGTTTTTTTGGATAAAAATTTCAAGCAGATTCTAAAAATCACATGTGCTTTTATCGTAGCTGTGTTTATTCAATACCCCTGCCCATCCATAGCCTTTATGTATATTTTTAATTAACTGATATAATTACCGTGTAAAAGTCTATGAAACATGTTTGACATTTAAAAGAAGTCCCTATACTTGAAAAGTTCAGAAAGTAATGTCCAATAACAAATCTAACTATATTTAGAATACAAGTCTGACTACATTTAGCATTTCTGTTCCTGACTATAGCAAGATCTAAGGCAACATTTTGAATTTTTCCCAAGGTTTGTGCCATTTTTTCTTTTCTTTTTCTTTTCTTTTTTTCTGAGACGGAGTCTCGCTCCGTCGCCCAGGCTGGAGTGCAGTTGCGCGATCTCAGCTCGCTGCAAGCTCCGCCTCCCAGGTTCACGTCATTCTCCTGCCTCAGCCTCCCGAGTAGCTGGGACTACAGGCTCCTGCCACCACGCCCAGCTAATTTTTCTGTACTTTTAGTAGAGACTGGGTTTCACCGTGTTAGCCAGGATGGTCTCGATCTCCTAACCTCGTCATCCACCTGCCTCGGCCTCCCAAAGTGCTGGGATTACAGGCGTGAGCCACAGCGCCCGGCCTACCATTTTTCTTTAACTATTTTTGTTGTTGTTGTTGATCAGAATTGGGTTCAGAGATTAGATATCTTTATTTTTTTCTTCTAACTTCTCAAACAGGGACTTTTATCAAGGCACATTAAGAATTTATGAGATGCACTGAATTTAGCAAATAGACTTCCACAGAATGCCTGGCTATTTAAGGTTTCCCATAATTTTTATATCTTGAGGCAGTATATGTGAATTTGTTTAGCATAGTCTTGTAGCTCCATAGTGATGTTCAGTAAATTTGAGTTTTCATTTCCTGTTTGCCTTTAAAATGTATCAGGAATGCGATATTCATATTCCCCAACTGGCCAAATAGCCTATAGTACATGACCTGAATAAGTCTCATGTCTCTTTCTCTCTCCTTTTGTCTTTTTCAATTTTTGTACCCATATCACTGCTCTGTCTTCAATCTTGATTTCTTTTCACTGGCATATAAATTTTTATCTCTTAAATCTAGTTGGAAATTTATCTTATCAAATTTGAGAAATACAGTATTTTTCTTATTTTCCTAGAACATCCTTGGACTTTCTGCTGCATTTTAGGACTCTTCAAGGTCTACTTACTTTTAGTTTTTTCATGACTGTCTGGTGTGCGTTAGATGTCCCTCATCTCAGATTTTATAGTGATATTGTTTGGCTGTGTCCCCACCCAAATCTCACCTTGAATTGTAGCTCCCATAATTCTCATGTCTCATGGGAGGGACCCAGTGGGAGGTAATTGAATCATGGAGGTGGGTCTTTCCCATGCTGTTCCCATGATAGTGAATAAGTCTCATGAGATCTGATGGTTTTATAAAGGGGAGTTTCCCTGCACATGCTCTTTCTTGCTGCCATGTAAGATGTGTCTTGCTTCTCCTTTGTCCTCCATCATGATTGTGAGACCTCCCCAGTCATGTGGAACTGTGAGTCAATTAAACTCTTTCCTTTATAAATTACCCAGTCTCGGGTATGTTTTTATTAGCATCATGAGAACAGACTACTACACATAGAAATCCATATGAATCTTTACCAGTATTTAAAATACTATACTTTAATTGTAAGCCCTATAATCTGCGTCATTCACTAGACTGTGGGTCTTAGGGACTGAGGTTCTCAGGCACTGTATTTTGTCTCTGTAACACAGGGCTTAGCACATAGTTAGCATTCAATAAATAAAATTCCATTTACTTCCTTGTGTTAGTTCTTAAATTTATGAACCATGGTGCTTTGGAGGATAGATAACTTACATCATAACTCTTATATCTGCCTCCTCTTTACAAATAGTTTTCTCCTATAAATTACTGGGTATCTTTTCCATTGTGAGTCTTCTTCCAGTATCTCATGTCCTCCAAAGTAACCATTCTATTTTCATTGTTTTAACCAAACATTTTTATTTTACCACTTTCATTTCCTATTTAAAGCCTTTCCGATCAAAGTTGTGAATTTGTGGGCAAACATATTGAGTCTTCTAGTTCTCAAAAGATGAGTGTTTGTCCCAACTAAAAAATTTATGTTTTTGATATCAAACAGTTTCAGAAATACGAATCACACTGCATAATCTCATAATCATTCATTTCTCTTACTCTTTTCTCATCCCAAACTCAAGCTTTCAGTTTGAATAAAAAAATGAAACCTTACTTTCCCAAGTCTTGAGTTTTCTGTTAGCAAAGATATTTATAGATATTCCTTCATAGTAGTTTTTATCTCAGTGTGAAGCACGAGGTGTGGGGCATGGTCTGTGGATATGCCTGAGAAAAATCAACTGCTTCTGAAGGCCCATGCCAGTCTGTCCAAGTCATTTCCATTCCCCTAACCCAAATCCAAATTCCATGTACTTTCACTGGTTCCCAGCTTTGTCATTGTCATCATGACGTGTATTTCCTTTTAATTCTAGAAAAATAATTTACATAGCCTTCTTCAGAAGGTCTAGAAAAACCCACTGTGGGTCAACATCTCAAAGGTGTGGCATAGGTCAAATGATTTAGCATTTTTTCACTCTCTTCCCTAGATTCCCTAAATTATTCTCTCATATTAATATACTAAGAATATTTCATTTATTCCCATTCTATTTGTAACCTTTTCTTACATAAAGAAGGAAGTCTCCATTTCATCTAGATTTTTTAGTTTGTTTGCATAGAGATGTTCATAATAGTCTCTGAGAATCTTTTGTATTTCTGTGGGATTGGTTGTAATGTCATCTTGTTCATTTCTGATTGTGCTTATTTGGATCCTCTCTTTTTTTTCCTTCTTCATCTAGTTACCAGTCTATCAAACATGTTTATCCTTTTAAAGAACCAACTTTTGATTTTATTAATTATATGGATTTTTGTGTCTCAATACTGTTCAGTTGTACTTTGATTTTAGTTACTTATTTTCTTCTGCTAGCATTGGGGTTAGTTTGTCCTTGTTGTTCTGGTTCCTCTAGGTATGATGTTAGAATGTTAATTTGAGATTTTTCTAAATTTTGATGTAGGTGTTTAGTGTGATAAGCTTTCCTCTTACCATTGCTTTTGCTACATCCTAGAAATTTTGGGATGACATGTCTCTGTTTTCATTTATTCCAAAGAATTTTTGTTGTTTCTGCCTTAATTTTATTGTTTCCCCAAAAGTATTCAGGAGCAAGTTGTTTAATTTCCATATAATGGTGTAGTATTTTGGTATTGATTTCTATTTTTATTCTACTATGGTCCAAGAGTATGATTGGTATGATTTTTTTTAAATTTATTGAGACTTACTTTATGGCTGAGCATGTGGTCAATTTTAGGGTATGTTTCATGTGTAGATGAGAAGAATGTTTATTCCATGGTTGATGGATGGAATATTCTGTAGATATCCAATTGATGAAGTGTTAAATTTAAGTCCAGAATTTTCTTGTTAGCTTTCTGTCTTGATGGTCTATCTAACACTGTCAGTGGGATGTTGAAGTCTCCCACTATTATTGTGTGACTATCTAAGTCTTTTTGTAGGCCTAGAAGTACTTGTTTTGTGAATCTGGGTGTTCCAATGTTGAGTGGGTACTCTATTCACACAAACTAAAAAGTATACAGAAAATGGTTAAATTCTTAGAAACACACAACTTCTCAAGATTGAATCAGGACAAATGTGATACCTTGAACAAACCAATATTGAGTTCTGAAATGGAATCAGTCATAAAAAACCTACCAACTCCCCAAAAGTCCTGGACCAGACAGACTCACAGCTGAATTCTACCATAGGTACAGAGAAGAGCTGGTACCAATTCTACTGAAACCATTTAAAAAATCGAGGAGGAGGGACTTCTCCCTAACTGATTCTATAAAGCCAGCCTCGCCATAGTACCAAAACCTGGCAAAGACACAATGAAAAAATAAAACCACAGGTCAGTACCCCTAATAAACATAGACACAAAAAAATTCTCAACAAAATGCTAGCAAACCAAATCCAGTAGCACATCAAAAAGTTAATTTGTCACGATCACGTAGGCTTCATTCCTGGGATGCAAGGTCAGTTCAACATATGCAAATCAATGAATGTGATCAACCACACAAATGGAAATAAAAGCAACAACCATACAATCATCTCAATAGATGCAGAGAAAGCTTTAAATAAAATCTAACATCCTTTCACGATAAAAACTCTCAACAAACTAGGCATTGAAAGAATGTATCTCAAAATAATTAGCACCATCTGTGATAAACCCATTGCCAACATCATACTGAATGGGCAAAAGTTGGAAGCATCCTCTTTAAGAATAGGAACTATCAGACTTAGTGACATGGTAAAACCCCATCTCTACAAAAAATGCAAAAATTAGCTGGGCATTGTGCCTGTGGTTCCATTCTACTTGGAAGGTTGAGGTGGGAAGATCACTTAGCCTGGGAGGCAGAGATTACAGTGAGCCAAGATCAAGCCACTGCATTCCAGCCTGGGCAGTGAGACACAGTCTCAAAAAAAAAAAAAAAAAAAAAAAAAGAATAGGAATAGGAACCAGACAAGGATTCCTACTCCTCTTCAACATAGCACAGAAAGTCCTAGACAGAGCAATCAGGTAAGAGAAATAAATTAAAGGGATCCAAATAGGAAAATAAGTCAAATTATCTCTCTTTACTGACAATATGATTATATACCTAGAAAACCCAAAAGACTCCACCAAAAACCTGATAAACAACTTCAGTAAAGTGTCAGCATACAAAATCAATGTAAAAAATCTGTAGGATTTCTACACCAATAACATTCAAGCTGAGAGTCAAACCAAGAATATAATCCCATTTACAAAAGCCACAAAAATATATAAAATACCAAGGAGTACATCCAATCATGGAGGTGACGGAGCTCTCCAAGAACTACGAAACACTGCTGAATGAAATAACAGATGACACAAATGGAAATACATTCCATGCTCGTCAATTGGAAAAATTAATATAATTAAAATAGCAATACTACCCAAAGCAATCTATAGATTCAAGCCTGTTCTTATCAATCAACATCATTTTTCATAGAATTAGAAACAAACTATTCTAAAGTTCACATAGAACCAAAAAGGAACCTGAATAGCCAAAGTAATCCTAAGCAAAAAGAACAAAGCTTGAGGCATCACATGATCCAACTTCAAATGATATTATAAATCTACAGTAACCAAAACAACATCGTACTGGTACAAAAACAGACATACAGACCAATGGAACAGAAGAGAGAACCCAGAAATAAACCCACACACCTACAACTGTCTGGTCTTCAACAAAATCAACAAAAATAAGCAATGGGGAAAGGACTTCCTATTCAATAAATGGTACTGGGATAGTTTGCTGGCCATATGCAGAAGAATGAAACTAGACCCCTACCTTGAACCATATACAAAAATTAATGTGAGATGGATTAAATATTTAGATGTAAACCTCAAACTATAAAAAACCTAGAAAAAATTCTAGGAAATGCCATTTTGGACACTAGTCTTGGCAAATAGTTTATGACTAAGTCTTTCCTCAAAAGTAATTTCAATAAAACAAAAAACAAGTGAGACCTAGCTAAACTAAATAGATTTTGCACAACAAAAGAAACTATCAACAAATTAAACAACAACACACAGAATAGGAGAAAATATTTGCAACTATGCATCCAACAAAGGTCCAATATCTGAAATCCAAAAGTATCTTATAGAACTCAACAAGCAAAACCCAGATAACCCCATTAAAAAGTGGGCAAAGGACATGAGCAGACACTTCTGAAAAGAAGACATTCAAACAGCGAAAAAAGTATGAATAAATGCTCCATACCGTTAATCATCAGAGGCATGAAAATCAAACCCATAATGAAATACCATCTCACACTAGTCAGAATGACTTATTGAAAAGACCAAAAATAACAGATGATGGTGAGGCTGCAGAGAAAAGGGAAGACTTATATACTGTTGGTGGAAAAGTAAATTAGTTCAGCCACTGTGGAAAGCAGTTTGGAGACTTCTCAAAGAACTTAAAACGGAACTACAATTTATTCCAGCTATCCCATTAGTATCCCAAAGAAAAACAAATCATTCTACCAAAAGGACACATGCACTCATTTGTTCATCACAGCACTATTCACAGTAGCAAAGACATGGAATCAAACTAGGTGCCCATTATCAGTGGATTGAATACAGAAAATGTGAATAAAGAAAATATTTTCCATATACTGTGAAATACCATGGAATACTATGCAGCCATAAAAAGAACAAAATCATGTCCTTTGCAGCAACATGGGTGCAGCTCTAGGTCATCATCCTAAATGAAATGATGAAGGAACAAAAACCAAAATATTGTGATTCTCACTGACAGCTAAACATTGGGTACCTATGGACACAAAGATGGGAAAAATAGACACTGAAGACTACTAGAGAGGGGAGAGGGGGAAGAGGAAAGAGCTGAAAAACCACTCTATTGGGTACTGTGCTCACTATTTGGATGATGGGATCATTCATAACGCAAACATGAGTATCATGCAATATACCCATGTAACAAACCTATGTATGTATCCCTTGAATCTAAAATAAAAGTTGAAATTATAAAAAAGGGAAATAATTATTTACACTGACAAACTGGGGGATAGAGCGGTATTTCCCTAGTTACAGAAAACTTTTGTATACTGAGGCAAAGAAGATAATGATTTTGCCCTAATTTAGAACTTTAATGACAGGCTTCCACAATGATTTTACATGTACAGATTTCAAATTAGTTTCCAGTATTGACATCCTTTACTTGGTCCTTTATATAAAAGATTTATATTTTTTAGTAGAAACAAAAAGAAAAGAAAAGGTATATATCTATGGTTGTGTCTACATTTTATCTGTAAAACTGAAAATTTCATAAATATGGGGTTAGCATAGTGATTGAGGTATAAATTTTCAATATTCCTATGTTCTATGCAATTTTTAATGTTTTTTATTGACATACATACAAAGAAAAATATACACATCATTATATGATAGCAGCTTGATGAATTATTGCAAAATAAACAGATCCATGTAACTACCACAAACATTAAGAAATATATGTTATTGGTCCCCCAGAATCCCTTTAATGCCCCTTCCCAATTACTACCACTTCCCCTAAAGGTAACTATTATTTTAACAGCAGTGCTTGCTTTTCCCTGTTTTTTAATGACCAAAAGTAAAATTACAAATGTGAGAATTTCTCATTTGTGGAATAAGGATAACCTTGGGGAAAATGGAAATACTGTATATTAATTATTTTAAGATAACTTTATGACACACAAGCATGTATCGAGTTACTTTGCCGATTTAGAGTTATAAAAATACTTGTGTAGTTTGATTATCTCATAAAAGTTACAAAAATGAATCTTTAAAAGTGGAAAAAATGATAAAGATTAGTAAAAAAAATCCCCTCACTGTTTAGGGGCAAAATACAAAACATAACTAAGCAGCAAAATGTAGACAAAAAAAATCTCTCTTTAAAAATATCCTACATTTCCTCAGGTCTTTGCATATTCAGCCTACACATATAGTGGCAGGATACACTACAGACCTGGTTTTCCAGCTTTCACTTTTGGTGACTCAGAGCATATTCCATGTTGGATTAGCCTGACCGAGTATTATTGTCAGAGTAGTTCCATGGCCGTTTATGTAGACACAATCTTTTTCTCTCATTGCAACCTAAGTATTATGACAGGCCAATAATTCTTTCAGCATGTGTGGGAACTTGATTTACCAATGGACAATTTGATTACAGCACATATTACTTGAGAGGTTTATAAGAGTGTGTTAGTGCTTTCTCACACTGCTATAAAGAACTACCTGAGACTAGGTAATTTATAAAGAAAAGAGGTTTAATTGACACATAGTTCCACAGGCTGTATAGGAGGCATGACTGGGGACGCCTCAGGAAACTTAAAATCATGGCAGAAGGGTGAAGAGGAAGCAAGCATGTCTTCGCATGGCTGCAGGAGAGAGAGAGCAAAGGGGGAAGTGTTACACACTTTTAAATAACCGGATCTCGTGAGAACTCACTGGCTATCACAAAAAAAGAAAGGGGAAATCTGACCCCATGATCCAGTCACCTCCCACCGTAACATATGGTTGGGGACACAGAGCCAAACCAGAGTTAGTGCATTTTTTGAAGAGAATGTGATTCAAGTACTGAGATAGTGACTCCACAACTATAAATTATTAATATGTATTAACACTATCCAGGAGAAGTGTTAATTGGCCTGACTTGAGAGAAGATTTGAGAAAGAGTTGAGGTAAAGTGAAACTATACAGGAATATCTGTGTATTTTTGTAAAGATTCCTGTGGCTGTATTACTTCGAATAAAACATAATGACAATAGTACCTTTTGTTCATGTAACACTCTAATTGTCAGAGTATGTTTATCTTATTTAATTCTCAGAATAACTCTGTGACGTAAGCAAGGAAAATGTGAGTCAGATAAGGAAATTAAGGCTCATGAGCGGTTGAGTGGTTTGAGGCATGGCAGAGCAAATTGCTAGCTCAGCAAGGCGGAGCCCCCACTCTTAAGTTCCCAGTGCGAGGCCTATTACATTACAATACTGGGACTTATTCAAAAAATATGCTAAAATCCTATTTGAGCCATTTTTGTAATATTAATTTTTCTAAGTCCATTTATAGGTGAAAAGAATATAAATTTTTATTTTAAGAAAGTGGGTACTGTTGTGGAGTAGGGGGAGGGGGGAGGGATAGCATTAGGAGATATACCTAATGCTAAATGACCAGTTAATGGGTGCAGCACACCAACATGGCACATGTATACATATGTAACAAACCTGCACGTTGTGCACATGTACCCTAGAACTTAAAGTATAATAATAAAAAAATAAACAAATAAAAAAGAAAGTAGAGATCTTGAAATATATCTTTATTTTCTTCATGCATGATTATTAATTGAGGGTCCATACTGTAGTTGGCACTGTAAATGACTAATTTCTTGTGAGTTCAGACTTCCCATGAGGCCATGTTAAGGTAAAACGCTGCTGGCTAAAAACATGCTGCCAGATATACAGGCAAAAATGTTTTTCTGTCCTTTGATCAGTGTTTAGTCTTATTCAGCTAAATCTGTGCCCTCCTCTGCAGGAAAACAAGGTCTATCAGGCACAGAACTGTCACTGACTTTGAAACAAGTAGCTCTGTACTCAGAGAAGCTTCATGTGTGTGTATGTGCATGTTGTGCGTGCCTGTGAGTGTGCATGTGTGTGTAGTACAGAATTTGACCATTTACTTGGTGCATCAAAATTGCGGCCTTTCTTCTGTTGCTTTTGTTAACAAAACTATTGTTGGCACGTCACTGGGTACCATGTGCTGATTTTTACACTTGCTTTTAGGGCTTGAATCTATCTTATGCATTGTTTCATCACAAAGAACTTCAGTAATTTTATTCTCATTGTATTTGAATTATCAGCTTTGTATGTGTGACTTGAACTTGTTAGATTCATTTTTAGCACATGTGTGCCTAGACAGAAAGCAGGTTTTTAAAAAGAACTATGGAAGTTAATTATTTTGCTGTATAACGCTGTTTTATTAAGCATTTGGCTTTGGCATTATTCATTGGCATCTGTCATTTCTCTATGCCTGAAGCTTTTGATTCAGATAACAATTCATCAGATAAGCATAATTACTCAGCAAGAAGCCTCTGTGTAAGAACCTGGAGTGTAAACTATTTCAGATGTCCTTTGGGGTGATATGGCAGTTTACCGGAGACTGACAAAACCAACATAAACTCTCCTTGGCCCATGAAATTCATGACTGCAAGGTTTACTTGATCATGTTTCTTTCAATATAATGAGAAAGTGGATTTGAAAATGCTTTGAACTTTATAGAATGCTTAGCAAACATAAAAGTATTGCTATCATTATCAGTTATGCTTACTGGAATGCTCCCCTTAATAATGTGAGATTACCTTGAAAAAGTAGCAAGATCTGCTATCTTTAGTTTTGTGCAAATTATGGGAATGTAGTAACAATCTCTGTTGACAAAGAAATATCTGATTTATTATCTATTTTGTCACTGTCTTTTAGGCTTTCAGCACTTGGCAAAGGAGAGTGAGATTGAGGAGGTATAGAGGAATCAAGATATAGGAGGGAAATAATTCCTGGAGAGGCTTTTACTGAAATGTGCTGGGAAGACTGGCTCTTTGTCTCTCCCTGACCCTATTAATCTGTACTTGTATTATGCCTTTATTATGTTTTTTTATTAATGTTCATTGGAGTTGGATGGAGTTTTTTACTAAATTAAATCTTCTCTTCTGAAGTGATCTTATATATCAATACAAACTACTAGTTTTCTAAGGTTCATTTAGTACTCTGAAAATACGATAGGATGAGGAAAGAATCAACTGAGCACTTTATTAAATGCGTGACTTTGCCTTAAGCATATTGTGTATATTGTAATATTGTTATGGCAACCCTACAAATTAGGGCAAGTTATCCTCAATTTATGCATGAGAACAAAGAGGTTTCAAGATGATACATCGATTTGTTCAAGGCCATACAACTAGAAAATGAGAGAGTTGGCATTCAAGACTAGACTCCTTGGAACCCTTTACTCATGCTTTTAATCCTTACCCGCAATACTGACTTTGAAGTGAAATGCTCATTGATTTGAAGTTTTCAAGGTTCTTTCACCAAAGTAACTTTCTCTGTTGTTACCAATAATTGTACTGAAGAGCAGAAGTGATTTGCTTCAATTTTACAAAGGAACCTCAGAGTGTTTGTATCAGTCAAAATATCTACTGTAACAAAAATACCTAAAATGTGTAATGGTTCTAATATTGTAAAGTTTATTTCCATTTCATATAAAGTTAAAAAATATCTTGTATATAATTGACAGGGTTGGCCTCTCCTACAAGCAGTGACTCAAGCATCTATGTTCCTTCAATTTTATGGAGCCTCCATTTTAAACATATGGCTTCCAAGGGTGTACTGGCAGAAGGTAGATAAAGTGATGGTAAATATTACTTTTGTTTATCTTCCAGTTTTTGCAGGCAATAGTTTTACCAAATGCTTTGCCACTGCATGCCAAGAATCTCCATCTTTCGATCCTCAGACATTAATTTCTTATTATTTACTGCCTGGCCACAAGTGACACATATTTTAGATTTTTCTCATAGCAGTAGTCCATTTTGATGCATGACTTTCAGTATTGATTGTGATAGAATAGTTGCTCTTATTAAATAAACCTTAAAATTGCCATGGTTTAACATAGTAGTTTATTTCCGGCTCACATAATAGCAATATTGGGTTCACAATGGTATACTTGTGTGTTAGGGATGGTAGAAATCAGGTTTAGGAGGACTGTGCTACACATGGCCATTTGGACATCTTGGCCTTCATTGGTATGCCATCTTTAGCAGGTGGCTTTCAACATCACGTGGGCATTGACAGCCAGATAGTGGATGGGAGGGGTTTATGGGCAGGGTCTAGTAATAATGCCTATCACTTCTGTCCACATTTTGTTACCTAGAACTAAGTTAGCATACCCACACCTAACTACAAAGGAGGCTAGAAAGTGCAGTAGAGCTGTGTGCCCAGGAGAAGGGATAATGAGTTGGCGGACAGCTATTCTCTGCCATAGTGGGTAATGAGCATATTTACACTAGCTGCATCTGTACATTTGACAAAGAACTGAGTGTGTTCACATGAAATGATACAGTATTGAAAAATATTCCTGCCCTGAAATAAGAAGAGAAAGAGATAGGGTAGTCAAAGAGGTAACTAGCTCCAGCTAAAAGTTCCTGTGCCTTATTTGAGTATACAAAATATATTTATAAATACAGTTATGCATTGTTTAATAATGGGGATATGTTCTGAGAAATGCGTTGTTTGCTAGGTAACTTCATAATTGGGTGAACACCTTAGAGCAGGGTTCCCCAACCCCCGAACCATGGACCAGTACTGGTATGTGGCCTGTTAGAAACTGGGCCACACAGCAGGAGGTGAGTGGCAGGCAAGCAGGCATTACTGCCTGAGTTCTGCCTCCTGTCAAGATCAGAGGTGGCATTAGATTCTCATAGGAGCACAAACCCTGTTGTGAACTGCACGTGCGAGGGATCTATGTTGTGTGCACCTTATGATAATCTAATGCCTGATGATCTGAGGTGGCACAGTTTCATCCTGAAACTACCAAACCACTCCCTTCCGGCCCCCATCCATGGAAAAATTGTCTTCCACAAAATCAGGTCCCCGGTGCCAAAAAGGTTGGGGAACACTGCCTTAGAGTATTTTTACACAAACCTAGATGTTATAACCTACTTCACACCTAAGCTATATGGTATAGCTTATTGCTCCTATGCTACCAACCTACACAGCATGCTACTGTTTTGAATACTGCAGCTAACTAGGACACTGTGGTAAGTATTCATTTAGCTAAACATAGAAAAGGCACAGTAAAAATATGGTATTAGAATCTTATGGGACCTCCTTCATATATGTGGTTTGTTGTTGGCCAAAACATCGTTACATGGCATATGACTATAGACAAAACACTAGGTAAACCTGTTTTGAGTATATTTGCTGATAGCAAAAACTTGACTTTCAATATATTGCATACAATTCTATCATTTGAGAGAGGAAGTGTACTTATGATCTATGAGTTCTCTCATCTTGAAAATAATCCATATTTGCAACTGGATTAAATTCATTTCATGAAAAATTTACATGCCTGCTGATTTAAAAAACATGATTTTGATGATAATGTGTACTTTTCTTTCACTAAGTATGTCTGACTTTAGTGAGAAAGAGAAAGACTGCATAGCTTTCATTGTATTATTAAATAGAAAATATTTTTGAAGACTTAAGTTAAAAAAAACTGGATTAGCATGCAGATGTTATAATCAAATCTAAAAATTGCTATTATGTTAAAGAAAATAGATTAAGACAGTTGAATGAGTACCATATTTTCCTATGCATTTTAAAGAATGCAACATAAGGTTAGAATTTGTAAAAAGGAAATTATGATTAAATGGACTGAAGTAATATCAAATTTTAGGAAGGTTGTGCTGCTACTCCAGTAGTTTTGTTATGAAGGTTTATTGTTGGTTCCTTGGCTTGGATATATTTAAGATTAGATATGTGGGAAAGGGAAAGTTTACACTGAGCAGGTGCAGTGTACATGCACCATTATATCTGACCTACTGGGAAACATAGACCTAAAACCAGGTTTTAAGAAATATTGAATGAATGAGTGAATGAATGGCAAATTTCAGGTTATTTAGTGTAATATACTGTCAGAAATAGAAGTCTTATTGTATACATAATCTTAATTTTGAAAAAGTCTTAATGTATACATAATGATCTTTTTCTAGCAATTTTCAAGTTGTATTCTTATCCTCCTCCTCAACATGATGAAAACCTTGGCATGCTTTAAATATCCACTGATTAGCATCCTCCTTATCTTGTTGTGTAGAAATTCGGTTTTGCATTTTTAAACACATGAAATATGTTACTAATTTTGTAGTCATTAGCAATTAAATCCAGCAGTACTCAAAAAATCAATTTCTGTGGTATTGTTTCTTGTGAGCCACACCTGACCTCTGAGTTTATTTTCTTTCCAGATGAAGTATATTCTTAAGTAATTATTTTTCTTATGGAATTAAACATTTTTTAAATTGAAATGTATATATTTAAGGTACACAATGTATTGTTTTGATATACATATACAAAAGAAACTGATTACTACAAACTGAATATAGAATTAACGTATCCATCTCTTCACAGAGTTACCATTTTGTGTGTGTATGGTAAGAACACCTAAGATCTAATCTCTTAGGAAATTTCACATATGTCTTACGGTACTATTAACTATAGTCCTCATGCTGTACATTAGATCTCTACAACTTATTTATTCTACATAATGACACACTGTTCCATTTGCCCAGCATCTCCACCTACCACTCCCCCCACACTCCAGGAAATCACCATTGTACTCTCTTCTTCTATGAATTTGACTTTTTTAGATTCCACAAATAAGTGAGATTATGCAGTAACTTTCTTTGTGTGTCTGATTTATTTCACTTAACATGATGTCCTCCAACTTCATTTACATTGTAACAAATGGCAGGATTTCCTTCTTTATAAAAGTCTGAATAAAACACCCACACACACACACGGCAATTTTTTTTCCCATTCATCAGTCTATAGACACTTAGGTTGTTCCCATATTTTGGATATTGTGAATAATGCTGCAATGAACATGGGAGCACAGATATGTCGTTGACATATTGATATCATTGCCTTTGGATATGTACTCAGAAATGGGATTGCTGGATCGTATATATAGCAGTACTTCCTTTAATTTTTTGAGGAGCTTCCATACTGTTTTCCATAATGACTATATCAAATTACATTCTCATTGATAACTGTGCAAGAGTTCCCTTTTCCTCACATTCTCATAAACACTTATTTTTTGTCTTTTTGATAATAACCATTCTAATAGGTGTGAAGTGATATCTCATTGTGGTTTTGATGTGCATTTCCCTGATGATTAGTGATATTAACCATCTTTTTACATACTTAGTGGCAAACTCTATGTCTTCCTTGGAAAAATTTTTATTTAAGTCCTTTGCCCATATTTTTAATTGGGCTATTTGTATTTTTGCTATTAAGTTCTATGAGTTTCTTATATATTTTGGATATTAACTCTTTATTAGATATATGGTTTGGAATATTTTCTTTCATTTTGTAGGTTGCCTTTTCATCTTATCGTTTCCTTTGCTTTGCAGAAGTTTGTTTTTAGCATGATGTAGTCCCACTTTTATTGTTTTTTTTTTTGTTGTTGTTGTCTGTTTCCTTGTGTGCTTGTGATGTCATATGCAAAAAAAAATCTTCATCAAGACCAACATCATAGAGCTTGTTCCCTATGTTTTCTCTTAGAAGTTTTACAGTTTCAAGTCTCAGGTTTAAGTCTTTAATCCATTTTGAGTTGATTTTTGTGTATATTGTAAGATAAGGGTCCAATTCCATTTTTCTTTTCTTTGCATATGGATATCCAGTTTTTCCAACACCATTTATTGAAGAGACTGTCTTTTCCCCATTGTCTGTTCTTGGTACCCTTGTCAATTATTATTTGACAATTTATTTGTGGGTTTCTTTCTGGGCTCTCTTATTCTGTTCCACTGGTCTGTGTGTCTGATTTTATACTAGTATCATCTTGTTTTGATTAGGATAGCTTTGTAGTATAATTTGAAATCAGAAAGTGTGATGTTGTCAACTTTGTTCTTCTTTCTCAAGATTGTTTGGGCTATTTGGGGTTGTTTGTGGTTCTGTACAAATTTTAGGATTTCATTTCTGTGAAAATTGCTTTTAAAAATTTGATAGGGATTACCAAAAAAAAGGATGAATGAGATCTAGTATTTGATCACACAACAGGGTGACTATAGTTAATAATGAATAATTGTATATTTAAAAATAACTAAAAGAGTGTAATTTGATTGTTTGTAGCACAAAAGATAAATGCTTGAGGGGATGGAAACCCCATTCTCCATGATGTGATTATTTCATACTGCATACCTGTATCAAAACATCTTATGTACCCCTTAAGTATATACACATCCTATATACCCACAAAAACTAAAAATTTTAAAAATTAAATTTTTTGTGGAGATTGCATTTTTACAGAGATTGCCTCTGATGGTGTTTTACAATTACCTTAAGCTGTCTTCACTCTTTTTCATTTTTTTCTTTTTGCTTTTTTGACTGAAGGATTTCCGATACTTGTCTTTGAGTTTGCTGAACCTTTCTTCTCCTTATCTAGTCTGCTGTTGAGCCCTTGTATTGAAATTTTTCAGTTATTGTATTATTCAGCTCTATGATACCTGGTACTTTTCTGTTTTCTGTTTCTTTGCTGGAATTCTCACTTTGTTCATACATTATTCTCCTTATCTCATTGAGCATCTTTATGACTTTTTGTTTGTTTCTTTGTTTTTTTGAGATGGAGTCTCTCTCTGTCACCCGGGCTGGAGTGCAGTGGCGCAATCTCGGCTCACTGCAAACTCTGCCTCCTGGGTTCACGCCATTCTCCTGCCTCAGCCTCCCAAGTAGCTAGGACTACAGGTGCCCGCCACCACACCTGGCTAATTTTTTGTATTTTCAGTAGAGACAGGGTTTCACCATGTTAGCCAGGATGATCTCAATCTCCTGACCTCATGATCCACCCGCCTCAGCCTCCCAAAGTGCTGGGATTATAGGCATGAGCCACTGCGCCTGGCCTATGATGGTTATTTTTAACTCCAACAGGCAAATTACATATCTCAATTTCATTAGGTCAAGTATCTTGTTCTTCTGTTTGTCACATATTTCCGTTTCCTCATTTTCCTAGTTGGTTTCTGTGCATTAGGTAAGACAGCCATCTCTCCCAGTCTTCAGAGATTCTGGGTGCCTCTCAAATTATGTGCTGCAAAGAGCCATCTTTTTTCTCAATGGTCTCGGAAGACTGAAGTTTACCAAGTTTCATCAGTGCTCTGAGACAGTGAGATAGGATCCATTCCCTAGAGTAGCAGCTAGAAAAGTTGGAGTATTAGATGTATGATCCAATTCCTTTTCTCTTCATGGAGAAGCTGGAAGCTGGGGTTTATTCCCCTCTCAGTCTTCACTGAGCCAGAGAGGAGAGCTGTGGAAAATTTCTGTGTGCTCATTCTGACTGAATGCTCTTTCAAATCACTTCTTTGCTCTCTGTCACTCTCAGGGGTCTAGTGAATGCCAGGCCCCATCAGCTGTCAGATAAAGGTGGCTAGAGACCAGCTTCTCAGGTAACGACCAGAAAAGTTGGGATACTAGACAGGTAGGCCAACTCCTAGGGAGAAGTTGGAGGCTTGGTTTTATTCCCAGAGAAGGAGCTCTGGGCATGCCACATGCCTGTTTAAATTCCCAGGGCATTAGTGATTGCCTGTCTCATCAGCTCCAGGAGCCAGTGACTTTGATGCTAGATTCTCAACTTCCAGAGATATGCAAGTTTGGAGTTAATTCCTTGGGTACTAGCTATAAGAGTTGGGTGCTACATGTGTGGTCCAGGTTCTTCCAGGGAGAAGTTGGGGGTTTGATTTTATCATTGGAGGAGGCCGGGGGTAATGTCTCAGTCAATTGTGTGTTGCTATAACAGAATAGCTGAGACTGGGTAATTTATAATGATCAGAAATTTATTTTCTCACAGTTCTGGAGGCTGGGAAGTTCAAGATAAAGGCACTAGCATCTGGCAAAGGCATTCCTGCTGTGTCACCACATGGCAGAAAACAGAAAGGCAAAGAGACAAAATGGGGCCACACTCACCCTTTGATAATGGCATTGCCCCGATGACCTAATCACCTCTCAAAGGTTCCACTTGTTAATTTCAATGTGAGTTTTGGAGAGGACAAACATTCAAACCATAGCAGTGAGAGAAGCCATAGGAATTGCCCACATTCCCCTTTATGCTTCCAGAGGACTAGAGATTGCTTACCTCATCAGCTTCCAGCACAAGCTAGTTAAAAGCCAGAACCTCAGGCAGATGCTGCTTTGAAGTGAGAATTTCCTCAGTCACTTTGTGTACAGGAGTCTATAAACAAGCTTCTGGATTTTTCTCAGATGAAACTGATCCATGTGTAGTTGTTTATTTGGTGTGTCTGTGGGTGGAGGGAGAATCCTGTGCCTCCTATTCTGTCATCTTGCTGACATCCTTACTGAGATGGTTTGTTTTATATTCTGTAAGTCATTATATATCTGAAAATATATCTTTATTCCTGATGACAGTTTAGCTAGGTATAGTTTTTTTATTAAAAGCTATTTTTTTCCCCTCAGGATTTTGAAGATATTATTACATTGTGTTTTCAGTCTCTACTGTGGCTGATAATTCCATTGTAAAATCTAATTAGTGTTGTCCCATGGCTAATCTCTGTTTCTTCTCTAATAGATTTGCTGCTTGTTGCTGATTTATCTATTTCTTCTTGCAATTCTGTTTGTTCTTGCATATTGTATTTTCAGGCTATATTGTTAGATTACACATATATTGATGATACACATGTATTCACTGGTATATAATTGTACATTTGTATTGTTCGATATCTGGCTTGGACATGTAAAGGTTAAATACCATCTACTTTCAATTATGGAGAAAAAAGTCATCAGACGCAACCAAAGGCTTGAAATTCTCTGGCATTCTTTATGTATGTCATTGTTCTTTTAGTTTCAGGGGTCAGAAATCTGCAAAGTAGCTTAAAAAAATTAGGGGCTTTATTAACTCAACTAATTGTAAAGGGCAAACATGACGCTGAATGTGTCTGGAATCAGGGAACTAGATGATTCCATAATACTTTTTTCACTTCTCTGCATTTTGACTTTTCTTCTAATGCATTCAGGACTCTTCACATGATGAGGTCATGGTCTTTGTCACTTCTAGGATTTTATATGAAGGGCTTTGTAACCAGCTAAAGGAAGGATACTACCTTCTTACCTTCAGGTAGAAAATTCCAAGGAAAAGTTTTTGTTCCAACTTTGGACATTTGCCCATTCCTTGCCCAATCTCCTGTGCCCAAATAGATGAGTAACATCATTGATCTAGTTTGTTTAATATGGTAGCACTGTGGTCAGGCCAAGGGGTAGAATTTGTTACCAAAGGAAGGGAGAAGACGTGCTGAGTAAATAAAAGCAATAATCATAATACCTTTTTCCCTCTTTCCCAGAGACTAAGAACATGGCCCTTCTTTAATTCTAAGCTTGTTCTAGCAATATATCTTTATCTTTGCCTTTATGGCACTTCCTTAGTCTTATCTATGTGTATTTAATAAAGTTTTATGTGCTTTCTTAGCATGTTGTATTTTATAGAATTTATTACCTTGCCTCACAGTTATAGCAGTGTATATCTTCCTTATTAGACTATAATCTCTGTGGTAAAGGACTGTGTCCTTTTCATTTTTTAATCTTTATTTATTCATTAATTCAATCATACATTCATTCTACTAATATTTATTGAGTGCTTCCTTTTTGCCAGATATTGTCATAGCCACTGGGCAAATAGTGGACATTCAATAAATAAATGTCTTCTTGAATAAAACTTCCTGGATATTCTCAGAAAATGTTTCTGTTATGCTACTAAAGTTTTGACAGGCTAGTTGCTTTCATTTCATTTTCCTGTTATTGTAATTTAAAAGCACAAAGTCTAGAGAATGACCTTTGAAATGTTACACATGATGTGCATTTCAAGAGAAAAAATTTGGATTGGCATACCAACCTCCTCATCATGTTTTGAAATGTGATACTTCAGGGATAAGGCAAAAGAGCAAAGCAGGCCAAAATCCTCTCCACAGAGAGATGAACTGCAGGGCCCGGCACATCCCTGTTTTCATTAAAACAGGTAACATACCCATTGTGTTCAGTCAGCCACAGGCTATTTCAGGATACTTTTTAACACCTTGAAGTCACTAAAATAAATTCCACTGCTTCTCAAGGTATCACCAAGTAGAACAAAAGGTAGAATAAAAAATGGAAGAAATGAAAACCCCATATTCTGTCCACTTGTTGCAATCATAAAAAATGTTTTAAAATCAAGTCCCTCTTTCTAAGACAAAATAACCTTTCTTTAGAAACAAGCAACTGATGTTCCCACACAGCTTGATATTTTCCTGCAGATCCTGTGATGTTACCAAAAACCTGCATAATACTGTGTGTGTGTGTGTGTGTGCGTGCGTGCGTGCTTGTGTGTGTATGTATGCACAAGTGTATGAGTTTATTAAACTCTGTGACACTTACCTACACATTTTCCCAGGACAGCTGTATATGGTTTTGGGAAAAATAAAGCATCATGAGCCAGGAAGCTCCTTAGAAAATCAAAAGTGCACTCATTCATTTATTTTTATCCAATATTTTATCTCACCTTTGTGATTTTATACATCCTGTTTCTTATATGTATACTGCTCCCCTTCTTCTGTGTATTCAATTAATTTTAATCTTCCAACTATAAGTAACAGGAAATCTTCAACTCACGTAACTTAAACAATAAGGAAATGTATCATGAAACCTAGAGTTTCCTGGATTGGTTAATTCACATCTTAGTGACATCACTGAGATCCTAGATTCTTGCTGTCTCAAAATTCTTTGATCCTCAGCATATCAACTTCGACCTCAAGCTGTTTATCTGATGGTGGCAAGATGGTATCACAACCAGTCACAATAATTTCCTGCTGAAAAGGATCTATCTTTTCCATGTGTCTTTTTCAGAGTAGAGAAACTATACCCAGAAGCCCCAGGAGACTTCCCCTCATAGCTCATTTGCCAGGGTTAGGTCACAAACCCTGACTAAGCCAATCCCTGGAGAGGGGAATGGGGTTACTACGATGGCTTTGAATTAAAAGTATTTACTTTGGAGTGGTAAAAGAGGAGGGTATATACTGCACAAAATCTAGGCTCTTCCAGCAAGGAAGAAAAGGAAATTTGATATGAAGCAAGTGTTAAGAACAAATAACTTAGATCACTTTTTTTTTTTAAAAAAGTAGATTTACTTGCCTTTAATAATAAGCAGAATAAGTAAGTCGTACCTACTAAATTAGGAATATCAATTCTTTACTCAGCTTCTGTATGCACTAACCCATGTAAAGAATTACACTGTTCTTGAATGTGTCTCTCCCTGACCACTGGAGATAGAATTAATCTTTCTATTCTGTGCTATCCATACATACAAACTTGAATGAGCATGTGGAGACACATATTTTAGTTTTTGGAGAGAACAAAACTCTAACAATATTTCAAAGCATCTTTTACAAACTTTTCTCTCTTCAATGAACAATAGTGGCAAGATTACATGGATAAAGACAATGAGAGTGTAGAAGGTTTTGAGTAACTGTCTCAATAATTATTCTTCAGATATTGATCAATAATGTGTCATAAAACAGTGTAAAGAAAGATGCTCTTTTCATAAATTATAAATATTTCTTCTATAGAGAGACCAACCTTATTAATTAAAAAAGCTATTGTCCCAGTGTGTTTTTTATGGAAAGCCTAGAAAAAAGAAGCCATTTGTAGGTGAGCAAAGAAAATCACTTAATTCACAAAGATATCCTAAATGCCTTTGTTAAAGACATAAGCAATTTTAAATGAACGAATCCATTAATATCTACCAGTGGTTAAATGTAGCATTCTGTTTATTTATGTCAGTAATTGCTGTAAATGATAATGATTCTTCATATCGCTAGATATCCAATGCATTATTCATTCCTCCTTAGGCTGAGATATGAGAACATCAGAGCTATTATAGGTTTTATGTAGTGATTTATAGGAAGAATAGATTATTTATTAAAATAATAGACAAATATTAGAGAGACATTGTTGACTCACTATTTTTCTGATGTTTTATTAACTTTATTTTTTTTTAATTTTACAATTTAACATCTTCATGTGGAGCTGAAATTCTAATTAGTGTGAATTTTAGTGTCCTTATTGGAGATCAAATACCTAAGCGTATTGAACATATAATAATATCACCTCTTGTTTTTTGTTAACTCTTTATATGGGTTAGTGTGTAATGAAGCTGAGTAAAGGATTAATATTCCTAATTTAGTAGGTACAAATTATTTATTTTGCTTACTATTAAAAGTGAGTACATCTACTGTTAAAATAGTTGGAGACCTAAGTTGTTATTGGTTGTAAATATCCTTCCTTGAATATTAAAATCTACTTATTTTTTGTCAGTATCTTTGGCAAATTTTTTTAAGTTGTCTTTTGTGTTCTTGACTTGCCAATGTACTCCATTTGTTATTTCATTCATGCCATCACCTAAGATATGATGGAGACTCACTGTGCTAACAAAGGCAGGCCATTCCATCTAAAGCTTCTACCTGCTAAAACATAGATAACTGTTTAGTGCTGCTTCTGATTTTTTAAGGACTTACGCCTGAAAATTTCCTGTCTTAAAAACAACCAACCAAACAAACAAACAAATGAAAAACCTAGTTATTGACCTTGCATCCTGTATTCCATGGTTACAGGGTGAGCGTAAAGACAGAATATCTGAGAGCTGGCTCTATGTTTTTCTTTTTCATCTAACTATTTTGGTTCTAGACACACTTTTGTTAGTGAAGCAAGAGTTAAGGAGCAAAAATTCTGAATATTTTTATTTTCAGTTCATTAAAGCTTTCTGACTCCTCCTCTCCTCACACACATGAATTTATGTTTTTTTTAAAATAATTACTCTCTAAATTCATGTATAAATTCTGGGCTTATTTTTAGTAAGGAAAGGGTACTTTTATTTTGGATTGGAGAACAGCTATCATAGTATTAAAATTGACTTCAGGCCTGTAATCCCAACACTTTGGGAGGCTGAGGCAGGCAGATCACCTGAGGTTGGGAGTTTGAGACGAGCCTGACCAACATGGAGAAACCCTATCTCCACTAAAAATACAAAATTAGCCAGGCATGGTGGTGTATGCCTGTAATCCCAGCTACTTGGGAGGCTGAGGCAGGAGAATTGCTTGAACCTGGGAGGCAGAGTTTGCAGTGAGCCAAGATCACGCCATTGCACTCCAGCCTGGGCAACAAGATCGAAACTCAGTCTCAAAAAATTAAATTATTTCTTAGACATTTGACTTGTACACTTTTTAGCAAGTTGTATATATGTCATCAGGTTATTTCACCACAGAACATATAAATTATTGCTATAACTACAGAAAAATGTCACATACATCTGATTATCACATGACAGATTTCATCTTAGGGAAATAAATGATTTTTTAAAAAAATAATTAAAGTTCAAGTATTTCTAGTTACTGCCAACACATTAATGCACAATTGAGTGACTCCAGAAGACTAAATATGAATGATGGCAGTTGATTTTTTGAAAATCCGGATTATTTGGACAGTCATTTTAAAATTCAGACACAAATTAACTCAGTACTTTGTTAATTTTACAATCGTGTACTGCATGATGACATTTTGGTCAAATGTGGACCACGTATGCAATGGTGATCCCCTAATATTATACTACGTTGTTTTTACTTTACCTTTTCTATGTTTAGATACACAAATACTTAGCATTGTGTTCCAATTACCTACAGTGTTCAGTACAGCAATATGTTGTACTGGTTTACCTAGAAGCAATGGGCTATACCAGTGGTCCCCAACCTTTTTGGTACCAGGGACTGGTTTCTTGGGAGACAATTTTTCCACGGACTTTGGGAGGGGAATGGTTTTGGGATGATCCAAGCACATTATATTCATTTGGCATTTCATTTCTATTTTTACATTGTAACATATAATGAAATAATTATAGAACTCATCATCATGTAGAATCAGTGGGAGGCCTGAGCTTATTTTCCTGCAACCAGACAGTCCCATCTGGGGGTGATGGGAGACAGCAACAGATCATCAGGCATTAGATTCTCATAAGAAGCATACAACGTAGATCCCCTGCATGTGCAGTTCACAATAGGGTTTGCACTCCTATGGGAATCTAATGCCACTGCCAATCTGACAGGAGGCAGAGCTCAGGTGGTAATGTGAGAAATGGGGAACAGCTATAAATACAGATGAAGCTTCACTGGCTCACCTGCTGCTCACCCCTCACTGTGCAGCTCAGTTCCTAACAGGCCATGGACTGGTACCATCTGTGACCTGGGGACTGGGGACCCCTGGGCTATATAGTGTAGCCTAGGTGGGTAGTAGGCGATCTCATATAGGTTTTTGTAAGTATACTCTATGACATTCACACAATGATGGAATCCCCTAATGACACATTTCTCAGAAGTGATTCATGATGTTAAGTGACAGATGACCATATTTTAGACTTGGCCAAAAATCATCTCAACGTAGAGTACCTTGCCCTCAGAGGGTTCATAGAAATGATCACAGTCCATTGAGCTCTGAGTCAACTCTGTAGTAGCCCATTCAGATTATTTCTTTAGACCCCGAACAATTAACTGGTCTTAGATAAGACATTTTCTATGCAGTATGTGTGATGCACACTTTTCTGTAATTGTTTGAAAGTGCCAAACTCTATCTTGTCTCGGAGCTACTATAGATGTGGTTTCCTCTGCCTGGAGCTATTTTTGCCCTATTTGCAAGGCTAGATTCATTTTATATATCAGGTTTCAGCCAAGTATCATCACTTCTGAGTTGCCAGTTTTTCACTACTCCATAAGAGTTCCTCTTCCTGTTATTCTCTCTCTTTATGCATTGTTATTTACTTCTCTTTACTTGTTGCAACTTATAATTATGTATCTGTTTATTGTCTGTTGTCCCTTCATTCCTATCTCTCAGAGACTGAAAACTCCATAGGAGCAAGGACACATAATAGATACTATTAATAGATATTTATTAAGTATTTGATGACTGAATGAATGATCCTGGTGTCAAGACCAGAACCTAATCCTAGGTCTCCAGAATCCCTATTATTGTACATTAGTCACTGCACATTTACAATAAAATATCAATTAAAGTATTTCCTATCTTCTACCCATGTAGAAAATAATCCTTCACATGACCTAAATTCAACCACTGTCTAATTTCCATGATATATTTGGGAAGCATAACAGAGCTAAGTAATTAAGGCCTCTCTATGAATGTTATTGAAATAATACAATATCAAGAACAGTAGGATTCAGAACAGAAAGAAAATGAAAGCTTTTTTCTATTGTAGGAACCCACCTCTTGCATCGGTGTGTGCTGGATGTGAGGCATGGAGTCAAAGAAGATCATTTTAGAGCTTTAAGATTTAATGACTGCCCCACTGGGTTTCAGACTGGCATGGGGCCTGTGGCCTCTTTGTTTTGGCCAATTTCTCCCATTTGGAAGGGAAACATTTATCCCAAAATAAAGTTTTTTTAACAGTTAAAAAGTTTCTGCTTTTCAAAAAGGCTGATCGACTCTAAACCAATCAAAACTTTTGACTTTAAGTCAATAGTTACCTTCTTTAAAGATAAATCATTTCTTTTGTTTGTGCTTCTTTTCTCTGAATTTTGGAAAATTAATAGAATAAGAGTAAAACATTTGATATCTGTTCAATTCAGCTTAAGATCTATTTATTTTCATTTAAAAACAGAACAAAACAAAAATTAATTATTCAATATCACTCCCTCTACACACACAGACATATGCCCATCCTGCATTTTTTTCAAACAGAAGTTATCTTGGAGACTTACTTCATTAACTTAGGTGTGAAATAATTTTCTTGTCTATATCAAGGACAGAATGACAAATATTCTCAGATTCTCTTAGCAACAGGCATTTGATTTGCTGTCTTGAATAGAGCCTTGTAAAGTTTCCTTTGTAGGAGAAATACCATATTTGAAAATGTTGTCATATTGTTGTTTTAGTATTTTCATATTATTATTTTATTACTAAATAAGTTTATGTAACTTTAGAAATAGAAACTGGTATGGTTTGGCTCTGCATTCCCACCCAAATCTCAGGTTGAATTGTAATCTCCACATGTTGGAAGAGAGGCCTGGTGGGAGATGATTGGATCATGGAGTGGATTTCTCCCTTGCTGTTCTTACGATAGTAAGTGAGTTCTCATGAGAACTGATGGTTTTAAAGTGTGGTACTTCCTGCCCCTGACCATCTCTCCTGCCACTATGTAAAGTGTGCCTTGCTTCCCCTTCACCTTCCGCCATGATTGTAAGTTTCCTGAGGCCTCCCCAGCCATGTGGAACTGTGAGGCAATTAAACCTATTTTCTTTATAAATTACCCACTCTCAGGTAGTTCTTTGTCACAGTGTGAAAAAGGACTAATATGGAAAAATTGGTACTGGGAGTTTGGGGCACTGCTATAAAGATACCTGAAAATGTGGAAGTGACTTTGGAACTGGGAAGCAGGCAGAGGTTGGAACAGTTTGGAGGGCTCAGAAGAAGAAAGGAATATGTGGGGAAGTTTGGAACTTCCTAGAGACTAGTTGAATGATTGTGACCAAAATGCTGATAGTGATATGAACAATGAAGCCCAGGCTGGGGTAGTCTCAGATGAAGAGGAGAAACTTACCAGGAACTGGAGCAAAGGTCACTCTTCCTATGCTTTAGCAAAGAGATTAGCAGCATTTTGCCCCTGCCCTAGAGATCCTAGACATGGAACTTTGAATTCAAAGAGATGACTTAGGGTGTCTGACAGAAGAAATTTCTAAGCAGCAAAGCATTCCAGCTTTTTCTGAAGCATACAATCATGTGTGTTCACAAAGAGATTGTCTGAAATTAGAGCTTATGTTTAAAAGGGAAGTAGAGCGTAAAAGTTTGGAAAATGTGCAGCTTGATTGTGTGATGAGAAAAAAGAAAAACCCATTTTATGGGAAGAAATTTAAGCTGCTTGCTGTTAGAATTTGCATAAGTAAAGAAAAGCCAAATACTAATAGCCAAGACAATGGGGAAAATGTCTCCAGGGCATTTCAGAGATCTACATGGCATAGCCTCCTATCACAGGCCTGGAGGCCTGGGAGGAAAAAGTGGTTTTGTGGGCCAGGCCCATGGCCTTGCTGCTCTGTGAAACCTCTGGACATGGTGCCCTGTGTCCTGGCTGGTCCAGCTCCAGTTGTGGCTAAAAGGGGCCAAGGAACAGCTTGGGCTGTTGCTTCAGAAGGTGCAAGCCCCAAACCTGTGCAGCTTTCACGTGGTGTTGGGCTTACAGTTGTGCAGAAGGCAAGAGTTGAGCTTTGGGAGCCTCCACCTAGCTTTCAAAGGATGTATGGAAACACCTAGATGTCCAGACAGAAGTCTGCTGCTGGGGTGGAACCCTTGTGGAGAACCTTCATTAGGGCAATGCAGAGGGGAGGGCAATGCAGAGGGCAATGTTGCCTAGGGGAGCTGTAAGAAGAGGGCCACCATCCTCCAGACCCTAGAATGGTAGATACACCAACGGCTTGCACTGTGCACCTGGAAAAGCCACAGGCACTCAATGCCAGCTAGTGAAAGCAGCCACAGGGACTGTACACTGCAGAGTCACAGAAGTGGAGCTGTCTGAGGCTGTAGGAACCCACCTCTTGCATCAGTGTGTGCTGGATATGAGGCATGGAGTCAAAGAAGATCATTTTAGAGCTTTAAGATTTAATGACTGCCCCACTGGGTTTCAGATTGGCATGGGGCCTGTGGCCTCTTTGTTTTGGCCAATTTCTCCCATTTGGAATGGAAACATTTACCCAATGCCTGTACCCCCATTGCATCTTGGAAGTAACTAACTTGTTTTTGATTTTACAGGCTTATAGGTGGAAGGGACTTGCCTTGTCTCAGAACTTGGACTTTTGAGTTAATGCTGGAATGAGTTAAGACTTTGGGGGACTGTTGGGAAGGCATGATTGATATTGAAATGTGAAAAGGACATGAGATTTTGGAGGGGCCAGGGACAGAATGATATGGCTTGGCTCTGTGTCCCCTCCCAAATCTCATTTTGAATTGTAATTCCCACATGTTGGAGGAGGGGCCTGGTGGGAGATAATTGGATCATGGGGGTGGATTTCTCCCTTGCTGTTCTCATGATAGTGAGTGAGTTCTCATGAGAGCTGATGGTTTTGAAGTGTGGCACTTCCCACCTCACTCTCCCTTTATCTCTCCTGCCACCATGTAAGATGTGCCTTGCTTCCCCTTCGCCTTCTGCCATGATTGTAATTTTCCTGATGCCTCCCCAGCCATATGGAACTGTGATTCAATTAAACCTCTTTTCCTTATAAATTACCCAGTATTAGGTAGCTCTTTATAGCAGTATGAAAATGGACTAACACAGAAAATTTCTTAGAGATCATCTAGTCCAATACCCTCGTTTAAAATTTATTTTTTAAAGTAACATAATTAACATTTTTTGAAATGTAGTTGAAATTAACAAATTGTAAACAAATATTTAAATAAAGAATAATTTCTTATTTTCTTATTTCATTAAAAAGAAGGGGAAATCTACTTCTCTAAATGTTTCAGCAACTCTTTTATTCGAGGGTCTCATTTTTGCCCCCATTTGGATTTTCCTTAACATATTTTCTAAATCCTAGCTAGAGCACATCTCTGTTTTATCTTGTTTCAAATAATGAGGACTTTTTAATACCTAAATTATGCTATGTTCTATGAGACTATTTGTGGCTTTAGGGAACCAAATGTTTTTAAGCTTTTTTTGAGGTTTAGAACTTTGATTTTAATAACACCAGTAATAAAAATGATATCTGGATTTTTAAAACAAAGCTTTGCTCACCTCTTTACCACATCTAAGGATCTTTTTCTCTTAATTTCAGATTGATTAATCTCCATCTGAGGTAGCACTTCTGTTTCCCTCAGGCCAGTTTTGGCCAACGCAGTTTTCCCTTTGTCCTGAGGTGGCAAGCCATTTCCTGTCTCCTTTCCTCTCTAAATGTTTACACTAAAGCCTTTTCTAATTTATTGTTACGCTCAGCAAATAGAAGCAGCTCAGTAAATATTAATTGAATGTGAATAAAAGTGTAATTTATTGTATTTTTACCATAAATGTTATTTATTCAATTTTCAAATTTATTTGGTTGGTAAACTTAACGTATCATGTGACTTTATTTTATTTCATAGTTTATCATAACATTTATCCTATAAGTAAATTTCCTTAGTGTTTTATATTTTCCTGAAAACCTTATCAAGTAATACAGGAAGAAAATGATATATATCTGAGGGAACAAATTGAAACTTATCTTTACTTTTTAAAACAAAATATTTTAAGACTCTTAAGGACAGAGGCTTTGCTATTTATTTGTTTTATGATCTTCCATTTCATCTGCTATACAAGTTAAATAACAGATTGCTATTAAAGTCTTAGAATTCAAAAAATAGAAGATTTGTATTAGACTCATGTTCCTGATATTTCGGAGCAAGAAGGAATTTTAGTGATGGTCCAATCTAAACTTCTATTTTTCAGACAAGGAAACTGAAACATCAGAGACTGTTGCAGCTAATATAGTGTGTGCCATATACACATGCACAAACTCACACACACACTAATACAAATAGCCAATGTGTATTCAGTATTTTGGTTAATAGGTAGAATTCTTTTTTTTTATTTTTTATTTTATTATTATTATACTTTAAGTTTTAGGGTACATGTGCACAATGTGCAGGTTAGTTGCATATGTACACATGTGCCATGCTGGTGTGCTACACCCATTAACTCGTCATTTAGCATTAGGTATATCTCCTAATGCTATCCCTCCCCCGTCCCCCCACCCCACAACAGTCCCTAGAGTGTGATGTTCCCCTTCCTGTGTCCATGTGTTCTCATTGTTCAGTTCCCACCTATGAGTGAGAACATGTGGTGTTTGGTTTTTTATCCTTGTGATAGTTTACTGAGAATGATGATTTCCAATTTCATCCATGTCCCTAGAAAGGACATGAACTCATCATTTTTTATGGCTGCATAGTATTCCATGGTGTATATGTGCCACATTTTCTTAATCCAGTCTATCATTGTTGGACATTTGGGTTGGTTCCAAGTCTTTGCTATTGTGAATAGTGCCACAATAAACATACGTGTGCATGTGTCTTTACAGCAGCATGATTTATAGTCCTTTGGGTATATACCCAGTAATGGGATGGCTGGGTCAAATTCTAGTCAAAATCTAGAAATTTCAAGTTCTAGATCCCTGAGGAATCGCCACACTAACTTCCACAATGGTTGAACTAGTTTACACTCCCACCAATAGTGTAAAAGTGTTCCTATTTCTCCACATCTTCTCCAGCACCTGTTGTTTCCTGACTTTTTCATGGTTGCCATTGTAACTGATGTGAGATGGTATCTCACTGTGGTTTTGATTTGCATTTCTCTGATGGCCAGTGATGGTGAGCATTTTTTCATGTGTCTGTTGGCTGCATAAATGTCTTCTTTTGAGAAGTGTCTGTTCATGTCCTTCGCCCACCTTTTGATGGGGTCGTTTGTTTTTTTCTTGTAAATTTGTTTGAGCTCATTGTAGATTCTGGATATTAGCCCTTTGTCAGATGAGTAGGTTGTGAAAATTTTCTCCCATTTTGTAGGTTGCCTGTTCAGTCTGATGGTAGTTTCTTTTGCTGTGCAGAAGCTCTTGAGTTTAACTAGATCCCATTTGTCAATTTTGGCTTTTGTTGCCATTGCTTTTGGTGTTTTAGATATGAAGTCCTTGCCCATGCCTATGTCCTGAATGGTAATGCCTAGGTTTTCTTCTAGGGGTTTTATGGTTTTAGGTCTAACATTTAAGTCTTTAATCCATCTTGAATTAATTTTTGTATAAGGCATAAGGAAGGGATCCAGTTTCAGCTTTCTACATATGGCTAGCCAGTTTTCCCAGCAACATTTATTAAACAGGGAATCCTTTCCCCATTGCTTGTTTTTCTCAGGTTTGCCAAAGATCAGATAGTTGTAGATATGTGGCGTTACTTCTGAGGGCTCTGTTCTGTTCCATTGATCTATATCTCTGTTTTGGTACCAGTACCATGCTGTTTTGGTTACTGTAGCCTTGTAGTATAGTTTGAAGTCAGGTAGTGTGATGCCTCCAGCTTTGTTCTTTTCGCTTAGGATTGACTTGACGATGAGGGCTCTTTTTTGGTTCCATATGAACTTTAAAGTAGTTTTTTCCAATTCTGTGAAGAAAGTCATTGGTAGCTTGATGGGGATGGCATTGAATCTATATATTACCTTGGGCAGTATGACCATTTTCACAATGTTGATTCTTTCTACCAATGAGCATGGAATGTTCTTCCATTTGTTTGTATCCTCTTTTATTTCATTGAGCAGTGGTTTGTAGTTCTCCTTGAAGAGGTCCTTCACATCCCTTGTAAGGTGGATTCCTAGGTATTTTATTCTCTTTGAAGCAATTGCGAATGGGAGTTCACTCATGATTTGGCTCTCCGTTTGTCTGTTATTGGTGTATAAGAATGCTTGTGATTTTTGCACATTGATTTTGTATCCTGAGATTTTGCTGAAGTTGCTTATCAGCTTAAGAAGATTTTGGGCTGAGACAATGGGGTTTTCTAGATATGCAATCATGTCATCTGCAAACAGGGACAATTTGACTTCCTCTTTTCCTAATCGAATACCCTTTATTTCCTTCTCCTGCCTAATTGCCCTGGCCAGAACTTCCAACACTATGTTAAATAGGGGTGGTGAGAAAGAGCATCCCTGTCTTGTGCCAGTTTTCAAAGGGAATGCTTCCAGTTTTTTCCCATTCAGTATGATATTGGCTGTGGGTTTGTCATAGATAGCTCTTATTATTTTGAGATATGTCCCATCAATACCTAATTTACTGAGAGTTTTTAGCATGAAGTATTGTTGAATTTTGTCAAAGGCCTTTTCTGCATCTATTGAGATAATCATGTGGTTTTTGTCATTGGTTCTGTTTATATGCTGGATTACATTTATTGATTTGCATATATTGAACCAGCCTTGCATCCCAGGGATGAAGCCCACTTGATCATGGTGGATAAGCTTTTTGATGTGCTGCCAGATTCGGTTTGCCAGTATTTTATTGAGGATTTTTGCATCAATGTTCATCAAGGATATTGGTCTAAAATTCTCTTTTTTTGGTTGTGTCTCTGCCCGGCTTTGGTATCAGGATGATGCTGGCCTCCTCAAATGAGTTAGGGAGGATTCCCTCTTTTTCTATTGATTGGAATAGTTTCAGAAGGAATGATACCAGTTCCTCCTTGTACCTCTGGTAGAATTCGGCTGTGAATCCATCTGGTCCTGGACTCTTTTTGGTTGGTAAGCTATTGATTATTGCCACAATTTCAGAGCCTGTTATTGGTCTATTCAGAGATTCAACTTCTTCCTGGTTTAGTCTTGGGAGGGTGTATGTGTCAAGGAATTTATCCATTTCTTCTAGATTTTCTAGTTCATTTGCGTAGAGGTGTTTGTAGTATTCTCTGATGGTAGTTTGTATTTCTGTGGGATCAGTGGTGATATCCCCTTTATCATTTTTTATTGCATCTATTTGATTCTTCTCTCTTTTCTTCTTCATTAGTCTTGCTAGCGGTCTATCAATTTTGTTGATCCTTTCAAAAAACCAGCTCCTGGATTCATTAATTTTTGAAGGGTTTTTTGTGTCTCTATTTCCTTCAGTTCTGCTCTGATTTTAGTTATTTCTTGCCTTCTGCTAGTTTTTGAATGTGTTTGCTCTTGCTTTTCTAGTTCTTTTAATTGTGATGTTAGGGTGTCAGTTTTAGATCTTTCCTGCTTTCTCTTGTGGGCATTTAGTGCTATAAGTTTCCCGCTACACACTGCTTTGAATATGTCCCAGACATTCTGGTATGTTGTGTCTTTGTTCTCATTGGTTTCAAAGAACATCTTTATTTCTGCCTTCATTTCGTTATGTACCCAGTAGTCATTCAGGAGCAGGTTGTTCAGTTTCCATGTAGTTGAGCGGTTTTGAGTGAGATTCTTAATCCTGAGTTCTAGTTTGATTGCACTGTGGTCTGAGAGATAGTTTCTTATAATTTCTGTTCTTTTACATTTGCTGAGGACAGCTTTACTTCCAAGTATGCGGTCAATTTTGGAATAGGTGTGGTGTGGTGCTGAAACAAATGTATATTCTGTTGATTTGGGGTGGAGAGTTCTGTAGATGTCTATTAGGTCCTCTTGGTGCAGAGCTGAGTTCAATTCCTGGGTATCCTTGTTAACTTTCTGTCTCATTGATCTGTCTAATGTTGACAGTGGGGTGTTAAAGTCTCCATTATTATTGTGTGGGAGTCTAAATCTCTTTGTAGGTCACTTAGGACTTGCTTTATGAATCTGGGGGCTCCTGTATTGGGTGCATATATATTTAGGATAGTTAGCTCTTCTTGTTGAATTGATCCCTTTACCATTATGTAATGGCCTTCTTTGTCTCTTTTGATCTTTGTTGGTTTGAAGTCTGTTTTATCAGAGACTAGGATTGCAACCCCTGCCTTTTTTTGTTTTCCATTTGCTTGGTAGATCTTCCTCCATCCTTTTATTTTGAGCCTATGTGTGTCTCTGCATGTGAGATGGGTTTCCTGAATACAGCACACTGATGGGTCTTGACTCTTTATCCAATTTGCCAGTCTGTGTCTTTCCATTGGAGCATTTAGTCCATTTACATTTAAAGTTAATATTGTTATTGTGAATTTGATCCTGTCATTATGATGTTAGCTGGTTATTTTGCTCGTTAGTTCATGCAGTTTCTTCCTAGCCTCGATGGTCTTTACAATTTGGCATGATTTTGCAGTGGCTGGTACTGGTTGTTCCTTTCCATGTTTAGTGCTTCCTTCAGGAGCTCTTTTAGGGCAGGCCTGGTGGTGACAAAATCTCTCAGCATTTGCTTGTCTGTAAAGGATTTTATTTCTCCTTCACTTATGAAGCTTAGTTTGGCTGGATATGAAATTCTGGGTTGACAATTCTTTTCTTTAAGAATGTTGAATATTGGCCCATACTCTCTTCTGGCTTGTAGAGTTTCTGCCGGGAGATCCGCTGTTAGTCTGATGGGCTTCCCTTTGTGGGTAACCCGACCTTTCTCTCTGGCTGCCCTTAACATTTTTTCCTTCATTTCAACTTTGGTGAATCTGACAATTATGTGTCTTGGAGTTGCTGTTCTCGAGGAGTATCTTTGTGGCGTTCTCTGTATTTCCTGAATCTGAATGTTGGCCTGCCTTGCTAGATTGGGGAAGTTCTCCTGGATAATATCCTGCAGAGTGTTTTCCAACTTGGTTCCATTCTCCCCGTCACTTTCAGGTACACCAGTCAGACGTAGATTTGGTCTTTTCACATAGTCCCATATTTCTTGGAGGCTTTGTTCGTTTCTTTTTATTCTCTTTTCTCTAAACTTCCCTTCTCGTTTCATTTCATTCTTTTCATCTTCCATCACTGATACCCTTTCTTCCAGTTGATCACATCGGCTCCTGAGGCTTCTGCATTCTTCACGTAGTTCTCGAGCCTTGGTTTTCAGCTCCATCAGCTCCTTTAAGCACTTCTCTGTATTGGTTATTCTAGTTATGCATTCATCTAAATTTTTTTCAAAGGTTTTAACTTCTTTGCCTTTGGTTTGAATTTACTCCTGTAACTCGGAGTAGTTTGATCATCTGAAGCCTTCTCTCAACTCGTCAAAGTCATTCTCCGTACAGCTTTGTTCCGTTGCTGGTGAGGAACTGCGTTCCTTTGGAGGAGGAGAGGCGCTCTGCTTCTTAGAGTTTCCAGTTTTTCTGCTCTGTTTTTTCCCCCGTCTTTGTGGTTTTATCTACTTTTAGTCTTTGATGATGGTAATGTACAGATGGGTTTTTGGCGTGGATGTCCTTTCTGTTTGTTAGTTTTCCTTCTAACAGACAGGACCCTCAGCTGCAGGCCTGTTGGAGTTTGCTAGGGGTCCACTCCAGACCCTGTTTGCCTGGGTACCAGCAGCGGTGGCTGCAGAACAGCAGATTTTCATGAACCGCGAACGCTGCTGTCTGATCGTTTCTCTGGAAGTTTTGTCTCAGAGGAGTACCGGGTCCTGTGAGGTGTCAGTCTGCCCCTGCTGGGGGGTGCCTCCCAGTTAGGCTGCTCAGGGGTCAGGGGTCAGGGACCCACTTGAGGAGACAGTCTGCCCATTCTCAGATCTCCAGCTGTGTGCTGGGAGAAGCACTGCTCTCTTCAAAGCTGTCAGACAGGAACATTTAAGTCTGCAGAGGTTACTGCTGTCTTTTTGTTTGTCTGTGCCCTGCCCCCAGAGGTGGAGCCTACAGAGGCAGGCAGGCCTCCTTGAGCTGTGGTGGGCTCCACCCAGTTCGAGCTTCCCTGCTGCTTTGTCTACCTAAGCAAGCCTGGGTAATGGCGGGCGCCCCTCCCGCAGCCTTGCTGCCGCCTTGCAGTTTGATCTCAGACTGCTGTGCTAGCAATCAGCGAGACTCCGTGGGCGTAGGACCCTCCGAGCCAGGTGTGGGATATAATCTCCTGGTGCACTGTTTTTTAAGCCTGTCGGAAAAGCGCAGTATTCAGGTGGGAGTGACCTGATTTTCCAGGTGCCGTCTGTCACCCCTTTCTTTGACTAGGAAAGAGAACTCCCTGACCCCTTGCACTTCCCGAGTGAGGCAATGCCTCGCCCTGCTTCGGCTCGTGCACGGTGCGCTGCACCCACTGTCCTGCGCCCACTGTCTGGCACTCCCTAGTGAGATGAACCCGGTACCTCAGATAGAAATGCAGAAATCACCCATCTTCTGCGTCACTCACGCTGGGAGCTGTAGACCAGAGCTGTTCCTATGCTACCATCTTGGCTGCTCCCCAGTTAGTAGGTAGAATTCTAAATGCTCTACCTTGTTAATCTTGATAACTTTCTATATATATATATATACTTTTTTTTTTGATACAGAATCTCTTTCTGTCTCCCAGGCTGGAGTGCAGTGGCCTGATCTCAGCTCACTGCAACCTCTGCCTCCCGGGTTCAAGCGATTCTCATGCCTCAGCCTCCTGAGTAGTTGGGATTACAGGTGCGCACCACCATTCCCAGCTAATTTTTGTATTTTTAGTAGAGACAGAGCTTCACCATATTGGTCAGGCTGGTCTTTAACTCCTGACCTCATGATCCGCCCACCTCGGCTTCCCGAAGTGCTGGGATTACAGGCATGAACCACCACACCCAGCCACTGAGATATATGTTGTTTTTATCTCCATTTTACAGATGAAGAAATTGGCCCAGGGAGGTTAAATAAGTTCACCACCATCACATAATTAGTAAGTGGTAAAGCTGGGAGTAGGATCTATTTATTTAATCTCTTTAGCCCTCACTCTTAAACACATATACTATATTGCTTCTCTGATTAGAGCTGAGATATTCTGAGCCCTAATTCCTAATCCTGTAATGTTTCCATTATGGGTATTCTCTGAAAGGTTTGGAGATGGCTGAGGGTTATAAGTGAGACATATATATTAGAGTGGCAGTTAAAATAGTGGGAAATGGGAATGAAAGTAAGCTGGTGAAACTGGCAGAATGAAAAGAGGAGCAAGGAGATATTTTAGAAGGAATGTTGGTTTGGAATTCTGGCTGGACAAGTAATAATAAAATATCGGAAGAAAATAGATCTTTCTGAGTAATCAGAGAAATAATACTTGTTCAGAGGAGTTTAAACTCAATCGCTAATTGAGGGTTGGTTCTTCCCAAGAGGAGTAGCAAAACAAGAGGTAATATCAAAGCTCATCTACTGAAATTTCTATCAAATACCTTCCTCATCATTCCTTTCCTTCTTTCGAAATAAATTTTCTATCATGATTGTTATTTGTCTTTTACAAGGTTTCCTCAAATGATATTGGAAGGACATCTAGAAAGAGGACATAAAGGCCACTCTTCTTATTAGGCTTTTGCTGAGCTGTGAATATTTAAGAGATGAGGCGTAAGATCATCATTATTGATGTTATTTTTCCTTATGAGGGGTTCTTTCATAAATGCCACAGAGGGCAAGTGGTAAAGGACATGGAATTCAGGCTCCTCATTTCACTTCCTGCTGATGTGTGAATAACTCAGGGGCGACACACAACGATTTTACTTTATGCCATTTGGCATTTCATTCAGGCAGTTGAATTGTTGCTGCTCTCTTACCAGAGGTCTTAGTAGGGCCATTTTAGTAGACCTGTGCTTTGGAAGAATTCAGAATTACTTGAAAATTCCAGTTACTAACATATGCTTTTTGAAACAAATTATATGAAAAGAGCAGTTATATTGTTTATTATAAAGTTAGCCTAAGTAGAATTTTCTGGATTGTTTTTAAAGGAAGCCCACTCACATCATAATTAAATATGTATTGAAATAAGAGAAATTTGGGGTATAAAATTTTACTAATTATGACTCTGTCTTGTATTGTCATTTTGAAAATGTGTTTGAGCCACATAATTCTATGCCCCACAAAGAAAACTTCCAATTAACTTGGACTACTAATTGGCAATAACAAAACAAAACATCCTTGTGTAACATTACACGTAAATGTCTTACTATCAAGATTAGCTAATGACCTATATCTTAATTTTATGAATGACAATAACTCCACTATATTGATTATCAATCCAGAAAATGTTAAAGTCAGAGGAGAATATTGGCATTGAGGTGTGAATTTGAAAGCATTAGTATTATAAGATTGAAAGTAGTGTTCTCGTGAATGAATGTAAGTATATATAGAGATAATTATCCTGGGAACATGTTTAATTTAGCTTTAGTATGCAGTGTTAAATGACTTTATTTAATAATAAAACAGAATGAATCTAGTAAGTTTAGACTGGACAAATTTACTATCGACAGTAAGTGCCTAGGAATTGACAGAAGGTGCAGACTGTATGACAAAGAAATCTAAATATTCTTAGAAGTTCCTTCTTTTTTTATTTTTCAGATTGTTGCCATTCCCCATCTCCTGCCTTGAATCTTAGAATGAAATCTGTTATTGACAGTGAACTAATTTAATGAAGCAGTGTTAAATATTCAATGAAGCAGCAAATCTGCTCACATTTTTATTAACATATATTTTTGAAGAAACAAAGCAAGTCTACAGGCATAAAACAATGTTATGTCTATATGTCATGTATGTGCAGGTATTGAATCAGGACTAAAATATCTCTGATATTCTATGACACCACCACACTACAGAGCCACAGAGCTCATATTTAGAAGATTCATTATATTACTTAGTACTAAATATACTGCCACCAGCTAGGCTGGACAAATTTGCTATTGGACAAAGTTGGAAAAGGCCACAACAGAGGAAAAAATTATTTTCTTATTTATAAAGAAAGGGAATTTATAAAATTATGGAAAGAACATAAAAAATAAGGCTAGAGTCAAGAAAAAGCACTTGTAAAATAAGATGCTGATTATAGTGCTAGAATTAGAGAAGCTGATACAATAGGGAAAGTCATCTGTAAAAGTATTATCTCTTGAAATTAAACATAGAAATGTGAATAAGAAAACATCTATGTGTGAATGGATTTTGAGTGGGGCAGATAAGTGTTTTTAGCAAAGAACAGCGCAAATCAAGTACCCCCAAATTCTGCAAGAAACAAACAAAACCCCATCGCCTACCTCACCAAAAATTGTCTGACACAGTTGGGCTAAATCCATGTCATCAACTTAGAATTTGCTTTGGAAACCAGCAAGTGAAGTTGAGTCATATTTTCAGAGGCTTCCTCTTCCTCTTTGGAAAATCATCAACACATTTTCATCTTGTAAGCTATGTTTTTTTTCTTTTATAACCAGCATTGATTTTAAAAGCTTTATCCAATTCTTGGTTCTTGAATGTCCCTGAAGATATTTTTGAAGGATTATGCAAAGTGTTGCTCCCTCTGGAACTCCCATGTAGGCCCTGGAGATGTTGGGAAATGCTTGTGAGTAATTTTCATGCATAAAAAAGGACACTTAGCTGAATGCTAGATTGTAATTCAATCAGGAAGTTCCGATGACATTCTAAAACTGTACAGTCTGAATGCTTTATGAATAATACCACATTGCCAACACTGAATTACAGCTAGTATTTTTACACGAGGACTAGGAATACTAGCAACATAAAACAGTTTTATAGCCAGTTACCTTTGAGGTTGAGGGAGATGACAATTCATCACACAGAAGTCTTTAGTGCATCCCACAAAGATTATAATATGTGTAAGAGTGAAGGCTTGCCACTTGTTAGTCTATGAGAAGGATTTAAGTATAGAGGACACGGTGGTCTGCAAAACATTATAGGACTTGTGAAATGAGGACAGGGCTGCAATGCTTTTGAGGACACTCGGGTTGCCAGAAACACAAATCCTAGTCCTCATAAATACCACATTTGTGCTTTAATCATAAAAATTCTATTGAGACTAACCTTTCAGTGAGGGAATATTATCTAAAGAGAGCACAGTCATTTCAGCTGCTAAATGAAAAACTTGTATTTTATAAGCCTAGAAAAAAGTGAGTTGAATGTTATCATAAGATAACACATGGTCTTGAGGCACCCTGGGGCGCTGATATCTCACTTCACAGCGCAAGCTCAAAACACTCCTAGCTTGCTTAATAATTGTCAAAGTTATTTTAATTTGAACCATAACCAATTATTTATGTAAAAGAACTGTAAGAATGATAGTAGGAGAGCAAGAACATGAAAATTTATTTTTTTTCAGGCTTGTTGAGATTAATGAACCCTCAAAGATGTTATTAACTTTGCAGAATGGGTACCACATCTAAACAGCTATGCATTTCAAAATACCTTGGCTTTCTTCTCAAAAGAAAGAATTAAGTTGATACTCATGACTGAATCAGAAAGGTACTACTGACAGGTGCTCGGCACACTTTCCCCTGCATGACTCACCCTAAAGATACCTTATTTTTTCCATGAAGCCTTTTTATTCTCATATTTTTCTTTGGTCTTGTTTGAAAGCTCTATTCCCAGTGGCTTGAGAGAAGAAGAATAAACACCCAGGCCCCAGTAGTTTTTTTTTTTTTTTTAAACCCAGGGGGATATGCTCTGCCTATTGTCCTGAACACTAGCCAAAATCCTACTAAAATACAATATCTAGTATTGCCAAATCCTGCTTAGAGAGACATGAGAAACCTGAGAGTTCCTTCCATGGCTTGCCACAAAACAGATTATGGGTCTGGAAAATAAAAATAACCAGGAAGTGGCATTATAAATATAGATCAGAGAAAAAAAAGCCTTAGTGGTTCCTTGTTCATGGTCCTTAGGAATGTGCAGAAGTTTTGGACAGAGGATACAAACTAGCTTATTTGATCTTCTCTAGGCATAGGTAGAATAAGAGTAAATGCCCATAAGAAACTACACAAAGGGTTTAGAGACTGAGCTAAGAAAAAGCTGCCAGTCTGGAGTCAGTAGAAGAAAATTAAGAAATAGAGGGCAGTGGAATGCCAGAGAGAGGAAATACTTTGAACACATTAGCAAAGGAAAAATAGAAAAAAAATCATATTTGGAGAAGAGACATGAGCTCTGCCCGCATTCTCTTGAGATCTTTTGCTTGATTGAGGGCATGGGCTTTCCCCCTGCCATGATTGAGATAAAAGGCTATGATCAGGTAGAGGCAGTGCTTTGGAAGCTGCTTATGTCATTCCTCCCTCCTTTTCTTTTGTCCTGGTTCTGATTTAATTCATGGGTGTGTGTGTGTGTACGTGTGTGTGTGTGTGTGTGTGTGTGTTTTCATGCACACAAGCTTATGTATTAGATGGAGAGGGATTTGAAATTTTTCCTTGTTGAAAGGAAGGCTTCAAATGAAACAGCAATCCATCTCGCAGGAAAATTCCCATCCTGGGGATTCCCTTCAAGGCAGAAATTCAAGCAATGATGAGAAAGGTGCCCTTAGACTTGCCCAGTAATGAGATGTTACAAGCCATTAATTTTATGAAACTCCAAAGAAACACAGCCAGGCCGTAAAAAAAAGGTTAAAAAATAGATCTTCAACGAATCACTGAGAAAATACTAACTTTCCAAGTCCAGGGAATAAATTTGTCTGAGCCCTCTATTTTTCCCTCTCTGCATTATATTTGAAGATAGTTGTGTTTTGTTAGCTTTTTCATTTACCCCCAAAATACTTGCAAAATGCTTTAGTTTTAGAATTTTCATGTAATTGAGGAGTTAGAAACCCACCAAAGGTAGGGAGTCAAAGCAGAAACAGTTACTCAGATGCCTCTGGTAGCTATCCATTGTTCTAGAGAACAAGTCCATACTCGTAGCTTAAAAGGGATGGCAGGATGGCACTCTTATTTAACTCCTTACCCACATCTCTCCACCTGGACAGCCCCTCCCAACCCTCCCACCATACTTATCTCAGTTTTTCGACATGCCATGCCAGGTCACGCTTCTCTCTGGCCTTGGACATTCCATTTCCTCTGCTTCAAATTCCTTTCACTAGGCTAACACCTACTCATGGTGTAGGTTTAGCTTAGACTTCACTTTCTTCAGGAAGCTGACGCCAGTAACATTCCCTCCCCCTCACGTCTGGGTTATGGCCCCTCCTGCGTGCTTCCATTATACCTTCCCTATCTTGGTAGTCTTCACACTATATAATAATTTAGATGCCTATTTACTTGGCTGTAGTAGTCCTCACTAGACTATAAATTCTACCGTTATGTTACAGAAGAGCTCATACAACATAAACTACCTTTTGTGGAAGGATTATTTCAAACGTGGGGACCTAATTTTAGCTGTGGCAGTACGTGAGGAACATTTATAAGGTAGGGCACAACTGTACATTCACTTGGTTTCTCTTGAGTGCTCATTCTCTTCCATCTTTGAGTATGTTTTTTACTGCTGTTTTAAAGTATAGCCCTAGGGTTCTTGAAAACCAAAGCTTTTAGCTTCACGTGTAGACTTCATTCAATTTTTTTAAAAAGTATTGTCTTGAGGATTGATTGGTTTGAAAGCTTGGTTGTTATGAAAAGCTCTTATCTTTCCAGGGTTATTCCTTAGTTGCTCTTACAGAAACACCAAAACTGTAGGAATATCTTTAATATGCTGTCAAATAGAAAGGTTGGTGATAAATACTTGCCTCTAAAGAATGTTTTAGGAGCTTAGGAAATATGCAAGTCATCCGTGAAGCCCTCCTCCCTTTGAACTGCAATTTTTTATTATGGGAGTCAGGATACGTTGACTCTACTTTTTTTTTTTTTTTTTTTTTTTTCTTCACAAGGTCTCTCTCTGTCGCCCAGGCTGGAGTGCAGTGGTGTGATTATAGCTCACTGTAACCTCGAATTCCTGGGCTTAAATGATCCTCCCACCTCAGCTTCCTGAGTAGCTAGGACTACAGGCATACACCACCATGCCCAGATAATATTTACTTATCGTTCAGACAGCGTCTTGCTATGTCTCCCGTTGGTCTCAAGCAATCCTTCTGCCTCACCTCCCAGAAGGCTGGAATTACAGGCATAAGCCACTGTGCTCAGTCTGACTCTACTTTTTGTCTCAAAGCCAGGACACCTTATCCCAATGGCATAATATTTTTATTCCATTATACGCCGTACCATTTTAGTGATTTTTTCCCCTAAGTTCTACACACACTGGTTTCAGAATGATATTGCCAAAAGGAAAGAAGAAGAAATTCACTACACTTTTTTTTTTCTGGGAATGCTAGTAAAATCTGCATCTAAATTATATAAATGGTATTATTGTCTTCTTAAGTGGCACATGGTGTTACAGCTCACGCTTATTATGTCATCATTTACCTTTCATAAGTATTTTCAACATTCTTTTATCAATCAGTTAGTCTTCAACTGTGCTGTCCAAGATGGTAGCCTCTTTTCACATGAAGCTATTGAGCACCTGAAATGTGGCTAGTCTGAATTGAGATGAGCTGTAAATGTAAAATACAGACCAGCCTTCAAAGACTTGGTTAAAACAAAAAGGATTCAAAATATCTCATTTTTATCTCAAATAAATGAATTTATATTGATTACATGTTGAAATGATAATCTGAATATATTGGGTTGAGTAAAAGGCATTATTAAAATTAATTTCATCTGTTTCTTTTTACCTTTTTAATGCAGCTACTAAAAAATTAAAACTTGCATACCTGGCATGCAATATATATACATTTTTAATTTTTCATTTTAATTTTTGTGGGTACATAGCAGGTGTATATATTTATGAGGTACATGAGATATTTTGATGCAGGTATGCAATGTATAATAATCACATCATGTAAAATGGGTGTATCCATCCCCTCAAACATTTATCTCTTGGGTCACTAATAATCAAATTATGCTCTTCTTGTTATTTTTACATGTACAATTAAATTATCATTGACTATAGTCACCCTGTTGTGCTGTCAAATACTAAGTCTAATTCATTCTTTCTATTTTTTTTGTACCCATTAACCATCCCCACATCCCCCAAACCCCATTGCTGCCTTTCCCAGCCTGTGGTAACCATCCTTCTCCTCTCTATCAACATGAGTTCAATTATTTTGATTTTTAGTTTCCACAAATAAGTGAGAACATGGAATGTTTGTCTTTCTGTGCCTGGCTTATTTCACTTAGCATAATGACCTCCAATTTCATCCATGTTGTTGCATATGACAGGCTCTAGTTCTTTTCTATGGCTGAATAGTACTACATGGTGTATAATATGATGTTTTCTTTATTTACTCATTTGTTGATGAACACTTAGGTTGCTTCCAAATTTTGGCTATCGTGAAGAGCGCTACAACAAACATGGGAATGCAGATATCTCTTTGATACACTGATCTTTTTTCTTTTGGGTGTATACCCAGCAGTAGGATTCCTGGATCATATAGTATCTCTAGTTTTAATTTTTTGAGGAATCTCAAAACTGTTCTCCATAGTAGTTGCACTGATTTACATTCCCACCAACAGTGTATGAAAGTTCCCTTTTCTCCTCTCCTTTCCAGCATTTGTTTTTGCCTGTCTTTTGGACATAAGCCATTTTAACCGGGATGAGATGATATCTTATTGTAGTTTGACTTGCATTCCTCTGATAATCAATGGTGTTGAAAACCTTGTTATATGCCTTTTGTATGCCTTTTTTTTGAGAAATGTCTATTCAAATCTTTTGTTCATCTTTTGATTGGATTATTAGATTTTTTTCCTATAGAGTTGAGTTCCTTATGTATTCTGGTTATGAATCTCTTGTCGTATGGTTGTTTGCAAATATTTTCTCCCATTTTGTGAGTTGTCTCTTCACTTTGTTGATTGTTTCTTTGTTGTGCAGAACTTTTTAACTTAATGTTATCTCATTTGTCCATTTTTGCTTTGATTGCCTGCACTTGTGGGGTATTACTCAAGAAATTCTTGCCCAGAACAATGTCCTGGAGAGTTTCCCTGAAGTTTTCTTTTAGTAATTTCATAGATTGAAGTCTTAGATTTACACCTTCAATCCATTTTGATTTAGTTTTTGTATATGGCGAGAGATAGGCATCTACTTTCGTTCTTCTGCATATAGATAACCTGTTTTCCCAGCATCATTTATCGAAGAGACTGTCTTTTCCTCAGTGTATGTTCTTGGCACCTTTATTGAAAATGAGTTCACTGTAGGTGTGTAGATTTATTTCTGTGTTCTCTATTCTGTTCCATTGGTCTATGTGTCTGTTTCTATGTCACTATCAAGCTGTTTTTGGTTTCTATAGCTCCATAGTATAATTTGCAATTAGGTAATTTGATTTCTTCAATTTTGTTCTTTTTGCTTGGGATAGCTTTGGTTATTCTGGGTCCTCTGTGGTTCCATATAAATTTTAGGATTGTTTTTTCTATTTCTGTGGAGAATATCATTGGTATTTTGATAGTGATTGAATTGAATCTGTAGCTTGCTTTGGGTAGTATGGACATTTTAACAACATTGATTCTTTCAGTATATGAACCTGGAATATTTATCTATTTCTTGGTGTCCTCTTAAATTTCTTTCATCAGTGTTTCATAGTTTTCATTATAGAGGTCTTTCAGTTCTTTAGTTCATTCCTAGGTATTTAGTTTAATTTGTGGCTATTGTACATGGGATTACTTTTTAAATTTCTTTTTTCAGATTGTTTATTATTGGCATATAGAAATGTTACCGATTTTCGTACGTTGATTTTGTATCTTGCAACTTTACTGAATTTGTTGATCAATTCTAATAGTTTTTTGTGCAGTGTAGGTTTTTCCAAATACAAAATCATATCATCTGCAAATAGGACAATTTGACTTCTTCCTTTCCAATTTGGATGCTCTTTATTTCTTTGTCTCATTGCTCTAACTAGGAATTTCAGTACTATGTTGAATAACAGTGGTGAAAGTGGGTATCCTTGGCATGTTCCAGATCTTAGAGGAAAGGCTTTCAGTTTTTCCCCATTCAGTATGATAATAGCTATGAATCTGTTATATATGGCTTTTATTCTATTGAGGTATGTTCCTTCTTTTTTTTTTTTTTTTTTTTTTTAAGATGGCATCTTGAACTGTCACCCAGGCTGGAGTGCAGTGGCACAATCTCGGCTCACTGCCACCTCCACCTTCCAGGTTCAAGCAATTCTCCTGCTTTGGCCCCCCAAGTAGCTGGGATTACAGGCACCTGCCACCACGCCCAGCTAACTTTTTGTATTTTTAGTAGAGACAGGGTTTCACTATGTTGGCCAGGCTGGTCTCAAACTCCTGACCTCGTGATCCGCCCACCTCGGCCTGCCAAAGTGCTGGGATTACAGGCATGAGCCACCACACCCGGCCAGTGTGTTCTTTCTATTTCTAGTTGTTTGAGGATTTTTATCATGAAGGATGTTGAAATTTATCAAATGCTTTTTCAGCATCAATTGAAATGATCATATGGGTTTTGTCCTTCATTCTGTTAATATGATATATCACATGGATTGGCTTACGTATGTTGAACCATCCTTGCATCTCAGGGATAAATCCCATTTGGTCATGACAAATGGCCTTTTAAATGTATTGTTGAATTTGGTTTGCTAGTATTTTGTTGAAGATATTTGTGTCAATATTCATCAGAGATATTGGCATGTAGTTTCCTTTTTTTGATGTCTCTTTTTCTGATTTGGATATAAGAGTAATACTGGCCTCGTAGAATGAGTTTGGAAGTATGCTCTCATCCTCTAATTTTGGAATAGTTTGAGGAAAATCGATATTAGCTTTTCTTTGAATGTTTGTAGAATTCAGCAGTGAAGCCATTGGGTGCTGGTCTTTTCTTTACTGGAAGACTTTATAACAGCTTCAATCTTGTTACTTGTTATTGGTCTATTCAGGTTTTGGATTTTTTCCTGGTTCAATCTTGGTAGTTTGCATGTGTCTAGGAGTTTGTCCATTTCTTCTAGATTTTTTAATTTATTGGCATATAGTTGCTCATAGTAGCCACTAAGGATCTTTTGAATTTCTTCAGTATCAGTTGTAATATCTCCTTTTTCATTTCTGATTTTATTTATTTGGGTCTTCTCTCTTTTTTTCTTAGTCTGGATAAAGGTTTGTCTATTTTGTTTATGTTTTTTAAAACCAACTTTTTGTTTTATTGATCTTTTGTATTGTTTTCTTCATCTCAATTTCCTTTATTTCTGCTCTGATTTTTATTATTTCTTTTCGTCTACTAATTTTGGTTTTGGTTTGCTCTTGCCTTTCTAGTTCTTTAAGATGCATTGTTAGGTTGTTTGAAGTTTTTCTTCTTTTTTTGGGTAGGTATGTATGAGTACTGCTTTTGCTATATCCCATAGGTTTTGGCATGTTGTTTCCATTATCATTCGTTTCAAGAAATTTTCAGTGTTCTTAATTTCTTCATTGGCCCAATTTCCTTCTTAATGTCTTCATTGACCCATATCCAGGAGCATATTGTTTAATTTCCATGCATTTGTATAGTTTCCAAGATTCTTCTTGTTGTTGATTTCTAGTTTTATTCCATTGTGTACAGAGAAGATGACTGATATTATTTCATTTAAAAATATTTTAAGACTAGTTTTGTGACCTAACATAAGGTCTGTCATTGAGAATGATCCATGTGCTGATGAACAAAAAATGTGTATTCTGTAGCTCTTGGATAAAATGTTCTGTAAATATCTATTAGATCCATTTGGTCTATAGTGCAGATGAAGTATGATGTTTCTTTGTTGATTTTCTGTCTAGAATATCTGTCCAAGGCTGAAAGTGAGGTGTTAAAGTTTCCAGCTATTATTGTATATTGTACTGGGGCCTCTCTCTTTCTTTAGCTGTAATAATATTTGCTTTATGTATCTGGGTGCTCCAGTGTTGGGTGCATATATATTTAAAATTGTTATATTCTCTAGCTGAATTGACTCCTTTATCATTATACAGAGACCTTTGTCTCTTCATATAGTTTTTGTCTTGAAATCTATTTTGTCTGATACAAGCATAGTGACTCCTGCTGTCTTTTGGTTTCCAATAGCATGGGATATCTTTTCCCATCCCTTTATTTTCAGTTTATGTGTGTATTTTTTGTAGGCAACAGGTTATTACTTCTTTTTTTTCCCATCCATTCAGTCAGTATATTTTGACTGAAGAGTTTAGTCCATTTACATTCAACGTTATTATTAATAAATAAGGACTTCTGTCATTTTGTTCTATGTTTTCTGCTTGTTTTGTGGTCTTTTCTTCCCTTTCCTTCCTTTTAATGAAGGCGATTTTCTCTGGTGATGTGATTTAATTTCTTGCTTATTTTTTGTGTATCCATTGTATGTTTTCTGGTTTGAGGTTACCATGAGGCTTGCAAATACTATCTTATAACTCATATTTTAAGCTGATACCAACACTGTTTCATAAACAAACAAGCAAAAAGAAAACAAATAAAGACTCTATGCCTTAGCTTTGTCCTCCTGCTTTTTACCTTTTTCTTCTTTCTTGCTTTTTTTTTTTTTTTTTTTTTTGAGACAGAGTCTCACTCTGTCGCCCAGGCTGGAGTGCAGTGGTGCAATCTCGGTTCACTGCAACCTCCACCTTCCAGGTTCAAGTGATTCTCCTGCCTCAGCCTCCCGAGTAGCTAGGACTACAGGTGCATGCCACCATGCCCAGCTAATTTTTTGTGCTTTTAGTAGAGATGGGATTTCACCATGTTAGCCAGGATGATCTTGATTTCCTGACCTCATAAACCTCCTGCCTTGGCCTCTCAAAGTGCTGGGATTACAGGCATGAGCCACTGCGCCCGGCCTCTTGTTTCTATTTATATCTTATTGTGCTATGTCTCAAAAAGTTGTTATTGTTTTTGTTTGGTTCATTGTTTAGGCTTTCTACTTAGGATAACAGTAGTTTACACACCACAGTTACAGTGTTGTAATATTCTGTGTTTTTCTGTGTACTTACTATTACCAGTGAGTTTTGTAACTTCAGATGATTTCTTATTACTAATTAACATTCCTTTCTTTCTAAGTGAAGTACTCCCTTTAACATTTCTTGCAGGATGAGTCTAGTATTGATGAAATCCCTCAGCTTTTGTTTGTCTGGGGAAGTCTTTATTTCTCCTTTATGTTTGAAGGATATTTTCACCAGATATATACTATTCTAGGGTAAAAATTTTTTCCTTTATTGCTTTAAATATATCATGCACTCTTTCCTGGCCTGTAAGATTTCCACTGAAAAATCTGCTGCCCGACATATTGGAGCTCCATTGTACGTTATTTGTTTCTTTTCTGTTGTTGCTTTTAGGATCTTTTTTTTTTTTTTTTTTTTTTTGAGACAGAGTCCCGCTCTTTAGCCCAGGCTGGAGTGCAGTGGCACAATCTCGGCTCACTGCAAGCTCCGCCTCCCAGGTTCACGCCATTCTCCTGCCTCAGCCTCCCGAGTAGCTGGGACTACAGGCGCCTGCCACCGCGCCCAGCTAATTTTTGTATTTTTAGTAGAGACGGGGTTTCACCGTGTTAGCCAAGATGGTCTCGATCTCCTGACCTTGTGATCCGCCTGCCTCGGCCTTCCAAAGTACTGGGATTACAGGCGTGAGCCACCGTGCCCAGCCAGGATCTTTTTTTATTAATCCTTGATCTTTGGGAATTTGATTGTTAAATGCCTTGAGACAGACTTCTTTGGGTTAAATCTGCTTGATGTTCTATAACCTTCTTGTCCTTGAATATTGATATCTTTCTCCAGGTTTGGGAAGTTCTCTGTCATTTTCCCTTTGAATAAACTTTCTACTCCTATTCCTTTCTCTACCTTCTCTTTAAAGCCAATAACTATTAGATTTGCCCTCTTGAAGCTATTTTCTAGATATCGCAGGTGTGCTTCATTTTTTTAAAAAAATTCTGTTTTCTTTTGTCTCTTCTATGTATTTTCAAATAGCCTGTCTTCAAGCTCACTAATTCATTCTTCTGCTTGATCATTTCTGTTATTAAAAGACTGTGATGCATCCTTCAGTATGTCAATTGCACTTTTCAGCTCCAGAATTTCTGCTTGATTCTTTTTAATTATTTCAATCTCTTTGTTAAATTTTTTCTGATAGCATTTTGAATTCCTTCTCTGCGTTATCTTGAATTTCATTGCATTTCCTCAAAACAGCTTTTGAATTCTTTGTCTGAAAGGTCGCATATCTGTTTCTCCAGGACTGGTCCCTGATGCGTTATTTAGTTCATTTGGTGATGTTGTGTTTTCATGGATTGTCTTCATTCTTGCAGATGTTCATCTGTGTCTGGGCATTGAAGAGTTAAGTATTTATTCTAGTCTTCTCAGTGTGGGCTTTCTTGTACCAGTCTTTCTTGGGAGGGCTTTCCAGGTATTCTAAAAGACGTAAGTGTTGTGATCTAAGCTGTATTTGTTTTAGGGGGTACCCAAAGTCCAGTAACACTGTGGTTCTTGCAGACGTGTAGAGGTGCCACCTTGATGTTCTTGGACAAGCACTGGGAGAATTCTTTGGATTACCAGGCAGACTCTTGTTCTCTTCCCTTACTTTCTCCCAAACAAACAGAGTTTATATCTTTGTTCTGAGTCAACTGGAGATGGGGGTGGAGTGACATAAGCACCCTTTGGCTACTACCGCTAGGAATGTCCTGGGTCAGACCTGAAGCCAGCACAGCACTGGGTCTTGCCCAAGGCCTGCTTAACTACTCCCTGGCTATGGCCTATGTTTGCTCAGTGCCATAGGGCTCTACAGTCAGCAGGTGGCAAAGTCAGCCAGGCCTGCGTCCTTCCCTGCAGGATTGTGATTTTCTCCAGGACCCAGGAGGGTCCATAGGTGTTGTTTGGGAGCCAGGAACTAGAGTCAAAAACCTTAAAAGGCCATCTGATGTTCTATTGTACTTTCCATTTTTCCCTCCCCTTTCCAAAGGCAGAGGAGTCTTATCCCATACCCACCACCACTCCAGGCCATGAGGAGTACTGGCAGATTACTACCAATGTTCCCCCTAAGGCCCAAGGGCTTTTTAGTCAGCTTATTGTGAATGCTGCCTGGCCTTGGACTCACTCTTTAGGGTAGTAGGCACTCCTCTGGCCGAGAGCAGTTTCAGAAATGCTATCCAAGGGTTTGCTTTGTATTTTTATTGGACAGTGCTGGCCTAGACAGTAACTCAATAATGAGAATTTTATGTTTTCTTTTGCTAGGAAAGAGCTATTTAGTCACCGTGGCTAGCAAAATTTGGTGACTTGGTTGACTTGGACAAATGGGATCCTCAAAACACAATTAAATATATCTAATGTCCTGAGACACACCACTCATAATAATATTAATAGTTACTCCAGTGAACTAATAATATTATTTACCTCTTTGGATTTTATAAGGATTCAATTAAGATAACACGTGTGTGAAGGTTGTGACCTAAATAATATTATCTTACAGGGAGAAAGGTGCATGTGAAAATTGTCAGAGATGAAAATGGTTAGGGAACAATTTTAAAACTATTTTCATACCTGATGTATAGTAGTAATGTGCTCGATTATCTGTGGAATTAATTTGATCATCAGAGAAGAGATCTCTTTTGGTTTATGTGAAGACTTTGTATGCCAAAAGCATTTTTTGTGTTGCTATATAATCTTTGTAAACATTCTTGTAAATGGTGCATGACATTTTGTTTAATCAATATACCAGCCTTTATTTAACCATTTTCTTTTTCTCGGACATTGGGTTGCTTCCATTTTTTTTTTCACTATCATTAATATTATGGTGATATACATCTGTAAAACTCTCCCCATATTGTGGATAAATTTGCAAGGATGTCAGACTGATTTTAATGGAGATGAATTATGTAAGAATGGAAAACCATTCAAATTCCTGACTAAAAGTGAACAATTATCCAACTAGAAGGTAGTTGGATGTAAGTGATTTTCTTACCTGTCTTGCATTTCTAGGGTAGAAAAGATAAATGGAGAAAAGATTGGTTAAATGTTGACATGAGATTATTCCTATTGAGAATATTGGCAATAAAAATAGCAATAATATCAGTAGAGATTTGGGGGATATTTCAATTCCAATGTCTAGATCCCTTTTATTGGAATCTTGAATGTTGAGTTTTAGTCTCATTGAATAATTTTATCTAAAGTAGTCAAAAAGACTCTGAGATTGTCCCACAGCTGCATAAAGACCCATATAAATGACCAACATTACATGTGAATTAGTTTAAATCTACACAGTAGGTTTAGCAATACACCAACTTTGTTTGTAAATGGGCTTATATCTTCCAGTTTCATAAAACGTTTTTGGGAGAAAGGTTTCACTTTGTCCATGACTGTGCATCTGTAAACATTTTATCTTTAGAGCAGATGTTTAAAGCCCCAAAAGTTGAGTTTACATTTTGTGAAATATTTATTGTCTTAATCACATAGTTTCTGTACTGGTAGTAGGTTAGAAATTTCAATTCATTCCAAATAAAGTTGGGCGGAAGTAGGAAGGCAATGCCAAATTAAAGCAGAGTACTTTAATAATGATTCCTTTTAAAATAGGGCTTCTCATTATCATAACATTATAAACTCCATTTGTCCTCAGAGTTCCAGAGTTCAAGAGCTCCTACAGCAGAGCTCATTCATGTGGAGAGAACAGTGCAGAGAATGTATATATAGTGAGGCAGATTTGTATAGTTTATGTTCGATGTGTATATAGCCATTAATTTTAATATAGTCGCCCTTACTCTCAGGAACACCTGCTACCTGAACAATCCAGTTTTAAAACCAACTCTCCAAGAATTATTTCCTACTTCTTCTTCCTGGTTTTCAGGGCATTGCTTAAGCACTGCTTTGTATAAGATTCACGTGCCTCCTGTAGTTCCAACTGCAGCAGGAGGATTTCTTGAGCCCAGGAGTTTAAGGCCAGCCTGGGCAACATAGTGAGACCCTATCTAAATAATGATAATAAAAGTAATATGTTTTTAAGTTACAATTACCATTATATTGGTTGAACATTTGAAAGATTCTAGATGCTTTACAGACTATGACTATTGGCCTGCATTACATGCCATGAATTCTAATAATTGTGTGCTGATAAGATGACATTCTGGGTTTCAAAGGAAAGATATTCCATTTAGAATTAGAACCCCAGGGCTCAGGTGCTAACTATGTTACTTGGGCAAGTCACATAACTCTGAAAGCTACTGTATTTCCTTCTCGGGAAAGGGAGGGTGATAATAATTACCATACCTTTCTTGCACCTCACCAAATGAACAAACATCTGCGAGTGGTTGTCAGGTGCTGGGAATAGAAGGGGATCCTCTACAAAGGATCATATAAAAAGTTTTGGAGGATGAAAGTGCTTTATATGTTGATGATGTTGGTGGCTACATAGCTATGTACATTTGTCAAGGCTCAGAACTGAATGTCCAAAAAATGGATAAATTTTTACTGTATGTAAATTATACTTAAAAACGGAACTTTGTAAATACTAAATACTAAATAAATAAAGGCTATTATTTTTTCTTTCCATGGGATGTCAATTTCGTAAGACAGGCAATAGCTTTATAGTGACTATTAGAGGAGAGATGGTTCTTCCTTGTGCTTGGATTAGAGCAGACGTCCTTGTGACTCTTGAATCTTCATCTGGATAAATTATCTTTCTCTATCCTTGGGCCAAAAAGAATGAAACTTTTATTAAAGTGATTTCTCCGGGGCACTATCCCTCACCAATATCTTTTTTCACTCTCTGAGCTCATCCATTCTTCTGGCTTTAGTTATTCTGATGGGGTTCAATTCTCTATCTCTTACTTGAACCTCTTTCTTGAACTCTAGATCCGTATTATTTTTGTATGGAAATTCCACAGGCATCTTCAAACTCATTATATTCAAAAACAAACTCATTTTTTCCACCAGTTCCTTGCTTTTTCTCATTAATTCTTCATATGTTTATTAAGTGCACACTTTGTGAAGGCATTGGGTTAGGCACTGGAAAAGCAAATAACATAGTTCTTTCCTTCATTAAGATTATAGACTAATATTAATAAATATACTATAAATTAAGCAAAGTATAAGAGATATTCCCTTCCTTAGTTTTTGTGAAAGGTAGATAGTATCCTTGATTCCTTTTCCCTTCATTTTTTACATATTCCCAATGAATACATTCTTCTGATTTTGTCTCTGTAATTTTTTTCTCAAGTTTATCTCCATCACTCTATCCTTCTGTAATGTAACAACCTTTGATCAAATTATCACAGTCTCTTTATTGGGCTATTGTAATAGCATTTCTGATTGTCCTTCAATCCTCCAGGACTGTTTCCCTCAAACCTATCATGAGTGATCAGCCTAAACTGTATGTTTTTTCCTAATTGAAACTCTTCAGTAATTCTATATTATCTGTAGGATACAGCTCAAGATTCTTAGCAGGATGTTAATTCCCCTTCAATAGTCAGCTCATTCCTTTCACTTTAGTCTCATGACCAAACCATTTCTTCATGCTTTATGCCCCCAGAAACACTGAACTACTTATGTTTGGGTGAGATCTCACACAACATGCCATTTATCACCTCCAAGCCTGCACTTGTAAAAATATTTACTGGAAATACTTTTTCTAACTTCTGTTTCACCATCCTCTGGTTATCTTGTTCTCATTCTTTAAGGCTTGGCTAGGATTCATCTTTCCTGACTTCTGGGGTAAGTTAGTGTCATTCACTATGACTTAGCTTATCATACAATATTGAAATTCTCTGTTTATGTGCTGGGCTCATTTACAAGATTGTAAACTTATTGAGGGTAAGGACTGTGTCTTAGTCTTTGTATCCTCAGGGTTTGACACATGCTACAAGGAATGTGGTCCTGATTTTTCTCCAACCACATTTACTTCCACTTGTTTCTCCCTCCGTTGTTCCACCTCAGTGAACTTTTTTTTTTTTTTGAGATGGAGTCTCACTCTGTTGCCCAGGCTGGAGTGCAGTGGTGCAATCTCAGTTCACTGCAACCTCCGCCTCGCGGGTTCAAGCTATTTTCCTGCCTCAGCCTCCCTAGTAGCTGGATTACAGGCATGCGCCTCCATGCCCGGCTAGTTTTTGTATTTTGAGTAGACATGGGGTTTCATCATGTTGGCCAGGCTGTTCTCAAACGCTTGACCTCAAGTGATCCACCCACCTCGGCCTCCCAAAGTGCTGAGATTACAAGAGTGAGCCACTGCACCTGGCCTCGGTGAACTTTTTATAATGCCTTGAATATTGCACAACCTAGCTTCCAGAGAGCTTATAGGATGATGTTCTTCCACAGCCTGGAATACTTTTTCCCCTGTTTCTCTGTGGGGTTAGTTATTATTATTCTTTAAGACTGCAGCTTGACTTAAGCATGTCTTCCTTTTGGAAGGCTCTGTTTTTCTTTCCCATGATGTTAGGATAGATCAGAAGGTTCATTTCTGTTTTTTTAAAGCATCTTCTGTGATTGCAATACTATTTATGCTAATTGTCTTTTTGGGTTTACTTGTCTTTCTCCTCCACTTGGGACTTCTGGTGTCTATCACTGTCCCAAGCATACGGTAGGCACTTGATAAAGCTTTTCTTTCTTTAAAAGAAACATTTTTATTACTGCATTAACAGGCGAAAGAAAGAATTAAAATTTTGAGAACCTTGTATATTCCTATCACTATGTGCTATATGCTTACCTACATAGTATTTGAATAAAAGTAGTCACGGGCAAGAGGCTTAGCAAACAGAAAGCCTTTGCAGTTCTATAATCTTAGATCTGTGCTTCCTCATGGGCTTGGGGAATCGATATTATTTTCCTCCTGTGTGTTATAACAGGCTGTTTCTCCCATCAGAAAATGTGTGGACCTATTGGGGATGTCCGTAGATAGTTTTCTTTTGGTAATATTCTCTGCTTTATTTGGAGAAGATGTTATTTAAATACACTATAAGGTGCTTCTTATAACTGTGGCAAGCATTCTCTTGGGAGTGTGAAGCCACAGAATAAGCAGGCACAACTTTCTAGTATATTAACATTTACTCATGGCTACAGATAGTTCTAGTTAAAGATGGTGGAATAAAGGCATTTTAATGCTACTTTCCTTTTAGAAATTCTTAAAAACAATAAAACAAACAAAAAGCCCTCATTCTCTCACAAATCCCCAAAGAATAAAAACCTAAGGAAGAAAACTCCAAGTGAAAACAGAACAGAAATACAATTATTAAGACTATCAGCCAAATGTAGTGAAATTTGGATCAAATATGTAAGACTAATTGGGAGCCAAAATAGCTTATTTTTTCAACTTTTATTTTTGATTCAGGGTCTACAAGTGCAGGCTTGTTACCTGGGTATTTTGTGTGATGTTAAGGTTTGGAGTACAAATGTGATCCTGTCACCCAGGTACTGAGCATAATGCCCAATAGTTTTTCAACTCTTACTTCCCTTTTTTCTCCCTACTTTAGTAGTACCCAATGTTGACTGTTGCAGTCTTTATGTCCATGAGTACCTAATGTTTAGTTCCCACTTGTGAGAACATGCAGTGTTTGGTTTTCTGTTCGTGTGTTAATTCATTTAGGATAATGGCCTCCAGCTGCTTCCATGTTGCTGCAAAGGACATGATTTCATTCTTTTTATGACTGTAGTATTCCACGGTATATATGTACCCATTTTCCTTGTCCAATCCATTGTTGATGGGTATCTGGGTTGATTTCATGTCTTTGTTGTTATTAATATGCTGCAGTGAACAGGGAAGTACATGTGTCTTTTTGGTAGAATGGTTTATTTTCTTTTGGATAAGTACTCAGGTAATGAGATTGCTGGATCAAAGGATAGTTCTGTTTTAAGTTATTGGAGAAATCTCCAAACTGCTTTCCACAGTGGCTGGACTAATTTACATTCCTACCAAGAGTGTTTAAACATTCCCTTTCTCTGTAGTCTCACCAACATCCACTGTTTTTTTGACTTTGTAATAGTAGCCATTCTGACTGGTATGAGATAGTATCTCATTACGGTTTTGATTTGGATTTCTCTGATGCTTAGTGATGTTGACAATCTTTTCATATATTTGTTGGCCTCTTGTATGTCTTATTTTGAGAAGTGTTTGTTCATGTCTTTTGCCTACTTTTCAATGGGGTTATTTGTTTTTTGCTTGTTAAGTTAGTTATTGATTCTGAATATTAGAATTTTGTTGGATGTGTAGTTTGCAAATATTTTCTCTGATTCTGTAGGCTGTCCTGTTTACCTTGTTGATAGTATCTTTTGGTGTGAAGAAGTGCTTTAGTTTAATTAGTTCTCACTTGTTAATTTTTGCTTTTGTTGCAATTGCTATTGAGGATTTAGTCATAAATTTTATCTCAAGGCCAATGTCCAGAATTGTTTTGTCTGAATTTTCTTCTAGGATTCTTATAGTTTGAGGTATTATATTTAAATATTTAATCCATTTTGAGTTAAATTTTGTCTATGGTGATATGTAGGAGTCCAGTTTCACTCTTCTGCACATGGCTAGCCAGCTATCCCAGCACCATATATTGAATAGAGAGTCCTTTCCGCATTGTTTATTTTTGTTGACTTGCTGAAGATCATATGGCTTTAGGTATGTGGCTTTATTTCTGAGTTCTCTATTCTGTTCTATTGATCCATGTGTCTGTTTTTGTACCATGCTGTTTTGGTTACTACAACCTTATAATATAGTTTGAAGTTTGGTAATGTGATGCTTCTGACTTTGTTCTTTTTGCTTAGAATTGTCTGGGCTATTTGGGCTCTTTTTGTGTTCCATATGAATTTTAGAATAGTTTTTTTCTATTTCTGTGAAGATGATAGTGTGATAGGAATAGCATTGAATCTGTAGATTGCTTTGGGCAGTATGTTCATTTTAATGATATTTATTCTTTCAATCCATGAGCATGGAATGTTTTTGCATCATATCTCTATGATTTCTTTAGCAGTGTTTTGTAGCTCTCCTTGTAGAGATCTTTAACCACCATGGTTGGATGCATTTCTAAATATTTTTGTGCTATTATTTTAATTAAAATTATGTTCCTGATTTGGCTCTCAGCTTGAATATTTTTGATGTATAGAAATGGTACTGATTTTTGTACATTTATTTTGTATCCTGAAATTTTACTGAAGTTGTTTATCAGGTCTAGGAGCCTTTTGGGGGATTCTTTAGGGTTTTCTAGGTATAGAATTATATTATCTGTGGGGAGAGAGTTTGACTTCTCCTATTTGGATACTTTTTATTTATTTCTCTTATCTGATTGCTCTGGCTAGCACTTCTAGTTCTATTTTGACTAGGAGTGGTAAAAGTGGGCATCTTTGTCTCTTTCAGTTCTCAAGGGGAATGTTTCCAGCTTTTGCCTATTCAGTATGATGTTGGCTGTGGGTTTTCATAGATGGCTCTTATTATTTTGAGATATGTTCCTCGAATGCCTTGTTTCTTAAGGGTTTTAATCATAAAGTGAGGTTGGATTTCATCAAAGCTTTTTCTGCATTTATTGAGATGACCATATGTTATTTTTATTTTTAATTCTGTTTATAAGATGAATCACATTTATTGATTTGCGCATGTTGAACCAACTTGTATACCAAAAATGAAGCCCACTTGATCATGGAGAATTACATTTTTTAATGTGATGCTGGATTCATGTTGCTAGTGTTTTGTTGAGGATTTTTATATCTGTGTTAATCAGGAATATTGGCCTATAGTTTTCTTTTTTCGTTGTGTCCTCACACACATTGGGATCAGGGTGAGGATGGCTTCATTGAATGAGTTAGGGAAGAGTCCCTCTCCCTCAATTTTATGGGATAGTTTCAGTAGAATTGGTAGCAGCTCCTCTTTGTATGTCTGATAGAATTTGGCTGTGAGTTCATCTTGCCTAGGGCTTCTTTTCATTGGTAGCTATTTCATTACTGATTCGATTTCAGCACTTGATATTGATCTGTTCAGGATTTCAATTTTTTCCTGATTCAATCTTGGGAGAATGTGTGTTTCAAGGCATTTATACATTTCCTCTAGATTTTCTAGTTTCTGTGCATAAAGGTATTCAGAATAGTCTCTGAGGGTCTTTTGTATTTCTATGGGATTGGCTGTAATGTCATCATTGTCGCTGGTGATTGAGCTCGTTTGTATCCTCACTCTATTTTTCTTTGTTCATCTAGCTAGTGGTCTATTGATCTTGGGTATCCTTTCAAATAAGCAACTTTTGGTTTCATTGATCCTTTGTATCAATTTCAAAGGGTCTCAATTGGGTCTCAATTTCAATTAGTTATTCTCTGATTTTAGTTATTTCTTTTCTTCCGTTAGGTTTGGGGTTAATTTGTTCTTGTTTTTCTAGTTCCTCTAGATGTGATGTTAGATTATTAATTTGAGATCTTTCTAACTTTTTGATGTAGGTGTTTAGTACTGTAAACTTTCCTCTTAACACTACTTTTGTTGCATCCCAGACATTTGGTTATGTTGTGTCTCTGTTTTCATTTTATTTCAAAGAATTTATTGATTTCTCCATTACTTTAATTGCTTACCTAGAAGTTATTGAACAGCAAGTTGTTTAATTTCTATGTAATTGTGTGGTTTTGAGAGATCTTCTTGGTATTGATTTATATTTTTATTCCACTATGGTCTGAGATAAAGTATGAGTTCAGTTTTTGAAAATTTATTGAGACTGCTTTATGATCAAGAATGTGGTCCGTCTTGGATTAATTTCTGTGTGCAAATGAGAAGAATATATATTCTGTGGTTGCTAGATGGAGTATTCTGTAGATGACTATTAGGTCTAATTGGTGAAGTGTTGAACTTTTAGTCTAGAATTTCTTTGTTAGTTTTCTGCCTTGATGGTCTGAATAGTGTTTTTGGTGGGAAGCTGAAGTCCCTCACTATTATGTGGCTGTTTAAGTCTTTTCATAGGTCTAGAAGTACTTGTTTTATGATTCTGTGTGCTCCAATCTTGGGTGCATATAGATTTAGGATAGTTACATCTTCTTGTTGAGTTGAATCCCTAATAATTTTGTAATGCCCCCCTTTGCCCTTGTTTGTTGCTAGTTTAAAGTCTGTTTTATCGGATGTAAGTGTAGTGACCTCTGCTCTTTTTTCATTTGGATGATAAATCTTTCTCCAACCCTTTACTTAGAGCCTATGGGTGTCATTACAAGTGAGATAGGTCTCTTGAAGGTAATAGACAGATGTGTCTGGTTTACTTATTCAACTTGCCACTCTTTGCCTTTTAACTGAGGAATTTAGACTATTTACATTTAAGATTAATATTGATATGTGAGGTTTTGATCCTATTATGAAGTTGTTAGCTGGTTGCTTTTTACTTTCTATTGTGTGGGGGCTTTACAGGGTCTGTGGGCTCTGTACTTAAGTGTGTGTTTGTGGTAGCAAGTATCATTCTGTCATTTCCATGTTTAGAGCTCTCTTAAGGATCTCTTGTAAGACTGATCTAGTGATAGCAAATTCCCTTAGTGCTTGCTTGTCTGGAAAAGATTTTATTTCTCCTTTGTTTATTAAGCGTAGTTTGGCAGGATATGAAATTCTTGGTCAGAATTTCTCATCTTTAAGAACACTGAAAATAGGCCCTCAATCTCTCCTGGCTTGTAAGGTTTCTGCTGAAAAGTCCACCGTTAGACTGACGGAGTTACCTTTGTATGTGATCTGACCTTTTTCTCTAGCTGCCTTTAAGATTTTTTCTTTAGCATTGACCTTTGACAGTCTGGTGACTATATACCTTTGTGGGGTTTGTTTTGTATAGTATCTTACTGGTGTTCTCTGGATTTCTTGTATCTGGATGCCTCCCTCTCTAGCAGAGTAGGGAAATATTTATAAATTATTTCCTCAAATATGTTTTCCAGGTTGTATCGCTTCTTGGCCTTTTGGCTAAGATCAAGTGTTTTCAAGGTTGTTTACTTTTTCTCCTTCTTTCTGGAATGCCAATAATTCATAGGTTTGGTTGCTTTAAATAATCCCATATTTTTTGAAGACTTTGTTTACTTTTTAAAATTTTTTTTAAAAAAATTTTGTCTGACTGATTTAGTTAGAAAGATCAGTCTTCAAGTTCTGAAATAATTATTTCTTTTTCTTGGTCTAGTCTCTCAATATAGTTTTCACTTATATTTTGAAATTCCTTAAGTGAGTTTTTCAATTTCAGAAGACAGAATGCAATCTTTTAATGATGACACTACCTTCAGATTTTCCATGGTGCCAGAATTCTTCAGCTGGTTGCTTCTCATCTGGAGATGCTATTAGTTTTAATTTTTGTCATTGTTTTCATGCTGGTAGGATTTTTTATTTTTTTCTTTTTGTATAATATTATTATTTTTTTGTTCATTTTCCTATCCCTTCCCTTCCTAGGGAGTACGATGGTAGAGAATGCTGGGTAGGGTTCTTTGGTTTTGCTTCTATAGCCTTATGCACATTTTTTTGGCAGGTATTATATTGGGCTGTGCAGTTCAACCTACAAGCCCATAGATTGTGCTTATAGGTAAGAATTGGCTGCGGCTAACATGTCTGGGTACTTACTTGATCCTTATTTACTAGCAAAAGCTCTTTGTTGCCTCAGATAATGGGCCAATTCATGGAATGCATAGTGGTCTGAGCTCCCTGCTCAGCTCTGGTGGGCAGTGGAGGCCATGATGGGCAAGACCAAGATGGCCCACCTAGAAGTCGCCTGCTGGCAGGCACAAGCACCAGTCCCAAGGGAGAATCCAGTGGGTAGCTACCAAGTGCTTAGAGGTGTGCCTAAGCATGCAGCTGGGAAACCTCCTTGGCTCCAACTTCCTTGCCTGGGGTTGTGGGGTGAGCTGAACTCCTAATCCAAGACAGTGGATGCTCCAGATGCCTAAAGACCTGCTTGGATGTGGAACAGAGAAGGCCTTGCTGTAACACACTCTAAGTCAGGAAAGGTGGGGTGGCTCAGGAGGCTGGACCAGTTGAGTGGATGCCCCAAATACCTGGAGTTCTGCCCATGCATGAAGGAGGGAGGGCCTTCCTGTACTAGGATCTTTGCACAGGAAGAGTGGTGTAGCTCAGGCTGCTGATCCAGGTGAGCAGGTGCTCCAAGTCCCTGGAAATCTGCCTGGGCATGGGGTGGAGAGGGCCCCACTTCATCACAACCTCAGGGTAGCAGACTGGGGTACCCAGCAATAGCGTACATAGACCCGTTTCATGTCTTCAAGCTGGCTGTGGCTACAAGTCTTGCCAGCCAGAGGAAACTGCAGCAGTAGCAGCTTTTCTTCTGCCCCAGGATTGCAGTTGGGGGGTAGGGAGCAAAATTCCAGCACCTACTACTGAGGTGTGTTCCACAGTTCTTGCTATGTAAGCCCTTACCCTGATCCAGAGCAGGTTCTCCAATCTCTGGCCTGAGACTAAAGTGCCTACATGGCAATGCTGCCAGGTGGCCAAAGAATGGCTGATTTTGTATGTGACCAGATTAAAAATGACATCTAGCTCTCAACCCTGGGTCTGGGAAAATGTCTACAGCTTTTCCTGGCGCCTTTCCCTCACAGTATCAGGAAGCCTCTCCCCAACTTAGCTCCAGGGCTTGGGAGAAACACAGTGCTCCCCCTTGACCTTGGTTGATCAGATCCTCAGTGGAAAGATGAGTCACAGAGGGAGGCTCTCTGCCTCTCTCAAGTACTGGAGCTTCACTCGCTTTTATCAGCAAATTGGTGTCACGGGGGAAGTTTGCTCGTGTTCACCTCCCTGGGATCTGGGGTGTCCTACATGATTCAAGTGGATTTTCATTTTTCTTCTTGAATTAAATAAAGCTCACAAAGTTGATCATTATGCATTATCCTGCGATTAATTTTTTTTTTTGAGATAGAGTCTTGCTCTGTCACCAGGCTGGAGTGCAGTGGCATGATCTTGGCTTACTGCAACCTCTGCCTCCCTGATTCAAGAGATTCTCCTGCCTCAGCCTCCTGAGTAGCTGGTACTACAGGCATGCGCCAGCATGCCCAGCTAATTTTTGTATTTTTAGTAGAGACGAAGTTTCACCATGTTGGCCAGGATGGTCTTGGTCTCTTGACCTTGTGATCCGCCCTTCTCGGCCTCCCAAAGTGCTAGGATTACAGGCGTGAGCCACCATGATATTTTCAAGTGGCTGAGGCACACTAAAAGCCTCTTATCCTCTATCTTGGGGAAAAAAAACCACTCGTCTTAGATCTTGGGTTAAATAGATTTCTATAAACATATATGTCACAGTTCTGAAAGGCCCATTTAATGAACTTTCAATTGAAGAAAATAGTTATAGGGGCATGGGAGAGCTGTAGGAGAAGTGAGGAAGATTCCCGCAAAGTCCAAGTTCCACTCTTAAAACCCCAAGAGAGTGGGGCAAAAAGGGGAGCCACATAGGCTAACTATCTTGGTAACTGTAACCTAGATTCTTACCTGAGGGAGATTGCTAGAGGTGAGAATGGGTAAAGGAACAAAAAGGGAAGCTAATATTATCAGGATTTGTAATTTGAGGTTCTTCACTGTAAGCCAGACCAGTCTCATGAATGTCTAAAGCTGGAAGGAGACAAGCACCCAGAGAAGAGAACACAACCAATGTGGCAAGACATAATTGAAAGCAACAAGCCAAAATTAAAGCTGCAGACTTCCCCAGCTCAAATAATCACAAAAATAAATGTATCATTACCAACACTGACAAAATTGCAGGGAGCTATGACAATGTATTACAGGGGATTTGACAATGTCTGGCTCAGGGATGCTTTCTCTGAGAAAGCAGTTGGGAGTGGAGAACTGATGTATAAGTCAGTGAGGCAAATGGAAGAGAATATTCTTGTCAGAGGGATGAACACATTCAGAATCTTAGTGGTGGGAGAGAGCATGCTGTGGTTGAGAAAGAGAAGGCAAATGTGATTGCAGTACTGAGTGGGAGTGGAGTGGAGAGAGGAGAATAGTGAGAGGTGAGACTAGAGGAAAGGAGAGTCAAATCTGTAGGACTTTAGAGTTCTTGTCAAGGATTCCTAAGAATAATGATAAGCAATTGAAAATTTTTATTCAGAGTTATGACATGGTTAGATTTACATTTCAAAATGAGCCTTTTGGCTGTAATGAAGACAATTGTTTTGGGAGCAAAGGCTAATGTAAAGGTAGGGAGACTAGTCAGGAGGTTATTGTAGCAAAACAGGTGAGAGGTGATCATATCTCAGACAAGGTCTGTGGCAGTGGAAATGGAGGGAAATGTGTGCTTTTGTGAAATGTCTAGGAGGCAAATAGATTTACCTCAGTGATGGATTAGATTTAGGATGTGTGTAGCAGAAACCATTAAATACCCCAGTATCTATTATTCCTTTCTTCCATTTAGAGATAGTGCCACCTACGTCACTCTGAGTTTGAGCTGCACAGGTGACCACCTAGCTAACGTCTTCTTTTGTCAAGTTGTCTTTCAGTTACATATGATCGTGAACTAAATTTGGGCCAACATTCGGGCCCCCTCCTAAAATACAAAGTTGCTTGCCCTGGACTCTAAGTGCCTTCCCATGGGCTGGGACATGGACACCTTGCTGATGATCATGTTTCCATCTATGCAGACTTGAACATTAGGACAAGATAGACAAAGCCCAGATTCTTGAATAGTCTTGTGGAGCAGAGCCTCCCCACTGCCTTTGTTCTACTCATTTTGCATTTTTTATTTGTGATAGAGCATTTTTTGGATTCCTTTGTTACAGCAACTTAGCCAAATTGTTTCAGATGGTGGAGAGGACTGAACTGGATAAATGGTGATGCCATTCACTGAGATGGAAAACATTCATAATCTTTTTCAGCTTTTGGTCTTTTATATATTTAATTGAATATTATTTTATATTTAATTTGAGTAGTTAATAAAAATGTTTTAAAACTTTTTCATTCCTTGGGTTGTCACAGACTCATTCTTTTTTACAAAATTAAGCTTTGGGAATTATAATTTTATCTAACTGTGCTATCATTTGCTTATATTTACTAAACCATTAAGGTATAATGAAAAACAAAACTGACTTACTGAAACCTAGATATATTTGTTTCTATAACTATGAACTAGCCTATCAATCTAATTCAACAAACAAGGTGCAAATAAGGCAAAAAATTAATAAAGAGGAGGAGAGAAAAAAGAAAAGAAAAAATTAGGGTATTTTTGTGTGAGTTTAGTTTTTAGTTCACCTATGAGAGCCTCTAGAAATCATCACTTTCAATTTTAAGAAGGGTTTACATGCTCTACACTTAATACAGTTGATTTTATTTGAAATAGAATCCAGACTCAGTATTCAGAATAAACCCTCTTTCCTTTCAAAAATTAAAACAGCCATCAAATGCAGATTTTTAGCATCTCTTGTTTTCCATGATATCTCAAAGATTATTTTAAAATATTTCTATCAAAACACTTTCTATATTATTTATCCAGAGACTTAATTATTAACAAAGTATTAGAAGCTAGAAGTAGGTAAAATAAGTGATTATTTTAATAAAAATTATCCTTACTTTACAAAATCCATATTAACCTCACTTGAAATTTTATGAGCTTTTCCTATAAGTTTAAAGAGATAGAAATCAGTGAAAGACCTCAGTAATTCCTGCAATGATCTTAATAGAAAATATTTTATACCTTCTCTCCCAACACTTCAACTCCTTTATACTTATTCATAGATAATTCTTTGAAAGCATATTAGGGCAGCTGTTCCTGTTTAACACATGAAGTGGTGGAATCATTGATTAACAAAAGCTTTCGTAGGTTTCTATACTAATCAGAGACTAAGTAAGGCATCCACTCTGAGTGTTCTGACATCAGCACCGGGTACCTTCCACAGGCCTGTGCTTTCTTATGGCAAATGGAAGTTCATGATCAAATTAAAGAATAATACAATGTATTTGAAATGATGCTGATGAATGAATGATTGCATCTAAATAGTGATCTCTGTCGGTACTTAATTCCCAAAATTTTCAGTGTTATTTTAAAGATGGGAAAGTCAGTTTAAGAAATAACTATTCTACTAGGAAGCAAGCAGATTTTAGAGGGTACAGGATCCATATGTTAATAAACATAATGCAAACAAAATTAGTTAAAAGACAGATTTACCAAATAGAAAGAGAGAATTTAGTCATGATTTCCAAAGCCAATTGAAATGGGCTTGAATACATTCAACCATTGTGTGTGTGTATGTGTGTGTGTGTGTGTGTGTGTGTGTATAGCCAGGCACTATTCACAGTTCACAGTGGTGACAAGGCAATCTCTGCCTTTATAGGACCTTCTTTCTAATGGAGGAGATTTACAAAATATCTAAAACAAAATAACATCCATGCAATCAAGAAAAATAAAGCATAATAAAGAGGGAGAGATAAAGAAGACAGGGTTTTTTTTGGATAAAAATGTAAGCTCGAAGAGGTGATATTTAGGCAGAGACTCAAAAGAGTGAGTAATCTCAACATTTCTGGGGTACCATTCAAAACAGATACAAAGACCCTGAAGTAGGATGAGCTTGACATCTGCTAGAAACAGTAAAACTACTGGTATGGCTGAAGTAGATTGAGTGAGGGGGAGATATGATTAGAGAGGCAGCCAAGGCCAGATCATGTAGGGCCGGGTAGATCACAGTGAAGACTGGACTTTGTACAAAATGCTATAAAAAAATGGAAAGTTTTGAACAAGAGACTATGTGACTTGATCCGTTTTTAAAAGATCACTCCACTGCATGTAGAGAATGAACCAGGACTGGGAGTAGAACTAATGGGGGGTCAGAGAAACTACTGCAACGATGTTGAGAAGAGATGCTGGTAGCTTAGAGTAGTAGTGGTGGAGGTGGTGAGAGGAATTCAATTTGGAGTTTGTTTTGGAGGTAGAGCTCATATGAGTTGCTGATGGATTGGATGTGAGGTACAAGAGAAACAGAAATCAAGGGGAAAGCTAAGTTTCTTCCCCGAGCAACTTGATGAATGGTGGTGTCATTTACTGAACTGTCGAAGACTGAATGGAAACAGGTTGGAGAGAAAAATAAAAAGTTTGTTTTGGACATGTTGAACTTGAGGTGCTTTTTAGCTATCCAAGCATAGATGCCACATGGGCAGTTGGAGAGAAAGGTCTGGAGCTCCTGGCAGAGGAAGAAGATGTAAATACAAATTTATGAGTCCTTACCATGTTGATGGTATTTAAAGCCCTGGGAGTAGGTGAGCTCACACAGAAACATAATGAAAAGAAGATATCTGAGGACTGAGTTCAGGCACTCCAATATTTAGAGGTCAGGAAGAGGAGAAAAATCCAGGAAAGGATTATATATATAATTTATACATATATATGTATATATTACGTAATATATACATATATTATATTGTGTGTATAATATTATATATATTTTATATAGTAAGGATTGGACAGTGAGCATATTAGTCCATTTGTGTTACCACAAAAAATATCTGAGGCTGAGTAATTTAAAAGGAGATTTATTTAGCTCATGGTTCTACAGGCTGTACAAAGATGGCACCAGCATCTGCTTGGCTTCTGGTGAGGCCTAAGGATGCCTTTACTCATGGCAGAAGACACAAGGGGAGCAGGCGTGTCACATGGCAAGAGAAGGAGCAAGAGAGATACCAGGCATGTTAAACAACCCGCTCTCACGTGAACTAATAGAGTGAGAATTCACTCATTACCGTGGAGAGGGCAGCAACCCATTCATGAGGGATCCACTCCCATGACCCATACATCACCCACTAGGCCCACCTCTAATATTGAGGATCACATTTCAGCATGAGATTTGGAGTGGACAAATATCCAAACCATATCAGTGAGATGAGGAAATACCAAGAGAATTTACATCAAGAGAGAGGATGTCTCATTACATTTTCTTGTTCAATATACTCTCCTACTCTCACGGTTAATTATTTCCCACCTTCTTCTTTCTCCTCAATCTCCATCATTCTCTCCTCTACCTAACCCAATCTCACCATTAGCTTTTGACCCTGCTTTGTACTTCACAGAGAAAACAGAGTGGCTCAGAAGAGTACTTCATGATCTTCCCATCACAAGTATATCATCTGTGTCTAATCTGCCTTCCCATCTGCTAAAACAAGTGGACTGCCTCTGCTCCACTGTAGGATGGAACCCTCCCCTTATGCATGGGATCTGATTTCCTCTTTCTGGTACAAGAACTCTGTTCTTATAATCATCCTGCTATCTCTTGCTGCATCTATCACTACCATGTTGCTTGTATCATCTCTATTAGCATACAAATATGCTGTATTATCTCCCATCTTAAAAAAAAAACAAAGCAAAAATAACAATAAAATTTTTCCTTATTCCTATGTCTCCTTCGATCTTCAGCACTTTCTTTTCTTTTTCTTTCTTTCTTTCTTTCTTTCTTCTTTCTTTCTCTTTCTTTTTTTCTTTTTCTTTCTTTCTTTCTTTCTCTGTCTTTCTTTCTCTCTCTCTCTTTCTCTTTCTCTCCTTCCTTCCTTCTTCCCTTCCTTCTTTCCTCCCTCCCTCCCTCCCTTCCTTCCTTCCCTCCTTCTTTCTTTCTTTTTTTTTTTTTTGACAGAGTTTTGTTTTGTCACTCATGCTAGAGTGCAGTGGAGCAATCTCAGCTCACTGCAACCTCCACCTTCCAGGTTCAAGTGATTCTCCTGCCTCAGCCTCTCAAGCACCTGGGATTACAGCTATGCGTCACCATGCCCAGCTAATTTTTGTATTTTTAGTAGAGGTAGGGTTTCACCATGTTGGCCAGGCTGGTCTCAAACTCCTGAACTCAGGTGATCCGCCCACCTCAGCCTCCCAAAGAGCTGGGATTACAGGCATGAGCCACCATGCCTGGCCATCAGCACTATTTATTTTCTTCTCTTTACAGTAAAACTCTGGGTAAAATGATGCCATATGTATAATTGTTCTTTGACAATATCCATTCAGATGATCATATGGTTTTTAAAAATCATTTACTGTGAAAATAACATTTATAAATTTTTCTATTTTTAAATGGTCTTTTCATTTCTTACCACGTTTTTCTTATATTGTTAGATTTTCTTAAAAAATTAATTTGGAATTTTTGTATCTATGTTTATGATTGGGAAAGGCTGAAGTTTTCCTTTAATAAACAGTAATTTTGTTTGCTTTTGGGATTAAGATTATACTAGATAATAAAATGGGAGTTTGGGAATATTTTCTTTTTATTTTGTTCTTTGGAACATTTTGAATATTGAGATATGTTCCTCACAACTTTGGTAGACCTTGCCTATAAAATAATATAGGTCTTTAAAAAAATATGGATTTTGCATTGTCATTTAAATGCTTCAATAGTTATAATTCAGGCTTCCTATTGAGTAAGTTTTGGTCAGTTATATTTTTCTATGAATTTATACATTTTTATAAGTTTATAAATATTGGCATAAAGTTGTTCATGTTTTTATCTTTAAACATTCCTATGTTTGTAGTTATACACCCCTTTCATATTCAATATCCATTTATTTGTGTTTTCTTTTTTTATGTATCAATCAATGAGTTTTCTCAAAGCTTTTAGTCTTTCTGAGGCAGGATTTTTTCTGCTTTGCTTATTTTTAATTTTAAATTTATTTACTTTTTTCTATTTTCTTTGAGTTTATTCTATTGTTTTCTGACTTCTTAAGTTCAAAGCTGTACTCATTAATTTTCAGCATTTCTTATTTTCTAATATAAGCATGTAAGGCTACAGGTTTAGCTTAAACCATAGGAAATTGCTGATATTTGGCTGCTATTGAATTACCAAAAATGGTAATTTTTTATGATTAACTTAATGTTCCCCTCAAAGTATTGCTTTCACAGCTTCCCACAAGTTTCAGTATGCAATAGTTTATTAATCAATTCCAAGATTTTTGAAAAGGTTTTGTTATGATTTCTTCTTTGGCCCATGAGTTATTTAGAAGTATGTGGAAGTATGCATGTTTGCTTTAAATATCCAACTTATGGAGTTTAAAATTATCCTTTTCTGTTATTCTTGTTATTGACTTCTAAATGAACAGTATTGCATCAAGAGCATGTGGACTGTGTTGAAAATTATTTAGGCACTTGTTAAAGATGGTCAAGAAACTTTATTCAAGAAGGGGATTATTGCAATAGGGTTTTGCAGTAGGGGGAAGCGATGGCTGCAGAGGGGTCTTGCAGTAAGTGAAAGAGTCTTCGCTGAACTCTGAATACAAGAAGGACAAATGGGATTTGATAGCCAAGGATCATGGTGGGAGTCAGTGGAAAGAAAATTACTAAGAGGAAAACATCAGGGCAAGGGAGATTTTGTAATGGCTGACTTGAAAGTATTCTTCCTGAAGAAGATATCAAGGGTGGAGAATGAGGCATCTGATTAGATATTGAGGGAGGGGAATTCTTACTAAAGTAACACAACAGGATGGTTGCTAAAATTGGAATAAGCAGACAAAGGGCAGAACCTAAGATCAGGGCCTAGTCAAGAAGAGGTCTCAGAGGAACCTGACTCAAGGTTAAGAAGACACTTTTTGTCAGGGAGTTGAGTTCAATCTCTTTTCCCTACCGCAAAGCCCGATTGCAGTAGTCTCCTGAATAGTCTTCCTTTACCATCTTTAACAAGGTTCATTATTTTTTTTCCTTTAGCAGCTATAAATTTGTTAAATTTGTGAAAATTTCTAAGTATTATGTTGTGAAAATATTCCTTCAGAAAATGTTTTATATGGGTTAAACACATGGGCACTAGAGCCGAATTACAAAGGGTCAGATTTAAACTTTGTCCTTACAAAGCTATCTCTTGGCAGTTTTATGAGAATTAACTGAATTAGTTAATGCCTGTCAAGTGTCTGTAATATTCTTTGGCACATTATCACTCAACCAAGAAATTAGTTAAATGATCATTCTTATAAAAGAAGAATATGTGTTCACCCATTTTAGGTATAGAAATATATGTAGGAATATATGGACACACATCTTCAAACTTGCTAATTGAGTTGTTCAAATCACTTATACATTACTTGTGGTTTTGTGTCCTTGACCTGGCAATAATTAAAGCATGTCAAAATCTCCTAATATACACTATCTAATAGTATATACATCTTGTAATATATCTAATAATATAATCTAACTTTCTTCTGGCTAATATTTAAAAACACTTGAATTTTTTAACATTTAAAAAATGTTAAAATCCAGCAGCAGAGAAGACCATGCTGTATTCTAATGCTTAAAAAAATCTTTCTGTGTTCTTAAGTTTTAGAAGTGTTACTTGTACACAATGTAATTATGTAATTGGGTAATATATTTTTTTAATTCAACCAATACTCCAGCAAATTTAATTCAATTATGTTTATTATTATAATTAGTTATATACTGTTTTTTCACCTTTGGCCTCTCTATTTGTTTTTTTTTTCCTTGACTTTTTTTAAATCTTGCTTTTTATTTTGAGTGTGGCTAAACTTTTATATTAATTTGTTTTCTCCATGAACTTCAGTGGTTCTCATGTAAAGGTGATACAGTACTCTCCCTGCAAACATTTGGAAATCTGTGGTGTTTTTAGATTATCACAATGACTGAAGTGGGTGCTACTTGCATTTGGAGAGCAGAGTTCAGGAATGCTGAATATGTTGCATAAATGGCAGAATAGTTTTGTCTAATGAATAATTGTCCTGCACAAATTGTCATTTACACTTCCCTTGAGAAACATTGCTCTACTGGTTTGAAAGTCATGCACTATTTCTATTGTTCCAGTTATCCTTGTAAGCTTACCACAGATGCTTAATTTAAAATAATTTAAAATCTTATTCCTCCTCTTTAACAATTCAAGGATTCCAGAACATTTGTGCTGTAATTAACCTTCTTGTGTTATGTATGCTATTTTGCAGAATTTTAATTCTATCATTTTTTATTTGGAACCCAAGAAATTATGCATTATTGTCATTATCATTATTTAATTATATTAGTAATATATTATTTAATATTAATATTTGTATTATAACCTCCCAATATCATTGCCTGCCATACTTTCTTAAATTTCGAGTTTTCTTCAGAGATGATTTCTTTGCTTTCTGAAATTCCTTCAGTGAAGTACTATTGCTGGTAAATTGAGTTATCACTTATGTGAAAATGTTTTTTTCTTGCCCTCATTCTTGAAAGAGTTTTCCTTAAAGCACACTACCACCCTTGTACATGGCACCGTGTTTACCATAATCTAGATTATTGCAATAGTTTCCCAGCTGGTTTCCTTGCTTCTCTTTCCATCTTATAATCTCATTCAAGTCATTCTTTACAAATGTAAAAGAGATCACGAGATGGCTCTGATCAAAACCCTCTAATAGCTTTTCATTTCACTCAGAGTAAAATGGAAAAATCTTCGTAGTCACCTGGAAGGTCTCAGTGGTATCCTTTACCCTAGCTTTGTTATCTCTCCAACCTTGTTTCCTGCTGCTCTCACTGTCACTCCCACTGCTATGGCCACACTGGCATTCTTGCTTTTCCTCAGCCATGTCCTGGAGCTACCACATGGCCTTTGAATTTGCCATCTTTTCCTTAATGCCTTCTTCATAACTATCTTTTTAACTTTCTTTCCAACTTCCCTCAGGTCTTTGTCCAAATGTCACTTGATCAGTGAGAACTTCTCAAACCACAATGATTTTAAAAATTGCAAATTCTCCTTTTTCTTGGTACTACTATTCCCTTTTCTATTCTATTTGCACCATTGTATCTGACATATTTAATTACATTTTCATTATCTGTTCCCACCACTACAATGTAAGTTACATGAAGGCAATTTTTTTCTGTTTCTGACACATAGTGGCATCTAAATAAATGTGAATGAATAAAGACATGTACAATTTTATGTCACTTTTTTTCAGTACTTCTTAATGTTATTTTCCCCCTGTCTTCTTGGCTTCCATTTTTTTCTGTTCAAAAGTGTGCTGTCAATCTTTAGATAATATTAGCTTGCTTTCTGACTGGCTTAAGATTTTCTCATTATGTATACTTCTTCAGTTTTTATTATAGTGTGTCTTAGAATGGATATTTTTTCTTTGTCCTGTTTGTAGATATTGTGTCTCTTGTGTCTTTGGATTCATGTCTTTTATCAATTTGAGATTCTCTGCCATTACCTTTTCCAGTATTGCCTTTTCTCCATTTTCTCTTTCTGGACTTTGCATAGAGGATTGTTAGATCTTTTAAATCTACTCTTTGTTTCTTTTATATCACTTTAATATTACATATTGTGTTTTTCTGAGCTGCATTGTGGATTATCTATTTATTTCTGTCTTCTAGTCACTGATTCTATCTTCAGCTTTGCTAAAATGTTGTTATTTCAACCATTGAGATTTTTTTCCCCTTAGAGACAGGGTCTCACTATGTTGCCCCAGTTGATCTTAAACTCCTGGGCTCAAGTGATCCTCCTGCCTCAGCCTCCTGAGTAGCTTGGATTACAGGCATGCACCATTTTGCCTAGATCCATTGAGTTTTTAATATCAACAATAATGTTTTTAATTTATAAAAGTTTTGTTAGTTACTTTTCAAATCTCCTTGGTCATTTTTTTTACCACATGTTACCACAGACTAGTCAACTTATATAAACAGAAATTTATTGGCTCATGGCTCCAAAGGTGGAGAAACCTAAGACTGAGGGGCTGGCATCTGGCAAGTGCCTTCTTGCTGTGTCATCCCATGGCAGATGAGCAAAGAAAGGGCAAGAGAGAGTAAAGGGGTCTGAACTCATTCTTTTATATGGAATCCACTCCCACAATAACAAATCTGCCCCCAAGATCATGGCATTAATTCATTAATGAAGGCTGTGACTCCAGGATCCAAACACCTCCCATTAGGCCCCACCTTCCAGTGCTGAAGCACTGGGGATCGTCAAGTTGTCAATACATGAACTTTGGGGGAACATTTAAACCATAGCATATTGCTTGCTTATTTTGTGCTTTCATGTATTATTTCTTTGGTATTTTCATAGATAGTCTTTATCCTAAAAGACTTTGACTTTATTTTTTTGCTGTTAATTTCAATATCTGAAGTCTTTGAAGAGATCTAAATCTATCATTTGTTTCGGTTTGTTTTTGCTTATGGTGTGTTAGGTGATTTTTTAATTGAAAGTTTATATTTGTTATACCTTAATTATTGAGAGTGCTATGGGCCTAAATTGGGATGCTTTTCTTCAGAAAGAGTCCCAGGCTTTTTTGTTCAGAGCCTAGGATCCTATCAACCTGGACCATTGTAGCCTCTTTGAGGTATCTGGACTAATTTGAGAATCTGAGGTTCAGCTTCCCTGTCTTGCAGCTGCCTAAAGCTTAGTCTTAGTTAGTTGTGATGAGGTCAGCAATTGTTTGCCTTGCACATACCCCACTTCCTCTTCTCATTTAGTACTGCACAGTGCTCCCTACTTAGGTTTCAGCTCCTGGATTTGTTCTATGTTGTGCTGTGTTTTGGTGGTGGTTATAGAGATGCTTGGATATTGTTCTTAGTTTCTGCAAACCCAGCAGTTCTTTAAAGCAGAATGTTTTATTCATGATATACTTGGTTTATTGCAGAAGGGTCTCTTTCAGAAACTCTAGTTTGCCATTTCTGGAAACCGTCATTCTGTCTGAAAACCACTCCAATCAGGCTTTCTTCCCCATGATTTCATGTCGTAAAACTACACTTGTCAAGGTCATCAATAACTTCCAGATTGCTGAATCCAATGACTAGCCTTCATTTCTCTTAATATCTTAGCATGATTTCTCCCCATTTCTTGAATGAAAACTTTAACATTCTTTCACATAACCTGTTGAGTAGCTGGGCTTTGAATTGCTTGATTTTCTGAGATGTTTCTTTTTTATTAGAGTGAATAAGAAGACGGCTAAGTAGTTCTTAACAGTGGCTCACTCTGGGGGCTAATCCTACTCAAAATCACTGCATCACACAGTTCAGGAATCCAAAAGGACAAATACAGTACTAACAATAGATCAAAAGAAATGTGCATTATTGGAAACCCACTATACTCACACAAAATTTATCTCTCCCCTTAGCTAACTCAGTCTTTCAACAGGGAAGCTGATGCTCTTTTAACAATCTCTCCTCAGAAATAAAGGGGTCAGAGAAAAATTATTGCTTTCTTGCTGGCTCTGGTAAATTTTCAGAAGCTTACAAAACTATTGCCCACCTATCAATACCAGTGAGAGTGTTGGAGATGATGCTAATCATTCTGGTGTTTTTGTACCATCCTGCTTTATCATCGCTGTGATGCCCCATAGGCCCTTCTTCACCTTGGACAACTCTGTTATTTCATTAACAATAACTGAAGCCACTCTTCATGAAATTCTACAATTCCCACAAAGACAAGTTCTTCCAGTAAATACTGTTAAAGACTAAATACAGACATCAGAATTCAGGATAAAATTTTGTTTGTCTTATAAGTCCTTTAAGTCAGGATAGAGGCAAATGATGTCACTGGCTCATTCTTTATATGAAAAGTGAGGAGCTGCATGTACAGTCATGTGCTGCATAATGATATTTCAGTTAATGAAAGACTGCATATACAGTGATAGTCCCATAATATTACAAAAGAACTGAAAAATTCCTATCACCTAGTGATATCATAGCCATTGTAATATTGTAGTTGAGTTGATGCTATTGTAAACAAAACGATTGCCCTGTCAGCTGTATAAAAATATAGCACATACAACTATGGACAGTACAGAATACTTGATAATGGTAATAAATGACTGTGTAACTGATTTATGTATTTATATATTTCCTATACTATACTTTTCATTATTATTTTAGAGTGTACTTATTCTACTTATTTTTTAAAAAAGTAAACTGTAAAACAGCCTCAGGCAGGTCCTTTAGGAGGTATTCCAGAAGATGGCCTTGTTATCATAGAAGATGACAGCTCCATGTGTGTTATTGCCCCTGAAGACCTTCCAGTGGGTCAAGACCATGGTACAAGACAGTGATACTGACGATCCTAACCTCGTGTTGGCCTAGGCTAATATGTGTGTTTATGTCTTAGCTTTTAACAAAAAAGTTTAAAAAGTTTTAAAAAAGCAATAAAAAATTTAAAAATAGAAGAAAGCTAAAGACTAAGGACAAAAAGAAAACAGACTTTTTTTATAACTGTATATTGTGCTTTTGTTTTAAGCTAAATGTTACTACAAAATAGTCAAAACATTTAAAATATTAAAAAAGTTCCTAAGCTAAAGAAATTAGTAAGCTAAGGTTAATTATCGTTGAAGAAAGAAAAATATTTGTGTATAAATTTTGTGTAGCCCAAATGTTGAGTGGTTGTATAGTCTACAGTAGTGTACAGTAATGTCCTAGGCCTTCACATTTACTCAGCACTCACTCACTGACTCACCCAAAGCATCTCCCATACCTGCACCCTCCATTCATGGTAAGTGCTCTATACAGGTATACAATTTTTAATCTTTTATAGTGTATTTTTACTGTACCTTTTCTGTTTAGATATTTTTACATACATGAATATTTACTATTGTGTTACCAATTGAAAGTTTCTTTAGAAAGAAATAGAACTTTAAATAATCAGTGATAGAAAAAGAGTATTATAATTGTGACATGTATAGAAGTTGTGAAACCTAAAAAAATGTATAATACAGAAGGAAGCCACATTTACCCTATTACTTAAATTCATCGTGATAATTATGAACATTAGCTGCTACTCCCTGTGAACTAACCAAACTGAGGGTTTTACACACACACATAATTTAGATGATTCTTTATGGTAAAGATAAAGATGTTTACATCTTGAAAACCAATTTACTCTTTTATCATGATAAGTAGATACTTTATAGTCAGGAAATAAAATACAAATTTGTTAAAACTCAGTGCCATGTACAAATATAATTTTGTAAACTAGTGTGTCTTCATTTATGTTTTTAAATTTATTTTTAATGGCTACTCTTATTTGCGATTATAACTTCTAATGTAATCTCCCTGAAGTTAACAGGTGAAATGTTTTTTAGATCAGGTTGTAGTAGTTTTGTGAGCATGTGTATGTGTGTGTATATGTGTGTGTATGTGTGTGTGGTGGTGGTGATGGTGCAAAAGGTGGAGAGCAAAATACAAAGACATGGGTTTTAAAGATGTCTTTGAAAGAATGCTGATAACATTGCTGATGATCTTTTTATTTTTTATGAGGTAAGCAGTATAGAATTCAGTTGTTACAATCTTAAGTTTGAGTCTTGGGTTCTCATAAACCAATAAAAGGACATCATGTGTGAGTTTGCTCCTATAGGAATGAGCCAGCTTTACCTGACCTAGAGGAGTGAAGTAGGTCTTTGTCTCCACAGCTCCACAGTGGAGTCTTTCTTTCCACAGTTGTGTGGGAAGAAGAGAAGTCATTATATGAGGTGTGGAGAATAGTCACTCTTGGAGTATCCTTTTGGTGTATAAAAATCTGGAATCAGAGATCATGGAAGCATCCCTGGAATGAACAACCTTAGAAAAGAAGGCTCCTTTTTCCCCCCAAGGGCCAAGAGTGATGCTGATGTAAAAGATTAATGATTTAAAACGTAAGATTTATTGACAGGATTCTTAATTTCCATGTTAAAACCACACAGATAGCATTTATCTTACATGTAGATTTTAGTTAATAGGTATTAACGTATTTCAGTTAATTGACATATATATTTCAGTTAACTGAAACTCTAGTACCTTGTACAAAGAGTGCTTTTGGGGATGGAGGTAGCCTGGGTGAACAGAATACATCTAAGTATTTTGGACCAAATATGGCAGTAACAGAGAGGAAAGTACTAAAATTACTAAACTGGGCTCTTGTAAAATGAGATGAAAGAAGAGTTATTAAGTGACTTTAGTAATCCTTTATTGAATCTTTCTATTGTGAGGCACTGGCCTAAGCATAGTGGGGGATTTAAGATGTCCTTACAGAGTGTGTGTGAGGCTGGTTAAGGAAACACGTATCCATACCTAACTGTAATATGGGGCATAGCACAGTGTGGGCCATGTGGAAGTACAAAGTGCCAGGGTACATGAGAGGGAAGCAATTACTCCTTACAGGAAGACTTGGAGAAAAATTTATGGAGAAGGTGAAATTGTAGTTTGACCTTAAAAGTTGAGTAGGATTTCAATAGGCAGGGATGCAAAACAGGCACACCAAACCATGGATGGAGTAATACAGAGTGGATTCTAGAAATAAGTGGAAAGACTAAATAGTGGCTGGAGTGGCAGATAGGTGGGAGGCGTGAGGTGGGAGGGAGATCAGGCAAAACAGTAGGTTAGGACCCGGCCACAGCAGACTGAGTGTCACATGAAGGAGTTTTCCCTTTATTCTGCAGCAAGAGTCATTGAAGATTTGGAGGCAGTGAATTTATAGGAACAGATTTGTATTTTAGGAAGATAATTGCTGGCAGTGGGAGTTCATTTCCACAAATATGTATTGAGCAGTTGTGCAGAGGAATATGAAGGTGACTAAGACATTTCTACTCTCAGAGAACTTAGTCTATTAATATGAAAAAATGGGTTGGGAACGGATGAGATTGGAGGCAGAGAGATCAGTTAATAGCTTCTGTAATTGTCCCATTGAGAAATTCTAAAAATTTAAGCTAGGACAATAGCAAGGAAAATGGAAAAGTATGAGGCAAACTCAAGAGACATTTCAAAAAAGTATCAAGAGTTGTTGACACTGAGTGGAAGCTGCAGGTAAGGGAAATGGGAGCCTCCTTAAAAATCACTCAAGTTTCTAACTATGTAACCAGGAGGATGGTGCTGTTATTCGGCTAAGGTGAGAACACAGAGGAAAGGAGGGCTTAGAGATGAGAGGGTGATGTGGTTTGGCTGTGTCTCCATCCGAATTTCATCTTGAATTGTAGCTCCCATAATTCCCATGTGTTGCGGGAGGGGCCCAGTTGGAGATAATTTAATCATGGGCGTGGTTTTTCCCATACTATTCTCGGGGCAGTGAATAAGTCTCATGAGAGCTGATGGTTTTATAAGGGGCTTCCCATTTCACTTGGTTCTCATTCTGTCTTGCCTGCTGCCATGTAAGACTTCCCTTACTCTTCTGCCATGACTGTGAAGCCTCCTCAGCCATGTGGAACTGTGAATCAATTAAACCTCTTTCGTTTATAAATGACCCAGTCTCGGGTACATCTTTATCAGCAGTGTGAAAACAAACAAATACAGAGAAAGAGCAGATTGAATTCTGTTTCAGATCTGTTTAGTTTGAGGTGCCAACATGATTTTCTATCAGGAGAGGTACAAAAGGAATTTAGAAAGACAGATCTAAGAGATGAAGAAAGAAAAAGAGAACTAAGATTATAAATTTGGAAGAGGCTGCCAGAGAAGGTAGTTGAAATTTTGTCTGTGGGTGAGATCTCCCATTGGAATAGTGTAGAGCAAAAAGGAGGAGAGGGTTAGAAAAACATGTGCCATCAGTGAGTTTTCAAAGAACTGGTGATATAATTGACTTAGGATATTATAAGAAAATTCAAGAAAGAGAGAGTATTCCTAATGAGGGCTGGTTAGCAATATCAAATGCTGTGTAGAGGTCAGCTAGAATGAAGGGTAAAGAGCTCAGGGAACTTTTTAATGAGAAAGTTATTGGCCACCTCTGGAGACCAGCTGTGGTAGAGGAATGGGCTCAGTAGTTTCTATCTATTGCAGTGGAATGAGGAGTAAGTGTGAGATGAAGCAATAGGGAAATAGATTTCTCTTTACCCATTTAATCCATAAATATTTATTGAGCATTTGCTTCTCATTTGTGAAGTGAGGAGAAGGGGGAGACATGAGATAGTTATATAGAGGAGAAATCAGGGTCAAGGAAACATTATTTTTGGTGGGAAAGATAAAACTATAGCAGAAGAAAAAGAGGCAGTGCAGAGGGAGAGACTGAGGCTACAAAAATGAAAAATAAATAATAGAACCAAGTTCCCAACAGGTAGGAAGGGATAAACTCCAAGCACAGGTAGAGAGATTTGCTTTGGTCCAGAAGATGTTAGGGTGGGTGGGGAAAAGGGTGTGGTTGATTTGGGGCTGTATATTCAGAACTCTCAGTTTAAATCCACACTAACAAGTGGCTTTCTTTGTGGCTTGTTATTGTCTGTGATAATTGTTTATGACACAGCATAATAATAGAATTTTTCTTTGGAATGGACCCTCGCATTTTTTTTTCAGGTGAACAGAGATCTCTAAACATCATTTGAAATGTATTTTGAGCTACAGTACTAAGACTCCACCTAGCCATTTAAGACAATATTACAAAATGAAGCTGGGTATAATTTTCAGTAGTGTAGTCACACAGCAAAAATAGTCTCTCAAGCAATAATTTACTTGCCATGTAGACCATTATAACCAGTCTCTGGAAATGATTCCTATTGGCATCAATTGGTGATCATGTAAAATAATAGCAGTGTCAGCCTCTGAATGTATAATGATACACATAATATTTAAACATTTTTGAGAGCTGAAGAAACTATTATGCTTTTATTCATAAAAAATATGACAGTGTTTAGAGCATGTACTAGTCTTGCAGAAGAGACCCTTTGTTTACTTTGTGATGTAAAGATGACTGTTTCCCCCTGTGTGAGTTGCAGAAAATGTTTGCAGGGGCTAGTTGAAACAGCCTCATAGTGGGATAAAAGAAGCTTGGTTTCTGGTGAAGAATATTCATACTTCGATTCAATTTGTGTAGAAACTCCTTTGGCTGCAAAGGTATTGTTTAATAAAGATTCATTTTAGGAAGGTTCACCAGGCAGCCTGGGAAATGGATTTCTTAGAGGATTTAGAGCAATTGAGGAGAGATCAAAGTTGACAAGATAACTTAACTTTGATTTAATGCAAATTGCTACAAAAATGAAGGGGGAGGAGTCACAAGGGAATCCTATTTTCATTATTGACATGAACTGGCTTGACATTCACATATTCTAAGTGGAGACTGTCTACACATAGGCAAGAATAAAATGAACTGAAGAATGCACTAAAATTCGACACTGTGAAATAATACTCCTCTCCTCCCTTGGCAAAGGAATGAACTTTGATACAGAGACATTACTTTCTGACTACTAGGAAATACGCAAATTATACTTTTGAGCATTTACTTGAATTACCTGTTTTCATCTAAAGGACTGACCTATTCCTCCCCTTCTCCTCGGATGATTGTTTTTATTGCTTAGTTTTTGCTATGTCGTCAAAAACCTTGTATATTTCTCATTGGACATGAATTAATAATGCTTTACCTGCAACACAAAGAACTATTAAAGTGATAAAAAGACAATGAGTGTATTTCAGCTCTCCAATAAAAAACAAAAACCCACTCCTCCTCGCCACTAGACTATTAAATGCTGAAGAAATCCACAGGCTCTCTGCAAAGAAGGTCACATATGAGTCTGTTAAATAAATAAGTTAATTAAACCTTGACATTCTAAAACAATTCTGAAAAGTTCTAATTAATTTTTAAACAATATTGAAATAATGATTTCATATCTCACATTCATTTAAAGTAGTGTAACCCAATCAATCCCACACACAGTATGCCACAATAAGCTGCTGATTTTCTAATGGTTAGAAACACAGTTCATTGGTCTGAATAGTAATCATGATAGCTTGCGGGGAGGGGAACCACTGAGGGTTTATAGAAGTGATCAGAATCTTTAATGACTTTATTGACTCCCTAAGTATTTGCTTTGTTTCTTCCTTGATAATATATTGAGGCCCAGAAACTAATATATTCAAGTGCATTGTTTTTTAAAGCCGGTGTTTACTTCAAGTATTGGATTGGCTCTTTTGACTGGAGAGATTTTTCCAGTTCAATAAAACGGTTTGGATTTTTTTTCCCATGGAATTCTCAATTATGTCTCCATCCTCCCCTCACATAACTGTACAGGTGTATGATAAAACCAGTTCTTAATCACTGGTAAAGATTCATCGCTTTATTGTAGTGTCCATTGCTGCTGCTGTTTATTCTGTTGTTGGTATGTTTTAATGCTGGATGTTTAAATGAAATTGTGTGCTTGGGCAAAGTTACAAGAGAGGTGGTGGGGAATAGTAGAGAGTGAGCTGAATCTGGTTGGAGCCCAGAGGCCTGAGCTCAAGGCCAGTGATCTTTCTAAAATGTATTGCTGCCCTTGAGACTATCTTGCTTATCTACAGCAGAGTTTCTAACCACCTGGGTGAGATTTCCTGATGTGCTGGTTAAAAAGGCAGACCCAAGGAGCTCCATTCCAACCTATTGAGTCAGATTCTCTGGGGATGGTGTCCACATACTTGCATTTTAAACAAGATTCAGGCCTTCATATTAAAGTCTGAGGACCTGACCTATATGATAAAGTCTAAGTTTCTTGGCACATCAATGACAGCCCTTCCAGAGCTGTTATCTCTCATCTCTCACCATTCCCACTAACAGTGATCAGTAAGGAAACATATGCATTTTTCTCCACATCATACTGTTTCAGGATCAGCAAATGCTATTGTACATGATTGTCTTAGTCCATTTGCGCTTCTATAACAAAATACCACAGACTGGGTAGTTTTTAAACAATAGAAATTTATTTTTCACAGTTCTGGAGGCTGGGAGCTCAAGATCAAGGAATGAGCAGGTTCTGTATCTAGTGAGTGACTGGTCTCTGCTTCCAAGATGGCACCTTGTTGCTACATCTTCCAGAGGGGAGGAATGCTGTGTCCTCATGTGGTAAAAGGGATGGAAAGGGAAGAAAAAGGACCAAGCTCACTTCATTAAGCCCTTTTATAATGGTAATAATCCATTCATAAAGGCAGAGCCTAAACACTTCCCAGAAGGTCCCATCTCCCAACACTGCTGCACTGAGGATTAAGTTTCCAACACATAAATGTTGGGGGACACATTCAGACCACAGCAATGACTTTGCTCCAAACTGCTCACCTGACTATTCCTATGGGTACGTTTATATTAGAAAGCTCTGTGAGACAGCAAGCTCCATGAGGGCCATGATTTTATCTATTTTGGAATTTGTATCCTTAGCTCCCAGCACAATAGATGTTGATATGGTTTGGATGTTTGTCCCTTCAAATCTCATGTTGAAATGTAATCCCCAGTGTTAGTGGTGGGGCCTGATGGGAGGCATTTGGAGCTCCCTCATGAATAGCATGGTGCCATCCTTGCAGTAATGAGTGAGTTCTCACTCTGAGTTCACACGAGATCTGGCATGTGTGGCATAAACCCACCCCTTGCTTGATCTCTCACTCTCTCTTGCCATGTGACACATGTTCCCCTTCATCTTCCACCATGACTGGAAATTTCCTGGGGCTCTCACCAGAAGCAGATGCTGGCACCATGCTTCTTATACAGCCTGCAGAGCTGTGAGCCAAAATAAACCTCATTTTCTTTATAAATTAGTCTCGGGTATTCCTTTATAGCAACGTAAACAGACCAACACTTATGCCCACAAATATTCTTTGAATGGATCAGTGCTTAGACATCATAGCCCTCACTTGCCCAAGAAAGATGGCTTTCTACTCTTACTTTTGTACATAGTCTTAACACAAAGCTAGTTCATGATAGTGAGGATCCAGATATACTGACCCTGGAGCCTGTTTCTTGGTTTGTTAGAATATATTCCTCCAACAAGAACTTGTAGCACAAGTCGAATAACTTAGAATGTGGCACACATTCATTCAGTACTGCTACCTAGAGGGGCACATTAACGTAGCTTTAGGCTGATGATGATTCCTATTTTCCTGATCTCTCCTAACACAAAAACATTCCAGGTATTCTTTTAGGAAGTAGTTAGTTGTTTAAATATTAGAAATGGTTATTGCTGAAATTGGCAGTGAGTTCAACTGTTGCCAAGCACCAGTTCCATAATCAGAATCCCTAAGGATGGAGCTCAGGCACATGTCCTCTTTAAAACCTACAGGGAGGATGCTGATATTTAACCAGTGTTAAAACACTGCTTATAACTGCATGCAAAATAATGTATTTAGTGACCACCTATATGGTGTATGCTCTTTAAACTATTTGGTATTGTGGAAAGACAAAAAAACTAAGACTCTTACTTCTGGCACTAACTAGCTTTGTGCCTGACACCAGTTATTATATTTATTGCTCCTGGGCCTCAATTTTGTTATATTTAACATGGGGTATTGCGTAGACAATCTCTCAGATTCTTGACAACTCTACTTTGCCATACTCTTATGAGTATAAGCCAAAGTAAAATCAGACACTGGAATGACAGAATTACACAGGTGGTATGTGTATCCTGTATGTGTATTTTTTCCTAAACAAATCTTTCTAAATTGGTGCTTGTACTGGGGATGCCTGTCAGGTTTAGTTTATTATGCTAAATAGTGCCCTCTTGGTGAAGCTAATTTAGCTTCCAAAGTCATGGATTAGCAACTTCCACAATGAGAACATCTGATCGGATCACATTTGCACTCTAAAGCTTCATTTGAGTTAGCAGACATTTCATGAGTTCCAACTGGTATATCAAGCACTGTGCTAAATTCTGAGATTCAAAAATTAATAGGACGTACTCCCTGTCCTTGAGTTGCTAACAAGGATAATTGATGGACAAATACAGAGGCAGTAAGCAGGATGATTGCCTATAATGGAAAAATAATTTTATTCTTTACTGGTATTATCCCACTCTAGGTATTTCTGAGGATGCTAGTCACTTGAATAGGAAATATTATTTAATTGAAATATCCAGATAATTGCCATGCTTTCTGCATTAGTCAGGATACACTACATTATGCTTTAGTAACAACACTCCCCCAAAATGTCAGTTGCTTAAAACAACAGAGGTTTATTTCTTGCTCATGTAACATACCCATCTCAGGGCAGCAAAGGAACTCTGCTAATTTTATTCACTCCAGCCCTCCAGTCTCCACCATATCAAACATTCCTCCTTGCCGTACTCGAGGGAAGTGAGCACTCTGGAGAATCTCACACTGCCTGTTAAATACACTAATGTATGTGACTGGTTCATTGGCCAGACCTAGAAACATGGCTCCATCCAACCACAAGGAAGATAAGAAGCACCATGTGCTATAGGGAAAGAGAATTTTATTTGACTAATCATACACATGACTGTCATGCATTCCTGAGTAGGCACAATTTGAGAATATAATAAAAACAAACATTTCAATGGCTTTTTAATAAGGGTTAGGTACTGTCTTAATCATTTTATGTGTAAAATATCTAATCCTCACAACGACATTTTTATTATTCTCATTTTAAAGATAAGAAATAGAGGCACAAAAGATTAACTAACTCATCCAAAATCCCATCACAGCCTGGGATTTAATCCTAGGCAGTCTGGCTGCAGAGTCCATGCTCTTAACCACTAAACTGTATTGTTATATCTGTATCAGTCATAAATAATGTGATTTCCTTGAGACATGATTAATTAATGGCACATTTTCTAGGAAAATTCTGAGTGTACAGGCATATCAGAGGTGTGAAATATAATTGTTGCTAGTATTTTGTAAGCCTACAGAAATAGAAGTGGCCCAATCCTGAGGACATTTATTATAGCAGGCATTTTTCTATTTTGGTATGCTTTGGAATTTCAATGCATGACTGGTATCCCTATGGCAAGCTCTAATTTAGACTGATTTGTTTAGGAGAAATAAATGATAGCTTATTTATAGAAATCAAAATGCAATCTGACTTTAAAACATATTTGCCCAAAAATTAATGAAGGTAGCATGTAGGGCTGTTAACTTTTAATGATGAGAAATAATGAGGATGCAAAACCAAGCTGAGAGAATCTCGCTGTGGTGTAGAGGGGTCCCCTGAACAATTCTGCAAGCCTCATGCATCAAGTCAAGGTGATGGGGGACAAGCAGCAGGATCTGACCCTGGTTGTCTTAAGCAGCAAATGGATTTATTAAATGGAACCTGAGTAGCCGGCAGGGCTGCTGGGGATGCTGGAAAATGAGCCCCAAAAAGAGGCAGAACCAAGTGGTGCTGGGATCCTAGAAACACAGCCAATATCATGAGCACCCATCTGGCGAAGCGCCGCTGCACCAGCGCTGAAAGATGGACGCTGCAGCTTGTCCCGCTGGCAAGGATGCTGCCACTGCACCTGGAAGCTCCATACCGCTGCTGCTATCAGTGCCGCTAGAATAGATTCTCTTCTCTCCCTGCTTCTTTGTGCCCTGGATCCACATTCAAAGTCGTGAGTGGCTTCAGCTGTTTGGCCAGGCCTAAGGCAGGTGCCCATGCTCTAGTTACCAAAGAGCTTAGGAAAGTGAGTCAGCCTCCTTTTTAAGTTTTACAGTGGGAGGTAGACTCTTACTTCTTCACATATGGAGAATTATCCAAATCTAGAAAGGGCATTCAGATTCTGAACAGCCAAAATAATTTTTTTAGGAAGACAAATGTTCACTGTAACTGGTTAGATGTGTCTTTCTGCAGTGTCATTTTGTGTGATTAGTCGGGAAACCATATCCTTGTTTCCTTGTCTATTGTGTTGCTTTCTTTCATATTAACTGTAGCTTTTAAAGAGGACATGTGCCTGAGCTCCATCCTTAGGGATTCTGATTATGGAACTGGTGCTTGGAAACAGTTGGACTCACTGCCAATTTCAGCAATAACCATTTCTAATATTTAAACAACTAACTACTTCCTAAAAGAACACCTGGAATGATTTTGTGTTAGGAGAGATCAGGAATGACTTTCAGAATCATATTTTCCCACCGTAAATTAACTAAATCCTGCTACGGTTTGGCTTGGCTTCTAAATTTTGTAAGAACCTACCTAGTTCCTCTCCTCCCCTGTGTAACCCTATCTTAATCAACTATTTCTCACAATCTTTCATTGTTCATTTTTCAGCGTTTCTTTTTTTGGCAGAAATGTGGTCAGTAGGTTTTAGTGTATTGGACATCCTTGGGTAAATCCTGTAACACCTCTGACACCTTCACTTCCTTTGAACCCTCAGGCATCATTCTCTAGAGACAAATAAAACCAGATGGAGGTGAAAGCATGAGAAAACTCACCTGAAGAAAAAGCGTTTTAAAATGTTACCTTTCTCACCTGAGAAAAAGGGCACTGAAAGGGAGGAAGGGAGGGCTGGATTGTTTGAGAGTGCTGACGGCTAAACCTGTCCTGGAGTAGCCTCCCTCTGGTATTTTCTGTGCAAGGCGATTCTGATGTTCTGCAGTGTTGGTAGAACCGTGAGTTCTGCGGCTAAGAAGGGCCCATAGCATGGCATGTTCAAGGGGGACCTAACTTGACCTCTCCAAATAATTCAGAATACAGCATTGTTATTACTGGAGGAATCCATGTAGGGGCTGCCACTACCCATGGTCTTTACTCTCTAGTAGATTGACTAGGACACACTTGGTACATCTAAAATAAGTTTCTTAATTAAGTTGGCCTGTCTATTTGACAGCCTTTGGGTTCTCAAGAAGATAATCGTCTGTGCAGCCTCTTTCTTTTCCACTAGGCTGTGGTCCCTTGATTGCTGACAGTGTTCCTCTAAAATGCAATGCTTCTGCAAGTTTACAGACTTCGGGACTTCACAGCTTTATCGACCATCTGCCACTTTCACACAATTAGTTTTGGCCTTTCTCTCTGATTTTAATTGTTCCATTTTACAAAGCTCTTTACTATTCATAAATCTTTTATCACTCAGTTAATCAACCACCCAATGCTTAATTAAGTTCCTAACATGTGCCTAACATAGTGCTGAGTACCTGTAGGAATATGCAAAGACCATGGCTTTGTTATTCCCCACACTGGGGCTGCACTTGCACAATACTTGGCTCCTTTTGCTGTACCTCTTGTTTCACCTTCTACCTGGTTAGTACATTAAATTTCCTGTTTAGTGTTAACTTTTGAACAACTTGTGCTTAAAGAGCTACAATAAATGAAGATAACATTTTAACAACCTGGAAAAAGAAGGTGAAATATTTATTTTTTAAATGAACCTAATGGAGCAGTGCTATTATTTTAAATGCTTCCTACCACCAAAGTGTTCCTATTGTTGGGAAATGTATTTAGTATTTTTTCTGAATTGCTTGAACTTTTCAAATGAATTGTTTGTATATGTTTTTGTTATTTGATGAGTTGGGGAATACAGTTGGCTCACTAAATTCTTCACTTTTCATGTTCTTTATAAGAAGAAATTATATTGAGATACTGTAACGTAAATCCTGTTCCTTGCAATTTGATTGCAGAGAATGCATTGTTTGAAAAAAAAACTCTTGACATTTTGATATTTCATCTTTCATCTTCTTAGGTGTCCAATCCCAAAGCAAACCTCACAAAATCAGACATCATTTTTTGGCTGACTTGTCATTTCACTATTATTAGAACTCTTGCTCTTACAAGGGACTTTATTATTAGAAGTTATGATAATGTATCAGGTATTTAAAACTACTTTAGAGAGGCCGAGGCGGGCAGATCACTTGAGGTCAGGAGTTCAAGACCAGCCTGGTCAACGTGGTGAAACCTGGCTCTACTAAAAATAGAAAAATTAGCCAGGCGCAGTGGCACGTGCCTGTAGTCCCAACTACTTGGGAAGCTGAGGCTGGAGAATTGCTTGAACCTGGGAAGTGGAGGTTGCAGTGAGCTGAGATCATGCCACTGCACTCCAGCCTGGGTGACAGAGCGAGACTCCATCTCAAAAAACAAAACAAACAAACAAACAAACAAAACTACCTTAGAGAAAACTTTAAAAACTTGGAGAGGAAGCTCAAGGGGGTGGGGTGTGTAGGCAGATCTTTGTTAATCTATTAACGTATAGCTTTAGACTGAGAGTCATCGGTTCTATATGGTTACAATTATATTATACAGTCCTCTTTAGAAACAAAAGCCTCTGCAGGCTGAGCACAAATTAATTATCCACAATCTTTAAGCAATGAACTGTATTAAAATCCTGTGTTCTGTGAGGTAGTCCTAAATATTTGGAATGCATGATTAATTCCAGCGGTGGAAAGAAAGTGATACATACTAATGCCAAATTCAAATTCTCCGGAGGCATAGGGGCATCCAGCAAAGCAACACCCTTTCTAACCACTTGATGGTGTCTTTTCTGCTTATACCCTGAGCAACAAACCATAGGAAACTAATGGTGTTTTAAATGGAAAACAGCAGTTGATTAGGATGGGTTAATAGGTTCTTGGCAAAATTTCAACTTAATGGGTATGCAAGTGTATCTGTGTGTGCTCAGCAAGGCCTGTCCCAGGCCATCTAATGGTGTCACTCAGTACTATAAATTTACTTTGACAGCTAGTAAACAGATAAGTGCGTCCTGGGAGCAGGGAGTATGGAGCTGCTCGCAATTTCCAAAAGACGCAAGGCAAATAGAGCCAGGCACATATTAACGTAGCAAACATTTAACTTTTCTGCTTCTCCAATCTTTAATAGAACGATAGTAAAATAGCAAAATATGATGCGAAAGCTTCATTTCTTAAAATCCTTAAATCATAGACTCTAGTTAGGAATTTAAGGTCAAAATAAAAATACATTGATAAAAATATATACTTTAGGGGAAATAACCAAGGGCCAAGCAATAGTTTAAAGATATCAGCTTTCTTGTTCTGTGTTAGATCAATATTTCTGTTGGCTACAGCTGAGTTGATAGAAGATTCATATAACGAGCAGACAACCATCTAATCTAATTTCACCAGCCATAGGAAACTGCAGTATGATATGTTTATATTTCATTGTTTGCTGAGGAAGCTTGACCTTACTAAGCAGGTTGCTAAGCGTTGTTTCACGGTGTATGTATGAAATTGCCATATGTGTGAGAAATTGCTATAGGTATTCATTCCGTAGAGAGTACTATAGCTTTCTGTTCTTTTTCAGGCAACCAAAATAACACTGCCTACCCCAGAGAATGCTTTTCTTCCAATCCTTGCAACAAAGGCATTTGAGAGATGAATCAGGATTTAATGTCAATAAATGGAACTAGCTTAAGCCTTGGGAATTTTGAGAGCAGAGAAAATGGAAGACTTTACTATTTTATTTTTTGTTTGTTTGTTTCAAATTAGCACATAAAGACAACAGGAAGAGAAGAGGTCTGGCTTCTGTTAAGTCTGAGTCTCTACTATTAGCACCAACCTAATAGAAAGCAGCTATGGGTAGTGGAAAGTGCAATAGACCTAGAGTCAAAATCTAGGCCCAAGTTCCAGTTTGGCCATTTAACCATTGGTCCTCCTGGAAAGATTCACATAACCCCTCTGGGCCAGTTTTCTTGACAGCAAACGGAACAGATAAGGGTTCCTTCATGCAATCAAGGTTTTTTGCAACTGCCAAGTATTCTAGGAGCTTCTTAACATGTAAAACTTGCTGCACATTCCAAATCCCTATTTTTGACATTCCCATTTCTATTGGTAATATAAATATGTCCCTCAGTCAAAACATCTGTAATCGCTACTGTTGTGTATGGTATCAGTTGGTGCAGGATACCGATTATTTACCTAAACTAAATAAACTAAAGTTTACTTTCTAAGTTTTTATCTACACAAATATTTTGAGGTGAAACAAAACTAGCTCATCATAAGGCAATTATGTTTTCATTTATTTGTTGCCAATTATTCACTGCGGACTTGTAAGTCCAAAACACTGTGCTATGCACTCTGGGAAACTGGATAAGGCTATGAATAAGAGTCTCTTCCGGCCTCCTATGATCTTGCAGCCTAGTGAAATGTCCAGATGTGTCCATAACTAGCCTGATAGAAATCATATCTCTTAGAAGAACTATTAGATGACTCTAACCTGGAGGCTTCAATGCTCATTAGTATTCACTCCAGAAAGGGCGTTTGCTTTTCCATGTGTGCCTTTTTCAAAGGGCATTTCATGTCCAAATTTTACATCACATCAGTCTGGGTGAAAAAGCACAGCCTCTTAAGCACACGTGCACACACACACACACCAGTGGTTTTAACAAGTATTTCTTGAGTTCAGTAATTTTATTGAATATCTGAGAGGGGTCACAAGTATGACCATTTTATACAATCACAGCCCACTCCTCAAATTCCTCTCCTTGTCACATGAATAGCAGTCCCAGGACAATTCTTGATATATGGACCACACTTCAAACACTTCACCAAAGTACTTTTTTTTTTTTTCAAAAAAGTAACAGATTTCTTCTAAAGATTTCTGGTGAATAAAATTTTCACCTTATTCCATAAGCTTTTATGAATTGTAAGTTTGTATTATATAACAAAAGCTTTTTTCCACCTACATGTTTCTCCTTCCTCTATTATGTGTTTTTCCCCTTAGCAGTGCAGCAATGAGCTAGTGACATATATAAAACGAACAGCCAGCAATTAGCTCTTTGAGAGCTGTATGCAAAATGGTGATCTTAATGAAAGAAGAGGAAAGCCTTAGCAAATTTCTCAGACTATTAGGGCACCATTGAGGACAATTCTGAAACAGTGTCTCTATGCATTCAGCAAAATGAGCCATAGCACACCACAGTGCAGTGGGTCATTGACAATCCCTTCATGTTGAAAGAAAAAATAAAATAAGAGGATTAACTGGGCTGCCATTTATTCATTTTTTTGCACATATGGCTTATGGCCTACATAAAAATCTCTAACTAGTCAGTATCTTTCTCTGTATAGAAAAAGCAACAACTCCTTTTATTCCTCCTCAAGTTTGCAGTCTTCAGGCGAAATAGGGTGTCTTTAAAATAATGGTGGCTTTTTAGCACCTGCAGGGTTCCTAGTCCTAGATTGGCTGTAGATGTCACATTCTATCTATGTTAATTAAAATAATATAACATGATTTTAGGTATATTTTTATACATACTAACAGTATGTATAAAATTGTTCCCATTTTTCAAGCTATTTTATGGTAAATAATTGTTGTGCTTTGAAAGGGCAAAATTTGAAGTGGACCATATTATAATATATTTGAAAACAATCCTGTGAGAAAGACACAACTATTTCCCCCTCTGAAACAGTAGTTATATTATATTCCAAAGAGATTATTTCCTAGGTGTCTAAATGCTTGCTATTTTCATTTTTGTGACATCTGTGTTCTAATGGCTATTTATTCTATAGCCATTATCAAGTATGGAAGTATCAGGAAAGAAACTTCTAAGGCCTTGGTATTTTGAGAGATACTCTTAACTGTGGGACATAAACGTTTTCACTTGACAGAGAGTAATAGATGAAAGTAAAGTAATTTTGGCCTTTGATATGAAAATTTTTTTTATAAACCAGTCTCTACAATTATTGAGTTATCGTAATTATTAAGAAAATAATGTGGTCAATGTATCAACAAAAAAGTATTTCTCTTATTGAGTGAAGAAAACTTTACATTCCACAATAATCTGAAAACATATAGGCTCTACTCAAAGCACTCAAAACCTAAGAAATTGAGGAATTTATATTGAATAGTCAGTCCCAGAATTTGTGTTTCTATGAACAGCAGATAGTTGTTTCTTGCTTTTTCAAAATTTATGTAAATTTACAAGCTCTGCCTTTTAATTAGTATTTAGACAATTTACTTTTAATCTAATTATCAGTGGAGTTGGGTTTCAAACCCAGCATCTTGCTGTTCATTCATTAATTTGTCCTATCTGTTCTGCGTTCCTTTGTTCCTCTTTTCTTTCCTTCTTTTTGAATGAGCATTTTTTATTATTGTACTTTATCTACACCAATAATTTAATAGCTATACTTTGTTTTATTTTTTACCAATTGTCTTAGTCCACTTGGGCTGCTGTTAACAAACTACCATAGACTGGGTAGCTTATAAACAACAGAAATTTAGTTCTCACAGTTCTGGAGGCTGAGAAGTCTAAGATTAAGGCACCAACAGATTTGGTGTCTGGTGAGGGCCTGTTTCCTCGTTTATAGATAGGTCTTCTCACTGTGTTTTCATAGGGTAGAAGGGATGAGCCATTTCTCCTGGGCCTCTCTTAGAAGGACACTAATCTCATTCATGAAGGCTCTGCCCCCATGAACTATCACCTCCCAAAGGCCTTATCTCCTAATTCCATCATCTTGGGAGTTAAGATTTTAACATATGAATTTTAGCAGGACACAAAATTCACACCATAGCAATGGTTGCTCTAGGGTTCACAGCAGACACGTCTTTAACTTACCAGTTTACATTCAAGTAATATTATACCACTCCATGTATAGTATAAGAATCTCCTGTCCTGGATCTAATTATTGTTGCACATTTAAATTAAATGTGTTATAAACTTCACAATACATTTATATTGTTTTTGCTTTAAATAGCCTATTAGGATTTGAAGAGATTAAAACTGACAAAATTGTATTTATATTTACCTATGTATTTATCATTTCTGATGCTCTTAATTCCTTTGTGTAGATTCAACTTTCTATCTGGTATGATTCTCTTTCTGACAGAGAACTTATTTTAACATTACCATATAGATCTGATAATGAATTCTCTCACTTTTTGCTGTTCTGAAATAAGTCTTTATTTCATCTTCATTTTTGAAAGTTTTTTTTTCCTGGTACAGAATTTCACACGAACAGTCCTTTTTTTTTTTCTCTCTCTTTAGCACTTTAAAGATGTCATTCATTGTCTTAGTTTTCTGATGAGCAGTCTACCGTCATTCATTCTTATCTTTCTTTCTCTGTATATATGTCTTTCTCTGGCTACTTTTAAGATTTTACTTTCTGTTTTGCTGTTTTTCATCAATTTGATTATATTGTTCCTTGGTGTGGTTGACTTCATGTTTATCCTGCCTGGGGTTTGATGAAATTCTTGGCTTTGTGTGTTTATCATTTTATTCCAATTTAAAAAAAAATTATCCATTATTTTTTCAAATATTTTTCTGCCCTTCTCCTGCTTTGGGGATTCTTATTGTATGTATTTGATCACTTAATAGCATTAGATTCTTGATATTTTGCCCACAAATTTTAGGCTTCTACCTGTTCAAACTCTGATCTCTGTCTCCTCAACTTGCTGAAATCATTGCACTCTATTTTGGTTCCCTTCTCTGAGCCTTGGCCTGGACACTACTTCCAGGCAATAATCTGGGACTACTAGAAGGTGAACCTAGCTTGCTCCCCTTCCCTTAGGCATTACAGTCCTTTGCCTTGAAAACTGTTGTATTTTATTTTTTTTCTGGTTTTCTAGTTATTTATAGCAGGACAGCAATTAATTCTTCACAGTTAGAAGCAGAAGTTTCTCCTGCTTTACTTTTAATCAATTCAAAAATTTAAAAAATAACTGATCTTTTCAAAATACAAATAGGAATATATGATCTTGTGAGCAAATCTATTGCATTTAGGATAACATCCCAAATCCTTTTCCAGGCACAGAGGCCCTGCATGATCTGGTCCTGCCTTTCCTTTGTAAGTGCATCTTTTACTACTCTTTCCTCCATTCAAACCCTCCAGTAATACTGGCTAAATCCTTTTATTCCTCAGACCTACCATGCATGCTCTTGTCTCTGCCTGGAATGCTTTCCCCATTTTCTCTTAGGGACCTATTACTCATCTTTTAGACATAGGCTTGAATGCCACTTACTCAGAGTGATTTTTTACCCCCTGAACACTTCCCATGTAAACAAAATAGGTTTCCCTGTTATATTCTGCCATAGCATCCTGTAGATTTCATTTACAAATACTGAACCTAATTACTAGTTACGTTTTCTTTGTAAGCTTATTTCTAATTGTTCATCTGCCTGGTAGATGATAAGCTCCAAAATTGTATCTATTTTGTACGTTCTTGTATTCCTAGGCTCTGGCAGATAGTAGACATTCAACAAATGTCTGTTGACTAATTGTTGTGTAAACTAGGTAATGGAGCACTGCATTGTTGCTTGGATTCCATGCTCTGCATCATTACACAGTGCAGGGCACAGAACGCAAGCAACAAGAATCATTATAAGAAAACATACAATTATAAGAAAATATCTAAATGTCACAGCTTCTTTATTTCTGTATTTTTAGTGCCACATGAAGTTTGGTGTGAGGGGTAAAAGCAAAAGGCAATGTCATTTCCTGAGTGTTTTTGTGCTTGTGACTATTAGTTGCTACAATCTTTTAAAACACATAGCACAGAAGATGTTTCATTTTCCTATTGCTTTTTAGTTACTACAAAACATTCTGATTGCTGATTTTGAGAAATGCACAACAGTTTTCCACATGCCTCTTAGTCTCCTTTGTTGGTTCATAACCTTCCTCCCATCCTTTTCAGTATGGATTTAAGATTTTAGCCTTGGCTCTTTGGCTCTCTGCCCTTCTTGTTAGAACTCTTTCTTTAGCCATTCTTACCCTTGCCTGTAGATTGTCTTTCAAACGTATGTTTTTAATCCTGATGATTCCTCTGGATTCCAGACCCATGTATCCAACGTCAACATGACACAGGACACTTTCATCTGGAGATCTCACCTATGTCCAGAAATAAATTAATCATCAGTCTTCCAAACTCATTCCATGACTTCTGTTTCTTTTGCCAGTGGCTGGCACAACCATTTGATTAGACATAGTTATTTAGTCCATAAACATAAACATCATCATGAACTTCTCTTTCCCCTCCCCATAAACTGTGGTTAAATTCTGTATTAGTCTGTTTTCACACTGCTGATAAAGACATATCTGAGACTGGGTAATTTACAAAAGAAAGAAGTTTATTTGGACTTACAGTTCCATGTGGCTGTAGAAGCCTCACGATCATGGCAGAAGGCAAGGAGGACCAAGTCACATCTTACATGGATGGTGGCAGGCAAAGAGAGCTTGTGCAGAGAGACTCTCATTTTTAAAACCATCAGATCTCGTGAGTCCCATTTACTATTATGAAAACAGCAGGGGAAAAACCTGTCCCCATGATTCTATTGTCTCCCACCAGGTTCCTCCCATAACACATGGGAATTATAGGAGCTACAAGATGAGATTAGAGTGGGGACACAGAGCCAAATCATATCGTTTTGGCCCTTCCCAAATCTCGTAGCTTCACATTTCAAAACCAATCATGCCCTCCCAACAGTTCCCCAAGGTCTCAACTCGTTTCAACTCAAAAGTTCCACAGTCCAAAGTCTCATCTTGGTGACAAGGCAAATCCCTTCTGCCTATGAGCCTGTAAAATCAAAAGCAAGTAAGTTACTTCCTAGATACAATGGGGGTACAGGCATTGGATAAATACAGTCATTCCAAATGGGAGAAATTGGCCAAAACAAAGGGGCTACAGGCCCCATGCAAGTCCAAAATCCAACAGGGTAGTCAAATTTTAAAGCTCCAAAACTATCTCCTTTGACTCCATGTCTCACATCCAGGTCATGCTGATGCAAGAGGTGGGTTCCCATGGTCTTAGGCAGCTCTGCCCCTGTGGCTTTTCAGGGTACAGCCTTCTTCCCGGCTGCTTTCATGGGCTGGTGTCGAGTGTCTGCAGCTTTTTCAGGCACACAGTGCAAGCTGTTGGTGGACCTATCATTCTGGGGTCTGGAGGATGGTGGCCCACTTCTCACAGCTCCGCTAGGTGGTGCCCCAGTAGGGATTCTGTGTGGGGACTCCAATCCTACATTTCCCTTTCACACTGCTCTAGCAGAGGTTCTCCATGAGGGCCCCACCCATGCAGCAAACTTCTGCCTGGGCATCCAGGCATTTCCATACATCTTTGAAATCTAGGCAGAGATTCCCAAGCCCCAGTTCTTGACTTCTGTGCACTGGCAGGCTCAACACCATTTGTATGCTCAGAGGTTTGGGGCTTGCATCCTCTGAAGCCACAGTCTGAACTCTACATTGGCCCCTTTCAGCCATGGTGAAAGCAGCTGGGACACAGAGCAACAAGTCCCTAGGCTGCACACAGTAGGGAGACCCTGGGTGTAGCCCATGAAACAACTTTTTCATCCTAGGCCTCTGGGCCTGTGATAAGAGGGGCTGCCATGAAGACTTCTGACATGCCCTGGTGACATTTTCCCCATTGTCTTGGGGATTAACATTCAGCTCCTCATTACTTATGCTAATTTCTGCAGCTGGCTTGGATTCTACTCAGAAAATGGAATGTTCTTTTCTATTGCATTGTCAGGCTGCACATTTTCTGAACTTTTATGCTCTGCTTCCCTTATGAAACTGAATGCCTTTAACAGCACCCAAGTCACCTCTTGAATACTTTCCTGCTTATAAATTTCTTCCACCAGGTACCCTAAATCATCACTCTCAAGTTCAAAGTTCCATAAATCTCTAGGCCAGGGACAAAATGCCACCAGTCTCTTTGCTAAAACATAGCAAGAGTCACCTTTACTCTAGTTCCCAACAAGTTCCTCATTTCCATCTGAGACCACTTCAGCCTGGATGTTATTGTTCATATCACTATCAGCATTTTTGTCAGAGCCATTCAACAAATCTCTAGGAAGTTCCAAACTGTCCCACATTTTCCTGCTTCCTCTGAGCCCTCTAAACTGTTTCAACCTCTGCCTGTTACCCAATTCCAAAGTTGCTTTCACATTTTTGGGTATCTTTTCAGCAGCGCCCCACTCTACTGATATCAATTTACTGTATTAGTCTGTTTTCACACTTGTGATAAAGACATACCTGAGACTGGGCAATTTACAAAACATGGAGGTTTGATTAGACTTAGTTCCACATGGCTGAGGAAGGCTCACAATCATAGCAGAAGATAAGGAAGAGCAAATCACATCCTACATGGATGGCAGCAGGCAAAGAGAAATTGTGCAGAGAAACTCCCATTTTTAAACCCATCAGATCTCGTCAGTCCCACTCACTATCATGAGAACAGCATAGGAAAGACCTGTCCCCATGATTCAGTCATCTCCCACCAGGTCCCTCCCACAACACGTGGGAATTATGGGAGCTGCAAGGTGAGATTTGGGTGGGGACACACAGCCAAACTATATCAAATTATGTCACTTTTACCCGTCAAATATCATTTGTGTTTATGTATTTCTCCCCATCTCCTTTGGCATTTCCTTATCCAAGATATAATCATCTCTCACCTAGAATACTGTTCCACTCCCCTGACTGGTCTCTTTGCATCATCCTTATTTCCTTCTCATCATTCTCCACACTGCAGCCAGAATAGTCTTTGAAAGAAATACAATTTTTTTCATGCTTAGAACTCTTCAATGGCTTCCCACTGATGTCACAGTAAAGATAAAAATTCTAGCCTACAAGGCCCCACATAAAGTCTTCTTACTATTGTCTCTGCCTTTTCTCTTCCACTGTCATTTTGGTTCTTTTTCTTCTTTTCAATTATGCTAGACTTTTATTAGATCCTTTAATATGCATGCTTTCTCCTTCCTCATAGGCTTCACATGTGCTGTTCCCTTTGCCTTGAGCACTCATCCTTCTAACCTTTTGCCTATTTAACTCCTGCCTGTCTTTCCACACTTACTGCAAGCCTTCCTTGACTCACAAAGTCAAGTTTACTTGCTTTACACATTTATAGCACTTAAAGCCTCTTTTTTAATGACACCTAAACACAACTTTAATTCAACAATTTACTGTATAAATAGTTGGTTATGTCCTTCTCTTAAGCTCCATGAGAGCAGAGCCTATGTCTCTCTTATTTCTTACTAACTCTGGTGCCTAGCATAGTGTTTTTAAGAATGTAGATACTCTGTAAATATTTTTGGATTAAAAGAATCTTTGAAAGGTTTGCTGGTGCATCTCTCTCTTCACAAGAGGAAAAGATATATGTGTGTGTGTGTGTGTGTGTGTGTGTGTGTGTATGTGGATATGTATGTATGTATGTATGTATGTATGTATGTATATATGTGTATATATAAAGCCCAAGGTGTTATAACAATTCAAATTTGATCTTGACCAAGTCAGTGGTCGGGAAGAATATGATTTAGGAAGGAGTAGTGGAGATCAAGGACAATTAGGTAAAACATGGACATTTTGAGCACAGGATGTTTTTGGCAACTCTGTGAATTTAGGTTAAATGCAAGCAGGGTGAGAGAGTAATGACTCAAGATCTAGCTCTGGAAGAAAAAAAACTGATAGAAAAATGGTGAAAAAATTACGGTTCCCTTTTGATTGCTGGGCTCCATTGTCCGTATGCAAAATGGATAGTATTAGGGATTGAACATAAGGAATACAGTAAGACAACAGCCAAGGGAAGAAAAGCAAGACTGGCCACATGTGGTGGAAAGCTAGGGAGAATATAGCTTTCACTTCATGTGGACTGCCTGGGACTGTATTTATCCCTAGCCATATGGCTTTTTGGCATAGAGGAACAGAGTATTCTCAGAATTATCAGTGATTTCTTAAAACTGTGCCATTGGACCTAGGTAACATTAGCCCAAAGACTTGGCTAGAGTGAAATTTGTGGATAACAGATCTATTGTGGGCTATTCTGTGGAGTTCAGGACATGCAGAGAGTGTCTATGGTAGAGAGAAAGGAAGTTGTACAACCTGAAAATTTTATAATCCTGTTAGCAAATATTTATTGAGCACCTCACATTGTGAAGTACTAGTGATTCAGTAAAATTCTAGACAGTCATAAATAAATATATGAGATCCCAGATAATAGAAAAACTGGTATCAAATCTTATAAATAATATAATACTACAAATTCACAAATTAATTTTATTTATAACAAGGATACTAGCAAAAGTTTCTTATGTTGGTCCTGTGGTTGGCTCAAGAATTATAGATGTAAATGGTGACTTGTAAGAGAGGAAGAAGAAGACAGAATAGCAAACTCTAAAATATGCTTGTTTATGGATATGTTAAGTATTTGAATTATGAATATACAAGGGTCATTTATCTTTGAGGGATATATTCCAAGACCCCAAGTGGATGCCTGAAATCATAGCAAGTACCAAAACCTATATATACTCTATTTTTTCTATATACACCTATGATAAAGTTTAATTCATAAATTAGGCACAGTAAGAGATTAAAAATAGCTAATAAATAGGACAATTGTAATAACATAGCATAATAAAAGTTATGTGAATATGGCCTCTCTTCCTCAAAATACCATATTGTACTATACTCACCCTTCTTCTTGTGATGGTGTGAGATAATAAAATGGCTATACGATTACATAAAATGAGGCAAAGGATGTTGGTATTGTGATGTAGCATTAGGCTACTATTGACCTTCTGATGGTATGTCAGAGGGAAGATCATCTGCTTTGGGTGATCCTGGATCATTGAGCCATGGCAGTATCAATGGCTGGATGTCAGGAGCAGATGATGATGATGACTAATGAGTGGGTTGCATAGATAGCATGGAGATGCTGGACAAAGGGATGATTCACCTTCTGGGCAAGAAGGAACAGGGCAGCGTGAGGTTTTATCACACTACTCAGAACAGTATACAATTTAAAACGGATGACTTGTTTATTTCTGAAACTTTCTGTTTAATATTTTTTAAACTCAGCTGATGACAGGTAACTGAAATTACAGAAAGCAAAACTGTGGATGAGAGAGGACTGTTGTATGCATGTTGATACCAGAGAAGAAATTTTGGAAATACACCTCCTGTTCGTGGTCTGCCTGATGGAGACCTCTATTGTAGTTATAGGAAAGAAATTTTACTCCAAATGCAAATTTTATTTAATAAAGTGTAACTTCCTGGTCTGCTGTATTGAGAAGGATTCTGAGGTTCGATCTAAGCTCAATGCATAGAGTGATATGATTAAAATGGTTGAAATGGGCCCAGGATGTAGTTATAGAAGCACTTGGTCACAAATTGTTCCTCCTTGTTCTATGTTGTGATGGAACTTATCTCCCGCCACCAAATCACTGAAATCCATGCTTTTATTTATTCAACAACAAAATTTTTGAATACTTAGATGTGCCTGGCACTGTGTTATACGCTGGAGATACAAAGATTAAAAAAGATATAGTCCTTGCATTTAAAGATGATTAGAAATAACAATGTTATTATATTTAAGAAAATAATACTATGTCTCTGCATGAACAGTATTGTGAAGTGCTATATTTTCTTCCTGTTTTTTCCTCATCAAATTCTACTGAATAAAATCTGCTTGGTTTAATTAGATACTAAAAGTAGGCTGAAAACTGTCATTCTCAACTCATTTGGAGTTCAAGATGAAAGGTCTTACAAAATTTATAAATCATAGCGAATTGTCATTCAACAGAGAACATTGTTATCTATGGATATGGGCTACACTGAACTAACAGTGGTATTTTGGCACATTTTCTAAACCTCCATGACAAAACAACAACAACAAAATATCATTGTGCTGTGACAGCTGTTAAGGATAAAGATGAAAAAATGATTCCAGAAAAGAGAAGTCCTATTAAAAGTGTATCTGTGCATATAGAACAATCTGTCCCTATATATATTTTCCTCTCCTTCTCTCTATTACCATTATCCCCAATCCCTGATCCAGGCATACTAGAGTTTATTTTTCATTGAGGATCATGGTTTTGTTCTCTCTGTACGTGGTGATTTGGCTCTGTTATGGGTTGACAATTGTGAAATAAAGAATCCCTCTATTTCCCCTTTTGTGGCTGTTTATTCCTTTCCCTATCTCCAATATATCAAATAGTTGGTACTTCATGCTCTTTCAACTTGCACACTATTTTTTCTCTTTATATACTATCTGGGCTGAAGTATTGATATTGTTTTGCTTCTGACCTTTAGAGGGGGAAACGTAATTATGCATTCTCCAAAGGCAGGTGAAAATATGTGAAGATTACATAACCTTCAGATATCTCTTGAAGTTTGGAGAATTGACTAGTACATTGACACTAGACAAATTTGCATAGCCTACTTCATGGGGCATATTTAGCTTTTCCTGCCTCATTGGACTTGAGACCCCTTTCTTCCTTCTCAACTCTCTAAATGTGCTTAAATTGATACATTGAAATGAGTAGGGAATGATGAATACTGTTTTTTATCTAATCTGCTCTCTAGTCCCAAGGACCTAGATAAAACTCGGACATCGACTATGTTTCTAGCATTGAAAAATAAGTACATCATTATGCCAGTAGTCCAGTTTGAATCCCCAAAGCTGGTAACTTCCACACTATACTTTGATCATCACGTTTTAATTTTTCCCCATGTCTTACTATGATTACACCCCATGCACTATCACTACCTCAAGAGATATGACAAAATTCTCATTCTCACTGGACTGCAAACTATTCAAGGGCAGAGACAGGGTCTCACTATTTCTTTGTGGCCTTAGTGTCACACCGTTAGCACAGAGCAGCTGCTCAAGAAATTTTGGGTGAATGAATGAAAACAATACAAATCTATTTTCATTTAAAATGTAAATAAGTGTAATAAGCACGATTTCTACAAACTCCCTCCCCCAAAACAAAGCAAAAAATCAGTTATACCAGTTTGTCACCAACTGTTGAGAACCGTTTTGAAGCTTGTGACTTTGTATGTGGCCATTAGATTCTATCTTCCACCCAATTTCTACCTTTCCTTTTCTCAGCTCCCCTGCCACACACCATTATGGCATATTATAAAGGCTGATAAGGAAAGAGGCTGGACCTTTCTTTATTCAAAAGACAGTTCTAATTCTAGACAAAAGATATGATCTCCTAGAAACATGGGTTTATTTAAGATGACTTCACTTGAGTTGATACCACATGGGTCTTCTTCATTCAATGAACCCTTAATCTTTTGTTGGGCATAGAGATTGGCTTCTATTTTTTTTTTATCACAAATGAAAAGATGCGATAGTATATGTTGGAACCCATGACTTGCCTTATAAATAGGCATGGCAGGTAATTAATTGCATGAATAATTCAGAAATGGCATAATTATGGCCAAGTCTATCCTTTTCTTTACCTCCTTTGCCTGCCACCCGTCATCTGATGCCACAATTTCTGCAAGAAATTTGTGCGTTATATTTCTCTGCTTTGGGACATCTTTTAAAATGTAGTTAATACAAATATGGGCAATTTCACTCTGAAATGTGTAACATATATAACATATACTCTCTATAATTCACACTATAGTATTAAAGACACCTGGTAAGAGGATTTAAAAGTAAGACACATTATATCTGAATTATTGGAATAAGAATAGGTTAATTTTGAGAGCATTGAGAGGTAGGAACAGGTGAAAAATGTGAGCTGAGGAATCCTGGAAAATGTATGCTTGTGTGTATTGCAAGTATATATGTATGTATGTATGTCATGTAGGATGTTAACTGAAGTGGCAAAAGCTACTAGACAATCAAGAGAATAAGTTCTGAAACAACCTTGGGCTGAAGCTGCCTTGGGCATGATTCTTAAAGAGGCATTGGGAGACTCCTGCCCTACATAATTATCAATGACCATCTGTAGTAGCATTGTGTTTTGGGAAGTGATACCATTGGGTATATTTTGAGGTGCAAATGTTTGCTTCATAGTTCAGGCTATTTCCTGAAATATCAATAATTTTAAAAATAATTATTCTAAATTATTTTAAATAATAAACAATTAAATATATTTGTATTATTTTCATTTATTCAACCAAAACTCTCTAAATATTATTCTCTTTGCTATCTGGACTGAAGTATTGTAGGGCCATTTTCTGGCCCTTTCTCTGTTGCCTTTCTCTCTTTTTGAACACTCACTCTGTTCTAACAGGGTAGCACTAGAAACAACAAGACCCTGTCTCTTCTGAATCAATCACCTTTCTTTTTTAAAAAAAATTAGATTCAAGGAGTACACGTGCAGGTTTGTTACATGGATATATTGACTAATTCTGGGCTTTAGGCCTCTATTGAACTCATTACCCAATACATTCTGTAGGTGTACTCACCCAGAAAACACATACCCAGTTATATATTCAGGGTACTAAACAATAGGCTATGTGAGAAGGACTCATGGACTTCCTGTAGTGAGCACAGGACCCAACAGGTTATTTATCAAACCTTGCCCCCATCTTTTAGAGTCTCCAGTGTCTATTGTTCCCATCTTTATGTCCATGTGGACTCATTGTTAAGCGTCCATTTATAAGCGAAGATGTGGTATTTTGTGCGTTTATTCACTTAGGATAATGGCCTCCAGCTGCATCCATGTTGCTGCAAAGGATGTGATTTCATTCTTTCTTATGGATGCATAGTTGGATCAATCACCTTTTATTTTCATCCCCCTATTTTATTTTCATATAGCACCATCTTTCAGAACTTCTTTGGTCTGTAAGGAAAGGCATTAACATTCAACAAGTACCTATTAAGTGACAGTACCTGTGTAGTGAATATTATTATTATTATACTTTAAGTTCTGGGATACATGTGCAAAACGTGCAGGTTTGTTACATAGGTATACATGTGCCATGGTGGTTTGCTGCACCCATCAACCCATCATCTACATTAGGTATTTCTCCTAATGCTATCCCTCCCCTAGCCCCCCAGCCCCCGACAGGCCCCAGTGTGTGATGTTCCCCTCCCTGTGTCCATGTGTTCTCACTGTTCAACTCCCACTTATGAGTGAGAACATGTGGTGTTTGGTTTTCTGTTCCTGTGTTAGTTTGCTGAGAATGATGGTTTCCAGCTTCATCCATGTCCCTGCAAAAGACATGAACTCATTCTTTTTTATGGCTGCATTCCATGGTATATATGTGCCACATTTTCTTTATCTAGTCTATCATTGATGGGCATTTGGGTTGGTTCCAAGTCTTTGCTGTTGTGAATAGTGCTGCAATAAACATATGTGTGCATGTGTCTTTATAGTAGAATGAGTTGTAATCCTTTGGGTATATACCCAGTAATAGGATTGCTGGGTCAAATTGGTATTTCTGATTCTAGATTCTTGAGGAATCACCACACTGTCTTCCACAATGGTTGAACTAATTTACACTCCCACCAACAGTGTAAAAACATTCTTATTTCTCCACATCCTCTCTAGCATCTGTGTTTCCTGACTTTTTAATGATCACCATTCTATCCAGTGTGAAATGGTATCTCATTGTGGTTTTAATTTGCATTTCTCTAATGACCAGCGACAATGAGCTTTTTTTCATATGTTTGTAGGCCACATAAATGTCTTTTTCTGAGAAGTGTCTGTTCATATCCTTCACCCACTTTTTGATGGGGTTATTTGTTGTTTTTCTTCTAAATTTGTGTAAGTTTCTTGTAGATTCTGGATATTAGCCCTTTGTCAGATGGATAGATTGCAAAAATTTTCTCCCATTCTGTAGGTTGTGTGTTCACGCTGATGATAGTTTCTTTTGCTGTGCAGAAACTCTTTAGTTTGATTAGATCTCATTTGTCAATTTTGGCTTTTGTTGGCATTGCTTTTGGTGTTTTAGTCATGAAGCCTTTGCCCATGCCTATGTCCTGAATGGTATTGCCTAGGTTTTCTTCTAGGATTTTTATGGTCTTAGGTATTACATTTAAGACTTTAATCCATCTTGAGTTAATTTTCGTATAAGGTATAAAGAAGGGGTCAAATTTCACTTTTCTGCATATGGCTAGCCAGTTTTCTCAACATCATTTATTAAATAGGGAATCCTTTCCCCATTGCTTGTTTTTGTCAGGTTTGTCAAAGATCAGATGGTTGTAGATGTGTGGCATTATTTCTGAGACCTCTGTTCTGTTCCATTGGTCCATATATCTGTTCTGGTACCAGTACCATGCTGTTTTGGTTACTGTAGCCTTGTAGTATAGTTTGAAGTCAGGTAGCGTGATGCCTCCAGCTTTGTTCTTTTTGTTTAGGATTGTCTTGGCTATATGGGCTCTTTTTTGGTTCCATATGAAATTTGAGTTAGTTTTTTTCTAATTCTGTGAAGAAAGTCAATGGTAGCTTGATGGGGATGGCATTGAATCTATAAATTACTTTGGGCAGTATGGCCATTTTCATGATATTGATTCTTCCTATCCATGAGCATGGAATGTTCTTCCATTTGTTTGTGTCCTCTCTTGTTTCCTTGAGCAGTGGTTTGTAGTTCTCTTTGAAGAGGTCCTTCACATCCTTTGTAAGTTGGATTCCTAGGTATTTTATTCTCTTAGCAGCAATTGTGAATTGGAGTTCACTCACGATTGGGCTCTCTGTTTGTCTGTTATTGGTGTATAGGCATGCTTGTTATTTTTGCACATTGATTTTGTATCCTGAGACTTTCCTGAAGTTGCTTATCAGCTTAAGGAGATTTTGGGCTGAGGCGATAGGGTTTTCTAAATATACAATCATGTCATCTACAAGCAGAGACAATTTGACTTCTTCTCTTCCTATTTGAATACCCTTTATTTCTTTCTCTTGCCTGATTGCCCTGGCCAGAACTTCTAATACTATGTTGAATAGGAGTGGTAAGAGAGGGCATCCTTGTCTTGTGCTGGTTTTCAAAGGGAATGCTTCCAGCTTTTGCCCATTCAGTATGATATTGCCTGTGGGTTTGTCGTAAATAGCTCTTATTTTGAGATACGTTCCATCAATACCTAGTTTATTGAGAGTTTTTAGCATGAAGGGCTGTTGAATTTTGTTGAAGGCCTTTTCTGCATCTATTAAGATAATCGTGTGCTTTTTGTCATTGGTTCCATTTATGTGATGGTTTATGTTTATTGATTTGCATATGTTGAACCAGCCTTACATCCCAGGGATAAAGCCGACTTGATTGTTGTGGATAAGCTTTTTGATGTGCTGCCGGATTTGGTTTGCCAGTATTTTATTGAGGATTTTCACATCGATGTTCATCAGGATACTGGCCTGAAATTTTCTTTTTCTGTTGTGTCACTGCCAGGTTTTGGTATTAGGATGATGCTGGTCTCATAAAATGAGTTACAGAGGATTCCCTCTATTTCCATAGTTTGGAAGAATTTCAGAAGGAATGGTACCAGCTCTTCTTTGTACCTCTGGTAGAATTTGGCTGTGAATCTATCTGGTCTTGGGCTTTTTTTGGTTGGTAGGCTATTAATTATTGCCTCAACTTCCGAACTTGTTATTGGTCTATTAAGGGACTTAACTTCTTCTTGGTTTAGTCTTGGGAGGTTGTATGTGTCCAGGAATTTATCCATTTCTTCTGGATTTTCTAGTTTATTTGTGTAGAGGTGTTTACAGTATTCTCTAACAATAGTTTGTATTTCTGTGGAATCGGTGGTGATATCCCCTCTATCATTTTTTATTGCATCTATTTAATTCTTCTTTCTTTTTTTCTTTATTAGTCTTGCTAGCGGTCTATCTATTTTGTTGATCTTTTCAAAAACCAGCTCCTGGATTCATTGATTTTTTAAAGGGTTTTTTTTTTTTTTATCTCTATCGCCTTCAGTTCTGCTCTGATCTTAGTTATTTCTTGTCTTCTGCTAGCTTTTGAATTTGTTTGCTCTTGCTTCTCTAGTTCGTTTAATTGTGATGTTAGGGTGCTGATTTTAGATCTTTCCTTCTTTCTCCTGTGGGCACTTGGTGCTATGAATTTCCCTCTAAACACTGCTTTAGCTGTGTCCCACAGATTTGGGTACATTTTCTCTTTGTTCTCATTGGTTTCAAAGAACTTCATTATTTCTGCCTTAATTTTGCTGTTTACCCAGTAGTCATTCAGGAGCAGGTTGTTCAGTTTTCATGTAGTTGTATGGTTTTGAGTGAGTTTCTTAATCCTGAGTTCTATTTTGATTGCACTGTGGTCTGAGAGATGGTTTGTTATGATTTCCATTCTTTTGCATTTGCTGAGGAGTGATTTACTTCCAATTATGTGGTCAATTTTAGAATAAGTGCAACGTAGTGCTGTGAAGAATGTATATTCTGTTGATTTGGGGTGGAGAGTTCTACAGATGTATTTTAGGTCCACTTGGTCCAGAGCTGAGTTCAAGTCCTGAATATCATTGTTAATTTTCTGTCTCATTGATCTGTTTAATATTGACAGTGGGGTGTTAGAGTCTCCCAAGATTATTGTGTGGGGGTCTAAGTCTCTTTGTAGGTCTCTAAGAACTTGCTTTATGAATCTTATGAATCTGGGTGCTCCTGTATTGGGTGCATATATATTTAGGATAGTGAGCTCTTCTTGTTGCATTGATCCCTTTACCAGTATGTAATGCCCTTCTTTGTCTCTTCTATTCTCTGTTTGTTGAAAGTCTGTTTTATCAGAGAGTAGGATTGCAACCCTTGCTTCTTTTTGCTTTCCATTTGCTTCATAAATCTTCCTCCATTCCTTTATTTTGAGCCTGTGTGTGCCTTTGCACGTGAGATGGGTCTCCTGAATATAGCACACTAATGGGTCTTGACTCTTTATCCAATTTGCCAGTCTGTGTCTTTAAATTGGGGCATTTAACTCATTTACATTGAAGGTTAATATTGTTATGTGTGAATTTGATCCTGTCATTTTGATGCTAGCTAGTTATTTTGCCCATTAGTTGATGTAGTGTCTTCATAATGTCAATGGTCTTTACAATTGGTATGTTTTTGCAGTAGCTGGTACTGGTTTTTCCTTTCCATATTTAGTGCTTCCTTCAGGAACTCTTGTAAGGCAGTCCTGGTGGTGACAAAACTTCTCAGCATTTGCTTGTCTGTAAAGGGTTTTATTTCTCCTTTTCTTATGAAGCTAAGTTTGGCTGGATATTAAATTCTGGGTTGAAAATTCTTTTCTTTAAGAATGTTGAATATTTGCTCCCACTCTCTTCTGGCTGTAGGGTTTCTGCAGAGAGATCCACTGTTAGTCTGATGGGCTTACCTTTGTGGGTAACCTGACCTTTTGCTCTGGCTGCCCCTAACATTTTTTCCTTCATTTTAACCTTGTTGAATCTGATGATTATGTGTCTTTGGGTTGCTCTCCTCGAGGAGTATCTTTGTGGTGTTCTCTGTATTTCCTGAATTTGCATGTTGGCCTTTCTTGCTAGGTTGGGGACTTCTCCTGGATAATAGCCTGAAAAGTGTTTTCCAACGTGGTTCCATTCTCCTGGTCACTTTCAGATACACCAATCAAACGTAGGTTGGTCTTTTCACATAGTCCCATATTTCTTGGAGGCTTTGTTCATTCCTCTTCATTCTTTTGTCTCTAATCTTGTCTTCATGCTTCATTACATTAAGTTGATCTTCAGTCTCTGATATCCTTTCTTCTGCTTGATCAGTTCAGCTATTGATACTTGTGTATGCTTCACAAAGTTCTTGTGCTGTGTTTTGCAGCTCCATCATGTCATTTATATTCTTCCCTAAAGCGGTTATTCTAGTTAGCAATTCCTCTAACTTTTTTGCAAGGTTCTTAGTTCCCTTGCATTGGGTTAGAACATGCTGCTTTAGCTCGGAGGAGTTTGTTATTACCCACCTTCTGAAGCCTACTTCTGTCAATTTGTCAAACTCATTCTCTGTCCAGTTTTGTTCCCTTGCTGGTGAGGAGTTGTGATCCTGTGGAGGAGAAGAGGCATTGTGGTATTTGTAATTTTCAGCCGTTTTGTGCTGGTTTTTCCTCATCTTTGTGGATTTATGTATCTTTGGTCTTTGATGTTGGCGACCTTCAGATGGGTTTTTGTGTGGGCATCCTTTTTGTTGATGTTAATGCTATTCTTTTCTGTTTGTTAGTTTTCCTTCTAACAGTGAAGCTCCTCTGCTGCAGGTCTGCTGGAGTTTGCTGGAGGTCCACTCCAGACCCTGTTTTCCTGGGTATCACCAGAGGAGGCTGCAGAATAGCAAAGATTGCTGCCTGTTTCTTCCTCTGGAAGCTTCGTCCCAGAGGGGCACCAGCCAGATGCCAGCCAGAGCTCTCTTCTATTAGGTGTCTGTCGACCCCTGCTGGGAGGTATCTCCCAGTCAGGAGGCACAGGGGTCAGGGGCCCACTTGAGGAGGCAGTCTGTCCCTTAGCAGAGATCGAGCCCTGTGCTGGGAGATTTGCTGCTCTCTTCAGAGCCAGCAGGCAGGAACATTTAAGTCTGCTGAAGCTGCGCCCGCAGCTGCCTCTTCTCCCAGGTGCTCTGTCCCAGGGAGATGGGCATTTTATCTATAAGCCCCTGACTGGGGCTGCTGCCTTTCTTTCAGAGATGCCCTGCCCAGAGAGTTGGAATCTAGAGAGGCAGTCTGGCTACAGTGTCTTTGCAGTGCTGTGGTGGGCTCCACCCAGTTCGAACTTCTCAACAGCTTTGTTTACACTGTGAGGGGAAAACCTTCTTCTGAGCCCTCAGTAATGGTGGACGTCCCTCCCCCCATCAACCTCAAGTGTCCCAGGTTGACTTCAGACTGCTGTGCTGTCAGCGAGAATTTCGAGCTAGTGGATCTTAGCTTGCTGGTCTTAATGTGTGTGGGATCCACTGAGCTAGACCACTTGGCTCCCTGGCTTCAGCACCCTTTCCAGGGGAGTAAATGGTTCTGTCTCACTGGCATTCCAGGCACCACTGGGGTATGAAAAAAACTCCTGCAGCTGAGCTGAGTGTCTGCCCAAACAGCGCCTAGTTTTCTGCTTGGAACCCAGGGCCCTGGTGGTGTGGTGGTGTAGGCACCTGAGGGAACCTCCTAATCTGTGGGTTGTGAAGACCATGGGAAAAGTGTAGTATCTGGGCCAGAATGCACCGTTCCTCTTGGGACAGTCCCTCATGGCTTCTCTCAGCTAGGGGAGGGAGTTCCCTAACCCCTTGTGCTTCACAGGTGAGGTGATGCCTCACCCTACTTCAGCTCATCCTCTGTGGGCTACACCCATTGTCTAACCAGTCCCTATGAGATGAGCAGGGTACCTCAGTTCAAAATGCAGAAATCACCTGCCTTCTGCGTTGATCTTGCTGGAAGCCACAGACCAGAGCTGTTTCTATTTGGCCATCTTGCCAGCCACCTCTTGTAGTGAACATTTCAAATGTCATCTGTTTCTTAAAAAACCCCGTGAAAAAGCTCCATCCCATTTTACAGAGAAGGAGACAAACTCAGGATCCTTCTTTACCCCAAAGCCATAGTGAGTGAGAGGCAGTACTGGGCCAGGCCTCTTGGACTCCCCTGTGACTATACAGAAAACAGAACATTATCTCATTTGTCCAAAATGTGTTTTTTTCAGGCTATGAGTTTTCAAATCTTATACATTTCAAAACACACACATACTATTTCTAACTATCAAAATGTTGTGTTCAACTTTCTCTCCCCTGTAACCATTCTATAGCTTTATGATTTTGTAGACTTTGGTCATCTTAACTATCAACTTTCTTCACTCTTGGTGAGGTGCTTCATGTGTGGATCACATTTTTTAGCCCTTTCTCTGTTGCCTTTCTCTGGGCCGTCTCTAACTCCACTACATTTTTCTTGAAATTTTGTCTGCTAGAATTGCAAAACAGGATACTGATGCACAGGATAATGAGTTTTGTTTTGTTTCCAGTGCCCAACCATGATGCCCAGAATACTGTTACTTTTTGGACTCAGCAGCAAATTTTTTTTGAGAACACAGAAGGTTACAGGTGATACTCAGCAGCCTCAGGTCCATCTCAAACCTCCGTGCTGCAGTATATATGTTTACAAGGGCATCTAGATGGGGAGCAGCTGGGGCCTTCTATATGACAGTCAAATGTGTTCATTCTCCTTCCCATCCCACTTCTCTAGCCCCAGCTCACACCACCCAGCCCCTCGCCCAGTGTCCTCCAGCTACATGTTGGCCTTGTTTCAGTTCCTCATAGATGCCAAGCTCCTTCCCATCATAGGATCTCTGGCCATGCTTGCCTTTTGCTGAGGCTGCCAACCATCATACAAACTCTTACTCATCCTTTAAATTCCAGATTAAATGCTGTCTTCACACCTTGTATTTATTCTTCACAGCATCTATCATGTCACATTTGCAAGCAAATAATGATTGGTATGCTGATTTGCTTAAGATCTATCATCCTGATGCATTATAAAAAACTCCATGAGGACAGAGATTCTCTTGTTCACCTATGTAGTTCCAGTGCCCAGCATAGAATTTGATATCCAGTTAGAGTTCAGTAAATGTTTGTTAAATGAGTGAATAAATTAAAGGAAGGAAATAATAAGCCTCTGGACATGGTTGTCCTCTTACCCTGGTTCCATTTCTTGCCCTAAGTAGTGAGTTTATAACCAGCCTCTTTCTCAAATGATGCAGACTTGGCATCAGCTCTGTCTTGGGCTTCCGGACTTCAGGGCTCTATAGCAAAAGCCAGTGAGTAGAATGAGGGTGGAAGCCAGGACAGAGTAGGAAATGAAGCCAGCTTCAGAGGCTCACCTTACAAGAGCAGTTGCCTTGTCTATTGCAGTATAATAGGCATGCCAAGATCAGGCATAGTTTGGACAGACAACAGCAATCAAAAAGAATCCAATTTGGCAAGCAGGGCACAGCAGTGGCAGTCCTTGCCATGAGAAGATGCTGGAAATTCAGATAAATGGCAGCATCATGGCACTGAGCCTTCTCTCTACTCACAGACATAGTCAAGTCAGAGATTTGGAGCTCTAAGAGTGGGATTCAGTCTTCAGGGTTGGCAGAAGCAAGGTAGGACCTCAGGCCAAAGCCAAGCAGGTGGGCTCAGGAAAGGGGAATGGAGCCCTGGGCAAAGCAACTAAGGCAGAAGCCCAGACTTTCACATTGATGAGCCCAACACAGGGGGTGAGGGAAAGCTGCTGACAGTGACAAGAATGCTAGAGCAACTCAAATGTTAAATGAGTGCAGGGACTCATCCCTGGCACCTGAAGCCCAAAGAGTGAATAGAAGTAAAGGTCGTACTTAAAAATGCGTAACCTTTGGGTTTGATTCCTGAAGATTCTACCTACTAGTTATGTATTCTGAGTACTAAAAAATAGGCTCTGTGAGAAGGACCCATGCACTTCCATTTCAAAGTAACTATTTTTAATTAAAATAATTTTTATTACTGTAAGAGCAGGTTTTATACAATTACAGATTCAGGGATACATGTGCAGGTTTGTTATGTGAGTATATTGCATAATGCTGGGGTTTGGACTTTTATGGAACCCATCACCCAAATATAGTGAACATAGTACCTAATATGTTGTTTGTCAACCCTTGTATCCCCATCCTTTCCTCTCCTTTCTTAGAGTCATGAATGTCTATTGTTTTCATCTTTATGTCTACATATTCCCTTGGTTTAGCTCCCACTTGTAAGTGAGAAAATGTGGTGCTTGATTTTCGGTTTCTGTGCTGATTCACTTTGGATAATGGCCTCCAGCTTCACCCACGTTGCTGCTATGGACATGATTTCATTCTTTTTAACAGCGGCTTAGTATTCCATGGTTGTGTATGTACCACATTTTCTTTATCTAACCTACTGTTGGTGAACACTTAGGTTGATTCAATAACTTTGGTATTTCGAACAGTTCTGCAATAAACATATGAGTGCAGGTATTTTTTTGTAAAAAGATCTGTAGATTGCTTATAAAAGCAGTTTTACATGCATTACAGAAAGTCAAAGAAAACATCAAAGTAAAATTTAACTAAATAAAGCAACATATTTTAATCACCACTGATAAAACCGTTCTTATATTTCCTTCCAGATATACAATTTTTTTACAATAATGAGATTTTGCTTTTACATGCTTTTTGCTACCTGCTTTTTTTCTGTTAAGATTTTCCATCTTTCCATTACAACAAATGTTAAATTTAGCTAATATTCATTCTAATTCAGATTGCCCCAATTGTCCCCCAACACTGTATTTACCACATTCTGTCCAAATCAGGGTCTAATCCAGGGCCAGACCTTGCATCTGGTAGCTATGTCCCTGAAGTCTCTTCTGATTAGCACACTCCCCTTTTCCTCTGACACTGACCTATTGCCCTCGAGAATATCTCACTTTCTGGATTTGTTTAGTTCCTTTCCAGTGATTTCATTTAGTTTATTTATCTTCTTTATTTCTTATGTGTAGGTTAGATTAAATATAAATCATTGGTGGTGGCTCCTGTTGGGTATTTTCAGCCAGAATACATACTAGCTAGGTATGCCGTATAAACTCTATTGCCTTACATCAGGAGAAACAACATCCGGTTGACCCATCATTAGTGATGCTGTGCTTGATTATGGGTCTAGGGTCTTGCTTCTTTTTAATAAGGTCTCAGGATGACACAATAGGAGCAGGACTCACATCAATGCGTTCCACTCATTGCTACCCCCTCCTCCACCTCCATCTCCTACCAGTTCTCATCCCCCTGAACAGACCTTCCAAGCAAGAAAGACAAAAGGGAATGAAGTGTGGTAAAAGGCCCAGCAATAAAACTGGAAAGTATGACTCTTTTGGCTCCTAGTCTGAAACTTCATTCTAAATTTACTATACTAGATATAAGCAGGCAGGGTGAATGTCCAAGAACTTCTCTCACACTAGATTCCAGTCTTCCCAGTTGTTGTCAAGGTCAAAATAGTATGGCTTTGGTATCTTACGCAGACACCAGAAGGCAGCCTACATAAGATACGAATGTTCTCCTAAACAAGTTTTGAAAAAGACATAAGCTGTTACAGAAAGCAGGCTCAACCATCTTGTAAACTGATCATGCCAAAATATGAACTTTGCTTTTTTTGATTCATTATGCAAAATTGAGAAAGAGGAGTCAAAACTATACTGTATGGAATTTAGCCTGGGAGATGGAGACCACCTAGATCCTGCTTTCTTTGTTTGCTTTGTTTGTTCCTTAACCAATGACAAGGTACAACGTTGGTCAAATATTTTCACCAGCCTAGTTTCAGTATTCTCAAGTGTAAAATGGGGTATATGATACAGTGTATGGTTGTTAAGAGGATTTAACTTCATCTGTGAAACACCTACATTATAGTAACTACCAGTTCCCTTCTCCTCTCATTGGCAGGGTCTGAGATTACTGACATGCTTCCTGCTATACCCGGCACTGATTCCAAATGGGACTGGGTCTGCAGGTGAAATTTACTAGTTTATATAGCTGAGGGAGCTGGAGAAAATTGGAGTAGAGGGCTGGAGGCAGAGGCTGACCACTGTTATTATATAAGCTAAAATGTGATTAGAAGTGCATGATACAAAAAGCTATGACATGTAACCTTTTAAGATAACCATGAACCTCGAATTTTGTTGTTTTTTAAAAATGTATTCGGAACATTAAAGGCAAACTCAGTCATTTAGGGCCCAGGAACAGGAAAAAGGTAGTCCGTATTGTATCTTGACATTTTATTCATTTTATTCTACCTCTCAGGTGCCAATCCTTGCACGTACATACTATTTTAAGAAAATCAGCAAGGGATGGCCATTTTATATTTTGGGCACTTCATTTAGCTTTTTAAATGGTAAGTGTGAAACCTGTATGTCCCTAATAATGCTTACCATCCTAATGAATGTGGGTCAGCATTGCTAGTTTTAAAGGTGTGTGTGTGGTGGTGGGGAATATCCTGAAAATGTTATGAGTAATCTTTATTTTTCTCATACATTTGACATTACTGGAGGCTAGTAGTTATATTGATTACAAATGGACTCTGGAGCACACAGACCTAAGTTTGAATTCCAGGTTCCCCACTTACTAGCAGTGTGACTTTAAACAAAGATTAGACCCAAAAGTTCACGTTGCCTCTGGGAACCTTGGATTCTCATTTTTAGAAGTGAACCGATTATTGTAACTACTGCAAGGCTTGTTGTGAATATTAAATGAGATAACATAAATGAAACATGGCACCTGGTGCATAGTAAGTGTTCAAAAGTTGGTTACTATTTTAATTATCGTTATTATTATTTTTCCCAAAGGAACACAATTTACAAATGTTCGCTTTCCCTGGAATCTTTACCCCAACTCTGACTCTCAATGATTTGCTACTGTTAGTCCGATTGATGAAAAATCAATGGGGAAACCAAGCATTGTAATCTCTGCCCATGAGGTCTATAGACGGAATTCTTTTCAATAGCTCTAATTAATGAGTTGGCAAGTCTGATAAAGCACCAGAGAATGGGGTGTTCATAGAAAGCATTAGTGTTTTTGTTTAACATATGTGACACTTGAAGCATTAGGATGCTGTTATTGTTCATTATGGCACGTGCCACCTCCCCATTCCCCAAAATTACCATAATTTGTACCTTCCAAATTGAATAGAGTCATTCATAGTTATCACATGGGAGTTTCTGTTAAAGCTAAAGGCCACACGTAGTGTGATTAAGGTGGGACTGCTGAATTCAAAATATATCTCTTTTCCCTAGGCTACACTGGCTATTCTGCATGTAATAAAAGGTATTTAATGCATATTAAGTTTTTCATGACTAATGTGTCTTCTGAAGTTTAAAGCAGGAACAGAAAATGAAAGTAAACAAAATGCCTCATTTCTTAGTAATGAATTTTTCAAGTCTCTACATATCACCTACATTATACAAGTCATAGATGCAAATGGAAGAATTAACAGCTTTATTTCATCATCCCCAAACCTCTTACCTCCAGCACCTTCATGAATTATTTTTTTGGTAACTTCTTAAGAATAAATGCTCATTATTGGCAGCTTTGTGTATAAAGAATTACTTCAACCAGTCCAACTGCCTTATGTTATTTTGTGTGTTAGTCTAAAGACTAAGATTTTTTAGGATAAGGAGAGATGTGTATAGAACCTCAGAGTCATCAGCCCCTACAAATATTTTTTTTGCCTTTTGTGCTTTTTCCTAGAAAAACCAGCAGATACTCCCTCTGAGGAAGAGGACTTTGGTAAGTCATAGTCTGAGTATTAAGTGCTAAGAATCTTTCATGACAGTCTATCCATTGAGAAATATGTGATTCTTTTAAAATCTAGGAATAGCGAAATATTTGTTTGGTAAAGAATAATTGCTGACTGAAGCTTTTTTTGGATTCTTCTTTCAACTGTCTGTTTCTCCTTCCTGAAAGGGTTCCCTCTTTTTGGAGTTGTAAATGAATTTCCCAGGAAAAACATCATGCAGCTACTGATGCTTTATCACCCCAGCTCACCTGACACATCTTGTCTTCTTTCCTTCCTTTCAGCTCAGTTTGTGACTTTGACACATGAGTCTTGTTCAAATCTCTCTCTCCAATAAACACCTTCACTCTCCAGCTTTCATGACACTATGTGTGTATTATTCAGTCTTCTTTTTCCGACAGCCGGCTCTCTCCTTAGTCAGCCCCATAGAGTTGATTCTTGCTACTCAAAGTGTGGTCTGTAGACCAGCAGCATGAGTAGGACCTGGGAGTTGGAAATTCAGCATCTCAAGTCCCATCCCAGACTTATTGAATCAGAATCTGCACCTTCAGAAGATTCTCAGGTGATTCATGTGCAAACAAAAATTTCAGCAGCACTGGCTTCAAGAATTTCTCTTCCTTTGTGCAATCTCATTGCCCCTGAGGTATATAAATAAGTACTTTTACTCGGTGACTTCCAACATTACTTGGATCCCCAATCTTCAAATAAAAGATTATTATATATGTGGTGAGAATGTTAAAAGTCCATTCTATTAGCAATTTTAAAATATGCAATACATTATTATTAACGGTGATCACCATAGCAAGGTGATGGATATGTTAATTAGCTTAACTTAATCTTTCTACAATGTATATATACATAGAGCAAAACATCACATTGCAACCCATAAATATACACAATTATTGTTTGTCGATTAAATAAATGTATAAGAAAATATGATCATACATGTACTTTCCTGCCTCTTTTCTCAAAACCCATTTATTGACTCTCATGTACTTTAATTTTACCTACTTAGATGCTGCTGTTTGTTCTCACACTTAGATAGCATTTTACAGTTTCAAAATTCCTTCATATAGATTTTGTTACTTAATCATATATGATCATATAAGGTAGAAAGGTAGGTAATAGAAACTTTTGTAGAGGCTATTTTGTAAATTTCCATTTGTAATTTTTTAATCTCAGGGGTTGAAATAAAAAGGTAAAAAATGTATCAGCAGATGGTTTTTTCCTACCTTAAAACAAAGTAGAGGTCAAGTCTTTTTTGTGCCATCAGAAGTCTGAATCATTCTGCCTCAAAATGTATCATGGGTCAAAATAATGTTTTTTGCTCAGTATGATCTGAGTTATGTTTTTATTCATATACCTTGTCTTCTCACTTGGAATAAAGTAATTAGGCCTAAAATAAAGCCCTCATCTTTCTCACAAGGTTTATGAGATAAATAAGCTAATGAGGAAAAACACTCCACTTCTGATATAAAGTAGCCCAAGGAGAGAAGTACCACTGAGTGCTGCTTCTGCTTGAATGGACAGAAGTAAAAGAAAGAGGAAAGGTTCAATATAGGATATTGTACTATGCCATTTCCATTCTCCCAGACAAGGTATTACTGGGATAACTCTGCTGAGTCATGGCCCAGGAGGAACTGTTGGTTTTGCATCCACTAAAAGTGCATCTCAGCAGAGGGAAACACTCCCAGATCCTAAGATCTGGGGTGCACTCAGTATTCAGGGGTGAGTGGATAAACAGGCCTTGGATTTCAATTGGGTGGATGATGGCATTTTTGTCTTTTCTTTTTGGTTCATTCACTCCACATTTACACTTCTTTTTAAGAGCCTGATATTAAAGAAAGCTTAACTGTGCTAACAATGGGGGTAAGCTTGGGAGAACTGGAGTGTTATTGGTGTTAACCCATAGGACACATTCTTCAACAGCCTTGTGTTCCAAAGAAGCTGAGGCCCACCAAAGCCAGTGGCTCGTTTCACTTCCTCTTCTGTTACAGGGAAGGGTTGACCTCATCCTTTCCAAGGCTCATAGTACCTCTATCAGCATTGCCTCTTCAAAGACTTTGCTCTTGCAATTATCCCCTCTCTCTCTTGCCTACATGTAAATATGCCTTAATACAGCCGCCTGAAATTTATTTAAAAAAAATGATCAATTAACCCTTTCATCACGCTAAAACTCAAAAGAATTGTTTATAGGCATTGACTCCACTTTTCTCCTATTCTCTCATTAACCCACTCCAACTGGAGTTGTATCTGCATTACTTCATGAAACAGTTTTTTATCATTTCCACAGACTTGTATCTTGCTCTTCCATTACAGAATTCTTTTCCTCACCTTACTCTCTCTCAGCAGCATTTAGCATGCTCAGCCACTCTACTTTTTTAAACTTTCCTCTTCTGCTTCCAAGATACCACACTCTCCTGGGTTTCCTCCTGACTCTCTGATCTCTCCTTCTCTGGCCAGTCGCTCACACTTAAAGTCTGGGTGTTGGAGAGCCCCCAGGATGCATTTTCTCTGACTTTTCTAGGTAATTGTATCTGATCCCATAGTTTTAAATACCATGAATGTGCTGTTAAGTCCTAGATTTACATCTCTAGCCCTGATTGCTCTTTCTTGCCCTGGACTTATTTATTTGACTTTATACCCCACCAAATCTGCTCTTGTGTCTACCTTCCTTTCTCTAATAAGGGCATCACCACTCACCATCTCCACTAAATTGCTTCATTCAAACAACTGTTATTTCTCAGTTAGATACCTACCATTACCTCCTAACTCATTTTTATCTGCAGCTATTACCCTACTCTGGTCTATTCTCCACAAAATAATCAGACAAATCTGTTTATAATTACAGTTCCTATTTTCAAAATCAAGTTGTGAAGTGAGCAAATAAATAACCAACTGCTATTTAAAATGCTCAAAGCACAATTCTAATGAGTCAATATTACTTTTTTCATTTATCACATTTTATCTAATTTATAGTACATAATTATCAAACCACAAAAGCAAATATATTAGCCTAAAGTACAGTATGCCATTTTGGATATTGGCTACTTTGCCCCTACCAATTTGATTCTGACATGTCAAAATCTTTATTTATAACCTAACATAAACATATATTACTTTAAAGTATACAGGATAAAGAAGAGTTTTTAACCCTTTGTAATAACATAAAACATGATTACATTGTCATATGTATACATATGTATGGGCATATGTGTATGTATACAGAGAGTCTTTTTAAATGAGGTATCAATACTTGTTTCATAATAATCCTTCAAATAACACTTCCTTAGCCAAATCAAAGAAAGTTGAGATGGCTTTCCAGCTTTTTTAGGCAAAGATCTGCATGACATGCGAGACAATGAAAACAGTGTTTAGATATTTTTCTATCTTATTCTTTGAATTTCAAATTTTATTTTAGATTCAGAGGGCACATGTGCAGGCTTGTTACAAGAGTATATTGCATGACGTGAGGGTTTGGGATAGAACTATTGAGGTAGAATCTGTCACCCAAATAGTGAGCAGAGTACCCAATAGGTTGATTTTCAACCCTTGTCCCCATCCTCACTCCCATCTTATAGTCCCTAGTGTCTATTGTTCCCATGTTTATGTCTGTATGTACCCAATGTTTAGCTCCCACTTATACGGGAAAATATGCAGTGTTTGGCTTTCTATTTCTGCATCAATTAACTTAGGATGATGGCCTCCACCTACATCCATGTTGCTTCAAAGGACATAATTTCTCTCTTTTTGTGGCTGCATAGTATTCCCTGGTGTATATGTACCACAGTTTCTTTATCCATTCCACTGTTGATGGGCACCTAGTTTGATTCCATATCTTTGCTATTGTGAATCCTGGTGCAATAAACATACAAGTGCAGGTGTCTTTTTGGTAGAACAATTTCTTTTCCTTTGGATATATACCAAGCAATGGGATTGCTAGGTTGAGCAGTAGTTCTATTTTTGCTTCTTTGAGAAATCTCCAAACTGCTTTCCACAGTGACTGAACTCATTTACATTCCTACCAACAGCATAAAGAGTTCCTTTTTCTCTGTGTACTCACCAACATCTGTTATTTTTTAACTTTTTTATAATTACCACTCTCACTGGTGTGAGATGGTATTGCTTTGTGGTTTTGATTTGCATTTCTCTGATGATGCATGATGTGAAGCATTTTTTTCGTTTGTTTCTTGGCCACTTGTATATCTTCTTTTTGAAGTATCTTGTCCACCTTTTAATGGAATTGTTTTTTACTTGTTTGGTTAAGTTCCTTATAGATTCTGGATATTAGACCTTTGTTGGGTGCATAGTTTGCTATTAATATTTTATCCCATTATGTCAGTTGTCTCTTTACCTGTTGATAGTTTCTCTTGCTGTGCAGAAGCTCTTCAGTTTAATTAGGTCCCACTTGTCAATTTTTTTTTTTGAGACAGGTTCCCATTCTGTCCCTCAGGCTGAAGTACAGTGGCGTGATCATGGCTCACTGCAGCATAGACCTTCCTAGGCTCCAGTAATCCTTCCATCTTGGCCTTCTGAGTAGTTGGGACTATGTGCCACGATGCCTGGCTAATTTCTATGCTTTTTGTAGAGATGGGGGTCTCACTATGTTGCCCAGGCTGGTCTCAAACTTCCAGACTCAAGCAATCCACCCATCTTGGCCTCCCAAAGTGCTGGGATTACAGGTGTGAGCCACTGTGCCTGGCTTAATTTTTTTGTCGTTGTTGTTAAAATTGCTTTTGTGGACTTAGTTCTAAATTCTTTGCCAAGACCAATGTCTAGAAGGTTATTTCCTAGGTGGTGTTCTAGTATTCTTATAGTTTGAGGTCTTACATTTAAATATTCAATCCATCACGAGTTAAGTTTTGTATATGGTGATAGGTAGGAGGTCTAGTTTCTTTCTTTTGCATATGGATAGCCAGCTACCACAACACCATTTATTAAACAGGGAGTCCTTTCCTTATTGCTTATTATTGTTGGCTTTGTTGAAAGTCAGTTGGTTGTAGGAGTGCAGCTTTATTTCTGAGTTCTCTATTCTATTCCATGGGTCTATACGTCTGTTTTTATGTCAGTACCATGCTGTTTTGATTACTGTAGCCTTATAGTATAGTTTGAAATTAGGTAATGTGATGTCTGAAGTTGGGTAATGTGATGCCAACTTTGTTCTTTTTGTTTAGGATGCTTTGGCTATTTGGGCTCTTTTTTGGTTTTATATAAATTTTAGATTAGTTTTTTCTAATTCTGCAAAAAATGGTGTTGGTGGTTTGATAGGCATAATGTTGAATCTGTATATTGCTTTGGGCAGTATGGCCATTTAAACAATATTGATTCTTCCAATCTATGTGCAAGGAATATTTTTTCATTTTTTCATTTGATTGTGTCATCTATGATTTCTTTCAGCAGTGTTTGGTAGTTCTCCTTGTAGTTCTCTATTTTACACCATTGGTTAAATGTATTCCTAGGTATTTTATTTTATTTTTGGCTATTGTAAATGGGATTGTATTTTTGATTTGGCTATCAGCTTGAATGTTACTGCTGTACAGAAATGCTACTAGATTTTTACATTGATTTTGTATCCTAAAACTTTACTGAAGTCATTTATTATGTTTAGGAGTCTTTCAAGAGAGTCTTTAGAGTTTTCTTTGTATCGAGTTCTATCTTCAGTGGAGATGGACAATTTTACATATTCTTTTCCTATTTAGATCCGTTTTGTTTTGTTCTCTCACCTGATTGCACTAGCTAGGACTTCCAGTACTATACTGAATAGGAGTGGTGAGAGTGAGGATCCTTGTCTTGTTCTAGTTCCTCAAGGGAAATGCTTCCAGTTTTTGCTCTTTTAGTATGATGTTGGCTACAGGTTTTTCATAAATTGCTCATTATTTTGAGGTATGCTTCTTTAATGCTTAGTTTTGTTAGACATTTGAAGATTTTTAAAAAACTGAGAGTTTTTATTATGAAGGGATATTGGATTTTATCAAAAGCTTTCTTTGCATCTATTGAGATGATCATATGGTCTTTGTTTTTAATTCTGTTGATGTGATGAGTCACATTTATTGATTCATGTATGTTGAACCAACCTTGCATCCCAGGAATAAATCTTAATTGATAGGATGAATTAGCTTATTGATGTGCTGCTGGATTTGATTTGCTCATTTTTTTTTTTTTTTTGTTAAGGATTTTTGTGTCTAAGTTCATCAAGGGTATTGGCCTGGAGTTTTCTTTGTTTCTTGTGTCTTTGCCAGATTTTGGTATCAGAATGATGCTGGTTTTGTAGAATGAATTAGGGAGGAGTCTCCTCTCCTTGATTTTTTGGAATAGTTTCAGTAAGATTGGTACCAGCTCTTCTTTATACACCTGGTAGAATTTGGCTCTGAGTTTGTCTGCTACAGGGCTTTTTTTGGTTGGTACATTTTTTGTTACTGGCTCTATTTCAGAATTCATTATTGGCCTGTTCAGTGTTTCAGTTTCTTCCTGATTAAATCTTGGGAGACTATGAATTTACCCATTTCCTCTAGATTTTTTAGTTTGTTTAGATAGATGTATTCATAGTTGTCTCTGAGGATCTTTTGTATTTCTATGGGATTGGTTGTAATGTCACCATTGTCGTTGGCATTGTGCTCATTTGAATTGTCTCTCTTTTTTTCTTTTTTAATCTAGCTAGTAGTCTATTGGCGTTATTTGTTTCTCCTTTCAAAGAACCAATTTTTTGTTTTGTTGATCCTTTTTAATGAATTTTGGCATCTCAATGTCAATTAGTTCTCTTCTGATTTTAGTAATTTATTTTCTTCTGCCAGCTTTGGGATTAGTTTGTTCTTGTTTTTCTAGTTCCTCTAAGTGTGATATTAGATTGTTAATTTGAGATTTTTCTAACTTCTCAATATAGGTATGTAGTGCTATAAACTTTCCTCTTAACACTGCTTTTGCTGCATCCCAGAGATTTTGCTATGTTGTGTCTCTCTTTTCATTTATTTCAAAGAATTTTTTTATTTCATTAATTTTGTTGGTTACCCAAAAGTCATTCAGGAGCTTACTTTTCATGTAGTTGTGTGGTTTTGAGAAATCCTCTTGGCGTTGATATATATTTTTATTCCACTGTGGTCTGAGAATATGTCTAGTGTGATTTCAGTTTTTTAAAATTTATTGAGACTTGTTTTATGGCCAAGAATGTGGTTGATCTTAGACTATATTCCATATGCACATGAGAAGAATGTATATTCTGTGGTTGTTGGGTAGTATCTTGTAGATGTCTTTTAGGTCCGGTTGGTCAAGAATTGAATTTAGTCCAGAATTTCTTTGTTAGTTTTCTGCCTTGATGATCTAACACTCTTAGTTAGGGTATTGAGGTTCTCCATTATTATTGGATGTTTAAGTCTTTCCATAGGTGTAGAAGTACCTGTTTTATGAATCTGAGTGCTCCAGTGTTGAGTGCGTATATATTTAGGGCAAATATGTCTTTTTTGTTTAAATGAACGCTTTATCATTATGTAATACCCTTTTTTTGTCTTTTTTTCTGTTGTGAGTTTAAATCCTGTTTTATCTCATACAAGAATAGCCACTCCTGCTCTTTTTCATTTCCTGTTTATTTGATAGACCTTTTTCTATCCCAAAAGTCATTCAGGAGCAATGAGCCTATAGGTGTTGTTACACATGATATGTGTCTCTTGAAGACAGAGAAAGGTTGGGTCTTTTTTTTAAAAGAAAAATCCAATTTGCCACTCTATGCCTTTTAGTGGGGTGTTTAGGCCACTTATATTCAAGGTTAATATTGATATGTGAGTTTTTGTTTGTTTTTTTTTTTTTTAGACGGAGTCTCGCTCTGTTGCCCAGGCTGGAGTGCAGTGGAGCGATCTCGGCTCACTGCAAGCTCTGCCTCCCGGGTTCATGCCATTCTCCTGCCTCAGCCTCCCAAGTTGCTGGGACCACAGGCGCCCGCCACCACGCCTGGCTAATTTTTGTATTATTAGTAGAGACAGGGTTTCACCACGTTAGCCAGGATGGTCTTGATCTCCTGACCTCGTGATCCACCCGCCTCGGCCTCCCAAAGTGCTGGAATTACAGGCATGAGCCACTGCACATGGACGATATGTGAGGTTTTGATCCTGTTGTGATGTTGTTAGCTGGATACTTTGTAGTCTCAATTGTGTAGTTGTTAGCTGGATACTTTGTAGTCTCAATTGTGTAGTTATTTTTTATAGGTTCTGTGGACTATGTACTTATGTGTTTTTGTGGTAGCAAGTATTATTCTTTTATTTCCACATTTAGAACTCCTTTAAGTGTCTCTTATAAAACTGGTCTAGTGGTAATGAATTTTCTTTTTTTTTTTTTAATACTGTTTTTTTTTGGATTTATTTATTTATTTATTTATTTATTACACTTTAAGTTTTAGGGTACATGTGCACATTGTGCAGGTTAGTTACATATGTATACATGTGCCATGCTGGTGCGCTGCACCCACTAACTCGTCATCTAGCATTAGGTATATCTCCCAATGCTATCCCTCCCCCCTCCCCCCACCCCACAACAGTCACCAGAGTGTGATATTCCCCTTCCTGTGTCCAGGTGATCTCATTGTTCAATTCCCACCTATGAGTGAGAATATGTGGTGTTTGGTTTTTTGTTCTTGCGATAGTTTACTGAGAATGATGATTTCCAATTTCATCCATGTCCCTACAAAGGACATGAATTCATCATTTTTTATGGCTGCATAGTATTCCATGGTGTATATGTGCCACATTTTCTTAATCCAGTCTATCATTGTTGGACATTTGGGTTGGTTCCAAGTCTTTGCTATTGTGAATAATGCCGCAATAAACATACGTGTGCATGTGTCTTTATAGCAGCATGATTTATAGTCCTTTGGGTATATACCCAGTAATGGGATGGCTGGGTCAAATGGTATTTCTAGTTCTAGATCCCCGAGGAATCGCCACACTGACTTCCACAATGGTTGAACTAGTTTACAGTCCCACCAACAGTGTAAAAGTGTTCCTATTTCTCCACATCCTCTCCAGCACCTGTTGTTTCCTGACTTTTTAATGATTGCCATTCTAACTGGTGTGAGATGGTATCTCATTGTGGTTTTGATTTGCATTTCTCTGATGGCCAGTGATGATGAGCATTTTTTCATGTGTTTTTTGGCTGCATAAATGTCTTCTTTTGAGAAGTGTCTGTTCATGTCCTTCGCCCACTTTTTGATGGGGTTGTTTGTTTTTTTCTTGTAAATTTGTTTGAGTTCATTGTAGATTCTGGATATTAGCCCTTTGTCAGATGAGTAGGTTGCGAAAATTTTCTCCCATTTTGTAGGTTGCCTGTTCACTCTGATGGTAGTTTCTTTTGCTGCGCAGAAGCACTTTAGTTTAATTAGATCCCATTTGTCAATTTTGGCTTTTGTTGCCGTTGCTTTTGGTATTTTAGACATGAAGTCCTTGCACAAGCCTATGTCCTGAATGGTAATGCCTAGGTTTTCTTCTAGGATTTTTATGGTTTTAGGTCTAACTTGTAAGTCTTTAATCCATCTTGAATTGATTTTTGTATAAGGTGTAAGGAAGGGATCCAGTTTCAGCTTTCTACATATGGCTAGCCAGTTTTCCCAGCACCATTTATTAAATAGGGAATCCTTTCCCCATTGCTTGTTTTTTTCAGGTTTGTCAAAGATCAGATAGTTGTAGATATGCGGCGTTATTTCTGAGGGTTCTGTTCTGTTCCATTGATCTATATCTCTGTTTTGGTACCAGTACCATGCTGTTTTGCTTACTGTAGCCTTGTAGTATAGTTTGAAGTCAGGTAGTGTGATGCCTCCAGCTTTGTTCTTTTGGCTTAGGATTGCCTTGGCGATGCGGGCTCTTTTTTGGTTCCATATGAACTTTAAAGTAGTTTTTTCCAATTCTGTGAAGAAAGTCATTGGTAGCTTGATAGGGATGGCATTGAATCTGTAAATTACCTTGGACAGTATGGCCATTTTCACGATATTGACTTTTCCTACCCATGAGCATGGAATGTTCTTCCATTTGTTTGTATTCTCTTTTATTTCCTTGAGCAGCGGTTTGTAGTTCTCCTTGAAGACGTCCTTCACATCCCTTGTAAGTTGGATTCCTAGGTATTTTATTCTCTTTGAAGCAATTGTGAATGGGATTTCACTCATGATTTGGCTCTCTGTTTGTCTGTTGTTGGTGTATAGGAATGCTTGTGATTTTTGCACATTGATTTTGTATCCTGAGACTTTGCTGAAGTTGCTTATCAGCTTAAGGAGATTTTCGGCTGAGACAATGGGGTTTTCTAGATATACAATCATGTCATCTGCAAACAGGGACAATTTGACTTCCTCTTTTCCTAATTGAATACCCTTTATTTCCTTCTCCTGCCTAATTGCCCTGGCCAAAACTTCCAACACTATGTTGAATAGGAGTGGTGAGAGAGGGCATCCCTGTCTTGTGCCAGTTTTCAAAGGGAATGCTTCCAGTTTTTGCCCATTCAGTATGATATTGGCTGTGGGTTTGTCATAGATAGCTCTTATTATTTTGAAATACGTCCCATCAATGCCTAATTTATTGAGAGTTTTTAGCATGAGGGGTTGTTGAATTTTGTCAAAGGCTTTTTCTGCATCTATTGAGATAATCATGTGGTTTTTGTCTTTGGTTCTGTTTATATGCTGGATTACATTTATTGATTTGCGTATATTGAACCAGCCTTGCATCCCAGGGATGAAGCCGATTTGATCATGGTGGATAAGCTTTTGGATGTGCTGCTGGATTCGTTTTGCCAGTATTTTATTGAGGATTTTTGCATCAATGTTCATCAAGGATATTGGTCTAAAATTCTCTTTTTTGGTGGTGTCTCTGCCCGGCTTTGGTATCAGAATGATGCTGGCTTCATAAAATGAGTTAGGGAGGAGTCCCTCTTTTTCTATTGATTGGAATAATTTCAGAAGGAATGGTAGCAGCTCATCCTTATACCTCTGGTAGAATTTGGCTGTGAATCCATCTGGTCCTGGATTCTTTTTGGTCGGTAAGCTATTGATTATTGCCACAATTTCAGAGCCTGTTATTGGTCTATTCAGAGATTCAACTTCTTCCTGGTTTAGTCTTGGGAGAGTGTATGTGTCGAGGAATTTATCCATTTCTTCTAGATTTTCTAGTTTATTTGCGTAGAGATATTTGTAGTATTCTCTGATGGTAGTTTGTATTTCTGTGGGATTGGTGGCGATATCCCCTTTATCATTTTTTATTGTGTCTATTTGATTCTTCTCTCTTTTTTTCTTTATTAGTCTTGCTAGCGGTCTATCAATTTTGTTGATCCTTTCAAAAAACCAGCTCCTGGATTCATTAATTTTTTGAAGGGTTTTTTGTGTCTCTGTTTCCTTCAGTTCTGCTCTGATTTTAGTTATTTCTTGCCTTCTGCTAGCTTTTGAATGTGTTTGCTCTTGCTTTTCTAGTTCTTTTAATTGTGATGTTAGGGTGTCAATTTTGGATCTTTCCTGCTTTCTCTTGTGGGCATTTAGTGCTATGTATTTCCCTCTACACGCTGCTTTGAATGTGTCCCAGAGATTCTGGTATGTTGTGTCTTTGTTCTCATTGGTTTCAAAGAACATCTTTATTTCTGCCTTCATTTCATTATGTACCCAGTAGTCATTCAGGAGCAGGTTGTTCAGTTTCCATGTAGTTGAGTGGTTTTGAGTGAGATTCTTAATCCTGAGTTCTAGTTTGATTGCACTGTGGTATGAGAGATAGTTTGTTATAATCTCTGTTCTTTTACATTTGCTGAGGAGAGCTTTACTTCCAAGTATGTGGTCAATTTTGGAATAGGTGTGGTGTGGTGCTGAAAAAAATGTATATTCTGTTGATTTGGGGTGGAGAGTTCTGTAGATGTCTATTAGGTCCGCTTGGTGCAGAGCTGAGTTCAATTCCTGGGTATCCTTGTTGACTTTCTGTCTCATTGATCTGTCTAATGTTGACAGTGGGGTGTTAAAGTCTCCCATTATTAATGTGTGGGAGTCTAAGTCTCTTTGTAGGTCACTCAGGACTTGCTTTATGAATCTGGGTGCTCCTGTATTGGGTGCATATATATTTAGGATAGTTAGCTCTTCTTGTTGAATTGATCCCTTTACCATTATGTAATGGCCTTCTTTGTCTCTTTTGATCTTTGTTGGTTTGAAGTCTGTTTTATCAGAGACTAGGATTGCAACCCCTGCCTTTTTTTGTTTTCCATTTGCTTGGTAGATCTTCCTCCATCCTTTTATTTTGAGCCTATGTGTGTCTCTGCACGTGAGATGGGTTTCCTGAATACAGCACACTGATGGGTCTTGACTCTTTATCCAATTTGCCAGTCTGTGTCTTTCCATTGGAGCATTTAGTCCATTTACATGTAAAGTTAATATTGTTATGTGTGAATTAGATCCTGTCATTATGATGTTAGCTGGTTATTTTGCTCGTTAGTTCATGCAGTTTCTTCCTAGTCTAGATGGTCTTTACATTTTGGCATGATTTTGCAGCGGCTGGTACCGGTAGTTCCTTTCCATGTTTAGTGCTTCCTTCAGGAGCTCTTTTAGGGCAGGCCTGGTGGTGACAAAATCTCTCAGCATTTGCTTGTCTGTAAAGTATTTTATTTCTCCTTCGCTTATGAAGCTTAGTTTGGCTGGATATGAAATTCTGGGTTGACAATTCTTTTCTTTAAGAATGTTGAATATTGGCCCCCACTCTCTCCTGGCTTGTAGGGTTTCTGCTGAGAGATCTGCTGTTAGTCTGATGGGCTTCCCTTTGAGGGTAACCCGACCTTTCTCTCTGGCTGCCCTTAACATTTTTTCCTTCATTTCAACTTTGGTGAATCTGACAATTATGTGTCTTGGAGTTGCTGTTCTCGAGGAGTATCTCTGTGGCGTTCTCCGTATTTCCTGAATCTGAATGTTGGCCTGCCTTGCTAGATTGGGGAAGTTCTCCTGGATAATATCCTGCAGAGTATTTTCCAACTTGGTTCCATTCTCCCCGTCACTTTCAGGTACACCAATCAGACGTAGATTTGGTCTTTTCACATAGTCCCATATTTCTTGGAGGCTTTGCTCATTTCTTTTTATTCTTTTTTCTCTAAACTTCCCTTCTCGCTTCATTTCATTCATTTCATCTTCCATTGTAGGGGTGGGTTGCCCCTACACACCTGTGGGTGTTTCTCGTAAGGTGGGACGAGAGATTTGGAAAAGAAAAAGACACAGAGACAAAGTATAGAGAAAGAAATAAGGGGAACCGGGGAACCAGCGTTCAGCATATGGAGGATCCCGCCAGCCTCTGAGTTCCCTTAGTATTTATTCATCATTTGTGGGTGTTTCTCGAAGAGGGGGATGTGTCAGGGTCACAAGACAATTGTGGGGAGAGGGTCAGCAGACAAACACGTGAACAAAGGTCTTTGCATCATAGACAATGTAAAGGATTAAGTGCTGTGCTTTTAGATATGCATACACATAAACATCTCAATGCTTTACAAAGCAGTATTGCTGCCCGCAGGTCCCACCTCCAGCCCTAAGGCAGTTTTTCCCTATCTCAGTAGATGGAGCATACAATCGGGTTTTATACCGAGACATTCCATTGCCCAGGGACAGGCAGGAGACAGATGCCTTCCTCTTGTCTCAACTGCAAGAGGCATTCCTTCCTCTTTTACTAATCCTCCTCAGCACAGACCCTTTACGGGTGTCGGGCTGGGGGATGGTCAGGTCTTTCCCTTCCCACGAGGCCATATTTCAGACTATCACATGGGGAGAAACCTTGGACAATACCTGGCTTTCCTAGGCAGAGGTCCCTGCGGCCTTCCGCAGTTTTTGTGTCCCTGGGTACTTGAGATTAGGGAGTGGTGATGACTCTTAAGGAGCATGCTGCCTTCAAGCATCTGTTTAACAAAGCACATCTTGCACCGCCCTTAATCCATTTAACTCTGAGTTGACACAGCACACGTTTCAGAGAGCACGGGGTTGGGGGTAAGGTTATAGATTAACAGAATCTCAAGGCAGAAGAATTTTTCTTAGTACATAACAAAATGGAGTCTCCTATGTCTACTTCTTTCTACACAGACACAGTAACAATCTGATCTCTCTTGCTTTTCCCCACATTTCCCCCTTTTCTTTTCGACAAAACCGCCATCGTCATCATGGCCCGTTCTCGATGGTCGCTGTCTCTTCGGAGCTGTTGGGTACACCTGCAGACTAACAACAGACAAAACAGGCACACAAGGATTAATATGAGATTTATAATTGTAGTACTTCCAATGGTCTTAACCCAAGTGACAGGGTTAAGATTTGCGAGGCCATCAGCAACTCCTGCAATTGCCTCAGTTCCTGGCACCAAATTTAAATGGGCTTTTGATGCTTCGAAAATTTGTTCTTTTAATTTGGAAATGTCTAAAGTGAGATTATCTTCTCTTCCCTGTAGATGGCGTCTAACCATGTCCCAGTGATGCTCAGACTCATTATAAATTTGGGGTGTAATACAAAAATCTGACGTATTCCAGTCACATTGTAACTGGAAACGATGTTCTAAGCTCATGAGTCTGTCTCCCATCCAAATGACAGTTTGTCTAAGATCATTAATTTGATTTGCCAATTTTTGATCAATACTAGATTGTGAATTCCACAATCTTGTAGAATTATTTTGCCAATCATTAACAAAGTTTACTGACTGAACAGAAGAATGCAATGCAACTCCTGCTACAGCAGCCGTAGCTGTGACTGCAATTAATCCCATAATCACTGCAATTAAAGTAAAAATGAATCTTTTGGATCTATTTAAAACACCTTTTAATACTTCAGTCAAAATATGGACGGATGGTGAGGCCTCCCACGGTCGGTCCATGGACACAGGGATCCACACGCCCTCTCTTGCTCTCACCAGCAGAATACGGTGTTGCCAATTAAAAGTTGAATCAATGCAAGTAAGCAATCTACAATTTTCACAGGTTATAGTCTGGGAGTCTGGTTTAATAACTATATTTCCTACAACTAGCATATAAGGGGGCTTTACGCAACTTTGTAAAGGAACTGTTAGACTGGAATTTAGGTCGACAGTATAAAATGGCTTACGATCTCTTGTTTCTAAAGTTTGATTTCCAGACCAAATTCTAATGTGGTGTGAGGCCACAGTAAGCCTCCATAATTCTGGATGTTCAGGACCAGAAACAGGACTTACTATTTTTGGTCTTGGGGTAGAGATTCCTTTTTCTCCCCATTCCCAAGGGTAGAAAGACTGCAATTTTTTATGCTTATGTTTGTCTAAACTTTCTGTTAAGTCGCTATCAACAGCTGGACTCACTTGTGCACTTGGACACGACTGAGTTTGTCCTGAGCAATTGTGGTAGAATTGACCTCGAGGTGCCCAATCTATAATAGTTCCGAATTCATTGTTTTGTAATATCACCGCACTATTGGCCACACATTCTTCCCAAACTAAAACTTCTGTATTTTTTGATTCTTTGGGAATTTCCTTGGGGCAAGGTTTCCCTTTAGGTCTAAATTTTAATGATCTTTGATAAGGAAAGTCTTGTAAATAATTTACCCGTGGCCTGAGTGACATCCCGCTTACCATGTGATAAGTGAATCTACTGATGGGACTGACAGTAGGTACTTCCACCAACCAATTTTGGACTGCAGCCATTAAACATCCTGGTGCTCTCCCTAGGCAAATAGGAGGATAACGATACCCAATGGAAATATTTATCATCATCCCTTCTTCCTCAGGTTTGGCAGGGCAGCGATCATCTGTGGGGCCAGGTACCCATTCACTATCATTAACATATACTTCTATAGGATTATCCATCCATGTGACTGGTGTTACCATCTCCGTGGAGGCCCTTTTCTTTGCATCTCCGATGGGTTCATTGTAGAACTTCAAATGTCTAGTGGGTATCCAAACAGGAAGCTGATTTTCTCCTGGTGAAACACAAGCAAAACCTCTCCCCCACGTTATCACCTTACCTATTTCCCATGTCTTATTTTTATTATCTTTCCACCAAATTAGTTTTCCTTGAATAATGGCCTTACACACAGGTCTGTTCTCTGAGACCTGACTTGCCCAATATGCAGCCTTTCCTGTTGGATCAGTGCTTACAAGCCCTCCTATTCTTTTTATTTCACTATTTCCATCCTTAATATATGGCAGGAGTAATAATTGAGCAATCCTGTCTCCTGGACTGGCACTCCAAGGAATTGAAGAGCTAATAACCAATTGAATTTCACCTTTATAGTCTGAATCAACCACACTAGTATGAATTTGAACTCCTTTTAGATTTAGACTTGATCTTCCCAAGATTAGTCCTACAGTCCCCTCAGGCAGGGGGCCATATACCCCTGTGGGGATTTTTTGTGGGGGCTCCCCTGGAAGCAGAGAGACTGCTTGTATAGTACATAAATCTACTGCTGCACTGCCGCTTGTGGCGGGGGACAATTGTTGTATTGTGGTAACTGGCTTATTCCCTGAAACACTTGGGACAGTGGGGGTTGTTGTCCCTGAAAACCCTGAGGAACAAATGGCTGAATTGGGAATGCCCCAGTTTGTTGTGGGGCCTGAGGCTGGCCCCTTTGCTCATTTCCCGACAATGGTTGCCCATTTTTATCAAATTTAGAACGACATTGACTAGCCCAATGTTTTCCTTTTTTACATCTTGGACATAAGTCAGGTGGCTCTCTACCTGTTGTAGTTGGTTGAATAGTTATATTCTGTTTATTTAAGACTGGGCAATTCTTTTTTAAGTGACCAATTTGACCACAATTATAACATTTTCTTCCAAATGTTCTAACTTGCCCTCCTAAAACAACTCCTGTTATTGCTTGAGCCATAAGCATAGCTTTATGCATAGCTCCTCCGATTCCATCACAGGCTTTTACATATTCTGAGATTACATCTGATCCTGCAGGAACCTTTCCTTTTAATGGCTTAATGGCTGATTGACACTCAGGATTGGCGTTTTCATATGCCATCAACTCCACTATGACCTTACGGGCTTTTTCATCGGCAATTGACTTTTGAGCAACATCTTGGAGCCTTGCCACAAAATCAGGATAGGGCTCTTTTGAACCTTGTCTTACTGTATTAAATGAGGGGCAGGTACTTCCTGGGTCTTGGATTTTTTCCCAGGCTCTAAGGCAGATAGCTCTAACTTGTTCAATGGCCTCATTTTGCATTAATGCTTGTTGACTAATAGTACTCCAATTTTGACCTATTCCTAATAGTTGATCTGCATCTATGTTAACTGGAGGATTGGCAGCCCTATTTCTTCGGACCTGTTCTTGTACCCCATCAATCCACCAAGTCTTAAATTGTAAAAATTGAGAGGGTGAGAGAGACGATTTTGCCAGAATCTCCCAATCATAAGGAATGAGTCTATGTCCATGAGCAATGGAATCTAATAATGTCCTCATATAAGGAGAGTTGGGTCCATACTGTTTTACTCCCTCTTTCATATCTTTTAGCATTTTTATCGAAAAAGACTTGTATCTGGCCTCAACTGTGGGAGGCTCTCCCTCTTGGGCTCCTTCTCCAGGTGGCATTGGTTCTAACGTTACTGGGAATTGCCATGCCTCAGTATCTCCTTCCTTTCTTGATTTATCAATAATTTCATGTAATTCACTACCCTGTCTACTAGGTGGTGCCATAGGATTAAGTCTCCTAGTGGGCAGCTGAGGGTATGGCGCCCTGCCCTGTGGTGCTGGGGGCATTCCTGGATATCCATACTGACTTTCTGGGGGTGGCCGATACTGAAGTTCAGCCGGCGGCCAGTATTGATAAGCTACTGGCGGTTGGGTCTTATTTTCTTTAACCTGCGTTTGAGGTTGTAATCTTACGGGCACCTGACCTGCTGGAAGAGGACTTGTGCCTCGTGGTTTAGACTCTGATGGCCCCATTAATTCTGGACCTTTTCCTTCTAATTTTAACGTTTCAGGATATATCACCTCCTGTAATTGATTATAGTCAACATTTTGCGTTGACTGAGCCATTACCGGCTCTGCTACATATTTGCAATGTAAACTTTCCGTTTCTTTCTGGGATTTTTTCCTTGTCTTTTCATTACAATCTATTAAACAGCTTCCAGGGGCATCAGAAACTGAAATGCTATCTTCTTCTGTTTGAAATGGTTCTAAAGCTGCTTTAATAATGGCCCAATCATTCCATACTGTAAGTGGAATGATATTACCCTTCCTACCTGCTTGTTTTAGTTCCTTACCAATTCTTTTCCAATCTTTTAGATCTAAAGTTCCTTGTTCTGGAAACCATGGGCAAAATTGTTCTATTATTTGAAATAGCTTGATTAGATTTTTTGTAGATACTTTAACTCCCCCTCTTTTTAAAAGAATTTTAATAAAGCTGAGATAAGAGGCATATTTACTTTTAATTTTACTTTTAGTTTGCCCTATTATCACCCTAGCTTCTTCCGAGCGCACAAGCTTACTGTAAGGCTGACTGTAGACGTACTTGGGATCTCTCGTCGACTTGTCCTCAATGACCACGCTCGAGCGTACCTTCACCCTAGAGAAAAGCCTCCACGTTGGGCACCAGATGTAGGGGTGGGTTGCCCCTACACACCTGTGGGTGTTTCTCGTAAGGTGGGACGAGAGATTTGGAAAAGAAAAAGACACAGAGACAAAGTATAGAGAAAGAAATAAGGGGAACCGGGGAACCAGCGTTCAGCATATGGAGGATCCCGCCAGCCTCTGAGTTCCCTTAGTATTTATTCATCATTTGTGGGTGTTTCTCGAAGAGGGGGATGTGTCAGGGTCACAAGACAATTGTGGGGAGAGGGTCAGCAGACAAACACGTGAACAAAGGTCTTTGCATCATAGACAATGTAAAGGATTAAGTGCTGTGCTTTTAGATATGCATACACATAAACATCTCAATGCTTTACAAAGCAGTATTGCTGCCCGCAGGTCCCACCTCCAGCCCTAAGGCAGTTTTTCCCTATCTCAGTAGATGGAGCATACAATCGGGTTTTATACCGAGACATTCCATTGCCCAGGGACAGGCAGGAGACAGATGCCTTCCTCTTGTCTCAACTGCAAGAGGCATTCCTTCCTCTTTTACTAATCCTCCTCAGCACAGACCCTTTACGGGTGTCGGGCTGGGGGATGGTCAGGTCTTTCCCTTCCCACGAGGCCATATTTCAGACTATCACATGGGGAGAAACCTTGGACAATACCTGGCTTTCCTAGGCAGAGGTCCCTGCGGCCTTCCGCAGTTTTTGTGTCCCTGGGTACTTGAGATTAGGGAGTGGTGATGACTCTTAAGGAGCATGCTGCCTTCAAGCATCTGTTTAACAAAGCACATCTTGCACCGCCCTTAATCCATTTAACTCTGAGTTGACACAGCACACGTTTCAGAGAGCACGGGGTTGGGGGTAAGGTTATAGATTAACAGAATCTCAAGGCAGAAGAATTTTTCTTAGTACATAACAAAATGGAGTCTCCTATGTCTACTTCTTTCTACACAGACACAGTAACAATCTGATCTCTCTTGCTTTTCCCCACATTCCATTGCTGATACCCTTTCTTCCAGTTGATAGCATCGACTCCTGAGGCTTCTTCATTCTTCACGTAGTTCTCGAGCCTTGGTTTTCAGCTCCATCAGCTCCTTTAAGCACTTCTCTGTATTGGTTATTCTAGTTTTACATTCTTCTAAATTTTTTTCAAAGTTTTCAACTTCTTTGCCTTTGGTTTGAATGTCCTCCCGTAGCTCAGAGTAATTTGATCGTCTGAAGCCTTCTGCTCTCAGCTTGTCAAAGTCATTCTCCATCCAGCTTTGTTCCATTGCTGGTGAGGAACTGCGTTCCTTTGGAGGAGAGGCGCTCTGCTTTTTAGAGTTTCCAGTTTTTCTGCTCTGTTTTTTCCCCATCTTTGTGGTTTTATCTACTTTTGGTCTTTGATGATGGTGATGTACAGATGGGTTTTTGGTGTGGATGTCCTTTCTGTTTGTTAGTTTTCCTTCTAACAGACAGGACCCTCAGCTGCAGGTCTGTTGGAGTACCCTGCCGTGTGAGGTGTCAGTGTGCCCCTGCTGGGGGGTGCCTCCCAGTTAGGCTGCTCGGGGTTTAGGGACCCTCTTGAGGAGGCAGTCTGCCCGTTCTCAGATCTCCAGCTGCGTGCTGGGAGAACCACTGCTCTCTTCAAAGCTGTCAGACAGGGACATTTAAGTCTGCAGAGGTTACTGCTGTCTTTTTGTTTGTCTGTGCCCTGCCCCCAGGGGTGGAGCCTACAGAGGCAGGCAGGCCTCCTTGAGCTGTGGTGGGCTCCACCCAGTTGGAGCTTCCTGGCTGCTTTGTTTACCTAGGCAAGCCTGGGCAATGGCGGGCGCCCCTCCCCCAGCCTCGCTGCCGCCTTGCAGTTTGATCTCAGACTGCTGTGCTAGCAATCAGCGAGACTCCATGGGCGTAGGACCCTCTGAGCCAGGTGTGGGATATAATCTCGTCGTGCGCCGTTTTTTAAGCCGGTCGGAAAAGCGCAGTATTTGGGTGGGAGTGACCCAATTTTCCAGGTGCGTCCGTCACCCCTTTCTTTGACTTGGAAAGGGAACTCCCTGACCCCTTGCACTTCCCAAGTGAGGCAATGCCTCGCCCTGCTTCGGCTCGCACACGGTGCACACACCCACTGACCTGCGCCCACTGCCTGGCACTCCCAAGTGAGATGAACCCGGTACCTCAGATGGAAATGCAGAAATCACCCATCTTCTGTGTCACTCACGCTGGGAGCTGTAGACAGGAGCTGTTCCTATTCGGCCATCTTGGCTCCTCCACGATTCAGTGGTAATGAATTTTCTTAGTGATTGCTTGTTCGGGAAAAATTGTCTTTCTCCTTCTGTTATGAAAATTAGTTTGGTGAGATACAAAATACTTGGTTGGTATTTCTTTACTTCAAGAATGCTAAAAATAGGCCTCCAGGTCTATTCTGGCTTGTAAGGTTTCTGCTGAGAAGTCCACTGTTCACCTGATGGGGTTCCCTTTGTGAACAGTGATAGAAAAGTGATATGACCCTTTTCTACAGTTGCCTTTAAGATTTCTTTTCTTGTTGACTTTGAAAATTCTGATGATTATGTGTCTTGAGGAAGGTCACCTTGTATAATGTCTCACAAAGATTCTCTGAATTTCTTGAACTTACATGTCAACTTCTTTCGCAAAATTGGGGAAATTGTTGTGGATTGTATCCTCAGATATGTTTTCCAAGTTGCTTACTCTCTCTTCTCTCTCAGACATGCCAGTGAGTCACACGTATAGTCTCTAGAGGGTTTGTCTATTTTTAAATTATTCTTTTTTATTTGTTTTTGTCTGACTGAGTTGATTTGGAAGACTGATCTTCAAGCTCTGAAATTCTTTCCTCAGCTTGGTCTAATCTGTTATTAAGACTTTCAGCTGTATTTTGAAATTTCTATAGTGAAATTTTCAATTCCAGAAGTTGAGTTTGGTTCTTACTTAAAATGGCTCTGTTGTCTTTCGATACTTGGATCATTTTTTGAGTTTTCTTGGATTGGGTTTTAATTTTCTCTTGAATCTCGTTGAGCTTTCTTGGCCATCCATATTCTGAATTCTATGTCAGTTGTTTCAGACATTTCAATCTGGTTAGGATCCATTGCTGGAGAGATAGTGCAATCCTTTAGAGGTAAGGAAACACTCTGACTTTTTAAATTGCTAGAGTTCTTGCACTGATTGCTTCTCATATGAGGGGGCCAGTATTTCTTTTTGAAATTGCCGTCATTTGGATGGGACTTTTTGTTTTTATAATAATTTTTGTGTTTGACTGTGGTGTATGTTGTGTATAGTACTGGCTTCATTTCTATGTGCTTTTAGAGGGCCAAGGCTGTGTAGAGTTCCTCAGTTGTGGATCCTTTCCTGCATGGGTCTCCAGGCATTGAGCGCTGAAGGGATGTATTTTTGCTTCCCGGTGTGATTCAGGTTGCAATCCAGTAGATAGTGCTTAAGAGTCAGGGCTGGCAGATAGGCTCTTAGCCACATGCCTCTTGTGTGTTTCAGTGCATGTGCAGCGGTGCCCTGGGGAGGGGAATGGGGGGCAAAAGATGACTTCCTCACCAAGTTTGTCTACAGGCCTTAGTGGAGTACCCTGCAGTTACTGGCATCACGCCTGCATTTCCTTAGCATCAAGTGGGGCTTTGGTGGGCTACCTTCTCCACACCTTCTTAGGTGTGGTCTGTGCCAAGTGTTAGGTCACCAGGAGACCCACAATTCCCTGGAGACCTACTGGTCCTCTAAGCCTGGCAGAGTCCAAGGAGGTTGTGAGGTATGTCTGCAGGTAGTCTGGTGATTCAGTGGGTCAAGAGTGGAGGATCCTGAGGGAGAGTGGTGGTACCACAGGTATTCAGCTTGTGTGTTGACTGTGGCCAGGGATTTTAGCCCAGAGGATGATTGTGGGACCTGCTCAGCTTGCACCCCTTCTACTGGGTCTCCCTCTGATGCCTGCGTAAGAACAGGCCCAACCAGCTAGACTTGTCCCAAGCCTTCTGCATTCAGGTCACTTGCTGTTCCAAAATGTTCTAGGCTGCAGGGCTCCTTGGGGCAGAAGCTGCAGCTAACAGGCTACACCCTTTCTGGACTGGTCTGGTGGAGGGAGGGATGACCAGCTCCCATGCCACCACATGAGCACAGGCCACACTCCCTCAGTGTTCTGAGAGTGGGGGCTCCTCCCCAACCTGAGCTCAGGCCACAGATCTCAGCTTGATGCCCCTGGGTAGTGTGCTTGAATCCTGGGGGGTAGGGACTCGGCCAGTAGTTTTGTCCTCTGAACCCTCAGGGTTGAGTGCCAGCTGTGCTGGGGGAGTTTAACTCCTCCCAGACAGCTGGCAAAACACTCAGGTGGGGCAGTAGAGGCTGTGCTGTGGGCAACCTCCTGCAGGAGTAGCCAGGCAGGTTGTCTTAGGAGGGACTGGTGGACAAGGCAGCGTGTGGATCAGATGTGCCCTGCTCCTGCAGGAAAGGCAGCCTTGCTCTCTCCTGGCCGAACAGTCAGCAGGAGCTACAGTCACTCAGAGCAAGATAGAGAGCCTTCTGGGATAAATGCCTGAAGTCACGTTTAGTTGCTGCTGCACCACGTGCCACCTTGAAACCTTCAGGGTTCTATGCAGGTTCAATCTCTGCCTCTGTCTGGTCTCTAAGAAGTTCCTCCTGCCAATTCAAATGTCTGTGGGGGTAATGGGATCTCTTGTCTCTAGGATCCCAGAGGGTTGTATTTGGGGTGTGGTGCCTTGGAGTTCCTTTACTCACCCCTTCCTTAGGACCTGTTGAGGGCCAGGAGCTGGTCTTGGTGCTCGGTGACTCCATGCAGGCTTCCCAGTTTCCTCCCTCTTTAGCCACAATGTCTGTCACCTCCCTATCGATTTTTGGTGTTTTCTCTCAAAATATTTTTTCAAAGTATAATGGTTTACTCTACATTTTGGTTTCTGTTAGTGAGGGAGGCCTTTCCCAGCTGCATCTAGTCAGCCATCTTCTAGATCTTTTTCTTGATTCTGACACTTTGACCTAATTTAAATGTTGACCTGAGGATATTTTGACTCTGCTTCTAAATACCAATATTCAGATTTATACGATCATCAATGAATTCAGGTCAATAAGGAGTTCTTACATTTTTTGAAGTAAAATCTATGAGTTTGATTCCTTAATTTTTTGTATAGCAGTGTTAAACTATGGTTTTATTCTTTTTTATTCTACTAAACTTCATTGGACTGAATGTCAATTTAAAAACAAAGATTTGATTTAGTGATTATGTTTTATCTACATTGTTTGAACAACCAAAGCTATTTCATTAAATATTTCTGTGGTCATTATTTCTCCCTAATACAATTTTCCAATGTCAAATTTTAAAGGAAGATATAATTCTTTTATCAATTTTTGGTCAGTAAACATTACCATGAAAAGTTTAGCTAATGTCAATTCTATTTTCTGTTAATAACTTCTCTGAAGGTTTCATTTCTTCCAAGGTCAATTTTTGCAGTTTTCTGGTTTACTAACAATATGTGATTCTTTAACCCATTTTGACCATTGTTCAACTAACTTTTACAAAGAAAAAATTCACTTCACTATATGTACATGTCTTTAGAATTGCTAGTTTTATTTTGTCATGATGATTTCCTCCTAATCTTGTTTTGCTTGGGTAAAGTTGTATTTTATGTTGAATATCCTCAGTGTCAGAATGCCAGGATTAAAATATTCTCCTGTAATCTTAATTACTCTTTATTTTTTCCTCTCAATCTGCATGTAAGTGTTAGCCAGAGTTAGGCATCTGGGGAAAAGTAAGTGTAAATTTAAGGAAAAAGGGCAAATTTTTTATTTAGGTAAAACATTTTACATGCATTTGATCTCTGACTCACTGGGAAAAAGCTCTTTCCTTACCCTGAAGGTTTTTTTTTTTTTTTTTTTTGAGACAGAGTCTCACTCTGTCACCCAGTTTAGAGTGCTGTGGCATGATCTTGGCTCACTGCAGCTTCTGCCTCCCAGGTTCAAGCAATTCTCCTGTGTCAGCTTCCCAAGTAGCTGGAATTACAGGCATGTGCCAACATGCCCGGCTAATGTTTGTATTTTTAGTAGGGACGGGGTTTCACCAAATTGACCAGGCTGGTCTTGAACTCCTGCCCTTAAGTGATCTGCCCGCCTCGGCCTCCCAAAGTGCTGGGATTACGGGCTTGAGCCACTGCGCCCAGCTACCTTGGAGCTTTTATATACCTTGTCAATCCAACCTGGCTTTTTCTTTCTGGCAGGATGAACTACCTCTTAGCACAAAGTATTGCAATCAACTGTTCCTCACCTGTGTGAAAAACAGCCTTTAGAAGGTTGAACTAAATAAAAAAATATATAATCTCACACTTTTAAATAGGTGGGCCTTCATTTTAGCTTTTCGTAGGTTAGTCTAAAGTAATACAAATGAATATATCTTTTATTGATTAGCTGGAAATAATTTAGACTCTCTGTCTCTTTCAAATTATTAAAAACAGATAAAGTGGCTACTCTGGGATGGATCTGATTTTATTTCTCCACTGTTTTTCATTTTTTGATTTTTTAATTTTTCATTTTCTTAATTTTCTTGATAATCAGGAAAGGCTGAATATTATGCTCTGTAGAAAGCTACTTGGGTCTTTGGATATGTTGATGTGACTACAAAAATAACAATAAAAATAGTTTACAGCACTTACTGTGAGTTGGACACTATTCTTACTGCTTTACATATGCTAACTCAATGTATCTAAAACCCCTTTGAGGATGGTTCTATTTCTCCTATTTTATAGATGAGGAAACTGAGGCATAGAGAAGTTAAGTAACTTGTGCAGATAAACACAGTAACAATTGAACACAAACTGCATGAAGTTTTCTATTTTAAAAATACTTTATATCTTGTTTTTAATTAAAAATAAATTTTGATTCCCTGCCTTCGCAAATGGGGTGAATGTATAATTTCCCATTGACACATCCTTGCTGCACGTAAAGAGATGGAGAGATGGAGCATGAAGTTTGAAGTATGTGATAAAACTGGAGTCCAGCCCCTTTATTTGCTTTGTACCTACCAAACCCAACAGGAAAACTGAGGAGTTTTCTCTGTATGAGATGAGAGCATTGTCCCAATCCTTCTCCTCACTCCTCTTTCTTAATATGCCTCTTAGTTTAGATCTTCCCTGTAGCACATGTACGTTGTTTCATGCAACCAGTAAAACTGATCATATTATTAAAGAGTTTGTAGGGACAAACTGCAATAAGTAGAAATTTACTAAATGCTCAGTTTTACAACTACTTACAGCAGGAAATTACATTTTTCTCCTGTTGCTGATTTTCTCCATCTCTCTGACACCCCTGACTCTTCTCATTAGCCTACCATATACCCACTCTGATCCCGTATCAAAGTTACCCTCTTTGGTGATACTCAGTTTCCTGTTTGATTCTGCAGGACATCATACACTTGTGAGTTTTTGTGGAATGTTTTGAGTACAACCAGTATATAATATCTGCTAGGAATGCTCTGGTTTATGCTCCAGGAATTTTGTTACTTCCATCTTCTCTCTACAGCCTTTGAGATTGACTTTGTAGTTCACTGAGCGGTCCAAAATACTTATCCTATGTAAATTGCCTGGAAGAGGTCACCTCCAGGTATTTGTATACACACACTACTGGGCGTCTTTGCAATAAGAAACTGTGGTTGGAAATATTCTGATCACTATGCTACCCAAGGCTGAGTCTGTCTCAGTAGTTAAGGAGATGAAAGAAGTTATAAAGCAGTTTGAAGTGGAAAAAATTATTTTAACTGGAAAAATTTCAATAAACAAATTATTAAATTGATATTCTTCTTTCTAAAATAGTTATTTTTCTATGTAATAGGTATAAGTTTATGTTACAGCATATGGGAACAAAAAACCCAGAAATTATTTATTTCCTCCTAGAACCAAAGTCTAGAATATTAGCTTTAGATGCTTGACATTCTTTGCCAGGTTCCAGGCCTGGCTTAAAGCCAGAGGATGGAGGATGAGGAACATAATTTTCCTATTCATTGAATAAAGTTCTTAGTTCAGTCAGAACTACTCTTAGTGTAAAAGCCTAACCTATTCAAATAATTTTATTTTCAAACATAAATGAATGGTATCTTGATGGCGTAGAACCTTCTGAGAAAACTGGATTGCATACATGGTAATCCATGATTGGTGCTAGAGAAGATGAGCTGTAAGCAGTAAGTTTCAAGGCCAAGCAATGGGAAAACTTCCAGCTGGAAACCTGGTAATTGATTGAACTGTTTCATCTTTGTTTTTTATTCTTTTGGTGAAGTTTTACTTTTTCTTTCCTTATAAACTTAACTAACATCTTCAGTTATTAAAAAAGTTTTTATTTTTATATTGAAGAAATGAAAGAACCACATTTAATAGAAAATGTAAAAATAGATTTAATAAATTATGATTTTTTATTTTAAATAAACACTTAACTGTGTGCCAAAAGTATTGCTATGAAAATAAGAATCAACCTCTATTTGGAGACATTTACATTTTTCCCCAAATTAAATAATAATACTCTATCAAAATGAAATTTCTATCATGACATTTTTATGGAATGTATGTATCTCTCATGAATCACGGCTATCATCTCAATTTTGTCATTGCACTGAAAAGAACATGCATTCTTTCTTCTCCTCACCTCAGGAACTCGTAAAAGTACTAATCATCCTTAAAAATAAAAATGCAGTAGATAGCATTATTTTTAAATTTCTCTGATACTATATGGAGTAGATTATTTATTTTGTATGAAAGTATGTAAATAGTAAGAAGAAGCCAGGAGCAGTGGCTCACACCTGTAATCCCAGCACTTTGTGAGGCTGAGGAAGGAGGATAGCTTGAGGCCACAATTTCGAGACCACCCTGGGCAACAAAACAAAACCCTGTCTCTTCAAAAAATTAAAAAAAAAAATAGCCAAGTGTAGTGGTGTGCACCAGTAGTCATAGCTACTCAGGAGGCTGAGGCAGGAAGATTCCCTGAGCCCAGGAATTGGAGGCTGCAGTGAGTTATGGATTATGGCACTATATTTCAGCCTGAGTGACAGAGTGAGAACCTGTCTTTAAAAAAAAAAAAATGTGAGAAAGAGAGAACGAATCACTTTTTGCTTTCTTTGGATGTCTTCCACAAAACCAGAAAAATAAGAGAGATGTATACCTGCTAGGAAAATTTTTGTTGGACTTTAATGATGTTGATACATTTTAATATGTATTTAATTGGTTAGTACACTTAATGTTTTATACATAAACTTCCTTCTTGAATAGATCATGACAGAAGTGAAAACAGTAAACATGCAGAACATTCTCATAGTTGCGTATGCATCATGAAGGAGTTCCCCTTGACAATAATAGACATTTCTTAGGATATATTTCAGAACACCAAGATTTGATTTGGAGCATTCAGAATACCAATTTGAGTGTGGTGTGTGTGTGTGTGTGTGTGTGTGTGTGCATGCACATTTTAAAGAGACAGAGAGAGCAAAATCAATTTTATTGTTATGATCTGAAGGTACCTATTAAAGTAGACTTTATAAACATATCTTCTAGAAATATTGAGTTAATGCCACCTAAGTCAAAGCCAAAGTGTATTAGGTAAGTATTTACTTAACAAATACAGTCAACCTTTGGTGTTTACGGGTTCTGCACCTGCAGATTTAGCCAACTGTGGATCAAAAATACAGTATTTGTGGGATGCAGAACCCACAGATATAGAGGGCAGACTTTTTGTATTCATGCGTTTTGCAGAGTCAACTGCAGACTTAAGCGTCTGTGGATTTTGTTATAAGGGAAAGGTTCTAGAAACAATCCCCTGTGGACATCAAGGAACAACTGTAATTACTCAATTCTGTGATTATGATAAGAACTTTGTACTGATTGATCAGATCATCTTGTAAAATGTGATATTTATGAGTGTTTTTTTAATTGGTTGCTTTGTTAGATAACTCTGATTAAAGCAAATTTCTCAGTAATATTGATATTCTCTTCTAATACCTGGCCTAGTGATGTGAGGCCAGCCTCAATAAATATTGACAAAAAATCATTAGCTATTTGTTAAATGTTTAGAAACTGTTAAGTGCTCTTTTCCAAAAACAATCAATGTATTCCTTAACCATAGAGAATGTGGTATAAAAATGCAACACAGGGGTGACGTCAGCGATTTGGTGGCATGGGAGGTCTCCTTTCATATTCTCCCAACTCCAACAATAATTTCTCAGCCATTTATGGGAAAAAAATGCCTTTGTGGGAGCTATGGGATCCAAGTAAGTGATTGTAAGCTCTGGTAGACCCTAAGACTGATGACAGCTGTTTTGAGAAGGCAGGCCTGTGCCCAGGTGGCAGGCTCACTGATGGTGACCTTGGCTACAAACCTGGAAACAGCTCCATCCCCCTATGGACTCTGCTACAGCCCCATTTGGCCTTAGTCTTGCCACCAGCACCATCCACCAAGGGACGCACGAGGAACCACATCTGTCCCTGCTTCAGGTAACAGGCCTGCTGACACTGGTCCTGACTGTGGACTCTGAAGCAGTATGTGACCCAACTCCAGGTCCTCTGAGCCATGATCCAGGAGCAGTCCTGTCTGATGAATAATGCAACAGGAATGACCCAGCAGGAGCCACACCTGTCCACAAACCTGTTAATAGGCCCACCTTCTGCAGATCCAACTGTGGATCCTGAAGCATATGATCCTTGTCTCGATGACAACTTTACTGACCAAGGTATCAGAGACAGTCTCATCTGCTTAGGGACCCCATAGGAGATATGCCTACCTAAGCCCCCTGACAACAGACTTACCAATCACAGATCCCACTGTGGACCCAGCAAGAACTATGTGACCCAGCTTCAACCTCACTGAACTGAAATTCCAGAGGCAATCCCATTATCCTGGGGACCTAACAGGAGAAGGTATTTACTTGCTGAAAGTGGTTGTAAAGACTGAAAGAGGTCTTTATCTCTTCCAGTGCTCAGCTACCAATGCAAGGCTACCTGGATTACAAACAATTAAGCAAACATGACACTGCCTAAGGAAACTAGCAAAGCTCTAGTAACTGACATCAAAGAAATGATGATCTACAAATTATCTGACAAAGAATTCAAAATAATCATCTTAAAATGGCTCAATGGGATGTAAGATAACATAGATAGATAATTATTTAAAAATAACAAAAACAGAGCATTAACACAATGAGAAGTTTAATAAGAAACAGAAACTATAAAAATAACCAAACAGAAATCTAGGAGCTAAAAAATACAATGACAGAACTGAAAAATTTAATAGAGAGCATAAACAGCAGACTCAGTCATGCAGAAGAATCAGCAAACTCAAATATAGCTCATTTGAAATTACCTGGTTAGAGGAACAAAAAGAAAAAAGAATGAAAAAGAGTGAAAAAAGCATACAGCGCCTATGGTACATCATAAAACAAACAAATAAATTCATTATAAGAATTTCATAACAAGAAATGAGAGAAAAGGGAAGGAAGCTTGTTTAAATAAATAATGGCTGAAAACGTCCCAAATCTTGACAGCAATATGGGACTACAAATTCATAAAGCTTAAAGGTCCCCAAGAAAGGTCAACTAAAATAATTTCTGAATATTCTTGAATATTCTAATCAAATTGTCAAAAGTCAGACAAAAGGAGTACTGTGAAAGCAGCAAGAGAAAAATGACTCATCACACACAAGAGAACTTTAATGAGGCTGCCAATGGGTTTCTTAACAGAAATCTTGCAGGCTAGGAGAGTATGGGATTATATATTCAAAAGGCTGAAAAAAAGGCTCCAAAAATGCTACACCTAGAGAAGTTTTCCTTCAGAAAGGGAGAGATGAAGACATTCTCAAACAAACAAAAGCTGAGGGACTTCATCACCACTAGGTCTGCCTTACAAGAAACATTAAAAGGAGTTCTTCAAGTTAAAATGAAATGATATTAAGTAAAAATATGAAAACACATGAAAGTATAAAACTAACTGGTAAAGGCAAATTCAGAATATTCTAATACTTTAATGGTGGTGTGTAAATCACTTTTGACTCTAGTATAAAAGAAAAAAGACTAAGGTATTAGAAATAACTATAGCCATAATATTTGTGAAAGAATAGTTATATCTTTTATATTGTATATTCATTCACAGAAAATATAAAGTGTGATATCAATAGCATACAGGTGAGAGTAGTGAAGTAGAAGTATAGAGATTTATATGTAATTGAAGTTGCTATCAGCTTAAAATAGACTGTTATAACTATAAGATATACATTTAACCCCCCTGGTAACAACAGAGGAAAAAAACCTCTAGCAGATAAATAAAATAGAATGAGAACAGAACAAAGTATACTGCTAGAAAATATTAACAAACTACAAATAAAAAGAACAAGAACTCATTTTTTATGGCTGCATAGTATTCCATGGAGTATATGTACCATATTTTCTTTATCCAGTCTATCATTGATGGGCATTTAGGTTGATTCCATGTCTTTGTTATTGTGAATAGTGCTGCGATGAACATAAATATACGTGTGTCTTTATAATAGAATGATTTATATTCCTTTGGGTATATACCCAGTAATGGGATTTCTGGGTTGAGTGGCATTTCTGTCTCTAGATCCTTGAGGAAACATGGATGGAGCTGGAGGCCATCATCCTTAGCAAACTAATGCAGGAACAGAAAACCAAATACCATGTGTTCTTATTTATAAGTTGGAGCTAAATGATAAGAACACTTAGACACATAGAGGAGAACAATATACACTGGGGCCTACCAGAGGGCAGAGGGTTGGAGGAAGGAGAATATCAGGAAAAATAACTAATGGATACTAGGCTTAACACCTGGCCGATGAAATAATCTGTACAGCCAACCCCCTTGACACACATTTGCCTATGTAACAAACCTGCACATCCTGCACATGTACCCCTGAACTTAAAATACAAGTTAAAAAATAAAAATAAAAGAAATCCTGTGTTATTCAAATGTAAAAAAAATGATAGCAAGAGAAGAAGGAAACAAAGGACAACGGAACCACATAACCTTCATAAAACAATGAACAAAATGGCAACTTTTTGAAAGTCCTAACTTGTCAACTTTAAATGTAAATAGATTAAATTATCCAATCAAAAGCCACAATTCATGAACAAAATAAGTTTGACAAAAATAGAAATAATTATAAATAAGAAAAATCCTAGAAATAAAAATACAATAAGTGAACAAAAATATTTAGTAGAAAACTTCAGTAGCAGGCTTCCTAAATCATAATAAAGAATCAGTGAGCTCCATGACAGGATATTGGAAATTATCCAGTCAAAGGAACAAAAAGAGAAAAGAATAAAAAAGAATGAAGAAGGCCTGTGGGAGTTACGGGAAACCATCAAGAGAACTAAACTTTGCGTAGTAGGTGTTTAGAAGGAGAAGAGAGAGAAAAGGCCAACAAAGCATTTTTAAGGAACTATTGAGTGAAAATTTCTCAAATCTTGGGAAAACACCACCATCCAGGTATAGGAAGCTGATATGGTTGGGATCTGTGTTCCCACCAAAATCTCATGTTTTAATTATAATTTCCAATGTTGGAGGTGGGGCCTGGTGGGAGATGATTGGATCATGGGGCATATCTCGTGAATGGTTTAGCATCATCCCTCTTGTTACTGTCCTCATGATAGTGAGTGATTTCTCATGAGATCTTGTCATTTAAAAGTGTGTAGCAACAAGCCCTTACTCTCTCTTGCTCTTGCTCTGGCCATGTGATGTTCCTGTTGCACCTTCACCTTCCACCATGGTTTTAAGTTTCCTGAGGCCTCCCCAGAAGCTGAGCAGATGCCAGCAGCATGATTCCTGTACAGCCTGCAATAATGGTAAATTCTTTTCTTTATAAATTACCCAGTCTCAGGTATTTCTTTATAGCAATGCAAGAATGGTCTAATACAAAAGCTTAGATCTCTGCAATCAAATACAAACCAAAGAGAAACTCACCAAGACACATCATAATAAAATCTTCAAAAATCAATGACAGTAATTCTGAAAGCAGCAAAATACAAAAGATATGCCACATACAAGTAAGTCCCAATACATCTGTCAGCAGATTTCTTAGCAAAAGCGCTGCAGACAAGGAGAAGTAGGATGAATATTCAAAGTACTGGGGGGAAATAACTGCCAAGTAAGGATGCTTTATCTGGTAAAGCTGTCCTTCAGGAATGAGGAACACAAAACCTTTCCCAGGCAAACAAAAACTAAGAAAATTAATCACCACTAAGCCTTCTTAATAGGAATTTCTAGGGAAAGTTCTTTAAGCTAATATGAAAGACTGCTAATTAACAACATAAAACACATGAAAGTACAAAAGTCAATCAAATAAGTAATACATAATTATATTCCAAATATTCTGATATTGTAAGGGTGATGTGGAAAGCAATTTTATCTCTAATATGAGAGGTAAAACACAAAACTATTAACAACAACTACAGGTACAATAAATTGTTGAGAAATACAAATCACAAAAAGGTGTACATTTTGAAGTCAATATCATAAAATATAAGGAGGTGAGTATAAATATAGAATTTTTGTATGCAATTAGAATTAAGATGTCAGATTAAAACAGCCTAAATATAAAATATTTTATATAAGTTTCATGGTAACCACAAATTAAAAACCTAAAGTAGTTTCACAAAACAGAAAGAAAAGATTCAAAGCATACCACCACAGAAAACCACCAAACCACAAAAAAGACAAGAAAGAAACAAAGAATCTACAAAACAACCAAAAATAACTTTAAAATGGCAATAATACATCCTTACCTATTAATAATTCCTTGAATGTAAATAGATTAAATTATCCAATCAAAAGACAGAATGACTGGTTGGGTTAAAAAAATAAGACCCAACTCTATACTGCCTACAAGAGACTTACTTTACTAGTAAAGAGATACATAGAGTGAAAAGTGAAAAGATAGAAAAAGATATCCATGCAAATGGAAACCAAATGAGAGCAGGGGTAGCTATGTTTATATCAGGCAAAATAGACTTAAAGTTACAAACTTTAAAAAGAGACAAAGATATGATTAAAAGGCCAATTTATCGAGAGGATATGCAAATTGTAAATATATATGCACCCAACCTAAATATATAAAGCAATTAAATGAACTGAGGGAAATATAGACTGCAATACAATAATATTATGGGACTTCAATATGCCACTTTCAACAATGGACAAATCATCTAGATAGAACATCAAAAAGAAAACACTGGACTTGTACTTATACTCGCGTGGACTTATACTCACCCCCCTTACACTTTAGATCAAATGGACCTAACATGTCTAAAGAACATGCAGTCCAACAGGATTAGGATACATACTCTTCTCAAGGGCATATTAAACATTCTCCAAGATAGGTCATATTTTAGGTCACAAAACAGGTCTTACATTTAAGAGGAGTGAAATCATAAGTATCTTTTCTGTTCACAGTGGTACAAAACTAGAAATCATAAAAGAATGAATTTCAGAAAATATAAAATATGTGGAAATTAAACAACATGCTCATGAATAACCAATGGGTAATTGATTATCAATAGTCAAGAAGAAATAAAAAAGGAAGTCAAGAAATGCCTTGATACAAACGAAAATGAAAACAATGTATAGAAACTTATGGGATGCCCCAGAAACAGTTCTAAAAGGGAAATTCATAGCAATAAATGCCTATATCCAAAAAGAAGAGAGTTCAAATAAACAATCTAACATCTGACTTCACAAAAGTAGGAAAAGAAGAACAAAATAAGCCTCAAGTTAGTAGAAGGAAGAAAATAATGAAGATCACAGCATAAATAAATGCGAGACTAGAAAAACAATAGAAAAAAAATCAATGAAACGAACATTTTTTTAAAAAAACAAGTCAACAAAACCTTAGCTAGATTAAAAAAGAGAGAAGCCTCAAATAAATAAAATCAAACATGAAAAGAGAACATTATAACTGATAACCACAGAAACACAAAGGATCATAAGAAACTGCTATGAATAATTATATGTCAACAAATTGGATAACCTAAAAGAAATAAATTCCTAGACACATACAATCTACCAAGACTGAATCAAGAATAAATAAAAAATCTGAATAGATCGATAATAAGTAAGGAGATTTAATCAGTAACAAAATGTCTTCCTCTAAGATCAGGGATAAAATAAGAAAAACTAATACTGATTCTTCACAAACTGTTTCAAAAAATTGAAGTGAATGGAATACCTCCAAACTCATTTTACAAGGCCAGCATTAACCTGATAAAAAGCCAGACAAGGACACCTCAGAAAAAGAAAATTACAGGCCATTATCTCTGATAAACATAAATGCAAAAATTCTCAACAAAATACTAGCAAATTGAATTCAACAATACATCAAAACAATTATGCATCATGATCAAGTGGGATTTATCTTTGGGATACAAGGATGATTCAACATATGCAAATAAAAAATTGTGATACCCTACATTAGCAGAATGAAGCACAAAAACTAAATGATTATCTCAATAGATGCACAAAAGCGTTTGACAAAATTTAACACCCTATTATGATAAAAACTCTCAACAGATTAGGTATAGAGGAAATGTGCCTCAACACAATAAAGGCTGTATATCATAAGCCCACAGCTAACATACTGTGAAAGTTTCAATAGTGAAACTAACATACTGTGAAGTTTTCAACAGTGAAAACTTGAAAGCTTTTCCTCTAAGATCAGGGATAAAATAAGAATGCTCACTCTTATGACTTCTTTTCAACATAACTCTAGAAGTCCTAGACCAAGCAATTAAGCAACAGAAAGAAATAAAAGGCATCCTAATAGGAAAAGAAGACGTGAAATTGTCTGCTTGCTAATGACATGATCTTATATACATAAGATAGGAATCTGTAAAGATTCCACCAAAAAACTGTTAAACTGGTAAATGAATTCAGAAAAGTTGTAGGATACAAACTCAACACGAAAAATCATTAGCACCTCTATACACAAATAACAAACTATTTCAAAAGGAAATGAAGAAAAAAATCTCATTTATACTAGCAACAAAAAATAAGATACTTAGGTGTAAATTTAATCATGTAGGGGAAATATTTGTATACCAAAAACTGTAAACACTGATGCCAAAAATTAAAGAAAACACAAATAAATGGAAAGATATCTTGTGTTCATGGAATGGAAGAATTAATATTGTTAAAATGTTCATACTATGCAAAGTGCTCTACACATTCAGTGCAATCCCTATCAAAATTTCAATGGCATTTTTCACAAATAGAGATAAACAATTGTTAAATTTTATGGAACCACATAAACCCTGAAGAGCCAAAACAGTCTTGAGCAAAAGGAACAAAGCCAAAGACATTGCACCCCCTGATTTCATAATATATTATAAAGTAGTTGTAATCAAAATAGCATGACACTGGCATTAAAAACAGACACGTTTAACAATGGCACGGGACAGAGAACCTACAAATAAAACTCACACATTTACATTCAAGTGATTTTCAACAAAGGTGCTAAGAACACTCAATGGGAAAAAAAGATAGTTTCTTTGATAAGTAGTGTTGGGAAAACTGGATATCCAAATGTAGAAGAATTAAATTGAATTATTATCTCACATCATATACAAAAAACAACTGGCCAGGTGCAGTGGCTCACACCTCTAATCCCAGCACTTTGAGAGGCCAAGGTGGGAGGATCACTTGAAGCCAGGAGTTCAAAACCAGCCTGGACAACAAAGTGAGACCCCCGTCTATGAAATAAAATAAATATTCAGCTTAAAATGGACAAAAGAATTAAATATATACCTGAAACTATAAAACTACTAGAACAAAACAGAAGAAAATTTCCATGACACTTGTCTGGTCATGGATTTTTTTGATATGAACCCAAAAATATAGCCAACAAAAGCAAAAATGGACAAATGAGATTGCATCAAATAAAAAGCTTTTGAACAGTAAAGGAAGTAATTAACAAAGTGAAAAGGCAGACAATTTGCGAGTGGGAAAACTTATTTTCAAACCATACATCTGATAAGAAATTTATGTCCAAAATACATAAGAGGCTCAAACAACTCAGTAGCAAGGAAACAAGTAACTCAATTAAAACATAGGGAAAGGACCTGAACAGACATTTCTCAAAAAAAGATATATAAATGACTGACAGGATGTGAATAAATGCTCAATATTACTAATCACTAGGGAAATGCAAAATTAAAATCACAGTGAGGTATCACTTTATACCTGTTGGCTATTATTGAAAATATGAAAGATAACAAGTGTTGGTGAGGATGTAGAGAAAAGCAAACCCTGTGCACCGTTGGTGAGAATGTAAATTGGTGCAGTCATTATGGGAAAATGGTATGGAAGTTCCCCAAAAAACCAAAAATAGAATTACCACATGATCCAGCAATCCTATTTCTGAGTATATATCCAAAGGAATTGAAATCAATATGTTATAGAGTTATCAACAGTCCCATATTTCACTGCAGTAGTATTCATAACAGCCATGATAAGGAATCAGCCTAAGTGTCCATCAACAGATTAATGGATAAAGAAAATGTGGTATAGCTGGGCATGGTGGCTCAGGCCTGTAATCCCAGCACTTTGGGAGACCAAGGTGGGTGGATTGCTTGAGCCCAGGAGTTCCAGATCAGCCTGGGCAATATGGTGAAACTCTGTCTCTTAAAAAAAAAAAAAATACAAAAATTAGCCAGCGTGGTGGCATGCCCCTGTAGTTCCAGCTACTTGGGAGACTGAGGAGGAAGGATGGCTTGAGATCAGGAGGTGGAGGCTGCAGTGAACTGACATCACGCCACCGTACTCCAGCCTGAGTGACAGAGTGAGACCCTGTCTCAAGAAAAAAAAAAAAAAAAAAAGAAAAGAAAATGGCATATATACATAATAGCATACTATTCCACCTTAAAAAAAAAAAGAAAAGAAAATTCTGTCATTTGCAAAAACATGGAGCCGCCTGGAGGGCATTATAAGTGAAATATGCCTAGGCACAAAAAGACAAATACTGCAAGATCTCACTTACATGGGCAATCTCAAAATGTCAAACTCATAAAAGAGAGAGTAGAATGGTAGTTACCAGAGGTTGCAGGGGGAGGGGAGGGAAGGGAGGGAATGGGAAATTGTTGGTCAGTGGTTATAAAGTTTCACTTAGGAAGAATAGGATTTTGAGATCTATAGCACAGCAGGGTGACTAAGTCAATAATACATTGTATATCTCAAAATAGGTTAAATTTCAAATGTCTTACCACAAAGTATGATAACAAGCATAAGGGATATGTTTATCAGCTTGATTGAATCATTCTACATTGTATACATGTATTGAACCATCACATCATATCCCATTCACGAATGTACACCATTATGATTTGTTGGTTAAAAATAATGTTAATAAAAAATTATTCAATTACAAAAAATAAATTTTGGGGGTATAAAGTACTGCATGGTGACTACAGTTAATAATACTATACTATATATTTGAAATTTGCTAAAGGAATATACCTTAAGTGTTCTCACCACACACACAAAATGGTAACTATGTGAGATGCTAGATTTAATTAGTATGATTGTAGTAGTTATTTCACAATGTATATCAAATCATCACATTATATACCTTAAATATATGTAATTTTTATTTTCCAGTTATACATTGATAAAGCTAGAAAAAAGTTTTAAAAAATAATGCAATGCAAAACTTTGACTAACATACCAAATTGAGTCTTAAATATATAAAGTATAGCACTAGCACAACAATAGCTAAAGGTTAAATATACCAAATATGGCATGCACACTTATCAAACATCTTTAATTCATAACAGTTTTCCCCTGTGCCCCATGTATTCACTGTATGTTGATTTACATTATTTCAAGTATTTTTTCCTGAGGTATCTACTGGAAAAACCTGACTGTTCAAACTTACCAATTTTCTGTTCTGTTCTTCTCTTTATATTTTTATTTAGTACTTAAACAATGAATCAGATACGGTTTCTGGCAGGAAATAAAGTAGCTAATGTAGTAAAAATCTTTCCTAAGCAATAGTATGCAGGACTATGTTGTGTGTATTGTATGTGTGTGTGTGTGTGTGTGTGTGTAAGTGACATTGAAGAAGCACAGAACTAGAAACAGACTAGTGCAAAAACCATGTTAAATTTTAAAGGCAAGTTGTTTTCTAACATTTCTAAAGTTCTGGAACGGGTTTTCTGGAAGTGATGTGTGACATATAACTCTTTGACGCATGCTTATCTTTTTGTAATGAGATTTGAGAGCAAGGTTAAAGTTAAATTAGTAAGAAAGAAAACTAGCTGATTTGAGTAAGTGTTTAATTTAAACTATGACCATAATTATCCATTTCTCTCCTCATGGTTCACTATTTCCTTGACACACAGGATTTTCTATCCCAAGTTTTCCTTCCTCCACCCACTGGGCCCATTTTCTTAACCCTCTTTCAAAGTCCAGCTTGCAGACCACCTCCTTACATGAGGCTTTTCTTGGTTTCACAGCTAAATATGAGCTGTCTTTCCCTCACATTTTCCAGGGCCTTTGTGTTTCCTCTTTAAGCACTCTTTGACTTCTTGTGTTACAGTCTTTGTACATTTGTGTATTTCTGCTTCACAAGAGGAGTTGTTTCTTATCCATCTTTGTGTCTCTGATAGGGCCTTACAGAGAAAGCACTCAGTGAAATTTCAATTCTACTCAGTGCTCAGAGAAACCTTTTCAGAGGTTGAAATGAACTTAGATGGAAGTTTTTGGTCAGGACACGTTCACATTTTAAGGGCTCTCTATCAATGAATAGTATCACAGGCTGCCTGAGCCTCCAAGTTCAAGAGCTTTTAGTGACGATATACAGGAAGTGCTCTTGGTTCTTTTAGAGGTTGGAAAGACACCAGCAACTAAGGCCAAGAAAAGGCATAACGTTAATTCTTTTCTTTCTCTAAATTCCTGCAAGTAAGATAACTGAAGATGGATTGGATGGCATGGATGTGGGAATTAAAATTGATTTCAGTTCTTAGGAGAAGAGTTGAGAAAAAAGATAGGAAATGCAACGATGTGCCACTTAAGGATGGGAATATGTTCTGAGAAATGCATTGTTAGGCAATTTTGTTGTTGTGCAAACATCATAGCATGTACGTAGACAAATCTAGATGGTATAGCCTACTACACACCTAGGCCATATGGTATAATCTACTGCTCATAGGCTACAAATCTGTACAGCATGTTATTGTACTGAATACTGTAGGCAATTGTAACACAATGGCAAGTATTTCTGTACCTAAACATATCTAAATATAGAAAAGGTACAGTAAAACTGCAGTATAAAAGATTTAAAATGGCACACCTGTAAATACGGCACTTACAATTAATTTTCAAGACTTCCTGGAAGTTGCTTTGAGTGAGTCAGTGAGTGAATGGTAAGTGAGGTGAAGGCCTAGGACATTACTGTATATTAGGATACTACTGTATATTACTGTGTATTTAGTTTACACTAAATTTATTAAAAATGTATAATATATAATAAATTAACCTTAACTTTCTGTAACTTTTTTACTTTAAAATTTAAATCATTTAAGCTTTTTGAGTCTTGTAATAATAGGTTAAAACATAAATAGCTGTACAAAAAAATTTTCTTTCTTTATATCCTTATTCTATGAACTTTTTCCTATTTTTATATTTTTTAATTTTTAAACTTTTTGTTAAAAACAGAGACACAAACATACATGTTAGCCTAGGCCTACACAGGGTCAGGATTACCAATATCACTGTCTTCCACCTCCACATCTTATCCCACTGGGAGGTCTTCAGAAGCAATAACATGCACGGAGCTGTCATCTCCTATGCTAACAAGGCCTTCTTCTAGAATATCTCTTTTTTTTTTTTTTTTTTTTTTTGAGGCAGTCTTGCTTTGTCACCAGGCTGGAGTGCAGTAGCACTATCTCAGCTCACTGCAACCTGTGCCTCCTGAGTTCAAGCAATTCTCATGCCTCAGCCTCCTGAGTAGCTGGGGTTACAGGTGCCCGCCACCATGTCCAGCTAATTTCTGTATTTTTTTGTAGAGATGGGGTTTCACCATGTTGATGAGGCTGGTCTGAAACTCCTGACCTCAGATGATCTGCCCACCTCCGCTTCCCAAAGTGCTGGGATTACAGACATGAGCCACTGACTTCAAGAGGCCCAGAATACCTCTTGAAGGACCTGCCTGAGACTGTTTTACAATTTACTGGGTTTTTTTAAAAAATAAATACAGTATAGTAAATACATAAACAAGTAACATAGTCATTTATTATCATCAAGTATCGTGGCTGTAAATAATTGTATGTGTGATACTTTTATACAACTGACAGCATAGTATTGTTTACACCAACATCACAATCATGAGTAATGCTTTGTGCTATGAAGTTACAATGGCTATTAAGTCACTAGGTAATAGGAAATTTTCAGCTCCATTATTTTCTTGGAGGACTACCTTCATGTATGTGATTCATCATTGACTGAAGCATCATTATGTGATGCATAACTCTAATTTTTATTGAGGACCTCTTTGTCAGACATTTCACATGTCACTTAATATGTAACAGTAATAATCACAGTACTTTCTCACATTAATGGAAATATCGTAAATAATTTCACATCATGATCTCATTTGACTTTTCCAGTTGTGATATAGGTAGTGTATGGATTATATTCTTCCTTTAACAGAAACTGAGACATAAGAAAGCAAAATGATTTTTTCAAGGTTACATATTGAGTCAAAAACATAGTGTTAGAATATAAACTTTTTGTATCTTGATTAGCTCTTTCTACTATATCTTTTGTTCCTAGCACAAAATACAGTTTATAATTTTTATACAGTATTTTTTAAATTAGTTAAGAGCTCTTTATGTCTTCATGTGCATCAACCTTGGTTTTATTTCTTTGTAAAATTTTCTTTAATAAGAATGTGTATGGGAAATTTTTGTTGGTTAAACACAGAGAATTCCATACTTTAAAAGTTTTGACTAAATGTATATTACTAAATAAATAAGCACATCTTACCAACCTCTCATTTATGACGGTAACTGATAACACACAGTGGTGGGAAAGTGGACATCGAGAAACAGATATACATTATGACATAATGAAGTAATATTTCTCAATTTTAATGTTGACCTAAGTAGAAGAAGGTAGTGGACCCTCCTTGGATTGGTGTCAGAATCCCATGTGTCAGAATCCACTGTGGCACAGAAAAGAAGCCCGGAGCTCCTTTCTTCTTGAGAACATAGGGCTACCTAAAAGATCTGAGTCAAAAATAGATACCTCAGAAATTCTGGAAAATTCCTGGGAGAAAAAGAAGACCTAGGAGGTTTTACTTAAGAGCTCGAAAGTTGATTGGGCCACTGGATGATACTTTGATTTTTGTAAGCTTTTCTGTGTCGGAGTGATCAGACCCAACACCAGGTCGTGGGGGTGACGAAGTCCGGCGGAGTCAAAGGAATGAGAAAAAGACAGTTTGAGAGAGAAATTGGGACCAGGGGGCCATCGTGAGTGTGGAGGCTGCAAAGGCCCCAAGCTCTGGGAGCCCACGCTTTTTATTGGTGCTCAAACAAAGAAACAGGTAGTGAGGATGTGGGGGTTGAAAGGAAACAGTGTATCAAGTGAATGAGAAACATATGGCTGCTTGAGATAATGGGAGTGCTAGAAGCTGGGAGCCAGCAAGTCTATGGGATATGTAAGCCCTGCCTCAGCTTCTCTCCCAACACAGCTTTTCTCCCAATACTTCCAGATATTTTAATTCAAGTATTCCACCAATCAAGAAGTTTGGGGAATGATTGGAAATGAAATAACCTGAATTATCTGCAGAATGCCTAGAACACCCACCTGCACACAGCTTTAAAGGGTTCAGCCTCAGTCCTCTAAGAGACTTTCCTGTGGCACTAGGATGATCAAGGGAATTTATGGTTAGAGAAACAGACATCTATAGTGATTCCACACATATAACCTGTATATGTTCTTTAGAAATAGAAACTTTGTTCTAAAATCCCTCTGCTAACTTATATTTGGATTCTAAAACATTTCATTCATTTAAAAAATCAGTAGTGAGTGAAAGGTCATGTGTTAATTTGCAGGCCTTCAAGTGAATACAATGTGGAAGAAGAATCCTTGGAAAGTGTTGAGAATAGGTTCTACCTTACCCCATATTACTGTTTTTGAACCGAAAGCTGGAGGTGCCACCCCTCCTTAGCTGCCTTAGCAGGAGGGAATGACTACTGGCAGAAATATAACTGAAGCAACCAAGTGACTAGAAATTGCTTAGAAGTGTACATATTAATCCTGCCTTGTGACTTTGTCATCATTATCTCTCTGCAGAAAGTAAGTTGGAAATCCGGCTGGCTGTTTAGACTTTTAAAATGTGAAAGCAGAACACTTCTTAAGTCAGTTTTATGATGCATTCTAGCCAATGGTTGCATGAGCAGCATTATGAAAAGCCTAACTGGCATCAGCCTGTGTGGAGAGTGAATAAAAAGTAGCAGAACAAATAATTTTTTAAAAAGACAGCTCTAAGATAAATTTCATTATTTGTTCATAGCAAATATTTAATCAGCATCTACTATGATCCAGAACCACTGTTCTGAGTGGTGGGGCATACAGTAATGAACAAAACAGACAAAGTTCCTGCCCTCTTAAAGTTGACTCTCTTAAATTCGAGTAGGGATGGCTGACAATAAACAAAACCTGTGTGAGGACTAATAGATAGTCAAAAAATTATTATATCTTGAGTTAGAGAAGTGACTTGCTAAAGTTACACAGATTTCCAGCTGTAATCAAAATGATAGCAGATGCTCAGTTGGCTCACTGAATGGACTGTCTCAGTCTCTGAACTTGGATTACTTGAGTCTTTGAAGTAATATTGCTAACATGTTTTGGATTTCTTGTTTGGAAAAATGTAACCTTTCATTTTCTTCTGTTTTGTGAGTGAGTGTGTGGGTATGTCTTAGAAAGAGTGAGAGAGAACATACATATGGCCATATGAATCTAACAAACATAAGGATAAGAGCAAAAAGCACGTATCATCTGATTCCATCTATATAAAGCCAAAAATAGACAAATTATATTATTTAGGAATGTATAAGAAATAGTAAACTACAAGAAAAGCAAATAAATGATGATCATGAAATTCTAGACAGTGATTACTTTAGCAAAGAAGTAACTGTTTAGTATCCTATTGTACGACTATGTCATTATTTGTCTTCTCTACTTTTCAAAAACGTTAGATTGTTTTAAATTTTTGGCTATTACAAATGCTGCTGCCATGAACCGTATTATCCATGTATCTTAATGCACATACACGTAGTATGGGGTATATATTTAGGACTGAAATTGTTCTTTTATAGGGTCAGATCATGCCAAACTTTTTGAAAACACTTCTACCAATTTTTATTCTCACTAGCAGTGTATAAGACTCCATATCTTTGTCAAGACATCATATTATCAAGCTTTTCAATTTTTATGCATCTTTGGGGGGTATATAATAATTTCTCTGTGGTTTTAATGTATATCTTCCTAATTGCTAATGAGATTGAATATGATTTCATTATTTATTGACCATTTGGATTTTCTTCTCTGAAGTTCCTATCCAAGTCTCTTGCTCATGTTTTTATAAAGTTTTGTCTTTAAAAAAAAAACAAAAAACAGAAGTTCTCCAATGAGAACACATGGACACATCGGGGGGAACAACACACACTTGGGCCTGTTGGGGGACTGGCGGTGGGGGAGAATGTCAGGAGAAATAGCTAAGGGATGCTGGACTTAATACCCGGGTGATGGGTTGATCTGTGCAGCAAACCACCACGGCACACTTTGACCTATGTAACAAACCTACACATCCTGCACATATACCTTGAAACTTAAGATAAAAGTTGAAGAAAAAAAAGAGACAAAGAAGACAACATAAAGCACAGAAAGTATCTTAAAACACAGAATTTATCTTTGTTTTTTCCTTCCTTAGGTAGATAACTTATGGGGTATAAGAACCTTCTTAGTCTTTTATCAGTACTCCAAAGAAATCCTGTTTTTCAAAAATAGTAGAACAGATTCCAGTTTTGCTTCAAGGTTCTTTTGATTTAAAGTGCTTAAAAAAGGGGGATTTTTTACATATTCTAGATATTAGTAATTCAATGTTATCCCTCTCTTTATTGAGCCTTTCCATGACTAAAATTTCTTTTCTTTTTCTTTTCCTTTCTCTCTCTCTCTCTTTTTTTTTTTTTTTTTTTTTTTGGTAAAGTGTGTTATTCATTATGATGAGTGCTTTTGGGGGATGGTTTGGGGGGGTGGGGCGACAGTTAGAATCTCAAAGACTGGAATGGAAGACTCTTAAAGTGGCCAGGATTTCTAAACCACTCTCAGTACAACCACTCTAGTTCCATCCTCAAGAACATCTTTGTAGAGTCGGGTACATCAAAGCACATTATCTTGCCAAGTGTGGCAATGCTTTCCCTTACATTAGAACTCATTTACTGATACCAGTGTAATAGAAGGAAGAAAGCCTGATGCTTCCAATAACGTAAAAATACCTTATATCTGTCTCTCTACAAATAGACTCACTTTATAACTAGTTCTTTTTGTGCACTGCTTAATAAATCCTCTCTCTGAGGTCATAATGACTTTATAATTTTACCCTTTCACTTCAGGCTTTTCTATCTGAGATTGATTTTTGTGCCTGATATAAGGTAATGTCCAAGTTTATTATTTTTTTTCTTTATAGATATCCATCGTCCTACCACCATTTATTGAACAGAGTGTACACTTACTGATGATTTTTGTCTCTTTGATCAAAATATTGGATAAATTACTGAGAAAATGTGTTACAATCTTTACCATGATTATGTCTCTTTCTCCTTGTGGTTCTAAACATTCACATTTTGAATTTTGTTATGAAGTGCATGTAACTAAAATTGTTACATCTTCCTAGTTAACTGAACCTTTATTATTATGAAATGACCCTCTTTATTGCTATAGGTTGGTGCAAAAGTAATTGCGAGTTTTGCTGTACTTTCAATGGCAAAACCACAATTACTTTTGCACCAACCTAATAGTAATATATTTTACTATAATTTCGATTTCTAGAGATCAACTTCAACTCATTCCTTTCGGTTAAAATTCACATGCTTTATCTTCTTCCATCCTTTTGTTTCAACCTTTTTCTTTCTGTCTTTTTTTTTTTTTTTTTTGAGATGGAGTCTCACCCTGTCACGCAGGCTGAAGTGCAATGGCACAATCTTGGTTCACTGCAACCTTCACCTCCTGGGTTAAAGCGATTCTCCTTTCTCAGCCTCCCAAGTAGCTGGGATTACAGGTGCATGCTACCATGCCTGGCTCATTTTTTGTGTCTTTAGTAAAGACAGGGTTTCACCATGTTGGCCAGGCTGGTCTTGAACTCCTGACCTTGTGATCCTCCCGCCTTGGCCTCCGAAAGTGTTGGGATTACAGGCGTGAGCCACCAGGCCCAGTCTGTTTCAACCTTTTTCTATCCTTGTTTTTTGTATATACATATAGCATATAGTTGGATTTTGTTTTTTATCTAGTGTGACACTTTTATCTTTTACAGGCATATTTTGTCCCTTTCTGTTGAATGTAATTGTAAATAAACTTGAGCTTGTATATTTCTTAGCCTACTCAGGCTGCTATAACATAATACTGTATAGACTGGGTGGCTCAAACAGTACACATTTATTTCTCACAGTTCTGGAGATGAAAAGTTGAAGATCAGGGTGTGGGCTGATTTGATTCTGGTTGAGTGCCCTCTTCCTGATTTGTGATTCTGGTTGAGTGCCCTCTTCCTGATTTATAGATGGCTGGTAGACAGACATCCCCTTGCTGTGTCCTCACACGGCAAAGGGAGACCACTGGTCTCCTTTCCTCTTCTTATAAGAACTCTAATCTAATCATGGGAACCCCTCTCTCATGATTCTATCTAAACCTACCACCCTCAAAGGCCCTTACTTCCAAATAACATCATAGTTGGGCTGGAGTTGGGGGGGGCGCGGTAGGACTTCAACATATAAACTTTGGGAGGGCATAAACATTCAGTCCATAACAGTATATATCATCTTATGTTGTGCTTTCTTATTTCCCAGACTGGTCTATGTTTATTTTCCTTTTCTTTCTTACCTGATTATAGATGGACCAAATTTCTTATTCTATTTTCCTTCCTCTACTAGTCTGGAAGTAATGTATGCTGATTCTACTCTTTTAAAATTGCAGCCTGCATACTTATAAAAGTTTAAAATGCATTCATATTTTACCCTTTTTTTAAATAATACCAAAGTCCATAATATTTCAATTTTTGGATTGTATTATATTATTGCCATAATTTTCTCATTTTATTTAACCCCACAAGACTTTATTAATTATTGCTTTAAATAATAAGTGATCATTCTCCTTTCTCCATAGTTCTTCACTCTGCATTTCTTCTTTCATCAAAAGTCTTTGATCTGGCTTACTTTTTCTTCTCTCATTACACAATATATTTTAGTGAGGGCCTGCTGGGGCAAACTCTCATTTGTTTTGCCTGAAAGTGTCTTTATTTCACCCTTTCTTTTGAACATATTTTCACCAGATATAGAATTCTATGTTGGTGGCTATTTTGTTTCATTGCCTGTCTCCATCATCTCTATATCTCTATTCCCTATTTCTGGAAATCTGATTTGATATCTGTTAGAACATCGCATTCCATCCTCACATTCCATCCTCAGTGTAACAACTACTTTTTTTTTGTTTGTTTTTGAGATGGAGTCTCGCTCTGTTTCCCAGGCTGGAGTGCAGTGGCACAATCTCAGCTTACTGCAACCTCTGCATCCTGGGCTCAAGCAATCCTCCTGCCTCGGCCTCCCAAGCCGCTGGGACTACAGGTGTGCACTGCCACACTGGCTAATTTTTTATATATTTTAAGTAGAGATGAGGTTTCACCATGTCTAGAACTCCTGACCTCTGGTGATCCACACGCCTTGGCCTCCCAAAGTGCTGGGATTACAGGTGTGAGCCACCACAGCTGGCCCAGCAATTATTTTTTAATATTTTTCATCTCTTTATTTCTCTATGCTACATTCTAAATAATTTATGTTGACTTACTTTCTAGTTTGCTAATTGTCTCTTCAGCTGTGTCTAATCTGATGTCAAATTTATCTACCGAGTTTTACATTTCATTTGCTGTGACTTTCGTTTCTTGATTCAATTTGCTTCATTTTCAAATCTACTAGGTAACTTTATAGTTCTTCACATTTATCTACAAGTTTGTCTTTTATTTCTAAAAAACAGTAAACATAGTTGTTTTATAAACTAGGACTAATAATTTAAATATCTGAAGACTTCATATATCTATTTCTGTTTGCTAATGATCTAGTTCTTTCTTGGTGTCTTGTTTCCTGATGTAGCTTTTTTTGTGTGAGCTGCCTATTTTCTTTGGAAAACTATTATGAGAACACATAGAATAAAAGTACATTCCAACAGAGGTCTTTTGTTGTTATTAATCTGTCAGTTTTCTAGGAGCACCTACAGGTGGAATAGAGTTTGATTACTTCACATACACTGCAAATTCAAATGAGGTGTTTTTCCTCATCTTTTCGCTTAGTGCCACCATTCTTAAGGCTATGGTGGATTTAATCTGAGGGATAGCTCTCTAAAGTTCCAACTGTATGGAGGGACAGTCTATTTGAGCCCTCATCTTGAACAGCCTCTAGGTTATGTCTTCTGGCCCCCTTGCTCATGGAATTTGCTAAGTTGATAAATATCTTTGAGGCTATAATAGCTTTAGTACTGTCTTTCTTTCTCTGGATTCTCCCTTTTCCTGTATTTTGGCCTGATATTTTTCCACTATTTTGTCAATTTTATAGTGCTTTTAAGATATTCTTTAAGCTTTATATCTCAAATTTTTAGTTGCTTTGACAGAGAGAGAGAGAGAGAAAGAGAGAGAGAGGAGAGAGAGAGAGAGAGAAGGGAGCCTACAATACTTTTGGAATTGAAGCTAGCAGGTATAGTTTTTCCTTGCAGATTTATCCTCACAGTTTTCTACTACTGGCATCATGGAAGAATATGAGGCAAATCCATTTTCTTAAATGCTAGGTTTTCCTTCTCTAGTCTTTCACTCTCTCTTCCAAATCTATGCAGAATATAACAGAAATAATCCCAAGGTTTTCTTTTGACAATTAGTTCACAATATGTTCAGTCTCTTTACAAAAAATCCATTTTGTGAGAAAAAAATTTCATCGACATTTCTGCCTCACATATGGTCCACAGAATTTACAAGTATATAAAATCCAGGCTATTGTATCTTTGACTTTAGCCAAGGAGATACAACTCCAAAAGAGGGTGAGATCAGCTCTAGGCATCTATTTCTTATGATTATCTTAATCTGTAACACACACACACACACACACACACTCACCACCACTCCCTTAGCCCTGGGAAAGAAGATCTCTCCTCTCTCTCTGTCTCTTTCTCTCTCTCTCAATAACAGCTTATAATGGATAATACAATAGGTTGTATGTATCTCTGTTGTCTGCTGTTTCTCCTGTTTATAGTTCTAAGTGACTGGCCTGACCCATTGGTGAGAGATCGTAGTTTACCACCATTTTTGCTCAATTACCCTGTAAATAGAAGCATCCATGTGATACAGATTCTAATAGAATACTCCACCTGTAGTTTTTATTTGTTAGATCATGATGTATTGTGGGTAGAAATTGTGCACTAAAACATGTTTTCTTTCCTACACTTTAGGCCCAGGAATAGGGATGTTTTCCCAGTGATTATTAACGTCTATCTTCTTGAGTTGTGGCAAAAGTCAGAGTTGATAAGCAGTTTAATTTTATTCTCATCAATAACCTGTGGGTGATATGAGGAAGCAGGAGAGATGTTATCACTAGCTACCAAACTGCTTTAGGCACTTGTGATAAACTGACAAACTCTTGCTGTTTTTCTTTAGTGGTATTTATTCTTAAGTTTAATAGAAAGTCTTTTACTTGGCTATAACTTTAAAGACAATTTTCCCCTTCTTACAGAAGAACTTAATTCTTATATTTATTTAATGATGAAAATTATCATTTTCCCCAATCTTTATTCATTTACTGTGCCGCTGCCTGAACTCCGCACTCAGAAAAGCAAGATGAAGTCACTTGTTTTATATTTAGGGCGAATGCGTATGCTGTTCGTTTTCCATCTTTAATTGTGAAGTTGTTATTTTTTTTAGAAGGTAGGGGAAAAGGGCCTGGCATGATAATGAATTGCATAACCTTTGAAACTAGAGGAAAATAAGGAATTGTTTCAATGTAATTAGAGTATTTCATAGGTCTTTTTTTTTGAGTGATTCATGTTGAGCAATAAAATACAAATATAGCTAGAAAGAAATGTTAGAAAACCCAAGTTGATAACCTTCAAGCTCAATTCATGTTCTTGTTTGCTTCCAGACTTTCTTTTTAAATCACTATTGATTCAGAATTTATTTATTCTGAGATGATGTGTGATTATCCAATAATTCATGGCTGTTCTATAGCACAAATTCACTGCTTTGTCACACTAATCAAGAAAAATCAGTTTTTCAAAAGTGCATTTCAAATGCCCCCTAAACGTCCATTCTTCAGCACTGCCTATAAAATCAGTCTGTTAAGAGGCAGCCTGAGTGCTTTATATATTTTTTCTTTTGAGGTGCTTCTTTTAGTTGTTACTTCTAAGGTTATAACTGAATTGTTTATGATTTGTGTTCATATAGAGCAAATTATTTCAAATGATGATGCAAACTACTTAAAAAACATCCTAGTGATTTGGAAAATGTTTCTTAAAACAGGAGATTTGACATTCTTGGTAGAATATAAGGTGATTCATCATCTCTTATTTAGGAAGTTACTCAGACTGGGAGGAAAAACAACCATCATAGGTCATGATACCACTGTATTGTTTGGTTTGAAATCAGTGCTGAAGGAATCTCATTTGCATTTCCATTAATCATGCCATGTCCAATGTGGGGTCATGTTTCTGCCTGAGATGAGTTTTGGGAATGCTCATCATTTTCTGCATGAGGCGTTGTCATCATTAGGTGATGATGTAGGGTACCATGCCCTTTCTTTCACCCCCAACAAATGTATTCCTCTGTAATGCTTCCTGAATTACCTCATCCTCTCTCACAGCTACAGCCTCAGCCAGGCATCTACCATCTTATGTCTGAAATACAACAGCCATTTCCTCATTGATTCATCTGCCTTAACTTTCTTATTTCCTCTGCATCAAATATATAAACACATAACAATTATGTTGCTTATTTAGAAGACTTTGGGGGTGGTGTAAGTCCTTCTCCAACTCCTGGTAATGTGCTTAATTCCTCTAACTGCTGTCATGTCTTGTTCCCTAGGCATAGCTCTTTGTTACAGCTAAGTATGTGCTGTTGTCTAGCTTTCACACATGACACATTCTTTCCTCTAAGTATGGTTAAAATTTCTCTCCTTCTAAAAGTTATTCCATAACCATCACACCCAGCTTAGTCACTGAAATCCTTCTAGAATTATTGGTATTATTTGTAGCCAACGTGTCAATTCAACAAGTTGGTTTGTACTGATTCTACACTGATCGCTTTAGTTATGTGGGTAATTTACATTTTACTGTTTCCCATATTAGTTGGTCCCCTCTGAAGGTAGAAATTGTTTCCCAACTTTTTTTCCCTCCATTATCTATCATTTTATGGATGAAAAAATGGAAGGTTAGAGGGGCAAAAAGTAATTCTCCCAAGATCATACTGCTTATAGATGGTAGAAATAACATTTTATACCAGTTAATTTGATACCCAGTTTTTATTCACCAATATGGGATACTTTCTCCCTTACTTCCTTTGTCAGCTTCTACTTGCCTTGACATTACAATCAGATACTGAATTAGTGTTGGTGATAAGGGGAGTAATTTTTCACATCGGTGCACTTCTAGGAGTCTATTAACTTCCTTTAATCTAAGTTGAAATTTATCTAAAGTGATTTGCTGGTGACTGCCAAGATTGATCCTTTAGTTGTATTTTCATAATCTAAATTAAATATATAAGATATCAAAATTACATTGACATTCTTTTAAAACTTATCTTGTAAATATTTACTGAATGCCTGCTATGTGTACAACAGGCACTAATGTAGGTAACAGGAACAGAGAAATAACCAAGATCTCATTTCTGCCCTAGAGAAACTATGTAGTAATCCAGTAGGATAAATAGCCATGTGTATTAGCTTCCTATTGCTGTGGTAATGAATTACCACACAATTCTAAGTGTGGCTTAGAAAAACACAAATTTATTATCTTACGATTCTAGATGTTAGAAGTCCAAAATACATCTCAATGAGCTAAAATCAAGGGATTAGCAGGATGTCCAGGGGAGATCCATTTTCTTACTTTTTCCAGGTTCTAGAAGCTTCTGTATTCCTTGGCTAATGACTCTCTTACATCTTTAAAGCCAGAAATAGCCAGTTGAGTTTTTCTAACATTGCATCTTTCCAACCTTGTTTCTGTTGTCACATTTCCTTCTTTGACTCATCTGCCTCCCTTTTCCCTATAGAAGTACCCTTGTGATCACATTGGGCTCACCCAGATAAACCAGGCTAATCTCACCATTTCATGGTCCTTAATTTATTCACATCTGCAAAATCCCTTTCCTTATATTAGGTAACATTTACAGGGTCCAGGGATTAGGATGTGAACATCTTTGGGAGGCCATTATTCTGTCTACCACAACATGAAAACAGATAACCTGTATTATAGTGTCCTAAGCTCAACAATGCAAATGGAAGTACTGTGTCTCAGAGATTAATGGAATTAGCTGCTTTGGAATGGAATTCTTTGAAAGTTCTCAGGATTCTTCTCCTGTCAAAGTGGGTGGAATTCACTTTGGCCCACTTTGGCACAGTGGCCAGTAGAATGTCTTTGTTCTTGTCCTTCTTGAGAATCAGTAGGAAGTTTGTGAGGGGAAGTGTAGGCCTCCTTTAGCCATCACCAAGGGAATAAGGAGGAGAAAGTCACATTGCTCAGAGGGAACAGAATATGAATATGAAAAGGGGGGAACCATACATAGTACAGAATTGCATAAGATCAAGTTAAAAGAGGGGCATTATAAGAAATAAGACTGGTGAGATGAGCCATATCGTAAAAAGCCATGTGTGTTGGGCTAAGAAGTGGGAACATCATCCTGTAAGAAATGGCTAAGAACATGATTCCTTATTATTTGGTGGGACTTAGAGGAAAACAGAACCCTTTCTTTGAATGAAATGACAGGCCCTCTTTTATAGACATACTATAAAGCATGTTTTAAAAATAAAACAAAACACGTACTTAAGTATTCACATTTCTCTGCTGGCTATTGTTGTATATTAAAGTCTTAATTTTGTACTGCTCCATTTTTCCATGTTCACTGGAAAGTAATCTGACCTGCTTACTCACAGTAGGTCTCTTTTAAGTTCTAGAACATGTATTCATCCCACCTGAGTTCCTTTTTTGCTCTCTGAATTAATATTAGGTTCTCAGAAGGAGAATATTCCTGCAGGAATAAAATCAAATGTTTTGGATTTTTACTTTTTATAGCTTATCAATGGTAGTTATATTGTCATTTTCTTTGAGAAACAGATTACTTTTAAAGAAAAGAGTCTTTCTAAGCATCACTGGCTGCTTTATCTTGCCATTTGCTTTCAATGGAGCCATGTGAAATCTGCCCCTATGAATTGAATTAGTTACCTGAACTATTTTCCTTAATCTTCATGAATTATTTCTGGTTTGGAAATTGCATTGTATGGCTGCAATACCAACTGTTAACCACCACAACAAATGTGTAGCTGTCTTTTATAAATGTTTTTCAATGATTCTAAATTTACTGTTGCAAGACAATAAACTTGGTGATCAGAAAGTCAAATGACTTAAGAAGCTTATAAAATATTATATAATTTTAGGGTTTTTTGTCTTTAAGTGAGAAATATGAATTGCATTCAAGGAGCTAAGCCACATGACAGCGAACCACTGTGGCTTTTTTCATTTAGCTGGCCCTTCAGTCTATTTATTCCAGAGACGCAATTAGAGTACGTGAGGGCCCCTATAAAAGCACTGCCCTCTATTGATTTGCAGGATATAAAAAATTTGCATGACAATACAAATTCTGACAGCACATGGGGGCAGGGTGAAGTAATCACTTTCCAGCTGTCATTACTATACAGAATCAGCTCAATCTTATCATCTGACTGGTTTTGGTGTATTTTCAACTGAAAAATAAAGCAGCCAGTATTTACAATCAGAAAATGTCAGCTTTTCAGGCAGATTCGACAATGGCATTTCATTTACACTGCAATCCACTTTCTCACTTGGTGAGGTACAAATCACAGGAAGATTGGAAGCCAGCCTAAATACTTTTAAGCTGGTTTTGCCTACCTTTAATGTAAACAGCAAATAATTACAAAATCAATAGAAGTTGTTAACCCCTTTAAACCTGTCTTCTCCTTACTCATCTGTGGGATTACTTTAAAATGACCAGTGAGTAACTTACTGCTAAATGGTTCAACACAGGCTTTGTTTGGAGTTGGACAGTCTGCCTTCCAATGCCACCTCCGCCTCTTGTTAGCTGAGTGAGCTAGGGAAAATTATCTCACCTTTCTGTACCCCAACTTCCTCATTTGTAAAATAGAATAATAATAATGGCATATTTTATTACATTGAAATGGCATGAATTTTTAGAAACATTAAATGACATAATAAATACACTAGGGCTATTGCATTGCAGTGCTCAGAGAAGTACAATTCACATTGCGTTCTATGTGGAATTGTGCAAGATGGCAGACCTACATGTAAAGAACTTACGGTAGTCCCTGGTACAAATAAGAATAAATTTTATAGAGTTTATGATCTTTCCTTTTTCTTGAAATTATTTGACTTTCTTGAATGTCTGTGTCTCTTCCTAAAACTCTTTCACTGGCTCCTCACATCTAATGGTAGTGTCTCCCAAAACTCATACACATCATGATGACCTGCTTTTCTCCTCATTTTCTCCATTAGGTTGGTCTGTTAAGTAGAACTAGACATAATGACAGTGTGTAAACTGGGATGTACTTATTAAATTGAGACTAAAATCAAATAGATTAATGGTTCCCAAATCTGTCTGTGCATCAGAGTCAGTTAGTGGGTCATCTAAAAATACAGATTCTCAGGCCCATTCCTCAGATCTATGGAATTAGAATATTTGATATGGGGGATTGTTGGAATCTTGTACCCCTAAAAGTTTTTGAGCTATTTCAGCTATTCAGACAGATTAGGGAACTGAAATCTAGAACCAGGAATGATGCAAATATTACTGTTCAACATCAGAGTGAAAGATTCAAGTCAAAGAGCACAGGGTCAGAGCATGAGCAGAAAATGAAGCCAGAGCTGAGTGTTAGGAGCCTGTGAAGCCTGTTCATTCGTGACCCGCCCTGTGCCCCACAGCATTCTCTATCACAGCTCTTACCACACAGTGTTGAAATGATGTTTCCAGCTTATGTTTTCTTTCCTTCCTTTTTTCCTTCCTTCCTTCCTTCTTCTCTCTCGTTCCTTCTTTCTTTTTCTTTCTTTTCTCTTCCTTTCCTTCCTTTCTCTTTCTTTTCTTTCTCTCATCTGTCTTGCTCTCTCGCCCAAGCTGGAGTACAGTGCCACAATCTCAGCTCACTGCAACGTCCGCCTCCTGGGTTCAAGGGATTCTCATGCCTCAGCCTTTGGAATAGCTAGGACTACAGGTGTGCACCATCACGCCCAGCTAATCTGAGGTTTTGCCAGGTTACCCAGGCTGCTCTGGAACTCCTGGCCTCAAGCAGTCCACCAGCCTTGGCTTTTCAAAGTGCTAGGATTATAGGTGTGAGCCACCCATGTCCGGCCCTCTCGAGCTTATATTTCTTATTCAAGTATGAGATTCATAAAGGCAGACTTAGTCTGAAAAATTCCTCTTCATATCCTCACACCAGTGTTCATGGCAAGGATCCAAAAAATGTTGTTAAAATAAATAGTTAAAATGTAAGCCAAGAGAGAACGAATTATTAATAGGACTCTTTGGCTCTTTTGTTACATATAACCAATTTGAACTAGTTAAAAGTGAGAAAAGGGAATGCAGTTTAAGACTATAAGGTATCTCATGAAACTCAACGCTGGGCTTCAGGTAGGAACTAGACCACAAGATAAATGCCATTAGGACCATTGTCTCTGTTTCTCTTTGAACATTTACTTCAATAACTTCTTTCTGAAAGCCAGATTTCTCTGCTTCTCTTGTTTGCGAGGTTTATATTTTGCAGTTCCAGTCTTCTACTGAGAATAACTCGTTGTCCATTCTAATTCTAAATTCCTGGGATTGAGAATCTGACTGGCCCAGCTTGGATCCAATATCTGAACCAGATCCAGTTGGCCATGGCCAGAAAACAGGCACAAAGAAGAAATGTCACTACTAAAGACCTACTCCTGTGGATTGGGGGACAGAGGGATGGTCAGTTCTCAGATAAAGTAGACTTAAACACTTTTAATATTATCTGTTGCAGTGAGGCAGATTCAGATAAGCTGTCCAAAAAAGAGAAGCAGACAGTGTGCTAGAGAACTTGGCACTGAAGTACAAATCAACTGTCTCAAACAGGAAAATTTTATCTTTTATTCAGGACCAGACCTTTTTATAGGGACAAATCCCTAGAGGAACAGGTGGGAGTGCTTAGGTTGTAGGGGAAGAGTCAAGAAGTCGGGGATTGCAAAATGCACACCCTTGGCCAGCAATGACTTTACATAATTTGTTACTGGGTCTGCCCACACAGTACATGTAGGGAGAAAAAAGCCATTCCATATGTACTTTCACTGTTTAAAGAAAAGGGTAATATATCACAATCATAATGCAGTAAAGTGACAAGGGCACCTTCCCAGATGGCATGAAGTCTGCCAGTAGATTGAAAAAACTGCAATAAAAATGTTTTTATAATAGAACATTAATTTTTATGTACCATACAGCCAACATGATAGAGACCAACAGTACCTAGTATTTGAACTTCTCGAAGGAAACTCTAATCTACTGAGAGGAATGGGAGAGCTGGGATAAGGAGGCATCTCATATTGAAATGTGCACCTCACAAGTCCTCAGCAACACTTGGTGATGGAAGATGGTAAAATTGTTTTGCAGACCATAAAGTCTTCAAGTTTTGCTACCCTGGATACAATCTTTAATGTTGGTACTCAGTATGGTGGGAGGATACATTCACTGGGTATATGGAATATGTTCCTTAACCACTCTTCCCAGTCCTCCTTCTAAGCTGGAGATAGGAGAAAGAATTGACAACTGTAACCAAGACATACTTATGTTTCATCAAACCAAAGTATGAATTCATCACTGCACTGAGCAGTGGACTAACCAATATGTAGATATTTCTTCATTAATATTTTATATTAATTTATTTGCTGGCTTATATGCTTAAAATGTCTTTGTTTTAAATGCAGGTGATCCAAGGACATATGACCCAGATTTCAAGGGGCCTGTTGCCAACAGGTAAGCAATTATTTTTTGGGGAATATGCTTTTTTAAACATACACAGAAAGCTTTGGGGGATGGGGGAGGTACTGTTTTCCAGTCAGTGGAGAATTGTGTCTACTGTGAGGGGAAAATGATATATTTCTGCCTAAATGTCACCTTATTTACACAGGGAAAGTACAGAGAATAAATCTTTCCATGAGTCATGAATATCTTCTCCCATTAGCAAATGAACTGCCTTACATTATTAAACTAAGTGTTTGTACTTTTCAAAAAGAGAAGTGAAAAAAAATGCTTTATGAGATTTAACCACTTTGTAGAGAAGCAAACTCATTCAAGTAGTTGTTTTATGCACCTGTTTACTCTGGGACTCACCATTGCAAATGCAGAGTTGCCATGCCAACTTCTTCCAAGCCAAGTATTTGTGCTGCTCAGCTTCCAAGATCAGAGTGCTTTCTCAGAGGCAGTCATTCACCAATGCATCGTGTGCACTTTAAGATAGTTTAAAATGCTCTAGGGAAATATGTACTCATCTCAGCTGGTGCTTCCTGCCCTCTCCAAGGTTCTGTGCCATTTTAAAATTAGCCAGTAATTCATAGTCCTCTTATTATTTATTTTAGCCTCTATTTGCAAGCTTTTTGCTAATAACAAAGGGGATTGTGAGGTAAAATGTCTACATATGGAGGGAAGACTGTGCAGTTGGTGGCTGTTTTTTGCTTAACTTTGATTTCTGTCAGTTGTATGTCATAATGAACCGTGATGTGAACTAGCGATCAGCATGCTCATTTGCACGTGCCAACCATCAGTATGTACGTTAGCATTTACTGTTATGTCCCTGTAATAGCCCAGCTTTAAAGAGACGTATATTCAGTTTGTTCTAATTTTGTAAAAAAACAAGTCATTTGTTTCAGGTTACTCATTTAAAGGTATACTTAGAATAAAGGCACCTTCTTTAAAATGAGTCCAAAACCTCTCCATTCTCTCCATGGTAACACCATGAATACATTTTGTTGTCTAGTATACAAACAGCCTCATTCAGTGTAGTGGCTACTTTTACTATGATTACATCCATTTTACAATAACTTATTTGTAAGCATTGAATGTAGCCTGTTGGCTTCAAGGGAACTTTAGGTATAAATCAGATTCAACAGTAATAATAATTATAATAAATAGGCTGACACATTTAGAAAGAGGAAATACAGATTACAGGTGTGTCTTTCTAGGCCATAGATAAGAGAGCAGAATTATGCCTGGCTGGTTTTAGGTGTAGTAAAAGAGGTGAGATCTCCTGTCTTCCATTATGTAGAATTTAATGACGGAACCGTGTAGTTCAGGTAAAGTCTAAACGACTGTGATAATCACTGTGAGGAAAGTAATTTATTTTTACCTGGGGCCTTTTGTGATGCCTCCGGCACCACAAAGACCTTCAAAGGTGAGCTGGTCATTCTGTGGGCAGACCTTCCTCTGCCTTCAATCCAAGAATGGAGGAAAGCATTGTAAAACCAGGGAGGCATAAATACAGGAAGACATAGTTGGCCTATTTGTAACTTTTTCAGACAGCAGGGTTCTATACTGTCCTTACCGGGAAAATAACTGGGGTGTTTAAGGAGCAAATAAGAAGCCCCCAATTCTCCACATTGCCTTTAGCAGCAGGACTGGCTTTAATAACACCTTGTGCTTACATCATGAAGCTCTCCTGAAAAATCCCAAATGTTATTGGATATTCAGACAGACTCTTACAGCATTCTCTGCTTGTCAGTCCACTATGTTCTGCTTTCTTCTCTCAGTTCACAAGGGCAGCATTTTGTGCCTAGTCACCACCCAACTGAATTTGTTTTGAGAAAAGGCGAAGGGATGATGGTCATGCATAGGAGAGGTGAACTCAGTGTCTCATTTGTTCCCATCTACCAAGAACTGGGTGTATGAGAGCTATTGTCCAATAACCAAGAGAAGATGATTTTGATAGTTTAAGGTGTTTCCCCAGGCCCTTTTCACAAAATAGATCTTCAGGCCCCAAGATTTCTCCCTGATATTCAACAGAATCAAAAAATGATTGATTAGTGAAAAAGATATTCAGCATTATCCTTGGCATTAGACATTGGAATTGAATACACATAGAAAACTAAGAAATGAAAGCTCTCCGATAAGATGCTACATGAGAAATTCATCTCATAATGTAGACCTAACTAAATTTTATTTGATGGAGAATTGGTATGCTTTCTTCTGTTAGGTAAGAACCATGTAATCCACTGTTTCTCTTCCTGTACTGCCTTGTAGGAAGCCTACTGATAAGCCCACTTATTTTTGAGGAAGAGAACATCTCATCTTTGTATTATTACCAACTAGCATAATTCTTCTGATAGAGTAAGGGGTACTATACACATTTATTTAAGGAGTGAAGGAAAGAAAACAAGAATGGGAAGGAAGCAGTGTGACATAGAATCCAGGGATAAATACAAGGATGAACTTCAAAAGGGGCTGAGTAACGGCCATAGCATTATTACACTTGAGACAAAACAGTCAGCATATGTAAGTGAAGCTTCACTTATGGGTTTAAACTTCAGGACTTCTAAGTCTATATTTAAAGTTCTTGCTAAGATGCTATCTGAACCCTCAACCATTTTCAGATGCCAATGGTGTGATATTGGGTTTATATTCCTAAATAAGATACTCTGCTAACAGGAAAGTAGTAGCAGAGTTCTCTGCGCTATTTGCATTACTAGGTCTCATGGAATACACCTCATACTATTTTTCAAGTCAATTAGTTTTTATAACATGTCTACAGGGGGCATGACACTGCATATGGTGTGGATCCAAGTATGCTGTGTCAAGGGAGGTCAAAGATTTACAGGTCCTCATACAAAAAGTTCAGCCTATTCTGTTTATCTCTCTCTTTTTATATTAGGTCAAAGTCATTAAAATGTTGTATGACCATTTGCTTGACCTGTGATCCAAGTCTAGGAAAATAAAGTCCAAATTGCTACAGTTGGCATCCTGTAATAAAGGCCACATATTATCATCTCGGGTTTTAGAGATGGAGTTTGTTTCCTTTTGTTTTAAATACGTAAACTATCCTGAAAAAAGGATGCAATTTTAAATAATGCTGACATTGTCAAGCATAGCTGTGAAAGAAATAATCATATTCTGGCCGGGCACGGTGGATCATGCCTGTAATCCCAGAACTTTGGGAGGCTGAGGCCGGCAGATCAGTTGAGGCCAGAAGTTGGAAACCAGCCTGGCCAACATGGTGAAACCCCGTCTCCACTAAAAATATCAAAAGTAGCCGGGTGTGGTGGTGCGTGCCTTTAATCTCACATTCAGGAGGCTGAGGCAGGAGAATCGCTTGAACCCAGGAGGCAGAGGTTGCAGTGAGTTGAGATCATGCCACTGCACTCCAGCCTGGGTGACAGAGAAAGACTCTGTCTCAAAAAATAATAATAATAATAACCATACATTTTACAAACAGAACGCTGTCCAAGGAATAGGTGCTATAACCAGTGGTATACTAAGAAAAAAATGAAAATCTAGACCTCATCATTAATTACTCACACAAATATTGAATGCACACCTCTGTCCTCCAAGGGAAATTACACACCAGATGACAAGACCCCACAAGCATATGAAAAGCTAAAGAGCAAGCACAAGTAACATGGGCTGTGCACCAAATGTGTGGTCCACAGCAAAGGCTGCTGCAGGATTTCAGGGAAGGACGGGCACTCTGAGGCTGGTGTCAGAGGTGCTGATTCCTGGGCAGGGCCACAGAGCAAAGAAGACTACTAATTTATGGGAGGCACTTTTCCAAACTTAGGAATTTGGAAAATAGCACTGTTTTCTAAGAGTTAAACTAGAAATTAACACATAATTAAAGCACAGATGTAGATAGTCACCATAATGAGACCTGTAAGGCTTCTAGTCCAGCAAGGCTTGATGATACATTTATTCAATCTATTAACATATCTAAAGAGAAGTACAAATGATGATCAAACAACTCTGTCCATCCAAGAACTCTCCAGATTAGGGCACCAAGTCAAATTGATGAGAGGATCCTATGTAAGGATCCTGCTCTCTTGACCACAGGCTAGCAGAGATGGATGCCATCAGATATTCTATTCATGCAATTCCCCTTGTTCTGACTCCACACTCATCAAGCAACCTTTTGATAATTAGGTTTTTCATGTAGTTTGCCTACAGGGAGGAATGAACTGGTCAGGGCAACATGAACATCAGTTCGGCTCAGCAGTTAAATTTCTCAATGTAAATTATTTCATTGGCATTCTGATTTTAGACATCAGTCTCTTGTGAGCTTTGTCAGTGCCAGTCATCATCCCTGAGTTGGAGTAATTCTAGGGCATGACAGAATCAATATTCAGACCCTGCAGAAATGTACATAACTGGTTTGGCTCAGCAGAGAGTTTATTCAAGCATTTAGAGAACGCAGAGTGAGATTGTTTAGGCAGATATGTTAGGACAAAATTATGTAGGGCTTTGAATACCATGCTAAAGCATTTGGAGCTGATTCTTAGGCAGTGGGAACTCATTGGAGAAATTAGTACCGGTGGACTGGTGTGACATGATCAAAACTGTTACTCACAGGTCTGCAATGTACAGCTGTATGTAGTGGAGCTCATGGCTTAACTGAAGAGTCAGCCAAGCAAGCAACTAACTACAACGTGGTATTATAAGTGCACAGACTACTCTTGGAGCACCAAGGAAGAGTGCCTGCAATTCACTCCAGGGGTGATCAGAGGATATTTTTCAGAAGAGAGAATTTTCCACTAGACTTTAATGTTCTTTCAAAATGTCCCCTTTATATAGGTGTTTTAGTTAAAAGAAATATATCAGTATTTCAAAAAGCCTCAGAAATATATTTATATTTCTGACTTTCTACTTGATAGTTCTACCTGGATGTGCCATGGGCATCCTAAACTCAACATTTTAGAGCCTAAACTCATGAGCTCCTTTGCCCTTTATACCCTTCTTGCTCCTTCTCATGGTGTTTCCTCCCTTGGTGAATGTAACTACAATCAAACTAGTTGTTAAACACAATAGTGCTAGATTCTTGCTTCTACCCTGAATATATAATAGTCCTAAAACCTTGCAGATTTTGTCTTCTTTTTACCTCTTAGAACTCTGCTTTCCCAGGACAACTGCCTGAGTTGAGGCTTTAATAATCTCTTAGCTGAGTTACTGAAATCGTCTTTTAAATGCTGTCTTGCTTTCCTTCTAACCAACTCTGTCCTGCCAGAATTCTGTCTTTTTCAGGATTGAGTCCATCCTTAATTTTGAGGCCAAGATGATAGTTTATTTATGCATTCAGCAAATATGCATTATATACCAGAGACTTTTCTCAGCTCAGAAGACACACTGATGAACAAAACAGACAAGCTTCTGGCTTCTCATAGACCTGAGATTCTAGATAGGACATCAATTATATAAAGCAAAGAAATGAATAAAGCTACTTTCAATAGTGATAAATACTGTAACATAAATACAATCAAATGATATGGTTGAGAGTGAATGGGGAACTGGGCTGTTGTTAAGGGCTCTTGGGCAGATGGCAGGTAAGAGTTGGATGACAAGAGGGAGCCAGCCATGCAAAGATCTAGGGTCAAAGCATTCAGGCAGAAGATAACAAATGCAAAGTCCCTGAGATGGACACAAGTTTAGAATGTTTGAGGAATGGAAAGAACTCAAGTGTGACTACAATGAAAGGATAAGTGTTCTCAGGCTCTCATACTTTGATGTGTACTATTGGCTCTTCTTGGAATGTCTTCAAGTATGAGTGCAAGGGTCACCTCTGCTTTGAATTTTTTCTACATTCTTCTTACTCCTATCAGTACTAGACACACTCTCCTTTTTCCAGAGCCCTCATCAATAACTATTAATTTCACTGATCACATTAATCTCTTTATTATCTGCCTCTCCTACTGAACTTCAAACTTTGTTGGGGAGAAACTTTCTTTAGTTTGTCTTTGTGTTTCTAGCACATAGCACAGTGCCTGGCACATAGAAAGCATAGTTAATTAATACTTTTTAAAAAATCTCTTGATTTAAAGGTGCCTACAGAGTTTTTAGGTTATTTGCGTAATTATCAGGAATAACTTGTAGACGGTGACATTTTAAAGTGCAAAAAAAAAAAAAATAGAAAAAAGAACAAGCTCATATATTGAGGAATAAAAGAGGCCACAAATATTAAAGATGAGTGTTAACCTATATCTTTCTGTGGAAAAGAGTCACGCTAATAAATAATTAATCACATTAGGCCATTTGCTCCATTCCGAATGAAGAATGTAAATGCCAGATTTAGAGCACATCTTCAATTCACATTTGCATTCTGAAGAATTAGCCATTTGGGGCAATTATTTACTTTTATTTCTCTTCATTTCCTTCTACATTTGAGACTTTATAAAAAAGTTTTCAAAGGAAGTGCTATGGACATAGGTTTTTTATTCCAAACTATTTTACAAATCAAAATGGTTTGTAACCTCTTGCAGACATTTTTACAACACAGGACCTACTTTTTTTTTAAATTTTGTGTTCTTTTTTTCTATAGGTTTTCAATCATAATTTTCTATGATAATGAGCCCCACCTTCGTATATTTAAGTCTCCTATACAATTAGAAAAAGCATACCAATTAATTCAACAAGAAGCAAATATGAGAACGGCATACATTTAGAAGACAGCACAGTGTTGTCACAATGATTTGAGATGTCTACTTGATAACAACACTTTAGAATTTATAAGAATGTGTGGTGTGTGTCCACATAGTGCATTATATGCTATCACTAAGGTCTAAAGCTGAACTTTTTATTTTGTGATTTGGCATCAAGAGTTGAATCACAGAGTCAGTGAATCTCAGGATTGGAAAGGACTTTGAGGTCACTTAATCCAACTTCTTTATATGAATGAACCCCTTCTTCAACATCCCTAATAAGTGGCTCTTCATTCTTTCCTTGAATCTTTTCATGATAGTGAACTTACCACCCCTCCAATGCTTCAGGTAAACTAAATGATTTTACTAAATTTCAGACAGATTTTCCACCTTCTATAATAATAGTTATTTTCAGTATTGTGACACCTACCAATTTGTTTAGTATACTCTTTTGTGTATAAAGAAAAAAAGGACAACTATAGAACATTCAAGCTTTCATTTCTATTTACTTATATACCTATATGCCTCTTTCTAGAAAGGATCTTAAGTGAAATGACTTAAAACATCTGGATGCATTAGAATTATTAAAATGAAAATAGAAATTCAAAGTCCCTAAAGAAATTTTTGACTCAAGACTAATACAGTAGCTGATATTGAAATTAAATTTATCAGTGGGCTTCCTACATGTCAATATAAAAAGAAAAACATAGTGGATTATACAGTTCTTTTTACTGGAAGAAAATATACCAATTATTCAGTATATAAGGATTTTTCTTAGTTTTAAATTACAAGAGGCATTTTTCATAGAGCATCTTTTATGTGCATTCATGGGCATCTATTACATGCCCCATGTCTTCTAGGCACTAGAGATACTGTGATGAGCAATATAGATAAGGTGGCTGTCTTCTTGGAAGAGGGAAGAAATAGGGCAGAAAACATCTGAGAAATGAACATAAGTAAGAGGAAGAGAGTAAAACAGAGTGATGTAACAGGGCCTTTGTAGGGGAGGGGAAGTGTTAATTTAGATTTGGTGATGAAGGAAGATCTCTTTATGGAGGTGACAATTGAAATGAGACTTGAATGATAAGAGGAGTAAGTCAGGCAGAGTCTGAGGATATAACATGTTAGATAGAGGAGGCAAAATGAAGAGTCCCTAAGGCAGGAATACACTTAGTGCAGGGAGCAGAGAGGCCCGTGTGAGTGCAGCAAGGTGGATGGGAGCGGGACTTAGGTAGTGGGTGGGTAGGAGATGCTCTGCAAGCTAAGCATGTTTACAGTGAGTGCAGTGGAAAAGTCATGTGAGGGTTTTAGTAACAGAGTGAGCTAATCTGTTTTTAAAACTCATCCTGACTGCTCTGTGGAGAATTTAAGTGTCCAAAATCAGAAGCAAGGAGATTCACAGGAAGCTTTTGCAGTTGTATAAGTGAAGGAGTCAGTCACTTCGAAGAGGGTAGTGATAGTGGAAATAGAGAGACTTGTATAGACTCAAGATATGCTTTGGTGGTAGAGGGAGCAGCACTTACTGATGGGATTGGATGTGAAAAGCAAGAGAAAAAATGAGTCAAGAGTAATTGTTAGATTTGTGACTTGAACTACCAGGAGGATGATGCTCCCCTATAGTACAGATGAAAAGATTAGAGAGGTTAAGACTTCTGTTTTGCCTGTGTTAAATTTGAGATACTAAATAGATATCAGCCTGTGAATGCCATGCGTGAGTCTGGAGCTCAGTGAAGAATAAAATGAGGGCTGGTGATCAAGAATTGGGAGTTGTCTGCCTACAGATAAGACTTAAAGCTGAGCTTCTGGATGAGAACACTTAGGAGGATGGAGGAGAGGCCCAAGAACAACACTCCAGACTCAAAAGCATTTGGAGATCAAGCAGAGGTGGAAGAATCAGTACAGGACATGGAAGAACACCCAGTGAGTTGGAGAAAAGGCAGGAGAATCAGATGTTGTAGAAGCCAAAAAAAAAAAAAAAAAGAGAGAAAGTTTTACAAGAAGAGTTTGGGTTTTTGTTCTGTTGTGGTTTTTAAAGTGGCCCAGTATGTTGATTACCTTGAGAGGTCAAACAAGATAAAAATTGAGAAATGATCATTGGATTTGGCAGTATGAGTCATTAGTGACTTCATCAAGAGCAAGCTCAGCAGCAGTGGCCACTAAAGTGTGACTAAGAAGAGTTCATTAGAGATTGTGAGGTGAATCTAGTAGAGATGGCTACCAGAGGCAATAAAGACAACACTTTCAGTAAGTTTTCCTGGAGGATGAGAGGAATCTGGGGCCAAAGAAGAGCTTTCTGAAGATGGGAGACACTAGAACATGGTGGTGTGTGGTGCTAGACATTATCTAGAAGGCCACTGATGACACAAGATAAAGAAGAAATTATGGAGACAAAGTCCTAAAGACAGAGTCCAGAACACAATTGGAGAGTCTTGCCTACAATGGAAGCAGGGACTTTGAACCATAGTTGCAAGATAGTAAGCAAGGAATATGTTACAGATGTTGGAGTGTCAATAGTTTTGGTAATGAAAAGAAGAGGTAGTCTTGCTGGTTGCTTTTATTTTCTCAATAAATTATGAGGTAAGGCCATCACGGGGGTGGTGGCAGTGGTGATGGTGGGGTGGCAGTGGTGGTGGTGGAAGGCCCAGGGCTGGAGTGTTGAGTGTTGGAGAGGGCAGAGAAAATATGCAGCACACATTTTGGGAATGGGGAAGTGAAGCCTCATATATTATTAATCTAGAATATATATATATGCATATACGTATATATATGCATATATACGTATATATATGCATATACGTATATGCATGTGTGTGTGTGTGTGTGTGTGTGTGTGTGTGTGTATATATATATATTTCATTTGCCACACAGAATATTATTCTAGCGTAGGAAAGACTTAAGGGAACATAAAAATTGGTACTTAAAAGTGATGAAGAACAATGATTTGTGGGCATATATTAGATACCTAAATTACATGAACCAGGAGATCTTGAGGTGACTGAAGCTGGGTGACAGTACCCTGGAATGCTTCACGTAGTAGGAGAATCTTCGGCAGTATTTTGAAGGAAGGATCATATTGGCAAAGGAGGTAGATATTATCTCTTGCAATGGCTTAAAAATAGGAGTAGGCATGTACCATACAAAGTAGATTTGCTTGGCTAGACCAAAAACTAGAGCCTAAATAAAACATATGGCTGAAAAGTGAAGGGGCCTCGGCATATGTGTAAAATATCAGAGATGAAATATTGGCGGAATTTCATTTCAGTTTTTATGGAAAAGGAAAAAAGAGGTTAAGGAGGATTCCAGATTGTGCATTAGTTTATTCCTTCATTCTAGTGGAGTATGCAGAATTGAATAAGACACAGACTATGCTCCCAATAAACTTAAAATTTCAACCACTAATGTTAATACATTTAAAAATGAATGACTTGCTAAATAGAAGTATAAGCATAACTCGGGGAACAGAGTAAAATGAATAATTATTATTGACTAAAAAAAAAAAATCAAGAAATGTTTCTTGGAGGTATCATTGAGTTAGACCCTGGAGGAGGAGAATGATTTAACAGATACACAAGAATGGAAAAGAGAATTGGATTCATGGAGGTATGTGTTGCAGATTGGGTTCTTGGGGTCAGATGCTGAGATGTAGTCTGCGGTGCAGGCTCTTTTCTAGTGATCAGCGTCTGTGAAAAGAAGGGAAAGGAAGCAAGAGGGAGGAAGTTTTCAAACTGCTAGGTCCAACAAAGCCTCAGCTATCCAGCAGGGAGGAGTCTAGAGTAACTCTGAAATGACCACATCTTTATTTACTTATTTTTAACTCTTCCTTTAGGTTCAAGGGTACATGCGAAGGTTGTTATATAGATAAACTGTGTGATACAGGGGTTTGCTGTACAGATTATTTCATCGCCCAGGTAATAAGAATAGTATCCAATAGGTAGTTTTTTGATCCTCTTTCTCCTCACACCCTCCATTTTCAAGTGGCTCTGAGGCTCTGGCAGATATTGTCTGGAGACAGGAGGCTGTCTGCATACCACACTCCTCACTGCTGGGCAGCCAGTCTTTCCTTAAAAGGAAACCAGGGTGGAGCTTTTTCATGCGGATCACAGCACGTGAGCATAGTATATCCCATTGTACCCCAGAGGGGCTGAACAGAGACTAGGATGGAAGACACTTTGGCAACGAAGCTGAATAGATCATGTGGGATTGTAGAGAGGTTTGAAAGCCATGATGAGGATTTGAGACTATTTTTTCCCAGGGAGCTTTGTTAGGGAATTAAGGAGGGCCATATGATCATCTAATACCCTGCTTTCAGGAGATAATGCCAGAGAGTGAACCTGCAGCACCAGAAGCTCTTAGAAGTCGTAGTTGCCATAGAACACAGCTGCCTAATGAATTGGCAGCTGGGGGCATAGGGGAGGTAGCCCATACATGGTGTCCAGTTTCTTTTTCTATCTCCTATTCTTAGATAACAGTATCTTGATATTTCATTCAACCCAAATTCACCTGACCCTTCACCTTTCCTGTGGTTACAACTAAAATGTTTGTAACTGACCCATATCTCCTCTTTTTAGAGAAACTAATATTATCTGTCTTACCGTATTCCTGTGTCAGACCAACATACCTGTGTCAGAAGAATATATTAGCTATATTTTTCAAATATTGTTCTGCCCAGGCTGTCTTGCTGCTAAATGGATTTGTTTTTATTTGCTCTCAATCAATCTATATATTTAAGTGTACATTCTTTTGGCAAGAGAGTGGGAAAATAGATTATTTTTCTATTAAAAAATTAAAGGCAGTTTGTGCTCAGATGGACAGAAGACCAGTGGGTAGGCTTGGTTGGGAAGCCAGCAGGGATGGAAAGCAGCTGGTAGTTTCTGTGGACTGGGGCCCTGGGGCGTGGCACCACCTACCATGTAACCAGCCTGGAGATGGTGAACTAGGACCCTAGGGACGATCCTAGTAGCAGCATCGCATTATGGGATTTCTCAGTCCTTCAGAAACTAACAGTGTGGAGCCAGGTTACCAGATCTAAATAGTAGTGCAGAGAACCTGGGCAAAGAAAGAGCTTATCAGGAGGCATAAAGGCAAAGACTGGAAGAGTCCTCTTTACGCACTAACATGCCTTTCTTAATGTAATGACTATGCAGGATTTCCATACCAAGGTCATTTTCTAGTTAGACCTGTGAGGAAGAATTAATGGGGAAATATATTAAATTTTATCTGGGTATTGGTATTTAATTTAGATCTTTTTCTACTCACATATTAGTTTTGTAATGATTATTTTGTTGGGTTGGTTAAATAAGGGATTAGGATATAAATAGTGTATGCACCTGTCAGCTAAGCGTTACTTGAGATGCCTCTCTATTTTGGTAATCGAAGCCATCACTCCAGCATGATTCTTTACTTGGTATGAGCTTACCCAAATTTCCTATATAGTGTCTAGAAGAAAAGGAATAGCTTTTCACTGCTAGCCTTATAAACCCAAATTGTAAAAGTGAGGACAAACCTCACAGCTGCATATTTTTTAAGTCTAAACATGATAAAATTAGATTTAAACTTCCCAACACATATCATATTGTCATTTAGATTTCAGTTGCTTGTTGAACTGTATTCAGGATATTGTGTTTCATGATTTACCAGCATAGACATCAGTTTACATTCTCTGGACTTTTGAATTCAGATCACACTGTGAGTTTATTTCTGATTGAAGTCTCCTTCTATTTATTTACTGAATGTCTTCAGGAAACAATTTCTTCATGTTGGCAAAGTTGTGTTCCTCATAATCATTACTAATCTCATGTTTTTGGTAATTTGTTGTTTATTCATCATAGGATGCTTACTATCAGACAGTAAAAAAAAAAAAATAAAGCTTAGAAACAATGGTGAAAACTGAAGGAAAATATCATTAACTCAAAGTTTAAAGTAAAAAAGTTCATACCATAGTTGATTTACATGTACCTTATTTCTTAATGTTTTCTTCCTGAAAATGCTCCATTGTAATATGTATTAGCATTTTATAGTTTCCTTTTCTGTAGATAGGCGAGTTTATCCCTTACAATAGGTGGAGAAAATTCTGTTCTTCTACAGTTTTGCATTTGATATCACTTGTTTTTTAAGATTTTGGAGCTAAAGTTGCAACCATACAAGCCATCTTCTCCATATGGATTATCCATAATTTAATTTTCTACTGTTCAATAAAAGAGGAAATGAAACTCCATCTCTTTCTGGAAGAGGTTTGATTTCCTATCCCACTGCCATCAACTTCCTCCCCAAAATGTTTGTACATAATACAATGCTTGTACATAATATAAGTGCTGAATTTATGAATTTGTTAAACACTCTTGGTTTTCCTAAACTAGGTTATTATAATGTTGGTGTGCTGTTTATTGATTCTAACTCCAGGTTAGTAGACCATGTCTACTTCCTTAACCTTATATACCACCTATATCATTTGCAATACAATTGGGGGGTTAAAACTAGCTCATACAACCTTGGAGAGCTGTTAATTACTAAACTGTGATTGGAAGAGCAAAATAGGACTTTCAGTCATAGAAGAGACAGCCCAGTTATATTTTAAAGATAAGATTTAATGTAGGAGAAAGCTTTAGAACTGAGCCTTGAAAGGTGGGCAAGATGAGTATTTTGCAGGAAAAGGACAAAGTATTCCAAATGAGAAAAAAAAAAAAAGCAGTAAGAATAGAAGCAAGGTGTCTTAATTCAGAATATGGAATACTTTCCTGAGCAGTGTTTCATCTCTGGCAGGTTTTATGTATATATACATATATATGAAATACATAATATTTTATATGTATATAAAATATTATACACACACACACACACACACACACACACACGGAGAGAGAGAGCACATCACTATCTGAAAATTTAAAATAAAAAATGCTTCAAAATCTGAAACTTTTTGAGCACTGACATGACATCACAAGTAGAAAATTGTACTCCTGACCTCATGTGATGGTTACATTTATTATTTAAAATATGTATAAAATTATCTTCAGGCTATATGTATAAGGTGTATATGAAACATAAATGAATTTCATGTTTGGACTTCGGTTGCACCCCCAAAATATCTCATTATGTACATTGCAAATATTCCCAAATCTGAAATTTGAAACACTTGTGGTCTCAAGCATTTTGGATAAGGGATACTCTACACACACACACACACACACGCATGCATGCACACGACCCTCAGTGGATGCTTGAAACATATGCTATGCATTTTCCTATACATACATACCTATGATGAAGTTTGATTTATAAATTAAGCACAAGAAGAGGTTAACAACAGTAACTAATAATAAAATACAACAATTATAACAATGTACTGTAAAAAAAGTTACTGGAATCTCTCTCTCTCATTGTCTCTCAAAATACCTTATTATACTGTACTTGCCAATTTTCTAACTACAGTTGACCCAGAGTAACTGAAACCTTGGAAAGCGAAACTGTGGATAAGGCAAGACTACTGTATACTGTATATATGTATATATAAAAATCTCCCTTTTTTCATATAAATAATAACATGCTATAATTGTGTTTTTTTAACCTAACAATATTTCTGGGAAATTAATCCATCAGTACCTATAGGGCAACAATAGGTGTTTAAAGAAAGGTCTTGAGAAAAATAAATGTATCAGATTCTTAAAATTTTATTGTTATTCATACAAGTTGAAAAATGGTGTCCTCAGTGCCCTCTTCTGTCTTTTACTCACATGTGAAGGTCAAGTCCACATGTTCCCTCTTCAACTCAGCCTCAGTTACTCCATGGCAGAATCAGTTCCCCTCTTGTCTGTGCTCTTCGAGTGCTTTATGCATTATACACTCCATTTATTACCCTGGTTGTGTTGAGAATTTTTTGTTTACTTGTTTGTGTATTTTTATCCATGAGTAGATTGTGAGTTCCTTAAAGCTTTTGTTTCTAGATCCTCATCCCCTAGTACAAGACCTGGTATATAATAAATGCTCACTAAATATTTGCTTGATTAAAAAATAGTGAGAGCACTTTAACTTTCATTGTTCATTGGGTCTATATTTCTTTTCCTTGTTGTTGTTATTCTTTGGTATTTGACTTGCGATATTTATCTTCTCAGTAAAAACATTTTTAAAACCATGGAGCAGATAAAAATTATGGGTTAAAAATAAAACAAATGTCACCTGGAAATATTGACACAATGCACTTTTTAGAAAATTTTGTGAGAAAAAATAGATGATCCTCTTCATTTTATGCTACAAATTCCTGAGGAAGGGCTGATGTGGCCACAATAAACTTGCAGCCTTCAGACTGGAGCAATTGCCCATAAATGTGTTTGTACATACACTTCTTGAACCTACCTCATGATGTACGCATGCACTTGTGTAATACTCACAAAAATGCTTCATGTCATTACTTCAAATATTTTTATGTTTAGCTTAGTCAAGCACAGATTGCTTTAATAGCATCATGGATTTTGTTGCTATGATATAAGACCATAGTGCTATATTTTCATTTCTCTATGCTTTGCTCATTTATATCATCCTCCTTTGCTTGCAATACTTAATAGAACTTTCAGTTTAAATGCAAATAGTTGAAAGAATTATTTCTTATTTGTTCCTGTTATGGTGGATCTGGCTTAACCATCCTTACCCAGAGCATGAGCATTTTTCTTCACTTTGCTTTGAAGATCATTTAAGCTCATCTCTAAACTGCCTCATTATGTCTTTCAGAAATACAGTTCTCATATAACAACTAATCAGGAAATTCAAAGTGTTTGAAGTATGTTGGGAAAAACAGATGTTTGCTATTTAAAGTACTGCAGATGATTGTTATTTCTTTTTCTAGTCAAAAGACGTTCATATCCACTAAATAAATGTATTGTCTTTAAGTGTGCATCCTTCTGTGTCACAGTGGTGGGAAATCTTCACGGCTAGAGTTAGAAATGAAAATGTTCTGCTTAACTATTCATTGTGCACAGTAGGGAAGCTGGGGTTAGAAAAACATCAGTAAATTTTACTCTTCTTAGCCTAACATGAAAAGTAGGTAATGGAAATGGCAGTTGTTGGTTGCTTTGAAATACTAGTATGCTGAATGAGCTCAATAGCCATTTTTTAACCCAAAATAAGCTTAGTTGATTCTTTAAAAAGACTTTAGAGATAAACTTTAGAGATAAACATAGATGTTAACATGTTAAGCAACTGAGCTGTAAAGCCAAAACCTAAGGTAGCAGAAGTAGAAATAGGAAGAATTAGCGAAACATATTTAATTACTCATTACATTCAACCATAGAATTTAAAAGAATTAGTATCATTTAATACTTTTGTTGAAATAGAATTATAATAATGATTCATTTACTTTGCAAAGAATAGGAACACTTTTACACTGTTGGTGGGACTGTAAACTAGTTCAACCATTGTGGAAGCCATTGTGGAAGTCAGTGTGGCGATTCCTCAGGGATCTAGAACTGGTAATACCATTTGACCCAGCCATCCCATTACTGGGTATATACCCAAAGGACTATAAATCATGCTGCTATAAAGACACATGCACACGTATGTTTATTGCGGCATTACTCACAATAGCAAAGACTTGGAACCAACCCAAATGTCCAACAATGATAGACTGGATTAAGAAAATGTGGCACATATACACCATGGAACACTATGCAGCCATAAAAAATGATGAGTTCATGTCCTTTGTAGGGACATGGATGAAATTGGAAATCATCATTCTCAGTAAACTATCGCAAGAACAAAAAACCAAACACCGCATATTCTCACTCATAGGTGGGAATTGAACAATGAGAACACATGGACACAGGAAGGGGAACATCACACTCTGGGGACTGTTGTGGGGTGGGGGGAGGCGGGAGGGATAGCATTGGGAGATATACCTAATGCTAGATGACGAGTTAGTGGGTGCAGCGCACCAGCATGGCACATGTATACATATGTAACTAACCTGCACAATGTGCACATGTACCCTAAAACTTAAAGTATAATAATAATAAAAAAAGAACATTAGAGTTTATTTGGTTCAGTCTCCTATTTTCGGATGAGAAACAGAGTGCTAAAAACATGAAAAAGCTTAGTCACAATTACCTGGTGACTTGGTGGCAAAGACAAGGTTGGAATCCAGGTCTAGGTTATGAGTGTAGAGTTCTTTCTCCTGTATTTCTCCAAAATCATTTTCAAGTACATCTGTCCGTGCAGTGTTTTGTTTGTTTGTTTGTTTGTTTGTTTTTGCTGAGTGAGGAAGCAAGCTGAGAGTGAAAGGAAATCCGTATCTATCCCATGGGTGGAGGAAAAGGATAATGGAAGTTGAGACTGGTTCTAAATCCAAGATTTGCCTCAAAATTATGTCAAATGTCTAATGTCCTCTGGTTGCTGAGTACTTCTGGAGTCCTAAGAATGTCTCCTAAATTACTGAGTTTTCTCTCAATTCCTTTATCTAGAAGAGTTAATTAATATTTGGGGGAAGACACACCAGCATATAATGATCACCGTGCTAATTTGAAATCATTACAGACCATCAGATGAAATGAGATTTTTTTTTTTTAAAAAGAGGGAGCAAATAATAAGGATGTATTGGTTACTTTTGGCTGTAGCAATATTGGATGTCATTGTAAACCATGCTCTTTTTTTGAGATGGAGTCTCGCTCTGTTGCCCAGACTGCAGTACAGGGGCACAATCTCAGCTCACTGCAACCTCCACCTTCTGGGTTCAAGCCATTCTCCTGCCTCAACCTCCAGAGTAGCTGGGACTACAGGCATGTGCCACCACACCAGGCTAATTTTTATATTTTTTTGTAGAGATGGAGTTTTGCCATTTTGGCCAGGCTGGTCTCAAACTCCTGACCTCAAGTAATCCTGCCTCAGCCTCCCGAAGTGCTGGAATTCCAGACGTGAGCCACCACACCTGGCCTGTAAACAATCCTTTTAAAGATCAATTTTTAAAGCAATGCAAGAAGTAGTTACATTGTGGAGATAACAAATGGGAAGTTTGGAATTGAATTTCCCATGGAAGTTCATCAATGGATTCAAAAAAGTTTGCATCTCAGACAATTTAGAATTGAAACTGACATACTCTGAACAATTGGACTAAGAAACCTAGTAATGACAAAGACATGGGTGTTAAAGATGAATCAAATATTTTTTGGTGAAATTTAAAAGGAAAAAGTCGCTAATACTAAATTATCATTTATATAAAGCATGATTTTTAAAATACATGTGGAAATAAACTTATAAATCAGGCACTATGAATGGATTGTTGAATATTTTATCTGCTTCATTATATTTTGATGAATCTCTGCTATAAACTGAATGTTTGTGTCCCCCAAAATATACGTGTTGAAACCCCAATCCTCAGTGTGATGGTGCTTGGAGGTAAAGGCCTTTGGGATGTGATTAAATCACAAGGGTGGTGACCTCAGGAATGGGATTAGTGCCCTTGTAAGAAGAGACAATAGGGATGATCTCTCTCTCTCTCTCTCTCTCTCTCTCTCTGCCATATAACAATACAGCAAGAAGGCATTCATCTAGAAATCAGGAAGAGGGCCCTCATAAGGAACCAGATTGGCTGGCACCTTGATCTTTGATTTCCAAGCCTCCAGCACTGTGATAAATAAATTTCTGTTGTTTAAGCCATTCAGTCTGTGGTGTTTGTTAATAGCAGCCTGAGCTAAGAGAAATAAATTGGTACTGAGAAGTGGATTGCTGCTATAATAAATACCTAAAAATGTGGAAGCAGCTTTGGAACTGACAAAATGCCAATAAATATAGGCAAGTAACCTTTCTCTCATAAAATTAGAGACCTGTAGTTATATATAGACAAAGATTTCTGAGCAACAAATGCTTTCTCTAATGTCATAAAGTTATAAATAAACATCTTAATATTATGATACTAAAGTGTAATTTGCATTTTCTCCTACATATTTATAATAAATATATTCATATTGCTCGGGAATTTTTTTTGCCTTACTGTAGCAATTCAACAATGATAAATAAGCACACTTGCTTAGAGTCCTGGCATGATTTTCTGAAACACGGTCATGTATCAGTAGCTTATTTGTGCTGCTTCAACCTTTTACCAGAAGGCTCTTAAGGGCTTTATGAATTAAATCTTTCAGTGCATTTGAAAAGCTTGCTTGGTAATTGGACAGGAAGGGAACCTCAGGTACAAAGTTATCTAACCAAAACTATGATTTAGGTCACGTACCTCTTTAATGTTAAGCAGTTAGGAGGACATACATATAATTAAATGATCCTTATTATTTGACAAATATATGTCATTCAAAATAATCCTCCCATTAAGGAAAGGTAGCAACCATTAATATTCAACCCTTTGGACTATAACTTAATGACAAACTTATATCCTTAGGCATATAGAATGAACTTGACCTCCCTTAACTTACAAGGCACAATATGTATATATCTTTGGTTTTTTCTTTTCGTTATGCTAAGCCTTTTAGAGTACAATACATAGGCATTTGGTTTTTTTGCAAATAAATGGTGTGTTGTATTTAAACATCTATCACATAGCTCTAATATTTGCTACAGGGCAAATTAATTATAAAATCCCCCTTTCAAAATATTTTTTATTTCTAGGATTTCTATGATCAACTTCCTTATCTTTTGTTGTTCATTTTTCCTTTCATAAATTTCTTTGATTGCTTTTATGGATTTTCTTTTTTGCCTAGTCAGATATAGTTTGATACCATTCTCTATTATTTTTTCAAAGATCTGGTTTTCTTTGAGGCAGCTGGTAGGTAGCTTTTACTAAATTTAAATGTACGCTTCTGTGTAAACCATATTACACTATAAGCTTAGACGTCCTACATTCTTGACTTCCCAGAATATTTGAATTATGTATAATAAACACATTTTTATGTTTTTGAGTAATTATCTCTTCTTTAGGCTAGGAAGGTCTGTAAGATTTGAAAAGGATCAGAGTGAAGATGGTGCAGAGTAGGAGACTGGGGAAGTAGAGAACAGATTTTCCAATTCACGTACAAAAGCCAAGCATTTAACAAACTTAGGAAAATGAAATAAGAATATTTCACAGCATTTTCAACAGTTAGGTATTTTATCCTCTGTTTCCTTTACTTAAGTCTATTTTTTTCCTCTTCTAGGATACATTTTTATTTTATCTGTTATATTTTGAAAGCCTTCTGCTGAGCTACTCATGATATATGATCATTATACATTCTATTCCCTGTGATCCATGCTAAGACAATCCAAACTATAACCCTTCATTATAGTTAAACACACATATTTTTGTCTGTTCTCCTCGCCAGAATGATGATAGTAGAAAGGCAGAAATGCCGTCATAGTCTTGCCTCTTGTGGGGTTTACAGAATATAGTTCAGGAGAAAAAAAGGCAGAACTTGGGTCTTGGACTTAAGATCTTTTTCTTTCACTGTCTTTAGAACAACTGATAATGATATAAATATATCTATAATAAAAACATTTTAATAAAGTTAAGAATTGTTCACCTTTCAGTATCACTTCTGGGAATAAACAGATTGAGAGCTATCTATTATTGAGGTCCATGCTGCAAATAAAATCAAACTTCAAAAGTTTTATAACAAATTCAACCTATTATCCTGGGATTATGTTTATAAATTTTTCTACCATCTGAATTGATATGGCATCTACAACAAATGCTATTTCCTGTAAGCTAGTCATATATTCAGAGAGAATGTTTTTGCCCAGGGATTGGGGGTAGGGAAAGGAAGGAAAGATTGTACTTTTCTTTTGTACAAATATTAATGTATCGCAAAGCACACAAAAGTCTTTACAGAATCATATGGAGCTAAATAAAAATCAACATAATGTACTGTTTACCAGCTTGTCATCTAAATGTCAGCATAGCTAGATTTTTATTGGGGCCTTATTATTTAATAGTCTTGATGTGCTTTGGAGAACTAAGCACATATCTCTGAAGATTTACATATTTGCAGATCCAGAAAGGCCTTGAAAATATGAGCTGGGGAGATGTGCGTTGGCAGGGGGGGTTGGGAGTGATATTTGAACTGCATATTTGAAATGAAGAATGCTAGATTAACTTTAAATACTGGTGTTGAAGGACAGGAAGCAGGGCTTTGCCCTTCATTTTATTCTGGTGCTCAGTTCTCCATAGAAGACAGCTGCCAAAAGTACCAAAGAGACCACAGAACAAGGCAGCCACAAAGAGTTGTGCTGGCAAAAATGAAGCTTAGAGTAGATTATTCAAGAGCTATCCAAGGGTAATGCTTCCACATTGAAAGCCAGAGGACAATGTAAGTTAACCTGGCTTATGTGTCATTCTTTTGCCTCTTCTGAGATTTTGTTTATCCCAAGATTCAAGGACATGAATCCTCAAGTTCCTATATGAACTTGTCATAGAACTGCATTTTTATCTGACTTACTGATCTGTGCTTTTGCATAAAATAAAGCAGATCATCTGGCTTAAAATTAAAAATATACTAACAAAAGTAAAATACTTAATATTTCACTTTTATCTATACATCTATACAGCAGATTTCTTTCTTTCTTTCTTTCTTTCTTTCTTTCTTTCTTTCTTTCTTTCTTTCTTTCTTTCTTTCAAGAGATGGGATTTTGCCCAGGCTGGAGTGCAATGGCACAATCATCACTCACTGTAGCCTCGAACGCTTCAACTCAAGCAATCCTCCCACCTCAGCCTCCCAAGTAGCTAGGACTACAGGTGTGCGTGACCCTGTGTGACTAATGTTTTTATTTGTGTAGAGACGAAGGTCTCACTGTGTTGCCCAGACTGATTTTGAAACTATGGCCTCAAGTGATCCTCCCACCTTGGCCTCCCAAGTTGCTGGAATTACAGGCATGAGCCACTGAGCTCAGCCCTATAGAGCAGATTTAAATGACCAACTTCAACTGTATCTTTTAAAAGAGGTTTACTGTATGCAAGAGGGATGGCACACCCAAATGAGAGTAGGTTCTATTCTGACTACACTAGGAGAAATGCTACTTACCTGGTGTAATGGACTGAAGGTTTGTGTCCCCCAGAATTTGTATGTTGGAGCCTTAATCCCCAAGGTGATCGTATTTGGAGGTGGGGCCTTTGGAGGTACTTAGGTTTAGAGAAGGCCATAAGGGTGGGTCCTACTGATGGGATTAGTGACCTTATAAGAAGAAACCAGAGAGCTAGTGCTCTTTCTCTGTGATGTGAGGATGGAGCAAGAAGGAAGCAGCTGTAAATCAGAAAAGAAGCCCCTCACCAGAACCTGACCATGCAGGCACACTGATCTCAGACTTCACAGCCCCCAGAACTGTCAGAAACAAATGGCTGTTATTTAAACCAACTAGCCTATGGTATTTTGTTATAGCAGCCTGAGTTGGTTAAGACATCTAGGATGTTCACTCTGCCCACCCACCAGAATAGTGCTTTTAAATTGTGTATCTTTCTTAAGAACCTGTCTTTAATTGTGTGTGAAAGGGATTTCATGAAACCACAAAAACATTGAGAATAAGCGACTGAACCCAACTAAGGAATTTGCTACATTTAATTTTCTAACTAATTTTTATCTATTCCAGCAACCAGTAATATGTAGGAATCAGAACACTATGTCTCTGGCATTAAAAATTCCTATTCCCTTCTCACTCATGTGTGGGGAAACTGGCTGAGGCAGAGCCTCGGTCCTGGTTTAAGTCCTTCTTAAGTCTAAGTCCGGCTGTGGCCCTGATGCTGCGTCTTTCACTGACCTGCTGTGATCTTGCACCTCTTGTCTGCACCTAGATCAGTCCATGTTAAATGACACTTTCCTGGTATCAGAGATGATTGAAAGATTGGAACATACATAGTCTCTTGGTTTAAAATCGTACTTTTAAAATATGCAATATCCTAAGTGCTCACTTGAAGTTTTCTACAAACTTCATCTCTTCTATTTCTATTGTTCTTGGGATTTTCCTTTTGAAAAGAATTTTGGTTCAAATGTTATCAAAAACAATCTGATATTGCCTAGAAATGATTTGCCCTCTGATTGCTGCCTAATCTTGTTTGCTGCCTTCTGGGATTTTGCTGGCTCAACCTTACACATTTGCATTCATGTGGGTTATATATGCACATCAAGACTTACTGTGGCCATGTGCCCTGGTAGTGAATAAGCATTTCTTTCATAGCCATATTAAATCCATCTGGTAAGAACAAATACATTACCCAGTAAGAAGCAAAGGGAGAAGGTGATATAAAATGAGAAAAGAAGCATTGTAAAATATGTTAAATCAGAATACTAACCCTCCTTCTACTTTTAACCAAAAATTTTACCAGCTCCTTTGTATAACAAATTCGAAAGAAGTCCATTCATTTATCTAACAAATATTTATTAACTACTGATTATAGAAGTAAAGATATAGAGTTAATTAAGTTCCAAGTTCTACCCTGAAGTTTCCCGTATTCAAATGATAGAGACAAGTAGGTACAAATAATTAGAACACAGTGTTATGCCAGAGGTAAGGGAGCATCAAAGAGGGAACTGCTCTTTAACCTAGTGTGGCAAATGATTGCTTCACAGAGGTGGTAACATTTAAGCTGGCTTCACAGAGGTGGTAACATTTAAGCTGGGTGTTGATGATGTTTTAACAAGTTTTAAGGGTGAGAGAGCTTTCAAGGCAGATAGCCATTATTAGTTGAGCCATATGAAATTGCCATTTTTAAATGTCAAAAACAGGTAAAATACATCAAATGCATATGGTTCATCAAGATAAAAAGCCACTAAGATTTTGGGAATGCAAAGGTTGTATGTGAGAGTGGACGGAAGATAAAAAGTAATTTTGAGCAGCTTAGCAAGGGCCAGACTAAGAAATCTGGATTTTATTTTGTAAGCAATTGAAAGTCTCAAAATGTTTTGACTAGTGGATTTATATGTCAAGTTATGTATTGTATAAAATGTGGATTAGGGGCCAAAAAGGGCAAGACGCTGTCTGGAGGCTGTGCTATCACTCCAGATATAAGAGATGATGAGGCTTCAACCTAGAAAGTAGCAATGAGATTGGAGGGAAAGAAACAGAACATTGTAGGATGGAGAATCAGCAGGGCTTGTCAGACAACTAAATGTGGAGGATAAGAGAGAAGAGTCAAGAATGGCAGAATTTTTAGCTTGGATGAAAGAGTGAGCGGCGGGCAGAGATAGTTAAGGAGAAGAGAGAAAATCTGGGACCTCACAGAGAAGTAGTAAGTTCGATTTGGAACATTTGAAAATTTAAAAGTAAGCTGGCACTCAGGAGAAAGGTTAGGGTTATTATCATGGCTAAAGTCTTGGAAACTATGGTATAGATGAGATTACTTTAGATTAACAGATAGAATTAGAAGATCATGAGAAAGCCCTGAGGTTTAGGCAAACATTAAGACACAGGTAGAGACAGAACAGTCCACAAGGAAGATTGAGGAGGAGCAGAAGAGATGAAAGACAGTGCATGTGAGAGGGTTTTTCTAGAAGACCAGACGGGATGATTACAAGGATGGAGTGCTAATAATTATGATTTCCTGGGAAATTCATGTTTGGGGGCATACTAAAATTATACCATATATTGTGGTGTTCTGCCTAGTAAAATTAACCAATATTAAATATTATTGGGATAATTTAGACCTTAGAGGTTAGAAAACCAAAGACTTTATAGACTGGTGCAAACTTATTTGTGCCCTAAAGCTTTTTATTTTTAAGCTTTTGTATATAGATGTATAAATAATGATGGTAATAATTTATAATCCAATCCATGTCAAAGTTTCAGTTTTCTGTTTCCCTTTCTTCTTTTTAAAACACACATAAATGGACATATACTCCTAACTCAACTTTTTCTATGAGGAGTTCTACGTGCTTTACAAATACTGCATAAATAATCCTGCAGCTCTGTTGTGGATAGAAACAATTGCTTTGTGGTGGTAAGTGGGGAGTTGAGAGACTTGCCAGGTGTTAATTGTAGATAGAATCTAAATTCCCAGATTGTGATTCTCAAGGCAAATCTTTGCCTTAAGGCTCAAGCCCAGATAAGAGACTGTATTCTAGTATATTCTTCCTTTCTCTTTGCAGCATGATGAGACAGAATGACTAAAATCTGCAGTTCAACTACCTAAAATTAATACTTTATTCTTCTAGGAAAACTCTTAGTGAACACTAACTAAAACAAAGCAATCATATTAATTTGCTGCCCAAATTTAAAATCAAATTTGATAGATCTAAATTCTGAAAAGCATTGAGCTCAATAAAAGTGATGATCAAGAATCAGGGATGGTTCAGAGTTATTTGATGCTGATCTCCTGAGAATAGAGCCTAGGAGTCCCAGTTACCATTCTAAATACTTGCATTACTTAAGGTAAATTGAAATTCTTTATGTGCTGGGCATATTTCACTATGGCCTTCTTAAGTCTTTAAGTTGTATCTCACCTATTGTTATTGCCACTACTGCAACCCTAGCATCAATGAAAGTCTAAAGATAGACTGCTTCTCCACACACTTTGGCACATTTTTCCAGTAACTGAAAGATGAAGCAAATGTGAAAGTCTGCAAGTCTTGGAGCTTTTAATAATAAAACATAGATTTCACATGCTTTTTACATCAAAATATGAAAGATGATGCTGGCGTGTTTTTTATTGTCCATGCAAGATAGCATTGGATTACAGGTCGTTCTGTTACCGTACCGGGACCAGGCTGCACAGACACTGAGTTGAGGTAAATTCTCTAAGTCTAGTAAAGGGGGAGACAAAGAGATGCATGAGTCTGTTAAGTGGCTTTTTGGTAGCTGACAAACAGTTGTTGTATTAGAAAGGAATAAACTGTAAATGTTTAAAGGAGGAGAACAATAAAGACCAACGTCTTTAAACTTTTCTCTAGTGTATCTGACTGTTAGGATTATTTAAACTATAAAGTAAAAATAGAGAAATTAAATACATTTAAGGGAAATTAATATCATCATTCACCTTATTATCTGCTTTCTCATGCACATAAGCTACTACTTTTACACTAGGATATGTATCTGCTTTTATATTTTCTCCAGATTCAAACAGATGTTAGCAAGCTTCCTTCACTGTACAACTTTTATTTTCCTTTCCATATAACCACAAATAGTTTTCTGCATTTTTCTTGATCTTGTTTTTCTGATTTATTCTCTTTTGCCTTTTTCTTTCTCAATCTTTAATAACTTCGGATTTTCATCAGGAGCCCTACTGCTTCCTCTCATTTTCTTTCTTCTTTAAATCCCTTTTCAGCTTATTTCTATCTTGGTTTTGTCTTGCTTCTAGATGTCACTTTTATCCTCTTTCCCTCCTTGCTTTTACTCTGTCTTTGCTCCCTTAAATACAGTTGACAAGACCTAGAAACAACACAGTTCAGTAAGTTGTCATGTGTATTGTTCATAATGGACAGTCCACATCCAGGAGCAGTCAAGGCCAGCTCTTTTTTGATCCTCAGGGACTAAAGCCAACAATACAGCAACAACCCCTTATGTCCATTACAGAAAAGACAGATGCCAGCTAACTACATTCACAGCAGAAAACTGAAAAATATGATCTTTGATCTCCAAGAACTTAGAGAAAATATGCTTTTATCAAGTTGATGTAATAAAAAAGTGAAATAGTTTACTTTGAAAACTGTCAGAGAGACAAATATAGGATCTGGTGCTGAAATGATCCATAACCATCGTTTCTTCCCTCTGTGTTAAAAACCGTTAGAGAGAAATCCATTCATATCCATTTCAACCCATGAGGCATCTTTTTGGAGCTGAAAACTCTCCCATGCTCTGACATTTATTTTCACAGTATTCCTGGTACCCGGGAAAACAGACATGTGTGGGAGGCTGATGATGAAGATGAAACAGAACTGGCCCTGGTTTCATTCTCTTCTGTGTTGCTACCACACCGCATTCACCACACACTTCATCCCAATTCATTCTGCATCCTGGTCAAGATAAATCTAACTGAGATAGAACTTTTGTTTTATTACTCCCCCTATTCAAGAACTTCCAATAGAAAATGAACTGAAATTGTAATCAGGAGTGACTTAATTTGTAAAGTGATGTATTAATAACAGCTCTCATATCAACTTTACAACTTGTAATCATCCAAATGAGATAGTATATTTCAAGGTGAGTCATGAACTGTCAAGTCCTTTAACATATGAAATGTTGCGAGTGAACTCCCCTGACAGAAAAGTCCACGCTCCTCCACACTGAGGGCTATTCAGTCACTTAATTGTACCAACCACCTGTTGTGCTGTTGCCCTAGCATGTTTTGTGCTGCTATATATATAATAATGAATAGATTATACATATTATTATATATTAATATATAATAGAATAGAAATTTGTTTGGCACATAGTTCTGGAGTGTGGGAAGTCCAAGATCGAGGGGCTACATCAAAACATGACAGAAGGCATCACATATGCCACAGAAGAAGGACAGGAAAGAACCAAACTCGCTTCTGTAACACCCCCCATCCCCGCCCCAGATATAGAACTCACTCCTGAGACTCCATTCATCAGGGCAGAAACTAATCACCTCTCAAAGATCTCACCTCTCAGAACTGTTGCATTGGAGATTAAGTTTCCAACACATGAACCTTGGGGGACACATTCAAACTATAGCAGCTGCTCTATCCCTTTCTCCCCTGTTGCATCCACACTGGCTGTATTAGTCTGTTCTCATGCTATTAATAAAGACATACCCGAGACTGGGGAATTATGAAGGAAAGAGGTTTAATTGACTCCGTTCCACATAGCTGGGGAGGCTTCACAATCATGGTGGAAGGCAAGGAGGAGTAAGTCACATCTTACATGGTGGCAGGGAAGAAAGAGAATGAGAGCCAAGTGAAAGGGGTTTCCCCTTATAAAACCATCAGATCTCATGAGACTTACTCATTACCATGAGGACAGTATGGGGGAAACTGCCCCCATGATTCAACTATCTCCCACCAGCCCCCCTCATCAACATGTGGGAATTGTGGGAACTACAATTCAAGATGAAGTTTGGGTTGGGGACACAGCCAAACCATATCACTGGCTATCTGTCAGCTCCCAGGACATACCCTGGTCTCACCTGCCCTCAGGGCCTTTGCATTTGCTGTTTCTTCTGCCTGAAATACAAGTCCTACAACCACTTCAGAGACCCCTTCCTTATGAACCCTCTATATGCAGGCCATCCTTAATATTTTCCCTCATAGAATCATGTTTTTTTCCCTAGCAGTTACACAATCTGTCATCATTTTATTGATTGATCGTTACTTATTTATTATCTGTTCCCCAGACTAAACTGGGAACTCCGTGAGAGAAAGCATCTCATCTGTGTGGTTCACCAACGTTTCATAGCATCTGCCACAGTATCCGGCACAAAATAGGTACCTCATTAATCATGAAATTAGAGTCTTTGAAGGCCATATTTCAGAATGGCAGAAAAGAGGATATTAGTAGGAGCTGGTACCTGTTATGTAAGTTGAATTGTAGTGCTTTGTTGTAAGAGAACTGAGACCACTCTGGACAAAATTAAGTATAGATTGCCTAATGACTCATTCCCAACATTAAGATGCTATTTTGAGGGCTGGATGCGGTGGCTCACGCCTGTAATCCCAGCACTTTGGGAGGCCAAGCCCAGCAGATCACCTGAAGTCAGGAGTTCGAGACCAGCGTGGCCAACATGGTGAAACCCCGTCTCTACTAAAAATACAAAAATTAGCCAGGTGTGGTGGTGAGTGCCTGTAATCCCAGCTACTCGGGAGGCTGAGGCAGGAGAATCGCTTGAACCTGGGAAACGGAGGTTGCAGTGAGCCGAGATCGTGCCAATGCACTCCAACTTGGGTGACAGAGAGAGACTCCATCTCAAAAAGAAAAAAAAAAAAGATGCTATTTTGAATATCTTATGTTAAAATGAAAGAGACTAGTACAGTTTGTGATACATTTTATGTCTAATGATTTAAATATATATGCATATATATTAACTTTAAAAATTTATATTTTAATACTCAATGTAATGACAACTGTAAATGTATATATTTACTATGGCTAAATTTAAATTTAAAATTCCATTTCACTGAATATGAATGTCAAGAATTATATAAACAATTGAATATAAGATATAAAATTATTCAGAGTTAAAATCTAACTACTTGCTATTTTGCTGTTACTGATATCAGCTCTAGAACATGGTTTTGCTGGGAAACAAATCTCAGTTTAACTTACTTGAATTCTGTGAAAATATATAATATTCAGTTTTATATTTCTATTTAGTATTTAATAATAGTTGCAAAAAGCCCATATTATTTGCACAATCCATTTGGGTTGACTTGAAATTATTAGAATGGGAAAATCTTATTTTTTGTAATTGTTTAAAATAAATCTCAGTAGTAGCTGTGATATATTCTGTAATTTGTCTCACTCAACATGCATTCCAAATCATATTTTCTCTTGTGTCCGCTAGTAGAGAAGCTGAAAAGCAAAACACTTTTTTAAAGCACCTTCCAGGTAGGGATGGTCATGAGACACAGGAATAGCCAATGAGCTAAAGAGAAAGACTGCCAGGAGGGACTTTCTTCCCTAAATAAAAAAACAAAGACTCTTTGAAGAGATTCAGGTGTCTTGAGTGCAGCAGTCAACTTGTGACATGAGGCATAAACATGAAGACAAATGTCTACAAGCTAAGAATGAGAGGGGTGGAAGGATGAAATGAGTCAAGTCCCTAATGGCATCCCTGGATGATGCACCACCCCAGCTCAGGACTGCCAACTGCAGCACTTCCTGTTGTATTTAACAAATAAATTCCTTGAAATTTAAACCACATTTCTGGCTTTAAGTTTCCTGGTATTTTCAGCCAAGCAAATTCTTAACAGATACATCACCTAGGTACAAATTTAAACTTTATTACATGGAGATTATAATTTCAAATAAACATTTAGGGAATATTTAGTTTTATCTTAAAACCTCTACAAAGTTTGTCTTTTACTTTTGCTAATAATAATGACCCTATTGTTACTAGTAATGCTGTGTTATAGTATAACCAGCCTGTAGATAAAATAGGTTGGCAAATATTCACAAAAAAGAATTTTCGTACTACTTTGGGCTCTAACCAAATGATTCAAATTTCCATTACAATGGTTGGAGTTTCCCATTTTGCTGAACACTTTGAGAACAGGAGAGATACAGCATTTTATGTGTTTTTTAAAATGTCTACAAAATATTGTCTAATGTTCAGATAATATTTTCATTGATCCATTCAATAGGTATGTACCGAATGCCTATGCTTCTTTGCTATGGACAACCCAGGGCAATAACTATTCCTTATTATACTATTTCACAGATTTGTTAATTTTCTTTCCAAAATCTGTGCAAACCTCCCATTCATACTAAAGTTTACCAATAGCATACTTGTATAATGTTTGCTGTTATTTATGTCAAATATGGCATGTTGTATTTACTGCTTTTCTTTGAGGACTGAAATAATTGCCAAAACCAATAAGTAAAATATGCTTATAATAGAGAAATCTTGTTTTCCTTTTTATTATTTTTAAAAATTATTTGAAAAATTTTTTTTAGAGGCAATGGTCTCGCTCTGTTTCCTAGGATGGAGTGCAGTGGCACATTCATAGCTCACTCCAACAGTGAACTCGTGAGCTCAAGTTCCCAAGAAGCTGAGACTATAGGCACATGCCACCACATGCAGCTGATTTTTAAAATGTTTTATGGAGACCAGGTCTCACTGTGTTGCCCAGGCTGGTTTCAAACTCCTAGCTTTAAGTAATCCCCCCAACTTAGCTTCCCAAAGTGTTGGAATTACAGGCATGAGCCGCTATGCCAGCCTAAAACATTTTTTCATATAATTAAATATTGTTCTAAAAGTTGTTTTCAACTTTTCTTTATTATAAACAGTGCAGTGTTTTCAATCTTTATAAATAAATTTTTACTACATCTATAATTATGCCCATGGTATAAATTACTAAAAAGAAAATTACTGGGTCAAAGGGCTTGCAATTTTCTAAGTCCCCTATCATCATCAGGCAATATTTTTTATTTACTTATTAAAATTTGAGGTGACAAATAGTAATCTCCTCACTTTAATGTGTATGCTTTTAATTACTAAAAAAGATTATCATATGATTATTAGGAGACATGCAGTTTTCTATTTTAATAGCTGAATGAGAATTTCCGGAAGTTCATTCATTGTTTTAACAAACATTTTTTAGCACTACTCTGTGTCTACATAGATTCTAACTTATTCCAAAAAGATTAAAAAGTGTTCCAAACAGATATGAATTCCCTTCAACCTTTGTTGATGACTTTGGACTAATGTCCCAAAGCTATCTAGAGCTAGGTCTCTTTGCACCCTGCTGTGTAGTGCCTTTGGTCTACAATGCCCCACCTGTAATATAAGCAGTAACTGTGATCTCGCTTTCACTTTATTAGCATTTGCAGAGTGGTTTCCACCTACTGACAGATTACTGAATATTATACAAGTTTTACACACATGATAATTACATCGTAAAACCAATTTTGTCTTATCTTGCCCCCTTTCAAACAAAAGACACTTTTATACAGGCATCACTTAAACTCCTCTTTGTAAAAAAAAAAAAATCAGGTTTCAATTCTCTTTACAAATGAAAATATAAATCACAGCCAGTTAAAGCTATTCTCTCAAGGCAATGGAAACCCAAATGCAAGCAGTTTAGAATAGAAGACTAATCAGAAGATAGAGAAGCTTTTAAGATCTAATTACTCAGAAGAACTAACTAAAGCAGCTACAATACTTAAATGTTATCTTATATAACCTAATACATTTGAAAGATATTATCAATATTATACTGTTTTTTCATAGGGTATTGAGTCATTTGGTACATTTTGTTTTTAAACAACAGTTTAAAATGTGTTAAAAATAATAATCCTACAAAACCAACACTTCTTTCTCAATGGTTGGATGCCAGGATTATCTTCAAAGGTAAATGTAAATTTAAAGTCATCTTTAAAATTTTTTAGGGCGCTTAAAAAACTTGTATTAATATCAAACACCTGAAAATACAGGTTCATGTAATTAAAAGCTCATTTGTGCCTTTCTATGAGGTTTCTGATTTCAGTAACAGAGCGAAATTCTTCAAGATAATCTTTAACCTCTTATAGAAACAGCCAGTGTAACTTGCCTTCTAATAAAATCTCAGCTCTCACATACACAAAGAATGGTGTGCGGCATAACCTCAAGCTGTGGATTGGGGAACAGAACAACAAAGAACTGTCAGACAATGTATGTGGGAAGAAGAGAAACTGGAACCAAGGGGGTGGATACAATTAATGCTTTCAAACGCAAGCTCTTAGAGGATGTCCCTCTCAAAAATCACCAGATTCTCTATTATTCGTGAGAAGTAGGGGAAAAAAGGGAAAATATTTTTAACTTACATGGATCTCTACTCCTAAATACTTCAAAATAGAGTCCAGCTGACACTGACTAGTAGCAACTCAGATGATCTAATTCACAGCATGGTCTGCAGTTTGCCAAACGTATCTCAGTGAAGCTTGAAAGATGGCCCCAAAGTGCATTATCCTCTAATAAAGCCTGTGGGAAGTGAAGCATTCATTCTGCTTCCTGGGACAGACTTTTGTGGTAAGAATCAGAGCAGTAACAGATGACTGAATGGCATCATTCAGGTGCCAACAGAACCACAGAGGACCAATGCTTCTAGACTTTGGGTTATAAATGCAGCCATGTTGTAGACAGATGTACCCAGGTGACACCAACAATTTTCAAATGAGAGGTGAGCATCCGACTGGAATCACAGGCAGTGGACAGTCCCTAAACTGATTCATTAGGCACAAACGGATGATCTGTCAGAGAATAATGACTTTTAGGACTTCTGTTCTCACTCTAATGCTTGATATTAATGACCTTTCAGGATGGTTGATATCATTGGAATTTCATCTGCCACAAAGAAAGGAAACCGGCCGGGCGCGGTGGCTCACGCTTGTAATCCCAGCACTTTGGGAGGCCGAGGCGGGTGGATCACGAGGTCAGGAGATCGAGACCATCCTGGCTAACACGGTGAAACCCCGTCTCTACTAAAAAAATACAAAAAAAATTAGCCGGGCGTGATGGCGGGCGCCTGTAGTCCCAGCTACTCGGGAGGCTGAGGCAGGAGAATGGCGTGAACCCGGGAGGCGGAGCTTGCAGTGAGCCGAGATTGCTCCACTGCACTCCCGCCTGGGCCACAGAGCAAGACTCCGTCTCAAAAAAAAAAAAAAAAAAAGAAAGGAAACCAGTAAATGAATCAGTTTCTGGATGAGAGTAGAAAGCTGTCCCTGAAAAGGAAGCAAAATGACAGTTGTTGGAGAATAAGAGCTAGTGTGAAACCAAAATATGCACTTATCAAACAAAACTCTCTTATTACCTCTAAATTAAATCTAATTGGTTTTTTTTTTGTTTGCATTTGTTTTTTAGTGATTTATTTTACTGGAGATAGCAATGTCCAGATAGCATGTTTAAGCTTGACCAAAAATTTGAATCTCTAAGCAACATATTCACTACAAAAAATAAAAAAGATCTGAAATTTGAAACACAGCATTTTGATTTTTACCAGGCCCTGTTTATGATGCATTAGACTGTCAGTGAAGGGTGCATCTCACTAATAATTCACGGGACATAGATTGTTGCATGTCTGTAGCATGCAAGACTCTGCTAAATGCTGCAATAGAGGACTTTATGGTCTAGGTCAGAGGTCAGTAAACTTTTTCTATAAATGTCCAGGTGGTAAATATTTTAGGTTTTGCAGGCCAGATGGTATCTAATGCAACTACTAAGCCATTGTAGCAAAAGAAAGTAGCCTTAGACGATATACATATATTAGTATTGCTGTTTTCCAAAAATCTTTACTTATGAATGCAAGTTTGAATTTTACATAACGTTTCTAGGTTACAAAATATTATTCCTTTGATTTTTAAAAAATTGTTTAGAAATTGTAAAAACTATTCTTAGCTCACAGGCTGTACAAAAACAGACAGCAAACCAGATTTGGCCCATACACTGTAGTTTGCTGCCCTTGATCTAGGCTATAATAGATTAAATATAGTTGCCTTAAAGATACAAACAAAAGTTCCCTAGGTCTACGGGGATTAGAGAGAGCTCTTCTAGTTGAAAACTTCAAGAAGGAGGTGACATTTCAGCTGACTTGAAGGATAGGATTTTAGTATAGAATGTGGCGATCCACACTGGAGCTTTTTTGAGAGTAAATGGAAACATTGTTAACGGTTATTCTAGGGAAAGAGGTGTAAACCCTGGCTATCCCATGCAAATTGGGACATATGGTTATCCCAGGAGGGGGAGTCTAGAGGTGCTATGAGCAGAGAGCTCTGAGTGTGCCCAAGGGCTGTGTATCATTGTGTGAAAAAGTCCAAATTGGTTAAAACACATTAAGAAGGAATAATGGGAGATACAGCTAGAAAGGTAGCCTGGGGCTTGAATTAGGATTGATCTTGGTCCTTAAACATGAAGTGAAGATATTTGAAAACTATTAAATAGGTAATGGAGAGGTCCTGCAATTTTTTAAACAGTAAACTGACTCATCACATATCAGTAATATCAGTGATGTGCAGACCGAATTGGATCAGGCAGAAACTACTTGCAAAATCCCAATTAAGAGACCACGGCAATAGTCTGAAGAGAGGATTAAAAACCCTGGACTAAGTCCAGGCAACATCAATAGAAAGAAAGGGGTGGATGAAAGACACATCAGAGAAAAGGAGTCAAGAGAACTTGTCAATTGAATATAAAAGATAAGCTAACAAAAAGGGAAAGTCAAAGACAACTCCCAACACTTTAAGTCTGGGTGATTATAGGCATACAATATTTGTGGATTAGAGGTAGGAGGAAAGGGAAGTCTGCACATGCACATGTAATTGGAATCCTATTCTTATTCTTTTAATTTGGAAAATAGATATAAGGTAGCAATAGTAGTTCTGTAGTTTAACTTTTGAAAACACTTTTATGCCAGAGAAACACAATCTGAGTAAAGTTTTGAGTGGCTCTGTGATAAATGGGGGTGTGGGCAGCTTGTTTTGAGAAAGCGGGACTTTGATTTGGAGGGAGGGTGAGGGAGAGAGTTGGGCAACTGTCTCTGTAACTATTCTTTCTGTCTTCTTTCTGGGACCCAGTGGGAAGCAACCCATTTTTAACTTAGTACAATGGTTCATAGTGCTTGCTGTGAAAGTAAAAATGAATCCACCTAAGGAAAAAGTCCAGTTATGACAAGCCTGTAGCTAGAATATGATTCAGAATAATTTTCAGCCATGAGCTTAGATCACCCAGTTATCTCAATAGCTGTCTAAAGAGTTCTGAGAACTATCCCAATTAAAACCTTATTTTTTCTTAAAAAAAGAACTCATTTCCTATAGAACATTTAGGATTGTGACAGATGCTCTGAAATCAAAATAAAGAAACAATGATAAGGCACTACAACGTCTAACACATTTGAATTGAGTTTCTGCTACTTTCCTTGACTCACAAAATGGTGCCCAAGCTATATTTTGATTTGTTCACATTCAATTTTCCGGTAACTTTCTAAGCACTAATTATATTTTTAGAGAGAATATATCTGAGGAAAGGGAGAGAAGCAGATAAATTAATGGAAAAAATAGCAGGTAATTATAATTACCTGAAAGTACACACACACACACACACACACACACACACACCTATTTAAAAATTTTTCTAAAACAATAAAGTGAATCAAGTTGCTACAGAAACAAATTTAGAAATACTAATGTCTACTACTGGGGAGATTTGAGTTCTTGGTTTTTGTTCAACCACCTTCTCTGGTTAAGTAAGACAAAATTAACCAGTCTGGCCATAGGGTATGGTCTGCCATTTCTCTAAAGCAGTGTACCAGAAAAACAAAGCAGACTTTTTTTTTTGGATATTTATATCCTTTATTTGTATGCATATAGTAAGCATTCCATACAAATTTGTTTTGTTTAAGGGATAAAGCAATCACTATGTAATTAGATCTTCTACTGAGATATATTTTTTTAATTATTATACTTTAAGTTCTAGGGTACATGTGCACAACCTGCAGGTTTGTTACATATGTATACATGCGCCATGTTGGTGTGCTGCACCCATTAACTCGTCATTTACATTAGGTATATCTTCTAATGCTATCCCTCCCCTCTCCCAGCAGACTTTAATATATTATTTTCCCTGGCCCCAGAATAGAATCTCCAAACACCTTAAGGTGTGAATTATTGAGAAATGCTGTCCCATTGTGGTGAGAGACTGCTGGGGAAATAGTTGGGTGGGGACAGGGTAGTTCCTGATGCTTTAGTGTTTCCTTGGCACCAAAGAATAAAAAATAAATTATAGTGTAAAACCCTATATAGAACCAAAACACCAACTGATGCTAATTCATTAGTGCAAGTAGTGAAAGAGTGTTGGTTTTACTTTTTAAAAAACTTCCGCCGGGTGCGGTGGCTCACGCCCGTAATCCCAGCATTTTGGGAGGCCAAGGTGGGTGGATCACGAGGTCAGGAGTTCGAAACCAGCCTGGCCAATATGGTGAAACCCTGTCTCTACTAAAAATACAAAAATTAGCCGGGCATGGTGGCATATGCCTGTAGTTCCAGTTGCTTGGGAGGCTGAGGCAGGAGAATTGCTTGAACCAGGGAGTCGGAGGTTGCAGTGAGCTGAGATTGCGCCACTGCACTCCAGCCTGGGTGACAGAGCAAGACTCCGGCTCAAAAAACAAACAAACAAACAAAAACCTTCCATTTGGGATCCGCTTCTGCTTCTGTCCTTGTGCTCTGTTCTTTGAAACTGTTAAGTTTCTTTCATTGATCTTCCTAGATGTTTACCTCTACTTGCATTGACTATGTAGCATTATAAATACAAAACCTTATAATAGTATGTAACATAGAGTCATTATGAATACAGTTGTTCTCCCTTATTTGAAGTTTTGCTTTCTGAGGTTTCAGTTATCCGAGGTCATCTGTGGCCATCCGTGATGCACAGAAAATATGAAATAGAAAATTATAGAAATAAATAATTTATGTCTTAAATTGCCCACTGTTCTGAATAGCAGGATAAAATCTCATGCCATCAAACTCTGTCCCACCCAGCATGTGAATCATCTCTTTGTCCACTGTATCCACGTTATCCAGGCCACCTAACCTGCCTGCCCTTTTGCCACTTGCTAGCCATCTTGCTTGTCAGATCAACTGTCTCAGTATCGCAGTGCTTGTGTTCAAGTAACCCTGATTTTACTTTATAATGGCTCCAAAGCACAGGAGTAGTGATGCGGCATATTGTTATAATTTTTCTATTTTATTATTAGTTATTGTTAACTTCTTCATTGTGCTTAATTTATAAAGTAAACTTTATCATAGGTCTGCATGTATAGGAAAAAACAAAATACAGGGTTTGGGGCCATCCGCAGTTCAGGCATTCACTAGGGGTCTTAGAATGCCTCCCTTGCGAATAAGGGGAGACTACTGTATGTGTTATATTATGTATTATTAGAAATGATACAAACATATAACATTATAGATATATAAGGACGGGATGGCAGGCCACCCTGGCTGGTGCTTCTGATTATATCCCTCTCTCCAGCTTCCTGGTAGTTATGATTACACACCAGGGCTTTGAAAAATGCAAGATTTCTAATTAAAGCACATCTATGCTCTAGTTTTTTCTCTCTGAGTTTCTTACCTGTATGCATTTTCTATTCGGTGTTGAGGTATGTAACAACTGCTCTGACAGACTGAGAATCTAATATTAAGAAGGATACGTAAGAATGCAGGTGAAACAGATACCCTGCTCACACCCAAGCGTGTTTTTGCTTACAATGGTTGTTAACCAAAAAAAAAAAAAAAAAAAAAAAACAAAAAAACTAGAGCACCTGCTTTCTTCTCTTGTTATTATTCTCATAATTCTTAAATTCAAATGAAATTAAAAATTCCTGGGTTGAAACTAGATTTAAACAAATGACAGTTTGTTGCTGGTTTGCCCACCAGTTAACTTTCTCTATGAAAGATCCATTTCCTATTCCAAGGTAAAGAATTACAGGAATGTGTGTAATTGATTTTAGATGTAGCTATTTTAAAACCTTGCAGAAAATTACAATCATATTAACATAACTCATAAGTGAAAAAGGTTTGGCGTTGGAGATCTAGATATTTGCCCCCTTCTTTAAGAACCTCTTTCACGTACCTTAAGTAAGCGAACTCACTTTACTACCCATAATAGCCTAAAGATATTCTTAGGAATCTCTCAAGGTTATGTTTCTGAAAGTAATACAAGTATAACAGGCTTTATCAATGTGTGTTTGTTACTGTGCCATTATTATTCATTACTTACCACTTCAAAAAATAAGTGTGTAACTTCAACCTGCCTGTGCTAAAAGATTAGGGCATATCTGTATGCCCTCAAGATCAATAACTTTTACTATGAAAATTCTCATGTGCAACTTTTAATTCTGTCAAATGAGCTGATCTTTTTCTTTACTAACGGAGTCCTCATTAAGTTTCAAATAAAGAATGACAGTATTGCTGCTCACTTTCAAGCCATACCTTTGACCTTCCAAACCACTTATAAGCTGAACAAGATGTAATATTGGGAATAGAAAATACTTTAGTTGAAAACCTTGAGTATCCCTGCTGGATCCTGGCTGGGCTTCTGACCTTTAGCAAATCACTGACTCTCTGTGAGTCAGATTTCCTCTAAACCTACATTTACAATGTGTAGCTTACAGAAATAGCTAGAAAACTTATACTTTTGAGGCATTTTATTTTTAATGCTTTATATACCTTGTTCCTGGAATAGTTACAACTCAGTTCTCCATAGAAAGTTAATGTAGTCAATCCTTTATCTAATAATAGTACCCCTATAATGTGTATGAAGAAAATGAAGAAGAAGAGGGTGGGAAATGGCTATTTTATACCATGTGTGAAGGAGGCATGAAGAAGAAAATCATAAAATCAAATAGCTTATATTACAATTTCAAATAAAAAATGGCTATCTGATGTTGGCATACTCTAATCTTTAAAAATATTTTACAAATAAATAAGAGAGAACAAATACTAAGAGTTCTGAGGGATATTCATTAATCATGGAACTATGGCCCCTCCACGGCTGCTAATGTCTTTGCAGAAATACATCTGATCTACCTTTCAAAATTATTGAATAAAATATGCAATTATGAAATAACATCTCACTATTACTATCTTTTTCTCTCTTCCTTCATTTTGTGCAGGAAACAGGAAGTCATTTGGGACCTCTTTTAATTATTTATTTCTTTTTTTGTCTTTAGGAGTTGTACAGATGTTCTGTGCTGTATGATCTTCCTACTGTGTATTATTGGCTACATTGTTTTAGGACTTGTGGGTGAGTAAATACAGGTATAGAAAATATTTAACACTTGCTAATGGAATAACTAAGTCAGTGTCACATATAAAAAATTAATTATTGTCTTCCAAAAGCCTTCCTATTATTGACTGTTGTCTTTCCTGGAGGAAATGTGCCTCACCAGGATTTATCGGGTAGCAGACAATAAAAAATGAACATAAAACAGTTTAGTCAAAGGCAAGCCCAAATTACTTAAGTAAATACAATTATAAAGCAGAAAGAGAAAAGTTTGTGGTTTCTTTTTAATCATTGTTACTTTTGAAATTCTAATAAGCAACTAATTATGTTCATGTTGTTCTTTGCTAATAAGAACTAGGGCCTAGATCTTTTTAGGTAATACTAAATATATAAACTTTTCTTTTTATAAGCAAATTAAAAAGAAGGAACAATTATTACGAATTTCACCAGATAATTCATTGACATACAAAAAGTTCTAGTCTCTTTGCCCAAGTGATAGCTAGCAAAGATATACTCTGTTATTTATTGTTAGGTTAAAGATTTTTCTATGAAAGTGAAAATAAGAGAAGTATGGAGACTCTTTATTTGAAATTTTTTTTTTTTTTTTTTTTTTTTTTTGAGACAGAGTCTCACTGTGTTCCCAGGCTGGAGTGCAGCGGCGCAATCTCAGCTCACTGCAACCTCCAACTCCCTGGTTCAAATGATTCTCCTGTCTCAGCCTCCCGAGTAGCTGGGATTACAGGCATGCACTACCATGCCCAGCTAATTTTTGTATTTTTTTTTTTTAGTAGAGACAAGGTTTCACCATGTTGGCCAGGATGGTCTTGATCTCCTGACCTCATGATCTGCCCCCCTCGGCCTCCCAAAGTGCTGGGATTACAGGCATGAGCTACTGTGCCTGGCCCATTTGGATTTTTTTTAAACAACTACCAAAGGGACTAGTGTGAATATTTTCTGTAAGAAGGTTTCACAATTGTATATGAATGGATCAAACTTCTTTTTCCCCAGAGACATAGGTTCTGTCCCTTAAATTCTGACTTAGGAAACTTTAATATGTTATTATTAGGGTGAAAGTTGTGAAAGTCAGATATTAGCTAGTACCAATAATTAATGGCATGGAGTCAATGTGGATAGAATGTATTAGCAGAAAGAAAGTTATATCCTAACTGGAGAACAATGAAAAACATTTTTCCCTGCTCTTCAGTTTTATCTTCCAATAAGAGAAATACTTTGAGAACACCAACTGAAAGTCATTTCCAAAAGATAATCTCAATATTGCCATGCAAAAGCTACACAGAATTAGAGAATTCAAAAAATTAAGACAGGAAAATAGGGAGGGAGAGAAAAATAAAGGAGCATAAATCACAAAGCTAAATATATTCTTCTAAGAACTTCAGAACATTCTTTCATTATTTCTTAAAGTGTTTTAACTTCTAAACATTAATGAAGTTGTAGTACAATATGTAATCTCTAGAGTAAATATTATAATAAAATAAATTTTCTTACACAAAATATAGAATTTTGGTTTCTCTCACTTTGGGACACATCTTTCTTATCTGTGTAATTTTTTGTTTGTTTTTACTTTTCATCATAGAATTGAAATGTGTTACATAAGTGAAAGATTTGGAATCAGGCACATCTAGAGTTTCAGCATTTTTTGATGGTCTTGGGTTACTTACTCAACCTCAGTTTTCTTATCTGGAAAGTGTGGAAACATTACCTGCCTTTCAGGGCTGTTGTGAGGAGTAAATGAAATAATACCTAACTGTACCAATAATGCTGCATAACAGTTCTGGGTAGTAGTTTGTTTGCTACCATTGTATAACTGAGTTGTTCTGAATTTTAATAAATTTCTTTTCAATATAATTTACAATATTATTTCCATGGCAACCCATAATTTGGTCTATTAAAGTTTGACTGCACACAGGAACTTCACAAAGATCTCATCCTGTGACCAGAATCTTTCCACTAGGAGGCCTTATTCCTTCATCAAATAGGTCTCTCCTCTGTATCTCGAAGCCAGTCTAATGTAGTCCACAGAAAAATGCTTTGTGTCCTTATATAGAGTGGGAAAACCCACTGCCACTCTTCCGTAGACAAAACAGAGGAGTGTATGCCATTATTTTCTCTGGAGCAAGATAAGAAATTTGCCTTTTTTTCCCAGAACCCCAAATTCAGTTTGTAAATGTCTTAATTCACATAAGGAAATTGGCAGATAAATGTTACTCAATAAAAAACTGTGTTGAGTAGTAAATTAATTCAGTGATGTCTCCAGATTAATCCCAGTGCCACTGATTAAAATTAGTGACTCACAAAGTTTACAAAATATATATACCTTTTTTTTAATCCCTGAACTATATATAGCCTTACTGACTTCATTTCAAGATAAACTTAATTCTTTGATTATATCTAATGTTGGACTAAAAGAAGCATGAGGGGAAACTATGGCAGAGGTTACTAGAAGTGTTAAGGATTTTTTACCATGAAAGAATATATACCTTCATTTGAGCAAATATGATGCTGTCAGTTTCACTGATGTGTTACAGTTATTTTGGTGTCTTTTGCCAACTATATTAGATTAGTGCCTTTGTAGACTTATCTTTCATCCATGATCTTTTCATAAAGAAGTGTTTCCATGGAAGAGACATTTTTGTTGTTGTTGTTGTTGTTTTTGTTTTGTTTTGTTTTTTTACAAAATCTGCTGAGAGAAACTGTTCTTTGCCCTTTATGTGGAATATGGCCAGCTAGGGTAATACTTCAGTGCAACAGAGACACTTAACATTTGATTGATGAACAACAGAACCTTTGTTCAAGTGGATGAAGTGGCGTCTGGGTAGAAGTAATCAAATCTTGAAAGATCAAACTAACCTTTATGGTAATAGCCCTTCTTTGTCCTACTTTGGTGATGGTTACTATTCAATTATTGTACTAATTAGAAAAAAAATAGGAATATTTATTATGCAAATTATTCTTTCCTATACTTATTGCTATCATTAAGTATACAATATAATAGCACAATTTTAACATTCAATAAATTTTTATGGCCAGGTGTGGTGGCAGTGGCTCATGCCTATAACCCCAGCATTTATGGAGGCCAAGGCTGGCTGATAGCTTGAGCTCATGAGTTTGGGACCAGCCTGGGCAACATGGCAAAATCCTGTCCCTACGAGAAATACAAAAATTAGCCAGGTGTCATGGTGTGCTCCTGTAGTCTCAGCTACTCGGGAGGCTGAGTTGGGAGGATGGCTGGAGCCTGGGAGGCAGATGTTGCAGTGAGCCAAGATTATGCCACTGCACCCCAGCCTGGGTGATAGAGCCAGACTTTGTCTCAAAAATAAATAAGTAAATAAATAATTTTAATTTGTTTTCTTTTTAAATTGATTACTCTTTGGGTGATTTAGTTCATTACTGTATTTACTTAGGAAGTGCTTGAAATTAGGATCCAAAGTTTGTTTTGGTTTTGCTTTTTTTAACCTTTCCCAGGGGTAATTATCTCTAGTAGCTGAGAAAGTAAAAAGTTAACAAGAAAGTTAATGCAAACAAGACCAGAACTCTGTCACCATGCTGTAAGAAACTCAAGCTATGTGTAGCAGCTACGTGGAGGAGTCCTGGCCAACAGGCTCAGCTGGGCTCCCAGGGATAATTAGTGTCCACTATCAGCCCAGTTGGGTTTTCTGAAGCCCCAGTCAACACCTGACTGTATGAGAGATCCCAAGGGAGAATTAAGCCTTTCCCCAAATTCCTGACACCCCAAATCATGAGCAAAATAAAAATTTATTATATTAAGCCAGTGAGTTTGGGAGTGCAACAATAGATAAGCAGAACAAAATTTGGTACCTGGAAGTGGGATCCTGGCTTAACAAAACCTACAATACAGGCATTGGTTTTGAGACCAGGTGGTGTTCAGAAACCCCGTGAGTTTTGAGGAGGCTGTCGGTGAGTTTGAAAGAAAATGAGAAAGATGTGATTGGAAGCAGGGGGGCAGGGCACCTCGCTATGTAGTGGTGAAAAGTCTGGCGTCACTGTTGCTGTGGTAATGAGGGATGCAGGAAATGTACCTAATGAATTCAATGATCTAGCTAAAAAAAATTGTCCTCAGGAAAGTAGCTAACCCTGCTGAGCCTTGTCCACACTTGGACCTGACTTAGGTGATGAGATCTAGACCTTAAGCCAGAGCCTGATGAGGTAATTGGATGAAGCTTCTGGGGATCTTGAGAGAAGATAAGTGTATTTACATTTGGAGGGAATATTAAAAAAAAAAAAAAAGAAAAAAAAACTGGCTAGAGGGTGGACAATGGTAGCCTTAATACATGGCTGCAAATTCTTTGTCATTTTTCCCATTGAGAAGTAGGATCTGCAATCCTTTCCCCTTGAATACGGTCAGGCTTGTGATTGCTTCTTTAATAGAGAAATGAACCAAGCCAAAGCACAGCAGTAAAGAGCCTTGACATGCAGATAATTTATAGATCAGTACAAAGGATTAAAGGAATGGCATCATGGCTTGACTGGAGACTGGAGACAGTGGAACTGAAAATACCAAGTAGAGAAAGAAAGAAGTTTACATAATTGCATAAGGCTAAATTTTCATATTCAGCCTTAATCCTTCGTAGAATAAGGTAGAGAATAAACAAAATAGTTAATAATAAAGTAGTCAAAATTTACCTCATCATTTTTGATATTAAACTATATGTTTATTGTTTTGGGGCAATAATACAGTCACATCTATTTTTTCATTTATTACTTAAGGAAATCTAGCACATCACACTCTTTCCTGACTAAACTTTCCCAAAACACCAAGGAGGGAGCAATCTGATTTCCAGTTCCTAGGTGTAGAGACTTTGTATTGTTCTGGAGATCTGACATTTTGGTTGTGCCATTTAGTACATTTCATAGTCCATTGCTCATCTTAATCTTCCCACTACTGTAGTGGCTCCCAATCCAAGACTACTGCTTTTTAAGTCTTTCACCAATATTCAAACATTGGTTCCCAAAGCATGACAAGGGTCAGAATGGCTGCATCCAAACTGGCTTCTTGGTTGATCAGAACCAGCCCTTACTCTTAGGCCCTGCTTTTAAGCCTAGGACCCCAGCCCAGTCTCTTCCTCCATAGTAAGTTCCCTTTGAGGGTATTTTTATCCTTTTTGTCCAGCAAACCTAGTTCAGAGTCAATCTGATCTATCCTAAATTAAAATCTCAGGGAGAAAAGTTTGAGGTCTTATCTCTTCCTTCTCTTAAAGCAAGTTAGTCTTCCTCTATCCCAATAAACATGAGGAAGGAAGAAAGCATATTTTCATAACTAAGAGAAGTCACTCAAGTGACCTTCTGAAGAACAAAGATAATTCCAAGATGACTTTTTCATTCTGTCCATACAAAGAAGCAGTGAACAGTTTCTCTTACTAATAAACACATAAATATACATTTTTAATTTAATTTAATTTTTTAGCTTTATGAGCTATGATTGACACATTTTAAAAAGTATATATTTAAGGTGTACAACCTGGTATTTTAGTATATGTATATCTTGTGTAATGATCTCCACAGTCAGGCTAACAGATATATCACCTCACGTAGTTACTTTTGTTTGTAAGTGAGTTTTAGTTTGGAAAGAACAGTTAAGATATATTCTCTTAGCAAATTTCAAGAATAAAATACATCATTAACTGTAGTTAATGCTGTAAATCAGATCTCTAGAACTTATTCATCTTATAACTGAAAGTTCTTACTTTTTATCCATTATCTCCTAATTTCTCCCACACCCCCAGATCCTGGCACCTACCGTTCTGCTCTCTGCTTCTATGAGTTGGAGTATTTTAGATTTCACATATAAAGGAGATCACGCAATACTTTTCTTCTATGTCTTGTTTATTTCACTTAGCATAATGTCCTCTAGGTTCACTCATGCTGTCACAACTTGGCAGGATTTTCTTCTTTTTTAAGGCTTGAAAATATTCCATTTTGTGTGTATATGTGTATGTATGTATACATACACACACACATACACAAGCACACATACACTATAATTTCTTAATCCATTCAACTATTGATCGATACTTAAATTGATTCCAAATCTTGGCTATTGTGAATAATGCTGCAATGAACATGGGAGTACAGATATCTCTTCAACATACTGAGTTCAAATCTTTTGGGTAAATACCCAGATGTGGGATTGCTGGATCATATGATAATTCTATTTTTAATTTTTTGAGTGACCTCCATGCTATCATTCGTAATGGCTATACTAATTTACATTCCTACTAACAGTGTACAAGAATTCCTTTTTTCTCCACATCTCCTCAACACTTATCTCTTGTCTTTTTTATAATAACCATCTGTACCTCACTAGGCATCCTGTTGTTCTAATTTGGGAACTTGGTGGTGTGACCACAATATTCATTGCAAGAGGAAACTGGCAATTGGCAATGAGTATAACTGGAAATTACATTGTGCTGTTAATCTACTTTTGGAAATAAGTGAACCTATCAGATCACAGCTTGGAAACATTGTTTTAGCCAAGTAAAATCATATCTCCCAATTAAAAAGTAAGAATTTTTAGAAATTCCAGTTCTATTGTTTTTTAAATTGTTCCAGGAACCTTTTCTTAATGAAAAATGTTATCATTGTATTTATAACCAGAATTAGTATTAAATGTCCTTTTGCATTTTTTACAAATATATAAATATTTACAAATTAAATTACAAACCTATATACTTCCTTTTATTTTGGAAGTCTTCATTTTAAAAAGAAAGCATTTAGTTTTCACTGTTACTTGAGCAGATATTTTAGTATTGAGTGAGTTTTTTACTGTTTACTTTGTTGAGTGCATTCATGGTAGATGATTTTAAGTGGAGTATTGTTATCATGAGAGGGATTGATTTGTGCTCAAGGACATGACCCTAAACTCACCATTGGGTAGAAGAGGCCACCTGTGAAATGACAAACAACATTTTTCTTATCTAAGCAACAAGATACAGGACTGCTTCCAAAAATGTTTCTATAGCAGCGGTGTCATCAACACAGATTTTCAAATTTGGTATCATGTGTCCTATTATCTGCTTCATTGCATTTGTAAATTGCTTGTGTTAAAAAGCCATAAGCACAATTTGGCCGGCCTGTTCCTCACATATTAAAACAGTTAAAATGTACCTTTAAGGGATACAAAGTAATGATTCGAAAGCCAACATTCCCAACCAGCAAGTGTTTAGGGAATGCCTCCCCTGCCCCAAACAGATATGCAGTTAATTTTTAAGTGTCGGTGCAAGCAGTTGGTCTAATCACATTTTCTCCTTGACAGAGGGCTTTTAAATGGCTGCAACTCCTGACTCAACCCTAGAGCACAACAAGAACATGCTTTGCAAATGTTTGAAAATGAGAGATAATGTTAGATCATAATACTCGCTCCTGGTACTTCAGAAACATGCATTTCCTCGATATGAGTGAAAAGATAATTTGCCTGAATAAATTTTTCACCATCTCTTGCCAATCTTTGGTTATCTGCTATGAATTTCCCTAATAGAATTCTTTTACAAATAATTTCTCTTCTCTCTTCTCTTTCTGTTTTATGCACACATGAAGCACATGTGCACCTGCACAAACGTGAGTCAGCTTCACTTAAAGTGGTGTTTTAAAGTTATTCTAAAACAGTGAGATAATGAAGAAAAAAGATGATTGAACCAGATTTGTGTTGGTTTTATTCACCAACGTAACCCAAGTAATTTAATTCTAGAGCCTGTGCTCTTGAACACTACACTATACTGTATTTTATTTAATAAAAACAATAAATGAGGAATAAGTAATGAAAGTTACAGAGAGAGGGGTAGACCAGAACCCCATGATCTTCAACTAATACTTTTCTCTTCCTCCTTCACCTCCTGCCTCCTCTAATTCCACACTGAGTTGGGCTTAAAACAGCGAGTATCCAAGAACAGTTTGGGGGATAAATGAAAGGCAGGTATTCTTCTGCAAAGATCATCAACAATCTATTATCTTCAGTCTTGCCCCTCTGAGACTGATATGGGTCACTTTGCTGCAGTGCCATTGTCAATCTTCAGTAATTAAAAAAATTAGTCTCTATTTTGTATAGACTAAAAAGGGGAGTGTATTCTTTATCATAATCCACACCTAAATAGTTGGTTTTCTTTCCTTCAGTTAATGTTTGTACTATGGAGTAAATAAAATTATTGTAGGCAATATTTCATTCTTTGGCCAGAAAAACCTCAAAGGATTTCATGGGTCTCCCAAAAAAGTGTTATTTACTAGTAGATGTTAATGAGTATTACATGTAACATTTTCAGATACAATACATTGTATCGATTTTTAGGAACCATGAGAGCTGCTTCATATAAAGCAAGAAGATGTGGCTAATTATAGAAGCACAGTTAAGCAAGTAAAGACAAGACCAGAAACACTGAATAGGGGGTGGCCTAGACCTCGTCCAGGAAAATTTGAATAGGAAGATAAGGACCTGCCTGAACAGAACCTTTACCAGGGAATTCACAGCTGACACTAACAACTAAAAAAAATCTCCCTGTAGTTCATCATAGAAAATCCTAAGATGCTAACTCTCCATCCATATCTGAAATTACGCTTTACCCTGCTTTCTTTTCTTTTCTTTTTTTTTTTTTGAGACAGAGTCTCGCTCTGTCACCCAGGCTGGAGTGCAGTGGCGCGATCTCGGCTCACTGCAAGCTCCACTTCCCGGGTTCACGCCATTCTCCTGCCTCAGCCTCCCAAGTAGCTGGGACTACAGGTGCCCGCCACCACGCCTGGCTAATTTTTTGTATTTTTTAGTAGAAACGGGGTTTCACCATGTTAGCCAGGATGGTCTCGATCTCCTGAACTCGTGATCCACCCGCCTTGGCCTCCCAAAGTGCTGGGATTACAGGTGTGAGCCAACGTGCCCGGCCTACCCTGCTTTCTGTGTAAGCACCACACTGGTCTCCTTTCTGTCCTCAGTACCCATCACACTCCCACCCCTCACAGGCCCTTTGTCCATGTTGTTCATCTGCTGGAAGCCTTTTGGGCCTCTATTCGTTTTTGAGGTCTCAGCTCCTGAATCACTTCTTCAGAAACATCATCCCTGACCTCCGTCATGTGATCATCTGCCTCTGTGAATCATGTTATTCATGATTCCTTTGTAGCACGTGTCAGAATTGGAATTTTACATTTATTTGTGCAGTTAATTCATTAAAATCTATTTCTCCCAACAGACTGTAGGCTTTGGGAGAGCAAGGACCATTATATTCCCAGGTTCTAGGTTGGTGCTGACACAGAGGAAGCACTTTAAACAATATTTGTAGAATGAACGAAGAAATTATTTGTACAATGAATGAAGGAAAAAAACCCATAAACTCTCGTCCTCATTATTTCAAATACTTCCTTACCTTTAAAATGAAAATGAAAAACCTATCTTCTAATGTGAATCAAAATCTTAAATAAAATCTTGAATAGTGGTGGTCTAGCATTGACTTAGAATAATCAGAAACATAAGTGTATTAAAGTAATCAGCAAAAAGTCAAATGCAAACAAACAAAAAAAACCCACAGGTGTTATAAAAAGCCTACTTTCATTTCTTGGTAATTTGGTTGTTTTTCTGTTTTCTTCAATTCTGTGTCTATTTTCTGCAAACCTGTTTTAAGGATATGCTTTGTCCCATCTTTTACATCCTACTCTCCTTCCAATTCATAGACCTTGAAATTTGGGTGTATCTTCTTGCTCTTTGCTATTGCTGTTTCATGTAGCAGTAAATTCTGATTAAAGAAAGTCTGAAAACCTTATATATTTTTTAAATGAAGTGCTGAATGTCTTGCTGTATATATCTGAAGTCCCACTCTTTAATAGGCTGGTCACTTGTTCAGAATATGGGCTGGGCGTTTTTCATTTTCCCCTCCAAATCTTTTCCTTATTCTCCTCATCCTGCTCTGTCCCCTGGGAATCTGGCATTTATGGGTTACAGCAAGTGGCTCTCTTGTCCTCTGGCTTCCAATTTTGTGAGATTGGAGGGTAGGAGCATGAGTTTGTAGAATTTCTTCCTTTGACTCTCTTGCTGATGGGTCACAACAGTTTGGCTACACCTCTCTAAGGCTCCTGCTCCTGTCAGTGCTGTCAGTGAGCTCTCTCCATTCAGCTTCTTCTCCTGGGTTTGGGTTACTTCTTCTGGGCCTCTTCAGGCCTAGGGGTGGAAACTGCTCCCTATTGGTGCCAATCTCTGGGTTCTACATCAACTCCTGCTTATTTCCCTTCACGCTGTTCATACCTTTATAAATATCTTCTTTATTAAACTCTACTCAATTATTCTATATGAGTTTAACATCTGTCTTCTGCTAGGATCCTGCCATGCTCCAGAAAACAGCTCCCCAGCCTCGAAGGGCATTGTTTCCTACAAGGGGATATAACTGGCTCATCAGGGGGTTATTCTACTGTTCCATTATGCCAGCTACTTCTGGGTGAATGGGGTTCAGTGTTGGTCATCTATGCTGATAAATTTGTTGCGTACACATTGTTAGAAGCCAGGTCATCTTTTGTGAGTACAAGTCCATGTTATCAAAACCCACACATAATCTTCATCCCTGTTATCATGGTTACTTTATTACAAAATCATTGAATGAGTGGTTTCCATCTTGATTATTGAAAACTACCTCTACAGAAGGGGCTTCACTAAGCAGCTACGTGAGACAAACGTATCTTCAAATTCTGGGTCCATTTAGAGGTCAACCCTTGTAGTTATTTCTCAAACTTCCTGGCCATTGATTGTCTAATATTTTTCTTTTGTAGTCCATGACAATGTAGCCAAATCATTGGCCTCTATCTATGAATAGATTAAATGATTCAGATCTTCTACTCTTTCGGTCAAAGTAGACAACCAGAAAAATTTACCCTAGTCAATGCTAAGAGATCCTCCACAGCCGTCTATAAATCTGGTTTAATTTTTTTTCTTCAGTCAGTTGATCAAAGGTACCTTTCCATGATTAAATTTCCATGATCAAAGGGACTTTTTCATGTATGTGTTTCTTTAACACATGCCTATTGGCATCAGAAGTTAATATATTACTATTGTAAGAATTCTTCTTATGTAACTTTCTTGAGCTTTATGACCTTCTGAAGCGTTGTAGGAATGTCATATCCATTGGGAATGGAGTACTTCTGGGCACAACCACCTCTAGGCTTGATGGACCAAATAGTACCCTTTAAACATTATGATGGGAAGCTCATGTCATTGGGTGTTCATTCAGGGCCAAGGGGCTATTTCTCAAAAGAAGAATAGTTATTTTCTGAAAAAAACATGGATTTTCTTCAACACCCTAGAGACCTCTACTGTGACTCTCTAATAGAGATTTGCCACAGGCCCCATAAACTATCTTGTTCTCTGACAGGTATTTTAGACCCAGTGACACACCTCTTTGTAAAGCAGCCTGGATTATCTGAAAAGTATTTTATTTCTCTGAGCTCTACTCAAATCTGACAACTAATAAGTATTGCACCCCTTTTAATAGCAGAAAATGTAAGACGCAGTAACTTATCTTTAATTATGGAGAAGATATAACTACTGGACCCCTCAGGAACTTTAATGAGGTGGAAGACTCCTGTATTGTCATATTTTTCTCCTATCCATTAGCACACGTGTGTCTTTATAAGGCATCAAGATTATATGCTAACCACTATTCCCCAGATCTTATCAGCATGATGCTATGAATATAAGGAAATCTGTGTGGCATCCTGTGGAATAAGGATATTATCAAAACCCTGTAGCCTAAATTGTGGCAAAGAGCTAGAAGGTCATATAACCTTGAGGGAAGAAAGTGAAGATGCAGTACTGTCCTTACCAGGTAAAAGCAAATGCCCTGAAGGTTATCCACTTATCGGAAAAAGGAGAAAGCATTTGTTTGATCTAGTGCTGCATCCAAAGTGACAGAGGCTGTTTTGATTTGTTCTAGCATAGAGACAACAACTTGAAGAGCAGCTGAAATTAAGGCGATGACTTGGTTGAGCTTAAGAGAATACACTAACAATCTTCAGAACCTGTCTTCCCTCTGCACTGCCAATCAGTATCATATATAGTTTCTCTAGGAAGAATGTGTTGAGAAATAGTATTATACTAAATATGAGATGTATTCATCTCTATATCTTCAGAGTTTATGTGTGCCTATATCATTCATTCATTCATGACCAAATAAATAGAAATGTGACAATTGACAATTCAGTATGAATGAATGAATGAAAAGGAGTTTGATCATATTCTAGACTGGAATTTTAACATAAAGTTTTTCATGTTTACTTTAAGAACTAAGGTAAATAGATGTCAGATACTGTGTAATAGTTTAGGTCTTAAGGAATATTTTAAATCAAGTTTAGGATTCCATGTGTTAAATCATACAGTGAGGACTGAAAAATACCAAAATCCTAGAAAGTGTAGCTATAAGCTTAACACATAATAAATTAAATAGAAAAGATGTTTCCTAATTATTATGAATATTTAATTTGAAAAAAGAAAGATGGTGAAATTATTTCCTTCAAATATAAAAGTTTTTTTTGGGCTTGCTGCTGAGGCTCTGTGAGACAGCCGAAAACCTTTGAAGACAAAGGACACAACCTCTTGGAAGCTCCATGGCCCCATCCAGCTCCTGAGAAACCTGAATACTTATCCACACAACCCTAGAGCAAGCTTGTATCCTTCCTATACATGCTGTCTTGAAAGCATCACCTCCTGGCTGGAGGCCAACACAAAATAAGGGCAGTAAATAAATCTACAACCAAGGACCCTCACAGAGTACACTTCACTCCCTTACTACCTCTGCCAGAGTAGGTGCTGGTATTCACGGCTGAGACACCTAAAGATGGATCACATCACAGAACTGTTCATAGACACTCCCCAGTAGCAGCGCACAGCCCTTTAGTTCCACTGGGTGGCTAGACTCAGAAGAGAAATAACACCTACTGCAGTTTGGCTCTCAGGATGCCCCATCCCTTGGGGAAGGAGAAGAGCACCACATCAAGGAAGCACCCTGTGAGATAAAATAATCTGAACAGCGGCCCTTGAGCCCCAGATCTTCCCCCTGACATAGTCTACCCAAATGAGAAGGAACCAGAAAAACAATTCTAGTAATATGACAAAACAAGGTTTTTTAGTACCCCCAAAAGATCACACTAACTCACCAGCAATGGATCCAAACCAAGTCTTTGAATTGCCAAAAAAAAAAAAAAAAAAAAAAAGAATTCAGAAGGTCAATTATTAAGCTTCTCAAGAAGGCACCAGAGAAAGGTGAATACCAACTTACAGAAATGAAAAAAAGTTACAGAATATGAACAGAAAAATCTCCAGAGAAATAGACAGCATAAATAAAAAACAATCACAACTTCTGGAAATGAAGAACACACTTAGAGAAATACAAAATACCTGGAAATTCTCAACAGCAGAATTGAAAAAGTAGAAGAAAGAGCTTCAGAGCTCAAAGACAAGGCTTTCATATTAACCCAATCCAACAAAGACAGAAAAATAATTAAAAAAAAACAAAGCCTCCAAAAAGTTTGGGATTATGATAAACAACCAAATTTAAGAATAATTTGTGTTCACAAGGAAGAAGAGAAATCTAAAAGTTTGGATAACATATTTGAGGGACTAATCGAGGAAAACTTCCCTGCCCTTGCTAGAGATATAGACATCTGAATACAGGAAGCTCAAAGAACAACCGGGAAATTCATCACAAAAAGATCATCATATACATCAGGTTATCTAAAGTCAAGACAAAGGAAAGAATTTCAAGAGCTGTGAGGCAAAAGCATCAGGTAACCTATAAAGGAAAACCTATCATATTAACAGGAGATTCCTCAGCAGAAACCCTGCAAGCTAGAAAGGATTGGAGTCCTATCTTTAGGCTCCTTAAACAAAACCAGCAAAACCAAGTTTCATAAATGAAAAAAAAAGATACAAGCTTTTTCAGACAAATAAGTGCTGAGAGAATTTCTCACTACCAAGCCAGCATGACAAGAACTGCTCAAAGGAGCTCTAAATCTTGAAACGAATCCTCAAAATACACCAAAATAGCACCTCCTTAAAGCATAAATCTCAACGGACCTATAAAACAATAACACAATGAAAAAAATCAAGGTATTTAGGCAACAACTATCATGATGAATAGAATAGTACCTCACTTTTCAATACTAACATTGAATGTAAATGATGTAAATGCTCCACTTAAAAGATTTGGATTGGCGGAATGGACAAGAATTCACGAACGAACTATCTGCTATCTTCAAGAGACTCACCTGACAGATAAGGACTCACATGAACTTAAGGTAAAGGGGTGGAAAAAGATATTCCATGAAAATGAACACCAAAATCAAGCAAGAGTAGCTATTCTTATATCAAATAAAACAGACATTAAAGTGACCACAGTTTAAAAAGACAAAGAGGGATATTATATAATGATAAAAGAACTAGTCCAACAGGAAAATATCACAATTCTAAATATGTATGCACCTAACTCTAGAGCTCCCTAATTTATAAAACTATTACTACTAGACCTGAGAAATGAATTAGATGGCAACATAATAATAGTGGGGGATTTCAACCCTCCACTGACAGCACGAAACAGGTCATCAAGACAAAAAGTCAAAAAGCAACAATGGACTTAAACTATATCCTAGAACAAATGGACTCAACAGATATTTACAGAAAATTCTACCCAACAACTGCAGAATATATGTTCTATTCCACAGCACATGGAACATTCTCCAAGATAGACCATACGATAGGCCACAAAACAAGTCTCAATAAATTTAAGAAAATCAAAATTATATCTAGTACTCCCTCAAACCACAGTAGAATAAAATCAGAAATGAACTCATAAAGGAACTCTCAAAACCATGCAAATACATGGAAATTAAATAACCTGCTCCTGAATTATTATTGGGTCAACAATAAAATCAAGATAGAAATTTAAAAAATTATTTGAACTGTACGAAAATAGTGACACAACCTAATGAAACCTCTGGGATACAGCAAAAGTGGTGCTAAGATGACTCTTCATAGCATTAAATGCTGACATCAAAAAGTCTGAAAGAGCACAAATAGACAACCTAAGTCACACCTCAAGGAACCAGAGAAACAAGAACAAACCAAACCCAAACCCAGTAGAAGAAAAGAAATAACATCAGAGAAGAACTAAATAAAATTGAAACACAAAAAAAATGATAAATGAAACAAAATGCTGGTTCTTTGAAAAGATAAACAAAATTGATAGACCATTAGTGAGATTAATCAAGAAGAGAGAAGATCCAATTAGAAACAAAATGGGAGAATTACAACCAATATCACAGAAATACAAAAGATTATTTAAGGCTACGATGAACACCTGTATATGCACAAACTAGAAAACCTAGAGGAGATGGATAAATTCCTGGAAATATACAACCCTCCTAGATTAAACCAGGAAGAAATAGAAACTCTGAACAGACCAACAAGATTGAAATGATAATTTTAAAATTGCCAACAACAAAAAAGTCCAGGACCAGACAGATTCACAGATGAATCTATCAGACATTCAAAGAAAAAGTTGTACCAATCCTATAGACACTATTCCAAAAGATAAAGAGGGAACCTTCTAAATCGTTTTATGAAGCCAGTATCACCCTAATGCCAAAACTGGGAAAGAACATAACACACACAAAAAATCTATAGACCAATATTCCTGATGAACACAGATGCAAAAATCCTCAACAAAACACTGACTAACTGAATCCAACAGCACATCAAAACAATAATACATTATGATCAAATGGGTTTCATACCAGAGATTCAGGGATGATTTAACATATGCAAGTCAATAAATGTGATACATCACATAAACAGATTTAAAAACAAAAATTGTATGATCATCTCAATAGACACAGGAAAAGCATTTGATAAAATTCAGCATTCCTTTAGTATTAAGGCCCTCAGCAAAATTGGCATATAAGGGACACACCTTAAGGTAATAAAAGCCATTTATGAAAAACGCACAGCCAACATTATACTAAACTGGGAAAAGTTTAAACCATTCCCCCTGAGAACTGAAACAAGACAAGGATGCTTGCTTTCAACACTTCTATTCAATGTAGTACTAGAAGTCCTAGCCAGAGTAACCAGACAACATTAATAATAAAGGGCATTCAAATCAGTAAAGAGGAAGTCAAACTGTCATTGTTCACCAATGATATGATTGTCTACCTAGAAAACCCTAAAGACTCATCCAAAAAGCTGCTAGAACTGATAAATAAATTCAGTATAAATAAAGAAAGTTTCAGGATACAAAATCAATGTACACAAATTAGTAGCACTGCTATACACAAAGTGACCAAACTGAGAATCAAATCAAGAACTCAATCCCTTTTATAATAACTGCAAAACAAAAACAAAATACTTAGGAATATACCAAACCAAGGAGGTGACACATCGCTACACAGAAAACTACAAAACACTGCTGAAAGAAATCATAGATGACAGAAACAAATGGAAACACATACCATGCCCATGGGTGGGTAGAATCAATATTGTGAAAATGACCATACTGCTGAAAACAATGTACAGATTAGGCCATTTCACATCAAAATACCATTATTCTTCACAGAAGTCGAAAAAACAATCTTAAAATTCATATGGAATCAAAAAGGAGCCTGCATAACCAAAGCAAGAGTAAGCAAAAAGAACAAATCTGAAGGGATCACAGATCACATCACCCAACTTCAAACTATACTATAAGGCCATAGTCACCAAAACAGCATTGTACTGCTATAAAAATAGGCACATAGCCCAATGGGGCAGAATAGAAAACCCAGAAATAAAGCCAAATACTTACAGCCAACTGATCTTCGACAAAGCAAACAAAAAAAAAAGTAGGGAAAGGAAATCCTGCTCAACAAATGGTGCTGGGATAATTGGTAAGCCACATGTAGAAGAATAAAACTGGATCTTCATCTCTCACCTTATACAAAAATCAACTGAAGATGAATCAAAGATTTAAATCTAAGACCTGAAACCATAAAAATTCTAGAATATAACATCAGAAAAACTCTTCTGGACATTGGCTTAGACAAAAAGTTCATGACCAAGAACCCACAAGCAAATGTGACAAAAAAACAAAGATAAATTGATGGGACTTAACTAAAAAGCTTCTGCACAGAAAAAGAAATAATCAGCAGAGTAAACAGACAACACACAGAGTTGGAGAAACTCTTCACAAAATATGTGTCTGACAAAGGACTAATATCCAGAATCCACAAAAAACTCAAACAAATCAGAAAGAAAAACACCAAAGAATCTGATCAAAAAGTGGGCAAAGGACATGAATAGACAATTCTCAAAAGAAGATATACAAATGGCCAACAAACACATGAAAGAATGCTCAAGATCACTAATTACCAGGGTAATGCAAATCAAAACTACAACACAATACCACCTTACTCCTGCAAGAATGGCCATAATAAAAAAAAAATAGATGCTGATGTAGATGTGATGAAAAGGGAATATTTTACACTGCTGGTGGGAATGTAAACTAGTACTACCACTATGGAAAACAGTGTGGAGATTCCTTAAAGAACTAAAAGTAGATCTGCCATTTGATCCAGCAGTCCCTCTACTGGGTATCTACCCAGAGAAAAAGAAATCATTATACGAAAAAGATACTTGCACACGCATGTTTACCGTCACCCGATTCGCAAATGCAAAAATATGGTGTATTAGCCCATTCTCACACTGCTAATAAAAACATACCCAAGACTGGGTAATTTATAAAGGGAAGTGGTTTAATTAACTCACAGTTCAGCATGGCTGGGGAGACCTCAGGAAACTTACAATCATGGTGGAAGGGGAAGCAAACACATCCTTCTTCACATGGTGGCAGGAAGAAGAAGTGCAGAGCAAAGGGGGAAAAGCCCCTTATAAAACCATTAGATCTCATGATCTGTATGGTTCACTTGCTGTTCACTATCACAAGAACAGCACGGCGAAACTGCACCCATGATCTAGTGACCTTCCATGAAGCTCCACTCCCAACACGTGGGGATTACACTCAGATTATAATTCAAGATGAAATTTTGGTGGGAACACAGAACCAGACCATATTATTCCACCCCTGGCCCCTTCCAAATCTCACATGCTTCTCATATTTCAATACACAATTATGCCTTCCCAACAGTTCCTTAAAGTCTTAACTCATTTCATCATTAACCCAAAAGTCCAAGTCCAAAGTCTCATCTGAGACAAGGCAAGTTCCTTCTGCCTGTGAACCTGTTAAATCAAAAGCAAGTTAATTACTTCCTAGATATAATAGGGATACAGGCATTGGGTTAATACACCCATTCCAAATGGGAGAAATTGGCCAAAACAAAGGGGCTATAGGCCCCATGCAAGTCTGTAATCCAATAGGGCAGTCATTAAACCTTAAAGTTTTGAAACGATTTTCTTTGATTCTATGTCTCACATCCAGGTCACGCTAATGCAAGAGGTGGGCTCCCTTGGTCATAGGCAGCTCCACCCCTGTGACTTGGCAGAGTACAGCCCCCTTTCCAGCTGTTGTCACTGGCTGGCATTGAGTGTCTGTGGCTTTTCCAGTTGCATCATGCAAGCTGTTGGTGAACCTACCATTCTGGGATCTAGAGGATGGTGGGCCTCTTCTAACAGCTGCACTAGGCAATGCCCCAGTGGAGGTTCTGACTTTATATTTCCCTTCTGCACTGCCCTAGCAGAGGTTCTCCATGAGGTTTCCACCTCCAAAGCAAACTTCTGCCTGGACATACAGGCATTTCCATACATCCTCTGAAATCTAGGTGAAGGTTCCCAAACCTCAATTCTTGTCTTCTGTGCACCCACAGGACCAACACCATATGGAAGTTGCCAAGGCTCGGGACTTTCACCCTATGAAGCAATGGGCTGAGCTATACCCTGGCCCCTTTCAGCCACAGCTAGAGTGGCTGGGATGTGGGGCACCAAGTCCCTAGGCTAAATGCAGCGGGGGGGGGGGGGGGCCTGGCACCAGCCCAGGAAACAATTTCCCCTCTTAGGTTCTGAGCCTGTGATCAGAGGGGCTGCCTTTCAAGTCTTTGACATGCCCTGGAGACATTTTCCCCTTTATCTTGGTGGTTAACATCTGGCTGCTTGATACTTAGACAAATTTCTGCAGCAGGCTTGAATTTCTCCCCAGAAAATGGGTTTTTCTTTTCTGTCACATTGTTGGGCTGCAAATTTTCCAAACTTTTATGCTCCACATCCTCTTGAACGTTTTGCTGCTTAGAAATTTCTTCCACCAGATACCCTAAATCATCTCTCTCAAGTTCAAAGTTCCACAGATCTCTAGGGCAGGGGCAAAATGCTGCCATTCTCCTTGCTAAAGCATAGCAAGAGTCACTTTTGTTCCAGTTCCCAAGAAGTTCCTCATCTCCATCTGAGATCATCTCAGCCTGGACTTCATTGTCCATATCACTATCAGCATTTTGGTCAAAGCTATTCAACAAGTCTCTAAGTTGTTCCAAACTTTCCCACCTCTACCTGTCTTCTGAGCCCTCCAAGTCTCTAGGAAGTTCCAAACTGTCCCACATTTTCCTGTCTTCTTCTGAGCCCTCCAAACTGCTCCAACCTCTGCCTACTACACAGTTCCAAAGTAACTTCCACATTTTTGGGTGTCTTTATAGCAGCACCCCATTCCTGTACCAATTTATTGTATTATTCTGTTCTCATGCTGCTAATAAAGACACACCTGAGACTGTGTAATTTACAAAGGAAAGAGGTTTAATTGATTCACAATTCAGCATGACTGGGGAGGTCTCAGGAAATTTACAATCATGGCAGAAGGAGAAGCAAACACATCTTTCTTCACATGGAGGCAGGAAGGAGAAATGCATGGTGAAGGGGGGAAATGTCCCTTATAAAACCATCAGATCTCATGAGAACTCACTCACTATCATGAGAACAGCATGGTAGAACCACCCTCATGATCTAATCACCTCCCACGAGATCCCTCTTCCAACACGTGAGGATTATAATTTGGATAACAATTCAAGATGAGATTTTAGTGGGGACACAAGGCCAGACCATATCATATGGAATTAGCCCTAGTGCCCATCAATCAATGAGTGAATAAAGAAAAGGTGTTTTTTTATATATATATATAATATATATAATATATACAATTATATATTATATATACTATATATAATATATACTATATATAATATATACAATATATATATTATATATACAATATATAATATATACAATATATATATTATATATACAATATATAATATATACAATATATATATTATATATACAATATATAATATATACAATATATATTATATATACAATATATAATATATACAATATATATTATATATACAATATATAATATATACAATATATATTATATATACAATATATAATATATACAATATATATTATATATACAATATATAATATATACAATATATATTATATATACAATATATAATATATACAATATATATATATATACACACACACACACACACACAATGGAATACTACTCAGCCATAACAAGGAATGAAATAATGTAATTTGCAGCAACCTGGATGGAACTGGAGACCATCATTCAAAGTGAAGTAACTCAGGAATGCAAAACCAAACATCGTATATTCTCGCTTATAGATGGAAGCTAAGCTATGAGGATGCAAAAGCATACAAATGATACAATGTACTTCGAAGACTCTAGGGAAAAAGTGGGAGGGGTTGAGAGACAAAATACTACACATTGGGTAGAATGTACACTGCTCAGGTGCACCAAAATCTCAGAAATCACCACTAAAGGACTTATCCATGTAATGAAACACCACCTCTTCTCCCAAAACCCTGAAATAAAAATACATACATACATGTATACATACATACAAACATACACTTTATAAGTTGTAAAAAAAGGAAACTGTTTGGGGATACTATACATTAATTCAAAATATAAGCCAAAGGGTAAAAAAGCTATAAGATAAATTCTGAAGAACAAAAAAAAGGTTTTTTCAAAACTATATAATAATTCATTATCTATTGCTGCATTGTAAACTACACTCAAACTTGGCAACTTAAAAAACAAATATTTCTTATTTCACAATTTCCATGGTTAGGAATGTAGGCACAGCTTGGTTGGGTGGTTCTGGGTCCAGGTTCTTCATGAAGTTGTGGTTATGATGTAAGCCAAAGCTGCAGTCAACTGAAGGCTTGAGTTAGGGTGGAGGATGTGCCTTCAAGGTGGCTTACTCCTACACCTCACTTTCTGCTTGACTTTCCCATGTCCCACTGATGTAGGTGAAAACTTGTTTTCACATATTTGAATCTAGAAATTCTGTTCTAACATTACAAAAACTTAAAAAAGTGGATCTCATGGAGGTACAGAGTAGAATGGTGGTTAGCAGGGGCTGGAAAGGGAATGAGGGAGGGAGAGATGAAGAGAAGTTGGTTAATGAGTACAAATATGCCATTCAAAGGAATAAATTTTAGTATCTGACAGTACAGTGGGGAAACTGTAGTTAACAATAATTTATTGTGTATTTCAAAATAGCTTGAAGACAAGAATTGTAGTGTTCCCAACACAAAGAAAAAGGTTTGAGGTGATAGATATTCCAATTATCCTGATTTGATCATTAAACCTTGTATACATGTATCAAAACATCATGTGTACCCTAAAAATATGTGCAACTATAATATATCAATAACAATATAAAATAAAATAAAGTAATAAAAGTTATTTTGCATGATTGCAATAAGTACCAAGGGAATTTGAGAGAAGATTCTACTTTTTTGTTGTTAGAATTTGCTAAAATTTGTTCATTTAGGAAAATTATATTATTAAAAACACACCACTTGTTGTATTTGATTTTCCTATTCAATATACATATTTCCTCCTGCACTTAAAGCTGCTACATTCACAGTGATTCTACCTGTAGGTGTAAGCACTTGACTACTCACATCTCTTCCAGTTTAGTCACATTTGAGCATTTGCATATTGATGTGCATACTATTTAATTATAAATTACTTTTTATTATTTCTCATTCATATTACATAGGATATTTTATTGCCTTTTTAAAGGAAATTATGAGTTTGGCTGAGATATATTATCTGTGACTATTATTTCAAGATTGTACAAGGAGCATTGTTAACTATTATAAAAAGGATGTGTTGGGTATGATGTGCTTGAGAATGACTGTCATACAAACTGGTGATGTTATGGCACTCATAATCACCTTAAAGAAGCCCTTGACACTGTTCTTTCTACTAGAACAGATCTGTCCAGGAGAAATATAAAGTGAATTATATGTGTAAGTTTAAATTTTCTGATAGCTACATTTAAGAGCATAAAGGGAAACAGGTGAAAATAATTTTAATAATAACTTAATATATTTTATTTACTTAAATATAACAAAATATTTCAAATGTAACCAATATAAAAATTAAGATATTCTTCTTTGTTGTTGTTTATAATGTCTTTAAAATATGATGTGTATTTTGCACTTACAGTATGTCCCAATTTGGAGAAGCCATTTCAAGTGCTGAATAGACACATGGGTAGTGGCTACCATATTGGACAGCATAGTTTTGGATGTTCCATGAATAGAAAAATTCCAAGAAAGGGAGTAAAATGTCAGAAGCTCCTTAATTTATTAATAGGGACAAAATGATGGCTGCTGCCCATCTCCTTTTTTTCCTCTTTTTTGTAGCTTTCAGCTCAAAGTCTTTATGTTTCAGCTCAAACACAGACCATCTGCAGCACAACTTCTGTGCCAGAGGCTGTGTGGAGAGGTGTAGCAGCAGCTCAGTAAACACAACCACCTGCCACAGTTCAAAACCAGAAAGTCAAGAAGAAGTATTCTTCTCTTGACACTTCCATCTTCATCTCTCTCTCCTTTATCCCCAGACACTCAGATCCCCCCCAATCAGATATGCTCCTTCTCCCCCTGCCACAAGTAGAAGCTTTTCTCTCCAAATGGCAAAAGCTCCAAAATTGCCTGTCATCTCTTTTCCTACATTATGAACATTTTGCTGATCTTTATTTAGCTGATGTCCTTGTTTTCCCCCTGTTAACAAGCTCATTCCTCCTTTATCCTTTTGCAGAAAGCATTATCGCCTTTCTAGTTTGGTGGTTAAAACCACAGGCAATAGAAAGCAAGCAACACACCTGAGTTCATACCTTGTCTATCTCACTTAAAGCTGTGTGATTTTGAGTGATAAATTAAACTCTGAGCTGCAGCTATCTATACCATTCAGGTGAAAGTAATACCTACCTTTTAGGCATGCTATAAGACTCAGCTGAGACAATGGGTGTAATCAAGTTAGCACAACAGCTGTCACATTGTGAGCAATTAATAAATGAAAGATCTTATTATTATACTATTTCCTCAATCTATAAATCCTTCCCTACTTCCAGCCACATGTCCAAATCCTAATTATTTTTTAAAGTCTTTCTCAAGTCTCACCTGTTCTCTAAACCTTCTACAAACCTTATTCTCCCCTTTTCGTGTATTTCTTGAGAACTCTAACATAAATTCACATTGGTATAACTTCTAGTATGGGACACATCATGATCATTTAGTAAATCCTTTACTTAATTAATTGATGATGAAAGAGGGAAAGAAAACAATAGCAGATGCTGCGGATACCTGACCCTGCTTCCCCTTGACCCACCTGAGTTGTTTTGCAGCTGTGGTGGGCAGTTTTACAATTCCTACTGACAGACATGTTCCACACGGCTCTGCAGAAGTTCCCCAGAGGGATGGAGCCCCAGCTGCCCGCAACAGTATTCCACTCATTAACATGCACTTGATTGGCTTTGCTCCCTTCCGTCTCATCTCCCTTATACCTATTTAAGCTTCCTGGAATCACCTCCCAGATAAACCACCTGCATCAAAGCTCTTGTCTTAGATTTTGCTTTTGGGGAAACCCAAATAAGACAAGAACTAAGATTACTGAGTCCATATTGTATGCCAAGCACCATGTTAGTCACTCTATTTTCATTATCTTCTTTTATATTCTCAACATTCTTGTGGGATTAGGTATTATTATACTCATTTTGTAGTAACAAATTAGAAAGTCAGGACTCAAAATAATTAAGTGACTCACTCAGGGAAAATCTAACAATCTAAATGCTTCGGGTGCTCATTTCTGAATTAATAATTGTATACAAAAAAAAGAATAAGGCATTTTAGAATAAAGCTTTAAAAACATTACAGAAAAATAGGTAAAATAAAGCTCTTTCTTAGATTTAGCCAAAACATGACAAACTAAGGTATAGAAGCAGAATGTAATGATACGGGGTCTGGAGACATCGCACATTGAACACTTTGTTATTTAAATGCCTTATTTGTAGTCCACTTTTTTATTCTGGGAAATAGAGACGGGAAGATACGGCAGCTGAGAGCTACCCGAATGAGTCAGATTTAATAAGAAGGTATTAGAAGATGAAACCAATTTGGCCTCTATGACATTGGAGAAAGAATTAGACAAAGGGGACTTTTGTGAGTGCTAGATACTAAAAAGACAGGCTTAGATTGAGAAAAAATATTGAGAAAAAATTTTCTTCCATATTGAAATTCTCATACAGAATTGATTTTTTTATCTTCCCAAGTCACACAGGCCATATACATAAGAGTGATTGAATTATAACATGAAATGTCAAATCCAATAAATGTGGGGAGGGAGATAGCTGGGCAAATGTTAAAGGAAGCAAAGGACAAAGAGATATGTTTCCATATTCAGAGGCAAGCATTAGATGACCCAAGCACATTTCCCAGATTTTTAGGAACTGTATTAGTCAAATTGGAGAAGTTAGAAATATTCAGCTAAAATTAGAAAGCATTTCCTAATTGACCTAATATACGTTACTCTCTGTGGTCCTATGGTCTAGCTATCAAGTTAAGTTTATAATTCTTAAAAAATAAGGGTAATGTGTTTGAGCCCATTGTCTTCATAGAAAATCAAGTCCTTAGTTTTCATGAAGTTTGAGATCACTTGATACTTCTATTAAGCTCTGAGATTATCAGACAGAACTTAGGGTAAGTCTTTATTACATATTGCCTCTGCAGTTGCTATTGTTTGCCTTTATAATGTCACATGAAATCATAAAGAACTAGTAAATTTGAATTGGGCATTATAGTTTCATCCCTTTGAATTTTTTAATGGTTTTCACCTATGCATAACCCAAAAGTATTACATCATATTATTTACTGTAAATGTATTAGGTCTGCTATGAAGTCATTTAGTTTTGAACCCTAGAAAAAGTGACTTCTAGCCAACTGAGCTTTTATAATGTGCCCTCTAATTCACATTTTAATAAATGTCATTTTCTAAGTGCATTACCTCATGTTTTGGCTACAACCCAGCTGAATCCTGAGAGAATAAGAGAAATGTGCTTTCTGACTGGTTCATCCATATTTTATTTTACTTTTCATTAAGAAATTACTCTTTGAAGAAAATCAATAATCTTCTGTGACTGAGGGGAGAGGTTAGTGTGTTGCAGTGGTGCATTCTAATATCTCAAATCAAACTGCCTTTAGCTGGCTTTTGCTGATAGCATATTTGTCCTTTCTTGTTCCTGCAGCCTGGGTACATGGGGACCCCAGAAGAGCAGCCTATCCTACAGACAGCCAGGGCCACTTTTGTGGCCAGAAGGGCACTCCCAATGAGTGAGTATGGCCACCTTTGCTTTGTGTGATTTTACTGTCTAAACTGGAACCTAGATATCACTTTTACAGTAATCCTACCAGACTTCTTAAGAAGATTTAAATTCATAAAGGAAGCCTTCCCTCCCTTTTTTCTAACAGATAGCTATAAGCAGTTGGGAAGTTTTATATTATATGTCTTAAGACATGATGTCAGTGTTATGCAGCATTTTATTAGAATGCATGAAGACTCTAGTTATAAAAATATAATTATAATGAATAGATTGGACCAATGATTTTATCAGAAGCTATATTTTAAAATGCCTTATAAATGGGCTATTAGAAGACTGAGGTATGAGTAGCTGCTACAAAGCTAGACAGTCCAATTGTTAAGATTATTTTTGTCACAGTGTCTACTGATAAATCATTCCACCTTTCGAAGTAAGGGGCACACCCAGAAGGTCTTCAATGTTTGGTATCCTTTTCCAAGCAACCTGGCTGCTGTGGGCAATGTCCCTGGGTAGCTGAAACAAACAAGGAAGAATGTTCCATCAAATTTCTTTCTAATGGTAATCATAACAGAAGTTTTCATTTCTGAAAGCACATTGTCTATTTTTCTAATCTAAGAAAATAAACCACACACACAAGCAGCCCCCCATAAATCTCATATTTTTAGAAAACCTTCCCTCTTCTCTCACTGGTCCATTTCTCTGTGGAAACCTGGGGTGGTTGCTGGATCTTTTGGTTCTTCAAAACCAATCCAGTTTCTATAAAAGCTGGCTCTAGATGGTTAAAAAAAAAACCCCAAAGCAACCACACCCCTGACTTCCAAGAACAACAACAAAAAACATAGCTGAGGACACTTCAGTTATGTTGTCTATGCTGCCCACTTGTAACTATGGAGCATATTATTCCAAGAGATATACAGATTTTAAGAATAGATGCTCAGTAATTTTAAAAATTGACAACAAAAAAGTCCAAAATCAGATGAATTCACACCTGAATTTTACCAGATATTCAAAGAATTGGTACCGATCCTACTAAAACTATTCCGAAAGATAGAGAAAGAGGGGCTCCTCCTATATCATTCTAGGAAGCCCGTATCACCCTAATATTAAAACCAGGAAAGAACATAACAAAAATGAAACCTACAGACCAATATCCTTAATGAACATAGATGCAAAAATTCTTAACAAAATACTAGCTAACTGAATCCAACAGGACATCAATAGGATAATACATCAGGATCAAGTGAGTTTCATACCAGGGATGTAGGGATGGTTTAACATATGCAAGTTAATAAATGTGATACATCACATACACAGAATTAAAAACAAAAATTGTGTGATCAATCTCAATAGATGCAGAAAAAGCATTTGATAAAATCTAGCATTGCTTTCTGATGAGAGCCCTCAACAAAAAGGAATAGAAGGGACTTACCTCAAAGTAATAAAAGGCATCTGTAACAAACCCACAGCCAAGATCATACTAAATGGGGAAAAGTTGAAAGCATTCCCCCTGAGAACTGGAAAAAGACAAGGATGTCTACATGCAACACTTCTATTCAACATAGCACTGGAAGTCCTAGTCAGAGCAACCAGACAAAAAAAGAAATAAAGGGCAAGTTGGAAAAGAGGAAGTCAAACTGTCACTGTTTGCTGATGATATGATCACATAGCTAGAAAACTAAAGACTCATCCAAAAGGCTCCTAGACCCGATAAATGAATTCACTAAAGGCTCGGGTTACAAAATCAATGTACACAAATTAGTAGCACTGCTCTCCATCAACAGTGACCAAGCTGAGAATCAAATCAAGAACTCAATTCCTTTCACAACATCTGCAAAAAATAAAATAAAATACCTAGGAACACACTTAACCAACAAGGTGAAAGATCTCTACAAGGAAAACTACGAAACACTGCTGAAAGAAATCCTAGATGACACAGAGAAATGGAAACCCATCCTATGCTCATGGATGGATAGAATTAATATTGTGAAAATGACCATACTGCCAAAAGCAATCTACAAATTCAGTGCAATTCTCATCCACCAGGATTCCTCACAGAACTAGAAAAAAACAATCCTAAAATTCATACGGAATAAAAAAAGAGCCCACATAGCCAAAGCAAGACTAAGCAAGAACAAATCTGGAGACATCTCATTACCTGACTTCAAACTGTACTTTAAGGCCATAGTCACCAAAACAGCATGGTACTGATATAAAAATAGGCACATAGACCAATGGAAAAGAATAGAGAACCCAGAAGTAAAGCCAAATACTTAACACCCAACTGATCTTTGACAAAGCATACAAAACGTAAATTGGGGAAAGGACATCCTGTTCAATAAATGGTGCTAGGAAAACTGGCAAGCCACATGTAGAATAATGAAACTGGATCCTCATCTCTCACTTAATACAAAAATCAACTCAAGATGGATCAGACTTAAATCTAGGACCTGAAACCATAAAACTTCTAGAAAAAAACATTGGAAAAACTCTTCTGGACATTGATTTAGGCAAAGAATTCATGACTAAGATCCAAAAGCAAAGCAACAAAAACAAAAATAAAAAAAAAATAAAAGCAAACTGGTCATGATACAATATCTATCTTGTGAGAAATAAAATATTACAAGTCTAAAAAAAAAAAAAAGAAATGGGACCAAATTAAACTAAAAAGCTTCTGCTCAGCAAAATAAATAAGCAGAGTAAATAGACAACTCAAAGAGTGGGAGAAAGTATTTGCAAACTATGCATCTGACAAAGGACTAGTGTCCATAATCTACAAGTAACTCAAACAAATCAGCAAGAAAAATACAAACAATCCCATCAAAAGTGGGCTAAGGACATGAATAGACATTTCTCAACAGAAGATATACAAATAGCCAACAAACATATGAAAAAATGCCCAACACACTAATCATCAGGGAAATGCAAATTAAAACCATAATGAGATTCCACCTTACTACTGCAAGAATGGCCATAATTAAAAGTCAAAAAACAATAGATGTTGGCATGTATGTGGTGAAAAGGGAACATTTTTACATAGCTGGTGGGAATGTAAATTAGTACAACCAGTATGGAAAACAGTATGGGGTTTCCTTAAAGAACTAAAGGTAGGTCTACCATTTGATTCAGCAATCCCATTACTGGGTATCTACCCAAAGGAAAGGAAGTCATTATGTAAAAAAGACACAGGCACACACATGTTTACAGCAGCACAGTTCACAATTGCAAGGATATGGAACCAACGTAAGTGCCCCTCAGCCAACAAGTGGATAAAGAAAATGTTGTATATACACACCATGGAATACTACTCAGCCATAAAAAGGAATGAAATAATGCCTTTTGTAGCAACTTGAATGGAGCTGGAAGCCATTATTCTAAGTGAAGTAACTCAGGAATAGAAAGCCAAATACTGTGTGTTCTTACTTATAAGTGAGAGCTAAGCTATGAGGACACACACACACACACACACACACACAAAACATGCAGAGTGATATAATGGACTTAGGGGACTCGAGGAGGGGGAGACTATGAGGAGGTGAGGGATAAAAGAAAACACATTGCATACAGTATATACTGCTCAAGAGATGGGTGCGCTAAAATCTCAGAATTCACCACCTAAGAATTCATCCATGGAACCAAAAATCATCTGTACCCAAAAAACTATTAACATTTTTAAAAATAATTTTTAAATGTAAATAAGAAAAGAAAAAAGACAGATTCAGAAAATGGTTAACAAAATTCATGAAGTAGAATTATCACAATCAAGAAAACCCAGAAATTTAAGGAGAGGGGCAAATTCCTAATCATGTCAGGGTAAATTTATAGGGGACTAGTTGACTCCTCATTGCCTGTTAGAGATGACTGGGCTAAATTTTGATCCAGGGAGGTAATTCTTTTAACTTCAGTAACTCAGAAAATTCTAGACATTGCCCACAAAACCTTTGCAACCTTCACACTGTGAAGGACAAAGAGAGCACCAAGTGGTAAAAGAAACCATACAAATCTCTCAATCTCTAGTTCTTTAAGACAGTTTGTTTTTAAAAGGGCATTTGTAACAAGAAGTTTTCCAGACATAAGCCAATGATCCACTTATGTCAAACAAAAATGTGACAGCACAAATTTCAGTACATAATGATCTTTCAAAGATAGGCTTCGCTTAATACAAACATGTTCATTAAAGTATTATTCAAAATAATAATATATTGGAAACTACACAGATACTCAACAATATGTGAATGATAGTAAATTATGGCCCATCAATTTAATGAAATAGAATGGAACCACTGAAAATCATGTATATATGTTCAACAGTTGATTCTGTTGATTTTCCCTTACAGTTTCTGGGGTCTGGGTTATCATTGCCTTCCTCGCCCTGAAAATAACATTCTCCAATATTTCTCTAGTATTTTGATGGCTTCCTTCTTATATTTAAATTTCTAATTCCCTAGAAATTTATTTTTGTATATAGACTGAAGTGGAAATCAAACTATTTTCCCAAATTGTTGAGTTAATTATTTCAGAATCGTTTGTTGAATAATATACCCATTTCCTCTCTGATTTCTAAAACAATTACTAAATAATAAATTTATATATTTGTTTCTGAATCCTGTAACCTGCTCTAATGTACATTTTTAAGTCTCATGATTGTTTTAATTCTTATGATAAATGTGTATTAATTTAAAATTTTAATAAGTTACTCTAAATTATATTTGGACTTTCAGCAGTAAAATATTTACAAAAATGCAAGATTTTAGTCAATATTAAAAGTTTTTTAAGCATAAGTTTTATTGTATAAAATGGTGTATTAGTCCATTTTCACACTGGTGATAAAGACATACCTGAGACTGGGTAATATGTAAAGAAAAAGGGGCTTAATGGACTCACAGTTCCACGTGGTTGGGGAGGCCTCACAATCATGGCAGAAGGCAAAAGGCACGTCTTACACGGTGGCAGACAAGACAGAATGAGAACCAAGTGAAAGGGGTTTCCCCTTATGAAACCATCAGCTCTTGTGAGACTTATTCACTAACAGAACTGCATGGGAGAAACTGCCCCCACCATTCAATTATCTCCCACGGGTTCCCTCCCACAACATGTGGGAATTATGGGAGCTATAATTCAAGATGACATTTAGGTGGGGATACAGCCAAACCATATCAAATGGTATCAAGGGAAAATATTGGAGTAAATATATCATGATAGTAACATTATTATAACAATGTGAAACTATCATAAAACCAGACAGAAAGAAATCCTATTAAAAATATAAATTTTGAATGTGATAAAGATGGATTTCAAGTCAGTAGCAGAAAGATGATTATTAAATAAATAGTATTGAATTAACTGAAATACCATTCATAAAAATAAAATAAAATTGGATGTTTATCTCATATCTTATACCAAAATAAACACTAAAGCATTGATGATTTTGTATATAAAATATAAAACCATAGAAGTAACAGAAGAAAATGCAAGGGTATATTTATAGAATTATGGGGTTAAGAAAACTTTTCTAAAGATAACACCAAAAGCAGAAAATAGAAATTTTGAAGAATTTCAACACATAAATACACCTTAACTCATTGGAAACAAAGTTGAAAGATAAATGGAAATCTAGGAAAAACAAATATTTTCAACATATATATCTGACCAAATGTATCAACACCTTTTTTATATGAGCTGTTCTTCAAAATCAAAAAGAAAAAAAGATCATCCTATATGAAAGTAGGTAAAAGTCATAAACAGGAAATAATATAATGGCCAATAATGATAGAAATATAGTTCAACTACAGTTAAAAAAAGAATTGCAAATTAATTAAAATATTATTTTTGTCTTATAGGTTGTCAAGTAAATTTTAAAATATTAAAATTTCCGGTGTTGGCCAGAGTGAGGAGAAAAAATCGCCTCATTTTCTACTGGCAGTAGTGTAATTTGATATTTATCAGATTTTATAAAATATTTATCAAACATATAGGTTCTTTTTGATTCAGCAGTTTTCATCCTAGAAACTCATCTAGTGGAAATTTGCATAGATTTCCTAACGTTATAGGCACTATGTAATAGTAATAATAAAATGGAAACAACCTAAATGTTTCTCAATAGGAGATTGATTAAATGAATTACGGTATAGTCAATTATAAAATACCATTTAATCATTAATTATTGGGTAGAGATATATTTATTGGCAAGGAAATGTGCTCATGATATATTGTTAATTCAAGAAATGAAGTTATTAAAATGGCATGTGTAGTATAATTTCATTTTGTTGGTATGTTTGTACACTTGTATACTCTATATTCACATATATGAAAACATATGCAAGAAAAAAGTCTGAACGGATATACATATGCTTACAGTAATTATTTTCAATTATGGGATTATATTTTTATTTTCATTCTCATATTTCTGAGCCCCTATTATATCCCAGACAGTTTTCTAAAGGCTGAGGTTATAGTAAAAACAAATGAACAAGCTACCTGCCCTCATGAAGCCTACGTTTAAGTTAAAGGGAGATTCTCAATAAAAATGTAAATAACAAGATAGCTTCAAATAGTGATCAATGCTATGAAGAAAAAAAACAAAGCAGATGGCCTAACAGAGAATGACTGGTGTGCAATGGGAGGTAGTTACCTTGTGGTTACGGGGTGAGGGAAGCACTCTCATGAGGAGGTGACTTCTGAACTGAGATGTGAAGACCAGGAAGACACCAGCCTTTCAAAAGCCCTGGGAAGAGCACTCAAGCCAGAGGCAATAAGTGCAAAGGTCCTGAGGCATGAGTGACCCTATGATACACCAGGACTAGCACTAGAAGGAAGCCAAGAGGCCAAAACGTAGCCGATAAAGAGGGTGGTGGAATGAGGAGATGTCTGAGAAACAGGTAGAAGTCATATTTTCTGTGTCCTATGGACTCTGATAAAGTATTTGGATTATTTATAAGTGCAGAGAAGGACATAGAAAGGTGTTCCAACAAGAGTGACCGAATCCATTTAACATTTTAAAAAGAACATTCTTGCTGCTTCCTTATACCTTCTTGAGCTGTTTCAATGGTTCACAATAAGCATGTATGCAGAAAAATATTAAGCTTTTTTTCATTTAAAAATTAGGCCAGCTAGGGTGGCTCATGCCTGTAATCCTAGCCCTTTGGGAAGCCGAGGCGAGCCAATCACTTGAGCCCAGAAGTTCAAGACTGGCCTGGGCAACATGGTGAAAGCCTGTCCCTACAAAAAAATAAAAATAAAAATAAAAAAATTTTAAAAAATTAGCTGAGCATGATGGAGTGCCTGTAGTCCCAGCTATCAGGAGGCTGAGATGGGAGGATGGCTTGAGCCCAGGAGGTGGAGGTTGCAGTGAACTGAGATTGCACCACTGCACTCCAGCCTGGGCAACAGAGCCAGACCTTGTTTGAATTTAAAAAAATAAAAATAAAAATAAATATAATGGCAGATATCCTTATAGAATCATGACAGAAAATTGAGTATTTTTATTTTCTTGTATGTTTATGTGCATTGCAAGTTTCTACCAAAAATGTGTATCACTTTTATATTCCTACCGAATTTTCCAAAATTAAATAATTTAAAAAAGAAGTAAATATGCTGAGACAATAGATTGTCTTCATAATTAAAGCCCCTTTAAAAGAAAAAAAAACCAGATAAACATTTTCTCAAAAGAATATGTACCCTGGAGTCAAATTCTGACTTTACCTCTAGCATTGACCCATGGCATGGAACACAACCTACCTCAGTCTTTATTTCCTGATAATGAAGCAAAAATTAAATGAGAGAACAGTCATGTAGGAGAAGCATGCATTGGCCTTCTAAAAGCACTTTCATGTTGTTGAGGTCCTCCAATGGGCCAGTCACTATGCAATATACTAGAGCAAATAAGGCACAGATTTCTTCTTCAAGAGTCTCTTGGTCTTCAGAGATAAAGTCAAGAAAGCTATGGATTCGATCTATTGTGTTCGGCGCAGTGTGCTATTTTAAGTCTAAAATATAGTGCTGACAATCTCATCTGAAGCAGCCGCACGCACCGTCACCATTCCTCTTCCTAGTCTCTGGCACAAGATCTTGATTTACTGTCTTAGATACTTATCACTGCCTGAATTTATCCTGGTTATTAATTGGTTAGCTTCATTTATCTTCCCGGGCTGGGCCCAAAGTTCTTTGAGATCAGGGCCATTCTCTGTCTTTTTCACTGTCATATCTTCAGAACCTACAGCATTGTCTGGCATTACAATATGTGCTCAGTAAATTCATTGTTAAATGAATGAGAAAAAAGGGGTAACACAGATAAGAATGATTTGCTCCCAAAGTGGAGGTCAGCTTAAAGATCTGATCAGGTCCTCAACAACACTGCTAAGTGAGTCTGACTATTATTACTATTATTTGGAAATTTAGAAAACTAAAATTCAGAAAGGTTAAAATACTTGTTAAGGTTCAACTGTCTATTAAATGGCAAAGGTAGCACATTCTAACCCTAAGTCTTAAGCTGTTTAGGTTACACACAGACAGTTGCAGTGAACTTGGCTTTCCATTTTACTTGTTTAACCCAGGCCTAAAAATCTTAAACATAGCATAGCTTGTAAAAGTATCATTACATGTTTTAAACACCACAAATAAATGTGTGTGTGTGTGTGTGTGTGTGTGTGTGTGTGTATTTCTATGCCAAAATGAAATGCATCTATGTTAGGATGTGTAAGAAATTTAGGCAGCTCTAAAATGGGGAAACTTACCTGTTAGACTTTAACAATTGTCATGATGTATTTAAGCAATCCTTTGATTCCCAACTCTGGAAGACATTCCTTAATAACCGAGCCTAAAGTCCATGTTTAGAGGTGGTGTGATATTTGAGATGTGGCTTTTGGCCTTTTGTGCTTTATCTAACCAAAAAGACTCTAGGAGAAACACCAGGGGTTTTTACGGTGTCCAAAGAGATGAAACAGCGACTTCAAAGGAAAACGGAGTGCTTTGTTGTTGTGTGTAACTTTCTCTGCCTCTTGAGCTCTGGGAAAGTTGCTCATGACACTTAGGTACAGACCTTTTCTTTGAGATTTCCACAAAAAAAGAGAACGTGATTGATTTTTGATGCCACCTACTGGCTACTACAAAAACTTCAGCTTGTAAAGGTTGTGCCGAAATTACTTTGAACATTGTCTGATGTAGCACCATTACCAAGACTGAAATACCTGGCCCCATGAGGTTAAGATAAGGAAACAAGAAAGATTAAGAGGACAATGCTCTTCTATTTAAGATTTTTTAAAACTGATATGTAATATGTAATATTTGTACCTATCTATGGGGTGCATGTGATATTTTGTTACATGCATAAAATGTGTAATATTCAAGTCAGGGTATTTAGTGTATTCATCACCTAAGTATTTATCATTTCTATGTGTTAAGAACATTTCAAGTCCCATCTCCTAGCTGCTTTGAAATGTACAGTACATTGTTGCTACCTATAGTCATCTTTCCATGCTATGGAACATTAAAATGTATTCCTTCTATCTAATTCTATGTTTGTACCCATTAACCATTAACCCATTAACCAGCCTCTCTTCACTCCCCAGCCCCTGCCCCAGTTGCATATGCTTTCAGTTTGCTAGTATTCTGTTGAGAATTTTTGCATCTATGTTTATCAGGGATATTGCCCCATAGTGTTTTTTTGTTTGTTTGTTTTTATGTCCTTGTTTGGTTTTGGTATCAAAGTAATGCTGGCCTCACAGAATGACTTATAAAGAATTATCTCCTCTCCAATTTTCTGGAATAGTTTGAAGAGAAGTGGTTTTAATTCTTCTCTGTAAGTCTGGTAAAATTCAGCAGTGAAACCATCTGGTCCTGAACTTTTCTTTGTTTGGAAACTTTGTATCACTGATCCAATCTCATTATTTGTTATTGGTCTGTTTGGTTTTTCTATTTCTTGATTCAACCTTGGTAGGTTATATGTGTCCATGAATTTATCCATTTTTCTAGTTTGTTGGTGTACAGTTTTTCATAACAGTCTCTGATAGCGTTTTTCATTTCTGTGGTATCAGTTGTAATGTCTCCTCTTTTATTTTTGATTTTATTTATTTGGGTCTTCTCTCTTTTTTTCTTGGTTAGCCTAGCTAGCAGTTTATCAGTTTTATTTTTTTCAATAAAAACTTTGTTTTGTTAATTGTTTCCATTGTTTTTTAATCTCTATTTTGTTCTCTTCTCATTTTTATTTATTTACTTCTACTAATTTTGTGTTGGTTTGTTCTTGCTTTTCTAGTTCCTTGAGGTGCATTGTTAGATTGTCTTCGTACTTTTATGATGTAGGTCATTACTGCCATAAATTTTCCTCTTAGCACTGCTTTTTCTCTATTCCATCAGTTTTGATACATTGTGTTTTGGTTTTCCTTTGTTTGAAAAAAATTTTAAATTTCCTCCTAATTTCTTTCTTGACCTAACGGTCATTCAGAAGCATGTTATTTAATTTCCATTTATTTATAGTTTCCCAAGCTCTTCTCATTATTGATTTCTAATTGTATTCTATTGTGGTCTAAGAAGAAACTTGATATGATTTTAATTTTTTATAATCACACAAGTTGTCCTTGAGTGGCAGCTGCAAACAGAATAATCTTTCTCAGGGAACTGTAAACGTGTGGCAGCCCTGCCACTGGGCACATGGGGATCAATGCCAATGGCTTGCACTTTGGCCTTGGTGAGAGCAGCCAGCAGCAGCACATGGCTGCAGGTAGGGGATGTCAATGGGGCTCCAGGGATGTGGAGACACAAGGGTTGTTGAGCCCTAGGACAGGATGCAGTACAGTAGGTTCCAGGCTCTGAAAATGGTGCCTTGCTATTCCTTTTTTTTTTTTTTTTTTTAAATACTTTAAGTGATGGGATACATGTGCAGAACATGCAGGTTTGTTACATAGGTATACACGTGCCATGGTGGTTTGCTGTACCTATCAACCTGTCGTCTACACTAGGTATTTCTCCTAATGCTATCCCTCCCCTAAGCCGCAACCCCCCAACAGGCCCCAGTGTGTGATGTTCCCCTCCCTGTGTCCATGTGTGCTCATTGTTCAACTCCCACTTATGAGTGAGAACATGCTATGTTTGGTTTTCTGTTCTTGTTTTAGTTTGCTGAGAATGATGGTTTCCAGCTTCATCCATGTCCACACAAAGGACATGAGCTCATCCTTTTTTATGGCTGCATAGTAGTCCATGGTGTATATGTACTACATTTTCTTTATCCAGTCTATCACTGATGGGCATTTGGGTGGGTTCCAAGTCTTTGTTACTGTGAACAGTGCTGCAATAAACATACGTGTGTATGTGTCTTTATAGTAGAATGATTTATAATCCTTTGGGTATATACCCAGTAATGGGATTGCTGGGTCAAATGGTATTTCTAGTTCTAGATCCTTGAGGAATCACCACACTGCCTTCCACAAGGGTTGAACTAATTTACACTCCTACCAACAGTGTAAAAGCATTCCTATTTCTCCACATCCTCTCCAGCATCTGTTGTTTCCTGACTTTTTAATGACCATCATTCTAACTGGCATGAGATGGTATCTCATTGTGGTTTTGATTTTATTTGTCTAATGACCAGTGATGATGAGCTTTTTTTCATATGTTTGTTGGCTGCATAAATGTCTTCTTCTAAGAAGTGTCTGTTCATATCCTTCAGCCACTTTTTGATGGTGTTGTTTGTTTTTATCTTGTAAATTTGTTTAAGTTATTTGTAGATTCTGGATATTAGCCATTTGTCAGATGGGTAGATTGCAAAAATTTTCTCCCATTCTGTCGGTTGCTTGTTCACTCTGATGTTAATTTCTTTTGCTGTGCCAAAGTTCTTTAGTTTAATTAGACCCCATTTGTCAATTTTGGCTTTTGTTGCCATTGCTTTCATGTTTTAGTCATGAAGTCCTTGCCTATGCCTATGTCCTAAATGGTATTGCCTAAGTTTTTGTCTAGGGTTTTTTATGGTTTAAGGTCTTATTTTTAAGTCGTTAATCCATATTGAGTTACTTTTTGTATAAGGTAAAGAAGGGATCCAGTTTCAGCTTTCTGCATATGGCTAGCCAGTTTTCCCAACACCATTTATTAAATTGGGAATTCTTTCCAGATTGCTTGTTTTTGTCAGGTTTGTCAAAGATCAGATGGTTGTAGATATGTGACGTTATTTCTGAGGCCTTTGTTCTGTTCCATTGGTCTATATATCTGTTTTGGTACTAGTACCATGCTGTTTTTATTACTGTAGCCTTGTAGTATAGTTTGAAGTCAGGTAGTGTGATGCCTCCAGCTTTGTTCTTTTGGCTTAGGATTGTCTTGGCAATGCGGGCTCTTTTTTGGTTCCATATGAACTTTTAAGTAGTTTTTTCCAATTCTATGAAGAAAGTCAGTGGTAGCTTGATGGGGATAGCATTGAATCTATAAATTACTTTGGGAAATATGGCATTTTCACAATATTGTTTCTTCCTATCCATAAGCATGAAATATTTTTCCATTTGTTTATGTCCTCTCTTACTTCCTTGAACAGTGGTTTGTAGTTCTCCTCGAAGAGATGCTTCACATCCCTTGTAAGTTGGATTCCTAGGTATTTTATTCTCTTTGTAGCAATTGTGAATGGGAGTTCACTGATAGTTTTGCTCTCTATTTGTTCTTGGTGTATAGGAATGCTTGTGCTTTTTGCACATTGATTTTGTATCCTGAGACTTTGCTGAAGTTGTTTATCAGCTTAAGAAGATTTGGGGCTGAGATGATGGGGTTTTCTAAATATACAATCATGTCATCTGCAAACAGAGACAATTTGACTTCCTCTTTTCATACTTGAATACCCATTGTTTATTTCTCTTTCTTGATTGCCCTGGCCAGAACTTCTAATACTGTGAAGGAGTGGTGAGAGAGGGCATCCTTGTGTTGTGCCGGTTTTCAAAGGGATTGTTTCCAGTTTTTGCCCTTTCAGTATGATACTGGCTGTGGGTTTGTCATGAATAGCTCTTATTTTGAGATACGTTCCATCAATACCTAGTTTAAAGAGAATTTTTAGCATGAAGGGCTGTTGAATTTTGTCGAAGGCCTTTTCTTCATCTATTGAGATAATCATGTGGTTTTTGGTCATTGGTTGTTATGCGATGGATTACATTTATTGTTTTGCATCCCTGGGATGAAGCTGACTTGCTCGTGGTGGATAAGCTTTTTGATGTGCTGCAGGACTCAGTTTGCCAGTATTTTATTGAGGATTTTCGCATCCATGTTCATCAGGGATATTGGCCTGAAATTTCTGTTGTTGTGTCTCTGCCAGGTTTTGGCATTAGGATGATGCTGGCTTCATAAAATGATTTAGGGAGGATTCCCTCTTTTTCTATTGTTTGAAATAGTTTCAGAAGGAGTGGTACCAGTTCTTCTTTGTACCTCTGGTGGAATTTGGCTGTGAATCCATCTGGTCCTGGACTTTTCTTAGTTGGTAGGCTATTAATTGCTGCCTCAATTTCAGAACTTGTTACTGGTCTATTCCAGGATTCAACTTCTCCCTGGTTTAGTCTTGGGAGGGTGTATGTGTCCAGGAAGTTATCCATTTCTTCTAGATTTTCTAGTTTCTTTGAGTAGAGGTGTTTACAGTATTCTCTGGTGGTAGTTTGTATTTCTGTGGGATCGGTGGTGATATCCCCTTTATCATTTTTTATTGGGTCTATTTGATTCTTCTCTCTTTTCTTCTTTATTACTCTCGCTAGCTGACTATTTTGTTCATCATTTCAAAAAACCAGATCCTGGATTCATTGATTTTTTGAAGAGTTTTTTGTGTCTCTGTGCCCTTCCGTTCTGCTCTGATCTTAGTAATTTCTTGCTTTCTGCTAGCTTTTGAATTTGTTTGCTCTTGCTTCTCTAGTTCTTTTAAATGTGATGTTAGTGTCGATTTTAGATCTTTCCTGCTTTATCTTGTGGGCATTTGGTGCTATAAATGTCCCTCTACAGACTGCTTTAAATGTGTCCCAGAGATTCTGGTATGGTGTGTCTTTGTTCTCATTGGTTTCAAAGAACATCTATATTTCTGCCTTCATTTCAATATTTACCCAGTAGTCATTCAGGAGCATGTTGTCTACTTTCCATGTACTTCTGCAGTTTTGAGTGAGTTTCTTAGTCCTGAGTTCTAATTTGATTGCACTGTGGTCTGAGAGACTGTTTGTTATGATTTCTGTTCTTTTGCATTTGCTGAGGAGTGTTTTACTTCCAGTTATGTGGTCAATTTTAGAATAAGTGTAATGTGGTGCTGAGAAGAATGTATATTCTGCTGATATGGAGTGGAGAGTTTTGTAGATGTCTATTAGGTCTGCTTGTTGCAGAGCTGAGTTCAGGTCCCGGATATCCTTGTTAACATTCTGTCTCATTGATCTGTTTACTATTGACAGTGGGGTGTTAAAGTCTCCCACTATTATTGTGTGGGAGTCTAAGCCTCTTTGTAGGTCTCTAATAACTTGTTTTATAATCTGGGTGTTCCTGTATTGGGTGCATATATATTTAGGATGGTTACTGCTTCTTGTTGCATTGACCCCTTTACCAGTATGTAATGCCCTTCTTTGTCTCTTTTGATCTTTGTTCGTTTAAAGTCTGTTTTATCAGAGACTAGGATTGCAACCCCTGCTTTTTTGCTTTCCATTTGCTTAGTAAATATTCCTCCATCCCTTTATTTTGAGCCTATGTGTGTCTTTGCATGTGAAATGGGTCTCCTGAATATAGCACACCAATGGGTGTTGACTTTTTATCCAATTTGCCAGTCTGTCTTTTAATTGGGGCAGTTAGCCCATTTACATTTAAGGTTAATATTGTTATATGTGAATTTGATCCTGCCATTATGATGCCAGCTGGTTATTTTGCTCGTTAGTTGATGCAGTTTCTTCCTAGCATCGATGGTCTTTACAATTTGGCCTGTTTTTGCAGTGGCTGGTACTGGTTGTTCCTTTCCATGTTTAGCGCTTCCTTCAGGAGCTCTTTTAGGGCAGGCCTGGTGGTGACAAAATCTCTCAGCATTTGCTTATTGTAAAGATTTTATTTCTCCTTCACTTATGAAGCTTAGTTTGGCTGGATATGAAATTCTGGGTTGAAAATTCTTTTCTTTAAGAATGTTGAATATTGGCCCCCATTCTCTTCTGGCCTCTAGGGTTTCTGCTAAGAGATCTGCTGTTTGTCTGATGGGCTTCCCGTTGTGGGTAACCTGACCTTTCTCTCTGGCTGCCCTTAATATTTTTTCCTTTATTTCAACCTTGGTGAATCTGATGATTGTGTGTCTTGTGGTTGCTCTTCTCAAGGAATATCTTTGTGGTGTTTTCTGTATTTCCTGAATTTGAATATTGGCCTGCCTTGCTAGACTGGGGAAGTTCTCCTGGCTAATATCCCAAAGAGTGTTTTCCAACTTGGTTCCATTCTCCCTGTCACTTTCAGGTACACCAATCAAACATATATTTGGTCTTTTCACATAGTCCCATATTTCTTGGAGGCTTTGTTCATTTCTCTTCACTCTTTTTTCTCTAATCTTGTCTTCTCACTTTATTTCATTGAGTTGATCTTCAATCTCTGACATTCTTTCTTCCACTTGATCGATTCTGCTATTGATACTTGTGTATGCTTTGCGAAATTCTTGTGCTGTGTTTTTCAGCTCCATCAGGTCATTTATGTTCTTCTCTATACTGGTTATTAAAGTTAGCAATTCATCTAACCTTTTCTCAAGGTTCTTAGCTTCCTTGCATTGGGTTAGAACATGCTCCTTTAGCTCAGAGGAGTTTGTCATTACCCATCTTCTGAAGCCTAATTCTGTCAATTTGTCAAACTCATTCTCTGTCCAGTTTTGTTGCCTTGCTGGCGAGGAGTTGTGATCCTTTGCAGGAGAAGATGCATTCTGGTTTTTGGAATTTTCAGCCTTTTTGTGCTGATTTCCCCCCATCTTCATGGATTTATCTACCTTTGGTCTTTAAAGTCAGTGACCTTTGGCTGGGGTCTCTGAGTAGATGTCCTTTTTGTTGCTGTTGATACTGTTCTTTTCTGTTTGTTAGCTTTCCTTCTAACAGTAAGGCCCCTCTGCTGCAGGTCTGCTGGAGTTTACTGGAGGTCCACTCCAGACCCTGTTTGCCTGGGTGTCACTGGCAGAATCGCAGAATGGCCAAGATTGCTGCCTGTTCCTTCCTCTGGAAGCTTCGTCCCAGAGGGGCACCTGCCAGATGCCAGCCAGAGCTCTCCTGTATGAGGTGTCTATTGGCGCCTACTGGGAGGTGTCTCCCAGTCAAGATACCCAGGGGTCAGGGACCCACTTGAGAAGGCAGTCTGTCCCTTATTGGAGCTCAAACGCTGTGCTGGGAGATCTGCTGCTCTCTTCAGAGCTGCCAGCAGGGACTTTTAAGTCTGCTGAAGCTGGACCCCCGACCGCCCCTTCCTCCAGGTGCTCTGTCCCAGGGAGTTGGGGGTTTTATCTGTAAGTCCCTGACTGGGGCTGCTGCCTTTTTTTCAGAGATGCCCTGCCCAGAGAGGAGGAAATCTGGAGAGGCAGTCTGGCAGCAGTGGCCTTGCTGAGCTGTGGTGAGCTCCACCCAGTTCCAACTTCCCAACGACTTTGTAAAACCACCTACTCAAGCCACAGCAATGGCAGACACCCCTTCCCTGACGAAGCTCAAGCATCCCAGGTCGAGCTCAGACTGCTGTGCTCAAAGTGAGAGTTTCAAGCCAGTGGATCTTAGCTTTCTGGTCTCCGTGGTTGTGGGAACTGCCAAGCCAGACCACTTGGTTCCCTGGCTTCAGCCCCCTTTCTAGGGGAGTGAACAGTTCTGTCTCACTGGCATTCCAGGCGCCACTGGGGTATGAAAAAAAACTGTGACTAGCTTGGTGTCTGCCCAAATGGCCACCCAGTTTTGTGCTGGAAACCCAGGGCCCTGGTGGAGTGGGCCCTGGAGTGAATCTTCTGGTCTGCGGGTTGCGAAGACCGTGGGAAAAGCTCAAAATCTGGGCCAGAGTGCATGATACAGTCCCTAATGGCTATTTCCTTAGGCTAGGAGAGGGAGTTCCCTGACCCCTTATGCTTCCTGGGTGAGGTGACAACCCACCCTGCTTTGGCTCGCCCTCCCTGGGCTACACCCACTGTCCAACTAGTCCCACTGAGATGTACTGGTTACCTCAGTTGGAAATGCAGAAATCACCCTTTTTCTGAGTAGTTCTCGCTGGGAGCTGCAGACCAGAGCTGTTCCTATTTAGCCATCTTGCCAGCCACCTTGCTGTTTCTTCTTAGACCTCAGGGAGGGGTGTGAGACCCAGTAGAAGCTTTCTCTTTGGAGCAATGCTGTTATGCAGTCTCCAGGCAATTTCCTATGTTAGTCTCAGTGCCTGAGTGGGTCAAGGGGCTCACCCATGGCTAGAATTGCAGGAGTTTGTGTTGGGAATGTGGACCACTAGGGGTCTCTCACCCTTTTCCTGCATCGGAAAGCCTCTCTAGGTTCCCAGCTGATCCTGGCTGAGCATGCTGCCTCTCTTCACTCTTTTTCCATGCCTTAGCTGTTTCCTGTTCACTTTGGCTGTTGAATTCTGGCATTCTTGCTTAGGTGATCTATTCAAAGTGTGATTATCTACTTGTTATTTTGGTTCTTCTTTGTAGTGCAAGTGGGTACTATATGCTTCTCATCAGCCATTTTGAAGTCCCTCCCTTTTAAGCCTTGCATCCAATTCAGCATCTATGTGAAGCAATAGCAACTTAGTTTTCAATTCACTGACCTCTGACAAAATGGCAAAAATATCTCACAAATCTCTTTGATTGAACTTACTACCAGTATCCACACACAATTTGTTTAATGTTTAAAATTTGAATCAAAATAATATATGCATGTGAAAACAAACAAAATAGTAATGAAGAGTTTATAATAAAAGCAATGGTCTCTCATTCTAGGACTTTTCACCCACACTTTCCTTTCACTGGGACAATCTCTTCTCTCTCTGGTTTTAGTTCTTCTGGCAGTTGGTTTTTACAGAACTTTAAATAATAAGCTTATTTTATTTTGTGCTTATTAAGTTTAGATAATATCCACTGACAGTCTGCTATGGGAAATGAATATTTCTAACTCATATACATTATCTTACTGATCCCCTTCACCCATGTTTGGTAGTTAAATTACTACTTTTGGATTGCCTTGTGGTTACTTTTATGACTTTAAATAGTATGCAATACCTCTACTTCTTGTTCTGCTAACTTTTGTCAGTGTCTCAGCTCATCTTTATGTAAGAGGATATTATCACCCCTACCCTTCTGTCCATCTTTTCGTTCCCTTTCACCTTTTACTTTCTGGAAATACTTTCTATAAATACCATTTTACATGATCAGATTTGTCACCATTTATGTTCAGTTCTGGAACTTCAACAGAATCTTGCATGATGTATTGGTAGGTTGGTTCCAGAATTTGAAAATGATTTTAAAAACTTCTGCTTTGTCATAACTCTACAAACTGTATTCACTGTCAGGCCATTACTTTCTTATTTGTACCATGTCCTTGATATCAAAGCCAAATCTCACACTTCATTAGCAGCATAGGATCATCTCACATTTTAGTTTGCTTCAACATAGTGACTTTCTAACATAATGTTTTGTTTACCCACAAGGTTTTTCTTGGATAGCCTTCATCAGAACAATGTGCTTTTCTGCCATCTCAATCATACTATTTTTCAGGGGCCCCTTTTCCCTGAAGGTCTACCTTGCAGAGCTGCTGTCCTTTTGCTTTACTCAGGACCTGGTAAATTGTAGGCCTATTGCATAGCTTTAATTCTGGGGCTTCTCTACCTTGTTAAATTGTCTTTTTCTAGAGTTAACAGATTTATGAAACAAAAGCACAGAATGCCCAGTTAACTTTTTAATTTCATATAAATAATAATTTTTAGCGTAAGTATGTGAATTTATTGTTTCCTATATCCCAAGGCTGCCTCTCTTTCTGTTGACCCACCTGTTTTCATGGAGAATATTCTCAATTACCTTCCTAAAAAAAGAAAGCATAAGAAGTAAACTTGCTGAGTTCCTATAAATGTCTTCTTTGTCTCTTCATCTTTTCTTTTCTCTTTTTATATTTGATTGATGGTATAGCTATAGAAGTGTAGATTGAAAAACAATTCTTTTCAGAAATGTGAAGACATTGCTCCATCATTTTTGTTATCCAGAATGTCTAATGCCAGTAGAATTCACATACATCATGATAAGTATTTTCCTTTTAGAAAGTACTTAAAATCATTTCTTTATTCTTAGTGTTCTGAAATCTCACAATTTGATAGAGGCCTGTTTAATTCTTTCTTTGAGTCCTTAGTAAGTCCTTTAATCCTGAAGAACTATGACTCTCATCAGCTCTGGACAATTTTCTTCTGTTATTTCTTTGCGATTTTTATCCCTTCCATTTTTTCAGTTGTCTTTCTGGAACTATTGGTCATACCTGGATTCGTCTCAGTGCCTCTCCTTTTTTTCCTTCTATTTTTCATCTCTGACTTTTTGTTCTGTATTTTAGAATTTCTTAATTTTTTCCATCTCTTCTTTTGATTTTTTTTTGTTTTGGCAATTATATTTTAATCTTTATAAGCCTTTCTTGTTCTCCAATTATTCTTTTACAATAACATCACATTTTTATTTTGTGAATAATCTGCTTAAATTTCTCTGAATATATTAGAGGTTTTAAAGTTCCCTCCTATGCCCTTAATTATTTTAATAATTTAATTTTTGTTTGTTTGTTTAGTTTTTCTCTTTTATGTTTTGATTCCTCATATATGCCTGATGCTACATAATTATCTATTACTAAAGAAAAAAGGACTGGGTGGTTTGGGTGGATTTGCTTTGCTGCTGTGTTAGTCAGTCATCTTACCAAGGAGGCCTCTGCACCATGTGGGGTGACAGGGCTGTGTTGACTGTCATATTCCATTACAGCATGAATTGGTGGAAAGCTGGATGTCAGGCACTGGCTTTCAAAACGCCATAGAACAAGCTTGTGCAACCCACAGGTCATGGGCTCCACGTGGCCCAGCATGGCATTCAGTGCAGCCCAACACAAAATCATAAACTTTCTTAAAACATTATGAGATTTTTTTTTGCAATTTTAGTTTTAGCTCATCAGCTATTTTCTGGATGCTGGTATTCTAAGCATAGAGGTCTGGGAGAAACACAGCGGTTCTGATTTGCACTGAAAATCTGTAAAGAAACTTTCGATTAATCTCTCTGCTTTGGCTACATTTCTCACTCTCAACTCAGTCTAGCATGTTTCATGATTTCTAACAGGCAAATTCTGTCCCACCCTCCCTGTACCCCTGTATGTGCATTCATTGTTCAGCACACTTCAATATGCATCCCGTATTCCAAATATTGCTGAACTCTCCTGTAAAATTGTGATCAAATCACATCCTCCACATTCTTAGCTTGTGTGGCGAGGTTTATTCATTTATTGGTACTTTTATTATTTTATTCCGATGAGTCTCAGGAAAGAAGAGAGATAGGCTTAAGTGCCTGATACATCACCTGGAACTAGTAGTTTGCTATTGTTTCTATTTTGTTTCTTGATGGAAATATAATTTAAGTTAAATTATGAGTTACTTCCTCAATTACTTCTACAGAATTGCTCAGCTGCAACCACCACCATCTACTTTGCACCTAAAAAATCTGAGGTCTGGCCGGGTGCGCTGGCACATGCCTGTAATCCCAGCACTTTGGGAGGCCGATGCAGGCAGATCACCTGAGGTCAGGAGTTTGAGACCAGCCTGGCCAACATGCCGAAACCACGTCTCCACTAAAAGGACAAAAATTAGCTGGGCATGGTGGTAGGTGCCTGTAATCCCATCTACTCAGAAGGCCGAGGCAGGAGAATTGCTTGAACCCTGGAGGCAGAGGTCGCAGTGAGCAGAGATTGCGCCACTGCACTCCAGCCTGGGCGACAAGAGTGAGAAACCGTCTAAAAAAAAAAAAAGTTGTGGTCCCCTGAAATTTGAGAATATCAGTGACTGTGATAGAATGACTATAGATTTGTGCTGAAATACTAATGATGATTCTAAGACTTACTTGAAAAAACTTTGAGATAAATATTTTCAAAAACATTATGGAATTGGTCTCATTCATTCCAAAACATCTGATAAGTGTCTAGAGTGGGCCAAGTATGAGGTTAAGTTCTGGCAAGGTAGGATGTAAAGATGAATAAGGTATAAACCTTACCCTTGAGGATAATATAATCTGGTGAATAACTTGAGTTTACATAGCAGTTTGCAGTTTATAAATCAATTTTACCTATGGCAAACTCTTGGCACTTACTGATTTACCATTCACAGTTTTAAATACTCCCAAGGGACCCCAGTGATCCAAGATATGTATAATTTATTCATTTGCTCAAGTACAAATTTGAATCACATGCACTGTGAGACTGTGTGGATGATGTAGTTGACTGGGTGGTGAAATAGCCAAGTTAGCACTTGTAGATCTCAAAGTAGTAGCCTTGTACATATTGTGTATTAATTTATAAACAGCTTCTTCAGCCATTTGAATTTAGTGGAATACAAACATAGAATGGGTTTATTTTTCTCATATCATTGCCTTTAAAAATGCTTTTTCAGATTTCCCTTCTCACTTTGATATTTCAGGCAGATTACATAGTTTTCAGACACTTTCTGTTGTTAAAAGTTCAATGTAGTCCAATTTAAGATTTCAGTTTCATTTCTTCCAATCCCCAAGCTCAGGTTTGACTCTGCCAAAGAACTTGGAGTGAGAGAGAGGGCCTGGCCTGCTATTACTTGTCTCCTCTCTTCCTTTCTGGTTCTAGCTTATTCATTATGCTGTGAGGGATGGAAAGAGAAGAAAAGGGATGATGTGTTACTTTCCTAGCTACTGCCCCTTCTTACTAAAGAAAAAGCAACTGGAATATTTCTGTGCACTTACTTTGCTGTTGTTGTTGTCACTGTGGCTCGGACATAACTGACCAGCCATCAACACTCACTGGGGCAGGCATCCAAGGGCTGGCTCTCTCATGGGGTGCAGGTGGACATTTTCTGGGGGAGTCCTCACTGAATAGTTCTTTCATGTAAGTCATCAGCTTTGGTTTGCCCTCCTCCAAACCCTTTCAGCTCCATCCCTGGTGATTCACCTCCACAGTCTCTTAATGTCAGGTGAGGTACCACCAGGGAGGCTCAAGTCCGTTTATTGACTCCATATCCTATTATGATGGGCTGTTTTACTGCTGCCCTCTTTCTGCCTCATTGACTTTTTTTCAATTCTCTTGTGGTCTCTTTGGGTCTCATTTCTCCCTGCTCAAATGGGCATGGAAGGCTGACTAGCAGGTCTGCCACATAAGAGACATTCAATTGAAAAATGAGATGTTGGTCTACCCCTCTTACTGCATCTTCAGTCTCTATGAGAGATTCTCTTAGAACCCTCTATAACTTGGAATTTGGAAGAAACAACTAGTCCTCTCCTCAGTGAGGATTGTAGGGAGAGTTCTATTAACTGCAATCATTGGTTGTATCCTGCCGACTCCACTGTCTCTGATCCACCTCCCTCCCCACAATATTGGCTTATGTAGACAGGTGTAGGAAGCAGGTAGAAGTGATTAAAGGATCTATCCCCAATTTCTTGTGGAAGACTTTCTTTATCCTTAGATTTGGATCCTACTTACTGATTTTGAGTGGTAGGAAAAATATTGCTCAATAGCCCATTACATTTTGTGCTATGCATGTAGTCACATTAATTTACTGGGGAGTTGACAAAGAGTTAAGAAACATTCTTCCTGAATATTTAGAGCTGTGTTTCTTAAGATATGGTTTACAGAACACTCTCTCTGAATCCACTGGGGAGCTTAGGGGAAAACATACTAATTCCTGGGCCCAATATCTAGACATTTGGACTCTCAAGGGTTGGGAAAGAGTTGGGAATCAAAATGTTGAACAAACACTTCGGGTTTTCCTTGTGCATGCTGAAGTTGGGCAACCACTTGTCTTAAGTCCACTACGCATTATCTTAGGCCCTCCCAACACTCTGTGAAGTAGGTAGGAATAGTATTATCTTCATTTTACTGATGAGAAAATTGAGATTCAAAAGAGAACTGTGGCTTGCTAAATGGCAGAGTAATATACCACTCAAAGCTAATGATAATGAATATCAACCTGCTTCGTTACTCTGCCACTGGCTATAATTTTCAGCAGAGAGAAAGTATCACTTAATTCATTTATGTTTTTTCAGATTACCAAAGTAATGTATATTTATTTTATGAAATCCATAAAAGCACAAAAAATAAACTAAGCAATATAATCCCAACATTCAGATGTAATAATGTTTCTTCATGTTATATTTGTTTTTAATAAAATTAAAATCAAACCATATGTTAATACTCTTTAGTAACCTGCTTCCTAAAATTGACATATTGTAAATTTCACCATCCATTAAATTAGTTCTTTAGCATTATTTTCAATGGCAATGTAATGTTCTACCTTATGGGTATACAAATCTATTTAAGCAATCTCCTGTTGATGGATAGTTTGATTGTTTCAACATTTTACTATTAAAAAAAAAGATACTTTAAAGGTTAGGTACCTAAGGGAGAGGGAGAATATATTTCAGCCTCTGTAGATAATGAAACCAATTTTTAAAGGTTATTTATAAAAAGTGTTCAGGGTCTGAAATGATATGGAACATTTCCATGGTCACTAAAAAGATTATGTTTTCTTTCTTAACAGGAACAAGACCATTTTGTTTTACTTTAACCTGTTACGCTGTACCAGTCCCTCCGTGTTGCTAAACCTACAGTGCCCTACCACACAGGTAAGGCAAAAGGTGCCTCACTGGTAGTGTCAGCCGTTCTGAACATTCTTGGATAAAAGAATTGAGAAATTCCATTTGAGTTCTCTGTGTGTGTGCGTGGGCAGGGGGTTCATTATGAATTTCTAGACGATGGGAAGATATAAGTATGAGCTTATATTTGTTTATATACAATCAAAACTAAGCAGAAATTAATCATTTTAGAATCACTTAGGAAGCTCGATGATTGTCTTGTCCAACCACTTACTTTTATAAATAAATATGTGCAGCCCAGAGAAATGGAGTTTTTATCAAGATCAACATTGTATTAGGAAAAGTAAAGCTAGCTACTATAACTAACAAACCACGTTTTTCAGTGACTTCACACAATAACATTTATTTTTTGACCATATAACAGTAAAAGGCAGGTGTCTGTGGTCAGTAGGTACTCTCCTCTAGGCTCCTTCCATCTTAAGGGTGGCTTAAGCACTTAAGGGTGGCTCTGCTGTTCCTTAAATCCTCCCCATCATATGCATCCAGCAATGAAAAGGACACAGTGAGGATGAATAAAACATCCTGCTCTTAAAAGCCTTGGATAAGAAGTTTCACACATTGCATTTCCACTCATATGCCACAGACACAAACTGGTTATAAGTGGTCGCATCCCTCAAAGACCTAAAGACAGAAATACCATTTGACCCAGCAATCCCATTATTGGGTATATACCCAAGGGAATATAAATCATTCTACTAAAATGATGCATGCACATGTATGTTCACTGCAGCACTATTCACAATAGCAAAGATATGGAATCAATCTAAATGCCCATCAATGATAGATTGGATAAAGAAAATGTGGTACATATACACCATGGAATACTATGCAGCCATAAAAAAGAACAAGGTCACGTCCCTCGCAGAGACATGGATGGAGCTGGTGGTCATTATCTTTAGAAAACTAAAACAGGAACAGAAAACCAAATGCCACGTGTTCTCACTTATAAGTGACAGCTAAATGATGAGAACATATGGACACAAAGAGGGGAACAACAGGCATGGGGGCCTATCAGAAGGTGAAGGGTGGGAGGAGAAAGAAGATCAGGGAAAACAACGAATGGATACTAAGCTTAATACCTGGGTAATGAAATAATCTGTTCAACAAAACTCCATGACACAAGTTTACCTATGTAACAAACCTGCACATGTACCTCTGAACTTAAAATAAAAGTTTTTAAAAAAGAAATTTATATGTTTCTAATCCCACAAAAAAGATAGGTCACACCCAGATTCAAGGAGAAAGGAATTGAGCAATGTAGCTATGAGCTGAGCTGCCTTTTCTATACCATGGAACAAATGGAACAAGAGACACAAACCTCAATGAATAGTTAAGTGTGTCTTCTATAGTCTACCTCTCTGGCCTCCAGAACACACTTCTTCTTCCCAAAGGAGAACCCAGAATCCCATGTAGTACTGTTTTTAACTCAAAGTCCAGAATCTATAGATGATGTATAGTTCTCTTTATCAAGTCTTGACACTACATGTACAATGGTAACATGGACAGAAAAATTAGAATTACAAACTCTCATTTAGAAAAGGAGTGATAAATACACAGCAGTTTCTGGATTGTGGCAATGGAGAACAGTCTTTTATTTCACCTGGATTGCGTTCTCTGAGAAGATTTCCCTGTCCATTGCTTCCTATAGCCGTTTGCTTGGCCACCTGGGAGGTGATTTTCTGTCCTTTAACCTCCAGGCCACACCATTGCTGAGCACTGGAAAGTGTGCTGTCTTGAGGCCCATATTGCTTTGAAGCTCACTTCCAGTTGTGCAAGTTTCATATCACAAATATTATTTTAACAGTGAAAGGCTTTTTAAGGCTACCTCATGATTTTTTCTAGCATTACAATTACCTCAGAAACTTAATAGACTTCTGACTTTTTTGCTTCTTCTTGGTTCCATGTGCCGGTAACTATACCCAAAGCTAGTCCCTAGGATTAGTTTGTAAATCTGCTTTATTTTTTTGCTTCCTCATCTCCCTCAAAGACTTTTGAAATCTTACTTCTGCTGAGACTAAAGCCCACTTGGGATGTTGGTATCTTAGTTCTGTGACCACTTCTACCCACGTCCCCAAGGGCAAACCCTTGACCTTTCCAGTATTAATAATTGCTACCCTTTGTAATCTCAATTTCTCTGATCATCTTGATTCCTCTGACATTGCAACTCCAATAATTCTTTTACCTTACTGGGACCTGCAAACCACTGATCCTAACCCATCCAAAGTATTGCTCAGCTCCCTCAGGTTTGCATCTCTCTCCTTACCTGACTTAGATTCCACAGTCTCTCAGTGAAATCACTCCTGTATAAACATTCTCAATTCCATTGTCCCCTTTCACTTAGTTGTAAGTCCCTGGCAAAACCTGACTATAAAGGTAGCTTTCAGCCTACTCCATGCCTGAATCCAGGCAGCTGTGTGTTCTTGGAGAAAAACATACAACAACCATTTAAATTCAGGACCTAACTTCAAGTGGGCCGTTAATGCTGTCTCTCAACCATACTACAGACCGTTGTCCATTCTATAGCCTACTGCTATAGAATTTCACACCTTTTCTTCTCACCTGGAACTTCCAAGATCTCTTTCCCAATCTCCATGCCAGCTTCTAACTTTGCTTCCTGTCTCACTGAGCAAGTACAAGCATTCAGAAGACAACTGTTAAAATCTCCCTCTCTGACATCCGTTTGCCTGCCTATCTTCGTCTATGTCATATACTCATTCTGCCTTCCCTCTAATTCCCCATGGGTGAACTGCCTGTGCTTCTAAGACCAGCCCATCCATTTGTGTATTAAATCTCATCCTCTTGCATAATTAAGCACATCACTTTGAAATGTTTTTTTATTATCATTTTTTCCTTCTCTACTAAATTATCTCCATCAATATACAAAGCTATGGCTTGATCATTCATCCTCTTCAAGTATTTCTGCAAATGTTACCTTCTTAGTGAGGCTTCCTTGAATACTTATTCAAAACTATAATTCCACCCAGCCATTCCTCTCTGTCTCTAGTATCCTTTCTATCCTTTTTTACTTACCATCTTATACCATCTTATTCATTACCACTTATTACCATCTTACAACAAACATTTTACTTATCTGTCATTTGGTTCCTGTCTCACCCTACTAGAAGACAAATTGCTTAAGGACAAGGATTTTTATCTGTTTTGTTCACTACTGTTATTTCTTTAATCTTAAAAAATTTTTCCCTTGATCCCACATCCCCCTCCAGCTACTGGTCCATATCTCTGTGCCTCTTTTATTTTTTTTCAAAACTCCTCAAAAGAATAGTCCACATTTATCTATCTAAATCCTTTCCTCTCACTCTCATCCAAGCTTTTATCCCTACTTCAATTTCCCCTAAACAATACCATCGACCTCAACATTATTAAGCTAATGGTTAGTATTAAATCCACATTTACTTGATCTAACAACAGTATTTAATCAATCCCACCTCCTTAAAATACCTTTTTCACCTGGCTTCCAGGGCACAACATTCTTCTATATTTCCTCCCAACTCTCTGTCTACTCCCTATCAGTCTCCTTTGATGAGTTATCTTAATCTTTCTAACATCTTTTAAACACTGCATTTCCCTCCCACAAGAAGCTTGGTCCTTTTCTAAGTCTGTATTTACTTTTTTGATGATCTCACCTAGTCCATTGGGTTTAACACCATCTACTTGCTGACTTCTCAAATTTACATCTCCAAATAAATCTGCTCCTTGAGTTCCAGACCTTTCTATCCAACCACCCATGTGATATTTCTACATGAATATTTGGTTGGCATCTCAAATTTAACATGTCCACAACTGAATTCCTAATCTCTGACTTTATCCCTAAAATTGTTCCCCACCCCAATGTATTCCCTGTCTCAATTAATGCCAGCTCCAAATACCTTGATTTCTACCTTATCCTTGATTTCTCTCTCTCTCATACCCATGTTTGAGCTCTCCTTAGGTCTCCCTCCAAAATGTACCCTGAGCCAAACTATTTCTCACCACCTCTTCCCTAGTTCAAGGAGCCATCACCTCTTTTTTAGATTAGTTCAAGGATCTCCTGACTGGTCTTTCTGTTTCTGTCCTTGCCCCCTTATCCTTTGCAGTCTCTTTTCCACCCAGTAACCAGTGTGGTCCTGTTAAATATAAGTCTGATTATGTCTCTTCTTTGCTTAAATGCCCCAATAGCTTCCCAAGTTACTTATATGAAAAGCCAAGGTCCTAACAATGACCTGTAAGATCCTTCACTGTCTGACCCACTCTCTGACCACATATCCTATTCTACTCCCTTTTCTCACTACACTTGGGTCACACTGGCCATTTGTTGTACTAATACTTGAAAGGATCCAGGAACTCTCCTGCCTTAGAGACTTAGACTTTGCTGTTCTCCCTACCTAGAGAATTATTTTTCCAGATGACTGTATGTCTTGATTGCTCATCCTGTCCAAGAATTTCTGCAAATGTTACCTTCTTAGTGAGGCTTCTTTGACTACCTCTTCAAAATTAGAATCCCACGCAGCCACTCCTTTCTCTCTCTGTAGCCTCCTTTCCAGCCTTATTTATTTATCATCTTATACCATCTTATTTACTACTATTTATTACCATCTTATGACAAACATTTTACTTATTTATTATTTCTTATATGTCTCCCACTACCACTACTGGAAGACAAATTGCTTGAGGGCAAGGATTTTTATGTGTTGTTCACTACTATTTCTGTCCTCAGTGCCTGGAACAGGCTCAGAGTAGGGGATCAGTAAATATTTATTAAATGAATGAACAAATGACTGAATGAATGAGAGAATGAATATCTTCCTACTTCTAGTTAAGAATTTTTCCACTGTACTCTACAAATCTATCATTCCTATGATAAAACAAAATATACTTGCATATTATGCTTTTTTCTTGTTTCATAAATGAGTTACTAGATCATCTTTTCTTCATAACAAATGTGGTGTTTTAACCTTCAATGTAATTCACTCTCCCAGCCACCAAATTCCAATTTGTAACTGAGTGTTAAGACTATCTGAATTAAAGATAGAAATGGTAATACAGAGCTTTATGCAAAGTGCCCTTTGTGGTGCACAGAGAATCAGAACTGAGTCAGAATTAGCTCTTATTAGCTGAGTCATTATTGACTGCTAATAATGAAGACTTGCATTTAGTCTTCCAGACGGTGCATCTACTGATCTGAGCCATATTTCTATGCACGATGTTTTTGTTAACTGCTGGCATGGTCCAGACATGTGTCACAAGCACTTAAAGGACAGACTGTGATCAATTAGAACATCCAATCTCAATGTGACCTTCATTTTGGCTAATTATATGTTGATTACTACTAATCTGCACCCTATTTGAAGTGAACAAATTGGTCTGATAGAGGGAGAAAGTAAAGTGCAGTTGTATTGTTTTTTAACAGCTCATTTGTGTCTAGAATGAGATTTGATGTGATTCTCCTTAACAAACTACGTTTTACTATTTTAATTACTTTCTTTTATGTGTTGCATACACAGCACTTTTCTATGTGTAGTATACATTGTTTGTGTGTGCTTTATAAATACAGAATCATCATGGTCTCAATTCAGAAGTACCTACCATCATTTAAAGCCTGTGAAAGCATTAGTTCTTTCAGTACTCACTTATAAATCCATTTAAGTGTATTCAATAGAAGTAGTTCAGTTGTCTTTCAAAGTTACATGAGTCAATTGTTGAAGTCTAAATGTCTGTCAAGTATCTCCTAATATGTTAATGGTTTATTCAGCTTGGCTCCAATCAGAATGAACTTTTGACATTTGCATTGATAATCATCTTAACCTTCTAAAAGATGTGGGTGTGTTGCATGCTGTGAATGTCCCTAAATTGTTCTTCAGCTTTCTTAGAAAGATACCTATGAAGCCACTAATATTTTCTCTGAAGGTACATGAATATGCAAATGTCATTGTGTGTGTGCATGCACACGTGTGGATGAGAGACTAAGAAAGAGGAAATACATGTGGAGGTGTGGATGTGGAGATGAGTTGTTTGCCCTGCCAAAATTTCTAGAGGGAATTGAACTGCTATTGCTTCAAGAAAATATTAACTGTGAGAGAGGCCTATACATTTTGTTATTCTCCTGCTAACTTAGCTGTAGGGTCCACACCAAATGCCTTTGTGTACAGCAGGTACATAACCCAAAAGATGGAAAGGAGATGTCAGCTAAGCAGCAGTGTTTTTACCTAACTGCCAATGAGTTGAGCTACAATTTGGCCAATGAGAATAATTACCAGAGTAGGGAGATGGAGCAAGTCAGGGCTGAGAAAGATTTCAGAAGAAGGAACTAAAGGTGATGGAGAGACTTGAAAGGGTTAGCTGCAGCTCACATGGCTTCATCTGACTTTTGTTTTTTATTGTAAAAAAAAGCAAAACCAATAGTGTATCTCCTCTGATTCTGCCTTCCCTCTGTGGAGTTACTAATTGGATTTCAGTCACTCTGTGGTGGCTTCGTGAAGTAGCATGGTGATCTGGCTTGGCACTGATAGGCCCCCAAAGTTTATTAATGTAAAATAATTGCAAAGATGACCTCTCTGTCCACATTTAGATGGTATTGGTAAAAGACCATAATGATGATTGATTGTGCCAAATAGCCTTGATTTGTTAGTTTCTTATGGTGATAAAACCCCAGTTACATTTTGAGAATTGTGTTTGAGAATTCACGGGCACTAATAATTATTAGTGTCATAGGTGTTCAATATTCAGAGAATTTTAAATCATCATTTTATTCATATTTAGGAAAGGAAGGAAGATTTTAACCCTGAATATGCATTGACTACACAAGCAATATTAATCTTAAATTATACTGTAAAATCATAAAGTGTTTTATTAAAAGTCCATCTCTGTCCTGTGGTAGTGATCACACAACCACATGTCTGATAAAATGGCATAGAACTACGCACATACACAGGCACACAGAAACAAGTGAATATAAAACGGGTGAGCTCTGAGTAAGGTTAGTGTCTTCTAACTGTCTTACTCTGCTTAGTGTTGCTACAAAAGGAATACCTGACGCTGGGTAATTTATAAAGAAAAGAGGTTTGTTTGCTTATGGTTCTGCAGGCTGTACAAGAAACATGGAGCCAGCATTGCTTCTGTTGAGGGCTTCAGCTTTCTGCTTTCCACTCATACCAGAAGGCAAAGAGGAGCTGGCATGTGCAGAAATTACATGGCTAGTGAGGAAGCAAGAGAGAGGATGAGGGAGGTGCCAGGCTCTTTCTAACAACCAACTCTTGAGGGAATTAATAGATTAAGAAGCTACTCATCATCACAAGAACAAGGAGGATCTGCCCTCATGAACACCCCATTAACAGGACAGATGCTTCCCTGAACTATAAGAACAGGGTGCTGCTGCATCTATGAACCCAAACACCTCCCATTAGGCCCCATCTCCAACACTGGGGATCAAATTTCAACATGAGGTATGTGGGGACAAATAACCAAACTATACCAGTAACAATATTAATTTCCTGCTTATGATATTGTGTTATGGTTATGAAAGTTCTTACCATTGAGGAAAACAGAGTGAAAGGTATGTGAAATCCCTATTATTCCTCACAACTACATGTTGATTTACAATTATCTCAAAATCAAAAATTAAAAATAAGTCTATCACTGTATGGTATCTTGTTTTAACATAACATCAATATCAAAGAGCAAAGAATAGAGATTGGTAACTAGTACATGAAATTTCATTTTTTACAATAAGACTAGAAAATTGATTTAGACCAGGTTCAGTGGCTTACACCTGTAATCCTAGCACTTTGGGAGGCTGAGATGGGTGGATCACTTGAGCTCAGGAGTTTGAGACCAGCCTGGGAAACATGGCAAAACCCCGACTCTGCAAAAAATACAAAAATTAGCTGGGCATGGTGGTGTTTGCCTGTAGTCTCAGCTACTCAAAGGGCTGAAGTGGGAGGACACTTGAGCCCAGAAAGGTTGAGGCTGCAGTGAGCCATGGTCATGCCACTGTCTCTAAAAAAATAAAAAAGAAAGAAAAAGAGAGAGAGCAAGGAAATTGATTTAGGTTTCTTAGATGGAAAACAGTGCATTGCTTTTTGTTATGGTGGATAATTTAGAAGTCTAGCTTTATAGGTAGTTCCTGGGTTTGTTCAACTCAGTTCAGTTCTCATCACTTTGTTCGTTCACAGATCTGTGTCTCCAAGTGCCCAGAAAAATTTTTAACCTATGTGGAAATGCAACTTTTGTACACAAAAGACAAAAGCTACTGGGAAGACTACCGTCAGTTCTGTAAGACCACTGCTAAGCCTGTGAAGGTATGTGTGTTTAAGCTTAAAGCAAGAGAACAATTTAACTTTTTTTTTCAATCTCAAGTGTAACGTGAGAATTTGTTACTGAACAAGCTCCCAAATCTTCTAGGAAATGATTAGATACAATTTCATTGAAACAGAAATGCATGTGTACTGGGTGTGCATGCACACCAGTTATAGCACATCATTTTGTAGATTTGGGGTGTCATGAAAGACTGTTATGTCTGGTTAATTAGCTTCTACTATTCCCCGACACTAATAAATTCTCTACTTGGATAGACTTTTACTCTAGAACTAGGAGTTAATGTCATTTGCAATCACCATTTCGTTAATGTGGTGATGAAGCCCCATAGCAACTTAGTAACAAGTAGAATTTTATTTCCAAGCCCAGTTTGATAACAACTCATTTAAAAAACCCCAACCCTTACCTAGGTTTGAGATACGTAAGAGAATTCTAAATCATCACAATGTTAAATAATATGAATGGTTTCTAAATTAGAGAAGATGTTGTTTTTCTAGAAAAAAAAACCCACAAAAAAATCAGAGACTCAGGATATGGCTAAGACAAAGACACACACCTCCAAAGGTGTTCCTTGTTTTCAGATGATCTGGTTTTATTATTGTTGGTCCGATTGAATTACAGTTAGGACAGTTAAGAATGTCAAGCAAGATTGTGTGTGTGATAATCTTACAATTAATATTATTAGTAGAAGTAATTTGAAATAAGGAGATTATTATGGAGTTAAATTTTTTAAAGGACATATTTAGATTCAGTATAAAGTAATCATCACATGGCCTTTGAAATGTTAACGTTCTTCCTTCTATTTTAGTCTCTCACACAGCTTTTACTGGATGATGATTGTCCAACAGCGATTTTTCCCAGCAAACCTTGTAAGTGGCAACTATTTTACCTTAGAAACATAGGATCTACCAAAATGCTACTTAATTAAGTTCCCGTATTTCACAATTGATGAGACTGAGGCCAAGAATGGTCCTCTGACTGCCTAAAGTCCCAGAGTTGATTAGCAGGAAAGTCAAAAGTAGAGCTCATCTCTTGGCTCCAGCCAGGTACATTTTCACTGGAACTCTGAATTTTTGAATTTTCCTTTGTAAACATACAAGAAAAAGATTGAATGTTGAAAGCTCAGTCAGATTGATCATTTGGTGCTTTGGAAGCACGCATAAACACACACACAGATATGCTCATATACACCCACTCCTGATTTTAGCTGAAAAGTTTGTTCAGAAATTGCCTGAGGAGTAGGGGGAGGACATATACTTGTCTTTATCACTTGAAATATTTATATATATTTGGAATTAGTCAATATTTTATTTCTTTAAAATTATGAACTGTATACTGTGGACAAAATGAGGCCAGGCATAGGGGCTCATGCCTGTAATCCCAGCACTTTGGGAGGCCAAGGTGGGAGGATTGCTTGAGTTTGAGACCAACCTCAGCAACATAGTGAAACCCTGTCTCTACAAAAATTTTAAAAAGAAATTAGTGAGACATGGCAATGTGCACTTGTAATCCCAGCTACTTGGGAGGTCAAGAAGGGAGGATCACTTGAGCCCAGGAGTTGAAGCCTGTAGTTAGCTATGATTGTACCACTGTACACAACCTTGGCAACAGAGTGAAACACTGTCTCTAAAAAAATAAAAAGAAAAAGAAGAAAATGAAATAATCACTGAGTTTTCTTTCTTATGGATATAATCCTAATTACAAAAAAAAGCTTTACATTAAAATGTCCATCACATTTAAAGTGTCAAAAAGAAAAAAGAAAGAAATACTCTACTATCCAAGACCGAGAATATTTAAATTATAATGTATTCACTAAATGAAATATTTTAGAATTATTAAATATAACTATTAGAATAACATGCATGTATATGTTATAATGTTAAATAAAATTCAAACTGTTACTATCCTTATAATGATAAACATGTATAAATTAAAACAAACAAATAAATAACCACAAGAAAACCTCTTCAAAGAAAAAGATTGGAACGAAATATACCAAAACATTAAGTAGTCATTTTGGGAGTGGCAAAACTGTGGGAAATTTCACTCTTCTTTCTTTTTTCTATTTATTCACTTTCTTACAATGTATATATTTCTCTTAAAAAGGAGGAAAGGCATTAGTCATTAGTTTGAGTAGACAGTCAAATACCCACTGAAGTAGCTACCACCAAACATGTCTTACATACTTCCATCACTCTTCCCTGGGTCATAAAAGACCTTGAAGCAAAGATGTAGGTCCCACAGCAACAGCACTTACCAGGAAGCTCTCAGCAACAAATGTCCATAGCCAAAATCAATGTTATAAATTTTTATGCAAAAGGATAAATATAAATCATTAGTAACAAAAGATATAATAGGTATAAAGGTATAAGACATAGTCTCTGCCCTTACAAGTACACTTTGGCTAAGTACACAGGATAAAGTATACCTTGGGGATACAAAAATGAATAAGGCGTAGTCCCTCACAGTCTAGTGAGAAAGACATTATATGTTGTAATCAACTTGTGTTCCTCCTAATATAAGATTAAATAGCACTCAATGGAATAGTATGCAGATAATAAAATTTGTTCATTAAAGAGCTCATAAAAGGAAATAAGTAAGGTTAAAACAAGTAAACAAGGGAAAACATTGCATGTCTTGTGTGATTTTGACTCTCAAAAAATATTTACTGTAGAAGAAAGACTGGAAAGAAATTCCCTAAAATGTTAATATAGTACACTGTAGGTGGAAGGACTAATTTTTTTAATATTTTATCCACTTTCCAAATATGTAATGAACACATTTAGTAATGAAAGCTAACAGATTGCATGAGATTATCCAGAAAAAAATATATGAAATAAGGTCAAGGGACCCTCTAGATAGGAACACTTGTATTTAAGAAGTAGAAAGGGAAAGAGTGCACAGAAATATGGGAGGACATGAGAGAAACTGACCATGGAAGCCAAGAAAAGAGAGTTTCAATATGCCAAGGAGTATGTATCTACCATGTCAAAGGCTCGAAAAAGTTAACTCATTCATCAGCAAATATTGACTGATTTCTACAGTGTGCCAAGCCTTGTGCTAGGTAATGGGTTTAAGCAGGATGAAGACTAAAACATATCTGGAGGTTTTGACAATTCAGAGGTCATTGGGATCACTGGGAGGATAATTTCCATGAAGTGGTGGGGCCAAAACTCTGATTAAACTGAGGGTGTAGAAGCAGCTGGTAAAGGCTACTGTGTCAAATTTGCCACAGAAAGGAAGGGAAGAGCAGTAGAAAGGTGGGGCAGGTAAAGGAATCAGCCACGTCCTAAGTGCAGCAGAGGCTAGAGGTGAGCAGACAAGAAAATCCTTTTAAGCCAGGAAAGTCGGGAAAGGCTTTAAAGAGACCTATTTCTTCTTTCCCCAGCTCAACTGCTTTAATATCTTCAGGTTTAAACTACATATGAAACTGTGCAATTCAGTGATGCTTCTTATAAGAAAAAAAAATATGAAAATGATCCATTTCTGATTTTCCTTATTTCTTCCTTTAAAATTGTGGTTTTAAAATATTTTTAGAAATAAATGTGTAAAGAGGCAAAGACTCCAATCAAAATAAGAACATAGAAGATTGAACAGTGATTTTACTTTTCTTAGAAATCATACCAGTCTACAAAGTGTAGGCCTCTTTTGATAGTTTCAGAATTTCCATTTTCAGCTCCACTAAAAAACTGTTGTAAATGAAAAAGCTGGGAGACAAATTGTTAAGAATTCACAGACAAAAATTTAGTTGTTTTAGTAGCCTAAAATTTGAGCTGGTTCTTATTTGCCAAGGTATTATTCACTGATCCCCAATTTTCAAAGTTTTACTCAAGTAGTTCCTAATATGTATTTTTAATAGTAAAACTAAACTCATCCAGTCATACAAGTTAATGTGGCCTTTCTACTAAAATGTGCTTACCATGAATGGTATGTATCATTGTTACTCTTTTAAAACCTGTGATGTACATTTTATTTATGATGACTTGATGAATATACCAGATGTAAAATAATCAAGTTTAGAATGTAGTTTCAGAGTGTGATCATATTTGCTTTCTAGTCTTAGGACCATTAGAAAATCATATCATCAAGTAACAGGCAATGAGCTATCTATATTGAGCAATTTGCATGCCTAGCAAGAATTTGATTATATATAACAGAAAGCTTAAGAAAGGGAGGACATCATTAAAGAAGAAATAGAAAAGTGATTACAATAATTTTAATTTATTTTTACAGTTCTCCAGAGATGTTTCCCTGACTTCTCTACCAAAAATGGCACTTTAACAATAGGAAGTAAGATGATGTTTCAAGATGGAAATGGAGGGACAAGAAGTGTTGTAGAACTCGGGATTGCTGCAAAGTATGTGTGTTTACATTCTAATTTTCAGTTTGATGCATTTTGTTATTGCACTCGAGACTAAAGCGCCTATTGGGTTAAGGGTTATAGGAAAATAATCACATATATATATATATATATATATATATATGAAATATACGTGTTACTGTGAATTGAAGAGCTTGATACATATTCATTAAGAAGAACATGTAAGGGAGAACCCAGAATCATTTAGAAAGAATAATGATGCTTTTTTCTGTTGCCCAGGCTGCAGAGCAGTGGGGCCATATCTCAGCTCACTGCAACCTCCACCTTCCCGGTTCAAGCAATTCTCCTTCCCCAGCCTCCTGACTAGCTGGGATTTAAAAAAAAAAAAAGGAAAATAAAAGAAAGAAAGAATAATGATGCTTTTCAAAATGGTTAAATCTTTCATTATCAACAGGTATAGAAGTGTGACATAAAGAAATGTATTGGTGGCATATCAAATTTCTATGTACTAAGTATAATGCAGTAAATTCCCCACGTCCCTTGGCTCTACACACATGGTGCTCCATGTTACTGGAAAATATATTTCCCTGTGTGCACGCATACACACATGTGCACAAACATAAATGTGTACAGCATATCGCTGCATTGCTCAGTTGTTGAATTATAGATAAAAAAGATATTCTAAAAATTTATTTATCTTAAAAGACTTTAGGAGTATAATTAGTACAGTGTAGTTCCTGCAGATTTAGAATACAATAGCAGCTTGCATGATTTTCAGAAATATAAATCTGTGTAAAAGAAGTCTCAAAATAATGATACAAATATGATTTCTTTGATATAAAAGTCAAAAACAAGCAGAGTTAAATTTATTTCCCTGTGATGCATATATAATTAGTAAAATGAAAAAGAAAACTTAGGAATTATCACAAAAGTCAGAATAGTGGTTACTTTGAGGAAGGGAGAGGTGTTGCAATTGGGGCACATGAAGAAGGGGTTGACAATGTTGTAGTTACATAAATGTGTTCACTTTGATAATTCCTCAAATTGGACAGTGATGATTGTGAAATTTCTAGTATGTGTTCCATCATGCCTTACTGTCAGGATTAGGAAGAGGAATTAAAGATCATGTTCATTCTTGACTATGGGTTTTGCAAATTAAAAGCTAATCTTATCATTTAAATTCATTTCTTACAGTGAGGTTTCTGCAATATTGAGGGAATGTTGCATACAGTGGAAAAGGATTTGTTCACCGTTCTTGAAAACCATGTTCTCTCTGCGTGCAGCTATAGCTACCTTTGCAGGTTTACTGAAGTGACATTTTATGTATTATTGTGGCTAGGAAAACAGTCACTACTGATAGATGGTTTCTGAAAACATGCTTTCAACAGCACCTTGCAGAATCCCTTTTATCATAAAAAGAACATTTCTGTTTAGTGGTCATCAAAAAATAATTGATTTTTTCCCTTCTTTCAATGCAGTGGTATCAATAAACTTCTTGATGCAAAGTCACTTGGATTGAAAGTGTTTGAAGACTATGCAAGAACTTGGTATTGGATTCTCATGTAAGTGAAAACACATAGATGTTTCTTCTCCAGCCCCATTCTGATTTTATCTTTGTAGAACTCTTTCTTCAAATTTTATATTTTTATTCATGAATAAAAGAAATGTACTGGTGGCATAACAAATTTCACTCAGATGTCAGTTCCTGCCATTTTCTTTTTCAGGTGAGGTGAGACAGGGAAAAGATATTTGGAAATATGCCCACTGTTGGCAGAGTGTAAATTTTAATTTTATTCACTAAAGTACTAATAAAAGTACCTATGAATATATACTTCAAGTCACATGGAGCAATATCTGCAGGACTTCTGTATCTGTAATACTCGTGTGCTTCTCATCACATGCTACTGTGGAGGCAGGATTGTTTCTCAGATTCTTTTTTCTAATTCGTCCCTCCCTTGACTTTAAAAGGATCGTTCCTATTTTTCAACACATCCCTTCCACGTAATGATTGGTATTCATCATAACCAGAAGTCATTGTAGTTATGAAAGCTACATAGCTACATATGCGATACATAAATATATATGTATAGATAACAAGGAGGAGGAGATGTAACATTTTCAGGCATAAGAGTTGCATTCCTAGAAAGTTAAGGAAATGTAGTCACTGGACTGGAATGGGTAAATGTGTGACCCATTTAAGACTGTCATTACTGTCTGGCTCTTTTGTCACCCTCCAGTGCTTAAAAGCTCCCATGGTTCCCTAATGGTCAAAGACTAAAATTAAAACTTTTTCAGTTACTTCTAAGGCCCTTTAAAACCTAGCCCAATTTAGTTTCTCAGATTCATCTCCACCCAAGTTTCTTGGTTAACACTATATTCTAAACATATCAAATAATGTGCCCATCCCTAGACTATCAAATCCTGTAAATTTGCACATTCTGTTTCCTTTCCTGGTACTGAGTCCTGGACAACTGCACCTCCTTTTTAAAAATCAGCTTTAGTATCATTTATAACCTTTATTATCTTCCCCAGATGTAATTACTTACTTCTTCTTATGTGTTCCTCATACCCATCATGTGTGTACATGTGTGTGTTTACACACCTATAAATACACACACATACTTATCTTCCATATAGCACCTACCATTCTGTGTTTTATTTACCTGGCCCTTTCCCTCTGATAAAGTATGAACTTTTTACAATAGTAACTATGTCTAACTCATCTTTGTTTTCCTAACTTCTATATGGGTCCTTGAATGTAGCAGCACAAAAAAAATGTGGTTCAGGGAAGAGTACGAAAAACACTAGTGGAGCAAGATAGATGCATGTAACTATATGATGCATAATAAAGTCTAAGTTGTATTTTGTGTGAGATACTAGTGTGTGGTGTTTAGAGCTGTAAAATTAGATCACTTTATGAGATTTTACTCATTTTGATGCTTTGTCCTAAACAATTACAGTAATTACTGTTAGTATGTTAGGATTTATCTCCAGCAGAGATTGTAGTCTATTCTCGACAGTATTTAAATTGATTCTCCTATTGTCAGACCCAAATGTCACTAGATAATTTCCACGCTTCTTCTTCATTTGGCTTTTTCACACCTACCTGAACAAGTGTACATTATGATAGATTATCCTGCCTACCTCACCCCCAAAACACACAATGAAACCCTCTCCACCCAGGCACCACTCATAAGAGTAAAACATGAACATCTCCCTTTATTTTCAATTCTTCTGCTCTTATTTATTTTATAAATATAAATCTAAAGTATTGATACGCTTAAAATAGCTGTATTTTTTGTTTTTTTTCCTCTGACATTTCTGAATACTTCCCTTGGGCTAGGCCATGGAATAATCTTTCAATCATATTGAATATTTAAGCATTAAAGTGTCCGTGATTTTAAGAGGGAATGACTTCTCAAGTTAAAAGCGCAGGCTTTGCAAGACCATGATACTTCAATACTGTGTTGTCATCTATCCAGTGACAGTAATTATTGAGATTTTTTATAATAAAAAGATAACACTTGAGACAATAACTTAATAAATGTACTACACTCTGTCTGTTGCTATGTTTGGAAACTTACAGATAGCACCAGACATATCAGTTCTTAATAGAACAGTCAGCCAACTTTCCGATCTTAATGAGTTCTCTTTGAGGAAATTACATTAGAAGACTCCAATGTGACCTTAACCTGGATATATGGGAGGAAAAGAAGCTTCTCTAGTAGTTCAGTCAAGCTCTAAGAAGAAATTAAAGCTGACAGAAGATAGTCGTGCTGTTAATTGCTTGATAAAGTCACATGTCCCTGGAGACACAGAAGCCTTATCATGATTCCAAATAATGGCCCACAGATCACTGGGGAGCTGGAATAGAAGTCTGGATGACATAAGGCATCACAAACTCCTAGAGATAATTAGACCATAGTGATAATGACTACAGCATTATGGGCTCCGGGGATGGCCAGTTATTTTTCTTATCTTTCTGCCCCAAAATGATTCTCTTACTTCTAGATAGCCATATTATAGAAGATTTCCACCAGTCACTAAGTAAATGGAACAGAACAAATTCATCATGAATACATTTCACAATTTATGACCTAGTAGATAGGTAGGAAGGGAAAAAATAAGACATGGCAACTGTCTCCAATAAATCAAAATTGTAGTTGGAGAAATTGTATTTTTCCTTGAACAATGACTGATACTAGACTTCAGTTTACCCAGGTACATGAAGATGAGTTCTGTATAAAGTCCCTGATGATCCTATTCTTTCATATGAAAGTCTTAATGGAAATCATTGTTTACACTTTTTAACATTATTAATGTTTCTATAGCCAGGTAAAATAAAAGAATTTAAGAATAATTTTGAATAGAAAAAAAGTTTTGTCTTGATGTTTGTAATATGCTGTGTTTAGCACACTTGACCACTGTGTTTGTTGTGGGTTTTTTCTAGTGGCCTGACGATTGCCATGGTCCTTAGTTGGATATTTTTGATACTTCTGAGGTTCATAGCTGGATGCCTCTTCTGGGTCTTCATGATTGGTGTGATTGGAATTATAGGTTATGGTAGGTATCACTCCTCTTCAAATTATCAAATATCAGAATAATCCTTTTATTTTCAATCGCTGTTATCAGTTACCAGAAAGCATTTGTTTTCAGTGGATCTAATTATTCTTTACCCTCAAAAAAGCTTTAAACTTAGAAAAAATATTTCATTTTGCATATATTGTCTCTGTAACTTTTTCTTCCTGTATCTTTGGGGAAAAAATGCTGTCAGAACATTTTACTCTTTTCCCTACCAGCCTTTGGTCTCCTGCCTCATGGATACTAAGAAGGAGGTAAAAAGAAATCCTTTTAGATTAATGAAAAACATTTCAGACAACTTCTTTTATTTCTTTAACGTTTCTATCCGATCAAAGGCCAGGTCCGAAAAGTTACAGAAGTGTGATCTATTTTTCTCTTTCAACTTAGTACGTTTAATCCAGGTGCTGTCACACCGTTTAATAATTGGTACTCCACAATGAAGCATTGCCCTCTAGAGGCAAGTATTCCGAATTACACTTTTGTATGGAGAATTACAGTACTGTCTGTGGGAGCTAAATAATGTGTGGGAGCTAAATAATGTGTGGGAGCTAAATAATGAGTACACGTGGACGTAGAGTGTGGAGTAATAGACAGTGGGAACGTGGAAGGGTTGACGACTGGAAGGGGGTGGATAATGAAAAATTATTTAATGGATACAATGCATGTCATTCAGGTGATGGATACACTAAGAGCCACTATGCAATATATACATATAACACAATTATATGCGTACCCCATAAATTTATACAAATACAATTTTTAAAATCAAGGTTGAAATCTAATCACAAACTTGATCCCCCCAAAACAATACATATCAGGTATAATGTGAGCTCTACATATGAATTAAAGTGTCTCACGTGGAACAGTATATACCACCTGTGGAAGCTTCCTTTCAGTCTTCTAAAAAAGGTATGAGCCAATATATTATATGAATGTTTGAGATGTTTCTATTTAAAAGAATGATTTCCCCTACGGCACCATTTGGACTGACAACAGTTTTATGGTAGTAGACATCAAAAATAACAATCTCTTATTTCTGTCATTCAATGAAGAAGAGCTTTGCACATATAAGAATGCAGTTGAATCTGCAGGTTGTATAGTTAGCCTGTGTTCTAATCCAGCTCCATAACATACAACTGGGTAACTTTGGAAGTTTGTTGGTGGTTAAAAGACCTGGTATTCTCGTCTATAATATCAGCATAATAATGGTATCTTCATCTCAGAGGATCTTAAGGATTAAATGAGACAATGAATATAAAGCTCTTAGAGCAGTACCTGGAACACAGCTGACAATCAGTATGCATTGGGTTATTGTTATTACCCTCCTCATTATCTCCAATGAGTTTTTAGTAAATCATTTGGACTTCTCAGGTGTTCCCTATCTGCTCCTGCTGTACGGCTCCTCTTGCATCCCACCTGAGCTTCTTATTGAGCACAGCCAGGTAACAAATAAGAGGTGGATCAGTCTGGTCCAGGAACACAAGAACTTTCATGCCCTAATCAGAAACTGCAAAAAAAAAAGTTGTTTAAACATCTTGTTTTTGTGTTCCTGCTTGGAGCTTAAAATAAACTCTGCCCTTTGCCACTGGAGAGTCTGGGCTTGTGATTCAATCACTCTTGCATTGTCATCAGGAAGGAAAGGGCAGTAAAGTCTGCTATTGACTTAACTGATGTCTTAAGTAGCAAGAAAAATCTGAGATTGGCTGTAGTGCAGTTTTGACAATGGCAAAAAGGAGAAACATGGTCAACATATAAAAAGTGCAGGTAAAACAACTTAATTTTCGCTCCCTATTGACTCCCTAGATAGTATTAACCCAAAAATTAATGGTGTAGGAAGTAAGCTTGACAGTAATTTACTGAGGGAGGAAAGGTCCAGTTAGGTTGAGGAGTGTCAGAAAATAAGACTACATGTAACTGACCTCTGCTACTATCCTGGACAATTGACTTTCTACATATCATGAGAAACCAATTTTTTCTACTGAAATTTCCTACTGACAGCAGCCCATTTACTAGAGCAAATAACAATGTGGATGTGTCATACTGAGCAGAGAAAAAGCCAGACTGTTTGTGGGCAAGTGTTTATGAACAGCAATGGAACAATTCTCATTGGCCAGAACAGGTTAAGAGGTATACAGGAGAAGACATATAACACTTTGGTTTATGAGCATCTATTTAAGGTATGAAAAAGGCACGATCCCAGATTCATCACATATTAACTGTATGATCCTCTGCAAGCATACAGTTTTCTTTAATTCATAGGTTTCTCAATCATATAACAGGAATATGTGACTACTAAACAAAATAATGCTTATAAAGTACTTAGATTTTGCTAGCATATAGTAAATGTTCAATAAATAATGTCTATTTTTGTTGTTGCTGATATTATTGTTATTCAGGAATATTATTGAGGAAAGAGGACTTGAAGTCCAGAGATCATAATTTTTAAAAATCTAGGACAAGAGAGAGAAAGCAAAGAAAGAGAAATTGGAAAATATTGTCTAGACTTTCACATTCACTAGTAGGAGGAAAGTAAACTGTCTGAAGGGCCTTCTTGCTATGAAATCGTGACATTAAAAAGAGGATTGCGCTGTATTGTTTTATATAATACATTGTTTTGATAAACTTTAGGAAATAAAGGAAATCTCCTCCAAATGAAAAAAATAACTCATGAGCTAAAATCAAAGCGGGGAACCAAGCAGGAAGCACTGGGTAACCCATAGCAGTGCTGGGATCGGGAGACTTAGACCTGAGTTGGCAGCAGAACAGGGGATCATACCTGAAACTCCTGGAGTAAGTCTGGCATCCTAGAAATGTCTAAAATGACCCCAGTTTGTTAGTACCCTTTGACTGCCAAAATAAACAAATGTAAATCTCCTCTAGATGAAAGTTTCCTCAATTAACATCACCAGGTTTTCACAGATTCAGATCAATAAAGTCCGAGACTACCTGACCTGCAAGAAAACAGTTCTGTGTGAAAATCAGTGGATACTATAAACATGAGATTGAGGTCTCCAAGAATTCAAATATGGGAATTAATAGATATAGAACATGTAGCTGGCTGCAGTGGCTCACTCCTATAATCCTAGCACTGTGGGAGGCCGAGGCGGCCAATCACTTGAGGTGAGGAGTGGGAGGCCAACCTGGCTAACGTGGTGAAACCCTGTCTCTACTAAAAATACAAAAATTAGCTGGGCATGATGGTGCATACCTGTAGTCCCAGCTACTTGGGAGACTGAGGTGGGAGAATTGCTTGAATCTGGGAGGAGGAGGTTGCAGTGAACCGAGATCATGCCACTGCACTCCAGCCTGGGCAACAGAATAAGACTCTGTCTCAAAAGACAAAAACAAATCAAGAAAGAAAGATATAGAACATGAAATAACCATGCATGAAAGGTTTAAAGAATTAAAGATAGAATCACAGCCAGGTACAGTGGCTCACACCTGTAATCCCAGCACTTTGGGAAGCTAAGGCAGGTGGATCGCAAGGTCAAGAGATTGAGACCATCCTGGCCAACATGGTGAAACCCCGTCTCTGCTAAAAAAAATATAAAAATTAGCTGGGCATGGTAGCACACACCTGTAGTCCCAGCTACTCGGGAGGCTGAGGCACGAGAATTGCTTGAACTCAGGAGGCGGAGGTTGCAGTGAGCTGAGATTGTGCCACTGCACTCCAGCCTGGGTGACAGAGCGAGACTCTGTCTCAAAAAAAAAAAAGTGAATTCATTCATTCATGGACATGGAGTATCATTTATTAAAGGCTTGGGCAACAAAAATAAAAATCAACAAAAACGTCCAGGCATACATGAAGAAGAGCCATATAGAACTTTTCAAAATAAAAATGTTAGATTAAAAACTAATTGATAAGCTAAACAGCAAAATAGAGAATTAATGAACTGAAATATGAATCTGAAGTAATTACCAAAAATATAGCAGAATGTAACAAGGGGACAAAAATATGATTGTGTGGTTCAAAGAAATAGAAAATAGGTTGAGAAAGGCCTAACATATATCAACCATATTTGAAAGCTCTTGGCTGAGAATTTTCTAGAACCGATGAAACCATGGATCCATAGATATAGGAAGCCCTCATTATACTAAGGAGAGTAAAGGAAGAGAAATCCACATCTAGTCATACATTATTCTGTTTATTCAACAAATATCAATTGAACAGCTGCTGTGTACAGACACTATTTTAGACTCTTGATGTACAACAGTAAAGGAACAGACTAAGGTTCTTACTCTCATGATGCTCATAGCCTAAGTAATATATATCTTAGAAGGTGGTTATTGCTATGGAAAAAAGAAAAGGTAGAGCAGGTAAGGGGAGATTGAGAATGCCATGGTAGGGCAAGGAGTGAAAATGGCAGTATTAGCAGGAGGGCTCTTTTGGGGAAAATATCTAAGAAAACACTTGGAAGCAATGGAGTTAGACAGTTAAGATGAAGGAAAAGTTCCAGACAGTGGGTACAGCTGGAGCAAAGGCCTTATAACATAAGAGTGTGTTGAAGAAGTGGCTGAGAGCTTGGTGTGGATGGGTGTACTGAGTAAAGGAAAAAATAGTAGGAGATGAGGTCATAGAATTTATGAAGGGGGCAGAGCCTTACAGATTATTATAAAACCTAAGCTTTTACTCTGAATGAAACAGGGAGGCAATGTAGGGCTTTGGGTAGCAAAGAGATGAGATATAATGATTGCCCTAGTCCCTGTGTTGAGAATAGACCATGGTGAGGCAAGAGTGGAAGCAACGAGACCAGTAAGGAGATGATTGCAGAAATTTATATGCCAAATGAGAGAAACTCTTGAGGGTGGCCATACATGCTTTTATTTGTATAATAGCTGTATTTCCTGATGGATTGAATGCAGCTATGAGAGACAGAAGAAGGAGAATGATTCCACAGAAATATATGAGATGTAATACAAAAATAAAAAATAAAAAAAAGAAAACATAGTGAGCAAAGAATATAAATTAGTAAGCTTTTAGGTAAAGCTAAACAAACTTTGCCTGCATAAAATAATAATTGCTTTAGACATTGGACACTAAAATTATTATTTTATGCAGGCAAAATTTGTTTAGCTTTACCTACATGCTAACTAATTTATTTAAAATGTACATAACAAAATTATTGAGCAATAATTAGAGTGGGTGATTATTGAGTAACTAAGGTCTTGTATTTCCTTGTTAACATATTGACTCTAGGCTTATTAAAAAAAGAACAGATTTTCAAGGTAATCTATTATAAAAATAGAGTAGATTGCTCAAAAAGAGTAGAGAAGAAAAATGGAATATAAGTAAACAAACAAAAAATCATCAATTTTTAAAAGACAAGAATTGGAAGAAAAGAAGTATAGACACAAAGTAGAATACGAAAAGCAAAATTAAGAACATAGAAACAAATATAAATATATCAGTATATAAAGTATAAATATGTTAAACTCACCAATTAGAATACAGAGATTGTCAGGTCAGATTAAAATATACACATACAAATTGGAGCTATAAATTATTTATAAAAGTTATACAACATGTAAGGAAACAGAACATTTGCAAGTGAAGGGATGGAAAGAATATACTAGCAATCAATAACAAAAGAAAGTGGAAGAAGACATAATATCAGACAAAACAGATTTTAGAATGACAATGTTATGGATAAAAATGATTTAGTTCACTAAAAATATGCCAACCCTAAACTTGTTACATCTATTAAAATAACCTCAAAAATCATAGAATTGCAAGGATAAATAAATAAATGGATAATCATAAATTCGTATTAGGTATAAACCTTAGGAGGAGTTTTTGACGCATCTTTCTACTGAACAAATATATCATGATGTCTTACTGATGGACATTAAGGTCATTTCTAGTCAAAAGGACATTTAAAGCCAGATGTTGCCATAATTATCAAGACAAATACTGAAAACATTTATATCAAATACAGTAGCATGTTTAGACTATTGGATCCAAATAAAATATTTGCTGTGTAAATATGTGTCTTGCCTTTGCAGAAATTACCATGCTGATCAGTTTCATATAGATATGTATGATGAGCACATATAGCTCCTATTTCAGAAAATCATATTTTATATTATTCTGTTTTTCTTTCTTTTTCAAGGAATATGGCACTGTTACCAGCAGTACACCAATCTTCAGGAACGCCCAAGTTCTGTATTAACTATCTATGACATCGGGATTCAGACTAACATAAGCATGTACTTTGAACTGCAACAAACATGGTTCACATTTAGTGAGTATTTTAAAAACTGGTTTCATTAAAATTGTAATAATGAGAAAATATCTTTTTGCCTAAAGGAAAACTTGGGTTGGTATAACCTGTTAAATGTATTTATCACTAGTGTCATAAAAAGTAATGTGTCTATAATCCTCTAACTACAGTAAGTGGAAAAGTCATTGAGGAAAATTTATTGTATAATCTAAGAAAATGCTACCTTACAAGGACCTCAAGCCATTTGCCTTCAAATTAAAATTGTTTGGTTGTAGACATTTATAGGCATTAACCTGAGGTCTAAGAAAGATGTTTAAAAAGAAACAAATGCTTGATTTTTCAAACTTTTTATTTATTTATTTATTTATGTATTTAATTTTCTGAGATAGGATCTTGCTCTATCACCCAGGCTGGAGTGCAGTGGCACAATCATGGCTAACTTCACCCTTGACCTCCCAAACTCAAGCAATTCTACCACCTCAGCCTCCCAAGTAGCTAGGACCACAGATGTGTGCCACCATGCCTGGCTAATTTTTTAATTTTTTGTAGAGATGGGGTCTCCCTATGTTGCCTAGCCTGGTCTTGAATTTCTGGGCTCAAGTGATCCTCCCACCTCAGCCTTCTAACATGCTGGCATGAGCCACCGTGCTGGCGTGAGCCACCGTGCCCAGCCTGAAACTTGTTTTTAAAAAAGAAAAAGGAAAAGGAAAAACAAGCAACAATTTTTCATAACAAAACATTTAAACCACTTATAGGAATTATGAGTAATAAGTATCTGAAAATAAATTTGCATTTTTGAAGTGTTTCTTCAAGGTTTTTAATTTCTTAAGGATATTTTTTAATATTAACAAATGTAAATATTTATTTAAATGTAACAAAATTTTTTAAGCAGGATGATTTTAGTGATGGTTTTAATCTTATATTCCTAGAATGGTGTTATTGTAATACTCCTTGTAAGATTTGTGTTCTTTAATCAAGATTTTCAAAATAATCTCTAACTACATGTTGCTTTAAAAAAAAATCATCTTTATATTCTTGAAGTTAGAGAGCCAGACAAGACACATTCAAGGAAGCCTGGTAAGAAGCCCAGAAAGAACCTCAGAAGGGAGCAATATCTTGGTGGGGCATCATGATTACAGGCATGCGTCCCATTCCCATCAATTTGAAAACTTGACTTTGCCACTTCATTCAAGGATACTCAGGCTTTCAAGGACAAGCTCATGTTAAGTCACCAAAGCACCCTACATTTGTTTACATCATTAGGATAGTCTCCTGGTGACCAAAGTGCAGACATTTTCCATATAGGACACTACCTTCCTGGGATCAGAGCACCTGGAAAGCAAGATTACCAATCAGAAGCTATTTTAGCAAAGGGGCTCAGACAGCGGTGGGAGATGCTTTCCTCAGATGATGCCAACCTTGATGACCTAGCTGAGCAGCACAGATGTCCCTCCCAGATTCCTTCTCCACCGCATTTAGTTTTTCTCTTAAAAAAAAAAATACTGTATCAAACTCCAACTTCTTACTGTTTGGCTTCTCATTTCTAGCTCTCATGCAGACTAATATCCTTCTCTGACATCTTTTTTCCAAATATGTTATGGAATTGTTTCATTTATACCTTTTCCTTTTTAACTGCAAAAATCAGCCGTCCTCATCAGGATCAGGGAATTGCATCCTCATCATTTTTCCTGAATTTAAATGATTCCACATCTCTTCAGCAACCTGCTTACTGTTGTCTATTATTTCTAAAGGTGACAAATGTCACCCATTATGTATTGAAACTTCTAGTTTTACTCTTGGATGGATCTTAGTTACGGGTTCTGTGCCCACCCCCGGCTGTCTCATAAGACCCTTCCACACAAACGCCATTGAGGAGATCAGAATCTGCCATTGGAAAAGTAAAGAGATGTACCTTTAGGAAAATACAGAGCTTAATAGAATTTTCAAGTCTAGGAATACTGATAAATAAGCCTCCGCTTTCATAACTCACTTTTCAGATTTTAATTGATTACTTGCTCTGTGTTTGGACAGAATTCTAGGTACCAAAAACAAAAGCATATATGTGAAATTACACTCATTAACACAAACACTGAAAGTAGGCAGAGTTATAAATACCAAAATTGTAATTTTATGAGTTCTATTTTGTGTTCGGAGATGGTTCTATTCACATCTCTGCTATTAACTAACTATGAATTCGTGTATATCTCTTAGCCCCCAGGTGCCAGTCTCATCCTTTGTTAAGTTACAGTTATACTAATGACTCTATAGGGCATCGAATATATTTATATTATTTACTCTTATTCAAACAAAAGAGGGGATATAGGATAGTCATGTGTTGCTTAATGAGAGAAATACGTTCTGAGAAATGCATTGTTAGGCAATTTTTTCATTGTGTAAACATCATAGAGTATCCTTATGCAAACCTAGATGGTATAGCCTACTACACTCTTAGGCTACACGTAATGGCCTATTGCTCCTAGTCTACAAACCCATACAGCATGTTACTCTGCTGAATACTGTAGGAAATTGTAATACAATGGCAGGAGTTTGTATATCTAAACATAAGAAAGATACAGTAAAGATATGGCATAAAAGATTTTTTAAAATGGTACCCGTGTGGAGAGTGTTTACCATGAATGGAGCTTGCAGGACTGGAAGTTGTTCTGGGTGTCAGTAAGTGAGTGGTGAGTGAATGTGAAAAGAATTACTGTACACTACTGTAGACTTTATAAGCACTGTACATGTAGGCTACAATAAATTTATTAAAAACTTCCTTCAATAATTAACCTAAGCTTACTATAACTTTTACTTTATAAATTTTTAATTTTTTTAACTTTTTGACTTTTATAATAACATTTAGCTTTAATTTTTGACTCTTTTATAATCACACGTATACAAACAGCTGTACAAAAACATCTTCTTTCTTTACATTCTAATTCTAAAAGCTTTTTCTATTTTTAAAGTTTTTTTTTTTTTTACTTCCAATATGTTTTGTTAAAAATGGAGGCACAGGCCAGGTGTGGTGGCTCATGCCTATAATCCTAGCACTTTGGGAGGCCAAGGTGGGAGGATCATTTGAGCCCAGGAGTTCAAGACCAGCCTGGGCAACAGAATGAGACCCTATCTCTATTTTATCTAAAAAATTAGAAACAAAAAATTTAAAATTTAAAGACACAAATACATACATTATCCTAGACCTACACAGGGTCAGGATCATCAATATCACTTTCTTCCACCTCCACATCTTGTCCCACTGGAAGGTCTTCAGGGACAATAAAAAACATGGAGCTGTCATCTCCTATTATAATTATGCCTTCTTCTGGAATATTCCTGAAAGACCCACCTGAAGCTATTTTACAGATAACTTTTTTTATAGTAAGTAGTGGGAGTACACTCTGAAATAACAAAAATTATTGTGTAGTAAATACATAAAACAATAACAAACTCATTCATTATTAGCATCAAGCATTATATGCTATACCTACTTGTATGTGCTGTACTTTTATATGACTGTCAGCACAATTGGTTTGTTTACACCAACATCCCTCCAAACACATGAGTAATGCATTGCACTACCATGCCACTGGGCAATAGGAATTTTTCAGCTCCATTATAATCTTACAGGACTGGCATTTTATATGAAGTCCATTGTTAACCAAAACATTGTCAGGCAGTGCATGACTGTATGTAAGTTCAAAAGACAGTTATATTTCTCTAATGTAATTATTTTGAGGGTGCAATTTTATAAAGGCAGAAGTTAGATATAGAGGGTTTTTTAACGGTGCAATGTCATAAAGTGACTCTTACATGTATTATCTTTATAGGTTCATTCAAAGAAGATAACAATTTTAGCATAATATGGTTACATGCCACAATTTTGGGTTCAAATTGGTGTTTTAAGAGAATAAAATGTACATGAAAACATAAATACATAGTATAACTAAAGGAAGATGTAGAAGTGAGATGATACATTACTAAGATCTTCGTATACCTCTGGGTGAACTTCTGCTTACTCGGAGACAGTAACTGATGTGTGATGTGTCAGAATTTCAGTGATATAATAATAGAATGAAATAATGAGCTCTCCATCAACAGAACTGTTCAAGCATGAGCTAAATAACCATCTAGCAAGGAGGTTATAGACTGGATTCTTTCACAAGTGGGAATTTAAGTTTCCATTAAGTTCCTTGAACAATTTTAGATTCTGTTTCTGGATTTTAAGATCCATACCTTTTACTTTTTAACACTTCTGAAATCAGGATGCATCTTAAAATTATTAAACATTTAATGAAGTGTTTCTTCACTTTTCCTAAAAAGTTATTATTTAATTAAGGATATGTCTTAGAAATGAGGAAATATAATAATTGATGATATTTGGCTTCAAGTTTAAAAAAAACTAGTTCAAGCTAGCTGAAGAGAAAAGAAAACGGGAACAGGCTGAGAACAGAGCAGATGGTATTTACTGTAAGGATATAGAAGTGCCTCGTCAAACTCAAAAAAGCAGAAAGGTAGCTGGACTTCAAAGTTTACTTGGAGTCAGGAAATGAAAGCCAAAAAGAACCCAAGATTTCCTCTCCTTGCTGTCTTTCTTTATACAACTATACTTTATTCTTTCTCTGCAGATTCACTTATTTCACATAAAGATGGTTTTGACGCAGTTTGTATAACCTTCAATTCAAGATTTATAAATTTCAATTCAAGACTAAATAAATCAAGTTGACTAAACTAGGTTCCCTCAGTTTAAATTCTAATACTTATATTGGCCAAGTTGGGTTAAGTTTACACCCCGATTCCATCAATGGTGCCCATAGTGCGAAGAGTCACAAATTAATAATGGGACAGCCAAGAACCTGCCCTGCCAGCCAGCAAGGACAGTTAAGTGGCATTATGAGGAAAGTGAACAGCTCAAAACGTGTCTTCTGTATATTGTCTTACTTAATGAACTAAAGGTGAAAACATCTAAAATAGAACTACCTAAAGCAGCCCTTCCCTTTTTCCATTCCTATTTTCTAAGTTCTACAAGTTGTGTGAAATGCTTTTATGGATGAGATGAACCCTTTCCAAAAGAGATGTTCAAGCCCTTGCTAAAGGCTTTAATCTAGATTTCTTAGGATTTTGTGAAAGTTAATTTCGAAGATTGGCATTTTTGGAGAGATAACACTTCTTAGATTATGAGGTGTCAGAATTGGCAGAAATAATCATAAAGTTCAATCCTAGCATTTGCAGGGAAGGTTTGTTTCCGTATCTACTTGTATTACAGACTGATTTTTTTTTTCCTGTTCAAAGTGATAATACTCTGCATCATTGAAGTGATTGTCATCCTCATGCTGATCTTCCTCAGGAATCGAATCCGAGTCGCCATTATCCTGCTGAAGGAAGGAAGCAAGTAAGGCCCTTAATGTAGAAACTCAGCTAAAGTGTATCAGTCAGTAAAATCAGTCACTGTCCCTTGCATAAATATCTCACCTATTTTCCTTTTAAGAACACTTTTTGCTGGGCGCGGTGGTTCACACCTGTAATCCCAGCACTTTGGGAGGCCGAGGCAGGCTGGTCACCTGAGGTCGGGAGTTCGAGACCAGCCTGACCAACATGGAGAAACCCCGTCTCTACTAAAGATACAAAATTAGCCGGGCGTGGTGGCGCATGCCTGTAACCAGCTACTTGGGAGGCTGAGGCAGGAGAATCACTTGAACCGGAAGGCAGAGGTTGCGGTGAGCTGAGATCGTGACATTGCACTCCAGCCTGGGCAACAAGAGCAAAACTCTGTCTCAAAAAAAAAAAAAAAAGAAGAAGAAGACTTTTAAAAGAAAGCATCTTCCATTCAGGAAAACTTGTTCAAGTTCACACTCTGTCACTTATTAGAAAGATCACCACTAACAAGTCCTTTAATATCCCCAAACCTCAATAATCATTGGGTAGAATAAGGGTAAAACCTATTTAGTCTACGTATTAGCAGTTTTTGAACACCAAATATGTGTTAGGAGAATGACACATGTGAAAGTAAGTGATAAAGTGCTATATAAAAGTTAGCTAGATTACATGTAATATTATTTTCATACTGGGTCATATGTTCATATTAATGGTTGAGATCATTTGCAAAACTTTAAATCACCATAATTCTATAAAGTCAATTATATGCTATTGCCACTTCTGTCTGAGTGACATAATTTTCTAATAGACAGGACAATTGATTCTAGGAGCACCAGACTATACATTTCATATCTAAAGCCCATAATTTAGGAACACTTTATACCAAGAGTCATTTTTATTTTTTAAAAGTTACAAAATAAACACTAAATCTTTCATAAAATTCATGCCAAGAGATAATAACACCTATAGTTTCCACACTATTCCAAAAGGTCATTCAAGAATAATACTGTGAACTTTTTAATAACGCATGGAAGTAACCGGGAAAGCATTATTATAAAGCCAACAGCCCATGCTCTCTATTTAGTGTGATGGAAACTACATTGTTAATGACCAAGAACCAAATTATTTTTAACAGTCTTTAAGGATTATTTGAAGAAAATTACAGTATTATTATTTTTATTATAATAGTGCCACCTGAAGTCAGTGGTTTAAATAGTTAACAAGCAGTTAGTTAAACTCTCTCTCCTTCCCACAATAACCTATCATTAGCCACTGAAAACTACTGATTTTCTGGGTTTATTTCTTAAGTAGTATGATATTGTGCAGTTCACTGTAACTTGCTCTACTTGTTTCACTTCTAAATGTGCATTTGTGTGAGCATATGTGTTTGTGTTAAAGGGCCAGTAAAACTGAAACATGTTGGTAGTTTGCTCAGGGGGTAATAAGGACTGAAATAAATAGGTGTGAGAATACAGGGTAAACCTAAGGACACACAATAATTCACTTAGCAGTGTATGGAGAAAAGAGAAAACACTATAGATTAAATAGTGAGGTGAGGAAGGTAGCAAATACAAAAAAATCTAAGCATCAATGCATTAGGAGTGATAAGATTTTCATCTTATTTCTCAATGGCCATATGAAACAGTATTGTGTTTAATCCAGTGTCATATGCTGAAAAGATCATGTAACAGAAGTCATTAGAAGTGATGCAGTCAGTTAGTGAACATTTCACAAGCCATGTCCTATTAGAAAATATCAAAGAAATTATTATCCTTGATAATTATATTTTCCAAAATTGCATTTTAGAAATTATATTTTCAAATATAATTTAAATTTATAATTTAAAAATACATTTAACTGCAAATAGACATTATATTTTCCAAAGAAAAAAGAATAAGGAATTACCTGAAGTGTTGCTATGTGGAAAAAATGGTAAAATGGTCATTTCTTCCCCAGAAGTTAGAGGATATAGGTTGCAAACAGGCAGATAATGAAGAAATTTCTAATACCTTGATAAGAAAATAGAATAAGCCATGTCATGTAAAAGTAAGTACCCATCACTCAATGTGTTCACCGAAGGGTAGTGAACACATTCTGAAGAAGTATAGGGGATTCTTGAATTAGTGGGGAATTCCCTCAGTGTGACACATGATCTTCAAGGTCTTCTTCAATTTTAAAAGTCTAAGAATCTAAACGAAAGGAAGAAATGCCATGATTACAATGTATCAAATCAGACAGTAGTAACCAAAGGGAGGAAAATTTGAGGGACTTTAGGCAGGAGTCTAACATGTGCATCGGAAAAATGCCTCAACGTACTTTTAAAAAAAGTAAATAAATAAATAAAAATGTAAAACCAACTGAGAATATGCCAGAATGATCACCAAAAAAGAGTCCGTGGTTATTACCAGTTTTCTTAGAATCAATTCAGTCTAAAGCTTATTTCTAGTTTTAACAATTGAATTTCAACTATTTGTTTTATTTCAGAGCCATTGGATATGTTCCTAGTACATTAGTCTATCCAGCTTTAACTTTCATTTTGCTCTCAATCTGCATTTGCTACTGGGTCGTGACAGCAGTGTATCCTTTGGTAATTGGCCTCTTTAAACCTCAGGTTCACATGACTACTCGTGAACCAGGAGTTTGTGTTCAGTGTTTTCTATCCCTGGGAAGATGAGGAATGTACTAAGAAATAACTATTTTTTTCCCAAGCTCTAAAAACGTTTCAATCTACCGATTGAATTTCCCCTCAAATAGTTCATATTGTAGATTTGTTTTATTTTGTCTCCACATGATACTGCTCCTTAGCAATAAGCCAAGAAAGCTCCTATACATTTTACTGTTTTTAAGGGGCCACTCAGTGCAGCTGGCCCACATTACATTAATCTAGGCCTGAAAAATAGATGAATATTATTAAAATATTAGGCATTTTTTAAGTTAATTTCTCATGCACTTTTGAGTTGTCAGTATTGTTTTCTTGTCCATTTATTTTCAATCTACCAGCAAATGGTTTATCCTTAATGGAGTTTATTCAGTTTCTTGGCGACATCGGGGGTACCTGTATACAAAGTCATAGCTCCAGGGGGGCATTGTATACATGAAAATCAAACCTGTGACCCAGAGGTAAGTACAAGAAACTCTTTCATTTACTTACTTCAATATAGACTTCTGCTGCAATTCATTTTGTAGTTGTGGTAGGAATTGTCCCGAAGCAGAGATCCTATACACTGATGGGGACAACTATGTGCTGAAGTGGGGAGTGTGCATCAGGTAAGCAGGAGAGTATGGAAAACAGTGGGTGGAATGGAGAGAAAGCACTGTATTTCCTGAGCTTGCCTGCCCTACCATATACCCAAGACCATAGAAAGTAGGTATGGTCAACAACAACACTGATAAATGTGAAATTATAGTGGGTGCAGATTATGAGCATTTGATGAAAAATGGGATACTTTCCAGCACTCATTAGATAATTATATAAAGTGATATAACAGAAAATAGAGGAGTAAGAGCAGGAGCTAACAGAGAAACAACAGGATATGCAATTAAGGGGAAGAGGAAAACACAGGGAGTTGTTATCTTGGAGTGATATTTAATATTATGTCCTTGTGTTCCTTTTTCTCAATGCAGATTTTTAATACAACTGAAATTGCCAAAGCTTGCCCTGGGGCTCTGTGTAACTTTGCTTTCTATGGTGGAAAGAGCTTGTACCATCAGTACATCCCTACCTTCCATGTATACAACTTATTTGTCTTTCTCTGGCTTATAAACTTCGTCATTGCATTAGGTCAGTGCGCCCTTGCTGGTGCATTCGCTACTTATTACTGGGCCATGAAAAAACCTGATGACATCCCACGATATCCACTTTTTACTGCATTTGGACGAGCCATACGGTAAGTTTCAAGTTGAAGCCTACACCTATCTTGTCAGTTACATTTAGTGTGCTTGTAATTCAGTCTTGGCTCATTAATTCAAGTGGCAAGGTACAAATGAAATCAAAGGTATGAATCAAAATTCATGGATGCCCATTGGTTTTGTCTGGTTTCATAGCCAGTTTTACAATCCCTACCCAAGCCAATTTCCTTCTAAATGCTATAGGTTACTAGAGAGAGAAAAAGATAGAGGAGGATACCAAATGAAAGATCAAGGATTAACTTGGCTCTGTGTCTCCATTGAGCAGTAAAAACATCCTATTTTATGATGATAGACTATTGGTGTCATTTATGCTGATAAAGGGTAAGACAGATGTATATGGTTTAAAATCCTCTATAGAGACTTTTATCAATCTAAATAAGAGAGTGCAAAAGTCTCTTTGCTGTTAATCCTTCTGCAGATACCTTTTACTTGTGAAAATTATTCAATTAGCATCCCCTTAAATAATAGTATTAAGTTTTAACTTATTCTCATTTTATTTTTGTGCAGATATCACACAGGATCCCTAGCATTTGGATCTTTAATTATTGCATTAATTCAAATGTTTAAAATTGTACTAGAATACTTGGACCACCGTCTTAAACGTAAGATTTCAGATGTCCTGACTTTTGTGAAGATAATAAATTGGGTTGGGGGTTGGGGGAGACCTGATGATTATAACTTGGACTAGGGTAGTAAGGATGAAAGGGCATATTTGGGACCCGTTCTGTTCTGAAGGAAAACCAGAGAGAGCTTGCTGAAGGAGTTGATGTCAGGGGAGGGGAGGGACAGTGGTGAATAAAAGAGAGAAAAGGTGTGTGATCCTATTTGTTAAGCTGTGGAAGCCAGAAGAAACAAATTTCAAAAAGGAGATTAAGAATTCTGTTTTGAGATGTTATTGTTGAGAAGCATGATGGAGATGTCAGGTTGGCAGTTCCAAGTATATAGTTCAGGTCAGGTTAGGCTTAAAATATAAATGTGGGTGTCACGGGCATAAATCTTCATACCTGATATATATTGTTTACAAACACATAAACTTTGCTTGGAATGTACCTTAAAATATTTTATTACTAATATTGGAAAAAGACTTGAAAAGGAACAAAAAAGCTGGAAGACTCATACTTCCTGATTTCAAAACTTATCATAAATCTACAGCAATCAAAAGAGTGTGGTACTAGCATAAGGACAGACATATAGAGGTAAAATAAAACAGAAATCCCAGAAACTAACTCTCACATATAAGACCATTCAATGGGAAAAGATCAGTCTTTTCAACTAATGGTGCTGGGAAAATGGGATATCCACATGCAAAAGAATGAAGTTCAACCTTATCTTACATTAACATACAAAAATTAACTAAAAATGGATCAAAGACCTAAACAAAAGCACAAAAACTATAAAACTCTTAGAAGAAAACATAAGATGAAAGCTTCATGACATTGGATTTGGTGATTATTTCTTAGATAGTACACCCAAAGCATAGGCAACAAAAGAAAAATAAATTGAACTTCATCAAATTTAAAAACATTTATTCAACAAAGAACACTACCAAGAGAGTGAAAAGACAGCCCACATGATGGAAGAAAATATTTCCAAATCATATGCCAGATAAGGAATTCATATCCAGAACATAAAAGAACTTCTACAACTCAACAGCAAAATAATAAGCAACCCAGTTCAAAAATGGACAAAGAACTTGAATAGATATTTCTCCAAAAATGATATACAAATGGCCAATGAGGACATGAAAAGATGCTTAATATCACTAGTCATTAGGGAAATGCAAGTCAAAACCACAATGAGACTCCATACACATTAGAATGGCTATTATATATATATAAAAACAAAGAAAAAAGCAGAAAATAACAAGTGTTGGTAAGAATGTGGAGAAATTGGAACCCTGTGTATTGCTGGAGGGAATGTCAAATGATGTAGTCACTGTAGAAAACAGTATGGCAGCTTCTAAAAAATTTTTAAATATAATTTTATATGACCCAGAAATCCTATATCTAGATATACATGAAAAGAATTGAAAGAAGGAACTCAAACAGATACTTGCACATCACTGTTCATAACAGCATTATTCAGAATAGCCAGAAGGTATAAACAACCCAAATTCCAATTAACAAATGAATAAACAAAATGTGTTATGTACACACAATCAAATATTATTCAACCTTAAAAAGGAATGAAATGATGACCCTTGACGACATCATGCTAAGTGAAATAAGCAAGATACAAAAGGGTAAATATTGTATGATTCCTCCTATTTGAAGCACCTAGGAGAAGCAAATTTATACAGACAAAAAATATAATGGAGTTTACTAAGAGCTGGGGGAATAGGGGAATGAGCAGTTACTGTTGAAGGGCATAGAATTTGTGTTTGAGATTTTAAAGTTCTGGAAACAGCAGTGATGGTTGTACAACATTATAAATTACTCAGTGCCACTGAACTGTACACTTAAAAATGGTTAAAATGGCAAATTTTATATTATGTATATTTTATAACAATAAAAAATTTTAAATCTCATTTTAAATGTTGTATTATATTTATTTTGACTGATAAGGTTCAGCTGCAAATCATTAATAGATTTAAATATCTCCTTCTCATAGGTACCCAGAACACATTGTCTAAATTCCTACAATGCTGCCTGAGATGCTGCTTCTGGTGTTTGGAAAATGCAATAAAGTTTTTAAACAGAAATGCCTATATTATGGTAGGTAGATTATTTTATTATTTACTAAGCTGCTTCTTTGCAATCCCAAACCTTGTGTCTACATTGCCCTCTCTAAAGTACTTTTACTTCATGCAGTTGAATTTATCACTATGCTGATATAAGGCCTGTGAATCCAATGCATGATTCAGGGATATGCTTCCCTAGTTGAGATAGTATCTGAACTATACTTTATTATTACCTTCAATATCTTTTTTGAGAGAAAAAAATATTACACACTTTGGAAACTTATAAGTGTGTTGGATAAAAAATGGTTTTGTGTGTCTTTGGCATAGTTTAGTGGGAAGAAAGAGTATTTAATCTATGTTTTACTCTGAGAAGAAAATACTTTCTAATTCTGGAATTTACATAATTTTAAAGAAGGGTCTTATCCTTTTTATGAATCTTGTGTTGAAATGTGTGGACATTGACAATGTTTGACTGAGTTTTACTTGTTTCCTATGGCTATATGGAAATTCCTAAATATTTTTTTTTAACATAAGGGATCCAGAAATATAATTCTTCTAACCTTTAGAAAGCTACAGTATAACCTTATGACATTTGCTTGTTATCACAGTAGCACAGGGTCTGGAAAAGTGATTGAAATAGTTATGGAGATTCAAACAGTCATTAATTTACCTCCAATGAGAGTATTATGTTAAACCTATTCATCAATAAATCAAATTTAGTGAAAGGTATTGGGTTTCCTTAAGAGTAATTTTTTATGTAGAGACTACAATATTTAACCTTTTTAGCAATAAACTCTAGCCCAAACATTTTAAAGACAGAAGCCATTATCTGGAATTTGGGAAAAAGAGCTGCCTCTGTTTAAGGCTGTCTAATCCCCCAGAGTTTGAGGGCATACAGTATCGGAAGCACACCTGACTGTCAATGACACTGAGAGTTGTGTAGAGCTGAGGACACACAGTGTGTCCCACAAATACACATTAGAAAAAAGAGTGGAGATAGCTCTACAAATGACAGGAATTAATTTGGTTACCTTCCTGTCATTGGATTGTCTTTTGATCTTGTTAGAGTATGTTACTGGCTCCAGAATAATAGCCACTGTCTTCCTCAGATTGCAATATATGGCAGAAACTTCTGCAGGTCAGCAAAAGATGCTTTCAATCTGCTGATGAGAAATGTTTTGAAGTAAGTAATCAGGCTGCACAATGTAATTTAACAATGTAGTGAACCTTGAGCATTACATCCTTTACATGTTGTTATTTAAAGTGTTGGTGGCATTATTGGATATGAATATTATCTTTTAACTTGATAGATTTAAATATTCTCTCTCATACCATTAATTTATTTTCATATCTGAGAATTGTTGCTTCCATTACCCACCTGTGTCTTTAGGTCCATTGGCATTTTTTCATTTTTATTATCCCCTCTGCTCAAGAAATTCCCCCAGATGAACCACATTATCATCTTTCCCCCTCCCAGAATTGGTGGAGCCTGAGTGAACAAAATCAGAGAACAATACAGCATCCTCAGGACTCAGGGTGTCTATAGGCTTCAAATCAGAGAGGCTGACACCACCACTGCAGGGCTCCTGACAGCCCTACAATGCCATCTTCTGTTTACATTAAAAATAAGTCAGAACATCATCCATGAGTTCCACCATCATTTCTTGCAAAACAATTGCCAAATACAATTTCAGCAAAGACACACCAAAATAAACTCATGAAAATTTACTGCCATAAATTTCAAGTACCAAGTATATTTTAAACACAGAATTATACTTTCTTTTTTTCTGATACTCAGAGTTGCAGTTACAGATGAAGTTACATACTTTGTATTATTCCTGGGGAAACTTCTAGTTGCTGGAAGTATAGGTAAGTAATCATGATGAAAATAATAAAAAAAAAAGTTTAAAAGATGCTTGGAAAAACTGCTTTACTACAAAAAACTATATTCTTTTGCAAAAGTATAATATACATGTTCTACCTTTTCAATGTAGGTGTTCTGGCCTTCCTATTCTTCACACAAAGACTGCCAGTGATTGCACAAGGACCAGCATCTTTAAATTACTACTGGGTACCTTTGCTGGTAAGAGCTGGTGTCTGAGTCAGTACAGGCTGCTATAATAAAAATACTATAGACTGGATGACTTAAACAACAGAAATTTATTCCTCACAGTTCTGAAGGCTGGGAAGTCCAAGATCAAGGTGTCAGCCAACTTGATTTCTGGTGAGGGTCCTCTTCCTGGTGAGCAGAGAGACACCCTCCTGTATCCTCACATGGTGGGGAGAGAGAGAGAGATTATCTCTTTCATTTATCTTATAAGGACACTAATCCGATCCTCCTGACCTAATCACCTCCCAAAGGTGCCACCTTCAAATCACATTGGGGCTTAGGGCTTCGGCAAATGAATTTAGGGGGTACACAATTCATTCTGTAGCAGCTGGGTATTGTTGATTCTGTGATTTATCAGAGATAGCACAATTTTAAAAAGGAATAGTAGAAATAGTAATGATAGCAAAAATTATTGGTCTTACTTTATGCCAACCCACATTCTACTTTAGAGACTGGGTTCCTTGGAAATAACCTGAGACAGAGGATTGCATGCGGAAGGTATGTCAGGAAGCTGTCTCCTGAGATACATTGGTAAGAAAGTGAGGAGGGCAGGATAGGTAGCAGGAGAAGCTGACCCATGCCGAAGTTACAGCTGAGGCCTCAGAATTGCAGGACATTCTGGCAAAGAGGCTGGACCTTTGTATGCTGCATCAGGCAGTTTTTGGTCATGAACTGACCCCTGCACGAGGGTATAACTTTGGGTGAGGCAATTCCCTGCAGGAAGGGCAATTGTTAGTAAGGGAAGCAACTGAGTCATTAGCAGCCTAGATTTCCAACAATTGAGGATGGATGAGGCAGTGTAGATCTGGGTGAAGCCCTGCAGTATCTATCATAATATATTAAGTCATTTAACCCACATTTCAAAAATACTGGCATTACTCACATTTGCCTCTCCCCCACTGCCAGTTTTATCTAGGAGACACAGAAAGGATAATTCACTTGTTGAGTGCCTGAGCTGTGATTCAAACCCAGGCAGTATGTGCTCTTAATGCCTAACGCTTTATTGCCTTGGGTACAAGATACTAAAACTGACATATTTTTGCTAAGTACTGGGGGTGGCAGGAAGAAAATGAGCAGGTCATCAATTATAGACTGGATAAAGAAAATGTGGTACAAATACACCATGGAATACTATACAGTCGTGAGAAAGAATGAGATCATGTCCTTTGCAGCAACATGGATGGAGCTGGAGGCTGTTATCCTAAGCAAACTGAAACAGGAAGAGAAAACCAAATGCTGCATGTTCTCACTTATAAGTTGTAGGTAAATATTGAGTACACATAGACACAAAGGGGGAAACAGCAGACACTGGGACCTACTTGAGGGTGGAGGGTAGAAGGAGGGAGAAGATCGAAAAACTACCTATTGGATACTAGGCTTGTTACTTGGGTGATGAAATAATCTGTACACAAAACCCCTATGACACATAATTTACTTATATGACAAACCTGTACACATACCCCTTAACCAAAAATAAAAGTTAAAAAAATAAAAGTTTAAAAAGAATTCAAAAGAATATTTCAGAAATAAAAACACTGGCATCAACTGATTGAAGAGACACAAAATATCATTGGCAAAATCTCTTTGCTTGATACAAAAATTTGTTCTCTCTTTCTTCTAAAGAGCTGGGCATGTGGCAAGAGTCCCTGGATCACTGTGTTGAGAAGGGTTGTTCTGTTATCTGGAACACCTCTTATAAACTGTTATCCGAGGGAGAAATAAACTTCTGTTTTATTAAGAAAAAGAAAGAAAGAAGAAAGGAAGAAAGAGAAAGAGAGAGAGAGAAAGGAAGGAAGGAAGGGAGGAAGGGAAGGAGGGAGGGAGGGAAAAGAAAAGAAAAAAAAGAAAAGAAAAGAAAAGAAAGGGGAAAGGAAGGGAAGGAAGAAAGAAAATAGTACCCCCCAAAAAAGGGAAAAAAAAGGCAGTTAATTTAATAAAACTTGTTTAAGTCTCAGTACAAAGTATGCAGAAGCATTATCATTGAACTTTTTGGTCTCTATACTGAACTCTTTTCCCATACAGAGTACTTCAAAACTTTCTCATCATGGCTTTCATTTATAGCTGCATTATTCTTCTTCTGGTCAAAGTAAATGACATGTTGGTTCTCTTCTTCATCCATTTACAGACAGTCATTTTTGGGTCTTACCTGATTGCACATGGGTTCTTCAGCGTCTATGCAATGTGTGTTGAAACAATTTTCATCTGCTTCTGTGAGTATTCAGTATGTGTGTTTTCCCCCTTCGGTGGATAACTGAAAGGTGAGATGGTGAAGGCCCATGTCCTTAGCTGGCTTGGGGATCTGCTGTTACCTGGCTGCAACCACAAAACGTGTTTATCTGGAAAGAGATATTGCTTAGTAGATGTTATTTAAACCATAATACCTGAGAAATAAGTCAGATGCAGAAAGACAAATACTTCATGATCTCACTTACATGTGGAATCTAAAAATGTCAAACTCATAGAAACAGAGTAGAGGGGTGATGACCAGAGATTGAGGGGTCAGTAAAATAGAGAGATGTTGGTCAAAGGGTACAAACTTTCAGTTATGCAGGATGAATAAATTATGGCACTCACATGTACAGCATGGTGACTATAGTTAATAATACTGTATTGTTAACTTGAAATTTGCTAAGCTCGTTAGTATTCTCACCACACACACACAAAGATAACTATGGGAGGTTATGGACATGTTCATTAGCTTGACTGTGGCAATCATTTTACTATATATGCATATATCAAAACATTACACACCTTAAATATTTACAGTTGTTATTTATTAATTATATCTCAATAAAGTTGGATAAAAAAATTATACCTCAACAAGGCTTAGAGAAAAATACAAAATTTAAAAAGAAATCTTAACAGCTAAGAGAATGGAGTTTGCAAAGCACAGAAGAGTCAACTACTGAAATGAAGCACAGGCTTCATGGCATACTGTTAGCATGAAATTATTTTGTTCATTTCTTGATTTTTTAAGTGAATAATAATGATTGGCTTCTGCCATGCTTTGTTAACAGAACTGAAGACGTAACAGGACTCTGGGAACTAGATATGTGGAATTCTTTGAGGAGAGGATTTATAAATTCTGATAAAGCCAAGATGACAAGGTGGTTTCAAGGACATATAGGGCCAATTCGCACTGTGCATCACAATGACAAATGGATAGGATTCGGAGAGGAGTGCCTCTAGGAAATAGTTGGATTAATTTTGATACATAGAGTTAAAATACTTCTTTAGAGCTTTCATCACTGACTTATACATGATGCTCCTATAGTTGCATATGCAACTCCCATACACAAAATAGGGTTTTCTTTTTTTGGCTAGGCACTGTGGCTCATACCTGTAATCTTAGTGCTTTCAGAGGCCAAGATGGGGAGAACTGCTTGAAGCCCAGCTTGAGACCAGCCTGGGCAACATAGTGAGACCCTATCTCTAGAAAATAAATAAATAAATAAATAAATAAATTAGCCAGGCACGGTAGCACACACCTGTAGTCCTAGCTACCCAGGAGGCTGAGGTGGGAGGATCACCTGGGCCCAGGAGTTCAAGGCTGCAGTGAGCTATGATAGTGCCACTGTATTCCAGCCTGAGTAACAGAGCAAGATCCTGGCTCTGAGAAAAAAAAAAAGATTTTTTTAATATTAGTACCTCACTTGAAAAGTCCTGGAGAACCTAGTACCTAGCAGAAGCTTAATCTGGCTTTCACCTTCCATGCCATTTCTTTGGCAAACCAACAGAAAGTAGAGTCAGTAAGTAAAAGAGCAGAACTTGTTAGCTGCACAACTACACATCCTGAGAGATTATTTCTCTAGCACATTGCCCTTAAGAGAAACAGAGAACATTTACTCTCTGACAGGCCATTACTGAACAATCCACTTGTATAAAATTTACAGTTTGCATTTTAGAATAACCCACAGCACCAACTTCACACTGGGATCAAGAGAGACGATAACTATAGGGAGATATATTCAAAGAAAACCTCCTGGAAAAAAGTCTGGCCTTGTTTTTTGTTTGTTTGTTTCTGAGCCTGTTAAAATCAATTCTCAATAACCGGACAAAGAATTCAAGAGAACTTTATGTACTAGTTAGCTCTTCCTCTGGTTGTAAATGGAAATGAAATGTTTAATGTTTTCCTAGTGCTTCAGTGGTCTAAGGAAAGCCATCTATCTACAAAATATCACATGAACAAACAGTTCAGGTATGGGATGGAAGAAGGAGCACGAGTAAGGTCAAGCACTAAAACATGGTGGACGCAGGGCTCTAGAATGCTCAAAGATCTCTCCTCTCATCTCCAACATTAACCATGGGAGCAATAACTGGAAATCACTATGTGACCTTCCCCATTCTTGTAGCTGAAAATACTTATGAAAATTTGTCTCAGGAAATGTCTAGAACCTACTAGCTTCCAGTCTTTGGAAGTTTTGGCTAATATGTGGATTTTAAGTTTGGCAGTTGATTTTGAATTTTGACAGTAAGAAATGTTTTCCACCATCTTTATTAATTGCCAACTCCTTGAAAGCCAGGTACATCAGCTTGATTCAGTGTATTGCATGTTGACATGAATCATTTCCTTTCAGAGACACTTGTCTGTGATAACAAAGAACAAGGAAACTTAAATTGTGTTTCTCTTCCTCCCCTAGCTGTTACTATGGGCAACATCACACTTTGTAAAATATTCTTCTTAAATGATGCCCTGAGCCAAATTCTGAATGTGTAGATTTATTTATTTATTTATTCCTATTGTCTTGGCTGCCAGAAAACTGGTGATTTTTACAATGCAAACCATTTGTAAACACTTCATTTTTAGAAACATGGAATCTTTTTATTATTACAAGGTACTGAGATTCATCATCTCAGAGTGGGAAAAAAATAATAGTTGTAGATGCTTATTAATGTGATCCAGGCCAGACTTCTTACCAGTACCTTAAGAGTAATAACAAGATAGATATGTTATATACAGCAGTAATCTCTCCTTATCCATGGGGGTTACATTCCAAGACCCCTGGACATGCCAGAATTCTCTAATAGTACCAAACCCAATTGCTGTCAATTGGAACATGTTTCCGTTTATGTCTTCCATCCACAAATGTAATGCCTTTTCCATCCTAACTAAGCACTTATCATACACTGTGGCCATAACTTTTGCAGTTTGAGATACAACAAAACTAGCTTAAAATTCTTTTTTCTTCTTCACAATTTCACGTATAAAAAATTTGTTTTGCCGGGCATGGTGGCTCACGCCTGTAATCCCAACACTTTGGGAGGCCGAGGCCGGCAGATCACTTGAGATCAGGAGTTCGAGACCAGCCTGACCAACATAGCAAAACCCTGTCTCTACAAATAATACAAAAATTAGCCAGGCATGGTGGCAGGTACCTATAATCCCAGCTACTCTGGAGGCTGAGACAGCAGAACTACTTGAAACTGAGAGGCAGAGGCTGCAGTGAGCTGAGATCACGCCACTGCACTCCAGGCTAGGTGACAGAGTGAGACTTTGCCTCAAACAAACAAACAAAAAACCGAAGATTTGTTCTTATGTAGATCTTAGCAACCTCAGTATAAGTTTATTTCTTATTAACTCGAGAACTTTCACCTTTTCACTTAAAGGAAGCATTTTACAGCTTATCCAAATTGCCAGCAACACTAATCTTGCAATTTGGGGCCATTATTAACTAAAATAAGGGTTACCTGAACACAAGCACTGTGATCTTGCAACAGATAACTGAGAAAGCTACTAAGTGACTAAGGGAAGAGCATCCTAGACAGCAAGGTGATGCTGGATAAAGGGAGGATTCCCTGCCAGGGTGGGATAGAGCTTGACGGTTTGAGGTCTCATTATGCTACTCATAATAGTACACAATTTAAAATTAATGAGTTGTTTATTTCTGGAATTTTGCATTTCATATTTCTGGACCTTGGGTAACTAAAACCACAGAAAGTGAAATTGTAGAAAGCAAAACTGGGTAAGAGGGGACTATTGTATAGAAATAGGATTAAGGACAAAAAAAAGCAAAATGTTCAGCGTCTATCATGTTCCCTCTTTTGCTTTTCATTTTGTATGTGAGGAAGGTCACTGTGAGCGCTAGTAGAAATCTACTAAACCAATGACCCAACCATTCCCAAGACTATAGCTACTATCTGCTGTGAATTGTATATATCTGCGGGAGGCTTAATTTCATGCAAATGTATCCTTGTTTGTCAGCATAATTCTGGTGCTTCCTCCCAACTAGCCAGCAGGTGGGTGGTCAGTGAACATGCCATCAATTTAATATTAGCCTAAGCAAAGCTGAAAGGTAAATTAATGTATTATGAGAGTCAGAATACATTGACATTAGCTTTCAAATACAATCTGAGGAAGACCGCAAGAATTTAGGACAGGGTGCCTTATAGTTAAGTAGAACAAGAGCAAAACTAGGTGTCAAGAAGCTGGGTCCCTATCTCATCCTATTTACCTCAGAGCTTTTGACTTCAGCGAGTTGTTTTATATCCCTGGGCCTCAGGGTGTTCGTCTGTAACATCGGAGTATGGACTACCATTAGAAGTGACTTGAAAGTCTGAAATTCCATTATTATTCTACATTTATCACAGAATTAATATACTTCCTATTCAGCTCCATCCCGGAGGATTTGGCAATTTATATCTTTCTGAAATGAACAGTTACAGAATTTAAATATGACACTTTTTTGAAGGGACATAGAATATCTTCTTAGCCTTTAAAGTATCAAAATACATCTCTCTGGGAGTGGGAGGGATTTAGGAAGTTTCAGTGTTTCCTGGCAGAGGTTGAGGTTTCTTACCTTGCCCAGAATCAGCAAGTAAACTGCACTAATTTGTCTTATATTTGACTTTCTAACACTGATTTTTCTGATTTTTCCCTGTTCGACCCTCCAATTTATAAAAATGTGTATAATTGTTCTGCTGCTTCTGCTTTTGCCTGCTTTGGCTGCTGCATATACAGGTGAAGATCTGGAAAGAAATGATGGATCTACAGAAAAACCCTACTTCGTAACCCCTAACCTGCATGGAATTCTGATCAAGAAGCAACTAGTTCCCCAGAAGCAGAAAGAGTAGAAAAGCTCCAAACAGTGTCACTCATTTTTAAGTAGAAGTTGTGTAAATTAGGTTGATTGTAATTTGGAAATGTTGCTTTTGAGTAATGTGAAATTTCTGTGCTTAATTCTAAGAAGTCAGCACCTGGTACTACCTGAGGTGTCAGGTATTTGATGACATTAGCTGCTGTCTACTTTATAGACAGTGGTCCCAGCTAAAGATCAAAATGTTAATGTCAAACGTTTTTTAAAATCTGTAGCCGAGAGTGTTTTAATAACTTTTATAACTCAGCGTGCTGTTTCCATTGCAGCACTTTAATAGCCTTTCTTTTTATAAGTGTATATTTGTAAAGGATATTCAGGCAATTTTTGAAAACACTATAAATGTGTAATTAATTAGCCATAAAATATTGATTTATAGTTAACCAGCATATGGTACTAAATTTGTAAATATGGTGCTATGGTTATATTTATACTGTTCAAGCTGGTGGACAACTCTCTAAACTGTGATTAAACTTGTATTAATGGTTCCCTAGGAAGTATATTTCAGTGAGTCATGTCCATAACAAACATAGATGTTAATGTTATATAGGTTCTACGGAGAGCATTACTGGGTAAAAAATACTATGGAACCTTCAGAGCCCATTCTGTTTTAGTGAAATCATGTTTATATTGAAGTCGAATCTGAGTTCTGGAGTGTCATTTCCAACAACATGAACCTCTGTCCATGGTGAAAATATTCTGAACAAAACTGAAATTGTTACATAACTCATGCCTTTTGTCTTTAACCCAAATTTCTTATTCCCACTATATAGAAAATCAATATGAATTTGTTTCAGAAGAGTGATTATATCTTTTCATGAGTATACCTGTATTTCTAGATTAAAGAGATTGTGTGGCTTTGTTCTACAGAAGGTTTGATTTTGTCTCACCTTTCAGTGAGGAAAGAGAAAAGAAAGACACTTCAGATTTTACCCTAAGGAAATATACTGTTGGCGCTCCATCATCTAATACCTTTATGAGGGGCATACTGTGGGTTAGGAACTCTCTCTCTGCAGGGCTTAGGAGGAAAGTTGTTGCCACCTGCCACCGCTGGCCGCCTGAGGTTTCTGATAGTCATGTGTAAGTTTTGAATGGCAGAACAAAGCATGAATCAGACACACATCTTGCCTAGCCATCCCCTGTGTGCAAATGTGTATGATGTGGTTAACCATGTAAAAATGCACCCCAAAAGGAGCATTGAATCAATTTGTATTTTCTTGGCTTTTACCTTAAACTTGTATATAAGGATTATTTATATATTGACAGAAAGGAACATGTTGATCTGAATATCACTCATATATCCAAGAAAAGAGTCAGAAATGTATTGTTGTGTTATAGATTGATCTAAATACGTATTAATTATCTTCAAGTGTAGACACCTAGATTTAAACTGACTCTGTGGCAGATTAATTAATAGCAATAAGCCAATGAATAGGGAAGATTTTTAATATATAATGACTACCAGCTTGTTCTTGGCTTACATTCTTGAGATTATTGTATTCAAAAGTGTCAGTTGGCTTCACATTTTGGCAAAGAGCCTTCTGCATTCTTATTCTCCTTGAAGCATAATGCAGATAATGACAACTTATCTTTCTAGATTAGTCTTTTATTATTCAACAAGACAAAGGCCACAACAAAGGACTAGTAGAATAGTGACCTCTACCTGAGAATTTGTTATAACTATAGATGTTTGTGCTCTGCCCAAGAGATTCTGATATACTGTGATTTGATGTGAGCCACGATGTGAATTATTATAAAGTTCTCTAGTTGATTCTGATACACATAAAAGTTGAAAAATTGGCCATGTGTGGTGTCTCACGCCTGTAATCCCAGCACTTTGGGAGTCCAAGATGGACAGATCACTGGAGCCTAGGAGTTCCAGACCAGTCTAGGCAACATGGTGAAACCCCATCTATCTTTATAAAAAATATAAAAGTTAGCCAAGTGTGGTGGTGCACACCTGTAGTCTCAGCTACTTGGGAGGCTGAAATGTGAGGGTCACTTGAGCCCAAGAGATCGAGGCTGCAGTGAGCCATGATCACACCACTGCACTCCAGCCTGGGTGACAGAGCAAAACCCTGTTTAAAAAAAAAAAGTTGAAAAAATCACTTGAATAAAATAAAAATCAACACATAAACAAGTTGCCAATTTATATTATGAGCTAACATCTAGTCAGAAAAATATTCTCCATTTACTACTTATTTGTGTAATTGAAATATGTAGAATAAAAATGAGCATTGTTTTTGAGAAGATATTTAGAAGCCATTTTCTTACAAAGCAATTAAACTAAAAACTGTGAAAAACCAGGGCAATGTTCCTCAAAATTTGCAGTTGATGTGTTTGAAATCTGAAATTTCACAATTTTTATTTTTCAAGGCTATACTATTTAAATTATTGATGGCAAAACAGAATCAATTTTAAGCAAATATAGTAATTTAGAAAGTAAATTGAAAAAAAGAAGGTGAAAGTTATTTTCTCAATCATGCAACTGAGAGACACGCAATATTGGCAGAATCTGACCTGTTACACAGAATGAAATAATATCTTGCTGACATAATCACAAGGGCTTATTGTTTTCGCATAACTATGTTTACAATAATGTTGATGCCAAACTATGCTGTTTAAAAAACAACAACAAAAAAAAAACAACAAAAGGATTTTGAACTGCTGTAAAGCGAGTATACAGCAGATGGCGGTGTTACTTCTCTTACAGTTCTGCTTTGATATTTACTCTGTACCATTCTTCCTCCTAGTGGAAGATTTAGAAAGAAATGATGGTTCTACTGCAAGACCTTATTATGTGAGTCAACCTTTGCTGAAGATTTTCCAGGAGGAAAATCCACAAACTAGGAAGCAGTAGAAGAGCAAACTGGTCGTCCTACAGCTGTGTGTTACCTTTTCTCCATCTGCTGTGTCTGTGCAACATTTGTTTCATAAGTGCTTTGTGTTTAGCAACACTGTATTCACGACCTTGTTGGCTTGCATTTGCATGTTTTATACCAAAGCTTATACTGTACTATGTGAAGCCATCAGAAGTCGCAAGGGAATTGTTAATAACATAAAACATTTTTATACTAAGATCATTTGTTTTGTAATTCGTTTTTAAAGAGTGGCTTGGATGTTTTGAAAATACTACTGAATATGTTAATATTCTTTTAAATCTTAGATTGAAAAATGATACATTACTTAAATTGATAGCTCCTAATATATTTTTAAAATTACAACTAAAAGAAGACTTCTTCTGCAGGGAAAATTGGTCAGCAAAGTGAAATTAAAAATTTTAAAGTTTTTCCCACTCTCGTTGGACAGTAAATCAGTGAAAGGACTGCCCCAGTTGAGAGTTTGCTCTCTTTAAGTATAGAATGTTTCCTCTTAAACAAATTGCCAATCATCCAGCCTTTACTACTTAGCCCTCTGACAAAGTGCCTTACTGGCTATTTAATATTACCCAGCTTTTATGGGCAAGTTTACAAACATTGTTTTTTAAAAAATTAAAACCTGCAATGTTTCGTGATTAAAACAAGTCTTATTGCATTTGTTTCACTCTTAGCTCACTGATTGGAAAACATTTGTCATTTTGCTCTGTTTGATATCCTCACTATTATGGAATACATTGTGCAGCTAAACAATTTCCCTTGCGCCTAGTGGACATTCATGAATGTGTACTACACGCAAGAAGAAACAAACCCCGAAAGAACACTTGTTGGATTTCTTTGTTTTTTTTTTTACTAAAAGAGAAGTTTTAAAATGAAATGTTTTCTATAGTAGATCTTTGAAAATACAATAGGTATAATACTGCATTTCTCAGTGTTTTACAAAGATCAGAAAGAGAAACTTCTAGGAATTGCAAAGGGAAACTTTACTCCTCGAAAGGGTGCTCACAGATGTCATGTACTGAATAGCTCCCTTTTAAATGATCATTTATTTTCATCAAAGCCTGTTCTATATATGCCACTTCATTTTCTAACTTTTGGTATGAAAAAATCAGTTTACTTACAGTATGTTAATTGTATTGTACTACTATAAACAGGAACATAATTTCCAATTCAGTTTTAAATAATTTTACCAGTACTACTAACTTTTAAGGAAATTAATTCAGTTGGTTACTCAGTGTTTGTTACAGAAAGAGTCCAGAAAAGTATTCACCCTAAGAGAATGTCAATCATATAATGATAATTTGTGAAAGCTTTGAGAATCAATCATCAGTAAGTTACTATCAGTTTATAAAATATTATCACATTTGTTTAAATGTGACTTTAGATACTTTTATGCCAAAAATAAACTCACATGAGCACATGACAGTCTGAGCTCTATAATCAGTGTGCTTCTGCTGTGCAGAAATGTTAGAAACGTATTGTCTAAATATCTTTGATAATTAAAATGTTTAATATTTAATGAAATTTGTTGTTACTTGTTTTAAATCTTTTTTCTTTTAATAAAGATTTAAATAAGAAATAACTGCCTGTCTTTTGGTTTCTTTAATCTAGAAAAAGAGAAAAGCTTTTGTTTTCAAAACCCACTATACTATGACAGTATCTTCTCTATACCAAATATCTAGGTGGGTTTTTTATTTTAAACTAGATTTATATTTTTAAAATTTTCCACTTTTCTCCAGCTGTGCATTGACAAATCAAATAAGTGAAACCGATAATTTATACAAAGGAAATAAGTCAAAGCTAAATGGATGAGATACTTTAAAAAAAAAATCAAACAGCCTAAATTAGTCAGTTTTTCTTTGTTTTTATTTGCCAAAGGTTTGCTCAGTCCTTCATTTCATTTTGTCAAAATTTATAGGAGAAAAACGTTATTATTTTCAAGGCGGGTGTAAATTTAGAGGCCCTAAAGAATATGAACACCAATTAACAGTTTCCTAAAGCAAGATTAAACATACCTATCACTGATTTATCTTAAGCTAAATTTTAAAACAAATATATTGATGTCTTTTCTTAGGTTGAATTATATATTAAATCTTCAAAATTAATTATTCTTTAAAATTTAATGGGTTTATTTTCTTTCTTTCTTTTTTTTTTCTTTTTTGAGATAGAGTCTTGCTCTGTCTCCCAGACTGGATTGCAGTGGCACCATCTCCTCTCACTGCAACCTCCGCCTCCCGGGTTCAAGCAATTCTCCTGCCTCAGCCTCTCATGTATCTGGGACTACAGGCACCCACCACCATGCTGAGCTAATTTTTGTATTTAGTAGAGATGAGGTTTTACCATATTAGCAAGGCTGGTCTTGAACTCCTGACCTCAGGTGATCCGCCCGACTTGGCCTCCCAAAGTGCTGGGATTACAGGCGTGAGCCACTGCGCCCAGCCCTAGAATTTAATGGGTTTCTTTCAATGAAAACATTAAACAATGATCTTGCAGTTTTCAGTGTTCTTTTAAAATAAGAACACAATAAGATAATAAAACAATAAGACATGGTATTAATATAGCTAATGATTCTTTTTTATTTGAAATAAAATATAATGTAGTTTCCACAAGAAAGTCAAATTCTGCTTTACGTCTTAATAACTCCTACTTTTCAATGATGAAGCACTTATGTTGGTAAATAAATGATATACCATTGTGCAATGATTAATTTGTTTTTTCTATGTCCCTAAAGAGCTTAAAAAGAGTTAGTGTGTCTGTATAGTAAAATCACACTATGAAAGGTTCTATGGGATTGTCAGGGACAATGTAGTTCTTATTTAAACTGCTATTGGAAAACAGGCTCTGTGTAACAATTTCTCACTTTTCTTTTAGTATACAGCTGACTAGCACTCATTCCAATGTATGTTCTTTCACTTTTACAAGTGGTGCCTCAGGAAATTGTTCTTAAACTATAACCAGGCATAGTAATTATCTCCCTTATTATCTGGTTCTGGATTGGGGAACATGCTTTATAAATCAGTTTTTGTTGGCAAAAGATATGGGGACAAATTTGAACTAAAATCATTATTGCAGACCATAGTGTATGAAATGACATCTTAACGTTTTTTCCAGTTTCTTGCAAATGTTAACCTTAGATGTGTGTAAATGATTATTTTATAATAAAATATAGATATATGATTATAAGAATACAATTCAACAAATCATTAATGAAAAAATCAATATAGCAGATCCACATTCCATTGATATTAACAACTTTGTGTCATAATCTAATTCTCATTATCTAGGTCTAATAAATAAAGTAAGTAAAAAAACAAATATATATATAGAGAGAGAGAGACAGAGAGCGCAGATAAAACATTACTTCTTCGAAGTTACTTCCCATATTAGGGCTAAAATGGGCATTAAAGACATTTCTCTCAGGACCTAGCTGAGTTACTTCCGGTTATTAGTGAATCAATCATCATCAAGAAAACAAAGACAACCCCCATTAAAACAAATGTGAGGCTGGGCACGGTGGCTCACGCCTGTAATTCCAACACTTTGGGAGACCGAGGTGGGAAGATCATGAGGTCAGGAGATCGAGACCATCCTAACTAACATGGTGAACCCCGTCTCTACTAAAAATACAAAAAATTAGCCAGGCGTGTTGGCACGAGCCTGTAGTCCCAACTTCTTGGGAGGCTGAAGCAGGAGAATTGCTTGAACCCGGGAGGTGGAGGTTGCAGTGAGCTGAGATCATGCCACTACACTCCAGCCTGGGTGACAGAGCGAGACTCTGTCAAAAAAAAAAAAGTGCATTCCTTCATGGACATAGAGTATCATTTATTCAAAGCTTAGACAACAGAATGATGTTACCATCATGGACCCTATTAAATGTATCAGGTCAAACTGAACTGCCCTTTCCCCCATTTACAACTTCGCAATTGCTTGGAATGAAAGGCAGCCAAAATGTGTAGAATCTGGCGACATCTTTTGTCATGGTTTCTGCACTGGGGGAATGGGGGCTGTTATGTGACAAATTTAAAAGCAAGCAATTCAGTTTTACTATTTGAAGTCACTAGCTTTATTTTCTTTAAATTTAACTCCTTGGCTTTTTTTTTTCTTTTGTATTTACTGTATGAATCACAATAATTTAAGCAAGTGGGGAAATTGTGAATGCAAGTAAAACACCCTTCTACCACTGGCTCAAAAACATGATACTTCTTCATCTTCTGTCCCTTTGCAATTAAAGAGCACAGTATGTTAACAAGGGTGGGAAAAGTTTATCAAAAGAGAAAGATGTTTTCATTGTACTTACAAATTAACGTGGAGCCTGAACTTGATCCATTGTTAGAATAACCTTGGAATCTCCACATTCTTCCAGGCAGATGAATGTGCACGGCTGCATGTGTGTCTGCACAGAAAGGATAAAATGAAGGTAGGATGTTGTGAAAAGCATTGGTCTCCAAGGAGAGGCTGGAGAACCTAAAGCACAAAAATCTCTAGTGGGATCCAAGAGGGCAATGTTACAGGAAGTGGGGTGCCTTCTGAACGCAATTCATAAATCTATTGAAAAAGAAACTCAATAGCAAATCATAAGCTAATAATTAAGCAAATAAAATTATTTTTCTATCCTCTGATAAACAGCGTTGAAGCCAACTGTGTTACAATGAAACTAATCACATGCTTATTTGCATTTAGCCTAAACAAACAAAAAAGAATGATGTCCCAATATGATTTATGACTAAGGTATTCAAAAACATCTGCCTCTTTTTCACAGTGCTTTTACATGTTAGCCAAAGCTTTGCTGTCATGATGAGCTTGTGTTTTTCTCTTTCCTCTCAACACCAAGATGGATTCTTTTTCAGATCTTCCCTGTCATTTCCTTTCCTCCAACTCAATCTCTTTTCTCATTTTCCCTGGCTTACAAAAGTCTGAATTTCTAATAAGGTATTTGGGAGGAAATGGAGGTGGAAGAGGAAAAAAATTATGAAAATGAAGACTTGAACCAGCAGGTTGTTTTGTGCTATGGACTGGCAGATCAATAGTATGAGTTCTGAACCATGCTAGGGCATAAGGAAAGGCAAATGACAGAGCCCAGTGATATAGCATGGAGGCTGTTAATACAGGCTTGAGAAACAGGCCAAGGGGAGCTTTCCAACGTCACCCTGTCACTCTGCGACCACAGGCAAGGTGTTAAACTGCTCAAAGGCTTCCTCAACTGACAACTGAAGCAAGCCCCCTCCTCACAGTGCTGCTGAAAAGATAACATGAGAGTGAGCATCATATCCATTATTGAGGACTGGTACCTAGAGTTGGGCAATGCCTGTTAGTCATTAACAGTGATATTCTCTTGACTGAGGACTTTCAGCACCTGGACTTTACCACTCCCTTCCTACCCTAGTGGACAGTTTATTTGGGCCTCTCTGAGAAGCTAGTGAAGGGCATCACAGTACTGGAAGACTCTTCCCACTACCATCCCTGCACCCAGGCCAGAGTAAATGAGAAGATATAGGTGACTTTCCCTCCTTCTCTGGAGCTTCAGTCCAAATCCCATATGAGACTTTTTTAACATAGCTTGAATTCTTGGGTCACTGATGACAGACTCTTTCGGAGTACCCAAGAGGAACTTCACTGAGATTTCAGCTCACCTGTCTCATGCTTCCTCACCATTACCTTTCTCTTAAATCCTGATATTAAGCCAGATTTGTGAAGTTGGCAAATTGAATGTCATTTCTAGAGTCCCTTAATCTTTACTTGTTCTCTAATTCTGGAAACTGAATAACAGTTAAATTTAATGTTTCATAACTGGATGATCATAGGCTTCAAAATTAAGGCCATAGATCTTCATTTGATTAATCTGATAGAGGTTTTTCTCTGCAGCCCCTGTTCCATGAGTTTGTGTAGGTCAGTGGAAAGACTTTTTTCATTCTGCTTCTCTACATTGGGTTGTAGACAGGAAACCCCTGAAAACTGCAGGCTTCAAATCTGTCTAGAGGACTATTTCCAGCCTTATAGGTGAGGCTCCTGTTTTTCTGAGACAGAACAAGATGGCTTACCAGTCTTAAATAAAATCGGCAAAGAAAAAACCATGTTTAAAAGCAATATTCCTTTTCTTTTAGTGAGTCCTAAATTAGCTTTTGGTGACCGCAATAGAGAGAAAAAAGAAGTGGCTAGAAGTCATTTTATATCATGTTATTTAAACAACTATAGATAGGCAAATCATTTTGCCATCTATAACATGTAACTTGAACTATCACTGTGATTTAGGGAGGTGAGGTCAAGAGAAATCAAATTTAAATTTTTGATTTTAATCAAATCGAATCAAATCAAAAGAGCAAAGTAGAGATTTTTGGAACTATACAACTATGTTTTTTAATATAGTTTCTTGGAGCATCAGGATATATTTAGAATGCTAATTTTAGCACTTTAAGTGATAGAGAGAAGTAGATAATATCTGAACAACAAGTATATTTCCCAGTTCATATAAAAAAGTAAATGTTAAGTTAATGGAGCAAAAAATTTCCGATATGAAACATGCCAAATCTTAACAAAAAATGTTTCTGTGTTTTCCTAATTAATACTTTAAAATTAAATTATTTCATAAATTGTTAAATTTACCCTTTTTATAAAATTGTTTAATTTTTCCTGCTATTAGAAACTTTAAAAAATAATTTTGGTTTGCTGCTCACACAATTTTTTGTTCTGCGTTGTTGTTTTTTCATATGTTAGTCTTGGGCATATAAATTGCTCTTGAACTGGTTTTATCAAGTGTGAGCCATTATGAAATAGTCACTCTCCAAGAGTCCTTAATGGAACTTAAAAGCACATGTAGGCAGGACCCTTGATGTGCTTTGATTGCCTTAGAGGACTATGCCTGCAGCGTGTGCCTGTACATGTGCAAGACATGCAAGTATATGTGTTAGGAGGGTAATTTGATGTGTGTGAGCAGCATACAGCAGAGCACATGAGTAACTCTCGTCTATTGCTGCTATCAAGAAATACAAAAAACAATCTCTTTCCGTCTCTTAATATGAAGCTTAGGCAGATACAGATACCAAAATTATCTTAATATTGAGAACAGAAATAGGAGCTGATCTAGAATGTTTTCTATTATGCTTTCTTATATATCCCTAAACCACTGAGCCAAGCATTAGGTTTATAATACAGTGTTTTGGGAGGAAAGAACTCTAATAATGCAATCCTCAAAGGGAAGATTCACGACTATGGCAGGGCAAGCTATCTGGCTGTCATTTGTTCCCCAGCCAGCTTTTAGCTGGATTCACATTAAAGAGTGCCATGTGTATTGCTTTCAAGCTCCAGGGAATTGAAATTCCTGCCAGTACCACCCAGTTGGCCCCCAAAGAAGCAGCTGCTTGATGCTTGATTCAGACTATACTTAATATCCATGCAGCACAGCTCCATGAACTTTTCTCACCTGGAATTGATCACTTGATTATCAGTCACCTCTGAAGTGTCCCAGACAGCAAAGACCGCAGAATATTGACAATAGTGCTCACAGGAACCAGACACAAATGCATGCTAACAGATGCCACCACCAGATCTTCCCTCAGATTTGAGGGAAAAAAAAATCCAACTCGATCGTTATTAAAATCCTTCTGAATGGAAGGCAGTGTGGAAGATTTAAAAGTATATTGTCACTGTCCATTGCTTTCTCTTCAGAGCAGTCATTACAACTGCTGTTATTTATAGCTTCCGCCAGACTATAAGTCCCATGAAGGCACAGACTCTATCTGCCTTGCTCTCTATCATACAACAGGTGCTTATTAAATGCTTCTTTAATAAGTAAATGAGGTGAGAGAATACTTCATGGGGAATATAGGATTTGAGTTGTCTTCAGAAGAATATTGAAAGTAGGTATAGGGAATTGAAGAAAGAAAGATATTAAAGGCATCAGGAAGAAAATGAGACTTCCAAAATGATGGAGGGAGAGAGAAAGGGAGGGAAAGAGGGAGAGAGGGGAGAGAGAGATGAGTCTCATGTTTTGACCCTTGAGTTTGTGCACCATTGGGATGGGCACAGCATGCAATTGTTGATGAGTGACCGAAGCTGGGGAGATAGATTAGGTCTCAAAGTATAGAATAACAAGTGTTTGAAGCAGGAGGACAATGGGAGCCCCAGGAATGAATACCATACTAGAGAGAGGTTGTGAGCCAAGAGGCATGAGGGCTGGGAAGCTTCTTGGTGTGGAGTACACAATGACTGAGAAATAAGACTCAGAGGTGGGAATAGAAAAAAAGTCAGTAACCCATAAGGTAGAATAAAGATATCCTCATCCATTCACCTAAGGATAAGGACTGTTTCCTTTTCTCCCTCTTATACCACCAAATAGCAAGACCCCTTGCTGTTGGCCACCAGGTGAAGTCTTTCCTTGAGGAAGGGCGCATGGGCATGTTGTATAATCTATACACTTGCTACCTACTCTCGGGAAAGTTACTTCACCTTTCAGAGACTCAGATTTCTCATCTATAAAACTGGGACAACACCTGCCTCTGGGAATTTGGGTAATGTGAAAATTTAACATGGTAAGACATCTAAAGTACCAAAAACACAGTACCTGACACATTGCAGAGGAGAGACAGATAGATATGGAAAGAAGTAGAGAGATACAAATTATATAGATAGAGATATGTAGTTTTCTTTCTCCCACTTAGCCTCTTAGGCTTAGACTCTAAAGACTTATGTTTGAGGCCTTGCTCTTCCACTAAGCAAATGATCATGGATCTCTGTTTCCTCACCGAGCAAAACATGAGAGAATGAACCCGGCAATCTCTCAACAACCTTCAAGTTGTAAGATTCCCTAATTCTCAGATTATAAAGAGGAATGTTTGGGAATCACATATTTAGGCTTTCTAACAATGTAATTTCTCAGGAGAAATTTCTTAGGAGAGGCAGATAAACTAATCTTTATCTAACCTCATCAACAAGCATTAAGGATGCCATGTCAACACTTCCTGATCCTAGTGGCTAAGGATCTTCCTCCTTACACAGGCAATGAATGTGTCCAAGATGCTTATTTCTTAAGAGAGTAACTCATGAGTAAATGGGAAGCTTAAGTTCATGAGAGAAACTTCCTGTTTTCCTTTGAGACACTGGAAAATTAAGCACATCAGCCTCAAACAGAGACATTAGAGTGAATAATGAAAGCACAGGTGGTGGCTATAAATGCTGGAAAGGGAGGCTATCAAATGCAGGGAATTACAGTGAAAGCACATTTCTAGATAAATCCTCACGGTGTTTGCCTAATAAGTGTGTTATCTCCAGAGCCATAAGCTTTCAGAACATAACAATTATGTTGCAGACAAGGCTCATGGCTCCTCTGGTCCAGGACCCTGCCTCAAGCAGGAGCCCAGGAGACTGCAGTGGACACCCTCAGTGGCCCCCTCACTATCTCCCTAACCAGATGGCAGGGACCTCCAGGATGCCAGCCTTATTATTTGGGTCCTGCCACTGCCCTCATCATGGGGTCTTACACAGGTGGAACTTAGTAAATATAGGCTAAATGAATAAAAAAGTAGGAGGTATGCCCCAAAAGTTGGAGTTACCCTCAATAATGGCTAATAGTTTCATGCTGTGTGAAGCTGTCTAAACTGTTTTTTATTTGTTTCATATTTTCAGCCTATATGAATTTGAATGATTAGTGAAGGAGTGCTTCTGTTCAATTGTTCTAAACAGTTCTTCCTGCTTTGAAGCAACCCCTTAAGCAGCCCTTGGTCTGATGGGAGAGGGGTCAGATGTATAAATATAAAATTTAAAGCAGAATGTGAATCATCAGAAAGTCAGCAAAGCACCATGAGTATTTAAAGGAAAGGATGAATTTCAGGGAAATAGACATGGTTTGTGGACTAAGTGGTATTTGTGTCAGGTCTTCAGGAGTTATAAAATTTTGAGTAACACAAATAAAAGGGGGAAGATGGCACTTCAAGCAAAGAATTGAGCCCAACAAGGCATGAAGGCAGAAAGCGAAAAATACATCCTCAAAGTAGCTAGTTAGATAAATGTAGGCTAGGGATTCTGGAAGTTAAGGCAAAACACAGGTTGGAGTTATATTGTGAAGAGATTTTATTTACTACGAATTATGCAAGCCATATTTTAGCAGGAAAGAAAAGAAGCATAGTTTAGAATACAAACCCGAAAATTAGATTAAAACGGAAACCTTCTGGATTCTGGGGCTCTCATTAGAAGTAAATGTGCCTTGCTGTTCAACGTGTGATAGGGGACCAGCAGTTTTACATTATCTGGGAGCATATTAGAAATGTGGAACCTCTGGCTGTCCCAGACCTACAGAATCAGAATCTACATTTGAATAGGATCCACAGGTGATTCTGCTGCACATTAAGATGTAAGAAGCAAGGTCAAAAGAGAACTGGGAAGAGCCTGAACCTAAGTGGCTGCTCAAAGATGGCAGAGAGGAGACAGGAGAGAAATGTGGAAAGGCAATGTGCTGGGATCATCTAAGGCAGCTGACACTTTAAGCTAGGGACCAAAAGTACAGTGGGGTTATTCTTGGGAATCTCAGGAGGGAAACAGGTTGGGCTCATGGGATGATAGAAAGGTGATAATTTGACTTCACATAGAGAGATGAAGGAGCCTGCAGGGAGTATCCAGATATAGATGTCCAAAAGGCAGCTGGAAAAGCATATTAGCTCATAAATAAAGTCCTCTTGCACTGTATCTCTGCAACAGACATTCAAATGAAAAATGTAATAAATCACCTAGCTGGGCATGGTGGCTCATGCCTGTAATCCCAGCATTTTGGAAGGTCAAGGCAGGCAGATCACCTGAGGTCAGGAGTTCAAGGCCAGCCTGGCCAACATGGCAAAACCCCCGTCTCTACTAAAAATACAAAAATTAGCCTGGTGTGATGGTGCACATCTGTAATCCCAGCTACTCAGGAGGCTAAATCAGGAGAATCACTTGAGCCCAGGAGACGGAGGCTGCAGTGAGCCGAGATCACACCACTGCACTCCAGCCTGGGCAACACAGCGAGACTCTGTCTCAAAAACAAACAAACAAACAAAAGCATAGCGCCTGGACACAATGTATGAAAAAAGTAAAAAATAAAAAAAATTACTTAAAATGTTATGAAAGAACAACAAAATATCACAACTAAAAGGAAGCATAGATGTCATCCAGTCTGATCCCTTTCTGTGATGGGAGGAATCAAGGGTCCAGGAAGGGGCACTGATTTTGACAGGTGCCTCAGTAGAGAAATAACAACATTAAGTCACCTGACTGCAAACTCAGGGTTTATTGAACTTCACTGTTATTCTGATAAAATAGGCCTTGGGAATTAGGACTACTGGAATTGGGTTCAAGGAGATATGGCTAGAAATCCAGAAAGAATCAATGGTAGTCTTAGCAAATGGTTCTGTAGGAAAACTTGAGGAAGTTTATAACAAGCCTCTGCATGGTTTACAGACCTTGGTCAGGTTTCAGGGCTATTTCAGAATATACTTGGTATCGGCATACCAAAACCAACTCTAATGTGAAATGCTTATTATATGACAACTATATTAATTAACATTTACATACCACTTAGTATCTGCCACTCACTGTTCCAGATGTCTTAACTGTATTTAATCACTTAAAACAACTATATGAAATAGGTAGTGATATTCTCCATTTTATAGATGGAGAAATTAAGGCACAAATAAATAACCAAATGTCACAGGGCTCATCAGTGGTGGAGATAGGATTCAAATATGTAACATTTTTTTTTCTTCTTAGAAGACTGGCTATACATATTTTTTCTCCTTTTCATGTAAAACTATAAAACTTTCTGCAAGAATCAATTCTAACTGTGCACAGACTGTTGAGCTAACAGACATACTTGGCTTTGGGCAGTTTATGGTTATGCTTTGGTCTATATCCTCTTTGGCTAATCCTTGTGCAATTTTGATCTAACACTGGCTTCTGGCCAATGATGGCAATCCACTTTCATATCCTTTTTAATATTCTTTAGTCCCATTATCTTTAGGTCATTTCTAATGACCATCTTCTTAGTAAACTTTGCCTCTAACATGTTTTAGTAACAGGAGACAGGAAAAGACACACAGCTTCTGCTGTTTTGAAGAATAAAGACCTCTTAACTGTGTTTTCCCTTTTTTGGCTTTGGAGCTGAGATTTCTGTTCAGTGGGGTTTAGTTTCCTTAGACCAGGATCAAGGACACTGGCTGCGGTTGGCTCCCTCCCTCCATCCTGAGGAAGAGCTTCCAGCATGCCACCTGTGCCTCCTTTGTAGCATTGCATGGTAAAACATGCTCCAACCGTGTTTCCCTTGGAAGGCGCTGGCACTGCTCCTCTGAAATAAATCCTCTCAGCTGGAGAGAGTGGGGGCTGCGGGTGGGGTGCAGAGGCAAGGCCTTATTATGGGGACCTTCATTAATGGCATTGTGGGTTGCCTTGATTTTCCACACGTCTGACCAAGTCAATTTCCTGTCTTGGATCCCTTTCCTTCTTGTCAAATTCCAAGTTTTTTGCTCTTCATTCTTGGCCTGGCTGTGTGGGTGATCGATTTTAATTTTTCTGCTTAAAATGTACCAAGTGTTTGCCTTTTGGAAAGGAGTCCAGAGGAGTGTCAGGGGAAGGGCTCAAAGTTTAATGTTTTCCAAATGATAAAACCAAAATTCTCTTCTCTTCCTCTCCTCTCTCTCATATCTTTTCATTTCTTCTAAATTTTTGAAAATTTTATATTTTAGGTTGACATACAATAAAATCAAGCTTTTAAGTGTATATTCTATGAATTTTAACAAACAGAGTCATGTAACTATCACCATAATCTTTTCTTTTTTTAAACTCAAACTCTTTGAACAAAATATTAAGTAAATATGCTAATATCTTACATTACACAGAATTACTATTAGCACAAGATGTGGTTATTATCTTCCCCAAAGAGGATTATTTTATTTATGAAGACATTTTTAAACATTGTAACATTTTGTTTATCTCTAAGAAAAAGTTCCAGCTCCAGAATATACAGATGTATGTAGACAAGATCAACATTTTCATGGTTTAATACAATTAATTCCACTACACGTATCTTTAAGTTTCTTTTTCTCCTTTGGTCTGGTATGAATGATGTTTTCATGGTTTGTTTTGAAGAATCTTGATTTTATTACTTTGAGCAGTTATTTATTTAGGACAAGATAAATGATATCTGGTTGAGAAATGGTATTTACATTTCATAATATAGAAAACAATCTTGTGAAAACAAAATAAGCAGTGGGACACAAATGTCAAGCTTGACTATCACTTCAAATCAATTTCCAAATTTGGGAGGAGTAATCAACGTATGAACATGTAGCCAAGTGGAATGATCTATCTGTTGCTTTTTATTCAAAAAGAAAAATATAGGGCAAAATTTTGATTATTAAAGAATACTCTGCATGATTCTGAATGGCAATAAAAAGCCCCAAAAAAGTCTATTTAAATAATCTTGACTTTTAGGTTATAAAGAAAAAAGTTTTTTCAGATTTATTTGTTAAAGAGTCCGTCTACACTCTATCGTTTCCTTGGCCTCTCATTCGTTAAGACCCAGCTAAAAGGAATCCTACCCTAAAAAGATTTACTTTTTCCCCAGGGCAGAGTTAGCCATTATCTCATCTGTGTTCAGCTCAAATATTTCCTGGAGCATTGAACATTTTGTGTTACAATAATATATTTATAAGTCTGTCTTTCTCCTTTGGCTGTGAGCAACTGGAGGCAGGGGCCATATCATATTTATCCTTATTTTGACGAGGCCTTTGCAAAGAATCCAATTGTTAATGAATAAAAAATGAATGAGTAAATAGCATTGAACAGTTGATTAAATGGCCAATAGTCATTCAGTATTAGTGTTAGGCGATATTCAGTATTAGTGTTAGAATTAACAAAGCTGTCCTGGTCTTTGCCCTCATAGAGATTACAGTATGATGAGGGAGAACACAATGATAGATATCAATCTTAGAAAGGATGTCTTTTTCCTGATTGATAGACTACATTTTAAATCAAGTCAGTTAGTATGTTTTATATTATTGTTTTTATGACATCACTAACATTTGATATTACTGTGATGAGATTTTAGTTTCAGCAAAGGGCTATTAGATATTTTCTAATTTCAATCTACTTAGAAAACATTTAACTGTTTTTATTTCATGACTTTTTTTGTTTCATTAGCTAATAGATGATGCTGAAAATCATCTTTAGACACCCTATCCATAAATTAAATTGTACATATCAGCTGCATGTGCTATGTGTGCTAAAATCAATAGAATGGGCTGCTAGTTCCTTTCTCTTCACTTAAAGGCTTGAATTATATTTATCATGATATTTTTATAAATTAATAGTTTGTTTGGCTGGTCTAGTAACCTGCATCCAAATTTTGATGGCAAACTTTCCCTTTAGAAAATGACTTGATTAAATACAAGAAAACAAGGGGAAAGTAAGGATCATAATTTTCTGTTTACTCACTGTTATCTTATTTTCCTTTATCCCAAGAAAGAAGCAGCCTGCTTATGTTTTGATAATGCTGTTTGTCTGTCAGATGGTGCAGGCAGAAGCCAGCTGTTCCCTATAAAGATATCTTGGGAAATAGCAATATGACTGTCTATAACGGCAAATGCTATCTGATACCATCTCTAGGGGATAGTTCTTGTTGAAATTTTGTGGGAGGGTTTTCTAAACAGCAGGCCAAGATGTCAAGAATGGTTACTTGGTTACTGCTGATGCATGCCAAAGTCAATGCAAAATATGTAAAGAGGAAAATAAAATCCTATTTGAGAGAAGAAGGAAAGGTTCAGAAGACAGTTCAGAACAGGCAGTGTCCATAGAGGGTGTTAAGATGGAATTGATTTAAAAAAGTCTGATAGTGGGGCTGAAAGCTCAAAGCTGTGAACACAGTCATTGGTGCCCAGATCTTTTCATAGATGTTTTCATGATGGAAGTTCTCAGGATCTGAATGTGATGATGGAGGGAAAGGAAAACAAAGCTCAGAAGACCTCACATGTTCGGAGCATTATCATTTCAACGTAGGTTAATTTTCCGATGGAGAACATTAAGGAATTCTCCTCACAGTCACCAAAGAGGAATAGTGCCTCTACCTAGGGAGCACTGGGCCCAGGAATGGGCTCCATAAGGACAAAAGAAGACGTATGGAGGACAGGCAGTTCCAAGGGAGGGAGCCCAAGAGAGAGAACTGTGAAGCTGTGGCCCATGAGAAAAGAGCCTGGAGAAAAGTAGTTCAGGAGAAACAGGACAAGCTTTGCTCAAAAGTTCCCAGAGCTGTTGTAGAAAGTCTTGACCTGTAAGTTCCTGAAGGCTGGACTAGACTCTATAGAAAGAATTTACAAGGTGTATATTTCATCTGAACATAAGTAAAATTTGTTTGTTGGATGAGCAACACGTATGGGTATAAATACAAACTAAAGTTGACATTTGACTCCCACTCTGTCTTTAAATCTTCTCATTGAGTGTGGTCTTTCCCTGCCCTGGATAAAAAGCCCTTTAGGTAAATGAAAGTTTTACAGCCACTTAACATGAAAAAAAAAGCAAAACAAAACAACAACAACAAAACAGTAATTTAAAATGAAAGGGATGTCATGGGAGTATGAGATTTCTCTATTTCTTTGCCTCATGCTTTTTCTCCTCCCATAGCTGGCTCAACATGATTTCTGACCCTTCCATGTAGAAGGAAGGGAAGGAAGGACAGATGAAGGGGCATGAAAGCCACTGTGACTGTGCTGCTACAATGGCTCACCTTCCCTGGGGCTGGCAGGTGTTTAAGCTGACTCTTTTTTGTGCTCCTCAGGGATCTTTCTTATTCCTGGTTATCTCCTGTCTGTAGTTTCCTTGACCTGGGTGAATGCAGTCTAGTCCAACTGTTTCTCCTTTCCCCTCTGTCCCTAGGAATCTTCCTTCAGCTTCTTTTCTGCTGGGGCTTTAGTATCCTTCAGGTGACCCCACTGAACAAGATCTAAGAAAACTCCCATGCTGTCTTGTTTTCACACACTGACAATCTTAAGTGCAGACCCTTACTATCACAACAGCATTTCTTCTCCACTCCACTGGTAAAGTAACTGGCCAAGTCTTTCTCTCCTCATCCTCCCTTGCTCCACTATGCCTGCCAACCAGAAGCAGCAAGACTCAAATTCTCCAAATGAACCCACCAGAGCCTCTTTCCCTTGAATTGAGATGATGAGAAGGAAAGGGACCCCCCCAATACTTTCCTCACAAGACCCTTTCCAATAGCCAACAACTTGAACCTTCTATACCCTGTATGCTGCGGACAAGTCTTATAATAATTTCTCAGCCAAGATGGTCTGTCATTTTGGAATGTGGCATCTGTTGTCAACAGAAACCAAAATAGGAAGAGTTCCATGTTAACACCCTATAACCAAATGCTGGACTTTTTCTGATAAATAGCATACTGTCTATCATGCTGAGTTGGGAGCTGGACTCATTTGGTAGTTTTCAAACTTTACTGGGGCCAAGTTTTGCAATTTTATGGCAGTGCTTTGGGGACTTTAGGTGGGAATAAGAAGGAAGCCTCAAGTGGTGCTCTGGTTCAGCCACCTTCATGTCAACTGAAGTTGCTCAGCTTTTGATTTTTGTATGTTGAGTTTTAACATTAAGATTTCACTAGGAGAATGTTATGCTGGCAAAAAGAGGCTGCTTACCGGGTAGACTCATCTTAACTATTGATTAATTCACTCATCTGTCTATTCTGAGCAAGATACCAGTCTAGGCAGTTTCACTCTGATCCTGGGAATTCAGAACTGCTACTGCAGTTAATCAGCAGGGCTTCCAATTATAAGTTAAAACAGCTCTGCATAGGTCAGCCACTTTTTCACTGGGCAAGCTTAAAGGAGTCACTGAAACTTTCTATGCTTCAGTTTTCTCATCTGTTAAATAGTTGTCTGGTAGTATTGTTTTGAATTGTGTGTGCCAAGTGCCCTGCATGGTATTTCCTGAGTGCATGTATGTTGGCACTCAGGAAATCACAGCTACATGGCCTTTCAAAGCTGCCTTGGAAGCTAACAAGCAAAGTTCTCAGAAACCATCCTCTCCTGTGTCATTAATTTGAAGGACCTTGCTGTGGTGACACCTGTGACAAGGGCACACCATGTCCTCGCAAACCATTTCCTTCTCCTATACCCTAAGTAAGAGATTAAAACAGACTTTCCTTGCAGCCTTTTATCATGGATACAGGGCATAAAGGAAATGTCTCCCCAACTTGAATGCAGACCAGGAGCAAGAAATCAGAAGCACCATTTACTGAATAGGGAGTCCTTTCCCCATTACTTGTTTTTGTCAGCTTTGTCAGAGATCAGATGGTTGTAGGTGTGCAGCCTTATTTCTGGTGTCTCTATTGTTCCATTGGTCTATGTGTCTGTTGTTGTACCAGTACTATGCTGTTTTGGTTACAGTGGCCCTGTAATATAGTTCAAAGTTGGGTAATGTGATATCTCCAGCTTTGCTCTTCTTACTTAGGATTGCTTTGGTTGTTTGAGTTCTTTCTGGGTTCCATATGAATGTTAAAATCGTTTTTTTCTAGTTCTATGAAGAATGTCATTGGTAGTCTGATAGGAGTAGCATTGGATCTATAAATTGCTTTGGGCAGTACAGCCATTTTAATGATATTGATTCTTCCAATCCATGAGCATTAAATGTTTTTCCATTTGTGTCATCTCTGATTTCTTTGAGCATTGTTTTGTAATTCTCAAGGTAGAGATCTTTTACCTCCCTGGTTAGCTGAATTCCTAGGTATTTTATTCTTTTTGTGGCAATTGTGAATAGGATTGCATTCTTCATTTGGCTCTTGGCTTGGCTATTATTGGTGTATAGGAATGCTAGTAATTTTTGTGCTTTAATTTTATATCCTGAAACTTTGCTGGAGTTGTTTATAGGCTAACAGAGCTTTTGGGTTGAGACTCTTGGGTTTTCGAGATATAAGATTATGTCGTTTGCAAACAGGAAAAATTTGACTTACTCTCTTCCTGTTTGAATGCCCTTTGTTTTTTTCTCTTGCCTCATTTTCCTGGTCAGGACTTCCAATACTATGTTGAATAGGAGTGGTGAGAGAGGGCATACTTGTCTTGCACTGGTTTTCAAGAGGAATACTTCCAGCTTTTACCCATTCAGTATGATGTTGGCTGTGGGTTTGCCATAGATGGCGCTTATTATTTTGAGGTATGTTCCCTTAATACCTAGTTTATTGAGGTAATCATATGTGTTTTGCCTTCAGTTCTGCTTATGTGATGAATCACATTTATTGATTTGCATATCTTGGGCCAATTTTGCATCCCAGGGATAAAGCCTACTTGATCTTGGTGGATTAGCTTTCTTCTGTGCTGCTAGATTCCATTTGTCAGTATTTTGTTGAGGATTTTTGCATCAATGTTCATCAAGAATATTGACCTGAAGTCTTCTTTTTCTGTTGTGTCTCTGCCAGGTTTTGGTATCAGGGTGATGTTGGCCTCATATGAGATGAGGAGGAGTCCCTCCTCCTCAATTTTTGGAATAGTTTCAGTGGGAATAATACCAGCTCTTCTTTGTACATATGGTAGAATTTGGCTTTGAATCTGTCTGGTCCTGAGCTTTTTTTTTGGCTAGTAGGCTATTTATTACTGATTCTATTTTAAAGCTTGTTATTGGTTTGTTCAGGGAATCAATTTCTTCCTGGTTCAGTCTTGGGAGGGTGTATGTGTCCAAGAATTTAACCATCTCTTCTAGGTTTTCTAGTTTGTTTGCATAGAGGTGTTTGTAGTACTTTCTGATGGTTATTTTTATTTCTGTGGGGTCAGTGGTAACATCCCCTTTGCCATTTCTAATTGTTTTTATTTGCATCTTCTCTCTCTTCTTATTAGTTTAGCTAATGGCCTATTTTATTAATTTTCCAAAAAAAAAAAAACAGCTGCTGGATTTATTCATCTTTTGAATGGTCTTTTGTGTCTTGGTCTCCAGTTCAGCTCTGATTTGTGTTATTTCTTTTCTGCTAGCTTTGGGGTTGCTCTTGCCTCTTTAGTTCTTTTAGCTGCGATGTTAAGTTGTGAATTTGAGATCTTTCTAACTTTTTGGTGTGGACATTTAATGCTATAAATATCCCTCTTACCACTACCTTAGCTGTGTCCCAGAGGTTCTGGTATGTTGTATCTTTGTTCTCCTTCGTTTCAAAGAACTTGATTTCTGCCTTAATTTCATTATTTACCTCAAAGTTAGTCAGAAGCATGTTGTTTAATTTTCATGTAATTGTGTGGTTTTGATAAATTTTTTTAGTCTTGATTTCTAATTTTATTGCATTATGGTTTGAAAGTGTGTTTGGTATGATTTCAGTTTTTTCCTATTTGCTAAGGATTCTTTTATATCTGATTATTTGGTCTATTTTACAGTATGTGTCAGGTGACGATGAGAAGAATGTATATTCTGTTGTTTTGGGATGGAGAATTCTGTAGAGATCTATCAGATCCATTTGGTTTAATGTTGAGTTCAGGTCCTGAGTATCATTGCTAATTTTCTGTCTCTGCCTAATGCTGTCAGTGGATTGTTGATGTCTCCACCATTATTGTGTGGGAGTCTAAGTATCTTCGTGAGTCTCTAAGAACTTGGTTTATGAATCTGGGTGCTTCTGTTTTGGGTACATATATATTTAGGATAGTTAGGTCTTCTTGTTGAATTGCACTCTTTACCATTATTGTCATGACCTCTTTTGTCTTTTTTGATCTTTGTGGTTTAAAATCTGTTTTGTCTGAAATTAGGATTGCAAATCTGGCTTTTATCTGATTTCCATTTGCTTGGAAGATTTTCCTCCATGCCTTTACTCTGAATGTATGGATGTAATTGCATGTGAGATGGGTGTTTTGAAAACAGCATACTGCTGGGTCTTGGTTTTCTATCTACCTTACCACTCTGTGCTTTTTAAGTGGGGGCATTTAGCCCATTTATATTCAAAGTTAATATGGATATGTGTACATTTGATCCTGTCATTCTGTTGTTAGGTGGTTATTATGCTGGCTTGTTTGTGTGGTTGCTTTATAGTGTCACTGGTCTGTTCACTTAAGTGTGTTTTTGTATTGGCTGGTAATGGTCTTTCCTTTCCATATTTAGTGCTTCTTTCAAGATCTCTTGTCAGGCAGGTCTAGTGGTAACAAACTCCCTCACCATTTGCTTATAGGGAAAGGATTTTATTTCTCTTTTGCTAAGAAAGCTTAGTTTGGCTGGATATGTAATTCTTGGTTGAAGATTTTTTTTTTTAAGAACATTATATAGGCTCTCAATCTCTTCTGGCTTGTAAGGTTTCCGCTGAGCAGCTTGCTGTTAGCCTGATGAGGTTCCCTTTGTAGGTGACCTGCCCTTTCTCTCTAGCTGCCTTTAACATTCCTTTCTTTTATTTTGACCTTAGAAAATCTGATGATTATGTGTCTTGGGGGTGATCTTCTTCTGTAGAATCTTGCAGAGGTTCTCTGTATTTCCAGAATTTGACTGTTGACTTCTCTAGAGAGGTTGGCGATGTTTTCATAAATGATAACCTGGAACAGTTTTCAAGTTGTTTGTGCCCTCCCCATCTCTTTCAGGGATGCCAATGATTAAAAATATGGAACACTCCACACATTGCATATCATCCTTGTGTAGGGACCACGCTAATCTCTGTATCATTCCAATTTTAGTACAGGTGCTGTTAAAGTGAGCACATAAGCCAAGTTTTGTAATAACAGCAAGGCAGATATCTGTTCCCCAAGGGCAGCTGGCTCATAAGAAAGAGGAGTGAACAGCTAACCATTCTCAGTAGTACTCCTAACCTCACTCATCTAATATTTCTATTTATGTAGGAAGGAAAAAATGGTGGTACAATCAGCCAACGTGTTTAAAGGAAATTTCTTGTTATGAAAACAATCCTAAAATTCATATGGAACCAAAAAAGAACCAAAAAGGATCTCACATAGCCAAGGCAAGACTAAGCAAAAAGAACAAACCTAGAGGCATAACATTACTGGACTTCAAACTATACTACAAGGCTATAGTTACAAAAGTGGCATGGTACTGGTATAAAAATAGGCATGTAAGGCGGAGCGCAGTGGCTCATGCCTGTAATCCCAGCACTTTGGGAGGCCGAGGTGGGCAGATTACCTGAGGTTGGGAGTTTGAGCCCAGCCTGACCAACATGGAGAAACCCTGTCTCTACTAAAAATACAAAGTTAACTGGGTGTGGTGGCACATGCCTGTAATCCCAACTACTTGGGAGCCTGAGGCAGGAGAATTGCTTGAACCCAGGAGGTGGAGGTTGTGGTGAGCTGAGATCGCACCATTGCACTCCAGCTTGGGCAACAAGAGTGAAACTCGGTCTCAAAAAAAAAAAAAAAAAAAAAGGAAATAGGCATGTAGACTAATGAAACAGAATACAGAACCTAGAAATAAAGCTAAATATTTACAGCCAACTGATCTTTGACAAAGCAAACAAAAACATAAAGTGGGGAAAGGACATCCTATTCAACAAATGGTGCTGGGATAATTGGCAAGCCACATATAGAAGAATGAAGCTGGATCCTCATCTCTCACGTTACACAAAAATCAACTGATGATGGACCAAAGACTTAAATCTAAGACCTGACACCATAAAAATTCAAGAAGATAACATTTGAAAAACTTTTCTCAATGTTAGCTTAGGCAAAGAATTCATGACCAAGAACCCAAACACAAATGCAACAAAAACAAAGATAAATGGATGGGACCTAATTAAACTAAAAAGCTTCTGTACAGCAAAAGAAATAATCAGCAAAGTAAACAGGCAACACACAGAATGGGAGAAAATTTTTTGTAACCTATGCACCCAACGAAGGACTAATATCCAGAATCTACAAGAAACTCAAAAAATAAAGCAAGAAAAAAAACAAAATGGGGGTCCCTTCCAAGATGGCCGAACAGGAACAGCTCCGGTCTGCAGCTGTCAGTATGATCGATGCAGAAGACAGATGATTTCTGCATTTCCAACAGAGGTATTTGGTTCATCTCATTGGGACTGCTCGGAAAGTGGGTGCAGCCCTTGGAGAGCCAGCCAAAGCAGGGCGGGGCATCGCCTCACTCAAGAAGTACAAGGGGTTTGGGGATTTCCCTTTCCTAGCCAAGGGAAGCCATGACAGACTGTACCGGGAAAATTGAGACACTGCCACCTAAACACTGCGCTTTTCCAATGGTCTTAGCAAATGGCACACCAGGAGATTGTATCCCGTGCCTGGCTCAGAGGGTCCCATGCCCATGGAGCCTTGCTCACTCCTAGTCCGAGATCGAACTGGCAACACTGGCTGGGGGAGGGGTGTCTGTCATTGCTGAGGCTTGAGTAAGTAAACAAAGCAGCCAGGAAGCTCGAACTGGGTGGAGCCCACTGCAGCTCAAGAAGCCTGTCTTTCTCTGTAGACTCCACCTCTGGGGGCAGGGCATAGCTGAACAAAAAGTAGCAGAAACTTCTACAGACTTAAACATCTCTGTCTGACAGCTCTGAAGAGAGCAGTGGTTCTCCCAGCATGGTATTTGAGCTCTGAGAATGGACAGACCACCTCCTCAAGTGGGTCCCTGATACCTATGTAGCCTAACTTGGAGAAACCTCCCAGTAGGGGCTGATTGACACCTCATACAGCCAGGTGCCCCTCTGAGACAAAGCTTCCAGAGGAAGGATCAGCAGCAATATTTGCTGTTCTGCAATATTTGCTGTTTTGCACCTACGCTGGTGATACCCAGGCAAACAGGGTCTAGAGTGGACCTCCAGCAAACTCCAACAGACTTTCAGCTGAGGGATCTGACTGATAGAAGGAAAACTAGCAAACAGAAAGGAATAGCATCAACATCAACAAAAAGGACATCCACACCAAAACCCCATCTGTAGGTCACCATCATCAAAAACCAAAGGTAGATAAAACCACAAAGATGGGGAGAAACCAGAGCAGAAAAGCTGAAAATTCTAAAAACCAGAGTGCCCCTTCTACTCCAAAGGATTGCAGCTCCTTGCCAGCAGGAGAACAAAGCACGACTGAGAATTAATTTGATGAGTTGACAGAAGTAGACTTCAGAAAGTCGGTAATAACAAACTTCTCCGAGCTAAAGAAGGATGTTCGAACCCATTGCAAGCAAGCTAAAAACTTGAAAAAGATTAGACGAATGGCTAACTAAAATAGACAGTGTAGAGAAGACCTTAAATGACCTAATGGAGCTGAAAACCATGGCATGAGAACTACGTGACACATGCAAAAGCATCAGTACCTGATTCAATCAAGTGGAAGAAAGGGTATCAGTGATTGAAGATCAAATTAATGAAATGAAGTCAGAAGAGAAGTTTAGAGAAAAAAGAGTAAAAAGAAATGAACAAAGCCTCCAAGAAATATGGGACTATGTGAAAAGAACAAACCTATGTTTGATTGGTGTACCTGAAAGTGACGGGGAGAATGGAACCAAGCTGGAAAACACTCTTCAGGATATTATCCAGGAGAACTTCCCCAGTCTAGCAAGGCAGGCCAATATTCAAATTCAGGAAATACAGGGAACACCACAAAGATACTCCTCGAGAAGAGCAACCCCAAGACACATTATTGTCAGATTCACCAAGGTTGAAATGAAGGAAAAAATGCTGAGGGCAGCCAGAGAGAAAGGTCGGGTTACCCACAAAGGGAAGGCTATCAGACTAACAGCTGATCTCTTGGCAGAAACTCTACAAGCCAGAAGAGAGTAGGGGCCAATATTCAACATTCTTAAAGACAAGAATTTTCAATCCAGAATTTCATATCCAGCTAAACTAAGCTTCACAAATGAAGGAGAAATAAAATCCTTTACAGACAAGCAAATGCTGAGAGATTTTGTCACCACCAGGCCTGCCTTACAAGAGCTCCTGAAGGAAGCACTAAACATGGAAAGGAACAACCGGTACCAGCCACTGCAAAAACAGGCCAAATTGTAAAGACCATCGCTGCTAGGAAGAAACTGCATCAACTAACGGGCAAAATAGCCAACTGACATCATAATGACAGGATCAAATTCACACATAACAATATTAACCTTAAATGTAAATGGGCTAAATACCCCAATTAAAAGATACAGACTGGCAAATTGGATAAAGAGTTAAGACCCATCAAGAGTGCTGTATTCAGGAGACCCATCTCATGTGCAGAGACACACATACGCTCAAAATAAAGGGATGGAGGAAGATCTACCAAGCAAATGGAAAGCAGAAAAAAAAAAAAAAAAAAAACAACAGGGGTTGCAATCCTAGTCTCTTTTAAAACAGACTTCAAACCAAAAAAGATCAAAAGAGACAAGGAAGGCCATTACATAATGGTAAAGGGATCAATTCAACAAGGAGAGCTAACTATCCTAAATATATATGCACCCAATACAAGAGCACCCAGATTCATAAAGCAAGTCCTTAGAGACCTAAAAAGAGACTTAGACTCCCACACAATAAAAATGGGAGACTTTAACACACCACTGTCAATAGTAGACAGATCAAAGAGACAGAAGGTTAACAAGGATAACCAGGACTTGAACTTGACTTTGAACCAGGTAGACCTAACAGACATCTACAGAACTCTCCACCCCAAATCAACAGAATATACATTCTTCTCAGCACCACATAGCACTTATTCCAAAATTGACCACATAGTTGGAAGTAAAGCACTCCTCAGCAATGTGAAAAAACAGAAATCACAACAAACTGCCTCTCAGACCACACTGCAATCAAATTAGAACTCAGGATTAAGGAACTCACTCAAAACCACACAACTACATGGAAACTGAACAACCTGCTCCTGAATGACTACTGGGTAAATAACGAAATGAAGGCAGAAATAAAGATGTTACTTGAAACCAATGAGAACAAAGACACAATGTATCAGAATCTCTGGGAGAAATTTAAAGCAGTGTGTACAGGGAAATTTATAGCACTAAATGCCCACAAGAGAAAGCAAGAAAGATCTAAAATTGACACCCTAACATCACAATTAAAAGAACTAGAGAAGCAAGAGCAAACACATTCAAAAGCTAGCAGAAGGCAAGAAATAACTAAGATCAGAGCAGAACTGAAGGAGATAGAGACACAGAAAACCCTTCAAAAAATCACTGAATCCAGGAGCTGGTTTTTTTGAAAAGATCAACAAATTGATAGACCTCTAGCAAGATTAATAAAGAAAAAAAGAGAGAAGAATCAAATAGATGCAATAAAAAATGATAAAGGGGATATCACCACTGATCCCACAGAAATACAAACTACCATCAAAGAATACTATAAACACCTTTAAGCACATAAACTAGAAAATCTAGAAAAAATGGATAAATTCCTGGACACATACACCCCCCCAAGACTAAACCAGGAAGAAGTTGAATCATTGAATAGACCAATAACAGGCTCTGAAATTGAAGCAATAATTAATAGCCTACCAACAAAAAAAGTCCAGGACCAGATGGATTCACAGCCAAATTCTACCAGAGTTACAAAAAGGAGCTGGTACCATTCCTTCTAAACTATTCCAATCATAGAAAAAGAGGGAATCCTCCCTAACTCATTTTATGAAGCCGGTATAATACTGATACCAAGGCCTGGCAGAGACACAATAAAAAAAGAGAATTTTAGACCAATATCCCTGATGAACATCAGTGCAAAAATCCTCAATAAAATACTGACAGACTGAATCCAGCAGCACATCAAAAAGCTTATCCATCAAGATCAAGTTGGCTTCATCCCTGGGATGCAAGGCTGGTTCAACATATGCAAATCAACAAATGTAATCCATCACATAAACAGAACCAAAGACAAAAACCACATGATTATCTCAATAGATGCAGAAAAGGCCTTCAACAAAATTCAACAGCCATTCATCCTAAAAACTCTCAATAAACTAGGTATTGATGGAACATATCTCAAAATAATAAGAGCTATTTATGACAAACCCTCAGCCAGTATCATACTGAATGGGCAAAAACTGGAAACATTCCCTTTGAAAACTGGCACAAGACAGGGATGCCCTCTCTCACCACTCCTATTCAACATAGCGTTAGAAGTTCTGGCCAGGGCAATCAGGCAAGAGAAAGCAATAAAGGGCATTCAATTAGGAAAAGAGGAAGTAAAATTGTTCCTGTTTGCCGATGACATGATCGTATATTTAGAAAACCCCATCGTCTCAGCCCAAAATCTCCTTAAGCTGATAAGCAACTTCAGCAAAGTCTCAGGATACAAAATCAATGTGCAAAAATCACAAGCATTCTTATACATCAATAATAGACAAACAAAGAGCCAATTCACGAGTGAACTCCCATTCACAATTGCTGCAAAGAGAATAAAATACCTAGGAATCCAACTTACAAGGGATGTGAAGGACCTCTTCAAGGAGAACTACAAACCACTGATCAACGAAATAAAAGAAGACACAAACAAATGGAAGAACATTCCATGCTCATGGATAGGAAGAATCAATATCGTGAAAATGGCCATACTGCCCAAGGTAATTTACAGATTCAATGCCATCCCCATCAAGCTACCAATGACTTTCTTCACAGAATTGGAAAAAACTACTTTAAAGTTCATATGGAACCAAAAAAGAGCCCACATTGCCAAGACAATCCTAAGCCAAAAGAACAAAGCTGGAGGCATCACACTACCTGACTTCAAACTATACTACAAGGCTATAGTGATCAAAAAAGCATGGTACTGGTACCAAAACAGAGATATAGACCAATGGAACAGAACAGAGCTCTCAGAAATAACACCACACATCTACAACCATCTGATCTTTGACAAACCTGACAAAAACAAGAAATGGGGGAAGGATCCCCTATTTAATAAATGGTGCTAGGAAAACTGGCTAGCCATATGTAGAAAGCTGAAACTGGATCCCTTCCTTACACCTTATACAAAAATTAATTCAAGATGGATTAAAGACTTACATTTTAGACCTAAAAACCATAAAAACCCTAGAAGAAAACCTAGGCAATACCATTCGGGACATAGGCATGGGCGAGGACTTCATGACTAAAACACCAAAAGCAATGGCAACAAAAGCCAAAGTTTCAAATGGGATCTAATTAAACTAAAGAGCATCTGCACAGCAAAAGAAACTACCATCAGAGTGAACAGGCAACCTACAGAATGGGAGAAAATTTTTGCAATCTACCCGTCTGACAAAGGGCTAATATCCAGAATCTACAAAGAACTTACCCAAATTTACAAGAAAAAAATCAAAGGACCCCATCAAAAAGTGGGCAAAGGATATGAACAGACACTTCTCAAAAGAAGACATTTATGCAGCCAACAGACACATGAAAAAATGCTCATCATCACTGGCCATCAGAGAAATGCAAATCAAAACCACAATGAGATATTATCTCACACCAATTAGAATAGTGATCATTAAAAAGTCAGGAAACAATAGGTGCTGGAGAGGATGTGGAGATATAAGAATGTGTTTACCCTGTTGGTGGGAGTGTAAACTAGTTAAACCATTGTGGAAGACAGTGTGGTGATTCCTCAAGGGTCTAGAACTAGAAATAACATTTGACCCAGCCATCCCATTACTGGGTATATACCCAAAGGATTAGAAATCATGCTACTATAAAGACACATGCACATGTATGTTTATTGTGGCACTATTCACAATAGCAAAGACTTGGAACCCACCCAAATGTCCAGCAATGTTAGACTGAATTAAGAAAATGTGGCACATATACACCATGGAATACTATGCAGCCACAAAAAAGGATGAGTTCATGTCCTTTGTAGCTACATGGATGAAGCTGGAAACCATCATTCTAAGCAAACTATCACAAGGACAGAAAGCCAAACACTGCATGTTCTCACTCATTGGTGGTAACTAGACAATGAGAACACTTGGACACAGGGCAGGGAACATCACACACCAGGCCTGTTGGGGGATGATGGAATGGGGGAGGGATAGCATTAGGAGAAATACCTAATGTAAATGAAGAGTTATTGGGTGCAGCAAACCAACACAGAACATGTATACATATGTACCAAACCTGCACGTTGTGTACATGTATACCCTAGAACTTAAAGTATAATAAAAAATAAATAAAATAAAATAAAATAAAATAATCCCATCAAAAAGTGGGCTAAGGACATGAATATACAATTCTCAAAAGCAGAAATACAAATGGCCAAACTTAGGAAAAAATATTCAATATCACTAATTATCAGGGAAATGCAAATCAAATTCCACAATGCAATAACCTCTTACTCCTGCAAAAATGGTCATAATTAAAAAATCAAAAATAAACACATATTGTCATGGATATGGTGAAAAGGGAACACTTTCACCTGGATGGTGGGAATATGAACTAGTATAACCACTATGGAAAACAGTATGGAGACTCCTTTAAGAACTAAGAGTACATCTACCATTTGATCCAGCAATTCCGTTACTGGGCATCTTCCCAGTGAAAAAGAATTCATTACATGAAAAAGACATTTGCACACACATGTTTATAGCAGCACAATTTTGAATTGCAAAAATATGGAACCGGCCTTAATGCCCATCAAACAATGAGTGGATAAAGAAAATGTGATCTATACCATGGAATACTACTCAGCCCTAAAAAGGAATAAAATAATGACATTTGCTGCAACCTGGATGGACTTGGAGACCATTATTCTAAGTGCAGTAACTCAGGAATGCAAAACCAAACATCTTATGTTCTCACTCATAAGCAGGAGCTAAGCTATGAGGACGCAAAAGCGTAAGAATGATATAATAGAATTTGGGGACTCCAGGGAAGGGTAGGAGGGGGTGAGGGATAAAAACCACACATTGGGTACAGTGTACACTGCTCGAGTGATGGATGCACCAAAATCTCCGAAATCACCACTTTTTCATACAACCAAACATCACCTGTTTCCCCAAAATTATCAAAATAAAAATTTAAGAAATAAAAAATAAAAATAAAATGAAAAAAAAAGAAAACCAGGAATTGTGAAGATATATTCTATCTGCTACCATGCACTGTAGCACTTTATCATGTTCTACCTTGTATAATATGTTGCTGGGGTGGCTGGGGGAGTGTTTCTCTAGAGGAAATGTCATTTATTCTGAAACAGGAAATAGGATGGCTTTTGAGGCTGAAATTTCAGGGCTAAAGGGCAGAATTAGGGGAAGGAATTGGTTCTAGCCTCCAGAACTTGCAGACCTGTCTTGGGGCAATGGCTGTGGCGTGTGTGTGTGTGTGTATGCATGTGTGTCCACACACACTCACATGTAGTCATGAGTAAAATAGAGAAGCTATGGACCCCAGCATAAAAAAATTATTGAGAGCTGGAATTACAGGTGTAGGGAGGGACTATAGCTGAGTATATCCAGGGTGAGGATATCAGAAGAGAGGCATCCTCTTCTCTGTATCTGGAGAGCTTCCAGCTGGCAGGAACAGGGGCCTAATATCACCAAAGCCCTTCTTCAGCAGACAGGGGTTGTACCAGACTCCAGGATGGCCAGGATAGGGGGCAGGGTAGATGACCAAATTGCTAGGCTGCCAATGTTTCAGTAACACCATTCTTTTGGCACAAGAGCCAAATGAATCATGAGTGTCTCCAACAGAACTGAAAGTAATTTCTCTTTAGCACCAGAGTAATAAAGACCAACTCCTTGGACTAAGGAAGTACAGGTTGAACATCCCTTATCCAAAATGCTTGGGACAAGCAGCGTTTCAGATTTCTGACTTTTTTTTTTTCTTTTAGATTTTGGAATATTTGCATTGCCAAATCCAAAATCCAAAATGCTCCAAAGAGCATTTCCTTTGGTGCAAAAATGTTTCGGATTTTGGAGCATTTTGGATTTTGAATTTTCAGATTTGAGATGCTCAAACTGTATAGCTAGGATCCCAGAAGCTACCATGGTTGGAAAGAAGAAGTACACACTTGCAGTTAGGATGAGGTCTCCGAGTTATTTCATCAGACAATCAAAAAGATCAGTTTCTTTTTTAATTCCCTAACTCATGTAAATTAAGATGGTTTCTTGCTTACACCTTAGATTTTTGGAGATAGGATAGCATAATGATTAACAGTATATATCCTGGGCTGGGCACGGTGGCTCACGCCTGTAATCCCAGCATTTTGGGAGGCCGAGGCGGGCAGATCACGAGGTCACGAGATCGAGACCATCTTGGCTAACACGGTGAAATCCCGTCTCTACTAAAAATACAAAAAATTAGCTGGGCGTGGTGGTGGGCGCCTGAAGTCCCAGCTACTCGGGAGGCTGAGGCAGGAGAATGGCGTGAACCCGGAGGTGGAGCTTACAGTGAGTCGAGATCGTGCCACTGCACTCCAGCCTGGGCGACAGAACGAGATTCCGTCTCAAAAAAAAAAAAAAAAAAAAAAAAAAAGAGTATATATCCTGAAGCTAAACCACCTGGATTTAAATCCTGGCTCTGCCATTTACAAGCTTTGTGACCTGTGCTCAAGTCTCCTCAAACATGAAATAGGGATGGTAATAACTAACTTGTGGGATATAGGGAGGATTAAAGAAAGTTAACATGTGTAAGCTCTTAGCACAGTGCCTGACACATACCAAGTGTTCACTAAATGTCAGGTATTCATATTAATATTCTCTTGTTTCTTTTTCCTAGATATCTTGCCTACTCCAGTGGAAATGGAATCTCCCAAAAGACTCCCAGAACAGGTTGAGCATACTCACAATCAGCACTTAATGACAGAGCCCTTTCTTCAAAAGAAAGAGACTGAGCTGAAAAGAAACAGAATACCAGAATTCAGAGTTTGACATTAGGGTTTCCAGCTGAGAGTTATTTTAAGGTACAAGCAGGTAGTGTCATGAAGACTTGGGAGCAGTTCAGTATTCTCACAGAGAGACTCCACTGGCAAGCAAATCATTTAGCAGAGCCCAGGGTGTTCCTAGGAGATTCAGGCAGGGGGCCCAAACACGATTATTTTTGTTTCCATTTCTAAGGAAAAGCTGGAAGGGAGAGGAATTTGGATTGAGAAAGTAATATAAGGGGATTGGATAAGATGATCTCCAAAGACTGTTCCAGCATTCTGCAAGGCACTGAGTCTGTGAGCATGACTAAAAGAATGAAGATTTAAAAATATTCAAGGCAGGAGAATTCAGGCAGATGCTCAGGAAAATATGTCCCAACCAAATTCCTGCTGAACCTCAGAATATCCTGGTAAGGGAAATGATGTGAATTTCATACCCAGAATTATGGAAAATAAAATGAAACACATAAGGTTTGGGAAAAATCTTACACTGGCAGAGATATAAGCTTCTTATTCAGTCAGTCTTTCCTCATTTCACCATGGTTAGAAGTTATGTTGTGTCAAAGGAAGCTTCAAAAGACTTTTGATGGACAAATTCAACAGTGGCTACAATCAAATCTTCCCTATTCTCTTTTGAAATCTCCTATTTGGGCAATAGTTATTAGGCCTAGACTTACGAGGGCAAAATAATTCCTAAATTGTATTTAAATGTGACTGTTTAAAGATCTCAGGACTGGTATAGTGGTCTCATACATCTGTAAGAAGCAGTCCAAATAGTTGTGATATGAGTAGAGTGTGTGTGTTATAAGGTCATTAAATTAGGCTGTAAAATGCCATTTGATGAATAAGAATATTAAAATGGAATTGAAGTATTGTTGCAAGAGAGGAATTTTTGTGCTTCAAGAGATGAAAGATGGGGGAAGCTTTGGCAAGAACCAGGGATGAGACAAGCAGCTGCTGTGCAAATCTCTTTGCTATTATTCTACCAGCACATCCCTGAAGTTTCCAGGCCAGTATTTCTCGCCCTACACAAACACCAATCATTCTGCCAAGATGTTGGCTAAGCATTCAGTATAGGAGCTGTGCCACTCTATTCTGTCCATTAGCAAAGCCACAGACTTACCATGCTCCTTCTCCCTCTGCCATTCAGTCTTTAAGATGGCCATTGTTACCCTGTTTATCATTCCTTCTTTGGTGGAAAGAAGGGAAGGCAAGAGAAACTTTATAAGTCATCGTCTGAAACCTGGAACAGCAGCCCTCCTCTGGTGTTACCTTCCTGCTCACCCCAGCCTTCACCATCTTAACAGCATGGAACAGTTCAGTAGCATTTTTGTTATGGTTGCAGCTTGGTCAATCTTCTCTCGAGGCACAGAGAACATGCCTATTAGCACTGATTCACTTTATCCTCAGTTGTCAGCTTCTTTGGATAAGTGATTCTCATGTGAGAACAACCTCCTGCAACACCGAGTATATTGGGCCCTTCCCATTTTGGAAGAAGCATTTGCATCCATGCAGGTTAGCACACCAGGTAGAGAAAATATACTAAATAATAATAATAATAATAATAATAAAAATTTGGCCCCATCTCTTGGTCACTCAGTGACTCAGATTTCCTACCTTAAAACTAGGCTTAAGTCAGTATGTCTGTAACTAGCCAAAATGTCTGCATATTTGAAAAATATGTAGATGTTGGCTACCAAGTGTACTCACTCAAATGATTAACTCACATTTTGGCAACTGCATAATGCCAAATAACATTTTGGTAAAAGATTTCATGGAATTAAAAAAAAATCAACAAAAGGAATTTTGGTGTAAACAAAATAGATCTAATTATTCTAACTTTTTGACCTGCCAGGGCTGGTTAAGCTCTGAGCGTGCCTTAAGTTGGCTTGTTCCCAGGCCACCTGCCTCCCTCATTCTCAACTTTCACTGTATCATATGTGGTGAAAAAAGAAATTAAAGACCTGAGTTCAAATCCCAGCCCACCAGGTGAGTTATTTGGCCGTGCTGAGCCTCAATTGTATCATCTGTAAAGTGGGAATGATAATAATATACCATGCGGCAATGTTGTAAAGAGTAAATATAGTGTACTTTAAGCCCCCAGCTCACAGCAGACACTAGAAAAATAAACAGTAGATTAATGAGAGCAAATATGGTGTGAATTAGCAACTCCCTCCTACAGTCTCAGGGTTTCTCAAAGTGTGATCTCTGACCATCTGCTGCAAAATTCTTCCAGGAAGCTTAGGAGAGACAGAGACTTCTGATCCTTACCCCAGATGTGACAAATCAGAATCTCTGAGACTGACCATTTCTAATACCTCCCCAGTCTCCAGTTGACTCTTGAGTATCTTAAAATTTGAGAGCCACTGAATTACAGCCTGATTTAAAACTTATTATCCTTTTTAGTCATTGGTTTGTAAAGAAATAGATAGCTCATGTGTTTCAGTGATTTTTAAGCACTCTGCAGTTCCTGTGTCCCAAGGTCCACAGGTTCTCTTAACAATTAAATAATATGGTCAGTTTGGGAAAGCTTAAAAAGCTGATCAAAGTAGTTTATAGGGAAGCTGGCTTTGTGTTTGTTTTTGCTTTTGTTTTTGTCTTTTTTGCTTGACTTGCTGGCCAACTGAGCAACTGAGTGATTTTGTGCTATGATTTAGGCCCAGTGGGTGGCACTTACCTAACTCCCTGGGTTAAAGAGTTAATATTAAACAGAATTTTATATCACTTACTCATTTAGCTTGTTAAAATTTCAATTACCATACAAGGTGACTGGTCTAAAATCCACAGGTTCTTGTACTCGATAGTCCAAAAGAAATCGTAGCCCAGAAGCACTGAAGTCTTGAGTTTTCAGCTGAGCAGAGAAAAATGATTCAGCAGGCATGACAGTGTGGATTCATGTTAGCATAGAGGTAAGAATCCAAACAGCACATAGTGGCCATTTCTCTGGCAACATAGACCTGGGGTATCTGCTGAAAAGGAAAAAATGGAGCTGGCAGAGCTGGCATAGCTGGCAGGCTCCTAGAGTGTTCATCCAACAGTGGAACCAGGGTAGCACCATGAAGCCTGAAAAGTGAGCCAGTTTCACTGGCAAAGACCAGGAGTTCCCCCTCCACATTTGTGGTGCCTTTATTAAATGGGACCCACAGCTGAGTAGTGATATGGAGAACTTGGAGTAGGGCCACGAAAGGCAATCAAGATCAATCAGGCTTCTGGGGAATAAATTTTTCAAGGGCTTGGCCTTCTCCAGACCAGAGCAATGGAGCTGTGGGCTGGCAGAGTGAGTATGCAGGGGAAATCAACAGTTCATTGGGATGGCTCAGTGATAGTTTAAATATTTCTACTAAGAACATCAAAAGAAAGGGCTTGAGCTGAACTTCAGCAGAAATTGGGCTTGAAATTGGAGTACGGTTTGTGAGGGAAAGGGTTATCCTGTTCTAGGGAAAGCTCTAGAGCCCCTTTTCCACTTCAGAGCACCCACCCACCTCCACCGCCCACTCTCCTCATTCACACCTCACTTCAGTAGCCACCACTTCTTGACGTAGGGTTGACAATATGCCAAATACTGTGCTCAACTGCATTATATTTAATATCTCATTTAATCCTCAGGGTAACCCTGCAAAGTGGGTAGTGGTGTGCTCATTTACAGAAGAGAAACAGGCTCCGTGAGATTAAGCAACAAGGCCATGCAGCCAGAAAAATGGCAGAGTCAAGCTGTCTCATTCCAAATCTCATAAACACTACTTTATCCTGCCCACTTGCGTATAGCTTGGGAGGCCAGTGTGACTGGAAGCAAGAGAGCAAGTGAATGAGTAGGGGAGTAGGGGAGAGGGTAGGAGATGAAGGCAGAAAGTAATGGGGTGCATGGGTGTGAAGTGGCCACCCCATGAAAAGTGCCCTTCAAGGCCACAAAGGATGTTACATTTTCTTCTTAATATGAAGGAAAGCCACAGGGGGGGTTTCAACAGAAAAGTTCTAATTTAGGTTTTAAACACATCTTTTTGAACATATTTTAGGGGGAAAGGGGTGGAAGCCCGGAACAAGTTGTGTAGGTATTTTAATAGTCCAGGTGGGAGATGATGTTTTGCAGTAGGTAGGAATGGCAAAGATGTGGGGAAGCAGGTAAATTCTAGAGACATTTCAAGGGTAAAACAAGCAGCATATGATGAATTGGTAAGTGATATGCCCACGGTTACATAGGTAGTAAGAGGCTGGACTGGAATTGGAACCAGGCTCTAACTACTTGAAAGCAGACCCTGTGAGCTTTCCACAAACTACAGTGAGCTGTGGTCATAGCTTCTGAGAAAGGGATTTCAGAATTCCTGCACCTGAGGCCAGAACAGGAAAAGCTCCCAGTGTGTGAAACATATGACTGAGTTATGTGTTTCCTGTGCGTCCTCTCTCTTTAAAAAAAAAGAGGGGTTGACAGCAGATTATCCAGGACAAATTGAAAACAATGACCAGGCCAGGTGCAGTGGCTCACGCCTGTAATCCCAGCACTTTGGGAGGCTGAGGCAGGTGGATCATCTACGATCAGGAGCTCAAGACCAGCCTGGCAAACATGGTGAAACCCCATCTCTACTAAAAAACAATGTAAAAATTAGCCAAGTGTGGAGGTGGGTGCCTGTAATTCCAGCTACTTGGGAGGCTGAGGCAGGAGAGTAGTTTGAACCCAGGAGGCAGAGGTTGCAGTGAGCCGAGACCACACCATTGCACTCCAGCCTGGGCAACAAGAGTGAAACTCTGTCTAAAACAAACAAACAAACAGAAAACTATGACTAGATACCTATCCGACCATTCTGGCCCACTTTGAAGGCTAATGAAGCAAGGTGTGCTGATGGCCTAGACAGCTACTGCGGGCAGAGGAAAAAGAAAACTTTACATTTTAACCTATATTAGACAGAAAATGGGAGGAGCCATTCGAGAGAAATAAAAAGACTCTGCAGCCACATTTACACAGTAAAAGCCAAATGGAAGATTGAGCAATTACCCAGTAACTGCAGGCTGGGGAGTCAGCCAATTTGGGTAACTCAGATAAAAACATGTGTTTGGCTGCTTCTCTTGCCTGAATTACTCGATAATGACCCAACCTGTCTGTTTTGCTTAGTCGAAGAGAACAAGAAACAGTTCCATCTGAGGCAGAGAACTTCCATGGGCCATCGTGTAGCCCAGGCTGAGGAGTTGCTGGGGAAAGGCTGTCCCTGGGATCCTGGCATGGAGTAAATTAACCATGGCAAGAGACTGCTCTGTCAATGCCCTGTGCTAGCTCCTAGAAACCCTAACATGAATAGTCTAGGGTCTCTAGTCTAATCTTGAGACAAAACTGAGGAAGGAAAATTATAATAAAACTTATTAAAGTGTAGAGATATCCTTTGAGGAAATGATGGGAACACAAAGAACTCACCCACATTGGGGTGGGGTGTGGGGAACAATCAGGGCAGGCTTCCTGGAGGGGATGATATTTGAGCTTGGTCCTGGATGATGAGGAATTGTTAGTCAGGAAAAGAGAAATGGAGAAAGGAGAGGGAAAGCTAGTGAAAGATGGTGGCATTTTTTTTCCTCTGGTGTTAGGAGTTAGTTTACCAAGGAATAAATACAGATAACTTTCAGGGTTTATTGTGCACCAGATACTTTTCTAAGTACTTTATATGTACTATCTTATCACAGGGTCACAATAACCATTTGGGAAAAGTGCTATTATTAGTCCATTTTGCATATGAGAAAACTCTGGCACAGCGCAGTTTAATAACTTGCCCACAGTCACCATGGTGGGATGTGGCAAAACGAGGACTCCAGACAGCATGACGTGAAAGTTTTTGTGATACTTCTCCATGTTGTCTGTAATGTAGCTTCAGCCCTACTGCCATGCCATTCCTGCAGATGTCCATGACAGAGCAGAATAAACTAATGCTTCACAAAGGCCAGAAGTCCACTCTCAGATTAGAACACAAGCAGGCAAGTGACACACAGAGGCTGCAACTCTGCCTTTGCCCTGCCTGCTCCTGTGCCAGCTCAGCTCCACTTCGACACCTTATCCCCTGCCCTACATGAGCACTGCATGCTCCTCTGAGCCCATGAATTTCCTGTAGACTGTCTCATCGCCCTCATTCTATCCTAACAGGAGAGGAAGCCCATTATAGGATTGGATCCAAGTCTTTGTTAGAAGTTTCCCGATCCTTCTCCCACCTTGGTTCCATTGATGACCCTTTGCAAGTGCTAGGCTCTACTGTGGAGCCTGTCAAGCTAGTTTTGTTCACCAAGACTTCTGAGACATGTTTTTACCATTGTCATAAATGCACCATGCTGTCTTCTGAAAGACAAATGATGAACTAGGAAAATTGCATATGGTCTCGCTTGGAGGAGTTTCAACCAAAGATGAAATTTGTGGTTCAGAACCATGCTGGCAAAATAACAGACTTATTCCAATACATCTGAAAGAAATGAGCTAATAACTAGTAGTGGTTCTCTAGAGACATCACCCTGGTTCCGGGAAGTAAATATTTTGAAATTGAATTTGTAACAATGGTTTCCATTTTCAAATATGGCATCATAATTCCTTTGGGTTTAAGAAAATTATTTTGGAAAACATTCAAATCATTTCTGCAAACTAAATTTTACAGACTCTCTACATCCAAATCACAGAAGGTCACACCTCTACTTGACTGAATAATTCTTTAAGATCAAGAAGGGAGTTAATGTAGACAGGAAGTAGATGTTTTCCATTTGTAGGGAGGTTGGAGTAAAAACACTTTGCTGGAGAATGTGTAACTCATTAGCAGCATAGATGCTCCACCTCTGACTTTATTTAAAGAAATGCACAAAGTGCTTTGTTCCTGGGGTTGCCTGGGATAGGGCAGTGCTTGCCAAACTTCTGGTGCTCCATCACCTCCAACTGCCCGGCCTCAGAGTGCCTGATTTCCTGCCACTAACCCCGCCCTTCAAAATTAATGGATCATGTTTTTACCATGTCTTTTTTCCATTCATCTCACTTTTGCTTCATAAAAACTTTCCTTTTACTGTTGAGGAAATCAGCATGCAGGGAGGCTTAAGTGTCCTTGGGATACAGTTAATTGGTGTCAGAGAAAGTGTCAAAATCCAGCTGTCTCCCATTCCATGCTAAATGGTGTAAAAAGAATATAAATTGCCACAGGTATATAAGATATTTGCTAAAGGAAGGGTAGAATATTTTCCTTAAGGATTTGAAAAGATCTGTTTTGGAATTTGAAGTTATCCTAGGACGCTCAAACATAGAGTCTTATTCTGATTGTTTTTCTACCACCCTCATTCAATCCCTGAGTGCTTACTTGGTGGCAGGAACTGGGGAATGTAATGGAGAGCAAGACAGATGTTGTTTCTACCTCCCCAGGACCCCTTCTATTCTTTATTTCTTAACATCTTTTTTTCCTCCATTGATACCCCCATACAAGTGCCCATACACAGTCCATCCCTAAACTCCACTCTCAGCCCCCTAGCAAGTTCAGATCTTTGTGGTAAGTACTGTACTTGATGACAATTTAGAAAAGGAGAAGCAGTTCCTTGCAGTGGTTTTCACATCCTCTAAGCCTATGGCAGTCTATTTCTTATGAAACTCAAGGAACTGGGGGAAATTTGTTAATTTATTCTCCTAAGATCTCTATACATTTATAAAAATAATCTGGTGCCCTGGAGAATTCTTGCATATTAAAACCAAAGGCCTAATTATGTTAATTGAAGCTTCCTAAATTTCAATTCCCTCATCTGTTGAATGAGAGCATGATGATATACAGAAACGCATTTAAAAAGTATGAAGGACCATGTAATAAAGTTATCACCATAATCAGCAACAAAGAAAACAGAATATGATAGAGTGCCAGGTACTAAAGTAAAACATTTGATATCAAGTGAATGAAACCTCAGCTGAAAAAATCCTAATGAATGCTCACTTTAGTAATATATGCAGAATAACTAAAGGCAAAAAAAAGTCACAAAAGTGGCAGCTTGTGCTTAAATTTAGCCCCTTTATAAGATACTAGTTTTCGGCTGGACGTAGTGGCTCATGCCTATAATCTCAGCACTTTGGGAAGACAGGTGGGAGGACTGCTTGAACCCAGGAATTCGAGACCAGCCTGTGCGTCATATTATATAGCAAGACCTAGTCTCTACAAAAAAAAATTTGTGTGGTGTGTGGTGGCATGCATCTGTAGTTCTGGCTACTTGGGAAGATCACTTGTGCCCAGTAGTTGGAACACAGCGAGGCTCTGCCTGGAAAAAAAAAAAAAAAAAAGGATACTGGTTCTCCGAAATGCAAACTACAATTTTATATCAAGTAATAAATAAAGTTTTTTAAAATTGTATTTTTGAGTATAAGATTAAAAAATATTTATCAACTCCAATTTAGGCAGGACAGACAAGGGTTCCAAAAACACTTCAAACACTGCTGGTGGAGATGTAATTTAGTGCAACATTTGGTGGGAAATCAATGCATTTCAAGAGCCTTTTAAACCTATGCATGCACATCCATTCCACTTCCAAGAATTCACACTGGGGAAATAAGAATATACATTAAAAGGTAGCAGGTAGCCACAAAGATGCCTTCACAGTGTCATTTAAAATGGTAATAGTATAGCATAGTGGTTAAGATTATGGCATCTGGAATCACTGAGCTGCTAAATCCAAATACTGGCTTTGTTACTTGCCACCAAGATAGTGGACATATCAATTTTTTAATTTCTATGTTTGTAAAATAAGGGTGATAATAGAATCCATTTCATGAAGTTGCTGTGAATACATATCAAAATACCCCTGAGGCACTCAAACAGGACATCCTGAAAGTGCTCACAATGTTAGGCTCTATTCATAATAATAAAAAGTTAGATACAACCTATTTATCTAATAAAATTGTTTTATTCAAGCAGTGTAATACTATATGTTTTAGTCCATTCAGGCTGCTATAACAAAATATCAGACAGGGTAATTTATGAACAACAGAAATGTATTGGTCACAGTTCTGGAGGTAGTGAACAAGATCAAGGCACCAGCAGATTCTGTCTGGTGAGGACCCAGTCCTCATAGATGGCACCTGTGTGTCTTCACATGGCTGAAGGCCAAAGGGGCAAACAAGCCCCTTAGGTCTCTTTTATAAGGGCACTAATCCCATTTGCAAGGGTTCTTCCCTCATGACCTGGTTATCTTTCAAAAGCCCTACCTCTTAATACCACCACATTGCAGACTATGTTTTAATACAAGAAATTTGAGGGGACATAGTACTATATATCAATTAAAATGATATTGTAGGTAATATTTGACTTGTAAAGATATTTACTAAAGGGAAAATGTAGGCTACAAAATAGTACTTACTATCTGATTGAATCCAAGTAGATGTTTATGAGATGTCATCCAGTGTACCTGAACTTGTTTTGGACTCAGATCCATCTAAATATTTAGTTGTGTTTCAAAAGAGTAAAAATCATATAGTGCTAATATCAGTTTCTTTATCTCCTCCGGTAGGAGCCATTGAGAATTTTTCCTACACTAATATACTTTTGGTACTTAGTGTATTGCAACCTAAATTACTTCTGTTCTAAATAATAAAATAGAAACATTACTTTTGCTAACTGGTAAAGTCATCCATGCCATAACAAAAGTCCCAATATGCCACCTAGTTTAATCATGCTAGTAGAGTAATTATACACATAATATACCACATCAAGAAATACTACAGCTATCAGCTTTCAGATGACTGTAACAAATTTTAAAAGCATGAGCTGTGATTCTATCTAACAATGTTTATTATGGGATATTCAAAACAGGTGTACTTATAATTTACAACGAGTGATGTGGAATTTTAAAAATGACATTTGTCAAATGTAAAACTACTACTAAATACTACCTTGTCCAAATAAAAAGAATCACTTAAAGAGTATTGACTTAGTGTGACTTCCATTTCAATGTTTGAATGGGATTCTTGATTTGAATTGCAAAAAAAAAAAAAAGGTATCCTACCCTCTCACAGCTCATGAATGTCTTCACACCTAAGAGATAACTACTTGTTACCCACATCTTTGCTACTCCAACAATATAGAGTTTTCTTTCTCTAATCTTCACAAAAGCTGACCATACTCAATTTCAAGTAAGTATTGTGCTCACATACTTAAACACTGAATATTACTAGCATGGAAATACTTCAATTCTTTCCTAATATTAGGTTTTAAAAATAAGATCTCTGGCTAGAGATAGCAAAGTCAGAAGCTTCTATCACATATCATATTTTTAGTACTTTCACATCTATCTCTTTTCATGATTAACAGTTTTATATTCAGGATATATAAATCTCATCTATTTTGATAGCTTTGAGCCTCTTTGTTAGGAAGTTTTACTTCAACTTTGGGCATTCATCTTTGGAACTAAAAAGGGTGGTGATATATTTTTGTAAAAACTCTCTGTACAGAGTCAGAGGATGATGAGCACAGGAAAAAGACAGCAAATAAAAATGAATACTCACAATCAGCCACCTCCCAAGCTAAGGGATGCCAATTATAGTCAGCTGGGAAATGCTGTAAACTGCTAACAGTGCAGAGCTTGGCTATACTACAAAAGCTTTCCTAGACATCAGGTAAAGGTAAAGCTGACCTCATCACTTCATGCCTGGGACAGGTAGACAAAAACCCACAGAGATTAGCATCAGGCTCAAGATTAGATGGGTTGACTTCTGGCTACAAAGGGATTTAAAATAGAGTAGCCGGTTTAAAAAAAAAAAAATCCCTCCCCTTTCTCCCATAATGAAGCAGGTTTGTTGCTTCTGGTTTCAGGCAGATAAGTTACTTATATCCATATGATTACTTTCTGGTTGTATTTATGATTACTAGAATAAAATTACAAATACTCTGCTATTATTTCCAGTCCTCAGCCTGATGCAAATCTGCTCAGTTAAACACAGACTTAAACCTAAGTTCTAAAAGTTTTTTCTCATTACCTTTTTTCTTCCCCAACTGGCATATAAAAAGACAAAAAGTGAGTACTAAATTCTTTAAATTCAAAAATTTGTAAGTCCACTGCCACATAAGATAAAGTCCTGAGGTTTAAGATTTCAGCTCTCAGAATCACCATCCCTAAAGGGTATTCACCAAGAAGAAAATGCAAAGAGTTCTTGCTCTAGAAACTTTTAGTTCTCTTTTTTCACTCCTGAAGAAATATATTATGGCCCATATTTCATTTCTGGCTTGTAATACCCTCCGAAGTCCATTCTGAAAAGTGTTCTGCCTTCTCTTTCACATTGATTTTATTAGCTGGCCTAAAAGACAATTTTTGCCAAATTAAATGTTTTACTGTGTTTTTTTTTTTTGAATAATATGTTTCCTACTCAAATGTGTTCATACAATGCAGCTCAAAACACAATACTTTTTAAACTTATTAGTTGTTAGATTTTAAAGAGACTAAAGTCAACTTACTGCTGAAAACACACAAAAAGGACAAACTGGTTGAAATTTTCACAAGAATGGAAAATGTTTAATAAACTCAGAATGGTGGGCTTATTAAACTATAGTGTTATTTACAGCCATAATTCATCAACCACAAACACAATAATGTGTTTGCATGGCATGCTACAACAGAAGCTTTATTCAGTTCATTCAGAAAACATTGGCAAAATAAATTTCAGTTGCAAATTCACAGATACAAGCTTCAAAGTATAAAGTTGTATATAACAAAAAATACAGGTAATATTTATTACAATAACTTACAGATACAAACTAATGATAAACTACAATTTCACAAAAGATTGTAAACATTTTGCACACTTGTCAGTCCTTTCTTTTAGGCAAAGTGCTCTTTTGATGACAAATAAATTAACAGATACACACTAGAGTGAACTATTTCCAGACAATACAAAAAATGTTTTGATTTGTTTTCTTCTTGTAAACATAAGTTTTACAAAAAATGAAGAATTAATAAAAGTGTCTTGCAGGCCAACTATAGATACATACCTGGGCAGCAAAGTGATGTTGGAAATGCTTTAGGTGTTAAATAAAAAATTAACAGTAATATCTTTTCAATGGTATTTTATACATAATAAATGACAAATTTATATCCTTAATCAAGTCTATCCCTGAAAAAAGAATTAGGTATGACTTATTGGCAGTTGTGTCATTGAATGGGGTAACAAGGGCTGGAGTCCAAGAGTTGTTGGTGAATGAGCTACAAAATAGAAAGAAATTTGTGGATCAGTTTTGTAGGGTGCATAAAACTGATTTATAAACAAACAAAAACAATCCAAGGCATTGTTTTCATCACTCATTATAGCTGAGGGCACCAAGCTACACTCATTCCACTGACCTCAGCAGAAGCATTAACCTATTCAGCATAGTGAGAGTCCAGGAACAGTTTTACCCCCAAATCTTTATTTGGGGCCACAAGATTTTGCCATTTTAATGTCCTCCATCCATACCCCATTCACTGCACTTCACCCTGAAGCTAGAAAGACATGGGTTCCTCTTCAGAGATGCTGCTGCTAGCTTTCTCATGAAGGTGTTTGTATAGGATGATCTTCCCCAAGTTTCTTTCATTAATGTTTAATTACCTCCTCCCTAAGCATACATCAAAACACACTGGACTCAGGCAACACTACTGTGTTTCATGTGAACACACACAATTTTAATGCTAGTATAAGTAAATGGCAACAACAGTACAGGCTCTGATTTTTTATCTAACCAAAACTTAAAATGAAGTTTCTGCTTTCAGCAAGGGCTATGTTGCTTCAAACCAAACCTTTCTCTGAGACCAACTAGGAAATCTGGACAAAATTTTTAAAATCTGTTTGAAGGCATCTGAAAGACACTTAAGTAGTGAGGACTTACAAAGTCCCAGAGTGGAGGGAAAGAAAATGAGGATGCTTTTCCTCCCGCAAGGATAGTGACAATTTAAAACAAAACAAATGTCTGATAGGCCAAGAAGTTTAGCAGAGCATTCAGAAGTTAGACTTTGGCAGAGTGGTGAGAAACAAAAATTAAAGAGCAGGGCCCGCTGAAGAGGAGAAGCCCTAGTTAAAAACAACAACAGAAAACAAAACAAAACAGGGATTCATTTGTGATTCCAAAGGGCTAACTCCAAGGAGTAGTAAAACAAAAATATACCAGCCCTCTTAAGGATTTGTGCCTGATTGGATTAAGTTGATTTCACCCTATTCTGACTACCTGGGGGGTAAAACTAATCTTCTCTAGTGAAAGATATCATCCACAGCCTCAAATTATTTTTAGTTACTCATACCCAACATCTGAAATGCAATAGCAAATAAGAAGACAAATAACAAGACATGACTTGAAAGAAAATAAAGAGGAAAATTAAGAAAACAGAATAGACCCACCAAAGATCCAGATATTGGAGTTATCACACCTGAACTTTAGTATAACAATTTAAATAAGGATAAAGTGACAAAATGGATGATTTCAGCATATAAATGGAAATCTTAAAACTGAAAAACATAATAAATTAAGAAGTCGGTGGATGATTTTTTTACAGGATATTAGATATAGAGAGCATTAGTGAACTAGAAAAATAGTTCAGAAGAAAACAAGAAAATTTTTTCATAGGAGCAAAAACAATATTTGAGGAGGCAAAAGCTGAGAATTTTCCATAATGAAAGACATCAAACTACATATTCAAGAAGCACACCCAGGCACAGTATGGTAAAACTTTTTCAAGACAAACACAAAGAAAAAAGTTGAGGAAAAAAGACGTTTATTTTCGAAGGAGCAAGAAGGTCAATAGCTGACTTTACCAATAAATGGGGCCAGGTTAATTAGCTATCCATATGCAAAACAAACAATGAAAATCAGAAGACAAGGTAATCATATCTTCAAAGTGCTGAAAGAAAATAACTACCAATCCAGATTTCTACTTATAGAGAAAATACCACTTACAACTGAATCAAAAGAAATACTTAGAGATAAACTTAACAGAAGATGTGCAAGATTACTAAACAGAAAAGTCTAAATCATGAGATGATTTAAAGATGATCTAAACAAATGGAAAGACATGCTAAAGTTCATGGTATGGAAGAAAATACTGTTAAGATGGCAATTTCCTAAAACTGATCAATATATTTGCTGTAATAGATTGTATCAAAATCTTAATTGTTTTCCCTTTTGGGGTAGAAATAGACAAGTAGGTAAATTTTATGAAAACATAAAGGGCCAAGAATGGGCAATACAAACTTGAATAACAACAAAATAGAAACACATTATCATATATTAAAAATTATAGACCTACCATGATTAGAATGATTAAGTAGCAACACAAAAATAAATAGACCAATAAAATAGAACAGAAGGTACAGAAATTGACACAACATACGGACATTTGATTTATGGCAAATATGTCTCTACAGAGAAGCTGGACATTTTCTATTTTCATCAACATAACAAAAAAGCTTCACTTTCTACCTCACACCACACACAAAATTCAGTTCCAAATGAATTGTAAATCTACACAGCAAAGGTAAAACAAAGTTTCTAGATGATATCATAGAAGATATATCTTCATTATCTTTGAGTATAAACAATTTCTTGCACATGTCACCAAAAAAAGCATGGCTCATGAAGGAAAAATGATGAAATAAACTACATTAAAATTAGGAACTTGTGCTCAATGAAACATTCCATTAAGAGAGTAGAAAAAGCCAAGCAACTAAGTAGGAGAAAATATTCTAAGCACATACAATTATCAAAAAGCTTTATATGCAGATTACATGAAGAAATTAAGCAAATCCATTTAAATAAATAATAAAGACAAGCCAGTAGGCCAAAAGACAAAAAGACTTGTACAGCTCTTCACAAAAGAGAATATACAAATACCTGATGAAAAAATGCTCAGTCATCAGGGAAAGGCAAATTAAAATAAGATTGCACTGCACAATCATCAAATTTGCTAATATCAGGAAGTTACACCATACCAAGTGTTGGTGAGGATGTGAAGCACCTTGAACCTTGCTGCTGGTCAAGGTGTAAACTGGTTCAACCACTGTGAAAAACTATCTGTCAGAATGACTGAAGTTGAGCATATGTGTAGCCCATGACCTTATGTCCCACTCCCAGGTACATATCTAGTAGAAATGTGAATTAATGTGCACAAAAAGCATGTACAATAAAGTCCATAGCAGCATATTCATAAAAGCACAAACTGGAAAAAACACAAATATCTATTAACCAGGAAATGGATAAATTGTGGTATATTCCTACAGTGGATTTCTATATAACAATGAAAACAAATAACAGATTCTCACAATAATATAGGTGAATCTCACAATGTAATTGAAAGAAGTGAGACACAAAATACATTCTGTGTGGTTCAAAAAGGGCAAAACTAAAGGGTGGTTTTAGAAATCAGTGCCATGTTACTTTGGGAGAAAAGGATAATAATTGGAAGGAGACATAAGAGAGGCTTCTGAAATGCTAATTATATCTGCTACTTTGGGCAATATCTATATGGATACATTCATTTTATTAATTCATCAAGCTGAATAGTTATTACGTATGCACTCTTCTAAATGTATGATTTTCTTCTATAAAAAACAACTCTTTAACAAAACTTATTAAACTCCCATCTAAAGATCTGAGTGAACACTTGCTCTGATCACAGGAAATAAAGTATTTAAATATTTACCGGTAAAAACAAACAAAAAATTTCTAAGTAAAGATCAAGCATTGAGTCATTATTAATATTTGCATCTTAGCTGCAAAGTGAGTATTAAACTTCTTCCTTAAAATGTAATCACAGAAATAAAAATGTTTGGATAATTTTGCTCTCTACTGCACCCCCCACAATATTTTTCAGCTACTACTGAGGTAATATTTCAAAATGTGAATTGTATCAATAATCTAATATTAGAAGTTACCAGTTGCTGATTGCCTGGGAGACAGCTGTTAAATGTTGGGATACCTACCATCCATATAACTATGCAGCGCAGTTAACATCGTTCCATCTTGGGGCACGTAGGCAGAATAAGCCATTTCTTCTAACATGGGTGGAGACAGCCTGGAGGGTGGGACTGCTGTGACTGGGGTGGAGGATGAGTGATTAGGACTGACGTGTTTCTTGTGGCGTGCTCTACAATTCTGAAACCACACCTGAGCAGGGAGAAAAGCAACAGAAGTAGGTAGGTTACACACCAGCTTCTGAGCACATTATCAACTCAGTTAAAAAATGAATGCAACCTCAATCACACTACCACACAAGCACCGCATAAATGTAACTCAGCTTTTATAAAAGTTCTATAGACAGAAAAGAAACATTTTAGTCCAAATAACAGTGGTCATTTTTCTTGCTCAGTTGATAGCTCTCTGGTGATTTACCTAAAAGCCAATTCTATTTAAGTAGGAAAGGGGACCAATTGCTTAAGGGATTTTGGTTTGTTGAATTTGAGTTGGTCAAACGTTAAGGTTACCCCTTGAATGCAATTATTAAACTCTATTGGATTTGACTGGGTGCTGTGGCTCATGTCTGTAATTCCAGCACTTTGGGAGGCTGAGGCAGGCAGATCACCTGAGGTGAGGGGTTCAATACCAGCCTGGCCAACATGGTAAAACCCCGTCTCTACTAAAAATACAAAAACTAGCTGGCCGTGGTGGTTGGTACCTATAATCCTAGCTACTCGGATGGCTGAGGCAGGAGAATCACTTGAGCCCAGGAGGCAGAGGTTGCAGTGAGCTCAGATTGCACCACTGCACTCCAGCCTGGGCGACATAGCAAGACTCTGTCTCAAAAACAAAACAAAACAAAACAAAACAACAACAACAACAACAACAACAAAGCCCAAACAAAAGTACCCCAAAAACTCCATTAGATTTTTTAAAAATAAAAATAAAAGCCAATTCTATACTAAAACAGCATCTTCCCCAGAAAAGGTGGGGAAGGGCCCTCAAGAATTCCAGAGAAATCTCCTTGGTTTTACTACTGGTATTTAGGACAAAAGGAAAAGCAGAAAAAGCTCTTTTAATCAGAACTTAAAAAAAAAAAAAAAAAGACTACTAAATGTATTCTTAGGCACCTGCTGGACTTATTTCAAATCCTTGTTCAAATGACTAAAATCCCTACTGAGAACTTAAAGCTTTCTACAAACCTCTTGATTCAGTTATTCCAGTCAGATTTTAACCTGCTGAGTTCAATTTCTCTTGGTGAATACATAGGCTATTCCCTAAGAAGCATGTTAAGGTCAGGTCTTTAATAAGAAAAAAACTCATAATATTTAAGTAGAATTAAATACAAACACATCCACTGATGAGAGTTCACAAAATGTAAAGTGCTAACCACCCTGCTGTCCACTCTACTGCAGAAATAAAAGAAGCAAATTCAGGGCAAGTGGAGCTTTACATCCAGGTCAGGGCAAGTAAGTCTAGGCTGCCCAGAATGCTTCCAGTAGCTAATATGCCTGTGTTTGAATTCCCTGACAGGTGATAAAACTTGACCATAGAGAGTGTTTCTTCATGGGCCGGGCGCAGTGGCTCACTCCTGTAATCCCAGCACTTTGGGAGGCCAAGGCGGGCGAATCACAAGGTCAGGAGATCGAGACCATCCTGGCTAAAACAGTGAAACTCCATCTCTACTAAAAATACAAAAAATTAGCCAGGCATGGTGGCGGGTGCCTGTAGTCCCAGCTACTTGGGAGGCTGAGGCAGGAGAATGGAGTGAACCTGGGAGGTGGAGCTTGCAGTGAGCCAAGATCATGCCACTGCACTCCAGGCTGGGCGACAGAGCGAGACTCCGTCTCAAAAAAAAAAAAAAAAAAAAAAGAGAGTGTTTCTTCATTAAAATACTGTATCACTTTTTTTCCATCACTCCAAACAATTCTGTCATGAGAGGAAAGAGAGGCGAAGGGATAAAAACTTAGCATGAGAACATTTTGGGATCAGGGATATGAGGCCAGGAAAACATCAGGGGCATAAGTCTGTTCAAGGCTGGTGGTAGGGCCTTGATGGCACAAGGCAATCAGGGCTGATTAATGTGAAATAAAAGGAAGCTGCAAAGAATTTATAAGAAAAAGCTGGCCTTACTTCAGAACTACACCCTGCCCCTGGCATTCAAAAATAGAAGGTTGGCAAAGTATACTCTCAAGAGTGATTAAAACTAAAAGAATAAAAAATTAATAATCTAGTGGGGTATATAGCCTTGAGCAGGAGGCTGAAAAGTAGCAGCTAAGGAATGTTTCTGGGACAAGACTTAGGTATCCACCAGTAAGACAAGTGGGAAGTCACAGCCTCCTCCACATCCCTGTTCTCTGGAGTGTTAGTGAGACTCAGAGATACCTATAGACCACACCCCAAACTCCACAGTTCTGCCCACAGGCTCTGGAACAATAGATGTCACTACTAACACTAGTCTCACCCAAATAGGATGACATTACTCAAACATTCTCCAATGTGTAAGGGGGAACCACTGCCACCGGCCTTTTTCCCTTATGGGACCCAGAAGACACATACGCCAGAGGACTACATATAACCTAAAACATGTTGCACTATGATTCCCAGAGTTTCTTCAAAGTATCTTTTTGTCTCCAATAAGTTATATATTGAATGGAACCTATGCAGTTGTAAAACAAAAGAAACACCATCTTTTGATTGAAAAAAAAAAACACTCAAACTTTGTAAATAAACATGAAGAAGGTATAATATAAACAGCAGAATAACTATCTTGTTAAGCAGCTTCTTGGAAAGATCATCCACAGGTAATCAAGCAGAAGGAGGTTTGCAAAAACAAAGTATCATGTAACTAACTGGTAGAGCAAAATATAGTTTAAGATTCCAGACATCAGGAAATTCCTTCTGGCATGAATGCTACCCAGCTTCAGAATCAAGTATAAGTCCTTTTGACTCTCCTCACTGACAAAATTTCCTCCTTCTTGTTTGCAAACCTCCAACAAGAGTTAACATTTTCTGAGTAACTACTTTAAATTTTTTGACTTCTAAATCATAAACTAAGCTAAAATCAGGCCATGTAGATATAATGGAAAAGCAAAATACTAATGCAGAGAATGAAACCTTTAGAAAGCCCAGACAAAAAGCCAAATATAATAATTTTGTATATGACAAAGATGGGATTTTATTTTATTGGGAAAGCATGTTTCACTGATTTAGGGAAAACTGATAGTTTATCATTTGAAAGAGAGAAAAAAATAGATAAAACCCTATCTCCCATGAACCAAGCCAGATAAATTAAAGTTTAGGCGTAAATAATTGAAACAATAAAAGTTTAAGAAAACAAAAGGCAACATTGAAATACTCTCTAGATAGGGAAGCATAAGAAAGGCCAAAACTAGACCCGGCGTGGTGGCTCACACCTGTAGTCCCAGCACTTTGGGAGGCCGAGGTGGCAGATCACAAGTTCAGGAGTTCAAGACCAGCCTGGCCAACATGGTGAAACCCCATCTCTACTAAAAATACAAAAATTAGCCAGTCATGATGGCAGGTGCCTGTAGTCCCAGCTGCTCGAGAGGCTGAGGAGGAGAATCACTCGAGCCCAGGAGGCAGAGGTTGCAGTGAGCTGAGACTGCACCATTGCACTCTAGCCTGGGCAACAGAGCAAGACTCCATCTCAAAAAACAAAACAAAACAAAACAAAAAGGCCAGGCGTGATGGCTCACTCCTGTAATCCCAGCACTTTGGGAGGCCGAGGTGGGTGGATCACGAGGTCAGGAGTCGAGACCAGCCTGGCCAATATGGTGAAACCCCGTCTCTACCAAAAAATACAAAAATTAGCTGCGTGTGGTATCACGCACCTGTAGTCCCAGCTACTCAGAAGGCTGATGCAGGAGAATCGCTTGAGTCCGGAAGGCGGAGGTTGAAGTGAGCTGAGATCGTGCCACTGCACTCCAGCCTGGGTGACAGAGTGAGACTCCATCTCAAAAAAAGAAAAACAAAACAAAAAAAAAGGCCAAAACTATCAAAAGACTGGGAGATTTAAACACATAGAAATATAAATGTTCTGTGTGGAAAAAATAAAAAGGAAATTGATGAACCGTGAAAGGTTAACATGACAGATAGGATTAATAAATATCAGTAAGATATAGAGAAAATAACCCAACAGAAGAGTGAGCTAAAAACATACGGTCTTAAAAATGAAAAAATAAACTAATTTGTTCAAGCTCATTGATAATATAAGAAACAGAAATAAAATCAATGAGATTTTCTTTTCTAACTATTAAATTGTAAAGGATGTAAAAGAGTAACAGTATTCAGGATTCTTCTGAGTTGGGGAAAAGGAACTCTTGTACGTAGCTCCTGGCAGAATAAAGTTGTATGAACTTTCTCAAAGGCAAAGAGATTTCATGTTTGTATAAAGGCCCTATGCATGTTTTATCTTTGGACTCAACAATCTCCCTTCCAGAAATTTATCCTGAGGAAACTATTGAACAAGCACGCAAGGTAGATATACAATGTTGCTCATGGCAGCATTTTATAATAGTGAAAAATTGGAAGCTAAATAAATTGTGCTATGCTCAATATATGTGGCAATAAATATGATGTTAATATGGAAGGGTATTCCTAGTACACTGATTGGAAGAAATAGCAATAGTTTACTCTGTCTCTGCACAACATAAAAATCATAATTCACTTATCTGAAAGAGTATGTGAACAGTGATTGTATCTGGATGCAGTGTGTGGGGAAAAAAATCACTCATCTTTATTCTTTGACTTCAGTATAAGGACAGTCTGCTTTATTACAAATGTCTTACTAAGCATATTTGTAACTAGGAAACGTGAAACTCTCCACGTATCACACCAGTTTCCTCCTAATCTTTGGGTGACCTAGTTTGCATATTAGAAGAAGTCTAGTAATAAAAACTCTTTTTTCTTACCTTTCTAAAATATTATGCCCAATGCTAGGAAGGAGGCTGAGGGAAAGTATGATTACTATTTGAGATCACAGTAATTCTTATAAAATACTCTGAAGGGCTACAACATATAGTGAGCCTATGTATAGATACAAATAATAAACACATAAGCATGCTAGTACTCTTTCCTTTGGAATCATATCAAAAATATTTAATGTTCAACCTTAACATATTGAAAGCCAACATTCAAAATATATTCTCCAAATGGTAGGGCTTAGGACAAAGTTAACTTGCTCATAGTACTAGTAACCTAAATGCCTGGAAATTACATGACAGATGTCTGCCTGTGTTCCTTAGTCCTTCAAATATGAAAAGCTCTAAGAAAACTCTCCTTCTTCTTTGCTTCCAACTTCAAAATGATATAAGTCATGCATCTGACTTACCTGAAGCTATCATTGTTATGAATATACAGAGTCTTAAATTAGAAGGAACTTTTAGCCCGTGGAGTCGGAACTACCTGCCAAAGAAAACTGTTCTCCCAGGCAGAGGAAACTCACTACCTTCCTTGGTAGTCCGTGCCATTTGTGTAGCCTTTCAATAATGAGAAAATTCATTATGAGTGAACACCAGTGCCTTTTTCTACATTCCGTTGCAGGGAAGCCTTTCACAAATATTTAAAGACACCTACTCTGGATATTACTCTTTCTCTTACCATCTCCTGGCCTTATCTCCAGATAAATATCCCTGCTGCCTTTAATATTATGGCATGATCTAAATCTTTCACAACCCTGGTAGCCTTTGAGGTAGTATGTTTTTCAGATTGCTTATTAGTCCCTTCTTAAAATTTGGCACTCTGAAATAAGCACAATAATCTGGATATCTGAAAGTGCTGAAGTGGTAGAACTTGTCTCCTAAGACAGCCTCATTACCTTGCAGTCAATTAAAACACTGTGAACCCTAGGTCTTTAGAGAAGCTGCAGTATCATCAGGTCTTTTCCATCTGCTTCTTCGTACAGGTGATTTGTTAATTATGAAACCTTTAGGCTTACAGAAGAATAAGTACCCATGTATCAACCACCCAAATTAAGAAACAAAATAAAATATGTGCAATGAAGACATTTGCCTTTCCCCTCCCTGAGTTTCCTCTTGCCTTTTATGGTTACTTGCTTTCACTCCTTAAATTTTTTGAACTTCCGGTGTTATTTAAAATTATTTTCCGGCTAGGCACGGTGGCTCACCCCTGTAATCCCGTCACTTTGGAAGGCTGAGGCGGGCGGATCACAAGGTCAAGAGTTTGAGAACAGCCTGACCAACATGGTGAAACCCCGTCTCTACTAAAAATACAAAAATTAGCTAGGCATGGTGGCTTGCACCTGTAATCCCAGCTACTCAGAAGGCTGAGGCAGGAGAATTGCTTGAACCCGGGAGGCGGAGGTTCCAGTGAGCCGAGATCACACCACTGCACTCCAGCCTGGGTGACAGAGACTCTGTCTCGAAAAAAAAAAAAAAAAGAAATAAAATTATTTTCCATTTCCCTGGTCTCTCTGATAATCTTGACACAGCTGGCCATCTCGTTCTTGAATTCACCCCACTTCTTCAGCTTCCATGCTTCTTCTCCACCCGACTCCTTCCTCAACTCTGGCTGTTACTACGTCCCATTTAAATAGCACCTCTTACCCTGCTCTCCTCTCTGAAACCCGTTCTTCACCTTTTATACCCTATGATCTCTTTCTAAAGGATCTTATCTAATTTCATGGCATTAGATCTCTTTGCTTGAGTCCTGTTCATTCTTTCAAATACCTGTTTGCATAGTTAACTGCCACCATCACTGCATAATTAGCACAGCTAAAAGGGTCCAACTTCCAATCCAGCTTTCTTTTGACTTTCACATTCCTGTCAATGGCACCATTCCCAAGATTACTTTGACTTGAAATTTATAAGTCACTGACTTTTTTGAGAGAGGATCTTACTCCATCACCCAGGCTGGAGTGCAGTGGTACTATCATGGCTGACTGCAGCTTCAACCTCCTGGACTTAGGTGACCCTCCCACCTCAGCCTCCCAAGTAGCTGGGACTGCAGGTACACACTAGCATGCCTGGCTGTTTTTTTTCCTGTAGAGATGGGGTTTCACCATCTTGCCTAGACTGGTATCAAACTCCTGTACTCAAGTGACATATTTGCCTTGACCTCCCAAAATGCTGGGATTACAGGTGTGAGCAACTGAGCCTGGCAGAGTCATTTACTCTTTGACTCCTCTCTGCTTCCCCATTGCAGTTACCAATTCTTTCTTGTCTTTCTAGCATCCATCAACTGTCATCAGTGTTCACTCAATAAAATGTTTCTCAGCTGGGCATGGTGGCTCATTGCCAATAATTCCAGCACTTTGGGAGGCCAAGGGAGGAGGATTACTTGAGTCTAGGAATTTGAGACCAGCCTGGGCAACACGGTGAGACTCTGTTTCTACAAAAATTTAAAAATTAGCCAGGCGTGGTGGTGTGCAACTGTGGTCCCAGTTATTTGGGAGGCTGAGGTGGGAGGATCACCTGAGACCTGGAGGTCGCTGCAGTGAGCTGTGATTGCGTCACTGCACTCCAGCCTAGGCCACCCATGACCCTGTTTCAAAAAGTTTCCCAAATGAATTCTACCCCAGTAAAGTGTCTCTTCAGAAACAAACAAACAAAAAACAAACAACAACAACAACAACAACAAAACCACACTACGTTGCTGGGCATTCCAGCCTTCCAACTAAGCTGCTTACCTCTATCTAGTCTCTCCCAACTCCAGTTCTTCCCATGTGCTGTGACTAGCCCTTTCTTCCTAAAATCACATATCATGGCTTTTACCTGCTCATAAGAGAACTCTGCATTCACAGGCCTCTCCAACTTTAACTCCAACAATTTCATTTCCCACTATTTCCAAACATAAATTCTACATTTGAAAAAACTTGCACTAATTCATCACTTTTCAGCTTTGTTCACACCAGTTCCTCTCCCTGGATCTTTGGCAAAGGCCATCAGCAGCCATCACACACACAATCATAAAAAAAGTAGGAAAAACACTGACCTTAGAGCAAGATTTATCTTGGAACATGTTTAGCCTGAGGATCTTAGGGTTGCTGTGAGTACTGAATGAAGTAACATGAGCAAAGACTCATTTGACAAATGGTAGCCTAGCCCAAGCAGGATAATCATTACATTTTAAAAATTTGATTTAGAATGTGAAGAGACTTAAAATGAAAAAGCAATGTTTTCACATTTCTTCACACACAAAAAAACACCAATGCATACTTATAAATACCCAGAATTAGAACTTTTTGTTTCTCTTGATTGACCTTTAAGTTAATCACCTGTGGCCAGGTACAGTGGCTCATCCTGTAATCCCATTACTTTGGGAGGCTGAGGTGGGAGAATCACTTAAGCTCAAGAGTTCAAGATCAGTCTGGGCAACATAGGGAGACCCAATATCTATTTTTTAAAAACCTTAAAAAAAAAAAAAAGTAAAGTAATCACCTGTATCACACGTCTGCTCAAGCCTGTCCTTTCTGCCAATTTCTGGAGTGTCTGTGCATCTGGGTTGTTGTCCTGAGCAAATTGTGCTTGCATAACCTGTTGTTTAAAACATGTATGTAGTAAATAGCTAAAAACAAGCAGCTCAGTCTTCTTCCTGCATTTTTATCATAAGAGGTAAGACATGCACAAGAACATGGGATACTTTTGTTACTTGAAAATCGGTATGGGGAAATATGGGTAAGTGAAAACGAATGCATATTTTGTAAATTTATACACAAGTTGCTATGCTGAGAACTTTAAAAAAATCCATTTCAATGTAAAACTCTCTCAACTATGCTGTTAAAAATAAGCTCACCTTTTCTTTTCTTTCAATCTTATAACCCACAAATCAAATAGCAAGAGTTTCATTTATTGTTTTTTCCATTTTGTTAAAAACTGCCAACATTTGAAAACTTAATACAAAAATCATATCACATTTGTCTCCAACCTTTCCTGAGCTAAAGATGTTCAAGGCCCCTAATACCTAATAGTATACAGATCAACAGAAGGATTCCACTTAATTGTAACAACTCCATCATAGTTTTGAGCACTAGCTCTATGCAAAAAAAAAGGTGTCTAAAAAGAGACACTCACCAGTCCACTGAATAAGAATTTACCAGAGTCTAAACATGTATATATTTTAAAAGCTTACAGGTGATTCTGATGTAAGCCTTTGGATTGAAACCACTATGCCAAGTGCTAAGAGATAGTGAAACATGAAACAAAACTCTTTGGATTTAATTTCCTGGCAGAAAGATGCCGACATGCCAATGACTACCTATAATAAAAGATAAAGGGAGAAGAGTAGTGTGGGAGAGAGTACCAGAATATAAGCACAAGCCAAAAACTTTGAATTCTTTCAGAAAAGAGAATCATTATGAGAATTAAGTGAGATACTTGAATTTTATTACTAAAAGTCAGTCAACTGAGGGAAGCATTACAAAATGTAAAAAATGTATTATTATGAAGAATGAGAGAGAAGAGCTTGGCACCCAATGTGATTGTGCTTGTCTACAGGCATAGGATGTGGGTAACCAATCTATTAAAGACCTCAAGCACTGCTGGACTTCACTCTTTTCAGCAGGCAAAATTAATTGCATTCTCCACTATGCTCCTCATATAATGCTATCTTCTGCCACTGCACTTGTCACAGGGTAGCTAAATAATTTGTTTTCAAGTTTATCTCCATAGTGGAAAGTGAGTTCCTTGAGATCAAGGGGAATGTCTTATTTTTCGTATCCCTAGGAGTTAAACTCCCTTTCTGTCAGAGAGTATGTTAAGAGTTTCTGACAGAGTAAAACTTGGCAATGTAAGGAAAATCTGAAGACAGTGTAGAAAAAAAGGCCAATATTGTTCTGGGAAACCTTCTGAGGTTTACAAATTTTGAGATTTACAAATTTACCCTTCTAGAATTAAGTATTCTTGGCTTCCCATCTAACTATATTGTATCTACAGACTCACTGTAAACAGAACATGGATTTTTGCTTTTAAAAAAGGGCAGAATTGGCTTAAAAGTTTATTCTTGCTCAGTTCACTTTATTCTTTCTTTCCTACTCCAAATGTGTTACTTTGGTATCTTCCTGTGAAAATAGAGTTATGTTTCTATGCAGTTGAACATGTAATAACCCCAAAAAGAACGAGCAAATTATGTCTTTGTTTTTTAATTTTTCAAATAGAAAAATGTTGAACAGATTTGGGGATTTTGTAAGGTCATTATTAATAATTTACAAAACAGAAACTTCATGCCTTTCATAAATGCATTTTTAAATTCACAAATTTAACTGCAATCAAATTGTATTTAGTTAAGTAATTTCTCATTAAAGAGTAAAGCAAAACAACTCTGATCATTTAGAATTGAAATATTCTAAAGGAAAAGTAAGATGAGTTGATTGTTCTTCCTTTCAATAGTATCAATGATTAGTCTCACACACACAAAAAGAAAAAAGAGGTACTTTTAATTTCTACTTAGTTTCACTATTCTCTAGGCACTAATGCTGCTGAAGCCTACTTCACTCCTTTTCCAAGTTCTTCTAACGTGGACAAGGAGTGAGCCTCTGTAGACACTCATCATTTTTAGGCCAGGAGATCTACCAGAAAAGTCAGGAGGCTGCATAGCAGTAACTCGATCTGAAAACAGACTAAAGCAGGAGCTAACTTTGGCGTGTTTAATATTAATAATCACTAAGTGAGTGCTTCTACATAGAATAAGCAATCCATAATATTAGCAGGAAATTCTTAAATATCATTTCTACAAATGGGACGGTATTTGAAATATATTTGCCAATACATCCTCTGAGTCTTAAACTATTTTTTCTCCCCATAAATCTCTATAGAATAATTTTGGAAAATTTTCTTATTTATCCCTTCCATTTTAACTCTCCTCTGTCCAAAGCAGGTACTGACTAGATAGTCTTGACTTACTCACTGGTCACATGTAATATTTTATTATCTTGCCAAATTCAAGCTCTAGTTGAAAATATTCAGCATTCCTAAATGTAGGAGAGTTTGACAATAAGGATACCGATTTATTAGAGTGTCTGGCTAAAATAAATGATTCAGTTTTTTAAAATATCTATTTCAGATTCCTAAATTATAAAGAACCACTTTAGGACAAAGATTGTATCTCATTTGTTTCAGCCACCCCTTCCATAAGATAAAATGCTAATAAATATTGAATGAGAATATACTTTGAAAGCATATTACCTATGCTTTCATCAGTAATCTGAAAATGGTAATATGCTTTCATTTTTTAAAACCTATAATTCTGATATACAATTTTTAAAACTTATGATTTAGATCACATTTACATACCATAATGTAAGGCTTAAATATTTTATGCATGTTTAACCATAAGGCTATCTACAAGATTCAAAATCTCACTCTTTTGTTTTAGCTGCTGCTGCTATTAATTGGAGTTTTGATAAGACAGACTTCCACTCATGGTCTCCTGGAAGATCAAGCAAAATGAAGAGACCAGATGTTTGAGGAGAAGGTTCCAAATCTCTTCTCAACCACTCCCTTGGTGGTTTGCTTTGAGGAGTTCCTGCACTCTTGAATGAGGTTTGTTGTAAAAGTTAAAGGAGATAAAGTAGATAAATGCCTGGTATAGGATTTGGCATAAAAAGACCTCCACAAATATTATTCCCATTTTATTTAATTAGTATTTGTAATTATTTTCCCATAGAAAAGTGTCTATCTACAGTGGTTTCAAATTTTCACAATTTTATTTTTAATAATAAATTATTATATCAAATGAAAGTTATCAACCTTGTAATTATTAAAATTACAGCCAGTCCTTCATGGGAACAGACCATTGTGAAAACAGATTTATATTAGAGATTCTATTTTAACTAGACACCTTTAGTGACTGAGTATTTTTCCAGGTCTTTCAGAAGTACTCACATCTTCTGACAGGGCATTGTGTGATCTTCATAATAATCCAATGAAGAACCCAGAAAGCAAGGCTCAAACAGAGATATTTCTTTCAATTGGCTTATCTTTCATTTTTTGCTTATTGACTATGTACTTTATGCCTAAATTAAGAAATCGAATTTATGCCTAAATTAAGAAATCTGAAACAATCATCCATTTGGAAAATTCTTCTGAATGGATCTAGATTTTAATGCTAGAGTGCTTCCCATTGCCACGTTCCCTTGGAATATGTGTGTCACATCAAGGTTTCTTTTCTAAATCATTCTCAAAATAAAAATTATCTCCTGAAACACTTGTATCCATCTTAAATACTGGCAGGTCTTAGAATACTAAACGTGATTTTCGAAAAAGTTACTTTTATTCATTTGTTAACACTGCATAAATGTCCTTTAAAGTCTGAGCTAAGATGGATACTATGTATAAGGTACCCAGCAGTGTGATAGGCGTTCAACAAATGTTACTTTTCCTTAACATGAAACAAATACCTCAGCCACATTAATCTTTTAGAAAATATGATTTCATTATCTGCAAAAATGCCAGAAGGAATCATTATATAGGTTTATAAAGCAAAGAGTAATTTAATTATTTTGATAATTTGTATAAATCAAATTTATAACAATCATGTTTAGGGCAACTAAGCTAAAAAAAATCCCTCCCTTTTCAGGGGACATAATAAAACTTTAATATCAAATTATAGAAGTACTCCCTTTACCACCTTTAAAAACATAAAGGAATCTGCTCAATTGTAGTCAACCAGTAGTTTCCTATTTACTTTAAGGCACTTTCAATTATTTCCTACTCAAAAACTGTACAATTGTGTTCATTAAATGACTCATTGCAGTTTGTTACAAAGACTAACACATTAGCGTCCCATAGACTCACATGGGACATGTATGTCTCTCTTCAGAGTCTCAAAATATTTTGTCTTCCATTGCAATTATGTGTAGTAATATAAATGCCTGGTTCAGAACGATGCAATCAGGAAGTCAGGACAAAATACTTTGTTTCCACTTTGATGTTGATACCAATAGACCCCAGGGAAACAAAACTTGAATGACTATTTCATATTATATTATGATGCTAGAAATGCAAACACTTTAGGGCAATAAGTATGTTTTCATATATTCACCAAATTAGTTTTCATAAAACACATAGGCTAATTTTTTAGAAAACATAAAAATGTTTTTGGGCAGCATGGAGGTTACTTTTTGTTTTTTTGGTTGGGAGGGGCTTCAAAAATAAAAAATTCATTGTTATGCTTACCTGAAGCTGATCTGCTGTAAAGCTGGTCCGAGCTCTTTTTGCTGGTTTTGGATGGTTAACATCTTGCTCTGTGAGGAGGGCACCTTCCACACTAATCCCATTCCCTGCATTTAAAAAACACACTATATATGTTGGTAATTCAAATGGGTACACCCATCTTACAATAACAGGTTTCTTATATCTCTTGGCTTTTTGTGTAACTGTATATGTTTTCTAGACGGCAAAACCCCTTAAGTTTTAAAACATACTACAGATATACTGTACAAAAAATATTCCACTTACAGACTTGTATATTTAGTGAAAAGTTCAAAAAGTTAGAAGTACACATCTAAGGCCCAGCAAATACAGGAAAACAACTATTTACAAAAAGAAAAGCAAAACCCTAACTCAAAGCTGCTGCCTGAGAATATGGCACAAAACTAATACATACACCATGGCTTTCCTTGTAAATAAACAAATAGAGACCATCACAAACAGTAGAGTACTTAATGAGTTTTACCACACTTATACATTGTACAAAATAATGCATTAAGATGACCTTAGGAAAAGTTATTTTTATTCCTGTATTCACTGTCTCAAAAGACTCAAAAGTATTTAAGTACATATTTACCATTTTCTACTTCTCTTTTTAAATTATCCAGCATGCAGTCATAATGTACTCTGCAGAGGACTTTCTCTTCCACCAAAGCAAACTCCTCTCCTGTGGAAAGTTGCCTTTTGCAGGAAAAGCAGGCAAAGCATGCCAAGTGATAGACATTCCCCTTGGCTCTCCGGACCCAGTCAGTAGAATGGATGTGTCTCCCACATCGAGAGCAGCGAGTTCCATACCTTCTACATTAAATAGAGGTGTGGAAGGTAAATATTTTAATGCCTGGTGAGATATTCATCAGTCGAATATTAAACCAGCACATTATCTTACCCCATTGAAATAACCTAAGTATTTAAATATTGTGAGAATGAAACAAGAATCAATTATTTTTCTAAAAGTCAATATAATAAGAAATCAAGATGAGATAGGGTCACAACTCAAAGCTGTTTATAAAAATAAGACCTTTTCTCTGTTCCTCTAAAAGAAGATTGAAGTTTTCTTTTAAAATGAGTTTTAAAATCCCTTTTGTTGTATCAAATATCAGTGCATTTATAAATTTACTTAAAGAATCAAGATAAACACACATACTCTCCAGACTGAAAATCTAAAAGTGCAAAAGTATGCTGAAGATATTTATACTGAAAAACTGAAGATATAAATAATGACTTCTTAAAACCAAGTTAAGATAATTAGAAAATGATTTAAATATAGTTTTTAGGATGTTAAAATATGTAAATATTTAATGTTGAAATTATCAAAGAATGTATATAACAGAAATTCTTCACCCTGTTGGGTGAGAAAGGAAAAGTCAGAAATGTTTCCTTTGGTGAAAAAGCTATTGTATTGTTATCCATAGAAGGAAGGAAATATTTTCTAAATTTTCAGAGTCCTAACTGGACATTAAATGCAGGTCAATCTTAAAATACCAAAGCTATATGTAAATAGTTCTTTTCTTCTTACAGCCTGAGTGACTGGAACTCTTTGTTATGTCTCCTATCACAATCACAGTCGTGGCCCTGCATGCCCAAATCACACTAGATTAGTCAGTGTCTATTTATTGACAGATACATCTTTAAAGCTATTACCACTTTGTTTTTTTAGTTACTCTGAAAAATAGAATCCTAAAGACAAATTTCAGAATATAACATGAAGCAAGGAGTTTAAAAATCCTAAAGAACTAGACTTTCACTTGTGAAATCTTTCAAAGCAAACCTTTCAAAGGGCTTTAAGTTACTACCAAAAATTAAGATTAGCCTATCCCAAGTGAATGAGGAAGCAAATTATTACCAATATTGAAGTAATGAAAAGTAAACCTGCTGAGAAATATGCTTTTTTGGTAATTATAAAATTCTGTGATTTTATAAAAGACTCTGGGTCTCATAAATTACTTTAAGTTACCTAGCAATTTTTATTCAAATTAATCACTAAACTCTTTGAAATCATTTTTTGAAATGGAGTACAAAATTAGTATTACAGCCTTTATTATATAGTATTAATTTCCCCGTTTTACAATGAACATTTTTCATTTAGAAAAGTAAATAAAGAAAATATGTTGTAATTTTTAAAAGTCATTCTTGAGAATTATTTTAATTTCTACACAACTGTTCATACAGAATTATACCTTGGAAGAAACCTTAAATTTAAACTACACAGAGATCACACGCAGAAAATGTGATATCTCATCTAATTTCAGAAACTGAAGATCGGACAAAAGAAATAGTTTGAGGCAGAATTAGATTTGGTGTATTTATACCAGAATGATCAATTCTTCTGAATACTACAGTTTATCATGGTGTACAAACCCTTAGAATTTTATAGGTTTATAAGTAGGGATCATTCTATGGTAAACTGCTAAAAGCATAACAAAATCTTGATTTTTCTCCCCCATAATGATTTTATTTCATCTAACCATTCCCACCAAACAGGGGCGTTGTCATAAGTCATCTTGTTTTTCATACTTTATACCTATGTACAGCAAAAAAGATTCCCTGTTTGTAATGCCTCAAACTTTCACTCCCCAAAGTGAAAGTATTATTTAAAATTAACTTTTGTCTACTGAATTCCCAAAAAGGATAAACATGCTTATTTATACACATTATATCTCAAACAGGAAAGCACCCTCATTTTGAAATCTCTTAAATAAGAAAAACTGGGCTTCATTAAATAAAACTGAACAAGAAAAAGCCTATTACAAAAGTCTCTTTGCATAATAATTTATTCAAGTATCTACTAAGAAAAAGCTTCACAGCATACCTGAAATAATCAAGTTTGCAGAAAATGTCTTTGTCTTTAATATAACAGCTGGTGTGCCTTCCTAGGGAGGTTCTGCAAACACTGCAGGAGAGACACCGGACATGCCAGCATAGGTCATTCACCTGTGAAGGGAAGAGAAGCCATTGTAATATCATATTTAAGAAAAGTATTCATTGGTTTTGTGTATTGGGCAATTTAAAAAACTGGCCCCTTAATATATTAACACATGCTCTGAATGTTTTCATCCAAAAGATGTCATTTTTTTTTAAGATGTCATTTTTGTAAACATGTATCTGGATATATTATCTTTTAGACCTCAACCAAAAATTTATACTAATATATGCCACATTTTGTGTTTATAATATTTTCTATTCCTTTGAAGAATTCAGGTTGCTTTTTCTTTCTTTCTTAAATGGAATCTTTATGAACACAGGGAATAGTTTGGTTACTTTAAAGTCCTACATACAGGTTTTTTTTGTTATATTTTACCAAGTTCTTCCCAGCATGAAACCTTGTGGTTAAAGAAGACAAAACACATACTCTCTCAACCTATTTTTTGGCTAAACAATTATAAACTGTATACCTCCTAAACAGAGCAATAAAGAAAGTGAAAATGCAGGTTTATAAGATAGTTACCTATACAGGACAGAAATTGCTCAGATAAATTTAAATGTTGATGTAGCAGAAGCCCGGGTTCTCTTCTAATATTAAACAGCTGAACAGAAACAATAGAAATAAGTAGAAAAGTATATTGGTAAAACTGCTTACTGATTTGGCTACAGGAGAAAAAAATAAATCTAATCATAAGTGGTTCTAAAAAAGCACTCAAGCACTGTTTTCCACTTACACTTCAAGTAGTAAAACATAAGATGGTGTTTAATAAGGCCAGTATTTTATACTTTCTAAATAGGAACATGAAATATTGTCAATCCAGGGAACAAGTCATAATTACTCTTACTTTAAACTGTTGCCATTATATTACAAGCGCTACAACTTTAGCCCTGGAGTATGAAGATGTGTATTAGATAGAACTGGCTTGCATGCAATGCAGGCTCCCAAAGTTTGCTCTTGTTAAGTGGACACAAGAACCTGATTTATGCTTAATTGAATTTCATGTAAAAGAACAGTAACATACAAAAACACCAATTACACCCTAAAAATGGATCCAATGACTAAAATAGGAAAGTAAATGACTGTGAGATATGGCTTTTGCTCAACTATTCCATAATAAAGACTATGTGTCTATCGAATTAGAACTACGGTCCAACATGTTTTTCTGCAATATATAAAAGGTACTTCGAAGCTGAAAGTTTTACTGACTTCTAATTACAGTTATGTGTCTCTTTCCAAAGCATTAATGAGAGTCTCATTTTGATGACATTCAAAAAGTTTTGGTCTTTACAAGAACTTAGAACTTACATGCTCACTATAGACAATATTTAAAATAATGAAAACAGAAAGAAATCTGAGGAAATCTGAATAAATAATATTAACAATGTTAAATACTGCCTTGGAAATAAAAAAAGCATTTTCCTTATATTTTTTTCCTAAAATGGGACCAACCAGTATAAAGTTTAGATGAACAGGCTTCCTTTAAAATTCCACTGTTTAGGGCCTTCTGTATTTCAATCTTACCCAGGATTTTGTTTTGTTTTGTTTTTAAAGCTAGGCTTTAGGGGAAGAGCCATGGCCTCTCTCTTACTCCCTCCTAAAGCCAGACCTGGTTGTCACGTTTTTTCAAAGTTCACTTCCCTCCTAAAATGTCTGTTTATCTTCCATTTCTTTGCCAGGGAGTAAAGTAAGGTGAAGAGAGGAGATTCTGGAGACTATAAACCTACTATTAATCTAATCTGTGTATGTCTAAACATACAACTTGGACCAAGCCAGAAAAACTACCCGAAGGACAGAGCACTGAAGTTATTGGACAAGGTAATCAATGCATCTAACTCCTGTCATACTTTTCTAACTCCATTTTATTTGCCTCACAAGATAGTGTTTTTCTATATTAGTTACACCCTAAAATAATATTTCTATACTAGGTCTAACTTTTTTTTTTAAATCAGTGACTCAAGTTAAACTCAAACTTTTCTGCAGGAAGTACTCAAAACGGAAAATAAAGGTTAATAATTCAGTTTTTGTCAATCATATAGTATCAAACTTTAGTTAGAAATTACACACTAAAGAATACAAGAAGTGGTACAATAATACTGTACATGGAAGGCTTCATTGGGAGGACTCCTGCCCTATTACAAAGGAAAGCTTTATGTAACTCACTTAACTTAGATTTTTATGCAATACAAAGATATATAATATATAAATGTATACAAGATTAACACTAGAAACTATTATCTATTTCAGAGGTTGTGTTAAATGTCACTTCATCATAACCCTTCTATATCTTCTCTGCTGTGAAGTGTTAGAGCCTTCATAGGTCTACTCAGAAACATTCTTAAAGATTACGGTAATTATTGAGAGGGCTCATTAAAAATAGGATGCTAGTTTTAACCCAAAAGATGATTTTGCAATATCCAAAATGCTCAGTTTTAGAAACATTGAAAGTGGAATCTTAAGAATGCAGATTTAAAGAGAAAGCCAATGTTAATTTGCCAGCTTTAAGAATCAACCACCAAGTAAGATTAATTTAGTCATTTTTAAATCTTTTTACCAAAACTTCTTCTGGCATTTTCTCTAGGTTTTATCTATAGGGTAGCATTCCCATTTTACAGATGAAGAAGCTTTGTATGTTGAGGTAGAAACTTAAAGAAACCCACTAACACGAATTTTGAACACATACTCTCCATAATTAATCCTTTTGAAAACCTAAGCAGGGTGGGGAGAGAATAGAAAGTGAACTGGTTTGCTACTAATTCAGTGTAGGAGAGACCATTATTTTAAATAGTGGTTTTAAAAAGCTATTTAAGTTGAAACCCCATGATATTCTGATTAAGACACATGGGACCATGATCTGCACTGAGGTGGATAACTGTGGCCTGCCAAAATTTCTACTCCAAAATTCCCCCACAATATTTTAAGAGAAAAGTAAAACAAATTAAGACAATCAACTCTCAAACCACACTTGAAACACTTCTTCCCAGGCTGTGTGTGTCTAACTTTATATCAATTTCCATTTTCTCCCCAAGCACTCAAGATGATGTAACAACAGCATTGAGTGGCCTAGAAGTATTAAACCTTAATAAGAGCAGGAATATATTGAAATGGTTTTTATTTAAATGGACCTATAAACTTTAACTTTGGAAAAGCCTCAGGTAACTGTAAAAAAACATAGGACTGTATTTTTAAAATTTGTCCAGAAAAGATCCTTTAAGCTACTTTACAGTGGCTTTCACCAAAAGAGACACTGCAAAAGGGAATCAGTTAATACATACCAACTTAAAATTCTTCTAAGCAGTCATGGGCGTGGGCGTCACTGGGGTGGAGAGACCACAGTCCGTTTAGAGGGAACAAAGATGTTTAAGAAAGGAATAATTCGGGGCTGGGTGAAAAATAACTAAGCAGGTTTCTGTCTCAGAATGGATAAGGGTTTTTCCACTTCCCTTCCACTACAAGCCAGTGGCTGACTCCAGCGCATCCACACACATCCGGCGCGTCCAGACCAGGATGTGTCACACATTAGCTGTTTTGCAACGACATAGAAGAGTCTGGGATTTCTTCTCACTTTATCCCACCGCATGAGTTGCCCTAAACTGGGCTGATTTTCTGCAAAAGCCTACAACCTTCACCCAGAACTTGAACGGAAAGGTTGGTGGGAGGAACATTACTCTTTTCCCAGAGCTCCCACGCTAAGCCCGCTCCCCTTGGGCCTCGCACCCGAGGCCCTATCCTACCTTGAGAAGGTATTTGTCCACGATCTCCAGGCCGCAACTGTTGCACACACACTTGCCAGGAGGGCAGCCGGAGCCCGAGGCCATGGACCGGGGCGAGGACGACGGGGACAGCGGGGCCGAGGAGGAGCACGAGTCCTCGTCCCCCGCTCCCTCGGGGCTCACCTGCAGGAAACCGCGAGGCGCAGGCGGTTCTAGACCCCTCCTCCCCTTCGCATCCCACCTACCCACAAGGGCGCCCCCACCGCCTCCCCTCCCTTCCCCCTGGCCACCCCACCCCACCCCCAGCTTCTTGAGGTCACGATTCTCGCCCTCTTCCCCGAGTCCAAGCTCTGGCTACGCACCCGCTGGGGCTGCCGACCCCTGACCTATTCGGACCCCAGAAGTCTTGCGGCCCTGCCCTCCTCGCGGGCCAGCTAAGCTTCCCACCCCACCCAGACCCTCTCCGCCCCGTCCTCTGTCTGCTGCAGGAGGGGCCAGCTGGGCCCTGGAAGGAGCGCGGGGACAGCGGCCCTTCGTCCTGCGCCGCCTCCCCACGGCCAGTCTTGCCAGCACGCGAGCCCCTCCGCACTCACCAGTCCCTCTTCCCCGGCGCCTTTGCGAGTCCTCCCGGCCGCCAGGGCTGTAGTCCGCCCGCACTCCTCTGACATGAGCCCCTGACACTGCGGAGTAGGAGGGGGAGAAAGTATGGAGAAACAGATCAGAAGTTCCGAGCGTGCTGCCCGCCCCAGCCTCGGCGCGGGGAGCGAGCTAATGAAGGCCCTCAGAGTGCGGGGCAGCGCGTGCAGCCGTCACGGCGCCTGAGCCCGGGCGCCGCGGGCGGGCTGGCGCGCAGCCTCCTTCGCTGGCCGCTGGCGGCCGCCACCCGAGCGCTGGTAGCTCGTCCCGCGCTCCCCGGGCTCCGGGTCTCCGGCGCTCACCCGGGCACGTCGGTTCCCCGCCCCCCCGCCGGGGATAACAAGTTAATAACAATCATCCCCTCACAAAGCTCTTTCTTTCCAGACGTCAATCATAGCGGAGCGGGGAACACCGGGCTAAAGGGGGTGCGGGGCAGTGGGAGGTGGAGTGCGAGAGAAGAAAAGAGGATTGAGGAGGGGGTGGGAGAAGAAACTAGATTTCTTTAATAACCTCAATTAAAAGAGCAAGACACATATATATTTTAAAAAGGGGGCTTTTTGAATAGGATAGCCCGAAAGGTGAAGAGGTTTAATAGGATACTTGAAAGCTAATTACAGCGGGATTTAAGAAGCCTGGTGTTTGTTCCGATGACAATTTGAATGAAAATGCTTCAGATTAAACCGAGCCAGCAGCTCTTTCGTAAACTTACAGCAATTAGAGTGGCGAGTGATTTACACTCGTTTCTTTAAGGTGTAAATTGCCACTTATTGCTCAGTAAGTCAACATTTGAGCTACTAAAGGATTATTTTTAACCAGCGCAAAAAGCGGGTAGAATAATGGAAAATATCCAGCTGAATTTAATTTGTGCCATTAAAAGAACTCACCCAACCTCTGACAAAATGTTTTAAAGAAACAACGCGCGTTACTCAAGTGTTTCCAAGTATTTGCTGGAGTTTTGTTCTTAAACGAAAACGCAGCGTCCCTGGGCTTAGACCGCTTTCGTTTCCAAAAACTCTAGCTCGGGGGCGGGTGGGTACCCCGAACTCGAGCGGCTCGCACTTCTGCATTTCTGACTGTTCGCCTCCCCTTCTCCCTCCCTCTGGAAGCACCAGGCAAGATACCAACCTGGGGGCCTCCCGGACCGTCGGCCGAGACCCTCCCTTTCTGGGGTGCGCTCCCTACGCGGGACCCAGCGTAGCTGCACTGAGGCCGCGTCCTCACACACAAAGGGCGTTTAAACAGAACAGCTCCGCTTTCGCCTGGTGTCCCCAACCGGCTTCGGAGCAAAGAAATAGTCAGGGGCGCCCCGCGCGCGTCCTGCTGAGGCCCTCAGACAGGCTGCAGATGATTTCAAACTTAAAACACCAAATACCCACAGGTCCTGCCTCCCGAGTGAGGTGAGAGCTTGTCAGCTTCCCCAGTCTACTCAGACAAACCGCGTGACTCGTTTTGTGCCCTGCGGTTTTCTTTTGGCATTTTAGGTAAAATGGCTCTCCCGGCAAGCCCAGGGATCCCGGAGGCCTTTCTGGAGCCCCGCAGAGGGAGGTGTGCCTCAGGGCAGGCAAGTGTCCGCGGGCAGCCGAACGAAACGAGCCAGGTCTCCGGTTCCACCCGACAGCCGCCCAGTCCTCCCGACCCACTCTCCCGGACCGCCACGATCACCACAGCAAATAGAACAAAAGCACGACTCACATGGACCTGAGAGCGCCTTAGGCTCGAGGCTTCATCTCCCAAATTACAGTCTCCATGTCTCAGGTTAAGTGAGCTTTTGGGGAGGGAGTGCAATGATTACTGACTAACGCTACTACGTAATAAAAAAAAAAAATTGCCAGGTCTGAAGATGAGGCCGTTACAGGTAGTTTCTGAACCTTGTTTAGGAGCCCAAACAACTCGAGTTTCAAGGACACTGCGATTCAGCTGGTCTGGCCAGGCGTCGGCTCGCTCACCTTCTCAGGGGGAACTGCCAGCTCCGGCACGTCCTTTGCTACTAGTTTACACACAAACATCTGATCGTTCTTCCAATACATGGCACTGCTAGGGCTGCTTATCACATACCAACTCCAGAGGGTCAGAGGCTGTCCGTGTCTGCCGATCTCCCCCCTCCCCCGCCCCGATCCACTAATAAAAGCTGATGCCGAGAAGGATAATGCTACAAGTGTGTCTTCGTCCAAAGAGGCCGCTGTGGCCTGACCACTTTCTGATGAACCGTTCTTAAAATTCCTTTCCCAGCTTCACTGAGCTCTGAGTGAAGTGAGCACTGAGCTTTTCCTGAGTCCCTCCAGGAAAAGAAAAAAAAAAAAGTTTTGTTTTCCAGAGGGTGGAACCTAATATAAAGGAAGGGGGCGTGTGGGGGAAAGTCTTTCCTGGAGAAATTGCTTCGCCTCTTTCAGGAAAACCCGCCTTCTCTACATGTTAAAATCTTTATCAGAACACGCCAACTGACTTCAGGTTTAGTACTAAAGAAAAAAAAATTGGGGGATGTCCTGTTAACTTGACTTTAAAAAATCTGCTGTCTGCATTTGCCATAACTTTTAAATTCTCGCTCCCCAACCCAAACCTAAACAAAGATTCAGGTTACATCTCTTTCTGCAGCAAGCAGAAGGGGAAGTGGAGGTCTGGGTGACTTGAAAGTTTTAGTCATTCTCTTGAAACTCGCAGCTGTCCGGTGTAGCCGAGGAATGCCACCGCTCCTGGCAGCCTGGGAGCTGACTTATCTAGCAGTTCGCGCTCCCTTTCCGAAAAGTTTTCTCATTAAGATAAAGAAGGAACATCTGAGCAACACAAAAGCTTATGATTTGCGACTAGATTTGAAATCAAGGCTACAAGAAAGACAAAAGTATGTTGCTAATGAGTATTGCTCTTTCATCTCCTAGACAAAATGTAAGCCCGAGCAGCCTTGTCTTCTGCCTCAAGTTCTGACTGCGGGGCGGGGAAGCGGCGGAGGGAGGTATTCAGGGTACCTTAATTTTGATTAAGATTGGAAGGTGTGTTTGTTTAAACAGACTCTTTGTGGTATAAACTTTATTTCATTATTTAGTGTATAAAGACAAATTTGGTTAAAAGATTATTTTTAAATGATTTTTGTTTCCATTTAAAAAGCTAAACTTCTGAAACTAAGAAGATCTAGGAGTCTATTTCTTAAAGGCCTTTAACAGAATCATAGGATTTTGCTTTAATTAGATGGAAATATATATGTAAAACACACACACGCACACACACATATCTTATCTCCTTGCCTTATTTGTATAGAAGAAAAAGAGCGAAATGATCTTGCCCAGACCCCAGCTCGGTCAGCAGCCGGCTAGCGGAGGAGATAGATAGCCTTTCCTGTGATGAAGTGAGCCTGTGTAAGAGTCTGGGACCGAGTTACCACTACAAATTTAGTTTTTCCTCCATTGCATTTTTCTCCCATAAACACTAGAGTCTTCAGAGCATTTTCCTATCGCCATTGTTTTTCTTTTCGCGCAGCTGCGCACAAGTTAATATTAGCCATCCCCCTGCCGGTCCTCTCTGGGAGATCTCGTTTAAATTTACTGAGCGAAGGGAGGAGGACGATATAATTAATCTGTGCCCTCTTAGAAAATTGAAAGATTGGGGTGGACTGACTTTTCAAAAAGCTAACTTGTGCGTGGGAACCAGAAAGACTTGTGTTTTTCATCAAATGCAGAAATCGGTATTGGGGGTGGTGGAGAAATTCACATAATGCATTTTCCATGAAATAGCATCGTTGTGGAGACCGCTCTTCCGAATGGAAAGTCAGAGTCGTGCAGAACATTGGCGCCATCAGGTCGTGTATAGAGCAGGATTTCGTTGAAAGTGGAATTAAACATAAAGGTCCGGTTTGGATATTTAATTACAGTGTGTGTGTGTGTGTGTGTGTGTGTGTGTGTTAGGGTTTAAAGTGAATCTGGGGTACTGTCTGGCTACTATCGAGGAGAATTTATCGCGCGGGTCATTTGGAGATCCAGAGAGAGCTGGAGCTGTGTTAGGGAAGCAGGGCGGGGGTGCGGGCATTTATGCGGTCTTTCCACCCACCCTCGCCTAATCAGGCGGCTCTCAGTCAGGTTTTCAAAATACTAACCTTGATCTAAGAGCGTCTATCTCTGCATAAGTGGAGAAAATGATTCATTTTTAGAGGTTTCTGGGCTTGGGGAAGAAGAATGGTCGTCAGACAGGAGCAGAAGACGTGAAAGATTGGTCTGGCCTCGCTTTACTCCAGGCGCCTTGTGGGATGCTGACCTGTCCCGGGGTGCAGCTGCGCGCACCCCTCCTTGAGCTGTAAGCCTCTGGGCGGTGAGTCAATTTCTATGTCCTGGGCGGTATAAGCCTTTGGCTGGGGGTCGAGTGTGCAAGAAGAGGGGAATGTGTTTGCTATGAATCCCAGGGCTGATCGTCCTGTCGGTCTGGGGTCCAACGACCTTCTGACCTTTTGTCAGGGGTGGGCGTACGAAGGTATAGCTTCTTCCTGGTGGCCCGGTTCCCTGGAGCTCGCGTCACGCCTCTTACCCACGCTCATCCTCGGCTGGGGCAACGGAAAAGTTATCTTCCTACTTTACAGGGGTGCGCTAAAAATCAAAAGAGTTTTTGTTTGTTTGTTTGGTCTTAGTAATGAGGGTTTTTAGCCCAAACGCCAATTGATTCCAATTTTGAACGAAGACTCTGATCAAAAAAACATCATCTTATGTGTCCACAGGTGGAAAAGCAATCGCCTGCGTCGTGACAGTTCCTACCTACTAAATTGAAAATTTGAAAATCAGAGGCGGCAGGCCCACCCAAGGTGTCTACCAACATCCGTGGACCACAGGGCTTTTTGCAAGCCCATGGGAAAGACAGCCTGAGAGACTTCGGAGTGCGTCCTGTCCCAGGCTGTGCCTCTCCTGCTTAAGGGAAGCCTTGAGTGTATCTCCCTAAAAACAGATGGGGGCAGGGAAGGGGTCTAGATCCCGTGGAGCCAGGCCTTGATTGGAGGTCCGGGCTGGAGAGAGGGAACATCAACCCGCCCTGACCCCCACAGCTTCCACTCACCCGAAGAGCTGCCTAATTGGGCTGCGAGCAGCTGCGAAATTTGTAATCGTCTAATGAGCCTTCCGCCTCGGTAATTCTTATCAAAAGGCATAAAACTGATATTTTCACACTCAGCTCGCACTGCAGGCGCCGTTTATAAACATCCTTCATCAGTGGGATGAAATTAAGCCTGCATTGACAGAGGTCTCTGGAACTCGATATTTAAAAGCAATAGATCCGAATTAGCAAATTATAACTTTAAGTAGGGAAAGTCCCCACCAACTTGACTATTGAACCCTTTGCCTCTGAGCTCCTCGGGGTGAGTAACCACACGTTTGAGAGAACTTAACCTGGAGGTTCTGCGGTGCTCAGGCAATCTCCGGAAACTCGGATTCCCGAAACTGCCCCTGCTACGGCTCCTCCCGCCCGCCTTCTAGGGACTCGCCTGGGTCAGACCTGTGGAGATCGGGGCGAGGCACAGCTGGAGCCTGAGAGAAAACGTGGTCAAAGGAGGCGCATCCAGGACTCCCGGGCGGCCTGCAGGCGCAGAAACAGAGCCCTGCTCTTGCGGACCCGAGCTTTCCCTGGCCCGCGGCCCTCACCGCCCACCTCCAGGGCTCCAGCGCCAAGGGTACAGTGGGCCATAGGACTGTAGGAGGCGGTGGAGGATGGGGAGACTTTCGCGATCATAAGAAGGTGCGGATTCTGGCAGAATTCTGGTTGGCGACTCCTTCGATCCCTGAAGGTGAAATCTCAGCTAAAACCACTCTGAAACTGTGGATGTCACACTTGGTTCAGGGTTAGGAGACCGTGTCTTTGGATTTTTGCCCATCACGTGTAACCATTATAAATATTAGTCTGGAAAAAGACTTTAGGAGATTGCTTCTAGAGGTTCTTTCCACAAACTTACCCTGCTCAGAATCTGCATAACCCCTCAGAGATGGCAGAGCTGTATACGGGCTCACCTTGGGACTTACCGGTCCCAGACTCCGTTTTATACCTTGCTACCCACAGTTTCTGAGGGTAAGAGAGGGGTGCTTTTATTCACGCCAGTGGAGGTCGCCAAAAGCGGGCGAGGGCCTCCGTCTGGGACCCACTGGTCTCTCTCCCACTGTGGGCCAAGACTGAGGTTTGATGGGCTTCCCAGCTGGGCAAGCCTGCTCCACGCGGGACACCCGGGAATCCACTGGCGGGCAGACCCTGCCTTCGCCACCCGCCCCGCGGCATTCCTCACTGCGGTCTGATGCGCCAGCTGGGGCCAGTTGTTTCAAGCGGTTCTGGAGGACCAATAGCGGAAAGCCAAGTTCTGCGACCAAGAGTCTGTACGAGTGACTCGGTGTTTCTTTCCAGCCGGTTCGCAGAGCGCCAGTAAGCTCTCCCGGTCCGCTACGGAAGAAATAGGGGAAGCGTTTCCAGTCTAAGAGAGAGGATGGGAGAGAGAAAATTAGGAACCACGCCGAAATTAAGCAGGGCAGCCTGGAAAGCTTCCCGGCTAAAAGCTATGGCGCGAAACGCTAAAGTCCATCACACCATTTATTCATTGTGACATTTCCAAGCCGACAATAGCGCCTTAAGCACGCCTGTGGTTTGGAGGTGCCGGTTTTATATGCATTTTACTGTTTAGAATGATAAACAAATCAGGACCAATGGAAACCTGATTCTAACCTCTTTCTACAGAACTCTGCCTGCATAATTCTGTAAAAGCCGAAATCCAAGGTGGCCAGAGAGAGAGAGAGAGAATCCAACTCTCTACCCGCCTCCCTTTACCGCGTTTCCCTACAAGTCCTAGGCAAACCGGGCAGATATAGCCTGGAGTTCGCTGATCAAGAAAGAGGATGGAACCGAGGCCCTTCAGGCTTCTCCTCCCCTTCCACATCCCCGTTTTCCCACTTCCCCAGGGATGTCTGAAAGCCCAACTCGGCCAGTGTGGCAGGAAAGTTAAACTTTATCTAAGTGCAAAAACCAGATGGTTTTCTCGGTTTCTGGGGATAGGTGAGAGGCAGAAGTGGGGCTGTGTGAGCCTCCTATTCACAGGCTTGGATGACATTTTGATAAGGGAACCCTCAGCTCAAGTTGTTAGCCAGGGTGAATGAGCCCCACACAAGCCTGCGCCGACCGCCCACAACTTTGGTGTCTAAGGTTCTCCCCAGCAACACTTCCACCTCCGGTGTAACTCGTAAAGCTATGCTTTTACAAAAAAAAAGTTGGCCCAAGAATCTTGAGCCATGAATTTTAAAAACTTAAATAACTTCTATATGCCATTTCTGCTACAGGAGACTGGTTCTTGTAACTGTGGCAAGGTTTTCTTCCTTTCCTTCCTATCCTCCTCCTCTCCCTTCCTCCTTCCCTGCTTGCCTTCCTTCCTTCATGGGAGTTCAGGGTTTAAGAGGTAGGCAACGTGTTATTATAGTAAGAGCACAGGTTTGAAGTTAGTAAAATATGTAATGGAATTTTGAGCAATTTAAATTTTTAACACTTGAGCTTTCTCATTTGTAAAATGAAGATGGCATCACTTGGAAATTGTCATAAAAAATCACAATGTTGAATTAAGTGCTCATCCACACAGGAGGTTCTTAGTGAACATAATGTTTCTCCTACCACATCCTCCTTCACCTCTCTAGAGAGGTCTGGATGTAGAGGAGCCACCAAAGGCCCAATTTCCCCAGTGAAGGGTAGGTCAATGTTCTTCAGCGAGTTGACCACTTCTAGGGGTTCAGAGGGTCATGAGGTTAGACGCACCTCCCTGGGCTGCAGAGGCTCCAGAGATGAGTGCAGCTGCCTGTAGCCACCTCTGTCGTGGCAACTAGGCCCAAGGATGCACAATGAACACCTTTTTCATCTCCTTTGTCGCTGGTTTATTTGAGAGTTAATCTATAACATTTAAAAATGCTTGGCACCCTTCTGTCAGTTTGCACAACCTTCTGAATATTGTGAAAATGGCAGTAATCATAGCTGTTGATTATTATTTGTCAAATGCCCCCACTGACGTTATGGCACACAACCCTACTTTAATTTATCCAAAGCCCTATTTTACCAAGCCAGGGCAGAATTCAAACCCAGACGTCCGACGCGAATGCCTGACTTTTAACTACTTTGCGGTGTTTGTCCTCTTTAGGGTGAGTTCAGAAATGGACACTTTCAGTAAATGGATTCATGATAGTTCTTTACCACTCCAGCACAAGTGGTCCAGCCGCTAGCCTCTTGCCTCTGCCCACTTCCGCTGAGCAGCTGGGGGGTGCCTGGTGTGCTGTGGGGAAGAGCGCCACCTTCCCACGCCTACTCTTGCTGAGGTTAAACAGCATTTCAGTGCCGAATAAAACGGCCACGAAGGGGAAAAAGGAGAACGCTTAAATCGGCGGTAAAATCGTTCTCTCTCCTTTTCCTTGCAGATTGCATAATTTGATGTCTAATCATCAGCAAGTGGAACAAAACCTGGATTGAATAGACGGTGACTCGATCTCCGTACAGACTGAGGTCCAAAGGTCTGCGCTCACTTCTGGAACTTTCCTTTTGGGCCTTGACCGAACTCCTGTTATTGTGTGCAGTAGCAGAGGCTGCGCTGCGTGGTTCAGTTTGTGCAAAGGCTATTTATTGTTTCTCATTTACTGACCACTCGGGAGAAGCCTTTAGCAATAGTTTTTCCCGACACAAACTTGAATAAAGTCGACCCCTGCAGTTCTTCCTGAGGCTCTACAAGCTTCCTGGATGCAGGAACCATGTGCTGTTCTGACGACGCTCCGAAACCTAGTTCAGTGCCTGGCACTAGACAATAAAAAATTGCTTTCTGAATGAAAGTATATGCTGGCAGGCGCAGGGGGTTTCATGTCTTTCTCTGCCTTCTTAATTCTAGCGCTCCTACGTCTTTGCATAGGTACCTTCTTGCTCAGTTCCTGCATCTTTCAAGCCCTTGAAGAGCTAGGTAAGAAAGGGCATGAAAATTCTGACATAATAATTAGCAAGTGGCTTGTTATTTGTCAAACGCCCCACTGATGTTGTGGCATATACAACCTCACTTCTTTAATTTGCCCAAAGTCATATTTTACCAAGCCAGGTCAGAATTCAAACCCAGACATCCGACACGGAGGGCTGACTTTTAATTACTTTGCTATTTTGTCTTATAACAGAGGCTTATAAGCTTATAACCTCCAAGGGATCCTCAGGCATTATGCTTCATTTGAGTTCTTCCCTCCTGCGAGTCCTTCAGACCTCAGCGTTTGCAATTAAATTGGGAAACCTACTCTGAGTGCCTAAGAGACCAACTGAGTCAGAGCCTCTGTTTATACAGGAGGCTCTGGGGGCGGGGAGGGGCGGCCAGTAGGAATGTGTTGGATAGGAGAAGCCAAGCCTGGGGCAAGCCCCCATAGACAGACTCTGGACGCGCACTTGGAAATGCTGTGTGTGATGGCCAGACATTGATGTAGGTTTTGGCTTGCTTCAGGGTAAAAAGAGGACCCAAGATGGACAGTCAGAATGGGAGCTGAGGTCATTTGGAGCCAGGCGCTGCTGCACGCCATCCTCTCTGGCCTAGAAAGGAGATACACCTTCGTTTACAGTCCACAAAGAGGAGGAAGAACACGGAGGAGACGCGAGGGCAGTAGATGGAGTCTTCATTCTTGAGTACGACAGGTCCCACTCTACAGCGGATCACAGTAGTGTGCCCTGGGTGCCTTGGTGGCTGGGCCTAGTCTCTCCCCAGTCACAGTCCATCCAAGCAGAAACAGGCCCTTGTCTAGGAATTGGCTGGGATTCCAAAGTCCTGAAAAAGGGCTGGAAGAGACCATGCAAACTGGAATGGTTTTACCAGCGCTTGCGATATTGAAATTACTCAGCGCTAAGGGAGAAACCACTAGGTTTCTTAAGACTTGGTGTGTCTTCTTGGCAGACACACCAAGAAGATTTGCGAACTCAGCTATAGCTGCTGTAGGCTTAGAAACACGGCAAAAATTGTTTCAGAAGTGATTAATCCCATTTATTTCCCTCAAATACCACCCCCCTTCCTCAGAAGGGCCTCCGACAGGTGTTTATTATTATTACTATTAATTTTAAATGGAGTCTTTAGGTTGTTCCAACTTTCAGTAATAACACCCTGATGTGGCTAAGCTCTTTACAGTTTGCATCATTATTGTTTTTGCATCTCAAAGTTTTGGGAAGAAATAAATAGGCGGCAGTTTCTTTTGAAGCTTTTAATACATACGATGCCTTTTTAAGGTTTCTTTCCCCTCCTCTCCTTCAGAATACTTCTGCCCTGCTTCGGTAGTTTCGGGGTATTGTGTGTGGGGAGGAACCTCTTGCATTTAAAAAAAAAAAACCTGGATTAATACATGTAAATCTGTCTTTTAGAGGTCAGGATACAGAAAAAAAGCAGGCAGTAAACTAAGCCAGAATTCCTGCTTCTTTAAACCACCCTTCCTCCCAGGCTGAGACAACTTTTTTCCTAAAAAGACTGTATTTCTAGAGATGAATTTGCATCCTTTTATAAGAAGTAACATGTATTGTTTAGCTTTGCCCGGCTTTTACATATGTTGTCATATGTATTCCTCACAATCTTCTGTGAAGTAGGTATTATTATGCCTGACTCACAGATGGGGAACCTGAAGCTCAGAGAGGTGTCCCACATTCTCACGACAAATTAGAGACAGAGGCTGAACCTAAACTCATTACAAGGTCTTAACCATTGTGCTGCATGTAAAGAATATTTTGCGCCCTTGCAGGTTGGCTGTGTGGCTCCTCCCAGTCTCCTGAAGTATTATAATAGAAGTGAGAATTCTCTTAGAAGACCTTGAGGATGGCGGGACTGGGGGCGGGGTAGGAGCGGCGAGTCTTGAGGGACCTGAGTACTGCGCCGGGTCAGTTAGGTGGAAATGGAGTCAGGCGGAAATGGAGTTAGGCACGTGTGGAGCCTGGGCCTGGGATGGGGGCGGGGGTACCGGGGGGTGGTTGGATGGTCTCCAGGATGGCAATCAGCCAGGGGAGCGAGATGGATCGCGTGATGGGCGAACACTTTCTCATCGCCTGCTGGTCATAAATATTGTTGCTTTTCCTTGGTAACACCCCAACGCCCGAGGCGAGGCGGAGGCCCGCAGGGCGCCACCATTGGGAGTTGAGGCCCTTTCTCTCTCCCGGAGGCCTGGGCTGGCGCCTGCCTTCGAAAGCGACCTCGAGAGAAACGCCCTGGAGTCAGGCAGGTCCCCACGGCTTTCAGGCCCCAGTTCTCCAGCCCCAGTGCATGTTGGGAGCATCCCCACCGCGCGGTGCACTCCGGGAGGCACTGACGCATTTGGGCGCAGGGCTGGGCGACGAGAGCGGGTGCCCCGGAAACAAGCTCTGTTCAGAAAGCAGGTGGAGGACCTGTGTGATCCTCTCCCCCGCCCTTCCTCATCACTAATCCAAAGTCGGTGTGGGTGGCCGCGGCTCCGAGAGCCTGGACGCCTACCCAAGGCCAGGCCCTGAGACAGGCTCCTCGCCTCGCCCTGGTGGGTTTGACCGCCGCCCTCCTCGCATCCTTTTCCGTGGGAAACCCCAGGGCAGAGGCTTGGGTTTCACATGGGTAACATTCTTCTCCTGGAATCAGATCGGTCTTCCAGAGGATAAGACCTTTCTTTCCTGAGAAGGAGAGCCTGAAGGAGACTCAAGGCCCAAGCCCTCCTTCCCTCAGCCGTATCTACTGGTAAATAGGTAGGTAATTCTTGTCCAACACTTCAGAAGTCCCGCTGTGCACATTCGAGCACCCCACAGAACGCTGTGAAAATGAGAGGAAAAACCACAACAGAAGCCAGCAACAAACAACAAGGCCACGGGGGCAAGGCCTAACTAGGTCAGAACAGACATGTGCCTGAGCTGTCCCGTGAGGTGGACAGGCTCCGGATGCCCGAGTCGGCAAGAAAGGCTGGAGGGAGCGATACGGCCGGGTGAGGCCGCTGTCGTTTCGGAGTGGCTTCGCCGCCTGCCTTCCTCGGCGCGGCGTCTAGGCGGGCAGGCAGTAGCCCTGGAGGGGCCAGGCGCTAGGGGCCTTGGGCCTGACCATCACCCTGGAGGCCTGCGATTTCAGCCTCTGGGAGGGCTTCCTCGGGGATTCGAGTTTCTTCTACTTGGCTTTAGTTCCTGTGCCAGCCATAGCCCTTGGTCCTTAGAACTTTTAATACTATGGTGTAATGCTTGGGCAAATACATGTAACTGACCACGCACGAGTATACAGCCCTTTTAAAAGGTAAAAGGAGTGTGTGTGTGTGTGTGTATGTGTGTGTGTGTGTGTGTCTACCTACGCGCGCGCCTGTGAGATTCTTCTGGGCTGAGAATGTTTTCCCTTCCAAATGATGGATAGAAGGCCTTAGATCCTCTGAATTTCTTAGGTTAAATCAAGGACTTATTTCCTTTTCCTATGATTAGTTTCTTTTAACATGTATTAATAATTATATCATTAATTTTGGCCACCCTCATAGAAGTTTAATGCCAATATATAAGAGAATGCAAAAGGGAAAATATTTGTATGCCAAGTTTAGTCTGGAAAAATATCAGTAGCATTTCTTATTTGACAAAGACATGCACTTAAATTTTTTTTTTCCCAGTTGGCAAGGGTATTGTTTTTAAATGTATATTCCATGATTATTGTTTCTGTTTGGTACTTTGGTCATTTGGAACACATCTGTTTCTGATATTGTTCCTGTGTTAAGCACACACTGTTGTGTTAGCAAGATTTTACACCATCTAAGAAAATTCTTGCCAGTGCTATTTGATGCCCTGTTGAACTTTAGCCAAACTTCATTTTATAATGTTCTCTCAGTCCTGAGCATATATAATATATTTTAATGAAATTACGCTTCTGTATTGACTGGCAGACATCAGAAACACATTCACATAGGTCAAAAGCAGTTGAGCTAAGTGTTGGGTGGGAGGAACTATTAAAACAGTACAGGAAAAATATTTGGAAACAAAACAAAACTTTAAAATAAAATAACCCAAATAAACAATTCTCTCTCTCTCTCTCTCTCTCACACACACACACACACACACGCACACAGAACTTGGATGTGGCTATTGGGAGTTAATGTATAATTCTGATAATTTGTGTATTTCTTCATTATATTAAACTTGGAATTTATATTTTTGACATTATTCCAAAGGTGTAATAATTGACTTTTAAAATAGAATAACATTGTAATGGGATCATATTAAGCATATATTAAATGTAACACAAATAAGCACTGAGTCTACCTAAAGTGGTATTTTTTTTTAATTTTGTGGCTACTCAGGGGTTTTGCATTATATTATCAAAAGCTAACAACCTTAAGGCCATTTGTGGTAATTCAAAAAATGTTCAAGCATCTATGCTTGATGGCTAAGCTTATATCTAACAGTGGAATAACTGCAAGGCAGGAATTGGCTTGAAAAAGCAAATATTGGCTGTGTATTTCAAATATCTTTTCTAGAATGGAACACTTTGGTTGATAGATTGACCTATTTTGTTTACATCCAATATGTGTACCCCAGTATAAAACTTAAAAAATGGCAATTTCTCATGATATTTTAGTTATAAGTCTAGAAATATCAACCTTGACATTTGGTTTAATAAGCTTCTGCCACTTATTCCTAGATCAGTATTTTTCAATTGACAAATAAGTTTTCTTTGCGATCTACCAAAACCAGGTTGTCACATTCTTTTAGTTGTTACCTGGACAGACTGCTTTTATTGCTCATTAATCAGATGCTGTGGTTAAGGTGTGTCTATTAAATAACTACTTAGGGATGTATCGTCATTCTGTTTGTTTATTTAAGAAAACAAATTTTTGTTTTGGTGTAATTTCTAAATAAAATATATTCATGGTAATGTGGATAATTGACATTATTTATACAAATCATTTGGAATTGAGTACCTTGTTAACTGTGTAATAAGTATGGTTATAAAAAGAGAATGAGTATCATAACATTTTTGCCTATATACACTTTTAAATATTTATCAGGATCTACATTTTTCTTAAACTGTTAATTTGGATGTGTTGAAATGTAGCCTATAAATTTCTTTTTAAGTAATTGTTACTAAAAAACCTTATGGATCTTCACATGTCTGGTTCCAATTAATCTGCTTAGACTAATGGATAAAATAATAAACCTGATTTAGTCAATCTGGACTTCTATATGAGTTTTCTATGTGCCTCTTTAAGGTCTAATGCCTTCTCCTACACATATTTAGTTCTTAGTTATACTCTTATAAAACGTGGGATTGGAAGAATAATTAATTTGATTCATTTTCTTAAAAAAATTTTGCAGTTACATCAGTACAAAAAGGCATCTTCAAATGAGTGTCAATGATTATCAAAAGAAAACTATATACATCTTTGTGAATTTAATTAATCAAGTATGTATTGAGCACCTACTATGTACCAGGAACTGGGGATACAAAGAATAAGACATGGGTGGTCCTTGTTCTCAGAAAATTCTCAATCTTTTAAGGAGACTGACAAAAATACAACTAGCTCATCCCTGTAATTCTTTAATGATTTTTATCTACCCCCTGGACTTTGAATTAGTAAAGTATCAGATGATCCCAATACTTTGTGTATGTTTTAAAAATCTTAAAGGCATTAAAATAGTAAAGTATCAGATGATCACAATACTTTGTATATGAATTAGTAAAGTATATATATCACAACACTTTGTAATGTATCACAATACTTTGTATATGAATTAGTAAAGTATCAGATGATCACAATACCTTGTGTATGTTATAAAAATCTTAAAGTTGAATCTTAAAGTCATTTGTGTGGAATGAAAGCAAATTACCCCCACAAGGCTATCGGGAATTAATTTATGGCTCTTGAGATAACCTATACCTTCTGTACTTTTTCAGGTATGAGGAGGGGATGGGTTTAACTTGGTGTTCCTAAAACATCTGCTGGATTGTTTTGAGTCTTGCATCATAATTATTCCTTTGGTCTGTTGTAGAATCTGTTGAAAGAGTGGTGATTGGGTACAGTATTGGGGCTAGTTTTTTAGTTTGTTGGATTTTAAAACCTGAACAGCTCTTTTCCTCTAACCTTTCCCTCTCACTTTCCTACATAATAATTTTATATTTTTATTATGGAAAACTTTTAGATGATTAGGGGAGGAAGGAGGATTCTACAGATACTATCTTTCAAGGCAATATATTACTGAAGTCAGTATTTGCTGTTTTTCCACCATATATTTGCTAGCTTTGGGGATTAATTATCCCCAAACTGCAAAGCTGAGTTTGTTTTTCATACAGACAAATTGGGGATAAACTGTTTAGCAGACTTTCTTGTTAAAAAGTTGAAAGTTTTTGTCTATGGAAAGTTTTGGGAATTTAGAGTAAAAAATTTAGATGTTAAGATGTTTTAGCACTTACAAGAATTACCATAAAGTTAAATTTAGTTACTATCTCTGATAATTTTAGAGATCAACGTATAATTTTCTTCCTTTATACATTGCTGGAAAATATCAGGAGAGAAAGGATAAATTATTCGATTGAATTAATTTAATGCTTTTTACCCCGAGGAAACATTGCCGTTTTAATTGTTTTCTGTTTAATCTTGGGTTTTGGACTAAGTCTGTGTTGTGCTTTTCTTATAGAGAAGATTGCTCCTCATTTTGCCTCACCATAATCACAGACCTGTTTATATGAGCTATTGATTTCTACTGGCATTTGTCACATATTTTATTTCTGATTTCCTCAATTTTTCTCAACTTCTTGTTTCTTAGAAAGGCAGAATGCTGAAGTGAAAGGTCTTAGAGTTGGAATCTACCGACCTGTGTTTTCATTTCAGCCCCTTTGGTTTTTAGCTCTGTGACCGTGGGGAAATCACATAACTTTCTGAGCCTCAGTTTCCCCATCTTTTGGGGAGATAAGGGTCATAAAAGTAAGATATCATTACCCTTTGAAAATCTTTCTGGCTTTTAGGACTAAAACTCTGTTGACAGATTTTCAGGAGTTTTTCTCAAGCCAGCTTTGAAATCTTAGTTCTGACAGTCTTCCAGAGAAGTTTTTCTTCAGGTTATATTCCTGTTGGAGTACCACCATGTCATAGTTTATTTGTGAAAATGAAGTTGTAGCTGAATTCTGGTCTCTAGACTAGCAGGAGTTCCTTTTTCAAAGCTAATCAATATTGTCTTATGAGAAGTTAACTGACTCCAGCTCAGAGTATGAATCCAAGTCTAACAAAATAAGACATATATTTAATGTTATTTTTCAGAGCTTGGAAAATAAGAGCAAAACAATGACACTCATCTCCTAAAGCAAAACTACTCCACAAAATTGTTGAAATTACAAAGATCAAGTGTTACTATTTTAAATCTTCCAATTCTGAATTTTTCAAACATTTGTTAACAGTTGGCTAATTGCTACTGTTGATAATCTGCTTACTCCAACCAATAAAAATATTTGCAAATTCCCAAACCTGTCTCCTTAATTCTTCTATGCATCTTCCTTCAACCTTTAAAGCCTACCTTCAGTGCTGCCTTCCATATGAGCATTTTCACTTAAGCTGGAGGTGATTTCCTTGAGAACTCATATTTACTGAATCGGGCAGTTACTTGGTTATTTAGTTCATGCCCACTGCAAGACACACTGAGTGTGATTCTTCTAATACCCTATCTCTGGGATCTTATTTTTAGTGATTTAGCCTTACAGTTTGGTGTTAAGTAAACACCACTACTGATTCTGGTAAGGCAGAGCTAAAAACAAGTAATGTGATAGGTCATTTGTAAACATAATATACTCTATCTTTATTTCAGAGACTTCTCACTATAAATATGACATGCATTTTTTTTCTGGTTGTTTTAATGGGCTTAGATTGAAATGGCCATCCCCATTCAGGTCTCCTTAGTGGATATCTGCAGGACTAAATTCACAGATGAAGGCAGTGTCCATGGAAGAGACTAATGGGAACTAGGACATTCTGTAGTCTTGGTATGGAGTGTGATGATATTTTACTTTCCAAAAACATATTGTTATAAAAAAGTTTTTTAAACATATTTCCTGGTACTAATTATGGTGGCAAAAACATTGGCATGGCTAATTTTTGTTAGGTGGTTGGCATTTCAGTAGCATCTGGGTAGCACAGAAGTCTCATCATGCTGAATGTGGCTGGGATCTGTGGCCCACTTTACAACTGCAAGGCATTATTACTTCCACTCTCCCCAAAGTATAGCTTATCTCTGTATAAACCACTTCTGTATGCATATCTTTTCTCAACTCATATAGAACTGTGTATGAATTAATCTAACTGATTATCAATACCCATCACCAAAATATTTATAGGTAAGAGTAGTAAACATTGCTGTTGTCACACCAGCATTCATTCTATTCTTCACAGTATTGTGTAGTAGCCATGTGGTTTGACTGGGATTGTCCCTAATCCTAGGCCCAGGAGGTAAATCAATGGAGGTAAATCAATCCTGTCTCACTGATTGATTAATGAATGGTTACAAGAACTCAAGCTCCATAAGGATAGAGACTCTGTTTTGTTCAGTCTGTATTCCCAGTGCCAAAAAATGTACTTGACACAGAGTAGGTGATCAATACTTGTTGAAAGAATGAATGAAGCAAGATTGTCTAGTCAAAATAATCCTTAGGAGTTTTGTTTGATCTTCAGGATGTTGGATAGTCCCTATTTTCCCTAGACATAAACTAGGGAGAATGTAGCAAATGTAGCCATCTTGTGTCCAGGAAGGGTAGGCCCAAGGATAAAACTGACACATGGGGGAAACGAGAGGGCAAAGCTGAGAAAATGAATGAGAATCAGAGCCTCTGTGTTAAAACTATATCTCAACATTACTTCTATGATTTAAACTATCTTGAATTAGATTTTTTTTTAATTCAGCCAAAAGTATCTTAACTGATATACTGAGAACAGCTCAAGGTGTATAACAGAATAATTAGCACCTTCATTACATGTTCTTTTCCTATACATGCTGATTCGTGAGGCTAGGAGTTTAAAGACGAATACAAAACTAGTACAGTTTTGTTTTTGACAGTTTTGACAGTCTTGGACTGGATTAGGGTTTTTGGTAGAAACTCCAAGATGTCAAATCCAAACTTTTTTTTATGTTGTAGTTGAGCCAGAGCCCCTTTCACAAATCAACAAATAGTTAAAAAATATAATTCAGTTTTTTTACATTCAGAGGCTTAGTGAGTATTAGGCAATGTATAGAAAACTTGATGTGTTCCCTTTGGGTACATTTTGGTTATGTGGCTTTTCACATTCACTGAGTTTGATACAATAAGACTATATGTACTTAGAAACAGCGGTCCATGTGGTGTTAAAACATTTGAAGTGGCTATAATCTAGCTATAAAATAGAATATAATTTTTTTTGTTGATCAGAAATAAGGCATCTCTCTTATCTGCCTTTTTTGTTATATATTGAATATCTGTTTAAAAAATTTAAAATTTATGGTAGAATTATAGCCTTAAGCTTTCCTCCAAAACGTAGTTACCAGTGTTTAACATGAATCTGTAATGAATTGAGATTAATCTGAAGTGAAATCTAAACTTATCATTCCATATGATGGAATGTTAATAAGGACATGGAATTTAAATTTTGAAAGCTGCACTCTGGAATGCCATTTGAAAACCAAAGTGAGAGAGGCAATGGAGACATACTAGCCATATAGATTACCTTCTATGATCTGATCCTCACATACTGATTTAAATATTTGACCTTTATGCTTGGCTGGCGTTTTGTGTGTTCCTCTATTTGTTACCCTTTTTGTCCAGATGGGCTTATGTGATTCCCTTACTAGCCTAAAAACTTTTTGAGGTCAGTGAGTATGTCTTATGGAACTTAAGATTGATTCCTAGTACCTCAGATAGTGACTACAACTGTGTTTCGCGAACAAATGGATGGATGAATGAATGAATGACTGTTCCATTTGATGGGATCACAGTGCAAACAATTTTAATGATCAGATAGTAATATGAATGTGGGAAGGGTTTGGTAAAATACCATACAGCATGGGGGCCTATGACGTAGCTTGCTTACGCACATTTAAATTAATTTTGGTTTATAAAAGAACTGTGTTGAGACACTTAAGAAGGTTACTAGTTTGTGATTCGTACATTAAGTCATCTTTTTTAAAACATCTTAACTTAGAGATAAAAGACTCAGCTCTGATACTTACTAGACTTGTGACCTTTCTATGCCTACTTTTTATTTGGCAAATTGGGAAAATAACTTCTTTGACTAAGTACTGAGGTCATTGTGATGATCAAAAGAGATACTGTATCAAGATTTTTTTTAAAATGTGGAGCAATAAGCAAATGTTAGGTAAGTTGTGAATCTCTAGAGAATGAATTGTAAAGGACATTCTAAATGTGAATAAACAGAAAGTCACAGTGATAAGGGCTCATTGGCGCTTAGGGACCATAATGAGGAAGTCTGGTAGTGGTTTCTATTGTAATTCCTATCTAAATTCAGGGGATTTGATTTTGGTAGATAGTGTGGAACCCAGGGATTAGAAATGTTTGGGACTTTCTAAAGACTTTATAATGGAAGTCTTCAACCATGGAAATTCCTGGTTGAATAACAAATGGGTCAGAGACTGCCTAACCTAGAAGGTTATGCACCCGCAGAGATTAACTATGTATCTCCCAATGAATTTGTGCTGATTCTTGGTCTTCCCTTCACAGCCAAGCCTTTACGAAAAGGAAGTTTAAAACCCTTCTGTGGGGAAAGATTTTTAGAGCTATGGCACTAAAGCTCTTTTTCCCCAAGGAGGGAGAGTACATAGACAGAACTGTTGTTGTTGTTGTTGTTGTTGTTTGTTTCTATACACAGAAAGAGACAGACAATCTGAGTGATTAGCAGAGCAGCAGTAGACCCTTTCTTCTGATAGCAAGAGAATGGAAAAGATGGCCTATGGATATTCATTCAATGCATATTTATTGAGCACCTGCTATGGGCCAAGCACTGTGGCAAGCGCTTGGGAAACACTCTGATAAACAGAACAGACCAGTCCTGTCCTTCCTCATCCCTTGATGCTTACAGGCAGATGGCTGGCTGAGATAGACATTAAACAACTTACTCTACAACTGGTTTTTCCCACAGATAGGAATAGATGACAATATAAAAATATTTATGAACCAATTATCTGATGTAGAATAATATCATTTTTCATCTTTTCTCTCCGAATTAATTTTATGCATTCTTTAAAAGAATTTTAAAATGCTTCTTTATTTCTATTTTTCAAGGTTACTGCTACAGCTGATTATTTAAGAATGTATTATAGAATTTAATTCAACCCTGAAAATAGGGATAGGTAAATTCTCGAATATTTATTTACTTTGAGAGCAAAGTAAATAAATAATTAAAAAGCAAAAGAAATGAGAACAAAAGATATGATAAATATTTTAACCATATATCTTTTTAAACCTTTTAATTGAGATACATTTTAGTGATTTCTTATTAGGTGAAACCCTGTTAAAATATATTTCTTCTTACTTATCTCTTATTTTTCTCATCTCATTTGTTGTAGGTGCTCAATAAATATTTGTTCATAATTAAATAAATTCATGGTCAGATCCTGAAGGTAAAAATATAGTGATGGAACAAAGAGATTATACTTTCCTCCTATAGGCTATGACCTGATGGAACTGGTGACTGTAGTTTTAATTTAAAAAAATAAAAAAATAAAAAACCTGATAGTTTACAGGACAGAAAGAATTTAAAACCAAAACACCTCAAAGGCAAACAAACACTATTTAGAAGTTGCTAGCTTCAGAGTCAGTTGCACATCTCAGAATGCTTAATCTTAAGTATTTATTACCTATTTCAGTTTCAGCACAGATATGTTATTTAGAAAACTGTTTTACAGAGAAGTTTTCACATCTGTCAATTATTTCCAGCTACTAGCTAATCTGGTAGTTTAGATCAGAGAAAAATAAATAAACTTACTTGCTTGTCATGATGTAGTTGAAGCTTTCATATATAAGAAAGTATTTTGTATTACTAAGTAACTATCAAATCACTAATTCTACCATTTGATATTCTTTCAAAATATTTTGGGCAATTGAGTCTTTAATTCAGAGTGTCTGATAAAGGGCTTAGATGTTCTTTTTTGCTAAACTTTAAACTGTCTTCTAAATATTTTTGAGAATTTGCTTTCTCAAAAAGGGTATTGCCTATTTTTCTCTATATTGAGTTACTGTTCACTTGTTTTGCTTATAATATTTTCCAGTTTGTGGGTTTACATGGGACAAATACTCCTCATAGATTACTTTCCCATGGCTCTTAAGAAATAAAGTACTTAAAAGTAATGTTGACATATTGATAAATTTTGATATTGTAAAGAGAGAAAAAATTATGGAAATTTGGGTTTTAAAGTAAAGCATAGTTATCTCTTATTTCTGTGAAGTTTCTTAAAATGTTCATCTACCCTAAAGATAACCAACAGGAAACTTAAAACTCCAACTTGAAAGCTTTTGAAAATCATGAAATTCAGGGGATAACTATATACTGCGGCTATTTGCCAGCCAGAAATTCAGAACTAGTCATGTTTCAGCCTTGCTGGTTGAGACTTTCTAAGTCTTATGTATTCCATTCATCAAGATGTTGTTCACTATTTTAATTGCTGGTGGGAGGTGCATTTAAGAAACTATACAATAAATGTCTTATATCTTCAGGTGTTTGCTTCTCTTTGGCTTAGACTCTGGTTTTGAAAAGTCTTCAATGGAGAGGTTAGGTGGAAAAGTCTATTTTCCTTTAAAATGAAGAATGGGCTCTCTAGGGCACACAGTTAGGGTAGAGATCTTTCCTGGACCTACATGGTACCTTTTTTCTGGGGTTCAGTTTCTTTTCACGGTTTGCTCATATAAAGCTTACCAGTTGGTATCCTCTTCTGATTAGGTTCTCCGATGGTCAGTTGTTGTGGCAATAGATAATTGACCAAAGGCATACATATTAGTGATTCTAGAGACTTTCCAGACTTTTAGAAATGGAATCTCACTGTGTTGCTCAGGCTGGACTTGAGCTCCTGGGCCCAAATGATCCTCCTGAGTAGCTATGACTACAGGTGCATGTGTTACTGCACTGGCTTTGGTGGTTTTTAAAGTAAATTGTTACAGGCCAGTACATGCAGTTCTAAACATGTTCACTGCTGATCCTTTTAGGGTAGAGCTCTAGTATCTTTTTTTCCCTCTAAGTAAGTTTAAAATTTAAGCATAGGAAAATGCTTTATTTCAAATCAAGCAATTTACAAGTAAATATTGTATTTGATGTATTTAAAATATGCACAGGTAGCTAATTAAATATATATATACACATATATATACACATATATACACATATATATACACATATATACACATATATATACACACATATATATACACATATATACACATATATATACACACATATATATAGATACACACACACACACACATATATATATATATATATACACACACACACACACACACTTATATATATATATTGAGACGGAGTCTCGCTCTGTCGCCAGGCTGGAGTGCAATAGTGCAATCCCGGCTCTCTGCAATCTCCACCTGCCAGGTTCAAGTGATTGCCCCGCCTCAGCCTCCTGAGTAGCCGGGACTACAGGCATGTGCCACCAAGCCTGGCTAATTTTTTTGTATTTTAGTAGAGATGTGGTTTCACTATGTTGGCCAGGATGGTCTAGATCTCCTGACCTCATGATCCGCCTGCCTCAGCCTCCCAAAGTGCTGGGATTATCATATCTTTAAAGTTTAAGTAAAATGTAATGGGTCAAGCGCAATAAGTGCAATTATTATTTGTATTGGATCTTCTGTTAGATCTGCTTGAGATATTATAGTTTAATCAGAATTTTATCTTTGGAAATGATTTCTAGAGATCTCAGGGTAAGGGAAAATAAAGTAAAACACCACACCCTTAATATTCAAGTCTAACATTTTTTGGCCGCTTTGCTATCGTATCCATTGTAAAGGGGCTTTTTTTTTCTTTTGAGGACACCAAGCCAAAAGTCTCAGCAAGATTTAAATTACAAGTAAAACATCTCTAATTTTAGGACTTTTTTTTCCTCCTCTTTTCCTTGGAAAAAATTTTTTAAATAATATTTTTGATAAAATATCTTAAATTACCAAAGAGAAATGCTAAGTAGAGATTTATGAATGTCTAAAATTACAGTGAAAATAACCAAAATTTCATTTATATTACATGAATGAAAGGTTGATAGTCATTCCATTTGGATTTAAAAAGAAAAAAAACTGTGTTGTGGAAAATGTTATTACGGTGTTTTGAGAAAATTGGTTAGCAATGTATCCTGAATTTATGAGTTGATAAAAGTAATTGATGAGGATTAGAGCATAAAGAAGATATATTTTAATAGTTTGTTCCCAGTACATTTTAATTTTTTATTTTTGACAAAAGATTTTTAAAGTGAGTCTTTATGCAGGGTAAAATAGCAAGGGGAGTCAGTGGTTTTGTTTTTTGCCAACATCTTAATTCTCCGTGTCAAACTATTATGATAGAGGAAAATACAGTATTTAGGTAGTGAAGATTTACCTCTGTTACTGAGATAACAAAGTACATATTTTCTGGGGACAACAAAATAACCACTTTCTAAAAGTTGTGATTTTGGGGGTGATATTTTTATTGTGAAAATGAAATTTAAAAAATGATTAAAGACATAGAGTCTTTGTCAATATTATGAGTTTATTTATTTTGTGATAACTACATATAAAACAGTCTTGTATTAAGGAAATCATGTCTTTAAATTTAGGCTTTTTAAAAAGTAATAAAAATTGTGGAGAGGAGCCAAGATGGCCGAATAGGAACAGCTCCAGTCTACAGCTCCCAGCGTGAGTGACGCAGAAGACGGGTGATTTCTGCATTTCCATCTGAGGTACCGGGTTCATCTCACTAGGGAGTGCCAGACAGTGGGCGCAGGTCAGTGGGTGCACGCACCGTGCGCGAGTCGAAGCAGGGCGAGGCATTCCCTCACTCTGGAAGCACAAGGGGTCAGGGAGTTCCCTTTCTTAGTCAAAGAAAGGGGTGACAGACGGCACCTGGAAAATCGGGTCACTCCCACCCGAATACTGCGCTTTTCCGGCGGGCTTAAAAAAACGGTGCACCAGGAGATTATATCCCGCACGTGGCTCAGAGGGTCCTAGGCCCATGGAGTCTCCCTGATTGCTAGCACAGCAGTCTGAGAACAAACTGCAAGGCGGCAGTGAGGCTGCGGGAGGGGCGCCCGCCATTGCCCAGGCTTGCTTAGGTAAACAAAGCAGCCCAGAAGCTCGAACTGGGTGGAGCCCACCATAGCTCAAGGAGGCCTGCCTTCCTCTGTAGGCTCCACCTCTGGGGGCAGGGCACAGACAAACAAAAAGACAGCAGTAACCTCTGCAGACTTAAATGTCCCTGTCTGACAGCTTTGAAGAGAGCAGTAGTTCCCCCAGCACGGAGCTGGAGATCTGAGAACGGGCAGACTGCCTCCTCAAATGGGTCCCTGACACTGACCCCTGAGCAGCCTAACTGGGAAGCCCCCCCAGCAGGGGCAGACTGACACCTCACATGGCAGGGTACTCCAACAGACCTGCAGCTGAGGGTCCTGTCTGTTAGAAGGAAAACTAACAAACAGAAAGGACATCCACACCAGAAACCCATCTGTACATCACCATCATCAAAGAACAAAAGTAGATTAAACCACAAAGATGGGGAAAAAACAGAGCAGAAAAACTTGAAACTCTAAAAAGCAGAGCACCTCTCCTCCTCCAAAGGAACGCAGTTCCTCACCAGCAATGGAACAAAGCTGGACGGAGAATGACTTTGATGAGCTGAGAGAAGAAGGCTTCAGACGACCAAATTACTCTGAGCTATGGGAGGACATTCAAACCAAAGGCATAGAAGTTGAAAACTTTGAAAAAAATTTAGAAGAATGTATAACTAGAATAACCAATACAGAGAAGTGCTTAAAGGAGCTGATGGAGCTGAAAACCAAGGCTCGAGAACTACATGAAGAATGCAGAAGCCTCAGGAGCCGATGCGATCAACTGGAAGAAAGGTATCAGTGATGGAAGATGAAATGAGTGAAATGAAGCAAGAAGGGAAGTTTAGAGAAAAAAGAATAAAAAGAAACGAGCAAAGCCACCAAGAAATATGGGACTATGTGAAAAGACCAAATCTACGTCTGATTGGTGTACCTGAAAGTGACGGGGAGAATGGAACCAAGTTGGAAAACACTCTGCAGGATATTATCCAGGAGAACTTCCCCAATCTAGCAAGGCAGGCCAACGTTCAGATTCAGGAAATACAGAGAACGCCACAAAGATACTCCTCGACAAAAGCAACTCCAAGACACATAATTGTCAGATTCACCAAAGTTGAAATGAAGGAAAAAATGTTAAGGGCAGCCAGAGAGAAAGGTCGGGTTACCCTCAAAGGGAAGCCCATCAAACTAACAGCGGATCTCTTGGCAGAAACGCTACAAGCCAGAAGAGAGTGGGGGCCAATATTCAACATTCTTAAAGAAAAGAATTTTCAACCCAGAATTTCATATCCAGCCAAACTATGCTTCATAAGTGAAGGAGAAATAAAATACTTTACAGACAAGCAAATGCTGAGAGATTTTTATGACCACCAGGCCTGCCCTAAAAGAGCTCCTGAAGGAAGCGCTAAACATGGAAAGGAACAACCGGTACGAGCCACTGCAAAATCATGCCAAAATGTAAAGACCATTGAGACTAGGAAGAAACTGCATCAACAAACGAGCAAAATAACCAGCTAACATCATAATGACAGGATCAAATTCACACATAACAATATTAACTTTAAATGTTAATGGACTAAATGCTCCAATTAAAAGACACAGACTGGCAAATTGGATAAAGAGTCAAGACCCATCAGTGTGCTGTATTCAGGAAACCCATCTCACGTGCAGAGACACACATAGGCTCAAAATAAAAGGATGGAGGAAGATCTACCAAGCAAATGGAAAACAAAAAAAGGCAGGGGTTGCAATCCTAGTCTCTGATAAAACAGACTTTAAACCAACAAAGATCAAAAGAGACAAAGAAGGCCATTACATAATGGTAAAGGGATCAATTCAACAAGAAGAGCTAACTATCCTAAATATATATGCACCCAATACAGGAGCACCCAGATTCATAAAGCAAGTCCTTAGTGACCTACAAAGAGACTTAGACTCCCACACAATAATAATGGGAGACTTTAACACCCCACTGTCAACATTAGACAGAACAACAAGACAGAATGTCAAAAAGGATACTCAGGAATTGAACTCAGCTCTGCACCAAGCGGACCTAATAGACATCTACAGAACTCTCCACCCCAAATCAACAGAATATACATTTTTTTCAGCACCACACCACACCTATTCCAAAATTGACCACATACTTGGAAGTAAAGCTGTCCTCAGCAAATGTAAAAGAACAGAAATTATAACAAACTATCTCTCAGACCACAGTGCAATCAAACTAGAACTCAGGATTAAGAATCTCACTCAAAACCGCTCAACTACATGGAAACTGAACAACCTGCTCCTGAATGACTACTGGGTACATAACAAAATGAAGGCAGAAATAAAGATGTTCTTTGAAACCAACGAAAACAAAGACACAACATACCAGAATCTCTGGGACACATTCAAAGCAGTGTGTAGAGGGAAATTTATAGCACTAAATGCCCACAAGAGAAAGCAGGAAAGATCTAAAATTGACACCCTAACATCACAATTAAATGAACTAGAAAAGCAAGAGCAAACACATTCAAAAGCTAGCAGAAGGCAAGAAATAACTAAAATCAGAGCAGAACTGAAGGAAATAGAGACACAAAAAACCCTTCAAAAAACTTAATGAATCCAGGAGCTGGTTTTTTGAAAGGATCAACAAAATTGATAGACCGCTAGCAAGACTAATAAAGAAAAAAAGAGAGAAGAATCAAATAGATGCAATAAAAATGATAAAGGGGATATCACCACCGATCCCACAGAAATACAAACTACCATCAGAGAATACTACAACCACCTCTACACAAATAAACGAGAAAATCTAGAAGAAATGGATAAATTCCTCGACACATACACTCTCCCAAGACTAAACCAGGAAGAAGTTGAATCTCTGAATAGACCAATAACAGACTCTGAAATTGTGGCAATAATCAATAGCTTACCAACCAAAAAGAGTCCAGGACCAGATGGATTCACAGCCGAATTCTACCAGAGGCACAAGGAGGAACTGGTACCATTCCTTCTGAAACTATTCCAATGAATAGAAAAAGAGGGAATCCTCCCTAACTCATTTTATGAGGCCAGCATCATCCTGATATCAAAGCCTGGCAGAGACACAACCAAAAAAGAGAATTTTAGACCAATATCCCTGATGAACATTGATGCAAAAATCCTCAATAAAATACTGGCAAACCAAATCCAGCAGCACATCAAAAAGCTTATCCACCATGATCAAGTGGGCTTCATCCCTGGGATGCAAGGCTGGTTCAATATACGCAAATCAATAAATGTAATCCAGCATATAAACAGAAGCAAAGACAAAAACCACATGATTATCTCAATAGATGCAGAAAAGGCCTTTGACAAAATTCAACAACACTTCATGCTAAAAACTCTCAATAAATTAGGTATTGATGGGACGTATTTCAAAATAATAAGAGCTATCTGTGACAAACCCACAGCCAATATCATACTGAATGGGCAAAAACTGGAAGCATTCCCTTTGAAAACTGGCACAAGACAGGGATGCCCTCTCTCACCACTCCTATTCAACATAGTGTTGGAAGTTCTGGCCAGGGCAATCAGGCAGGAGAAGGGAATAAAGGGTATTCAATTAGGAAAAGAGGAAGTCAAATTGTCCCTGTTTGCAGATGACATGATTGTATATCTAGAAAACCCCATTGTCTGAGCCCAAAATCTCCTTAAGCTGATAAGCACCTTCAGCAAAGTCTCAGGATACAAAATCAATGTACAAAAATCACAAGCATTCTTATACACCAACAAGAGACAAAGAGAGCCAAATCATGAGTGAACTCCCATTCACAATTGCTGCAAAGAGAATAAAATACCTAGGAATCCAACTTACAAGGGATGTGAAGGACCTCTTCAAGGAGAACTACAAACCACTGATCAACGAAATAAAAGAGGATACAAACAAATGGAAGAACATTCCATGCTCATGGGTAGGAAGATTCAATATCGTGAAAATGGCCATACTGCCCAAGGTAATTTACAGATTCAATGCCATCCCCATCAAGCTACCAATGACTTCCTTCACAGAATTGGAAAAAACTACTTTAAAGTTCATATGGAACCAAAAAAGAGCCCGCATCGCCAAGTCAAACCTAAGCCAAAAGAACAAAGCCAGAGGCATCACACTACCTGACTTCAAACTATACTACAAGGCTACAGTAACCAAAACAGCATGGTACTGGTACCAAAACAGAGATATAGATCAATGGAACAGAACAGAGCCCTCAGAAATAACGCCGCATATCTACAACTATCTGATCTTTGACAAACCTGACAAAAACAAGCAATGGGGAAAGGATTCCCTATTTAATAAAGGGTGCTGGGAAAACTGGCTAGCCATATGTAGAAAGCCAAAACTGGATCCCTTCCTTACACCTTATACAAAAATCAATTCAAGGTGGTATAAAGACTTAAACGTTAGACCTAAAACCATAAAAACCCTAGAAGAAAACCTAGGCAATACCATTCAGGACATAGGCATGGGCAAGGACTTCATGTCTAAAACACCAAAAGCAATGGCAACAAAAGCCAAAATTGACAAATGGTATCTAATTAAACTAAAGAGCTTCTGTACAGCAAAAGAAACTACCATCAGAGTGAACAGGCAACCTACAAAATGGGAGAAAATTTTCGCAACCTACTCATCTGACAAAGGGCTAATATCCAGAATCTACAATGAACTCAAACAAATTAACAAGAAAAAAACAAACAACCCCATCAAAAAGTGGGCGAAGGACATGAACAGACACTTCTCAAAAGAAGACATTTATGCAGCCAGAAAACACATGAAAAAATGCTCACCATCACTAGCCATCAGAGAAATGCAAATCGAAACCACAATGAGATACCATCTCACACCAGTTACAATGGCAATCATTAAAAAGTCAGGAAACAACAGGTGCTGGAGAGGATGTGGAGAAATAGGAACACTTTTACCCTGTTGGTGGGACTGTAAACTAGTTCAACCATTGTGGAAGTCAGTGTGGCGATTCCTTAGGGATCTAGAACTGGAAATACCATTTGACCCAGCCATCCCATTACTGGGTATATACCCAAAGGACTATAAATCATGCTGCTATAAAGACACATGCACACGTATGTTTATTGCAGCATTATTCACAATAGCAAAGACTTGGAACCAACCCAAATGTCCAACAATGATAGACTGGATTAAGAAAATGTGGCACATATACACCATGGAATACTATGCAGCCATAAAAAATGATGAATTCATGTCCTTTGTAGGGACATGGATGAAATTGGAAATCATCATTCTCAGTAAACTATCGCAAGAACAAAAAACCAAACACCGCATATTCTCACTCATAGGTGGGAGTTGAGCAATGAGAACACATGGACACAAGAAGGGGAACATCACACTCTGGGGACTGTTGTGGGGTGGGGGGAGGGGGGAGGGATAGCATTGGGAGATATACCTAATGCTAGATGACGAGTTAGTGGGTGCAGCGCACCAGCATGGCACATGTATACTTATGTAACTAACCTGCACATTATGCACATGTACCCTAAAACTTAAAGTAGAATAATAATTTTTTTAAAAAAGTAATAAAAATTGAAATGCTAGTTTATGTTTTAAAAGGCATTAGATTATAGTTTTATTCCTCATAACCAAATATGTATAAATAATCATAATTAAGTTTGATAATGTTATGCAGTAACATATTATATAATATTGTATATAATATTTTATAATGTTTAACATGAGATAATTATAAATGTAGTTAGCATTTATAATTGTTTGCTAATCATACTTATGTCTGTCTAATAGGATGTAATACTATATTATAATTAGTAAATAGAGCATTTATTAAGATTATGTTATTTTAAACAACTGGGCATTAAAATTTAGAATTAGAGTGTAGGCATTAATTTCATATGAATTCCTCTGTGTGAACACAAATAAGAAAATGAACATGTTCCAAAATGTTTAAAGCCAATGTCAAGGCCCCCCCCCAAAAAAAACCCCTAAAAATCTTGAGAAAGGCATTTTGAAATAGTTGATGTGTTCAATGAAACTAAAAAGACACTACAATGAAGAGCATAGGCTATTTTGGGTTTTGTGTTTGTTTGTTTTTTGCACTTTATAAGCTATGCCAACACTGGATATATTTTCACATTTTATAATGTGAAATAATGAGCTATGTTTATACAAAGTAAAAGTGCTTTAGAGTTGGAAACTTGACTTTTATTTTCTTAGCTGCATTCTATTTGGTTCATCAAAGACATGGTACCAGCTGTTTCATTATGTCCATATCATTAGGCACAAAGCCCTTGTATGTGAATCAAGGTAGATTTGTTTTATGTTTGACTTACTTTGAATGGAGAAAAAACCAAGAGTGCTCATGAGCTACTTAGATGGTGCAGAAATGCTTGAAAAGAAAGCCATACATGGATTGCTAGTTATTACAATTGTTTAAAAAAGTATAATTTTGAGCCAGAAACAGTTGTTATATGTGAACTGCTTATTTGATTAATTATAATAGTAGATATGATGACTTCAAGGCTTAATTTTTTGGACTACTAACTTTTTTTTTTTTTTTTTTTTTGCCATGAAGACAAACTAGAAAAATGTTTTGGGGCCAATTAAAAATCATTCTGTGTCATTTGTTCTAACTATAAATATGGTATATATACTTACTAAAAGTTAAAATATTAAACATACAAACAAAAACCACCCAAAATCTCACATGCAGGATGGGTTACATTTTTAAATGATAAAAGATTGTTTCTTCACTTTGTTGGATCCTGTAGAAAAAAACGTACATTTTTAAAAGGAAGAAAACAACTAATTTTGTTTATTTTTTTGTGGAGATGAGGTCTTACTCTGTTGCCCAGGCTCATCTCCAACTCCTGGACTCAAGTGATCCTCCAGCCTTGGACTCCCAAAGTGCTGAGATTACAGGCGTGAGCCACCATAACTAGCCTGGATTTCTTAAATGAATGTTTTTACTCAGAATTTGTTAACCCCTCAAAGCATCAAAATATAAAGGCATGAATGATAATTGTATTAGCTTTTTATAACTTACAAAATAATTTAAAGCTATATAACACAATTAAGTATTTAAAAGGCTTTGTGGAGCTAGAAAGACAATTTGTCATTTGAGTTTTGTTTAATCACGATAAATACATATATACATATATATATATACACATATATATACATATATATACATATGTATATATATGTGTGTATATATATATATATATATATATATATCTCGAGGCAGAGTCTCGCTCTGTTGCCCAGGACGGAGTGCAGTGATGCAATATCAGCTCACTGCAACTTCTGATTCTGGGGCTCAAATGATCCTCCCAACTCAGCCTCAGCCACGCCCCCATCCTTCCAGTAGCTGGGACTGCAGGTGCATGCTGCTATGCTGGGCTAATTTTTAAAACAGATGGGGGTCTCACTTTGTTGCCAGTGCTGGTCTCCAGCTCCTGGGCTTAAGCTATCTGCCTGCCTCAGGCGTCCAAAGTGCTGGGATTACAGGCGTGAGCCACCGCACCAAGCCCCTTTTATCATTTTGAGTGAATTAAAATGAAATAGTATTTTTTATGAAATCTATTTTCTATTATTAATGTAATGAAAGGAAGAGTTTTTGCCATATTGGTTTAATTTTTTCCACTTTAAAAAATATGTTCATTATATTATCACTAGTTTGCTTATTGTACTCGTTCATAATTAATGATGTCATAGGGGACCTGAAGTTGATTGTTTCTTATCTTCTGGAAATGTTTTTATACTCAATAGGCTGCAAAAACAAATTCCTACAGCAGTGTCTGAATCTGGAAGATCTCTGCATGTGCACATGATTTCCTATGTGAAAACAAAACAAAAAAATGTGAATTGTCATTATCATTTTATAATCATCTCTAGTCTTTAAAGTGACAGAGAGGTAATGTGTCTAATCTACCTTCAGAGAATCTTTATTAATTCAAACTCTGCTAATTTAGAGTTGGTGATCATATAAATGGAGTCTTCCTTTCTTTAGAGAGAATACTCATGAATAATTTATGCAATATTATTTTAGTAACATTCAGAATATTTCAGGGACTTTTTATCTTTTATCTTTTATTTATTTATTTATTTATTTATTTATTTTCAAGACAGGATCTCACTCTGTTTCCCAGCCTGGAGTGCAGTGGCACAATCAGGGTTCACTGCAGCCTCAACCTCCCAGGCTCAAGCAATCCTCTCACTTCAGCCTTCGAGTAGCTCAGACTACAGGTGCATGCCATCATGCCTGGCTAATTTTTTTGTATTGTCTGTAGAGACAGTGTTTTGCCATGTAGTGCAGGCTGGTCTCAAACACCTGGGCTCAAGTCATCTGCCCACCCCAGTCTCCCAAAGTTTTGGGATTATTACAGACGTGAGCTACCATGCCCAGCCTCAGGGACTTTTTTGAGGTAGCATTTCTGTATAAACTATGATTATGTTAAATAACATATCTTGTATATTTTACAAAGTATGGTCTTGTGTATTATTTAAACAATAAATGTTCTAAGGTGTAATACATTTGCAACAAATGTGACCAAGAATTGATAACCTTGTTGTATAAAGTGTTCATACAAGTCATTAAGCAGTAAGTCCCATAGATAAATGGACAAAAGGTATGACCATTCTATAAAAGAAGAATTACAAATGGCTACGAAATATATATTAAAAAATTAACCTCATTGTATCTGGTAAAATGCAAATAGTAGAGTAATTAAATTACCTTTTTCACAAATCAGATTAGCAAAGCCTAAAAGATAATGCTGGTGTCGGTGAAAGTAATTTACATTCTTGCTGGGAGTAAAAACTGATATAGCTTAAAACAATATAGCAAAAAAACCTTTAAGAGGTTTATAATGCTGTATTCCCTTTTTAAGAAATATATGCAAAGAAAATAATATAAAATGCTCATAAAGATTTACACTCAAAGAGATTTGGCACAGCCCTATTTATAATAAGAAAAAATTGTAAACTGTCTAAATGCCTAGAGATGTGGTTGGGTAAATTATACTTTACTCAAGTGATGAAACCTAATGTAGTTATTAATAAGTCACTAAAACAACAATAAATACTATAAATAATTTTAATGTCATGAAAGTGCTTCAGATATGTTAGGCAAGAAAAGCTGGATACAAAATTCTATATGCAAAATAATTTCAAATGTGTTAAAATGAAAGAAAAAAGACTGGAAGGAAATGCGACAGAATATAGTTGCACAAGAAGAAAGTCATGGGTATTTTCTTCTCTGCTGCTTTTTGTTCACTACTACTAACTGCAGAGCATTAGTTTATTTTTAAATATGAAAGGAGGGAGCTTTAAAAAAGTTTGTGCTGGTTGCCTCTAATTTTGTGCAGAAGGAGTATATACAGCTTTTTTTGTTGTCATTAATAGCAAGTTATTTGTAGCAAGCAAGATATTCATATTAGGTACATGATTAAGATATGTTTCTAGGATAGAGTATTATATAGTTATTAAAATAATTTTTCTGAAGAGTGAGATGATTATGATATAATTAAAAACAAGTCGGGATGGGGGAGAGATAGCATTAGGAGATATACCTAATGTTAAATGACGAGTTAATGGGTGCAGCACACCAACATGGCCCATGTATACATATGTAACAAACCTGCATGTTGTGCACATGAACCCTAAAAAAGTATAATTAAAAAAAAGTCATGTAAAGTATGATCTCAACTATATGCAAAATAATATATGGAAAACAAGAATAGAATGAAATGTGTCAAAATGTTGGTGATCAGTGATTTTTATTTTCTTCTTTAAATGTTTTTGCATTTCACATTTTTTTGTAATGCATCCCTAATTACTTTCATAATCAGAAAAACATAAGTGTTGAAATTTTAAATAAGCAAGTTTTCTAAAGATGTCTCCCAGGCAAAATGTATTAGTCCTAAAAGTATGACTTAAATAATAATATAGAATATATATTACTTGTAATTTAAGTAATAATCTGAAAAGTAATAACAGTGATAACAGCTTTTAAGTTTCAAATGAGACTTTTCCTAGTTTGTAATTACTCTTTTCTCTTAGCCTAAATTACAGCAATTTTACTGTAGAAGCATGTAATTTCATTAGTAATAAATAACTAATGGTTATTAGAATTTTGATACCTGAGTCATACTGTTCAATAGCATATTTAAAGAAAAACAGGAAACCAAATTAGGGTTGGTAAATGTGGCTGTTGATATGGTTTTATGCTTCTCACCAAATCAAAGTTCCAGAATATCATGGACAACTTTTAAAAATAGTCATGACTATCACATATGAGTCTTATTTTACAGAAAACTACATTGGAAGAAGGTTGCAATCTCATAGAAGTTGTAGAGAGTGAGTGTTTCACTATCCCAGAGTGAGATATGGAAGTATCAGTGAGGGTGCCTACTGAGGTGTCAAACTAAGTGAGAAAAGGGGTACAGCAAAGCCTATTTTCAAATAATGCAGGATAATATAGGACCCACTCTGATAAACAGGGAGATAGACCCACCTGACTAGCTACCCTAGTTTGTAGCTAGCTATAGGATCAAAGAGTTATTTTCATCCATATAGCCTGCCAGGGATGGCTGGCAAGATCAGCCTTTCACAGCCTGTTCACATTCATATGGCTATAAATCACCAGATGTATTATCTTGGAATGTGAAGTACACTTCGTTAATATACACATGTACTTCAAGATAAATCAGCCCACTGACTCGGTGGTCATTATAAAGAGCTAAAACACTCACACTTTTTAAGAGGCAATTTAAAGGCAATTTGGACAAATGGAGAAAATAAAATAATTTAAAACACAAAATTATGTCTTCATTAAAAAATTCACTTTAGATAAAAATATAAACATAATATAATAATAAACACTAGATATCTCACATAAGACAGCTTGAAATTACTAAAATTTCTATTTATTCTTTAGTCACACTGTTTATACATGAATAAATGTATGCTATAAACGTGTTCATACTAAATATATATTCACATAAAATCAATTCAGCTAATCACAAACCATGTATTTCTGTCTCATTTCAGAAACATATAGTAAGATATAAACTATTAGAGTTGCCAAATCAACTTCTTTCTTTTCAAAGAAATAGCTGTGTTCCTCTCGGTAAGGCACATGGTTTTTGATTGTAAGGAACCAAGGATATAAGAGTTCATAAATATATAATGGAAACTTGTAAAAGACATATCTTTTACGTATCACAGTATTTTTAAAAAATTTAGTTTCATTTTCTCTCCCTCTACAAAAAAAGGTCCTAATCAATTTAAAAATCCCATCCAGAACTATACTCTCCTCCCGACAACCCCCCAACAAAAGCAAAAAACAAAAAACAATTTTGTTCATATATTTCCCTTGAGGTCTTAATCGGTTTGGTCTGTAGAATTTCCTTTTTGGGTGACATTATCAGAAGAAATTACCCTGTATCATTACCTATGGTCAATGAACTTTGACAGGCTTTCCTTCTCGCTTGTCTGCATCGAAGTGGACGTTGCAAGCAATTCTCTGAGACAGGAAGGTGTCGTCTAGACACGATCCTTTGAAGTTTCTTTTACTTCCATCTTCAGCTCACTGAAATTTCATTTTTGGGGGTCATCAACCTTAAGCACTCAGAGCTCAACGATGCTGCTTTAATTATTATAACCATTTACTGTACTACTCTGTACAAGAGGAAAAAAGTCCGACTGGCTATGGAATTTGCCTGGAATTCATTCAGTGTCAGCCTTGGGTGGCCCTTACCCAGGGAGTGGCTCCAGGCCAGGGAGAAAGACAGAGGGAAGCTGGGAAGACGACTTTGCAAATCGGAAAAGTCCACATGAAGGGAGTTTATCTCAGTCAGGGGATAGAAATTTTTTGTTTGTTTTTCTGAGCAACAGAACATTACACTGCAAATTTGCAGTTTAAAATGGGTAATAATTAATAGTGACAGAAAAAAATGGTGCCCCAGCCATTTTCTTAACTAATTTTAAAAGCGTGCATTGTTTTAATTTTATTCTTTTTATGTTACCGTCATAAAGCAATGTAGTTAATTTTTTTGACACTACGTTGGGAAGAGTTTCAAAAGAATGAGTATTTGTCCCTTTAAGAAAAATGTTCATCCCCCTCAATGTACCCTATTTTCTCTAATGGATAGAGTAGATTGGGGATAAGGGTTTGATATTTCTGTCTTTAAGATAGTCCTTGGCTTATTCGTCTTAAGTGTAATGTTAAAGAAGTGATAACTTTAATAGACTCTGAAATTCCTTCAGACTTTTACGTACAACACAAACAAAGAAACAAAAAACACTACAACATCCAGCAGTCAGTCCCACAGCCAAAGCGTACTCTTTTAGGGAGGAAGGGAAGGAGTAGGGGGGTGGGAGTTACTTTATAGTAATTCTATATTTTTTTCTTTTACGAATAAAAGGATAAACTTTCGAGTTCAATTTTACATATCTCCGCCTCCCTTTTTAATGTCAATAACTCCCATTCTTCTTGCTGTAGTAAAAAGGTTTATTCACTTCAAATTCACATCTGCTTTGTCTAAATTGATGTTTCAGGAAAAATGTGAAAGTGGTCAGTTTGCAAAAACCTTTTGTAAGCAGAAGTTTACTGTTTGTCTGCCAAGGTCTTAATTCCCATGGGGAAATTTACTAATAAGTTAGCTAACATTGTGGGAACTGGGATCTTTGCCCCAAGAAATGCAGTAATATTTCTTAGGTAGTGCTCTAGGTCTCTTATAATCACATAATTGAATTAGCTCTAAGATTTAGGAGGCTAATTTTTGTATTAGTTCATTTCAAAGGGGGAGTGAAGATGAAAGAGAAGGTGCAGCATAAATATTGCCAGACCAGAGAAGACAGTTTTAAGAATAACATTTTCTTGTCTTATGGAGTGCACTACTGTTTAAAAAGGAATTTTACCTGTATATAATATCTCTTTGATTTTGATCCTAAAAGTAATGCTTAAAGAGTGACCATCAAATAGCCATTACCAAATTTTCGTTCTTAAAGATATGGAAATGGAGGATTATATTTAGTAAGATTCTTAACTTTGCATAGTTAGTAAGGGGCGAAGGATAAAAACCTAGGTCTTCTGATTGCAAGATCTTGCCATTATACCAAAATTTAATGAGGATACCTTGGTGGGAGGGAATTATGGAGAAATTTGGCTCCTTGAACTTTGCTGAAGGCTTAACCTATGTAAACATCATTAAGCTGAGAATAAATCAAATCTGCAAAGTGCAGGGCAAATATGCGTTGCTTTAAACACCCACAAATTGATTTATAACCTTTTTACATTCTTTTACAAAGCATTTTACAGATGTTCAGTTTTAATTTCGTAGACCCTGTACGTTTTCTACTTGTGTATATAACCATTCTAAATGTCATCAGCATTGCCCCCAAATAATACCACATATATTTAGGAAATAGTTTTCCAACTGTTTTTCAGAACAAGTTATATGGCATGTGGGATAAAGTAAGATTTTAAAAAATCTGATATTTATCGCTGAGGACTAAGGAAGGTAGATTCTTAAGACTCTAAGAGGTGAAAAATTCCACCTCTTTATAATATTTCTAAAAATATTAGAAAGGCCTATTAAGAGACTTTTATTTGTGATTCCCATAAGTAGTTTTGTTTTTATTGTTAGTTATAGAACTAAATTTTTTATTTCTGTTTTTTTATTCATTCAGGGGTGTCCAATCTTTTGGCTTCCTTGGGCCACATTGGAAAGGGAATTGTCTTGGGCTGCACAAAATACACTAACACTAATGATAGCTGATATGCTAAAAAAAAAAATTTCAAAAATATTTCATAAAAAGTGTTTTAAGAAAATTTACAAATTTGTGTTGGGCCGCATTCAAAGTCGTCCTGGGCTGCATGCGGCCCACAGGCTGTGGGTTGGACAAGCTTGCATTAGATCCTAGAAAAATTATTGTACATATACTCTTAAAAACCCATCTTTAAACCCAAATAATAATAAAGTTTTTAAAAGTAAAGTTTTATTATTTGTTCGTTAGAATGTTATATATCGATACTATATTTAATATTTAAATAAAAAAGTAACAGAACTTTTTAAAAAAGGATATAGTCAAATATTTTAATGGTGAGAGTGTGTGATTTTATTCTTTGAAGTGTCTGGTTTCTAATGTTTCAATAAAAAATTATGTATACTTTTTTATAATACATTTTTAAATTAAAAAAACTTAGGAAAATAATTTAAAAGCAGAGAATTTGTCATGTAATCATTTGCTTAATAACTTTTTTCCCAGTCACCATTATAATTTCTCCTGGCCCTTGGCAACTTATTTTCTATTTTCTGATTTTGAAAATTTTTAATGAGACTCTTTATTACTGCTGTATCATTTAGCAGAACCTAACAAATTTTCACAAAAAATAGATCTCCCCGTGATTCTGAATCACTCCAGTAATTTTATTGGGCCTCAAAGTTTCTGAGCCTGAAGGAAATACTCTATGTAAAACTTGCAGCTTCATCTGGTAGTGATTTGTCATTTACCAGGTTTTGGGCTTGCAGCCAGGTCAGCTGTTGCCAGGAGAAGGCAGACAGGGGAATAAAATTATTATCAAGAAAAGACTTGGAAATGTACAGAATGAAGCAAACTGAGACAAATGCAAACAAAATCTAGGTGTAATGGACTCCTAGAAATAAAGGGGGCTAGAAAAAGAAGAGGATCCAATCCCTCTAGGCTAGGCTTTTGTTCTGCCCTTGGCATATCAAGTATTAGTCTTTAAATCTATTTAATTAATTGGACAGCTAGAAATAGATTTCCTGTAACATTTTAGTTGAACTGATTCTATGACCTGGAAATCCACTCATGTAGTTACTCCTTCATAGCTATTTTAGTAGCTTTAAATATACTTTCTACCAGGTTTGTCTCATGAATTCAGTATTCCTCACTTAGTCAATAAAATATGTAAATCTGTAATATAAATATATATTTTTTAAAGACATCATTTCAATCCAATATAAAACTATTTTGGGCTAAGAATTTCAAGTATCCTTGGAAGTCAAATATATTTGAGTTCTATAATTTTAATAGATTCTGAATAAAGATAAAAAGTCTATAGATAAATCTCTGCAATATCAATTCAAAAATATTTATAAGAGACTTGAAATTAAGGCTCAAAAATTTTAGACATGTAGAAAATCCTTTAGGAGTTCACCAAACCTCATTAGTTCTTTTGGTACTTTTTAATTGAGGTAATTATAATAATCACTAATATTTGTGGAGCACTCTAAGTTGACACTGCTTACTAAAAAGCTAAAGATAGAATTTGTGCATTCATTTCATAAATTTCTATTGAATGCTTTTGTCTTATGGGAGCTGTTATTATAAAATGTACAATATTGAGGATGACCCAAGAAATAGCACACTTCAATAACTTATGTTGTTAGTTTCTCAAATGTAGAAAACTTCTAAGGATGATGAAACAACTTATATATATGCCCAAGAAACCAATAAAATAGTTTTGAACATCAGATTTATTTATATGTCTAAAATCAATGGTAGTTTGTATCAAATTTGTTACTTTCTGAGAGAATCATTTATTTAAATTTGAGTAAGAGAGTACTATAGATTGTAAGTAAAAAGAATACTGATTTGGCATCAGAGAGACCTGGGCTGGAATCCAAACTCTATGACCTTGGGTGAGTTACTTAAATAGTTTCTTTAGGTATAAAGGGGAGAGGGTTTGTAATAATATCTTCCTCATAGAATTATTATTGATAATGTAGTTATAGTGGCTAGAATGATAAAAAACAGATGTAGGAATTCAATGAATGGTGGCCACTATTGTTACTATAACGTCATTTCTAATGATCTTATAATTATAACATCATTTCTAATAATTAAGCATTTTAATTTTTGATATTTCATAATTAAAAAGTATCAGCTCCTTATGCTTTACTTCTGACATGTAGTTTTAGGCTTGTTTCTTGATCATGCTATGTTGACTTCAGTCATCTTGAGATAGGTTGGTGCATGGCTTGGGGTAAATGAACAGACTTGAAGCTGGAGGTTGGTGTACTCAAGCTTACCGTACTGGCTTTCTGGGCTACTATCCTACTGAAACCAGATTTGTAGCTCAGAACTGCTGTTTCTGGGCCACAGGACAGGCAAAAGTCTGCTAGAAAAGGAAAAGAAGAAAGGGCAGCGTATTAGTTAGGGTTCTCCAAAGGGACAGAACGAATAGAATGTATGCATATATGAAAGGGAGTTTATTAAGGAGAATTGACTCACGTGATCACAGTGAAGTCCTACAATAGGCCTTCTGCAAGTTGAGGAACAAGATGCCAGTAGTGGCTCAGTCCCAGTCCCAAAGCCTCAAAAGTAGGGAAGCCAACAGTGCAGCCTTCAGTCTGTGGCTGAAGGTGAGAGTCCCTGGCTAACACTATTGTTAAGTCCAAGAATCCAAAGGCTGAAGAACCCAGAGTCTGAAGTTCAAGGGCAGGAAGCAACCAGCACAGGAGAAAGATGAAAGCCGGAAAACTCAGCAAACCAGCTTATTCCACCTTCTTTCGCCTCCTTTTTCTAGCTGCACTGGCAGCCGATTGCATGATGCCCACCCACATTGAGGGTGGATCTTCCTCTCCCAGTCCACTGACTCAAATGTTAATCTTCTCTTGCAACACCTTCACAGACACACTCAGAAACAATACTTTGCACTCTTAATCCAATCCAGTTGACACTTAATATTAATCACCAGAGGCAGCTCAAGATTCCATCCACTATTCCAAGGGTTGGTACCATTATTGTAACCACTACAAACTGTGGGGCCAGCATCTTTCCTGTTGGCAAGGTCTTTTGTCATAGGTCCAATTAGTTCCATCACTTGAGAAAGAAAAGTAGTTGCTAAGTTTGGTTGTTACATTTGTAATTTTTATATCAACAAAATATTTTACAAAGCTATTTTGGGACAATCTTTTAAGATTCATATTAGATCTTTCTGATTATTGACTTTTTAAATGTTCAGTAGAGTCAAAGATTTGTCTTTCATTGCTTTGCATTCCACATGGTACCCAAGATTGGGTTTTGAATGTAATACATTTTTAAATAAAAGTTAATTGATTTAAACATTCTTATTGTCCCTGATGACCTATTCATGATTCTTTTGAGAAATATAGCAATATGAATTATCCCCAAGCTTTTCTACCCTAACCCCTGTGCTTTTATCTATCCAGAAATATTGCAGACAAAACAAGGTACAGAGAATAGTGATTGGATTGACGCTTTCCATCCCTAGAAATTATTAAAATTGGCATCACACACACTTATTAAACATGAATTTGGTATAAGAGCTCTAACTAAGCAGTATGCATCGACCCAAAGAACTCTCTGTTCCCAGATGAGGCCGTAGCAATCAGAGATTTATTTTCCTCAAAACTAGCCTCAGCAGTGACAATGACTGTCTTCCAAAATATTGACTTTATGGTCATCAGATTTTTAAAATTATTGTTTTATTGAAATCACAAGCAATGCATTTTTATTTTAGAATGTTTGGAAAATACAGACATTGTGTGTGTTAATTTGTTATGGAATGGTTCTCAATGAACCATACCTATCAGAATTCATGTCCTTGAGTAGGCCTCTCTCACAGTGAATCTGATTTGCTTTCTAATGAAATGTGGTGAAAGTAGAATTGTACAAGTTCTAGATCTAGTCTTTAGGCAGCCTGCAGCTTTTTCTTTGTCCTGTGTTATGATATAAAGAAGCCTGAGGTAATTTATTTGAGAATGACGTCTTGTAGAAAGGTAGGCCTTGTTGCAGAAAGACTACAAGGAGAGAGAGAGAGACTGCTAAATCCCATCCATTCCAGATGTACCAGCCTAGGAACTTGACACAGGATGAAACCATCTTGGATTCTTCAGTTCCAGTCAAGCCACAAGCTGACTTCAAATTCACAAGTGAGCCCCATTAATACCACATGGGCAGCTTACCATGTGGTATTAATGGGGCTCACTTGTGAATTTGAAGTCAGCTTGTGATAAGCTGCCCAACTCAATGCAGTCCATATTGCATAACTGTTAGCAAATAAATGGTTGTGTTGTTTTAAGCACTGAATTTGGGCATAGTTTGTTATGTGGGAGTAATTAACTGTTTCATTATGCATAGATGTAAATTAACCTTTTGGAATAATTCATATTTTGTAGAGAGTTTGTAACTTGCTTTTTTCATTAAACACTAACATGAACATTTTCTCATGTAATTGATCTTCAAAAATATTTAGATTTTATTAATAAAAAGACAAAAAATAAAATCAACTACCAAAACAAAAACACTATACAATAGACTTTAAAAAGTGAGCAATATATGTTTCCCTCTATAAGTAATGATAGCATAAATATATGTGAGGTTAGAAATATGCTGTATATTAGTTATCTTTTGATGTGAAACAGATCCCACCAAAACTTATTTGCTTAAAACAACAATAAACATTTATTATCTTTCAGAGTTTCTCTCAGACAAGAATTCAGGAGTGGCTTAACTTGGTGGTTCTGCCTCAGGCTCTATCATGAGTTTGTAGTCAAGATGTTGGTTGGGCTGTAGTCATTTGAAGGCTTGACTGTGGCTGGCATATTCACTTCTTACAAGAGACTGGCAAGTTAGTCTATGCTAGTCATGTTATTGGTGAGAGGCCTTGGTTCCTCACATCCTAGGGCTCTCCAAAGAGATGACTGAATGTTCTTATGACCTGCTTGTCTGGCTTTCCCCAGAGCAAGTGATCCAATAACTCAAGGTAGAAACTGCAATGCCTTTTATGACCTAGACTTAAAAGTTACATATTGTCATTACTGAAACTTCATGTTGATCACCTGGGTCAGCCCTATTTAGTGATATGTCACCTTTGTTGAAAATGTAGAACAACAGAAATGACCATGAGAAATATATTGAAAATAATGGAATCTGACAAGATATTGAACCAAAAATTCCATAGCATGAAAGTAGTGTCCCTGAAATATAACCTTAGGATTTGAGACATAAGGATGATGTAGCTGTGAAAATGAGGTTTATACATTCTTTTCAGAATTTTCAGAAATATATTTGTTACTAAAAAATCATAGATGGTGAAGAATAGGTCAATTATAAATGAAGAAAATAGATTAAATTGGACTTTAGTTTGTTCATGTAATGGTATGCTAAGAAAAGTTATCTACCCTTGAGTGAAAATTTTGTGTTCAAGGTTAATTTATGCAGAAAACACAACCTCAAAAGCAATTTGAAACTATTAAAAATGTTAAGACTAAGTTAATGCACATTGTATGAACCTACACAAAGTGAAGTAGAGTTAAGATACTTTCAGATAAATGAGAGTAGGTTTATAACCTAAATAATCTATCTGGAAACTGCAGATATTACCAAAAAGGTTATTTTTCTTAGTAACTGTTTTCTTTTGCTGATTTATTAAAAAAAAAACAAAAAACAAAACAAAAAAATAAACTAAACAGATTCATGGGATCCTAGCATATTAAAATTATAAACAGAAGACACATTGGCAATCAGCAAGACAGTCTTCCATGCAATATAGTAATTTGTTCTGTAGTATTTGTGATTGATACTTATTTTGTTCTTGGATATCTCTGATGTTGAGTGATTCTAGTTTTTTACAGTTTTAAAAAATTTTAAGTCAAAATGTAACATTTTGTAATCCATGTCTTTCTGCTTTTAGAGTAACAAATAATCTACTCCTGCTTCTACCTAACAGTCCTTCAAATATCTACTTTCATTTTGTCTTCTTTATATCATGTATACCAAGATCTAGGCTATTCACAGTATTCACTGTTACTGTCTACAAGAAGTAGACAGTACTGTCACTGTTACCATCTACGACTTCAATTTGCCTCATTGTCCTAATGTAAAAATTATATAGGCAGGAGACAGACAAAGGCCTAGGCAGATAGGGAATGCCCCCACCCCCCCGCCGCCCCACAGTGAAACCTCATCTTCAAGCCTAAAACAGCCTGAAGGCTGAAAGACCGGATTGCTGGTCCAGGATGAAACCTGAAACCCAGAGGGAGAACTTCTGCTGCCCAGTCTTTCCTGATTGATTCTTTCTGAATAATGCCTTTTAACCAATAGAATGTTGCCTTTTCTGATACTACCTATGGCTTGCCTGGGCATGCCCACTTACACACTGGGGGAATGGGGTGGAGCCAGCAGGATTTCTTGCCTTATGCAAGGGAGGAGCCTGGCCTCTTCAGCTCAGGTGTGCTGGACCTGGTGTTCAATTTGTGAGGTGGAAGTCTGCATGCAGGACCCCTCTGTTTGCTGAGAACTTTCCTTTTGCTTAATAAATTCTGCCCTCCTCATCCTTCCACGTGTCTGCGTGCCTAATTTTTTCCTGGTCGTAAGAAAAGAACCTGGACTTAGCTGAACTGAAGAGCAAAAATCCTGAATCAAAAGCATTCTCAGAACATGACTAGGAAATATACATTGATCTGATGGAATTTGAATTTACTACTAGACTGTAAACTCCATGAAGACAGGGGCTATGTATTTTTTTTTCTCAGCATTGTATTCTTAGTACCTGGCAAAATCCTAGCACCCTATAAATATTCGTTGAATGAATGAGTGAATGTATGAATGAGTATGGTTCAACTCAGCATGCAAGTCTTTTTGCTAGACGCTGGATTTGTTCCTTTCTTAGCGTTTCAAAGTTATGATTACCACTGGGAAATAATACTTTGTAGTTTTTAAAGTTAATGCCAATATTTCAAAATATTTTGCAAACAGTTAGTGAATCAGTCCTGTATCATTAGACAATGACTGCCTTTTATTGAACTAGCACCACCCTAATGCCCTAAAGGCATTTTTAAAACCATGTAAAGGAAAAGCATATTACATCCAGGGAAAAGAAGCAAAAATAATTGTGTGAACTGAGAAAAGACCACAAGATAAGGATAGCCTGCTTATTCTTATAATAGTCAACAATAGGATTTTGTAATTTTTTTTGAATAAACAGAGAAAATAAACCAAAATCCTTCCTTTTTTTTTTTTTTTTTTTTTCATTTGGTAATCATTGGATTTAGATCTGGCTCAGGATGAGGACTCCTTACTGCATCATTTATACACTTTCTGAGATTGACTAAACCTGTTTGTTTGAAGTATAGATTCAGCCTTTAAAAAAAAATATTAAGCTTGCAGTAATTGACAGAATCATTGTCAAAGGTGAAGGATTTACTTTACATTAAAGCTATTTATTGTAATTAGCTGGGGTGATCTTAGCTATCATGTCAATTCTAAGTAGTATCTACTCACTTGCTCCAGTCACTCAAGATATATTATTAAAGCTGCCAAAATACTGGCATTAGAAAACCCCAATTCGATTATTTGATTGCAACCCAATTAACCATGTTATAGACTGTACATTGGTGCAAAGTGAGGAGTCCCTAAAAATTGAAAGTAAGACTACTTTCTAAATGTAAGGCAAGTAAGAATCATCAGGTTTTAGATGATATTAACCATGTGTGGAAACTTAATATGTGTGTGAGGTTGTGCATGGCTCATATAAATTACTATTTCAAACTCAATTTGCTTAGATTCCTTGCTAACAATGCTACTTTCTGATAAATAAATCAGCCCTCTGAGCATTTTGATCTGAAGAAAGGGATTCCCTGAATAACAGACAGACCCATTCCCGTGATCACTGAAGAAAACCATATTCCTCATTGTAAATGAACATGTTGCTTTATGAATCAGAACTCTGATGAGTTTAGCTAGCCTAAATCAGTCTTCAGGAGCTTATTCAATTCTGGGTACACTGAAAACAACAAAAAACAATAACTTCCCTGGGCATAAAGATATAGCTATGATATTATTAGCCCTCTTTAAATCTGTGTGGACAGCTAGCACTTCTTTTTATCCATAATCTCTCATTGAAATTTATTCTAAACATTTAAAAGCATTACACTATAGTTGTCAATATAGTAAGCTGATGTTCACGTCACCATTATTTGATGAAATTCTAATTTAGGCACATAATTTTGGCAATTTGCAAAGTACCAATTGCTTCAGCTTATTATATTTCTCTGAGATACAAGCCAAATTTGACAAAGGAGAAAGGGCTGACTTGTCAAATATTTTATTTGTCTAGTAATTTGGCACTATCAGTTCAACTACAACTATGTAACAAAGCAGTTTATGGTATCTAAAGAAAATATTTCAGAATTGCACAAAATTAGTTCAGAATGTTTATAGGAGGTTCACCATATAAAGGTGAAACATGTTCCTTAAGAGTTGTCATTGAATTTGGACTTAGATTTAGAATAAAAAATTCTGGTGTCTTAAGTAAGGAATCTTTCCAGTTTCAAGAGAGTTCCTAAAAGTATTGTAATCTATTTACAGAACCATGAAAAATGAGAACAATATGAATATTTATTCGGATAATATAATAACAGTAAAATACAATATGTGGGTGTAGCAGGCAAAAAAGGGCACCTCAAAAGATATATTTACTTCCTAATCCCAAGAGCCTGGGAATATTACATAATAGAGCCAAAGATGCAATTACATTCAAGATCTTGAGAGAAGGAATTTATCCAGAATTGTTTGGTGGGCCCTAAATGTAATCACATATTATTATAAGGGTGAGACAGAGGGAAATTAGACATGTGGAAGAGAAGATGCACTGAAGACAAGACCATGTAAAGGCAGAGCAGATAGAGATATGGCCACAAGTCGAGGAAGGCCAACGGCCACCAGAAGCTGGAGGAGGCAAGGAATGGATTCTTTCAAGAGCTTCTGGAGACAGTGTGATCCTCTGACACCTTGATATTGGACTCCTGACCTCCAGAACTCTAAGAGAATAAATTTCTGTTGTTTTAAGCCATCAAGTTTGTGATAATTTGTTATAGCAGCCACAGGTAACTAATACAGTTGAGTATAGGCTTACAGAAGTTTTGTTTCCCTCGTAACTTAAAAATCATGCTACTTCTTTTAATATTGGGTTACAAGTAGAAAGTACACAGTTGTACCTTGATGAAATGCATTGCAAGTTTACAAAATATTTTGCCCATCAAAATGTTCTTTATTTTTAATAAAATTATGATATACTCCTGGCATCAAAAACATTTGGCTAGATTGTTAGGGGGTCAGGATGATTAAAAGTTAGGTTGTAGTTTAATTTATGTTTGTCATGATTTTTAAAAATAAATGAATAAAAACAGTAACAACACATAATGCTCATTTTTCTTTTTTCTCTGACTTTGCAGGTTTAACAGTGCACATTCTACAGCCAAAGAAAGGAGCACTTCTCTCAGATTCTATGCTTGAGTTTTGCATTTATTGATACTACTTGTGGAGAATTATTTATTTCCTTTCTCTCCCCTCACCTCTCAAATGCTTACTTTGTGGCTCTTATGTGTCATGGGTTGTTCAAAATGCTGGGACCATATCATAAAGCTGATATGCTCCTTATCTACAGGGTCACCACTAACCCATTAGTGCCTTTGCACAAATTAGTAAAGGTACCTCCATTCAGCAGTCACATCCTAAGGGTATGGGTTTTGTCCAACTATGTAAAGCCCAGATTTTAGCCACACTTGCTCCCTTGGCTTAGTACTTTTGTGCAGAACGCAACCTGCACAGCTATAGGCAGAAGCCCTGCATAGTCTCAAGAAGATTATTATGCAGCCAAGGCAGATGCTTTTTCAGTTAGTATCTCTAGCACCTTTTTCTTTGAAAAAGAGACAAAAATTGTTTCCAGGTTAGATTAGTCTTCCCTTTATCTGCTCCGGATATGTTCCAAGACTCCCAGTGGATGCCTGAAACCATCAATAACACTGAACTGTATGTATACTATGATTTTTTTCTTGCACATACTGCTGATAAGGTTTCATTTAGAAATTAGGCACAGTAAGAGATTAACAACAATACCTAATAATAAAATAGAACAATTATAATAATATGCTGTAACAAAAGTTATGTGAATAAGATCTCCTTTTTTCTATCTCTCTCTCTCTCAAAATACTGTAAGATTTTTGGATGGCAGTTGACTACAGGTAACTGAAACCACAGAAAGTGAAATGATAGATAAGAGAGAACTTCTCTTCTGAATAGAGCAGGCTCCATTTCTGAAGAAGGTTGTGTACACCAGGGAATAGAGAAGCTGAGAAGGTGAATATTGAAACTTTCCACTGTTGTGTGCTTTCTGCCGTAGAAGTTGATGAATTTATCTTGACAAATTTTTGTGAACCTCATTCTTGCCTCACAGGCCAGAGAATTTGTACTATTCTGTGTTTTTCAGGAGATGGAGTGCTGAAGAACAAGCCTTGTATACATTGGGTATGAAACCAACTACTGTGATACTTGGGAATATTTTGTGGGCTGTGGGCTGCTAAGATTTGTAGAGAGGTGCTAATAGACTGTGAGAAACTATTTGGAAAGATGATATAGCAAATGAAAAATATTATAAGAATACATTTATCCAGAGCTGAAACACACATGTGTTTAGTGAAAATGCCATTTTTTCTGGGACAGTTCAGAATGGTCACATGACAAAGATGGAGAAAGTTCTTAAATTCTTAGTATATTTTGTTGTCTTTTCACCTGCATCAGAAATACATGTGGATAAATTCTTCATCTGTCTTCCCAAAGTGAAGATATATTTGTATTGTTTGAAAAAAGAAATTATTACTCATTGTAAAGTTGAGAAGGTTGTGGGACTTGGGCTGTGTGTGTATAGTTGTGCAATAAATAGGCATGTTTTACTTTAGAAAAGATAGTAAGAGATGAACATTTCCTCATATTACCCTATTATAGCATAGGGATTTAGGGACAGAAAAATAACTGATAAGCGATTTGTTTAAATCAGCAGAAAAATGCCTGAATCAGTAATCCAGCTTGCCAAATGGAGGCTGACATATAAAAAAGATTTGCATTTTAGAGGTTGGGGTTGAGTGGGAATGTAGGAAAAGATGTAAAGGGAGATAAAGTAACCAACAAGAGGTTACAAATAGTTAGAAGGCAGCCAAGAAAAAAAGACAGAGCCAAGATCTGGAAGATTCATTCCATCCTAAAATAAGAATCTCCACTGCTTAGTTAGGTTGAGAGAATGGTTCATGTTAAAACTGCCTATATGTGGGATAGCTCGCTATAATTTTCTCTTGAAATGATGGAACCATTCATTCAGTCATGATTAGGTTGGTCAAAATAGATAAGATTCTTTTTTGAGTTCTAACAGATAGATTATGTATGTACATTGTGTGGACAATTGAGTTTGACACAAAATAGCACTTGAGCAGAAAGTGAGATATCTTAAAAATGAGCCTTATTTTTTTACCTTTTTTTAACCTATGATGAACAAAAAGTCCCTGTAAAAAGTCATTTTTCTTTTCTTTAATTTCCATAACTGCTGACTATGAAAGGCAGATTTTTTCTTATCTAGTATCCTCTCAGTTTAGATTTTAAAAGGCCAGAAGGTTAAGTGTCTTTAGTTAAACAACTATACTGTCTCTAACTGTTGGCTTGGAAGATGACTATAGAACTCATGTGAGCTCCATTCCAAACAAAACTCTAGCTTTTTCTGTTTTCATATTCAGGACAATGAGTTTGCAAAATAGACCCAGTCTTTTGACTATAACTGAGAGTACATAGTCCTGAAAAGATACACAAGTTGAACCAAATATAGATATAATTGACCAATGGGTCTTCATTTCAGAGCATAGCTGAATGTGGCAGTGGTGGCCACATTAGTATATAAAAGAAACTATATCTTCAATATCACTTGAAGTAGTCGCATCCCTCTTCCTCCACTTCCCACAAAAATCTGGATCTTACTGAGTCTTGTTGGTCAACCTGCATTTCTGATTCCTCATTCCTGAGTCAAAGTATCCTTGCTCCCAGCCCGTATTGTGGCCACTCTTATAAGAAGAAAGATGTGTTAATTCACAAAAGAGGAGTGGAATGACCCAGAAAAACATTGCTGATCTAGAAGGCTCTTTGGAAATTGCCGGAACATGCCAAACTATAGGAAACAATTTTCAGATTCCAGAAGACTTTAATATTTACTGGAAGGAAGCATAATGTTGTGATGAAGCGTTAAGTCATATTTCCTGGATTTCTATTCCAGGTTCCATAGGACTTGCTTTGGACAAGTTAGTCAGCTTCTATGCCTCAGTTTCTTCATTATTAAAATGGTGATAATAACAGTACCAATCTTAATAGGATTGTCAGGATTGAAAGAGTTAATATAAGTAAAGTGCTTAGAATAGTGCCTGGCTTGTAGCAATCACTAATACGTGTTGGTTATTTGCATTTTCAGTTCTAATTCTTTTAAAATACAATGTGCATTACCAACAAGATACTATTTAAAGAGTGTAAGAGTGAAACCTGAAATTATTTGCCCTGTAGAGTTTGCTAATGACTTATATTTCCTATTAGAAATCACTGAAGGATTCAGAGTAGAATAAAATTAAGGCAGGGGATTTGTCATAGGAAACAGATAACTGGTTAACCATAAACTGGAAAAAATCACAAACTAGAAAAAAGCCAGCGTTAGGGTAACTTGCTGTGATAAAGGATGTGAGATAAAGTATTCTCTATAGTTCTCCTGTCTAGAAGCTAATTTTTTCTCAGATTTTGGCTCAAAACTGAGTTTTCAGATGAGGAGTAAATTGGTTGGCCTGGCTTTGGTGATAGATCTAGCTGCAGTGATACTGAACCAGGTTAGTTATAGCAAATGATATCATGATAGCAATCTTCAAAGATCTGAAGGGTTGTCACTTGGAAAAAATATTGGACATGTTTTGCTTCTAAAAAATAGAACTAAGGTGAACGAGTGGGGGTTTCATGAAGGTAATTTGGGGTCCATATGAACAAAAGTTTTTTAACACAATCATTTTAAAATAGAAAGGGCTGCCTTAGGAAGTAATAAATTTTTTAACATTAAAAATGTTCTGACAGAAGCTAGCTCACCAGTAGCCAGAAATATACCTGAATATTCATCTGTAGAGTGGAGATAATTATCCAAACGGATTGTTATGAGGTTTAAATGAGATAATGCGTGTATGGCAGTTAGCATAGTGATTGACATATTGCAAATATGTGCAGTGAATGATGAATGGTAATTGTTGATACTACCACTATCATGACCGCCTCCACTACTACTGCTATCACTATTATTTTTAATGAGGATTTTAGAATTAGTTAAGAAGTGGACTATATGATTTCTCTAGTTTTGATGCAAATAGAATGTTAGCTTATGCCTTTAAAGCTCTCTTTCCATTTAGGAAGTTTAAAATACTTAGAAATGGGAGACATCTTACATTGTAGGATGTCATGTTACTCTTCATGTGTTTATTATGCTAACTCCCTTGACTATTCTATTATTTATTATTCTCTACTTTATTTAGAATGTTTTAACCTGTGTGTAGTTCAGCTGTATCCTTTGTTAGTATAGTAATTCTAGATTTTCTTCTGTTTATAAAGATGAAAAGGAGATAGGGTAAAGAGATGAAAAAAATTTCAAGTTTAAATAAGGCCTTTATTTCTCAGCTGGTAAACAGGTTAGATGAGAATTATTTTAGAAAAAAAAAAGGCACCTTGTTTATTTTCTTCTGAAGGATTCATTATGTTTTAAACTCAGACTTTGAAAGTTTTCTTATGTTTTTGCTCACTAAGCCTTTTCTTGCAAAGATAAATTGAGTTAGGAATAAAGTAAAAAAAAATCAGCATATTTTCTTCCAAGGCAAAAGAATAGAACTTGCAGAAGTAAGATAGAAACAAAAATCTGAATGAAGAACATGTCAAAATGAGTGAAAACTATCATTTTTACTATTGTTATAAGTCTATTCTGTTGGCATAAAGTATTTTATATTAATGAGACATCTCTAATTTTTCTCCCTGTATACATTTATGGATGGGGAGATAGGGCTCTACAGGACAAATATAATGCAGTAGTCTCCCTTTATCCATGGATTCCCTTTCCACATCTAGTTTCCCAAGGTCAACCACAATCTAAAAATATTACATGGAAAATTCCAGAAATAATTCACAAGTTTTAAATTGTGTGACATTCTGAGTAGCATGATGAAATCTTCTGCCAACTTGTTCCATCCGGCCCAGGCCCTGTGCCATCCCTTTGTCTAGCGTCTCCATGCTGTCTGACATTACCCACCTATTAGTCACTTAGTAGCCTCCTTGGTTATCAGATCAACTGCTGTAGTATCACAGTGCTTGTGTTCAAGTAACCCCTATTTTACTTAATAATGGTCCCAAAGCACAAGAGTAGTGGTGGGTGGCAATTCAGTTATGTCAAAGAGAAACAGTAACTCAATTCCTTTAAGTGCAAATGTAAAGTTCTTGACTGAGTACGAAAAGAAAAAAAAAAGTAAGGACAAAAATTATATGCTGAGGTTGCTAAGTTCTGTGGTAAGAATGAATCTTTTATCTGTGAAATTGTGGAGAAGAAAAAATAAATGTATGCTAGTTTTGCTGTTGCACATGAAACTGCAAAATGTATGGCTGTAGCGCATGATAACTGCTTAGGATGGAAAAAACATTAAATTTGTGGAAGACATGAACAGAAACATGTTCTGATTGACAGCAGTTGGGTTTTTTACTATCTGTGGTTTCAGGCGTCCACTGAGGTAATTACTTGAATTACCCCACACATACACTCTAATTACCCAACATGTTCACTCTAATTACCCCACACATGCACTAGGGGTCTTGGAACATATCTCCCTAGGATAAGGGGAACTACTGTAATATATATTTAGATTTATCAACACCTATAAGAAAATAGGAGACAACAAAAATCAACACAAAGTTAAAAGGATTGAGAATCACAAATGGTTTTTCTCTATAATCTCTTCTCACTTCGATGGTAAATGGAAGCCCTGTTGGAGTTTGGCTTCATTTTTAATTTTTCTTCTATGTGTGCAGTTTACTTAGACTCCTTTCTTCTTCAAATATATATTTTTTTCCTTGCCTGTAGGCCTGCAGAGGCAATCAAGGCTGAACAATAGGTGCCTTCTTATTTCAAGTGGGTAATTTGCATTTCTGAGGATCTCCTGACTGGATTAAACACATTTTACCAAGGCTTCTGCAACTCACAGGAATGTTTCTTCTAGAAATTTATCATCTTTAGCATCCTTCTTCTCTTTCACACTCCTAAGAAACAGAAGATACCTAAATTTGCACAAACTAATTGTTTTTGTTCCCTCTATTATACAGTTACTTGTAAATTCAGAACTGCTGAGTTAAAATTCTTTCCTGATTTTGATAGTTTGTATGAATCTTTTACTTAAAATGGAGCAGGCAAGCTATGAAATAGCAGGAAATTGGAATTTCAAAATCTTGCCCTTTGTATGCTCTGTGGTTTTGGGTCAATCACCTTGCCATTCTGAGCCTCAATTTCTTTTTGTAACATGAGGGATTACTACCCTTTAGGGCTCTAAGACCCAAACATTTCATGCAAAGGGTACCACTGACTAACCCTCCTTTCCTTTCTGCAATAAGGAAAGATAGTATATTTACCAAGTGTCAGCACATGACTGTAGATACAATGATACTGTATGATACATGGCCTTTGCCTTTGAAGAGCTCACCATTTACAGGAAGAGGCTGACATGCACATAAGTGCAATATGGTGGGATAATTGTAAATGAAGTACTTCAGGAGCAAGCTTTACCTTGGCGGTGGCATTTTGGTTGGATCTTGAAGAATGGAAAGGAATTCACTAACGAGTAGCATGTATAAAGAGGGGTATATTAGCATCTAAAATTTTTGTAGAGGAGGCAGAGCTTGCAGTGAAGACTCAGGGATGCTAGAGAGGTAAGAGGAAAAGCAAAAGAGACTATGTCCTGGAAGCCAAGGAAGAAGGCATCAAAGAAGTGCTTATCAGTCATGTCAGATGTCACTAACGGTCCTCTTAAGACCCAGGCCTGTTAGAACAGACAACAGAGTTAATTGGAGTCTTTGCTGAGGGTGCTTTCTCATGGAGTCAGATGGAGCAATGGGACAGAAAACATATTACAGTAGGCTTAGTGGTAAATATGAAGTAGAGACTGAAATTAGATGATTATTTTCAGAAACTTGTCTACTTGGTTGGGAGAGAAGGAAAGATACAATCAGTGAGATTTTAGGATCAAAGGAAAATTTTTGTCGTAAAGGAGAGACCACAATGTGTTTATCACTGAGGGAAAAGGGATAGAGAAGGTATAGTCAATGCAGGGTGAGAAAGAGATAAAAACCACTGACCTGCTGAAAATTCTCCACTCTGTTGACACACAAAGTTTTTTGAGGTCCAGCTGTTCTCCACTTCTCTAACTTTATCTCTAATTATCCCACACATGCACTTCAATTAAACAGCACAACTGAACTAAGGATATTTCCTTGAATGCTGTTGTATATGCTGCCCAGAATGCCTTTCTTTTATTTATTTATTTTATTTTTATTTTTATTTTTTTGGTCTGGATAATTTCTACTATACTTAAAGCCTTGTTCAGACCATCTCTTTCTCTGGGAAACCTTTCCTGGCATCCCTTACTCTTATCACCACCAAGGTTAGTCACTTCACTTTGAATTCCTTTAACATTCTTTGTAGGCTTTAATGTTATTAATCACATAATATTAAAATTTTATATTTATTTGTATGCCTCCTATAGGTGGTCAATACATGTTTATTAAGCAGCTTAAGGTAGTGGGAGGCCAAAACCTGGGTATGGTGCCTAATTGAACTTTCGCTGTGTTTCAGAGATCCTCGTTTACTTGAGCGTCTCTTTGTTCTCCACTTTTCCTCTAAAATAACTGCAGCCTTCTGGGTCATTAGCAAGAACTACTGGGATGCAGGTAGTTGGTACTTACATTGTTACTTCTTCCAAGGCCAAGACAGACACCACCAATGAATTATTGTACTTTCTCACAGAACCTGGAGGCTGTCTCTTTACATGGTAGCTATTATTAATGGATCAGGGTTGATGCTTGGGAAAAAACCATTTGCTGTTCTTAAATATCTTGTATCTTGCTTTTCTTAAAACTTTCCTACAACTATAATAGGAAACTTCCCTTCTTCTCTGAAACTGTGTTTCCTTGGCTTTCCAGGAATGTACCTCATCTCTTTCTTGTATGTATGATTCTCAAGCAACAAAACATGGATGGATTTTAATTTTTTTTAGTAATTTATGATAGGAATTATATATAAACAAATAATACTAAGCCCATGATTCAGATGAGGGGTTTGAGAATCACTAGCTTTTTTAGAAGAATTGCAGCAGTGAGGAATTAGTGGGTAGAAAGATTAAGGGGGAGAAAGATTACACTGTACCTACACGGAAAGATTGCATTACATAAACACAGAAAAAGATAAGGAGAATTAAGGAATTCAACTTCATCATTACTTTTTCCTTAAGCACTTGTTCTCCCTTCCTCACTTCATATTATATAATTCAGTTTAACAAAAATTTATTGAGTAGTTACATGTGCTAAGTACTGTACTAGGAATAGGAGATACAAAAAATGCATGACAGCCTTCAGGAAGTTTACAGTCTTATTATGGAAGGTGAGTGGTTTAATAAAGAATGTGAACAGGTATTAAGAACTAAGGCAGAGGGATACATAACATGGTAGTGGAAAACCTACTAATATAACTTGATCTAAATTGTCCAGCCGATTTAGCTGTGTTGATAGAATTTATGAAATTATTGGATTTTTTATTATTAATATTGAATCACGTTTGTATACAGGATGATTCCCTGGTACCTTGGGAATCATATGTGGCTAAGAGCTTATAGTCTTTGAATATACTCTTATGGACAAAACATTTATTATAAACAGAATGCATACTTATTTTCTGCGTGAGAAAGAAGTTAGAGTTCAGTAAGACTTAGGGATTAATTGATTTAGAAAATATTACTAACTTTTTTACCAATTACAAAGTCTGTATTTCTACAGACTTTGTTGAGTCTGTAGAATTGGTTTTTTATAAAAGTCAAAAGACAAACTTTATTTAGAAAATTAAACAAAAATGACCTCTCCCTACCCTGTTTACTCTTGACTCAAATCACAGCACAAGCATTAAAGAAAGCCTTGCTAAACTCATTGTATTCTCCGGTGAACATTAAAATTAACACCAATGTAAGTTTTATAAAAATAAGGAATAGAATGTTCACAGTAAACCTAAGGAAGATTCTGATACAGATAAGCCAAATGTTTCAATTTTGTTTTCAAATATAACGCTGCTACAACTTACTTGCAACATTATTCCTTGCATGCCAGGGCCTCCTAATTATTTCATCATGCAGCAGGAAATCCTGGTAGGTCATATATAAACAGCCTGAGGCAGGAACCTCTTCATCTGATAGAGCATGACATCTGACATGTGTGCAGCCTGCTGCTAGTCTGCCACAATTAACCAGGAAGTGCAGACATTAACTAATGCAAAGGCAACTGGGAGCTTGGGATAATGTGGAGTAGCAAAGGTCTTTCCTAATCCAATAAATTCCTATGAAGATGAAAAAGTGACAGCAAATGGGTGACAATTTTCTCGGGAATTGAACCTTTGTGGTCTTTTTCCTGACTTTTTCATGAAATAGCAAGGCATCTTTCTTATTTCTCCTCCCCTTCTACTTCTCGTATACACATAATTTCCCTTAACTTTGAGTGGGACTTAAGTGCACTTAGAGGTTACTGGATTTAGCACTTTCAGTGTGATTAATGCTTACTGCTAGGGTGGGGTGGGGGTGCCCTTTCTGGGCTTCACAAACTAAATGAAACCTAGAATGTAACCTCTATATAGAACGTGTTGAGGGATTGAGCCAGTATCTGCTTTATAGGCTGTTTCTATCAATAATTGTTTTTATTCTGTTTGGAGGCAAATGCTAAGGACAGTGGTGTGATATGCATTGCTAGGGATTTCATTGTATTGCCTGCTAAGAAAATGTACTTTTCACATTTTATTTTAGTGTTTTAAAGCTGTAGTAATTCATACCTTTATTAAGCAAATATTTACTGAGCACCTGCTGTGCTTGACCTAAGGCTGAAAGAGATATCTCTGCCCATGAATTTGGTCTATTGAAGGAGACTGGTTAGTGGCTTGTCACATAAACTAAGAAGTGATAAGGAGGAATTAGTTCATCTAATAAGAGGAGAGTAAGGAAAGTTAGCATGGAGGAGATGATATTTGATCTGTGCCTTGAGTGATGAGAAAGTTTTTTTTTGGTTTACAAAGTGAGGATGAGTGTTATAGAGTAAGTAACAAAAAAAAAAAAAGGCACTGCAGTATAGACGAGTCAGGGATGTTCCTGGGAACTCAACAGAGGATGTTTGAGAGAATGTAGGGAGGATTAATATTGTGGACACTTAGAATGTGTGGAGGTGAGTGGAAGGAGATTGGGCAAGAAAGTCCAGCACAGCTGAATTGCAAGGGACCCTAGGATCCATGCCAAAGAGTTATTGTACAGGCAGTGGTTAGTTTGATTTTTTTTTTAATTAAAGAAAAATTATTGCTGGAACTATACTTATAGATTGTCCTGGCAGAAGTCTGTAAAGTAGATTGGAGAAGGAAGAAGATTTGTGAGGAAGCCAGTTAGAAAGCTGTTTCAATAGGGACTCTCCACATTGATTTGTTGATTCCTTCAACAAATAAATACCTTAGAAGGATGAAAAAAAAGATGGCTTTGAATTTTAATGTTTTGGTATTTTAAATGGTACTGGTATGGCTTCATGCTTGATTTTGCTATCCCTTCTTTATTCTTACTCCCCTACCGATTCCCCATTTCTGTTCTCCATTTCAGAGCCATCTGAAACCAGAAATCACCGAAATCACACCCCTTTGAGGTTAAAGCTCTTGGCCAGCATTCCAACACTATCCAAGTTGAACTCTTTGAAGTCCATGCCTTGCTAATAATGATATAGCAGATATTTGTCCAAAATAATCACTAGTGGATTTGTATAGAAACATGCCTAACAGGCGAAGATTGGGAAATACATATGGTCAATTATAAATTAACTAAAAAAAAAACTGCACTGCAGGAACCCAATGAGAAGAAGTCTGTGACATTCAGAACAAACATACTGTATTAATTATTATTATTCATTCTGTATTGCCACAAGTGTACACAATACTACGTAAATGGTTGACAGAACTGGAGAAAGAATAATATCCTAGCCCTGGAATGCTTATAATTTATGTAAACACATCCTTTTATTTTGTTTTTCCAAGCCATATCTCTCTGAATTGTGATTCTGCTTATTTTGCTCATATTCATATTTCATCTCTGGTTCTCATATAAACTAAAAAATGAGTTGTCTTAGAAGGCACACATGTTTTTCCAAAATGATGATTCTCTTGCATAGGATTTGAACGGTCTCATTGGGAATTCTGAATAAAGAGCCATTCCTTGGTTGGGGTCCCCCTGTATATCTGAAATGAGAAAAGGGGAATATATTTAAGGCCCTTTGGAGATGAATGGTGCTGGAAGAGTAAAGTATTATTAGGAACTTTTCTTGGTAGACTATCAAAAGTCTTTGTGTTTGTAAGTGTTCCTTCTACTATGAAAATACAGAGGAAGCAAAGTTGAAGAGATTAGCACCAACATTTATTATTACCCAAATTGCTTGCTAGTTCTGCCTCCTGATCGCACTGTTAATTCATCAGGCTCATTAGTTTCCCACAGTATACATTCATGCTATATTATTGTTTTATTTAAACTTACCCATGAAAGATCTTTAAACTGGCTTAATTTAGAAGCTGATTGAGTGATTTACATGGCCTCTCAAGTTTTTGTTAAATAGCAATAAGCATTCCACAGACAGGCAAATTCAGTATTAACATGAATGTGACATTGGAGAAATTTCTGTTTTTATTGTAACTACAAATATTGCTTGTTTTACTACCCTTTATTTTACCATTTGAAAACATTTGAAAGACACAATTTAAACCTTGATACAAACTGTATTAGTCTTTGAAAAATTTCTCCTTAAAATCAGAAACAAAATTTGTGACTAAATTTGGAAACTCTAATTTGAAGATCCTGTATAATATGATTGAAATTCATATATACTTCCTGATATGAAATACCAACATTTATAAAAATAAAGGGGAGGCCAGGAAGATAAGTTTGTTTTAATTCCCCAATATTAATAAGGGCCCTTCTCTGTGTGAGGCATTATACTAGGCACTATTGATACCAGGTTGAATAAAACAGACATATTCCCAGAATCTGTGCGTGTGAATAATGTAAACTGACAATCACAATACTTTGTGGAAGTGTTTTAATATGACAAGTACAGAATAGACTGTGAGATCCTTTTTTAGGACTCTAAACTCATACTTAATTAGGAAGGACTTCCTAGAGAAAATGAGGTCTATGTAGCGATTTGAAAAATTAGAGTTAGGTGAAAGTCAGGGGTGGGAGTTAAAAGTAGATTCTAGGTAGGGGAATAGAAAAGTCTAGAGGCAGGTGAATTTCTAGTAAGAGTCTAGAATTGAAAGTAATCCAGTATGGCTTGAGCTTAGATTGCAGAGATGGAGCAGGAGGAGTAAAGCAAACTAAACAAAAGTTAAATTATTCAGCATCATGTAAGTCAAGATAATGTACTTGTACCATATACTAGAACTAAAACAGAGGTTCCTAATTTGTGTTCCATGGCCTTGTAGGGAGTCATGAATGAGATTCAGGGAATTGCTTGTGAAAATTTTTTGCATAAACAAATTCTGAAAGGGTCCTGACAAGCCACTCTCCTTGTTAAGAACAAAAATCTCCTCCTTGATGTTTGTCCCCAACCAACACACATAACTATCTGTGTAATGCTGTCAACTGGACTTTGACAACCTTATTCATTCACACATTCATATGTTCAACCCAGTTATGGAATTTTTCATAAACAAGAGATACAGTGGTGAAAGAGAGAAAACAGACTCCTAGAAGAGGAAGACAAGAAATAAATAACAAATAAATGAGTAAATTTCATAGTAGTAAGCATTATAAAAAAACTAAAATAAAAGACTCTGATAGAGAAGAAGGCTTCCCTGAAGAGGTGACGTTTGAGCTAAAAATTGGCAAGAAACTGAAATAGCAAGTGCAAAGGCCCTGACACTGAATTGGTTTGATGTGTTTGCTGAGTAGAAAGAAGGCCAGTGTTGCTGCAGTATAGTTAGTTGTGGGGAGAGTAGTACAAAGTAGGATGACACTGGAGATTGGGCCAAGAATCAGGTCATGTAGGTCATGGTCAGGAATTTGAATTTTATTTCAGTGCCATAGGAAATCATTGAAAGAATTTAGCAGTATCATTACATGATCTGATTTATGTTAAGGAGAGAAGAAAGAAGTAGGAAAGGTAAGAGTAGACAAAGGGAGACTAGTTAGCAATCTTTTGCAGTAGTTTAGATGAGAGATAATGTCTTGAGGGTGACAGTAATGGAAATGAAGATTAGTATATAAACTTGAGATGAATTTTGGCATCATACACAGCTGCCTGCATATTTGGAGTGGTGCCAAATTACAATGGATAAGATTATTTAAATACAAATGTCTTTAAAAGGAAAATATCAGAGGTGTTTCAACAAAATTACTTTTAAGGTTCTGTCTGACAAAATGAAGTTAGGATATATGAGTTCAAATCTTAACCCCGTCATTTATGACCTTAGGCCAACCAGTCATTTTACTCTTCTGGGGTTGATTTTATCATCTAAAAAAGGAAGCTAATAAAATGTGAAAGCACCTGCTACCACGTAAATTTTGTTTAGTTTTTTAAAAGAACGGTCAACAATTTCAGCAACTACCAAATCATCATTGACAATGGGTAGCAGAAAAAGGAGATAAGAAGAAGATCCAGAGGGCAAAAAAGTCATTTTTCCCAGAAATGAAATTGCTACCTTTTAAAAATCATGTCTGATCCTTTTTGAAAATGTGTTTTCAGGACCCCATTAAGCATGGTTTTAACCATTCCTTTTGTTTCTCTATTCAGAACTCCATACACACAAGCTAGGCAGTGAGATTTTCAATTCCATGTAAACAATGTAGCCTGGCTTCTGAAAATTAATTCTGCATATATTACATGCATTGATATTCAAATATTCACACGAACTTCACAGCAAGCTACAGTGATTATGACCTCCACAATCACCTTAATTGCTCAGCCCTTCTCCAGGAGTATGCCCGGGAGTCACTGAGGATGAGCTCAGTCTTTTGTGTATTTACAAATCATTTCCTCTTTTTTCTGTTTTCTGTGAAAACTGCAGTTAAAAGTAACTCTAGGAAGCAGGTTTGGGGTGGGGGAGTAGAATAGTCTTGAAAAGCTTTAATTAGATACCTGCTTTGTGAAAACGAGGAACTCACATTGTTTGTGGTTTTAATTTAAAAACTGAGCTATCTTTTGCTCTCTTACCTTAAGCAGCTAGGTCAGTGTTCAGTAAAACTGTGGCTTAGTTACTGTTGTTTATAGAAACTGGAGTTCTTTGTCATACTGCCATACTGGTATAAAACCAAACAAAACCAGGCTTTTGTTATTCTCTTGGTATAGTAACAAGGCTCTTGAATTGGATGTGGGGTGACTTGAGCGGGGAGCTGGGGGTGGGGTGCAACATTTGAGGGCATACATAAACTTTCCCAGTTGGAAAGTCCTATGTTCTCAGTCTGCCTCCAGAATCCTGTGAATGAATTTAACAAAGCTGCATAGTGAAAACTGAGCTGGAAGGAACCTGCTGGAAATAAGTCAACTTTTCAGAAATCTTAAAAGAATACAAATTATTTGGGGGAAATTACTTTTAGGTTGTGTCTGTGAATATAATATGACTAGTATTTAGATAACTTGGGCCAGTGACTTTGTAGAAAAGAGCAAAGTAAAATAAAGATTTTGAATATTATTTTGATTATTCTCCATATGGCTGCTCAGATGTTGATGTATTTTAAGAAGAAAAACCCTGAATCTGTTCACCTGAGCTTTCTGCACTGCTAGAATATTCCTCTGATACTAGTGCAGGAAATCTTTCTGTAAAGTAAAATACTACAGTAAGCAAAGTGTGCCCTAAAGGAGATACTGCTCCTACTTTTTTGATGTGTCTCCTTTTGTTGTCTTACCCTACAACATTCTAAAATTTTTTGAAAAGTAAAATGACTCTCATATGAATATAAAAATGAACACCTGTTAAAGATTTTATTTAACTCATTCAATGAGGGACCAGAGAAATGTCATAACTGGCTAAAAGAGAATCTGTAAAACAGGCAGATTTATAGATCAGGAATACTGAAATAAACATGCAAATGAGGGTGAAATAGTTTTTTTCCCACAGGATGGGAAGGGAAGTCTATTAAATCTCTACCCGAAAGGACATAATTTGTATCTTTATCAATTACCTGCATTTTAAAGTTGTAAAATGGCTCAAAGACAATGAAAGACTAAAATCGGACAACCCGGAATAGTGTCTTCCAGACAATGCATAGTTTTCCATTGAAGATCAAAATTTCTTCTGCATTTTTTCTTTCATGTTTTCCTACTTACTGTTCATTCACGGCATAGAGCAAGTATACTTACTGTATATACTTATGAAGTAAGTATGACAAGTAAACATTATCTGGAGTGCTATCTTTGATCAATTGACAATGGCTGCCTGGAGCCTTTGGTTTGGCAAGAAAAAGTGCCACATAGATTTGCAATATCTGTCACGGGCAATAGAGTAGTGAGTAGTGGCATTTGTAGCAAATATTTGCCACTCTGTTATTATAGTCCTCTATATAAGTCAGTTTACGGAATGTCATCTGTAAACTAACTTACCCTGAGATATCATTGTGTTACTGCTTCCAGGACCGTTTACATTGAAAAAGGAGAAAGACAATTGGAGGAAAATATTTGATTGCCTTTTAAAAATTTACGTGTATGATATTGTATACTCTGGAAAGGTTCAAATGTCAAAAAACTTTCAGCATTACAAAATGGTACACAGTGAAAACTTAAGTCTCCCACTGCTGCTTATTCATTCCTGTTTCTCTTAATGATGTAACTACTGGTTAGGTTCCTCTGTTTCTCTTAATAATTATGACTACTGATTACTGGTTTCTTATGTATCCTTCAAGAGATATTACATCCAAAGATTGGACACAAAGTCCATTGCATGTTACTAGAAACTATTTGTTTGGTCCTATCCAGTCTTTGTATAGATTTAAACTCATCTACATGGTCTGCTTGATCACTTTTTCTGTGAATTTAATTGTAAGTAATTAAAGTGATCTATCTCATAGTTGTTTTTAGGTCTTCAACTGTTAAATGGAGTCCCTACACATGAGACTGTGAAATAAATTTCTGAGGTGTACTGTGAAATAAATTTCTCATGTGTGCCTTTAATTTTTTTCTTAAAGTGTTTTGTCTTACATTATGGAATGTTATAAGTATATAGAATTAAGAAAATAACAAAACAGACATCCAGGTAGCCATCACAGATTATAGATTTTTAAATTTTAGCAGATCCCTCTTATAAATGAATGAATGAATGAATGTTACGGAGGTAGCTAAAGTTCCACTCTCCTGGCACTTCCTTTTCTGTCTCACATCATGAGAAACTACAGTAGTATTTTGAGTTTGGGGCATTTTTCTATGCATATATTTTTTACTACATATGTATAGGTCCAGAATATGTATGCATTTATACACACACACACACACACACACACACACACACACACACACGTTATTGATATGTGCTCAGACTTTTACATTATCCTACTCTATGTACCATTTTGAAACTTTGTTAACTTTTTTTATTAACATTTTTTGAAATTTATCCATACTGATACACTAAAATCAGTTAATTTATTTTAATTGCTATATATTTCAGTGTGTAAATAAACAGTTTTTTATCCCCAAGTGAAGAATAGTTAGGTTGATGTCACTTTTTTGTTGTCAACAGTATTCCAGTAAATATTTCTTTAATGTCTTCTCATATACATGTGCAAGTTTCTTTTTAAGACACCTAGAAGTGAAATTTCTGTGTTCTCTACTATGTGCATGTACACACACACAACTTATTAAATTATCTCTTCAACATGGCTGTACCAGTATATACTTTAATAACAATGTATAAGAACTATCCTTTTCCTAGGTCCTCAGTAATACTTGGTGTTTTCAAATTTACTACATTTTTGCCAATCTCAGGGATATTATTTTAATTTTTATTTTCTGATACGTTTGTGAAGTTGATCACCTGCTCATTGTCCATTATAGATTTTTATTCCCTGAATTGTCTACCTATTGATTTGCATAAAATTTTCTTACTGATTGTGGGAACTTTTAAAATGTTCTAGATATGAATCTTTTTGTGATTTCTATAAAGATTTCAATTATCTTTAAGGTGTATGAGGCTTGTCTTTTAACTTTGTTCATAGTCTCTTTTGACATAGAGGAGTTTATAATGTTAACGTTTATCTATCTTTTCCTCAATGGTCTGTGTCCTTTCTCGGGGATGGTATTAATACATTTTTTCCTAATTGTGCTGGCTTTATAGTATGTCAGTTTGGTTAGGCTAAACTATATTTCCCAGGATTTACTTTTGTGTATGTTTTCAGTTAGGGTAGGCCATAAGAGAGATTCTTGTGTGAGATTTGGAGGGCTGAAGTGAAGCAACAGGCATTTTGTAGCCCTACACTTTTATCCTATATTTGCTGGATCACCTCATTGGCATGAAGCAGCAGTAAGGCTGTGACTGTTTTACTTTCCCCTGGATCCTCCTTTAGCTTCTCTAGCACCTGGGTCTGGTATGTGTGTTTTAGCTCCATGAAGAAGGGCCCCAGCTTCTATAGAATGCCTGTACATCAAGATTGGAGGTAACAAGAACTGTCAGGAATTTTAGTCTGTCCTCACTGGCTTCAGCTCATGCTTATGAGATCCAGGCTGTTTTTGCTGTTCCCCACTTCACATTCATCTTTCCTTCCCAACGTTCAGTCCTGTAGACTTGAAGATCTCCATCACATGAAAAGACAGTGGCATAGGGATAGTTATTTGTCCACCCTTTTCCCACTGATTTATAATGTCACTTTGATCTTTTATGAAATTAATACAGACATGGATCCTTTAATTCATTCTATTTTATTAGTCTGCTTACCTGTAAGTCCTACATTGTCAGAATTATTGTCGTCTTAGTAAGTAATGAAACAAGGTCAATAAGTATCAGTTTATGCCTTGTCTTTAAAACCATCTTTGGTTTTTTTGGTTGTTTTTGGCTCTCTACACTTCTATAGGAATTTTAGTGTAAACTTGTCAAGTTCCATGAAAAAAATTGAATTTTGATTGTAATGAATTTAATGTATAGATCAAATTAGGAAGAATTACTCTGTTTAAGACCTTCCACTGAAGGACATAACATATTGCTCTCTTTCTAATCCCCTTTTTAATTAATAGAATTTACTTTTTAGAGCAGTTTTAGGTTTATAGAAAAATTGAGCAGAAAGTACAAAGAGTTCCCATGTACTTCTCATACCACGTGCCACCCTGCCCACCTCATTTCCCCTATTATTAGCATCTTGCATTATTGTGGTAAATTTGCATTTGCAGTAATTTATTGATATCTATCTGTCTACATAGATAGATGGACATATTATTTTTATCTAAAGGCCATAGTTCACATTAGGGTTCACTCTGAATTTTATATTCTATGGAGTTTCACAAATGTATAATGACATATATTCACCATTATAGTATCATACAAGATAGTTTCACTGCATTAAAGATCCCTTGTGCTATACCTAGTCATCCCTCACTCCCTTGTCTAGGAAGTCTTGCAACTAGTAATCCTTTTACTTTCTCCATAGCTTTGCCTTTTCTAGAATGTCATATATTTGAACTCATGAAGTATGTAATCTTTTCAGATTGACATCTTTCACTTAGCAATATACATTTCAGTTTCCTCCATGTCTTTTTATGACTTATTCATTTTTATCACTGAATAATATTCTGTTTCATGGATATACCACAGTTTATCCATTCACTATTGAAGAACATCTTGATTGCTTACAAGTTTTGGTGACTATGAATAAAGCTGCTATAAACATTGGTGTATAGAGTTTTGAATTTTATTTTTAATTGATACACAATTATATATACAATATATTGTACATATTTATGGTGTAAAGCGTGATGTTTTGATACATGTATACATTCAAATCAGAGTAACTGATATATGTATCATCTCAAACATTTATCCATTCTTTGTGATAAGAACATTCAAAAGCATCTTTTCTAGCTATTTTGAAACCTATAATACATTATTGTTAACTATATTGCCCTACTGTGTAATAGCACATCTGAACTTTTTCCTTCTATGTAACTGTAAAATAGTACCTATTGACCAACTTCTCCCTATCCTTCCCTCTCCTTATCTTACACAGCCTCTGGTAATCCCTATTCTACTTTCTACTTCTATAAGATCAACTTTTATAGATTCTACATATGACTGAGCTCATGCAGTACTTGTCCTTATGTGCCTAGCTTATTTCACTTAATATAATGTCCTGTAGGTTCATGCATATTGTCTCACATGATAGGATTTAATTTTTAAAAATGGCTGAATAGTATTCTGTTGTGTTTGTATACTAAATTTGAAAAATCCATTTATCTTTTATGGTGGTATGTAGGTTTTAGTGTAGACATAAGTTTTTAACTCAATTGGGTAAATACTAAGGAGAACAATTGCTGGATTATATGATAAGAATGTGTTCAGTTTTGTAAGGAATTGACAAACTGCCTTCCAAAGTGACTGTACCATTGTGCATTCCTACAAGTAATGGATGAGAGTTCATGTTGTTCCACATTCTTAGCACTTGGTGTTGTCAGCGTTTTGGATTTTATCCATTCCCATAGGTATGTAATTGGCTATTTTTCTTTGGGTCTATTTCTGGACTCTGTGTTCTGTTTCATTGATCTACTTTTCTGTTCTTTCACCAGTATCCCATTGTCTTAATTATTGTAGCTTAACAGTAAGTCTTGAAGTTGGGTAGTATTAGCCCTCTGACCATGTTCTACCCCTTTCAATATTGTGTTGGCTATTTTGGATCTTTTGCCTTTCCATATAAACTCTAGAATTTGTTTGTTAATATTCATAAAATAACTTGCCAAAATTTTGATTGGGATTGTGTTGAATCTATATATCAAGTTGAGAAGAACTGAAATCTTGACAGTATTGAGTCTTTCTATCCATGTACGTGGAATGGCTCTCCATTTACATCTTTTATTTTTTTCATCAGTAATTTGGAGTTTTCCTCCTATACATCTTGTACATTTTTCTTAGATGTATACCTAAGTATATAATTGTTTGGTGTTAATGTAAATAGTATTGTGTTTTTAATTTCAAATTTGTATTGTTCATTGCTGGTATTTAAGAAAGGATTTGACTTTTCTTTGTTTTTATTCTTTAAAATTTTAGGTTTTTTTTTTTCAACATGTCTAACTAGGCACATCAGTCACCAGTTCTCCTCAGAAGAACCAAAGTTATAGGTGAATAATTATGGCCAGAGTGGAATACTGAGGGGAGATGTCTAGAGCCAATCAGAGAACCCATGGGAAAAAGCTGGGGCACAGAAAAAGAAGGAAACAAGAGTTTGGGAGAGATTGACCCCTGAGGAACATGGAGTCCCATAGAAAGGGTAGCTGGGGGTATTTTTGTTCCCCTCAGCCATGCAGCAGACTGCTAGTTTCTGAACTGTTGGAGAGTCCTGCCCTTTACCCTTGTGAGTCCAAGCACTGGTGTGGGCAGCGATTTTGGAATTTTTTGAAAGCAGAGCAGCAGGCTTCCAGCTAGCACAGGGTCACTTGCCCTTCTCTGAGACCCGAACTGGAGTAGCAGGTATTATACGGGGTGAGCACCCATTTTGGGATTCTATCCTGCCCATGTAGTCTCAGCACTTTTGTCTGTGCATCACCGGATCCCCTGCAAACCTTCCCCACCGCACACTTGGACTGTGGCAACCACAGAGGGCCAGTGGGATTCAGAAGAATGCAGGATTCCCATAGGTCTAACTCTCAGGGCAGACTGCTCCTAGGGGAAGGGAGAATACAGTGTTCCAAAGGAGTACCCCTTGGAACAAAGGAAACCAGAGTGCACACACTCCTGTGCCTGAGAGTTTCCTGCTTGTGAACTGAAGGTGACTGTGCTCCTTCCAGCAGACATGTGGACACAGCACTGAGGTCTGTAGGGGAAGAGTGTGGTTCTAGCCCACTAACAGGCAGCTCTGGTGCTCAGGAAGAGACATGAAGATGGGACCCTCTCCTCCTCACCCCTGCCCACTGTGGTGGATGCAGCTGTAACTGCTCCCCCAGGCGGTTTGCATAAGTATACTTGCAGATGGCCTTTCCAGTGCTATTAGGGGCTGTTGCATCCCTACTAGTGGTGTGCCCACCAAGGCTGGGCTTCCATGAAGGGTGGTCCCCTCCCACTTTCTACACTGAAGGGCAGTGTTCCTGCAGTAGAAGTCAGGTGAGCTGCAAAGCTGTCTGTTTTGGCTTGAGGAAAAAGGTTCCATCCTGAGGCCATGTTAGCAGAAATCCATGGGACAGGTGTTTTCATGGCCCTCAGTTACACTGTAGCATGGAAATAAATGACAGTGTCTATCTGAACTGAAAGTCACAAGACTTGGGACAGAGGGGTGATAGGGAGGCAGATCGCATTCCTGCCAGTCCAGAATGTGGAGCTGGTGCAACCCTCTCTTCCCTCACCCACTGGAGAACTTGGTGAATTTCACCATAAGCTCTCCTTGCCACCCCATCAGCGCTGGTACTGGTGCTCATCATTGGGGTATCTGAGGGAGAGCTTGGCAGTCCATCTCTGCCCATCTTTGTCCCCCAGCCTCTGGGGATGAGCAGGGAACTCAGGACACCAGGCATTCCACAGACTAGCCCAACTTCTGAGACAACAGAGAGACTCTCCAGTAAACAAACATAAAGCACGTACCCAGTGGCTTCTGCCATAGCTGGTGCATAACTGTAAATGTCACCTACCAGCCAAGGATAAAGAAAGGATTAAAAAAACAGCAGGATAAAAGAAACAAATAACATACAATGGAGCTCCATCTAATATGTCTGGCAGCAGACTTTTCAGTGGAAACATTACAGGCTGGGTGAGAGTGCCAAGGCATCTTTAGAGTGCTGAAGGCAAAAACCTTTTAACCCTGGAATGGTATATCCAACAAAAATATCCTCCAAACGCAAAGGAGAAATAAAGACTTCCCTAGACCAAAAAAAAAAAAAAAAAACCAAAACCAAAACAAAACAAAAAACAACAAACAAACCAACCAACAAACAAACAAAAAACCTGAGGGATATCATCAGCACCAGACCTGTCCTACAAGAAATATTAAATGGAATTCTTCAATCTGAAATAAAAGGATGTTAAGGAACAAGAAATCATCTGAAGGTACACAATTCACTGGTAATAGTAAGTACATAGACTAACAGAATATTCTAACACTGTAATTGTGATATGTAAACTACTCATATCTTGAGTAGAAAGATTAAATGATGAGCTGATCAAAAATAATAACTAAACTTTTCAAGACTTAAACAGTATAATAAGATGTAATTAGAAACAACAATATGTTAAAAAGCTGGGGGGATGAAGTTAAAGTGTAGAGGTTTTATTCATTTTCTCTCTGCTTGTTTGGTTAGTTCATTTGTTTGTTTTTGTAATCAGTGTTAAGTTTTCATCAGTTTAAAATAATGAGTAAAAGATGTTATTTGAAAGCCTCATTATAACCTCAAATTTAAAAACCTACAACAGATACACAAAAGTAAAAATCAAGAAATTAAAACAGATCACCAGAGAAAATCACCTTTTCAAAACGGTAGATGAGAAGAAAGGAAGGATGGATGGAAGGAAGGAAGGAGGGAAGGAAGGAAGGAAGGAAGGAAAGAAAGAAGACTACAAAACAACCAGAAAACAATAACAAAATGGTAGGAGTAAGTCCTTACTTATCAGTAATAGCATTGGCTATAATTGGACTAAACTCTCCAATTGAAAGATATGAGGAAGCTAAATGGGTATTAAACAACAACAAAAACCCAAGACCCAGTGATCCGTTGCCTACAAGAAATACACTTTACCTATGAAGAAACATATAAACTGAAAATCAAGGGATGGAAAAATATATTTCAGCAAACAGAAGCCAAAAAAAAAGCAGTAGCTATAATTATATCAGACAAGATAGATTTTGAGACAAAAATGTAGAAAGAGACAAAGAAGGTCATTATATAATGATGAGGGGTCGTGAGAAGAATTAACAATTATAAGTATATATGCACCCAACATTGGATAATCCAGGTATATAAAGCAAATATTATGAGCTAAAGAGAGAGATTGACCCCAATACAATGCTAGCTGGAGATATTGTCACCCCACTTTCAGCATTGGACAGATCATCTAGACAGAAAATCAACTAAGAAACATCATACTTTATCTCCACTATAGACAAAACGGACCTAATAGAGGTTTACAGAACATTTCATCCAGTGGCTGCAGAATATATATTTTTCTCAGCACATGGATTATCTCAAGGATAGACCATATTTTAGGCCACTAAAGAAGTTTTTTTTTTTTTTTTTGAGACAGAGTCTCGCTCTGTCTCCCAGGCAGGAGTGCAGTGGTATGATCTCAGCTCACTGCAGCCTCTGTCTCCCAGGTTCAAGCAATTCTCATGCCTTACCCTCCCGAGTAGCTGGGATTACAGGCACGCACCACCACGCCTGGCTAATTTTTGTATTTTTAGTAGAGACGGGGTTTTGCTATGTTGGCCAGGCTGGTCTCAAACTCCTGACCTCAGGTGATCTACCCACTTCAGCCTCCCAAAGTGCTGGGGTAACAGGGGTGAGCCACTGTGCCTGGCCCCACAAAACAAGTCTTAAAATTAAAAAAACAAAAAACATTGAAGTCAAATACAGTATGTTCTCTGACCCAAGAAAATAAAACTAGAAATCAGTAATGAGAGGAAGATTGGAAACTGTACAAACACATGGCAATTGGCATAGCAAACAATATACTCCTGAATGACGAGTGGGTCCATGATTAAATTAATAAAGAAATTAAAAAGTTTCTTGAAACAAATGAAAATAGAAACACATCATACAAAAACCTATGGGATACAGCAAAAGCAGTACTCAGAAGAAAGTCAGTAGTTATAGTAAGTAAGGACTTACTCCTACCATTCTACATCAAAAAAGTAGAAAGACATCACATAAACAACCTAATGTTGCATCTCAAATAATTAGAAAAGCAAAAGCAAACCAAACCCAAAATTAGTGGAAGAAAATAAATAATAGAGATGAAAGCAGAAATAAATGAAATTGAAACAAAAAAATACAAAAGATCAATGAATTGAAAGTGGATTTTTGTAAAAAACAGATAAACAAAATTGACAAACCTTTACTCAGAGTAGGAAAAAAGTAAGAAAGTCCAAATAAAATCAGAGATGGAAAGGGAGACATAAAACTGATACCACAGAAATTCAAAGGATCATTACAGGCTACTATGAGCAACTATATGCCAATAAATTGAAAAATCTAGAATAAACAGATAAGTTCCTAGACACATACAACCTATCAAGATTGAGCCATGAAGAAATCCAAAACCTGAATAGACCAATAGCAAGTAATGAGATCGAAGCCTAATAAAATGTCTCTCAGCAGCGAAAAGCCTGGAACCCAAAGGCTTCACTGCTGAATTTTACCAAACAATTAAAAAACTTATACCAATTCTACTCAAATTGCTTTAAAAAATACAAGAGAAGTAAATACTTCCAAATTCATCCTACAAGGCGAGTATCACCCTGTTATTAAAACTAGGAAAAGACACATCAAAAAAAGAATGCTACAGGCCAATATCCCTGATGAACATTGATGCAAAAATCCTCAACAAAATACTAACAAAATAAATTCAACAACACATTTAAAAGATTATTCATCATGACCAACTGGGATTTATTCCTGGGATGCAAGGATGGTTCAACATACACAAATACATCAATATGATACATAATATCAACAGAATGAAGAACAAAAACCACAGGATCATTTCAATTGATTCTGAAAAAGTGTTTTATAAAATCCAACATCCATTCATGGTAAAACCCTCAACAAACTTGGTATACAAGGAACATATCTCAACACAATAAAAACTTTATATGATAGACCTACAGCTAGTATCATACTGAATAGGGGAAAACTGAAAACCTTTCTTTTAAGATCTGGAACAAGAAAAGGATGCCCATTTTCAGTACTATTATTCAACATAGTACTTGAAGTCCTAACTAGAGCGGTCAGGCAAGAGAGAAATAAAAGACATCTAAGTTGGAAAGAAAGAAGTCAAATTATCCTCGTTTGCAGATAATATGATCTTATATTTGAAAAAACCTGAAGACTCCACCAAAAGACGATTAGAACTGATAAATTCAGTAAAGTGGCAGGATACAAAATCAACATACAAAAATCGTAGCATTTCTATACGCCAACAGCAAACAATCTGAAAAAGAAATCAAGAATGTAATAGAAAGATAGGCAATAACCAATGATTGTGATGATGAGAAAAAAGAGAACCCTCGTACACTGTTGGTAGGAATGTACATTAGTATAACCACTATGAAGAACATGTTGGAGCTTCCTCAAAAACTAGAAATAGGACTACCATATGATCCAGCAATGCCACCACTGGGTATATACCCAAAAGAAATAAAATCACTGTATAGAAGAGATATCTGCACTCCCATGTTTGTTGCCACACTGTTCACAATAGCCAAGATTTGGAAGCCACCTAAGTATCCATCAGTAGATGAATGGATAAAGAAAAAGGGTACATATACACAATGGAGTACTGTTCAGCCACAAAAAAAGAATGAGATTCTGTTATTTGCAACAGGGATGGAACTAGAGATCATTATATTAAGTGAAATAAGCGAGGCACAGAAAGACAAAGACCAAACGTTCTCACTTAATTGTGGGATCTAAAAATCAAAACAATTGAATTCATGGGCATAGAGAGTAGAAGGATGTTTACCAGAGGCTGGGAAGCCTAGTAGGGGGCTGGAGTAGATGTAGGGATGGTTAATGGGTACAGAAAGTAATAGTTAGAAAAAATGAATAAGACATACTGTTTGATAGCACAACAGGGTGACTATAGTCAATAATAACCTAATTGTACATTTAAAAATAACTATAAGAGTATAATTGGATTGTTTGTAACACAAAAGATAAATGCTTGAGGGGATGGATACCCCATTCTCCATGATGCGATTATTTAAAGTTGTATGCCTGTATCAAAACATCTGACGTACCCCACAAATATATATGCCTACTATGTACCCACAATAATTTAAAAAGTAAAGAAATAAAAAAAGGTAATCCCATTTATAATAGCTAGAAATAAAATACCTAGGAGCATACTTCAAGGGCATACCAAAGAAGTGAAAGATCTCTCTAATAAGGACTATAAAACATTGATGTAAGAAATCAAAGAGGACACAGAAAAATGGAAAGATATTTCATGTTTATGGATTAGAATGATCAATATTGTTAAAATGTCCATACTACGCAAAGCATTCTACAGATTCAATGTAATTCCTATCAAAATACTAATGACGTTCTTCACAGAAATAGAAAAAAGAAAGAGAAAAAAGCAAATCTTAAAATTTATATGAAAACACTGAAGACTCAGAATAGGCAAAGTCATTCTGAGCAAAATGAAGAAAATTGGAGGAATCACAATGAAGAAAATTGGAGAAATCACATTACTTGACTTGAAATTATGCTGCAGAGCTATAGTCAGCAAAACAGCATGGTACTGGCATAAAAACAGACATATAGACCAATGGAACAAAACAGACAACCCAGAAATAAAGCCAGACATCTGAAGTGAACTCATTTTTGAAAAGGTGCCGAGAACATACATTGGGCAAAGGACAGCCTCTTCAATAAATGGTGCTGGGAAAACTGGATATCCATATGTAGAAGAATGAAACAAGACCCCTATATTTCACCATAGACAAAAATAAAATTAAAATGGATTAAAGGGTTAAATTGAAAACCTCAAACTGTGACATACCTACAAGAAAACATCAGGGAAACTATCCAGACATTAGTTTATGGTAAGAATTCTTGAGTAATACACCACAAGCACAGGCAACCACAGTAAAAATGAACAAATAAGATCACGTCAAGTTAAAAAGCTTTTGCACACAGCAAAGGAAACAATAAACAAAGTGAAGAGACAAACCACAGAATGGGAGAATAAATATGCAAACTACACATCTGACAAGGAATTAATAACAAGAATTTGTAAGAAACTCAACTCTATAGGAAAATATCTAATAATCCAAATAAAAAATGGGCAAAAGATCTGAATAAACATTTCTTAAAAGAAGATGCAGAAATGGCAAACATGTATATGAAAAGGTACTCAACATCATTGATCATCAGAGAAATGCAGATCAAAACTAAAATGAGTTATCATCTCACCCCAGATAAAATTACTTTTATACAAAAGCCAGACAGTAACAAATTGTGGCAAAGACATGGAGAAAAGCAAATTCTCATATGCTGTTGGTGGGAATATACATTAGCACAGACACTATGGAGAATAGTATGGATGTTCCTCAGAAAAACTACATATAGACCTACCTTATGATCCAGCAATCTCACTGCCCCGTATATACTACAAAGAAAATAAATCAACATATTAAAGATATATCTGCATGCCTATGTTTATCATAGCACTATTAACAATAGCCAAGGCTAGACGTGTGGCTCATACCTGTAATCACAGCAATTTGGGAGGCCAAGGCGGGTGGATCACTTGAAGTCAGGAGTTCAAGACCAGCCTGGCCAACATGCAAAACCCTGTCTCTACTAAAAATACAAAAATTAGTTGTGCGTTGTGGTGCCTGCCTGTAATCCCAGCTCCTTGGGAGGCTGAGGCAGGAGAATTGCTTCAATCCAGGAGGCGGAGGTTGTAGTGAGCCGAGATTGCACCACTGCAATCCAGCCAGGGTGACAGAGCGAGACTCCATCCCAGAAACAAACAAACAAACAACAATAGCCAAGATTTGGAAGCAAACTAAGTGTCCATCAACAGTCAAATGGATAAAGAAAATGTCACATATACACAATGGAGTACTATTCAGCCATAAAATAAAATAATAAGATCCTGACATCTGCAACAACATGGATGGAACTGGAGGAAATTATGTTAAAGTAAGCAAGGCACAGAAAGACAGACTTTGCATGTTCTCACTGATTTCTGGGAGCTAAAAATTAAAATAATTGAACTCATGGAGCTAGCAGAATGATAATTACTTGAGACTAGGAAGGGTAGTGTGAGGGTGGGAGGGAAGTGAGGATGCTTAATGGGTATAAACATACAATTAGAGAGAATGAATAAGAGCTACTATTTGATAGCACAACAGGGAGATTACAGTTAACAATAATCTATTGCACATTTAAAAATAACTAAAAGGGTATAATTGGAATGTTTGTAACACACACAAAAAATGATAAATGCTTGAGATGATGGATACCTCATTTACTCTTATGTGACTGTTACACTTGCATGCCTATATCAAAATATCTCATGAGTCCCATCAATATTTAGACCTACTATGTACCCATAACAATGAAAAATTAAAAAAAATACATGACATGTTTTGATACAGGCATAACATATGAAATAATGATATCATAGGGAATGGGGTATCCATCGTCTCAAGCATTTATCATTTTTGTGTTACAAACATTCCAATTATACTCTTTTAGTTATTTTTAAATGCACAATTAATTTATTATTGTACCAATTGTTATTTTTACCAGCCTCTGGTAATCATCCTTCTACTCTCTATGTCCATGAGTTCAATTGTTTTGATTTTTACATCTCACAAATAAGTGAGAACATACAAAGCTTGTCTTTCTGTGCCTGGCTTATTTCACTTAACATAATAATCTCCAGTTCCGTTCAGGTTGTTGCAAATGAAAGGATCTCATTCTTCTTTATGGCTGAATAGTACTCCATTGCTTATATGTACTACATTTTCCTTATCGATTCGTCTTGATGATTACTTAAGTGGCTTCCAAATCCTTGCTATTGTGAGCAGTGCTGCAACAAACATGGGAGTGCAGACATCTCTTCTATACACTGATTTTCTTTCTTTTGGGTATATACCCAGTGGTGGCATTGCTAGATCATATAGTAGCTCTAGTTTTAGTTTTCTGAGGAAGTTCCAAAGTGTTCTGCATAGTCATTGTAATAGTTTACATTCCTACCAACAGTTTATGAGTGTTCCATTTTATCCATATCCTCACCACCATTTGTTATTGCCTGACTTTTGGATATAAGCCATTTTAACTGAGGTCAGATGATATCTCATCGTAGTATTGATTTGCATTTCTCTGATGATCAATGATGTTGAGTACCTTTTCATATACATGTTTGCCCTATGTCTTCTTTTGAGAGATGTCTGTTTCAACTTTTGCTCATTTGTTAATCAGATTATTATATTTTTTCTATAGAGTTTGAGCTCCTTATATATTCTGGTTATTAATTCCTTCTCAGATGGGTAGTTGACAACTATTTTCTCTGATTCTCTGGGTTGTCTATTCACTGTTTTGATTGTTTCCTTAGGTGTCCAGAACTTTGACTTGATGTAATCCCATTTGCCCATTTTTATTGTGGTTGCCTGTGCTTGTGGGATATTACATAAGAAATTTTTGCCCAGATCAATATCCTGGAGAGTTTCCCCAATGTTTTCTTGTAGTAGTTTCACGGTTTGAGGTCTTCAGTTTAAGTCTTTAATCGTTTTGATTTGATTTTTTTATATGGCTAAAGATAGGGGTCTTGTTTTATTCTTCTGCATATGGATATCCAGTTTTCCCAGCAGCATTTATTGAAGAGACTGTCTTTTCCTCAGTGTATGTTTCTGGCACCTTTGTCAAAAATGAGTTCATAGTTGGTGTGTGGATTTTTTTTTTTGAGCCAGCATCTCACTCTGTCACAGAGGCTGGAATACAGAGGCATGATCACAGCATACTGAAACCTTGCTCTCCCAGGCTCAAGAGATCCTCCCACCTCAGCCTCCCAAGTAGCTGGGACTACAGGTGTGCACAACCATGCCAGGCTAATTTTTGTGTTTTTTTGTAGATATGGGGTTTCACCATGTTACCCAGGCTCACCTCAAACTCCTGGGCTGAAGTGATTTGCCCACCTTGGCCTCCCAAAGTGCCGGGATTAAAGATGTGAGCCACTGCGCCTGGCTGAGGTATGTGAATTAATTTCTCCATTCCCTATTCTGTTCCATTGGTCTATGTGTCTGTTTTTATGCCAGTAGCATGCTGTTTTGTTTACTATAGATCTGTGAGCTCTAAAAATCTTAAAGATACTCTCCCACAGCATCCTGATGCTTAGCCCATATTGGAGAGGGACTGTCTTAATGATTCTTGGGGCATGCTTTTTGTCAAATAGTATGGATTTATAATTTGATACACAAGAAGTCCACAAAAATTTTAAAAATTACATCAGCTTGCATTAAAGAGACAGAGACAATCAAAATGAAAAGAAGTCTCTTGCCCATCAACTTCCTGTGAGCAGAAAGCAGGCTTAGATGGCTGCTAACCCATAGAACAGGACATGAATCAGGGATGCAACCAGGATGCCAGACCCCAAAGTGCCAGAATTTAGGAGAACTATTTCCAGGGATTTGATCTGGGTTCTTATCAGTGAACATTCTCTGCCTGTGGAGCAGGGAGAGTTGGCAACATGTTTCTGACTTGATTTCTCAATTGCTGTGGACCAGTGATTGCCTTGTACCTCTCATTTTTATCTCCCTTTTTGGTTAGCACTATCTATTGTTGTTACCTTATCTCTCCCTCTACATTGTGTGTGGATGTGTGGGGGAAGATAACTTGTCTCTTTAGTTCTTCTGTTTTCAGATACAAAGAACAGTGTAGAAGATCCTTATCCACACCTGGACCTGATTTAGATGATGAGGTCCTAGACTTCAAACCAAAGCCTAGTTCTAAAATGAGATGAGATTTTGAAAGTATTAGGAGTGAATGAGAATAGTTTACTTGTAGAAGGAACATGAATAATTAGGGGACTTAAGGTGAATTAGTAGCCTGCTGTATTGTTGATCCCTAATGGGCCATGCCATCTGGTATTTACACTCTTGTATAGTTCTTTCCCTTGACTATTAACTAGCTCTGCGTCTGCTTTGACCACTAGAATGTGGGCTGAAGTTGTAGGGCTTCTGAGTTCAAGCAATAAGAAAGTTTGGGAGTCTTCATTTTTGTACTTTTGGAGCAACGAGCTGCTACATAAGAACTCTAGCTGCCCTGTTGGAGAGGTCACATGCAGAGGGAGAGGCCTTAATACTATATGGAAGAAAATTAAGGAACATAGATTATTTTAAGAACAAAGATGCCAGGCATACGATCCCACTTGGATCATTCTACCATAACTGTTTGGACCATTTCAGCTGAGGCAACAGATATATGAGTGAAAAAGACATCTTGGACATTCCAGCCCCAGCAGACATAAAGTAGAGCAGAAATGAGCCATTCCAGTTGTACCCTATCCAAATTCTTCACTCAGAATCATGAGGAATAATAAAATATATGTATACCTATCTTCCACAGATACACCAAATACCATGGATCTGGTGAATCATAAACTTCACATGACCAGGAAGCATGTACCCATCCTGGATCTGTAAAGGTAATCACAACCAAGTGTGATACATATTACCTCCAAATCCAAGGATATGCCCAAGAGTTTCAGTGTGAAAGTGTAAAGTTCAAAAACTTGTCTTATACATTAGAAAGAATATTCCTAGATGCTACAGAAACTTCACTAATGTGGCAAGTCTCTGAATTTTCATAGGGTTTATTTTACACTGGCATTCATGTGTCTTCTCAAGATGTCTGTAGTACTCTATTTCTTGCTGACTGGGTCCAAATGACATTATGTCTTAAATGTAATGGACCACTGGGATGGTCTATAGATAGGTGATTTGGTTCTCTTTTGACTATATTATGGTAGGTAGCAGGTGAGTTTACATCCCAGAAGTGTACAGTTAAGGGGTACTGTTACGAACACCAATTGAAGGTAAACTGATTCCAATAGTTTTTAGCAATTGGAATTGAGAAAATAGCATTTGTGAGATCGGTAGCTGCACAAGAAGGGTGGAGGGCTATACCTAGTAAAGGTAATACTATTGGAATAGCGATTACAATGGGTTTCACCACCTATTTAAGTTTTCAGTAATTCAAAGGCACCAGGCAAAAGGTGAGTCAAATGGGCATATAATAAAAACATCACTTCTGCATCTTTCAAAACTTCACTGGTGGCATTAATCCCTGCAAATCATCTCCATGGGGATACAATGTTGCTTTCAATTTGCTATTTTGGGAAGTGGGATAGGAACAGTTCCAGGGGCTTCCAATAGGCTTGCCCTATCACATTAATCTTTCCTCCAGGGTCAGGGATCTAAAATACAGATTCTTTGAGTTGCTTGGTATATCTATTGTAATTACACGTTTTGTGAACCAAGGAAATAGTCACAAGACATATCTGTGGGCCCACTGAATTCACTGCAGGACATACTTGGGGCAAGACTCTATTCACCATCTAATTTAAGTCCCTGCTCTGACAATATACCACCTTGACATTGAGTATTCAGAGGTTATCAATTTAGAGCAACTATAAAACCCTCATAAAGCCAGAATAATTATTTTTACCTAATGCATAATCATTTTAGTATATGGTCACAAATCTCTCTGGGGAAGTCTCATAAGAGATTTATAGTAAATACCTATGGCCATGTTGCAGGGTTCTTTCTCAATGTCCTACCCCATAAAATAGGGATTCCAGGTCTGTGAACTGGTGTCTTGGAATTGGGTAAATGGCCACAAATATTTATTGCAGAGACTTGATTTGGATTTCTAATCGCCAACACAGCATTTTCTACATGTCATACAGAACCTTAAAAAGGTTTCATTTATTCAACTAACAAGTTGAATATGTTTATACTTACTGTGATTATTGATACATTTCATTTAATTTCTGCTATCTTATTTTGTAATTGTCACTTCACCATAATTTTTCCTTGCTTGTTTTATTTTTCCATTTTCCTTCTTCCCCTTATTTTTTCTGTTAATTTGAAAATTATACATTTATATCTATTCTTGCAGCGATTACTTAAATGTTTTTAACATCCTTGCTTAAAAAGTCTTAAGATAATATTTTTATCCTCTTCTTAGCTATTTTTAACATGCATCCCTCCTACTTTCCTTACATGTTGTTGCCTAATAGTTGAGTTCCATCTTAATTTTGACCTCCAAAATGAATGTTCCTTTTTTTTTTTCTTTTTTGGTTATAGTCTTTGTTTTTATATGGTTAAAGCTTCTTTAGATTTGCCCACATGTTTACTAGTACTTTAACATTATGGTTTTTGTTAATTCAGTCCCTCTAAGCTTATAGTCTTTCCCCTAACATACATCCTTGAGTGATTCTTTCAGTGAGGCTCTGTTAAATCTCTTAATATTTTTTTCTAAAATATCTTTATTTTATTCTACTAAAGTGATTTAAAAAAATCTAGGTGATGAATTCTAGATTGAAAGTTATCTTTATTCTGCACTTTGTTGTTACTATTTCATTGTCTCCTGACATATTGCTGCTGTTGAGAGGGCTATCAACAGTAAATATTTCCCCTGTATATAATGTTTTTCTACTTTTTAAGATATTATGTTTCTATTTGATTTTTTTGATTTATTACAGTATGTGTGTCTTTTTTATTTATTTATATCATACTCAAGACATCTTGAATTTCATGAGTCTGAGGATATATGTATTTCATTAATACCAGAAAATTCTCCACTATCATATCTTTTAATGTTACCTTCTCGCTACTATTTTCCTCTTCTGGAATTTTGATTAGGATTACTTTGAACCTTCTCACTCCATCCTTCATATCTCTTAAATGCTCTTTGATGTTTTTCAATTTTTAAAAATCTCTGATGCATTATGGATAATTTTCTCAGACCTATCTTCAATTTCATGAATTCTCTCTTTAGCTATAGCTAATTAAGTTTGAAAAATTTAATTGACATTTTTCATGTCTTAAAGTTCTGTTTGCCTCTTTTTCTAACATCTATTTTCATAGTTTTTTAGTTTTAGGATTTTCATCCTTTCTTTCATGTTACTTAAAGATGTTTGTTTTGTCATCTGTTTCAGAATCTTGTTCTATTCTTATGGTTTTAATTATACCTTTTTGGTATCTCTTGATTCTTGCCTATTATGGACTGTTTCCTTGTGATTTTATATTTATTTAATCATGAGCTAGTCTTTAGTGGCTTTAAAATTTTTTTTTAGGGTATCCCATAATGTTTTTGTTTTGGGTGTGCCTCCAGATTGGTTTAGTACTTGCTTCTCCCAGGTGCCTACATGTCGAGACCCACAAATGTTCCCATGGTTTCTGCATATATTTTAGCAAAATGTTGCAGGTTTTGTGTATGTTAATAATTTCTTCCTAGGTCCTGGTATGTTCTTGATCCCTGGGGCATACTGACATTTAACTCTGTTTATGGATATAGTGGCAATGGAAACTGGTTGTGGTGGGTCTTAAGGAAAATAAACGTTCTCTTTCAAGATATGTTCACCAGGTGACATTATCACAGGATTTTGAAGCAAAGGAAGGCTATATTTTTAGATACTAGAGGGCAAGCTACTTCCACTGGTAAGGGAGGACCAGAGTTGTGTGTATTAATAGTGGAGTTTTCAAGACTGTCAGTTTCATCTGGGTCCAACTGGGTATCTTATCCCAAGTTTCTGAATTCCATTCTTTCTTAATCAGTACTGTCATGTAAGAAACTTGGCAAGACTGTCAGTTCAACTATTATAACTCAGAAACTCACACAATTATATTTTGTGTTTTATTTTCAACAATATCCGCCACATGGCTACAGAAATTAGAGATTCTTTTAGGGCTATCATGAAAGCTTTATGGCTCTTAGGCCGTGACTTGAACTGAGAGTTAAAGGATTTGAGCTTGCCGGTATTAAAAAATAGGCATTCAAGTCACACTTAAAAGCTTCTATCCCACGTCACAGTCCTTAATATTATCATTATTGCTATAATGTTCAAGTGCAGGAGCCACTTGGATTTCAAAGCATTTGCTTCAGTTGGTTTTTCATTACAATAAGCGACAAGTGATAGCTTGATTAATTTTGATGCCACTGCATGTCAGAATTAATAGCATCCTATTTCCTTTTGGCAAGGAGCTCAGCACTATGCTGAAGCCCAAGTGCATGACCAAACCAATTCTAAAATCCCAACTTTGTCAGTTTATCTCCTGGATCAGTTGTGATTTTAATTTTATATCAGGCAAAGTCCAATCAGGAGACTGAAATCACATGATAATTTGAACAGGACAATTTTAATATAAAGAGTTATTAGCTATAACTGGGGATTGGAGTAATGAGGAATTGGCTAGAATGGGACAAAGAGATCTCTAAACAGTACTGGAATAGCAGGCATAGAGAGCAGCCACTACCCCTGTGGCTGAGAAAGAGCATCCAAGGAAAAGCCCCTCTATGCCTCTGGGCTGAGATCCAGATCTTGTTGGACAGGGTGCAGTTTACCGAATGGTGGAGGAATTTGCTGAGGTGTTGTGCTGGCAGGACTTGCTGATAATATAGTTTCTGGGTGCTTGAGAAAGCTGTCCGTGGAGCGGTGGTGTGACTCAGAACCTGCTGCAAAGCTTCCCAAAGGATGCTATAGGAAGGCTTCCAACGGGAGGTGCCATACTTCATTGCAAAGCCAAACATTGCTGGCCACCAGGCACTGCTGACCCTCAATTGCTTAAGGAGCTGGGCACTGAAGAAGTTACCTTAGAGGGCAATGAGGGAAGCCATTCACAACGATGTGATGTATGCTACTGGCCTTTGGATGCTACAGAAGTTGCTCATAGTGCAGAAGCCTTCTAAGAGGAGTATACCGGAACTAGATTCATAAACTCTTTCCTTCTTCAGTATCCCTCCAGTGACCTCTGCTGACAAAGTTTAGCACTGTGCTAGCTGGCAAAAGAAATATTTACAGGTTTCTGCTTCATTATTGCAGAGCAGGTAATGAAGAATGGATTTGGAGCTTAGAGGCAATAAATTAATAATTGGAGTATCAACCATTACATATTTATTTCTACTAATTCTGTATTCAGGAAGTAGCCTAAGTTAGAAATTTTGTGGGTATCTTGTTTTACATCTACATATTAATTGCAATAAATACCATTTTAATATGATTTTTATTAATGACCCAGAAACATATCAATCAAATTTATGTATGACTGAAAGCTTGGAGAGCTGGCTAACAGTCCCACAGTGGATGATAAGCACACAGAGGACATTACAATAAACATTTTTTAGATAAATGATTAAGTGAATGGATAACTATATTATTATTTAACATGATCTTAAAAGACTGAGGCCAACTTTTGACATTTGAATAAGTAATAAGATGGAGGGAGGGATGTAGGAAGTTTATATGGCATATCAATTCTTTGAAAAGACAGAACAGTTTCAGGTGACTATCAGCTTAAAATCAGCTAAGTGAAAGGGAAAAAAAGCTGGTTCTAGGTCAAGAGGTCAAGTGAGTTTAACCTTCAGAAGTTCCTCTAGCAAAATGGTAGTGTCTATCTAGAACTATCTTTTGAGGGGCATTATTAGTTTGCTTCAGGTCTCAGTGGAACATAATTTAGTGATTGATTTGTGATGTCTCCTATGAGTGTGGAAGGGAGCTGCTTTACGGGGGCTAATGGCTTCAACCTTACCCACTGTTTAAGTCAACTCCTGGAATATTGTGTTCTATGCTGGATATCACCTTTATGGATTATGTTGAAGTGACTGTTTTTACTGTTTTTAGAATTTGATGAAAGTTATGTACCTTCTCCCAGAAAGATGCACTTGTGCATACATACGTAAATTTTGCATGCAGTTGCAACGGGGTTATGGAATCTAGATTAGGAGTTCTTGGGTTGAATGACATGAGAAAATATACCTGAAATAATAATAACAGGAGCTTCATTTATTGAGCAGTTCTATATGCTAGTGCTCTGCTAGGTAATTTTATATATAATATCTCCTTTGAAATGCCACAACAACTTTGCAAAATGGCTAGTATCACTTCCATTTTGCTATTAAAGTAACTGACGGTGAGAGTCCACAATTTGCTCAAAGTCACGTAGTGGCACATTTGCACTTTCAATCCAGATACCTTCATACAGAACTTATTTTTTCAATTTTCTACAAAGGAATCTGTCTTGTATATAATGTTTAATAAATGTCTGAATGGTAAATAAATGAAAGGCTGGCGTGTGGAAGATGTCTTATTTTGTATTGCTCTGGAAGGAGAAATAAAATGCATTGGTAGAATTCATATAGAATGATATTTTATATATCTATATATGTGTGTGTGTATATATATGTATATATTTAAAACCCTACATTACTAGTTCTTTTGCATTTACCTAACAGTTTTTATCTTTTAAATATCTTGCTTTCACAGATAATCTCACATGACTTTCACCCTTACTCTATGAGGGATATAAGACAGATATAATTACCACTGTTCTATAGATAATGAAGCTCAAACAAAAGGAGGTTGTGATTTGCTCAAGGTCAAGACAGCAAGTTATGATTAGAGCTCCAGGTCTCCTTTTAGATAGCTTATGCAATGCTCCTTCAACCATAGTATTTTCTGCTTCACAGAATGTCTTACTGTGAAGTGAGACATAAGACAATCAAAGATGCATGACTGATATATTTAAGACTGCCTATAGTCTACTTTAGCTGGACAAGTAAATGAAAACATCCATTTAGAAATTCTAAATAAAACAAGTACTATATTAATAATTTGGATTTAGTTCTGCCTGATGCTGAAAAGGAGTTCAGAGATGTACAATTGAACATTCTGACTCTTGGAATTGAAGAACATGATTTTTGAATGTGGGGAAAATTTTCACACCAGGGCCCAGTTGTAAAAAAGAGCTCCAAAGGAGGTTATCTTTGCTTTTTTCTCTCCCTTCCACTACTGTTTCTTCCAAGATTAGCAAAAATTCCTTATTCTTCTTCCTTGTGTTTATCAAGCGCAGGGATTTTCAAGCCACCTTAGCTATGAACTAATTGTACTGCTCATATTAATTATGCTAAGTGTTTTATGTAGAATTTTACAATTTAGAGTAATTTTACATACGTCTATTGATTTGCATGCCACCGCATTTGGTAGACAGACCAGACCTTATTAATTCTTATTTTAGGAATGAAGAAATTAAGGTCCAGAGAGGTTGAAAGATTTCATCTAGTGGTAGAGGAATGATTTCCTCTATGTGGTAGATCCAGGTTTTAAACCCATCAGGTTTTCTGCCTCTCACTAGTAGAAAAAGGTTGAAAATTCAACAGAGTTGAAAGAAGAGATTCCAATAGGTATAAACTGGAAAATAGATGCTAATGTGATTGTTGTATTGTCAGAAGCACTGAAAGCTTTCAGGACAACTTGGATGTATTTTTAAGCTACCTTCAATCTTGCTTTTTAGTGCAGTCTTACTTACTTATTCTGATATAGAGCAATCTGGTTTTCTTTACTTGTGTTCAGAACTTATCTTAGGACAAATAAAGGGGATGAATTGTTCTTACAACAGTTCCAGGTTTTTGGATGGATCCAGAAATTGTTTTCTGAATCTGTCAAGTGCACCCAATGATTGAGATTTTGGCTGAAAGTGCTTTGACAGTTAACTCAAGTGAAACCCTCTGTTCCCTTTCCTCTGCCTGCTTGTGACAAGTCAGACCCCAGCTTACATAGATATGAGTGTTTGTTAAAGCGGGCCAAGAATGGAAACAAAAGGTGGCATTTCTTCAAACTGTTAGAGGCAAACCACACCCTATCCACCTTTTACCTTTCCCCACCCAGCTTTATTGAGGCATGATTGACAAATAAAAATTGTATATATTCATAGTATGCAACATGTTTTGATATATGTAGCTATTGTGAATTGATTATCATAATGAAGCTGATTAACATATTCACCCCTTCACATAGTTCTTGCCTTTTGTATGTGGTGAAAACATTTAAGATACACTCTCTTAGCAAATTTCAAGTATACAAAACAGTATTATTAACTAGAGTCACCATACTGTACATTAGATCTCCAGAACTTATTTATCTTGATTAACTGAAACGTTGTGCCATTTCAGCATCTCCCCAGCCCTTTCATCTCCCAGCCTCTGGCAAGTACCATTCTATTCTCTGTATCTATGAATTTGACTTTTTTAGATTACACATAAAAGTGAGATAATGCAGTATTTGTCTTTCTGTGCCTGGCCTACATCCCTTAGCATATTATTCTCTAGATTCATCTATGTTGTTACAGATGACAGGATTTTCTTCTTTTTTAAGGCAGAATAATATACCATTGTATATATACACTGCATTTTTTTAATCCATTCATCTGTTGGACACTTAGGTTGATTCTGTATCTTGGCTATTGTGAATAATGCTGCAATGAACATGAGAGGGCACATATCTCTTAGAGATATTAATTTTATTTCATTTGGATATATATCCAGAAGTAGGATTAGTGGACCATATAGTAGTTCTATTTTTAATTTGTTTAGGAACATCCATGCTGTTTTCGATAATGGCCGTACTAATTTATATGCCCACCAATAGTATATAAGGGTTCTCTTTTCTCCACATCTTGGCTAACACTTATCTTCTGCTTTTTTATTATTTTATTTTTTAATTTAAGATTGTTATGGGTACATGGTAGGTGTATATATTTATGAGGTACATGAGATTTTCTCATGTAGGCATGCAATGTGAAATAAGCACATCATGAAGAATGGGGTACCCATCTTTTCAAGCATTTATCCATTGATTTGCAAACAATCCAATTACTCTTTCAGTTATTTAAAAATGTAAAGTTATTATTGACTATAGTCACCCTGTTGTGCTATCAAATAGTAGGTCTTATTCATTCTTTCTATTTTTTCGGTATCCATTAGCCATCAATACCTACCCCCATAGCTCCCCACTACCCTTCCTGGGCTCTAGTAATATCCTTCTACTGTCTAAGTCCATGAGTTCCATCGTTTTGATTTTTAAATCCCACAAATAAGTGAGAACATGCTATGTGTGTCTTTCTGAGCCTGGCTTGTTTCACTTACATAATGATCTCCAGTTCCATCCATGTTGTTGTAAATCACTGGATTTCATTCTTTTTTATGGCTGACTAGCACACCATTGTGTATATGTAATACCTTTCTTTTTTCATCCATTCATCTATTGATGGATAGTTAGGTTGCTTCCAAATCTTAGCTATTGTAAACAGTGCTGCAACAAACAGGAGTGTAGATATCTCCTTAATATACTGATTTTCTTTCTTTTATTTATATATACAGCAGTGGGATTGTGGAATCACATACTAGCTCAATATTTTGTTTTTTGAGGAAAGTCCAAACTGTCCTCCATAGCGGTTGTGCTAATTTACATTCCCACCAACAGTGTACAAGGGTTCCCTTTTTCTACACATCCTTGCCTGCATTTGTTATTGCCTGTCTTCTGGATGTAAGCCATTTTAACTGGGGTCAAATGATATCTCATTGTAATTTTGATTTGCATTTCTCTGATAATCGATGATTTTGGGTACTTTTTAATATACCTGTTTGCCATTTTCTGTTTTTTTTTTTTTAGAAAAATCTATTCAAATATTTTGTCCATCTTTTGATTGGATTATTAGATTTGTTTCCTATAGAGTTGTTTGAGCTCGTTGTATATTCTGGTTATTAATCCCTTGTCAGATGGGTAGTTAACAAATATTTTCTCCCATTCTGTGGGCTTTATCTTCACTTTGTTGATGTATCTTTTGCTTTGCAGAGGCTTTTTAACTTGATGTGATCCAATTTTTCAACTTTTACTGTGGTTGCCTCTGTTTGTGGGGTATTACTCAATAAATTTTTGCCCACACCAATGTCCTGCAGAGTTTCTCCAATGTTTTCTTGCAGTAGTTTCATGGTTTGAGGACTTAGATTTGAGTCTTCAATCCATTTTGATTTGATTTTTGTATATGGTGATAGATAGGGGTCTTGTTTCATTCTTCTGCATATGGATATCCAATTTCTCAGCACCATTTATTGAAGAGATTGTCTTTTCTCTACTGTATGTTTTTGGCACCTTTGCTGAAAATGAGTTCACTGTAGGTGTGTGGAATTGTTTCTGGGTTCTCTACTCTGTTCCATTAGTCTATGTGTCTGTTTTTTATGCCAGCACCATGCTGTTTTGGTTACTGTAGCTCTATAGCATACTTTGAAATCAGGTAATGTGATTCTTTCAATTTTCTTCATTTTGCTCAGAATGACTTGACTATTCTGGATCTTTTGGTGGTTCCATATAAATTTTAGAATTGTTTTTCAGTTTCTGTGAAAAATGTCATTAGTATTTTGACAGGAATTGCACTGAATCTGTAGATTGCTTTGGGTAGTATGGACATTTTAACAGTATCAATTCTTCCAATCTATGAATATGGAATATTTTTCCATTTTTTGGAAAAAATATCCTCATCAATTTCTTTTATCAGTGTTTTATAGTTTTCAGTATAGAGATATTTCACTTCTTTGGTTAATTCCTAGAGATTTACTTTTGTGTGTGACTATTATAATTTGGTTTACTTTTAAAATTTCTTTTTCACATTGTTCACTATTGACATATACAAATGATAGACTGGATCAGGAAAATTTGGTACTTATACACCATGGAATACTATGCAGCCATAAAAAGGAACTAGATCATATCCTTTGCAGGAACATGGATGGAGCTGGAAGCCATTATCCTCAGCAAACTAATGCAGGAATAGAAAACCAAACACCACATGTTCTCACTTATAAATGGTAGCTGAACAATGAGAACACATGGACACAGGGAGGAGAACATGCACTGGGGCCTGTCGGGGGATGGAGTGAGGGGTGGGAGAGCATTAGGAAAAATTGCTAATGCATGTTGGGCTTAATACCTAGGTGATGGGTTGATAGGTGCGGCGAGCCACCATGGCACATGTTTACCTATGTAACAAACCTGCACATCCTGTACACATACCCTAGAACTTAAAAGAAAAAATTTTTAAAAAATGCTACCGATTTTTCTAGGTTGATTTTGTACCCTGCAACTTTACTGAATTTGTTTATCAGTTCTAATCATTTTCTTGTGAAGTCTTTAGGCTTTTCCAAATATAAGATCATATCATTTGCAAACAAGGATAATTTGACTTCTTCCTTTCCAATTTGGATGCTTTTTATATCTTTCTTTTGTCTGATTGCTCTAAATAGGACTTCCAGTACTATGTTGAATAACAGTGATGACAATGGGCATCCTTGTGTCGTTCCAGATCTCAGAGGAAAGGCTTTTAGTTTTTCACCATTCAGTGTACTAGCTGTGTGTCTGTTGTATATGGCTTTTATTATTTTGAGGTATGTCCCTTCTATCCCCAGTTTTTTGAGGGTTGTTTTCATTAAGGGATGCTGGATTTTATCAAATGCTTTTTCATCATCGATTGAAGTGATCAAATGGTTTTTGTCTTTCATTCTGTTGAAATGATGTATCTTGACTGATTTGTGTATGTTGTCCCATCCTTACATCCCAGAGATAAATCCCACTTGGTCATGATGAATGATCTTTCTAATGTATTGTTGAATTTGGTTTTCTAGTATTTTGTTGAGGATTTTTTTGCATCAATATTCATTAGAGATCTTGACCTGTAGTTTTCTTTTTCTTTGATGTGACTTTGGTTTTGGTATGAGGGTACTGGCCTCCTAGAATGAGTTTAGAAGTATTCCCTATTCCTCTATTTTTTGGAATAGTTTGAGTAGGATTGGTATTAGTTCTTCTTTAAATGTTTGGTAGAATCAACAGCAGAACCATCAGGTCCTGGGCTTTTCTTTACTGGGAGATTTTTATTATGGCTCTGATCTCATTACTTGTTATTAGTCTGTTCAGGTTTTGGATTTCTTCTTGGTTTGGATTTCTTCCTTAGCGGGTTGTATGTATCTGGGAATTTGTCAATTTCGTCTAAGGATGTTCTTTTTTTCTTAGTCTGGCTAAAGGTTTGTCAGTTTTGTTTAACCTTTCAACAAACCAACTTTTTGTTCATTTATCTTTTGTATTTTTTGAATTTCAAATTCGTTTATTTTTTGCTCGAGTTTTTTTTGTTTTTTTTTTTTTGTAATATGGAGTCTCACTTTTGTCATCCAGGCTGGAGTGCAGTAGCATGATCATGACTCATTGTAGCCTCAACCTCCCGGGCTTAGGTGATCCTCCCACCTTAGCCTTTTGAGCAGCTGAGACTATAGGCATGTGCCACCATGCCCTGGTAATTTTTGATATTTTTGGTAGAGATGGAGTTTCACCATGTTTCCCAGACTGGTCTTGAACTCAAGTTCAAGCGATCTAACTGCTTAGGCCTCCCAAAGTATTTGGATTATAGGTGTGTGCCACTGCGCCCAGCCTCTGTTCTGATCTTTATTATTTGTTTTTCTTCTACTAATTTTGGGTTTGGTTTGCTCTTGCTTTCCTAGTTCCTTAAGATGCATCATAGATTGTTTATTTGGAGTTTTTCTTCTTTTTCTTCATGTAGGTGCTTATAGTTATAACCCCCCCTCTTAGTACTGCTTTTGCTGTATTCCACAGTTTTGGTATATTGTATTTTCATTATCACTTGTTTCAAGAAATTTTTCAATTTTCTTCTTAATTTCTTCATTGACCCACTGGTAATTTAGAAGCATTTTGTTTCATTTCCATGTATTTGTATTGTTTCAAAATTCCTCTTTTTATTAATTTCTAGTTTTATTCCATTTTGGTCAGAGAAGATGCTTGATATTATTTCATATTTTTGACTGTTTTCAGACTTACTTTGTGACCTAAAATATGGTGTATCCTTGAGAATGATCCATGTGCTGAGGAAAAAATATGTGTATTCTCTAGATTTTGGATAAAATGTTGTGTAAATATCTATTAGATCCATTTGGTCTACAGGGCAGATTAACTCTGATATTTCTTTGTTGATTTTTGGCCTGGAAGATCTCTCCAATGCTGAAAGTGGGGTATTGAAGTTTCCAGTTGTATCAGGGCTTATCTCTGTCTTTAGCTCTAATATTTCTTTTATGTATCTGGGTGCTCCAGTGTTGGGCACATATGTATTTAAAATTGTTATATCCTCTTGCTGAATTGACCTATTTGTCATTATGTAGTGACCTTCTTTGTCTTTTCTGATAGTTTTTTTTCTTGAAATCTATTTTGTCTGATATAAGTATAGTGACTCCTGCTCTTTTATTGGTTCCATTGGCATGGATTATCTTATCCCATTCCTTTATTTTTAGTCTGTGTGTCTTTAGAGGTGAAATGTGTTTCTTCAAGGCAACAGATTATTGCTTCTTTTTTTTCCCCCATCCATTCAGCCAGTCTGTGTACTTTGACTGGAGAGTTTAGTCCATTTACATTCCATATTATTATTGATAAGTAAGGACTTACTCCTGCCATTTTGTTATTTGTTTTCTGGTTGTTTTTGTTTTTTCTTCCTTATTTATTTCCTTCTTGTTTTTCTTTTAGTGAAGGTAATTTTCTCTGGAGATATGATTTAATTTCTTGCTTTTTATTTTTATGTATCCATTTCATGTTTTTTGGTTTGAGGTTACCAAGACTGCCTTATAACCCATTATTTTAATCTTCTATCAACTTAACACTATTTGCATAGACAGACAAACAAAAAACTAATAAGAAATTACTTTAACTTTGTCCCTTCATTTTTTAACTTTTTGTTTTTATTTATATCTTACTGTACTATATCTTGTTGTAATTATTTTTGATTGGTTATTCATGTAATCTTTCTACTTAGGATAAGAGTAGTTTATACACCACAGTTACAGTGCTATAAAATGCTGTGTTTTGCTATGTACTTACTATTACCAGTGAATTTTGTACCTTCAGTTGATTATTTTATTGCTCCTTAATGTTATTTTCTCTCTGATTGAAATACTTCCTTTAGAATTTCTTGTAAGACAGGTACAAAAATGATTAAATCAAATTGATTAAATTCCTCAGCTTTTGTTTGTCTGGGGAAGTATTTATTTATTCTTCATGTTTGAAGGATATTCTTGCCTAATATACTATTCCAGGGTAAATGTTTTTTCCTTCAGCACCTAAGTATGTCATGTCACTCTCACCTGGCCTGTAAGGTTTCCACTGAAAAGTCGGCTGCCGGATGTATTGGAGCTCCATTGTATGTTATTGGTTATTTGCTGCTTTTAGGATCCTTTCTTTATCCTTGACCTTTGGGAGTTTGATTATTAAATGCTTTGAGGTAATTTTCCTTGGGTTAAATCTGCTTGGTGTTCTACAACCTTCTCATACTTGGATATTGATGTCTTTCTTTAGGATTGGGAAGTTCTCTGTTATTATCCCTTTGAATAAACTTTCTAATCCTGTCTCTTTCTCTACCTCCTTTTAAGGCCAATAACCCTTAGATTTACCTTTTTGAGGATGTTTTCTAGATCTGTAGACATGCTCCATTGTTTTTTATTCTTTTTTTCTTTTGTCTGCTCTTACTCTGTGTTTTTAAATCAGGCTCACAAATTCTTCCTTCTGCTTCATCTATTCTGTTATTAAAGCACTCTGATGCATTTTTTTATTATACTTTAAGTTCTGGGATACATGTGCAGAACATGCAGGTTTGTTACATAGGTTTACATGTGTCATGGTGGTTTGCTGCACCCATCAACCCATCACCTATGTTTTAAGCCCCACATGCATTAGGTATTTGTCTTAATGCTCTCCCTTCCCTTGTCCCCTACCCCCTGACAGGCCCCTGTGTGTGATGTTCCCCTCCCTGTGTCTATGTGTTCTCATTGTTCAACTCTCACCTATGAGGGAGAACATGCATTGTTTGGTTTTCTGTTCTTGTGTTAGTTTGCTGAGAGTGATGGTTTCCAGACTCATCTGTGTCCCTGCAAAGGACATGAACTCATTCTTTTTTATGGCTGCATAGTATTCCATGGTGTATATGTGCCACATTTTCTTTATCCAGTCTATCATTGATGAACATTTGGGTTGGTTCCAAGTCTTTGCTATTGTGAATAGCGCTGCAATAAACATATGTGTGCTTGTGTCTTTATAGTAGAATGATTTATAATCCTTTGGGTATATACCCAGTAATGGGATCACTGGGTCAAATGGTATTTCTGGTTCTAGATCCTGGAGGAATCACAACACTGTCTTCCACAATGGTTGAACTAATTTACACTCCCACCAACAGTGTAAAAACGTTCCTGTTTCTCCATTTCCCCTGCAGTATCTGCTGTTTCTTGATTTTTTAATGATCGCCATTCTAACTGGTGTGAGATGGTATCTCATTGTGGTTTTGATTTGCATTTCTCTAATGATCAGTGATGATGAGGTTTTTTTCATGTTTGTTGACCACATAAATGTCTTATTTTGAGAAGTGTCTGTTCATATTCTTCACCTACTTTTTGATGGGGTTGTTTTATTTTTGTAAATTTTGTTTAAGTTCCTTGTAGATTCTGGATATTAGACCTTTGTCACATTGATAGATTGCAAAATTTTTCTCCCGTTCTGTAGGCTGCCAGTTCACTCTAATGATAATTTCTTTTTCTGTGTGGAAGCTCATTAGTTTAATTAGATTCCATTTGTCAATTTGGCTTTTGTTGCCATTGTTTTTGGTGTTTTATTCATGAAGTCTTTGCCCCTGCCTATTTCCTGAATGGTATTGCCTAGGTTTTCTTCTAGAGTTTTTATGGTTTTAGGTTTTACGTTTAAGTCCTTAATTCATCTTGAGTTAATTTTTGTATAAGGAGTGCTTTACTTCCAACTATGTGGTCAATTTTGGAATAAGTGTGAGTGGGGCTGAGAAGAATGTATATTCTGTTGATTTGGGATGGAGAGTTCCGTAGATGTCGATTAGGTCCGCTTGGTACAGAGCTGAGTTCATTTCCTGGATATCCTTGTTAACTTTCTGTCTTGTTGATCTGTCTCATGTTGACAGTGGGGTGTTAAAGTCTCCCATTATTATTACATGGGAGTCTAAGTCTCTTTGTAGGTCTCTAAGGACTTGCTTTATGAATCTGGGTGCTCCTGTTTTGGGTGCATATATATTTAGGATAGTTAGCTCTTCTTGTGAATTGATCCCTTTACCATTATGTAATGGCCTTCTTTGTCTCTTTTGATCTTTGTTGGCTTAAAGTCTATTTTGTCAGAGACTAGGATTCCAACCCCTGCCTTTGTTTTCCATTTGCTTGGTAGATCTTCCTCCATCCCTTTATTTTGAGCCTATGTGTGTCTCTGCACATGAGATGGGTCTCCTGAATACAGCACACTGATGGGTCTTGACTCTTTATCCAATTTGCCAGTCTGTGTCTTTTAATTGGAGCATTTAGCCCATTTACATTTAAGGTTAATATTGTTATGCGTGAATTTGATCCTGTCATTATGATGTTAGCTGGTTATTTTGCTCGTTAGTTGATGCAGTTTCTTCCTAGCATCGATGGTCTTTACAATTTGGCCTGTTTTTGCAGTGGCTGGTACTGGTTGTTCCTTTCCATGTTTAGTGCTTCCTTCAGGAGCTCTTATAGGGCAGGCCTGGTGGTGACAAAATCTCTCAGCATTTGCTTATTGTAAAGATTTTATTTCTCCTTCACTTATGAAGCTTAGTTTGGCTGGATATGAAATTCTGGGTTGAAAATTCTTTTCTTTAAGAATGTTGAATATTGGCCCCTACTCTCTTCTGGCTTTTAGGGTTTCTGCCGAGAGATCCGCTGTTAGTCTGTTTGGCTTCCCTTTGTGGGTAACCCAACCTTTCTCACTGGCTGCCCTTAACATTTTTTCCGTCATTTCAACTTTGGTGAATCTGACAATTATGTGTCTTGGAGTTGCTCTTCTCGAGGAGTATCTTTGTGGCATTCTCTGTATTTCCTGAATTTGAATGTTGGCCTGCCTTGCTAGGTTGGGAAAGTTCTCCTGGATAATATCTGCAGAGTGTTTTCCAACTTGGTCCCATTCTCCCCATCACTTTCAGGTACACCAATCGGATGTAGATTTGGTCTTTTCACATAGTTCCATATTTCTTGGAGGCTTTGTTAGTTTCTTTTTACTCTTTTTTCTCTACACTCTTCTCACTTCATTTCATTCATTTGATCTTCAATCACTGATACCCTTTCTTCCAGTTGATCGAATCAGCTACTGAAGCTTGTGCATTCGTCACGTAGTTCTCATGCCATGGTTTTCAGTTCCATCAGGTCATTTAAGGACTTCTCTATACTAGTTATTCTAGTTAACCATTTGTCTTATCTTTTTTCAAGGTTTTTATCTTCTTTGCGATGGGTTTGAACTTCCTCCTTTAGCTCAGAGAAGTTTGATCATCTGAAGCCTAGTTCTCTCAACTTGTCAAAGTCATTCTCCATCCAGCTTTGTTCCGTTGCTGGTGAGGAGATGCGTTCCTTTGGAGGTGGAGAGGCACTCTGATTTTTAGAATTTTCAGCTTTTCTGCTCTGTTTTTTCCCCATCTTTGTGGTTTTCTGTACCTTTGGTCTTTGATGATAGTGACGTACAGGTGGGGTTTTGGTGTGGATGTCCTTTCTGTTTGTTAGTTTTCCTTCTAACAGTCAGGACCCTCAGCTGCAGGTCTGTTGGAGTTTGCTGGAGGTCCACTCCAGACCCTGATTGTTCCTCTGCAAGCTTCATCTCAGAGGGGTACCCAGCTGTGTGAGGTTTCAGTCTGCCCCTATGGGGGAGGTGCCTCCCAGTTAGGCTACTCAGGGGTCAGGGACCCACTTGAGGAGGCAGTCTGTCCATTCTCAGATCTCAAACTCCATGCTGGGAGAACCACTACTCTCTTCAAAGCTGTCAGACAGGGACATTTAAGTCTGCAGAGGTTTCTGCTGCCTTTTGTTCGGCTATGCCCTGCCCCCAGAGGTGGAGTGTACAGAGGCAGGCAGGCCTCCTTGAGCTGTGGTGGGCTCCACCCAGTTCAAGATGCCTGGCCGCTTTGTTTACCTACTGAAGCCTCAGCAATGGTAGGCTCCCCTCCCCCAGCCTCGCTGCCACCTTGCAGTTCAATCTCAGACTGCTGTGCTAGCAATGAGCGAGGCTCTGTGGGCGTGGGAACCTCCGAGCCAGGCGCGGGATATAATCTCCTGGTGTGCCGTTTGCTAAGACCATTGGAAAAGCACAGTATTAGGGTGGGAGTGACCTGATATTCCAGGTGCTGTATGTCACAGCTTCCCTTGGCTAGGAAAGGGAATTCCCTGACCCCTTGTGCTTCCCGGGTGAGTTGATGCCTCACCCTGCTTCGGCTCATGCTCAGTGGGCTGCACCCACTGTCCTGCACCCATTGTTCAACAAGCCCCAGTGAGATGAACCTGATACCTCAGTTGGAAATGCAGAAATCTCCCGTCTTCTGCGTCACTCATGCTGGGAGCTGTAGACTGGAGCTGTTCCTATTTGGCCATCTTGGAACCGCCCCTATCTATTTTGTTAATCTTATCAAAAATACCAGATCCTGGATTCATTGATTTTTTTGAAGAGTTTTTTGTGTCTCTATCTCCTTCAGTTCTGCTCTGATCTCAGTTATTACTTGTCTTCTGCTAGCTTTTGAATTTGTTTGCTCTTGCTTCTCTAATTCTTTTAATTGTGATGTTAGGGTGTCGATTTCAGATCTTTTCTGCTTTCTGATGTGGACATTTAGAGCTATAAATTTCCCTCTTAACCCTGCTTTAGCTGTGTCCCAGAGATTCTGATACATTGTGTCTTTGTTCTCATTGGTTTCAAAGAATTTCGTTATTTCTGTCTCAATTTCATTATTTACCCAGTAGTCATTCAGGAGCAGGTTGTTCAGTTTCCATGTAGTTGTGAAGTTTTGAGTGAGTTTCTTAGAGTTCTAATTTGATTGCATTGTGGTCTGAGAGACTGTTTGTTATCATTTCCGTTCTTTTGCATTTGCTGATGAGTGTTTTACTTTCAATTATGTGGTCGACTTTAGAATAAGTGCTATGTGGTACTGAGAAGAATGTATATTCTGTTGATTTGGAGTGGAGAGTTCTGTAGATGTCTATTAGGTCTGCTTAGTCCAGAGCTGAGTTCAAATATCCTTAATTTTCGGTCTTTTGATCTAATATTGACAGTGGGGTGTTAAAGTTTCCCAGTATTATTGTGTGGGAGTCTAAGTCTCTTTTTATGTCTCTAAGAACTTGTTTTATTAATGTGGGTGCTACTATTGGGTGCATATATATTTAGGATAGTTAGCTCTTCTTGTTGCATTGATCTTTTTACCATTATGTAATGCCCTCCTTTGTCTTTTTTGATCTTTGTTGGTGTAAAGTCTGTTTTATCAGAGACTAGGATTGCAACACCTCCTTTTTTTTCCTTTCCATTTGCTTGGTAAATGTTATTCCATCCCTTTATTTTGAGCCTATGTGTGTCTTTGCGTGTGAGATGGGTCTCCTGAATACAGCACACTGATGGGTCTTGACTCTTTATCCAACTTGACAGTCTGTGTCTTTTAATTGGAGCATTTAGCCCATTTATACTTAAGGTTAATATTGTTATGTGTGAATTTGATTTTGTCATCATGATGCTAGCTGGTTATTTTGCACATTGGTTAATGCAGTTTCTTCACAGTGTCATTGGTTTTTATATTTTGGTGTGTTTTTGCAGTGGCTGGTACTGATTTTTCTTTTCCATATTTAGTGCTTCCTTCAGGAGCTCTTGTAAGGCAGAACTGGTGGTGACAAAATCCCTCAGCATTTGCTTGTCTTTAAAGGATTTTATTTCTCCTTCACTTATGAAGCTTAGTTTGGCTGGATATGAAATTCTGGGTTGAAAATTCTTTTAAGAATGTTGAATATTGGCCCCTACTCTCTTCTGGTTTATAGTATTTCTGCAGAGAGATCTGCTGTTAGCCTGATGGGCTTCCCTTTGTAGGTAACCTGATCTTTCTCTCTGGCTGTCCTTAACATTTTTTCCTCCATTTCAACCTTGGTGAATCTGATGATTATGTGTCTTCGGGTTGATCTTCTCAAGGAGTATCTTAGCGGTGTTCTCCTTATTTCCTCAATTTTAATGTTTACCTGTCTTGCTAGGTTGGGGAAGTTCTCCTGGATAATATCCTGCAGAGTGTTTTCCAACTTGGTTCCATTCTCCCCATTACTTTCAGGTACACCAATAAAATATAGGTTTGGTCTTTTCACATAGTCCCATATTTCTTGGAGGTTTTGTTCATTCCTTTTCATTTTTTTTTCTCTAATCTTGTCTTCACGCCTTATTTCAGTAAGCTGATCCTCAATCTCTGATATCCTTTCTTCCACTTGATCAATTCAGCTGTTGATAGTTGTGCATGATTCATGAAGTTCTCATTCTGTGTTTTTCAGCTCCATCAGGTCATTTATGTTCTTCTCTAAACTGGTTATTCTAGTTAGCAGTTCCTGTATCCTTTTGTCAAGGTTCTTAACTTCCTTCAATTGGGTTAGAACATGCTCCTTTAGCTTAGAGGAGTTTCTTTTTACCCACCTTCTGAAGCCTACTTCTGTCAATTCATCAAATTCATTCTCCATCCAGTTTTGTGCCCTTGCTGGAGAGGAGTTGTGATCATTTGGAGGAGGAGAGGCATTCTGGTTTTTGAAATATTCAGCATTTTTTGTGCTGGATTTTCCTCATCTTTGTGGATTTACTTTGGATAGGGTTTTTGTGTGGTGGTCTTTTCTGTTAATGCTGATGTTATTGCTTTCTGTTTGTTAGTCTTTCTTCTTACAATCAGGTCCCTCTTCTTCAGGTCTGCTGCAGTTTCCTGGAGGTCCACTCCAGACCCTATTTGCCTGGGTATTACCAGTGGAGGCTGCAGAACAGGAAAGATGGCTGCCTGCTCCTTCCTCTGGAAGCATCGTCCCAGAAGGGCACCAGCCTGATGCCAGCTGGAGCTCTCCTGTATGAAGTGTCTGTCAACACCTGTTGGGAGATCTCTCCCTGTCAGGAGGCATGGATGTCAGTGACCCACTTGATGAGGTAGTCTGTCCCTTGGCAGAGCTCGAGTGCTGTGCTGTGAGAATCCACCTTGCCAGGATTTGCTTCTCTTTTCAGAGCCAGCAGGCAGGAATATTTAAGTCCACTGAAGCTGTGCCCACAGTCACCCCTTCCCCCAGGTGCTCTGTCCCAGGGAGATGGGAGTTTTAACTATAAGCCCTTGACTGGGGCTGCTGCTTTTCTTTCAGAGATGCCCTGCCCAGTGAAGAGGAATCTAGAGAGGCAGTTTGGCCACAGCTGCTTTGCCACGCTGTGTTGAGTTCAGCCCAGTCTGAACTTCCAGGCCTCCTTAGCACCATCAGGGGAAAACTGTCTACTCAAGCCTCACTAATGGTGGATACACCTCCCCCTACCAACTCAGTCATTCCAGGTGGACTTCAGACTGCTGTGATGGCAGCGGGAATTTCAAGCCAGTGATTCTTATCTTTCTGGGCTCTGTGGGAGTGGGACCTGCTGAGTGAGACCACTTGGCTCCCTGGCTTCAGCCCCCTTTACAGAGGGATGAATGGTTCTGTCTCCAGAACAATTGTACTGGGGTACAAACCAACAAACAAAAACTCCTGCAGCTAGCTTGATGCCTGCCCAAACAGCTGCCCAGTTTTGTGCTTGAAACCCAGGACCTTGGTGGTGTAGGCACAGGAGGGCATCTCCTGGTCAGCAGGTTGCAAAATCCTTGGGAAAAGCATAGTATCTGGGCTGGATAGCACAGTCCCTCATGGCATAGTTCCTCATGGCTTCCCTTGGCTAAGGCAGGGAGTTCCTTGGCCCCTTGCTGTTCCCAGGTGAGGTGATGCCCCACCCTGCTTGTGCTCACCCTCTGTGGGCTGCACCCACTGTCTAACCAGTCCCAGAGAGATGAACCAGGTACGTCAGCTGGAAATCCAGGAATCACCCTCCTTCTATGTTGGTCTCCCTGGGAGCTGCAGACTGGAGCTGTTCTTATTCGGCCATCTTGCCAGCCTGATGCATTCTTTAATATACCAATTGCAGTTTTCATCTCCTGAATTTCTGATTGATTTTCTTTATTTCTTTTTGTTAAATTTATCTGATATAATTTGAAATTCCTTCTCTGTGTTATCTTGAATTTCTTTGAGTTTCCTCAACACAGCTATTTTGAATGCCCTGTCTGAAAGGTCACATATCTCTATTTCTCCAGGATTGGTCTCTGGTGCCCTATTTACTTCACTTGGTGAGGGCATGTTTCCCTTGGTGGTATTGAAGCTAGTAAATGTTCTTTGGTGGTGTGCATTGAAGAGTTAGGTATTTATTGTTGTCTCCAGTGTCTGGGCTTATTTGTAGCCATCTTTCTTGGGAAGACTTTTCAAATATTTTGAAAGGACTTGGGTGTTGTGATCTAAGCTGTTTCTGATTTAGGGAGCACAACAAGCCCAGTAACACCGCAGTTCTTGCAGACTTATAGAGGTACCACCTTGATTGTCTTGGATAAGATGTGGGAGAATTCTCTGGATTACCAGGCATAGATTCTTGTTATCTTCCCTTACTTTCTCCAAAACATACAGAGTCTCTCTCTCTCTCTGTTCTGAGTCACCTAAAGTGAGGGCGGAGTGACTCAGGCACAGCCTGTGGCCACTACCACTATGACTGCAGTGGGTCACACGGGAAGCCAGCACAGTGCTGGGTCTCACCCAATGCCTGCTGTAACCACTCCCTGGCTACCACCTATGTTATTTCAAGGTCCTGGTGCTCTACAATCAGCAAGTGGCAAAGCCAGCTAGGCCTGGGATATTCTCTTCAGGGTGACGAGGCCCCCTAAGCCCCATGTGGGTCCAGAGGTTCTGTCTGTCTAGGAGTCAGGGACTAGAGTAAAAAATCTTAGAAGTCTACCTGGTATCCTATTGTATTGCAGCTGAGCTGGCACTCAAACCACAAGACGTAGTCCCTCCCACTCTTCTCTCCCTTTTCCAAAGGCAGAGGATCTTCACCCTGTGGCCACCACTACCCCTGGCCATGAGGAGTACTGTCAGACCCACCAATGTCCCCTTAGGGCTCATGGTCTCTTAAGTCAGTTTCTGGTAAATGCTGCCTGGTCTGGGTCTCACCCTTCAGAACAGTGGGCTCCCTTCTGGCCAAGGGCAGGTCCAGAAATGTCATCCAACCATCAGGTCCTGGCATCAGGGACCTCAAGAGCCTGCTTATTGCTCTACACCCCTGCAGCCATGCTGGTACATAATGTGCAAGACAAAGTCTCCTTTACTTTCCCCTCTGCTTTTCTCAAGCAGGAGTGTCCCATAGCCAGCACAGCTGGTAATGTTCTGAATCTCACCTGAAGCCAGCAAGTCTCAGAGGCTTGCCCAAGGCCCTTGATGTAGTACCTGGGTATGATTGCTGCTTATTCAGGGCCCAAGGACTCTTCAGTTAGCAGGTGATGAATGCTGGCAGGAATGGGTTCTTTTCTTCAAGGCAGCAGGCTTCCTTCTAGCCCAGGATATGTCTAGAAATGTCATTTGGGAGCTAGGGCCTGGAACGGGGGCCTCATGACTCTGACTGGTGCCCTATCCTGCTGTGGCTGCACTGGTATCCAGGTTGCAAGACAAAGTCTTCCCCACTCTTCTCCTCTGTTCAAACAGAAGGAAGGTGTTTCTTTTGGAGCCATAAGCTGTGCAGCCTGGGATTAGGGGAGGGATGATGTCTGCACTCCCTTGGCTGCCCCAGCTGGTGTCTCATTATGTAACATGCTTTTCCCCCCAACCCCCACCAGCCCCAGTCCATTCTCCCTGGGCCTATTTCATCTTTATGACTCACCTAAGAGTTGCAGTCTTTATGGCCTATACTGCCTTTCAAGTTTACCTAGAGATCAAAAGGGTTGCAGGCACTCAAGTTCGAACCGCTGGGATTGGTGACTCCTCCCTTGCTCAGGCTGGTTTAAATACTCTCTCTCTGGGTGGGTGTGATATGGTTTGACTGTGTCCCCACCCAAAACTCGTGTGGAATTTTAATCCCCATGTGTCAGGGGAGAGATCTGGTTGGAAGTGATTAGATCATGGACGTGAATTTTCCCCCATGGTGTTCTTGTGAAAGTGACTGAGTTCTCATGAGATCTGATGGTTTAAAAGTGTGGCACTTTCCCCCTTGCTCTCTCTCTCTCCTGGCACCATGTTAGATGTGTCTTGCTTTCCCTTCACCTTCCACCATTATTTTAAGATTTTTGCAGCCTTCTAGCCATGTGGAACTGTGAGTCAATTAAACTCCTTTCCTTTATAAATTACCCAGTCTCAGGTAGTTCTTTATAACAGTGTGAAAATGGACTAATACAAGGCATCAGCTGAGTTTGGTTTGGTTTTCCTTTCTGCTCTAACAGAGCAGCACTAAGTTCACCGCCTCACAATTGCTGTGTTCTCTCTCTCTGCACATTGCTCAGAGATGCTCTCAGCACCCTGCTGCTGTGGCCAGGCCTGGGGGCAAGGTCACATCGGTGATTCAGTACTGCTTTTTCTATCTCTTCAATGCCTCTTTCAGCGATAAGAAGTTAAAACCAGATACTATGAGTGCTCACCTAATTTTTGCTTCTTATGGTGTTTTTTTTTTCTTCTTCTTCCGTGTAGATAGTTGTTAACTTGGTGTCCTTGAAGCGGGGATGATCTGTGGAGCTTTCTGTTCTGCTATCTTGGTCTCCCTCTCTCCTCATTTGATTTTTAATAGTAACAATTCTGATATGCGTGAAGTGTGGGATCTCATTGTGGTTTTGATTTGCATGTGTTTGATGATTAGTGATGTTGAGCATCTTTTCATGTAACTTTTGGCCATTTCTATGTATTCATTTGAGAAATGTTTACTTAATTCCTTTGCCTATGATTTAATTGGGTTATTTGTTTTCTTTCTATTTTATTGTTTGAGTTCTTTATATCTTTTGGATATTATCAAATGTATGCTTTGCAAGTATTTCTCCCATTCTATAGGTTGCCTTTTTGTTTTGCTGCTTGCTTCTTTGCTTTGCAAAACCTCTTTAGTTTGATATAATACCATTTGTTTATTTTTGCTTTTGTTGCCTGTGTTTTTGGGGTGACATCAAAAAAAATCATTGCTCAGACAGATGTCAAGAAGCATTTCTCCTATGTTTTCTTCCAGTAGTTTTACAGTCCCAGGTCTTACTTTAATTCTAATGTATTTTGAATTTATTTTCATATGTAGTATGAGATAAGAGTACAATGTTATTCTTCTGCATGTGGATATCTTGTTTTCCAAACATCATTTATTGAAGAGATTGTCCTTTTCTTATTGTGTGTTTTTGACTTTACCAAAGATCAATTGATTATAAATATGTGAATTTATTTCTGGATTCTATTTTGCTCATTGGTCTGTATGTCTGTTTTTATGCCAGTACCATGCTGTTTTGATTACTTTAGCTTTGTAGTATATTTTGAAATCAGATAAAGTGATCCCTCTAGCTTTTGTTCACTTTGCTCAAGATTGCTATAGCTATTGGGGTCAAAAATAAATTTTAGGATTTTTTTTTCTATTTATGTGAAAAAGGCCAGTGGATTTTTGATTGGAATTGCACTGAGTCTATAGATTGCTTTGGGTGGTATGGACATTTTAACAATATTATTTCTTACAATTCATAAACATGGAATATCTTTTCATTTATTTGTGCCTATTGGATTTTTTAAATAAATTACTATGACAGCTGCATTTCTTTGTTTTATTATTTTTGTAATAGCTTTGTTAATATATAATTTACATAGTATGACATTCGCTCTCTTGAAATGAACAATTCAGTAGCTTTTAGTATATTCACTAAAATGGTATTGTGCAACCATTACCCCTATTGAATTTGGAAAATTTTTATCACTGCAAAAAGAAACCCAGTGGAATGAAGACACATGGGTATTAGTAGTCACTTCCTATGTTCCTCCCCCAGCCATTGGCAAGTGGAATGAAGACACATGGGTATTAGTAGTCACTTCCTATGTTCCTCCCCCAGCCATTGGCAAGTACTAATCTAGTTGTTTCTATGGATTAACCTATTCTGATTATTTGATATAAATGGAAGTGTACAAAGGTTTCTTTATTTTGTGACTGGCTTCACTTTACATGTTTCTAAATTTCATTCATGTTGTAGCATGTGTGTTGCATGCTGTATCATGTTATAACATGTATTTTGTAGCATGTACTATAGCATGTACTCCTTTTGTTGCTGAATAATATTCCATTGTTTGGCTATACCACATTGTCTATCCATTTATTAGTTGATGGGCATTTAGGTTGTTTCCATTTTTTGGCTATGAACATTTATGTAAAGGGTTTTGTGTGGACATGTATTTTCATTTCTTTGGATATATTACCTAGGAGTGGAATTCCTGGGTCATATAGTAACTCTATGTTTAAAGTTTTAAAGAATTGTCAAACTTTTCCAAAGAAGCTGAAGCATTTTACAATTCCATCAGCAATGCACAAGGGTTCTAATATTTCCACAATTATTTTGAGTACTTGTTACTGTATGTCTTTTTTATTGTAGCCATTCTAGTTGCCGTGAAGTACTATCTCATTGTGATTTTGACTTTTGTGTTTCTAATGACTAATGGTGTTGTACATTTTTTCATGTGCTTTTGATTATTGTTTTGTCTTCTTTGGAGAAATGTGTACTTAAATTCTTTGTCTATTTTTTACTTGGGTTGTTTGTCTTTATGTTGTTGATTTGTAAGGGTTCTTTGTATATTCTTGATACAAGTCCTTGACCTAATTTACAATTCACAAATATTTTCTCTCAGTCTGTCGACTGTCTTTTTATCTTTTTGGTAGTGTTCTTTCAAGAAAGTTTAAAAATTTCAATTCATCTAATTTATCTATTATTTCTTGTCTAGGAAACTAATGCCTAATGCAAAGTCCTGAGGATATAGTTTTGTGTTTTCTTCTCACAGTTTTATAGTTTTAGCTCTTACATTTAGGTCTTACATTTAGTTCTGTCATCCATCTTGAGTTAATTTTTGTATACGATGTGTGTTAGAATGTCAAATTCATTCTTTAGCATGTGGATAACCAGTTGCCTCAGCACTATTTATTGAAGACTATTCTTTCTGGTTAAAAATTAATTGACAATACAGTTTGGACTTATTTCTGGACTCTAAATTCTATTCTATTAATCTATTGTCGACTCTTATGCCAGTGCCATTCTGTCTTGATTTCTGTAGCTTTTTGGTATGTTTTGTAATTAAGATGTATACATTCTACAACTTGGTTTTTTTTCCAAGTTGTTTTGTTTACTTTGGGTCCCTTGCATTTTCGAATAAACTTTAAGGTAAGTTTGTTAATTTTTTCAAAAAAGCAGCTGAGGTTTTGATAGGAATTGTTTTAGATCTGTAGATCATTGTAGTTAGCATCACCATCTTAAAAAACGTTAACTATATAGATCCAGAAACATAGAATAGCCATCCGTTTATTTAGATTTTCTTTCAGTTATGTTTTGTGGTTTTCAGTGCTCATCTTGCAATACTTTAGTAAAATCTATTATTATTTGATTCTTTTTGATGCTATTATTTATAGAATTACTTTCTTAATTTTCTTAATATCAGTTTTGAATTCTTCATTGCTAGTGTATAGAAATACAATAGCTTTCCTATATCGATCTTGTATCATTCTATCTTAATGACATATTTTATTCATTCTAAAAGTTATTGTTGTGTATTCTTGAGAATTTTCTGTGTAACAAAAATCTGCACATAGAGATAGATTCTTCCTTTTGTACCTGCATGCCTTTTACTTATTTTTCTTGTGTACTTGCCTTGCCTTAAACCTCCAGTGCAATGTTGAATAGAGGTGGCAACAGCAGACATCCTTGTTTTGTTTTTATTATTATTATTATTAATTTATTATTTTTTTTGAGACGGAGTCTTGCTCTGTCGCCCAGGCTGGAGTGCAGTGGTGAGATCTCGGCTCACTGCAAGCTCCGCCTCCTGAGTTCATGCCATTTTCCTGCCTCAGCCTCCTGAGTAGCTGGGACTACAGGTGCCTGCCACCATGCCCAGCTAATTTTTTGTATTTTTAGTAGAGACGGGGTTTCACCATGTTAGCCAGGATGGTCTCAGTCTCCTGACCTTGTGATCTGCCTGCCTCGGCCTCCCAAAGTGCTGGGATTACAGGCGTGAGCCACCGTGCCCAGCCTTTTTATTATTTTTTTAAGAGATGGGGTCTCACTCTGTCACCAAGGCTAGAGTGCAGCGGCACAGTCATAGCTCACTGTAGCCTCAAACTCTAGGCTCAAGCAATCTTTCCACCTCAGTCTCCAGAGTAGGTGGGGTTATAGACACAAGCTGGTAACTTATTTCTGATCTTAAGTGGGAACTACTCTGTCTTTCATGATTAAGTCTGATGTTAGCTGTGGATTCTAAAAAAATAGATAGCCTTTATTACATTGTGAACATTTCCATCTATTCTTAGTTTGTTGAGTGTTTTTTTCCCACAAAAAGTACATTTTTCTGTACATATGGAGATTATAATTTTGTTCCTTTATTCTATTATTATGGTGCATTACCTTGATTGATTTTCAGATGTTAAACCAACAGGCATTCCTGAAACAAATCCCACTTGATTGTGGTATGTAATCCTTTCTACATGTTGCTGGATTTTCTTTGCTAGTATTTTGTTAAGATATTCTGCCTCTTTATTCATAAAGTATATTGGCTTGTAGTTTTTTTTTTCTAATGATGTCTTTGGTTTTGGTATCAGGTTAATACTAACCTTATAAAATAACTTGAAAAGTGTTTCTGCTCTTACTTATTTAAATAATTTTATTTTTTTGAGATGAAGTCTCACTCTTTTCCCCCAGGCTGGAGTGCAATGGCGTGATCTCAGTTCACTGCAACCTCTGCCTCCTGGATTCAAGCAATTCTCCTGCCTCAGCCACCTGAGTAGTTGGGATTACAGATGCCTGCCACCACGCCTGGCTACTTTTTGTATTTTTAGTAGAGACGGGGTTTCAGCATGTCGGCCAGGCTGATCTTGAACTCCTGACCTCAGGTGACCCACCCACCTTGGCCGCCCAAAGTGATGGATTACAGGCGTGAGCCACTGCACCTGGCCTTTAAAGAATTTTTAAAGAAGTAGCATTAAATTGTCTTGAAAAGTTTAGTAGAATTTGCCAGTGAAGCTATCTAGGCCTGAGCTTTATTTTATAGGAACTTTTAAAATTATGAATTTAGCCTCTTTACTTAGTATAGGTTTATTCAGACTTTCTTTTTCTTTTTGAGTCAGTTTTACTAGTTTTTCTTTCTAGGATTTTTTCCATTTTATCTAGCTTATCTAATTTGTTGTTATACAGTTGTTTCTAGTATTCCCTTTTAATCCTTTCTATTCTTTTATGGTTGGTAGTCATGTCCCCTTTTTCATGCCTGATTTTTCATAATTTTTCTCTTTCCTTGATCAGTTTTAAAAGCTTATCAATATTTTTGATTTTTCAAAGAATACATTTTTGGTTTTGTTGATTTTCTTTATGGCCTTTTTAGTCACTATTTCATTTTTTCAGGTATTTATAGTTTTTCACTTTTTTTTTTTTTTTTTGAGGCAGAGTCTCACTCATTCTGTCACCCAGGCTGGAGTGCAATGGCATGATCTCGGCTCATGGCAACCTCCACCTCCTGGTTTCAGGTGATTCTCCTGTCTTAGCCTCCCAAGTAGCTGAGATTCCAGGTGTGTGCCACCACGCCTGGGCTAATTTTTGTATTTTTGGTAGAGATGGGGTTTCACCATTTTGGCCAGGCTGGTCTTGAACTCCTGACCTCAAGTGATCCATCAGCCTTGGCCTCCCAAAGTGCTGGGATTACAGGTGTGAGCCACGGCACCAGGGCAGTTTTTCATTTGTTTATAGGTATTTGCAGTTTTGAATCTCCCTTTATTCACTGCTTTAGCTGCATCATCCCATTAGTTTCGGTATATTGGATTTTTGTTTTTATTCATCTCAAAATATTTTCTAATTTCCCCTTTGATATCTTCTTTTACCCATTAGATATTTAGGATGTGTGTTTAAATTTCATGTATTTGTGATTTTCCCAAATTTCCTTTGGTTACTGCTTTCTAATTTCACTGTACTGTGGTAGAAAACATACTTTGTATGAATTTAATTATTTGAAATTAATTAAAACTTGTTTCATTGCCTAACATACGGTTTCTTCTGGAGACTGTCCCATGTGTACTTGACAAGAATGTAATGTGCATTCTGTTGTTGATTAGTGACATATTCTATAGATGTCTTACAGGTCTAATAATCTTCAAGTCTTTTATTTCCTTGCTGACCTTCTGTCTAGTTGTTCTATACTTATTTTGCAAGTAGTATATTGAAGCCCAACTATTGTTGTTGATGTACCTATTTCTCCCATCAATTCTGTGACTTTTTCTTTTGTGTATTTTGAGAGTCTATTGTTAGGTACATATGTGTTTATAATTGTTATGTCTTCCTGGTGGATTGATAATTTTATTATTATAAAATTCACACATTTTTATCTTAAAGTGTATTTTGTCTGCTGTTAGTTTAGTCACTCCAGCTCTCTTTTGTTCATTGTTTGCATGGTATAACATTTTCAGTTCTTTTACATACAACTTATTTGTGTCTGTGAATTTAAAGTGTGTCAATTCTAGGCAGCATTTATTGGGATCCTTTTGAAATAACCATTACACCTGTTTCTGCCTTTTGATTAGGATGTTTAATCAATTTATATTTAATGTAATATATGATTAAGATTTATGCCTGACAGTTTACTATTTGTATTTTATACATCTTATGTTTTATTTATTTATTTATTTATTTATTTGTTTATTTAGTTTTGAGACAGAGTCTTGCTCTGTTGCCCAGGCTGGAGTGCAGTGGTGCAATCTCAGTTTACTGCAAGCTCTGCCTCCTGGGTTCACGCCATTCTCCTGCCTCAGCCTCCTGAGTAGCTGGGACTACAGGCACCTGCCACCATGCCCAGCTAATTTTTGTATCTTTAGTAGAGACAGGGTTTCACCATGTTAGCCAGGATGGTCTCGATCTCCTGACCTTGTGATCCGCCCGCCTCGGCCTCCCAAAGTGCTGGGATTACAGGTGTGAGCCACCGTACCTGGCCCTTTTTATTTTTTTATTTTTCCACTTGTGCCTTCTTTTATGTCAAATAGATATTTTATAGCATGCCAGTCTAATTTTCTCATTGCTTCTTTTATTGTATTTTTTTTTTTTTTGAGTGATTTTCTTACTTGTTGCCCTAAGGATTACAATTCCCATCTTACCTTAACACAATCTAGTTTGGATTAATGCCAACTTAATTTCAATAGTATATAAAAACTTTGCTGTAATATTGCATTATTTCCTGTTATGTAAATTACATTTCATATAATTAGGTTCATCAACACATAATTATTGTTTTATGCAGTTGTCTGTTAAATCAGATAAAAGAAGAAAAGAGTTACAAACATTTTTATGGTCTTTTTTTTTTTTTTACGCATACAGTTACCTTTGCTGGTGCTCTTTATTTCTTTGTGTGGATCTGAGTTATTGTGTAGTGACCATTTATTTTAGCTAAAATGACTTCTTTTAGTATTTCTTATAGGGAAGGTTTATTAGTGACAAATTATGTTTTTTGTTTTCATTTTTCTGTTTTTTTTAAATATGAGTGTTTTAATTTCTTCTTCATTTCTGAACGATAATTTTGGAATCCTTGGTTGACACTTTTTTTTTTCCAGCACCTTGAATATATTCTCCTATTAGTTACTTGGTTCCATGGTTTCTGATGAGAAATTAGCTGCTAATTTTATTGAGGATCCCTTATATGTGATAACTTGTTTCCTCTTGTTGCTTTGAATAGTCTCTCTTTGTCTTTAGTTTTCAACATATTGACTATGATGTGTCTAAGTGTTAATTCTTTTGAGTTTATCTTGCGTGGAGTTTCTTGAGCTTCTTATTGTATAGATTAATGTTTTTCACCAAATTGGGAAATTTTGGCTATTTTCCTTCAAATATTCTTCTAATCCCTTTATCTCTCTCCTCTCATTATGCATATCTTGGTATGCTTGATGTCGTCCTCTAGGTCTCTGAGACTCTGTTCATTTTTCTTTTATTTTTGTTCTGATATTCAGACTAAATGATAGCAATTGATGGTGGCCTGTTTTCAAGTTTGCTGATTAATTCTTTTGCTAATCTGTTCATTCTTCTGTTGAGACCTTCTGGCAGGTTAGCAAAATTTAGTTATACTTTATAGCTCTAGAATTTCTATTAGCAACTTTAAAATAATTTCTATCCTTTTACTGGTATTTTTTTTTTGGTGAAGCATTATTCTCATATTTCTTTTTACTTCTTTAGACAGTATTATTTTGGTTCTTTGAACAAATTTATGTTCAAAGTCTTTGTCCAGTATGTCCAACATCTGGATATCTTCAGTCATAGTTTCTATTGATTGCTTTCCCCTGCTGTGTATGGGCCATACTTTCTTTTTTCTTTGCATGTCTCATAATATTTTTCTCAAAACTAGACATTTAAGACAATATAATGGGACAATTTTTGAAATCACATTCTTCCTTCTCAGGGGTTTTTTGCTGTTGTTTCTTTTTGTCAAGTGACTTTCCAGTATTAATTCTGTAAAGTCTGTTTTTTGATTGTATGTGGCCATTTAAATCTCTGTTTAGTTGGCTTAGTGGTCAGTGAGAGTCAGTCTTTTTTCTTTTTAAAATAAACACTTCTTGGATTGTTGCAAGCTTTAAGTTAATTTCCAAAGTTCTGAAAATGGTTGATTTTGGCAATTCTTTCCAGTGTTCACGTTGCTTTTTAGGAGGAGTGGGTTTTCTGAGGTCTTTACTTTATCATTATATGAAGTTCTTATTTTGCCATCCCAAAAGTGTATCTTCTTGCTTATTCTCTGTTTACTTTGGCTGACACTAATGAAAAAAATATATTCCTCCTGAGGATCCCAATTCCTAACCTCTTCACTTTTTCTTTTTTTTAGCAATGCTATTGAAGTCTGGCATTCAACTTCAGATTCTCTTCTTGTGAGAAGATAATTTTTTTTAGTTCATTTCTGTATGGCATTATTCAGGGACATTTAATGTATATCATTAGAAACAGCATTAGACTTGGTGACAGAACTTGTTTCTGCCATCTGTTCTACTGCTCACTAATGTAAATATACCTTCCTCAACTCTCTGGATGATCTCATAGATATGATACTAAAATCTAAATGTAGTGACTATTTACTACTTGTCAATAATTTTACTAAGTGCCTTGTATACATTATTTGACATTTGGTAGGTACTTTTATTAGCCAAATTTTACAGCAAAGGAAATTGAAGTTTGAAAGGTCAAGTAACTTGTCCAGGGTTACCTGGCTAGTAAATTGCAAAGCTAATATTCACACCTAGGAAGTCTCACTGGAGAGACAACATGGGCAATATTGCATTCTGCTGATCTCTACCTCACAGAGATGTGGAGAAAGAGTAGGGTCTAGAATGTGGATGCAGACTAAATTAAGATCAAAGGGCTCTCCTGGTAGAGACATTCTTGGCAGGAGAAATATATGTTCTTCTTTACCTCTGCAGATATTTCCCTTAGTGCTGCTGTGAGAAATCTTTGGGGCTACTTTCTTATTTAGAGAAATCATAGACACTACAGAATCATATCTAAAATAAAATAACTAAATTATTCTAGATGTGAAAATAGAAGTAGGGATATTGTAACTTTGTACAACACAGGTTTGAACTGTGTGGGCCCAATTATAAGCAGATTTTTTAAAAAATAAAAATTACACCAAACTGTGCCTGCCTCTCCTGCCTCCTCTTCCACCTCCTCTACTTTTTCGGCCTCTTCCACCCTTGAGACAGCAAGACCATTCCCTATTTTTTGTCACCCTCCTCAGCCTACTCAATGTGAAGACCATGAAGATGAAGTCCTTTATGATTATCTACTCCCTTTAATGAATAGTAAATATATTTTTTCTAACTTATAATTTTTAAAATAACATTGTCTTTAGCTTACTTTAAGAATATTGTATATAGTACATATAACATACAAAATATGGGTTGACTGTTCATGTTATGGTAAGGCTTTTGGTCAATAGCAGGCTATTAGTAGTTAAGTTTTGGGGAGTCAAAAGTTAGATGTGGATTTCTGAATGCATGGAGTGTCAGTACCCCAAACCCTCATGTTGTTCAAGGGTCAACTGTATTTCTGTTAGGGAGAATTAATTATAATAATTTTTGGATAAATAGAATTAAAATGCCAATTTTATGCCTTTTACATAATAGCTAATATGCTAGATAAATGAGTGAAAAATGTTTTGAAGGGTAGTTATAGGGAATATTTATAGGCAATTAAAAAATGAGGTAAGTATATTTTTTCTAATTTTGTCATATAATTGATATAAAAAAGTAGTTTATCTTCCCCCCCAAAATTATGATTTTCTTAGTGACATTATAATTACGGATTTCTTAACTTGGAATTGTAGTGTTAAATGCAACCATATTTAATTTTTTGGGGTAAAAATGCTGCAGTCTAGTAGCCATATAAAATATTTGTGTACATATATTCTTTTCAGGAATTGTAAAGAAATAAAACATTTATATAGAGAAGCCACCTTCTTCTTATTTGCCAAGCTCAAGAAAGTAAAAGATATGCACATGCATTTTATTTCTAATTATGTAATATGCATATATTCATATGGTTTAAACATAAAAACAAACATATTTTCTTCATTAATGAGGGCATTGATGTTATGTAGTGGTATTTAATATTTTAAGCAGTAGCATTCTGAATTGAATTTCTTCTGTTTTTGATTTTCCTTTCACTTGCAGGAAAAATAACATTAATTCTATAGAGATTAAGGTCACTTTCAGTTTGGCATTAATAACATTTTAAAGAGACATCTGTTAGGGTTTAGCTAAGAGGCTCCTACATAACTAATAGAAAAGGACAAAACTGTGAAATAAAAGTTCTGAAATATTTCTTCAGATTAGGATTGCTGGGCATTCCACCTGTGGTAGCTGGTATATTGCTGGCAACCATCCTTTTCTGCCTGACCGCCACACAGCAGAGAAAAGCAATTTGGGTAGTCTGGCTGTGTGCTGGCAGATCTGTTTTGGAAGTCTGTTGGGCACACACTCTTGCAAGCAACAAACTCCAGCTCTTAAACCAGTGCTCAAGTTACTTAGGTTACTCCCTTAGTCATGTGTCCTCAGCCAGTTGCCCTGGAGGAAGCAGCTAGAAAAGCCTATGAGAACTGCTTCTGACCTTAGAGCATGGTGCAGTTTATGGTGTCCCTCCATAAAAGGGAGATAATAGAAATATGGCTACCCAGAAGCAATCTTAAACAACTGCCTCCCATCAGAGTTGCAGTCAACTAATCCTGCTGGAGGATTAGCAGCTATAGACAGTTAGGCAGGTTATTGGATCAACATTTTCTGACTTGCAGCCCTGCAATCTTCTTCAGGCTTTGTCTCCTTTAGCCAGATTTAACCAGAGATTTTTTCCGTTTGGTGTTCCGCTAGTCTTTGAACCCTGGTGGCATGGACCTTGGAAGAATTCTATCAATTGCAGGGGTTTTTCTGCTGTGCATTTTAAGCCATAATATTTGTTATGCAGAGCTGTGAGCCTCCAAAGAAGAGAGTGTGGTAGTATAGTGTAATGGTTAAGATTACTGTACCAGTCTTGGAGGTAGGCCAATCTGGAATTGGGTTTTGTTTTCAACATCTACAAGCTGTGTGGCTAGTTTTCTCATCTGTGAAATGGAGAAAATACTGCCTTCCTCACAAGTAGTAAAATGGTTAAAGCTAGTTAATACATATAAATGGTTTAACATAGTATTTGGCAAACAGTAAAATTTTCTTTATTTTAAAGACCCATGATATTTTGATGGGCTTACTGAAACACTGAAAAAAAGTTCAATTTACTTCCAGAAAATTCTAATATGTTCTCATGATTTGATAAATGTTCTTAACTGTATGGGATACACATCACTTATTATCTGAGTCACTGATTAATAAGAATAGTTTATTTCAGACTACATTAATCTAATATATAAGTCAGAGTTTTTGAAATCTTACTTATGTACCTTTAGTCAAACAATAGCCATGTATTAAATTTCTGTATCTTCAGATTAGATGTTAGGTGGCACACAAAAGAAGCAGAAAGCTTTGTTTCTGTCCTAAAAGTGGTTTAATTAATATCTTTTTAGCTTTGTATGAAAAGCTAGTTAGCTTACTTCTAGCATTCTTTTGGTCTTGGAATTTGGAACAATACTTGATATTACACTGAACTTGAGGCAGCATACTTCTTTGGGATTTTAATAATATATAGAGGTTCCACTGAACCTCTACTGATAATCTTATGTATGGCAAGAACCACAATTACTTTTGCACCGACCTAATTACCTACCTAACTCTATGGGGATATCACTGTGGTTTATTTTGGAGTGAAAAGCAGTTGAGTATCTTCTGAGAGGTATATCAATGTATTTTCTGTTTCTACTAAAACATTCTGGCTAGTGGCAATCTATTAATTTTCCTTCCTATTGTATTTCTGAAGCCACAACAGGTGTTTTCTCTGCTGGATAGATTGGATATTGGAGTATGACTAGATGCAGTTTTTAAACATTTGGCAAGTGTACAATGTTAGGAGCAGAAAGAAGAGGACACAGTGTCTCTAGATGTTTCTCTTGTTCTGAGAAATTACTCAATTTTTATAAACTTTGATTTTTAGGCTTTTTTTGTTATTGTTTTATGACTACAGTTTAGCTGGAAGATGATAGCCAAACTTTTCAGTAATGAATGAATGAATGAGAACTACTAGATCAATGATGGCTGGGTTTCCTAAACCAGTGAGAAACTTGAAGCAATGATAAAAACACTTAAGATTTTAAAGAAGTTTTTAATTGATAGTGAGATTTTCTAGCCTAGCTTGAGTTTGGCTGTGTGGAGATTTCCATGTAGAAATGCTCCACCCTGTTTTGCGCTGTGTAGACTGGTCTCAGGAAAGGCAAAATCCTCAATTATTCACATGATTCCATCCTTTAACCCCAATTTAAGCATATTAATATTTGCCTATAAATGTGTGTACAATCAATAGCTACAACACAAGCTAAGAATCCTTTTCTTAGAATGCCTGGATAGCAACAATAGTAATTATCTGTGTTTATATGGAACTTCCAAATTTTCCAAATGCCTTCCACTTCTTTAACTTATTTGCAAATTAGTTTTATTTGATAATGAAAAAATACATGGAAAATGGGGGTACAGAGAGGTTGAGACTTGCTTTAGGCCACACAACACATCAATGAAGAAGGACTCAAACCTAATTATTTTAACTGCAGGTGCAGTTCTCTTTGCATTATATAATCCAATCCAGTAAAGTCTGATAGCCAGGCCATGCTCTGTTAGTTAAGTTCTATTCAGAATATGCCTAATAAACACATACATTAGTAGTAAAGTTTTAAAACTTGAACTATTTTTTCAATTAGTCTTTTGCTTGGCTGATGAAAAATTCACAGTGGAGTCAACTTGTCTTCCATGTGTAATGTAATGATGGCAAATCACATTTCACACGGCTAGACTTGTTATAGTGTACGTAAGCTTCATCTGCTGTAGATTTCTTTTTGAGATATGGGACTGTGAAAAATACACTGACGGAACAAAACATGTGTTAGATTTTTTTTGTCCCTAAACAAGTGATGTTTAGCAAGAATTTTAAGATAAGAAATAGCATGCTAGTAACAAGTTATGGAAGCTTCAAAAGAGATAATTATATGAGTTAGCTTCTTAGGGTTGGTTGTTTTTGTATACTTAAGCTTCTAGATGACCCTTGCATAAAATATATCCCAACTTGATCTGACTTGACTGTGGATTTTAATACCATATACAAAGAAAAGTTTAGGCTAAAAACATATGATTGTAACTTACAAATGGTATAATGGGGAAACACACAGAGCCAACATACTGAAGTGTTTTCTACTATTTATACTAAACAGTTATAGAAATTATATAGATGTAGGATATAATGGCTGTAAATTATATACCTTCTATAATAGTCTTATTAGGTAACCTTTATCCTCCACTATGAATAGTTCCCTTTCCAGAAGTGGGATGAGAGTAGGAAAAAGAACCAAAAAGTTCAAACAGCCCTGAATTACACAGTATCGGGTGTAGCTGACAGTCTACTTTATTTTGAGGAAATACGCATTCTTTTTTCTTTGTACTAATAAAGGATATTTGCATTTCTTACTTTCTCTTAGCTATAGTTCATCATTCTTGATAATGTAGCTTCTATTTTAGGCAAATGAACAGCAGATTATTTTTTACTCAATTAATTTCTTCTATGAATAATTAAATAGGGAACTGGTGGAGTGGGTGGTGAAGAGCACCTTTTCATAACTATTGAATACTATTTAGCTTATGCAATTGTGAAAGAACATTTTGCATACATGTAAGAGATGAACAAAAATATTGTCTTATCTTTTAAATCCCCTTTGAATATAGACAAATTTGTATTTTCCTCGTTCTAGGGAATTTGTAAATAGTTATTCTAAAATAACTCTTGAGAGAGGTAAAAAGTAGAACAAGTTTTCAGGCCTCCCTTATATAAAGATGGAAGGAGAACTATTAACCAATTTGAACACAAGTTTTTTTCTTTCTTTTTTTCCTAGTCATGAACCTACACTGTCCATAAATAAATGTATCATGCAAAATCAGAAGACTTGTGTGTATATTTTTAGCTAAGTATTTCTGACTTAGAATGAATTGTAGAGTTAGCAAATATCTAGTAAATTTGGGCTTTACAGGCAGTGAAAATCAGTGTGGGCCAAGAACAATAACACAAGCAAAAACATTCAGCCATTTAAATAAGCAAAAAGGCACACACTTAATTTAGCTTTAATTAAGTTAAAACTAGAGTTCTTTTACCTGATTTGTTCAGTTCTCTTTGCAAAAACAAAATAAGCATTTTCCTAGTCTCATTAAAATGTGTGCTTAAGGAAGATGATGAAAGTAGTAAGATTTTAAGGAACATATTTTGCGTATTCAAAAAGGAAAATTTAAAGACAAAATAAAAAATAACATTCTTGGCTCATAATAATTCCCTAACAGTGCCATGGGTAAGTTTTCATTCAGCCAATATGATCATCAAAGAATCCTGGATTTTAATGAGATAAGTATCTTGGAGATCAAACGATTGACAGAAATGTCTCCTTTCATAATGTGTCAGGCTTCAAAATCCAAGTGGATCCTGCACTTTTCTGTAGTTTAAAGATATGTGAACATTACATGGAAAATACTTTCATTGTCCATTGCCTGTATGTTAGTTACAGGGCAAGGCATTACTTATGCTATTTGCTAAACTGCCTGGAACACGATTAGGGTATATAAAAATATAAAATAATTTGAAGACCATAGTCATCAGTATTAATAAAGATTGATCATTTATTATTTCCTATCATTGTTATTCAACCTAATTTTCCAGGAAACTTAGGGACAAGTGACAGAGGAAGGAAAGAGTTCGGAGTGGATGATAATGTCACTGTGAATGAACTGTAGCAAGATTATAGTCAAAGAAAGGCCTAGCCTACCCTTGATAGAGAGGAGTAGTGTTATCTCTAAAGATAATTATCATTCTGGACCTAAAGCAGTTCTAGAGATCTTTTTTGGTGCTTGGTTCTGGGTTTATGGAAAAAGAATAAGACAGGTTTCAGTTTTGGCCCAGCTTTTCCAGCTGTGTGATCATAGATAAACATATTACTGACACTCTCTGGATTTGATTTTTCTCACTCATAAAATTTAGATTGAGATCTCTGTGGCCCTTTCCAGCTTTAAAATTCTAGGATTCTAGAAGAGAATAAACAGGGGGAAAGTACTTAGGATCATAATCAAATTTTTAGCAACATACCCCCAACCCCTCCACCTGTTCCTAGAATAACCTTTTGGAAATAATGTCTTTAGGCTTTCAAGGTCCTGTCTATACATATGTGTGGGAGGAGGAGGAACATCTATTAAGCACTTACGTTAAATGTCACTTTCTCCAATAAGTTTTCCCTTATCGCCGATCTCCTGCATACCTCTTAAAATAGTTATTTATGGGAAGGTCAGTAGTACTTATGTAAAGTCAGAATTTGGTTCTTGGCTGGTAATTATGGAGGAAAATTTGGCCAAATTGAATGATATTGAACAATGTACATATTTTATTCCTTTAGTCATGGCTGATAGACCTATGTTCCTTAGGAAAACAAAGTAGGTTTGGATGTTTATTTTGAATTTTTAATGTTTGATTACTTTTGATATTTGCTCTTTCTTTTCTCAACTTTTATTTTAGTTTCTTTTCCCAACTTTTATTTTAGTTTTAGGGTTATAGGTACAGGATGTGCAGATTTGTTACATGGGTAAACATGTGCCGTGGTGGTTTGCTGCACAGATCATCTCATCACCTAGGTATTAAGCCCAGCATCCATTAGCTAGTCTTCCTGATACTCTCCCTCCTCCCACCCCAGACCTGTTGGAGGACAGGCCCCAGTATGTGTTGTTCCCCCTCACGTGTCCATGTGTTTTCATCATTCAGCTCCCACTTATAAGTGAGAACATGTGATGTTTAGTTTTCTGTTTCTGTGTTAGTTTGATGAGGATAATGGCTTCCAACTCTTTCTATGTCCCAGCAAAGAACATTATCTCATTCCTTTTTATGGCTGCATAATATTCCATGGTGTATATGTATCACATTTTCTTTATCCAGTCTATCACTGATGGACATTTACTTTGGTCCCATATCTTTGCTATTGTGAATAGTACTGCAGTGAACATATGTGTGCATGTATCTTTATAATAGAGTGATTTATGTCCCTTTGGGTATACATGCAGTAATGAAATTGCTGGGTCAAATGGTATTTCTGCGTTTAGGTCTTTGAGTATTCACTACACTGTCTTCCACAATGGTTGAACTACTTTACGCTCTCACTAACAGTGTAAAAGTGTTCCTTTTCCTCTGCAGCCTCTCCAGCATCTGTTGTTTTTTGATTTTTAATAATAGCCATTCTGACTGGTATGAGATGGTATCTCATTGTGGTTTTGATTTGCATTTCTCTAATGATCAGTGATGTTGAGCTTTTTTCATATGTTTTTTGGCCACATAAATGTCTTCTTTCGACAGGTGTCTTTTCATGTCCTTTGCCCACTTTTTAATGGAGTTGTTCATTTTTTTCTTGTAAATTTTTTTTAAGTTCCTTGTAGATGCTAGATGTTAGACTTTTGTCAGATGGATAGATTGCAAATATTTTCTCCCATTCTCTAGGTTGTCTGTTCACTCTTATGATAGTTTGCTGTGCAGAAGTTCTTTAGTTTAATTAGATCCCATTTATCAATTTTTTCTTTTGTTGCAATTGCTTTTAGCATCTTCGTCATGTAATCTTTTCCTGTGCCTATGTCCTCAATGGTATTGCCTAGATTTTCTTCCAGGGTTTTTATAGTTTTGGGTTTTACATTTAAGTTTTTAATCCATCTTGAGTTGATTTTTGTATATGGTATAGGGAAGGGGTCCAGTTTCAATTCTCTGTATATGGCTAGCCAGTTTCCCCCCACATCATTTATTTAATAGGGAATCCATTCCTCATTGCTTGTTTTTGTCAGGTTTGTCAAAGATGAGATGGTTGCAGATGTGTGGTCTTACTTCTTGTTCTCTATTCGGTTCCATTGTTTTATGTGTCTGTTTTTGTGCCAGTACCATGCTGTTTTGCTTACTGTATCCTTGTAGTATAGTTTGAAGCCAGGTAGCCTGATGCCTCCAGCTTTGTTCTTTTTTCTTAGGATTGTCTTTTTTGGTTCCATATGAATTTAAAAATACTTTTTTTCTAATTCTATGAAGAATGTAAATGATAGCTTAATGAGAATAGCATTGACTCTATAAATTGATTTGGGTAGTATGGCCATTTTTATGATATTGATTCTTCATATCCATGACCATGGAATGTTTTTCTATTTGTTTGTGTTATCTCTGATTTCTTTGATCAGTGGTTGGTAGCTCTCCTTGAAGAGATCCTTCACTTCCTTTGTTAGCTGTATTCCTAGGTAGTTTATTCTTTTTGTGGCAATTATAAATGGGAGTTCATTCATGATTTGGCTCTTGGCTTGCCTGTTTTTGGCGTATAGGAATGTTTGTGATTTTTGCACATTGATTTTGTATCCTAAGACTTTGCTAAAGTTGCTTATCAGCTTCAGAAGCTTTCTCAGCCAATGCAAAAGAACTGAAATCATAACACATGACCTCTCAGACCACAGCACAATCAAATTAGAACTCAAGAACAAGAAATTCACTCAGAATCACACAACTATTAATACAAGGAAATTGAACAACCTGCTCTTGAATTATTCTTGAGTAAATAATAAAAATAAGGCAGAAACCAAGAAGTTCTTTGAAACTAAAGAGAACAAAGATACAATGTAACAGAGTCTCTAGGACAGTTAACACAGTGTTGAGAGGGAAATTTATTGCACTAAAAGAGGGAAATTTATAGCACTAAATGTCCATTTTAAAAAGCTAGAAAGACCTCATGTTAACAGCATAACATCACAACTAAAAGAACTAGAGAACTAAGTGCAAACAAACTTCAAAACTAGCAGAAGACAAGAAATAGCCAACATCAGAGATGAACTGAAGGAGACAGAGACACAAAATCCCTTAAAAAAATCAATGAATCCAGGAGTTTTTTTGGGGGGGGCCAGAAAAAATTAATAAAATAGACCACTAGCTAAACTAATAAAGAGAGAGAAGAATCAAATAAACACAATCAGAAATGATAAGGGTGATATCACTACTGACCACACAGAAATCACAGAAATAATAATAATAAAAAACAATCAGAGAATACTATGTAAACACCTCTATGCATAGAAACTAGAAAACCTAGAAGAGATGGATAAATTGCTGGACACGTACACCCTCCCAAAACTGAATCAGGAAGAAATTGAATCCCTGAAGAGACCAATAATGAGTTCTGAAATTGAGGCAGTAATAAATAACCTACCTACCTATCAAAGAAAGCCCAGGACGAGACAGATTTGCAGCTGAATTCTACCAGAGGTAAAAAGAGGAGCTGGTATCATTCCTTCTGAAACTATTCCAAAAATTTGAAATGGAGGGACTCCTCCCTAACTCGTTCTATGAGGCCAGCATCATCCTCATACCAAAACCTAGCAGAGATACAACAAGAAGAGAAGAAAACTTCAGGCCAATACCCTTGATAAACATTGATGCAAAAATCCTCAATAAAATACTGGCAAACAGAATTCAGCAACACATCAAAAAGCTTATCTACCACGATCAAGTAGGCTTCATCCCGGGGATGCAAGTTTAGTTCAACAGATGAAAAGCAACAAATATGATTCACCAGAATAAACAGAACTAAAGACAAAATGTGATTCATCAGAATAAACAGAACTAAAGACAAAAACCAAATGATTATCTCTACAGATGCAGAAAAGGCTTTTGATAAAACTCAACATTGCTTCTTGTTAAAAACTCTTACTAAACTAGTTATTGAAGGAACATATTTAAAAATAATAAAAGCCATATATGACAAACTCATAGCCAATATACTGAATGGGCAAAATCTGAAGGCATTCCCCTTGAAAACTGGTGCAAGACAAGAATGCCCTCTCTGCCCACTCCTATTCAACATAGTATTGGAAGTTCTGGCCAGGGCAATCAGGCAAGAGAAAGAAATAAAGGGTATTCACATAGGAATAGAGAAAGTCAAACTATCTTTGTTTGCAGATGACATAATCCTATGTCTATATCTTTGCTTTTTAAAAACAATCAATTCAGCCACACTAAGGATTGCCAGAGACAATGGGAAAAGCAGAATCCACTTGCCCTTCTTCTCAGTCTGGAATCCATGATGGGTTCAACAACTCTCTATTTTCTTTTCCCCTTGACTAGTTGTTTTCACTTCCTGTTTTTTTATGTTCATAGGCTATCAGTATTCCTGTAGAAAGTCACTATTCCTCTCTCTCACTTCACCACTAATCCTTGCTTTAATGATACCTGGACTTCATTACTGCTTTGGAGCAGCATTCTCCACATAGTTTTTTGCTTTTCTCAAGGTGTTTGTTCTACTCTCATCTTCCTTCATTCTCTTCATCTTCCTCTTCAATTTGTGTATATCTTCTCTTGATTTGCTCTCTGCAATCTTGTATTTCCCATGACTTAATGTATCACCTCTGTAGATATGACTTTCAAATTCACATCTAGCTGTGACTTCTTTTACGAATTCCATTCTTACTTTTAAAATTAGTATTTGGAAAACTCCACTTCGCTGCCTTTTACTCACTTAAAATGTAGCATGTCATTATCCTGATCCTAAATCATCTTTTCCTCTTTTCCTTGTTTCTGATAATAAATGGGAGTTCTTGCTACATGATTACTAGACATGTCTCCTGGACCATAATTCTAATGATGTTAAAGCCTTACTCATTTTGTATTTAATCTTCCTAAGCCTCAGTTTCCTCATTTTTGAGTGTTGTAGGTATTTGGATTGTGGGAATTAAAATATAGACTCATATGTAGCAGGACAATCTTGGTGCCTTGTATATGGTAGGCATTCATTAGACTATTGCCTATTTAAGCACTTCCAGTGGCTCTGTATTGTTTATAAAATAAGAGTTAGTTGCTTCCCAGTCTGACATGTTAGTTTTCATCAAATTGTCCCCTAGAAATGCTTCACTTTTTCTTACTTTTGCTCATTTCTTTTTCTCTTTATCTCAAAGTCAGCCCTTTATCATTTCCACCAGTTGCAATCCTACCAGTTGAAATCCTAACTACCTTTCATAGCCCAGTTTAAGCACTTTCTCTTCTGTAAAAGGCTCCCTAAACGTCGAGATTAGATGAGGATCCTCCCTTTCATTTCTCAATGCTTTCTCCACAATTTACCAAATTCTTCCTTGAATTACAGGCATAGCTATAGATGACATCTGTCTGTTAGACCTTTACATTCATTTTTGAGGGCTAGCCTTATTCTTAATTATTTTTATAAATGTCACAATGCTAATAATGTGCTTCTCCATAACAGACTCTTAAAATAGATGTTGAATAACTTAATAGATAATCAGTGACTTTTTATACATTCAGATCTTCATATACTTCAGAGGGAAAAACTGATTGTGAAATATGATAGGGTTATGGGTCATGACATTGTACAAATATGTTAAAACTACATTTGATTAGATAATATAATTGTCTGCTAGAGAAGGCATATATGGTTTGTTCACTTTATGTGGCCTCAGAAGAATGGGAGCCGGCCTAGACTAAACATTTTATAATCTTTCATTGACCTTCCTGAAGATAAACTGCTCAGTCTTTGCCATCTCTAATTATTGTAATTTTGTACTTAGAACACATGTGTTATATGGAAATCTCCCTTGCCTGCATTACTTCCTCATGCCCTGCTGGCAAGCACTGGAGGTAGTTGTTGAGGTTCCATTTTGCAAAGGCTATAGTTAAATCAAAGCCATTTTGAAGAGAATTCTTGGGTTTCTAGGTTATGGATGGGCCTATCCAGTTAAAATGGAGGGGGAATTAAAGCAATTAAAATATCTTATTCATGAAAACAAATTTAAAAAATACCCAGTATAACCCATAACACCATCATTACAATGGACTAAAAGAGGAGAGTATAGGAGTAGGGAGATGAAGCATATGAAGAAATGAAAAGCTGAGCTGTCCAGAAGACCTCTCTACCCTGATTATAATTTCTCAACTCTTTCTGACTTTCCGTACATAGATATGGCCATAAGATTCCTTATGATATAAGGTTTAATCTAATGACACAATATTTTCCTTATAAAATTCTTATGATAACATAAGATTCCTACAGCCCTTTATGAAACATTGGAATGTTCTTAGTTAGGAGGAAAGTTTGGTATAATTAAAAGAATGTTGGCTCTGATATCAGGGGAACTAGATGCAAGTTCTGGCTCTTGTGTTACTGTGTGATATTAGACTAGTCACTTAATATCTCTGATGCCTTTGTTCCTATCTGTGAAATGAAGCTATTAATACCCCTCTCATGTGGCTCTTATGATAATTGAGAATAAACCTGTAAAATACTTTCCAAATTGTAAAGTGTTTTGTCAGTAATCACTCAGTGAAGGGGCTATGATGACTCCTGAAACCAGAAGAATGCATAAATCCTTTAATTCTCACCTCAAGGGCTCTGCTCTTGCTTTTCTCTCTGCCTGGATCTCTCTTCTACTATTTTTATTCTGCAAGTCCTAACTTTAAATGTCCTCACTTTAGAGAGAAGCCTCCCTTGACTGTTGTGTTAGTTTGCTAGGGCTGCTATGACAAAGTACCTCAGACTGGGTGGCTTAAACAACAGTAATTTATTTTCTCACAGTTGTAGAGTCTAGAAGTCTGAGATCAAGGTGTTGGTAGGCTTGGTTTCTTTTGAAGTCCTCTCTCCTTGGCCTGTAGATAGTCATCTTCTTCAGATACTTAATATGGTTCTTCCTATGTCTGTGTTCTATTCTCCTCTTCTTATAAGTACATCAGTTATTAGATTAGGGCCCTACTAATATGACCTCAGTTTAGATAACTCTTTAAAGGCCCTTTTGGCAATACAGTCATATTCTGAGGTACTAGGTGTCCAATGTAAGGATTTTAGGGGACACAATTTAGCTCATAATAACCACCTTACTGAAAGTAGTTTCTTCAGAATTCTTCGTCTCATTTTATATGCCTTTTATAGTACTTATTTGAAATTACTTCATTAGCTTACTCTTTTTGCCTGACTTTTCACTTGAGTTTAATCTTCCTGAAGGCGAAGACTAGATCTTGTTATTTTTATATCCTCACCCTCTGGCAAAGTGCCTTGTACATGGAAAGTACCTGGTTTTGTCATGTGCTAGGCATGTGATTTTGGGTAAATTATTTAATCTGTCTGCATCTCAGTTTACTTAGTGAACTAGAGACATTAAGAGCATTATTTTCCTATGATAGTTATTTCTTAGTGCTTAGAATTATGTCTGACACATAGAAAATGTTCAATAAACATTAGCCAGTCTTTTTTTTTTTTTTTTTTTTTTTGATGGAGTCTTGCTTTGTCACCCAGGCTGGAGTGCAGTGGCGAAATCTCGGCTCACTGCAAGCTCCGCCTCCCGGGTTCACGCCATTCTCCTGCCTCAGCCTCCCTAATAGCTGGGACTACAGGAGCCCACCACCACGCCTGGCTAATTTTTTGTATTTTTTAGTAGAGACAGGGTTTCACCATATTAGCCAGGATGGTCTTGATCTCCTGACCTCGTGATCTGCCTGCCTCAGCCTCCGAAAGTGCTGGGAATATAGGCGTGAGCCACCGTGCCCGGCCAGCCATTCTTCTTACTTCTCCACATGTTTGCAGAAATAATGAATTAGTGAATCAAGTGCCTCTATTTTTAGGACTTAAATATTTCTGCATTGCTCTCATACACCAATCTATCACAAAGTAGATTTTTTTTGGCTTTCAGAATGCCATATTCTTTAGTGAACATGTGAACAACCAGAAACCCTTTTGGTGCTGAAAGTTTTGTGATCCTGACTTCATCTTCATAGTGGCTTCTCTCCAACTGCATTGACTGCATGCATCAGATCTTCTGGGTGGGTGTATCTTCCGTGTATTTGCGTTAATGATGGTTTTTGTATGTGCATATCTTTAATTTTTTATTCAGAGTTAACTGGATATAGGAACACCAACAATGACTACAAGATAGGATAACTGGATTCCAGAGGAACTAAAAGCCCAAAGCCTAGCTCTAACAGAAGGAGACATGAAAGTTGGGATCCACAGAGGTGTTGATCAAGGAGTCAGAGAAACTGGTTCAGGAGGTTGGACTAGATGGGGCAGAGCCCAAAGAGGGCAAGACAACAGCTCCTTATACTTTGCATGTCTAGCCTGTTCCAGGGGCATATATAACTCAGAGAGCCTACAGGTTTCTCAACAGGATCTGAATCAGCAGTGCCTGAATATATCCATGCTAGGATTGAGGTATCCAGACTGAAAGATTTTTAAATAATCTAATCAGTTCAGGGATATACCTTATCTACTTTAAGACTTATGATTGCCTATAATAAATTCTTAGTTATAGCAGGTCCAATGCCAATCTACATTTTTATGGAAAATAAATTTATTTCATAGATGATTTGCTGAAATATGCTGAAATATGTTATTTTTAAAGCATTCAAGAAGTAATAAATTAGAAATAATGGCCAAATGTATAGAACATTTACAATGTGTCAGGCACTGTGGTAAGCACTTTAGATGCTTATCACATTTAATTATCACACATCTATGTTGGTAATTGTATTAGCCCATCCTTGAATCGCTATAAAGAAATACCTGAGATTGGGTAATTTATAAAGAAAGGAGGTTTCATTGCCTCACAGTTCTCCAGGCCTCAGGAAACTTACTATCATGGTGGAGTTGAAGGGGAAGCAGTGCCTTTACATGGCCAGGGCAGGAGGAAGAGAGAGAAGTAGGAGGTGCTATACACTTTTAAACACCCAGATCTCACGATAACTCATTCACTCACTATCAGGAGAACAGCACTGAGCGGATGAGGCTAATCCATTCAGGAGAAACTGCTCCCATGATCTAATTACTTCCCACCAGGCCCCACTTCCAACACTGGGGATTACAATTGAACATGAGATTTGGGTGGGGACACAGCTCCAAACCATATCAGTAATATATCATTTCAATTTAAAGAGAAGGAAACTGAAAAATTAAGTGGCCAAAGTAGCACAGTTTATAAAGGGAAGAACAGCATTGAAACTAGCACTCTACTCCCCTTCAACTTAGCATTTACAGGGTGTTTATTTTGCCTTTGCTGTATGTGCTAAATGGTATATGAGGGTTATAGCTTTAAATCCTGACAACATTTTTTGGTGGTAGATATAATTCCTAATTTTCCAATGTGGATGCTGAGGCTTAGAGACGTTTGCCCAGGGGCTTAACTTTATGAAATAGAATCATAAACAAGAGTTCCAGGCCTTTGAGTGAAAGCAGTAAAGGCAAGGATTTTGTCTCATTGTCACAACCCTCCTTATAACTAATGTATTTTTTATATTTGCAGTCCAGATGTAGTTTAAAAAAAACACATTGAAGTTACCATAAATAAAAAGAGGAGGGGTTTCTGGGTGAAGCAGTGGTAAATATAATACAATTTTATTCAGTGTGAAACACAAAGACTTCCAAACAGGAATGTTTCCAACACTAATATAGCATCTGTGCCTCTGAAACTAGTTCTTTCTAACAATGAACAGCTTCTTATTTGGTCAGCGCTGGCACTAAACACCATGACAGGAATGACTCTTGGCAACACATCCTTTTGAAAGGAATAATATGGTAAAAAAAAGTACATATGTAAAACAGAGATTTGGCAAATGGACCATCCAATTCTTGACAACCCTGCAAATTTACCGTTATTAAAAATTAAAGTTGGGACATACAGCTTTTGCCTTCATTTTTCCTGGGATAGGATAATCCCCTAATTCCCATGTTGAACAGAAAATGCTAAAATATCAATATCCCTATAAATCACTCCCTTACCCAATAAATCCTGAAATTCAACCCCAAAATTCTGTAGTTACAAGCCCACCGCAAGTGTGTTTCTTTTAACACATGACAATATCCATGCACACTAATGCTGCATATTAGTTCTCTCCAGAGGTTGTAAATAGTCTTACACAATATATGTGGCTTTGTTTTTTATAACTGCAGAAGTAGACAAAAGCTTTGGAAAAGTGTCTGCTTTTTCCCCGCTTCATGAACTCCAGTCTGATTATTGGACCCAAGATAAGTAAAACCCAAGTATGTTTGCTCTTAATTAAAGCTCTTTTCATGGTGTACCCAGAGGCACCACTTAAGAGTGTGCAAACCACATGAGATGAATAGTAACTACAATGGTTTATCCCCCATAGATTATCTATGCATTTTTGTTTTGAAAAATTGAAGTTAGAAATGTAAGCAGGAATGCTTAACATAGGAGAAAAGTTAATGTATGTGGGTCATTCTCACGTATTTGTGTTTCCATAGCAAGGGCTTTACAAAGAAACTGCCATATGAGGTAGGATTGGGGAAAGGAATAGGAGAATGTTCTCACCTACACAGAAATAAAGATATGACACTCTTGTCTGAATTTCTTTAGCACTCTCTTAGTTCTTCTTTCTTGCCACCAAAGCTCATGGCTTATGTTCCTAAGTAAACTATAAGTTCCTAGTCATATGTTTGTTGTGTGCGTAAATGAAAATAGAAAAGTAATAGTACCCATTCCAGAAAACAGGACACCTACACAGGCACTCATAAAACTTGAAAACAAAGGATGCACTCTGCTTTTTAGGTATAGAAACAAATGATGGAAAAAAGCTGCTTGTCTTGATGTAGCTTTGAGAATAATCAAACACAAGTTTTTGAGCTTTAGAACTCTATATTTGTTATCTAGCTTAATCTCCTGTTTTTATAACCCCTGTCTGACTTTGGGTTGTTTAACCTTTCTGATTCTTAATTTTCTTATCTATATTCATACTCAGATACTTTTAGGTATTATTCAAAGCTTTTCATGCATTAGCCCTTTTAATCTTCAAAATAATGCCATAAAATATATATTATTTCCTGTTATACAGATGAGGAAACAAGTTTAGAGAATGTAAGTGACTTGCCTAACTTACAACCGGTAAAAGTGTTAGCATCAGACTCATGTTATTCTGACACTAATGTCCAAGCACTTAACTCTGGTGGTTGTAAGGATTGACTAAGACAATGAGTGTATAGTAGGAGCTTAAGAAATGATTTATTAATTCAATAAATACTTTAGATGCTTATGCTGTGTGCCATGTACTCTTCTAGGCATTTAGGCTACAGCAGTGGATAATTAAAAAAAATGACATAATCCACATACTCATGAAATTTATAGTATAATGAGGAACACAAATAACTCCAAAGAAATAAAAAGTGACTGAAGAAAAATGAAGTAGCATAGGGAATAGATATTGATGAAGATGAGATGACTATTTCAAGGTTTCCCTGACAAAGTGACATTTGAACAAACACCTAAATAAAGTAAGCAAGAAAGTTACATAGAAATAAGTAGAAAGAATGCTCCAAGCAGAAAGGGCAAATAAGTGCAAAGCCTTGGAGTATTCAAGGAACATGAAGGATATCTGTCTGGTTAGAGTGGAGTAACCTAGCGGGAAGTACTAGGATTTTATTCTGAATCAGATGGGAAGCTATTATAGGATTTTTAAGCAGAGGCATGACACTATCTGATGTAAATTTTAAAATGAAGGGTACTCTGGCTGCTTACTAGATTGTAGGATAAATTACTAGACTGAAACCAGATTGAAGTAGAATGAATAGGACTTGCTTATGGACTGGATGTGGCGGGAATTGGTGGGGGAGAGCGTCAAAGAAATTTTTGACCTGAGCAACTGAAAATGGAGTTGCCATTTATGGAGTTAAGGAAGAGTGGAGGTGGGGATGGCGGTGGAAGTAGAAACAGAAAAACAGATGTTCAGGTTGTTATAGCCATGTTGTATTTGAGATGCTTAGTAGGCATCCAAAAGGAGACATCTAGTTGGATAAACAAATCTGGGATTTAAGGGAAAAGTTGGGATTAGAGATATATAAAGATCTGTTAGTCTGTATATGGTATGTAAAGTATGGAACTGGATGAGATCACCTAGAGAGTGAGTTCAGCTAAAGGACAAAGGGATCTGGACTTGGGGCATTCAAGTAAAAGAGCTCCGGAAGATGAGTAGGAACCAATAGAGAAGACTGAAAAGGACTAAGAGACTGCTGTCATATTCACAGGGAATTGTTTTCACTCACAGCATTTCTGACACCAAATATGTGGGTGTTTCCTCTCACTAACCAGCTCTCTAATGCCAACAGGGTGTTCAATGATTCAGTTCAATTCTGCCACCCCAGACGTTAAATACTCAGTGCCGCAAGACAACCTCCCCCACTTCAGATGCTAGTCACCAATCCCAGCCTCCTGTACTTCTGACCAACCACCTACAAATTGGGAGGTCAAAGACCCTCTCCTCAGGTTCAGTAATTTGCTAGAATGGCTCACGGAACTCAAGAACACTCTTTATGTATGCTTACTGGTTTATTATAAAGATACAGCTCAGGGACAGCCAAGCAGAGGAGATGGATGAATGGGGAAATTGCCTGGGACTTCCATACTCTCTCCTGGCTCATCATCCTCCCAGCACCTTGATGTGTTTATGGACCCAGAAGCTTTGTGACTCCCAGCATTTAAGAGTTCTATGGAGGCTTCATTACACAGCCCTGAGTGATTTAATCCTTGACTATTAGTGACTGACTCAGTCTTCAGCCCTCCTTTCCTCCCCTGAGGTTAGAGGGGAGGAAGCAGAAAGGTCCAACCCTCTAATCATGTCTTGGTCTTTCTGGTGGCTAGCACTCATTCCAAAACTACCTAAGAGCCTAACAAGAATCACCAGATTACAACAAAAGTTGCTCCTATCACTCAGAAAATTCCAGGGGATATAGGAGCTTATGTCAGGAACCGGAACAAAGACCAAATATTAGAAAAGAAACTCCTATTACCCTGTCACTAGGATATCACAAGGGTTTTAGGAACTTGTTCTCAGGAAAAAGAGACAAAGAACAAACATTTATTTCTTTTATTTCTTATTATGGCACAGTAAAGGGAAAAGGCTGGGAGAAGTGGTGTGTGACTATGGTCCCAGCCACTTGGGAGGCTGAGGCAGGAAGATTGCTTGAGCACAAGAGTTAGAGGCCAGCCTGAAAAAAAAAAAAAAAGGAAAAGAAAAAAGGAAAGGGGTGATCAACTGTATCAAATGTTGCTGATAGGACAAGTAAGATGAGGACTGGATCTGGCAATGAGGGAGTGATTGGTGATCTTGGCAAAAGCAGTTTTCAAAGAGGTATTGGAAGGAAAATCTCATCAGTGTGTTTCAAGAAAAAATGGAGGAGAGGAAGTGGAAATGGTAAGTATAAACAAGATAAACAGAATTTTGAAGATTTTTGTTTTAATGGAAAGGATAAATATTGGATGATAGCTAGGGGAAAGCATGCACAAGAGGGTTGCTTTTTAAGATGAAGCATATTATAGCTGACTTGATGCTGAAGGGAGCATTCCAGTAGAGAGAAAAAGATGATCAGGAAAGAGAGGAGCAACTTTTGTTATTTTAGTAATTTATTATTATTGCTACTAATTATAATTGCTAATATGCAGTGAGAATTGATATTTAAGATTCATATCCAAAAGTCTTAAAATCAGTCAACTATACTAATAGCCAATATTTATTGAGCATTTATTATGTGACTGGGACTATTTCAAACACCTCCAACTGTCATAGTATTGCTTTATTCTCTTAGTGTTTATTATCACCCCAGTTTTACATATGAGACCATATAAACTTAGCAGAATTAAGAATTGCCAAGGTCACACAGCCAGGTTTCAAACCAAAACCCAAGTTTGGCTGCCTTAGCGTAGACTGTTAACGTCTGCTAAGTTGCCTCTGGTAAAAACTGCTTACTATATTTCAGTTACGCATAGTATTAAACTTTTTGTGGGGATTTCAGTAAGTACTTTCCCAGTTATTCCAAAATCAACCAAATATTTTACGCCTTAGTGAAGGTGTGGTCTTTACTCAGATGCCTCATTCCATATCACTTACTGTCACATAAACATGACTATAAATCTGGAATATCTGTGAGTGCCACTGGACATGATATAAATGAAAGGATCATTTTAGGATAGCAAGATAGATGGTTCACCTAGTCTTATGGGTATCTTTGAGACTGTTACCAGAGCAGCCTGATGAAATAGCTGTGAACATTCTTTTTCTTACTATTATTTTTTAGTCATTTATTTGTAGACACAGCTGTTTAAAGAAACCAGACAGCCAAGGATGGCCCCAGAGCTTCCTGACCCTTGATGAGATATAAGAGGGAGATAAGACCCCTAAACAGGCCCTAACTGGAACAGATGACCCCTAGTTGTCTTTAGATTATTAACATTTTATTTTAATGCTAGAATTCCCTCTCCAAAAAGAAAATCTCTGCCATTCTATGTACACTGGCTGCATGAAGATGTATGTTTATGAATTGAGCCTGCATGTCTGGGGTCCCACCCTGCACATGCTAACATTCCTTTCCCTCCCCATACGCAGTCCAAAAAAACCTCATGCCTTCTATTGTTCAGGGGTAAGTGGCCTTTAGAGTGTAAGCTCACTTCTTCTTCGTTTCTGGCCAGAAATAAAGCCTGCTTGTTTTTTGTTCTAATTGGGTGTTCTTTTTTTGCAACCAATACAGAACAGGGAAAGAATTCAGCCTACCAGTGACAAGACCTCTGTATGGGAGTGTCTTAGTCCATTTGCATGACTATAAAGGAATACCTGAGGCTGGGTAATTTATAAAGAAAAGAAGTTTATTTGGCTCACAGTTCTGCAGGCTGTACAAGAAGCATGGCACTGGCATCTGCTTCTGGTAAGGAACTCAGGAGGCTTCCAATCACTGTAGAAGGGAAAGGGGAAGCAGATGTGTCACATGGCAAGAGAAGGAGTGAGTGAGGGAGGGGAAAAGAGGGAGGGGAAGGAGGAGAGTGAGAGAGGAAGGTGCTAGGATCTTATTAACAGCCAGATGTATTATAATAGGAATTAAGAGTGAGATCTTACTCCCATGAGAATGGCACCAAGAAATTTGTGAGAGTTCTACCCCCATGACCCAAACACCTCCCAGTAAGCCCCACCTTCAACATTGGGGATCAAATTTCAACATGAGATTTGGAGGAGACAAATATTCAAACTATATCGTGGGAAATATTGAAAGATTTCTTAAAGAGGTTTGTGGCCTCAGGCAGGTTATTTAATGTGTATTAGTCCAGTTTTCTTATTAGCAAAGTGGAGACACTGCGTACTTTGCAGGACTTTGGCAAGGACGGCATACACACGAAAGATAATGTGTGTAAATTGCTGAGTACAGTGCCTGCCACAGAGTAAGTAAGCACTTAACAGTGGTCACTGTTGTTTTTCTTTTCTCAGTAGCTTAGAAAAGGCAGTTCTTCATTTCCAACTGAATTCCAATGAGCTTTGTGAAACTTACAGGGCCACAGGGATTACTTAATTGGAAATAAATATTTGGGAATTGAATGAGAAACTACATTTAGAATGCTGCATTGTAAAGAGACTATTTCATGCTCTAGGTCTACTCAACCCAATTTCAGCTGGGCACCATGTGAAGCACGTCCTTCCTATTACAAGGGTAACTCACCTTGAGAGCTGGTTCAATTTATCTTATAAAATCAACATCTTCATGAGGCAGACATTTTGAAATTGTGTTGTGTTGTCAATGACCTATTCCCAGAGGTTTTCAAATTTTCTTTAGTAGCAGAGTCCCTTTTTATGAATAAAATTTAACATAGAATATCAAAATATGAAAAACATAGTATAGGCAAACTGCTTTGCTTGAAGCTAGGCTAGGAGTTGGTCCCAACTTAACCTCCTCCTCAGCAGTTCCCCCTCCTCACCTCAAGTGGTCCATAAGGCATAACAAGGGAAGCTTAGGCCTCTGTGGGATCTAGTTTTAAAAATACTTGCCTAAACTACGTAGACACTGAGGGTATCAATAAATGAATCTTTCAACAGTATTTATCAAGCATAGATTATATTCCAGACATTATGCTGAGTGGTGTTAGGAGACTATGGTGGATAAGTAAGTCCCAGCTTTAAATTATGTAGGCTTTAAACATAGAGAAATTTGTTGTATCGAATGACTATCAGTCCAGAGCTAGAGTGACTATGGTAGGCAATATAATGGCTCTCCAGAGATGTTCATGTCCTACTTCCAGAAATCTATGAACATGTTATGTTGCATGGCAAAGGGGAATTAAGGCTGCAGATGAAATTAGGGTTGCTAATCAGCTGACCTTAACATAGGGAGATAACCTAGATTTTCCAGAAAGAAATGCAGCCCTGCTGACACCTTGATTTTAACTCAGCAAAACCCATTTTGAACCTCTGACCTCCAGAACTGTAAGATAGTAATTGTTTTTGTTTGTTTAAAGCCACCATTTGTAATTTATAGATAGCAGCATAAAAAATGCAATTGATCTTAGCCAAAAGGCCCAGAAGTCATAGCAATAGAAAATGAATATAGTGGACTTCAGGGTTTGTTAATTCAGCAACTCAAAAGTCATCAAGAGCGTAAAAAAAATGACATGTAGACTAAAGGAATGAAGTTGAGATTCTAGAATTAAACCCATAGATCTATGGCCAATTAATTTTTGTGTTTTTGTTTGCTTGTTTTTTGCTTTTTTGAGACAGAGTCTCACTCTGTTGCCTAGGCTGGAGTACAGTGGCACAATCTTGGCTCACTGCAACATCCACTTCCTGGATTCAAGTGGAGATCTTACCACCTTGACCTCTCTAGTAGCTGGGACTACAGGCATGTGCTACCAAGCCCAGGGAATTTTTGTATTTCTTGTAGAGATGGGATTTCACCATATGGCCCAGGCTGGTCTCAAGCTCCTGAGTTCAAGCAAACCACCCATGTTGGCCTCCCAAAGTGCTGGGATTATAGGCATGACAAACAGGCCCAGACCTAAATGTGAACTAAAACTATAAAACTCTTAGAAGAAAATGTGGAAGTCCTCTTTATGACATGGAACTTGGCAATGGGTTCTCACATATGACACTGAAACCAAGAGCAAGAACAACAAAAATAGATAAACTGGACCTCATCAAAAAATAAAAAAACCTTTTGTGCATAAAACGACATTGTCAAGAAATGAAAAGACAACCTACAGAATGAGAGGAAATATTTGTAAACTACATCTCTAATAGAAGTTTCTATCCAGACTATATAAAGAATTCCTACAACTCAACAACAAAAAGATGAACAACCCAATTAAAATAGAGGTGAGGATGTGAATAAACATTTCTTCAAAGAGGATATGCTAATAGCCAATAAGCACCTTAAAAGATGGAGAACATCATTAGTCATTAAGAAAAGGCCTATTAAAATCATGAGATACCACATTTCATACTTGCTAGGATGGTTTTATATATATAATGTTTATAAAAGGAAAATAAGTGTTGGCAAGGATGTGGAGAAATTGGAATCCTCATTCATTGCTAATGGAAATGTAAATGGTACAGCTGCTGTGGAAAACAGTTTGGGCATTCTTTAAAAGGCTAGACATAGATGAGCCAGTAATTTCACTCCTAGGTATATAACCAAAAAAAAAAAAAAAAGGGAAAGCAAAGACTCAAACAGATATTCGTATGCCAATGTTCATTCCAGCATTATTCACAATAGCCAAAAGGTACAAATAACTCACATGTTTATCAACAGATGAATGGATAAACAAATGCTGTATATACATACAGTGGAATATTTTTCAGCCTTAAAAAGAAAGGAATTTTTATACGTGCTTAAACATGGATGAACCTTGAAAACATACTAAATGTAGGTAAAATAGCCAGACACAAAAGAGCAAATATTGTATGGTTGCATTTGGTGAAATATTTAGAATAGGCAGATTTATAAAGACAGTAAATTAGAGGTTACTGGAAGCTGAGGAGAAGGAGGAATGGGAGCTGTTGCTTAGTGGACACAAAGTTTCTCTTTGGAGCAATGACAGTTTTGGAAATACATAGTGGTAATGATTGCATAACATTGTGAATTTAATTAATGCCACTGAACTGAACACTTAACAATGATTAAAATGGCAAATTTTGTGTTATTATTTTTTTACCACAATAAAAAAATCATCAAGGACTTGGGTTGTTTCTTTCTTTTCTCTTTGCTGTCGATTGCATCAACTTATCCACCCTAAAGCTAGTTCATTTCTCATTCTCCTCTTTCAGGCAATAACAAAAACTGTAACTGAGTTATGAGACCACTAGAACCATAGAAGGGCAAGATGAATAATATCAACAGGTAGATAACAGTAATCATGCAGCCCAAAGTAGTGATGTTAAGAAAAGTAAGTGATATCAATGTGGATTTTGATCTCCAGAGACACATTACCATCAGCCTAGGACCACCTGTCAGGATAGCAGGGCTGAAGTAGGAGGAAAACTTAGGCCTTCCTGGGCCTCACCAAAGAGTGCAAGACTGTAGTGATAATATGAATATTCAGTCATCATCTCTAAAAAAAATTCTTAGTTAATTTACTAAAAAGTTCTGGAAAAACTTGAAGAGATTATAGAGGCTGATCCTAGACAAAGTAAGAAATGATTCTGGGTCTTAAGGAAGAATGTCATGATCTCAGTTAAAAAGGCAGGCACAGAAACCAAATTTGGCATTTAGGGGAGAATATGGAGAGATACTGGGGGTAAGGTAAGACCTGCAGACAGTAAAGAGGAGATTGGGTTTTCTAAGGAGTCATCTAAGGGAGGGAGAATACTCTGCAGTGGGGCCAGCCTTAGGAAAAACTGAGGGCTAAAGGATTAGTTTACTATCCTGCTCTCAAGTACCTTGAAGCCTAGGCCTGCTTTGTCTTGTTGCCCTCCTGAAGTGCCTCTGGAATCCTGGTTATGGCCAAGGCTTCCCTTAATGATAGCTGTTTTGAGAAATAATACAGTATTTTTGGGGCAACTCTCATGGGTGGGACCTGAGTTTCATAAATCTTTGATCTCTAGAAATTAGCTTGATGGTCTTTACCAGATTAGATATTTGTTGTTATTGTTCTTATTAATAAAGTTAATGATATGACAGACTCTTTCGAGCTCACTAGGTATTTATAACAGGCATTTAAGGGAAACAATGAAATAATACTTAAACAGAAAAACACTTTTGTGAAGTTTAGCATTTTGGAGTCCATAAAATATACCATATTGTCAGCCTCAGCTTCATCATTTGGCCCATATGAGACCTTCTCCTATACAGGCCTATATGTTGGGCCTTGGATGATATTTATCACTAGTGGAAAGGATAGTCAGCTTTGGAGGGGTGTGGGTAGAAAGACTCAGGCTTGAGACTGAAACTAGATCTCATAAGTCAGTAAGACAACTGAGTCCCAGAGAAGATGTGTTCTCAAAGAGTTGATATATAGTACTAACAACCAAAGACATAAGTGTCCTCAAAGAACTTGGAATCAAGCAGGTCTGAGGTATAAATAAAAAGCTGAATTTTGCTTTGTCTCTATCCTGTAACAGACTTTTGTAGCTTTTGTTTTTTTCATGTATAGTATAGAGGTCTGGCAGTCTCCACTGTAAGCACAAATTCTCATTGTCAGTGGCTGAGTAGGTTCATTTAATAGTTCAGACTCAAAGTCATGATGATTAGAGGGCAGAATGGTATATTCTCAGATTGATGAGAGCCTGTGGGATTTCTGAAATATATAACTCAGAAGTTGTATCTTCTAGGGTTACTTGAGAGCTATGACAGTGTCTGAGTCTTAACCCTTTCAAACAGGACCTATACTACCCATATGGTACCTTTGTGTAGATTAGAAAAAGATGCCCTGTCCACTGGGTGATGCAAGCCCCATGACAGGGCCTGAAGCTTACTGAGCATACAGCAGGCTGGCTGTAGCCTCCAGTCATCATTCTGGCTAGGCAACTTTATGTAGTGAGCCACCTGAACAATCACACAGAATAGCAGCCCAGCCTTCACATGGTACATGAGGATTGACCATGATTAGCATATTTTGGCAAATCTCAACACATGAGAGTGTCAAATACCTCTACAGAAAGTGTTTGTTTGACTAATTAATGCAAATAGAATTAAGAAGCTTTACTTTCTGACTAATCCTAAATGCAACATTACTATGTACTAGGATCCTCAGTTTGTTCTCACATTATCATGTAAAATCACTGATTTTAACTTGTTTTATTCCAACTTTTTCAGCTTTCTATATTAAAAGGAGTGTGCAAAAAAGGTTTACTTACATTCTAGCAAAGCAACATTTTACTACTGGTTATCAAGGTTAGGTCTTGGTTTTACTTGTGCCTGATAACCTTGATTTACAGTGGGTAGAGTTTATGTGTAGGGGTGGGAAGGCAGGGAGAATTTATGATCAGCTTGGAACAAATATTGGTATAGACTCAGTGTTGGAATGGGTGACTGGATGATTTTTCTGAAAATAGGAATCTCCAAAGGAAGTGTCTGAATAGATTATTACATAGAATAAGAGTTTCAAATATTGTTAATGTCTTCTGCCACCCCTACCACTAAAAGAGCTCCATTTTGATGAGGACGTATAGTTTTTTTTTTGTTTTTGTTTTGTTTTATTTTTGGTGGGGGGGTCTTTTTGCTTTTTATTTTTATACTTTAAGTTCTAGAGTACATGTGCACAATGTGCAGGTTTGTAACATAGGTATACATGTTTTGTTAGCTCTGCCTGGTGTTTTGTTTTATTTTTGTACTGTTTTATTTTTCTTTTGCCTTATTCAGTTATTCACTTCTTGATCACTGAAATACCAATCTTGGTCCTCTACCACTCCTTAAGCCAAACTTGCTAGAAGCTTAGTTTCTTCTTTGGGTATCGTCAGGCTGCTGTAGCAAAATACCATAAACTGGATATCTTATAAACAACAGAGATCTATTTCTCACACATCTAGAGGCTGGGAAATCCAAGATCAAGCTGTTGGCAGGTTTGGTGACTGATGAAGGCTCTACCTTCTAATACCATCACATTGGGGATTAGAATTTTAACAAAAAAATTTGGGGGAGATACAAATGTTCAGACCATAGCATTGAGTATAGTCACATTCTTCAGACTCAGAATCTGGAGGCACAGTCACAACTCCTGGGATCCAGTATGTTCCCTAACTCTTTTTTTTAAAAAATATTATTTAGATTCAAAATCTGATATGTCAGGAGTATATCTTCCAAGTCACAAATATTAATTAAATATCATTGAACCTATTGTGGTCCAGGCAGTACGCTAAGACCTAGAAATAAAATGTTGATAAAAAAGATCAAGGCAAGAGAAGAGAGAGGCACAATATGATATTTATAGCCCTTATTATAGGCTACTTGGTAGCAAAGGGGTGGAGCCCCAGGCCTAGTTTTGGAAATTTGGAAAGTGCTCTTTGAGGAAGTGGAGGAGTGAGACTTAGCCAACTGAAGATATGCAAACCCCAGAAGCAAGAGGGAGCATAGCACATTTAGGGAACTACAAGGAATTAGGTAGGTCTAGAGCATAGATTGTAAGGAGTGTAGTGGTAAAAAATGGAGACAGAAAGAACAGTTAGGAGGCCACTATAGTAATCCAACTGATAGATGATGGTGTCTTGAACTAAGGTAATAACAGTGGGGATGGAAAGAAATGAGAAATTTAAAAGACATTAAAGGGTACAGAAGAAAAGATTAGTGTTTGATTTGGATATGAAGGGTATGGGAGAGGGAAACAATATGTATAGTGCCTATGTTTCTGACTTTGGCAATTGAGTGGGATGTTGTGGCTATGGAAAAGAGGGAGAAATGTTTGAAAAAGAGGAGTCTTGGGAAGTCTTTACTTCCCACCTGGTAGCTTGTCTAGTTACTCTTCCTAGTACCCTAGTCAGGTATCTCAGATGAATAACTTACCTCCTGAAGTCAGCCTACTGCAAGTTTCTGATATCTCATCTGTCTCTTTGTGGGCTAGAAGTCTACCCTAGAAACAAGTCCATTGTAACCACCTCCATTGGCTGGAGATATGTTAGATATGGACATAATTCCTTGGTCACAGTTATAACACACTAGGACATTATGTATAAATTCCTACCTAGATCCTGCTCTGCAATGCTCAGTCTGACAAACATACCCTGGGTTTTGACAATTATATTATGCTTTGAGGTCTCTCTGATTTTTGGCACCACTTTGAGCTATGTCTTCACTCAGTCACCTTCTATTATTAGTCCAGCAGCTCCAATAATGATTTTTCTCTTCTACGGTGACCCAACAATCCTGCAGCCTTGTTCCAGACTGGCCTGAATAATAAGACTGTGGGTAGTGGGGTATGAAAGTTTAAGCAGCACTCAGAATTCTTCCACTTTGCCAGCTTTAACCCTGCCTTTGACGGATGAACCAAAATTGAATATTACTGGAGCTGTAGGAAGGGCATAGTGTCTCATTATTTCTCTTCCTCCCTCCGCAAGAGAGCACGTGGTTGAAGGGGGGGGCTCTCTGTTAAGTACCAGTAACTTTCACCTTCTTAAGCTTTGATTTAAAGCTAGTTTCTAGTCCTGCAAACTTAAAACAAAGAGCAGACCAACCAAAGAACAACCTGATGATAATTAGATGGCTCTCAAACCATTAAGTTGCCTCTTAAAATTCTTACCTGTGGTGAGTACACAACATTCAACACCTTCACTCCACATGCAGCCTCTCACTAGGCATTTATAACCAATTACCTTAGGTACAGATTTATTAGAGTGGTTGAGTTAATGTGCCTCATTAAAACCTCATGGAGATAAGTAACTCACAGTTCCCTGCTGGCTAGAACATCTTTTCTGGTCAGGTTTTCACTGCCGACAGGCAATGGAAAGTTGATTAACCAGCAAATTTGACAAGGTTAGATATAACTCAAAAGTTTAAAAACTTCACAGGAACTATGAGACTCATGGTCTGCCTGTCATTCTGGGAAATCAGACCTTTTCCCAAGAAAAAGGACATACAGGGAAGTGTTTGCTAGAGAAGGGAGTGGTCAAGGAAAAATGTCCTGTGGTATTTTTTCTGTAGGTAACAGTATGGTTCTGGGAACTATTCCCAGGCACTCTATTTCCATCTCCCTGCTGAGCAATAGTTGGAGGTCACAGGGAGATAGAGGAATGGCCCCCAGATAAGAAAGCATGAGTAGCTGATAGGGAGGGTGATATCAATGTTTTATCGTATTTTTTCAGAGATAATGAATCTGAACTTTGGAGCTACCCAGTTCTCAGTTATGCGGAGTGGATGAGCAGAATGAAGAAGCTAAGAGGTATCCAGGGAAAGATCACTTCTTAGAACGCAGTAAACTCCCTAAACTGGTGGTAGAGGAGACAAGCTAGATTTTAATGGGAAAAAGGAGGCTCCCTCTATATGTCACTTAGTAGGAGATGGGTCATGGCAAGCCCCACTGGTTGACACAGGTAGTTTCTGGCCTGACACGTGCTGAAGTAGCCTCCATCTTCAAGTAGCCAGCACGGTATCCTGCAGGATACAGTCCATAAGGTGGATGGTTGTAACTTGTGATGGAAGTAGTTCCAAGCAATCTTTTCAACAGGTGTGGAAATTATTAATTATCTACTCAGTGCATGGTGAAGAGTTAGGTCTAGGGAGTCTAGAGAGAGAAGTGAGGTGCCCATACTAGGAAGAGTTACAGGAAGTGACACAGTCTGGCTCTGAGAGGTTGTTGGAAGAAATAATTATTGAGCACGTGAATATACACATATTTCTTAAGCAATAGTTTTCTTTCATTAAGCAGTTACTTTCAGCATATTACATACAACTTCCCATTTTATATTCACAGCGATTTTATGGGACAAGTATTTTCCAATTATACAAAGGAGTTAGGTACAAAAAGACTAAACATCTTGCTACCCAAAAACATGTGCTCTTAACTACTTTCTATGCAGTCTCCCAGTACTGTGTAGTTCTACTACTAGTAGCTAAGGACTTCAATTCTTAATGTTAGTTTACTTTGATGAGGAAATTATAATATTTTTGTTAGTTGATTCAGGTTGTTAATTGTAAATAGCTCAAGGTGAAAAGAGTAAGACTGAGTAAACAACAAATATCTTGTCTCCTCTGTGTATAACAGGGGCCTAAAGCTATTTTTCGGTGAGATTAAATGAAGAAATAATGAATGTGACAGTGCTAAGCACAGTGACTAGAACATAATATATGTTTAAAAAGTTGGTTTATTATTCATCCTAGAATCATGTGAATTCAATCTTTAATTAGAGACTCAAAAATAAATTGTACAAGGAGTCTAAATAATATTTCAGATTTTCTTTACCATAAAGACTTTCTCTTTAAATACAGGTTTCAAAAAGATTTTAACAATTTCTTCTCTCTTTATTTTAAAATCTCATTTAAATTTAGATCTAGACATTTTACCTCTAAGCTATTTGTGTACTTACACTCTTCCTTATATTAAGACCAGAAGCATAGGACAGGGATGAATTAAGGAAGGATGAATCCTGCTGTACTTTGAGTTCACTGATCATCTCAGATGATTTTTCAAATGTTTTGGGCTCACTGAAATCCAAAACAGGTTTCACCCATGCTTTTACTCTTAAGTTTGGTGCATGTGCAATTTAAGGGAAATTTAATCCATATGTTTCTGATTCGTTTACACTTAAATAGTCAAAATATTGTTTTTAATAGTTATTTGATGCCCAAGTAGCCTTTTGAACCTTTTAAGTAAGCTTTTAGAAGGCTACATTTCTCTTCAAAACAGGAAATCATGTCTTTCCAAGGAGGTAAACTAATTTATACATCTGAAAATTCAAGTTCAGTTGAAAACATCCAAAACCACAGGTTTTTAATGGCCTGTCTGCTTGGCAAATGAGCACTCAGCTTTAGACTTAAATGCTATTTGAATGCATCTACTTTTTGATGTATCTTTGGACTGGACATCCATTTCAGTTGATATTGGGCTGTTTTGAGTGGTAGCTTTGGGGTCCTGAAGTTTTAGATTTACCTGGTTTTAACTTTTAGTACAATTATTTTTATTTTTAATTTATCCTAGCTCTCCTAATTGGTAGACTAACGTGACTATACTTATTTTTCCATATATTTCATCCACAATGAACTTTCTGTGGGTTTTCTCTTTTCTCCATCAATGATCATATGTTTTCTTTAAATAAATGAAAAGTAACAGATCTCCAGTAAAACTATGCAACACTTCAGTTGAGATGTGAACATTATCTCTCTCCTACATACCCAGAGAATGAGCAAAATCATAGCAGACCTAAAGAAAATTAAGCAATATGTTTTGTTTTCTTAAAAAAATTGAGAGTTACAGCAAAAAAAGGGGTTTAATTAGTTTTACTTAGAGAGTTACTTTAAAGGGCAGAGACATTTGCTTAGAGAAACTCAGAGTACAGTTGAATGATGCCTTTCTCCTCTTTGCTTACACCATTGCAGCTATGTTGTTCCCCTAAACACATCCAGCTTGCTTCCTGCTCAGAGCCTTTAATATGTTGTGTCTTCTGCCTGTAATATTCTTCTTCCAGGTATCTACAAGACTCTTCATTTCATTCATCTCTGTGCTCAAAAGATACTGTATCATAAAGGCCTTCCCTTACCACCCCATAAGAAACAGACCTCCTTCATTTATCCATCTCCAATTCTTAATATTCCTTACCCTACTTTATTTTTCTTCATAGCACTTAATGAATATCTCTCTCTCTCTCTCTCTCTCTCTCTCTCTCTCTCTCTCTCTCTCTCTGTCATTTCTATATACCTGTTTAATGTCTGTCTCCACAAACTGGAATGTAATCTTTATGAGAGCAGGTACTGTTTTAGCTAATTGTTGTATTCTAAGCACCTAGAAAAGTATCTAACACTTAATATATCCTCAGTAAATATTTTTGAATAAATGAATAAGTATAGTTTTTGGCTTACTTGTATATATTCTCATATGGCCATTTCTACTTCAAAACATTTATAAATGTTTATTATTATTGAACTTGATATTGATTATTGACATATGCGTAGTCACTTACTAGCTGTGTGAACTTGGATATACCACTAAACCTCTATGTGGCTTATTTTCATCATTTTATTTATTTATTTATTTATTTATTTATTTATTTATTTTTATTTTATTATTATTATACTTTAAGTTTTAGGGTACATGTGCATAATGTGCAGGTTTGTTGCATATGTATACATGTGCTATGTTGGTGTACTGCAGCCATTAACTCATCATTTAGCATTAGGTATATCTCCTAATGCTATCCCTCCCCCTCCTCCCACCCCACAACAGTCCCCAAACTGTGTTGTTCCCCTTCCTGTGTCAATGTGTTCTTGTTGTTCAATTCCCACCTATGAGTGAGAATATGCGGTGTTTGGTTTTCTGTCCTTGTGATAGTTTGCTGAGAATGATGATTTCCAGTTTCATCCATGTCCCTACAAAGGACATGAACTCATCATTTTTTATGGCTGCATAGTATTCCATGGTGTATATGTGCCACGTTTTCTTAATCCAGTCTATCGTTGTTGGACATTTGGGTTGGTTCCAAGTCTTTGCTATTGTGAATAGTGCCGCAATAAACATATGTGTGCATGTGTCTTTATAGCAACATGATTTATAATCCTTTGGTTATATACCCAGTAATGGGATGGCTGGGTCAAATGGTATTTCTAGTTCTAGATCCCTGAGGAATTGCCACACTGACTTCCACAATGGTTGAACTAGTTTACAGTCCCACCAACAGTGTAAAAATGTTCCTATTTCTCCACATCCTCTCCAGCAACTGTTGTTTCCTGACTTTTTAATGATCGCCATTCTAACTGGTGTGAGATGGTATCTCATTGTGGTTTTGATTTGCATTTCTCTGATGGCCAGTGATAATGAGCATTTTTTCATGTGTTTTTGGCTGCATAAATGTCTTCTTTTGAGAAGTGTCTGTTCATATCCTTCACCCACTTTTTGATGGGGTTGTCTGTTTTTTTCTTGTAAATTTGTTTGAGTTCATTGTAGATTCTGGATATTAGCCCTTTGTCAGATGAGTAGGTTGCGAAAATTTTCTCCCATTTTGTAGGTTGCCTGTTCACTCTGAGGTAGTTTCTTTTGCTGTGCAGAAGCTCTTTAGTTTAATTAGATCCCATTTGTCAATTTTGGCTTTTGTTGCCATTGCTTTTGGTGTTTTAGACATGAAGTCCTTGCCCATGCCTATGTCCTGAATGGTATTGCCTAGGTTTTATTCTAGGGTTTTTATGGTTTTAGGTCTAACATTTAAGTCTTTAATCCATCTTGAATTCATTTCTGTATAAGGTGTAAGGAAGGGATCCAGTTTCAGCTTTCTACATATGGCTAGCCAGTTTTCCCAGCACCATATATTAAATAGGGATTCCTTTCCCCATTGCTTGTTTTTGTCAGGTTTGTCAAAGATCAGATAGTTGTAGATATTTGGCATTATTTCTGAGGGCTCTGTTCTGTTCCATTGGTGGTCTATATCTCTGTTTTGGTACCAGTACCATGCTGTTTTGGTTACTGTAGCCTTGTAGTATAGTTTGAATTCAGGTAGCATGATGCCTCTGGCTTTGTTCCTTTGGCTTAGGATTGACTTGGCGATGCAGGCTCTTTTTTGGTTCCATATGAACTTAAAGTAGTTTTTTCCAATTCTGTGAAGGAAGTCATTGGTAGCTTGATGGGGATGGCATTGAATCTATAAATTACCTTGGGCAGTATGGCCATTTTCACGATATTGATTCTTCCAACCCATGAGCATGGAATGCTCTTCCATTTGTTTGTATCCTCTTTTATTTCATTGAGCAGTGGTTTGTAGTTCTCCTTGAAGAGGTCCTTCACATCCCTTGTAAGTTGGATTCCTAGGTATTTTATTCTCTGTGAAGCAATTGTGAATGGGAGTTCACTCATGATTTGGCTCTCTGTTTGTCTGTTATTGGTGTGTAAGAATGCTTGTGATTTTTGTACATTGATTTTGTATCCTGAGACTTTGCTGAAGTTGCTTATCAGCTTAAGGAGATTTTGGGCTCAGACAATGGGGTTTTCTAGATATACAATCATGTCATCTGCAAACAGGGACAATTTGACTTCCTCTTTTCCTAATTGAATATCCTTTATTTCCTTCTCCTGCCTGATCGCACTGGCCAGAACTTCCAACAATATGTTGAATAGGAGTGGTGAGAGAGGGCATCCCTGTCTTGTGCCAGTTTTCAAAGGGAATGCTTCCAGTTTTTGCCCATTCAGTATGATATTAGCTGTGGGTTTGTCATAGATAGCTCTTATTATTTTGAGATATGTCCCATCAATACCTAATTTATTGAGAGTTTTTAGCATGAAGTGTTGTTGAATTTTGTCAAAGGCCTTTTCTGCATCTATTGAGATAATCATGTGGTTTTTGTCTTTGCTTCTGTTTATATGCTGGATTACATTTATTGATTTGAACCAGCCTTGCATCCCAGGGATGAAGCCCACTTGATCATGGTGGATAAGCTTTTTGATGTGCTGCTGGATTCGGTTTGCCAGTATTTTATTGAGGATTTTTGCATCAATGTTCATCAAGGATATTGGTCTAAAATTCTCTTTTTTGGTTGTGTCTCTACCAGGCTTTAGTATCAGGATGATGCTGGCCTCATAAAATGAGTTAGGGAGGATTCCCTCTTTTTCTATTGATTGGAATAGTTTCAGAAGGAATGGTACCAGCTCCTCCTTGTACCTCTGGTAGAATTCAGCTGTGAATCCATCTGGTCCTGGACTCTTTTTGGTTGGTAAGCTATTGATTATTGCCATAATTTCGGATCCTGTTATTGGTCTATTCAGAGATTCAACTTCTTCCTAGTTTAGTCTTGGGAGGGTGTGTCAAGGAATTTATCCATTTCTTCTAGATTTTCTAGTTTATTTGCGTAGAGGTGTTTGTAGTATTCTCTGATGGTAGTTTGTATTTCTGTGGGATCCGTGGTGATATCCCCTTTATCATTTTTTATTGTGTCTATTTGATTCTTCTCTCTTTTCTTCTTTATTAGTCTTGCTAGCGGTCTATCAATTTTGTTGATCTTTTCAAAAAACCAGCTCCTGGATTCATTAATTTTTTTGAAGGGTTTTTTGTGTCTCTATTTCCTTCAGTTCTGCTCTGATTTTAGTTATTTCTAGCCTTCTGCTAGCTTTTGAATGTGTTTGCTCTTGCTTTTCTAGTTCTTTTAATTGTGATGTTAGGGTGTCAATTTTGGATCTTTCCTGCTGTCTCTTTGAATGTGTCCCAGAGATTCTGGTATGTTGTGTCTTTGTTCTCGTTGGTTTCAAAGAACATCTTTATTTCTGCCTTCATTTCGTTATGTACCCAGTAGTTATGCAGGAGCAGGTTGTTCAGTTTCCATGTAGTTGAGCAGTTTTGAGTGAGTTTCTTAATTCTAAGTTCTAGTTTGATGGCACTGTGGCCTGAGAGACAGTTTGTTATAATTTCTGTTCTTTTACATTTGCTGAGGAGAGCTTTACTTCCAGCTATGTGGTCAATTTTGGAATAGGTGTGGTGCGGTGCTGAAAAAATGTATATTCTGTTGATTTGGGGTGGAGAGTTCTGTAGATGTCTATTAGTTCCGCTTGGTGCAGAGCTGAGTTCAATTCCTGGGTATCCATGTTAACTTTCTGTCTCATTGATCTGTCTAATGTTGACAGTGGGGTGTTAAAGTCTTCCATTATTATTGTGTGGGAGTCCAAGTCTCTTTGTAGGTCACTCAGGACTTGCTTTATGAATCTGGGTGCTCCTGTATTGGGTGCATATATATTTAGGATAGTTAGCTCTTCTTGTTGAATTGATCCCTTTACCATTATATAATGGCCTTCTTTGTCTCTTTTGATCTTTGTTGGTTTAAAGTCTGTTTTATCAGAGACTAGGATTGCAACCCCTGCCTGTTTTTGTTTTCCATTTGCTTGGTAGATTTTCCTCCATCCCTTCATTTTGAGCCTATGTGTGTCTCTGCACGTGAGATGGTTCTCCTGAATACAGCACACTGATGGGTCTTGACTCTTTATCCAATTTGCCAGTCTGTGTCTTTTAATTGGAGCATTTAGTCCACTTACATTTAAAGTTAATATTGTTATGTGTCAATTTGATCCTGTCATTATTATGTTAGCTGGTTATTTTGCTTGTTAGTTGATGCAGTTTCTTCCTAGCCTCGATGGTCTTTACAATTTGGCATGATTTTGCAGCGGCTGGTACCGGTTGTTCCTTTACATGTTTAGCGCTTCCTTCAGGAGCTCTTTTAGGGCAGGCCTGGTGGTGACAAAATCTCTCAGCATTTGCTTGTCTGTAAAGTATTTTATTTCTCCTTCACTTATGAAGCTTAGTTTGGCTGGATATGAAATTCTGGGTTGAAAATTCTTGTCTTTAAGAATGTTGAATATTGGCCCCCACTCTCTTCTGGCTTGTAGAGTTTCTGCCGAGAGATCCGCTCTTAGTCTGATGGGCTTCCCTTTGTGGGCAACCCAACCTTTTCTCTCTGGCTGCCCTTAACATTTTTTCCTTCATTTCAACTTTGGTGAATCTGACAATTATGTGTCTTGGAGTTGCTCTTCTCGAGGAGTATCTTTCTGGCGTTCTTTGTATTTCCTGAATCTGAATGTTGGCTTGCCTTGCTAGATTGGTGAAGTTGTCCTGGATAATATCCTGCAGAGTGTTTTCCAACTTGATTCCTTTCTCCCTGTCACTTTCAGGTACACCAATCAGAACTAGATGTGGTCTTTTCACATAGTCCCATATTTCTTGGAGACTTTTTTCGTTTCTTTTTATTCTTTTTTCTCTAAACTTCCCTTCTCGCTTCATTTCATTCACTTCATCTTCCATCACTGATACCCTTTCTTCCAGTTGATCGCATCAGCTCCTGAGGCTTCTGCATTCTTCATGTAGTTCTCGAGCCTTGGCTTTCAGCTCCATCAGCTCCTTTAAGCACTTCTCTGCATTGTTTATTCTAGTTATATATTTGTCTAATTTTTTTTTCAAAGTTTTTGACTTCTCTGCCATTGGTTTGAATTTCCTCCTGTAGCTTGGTGTAGTTTGATCGTCTGAAGCCTTCTCTCAACTCGTCAAAGTCATTCTCCGTCCAGCTTTGTTCCATTGCTGGTGAGGAACTGCTTTCCTTTGGAGGAGGAGAGGCGCTCTGCTTTTTAGAGTTTCCAGTTTTTCTGCTCTGTTTTTTCCCCATCTTTGTGATTTTATCTACTTTTGGTCTTTGATGATGGTGATGTACAGATGGGTTTTTGGTGTGGATGTCCTTTCTGTTTGTTAGTTTTCCTTCTAATAGACAGGACCCTCAGCTGCAGGTCTGTTGGAGTTTGCTAGAGGTCCACTCCAGACCCTGTTTGCCTGGGTATCAGCAGTGGTGGCTGCAGAACAGCAGTGGCTGTAGAACAGCAGATTTTCGTGAACTGCAAATGCTGCTGCCTGATTGGTCCTCTGGAAGTTTTGTCTCAGAGGAGTACCCAGCTGTGTGAGGTGTCAGTCTGCCCCTACTGGGGGTTGCCTCCCAGTTAGGCTGCTCAGGGGTCAGGGACCCACTTGAGGAGGCAGTCTGCCTGTTCTCAGATCTCCAGCTGTGTGCTGGGAGAACCACTACTCTCTTCAAAGCTATCAGACAGGGACATTTAAGTCTGCAGAGGTTACTGCTGTCTTTTGTTTGTCTGTGCCCTGCCCCCAGAGGTGGAGCCTACAGAGGAAGGCAGGCCTCCTTGAGCTGTGGTGGGCTCCACCCAGTTCCAGCTTCCCAGCTGCTTTGTTTACCTAAGCAAGCCTGGGCAATGGCAGGCGCCCCTCCCCCAGCCTCGCTGCTGCCTTGCAGTTTGATCTCAGACTGCTGTGCTAGCAATCAGTGAGACTCTCTGGGCGTAGGACCCTCCAAGCCAGGTGCGCGTTATAATATCCTGGTGTGCCATTTTTTAAGCCCATTGGAAAAGCTCAGTATTAGGGTGGGAGTGACCTGATTTTCCAGGTGCTGTCTGTCACCCCATTCTTTGACTAGGAAAGGGAACTCCCTGACCCCTTGCACTTCCTGAGTGAGGCAATGCCTCGCCCTGCTTTGGCTCATGCATGGTGCGCTGCACCCACTGTCCTGCACCCACTGTCTGGCACTCCCTAGTGAGATGAACCCGGTACCTCAGATGGAAATGCAGAAATCCCCCTTCTTCTGCATTGTTCATGCTGGGAGCTGTAGACCGGAGCTGTTCCTATTCGGTCATCTTGGCTCCCTCTAATCACTTTCATCATTTATAAAATAGAGATTAATAATAGTACCTAATTCATAGAGTTTTTGTGAGTATTGAAAAAAATATAAAACCCTTAGTACAGAACCTGGATAATAGTAAGTCCTTAGTAAATGGTGAAAAAAATTCATTAAATAAGCTTTGGAGAAGGAATACATACTGTATGTGAGGCACAGAGGAAAACAGAATTGTACTTTCTTCCTCCAAGGTGTTCACAGCTTCACAGATATTACTATATAGCTTTTTTCCCTCTGCCCAGTCCATTGGAATATTACATAGCTTTAGGAATGCTTTGATAGAAGTTTACCTAGAGTAATATTGCAATCCAGTTGAAGGGCATTTAGACTTTATAGGTCAAGAGAAGCTTTGAACTTCATCTCTAGGAAAAATAGAACTTATCAGTAGGGAAGAAAAGGTAGAACAAAATGGTATGCCAGCCAGGGGCAACAGCACATAAAAAGGCATGGAAGCATGAGGTAGTGTGACTGGAGTAGTGTAGTTGTTTTAGTCTTTTCTGGCTGCTATAACAAAATGTCATAGACCGGGTGGCTTATAAATAATGGAACTTTATTTCTCACAGTTCTGGAGGCTAGGAAGTTCAAGACCAAAGTACCAGCAGATTTGGTGTCTAGTGAGGGCCCACTTCCTGCAGAGAATGGTGCCTTCTCATTGTGTCCTCTCATGGTGGAAGGGGACAACTAGCTCTCTGGGATCTATTTTATGAGGGCACAAATCTCATTCATGAATGCTCTGTCCTCATGACCTAATCACCTCCCAAAGATCCTACCTCCAAATACTATGACATTGGGATTAAGTTTCAACATATAAATTCTGGGGGGACACAAATATTCAGATCATAGCAGTGGTCTAGGTTTGCAGGGTGGTTTGCTGCAGCTGAATCATAGGGTTAATCTAAGACATCTTTCCTGATGGTGACGGAAAATCATTGAAAAATTTTATGTAGACAAATGAAACCAGATTTGGTTTGTAGCTCAGCAATCAGAGAGGTAGGAGGACATCTGAAATTTGAATGAAATTTGCTTGAGTTTCAAAACACAGTAATTGTAGTCCTGTGTCCTTCCCTATCTCTCTGGGAATTTGGCGGAAAAGTAGGGAAGAGAAGGGTTGTTGGATTTCCTAGGCCTTTCTGGCTCAAAGTTTCTGCTTCTACTGTACTAATGCAGTTCATGGAACCCCATCTTTTCTTGTACATATCCTTAAACTATATCTGTGAAACAAGATGTTGAATTTAGTTCTCTTCTTTCTCTTTCTTCTTTCTCTTTCAGGAAATAACCACTTCGAATTTATCCTATTTTACCATGAAGAATACTTGTTGGAAGAGAAAAGAATACTTTTTGTCTCCTGCCAAGCTAAAATCCATCTGATGGAAGTGGGGTAAGGAATGAATTGGAGAAGATAAAGATAACAGGCAAGCAGACCAGGTAGGAGGTTGTTATCAAACAGCAAAATACTGAGGGCTTGGAGTAAGGCAGAGGCAGTGGCAGTAGGAATGGTGAGGAAAGAATGTATTTGAAGTATATATTTATGAGATTGAATCCATGGGACTGGACCTAGTGCCTAAATACACCTGGGGCAATGATAGAGAGGAATGTGATATGGAGAGGTGGGGAAGGAATTGCTAAGAAGGGATATAGGGTTTTGTTTGTAATTTGGAATTTTGTTTGGGACAATTGAACAGTTAGGGGTGGCATTCACTGTTGTTTGAGATACAGAAAGTGCGTATTTAGAGAGAAAATAAGTTCAGTTTTGGGCAAGATGGGTTTGAAGTACTAAATGGAGATATTACTAAAGTACTTAGACTTGTGTATCCAAAATTTAGAAGAATGATCTGGGCTTGAGAAGATAGCTTTGGGATTTTGGGGATATGCTCTCATGTAAGTCCAGGAAACCCAGCTACAGGTTCTTAACCAAATAGGAAGGTATTTTTCTTACATAACAAGAAGCCCAGAGTTAGACAGTCCAGGATTAGTGCGGTGGTTTCAAGATTTCACCAGTGTTTCAGGCTCTTTTTTTAATCTTTCTGCTCTATCAGCTTTAGTATCTTTGGTTAGTTTTTCTAGAAGCAGACTACAAGATAGGAATTTAGGTTATGAAATTCATTAAGAGAGTGTTCTTTGGGAAAAATATATAAGGGAAAGTGTAAGGCAGGAGAGAGTGGGGGAAGAGAGCAGGCAGTCTCTGATCAACTAACTAAATATTTAAAAGTGGGCCATAGATGAACCAATGAATGTGCCATGAACCAAGGGTTATGAGCAATCCAATTCTGTGAACAAGAAAAATCAAAAGACTAGATGAAGAGATGAAGGAGCCCAAGGAATATAAGGATCTTCTTTCAAGCAACTAGACTTTGAAAGGAAAGAACGAGGGAGATGGAGAAGAATGTCAGGGGAGATGGATTAAAAGAGGCTTTTAACTAGTAGAACTCTAAGAAAATTTGCTAAAAGGAAAGAGGTAGTAGAGAGGGAAGATGGAAAATTTTAAATTGAGAGAAATTAATTGGTTGAGTGATATCACAGAGTTAGGAGGGAATCCAGAGTATAGATGAAAAGATTAGCTTTGCACATAGGGAAGGACTTCTTTTTACTGCTCCAAGAGGAAAAGACATAAAAATAAGTGGGTTTACATATAAATTTATGATGGTGGCAAGTGAGGAGCTTAGAAATTCCTACTTCATTGCATTTAAATTTATTTTCCTAGTAAAACACAGAAAAGGTCATCTGTTGAGCACGTGTGTGTGGAGTAGGAGGTATCAGTGATGGTGGGATGAGGAAGAGATATAGAAGGCTTAAGAGTGGTGAAAATTTGAAATAGCTGCTGAAAGAGAAGGAGAGATATCTAATCAGAGCTGCCAAGAAACACTGCTTGGCAGCATTTGAATGCCAGCTGAGGCTGAAGATCATAAGCTTGTAGAAGTAGCAACTCTGGTTGAATGGCTTTCTCCAGCAATGCTTTACAGTTGGGGATGACATCTGGTAGATGAGTAGGGCTATTAAATGCAGAGAAATTACACGCATTGATTCATATTCTAGTTCAGGTTGCTAAATACCTTTAAGTTGTACACCACAAAGGAAATAAAGATATACATAAATTTCTGCACCTGTATTTATGCAGCTAAAGAGTACACGATGGTTTGGTTTGGGTGGGTTTAGGAATCAGCCAATAGATGTCTTAACATCTCCTTTGGTTATTTGGTGTTGAAGCTATTATTAATTATGGTTATTTGGTATTGAAGCTATTATACATTATGGCTTAGGGACTAAATGGGGTCACAGAGATGGATGAATCTTTAAGAGTAAGTTCAAAGAACAACAATAGCAACAACAACGAAGTTCTCCATTCTTCAAACTGATTTTGGATATGCTTGTGTGTCCCTGATATTCCTATGGCCCAGAACTTTCTAATTCATTCAGAATTCTGTGACTAGATAAATCTCTCTAAAACACATCACTGTCCAGAAACCTTTAGTGGCTTTCCATTGCCTGTAGTATAAGATCTAAACGTCTTAGCCTGATGATTTCAAGGCTCTCCATAATTCGGCCTCAACCTACTTTTCATTGTTTTCCCACTGCTTCCTATATCCAGAAAGTATAGGTTAGTGGTTAGAAGCACAGTCTGCATTTGTATTTGAACCCAGCTTTTCAGATTACCAGCTGTGTGATCTTAAGGAATTTATCTCTCGTAGTTCTAATTTTCTTATTAGTAACATAGGGAAAATAGTACATACCTGATAGGATTATGAAGATTAAATGAAATAATAAATTGTGCTTAGTACAATGCCTGGAGTAGAGAATATTTACAATATTTTCAGAACTTTTAATTAACTTGCATTAGTTTATTTTCACATTGCTATAAAGATGCTACCTGAGACCAGGTAAGTTATAAAGAAAGGAGATTTAATTCACTCCGTTCTGCATGGCTGGAGAGGCCTCAGGGAACTTACAATCATAGCAAAAGGTGAAGTAAGGCATGTCTTACATGGCTGCAGGAGAGAGACAGTGAGGAAATGCCACACTTTAAAACCATCAGCCCTTGTGAGAACTCCCTCACTATCATGAGAACAGCAGGGGAAACTGACCCCATGATCCAATCACCTCCCACCAGTTTCCTCCCTTGAGATGAGATTTGGGTGGGGACACAGAGCCAAACGATATCATAACTCAACTTACATAGTGTTTGCACACTGTTCTACATATTTTGTAAGCTCATTTAATCCTTATAACAACCCCCTGAAATAGGTAATATTATCCCAACTTTACAGATGAGAAAACTGAGAAATAGGAAAGTTAATTAGTTTACTATCTTAAAAGCTAGTAAGGGCCAGAAACATGTTTTAAACCCAAGGAGTCTGTTTTCAGAGGCAATGCTTTTAATCACTAAGCTGTTTCCTTTCAATAAACAGCAACTATTATTATTATTATTACTCAACTTACTGTCCCTTAAACATGTCACGTGTGTTTATTTCTACCTCTGTTACTATTCATATCATCCACTATGCCATTAAAGCACTAAAGACCCCTTCCTCCCTTTCTACCTAAATCTTCTTAATTTCTTTCTTTTCTTTCTTTCTTTTCTTTTCTTTTCTTTTTTTTTTTTTTTTTTTTGAGACAGTCTTGCTCTGTCACCCAGACTGGAGGAGTGCAATGATGCAATCTTGGCTCACTGAAACCTCCACCTCTTGGCTTCAAGTGATTCTCCTGCCTCAGCCTCCTGAGTAGCTGGTATTACAGGCATGCACCACCATGCCTGGCTTTTTTTTTTTTTTTTTTGTATTTTTAGAAGAGACAGTGTTTCACCATGTTGGTCTTGAACTCCTGACCTCAGGTGATCCACCCGCCTCAGCCTCCCAAAGTGCTGGGATTACAGGCGTGAACCACTACACATAGCCACAATCTTCTTAATTTCTAATGACCATCTCAATGCCTGATCCTTTCATGCAACTTGCCATGATTCCTCAGTTACCAGTGATCCTTTTCCTCTCTGAATCCTTGACACTTATTGTCTACCAGTTGGCACTGTGTTTTAATAGTATCTATATTGCTTTAGATAGTTATTAATATTTAATCTGTCTTTGGTTTTTAGATGATATTTTTGAAGGTGGGAACAATATGTTATCTTCTTTGCACCTTTAGCACTATTTAATGGGCAGTTCTTCCAAATTTATCATGAGAGGACCCAGATTCAAGTCCTAGCCCTGAGAGTTAATAAACCTAGTGACTTAAGACTAATTACTTAACCTCTTTGAAACTTAAAGACTATATCTGTGAAATGATGTTAGAAACCTATCTGTCTTAGAGAGTTATTATGGGGATTAAAAGAAAAGCCTAATTGAAAAAGTCATGAGGTTCCATGCGAAAGTTAGATGTTTTATGCATAACATGCTCTTTGTAAATACATGTTAAGAAAATGAATAAATGAATTAGTGGATGTTTAAAGGAAGAAAAGAAATCAAATGAGCTCTACCACTTTTACTCTGTATTATGTTGAGCTAATCCAAACTTAAACAACTTGAGCATCCTTTTTCACCTGTAAAGCAGAGATAAGAAGTTAAGTATATAGGACACTCTGAAGAAATACAGGCCTTTACAGCTTTCAGCTTTGGAATGAAGCATGAGTGTCTCCAGGATAGAGAAGAAAGGGAAGCAGGATATAGATATACAAGGAAATTTGGTAGGCTATAAAGTACAAACTCTTCAACTTACCTTTTTGCTTAAGCTAAGCTCTGTCTATGCCTTTAGCATATGAAGAATGGGCTAAAATTCCATGGATTCATATTTTTGACAAATACCTCAGTGACTAGTGAATCCGAAGTTCCTTTCTTGGCTCCAGGGTAAAGAATTCCAGCCAAATTTTTCTCTTGAAAGTTCAGCTTGAATTTAAATTTCCTACCCACAATAAAAGTCTATCCAAGATTTCACATGACTGACATGTAGCATTTTGAGATTGTCTGGCCACATAACCATGGATTTCTAAATAGTATGTGAAAGTTCTTGACTCTTAGGCTTACTGGAATAAGTCCAGCCACATTTACATTATTTTCTCTTCCTGCTAATTCTTCCAAAATAAACCATCAGTTGCTAAATTCTTAGAGCTTATGACATGTGCTTATATCTCAGGTGTCTGTCACCTTTTTGTAGTACAGGATTTCATGATCTAATCATCCTGTGGCCACTTGCTATTTCCCTTTCTATCCTATTCTGATGGCTAATCCCTATGTTTTACTCTAGCCTCTCTATTCTTCTGCTTAGAATCTGGCCAGGACTTTTTCTTCCTTTCTCAGCTTTAATACAAATTCTGTAACCTATGTGGAGTGGGAATGATGTGGTTAAATAATGTGGAAAGAGAAAAGACTTCAGCTACCAGTGGAAAAGTTGGGGATGATATGGTTAAAAAAACTTTTGAAATTTTTTTCCTTATTTGAAAATAAGGGAAATAAAGCCACCTTAGAAGAAAATGATTTTGAGTTGTGGGAGAGAGTCCTCCACATTGAACTTAGCTAAAAAGAAATGCTTCTTTTATCAGGACCTGCCTTCCCTATTCGCATTCATGATCTATAATTATTTGCAGGCTCATCACAGTCCATCATAGTCTTGTACTATTTAGAGTCTCTCTCTCTCTCTCCTTCCTTAAGAGTAAGACCTGAAGAGAGACTATTTCAGCCTTTCTAAAGTTGTCTAAAGGCCAGGAGAGTGATTACAGTGTTAGGGACAACTCTTTTTGCTTCAGTTCCCTACTTAACCTCCACCAGATGTGGCCAGTTTGCTGAATTGACCCTTGTTATGGCTCTGGTACTGGGATAGTCTGTCCTCTTTCCCCTTGCTGCTTCTACTGAAGATGAAGTCTAAACTTGAATCCTAGACAGGAGGCTAGAGATCCTAATCTCTTCATTGGGTCTCAGCTAGCCACTTTCTCTAGAACTGAGTTTGATTTCTCTTTAAATTATTCAATCCCCAAATTTAAATCTTAATCACCTACTTGGTATGAGAACCACTACTGCTTAGAACTCTTAAACTTAATGGAATGTGAGTAGAAGTAATGTACACTACTTCCAGGCCTGGCCCATAAAACCTTCTGTGCAGGTCTACGTTCTCTGTCATGTATGAATTTCTCTATTTCTGTGTAGTTTTTTGGTCCATTTTGCTGTATATATTTTGAGGCTATGTTATTGGGTACATAAAAATTTAGAATTTTAACATTCTAAAGGGTAGATTAACCCTTTCATCATTGTGAAATATCATTTTTTCTCAGTTTGTTTTGCTGTCATATCTAATCTTTCTAGTTTTAGTATAGGTAAACCAGCTTTATTTTGATTAGTGTTTGATGGTATATTTCTCCCGTTTTTACTTTCAATCTTTCCATATGCATATATTTAAATTGTATTTCTTGTAAGCAGCATTATGTCTCTTTTAAGCATTACATAGTTGTTAGATTTTTTTTCATGTTCAATAATCTTTGTTTTTCTGATTGGGGTATTCATTTATATTTAATGTAATTAATAATATATTTGGATTAAAAAGTGTCTATAATCTTATTGTTTTTCTATTTATTTAACCTCTCCTATGTTCATTTTCCTCTCTTCTCTTGCCTTCTTTGGATTAATTGGATTGATTCATTTTTATTATTTCACTTTCCACTTTTGTTATATAATATGTTATCACATTTCTTTCTTTTTTTTTTTTTAAGTGGTGTTTCCCCCTCAACACTTTGAAGATATTATTCCATACCCTTCTAGCTTCCATTATTTCTATCAAAAGTTACATCGTGTGACTTACTGTTGCTTTGTTTTAAAGTAATGAAGTTTTCTCCTGTCTGCCTTTAAGATTTTTTCTTGCCCAGGCCAGGTGGCTCATGCCTGTAATCGCAGCACTATGTAATGCTTAGAAGAGACATAATGCTGGTTAGTGAATTGCTTGACTGTATTAATCAACAATTTACAACTTGTGTCTAAAACTCTAGTATTTAGACACCCTATAAGTGTGTTTCTATTTTTTGTTAATTCGTTCTTCTCATTTGTAGTCAAATCTCGTTTGTTTTAGTTTTTTTTTTTTTTTTTGTACGCTTGGTTATTTTTATTTAAGTGCTGAGCATTTGTTCTCTAAGTTTAAATGATGTTTTCTTCCTCCAGAGAGGATTTACTTTTACTTTTGGCAAGCAATCTAATTAGGAGATCACCTTATTCCAGTAAAGATTGAGATGATTCAAAGCTGGGCTTCAGTTCTTTTGAGGGTTCTTCTATTTCTTTTACTTTAGCAAGTAACCCTTCAGATTCCTAATTAAATGCTAGAAGTTTTTAATGGCCCCACTTACTTGGAACTCCTTGAACTCTTACATTTTGTGCCTCTGAATTATGATTGTTGAAAGCTTTGATTAGCTTCTCAAACTCTTAGGCTCTCAGATACTGTATTCTCATTTGGTACTAGTATTTACCTCAAGGCAAAAGTGGCTTCAAATTCTAGGCTCCTTTTTCTTGGCGTCTCCCTCTTAATTTTGGCCTCACAAATTCTCACTGCCTTGGTCTCTAATACTGTCTAATTCATATTTATTTATTTATTTATGTAAGTAAATAAGTCAGGTTTTTTTGTTTTTGTTTTTTTTCTTAAGACGGAGTCTCACTCTGTTGCCCAGGCTGGAGTGCAGTGGCGCGATCTCCGCTCACTGCAAGCTCTACCTCCCGGGTTCACGCCATTCTCCTGCCTCAGCCTCCCTAGTAGCTGGGACTACAGGCGCCTGCCACCATGCCGGCTAATTTTTTTTGTATTTTTAGTAGAGACGGGATTTCACCGTGTTAGCCGGGATGGTCTCGATCTCCTGACCTTGTGATCTGCCCACCTCAGCCTCCCAAAGTGCTGAGATTACAGGCTTGAGCCACCGCGCCTGGCCATAAGTCAGGGTCTTGCTCTGTCACCCAGGCTGGAAAACAGTGGCGCCATCATGGCTTACTGCAGCCTTGACTTCCTGAGGCAATCCTCCCACTTCAGCCTCCAGGGTAATTGGGACTACAGGCAAGTGCCACCATGCCTGGCCAATTTTTTTTTCTTCTCTAACAGTGCCTAATTCTTTCCTTTCTTTAGCAACTAGGTTTTTCTCTTACTCATCTTTCACATGGCGCAACATGGCTGTCCTCACTCTGATCTAATTCAACTGCTATCACCAATTACTACATTCTCTATTTCTTATTGATTCAAATTATTCATTCATTCATGGCTAACCAAAGAATTGGTCTTGGACCTGGTGTTCATCCTTGTTTAATAAGCTGTGGCCATGATGTGGGTCATATGGCACATAGGAATGCTTTCTTCAGGCTCTCTGAGAGAGAAATTAAATCCAGGAAAAGGAATTAGGTGTGTGGGACAAATTATGTTCAGTACATCTAGGCTGAACTTTTTTTAGGATTCAGACACATATGGACAGAGTGGAATGTTAAAAAGGATAAAATGAATGACAGATAAACAACCAGATTCACCAAAGTAAAGGACAAGGACAGTACCATAGTTTCTCCTGACTACTCAATATCACTTATAAATTGCTACGTATCTCCATATAATTAGTTATTAAACAGTTAAATCCAAACATAATTAAATAATATTTAAGAGGAGGAAAACATTAAGATATCTTCTTTGCACATTTATTGATAAGGGGATATTATATGCATATAGAAATATTTTGATAAATATATTGATAGTAAATGTCATGCTTGTATAAATAAATCATTCAGTATGGTCTTATTTGAATTTAATACAAGAAAAACTGAAGTGAAACTACAGGGCCACCACATTTAGTTGTTGAGATTATAATATGCATGGTGATCCTGGAGTTGGGCCATGAAAAAGCTGCATATTTCAAATTTCAACCATGTGTTGCAGTCCCTTCAACTTCAAATACATATTTCTGCTTGATAAGCAGCATTATTTCACAAAAAATTCCTCCAACATTACAAATAAAGATTATGGAAAAAGTTTTAAATGAAATGTTTTCATATTCTGTATTATGCTGCTCACACTTTCTCTCTCAGTTTTTGCATGATATATTACTGTTTGTTCATTGCCAAGTTTAATAGCCATTAAATTAGCCTTCTGTCTTTTACCATGGCTCCTTCATTCCTGAATTCTTGATTGACTTGCCTACTAATAATTTAGATAGTGACTGGGTCTTTTACAGTAGCTTATAGCTGCTACATTCCCTCTGTTTTTTATTTTTAAAAATATGCATCTATTTTAATTCTTGAAAGATATCTTACCTGGATATCGTATTCTTAGGTAATACCTTCTGTCTCTCAAAACTTTGTAGATATTGCTCAAAAATTTTTTGGCAACCAATGCTATGGAGATGTCTGAAGCTAATGTGACTTTTTTTTTTCCTGCAGGGAATTCCTGAAGAGTTTTTCTTATTTTTGAAATTCAATAACAACTAAAGTATATTTTTTGTTGATCATTGTATTTTCACCTGAAATATTGTCTTTTAGATACACAGATTTAAGTTTTCCTTTATTTCTGATACGTTGTCTTGTATTATATCTTTGGATATATTTTGGTTTTTATTTTGGAGATTATATAGTTCAGAATGATTTATTATATCTTCATTGTTGTCTTCACCTGTCCTTCATATCTATAATATTTTCTTTAATTGTTTTAATGTTTTGGCTTTGTCCTTTGTATTTGCTTGATTACCTCAAGCTTTCCCTCTATTTTAGTAATTCTATTTTTTCTTGCAGTCTCCAATTTATTTCATAGTTCTCTAAAAAAGCTGTTTTTTTCTTATTCTGCAATCTCCCATTTTATCTCATCTTTTAAGTTGATGAAGAACTTATTTTATTCTTATTTTATTATGTTCTTCTATAGCACTCAATGAATTTTTTCCTACCCTCTGAGTTACATTTGTTCCTGAAAAGGCTATTGACCTCCATTTTGTTATTATTACTTCTTTACCCTTATTGTTTTTACTGTTTTACTTCTATAGTATGGTAACTATAATTGTTATATCATTTACCTGCATAAAATATTGCTTATGCTGAACAAAGCTATCATTTTTTCTAGACATTCTATTTGCTTTTATATGCTATTAATGAATTTTTCTTGATTTTAGTTCATTTTCCCCTCTGAGCTCAATTTTTGAGCTGGGTAGTTTGTATTCCATCCACTTTTCTGTGGTTAGAGTGCATCGGAAGATTTCTGGAATTGATTAGAGTTCAGCCAATGTTGTATGAAGTTTTGCTCTCCTGAGATTTTGTAAAATATACTGTATCAAAATTCACTTTACCTTATCACAAATATATCCTATTCATATGGTGAGGAGATAACCTAGGGCTTTGGTAACTCCCCCAATTTAGTAAGAATTCCCACAGTCTTTGTTTCTATTTAGTAGCCCTAAACATTTCTCCAATTTTCCCAGTCTCTAATCCATCCCTCTCCACCTGTACCTCCTACCCTCTCTTCCCAGCCAATCATGAGATATAAAAAGAGATAAAATGATATAAATTCAGTTTACTCATCTCCAGATTTGGGATGGTTAGTGAGAAATCACAGAATTCTTCAAATCATCAGTACTGATTTTGCAGCATTAGGAGCCACCTGGTGCTGGAAAGGCACAGTGTATATAAAAGCTCTAAGAAGACCTCCACTAAATAAATCAGCTTGATTTTGCTAAATTCATCATTTCCTATATTTATTAATTCTCTTATTTAGGAGAATGCCAAATATTAGTTTGGAAAACTTGATTTATGAAATCTCCTGAGTCCATATACTCTCTTGATACAGGAAGGGGCAGCCCCAGTGTGTGGTACAGAAGACTAGATATATAAAATATATTGATCCTTGAAACACCAGGATGTTAGGCTTCTACTTGTTGAGGGGTACATCAAAATATTGCTAGTTTGATCTTAACACTGGGACTTTTGGACCACTGGTCTATAAACTTGTTTACTCAAGGTAAGGGGTTCCTGATTTCCTCCTCCAGTCCTTCTAGAGTAGGCAGACTAGAGGGCTTGGAAATAAATCATGAAAATAATGAAGATTTTGAGCTTGAGTGCTTAGTCTATTTTTTCCTGACCTGAAGCTGTGTGGGTTGGGGATGAGGGAAAAATTTACATGGGTTACAGTCTAGTGGGACATTATGGATAGTGCCTCATGTCTAGATATCCACTGGCATCATTTTCTGGATATTGACTGAGAGTAAAAAAAGTCAGGGAATCAGTCTAAGCTGTATTCTAGAGAGGATGGAGGGTTGAAACTAGAGAAGTCAAATTCCAAAGGCTAAACATTGTTGGGAACAGAAGTTTAAGACAGGATTTAGGAGTTCAACAGATGCTGGAACACAGTAAGAAGTAAGAGCAAATGTGGAAGGTGAATGTAACTAAGAGTAAAAAATACAGTTGTTTGGCATTGGGCTGGGGTGCCTGAGACTCATGTCCTTGGGTAGGTCACTCCTGTGCTATGGAGTGTAGGAATATTTGCTGTTAATAAACTCTGTTTTAAGTTGTTTCACTATATAAACTCTGCCTGTGTCTGATGGGCATGACTATTTCAGTTAATACTTGGGTAGTCAAGCAATACAAGATTTTGCAGTTACTAGTTTACCCTGGATGTAGCTGCCAATTGCATTTTTTTTCCAATGGCTTGGCATTTATACAATGAATATATATATATATGAGGCAGCTGTCACAGTTCTTTGCCAACAGTAGATTTCTCAGTAAGTTTTTGATGAATTCAAGGTATTTCCGGAAACTGTTGCATATTCAGTTACCACTCAAATTCACATAACAATAGGTTGGGGTGCTAATTCAATAAATCAATTGCTGGTTTATGTCTTATGCCACTCATTGTGCCAGGATGTGGACATATGGAGTTGAACAAGATATGGGTTCTGCCCTCATAGAGCTATTTTAGAACCCTAAGAGAGAACATAGTATTGATTTATCAGAGTCATTGCTGAACACTCCTTAAGAATACTTGAAAAGTTTTGTTTAACATGACGTCTTAGAGCAACAGTTCTGAAGCTTGGTTTCACAATAGAAACACCTGAAGAATTGATACTGGGGCCCCATTTCAGGACACTTAAATCAGAATTCTTGGGTTTGGGCTTATGCATCAGTCAGCATTCTTTAAAAAACTTCCTCGGTTCAGCCCATGTTGAGAACCCATGTATTAGAAGGAAAATACAAAGGATCAATTGAGAAACACTAAAACAGCAAAATGAGTGAACTGTGTACTGGATTTTATAATAAAATATTTAAGCATATCTATGCATATGAATACAACAAACAACAAATATAATGTATAGTCATCAATCACCAATATCTCTTGAGTAGGATATTACTGGTAGAAATTCATAGCTAGTTTTGATGGAGACAGTGTCTCTGTCCTGTTTTTTTATCCACATTGTTTCAATACTTTTCTGTCTTCTATTTCTGTTTTCTATTTCATCTTACCCTTTATCATTTACATTTGTATGAAATTCTTACTGCGAAGTACTTTCACTCATTCTGCAACTGCAAAAATTCAGTCACTGAAATATAAACCTGGGTTCTTAATTCTGGCTTAATTTTCATCACCTGGAGAGCTTTTAAAATGTGTTGATGACTGAGCTTCACCCCACACAACTTAAATCAGTCTCTAGGAGTGAGACTGTTATTAGTATTTTGTTTCAGAATAGATGATTCTGTGTACTGGTGGTGTTAAAAACCCTAGTGTGGTAGACTGTTAAAACATGGCCTCTCAAGAATTAAGCTTCTTGTGTCCACAAACTTATGCAATGTGACTTCTGCCATCAACAGGTGAAGTCTATTTTCCTACCTTGAATATAGACCACATAGCTGACCCTCCAGGTGAATGCTGCTTGTAAGTGCAAAGTGCAGGTGATGTCAGCAGAGGAGCCACCCAGCCAAACCCTCAGAATAGTGAAAAGCAATAAAGCGTTTTTTTGTTGTTGTTTGTTTGTTTTGTTTTGTTTTTTCTTAAAGCCATTAGGTTTGGAGGTGGTTTGTTACCCAGTGAAGTCTGACTGAAATATACTACTATAGAAGCTTTTTGTTATAAGCTTTGATATAAACAGCTATTTTTGATTTTTTACGTCTATTTTTATTGTTATTGCAAGAACCAATCTAACAATTACCTCTGAAGTTCCTTCTATCCTCAGAATTCTCCTTCAGACTCTCTTATTCCTGAAAGAATGAGATTCAGGCAGAAAAAGAAGAGTTTCACTTCATTGTACAAATGCCTTCCTGTTTTCCTCCAGGGTACTTTTTAAGTCTAATTACCAAATGTTTCCTTTACAACTATAAAGATCAAAGGAGCCACCTGCCCCTGGGGCTATGGCCTAGGCGTTTCATGCACACTACATGTGGATTGCATCAACACGTCCTGAAATTTGCTGAAACTCAGTTTCACAAGTTCAGGTCCAGAAATTTAAAAAAAAAAAACAAAAAACTTGCATCAGCAAGATGGCCACACTTAGGCAGATCCAGAAACAACCTGAAATCTCTAATCAATTTGCTTAGTGTGCATCATGTAAAAGAGTTGTAGTTTGCACCTTCACTGTGCTATCAGTGATGAAAATTACTATAATTTGCCTTAATACTAAAATCAAGTATTTTAACAGTTCTGACTAGAATGTCTTCCTTGTGAAATCAGCAGGTTGTCCATATCATTACCTGGTAGATAAATCTAGGTTGGTCGGGGACAGTGTCATGGATGTGGAGTCCAAAGACATGGCTTTGACACTTAATTCTGCTGCTTACCTATATGTAACCTTGAGCAAATTACTAAATTTCTTTTTATCTTAATTGCCTCATCTACATTAAGACAAAAATAACTACCTTCAGAATATATATAAGGATCAAAAAAGGTAACATATATCTCCTTTTGTAATCTTTAAAGCTTAACTTAAATGTAAGGTGTTATTGCTTTTGTTGGTACAGATAGCACCAGAAAAGAAGAAATATGGAAAAAATTGTTTGACAACAGCTGAGAAAGTTTCTCATATTCTCACAGCATTAGGGAATGTGAATGCTTTATGAGGCTCCACAGTTGCCTTTAATCTTTGAATCTCAAAGCACCTTGCTTTCATAGAGCCCATATAAACTCTATGAAATACATTTGTTACTCCTTAAATTTCCTTTTACACAGTAAACCTTTTCCTAGACATACAGTAAATTTAAGCCTAACTTAAGGGCCCTCACTTAAGGGCCCTCAAAATTGTGAATGAATAAAGAGAGGTTCTGATCCTTTTTTATGTCATAATTTTCACATCTTATTTAAAATGTGCAAGTCTCTTGATCTTGTCTGTCTTCTCTCAAAGCCTGTCCCTTGATGCTTTGATGTAGTAAACATGCCTATGAAACTCAAATCCTATACAGGTGGCAGTCTTTTCATTCCTTGCATGTTAGGAGTAGGGATTGGAGATAATTTATTAATCTTTTTCTCCTTTAAATGTCTGAAAGATGCCCATTAAAAATATGTGAATCAGATTCTTATACTACCCAAGTTGAATCCTGGTTGGAATGAGATCCCTTGCAGGTTGCATTTAACTCTTTGGCTTCTTGACTAGCATGTGAGAGTTTTTACTTTTAGTTTACTAAAATGGTTGTCTGGTGATCTGAATGAATTCATGTGACTTTTAACCAAGATTTGTTTAGGCACTAGGAGATGTAGCTATAATTACGAACTCTATTTCTGTGGCTTTTTTTCCAAGGACTTCAGAGAGCTTTGCATACATTAATCTTCTTAAGTAAGGTGAGCTAGATGAATTATGTTATTATTTTAGAAAAATTTACCTTTAACTTTCTATTGTCACGCACTCTGGAATCTTTACTTATTTAACTGGTATTTTGCCATCTGATTTTTTCTATGGATATTAAAAATTTTTTCTTTCCCATATTGAAATAGACTCAATTTCCCTCAAATTATGCTCTTAAAGGAAAGGATATATATTTATATGGACAGTTAACATACATTATTTCTTAGACCAAAGAAGTATCATTACTGGTGAGTTTCTTAGTTTTAGAGCAGTATGTGTGTAAGAAAGGGTGATATTTGGGACACATAGACTCTATCCCTCAAAAGAAACCACATAGGTAATTGCCTATTTATAGAACAAATATGATTTAAAATATTTTCTTTTAGAAAGGAATTGCTTACAAACTCTATCTTAGGGTGAGAAAGACTGAGGCACAGTAAAGATTGGTAACATAGACCACTTTTTGGTAGGTTATAATTCTGATTATTTATGCTCATGGCCTAATATCTGCTTTTGGCAGAGTTTTACTTATAGAGATTTCCAATACCAATGCTCGAACTTTGATCAGATCATTAAAGTAGTTTGAGGCTGCCAAAAGTTTATCAAAATGATTTTTCTTTATAAATTTTACTGAATAATTTCTTCTTTAATTTAACATGTGTTTATTATAGGGAGTTTTACATAGACCAGTTAAAAATGAGCCATTTTTTTGGGGGGGAATTTTTTTTTCTTTCCAAGAAAGAAACACACAGACATACTAGCACTCCTGTGTCACACCAAAGGCTTCTCTCTTTAGTTTTCAATGCTGGTAATTATTAATTCAGGGGTGCGTGCAATATCTATGTGCAGGTGATACCAGTGGTGAAAGTACTGATAATCTTTGCTTCACTTACCAGCATAAGACCTTTTCCCCTAAGACTTAAATTCATAATCAATCTAATTTCTACAGGATTGCTCAATTTCATATAGGATTACACTTTCATGGACATCTTCCAGAGCTTATTCACAGGAGATTTAAGCAAAGGTCATGCTGGCTTTTCTAAGTAACTTTCTGGATGAAAAGAACATAATTGTCCACTTCCAGGAAACTGGTATTCATCAAGAAAGGTTTGTTTTTTACGTCTTCCTTGGTGGACATCAGTGGATTTACCAGGATGCTGCTCAGGATCTCTCCAATTCTCTTTTCTTTGTATTTTTTTATTCCTTCTCTGATTTTCTTTAAATTATGTTTTTCCTTCTGATCGATCTGACTAAAGGTAAGTCAAGCTAAAACATAAGGAAATAAACATTTATAATAAAATGACCCCTTTGAAAGAAGAGCAATTTCTTAGCATATGATTATAAAATAAAATCTTTAAATAAAAGATATTTTGGTGTTTGGACTCAATTGACATTTTTCTCCTTTGCTGGAATTATCATAATGAAAACACAAACATGCGAGCTCAGACATATCCCAAGCTTGAGGAGAAGTTTTTCAGTCTGACAGATGGATGCTTGGTTTTGTAGCTTTAATATGTTTTCCTCTGCCAATTTGATATAATAGAAGGAAAGAGTATGAACGTTGCAATCAGAAGGGTCTGGGTTTGAATTTGAACTCTGACACTTACTGGTTACGTAACCTTAGGCAAACTAGTTAATCTCTGTAAACTTATGTCTCTTTCTTTGTAAAAAGGGGATTAATAATGCTTACTTTATCAGAGTGCCCTGAAAAATAAGTGAGATAGTACATATGCAGGCATGTGGCACATGCCAGTCCTAGTGAGTCAATAAATATTAGTTACTTTCCTTCCACTTATATGTTGACCAGAGAGTAACACAGTATTTTCACTTAAAAAGAAAAAGTTCTATATAAAAATCAATAATGAGGTATACAATACAATGAATTTAAGAGTCATTTTGCCTTTGTAGGGTACCTAATGAACTCAAGGAAATGTGTAATTATATCTAAATGATACTGTACTCCTGTGAGGTAGAAAAATAATATTAATAAATTTATTAATTTGAACTTTTCTGGTCAAATATTTATTAAGTGCTATTGTTTGTTAGGCACTATTCTAGGATGTAGAGTTATAGCAGTGAGGAATATAGACATAGTTTCTGGAGTTGACCTGCTAGGATATTTTCAGTTTATAAATAGGAAAGATGGAGAAGGAGCCCACTTAAGGAGCATTGATTTTGACCTCAGTTAATATGTAATTCCTACGTTATATCACAAATGAGATTTATCATCATCTTTTAGTCAATTTTTTTCTCTTAGTCCCAGTCAGTAATAAGATTTTTTTTCCCTTCAGCTGTACCCGGAAGTTCCAGTGATATAAAACTATTTTGAGTTTTCAACCATCATAAGGAACTGTGACTGAGGTTTGAGCCAATTATAACTCTGGGACCACTTAACATAATATTAAAAGATAGATTACATTTTTTCCTCTCTTGAGGAAGCAATATTGATGAAATATAGTTAGTACTACAGGGAGAGACAAAGTTCACCATTTTTGTGCTAAAAAGATCTACCTTATCCTTGTCCCTAGGAAAAGGCTTGGCAGGAGGGTAGAATTATATTTTCTGTGTTTCTGCACTATTTGGTGCCACTAGGGTGAGCTTGTTCCACCTCCTGGAATGGTGGGAATGAGGTACAATCCAAATTGCTGCTAAATCACTTTGTTTAGTGCCTGTGGGTGGATTGACTTAAGCCAAAAGGTGGTTGACAACCACCAAAGAGATTTTCCTCTATATGTTGCCAATACCTTTCCTTCCCTCTATTTTCTTTCATTTTCTTTGTTACTTTCATCCTTTTTCTCTTTTTCACATTTACTTTCCCTTCACTTCTGATGCCAAGTCGCTTAGTTTGTTGGAGTTTTGCTGTTGTATGAGGTTTAATCATGTCCTCAGGAAGAGGGATAATTATTAAACTACTGGAAATTTAATGATGGGTATTTATTCCCCAACTTTAGTCATTTTGGTGTCTGAGGTTTGGCATGCCAGTCAGTGGAAGCCAAAGTAGATAAATGTCATCAAACCACACGTGATTTTCCAGTGATTTACGTGTGTTTGTTGTAGTCCAGATGGGCAATTACTGATGCCCTGCTTTGTCCTTTATTCGCAAGCTCCTCTTGGTCAAAATGACAAGTCCAGCTCTCCACGGTGGTGGAAAACAGGTGTCCGTTTATCTCAGTATGAAGTCACCTCTTCCTTACAGTGTGTGTTCTTCTCTAACAGTTATCCTTTGGGGTGTTTTGTTAAGTCACAGGTCCCTGGGCTCTTTTTTTTTTTTTAATTATAAAAGTTGAAGTAAAAAGTTTTCTTTCTCTCTAACTTAAGAACTCCAGTTATCACCAAAAAAGTTGGACTTATTTTTCCCAATGCACTAATGTTATCCTTCTAACGTAATACATATTTGCTTACCTGTTATGTTTATTTTTACTGTTTGTCTGCTACAACTAGGGTTTATGAGGCACAAGGCAGGACCTTGTCCTCTTTGATTCATGAATATATTGTGTTTAAAACAGTGCCTGACACATATTAGGCACTTTTAATATTTGCTGAATAAATGGTACTAAGTCCTCAGTAGAAGATTTGCCTGGAATGACTCTTCTTTTTTTTTGAGATGGAGTCTCGCTCTGTTGCCCATGCTGGAGTGCAGTGGCACCATCTCGGCTCACTGCAAGCTCCGCCTCCCGGGTTCACGCCATTCTCCTGCCTCAGCCTCCCGAGTAGCTGGGAATACAGGTGCCCACCACCATGCCTGGCTAATTTTTTTGTATTTTTAGTAGAGACAGGGTTTCACCGTGTTAGCCAGGATGGTCTCGATCTCCTGACCTCGTGATCCACCCGCCTCGGCCTCCCAAAGTGCTGGGATTACAGGTGTGAGACACCGCACCCGGCCTGGAATGACTATTCTTATAAATGAGAGAGACCTGCGTTAAATCTTCCCTTTACCTCTCTAACCTTAGCAAATATTTTAATATTATTTTGAAATATCCATTTCTTTATCGATATAATGGGAATTTTTTTGAAGAATAAGATTAAATGGGATTAACTAAACGAAATAATGCATAGAAAACTATTTGACACAGTACTTGGCATATATGGGCAATGCTCAAGAACTGTCTAACTGTTAAGAACGTGTCTCCCTTCAGTTAATGTTCATTTGTGAGAAACATAGGACTATATTTATAAAGACAATTTTTTGATGATCTTTGTTTTGGAATATAAATTTAATGAGGATACAAAATTTTTCGTGTTTTTTTCTTCCCTGATGTATCTCAACAGCTAGAATGATGGTAGGCACATAATAGGCACTGAATAAATGCTTGTTGAGTGAATTATTAAATGTTCAAGATGATGATTAGCTCCAGTAGCCTAGCCTTCAGATCCCCAGTAGTAAGCAGTCAAATTAGTGGCAGAGATTTAATAATCCCATCCTAAAAGTGCCTCAGTTGCTTCATTGTGTGGAATGAAAGAATACAGAGAAAGGTTTTGAGAACTGAAAGTTAAGGGGGAAGGGGGCAGAAATTATCTAGAAGTTCAGGCCATGCAGAATTATTTTCAAAAATTCAGAGTCAAATGAACTTTTTATTTTCTTCTTATCTCAATTGACTGTCTATTTATCATGGATCCATGATAAATAATTTCACTTTCTATTCTATAGCTTTTGTTCAAAAGCTATTTAATTTAATGTTGGCTTTTTCTAGGTAAATGTCTTAGTGGTAGGTATGTAGGTTTTAGAAGAAAAGGTATTATAGCCTCACAGATAAACATACTATTCTGGTCACTGCTGCAAGCCTGGATGCTGAAAATACCACAGTCTAAAAGGGATGTTGAAATGTAGGTCTTCTAAGAATGTAAAACAAAGCAAATAAATTCCTTGATCTGTTTCTCACCCTGCTAGCTCAAGTTATTCTCCTAAGAATAACTTCACTCCTCTGACTAATCCTCTATTGTATTTTTTAAAATACAATCTAAGGGAGTCTTCAATATTCTGTTTGTAAGCAAACATTTACTAGAGACCCTCTATGGCTACTTAAAAAAAAGTCTCTTGTTAAAACATTTGATAGAGTCACCAACAAAATTTCTCAAAAGAATCTGCATAAAACAATCCATGGCCATATAATTTTGACATTTTCATGTATTTTTAAAGTTCAGTTTTTTTAACTCTAAACAAATACGATTCCTTTTCATTAAATTTTAGCAATCAGAACTGTTGCTATTGCTATTCTTAATGATAAGCATATTGAATGCAGACTACTATTTGTTTTTATTTTCTGTATATATTATTTTAGAGGGTAAAAAATTTTACATGGTTTTTGCAACTGCTGAGATTAAGGTCTGAAACTTTTTCAAAAATAAAGATTCTGAATAGTTTAGATTAGAAAATACGTTCACAACTGCAATGCAAGACAGTGAAAATGCTTGCAGATAACTTTGAGAGTACTGTGTCCATATCATGTGGGTAAATTGGGAATAAGGTTTATATCACCTTAAGATTACCAGTATTTTAAGTAAATTTATGAAAATTCATTTTTTATATGTGTAGAAAGAACAATTTCACCAAAATCTGTTAATTCAGTTTAAACCAGCTCTCAAAAAAAAAAAAAAAAATCAAGCCCCCAACCGTTTTCTTACATTCATATTTTGAGGGTTTTTTTGGGCCAAATATATTTACTTTTAATAAGAAAGTAGAGAGTGTCTTCCAGAAATTATTAAGATATAGAACAGGAACGGACACAAAGTGTAGAAATGACAAAATTACACTATGAACATATGACGGTGTATGTAGTTTCGAGGAATATAAATCCTGGGGGAGTTAGAGGCAATATGAGTGTAGCATGTGACTCAACCAAATCCCATCATCATTATTAGGAAGGGCAGTTGTCTTGAAGTCAGCTTCCTTTATCTTCTACATCGACGTAAAAGCAGACACAGTCTGGTGACAAGGAAAACAGATTTGTACTTACAAAGTTTGAAAGTTGTTTTTCAAAAAGGAGAACATATCAGCTTTTCTCCCCCCTTGCTCTATAAATAGCTCCTGGCAGGCAGAAACAACCCTGATTGCACGAGATGAAGGAGAACAAGCAGCAGGCTGTAGAGCAGAATCGATGGCACGGTGCCAAGAGCTTCATCAAATGAATAATAGCTTCCACTTGACAATCAGTAAAGTGCCTCTTCTCCTACGGATTTAGTTTTTAATGATGATTAGAGAGGATGGGCCCCTAAAATTTCTCTGGTAGAAATGACCTCCTATTAATTTCTATTCCTTGAAATGCTGAATTTCAAAGCTATTTTACAGCTGCAAAACCAAAGGCACTGACATAAAGGAACTATTATCTTTGTAATTGTAGCAACAAGTACTAAATTTGTCATTGATTAACAGAGACTTTTTAACTTCATGATCCTTTGTTGGTCGAGTCCCTATATGGAACTCTGCTGATTTACTTGCTTTGAAAGTCAAATGTTATATTTTAGATCCAACAGCTATCAGAATAATGTCCTTCGTTTTGATATAATAAATACTTCCTTATAATATCTTACATTGATTATTATGCAACAAAGGGTGAGGGAGTTTGAGTTTCTCATTATTTCTATACAGTGTTTTATTTTCTGCATAGGAAACAACAAATTTCTAGATAGATATGCTTAAAATACATATAGGAACACCACATTTATTAAGCAAAGAGCCTCGTCAGAATTTTTAAAATTCCCAACGCTTTTTATCTGTGTGTATATATGTGTGTGGTGTGTGTGTGTGTGTGTGTGTGTGTGTGTGTGTATGTATGTATGTATGTATGTAAAGAATACTTTCCAAGATAAATTTTATCTGTAAGATAGCCTTGTAAAGAGAAGAAGACATTCATATTGATATGGAGTGATGAGACTAGAGGCTTACTTTGTCAAATTAGGCCATTAGTTAGAAAGTAATGTCACAGGTATTAAAAATAATGCATAGTATGTCTCAAACTTGTAATATATGGCATTCTTTTTTTATAATAAAAGTTTTGGATACAAAGCACAAGACAGAAAAAAAACTTCTGGGTGAATTCAAGAGAAGACAATGGCACTTTACAGTGCTTTCTGTTTACTGTTCTTAATAATAATAAAAAAAGTATAATGAAATGTTTACTTCAACGGTTTTTAAATTTAGAATGGCTTTGAAAAACAACAGAGTCCATATTGTTGAATCTCATGTATTGTCATATCTAAGAGTTCATAAAAATTACAGAAATATTTAAAGCAGTTGAAAAGTTTGGAGGGAAATATTTATTAAGAATTCAACAGTTTTGCCAACCTCTAATTCAGGAGATTGCCCAGTATTAAGTTTAGCCAAAAGCTGCCTCCTTACATAGTTTAAGTTCAGCCTAAAGGTTTCTTTGTACATAGTGAATTGTAACCTACCTGGATGTGTACAGAGATTGGAAGTGCTCTTGTAACAAGTAGCCGAGTCTCAGCCAATCACAGCTGCTATACTTCAACCACTCACAGGCCGCCAACTGTTCAAATGAGCTGTAACCAATTCAGCTGTTTCTGTACCTCACTTACCATAGTTTTCTTTAATGTCACTTTTCTTTCTCTGTCTAGTTGCTCTGAACCTATTCTGCTTAGGGGGGCTGCCTGATTCACAAATTATTCTTTGCTGAATTAAACTCTGTTAAATGTAGTTTGTCTAAAGTTTTTCTTTTAATAACAGTGATGATCTTTGATGTTCATCTTCAGTGTTCCCCAACGAAATGAGAATGGAGTGAGTTCATAGCTTCATTTCTTCAGTTAAAGGACTTCCTTTAGTGTTAAAATATCCTTTGTTTTATGAAATAATATTATCGTGTTTTACTTTCCACTGTTTTTTACTTGATAAAATAAAACATTGACAATCATTTATCGGTTTCACCTTCACTTTAAAATTATTTGCCAGTGCCTGGGAATGGTGGCTCACATCTGTAATCCCAGTACTTTGTGAGGCTGAGGTGGAATGATCGCTTGAGCCCAGGAGTTTAAGATCAGCCTGGACAATATAGGGAGATCTTGTCATTACATAACATTTAAAAATTAGCCAGACATGGTGATGTGCACCTGTATTCCCAAGTATTGGGAGGCTGAGGTAAGAGGATCACTTGAGCCTGGGAGGTCCAGGCTGCAGTGAACTGTGATAGCACCACTGTACTCCAGCCTGGATGATAGAGGGAGACTCTGTCTCAGAAAAAAAAAAATTACTATCCCATGAAATCCAAAAGTCATGGATCTACTAGCCTAAGATAATTTATTTATTAGTTGGCAGGACTTTGCCTGTTATTATATAAGCTGGCACAAAAAGTCTATCATAGCTAACATCAACCAATTGTATGAGGAAGAAATATGAAAACAAATTAGCAAGCTATGACAACCAAAAGAAAAATAAAACCATCAAATACTGTTAGAATTAGGTCATACTTATTAGAAAACTCAATCAAGTATTAAAGCAATACAATAAAACTTTTAGGAACACAGTTCAATGTCAGGTCTTTAAAGAGAAGCTTGAACATGTTACTTTCTTTCCATGGCCACTAAAATCTATGTCACTTTTTCAGTGGATCCTGTGACTACATTATTGTTTAACTGTAGAGAATTTGAGATGAAAACAAACAAAAATATTCTAGCATTCCACTACTAGGGAATGATATATCCTTGTTGCTATATCACGAATTTCCTTATATATGAATGAAATAGTTTTGTACTTTATTATAATATGGCTATGCTATATGGTAGGTCTATAAAGCTAAAACTACTTTTTTTTTTTAGAAGGCAGGGTTTCCTTTGAAATATAACTTAATTCCTAGTATAAGTCACCCTGGTAATAGGTTACTCTGAGAGGAAACTAGAACTGCTGGAAAGAATTAAAAAATAGGTAAAGGGAAAGTTTGTGGAGAGGTAAGGGGAGTAGAATGGGCTAATACATGGAATGGTTGAGTCATAGGCTTTCTAAGAACAAGCCTGCTATCCTAGGACCACAACTTTTACTTTGTTAGATGGAACATTTCTATACCCTGTGCATTCTGTGTTTATTATTATTTTTGTTTTCTTCAACATATAACAAACACTTCTAAAGTTTCTGGCTTGGTTCAATTGCATGAAAGATGATAAAGAGGATTTCTTAAATCCACATGGTAGGAGGGAGGAGTGCACCCCGGGGGCCAGTGTGATGTGGGCACTGGGACCCAGAGTAAGAACTTCAAGAAGATCAAACATAGAGAAACAATCGTAGAGTCACAATACTTGATAAACTTCTCCCCAACACCTCAAAAATGTCCTTTCAGTACTGATTCTGATCCTGGAAGGATTTAGGCCAAATTGACTATGTAATTTGCAGGCCCAGGGCAAAATGAAACTTTGGAGCCACAGCCAGGGGCAGAGAAGTTAGTTTCCCCTACCCATAGGCATGTTGCCTAATTTACTGCAGATGGGCGTCCAGCACCAGGCCTTACTTGATACTTGAGTGGGATTGGGTGAGAGACCCCATGGAGTCACACACTGAATGCACTGCTGCTTTGACACCCAGAGGCACGGTGAGATGAATACCTAACCTGGACCTTTCCTGCACCCAGATCCCTGTGCAGAAGCAGGGAGAAAGGTTGGAGGAGAGAACTATGACCTCTTCCAGTCAATTTGAACTGGTAGCTACCTCAGGAAGAGGGTGGGAGCAGTGGCAAGTCACAGCTGGGAGAGTTTCAAGATGTCCATCCCAGAGCATTAAACCCCAGGTGGGGTCCTTCTGAATATGGAGCCCTGTGAGACTCTACTGGTTGCACATCCATGAAGCTGGTTGTGGTTATAGAATATATTTTATTAAAAAAGATACTGGGCATTTATAGCCACACTGTAGCCATGATCCTTTTTTCCCTGCTGTGGCCATGATCCTCTTTGCTCTAGACATTTTTTTTTGTTACTATAGTTGTTTGCTTTTTTTATCTATTTGCTCTAGTAGAGTGAATACATTAGTGCTTCTTCACCTGAAGCAAGGATTAGTTTTAGATTTCCTTTTTTCAAGACAAATGATGAACACTTGGCCATTTTCACTGTGGGGAACACAGATCCTGTGGAGCTTCTCTATTCCACAGGGTCTAGAAGGTGTCCTGTTAGCAAATCAAAGCACAGTTTTTTATAGTAAGGAATTGCCAAAATGAGATGCAAATAACAAGGCTAAATCCACTTTTGAAACTAAATTTATGAATTAATTCCCAATAGGAAATAAGTACAGGCATCCGTAGGGCTATCAGACTTGGAGGAAGTCAAGCAATTTTGGCTTACAGTATTAAGAACCTTTTAGAGAGCAGAAGAGTTGGCTGACCAAGAAAGAGACAGATCATGAAAAGATTCTGGTAAATGGTTGGAGTTTCAGTGATTCAAAGCTGAGCTCCACACTCAGTACTTTTTATTCTCTTAACCCTAAAGACATAGAGTCTACATGGAATAAAAAAGCAAGGCACTTATTTTACTAGCTATCTTTCTTTTTCATTTTTTTTCTGGTTATCCGCCTGTATTAGTCTGTCCTTGCTTGCTATAAAGAAATATTTCACTGAGTAATTTATAAAGAAAAGAGGTTTTTATTGGCTTACGGTTTTTCAGGCTGTACAGGAAGCATGATGGCATCTAGTTGGCTTCTGGGGAGACCTCAAGAAACTTACATCATGGCAGAAGGTGAAGGAGAAGCAAGCATGTCACCTGGACAGAGCAGAAGCAAAAGAAAGAGGGAGGAGGTGCCATACCTTTTAAACAACCAGATCTTGTGAGAGCTCATCCACTACCTCCAACATTGGGGATTACAATTCAACATGAGATTTGGGTGGAGACACAGATCCAAACCATATCACTTCCCCACCTCCTTTCCATTTCTTTTTTAGGCTTGCTAATTATAAACAGAGAAAGGTTCACTAGGAACATAGATTAGTACTTCTGAGCCTAGAGTGGAAAAGGAAGATAATACTAGGATCTAGTATTAAAATAAATCACATATTCAGAGAAGATGTAGACATAGTTTCCAGAAGATAAAATAACATTTAAAGTTCTTCCTTCATATCCTTCATATTCCTACCACCTCTACTCTCCGGTTAACTCCCTAGATTACAGACCTGTGAAAATTAATTTGAAAATTAATGTGAAATTAATTCTTACAGGATTCACAGGATTGTTATATAAGAAAAATACCTCAAAGAGTATACAAAGAAAACAATAATGCATATACTAAAGAAGGGCAGAGTTAATTTTGTAGCAAATTATTTGTATAAATTTTGTTTTATGATTATTTTTCTTAGACTTGGAGTGCAGAAGATTGAATTAGTTATACTTAGTATATAGCACACTGTCATCACTAGTGTATGCAATGACCCTTTTTTATTTTATTTTATTATTACTTTTATTTCATTATTATTTTCTGAGACAGGGTCTTGCTTTGTTGCCCAGGCTGGAGTGCACTGGTGCAATAATGGCTCACAGTAGCCTAGACTTCCTGAGCTCAAGTGATCCTTCCACCTCAACTTCCTGAGTAGGTGGGACCACAGGCATGGGCCACCACAACCAGCTAATTTATTTCATTTTTTGTAGAGACAGGTATCCCTGTGTTGCCCAGGCTGGTCTCGACTTCCTGGGCTCAATGATCCTAGTGCCTCAGCCTCCCAAAATGCTGGGATTACAGGTAAGCCACCATGCCCGCCCTCTTTGTCATTTTATTTATTTATTTTTCATTTTATCCTTATTCTTCAACCATTCTAATGTAGGGTCTTTTGTGTCTATTTTTGTGAAATAAATATTTATTTATTTATAAAATATGTTATTTAGGTAGACATGCATTTTTAATTTACATAATTATCTAGTGCTTTAAATCTCGTATTTCTTGTTTTATTCAGCACTATTTTTAGTATCTATATATCATATGCATTAGATATATTTTGCTTCTAATGGTTGCATTTTATTTACCTGTTCCATCAATGATAGAGACCTACAGTATCTCCATTTCCTGACTACCAGAAACATCCCTGTAATTCAGTCTTTTATGTATCTGCTTTGGGATCTTTGTAAGAATTTTTCTGGGATATCTATCCAGGAGTAGGATTGCTAGGCCAAAGGAAATATGTATACCTAATTTAATTAGGCTCTGCCAAGTTGCTTTCAAAAATGGTTGTGTATACCTTCCTACCAAAAGTATAAGAATATCCCTATAACGTTACATCACTATCAATTTCTAGCATTACTCAATATTGGACAATTTAATGGGTGTGATATATTATTTTAATTTTGATTTCTCTAATTACTAATAAAACTTATCATCTCCTTATATGCTTTTTAGTCTTTCGGATTTCCTCTTATGTGAATTGCAAGTTAATAGCTTTTGCCTGTTTTTTATTTTTCATGTTTATTTGCTTGCACTAGATTCTTTTTGCATCTTTTAGATTTTTATCTTCTTGATTTTAGACATTGCCAATGAACTCCCAATCTGTGACCTGTCCGTTAACATTATCCATGGTGTTTATATTATTTAGGAGGTAACTCTGTTATTTGTAGTAGAACCCTATATTAACAGTGGCTCAACAAGAAAGAGATTTTCCTCCAAGTGACAATTTAGAAGGAAGTGATCCTTTTGTGTTGTTATTCCACCATTTCTAGAGTATTGGTTTCTCAGCATGGTGCAAGGTGGCTCTCATCAGCCATGAGAAAGGGGAAAAGAGGGAGAAGAGAGCATGCTCCTTTATTTAAAGGCACAAGGTAGAAGGTACACACTGTTGTTGGAAATCTGCTTATATTTCATTGGTTAGAAAATAGTCGTAGGGTCATTTCTAGCTACAAGGGAGGCTGATGAATATAGTCATTTATTCAGGAGGCCATGTTCCCACCTAAACTTAAGAAAATCTGTCAGGGTTAGAGACAGAAGAGAATATATTTGAGGTAATCTATGCCACAGTGTTCTTCACTGAACAGAAGTCCTTAACTTTGAGGTTCTCAAATTAATACCTTTGCCTTATGTGTGCTTTTGTAGTTTTTGTTGTTGTTTTTTGAGACAGAGTCTCACTCTGTGGCCCAGGCTGGAGTCCAGTGGGGTGATCTCAGCTCACTGCAAGCTCTGCCTCCCGGGTTCCCGCCATTCTCCTGCCTCAGCCTCCCGAGTAGCTGGGACTACAGGTGCCCACCACCACGCCCAGTTAATTTTTTGTGTTTTTAGTGTAGACGGGGTTTCACCGTGTTAGCCAGGATGGTCTCAATCTCTTGACCTCGTGATCAGCCCGCCTCGGCCTCTCAAAGTGCTGGGATTACAGGTGTGAGCCACCGCACCTGGCTGCTTTTGAAAAGCTAGAGTCTTTCACTAGCCCTAGATGACATTATCTTCTTTGAGGTTTTCATTTATACCTTTCTTATTTAAATATTAATGCATCTGGGATTCACTTGCAATTATGATATTAGGGATACAATTATATTTTTCTTTATATGGGAGGCAATTTCCCCAATTACATCTATTCAATAATCTGTCTGTTCATCATTTTTAAAATATTACTTCAAGTTCTCCTAGAAGCAGAGGCCAAAATGGATTTAGAGGTGCAAAAGATTAATGGGAGGAAACACCAGTGAAGGATAAAGGGGAGAGGGCCAAAAAGGCTGCTGATATGAGCTTCTAACACCTGTGAAGGAGGATTGGGTAGGAAAAGTCTCAAATTATAGTACAGTTTTAAGAAAGTTTTGGACAGGCCAGTAGAGTTATTATACACCAAAGCTGTCTGTCAGAGGAATACCATGTCTTATGGGAATGGGCCTGAACTGGTGCCTCCATTGTGCTCAGGGCCTGGCTGTGAGCATTCTCTAAGAAGGGTGGGCTTGGCGTGAATGTGGTAGTGGATGCAGAGGGGCAGCATCTGGGGCTGTCAACTCCATGTCTTCAGCAGGAACTCTGAGCTGCACATTTTCATGACCACCACAATTTCTAGTGCCAACTTCATCATATATAATGTTCTTATGCTTGCAAGTCTTTTTGGAACTCCCTACTATATACTGCTTATCTATTTGTCTCATACTGTTCCATACTATCTCTTCTTATTATTTTTTGCTCCTTATTCTTTATTTCTTGTTATTATTTGCTCTTTTTCAAAGTTGACTTAAACTAATCATAGATTTTAATTTCTTGAAACCAATTTTAGAATATGTTTTACCTTAAAAAATCTACTTGGAATTTTGATCTGAATTACATTGAATTTATATATTAATATGAAAAACTAGATCTTTAAGCTATTATAATCTTTTCTAAGATGATAGAATATCTCTGTATTCTCTTATAGGCTTTTAATAGAATTTTGAGTTTTTCCTCTATAAATCCTTGAGTACTCTTTAATTCCTAGAAATTTTATAGTTTCTGTTTCCTTTAAGAATATCATCTTAATTTTATATATTTTCTAGTTGATTATTGCTAATATAGAGAAATGCTATTGATTTTGTATAGGTTGATCTTGAATCTGTCAACTTTGCTGAACTCTTCTAAGAATTCATGTAGTTCATATGTTGATTCTGTTGTTTTTCCTATGTAGAAGATGTTCCCTTTTAATACTTCACTCTACAATATTAATAGCAGAGAAAATGGGTATTCTGTTCTTGGTTCCAAAATTAAAGGGAATGTGTTAAAAATTGAAGGGCTTGGATATATAACCTTTATCTAGTTAAAGGTGTTTCTGTTAATTCCTAGTTTTATAAAAGGTTTTATTATAAGGTATTGGTTGAAGTTTATCATTTTCTGTATTTTTAAAAAATATATGATTTTGTTCTGTAGTCTATCAATGTGGTGCATATCACCAATAGTTTTTACTCATGTTGAAATGTCATTGCATTCCTGGGATAAATCATGTATGATAATGCTATCCTTAAAACTTAAAAAAAATCAGATACATGTAGCTAAAACTTTATTTTGAATTTTTGCATCTATGCTTATAAGTGAAATATACAATTTCCTGTTAAAGTATTATCTTTACTCAGTTTTTAAATAAAGATTACACTTGCCTCATAAAATGAACTGGTCAGTCTTCTTTTCCTTTCTCTTTACAGGATTAACTAATCTTTGAAAGTTTGGTAGAACTCAACTGTAAAACCATATGGGCCTGAGACGTTTTTAGAAATTAAATTTCTTCAATGCCAATTTGTCCATTCAACTTTTCTATTTCTTCTTATATACACTTTTGAATTTTATATTTTTCCAGATATTTATGCATTTCATTGAGGTTTTCAAATTTACTTCAATATAATTTTTCATAATACTATTTATTATTATTAAAAATACATGTTGTGCTTATAGTTATTTTTATTTATTTAATTTTTTTTTGATATGGAGTCTTGCTCTGTTGCACAGGCTGGAGTGTAGTGGCGCAATCTCGGCTCACTGCAACCTCCACCTCCCAGGTTCAAGCAATTCTCCTGCCTCAGACTCCCAAGCAGCTGGGTTTACAGGTGCGTGCCACCATGCCCAGCTAATTTTTTTGTATTTTTAGTAGAGACGGGGTTTCACCATTTTGGCCAGGCTGGTCTTGAATTCCTGACCTCAGATGATCCGCCTGCCTCGGCCTCCCACATTATAGTGGCTTACGCCTGTAATCCCAGCATTATAGTTATTTTTATACTGTATTTTGCTTATCTGTGTGTCCTTATTTTATTTATTTTTGCATTTGATCCTGCATGAGATTAATTTAACCTATTGACCTTTTCAAATAATGAGTTTTTGGTGTTATGATTCTCTATTTCTATTTAAATTTTTTATTTAGTTGATTTCCACTCTCAATTTATTATTTCCTTGTTTTTTAAAGATATTTTCTCTTACCTTTTTCACCTTCTTGAATTGAATGCTTAGCTATGTTTTTCTTTAATCTTTCTGTTTCCTAATAAATGTGTTCAAAGTTATAAACTTCTCCATAAATATTGTTCAGGTGTGACTCACCAATTTTGACATATAGTATGAATTTCATTGTTCAGTTATGAATACTTTGTTATTTCTGTTATGATTTCCAAAGGTTATTTAATACATATTTTGTGGCTTTCAGATATATGGGATTTAAAATTTTATTAACTTTTACTTTTATTGCAACATAATTACCAAGTTAGAAATTAATTTTGTTTTCTTTATCTAACAGTTTCTGAGGGTGTGTTTTAAAGTCTTAAGCTACAATTTTTGTCTATTTTTGTTCACACTGCTACCTATCCATATTGATAGGTGCATTTATGTTCACAATGCCTAAATATTCTTGCACTATTGTTTCCTTTATTAAGGGAACTCTTGATTTTCCTCTTAGTCCTTTCTCTTTGTCCTTTATGATTTTTTCCATGGATTTTTATTTTGTCAGAGGTTAACAGTGCAATTCCAGTTTTCATTGGAATTTGGAATAATTAGCAGGTTACTTTTTTCTCTTTTCTGTATCCTATTGTTTGAATGATACATCTTTTAAACAGCATGTTATTTAATCTTTTTTAAAAAATTAATATCTAACATGGGATCTCTGTCTTTAAAGTTGTGTATTACTATTATGGTATATTTTTATATAATGTTCTGTTTAACTGCAGTGCATCAGCCATCTCCTTTGTATTCCTGGACAGAGGCAATCCCCTTGGGCTGTAACACATCAGCTCAGGGGGTTTAGATAGGGAAGAAGTAAAGGAATGATACATGGCATGTGACTGGGTGGTGGAAATATATTTTCACTCCAGCAGGACTTTTATTCTGCCTTTATATTACCCCATGGCAGTGACCTGGAAGGTTGCTGTGGATTTATTGGTGATGAGGCAGACTATGACTATCCCAAAGTAATCTGTGAGAAAGGTTAAGAACAGAATTTTAAAGCTGTCTCTAAACTAGTGCTTAATGCTGTGACCCAGGTTGCCACTCTCCTATACAATGACTTTCATAAGCTTTCTCCCTAGGCGTTTTCTTACTGCTTTTATATTGGTTGGTTCAGACCTGTGTTTCCCTCTCAAGTCTGCGGTTTCTCTAGGGTTGATTTAGGGGAAGGGAAACCACATTCTGTGCTGGTATACTATCTTGTTTTGAAGCCACAGGTAAACTTTATAAATATATTTATAAGGGTGGTTGTACAGAGATATTTTGAAAAAAATTACCCATTAAAAACCGTCATTCTCAGCAAACTAACACAGGAACAGAAAACCAAATACCGCATGTTCTCACTCATTAGTGGGAGTTGAACAATGAGAACACATGGACTCAGGGAGGGGAACATCACACACCGGGGCCTGTTGGGGGTAGGGAGCTAGGGGAGGGATAGCATTAGGAGAAATACCTAATGTAGATGACAGGTTAATGGGTGCAGCAAACCACCATGGTATGTGTATAACCTATGTAACAAACCTGTACGTTCTGCACATGTATCCCAGAATTTACAGTATAATAAAATAAATAAATAATAAACAAAATGGAAAAAAAAAAACTACTCTAAAACCCCAAACAAAGTGACCTTGGCAAATCATCTAATAGGAATATTAGAAAAGCCAAAATGCTTTATACTGCTACCCAACACTTTCCTCAGGACCAAATGAATCATACCATAGCACTCCTAAGACTTGAAAAGTAGCTTGACATGTTAATTTGGTTAGTTTTCCCATCTTTTCTTTCTCCGAATTTTTCCTCATCCCATTTTTAAAATGATATCCTTGCACTCAGTATTATTATTGTTTTAAAACTCATCCTTAATATCATGCCAGGCTCTGCTGACTGTGGGAAGTTAAGCTTCTTAGGTGGTGGGCTGTTTAACAGGGTGAGATTATCTTCTCTTACTATCAGCAGGCAGCAGTGTTAACAGCATTAATCCTCCAACCCTGTCCATTTACTCTAATAACATCTGCCTGCACTCATGCATTCACATGTGTTAAATGGGACGATTGTATTAGTCTGTTCTCACTCTGCTAATAAAGACGTACTGGATACTGGGTAATTTATAAAGAAAAGAGGTTTAATGCACTCACAATTTCACCTGGCTGGGGGTGACCTCACAATCATGGTGGAAGTCAAAGGAGAAGCAAAGGCATGTCTGACATTGCGGCAGGCAAGAGGGAGCTTGCGTAGGTTTTATAAAGCTCCCCTTTATAAAACCATCAGATCCTGTGAAACTTACCCATTATCACTGGAACAGCATGTGAAAGACCTGGCCCCATTGAGAAGTGACAGCGTGCTGGCAGTCCTCAGAGCCCTCGCTTGCTCTCGGCACCTCCCCTGCCTGGGCTCCCACTTTGGTGGCATTTGAGGAGCCCTTCAGTCCCCCACTGCACTGTGGGAGCCCCTTTCTGGGCTGGCCAAGGCCGGAGCCCACTCCCTCAGCTTGCAGGGAGGTGTGGAGAGAGAGGCACGAGCGGGAACCGGGGCTGTGTGCGGCACTTGCGGGCCAGCTGGAGTTCCGGGTGGGCGTGGGCTTGGTGGGCCCCGCACTCGGAGCAGCCAGCCAGCCCTGCTGGCCCCGGGCAATGGGGGACTTAGCACCCAGGCCAGTGGCTGCGGAGGGTGTACTGATTCCCCCAGCAGTGCTGGCCCACCGGAGCTGCGCTCGATTTCTCGCCGAGCCTCGGCTGCCTTCCCACCGGGCAGGGCTCAGGACCTGCAGCCCGCCATGCCTGAGCCTCCCACCCACTCCATGGGCTCCTGTGCTGCCCGAGCCTCCCCGACGAGCGCCACCCCCTGCTCCATGCGCCCAGTCCCATCGACCACCCAAGGGCTGAGGAATGCGAGTGCACGGCGCAGGACTGGCAGGCAGCTCCACCTGCAGCCCTGGTGCAGGATCCACTAGGTGAAGCCAGCTGGGCTCTTGAGTCTGTTGGGGACGTGGAGAACCTTTATATCTAGCTCAGGGATTGTAAATACACCAATCAGCACCCTGTGTTTAGCTCAAGGTTTGTGAATGCACCAATCGACACTCTGTATCTAGCTGCTCTGGTGGGGCCTTGGAGAACCTGTGTGTGGAAACTCTGTGTCTAACTAATCTGATGGGGAAGTGGAGAACCTTTGTATCTAGCTCAGGGATTGTAAATGCACCAATCAGCGCCCTGACAAAACAGGCCACTCGGCTCTACCAATCAGCAGGATGTGGGTGGGGCCAGATAAGAGAATAAAAGCAGGCTGCCCGAGCCAGCATTGGCAACCCGCTTGGGTCCCCTTCCACACTGTGGAAGCTTTGTTCTTTCGCTCTTTGCGATAAATCTTGCTACTGCTCACTCTTTGGGTCCATGCTGCTTTTATGAGCTGTAACACTCACCGCAAAGATCTGCAGCTTCACTCCTGAGCCCAGCGAGACCACGAGCCCACCAGGAGGAACGAACAACTCCAGATGCGCTGCCTTAAGAGCTGTAACACTCACCGCGAAGGTCTGCAGCTTCACTCCTGAGCCAGCGAGACCACGAACCCACCAGAAGGAAGAAACTCTGAACACATCTGAACATCAGAAGGGACAGACTCCAGACACGCCACCTTAAGAGCTGTAACACTCACCGTGAGGGTCCGCGGCTTCATTCTTTAAGTCAGTGAGACCAAGAACCCACCAATTCCGGACACACCATGATTCAATTACCTCCCACTGGGTCCCTCCCATGACATGTGGGAATTATGGGAGCTACAATTCTAGATGAGATTTGGCCAAACCATATCATCCCTCCCCTGGCCTGTGCCAAATCTCATGTTCTCACATTTTAAAACCAATCATGCCTTCCTAACAGTCCCCGAAAGTCTTAACTCATTTCAGCATTAACTCAAATGTCCACAGTCCAAAGTCTCAGCCGAGACAAGGCAAGTCCCTTCTGCCTATGAGACTGTAAAATCAAAAGAAAGTTGGTTACTTCCTAGATACAATGGGGGTACAGGTATTGGCTAAATACAGCCATTCTGAATGGGAGAAATTGGCAAAAACAAAGGGACTATAGGCCCCATGCAAGTCTGAAATCCAATGGGGTGGTCAAATCTTAAAGCTCTGAAATGAAAATGGGGCCTTTGACTCCATGTCTCACATCCAGGTCATGCTGATGCACAAGGTAGGCTCCCATAGTTTTGGGAAGCTCTGCCCCTGTGGCTTTGCAGGGTATAGTCCCTTTCCTGGCTGCTTTCATGGGCTGGGATTGAGTGTCTGAGGCTTTTTCAGGCACACAGTGTAAGCTGTTGTTGGATCTACCATTCTGGGATCTGGAGGATGGTGACCTTCTTCTCACAGCTCCACTAGGCAGTGCCCCACTGGGGACTGTGTGGGTGCTCCCACCCAACATTTCCCTTTTGCACTGCCCTAGCAGAGGTTCTCCATGAGGTCACTGCCCCTGAAGCACATCTCTGCCTGGACATCCAAGCTTTTTCATACATCCTCTGAAATGTAAGCAGAGGTTCCCAAACCTCAGTTCTTGACTTTTGTGCACCCATAGGCCCAACACCATCTGGAAGCCACCAAGGCTTGGGGCTTGCACCCTCTGAAGCAATGGCCTGAGTGCTATGTTGGTACCATTTACCCATGGCTGTGATGTAGGGCACCAAGTCCCTTGACTGCACAAAGCAGCAAGGCCCTAGGCCAGCCGTGAACAATTTTTTCCTCCTATACCTCCCAGCTTGTGATGGGAGGGGCTGCTGTGAAGACCTCTAACATGGCCCAGAGACATTTTCCCCATTGTCTTGGTGATTAACATTTGGGTCCTCATTACTTATGCAAATTTCTGCATTAAATTACTTCTTAAGTTACTCCTAAGAAAATGTTTTTTTCTCTATCACATCATCTGGTTGCAAATTTTCTAAACTTTTATGCTCTACTTCCCTTTTAAACATAAGTTGCAATTCCAAACCATATCTTTGTGAATATACAAAACTGAATGCTTTTAACAATGCTCATGTCATATCTTGATTGCTTTGATGCTTAGAAATTTCTCCCATCAGAGGTCCTAAATCATCTCTCTCAGGTTCAAAGTTCCACAAATCTCTAGGGCAGGGGCAAAATGTTGCCAGTCTTTGCTAAAATAGCAAGAGTCACCTTTGCTCCAGTTCCCAACAAGTTCCTTCTCTCCATTTGAAACCATCTTAGCCAAGACTTTATTGTCCATATCACTATCAGCATTTTGGTCAAAGCCATTCAACAAGTCTCTAGGAAGTTCGAAAGTTTCCCACATCTTCCTATCTTCTGAGCCCTCCAGACTGTTCCAACCTCTGAGTATTACCCAGTTCCAAAGTTGCTTCCACATTTTCGGGTATCTTTACAGCAGCACCCCCTTCTGGTACCAATTTACTGTATTAGTGTGTTCTCACATTGCTAATAAAGACATACCTGAGACTGGGTGACTTACAAAGAAAAGAGGTTTAATGGATTTACAGTTCCACATGGCTGGGGTGGCCTCACAATCATGGCAGAAGGCAAGGAGAAGCAAAGCCATGTCTCACATGGTGGCAGGCAAAAGGTAACTTTGCAGGGGAACTTCCCTTTATAAAACCGTTAGATTTTGTGAGACTTATTCACTAATATGAGAATAGCACAGGAAAGACTCACCCCCATGATTCAATTCCCTCCCGCTGGGTCCCTCCTATGACATGGGAATTATGGGAGCTACAATTCAAGATGAGATTTGGGTGGGGATACAGCCAAACCATATCAATGACATAAAGTGATATTTGGGCTATCGCTACTTCCCTCATTAAGTGAACCAATATTTCTTTACCACTTTTCAGGGGAATGGCTCTTACCAGTATTTCTAGAAGAAACTACTGCAGTCCCTCTTCTACTGAGATTAAGGGATGATATCGCCAGGAACAAATGAACAGGCATGTAATCCAATTCAACTAAGTAAATTGTGAGATTTAAACATGTTTTTAAGGAAGAAGTCCCAGAAAAGTGGTTATACTACATTTTAAGATTGTGTATCAGATCCTAAACTCCCTATCTTATTGTTCAGATTAGACAGCCTATGCCTAAATGTTATCTCTTTATAAGGCAGAAATATTAAGCAGCAACATGTCATGGATAAAAACAATGGATTAGGAACTGAGAAACAGACATTAGTTCTGGCTAAATTATTAGGTACCTGTGTAACCTTAAGGAAATTAGACAATTTCACTGGGAAATCAGCTTCCCCATTTGTAAAATAATCTTTAAAGTATTATCCCTCAAAAATCCAAGATTCTATGTTTATAATACCTATGGTATTTTTAGTCAAGACCATTTTTGTTCCCAAACAGAATGATTAACAATTTTTCTTGTAAGATCATAAGAAAACATAGGTTATATTTGGTAAGTAATTGATATGGTTTGGCTCTGTCCGCACCAAAATCTCATCTTGAATTGTAGCTCCCATAATTTCCACGTGTTATGAGAGGGAACCAGTGGGAAGTAATTGAATCATCAGGGCAGTTTCCCCCATACCGTTCTTGTGGTAGTAAATAAGTCACATTTGATCTGATGGCTTTATAAGAGTTTGCCCTTTTTGGTTGGCTCTCATTCTCTCTTGTCTGCCACCATGTAAGACATGTCTTTCACCTTCTGCCATGATTGTGAGGCCTCTCCAGCTCCATGGAACTGTGAGTCCATTAAACCTCTTTTTCTTCATAAATTACCCAGTCATGGGTATGTGTTTATCAGCAGTGTGAAAAAGTACTAGACGGCAATCATGGAGGATGGATATATCCCAAATTGCGGGTGGTCCTGCTAGGGAGAATAGAGCCGGGCAAGCTGCTACATACTAGAACCTGGTCACCTGGGGATCATGGAGGTGCTAGGGATCAAAAGGGAGGAGATGATTTTAGGAAAGTGAGGCCATTGTAAAGCCACTCTGCCACTGTTAAAATCATGTCTGGGGCCATCCCTGAGTCCCTGGGAGGGCAGGGGACTTTCTGCACGCTCTCTATTTGTAGGCAGGGCATAAAATGCCCTGCTACAAACTGATGAAAGGAGTATACCTGATCTATGCCAGTTAACTGTAAATCAGTTTCTTTACAGATTGATAAGTTCTTTTTCGAAAGGACTTTTCATGTAGAATGCTCATTTACTACTATCTTTCTCATCTCTCTTTACCCCTTCCCCTCGTGAGACTCACATAGGAGTGAAATAAAGTGGTATAGACATATTTTGAAGATTGGAACATTTTTTCCAGACTATGATAGGACAGCTCCAAATGTGATGCAGCTGGATTTTCCCTGGGTGGCCTGTGGTGCCTCAAACCCAACAATGATTCTCTAAGAAACCTAAAATTCATGCTCAGGTCTTTAATTAGGAAGGATAGGGACAATTTTATAACTTTGCTTACATAAACCAGAAGTTGTCTGGCTCTGTGCAGGAATACCAAAGGGTACTTATCTAATGACTTTGGCTTTTCAGGACCCAAAACCAGATTTCTGAGTTCTCTCTTTTCTTTCTTCTCAGAGCTCTGTTAGGGGTAACTAAAAGCAGAATAAGTCAGCTCTCTGCCTTCCTTAGATTGTGATGATTGTCTGGGTAGAGCTGCAAATGTCACCCTGAAATAAATACATAAAAATGTAAACATTCAGGTGCAGTGGCTCACGCCTGTAATCCCAACACTTTGGGAAGCCTAGGTGGGCAGATCCCCTAAGGTCAGGAATTCGAGACCTGCCTGGCCAACATGGTGAAACCCCGTCTCTACTAAAAACACAAAAAATTAGCTGGGCTTTGTGGCAGGCGCCTGTAATCCCAGCTACTTGGGAGGCTGAGACAGGAAAATCACTTGAACCCAGGTGGCGGAGGTCGCAGTGAGCCGATATCATGCCACTGCACTCCAGCCTGGGTGACAGAGCAAGACTCTGTCTCAAAAAAAAGTAAACAAAAATATAGTCTATTCATCATACAACAATAATTTATATTAACCAACAATTTAGGAGGGACAGAATAATGTTAGAGAAATATGTTAGAGATGCAAAAAAGGGAACATGCTTTCAAAAATAAGCATATTCTGGCACAGCAGAAAAGTCTTGTCATATTTTAAATGGTAAAATTAGATTTGCCAGAATTTAACTATTTACCGCTTTGGGCAATTCAGGGTCAAGAACAATTGTAAACAGGCAAAACCAACAGCAAATGTACTGTAGCTGCTTTTAAATGGAATTTATTTATTTAATTGAGATTCCACTAAGTGAAAATAATATTTTAAAATTCTAATCAGCCCCTGATGACAGCAGGAGATCTACGGCCTGCTGCCTAATGAAGTAATTAAGCTTAGCTCATCATTATCTAGCAAGACACCAAACATATGCCCATTCACACATGCACACACAAACACACACATTCACACATTGCTGTGAATTGTAACTGCGTTTGAAAGAAAGATTGAGGGATCAATAGATGATTAGGTATGTGTGGAGATTAGGAAACAAAAAGTCTTAAAGAATGTTTAGTTTTTATACTACATATGTGTTAATGTGTTTTTATAGTAACTACACCGAGGACAAGGTCGTTTTGGTGTGACAGAATTGGAAATCGTCATAAGGGACCAGAATAAAATTAAACACTTGTGGCCGGGTGCAGTGGCTCACGCCTGTAATCCCAGCACTTTGGGAGGCTGAGGCAGGTGGATCATGAGGTCAGGAGTTCAAGATCAGCCTGGCCAACATGGTGAAACTCCATCTCTATTAAAGATACAAAAAAGTAGCAGGGCGTGGTGGTGCGCACCTGTAATCCCAGGTACTCGGGAGGCTGAGGTAGGAGAATCTCTTGAATCCAGGAGGCAGAGGTTGCAGTGAGCCGAGATCATGCCATTGTGCTCCAGCCTGGGTGACAGGGTGAGACTCCGTCTCAAAAACAACAACAACAACAACAAAAAACACTTGTAATCCGTTACAAACACACTTAAACAAAATTCAAGATTTACGTACTTAAAGAACATGTATCTTCTTATTTTCCTATTTTTTGTGTTTATCTTATATAGTAATGCAGAAAACAGTAAGTTTGTTTGAAAAATAGAGGTTTTAGTTGTATAATAATCATTTTAAAATCATTCTTAGCCATTATGAGGAAGTGTTTCAAATTCTGTCTTAGTCTACCTTGTAAAGAATGAATTGTAAAAGATTTTGAATACCTGTCCTGTGTGAGCTTTTGCACAAAACTGTTATTTACCAAACGCAGTTTATCCCTCCAAGTTGAAGTACAATTAAACACATTGTTTAGAAAATGAGGTTTATACTACATCAAAAGCAATGACACCATGTATCTCTAAATATATGGACAAGAATTAATGCTCAAACACTAGCCAATGTCTCTGCTCCATAGGGTTTAGTTTGGGTTCTTTATTACATTTGAGCTATTTTTATTTTTAAAGCTATAATTACTTGATGGGGATGTTCACAGTTGGTATTATGTGCTCAGCAGTTAATTTTTAAGGGAGTGAGACATATGGAAAAGGTGTTTCTTGCCCAGCTATTTGAAAAAATCCTCATCAATATGAATAAAACCCCATTTTGCATCGTTTGATAGTTTCTTATCCTAATGAACAAATTTATTCAGAATAAATGAACAAGGTACTTCTAAATCGTTTGCTTTCCCAGGCCTCTAAAATTATTTCGCAGCACTCCTGAGACATCTTTCTGGCACCAGGGCTACAAGTGAAACTGGGAGTTGGGGAAATCTGATGGCCCTGCCAATGGCGAATAGTAGCTACATAGCAGTAACAAATAGTTGCATCATAGAGTGTATTAGATGCTAGCTTGCGTAAAGGGTAGACCATAGATTAAACTTCACATTCTCTAGACAATGGAGGGTAGCAAAGTGATTCAGTAGCTCTTGAGAGTTAGTAGCACTTGAGGTAAAAGCTTTAAAGAAAAAGGAATCAAACTAGTAAAACAAGATTTTCTTGTTTATTAGAGAAGCGGAGCCTGAAAAACTAATCAAGAACTACAGGAATATTTATTATATGTGACCCAGGAAAACAAGATGTGACATGGAATAAAAACCTAGAAAACTGAGGTAGGGTGGAGGGCACAGCCCATGCTGACTCCATTCTTCCACTGCTCCATTCATTCTATTAGCAAAGGTTTATTGAGTGACTACTGTCTGCCAGCTATTGTGCTATTAATAAGTACACAACAGGCTGGGCACGGTGGCTCATACCTGTAATCCTAGCACTTTGAGAGGCCGAGGTGGGTGGATCACCTGAGGTCAGGAGCTCAAGACCAGCCTGGCCTAAATGGTGAAACCCTGTTTCTACTAAAAATATAAAAATTAGCCAGGCATAGTGGTGTGCACCTGTAATCCCAGCTACTCAGGAGGCTGAGGCAGGAGAATCGCTTAAACCTGGGAGGCAGAGGTTGCAGTGAGCTAAGATTGTGCCACTGCACTGCAGCCTGGGTGACATAAGGAGACTCTGTCTCAAAAAACAATGAACAAACCAAACAAAACAGTACACAACAGTACAGACAGACGATATCACTGCCTTCATGGATCTCTCTCTTAATATATTTTAGAGACAGAGTCTGTCTCTGTTGCCCAGGCTGGAGTGCAGTGACACCATCATAACTCACTGTAGACTCAGTCTCCTGGGCTCAAGTAATCTTCCCACTTCAGCTTCCCGAATAGCTAAGACTACAGGCATGTGTAACCACACCCAGCTAATTTTTAAAATTTTTTGTAGAGACAGAATCTTTCTGTGGTGCCCAGGCTGGTCTGGAACTCGTGGCCTAAAGTGATCCTCCTACCCCAACCCCCAAAAGCTCTGGGATTACAGGCATTAGCCACTGCTCATGGATCAATATTATAGTGAATGAGGCAGATGATAAACAAGCAAACACACAAATCTATTGTGATAGGTGCTGAAAGAGAAATATCCCAGGTATTGTCATAGAAATGCCTTTGTGATAAGGTAGGAAGTAGGTCTTTAGGGATAGTAATGAGGGAAGGCCTTTTTGAACAAAGAACATTTGAGATGAGACCCAAGGCCAAGAAACAGGCAGCTCTGCAGAGAACTGGAAAAGAGCACTCCAAGCAGAGGAACAATATGTATAAAGGCTTTGAGTGGGTAAGGATTTGGTGCATTTGAGAAATCAAAAGGAGACCTAAGGGTTGGGTGTGGTGGCTCACACCTGTAATCCTGGCCCTTCAGAAGGCTGAGGCAAGAGGATGGCTTGAGGCCAGAAGTTCAAAACAAGCCTGGGCTACATGGCAGACACTGTCTCTATGAAACATTAAAAAATTAGCCAGACATGGTGGCAGGTACCTATAATACCAGATATGTGAAAGGCAAAGGGTGCAGGATCACTTGAACCCAGGAGTTCAAGGCTGCAGTGAGCTATGATGATCCCACCATAGAACTCCAGCATGGGTGATAGAGCAAGATAGAGCAAAAAAAGAGAGAGAGAGAGCGAGAGCTAGCGAGCGAGAGAGAGAGAGAGAGAGAGAGACAGACCTAGATAGCTGAAACATAGCATTCCAGAGGGAGAGTGATACCAGAGAGGTTAGGGAGGTAAGCAGGAACCAGATCATTCAGGGCCTTTTTCAACATGGCAAGGACTTTAGGGTTTCCTATAAAAACAATGGAAAGCCTTTGAAGGGATTTCATCAGGGGAGAGAGTCACACGATCCAACTTACATTTTAAAAGTATTACTCTAGTATACTTTCATTTTGATAATAAAGAAAGCATTGTTTATGAGAACAGAATCACTTATACCACACACATTATACAGAAATAAGTTAACATCATGGATATCTTCAAGGGTGATTAGAAAGAGAAATTTAAGTGCAGTGAAAACAAAGAAATTTACTTACCACCTACAGCATATTCTCTGACATGTGGGTTTACTATCAGGAGCTTTTATAACTTTTTGAAGGAATATTTCAGCCAGAACACAGAAGTATATGTTTTAACTCTGTCAGAAAAACTAATGGAAATTCATGAGGTAAGAATATGCCCTGATGATAAACTTGTTGGAAGTTTTAAAAATGGCAGCACCATTTTTATTATGTTTCATCAGCAAGGCCTTCTTTGGTCATGAAAAAGTCACCTTTGTTGTAGAATAATATAACCATGGATTGGCCTGATCTAATCTTCCCATTCTCAGAAGGATGAACCTCCATGGTCTTTCTGAGGCCAAATGGAATCTCTTGATCTGTATAACATTCCCTACTCTGTGGCCAGCTCTAAGTGGAAACATTTCTTGACCTCTTTTTTCATTAGCATTCATCTCAGGTTAGACATTTCTATAACCTGGAACAGATGTCATTGATGAAAATTTTAGAATCAAAGCAATTATTCAAGAAAAACTTAAAATATATAGTTAAAGCATAAATAAATGTTACTACATTATTCATATAGAAATGTTTACCTAATTACATATATTCCATGTTGGTGGCATTTTGACAGAAGAGCATGGAGAAGATAAAGAGTTAGACCATAGTACCCAAAGCAATCTACACATTCAATGCAATCTCTATAAAAATATCAATGACATTCTTCACAGAAATAGAAAAAAAATTTTAAAATTTGTATGGAACCACAAAATACCCTAAAAAGCCAGAGCAATCCTGAGTAAATAAAACAAAGCTGAAGGCATCACACTAACTGACTTCAAAATACACTACAAAACTGTTGTAACCAAAACAGCATGGTACTTGCATAAAAGCAGACACATAGATCAATGCAACAGAACAGAGAACCTGGAAATCAATCCACTATCTACAGCCAACTGATTTTTGACAAAGGCCCCAAGAGCACTCACTGAGGAAAGGACAGACTCTTTAATAAATAGTGCTGAGAAAACTGGTTATCCACATGTAAAAGAATGAAACGAGATCCCCACCTTTCACTCTACACAAAGTCAACTCAAAATAGATTAAACAACTAAAATAAAACCTGAAAGTATAAAACTACTACATGAAAACATAGGAGAAATGCTTTAGGACTTTGGTCTGAGAAAAGATTTTTTTTTTTTTTTTTTTGAGACAGAGTCTCGCTCTGTCACCCAGGCTGGAGTGCAGTGGTGCGATCTCGGCTCCCTACAACATCTTCCTCCTGGGTTCAAATGATGCTCCTGCCTCAGCCTCCCAAATAGCTGGGATTACAGGCATGTGCCACCACGCCCGGCTAATTCTGTATTTACAGTAGAGATGGGGTTTCTCCATGTTGGTCAGGCCGGTTCCAAACTCCTGACCTCAGGTGATCCACCCACTTCAGCCTCCCAAAGTGCTGGGATTACAGGCGTGAGCCACCGTGCCAGGCCAAGAAAAGATTTTATGAATAAAACCTGAAAGCACAGGCAACAAAAGTAAAATTACCAAATGGGATTGTATCAAACTAAAAATCTGCACAGCAAAAGAAACAATCAATAGTGTGAAAAGATAACCTATGGAATGGGAGAAAATATTTGCAAACTACTCATCTGACAGGGAATTAATATCCAGAATATACAAGGAAATCAAACTTCTCAACAGCAAAAAACCAAACAATCTGATTAAAAATGGGAAAATGATCTAAATAGACATTTCTCAAAAGAAGACATACAAATGGCCAACAAATATTTGAAAACTGCTCAACGTCACTAATCAGGGAAATGAGAATTGAAACCACAATAAGGTATTATCTCACCCCAGTTAGGATGTCTGTTATCCAAATGGAAAATGACAACAACAACAAAGCAACAACAACAACAACAAATGCTGGTGGGGATGTGGAGAAAAGGGAAGGTTTATACATTGTTGGTGGGAATGTAAACTAGCACAGCCACTATGGAGAAGAGTATGGAAGATCCTCAAAAAACTACACATACAGCTACTATATGATCCAAATGATCTCACTGCTTGGCATTTATACAAAGGAAAGGAAATCAGTATATTGAAGAGATTGAAGAGAAACCTTTACCCCCATGTTTATTACAGCACTATTCATGATAGCCAAGATACGGAACCAACCTAGGTGTCTACAACAGATGAATGGATAAAGAAAATGTGGCATATTTACACAATGAAATTACTATTCAGCCATCAGATGGAATGGAATCTCATCATTTGTGGCAACATGGATGGAACTGGAGGACATTATGTTAATGAAATAAACCAGGAACAGAAAGTTAAATGCCACTTACTCTCACTCATGTGTGGAAGCTATCACAAGGTGATATCAGAAGTAAAAAGTAGAACAAAAGATTACTAAGTCCAGGAGGGAGAGGAGGAAGGGGTGGCATAGGGAGAGATTTGTTAAAGGATACAAAACAACAACTAGATAAGAGGAATAAGTTCTAGTGTTCTACAGTAGGATGGCTGTAGTTAAAAATAATATATAGTTTCAAATCGCTAGAGTGAGTTATTGAATATTTCTGAAACAAAGAAATAATGGATATGCTAATTAACATGACCTGATCACCACAATTACATGTATCAAAACATTACTATATAACCCATGAATATGTACAATTATTATATGTAAATTTAAACATAAATTAATGGCTTAGCCACTTGCTAGCTGTGTGACATTGCTCATTTCACATCTCTGACTCCAGTTTTATCATGCGTAATATGATGATAGTAATATCTGCCATACAGGGTTATTATGAAGTTTAGAGGTAGTGTATACAGTGCTTGGCATATAATAACTGCTAAACTAACAACAGATTTTATTATGTTTTTATTGTTATTATACTTGTCTATTTCTCTCCATTGAGTTAAAAATCTCTCTAGTCATTAATGAATAAGTCAGAGTTCCAATCTCTTTTCCTCTGATCTATTTATTCTGTTGTTTACTTTGGTTTCCTTCTTGCCTCTGTTCTTCAAAGGATATGTCAAAACTCAAATTCCAAATTTCTTTTGCACTTAGGATCTTGAGTAGGGTGCTATAAATGAGCTTCCATTTTTTGCTGATGCAGGTGGGAAGGGCAGCAGTGGCAATGATTTTCCAATACTTGCAAGGTTGTTTTTCTGAGACACTGATAGCACTGGTAATGTTGGTATTAGTGGTTGTTGTCAAGTAGAATTCCTGGTGTTAGTATAGTTTGGTGGGGAAATTGGGGGTGCTTGTTCCTTATAATTGAGAGTTCTTCACCTAATATCCTATATTAATTTTCCCATTCAGCTCTATCTATTCAACGTATTCTATTGAATTTTGGTCCTTGTTTGGTTTCATTTTAATAAGAACTGTGACTCTGCTGCAGACAGGTCAGTTTCTAAGTTTCTATCCTTTTTTGGTTGTTTGTTTTGTTTGAGACAACGTCTCACTCTGTCGCCCAGGCTGGAGTAAAGTGGTGCAAACTTGGCTCGTGGCAACCTCTGCCTCCCAGGTTCAAGCAATCCTCCCACCTTGGCCTTCTGGGTAGCTGGAACTACAGGCAGGCAACACCACACCCAGCTAATTTCTGTATTTTTTTTGGTAGAGAGAGGGTTTCACTATGTTGGCCAGGCTGGTCTCGAACTCCTGACTCCAAGTGATCCACCTCAGCCTCCCAAAGTGATAGGATTACAGGCGTGAGCCACAGTGCCCAGCCTCTATACTAGTTTTAATCCTCAGTATCTTAATTTTCTGATTCCCTTTAACTCCCATCTTCTTCTATATCACATAAGCATTTATAGATTCCTACGCCATCGACTTCATTATAAGCTCTTTCCATTTGGTTGTCACAAAAGCATGTAAACATAGTGTATTGAAAATTAAACTTACTCATTGTCTTTCCTGAAACTTGGTCTTTCTCCAAAATTTCATACCTTGGTGAAAGGTCCCACACACCAGTAAGTCTGAACTTTGGAAGTTTTACTTTTTTATATTCCACTTCTAATTACTTGAATCGTATTACTTTTCTGCTTAAAATTTTAGTTTTTCCTTAACACCTAGAGAGTAAAATCTAAACTTCTTTGCATGATATTAAAGGCCTTCAAATTGCAGCACGTGTTTTTGTATGGGTTTATTATCTACTACTTCCCTTGGATATCATATTCCAGCCATTATGTACCACTTTAATTTACCCAAACATCGATTAGTATACTTTTGTAAGCAAGTATTGTCTTTTCATCTTTTTAGCCTCATCTGTCTAACACCTGGTTGGTGCTCAATACATATTTGTTGAATGACTGAATGCATGAATAAAAGCTTTTCTTCCCACAGAACCAGCACCTCTCTGAATCTCTTTTGTTCCTGCAGCTTTGGTGGAGGCTGCTGTTGTTTCTGTCCTGCATGCACTGTTTTTTTTTTTTTAAATCAGTATTTACACATTTATCATTATGTTTACAGGGCCATTTTTATTCTCTTCCATTTTCAAAGCTGTCCTTTTTAAATGAATTTAATTATTTGGAGAGCAAGTAACACTTTTAGTTGACAAGTAAAAAATTTATATAGTCCTGACATTTGGACAGAGATAGAAAAGATTTGTAAAGGCTCAACCAGCAAGGCTGCTTAGGACAGATGTGAAAGTAGGGGTTGGTGGCTGTGACTATTAAGTATGTTGGGATTCAATCCTGGAATTTCTTGGATGGCAGGATGAAATGTTGAACTTTATCTGGAGCCACACTTAGGGATTTTGAAGAAAGGCTTTGTATGTTTAGGGAATGTTTCAGCAAGATCAGTCTGTCATTATGTGGAATGAATTGAGATCAAGTAAACAGCAGACAGGGAGGTCAGATATAAAGTGGCAAGAATACTATATAATGAGAATTTAAACATAATTTAAAGTGGTGGAAATAGGGTTAGAGCATATCAGCAAAACTTGGGAATAATGTAAGTTAATTGTATATCTTGATGACATAGGTTTTACTCAGGCAAAATTTCCAGCCAAATCACTCTGTTAATGGATTTAATGTAGCACGCTTACTCAGCAGGTAAAGTTTTCAATATTATAAGCAAGTTTATTTTGCCCATTTTATAGCTAAGAAAAAAGTAGGCATTTTTTTTTAGCATTTTTCCTAATATTATGTACTTTACAGGCATTAGGACCCTTGATTCTCGATTTCCTCTGTCAATATACCACACAGAAAAGGTTCTTGTTACATCTTCCTGTTTTTCCTTTTCAATTTCTTTTTTATTTCTGCTTTTTTTCTTTTTTAATTCCTTTTTTAAAATTTTCTTTCTGTTTTCTGTATTTAATGTATTTTCATTTTCTGTCTTTCCTCATCTTTCTTCTTTTTAAATGTGTTTCATATTTTTCTACTTGTTTTTCTTCTCTTCCTCCCTCCTGGGTTATTTGAACTGGTAATGTCCCTTCCCATTTGTAGGGCTGTGGTTCTGGAACTCCACCATTCCCATAGGAATCTCCAGGGCAAGAGTGAAAAAGGTTACAAAATTGCAAAAGTTGGGGACAGCTGGAAGCAAAGCTCCACCCAAGGGTCAGTGAGTTGAACTCTCCTCTCCTTTCACCCGCTTTCTTGCCTTTTCCTGTCAGTCTAGCAAGACCAATATGTCAAAATGATGAGAGTCCTTGGCAGAAGGAGTCAGCCTGAGAGCCTGTGCCAGGATAGGTTTTACCTCCCCTGCAGTCCCTCAGTGAGACAGCTATTTTTGTCACTTTGCCAAGCACAGCAGTGGATGTATTTATTGTAAGAGGGAAGGCCAAGAGAATCTGAGCATAATATTCCAGCAGCTCTATCTTATTCTTCTAGAACTTGAAACCTAGGCCTGTCTAGAATTTTTTTTAAAACTAGGTATCAGAATTGGTGTCTTTGGTTCTAAAAATGGAAGAAGAGAAACAAACAAAAAAAAAAAAAAAGAAATTTTTGATGGAAATCGAACCACTAATTTCAATCCAGAGATGCTGAGTTGTTTGGAATTGCCCAGGTGGTTTTTATTGCGTTTCTTTCTGATTACTGGTTGCCTCCTACAGAAAGAAAGGCAGAGAGGTTTCAGTATTATAGACATTGGTTAAGTGCCCATCATGTGTCTTCATTTTACTTAGTACAAAGGAGAAATGTAGGAGGGAGACATGAGACTAAAAAACAAACATTTCTAAAATTATATATAAAAATAAGTACAATCTATAACAATGACAAAATAGTAGGAGGCTGAAAGTTACTACATTTAAAAATCTGGGGAGCTGCTCTTTCAGGAATTATATTCAGAACTATTTAAACTACAAAACAGCACGAATACTACCCTTGCTTACTCATTTACCTTGGTACTAGATTTGGTGAGAAATAATTACTGATTGTTTTGCAAAATAAATTTCATCTTCAAAGAAAGAAAATTCATTATAACAGGTTATAAAGGAGAATGTACTATAAGCATCATAGTATTAAAAAAATGGTAGTAGTTTTGAATGTTGCCTGAATACCAAGTGACTACTTGGAAGAGAATAACATTCATTTGAAAGTAAAAATAAAGTTGTTATTTTATGGTTATGCTATGAATGCAAGGTTCCTGCCATTGATTATAATTTTGTGAGACCTATATACATAAGTCTTTTAAAAAATAATGGAAGGGGCTGGGCACGGCAGCTCATGCCTGTAATCCCAGCCCTTTGGGTGGCCAAGGCGGGTGGATCATGAGGTCAGGAGTTCGCAACCAGCCTGACCAACATGGTGAAACCCTGTCTCTACTGAAAATGCAAAAATTAGCTAGGCATGGTGGCGTGTGCCTGTAATCCTAGCTACTCAGGAGGCTGAGGCAGGAGAATCGCTTGAACCCGGAGGCAGAGGTTGCAGTGAGCTGAGATCATGCCACTGCACTCCAGCCTGGGTGACAGAGCGAAATTCTGTCTCAAAATAATATTAATAATAATAATAATAATTGAAGGCCAAATTTTTAAAAATTGTCAAAATAGTAGTTAAGATCAAGGAAGGGAGATTGTATAGACTAGAGTTCTTGCGAAAGACCATGAAGAAAGTGAGACTTCAAATGAATAAAATTTAGAAAGCTGGAACATAAAAAATTAGAACATAAAGTTTAAAACACAGGACCTGCCTAATTAATTATCATATCTAGTTTAATCAATTTATTGAAATAACAACCATAAGGATGTTATATTGTTTTAAAAGTTCTCTACTGGATGCTACAAAAATTACCTACTTATTGTGTATTTGACCTGTAAAATAGTGCTTACTCTTGATAGGACTCTTTTGAAATAATGTTGATCTAGTACATTTAGATTCAGCTTGTTTAGGCTGCCCACATATCTGACTAACCCATAGACTCTATAGATCCCTTACCAGAATTACCAGAATCCCATAGAGTGTATTACCAGAATCCCATAGAGTGTAGCGACTAAGAAACTCTTGCCATCACAGCTAGGAGGCAGGCTTCCATGATAGCTAGCAATATGTGATTATACATGGTCATTTGTCCAGAAAGTAAAGATTAATAGACAAATATATAGGGAAAATCAGATATGAAAACATGAGACATTTATTTTTCTAGGATATGAAGATTGAAAAAATCTGAATGGACTAAATGACTTTAGTTTTACTGGGTCTTTGCCTTGTAATCAAAAGTTCCAAATTTGGCCTTTCCTTCTTCAAGCCATCATGCAGACAGCCTATTCAATATGCTTTATAGATTTAAGAGAAAAGAAATGTAGCTTTAAACTTGTCACTTATTTCCAATAATATTAAAGATTATGAGATTATTATGAATATGAGAAGATTGTTTCATTCTGAATAAATTTAAATTTAGTGGATGTCTTAGTCCATTTTCTCCTGCTGTAACAGAAAACCACAGGCTGGGTAATTTACAAAGGAAAAAGAGATTTATTTGGCTCACAGTTTGGAGGCTGTGAAGTCCAGGAACATGGTTCTGGTATCTAGCTAGGATCATCCCATGGCAGAAGCAGAAGGGCAAATGAGTGTGATAGACAGAGAGCTAATGGGGGCAAAATGTATCCTTTCATTAGGAGTTATCTCCTACAGTAATGGCATTAACCCATTCATGAGAGCAGAGTCCTCATGACCTAATCACCTCTTAAAGCCCACACCTCCCAATACCATTACATTAGCAATTAAATGACAACATGAGTTTTGGAGAAAACGTTTGAGTCATAGCCTTGTGCATTTAATACAATAATAATTTGTATTTATTAAGTACCTATTATGTGTACAACATTGTGCGAAATGGTCTATTTAGTCATAACAAAACTGTGGGATGAGAACTGTTTTAATCCTTATTTTGTAGATTAAAAAAAAAGGAGGCACAGAGCCCCAAATCATAAAGTATTAAAAGGCATAAATAAATACTTTATTTTGACTTCAGACCCCCACTTTAATTTAAAAAAACTTTTAATACAGTAATACATTTGCATAATTTAGAAGTAAAATAACTACTAATCTTATAATTAGGTTCAACATTTAATTTGTCATGCATTTCTGAGAATAAAAGGTGGTTGCTAACTGGATAGGACAGTAGAAAAACAAGCATAAAACTAACATTCCTGAGAAAAGTGGGATATAAGTCTAGCTGGCCTTTGATGAAAAAATGGCATCCTCTGTCTACAGCATCTTTTGCTCCCCAATTTCCTGCTCCTCAGAGGCAACTATTTTAAACTCTTTTTGCTGATTTTTCTTTTGTATTTTATATTTGGGGAGTTTCTTTTTCAGGAATGATATTAAAAACTACTCAAATGACGTGCTACACTGTGAATTCTTGATTTTTCAATTTTAGAAATTATGTATTGATTTTTACTATGGAACACAAGGCTTTAGCTTTCTTATTCGTTCTGTTCAAACTTTTTCTACCTTCATTCTCCTATTTTTTTTTTTTGTTTTGGTTAAATAATTTAGTGTTCATATTATTCATATTATTAGGATCACACAATTTGACTTTCATTGATCCTGTAACAATCTGTTACATTATTTTTAATCTACTTACTGTTTTTTCTAGAATTAACTATCTTGTGTTGATTTTTGCTTAGTTTTCTATGTGCTTGTTTTCTTTTTATTCAGCCCCAAGCTTTCTATTTAAATTCTAAAGCTCCTTTTATTACTGTCAATCCTCATAGGTAATTGATAAGTTCTACTTTTCCCCCTTAGAAACTTCCTTCATCAATTCTCCTTTTTTATGATCTAACATGACAGATTGCTTTCTAAATCTACTATATATAGTAGTTGTCTTGATATCTTTCTTTATCATTATCCTGGATGTTCTCTTTCACTTTTGTTTTAGATTTTCTGTATCCTGGATTGCATGTCTTTCGTGTGTCCTCAAGACCAGAACCTCTCTGAGTCAGTCACTCTCTACAGCAATGTCATGTTTTCTCTTGGCAGGGAAGAGTGTAATTTACTGGCAGTGTAGGTTGTGGGAGGGCATCCAAACTCTAAATATTTCCTTTTTAGACTAAAAAAATCATTCATCTTGTACTCACCTTCCCTTCCCCCCGGCCTTCAGAGATGCCTGGTACCTTAAATTCCTGAACCTTCCTAGAGTATAGCAGAAGAAATTTGTTGTTTTTCATTGGTTTCTCTCTAGGCAGTTGGGTTTCAACTACCTTAAATTCCTGAAACTTTCTACAGTATAGCAGAACAAATTTGTTGTTTTTCATTGATGTTTCTCTCTCTAGGCAGTTGGGTTTCAACTACCTCTGCCTTGATGAGTCAGTTTCCATTCATTTCACCTTTTTTTCCCCATCTTTCAAAATTTTGTCTCTTTTTCTGTTCTATTTGTCCTGGGGGTTTGTATCTTTTAAAATACAGTCTTTATTTTTTAGAGCAGTTTTAGATTCACAGCATAATTGAGCAGAAAGTGCAAAGTTCGTATAGATCCTCTGCCTCCACACATGCACAGACCCCCCAACAAACAACATCCTATACCAGAGTAATATATTTGTTACAATTGATAAATCATTATTATACAGAGTCCGTAGTTTACATCAGGGCACTTTTGGTATGTACATTCTATGAGCTTGGACAAATGCATAATGACATGTATCCACCATTGTAGTATCAAAAAAAGTACTTTTATTGCCATAAATATCCCCTGTGTTCTGCCTCATTCATCTTCCCTGACCCCACTCCTCATAACTCCTGGAAACCACTGATCTTTTTATTATCATATTGTGTGTATGACCTTTTCAGATTGGCTTTTTTTCACTTAGTAATATGCATTAAGTGTCATCCATATCTTTTCATGGCCTGGTAACTCATTTATTTTTATCACTGTACAATATTCTATTGTATGCATGTTTGTTCACATAGTTTGTTACACATTCACCTATTGAAGCACATTTTGTTTGCTTCCAAGTTTTGGCATTTATGAATAAAGCTGCAATAACCATCTGTGTGCAGGCTTCGGGTGGACATAAATTTTCAACTCATTTGAGTAAATACCAAGAAGTACAATGATTGGATTGTATGGTAAAGTAGTATGTTAAGTTTTGTGAAAAAACAAAACAAACAAACAAAATGTTTAAATCCCAGAAAACAAAATACAACTGTTAAACTGTCTTTCAAATTGGTTGTACCATTTTAGAGTCCTATCAGCAGTGAATGAGTGTTTCTGTTGCTCCGTATCCTTGACAGCATTTGTTATTGTTAAGGTTTTGGGTAGGCCATTCTATTTTTTTTTTTTTTTTTTTGAAACGGAGTCTTGCTTTGTTGCTAGGCTGGAGTGCAGTGGCAATATCTCAGCTGACTGCAACCTCCGCCTCCCGGGATCAAGCAATTCTCCTGCCTCAGTCTCCCAAGTAGCTGGGACTACAGGTGCCCGCCATCACACCCAGCTAATTATTGTGTTTTTAGTAGAGACGGGGTTTCACCATGTTGGCCAGGATGGTCTCGATCTCTTGACCTTATGATCTGCCCGCATTGGCCTCCCAAAGTGCTGGGATTACAGGCATGAGCCACCACGCCAGGATGGATAGGCCATTCTAATAGGTTTATAGTGGTATGTCATTGTTTTAATTTGCAATTCTGTAATGACATGTGATGTTCAGCATCTCTCATATACTTATTTGCCATCTTTACATCTTCTTTGGTGAGGTGTCTGTTCAGATCTTTAGTCATTTTTAAACTGAGTTGTTTGTTTTCTTATTGCTGAATTTAATGAATTATTTGTGTAGTTTGGATACCTGTCCTTTATCAGATATGTGTTTTCCATATATTTTCTTCCTGTCTGTTGCTTGTATTCTCATTCAGGGTGTCTTCACAGAGGGGAAGTTTTTAATTTGATGATGTTTAGTGTATCAACTATTTCTTTTATGGATTATACCTTTGGTATTGTGTTTTAAAAGTTTTTAACAAACCCAAGCTCATCTAGGTTCTCTCCTAGGTTATCTTCTAGTAGTTTTATAGTTTTGCATTTTACATTTAGGTCTGTGAGTTAGTTTTTGTGAAAGGTGTAAGGTCTATCTGTGTCTAGATTTTTTTTTTTTTTTTTGGATAGGGATGTCCAGTTCTTCCAGCAACATTTGCTGAAGAAACTCTCTTTGCTTCATTGTATTGCCTTTGCTCCCTTATCAAAGATCAGTTGTGCATATTTATGTGGGTCTAATCTGGACTCTCTATTCTGTTTTCATGATCCATTTGTCTATACTTTCACCAATACCACACTATCTTGATTATGAAAGCTTTACAGTAAGCCTTGAAGTTGGGTAGTATCTGCCTGTGACTTTGTTCTTCTTCAATATTGGGTTGGCTCTTCTGGGTCTTTTGCCTCTCCATCTAAACTTTAGAATAACTTTGGCAATATTCACAAAATAACTTACTAGGATTTTTATTGGAATTTGATTTAATTTATAAATCAACTTAAGGAGAATGAACGCCTTGACAGTGTTGAGTCTTTCTGTCCATGAACATGGAATATCTCTTCATATATTTAGTGCTTTGATTTCTTTCATCTGAGTTTTGCAGTTTTTCTTATATACAGCTTGTACTCATTTTGTTAGATTTATATTTAAGTGTTTGATATTTTGGATTGCTGATGTAAATGGCATTGTGTTTTTACTTTCAAATTCAAGTTTTTTATTTCTGGTATATAGGAAAGTGATTTACTTTTGTATATTAATCTTGTATCCTGCCACCTTGCTATAATTACTTATTCATTTGAATTCCTTTTTCTTTCTGTTTTTGTTGATTCTTTGTCATTTTCTACAAAGACAATCATATCCTTTGTGAACAAAAGCAGTTTTATTTTTTCTTTCTCAATCTGTATGCTTTTTATTTTTTCTTTTCTTATTGCATTATCTGGACTTATAGTATGATGTTGAAAGGCAGTGGTGAAAGAGGACATCCTTACGTTACCTGATCTTAGTGGTAAAGCTTCAAGTTTCTCACCATTGAGTAAGAGGTTTGCTATAGATTTTTTTGTTGGTGTTGTTTATCAAATTGAGAAAGTTCTTTATTCCTAGTTTGCTGAGTTTTTTTTATTATGAATGGGTGTTAGAATTTGTCATATTCTTTTTCTGCATCTATTAATATGATCATGTAATTATCCTCTTTAGCCTGGTCTGTGTCTGTAGCTTTCTTTTCTTGTAATATCTTTGTTTGGTTTTGATATTAGGGCAATGCTAGTATAAGGCTAACTTTTTCACTCTACTTTTTGTTGAGAAAAAGTGTTAATTCTTATGCCTTGTGGCACTTACCTGACTCCTGCAAAAAGGAATACATGGTAGAGTTGGGATTAATCTGGGCTTTGAAGGGGCAAAAGGGAAGAAGTCCGTAAAGTGTGGTGGCCAATAATCAGGTTTAAGATTCAAATAAAACAAGATACAAGCTCTGGTTCTACAACTTACCAGCTATATTACCTTGAATAAATTACAGAACCTCTCTAAGTCTCAGTCTTCTCATTTGTGAAATGAACACAGTCATAGGTTTTTTTGTGTGTTTTTAAAAAACTTTTATTTTAATTTCTGGGGTACATGTGCAGGATGTGCAGATTTGTTACATAGGTAAATGTGTGCCATGGAGTTTTGCTGCACAAGATCACTCCCATCAGCATAACCCATCAGCATAATGGGTATTAAGCTCAGCATCTATTAGCTATTCTTCCTGATACTCTCCCTCCTCCTCCTATCCCTCACACTCCAACAGGCCCCAGCGTGTGTTGTTTCCCCCAATGTGTCCATGCGTTCTCATCATTCTGTTTCCACTGATTGATAAATGAGAACATGCAGTGTTTGCTTTTCTGTTCCTGTGATAGTTTGCTGAGAATAATGACTTCCAACTCCATCCATGTTTCTGCAAAGGACATGATCTCATTCCTTGTTAAGGCTTCATACTATTCCATGGTATGTATATGTACCACATTTTCTTTATCCAGTCTATCATTGATGGACATTTAGATTGATTTCAATTCTTTGCTGTTTTGAATAGTGCTACAGTGAACATATGTGTGCATGTATGTCTTTATGGTAGAACAATTTATGTTCCTTCGGGAATATAAAGGGATTATAATGGGATTGCTGGGTCAAATGCTAGTTCTGTTTTTAGCTCCTTGAGGAATCACCACACTGCTTTCCACAATGATTCAACTAATTTGCACTCCCACCAACAGTGTATAAGTGTTCCCTTTCTCTGCAACCTCGCCAGCATCTGTTATTTTTAGACTTTTTAATGATAGCCATTCTGACTGGTGTGAGATCTTATCTCATTGTGGTTTTCATTTGCATTTCTCTAATGATTGTTGATATTGAGTTTTTTTTCATGTTCCTGAGCCATATGTATGTCTTCTTTTGAAAAGTTTCTGTTGATGTCCTTTGCCGACTTTTCAATTTTTTTTAAATAAATAAATTTGTTTAAGTTCATCATAGATGCTGGATATTAGACCTTTGTCAGATGTATAGACTGCAAATATTTCTCCCATTCTGTAGGTTGTCTCTGTTGATCATTTTTTTTGCTGTCCAGAAGCTCTTTAGTTTAAATAGATTTCATTTGTCAATGTTTGCTTTTGTTGCAATTGCTTTTGGTGTTTTCGTCATGAAATCTTTGCCCATGCCTATGTCCTGAGTGGTATTGCCTAGACTTTCTTCTAGGGTTTTTATGGTTTTGGGTTTTACATTTAAGTATTTAATCCATCTTGTGTTGATTTTGTTTATATGGTGTAAGGAAGGTGTCCAGTTTCAATTTTCTTCATATGGCCAGCCAGTTCTCCCAGCACCATTTATTAAATAAGGAATCCTTTCCACATTGCTTGTTTTTGTCAGGTTTGTCAAAGATCAGATGGTTGTAGGTGTGCAGTCTTGTTTCTGGGTTCTCTATTCTGTTCCATTGGTCTATGTGTATGTTCTTGTAACAGTACTGTGCTGCTTTGGTTACTGTATCCTTGTAGTATAGTTTGAAGTCAGGTAGCATGATACTTCCAGCTTTGTTCTTTTTGCTTAGGGTTGTCTTTGCTCTTCAGCCTCTTTTTTGATTCCATATAAATTTTAAAATAGTTTTTTCTAATTCTCTAAATAGTGTCAATAGTAGTTTAATGGAAATAGCAATGAATCTATAAATTTCTTTGGGCAGTATGGCCACTTTCACGATATTGATTCTTCTTATCCATCAGCATGGAATGTTTTTCCATTTGTTCTTGTCATCTCTGATTTCTTTGAGCAGTGGTTTGTAGTTCCCCTTGAAGATGTCCTTCACTTGCCTTGTTAGCTGTATTCCTAGCTATTTTATTCTTTTTTGTGGCAATTATGAATGGGAGGTCATTCATGATTTGGCTTTGGCTTGCCTGTTTTTGATGTATAAGAATGCAAGTGATTTTTGCACACTGATTTTGTATCCTGGGACTTTGCTGAAGTTGCTTCACAGTTTATGAAGCTTTTGGGCTGAGATGATGGGATCTTTAGATATAGGATTATAAGTCATCTGCAAACTGAGACAGTTTGACTTTGTCTCTTCCTATTTGAATACCTTTATTTATTTCTCTTGCCTGATTGCCCTGGCCAGAACTTCCAATACTATGTTGAATAGAAGTGATGAGAGAGAGAGCATCCTTGTCTTGTTCTGGTTTTCAAGGGGAGTGCTTCCAGCATTTGCCCATTCAGTGTGGTATTGGCTAGAGGTTTGTCATATATGGCTCTTAACATTTTGAGTGTGTTCCATCAATACCTAGTTTATCGAGTGTTTTTTAACATGAAGGGATGATGAATTTTATAAAGGCCTTTTCTGCATCTATTGAGATAATCATGTGGTTTTATCTTTAGCTATGTTTATGTGATGAATCACATTTATTGATTTGTGTATGTTGAACAAACCTTGCATCTTGGGAGAGAAGCCTACTTGATGATGGTGGATAAGCTTTTTGATGTGCTGCTAGATTCAGTTTGCCAGTTTTTTATTGAGAATTTTTGCATCAATATTCCTCAAGGATATTGGCCTGAAATTTTCATTTTTTTGGTCTCTGCCAGGTTTTGGTGTTAGGATGATGCTGGCTTCATAGAGTCATTTAGGGAGAAGTCCCTCCTTTTCAATTTTTTGGAAGGACTTCAGCAGAAATAATACCAGCTTTTCTTTGTACCCCTGGTAGAATTCAGCTGTGACTCCATCTGGTCCTGGGCTTTTTTTGTTGGTAAGCCATTTATTACTGCATAAATTTCAGAACTCATTATTGGATCTGTTCAGGGATTCAATTTCTTCCTTGTTGAGTCTTGGGAGGGTGTATGTTTTCAAGAATTTATCTATTTCTTCCAGATTTTCTAGTTTACATATGTAGAGGTGTTTATGGTATTCTCTGATGGTTTTTTGTATTTCTATGGAGTCAGTGGTGGTATCCCCCAAATCATTTCCGATTGTGTTTATTAGAATCTCCTCTCTTTTTTTTTATTAGTCTAGCTAGTGGTATATCTATTTTATTAATTTTTTCAAGAAAACAGCTCCTGGGTTTGTTGATTTTTGAAGGGTTTTTCATGTCTCTATCTCCTTCAGTTCAGCTCTGATCTTGGTTATTTGTTGTCTTCTGCTAGCTTTGAGGTTTGTTTGCTCTTGGTTCTCTAGTTTTTCTAACTGTGATGTTAGGTTGTCAACTTGAGATCTTTCTAGCTTTTTGTTGTGGGCATTTTGTGCTATAAGTTTTCCTCTTACAACTGCTTTAGCTGTGCTCCAGAGATTCTGGTACGTTGTATTTTTGTTATCATTAGTTTCAAAGAACTTCTTGATTTCTGTCTTAATTTCATTATTTACTCAAGAGTAATTCAGGAGCAGGTTGTTCAATTTTCATGTGGTTTTCTGGTTTTGGGTGAATTTCTTAATCTTGAGTTCTAATATGATTGTGCTGTGGTGTGAGAGATTTTTTTGTTATGATTTCAGTTTTTTGCATTTGCTGAGGAGTGTTTTACTTCCAATAATGTGATCAATGTTAAGGTAAGTACTATGTGGCAATGAGAAGAATGTATATTCTGTTGGTTTTGGATGGAGAATTCTTTAGATATCTATCAGGTCAAATTGATCCAGTACTGAGTTCAGGTTCTGAATATCTTTGTTAATTTTCTGTCTTGGTGATTTGTCTAATATTGTCCATGGGGTATTAAAGCCTCCCATTATTATTTTGTGGAAATGTAAGTCTCTGAAGTTCTCTAAGAACTCACTGTATGAATATGGGTGCTCCTGTATTGGATGCACATATATTAGAATAGTTAGATCTTTTTGTTGAATTCACCCCTTTCCCATTATGTAATGACCTTCTCAGTCTTCTTTGATCTTTGTTTGTTTAAAGTCTGTTTTGTCAGGAAACTGGGATAGAAACCCCTGCTTTTTTCTATTTTCCATTTGCTTGGTAACTTTCCCTTCTTCCCTTTATTTTGAGCCTTGTATGTAAGATGGATCTCTTGAAGACAGTATACCAATGAGTCTTGACTCTTTATCCAGTTAACCATTCTGCATCTTTTAATTGGGACATTTAGCCCGTTTACATTGAGGTTAGTATTGTTATTAGTATTGTTATGTGTGGATTTGATTCTGTCATCATAATGCTAGCAGGTTATTTTGCAGACTTTATGTGGTTGCTTCATAGTATTACTGGTCCATTTACTTCAGTGTATTTTTGTAGTGGCTAGTAACAGTTTTGTTTTGTAGTGGCTAGTAATAGTTTTTTTCTTTCCATATTTAGTGCTTCCTTCAGGAACTCTTGCAAGGCAGGTTTGGTGGTGACAAATTCTCTCAGCATTGACTTGTCTGAAAAGGATCTTATTTCTCCTTTGCTTATGAAGCTTAGTCTGGCCAGATATGAAATTCTAGTTTGAAAATTATTTTCTTCAAGAATCTTGAATATTGGTCCCCAATCTCTTCTGACTTGTAGTGTTTCCACTGAGAGATCCATTGCTAGTCTGATGAGCTTCCATTTGTAGGTGACCTGGCCTTTCTTTCTGGCTGCCTTAACATTTTTTCTTTCATTTTGACCTTGGAGAATTTGTTGATTATTGTCTTTGGGTTGATCTTCTCATGGAGTATCTTACTGGAGTTCTCTGCATTCCCTGGATTTGGATGTTGGCCTGTCTTGCTAGTTTGGGGAAGATCTCCTGAATGATATCCTGAAGTATGCTTTCCAACTTGGTTCCATTCTCCCTGTCTCTTTCACGTACCCCAATCAGTTGTAGGTTTGGTCTTTTTACATAATCCCATATTTATCAGAGATTTTGTTCTTTCCTTTTCATTCTTTTTTCTCTATTCTTGTCTGCCCGCCTTATTTCAGAAAGATGGTCTTCAAGCTCTGAGATTCTTTCCTCCACTTGGTGTATTTAGTAAATTGTGATTGCATTGTGAAGTTCTTGTAGTTTGTTTTTCAGCTCTAATAGGTTGGTTATGTTCCTCTCTAAACTGACTATTTTGGCTGTCAACTCCTGTATTGCTTTGTCGCGATTCTTAGCTTCTTTGCATTTAGTTACAACATACTACTTTAGCTCAGTGAAATTTGTTATTACCCACCTTCTGAAGCCTACTTTTGTCATTTCAGCAATCAGCCTCAGCCCAGTTCGAGCCCTTGCTAAAGAGGTGTTGCAGTCTTTTGGAGGAGAAGGAGCATTCTGGCTTTTTAAGTTTTCAGCATTTTAGTGTTGATTCTTTCTCATCTTTCTGGGCTTATCTACCTTTGATTTCTGAGATTGCTTACCTTTGAATGGGCTTTTTGTGCAGTCTTTTTGTTGATGTTGTCGTTGTTGTTTTTGTTTGCTTGTTTTTTCTTTTAACAATCAGGCTACTCTTCCTTAGAGCTGCTGTGGTTTACTGGGGTCCACTGCAGACCCTAGTTGCTTCGGTTTTTCCCATATCTGGAGGTATCATCAGTGAAGCCTGTGAAACAGTGAAGATGACAGCCTGCTCTTTCCTCTGGAACCTCTGTTCCAGTGGGGGTTACTGACCTGTTGCTATCCTGAGTGCACCTGCAGGAGGTGGCTGGAGACCCCTGTTGGGAGGTCTCAATCAGGAGGAATGGGATCGGAGACCCGCTTAAAGAAGTCTGGCTGCTTTTTGGTAGAGCGGGTGTGCTTTGTTGGGGATTCCTTCAGCCCTTGATTGGTATGGGCTCTTCAAGGCCCACAGGTTGGACTGAGAAGCACAAACAGCCAAGGCAGCCAAAGTGGCGACTTGCCCCACTCCCCAGGCACTCCTCCCCAGGGGGAAATTAGAGCTTTGTCCATCATAGAACATGGATGAGAGTGGCTCCAGGACCCAGCTGGGAGGACCCGCCCCTTGAGGAAGAGTGAATTGGGGTCCTGCTTAAAGAAGCCGTCTGGGCATGATCTGGCAAAATGGTTGCGCTGCACTGAGGGGACCCTTTCTTGTGTGTGCTCTTTGGACTCTCCAAAACCAGTGGGTTGGAATGGCTGAGCTGACCAAACCACAGAGATGGCAGAGGCCCCTCCCACCAGGAACACCGTCTCAGGCAGTTTCCACTCTGTTGTTGCTGGCTGGCTGGAATTTCGAGCCAGTGGATCTTATTTTGTGAGGTACCCTGTAAGTGGGGCCCACAGAATAATATTGCTTGGCTCCCTGGATTCAGCCCCCTGCCTAAGGATATGTATGAACCTCTAGGCTTGCTGGGGATCCCTGGGCTAAGAGTATGTAAAGCTTCTGGGATTCTGTGTATGCCTGAGTAGCTGCTGTGCCGAGATCCACACAGCTCTGTGTGTCAGACCCAAGGCCCTGTTGGCATGGCTCACGTGGGGATCTCCTGATGCAAATGTTGCAAAGATCCATGGGGGAAGCATTGTTTCCCAAGCAGGGTCTCATAATCACTCACCACCTCCCTTGGCTTGGGGTGGGGCTTCCCTTGGCTATGTGCCACTCTCAGGTGAAATGTTGCCCCACCCTGCTTTTCTTCATTCTGCATGGGTTGACTTCTATGCCTAATCACTCCCAATGCAAGAACCTGAATATTTCAGTTAAAGGTGTGTATTCACTCACCACTTTCATTCCTCTCTGTGAGTACCATGGACCACAGCTGCTTCTAGTTGGTCATCTTAAGAAAGTGAATGCTAGGTATTTTTGTATGTTGATTTTGTTATTCTGAAAATTTGCTGAAGTTATCATCTGAAGAAGATTTTGGGCCAAGATTATGGGGTTTTCTAGATATAGAATTATGTCACCTGTAAACAGATAGTTTGACTTTCTCTCTTCCTATTTGGATGCCCTTTATTTATCTCTCTTGCCTGATTGCTCTGGCCAGGACATCTAATACTATGTGGAAAAGGAGTGGTGAGTGAGGGCATCCTTGTCTTGTGCCAGTTTTCTTTTCTTTTTTTTTTCGTCCTGCCTTGGCCTCTCAAAGTGCTGGGATTACAGTTATGAGCCACTGCACCTAGCCTGATGCCATATTTTTCGTGGTGAGAAACAAGATGAAGATAGAAACACAAAATTGAGAATATCATACCTTTAGGACTTTGCACAATGAACCAGTAAATTATGTACATGTAGATACAGAGGAAATTTCTTGAAGAGAGTTTGAAAATCCGTGAACTCAATTATGCAAGATATTTCTTTTTTAAATTTAATTAATTAATTAATTAATTATACTTTAAGTTCTAGGGTATATGTGCACAACATGCAGGTTTCTTATATAGGTATACATGTGCCATTTTGGTTTGCTGCACCCATCAACTCGTCATTTACATTAGGTATTTCTCCTAATGCTATCCCTCCCTCAGTCCCCCATCCCCCAACAGGCACCAGTGTGTCTAAGTGTTCTCATTGTTCAACTCCCACTTATGAGTGAGAACATGCGGTGTTGGGTTTTCTGTCCTTCAGATAGTTTGCTGAGAATGATGGTTTCCAGCTTAATCCATGTCCCTGCAAAGGACATGAACTCATCCTTTTTTATGGCTGCATAGTATTCCATGGTGTATATGTGCCACATTTTCTTAATCCAGCCTATCATTGATGGACATTTGGGTTGGTTCCAAGTCTTTGCTATTGTTAATAGTGCCACAATAAAGATACATGTGCATGTGTGTTTATAGTAGCATGATTTATAATCCTTTGGGTATATACCCAGTAATGGTATTGCTGGGTCAAATGGTAATTCTAGTTCTAGATCCTTGAGGAATCGCCATACTGTCTTCCACAATGATTGAACTAGTTTACACTCCCACCAACAGTGTAAAAGCATTCCTATTTCTCCACATCCTCTCCAGCACCTGTTGTTTCCTGACTTTTTAATGATCGCCATTCTAACTGGTGTGAGATGGTATCTCACTGTGATTTTGATTTGCATTTCTCTGATGACCAGTGATGATGAGCATTTTTTCATGTGTCTGTTGGCTGCATAAATGTCTTTTTTTGAGAAGTGTCTGTTCATATCCTTTGCCCACTTTTTGATGGGGTTGTTTGTTTTTTCTTGTAAATTTGTGTAAGTTCTTTGTAGATTCTGGATATTAGCCCTTTGTCAGATGGGTAGATTGCAAAAATTTTCTCCCATTCTATAGGTTGCCTGTTCACTCTGATGGTAGTTTCTTTTGCTGTGCAGAAGCTCTTTAGTTTAATTAGAATGCATTTATCTATTTTGGCTTTTGTTGCCATTGCTTTTGGTGTTTTAGTCATAAAGTCTTTGCCCATGCATATGTCCTGAATGGTATGGCTATGGCCTAGGTTTTCTTCTAGGGTTTTTATGCTTTTAGTTCTAACATTTAAATCTTTAATTGATCTTGAATTAATTTTTTAATAATGTGTAAGAAGGGATCCAGTTTCAGCTTTCTACATATGGCCAGCCAGTTTTCCTAGCACCATTTATTAAATAGGGAATCCTTTCCCCATTTCTTGTTTTTGTCAGGTTTGTCAAAGATCCGATGGTTGTAGATGTGTGGTGTTATTTCTGAGGCCTCTGTTCTGTTCCATTGGTCTATATTTCCGTTTTGGTACCAGTACCAGGCTTCTGCCAGTTTTCAAGGGGAATTCATCAAGCTTTTGCCCATTCAGTATGATGCTGGCTGTGAGTTTGTTATAGATAGATATCCTTTTCAATAAATGATGCTGGGATGACTGGCTAGTCATAGGTAGAAAATTAAAACTAGATCCTTTCCTTACGCCATATACTAAATCAACTCAACATGATTTTAATACTTAAATGTAAAACCCAAAACTGTAAAAATCCTCGAAGAAAATCTAGGCAGTAACATTCAGGAATAAGAACTGGCAAAGATTTCATGATGAAGATGCCAAAAGCAATTGCAACAAAAGCAAACATTGATAAGTGAGATCTAATTAAACTTAAGAGCTTCCGCACAGCAAAAGAAACTATAAAGAGAACAAACAAGAGATGGGACACGGCTTAGAAAGAATCCCAGGCTGTGGGCATTCCTTGGCCCAGTGGCCAGATTTCTGGCACTTGAAGCAAGATCCTGGGGTAAGAGGTCCTGGAGGAAGGCCTGGCTGCTGCGGTTCAGACATTTTGAAGTTCTTGTATGCTGGAGATGTGGCTAGGGTTTGTCTCACAGTCTAGGCAACTCCCAGTGTGATTGACGCGGAAGACAGGTGATTTCTGCATTTCCAACTGAGCATCCACTGGTGATACCCAGGCAAACAAGGTCTGGAGTGGAACTCCAGCAAACTCCAACAGACCCGCAGCTCAGGGACCTGACTCTTAGAAGGAAAACGAACAAACAGAAAGGAATAGCAGCAATATCAATCAACAAAAATGTCATCTACACCAAACCCCATCTGTAGGTCACCGTCATCAAAGACTGAAGGTAGATAGAACCACAAAGATGGGGAGAAACCAGAGCACAAAAGCTGGAAATTCTAAAATTCAGAGTGCCTCTTCTCCTCCAAAGGATCGCAGCTCCTCGCCAGCAACTGAACAAAGCTGGACGGAGAATGACTTTGATGAGTTGGCAGAAGTAAGCTTCAGAAGGTCGGTAATAACAACTTCTCCAAGCTAAAGGAGGATGTTCGAACCCATTGCAAGAAGCTAAAAACCTTGAAAAAAGATTAGACAAATGGCTAACTAGAATAAACAGTGTAGAGAAGACCTTAAATGACCTGATGGAGCTGAAAACCATGGCACAAGAACTACGTGATGCATGCACAAGCTTCAATAGCTGATTCGATGAAGTGGAAGAAAGGGTATCAGAGATTGAAGATCAAATTAATGAAATAAAGCAAGAAAACAAGGTTAGAGAAAAAGGAGTAAAAAGAAATGAACAAAGCCTCCAAGAAATATGGGACTATGTGAAAGACCAAATCTACATTTGATTGGTGTACCTAAAGTGAAGAGGAGAATGGAACCAAGTTGGAAAACACTTTTCAGGATATTATCCAGGAGAACTCCCACAACATAGCAAGGCAGACCAACATTCAAATTCAGGAAATACAGAGAACACCACAAAGATACTCCTTGAGAAGAGCAACCCCAAGACACATAATTGTCAGATTCACCAAAGTTGGAATGAACGAAAAAATGTTAAGGGCAGCCAGAGAGATAGGTCGGGTTACCCACAAAGGGAAACCCATCAGACTAACAGTGGATTTCTCAGCAGAAACCCTACAAGCCAGAGGAGAGTAGGTGCCAATATTCAACTTTCTTAAAGAAAAGAATTTTCAACCCAGAATTTCATATCCAGCCAAACTAAGCTTCGTAAGTGAAGGAGAAATAAAATCCTCTCCAGACAAGCAAATGTTGAGACATTTTTGTCATCACCAGGCCTGCCTTACAAGAGCTCCTGAAGGAAGCACTAAACATGGAAAGAAACAACTGGTACCAGCCCCTGCAAAAACATGCCAAATTGTAAAGACCATCGATGCTATGAAGAAACTGCATCAATTAATGGGCAAAATAACCAGCGAACATCATAATGACAGGATCAAATTCACACATAACAATATTAACCTTAAATGTAAATGGGCTAAATGCCCCAATTAAAAGACACAGACTGGCAAATTGGATAGAGTCAAGATCCGTCAGTGTGCTGTATTCAGGAGACCCATCTCACGTGCAAAGATGCACATGGGCTCAAAATAAAGGAACAGAGGGAGACGTACCAAGAAAATGGAAAGCAAAAAAAGCAGGGGTTGAAATCCTAATCTCTGATAAAACAGACTTTAAACCAACAAAGACCAAAAGAGACAAAGAAGGCCATTACATAATGGTAAAGGGATCAATTCACAAGAAGAGCTAACTATCCTAAATATATATGCACACAATACAGGAGCACCCAGATTCATAAAGCAAGTCCTTAGAGACCTACAAAGAGACTTAGACTCCCACACAATAATAATGGGAGACTTTAACACCCCACTGTCAGTATTAGATCAAAGAGACAGAAGGTTAACAAGGGTATCCAGGACCTGAACTCAGCTCTGCAACAAGAAAACCTAATAGACATCTACAGAACTTTCCAACCCAAATCAACGGAATATACATTCTTCTCAGCACCACATCACACTTATTCTAAAATTGACCACAGAATTGGAAGTGAAGCACTCCTCAGCAAATGTAAAAGAACAGAAATCACAACAAACTGTTTCTCAGACCACAGTGCAATGAAATTGGAGCTCAGGATTAAGAAACTCACTCAAAACCACACAACTATATGGAAACTGAACAACCTGCTCCTGAACAACTTGCTCATAAATAACAAAATGAAGGCAGAAATAAAGATGTTCTTTGAAACCAATGAGAACAAACACACAACATACCAGAATCTCTGGGACACATTTAAAGCAGTGTGTATGGGGAAATTTATAGCACTAAATGCCCACAAGAGAAAGCAGGAAAGATCTAAAATCAACACCCTAACATCACAATTAAGTGAACTAGAGAAGCAAGAGGAAACAAATTCAAAAGCTAGCAGAAGGCAAGAAATAACTAAGATTAGAGCAGAACTGAAGGAGATAGACACACAAAAAACCCTTCAAAAAATCAATGAACCCAGGAGCTGTTTTTCTGAAAACATCAACAAAATTGATAGACCGCTAGCAAGACTAATAAAGGACAAAAGAGACAAGAATCAAATAGGCGCAGTAAAAAATGATAAAGGGGATATCACCACTGATCACACAGAAATACAAACTACCGTCAGAGAATACTAGAAACACCTCTACCCAAATAAACTGGAAAATATAGAAGAAATTGATAAATTCCTGGACACATACACCCTTCCAAGACTAAACCAGGAAGAAGTTGAATCTCTGAATAGATCAATAACAAGCTCTGAAATTAAGGCAATAATTAATAGCCTACCAACCAAAAAAAGTTGAGGACCAGACGGATTCACAGCCAAATTCTACCAGAGGTACAAAGAGGAGCTGGTACCATTCCTTCTGAAACTATTCCAATCAATAGAAAAAGATGGAATCCTCCTAACTCATTTTATGAAGCCAACATCATGTTGATACCAAAGCCTGGCAGAGACACAAGAAAAGAAGAGAATTTTAGATCAATATCCCTGATGAACATTGATGAGAAAATCCTCAATAAAATACTGGCAAACCAAATCCAACAGCACATCAAAAAGTTTATCCACCAAAATCAAGTCAGCTTCATCCCTGGGATGCAAGGTTGGTTCAACATACACAAATCAATAAACATAATCTATCACATAAACAGAACCAACGACAAAAAGTACATGATTATCTCAATAGATGCAGAAAAGGCCTTCAACAAAATTCAACAGCCCTTCATGCTAAAACCTCTCAATAAACTAGGTATTGATGGAACATATCTCAAAATAATAAGAGCTATTTATGACAAACCCACAGCCCATATCATACTGAATGGGCAAAAAATGGAAGCGTTCCCTTTCAAAATCGGCACAAGACAGGGATGCCCTCTCTCACCACTCCTATTCAACATGGTGTTGGAATTTCTGGCCGGGGCAATCAGGCAGGAGAAAGAAATAAAGGGTATTCAATTAGGAAAAGAAGAAGTCAAATTGTCCCCATTTGCAGATGACATGATTGTATATTTAGAAAACCCCACCATCTCAGCCCAAAATTTCCTTAAGCTGATAAGCAACTTCAGCAAAGTCTAAGGATACAAAATCAATGTGCAAAAATCACAAGCATTCCTATACACCATTAACAGACAAACAGGGAGTCAAATCATGAGTGAACTCCCATTCACAATTGCTTCAAAGAGAATAAAATACCTAGGAATCCAACTTACAAGGGATGTGAAGGACCTCTTCAAGGAGAACTACAAACCACTGCTCAACGAAATAAAAGAGGACACAAACAAATGGAAGAGTATTCCATGCTCATGGATAGGAAGAATCAATATCGTGAAAATGGCCATACTGCCTAAAGTAATTTATAGATTCAATGACATCCCCATCAAGCTACCAATGACTTTCTTCACAGAATTGGAAAAAAACCACTTTAAAGTTCATATGGAACCAAAAAAGATCCTACATTGCCAAGACAATCCTAAGCCAAAAGAACAAAGCTGGAGGCATCACACTACCTGACTTCAAACTATACTACAAGGCTACAGTAACCAAAACAGCATGGTACTTGTACCAAAACAGAGATATAGACCAATGGAACACAACAGAGGCCTCAGAAATAACACCACACATCTACAACCATCGGATCTTTGACAAACCTGACAAAAACAAGAAATGGGGAAAGAATTCTCTATTTAATAAACGGTGCTGGGAAAATTGGCTAGCCATATGTAGAAAGCTGAAACTGGATCCCTTCTTACACATTATTAAAAAATTAATTCAAGATCAATTAAAGATTTAAATGTTAGAACTAAAACCATAAAAACCCTAGAAGAAAACCTAGGCAATACCATTCTGGACATAGGCATGGGCAAAGACTTTATGACTAAAACACCCAAAGGCAATGGCAACAAAAGCCAAAATAGATAAATGGGTTCTAATTAAACTAAAGAGCTTCTGCACAGCAAAAGAAACTACCATCAGAGTGAACAGGCAACCTACAGAATGGGAGAAAATTTTTGCAATCTACCCATCTGACAAAGGGCTAATATCCAGAATCTACAAAGAACTTACACAAATTTACAAGAAAAAAACAAACAACCCCATCAAAAAGTGGGCTAAGGATATGAACAGACACTTCTCAAAAAAGACATTTATGCAGCCAACAGACACATGAAAAAATGCTCATCATCACTGGTCGTCAGAGAAATGCAAATCAAAATCACAGTGAGATACCATCTCACACCAGTTAGAATGGCGATCATTAAAAAGTCAGGAAACCACAGGTGCTGGAGAGGATGTGGAGAAATAGGAATGCTTTTACACTGTTGGTGGGAGTGTAAATTAGTTCAACCATTGTGGAAAGCAGTGTGGCGATTCCTCAAGGATCTAGAACTAGAATTACCATTTGACCCAGCAATCCCATTACTGGGTATATACCCAAAGGATTATAAATCATGCTACTATAAATACACATGCACATGTATCTTTATTGTGGCACTATTCACAATAGCAAAGACTTGGAACCAACCCAAATGTCCATCAATTATAAAATGGATTAAGAAAATGTGGCACATATACACCATGGAATACTATGCAGCCATAAAAAGGATGAGTTCATGTCCTTTGCAGGGACATGGATTAAGCTGGAAACCATCATTCTCAGCAAACCATCTGAAGGACATAAAACCCAACACCGCATGTTCTCACTCATAAGTGGGAATTGAACAATGAGATCACTTGGACACAGGAAGGGAACATCACACACTGGGTCTGTCAGGGGTTGCGAGGCTGAGAGAGGGATAGCATTAGGAGAAATACCCAATGTAAATGATGAATTGGTGGGTGCAGCAACCAATATGGCACATGTATACCTATGTATCAAACCTGCACCTTGTGCACATATATCCTAGAACTTAAATTATAATAACAAATAATAAAAAAAAGGAGAATAAGCAAGCATCTTACAGAATGGGAGAAAATATTTGCAAACTATACATCTGACAAAGGACTGATATCCAGCATCTATAAGAAACTTAAACAAATTTACAAGAATAAAGCCAACAACCCCATTAAAAAGTGGGCAAAGAACATCAACAGACATATCTCCAAAGAAGGCATACATGTAGCCAAGAAGCATGAATAAAAAACCAGTATCACCAATCATTAGAGAAGTGCAAATCAAAACCACAATAAGATACCATCTCACACCAGTCAGAATGGCTATCATTAAAAAGTCTAAACATAACAGATGCTGGCGAGGTTACAGAGAAAAGGGAACACTTATACACTGTTGGTTGCAGTGGAAATTAGTTGAACCATTGTGGAAAGCAACGTGACGATTCCTCCAAGACCTAAAAAGCAGAACTAGCATTTGACCCAGTGATATGGTTTGGCTATGTCCTCACCCAAACTTTATTTTGAATTGTAACTCCCACAATTCCCATGTGTTGTGGGATTAACCTGGCAGAGATGATTGAATCATGGAGATGGGTCTTTCCTGTGCTCCTCTCATGTTGGTGAATGCGTCTCACAAGATCTGATGATTTTAAACATGGGAGTTTCTCCATACAAGCTCTCTGTTTGCCTGCTGCCATCCATGTAAGACATGACTTGCTCCTCCTTGCTTTCTACCATGATTGTGAGGCCTCCCTAGCCATGTGGAACTGTAAGTTCATTAAACCTCTTTTTCTTCCCAGTCTCAGGTATGTCTTTATCAGCAGTGTGAAAACAGACTAATACAGTAAATTGGTACCAGTAGAGTAGGGCATGACTGAAAAGATACCCGAAAATGTGGAAGCAGCTTTGGAACTGGGTAACAGACAGAGGTTGGAATAATTTGGAGGGCTCAGAAGAAGACAGGAAAACGTGAGAAAGTTTGGAACTTTCTAGAGACTTGTTGAATGGCATTGACCAAAATGCTGATAATGATACAGACCATGAAATCCAGGCTAAGGTGGTCTCAGATGGAGATGAGGAACTTGTTGGGAACTGGAGCAAAGGTTACTCTTGTTATGTTTTAGCAAAGATACTGATGGCATTTTGCCCCTGCCCTAAGGATCTGTGGAACATTGAACTTGAGAGAGATGATTTGGGATATCTGGTGGAAGAAATTTCTAAGCAGCAAAGCATTCAAGAGATGACTTGGATGCTGTTAAAGGCATTCAGTTTTAAAAGGGAAACAGAGCATAAAAGTTCAGAAAATTTGTAGCCTGACAATGTGATAGAAAAGAAAAATTTCTGAAGAAAATTTCTGAAGAATTCTGAGGGGAAATTTCTGAGGAAAAATTCAAGCTGGCTGCAGAAATTTGCATAGGTAATGAGGAGCCAAATGTTAATCCCCAAGACAATGCGGAAAATGTCTCCAGGACATGCCAGAGGTCTTCACAGCAGCCCCTCCAATCACAGGCCTGGAGGTCTAGGAGGAAAAAGTGGTTTCATGGGCTGGGCCCAGGTCCCCATGCTGGGTGCAATCTAGGGCCTTGGTGCCCCACATCCCAGCTGCTCCAATTATGACTAAAAAAGGCCAAGGTACAGCTTGGGCTGTGGCTTCAGAAGGTGAAAGCGCCAAACCTTGGAGGCTTCCATGTGGTGTTTAGCCTGCAGGTGTACAGAAGACAAGAATTGAGTTTGAGAACCTCCGCCTAGATTTCAGAGGATGTATGGAAACACCTGGATGTCTAGGCAGAATTTTGATGCAGGAGCAGAGCTCTCATGGAGAACTTCTGCTGGGGCAGTGTAAAAGGAAAATGTGAGGTCACTTTCCTTTTCCCCCACACAGAGTCCCGACTGGGGCAACACCCAGTGGAGCTGTGACAAGAAGGCCACCATCCTCCAGACCCCAGAATGGTAGATCCACCGACAGTTTGCACCATGTGCCTGGAAAAGCCACAGACACTCAACACCAACCTGTGAAAGCAGCCAGGAGGGAGGCTATACCCTGCAAAGCCACAGGTGCAGTGCTGCCCAAGACCATGGGAACCTACCTCTTGCATCAGTGTAACCCAGATGTGAGACATGGAGTCAAGGGAGATCATTTTGGAGCTTTAAGATTTGACTCCCCCGCTGGATTTTGAACTTGCATGGGGCCTGTAGCCCTTTTGTTTTGGCCAATTTCTCCCATTCGAAATGGCTGTATTTACACAATGCCTATACCCCCATTGTATCTAGGAAGTAACTAACTTACTTTTGATTTTACAGGCTCATAGGCAGAAGGGACTTGCCTTGTCTCGGATGAGACTATACTGTGGACATTTGAGTTAATGCTGAAATGAGTTAAGACTTTGGGGGACTGTTGGGAAGGCATAATTGGTTTGGAAATATGAGGACATGAGATTTGGGAGGAGGCAGGGGTGGAATGATATGGTTTGGCAGTGTCCCTACCCAAATCTCATCTTGACTTGTAAGTCCCACAGTTCCCACATGTCACTGGAGGAACCCAGTGGGAGATGACTGAATTCTGGGGGCAGGCCTTTCCTGGGCTGTTCTTGTGATAGTTAATGAGTCTCATGAGATCTGATGGTTTTAAAAACTGGAGTTTCCCTGCACAAGCTCACTCTGCCTGACACCATCCATGTAAGATGTGAATTCCTCCTTCTTGCCTTCTGCCATGATTGTGAGGCCTCCCCAGCTATGTGGAAGTGTAAGTCCATTAAATCTCCTTTTCTTCCCAGTCTTGGGTATGTCTTTATCAGCAGCACGAAAATGGACTAATACACCCAGCAACTCATTACTGGGTATATACCCAAAGGAATATAAATTATTCTCACGTGCACACATATGTTCATTGTAGCATTATTCACAATAACAAAGACACAGAGTTAACCTAAATGCCCATCAACAGTAGACTGAATAAAGACAATATGGTACATATACACCATAGAATACTATGCAAGCCATAAAAATGAGACCCTGTCCTTTGCAGGAACATGGATGGAGCTGAAGGCCATCATCTTCAGGAAACTAACAGAGGAACAGAAAACTAAATACCACATGTTCTCACCTATAGGTGGGAGCTAAACATTGAGAACATATGGACACAAAGAGAAGAACAATAGACACTGGGGCATACTTGAGGGTGGAGGGTGGGAGGAAGGAGAGGATTGGAAAAAAATAACCATTGGGTACCAGGCTTAGTACCTGGGTGACAAAAATCTGTACACCAAACCCCCATGACATGAATTTACCTGTATAACAAACTTGCTCATGTACCCCTGAGCCTAATATAAAAGTTAAAAAAAATCCAGACTGAATATATGAATTTTTTCTGAAAAAATACGCAATGACCAGTCCAGTATGAATTACATATTTCCAACCTTTCCATTCCAAAGAATAATAGTGCAACTAGTATGGAAAAAGTATAATTTTGCTTTAAATCACTAAGTTTCATTATTCTCTTGACTGTTTATAGCCTTATTTTATGTGTTCACGAGTTAAACAATTTGACTAGGTTTAAGAGTCAAATACATGAGTGAAATATATGCTGAACTGTGGTCTGCTCTTATATGTGAAAATCATTTATTTCTCCCTCAGCCTCATTGCCTTCTAGATATTTTCTTTTATTTTCTACTCTTTTCTACAATGCATCCTTCTCTTTTCAATATGCTGCATCCTACTATTTCTTTCATTAAATTTAACTCACTTTAGTTTTGTAAATAGACAAAAAAATACTCACAAAAAATTCCATCTTTTTATCTTTTCTCTGTGTTAATGCCTTGTCTAATTCCATCACATCTGGCTAAGGTGTTAGGAGGTTGTTTATTAGCCTTTGCCATTTCTTTTTTATTATAAACCTCAGATGGATAGTTATTTTTTTTAGTGACTTTTGCATGGCGCAGTTTTTCTAAATGTGGTATTTAATTAATACTATTTCAATCTTACTCCACATTTCTAGTCTAAATAAATGTTCAAGTTACAACCACAGCTTATAATTCAGCACTGAGAAAGCTAGGAAACTATAAAAGCTAGAAAACTTTGTGTGCATGTAAGGGGCTGGTACACATATATAAGATAATGATATGAATATATCTGTTGCTCATTTAAAATTTTGGCACTGCCTACTTTACCTATATGTCCTATATATCTGTATAAAATCATATTGAGCCTGCGTGTAATATTTACCATTGATACTGCGAAAGTCCTGAATTAAATTTTCTCCAGAGACATAAAATTTGAGTTTATTGTTTCAAGTTAATGAGTATGCCTTTAACTCAGGCAAAGACAAGAGCTGAAACCAGATTATGTGGCCTTAAACCACACAACAATTTCCCTTTTGCTGTTTTAGTTTTGTTTGTATAAAATAATCAAAACATACTGTATGAATTATAAGCTTCTAAAATGTTTTATCCTCACTGAGCAGTTTAGATGATGTATGGCAGTACAGAACTTACAAAGTGGTTGACTTAATTTATTGTAAGCATTAGAAATCAAAATTAGCATTAAAAATCAACACCTTGTGACTTTCCCCCTATGAACTGGGCTTACATAAAACAATAGAACGCGCTATAGGACCCATCAGTTTTTGATGAACTTTTGGCTGTATAACTGCAGAAAGTAAAAGGTCCGGAAGCAAACTTGGATCACTTCTAGCTAGCACTGAAAGTCATTAAAACAGAGATCTACAGACTTTTGTTGACAAACATTTTGATTACTATTTTATTTTACGGAATAATTCTTAGTTTCCATCCTTGTGTTTCCATCCGGTGTCTATTGTTCTTGGCCTCCAGGAAAATCTTATCAGTCACCATTTGTTCAGTTACTCAACACTAAGCATAGATTTTAATGTCCTTTTTTAAGTCTTATGCTGAGATAAGAATGTATTCGGTCGTTTCTGATTCAAACTTAATATATAACAAACTTGTATATTGTGTGAGCATTTACATATGCTTTGTGTATATATAATTTATTTAACATGAAAGTTAGCACAGGATAGTGGAAGCTTGCTCAAAAAGTTTTTCTTGTGAAACTTTAGCTTGTTCAGGAGGGTACTACTTCAAAAGCAAAATAAACAAAAAACTGACTTTTTTTGCTACAGTTTTAAAATACATCAAATTCTCTATAGTAAATGGATTATATTTCTTGTTAGTTAATGATAAACCACAATTCTATAACATGACATTAAATAATAGTTATATAACATCAGTGGCATATAATTTTCTACAAATGAAATTAATGCATTTATAAACATGTTTTAATATTCCTTTTTATACATTATTTTTTCTTCAGAAGAAAGAAAAAGGACCAACTTTTCTAAAGTAAATACCCCCCTCAAAAAAAGGGATTTGGTAGCTATAAAGTTGATGATATATAATATGGGCTGAAAGTATCTTTACTTAATCCCGATTAGTTTTGAGGAAAAGTTGCTACTGGATATTTTTGAGGTGACAAATCTGTAATTATTTTAGTAATAATGTATTCACTTTATGAAATCCATGACCATTTCTTTTTTCCTCTTAGAGCAATTTAGTGAACTGTAATTTACTGCAATTTGTGTGGATAAAGGTTGTGGATTATATTCTGCTATTAATATTTGTGAATACAAATTTATATCAATGAATTCAGAGGTGGCATATGACCAAATTCAATGACTCATGCCTAAGAAAACAATAGTTAATTGCAATTTAGAAATAGGCAGTATATTTTCAGCTATTCAAAAACACAAAACAGCCTTCCAGTAGTGATCTGAGGTTTGTACTACATGAAGACATCTTGCCAAAATGTCTATGAAACTTCTTTGAGGCTTAATGTTCATTAGGATATATATGTAGAACAATTTACTGTTATAAGGGCTGATTAGGACAGTACAAAACCAAAGCAGTCGACTTGCCCCCAGTCCTCCCACCCCAATTCAGACTATATTTGCTAACAGATTGGGGGATAAACGTTCACTATGGTAGATACATTCATATAATATCAATTGTGCACCTGATTACCATATAGAGCTATATGGGAATAAGAGACATCTGGTTTTGATATGTGTTTTGAAGAATGCAGAAAGATCATCTCAGTCCCCTAATTAACTCCTGTATCAGCTACCTACATCACCTAACATTCCTATCATAAATATTTATCCTATGGGTTAAGACATCTCCAGATACAAGACTCTCTTAAAGAGTTTTTGACTGACATGTCAATGAACTAATGTATTTTTCTAGTACTTTATAAGATGCAAAATTCTTTACGAAAATTCTATAGGCCATTGTTATTTTATTAGCAATGAGGAACTGAGGTTCAGAGAAGTTATATAACCTGCCCAGGTCATATAGTTAGTGGGAAATGGAAGCATCTGACTCCAATTCTAATGCTTTTATTATTATATTACAGCAAGGATATAAGAGACTACTGCATCATTAGTTAATACACAGGGTAGTTTGGCAGATTAGTTGGCATATTCTTGAAGAAGAGGGTCAGAGTTGGGACGGTATTGGAAAGGTGCTTTAGGTCACAGTGAAAAAGGCAGCAGTCCAGGACACTGGGAACCTGGGGTTGGGCGGGGTATGAGAAGTGGGGTAAAGGTGGGAGATAGGGCTGATCCAAAGGAATCAAGATGACAAAGACAGAGGTAGAAATCCTATGACCAACCTCCCTCTTTAAGATTGCTCTTGGCTATAAGAACAGGAAGTCTTTCTCCTCTTGCCACAGTTCCTGAGAGCCACAGCCTAAGAGACTCCATGATATCTTCTAACCACCCTTCTTCTATGTTGGGAAATAGAGTTTATTGAAAAAGGGAAGTTAGATTTTTGCCCTTTTCAGAAATTCTTTATGGGGATTATTTAGGCAAGAAAATACATATGACAATTCACAAGTACTCCATGAATGGCCTCAATGATATATAGAAGACACTCTGCAAACCAGATATTTCTACAGTTGCAATTTTTCATCATAGTAATTAACAAATACTCTTTTAGTATTTGAGGATCTGAAGCCAAATTGCCTTGGTTAGACTCTGTTTCTTACCAACTATATGATCCTGAACAATTTACTCATCCTTTTTGTGCTTCGGTATTCTCATCTGTTAAATAGTCATCTGTTAAATAGTCATAATAATAGTTATCTACCTCATGGATTGTTTTAAGAATTACATAATTAAATACACATAAAGATTTTAGAAAAAGGCCTCATTCAGGCTAAGGTTTTTATGAATTTTAGCTCTTATTACAATTTTTAGAAATGTATAATTAGAACATGCCACAAAAAGTGGAATACAATGGAAAGGAATATGAAAAAGATTTTGAAGTTCTAATTTACAGTGGCTCTTATTTTCTTAGTAAGAACATTGGACTTTTGTGGCTAATAATTAATAGAAGTTTGATAAGACTGCTTTCCTAGACTGGGACAAATGATCTAATTTAATAAAGTTTAGTCCATAAATATGTTTCCTAACAAAGTATCAGTTCTTTTTTTCACCTTTTTTTTTGTTCTTGAAGAAATCTTTTGCTTTAAAACATAGAGAATCCCAAGAGAAATATTTATATACAAGCAACTGGAAAGAATAGGAAACATGAGATGTAGGAAATAAAATATGAAGATACTGGGAAGGAGTTGTAAGAGCAGAGTTAGGAAAGGGAGGCTTTGGCCTAGAGAGAAGGTTCTGGAAAACTCAGACATAAGGAGAAAAATTACTATATTCTTTGGTTTGTTCCAATCAAGTAGTTTATTTCTCATCAATATTATGTGGAAGTGTCAGAAGCTATTCAGGATCAGCTAAAGGGAACACTAAACTTGTATGGTACTTACTTACCTGAATTCTTATTCCATGTTTTCCTTCATAGTTGTTTCTGTTTCTTAAACATTACATGCTGTCTCTTACCTTTTGAATGGTGGGACTTGCACATGCTATACCAACCTTGCAAAAAAGTCCCAAACAAAATGATCCTTTGCCAGGTTAACTTCTAATCTCTCAAGTCTCTATTTAAATGCCTCTTCCTTGGGATACTTGACTCCTTAATGAAATTAAGTTCCTTGTTAGATGCTCTCATAGAGCTTCAGAACCTCCCTTATAGCTTAACTTCTTCTCCAGATTATGAACCCCATGACAGTACAGTACTTATCTCTGGGGTGGTAGAAAATGTACTCCATGCTGATTTGTATGGTAGTTTACAAATGTAAAAATTCATTGAACTGTAAATCTAAGATAAGCGCACTTTTATTTTATGCATGTCATGACTCAATAAATAAGAAAAAACAGTCAGGCACTCATCTGGATATTTAATCTGCACAATACCAAAACTGAAGTTTAAGTTGAACGAACACTTTGAATTAAAAAAGTTTCTCTTTACTGAGGCAAAATCTGTATTTCTATAATTTTCATCTGTTGTCCATATATCTATTTGAGCCAACATTAAATAATTCTATTTCTCTATTAACATGATCCTTTTTAAAATATTTGATGAGAGATTTCATGTTCCAGGTTAATTTCATCCATTCCTCTGATAATAGTTTAAATTTTTTAAACATTTTAATCTTCCTCTTACAGATGTTATTTAGTATATTAATGTGCCTTGAAACATGGTGCCTAGATCTGAACGTAGCATTCCAGTATTATCTGACCAATGCAGAGTACAGCTTGCCATCACTTCCCTTAAATTGGATATTTTGCTACTATTGAACAGTCTAAAACACTTTCATTAATTCTGTTTATTATTATCTCTTCTCATGTTAAGGCTCCTTTTCAACTCCATCTAAAAATTGCCATTAAACTAGATCCCTTCCTTCTGTATTTGTATAATTCATTTTTTAAACCTAATTCAGGCCATTATATGCTGTTGGCTTCAGGGCAATAATAGATTCAAACTTATTCCACCGCAAATTACGTCCTTTCCTTATTTCATAGGTTTGTTGTAAAGATTACATATGATAATGTCTATAAAATTGTGCTTTGTAAAGTGCATAGTATATGCAAAGTTGAAGAAAATAATTGTCAAAATTGTGAGAGAACATAACTGAAGAATATAACTGTCAAGATAATTTTGTGAAAATAATATTTTATCCTTCCATGCTGTTTAAGAATATTAAATATAAAAAGCATAAGAACAGAGTTTTATAGCATAACTCCCTTTCAAGTTGACATCCATCAACACTTTTTTGTTTAGTCATTATTAATTAATAGAAACATGGCCCAATACCCTATTAAAAATAAACAAATATTAAGGAACATATAGAAATAAGATAGAATTTGAGTAGTTTGTATTTTTTGCTGCCATTTCTTAATATATAATTAACTCCTTAAGCAGTAATCCTACATGGTCTTAATTACTGTAGCTTTATAGTACATTTTCATCCCTGGATGCATTTTCTTCTCTGGGAGATCTTGGCTGTTCTTGGTCTTGTGAATTTTCAAGTACTATTGACTATGCTGTGGAAGTCCTGCATATGGACACACACATACACATACATACACTCACAGCATCTGTTTAAGATTTTGTCTGGGATTGCTTTAAGTCTATAGATCCATCAGGAGAAAATTGACATCTTTAAAATAATGATTTTTTTTCCAACCTATGCACACAATGTATCTTTCCATTTATTGTCTTTCAGTAAAGTTTATAATTTTTCTATAAGGGTCTTGCACATCTTGCTATGTATGCCATTTTTTTTACTGTCTTAAATGACATATTTTTGAAACATGTCATTTTCTAACTTTGTTGCTAGTATATAGAGACCTAATTGGTTTTGTTTATAGATTTTTATATCCACAAACCTTAAAGACTCTAACAATTTTTAATATTGTTTTGATTATAGACATACACAATTATACTATCTGTGAATAATGATTTTTTTCTTCTTTTCCGATTCCTTTAACATTCATCTTTCTACTTTCTGTTTCCTCCTACCCCAACACATCTCTGTCCCATTACCCATCCCCACTAGCACTATCCTGAATCTTGTCTTTCATCACTTCTTTAATGTTTTAAAATGTTTTTTCATATATATGTATTCCTTTAAAATAACATTTTGATTGCTTTTAACTTTATCAAAAAGATACCACTAATCTGAGCATTATAACCATCATTGTATTACTACATATAGCTGCATAAAGAAAATATAGCTAAATACCATTTTGATCTTGGGGTAGAGAATGATCTGCTAACAAGACTCTATAAAATTAATATCTCTATCAAAGAAACTTTAAATAAAGTACAAAATACATGTTATAGAAAGCAGAGACTCAGATATTTATATACGAATGTTCAGAGCAGCATTATTAGCAATAGCCAAAAGCTGGAAATAACCCAAATATCCATCGACAGATAAATGGATAAATAAAATGTAACATATGCATATAATGGAACATTATTGTGCAAGTGGATGAACCTTGAAAACATTATGCTAAGTGAAATAAACCAGAGACAAAAGGGCAAATATTATGTTTTTCCACTCATATGAGTTACCTAGAATAGTCAAAATTATAAAGACAGAAAGGAGAGCAATGGTTACCAGGGGCTAGGAAGAAGGGTAATGGGAAGGTATTGTTTAGTGGGTATAAACTTTCACTTTGGAATAATGAAAAAGTTCTGGTGATAGTGGTGATGGTTACACAACAGGTGAATATACTTAATACCAGTGAATTGAATGCTTAAAAATGGTTAAAATGATAAATTTTATGTAATGTGTATTTTACCAAAATATAAAAAAATTAAAAACAATATATGTTACAAACTGGGAGATAGTATTTATAGCAAATAAAATTTTCAAAGGATTAGAATCAAGACTATAAAAAAGAACTACAAAAAGTGTAAACAACTCAATAGAAAGATAAGAATAACCCATGAACTAGAAAAAATTGTGACTAATCAAGACCTAAAGAGATATTAAACCTCTTCAAGTTGGGAAATACAACTCAAAACCACATTGAGATGCCATTTCACATTTGAATTTTACATTCTTTTGATTGGCAAATATTAGGAAGAATTGGAGTATCTAAATTACTGCTGGAACATAAATTAGTATAACCATTTTAGAAAGTAGTTTGGCATTATCTTGTAATATTGAATATTCACAAACCCTACACTTCAACAATTCTATTCTTAGATATCTGCCTAAGAGAAACTCTCAAACTTTTACTACAGGAGTTATGTATTAATATAATAGTCTATTGCAATATTACAATAACAACAATTTGAAAAAACCCAAATGCTCTCTGAAAGAGAATAAATATATTTTAGTATATTCAAATAACGTACTAGCATATGGCCATCAAAATGAACTACTAATAGAGCCCCCAAATTCAGATGAACGTTTCTTCTTGCAATATATATTTATTAACTCATTAATTTTCAGTAATTTAATTTAATATATGCATTTAAGGCTGTAAATTTCCTTCCACATGTAATTTTAGCTGTAGTTCACCCATGTTGGTATCCAGTTCTTTTGTTTCTGCTCAATTCAAACTATTTTCAAATGTTAATAGATATCTTTTTACTAATGCATTATTTAGAAGTATAGATCTTAATTTGTTTTAGACTATATCTTGTTTTACACACTTTATTCATAGAGTTATATTTTTTATTTAAATCATCAATTTTCTTCATTCTAACTTAGGACAAAATTTTTTTAAACATGATCTGTATTTCATTGTATTAGCTTTGCACACTCTAAAAATTCTATTTTGAATCTATATATACTTCTCTGTTCCTTTATTTTCATATTTTTAAAGAATTTTCTCATTTGTTTTAGGCATGTTGTTTGCAAAAGAGAATGTGCCTCATATTGAGTCAGTGTATTTAATTTATATCTATTGTGATTACTGAAGTTTTCTACTTATCTTTTTAGTATCACCATTTTTTTAATGTTCTCTACTTATAGCCCTTTTTCTTTTTCTTTTTTTTTTCCTGCTTTCTGTTTTATTAGTAGCATTTCTTTTGATTACCACTTTTTTCTTTTCTAGTTTGATGGTTACATATTCTATTTCTTTTCTATAATTGGTTAACATTTTAACAGTTTTAATGTCATATTTTTCCTAAGTGATTAATTTTACCAGTTTCTCTTACCATCTCCTCAACAAGACAAGGACTAGTCTTATTTGGTCACCAGTGCTTTTTCAATCCTACTTCTTTTTTTTAGGTTTCCATTTTTCCTTTGTGAAGTGTATGTTTTGGTAATTTTCAGTGAGAGTTTGTAGGTATTAAACACTCTTTGTCTTTATATCTTATTAATATCTAGTCAATATTTTGCCCTCACTCTTATATGATAGTTTAGGTATAGAATTCTAGGCTGATGGTTATTTTTCCTAATTAGTTTGGAGATAGTACTTTACTGTCTTCCTGCACCTACTGTTGCTCATGAAACATTTTCAGTTAATCTTGTAATTTTCTTTTTAGAAAAATTGTCTTTTCTCTCTGGTAGCTTGTAAGAAACCAGAGATTTCATAATGCATTCATGTGTGTGTATATGTGTATGTGTTTACTTATGTGTTTTTACTTTCCTACTGCTAGATTTTTGGAAGTATAATTGACATAAAAGAAAACTACTTATTTCACTAAAACTGGAAAAAAGAAAACAATCAATATTTCAATTGTATGACTTGGGAAGTTCTGACATGTTTGTCCAACTGTGAAAAATTACCACAATCAAGAAAATCACATCCAAAAGTTTTCTCCTGTCACTTGGTAACTTTCCCTTCTATCTCTTCATGTATCCTCTTCCAGAAAACGATGGGTCTAATTTCTGCCATTATATATTAGTCTGCATTTCTGAGTTTTATGTAAATGGAATCATATAACATGTACTCTTTGTTTTGGAGAGGAAGATGTTTTGTGTTCTTTCATTAAGCATCATTATGTTGTTGTATGTATTAGTAGTTTGTCTCTTTCATTACTAAGTAGTTTCTCATTGCAGCAATGTTCCACAATTTGCTTATTAATTCACGTATCAAGCATTTGTATTGTTTCTAGTTTTGCCAACTACAAATAAAGCTGCTAGTAACATTCATGTACAAGCTTTTATATGGACATATGCTTTCATTTTGGGGGCATAGATACCTAGAAGTGGAATGACTGGACCACATGGTAGTTGTATTTAACTCTATAGTACTCACAGACTGTCAAAGTCATTGTACAATTTTACGTTCCCATCAGTAGCATTTGAGAGTACCAGTTGTTCCACATTCTTATCAACACTTAGCATAATCAGACTTTTTTATTTTATCCATTCAAATGGCCAGGTAGTGGTATCACATTGTGATTTTGATTTGCAATTCCCTAATAACTAATGATGTTGACTTTTTTTAATGTGCTTATTTGTAATCCATGTATCTTGTCTGATGAAGTATCTTTCAAATCTTTGTCCATTAAAAAAATTAGATTGTGTTAGTTTCTTACAATTAAATTTTGAAAAAATTCTTTATATATTCTGAATACAAGTTCTTAATCAAGTATGTGACTTGCAAATATTTTCTGTCTTTTTTTTCTTTCTTTTTTTTAAATTTTATTATTATTATACTTTAAGTTTTAGGGTACATGTGCACAACGTGCAGTTTTGTTACATATGTATACATGTGCCCTGTAGGTGTGCTGCACCCGTTAACTTGTTATTTAGCATTAGGTATATCTCCTAATGCTATCCCTCCCCCCTCCCCCCACCCCACAACAGTTCATGGTGTGTGATGTTCCCCTTCCTGTGTCCATGTGTTCTCATTGTTCAATTCCCACCTATGAGTGAGAACATGCGGTGTTTGGTTTTTTGTCCTTGCGATAGTTTGCTAAGAATGATGGTTTCCAGCTTCATCCATGTCCCTACAAAGGACATGAACTCATCATTTTTTATGGCTGCAAAGTATTCCATGGTGTATATGTGCCACATTTTCTTAATCCAGTCTATTGTTGTTGGACATTTAGGTTGGTTCCAAGTCTTTGCTATTGTGAATAGTGCCGCTATAAACATATGTGTGCATGAGTCTTTATAGCAGCATGATTTATAATCCTTTGGGTATATACCCAGTAATGGGATGGCTGGGTCAAATGGTATTTCTAGTTCTAGATCCCTGAGGAATCACCACACTGACTTCCACAATGGTTGAACTAGTTTACAGTCCCACCAACAGTGTAAAAGTGTTCCTATTTCTCCACATCCTCTCCAGCACCTGTTGTTTCCTGACTTTTTAATGATCACCATTCTAACTGGTTTGAGATGGTATCTCATTGTGGTTTTGATTTGCATTTCTCTGATGGCTGGTGATGATGAACATTTTTTCATGTGTTTTTTAACTGCATAAATGTCTTCTTTTGAGAAGTGTCTGTTCATATCCTTCGCCCACTTTTTGATGGGGTTGTTTGCTTTTTTCTTGTAAATTTGTTTGAGTTCATTGTAGATTCTGGATATTAGCCCTTTGTCAGATGAGTAGGTTGCGAAAATTTTCTCCCATTCTGTAGGTTGCCTGTTCACTCTGATGGTAGTTTCTTTTGCTGTGCAGAAGCTCTTTAGTTTAATTAGATCCCATTTGTCAATTTTGGCTTTTGTTGCCATTGCTTTTGGTGTTTTAGACATGAAGACCTTGCCCATGCCTATGTCATGAATGGTAATGCCTAGGTTTTCTTCTAGGGTTTTTATGGTTTTGGGTCTAACATTTAAGCCTTTATAACAAACTGCCTCTCAGACCACAGTGCAATCAAACTAGAACTCAGGATTAAGAAACTCGCTCAAAAACGCTCAACTACATGGAAACTGAACAACCTGCTCCTGAATGACTACTGGGTAAATAATGAAATGAAGGCAGAAATAAAGATTTTCTTTGAAACCAACGAGAACAAAGACACAACATACCAGAATCTCTGGGACACATTCAAAGCAGTATGTAGAGAGAAATTTATAGAACTAAATGCCCACAAGAGAAAGCAGGAAAGATCTAAAATTGACACCATAATATCACAATTAAAAGAACTAGAAAAGCAAAAGCAAACACATTCAAAAGCTAGCAGAAGGAAAGAAATAACTGAGATCAGAGCAGAACTGAAGGAAATAGAGACACAAAAAACTCTTCAAAAAATTAATGAATCCAGGAGCTGGTTTTTTGAAAAAATCAACAAAATTGATAGACTGCTAGCAAGACTAATAAAGAAGAAAAGAGAGAAGAATCAAATAGATGCAATAAAAAATGATAAAGGGGATATCACCACCGATCCCACAGAAATACAAACTACCATCAGAGAATACTATAAACACCTCTATGTAAATAAACTACAAAATATAGAAGAAATGGATAAATTCATCGACACATACATCCTCCCAAGACTAAACTAGGAAGAGGTTGAATCTCTGAATAGACCAATAACAGGAGCTGAAATTGAGGCAATAATCAATAGCTTACCAACCAAAAAATGTCCAGGACCAGATGGATTCACAGCTGAATTCTACCAGAGGTACAAGGAGGAGCTGGCACCATTCCTTCTGAAACTATTCCAATCAATAGGAAAAGAGGGAATCCTCCCTAACTCATTTTATGAGGCCAGCATCATCTTGATACCAAAGCCTGGCAAAGGCACAACCAAAAAAGAGAATTTTAGACCAATATCCTTGATGAACATTGATACAAAAATCCTCAATAAAATACTCGCAAACCGAATCCAGCAGCACATCAAAAAGCTTATCCACCATGATCAAGTGGGCTTCATCCCTGGGATGCAAGGCTAGTTCAACATACGCAAATCAATAAATGTAATCCAGCATATAAACAGAACCAAAGACAAAAACCACATGATTATCTCAATAGGTGGAGAAAAGGCCTTTGACAAAATTCAACAATGCTTCATGCTAAAATCTCTCAATAAATTAGGTATTAATGGGATGTATCTCAAAATAATAAGAGCTATCTATGACAAACCCACAGCCAATATCATACTGAATGGGCAAAAACTGGAAGCATTCCCTTTGAAAACTGGCACAAGACAGAGATGCCCTCTCTCACCACTGCTATTCAACATAGTGTTGGAAGTTCTGGCCAAGGCAATCAGGCAGGAGAAGGAAATAAAGGGTATTCAATTAGGAAAAGAGGAAGTCAAATTGTCCGTGTTTGCAGATGACACGATTGTATATCTAGAAAACCCCATCGTCTCAGTGCAAAATCTCCTCAAGCTGATAAGCAACTTCAGCAAAGTCTCAGGATACAAAATCAATGTACAAAAATCACAAGCATTCTTATACACCAACAACAGACAAACAGAGAGCCAAATCCTAAGTGAACTCCCATTCACAATTGCTTCAAAGAGAATAAAATACCTAGGAATGCACCTTACAAGGGATGTGAAGGACCTTTTCAAGGAGAACTACAAACCACTGCTCAATGAAATAAAGAGGATACAAACAAATGGAAGAATATTCCATGCTCATGGGTAGGATGAATCAATATCATGAAAATGGCCATACTGCCCAAGGTAATTTATAGATGCAATGCCATCCCCATCAAGCTACCAATGACTTTCTTGACAGTATTGGAAAAAACTACTTTAAAGTTCATATGGAACCAAAAAACAGCCTGCATCGCCAAGTCAATCCTAAGGCAAAAGAACAAAACTGGAGGCATCACACTACCTGACTTCAAACTATACTACAAGGCTACAGTAACCAAAACAGCATGGTACTGGTACCAAACAGAGATATAGACCAATGGAACAGAACAGAGCCCTCAGAAATAATGCCACATATCTACAACTATCTGATCTTTGACAAACCTGAGAAAAACAAGCAATGGGGAAAGGATTCCCTATTTAATAAATGGTGCTGGGGAAACTGGCTAGCCATATGTAGAAAGCTGAAACTGGATCCCTTCCTTACACCTTTTTTTTTTCTTTCATGAAGTAGAAGTTGTTAGCTTTGATAAAGTATAATTTATCATTTTCTTCTTTTATGCATCAGGATTTTGGTATTGTACCTACAACTTGAATTTTAATGCCGAGTTGATCAATGTCCCTTTTATTGATAAGGTTTTTGTTTTTAGATATAGTTCCAACTTTAAGGTCACAAATACTTTATTTATGTTTTCTTTAAAAGTTCCAAAGCTTTTAATGTAATTTTTATTTAGTTGGAATTGATTTTTATGTATGGGATGGGATAAGAATCCCATTTTGTTTTTTCCTATGCATACCCAATTGACTCAGATTAATTTATTGAACAGTACATGATTTCTCCCTTTTATCAGTCAGGATAAGTTCAGTTATGCTCTAGTAACAATTTAAAGATATCTGTGTCATACACAAGTCACCAGGGACTCTTGGTTATCACAGCCACTCAGGCACCCATGCTAATGGAGGCTTGGTATTGACATATGCTTCTAGAATTACTTAGGCAAGAGAAGAGGAAGACAAATTGCTAATTGACTTTTGAAGCTTCACCACTCAAGGACATAGTTCTGCTCATACTTTCTTAACCAAAGTAAGTCACGGGTTGTACCTATCTCCTGTTGTGATTTCTATGATTATGGTTTCTTTCTGATTTGGTCTTGAGGTTTCTCTCTTTGTTGGGAGTGGCCATAAGCTAAGATAGCTACTCTTTAGGAGACCCCTGACTGGAGGAGAAAGTTGGGTTCATGTGTGTGTGTGTCAGGTGAGACACAATGAGGAAGGAAAACCAAAATGCATAAAATGGAGGAAACCTAGAGAGGTTAGGAGCACCAATGGGAAGTTGAGAGATGACAGGGAGCTCAACCAGCAGGTGGGGAGAAAGAGAAAGAGAGAGAGAGGACCTGTAGGACTATGCCTTTGTTAAGGATGAGGGGTGCTTTCCCTTAGGCTTTCACAAGGGGGTTATGGATTGGAGTTCAAAGAAAACACTTGCAAAGATAAGAACTTATTTACATGACTTAGGTGTTCAACATTAGGTTTTATCATGGTCAGCAGGTGTGGGATGTGTTGGGTTTTGGGTCAGTGAAATCAGGAACAAGCAGGTTATATCATAAAAAACCATGCGGGGATGGGAAATTTTAACCAGGCCAAAGGTGATGGAGTACAACTAGGATTCAAATAACTTATGTCAGGACTAAAAGTGGATGCCAAGGTGGCAACTAGATTAAACAAATTTGTGATAATCTTACTTCTCTAAGGATGGCAGAGTATTTGAGAAAGCCTCTGACATGAGAAAGAGAGAAAAAGAAACTAGAAAATAGGCCGGGCGTGGTGGCTCATGCCTATAATCCCAACAGTTTGGGAGGCCGAGGCAGGTGGATCACGAGGTCAGGAGTTCAAGCCCAGCCTGATCAATATGGTGAAACCCCGTTTCTAGTAAAAATACAAAAATTAACCGGGCATGGTGGTGCATGCCTGTAATCCTAGCTACTTGGAAGGCTGAGGCAGGAGAATTGCTTGAACCCGGGAGGCGGAGGTTGCAGTGAGCCGAGATCGCGCCACTGCACTCCAGCCTGAGCGACAGAGTGAAACTGTGTCTTAAAAAAAAAAAAAAAAAAAAAGGTAGAAAATGAAAGCAATCTGGAGGAAACAGAAAACATGCACAATAAAACTTTTGCCCAGACTCTAAGATCCTTAGACAGATAAATATAGACATGGCTTCCATAAATAAGAATGAGATGCTAGATATGAAGAACACCAGAGAACAAGAAGAATCCCTTAGAAATAAAATAAAAATAGTCAAAATTTGAAAAAAAAAAAAGTGATAAAATGTTGGAAGTTAAAATCAGGGAAATATTCTAGAAGATAAAATGACCAAGAGGTTGAAAATAAGAAAGAAAAAGAGGCTTGGAGTATCAATCCATGATTATCATCTCTAATTAACAGTAGTTCCAGACTAAGAAAATAGAGAGAATGGAGGGGAGGAAATTATCAAAAAAAGAAAACCTTCAAGAAAAATTTCTGGAATTAAAGAGTATGTGTCTAGATTAGTGGCTCTCAAATTTTAGCATACATCATCAGAATTATGTCCAGGACTTGTTCAAACACAGATTTCTGGGCCTCACCACCAGAGTTTCTGATTCATTAGGCCTAAGGTGGCACTCAAAATCTTTCTTTTCTAACAAGTTCCTAGATGACAGTGATGCTGCTGACCTAGGGACTACAGTTTGAAAATCACTGCCGTAGGATAAAAGGGCACAGGAAATGCCCACCACAGTAAGTGAGAAATATTCACACTGAAGCATGTAATCATCAAATTCTTAGTATCAGGGATTTAAAACAATCTCCAGATTTCACAGAGAAGAAAGTAAGTTACATAAAAAAAGAACAGTGGCAATTAATAATAAAGAAAAATAGAATAGTATTCAGAATTCTGTACCTAAGCCACATATTAGTAAAGTGTGGGCATAGAATAAATAAAATGTTCAGAAGTGCAAAGTGGAAATTTACATCTCATGCACAACTTCATAGGAAGCTGTGAGATTATGCAGCAAAACAAGAAGAAGACTAAGTGAAACAAAGCTACAGAACCCAAAGAATATTTATCTACTATGAGACAGCTACAAAAGGGAGTACCTGACGACCATGGGGCATCAGGCCTAGAGAGTAGCTAGTCCATACTGGAGGACTACAAAGACAAAATTATACAAAAGACAATGTGTATCCATTATCCACTGTATACCACTTGACTCTGAAGTAGGTATCATTTATGTAGTCAAAATAATGTAAACTGTAATCACTAATTAAAACTTGTAATGTGAACATATGGGGAGGATATAGAAAGACTAGGTTGGGAAGAGGTATTAAGAGTTATTTTCATCTGCCGAAACAGAAAGCCAATGGAAAAGATCTGAATGTGATAAATAAATAGTAGTATTACTCTGGGATGAATGGAGAGAGAGCGCATGATTAGATAAGGAGAAATCCTCTCTTTGCTGGTATTTTCCTAACATTCGTGTTACATTTTCACACTCACCAGCTCTTTAATATTCATGTTGATCCCTTCTTTTCTCTCAGAATAATTTGCTTTCTGGTCTCTTTCCTGGAACGTTTACTATATCCTGTAAGGATGCTTCTATTGACAGGTAACTTAATTTATAGGAACTTGAACACTTCCCCCCTCACACTATAAGATGTATGGAGATAAGCAGCTGCTAACAGTGGTTTAGTGGCTTAGCCATATTAGTGTCACCATCTCTTTGTGCTCTTGACATCTTTTCATGGTGATAAGACAGCTGCTGAGTTTTAAGTTTCCACCTAGTTCCAGATACTGTATCTCCTTTCGTGGCAGGAAGAAAAGAAAACGAGTGGTATTCTTTGTTTTATTAGGAAGCTGCTTTCCTAGAATCTATCCCTACTCCTGTAGAGTTCCAGTTGCATCCTAAATGGATGGAATTATCCACATGGCTACCCCTAACTGTGAGGGGAAGTGAACAGCACCTAGAAGGCAGCAAGGACTAGGTGTGGATTTGGGATTAACCACTCTGTCTTGGAGTATTTATTTTTCTTGTAAGACAAAAGATAGGGAAGTGGGTATGTAGGGATAGTGAAGATACCTTACTTAAATCAAGATTTAGCATTTCCTCCAGTTGAGAAACTGGTGTGGATGGATTTGTAGTGCATATAACTGACAGTTTTGTCATGCTAAAAGAGATATACGGGACCATTCTGATATCATTCCTCATTTCAAATGTCACTAGGCCATATAGTGTCCCTTTATCACCCTTATTGGAAGCAATTCCACTTTCCTCTGAATTCTTATACTTCTTTGTCTATATCTCTTAGGAAACATGCCCCTTTTAATCTTGTATTTTTAATGATATTAATTTATATTTATCTAAATATAAAATTGATATTTACAGCATTTTTGAGATTTTTTAAGATTCAGAGTAGAAAGAAAACACCAATAGATAGGATTCTCCAGGTACATGCTTGCAGAGCATACTATAAGTATCCTTTAAAACACTTGTCACGCTTACAATTACTTAATGTTTTTCTCTTTTTGTGAAATAAAAGCACCGTGAGGACAAGGATTATTACTGTTTTATTCTTTGCCATACCTCCAGTATACAGCACAGTACCTAACACATACTAGGTGTTAATAGTCATTGAATGAATAAACACAGAAAATAAACATTAATTTTTTTGCTTCTGTTTTACTTTTTAGTTATTTTTATTTATGACTGTAAGTTCCTTAATAAAATCTGTGCCTGACTTATCTTTTTACCACCAATCATCTGTATTCCCTCAATCAACAAACAGGACTTGACACATTAGGTGCTCAATAATTATGTATCAAAAGAATATGTAAATGATTTGTATTATATCAACCTATGATATGAACCCATAGTAATAAATCATACTTTGTTCATGGATATTCATACTTATTATGCTCCTCAATGGCCTTACCTTACCTCAGAGAAGAGGAGGCCATTTAAAGCTTTAGTAAGAGGGTCTTTGTAACTGTGACTAAGGCTCCAGATAAGACAGATTGTCTCTCCCACTTTTTTTCCCCTATTCAACTTTTATTTTAGGTTCAGGGGTACATGTGCAGGTTTGTTACATGGGTAAGTTGTGTGTCACTAGGGTTTGGTGTGCAAATGATTTTGTCACCCCGCTAGTGAGCACAGTACCAGATAGGTAGTTTTTTGACCCTCATTCTAATGCTGTCAGTGGGGTGTGAATGTCTCCCACTCTTATTGTTTGGTTATTTAAGTCTCTTTATAGGTCTCTAACAATGTGTTTTATGAATCTGAGAGCTCCAGTGTTGGTTGCATATATATTTAGGAAAGTTAAGTCTTCTTGTTGAATATTTTACCGTTATGTAATGCTCTTTGTCCTTTTTGATCATTGTTGGTAGTCTGTTTTGTCTGAAATAAGAATAGCAACCCATGCTTTTTTTTTGTTTTCTGTCTGCTTGGCAGATTTTTCTCCATCCCCTTATTTTGAGCCTATGGGTGTCATAAGGAAATGGGTCTCTTGAAGACAAAATACACTTTGTTCTTGCTTTTTTATTCAACTTACCACTCTGTCTTCTAATTGGAACATTGCAATATTGACATGTGAGAATTTGAACTCAGCATCATGCGGTTAGCTGGTTGTTACATAGACTTGATTGTATAGTCGCTTTATATTATCAGTGGTCTATGTAAGTAAGTGTATTTTTGTGGTGGCTGGTAATGGTCTTTTGTTTCCATGTTTAGCAATCCTTTAAGGACCTCTTGTAATGCAGGTTTGGTGGTAATGAATTTCCATAGCATTTGCTTGTCTGGATAGAATTTTATTTCTCCTTCACTTATGATGTTTAGTTTGGCTGAATATGAAATTCTTGGTTGGAATTTCTTTTCTTTACAAATGCTGAATATAGGCCCTCAATTTCTTCTGGCTTGGAAGGTTTCTGTTGAAAGGTCGGCTGTTATTCTGATGGAGTTCCTTTTGTACATGAGCTGCCCCTTTCGTAGGTCTCTAAAAATGTGTTTTATGAATCTAGCTGCCTTTAAGATTGTTTTCTTTTTTGTTGACTGTGGAGACTCTGATGACTATGTGTCTTGAGGATGGTTGTCTGGTACAGTATCTCACAGGGGTTCTCTGAACTTCCTGAATTTGCATGTCAACCTCTTTAGTGAGGTTGGGGAAATTTTCATGTACAATATTCTTAAGTATGTTTTCCAAGTTGCTTACTATTTCTCCATCTCTTTCAGGAGTGCCAGTGAGTCACAGGTCTTGTCCATTTATATAATTTCATATTTCTTGGAGGTTTTCTTCATTTTTTAAAATTCTTTTTTCTTTATTTTTTTTTTTCTGTCTGTGTTGATTTTAAGGAATGGTTCATTTGAGCTCTGGGATTCTTTCCTCACCTTGATCTATTCTGTTATTAATACTTCCAACTGCATTCTGAAATTCCTGTAGTGAATTTTTTATTTCCACTTTAGTTTTGTTCTTTCTTAAAATGACTATGTTGTCTTTCAACTCTTGGACTGTTCTAGTGTTTTTATTGGATTGGGCTTTAATGTTGTCCTATATTTTGGTGAGCTTCCTTGCTATCCAGATTCTTCTTTGTTTTTTTTTTTTTTTTTTGACAGAGTTTTGCTCTTGTTGCCCTGGCTGGAGTGCAATGGTGTGATCTCAAGTCACTACAACCTCTGCCTCCCGGGTTCAAGTGATTCTCCTGCCTCAGCCTTCCTGAGTAGCTGGGATTACAGTCATGTGTCACCATGCCTGGCTAATTTGGCATTTTTAGTAGAGATGGGGTTTCTCCATGTTGGTCAGGCATGTCTCAATCTCCCGAACTCAGGTGATCCTCCTGCCTTGGCCTCCCAAAGTGCTGGGATTACAGGCATGAGCCACCACGTCCTGCCACTATCCAGACTCTCAATTCTGTCTGTTCTTTCAGCTTTTTCAGTGTGGTTAAGAACCACTGCTGCACTGCGTACAGCTATTTGGAAGTAAGAAGACACTTTGGCTTTTAGAGTTGCCAGAGTTCTTGAGCTGGTTCTTTATCATCTGTGTGGGCTGATGTTCCATTAATAATTGAAGTTCTCCTGCAGCTAGGATTCCAGAGGTCTGTGGTGAGAGTGTGCCACTCTATTTTACTCACCCCTTCTGCAGAAGCTCTATTTTACTCACCACACCTATTTTACTCACTCCTGTAGGAGCTGCTAAGGGCAAGGGATAAGCCCTGGTGCTGGCAATTCCTTGCAGTGTTCCTAGCTCCTTCCCCTTTCATCATGGGGTCTGCTTTTTTCCTCTGTACACTCTCAATGCCTTCTTTCTGAAGATGTATTCAGAGCGTGCTGGTGTACTTGACCATCTGGTCTCTCTTGGTGGGAGAAGCTCTTCCTGGTTGCATCTAGTCAGCCATTTTAGCTCCTCCCTGTACATTCCTTTTCCATCTCTACCACTTTCTAGCTATGCAAATTCAGTAAAGTCACTTCAACTCTGTGAGCCTGTATTCCTACATAAAGTGGAAATAATAATACTACTTCATAGCATTGATTTGAGAATTAAGAATTTATGAAAAAGCACACATAGCACATTGTTAAGAGCTTATATAATTTTCAAACATGTTAAAAAACACGATTCTCATACAAATGTAGAATGGACATGTATCAAGATTGAACTCATTAGTAAGGATAATAAAACTGATTCAAAGAACATTTGAGGAACTTTAGTTTTATTTTGGCTTAATTTTGAACTATCTCTTAAGACAATAGGTTAGATTTTAATAAAAGATCAGGAAGAGAGGAGAGCTATGAGAGTCAATGAATAATAGAGAATTCAACAAAATGAAACGAAGATTGCATCTGCCTAAAGGGACTCAAGGAATAGCATTCATTTACTCAAGGCCATATCCCCATCCTGGCAGTGTATCTCAGGGCCTGAAATACTACAGCCATGCTGTTTGCCAATCACACTTACACAACTATATTGTCTTTCTTGACAGGAGTGTTGAACTTAATCTGGCCTGAGGAATGTAATCTGTGTGAGCAAAAACAAGATTCAAAAAGCACTTAGGAGCTTAAGCTTGGTAGATGTAACATCCTGGTGTTGTTGTGGGAATAGCACTATATTTGGCATGTGAAGAACCAGAGGCAAAAGCTGACTGTCACTTGGCAGCAGTGAAGATACCGGTCAAATTGTATAAGTTTTCAGGGTATGATTTCCTTCATCTGCAACACGGGAAGACTAATACCTATACCACAGAGTTGCAATATGAATTATGTGAAAGACGCTTTGGGAAAGCAGTACTTTGTAAATGATTACCGTAAAGGGAACTATATCTATTTTTCTTGATCTTGCCTTTTGCTGGCCAGGAGATGTCCTGTAAACTAATGTGGGCAATTTCTGTCACCTAGCTTTCAGACCACAATTATTTAGGCTTAGAAGTATCTTGTCATTTTCATACATAGGGTAGGTCCTTATGTTCTCTAACTCTGTGCTCTGGGATGCTGTACTGCTTTTTATTTTAAATATCACTAAGAAAAGTCTCAAGAAGCCTTTATGCAGAATCTGGAACAGATTTCTGCCTATACCTGTAGTTAGCTGTTTTACTACTTTTTAAAAAATATCAGGCCCAACACATCTGAACTGTGATGGGATGTTTAGAGGTGTATCATTTTATGAAAACCTTGACAGCAGCATTTCAAGCACATGTTGCATGTACTTTCACCTTTTACTTCCGTCTGGTAAAAAGAAGCCTATTAAGACTCACAAAGGAGAATGATTTATACATTTTAGTTAAGACCCCATTTATAACATTCACAAAGATAGATCAAGTTAGGATGTTATTTTATTTTAAATATTTTTACTCTGCCTCATTCCACAAAGGATTTGAAGAAGTTAGGTGAGAGAGTGAATGGAGAGGTAGTTTCTTACTTAGAAATATAGCAAAATTATAGTGAAATTAGCTCTAAGTATCAATTTAATTGTAATCTTCAAGTAGAATTTATGTGAGAAGATATGTGTCATAGTGGCTGTGTCCACACAGGGAAAATTAAATGAAGAATTTGAGTATAATTCAAAATGCTAAGGAAAACACTTTTTGCTTCAGTGGCATTAACATATAAATGTATGTGTGTGTATATTATGCACTCAAACTCATCTCTATATGGTTTAACTTGAATTACCTGAATTTCATGATTATCCTGTTTATTTTGTTCTGAGCTTTTCTTTGATGAGTAAATAAAACAAATCCTGTCATGGTATTTTGTCAGGAATATTTCATCAGCACATAACTGAATTATGAGATTTGTCAGTTAATAAATTCGTGAGCAGAACTTCTAATTTCCTTACAGTCATGTACTTCTTAGGCAGATATTTTTTAATGAATGAGTACATCCTGCTTTACATATACAAAACCAGTCTGATGTCACATCTTGTGAATAGATTACTATATCTTCCCTTCTTCATATAGTCAAGGAATCCATTTTTACTTAACGCTTTGGACATTTTATTATCTTTAGAACAAAGTTTAACCTGAGAACAGTAAAATTGAGGAGAAAATTGATTAAGGCCAGGTATTTTTCACTTTTTATTATGTTATGCCAACTAAATTTGGAATCAGCAGAAAAAGTCACTATTCATTAAATATTTTTCATGAAGTAGAACATATTTGAAGTCTTTTCTCCAATATTTGTAGTATATATAACATGTTAATCCCAGTCTATACTTGTATTTCTTAATACTTCTTTTATATTTTTTTACCACTATAAAGTACATTATAAAAACTTTGATTTTTAAGATTAAAGCAAATTACATTTAGTAAATTTTGTTTTGAGAAAATTTCATAACAAATCTTAAAATAATTAGGCTATTCTTGAGTGTTTATTCACCTTTTCACCAAATATTTATGAGCCTCTACTATGTATTAGGCACTTTGATAAAGCAGAAGATTTAGCAGAGAACAAAAGAGATCTAGTCCCTACCTTTATGGTCTTTACAGTTCAGAGCAGGAGGAAACAGTAAACCACCACAAAAACTGACATGTATTTAGAAACTGAGATAAGTACAACAAAGAAAAAATATAAGCTTCTATGACTGAAAATTAAAGGGACACCCAGTTTAGACTGGGCAAACAGGCAAAGCATCTCTGAAAATTATATTTAAACTGGTAAAATACTGAAAAGATAAGCTGAAAGTGTATGAGGAATGAATGGTGGGCAGTGTGTTTGAAGTACAGTGATGGAAGGAGAGAGTGATACAAAGCAAAAGCAAGAGGAAGAGTCAGGCAAGATTATACAAGCACTGTTATTGATTTTTAAATTTGATTTAAATACATCAGCAGTCATTGAAGGGTTTTAAAGATATCATAAAAATAAGTTTGGCCCTTGCGCGGTGGCTCACGCCTGTAATCCCAGCACTTTGGGAGGCCTAGGCGGGCGGATCATGAGGTCAGGAGAATGAGACCATCCTGGCCAACACGGTGAAACCCCGTCCCTACTAAAAATACAAAAAATTAGCCGGGTGTGGTAGTGGGCACCTGTAGTCCCAGCTACTCGGGAGGCTGAGGCAGGAGAATGGCGTGAACTTGCGAGGCGGAGCTTGCAATAAGCCGAGATCGCGCCACTGCAACTCCAGTCTGGGCGACAGAGCGAGACTCCGTCTCAAAAAAATAAATAAATAAAAACAAAATAAATAAGGTTAATATTTTAAAAAGTTTATTTGACTGCTGGTTGTATAGAGCTTAGATCAGAAGAGAACAAAAGTAAAGAGAGATGGGTTGTTCAGTGGGGTGTATCTATTAAGTGGTGACTGCAGTGGGCTAGGAGAGAGATGATGGTGATTTAGACTGAAGAGTTAAAGAAGCAACCCTGAAGATGACAGAACCCTTAGTGAAAGTTCAACTGAGAGACTTCTGAGTGACAGTTGTCATAATTTAGAACAGTGGACTAATTTGCATCCCCTTTTCTCTGCATCCTTGACCACGTCTGTTATTTTTTGATGTTTTAATAATAGCTGTTCTGACTGGCATAAGATGGTATTTTGTGGTTTTAATTTGCACTTCTCTGATGATTAGTGATGTTGAACATTAGCGATGTTGAAAAGAACCTCAGAAGTAGACTCAAAATCTTTTTTAAAAATAGATTTAAGGGGTTCCAGTGCAGTTTTGTTACCTGAGTGTATTGCATGGTGGTGAAGTCTGGACTTTGAATGTAAACCCTTGAGTAGTGTACATTGTATCCAATAGGAAATTTCTCATCATCACCCTCCTCCTACCCTCCCACCTTTCTGAGTTTCCAGTATCTATTATTCCATTCTCTACATCTATGTGTACAAATTATTTGCATGTCCACTCATAAGTGAGAACATGCAGTATTTGACTTGCTGTTTCTGAGTTATTTCACTTTACATAATGGCTTATAGTTCTATCCACATTGCTGCAAATGACACCATTTCATTCATTTTTATGGCTGAGTAGTATTCCATGGTGTATATATATATATACCACATTTTCCTTATCCAATCGTCTGTTGCTGGACACTTAGTTTGATTCCATGACTTTACTATTGTGAATAGTACTGTGATAAATAGATAAATATATTAGTGGGGGCGTCTTTTTGATATAATAATTTCTTTTCCTTTGAGTAGATACTGAGTAATGGGATTGCTGAATCAAATGGTAGTTCTATTTTAGTTATTTGAGAAATCTCCATATCATTTTGATTGGACTAATTTGCATCCCCTTTTCTTTGCATCCTTGACCACATCTGTTATTTTTTGATGTTTTAATAATAGCTGTTCTGACTGGTATAAGATGGTATTTTGTGATTTTAATTTGCATTTCTCTGATGATTAGTGATGTTGAACATTTTTTTCATATGCTTTTTGGCCACTTATATGTCTTCTTTTGAGAAGTGTCTGTTTATATCCTTTGCCTACATTTTAATGGGGTTATTTATTTTTTTGTTCAGTTGTTTGATTGAATTCCTTGTAGATTATAGGTATTAGTCCTTTGTCACATGCATAGTTTGCAATAATTTTCTCCCATTCTGTAGTTCTGTTCACTCTGTTTATAGTTTCCTTTGCTGTGCAGAAACTTTTTAGTTTAATTAGATCACACTTGTTAATTAGTCCCTTCTCATGCTGCTAATAAAGAACTACTCGAGACTGGGTAATTTATAAAGAAAAAATGTTTAATTGATTCACAGTTCAGCATGGTTGGGGAAGCTTCAGGAAATTTACAATCGTGGTGGAAGGGGAAACAAACACATCCTGCTTCACATGGTGGAAGCAAGGAGAAGTGCAGAGTGAAGTAGGGGGAAAAGCCCCCTATAAAACCATCATATCTCATAAGAATTCACTATCACAAGAACAGCATGGAGGTAACCGCCCCCATAATTCACTTAACTCCCACTGGGTCCTTCCTACTATGTGGGGATTATGGGAACTACAATTCAAGATGAGATTTGGGTGGGGACACAGCCAAACCATATCACATCCATTTTTGGTTTTGTTGCATTTGCTTTTGAAGTCTTAGTCATAAATTATTGGCCTAGGCCAATGTCCAGAAGAGTTTTTCCTAGGTTTTCTTCTAAGATTTTTATAGCTTCAGAAATTACATGGAAGTTTTTAATTCATCTTGAGTTAATTTTTGTATCTACTGAGAGATATGGATGCAGTTTTTTTTCTACGTATGACTATCCTATTTTCTCTGCACCATTTTCGGAGTAGGGTGTTTTTACCCTAATTTATGTTTTTGTTGACTTTGTCGAAGTTCAGTTGGTTGTAGGTATGTGGCTTTATTTCTAGGTTCTCTATTCTGTTCCATTGATCTATGTGTCCATTTTTACACCATTACTATGCTGTTTTGATTACTGTAGTCTTGTAGTATAATTTGAAGTCAGGTAATGTATACCTCCAGATTTTTCCACTTTGGTTAGGATTGCTTTGGCCATTTGGGCTCTTTATTGGTCCCTTATGATTTTTAGGATTTTTTTTCCTGAATATTGTGAAGAATGACATTGGTATTTTGATAGGCATTACATTGCCCTTGTATTAGTCTGTTTTCACACTGCTGATAAAGACATACCCAAGACTGGGCAATTTACAAAAGAAAAAGGTTTAATTAGACTTAAAGTTCTACGTGGCTGGAGAAGCCTCACAATCCTGGTGGAAGGCAAGGAGGAGCAAGTCATGTCTTACATGGATGGTGGGAGGCAAAGAGAGAGATTGGGCAGGAAAACTCCCCCTTATAATACCTTCAGATCTTGTGAGACTTATTCACTATCATGAGAAGAGCACAGGAAAGACCTGCTCCCATGATTCAATTACCTCCCACTGGGTCCCTCCTACAACACATGGGAATTCAAAATGAGATTTGGGTAGGGACACAGCCAAATCATATCATTACATCCCTGGCCCCTCCCAAATCTCATGCCCTTACATTTCAAAATTAATCATGCCTTCCCAACAGTCCCCCAAAGTCTTAACTTATTTAAGCATTAACTCACATGTCCACAGTCCAAAGTCTCATCTGAGACAAGGCAAGTCTCTTCTACCTATGAGCCTGTAAAATCAAAAGCAAGTTAGTCACTTCCTAGATACAATGGGGGTACAGGAATTGGGTAAATACAGCCATTCCAAATCAGATAAATTGGCCAAAACAAAGGGGCTACAGGTCCCACGCAAGTCTGAAATCCAGAAGGGCAGTCAAATCTTAAAGTTCCAAAATAATCTCCTTTGACTCCATGTCTCTCATCCAGGTCATGCTGAAGCAAGAGATAGTTTCCCATGGTCTTGGGCAGCACTGCACCTGTGGCTTTGCAGGGTACAGCCTCCCTCCTGGCTGTTTTCACAGGCTGGTGGTGAGTGTCTGTGGCTTTTCCAGGTGCATGGTGCAAGCTGTCAGTGGATCTACTAATCTAGGGTATGGAGGACGGTGGCCCTCTTCTCACAGCTCCATTAAGTGGTGTTCCAGTAGGGACTGTATGTGGGGCCGCAGACCCCACATTTTCTTTCCACACTTGCCTAGCAGAGGTTCTCCATGAGAGCCCCACCCCTGCTGCAAACTTCTGCCTGGACATCCAGGCATTTCCGTACATTCCCTGAAATCTTGGCAGAGGTTCCCAAACCTCAATTCTTGACTTCTGTGCACTTGCAGACTCAACACCATGTGGAAGCTGCCAAGGCTTGGGGCTTGCACCCTCTGAAGCCATGGCTCAAACTCTACCTTGGCCCCTTTCAGCCATGGCTGGAGCAGCTGGGAGGCAGGGCACCAAGTCCCTAGGCTGCACACACACAGGGACCCTGGGGCTGGCCCATAAAACTATTTTCTCCTAGGCCTCCAGACCTGTGATGGGAGGGGCTGCTACGAAAATCCCTGACATCCCCTGGAGACATTTTCTCCATTGTCTTGGGGATTAACATTTGACTTCTTGTTACTTATGCAAACCTCTGCAGCTGGCTTGAATTTCTCCTTAGAAAATGGATTTTTCTTTTCTATCACATTGTGAGGCTGCACATTTTCTGAACTTTTATGCTCTGCTTCCCTTATAAAACTGAATGCCTTTAACAGCACCCAGGTCACCTCTTGAATGCTTTTCTGCTTAGAAATTTTTTCCTCCAGGTACCCCAAATCACCTCTCTCAAGTTCAGAGTTCCACAGATCTTTAGGGCAGGGGCAAAATGCCACCAGTCTCTTTGCTAAAACATAACAAGAGTAACCTTTGCTCCAGTTCTCAACAAATTCCTCATCTCCATCTGAGACCACCTCACTCTGGACCTTATTGTCCATATTGTTATCAGGATTTTGGTCAAAGCCATTCAACAAGTCTCTAGGAAGTTCCAAACTTTCGCACATTTTCCTGTCTTTTTCTGAGCCCTCCAAACTATTCCACCCTCTACCTGTTACCCAGGTCCAAGCTTGCTTCCACATTTTCAGGTATCTTTTCAGCAGTGCCCCATTATACTGGTACCAATTTACTGTATTAGTCCATTTTCATGCTGCTGATAAAGATATACCTGAAACTGGGCAATTTACAAAAGAAAGAGGTTTAATTGGACTTACAGTTCCATGTGGCTGGGGAAGTCTCACAATCATGGTGGAAGGCAAGGAGGAGCAAGTCACGTCTTACATGGATGGCAGCAGGCAAAGAAAGAAATTGGGAAGGGAAACTCTCCCTTATAATATATCAGATCTCATGAGACTTATTTGCTGTCATGAGAACTGCATGGGAAAGACCTGACCACATGATTCAATTACCTTCCACCAGGTGTCTCCCACAACATGTGGGAATTCAAGCTGAGATTTGGGTGAGAATACGGCCAAACCATATCAAATCTGTAAATTGCTTTGGGCAGAATGATCATTTTAATGATATTCATTCTTCCAATCCATAATCATGGATTTTTTATATTTTTTTGTGTCATCTATTATTTCTTTCAACAGTGCTTTGTAGAGATCTTTCACCTCCTTGTTTAAATGTATTCCTAGGGTCTTTTTTTTTTGTAGCTAATGTAATTAAGATGAGTTCTTGATTTAGCTCTCAGCTTGCATAGTATTCGTGTATAGAAATGCTACTAATTTTTTTTTACATTTATTTTGTAGCTTAAAACTTAGTGAATTTATTTATTGAATTTAGGAGACAGCATCTTTAGGGTTTTCTAGGTATAAGATTATGTCATCAGCCAATAGAGATAACTTGAGTTTTTCCTTCCTAATTTTAATGCCTTTTATTTATTTCTCTTGCCTGATTTCTCTGACTGGGACTTCTAGTACTATGTTGCATAGGCATGGAGAAGTGAGCATCCTTGTCTTATTCTAGTTCTTACCTTTTCATATTTACTATGATGCTGGCTGTGGGTTTGTCATATATAGCTTTTATTTTATTTAGGTATATTTCTTCTATGCCTAGTTTATTGAGGGTTTTTATCATGAAGGGATGCTGGATTTTATCAAATTTTTTTTGCATGTATGGAGGTGATCATATGGTTATTGTTTTTATTTGTTTATGTGATAAATCTCATTTATTGATTTGCATAGCTTGAACCATTCTTCTATCCCTGTAATAAAACTCAAGTGATCATGGTGTATTGTCTTTTGGATCTAGTGTTAGATTTGGTTAGCTAGTATTTTGTTGAAGATTTTTGCATTTATGTTCAATGGGCATATTGGTCTGAGTTTTCTTTTCTTTTCTTTTTTATTTTATTTTATTTTTATTTTATTATTATACTTTAAGTTTTAGGGTACATGTGCAAAATGTGCAGGTTAGTTACATATGTATACGTGTGCCATGCTGATGCACTGCACTCACTAACTCGTCATCTAGCATTAGGTATATCTCCCAATGCTCTCCCTCCCCCCTCCCCCCACCCCACAACAGTCCCCAGAGTGTGATGTTCCCCTTCTTGTGTCCATGTGTTCTCATTGATCAATTCCCACCTATGAGTGAGAATATGCAGTGTTTGGTTTTTTGTTCTTGCAATAGTTTACTGAGAATGATGATTTCCAATTTCATCCATGTCCCTACAAAGGACATGAACTCATCATTTTTTATGGCTGCATAGTATTCCATGGTGTATATGTGCCACATTTTCTTAATCCAGTCTATCATTGTTGGACATTTGGGTTGGTTCCAAGTCTTTGCTATTGTGAATAATGCCGCAATAAACATACGTGTGCATGTGTCTTTATAGCAGCATGATTTATAATCCTTTGGGTATATACCCAGTAATGGGATGGCTGGGTCAAATGGTATTTCTAGTTCTAGATCCCTGAGGAATCACCACACTGACTTCCACCATGGTTGAACTAGTTTACAGTCCCACCAACAGTGTAAAAGTGTTCCTATTTCTCCACATCCTCTCCAGCACCTGTTGTTTCCTGACTTTTTAATGATCACCATTCTAACTGGTTTGAGATGGTATCTCATTGTGGTTTTGATTTGCATTTCTCTGATGGCCAGTGATGGTGAGCATTTTTTCATGTGTTTTTTGGCTGCATAAATGTCTTCTTTTGAGAAGTGTCTGTTCATGTCCTTCGCCCACTTTTTGATGGTGTTGTTTGTTTTTTTCTTGTAAATTTGTTTGAGTTCATTGTAGATTCTGGATATTAGCCCTTTGTCAGATGAGTAGGTTGCAAAAATTTTCTCCCATTTTGTAGGTTGCCTGTTCACTCTGAGGTAGTTTCTTTTGCTGTACAGACGCCCTTTAGTTTAATTAGATCCCAATTGTCAATTTTGGCTTTTGTTGCCATTGCTTTTGGTGTTTTAGACATGAAGTCCTTGCCCATGCCTATGTCCTGAATGGTAATGCCTAGGTTTTCTTCTAGGGTTTTTATGGTTTTAGGTCTAACGTTTAAGTCTTTAATCCACCTTGAATTAATTTTTGTATAAGGTGTAAGGAAGGGATCCAGTTTCAGCTTTCTACATATGGCTAGCCAGTTTTCCCAGCACCATTTATTAAATAGGGAATCCTTTCCCCATTGCTTGTTTTTGTCAGGTTTGTCAAAGATCAGATAGTTGTAGATATGTGGCATTATTTCTGAGGGCTCTGTTCTGTTCCATTGATCTATATCTCTGTTTTGGTACCAGTACCATGCTGTTTTGGTTACCGTAGCCTTGTAGTATAGTTTGAAGTCAGGTAGTGTGATGCCTCCAGCTTTGTTCTGTTGGCTGAGGATTGACTTGGCGATGCGGTCTCTTTTTTGGTTCCATGTGAACTTTAAAGTAGTTTTTTCCAATTCTGTGAAGAAAGTCATTGGTAGCTTGATGGGGATGGCATTGAATCTGTAAATTACCTTGGGAAAGTATGGCTATTTTCACGTTATTGATTCTTCCTACCCATGAGCATGGAATGTTCTTCCATTTGTTTGTATCCTCTTTTATTTCATTGAGCAGTGGTTTGTAGTTCTCCTTGAAGAGGTCCTTCACATCCCTTGTAAGTTGGATTCCTAGGTATTTTATTCTCTGTGAAGCAATTGTGAATGGGAGTTCACTCATGATTTGTCTCTCTGTTTGTCTGTTGTTGGTGTATAAGAATGCTTGTGATTTTTGTACATTGATTTTGTATCCTGAGACTTTGCTGAAGTTGCTTATCAGCTTAAGGAGATTTTGGGCTCAGACAATGGGGTTTTCTAGATACACAATCATGTCATCTGCAAACAGGGACAATTTGACTTCCTCTTTTCCTAATTGAATACCCTTTATTCCCTTCTCCTGCCTAATTGCCCTGGCCAGAACTTCCAACACTATGTTGAATAGGAGTGGTGAGAGAGGACATCCCTGTCTTGTGCCAGTTTTCAAAGGGAATGCTTCCAGTTTTTGCCCATTCAGTATGATATTGGCCATGGGTTTGTCATAGATAGCTCTTATTATTTTGAAATACGTCCCATCAATATCTAATTTATTGAGAGTTTTTAGCATGAAGTGTTGTTGAATTTTATCAAAGGCCTTTTCTGCATCTATTGAGATAATCATGTGGTTTTTGTCTTTGGTTCTGTTTATATGCTGGATGACATTTATTGATTTGTGTATATTGAACCAGCCTTGCATCCCAGGGATGAAGCTCACTTGATCATGGTGGATAAGCTTTTTGAAGTGCTGCTGGATTCGGTTTGCCAGTATTTTATTGAGGATTTTTGCATCAATGTTCATCAAGGATATTGGTCGAAAATTCTCTTTTTTGGTTGTGTCTCTGCCCAGCTTTGGTATCAAGATGATGCTGGCCTCATAAAATGAGTTAGGTAGGATTCCCTCTTTTTCTATTGATTGGAATAGTTTCAGAAGGAATGGTAGCAGTTCCTCCTTGTACCTCTGGTAGAATTCAGCTGTGAATCCATCTGGTCCTGGACTCTTTTTGGTTGGTAAGCTATTGATTATTGCCACAATTTGAGATCCTGTTATCGGTCTATTCAGAGATTCAACTTCTTCCTGGTTTAGTCTTGGGAGAGTGTATGTGTCGAGGAATTTATCCATTTCTTCTAGATTTTCTAGTTTATTTGCGTAGAGGTGTTTGTAGTATTCTCTGATGGTAGTTTGTATTTCTGTGGGACCGGTGGTGATATCCCCTTTATCATTTTTTATTGTGTCTATTTGATTCTTCTCTCTTTTTTTCTTTATTAGTCTTGCTAGCGGTCTATCAATTTTGTTGATCCTTTCAAAAAACCAGCTCCTGGATTCGTTAATTTTTTGAAGGGTTTTTTGTGTCTCTATTTCCTTCAGTTCTTCTCTGATTTTAGCTATTTCTTGCCTTCTGCTAGCTTTTGAATGTGTTTGCTCTTGCTTTTCTAGTTCTTTTAATTGTGATGTTAGGGTGTCAATTTTGGATCTTTCCTGCTTTCTCTTGTGGGCATTTAGTGCTATAAATTTCTCTCTACACACTGCTTTGAATGTGTTCCAGAGATTCTGGTATGTTGTGTGTTTGTTTTTGTTGGTTTCAAAGAACATCTTTATTTCTGCCTTCATTTCGTATGTACCCAGTAGTCATTCAGGAGCAGGTTGTTCAATTTCCATGTAGTTGAGTGGTTTTGAGTGAGATTCTTAATCCTGAGTTCTAGTTTGATTGCACTGTGGCCTGAGAGACAGTTTGTTATAATTTCTGTTCTTTTACATTTGCTGAGGACAGCTTTACTTCCAAGTATGTGGTCAATTTTGGAATAGGTGTGGTGTGGTGCTGAAAAAAATGTATATTCTGTTTATTTGGGTGGAGAGTTCTGTAGATGTCTATTAGGTCCGCTTGGTGCAGAGCTGAGTTCAATTCCTGGGTATCCTTGTTGACTTTCTGTCTCGTTGATCTGTCTAATGTTGACAGGGGGTTGTTAAAGTCTCCCACTATTAATGTGTGGGAATCTAAGTCTCTTTGTAGGTCACTCAGGACTTGCTTTATGAATCTGGGTGCTCCTGTATTGGGTGCATATATATTTAGGATAGTTAGCTCTTCTTGTTGAATTGATCCCTTTACCATTATGTAATGGCCTTCTTTGTCTCTTTTGATCTTTGTTGGTTTAAAGTCTGTTTTATCAGAGACTAGGATTGCAACCCCTGCCTGTTTTTGTTTTCCATTTGCTTGGTAGATCTTCCTCCATCCTTTTATTTTGAGCCTATCTGTGTCTCTGCACGTGAGATGGGTTTCCTGAATACAGCACACTGATGGGTCTTGACTCTTTATCCAATTTGCCAGTCTGTGTCTTTTAATTGGAGCATTTAGTCCATTTACATTTAAAGTTAATATTGTTATGTGTCAATTTGATCCTGTCATTATGATGTTAGCTGGTTATTTTGCTCGTTAGTTCATGCAGTTTCTTCCTAGTCTCGATGGTCTTTACATTTTGGCATGATTTTGCAGCGGCTGGTATTGGTTGTTCCTTACCATGTTTAGCGTTTCCTTCAGGAGCTCTTTTAGGGCAGGCCTGGTGGTGACAAAATCTCTCAGCATTTGGTTGTCTGTAAAGTATTTTATTTCTCCTTCACTTATGAAGCTTAGTTTGGCTGGATATGAAATTCTGGGTTGAAAATTCTTGTCTTTAAGAATGTTGAATATTGGCCCCCACTCTCTTCTGGCTTGTAGAGTTTCTGCCGAGAGATCCGCTGTTAGTCTGATGGGATTCCCTTTGTGGGTAACCCGACCTTTCTCTCCAGCTGCCCTTAACATTTTTTCCTTCATTTCAACTTTGGTGAATCTGACAATTATGTGTCTTGGAGTTGCTCTTCTCGAGGAGTATCTTTGTGGAGTTCTCTGTATTTCCTGAATCTGAATGTTGGCCTGCCTTGCTAGATTGGGGAAGTTCTCCTGGATGATATCCTACAGAGTGTTTTCCAACTTGGTTCCATTCTCCCCATCACTTTCAGGTACACCAATCAGACATAGATTTGGTCTTTTCACATAGTCCCATATTTCTTGGAGGCTTTGCTCATTTCTTTTTATTCTTTTTTCTCTAAACTTCCTTCTCGCTTCATTTCATTCACTTCATCTTCCATCGCTGATACCCTTTCTTCCAGTTGATCGCATCGGCTCCTGAGGCTTCTGCATTCTTCACATAGTTCTTGAGCCTTGGTTTTCAGCCCCATCAGCTCCTTTAAGCACTTCTCTGTATTGGTTGTTCTAGTTATACATTCTTCTAAACTTTTTTCAAAGTTTTCAACTTCTTTGCCTTTGGTTTGAATTTCGTCCTGTAGCTCAGAGTAATTTGATCATCTGAAGACTTCTCCTCTCAGCTCATCAAAGTCATTCTCTGTTCAGCTTTGTTCCATTGCAGGTGAGGAACTGCGTTCCTTTGGAGGAGGAGAGGCGCTCTGTGTTTTAGAGTTTCCAGTTTTTCTGCTCTGTTTTTTTCCCATCTTTGTGGTTTTATCTACTTTTGGTCTTTGATGATGGTGATGTACAGATGGGTTTTTGGTGTGGATGTCCTTTCTGTTTGTTAGTTTTCCTTCTAACAGACAGGACCCTCAGCTGCAGGTCTGTTGGAGTACCAGGCCGTGTGAGGTGTCAGTCTGCCCCTGCTGGGGGGTGCCTCCCAGTTAGGCTGCTCAGGGGTCAGCGGTCAGGGACCCACTTGAGGAGGCAGTCTGCCCGTTCTCAGATCTCCAGCTGTGTGCTGGGAGAACCACTGCTCTCTTCAAAGCTGTCAGACAGGGACATTTAAGTCTGCAGAGGTTACTGCTGTCTTTTTGTTTGTCTGTGCCCTGCCCCCAGAGGTGGAGCCTACAGAGTCAGGCAGGCCTCCTTGAGTTGTGGTGGGCTCCACCCATTTCAAGCTTCAGGGCTGCTTTGTTTACCTAAGCAAGCCTAGGCGATGGCGGGCGCCCCCGCCCCCCAGCCTTTCTGCAGCCTTGCAGTTTGATCTCAGACTGCTGTGCTAGCAATCAGCGAGACTCCGTGGGCATAGGACCCTCTGAGCCAGGTGCGGGATACAGTCTCCTCATGCGGCGTTTTTTAAGCCCGTCGGAAAAGTGCAGTATTCGGGTGTGAGTAACCCGATTTTCCAGGTGCCGTCTGTCACCCCTTTCTTTGACTAGGAAAGAGAACTAACTCCCTGACCCCTTGCACTTCCCAAGTGAGGCAATGCCTCGCCCTGCTTCTGCAGGTGCAGGGTGTGCGCACCCACTGACCTGCGCCCACTGTCTGGCACTCCCTAGTGAGATGAACCCGGTACCTCAGATGGAAATGCAGAAATCACCCGTCTTCTGCATCGCTCATGCTGGGAGCTGTAGACCAGAGCTGTTCCTATTCGGCCATCTTGGCTCCTCCCCACGAGTTTTCTTTTTTTGTTGCTTCCTTGCCTGGCTTTGGTGTCAATGTGATACTAGCTTCATAGAATGAGTTAGGGAGGATTCACTCCTTAAACTTTTGAATCAGTTTGAGTAGGACTGGTACCAGTTCTTCTTTGTACTTCTGGTAGAATTTGGCTATAAATCCAGCTATTTCTGGACTTTTTTGTTGTTGTTGAGGTTTTTTTTGTTTTTTTTTGTTTGTTTGTTTTTTAAGATAGAGTTGTGTTCTGTCGCCCAGGCTGGAGTGCAGTGGTGTGATCTCAGCTCACTGCAGCCTCTGCCTCCCAGGTTCAAGTGATTATCCTGCTTCAGCCTCCTGAGTATCTGGGATTACAGGTGGGAACCACCATGCCGAGATAATTTTTGTATTTTTAGTAGAGACAGGGTTTTCTCATGTTGGCCAGGCTGATCTCAAGCTCCTCACATTAGGTCGTCCTTGTGCCTTAACCTCCCAAAATGTTGGGATTACAGGAATGAGCCACTGTGCCCGACCTTGTTGAGATATTTTTATTAGTGTTTTAGTGTCACTACTTATTATTGCTTTGTTCAGGATTTCTATTTTTTTCCTGATTCAATCTTGGGAGGTTGTGTATTTCCAGAAATTTATTCATTTTTTCTGGGTTTTCTAATTTGTGGTCATAGAAATGTTCATAGTAGTTTCTGATAATCTTTAATATTTCTGTGGTATCAGTTGTAATGTCTCCTTCTCATTTTGAATGGTGCTTATTTGAATCTACTCTATTCTTTTTTTGGTTAATCTTGCTTGCGGTCTGTCAATTTTATCTTTTCAAAAACAATTTTTCATTTACCGATTCCTTGGATTGTTTTTTTGTCTCACCTTAATTCAGTTCTGCTATGATTTTAGTTATTTCTTTTCTACTGCTAGCTTTGGCTTTGGTTTGTTCTTGTTATTCTACTTCCTTGAGGTACAATATTACATTATTAATTTGTGATATTTTTATCTTTTTGATGTAGTCATTCAGTGATATAAACTTCTCTCTTAGCACTGCTTTGTATATATCTCAGATTTTTTGGTATGTTGTGTCTCTATGTTCATTCATTTCAAAAAAATTTTTAATTTTCATCTTAATTTCATCATTGACCCAAAAATCATTCAGGAGTAGGTTTTAAATTTGTCATATATCTGTATTGTTTTAACAGTTCTTGGAATTGATTTCTAGTTTTAATCTACTGTAGGCCATGAAAATACTTGATACGATTTTGATTTTTAAAAATGTATTGTGACTTGTTTTATAGCCTAACACATGGTCTACCATGGAAAATGTTCCATGAGCTGATAAAAAAGCCTCTTGATTATTGATAACTTATTTACCTGTGGAAAATTCATTTACCCTCTACTTGCCTGTCTATTAAATAAATATGTTGCATAAAATAAGGAAACTTTTTATTCTAGCATGCTTTGAATCTGTACAATGAAAGACAGCAGGAGTTTTGCAGTCAGAATGAGTGAAATTCCAGCTCTTTAATTTCCATATTTATAAAATGGGACCAATATCAGTTAGGTGGCATATGTTAGAAGTATCTTTTTTCTCTTTCCTTTTAATCAGTAGTTCTTGTCTATTCATTTAGAAATTAATCATATACTTCCCTAAACTATCTCTTCTAAAATTTGAGAGACAAACCTGGACTAGAATCCAGCTTAAATAAATTTTTACACATTTTAATTTGGGTCATGTAACCTTACTACTCTGAGGTTCTATTTTTTCTTTTGTGAAAATATTCAGCTCTAGGGTTGTTGTAAAATTTGAAGGAAATAATGTATACCAAAATCCTAGCAAAGTACCTGTCACATAGTAGAATCTCAAAATTTATTATTCTCTTTTCCTTTATTCCTTAAATAAAAATTAGTGAAATATTATCATTTCTCTATATTTCATTCCAAGGAAAAATGGAGGTTAGTAAGTAATCTTTTGGCTAGAATTATCCAGATAACTGGTTATGTGGTATTTATTTCTGGATTCAATAGTTACTAAGTTTTTAGGTACAGTCAGTATCTTGCTAATGCTTTATGGTAACCAGGGGATTTCTTTCTCATTTGTGAGAGTAACAGCTCTAAGAGCAGTGAAAAAGCTTCCCTAAGCTTAACTGGCAACCCTCAAACCTTTCCAGTATGTGTTGTTTAATGAAAGTCTAGTTTGTATTTCAATAGCAATAATGATTTTTAAACTAGGTAAAAATTTTCTGGAGTACTGTGTAAAAAGAAAACACACACACACACACACACACACACACACACACACACTTGGCTGCAAGAGTGCAGCTAGCTTGATTTTGGAGCCATTACAATCAGTGAGCCACTCAAGACTCTCTCAGCCTTCCCTTTTCCATAGCATCCAATTTTCTACCTCTTAGTCCTGAGGTTATTGAAAGTGGATTGCTGAAGAGAAGACAAAGGGTCCATCCCATAATATGCCTGGCATGCTGAGGCCAGGTTAAATGAGATTCCTAACACCTTTGTGTTTCAAACTCTGTTTTAGTTCACGGATGGCTGTAATTCTCTCAGGCAAAGCCAAGAGCATCTTGAAATCCTGGCCAAAGTGCTTCCTTCACCTAGCTTTTCAAGTTCAGCAACTGGGAGGTTCAAACCGTACAATTTTAAGATTTTTATCACTTCAGTCTCTGGCTATTGCAATAAATTGTAATCCCTATCTTTCCATCTAATCTCTCTCTTCCAGCAGTTTTTCTCTCCAATTTTGACTGCCTTCAGATTAATTTTCATAAAATAGCTCTTGAGTAAAATCTTACCTTGTTTTAAAACTCTTTACTTTCTGTTTAACAAAATAAAACTCTATAAGTGGCAAAATCGCACTCCAAGCTACCCGCCTAGATTTTTCCCTCATTATATTCTTCCATGATCCTGACATACTAACCAAATGTAATTTTGGGGGATCTTGCCAAATCTCAGTGTCACTGCCAGAAACAGGGGATAGTCCCACTTTGGTTCTGAGTTTCAAAGACTTTTCTTTAGCACTTTCCCTAGCACATGGGAATCCTTTTAATTTTATGCTGAAAAAATTTTGATTTCATACATCCTCAAGATATTTTAACCTATCCTGTTATGCTCATGAATTGCTTCCTCTGAACTTTTTATTTTTAAAGCACAAGTGTGTGATCCTTATAAAAATCTTTCTATTTTCTCCCCAAACACATACCTTCCCTATAATAATAGGAATAGAGGGATAGGAAGAATCAATATCTTGAAAATGGCCATACTGCCCATCAAGATACCAATGACTTTCTTCATAGAATTGGAAAAAACGACTTTGAAGTTCATATGGAACCAAAAAAGAGCCCGCATTGCCAAGACAATCCTAAGCCAAAAGAACAAAGCTGGAGGCATCATGCTACCTGGCTTCAAACTATACTACAAGGCTACAGTAACCCAAACAGCATGGTAATGGTACCAAAACAGAGATATAGACCACCAATGGAACAGAACAGAGGCCTCAGAAATAACACCACACATCTACAACCATCTGATCTTTGACAAACCTGACAAAAACAAGAAATGGGGAAAGGATTCCCTATTTAATAAATGGTGCTGGAAAAACTGGCTAGCCATATGTAGAAAGCTGAAACTGGATCCCTTCCTTACACTTTATACAAAAATTAATTCAAGATGGATTAAAGACTTAAATGTTAAACCTAAAACCATAAAAACTCTAGAAGAAAACCTAGGCAATACCATTCAGGACATAGGCATGGGCAAGGACTTCATGTCTAAAACACCAAAAGCAATGCCAACAAAAGCCAAAGTTGACAGATGGGATCTAATTAAACTAAAGAGCTTCTGCACAGCAAAAGAAACTATCATCAGAGTGAACAGGCAACCTACAGAATGGGAGAACATTTTTGCAATCTACTCATCTGACAAAGGGCTAATAACCAGAATCTACAATGAACTCAAACAAATTTACAAGAAAAAAACAAACAATCCCATCAAAAAGTGGGTGAAGGATATGAACAGGTATTTCTCAAAAGAAGACATTTATGCAGCCAACAGACACATGAAAAAATGCTCATCATCAGAGAAATGCAAATCAAAACCACAATGAGATACCATCTCACACCTGTTAGAATGGTGATCACTAAAATGTCAGGAAACAACAGGTGCTGGAGACGATGTGGAGAAATAGGAACACTTTTACACTGTTGGTGGGACTGTAAACTGGTTCAACCATTTTGGAAGACAGTGTGGTGATTCCTCAGGGATCTAGAACTAGAAATACCATTTGACCCAACCATCACATTACTGGGTATATACCCAAAGGATTATAAATCATGCTGCTATAAAGACACACGCACACATATGTTTGTTGTGGCACTATTCACAATAGCAAAGACTTGGAACCAACCCAAATGTCCATCAATGATAGACTGGATTAAGAAAATGTGGCACATATACACCATGGAATACTATGCAGCCATAAAAAAGGATGAGTTCATGTCCTTTGCAGTGACATGGATGAGGCTGGAAACCATCATTCTCAGCAAACTATCGCAAGGACAGAAAACCCAACACCGCATATTCTCACTCATAGGTGGGAATTGAACAATGAGAACACTTGGACACAGGAAGGGGAACATTACCCACCGGGGCCTGTCATGGGTTTGAGGGAGGGGGGAAGGATAGCATTAGGAGATATACCTAATGTAAATGACAAGTTAATGGGTGCAGCACACCAACATGGCACATGTATACATATGCAACAAACCTGCATGTTGTGCACATGTACCCTAGAACTTAAAGTATAATAATAATAATAGGAATAGAGGTAGTTATCAATTTTCCTGAAAGTAAATTAAAGTGGAAAACTCAGGAAGAAAAACATTTACATGCATAAACTTGTCTCTAAAAAATGTTATCTAGGCACCCATTAATTATGTCATTTAATCTTGAAACCCTATGAAATGAGTATCATTAAAACATTTTAGAGATAAAGAAACTGAGGAAATAAAGTTACTGGTCCAAATGTACGTAACTATTTAGCAGTGAAACCAGCATCTAAAGAAAGGTGTCCATTCCCATACTTCAAGTTATGGGCTTTCATTGAAAGACATTGATAGTTTCTGGTCATGAATTACATAAATAAGGCCTCTATAGTGTTAACTTGAATGCTGACAAGGAAAGAAATGTGACTCCAGAATTATGTCCTCTGGAAGTTGAAGATTAAAGTTACTAGTTTACTGAAAAGAGGAAGGGTATGGATATTGGCAAGGTTACTAATCCTAACTTGAGGAAGTGAACACACATAAAATGTTGATGGCTTATTGTATACATAGTCTGAGGCTGGACAGAGGAAAAGAAGGGGGTCTAGTTAGAAATGGAGCTCTTGAGTACTCTTAATGAGTTCATAGATATTGCGGTGATTCAAATGGAAAGTTAAGTGGAGTGGCAGACGAAGACCATCCAAATACCAACTAGGACTTATATGATGTTGGGTTAACTGTAGGATGCTTGGTCTAGTAGCTTCAAGACAAGCATAGACTAAGGTAGGAACATGTGTGAAAACCAGGTCAGAAAGGCCTTGAGGAAATTTTTGCAAAATTAGCAATACTATACCAAGATGTAAAGTAACAAGTAGTTGAATTACCTAGTAGTATTTATTTAATTGTCAGGCAAAAAAAAATGATGAAATAAAAGTTGAACTGGCTAAATGTGTATTTTATTAACAATATTTATGGATTATTAATGCCTTGATTTTTTCCACAATATATGAGGTTCCCCAGAAACATGGTCTTAATGGGATCAAATGATAGTATAGTGGTACAGTGGACAGTGTATAAGTCCATTCTAACACTGCTATATATATTAAAAATACCTGAGACTGGGTAATTTATAAAGAAAAAAGGCTTAACTGGCTCATAGCTCTGCAGGCTGTACAGGAAGCATGACAGCTTCTGGGGAGGCCTCAGGAAGCTTTCAATCATGATGAAAGGTGAAGGGGAAGCAGATACATCTTACATGGCAGGAGCAGGAGAAAGAGGAGAGAAGGGAGATGTGCTATGCACTTTTTAAACAACTAGATATCATAAAAACTCTACCACAAAAATAACACCAAAGGGGAAATCTGCCCCCATCATCCAATCACCCCAGCAGCCCCCAACCCCTCCAACATTGGGGATTACAATTAAACATGAGATTTGGACAGGGACACAGATTCAAACTGTATTATTCTGCCCCTGGACCCTCCCAAATCTCATGTGCTTCCCACATTGCAAAATACAATCATGTCTTCCCAACAGTCCCCAAAAGTCTTAACTTTTTCTAGCATTAACTTAAAAGTCCAGATTCCAAATTCTCATCTGAGACAAGGCAAGTCCCTTCTGCCTATAAGCCTGTAAAATCAAAGACAAGTTAGTTAATTCCAACATACAGTGGGAATACTGGCATTGGGTAAATACTCCCATTTCAAAGGAAAGAAACTGGCCAAAAAAACGGGCTACAGGACCATGCAAGTCTGAAACCCAGCAGGGCAGCCATTAAATTTTAAAGCTCCAAAATAATCTCCTTTGACCCTATGTCCCACATTCAGGGCACACTGATGCAATAAGTAGACTCCCAAGACCTTGAGCATCTCCATGCCTGTGGTTTTGCAGGGCTCAACTCCCAAGGCTGCTCTCAAGGGCTGGTGTTGAGTGCCTGAAGCTTTTCCAGGTGCAGGTTGAAAGCTGTTGGTGTATCTACCGTTCTGAGATCTGGAGAATGGTGGTCCTCTTCTCACAGCTGCACTAGGCAGTGCTCCAGTGGGAACTCTGTATGGGGGATTCAACACCACATTTTTTATCCACACTGACCTAGTAGAGGTTCTCCACCATGTGGGCTCCACTCCTACAGCAGGCTTCTGCCTGGACAGCCAGGCTTTTCCATATATTCTCTGAAATCTAGGTGGAGGCTCCCAAGCTTTAACTCCTGTACACTGTGCATGTGCAGGCTTAAACCATGTGGAAACGCTCAAGGTTTGTGGCTTGCAACCTCTGAAGCAGCTGCCCAAGCTGTATTTTGGGCCTTTTTAGCCACAGCAGAAGGTGAAATGGTTGGGATGCAGGGAGCAGTGTCCTGAGGTTGTGCAGGGCAGTGAGACACTGGGCCTGGCCCGGGAAACCATTCTTCCCTCCCAGGCCACCAGGTTTGTGTTGGGAGGGGCTGCCTCAAATGTCTCTGAAATGCCTTCAAGGCATTTTTCCATTATCTTGGCTAATAGCTATTGCATTCCTTTTAGCTATGCAAATATATGCAGCCTGCTTGAATTCCTCCTCTGAATGTGGGTTTTCTTTTCTAACACATGGCCAGGCTGCAAAGTTTTCAAATTGTTATACTCTGCTTCCTTTTTAAATATAAATTTCAGTTTCAGATCATTTCCTTGCTTATGCATATAAGCACAGGCAATTAGAAGCAGCCAGGCCAAATCTTGAACACTTTGCTGCTTAGAAATTTCTTCCACCAGATACCCTAAATCATCATTCTCAAGTTGAAAGTTTCACAGATCCCTAGGGCAGTAGCATAATACAGCCAATTTTGTTGTTGTTGTTGCTAAGAAGCCAAAGTGTCTTTTGCTCCAGTTTCCAATAAGTTCGTCATTTTCATCTGAGACCTCATCAGCCTGACCTTTACTGTCCATATCAATACCAGCATTTTGGTCATAGCAATTTAACAAGTCTCTAGAAAGTTCCAAATTTTCCCTCATCTTCCTGTCTTCTTTTGAGCCCTCCACACTCCTCCACCTTCTGTCTATTACCCAGTTCCAAAGCTGCTTCCACATTTCAGGTATCTTTATAGCAATGCCCCACTACTTGGTGCCCATTTTCTGTATTATTCCTCTCTTGCACTGCTATAAAGAAATAATGTAGACTGGGTAATTTATAAAGAAAAGAGGTTTAATTGGTTCACAGTTTTGCCAGCTGTACAGGAAGCATAGTGGCTTCTAGGGGAGCCTCAGGAAACAGTCAATCATTTTAGAAAGTGAAAGGAAAGCATGCATATCTTATATGGCAGAGCGTGAGGAAGAGGAGAGAATGGGGAGGTGCCACACACTTTTAAACAACCAGATCTCATGAGACTTCTATCACAAAAACAGCACCAAAGGGGGAAATCTACCCCCATGATCCAATCACCTCTCATCCGGCCCAGTCTTCAACATTGGGGATTACAATTTGACATGAGATTTGGGTGGGGACACAGATCCAAACATGTCAGACAGTAAGAGGGCTTTAGAGTAAGACAGACCCAGTTCAAATCCTAGTTTACCTTTTAATAATCAGTTAACCTTGAGGAAATCACTAAACCTCTTGGAGGCTCACCTGAAAAAAATAATAGTATTTATATTGCACGATTGTGCTAAAAATTGTACATAACACATGTAAAGCACCTAGTGTAGTACCCAGTACTTACTAATTATTCAATAAGTAGTATCTGTGATGATTATTCTCTGCTGTATCTCCAATTGCACTATCCAAAGAGTATCATATTCATAAAGGGCCTGTGTCTGAAACAGAAGTTCATCTTAAATTCCCTGAGTCTTAAACCCTATTGACTTACTCCACCAAGGGTCTAAATACAGCTAGGTGACACTGACCTAGATATCCAGGGTTAGGGATAATATATCTGCAATTTGGTCTGTAATGATAAGAGAGGAAGTCTCTCCTTTTTAACTTTATACAAAACTATCACAGTGCAATAAACTATAGGTTCCAGTAAATTCTGGAGGACGTCAGTCTCAGGTTTGCAGAACAAAGACATATTGTGCTCTAAAATTGACAAGGAAATTGTTCATTCAGTAAGTATTTGAACACCTGTTTAAGTGCTAGACACTGTTTATAATGCTTGGGATATATCTGTAAGCAAAACAGACAAAACCCTTATCCTCCTGGAGTTTACATTCTACTGGGAGGAGACAAACAATTATAAAATCAACAAAACAAGAAAGCAAGTGATATTTTTAGAAGGTAATAAGTGATATGAAAAAAAGCATAGTAAGGAAATTGGGATTATTGATAGGAGAGGGCTGTTGCAGTTTAAAATACCATGATTATGAAGGAATCGTTATATTCTAAATGTTCTAAACTTAGATTGTGATGATGGTTACACAACTCTGTGTGTAGCCCACAGACTAATGTCACTCTTTTCATCCCAGATGTCCACTTTATAATTCTCAGAAACTATGAATATGGTATGTTAAATGTCAAGGAGAATTAAGGTTGCAAATGAAATGAAGGTTATTAAGCAGCTGATTGTAAAACAGAGAGATTATCTGCATGGGCCTAATATAATCACAAGTGTGTTTAAACGAGGAAGAGAAAAGCAGAAAAGTCAGAATCAGAAAAGTGGCATCAAGTCAAAGAGTCTACCAGCCATTGCTGGCCTTGAAGATGGAGGAAGGGGGCCATGACACAAAGAATATGAGCAGACTCTAGGAGTTAGAAAAGTCAAGAGACTGGATTATACTTTGGAGCATCCAGAAAGGCAATCAACCTGATCAACATGTTGACATTAGTTCAATGACACACAAATTTTTGAATTTTGACCTCTAGAATTGTGAGATAATAAATTTGTGTTGTTTTAATCTACAAAATTTATGGTAATTTTTACAGTAGCCATAGGAAAGGAAATAAATACACTGTGAATACACTAAAAGCCACTCTGAGCTGTATATTTTCAGTTGGTGAATTTAATGGAATGAAAATTATATCTCAATAAAGCTCTTTTTTAAAAGTAGGGTGGTTAGGATAGAAGAATTGAGAAGCAGCATTGTCTCAGGTGGGTTAGTATCTTTCAGATGAAGGCATTGAAGCTTGCACAAGTTCTGATGGCGTCAATGTAAATGACATCATCCTGATTGCTCTTAATGAACACACATATGCAAAGATGAGAAAGAACCAATGCAAGAGCACTGGTAACTCAAATGGCCAGAGTGACATATGTCCTCCAAATTACTGCACCAGTTTTTCAACAAGAGTTTTTAACCCAGCTGAGCTGGCTAAAATGACAGAAATAGAATTCAGAGTGTGGATAGGAGCAAAGATCATTGAGATTCAGGAAAATAGCAAAACCCAATCCAAGGAAATGAAGAACCACAGTAAAATGACAGATATAGGAGCTGAAGGATGAAATAGCTGATATAAAAAAGAACCTAATGGTGAATAACACAATGCAAGAATTTCACAATGCAATCATAAATATAATATCATAAATATTAACATATATAAAATCATAAATATTAACAGCACACAAATCAAGCTGAGGAAAGAATCTCAGTACATGAAAACTGGCTCTTTGAAATGAGACAGACACAAATTTCAAAAAAAGAGTAAAAATAAATAAATAAAACCTCCATGAAGTATGGGATTATGTAAAGTGGCCAAATCTGTGAATCATTGTCATCTTAGAAAGGGAGGGGAGAAAGCAAACAACTTGGAAAACATATTTTGGGATATCATCCATGAAATTTTCCCTAACCTTGCTAGAGAGGCCAACAGTCAAATTTAGCAAATAAAGAGAACTCCTGCAACATTCTACACAAGAAGATCATCCCCAAGACACATAATCATCAGATTTTCCAAGGTCCCAATAAAAGAAAGAATATTAAAGTCAGCTAGAGTAAAACGGCAGGTCACCTGCAAAAGGAACCCCGTCAGGCTAACAGTGACCTTCTCAGCTGAAACCCTATAAGGCAGAAGAGATTGGGAGACTATATTCAGAGTTTTTAAAGAAAAAAAAAATCTCTTACTGAATATTTTATATCCAGCCAAACTAAGCTTCCGAACAGGAGAAATAAGATCCTTTTAGATAAGCAAATGTTAAGGGAGTTTGTTACCAGCAGACCTGCCTTACAAGAGATCTTGAAAGGAACACTAGATAGAGAAAGGAAAGACCACTACCAGCTAATACAAAACAAAACACTTAAATGCACAGATCAGTGACACTATAAAGCAACTGCACAAGCAAGCCAGCATAATAACCAGCTAACAACACAATGGCAGGGTCAACTCCACACATATCAATACTAATCTTGAATGTAAATAGGCTAAGTGCTCCCACTTAAAAGTCACAGAGGCCGGGCGCAGTGGCCGCACTTGTAGTCCCAGCACTTTGGGAGGCCAAGGCGGGTGAATCACAAGGTTGGGAGTTCAAGACTAGCCTGGCCAACATTGTGAGACCCTGTCCCTACTAAAAATACAAAAAAATTAGCTAGGTGTAGTGGCAGGCACCTGTAATCCCAACAACTCAGGAGGCTGAGGCAGGAGAACCGCTTGAACCTGGGAGGCGGAGGTTGCAGTGAGCTGAGATCATGCCACTGCACTCCAGGCTGGGTGACAGAGTGAGAATCCATCTCAAAAAAAAAAAGTCACAGAGTGCCAAGCTGGATAAAAAAGCAAGACCCGGCCAGGTGCAGTGGCTCATGCCTGTAATCCCAGCACTTTGGGAGGCTGAGGTGGGCAGATCACAAGGTCATGAGTTTTAGACTAGCCTGGCCAACATGGTAAAGCCTCGTCTGTACTGAAAATGCAAAAATTAGGTAGGTGTGGTGGCGGGCACCTGTAATCCCAGCTACTCAGGAGGCTGAGGAAGGAGAATCGCTTGAACCCGGGAGGCAGAGGTTGCAGTGAGCCGAGATCATGCCACTGCACTCCAGCCTGGGTGACAGAGCAAAACTCCATCTTGAAAAAACAAAAAAGTAAGACCCAAGGGTATGCTGTCTTCAAGAGACCCATCTCACATATAATGACACCCATAGGCTCAAAATAAAGCGATGGAGGAAAATCTACCAAGCAAATGGAAATCAGAAAAAGGCAGGGGTTGCAATCCTAATTTCAGACAAAATAGACTTTAAACAAATAAAGATCAAAAAGAACAAAGAAGAACATTACATAATGGTAAGTGTTTCAATTCAACAAGAAGACCTAACTATCCTAAATATTTGTTCAGCCAACACAGGAGCACCCAGATTGATAAAGCAAGTTCTTAGAGACCTACAAAGAGACATAGATTCCCACAAAATAATAGTGGTAGACTTCATCACTCCATTGTCAGTATTAGGCAGATCATTGGGGCAGAAAGTTAACACAGATATTCAGGACCTGAACTCAACATTGGACCAAATGGATCTGATAGAACTCTACAGAACTCTCCACCCCATAACAACAGACTATACATTCTTCTCATTGCCACAAGGTATTTACTCTAAAATTGACCACATGATTGGACATAAAACAATCCTCAGCAAATGCAAAAGAATGGAAATTATGGCCAAACACACTCTTGGACCACAGCACAATAAAAATAGATGTCAAGACTAAGAAAATTCCTTACATGCAAATTAAACGACATGCTTTTGAATGACTTTTGGGTAAATAATGAAATTAAGGGAGAAATCAAGAAGTTCTTTGAAACTAATGATGACAAAGGTACAACATACCAGAATCTCTGGGAAGCAGCTAAGGAAGTGTTAAAGGGGAAATTTATAGCACTAAATGCCCACAACAAAAAGTTAAAAAGATCTCAAATTAAGAACCTAACATTACAACAGAAAAAAATGATACAAGCAGGAATGAATCAACCCCAAAGGTAGCAAAGACAAGAAATAACCAAAATCAGAGCTGAACTGAATGAAATCTTGACATGAAAAACCATTCAAAAGATTAGCAAATTCATGAGTTAGTGTTTTGAAAAATTTAATAATTTGGGCCACTAGCTAGACTAATAAGAAAGAAAAGAGGAAGATCCATGTAAACACAAATAGAAATGATGAAGGGAATATTACCACTGACCCCACAGAAATAAAAATAACCATCAGAAACTGCTATGAGCACCTCTATGCACAAAAACTAGAAAACCTAGAAGAGATGGATAAATTATTGAACACATACACCCTCTCAAGACTGAACTAGGAAGAAATTGATTCCCTGAACAGACCATAGTGAGCTTTGAAATTGAATCAGTAATAAATAGCATACCAACACCCCAAACCCCAGACCTGATGGATTCACAGCCAAATTCAAACAGATGTACAAAGAAGAGCTGGTAACATTTCTACTGAAACTATTCCAAAAATTGAGAAGGTGAGACCCCCTCCTCAACTCATTCTATGAGGTCAGCATCATCCTAAAACTAAAAACCTGGAAGAAATACAACAAAAAAAGAAACTTTTAGGCCACTATCCTTAATGAATATCAATGCAAAAATCCTCAACAAAATAATTCCAAATGAAATCCAGCAGCACATCAAAAAGCTAATCCACAGTGATCAAGTAGGCTTTGTCCTCGGGATAAAGGTTTGTTTCAACGTATAAAAATCAATAAGTGTGATTCATTGCATAAACAAAATTCAAGACAAAACCACAATTATCATAATAGATGCATAAAAGGCTTTTGATAAAATTCAACACTCCTTTCTTTAAAATACTCTCAATAAACTAGGAATTGAAGGAACATACCTCAAAATAATAAGAGCCATCAATGACAAACCCACCAACAACCTCTTACTGAAAGGGCAAAAGGTGGAAGCATTTTGCGTACAAACCAGCACAAGACAAGGATGTCCTCTCTCACCCCTCCTATTCAACAGAGTATTAGAAGTCCTTGTCAGAGCAATCAAACTAAAGCAAGAAATAAAGGCGTCCAAAGAGAAAGAGAGGAAGTCAGACTATCCCTGTTTGCAGACAACATGATCCTATATCTAAAAAACCCTATAGTTTCAGCCCAAATGCTCTTTCAGTTGATAAACAACTTCAGCAAAGTCTCAGGATACAAAAATCAATGCACAAAATCACCAGCATTCCTATAAACCAACAACAGTGAAGCTGAGAGACAAATCAGAAAGGCAATCCCACTCACAATTGCCACAAAAAGAATAAAATAACTAGGAATACAGCTAGCCAGGGAGGTGAAAGATCTCTGCAAGGAGAATTATAAAACACTGCTCAAAGAAATCAGGGAAGACATAAACTAAATGAAAAAATCCCATGCTCATGGATTGGAAGAATCGATATTATTAAAATGGCCATGCTGCCCAGAGCAATTTACAGATTCAATGCTATTTCTATCAAAATACCATTGACATTCTTCACAGAACTAAAATTTATATGGAACTTTAAAGTTCATATGGAACCAAAAAAGAACCCAAATAGCCAAGGCAATCCTAAGCAAAAAGGACAAAGGTGGAGGCATCATGTTACCCAACTTAAAACTATACTACAGGCCTACAGAAACCAAAACAGTATGGTAGTGGTACAAAAACAGGCACATAGACCAATGAAACAGAATAGAAAGCCTAGAAATAAGGCTGCTTACCTATGACCATCTGACCTTTGAAAACAACAAGCAATGGGAAAAAGGCTCCCTGTTCAATAAATGGTGCTGGGATAACTGGCTAGCCACATGCAGAAGATTGAAGCTGGACCTCTTCTTTACACCATACACAAAAATCAACTGAAGATGGATTAAAGACTTAAACGTAAAACCCAAATTATAAAAATCCTGAAAGACAACCTAGGCAATACCATCCTGGCTATAGGAATGGACAAAGATTTCATGACAAAGGCACCACAAGTAATCACAACAAAAGTGTATACTCATATGTGTGTGCAAAGAGATTATCTTAAGCTGGAACTTATATTTAAAAAGGAAGCAGAGCATAAAAGTTTGGAAAATATTTAGCCTGACCATGTGGTAGAAAAGGAAAACCCATTTTTCTGGGGAGGAATTCAAGTTGGATACAGAAATTTGCATAAGTAAAGAGGAGCTGAATGTTAATAGCCAAGTCAATGGGGAAAATGCCTCCAAGGCATTTCAGAGACCTTTGTGGCAGCCCCTCCCATCATAGGCCTGGAAGCCTAGTAGGGAAAAATGGTTTTGTGGGCCAGGCCCAGGGCCCCACTGCTTTGTGAAGCCTTGGCACATAGCACCCTGCATCCCAGCCACTGTAGCTCCAGCCATGGCTAAAAGGGGCCAGGTTACAGCTCAGGCCACTGCCTCAGAGGATGCAACCCAGAAGCTGCCAAGTCTTACATGTGGTGTTAAGCTTGCGAGTGCACAGAGGGCAAGAGTTGAGGCATGGGAGCCTTTGTTCAGATTTCAAAGGATGTATGGAAATGCTTGGATGTTCTGGCAGTAGTCTGCTGCAGGGGTGGAGCCCTTATGCAGAACCTCTACTAGGGCAGTGAGAAGGGAAATGTGGGGTTGGAGCACCCACACAAAGTCCCCACTGGGGCACTACCTAGTGGAGCTTAGAGAAGAGGGCCACCATCCTCCCAGTGCCAGCATAATAAATCCACTGATAGCTTGCACTGTGCACCTGAAAAACTGCAAGCATTCAACACCAGCTCATGAAAGCAGCTGTGAGCACTTTACCCTACAGAGCCACAGGGGCATTGTGCTATGTGGGGCTGTTCCTTGCAGAGCCACAGAGGCAAAACCATATCAGGTGCTGAAGAAAAAGCCATCCTGCCCTGCCTGAAAACTGAGGCAACTGGGACAGTTTAGATTTGACTTCTTCCATTGTAGTACAATGTCTATATACTTGCTTATGCCTTTCTTTATACTCATTGGCTGTTCCATTTTAGTCTTATTTTCTGTTCCTCCTCTTCCGGATCTCTTAATGTTGGACCTCCCCAACACTCAGTCTTTAAACCTACCCTATCTACACTAACTCCCTTCGTGAACATAACCAGTATTTTTGCTTTCAATGCCATTCACAAACCAATGATTCCCAAATATATACCTTTAACTCAGGCTTTTCTCCTTAACTTTAGTATCTTCTTGCCTATTTGACATCTCCACTTGGATTTCTAGTAAACATCACAAACTCAATATGTTCCTCACCAAGGTGCATCTCACACTATTTCACATGCAGTTTTTTTCATCTTATTTGAAGGCAACTCCATCATTTCTGCTATTCAGGCCAAACATGTTGAAGTCATCATTGACTCTTCTCTTTTTCTCACACACCTCATCCAATTTGTCAGGAAATCCTCTTGGTTCTGACATCAGAATATATACAAATTTAACCTTTTCTCATCATCTCCATTGCTGCCACTGAGTACCACTATCTTCAACCTGAACTACTGAGATAGCTTTCTAACTGTTCTCCCTGATTCCACCGTTGTTTCATCAAGTTTATTCTCAACACATGGGTTAGAGCGATTCATTTAAAGTATAAGTCAAACTGTGCTAGCCCTTTGAACAAAACCCTGTATTGATTTTTCATTCACTCAAATGGCTATTCTCTCCCCACATCTGGCCGCCATTACTTCTTCAGTCTCACCTCCTACTACACTCCTCCTCACTTACTGCATTCTAGACCTACGAAACTCCTTGTTGTTTCTCAAATATATCAGGGATCCTCCTGCCTTAGGATTTTTGCACTGGCTATTTACTCTTCCTGGGATTCTTTCTCCCTGACCCCCTTCCCTACATAATCACATGGTCTATTACTTAATCTACTGTAATAAATTCAATTATTGACCTCAATTTTGTATCCCTTCCTGTATCCACACTTTTGCTATGACCTCAACCCTGTCCCTTGACTTTATGCTTTGGACTTTTGAGTTAATGCTGGAATAAGTTAAGACTTTGGGAGACTGTTGGGAAGGCATTATTGTGTTTTGAAATGTGAGAAGGACATGAGATTTAGAAGGGGCCAGGAGCAGAATGATATTGTTTGGCTTTGTATCCCCACCCAGGTCTCATGTTGAATTGTGATCCCCAGTGTTGGCGTTGGGGCCTGATGGGAGGTAATTGGATCAGGTAGGTGGTTTCTTATGGTTTAGCACCATGCCCCTAGTGCTGTCTTGTGATACCATTCTCATGAGATCTGGTTGTTTGAAAGTGTCCTCCCACCCATGTGAAGATGTGCCTGTTTCTCCTTCAACTTCAGCCATGATTGTAAGTTTCCTGAGGCCCCCAGCCATGCTTACTGCACAGCCTGTGGAATTGTGAGTCAATTAAACCTCTTTTCTTCATAAAAGAGGTAGTTCCCTATAGCAATGTGAGAATGGACTAATATAGCATCCATCACTGACTATCTTTTCAGGTGTGCTTTGATTGTGCTGGGAGCACAAACTGGAACTGATGCTTTGGCTTAAGAGTTCTAGGAAATTGTCTTATCATGCTGTCCCAGCCACTTAATTCCCACAGCCATGGGTTGATAAAGTTTGGGGGGATGGATTAATTTGAATATTAGCATTTCCTGATGAATCTCAATTTCAAAGTTCATTGCTTTTGTTTTCCTGGTGACTGTGTCAGAAATGAGCCTTTTTATAAGTCCTATATAAACACCAAATTATAGATTCATACAGCTTGATTATTTCACCCTACACCTTAAACTCGCAGAATAATTTCAAAGCTTATTAGGATAGTATTGAGGAATATTTGTGATCTGGGTCCTGATTTTCCCTCTGCCATCATCTCTCTTCTCTACTGTCCTCACTTGCCTTATTCTAGTCAAGTGACATCCTATACTTCCAGTTCCGTGAATGCCCCTAGGTCTTTGCATGTGATACTTTCTGTACCCAACAACTGGTTACCTACTTGTTAATGTTTAGGTCTCAGCTTAAATGTAAATCTTCCTTGATCTTTCAAATTAGGACTAGGTACTCTTCTCTGTCAACCCATAACACTGCACAATTCCCACATCTTAGCTCTTATTAAACAGTTTTATAATTTTCCATATACATGTTCATTTTCCCCTCTAGAACAGAGGTTAACAAACCTTCTTTCTAATGGGCCAGACAGTAAACATTTTAGGCTTTGCAGGTCATACAATCTCTGTCACAACTACTCAGCTCTGTCATTATAGCATGAAAGCAGCTGGAGATAAAATACATAACGAAATGATTGTGTTTCAATGAAACTTTATTTACAAAAAACAAGCAATGACCTGGACTTGGCCTATAAGGATAAGAAGTATATTCTTCTTGTTTGCTATATCCCCAGTACCTAGCACATTCCCTGAAACAAAATAAGAATTCCACAAACATTTGTTTAAGGGATAAAAGACATTCAGGTGGGGCTGGGTGAGGTGGCTCACGCCTGTAATCCCAACACTTTGGGAGTCCGAAGCGGTTGGATTATGAGGTCAGGAGTTTGAGACCAGTCTGGCCAATATGGTGAAACCCTGTCTCTACTAAACATACAAAAATTAGACAGGTGTGGTTGCGTGTGCCTGTAGTCCCAGCTACTCAGGAGGCTGAGGCAGGAGAATCACTTGAACCCAGGAAGCGAAGGTTGTGGTGAGTTGAGATCGTGTCACTGCACTCCAGCCTGGGTGACAGAGCAAAACTCTGTCTCAAAACAAACAAACAAACAAACAAACAAACAAAACCATTCAGGCACAGCCTTGCCAAGAAAATGACCTCGTTATGATCATAAAAAATCTTGTGTAATTTAAAAGTTACCTTCTGTGCAATCTTTCAAAGCGATCCTTAGTCCTTAAAATCTTTTTCTTTTCCTGTTTAAGCATCCATTTTAATGGCCTGACTCAGTTTTCCTAATTTATTCTGCCTTGTGTGCCAGTTGTTACAAAGACACATGAGGTCTGTTGTTTAACCAGCACATTTCTAGCTGTGACCAGGATTGTACATATTCCTTTCGCTTTACATTCAGCTGAGATGGAGTTGACCCTGAGATCAAGTCTGTGCATTGTGGTTATTGAGAGTCTGGTATTTATTGACCATTCCTGTCTCTCTGCAGTGCATGGATTTTGGGTAAACGCTGATTCATTTGGAGAGTTATCATTTATTTAGATTCATTTAATGGAGTTTCATGTGGTTTCTCGGCCATGGTTTACTTCCTCAAATTATGAACGGGAAATCAGAAGGTTTACGAGAATGTTGGCTTGTACCTTTGCCAGGTAATGAGTAAAACATGGTGTAGGGGATAAGAAGCTATGATTGTGGTAGTCACATCTTTTAACCAGACATTGTCAAGATGTTGAGCCAAATTTGGTCAGATGAGCAAGTTAATCCCTGGGAAGTCATATTACTTCTGTGTTATTTGCAAGAAAAGAAAAATAATAGAAAAGATGCTTGTATTTTTAAAGTGACGCCACAAAACCATAATTATTTCCATTTTTTTTCCAGATTTAACTGTACCTTATGTAGTAGCAGGGGATTTTTAGTTGGTTTTGAGTATCAACAAAACCCAGAAGAAAGAGGCTTTAAGACTCCATCCACCCTTAACTGGCCACACAGGCCAGACATAGTGAAAGACAGGCTTAGCCTGCCCCTGGTGCAGAGATCTGACACTGACTGGGCTTGCTACAGAATCCCAGCTCCCCTGAGCTGAAGTACTGCCTCGCAGTCGAATGGATTTTCAACTATACGTGAATTACAATAAAAGCCCCTCATATTTTAAACTTAAATGCAGACCAAAGAAAAAGGAAAACGCGTTGATGAGAAGTTAGGAAAAAAATGGAAGAGTTGAGGATTAGAAAAGCAGCCATTAAAAAAGGAGTAAAACAGAAAAGTCCAGCCTGGTGCCATGGCTCACACCTGTAATCCCAAAACTTTGGGAGGCTGATGCAGGTGGATTGCTTGAGTTCAGGAGTTTGAGACCAGCCTGGGCAACATGGAAAAGCCCCATCTCTACAAAAAATACAAAAATTAGCCAAGCATAGTGGCCTGCGCCTGTAGTCCCAGCTACTTGGGAGGCTGAGGTGGGAGGATCGCTTGAGGCCAGGATATCGAGGCTGTAGTAAGCCAAGAGAGAATGTAAAGATGTAGGAGGAATGAAATAAATCCTTATGGGAAATAAGGGGAAGAGGCATGCATTTTCATTGCCACTCATCTGCCTAATTTGCATCTTTCTTCCATAGGATTTGCTGCTTGCTTTTTGTAGTTTCATTCCAAATTTAAACCTTGAGGTTTCAAGTTTCTGTGACTGGGTTTCTGTCAGTGAGCATTTTTACTTGATTCTCTTTTAAGTTATCCATCAGTCTTGGTTTGGTGGTTTCTTTCATTGTTTCCTATCATTCTTCCAGTCCAGAATGTCAGCCTAGGGAGAGGTGAACATGGAAGAACAGAAATGTGATGGTGACCAGGAAGGAGAGAGTTGTGTGTACTCAGTTAAAGAGGAAGTTTTGAATGAAAGGAAGGCAAGCAGTTGCTGTAACAGTGTTTATTCCTGGGATAGGAGGAGTCATTACTTTGGATTTTTTTGGTTAATTATTAGTGTAATAATTGATATTCAAGGTAGTAGTCATTTTATTAAAAACACAAAACATATCCTTCTTATGTTAGTCAATTAAAGATGTGTAAAATGAACATTTTAGTGAGCAGGTTCAGTTTTAGCATCAATTTGAATTAAAATTCTCCAGTCAGTTTTCTTTGAGGATAGGCCTATGAGCCACATGATTTCTGTTTTAAGTTTATAAGTTACATTCATTTCTTCGAGATTTGATTCCTGGTGTTCACGAAGGCAAACTTCTTGGTGGGAGAAACCTTATGTCAAGATGTTATCTGCTTTACTTGACATAGGCTGATGCTGTGTTAACACTGTGTTTATATGTTCCTTGGAAACATTTAAAATCTGTCCTCAGGTTTTCTTCACTAGCAAATTCTCACTCAGGATATCCTACCAGAAACTACCACCTTACATTTATATAAACAATGATCTAACCATGAAGAATGTTTTAGATACAAATCCCAGATTCGCATGTCTGTGTTAGAGAAGGTGCCCCAGAGCTCACTTCAGCCAGACCCAAACTTATACATATGGAAATACTGTTCTTTGTTTGCAGAATACCTTTGTACTCAAGTTTTCTGCTCTGCTTCAACACATGGAGTTAGTTCCTCAGGCTCATATCAATCACTAAATAAGAAATTCTTTCATCTAGTGGCAGATATTTAACATTTTCCTTTAAATTTTTTTATGCTGTTCCTCAGTTCCAAAAGAAACTAATGCTATAGAAGCCTGGCCTTAGGTTGTTATTATCATTGTTATCACCATTCATGTTAATTTCTGTCAGTTTTTCAGGTCACTCCTGGTTCACAATCAGAAAAGGAATCAGACCATAGGAAGTTAAAAGTTAAGTAAAATTAGAAAACACAGATTAAAATAATTTGGTGTGTCCACAAGAAAGAGCAGGAAAGATGGAAGATGGGTACAGTTGAGATTCAAGAATAATAATCAGTTTGTAGACTGGTAGGATTCTGAACCAAGTTTTAAAATAGGTTACTATTGAGTTCACCTATCTTGGCCGTCTTCACCTCCACATCACCAGGACTTCTGTCTTTCACAGGCCAGCGGCCATGGATATGGTTATTGAAAGGGCAAATGAACTAGAAGCCAGGAAACCTGGATTCAAGATCTGATTTGATTGCTTGGATGAATCATTTAAAGTCTCTGAGTTTGTTTCTCCAGCTGCAAAATGGAATGAATGACACCTGGTCACCTCCTCCATTGGATTAAGGTGAGGTGAAAAGAAGAGAATGTGGAGGCATTTTGAAAATTCTACAGCCTTATATCTATGTAAAGAATTTCTGTGGTAAGCATTATTTCTATACTCAGTTACATTAGAAATTTCAGTAACTTCCTTTATGCTGTCACACAGTTTTTAGAAGAGGTAATTTACCTGTAAGGCAATGTGGACTTGGAGACTGGGGCTGTTTCTCAGCAGCACTTTTTGGTCTTTTGTGTATTGTTGACTGTGCTCTGACCTAATCCACCTACTTAAAAAAATGCAGATGAGAAAAGTGGGGGCAGATGTGATAAGTGGAAGAGATGAGAAACCATGGGTTCCCAAGAGTTCCTAATAAAGCATTTGCTGAATTATTTGCCGTGAAGTTCTGGGAAATATCCTCAATTCTTTACAATAAATCTCTCTTTACTAAGGCCAGGTTAAGCTCAGTATTTTCGAATCAACTCCAAGGGGCCTGACTGTGAAGAGAAAGTGTGTTGGTGAGAAAGAATAGAAACCAGAAACAGATTAATAATACCAAGGGCTGTTGTTGCAAGAGTTAGTACACAGTGCTTTGGAATTGATACTTAACACTACTGATGAATGTTCTCATTAGTTAGTTGTACTGTCTTTGGTGACGTATGAATGGGCTAGTGAAATATCATAGTTGGTCAGATTTTCATTTTCTCATAGATTACATTTATTTTGCAAAATTATTTTGTGCTGAAATAGGGCTTCTCTTGTGTAAGAAATCTCAAATAATTATTAAGATGTATTTCAAGCTCCACAGGCAATTTTTGAACTAAATGATGTATCTGTTGGCACAGAATCATTAAAAGAGCATGGACTAGTGTCAAAAAACCTTTAGTCTTAGTCTTTGTTCCACTTTTGTGATGTTGGATATGCAACTTCACTTATCACGGCCTCAGTCTCCTCATCTGTAGGATGATGAAGATGAAATTATGATTTCCAATGTCCTTTGAAGCTCTCATGATCTCGTTATTCTTCTAAGAGTACTATTATTAGATGCCATTACAGGTGATTTATGTACACCTTTAAATTTTTGTAAGCTGCCTAAACAATAATAATCAATTGTATGGTTGTAAATGCTAACTAGTAGAATTAGAGTTGGACAAACAGAAAAGATTTTTAAACAACCAGAAAATAAAATACATTTAAGGATTAAAAGAACAGAATCCCTAAATCAGTAACTATGGATCACAAAACTGGTTGAGAGTATTTTTTTATTCCAACTTGAAATGCTGTCCAATCTATGAGATATAATTCTCAGTTAATGCTTCACTCAAAAAAGGTAGGTATTTTCACTAAATTTGGAGGATATATTTAGGATAGTTGGACATAATAAAGATGAGGCTTATCTCCTCTTTTAATTCTCTCCCAGTTTTAATTCTCTCCCAAAACACCTATTGGGACTTTTCTTTTCATATCCTCATCCCTTTCCAAGTGACAAGCATCCCACTGTCTGTTTTGGGGAGGGGCAGGGGAGGGAAGTGAAAATTTAATTTAAAAGTGTTTGTCTCTTAAAGATGGGAGTATCCATCTTCACTAGTTACTAGACTGAATGGGGCTCAGCTGGGAATGGGCAAATGTCCTGTTGAATAATAATATAACAGGTAATATATCAGAGACTGTCAAAGCAAGTCCCTTAACCTACAGAAATGAAAAGAATGGGTAATAGAGCTCACATAAATAATGACTCAGGATTTGTAGATACCGACCCAGATGTTGTGAATCTCCTTGGCACTGGTCCTTGGCTATAGTCAGAGCCTCCTAATACTTACCCCATCCTCTCCTTGTGTTTTATTTTTGTCATCTTTTGTCATGTCTGGCTCCCTGACCAAGGCAACACCACATTTCTCTTTTCCTAATCTCGTCACCTCCAGTGATTTTTATCGATTTCTGTAAAGACTAAAGACGAGAATAGGGAGGGGGAGGGGAGGATGAAAAGAGTATGTATGAAGTTGTCTGGCTCTTCTTAAATTCTACTTCTGGTGTTATGGCATAAATTGGTTGTTTTTCATTCCTTGAAACTTCTGTTTTAATCTTCAAGAGCCCATTTTGGCAGTTTAAAAATTTGTCAGTTTCTTTTTCCTTTGCATCCATTTATAACAATTTTAATTCTCTTTTAGGCAATATCTGACTAACAGAAGGAAGGGTCACAGAAAAGGAAGTCTGTAAAAGACACATAACAAAAATTAATATTTTAAGTTAGGTTGGCAAATTACATCCAGGACACCACCTCTTGTTTTTGTAAATACAATTTTATTGGGACTAGCCACACTCACTTATGTATTGTCTATGGCTACTTTTGTGCTACAATGGCAGAGTTAAGTACTGTATATATGACAGAGACTAAAGGGCTGGCAATGCCTAAAATAGTAACATTATAGTAATAGTATATGAATAGTATCTGCTATCCAGACCTTTTTAAAAAAGTTTGTTAATTTGTTTTGAGATATTATCTTGCAATAATTTGACTTAAAACATAACTAGCTTCTGTTTCTTAGAATGACAGAGGCAAGATTTATTCCTCCAGCTGAAATAACCAAAGAAAACTGGACAAAATATATGAAACAATGGTTGAGACAGGAAACAAATTAGGTGAGCCCTATGATTGTTTCATATTACCGTCTTGAGTGAATTTCGAGGCCATGCTAGATGAAGGATACCACAGGCAAAGCTCAGAAAGCTCCCTGAGATCAGAAGATGGAGGTAAGAGTCTGTTGCTTGTCCCAAAATAGATAAAACAAAATATTGACAGAATTGGAAGGAGATATACATAATTCAACAATAATAATTTGAGACTTCAACATCACACTTTTAAAAATGGATAGAACAACTAGACGGAAGGTCTATATAAAACAGAAGACTTGAATAACACTGAAACTCACTAGACAAAAAAGATGTATATAAAATATTCCACATATAATAGTAGAATATACAGTTTTCTTAAGGGTATATGAAACACTCTCTAGGATAAATCATATGTTAAACCTGAAAACAAGTCTCAATAAATTTAAAAGGATGGAAGTCATACAAAGTGTTTATTTAAGCACAATGGAATAAAAGTAGAAATCAATAGCAGAAAGAACTTGGGAAATTCACAAATATGTGGCAATTAAATTATCCTAAATAACCAATGGATTAAAAGAAGAAATCATAAGGAACATTATAAAAATACTTTGAGATGAATGAAAATGAAGACACAACTGACCAAAACTTATAGGATGCAACTAAGGCAGTGTTTAGAGGAGGATTTATACCTATAAATACTTATGTTAAAAAATAAGAAATATCTCAAATCAATAACCCAAAGGTCCAATGAAGATACAGGATAAATAAGAGCAAATTAAATGTAAAACAAACAAAAGGAAGGAAGTCATATGATTAAAACAGAAATATAATGAAATAGAGAAAGGAAAAATAAAAAATTAGGAAACAAAAAGTAGTTCTTTGAAAAGATCAACAAAATTATAAGTCTTTAGGCTGATCAATAAAAAAGAAGACTGACTTTAGTAAAATAAGGAATAAGTGAGAAGATATTACCACTGAATTTATAGAAATAAAATAGGTTATAAGGGAATACCATAAACAAATTTATACTAACAAATTAGATAGCTACATGACATGGACAACTTCCTAGACACAAATTAATGAAATGCACTCAAGAATAAACAGAAAGCCTGAGCAGACCTGTAACAAATAAAGAGAATGAATTCATAATAAAAACACAACCCACAAAGAAAATCTCAGGCTAAGATAGCTTCACTGGTAAATTTTATCAAACATCAAGAAAGAATTAATATCAATTTTTTACAAACTCTTCCAATAAATAGAAAAAAATGGAACATTTTTCAGCTCGTTCTATAGAGCAGCATGTGGTCTAAAAGAACACACTTTAAATATAAAGACACAAATAGGTTAAGTGTAAAAGGATGACAAAGATATATCATCCAAACACTAGTCAAAAGGAAGCAGTAGTGGCTATGTTAATATCAAAGTAGACTTCAGAATAAAGAATATCAACATGGACACAGATTAATAAAATGGTATAGAGGCCAATTAATTAAGGGGACATAATAAGTTATATACCTAATAGAGACTTTCAAAATATGGGAGGCAAACTGATAGAACTGCAAGGATAAATAGGCAAATCCTCAATTATAGTAAATAATTGAGTTAATAACTATAATCCTAAATATAGTTAATATATTTGATAATTACATAGGAAAATCTGCAAGGTTATTATAGATTTGAACATCACTATCAACTGACTTGACATAGATTGATCAAAGATCCTTCAATAATAGCAGAATGTGCATTCTTTTCAAGCATACCCAGAATATTTACCAAGATACACCATATTCTGGGACATAAAACCAATTTTAAACTTAAGTGGATTTAATTCATACAGAGTATGTTATGTTACTACAATGGAATGAAATTAGAAATTATTAAGAAAGATCCCAATTAAAATTCCAGCAAGTTTGTTCGTTTGTTTGTTTGATTGTTTTGGAATATGACAAACTGATTCAAAAATTCATTTGGAAATACAAAGGACCTAGGATAGACAACACAAATTTGGAAAACGAACAAAGGTGGAGGCTATTGTTATCTGATTTCAAGACATATTACAAAACTATAATAATTAAGGCAGCATTTCACTGGGATAAAGTTAGAAAAGTAGATCAATGAAACAGAATAATAAGTACAAAAATAAACCCACACATACATGATAGGACAACTGATTTTACACTTACCAGTTTATTATAAAGGATAGAAATGAATAGCCAATGAAAAGATACACATGTCCAGGTCTGGAAGGGTCCCAAGTGTGGGAGATTATAGACTATGAAGATTGTGGAGGCTCACAATCTTCCAGGCAGGTAAATGTGTTTATCAACCTGGAGGCTCTCCAAACCCATCATTTGGGTTTTTTTTTTTTAATTGAGGTTTCATTAGATAGAGATGATCAATTGAGTTATTGGATCATGGTGATTAACTCAATCGCCACCCCATCTCACTTCCCTGGAGGTTGGGAATTGGGGAAGAAAGTTCCACGTTTCTAATCAAACATTAGTCTTTTTGGTTCCCAGCCCCCATCCTGAAACTAACTAGAGGACTACCAAGATTTACCTCATTTGGAATCACATTACCTGACTTCGAATTATACTACAAAGCTGTAGTGATCAAAAACAGCATGCTACTGGCATAAAAACAGGTACGTAGAACAATGGAACAGAATAGAGAACCCAGAAACAAATCCACACACCTACAGTGAACTCATTTTCAACAAAGGTGCTAAGAACATACGTTGGGGTAAAACAGTCCCTTCAATAAATGATGCTGGGAAAACTAAATATCCATATGCAGAAGAATAAAACTAGACCCCTATCTCTCACCACATACAAAAATAAAATCAAAATGGATTAAAGAATTAAATACAAGACCTCAAACCATTAAACTACTGCAAGAAAACATTGGAGAAAGTCTGTAGGACATGGGTCTGGGCAAAAATTCATTGTACAATACCCTACAAGCACAGGCAACCAAAGCAAAACTGGACAACTGGGATCACATCAAGTTAAAAAGCTTCTGCATAGCAAACAATACAATCAACAAAGTGAAGAAACAACCCACAGAATTTTAGAAAATATTTGCAAACTACCCCTCTGACAAGAGATTAATAACCAGAATACATAAGGAGCTAAAACAACTCTCTAAAAAAGCTCTAAAAATCTGATCGAAAAATGGGCAAAAGATTTGAATAGACATTTCTCAAAAGAAGAAATACAAATGGAAACAGGCATGTGAAAAGGTGCTCAACGTCATTGATCATCAGATAAATGCAAATCAAAACTACAATGAGATATCATCTAACCCCAGTTAAAAAGGCTTTTACCCAAAAGACAGGCAATAACAAATGCTGGCGAGGACTTGGAGAAAAGGGAACCCTTGTACACTTTGATGGGAATGGAAACTAGTAAAACCACTGTGGGAAAAAGTTTAGTTTCCTCAAAAAACTAAAAATTGAGCTATCATTGATCCAGCAATACCACTGCTGGGTATATACCCAAAATAAAAGAAATCAGTACATCAAAGAGGTATCTGCACTCCATGTTTGTTGCAGCACTGCTCACAATAGCCAATATTTGGAAGCAACCTAAGTATCCATCAACAGATGAATGGATAAAGAAAATGTGATACATATATGGAGGACTGACTATTCAGCCATAAAAAAAATGAGATCCTCTCATTTGCAACAACCTGAATGGAACTGGAGATCATTATGTAGTTGAAATAAGCCAGGCACGGAAAGACAAACATTTCATGTTCTCACTTATTTGTGGGATCTAAAAATTAAAACTATTGAACTCATGAACCTAGGGAGTAGAAGGATGATTACTAGAGGTTGAGAAGGGTAGTGGAGGGCTGATGGGGGGAGGTGGGGATGGTTGATAAGTACAAAAAAAAGTTGGAAAAAATGAATAAGACATAGTATTTGATAGCACAACAGGTTGACTATAGTTAATAATGACTTATCTGTACAATATATAATAAAGAGTATAATTAGATTGTTTGCAACTCAATGGATAAGTGCTTGAGGGATAGATGCTCCATTCTTCATGAAGTGCTTATTTCACATTGCATGCCAATATCAAAATATCACATGAACCCCATAAATATATACACCTACTATGTACCCACAAACACTAAAAATGAAATTTTAAAAAAAAGATTTACCTCATTTAAACAGAAGAAGCTCCTATCCCTAATCACTCAGGGAATTACAAGACTTTTAGGACCTTTGTGCCAGCAATCTGAGACAGAAATAAGGTATCTCTGTATTGATACCACAGCAACTGTAAACATTGATTTGCATCCTATTTGTCACATGGAAAAGTCTATGTAGGGACTTCAGGGGGAGTAGCAGCATGAGTATATTTATTTAACAATGATTTATGATTCTAGGGCAGTGCCTAAAAGTTGGCTGGTATGAAATAATAGATATTTACTGAAAGATCTTATTGGTCAGTTTTAAGGGCATCACTCTTAATAAGTGATCATCTATAATAATTGTTTTCATAATATATTATTTCAGGAAGTCTTTAAGAGAGGGAATAAAGAAATGTGGTACACATATACTATGGAATACTCTGCAGCCATAAAAAAGAATGAAATTACGTCCTTTGCAGCAACGTGGATGCAGCTAGAGGCCATTATCCTAAGTGAATCAGTGCAGGAACAGAAAACCAAATGCTGCATATTCTCACTTATAAGTGGCAGCTAACTATTGGGTATTTATGGACATAAAGATGGCAACAATAAACACTGGAACTAATAAAGGGGTGAGAGTGGAAGGGCTAAAGATTGAAAAAGTAACTGTTGAATATGATGCTCAATTCCTGGGTGACAGGTTCAGTCACACTCCAAACCTCAGCATTAAGCAATATACCCATGTAACAAACCTGCACATGTATCCCCTGAGTATAAACTAAAAGGTGAAATTATTTAAAAAGAATTTTTAAAATGAAGAAAAACTGCCTGTGTAGGTGTAATTAGAACACTACTTTTGTCTTTGGATCAAAATATTTTCCATGAAAACAATTCTCTAATTTTTTAATGTAAGTGAGAAAATAGCTTTGCTACTCAGAAATTTGCAGTTAAAGCAGTTTTTTAGGAATACTTTGGCTCTTGTACATAGATAAACACCAAACTGGTGATCTCAGGCTGAGTAATGCCTGTCAGGCCATTTACAATTCATCTTGATATAGTGCATGCTTCTTGTAGATGCTTTGGCCTAGTAGAGTAAAGAAATGTGTTTAACGTAAGGGTGGTGTAAAGGAAAGGGAAATAAATCAACACAAGATTTCCCCAGCAATAGAGAGCATTCCTTTATACGCATAATTATTTAAGAGGATAAACGCACAGAATTATATTGCAAAGTTTTATTCAATCATCTCTATTTTCAAACTTTTATTATATTGCTACACTCTCAGCTCCCTAATGTCATCATTAGCAAAATATTAAGCCTGCATGGGATATGGTATGTGGTAAGCACGTAAGCATATTTGTTGAAAAACTATAACTCAAAACAAAAAGTTTTCTGTTTTTTATTTTTGTTTTACTGTGGTTAAAAACACACTACAGAAATTTTATAATCTTCACCATTTTTAAGTGCATAGTAGTGTTAATTGTATTCACATTGTTAGGAAACAGATCTCCAGAACTTTTTAATTTTGCAAATCTGAAACTGTATCCCACTAAATGACAACTCCCCTTTTCCTCCTCCCCCCAGCCCATGGTAACCACCAGTCTTCTTTCTGTTTCTATGAATCTAATTACTTTAGATAACTCATATAAGTGGAATCATATAGTATATGCCTTTTTGTGACTGGCTTATTTCATTTGGCATAATGTCTTCATCGTTCATCCATTTTGCAGTATGTACCAGAATTTTCTCCTTTTTAAACACTGAATGATACTCCATTGCATGTATGTACCACATTTTGTTTATTCAATCAATTTTTCATGAATACATGGGTTGCTTCTAGCTTTTGACTATAGCTAATCACTCCACTATGAACATGGGTATACAAAGAATCTCTCTAAATCCCTGCTCTCAATTCTTTTGGGTATATATCCAGAAGTGGAATTGCTCGATCATATGACAGTTTTATTCTTAATTTTAGCACAAACATTTATTTGGTATAATTTAACTTAATATAATGAGAATTTGTTTCCCTGATTGTATGGTCTGTTTCCCAGTATGGCTCAACGAAGGCTATAAAGAGTAGAGAAGATATAAAGTTTTATGGTGAATAAGAAAAACACAGTAGGAACTGATAGGGTTTGGATCTGTGTCCCTGCCCAAATCTCATGTCACATTGTAATCCCCAATGTTGGAGGGCCTGGGAGGTGACTGGGTCATAGGGAAAAAGTTCTCATGAATGGTTTAGCACCATCCCCCGCTTGGTACTGTAGAGCGAATGAGTTGTCGTGAATCTGGTTGTTTAAAAAGTGTATGACACCTCTCCTACTCTCTATCTTCCTCCCACTCTGGCCCTGTGAAGATGCCTGCTCTGGCTTGGCCTTCTGCCATGAGTTAAAGCTCTCCCTTTGCCTTTGCCATTGCCATGATTGCAAGTTTTCTGAGGCCTCCCCAGAAGCCAGACAGATGCCAGCATCATGCTTCCTATGTAGTCTGCAGAACTGTGAGCCAATTAAAACTCTTTTCTTTATAAATTACCCAGTCTCAGGTATTTCTTTATGGCAGTGTGAGAACTGACTAATACAGGAACGTAACAAGAACATATTAAAAATGCTGGATAGAGTTGAACCTTCAGTTTAGGTGGGTGATCAGAAATGAAAGCAATCAAGGTGGGTGCTGCTATTACAATTACAACTACTATTCCTACTACTGCAACTTTACTATAATATAGATTGGCCTTTGAGTTGATAGCTGGGGCATTTTACAGTAAACAGGGAGTCTGTACCACTAAGGACTGTCAAATGTTCTTAATTTAAGGCACATCCTCTAGAATATTCTATTCATATATTTGATCATAAAGAACAATATGGCTGAGAAGTGACTTGTTTATGACTACCCACTGAAAATAGTAGTTAGGATGGCAGCAGGAGTGCAGGCCCTGAGGTTATCTTCATGTGTAGCTTTCTTGAGTTTATTTCTTAAAGTTCAAAGTCATTACAGTAATTCCTCAGCAGGGGATCCATTCATCATTCTTTGTTCTGCAGGGCTAATTACCATCAACACTAATGGGAATTCTGTATTTAACTCAAGAAGCAAACATGGTACTAGTTTCTAAAACAGAACACAAGAATTACTTATCTGCATGCAAATGTTCTCCCAGGTTTTGATGTGAGAGAGAATTCAGTGGGCATTAGAAAAACACTTACATAAATTGTTTCATTGCTTCTGTAGTTATTTATGTTTTTCTAAAATTTAAGAATGCATAAAATGTAAGATAATGTTTACTGAGAAAAGAACAACAATCATGTGGGTGTTTTTTATGTGTGAGGCAGCATGCTTAGCATTTTGCTTATTTACTTTATATGTTATTTATTTATTCTCACAAGAATCTTTAAGTTGTTAGCACCATTTTGAAGGTATGAAAATTAAGAATAGAAAGGATCAGTAGTTTTCCAACACTTGCACAGGTGCTCAATACTGAGCTAAGAACTGTGAGAGCGCGTAAAGAGGGGACTCCTTTTAGGGCCCCATCTGAAAAAATAAATCCATGTCTGTTACCACAGAAGAATGTTATGATAATATGTTCAGTAATAGGCCAGTCTCTACTTCTCAGGGTCCCATCTAGAAAAGTAAATATGTGCCTGATATCAATGGCAATATGTTTACAATGCAGGTCAAGACCTATAATTTTCAGGGCCTAGAGCCCACATACCACACACCTAAATATTTATGTCAGGCTCTCAACCTGTTGAATAAAATATGTACTATATTCCTAGCTTGATAAATATACTTTATAATAAACTTTCAAGTTGGAATTGAATTTAGAATTTTCAAGCATCCCAGAGTTCCATGCCAAAATGTGGCAAAGTGAAGGTTAGGACCTCACCCATAGCTTGCCCCCTTTTTCTTCTTACCCCTGGCTCTGTCTCACTTGACAAAAGGTCTAGCACAGATGTGTGTGAGCACCTCATCCTGAATTTCATCCATAACCCCTACTATCTCACATTCAGCTATCCCCTACTATGCATTTGGGCTGGGGGTACATATATTGATGGTCTGGCCTGCACTTGGATTGATAGGCACTTACATAGATCCTGGAAGTGGGTTTAGAGAATTTGACAGGGATTTCCAGGGTCCCACCTGGAACATTATCTAGAAGTGGAGGCTGAGTGACACATCTTCTTGGTTCCATGGAAGCCTCACCCTGTGAAGAAAGAAATGGTCTTTGGAGGGCCAAGTCCAGGCCCTTTAAAGTATGGGGTGAAGTGCAGGTGTCCTAAGCAGTCAACCTCAGAGAGAATTAGAGTATCAACAGAGAGGTCCAGACTTTTCTAGTATAGTAATTGCCATCTGAGTAAATGACATCACCTTTTTAACAGTTACCCAGGCCAAAACCCTTGAAGCCATTCTTTCTCTCTTTTTCTCATACATCACATCCAATTCCTTAGAGCAAACCTGTCATCACTATCTCCAAAAGGTATCCAGACTCCTCTTCAGCATCCCCAATGTTGCCACACTGGTCAAAGCCACCATCATCTCTCCTGAATGAATCAGTCTCTGTATGTATGCCTAGTCTATTTACAGTACAGCATCCAGAAGGATTAGTTTAAAATTAAATCAGATCAAGTCACTCCTTTGCTCAAAACTTGTTAATGGCTTTTCATCTCACTCAGAGTAAAAGCTAGAGATTCCAAAGCTCAACACAAGCTGGTTCCCCTCTACCTTTCTTATCCCATCCCCTATGAGTCTCCCTTTTGTTCACTCTGTTCCAGCCACACTGCCCACATTACTATTCTTCAAATTTGCCAGGCATTGCACACCCCAAGCACTTGCCCTTCTCTCTGCCTAAAGTGTTTTAATACAAATATCAGATGGCTTGCTACTTCATCTCCTTCCTACAAATGCTCTCTCTACAAGCTCCATCTAAAATTGCTACCCTCTGACACTCCCTATCCTCCTTCCATTCTTTATTATTTTTCTCTTTGCATTTAATCAACTTCTTACATACTATATATTTTAGCTATTTGATTGGGTGTTTTCTGCCTCCCTTCACTGTAATACAAGATCATGAGGGCAGCGTGTTTTTTCTTTTTTTTTTTTTGGCAGTTACTGCTGCATCGCTAGAATGGTGCTTAGTACATGGTAGTGACGAAGTACACTTTTGATAAATGAATTTCAATAGTAGTAAAAGCTAGCCAACTCTGGTTTCATTGGCTATGACAAGGCATATATACGATAAACCCGGAATAAGAACATGGGGAGCAACAATCAGAGTAGTTTCTAAATATTGTCCTGAATCTATTTTGACACATACTAAATCCTAGATAATAACCTAATTGATACTTGATCAGAAACCTTTTCATAATACATCATGTTATATTGTCGATCTTTAGAAGTGATTGAATAATTCAAAACCCCTTCTTTGCTGCTTATCCCTAACCATCAGTCCTGCAGAAGGGCCAGTCTTAGCAACCATGTTTGTACTATTGGTTTCAACTGTTCTGACCCAGGTGTATCAATTAGAATTAAATTTAGCTGTGAGTTGTTGAAAAGCTGAATAACAGTGGCATACAAATGTTAATGTCACTCTCACATAAATTAAGTCTGTTGGTAAGCGGACTAGGAGTCGTTTGGCAGCTGCTATCAAGGACAAAGACTTCAAGTTTGTTATTTCCCCATCCTTGAAATAGACTTTTACTTCATGATTTAAGATGGCTGCCTAAGCTGTAGCCATCAAGCTTACATTTCAGTTAGCAGAAAGGAGAAGAGAGTAAAAAAGGAACACCTCCTTTTTGGTGTAAACTTAGGATTTTATTTTGTTTTATCAGAAAAGTTAACTAATTTTTACAACTTCGTTTGTTAAATATTTTTCTCTTCTTATATATTAAAATCTAACACATATTATGATCTGTATTAGAACTTTCTATTCTGTTTAAATGGTGCATTGATATATTTTTATACCAATTCTTCACTGTTTCAGTTCTCAAGGCATTATAACGTTTTAATTGTCTGATCAATTAATCCACCGTCAGCACTTTTCTTTTCCTGCCCTCTTCATTTTTGCTTCTATGGTTTGATTCTTCTTCCAGGGACATTTAAACTCCTTTCATCTTACACTGCAAATAATTCATTGAGATTTTGATTAGACTACATTAGGTCTACAAATTATTTTTGAAAGAATTGACATTGTTATAATATTCATTCTTCTACCCACCTATGTGATATGTCTTTCTAATTATTCCCATATTCTTTTATGTACCTCTGTTTTCTTTATATCATTTGCGGGAGGTTGAGATTGTGTTCTGTTGGTAAAATGCATTCTAAAATTTCTCTCTTTTTCTGTTTTGTAACGTGCTATGGAGCATGAAAATAGTATTTTTTAAAGTTGAAAAATATCTATGTCCAGTACATTTTCTTCGGAAATATTTATGTGCTATATTATGATTTTAAAATTAATACATGTTTATTATAAATAATGAATAAATATAGAACAGTATAAATCAGAATAATTACCTCAGTAGTGACTCAGACTACATTTGGTATATATTCTCTCTCTCTGTCACACACACACATACACACACACACGATTAGTTTGTACATCGTTTTATAAACTGAACTGTTCACTTAATGAGGACTAAAAAGTCTTATTTAATAACTCATTTGTTAAATACAAGTTACATGGAACATCTTTTTGTTGTATTAGCATACACACTTCTTTTTTCATGTGCCTGTTGATTCATGTTCTTGCCATATTTTCATTTTTTTCTTATTAGTTTTATAATAGTTTCTTATATATAAGGATAACAGTGGCATGTAGTTCACCCATATCTGAAATATTTCCTTTAGTTTGTTGTTCATCATTTAGCTTTATGGCAATTTTTGCAAGATGTAGCTTTACAGAAATCAAATTAGTCGATATTTTTCTTTGTACTGAGAAATGTCATGTCCATCTTAGTAAGATATATTCACTGGTATATCCCTTCTAGAACTTTTAAAAATGTATTTCCTACCCCTAAGTCTTTAATGCATGGAAAACTTAAAAGAATTTAAGTTTCTAAATATTTAGGAAATTATTCTACTTATTAAGTAATCAATCATTTGCACACTGATTTGAAATGTTACCTTTATGTTATAATAAATTCTCATCTGTGCTTGGGTCTATTCTTGTACTTTTATTCTGTTTTATTAGTCAGCCTATCCTGATGTCATTTTATACTATTTCAAATATTCTAACTTTTTTATATCTGACAAGGATAGGGTACTCATTGTCTTTTTTCCCTTCTGGTTCTTCATCCATGTTTATTCTTCTGGATAACCTTCAGCTTCACAAAGTTCAGAAAGTGCCATGAAAATTTTATTTGGGGGCTCATTAAATGTATTGGTTAATTTAGATTTTTTCCATTTGATCAATGTTTTGTGACTGCTTATTTGTTGTTAGCAGTGAAAACTTGGGATATAAAATCTTAGACTTTTTTTTTTTTTTTTTTTCCTGCAGCAAGGTCTCTCTCTGTCGTCCAGGCTGGAGTGCAGTGGCACAATCACAGCTCACTACAGCTTTGACCTCCTGAGTTCAAACAATCCACCCACTCCAGCCTCCCAAGTAGCTGGGACCACAGGTATGTGCTGCCAGGCCTGGCTAATTTTTAAATTTAATGTAGAGATATGGTCTCTCTATATTGGCCAGTTTGGATTAAGATTTTTTTTTTATTGAAATTCTGCACATTTCTCATTTACTTGAATATTTTGTTTTTCTTTCCTGTTGTTTTTGTTGATTTGCTGCTACTTTTATTAACTTTTAAAAACCATTAGTTTTTAAATATCAGAGTTTTGAACTCATGCTTGTATGGTTGAGTGACAAATTTCTTGGCAATAAAAGTTATTACCCACTCCAAATTTGCTCATTTGTTTTATTATCTTTGTTGTACAGTAATTTGGAGGAGAAGCCTGGGGCCAGACTATTTTAAGTTGTACAAAGAGATGACCAAGAATATATATCTCTTCATTCATTTTAGGACCTTTACATCACAGACCTGGATCATTTGTCAACTTGAAAAAATTTTCTCTTATGGTGTCATAACAATTGATTCCAATTCCGTTGTTTGTTTCTTCCTAGGTAATACCATGCACCATATATCAGATCACTGTTCCTCTTTTTCATCAATCTGTCCTTTTCCTGTGCATTTAACACTTCCCCAGTTTGTCTTTTACATTACTGGTTTGGTTTTCTGCTTTGTCTTCAGCTGTGCTTTTTATTGAATCTACTTTTAATTTTAATTTTATGATTGTAATTGTAGTTTTAAAATGTGTATTTCCTAATTTCTTGCAATCCTTAAAAAAATAATCCTGCCTGTATTTCAGCCAGCTTCCTTTTTATTTCAGTCTGTTGATTTATCTTCATTTTGATCTGTTTTATGAAATTCTTAATCCCATGAACTGAAAGTTCAATAGTATGAACTTTCTAAAGGTTACATTTTGTGTAGTAAATGGAATGCAATATATCCTTTCCACTTTATTTGTATTTAATTAATTTGGAGGAGTCACAGAATAGTTAATGTGTTCAAATGGAACAAAAAAGGACAGATGTAGAGTCAGCTCTCCCAACTCCTACTCTGAAGGTAACCGCTAATACCAGTGTTTTATTTATCCTTTTACAAATGCTTCATTTATATGCAAGTATATGTTATATATATACACACATATAGGTACATGGGTACTTCACACATACAGGACATAGATATATATGCCTTAAAGTGTTTTTTTAAAGTACAAATGATTCATTTAATATGCCCTATAGCACTTGCTGTTTTCACTTGACAATATATCATGAATATTATTCTATGTTATTGCATAAGAACTTTTGTCATTATTTATTTTAATATCTGAGTAGTATCCCATTGTGTTAATATACTATAATTTACTTCTCCATTTAGATTGATTCCACATTTTTTGCTTTTACAAACAACACTGGCATGAATAACTGTGTACATAAATCATTTGCATGTATATGACAATATCTGTAGAATAAATTCCTAGATGTGAAATTGCTGGCTCAAAGGATGTGTATGATTTTAGGCTTTTATTAGAGATTGGCAACTGCCTTTTCCAGGTGTTATACTAATTTAGACTAGTAACATTTGTGACTGACTGTTTCCTTTCATCCTTACTCATATAGTGCATTGTCAATCTTTTTTGTTTGTTTGTTTTGCTTTGTTTTTTTAATCTTTAGGGATATGACAGGGTGTCAATGCTATTTTGTTGGTGTTTTATTTTATATTTGAATTTCTCTCCCTATTGCCGTTATGATAGAAGGTCTTTAGACTTGATGAAATCTCATACTATAAGAACAGTAGAGTACAAAAATACAGCCAATTCAATTGGAAAATTTGTATGAGCTAATGTCTTTAAAAAGGATGTATTTTACCACTCCATCACTACTAAAAATGTCCCAATAGCAGCAGCCATGCTTTTTCCTATCACCAACTCTCATAAGTACTCATAATACCTGTATTTTTATGTCTTATACTATTTCAACACCAAAATGAAATAGGATTTCCTAGATACTTGTGGTTGGAAAACTCAGGATGGGTTTGGAATGTCCTCTTGTTGTCAAAAAGCAAGTATGTATCCCATGACATCAGAGGCCATGTTAAAAATATAAAGGAGTCAGTGTCGGGGGCTTCCAATGGTCAATGTGAACATCAAAAAGACAATGATAATTATTATTAATCAGAATAAGTAGAATTTAAAATTAGGTAAGCATTTATAACAATACTGAAAAGAACCAAGTAAATAAAAAATGTGTAAAAGGTAAATATAAAAGTGACTTTAATATTAATGTTTAAATTTTATTTTAATATTTATAGCTATTATGTATGTAAAAATCAAAGACTCATAACTTTACAGAGTTATATGCTGCTTAGAAAGCATTCATTCCAAAAAGCACAATAGTATAATGGTTATAAAGGTGAATTCTAGAGCCAGACTATCTGAATTTGATTACAAATTCATCATTGACTAATCTCTCTGTGCCTATTTCCTCAGTTTTAAAATGACAACGGTAGTACCTATTTCATAGAGTTTTTGTAAATTTAAATGAGTCAATACATACCAATCACTTAGAATCATGCCTACATGATGATCATGCTACTTTAAAAAAATCTATCCATCTATCTATTATCTGTCTATCTATCTATCCATCTATCTATCATCTATCTATTCCTAAAGCAAAGAAGGGAAACTGATACCAATTTCTGTGTCAGTTAAAGCACATTTATCATAAACATCAAACATTAGTTTGAATAGGATTTCTGTCACTGTCAATGGAAAACGTCCTGATTATTATAAAATCCCTCAAATAAATAATAAATTCCTTAAAGGAATTAACCTCAATATTAACCTCAAATGAATAACTATAAATTCCTCAAAGGAATTTATAAATTATAATCTACATTTATTTAATGTTAAATTAAATATAAATTTATATTTATATTAAAATAGAAATTTATTTTATAATTATAAATTTACATCATAAATATAATAAAATAACACACAAATTATATTTTATATAATTTATAAACTCATCAAAAGAATTTATAATTATAATAGTGCCTGACATACAGCATGAGGTTAGTAAGTTGGTGCTGAAATGCAATAAACTGAAAATACTGGAAGCTAAAATTAATGTTAAAATTTGAAATACATTCCCAATATCCTGTTAGAAATAGTTTTGTTCATCTTTAATGGGTACTGTGGCAGATTGCAATATGCCTTCCCTAATATTTCTTTTAGTAATTTTATTAATTTATCAATTAAATTTTATTTGCAATGCTAACACACCTATCTATGAGACTACATTTATCAGCTTCTCTTATAGTTAGGTGTGACAGTGTGACAAAGTTCTGTTCAGTAAAATCTAAGTAAAAGTGTGGTGTGGGCCTCTTTGAAAGCCTCCTTAAAAGGAGCAGCCATTATATATATTTTTTCTCCTTTCTTTCTTTCTGCTTCCTGAAATAGAAATATGATGACTAGAGTTCAGGCAACCACTTTGGACCTTGAGCAATGCGCTGAATATGACAGGACAGAAAGACAGAGGAAGCAAGACATTGTTGAGCCGATACACCAGACTTGAACTGCTTACCTATGAGATTTATTCTCTCTCTCTCATACACACACACACACACACACACACACACAGACACACACACATTTTTTCTCCTAGATCATATCAATATAAATTACAGATATCATGACAGGAAGGTAGCATTCTGATAACATACAACTATAAAATTATATTTCACATTTAACTGTAGCCTACATTGAATTAGGACTGCATGCATTTAAATCAACTTAACTTAGCATTTGAAGGTGTGGTGTTGATTCTACTTCATGACTGGGTGGGAGCATGGCTTATGTATTCAATATGAAATTACTCTTTATAACTAATCATAGATAAGAACATGAAATGATTGAAAGGACATCGATTCATTGAACACATATTCATCAGAATGTTAAGAGATGTAAATAATCAATACAATTTCAGAATAAGCTTCCACTAATGAAAGATGATTTATGGATTCATTACAAAACAAAACGTGTAAGCCACGTTGTATGTTGCCTACTTAGGTTTAAAAGTTCCATTTAAGAATGTCTTTAAAGAAATACAAATGGATGTATTTTTCTAGATCTATTTCAGGTCTAGAAACTGATAAATATGAGTACACTAAATGAGCAAGAACATACCGCTTGTTTTGCTATCATTTATGAATTTATGCTTACATACCTGGAATAAATTACTTGAAAATTCACTGCAGGATGGGTCAAATTTGATGGACACTCAATTGTTTAGCTGACTTAGGAAATGGTATTTCTTAGAGAAGACAGGATTTTATTTTCATGTCTTATCAGTAAAATTTAGATTTAAAATGGAAATATTTCAAGCTATATTTTTACTTAAGCCAAAAGAGTTAATTTCGTTTTCACTGTTCACAGTGCCTTTCAAATTTTGTTGTTTAACTTTGAAACACCATCTTCAACTTTTCACTGTACCTAAAAGCCAAAGTCTTCTGGTCCACATCGAGTCTGTTTTTTGTTATATACATAAGGAGAACTCAATGGGTGTTAATAATTAAGGGTTTGTATTGTAGGCTTTATGGTAGAATCTCATTGCCAAAGAAATACTTCTTAGAAAGGCAACCTGTTGATGAAGTGGAAAAGACATAGACTTTGAAGTAAAAAACAAAATAAAAAAAAAGCAAAACAAAAAATCCTGGGACTCAGTGTCTTATTAAGTCTATTCTTTATAACTGTGTGATCTTAGAAGCATTATTAAACTTTTCTGTCTTTACTAAGTTGTGAGCAAATATGCAGTGGTTAAAATTAGTAGACATTGAAATCTAACTAATTGGGTTTTGATACACATTAACTGTGTAGCTTTAGGTAAATTACTTAAACTCTCTTAGCCAACTGCTTTGTGTGTGAATGGGTGTAACCACAGTACTTGTTTTATAGAGTTGTATAATATATGAAAAGTATTTAGATCAGTGCCTGTTACAGAATAATTTTTCAATATATGCTAGATATATTAAATAATCACCATTTCCTTATAATTTCTATTGCTGTCTATAAAATGGAAAAAAATGGTATCAAGTTTATGGAGGATTAAGTTAAGTAATATACATAAACCACCTAAAATGGTGCAGAGCAGATGCTCAACAAATGTCAATTGTTATCTGCAAAATACTTTGCAAGTAGTTTGTGAAGAGTAATTAAAATAATACGTTTTAAAGCCCAGCATGGAGAGCAGAACAGTAACAATGCTTAATAAATGCTGGTGTCAACATGGAAATATTTTCTTTTTCCACAGACTTAACGATGAAAACATATGAAATTTAAATATTAGAAATGTATTCCACTTAGTAATATTCCTTGTAGCTTTAATATAATGGCATTTTAAGACCAACTCAGTCTTCATATATGTTGACATTAGAGAAAATCTCTCAGATGTCATTTTAAACATCTAAAGAATTATCTACCAACTAATTAATAAAATTGGCACACCCTGCCATGCTTGTGATTCTTCTAAATTCTCCTCACGCTTCAATTTCTATGAGGAGCTTACAGAGACCTTCCACTTTATCTCCCTTTCTATGGAAGTCTAGCTTTCTTTGGGACATCCGTCTTCTGTATGAAACTGCTCATGCTGTTTGCCTCAGAAAGAACCTCATTTTGGACCTGTGGGAACCACAGTAACATCACTGCCTGATACACTAGTACTCTGGAGATACAATCATTATCTACCCGTGCAACACATACTTCACCTGCTTTCTGCAAGCATTTAACAGGGAAAACCACACTTGGGACTGAGAGAACTGGGTTACAAGCCCTGGGGGATGGCAAAAGTGGGATAGAGGAGGGGCAGTGGTTGGAAGAGTTCCAGACAATCTGTTTATTTTTATTTTTTACTTTGTATGCAAAAAGCGTGTACCTCCCAGTACCACAATATCGATGCTGCTGCCAGAACTACTTAAGTACTAGCCTCATTTTCCGGGCTAAGAGTCATACTCCTCCATTTACAGTGATTATCAACATTTTTTACACCAAAATGCCCTCAAACCCAGGGGACTTGGCAGGACTCAACAGCCATGTCAGCAACTTCTCAGTTGTTGGATTTCAGTTTCAGAAATGGATGGTTTCAGAGCCCAGAAGTATGGATACTTTGCTGAACATCTGCTTCCCTCTGCAGGGGGCAGGAGGTAGACAGGGAGAGGTCTTGGTGGTTATGGTGACTGCTTCCATTGTTTATCTTGGGCTCCCAGGGAGGCAGCAGAGTCTGATGGGAAGAGCACTGGCTTTGGAATTAGTCAGATCTGTGTTCACATCCTAGCTATGTCACTTGTTGGTGTGTACTTGAGCAAATTACTTAAGTCTTTCTGAGGTCCATTTTAGTGATCTATAAAATGGGTTTTATGAATTCAAAACTTGCAGTGTTGGCATGAGGATTAAATTACATAATTATGGAAAGGCATCCAACAGATGTTCTGTTGCCCTTCAATTGTTGCTCAACCATTATGAGATAGACACACACAACTCTCTTGGCTACCCTGAACATGGTTTACTTGCTACTAGAAGTGTCAGAAAGCTTGTGTCTGTCTAGGGAATGTAAGTGAAATAGGCAACTGATCATTTTCCAAGTTATCTTTATTTCTATAGGTCCCACCAACCTTATTGACAACAGAGTATACAGATTTTACATAGAAATTTTTAACTCCAAACTCCATCCTTCTTAACTCCCATCACCTACCATCTTCCCATCATTAGTTAAAGTTGATGATTTCTGGCTGCTATTGCTGATATACTTTCCAATCTATTCATCTTTGGCTATCATGTTCTATAGCAGCTGTTGCTGCTCTCAGAGCCTGTCAGAAATGACCAGCACTGATCATCTGAGCCTGTTAGAAATGACCAGCTGAGAACCACTGCTGTGGCTCTCAGCTTTGCTGATGGCATTTGTTATCACTCTCTCTCACTTCCTGCTGTTGTCTTTATCACCATGATTCCTGGCACTTCTACCCCTGGAATCTTCTCAGGAGGCCTCTCTCCTTATGGTGATTATAGGCCTAACCAACCTGTAGGTTTTTGGACTCTGCTGAAGAACTTGAAACACACAGGTTTACAGAAGTTTGACTGATATTGTATGAGAGACACCTCCCAGGATTGTACCATGAACATACACAGTGTCCCTGAACCAGTCAGCATCCAAGAATTGGGTCTGAGAATGTCAAATTCAGCTTCCTTTTACTAAAACATCATTATCCTAGTGTCAGTTCAGGGATCAATTCAGTCTCTAAATATCTTCTTTGACTCCCAGGTATGACTAATCTGTCATGGTCATGAAGAGGTAAATAGCAAAGTCCTCATCCGTGCAGCAAATTTTCCTCAGTGGGGAACTTTGAACTCTATCCTTAGATTTCAATTTTGTTGGTTTATATAACTATTGATGCCCTGGGTTGAGGGACAATTATGAATGAAGGGAAAAATAGAGTAAAAGTCGTCTTGAAAGACGATGGAAAGTCTCCAGGCAGGTGAATGCAGCCCCAAATCATGGATGCTTAGAGTGCTTTGCATGTAGTTTCGTATCTGGAAGAATTTGAGTTACATACATTTAAGTGATAGCAATTAGTAACAGAAATAGTAACACTAGACATGCACTGTTGATCTCTTTATAGAAGAGAAGTAAAGACTTATGAAGGATTGAACTTTGAGTAATTATGTACAGAAAAACTTATAAGGCTCTTTATTCTGTTTATTGAGTATATTGATGTGGTTATTCCAGAAAGCCAGGCTAGCATGGGCAAACCAGAGATACAACATGTAGAAAACAAGAAAATAGGAGAATTCATACTAAGACATCATATCAGCCACTTGGGACTTACATAATGTTGCTGTAAAATTTATCATCCAAACCAGGAGACTCTTGAGAATGAAAAAGGATAATAATACAGTGAAACTTTCCTAGGCACAAAATTAGAACATATAGTCACCCTAGGCTTACAGCCTTGCCAATGCTAGTGAATATCTATAGATAGACACATTGAATGTGTGCCTGTGCATGACTAATAATTCATTGTGATTGTTTACATGTAAGTTAACTCCTGTTGAACTATATATTACACATTCCTTAGGAAGGATTCAAGTCATTTGAATTAATTTTTTGTTGTTATTGCACATTTTCAAATTAAAAGAACCATTTTCAGAATTGTTATGAAGAGATACTTGCTCCTTCTTGAAAATTGTAGTTCCCATCTTCATGCCCAAAGAAAGATTAATTTGATTTTATAATTTGAAATGCTAGTTCACCATCAACTTTATTTAATTCTGTGCTCTGAGAACTCTGGAATAAATGCTGATGACTGAGTAGCTCATTGGAGTAAATATTTATGTTTATGCAACTTACTTATTTCTACTCACTATGGAAATATAGTTCTTTTGGTGCTCCTTTTAGTTGTAACAGATTTGAAAATAAAGTTTCACTTATTTACCTATTTTACATGCATCATAGTATTTTGTGGTTAAAAGAAAATGCATTCATCTTCTAATCTGAAGTATAGAAAAAAAATAAGTTTTGACGTATTTCACATGTCAAGAGACTTTACTCCCAATACTAGCCTTGAGATTATACTTACCTCTCTAAAAAGTAAGTCATTTGCTATATTATATGTGTGAAGTCATTCAACTTAAAAGTACTACATTTGGTCTTGGCCAAAGGTAGGTGAAGCGATAGGCAGTAGAAGCTGAATAAAGGCACGTTGATTCTGACAGCATCTTACAAAACAAAATTTTGCTCTTGTATTTTAAAAGCCACTTCTTAGATTACTCAGATGTCGAGTTAAGTACATAAAATGTTCCAACTTACTTTATTTTCTGTTTAGTGGATAGTTTTTCTGCCCATCTCATTTCAAAATTAATCATGTATTTGAAAGAAATAAAGATAAACTCTATACATCTCTCTAAGTACTTGTAGCAAACAGTATATGTTCTGCTTACCTTTACCCCTTCTTCATAAATTGAAGGAAGTCACTCTCTATACACATCTACTGCTGGCATCCTGCCCTTTCTAATATTGAATAGATTACTTTACTCATGGGGCATGTCCTTTTCTCTCTCCTTTCCAATCAATGTCTGATTGGCTTCCCGGTAACCTTATTCCTGAATGTGTATAGCTAAAATGTAGACATACAATTTCCTTTTTCTAGCCAAGTTTTATTTAAAAAAACTAGAATTTAGAAAAAGCTTACTTTCCTAAACAGTAAGAAAAAAATGAGTACTCTTCTGGCAAAATAATGATATTTTCTGTTTTATTTGCAAATTATTTGTCTTCCGGGAGTTCCTATATTTAGAATTTTCTGCTTGTACCAGATTATCTTATGTCACCTATAACATGTTAGTGGCTGCTTGGCTTCTCTTTTCTTTGTGAGTTTTGAGATGAGCTGGAGAGATTATTGTAGTATAGCAGTTAGTGGAACAGCCATTCTTTGGCCTACATGAAATTAAAAGCAAGCATATAGAAACATTTCTATTCCTTCAGCAGGAAACAAAGATAGAGGGCTCTGTTTTTCACTTATCACTAGTCAAAAGGAATTACAATTCTCAGGAGCAAATTGAAAAGTTAGGGGGAAAATATTTTCAAGAGTACAAGTTCTCCAGGTGCTGAAGGCATTGAACACAACAGATCTGATGGATGTATCAACATTGACATTTGTGAAAATGTGCATGAAGAAATATGCATTGATTTTAAATGGCATGCCACAAAAGCCTGAAAAATAATGCATGATTTTCCATCTTCTAACTTAGATGGAAAAACATGTGTTTTGCTCACAATTTTGTCAAAGGGAAATGTGAACTCCCAGCCAATTGCATTCACATGCAGGCCCTTTTTCTGAGATTGCTTTCAAATGTAAGCATAACATATGTTGTTCTGTTAGGAAAACAAATTAATAAAGTTAACTTTCACAATGTGAATTCTTAATATATAGGATTATGGGAGTCATGTTGTTTAAAACAATGTTTAGTTTTCCCTCTAGGTAGATTCACAGGGGTGGGGATGAGGGGTGACCAATTTTAACCCTTGCATAGTTTACATTACCCCATGGTGCCTGCATATGTGTCAGAACAACTTTTCTCTGACACAGCATAGAGAGTCAAGCTCAATAACCACTGGAGGAAGAATAATAGGCCAATAGCACATGTGTTGACAGATGTGTCTTACCCAGTGGAAGGGAGACAGAGGAAATTAGATGATGAATTTTAAGAACTGAAGCATATACTGTAGTTTTTAGAAATCAACAAGTATTGTGTTCTTGAAACCACCAAATATGAGTTGGCTGCCTTCAGTAACACAGAAAAGTCCTTACAGTCTAAATGAATGAGCTCTGAAATTGTTCCCATAATGAACTGCTAACCAATTTGTCTCAACTGTTGCTTGAATACAGAATTTAAAATGAAGGTCTTCCGGACTGCATTGCGGAAGAGCACTGAATGATTTATTCTCACTCATTTTCTCCACTTTCCATGCTAAAATATTTTTACATGGTCAATAAATTATGGAGGCTGACATTAACAAGATGAACAGTGGATAAAAATATGTGAGCCTGAATATTTATAAGAATGTGAAATTGAAATTTTACTTTTTCTCCAACTAGCTGTGGACTTGTGGGATCTGTTAAATGAAGGCATCTAATTTACTTAATTCAGATTAATTTAGTAAGGAATCTTGGAAACTGATGAATCATGGGTTATTAATAAAGGAAAAGAGAGTGCTTAATACTTAGGACATTTTAGTAAAAGAAGGTGACATGTTTGGAATGAGTAAGGTACTTTCACTCTTTTTTGGGGAAGCCTTTGGTATTGACACTGAATTTGATCCTGACCTGGAGCAATATATGAATTCTGATTTGCCAATAATATCTATTTGTCATGTAAAGGATCAGGTTAGCATTTGGCAGAGGTTGCTAAGGACCAGAGGAGAAGGCTAATGTTGCAAGCTGTCCCAACACTAGGGGCATGTTCTAAGAAAAAAGGAAAGGAAATTTAATTCAGGAATAGTTAGTTATACATTAGAGAAAAGCTAAAATGTTCTACTTGGAGAAGGTTGCACGACTCACTTCTGAGAAAAAAAGAACTCCACATATTTTGAAAAATCAAAATATTACAAAAGAACCATTAAGAAATAATCCAGGCAGATAGGGAACAACAGTACTGGCAACTAACATTTTCAGCTTTATAATGTACCATCCTTTGTACTATTTTTACTTCATTTACATTTCAAGACTATATTATAAGATAGGCATGTCTTAGGTTCTTTTTAATTTTTGGCTATGAACTCTATCTTGCATTTATAGTAATAATAACAAATATATATGAAGCCTCTGCAGGACACAAGTCTCCATCCTGTCTTTGAGCATGTGTCAGGCAGGTAATTAAAAAAATAGCAAGAGAACGTTTTTGCTAAATGCTTTATACTATATTGCTTTATACCTGGATTTTGCATAATCAGTAGTCTTCAAGTTGTATGCGTTTTTCAGGCCTGAAGAGGGAAATCTATTTTCTGGAATCCATTAGGATCTCAATATTTGATTTTTCTAGGTGTCAACTTCCTGAGCTCAAAGGTACTGACATGACAAGTGCATGGAATGTACAAAATGCTTATGACCTCATGAACATTGAAATGAGAGATGATGAAGTTTATTTTTAGCCGAGTGTTTAGAGGGGTCCCGTGGGCTAATTTTCGTTTAGGGCTGCTTATATAACAGTTGAAGATGTGCTAATAGGGCACACTGCCAAAGTCTGTGATTATTGCTATTTAGCAATTTAAGAGCTTTAAGCACCATCCAAAAATATTTATTAAGTGCATGTATCTTCAGGGCCAGGCTGTCTGAGTGCTGGACAAGCTTTGTAGATCTAAAAACTGAATAATTTCAGCCTTCAGCACATGAAGAGGGATGAGGGCCACTATTCCCTATGCCCCGTTGAGCAGAAGACAGCATGATTTGCTTAGTTCTTTTCACAAAAAGTATCAGAGTTTTGAAAAGTTACAATTCTGCTTTTGCTACTCAGATTAACTTATTATTTGCTATATATTACATATACAAAATTGAGAAATGAAAAATAACCTGGGTAGTTTAATGAGCATGGCAAGATATTCTGGATCAATGTAGTACAAACCCCCTTCTTTGCTCCATAAAAGCTGTTTGGTGGGTTGTGCTGGGTTTTATGGATATTTTTTTACTTTACATTTTTCTACTTGTGTGTTGTAGGGATCTACCCTATCTGGGCAGATTCTATTTTGACTTTTTTTTTAATCATAATCGGATAGAAATTTCAGGACAGGATCTCAAAAGAGAGACTGGCCAAAGGATTTTATTGCTTTTAATTTGTTATTAAATTTAACGTCCTGCAATATCCAGATGCAATCCATGTTTCTCCTAGTTCTCTGCAAAAATGTGGAAATCCTCAATCATCACAATGATCTGAAGCTCCAGAGCTGGTCACATTCACTGATGCTAAAGATGAGGACAAAATGTATTTGCACTTGTAGGATAGCCATACTCCTGTATTGTCAAGTGACCTGTCCAAGAAGGAGTGGGATGTTCTGATCACTCTATTATGTTTCCTAAAGAAAAATGTGAGTCTGTGGAGAAAGTTGATTATAACCTCTTTTGCCTTATTTAGACAAAGGAGAGATTTATTCCTCCTCTATTCATATTTAAGAACACGTTATGGTTTGAATAAACGTTTGTGTCCCTGCAAAATTCATATGTTGAATTCCTAACCCGAAAGGTGATGTCTTAGTAGGTGGGGTCTTTGGAAGGTAATTATTTCATGAAGGTGGAGCCCTCATGAATGGGATTAGTGCCCTTATAAAAGGGATCCCAGAGTGCTGTCTTCCTCTTTCTTTGCACCATGTGAAGATACAAAGGTAAATCACTGCCTGCAACCCAAAAGAGGGTCCTCACCAGAATCCGACAATGCTGTCACCCTGATCTCAGACTTACAGCCTCCAGAACTATGAGAAATAAATGTTTTTTTTTAATTTAAGCCATGCAGTCTATGGTATTCTGATTTAGCAGGTTGAAATGAGATGCAACTGAAAAAGCCAAGCAAACAAAATTTATAGGCAAAGGGCTTTGAGAAAGGAACTTCAAGTATCTCTTACTTTCTTCTATGTAAATACGCATTTTAAATTTAGGAAAAGGGTGCCATGACATCAATATTCCCTTAAAATATTGGCCATAATCTAATTAGACCATGTATTGCCATGAGAAGGAAAACTCATTATGTAGGAGTGCCAGAGGTTGAAGCATTGAAGTCTTCCATATGCTTAATCTTACAGGTATGTTGGCTAAAGTTCAAATGTGTTCTAATGTCCAACAACAATCAATAAAAAAGTGGATTGTCCTAACTTTGACATTTATTTTCTTTATCTAAGAATTTAATTCTCCTAAAATAGGGATCATTAACACAGCACATACTGAAAAAAAATAGCCAACAATTAGTAATGTGAACAAAAAATAAGTACAAGCATACATTATTATTTTGCTATACTCAACTGCTAATACTTAGTATTGCACAGAATCAAAACAAAAGCCATGAATTCAAATAATTACATTGGAAAATTGTTAAGATGTTTCTGTAATGCATTGCACAGTGCTTGACATATGTAGGTGCTGAATGAATCTTTAATATAATTTTTTTGTAAAAGGTATTAATCACCTATTAATATGTAGCAATGAAGATAACCATGAATCATCACTTTGTCCAGCATATACATGCTATATACATGACACTGATTAATGTATGTATACATTAGTCATTGACATTGTCTGCTTCTGACATCCAGCCATCAACATTGTCATGGCCCAATGATCCAGGATCACCCAAAGCAGATGATCCTCCTTTTTGACATATCATCAGAAGGCCAGTAGTAACCTAATGCTATGTCACAACACCTGCGTCATTCACCTCATTTCATCTAACCAGGGAGGCATTTTATCATCTCACGTCATCACAAGGAGAAGGGTGAGTATAGTACAATAAGATATTTTTGGGGCAGAGAAAGACCGCCTTCACATGACTTTTGTTATAATTATTTTGTTACTATTATTTATTGTTAATCACTTACTGTGCTTAATTTATAAATTGAACTTTATAATGGGTATGTACATATAGGCAAAAATCACAGTAGATATAGAATTCTGTACTATGTGAAGTTTCAGGCATCTGCTGGGGATCTTGGAATATAAGCCCCATGGTTAGAGAGGAACCACTCTTGGTGTGTCATTTGGGAAAAATTACCTTACTTCTCAGTGCCTGTTTCATTTTTCATACAATAAGGATAATAATAATTACTTTACAAGGTCCCAGTGAGCATTAAATTATATGAAGCATGTATATCAAAGTGTTTGTGTGTGTGTTTCACTTTATTATGCTTCACAGATATTGCATTTTTGTTTTTTTAACATGTATTTTATTTTAAGTTCTGGACTACATGTGCAGGATGTGAAGGTTTGTTACATACGTAAATGTGTGCATGGTGGTTTGCTGCACCTATAAACCCATCACCTAGGTATTAAGCCCCACGTGCATTAGTTATTTATCCTGATGTTCTTCCTCCCCCTGCTCCCCTGACAGGCCCCAATGTATGTTTAAAATGTTAAGTAACACACAATTCTAACTGAGTTATTTTAAGTGATACTTACATAAGGATAGAAAATTCAAGCAGAATGGAAAAGCACAAAATAAAAAGTAAAAGCCTACCCATCACTCTCAATAATTCCAAATGACACCTCTCTTAACTCTGGAAATAGATATCTATTTGGTTAATATTGCCTGATACATACATGGAGATACGGGAAGGATGTTTGAATGGATGGATGGAAAAATATATAGATAGAATAAAAAATGTTATCTTATAAAAATAGGATCACACTCTTAAATTGTTCAAGCTGGATATGGAATCTCTAATTTAAAATTTAACACCTTTTTGTTATAGAAAGACAAAAGCTGAGTGAGTTGATTAGCTATTAAAAACTTTATAGGTACCCTTGTAGTTTTAAAGAGTTCATTTTAAATTAAACACTATGGAGTTCTAGAGTTAGTGATGGTTCTCAGAATTTATACAAGCTTAAGAAAATAAATAGAATCAAGAAGGGTTTAGATAAACTTATGGATCATGGATCTATAGCAGTGAATAAAGGAAATTGGGGATATTTATTGATTTATTTACTTCTGAGATAAAATAACTTGCCATTATGGAAAATATACATTGGTTCCATTGCAAATTTAAATAGGAATTTAATAGGGCTCAAACAATAGGACATTTATTATGTCAAAACTATACAGAGATATTAAACTTCTCAATGCATTTTATTCTCAAGTAAAAAGTCATGCAAGTTTTGCAGTGATCTTGAGAAACTCTGTACAATAATTAAATGAGCACTGAAATAAGAGTCAGCTGACCTGGCTTCCAGTTTTAGCTAAACAGATAACTCCCTGAAAATCCCTGAATTCGTCCATGAAGCTTTCTCAGCAGAACTTCATCTTCAATTAGTAATGAGACTGAGGCACTTCTAAGACCCTGCTAGCCCTTACAGAAGAAATCATACCTCTCACCTTTCTTATTCCTAAGAATGGCTTCATGGTTAACAGGCCCAGATTATAAAGCATGGTTCAAAATCCCAGTCGCATTTTCAAAAGTGACCAAATGCCCCAATATACTTAGTATAGTCACTTTTTTATTATCCATTTTAACAGACAGGAAAAAAAAGGAAAACAATCTTTTTTAAGCAGATGAGCTTTAAAAATGTATTTGGCTTGAGATAGCATCATGTTTAGTAGTATTTTTACAATTTTTTTATCCATGTTATATTTTACTTTGACTAATGTAAAAATTGATAGATATTTCCTAAGAACACGACAATTTCACATTTGGAGAAGGCAGTCTTAGAATCCACTGGGTATGAAATGTTTTCTATTTGCTGTTAATAATTCCCAGAGAGAATAATCTGCGTCTGCATAAAATTAATAACAATACCTACACTTTCAGCAAGTTTTGGTGGTCTAAAGAATGTTTTTAAAGGATGTGTGCAATTCTTGGATACTCCTCCTGTCTAGAGGTGGAGTCTATGCCTTCTCCTATTCAACCTGAGTAGGACTTAGTACTTGATGACTTCCTTAATGAATACAATGAAACAGAGGTGATGCTGTGTGATTTCAGAGGTTCAGTTAGGAAAGGATATGTATCATCCGCAAGTTTTCTTGGGATAATAACAGCTTGTGTTTAAACCACCATGTGTGCATTCTGGCTATCCCAACATTGCCTTGTAGAGATCCTACATGGAGGGATGATATGTGGAGAGAGACAAACAGCCCCAGCTCCTCCAGTCCCTGGATGTTTGAGCCTTTTCAGCTCAGGCACCAGACAGGTAACTAAGGAAGCTTTAAAGGTGACCCTAGCCCTAGCCACTGTCCAGCTTAAACTCTATGAGACACCCTGAACAAAACCTGCCTAGCTCGGTCTTATCAAAACCCAATTCACTGTGAACAGAAGTAATAGTTATTGTTTTAAGTCATTAATTTTGGCAAGTTGTTATGAAATAGATAACTAGAAGATACTTTCAAAATCATTTCATCCCCAAAATTTCCCTGAGAGGGCAAACTTATATTCTTGTTTCACAGATAACGAAACTGAGACAGAAAAATTAACTAGGTGCGCTAGACTAGTCCAAGTTCCTCTTTTTACCAGTGTGGAAAATGAGGACCAGAGAGGTAAGATGACTTGCAAAAGCCATAAAGCCTGTCAATGGAAAAGCTGAGCCTTTTTCCAACCCTCTTTTCAGTAATTAGCTATATATATGTCCCGTACTCCATTATGATGACACTCACTTTTCATTAAAATAAGTGGAAGTGTCTAGGATCATTTTCATATTTGGGTCAAATTGTCCTTGCATCAGTAGAAAGAGTGGAAAAAGCATTGGTCTTTTCAAATCAATTTGCTGGCTGGTCACAGTTAAATAATTTAACCCATCTGAACCACATTTCTAGCATCTGTAAAACATGGATAAAAGTGCTAACTTTGGAGTCGTGTTAGGAAAACAAGATATAAGGACTCTAAATTGCCTGGCACAATATAAGTCCTCAAGAGATGTATCTTTAGAAAGTCTCTTGTAAAGTAACATTTTAGTACCATCGTTATTATTTTTATTTGTTTCCCAAGGGCCTAAAATGATAAAAGTGTTAATGTTATAGTATAATAATAGTAGCAACTATGATTTAGCTTATTTGATCCTCACAGCACATGGAATAGTTAATGTTTTTCACTTTTTTTAGATGAGGAAACAGTCATGGAGGAATGGTTAAGTAATGTGCCAGTGTTAGTTGGGATTTGAATCTTGACAGACCAGGAGGGGAGAAAAATTGTCTTTTAGCACAGTGGTAAAAAAAGATATTCTGTTACTATTCGACCTCCCCTTCAGGCCCTATAGGGAATAAAACCAAGTGTAATATGCCTGATAACAGCCAAATCTTCTACCAAGCCAGATGATGACCCAATCATTCTGGAAAGTGAATCAAATTCTATGTAATTGTATGTAATATTAATGTTGCTTAAGAGGTTTTTCTGGAATGTCATGGATTTATTGTCTAGGGTCTTCAGTGTAATTTTCATGTTCCAGATAAGGGCTCCCAACCTGAAATGCGTATACTCTAAATGAAGCTATGAAGTGTATTTGCAAACTGAAGTATGAGACATCACCATTAAGAACTATTTCAGGCTCAGAATGAACCTGAAATGAATGTTTATTTGCATTGTGCTATAATTTTTAGATTCATGATTCAAGAGTTTTGAAGTAAATTGTCTTTATTGTATTGTAATGTTACAGCTATCTGTACATGTGGATCACATTACTTATTAAAAAATTCTTGGGGCTTTTACATTATAGAAATCCTTGCCATTGGCCAATAATCCCCTTATTCTTTAAAAATGTAATACACTTATTACATTATTATAATTTTCTAGTGTGAAAGTATCTTGTAAATTTCCATGTTGTCACAAAGCTATTCTAATAGCCCTGATCATTTCTCTTGGCAACCCATTTAGGATTGCTCACTGGGGAAGAGTCTGGGGAAATACCTCAGATGTTAAAGCTCAAAGGCACATTGTAACTGCCTGTCTTCATTTCCTTAGAACTCAGACTGTTACAAAAGTCTGAAAAACTAATGTTCTCTACTTTCTTTCCTGTCCTCCATAAACTTCTTCAAGCCCTTCCTTCTCATTCCCTGCAACTTACATAGTCAAATGAGAATGTCTTGCTTAACTAGTAGAGTGATGCATATGCTTTTAATTCAGGAGAGGGAGGCTGACAGTTTAGCATGTTTATGAATCAAGACCAGACTTGCACTTTACTAGAAACAGTTTGTGCTTACATATTATTGGAGGATGCTGGGAAGCTAAGTGTCCACTCTAAAATTTTTCCCAATTTTGATATGTCTAGAATTTTACCGACGGAGATGATTTCTTACAGTTATAATAACACGAACCCAAAGAAATGCTGGATAAAATACACAGTTAAGCAAACAAGAAGAGGAACATAGATGTGCTGGAATTAAAAATGAACAGTAGCCATAATGACAGTAATGTGAGCTCTTGAAACCACGGATCAGGAGGACATAGCATCTAAACAGAAGACCTAAAATCTTCTCATGAAAAAAAATTTAAAGAAAGTAAATCACATCAAGAAACAATCCATGAAAAACTAGAGAAATAGCCCAATCCAAAAGAGAATGTGTTCCCTCAAAAACCTGGAAAGACAGAACTACCCAAAAGATCCTATAAAGCAAATATATTTAAAGTAATTAGAGACATAAAATAAGGAAATAAAAATTTTTTAATGAAATGATAAAAACCTATAAGAAAATAGTAATGGTTATTTGAAAAAGTAGATTTTAGAAATAAAAAATAGTAACTGAAATTTAATTCCATGACCATCCTATATGGCAAGTACTGTAATCATCCCCTCCACTTAACAGATAAAGAAACTGAGGTTCAGAAGATTAAATAATTTGCCCAAGTTCACAAAGCTTGTAAATGCTGGAGCTGGACTTGAACCCATGTCTCTGACTCCAAAGTTTGTACTTTTAACTATTGTGCTATAATTATTAATGAAAGTATGAATCGCATAAACATAATAAAGGTAGACACACACATATATCTTTATAAGTTACCAATATAAGTATCTATATAAGCAAACACAGAGATATAGTAATGTTAATAGTGGTGAATTATGAGAGTTGATTTACTTGTAATCTTCTCTGTATCTAGAATTTTTTATGCTATGGACTCTTCGTCCCCTCTCCCCCCAGATTCATATGTTGAAACCTAATCTTCAATGTGATGGTATTTGGAAGTGAGACATTTTGGAGGTAAGTAAAACATGAAGATGGGACCCTCATGAATGGAATTAGTGTCCTTATAAGGGTATGAAATTACCCTCTCCTCTATGTGATGATATGAGAAGACAGCCATCTGTAAACCAGAAGAAAGCCTTCACCAAGAACCCAACAATGCTGGCAACTTGATCTTGGATTTCAAGCCCCTAGAACTGTGGGAAACAAATGTTTGCTTAAGCGCACACCTTATAATATTTTGTTACAGCAGCCGAAGCTAAAACACTTTACTTAAAACATAACAATATAAAAATAAATAATCACACCTTATGACTTCCTTTGCTGAATAATTGGATGAAGCAAATAACGAAAAAGCAAAACAAAACCAGCCACAATAAAGAGGATAAAAGGCAGTTTGGATTCTGCTGAAGACAGAATGTGTGATATGAAAAATAGATCTGAGAAATTACCCATAATACAGTGAAAAGAAATCTTATACATTCAATTTCTAGTGGTTGCTGTCATATTTTAAACATACATACCTGGTTTTAAATAATCTTGTTACTCAGTATCTTTAGGCTCTTCCCAATCAACACAATGATATTCCAATTTTTAACTCGGAACATCTGTTTGAAATATAATTTTGCTAGTATTTTATTTCTAACTTCTGTGTGTTCCCCCATCTTTATTATTATTTACATTGTCCTATATAGTCAATGTTTGTTTAGAGTTACCCATTGCTTTTTATATCTCCTGTTTCCATCTTTTAAAAATACAGTGTAATAGTATTCCATAGCAGTGTAAGAAATTATCACAAACTTGGGGGTTTACAACAACATACAGGCAAGCGTTTTTTTGTTTTGTTTTGTTTTGTTTTTTGTTTTGAGATGGAATCTCACTTTGTCGCCCAGGCAGGAGTGCAGTGGCACTATCTCAGCTCACTGCAACCTCTGACTCTTGGGTTTAAGCGATTCTCCTGCCTCAGCCTCCTGAGTAGCTGGGACTACAGGCATGTACCACCACGCTCAGCTAATTTTTATGTATTTTTTAGTAGAGACAGAGTTTCACCATGTTGGCCAGGCTGGTCTTGAACTCCTGACCTCAAGTGATCTGCCTGCCTTGGCCTCCCAAAGTGCTGGGATTACAGGCATGAGCCACTGATCCAGGCCACCTTCTTTTATTGTACCTCACTTTATCGTGCTTTGCAGATAACTGTGTTTTTCACAAATTAAAGGTTGTGGCATCCCTGTGTTGATCAAGTCCATTGGCACCATTTTTCCACTATCACGTGCTGTGTATCTGCACCACATTTTGGTAATTCTCACAATACTTCAAACTTTTTCATTATTATTATATCTGCTATGGTGATCAGTGATGAGTGATTTATGGTGTTACTAGTTACTATTGTAATTGTTTGGGGATACCACACACCGTGCCTATAATATGAAGAACTTAATTGATAAATGTGTGTGTTCTGACTGCTCCACTGATCAGCAATTCCCCTGACTTTCTCCCTCTCCTCAAGTCTCCCTATTCCTTTAGAAACAACAATATTAAAATTAGGCCACTTAATAATCCCACAATAGCCTCTAAGTGTTCAAGAGAAGGAAAGAGTTGCTAGTCTCCCACTTTAAATCAAAAGCTAATTAAGCTTAGTGAAGAAAGCATGTCAAAAGCTGAGAGAGGCCAAATTGTATGGCCTCTTGTGCCAAGCAGTTACCCAAGTTGTGAATGCAAAGGAAAAGTTCTTGAAGGAAAGTAAAAGTCCTACTCCACCAAACACACAAATGATAAGAAAGCACAACAGCCTTATTGCTGATAGGGCAAACATTTTAGTGGATGGAAGATCAAATTAGCCACTACATTCCCCTAAACCAAAACTGAATCTACAGCAAGGCCCTAACTCTCTTCAATTTTATAAAGGCTGAGAGAGGTCAGGAAGCTGCCAAAGAAAAGTTTGAAGACGGCAGAGGCTGCTCATGAGGTTTAAAGAAAAAACAGAGAAGTTATAAAAGTGCAAGGTGAAGCAGCAAGTGCTGATGTAGAAGCTGCAACAAGTTATCTAGAAGACCTAGCTAAGAAAACTGTTGAAGGTGGCTCCACTAAGCAATAGATTTTCATACATGAAACAGCCTCATACTGGAAAAAGATGCCCTCGATGCCTGAACCCAAAGTTTCAAAGGATAGGTCAACTCTCTTGTTAGTGGCTAATGCAACTGGTGAATTTAAGCTGATGCCAATGCTTATTTACCATTCTAAAAATTCTAGGGCCCTTAAGAATTTGTGCTAAATCTATTCTGCCTTTGCTCTATAAATAGAACAATTAGGTCTGGATGACAGAGCATTTATCCTGGTCTGTTGAATATGTGGCGCTCAGTGCTGAGAACTACTGCTCAGAGAAAAAGATGTCTTTTAAAATATTATTGCACATTGACATTCAGCTAGTCACCCAAAAGTTGTGATGGACACGTACAAGGAGATGAATCTTGTTTTCCTACCTGCTAATATAACATCCATTCTGCAGCCCATGGATCAAGGAGTAATTTGAAAACCTTCCGGAAAAGGATGACTTTGAGGTATTCAAGACTTCAGTGGCGGAAGTAACTGCAGATGTGGTAGAAATAGCAAAAGAACTAGAATTACAAGTGGAACCTGGAGATGTGACTGAATTACTGCAGTCTCATAAAACTTGAACTGAAAATTAGTTGCTTCTTATAGATGAGCAAAAAAAGTGGTTTTCTGAGTCATCCATGAAGGTTGGAATCAAATTCTTCCAAACTCCTGTTAATGTTTATATTTTGACTTCCTTTCATGAACCATGAATGTTCTTAATGGCATCTAGAATGATGAATCTTTCCAGAAGATTTTCAATTTACTTTGCCCAAACCCATCATCATAGGAATCACTATTTATGGCTGCTATGGTTTTATGAAACGTAGTTTTTAAGTAATAAGATTTGAAGCTCAAAATTATTCCTTGATCTATGGGCTGCAGAATGGATGTAGTGTATGCAGGCAGTCTGTTCCTGGCGAAGATGCTGTAAACATTGCTGAAATGACAACAACAAAAAAATCAGAATGTTTACATAAAATTGGTTGATAAAGCGGTGGCAGAGTTTGACTCCAATTATGAAAGTTCTATTGTGTCTAAAATGCCATCAAACAGTATCTCGTGCTACAGAGAAATCTTTCACGAAAGGGTCAACCATTGCAATAAACTTTAATGTTGTGTTATTTTAAGAAATTGGCACAGCCACACTAACCTTCAGTAGCCATCACCCTGATCAGTTAGCAGCCATCAACATTAAGACAAGACCCTCTGCCAGCAAAAGGATTGTAACTCACTGATGACTCAGATGATTGTTTGCATTTTTTTATCAATAAAGTATTTTTAAATTAAGATATGTACATTGTTTTTATATATAATGACATCACACTTAATAGACTATAGTGTAGTATAAACATAATTTTTATATGTACTATAAAACAGAAAAAGTTGTGTGACTCGCTTTATTGCAATATTTGCTTTATTTTGGTGCACTAGAATGGAAGTTGCAATATCTCCAAGGTATGCCTGTACATCCTTTCAGTTCTCTCTCAGTTTCTGTGGATCAAGAGTCCAGACACAGATGGAAACTTGGACCTCTGCTCAGCTTTTCAAAGGGTTGAAATCAGGTTGTCAGCCAGCCTGCATTGCTTCCTGAAGCCTCTGGGAAATAATATGCTTCCAAGGTTATTCAGTATATTGGTGACTTCCATTCTTTGTAGTTGTAGGATTTAGGATCCCATTCTGTTGGTGACTGTTGGCTTTGGTCTACACTCTCAGCTCCTAGAAGCTGCCCAGTTTCTTGCCATGTAGCCTCCTTCAACTACCCTCACACTTTGAGTCTCTCTGGCTTCCCTGTCTCTGATCCCTAAGCCCAGATCTAAAGGTCTCATATGATAATCTCCTTAAGACCAGTTGATTTGGGGACATCAATACATCAGCCAAATCCCTTCACAACAGCACCCCGATTAATGTTTGATTGAATAACTAGTAGAAGGTATGTTTACAATAGCTACAGGTAAGCATCATGGGTGCCATTTTAGGATTCTGCCTACCACATAAAGTGTTAAAATTTTTTTAAATAGAGAAACTATAAAGAGTAAACTCTCTCAGCATTTTCTTGTCTTAAAATTGTTGTATGGCTACACTCTTTTAAATGGTTGTTAAGTTTGACTGAGGATTCTATATTGACAGTACAGTAGTCCCCCCTTATTTGTGGGGGCAACATTCCAGGTCCTCCAGTGGATGCTTGAAACAGTGGATAGTACCAAATCCTGTACATACCATGTTTTTTCCTATACATACATACCTGTGGTAAACTTTCATTTATAAATTAGGCACACTAAGGGATTAACAACAATAACCAATAATAAAATAGAACAATTATAACAATATGCCGGCATCACTACTCTTGTGATTTGGAGCCATAAGTGAAATGAGGGTTACTTGCACACAAGCACTGAGATGCTGCAACAGTCAATCTCACAACCAATATGGCTAATCAGTGACAGGTGGATTGTGTATGTAGTGTGGATATGCTAAACAAAGGGAAGATTCACATCTCATCTGGGCAAGGCTACTCAGAAAGGTGCCCAATTTCAAATTTAACATTTTTTTTCTAAAATTTTCCATTTAGTATGTTTGAACTGCAGTTGACTGCAGGTAACAAAATGTGGAAAGCAAAACCACAGATAAGGGGGAACTACAGTAAACTCTCAGCTTTAAAATACTCCATTGTCTTCTGGCTTCTCTTGTTGTTGTCCATAAATCTGCTGTATGTTGGATTCTCATTCTTCGTATGTAGCAAATCTGTCCTTTTTACTTTGTTTTTGTTCTTTAATTTTTCTTTATTTTTGATGTCCTGCAATTTCACTAAGGTATATCTAGTGTGGATTTAGTTTTATTTATTCTGCTTGTTATACATCCTGAATCCAAGGATTTGTGTCTTAATAATTTTGCAAAATTCTCAGCCACTATTTGAAAATTACTTCTTTCCTGTTTTTCTTTTTTTTTTTTGGAAACATCTATTAAACCTATGTTGTACCTTCTCATTAGATCTTTCATGCCTTTTAATTTTGCTTTAAAAATTTCCATTTCTTTATATTGCTAGGTTAGATTCTGAATAATTTTCCAGACACATTTTCTAGTATATTAATTCTCTGTTCAGCTGCATTTAATGTATTTTTAATTCATCCATTAACTTCTGAATTTCAATGACATTGTCTATCATTTCTGGATGTTCTCTTTAGTTCTTTTACAAATCTGCCTAGTTTTGTTGTTGTTTTTTTCCTTTTATGTTGTCATTTCTTTATTTTATATTTTAATTTATTTAAAATACTAATTTAACATAATTTGGCAACTAACATAGTAATAATTGTTTCAGGTAAGAGTCATCAAGAGATCCTAAAATGAATGGGTAGAAGTTTGATAGGAAATAGAATATTTACATAGTCTCAAAGTATCTCTCCACATGAAATCTATTAATTACAAAGGAGAAATAGTAAGTTTGTGCTGAAGAAACCTGACATACATTTCTTAACCAAGTGCTCAAAGTTAATCTCCCACAGTAAAAGGGCAAATATACATAATTTGCCTTTGATATGATGCACTAAGAAGAACACAATATTATTCCTGCCAAAAATACCTAACTTGAATCTACTCATGAGGAAATTTGAGAAAACGAAATTAGGAGATACAGTACAAAATAACTTGCCTCTAATCTTCAAAAATATCAAGGTCATAAATGACAAAGACTGAAGAAGGATTTTAGATTGAAGGAGACAAAAGAGACATAGCAACTAAAAGCAATGTACGGTCCTGAATTGGACCTTAAACTAGACAAACATTTTTTTCTTTTACTTTAAAGTATGTTCAATGGACAATTGACAAAATTTAAATAAGATCTGTAGATTAGATAATAGAACTATATCATTGTTTATTTTCTGATATTATAATTATATACAGTGATTATATGAGAATAGCCTTATTTTATGAGATACATACTGAAGTATTTAGTAGTTAATAGGCATTACATCTGTAACTTACTCTCAAAAGGTTCAGAAAAATATCTGTATATCTATAATAGAATGCTTATGTTAAACATTGGGAAAATCCAGATTAAAGGTATCTAGGACTTCTTTTCATTATTTTTGCAACTTTTCTGTAAGTCTGAAAAATTTTTGAAACATTAAAAATAATCAGTCTTATAGGTTCTATCATATTATATTATCTAATCAGCTGTTTGTAGCACTCATAATGAATTGTGTACTCTTTGATTGTAGCATTTGGAACTGTGAACTGATCTTTAGTGGGGCTTTAACTATGAGACTCAGTACACCTGAACTGACAGCATTTTGTGTTGGTTTCTTCCAGGAAATCTAGGGATAATATTGGCCTGAGAACAAATTTGGAGTCATTTGTTTCAGCTTACGGTTTCCCACAATACAAAGATGGTAAAAATTTGAGACCAAAGTACACATGACTTTCAGTTCTGTGGTTATAAAGTCTTAAGGGAGACTTTGTCCACCTATAGACAAGTTCTCTGTTATCTTCTTGCCAGCGAGCAGATTTTCTTTCTTTCTTTTTTTCACCCTGTCATTCACTGATGCTGTAGCTCTTTGACTTGTATTACATTTCCCACTCCCTCCCACATGTAGGCCTAATATCTCAAATTTGTGTGTGAATGTCAAAAACACTTTCTGAAATTGTCAATATGCTGGCTCCTCCCTCCTAACCTCATCCCAGTGAGAGTTATCACAGATTGGGTTTATATTCTTACCACTCTATCTTTTAGTTACCATCTCACATCTGATCCTTGAGGATTTTGCTTACTTTCTTGAGAACTCAGGTACACATTTATTTATTATATTTTAATCAAACAGTTCTTGGCATTTCCAGAATAACTTTTAGGTAACATTTCCAGAACTGAAGCTAACACATAAAGAGATAAAAAAATATGTGTAAGCAGTTAAGAGATTTGGAGGATAGAATAAGAAAGGCCAATGTATGCCTATAGAACTTCCAGAAGGATATAATAAAAAGAATGGTGAGAGGTACTATTTGAAGAATTTTGTAGAGATTGAATAGCACATGCTAATCTAATGTATTTATTCCTTTTCATTTGAAGCTTTGTTCATTATCAATTGCTATTTCACTTTTGAGGGCAAAGTGCTATCAATCAATCATAATGTAATATATATTACCTACTGCTATGGTTTGGATGTTTGTCCTCACCAAGTCTCATAATGAAATTAAATTCCTATATGAACAGACACTTCTCAAAAGAAGATGTTTATGCAGCCAACAGACACATGAAAAAAAGCTCATCATCACTGGTCATCAGAGAAATGCAAATCAAAACCACAATGAGATACCATCTCACACCAGTTAGAATGGCAATCATTAAAAAGTTGGGAAACAACAGGTCCTGGAGAGGATGTGGAGAAATATGAAAGCTTTTACACTGTTGGTGGGAGTGTAAATAAGTTCAACCATTGTGGAAGACAGTGTGGCAATTCCTCAAGGATCTAGAACTAGAAATACCATTTGACCCAGCAATCCCATTACTGGGTATATAACCAAAGGATTATAAATCATGCTATGATAAAGACACATGCACATGTATGTTTATTGTGGCACGATTCACAATAGCAAAGACTTGGAACCAACCCACATGTCCATCAATGATAGACTGGATTAAGAAAATGTGGCACATATACACCATGGAATACTATGCAGCCATAAAAAAGGATGAGTTCACGTCCTTTGCAGGGACATGGATGAAGCTGGAAACCATCATTCTGAGCAAACTATCACAAGGACAGAAAAACAAACACCGCATGTTCTCACTTATAGATGGGAATTGAACAATGAGAACACTTGGACACAGGAAAGGGAACATCACACACCAGGGTCTGTCGTGGGTTGAGGGCATGGGGGAGGGATAGCATTAGGAGAAATACCTAATGTAAATGACGAGTTATGGGTGCAGCACACCAACATGGCACATGTATACATATGTAACAAACCTGCACGTTATGCACATGTACCCTAGAACTTAAAGTATAATAATAAAAACAACAACAAAAAAAGAAATTAAATTCCTAGTGTGGTGGTATTGGGAGGTGGGGCTTAGTGGGAGGTGTTTGGGTCATGGGAGCAGATCCTTCATGAATAGATTAATGCCCTCCCTCATGGGTAAGTGAGGACTCACTCTGTTAAGTTCCCAAAAGAGCTGATTATTTTAAAAAAGAACCTGGACCTCACCCATCCCTTGCTTTCTCTCTCACCCTGTGATCTCTGCACATATCAGCTCCTCTTTGCCTTTTATTGTAAGTGAAAGCAGCTTGAGGCCCCTACCAGATACAAGAGTGGGTTCTATGCTTCTTGCATAGTCTGCAAAACCGCAAGCCAAATAAACTTATTTTCTTTATAAATTACCCAGCCATAGGTATTTCCTTAGAGCAACACAAAACAGACCAAGACACCTACTGATTCAGAGCACAGGATTTAGAGTTACATGGACTTGATTTTGAGATCTTGAGCCATCATCCACCTTGAAAGTATAAAATGCTGAAGCTGAAATAGCTGGGAGAGAGGATTACAATGGAGAAGGCGTTTCTACTCCTGCGAGATAAAAGGGGTGCTTGTTTCCCTCCTTGAGCTAAGAAAGTAAGCTTCGAAGGAATTATTTGCAGGACTTGTCCTGTAATCCTGGATCCCTGAAGCAAGGGAAGGCAAAAGAAACTAGAGACAAATTGTCCCAAGACAATAGAGCAAGAGAAAGAGGGTTAACTTAGGAATGAAAACCTTATCCATCAATAGCATGGTGAGACAAGGATGCAATAGTTTTTTTCATAGGCTAGATAAGAGCCACGTGAGAGAGAGGTTATTGGAACTACTTTAAATTCCACCCCCCACCACCACTTCAAGAAACAGCCTGAATATGAGGTGTGACCCCAGTTAGGTAGTTGACTGCCACATGATCAGAGGCTGAGGGAAGAATTGAAAGCAGCTAGCAAGCAACAAGTAAGCATCAAAGGAGTTGTGATTAGAGGAATCCAGTTGGGATATCATTAAGAAACTCACCAAAGCATCCCACGAGAGGAAGAATCATCTTTGGAACACTGCCATACTCAGGGGCTTCCAGCATAGATTTTATCCATGCCACTCAAGTAACACTCAAGTGTTGCATACCTCTCTTCCTCACTCTCCATCTCCAAGCCTGATAGAACTCAGATAAGTCCTAAAAACAGGAACAGGAGGATGAGGAAAAATAGACGGAGAAAAGAGAGAAGTGAAATGTGCTTTTCCCTCATTCTGTATTTCCAGGCTTAAAGCAATATCAAGGTGAGAGGTGGTGGCAGTGGTAAGAATAAGGAGCAGGGATTATTACATTCTTAGCCCTGTAATAAGACTGTGGGTACACATAAAAGTGACTGGAGCACTTCTATTACCTGAGCATAATAAAAAGATTTTGAAACCTGCCAAGATTTCATTGTAACAGTGAGGAAGAAACAGGTCAAGAGTACATTTGAAGAGACATAGTGAAAAAGAATAGTTTTTGGTTTTGGTTTTTCTGCTTGTATTTGTTTCAGTTCAGATCACTCAGTGTCCAGGTTTCATCTGCAACTTGTGCAAGGTCGTGTGGTGGTTAATTGGCAGAACTGAAATTGAAATTCAGAGACTGTTTACACTATATGATAATTGCTTTCTTTTAAAAGGAGTATATTTGGTACTTATTTGCATAATTAGAAACTGAGTTTCATCTCTGGATAATTTTTGGCCCAAAAGATAAACACATGCTAAGTTCTGGATCCACAAAATGTTCTCTCCAAGGACACCCAAGTCTTGGCTGACTTGGGTATGGAGTTTCCTCGGACATGAGGCTGAGACCGAGATGTCAGGATTTCCCTGGTGAGCCAATACTCACCGAGAGAGCAGATGGTTTTCAAAGTAAAACCTAGGGAGAGAGTTCCCAAGAGACACTGGATCTGAGGTTTTTTGGCAGAGAAGAGGTTGTTTCACCAGTAGACTGGAAACAAACCACACTCCCCCGCCCCCCAATTCCCAGTCTGATTCCCTTCATACACATACTTGAAGGATATATTCTCCACAATGACAACACACAGCACAGTGTTCACCACTAAAGGATAATCATATCTTCCTGCTGAACGCAGTGGGCTTTTCAAACAGATTATGGGGAGCCTGCATTTTGTCTATAAGCCTCTAGTAAGACTCAGAAGAAAACCAGAACACAGAGTTGGGATTTGAAACCATAGCCTGGCTAGTGACAGGAACCAGGCCTGGAGCGTCACTGTGGAGGGCAAGGAAGGCGGAGTGGGAACCAGGTGCAGTACAGGAAGGGGATTTCATGCAGAATCTGCTTTCAGTTCTGCATCACTTGGAAACGTCACTGTTACTGGAAACCATGCTAATGAATGGCAATCAAAGCATATGTGGTGTACTCCTATAATACCGGAGTTGCTTTCCAGAGCCATTGGCCTAACTATTTGCATGATATTTGGGTTTTAATGTAGTATGGCTTCAGTGTGTTATGAGGGGTAGGATACCAGGCTTAAATTGGATGTGTTTCCTACAGGAAATTTGCCATCTGAGCAGTGCTCACTCTAAAGCTCTGAAAACCAGTACTTCAGCTCCCTTCAAACAACCTTTCTGAAGTAGAATAGAAAACAATATTGACAGGAGGCTTTGAAGTTGGATTTATTGTTCCTGTCTCCTTTATAATAAAAGTTACCTTTCTGCCTCATTTTTACAAAAAAGAAAACTTTGAGGAAATTTCAATTTACTTAATATTTGAGAAGGAAGAATGTAAAACTGATCATATTAGCCAGAGTTCTTAATGTTTGAAATTTTAAAATATTCTTTGAGAACACATTATAATTCTTCATTAATGGTAGCCTGTATTTCTTGAACATAAATAGGGATTCAATGGATAACTTAAAAATGAATAAAAATGTAAATATAAATTAAATTTAATAGTAATTATTAAATATGTAATTAAATATAAACACAATTACATTAATTATTATATTATATTATACAGATAATATAATATAGATATCTATGATATAATATTAATTATCTTATGCAATGTTAATTATAATATTAACTATTTATATATTAATTATTATATATTAATAATTAATGTATTACATTAGTTATTAATTTTATAATATTAATAATCATTACATATGATATGTAATAGATATAACTATATAACAATGTATAATTATTATACAATATTATTAATACAATTATATAAACATAATTATACTAAATTATATTTAATATAATTTTATATAATATATATTTTTTATATTTAATATAATTACATATAATTATTATATTATAATAATTATATATGAAATAATATATAATTTATAATATAATACTTATGTAAGTATAACAAATATAACTTATATAATTATACTATTTTATAATTACATAAAATGTATTATATAACAATATATACAATTATATATTTATTATATGTGATTATATTAAATATATTATTATATAACAATATATAATTATATTTAACATATAATTACTAATTATTATATATAACAATATATGATTATATTGAATTATCTTTAATATAAAATTATTAAATAAGTATATAATTATTAAATAATTTCATAGCATAGAGAGTATTATAGTATAATTATAAATATTTCTGTCTTTGAATAATGACCCAAAATATATAACCTTCTTAAATTCTTTATATTCTTTTATTTTCTGCATATAATATTAAGGAATCACATATAAGAAATATTGATCATATGTTCATTGCTTTTTGCATCTGTGGTTCTGACTCCATTATTAATGTTAACAGTAAATTATTTTTCAGTTTATGTAGTTTTGATGTGTTTAAAATGGGAGGCATGATGAGGAGGTAGATTAAGGAAAATTTCACTGAAGTATCTTTCCCCTTAGATCTGAATGTGGTGTAAATAGCACATAAAAATGATCATTTATGTATATAGGGTCACGAAATAATAAATGTAAAATCTGTTACTTGTCTTCCTCTCTCAGTAATTCTCTGAGGGTGTCTATTAGCCGACTGGCCTCCCGTCAAATCTAAAGAAACAATTAAGTTGCATGCTGGTCTAAGAACATAACTGATGAAAATATAAATTATTCTACTATATTGGGAGATACAAAAATGCAGTGTTTTATGGTTGGAACAATATTTTTCATTCATATATTTATATAGGATATGTTTCATTATACTAGTGTTTATCTAGTAAAAACAATACCACACTATCAAATACTTCAGGAGTAAATAATACCAGTCCCACACAAATGCTTTCAGAAAATAAAAAGGAGGGAACTGATATGAGATCCTCATTCCCCTTATTCCAAATGCAGGAATAAAAATAAAAGTACAGTAGTTCCCCCCTTATCCACAGTTTTACTTTCATGGTTTCAGTCACTCATAATCAAACATAGTCAACCGTGGTCTGAAAATAGGTGAGTGTAGTACAATAAAATATTTCATATTTGAGAGGGAAAGTGCACACATACACGTAACTTTTATTTTAATATATTGTTATAATTGTGCTATTTTATTATTGTTGATAATCTCCTACTGTGCCTAATTTATAACAAACTTTGTAATAGGTATGTATGTGTAGAAAAAAATAGTATATATAGGATTCAGTACCATCTGCAGTTTCAGGCATACACTGGGTGTACTGGAATATATTCCTTGTGGATAAGGGGGTACTACTGTATAAAGAAATATCTCTTATCAATAGAGACTCAAAAATCTGTAAGAAAATTAGCAAATTAAATATAGCAATACATAAAAATATACTATATCATGATCAAGTGGGATATACCTCAATTAGCAAAATTTAACATTTGAAATTTTATCCATGTAATTCATCATAGTAACTGAATTTAAAAAGAAAAGACATATTATCATTCTAGTAGATATAGAAAAAGCATTTGAACAAATCTAATTTCTGTGACTGATTTAAAAATTGCTCTCATCAAACTAGGAACAGAAAGGAACTTCCACAACTTGATAAAGTACCTACAGGTAATATTATACTGAAGGTTGAAAGACTGAATGCTTTCCTCAAGATTCTATTTAACATAGTACTAGAGTTCTTAGTCAGTACAATAGGCAAGTAAAAGAAAAGAAAGGCATGCAGATTTAAAAGAAGGAAATAAAACTGTCTTTATTAGTGGACACCGTGATTGAGTACATTGAAAATCCCAAGAAACCTAAAGGAAAGCTGCTAGAACATGTGAGATTTACAAGATCACGGGATTCAAAGTCAGAAATCGGTTGTATTCCCATATATTAATATAAGCAGAAAACAATCAGAAATTAAAATACTGATGCAATTGATGAAAACCTAAACTAATGAAAAAATATGCCACGTGTTTTATGAAATTTTTAAAATATGCCATGTCTTTTATGAATATGAATTCTACATTATTGTCACTTCTCCCTACATTGATCTATAAGTCAGTGCAATCCCAGTCAAAATTCTAGTAACTTTGTTGTTAAAATTGGCTGCTATAGTTTGGATATTTGACCCCTCCAAATCTCATGTTGAAATTTGATCTTCAGTGTTGGAGGTAGGGCTTAATGGGAGGTGTTTGGGTCATGGAGATGGATCCTTGATGAACAGAATAATGCCCTCCCTGGTGGTGGAGACAGGCAGTGAGTTCTCACTCTATTAGTTCCTACACAAGCTGATTGTTAAAAAAGAGCCTGGCACCTCTCTCCTTTCTCTCTTGCGTCCTCTCTCTTCATGTGATCTCTACGTACATATCACCAGCTCCCTTTCCCCTTCTGCCATGAGTGGAAGCAGCCTGAAGCCATCACTAGATGCAGATGCTGGTGCCATGCTTTTTGTACAGCCTGCAGAAACATGAGTCAAATAAACCTCTTTTCTGTATAACTTACCCAGTCTCAGATGATCCTTTATAGCAAACAAATGGATTAAGACATTGGCTATCTTATTCCAAAATTCATACAAAACTACAAAGAACCTAGGATAACCAAAGCAATTCTTAAAAAAAGAACAAACTTCTATCTAATCTCAAGACTTGCTACAGCACTGTTAAAGATAATTTTACGTGATAATAAACATGTTCTATAACTGTGTGTTGACCTATATTGTATGAGATAAAGTGGGGAATCCAGAAGTATGTCTTCATTTTTCATCTAACGAACTAGGTTTATGGTGGTACTTTTTCCCATGAAGAAGACAGGGAAAAGAATTGGTTGAGGTGGACAGCCTCTTTTTAATATGCTTGCTAGACTTCCAAGTAGAAATTTAAATATTTATATTTCAGTAGTCAGGAAGATTATGGTAGCTTGGACTGGGATGGTGTGGTGATGGCAGTAGTGAACTTGTGAGACATAAACTAACTGGAGGTGTTTTTAGATGTTCTCAAACCTTGTGATATATTAGATGGGAGTGTAAGAAATATTCAGGTATCAGAGATTACACCAGTTTCTTCTGCTTGGACTGGAATGGTGTGGTGATGGCAGTACTGAACTTGTGAGACATAAACTAACTGAAGGTGTTTTTAGATGTTCTCAAACCTTGTGATAGATGGGAGTGTAAGAAATATTCAGGTGTCAGAGATTACACCAGTTTCTTCTGGCTTGCAGAGCTAGAAGGGTGGTGGCACTTTTGAATGGAAATGGACAAGATTTGGAGGAAGATCATGAATTTCATACTGGATATTTAAAGTTTAAAATGATTTTTAGACAGCCATAATGTGCTGTCAAGCTGACAGTTGTATACGTGTCTCTGGAGATATAGATTTCAGTATCACTGGAATGTAATAGGTAACTGAATCATGGTCAAGAAAAGTAATCATCTAGGCAGTGAATATAGAGTTATATGATAAAGCAGCATAGGACTGAGTCTGGAGGGATTCCAGTGCTGAAGGACTGGGTGAAGTATGTTGAGCTTGTAAAAGAGGATGCTGAGAGTCCCAGTAAGATAATTTATGTGGAAGGTATTTTACAATTTGTAGAAGTTCAGGCAAATGATAATTTTGATAATTAAATTAAGCCCATGCTTCTCAAATAGGGATTTGAGTGCCCCCAGATGTAAGCTGATTGAATCAAGGGGCACTTAAAGCCCTGGGATAAATAATGATACATTTTCTTTGAACATGAATTTTACTCAAGAGTAAGTAATTTTAAATATTCTTTTTATATGGAAACAAACAGATATATTATGGATAAAATGGAAAAATCAAGTCAACTTAAAGGCTATTATATAAGACTTCAAGGAAATCATCTGATTATACCCCCAGAAATTCCTCCCATAGCATACTTTTTCCCTTATCTCTTGTAGTCTTCATAGGAATGTTTAGTGGGGACATTTGAGTGCACTGATCAGAGTCTTTAAGGTGATGAAAAACTCTTCCCTCACTTTCAACTCAACATGGTAGCAAACAAGGTGCTTTTGGAAAGACACTGCTTTTTCATTTATAATTTTTAAAAGTAACTTTATAAAAACATTCAAGGTAGAAAAGTGCGAAAAGCAAAAAATTCTTATCACTCAGAAATCACCAAAGTTAACATTGTACAAATATCATTTCTCACAAATCCCTTTGTAAGTATACAAATGGTAGGATAAATATTTAAAGCCAATTATTTTAAGATGATGCTATGGACTGAATTGTATCTCCCCAAAATTCATATGTTGAAATTAAATCCCCAATGTATCTGGACATAGGGTCTTCAGCAGGTAATAAGGCTGGTGCCTTAATCAGATAGGATTGTGGCCTTATAAGAAGAGGAAGATCCTGCTCTCTTTCTCTCTCTCTCTGTGTCATGTGAGGACACAAAGAGATGGTGGCCAACTGGAAGCCAGAAAGAAAGAGTCCTCACCAGAACTCATCCACACTGGCTCCTTAATATTGAACTTTCCAGACTGCAGAACTGTGAGAAAATAAATTTCTGTTGTTTAAGCATCTAGTCTATGGTATTTGGTATGGCAGTGCAAGCTAAGGCAGATGAGATGATACTAAGAAAACTTTTAATTCAAAGTATAATTTAATTCTATCTTTAAGAAGAAAAAGAGAAAGTAAAATGAGACAAAAAGGAATTACCGAAGATTCCTAGAGGAGGAATTGTTTGTTTCTTGGAAAACAAAGAGTAAATTTTTTAATGCAAACTTACGCTCTCTTCACAAGGAAATAAAAATTCACATTTTCACTACATCCTTGCCAAAACTGAGTATGTTATTTTCAAAAACAGTAATTTTTTTCCAATGAAATATGTATTGTCTTAATTTGTGTCAATTTGATTCCTGGAGAGGTAATGTTTTTCATTTGAGGATAATTTATATTTTTTTTCAAATATTACCTGTCACTACATTTTCTCTGTTTTGTTATTTTGGGGTCTTAGAGATACATAAACTAAAGTAATAAAGGAATTAGAGAATTGCTATTGAGCAGCCACAATAATAATAATTATTTTAGATAAGAATAATCAGTGGATGTGAAAATTGTCCTTTCATGAAGGGAGCTGGCTTGCCCAAGGCTATCCTCTGCTAGGTGATAGCACCAATCCACAAGCCAGGAGAGTTTATGTGGGACTGGATTCTGATGGTGCTGAATCAAAGGGATAGAATATAAAATTGGGGAAAAGAGAGTTTATCAATATAAGAGTGTTTTCCCAGGACACAGGATTTAATGCCCTGGCAGGGACCCTAGGAGACAACACTAGTATGTTCTAGAATGGCTGTTGAAAGCTTGGAAAAACTGATAGCCCACACTAAATGAAATAGAAATGCAGATTTGCCATGGGATTAAAAGACCCAAGTGGTGAGCATGCTAGATTGCCAATCAGCTATGTTCAGCTGGGGAACACTGTCAAAACAATAAAGAATGTGCTGGAGAAGGCGGCATTAGCATCATTAAGATCAATGGCTGTTCTCTGTAATCCAGGACTGTTTCAGAACTAGGCTTTCTAGTAGCAAAGGGATAAAAAGATTCTGAAATAATAGAGACAAAGTGACAACATGTAACCACCAGAAGCAAAATAGGCAGAATTATTTTAATGAGTACCAAGTTCAGAGTGGCATCCAAAAACTCTGACCTACATAGAACTATAGAGTTTGTCCATGGAACTCAGCATTCCTATGGGCAAGATGGATGGGCAGTCAACAAGCATATGCTTAACTTATTTAACCAAAAGAAATTGAGCATGGATGATCAGGAAGCTGAGGGTTCCTGCCCTAGTTTAAAAGTCATGATTCAGATCTGAACCAGGCAATTTTCAGACCTAAACCCAGTGCCTAAAAAGAGAGGCTATGTCTCCATGAGGAAGAATCTTAGAATAGCATGGCAAGTTTTATCATAATGATTCTCTGTATCTTTATCCAAAGGGACATATGGCCTTTCACTTAGGTGACCATACATTGGAGTAAGAATACCCAGACATTTCAAGGACTACTGGAAACAATTGTACAAGTTGACACTGAAGGAAGTGTCACAATGGATTCTTCTCTATTAGTGCAGCAGTCAGTGGGATCCAGGTAGTAAATGGAGTCCTAACCTTGATCTCCCGCAGTGGGTCAGTTGTGTTCACAAACCCAGTAGCCATTTTCCCAGGCCTCAAGTGTATAATTGAAATGTCCACGCTTAGTAATTGGCAGAGCCCTCCCATGGGTTCCTTGATCTGTGGGATAAGGACTAGCACAGAGGCAAACACCACACAGAAGCCTCTGAAACTGCCCCCTCCATTGGCCATGATAGAAAATCAAAAGTATTATCATATTCTGGGTTGGGTTTCTTTTATTTTTATTTTATTTTTTTTCTCTGGAGCATAGATTCAAGTTGCCCTGAATATACACACCTTGAGTTTCTTAGTGGCTTGCAAAAGTATAAGTAATGTTGGAAGAATTCTTTACAAAGAATTGACATTTTTATAGTTTTTAGCCTTCGGCTCCCAGAAGAATAAATATGACTTTCCATTTATTCAAGGTTCCTTGCATATCCCAATCAGTGTGGTTTCCTACATATAAATATTGCATGTTTCTTGAGAAAGTTGTTCCTAAATATTTTAGTTTTAATTGCCATTCTGGACGGGAAAATTCACTACATTTTCTGATTGTTCCTGCCTCTGACCAGCTCTCCAGCTACTAGTGTAATTCCTTAATTCAACATAGGAATCATCATCTCTATGATTCAAAAAAAAGATTCCTTTGAGAAACACACCTAAGGACAAAGCAACCCATTCAGTTTTGTTTTGTTTTAGGGAGAAGACTATTAATCACTTATTCAACAAATATTTATTGGAGGCTCATTGTGAATACACGTTTGAACTAGATGCTTTGTAGGTAGGTATACAAAAAGGAATATGTAGGCCCTGTCCTCAAGAAGGTTATCAGTTCATAGGAGAAATAAATCTTTGTGTCATTAATAATAAGAATGACAATAACAAGAAAGGTAAAGGATTATTAAGGTGGGGAAGGTGGGAAAGGGAAGGAGAGAAGGAATGAGGAAGAATGATGGCAGTTAGAGGAGAGAGAGTTGTCTTCTGAATAATGGGATTGCAGATAGTCTCAAGATACCGGGCAAAATGTCAGCCTTGGATAGGAAGTTCTCTTCCCTCTGTCATAAAGAGAAGAGTTGCAAGGATGGATTCAGAAAAAAAGAGAGAGACACTTAAAGAATGGAAACTGAAGAAATGTACTTTAGTTACCTTGTTATCTGTTAAGTAACAGGCAAGGTCATCTGTAGATAGTGAATACTGGGGTTTAACCCATTTATGCCTGAGGTTGCAATTTTTTGAATTTTTGCAATCAGACGTTGGTGATGACCTTGAGCAGTAGGATATAAATAACTCCCACATGCTTAGCATTCCAATAATGAAACACTAGTTAAGGAAAAGAAGAGACCCGGCATGGTGGTTCAGGTCTGCACTTTGGGAGGCTGAGGCAGGGAGGAGTTCAATACCAACCTGGTCAACATAGTGAAACATGTGTGGTGGCATATTCCTGTAATCCCAGCTACTTGGGAGGCTGAGACAGGAGAATTGCTTGGACCTGGGAGGTGAAGTCTGCAGTGAGACAAGATCCTGCACAATGTATTCTGCACTCCAGCCTGGCCACAGAGCAAGACTTCATCTCAAAAAAAAAAAAAAAAACAAACAAAAATAGAAGAAGAGATTTTAAAATTGGTAACATGGGAGAGAGTGTAGAGAACAATTAAAGATAAGAAAATGCAAAGTTTCACTAAGTGTGATCTTGGAGAGCACCCATATCTGAATCACCTATGGATATTTGGTAAAAATGAGAAGTCCCCAGTTCCACTCTAAACCTACATAATCAGAAAGGAGAGGGCAGACAAGTGCATTTTAATGTCTTCTTTAGGAGATTTTTATGTTCACATTCAAAAAAAAAAAAGAATAGAAGGAATTCTGAAGCACACCAAGTGTTCAGATGAGGTTAGGTTACTTAAATTTGTATATGAAACATTCAATTAATTTTAACTTTTATATTAAGACTGAGGAATTTTTAAAGACTGTCTTTAACACTAATGATCAGTACTAAAAATATGTTTGGTATCGTGATAAAGGCCAGTTAATGACTTTTGGGAAGGGGACAAAACAGTTGGGGGATAAGAAGATAAAGAAGTTAAAGATGGAGTGGGAGGAGAAAAAAGTGGACAAGATGGAAATATTGGAGAAAGAAGGAGAAAGGCACATGAAGGAAAATATTAGAAGCAGAAAGGGAAAAGAGATACAGTTACACAGGGAAAGATATTAAGGGATTTAATAAAACGTGAAAAGGGGCTAAGTAGATTTTGGGGTTAATATTAGCATAGCCTGCTTTTTAATTTAGGCTTCATAATAAATTATCACATTGTTTTCACCTTATCTGCAATTCTGATTAGCTAATTTGCTACTCTCTTCCACAGTTAGGAATTTCAGCCAGCAATGTTTTGGCTAACCACAGCGGTCCTGGGAAGGAAGATGTAGTATTTCTTCTACGGCGCTTTTTGCCACAGGGTGACAAAATTACACCCAGAGCTCATTCTTCTGGGGACTTCCTAGTATAACTAACCCCTAGGGCTCAAACATCAGGGAAAACTGGAAAATCTGAGATGTAGGCTGCAGACAGTTATGGTTGGTAACCTGACGTTTGGTCACATACACACCATCAGGTCATTACTTTTCCTTTTGGAAATCACTTGTTACCTAAGTAACCAATCAACTAACTCTCTCTAATCTGGATGCTAGATCCCTAAATACATCGTCACTTCTTATTTATATTCCTTTATAGAATAAGTGGAGCTTATTATAAGTCCAGCACTCCTGTGTTAGACATGAAACATAATAGTGGTTGATGCCCATCACAGAGAAGTTAGTTGCTAGTTGACCAATGGTATGGAGACTTTCCTGGAAATTCCTAAGCAAAGGTTTGAAGTGCAGAAATGAAGGCAATGTGGGAAAATTTTCTTCCAGGTAGTAAAATTTGTGTAAATTAAACTGTGTATTTACAAAATGACCTTTGATGAAGTTGAGAGGCATCACAAAGATTCGAAGAGGCACCTGTTGAAGGAGAAAGAGAAATTTCTTTCAGCAAGAGGTAGAGCAGACCTGTGGCCTTTGCATACTTCATAGCCTCACCACATTCTCACTTTTACCATCTTCATGATCAGCAAGTCACCCCCACTTCCTCTCTTCCCTCCCTCATGGGTTTGGGTGTTCTTTCATGAATTTTCTTCCTGTCATTCTTTTTGTTACCCTGATTTAATGAAGATAAAGATATTTCCTGTGGAATGGGGTGCATCTGTAGTTGTTTTTTCCCCCCAGAGATGACCTACTTAACAGCCCTGGAATGATGTAGTCTGTTGGGAATCAGTTTTTAGATAGAAGAAATTTAGACTGTTACTATAACTTCATAGAGGATACCAGCCTTGGACAGAGCTTGATTAATTTTTAAATAAGTCTTAATTGCTTATTGTTACTATTGTTGAAGACAATTGGAAATTGTACCAATATTCCCATATGACATTGTATGCAAAAATAAAGTATAAAAATAACATGGACTCTTTAAAAGTGCATATGCTTTGGCTCAGAAATTCGGATTCTAAAAAGCTATCTAAAGAAAACTGGGATACCACAAATGACTGCTATGTATTTACCAATCCTTCCTCTCTTTCTTCATGGGTACCTAGCCTATATCTCTCAGTCTCCTTTGCAGTTTGGTAGAATCAGGTGACTCTGAGATCTAGTTAATACAATGAGGGAAAAGTGATTTACATCACTTCAACACCTGGGCCATAACGAAATCTTCCATACAACTCTCCAGGCTCTCTCTTTCTCTATCCATGTGACTTTATGCTGAGGAGGAGAAAGTCCTAGAAGATGGCCGAGTCACATAAAGGAAGATGCTTAAGTCTGGGACTGATATGGTTTGAATGTGTCCTCTCCACATCTCATGCTGAAATGTTGTCTCCAGTGTTGGAGGTGGGGCCTGGTGGGAGGTGCTTAAATCATAGGGGCAGATCCCTCATGAATGGCTTAGCACCATCCTCTTGATGATAAATGAGCTCTTGCTTTGAGTTCACATGAGATCTAGTTGTCGAAAAGTGTATGACACTTCTCTTCTTCCTGCTTTTGCTAAACGACATGAAATCTCCTGCTTCACCTTCTGCCAAGAGTAAAAGCTCACAGAGGCCTCCCCAAAAGCCAAGCAGATGATGACACTGTGCTTGTACAACCTGCAGAACCGTAAGCCAATTAAACCTCTTTTCTTTACAAATTACTCAGTCTCAGAAATTTCTTTATAGCAATGCAAGAATTGCCTAATACAGAAAATTGGTACTGAGGAGTGGGGTACTGCTATAAACATACCTGAAAATGTGGAAGTAACTTTGGAACCAGGTAACAGGCAGAGGCTAGAATTGTTTGGAGGGCTCAGAAGAAGACAGGACAATGAGGGAAAGTTTGGAATATCTTAGATACTCGTTAAATACTTGTGACCAAAATACTGATAGTGATATTGACAGTAAAGTCCAGGCTGCTGAGGTCTCAGATGAAAATGAGGAAATTATTGAGAACTAGAGCAACGGTCACCCATGTTATGCCTTAGCAAGGAGCTTGGCTGCATTGTATTCATGTCCTAGGGATCTGTGGAAGTTTTAACTTCAGAGTGATGATTTAGGGTATCTGGCAGAAGAAATTTCTAAGCAGCAGAGCATTCAAGAAATTGCCTGGCTGCATCTAACAGCCTGTGTTCAGATGTAGGAGCAAATAAATGACTTAAAGTTGGAACTTATATTTAAAAGAGAAGCAGAGAGTGAAAGTTGGGAAAATTTGCAGCCTGGCCATGTGGCAGAGAAAGGAAAAGCTTTTTGATGAGAGAAATTCAAGCAATCTGTGAAACAACCACTTGCTGGAGAGATTTGCATAACTAAAAAGAGCCAGGTGCAGATAGTCAAGACAATAGGAAAAGACCTCCAAAGCATTTCAGAGATCTGTAAGGCAGCCCCTCCTTTAGACCTAGGAGGAAATAATGGTTTCCTGGGCCTGGCCTAGGGCCTTGCTGCCCTGCACAGCTTCAGAACAGCCCTCCACACACCCAGGCCCACTCTGGCTCCAGCCTCAGCTCAAAGAGGCCCAGATACAGCTCAAGCCACCACTTCAGAAAGTGCAAGCCATAAGCCTTGGTGGCTTTCATGTGGTGTTAAGCCTGCAAGTGCACAGAATGCAAGAGTGAAAGAGGTGTGGCAGCCTCTGCCTAGATTTCAGAGGATGTATGAAAAAGCCTGAGTGTCCAGGCAGAAGCCTACTGCAAGTGTGGGGCCCTTGCACAGAACCTCTACTAGGGCAGTGCCAAGAGGAAATGTGGGGTTGGAGACCCCACACAAAGTCCCTACTGGTGCACTGCCTAGTAGAGCTCTGAGAAGGGAGCCACTGTCCTCCAGACCCCAGAATGGTAGACCACTGGTAGCTTTCACCCTGCACCTGGAAAAGCCACAGGAACTCAACAACCTGTGAGAGCAGCCTCAAGGGCTGAACCCTGCAAAGACATGGAGATGCAGCTGCCCAAGGCCTTGGGAGCCCACCCCTTCATTGTGCCCCCTGGATGTGGGACATGGAGTCAAAGGAGATTATTTTGGAACTTTAAGATTTAGTGATTGTCGTGATATGTTTAGAACTTGCATGCGGCCTGCAGCCTCTTTCTTTTGTTTCACTTCTCCCTTTGGTAACAGAAAAGTTTACCCAATTCCTGTACCCCCATTGTATCTTGGAAGTAAATAACTTGTTTTTGATTTTATAGGCTCATAGGTAGAAGGGACTTGCTTTGTCTCAGATGAGACTTTTGACTTTTGAGTGATGCTGAAATCACTTGTGACTTTTGAGGGACCATTGGCAGGGGATGATTGTGTTTTGCAATGTGTGAAGAACATGAGATTCTGGGGGCCAAGGGTGGAATGATATGGTGTGAATTTGTGTCCCCTCCACATCTCATGGTGAAATGTGGTCTTCAGTGTTGGAGATGGGGCCTGGTGGGAGGTATTCAGATCATGGAGGCAGAGCCCTCATGAATGGCTTGGTGCCATCCCCTTGGTGATAAGTGAGCTCTTGCTTTGAGTTCACATGATATCTGGTTATTTAAAAAAGTGTGTGGCACCTCCCCCTGTCTCTTGCTCCAGCTTTTGCCATGTGACATGAAGCTTCTACTTTGCTGTTGCCATGAGTAAAAGCTCCCTGAGGCCTCCCCAGAGACTTCAGGGAGCTTTTGAGTAGATGCTGGTGCCATCCTTGTACAGCTGCAGAACCATGAGCCAGTTATACCTCTTGTCTTTATAAATTACCCACTCTCAGGCATTTCTTTATAGCAATGTAAGAACAGCCTAATACAGGGACTAACTGCTGAAGCAGAGTTCTCCTGCCAATATATGTTGAACTACATAATTGATAATTCAGTTTTACTAAGCCACTGAAAGCTTTCATCTATTTTTTATAGCATTTAGCTTACTTTCACAAATACACACGCTATAACACAATATACATGTTATAACACTTTAGTAGATTGAGAAGGGAGTACATAAAGATTAGAAAGTAGAAACAAAATGGTTAATATCAGCTAATATGGTCATCTAGATAGACTGTCCAAGAGAACATAAAGCATTAGAAACTATATCAGAGTTCAGTTACATTTCTGAAAATAAATATTCAAAATTTATTTATGTGGAATCTATACTCAAGCATCAAACTATAAATTAAAATTATAAAATAGGTACTGTTTATAATACCAATAAAACCTATAAATCTGTTAAAATATATGAAAAACTTATATGCAGAAAAATTAGAAAAGATGACCTGAAAATGTAATATATAAAGACATTTATCATAAGGAATCAGTTCATGTGATTATTAAGGTGGGCAAGTCATAAGATCTGCAGGGTGAATCAGCTGACTGGGGATGTAGGAGAGCCAATGGTTTAGTTCCAGACTAAAGGCTAGAAGGTTTGAGACCCAGGAAGAGCCAGTATTTAAGTTAGTGTCTGAAGGCAAGAAAAAAGCCAATGTCCCAGTTCAAAGGCAGTCAGTAAGGAAAAAATTCTGTCTTATTGGAGGGAGGGGTCAGCCTTTTCGTTCTATTCAGGCCTTCAGTTGATTGGCTCAGGCCCACCCACGTTAGGGACGACAATCTGTTTTACTCAGTCTACCACATTAAATGTTAATCTCATCCAAAAACACTCTCAGAGAAACATCCAGAATAATATTTAGCTAAATATCTAAGCACTCTATTGCCAAGTCAACTTGACATATAAAATTCGCCATCACAAGCTGGAAGCCACCATCCTCAGCAAACTAACACAGGAACAGAGAACCAAACACTGCATGTTCTCACTCATAAGTGGGAGTTGAACAATGTGAACACATGGACACAGGGAGAGGAACAACACACACTAGGGCCTGTGGAGGGTGGGGGAAAGGGAAGGGAGAGCATCAGGACAAATAGCTAATGCATGCAGGGCTTAAAACCTAGGTGATGGGTTGATAGGTGCAGCAAACCACCATGGCACACGTTTACCTACGTAACAAACCTGCACATTCTGCACATGTATCCCAGAACTTAAAATATAAATAAATAAATAAATTTGAATGAATTGTTAAAAAAATTCACCATCACACCAACTTTATGGAAAGGAAGAGTTGCTACTATAAAAACAGCCACTTCTACCAAACTGATTGGAATTTAATACAATTCTAATCAAAATTCCATTTTTTATATGATTTGATAAATTCATTCTAAAGTTCAAATAAAAGAATAAAGGTCCAGAAATAACCAGGAAGGTTAGAAAAGAAAAACAGTAGGAGATAATTCTTATTATTTATATTCATTTTCTATGGATGGTATAACAAATTGCTACAAAATTAATGGCTTACAACAATGCAAATATATTATGTTAGCATTTTGTAGATTATAATTTCAATACAATTCTTACTGGGCTAAAATCAAGGTGTCAGAAGGGCTATATTCATTTCTAGAGTCTCTTGGGGAGCTATTTCCTTTCCTTTTCCAGCTTCTAGAAGCAGCCAGCATTCCTGGCTCATGCTTCCTTCCTCCATTTTCAAAGCCAACCACCTTGCATGGTTTTCACCATTCTGCTGTAATTATATATCCCTCTAATTCTGACCTCAGCTTGGAAAAGTTCTATCCTTTTATGGACTCCTGGATGAGGTTGGGCCCACCTGAATAATCCAGGATATCCCCATCTCAAGGTCCTTAATTGAATCAAATATGCAAAGTTCCTTCTGCCATGCATGGTAACATATTCACAGAGTCCAGAGATTAGGACGTGGACATCTTTGGGGAGCCAAAGTGTGATATTGGTATAAGACTATAAAAATAGAGACCTAGGAAAATCATATATATTGGGAAGTTTAGTCTACAAAAAAAGAGAGTTGTGAATAATAGGGTGAGGGATAAATTATTCAATTCTTGACACGGGGACAAGATTAAAACAGACCCCTACATTTTATGCAAAAGTAAATTTAAAAAATAGTGGCTCACTCCTGTAATCCTAGCACTTTGGGAGGCCAAGGTGGGCAGATTGCCTGAGCTCAGGAGTTTGAGACCAGTCTGGGCAACACGATGAAACCCCATCTCTACTAAAATACAAAAGAAATTAGCTGGGTGTGGCGGCATGTGCCTGTAGTCTCAGCTACTCGGTAGGCTGAGGGAGGAGAATTGCTTGAACCTGGGAGGCTGAGGTTGCAGTGAGCCGAGATCGCACCACTTCACTGCAGCCTGAGTGACAGAGTGAGACTCCATCTCTACATAATAATAATAATGATATAAAAATAAAAGTTGTAAATCTTTTAAAAGAAAATATTAGAGAAAACTTTTATGGCATTATGTGAAGAAGCATTTCTTTAACAGAATACAAAACGCAAAAATCATAAAGGAAAATATCAATAAATTTAAGCCCATTAAAATAAAAGCAGTTTCATGAAAAAGACATTGTAAGATGAAAAGACTGACATAGAAAGATATTTTGCAACCTTTGTCTTGAAAACCAACAAGAATAAGAAGACATAAAGTCATAAAGTCAGAAGGGAAATTAGCAAAGGATATGAACAAGCAATTCATAGGAGTGTAAATAGTCAATAAAATATAAAAATATATGCTCAATAGTATTAGTAGTCAGACAAAATTAAAATATCAATGAGATATAACTTCACAACCATTAAACTGACAAAAATTAATCAGTGGGTTTACATCAAGTGTTGGTGGTGATGTGAGGAAACAGCAATTCTTATTTATTGCTGATGGTAGTATAAATTGTTACCATTTTAGAGAGGAATTTGGCAATGCATGAGAATGAAGATGATCATTCCATAGCTTCTAGCAATTTGACTCCTAGAAAAACTCTCTTACATGCATTCAAGAATATATATACAAAAATGTCATTTTCAACCTTGTTTGTAACAGTAAAAAACAAAACAAAAAATCCCACCATCCTATTTATTGGGATCAATCTAGCAGTTACTGAGAACTTGGACTGGCCCCTCAGGAAGAGAATAGGTTATGCACATAAAGGGATAAAGAAATGTTATCCTGCTGTTAAATCACATACATAAATATGAATAAATCTTATGTGTTAGAAAGTTGCAAACGGATATATAAAGCATAATACCACGTATGAAAAGTGTGAAATGAAATGATAGTGTATGGAACACATACTAATGTAGTGAAAAGTACAAACATATGTACAAAAATGATTTTAAAAAACTGCAGATAAGTTTTCACCTTTGAGGAGAACTGAGGGGAAAAGGATGATGAAGTGAGGCTATAGCTATATGACACTTATGTCTATAAAAGAGGGAGATATCAAGCATATATTTAAAAAACATTAAAGTCTGTTTAATCTTGGTGGTGGAAAACAGAGGTCTGTTATATTACATCCTGTGCTTTGCTGCATGTTTTATATTTCAAATGAAATGTTTTATTGTTTTTTAAATAAAAAAAGAAAAGCAGAGATGGGCAAGAGATGAGAGGAAAGCCAAGCAGTGAAAACATTTTCCTTGAACTGAAAATCATTCAATATTTTTTTCAACAGGCATTGATTATGGATTTGCTATGTGACTTATCTTTGTGTTAAGAATTTGAACAAAGTCCTGTTTTTTTAAAGCTGTGCCAGTAGTAATTATATTGGTGTTATTTAACAGTAGAACACTATGGCTTATGACTTCAGCCAGCTGAAGTCAAACTCAGTAGGGATGCTTTATTTTGTATAATACAGACTAGTCCAAGTCCTTAGTTTCCACTAGATTGTTCCTGTGTATTTGGATGGCTGCTGAATCTTTTAAGGACATACCCCTGTTCATTCACTCAGCTGCTTCCTCTTCAGTGAAAACTAAACCATCTGTTGTAATGAATATAAGGCTTCCTGCTCTCAATTCTGTCTTCTGATTCCCCTACTAAATGCTGGTTGTCACTTTTAATTTAGAAAAACATCACTATACTCTCCACTTCCTTCTTTAGAATTTGCCTGTGAGTATCTCAAAGCTCTTCATCCACGTGAGGGAGGTATTGCAGTTTTTCCGGGGTATTCAGTTGTGGTGTTAGCCCCATTTTATAGACTGAACAAATGGAGATTTCTAAAAGTCTCAAGGCTTTCTAGCTACTGCTTTGAAAGGTAGTTCCAGTCAAGAAGCAAAGTATTAGTTGCTACTTTGAAACCTAAAATGTCAACACCAGGCAGTGCTCTGTGGAAAAATATCAGCAAAATGTTCACAGCATTAAAATCTACCCTGACGGACTCTCTGTCAGCTGTGGCTGACAGGTTTTCAGCACTTTTCCACTTGTAGGATGTGGGTGGTCTCCAGGACCAGCCCTGGTAGAGCTGGTTGGTGAATTGGATGGGACTTGAGGAGGAGAGAGGTACTTGGAAAAGAGAGGGCGAGCTGGAGGTAGGGGAGGCTTTTACCAATGAAAGCAGACACAGCAGAATACCTGGACCCTACAAGGGAACCATTGAACAAGCTATTCATTAATCAAGGGAGCTGGGATTTAGAGTTGTAATAGAAAAGGCAGAAAAATCCTCATTTGTAAATAGGAAATGGGAAATTTCACCATAGTAACCATAAACAAGGAGTTTAAAGTGAGTTAAAGGGTTTTCCTAATATACTTCTTACCCTTCCTTTGCTTTCTTCTCCTCTTCCTTTTTTTTTTCTAGAAGTCTCTCTAATATCCATCCGTCAAAGGTGGTCCATGAGATATTGTCAAGAGACAGCTTAGCAGTTTGACCCTTTCAGATCCTGAACCATGAGATGCTCATTGATTGGATTCTGTGCCCTCAAGTAACATGATTCATTCCACTCAACTAAGAAATTTAACTTTTCACCTTCCACTCAGTTAAAAAGAAAATAAACCTCTTAGCAATGTGGGACATACCTGTATCTTGAGCACTGAAACTAACCCAGTGTTTTCAAGGAAATATAGTCTTTATATAATGTTTAGGTATTAGCCTAACAAAAATCATCTAGGAGTCATTAAGGAAGTGGCTGAACTGTGCAAGTACAAATTTCTGATTTGTTAATAAAATGAACTTTTCGTTCTAAAAGACCAAATGCCAGTTTCCTGTGTGAACACTATATTGATCTGGCTTATATTCTAAACATGGCCACTCAAAAGAAATCTTGCAAGATTCTGGCTTGCCCTTTGTATTGACAGATTCAGATCTCAACTATATCAGACCTAACTCTTAAGTCTCTTTGTTAGGGACCAGCAATAAATTACTTGAGGTCAAGTTCTGTTTATACAGTGGACTGTTCTAAGAGAATTACCTTCTTGACTTAATAGCTTCCTTTTGGGTGACATTTCTCCCTGAAAGAAGACAAATTGTCTAAGGTCAGTCTGCAGATCAGTTCCGAGTGTAGGGGGAAATTGTAGTGGATCAACAAAATTGCACCAGTTCTACCAACCAGCATTAGGCAGCATGCCGCCAGTCAGAGGCAGACCCTGAGGGACTACAGCCAGAGCTCCTTGAAAGAGCAGAGTTTTCAATTCTTTCTTTTTGGGCTGCTCTTGACTTTTATTTTCTCAGGCTCCACCAAAAAACAAAAACAAACAAACAAACAAAAACAAAAAACAACAACAAAAAGCCCAAAACAAAAAAACTCCTGCATTAACAATGAAATAAGGTCTATTAAACTCTTCATTCAGTGCTGAGTTGCTTTAAAAGTTTGTTTCCCTCCATCTACCAAGGCTAATTTGAAAGTTGAACAAAAAGAGAGGGTGAATTTCAGACTCAACTTGAGCTTGAATCTGTTCTGTTTCATCTATCGGAATGACTAAGTGAACCCCAAATTTCCATTTTAAAAAGGGAAACTTTAGAAATTAGAAGTGGACTTAAAGCAATTAACAAGCTTCAGGATACTAAAAATTGAGTAATTTATTCTTAAAGTTATATGTATTCTACATGAAGAAATTTAAAAACACAACTACCTCATTACATATTCACCTACAATGGAATTGGTAGATTTGCCTTTTTACTCCTCCTTTAGAGGAAAAACAGAGAAAGAGAGAAAAAATAGAAGCACAAGTCTCTTTTTAATTAAGCATTTTATCCTTTGAAGTTATTCTGATTTTTTTTCACATTGATGATGTAATTTATGTAAATAATCATCTATCTATGAAAGGAGTGTGTCTGTCAAAAGCTGAAATAAAAAACATCCGTCATTTTGAAGTGATTAACATTCTCCAGATGTTTAAATCATCAGATTTCAGGAGTTTCTCTTTGTTGTGATAATGATATAGTATCCAGAACAAGAATGTTTACTTTTTTCTGTGGGTCAAACGCAGATTTTTCACAATCCTATTAAGGCATGCAGCTCATTATAATTGTATGTACAGATGAAAGCATATTCAGTTATTATTATTCCCCTTAATTGTAAACTGCTGCTGGTAATTTTACTGTAAAGCTCAAACAAAAGGAGAATACTTGAAAGGACCACCACTGCCCACTTATGTAATCAATTTATATATGTCAAGTTTGTACTGGGATGGTTATCCCCTTCTGTTACCAGACATGTGACATGCTACCACCCTGCAGCTTGGGGCCATGCATGCATGTCTCTGGCTCCTTTTGCAGGCTGCTTGGAAATACAGTACATGTCGGTAATAATGTTAAATGACAGCTTCAAACTATTTCCCTTAGGCCTGTTTGACCCGTGGGTTCAAGGTAAAACAGGAATGGTTCCGCTTACCTTCAAGACCTGAGCATCCTCACCACTGGCAAATTTAACTTGGAAGCTTGGTGAGGTTCCCTGGAGATCCAATTACCCTTGTTAGGGGACCTATTGAAACATTAATGACATGTAACCACTTCATTCATAAAGTTGGGCTCAGCTCATGCCTAGCATTACCTCCCACACACCCGCTTCACATCTGAAGTGCTTGTAGGGTTTTATTAAAACCGTTTGACTAGGGCACAAGCTGACTACACGCTTATTATATGCTACCTCAACGCAGATAAGGCTGAGAGGGGGTTCTCAATCTCCATGTGCCAGTGCAGTCTTATAGAATTGCATTAATTAAGAACAAGAGATATACAGAATAATGTCTCCAGAGCTGTTCATTATTCATGCTTCTGGTGGTTTTTTTTTTTTTTTTGTCTGTTGTGCTGCTGACATATATGTTCAGGAATTTAATGTGGTACTATTCCATACATTGCCATACAATTTTTCTCTCTCAAACATACCAACAGAAGGAGGAAATGTCTTCTTTTTGTGTTCTTGTGAGAAATCAAAGCACTGAAATTGTTAGATGATGATGAGTCAGACATAGAATACCTTCTTTCTTACTGGACTGAAGCCTTGGTAATAGGCTAATAATTAATAGTTACCATCTGCTATTCCTTGTGCCCTACCTTCAGATCATTCTTCATTTGTATTTGAACACACACATTCCTTTTAATCATTCCATGGCCATTACAGTACTTTGATAAACCTTCAGTCCCTAAAATGTTTCCAAATCACCCCCATCTGACATGGACCCTTGAATTAGAACTTTATTAAAGAGGAAATGTGTCTAGTAAGTGACAAAGGGCTGGAGCATTGGGCTGGGAATCAGGTAACTGGGGCTGTCTTCATTGTTATGTCCAAGCATCAAAGCAGGCACCTCAGCCAGTCCATTGGTTCAGTGCATTAGCATTTTGTTCTTACCTTTCCTGAACAAATGTAGTGGCCTCTTCTTTCACGTAAGAATGGGTTTCAACCCTCCTGTCTATGTACCCCTCATTTTTCCTCTATCTAGAAGAATGTTGACTCTGGGATTATCATGAGACCTGAACATCATTCTTTCTCTAAATTAGAGAAACACATTTGCTTCCATGGTTTTATACATTTCAATTATGTTTCCACCGGATATTGAAAGGATCCAAAATGTCTTGGGTAAAAGAAAAAAAAAATGTGCAGGGGAATCTGGGGACATAGCAACTCTATTTTTTATTTATCACCATCATCATCACAGCTACTCTTCACTTAACATTGATAGAGCACATTTTAAATCTTCATATCAAATTAAAATGAGAATATTATTTCAAAATTTTAAAATGGTTCCAGATAGGGTAAATGACTTAACCAAGGTCTTAGATTTGTTTATTCATTGATTGAATATCTAGTTTGCTGAGCACTGTACTTTATGTTTATCATAGAGCAGGAATAAAATAACGATTTCCTGTACTAGGAAAGAAGCAGAGCCAACACTAGAAACTTAGGGTCAGACTGCTTCTGCTTCTATTTCCCATTTTTTCCCCTGACATCTGGACCCATTGTTTTTAAGCATAAAAATAATTTTCTGTTGTGATTTGTTTTTATTTGACAATTAACCTCACGAAACAAATGGTGGCCACACTTCTCCAGGGAGGATAGGCAATGGCTATAGAGGAGAAGAAAGAGCACGCAATTTATTTTCTCAAATTATTAACCCTTCACATTATGATACTTCTTTTTTCCTGAGATCCCAAACTAATGTCTTTACTGATAAACCAAATCATATCATTGGCAGAACAGAGTTCTTTTTGATAGGATAAAATTTCCTAGACCAATTTTAGACTCATTGGGAAATTTGTAGTAATCTTCAAAATGGCTAAAAATGTTAATGGTGAACCTTTCATCTTGAGCAACCTCTCACCCATGAGCTACTATCATAGATCAATGATGTTCAAGAGCATAAATATGTAAAGTTGAACAAACAATGGGGAAGGTATCAGTAGGACATTCTTAAGATTGACCAGTCCTCCCAGATCTCTAGCAAGTAATTTAGCAGGAGATGGAGAGAAGCTTTCTTATTTTTGTATTAATACCATATTAAATAGACTCCTTAATGAAGTCTGTAGATGTTCCCTTCTTTAGCTTTTAAGACTTTTGAATTAATGTACTTAAGTCTCAGGCAATTTTCTTCTGTTTCATTTCCTTGATACAAAAAAATGTGACATGCAGTTTAAGTCTGAGTATTTTTAAAATTTCAGTATGAATGGCTATAGTCTGTTGGCAGAATCAGAATAATGTGTTTTGGTAATTTGTTATGCAAATGAATCTTAAAAAAATTCTTTATCCCATTTCTCTCTCTTCGCCTTCCTCGTCTCCCTCTCCTTTCTCCTTTCCCCTTCCTACCATTTGCTTTTCTTGATATATTGGTTATAAAGACTCACTGTCTCTACCTTCTTAGTCTATATTGGATCAAATTGTTTCAACAGATATTGTATCTAGGCCCTAGCAAACATTTCTTAGCTCTTCACTTTAAGGCCATGTTTTTCATCCCCTCACTCACTGCTAGGTTAATCTTCCTCATATTTCATTTTCATGTTAGTAAATAACCACTAGCTAATATAAAATCCAAACTCCTTTGGATTTTTTAAATTTTATTTTATTATTATTATACTTTAAGTTTTAGGGTACATGTACACAATGTGCAGGTTAGTTACATATGTATACATGTGCCATGCTGGTGTGCTGCACCCATTAACTCGTCATTTAGCATTAGGGATATCTCCTAAAGCTATCCCTCCCCCCTCCCCCCACCCCACAACAGTCCCCAGACTGTGATGTTCCCCTTCCTGTGACCATGTGTTCTCATTGTTCAATTCCCACCATACTGAGAATGATGATTTCCAATTTCATCCATGTCCCTACAAAGGACATGAACTCATCATTTTTTATGGCTGCATAGTATTCCATGGTGTATATGTGCCACATTTTCTTAATCCAGTCTATCATTGTTGGACATTTGGGTTGGTTCCAAGTCTTTGCTATTGTGAATAGTGCCGCAATAAACATACGTGTGCATGTGTCTTTATAGCAGCATGATTTATAGTCCTTTGAGTATATACCCAGTAATGGGATGGCTGGGTCAAATGGTATTTCTAGTTCTAGATCCCTGAGGAATCGCCACACTGACTTCCACAATGGTTGAACTAGTTTACAGTCCCACCAACAGTGTAAAGGTGTTCCTATTTCTCCACATCCTCTCCAGCACCTGTTGTTTCCTGACTTTTTAATGATCGCCATTCTAACTGGTGTGAGATGGTATCTCATTGTGGTTTTGATTTGCATTTCTCTGATGGCCAGTGATGGTGAGCATTTTTTCATGTGTTTTTTGGCTGCATAAATGTCTTCTTTTGAGAAGTGTCTGTTCATGTCCTTCGCCCACTTTTTGATGGGGTTGTTTTTTTTTTTTTTTTGATCATTTATATGTTCTTTTTAATCATCTCACCCTCTCATAACTCATTTCTGGGTTAGCATCTTTAGTAAGTATATTATGTAACAGTTTACCATTTACAATGTAGCTACACAACTGATAGTCCATGAGAGACTCCCAAAAATCTTAGATGAAGCTTGGAGATAATAAACTACTTGTCTAACATCTCACTGGTATTCAAAGAGCATGCTTAGGCTTGAACTTTGGCTTATTGCACCCAAACCCTAGGGACAGGGATTGGCAACCTATGACTTGAGGGCCGAATATGATCTGCTGCCCATTTTTGTAAATAAACTGTTATTGAAATATAGCTAAGACCATCTGCTTTTCCTAATGGCAGAGTTGAGCAGTTGTGACAGTCATTGTATAGAGTGCAAAGCCAAAAATATTTACTATTTGGCCCTTTACAGAAAGATTGCTAACCTTTGGTCTAATGTATCAAAATCTGATCTTTAAAATTAACAAAAAACTCTTAAAAATTATAAAACTAATACACGTTTATTGTAAGAACTTTGCAAAATATCAAAAAGTCTCAATATTCATCCTATTTGTCCTTCGTTTTCCCTCCCTAAACAATTAGATCTCAGAGCCTGTAGGTGGAGCTGAGCCTTGCAGTGGGGTAACGGTTTAGGAGTTGCAATGGCCCAGAACAAGGGCACACCTTACCCATTTCCCTTAGTGATTAAGAGAAAATAGGACGGCATATTCATAGGAAGACTGCCTTGCATGGGGAGTTAGAGCCCAAGCAAGGTAAGGAGGGCATTTCTCTGTGTGGACAGCCCAACATGTCTTACACAGCTCCAATGGGATAAGAAGGGATTGGAGGGAGGGGGTCGCTGTGGGGAGTCAGATCCTGAGTAGGATAGGAGATTGCTACATACACAGGCATTAGTCAAATAAGAAATACTAAGAATCATGAGAGCTAGGTTTCTCATTGTCAAGGAAAGGATTTGCAAATATGAAAAGGATGAAAATGGGAAAGAATACTGTGAGATTTGCTTGGAATTGAAGGCATTGGTATTAATTTATAGATTTCAATAACTATAGGAATATATAAAAATAAATATAGATGTAAACATAGGTGTAAATGCATATGTTTTACAGCTCTGTATACTGAGGGCCCAAGAACAGTGACAAGCAAATAATTAGCACATTTGGCTCTAAAATGTTATCTTTTAAATGCCGTTCTGCACTAAAAGAAATCAAGACTCCTTAGAGAAATGACTTGGTCCAGGACTGGAAGAAGGAAAATACAAGATGAGCTCAGAATACTTTGCTGTGACAGAAAGCAAAAAAGTACTCAACAAATGATGAGGCATGTAAGCTTCCACTGCTCAAACAGAGGAAAAACTAAGCATCAAAATAGTGTTATTAATAGATTACAATAAAACAAAATAAGAAACCAGTTAATAAATTGAAGTTGGATGAGAAAGAATATTAGCATAGTGCCAAAGCATCTCTCTACAAAAACACTTCTTAATTACAAGTAAGAAGAGTAACTTTACATGGAGAAGCCTAGAGGACACAACTTTAATAAAATGATCAAAGTGAACATGATTTATAATGCTGACAAATCAAAACTGTGAACTACCTGATAGGATACAATGAGAATACATCATTGCTTCCTGTGATATTCATGCCTCAGATGCATAACTAGAATCTAATCACTAGGGAATTCCAGACAAACACCAATTGGGGGACACTCTAAAATTACTTGCTTGTAAACTTCAAAAATATCAAAGTTATGAAAGTCAAAGAAAGCTTGAGGAACTATAGGAACTATTCCTAGTTCTCACGTCCCTTTAATATACCATGAGACGTGAGAACTAAATACAATATGTGATCCTGAACTGGTTTTATTTTGCTACAGTGTACATTTGGGGGGACATTTAATGGAAATTTAATGGGATTGAAGATAGATAGTAGTAATGTATCAATGTTATTTTCATGATTTTGATATTTTTCATGTGGTTGGGTATCCATATGAATGTCTTCGTTTTTAGGAAATACACACTGAAGTATTCAGAGATATTGGAGGTAATATGTTGGCAACTGACTCTCAAATGGTTTATGTTATGACCATTTAAGAGCTGCAAATTAAATTTATTTGTATTATACTTACAACCTTTCTGTTAATTTGAGACTGTTTCAAAATTTAGAAAAAAATATTTCTTTTAAATTAAGAGAACAAAAGTCACTTGTCAGTTTTCTATCCAAAGATAGGTAGCCATTTTTTAAATTAACTTTGATTTATAGCTTTCCAGCTTTTGTTTCTGTGTATGTATTCTAAAATATTATTTATTATTTCTAGTGTTAGTAAATTTGATCATACCACTTTTAATATTTCATTGTTTTCTTTTTTATTGAAGATAGCATTTTCTCAATGTATTAAATGTTAAGTAATCAAATATTAGTCCTCATTTTTCAACAAGTTCACCAATAATGGCTATTATAAATCATTTTATTTTTAGCAAAGAGTCAAAACAAAATATCATTTTAACTTTAATTTTTGATTATTAAATAGTTTGTATCTTTTAGATATATTATTGGCCATTTGTGCTTATTCCTCTGTAAATTACTTTTCTCTTTTTTGCTAATTGTCTACAATGATATCCCTTTTTATTGATTTATACATTCTCTTTATATAGAATGACTTTAACTCTTTTTTTCTGCACACATATATAGTAGGTATCTTCTTTTACACTTATATTGACATTGTTTCTATTTTCATTATTTTTAGGAAACAAAAAACTTCTCAATTGTCACTGTCTTAATTTTTTTGTATTGCCAAATATATTTGTTTTCTTTAGAGTGAGGTTTAGAAAAGCATTTACCACCTGAAGTTCAGATAAATATTTATCTATTTGTGTATATTACTTTTTAAAAGTGATTTAAGTTTTTCCCAGAAGTAGCAAGTGAAGATCCATTGTGAGTCACAAAAGACCACACTACAAACCATATACTCTGCTCAGTTAGGTCTGCTCCTGGACTCCGAGGCTTTCTCCAGTCCCAGAATAATCCTTGCTTATAGGCTTGGCTTCTTGGAGCAATTGTCCACCTCCAGAAATAGAGTATGACTCTACAATTTGGGGAGCCCAATCTGATGCAATGGAGCTTTCCACATGATCATCTTTGTAGTTTTTAATGTTGTTTGTGGTTTCTATCTTGATAAAATAAAAATCTGCTTTTATGGTATATCAAAACAAATAGAATTGTAGTAAGTTACATTCTAAAAATAATACAACTATTCAATAAAATATCTGTAGTATTAAGAGGCAAACATGTCTGGGTGTAACTGACATATATTGAAACACCAGTGATTTGTTTTCTAATAATTTACATCCAAATGAGGTTTAGGATAGTCCAAGTTTAGCCTCAAACAACTTAAGACAAGAATAACTAAGATTAACCCTTTTGAGTGTGGCTGGCACCTTGTTTTCTTTCTCAAATTTAGTTTTTATTTTTATCAAAATTTGTTCATAGGTTAAAGAGTAGAACACTAACACTGATAGTAGCAAGTGTGGTAGTCTTTAGTGCTTTTTGCCAAAATTTCTGCCTCTCTATTTACTTCTGAATACATGGTAGAATTGTATGTTTTTGGTTCCCTTATATTTGTGTAGAGCCAATGTGTTGCAGGTAGAAGTGAGGTATGAGGTGTGTCACTTCCAGGCTGGAGCATTTAATTACTAATGTGAGACTCTCCAGTACTTTTTTTTTACTCTGGTGCAGTGGCTGGCAACATTCAAGACAGTATCAGCCTGGGTCTATGGGAATACAATGAATAGAGACTGTTCCTGTCAGCGGTGGACATTTAATATGAGCAAGAATAAATATTGATGCCAAAAGTCATTGAGATTTTGCAATTTTTGTTACTGCAGTATCACCTAATCTACTCTGATATGTATAATAATGGTGATATTATAATATATTGTTATTTATATTGTTTATCATAAGTATTTTATGTTTACTATTATTTTATCATTTTAAAAAGCTTAGTATTGTTTTATTAATAGGTTATATTACTTGCTACTTTATCATTATTATAATAGCAAACACTTAGTTCTTACTATGTGCTAGGCACTATTCTAATGCTTTACCTATATTAACTAATTTAGTGTTCACAATTATTCATAGAAATGCCATTATTATTCTCATTTTATATATGACAAAACTGAGGGACAAGGTGATTAAGTAACTTTTCAGGGTAGTGGAACTGAATTGTGAACCCAGGCAGTTGTTCCCAGATTCCAGCATCTTAACCACTAACGCAGTTTTAGAAAGCTTCATTAGTTTTCTATTGTATAACACATTACTCAAACTTAGTTACTCAAAACAACACTCATTTGTTATCTCACCGTTTCTGTGGATCAAGTGTCTGAGCCTAGGTTCTCTGCCTCAGGATCTAAGCAGGTAGCAATAAAGGTATTGGGTTGGAGGCTTGAATGGGGAAGAATTTACTTCCAACCTCTTTCAGATTGCTGGAAAGATTATATTTCTTGCAACTGTATTACCGAGGAATCTGCTTTTTGCTAGCTTTTGGCTAGTGTCTACTCTCAGGACTGAGAGGGCACCTGCAGTTCTTTGTCGTGTCACCCTTTCCATAGGCAGCTTATGACACGGAAGTTTGTAATGGAAAAGGTGGAAAACATTCATGAAGACATGAGAAATTTAAGCAAAGATGTGGAAACTATAAAATAGAGCTAACCTGGGATACAGGAGCAAGTCTGAGTACTGTATGGTGCTTGACACTTAGATCAACATCCAGATAATCGTCATGGAGAGAGTGCTATAAATTGAAGGAGGAGAAGAAGAAGCGGGAGGAGAAGGGGAAGGATAAATGAAAGGACAAGGAGAGAGGGAAGCGGAGGGGGAGAAGTAATGGAGGAGGTGAAGAAAGAAAGCACTGTTTTATTAAAAGTTCTGTAACACATTAGGGCAAGGGCAGATCTGAAGATGCATCAAATAGAATGTAATGCAAACAGTCGGAGACATATGTCCCTTTACCATGCTTATTTGGCGCACTGAGGAATTCAGTACGTTGGGTGTAGCCAGCACCTGGCAGAGCAGTGATAGGGCATGGAGGGAACTTCAGGTTCCTGAAAGGAGGCAGTGTTAGTTTCTGACAGGAACAGTGGTGTCTGGTATACACTTCAGTATCTAACGGAAGCACAAGTGAAGGTTAGTAAATGTGTTAGCATCCCAGTGGAAACAGTAGTAAGCACATATCTCAAAACAGTTTACTTAGTTTATACATGGTATCTTCTGGAGACTCCCGGAAAATGTACTGGGGACTTTTCAGGGACTTGATGTCTTGCATGGTATGTGGGGGCCAAAAAAAAATGACACCTGGATTAATATTCTGTTAATATTCTGTTAATAATATACTGTTAATATTCTGGCTATAAAATGGGCTGATAAGCCCTGCTTCTACTGAGATTTTGATGAATTAGAACTATTTCCCTTGTTGCAGAACTTTCATGATGAGGGAAAAGTGGTTTATTTCCTTGCTGTGTATAAAGTTGCTCAGTTGATATAACAGTCAGTTAAGAAATCAAAGAATATTCACCTTATTTTAGAATAAGTCTTGTTGATCCAAACCACAGGTGTTATTCTGTTAATGGTTTCATTTGTTCTTGAAAGACATCAACAGTCTTTTCCCCTTTCTATTTGGCATTCTTTTCTTTCCAGAGCATAGCTTATTGTGTGGGGGCTATGCCTTTTCCATTTTCGTTTATAAAAACTACTAGGCACTGCTTTAGTTACTTTACATTTATTGAGACAATTTCTTACTCTCAACTAACCTAATTTTATTTCTGGTGAAACTTGACTATCCTTAATAGGCCTTTCTGTTTTAATTCCTTGCATATTAGCACTGCTTTTCAACATCACTAGGTTGATTACAATCAAGAGCTTTAACTGCACCGTCCTTCAGTTTAGGTTTCAGTGTATGGATTTGAACAACTTATGCAACTCTGTCAAAAAAGGATTAACTCTGTCCTTAAGATTGAATTATATTCTTAGCAGAGTCTCCATTGAAAGTCACTTTTAAAAAAAGTAATCCAGGTGGCTCATAGTACCAAGTCAAGTATAAAAATAATAGAAATAATGACTTCTTTCTACTGTGTACAATGAAATTTGATGGAAATATTCAGGCCATGCAGCACTTGCCATTTTTAACATTATATTTGCAACAACATTTGCAGCTATAAGATAAAATATAATAATGATAATTACTGAATTATTAGTTATATCCACAGTTTTTGTAAAAAAAGAAACACTTTTAAGTTCACTAAGTCAAATAAGAGTACTTAATGTTTTGTGCAATTGTATGTTGTGTTTATTGGGTATTGGTGGCTAAATTCTTCCTGGTAAAAGGGTGGGAGAGAAATGAGAGGCCTCTAGAGCAACCAAACTGTGTTATAGTTATATCTTGCTTGTGATATACAACAGATACCGGATGGAAATCTGGACCTACAAAGTAATTCATTAAAAGTTGATAATTTGATTTCTAAAAGGATTCACTGCAAGGGGTTTTAAATTGTGGTCTCTAGAAAATAATGAAATGCTTATCAATTTTATTGCTAAAAGCAAGGTACATGTACCTCTGCTACTTTAGAGCTGAGCTGTGGAGATTACAAAAAAGTTCTGGGTTTTCCTTACAGGTAAGCTCCCCCCATCTGCCCTCTGACCCCCTACCAACGAACTTCAAAAACAAATGCATTAATTACCAATAGTTTTGTCCACATTTCTACCAGATTTGCCTGGTGAGCATGATTTTCAGCAATGGCTGTAAAGGTGCTGCTGCTGGTAATCACTTTTGTGAGTATAGCTGAGAAGAAAGCATTTTACAAATAACATCCTGCGGTAGGCCTGGGAGGGCAAAGCTCAGGGTCTCTTGCCTGAGAATAAGCTTTTTTACATCCTGATTTTTCCTGTCATTTACTGTTACTCAGAGGGAGAAGCACAGAGAGTGGGGTTTTGTGGCTTCAGGTTCATTTACATATGCATTGTTCAAAACCACTTGGACCTGGGCAAGGCTCAATTTTGAGATTCTGCTGACCTAGCAAGGAAAAGATTTAATGATGAACACGAAATTAGAAATGAAGATTTTAAAAAACAATAAAAACAAACTTGTTTTAGTGAAAACTTTCATGTTACTTTAAAGGAAATGTAATGCAAAACAATTTCTTTCTTCTCAAACTGACACAAATTGACTGTTGTTTTGTTTTTAACCTTTTACTTTTCTATCTTGCTCTGATTTTCTTTAAACAATTATGTTAGGAACTGATGGGATATCGTTCTCCATTAAGAGTTCAAAAGAGATTTGCTCAAAGTTAAAAACTTTTGTGCTTTAGAGACACCATCAAGAAAGTGAAGAGTCAACCCACAGACTGTGATAAAATATTTGCAAATCATATATTCAATAAGGGACTTATGTCCAGAATATATAAAGAATCCTTAAAACTCATTAATAATAATTTTAAAAAACTAAAAAATGGGCAGAGGACTTGAATAGACATTCTTCCAAAGAAATATACAAATGGCTTATAAGCACATGGAAAGGTTGTCATCATTAGTCATTAGGGAAATACAAATCAAAATCACTAGATCAAATTTTCACACACTAAAATGGCTATAACTAATAAGACAGACAATAACAAGTGTTGATAAGGTTGTGGTAAAATAGGAACTTTATACATTGTGTTGGGAATGTATAATAATGCAAACATCTGCAAAACAGGCTAGCAGTTTTTAAAAAGTTAAACAGGTTTATCTTATGACTCAGCAGTTCTGTTCCTATGTATCTACCCATGAAAATATATGTCCACACACAGATCTATACAGGAATGTCTGTAACAGTAATAATACAAACATCCCAAAAGCACAAACAATTCACATCCAAATGTCTGTCACTGGATGAATAGATAAAATGTGATGCATTCATACAATGGAATACTATTCATCACTAAAAAGGAAAAATAGGACTGTACATGCTACAGTGTGGAGGAACCTCCAAACTTTAAAAATATCTCAATGAAAGGGCCTGACAGAAAAGAACACATATCATATTATTCCATTTATATGAAATATCCCAGAAAGGCAAACATATAGAAATAGAAAATAGAATCATGGTTGCATAGGGCTGGGGGTGAGAATGGAGAGTGATTGTAAATGGGTGTAAGATTTCTTTTTAGTATGATAGAAATGATCTAGAATTAGGTTGTGATCATAGTTGTGCAATTCTAGAACTCTACAAAAGTTTATTAAATCATACATTAAATGAATGAATTTTATGGTTGGCAAATTATAACTCAAGAAAACTGGGGAAAAATTCACTATGAGTTTTGACTCAGATTTTGAGGGAATTACTACCTACCAGAATGGTATTAATCTTTGTGAACTTCCTTTTATTACACAGGTTTATTATGACCCAGACTCAAGGGTGTTTTTAAGAAAATTCATTTCATGGAAATTATTAGGACATTTTAATTTGGGGGAACAGGAGCAGAAGAGGGGTGTAGGGCACAGATTCTTACATGTGTATAGTTATTTGAAGATGATCAGCTCATTCCAACGTTGAAACTCCAGTTTCTTTGGTGATTTTCTAATAAGTTTTAAGGTGTAAAATGTGCTGAGTTTAACTCCTAATAAAAATATCCCTTACTGTTGACAAGAACAAATCTTTTTAACTTAGAGGAAGTATTAAGTAATTTTTGAACCTGATAACGTAAGTTTCTATTTTCGAGAGTTTTTAAATGCCTTCTTTCCATAGGCTTTAAATATGGTGGAAAACTTATAAAATGCCCTCCAAAATAAAGCAAACAAGAAAGCTCTTGTTTCTGTAATATTTTCTAGAGAACAAAGACTATGCTAGTGTCAAAGTTGAATGTGCCCTCTGATGTCTCAGCCCCAGCTTTTTACCACTACACCTGTTTTTTTTTTTTGAAGGGTTAGAGAAATGGGAAATATGCTCTAACAGGCTTCAAGTCGCTTTCCAAACTTATTTATTGAGTGTAGAAGTTCAAGTTCCAACATGACTGTTATTTAGAGTGAAAAACTTCTCTCTGAAAATATAAAATAGGCACATTAATGAGCCAAATGTACATTGGTTACCTGCTCCCATCCCCCACCCCCTTTTTTTAAAGAGATATGTTCTGCGTGATGGAGGCTAAAAGGTGGCTGCTGTGCCAAAGTAGTGGACCCTAAATCGCTGCGCAAAAAAGAGAGGGGGAGCCTCTGATTGCTCACAGTACAGGAGTGAATATGCGCTCTCAACCACAAATCAAGCAAGCTGAAGAAAAAAAAGGCCCAATCAAGGCAGTAATGGCCTCCACTTCACAATCAGACAAGTGCTTCTTACTTGAAAAATCCTACCATTTATAGCTGATTGCTAACCCGAGCCTCATTTCTAATCTAAAGGGCGAGTAATAATTTGGAAAAGGAATTATAACAACTTCCCAACAATTTAGCAAATTGTTATTATTTCAGGGGGAGGGAAGGGTGGAAAGGAGTTGCTTTTGTAATGTGTTTCTCTTGTGGGCTACCATTTTCATGACATCAAATCCCATTGCCACTATGATAGAATAGCAACTAATATATATTGAAAATATGCTTTTAAAAAAAAAGAAGAAAGAGAGAAAGTTGATATTGTATGCCATGTCACATGTTTCAATGTGGTCAAAATTAAGGGTCTCCAAAGAAGAAAGGAGGAAGAGGAGCTGTGAATTCTTTTGCACAATTTACCTATAATACACCCAAATAAGTTTGGGTGATTCTCTCTGAGTACCACTGTTTGGAAAGGATTTTGACCTTTCAGAGAATTGGACTTCACAAAAAATAATACCTTTAAATGCTTCACTGAGTTTGTTTTTCTTTCAGTGTTGATGAATTTGGCTCAGATAATGCTTTTGTTACTGAAAATATTGTAATATACAGTCATTATCTACAACCTTACTTTTTAGCTTCTAACTTAGAATGCGTATGTGCATATGTACATATATTTGAAAGATATATATAGCCAAGCATTTCATTAATATTTTAAAATGAGGCTCCTTTTACATAGATGCTATTTTGGGGATTCAGCCTCTTTATTATTGTACAAATGAGAAAACAGAGGCTACAGTAAGGTAGTAATTTCCTAAAAGTCACACAGCTAGCCAATGACAGAGATTAAAATAGAACTTGGTTGACCTTATCTGACTACCATACCTTTTGTATTATATGTTACTTTTTCAAAATCATTCTTTCAAATGGCTTTAAATTATGCATTTTTAGGAACGTGGCATATTAGCCTCATGTAGTAAAGGCATCAGTGATTTTTGGTAATAGAATATGCTTGACATCAACATGCAACTTTAAGCCTGAAGTGTGAGCAGTAATATTGTTCCTCGTGTTTTGCCACTTTCCGTTATCTTTATAATAAAACCTATCTGTAATTTAGAACCGTTTTGTCCTCAGATCTGAGAATGTTAAATGTCACCTATTGAAAATATGCCTCATTCTCTTTTATTTCCAAAATTAAAACAAGCTAATTAAAACTGAATAGACAATTAGCAGAACCAAAACACAGTATTGGTCATTCATTTCCCTTTTATAGGTAGGTAACCAATGACAGAATTTGGTAAGCAGAATGCAGGCCTCTGCTGCAGCTGTAGCTATACACGGGCCAATTGTCATGTCTGCAAAATCAGGCTGTAATTCTGATTCTAAGTTAGAAAAAGGGCAATTCTCTATCATTTGCATCAATGTAAGCTTAATAAACATTTTTATCACTTATTCATTTTTAGTAGAAAAAATAACTTTCTTTGGTATTTTCCATATGTTAGGATATGCTAGATATGGAAAACATATCTAGTTTTTGAATCAAAGAAAATATTTTGATTTTAGATTGAAAAGGTTAAACATAATATACCACACTTTCTGAAGCACAGCCGATTTTAAGCAGATCTAAAAAAATAGATTTAAAGAAACAAATAAAACTCTCTTTATTTATGTGTGCAACTCGAATAACAAGGCTAAATTTTTCAGATATGCAGAAATGATTTATAGCTTGCAATTACCCACTCCATTCAATATAAACAGGATCATAATTCATATTACATAATCTAGAGCTCATTTGAAAATACATAATGCTATTCTGTAAAAAATAGTTTCTTATGTCATCTTGCATGTCTAGCGCCATGCCCTTAAAGTGATTTTTTAAAAAGAAATAAGTAATTTATATTATTAAGTCCCAGAGAGGAAAATCAAAGAACTTTTAAGAAACGGCTTGAAATTTTAAAAACGTTTAAGGGTAGAAAATCTGAGCTATAATAGAATGTGTTTATTTTGTTATGGAAAGAACAAAGTTCTACTCTAACAGATGCGTGTGCTATACTTCACAGCAGTTTGAAAATTAGAGAAAAATAAGTAAGACTTCCATTGTAACTCAAGACAATCAGAATGTAAAGGCTTGAAGAAAAGGGCCAAGCAAACCCCAAAAGATGACAAAATAGTAAGTAGCAACCAGAGGCAAAATGTGAGATGAAACATGATGCCTTCAGGAGTGGAACCTGAACATTTTAGTAGAATTAACAAAAATGAGCTCAAGAAAAGAAACCCAAAGCACTTCTTGGTTTTACTTTTGAAAAGTAGACACTGTAACAGAATCTGTTCACACTTTAACTAGGGGAAAAATTAGGAATCCTAGCCCAGGAAAATGTTTCTCCAGGATAATATTTTTCTAGGAAATGTCATATTCCTACTCTCTTCTTTTATTAAAACTAAATATCATACACTGTTGCCACAAGCTGAAATGACCCCTAGTGTTAGGAAATAGATTCCTTACAGTGAATCACAGGCACCAAATATCATCGATAGATACAATAATGTTAGCACACATTTTGTCTGTGCCTGTAATATAATAGGCTGCTTTAGTCAATACAAAAAGACACAATCAAAGCGTATGACAAAGGAAATCACTGTCCTTTTGCCCATTAAATAAAAGAATATCTAATCCTCAGAGCCACTCAAGCAATTTGAGATTCTTGTCATCCAGAAAGGACTTTGTTTTCATTATACAATATATATTTATAGCCATGAGTTATAGCAGATGTAGCTACAAGAAGGAAAAAGGAAAGATTTTTTAATAAAAATTCTGATAGCATCATCAAGGATAATGTGTGGAAGAATTTCAAAACAAGTTTCTTGAGTAATAAAGTTACTTATATATGGGAAATCCTAGCTTTTATGGTTAAATGGAAAAGTACTCAAGCTGTTTTAGCTGTGCAAATCATTAGCTACATCATAAGGAGACTCTAAAACTTAAGTATTTAAAAGTACTGTCTCATTAAACCTATACAAATGAATTCTATGGTAGCCACTTAATTTTTATATCTTAAAGAGCAAACTTTGAGATAGAAATATAATATTAAGGAATACAATTCCCACAGGGTATCAAAGAAGTACAACATGTACATTGTATACAGATCTCTTTACTAAGAAAAATATTGCTGAAAGAGGATTGCATTACAATTCAATAATTAATAAATAAACTCTACTATGATTCTTTTTGTATTTGTGTCATATAACCAAAGCTAGTAAATACCAATCAGTGTGGTTTATAGAAGCAAGGAGGGATTAAGACAAAAATTAACAAAAAACCTTCACTGATTATAATTAATGCAAAATGAAACATTAAAATACAAAATACAGGCATATACTTAAGCTTTTTAGAAAGTATCAGTCATAAATGAGACATATACTTATGTTAAAAATAAGAGGTTTTCTTTGCACTGCATTATTTATAAATGAAAAATAGAAAGAAATGAGAGTAAGAACTAATAATTTATAGATTTATGATACAGGTTAAAAAATAAAAATTACTTACCTAACATCCAAGAACAATGTAATTACATTCAGAAAATAAATAATACTACATACATATGCATATTAGAAATACAGAAAGCCACTTTCAAATACATGTTTTGAACTCTGCTCTGAGATTAATTTGAAAGCTTTCCTGGAAAAAAAAAAAATACCAACCTTCTTATGTGCTTATTGCTACCGGAGTAATTATCTAAGAAGAATATGCCATGATGATAAACTTCATTACTCAATAACATTAGTAAACATTAAAATATTTAAAGAATACTGTACTGCATTATGGTTTATTCTATTTAAATCTCACAATTATAGCAGTCTTTTCTAACTTGTATTGCTCTATGGAATGAATTGCTGGGATTTGATAATCTCCTGCTAATGCAAGCTGATATTACAGTCATATGACCTAATTAAACATTAGGATTCATATTTTAAATATATAATTACCAGAGTGTCATTTTTTTAAAATGTAATTACTGGTTTCTACTTTAATCGCAAAAATTGGTGTTCGTGTCAACAGACTAAGGAAAGTTTTCTGAAAAATGTCTTTTTTCTCTGATTGTAAAGAAACAATGAAAAATCTCAGTGTCAAAAACCATTATTAATATTATTTTCATGAAATAAATTCCCTTGTTTTTTATCATTGTGGAAATTTCTACTTCCAGGATTATATTACATGTCATTTCTTATTGTCACTTAAAATTCATTCATCTTTTCTTGTGGAAGTATATTTTCATTTTTGGCATTTAAGAAATTCACCTAACAATGCTAGCATGATATATAAGTGAAGAAACAAATTTCCATTATTTTAAAACAAAACAGACTCAAAGATTTGGGGCTTTGGGGAAGAATTTTTCATTTCTGAATTGCACAAAATCATTCATAATTATATCTTAGTGATTTCAATATCACAAATCCCTTCTGATTAGCCCTCTTAAAAAAAGAGACAAACCCGCTTCAGAATTGTTTAGCCCTGTTGGAAGCCCTGTCTTAGAGAATGACAGATTATGTAATTAAATTGAATCATGTATTTTCCATAGAAAGAAGGCATGATACTGGAACTGATGCAAGCTATATGCTCATTTCTATATTTAGACGCTCAACATCAACAGGTCAGCCCACTGACCAACCAACCAAGTTAAGGGATCATATGTAGCTTTTCCATTTAAAAAATATGGAAAGGCAGAAAAAGAAAGTGACTATAGAAATAGCTGATGAAATGTAACCCTTTTAAATAACCATTCTTCATCCCTTGAGTGAAAGAATGTCCCCACAAATAATATTTTCCCATTTAGGAGATTGATTTACTAACAGTGCAATATAGAAGTCTGGGGAAGCAGTTAAGTTTAGCATCAAAAATGGAGATCCAGGCAAGAAAGCAAAAACGCTAAGTTCACGGAGGAACACATGCCAAATACCTCCAAAAGTTTGTAAGTGAAAATACAAATGCGATATTTAAGAAAAATCCTGCTTTGTTTTTCAAATAAAAAGTGCAAACTAGAGATTACAAGGATAAACCAGATGTTACTGGGACTAAATCTAACACACACTAGCAGTAGCAAGGCAACAAATCACTAAAGGTTTCTCAGCATTTGGTTATTTTTATCTTTGCATGCAGGACAAGATTTCTTATCAGACTTTACTTCCAGAGTCTCTTAATTTATTTCTACTTTTCTGCCACCAACCACAATTGTAGTCCTAAGTACTCAGCTGTGCTGTATTTCGAAATCCTCAGCAGTGTCCTCTAAACTGAAAGTGTATATTCCATTTTACTTACACAATCACAAAGAGAAATCAGTGTCACAAAATCCCTTAAAATTAAGGGATCAAAAATAATTTATCAATAGTTGTACAAAATCCAGAATAAGTTGTCATTAGGCATGAATTACTACCAATCTTAGAATGATTGTTTTAAACTGGAAGCAATGGATTATTTAGAGACTTGGTGGCTAAATGTAGGTAGTTAAATATTGTAACTATTTGTTGTTCAAGTATTGAACATTACAGTTAACATAAAGAATAAACGGGACTGCATGAGGAATGGAAATATTAAAAGTATAAATGCAAACAGTTTGACACAAAAATCTATAATCCTAATAAATTTAACTGTAATTGTTTACTTTTTTCAGACCATGGGTAGATTTAATACAGATACACTGAGAGAACAATTTCCTTAGAGACCTATACACAAATAAATAAGCCCTGTCTAGTGTGTATAGGCGTCTAAGGAAATTGGCTAGAATAGGATAAATAGGATTTATCCCTTGAATTTGTACAAAATGATGTTGATTATGAATTCCTTACATATATACATGATGTGTGAATAATGTAATTAAAGATACGAAGTTTTTTTTAATGATTTCACAATTTTAACTAAATGCAGGTTTTAGACTGAAACAGCCTAAAGATTCGAAGTAAATTCTTGTTCCCAATATTTCTTTCATTTTACTCTTTAGAAATAACATAATTTTAATGGCATACTTTAATAACAAAGGTGAAAACTTCTGGATAGCTTTTGCTATTAAAATACCGTATGACCGAATTATCCTTTGATATTAGATAATTTAATTTATTAGAAGGATAAGCAGAAATTATGTTTTCCTAATGTTATTATTTCTCAAAAATAAAACTATCAAAATATTATAGAATTGTTTTTATAAAAAAAACAACAACAAACGAAAACCTACTCTGTCTTATACGAAGCTCAAACTACTGTTTCCACTGCGTGTAGTACTCTGCCACCTGGTGGATAATTGTGAAAAATCAGACAATGTGAGCATTTGGTTTCTCCTTTTTCCTTCTTTACCCACCGTTTCATAGAACCTATGAATTAAACTTCAATTTGACAATATGCCTATTGCTGTGGGAGACAGTGGCTGTAGGAGAGACTGGTTAGTCTACATGACTTATACATTTGCTTTTGCCTCATTTCAAAGCATCATTAAAAATTAGCCACAAAGATAAACAGGTTTGAATAATTTATTGGCAATTGTTAAGTATAATGAAATTAGCCAATATTTCTTGATCTCTGCAAAGTTATTTTCTCCAAAGAGTTAAGGACAGTTTATTTAAGTCTTATGATGTCACAGAAAATAGGTGGGAGTTGATATGAAAAGCTGAGGAATAAAAAAATTCATTAAATGAATATAATGAGACAGTATTTCAGTATATTAATATGAACATTCCCGCTGCTATATCACAGAGAAATGAACTTAGTAGACAGTTTTATATGTCATTTCTGTCAACACATCTCATGGACGATGTAAACTATAAGATCTAACCTTTGAATAATGATTATTTACTGATTATTATAGACTGATGAATAATTCTGTAATTTAAAAAGAGAAAATGCTGTCATGAACACACTTATTGCTTAGGAACTTTGTTTCTAAATGCCAGTCCCCACCGAAACGAATTGGGGTTCTTTGGCTGATTCTATGACTGGGGGAGATGAATGTACAAGATGAGCCTGGAAGGCCTCCTTGTGCAAGATAATGAGGAGATGCTCAAACACTGAAAGAGATACGTTAAAAGTAGACAGGGGTCAACTTGAATGGACTCCCACTGGTCAAATCTGGAATAATATGAACATTAAAATAAATAATGATAGCAATGGATTATAACCTTTTGAATCAAACAAGAATCCATGAGTTCATATGTGGGGAGAGTGTGTGAAAGCAAAGCTGTCTTTTAAAGTTGAATGCCAATTAATAAATGTAGAAGGAATAATGGAGGTAACAAATCATTATTTTGCAATCATAGTAATAACTTATTTGGAGAGGAATAATCAACAGATGCTGAAATTAGTGGGTAAAAGTTGGATAAAAATAGGTTATTTACATATTCTCAAAGTAGAGCATCCTTAAAATTTCTTATTAATTACAAAAGGGAAAATTACCATTAAACCTAGCAGACACCACATTAGCCAAGAGATCAAAGTTAACATAACCAATAATGGGACAAACTGAAATCCTGTACCCACTGAAGTCATGCTTTGACAAGAACACATCACTTATATAATATTCTTGCTCCAAATGCATAGTTTGAACCTAGTTAAAAATGAATATTAAAAATATAAATCGATGGCTATTAAATTTTCCTGTATTCTTCAAGCCTGTCAATGTTATCAAAGGCAGAGGCTTATAACCAATTATGTACTATTAAACAAGATTAAAGAAATATGAAACAAAATGCAATTCAGTTTATCCTACAAAGAATATCATTGGGACAAATGATGACATTTGGATAAGTTTTGCAGATTATATAATTATGTTGTATAACTGTTAGATTTCCTGATTTTATAATTTTTCTGAGATTATATGAGACTTTCCTGGTTCTAAAGAAATATACATTGAAATATTTAAGAGTGAAGAGTAAAATATATTTAACTTACTCTCAAAAGTTTGTATATTTATATGAGATTATTCATATGTACTGTATGTCTGTATATGAGAGAGAGAGAGAGAATGGTCACTCTGGGTAAAGTATATTCAGGAATTCTTAGTGCTATTATAACTTATTTGTAGATCTGAAGTTATTTCAAAATAAAAAGGCTTTCAAAAGGCTTGGTGTGAAAAAAGAAAGACAAGACCTATCATGTTTAGTCACAAGGTATATCTTGGAATACTAACATCTGGAAATTTGGATATTTTGTGAGATATAAAGAATAGTATTATGCATGTGTTTAGTGGCTTCTAAGCATCTTTTTTTTAACTTCAGTCATTTAACTTTATCAATTTCAAGATTCCTTCAAGAATTGAATAGTAATATAATTTGGTTAGGGATTTTGTCATTTGCTTATAAAATAATGAATTACATAATACTCATGAACTCTCCCAGCTACAATGCATTTATAAACCAGAATAGAAAGTAGTTGTTAAAAAAACAACAACGTCCAAGATGCTGGGGATATAAAAATATTGGAAAAACAGCTTTGTCCCTCAGTTAGTCAAAGTTTAATATGATGGTGGTGATGGATAGATATATATGTATGCAATTAATAGCTACCAAGAGATTTCTTGGTTTGTGTGGTTATGTAAGTATAAACAAAATGCTATGTATATATAGTACTGGGAAAGTGCTATGGAAAAACAGGAATGTAAGAAGTTAATTATGAAATGAGCTTTTAGGAAAGCTTCTCAAAAGAGTTAACATTTGAGCTGAGCCCTGATTGATGAGTAAAATTTAAAGAGCACTAAAGATCCTAGGCAAGTGCCAATACAAACAAAATCTTTAATAATGTTACTAGAAGGAAAGCTCTATGAAGGCAGAGTCCTTGTCCTGTTGCATGTGACTGACATATAGTGGGTGCTCAAAAAATATTTGTCATGTAAATGAATAAATAATAAAAATGGCATGTAAACAATCTGGTTATTGAGAAATAGTTCACTTTCTTCTTGCATGGTTTAGATTTGGTGGTGGTGAGGACATTCTTTTCAATTATCCTTGGAATAGCTAAAGAACATAGATCATTTCTATAATATACAAGTGTATGAAAGGTTTGTGTAAATATAATTTATTGAAATATCTGGGAAAAGGTATATAGAAAGAAATAATTATTAGAACCTTTAAATAATCTGCCTCTGATTTGAAAATGAACCAAAAAGAACTAGAAATAATTAAATATAATCTTTGAAATGTAAAACTCAATGGACTATCTAGGCAGTAGATTAGACACAGTTGAAGAGGGTATGAGTTAACTAAACAATAACCCGAGTGAATGACACAGAATGACACACATAGAGATGAAGAGAAGCTGGTGAAGGGGGATGAAAAGATTAGACAATATGGAGAATAGGCCCATAAGTAGGTATAATATAGGACTAATAGACTAATAGTTACAGGAGAGAACAGAATTGAAGAGAGATGAAGAGAGGCATGAAATATGGATTTTAGTCAAGAAACATCAATCTTGGCTTATCAATTGTAACAAAAAGTCCCACACTAATGTAAGATGTAGGATATATAAGATAAAGGATATCATGTGTGGGCAGATGAAGTGGGTACATGGGAACTATCTGAACTTTTTCTCTCAATTTTTCTGTAAACCTAAAACTGTTCCAAAAAATGTTATTAAAATAGATGAATAAATAAATAAAATTTGCAATGAGTTAAAGTTATAGTTTAAATTCAACCACATTAAAGGCAAAACCAAAAAGGGCTCATAAATTCTTGCTTGGCAAGAATAGAATGCATAAAAACCCAGGACATTAAAGGACTGTTAAGTTTAAAAACATTAGCATTTGTGAATATTAAAATCCTATTGCATTAGAGAAGCGTGAATGTTGACAGAAGCCCAGTAGAGTATGGAAAGAAGAGGCTTGAAGGTCAAAGCCCATTTTTAAAAGCCAAAAATCATAACTAAAAAATAGTCACTATTATACACCTTATATGGGAGTGTAATATTTACTCCCCGCAACTCCAGTCAAATTAAAGCCTGCTCAAGGAGCCATCTATAAGAATAAAGATGGTGATCATTTTTCATGGCTCTTCAACACTTAACCCAGCAAATCATATAACTCATCTCAAAATGGAGAAAGCCCTTGTTTTCAAAACGTGGTGCTCATCACTGCCTTTGCTCACATTTGAAATCAAGTGGCTCTGAAAAGGACTACGGTTTACTCCATCTAAGGGTAGCCACTGAGATCTTTGCCCTAGCTTCCAAAACATCCACCCTTGCAGGCTTCCAAACAGCTACCCATTGTCCTGGAACCCAAGGGCGCCACATGTGAGCAGGAGTCAAGTCCTGGCACATCACAGAATCTGCAGCACTCTGCCTCTTTCTCAATGTGGGGAGGAGGGTTAAACACCCAGTTGAGTGGGAAGGCACCCATTTCCCTTAAAGCACCAAGCCTCACGTATGTGCAACCTGTGCAGCTTGCATAGGGCCCCGTGCTTAGATGTACCTGTACGTGATTTAGTGCTCCGCTGTTGCCATCTTGTAATTCTTAAACCTTTTTTAAGGGTCCCACATTTTCATTTTGCACTGTCCTTTGAAAATTATATAGCTGATCCTGCTCCCATCTCTTATTTATTATATAATATACTAACATAATAATAGACTTTAATTCTCCCCAAAGATCTAACCAAAGTTTGCCAATGCTGGTGCCCACAGGGACCAAACAATGTGTAAATGATTGAAGCAGTTGTGTCAGGGAACCAGTAGGGGGTGCTGGGTCTGGGGTGAATAGGAAAACAAGTCTTATCCAAAAGGAGGAGCTAGTACTTGAACGGCTAAGTGTTGTCCTGTGGGAATGTGAGACGGCTCCAGCCAGATCTTCCAATTAAAAAAACACACACAAAACAAACTAGAGATGCGCTTTATAGTTTTAAATATTAAATCATCATATTTTAAAATGTTGATTCAATTAGAAAAAATATACTCCATGTGGGCCAAACAAAACATATCTGCTTGGCCATAACTTGGACAAGTTACAGCTTATGACTTCTGGCCTAGAACCTCAAAAGCAAAAGCATGTTCCTTAGTTTCCCTCCTTGTTTTTCAATAAGGTTGACTTCATTTTTCCTCTCTCTTTTAGAACACAAAAGCAGTTAACTTGTAGGTGATATGAGGAATCCAGACCGTAGGAATAAATGCTTGCCTTCATCCTGAAGGAAGGAAAAAAATCATTTTATTTTGGATGGAGCCACTACAATGAAAACAAATATAATGCCATTCTCAATAGGCAGGTTATGGTGTGTATTAAATTATTACTAAACTGCTGTGTTTCAGTTATTGATATTGGTGATCAGGCATAAATAAAACACATAAATAAAATAGTTGTGTGTTGTTTAACAATAGAAACATGTTCTGAGAAATGGGTTGTAAGGTGATTTAGTCACGCAAACATCACTACTGGGCCTACATGGTGGAGCCTATTGCTTCTAGGGTACAAACCCGTACAGCATGTTAGTGTGCTGACTACTGTAGGCAATTGTAACACAATGATAAGTATTTATGTATTTAAACATATCTAAACATAGAAAAGGTACAATTAAGATATAGTATAACAGGTGAAAAATAGCACATCTGTGCAGGGCACATACCATGAATGGAGCTTGCAGTACTGGAAGTTGCTCTGGGTGAGTCACTGAGTGGTGAGTGAATGTGAAGGCCTAGGATGTTCTGTATAAACGTATTACTGTATAAACTTTATAAACACTGGACACTAAGACTACACAAAATTTCATTAAAAATGTTTTATTTCTTCAATAAATTAACCTTGGCTCACAATGAACATTTGGTTTATAAACTTTAATTTCTTAAAACTTTTTGACTCTTTGGTAATAATGCTTAGCTTATTGTACAGCTGTACAAAATATTTCTTTATATCCTTATTCTATAAGCTTTTTTATATATTTTTTTTAACATTGGAAAAACCTTTTTGTGAAAAACTAAGATATAAACACACACATTAGCCTAAGCCTACACAGGGTCAGAATCCTCAGTATCACTGTCTTCCTCCTCCACATCTTGTACCACTGGAAGGTCTTCAGGGGCAATAACACACATGAAGCTGTCACCTTCTATGATAACAATGCCTTCTTCTGGAGTACTTCCTGAAGGACCTGTCAGAAGCTGTTTTACAGTTAACATTTTAAGTAGTATACCCTAAAATAATGATAAAAAGCATAGCAAAGACACAAACCAGTAACATATTATCAAGTATTATGTATGCACTGTACATAATTATATGTACCATACTTTTATATGACTGTCACCACAAACGTGGGTAATGTGTTGTGCTACAGCTTTACAATGACCACATCACTAGCAATAGGAATTTTTCAGGTCCATTATAATCTTATGGGGCCACCATATCGTATATGGTATATGGTCCATCATTGATGATTAAAATGTTATGTAGCTCATGAATGTATATTAAGGAATGTTAAGGAGTGAATGGGATTCAATGTCTTCTTAGGTTTATGGCCAGCACCTGGTGTCTCCTCTCTACTAACCTTATATAAACAGATTATACTATACTATACCTTATATAAACAGATTAGGAAGCAGCCCCTCTCTTCTTAATTCTCATTCATATATTCAGTTTATGGAATCTTTAAAATACATAGTTTTCTTGGAGATCAATTTAAATGAATGAAGAAAAGTCAATGAGCCTCTTAGATTTTAAAACTGCAGAATGTGTTGTCATTTCACCACAGGATAGGCTCGTTCCACCTGCACTCTCTCTTTCCTACTGTTATTTATAACTTTTTTTTTTATTCATTTATCTTCTCTTTTCATTTACTGCACTGCCAGGCAGATACTTTCATATTCTGTCCACCAGACTAGAAGAAATGCTCCAGGCATTCCGACACTGTGAGTTCCCTTTCCTGCCCAAATTTCCTTCCCAGAAGGACTGCTGTATATGTTGGTAGATAAGAATGTGCACTGCACAACTTCGAGTGCCACTGACATTGTCATCTAGGGGAATGTTCCCTCCCAAGTGGTACAGAGTTCAACTTACATAGCTGAACGAGTTGCCATGCTTTCCTGGAAACTGCCTTAGACCCAATGGTAAGGACTATAACTTACCTAAGCTCTTGCTTATTCTCCTATAAAGTGTACACATGAAATCCCTGGCACAGGTACACTGCAACATCTGTTCATGTGACCCTTTTTCTTTTCATTAGAAAAATCTTCAATTCCTCCTCAAATGCTGTCTCCAGGAATAAGTCTGTTATCAGTGGGTTCTAAAAGTGCTGGACTGATTTTATCAGAACCACTTGGATGAGTTGTGTGAAAAATAAAGATTCCTAGACTCCAGGATTAAGATTCTGGTTTGGAAGATCTGCGGCAGGGCCTATTAAAGTAGCATCTCCATGCCTCGTCCTGACCTAGGTAATTCTGATATGCAGCCATATTAAGGAAACACTGTCTACCTCCATGCTAGATTAGAACGGCCCTTCACAGTTGGGCATCAACTACCTTGACTCGCATCACATGCTGTGTTTCAGCCTTTCTGGACTATTCCCCATCACTGACTATACCATGCTTTTTGATGCCTCATATCCATTATATACCCTTTGTCTGCGAGAGGTTTTCTGATTTTTCCCATCATGTGAACTTGTATCTTGTCCTTTTAGTCCTAAATGAAATGGTATCTCCTTGAACTGGAATTCCAGTACTTCCTCACCTGTAATCAATTATTCCCAAATCTTTGTTCCTATAATAATACGTATTATTGAAGTGATACTTAAAAGTTACATGTCCCTAAAAGAATGTTTAAAACTATGTATTTACATCATTAATTTAGTTTATAGCATAAGTTTAAATCACAACCAAAGATATAATTTCTGGCATATCAACTATAATGCTAATTTCCAGCATTAAAATATCCACTATTATTTAAAATAAAGGTCTTTTTACTTAAAATATTTATGCTATCCCTTTTCAAAATGTATCCAAAATAATCTAAATACCTGTCTTAGGTCAGGTTATTTCAGAATAAGACACCATTCAAACATCTTTGATTTATTAAGCAGGTGCTTCTGGGAGAAACTGGTAAAAAAGTAGGGATAACTATAGCATTTCAGGTGAAGTCGTAGGATAAGCCGGGTACTGCTGAGAGCTTAGATGACAACTGCACATCCTCTGGGCAACAAAGTTATAGTTTGAAGCTCTGCACTTGTCATTACTGGCTTATGAATGGCTGATACACTCAACAAACTAAAATACTCTTATGAAGAGCAGCTTTATAAAACCTACTAGAAACATTACGGCCAAGACACATCAGAACCAAAGCTTAGTAATCTTCAGGGAAGATGGTAACATTGATTCCTAGATCATCATCATCATCATTTTCAAGTTCTTCATCACTTTCTTTAGTAATACACTGGGCACGTGTTTTTTCTGGGTTTCTTTTTTTCTTATGAATATATGATGAGTTATTTTTCTCTTTGATCTTGGGATGTAAGTTAGTCATCGTTTCCCTTTCCAAAGCATGCTGTAGGCAGTTGTAAAACCTGTGAAGAAATAAGTACTACTATTATATCTGTGTGTACTGAAACGAAATGACTGAAATACACCAAGAGCTTATAAGTTATGTAAATTTGACTATGTCCCATATTAGCTTTATAAATATAAATCAAATAAATAATATGTTTTATTAGGGAAATAAATGCATTTCAGTTCTTTAAGAACAGCCCTGAAAACTGGATTGGAATCACCTCTTGACAACCTCTGTCCTACCTCACTTTCCAACCCAAATGTAGGGGTCAAAGAAGAGGGTAAAAAAGAATGCAATTATTATTACATAAATGTAATGGCTCATTTTAGGTAATTTGTATAATGTGTGAGGTTACAAATACAGATCACCTCTACATAACTAGAAATAACTCCTCTCAATATTTTTCTTTTCAGTTTATTAATGTAGTCTGAATTAATGTATTTATTAATTAATCCATATACCTATTTGTCACAATTAGAATATTACATATAAAGTTTTACATTGTTTTTTCAAAGTTATTATTTATTGAGAGTGGCAGTACAACATTATGTCATCTAGATTGGCCTTTATTTACATTCAAATTTTCCCTGATACAAACAAAAATGTGGTAAGCATTTTTGAAAATGATGTGATGTGAGTTTTTAGCCATTTCTTTATATAGACACCTAGAAATATCATTACATCGTTAAAAGGCATAAACATTACAAGGCTCTTGATAAATACTGCTTGTTTTCACAATAGATATTCAAAGAAATACGCTTCTAATAGCTGCACTTGAGAGAGATCACTACACCTATACACTGAATATTCCCATCAAAAAACACATTCTACCTGGATGGGTGAAAATGATATCGCATTATTTTAACTTTCATTTCTTTGTAAGTAAAATACAATGTTTCTCATTTATTAGCTATTTGAATTTTTTAGTGTAAATTATTGTTTCCCTTTATTCATTTTTCTATTGGAGTTTTAGTGTTAGTTTTGTGATACAATAAACTGTAGGCTCTCTGAAAACCAGGCCTCATTTCTTTTCTACCCTCATGTTAACACCTAACACAAAACTCTGCTTGACACAGTAGCCTGCAGCAGGCAGCATAGCATGGTGTGTTGCATGCATTTGACACCAACATTCTTTTAGGAAAGGTGATGTCAGCTAATTCCAATTAATTTCCCACAGTCTTGATTTTTCACATTTATAAAGCTGGATATTATTATCCTGTAGCTATCAGGGTTGTCACAGGATTACAGATGATATATGTAAGTACCCAGAGAGTTAGTTATCAAAAATGACTACTTTTATGGAATATAGACTTCATGAGAGCAAGGATCCTATCTACCTGTCTCCTGTTATATTCTGAGCATGTAGTAGAGTGCTGGCATACTCAGTAAGACTATATTGAATAAATGAATGAATAACCCCAGAATAAAAATGTAACTATAAATGTGTTATCCTAGGTCTCAAATCAGAATGATCTGAAAGTTAGGAAACCCCCCTGCCACTGCAGAGATCTCATCTTACTTTTATGTCCTATTATAATGGGAGACTATGGCAAGAAATTTTTGATATCTACAGAATAGATCTCTATTTGGACCAATTTTCATCTTTGTTTGATTCAATAAACAGGCTAAGTTCTACTTACGAAGCCTATAAAACTCCAAAACTCCAAATATCCACATATTCCTAAATATGTCACCTAACTCTAATACATATACAACATGATGAGTACACATCCTGTCCATTTTCAAGAACTTATGCACTCATCACTGTACACCTTGATATCTAGTGCTGTGCTTGGCAAACAACAGATGCTCAATAAATATTTTTATCAATGAATGAATTAATCTCAAAAACAGACACAGAGTTAAATTTAAAAAGACTGAGATGCGTGACATACATAACTTTTTGGGCCTTGTTCCATGGTAACATCCTTTCACTTAATGCACCCTTTACATCCTTCCGTTACTGAAACCTGGCTCCCCTGTAGACACCATCTTCCATCATTCCTCCCAAGCGGAGACTGCTTATGTTTTCCATATCCTGCTACCACAGAGCTGAGAGATGAGGTCAGAATAAAACCGGCTCATCAACATTTTCCCAAATTCCTCCATCTGCCCCTCATGTCATCTACCAATAATGTTTGGTTCCTTACATTGATGAAAACTTCTATGCTTGACTTGATCTTTCTTTCTAGGTCTTGTCACCATCTTAGGTGATGTCAATGACTGGTATCCTTCTCATGTTCCACACAGCCTGTTCAGAATGACTTACATTAACGTTATCTAAAACATAAATCTGAGCATGCCACAAGATGGTGTGGCTCATCCTGATCATAAGACGCCATCCCTGTTATACAACCTCATCTTCTACCATTCTTTATCAACCCTGCACTTTAGGCTTAGGTAACTGAGTGTTTTTTTCTGGATTATACTTTCTTCCTAGAAAATGAAAGATAAGATTAAATTGCTCCTTTATGATCACCGAGAATTAACAGCTTGTGAAAAATGCCTCATCCATCACATTAAAAAAAAGTAATTAAAAAGGAATGTATGCCTTACTTTAATCAACCATTAAAGAACCTAAGAATTCAAAGCTATGTCCTTAGGGTACCAAAACAACTGGTAAAATGGAACAAAGATCCTTTCCTGAATAAAAACTTCAAATACTAGTTTTCCTTTCCCTTTTCTAAGAGAACTTTAAAAGTCCTTTGAGAAACAGTACTCAGTAAGTCAAAAGTTATGTTCTCCCCTTATACAGTAACACTTAAGCCTGATTTTCAAAAGTGCAATTTTCTGAACTCTCACAGGCAACAAAATGAGCTCTGAGATTTAAGGAAAAAAAAAAAAAAGTATGTTCAGGCAACTGTATTTTTTCTCTCCTTGAAAGAAAAGCAAATAGCCTTCAGTTTTTCTGCCTCTGCAGTCAAGATTATCATAGCATAGGACAACTTGTACTTAGTTCTCTTCATAAGTTTTCAGGCCAAGCCTGAGAAAATGAATTCTTGTTTTTCAACGTCAGTTAGAAAACCACTTTCAACAGAAAGCTGGAATTTCTCTAACTTCTCAAACAAAAACACAGAATTGAGGAAACTGAGGCACAATTTTATTTCCTTTAGGCTTCCATCATTCACAAATATCAAAGAAGGCTATTCTAATATGTATTTAGATTTTAACTAGCATTTTCTTTAAAAAACAACATGTATGTGACAGGCCAAGTGCCCAGTACTAGAAGCCCAGAGAAGTGGTCTGTGGTCTGTGCCCTCAAGGAGCTCATGGTTTAACAGGAGCTACAGAACTGTAAAGCCACATTTAACACACCATGAAAAAGATGGGACACAGTGCTCTAACTGAAATCACAAAATGCTCTCCGTTATAAGATCCAATGCCTGGGCTGAACTGCAAGGATGAATGGAAGCTGACAATGTGCTAAGAGAGGAATTAGGAGGAAAAAAGATGGGGGCATGGGGGATGTCCCAGGAAACACTACTAGAAAATAAAATATATGTTTTCGCTTTATATTATTTACTTATTTGGTCTTAAGTATACAGTTGACCCTTGAACAATATGGTTTTGAACTACACAGGTCCACTTACATGCAGATTTTTTTTGAATAAAAGCTACACCAAATATTCCTGCTTCTCCTTCTACCTTCTCTACCTCTTCTGCCTCTGCCACCCCTGAGATAGCAGGACCAACCACTCCTCTTCCTCAGCCTACTCAAGGTGAAGACGATGAAGACAAAGGCTTTTGTGATGATCCATTTCCACTTAATGAATAATAAATATATTTTCTCTTCCTTATGATTTTCTTAATAACATTTTTCTCTAGCTTACTTTATTGTAAGAATACAGTACACAATATATATAACATACAATACATGTGCTAATCAACTGCTTATGTTATGAATAATGCTTCCAGTCAAAGGTAGGATATCAGTACCTAAGTTTCTTGGGAGTCAAGTCATATGTCAGCCAGGTGCGGTGGCTTATGCATGTAATCCCAACACTTTGGGAGGCCAAGGCGGGCAATCACTTGAGTCCAGGAGTTTGAGACCAGCCTAGGCAACATGGCAAAACCCCATCTCTACAAAAAAATACAAAAAATTATCTGGGCTTGGTGGTACATGCCTGTAGTAACAGCTACTCGGGAAGCTGAGGTGGAGGATCACTTGAGCCTGGAAGGCGAAGGTTGCAGTGAGCCAAGATCATGCCACTGTACTCCAGCCTGGGTGACAGTGAGATCCTGTCTCAAAAACAACAACAACAAAAGCCATGTGGATTTTCAACTACATAGGGGGGTGGTAACCCTAACTCCATGTTGTTCAAGGGTCAACTATACAGGGAAATGTGTGTTATTTATTTAGCTGTTTTAGACCCATTTTTAGAAATGGTAAGACTTGACCATGTGCAGTGGCTCATGCTTATAATCCCAAAACTTTGGGAGGCTAAGGTGTGACAATCACTTCTGGCCAGGCCAGGAGTTTGAAACCAACCTGGGCAACATAGAAAGACCTCATCTCTACCAAAAAAAAAAAAAAAGAAAAGAAAAGAAAGAAAGAAAAATGATAAAGACTAGCAACTATGAGGAATCTAAGACAGCTCTTATTCTTTAGTCCTCCTTCTCTGTGTTACCCCTATTTCCAACCTGCTGCCATGTCTGATGGATATTCTGCAGTCTCATTCTCATTCATCTTGTTACTCAGGGACCTATTACTTCTTCCTTAGGCTATAGAAAGAGCCTACTTGTACTCACCCCATCTCTAAACCATCTGACAGGTCTTCCAGAATAAGCATCCTAATGCTTTGAAGCCTTAAAAAAAGTAGCACTATTTATGAAAAAGTCTAGTCAACTAAATTTGTGAACATTTATTAACCACTATTCTCATTCCAGACACTCAGAATATAATGAACAAGAAACTGTTTTTGCCTTTGGAGAACTCAATATAATGTGTTAACTTTCAAGCTCCTTTATCTTTTATCATTAATTCAATAAACATTTCTTGGGCTTCTACTGTGAGCCAGATACATGTTACATTGTAGGATAAGATATCTCAAGTGTGTTTGTGTATGTGTGTAAGGTTGGGGGCTGGTGGGGGGAGTCCTATCTTCAACGTGACCATGTTGCAGTGGAAAAAAAAGATGTGCAATTAAGTAATTGTAATTCAATGTAATAGAAATACCTGTTTTGCACTGGTAAATGATGATAAGAATCAGAACCATGAAAATGGCTGGTAAATGACGATAAGAATCAGAACCATGAAAATGGCTGGTAAATGACGATAAGAATCAGAACCATGAAAATGGCTGGTAAATGACGATAAGAATCAGAACCATGAAAATGGCTGGTAAATGACGATAAGAATCAGAACCATGAAAATGGCTGGTAAATGACGATAAGAATCAGAACCATGAAAATGGCTGGTAAATGACGATAAGAATCAGAACCATGAAAATGGCTGGTAAATGATGATAAGAATCAGAACCATGAAAATGGCTGGTAAATGATGATAAGAATTGGAACCAAGAAAACGGCTGGGGGATTTAGAATAAGGTAAGAAACATATTAAGGAAAAGCTGGTGAGAGATTTTAATTAGATATGTTCAAATGGTTATTGGATATGTTGGCCCAAGACTCTAGAAAGATTTAGAAGACCTGCCAGTACATGGAAAAGTAGCAGAACTAGTTGAAGCCATGGGCCAAGGACAGAAGCTTGGAGAACAGTATTTAATGAAGAGGAAGAAGAGAAACCTACAATGAAACTAAGAAGAAACATCACAAGCAGGAAGAAAAGCAGCAAAGTGATACAACAGAAATTCTTACTCTCTCATCTTCTAGGTAAACCGAACCATTCACTGATCCCTATTTATGGCTTACATATTGCCATCTGTATTAGTCCATTTTCGTGCTGCTGATAAAGACATACCTGAGACTGGGCAATTTACAAAAGAAAGAGATTTAATGGACTTATGGTTCCATGTGGCTGGGGAGGCCTCATGGTCATGGTGGAAGGTCTCACATGGCAGCAGACAAGAAAAGTGAGCTTGTGCAGGAAGACTCCCGTTTTTAAAACCATCAGATCTCATGAGACTTACAATCATGAGAACACCACAGGAAAGACCTTGTCCCCAGGATTCAATTACCTCCCACCAGGTTGCCCCACTGGCCCCTCCCAAATCTCATGTCCTCACATTTCAAAACCAATCATCCCTTTCCAACAGTCCCCCAAAGTCTTAACTCATTTCAGCATGAACTCAAAAGTCCATAGTCCAAAGTCTCATCTGAGACAAGGCAAGTCCCTTCTGCCTATCAGCCTGTAAAATCAAAAGCAAGTTAGTTATTTCCTAGATACAATGGTGGTGTGGGCATTGGGTAAATATAGCCATTTCAAATAGGATAAATTGGCCAAAATAAAAGGGCTACAGGCCCCATGGAAGTCTAAAATCCAGCAGGGCAGTCAAACATTAAAGCTCCAAAATGATCTCCTTTGACTCCATGTCTCACATCCAGATCATGCTGATGCAAGAGGTGGGTTCCCATAGTCTTGGGCAGCTCTGCCTCTGTGGCTTTGCAGGATACAGCTTCCCTTCTGGCTACCTTCACAAGCTGGCACTGAGTGTCTGTGGCTTTTCCAGGTACACAGTACAAGCTGTCGGTGGATCTATCATTCTGGGGTCTGGAGGATGGTAGCCCGCTTCTCACAGCTCCACTAGGCATTGCCCGAGTAGGGACTCTGTGTGGGGGCTCTGACCCCACACTTCCCTTTGGCACTGCCCTAGCAGAGGTTCTCCATGAGGGCCCCGCCTCTGCACTAAACTTCCATCTGGGCATCCAGGTGTTGCCATATATCTTCTGAAATCTAGATGGAGGTCCCCAGATGCCAATTCTTGACTTTTGTCCACTCGTAGGCTCAACACCACATGGAAGCTGCCAAGGTTTGGGGCTTGCACCCTCTGAAGCCACAGCCCCAAGCTCTACATTGGTCCCTTTCAGCCATGGCTTGAGTGGCTGGGACACAGGGCACCAAGTTCCTAGGCTGCACACAGCACAGGGACCTTGGGCCCAGCCCACAAAACCACTTTTTCCTCCTAGGCCTCTGGGCCTGTGATGGGAGGGACTGCTGTGAAGACCGCTGACATGCCCTAGAGACATTTTCCCCATTGCCTTGGGGATTAACATTCAGCTCCTCATTACTTATGCAAATTTCTAGGGCTGACTTGAATTTCTCCTCAGAAAATGGAATTTTCTTTTCTATCACATTGTCATGCTGCAAGTTTTCAAAACTTTTATGCTCTGCTTCCCTTATAAAACTGAATGTGTTTAACAGCACCCAAGTCACCTCTTGAATGCTTTGCTGCTTAGAAATTCTGCCGGATACCCTAAATCATCTCTCTCAACATCAAAGTTCCACAAGTCTCGAGGGCAGGGGTAAAATGCTGCCAGTCTCTTTGCTAAAACATAACAAGAGTCACCTTTGCTCCAGTTCCCAACAAGTTCCTCATCTCCATCTGAGACTACATCAGCCTGGATTTCCTTGTCCATATCATTATCAGCATTTTGGTCAAAGCCATTAGACAAGTCTCTAGGAAGTTCCAAACTTTCCCACATTTTCCTGTCTTCTTCTGAATCCTCCAAACTGTTCCAACCTCTACCTGTTACCCAGTTCCAAAGTCGCTTCCACATTTTTGGGTATCTTTTCCGCAGTGCCCCACTATAGTGGTACCAATTTACTGTATTAGTCCATTTTCACACTGCTGATAAAGACATACCCGAGACCGGGCAATTTACAAAAGAAAGAGATTTAATGAACTTACAGTTCCATGTGGCTGGGAAGGCCTCACAATCATGGTGGAAGGTGAAAGGCATGTCTCACATGGCAGCAGGCAAGTGAAGAGAACTTGTGCAGGGCGACTCCCGTTTTTAAAACCGTCAGATCTTGTGAGACTTATGCACCATCACAAGAACAGCACAGGAAAGACCTGCCCCCATAATTCAATTACCTCCCTCCAGCTCCCTCTCACAACACATGGAAATTCAAGATGAGATTTGGGTGAGGACAAAGCCAAACCATATCACTATCTCTTTTTCCTTTGTTCATGCTCTTCTTTTTTATCTATCATGCTATTTCCCCCTCCCACAGAGCTCTTCATATAAAAACCCTGCCTGCATTTTAGGCCCTGCTCAGTGACTTCTTCCAATATGCTTTCTTTGATTACACTATACCACTTCTGAGTATATATCCAACAGAACTGAAAGCAGTGACTCAGATACTTGTACAATGATGTTCAGAGCAGCATTTATAATAGCTAAAAGGGAAAGACACCTTAAATGTCCATTGACACATCAATGAATAAACAAAATTCAGTCTATAAATACAATGGAATATTATTCACTCTTAAAGAAACTGAAATTCTGATACATGTTATAGCATGGATGAATCCTACATTAACGAAGTAAAATAGGCCAGATACTGGAGGATGCATATTGTATGATCCCACTTAGATGAATTACCTATAATAGTGGAATTCATAGAGAAAATAGAATAGTGATTACCAGGGGAATGGAGTACGAGGAATCGAGAGTTAGTGTTTAATGGGTAGAGAAGTTTAGTTTGTGATGATGAAAACGTTCTGGAGATGGACAGTGGCGACAGTTGCATAACAATGTGAATGCACTTAATGCCACTGGTTAAAATGGTAAATTTCCTATTGCGTACATTTTATCAGAAAATAGAGTTAAAAAAAAAACTATTGAAAGTGGATTCAATTACTTTTCTTCCAGATTTGCTTTATCAACAATATTAGATGACAATATATTCTGCCCCTTTATTGTACATTTTATGTAATATTTTCTCATTACACAGTTGGTGAAAAGCACATGGCTAATTTTATGCTACTCATAGCCAGATGATGGTTTCATCTGACCCATGTGCTGACTGCTTATTAATAGATTCAAAGATAGCCTTCCTCTTGTAGTCAGTCAATAGCTATCCAAATTTCTCTAGATCGTTATGTATGAATTGTCTTCCTACATCTGGTGTCAGTCCCTGTCTCTTCCAGTCTCCAAATTAGCTGTTTATAAAGCAGTCTGCTGCTTGAAGGTCTTGTCTTGCCCAGCTCCAGAAACAACAGGAACCCAATGGATAAGTCTCTTCCCATAAGAAGTGGGCTTAGGAATTGTTTCTCATGAACAAGGCCTTTTTTTTTATTAAAAATATTCTACCTCTTTAATTTTCACATTTATAGAATATTTCTTATTGCTGAAATGTTTTTCAGGATTTTTTGTTTTTGAAATTCTCTGAATTGTGAAACTTTGGTCCTATGGCAAACCAATCTTAGTACTTAATGAATGTCTGATTGCATAACTCATCACCTCAAGGATTTTTTTCTCTTTTCAACATCAGAAGAGTAACTCTTTCACTGCATTTGGTTGAACATACAGCTGTTCCCAAAGGAGCTCCTTAATTTGTTCTCACTTTCTAAATTCACATGTAATCTTCTAATCAGTATCTTAAGACATTTTTACCCTTCTTTAATTTTTCCCTGATTTTATATGATAAGCGTGGCTCTTAATGGCAGCATGCACATTATAATCTCAAAACATATTTTTGAGTCAATGGATTTAAGCATAATTTGATTTTATAGTTGGTGAACGTGGCTCAATTAACTTCACCAGGTGTACAGTTAGTTGATCTTGGGCTCTATTTATAAGCTTGTTAAAATTCAAGAAAGGAAACAGAGAAAACTGATTTGCTACCTCCTATGTTTTAGCAAACAGTCTCACTGGATTACAATTTAATAAGTGGTAAACTTATGGAATGGTACCAGTAAATACTTACATATAGTAGTCTGTAGTCTGGTGGAATGGGTTTTGCTTATTTAAAAGTATTACTTTAGTTAGAATACCTGCTCAAAGTATTTTGTGGCCAGGTTTTTGTGGTCAGTTTTTCTCAACCAGGGTGTGGCTGGAAAATTAAGCTCTAGTACCCTAAGACATCCATTGTAAGTAATGAATTGACTTTTCTCCAATGTATCTAAAATAGTACATGTTACATAAAATCCTTGGGAGAATTCAGAAAATAGTCACTCAAATAACTTTGTGAATTGTGTGGTTCAAATGAGGAACCCTAGTTGAGAAAGCCTGAATGGTGATATTTTTATGATTATAGGTTTATTCTCCATGAATCAATGAAGGAGAATGGCTATCCTGTCCTGAGAGTCCAAAACATAACAGGGTCAGGGCAGTCATTATAAATACACTATCTAATGAATATAATAATTATTCTTTAAGATAGGTATTTCCCAGAAGTTAGAGATAAGAAAATTGAAGTCTGGAAAGTTGAGCAATTTGGTGGAACCAGACTGAGTAACTCAGAACCACGATTTGAACCCAGTTCTGCCTTGGTGGCATACTTCTACCTCACTTCACCCTTTTACACTGCCACCACTAGCACTTGTTGGCCTTCAATGCTTCAAAAAAAGTTCTAAGTATTAAAGAATCTTAAGCAGGCAAGTTAAGCAACAGGAATCCTTTGCACTTTACAAACATGATTTGATAAAGAATGGCTTAGCAGAGAGGCATACCAGAAGCATCCTGAATGAGGCTATTGTGATGGTCATGAATGAGGAAAGAAGCAGTATGGATGGAGACAGAATGACTGAAGAGATATTCAGACAGCGATTGACTGAATGGAAGTAGCCAAAAGAGTGGAGAGAAGAAAAAAGAAAATTATAAACGACATCAAATTGGCTATTACTCCTTGGATAACTCAAAACTGTGCATCTAGCTGATGGTAGGTCAGTGGCATTACTTTCATATATGAAAGACAGCATAATATTTACTACTTTATATATAAACTTTATTCTTGGGAAAAAGTTGTTAAAGAAAATAATATAGAAGTTTCCTTTGCCAGGAGGTAACGATGAAGAACAAAAGAAGTATGGAGATGTGAAATGAAAGCCATACCTTCCTATTTAGAAAGTTATGGCAATTCTAGATCTAATCCATGACAAGAGTTTGGTATTAAACTAGCCTAAGCCAGAGAAGTGAAATATTTATCAGACAAAAAAAGTCAACCAGGCTGTTCCCCTCAACAGGAAAGACTAGGTAATCTCTGATAGGTCCCATCTAGGGGCAGTGTGCATCTCTTCCCTGGCTGCCTTCAAATTGATCAGTTACAGTTCCTGTGGCTGCTGGGCTGTCCTTCCAGAATAATTATGTTTCTCCCCTTTATGCCAGCTTCTGGTGGTCACGTGCCTACCATCCCCCAGAGAGCCTCTCCCGTATGCTCCATTTAGTGCCCATGGCAGCCAGACCTACTCTCATCTATTACTTTGATCATCTTTTTATTATTAATGATAATAAAAGTATTTTTAAATTATCTACAAATAGATAAGCAGTTGGCATTATAAACTGAAGATAGTAAGTATTAATGTTTTCAAGGATGATCTAGGCATATAAGAATAACATGGAAATACCCAATTAATATACCTCTCAATTCTTTTCTTGTTTTCCTCCATTTTTTGATTTGCCACATTTAACAGGAAGTCAATATATTCCTCTGTCACCATCAGTTTTCCCTTATGGCTTAATGGAACTTCTAAGCCATGTGTACTCCGGACAGCCTACAAGGAAAAAACAATTTAGATATGAAGACTTAGATACCACAGAAACTGAAAATAACTCAAGAAAAGTCCCGTCAGGGCTGTGTTTGAACATACTTTAGTTCCATTACAACAGTTAAGTTAGCGCTTTGATAGAATTTAGCTGAGCACAGTTAAAGCAAAGGAGATTAAATAAAATTTTTTCCATCATCTACAGTCATTTCTAAAGAAAGATATTCTGTACGTTACCTTTCAGAGAAACAGATGATATCAAAGAATCAAATAACTTTTAACAATTTCAATCTCACTATAGCTTAGAAAGCCATAATACACGACTTAAAGAAAGAAAGAAAACCTCAACAGAAATCTCAAGGGAAAATAAAAAAGAACTGGATGCCAAAGGGTCTCAGTGCTCTTGGAGCAGAGCACAGTTACAAGAGTAAACTATGCCTCCTCTATCATACACAGGAGCTGCTTCTCAATGCTTTAGGGTTCACAATCTTAATAGCCCTGTTGATGAAATAGTCAACATGTTCCAAGTAGAGGCAAACACTGGATAGAGGTTAAGAACAACCATACAAGGTCTATAAAAATTATTATGAGAATAAAAATTCACTCCATACATTTTCTTTTTTTTTTTTTCAGACAGAGTTTCACTCTTGTTGCCCCGGCTGGAGTGCAATGGTGCAATCTCGGCTCACAGCAACCTCCGCCTCCCAGGTTCAAGCGATTCTCCTGCCTCAGCCTCCAGAGTAGCTGGGATTACAGGCATGCGCCACGCCTGGCTAATTTTGTATTTTTCATAGAGACGGGGTTTCTCCATGTTGGTCAGGCTGGTCTTGAACTCCCAGTCTTAGGTGATCCACCCACCTCGGCCTCCCAAAGTGCTGGGATTACAGGCATAAGCCACCACGCCTGGCCATTCCATAAACTTTTGCTGAGCATCTGCAATGTTCTAGGCTCCCTATAAGGCATGAAGATACAGGGTGACTATAACATGACCTCTGGCTTTAAGACTTATGACAGAAGAAACACACATGCATGCATGTGCATGTACATACACACACATACACACACACTGGCAAGAAAATGTTGAAGAGAAGCAACTGAGTCTAAGAACTCAGCTTTATGGGAAAGGCAGCAATTGAGTTGGGATTTTAAAGGATGAGTGCAATTTCACCAGACATAAAAATTAAGAAGGGGCCGGGCATGGTGGCTCACGCCTGTAATCCCAACACTTTGGGAGGCCAAGGAAGATGGATCACCTGAGGTCAGGAGTTCGAGACCAGCCTGGCCAACATGGTGAAACCCCGTCTCTACTAAAAATAAAAAAATTAACCAGGCATAGTGGCAAGGGCCTGTGTGTAATTCCAGCTACTTGGGAGGCTGAGGCAGGAAAATCACTTGAACCTGGGAGGTGGCGGTTGCAGTGAGCTGAGACTGAGACATTGCACTACAGTCTGGGCAATAAGAGTGAAACTCTATCTCAAAAAAAAAAAAAAAAAAAAAAAAGGAGCGGGGGAGAGAAAGGGAGAGGAAGAACTCCAGCCAGAGGCACCACTTATCTGTGGGCATAGAGACATAAAAGAGCATGATACCCTTGGAAAACAACCAATAGTTCTATATAGCTGGAGCATAAGTATGTAATTGGAAGACGAACATAAACAGGTAGATGCAAAATAGTCTGGGTAAGACCCTGAATACCAAGAAAATGTTTGGAGGCCCTGAGGTTTTTTTTATTTTATTTTTGAGACAGAGTCTTGCTCTGTTGCCCAGGCTGGAGTGCAGTGGCATGATCTTGGCTCACTGCAACCTCCACCTCCCAGGTTCAAGCAATTCTCCTGCCTCAGCCTCCCAAGTAGCTGTAATTACAGGCACATGCCACCATGCCTGGCTAATTTTGGTATTTTTAGTAGAGATGGGGTTTCACCATGTTGGTCAGGCTGGTCTCGAACTCCTGACCTCAGGTGATCCACCCACCTCAGCCTCCCAAAGTGCTGGGATTACAGGCATGAGCCACCGCGCCCAGCTGAGGCCCTGAGTTTTTTAAAGGGGGATTCTGAGAGCACTGGTTGGAGGGACTCAAGGAGAAGACCTAAAGTAAGAAGACTAGTCGGGAGACAATGGTAAAGACTGAGGTTAGGGATCTTGAGGGCTGGGCAGTGCCAGAAGACCTAGGGTGGGGTCAAGTATTAGAAACGAGGGGCAGCATGGATAGGACCTATAACGAATTGAATATGGAAACAAAGAAGAAGGTGAAAGAATGGCTCTGCTTTCATCTGGGATACCAGATGGAGTAAAGAGTGAGATGGGGACATAAACCAGTACTACGGGCTTTAATTTTCTTTTCTTTGTTTTTTTGAGACAGAGTCTTGCTCTGTCCAGCCAGAGCGCAGTGGCGTGATCTCTGCTAACTGCAACTTCCACCTCCTGGGTTCAAGTGATTCTCCTGCCTCAGCCTCCTGAGTAGCTGGGACCACAGCTACGCACCACCACGCCCAGCTAATTTTTGTATTTTTAGTAGAGATGGGGTTTCACCAGGATGGTCTCGATCTCTTGACCTCGTGATTCGCCTGCCTTGGCCTCCCAAAGTGCTGGGATTACAAGCATGAGCCACCACGCCTGGCCAGGCTTTGATTTTCTATTCAGCCATGCTTTAAGGGTGTCCTCTTTTGTCATCCACCCCTATTTGGGAAATAGGTTATTGTTAAAAATAGAAAATAGGAGAATATAGGAAGGTAGAAGGAGGGTAATCTCAAATAGTTCAAAAACATGCCATGCCAAACAGTAAATATCACAGGAGATCAGAATAGGGAGAAATATCTAAGGGCTAGCTTGGCTAGAGAAGGACTCAAAAAGAAAGCAAGTCTTAAAGATCATCTAGTCGAAAGGTCAGCAAATCTTTTCTCTAAAAGGATAGATAGTAAACATTTTTGACTTTGCAAGGCATATAGTATCTGTCACAACTACTAAAGTTTGCCATTGTCTCACAAAAGCAACCTCAGACAATAAGTAATCAAATGAGTATAGTGGGATCCTGCCCCATGTGGGCTGAATGTGGCCCTACGACAGTAGTTAGCTGGACCACTGATACTGCTGAGAAAATTCAAACCCTGAGGGACTGAGGAGCTTGCCCAAATTCACACAGCTGTGATCCAGCAGGTATCAGTAAAGGGGACTTTGAACTCTCTCTGTGACTCTTTCCATGATGTCATAGTGCTTTGGGGCCTTGCCTACTTAGGATGAGGAGGGCAGAGTTAAGAATCAGGTTAAAAGTAAGTGGAGAAGAATATTATTAAATAAGACCTCAACTGTAAATCCAAACTCTGGACTTTGCCCTGTAGGAAGGAGTAAGTCACTGAGGGTTTATGAGTAAGAGAATGGCAAGAAGATTTGAGAAAGGAGACATTAAAGGCAGGAGTCTAATTAGGTTATTCAATTTCTGGATCACTTTACACTAAAAAAATTACTCTTTGACAAAATATCTTACCAACATAGTTTTTCCTCTCTTTCCCACCGTTATGCCAGAGTTCCTGAAACCAGAATCTATTGCCATGGAATGCTGTAAGAAAATAAAACTTGTTACATTTTGATACTGTGGGTAACCAGATCATCTGTTTGGCTCCACAAACTACAGAAACATATATAACCCTAAAAGCTATTAAGGTTTTTAAAAAAATTTTTCGTCTAGCCAATACGGACTATGCTTAAAAATGACTTTGATCAAACTCCTAACATCAGGAAAAATATTGAAATATGAACTATGGATGTGTCATTGAGAAAGAGTAAAAGTAGAATTCAATCACAAACAGTGACATTTGGCTAGTGATTGCTTCCAGAAAGCAGAATGTAACCAAAAAACAATCATTCTTCTAATTGTGTTGTATAAAAATAAACAAAACAAAATCTTTTAAAATGAGTACAATGTTTCTCAATATCCCTTCTATTGCTTAAAAAACTTTGTTGAAATGATATAAGAAAGCATAGCAAGCACACAAATTCTGATCTGACTGAGGTGACTTTGTAAGTTATTTTGTCAGTCTCTAAATGTCAGAGAGCCCTGGGGAGCAGACATGGGTCCCTTATTTTCTCCAGCTCAGTAGTTCTTAAGCAAGAATAATTTTGAACCCCAGGGGCCATCTGGCAATATCTGAAGCCATTTTTGGTTGTCACAACTCAAGGGAAGAGGAAGGGAGATCTCTAGCAAATAGTGGGTAGAGGCCAGGGATGCAGCTTAAACATTCTCCATTATACAGGACAGCCCCCACACAAATAATTATTTGACCTGAAATGCCAGCTGTGCCATGGTTGAAAAACCTTGCTCTAAGTACATGCTCTCCTTTTGAGATTCCCTGGTTTAAATACCATATATACACACATATATGTATATATGTATATACGTGTGTATATATGTGTGTATATGTGTATATGTGTGTGTATGTGTATGTATACATACATATGTGTATACACATATATACGCACCCATATATATACATATGTGTGTACACATATATATGTACACATGTGTATACATATACACACATATACACATACATATATACATATATGTGTGTGTATATATGTGTATACATATATATACACACACACATATGTATACATACTCACATCCAGTCTTTCTTTTCTTTTCTTTTTTTCTTTTTCTTTTTTTTTTTTTTGAGACGGAGTCTCGCTCTGTCGCCCAGGCTGGAGTGCAGTGGCGGGATCTCGGCTCACAGCAAGCTCCGCCTCCCGGGTTCACGCCATTCTCCTGCCTCAGCCTCCCAAGTAGCTGGGACTACAGGCGCCCGCCACTACGCCCAGCTAATTTTTTGTATTTTTAGTAGAGACGGGGTTTCACTGTTTTAGCCGGGATGGTCTCGATCTCCTGACCTCGTGATCCGCCCGCCTCGGCCTCCCAAAGTGCTGGGATTACAGGCGTGAGCCACCGCGCCTGGCCCGGTCTTTCTAATTACAGTAAAATGACACCATCATCTATCTAGCTGCTCAAGCTCCAAACCTAGATAGCCCCGATGCTTTCTACTTCTTCATCCCCTATACCCAATTCCCATTGATTCTACCTCTACGATTACCTCAAATTAATCCAGCTCTTGCCACATCCACTGCCCACTCTTTTTCAAGTCTCCATCACCTCTCTCCTTAACTTCTGGAGGAGTCTCCCAATTAGTCTCTTCTTTCACTCTTGCCCCTTCAAACCATTCTTACAGACTAGCTAGTGACAGAATCCAAGCTCTAAACCATGACTAATGATGTTCTATTTGCTCCAGCCCTTGCTATTTTCTCTAACCTTGAGTGGCTTCCCTTCTGTTCTTTGAATACTCCAAACCCTTTCCTGCATCAACTTCTTTATTTTTGCTGTTCCTCTGTCAGGACTACTCTTTTCCTGGCTGGTTTCTTGTCATTCATCCTGTTTCCATTCAATGCTACTACCTAAAAAGGTCCTCTTCTTTTTTGAGATGGAGTTCCACTCTTGTCACCCAGGCTGGAGTGCAATGGTGCAATCTCGGCTCACTGCAACCTTCGAATAAAGGCCTTCTTTAACCACCTCTTTAAATGCAGCTCTCCCCTGACTCTCTAGTGGAGTGCCCTTCTTATCTCCTTCACAGCACATCTCACAGTGAGAAATTCTGTTTTATTACATACTTATTGTCTGCCTCTGTCCCCTAGAATACAAATATAAGCTCCTTAGGTAAGGACCCCCCTCAAAAAGGGGCTGTGAATGAGTGAATTTCTCAGTTCCTCTAAGTCCACTTCAATTAGCTCCCTGAAATGTTAGCTTTCCAATGAGGCTTAGGCCCAAAGAAGAGCATGGCTGGGCTCAGTCAGGATTAGCACAGAGAACAGAACATGGATATAGAAACAGGAGAGTTAAAGTCTGGAGACACATCAGTGATGTGATGTGGTATAATGAGACTAAAATAAGGTTAGATAAAAGTTCAGGGTTAGAGCAGAGACTGAAGCCATGAGCCACTAAATGATTAAACACCATGTTTTGGAGACTGTCTCTAAATGCTCGTGTTCCTCAAGCCCTCTTCTCTTTTTCTTCTGTACTTTCTCCACAGGTGATTTCAACTAGGCTCATGGCTTAAAATAATAATTGTGTATTGGCATCTTCTCAATGTCTGTCCTCAGTCCACATGGCTCCCCTGAGTTCCAGACTTCTACCCAAATGTCTATTTGAAATTTTCACTTAGGTGGTGTTTTTACGGACTGAATTGTGTCTACAGGGCTTCAAAATTCATATGTTGATGCCCTAACCTCCAATGTGACTATATTTGGAGATGAGGCCTTTAAGGTGTTAATTAGGTTAAATGAAATCATAAGGATGGAGCCCTGATCCAACAGGACTGGTGTCCTTACAAGAAGTAGAAGAAACAAGTGACATGCATACACAGAGAAAGGGCCATGAGAGGACACAGGGAGAAGGCAGCTGCCTGCAAGCCAAGGACAAGGGCCTCAGAAGGAACTACCCCTGCCAGTACCTTCATCCTGGACTTTCAGCCTCCTAACTGTGAGAAAAATAAATTTCTGTTGTTTATACTACCCAGTCTGTGTTATATTGTTATGTCAACGCTAGCAGACAAAAACAGGTGTCTTAACAGACATTTCACACTTAACATATGAATCACATTCTTGATTTCCATTCCTTCTGAGAGGTGAGGCCAGCTGGACTTCCTGGGTCGAGTGGGGATTTGGAGAACTTTTCTGCCTAGCTAGAGGATTGTAAATGCACCAATCAGCACTCTGTAATAACGCACCAATCAGCGCTCTGTGTCTAGCTAAAGGATTGTAAACGCACCAATCAGCACTCTGTAAAAACGCACCAATCAGTGCTCTGTGTCTAGCTAAAGGATTGTAGATGCACCAATCAGCACTCTGTAAAATGGGCCAATCAGCACTCTGTAAAATGGACCAATCAGCTCTCTGTAAAATGGACCAATCAGCAGGATGTGGGTGGGGCCAAATAAGGGAATAAAAGCTGGCCACTCGAGCCAGCAGTGGCAACCTGCTCAGGTCCCCTTCCAAGCTGTGGAAGCTTTGTTCTTTTGCTCTTCACAATAAATCTTGCTGCTGCTCACTCTTTGGGCCCACACTACCCTTATGAGCTGTAACACTCACTGCGGAGGTCTGAGGCTTCATTCCTTTAGTCAGTGAGACCACTCGCCCACCGGGAGGAACAAACAACTCCAGATGGGCCACCTTTAAGAGCTGTAACACACTGCGAAGGCCTGTGGCTTCACTCCTAAAGTCAGTGAGACCACGAACCCACCAGGAGGAACAAACAACTCTGGACGCGCCACCTTTAAGAGCTGTAACACTCACTGTGAATGTCTGCAGTTTCACTCCTGAAGTCAGCGAGACCATGAACCCACCGGGATGAACAAACAACTCTGGACACACCACCTTTAAGAGCTGTAACACTCACTGCGAAGGTCTGTGGCTTCACTCCGGAAGTCAGCAAGACCATGAACCCACAAGAAGGAAGAAACTCCAGACACATCTGAACATCTGCAGGAACAAACTCCGGACACACCATCTTTAAGAACTGTAACACTCACCATGAGTGTCTGCAACTTCATTCTTGAAGTCAGTGAGACCAAGAACCCATCGGAAGGAACCAATTCTAGACACATTTTGGCAACCCAGATGGGACACATTTGGCGACCCAGATGGGACACATTTTGGCGACCCAGATGGGACAATCGCCTATTGCCAAGTGGTGAGTACCATTGGACCGCTTTCGCTTGCTATTCTGTCCTATTTTTCCTTAGAATTTGGGGGCTAAATACCAGACACCTGTCAGCCAAACACTCACGCATCAACAGGTTCACCCTTGAAATGCATCCTAAGCCATTGGGACCAATTTGACCCGCAAACCGTGAAAAAGAGGCGGCTCATTTTTTTTTTTCTGCATCACAGCTTGGCCCCAATATTCTCTCTCTGATGGGGAAAAATGGCCACCTGAGGGCAGTATAAATTACAATACTATCCTGCAGCTTGATCTTTTCTGTAACAGGGAAGGTAAATGGAGTGAAATATCTTATGTCCAAGCTTTCTTTTCATTGAAGGAGAATACACAACTATGCAAACTTGCAATTTACATCCTACAAGAGGACCTCTCAGCTTACCCCCACATCCTAGCATCCCTATAGCTCCCCTTCCTATTAATGATAAGCCTCCTCTAATCTCCCCCTCCCAGAAGGAAACAAGCAAAGAAATCTCCAAAGGACCACAAAAACGCCTGGGCTATCAGTTATGTCCCCTTCAAGCTGTAGCGGGAGGGGAATTTGGCCCAACTTGGGTACATGTCTCCTTCTCCCTCTCTGATTTAAAGCAGATCAAGGTACATCTGGGGAAGTTTTCAGATGATCCTGATAGGTATACAGATGTCCTACAGGCTCCAGGGCAAACCTGTGATCTCTCTTGGAGAGATGTCATGCTACTGTTAGATCAAACCCTGGCCTTTAATGAAAAGAATGTGGCTTTAGCTGCAGCCCGAGAGTTTGGAGATACCTGATATCTCAGTCAAGTAAATGATAGAATGACAGCCGAAGAAAGGGACAAATTCCCCACCAGTCAGCAAGCCATCCCCAGTATGGCTCCCCACTGGGACCTCGACTCAGATCATGGGGACTGGAGTCATAAACATCTGTTGACATGTGTTCTAGAAGGACTAAGGAGAATTAGGAAAAAGCCCATGAATTACTCAACGATGTCCACCATAACTCAGGGAAAGGAAGAAAATCATTTTGCCTTCCTCGAGCGGCTATGGGAGGCCTTAAGAAAATATACTCCCCTGTCACCCGACTCACTCGAGGGTCAACTGATCCTTAAAGATGAGTTTATTATCTAATCAGCTGCAGGTATCAGAAGAAAGCTCCAAAAGCAAGCCCTGGGCCCTGAAAAAATCTGGAGGCATTATTAAACCTGGCAACGTTGGTGTTCTATAATAGAGACCAAGAGGAACAGGCCCAAAAGGAAAAGCGAGATCCGAGAAAGGCTGCAGACTTAGTCATGGCCATCAGACAAACAAACCTTGATGGTTCAGAGAGGACATAAAATGGAGCAGGCCAATCACCCGGTGGGGCTTGTTACCAGTGTGGTTTGCAAGGACACCTTAAAAAAGATTGTCCAACGAGAAACAAGCTGCCCGCTTGTCCATGTCTGCTATGCCAGGGCAATCACTGGAAGGTGCACTGCCCCAGAGAACAAACGTTCTCTGAGCCAGAAGCCCCCAACCAGCTGACCCAACAACAGGACTCAGGGTGCCGGGGGCAAGTGCCAGCTCATGTCATCACCCTCACTGAGCCCTGGGCATGTTTAACCATTGAGGGCCAGGAAATTGACTTCCTCCTGGACACTGGTGTGGCTTTCTCAGTGTTAATCTCCTGTCTCAGGGAGTTGTCCTCAAGGTCCGTTACCATCCAAGGAATCCTGGGACAGCCTGTAACCAGGTATTTCTCCTACCTCCTCAGTTGTGATTGGGAGACTTTGTTACAGATAGTAAGTATGCTTATCTAATCCTACATGCCCATGCTGCAATATGGAAAGAAAGGGAGTTCCTAACCTCTGGGGGAACTCCCGTTAAATACCACAAGGAAATTATGGAGTTACTACACACAGTGTAAAAACCCAAGGAGGTGGCAGTCTTACATTGCCAAAGCCATCGGAAAGGTGAAGGAGAAAAGGCAGAAGGAAACCGTTGGGCAGATGCTGAGGCTAAAATTGCTGCCAGGCAGAACATCCCATTAGAAATACCTACGGAAGGACCCTTGGTATGGAACAACCCCCTCCAAGAGGTTAAGCTCCAGTATTCCCCAACCGAAACAGAGTGGGGACTTTCACGGGGGCATAGTTTTCTCCCCTCGGCGTGGTTAACGACAGAAGAAGGAAAGGTACTTATACCCAAAGCCAGCCAGTGGAAAATACTTAAAACCCTCCACGAAACTGTTCACATGGGTATTGAAAACACGCATCAAATGGCCAAATCCCTATTTACAGGGCCAAATCTCCTCCAGGCCATCCGACAGGTAGTCAAAGCCTGTGAGGGGTGTGCCAAAGGAATAATCCCTTAGTTCATCCTAAGGCCTCTTTTGGGGAACAAAGAGTAGGTCACTATCCCAGAGAGGACTGGCAATTAGACTTCACCCATATGCCTAAGTCAAAGGGATTTCAATACTTGTCGGTCTGTGTTGATACCTTTACAAATTGGATAGAAGCTTTCCCCTGCAAGACAGAGAAGGCTCAGGCAGTGATTAAAGTCCTAATTTATGAAATAATTCCTAGATTTGGGCTTCCCCAAAGCTTACAGAGCAACAATGATCTGGCTTTTAAAGCCATGATAACTCAGGGACATTTCCAGGGAGCTAGGGATACAATATCACCTTCACTGTGCCTGGAGGCCACAATCCTGAGGGAAGGTCGAGAAGGCAAATGAAACACTCAAGAGGCACTTAAGAAAACTAACACAAGAAACTCATCTCCCATGGCCTACTCTTTTGCCCATGGCCTTGTTGAGAATCCAAAATTGTCCTCACAAAATGGGGCTCAGTCCCTATGAAATGCTGTATGGAAGAACTTTTCTCACAAATGAACTCCTACTTGATCAGGAAATGGCCAACTTGGTCAAAAATATAACTTCTTTGGCAAAATATCAACGAAACCTTAAAAACCTACCTGAAGGATGTCACAGAGAAAAGGGAACAGAGTTGTTTCAACCAGGAGATCCAGTGTTAGTCAAATCTCTCCCCTCTACCTCCCCATCTATAGATTCTTTGTGGGAAGGACCATACTCGGTAATCCTCTCTACCCCCACTGCAGTTAAGATGGCAGGAGTGGAATCTTGGATTCACCACACCCCAGTTAAATTTTGGACACCCCCGGAGGAACCTGCGGGACCATCAGCTCAGGAGTCCCAAGATCAGCCAGACCAGCCTCGATACACCTGCGAACCATTGGAGGACTTGCATCTCCTATTTTGGAAGGAAACATCCCAGACTAAAAAGGCTCTTACCTCTGATCCTGAGGAAAAACCCATTCCTCCTTAAAAAATATAAGTGAAAACCTACATAATCTTTAACACCTCTCTTTACCCCTTTAATGGAATCCTTTTACTATTTCATCATATTTTCTAGCAGCATACTAACCATACTCTTTGTGATAGGACTATATACTGTAGCCAAACGAGCTCAACTAACAACTTCTACCGAGGACCCCTGGACGGACCCACTGGCCCTTTCACTGGTCTAAAGAGTTCCCCTCTGGAGGACACTACAACTGCAGGGCCCCTTCTTCACCCCTATCCAGCAGGAAGTAGCTAGAGCCGTCATCGCCAAATTCCCAGCAGCAGTTGAGGTGTCCTGTTTAGAGGGTGGATTGAGAGATGAAGCCAGCTGGACTTTCTGGGTCAAGTGGGGACTTGGAGAACTTTTCTGTCTAGCTAGAGGACTGCAAATGCACCAATCAGCACTCTGTAAAAACGCACCAATTAGCGCTCTGTGTGTAGCTAAAGGACTGTAAATGCACCAATCAGCACTCTGTAAAAATGCACCAATCAGCGCTCTGTGTCTAGCTAAAGGATTGTAAACGCACCAATCAGCACTCTGTAAAAATGCACCAATCAGCGCTCTGTGTCTAGCTAAAGGATTGTAAACGCACCAATCAGCACTCTGTAAAAACGCACCAATCAGCGCTCTATGTCTAGCTAAAGGATTGTAAATGCACCAATCTGCACTCTGTAAAATGGACCAATCAGCTGTCTGTAAAAGCGACCAATCAGCAGGATGTGGGTGGGGCCAAATAAGGGAATAAAAACTGTCCACCCGAGCCAGCAGCAGCAACCCACTTGAGTCCCCTTCCAAGCTGCAGAAGCTTTATTCTTTCACTCTTAATAAATCTTGCTGCTGCTCAGTCTTTGGGTCTGCATTACCATTATGAGCTGTTAACACTCACTGTGGAAGTCTGCGGCTTCATTTCTGAAATCAGCAAGACCACGAACCCACTGGGAGGAACAAACAACTCTGGACATGCCACCTTTAAGAGCTGTAACACTCACTGCGAAGGTCTGCAGCTTCACTCCTGAAGTCAGCAAGACCACGAACCCACTGGAAGGAAGAAACTCCGGACACATCTGAACATCTGAAGGAACAAACTCCGGACATACCATCTTTAAGAACTGTCACACTCACTGCGAGGGTCCACGGCTTCATTCTTGAAGTCAGCGAGACCAATAACCCACTGGAAGGAACCAATTCTGGACACACTTCAACTTCAGCACACCCCATCTGGATAAAGGCGACTACCATACAGCTAGGGGCTCCAGCCAGACCTAAGTAGTTATCCTTGATTCCTCTTTCTCCTCCTCCCTCTGGCTGTCCTTCCCCAGACAACCTTACAATTCTGTTGATTCAAATGCTGAAATACATATTGAATCTATTCCTTTCTCACCTGCTTTGGTGCTATCACCTTACACCAACCTATCACCACAAACTACTCCTAACTCGTATCTTTTCACTTACTGCACTCCTTTCTCTATGCTGAAGCAGAACTGAGTTTTTCAGAACAAAAACCTAGAAAGCCACTCTTTGCTTAAAACTGTCCCTTCAATAACTTTTCCCTGAACTCAGAAAGAAATTCAAACTCTTTAATCTGGTCTACAAAGCCTTAAATGACCTGGCCCCAGCCTCCTTCTGGCACCTTCTTTCCACTCTCTAGACCCACTGAAACTTTGTATATACTTTTCCATCTTCATGGAATGTTCATTTCCCAGCTACATGCCTAGCTCTTTCTGTTCCTTTAAGTCTTAGCTTAAAGAAAGCTTTTCAGAGAAGCCTATCTTCAAGTGAGCTGCTTTTTGCACTGTTCTCTATTACCAGGTTGTTTTTTCCTTCGGTAGAACATTTTGCAACTTGCAGTTTGTTTTTTGTTTTTTTGCCAGTTCACTTGTTTGTTTTTGCTGTCTCCTAACTTTGGAAGAGGAACCAAGACAGTCTTTAATCTTGTTCATCACTGTGCCCCTAGTACTTGACACACTGAGACTCAATACATTATTGTTGCTTAAAATGCAATTCAGTTTTATATATAAATATATAAAAGGTATAAAAAGGAGAATCAAGACTAAACAGATGTTTACCTCATGCATGCTCATTTAAATGGGAAAAATGAAATATTCTTTAAAACTCTTAATTTTACATGTAGTTCCACAGTATTTTTTCTTAAAGCTTGGCAAACAAAAACAAACTATAGAATGCTGAAGTAAAATTTATAAATAAAAACGTTAAGAAAGAAAACAGGAAGCATAACCTGGGACTTATATTTTCCTAGCAATGATTAGCTACTCTTTTTTTCTAATATTAAAAATTAATAGATTGAGCAGACCAATAAATAATATATACATAACTAGTTGAATAAGGTAATATCTCATTGATATTTATAGCAGGTTAAAAGCTTAAAATTACATCTACCCACATATCTATAAATTCAAGTACAATTACAACAAAATTTTACCAGAATCTGTGCATCCTGCAATTGTCGACACTGCACATGAAGAACAAATGGTTCAAATTTCAAAGTGGCATCACCATTTGCTTTCTTCAGAGCTACAATCTAAATAAATGAACAGTGGTATCAGATGCAAGTATATGGCCTGTCCTTTGGCGACCCTTTACCCCATACATAACTTCAATTTCTCTTAGAAATTTTCAGAATCACTCAGCATATTTTTTCTGCAGTAACTTTTCCCTCTGCTTTCTTGGTCCTTTTTCACCAAAAATTTATTTGCTTATTTTCTTAAAATTTCTAGTTCTCCCGTAAATCTTCTATACCATTCTTTCCACCTATTAGTGTGCTTTGAAGAAGTAAACTACTACTTTATTTAATTCCATAACGGATTTTTCATTAGGAAATGTAGTATACAAAAACTGTATTAGGATTGTTTAAATTTTTTGTTAGATTGAGATAGAGACAAATGTAATGTGAGAGAAGGGTCCAAACAAAGCCTAACTGCCACCCATGTTCCCAAGAAGCATCCTGTACCAAGCACCAGTGCTTACCAGCAGCACTAGTAAGCTCACAAATAGCAGTGCATGCAAAGAGCTCAGAGCACAGCCAGTGAGTTCCTGTTCCCTCTGTAACAGGCACAGTTGTTGTAACAATTGCAACTTGCAGTTTTTTTGTTTGTTTTTTTTTCCCTGTTCACTTGTTTGTTTTTGCTATCTCCTAACTTTGGGAGAGGAACCTTGGAACTGCTCAGCTACATGAGAACCAATGGCCCCTGAGCACGTTCCTAGCTTTCTGTATTTCAGACCCTATGGGGCAGTGTTCAGGGTCTGGGAGCTACTGCAGCACAAAGTGGGGTACATGCCATCACTCTGCCCTGATCAGCTGTGGAACCAATCTGCTAGCCATGGGGACTGACACATTGCAAAGGGCTAGATCTTGTGTAGTCTCTTCCCTCCTGCTATAAGCAAATGTTACAACACTTGAGCCTAGTATGCGTGTTTTTTGTTAGTGACCTTGAGTCAGGTACTAGTCTCTTCCCTAGGTAGCACTTGCCTGCCTTTTAACCTTGGCTGCACCCATGTTACAGTGTATCCTGCGGCGTAGTCTGACCACCTAGTGAAACATGTAATATTGTGTCTGAGCTAGAATTTATACAAGACAGTTATTATTTCTGTCTGCCCAGCATCCCCGGGCAACATCGTCCTGCCTTCACACCATTTGATTTCTGGTGGGGCTGTCAATCATTACCCTGTCACACATCACTCTCCCTATCACAATATCAGAGGTGCCAAGTGCTTGCTTATGTCTGATCAAGGATATCATCACATTCCACTAGCAAAAATAATTAACCTAAGAGGGAGAGCACCTAATCTAAGCAGGACAATTCCAAGTCCTTCTCTAAGATGGACACATGAATTGCAGGAAAAGGAGTTCTTTTTCTACTGGTGTTGCTGACAGCTACCATTTCTGCAACAAAGATTATCTGCAGCAGAAGAGAATAAAGGCACACTGCAAAGAGAACCAGTGCCTAAAGATGAAGATGAAGTGGGTACTCTGAAGACAAGATTTGAACATCTGAACCAGCAATACTTGATTCTAGCTCCATTCGCCCTTTCCAGTTAAATAAATTATCTTTTTTGCTAAAAACAGAATTGGATTTGTAAATTCACTGGGAATGAAAAGTGCCTGGCTGATAAAAACTTATGAATTCATCTAAACTCTTTACCTTAGGAAACTAAATAACCCAGCAGAGATATGAAGATTTTCAAAAAGCAATGCAGGTAAGTAATGTATTATTTATTTATATCAGTAAAGCTGGTAACACAGAGATAGTGCTAATCCCCTTCTCTTTCCATAATTTGTTCTAGGTTACAGGGTTTTCAAATAGCAGAATTAAAATTCAAAATTTGGATCCAATAGGTGTCCAATATCCATGAACTTTCTGCTGTGTCCAAGAGGATGTGTTTTGTTGAGTAGCAGTAAGTAATGCTTCCATACTTTTTATCTCCTACAACCCAAAAAGAGCCATTGTAATGAAAGCTCTCTAGGTTTTATAATCTTCAGCCATTATAACTCTGCATATAAATTACCTTGAATTTTCTATTCTTGTCATATGTATTTAAAGTAACTGAATTTAAAAGTTTATTTCCAAATTTATTTTTTAAAACTTACCACATCATCTTTTACACAAAGTTTGTGTGTAACCAGTAGCCAGCAACAGTTTTGTTTCTGAACCTCAAAACCATTTATACCCTAAAATAAAAAATAACATAATTTAAGTTTCATATAATATTTTACAAAAATAATAAGCATAATGCATAGTATATTGTAGGCTTTCTTAAATTAATAATCCCAAGTCAGGATTTTAAGTATTAATAAAAACAATTCGGTATGTTTTTGGGTAATGTTAACCCAGAATAAGAATGAGCCCAAATAACTTGAGGTAGAAAATTATGTGAAAGGTAAAACTACTTGATAAACATCTTCTGAAATATGGTCATGATTTTGCAAGAAAAAAAGGGATTAGTATAAGGGATAATACTAGCAGCACCTGAGTTGTACTCTAGCTATTTGGCTAGCACAGTATTTAAAAATGAAAAAAAAATAATTTTAATTTCTTTTGTAGGACAGCACTGTCCCAATTCCACACAAGACCTACTACCCTTTATTGTCACCTATGCCGTTTACACATTTATAATACTTCCTTGGTCTCTAGAGGCATAAATTTGTGACCTCTGAATTAGACTTTAGATGTAGTCCTGAAGGATGGAGCTAAGACTGAAAGGTCAAAGTTTCATGAAGGCAAACATTTTAATATTAACTTAAATTGAACAAATGTTTATTTGCAAAGTTCTATTAGGTACTTTGGGTATACACAGAACCTACCCCTCAAGGACACTGGAAAGGGGATGCAGGAAACCACATGAACAGAAATCACTATACTCAAAGTAACTATAATTTATACGATGGATCCACAAGAGACTCTGCTGTCTGCCCTTGGAACCGGGAATTGCTATGCATGTCCTAAATAAATATTTTGACTTCATTGTATGACTTCGGTGATGGTGACTTACGTATCTGACATTGTGCTGGCTACTCTGAATCTTAGAGCCAAATGTATGGCCCACTTCTAGCAACTTTACAGGATCTAGTGGTGGGATTGGCAACTAATGCCATCGCTGGCTTCATCTTATCTATATTTTCTTTATCCAGATTTTCCCACTTTTTATTTTTTCTTGTGTTGCCTGTTTGTAAGTTGCCCCAAATCCTTACTGAAATAAGGCAGATTTTAAAATAAACCATAATACGAGGTGTAAGATAAGAAATAAAAGTCTAACCAGTACAGAAGCAGTCATTACTTCCAAGTAGGTAGTATGTGTTTGTGGGTTCAGGTGGGAGAGGGGAGTTTTGGGAATCATGTCTCAGATATGCAGAGATAGGAAAACATTTCAGGAAAAAAACCGCCAAAAAACATGAGCAAAAGCAAGTAAATACAAGATGAAAAGAACAGTTTAGTTTCAGTAACTAGCTAAAGATGAAGAAAAGCAATGAAAAAAAGGTTGAAAGGTATACTAGAGTAAGCATTTGGATTTTCTGATGTAGAAAAATGTGTAATAAAACATAGCATAGGTGAGAGATAAGCAGAGTTGCAATTTGTCAAACATGGTTTGGAGAAGAATAGTTAAGTGGCTTGTTAGAGAACCATTGCAAAAATCAAGGCGAGACAGAGTTATGGAAATGGGGCAAGAGAGAGTTTGTGGGCAAGAATGCCATTGCTCTGAAGGTGATGGAAGTGATTTAAAAATGAACAGGCCCTGCTAACTTGAGAGATCAGCAAATAAATGATCAGTCAATAATGGACCTAAAGAATGAGCCTAACAATGTGCTGTCTTCCATGCTCTTAAGCCAATACTACGAATAAAATCAGTACACAGCCAACTTTTACAGTGCATGGGCCAGGCACAAAGCCAAATATTTCAAAAAAAATTATCCTATTTTCTCCACACAAAATCCCTATAAAGCAGATACTTTTTATTATCCTCAGTTCATAGAACAGGAAGGGGCAGAGTTGAGATAGCTTTCCTAAGGTCACATAGCCCGTGGTTTTTAATCTAAGCAGTATCACTCCCAAGCAGCCTTATCCTCAGGGGATATGTCCCAAGACCCCCTAGTGGATGCCTGAAACCTCAGATCAATTTCTTTTTCCTTCTTCACTTCACAATTTCACTGACAAGATTCATTCTTTCCGTAGATCTTAGCAACCTCAGCATATGCTGTTTTTTCTTTCCTTAAGTCTTTCCTTAAGAACTTTCACCTTTTCACTTCAAAAAAGCACTTTAAAACTTACTGTTGGCAGATCCAAATCGCCAGCATCATTACTCCCGTACTTTGGGGCCATTATTAAGTAAAATAAGAGTTACTTGAACACAAGCACTGTGATACCACCACAGTCGATCTGATAACCCAGAAGGCTACCAAGCAGCTAAAGGGCAGCAAGAATATATAGTGGAATATTCTGGACAAAGGGATGATTCACCTTCCATTCTGGAAGGAGCTGGTTGGCTCAAGATTTTATCACGCTACTCAGAACAGCATGCAATTTAAAACTTACTAATTGTTTATTTCTGGAATTTTCATTTAATATTTTCAGACTGCTGTTGACTGGGGTAACTGAACCTGCAAATAAGGAGGTATGGCTTGTACAGCTGCTTCTTGATTTATGATGGGGTTACATCCCAATAAATCCGTCATAAGTGGAAAATGTAAGTCAAAATGCATTTACTACCCCTGTAAACCCATCATAAAGTTAAAAAAAAAAGTCTAACCATCCTAAATTATATACGATCGTACTTTTCTCTGCGTAAAACTACTAGAGTTGTAATAATGGAGGGGCTCACTAGGAGGCAGTAAACTCCTTAACACTGGTGATGTTCAAGCATGCAGTAACAATGATTTGCCAGAGCTGTTGATGAGCGGATTCCGGCATTCAATACCTTAGCAAGCTACAAAGTCTTTAGATTCCCTTAGTATTCATATAATAAAATCAAATTTTCTAAACTTTGCCACACAAGATAGTTCCCAGGTCAGCAGTTTCAACATCATTTGGGCACTTGTTAGAAATGCACAGTATCAGGCCCTACCCTACACTTAAAGAATCGGGATCTGTATTTTAAAAGATGCTCAGCTGATTAATAGCCACGTTAAACTTTTAGAAGCACTGATCTAATCCCCTAAATTTCACATATAAAGAAACAGAGACCACCCCTCAGAGGAGCAAACACAGACATGCTGGATCCGGTCGTCACTGGATGGGAACAGGGCTCCTGAAGTTTCGCACTAGAAGGCAGGCGATGGACAGGCGCAAAGGGGCCTCACCCGGTCAAGGAGTAGGATGCGGCCAGCGCAGGAGCTGGTGGTGAAAAACTGATCTCGCATGTTCAGAAACTGCACAAGCTCTACCACATCCTCGTCAACACTGCCCTTCCGGCTGAGGTCCGCTTTGCTCAAACATTGCGCCTTCCATTTCCTGAACTCCGCGCTGCGATCCATGGGTGACGGACTCAGGGTCTGCGCTCGGCTCCTTCATGGTAGCCTCGTCTCTCCCTGGGGGCAGCCATATTGAAGCGAGCGGTGGCCGAAAAGGTCCAAACTTCCTCTTCGTTCTTAATTTGGGAAATTCTAGTGCCTTCGCCTAGGGGTGGAGAGAGGCGCACATCCTGGGTGGAGCGAGGCGCACATCCTGGGTGGAGCCTGCAAAAGTTGGAGAAGGTGTGGCAGTCCTCATTTCTGTGGAATCTGAAGAAGCCCACGCAGATTTTAATTCCCACTCTAGATTCTGGTAAGTGGTTTTAAAAACTCTCCTTAGTTGTTTAGACAGCGAATCTCCCCACTGCTCGTCCAAGTGGAACCGAGTTTGATTTTGGCTGCACCCCTTTCCTGCCCTCTGTCCTCCCAGAGAACTAGTGCGTAGAGCTCCAGACCGAAGCCATTCCCCTCCAGGGGCTGCAAGTTCCCATCCATAAATCAGGTAGGAAGTTTTGCCTTCTGGTCCTGGGCTCCTAGCCCTGGTCCTGCGTTTAGGCTCTGAGTTTAGGCTACCACACCATGAGGTGTCCGTTGGCACTACCCCTGCCCAGCCTCCGCCCCCCGCACTCCCTGTCCCCCAGCCCCACGCTGCACCCCCCCCCCCCCCCCCCGCCAGTCACCCGCTTGATTTTTCCCTGCAGCCAGTGCCTGGGTTTGGGGATTCCTGCAGCAGCGCCCAGCGGTCTGTCCAGGGCCCCTTCCCACAGCCCAGCTCTCAGCTGTAGAGGATTTGTCCTAGGTAGGGCCCCTTCCCACAGCCCAGCTGTAGGGGATTTCTTCTCCTAGGTAGGGCCCCTTCGCACAGCCCAGCTGTAGGGATTTGATTTCTTCTCCTAGGTAGGGCCCCTTCCCACAGCCCACCTGTCAGCTGTAGGGGATTTCTCCTAGGTAGGGCTCCTTCCCACAGCCCAGCTGTGGGGGATTTCTTCTCCTAGGTAGTGCCCCTTCGCACAGCCCAGCTGTAGGGGATTTGATTTCTTCTCCTAGGTAGGGCCCCTTCCCACAGCCCACCTGTCAGCTGTAGGGGATTTCTCCTAGGTAGGGCTCCTTCCCACAGCCCAGCTGTAGGGGATTTCTTCTCCTAGGTAGTGCCCCTTCGCACAGCCCAGCTGTAGGGGATTTGATTTCTTCTCCTAGGTAGGGCCCCTTCCCACAGCCCAGCTGTGGGGGATTTTTTGTCTTGGATTCCCACAATTACAGGTTTCCCGGAGCTTCCTCCAGCTTTGCCATCAGGATTGCAGTCTTTGAGAGAAATGTATAGTTTTATTGACCCTGTGACGCCCACCACCTAGAATAATCTTCAAAAGAAAATTACAAAACACCCTGTTAACACATCGTTGGATGTTTATACTGAGTTTCTAGAGGAGACTCAGTGACCAGGGAAGGTGTGTCAATGATTAAACCTAAAGGCTAAAGTTTGGAATGCTTGTCCGTAGCTAATGGAAATTGTTGTGCGAGTCCCTCTGAAGCCACTGTGATTACGTGTCTGGTTAGCGCAGCGAGTTCAGCAGCAAATCTCTCCAAGCTCTACTCCTCCAGCATTAGGGAACAGACTGCCCTGTTCCATACGATCATGGAACCTGGAGGAGTCCGAAATTATTAAACTCCTCCCCTCTTCTTACCCCGTCCTATCTCAAGTGAACAGAAGTGACCTGATAAGATCACACAGCCAGGAAGAGACTTTCTCTGACCACTTGTAATTCTTGCCTTTTTTACATTTCTGGGTTAATAATAAACCATATGCTTACATGAGTCATTGTGTATTAGCAGCAGAACAATTTGTAATGATTGATTTTTTTTCTAAGTTTTCAGTTTTTAAAATTCTTGCCAGAATTCTTATTTAATTTTACTTTTGCTCTTGTCTCATAATGTTCCTTTGCTCTGGCTTTGTGACTTGATCTGTTCATCCTATGTTAAAATATACTCCTAACATTTTCCCAATTCCTTTAATTTTCGTTTAAATCAAATGGATACAAGCATAGCCAGGAAAAAGATCACTGTTGGAAGAGGGATTTTAGATTTTCTATTTCCTAGATTTGTAAGGCATATTGGCAACCTTTCAGAGGTAAAATTAAACCAAAAATTAAACCAAGGGACTCTTAATTTTTAAAAGTTTATATTTGATAAACAGGAAGGCCTATTTGAAGTATAGTTTAATTAAAAAGCACAAGCAATGGAAAGGCCTGTCCTGTTCACAAGGATCCGATGCTAGGGAGTAATTTTTTTTTATACATTTTTAAAAATAGAATCATGTCCTTTGTATTTCTGCTGCATTCCCTGACTTAGTGGGCATTTGAGAAATTTCAAACTCTAAGCAGATGCCTTAGTCATAAAATATGCGATTCTACCTGCAGGTTAGTTTGATTTCACATTTTCTAGCTCAATCTGTCTCACTATCACTATTGTAAAGTTTATTTCTACGAAGTAAAGGGTCTTATATGCCAGCATCTCAAAGGGTGAGATGAAAAGGATGGTAAAGAAAAAAATCAGCTAACACCATTTAATTACAGGACTTGGGTTCTAGCTTTGCTTCTGTGTGACCCTGACCAAGTCTCTTAACCTCTTGTGATGTTTTCTCATCCATAAAATGGATGGCGATTTTATTTTTACTTCTGCATAAAATAATAGTTTAAATAACTTCTCTACCTGTTCTGAAAACAGTTAAGTCAATGGAGGTGGAAGACTTATGCTTTTTAGAAGAAATCCGGTATTACAGGATTTTAAGTATTATCCTATTTGCCATCAGTATGCCACGTTATTTTATTCTTTGTGTAATCTCCTTTGACAGGCTTCATCGTTATGAAGCATATGATGATCCCGTGGATAGGTGAGTTCAAAGGCAATGAGTGCAGGTTGGAGCCTGATGAATCAGAATGCTAAAGGCTCAGTGGGAGATAAGATCAACAGAAGCAAAGTAGGAGATAGTGTGGTCAGGCCATGCCCCATCACTTTCAAGCCTGATAGGATAATGTAGTCAGATAGTACTGGGCAAAGCAGATGAGTCTTCCAAATCCAGTAGGATGAGTCATCTTCCTTTATTCCTTTCTCCCAACTTAGCCAATGCCAAAATGTGGGGGGGGAAAGATACAGATCCTATTTCAGAGTAATTTTACTTTTATTATTACAACAGTTTTTTTATGGTAATCATGAGATGTGAGTGAAAGAAATATGTAGGAAGTAGGTAGATATCGAAAATGGAAAAAGCAAGCATCTCATAGGCTATGTGTGTAGGTGTGAGAGAGAGAGAGAGAGCACCCAGCTTACAGAAGCTAGGGGCAGGGTGGGGCATTTTCTTCTTGCTCTTTGTGTTCTCTGAGTTTAACACACCACTTCATGTACAGTTAAGGTTCAGAAAAATACGCATTGCATAACAACCAATATTTAGTATTAATGTTTTGTTTAAGTCATCTTCTAGACCGAATTCTTTGAGAATAAGAGCTTGTTTTGATAACCAGAGTTCTGTAAATATCGTTATATTAAAGATGATTATAGAACTATAGAGTATATTTTTTTCATAACATTTTAATGACTTCTCTAGTCTGCTGCTTTTTTTTTTTTTTTTGAGACAGGGTCTCACTCTGTCACCCAGGCTGGAGTGGTGCAGTGGCAGGATCATGGCTCACTGCATCCTGATCTCCTGGGCTCAAGCAATCCTCCCACCTCAGCCTTCTGAGTAGCTGGGACCACTGGTGCTTGCCACCACACCTAGATAATTTTTTTTTTTTTTTTTGTAGAGATGGCATTTCGCCATGTTGCCAAGGCTGGCCTTGATCTCCTAGGCTCAGGCAATCCTTATGATTCAGAAATTGAAAAGAAGAATAGAGGGGAAAACAATAATGATGTCTACTATATACAAGATCATGTGTTTGCTAAGTTCTGTGCTTGGTGCTTGCCACGTCTCTAGCACGTAACTCTGAGTGGGATCCCAGATTTCAGATGAGGAAACAGCATCAAGAGGTTGACTGCCTTGCCCAAGGCCATGTGGCTCCCACATGATAGAGCTGGGACTCACACCTCGAGCTGCATATTCCAAAACCTGCTCTTTCCGTAACGTCATGTTGAAAAAAAAAAAAACAAAACAAAAACAACCTCTATGTTCTTATATCCACCATGGAAAATTCTCATCTGGGCTACCTTTTTCTTTTTTATTTTCTTGATACTTTCACTTTCTTGTCTAAGGAATTCTGAGCTAGAGTGAAGACCTGAATGGAAGTAGAGTGGTGAGATTGCTGAGTAGGACTGGACTGTTTTTTTCCCAGCCCTGCCCTCTGACAGATCATCTCCCCGTCAGAGACTGCCAAGCTGTTCTAAAGTGCAGTGTTTATGCCGTAGGCCTGCTTCTGCCTCTGTTTTTCCCCGAGGACCACCCTTGAGGATATGTCATTGCTAAACAACCTTTGGAAATGTCACTTTCTCCTTTGTGCTAGACATTGTTAAATCCTTTTAAGGGTTTTAAAATGGCACAAACTTTTGATTAATTATATCAAGAACTTCCCATCAATAACACTACCAAAATACTTATGATTCCACCCCTTGCCCCAGCTGCTGTATGTGGAAATGTGGAATGACATTTTATAGCCTGTATGGGCTCTGTTCTGAGTAGTCCTGTGTGGAGTTTTGATACAGTAAAAGTCTGAATTCTTTCATATCAGGTCCTGGTTTCTGCAGCTCTTCTTAATGTTTAAGCTTCTTGTGGTTGAGGCAGATGTTTTAGGTGATGGCAGAATCTAACACTATTTGGTTGATTTCAAGAAATTATAACCCACAGATAAAATTATGGGGATATAGTCAAAACCTTTCATTACATCTTTACAGGTACAAAAATTTTTCTAAGATTATATAACTTTCTGTACAAATGTTCTTTGCTTTTTTCTAGGTTATTTGAACTCTGAGTTTTCATTTCCTTTGGTATTAACAGTGATAGGACAGAAAGGTTAGCTGTGACCTTGTAATTTATAAAAGATTGCATATGGTGCACTGTTTTTAGTTTTTTGATGTTTTTCCCCTTTTGTTAAAATGAATGAACTACATAAAGCCAAGTGTTTTGACATTGATAAATCTCAAAAACTTAATGCTGAAAGGAAATAGCGAATTGTAGAATTCTTTTTCAAATCAGAATTTTCTTTTTCCTTTCAGCACTAAGTTTCTGAGATTTTTATATTCCCTAAACTGTGTAAATAAAGTTTGAAAACATGCAAAACAATAACACATATTGTTTAATATTACATACTCATGTAGAAGTGGTATTAAATGCTTGAGAATGATGAGTACTAAATTTATGGTTATAGTCACCTCTTGAAAGGGTGGGACAGAAGCAGGTTTGGCTTCAATTATATCTATAATGGTTTAGGTTTTTTAAATGTTAAGATTTGTTAAAGCTGGGTAATATCATTTGGCTCTGTCGCCACCCAAATCTCATCTTCAATTGTAGCTCCCATAATTCCCACGTGTCATGGGAGGGACCTGGGGGAGGAATTCAATCATGGGTCAGGTCTTTTGCATGCTATTCCCATGATAGTAAGTCTCATGAGATCTGTTGGGTTTTTTTTTTTTTTTTTTTTTTTGAGACAGAGTCTCGCTGTGTTGCCCAGGCTGCAGTGCAGTGGCTGGAGTGTAGTGGCATCTCTCAGCTCACTGGAAGCTCCACCTGCCGGGTTGACGCCATTCTCCTGCCTCAGCCTCCTGAGTAGCTGGGACTACAGGCGCCTGCCACCATGCCCGGCTAATTTTTTTTTTTTTTTTTTTTTTTTGTATTTTTTAGTAGAGATGGGGTTTCACTGTTAGCCAGGATGGTCTCGGAGATCTGATGGCTTTATAAAGTGGAGTTCCTCTGCACATGCTCTCTTGTCTGCCACCATGCAAGTTGTGCCTTTGTTCTCCTTTGCCATAATTGTGAGGTCTCCCCAGCCACGTGAAACTGTGATCCCTTAAACCTCTTTCCTTTATAAATTGTACCCAGTCTCAGGTGTTTCTTCATAGCCATATGAAAATGAACTAATACGGTAAATAGGTACCATTAGAGTGGGGTACTGCTGTAAAGATACCTGCAAATGTGGAAGCGACTTTGAAACTGGGTAACAATTGGAACAGTTTGGAGGGCTCAGAAGACAGGAAGATTTGGGAAAGTTTGGAACTTCCTAGAGACTTGTTGAATGGCTTTGACCAAAATGCTGATAGTGATATGGACAATAAAGTCCAGGCTGAGGTGGTCTCAGATGGAAATGAGGAACCTGTTGGGAACTGAGCAAAGGTGACTTTTGTTGTGTTTTAGCAAAGAGACTGGTGGCATTTTGCCCCTGCCCTAGACATCTGTGGAGCATTGAACCTAAGATGATTTAGGGTATCTGGCTGAAGAAATTTCTAAGCAGTAAAGCATTCAAGAGGTGACTTGCGCATTATTAAAATCATTTAGTTTTATGTATTCACAAAGATATGGTTTGGAATTGGAACTTATGTTTAAAAGGAAAGCAGAGCATAAAATTTCAGAAAATTTGCAGCCTGAAGATGCAATAGAAAAGAAAAACCCATTTTCTGAGGAGAAATTCAAGCCAGCCGCAGAAACTTGCCTAAGTAAGGAGGAGCCAAATGTTAATCATCAAGATAATGGAATGGGGAAAATGTCTCCAGGGCATGTCAGAGGCCTTTGCGGCAGTCGCTCTCATCACAGGCCAGAGGCCTAGGAGTTAAAAAATGGTTTCCTGGGCCGGGCCCAGGGCCTCCATGCCGTGTGCAGCCTAGGGACTTGGTGCTCTGCATCCCAGCCATAGCTTAAAGGTGCCAACATACAGATCAGGCCATTTCTTCAGAGGTGCAAGCCCCAAGCCTCTGAGGCATTCATGTTGTGTTGGGCCTGCCAGTGCACAAGAGTCAAGAATTGAGGTTTGGGAACTTCCACCTAGATTTCAGAGGTTGTGTGGAAATTCCTGAATGTCCAGGCAGAGGTATGCTGCAGGGATGGAGCCCTCATGGAGAACCTACCTCTGCTAGGGCAGTGCAGAAGGGAAATGTGGGCTGGGAGCCCCCACGCAGAGTCCCTACTGGGACACTGCCTGGTGGAGCTGTGAGAAGAAGGCCACTGTCCTCCAGACCCCAGAATGGTAGATCCACTGATAGCTTACACTGTGTGCCTGGAAAGGCTGCAGACACTCAATGCCAGCCCATGAAAACAGCCAGCAGGGAGGCTTACCCTGCAAAGCCACAGGGGCAGAGCTGCCCAAGGCCATGGGAACCCACCTCTTTTATCAAAGTGACCTGGATGTGAGACATGGAGTCAAAAGAGTTCATTTTGGAGCTTTAAGATTTGACTGTCTCGCTGGATTTTGGACTTGCATGGGACCTGTAGCCCCTTTGTTTTGGCCAATTTCTCCCATTTGGAATGGCTGTATTTACCCATTTCCTGTACCTTCTTTGTATCTAGGAAGTAACTAACTTGCTTTTGATTTTACAGGCTGATAGGCAGAAGAGAGTTGCCTTGTCTCCAATTAGACTTTGGACTGTGAACCTTTGAGTTTATGCTGAAATGAGTTAAGATTTTGGGAGACTGTTGGGAAGGCATGATTGGTTTTGAAATGTGAGGACATGAGATTTGTGAGGGTCCTGGGGTAGAATGATATGATTTGGCTATGTCCCCACCCAAATCTCATCTTGAATTGTAGCTCCCATAATTCCCATGTGTCATGGGAGGGACCTGGTGGGAGGTAATTGAGTCATGGGGGAAGGGAGTTCCCATGCTGTTCTAGTGACAGTGAATAAGTCTCACAATATCTGATGGTTTTATAAAAGGGAATTCCCCTGCACAAGCTCTCTTGTTTGCCACCATGTAAGACATGCCATTGCTTCTCCTTTGCCTTCCACCATGATTGTGAGACCTCCCTAGCCATGTGGAACTGCAAGTCCATTAAACCTGTTTCCTTTATAAATTATCCAGTCACCAGTATTTCTTCATAGCAGTATGAAAATGAACCAATACACTGGGTGTCAGGTAAATGTTTGGAATGTTTCATAATCTAACAAAAGGAGGTCAGTTTACCTAATGTTAATAAAACTCAACTCATAAAATTTCTAAGGTATTGCAACTCAAGCAAGAAAACCTAAATATGGTATCATGCTATGTCTATCCAGATGTTTTTGTTTGCATGTTTGATTCCTTTGTTGAAGGCACTGAATCCCTGCAGGAAGTAGCATGAAGGATTCTGCTTTATAGCTGAGGGATTTGTAAGATGAAAGGTCCTTAAACATGAAATGAGATCAGTGGTAAGCTCATGATTTAAATTGTTATTTGAAAAAATTGTTTGATCTGCTCCCTCCAGGGGGGAAAAACATGGTGATATCCTAGATACAATGTGACAATACATTAATTTTTTTTCTTCCTTAGTATCTAGATCACCATGGCGACTGGACAGAAGTTGATGAGAGCTGTTAGAGTTTTTGAATTTGGTGGGCCAGAAGTCCTGAAATTGCGATCAGATATTGCAGTACCGATTCCAAAAGACCATCAGGTAGAAATAAAATTACTTTATTGAGGCTATAATTATACTGAGTGTGAGTCTCTTGCACATTGTATTAAAAAGAAGCAGACTCACAATTATTTTTAAAAACATTGAATTAGGATGCAGTTTACACTATGTATACATATGGACATTGATAAAGTTAACATAAACCTGATAATTAGTGAAGTAGATGTATGAAAAAGAATAACCTCTGGTTATAAGAAAATTTTTGATGTAGGGAATGATCTATGTAGTGCAATAATTGGATTTTTCTGAATGGACACATAAGGAGTTTTGAATAAGTTATTCTATTACAAACATTCATGATTTTTATTTTTTGCATGCTGGGAAAACAATTTTCTTTTGCATTCATGCTTTTTCATGTGTGATTCATGAGAATTTAAGTATATAGTTTAATCATCTCCAGTGACTTTAACAATACACTTTTGATTTTAAATTATGTATTTTTATTACTGCACCCTCCATGGCTCCCAAGTCTAATTTTCTTAGCAAGCCTATGAGAGTCTTTACAGTTTGGATATAACCTATCTTTACAAATTTATTTCTCATCACTTCCTCTCCATGTAGAGATACAGTGCTGTAACAACATCAGCTTTTGTCCAATTTCCTTAATACTTCCTTTCATTTCTCTGTCTTTGCACATGCTATTTTTTTTTACCCAACCTATCCTTTCTCTCATTCCTAAAGAATTTCTACTTATCTTTTAAACCCTAACTAAATACCACTTCCTTTATAAAGCCTTCCCTTACTTTTATACCAGAGGTAATCATTCTGTGTTAATTAAGGTAAAATTAGCTCCCACAATTGCTGTAACCTAAAAATTGCAATAGTCCAGCCATGGACAATTATTTCTTATACACTAAATTTAAAAGTTCTCAAATGTGGGTGGGTAGCTGTTCTCCAACAGTGACTTAGGGACTCAGCTTCTTCTTTCATGTGGCTCTGCCACCCAACCCGTCTTCAGGGTCTCCATGGAAGAAGAAAAGCACGATGTGGCTTGGCTGGGAAGTTTTAATGGGTCAGGTCTGCAAGTGTCTACTGTCACTTTTGCTAACATTCCATTGGCTAGAACTCAGTTACTTGGCTACTCATAACCATGAGGGAGGCGAAGAAGTACCACTCTTTCTGTGTACCCAGGAAAAGGAGAAAACGGGTTTGATGAACACGCAGAGGTCTCTGCCACATATCCCCTTAGATATTTCTTTCACTATTTTCCCCAAAATGTTTTTAATGCAGTACATAAGCCATTCTGTCATACTTATTTATGTTAGCTTGTAAAACTTGGAATGTGAGCTTGTTGAAGGCAAGCACTTATTTGTTTTGCTTTTGTCTCCCATTTTGATAGCTCCCATAATCAGCACAGTCCTAGCATAAAGTTAAATGAATGCCTAAATTCTTTCTGTGAACTAAAATACATTGTCATTGCAGGTTCTAATCAAGGTCCATGCATGTGGTGTCAACCCCGTGGAGACATACATTCGCTCTGGTACTTATAGTAGAAAACCACTCTTACCCTATACTCCTGGCTCAGATGTGGCTGGGGTGATAGAAGCTGTTGGAGATAATGCATCTGCTTTCAAGGTATTGCATTTTTAATTATTTCTATTTTGGCTGAATTTATTTCATAAAAATATTTGAACATAGCTTTCAACTGCATCTTATTTAAGGTTTTAAAAGGCCCCATTACACAATTTCTGCCACTCGGGGGACTCCTCTAGTCAAAAAAGGAATTAAGAAATTAGATTTTATCCAGAGGCCTTATTTGTTTACTACATTGTAGTGAATAGGTGCTGGGTAATTTCTGTATCTTCATGTCCCCACAGAATGAACTGTGATTTTTTTTATTTAATAGAAATATGTAAGGAAAGAAAACACACAAGGAAGTTAGACTATTTCCTAACTCTTGATGATACATAAGCTAACATAATTTTTAATTTCTCTTATAAATTTTGCTTCATAATATAAAGAGAAAGTTAATTCTTTTGAAAAATAAGTAAAACATGAAAAAATGCAAGGTCACTATACAGTTTTGGAGCCCTGACTCAGTGAAAATGTTATGCTCAGGATATATATATATACACACACACACATATATATATATATATGCCCAAAGACATATTCATAGTAAGCTCATGTCCTAGCATCTTTCCTCATAATTCCTTGACCTGCTCAACTTTGGCAGCACCTTACCAAAATTAGGTTGAGACAGAGAAGATTACTGTGCCCCTGTACAGGAAGACTGGCAAATTCATACAGCTTTCCACCCCTCAGCTTGTGGCAACCTGGCTTCTGCCCCCATCGCTCCACTGAAAGGATTCTTGCTAATGTCACTAATGGCCTCTGTATTGCTGAAGTTAATGGGCCCTTTTATGTCATTATCTTTCTTGATTTCTCTGTGACATTTGACACTCTTAGCCACTTAACTTTTTCTTTAAACTTTTTCTGCAGCTTCTGTGACATCATTTTCTTCTGTTCTCCTCTCCCCCTCCTTTCTGGGCCTCCGTTTTCAGGCCTCTCTTTTTCTCTGGATATTCCTTAAATCTTGGTGTTGTCTGGGGCTCTCAGTCTCTATTTAGACCTCTGCTTTCTGTATTCTTTACCTTTTTCATAATCTCATACACTCTTTTTGTTGCCATTATCACATGTTACATCTTTAGCATAGAATTTTCTGCTAAGCTCTGGATCTGTGCTATCCAAAACAGTAGCCACTAGCTACATGTGGCAATTTAAAATTCAACTTAAATTCATATTGAAAATTCAGTTCCTGAGTCACTCTAGCAACATTTCAAATGCTTAATAGCCTCCCGTGTCCAGTGGCTATCCTGCTGGACAGTGCAGATGTGACCATTTCCATCATTACAGAGAGTTCTGTTGGAGACACTAGACTCACATGATCAACCTCCAGAAATCTCTTACAAAACATGTCTAAAACTAGCTTATCTTTTCTCACTGCAGATAGCGCCTCTCTTGTGTGACTGTCTTGGTGACTTCTGGGATTTGAGGATTACTCCTCGCTTTCCCTTACTAGAACTGTTTTCTCTCTCCTTTCCATTTCCACTGCCAGTAGTTTAGTTCAGGCTATCTTACCTACTTAACTATACCCCTGACCTGAATTTCTATAATAGACACTTTCTCTTTTCCCTGGAATTCATCCTTACTCTAGAATGAATCACTTTATAGAATTTAATTCTGATTGTTTTACACCTCTGTTTTCATTCTTGCATCCATGTCTTGTAGACTTCAGGGAGACTCTTAAAATTCCTTATTGCTATGAAATAAGACTGTTTCATGCTCTCTCCCATCTGTCTTTCCAGTCTTAACTCCCACTCCTCCTCACAGTGTAGTTTATTCTTCAGTAATGAAGTGTTTGTCCTTCCCTGCACATCCCATGCTCTCTCATCTCTGTGTTTTTGTTCATATTGGTTCTTCTAATTGACAGAATTAAATTGAAACTTACAAACATGGATTCAAAGGATTTTACACTTTAGCTTCAATTTCTTTTCATTTTATCTCCTGAAACAGTTACATACCACACATTAGTCTGCTTACTCATTGGTAATAAATGCTGCTAATTTCATGGCATTTATTCCTGTCCCTATCGTTTGGCCAACTTTGTTTCCTTCACCCGTAATGACTCTTCCCCATTCTAGTTTTCAAAATCTTGTCCTGTTCTTCAAGATTTACCTCAATTGTTAGCTTCTCGATAAAGCTAGTCCTAATTTCCTCTACTTAGAAGTAATTTCTTTCTTTTTCTTGTACCTATCTTCAGTGGCTCATCATGTTTGCCTTGCTTTTTGTAATTATTTCTATCCTTTGCTTTTCTCTCCTCCGAGAGTCTAGGATGCTTGAGGTTAGGGACAGTGGTATTGATGTGCCTCACATAACTTGAAATAATGCTTTCTATGTAGTATATTCGCAGTAAATGTTTGAATTATATTGAAATCAATTCAACATGTTTTTTAGCTGTTAAAACTGGATTAATCTTCATCATATTTGACATTTCTGGGCAACCATATTAAGCGGTGATACTTGTCTTTGACTCTTGGATGGCTTTTGAATCTTTTTTGTCTTTATCCTATCAGATAACATTTCTACATTTTCAGATTTCAGTTAAAGTATACTGAGCAATCATTACCTTAATAATTTGCCTATTCTAAGGAATATCTACTTTTTTCTAAAAAGGAGGAGTTAAGGTAGGTGGTTACGGTGGGCAGTCTAATTTTCCCTAATGTGCAAATTACATACTGGCCCAATAATGCCTGGCCTAGGGCATTGTTTCACCCTGAGTCCTGCATCTACTTTTTAATAGTGAGGTCCAGCAGACATTTGTTGAGGCTTTACTGTGTTTCTGGTGCCGTGACAAGAAGAAGGCTGTCCTGGGTCATCCTGCTGTCAGGGTCCTAGTATGGTTTTCTGCCTTTGGGTGTTTGCATGAGAAATAACGGCAATGCAGGGGTGAGGAAACTCATGGATGGGATTTAGAGTAGGTGTTTGGTGTGCGGAAGAAACTTCATATCTTATTTGTTTCTTCTCCCTAGCATTTTGGACAAAAATAACAGTTTATATTGACTGCTATTTACTAGCTGCTTGATCTGAGGAAATTATTGAACTTCTTTGTTCCTCAGTTTACTCATCTGTGTAGTGGGGATTGCTCTAAAGTAGAGATAATACATGCCCACCTCACTAGCTGTTGTGAAGATGAAATTAGATAACACTCCAGAGACACTTAATGCAGTGCCTGGTATAGCAAGCTCTTCATGGACTGAGCCATCAACATCATTATGATGCCATTCAAGGAAGTTTATCCTTCTTTTTCTTATATGTTTTCTGTTTTCCTTAGATTTTCTTCCCATTGGTTCCCATTAATAAATATTTTTAAATGTGAAGTATTTTAAAATGATTTATGGCTGGGCATGGTGGCTCACACCTGTAATCCCAGCACTTTGGGAGGCCGAGGTGGGCACATTATGAGGTCAGGAGTTCAAGACCAGCCTGACCAACATGGTGAAACCCCGTCTCTACTAAAAATACAAAAATCAGCCGGGTGTGGTGGTGCGCGCCTGTAATCCTAGCTACTCAGGAGGCTGAGGCAGGAGAATTGCTTGAACCCAGGAGGCGGAGGTTGCAATGAGCTGAGATCATGCCATTGCACTCCAGCCTGGGTGACAGTGCAAGACTCTGTCTCAAAAAAAAAAAAATTATTTATATGAGACCCTATAGAGGACAATATATGAGTACTCACTTATTTCTTGTTATAAAGGATTATACCTATTTTGACATAATATGTTTAGTCTTCCTGCATTTATTCATTTATCTCTTCCCCTAGAAAGGTGACAGAGTTTTCACTAGCAGCACGATCTCTGGGGGTTATGCAGAGTATGCTCTTGCAGCAGACCACACTGTTTACAAACTACCTGAAAAACTGGACTTTAAACAAGGAGCTGCCATCGGCATTCCATATTTTACTGCTTATCGAGCTCTGATCCACAGGTAATAACACATTCTGTCAATTTTATGGCCAATGCCAAAAGAGGGTAGTGTTAACTGCCTGCCTTCTAGCTGTCTGTCCATCCATCTGTTCATCATATTTGGTTACCAGTTACTTACCATTAAACATTTATATAATGGAAACTGTGAATTTGGGGAATTGTGCTAATCACTAGGGATACAAAGAAGAGCAAACACTGTCTTCAAGATGCTCACAGTCTAGTAAGGGAAATGACATAAGAGTGATCATATTTATATATAATGTGGAAAGTACAGTGGTAGAGATGTGCATAGGGATATATAGACTCAGAAGGCATGTGCCTGTGGTGATGAGGTAGGGCTTCCTGGCAAGGTGTAAGACTTAGATTATTTTAAAGCCATGGTTCAAAAATCTTGTTATCCATTAGAATCATCTAGGCAGCAATTTAATAGTACACTATTGGGCCCTACCCCAGACCCTCTGGTCAGTTTCCATAGCTGGTGCCTGAGAGTCTATAGTTTAATCCCATCTACTAAGTATTTGAAAAGCATCAGAGGGAATTCACCTCAGGAAGGGTAACTAGAAGGAGAGAGGACATTCTGGACAATGGGAATAGTATGGGGAAAAACAGTATGGTGTGTGGGAACAGCTATAGAAACTTGATTTTGTTAGAGAAGAGATTTCAAGAGAAAGAGTAGCGAAGAATAAAGTTGGAACAGAGTAATCTCTCAATAAATGTTAGCTGTCATCAAATATATAGAATTCAGGTTGTAAAAGACAGATTATAGAGCTTATCCATTGCTCTGTAAAGGACTGGAAGTAATGAAATGCTTTATTCAGGAGACTGCTATTGTCATATTTATGTTTTATTGAGATGACTTATCTGCTGTGTGTAGGATGGATTTGAGGATAGGAATGAAGAGATAAGAGCGTCTTATAGGAGTCTCCACTAGACAAAATCCTTATGGGCCAGAGCAAGGGTTCTGGTAGAAGAAGTAAGTAGAGAGGAAAGAATAACTATTTAGTGGGGGTAAAATCAGGGGTATTTGGTGATTATTTTCAGGTAGAGAATGAGGAAGAACTTAAGAGTAGTCCAGCTTTCTAGCTTGGGTCATGTTTAACTGTGACAAAGAAAAGAGGGAAAAAGTTTCAAAGGGAAGCTGTATTCAGTTTTGGATTTGAAGTTGTGAGAGACACATCCTAATGGAGAAGTTCAGTAGCCTATTGGATAAAAAAGTGGGAAGCTTGAAGACTGGAGATACAAATTTGGGGATAGCAGCATGTAGGTAAGAATTGACAAGGTGAAAAGTGGTTGAAATTCCTCAGAGAGTGAGAACACTGGAGTGAGAATAGAGCCCTTGTGAACATCACCATTTAAGAATGTAGTCAGAGAAAAAGGATAGAGTTGTAAGAGACCGAAAGGATTCCATGACCGGCAGAATCTAGAGGTCATGGTATTCCTTAAGCATCCAGTGAATGCATGGACTTTGAAGACAGAACAGCCTGGGTCAATGTCTTCACATAGTACTAGTTGTGTGACCTTGGTTAAGTTACTTAAACATCTCAAGGGCAGTTTACTGATTTGAGAAACATAGATAATGACAGCACCTACCTGCTAGGGTGTGGTAAGAATTACTTGGAGGTAATGTGTATAAAGTTCTTAGTACGGGGCTGGCACAGGGTAAGTGCGCAATCACTGCTGGCAGCCTTAGGAGTGGCAATTGATATTGATACTAAGGAGGGAGGCCAGCTGTCAAATGCAACAGAGGTCTGTTCAGAAAAAAATGACAGTTGGGCCCAGCAATTAAGAGGTCATTGGTGACATTAGTCAGTTCCTTTTCAATAGAATGGTGGGAAGAGCTTGACTGAGTGGATTGAGGAAGGAAGAGGAAATCAATTCCTTGAATGGAAACTATTCTTTTAAAAATGGGGGAGACAAGGAAGAGAGAGTAGAAGGTTACTTGAGGAGAGTATGTGGAAAAAAGGGATTTTTTTTTTTAAGGATAGACAAGACTTGAACATATTTACAGATGGAATAAGATCTGCATAAGGCAAGATGGAAAGGACTTAGGACATAGGTAGAGAGATTGGCTTCCAGTATGGAAAGCACAGCTCATCTGTAAAACCTAGAAAGGGTAAAGATGATATAATTATGGAAACATTTATGGATAGGGAGATGGAGTGTTGAAGGTACTTGTGTGTGATTGCGTCACTTTTCACAATTAAGTAGGAGGCAAAAAGTGATATTTTAAGAATCAGAGCTGAAGTGGCACCAAAATGCATGGTCATGTGATTTTTTTCTGTAATACTTAGCCATTTGGATGGAGTATCAAGGAAGCTAGATTTGAACATTAATCCAGGGCTAGAATGCTGGTGGCAAAATTGAATGGTGCAAAAGAAATGAGAGCACAGGGGCTGCGGGGAGAGGAGGCTGGGCAATCTATGGAGTCCAGGCTGAGTAGGGACGGAAGGAAGGCCTGGAGCAGCAAGTGGGCAGAAATGGAGCTATTGAGAGTCAGTAATCTCTGCATAGTTGAAGAAAGATTTTGAGAGAATATGGGTTTTCAGAATTAGGATAAATTACTGTCATAATATTGGTTATTGGCATCTGATATTTCTCAGGGAGAATGGTTGCTGGTAGTTAAGCCCTGGGAGAGAGTGGCTATAAGTGGAGGAAAATTCAGGAACTGTGATGCTTGATTTTCTTTCTGGGGAATGCAGTGTCTCCTTGATTGGAGCTGGATTTGGGGTGGGAGAGAAAGCCTATGTGCCAGGTCTTAGTCTTCAGTGACTAGAAGATGGTAAAGGACAGCAGCATGGAAGGCCAGGCTGAGTGTTATGAGCACCAGGGAAGATGACTGTATTAGTCAGGGTTCTCCAGAGAAACAAACAACGGGATGTGTGTCTGTCTGTCTATCTATCAGTCAATCATCTATCTATTTGATCTTCTATTTGATCTGATCTATCATTTATCTCTATATAAATTCCTTAAGAATCAGTCACTCTGTACACATACACACACACACACACACACGCGCACACAGATTGATTGATTTTAAAGAGTTGACCCATGAAATTGTGGAGGACTGGTGAGTCTAAAATCTGTTGCGGTGGGCCAGCAGATGGGAGACACAAGGAAGAGGTGCAGTTTAAGTCCATAGAAAGTTTGCTGGCTGAATTTACTCTTGCTCATCGGAGGTCAGTCTTTGAAAACAAAAGCCTTCAACTGATTGGATGAGGCCCACCCACATTCTAGAGGGTCATCTGCTTTACTCAAAATCCAGCTATTCCATTGTTAATCTCATTCGAAAAAAAAAAAAAAACACTGTTTCTGTAACAGAGTAATGTTGGAACAAATATTGGGTTCCTTGGCCCAGTCAAGTTGACACATAAAATTAACTGTCACAGCGACTCTGTGCAAGGATTCAGGAGGGGATTTGCCTGCTTTTTCTCCCCTCACCCCAGGCCCCAGGGATTTATGAGAATGTGTCTTTAGTGTTTGAGGGGCATCTTATAAGAATTTTTGAAAAATTTCTTTGGGAGGTATTTCATATCCCATAGTTTAACACTAGTCATCCTATCCCCTTATGTTTATGTTTTACTTTAACATATTGTCCTCAGTCCCTTCAGCTCTAAGCAAGAGTGTGGGAGAAAGCTTCACTTATTGCTCATTGTTGCCACTTCTCAGCTGTTGGTGCATAGCTGGGAGCAGGACTCTGGTTACTGTTCTCTTTCCCAGGTGGAGCATAATGTTCTATAATGTCTCTGCAGTGTGGCCACCCCACATTGTTTGAGGAAGTAAGAGAGCCTTCCTGAGAGTCAGATCTGGATCTCACAGCATCTGCTGGCTTTTGACATTGGCACCGTCCATCTGGAATAGTGAGGCATCCCCTCATGCCTTGCTGCATGTCCCTTCTTTTCAGTACATACTAGAAAAGTAGTCATGTGAACTGGAAGTAAAAAGAAAATGCCATTTCACCAGAGAATCTGGACATTTCAGGGGGATGACATGGGAATCTTTGTGATAGAATTTATTGCATTTCCTACTCTCTGACCTTTGCTAACTCAGCATTCCTCCCTGAAAGAGTACAAGGCTGGTGCAACCTGATGTTCAGAGACATGGAGAAGAAAAATTTCTTTCTTTCCTTGGGCAAAAAAAATAGCTACTGTGTTTACTTGGACATTACTCTAGACCACAGAATAAAGACTGAGCTATATAATAAACCTGCTTTGAGGCCCTTTCTGTGGGGGATATATGGGAATGAGAGATTCCAGATCCTCCAGGCTCAGCAATTTTACTTCACAACCCACAAGGACTGTAGCCACTCAGAAGTAGCACCACATAGTCATCCCAGTGTCCAGCAGCATAGTGCCTGGAACATAAAGACTCCCAATAAATATTTGTTCAAGGAATAAATGAATTGAAGGCTTTGTTTATTCTGTGGAGCTTAGGGAATATTTGGGGCTGTATGTCAGGTTGCATTTGCTGTTTGTGTAAGTGTTAGCCAGACTAGGGGTAGAAATTCCTTAAGATGATGAAAACACCCGAGATTAATTAGCTTCAAAAAATAAGGTGATGTAACTTATGCTTTCCTTTGCAGTGCCTGTGTGAAAGCTGGAGAGAGTGTTCTGGTTCATGGGGCAAGTGGAGGAGTAAGTATTTTTTTTAATGTATTTTGAAACAAGCTTGGGTTTATGGGTTTCACATTATAGTTCCTTTGGTCATTTTTAAAAGTCAGATTTATAAATAGAGTCAAAGGTGCTTTTTTTCTTTATGTAGTAAAACTTTTGATTTTGGTCTTCTGAAGGTGATGTTTTGTCATTAGTTTAGCATTTCTTGGTTAATAAACTCAACAGAGCACCCCTTCAAAAATATGTTAGATTTTCCACCTGTATTGGGTGTAGACTAAGATAAACTGGCCTTGTTTTTGCCTTCAAGTAGCATATGTTATAAAAATATTTATTTAGAATTTTAAACAGTTCTTTAAGGTTGATATTAATTCCATATTCCCTTAGATAAGGAAACTAAGGCTCATTAAAGCTTACCTATGTTGCCCCAGACAGCACGGTAAAGCCACACTGTGAATTCTTAGTCCTTCTATCTCCCTTCTGCTGCTTGCCTGCTGCACTTTGATGACATCCATGGAGTGCACGTATACAGCCCTGTCCTTAACACCACAACCCATGGCTGAAAATGCTAATGTGGGGGAATGGGGGAGGAGGACTCAGAACTTAAAATAAGCCCTTCAATGAAATCACCCAATGCAGGGCTGTCAGAAACCTCTTCGAGAAACTAGCTGCCAATCTGCCTCTCAGGAGCTTAGAGGGAAAAGTTAGAGCTCTGCAGTTAGAATTTAACAAGAAATCCACATGAACTCTGTCACTGGATGCTTTGGAAATTTTGGAGATAAGATTTTGCATTTTAAAAATAAAAGGCCTGGGGCTAGATGCTTACTTTGAGGAGGCTGTTAACCATTTCAGAGCACTGTGTATTCTGGAGAGTGGATTGAAAGAAGTAACCTATTAAATGGCACATAGTCCCCTGAATAATGAGTGGTATCCTGAAAATGTGAATTTACCTTTAAAAGTGCCCAGGTAATTTCAGTCCTTTTTGTCTCTCTGTTTCTTTAGGTAGATGAATCACGAGGTTTCACACCTAGCTTCCTACACTTCAAATAGATCAATTCTAAAGGATTTCACAGATCAAACAATTTATGAAAAAACACTAGGATTGTCTTTATGGGGCTTGAGACAATATGACAGATATACCTTGTCCAAAACTCCCACTGTTTAACTTCACTGAAGAGGCTATTTTTGGGTTAAATTAAATTTAACCCTAAGTAACTAAAGGGTCTGTCAAACACATACATTTATTTAAATTACCCTGGCTTTCAGAGAGCTAACTTAGTGCTCTGTGCAGAAGGGAAAGATTTCAGTAGGAAGGGGAGAGAAGAGTTTAAAGAAAATCTCTTTATATTCCCTTTACCCTCTTGTAAAAAGCCCAGTTGCTTCACCATGATTTTTTTTTAAGGTAAAATCCACACTGTTCTCTGAGCTGGCTGAGTTTGTTAAATCCTCAGCTGGCAGGGATAGGCTGGTGACCTGGTGTGTGAAGTGCTTCTGATCCTCCCTGTCCTATCAGAGGGAAACAGTACTGGGTTTTGCCTTGCTTCTGTTTGTACTTTCTGTCCTCATTTAATTCGAATTCCTTTGGGATTATGTTGTGTGTTTAAAATGGTGTGGAATTTATGAACACAGCTATTATCCAGATATGTTGGTGAGGAGTGCCCTATTTTAGTGTTAGCAAAATAAGTAGAAGAAAAATAGTTGACACATAATGGTGCATAATCTGTTGAAGGATCATTGCTGGTATAATTGTTGACAAGAATAGAATAAACAGTGCCTTTTTAAAAGAGCTATTGAGTGCCCTTTTAAAGCAGTTAGAACACAAGGAGATGTAGTTACGTTAGCTTTTTAAAGTGTGGTTTTATTAGAGGTCTTTTATTTAAATTTGAAAATTAAAATAGAAAATTAATTGTGCCCACCCCATAGTGGGTTGTGTTTTATCTAATTGGATGTCTCTCTCCTCCATCAGACAGTGAGTTTCATGTATTTGTTTGTTTCAGTTAAACAAATTCCTGCCATAACCTGGCTGAGTCCAGCCTCGTTATTCCCATGTGCCATACAATCTTTAAGGTCCACTTCAGGCCTGGAAGTCTGTTACAGCTTTAATCTGTTTCTATCATTATTTTTCATCTTAATTCTTTTCTTGCCGAACCCGGTCCTCCCTGTAAATCACTGGTTATGAGTAGCGGGTGATTTTGCATCATTTCTCCTTCCGCTCTGGGACATTTGGCAATGTCTGAAGACATATTTGGTTGTCACAACTTGGGGAAGGGGTTCTGGCATCTAGAGAGTAGATATCCTTCAATACATGGGATAGTCTCCCACAGCAAATAATTATCTGGCCCAAAATGTTGATAGTGCCAAGTTTGGGAAACTCTGCTCTAAATGTATGTGACACTTATTTGTACCATCATTTGTCATCTAATCAGATATATTTCCTAGTATTGTTATTTAAGTAATTGCTCTTTTGTCTATATTCTTAAATTACTTTGATTTCTCTTTTATACTAAGCACATTTATCTGGTATTCTAGTGATTTCTTACAATCCCAGCATTTTGGGAGGCTGGGATTTTGCCAGGTTGCCCAGGCTGGTATCGAATTCCTGACCCCAGGTGATCCACTCACCTCAGCCTCCCAAAGTGCTGGGATTACAGGCATGAGCCACCATGTTCCACCTAATCCTTTGGCTTTAAATACCATCCGTAAGATAATGAATCTCTAATATATATCTCCAGTTGAACCCTTTTGAGTCCATACTCATATTCAACTGATTGCTGAACATCTTCGCCCGTAAGTAGATGAGCACTGTGCAGCTCAGCATGTTACAAGTGATTCTTTTATTTTTATTTTTTAGAGACAGGGTCTTGCTCCGTTGCCCAGACTGGAGTGCAGTGGCATGATCACTGCAATCCCAAACTCCTCAAATTCCTGGGCCCAAGCGATCCTCCTGCCTCAGCCTCCCACATAGCTGGGATTACAGGCATGCGCCACCACACTTGGCAAAGTGAAATCTGGAGATTTTCACAAACTTAGTGTTCTCCAGTCTTCTCACTCTACCCAGTTAATCTGGCCAAAGACATAGGAGACAGCCTGTATTTTTCTCTTTTCCTCATCTCCCGCATTCAATCTGTGAGGAAGTCCCATTAGCTTACCTCTAAACTATATCTGAATTTGTTTATTTTTTCCAGTGCCACCACCTTTGTTCAAGCCAGCTTCATCTCTTATCTAGACTGTTCTAACAGCTACAAACTGATCTTCCTCCTCCCATTTTCCTCACCGCTTTCTTTGTGCCTCACATGTAATTGGAGCAACCTTTTTAAAGCCTGAGTCAACCAGATCATTTCCTGGCTTAAGCTCTCCCGTGGTTCTGCACAGGTTTTAATATACTCGGAAGCCTCTACCCTCACCCCTCAGATTCTGTGTGACTTGGCCTTTCTGGCCTCATCTTCGACCCTTTCGTACACGCCCCTCCCTGAGACACACTGCCCCTCTTTCTGTTCTTTGACCCCAACTGCATTCCCACCTCGCCAGGTTAGCCATGGCCATTCACTATGCCCACAGCATCCTCCACGTGGCTGACCGGATGTTCTCGTGGCTTGTTCCTCACTTTTTTCAGGTCTCATTTTTTCAGAGTGGCTCTTCCTGATGACCTAAATAGCCCCTATTCCTGTCTCTTTAACCCAACAGCCAGTCTTATTTTTTCTTAGCACTTTTATTTCCTGAATTTATTTTATTCATTCATATGACTATTATCTTCCTCCACCCTTAGAATATAAGTTTATTTCTTACATTAAGTACCATGTCTAGCACATCGTAAACACTCTATAAACATTCACCATATGGATGAATTAGTTAATTTGCCCATATACCTATCTCTTCTACTTAAATGGTGGAGGCCTTACATTTGTTATTTAGAATTTCATATGCACAAAGAAGTCAGAGAGCATGTTCTGATCATCTTTAAACCCTGCAAACATCTTGATGCAGTGGTTAAAAACTCAAGTTCTGCAGTCAGACTGGTCTAACTCCTGTTTCCATCTCCGCATATGACTTGGCCAAATTACTTATAATTTGAAGCTTCAACTTTCTTATCTGTACAATAGGGACAATAATAGTATCTACTTTATAGGGTCATTGTGAGGATAGAATAAAACAATATGTAGAAATTATTTAGTATGGTTCCTGGAATATTTTAAATGCTCAATTAAAGTTAGCTGTTTTTCTTATTTCTTCATTTACACTCTTAAGTTCCTTAAAGTTAGGGTGGGTCCTATAGGAATCTTAAGTTCATTGTATGTATTTAAGTGTTTACAGGAGTGTAGAGAATATATAACTCTTGGGTTATATTTGTTTTTCAGGTTGGATTAGCAGCATGCCAAATTGCTAGAGCTTATGGCTTAAAGATTTTGGGCACTGCTGGTACTGAGGAAGGACAAAAGATTGTTTTGCAAAATGGAGCCCATGAAGTGTTCAATCACAGAGAAGTGAATTACATTGATAAAATTAAGGTAAAATTTTCCACTGTTTTACAAAAGTCAAACTTTGTTCCTTGGAGACTTGCGTGGTTTTTTAATATGTTTTTAACCAACTACTCCTTTAAAGCTGTTTGCTTCCTTTTTTCAGTGCGATGAATTTTTATGCGTGTTTTAAAACTTTATTTAAAAAACAGATGTCTAAGTTTTAAACTTTTACTATCATTTTTGTATTGTTTATGTGTATTAAATAGAATATAGCTTCTCTAGAATCTTATAGCTATAAAAATTGATTTTTTAATGCAAATAACATTCTAAGTAAAGCTGCAGCTTTGTATTTGCAGCTGTGAGGTATTCTTAATATAATTTCTACTGATGTGAATTCTCCATGGAAGGTGAGATATCTGTAAATTACAAACTGGATCTGTGTGGCCCAGGGAATAAAGTTCATTTGTTAGCTGGATGCTTTGGAGGAATAATCACTACTGCATCCAAAATGGTGAGGTGGCATTTATTTAGTTGCTGCATTTAACAGAATTCAAGCAGATTCTGAAGTTCTTCACTTGTACTATATTAGCAATTTGCTAAACACTTATTGCTTTGCTAATCCTCAACCACTTCCTCACGTTAGGGAGATTAGAATTTCCCAAATATTGAGTACTGTGTAAATTAGATCATTACAAATGAAGGAAAAAATAAGAGTGAGAGTTTATTACCTTTTTTGCAATCATCTTGCCAAAAAGCCGAACAAAAGCACTCCTTTGTTATACGTCTGGGGAACCTAAGATCTAGCACTGCTGATACCATTATCCAAGAATATTCACAAAGATGAAAAATGGCCCGTTATTTTAAGAGTATGGTTTTTGTTCAGCAATAATCTAATTTTAAGACCATGAGGTCTTGGGAGCTTCCACTGACTCCTTCTGCTTAAGTCTCTCCCATTCTCAAAAACATTCTCTTAACCTTTATCTTACTCCCCTTTCTCTTCTCCTCTTTCCCACAAAACTTCTTGAAAAAGTAGTATTTATTGCTTTTACTTCCTTACCTTCCACCACTTCTCACTGCAGTTTTGCTTATAGCCCAAGTATTTATACTGCTTCCCAGAGGTCACTGAGAAGCTCCTAATTAACAGTCTGCTGGTCTTCTTTCAGTCTTCATCTTGTTTGATTTTTCAGGAGCATATGACCCTGACCACATTTCTTTGAAACAGGTTCTCTTCTTACTTTCCTGACTTTTCACTTTCAATCTCCGCCCTCTTCATATTATTTAATATTAATATTCCTTAGGTTGTTTTTGCTTGGTCTCTCATCTTCCCTGGTGCTAGACTTTCATCCTGATCAGTCTCATATACTCTTGTGGCTCCCTTACTACCCATATACTGTTGATTTCCAAAACTGTCTTTGGCCTGAGTTCACTTCCTTCATGCCATCAACCCGCTAGACATTGCTACTCATCTGGTCGCCCAAGACAGAAACCCTCATTTTGTTTGTTTTTCCTGTCTTTTAATTATCATTCTCCCTCCCACCCAGCAAGTTGGTTACCTCATTTTATCAGTTTCATCTCTGACATGCCTTTCAAATGTATTTCCTTATCTCTATTCCACTGACCACCATAACTTAGTTTAGGCCTCAGTTTCTCCAGCCTTGACTGTTATTCATAACTGAGCTAATACACCCTTTTATCTATGCTGTCATCTCCCTCTTAAAAAAGATCTCCAGAAATAAATAAAATGGAAGCTTTATGAGGAGAGGAGTTTTGTCTCTCTGTTCCCTACTGCACTTGCACATGCAGTAATAAACCCCTGTAATAAAAAAACAAAACAAAACAACTACAAAAAAAACCCCACACAATCCAAATCCTTTAATATGGCATTCACTGTGTTTTCACTATCTGTCCCAACTTACAGTCTCCTCTCTCCTACCTCTTCCTCTCCTTGCCACTCCCCCTTACCTGATTATGTACTTCAGTTCCTCTTGTATTTCAATCCTTGTGTTCTCAGTCCCCTCCATCTTTGCTTTTCTGTTTCTTTGGTCCAGACTGACTCAGCCTCAGGTCTAGCTTCCCCTTACTCATTTTCCTTTCTTTTGGCTTGGGAAACTCCTATTCATCCCTGAGGGCCCAGTTCATCGTCTCTGTGGAACTTTATCTGACCATGGCAGGCAATCAAACCTTAACCTTTTTTCTCTGTATTCTATGATTTATTTCTGCTAATGTGTTACTTAGCCCATTACTTTATAGCTATGACTGTAGTATTTCCCATCTTTCTCACTAGTTTTGTTTTGAGCTCCCTATGTTTGTATTTGTATTCCTGGTACCTAGTGCAATCCCGGGCACAGGGATTCATTTGTGTGTGTGTGTTAAAATAAAATGAATATAATGTAGATGTGTGTAGCTTTTTGTAAGAGCCAGCGTCCAACATCCAAGAGCCCAAAAGAGTTAGTGCATCAAACAGATGATAAACCATTTAGAACAAAACCAAATGCACTAAAACAACAAAAATCATGCAAAACCGAACAGCTAATGATATCTTCTTTTGCTTTTTGTTTATTAATAAAAATGGGAGCCCCCTGGGGGTTTGGGGCTTTTGATTTATTGTTTCTTTATGAAAGTTTATTTTACAGATAGAAAATTTTCAGCTAAGTATTTTATACTCAAGTTGAGTCTAGCACCTGAAAATTCCAGACAAACTTTATTTCACTACAGCAATGTATTTAGTACAAATTTTTATCAGTTTAGATGTTCTGGCTGGTACCTTGGAATTACATCGTGATTATATAATTAGATTATTTAAAATTTTGCATTATTAGTCTCAAAGATGTAGCATTTATATATCATTTGAAACATATTTCTATAATATCTTGTACAGATAGTAGCTATTTTACAGTTTTTCACTTGCTATCTTACTCTACATTTCTCTTTTATTATATAGAAGTATGTTGGTGAGAAAGGAATTGATATAATTATTGAAATGTTAGCTAATGTAAATCTTAGTAAAGACTTGAGTCTTCTGTCACATGGAGGACGAGTGATAGTAAGTATTCCTTTTCTTTTTTTTTTTTTTACCACTTTAATGTTTTACCACAATTTAACACTATTTTACAGTAATCTTTAACTGTAGAATTGCTGTTTTTCATGTTAGGTTGTTGGCAGCAGAGGTACTATTGAAATAAACCCACGAGACACCATGGCAAAGGAGTCGAGTATAATTGGAGTTACTCTCTTTTCCTCAACCAAGGTAGGAAAAGAAGTACTTCTGATTTTGGTAACTTAAACATTGGTACAGTTTGCCTACTCAGGCAAGCTGAAAGTTTGAATAGATGTTAAACTTAGTTATATGACTAGTGGGAGTTGGTAAGGATTAGTCACCAGAAGGACAACTAGGGTGACAGTATAATTTATATCCAGGTAAGCATACCTTTTGAGATAGAAATGTGATACTAGTAATAATTTCAGGACAACAGGTATTTTGTACACTAACACTGTCTCAGGCAGATGGGATTTATGGTTACCCTGTAGATAACTACTTTTTCTATAGTTCTGGACAAGTTGACAAAAGTCACACATTTGTAAGAGACTCTTCATGGTATAACACTTAGATTCTGAAGTGTTTTTAATGCTTCTGAAAATTAAATCATACGGTTCACTACAAAAAGAAATTTGTTTTTCCTTTTCTTAGGAGGAATTTCAGCAATATGCAGCAGCCCTTCAAGCTGGAATGGAAATTGGCTGGTTGAAACCTGTGATAGGTTCTCAATATCCATTGGAGAAGGTGGCCGAGGCTCATGAAAATATCATTCATGGTAGTGGGGCTACTGGAAAAATGATTCTTCTCTTATGATGATTAATTCTTTCATGGATTTCCTATGTAATTAGAGGTACTGTCTTTCCCCCAGTTGTACTTACCCTATCTTTTCTTTAATTAACATTCGATTCCATGAGCTTCTTATGTGAAAAAATAAGATTTTTCTTTAGAGAGCAGAAGCAGAAGAGTAAAATTTATTGTATAGCTAGCAATATTTTTTTATGCCATCTGTCTCAAATCAAAGAGTCATCATAGTAGGAAATAACATGTTAGTTGTCATTTGGCATGAGTGTGCATTCCAGTAATTCTTAATTGATATTTGATTAATTCCATACCTTTGATTAAAACATGCTAGTTCAAAATAAGACTGCTCAGTTTCCAAGGGTTTTCAAGCCTACTTACCTTTATAAAGGTTCTCTAGTCTCTGATTAGCCATGACTGTATTGGACTTTGAACATTTTCTGAACTAAAAACCTCTATTCTAAACTAATCTCATTTGGATGTGTAAGTCTTTTGTAAAGGCAAGAATAAATAATATCCAGGACAATTTATTAGTTTTCTCAGTATTTTCCCAAATATTAGAATATTTACTTCATTATTGGTTGGCTGCCAATGACCCCATATGTTCTGTGAGAATAGTAGCTTTATCTTTGATATAATACATAGTCTCCAAATAGGTAATACTTCGCAATTGATTAGATTTTCAGAGTAGATTTAGAGTTATCTGTTTTTCTGGTGAGGGTCAAATATTTTTGTTAATTAAGCTCACAAATTTGATAAATTAAGAATTATCTGCATTTGTCTCGTAACATAATAATGTGTAATAAAGTCTATAGAAAATTAAAACCTGCTTTTCTAGTTTTTATATTATTTGCCTCTCATCACTTCTGCATAGCTCCTGACAGTTACTTCTTAACAGTGTTCTATGCTGGAAGCCTTTATCTAAACTAAATACAGGGATGACCTCTTAGCAATCTTGCCATCAATATTATATTCAAGAAAATAAAAGTTCGGTTATTTGTTGTTTTTGTTTTTCTTCACATAAGCACATACTTTTGTCTTGCTACATTATGTGATTGATTGTTTTGACCTGATTTTTTCTGTTGAATGACAATTTCTGGCTTGAATATGGAATCCTGCTTCAGGAATAAACAGAAAACACCGCTAATTTCTATAGTTGAAGGATATCATTGGCTTCTGGTTGTATGTGCCATGGCTGAAGTGTTTTTTGCTATTAGCATTTTCAAGTTTATCCACTGTTTCTTTTACAGGTTAACTACCCTGTAAAATTACTTAAAAAAAAAGTGTTAAGGCAATGTCATCAACATAGGCTGGCATTTTATGTGCATCCTAAAATGGAGGATTCCTTTCCATGTAAACAAGGTAAAAGAATAATTATTCTGTAAAAGTCAGTTTAATCTGTTTGTATATTTGCCTCATCTATAGAAGGAGCTAAAGCATACAGATGACTTAACACTTCAAAATACATTGATACAGTTTAATTAATTTTGAAGCCAAAACTAGCCAAACTGTGTGCATTAACTACCATATTTATGATGTAGCACTGGGTATGTTCTCTGCATAAATCTCTGTGGTTTTAGTCTTGTCCCAACTTTCAGCCAACTGCATTCACTACTTGGTTGGTGCCTGTGGCCTTAGGGCTACTACATAGTCTTCAGTGCCCATTCTTGATGAAAAGTAGAGAATAACCTGTATAATAAACAAACATTGTTTAACTCAGTCTTTTGGATTTCTGTTCCTGGTTGCTTTGACTTGTGTGACCTAGTCATGTAATGTATTAGAGACCAAATTGGTCAGCACCCTGAGCCCAAAAAGGTGAATCAACATACCAAAGGTCACATGACTAGGAGATTCAAATTCAGCTGACTTTTTTGTGGGCTGTCGATATAAAACCATAAATTTAACTTTCCAGGCCTCTGGCTTTCCTTGCTCACTGTACCTCTGGCTTCTCTAACAGATTATTCTGTGCATCCATTAGTTCAACAAGTATTTATTGAGTACCTAGAGTCTGAGAAAGCACCCTGTTGGATTTTGAAAATACAGAGATATATAAGACAGAGTGCATATCCTTGAGCTTACAGTTGAGTAAGGATGAGACCCAAGTAAAACATTTTAGAATATAAGGGAGTGTCATACAGGGTTCTCCAGACAAACAAGCAATAAAATATATTAAGAGATGCATTTGAAAGAATTTGCTCATGCAATTATGGGGACTGGCAAGTTAAAATCTGTAGGGCAGGCCAGCAGGCTAGAAATACAACTAGTTTCTATTGTTGCAGTCTTGCAGAATTCTTTCTCTGTGAAACCTTAGTTTTTGTTCTTAAGGCTTTCAACTGATTGGATGAGGCCCACCTGCATTATTGAGGGACATCTCCTTAAAGTCAACTGATAATTTTGTATAAACATGTAAGTGGCACATGTTGACTATGTTGACACAAAACTAACCATCACAAGGGTGACAGACACAGAGGAAGGGCACTTAGTGTAGCTTGGGATTTGCAGTCACACATTTCATACATTTGATGCATTTGTTAGCTGTCTCCATCCATAGTAGCTTTAACCATAGAGGTAAAAAATAGGATGCTTCTGAAAGGGGGAAAAAAAAAACTAGCATTTTTTTAATGTCCGTAACTCGCCTGTTGAGACAAGAAATTGTATGTGTGCCAAGGGGCTTCCCCAATTTGTGGTATAAAGAGCTTTCTTTTTCTGCACGATTTCCAAGAACAGCAAAACCTGTCAGGTCACTTTGACCTACCTCTTTGCGCCTCCTTGACCGTATCTCGCAAACAGAAAAACACCTCAGCTCAATGCTCAATCATTTCTAATGCTTTCATTTTTTTAGTACAGTGCTTTAAAAAGTCATTTAAAAATTGTCATATGACAATTTTGCTAATCCATAGGGCTTATACTGTGGGAACTTCCTACATCCCAGGACAAGGCCTAGGAAATGTTATAGAAAGAAACGTAAGTTCACTTTGGTCTATGTCGACCCCTAAGTCATACATGGAGACACTCCATGTGTGTCGTTAAAAGTGAGTCTAATACTGATCCCAAAATTATGTGATATGGATGTTCATTAAATGTGCTAAATATAACTACAGATCGCAGTCCCTGATTTATTCATTCCCAACTTCATGTAAAAATACCCACAAAACTCCAGTAGTACAAGACAGTGAAGAGAAAACCATGTGACAAAATCCACTGGGAATTTCTAACATAAGTGTCAATCATTTGATTCGTTGAACCAAATTATCTACAGAGTAGGCAGGAAAAAGCCACAACTCAATCACTGCCTCTAACTTGGGACACAGGAGGTACACTGCCTGGAAAACCAAGTCCCCCGCCGCACACACACACACACACACACACACACACACACACTTTTTTTTTTTTTTTAACCAGAAATCATCTGAACTAGCTAGAATTGAGGTCTAGGTCCACCCCACAGTATCCTTCAGCTCCTTGCTTTCACATGCATTTTAGAGACTACAGGTTTCAGTTTTCAGTACAGCTATAGATTAAGGAGGAAGTGGAACTTTGCACCCTCAGATGTCACCACAGAGAAAATCTTGCAAATGGATTGAGAGTGGAATTGCTGGAGAAATACAAGACTTGTGCAAACAACATTTGTCTGACTCTAGCAAAGCCAGATAATGTAAAAATTGGAGCAGAAGATGCCCGTACCTTAGTCCAGCAGGCACTGGAATTGACGCAAAATATTGAAGAGGCTATCTCACTCCAGATATTGATCTGGAAGAAACTGACCTCTCTTATGGGCAGGGAGGAAGGCCACAAGTACATCTCTGGTATAGTTGTCAAGAGCATGGGTTCTGAAGGCAAAGAAACTGGATTTAAAGCCTAGCACTGTTATTGACAAGCTATGGAATCCTAGGCAAATTAATTATTTGGAGCTTAGGGAGCTCAGAATTGTAAGAATTAAATGAGATAATGGTTGTGTAGTACTTAGCACTCTGTCTTGCACAAACACGTGTTTAAATGATTAATAATCTTTTATTTTCATTAGCCAAAAAAGAGTAAATTGAGACAGAGGAGGAATGAAGAGAGAGCATCCTGAAATATGCAAAAAGGAATCCCAAATGCAAATCCCCAGAGGAGGTGCAAATGAGCATGACTGACATTACAGAAAACTTGGTCACGTGAACAAATTTCATAACTCTCCAAAAGTATAGAGAAAAAGATGAAGAAAATAATATGATAGAACAAACAAAAAGCAAAAACAACCTTTAAATTATAGGCATGCCCCCTAACTTTCACAGAATAATGAAAGAAGTAATAATTAAAGAAAATTCCTGGCCTAAACCAAAGAGCTAAGTTTATTCACTGATAATATTAATTATGTCTGTGTAAAATTAATGAAGACCTGGTAATAAGATACATCTTTTAAATGTTTAAATTTCACATAGATTTGGAAGGGAGCATGCTGAAGGATCATTATTTACAATTATGTTATTCAAAACCTAGAATATGCAGGAGAACAAACAGAAAAACTATTGATGAGTTAAGAAAACTGGTTAATTATATAATATATAGAAATTAATATGAATCAGTAATGATTCATATTAGAAAATTATAAAATAATGAAAAAAGATCTCTTTCACAATTGCAATGCCACTACTACCACTAATTTTAAAAGCGGTGAGAAATAACTTATGTGTGTAATTGGATTGTTTGTAATTCAAGGATAAATGCTTGAGGGGATGGATACCCCATTCTCCATGATGTGCTTATTTCACATTGCATGCCTGTATCGAGACATCTCATGTACCCCATAAATACGTACATCTGCTATGTGCCCACAAAAATTTTTAAGAAAAAACAATTTTTAAGTAGTAAAATACAAGCTACCAAATTTACAAGAACACACAGGACCTTTAAAAAGAAAACTACAAAACTCTCATGGAGGACATAAAGGATTACTCAAAGAAATGATTCTTGGTCAGATTCATGTAAAGATTCTCCCTTCATATGCTAGAAATTCAAAGTTATTTATGTCAAAATAATAGGAATTTTTAGAAACTTGACAACATATTTCTAAAGGTGTTTGTTTTTTTTGGTGGGGGAGGGGGAGGGAGGGGGAGAAAAAGGAAGCCAGAAAAATTAAGAAAAGAAAATGAGCTGGAACCAGTCCCAGCAGATGTGAACATTTTTTCCCAAGTTAGAGTTACTAAGGTGGACTCGTATTAGCTCAATGATAACTAGATTAGTGGAACAAATCTAGTTGAGTCCAGGTATGCTGCTTCCCTTTGCGGATGGTAAAAATGGCTTTTGAGTGGGGTGAGAGGTTATTCAATAAGAGAACTGGCTCCCCATTTGGGAAAAAAAATAAAGCTAATATTTGACTTCACTTCTAACATCAAAAACTTTTAGATGAGCCGGGTGCAAGTGGCTCACATCTGTAATTGCAGCACTTTGTGAGACTGAGGCGGGCGGATCACCTGAGGTCAGGAGTTCGAGACCAGCCTGACCAACATGGCGAAACCCCATCTCTACTAAAAATACAAAAAAATTAGCTGGGCTTGGTGGTACATGCCTGTAATCCCAGCTACTCGGGAGGCTGAGGCACAAGAATTGCTTGACTCCGGGAGGCAGAGGTTTCGGTGAGCCGAGATTGTGCCACTGCACTCCAGTCTGGGTGACAGAGCCAAGACATGGTAGAATATTTTTATAATCATGAGGGATGAAAAGCCTTACACCATTACTCCAAATCCCAAACTATAAAAGAATAAGCAAAATAGGAAAAGTAGAAAAAGATCTCCAATAACAAATAAAAATATTAACCTTAAAAAATTATCCAAACTAATTAGTAAATGCAAAACATCCCACAAAAGAAATGGCATGAATGGATACAAGACTGAATACATATAACCAGTGAATTTATGGAAGGAGTTGTTCAACCTCACTAGTAATAGAGGAAATGGCACTCATGTACTATGGGTAGGAGTATAAAATTGTTTCTGTTCTGGAGAGCAGAAAGGAAATGTCGTTAAATTTTAAAATGTGGATTTCCTTTGATCCATTAATTCACTACAGAAATTTATCCTAAAGAGATAGACATATCTGGAAAGATGTGCCAAAATCGTTTTCATTGCAGCATTGCTTATTATAGTACAATATTGGAAATGACTTAAATTTCCATCAATTGAATGCTTAAAATGCCAATACATCCATACAGTGCAATGCAATGTAACTATTATAATGACAAAGTAGACCCATAGTTCTAGACATGCGAAAATGTTTAAGGCATAGTATTAAGAGGATTATTAATAAGTTTAAATAGCAGATATGGGATGTATGTAGTATAATTCTACTTCTATATAATTCTTTTTGTGTATGCATTTCAAGAGATGCCTAGTAGATAGTTATCAAAATGATTTGTCTTAGTGCTGGGATTATAAATATTTTCCCCAACACTTTTCAAACATTTTCAAATTTATTATTTTTAATAAAAAGTTATTTCTGACAAATCAGTAGCTAAAGTCTATTTAGGAAGGATAATTTATTAAATAATATTAACAAAATCTAAAAACTTAACATCAAAAATAAAAATAACCTACTTTGAATTTCCAAATATGTATATATTTATATTATCTTGAATCTTCTGTAATTGTATGTCTGTGCATTCAGATTAACAGTTGTCCCTCAGTATACATGAGGGATTGAATCCAGAACCCTCTGAGTACACCAAAATCCTCACATACTCAAGTCCCCCAGTCATCCCTGGGGAACTTGGGTATATAAAAAGTCAGTTCTCCATATTTGTGGGTTTCACATCCTGCAAATACACCTGCCTTTGGTTGAACAAAATCTGCATATAAGTGGACCCACACATTTGTTCAGTGGTCAACTGTATTTCTTACTTGTGCTAATAACTTAAGATTTATTCTTAAAACATGCTGAGTAAAAAATTATAGTGTGTTTGTACTGAATTTGAACTAAGTGGATCAAAATGATTTACTTATTTTTATTTTTTTTGAAATAATAAATTGTCCTTTGAAAATATTCCATTTTATTTTCAAAAGATAAAGTATCCTTCAGGTGATGAGAACTATTCTTGGGGAAAACTTTGTGTTTGCATTTCTAGAAATGAACTCTCAGACTTAACTCATAGTTAATACAAAACCCAAAATGAACTTGGGCTTATTGATTTGCTTTGGATGTTTATTTTGATTGTAGCATCACATTTGAAATCCAATTGTAAGCATCACCTCTAATCAAAGCTCTTTTAGTATGTGTGACAAATGCATTTTAACAAAATTGTACCCATGTTTTATTTGGTGAAATATTATTTTGCTTAGGAATTAACACTGTAATTCTGTTTCACAGTTTATCCATGTAATTTCAGTTTTTACATGTCTTGCAGTTTCTTTCATCCTAGAGTAGCTTTTGAGTTTATTAGCTGGTTTCACTTAGTCTTGTTTATAGGCCTATCACTATAGCTTCTAAGTGCTTCTCAGATTATGTTCCCTTTTATGTCTATCAAACTGTGTTTCCACATAAATAAAAACTCTTCAATTGCTGGAATTCTTTGCTTCTTTATTGTCAGCCTACTAGCTAACCAAATGAGGAACACTACTTTCTAGAGTTTTGTTCTACCCAATGGTAGGCAATTTATCTGGATTTTTTTTTTACAATGAAGGAAATAATCCTATTCACACTTAAAAATTTATTTGCATTCTTTTATCCCATTCTCCTGCTTCACTGAAAGTGATGGCCCTCCTTCTTACTAAGCACAGTTTCTCTAAATCTCATTGCTCTGGCCTCTGCATGAACTTTGCTTAATCAGCCCCTGGATCTTGTATCTTCATCTTCTTCCTAAAAATATAAACATCTCAATGTCTTTCCCATCCTGACTTCCAAAATATCATTCTCCTGCTACTTCTGGACCTTCTCAGCTTTATTTGCAAGCGTCACTTCTTCCACTTGCTTTTTAAATGTTGCTGTGCTTTACTTTCTGTTTTTTATTTTTCCTCTATGCATTCCCTCTGACTGGCATCTGAACCAGGCCTCAGTATCACTGGGTATTGGTGACCCTCAAGCCTTTATCTCTAGCCTGTTCTAGGCCCTAAGGTCCATATATTAGACTGACAACTGGTTATCACTCAGATGTTTTAAAAACTTCTCAAAATCGACATGTTCCAAATCAAATTATCCCCAATAACAAACCTGTTCTACTTCCTGTATTTCGTATCTCAGTGTATAAAGACACTGTGTACCTAGTTAGCCAAGCCTGGCAGTCATTCTTAATTCATCCCTCTGCCAAGAACCCCTTCCAGACTGAATGCACAGTGGAAAAGTAGCAGCACTTAGGTGCTGCTACTTGGAGAAGCAGAGGAGCAAGACTTAGCAGCTGCAAGACCAGGAAAAGTAAACTGGGTCTAGAGAGCCCTGGACCCCCAGAAATACTTGGAGAAGATTTTTCAGGGAACTCTATACCCTGAACCAGGCACTGGGGTCACTGAATAATAGAATTTGCATTATTACTATTTCTGTGGCCTCATTTGCCCTACCCGTTAACCCCCAGGTGGTGAGGACTAGAAATTAGGTTGCACACCTTTCTAAACTCATTAGAGAGGGAGGAAATCAGGTTCTAGGGCAGAGCTTCCAGAGCTTCCAGATGGTGTTTAAATTAACCTCTGAAATACATTTGTGGGTGGGGCACAGTGGCTCACACCTGTAATCCCAGCACTTCAGGAGGCTGAGGCGAGCGGATCACGGGGTCAGGAGATTGAGAACATCCTGGCTAACACAGTGAAACCCTGTCTCTACTAAAAATACAAAAAAAAAAAAAAAATTAGCCAGGCATGGTGGCATGTGCCTGTAGTCCCAGCTACTCAGGAGGCTGAGGCAGGAGAATCACTTGAACCTGGGAGAAGGAGGTTGCAGTGAGCTGAGATCATGCCACTGCACTCCAGCCTGGGTGACAGAGCGAGACTCCATCTCAAAAAAAAAAAAAAAATGTTGTGGATATTAAAATCATGTTCTTAGTCCATTTGGGCTGTTATAACAAAGTCCCTTAGACTGGGTGGCTTCTAAACAACAGAGATTTATTCCTAACAGTTCTGGAAGCTGGGAAATACGAGATCAAGGGTCCGACAGATTCAGTGTCTGGCAAGGATGTGCTTTCTGGTTCATGGATGGTGCCTTCTCATTGTGTCCTCACATGGTGGAAGGGCAGAGCTAGCTCTCTGGGTACTCATGACCTAATCACCTCCCAAAGACCCCACCTCCTAGTACCATCACCTTGGCGCTAGGTGCTTGTACCTGTAAATTTGGGGGGCATGCAAACATTCAGACTGTATCAATCATTTTCCCTCATTTCAATTTTCCCTGCTCTTTGACCTCATTCAGTCCCTCTCTTCATTTGATCTTTCATTGCCAATCTCAGTCCAAAGGCCCTAAGCAGCTCTCACATCCCACCAAGCTTAAGTTGGTCACTAAAGTACCCTCAATTATCTTGAATCACCATCCTTCTTCAAAAGTCACTCATTGAAACCTAGCCCTGGATGGAACTTGTAATCTACCTTCAACTTCCAGCTTTTTCACTACTTCGTATATTGTAGATGTAGCCAATCATAAGGAGCAGGTGCTGTTCTGCCTCCCCCTCCAATTTGCCCTTCAAACCCAGCACTCTCCTGCCTCTAGTTCTGCTCATGCCATTTATTTCCATTTATTACCTTTTCTCTGAGTAAATTTGAAAATTAATCATTTGATTAGTTTTAGGATGATCTGTGTATGTCTTTGTGTGCAGTATTTAGAAGATGAGATAGGCATCTTTCCCCTTGGAAGGTTAGTGAAATGTGGGAGCAGCTATTCATCAGATGTCACTCCAGTCATGATGGAAAGGGAATTGCTATAAACCTCACAATAGACAAAAAGATGGACTAGGTAAAACTCGTGCAGTTGCTTATCAGGAGGAATGAATATTTTCATTTTAATTTTAACTTTTTTTGCCCTAGAATTTAAGCAACTTGAGATGATGGATAAGACCTAGCATACCCCAGGCACTCAAGTTTGATGAGTGAAAGATTATAACAGGCCAGGTTTTCCTACCTGTACAATTTTCTCTCTCAGGATTAATATGTCACTGATCATTAGAGAAATCCAAAGCAAAACCACAATGAGATACCATCTCACACCAGTCAGAGGCTGACACGGGTGGATAACATGAGATCAGGAGTTCAAGACCAGCCTGGTCAACATGGTGAAACCCCGTCTCCACTAAAAATACAAAAAATTTGCTGGGCGTGGTGGCGGATGCCTGTAATCCCAGCTACTCAGGAGGCTGAGGCAGGAGAATCGCATGAACCCGAGAGGTGGAGGTTGCAGTGAGTCAAGATCACACCACTGCACTCTAGTCTGGCAACAGAGCAAGACTCCTTCCCCCACCCCCCCCCCCAAAAAAAAAGTCAAAAGATAACAGATGCTGGTGAGGTTGTGGAGAAAGGGAATGCTTATACAGTGTTGGTGGGAGTGTAGATCAGTTCAACCTTTGTGGAAGACAGTATGGTGATTCCTCAAAGACCTAAAGATAGAAATATCATTTGACCCAGCAATCCCATTACTGGGTATATACCTAAAGGAATATAAATCATTCCATTATAGACACATGCACACATATGTTTACTGCAGCACTATTCACAATAAGCAAAGATGTGGAATCAACCTAAATGCTCATCAATGATAGAATGGATAAAGAAAATGTGGTACATATACACCACAGAATACTGTGCATCTATAAAAAAGAATGAGATCATGTCCTTTGCAGGGACATGGATGGAGCTGGAGGCCATTATCCTTAGCAAACTAACATAAGATCAGAAAACCAAATACCACACGTTCTCCCTTATAAGTGGGAGTTAATAATAAGAACACATGGACACAGAGGGGAACAACACACACTGGGGCTTGTCAGAGTATGGAGGGTGGGAGGAGGGAGAGGGTCAGAAAAAATAATGGGAACTAGGCTCAATACCTGGGCAATGAAATAATCTGTACAACAAACCTGTAGGACATAAGTTTACCTATGTAACAAACCTGCACATATACCCCTGAACTTTAAATAAAAGTTAATATATTTGTGTATGTATGTGTGTGTATATATATACATACATATGTATGTATACACATTTAATCTGAAATTTAAATTGTATCACAGAAGAACACACAGAGGTGTATATATACATGTTTGTACATTAACTGTAAAGTAGAAATTTGACATTTGACATTTGGATCAAGTATGAAAAAGCTGGTTTTATGTGCAATCAAAGCTTAGCTCTGGGCACCTGCCATCTTACTTCAAAGTAAAGCTTATTTTTGATTATTCAGAGAAAAAAAGGAATTAAAAAATAAGTAAAACCAATCTATTAAAAATTATTTTTGTTTATTATTTTATTTAGGTGAAACAAGAATCTACTTCTTTTACCCTTTTTCAATTTTTTACCTTTAAAACTTTTAACAGCCTAACTCACATTCTAAATACTGAAAGTGCATAACATAGGTCAGTGTTAATTTTTTAAATGTCAATTCAACTTAGTAGAAAAAAGCAATTGATGTGTTTCAGTAATAACTTCCACTTGTTTTAACTTGTTATGTTAGCACTTGCAATTCTGTTTAATTGGCATGTAATTTAATTGCCACATAAGTTATTTAATTATATACTACAAATGGGAAAAGTTGTTTATAGGCAATCATATCTCTTTTGTTAAAATCTGGAATACTAGATGTTCGTCAGTCTTGTGCTTATAGGTAATTCCTTCATGCTGATTATTTGCATTGCCTGATTGAGTTATATCACATATTAACTCATTCTGTCATTGTTTCTAGAGGGGTGTATATTTATATTTTAGTAACAAATTCAGACAGTTAAATTTCAATCTACTTTATTATTAAAGACAAAGGCACTAAGACCTGTGTTTCTCTCTTCATGGAAATTACAATATCACAATAATTCACAGATGTTATTTCTTCAGGCCAGGATGCCTTACTCTCTCTCCTTTCTTTGCCTAATTTCAGTATATTACTTTTGAAGGTTTACCGTAGGTGTTACTTTTACTTAGAAGGCTTTTCTGACCTCACTAATGATCAGGTGGCTTTTCTCTGTGTTCCTTTCAGTACCGTAACAATATAGGATGAGACAGAACTAGGGTATAGTCTTTATTTTTCAGTAGTGTGGCAACCTTGGACTCTAGCAGGATATCCTTGGAAAGCCTCAGGTTTTTTTGGTTGTAAATCAGGGATAATAGTTACTTATTTGATTGTTATGAAAGATATATTAAACAAACCTTATTATGTTTTTGCCTGATGCCTGGCACATAGAAAAGATTTGAAAAATCTAGCCGCCTTCTACTTAATGTTCAATAAATAAAGATTGAATGAATTAATGGATTACAATTATTTATTGACATTTGACTCCCACTGTTCTGTTCATTTATTCAGGAATGGGTCTGTGATCTTTTGCCTCACATAAGATAGAAAATAGTACTTTCCTCATAGTAAGTGGTTGACAAGTTGTAAAAACCTTTTGCTTTTCCATCTGACTAAATCTTCCATAAATGTTTCAAGTAAATATTACTCATTTAACAAGTATTTGTTAAACCCTTACTCTGAGCCAGACATTGTTCTGCAGGTAGGTTATACTTCAGTGACAAATACTCTGGTTTCATGGAATTTGCATTTCAATGGAGAAAGACTGACAATAAGCAGATAGACAGGCAAGTACACTGTCCAGCGACGAGAAGAGCTACAAAGAAACATGAAATAGAGCAAGGGGTCAAGAGAATATCAGGAGCAGTTGCTATTTTTATGCAGCATAGTCAGGAAAGATGATATTTGAACAGGAGACCTAAAGGAAATGAGGAAGTCAGTCCTGTGGACAGATATCCGGATACAGAGCTTTCCAGGCAGAAGGAATAACAAGTATAAGAAATCTGCTTTGGGAGGCCGAGGCGGGCGGAACACAAGGTCAGGAGATCGAGACCATCCTGGCTAAGACGGTGAAACCCCGTCTCTACTAAAAACATAAAAAATTAGCCGGGCATGGTGGTGGGCACCTGTAGTCCCAGCTACTCGGGAGGCTGAGGCGGGAGAATGGCGTGAACCCAGGAGGCGGAGCTTGCAGTGAGCCGAGATCGCGCCACTGCACTCCAGCCTAGGCGAGAGAGTGAGACTCCATCTCAAAAAAAAAAAAAAAAGAAATCTGCACTTGTGTCTCTTAAATATATAACAATTTTTAAAAACTTTAAAAGAAACTTTGGCATTCTAGCATTCGCTATACAGGGTGGCAGGCTAAGATGCTCCAGTAGATGCTGAGACCCAGTAAGTGGCAATCCACTCAAACCACTCACTATTCATCACTGGCAGTCATAGGAGGGTATTCAGGAAATACACAATCTAAGCTGGGTTTTAACAAGACCACTCTGGCTGCTGTGTAGGGAACAGACAATGGAAGACCACTTAGAGGCCACTGCAATAATCCAGTGAAAGATGATGGGGCTTTGGTGTAATCTTGTGTTTGAAAGAAATATCATAATCTAGCCCAACTCAGTCATTAAGCTGATGACATTAATTCATTCATTCAACAGTTTATGTATCTTGTAATATAACACATTGTATCTGTAATTCTTAAGGAGATATACCTGTGTGGTCTTATTCAAAACGGAGTAAACATTTCTGTAAAACCAATAGTGAAATTTGTATGGCTATATGAAATAAAGTTTAATTTTAAACCATCTTTCCAATGATGATTACCTACATTGAAAAATTCAAATATACTTAAAATAGTTTTCTTTCATTTTTTAACATCACAAGATAAACTAGTTTATCTCATATTTTCATCCACTTGGCTACATGTAAAGCATGTCCAAACTTGTAGGAGGCTGAATTATAGACAATTACCCCTTGCAGGTTTGATATAGGACACTTGTACATTGGCAATACTGCTTATTTACATGACCCTCATGGAAGCTCATTATTTTGTAGATCAGGATGTGGTAATCATTCCAATGAAGAAATCAATATTACGTAGCCAAATCTGGTTCTTATAAGAAATTTTATTTTTATCATTTTATTTTTTCAATTCTTAAAATTTATTCAGATTGATATAAAATTCCAAAATATGAATAAATGCCACCAGATGGCATTTAAATTAGCCTCTGAAATACATGTTGCAGATTTTAAGCAGATGATTAAAAAATAGACTTTATAATAAACATAATTTTTATTTTCTGATCAAATATTTTTGTAGATAGAAATAATTCAGCTTCCTTGCTTATTGTAGGATATGTTTTCCCAGGTGATAGTTCTAATTACATTAGCTGGCAACATTAATTCACTCTATGTTTGAATTTTTATTCCTTTGTACCTCTTTTTAATATATTCAACACACACTTTGTTTTTTAAAAGAACACTGTAATAATTATTCCTGTGGAACCATGTAATGTATTGAGTGAAATGATTTTAAAATATATATGTCTTTGTACATAGTACCCATACAAGTGAATATATATGTAATATTTATAATTATTATATTATAACTTTGGTTAATTCAAGTTTCTTCTTTATTTTTATTTATTTTTTTCTTTGTTTCTGTAAATTATATTTTAACATACTTGACTAAGTGGTATTATAATTAAATACTCTGTTCTCACTATTCAGCTGTCACAGGTAAAATATGTCTAATACATAAGAAAATTTTCATTGTTTGTTTCTAGAATACTTCCTCGCACTTCATGGGTTAAAACAGATGTATACACACACTCATACACATGTGCACACACATACACACAGGAGTATGTATATATTGTATACATATATGTGATATATATACTTTAAATATATACACTTTAATGAATGGGACTATCTGTTCCTGGAAGCTGAGGGATTTATATTATTTTTAATACTTTTATCTTAGTTCATACATACAAACACTCAGTAAATATTTGTTAAATAAATGAATATAAGTGCATGCCCTTGTCTGATTCTCAATGGGAAAATGTATTCTTTTGAGTTACTTTGACAGAGAGGGAAATCATGGCCTATTTTTCACTATATTTAATTTCTCAATTTATAACTATAGCTATTGGTTTAAGAATTTTAGGATGGGTACAGTGGCTCATGCCTGTAATCATAGCACTTTGGGCGGCTGAAGCAGAAGGATCGCTTGAGCTCAGGTGTTCAAGGCTGCCAAGAGCCACGATAGCACCCCTGTACTCCAGTCTGGGTGACAGAGCAAGACTCTGTCTCTAAGTAAGTAAGTAAATAAATAAATATTTTAAACCTTCCTTTGAAAAAACATTTATTACGGTCATCCAGATTTCTCAAGGACCTTGAGTGTGTTTTTCATTGGAGCACTTAAGCACTGTTGACACAAATTGGTGTCTCTGAGTCCTTGTCTCCAAATTGCACTTATTAAGCACTGCCTTCAGGTGAGATCAATATTTTTTGAAAGTCTCCAAATTTACTTTATAAAATTATGTGCTTGTATTTGCTGAGCAATTATGCGCTCATAAGATGTGAAATATTTTAACTCTTTCCTAAGACCACACACAAAGAAAGCTATCTACACTAAAAGGCCAGACTCTCTTTTTTTTTATTTTTAAGAAAAATAAATGCTCCTTTTGTTTGTAACCATATAGACATAAAGGATCTTTTCAAAATCCTTCTTCTTTCTCAGAGTCCACACCCAAAACATGCTTTAATTTTGGCTGATGTTCTTTCCTAAGAAAATTTTCTACTTGCTACATCTCCACATTCCCTGCCCTGACTGAGGCTCTGACCTCTCCCGAGCTTTCTCAGCAGCTTCCTGTTTACCTTCCTGACCCTAACTAGTCTCTCTCCCTTCTTTCATATTGCTGTCAGGGTGATTTTTCTAAGGTGAAAATCTGATCCCTTCACTGTTACGCTTACATTCTCCAGTGGGTCCCTGGAGCCTCCTCCTTCAATATTTCAGCATTCCCTTCTCTGTGACACTGTCCCTGATTCGTGAAAGGTCATCTCTGTGGGCCCTGTGTTATCTTAGGTGTACCCAACCCAACCTGACAACCTTGACTATAAAAAATAATCTCTCTATATTTAGGTGTGTAGATAGAGATATTTCTTCCCAGAAGTCTGTGAGATTCTTGAGTGTAAGGATCAGACCTCCCCCTATCAGTCCCAGTGCCTGTCACAGCACCTGAAACATACCAGGTATTCACAAAAGATAGATTTGTAGGAATAAAATCTATCCAAGCGATCCATTGTTTCCATTTGCTTTTGCTGTTGTTGACACAATGCACTTTATTTCTTACCAGCAGGTGTCGCAATAGCTCCATGTTTTCAGCATGATTTTTGGCTTTTCTGCTTTGCTGTAACATATTAATTGGGCTGTTATGGGAAGGAGATGATAATTTAGGCACTGTTTACAGAATAAAGCTGATTTAACCTTCAGTTTCTCTGTGAACATTTTTTTTTCCAAACATAGTGTTCCAACTGAAATTGCCAAAGTAAAAGGAAGACTTCAAATTTAAAAAACGATTAGAGTGAAATAAAAATTCAAGCTAGGGCATCAAGTTAAAAACACAGGAAAAATGTGAAGCACAAAATCAACACCTCAGAATGGTAATGGCAAAATGACAGCTATAGCCACACAACTGTTTCTTTCCATCTCACAAGCGAAAAGCAAATTGTGTTTGGTATTTTAGCAGGAGAGCTCAAAGGAAAAACATGGTCCAGAGTGAAATGTGCCTTGTTTTTAGGGTTCTTTCGCTTTGAAGAGCTCGAGATACTGACAAAAAACTTTAAATCATGGACCCATGAACATTAGAAATGTAACAGTTTTACAAGCTGAGAACCAGGGAAAATGAAGAAACAAACAGAAAAAGAAACACCAGGAGATGATAAATCATCTCTAAAAGTATGAAAACATATAGTGAAGAAAATTATTTAAATAAGATATGCAGTGGTCAGGTACACATTACTGAATACTTGCAGCTGAGGGTAGTAAAGGGACAAGAAAGTCTTGGAATCAGACGATCCAGGTGATGGATTCTAAAATTACTAGTCGTGTAACCTAGGACTATATAGACCCTGGCATCTCAAATCATCTGTAATTCCAAACATAAAATAAAGCCCATTTACAAAGGGTATTGTGAGGGTCAAATATGATAAATCATGTAAACATGCTTCATGTTCTTTAAAATGCTATATTTGCATAAAGCAGTATTAGAGAAGGATGAAGGCAACACTTATTGAACATCTGTGATGTGGAGTGCTGGATACTTTACATAAAATCACATGCAATTATTTTCCAGTAGAGAAGATTCTCTCCAAAGTTTCCTAGTCCACAAGCTGCAATCACAGCTCCCTCCTCCTCACATCTCCTTTCTGTCATGGCCCTGTCACCATATTCCAATGAATACCTCTGAAATATGTAAATGATAGATATTACTGCCAGCCTAAACATTGAAGGAACTCAATGAGGGGTGAGCTTTACTAGAACTAGTAATTTTCAGCTTCCAGAGGCCTTGTGGTAGGGTTGAGTTAGAATTAGTGCTTCTAAAGAAGCTCTGGATATATTTGCCAACAAATTCTGAGTGGAAACTTTCTTTTGAAGATGTAAAGGAATTTATCATCAGACCAAGATCACATGTACCTTTTTAGACCTTTTTATGTGGATAGAAGAGACTTTTTAAAAAAAATTCAAAGGTTTCTTCTATTGCAGGTTAAAACTAGTTTTGGAAGATGACACTTTGAGACAATAGGAATAGCCTTACCCCAGATGATCTCTCAATGAATTTTTCTTAATAAATTAAGATTAAGCCATATACCAAGCAATACAGCAATCTATATTTCTAAGGTTATTAATTTCATTATATGCACACAAGTGTAAATTGTTTAGTGATTTGTAATTTCCATTCCAGAAATAATCAGACTTGGAGAGGCAAAACATATCATCTTATATGTATATACTTTTGGGTGCATTCGAGTCAATAGTGTTATTCTAGTGAACATCACATGGGCTGGGTAAGAAAAAAAGAAGCAAAAAAAAAGTGAAAGAGAGAAAGGAAACTCTAAGATTTTGTTCAGTTTAAGGTACAGAAAGTGAATCTTACAGCAGTGAATGCGCTTAATTCCATGCTAACTTTCTCTCCTTTTATTCACCTTTGATTTTAGATAAATTATGCTTCAGATATTTGCTGTTAAAAGAACCCAAATAGTGCCAGAAATTAAACTGTTCATCCTAAAATATTTGCAGAGGTTTGAATCATTATCACACAAATACTGTTAGGACATTAGCAATCTATGCAATAGATTATAATATCCATAGATTTTCTTGTGCAGTTCTGCAAAACTTCATTATTTCCATGACTGTTGAACTGGAACTATTTCCAGTTACTAAGAAGGCAGGTCGAATATTATGTCAATTGCTGATTAGTAGTTCTATTTCTTGACAATGTTACCAGTGCTGCCATTTGATGTTTTGCACTGAGTGGAATTAATGTTATTCAGGGAGGTAATGATAATGAACCAAATTTCATATCTACAAAGAAGCCTGGACAGCGGGGCAGTCTTGCACTTTGGTCTTTATCTGAAATCAGATGCCTTATCACCACAAATCCTGTCTGTCAAGCTCCCCCAAATAAGGTGGATTTATTAATACGAGTTGTTACTCTTTGTTCCAATAATGAGCTCCACTACTGGTGGTTGCTCAAAGAACCACAGAAAAGCAAAGCAGAGGACCTGTCATTAGATAGCAGACTACATAGGCAGCAGGAATTGGATATGGCTTTTAACTCCATGCCATTGATGGTAATTTTTGGTTGCTTGCCTGATTTGCCTGGGGCAACTAAAAACATCACCTTAGTTTTATTCAGACTAATTGTCAGCCTGTGCAGTGGTGCCAAATTTGAGAAATGATTGACAACTAGATATATATCCTCAGATGTATGACCCTCCAGTTCATAGTCATTAGCACTCCATTACAGGGGTGCTGTGACCCAAAGACATTAGTAGAGGCCAGTGATCTGCTAAGTCCAAAGAGCTCTGGGGAGGAGAAGCAGCACATTCCCACCCAGGTGTTCACAATATTTGTTGCATTATTGACCATCTTGCATAGGAGAAGCCGGATGGTGTAGGGCCTGTTGATGACTTTGTTTGACACCCATTTGTGTGCAGAGGCAGCTCAGGCTAGACGCCATCTGTCCTGACTTGCTGGCCATATCGTCATGTAGCTGTCTCTTTGTGTTGATGGATTTCTTTGAATAGCTGAGTGAGTCGAGCATTAGCTAAGTCCATAAAAAATCAATGTATAAACCCTGATGTTCCTTACCACATTTTTTCTCACTCTAGAAAAATCCTAAAGACTGTGTCTCTGAGACTTGTCTATAATTTAAAGAAATGCACATGATAACAAGGAGAAAGAAAGATATATAGAGATATTATATCCATCACCTTTAAAATCTAAACATATCTCAAACTCAATTCTTTTCCCCTTTGTTCTTTTTAAACACATTACCCACACAGTGAAAGAGGATTATCCTGTGCCTGTCACTTTTTTGGTGCTTCTAGTGCTTGGTTGTGTAACCAAACATATTAAAATTAAAATCCATATGAACAAGCTGTTGAAGATTACATCTAAAAACAGGGCTGATGGCAAATGTGCTATGTACTGAGGGTTGTCTTTGTCAGGGAAAGACACTTGAAATGGTGTAGTAAACATGACTTTTTCCCCAATCTGAGTAAAAAAATTCATGCAAAGAATTAAAGCTTTCACGGGTGTCTTCTGGTGGTCATCCCCACTTTCTAATCTTGCTATACTTCCTTAGGTCCCTGCTCCTTCCTAATAATGACTTTCTCTTCAAACTAGGCCTTGAGGGTCATTTACCCTTTGGGAAAAATCCACTCCCCACCTACAGGGGCTGATGTTGCCAGAGGATCCAGTGGCCTTCCCAAGTCTGAGCTATTTCTTCCAGAGAGAAATACCCAGGAGCTTCAGCAAGACAGTGAAGAGGGGCCTCTGGCCCTTCAAGTCCTGCAAAGCAATCTCATGTGGGAGGAGTCACTCTAATTGAGCCTTCTTCAGATCTTCCCACCAGTGTAGTTGTTCCTACTTTTCTTTGTCTTCATTTGCCTGATAGATACCTGCTGGTTCATATGGAGACATATATGTGTGCATGGGCTTCCCACTCGCTGTTTTCTGAAGGTCAGGCCTTCCTTTCCTGAGTAGGAAGCCTATATTCCTACTCTGTTGTCATAAACTGGAAGCCAGTGGGCAGAATTCTAACCATAAATATTATTTATTTGGCTTCCATAATGTTCTAAAACATTTTTAAAAATTCACTCAATCTATCTAGCTTTTCAGTGTCTTTGGAAAAATCAGAATCTGTGGCAACCCTAGAAGGCATTTCTAGAAGGTGACATAGCTTCTGAGTTCAGAAGCAGCCAACTATTAGGCAGACCGTGCTATAGGACTGCCTGCCATTCCCCAGTGTCTTAATATTTTTCTTCCTCCTTTGGTTTTCGATTCCTGGTTTAAGACCATAAGGAAGAAGAAAAACTTTTCAGATCAGACACCTCTCTCACAGTGGATTTGGCAGAACTTATTAATATACAGAGCAGTATTAGGTTCTTTATTTCTACTCTCACTCCTCTCTCAAATTGTGATTCTTAGGTCTTCCAGGAATAAAAAATAAAACCAGCCCTTTAATAAAACATAGAATTTCTGTGGCTGTGCTTGCTTAGCTACATGAGACCTGACAGAAACTTTGAAATGCATACACATAAGGGCTGGATCAAGCACCTTCTATAAAGCCTCAACCTCCTTCCAGGAGGAAGGTAATGGGAGTTCCTTCTTCCAGGACTGGTCAAGGTTAGTAGGTTTTGATACCATCATATAAACACAGAGTTAGTTTCCTAGAAGATGCCTTATAATTCATTAAGTTCAATAATACTCCATGGAAGGATATCCTATAGAGTATTTGATTCCTCTTCTTGATCACTTCTAGAGATAAAGTGTTTCTCTATTATAAATATTATCCATTTTTGGACTTGTCCCCTATAAAATGGGTCTAAAGTATTAAACTATGCCCTTTCTCATAGGGTTTTTGTGACAAGATTTATATTTGTTGTTTGGTTCTGGAAAGTTGTGTCTTTTCCTGAGCCAAAACTCATCTCATACCTTCTCCTAATTATCTCCCATAGATCTTCTCAGTCTCTTCCCTCTTCTGCATAGAATCCTTTCTAATATTTTATGACATTGCTACTTTCCATGGTCCCAATCATGTTTACTTTAGACATCACCAGTTATTTCAATGCTTTCTCCTATGGAATAGTTTCTAGAGTGATCATCATTTTAATAAATTTATATTTTATATTGTGTTTTAAAAGGAAGTTCTTTTGTTTTGGAACGTTGAATGTCATACCTAGCAGTAAACTAAACATGCTTTTTTCTATTTAATTTCAGGAGAGCTTGCACAGACAGAGAAAGTAATATGTGCCAGTAGGTCTGCTGAATTGCACAATCAACCATGGGGGGCATCATTCCCATCATGGTCCATGTAAACAGTATACTCTGTAGTTGTGCATGCGGTGTGCAGCCTGAGTGACCCTACATAGAAGTCCCTGACACATCCCAGAGAGAAGTACCAGACACATATGCAGAATAAGCATTAGCATATTACCAATTTCCAGGGTGTAAGAAAGAAGGCAAGCAGTTCATTGCAAGAAGGAAGAAGTTGGTGGTATGGATTTCATTGGGGTGAGCTATAAATGTTTTGAGTTCTCCCTGTTCCTACACCTACCTGCCATGCATGGGAGGGAATGCTTCCCTGCTTCCCCCTCGCATTAAACCAAATGAAGAGGGTTTTCAGAGCATAACTCAGAGAAAATGGTCCTTGCCTCTGAATTTGGAGAATGCAGTGAAAAATATGTACTTTGAGATATAAGTCTGTCATATAAGCACAGTATTCCAAACATTATCGGTTTGATGCAAAACACAAAGGAACTTTTATATCTGAGAGCATAAACCAGTACCACATTGATAGTTTTAGTTACCATGTCACAAAATTGCCTTATATTCCGTTTCCAAGCAACTAAAATATCCAGGTATTTCCAGATGAACTGAAATTTGGTCACATATATTGATACTTTATATGGGCAAATAATTTTTTGAAAATGAATCTGAAGCAACTTGCTACGGAAGCAGCATCCCTGAATGTGAGGATTTACAATGCCTTGGTTTGCATCTTACCTCGTTTACTTTGTTGGCCAATCATTGATCTCTCTGAGCTTCAATATCCTCATCTGTACCTTGAGAATAATGCCTCCCCCAAGGAATTGTGGAAGTTAAATGAGATGATTTGTGTAGGTTGTTAGCACATTGGAAGCACTAGATAAGTACAAGTTCCCTTCTGCCTTCTTTGATGACACCCACAATTTGTGATTTTGCTCATCTCCAACCACCCTCCATGGGACAATGTGACACAGGGATTGAGAATGGTTGCTAAGGAGGAGGAACTACTTATAAGCATGTGACTTCAGGAAAGTTTCAATTCCCTGCTTCTCAGAACCTTTCTTTGTAAAAAGGGGGAAACAATAGCTTTTAAGCATAAGATGAGACATGGCACTTGAAGCATTTGGGCACAGAGCCTGGCACACATCATATGTTCAGTACTTTTTAAATTGTCATTACTCCTCCCCCAGCGACCATGACTATAGTGGGGTTTATTTGCTTTGATGGCAGGGCCCAAAACTGTCCTTCAGAAATCTGACTAAAGGGTGTCTTTGAAACACTATCTTTGTTTTGTTACAACTGAAGAGCCTTTAAATTAGTTAGTCTGGAAATCAATAGCCGATTTCTAGCAGGGGAGGTAGAAGGAAGGATGGCCACAGCACTCCATTTTGAAAGTCTGATTCATTTTGACCCACATCGTCTACAAAGTCTTCTGCCAATTTCTCTGAGAGACATCCTCCCCCAAATTCTAGGTGATCTGTTCTGTTCCTCATAAATAACAAGGTAACTTTGAGTCTGTCACTTTCATTTCACCTGTCAGCTCTTCCTTTTATGGAATTGACCTGAAGAGAAGTGGCTTTCCTCTTCTTTTACCTGAATTCACTCTCTGGCTGGTTCCTCTACTAACACTACATTTTTTGCCATCCTCCCTTGGTCATCACCTACAATGTTTCCTGCTATGTTACTTCCCTGTACCTCTCAGGACTACAGGGGACAACCTGGGTTATTAGGAGCTAAGCTGCAAAGAGATGGAGAAATGAAAATTTACACTTGTACTGGCCAAAATTTAAGATTTGGGATATAGTAGTGTTTAACAACCTTTTTATAACTAATGGGCCCTTGTATAATTTTTTTGAACTACTATGAATGTAGTGTTTCGATAAAGATTACTTTTATGCAGGAAAAACAACAAATAATGTCTTCCTATGAGAAAGCCAAATGTACCACAATGAGATGACCCACTATAATTATTATAAAAAAGAAAAAAGCAATTTTTATTTGGCTTGGGCCATCTTGCCCTATGTAATTCTCATTTCTTTTAGGCTTGTGGAAATCCTGAGAATAGGTTGCAAACCCATATTATTACCTTAATAAACCCTTAGGTGTTGGTCACCCTAGGTTGGGAATGACTGAGCATGGCTTTAGCTGGAATTATGAAAGCAAAATCATTTAGTGATAAAGGTGCTTTGTCTGAAGAATATAATAATTTAAAATTCTAATTTATTTTCTTTTTATTTGTTTTTTAATGTTATGATGTTTGTCTTAATATCATAAATTCTCACTTATTTAATGACAGATTAGCTGCATTCTCTTAACAGAGGTAGCATGGGGAATAAAGCAAGAGCTTTGAATCAGAAGGATCTGATTCTTCCACCTACAAGCTGATACCTTCATCAATCTGTAAACCTCTCTGAGGCGTAGTTTCATCATCTATAAAAAAGATCAAGAACACCTACTTTATAAGATTGGTGTGAGGATGAGAGGTGATGTATGTACAGGGAAGATAGTGACTGGCACAGTGTAGGTGTCTAATAAAGTGTAGTTATCATCATGAAGATGGATAAATTACCATTTTTGAATGCTTGCTATATACTAGGCCCTCCTCATTTTCTGATTAGAAAATAGAGGCTTTGGGAAACTAGCTTTCTCGAAATCACATAGCTAATTTATGGCTGTATTCATCACCACAGGCCAGCTTTGCTGTGATAACCAGCAGCCCCCAGAACTGAATAGTTTTAATCAGCAAAGATTCATTTCTCATACATGTCATGTCCATCATGGGTTTGTGTGTGGCTCTGTGCCACATCATCCTCAGTGAGGAGGATAGGCTGAGGAAAGCACCAGCATCTGGAATGTTGCTGGTTACTGGGGCCAATAAAAGAAAGATGAAGAATTCTGCGGGATCTCTTAAAAGATTCTACCCAGAAGTGACATGCATCACTTTTCATATTTCATTGGCCAGAACAAGTCACATAGCCATCCATGCCTAACATCAAAGAGGTGGAAACATACAAGCCTTCCCTATAACCCAAAGTGATAACATCTTTAAAGTGATTGAATTCTAATTCAAACCTAGATCGCTGGTTTGCATATGGACAAAATAGGGGAACTGGAACCTCTTACTTCTTCTTAAATCCATTTTTCATAACATGGCCTTTTTGGTACATCCGAAAAAAATTCTCAGAATTTACAATATCACAAGCATAACTACTCAACTCTTAAGTGCGAAGGTATAATGCCAAGAAAACTAGATGAGATTTGTGGGTTTTCTACTTCTTGTGATTATGCATAATGAAACTATGCACCTTCCTTGTCGACTTTGCCTCTTTCTTTTTCATTTATTTGCCTTTTAAGTGAGTAAAGTTGTATATTCCCCTCTCGACTTCCTTTCCCTACTTACAAAATATTTCTCCACATCATAGCACACTCCAGTGTTAACCACTTTGCTTTTTCCCCTTTGGCTTACAGCTTAAGAAATAGCCTTGTTTGCTTTGTATGAATATGGAACACATTGGAACAATGAGCACCATAACATTTTGTGCTTCTGATTCCAATGTTGCAGAACCTTGGCTCATCAGAGCATTTTTCTCACGTCCTGTCTGACTGACCGTTTAGCTCAGGGATAAAAGCTCCCTAGGGTGACAGACTTGCACAGGTGCAGAGAATAAACCCTGTTGTCATGATTCTTCCTCCTCAACCAAAAGGTGGATTTTGATGTGGCCTTTAACTGAGAGAAAAACTTATTGAAAAAGTAGCCCAGAGGAACGAAGAAACCCCACAATTCTGATCTTGGGTCAGCTATGGGGATCATATTACAAACTGTCAATTTATCAAGGAATCCCCAGATTTTTCTTTTCAAGTGAATCTGCGGAGACTTAGGAGCATGGTTGTGCTATTTTAATATGCCTATTTATTAATTTATTTTTACTGCTTTGGGTTTTCCTGCAATTCACCAATGAATAATCCCTCTCTCCAAACTCCCACTCCAGAAATGTGTTTTTCTCTTTGTATTTTCTTTGATGTTTATTCCACAACTTCCATTGAGTTATTGTCTTTTATCATAACAAGAAATTCTCATTAGTTCTGAATTTGTTATCACTCCAACAGCAACAAAACTTTTTTTAACCTATGTGCCCTTAGGGAGGAAGTGTTGGCTAAGCAATTTACTAGTGAAAGCATGCTTGTCTGGAGAGTATTTAAGTCCTATGAGAAAAATCTATGAACTCCTTTAAGGGTGCTTATTTCCATGAAACTAATATGGTCATTACCAAAAAGAATCTTTACCTATCAATATCTATGTCTTAAAGTCCCATCAGGTGGCATTTCCTTAATCAAGTCTGAGTTACAACATGAATGCGTAAGTAATAAAGTTATGTTTATTCTTTTTTTAAAGGTAATATAGGTCACATGGTTTTTTCTATGAGCTTGAGTATCATCTACCTCTCAAATGAACAATCCTAGTCTTCTGTTCGAGACCATGAATCTACTTATAACCTAAGTTTAAGAATCATAATTTTCTTGTCTATACAATTTAATTCAAAGGTTGTGGAGAGGAACAGAATAAGGCAATTCAGCCAGCAGTTTATGATGCAGGAATACTTGAAGACCAGTGCTGCTATGCTTCCATGGAAGAGCCAACTCAAAGTCATTTAAACCAAATGAAGCTATAAAAATGTTTTGGAGATGGTGGCTCTTAAGGGTGAGAGGGCATGGAGTATACTATTTACTCTGTCAGAAAACAGATGTGTGGTAATGAATGAAATTCCTGCTCTTCAGTTTTGTTTTTCACCAGCCACATTATTGAGTCACTGTGAGTGATGAGGGTTGGGAGAAGAACAGTTGGCACAATTGAGAACAGCTTTTATTTGAGATCAGTGACCCTGCATTTATTACCTTCTCTTTGTGAGGTTATGTCTTCTTACCTCTTGGATGTGGGAAGCAATACAGCAAAGTGTTTAAGAGTGCGGGTTCTAGAAACATAGACAACGGGATTTGAATCTCAGCTGTGCCACTTAGTAGCTGGTATTTAATCTATCTGAACCTCAGCTTCCTCATTTGTAAAACAGTGATAAAAATAAAACCTACCTTACAGGTGCAAAGATTCAATGAGTACCTGATATTTAGTAAATGGTCAATGGATATTTTCTGATCTTGGGCCAGGTGGAGCCTTAGTTCTGTGAATGCCAAGTATAATGTCTATTTCTAATGGCAAACAGTAGTGTCAGCCATCTGTAGCTGTTTCAGAAACACTGGATCAAGTAAGCTAACCTATTCTTCTATTGGATCAGGCCATTGTGATGGCTCTACTAAGTTCCTCTCCCAAAATTCAATGCCTGTTGTTTAGAATGCATTTTTGGCTAATGGTGGACAATCACAGACATGCTGAGCTCCTTAATATCTCTCAAGTTCACTCATACATGGGTGGCACCAGAGCCAAAGAAATATCCTTTTATTACTCTTTTTATGTCACATTTTTCATGTCCTCTCCTCCAATTGGAGTGTCAAGGAAAACATGGATTACACTCTTTCTATCATTGTTCAAGAAATACTTGTTAAATACTTTCTAAATCATGGTAATTTCATTGATACTGAAGGAAAGAGCAGAAATTTATGCTAGGGTTGGAGAAGAGTAGACGTGAACACCAACAACACAGTGTGTGGTTAGGGGGCAAGAGTGACACAGACAATCCACAGTAGAAGAGGAGGCGACCTTGAAGCAGCAGCTTGACACACCTAAGCCCTGCTTGAATCCCATTTCCTTGATGAAGTTTTCTCCGCCTACCACTTCTCTTTCTTCTCTCCTTTCCTCAGTTCCAAATCACAGCCTCCATTCATGTTCAGATTACAGAAGCAAGGGCAGGGTCTACAGAGACTAGTTGAGTCCACCCTCATCTGGAGAGGCTTTGATGGGGAGTCTTGGCTTGGGGAAGACTTGCCTCTTTTCCCCAACTTCCATCTCCCCAGCCAACTCTTACGTATCTTTTTAGGGTCATCTTAAGCCCTGACTCTTCTGTGAGTTCTTCCTGAATTCTCTAGAGAAACATTTTGGGGTGGGGTGGGGAATGTATTTATCAGAAATATAATTATTGGAAAAAATGTAAAAATAAATGTCCCTTATTCTCCTTGGAGGTCTCTTAGTAGTTATTTCTCTCCAATGATCTTTATGTTTCTCTCTTCTTCTTTTCATCTTGTCCAGTCTCTTCCCTCTCCTCGTATAGCATCTCTGGGACAGAATGGTGAGAAATAATCAGGGTCTCAAGGATGGAAGAAATAATAATGTGGTAATTGTGGAGTGATGTTTAGCATCAGAGACAGTGGGTACATAGCTGGACCTGTTGTGGGGTGAGGGGGCAGGAACATTAGTTAGAAGACACCTTACACACATTTGCATCACAGCATTAGGCTTTTTGCTTTGTCATTCTTTGCATGTCATTTTACCCAATAGACTTCACATTTGAGGGAAGATAGGAGTTCTGTTCATCTCTGAGACCACAGGCTTAGAAAATGTCATTGATTTCCCATGGCCACTAAATAAGTCAGTTGACTGTCCCTATTCCAACTGATCAGTTTGCAGATTTGATGCAACTGAAACATAGGGATAGAAAGATCTGGAGACAGCTTGCCTATCCATGTTGTTCAGAACTCTAAATTAGGGATGCACATTTGAGTTAGTCACTCTATTCATTGAATATGCCTGCTTAGCCTTTCCTAGGTCTAATGCCATGCCTCACTAAGTGGATCACTGGAATTAAGCTTATTGTCTTAGTCTGCATGTGCTGCTATAACAGAATATTAGAGACTGGATAATTTATAAAAAATACAAATTCATTTCTCACTGTTCTAGAGGCTGGGAGTCCAAGATCAAAGTACAGGAAGGTTTGGTGTCTGGTGAGGGCTGCTCTGTGCTTCCAAGATGGCACTGGGTTGTTGTGTCCTCTGGAGAGGGGGAAAACTGGGTCTCACAAGCTAAAATGGACAGAAGGCAGTGAACCCACTCTCTCAAGCCCTTTTATAAGGGCCTTATTCCCATCCATGAGGTTTTACTCTCAGGTCTTAATCATGTCCTAAAGACTCACCTGTTAATACTATCTCATTGGTGATTAAATATCAACACATGAATTTTGGGGGACATTCAGACAATGGAAAACAACTTCAGAGCAGTGCACCCCTTATTATCAAAGGTTGGAAGTTAAATTTTGTACATTGGCACTTCATTCTTCAGCCTCTCAATGCGATAGTTTTGAGCAACCCAAGCTAACATTGGGGGATGTAAGGTATTAGGAAACTCGCTTGTAAATTTAACCTCTGCACAATGGAGCATGTCCTGAGGAAATGCTTACCTTATTCGCCTCCTACTGAGGTTTTATATAATGCTGATAAAGAAAGTAGCCCTGGATCACATCAAATCATCATGCTTTAAGGTCCTGACACTCATGGACTGAGATGGGAGTGGTAGCCTTGAAGATCTCCAAAAAGCCTTTGGGATTACATCTGGGGAGAAAGTCTTGGTAACCTGAACTCTGTCTTTCAGGAGAATAATAAACACATGGAAAACTTATTTCTTCAATCTATTCATTAATTTCTTCATTTGCCTATTTATTCAGCACCCCTCTGTGAGAGGCACAGAGCATTTGGTACTGGGAATACAAAGGTGTGGTCCTTGTTCTCAAAGTCCGTGAGGGTAAGTTACGTCTCCAATTGTGGTGATAAGTTAGGCCAGAGGTCAGCAAACTTCTTCTGTAACGGGAAAGATAGCAAGCATTTTAGGTTTCATGGGCCATAAAATCACTCTTGCAACTACTCAACTCTGCCATTGTTACATGAAAGCATAGGTCATTTGAAAAAAAAAAAAATGGGTGTGAGCATATTCTAATAAATCTTTATTTGTGGACATCAAAATGTGAATTTCATATAATTTTCGTGTATCATATAATATTATTCTTCTTTTGATTTTTTCCCAAGCATTTAAAACTGTAGCAGCCATTCTTAGTTTATAGGCTGTACAAAAACAGGCAGTGAATCAGATGTAGTTGGCAAACCATACATTGCCTACCTCTGATCTAAGACATGGTCACTGCTATGGTTTGAATTCGTCCTCCAAACTTCCTTTGTTAGAAACTTAATCTCCAAATTCATATGTTGATAGTATTTGGAAGTGGTGCCTTTGGGAGGTAATTAGGACTAGATAAAGTTATTAAAGTGGAGTCCCCAGTGATGACTCTGGTGGCTTTATAAGAAGAGGAGAGACCTGAGCTGACATGTTCTTGCCCTCTCATCGTGTGATGCTCTCCGCAATGTTATCATGCAGCAAGAAAGCCCCCACCAGATGTGGCCTCTTAACATCAGACTTCACAGCCTCCAGAACTGTAAGAAATAAATTTCTTTGTAAATCACCTTATCTGTGGTATTCTGTTATAGCAACAGAAAACAAATAAGACTGTCACTGATAGTTTAGATCTGTGATTCCTAAGTCCAGCTGCTGTTCACCCTGAATGAAGATCCAATCAACACTGTAGGTGTAATCCTTATCTCCCCGCTGCCCTTCTACTTCTCTCAATCTCCTGACCCTGACTCTCACTCCACAGGTCTTTCTATAAAACTGAAATCTTTTTATAAATTTATGATACTTCTGGGGACATCTGGGGACTTTTTTTTTCCTATGAGAAAGTGAAAAGGACTCCAGTGACTATTTGGTCTTGAAACAGTTTAATTTAGTTTTTTTCTTTATTCCCTTTCCCTATCTCCATTCTAGAAATTAACATAGAAACTCATTCTGGCTAAATTCCCAATACATTTTCACAGTGAGCATTTTCTGAAGTGAAAATTAGTAGCTTCCTTGCAGTTTTCATCAGGAATGTGAAATTGTGGAGCTCACAGGGGTGGAGAACTCAAACCCCATTTATGAATTAATACATGCTGTTGAGGGTACCTCACTGTCTGCAGAGTGCTGGCGAATCTTTTCTACAGAATCCTGAGTATCTAAATAGTATATTTTAATTTCCCTTCTCATTGAACCAGTGAGAAAATACCATTTTCTATTTGCAAAAATGAATTTTGTAACAACTAGTATCTATATAAGATTACATTATTTACACCATCCTTAGGGATTGGCAGCACCTGGGGCAAGTTACAGTGTATCTTTCTAGTTCCTCCTCCTCCTTCCCCAGTCCCGATTTTTATCCAGGTGAAATCTAGTTACAGTGAGCATTAAGGGCAACCTCAAATGGAAACCAATGTTAGTGGGGATAGACATACGGTAGGGGACACGGGGAGATGACCTCTGCCTTAGTCTAGCTCTGGCCAGTTGGGCTCTGAAGCAGCCTTGAATCCTTCAGTCTCAGGACCTAAGCTATTGGGCTAGCATCATATTTTTTTTTTTTTCTTGGAATGGCTCTGGTCACTCAGGTCCAAAACCTGTAATGGTATAGAATATCTGGCTTCTCTGGCAATTTATAGGGGCCACGGAAAAGTAAATCAACTTGTAATTGTTAAAGGCATTTGTAGGCTGAAATCAGATAGATCTGGATTTGAATCCTAGTTTTTCCCATTGGAAGCCACTGTAGATGTCAGAAAAAATAACTAATTTCTTTATGTATTAGTTTTGATAGCTATGAAATGGAGAAAAAAACCTGTCTCATAAAATGAAGATGAGGATTAAATGAGATAGTAAATGCTCAATAAAAGGCTGAGGAGAGCATTTAGTAACAACTCGTTACAAATGCCACCACTCAAGAGTTTCCTTTTTTCCCTTCACTCATGCTGCAAACATTTATTAAACTGTTGCTTCCTTCTGAGAATATAGAAAAATGGAATAGATGTACAAAATGAAATGGAGGAGCTTGCATTTGAGTAGAAAAGGCAGCATCTACTTCAGCAAGTGTTATACAGGGGGTAAGCACAAAACAGGCATATCCCAGCCGAGTGGCCCCCTGAGGCCAGAGTCATTAGCACACCTGAGGATGTCAAAGAGGAAGTGTTTAAGCTAAGTGTTACAGGATGAATAGAAGTTTTCCAAGTAGTCAAGGGTGAAAGTATGTTTCCACTAGAGGGATAGCGCAAGAGTTTGGTTTTGCTAGAGTTTAAGGTAGTGGAGAAAGTGGTCACACAGGCTCGGGAAAGACACTGGGGCCAGGTGATGAGGGCCCCTGAATGTCACACTAAGGAGTTTGAACTCTGTCATACTCAGTGGGTCTTTACCACGTGAGGAAAAGCAGAATGACGTTAATGAGGTGATGCTCTTCCCACCTCTAAATGTGGCTGACCCAGAATAGAGACCCTAGAAAGCTCAGTCACCACTGATGCGTCCAACCCTTCACTTATACATGAGGAACCTGAGGCCAGAGATCAAGTCATTCTGCAAAACACCTGACCAAGCATGAACAAAACAAGAATAGGTTATCTAAGTCTAGTGCTTAAACTTCCTCCACATTCAGATCCTCCTTTAAATCCAGGCTGCTTCATCTAAGCCCTGCATTCCATGTACTGGATTCCAATGTAAGTACTGTTTCTGGGTGCTTTACTGAATAACTGCGTCTCCCCCATCTTCTGAAAGCCAGCTCTGTCAGCCCTGCCCACTGGAAGTGGGGACCTCAGCTAGGAAGAAGGATAGGGGTTTTCCAAGGAGAAAATGAGTCGATTGTAATGCCTTACAGATGCAGAAACAAATTCAAAACCCAAAACAGATTGAGAGACGTCCTTCTTTCCCTCAAATTTGCAATCGCTGTTTTAGCACTGGAAACCACCGCATCACGCAGTAGCTGCTCCCTGCTCTTATTACCCTCAGCCGCTACCCAGTCCTTCCTTCCCCAGGGCCTAGCAGGAAGCACGCCAGCCAAAATGTGTGGGTGTGCCTGTGTGTGTGCACGAGTGTGTTTGTGTTTTCATGTTACAGATACCTGGGGAACTCGCGCCCTAGAGCAACAGAGCAGGGGCTTGCTTGGGTCTCCTCCCTATCAGGGCCCAGAAAAAGGGGTAGAAGCTGGCTTCACTTCCAGCTTCCGCAGGCTCGGTTCCAGTAGCGCCTCCGCTTCTCCAGACCCTGGGCGCTTGCCTCTCTCCTCCCTTAGCAACAGGGAAGCTGTGGATACCAACGGAGGGTGGGAGCCCGGGAGGCTGCGGGTAGCCCGGGCGCCCAGGGGCGGCGGCGGCCCAGCCCAGGTGCCCGCGCACAGGGGACCTCGGTGCGGAGCCACCCCTCGAGCGCGACTGTCGCAGCGCCAGCGCGCACGGGGCCCCACGCACCCACCCTCCGCACCTGCCGCGGGGTCCAAAAGGGATCCTGCAAAAATGAGCCATTCTCACCCCGCTGGGTAAGTGACAACTGGAGCTTTTCCACGCTGTGGCAGGTGGCGGCTTCAGCCAGCTGCCCCTCCTCCTCCCTCCTGCTGCGGAGGGAAGGGGCGAGAGGGGAGCGAGGGGGAGGGCTGGGGAGAGGAAAATATATACGAATTCTGGGTTGCAGCGAGGATGGCAGAAATCCCAGGCATCATGTCTCCTCCCTCCCCTTCTTCGTTTCTTTCACCCACGTTCGCCCCTTTTGAAATTTTCACCCTGGAAGGATTAAAAAATGGAAGTGAAAAACGCATACATTAAGCAAGGACCTTCGCTGGGATCAAGAAGATCCTGTGGTGTGGAACATGTGTGTTTAGATGCAAAAGAAGAGGTTACCAAAATAAGAATTCGTTTGGAGATTTGAGAATGAGAGATGCATTCTCACCTTAGCTTACATATAAGCGAGGTGTGAGTTCATTCAGTATTGAAAGATGTTTCATTGGGAAAAGGGGGTATTATTTCAGGGATTTTTTTCTGCCCAATCTCAAAAGGACCATAAGGGTCTTTAAAAAGTATTTTAATAAAGGAAGGTTATATGGCACAGGAAAAGAGAGGGAGGAGTTGTGTGCCTGTGTATTTACTCATGATCTTCAGTTGCTTTAGGTAGGTGAACCCCTTAGATAACCTATTTTGGCAATTTTCAATGTATTCTAGAAAGAACACCGTCATTATTGGCTGTTGCAAAAAAAAAAAGTTTCTTTTTTTATTGGAAGGGAGAATATCCAATTTCCTCCTGAATTAAACAATGTAATGCATATTAGACGATTTTTTATTATGATACATCTAGTAAGAAGATAAATATCCTAGTCAATCTTGCAATTAAATTGAAGGCACTTTCCTTTTTAATTGCATTTATTGCACATTTTTAGGAGCAGCAAATTAGCAGAGGACAACATATTTGAGATCATTTGGAGTTTGTGATGTTTGAAGTACCACATTAGTCGTTGTGTTGGAACTTATACCCAAACTTCAAGATTTTACTTTTTAATGAATTCTCTGAGTGTAATGGCGTAAATGAAAATGTTTGAAAAAACTAAAGCCATATAAGGTGCCACGTTGGAAATCAGTTTCAGAACTTTTAGAAAAGTGATATAGCTATGATTACATAAACTTTTTGTTTTATCTCAAGTTGAATTTAATTTAGGTACTTTTTAACATTTTGATGCTGAACTCCTGTGCAATTTTTAGTTATCTGTGGGTCATGTAAGATGCTACGTAAGATGCAAATAGCACTATTTTTCAGCAGCTGATGTTTGCAGTATGTTTGCATTTGGGAAAATAAATATGTCAGTCATGGTTGTCTTCCTATGTTTTTCAAGTTTTTGGCTAGTTAGAATCTGATTAGACCATTTAATAATCTATTTTAAAATGTGAGAAAAATGTAGCTATTGATTAAACTGTGCATGATTAAGATTTCAGAAACTGAAGTCAAATTTTTCTGAAGTTCCATTAGTTCCAAGCCTATGGGGAAAAGGGAAATTTGTGATTTAATGCAAGAGTATGTTTCATGGTACTCTTCAGGAAAGGTGTTAAGATGGCAACAAATACTTTGCACTTAAATGGTAAGCTCCTGAAAAGTAGGCACCATATTGTATTAATTTCTCTGATCCCTTCACTTAGGACAGTGTTCAGAACAAAATAAAACTCAACAAATGTGTGCTGAATAAATGGTATTGCCGGATGGTGCATCCAATCTAGAGATGCATGTATTCGGAAATGAAAATTGTGTTAGAACTAAATATTTATTATGTGCATACGATGTGCCAGGCTCCATTCTAGTGTTTTATATGAACTACCTTATTAAATCTTCCCACTCATGCTGGTTTTTAGTTACCCTCATTTTTACAGATAAGGAATTTGAGGACTTATTGGGGGAACCCGCCCCCAATATTTCAACATAGATTCTTTATATTTTCCATGAGTGTCGGCCAGCTGAGAAATAAAGAGAGACAGTATAAAGAGAGGAATTTTACAGCTGGGCCACCAGGGTGACATCACATATTGGTAGGACTGTGATGCCCACCTGAGTCTCAAACCAGCAAGTTTTTTATTAAGGGTTTCAAAAGGGAAGGGGGTGTAATAACAGACAGTAGGTACAAAGATCATATGCTTCAAAGGGCAAAAAGCAGAACAAAGATCAAATGCTTCTGAGGGAACAGGACAAAGGGCAAAAGCAGAACTACTGATAAGGGTCCAACAAAGATCACAAGGCAAAGGGCAAAAGCAGAACTACTGATAAAGGTCCAACAAAGATCACAAGGTAAAGGACAAAAACAGAGCTAATGATAAGGGTCCAACAAAGATCACAAGGCAAAGGGCAAAAGCAGAACTACTGATAAGGGTCTATGTTCAGTGGTGCACATATTGTCTTGATAAACGTCTTAAACAACAGAAAACAGGGTTTGAGAGCAGAGAAATGGTCTGACCACAAATTTACCAGGGCGGAGATTTTCCCCCACCCTAGTAAGCCTGAGGGTACTGCAGGAGACCAGGGCTTATATCAGTCCTTATCTCAACCGCATAAGACAGACACTCCCAGAGCAGCTGTTTATAGACCTCCTCCCAGGAATGCATTCCTTTCCCAGGGTATTAATATTAATATTCCTTGCTAGGAAAAGAATTTAGCAATCTCTCTCCTACTTGCATGTCCATTTGTAGGCTCTCTACAAGAAGAAAAATATGGCTTTTTGCCCAACCCCACAGGCAGTCAGACCTTATGGTTGTCTTCCCTTGTTCCCTAAAAATCGCTGTTATTCTGTTCTTTTTCAAGGTGCACTGATTTCATATTGTTCAAACACACATGTTTTACATCAATTTGTATAGTTAACAAAATTATCACAGTGGTCCTGACGTGATGTACATCCTCAGCTTACGAAGATAACAGGATTAAGAGATTAAAGTAAAGACAGGCATAAGAAATTATAAAAGTATTATTTGGGAACTGATAAATGTTCATGAAATCGTCACAATTTATGTTCCTCTGCTGTGGCTCCACCTAGTCTGTCTGTTCGGGGTCCCTGACTTCCTGCAACAAGGACTGAGAAGTTTCTAGAGGTAGCATTGCTAGGAAGGGTAAGGGCTGGAATACAAAGCCAGACAATATAGGATCAGAGTCATTTCTCTTCACCATCACACTATGTTGCCTCACATGGTCAACAACTGAGATGTGCAGGAGCCTAAATATATAAAAATTTGTGTTGGATCAGACCAACATCTGATAGAGGATGGCTGCATGTAAGTATCTAGTATTTTGATAGATGATTAGAGGCTAATTTCGTAATAGTGTGTGTGTATACATTTTTTGGTTGTAATTTATCAAAAGTAAATGAAAACAATAAGCACAAATACAACAAATCTAAATGTCTTAAAATTCACCCAAGAACAAAATTATTTGAATTGCTAAAGTTTTTCCTCAAATAAAAGTAGTGACTTTTTCTTGCTTATGTTACCATTTGGAAATAATAAAAGTTTCAGTAGCAAATAAAAGGTTTCATTAAAGCTGAGAAGGCTTTTCTATCATTACTGAAGCAGTTTGTACTTGTTACATTTTAAGGGTAAAATGGTAACAAAGTGCAGTTATACACTAAAACAAAAATTTTAAATCCCTCAAATGCCACCAATCAATAAATGATGTCCTGATTCCTTCTCTTAGTGCTTCCTTTGATTTCCATTGCTTACTTAATTACAGCATGAAGCACTTGATGTAAAAATTGCAAAGGGCCTGTGCCGGCTTTGTTCAGATAGAGTTAGGAGTAAATAAAAATGGTTTTTAAAACTTCTGCCAAAGATAATAGAGATTTTGAATCTGAGCTGCATCATAATTTCGTAGAAGTCAACTATAAAATACCATTTCCAGCATTGCTATCTTGAATGAAATTGTTTTAGAGTGGAAAATTACAATTGATTGTCCTTCTAGTTTGCTAAATCTCACTCATGTTGCTATTTATGTGTGTGTTTGTGGGTTGTGCATGAGTTCTAGAGGTGGAATGGTGGTTTTATATCCCTCAGTCATGCATGAGGATAAAATGATATGTCTCTTCTGGCTCAAGTTGGCTTTCTGTGTAAAAGATACACTTGGCTGTAAATAGAGATAGTTGCACTCATCTGTAAATTTTCTTTGAGGAAGGAAGAATGAGAAGCATTATAGCTCATGACAAGAAAAAAAATGCAGAAGACATATGTTTTGAAAGACTGTTCAAAGGTTTAGAAGCATTTTTTGTTAGTTTAGGCTTATTAGTTTATACCTTTTTAATGTAAAGAAGTGTTTCTGTAATGACAGAGTACACTGAAGCATGGTAAAGAAAGAATTAATACATCCTTAGTACTCCCTGATAATGCAGTCGTTTTTCATCGAAGGCAGATTAAAAACTACCGTTAGGTCAAGCTGTCAATTTTACAGAGTATGTGTATCCAGGAGAGACAGCAATGATAAACCCACCACATTATTTCCTAAAGAAAGGTCCATTGCATTCTTAAGTAGCATACGTTTCTTGCCTCCCGAGTTAGCAAACTGGGATGTACTTTGGATAGCTACAGTAACATTCTAGTCTGTTTGTTACCCACTTGCACCACCAAAATTATCTCTTTCACACAGAATTTCAGACTTTAAGTCATTAAATATTTAAATTAAACTTTGGTAGTTTCTATTCACCCTCCTGTTAAATATTAACAAATTAAGGAGTAAATTGATTGTGCTTAAATGAGTTGAATTGCACAGGCTTATTTGTTGTGGCTTCCACTGTAAAGCATTTCATGTTATAGATTCTGCTCTTTTAAATATATATATGTATATGTCTTTTCTTCTCTTACTCCTTTAACAAACATGTTCATGTAAGTAGATGGGAATGGAAAGGGGTTTGTTATGGCAATGTCATTTAATTCTTTGAATTCCTTCAGAGTTATAAGCCAAAAATCACATAGTGATCAGACACAAAAAATGTTTTTGATGATCTTTCAAATGACAGCTCAATTAGGTCCTTCTTCAACTATATTGAAATCTAAGCATTGGAAACTACAGTGTTTGACTTGCAATTAGATTTGTTGCCCAGTCATGAAAGTCATTTGTTGTATCAATACCTGTGCAATACTTCAAATTGTCTGTTTCTCAGATGTTTTTCTAAGCTCAAAGCACTACCTAATAAGACCACCAGATGAAGAGAGATGTGTCCTTCTGCTGGAAAATTCAAAGATAATTATAAAAAAGTAGGTGGAAATCAACATGACTGGAAGTGCATTTTTCAGGAAGATCAATTTTAAGGGAGTACAAAGCAAACTTGAGCAATAGAAATTGATTCCCTTAAAACAATTCTATTGGCCCATTCTTACACTGCTATAAAGATACTTCCTGACACTGGGTAATTTATAAAGAAAAAAGGTTTAATTGACTTATAGTTCTGCATGGCTGGAGAGGTCTCAAGAAACTTACAATCATGGTGGAAGGTGAAGGGGAAGCAAGGAACGTCTTACATCGCAGCAGGAGAGAAAGCAAGTGAAAGGGAAGTGCCACACTTTTAAACCATCAGATCTCATGAGAATTCCCTCACTGTCACAAGAACAGCGTGGGGGAAAGTGCTTCCATAATCCAATCACCTCCTACCAGGTCCCTCCCTCAACATGTGGGGATTAAAATTGAAGATGAGATTTGGGTGGGGACACAGAGCCAAACGATATCAACTATCCTTATCCAAGGTCCCCCAGGAAAGTCTTTGGGTTTCTCTCAGTCTCTGCTGAGAAAAAGCATCTCTAACTAGGAGGATAGGTGGAGATGTGCCTAACTTATTTTGATTATTAATAAATCCATGCTAGGTTTTTAGGGAGATGGGAAAATAAAACTTCTGATTCAATTCTGAATTTAAAAATCAGCCCCAAATATTCAGAACCTGAGGTAAAGTTTAATTATTTTTGAGATTTTTAATTTCTAGAGCTATCACTTTCAATTAAAACTTTAGCCATTGAAGGTAGTACTGAAATAATCTTCTAACCTTTAGTTATTCATTTTGGTACAGACCAAGAGAAGTGGTGTGCAGACTGAATTATTGGAATTTCCCCTGCTATGGCTTACTCGCTTCCCCACACAAATAGTTGAGAATAGTGTATGTTATGGAATGACTCCATACATGTCAGTCAGTTTAAATAAATCTGTCAAATTAGATGAGGATAAAATTTGCGAAAACAAAAAATCTAAGATTAAACATTCATATTGGTTTGTAAGTGTGTTTGTCACCTTTTTCTAAACTGGAAATCCTAAATGATATATTATGTGTATGATTCATATAAAAAAAGATAGAGGAAAATCAGCTGAGTCATAGACGAAATAAAGACCTTGGCATCACAAAAAAATAGTGAACAGATATATATTTATGCTTTTAATTAAAAAAAATTTAAGGTAAACATATTCATATACAGTTATTTCATTAATTTTACTTTTTGTTTAACTGACCAGCTACTAATCCTGATTATATTGAATAGGAAGACTTGTGCAGTGCCCTACTTGTACAATGTCTACATACTCAAGGGAGAATTATTTGAATCTGTAGGCACTGCATTTTGATGTTTCCTTTGTTTATTTCTTTGGCTTAGATCCATGGTTCTAAAACTTCAGCATACAAAAATTGCTGAATAGTACATTGAACACACAATCATGTGTTTTGCACTTCATGGGTTAAATAAGTGATTTTCAAGGATAGATTTTTTTTTAACCAGGTAGTATATTTGCATGTTGTGCTAACTAAAAAGTCGACCCAAACATAAGATAGGATTTACTATACCTCTGGGTTCCAGCACAGCAGAAGTCATTTGGTTCTTTCACTGGCCAGAAGCTCTAAAATCACTCTCTTCTTACACAAGTCCCAGTAAAGAAACACATCCTTCATTGACAACATCATTGCTGCAAATTGTCATATCAGGAAATATACTCGGATTAAAGTAATTCACCTGAGAGCTTGCCTTTTTGGATTAATGTTTTTCTGGAGGAAAGAGAAAAAGATGTGACAAGTTGAATAGTGCAGCTTGAAAAATCATACCTTACTGAGACTCTTTCAGTATTAGGATTAAAAATTTTTTTGACAATTGTAAAATCATTGCTTTCACAGTGAGCCACAAGAAGCATACTTTAAAAGTGAAGAACATTGAAGAGTGTAGATATATAGATTTCATATAGATCTGGATTCTTTAATAATTTCTTATTCTCTTATGGGTCTACTCGATCTTGCTGTCTTTATCCCCTTGTCTCTTTTGTATGGTTAACTTTTTTGGTCGATGAGCAGGTTACTGTGAAGTGCAGTTTTTTCTGACAGTAAAAGCATGGTTTCCCCATGCTCTGGGGACTTTCTTAGAGATCCTCATTATCCTCTTCTCTTTCTTCTGAGCTATCTACATGAATGTTCTGGGATGTAGAAGGTATCTATGCCCTTTTTTGATGGTCATCAATGATCTTTTTCTGTTTGCCAGCACAGATAATTCAGAATCAAGTTATGGTATTTTGGGTTTTTATGTACTCAGAAAAGATGTCCCTTATTTCTTCTGTCTAAATCCATGATATATACTTAGGTTGGTCACCTTTCTGGTTATTTCTGTGTCATGGACTTAATTGTGCCACCCTCCCTTCTGTCTGCCTCCCCCTCCCACTGTAATTTATATGTTGAAGTCCTAACCCTCAGTTCCTCAGAATGTGACTGTATTGGAGACAGGGTCTTTAAAGAGGTAATTAAGGTTAAATCAGGCCAATATCTGGACCCTAATCCAATGTGACTGGTGTCTTCATAAGAAGAGATTAGGACAAAGACATGCTCACAAACATGGCCATCTGCAAACCAAAAAGAGAGACCTGAAACAGACTCTTCTCTCATGGCCCTCAGAAGAAACCAACCCTGCTGACACCTTGATGTCAGATTTCTAGAACCATGAGAAAATAAATTTTTGTTGTTTGAGCTACCTGATGCCTTGTTATCGCAGCCCTACCAAACTAACGCAACCTGTTTGTAGCTGTTGATGCTCTTCATTACTTGGCTCTGCAAAGGCTGAAAGTGGTTTTTATGAGAAATGCAGAATCATTTAAAATAAATGATTGATTGATTGATAACATATGGGGGTCATGGGGGTCTTAGTCAATTTGGTCTGTTAAAATAGAATACCATAGACTGGGTGGCTTAGAAACAACAGAATTTTATTTCTCACGGCTCTGGAGGTTGGGGAGCCCAAGAGACATTTGCAGGGTCTGGTGAGGGCCTGCTCTCTGGTTCACAGATGGCTGTTTTTTTTTTTGAGACGGAGTCTTGCTCTGTCGCCCAGGCTGCAGATGGCCATCTTCTTGCTGGGCCCTCACATGGCAGAAGGGGTGAGAGAGCTTTCTGAGGTCTCTTTTTTAAGACACTAATTCCATTCATGAGGGTTTTTACCTTCACCTAATCAACTCCTAAAGAACCCATCTCCTAATACAATAACATTGTGGGTTAAGATTTCAACATATGAATTTTGGGGTGATACAGACGTTAAGTCTATAACATGGAGAATGGAGATTTGAAGCCAAAAGTTCAAAAGGGAGATAAAAGTCAAAGCTAACAAAAAATATAAGTAAAGACTTAGTGGGGAGAAATAATTAAGATAATAAATCAATGATCTCTACAGGTAAGTGTTGAACTGTTAAGTCTGATTAGTAATCTAATTACTTCCTACCTCTCAGTGCCTGATGCTGGTTGGAACAGAAAATTCAACATTTTAAGCTGGTGATCCATTTTTATGCGACTGTTATTATTTTTCTATAATAGTCATAAACATTTACAAATTAATGAAAATTCTCAGGGCAAAATATTGAAGCAAGGAAAGAAACAGCAGGGAACTAAACAGACAATATAAATTGCACATAGTAGTTATGAAACAGCATTAAAAACTAAGGATTTTAAATTGAATTGAATCATAGTGTTTTATAGTAGCAGTTAATTTGGCATTCTCTATATGCCATGGATTGTAATATTTTATATTTGTGAATATTATTTGGCTCTCATACAAAGAAGCTGTTTCTCTTCATTGCTTGCTCCAAGATATTTGCCATAATATTGTTTCTGTTGTTTAGATTGAAATAAAATAATCTGCTGTAAATTAGAATAATAGAGTTAGAAGGAACTTCAACTTTCTGGGTACTAGGGATACAAGTTTTTTTTTTTTTTAATCTTCCTTTTTGTATTTATCTGTATTTTGAAAATTTTTTACTTTGAGCAGAAAAATACCATGAGGAAAATCAAAATCATTTGAACTTCTACATCCATAAATAATTATAGTTTCCATTTTTATTATATTCCTATTTATTGTTCAAGTTGATTATTCTGTTTTTAAAACTATACTGATAAAGCTATACTACTTAAAGAGCTGCTTCTAAGACTATTTTGTCTTTAAAGTTATACCAACAAGTACCATACAGATACTTTCCTTGTAGCATTTGAATAGTTTTTATATCTCCCATGTAAATTGCAAACTCCATAGGGTGGAGACCATACCTGTCTACATCTTTGGGTTCTCATTGTATCCCAGGACTATGCCCCAAACTTAGCTCAATAATTCCTACCATATGTCTCTGACTTTAGTGACCTTAGGAATACATTCAGCTGAAAGTAACAGAAAGCCAAACTCCTAGTGGCTTAAATAATAATAAAAATTATTATTTATTTTATGAGTAGTCCTACAGGTAGGTGATTATATTTTTTAGTAATATCAGGACTTGGGGCAACATTTTTTTATTTTTTTCTGTGTTAGCAAGATGACTGCCCTAGATTCAGGCATTATATTCTTATCAAACCACTCCAAACCAAAAGGAAACAGATGGGTAAAAAGAAGACTTCTTTTTTTTTTTTTTTTTTTAACAAAAATCAGGAAGGACACCATTTTTAGAACCCTTCCATTAGACTTTCCTTTATTTCTCATGGACCATAACTGCAGCAATGGACATGCCTTGCTATAGGAGAGAGTAGGAAAGGGTGTATTTGACTTTCTAACTTCTTCTATGAGAGATAGGCAAGGAAGACAAGTTTGGGAATGGCTTCTAGTAGCCAGTCAACCATGTCCACTACAGAGCTTTAGTGACTGGCTGCTACTGGACTTCAGCTGAGTTTTAGATTGTCATATTTGCCAGATAGTTGTTGTGTGACCCTAAGCAAATTTTGTAATTTCTCTGATTCTTGTTTTTTCCCATCCTTGTGGGATTTATATCTGCTTTGTAGTTGTTGTTATGGTTAAATTAGATGCTGTAGTACATGTAGCACAGGGCCTGACACATAGTATATGTCAATATGTTCGCTTGGTGTCTGGTAGCTTATAATATTGATGGTACATAAGTAGGCACAGATTTCTACAGGACAACTTCCATACCTAAGTCCTGAGCTAGATGCAGAGTTGGGTTAATTGGAGAAGGCATCCTGGAGAGAGTAATTTGGGGAAAGAATGTTGAAGAAGGGGAAAGACATACAATGATATATCTGGAAACATTTTTAATTTTTTTAGAGATGTGATCTCACCATGTTGCCTAGGCTGGTCTCAAACTCCTAAGCTCAAGCAATTATCCCACCTTAGCCTCCCAAATAGCTGGGATTACAGGCGTGAGCCACCATGCCTGGTTGGGAAACATTTTTAAATAGTAAAAAGCACTCTTTAAAAACATGGTATAATTTCAGTCATCACTGCAGTAGTCTATTGTGACTTCAAATAAGTGAGAGGAGACAGCAGCATTACCTATTTAGGTGACATGTTCTTAGAAGCAGGCAAGCATGCTATAAAACCATGTGAAAGCTGGCCTGTAAGGAGAAGTTAATGCCTCTAATTAACTTTTGTTTTTAAGTTCTACTTACTGTGTCTTACTTAGTTTTTGGAACCTTGAGTAGAACACTAACTGTACATACCAAATTAGGATTTTTCCTTTTTTTTAACAAAATGATATTTGCCTTCAATTTTAAGTCATAAATTAATTTCAGATTTATTTCTGATCATCTCCTAAGCCTTTATAAAAATGAGTTTGAACATTTTTTTTTCTGTTGAAGTCAATAGTTGGGAATCTCTCTGCAACTGCAACAAATGAATATTTCACCACAACTCATAGGGATTTATGTAAGATTATGACTTTTAAAATCTTCTTTCCCATAGTTCTTCTTTCCTTTCAGTCAAGCTGGAGACATGGAACTTCAATTCATGCTGGAATCTTCCAGAATAAAACCTTAGGGAGTGAGTGAGGCTGGCCTCAGGCTGCAGTGTGTGAAGACGAATATTGAGATTCCAATCCTTGGTGAGGAGACTGGCTCAGAAAAATTAATGGAAAGTCTGATGTTTCAGGGCCACATGCAAGAGCATGGAGCAAAAATCAAACTTGAGAATGCTGTGACAGGGAGAAGGAGAACTCAGGCAGGGTGATTAAAAGACAGAGATATTCAGAAACTGTAGTCAGGAGTGTGGGCAAAAAATGGGAACACTTCAAAGAACGAATGAATAAATTCCAACTGTCTGAAACGCATCTTTCCCACTTTTTTCTCTTCCTCTAAATTAAAAGGACTGATATTCCAAAGAGAAAAAAATCAATGTCCAGTGCAAAAAACTATGAGATAAACATGCTATTTCCGAAGAGGATTTATTTTTGGAGTCAGAAGGATGTAGCTTTAAATTCCAGTTATGCTTTATGTAAACTCAGGGGAGTTAATTTCTGCTTCTTATTTTCTTCCTTCAAAAATACGGGGCTAATAAATATCGACATATAATAGGTACTCAGTGAATGGCACCTATTGTGTATTTATTTTGATCTTTGTGTAAAGTATATGTTGCTTAAGTCTTTAGGATTTAATTCTTAAGGGACATAAACCCCAAATAAATAAAATATACAGTTCTAAATAAGCAGACATGTCCCAAGCTAATTGGAAGGGAGCATAGAGAAGGTGTTTCCAGTCAATAAATCACTTTCTTGTTCAATTAAACTAATTTCTTTTAAATGGACAACCTCTTCTTAGATTCATGAATCTTTAGAAAGAAAATTAACATTGACCTACCAATTCATGACCCCTCAAAATGAGGTTGCTCCTTTAAGGAAATCATTCTCTGAACAACTGAGAATTTGAATAAAAATGGAAGCAATGACCCAGAACATTTGTACCTCTCTAGCACACTTGCTCTTTTTATCAAATTTGAGAATTCAAGACAAACTCATGAAACTGCATCATTGCTTTGACATTGACAAATGGTAGAAAGACTGGTGAAAATCTTATGGGTATTATTTTTAAATGGCTGAGCATTTAAAATTTAGTCAACCTCTTTAACCTTTGCCCAGATGTCATTACCATTTTAAATCTTACTACTGCTCATAAGAATTACATTTTAGGGCACTTAGGAGGTTTTTAACATGGTTGATTATATTTTCCTTCTCAACACACATAGTAAGTTTATTGATTTGTTCTCTTTGGTGTCTGGCTTTTCTGTTTTGGTTTTTCTTCCCTTTTTCCTTTCCTTCTTCTTTTTTTCTTTCTCATAATACCTCGCTCTGTGGGATCATTTCTGAACATTTTCCCATCGTACATTAAAATAGTACTATTCACATTGAAAAGAATATGTGAGAGTTTTTTAAAAATTTGCCAAGTTTGATTCAGATAAGCTGACCCTATGACTTGCATCACAGAAAACTAGTGGAAATCACTGACAGCCATTAGGTACCATTCATAAGCATTTGTGGAAATACCCAAAGACTAGAAAGTAACTGAAAATTATATATACATGAGTAAAAGTATTTATGTGTATATGTATATATACACACATAATATATATATTATATATATACACATATACACTTGTATACACATATATACACATATATACACATGTGTATATATATACACACTATATATATATATATATATACACTTGTGTGTCTGAATGTGTGCACACATGTATATTGAGCCTTCTTATAATCAATGGATGGTAGTTTAAAGAGTTTAAGTAGGCTATTTGTATCTATAAAAGACTGTGTTCCAAGATCAAATATAAATAAAGAGTGATCAGATTTCCAAGCCAACATAGCCCTCTAAAGTATATTTGACACACAATGGTAACTGCCTTTATCAACAATTTACAGTTTAATAATACTGTAAACTCAATTCCCTTTTATTATATTAATTTTATGTTAAATTGTATTAGTCTGTTCTCACACTACTATAAAGAACTACCTTAGACTGGGTAATTTACAAAGGAAAGAAGTTTAAAGAGGTTCCTGGTAAGGTCTCAGGAAACTTGCAATGATGGTGGAAGGGGAACCAAACATGTCCTTCCTCACATGGTGGCAGGAAGGAGAAGTGCCAAGCAAAAGGGGAAGCCCCTTATAAAGCCATCAGATCTCATGAGAATTCACTCACTATCACAAGAATAGCATGAGTAGCATGAGGGTAACCCCATGATTAAATTATCTCCCATTGGGTCCCTCCCTTGACACATGGGGTTTAAGGGAATTACAATTCAAGATGAGATTTGGGTGGGGACACAGCCAAGCCATAGCATAAATAATCAACAAATTCCTATTTGGGTGACAGAAACTTGTGATCTCTCTCTCTGGGACTTTGTGTATGATTTCCCTGCTTCTTAGAATGAATCCAGATAGTACTTCTGTCCCCACAATTACCCACCCAAGTTTTACTTCTTCCCTCAACACTTGACTTGTCATTTAGGACCCAGTTCAGATTTCAGTTCTTCTTGGATACCCTTCTTGTATGAGTATAATTTACTTATTTGTGAAATGGGATAATAATCTGATACATAGGATGTTTTGCAGATTAACAGAGATTGTGCATGCCGCACACAATAAACAGTTGCTGTTGTGATTGTAGCACACTATACTTCACTACCATTCTTTCATTGGTTGGATTGTACCTTCAGGGCAGGGACTGTGCTTATGCAGCTGTGTAGCTTTGTAACCTTGGGATAGTACGAGGCCAGGCACATAAGCACTTTGGGTTTATTGCACAAAATAAGTACTCTAATCTCCTTTGTGTCTGGCAGCAGGCATGCTGACTGACTACCCTTCTCTCAGTTTTACCCTCTGGCCTTTAAAAGACAGTGGGTGTCATCTGTTTTTCCAACGGGGGGTTTTGGAACTGTGCATGTGTGTGCACAGGCACACACACACACACACACACACATGCGCCTGTGCAACAGGGGTGGAGACAGTAGCAGGAGGTGCTTCTAGCAGGAGGACAGTGTAAAGATAGGCACCATGGTACTCTCTTATCCCTGGACCTTTGCATGTGGTAATCCCTCTTCCTGGAGCAATCCTCTTGTAAGTTCCCGCGCCTGCCCCTCAAATGGCCAGGCACTTATTCAGTTCTCTTCTACTGGCTCAGACTTCATTTTCTTCCTGATTGTTTAAATCATCCCCCTGCTCCCAAGTCTCCTTACTGCACTTCTTCTATGATTCTAAACCATGTTATATTTTCCTTTCAGAGCACAGGCAAATGTATATGTGGTTCATTTAAGAAGAAAGCACTGCTAATAACACAATAGCAACTAAGAGTGTCATGCACTGCGCTAAGCTCTTTACTTGCATTATCATACTAATGCTTAACAGAAATTCTGTGATATAAGGCACAATTATTTTCCCCTTTTACAGATGAGGAAATTGAGCTTAATAGTGAGTAAACAACTTGTTGGAACTCATAGAGTACAAGTGTCAATAGAAGATTTAAAACTGGGTATTTCAGAGGGTGGGGGTAAGTGAACAACACACTGGTAAGATGATCTCAAAAATGGTTAGAAACAGCATGACTTTTTAAAAGAACCAGCCCTTAGGAAATTAACCTAACCTTTAGTGGAAAAAAATGACAGACATTTGGATGAAGCTCTTTAGTACAATTTTATTTTTTTTCTTTGTATAATATGCTCAATAATATATTTAGAAAATATAGCCTACACAGCAGCATTTTTTTTTCCAAATGCACAATTGCTGGCAGAACCCACCTACTAGGTGTTTGTTGATTGTTCATTGACAGAGAAGCACTACTTACTACAGAGTTCTCTGATAGGTTGGCCAAGGGTTTGTTTGGTCTGTGTACGATTTGACTTCTCCCTCTGCTCAATGCTGCTTCCTCTCTTTTCCTTTCACAGGTGTTGATCACTAATAAACATCTTGTACCCAAAGCTGCATTTCAGCATGTGTTTTGAACAAATCTTGAGAATTGCTTTCCTCAAATTAGCTAAGATGGGAAAGGAGGACAAGGAATTGGGAAGTGGAGGGGAAAAGGAAGAGCAGAAGGAGGAGGAATACCTCATAGAGAACATTCAGTTTTATGGTTAAAGCAGAACAATCCTGGTTTGAATCCTGGATCTGCTTTTAACTAGTTATGGACTAGTTATCTAACCACTCTACATCTGTTAACTCATCTTTGAAGAGGGAAGATAATACTAATTCACAAGATTGTGTATATTATACAGAGTGTTTACTCTATGCACTACAAAAATTTAAGAAAGTACGCAATAAATGCTAGTGATAAAAATTCTTAGTTTCCAGAAGTTTCCATTCTGGTCACCTTTCCTCTGAACAGCCTCATTATCTCCCTTAGTTTTAATTTTTCTATTAATGCATATTTGTCAAGCTGCTACAATTTTTTTCTGTTCAAAGATGTAACATTATAAAGAGAAGAATTCATGGTATATGAAAGCATATACCATGTCTCATATGCAACTGGTCAAACTTAGTGTGTCTCCGGCCTACTGACTCCCATTCACTTCTTCCCCATTGCCTCATCTGTGAACACTGCAAAACTGTCTTGCCAGCAGTCAGCACAGTTGGAGACCAGTCTTGTTTTTACTAGTCACTTCAAACCATCATATTAAGGCTATAAATAAAATAATATTATGGTTCTCATCTGGCTTCATTGTTAGAATAAGCTGAGAAAAATTGTAAATCAATATTTAGCATAATTACTGAGATCTGGCAGGTTTGGATGCAAATAAAAAAGAATGAAGAATGTAATATAAAATCATTTATATGATATCAGTTTAATCACCCCCTATAAAGTGACAGGCTGTAGAGACTCTTGGTGTAATTGTAGTTGGCAAAGAGTTTTCTTATATAGGAATATAAAATAATTGGCCCTGATGTCAGTTGTTCTATATTTGTCTTTCATCAAGTTTCTTCAAAAGGATATACTTTTCTGCCTCCCTGGGAACTATATTTTTTTCTAATGCAATATGTAGCATGCCACAAAGGCACCATTTTTTCAAACACAAGAAAAAACAAAAACAAATAACAAAAAGAAAATTGTTAGTACGATCACTCATGTGGAGAATGCTGCATTTAAAAAAGCCAAAATACATAAAATATGCTTCTGCCATAGACTACTTCTATTTATTGTCCAGAAGCAGAAAAGAAAGGTGATTATCCTCACATGTGGATTTTAAAAAAGGATATATGTCAAGGAATTGGACCAATATGCTTTGTTTCCATTAACTGATTTGTACACTTACTCAACAAATCCTGGCTGGGTTTGTGACAGTTTACTGTGTGCATAGCTCCATACAACACCTTATAGGAGGGTGTACAAGAAGAGAATTTTACATGAGTCTGAAGACAGTGATTAAACATGGGTGAAAGAAATTCTGGTGGAAGGTGGTGAGACAAGGACCCTAGGAAAGAGATAGGTACAATTTTATGGGAACTCCTGTGACATTTTGGCATGTTCTTTATTGATTTATTGATGAACCCTCCCTACTTTTAGAACCTCAGCTTCCTGAATGTAAAATGAGGGAGTTTGCCAGATTCTATGTGGGTATTTTCACATGTGAATTTCTATATTCCAAAAATGATGAAGCTTTAAGCAAATATATTTCCAGACCAGTAAACTGAGATGTTCACTTCAGGGAGTAGTCCTAGCATTTTACTTGATGGATAATGGCTAGGTAAAGAAGATTGAATTATTGAGGGTCATGTATCTTATAAGGGGTAGAATTAGATTTGGAACTCAAGTCGAGGGCAAGGGCTCATGGGAATGGGTGTGCTTTCTTGCTCTTCCACCTTCCGCCATGCGATGACTATTTTGTGATGGAGTTGTTTCAAAAGTGATGGTAGAGGAATTCCCACAAGGGAGGGCCTCAAAATATCTTGTGATGGGGCCAGTTGGGATTCCAAAGAAAGAAACACTAAATGCCAAGGTCATCAGTCCAAAGCATTTATTAAGGCAACCTAGATGGAGAGTGCTGCAGCATATTCTCACAATGAACAGTGAGAGAAAAGGGATGTGCTATCTAGGTTGTCCATGGTGAGGGGGCCTGGGTATATGGAGATTATATGAAATTTTAGGAAATTTGGTTCACAGCCCGGGCCAGTTTCTTTCTAGGAAACCCAGATAACTTTTTCAGTGCCTGGGAATGTTCAAGTCCTCAGTTTGGGTTCAGGCCTGCTGGGCAAAACCCACAGCTGGTTGGGTCATAAAGCAGTGAAGGCATTCTGATTTTTAGTCATGATACAGAAAAAAAGTGAAGGAACTGGGAAAGCTTTCAGTGATGCAGTGAGAAGGGAGAAGGCCCTCACCAGATGATGGCATCTTGATCTTGAACTTCTCAGCCTCCAGTATTGTGAGAAATAAATTTCTATTTTTTAATAAATTACCCATTCTGTGGTATTCTGTTACAGCAGCATTAAATGGGCTAAGACACAGTCCAATCACCATCACATTCAGTGTCCAATGTTTCTGCTCCTGGCATCAGGCTTATGGGAGAGACCTTGCAGAACATAGAAGAATGGCCCTCAAAGATGTCCATATTCTAGCCTTCAGAGCATGTGGATCTGTTACTTTACATGAAAAGGAGGAATAAAAGTTGCAGATGGAATTAATATTGTAAATCATCTGACCTAAAATAAGGAAATTATTCTGGATTAATGTGGGTGGGCCCCATGTAATCACAAAGGTCCCTAAATGGGGAAGAGGGAGGCAGAAGAGCCAGAACCAGAGAGATATCATTGTGAGAAATAGTTGACCAGCCATGGCTGCATTTGGCAATGGAAAGGGCCCAGGACCCAAGGCATGTAGGCAGCCTCCAGAATATTGAAGGGAAAAATAACTGGATTCTCCTTTAGATCCTGCAGAAGGAATGCCACCTTAATTTGAGTCGTTTCTGTCTTCTGACCTCCAGAGCTGTAAGAGAATAGATTTGTATTGTTTTAAGCTACTAGTATGTGGTAATTTGTTATAGCAGCAATGGGAAACTAATGAACACTTTATTAATTTATATGGAATAAGTCACAATTTGGGTTAAATAAAACTAACCTGGTTGAACCAAAATTATTTTTAATATCTCTTCAAACAAGTATGCTTTTGAGGAAATTTTTAGTGCAAAGCAGGATGCAGGAATATATATTTAAGAGATTAGCTGAATTTAAGACTTCAGCACATTGCTTTTATGCTAAAATTATGAAGGAAAGTTATGTATTTGTTAATATAAGTCTGTAAGAATTTTTATTTAAAAGGTTTCTATCTCTGTAGTGGAGAATTGGGTGGATTATATTTCTCTGTGAATATTTCACCATTCACATTTTTCCATCATTATACTTAGCATACTGTATCCCTCACATTAGCAAGACCTGATGAGTGCTCTTCACTATGATTCGTTACATATTAGCAGGAATAAGCCTTAGGTTATATGGTCTTTGGCAAGTGATTTAAACTAAGGCTTGTTTTTCTCATCTACAAAATGGGGATGATCATATCTTCTATTATGGACTGCATGTCTGTGTCTCCCCAAAATTCATATGTTGAAACCCTAATCCCCAATGTGATAGTATTTGGAGATGAGGCCTTTGGGAGGTAATCAGATCATGAGGGATTGGTGCCCTTATAAGAAGAGACACAAGAGAGCTTGCTTCTCTCTCTGTTCTCTCCCATATGAGGACACGATGAGAAGACTGTCATCTGTAAACAAGGGAGAGGGTCTTCTTCAAGAACCTAAACATGTTGGTACCCTGATCTTAGACTTCCAGCCTCCAAAAATAGTGTTTGTTTAAGCTACCTAGGCTATGGTATTCTGTTAGAGCAGCCCCAAAGAAACTAAGAGAAACAGTAGGATATACATATCCTACTGTAGGATATACATATATACATACATATATATATATACACATATCCTACAGTAGGATATACATATATACTGTTGGTACTAACAGTAGGATATACATATCTAAAAATGTGGAAGTGGCTTTGGAACTAAATAATAGGTGGAGGCTGGAAGAGCTCTGAGGTGCATGCTAGAAAAAGCCTAGATTGCCATGAGGCAATTTTTAAAGGTGATTCTTGTGAGGACTCAGAAACGAGAGAAAACCTCCATCTTCTTAGAGACTACATAAACAATAATAAACAGAATATTGGTGGAAATACAGATGGTAAAGGTCATTTTAATGAGGTTTCAAATGGAAATGAGGAACATGTTATTTGAAATGGGAGAAAAGGCAATCTTATAATAAATTGACAAAGAATTGGCTGAACTGTGTTCGTATACTAGTGTTTTTGAAAGGCAGAAAAATTGAGGCAGAGGGTCACTTGTTCACAGTTATGGAGCCAGTAATGGTGGAGCCAGAATTGAACTGAAGCTAGAGTTGGCATTTCTCTATCTCTTTTCATCCCCAAAGGTAATGTAGACAGTGTGGGGATGGGTAGTACAGGGAGAGATGAGGGTAGAGTTACAGGGTGCTTCAGGCCAGAAGAAATAACATTATCAATGTGATCCATAAAGAAATATTGCCTTAGGTTTTCCTAAAACTGACTCACATTAAGCAATAATCTTGTTTTGGAGCTTTTCCACTTTAGTAAGATAAAAGAGCTGTAATAGTTAGATATTGTTCATATTACATGGGTCTAAAACAACTAGATGAGACTATGTATGTGAGAGTGCTTTGTAATCTGCAAAATGGAATATGGATATTACACTCCTTCCCCAGCTCAGGATTCAGTGCCTGACATGGAGATACTTGGTAATTAATTAGCTTATGATACGGGAAGAACTCTCTCTCTCTCTTTCTCCTCTCTCTCTCTTTCTCCTCTCTCTCTCTCTCTCTCGTTCTCTCTCTCTCTCACATACATACCCAGACACAGACACACACACACGTGCACACACAGTGTGTATCTAGTGTGTGCATCTCCCCACTAGATTGGGAGCTCCATGAGTGCAGTGTCTGTGCCATCTCTGTGTCCCTAATGCCTTACAGAATAACCTAAAATTAGTCATTAAACAATAAGCTTTTGTGATTTAAAAAAACTATTATAGTGCCTTTCCTTTTAGCTGGGATTTTTATATGGTAGACTATCTCTCTTTGGGATCAGGAGAAGGGATTGTTATGAATCACTGACTTTACTACAGAGCCACATTTATATATTACATGGTGGGAGGCAGGGTTAGAGGGTTAAGTGCTGAAAGGCCGCAGCTGGGAAGGTAGCACCCCGGTGACTCAGCTTTGGCTCCTCTAAACTTCAGGCCCTGAAGGATGTGGTGTGTGCACTGAAGTGAGGGAAACAGGAACCAGCATGGAGACAAGGTTGCTCTGTTTCCTCGGAGACTGTTTTCCCCAGTGCATTGAGCCAGGAAGTGGGTTTTTCCCCCACCTAGTGACCAGGGGATGGGTAGATAGTCTTGTTCATCACATAAAGAAACAAACGTGTTAGACTGGTCTGGCCAGTGACTTGTGGGTCTTGGCATGACAACATAGCCTGCGAGTAATATGGTCACAATGCCCTGGTGCTTGCTGTGACCAACGGAATCGATGAAAAGGGTGCAGTGGAGGATCACAGGCCTGAAGCAGCACGACCAGGAAGTCTAGTGTTGACACTGGATGCAGAGTGTAACATACAAGCTGCAACACAATCACCAAGCCCAGAGCAAGGTGACCTTAGTCAGCCCAGGGTTATGCCATGAGCAAGAAAGAAAAAAAAAAAAGAAAAGAAAAGTGAAGGGAGTAAGTAGCACTGAACGCAGAGGAAAAGGGTGGAATTTCAGAAAAGCTCTGCTAACCTGAGTTTGTGTTGGTCAGTGAGCTCTTGTAACTGGGTAAATGTGAAAATGGGCTACAAGCGCATATCAAGTACAGGTGAAAAGGACCAGAACAGAGAGGATCAGCCAGACCACAGTGTAGCTGACACTGGCCCACGCAGCATTTGACCATCTCCCTGGAAAGGAGTCTTGATGGTCAGAAAGATGGTCACATGTATATGCATGCAGTGGAAATGCTTGAATTGACCATTTTACCAAATCTGTATATAATTTACTTTAGAGCAATTTCTTGATATCAAACAATTTAGTAATGTAAAGTTTCAGTTAAAAAAATTCCAGCATTGTCTAAAAATGAAATAACTGAGCCGGTTATTATTCAGCTGTCCTACCAAGCTAGTCATATGGTGATAGTTGTGGAAGGAGTTGCTTACAAGTGGTATCCCAAGCAAGAACCCACATTTATTCCTAAATAGGAAAAGATGATGTGTAAAAAGGTTTCAACCCAACTGGACCTGCTTGACGATTTGTAAGCCTGGACAGGCATCGTGCACACATTTGTTAGTAGAAGCCCGAGAGAGCAGAATTAAAATCAGGTGCTACCAAAGCTGGCTAAGCAATTGTTATTAGGATCTAAATATTAAAGAAGTTACAGAGCCTGAATTAAGGAAGGGGATAATTTATCAGTCAATAGGGAAGTTGAGGTTTATGTGATCCCAACTTTTTGACCCCCACTTCATTTAATCGGGTTTTAGCACTCCCAGCTATTCCAAAATTATTGATTTTTTTAAGAAAAAACTTGAGCCTGAAAAACAGACAAAAGACTATATATGATATCACTCTAATGATTTATCTTAAGAATCTGTGAACTGTGGAATCATGATTGTTAGGACTGAGAGACACCTGCTCACCTTTCTGAAATGAGGAGCTGAAAAGATATTCTGAGATTTAGAAAGGGTAAGGTATACAATGTTGACCTTTTGGAGACAGGAAACCTTTGATGAACTATAGGACACCAAGGCAGTTCATTTAAAAGATGGTTTCAAAGCATTATCCGGAGCTGGTTTTCTATGTGCCTTACTGAAGCTCTTGGGTTGTCTTTTTACATAAACCTAGGGAAATAATGGCTTTTGCAGTTGTTCATATGTCTGCAACCCTCATGTGGCACCTTGGTTTCTAAGCTTTGTAACTGCTTTTCAGTCTCTTTTGAGGATGAAATTAAACTTTTCTTACTGTTTGGCAGCATGGAACTTTCCTGCGATGGGCTGTTAAGGAGAAAAGAGGCATGAAGGAGTCACTTATATCATCTCCATGTAATTAAGGAGTACAAACTGTTAAATAAAATTGTTGCTAATGATATTTACTTGACTCTATAATATGAGTCCCTGCTCTGATCTTTGAATAAATTAAGGATTAGTGGTTCATAAAATGTATAGATTATAAAACTTTGTTGCCAGTAATAGAGTATGCATTTTTTTAAAGACAGCTTTGCGTTTGGACTATCTTTAAGCTTTCTTGTTCTCTTTCTTTCTCTGCCTCTCCCTGACTCTGCCTCTGTCTATCTCTGTCTGTCTTCCTCTTTGTCTTTCTCTCTCTCTCTCTCTCTTTCTATGTGTATATAAGTATACACACACACACACACACACACACACACACACACAGTAGTCCCCTCTTATCCGTGATTTCACTTCCGGTGGTTTCAATTACCTGTGGTCAGCCACAGTCCAAAAATATTAAATGGAAAAATTCCAGAAATAAACAACGTATAAGTTTTAAATTGCATGCTGTTCTGAGTAGTGTTGTCAGATCCTATGCTGTCCTGCTCTGTCCTGCACAGGATGTGAATCATCCCTTTTTCCTGGGTATCCATGCAGTATATGCCACCCACCCTTCAGTCACTTACCAGCCGTATTGGATATCAGATTGAAAAAACCTAGTATACATAGGATTTGGTACTATCCACGGTTTCAGGCATCCACTGGGGGTCTTGGAATGTGGATAAGGGAGGACTACTGTATATACTAACATCTATGTATATGTCTATGTATGAATGTATATGTGCATGCACCATGTATACATACATATGTGCGTGCATGTTTTTGTAAGTTACTGAATAATTAATGAAGGATAGATTGAAACAGAAAATAGTGCTCAACTTTGACATACAGACTTAGATTGACAATTTACTAAGGTATAGCATATAATCAACAAACCAATTTATCCTCTTTTAACTCTTAAAATAAAAGACACTAAAAATCAAAAGTGATCTATGAATTATTGTTTTGGTGCTGGATGTGAAATTAATGCAAATGTCTAGATATATATAAGGAGGTTAACACTTCAAAATACTGAGCTTAAATTTAGTTAGGAACTTATAACAATAAAAATAAGTCCCAAACAAAATCATATCTTTATTTCCTGAGCACATTATTATTTCGATACATGACAAATATCATCAGTAGGGATACCAAGAATAATGATCTATCCTGGCCTGGCCTTCAAATCTAGCAGAGGACACCAAGAAATAAACAATTACATATTATGTGATGAGATAGTAACTCAGGGTCTTATGGGGTAGGAGGTGGGGAGCGGGAGTGGAAGGCAACACAGCACGCCAGGACATATCAGAGAATGTTTCCTAAGAGAAGAGAGGCTTATACACCACAGATATTATCTGCTGGCTGGCAGGTGAAGGAAGGGCCTTCACAGTTGGGAGACTACGTTGTATTCTGAAGATGAGAGACAGCAGGTAAGTTTGAGTTACCAGAGTTTAGGGTATGACATGAGACGCTGGAAGAATCTGCTGAAGGAGCCCTTGCTTTCCCATCAGGCCTCCAATGTGAAGCCCTTTTTGACAAATGGAGCTGGTGGCCTCCTTCTCTGTGCTGCCATGACTTTTTGCATATTTCTATTGTTGTACTTTCCCCATCCACTTTACTTGTTGATGTGTGATTTCCATACTTGTCTGTGGAATAATTAAAATCAGGACGATTTTCTAGATCTTATCATAAGGCTTAGAAAAGAATAGGGACTCAATACATGTTTATTAAACACATATATGAATGACTGGCAGGCTGCATGAGTGAATGATTATGCACTATTTGGGGAAACAGTAAAGAATTGCCTTGGTTATCAAACAACCCCTTGTAAAAGCTTATTGGTTTTATTTTTGTATTTTAGGTTACTTGCTGCATATAATAGCCTTATGGATAAACACCTGGCTGGGTATTTTAACAATACAAGGATAAGGCGTCATCTCTTAAGATCAGGACTGGTAAGTTTTGGTTTACTTTCCACTGACCTTCTTGTTTCATTAAGTCCAATAATTCCCTACCTTTTCAGGCTTTCTCTTTGAGTGACATCTTCCACTTGCCCTCATTTTAGAAAAATTACTTTCTTTCCAAAGTTTTGATTTATGTATTTGAGGTTGTTTGAAAAGATAGGAAGGCAGGTCACTATGACTGCTAAGAAAACTTATAAATTATTGAGGAAAAGGTCCTGAGACTTTCCAACAGCATATTTCAATGGTTTGTTTATTCATTCATTCAACACATATTTATTGAACACATTGTATGAGGTAGAAACTGTTAGGAATTGAAGATAGAGAAGATTTTACTGTCATCTTCGGAAAAAATATTGCTTTTGATATTCACAGAATATGGTGTGGAAGACATGTACATTTCAACATTTCCCCCAAATTTAAAAACAATTACTTCCTGTGATGGTTTATTGATAATATTAGTGTATTTCATTAGCTTCACAACTGTTCTTTCCACAAAATTTCTATTCTTCTAAATGTATACAATGTGAAACCTTTTCAAAATGTTATAGTATTCCATGGAAAGAAAGAGATGTGGTTATAGAAAGTGTTAGCTGTTTACCTTCTTAAAACACAATGGGTTTCCTTAACTATTGTTGCCATGGTGTTGAAAGAGCACGTATTGCATTTCTAATTGTTGTTTCTGTGCTTGGCACTCTAGCTGACAGATCTCAGAGAGCTTGCTTTTCTCCTCCTGAGGATTCGTTATCAGACAGACCTGGCTGAAACCGAGCTTGCCATTTATAAGCCATAGAATCTTGAATAAATCACTTTCTTAACTTTTTCAGCCCCAACTTCCTCAATTGTAAAATGAGAATGATGGCATGCACCTCTCAGAATTGTCGTGGCAGTTAGAGATGTGCAATAAACGGGTGTTGTAATTATTGTTACTATTAACATCACTTCTTTGGATAACAGTCTGTGAACTTTGCCTACAAATGGGAAGGACTTTGTATTTACTTATCAGCATCATTAACAAGCACTTACTGAACACTGGTTGTATGCATGGCAATTCAAATAAGAAAGATGCAGGCCTTTCTCTAGAGGTTCAAATATAGCCTCTCAGCTAGCAGTGTTCAGGGTCACCCAGAAACCCTACAGAAAATGCGAATGTGAGACCTAACTGAATCAGAAGCTCTGCTAAGGGACCTATCAGTTTTTCAACAAGCCCTGCAGGTGGTTCTGATGCATGGTCAAGTTTAAGCACCTTTGCCCTATAGGAGCTTCCACTCTAGTTGGGGAGATCAGACATAGTCACACAAAGACTGTAAGTGGGTTATTTGTAATTCCAAGCACACTTTCTATAGGTATACCTCTTTCTTCCATTGGAAAATGTATTTACAAAAAAAGATTATCAATAAGCCATCACTTGTAGCACAACTCTGGTTGATCTTAATACTCCAGTGTGTTGCAACAGTAGTGTTAAAAACTACAGTTAGCAGAATTAAGAAAAATATGTGGCTTGCATGAAAGAGGGGAGCAAAGCTTAAATAAGTGGAAAAGAAGAAGGTGAACAATCCGTATGGGTAACACTCTTCGTTTACAGGGGATAGAAAACAATACAACAAATCAACAAATATGCCCACAGGAAGAATTAAAGAAAAGAAAAATAAGTAAATCCACAACAAAAATGGCCGTTCCTAGGACTTGCAATGATGCCAGTTGAGACCAATATTGACTATCTTCTATGTATGCTAATGCATAATCTGTAAAATTCTGAATCAAAACAACAAATTAAATTACATTTTGGGCTGGAGAGTGGAAGAAAAAAAAAGCAGTAGGAAAACAAAGTAATGAAACCAAGTATTTTTAAAGCAAACTGATGAGATCCTTTGTAGCTCGCATGTTTGCCCTTCAAAGTACTTCCTACAAGATCATCAGTCCTGTGATCACTGCTCCTGGTCATTTTTTCAAAGTAGTACCCCGCCCCCTTCCTTCAGGAAAGTGTTCAAAAAAGAAATGAAAAGAACACCTGGGTTCCATCAAGGGAAAATTGTTACTGTGATGAAAATCTTGTTTTAAACGTCAAGTGTGCCACCTGTGTGTGTTTTCACAATGAAGGGTATATGAGACTGCCTTTCTCCTTTTTGCCTCATGAAATATTCATTAAAAGTGAAAGTTGATCAACCATAGTGATATATTCCTTTAGGCTTAAAAGCTACTGATGCTTTCTCTCCCTCTTTCTCCCCTCTCGTTTTTTTTTTTTTTCTCTCTCTCCCTCCCTGCCTCCCCAATGCCTCTCTCTCTCTCTTTCTCTCTCTGTGTGTGTGTGTGTGTGTGTGTGTGTCTGTCTGTCTTCTCCACCCTCCAGCCTCCCTTTTTTGGAAACTAACACCACATTTTCTATTTTATATTTCTATGTATATTTTATTTATTCATGACAGATCACAAGAAGTGGAAGAATACTTTCTGAAAAAGAATATAAACTAAATATGATGAAGCGGGATCATCAAAAATATATCCGGGAATGCTTAGCCCAGGCAATTTTTCATAAAGTTCTTGATATGGAGGTAAAAATATATACTTATTTTTTATTTTATTTTATTTTTTTCTACTTCCACATCACTGAAGATGGAGGTATAAATCTTTACTATTTTCTTTGTAATTGATTTTGTCTAATATGATAATTAATAATGCTTTTGTACCTAGAAAAAGAGAGATTCTTTCTGCATTTCATTAAAAAAGAAAATGAAAGAAATACTCAATATCTCTCTGGGTAGCCAGGAGCCAGAAGTCTAGCGTAAGCTTTTCTTCATTTCAGTTGGAGAAAAATATGGACATCATTATATATTTTGTGATATTTAATTTTCCAAATGTACATTTTTCATTTACAATGGCTACTCTAAAACATACCAGCCCTCACCATCTGTACCTCAATTTCCATTTGCTAAAAAAGGTGACATCTGTTTAAATATCAGTAATTCCATTGCCATGAATTATTTCAGATCTGTTATTCTTTTAAGGCTCTGAAGCTCAGCCGTATGTTACATTTCAAGGAATAGGCATTTTAACATCTGCTGTCCCTCCTACCGTAGGCCACTCTGGTCAACATAGATGCACAAACCAAGCATCAACAACATATTTTTTTAATCTGACAGGGTATCTTAATGGGATATCTAGCTAATTTGATAAATTATTTCAGCCTTGCTCCATGGAACTTGTAGTTTCAAGCATCAACACCATTTTAGTCTCTGAAAAAGCATGTCACTTCTTGGCTTGACCATACAAGCAGTAAATCAGAAAACTGGGCTCATAAAACCATTGACCTGTGAGTGCAGTAAACATTTATGAACAACTGTAGAATCATCAGTAAACCAATATGAAGTCTAGTGCCACTGAAAATATTTATTATTATGCTACATTAGGTAGATGAAGTGTTCACTTAAGATGTGTATGATCTGTTAATTTAGGAATTCACTTTTTGCTTCATATCATGTCCATGAATTACATAGAATTGTTGTTTTTGGCCCTAAATTCTTGCTTATAAAAGTATTAGCTGTAATTTTTCTGTGAAAAAATAAATAAAATTAATAAAACATAAAATTAATACCTTGTTTCAAATTTACTCAATAGGCACTGAGTTCTCTGTTAGCCTTAATCCTTGAAGCCTAGTTTTCCAAAATCTCACTTAACACCCTGTGACACATCATAACTGTTGAATATGCTATTATTTAAATCTTTGTGGATTCCTAGTTTTGAATAAATATTTTAGATAAATGTTAATATGTAATATATTAAATAACATAATTGTTACATAATAGAATAAATAATATATAAACATAATAGAAAAAAACAATATTTATCTTTAAATTGTCACATTTATCTCACATTTAGTTTATGCTGATGCTCCTTGCTAATACTGCTGTATTCACATTCATGCATTCACTCATGCAACAAGCCATAATTGCAGGTTTACCATGTGCCAGTATGAGGCTGTGTGTTGAAGCTGCAAGGTAGGATTAAAAAAAAATACTGTAGAATGTGACTAAGTGCTAGAAGAGAGGAACGAATAGAGTGAGTTCAGAAAAGAAGAGGAGGATGACTTTTCTCTGTGGGAGTCAGAGGAAACTGAACGGAGGTCTTGCTGTTTCAAGACGAGTGAGGGATCCTGTGAAAATGTGGGAAAGGTGTTCCAGACCTCAGAAGTTGCAGAGGTGTGAAAGGACATAGTAGATGGAAAGGAACCCTCACTGAGGCCAGACTGCACAGTGGGTTAGTTGGCAAGAGTGGCAGGAAGTGACACTCTCCAACAAGTTGGTACCCAGTCTCTGGAGAGCCTTAAATTCTCAACTAAGTTTGGGGTGTAGGTGATGAGGCGATGAAATGTTTTTCAGCAGGGGAGTAAAAGAAATGAGCAGAGCTGTTTTAGAAAGATGATGTTGCTAAAAATGTGGAAGATGGATTAATGAGCTGGAAAAGATTGGAGGTGGGAGGTCAATTAGGAAGCTATTGCCAAAGGGTGTAGGCTAATAGCAGTAGTGGTAATGCTGGGAGACGCAGCTGTCTACAGAGAAGCTGAAGTGGGAGAAAGATTTAAGCTGACTGAATGTGAAGGAGTGAGGGAGAAGAAAGAGCTCAGAAGAAAGATTTTCTCACCTGGTTGGAGGTATGTGCACTGTAGGAGATCAAGAACAACAGCATGGGCTGAAAAGGAACCTTCAAGAGGTCAAAAACATGCCTGTTAGCATGGTGTCCTGGAAGCTGGAAGGTTCTCACAAGCTGCAGAATGGTCAAATAAGATGAGCACTGGGGGAACAAAAGGAAATTAGGTTTGACCCAGAAGACAAAAACATTGGTGGACTTGGCAAAAGTAGTTTCAGCAGTAGGGAAGTGGCAAGTCAGTAGATGTGGATGACTACAGTGAGTTGGGAATAAATGGAAGGTGGAAAAAGGTTGATAGTGAATTGAACAGTTTGATGATAAGTGGGTAGGAGATCAGAGGAAGAGAGAGAGGAAAGGGAAGTGTTAAGAAGAGGATTGATGATAGGGAATTATTGAGTCTGCAGGGTTCCTAAGGCAGCAGGAGGGAACCAAGAACAGAGGGGAAACATTTTTTCAAAGGGCCAATGAATAAAACACTCTCAAATATGTCTAATTAATTTCAATTTGCCTTTTAAGCAGATTATTTTTACATGGGGCTTATTTTTAAATTATAGAATAATATATTACAAAAACTTGGGGGGAAAAGCATAAAAAAGGAAAATAATTACATACAATTCCTCCTTTCAGAGACAACGGCTGTTAACATGCATTTCTTTCTAGTCTCTTTTCTATTCATATTTTTACCTTAGTAAACTCATACTATGTTGTGACAGGGACAACAAGGTTTTGTGAAAAAACAAGCGAAAAACAGGAAGCTAGTGTCAGATAGGCCAAGGTTGAAATTACAGCTCCTCCCCTGGCTGGGTATATGACCTGGCGCAAGTTCATTATCCTCTGCTTCAGTGCCTTTGTTTGTAAAATAGGGTGGCTTGGCAATTAGAGTTGTTCAAGAAGAAATAATGTATGTGAAGCACCTTCCTAGCACAGGGACAGATACACAATATGAGCTTGATAAATTAAATTGTATTTCTGTGAAATTCTGTATCCTGCTTTTATCCTGCATTATGTGCATTGTCCATTTTTTAAACAAAATCTGTATGAACCTTATTTAAATGATCAATTATATTTTATTCCATCATATGGATGTGCCAGAAATATAGCCATTCTCTTTATAGTTCATATTGTTTCTGCATTTTTTTTTGCCTTGAAGAAAAAGGAAAAAAAATCTTTCAGATAGCATCTTTGTGCATAAGACATTTTTTAAAATTACTTAGATTTCCCACAGGTTTAGAAGTGAAATTTAAGGGTTAAAGGTTATGAACACTTTTAACTGCTTAATATATGTTCAAAATTGAATTTCCAAATAGTTGCACCAATTTACATTCCCACTTGTGCACTGATGCAGATGATTCTTCTCCATCTCAATGACAAGAGGACTAATTGAGAATATAGTTATCTGTTGGAATTATTTTCCTCTAAACTGGTCTTTGCTATAACTGATATGATTCTCTCCTTTATTCTTTCCTGTATGCTTAGCGTTACCATCAGCTTGAAATAAAAAAGAAATTGGAGACCTTAGCTAGGAAGGAGCGAATCCAGAGGTTTAAGGTAAGGAGTTATATAACTCTCTTTTACTTCATAGTATTATTTTATGATTTTAAAAAAAACAGTGAAACTATGATTCCAGTTCCCTGGGACACTTTACTTTTGGTTAAAACATAGTTGAAGTCAATGATGGTTCACCAAGCCTAAATCTTAGCCATCATCATTACAGAAGATTGTGACAAATATAGGAGCTGTTTGTACAAAATAAATTTTAATGAGGCACAAACCTTTCAAAGACAAACTTGAAAATGTTCTTGAAATTTTGCTTTTATATATTCTTGTGATAGAGGCCAAGGGATTTTTGTTTGTGTCTTAAGAAGGTAAAAATGGATGGTAGTGTTTCCAACCTGATGGAAAACAGGGCTTTTTAGGAATGATACAATGACACATTTTCATTTGAATGTGACCCTTGGAAATATACGGTGGAAAGGATCCTCTTTAGCAAAAGAAAGCATGATAAAGTGTAGATTTTGTAAAATGCATTTTAAAATTCTTTGTTTGTTTTCTATTTTTTAAATATATCTTCTTTGCAGTGAACTCAGGAAATATAAACTTGAATCAAGAGATGAGATATTCAGTTAAATTCAAGATTTCCATTTAGGTTGGCAGTTTTACTCAGTTTCTTAAGTCATTTGTAATCACATGTTGTTCTTAATTTTCTGTGTACTGTAGTATTACAAATGTGTGGCCTAAGATACGTTTCACAAACTGATGAATATTTGTAAAGCTTCTGTAGAATAATTTGCCATAAAAGACAGTAATTTTTCACCCTTGCCTGATGGACTCAGGTCTATTTTATCAGGGTGAGAAGATAATTTTGTTACAAAAATGTTTTCAAATGACAGAAGATGGGTCCAAGATCAAAGAGTTGGTGTGTAGAGATTTGTGGTTAATCCAACTTTGCCAATATTGCCCTACATCAAGGACTGAGTCATAGATTCTGTAATTTATCTGCTGAAATGTTGATGGAGAAAATGTGGTTACTGGAAAAAAAGAGTCACTCACACTGCATGAAGCAGGAAAAGTTGCTGTGTGTTATTCACCCTTGCCCAGGTAGCCAGACCCACTAAAGGAAGTACATGGGCATATTGTAGCATTGTCAGAGATTTGCTACCCTTGTGCCTCTTCATATGATTTTTATTTGAACAATTTTCACTTTATTACTGAATTTGGCACAAGATATATTTTAGCTCTCATTTTTTTAAAACATGGAACACTTTTTGCCTAATGGAATTATTTATTTTCTAAGATAGAAAAGTACTATTTCTGGTAGTCTACTGATCGCAGTAGTAAAGCTCATTATGCCTTTTGTAGTGATCTGCTTGAAGCAAATTAACAAATATTATTGCTAAAATGGAGGATACACTGCTTTTGCAGTTATTTCTTTGAGCACAACTAAAGCCGACTCAATTTCTTGCCTTACCACCACACCTAACTCCTTAACAAAAGTAACTCTTGGAAGAAATGAGAAAGAATTTCTTTAGTCATATAGTATTTCGCACATGTCATGCATAATCTAACCTAGATTACTAACTATGCATCTATTTGCTAAATTGCTTTCTTATTCTAGGGAGAGCACACAAGAAGGTCTGTTGAAAATAACATGCCAATCCTGTCTCCCCACCCACCAGTTGGCCCAAAGAGTAATCGTGGCCATAGTGTTCTGGTTGATGAAGGACATTCCAGTCCGTTAGCACTGGTGAGTAATATTAAACACTTCGTCATGCAGTATCCCAGCTAATTAATTTATTATTTCTTATTCTCAGAAGGGATACTCTCTGGGAGCATGACTCCGTAATGCTGCCAGTCCTACTGAATGAAAATATAGTCTTATATCTGTTCAACTCTGTCTCTTCTGAATATCTCACTTCTAGTCAATATCACTACTGCCAAATCAATTTTGCTTGTTAATGCTAGATTAGTTTTCTGGAAGTCCAGATTACTTATGTTATTTATACACCCAAATACTTTCCCTGGCCTGTATTCCCTACAGAAAAGCTCAGACTCTCAGGTGACATTTAAGACCCTAAACCATATGACCTCAAATTAGCTATTCCAAATTTTTTCTGCATGATTACTCTTTAGCACCCTTCAATGTAGCAAAATGGGACCACTATACATATTCTATATTTTCTGACCTCTGGATTTTTTCTTGCTGTTCCTTCTACTTCCACCTTATCTCTACATATTCAATGGTACCATGTAGCATATTGGGCTAAATACTAACATTTGAGCTTCTTTTATTAAAAGTCTGTGCACATACTCTAAAATAAAAATAATTAAATGTACAGAAATTCTATCTGAAGAAACTAAACACTGATATTTTATTCCAGGTTGATTCATTTCTAATCTAAAAGTGGTGTTTGCTTGAGGGAAGGTAAAGTACCTTGAAATAATATAGATACAGGAAAAGATTTATAAAACATTTGCTGGAGGTTGATGGTTTAAGTTGTAAATAAATTGCTTGATTATGTCTTTATTCTTGCTTTATGTAGCCTAATATATTTCCTTGTTAACATGTACTTTTTCTGATTTGCAAAATATTTATGGAGAAATTGCAATGCTTTCACAGATTGTTGAAGTAGGTTCATCACATATAGTGTTAAGCTTTGACATTTTTCAAAGGGTAAATATGTTTTGACATTTCTTGATGAACAGCTCAAATGATGAAAAGCAACCATCTTTCCTTTGTTGTCACCCTATTTCCAGGTTTGATTTGAATATATATGTATACAAATTCTTTTATTGGATGGCAAATTCACTAGACTCTCAAAAGCTTAACCTGAGTGAAACAAAAGAAACAATCAAGTGCTGTTTTCAGTCTTCCCACCTGTTTCAGAGAGGAAAAATCCTTGAAAGGCTTTCTTTTCAATTTTCCAGCTGAACACCCTCAATAAATAGTTTATGATACATCCAGCAGATCTTAATGTGGTAGGAGTGAAAAAGTAATTTTAAAATTACAGGAAACACTGAAACCAGCTTCAAAAACCTTTCTCTCTGGTAAGCCAGGATTCTTCATGTGGCCCGCCCTGATGGTGCTTTTGCACCGTAAGGGATACCTATTGTGATCTTGGAATTAAATAGGTCCCATTTTACAGAAATCCAAATCCCCCTCCCTTTTTTTTCCATCTGGATACATATTCTTTAAATTTGACTCATGATCTCCAAGTGTCCCTGAGATGAAGATAATAATCCTTTTGAGATCTTGCCATTGATTTTTTTCTTTTTTAACTTTTTTAAGTGAATAAGGAAAGCATCCAATACAATGTTAGTGCCCTTGGTAACCTAAACTTTCAAAATAGTATACAGATTTTTAGCTGTACCACTCCCATTAAAACGATGGAAAATCATTTCAGCTAATTCTGCATATGCTTGGAACATTCACCCACACTGATCTTCTACTAAGAATTAGAAATGCTCAGCTAAGCTAAGTAATCACCAGGTAGTTAATTTCAATTCATATTCTGGTATGGTTTTCAGAATGTTAAGCTACAATGCCATATTTATTCCAAGAAAATATATTACACACAATTTAAAATATAGTGAATTTAAGGTGGCTTCTGATGTGAACTACAACAATTTGTAGCTCACAGCTGTTAGTTAATGGTGCAGATTTGCTTTTAGAGATAAATGTAATCAGTTAAACATTTGACTACCACATTCATCTAACTGAATGATATCTATATGCAAATGTAGGGAAGTAAAATTTAGAGCACAACAGCCAATAGATCATGTTCTAGTTTGCAGTAAACTGTTCTCTTAAATTTCGACAACAGATTTTTCAAGTTTTTGTGTTCAGTTGGATTATTTGACAGGAGAGATCCTTGAGGCATGTTTGTTTTACAAAGTTCAAAAGAATTCTTTTGGGTGATCTGATTCCTTTTTTCAGAAACCTCAGTTCTAATTTCTCTTTGTGGGTTATAAGACCTTTTACCTTTTGGACCATATAGGCTTATTTTTTGTTTCTTTAAACCAAATCCTGCTTTAGTCAATCCACTTGGCTTCTCATATTGGTTGTGACATAGGTTTGTGTATGAAAACTGTAAATATAATAACATTGGCATAAACAAAAGGGTCTCCTCCCCATCTCAGCATATCCATGAGTCTCAGCTGGCATGCTATCTTAACTCTGTGAAGTCATCAAAAGCCCAGACTCCCTTTGTGTTGCTGATCTGCCAAACTTAGGGTGTTGCATTTATCCATAAAAGCCAAGATGGTATATCGCCGTTTGGATATTTCACCAGAGGGAAGAGGTAAAGTGAGAGCACATATCTTCTCTCTAAGCACATGACCTGGAAGTCTCATGTGTCACTTCTGCTCTCATCTTATTGGCCAAAACTGAGACATACATCTACACAGAATTACAAGGGATGCTGGGAAATGTCATCTTTATTCATAATAACCATGTTCCCAGTGAAGAAAAGAAAACAGATATTGGGGAATATTATCTTTGCTACTCTTCCCATGTCTTGCTCACAACCAGCTTTCTTCCCAGTCGGATATTCAAATTTATCCTTCTTCTCTGCTTATCCACTTTCTTCTCTTGTTTACCATTGGGATAAAATCTAACTGCTTCTGTGGAACTTTAAGTTGTATTAGCCTCTTTGGCTTACCCTAAAGATTCTAAGAACTTTTACTTCTAAGTTCTGGTCTCAGGTATTTTATTGTCTGTTTGGCAGTATTTGTGTGGTTCATTTGACACTAGTTGTTTTGTGTTGCCATTAGATGTTAAAAATTACTTTTTATGTTCTCACGGTTTCTATGGTGGGAATTCAATAAATGTTGACTTAACAAAATCAGAGATTTAGCAACATATGACATGCTTCTCAAGCCTAACTTCTAAGGCTGGTTTTTGGTAGTAGGAGCTGCCTTATCATCATTTTTTAAAGTATTTACACACACTTTTCCAGAGCTGAATATTTGTTGTTCACCATTCTTTAAAGTGTATGTATTAAACCCTTTTCATTAGTCACTTATATACCATCCTTCTCATCCTCCTTCCTAAATATATATGTACAATTCTTGATAGACTTTCTACTATTTTATTGCATTAGAACAATTGGGTCAAAAGTCTGATGTATTCTACTTTTGACACATTGCTAATCTTTTTTTTTTTTCTGAGACAGCATCCCACTCTGTGGCCCAGGCTGAAGTGCAGTGGCACAGTCCCAGTTCACTGCAGACTCGACCTGCCTGGGCTCAGGTGACCTCCCACCTCAGACTCCTGAGTAGCTGGCACACATCATCATACCCAGCTAATTTTTGCATTTTTTGTAGAGACAAGGTTTCACCATGTTGCCCAGGTCGATCTCCAACTCCTGGGCTCAAGTGTTCTACCCACCATGGCCTCCCAAAGTGTTGGGATTATAGGTGTGAGCCGCTGCACTCAGCCACATTGCTAATCTTTATACTAAACTAACAATATTCTTTCAATGCCCCAAAAGCACTTCTAATGCACTATACAAGCACTTTTGGCATTTGCTGCAGTATAGTCTTGATTAGAAAATGAATCAGTCAGTGGCTCAGCAGGAGGTAGACAGATGGCTCAAACAGTGTAATTAGAAAGTGTTTAAAAAGCTATTTGCAAAGAAGTAGGCAGGGCTAAGGAAAACCAACTAGGGATGCTAAGCATGCTAGGGTCAGCATATCAGGAGCCACAGCACCCAGGCCTAATGGGGGAACAGAGGAATTGGACACCAGAACCAGCTGCTAGTACCTGTAGCTGGGAGAGGGCTTCCCAGTAGAAGCTGTGGACTTTGGTAGAGGGACCCAGCTGGCCCATTATGACCCTGCAGGGTGAGTCAAGGAGAAGAAAGACCCTAATTTCATCTCTTGCTAGTGCCTGTCACTAGTGGACTCCAGCTGCAGTCCTGAGGTTAGTGGGTGTAGTCCCGAAAGGAGTGACCCCCAGAGTCTAGGTCAGGCCAGAAAAGGTGAATGGTAGATCTAGAGGGACAAATGGAAAATATCTAGCATAGAAAACATATCCAATTTTATATACATTTTCCAAAGTTGCCAGTTACAATTTTTTTATTTTTGTTTTCCTAGTATTTCAAGGATGCCATTGAATAAATTGTAATGAATTTCCTTTCCTCTTTTGTTTGAATTATACTGTCTGCTTTTACTTCAGCACCAGTCTTAAGGCTTAAAAGATTCAGAGTAGAGTTTATATTGAAGACATTTAGACAGAAATGAGTCCATTCCAATAATATCCTTTTAGACCCCTAAAATAGGAACATTATTCAACGTAACATTAAATTGAGCAAAGCCATTGCATGAAGAGCATAAATTAGTTATTGTCAGCAAGTTTGCAGTATGAATGAAAATACAGGAATGTAATGGAGGACATCTCCTTTGTCTAGAATACTCTATAATTGTGGCATTTAGTTATGTAGAGGACTTCAACACCATATGTTTTAACAAATACTTTGGGTCATAAGGGTATGTATAATGGAAGGACATAATTAAAGTTTAATCTGTTCAGTAAAAAGGCACCATTAATTACTCTAGGCAATTTATTGGGTTATTAATTGGTTCTGGAAACATGTCAAGATACTAATTTAAATGGAATTTTTTCCCCTAATTGTCTAGACAGCCCCTCGACCATATACTGCTCCAGGAAATATGCAGCCTCCAATTCGATTACAGCCTCTTCCCAGTAATCCTGCAGTAGAAACTGTTCCAAAGGTAACTTCAAGGTCCAGATCAAAAACCTCATTGCTGGAAAATGAAGCTCTGTTTCCCATTGGGGTAAATGTTATTTTTATCAATAAATATATTTTAATTTTTGAGTAGATTATTATAGGTTATTACAGTGGTCAAGGTATTATATTCGATTAAAATCTACACAGTGAAAATTATATTGTATATGTATGAAACACTTACTACATACTTGTGATTAATTATGTCTTACTCAAATGGGAAGGCCTGTAATTTGTGTCACTGAGCAAAAAAGTAAAGAATAGATTGGTAATAATGCATGGTGATTTCTCCTTAGTTTACAAGGCTGATTGAAAAACAAAGGGGAAAACTTTTCTGAACCAGATACAACTTCTATCAGAAAAGACCTAGTGTTGACTTCTTCCAAATTTTAAACGCATGAAACCTAGAAAATGAAACTTTCCAAGAATAGGTTTGCATTTGCATGCCGACTTACTTTCCCATCAATGTATGAAATTGCTTCAAGTTTGACTTTTAAAAGGTTGAATATAGAAAGAATAGAATGTCCATCTTTAAAAAATGCTGAGTTTATCACACATAGGAGCTTGATTCTGCTACCCTCTCAAGGTTATATCTCAGATAATTTTCCCTTATTTTAATAGAGCACAGGAAGGAGGTATGGTAACCATGAAACATGAGTTACTTAAATAGGGAGGAGGAATTAGTACATTCACTAATTAGGGAAAGTATTGTTAGTTTTTCTAAAATGAAGAAAATTTTGCCAGCTTAAGAAAAAACCTGCGACATGAGTACAATTGTCATTATGTTCAAAGGAATGATTATGTTTCATTTAAGAAACGCAAGATATATGAAATTAAGATATTTTTATTTTTAATTGACAGATAACCTTGACACTAAGAAATTAATTCAGACAAGTGATTGTGTTTCACAGTAAAAGTATAAATACAACTCTAAAAATAATAATATATTAATCTGCTTAATATGCTTTTCAGTTTCTGAAGCACTTTTCATAAATCTTATTTCAGTTAATTTAATAATAGTTTTCTAGAAACCAAGAGAAATTAATCCAAAAGTGGTGGTGCTTCATCCAGGGAAGACTGCTTACAGTTAGGCAGGAACTTCTTGAGTCTTATGTCAATTAGTTTGACACTTTCTAGGCTCTGGTCTCCACTTTGAAGACCCAGAGATTTCCTGTTTTAGCCAGGGTCCAGGAATAGTCACATCTTGTGAGACTGTCCAGGCTAACTAAACGAACTCAAAACAAGCTCATTTTTCTCTAGATAATAAACGAAAATGGGCAACTCAATGATATTCAGGGGCTATTTATTCACCAAGAGATGTCATAGTCAAGGCTTATAGAAGAAGTGCATTATCCCCTAGTAGGCAGACATATATGAGAAGCCAAATCACAATGAGAAAGTTGCCTAGTGAGCATGGAATCAGAATGAGGGGAGATAGTGTAATAGAATGTTAATCGTATAAGGCCTATATGGCCTGATACACCCATCTCATCTTGGGAATGGGCTAGCCAAAGGTACCAGAAAACTCAAAGGTCTTTGGCTAAAATCCTCTGTATCCTCCAGCAGTAACTTTGCCATTAGGACTAGAAATACTCAAAGTCCAATGAGTAGGATTTCCTCTCCCCTAGATAGTACTTGGATGGGTGCTTTCCATGCTTGCCAAGGTGATTATATTATTTTTTAAGTTCCATAATTATTAATGCTACTTTGATCAATACTTTGTTTCATTAGACATGTGAACACCATCAATCAGGTATTATTTAAGCTCTGCTGGCTGGGGAGCAATTTTTTTTTCCTTTAATGTGACTCTTCAAATCTGTTCTGAGCCACTGGATAGATTTACTAATTGAATCTTTACAGGGCCTTTTCCTGTTTCAAGTTTTTGGGGTATGTATTATTGAAAGACAGGCAGCTAATGGTAGCTGTCATGTGCTGACAAGATTGAGATAAATTCCACAATAATGTCAACTAGCTAAACTCACTTTTCATTTAGTAAATATTTATTGAGCATTTATGATGGCCTTGGTACTGCTTTAGGCATCAAGACAGACAAAAGTAACTTATTGGAGCTTATAGTGTAATGTTCACAGACAAAGTATACTGTGATTATGTCTTATCTGTAATTTTTTTCAATGGCATTGATGATGAAAATGATTTAATATAAAATCAGACAAGAAGCTCTTAAAGAAGAATAATATTCTGTACATTGCTGAGTATGTAGTGAGCACTCAAAAAACTCTTATTGCTTTTTTAAAGAGTAAAGTATATACATGTTGAAAGTACTTGAAGGTACAACAGATAGAAGTAGGTTGAACTTTGCTAAGTAGCAGGAGTGAGAGTCTTTAATTTAGGCAAAAGTGATTTGGCCAAAAACAGACGGGATGAGATGCAAATGAGGAAAAATAATGACTTGATTGAAAATGAATGATGTTAGAATGAGAGTTTCTCATATATTATTGGTAGAAGTAGAAATTAGTACAAGTATTTGTGAAGGCAATATGGAAATATCTATCACCATTTTAAATGAACATGCTCAAGCATTTTAACATGTAGGAATTTATCCTAGGAATACACAATATGTGTAAAGAAACAGATTCAAGAATATTTTGTACTGTTGTATTTGCAATAGTGAACAATTGGAAGATACCTAAGTAATAGGGTATTGTTTTAACTTGTTATGTTATATTAAAGTACATTTAAAAAGTATTATTACTTGCACTGGCATGAAAAGATGTCCAAAATGCTGTCGAACTAAAAGAAGCAAGGTAAAGAACAACATGTTAATTTTTTTGAAAAACTGGTAAACCATTTCCAAAGAAGGCATGTAATTGATTGATGCCTACTCAGAAATAATTTTGTTTTAAATCCTTAAACACAAAAAGTTCTAGATTCATTGATTTTCTTGTCATTATTTTTTACTTATTTTTATTTTTTATTACAATATAAACGTACTCCTTTACAGAAAAAATGGAAAATATAAGAAAAGAAAAATTAGAGCTTGACAAAATGCAATATCAACCATTCTAACAATTATAAACTCCTTGGTGAATATCCACTTAAATCTCTTTCGGTTCATATGCCTTTTTAAATCAAAATATGGGCTATCCATGCCCTTCATTTATAAGTTCCTTTTGCTCATTTAGCAATGAGAGATATTTGGAGAGTACTTTCCTTTCTACAAAACAATTTTTCACCAATAAGCATATTAAAATACAAACTAAGTTGATCAAAAATTAATTAGAAATTTAAAAATAAACATAAGTACAATATAAATTTATATTGTAGAAATAGAAATAAATTGGTGCAAAATAGATAAACCTACTTAAATATTCCTTAAAATTTGGGAAACTACCTCAGATACCCAAAAATTACCAATTTGTGAAAATTCAGTGACTCACTTATACCTGACAAATGTAATTATTGACTATACCTTTGGTGTTTTTTAATGATTAAAATAGTACATGCTGATTAAACTCTAAAACAATATGAAGGTATATCCCTAAAGGTAGCCACACATTCAAGTTTTTTCAGTCATTCTTATTTTTAATCAGAATTCACACGTAAATTATTTAAAAGAAATTTATGGTCATACCATATGAACCTTTTTATTTCAGGATAAATATATTCATGTTATTTTTGTTTAAGCCCGGTGAGATCTCTCATAGGAACAAAGCAAGTTTTAGTTAAACATCTTCCTATTGATGGACTTATATGATGTTACATTTTGTGCAATTAACTTCTTCATATATATGTGTGTGTGTGTGCATGTGTGTATATGTATCCTTATACACATTTATATTAGTGAACTTGTATAGTTATCTGTGTAGGATTTATTCCTACCACTAGAATTTCTAGGTCAAAGGATATATACCTTAAAATTTTGATAAATATTTTAATTTTTCCTCTGTAAATGTAATAATTTACTCTAAATAGTACATGAGTTATTTATGCTAAACAGTACATGCCAGTTTGTTTACAGCTTTGCAAACCCTGCATATTCTAATACCTAGATGCCTGAAATAAGAATATGAAAAAAGTCCTAATTTCCTATTGCTAACTGGACTAAAGCTCTGCTTTAAAGCACACTTCAAACTTCTTGATTTTAAATTGTTTAGTTGTATTGGGTTTAATGGATTGTTGAAGAAAAACCCCAAAAGTACTATAAAAGTGTCATCACTTTATGTTAGTTAAAAAATATACCACACAAGGTTAGAATTTTTAATTTGCCGCAGATACTACAAAGTGTCATTTTTCAGCAGACTGGAGTGTTTTGAGTTTGTCTATTGATATCAGTTGTGTTTGCATGCAATGTCAATCATTTAGGCTTGTCTTTAAATTTGGGTTACATTGAGTCACTGATTCTGTTTCACTGGTTCTTATGCGATGAAATATGATTACAGGGCAAGAAGGCAGTGATGAAGTTCAGGAACTCCATAGGCAATTCACAGAGAATGAATTCATATCAACTTCCAAACATTAACAGTTACATGATGCCTATTCCTCCTCCACTTCCCCCAACTGGGAAAATCACAAGAGAAAATAGATCTGAAACATGGAGAAGGAGAAGATTTCGTCCAACCACTGCTCCAAATGGCTTAGAACCTCTTTTGACAAAGGTGATTATGGAACAAATTTTTCTTTTATTAATTTATCTCAGATTACATTGCACTATTAGATTTCTAGGTTTGCAGTAAAAGAATTTGGAGGAAATTGCATGCAAAACGTTGTGTGTAAAGAAATACAATTTTATAAGTAAGCTTGAATGTATCTGAAACCACAGGCTTGAGTAATTCAGTTGCATAATGAGTTTAGCATAATTAATAATAAAAGATTTAACAATTCTTGTGGTCAAATTTAATTTGACCAATACCTATTTCCAAATCATTTATTTCCTTAAATGCACCTGTTCAGTCACATGTTGTTAGAAACATCTTTACATCTAAGTTGTAAAAATTCAGAAACCTTGATATACCTAAAAAACACAATATAGTTTATTTTGAACAATTTATGGCAAATTACTGTATCATACATAGATAAATTATTTCAGTAATTTTTTAAGAGATTACAGTTTGTTGTACTGATTTCCTCAAAATACTAATAGAAGAAACAATTTTAAGGCCTGTTGGACTTTATACACATACAAGCTAGTAAGAAGGCAAAATATCTCTTCATTTTTATTATGTTAAATATACAACCAATAGCAATTAAATGAAAGTTTTGTGATTGGCAAATAAGCTGGGTCAACATTTCACTGACTGACCATCAGGAAGTGAAGTGCCAGCATGCACATAGATTCTTAAAAACCAACTTCACTTTCAGGAACCTTATTCACCCCATGTCCACATCTCACTCCCAGCAGCTGTCCTTACCTCTAACCTTCTCAGAAGATGGGGACCATCTTCTTCCTGCTTGCTTGAATTTCCTTTTTTCAACTCTACTTTTACCAATTCTCTCCCTTGGTTGCTGTCTTTGACAGGATGTTTTCTCTCTCATCCCCAAGGCCCACCCTTGCCCTGCGTCTTTGATCAGATACTCTTTCACTGTCGGTGGTAGCTCATACTATCTGTCATTCTCTCTAATTTGGATTTGCTGGCTTCCTCTAATACTCATCTCTGTCTCTCAACATATCCAGGCCTTAGATAAAGGAGCAAATTATTTCCTCACATGCTGCAACCTTAGACTTCTGTTTTATCTTTTCTTCATTAGTAAGTTCTCTATAGAGCAGTTTACTGGAGCTTAGTCTAACAACCCCAGGCAACTCAACTTACAACAATATTCTTGCTCACAATTTTATGGTCAGCTGTAATTCTAGGACCCAGAGTGGAGGAACAGCTCAGAATGAAGGAGTCTGGAATATGTTGGCCTCATTCATGGGCAACAGAACCACAGAATGCTTTTAAGGTTCCACTCAGGAGTGGCACATGTCACTTACACTTGAATGCCATTTGGCAAGCCCTTGACCAAGACTGACCTCAATGGAGTAGGAAGTATCAGTCTCTCACAGAAAAGGGCAGCGAATATTTGGAACAATAATAGAATCTACCATATCCACTAACTTAATTTTTCACTCTGCATGCTGGCATTGGTTTCTACCTGGCCAATGAACATGCTCTCAAAAGATGTGGCTCATACTTAGCAAAAACAATGACTTACTCATCATTCTGAAACACTTGGGGGGCAGGATTTGATTTTCGGATGTTAAAATGTATTACTGGGATACATTCTACCTGTTCATGCTCTTTTAAAACACAAGTTTAAATGTCTCACAAGCCATAAGAATATATAAAGTCTTATCTATATGTACAAGTTCAACAACAATAACCAAGCAAGCACCATGCACTCACTACACCTTCACGATGAACTCTATCATATTATGCAAGAGCCCCCTTTTTCCTGCCCCATCATTCTTTAATTTTTCCAGAGCAAGCACCATGCTGACTTCCCTGTGAACTATGTCCCTGCTTTTCTTTAGAGTTCTATCGCTTATATGCATAAAACTTCAGAAATAAGCTCAAACCTAGCATTGTAATGAAAGGACGCTATTTCCGGAAGAAAATAAGCTGAATAGAATCTTTGGGTCACAGCCTGGGTTTGGTTTTTAAACAGTTTTAAAAGCCCCTTCTGGGGAAGTCAGAGTGGTCAGGTCATGAGTGTGTCAAGGTATCTGGCGAGGTCCTAGTGTGAGCCAGACACTGGATGTCCAGCAGGAAAATGACCAGGAGAATGGGCTTCTGTAGCTGGGCATGGAGGAGGGAGCAGCAGCCTCTTCATCCCAGGGTCGTGACAAGTGAAGCACAAATAAGCATCTGAGCCAGGTTCCCCTGGGATTCTGCATTCAGGTTAGAAGCACAGCATGGTGTCATCAGGCATGCTGGCTTTGACAGACCTTATCATGTCTGTCTCCTGAGTCACAGGGCTTCAGTCTGACTTACTCTTCTTTTTTTCCAAGAAAAAAAAAACCTTTTTCTCTCTTTTTGGAATCTCTATTTTGGGAATGTTAGAACTACTAGACTGATGCTCTAAGATTCTTAGCTTTTCTCTCCTACTTTCTACCTCTTTGTCTTTTTGTTCTACTTGCTGAGAGGTTTTTTTTTTCAATTTTATCTTCCACACATTCTACTGAGTTTTTTCTCCTGCCATGTTTCAATTCTAAGAACTCCTTTTGTGCTCACTGAATGCTACTTTTAAAAATGCATCTTATTCTTGATCTGTATGATTTTAACTCCGTCGTATTTGTGGAGACTTGCTTTGTGAGCTAATATATGTTCAGTTTTGGGAAAGAATAATATCCTTTAAATGTTGAAATTAAGGTTCTATAAATGTCCAATAGATAAATGTTAATTATGTTACTCATATTTTTACATTTGTAGACTTTTTATGTGTTTAGTCTCTTAATTCTTGAGTTATAATGAAAATCCATTCTCTATAATTATGGATTTGTCAATTTGTCTTTGTAATTATGCCAAGTTCTGTTTTTAAATGTTTAGAAAGTCTTATATGCTCTCAGACTTAAGATTATTTTAATCTTACTGGTGAGGAGATCCTTTTTGTCATATTACTTTTTGTCTTAAAATCTATTTTGTCTAATAATACTTCTTATTTTCTTTAGTGTGTCTGTGTGTGTGTGTGTGTGTACTGTATATGGAGAGTTGACACTTGAATAACATGGGGGGAAGGGGTGTCATTTCTCTGCACAGTCGAAAATTTGTATATAAACTTTGACTCCCCCCAAACTTAACTACTTGTAACCTACTGTTGACTGGAAGCCTTACCAATAACATAAATATTCGATTAACACATATTTTGTATGCTATTTGTATTATATACTGTATTCTTACAAAGTTAGAGAAAAGAAAATGTTATTAGGAAAACTGTAAATAAGAGAAAATACATTTATACTACTGTACTGTATTTATCAATACCATAAGTTATGTCTTCTCTTTACGAAATGAATCGTCCACCCGTGAGCAACCTCAGCTAGAGAATTCAATTCAACCTTTTCTTGTAATGTCATGACTTTGCTTCCTGGAGTGTTTCTCCAAGTGAAACTTTGTTGAGTCCCATGATGTTATTCAGTGTTTACAGTATTACGCTAAACACGATGGAAAATATGTAAGAACTTTGAGAGATTACTTTTTACTCTGATAGATGATTTACTAAAGAGATGAATTGCTCGTGTGGACATGACTAGTGTCACATGGCATTTTAAGTGGATACTCACAACACTTGAGCTCACTACAATAGCAACAGAAGGTGGCTATGAAATTATTACAGCAGTACAGTATGTACTACAGTTAATTTTATGCAGTTATGATTTAATATTGCATCTTTATATTTGTTTACATTTCTCTTGATTGTAAATGGCACCATGCATGGTCTGTTAAGAGTATGTGTAAGTTTTCATAAATCTTAACTTTTTATAACAGATTTGTGTGTATTTTATGGTAGTAAATGATAAAACAGACTAGCATCTACATATATTTTATGCATTCATAACATACATTTTTCTTATTTTTCAAAATATTTCTAGGCTATACAGTTTGTCTTCAAGTTTTTCAAATTGTTGTAAATCTCCAAAGAATTTTCCAACATACTTATTGAAAAAAATCTGCATATGTGTGGACCCATGTTGTTCAAGGGTCAACCGTATATATACACATATGTATGTGTGTATATGCATATGTGTATATATATTCCTTTCACTTTTAGTCTTTTGGTGTCTTTAGTTTTAAACTTTAGGCTTTAAATATGTTTATGTAACATAGGGGTGGATTGTGTTTGATTCAATCTGAGAATCTCTGTTCTATTAATAAATGAGTTTAGTCCAAGTATATTTACTTTGTTTAGTGATATATTTAGACTTATTTCTACCATCTTAGTTTTTTTTTAACTTACCATGACATTTCTTTGTAGAATTTTATGCTATTAATTGCCTCTTCCTTAAACCTCTCCTCTCTTGCCTTCCATGGCATTCTGTTTTCATGCTTCCTCGGGGTCTCCTTTCACCTCTTGTCCTACTCCTTTGTGATTCTTTTTCATCTTCACCCATAAATCTACCCATCCCTATAGGCTTCAGCCTTTACACTTGTTTTTCTATTCAAGATGTAGTCATCTTCACACATGATTTCATGCTAGATGTCTGTTGGAGTTGACTCTAGCCCTGATCCTTAGGCATCGAGTAAAATTGTCTCAGTGGGGAGAGTCACACATTTTACATTAATACTTGAGTTTCGTTTATTTAGATATAGAAAAGATTCATTTAAGGGGAGATGGCTCTTGTGACTAATTTACACATAAATTCATCTTTCATTTTATGACTACCATCCAGCAAAGCATCTTTTAAAGGCTCTTAAAAAAAAGGAAAGAAAGAGTAAAAAGCAATGAAATGTGGCTTGCTGGTATCCACCACCTGCTCCTCTATGAATGTGTAGAACAACATGGTCTCTGGCTTCTGTGATTCATGTCTCTGGGGATGATCAGTAGAGCCAAATGGCAAGGTGTGGTACGACTCACAGTCCAGCAAGTTGTCTCTGGACTCTGTTGCTTTGTCCTGTTTTGTTCTAGCACCTTCAGAGCTTTATACTGCATTTACAGAATCCATGAGGCTAGTTACATTTTGCACTAAGGTTTAACTCACTCACCTCCAGACTTTTGTGTTCCCACTCAGGATCGAGGTAGTCTAACCTTACCAGTCACCTACTCTATACAGCAGCCTGCTGAAAATGTGGAAAGTTTCATATATAGCTTTTATAAAAGGGAAAGTACAGGCTTCCAAATAAGAACCTACTTAATGGTTATGTTTATCTATTTTAGAAACCAATAACAAAGTTTGCTTTTATTTTTTATACATTTTTTGAAAGAGAGGGCAAAAAGTTTATGACACTAGTTTGAGACTTTTCCATGAAAGCCCCCTATCTACCTCCTAGGTACCAAATAAGCCCTGTGCAATTACAGATGCCCAATTGATAGGTCCTACTGCTCCTCAAATTCAACATGGTTACAACTTAAGCCAGTTTCTCCATTCAGTTGCCTTATTTATTTTAAAGCACAAACTTTTGTCCTGTAATTTGGCCTCAAAATCTATAATTTCTTCTTCCTTGTGCATTGCACATCCAGCTAGTTGCTAAGTTCTCTAGATCAGAGATGTCCAATAGAAATAGAAGGCAAGCCACATATGCAATTCTAAAATTTTCTAATAGTCAATTTAAAAAGATAAAGAGAAACATGAAATAAATTTTAAGACTTTAATATATTTTATTTAATCAAGTATATCTAAAATATCATTTCCACCTGTAATCAATATGAAAAATTTTAATTAAGTATGATGTATTTTCTTATACTATGTCTTTGATATTCAATGAATATTTTATACTTACAGCAAATGAGCTACCTTTCAAATGCCCAGCATCCAAATGGGAGAAGTGGCTGCTGTCCTGGATGGCACAGCTCTAGATGCCACCTGAACAGTGGCTCATGTACCTGATAATCCTTTTTCATCCTTACTGCTACATCTCTAGTTCAGGGGCTTGATAACTAATCTTTTAATGGAACTATTGCAATCATCTATATACTTGTCCTGCCTCTAAATGAGAATATAGCTCAGTCCAGTTTTTGTTGATAATGGCAAATGATATGCTAGGTCCTGAGGTTACCAAGATGGGTAAGACTAAACTGTTTCTCTCAGAAAGACTGCAGTCTAGCAAGAGAGACAGATATATATATATACAATTAACCATGATATATTGTGATGAGTACTATAATTGTGATATAAATAAAGCACAATAGAAACATAGAGGAAAGAAATATTAGTTTTGACCGAGGAGATTAGAGAATGCCTCCTAGAGAAGGTGGCATTTGAAATGGGCTTTGAATGATCAGTAGGAAGTTAGCAGATAGAACCAGGGAACTGAGATTGAAAAGCAGAAAGGGGAAAAAGGAATAAGCAAAATTCATCTCGGTTTTATTAGATTCTACATAATGGTGCTAAATTAAACTTTATGGAAAAACTCTCAACATGCTCCTCTACTGCTTGAAACCTTCACTAGTTGGCCCTTTCTTAATGAAAGTAGGTATATTGTTCTGCATGGCTATTTTAAAATGTGGGTTTTTAAAAATTATTCAGGTATGGTGAAACTTACAGATTAAGAGACAATTGCCATCAAAAAGATAGATTGTTACTCACAGTTCCCAAGAGGAGGGGACACACCACATGCATTGGTCAGGGATCCATCCAGAATAATGTTTACCAATCTGGGCATTGGAGTCCGGCTAAATTAATAGGTAAAATTAACCATCACAAGATCAGGTGCAGTGGCTCACATCTGTAATCCTAGTGACTTGAAAGGCTGAGGCAAGAGGATCACTTGAGGTCAGGAGTTTGATACCAGACTGGCCAACATACAAGACCCAATCTCTAACACCTGTAATCCCAGCTATCAAGGAGGCTGAGGCAGGAGGTTGGCTTGGGCCCAGGAGTTTAAGGCTGTAGTGATTGCACCACTATGATTGCACCACTGCACTCCAGCCTAGGCAACACAGCAAGACCCCATCTTCAATAATGTTAATAACTCTTACACCACACCATGCAGAGCTACACAAGGAAGCACCAGAGTAGGTTAGGAAGCAGAGGGAGTGGGGGAGGAAATGTGAGCAGGAACCCTTATTATCATTTCTGTGGGAAGGAACAGGTGAGAGAGATCCTGAAAATCTAGAGCTCTGATGCCTCTGTAAGGATTGAGGTGTTTCTGGGCACATTAGGAATAAGCATGAGGTAAAGTTTACACAGTAGTAAGAAAAATGGCCCAAAAGAAAATGAAAAGAGTAACTATACTAAAAGCAAACTGGGAGGCAAAACCAGAGAGAAAGAGAAGAGAAAGGGAAGAACATGTGTAATGTAGTGCTGTGAGGTTTTCATACAACCAGCTGCTTCCTAAGTCTTTGGGATATGAACACTCTTCCTCTGGCTTGTGTCAGACTTTCTCTCTCTAGGGCCACCAGCATCAACATGGGGATTGCCACTTTTTATGGTCAGGCTGGTTTTGTATCAATCTTTATCAAGGAATAGTAACCAAAATTGGTGTTTGGTTTAACAAGACACTGTGAATCAGTTTTCCTGTTCTGGTAACTATTGAGTTTCTATAAATGTAGCAAGCTTCCTATATAGGGTAGAACCAACCTACTGTAGCTTTATCAGAATATGGAAAGGACAGAATATGGAATGCCTAATTGTTCCATGTCTGTGTCCAGTTGGATCAATGTTAATTAGGTCCTTACTAAGCATCAGCACTGGCAAGTTACTGGGGGCATGAAGATCACTAGGACGTCATCCTTATCTACTGAGAGAGAGATAATACAAGGGAATAGTTCCAATATCATGTGACTCATACAGTTGTAGAGGCCTGGAGATTAAAAGTAGTTGATAGTGTTTGGGCCACTACAATCAGTTCCGTTGCCAGACATTTAAATGTAGCATGAGAAATTGCAATCACTGGGAGATAGTAGGTATTAGAAAATATAACACATTTTATGTTGCCTGGGGAATGTTGGAACTTATCCCATGGATAATGGGAATCACTGGAGGGCTTTAAGCAGGAGAGTCACATGATCTGTTTAATAACAATAGATCACTCTGATTTCCAACAGGAGGGAGATTTTGAGGGATATCAGACTAGAAGTGGGGAGACTAATTCGTAGGGCGACCATACTTCTCAGTTTTCCTGGAATAGTTCAAAATTCTGCCCCTTTCCCCCCCATTTCCTAATTTTTAGTAACACTTCTTTCACTATGTGTCCAAGTTTGGATGATAAATTTCATGGTCACCCTACTTGATGTCCAGAATTCACCAGGGCTTCGTGAAGAAGATGGAGAGGAGTTATTACCCAACACTATCAACAAGAACAGGCCCTTTGACACTATACTGTTTGTGTGGGCATGGATAAAAGAGATTTCAGTGAAAACTTAGTATATCAATTCAATGCTAAATGTTGCAAATATATAATGACTGATGGGTTAACCACTCAATGGGCTTGCTGTTTCTTTATCAGCTCAGTTGTACTTGCCTGAGAAATCTGAAAAGAAATGAGAAGGAAAGTCATAAGCAACTGGTGAAGGAAATCAGAAAGAAGAGCTTTAGTTATGCAGGGGCATGAGGCCTTGTTCCTGTTCTTCAAATGGAACTGAATTTTCATGGAAGGTTTTGATACTTACTTGAGGATAGCAGAAAGGGCCGAGAAACCTTATTAAAGTTTCATTTGTCTCTGGTCATTATATCTTTGCAAGATGGTAAGTATAGAGGCAGTTCAGTCAATTGAAAGAAACTACTGTTTGTTTCCTAGTGTGTATATTTAATCACGAGCTGTCACTTGGGCCTTCTGTTTGTTAGAAAAAATTTACTTGGTTGCAATAATTAGGGAATATTTTTTAAAAAGAGAATGAAATAATGAGACCCAAGAGAAAAGAGATTTTACCATCAGAAATAAGCTTTAGCAGAAAGAAATATGAATAAGAGGAAATGAAAAGGATAAAGGGCTGCCTTTTCCTGTATTTTTCTCTTTAAAAGTTTCTCCTTCCAGTTTCTCATTTCATACACAGGACACAGGTCTTTCCCTGACTCTAATCCCACTATTACCTAGTATTTATATAGTGCTTATCGCCTACAAACTCACAGGGCTGCCTCTAAATCCATGCTGCTTCAGAAAGTATTGCTTAACAAAAGGGGGATGCTTTTATTTAATCAGTCACTTCATTAAAGGTGCTAGGTGCAGCTTGGAGCTGGATTTGCCTGAGGTCTGCTGATTGTGCAGTGGGCTGCACACAGGCATGTCACAGCTCCACAGTTGCCCAGGCAAGAGGAAACATGGGATTATGATTTTCCAAGTAGGAGTCAGACCTGGCATCATCCCCTTTGCTTCAACTGTGATTCAGGGAGATGTTTCTAATCTGCAAGAAATTATCCAGTTTGCTGATTTACTTTCATGGCTCTTGATGCCCTGTAATATGTCTCTTGATTATCTCTTTATTTGAGAGCTCTTCCTTCCAACAGGCAAGAAAATTTGCTTGAATTTTTAAATCTTGGACTTTCTCCCTCATTTATACTTTCAGATGGTTGCTAGCAGAATTTCATTCCATCAGATTTCTTTCCTCTGGTTTTTGCTTCAGAGAATAGAATGAAATGGAAAAGAAATCATCTGAAGTGGAAGAGGATGAGTTTAGAGATGGAAATATTTTAGTAGTTCCTTCAAAAATGTTTGTTGCAGCGTTGTTATTCTTTAGAAAATGCATGCTTCTCATGCATCTATAATTTGATGGAATCAGCTCAAATTACTGCCTTGGATCCACTTAAAGTTGGTCTCTGCACATTTTTTGTCTAGCTTAAAATTGATTTTTAGGAAAGTGAAGTAGATGAGAAGGAAAGGCTGGCCTGTGTACAATTCTAGAGGCCTACAATTTTCTTACTAGCCCCCCTTAAAGTCTTTCAACCCTCTCAGCCTTTCTTATTTCTCTTCCTCTTCCTCCTTTCCTTTGTTCTGCTTCTACTTCCTCCTCTTCCTCGTAGAGGTCAGGCAAACACTGTGCTCATTCACTATTATGAAAATATTTCAAACAATTAATTAGGAGTCAATGCCTAGGACATTGATTTTCTGGCATACACATTTACTGCATATTTTATAAATAATTTAAATTGGGCAATGCCATAGGATATCAAATAGGTTTTTGTAGTAATTTTAGAGACTTTGATCGGTAGATTGTTTTGATACTATAAACAATATTGATATTGGATTTTCAATCAACTGAATGCCCCTGTGAAACTGGATAGTCCCAAGCCCAAATTATTGATGACACCGATCTTCAGAATGACCGTAGAAGAAATCATACATGTGCATCTCCCTCTCAGATGGAATAAGCCCAGGGAAGGATGTGTTGTCAGTGCTCAGCTGTAAAGATAAAGCAGCCAATTACAAAAACTATTGCTAAATCTCTAAGTCAGTTCAAACTGAAACAAAATGATGTTACTAATATTTATTTAGTTCATTTGTTTGGATTTTTATTGGAGAACCAGCTAACAGAGGCAAAAGTTTCTTCTTGGTGTCATTGAAATTTTTGCTATATATAACAAACACACTCCCACACACCTCCCCACACACTTGCACTTAAAGTAAAAAATGACAAACTCTATCCAAATCCCCATTATTTACATTAAAAGTAGAAAGCCAAAACATATATGTTATAGTTATTTAGGAGGATTTATTTTGCAATGAGTTTGACTTTTTGTGCATTTGTAAATTGACACTTTATTTAGATTTTGTTGGTAGGTACTTAAAAATAACCTTCTTTATTCTTCATATTACAATGTCAGGTAAGAACTCTCATTAGAAAGTAATTCGTTAATAAGCCTCATTTTTCTGTTTATTTCAGGATTCAAGAAGGATTCATAAAACATCCTTACATAGTAATGCAGCTATTACAATGATCTATTTGGGGAAAAATGTGCACCTATCTTCTGATAATCCTGACTTCCGGGATGAAATTAAAGTTTATCAGCAGCACTGTGGTGGGGAAAACCTTTGTGTCTACAAAGGCAAACTACTTGAAAAAGGTACACATAAAATGTGAATGTTTTTTAATTGCTTGGAGTTGATGTTATAGATAAGCTGCTGTTGATATAATATCAAAATGACTTCAATCACTTTATGAAATTATGCATATCCAGGGACTTATAAACCAGCTGCCTAAAAGTAAATCTAGATTTACTGCTCTATGATTGAAACTGAAGCAGCAATTACTCTCGCAGATTGTGGAAGAAAGGATTTGGAGTGATTTAACCTGGTAACAGATTAATTTTGGGATGGAGATATATGATCATTAAAATGTTGCACGAATAAGCTGTCCCCGAAATTCCAAGTTAACTATTTGGCTTGCCATAGTGAATTATGCCATACATTATTCTAAGAGAAAAATACCAGATTGGAAATTTGTTCTTTAGAGGTATGTTGAGATAAAATCACAAATCCAATAAACTGCAGGGTGAATCACACCTAAATAACTTGGTGGAGAATTTGGCTAAATAGCTTTTTAGTACATTTTTGCTTTCATTTGATCATAAATCCACGTTTGTCAGCATAGGATAATGTTTATATGCAATGTAGGTTTTTGCAAATTATACTGTAATGTTTTTCTTCAATATTTAGTTCAAGGGAGCAGCAGTGAAAAGAAATAGTGTTTACAGGGTTATATTGTTACTTCCTTGCTTAAGAAACTGGGTCCAAAAAGTAATAGCATTTTTACTAATTAAAAGAAATATACGTATTTGGATAATCTTGGTAGGAGTTACGGGGAGAATTGGGGACAAACATGGAATTTTTACTTTTAGTCTTTCTGATTTCCCTCATTAATTGAAGACAGTGACTATTACTTAAAATAAAATTCATGTCCTTAAAGAGAGACTATAAATTCATATTGAGGAATTACATATGTAAAACTTTCCATCACAAAAATGGTAAACACTTAAATGATAGTTTCAACTTAAAGTGAAACACAATATGATGCTCAATGATGTCAGAAACTGTTTTTTTCCATTTCCATTTTATGTATTTGGTAGGAATGCAATTTACCTTGTTTATTTTGCTGTAGCATTCCAGAGTTCATTCCTTTTGTTTTGTAGTTGAGGAAAATGAGATGATTCCAGAGGTGGAGTGGCTCCCCAAGGTAACACTCTGACCAGAGTCGAGAGCAAATCCCGAGCCCCTGGCTAGGTGCAAGGCCCTTGATCAGTTCCAGGCAGCCCCAGTGAGCTATTCTGAGTAGCATGGAGTTTCCTACATTTTCATGATATAAGTGGGATGAAACCCCTAATGATAGTGGCATAGATACATACACTTATTTTTTTAAAGTATAACTTTCAGCTATTGATTTAGGAGAATGCTGAAATTAGCTGTAAAGTCGGAATTAATGTGATGAAAACTGTCCTGGACTTTAGATCACACTTTATTCAACAAAATGCATATAAAACATCTATTTGCTGGAAAATGTGATAGATACAAATGAAAAAAGAATGAGGCTTAGCTAAATGATTCTCTGGTAGATGATGTACACTCTGTGATGAGAGTGAAAAACCAAAGGTTATGGGAAAAAGGGTGTCACTTGAGTCAGTGTTATTTTGCATACATATTGATGCTGGGATGTTTTGTTACGGCATTGGACAGTCTTGAATAATAGCATGGAATGGGGACTTAAATAATTGAATCCTGTCGATGCAATAATTTTGTCTCAGCTTGCCCTTGATTGCCAGGAAAGTAATTGTTCAAAATTGAAAAGTTGGGTGGCTCAGAGTTGACTTGTGGTTCAGCAATCTTAGCAATTTAGCTGGACTGAAAAGAATCTGCCCTTTCTACAAATCAAAGCTGTGCATGATTCAGTAAAATGTGAATAGGGTTTTAAAAGATTTCTGTTAACAAAAGTTGGAGGGGGAGCATTTAACATTGTGCTTGGAGCAGTAAACTCATTAAGATTTGGCTTTCGTTAATTCGTCTTGCCTTTTTATTAGAAGTAACAATAAAATTAATTATTTAGAAAGGTGGCAAGTGCATCCTTTATTCCCAGGTAATTCATGATGTCTTGCAATTTGATTTTAGACTTCAAGCCACAAGCTGATTGTTTATTATATACACCTATGAAGTTACTGAGTATTTCCTGCTACTTGTAGAGTACAATTTCTTCACAGGCATTTTTATTTGCCATGTTTATCTTTTCAGACAACACAAACCATGGCTTCCTGGGTTCATTTTAAGTGCAAAATAAAGTAACAATTTTTTTCTGGCTTTCTTAGAATCCCTTCCTTTTCTGCCCCATTTTCCTGTATTTCCATAACCGGATCCTGTTGCATCTATCTGTGCATTCCTCATTATGCTGTGGCAAATACAGCTGCTTCACTTGTCCCATACGCACTATTATTTTTCCTTTGCTTGTGCTATTTCCTTTGTCTATAATACTTTCTCTTTTCTCCTTTTCAAATTCAAATCTTACCCATCTTTTAGGACTCAGATTAAGGCTGTGCAGCTTTCTCACTGACTTCTACTCTGTTTTATCCCAATAGCTTTCAGTCAGCACTCAAAACTGAAGCAGTTCATTGTGCTTTGACTTATATTAACGGTTTTTAATTTTTTTCTTTTTTAAGAGACAGTCTCTCTCTCACCCAGACTAGAGTGCAGTGCCACAATCATAGTCACTATAGCCTTGAACTCCTAGGGTAAAGTGATCTTCCTATCTCAGCCATGCCCAGCTAATTTTTAAATATTTTTTATAGAGATAGGGTCTTGCTATGTTGCCCAGTCTGGTCTCAAACTCCTGGACTCCAGCAATCTCCCTGCCTTGGCCTCACAAAGCATTGGGATTACAGGCTTTAGCCACCACACTCAGCCCTGTTTCTTATTTTTCTTTTATCATTGACTTTTTTTTCAGTTTTAAAAAATAGCTTTATTGAGGTGTGAATTAAATGCCATAAAATTTATTCATTGTAAGCATATAATTCAATTTCTTTTTAGAATTGTACAGAGTTGTGCAGTCATTATCACAGACTAGGTGTAGGACATCTCCAGCACTTCAGGAAGTTCCCTTGTTCTCTTTGACAGTTGGTCCTTGTCTCATAGACAGCCCCAGGAAGACACTGATCTGCTTTCTGACTGTACAGATTTTCTTTTCTGGACATTTCCTATAAACACAATCATACCATGGGTAGTCTTTTGTCTTTTTACACTCACTTAGCGTAATGTTTTTGAGAGTCATGCATATTTGTAGTATTAGTAGTGGCTCTCTCTTTATATTGCTGAGTATATTCCATTACATGGATATACCATATTTTTAAAAATTTATTCCCCAGTTAGAGGACATTTGTATTGATACTAGTTTGGGACTATGAACATAAAAACACGTTTTTGGGTAGATACATGTTGCTCTTGATTAGATTCCTAGGTGTGGTTTTAATTGCTTTTATTTCTAGGTATATGTCATATTTTCCCTTTTTCTAACATGTCTTTTGATTGTTTGTTGAAAACTACATATTTAGGTGCTATTTTAAAGTTCCTGTGAATTCTGGATTCTGACTTTTCCCTATCAAAGGTTATTGTTGTTTCTGGTTTTTCCTTCCTTTTTTTTTTTTTGTTTGTTTTTTGTTGTTTTTTTTAGTAACTTACCAAAATTAAATCTGTGAAATTTAGCCTTCATCATCCTGGTGCAGAGCCAGCCATGTTTTGCTCAGATTAAAAAATATTATATTGCTATTTTTTAGTCTGGACTCTTGGGGTAGTCTCTGTGTTTTTATAGCTCATTGCTAACGTCCCCAAAAGTATATCTGAAAACATCAAGAATTTATTCTCTTGTGGGTTTCCAGGCCAAAAGTCAAAAATGAAGGTATTGGCAGGGACACACTCCCTGAAAAGCCCCAAGAAGCATTCTTCTTAACTCTGTCAACTGGCCTTCCTTGGCCTGTGGTTCCGTCACTTCAATATCTGCCTCTGTGTTCACATGCTATTCTTGTGTGTCTGTGTGTGTCCTCACCTCTTTTTATAAGGACATCAGCCATTGGATTGAGGGCCAAACTTAAATCCAGGATGATCTCATCTTGATCCTTCACTAATTATATCTTTGAAGACCCTATGTCCAAACAAGGTCACATTCTGAGGTTCTGGGTGGTCATGAATTATTGGAGGACACAATTCAGCCGACTACAGTGGGTTCAGGGGTACATTCAAACTGTGGGCAATTTTCAAGTATGCTCCAACTTTTATTTTCCACCAGGTTCTCTTGTGTTTCTTCTGTGCCTAAGGGAAAGCTACTGGTAGGCTGGAGATGTATGAAAAGGTTGAGCCCTCTCTGATCCATGCCACTTCCAGTTAGCCAGGGATATATAGGGAGCTTATCAAATGCTTCTATGACTGGTTTATTGCTTCTATGTTCCTTTTAAATTTTTAGTTGTCCGCTGGCCTGTTGCTTGCCCTTATTAGAACTACAGTCATGGCTGGTTGTGGTGGCTCATGCCTGTAACCCCAGCACTTTGGGAGGCCAAGACGGGCAGACTGCCTAAGGTCAGGAGTTCAAGACCAGCCTGGCCAGCAAGGCGAAACCCCGTCTCTACTAAAAATACAATATATATATGTGTATATATATATAGCTGGCCATGGTGGTGTGTGCCTGTAATCCCAGCTACTCGGGAGGCTGAGGCACGAGAATAGCTTGAACCCAGGAGGCAGAGGTTGCAGTGAGCCGAGATTGCATCACTGTACTCCAGCCTGGGCGACAGAACAAGAATCCTTCTCAAAAAAACAAAACCAAAACCAAAACAAACAAATAAAAAAACCCAAACTACAGTCACAGGCCCATAGAACCTCTGACCTTCCCTGTTAGCTTGCCTTTGAGATTCCTACTTATTACTGGTCATACCACAGGCGAAAGGTTTTTCTCCTTGCACTCTAAATCAAGTCAACCCCCACAGACAGCAAAGCGGCTGGTTATTTGTGGCCTGGCCTACCCTATTAGAACTGCTGTGATAAGGCGGTAGCAGATGTTGGGGATAAGAGTAGCCCCGGAAAAAATGCATGGATTCCCATTACCTAAAGTTCAGTAATTTTTCATGAATATATGCTTCTCAGTTTGTTTTAAGCCTTTAATTCTTCTCCAGAGATAAAATTTTAAGAAAGAGAGGATTTGGTGACCGCAATCCAGAAGACTGATATATTAATTTTGCCCCTCCTGTTTAATGATATCTTTTTGAGTCAGGAGAACACATTTGATATTTTTCAGTATTTTTGTTTATCTTTAGTGCCTAAAACAGTGCTACCAACTGTCAGTGAACAATAAATAATTAACTGTACAAATACTATAATTATAATCATATATAATGCTTTCTAATATTTTACATTCTAAAATATTTAAGACTGTGTTGTGGATAGACTAGCACATTCTACACACCCCCATCTCTGTTTTATGGGTGAAAATTCTGAAAGGCAACAAAGTTAAATGACTCACCAAGATACACTCACCTGTGCCATGGACCAAAACCTTCTAATTTCTGGACTACGTTCTTTCCACTGCTCCATGAAGAAATCATCAAGTCAGGATGGGGAGGTGTCACTGTATTTAAAATACAAAAATAAGTAACAAAGGAGTAAAGGCAAAGGGTGGCAGTTCTTGTTCTAGAACTCTGAAAAACAATGAAAAAACAAAATGGAGTAATATCTGGGCATACTCTCCAGCTACATGAGCATCCGATGGAAGGGCAGTCACTTCTAGGGGTTGATTTCCTGAGCCCTTTCTCAACATTTCCTTAAGTGCACTCTCTTCCTGAACTGGGAACTTAGGAAGTTATGGAGCATGATACTGCAGCAGAATGGTTTATATTACAGGAATGTAGACTCAAGCTTCTATAACAAAAACAATCAAACTTGCTTTCACCACCTGAGGAGTCCATTTATCATTAAGACAAAAGGATTTTTAAAAATATTGTATCCTAGTTTTCCCAGACTCTAACCTTTTTCAGCTCTCTCTTTCCTAGTTTAATTTTACATCAGAAATACTAAGGTATAAATGACTGAATTACCTTTTTAATAAGTCTGTTCTTTAGAATGAGTTGCATCTAGTGTAGAGTTTTTTTTTTTTTTTTTAGACGGAGTCTCACTCTCACTCCCAGGCTGGAGTTCAGTGGCGTGATCTCGGCTCGCTGCAAGCTCCGCCTCCCGGGTTCACGCCATTCTCCTGCCTCAGCCTCCCGAGTAGCTGGGAATACAGGTGCCCGCTACCACGCCCGGCTAATTTTTTTGTATTTTTAGTAGAGACGGGGTTTCACCGTGTTAGCCAGGATGGTCTCTATCTCCTGACCCCGTGATCCACCCGCCTCGGCCTCCCAAAGTGCTCTGGAATTACAGGCGTGAGCCACCGTGCCCGGCCGAGTTTTTTTTTTTTTTTTTTTTTTAGGGAAAAAATGTGGTACACACAGTGTTTCTAAATAACTGAAAAAATAGATTAAAATAATAATTCACTCATTATTTTGGGGGAGCCTTCTATGCCATTGTCCAGGGATTTGGAGAAAAAAGATGCATCAACTTCAGCTCTTATGGATTTCACAAACATGTAAAGCAGCTAATGTCTAGATTAGAGTTCTTAGAAGGCAGTCCCTAGACCAATAGCATCAGCATCACCTGAAACTTGTTAGAAATGCAAATTCTTGGTTCTTACCACAGACGTACTGAATCAGAAACAGAGGTAAAACCCAGCAATCTGTATTTTAACAAGCCCTCTAGGTGATGCTGATACACCATTAAAATTTGAAAACCACTGGTATAGCTACATCTTAGTCTATTGTAGTAAATGCAACAATAGGAAATGCGTACATAGTAGAGAGGTGAAAATTGTTAACTTTATTATTGGCAGATGTGGAAGGGTCCAGAGAGGCTCTATTTCTTTTCTTTTCTTTTTTCTTTTTAGGAAGTGACGTAAGAAATATTCATGAGACACAGGATTTTGAGTCACTCTGCAGAGAATAAGGTTTCCCAGACTTAGGGTTTAGGACGTCTGTGGGGATAGGGTGGCAGGCTTTGCAAATAACATTATAAAGACTTGGAATGATTAAAAACTATTAATTGTAAGCAGTGGTTCTAAATTTATTGGTGGGACTTTTGGGTGGATGGGGAAAACAAAGTGTTCTCAAATCCAAACAGAATTGAGTATAGCTTGGAGATGAAATAACTGCTTCATTCATGTATGTTTTAGAATATTTAAAGTCACAACTAAAAATAAAAGCATTTTAAAATGTATTAATGAGCTCACAGTAGCCTTTTATTATTAACTGCTTTATCAATAGATAGCATAGCAAGATAGAGGCATGGAATCTACAGAGATGTTTGGATTCAAACTCTAACTCCCCAACTCACTGTATGATCTTGAGTAAATTACTGAACTCTTCTAAGTCTTAATTTCTTGACCTAGAATCTAGTAATAGAAAAATTCCCACTTCACATGATTGAAAAATAACAAGATAATAAGGCATAATGCCTGCCACAGTAAGTGCTCATGTAACCTTAGGTATTATTATTTTATTACAAATCAAAGAATTTTTATAAAAACTTGGAGTATTTATTACAAATAAAAGTAATCAAATGCAATTTTATCACTAAAAATTGTCCTCAAATTAAAAGATGATCTAGATCTAGCTTGTCCAATCTGTGAGCCACAGGCTGCATGCAACTTTGAATGTGGCCCTACACAAATTTGAAAACTTTCTTCAAACATTATGAGATTTATACAAGAACTTTTTTTTTTGTTTTTAGCTCATCAGTTATTGTTTGTGTTAGTGTATTTTATATGTGACCCAAGACAATTCTTCTTCTTCCAGTGTGGACCAGGGAAGCCAAAAGATTGGACACCCCTGATCTAGATCATAATATTGTGTTTATCTAATAGAAAAACATGATTTAACAGATGTTAGTCCGAAGTCAGTTGCTTTCACTAATGTATTTCTATTTTAATTCCAGAGACCTTTCAGTTTATTTCCAAAAGGCATCATGGTTTCCCCTTCAGTCTCACCTTTTTCCTGAATGGGATGCAGGTGAACAGGTTAAGCTCCTGTTGTGAATACAAGCATCGGAAAGGTTCCAGGCTTGGAGGCAAACGAGGCTACTTTGGGTTTGTGTGTGTTGAGAGATCATCTCCTTGCTACAAGTATGGAAACAAATGTCCTTTGGTAGAGGGCAAGTTTTGCTACATTTTTCTTTGAATGCCTTTACTAATGCATTTCTCTTCACAATTATTAAGGAAATTCAGTATAGATGGGCCTACAATATCTAGGTTCAGGGTTGTTTATTGTAACATGGCGTGCTGAATTTGAAATTATAAGATATAAATCAGACTTACAGAGGTGTTATATAACGAAGATAAAAGCTAGTGCATTTTAAATTATTTCACTTTCTATCTCTCCTGTCTTCTCACTTTAAGAACTGTTTCTGAAGGGAAGGAGAGAGATATTTTTGTTTGCTTGTTGTTTTTGTTTGTGTGTCTGTTTTTCCTCATTCATCTTAGTAACTGGTTTTAGACTGAGCCTTAAAGTGTGTGCCAAGCATCTGATTTACATGACTGGACATTTTCGGTTATGCCTTTTAGAGGTTAGGTTTGCCTGCATTACTGTCTGACCCAATTTTCATTATCTCCCTTAGTTTCAATCTTGGGCATAACAAAATGCATGATAAAAGGTCAGTTTTGACTGTTATCAGCTTTCATACTGAACATTCTGTTTGAAATCAGGAGTCTTGCTTGTGGGCTTTCATATTTTCTAAAAGTATTGGCTAGATGCCAAGCTAGAACACAAGAGTGAATCAACTAAAGTATTTGTCTCTGTGGAACTTATTCTAATGGAGGAAAAGCTAATAACGTACCTACAAAGCAATTAATATATGTGAGATGGTCAGTATGATGAACACAAAACAGGGTAAGGGAGATACATGGAGTGAAGGGAGACAAGAGTCATGGGGAGTGTGTTATTTTATGCAGGATAGTTAGGAAGGGCCTCTCTGATAAGATGTCTTTTGAACAGAAACCAGAAAAAAAATTTCTTTCTTGAAATAGCTTTTGAGATAGAGGAAAAGCATATACAGAAGGCATGAAGCAGGCACGTGTTTGTTGTGTCTAAGGTAGCTTGGCCAGCACAAAAGGAATAGAACCATGAAATTGGAGATGGGGTCGCAGAGACCATGAGGCTAAGCCATGTAGAGTCCTATGGTCATTGCAAGGACTTTAACTTTTATCTGAGAAGGATGGGAAGCTTCTAAAGCGGGTTTTGAGCAATGACTTGTCATGATTTAATAGTAACTCTTATGGGAAAAATAAACAAGGGTGTGTGGGGAAAATATCAGAAACTGCTTTAATCCAGAGAAGAGATAATGGTGGAATGAGTTAGAAGTAATTTTAAAGGTAGAGCTTACAGAATTTACTGATGAATTGGATGCAGGGAATGAGATAAAGAGCAGAGCCAAAGACGATTCAAAATTTTTGTCTTGAATAACTGGAAAGATGTCCAGTTAACTTATTGAGACTGTGGAAGAAGCAGGTTTTTGGGGTGGAATGAAGTGGTTTTGGTCGAGGACACATTGAGTCTGAGACATGTATGAGATAAGCAAGTAGAAATGCTGAGTAGGCAGTTGGATATATGAATCTGGGGTGAGGTGAGAGGTCCAGGCTGGAGATGCAAATCTGAGAATGGTTTGCATATAGATGACATGTATAAGTTTGCTTAAGAATTGAACATAGAGAAGATGTCTGAGTGATGAGTGTCACTCCATTTAAAAGGTGAGGGAGGTAAACAGGAACTAGCCTAAGAAGGAAAGGCAGTGAATAGAAAGAGAACCTAGAGAGAGTAGTATCTTGGAAATAAAGAAAATGGTTAAGGAATAAGGGCATGATTAAGGGAGTTGAATGTGTGGATATGTGAAGTAAAATGAAGACTGAGGATTGGACATTGATTTGGTACTGTGTTGGTTACTGGTGATCATGGCACGAGTTATAGTGCAGCAGTTGGGGTGTAAGCTTTCTTGGAGTGGGTTTAAAAAATAGTTGGAGAAAAACAAAGGCTGGAGACTATAGAGAAGTTTTTAAAAGAGTTTTGCTATAAAGAATGGTAATTAGGTGGTAGCCAGGAGGAAGAATGTAGTGGTTCAAGGAAGCCTCTTTATTTTTTAAGATGGGAGATACTATAATATGTTTATATGCTAATACAAACGATTGAATACTTTAGAGAATAAGAAACATGAAGTATGACATAAAGGGTGGAAATTTCTGGAGCTAAATGATTGGGTAGACTGGAGAAGATGAGATGTAGGACTCAATTGGGGGTATAAGCCTTAAGAAGAGGAGGAACATTCTTGTATGGTAACGGGAGGAAAGAAAGAAGGCATACAAGATAGAGATGTGAGTTGCTATTAATAGATGTGCTGGGAACAACTGGAAGCTCTCTGCTGATTGTTTCTATTTTCTTAAACAATACATAAATTTATCAACTGAGGATAAGGCTGAGAGAAGAGGCATTGGGTGTTTTCAGAGAGATAAGAGTGTAAAAGAATCATCCAGAGAATGGAAGACTGAATGGCCTAGGGCAAGATAGTATCAATGCCCAGCTGTACTTAGGGGCCACCTGAACTGCCTTCCTATTCCAACTCAAATATGCTGTCTCCTGATTTGAGAGCAGGTCATTTAACACAATTCTATTTAATTCCCAGAAAAGCTAATAAACATCTACAATCAGCCATGTGCAAATATATTGCATTCTTTGGGAGTTGTGGTATAAATCCAAGCTGTAAATTATTAGCCCTGAGCACTTTCTGTGGAAGTTTAATAATCAGTACCAAAATCTGACTGATGGCATTTACTCTCCTATTCAACACCCACTAGCCTCTGTACAATTATTTCTATGATTTCAACACTTGGTACCCTCTAGATTCTTTCTTCAACCTTTTCAAATAATAATATCAAAATGGTTACAATATTAAAGAATAAGGCCTATGACTCTCAACTAAAATGCACAGTTCTTATAGAAGAATGGTTTTCAATTTTTTTTTGTTAACTTCATAACCATTTTTCCAATGAAATCTGTGAATGCCCAGAATAGAACAGTGCATTGTCATTGGATGTCTCCCTGTTGCAGGTCAGGTAAAAGTTGAGTCAGACTGGTTTAAATGGTACAGGGTTAGGTGAGTAAGTGCTAGAGCCTTGTTTGTTTGTCCTCTTCCTCACTTGAGACTTTTCTGGTTATTCTAGAGACCATAACACTGCAGAACTCCATGGAGAGTTGAGAACTACCCCAAAGGTTATTACCTTCTGTAACCTTGGCTTTGTTGTCACTCCCATAATGATACTTTTAGTTATGTTAAACAATGTACACTAATTCCTCCAATACATTCAAAATGAAATTAATTTTAATTTATTTAAAAAATACCAGTCCCAGAAACATTTGTGATGAGAAAAAGGAGGGCATGGTACAATAAAACAACAGAGAATTATATTTCTAAATGATTAGGAATTACCTGTTTAAGGTCCTCAGAAAACAAGAAAAGCTGAGCAGTGGTCACTTCCAAAGTGTAAGGTTCCACAACTGTACTCATCTCTCAATTATAGGAACTGTTTGAAGAGGCGTAGTAATTTTCAATTGCTAGCATGAAACTTGGGAAGAATTGCCTAACCATGTAGAATGCAGACTGCTTTGAGCTTTAGTAATCATAATCAACACCTCAAATTATATTCAGAAGTCAAATAGGTAGTCAGTGACGAGGAGAGCACAGATGTTACTCACTTTGTTTGTCCAATTCCCTTCAGCAGATGGGCAATAAAAAGTCTGTGCATGCAGTAGGGAGGCATCAAAGCCTTTACGCAGCCACAACATAAACTAAAAGTAACAACATATCAGAGGCTCCAAATCAATGGATTTGGTGTTGCAATTGATAAGGGAAGAACAGCTTGAACAGAAGGCAATGCTAGTAATCACATTTTGTGAAGATTCATGACACCTTTACTCCAAGGAAAGCAATGTGCTAAGCACATCATCATTATAGTCAAGAAATATTTATCATGCTTAATATGGGTGAGATAAGTATAATCTCATTATCTCATTTTTTACAGCCTGATAGTTACTTTGAGTGCAAATCCTTCTAGCTTTATTTTGTGGGGAGATATTGAAAAGTTAAGTGATATAACTCAGTTCTCATATTTGCTTGTTGGGAAAATTTATTAAGATCAATTCCTTTGCTATTTCTACGCTGCAGATGGCTGAAATTTAGTGAAATCTTCAGTTTAAGTAATTGCCATTGGATTTGTTCAGGTTGAGGCATTTTTGAGATTTTACATATTATTTCTATTCTTCTGGGACTAGCAAGTCTTGACTGCTTTCTGATCCCTTTCACCTGCCCACTATAAATTCAGTTCTCTGGTAGTTGTATCACATGCAGAGAGGGGAACGTGAGTAGTTCTAGAGAAAGAAGACTGAAGAGACTGATAACTACCAGAAACATTTTTCAGATCATGGATTTTATCCAGGTCTTGCCAGAAACTTCTCCAGATTGTATTAGTGTCTGCTGAGAGAGTGTGAGTCCTTTCTTTGGTGATAAGCTCAAAGTGTAACATTTATGTAACTAGTCATCTCTACTAGTTAAATCATAACTAGGAACTGGAGGCCTACACCTGTAATAGACTAATATGGTTGTGCTTCAGTATGATGTGATGGAGCCTAGCAGTCTTGAGCTAGAATCCAGCTCCATCACCCACGTACTGGGTGACTTTGAGCTGCTAGAACCTTTTAAGCCTCGATTTTCTCATTTGTAAAGTGGTGATGATAGTTCTTAATTTATTGGTCTATGAGGTAATGAATTCCTTAAGATAATGGATACAGAGTACCCAGAAAAGAGCTTGGCACAGAGAGAGTGCTCAATAATCTTATCATTATCATAATCATCATTTTTATTAATGTATATATTATTATCATTGGAATTCTTATTTTAATATCAACTTAAGAAATAGAAAGCTATAGAAGACAATTTATTCATATTACTTTTGTTATAATTGATTTAAAAAGTTTTAATGTCATAATGCATTCAGATTATCTGCATGGTTCACCAGATTTGACTTGGAATGACTTCATAACCTCTATAAATTACTGCCATTTTTGAGGAATAAGAACTTATTACCAGCAAAAATCACCAGAAGACTGTAGTGCAGACTTCAAAAGGCCATTCTAAAAGCAATAATGACAGTTCTATGAAAATAAGTGAACAAACTCCTGAGTTATTCACTTAAAAGATGCAGCAACATTTGACTGTATATATTTCTTTAAAAAATCAATCATATTTATTTAGAGCCAATCTTGTAAGTCTTTTGTTACTGTTGTTGTGTTGTTAAAATATAACTTATCAGACTGAATGGCATCTTGCTTCTTCTGACCATTTTTATATCAGCTTCTCTATGTTTGTAAATCTGCATGTTCTATTATCACAAAATTCTCATTTAAGGACTTGAGATATGTCTTTATGTATGAAAAATTATATACCCACCTATATTTCTGTATCTATGATATGTGTTACTGTTCAGGACCAAAAATATACTTGAAGACACAGATTTTAGTTTGAAACTATAGTTCTTGGTTGACGAGTTATTTTATTTTGTTTATTATTGTGGATAACGTTATTAAGAATTTGTTGTTTGTTTACAAGATTTTAGTATCAAAAAAGAATAGTTTATTTTTAATTAGCTTTTTTAATTGTTTATTTTTATTAGTGTGTACTGTAATCAAAACATTTTTGTGTCTTTTTTTACTGGAATAAGAGATAAGTGCTTTCAAAAGCTTTGAGGTTCCATTGTGCTGTCTACAAGGGTTAACAAACACTTCCTGCTAATATTTTTCATAGGTGCATTATTGCAATGGGCCTTGACAAAAAACCGTCTTTGCCGAAATCTAGGAAAGAAAAGAGCACTGAGAAAGGAGAGGAACTGAAGAAGGCTGAGGGGAAAGTGAGGAAAGAGAGAGAGTATGTGATACCAAAAAGAAATGAGATCAAGGAGAACAAAACCTCTGTTTCAGCCAAATTTTCAGCTCAAGAAATAAAAACAGGGCTCAAAGAAGTGGTAACTGCTGTGGAGGAAATGACAAGTAAAGGAAAACCAGGACAAGAAGTCTTGGAAGACGACCAGGAAAATACTTTAAAATATGGTAATCAACAACACAAGTTTCTTTTGTTGTAGCTGTGGCTGTTTCGTTTGTCTTTGAAATGTGATGATCAAAATTTTCAAAAATACCCATTAAATGTTACCCAGCTGTGTTACATGTGGGGTGCCCCTGACCTCCTTCCTTTGCTGTTTTGTATGGAGTCCTGTGTCACCTACCTTAGAGGAAGGCAGACCTAGCCCCAGAAAGGTTAAAGGTTCTGGCTGCAGAGATGAGGAGAGAGAATGAGTACATGTCAATGTGAGTTAGAGACTCTATTGACTTCTGCAGAGACCATTTTCACCAAATAGAATTTTACCTATTTTAAAAGTTTTTGAATGTACTGTTTTTCATGAAATTGATGAATTGCTTTGACATCAGGTAGGTACAACCTATATGATTATATGGTGATAGAGTATGCCATAACTAAAGGCAGTTGACTATAGGCTTAGGGTTGTGGAACCTATCTGTCTGCTTTTTTTCTTTTGCTTTCTTCTTTTTTCTCTGTTCTCTCCTTCCTCTCTCCTGCCTTCCACTGCTTCTCTGTCTCCCTCTCTCCATACACATACACCCACCCACCCACCCACACACACACACAGACACACGCGCATTCATATATATACATACACACATATATATGCAGGCACATCTCATTTTATTGTGCTCACTTTATTGTGCAAGCTTTGCAAATATAGCACTTTTTATAAATTAAAAGTTTGTGGCAACCCTGCACCAAAGTCTATCAGCATCATTTTTCCAACAGCATGTGCTCACTTCATCTCTGTTTCAAATTTTCTCAATATTTCTAACTTTTTCATTATTATGATATCTGTCATGGTGATCTGTGATCAGTGATCTGTGTTGTTACTATTGCAATTGTTTTGGGGTGCCATGAGCTGTACCATGTAAGAAAGTGAAGTTAATCAATTTTCTGACTGCTCCACTGACCAGCTGTTCTCCAGTCTCTCTCCCTCTGCTTGGTCTTCTCTGTTCCCTAACCCACAACAGTATTGAAATTAGGTTAATTAATAACCCTACATAATACACTCTAAATGTTCAAGTGAAAGGAAGAGTCTCATGTTTTTCACTTTAAATAAAAAAAAAACGATTAGGCTTAGTGAGGAAGGCATATCAAAAGCCAAGACAGGCTAAAAGCTAGGCCACTTGTGCCAAGCAGTTAGCCAAGTTGTGAATGCAAAAGAAAAGTTCCTGAAGGAAGTTAAGAGTGCTACTTCAAGTGAACATGTGCATGATAAAAAAGAAATCGTTATTGCTGATATATAGAGTATTTTAGCGGTCTCAATAGAAGATCTAACTAGCCACAACATTCTCATAAGCCAAAGCTTAAGTCAGAGCAAGGCCCTAATTCTCTTCAATTCTATGAAGGCTGAGAGAGGTGAAGAAGGTGCAGGAGAAAAGTATGAAGCTAGCAGAGGTTGGTTCGTGAGGGTTAAAGAAAGAAGTCATTTCCATAGCATGAAATTGCAAGGTGAAGTAGCAAGTGCTTATGTAGGAGCTGCTGCAATTTTATCCAGAAGACCTAGCGAAGATCATTTATAAATGTAGCTACATTAAACAGCAGGTCTTCAGTGTAGATGAAAAAGCCTTACATTGGAAAAAGATGCCATCTAGGACATTCATAGCTAGAAAGGAGAAGTCAACACCTGACTTCAAAGCTTCAAAGGATAGGCTGACTCTTCTTTTATGGGTTAATGCAGCTGGTGAGTTCATGATGAAGCCAATGCTCATTTAGCATTCAAAAAATCCTAGGGCCCTTAAGCCTTATGCTAAATTTTATCTGCTTCTGCTCTATAAATGAAACAAACAAAGCCTGGATGACAGCACATCTATTTACAGCATGGTTTGCAGAGTATTTTCAGCCCACTGTTGAGACCTACTGCTCAGGGAAAAAGATTTCTTTCAACATCTTACCACTCATTGACAATGTACCTGGTCACTCAAGAACTTTGATGAAGATGTGCAGTGCGATAATGTTGTTTTCACGCCTGCTAACACAACATCCATTCTGTTGTTATCCTTATGGATCAAGGAGTAATTTTAGATCTTATTCTTTAAGGAATATATTTTGTAAGGCTATAGCTGCCATATATAGTGATTCCTCTGATGGATCAGGGCAAATTCAATTGGGAACTTTCTGGAAAGGATTCACAATTCTAGATGCCATTAAGAACATTCATGATTCATGGAAGGAGGTAAAAATATCAACATGAACAGGAGTTTGAAAGAAGGTGATTTTATTCCTCACAGGTGGCTTTGAGGAGTTCAAGCCTTTGGTGGAGGAAGTAATTGCAGATGTGGTAGAAATAGCAAGAGAATTAGAAGTGGGGCCTAAGATGAGATTGAATTTTTGCAATCTCATTATAAAACTTGAATAGATAAGGAGTTGCTTCTTAGGGATGAACAGAGAAAGAAGTTTCCTGAGATGAAATCTACTCTTGCTGAAGATGCCATGAACATTGTTGAAATGACAACAAAGAATTTAGAATATGTATAAAATGTATTAGTTGATAAAGGAGTGGCAGGATTTGAGAGGATTGAGCCCAATTTTAAAAGAGGTTTTACTGTGTGTAAATGCTGTTAAACAGCATTGCATGCTACAGATAAATCTTCGTGAAAGGAAGAGTCAATAGATGTGGCAAACTTTATTGTTGTCTTATTTTAAGAAATTTCCATAGCCACCCCAGCCATCAGCAACCACCACCCCGATCAGTCAGGAGCCACTAACATCAAGGGAATATCCTCCACCAGCAAAAAGACGATGACCAGTTAAGGCTCAGATGATTGTTAGCATCTTTTATCAATAAAGTGATTTTAGTTAAGGTGTATACATTGGGTTTTTAGATATAATGCTATTGTATATTCAACAGACAGCAGCATAGTAGAAACATAATTTTGGATGCACTGGGAAACCAAAAAATTTATATCACTATCTTTATTGCAATGGCCTGGAACTGAACCTGCAATATCCCTGAGGTATACCTGTATATCGAATATATATATAGGTATACATTCACAGATCTAGGTATGCTTGTATATACTTACATGTGTATATAGGTATGCCTGTATATGCTTATACCTAAAGCAGCAATAACAACAATAATGAAAGTGCCAAGCACTGAGCACCAAACTAGGCACTGTGCACACACTGTCTCATTTTATCCTCACCATTCAACATGATAGGTATTATTACTACTTCAATTTTACAGGCTGGGAAATTGAGGCTTAGATACACAAAAAGAAAGTAGCAGAATAAGAATTTGCACCCAGGTTTGTCTAATTCCAAAGCTCAATCTTTCAAACACTATACAACCTTCTATTCTGTACAAGTTAGCCTACCCACTAAATGGTTGTGGATAGTGTGTCCAAAGTATCAGAAAGGGAGAGCTGCTTTGTGTCCCTCATACTCAAGAGACAAAGCTTGGATAGGGGGCACAATAACCATGGGTTGGGGTACCTGTGGAAGGGCTGGCTTCGGGAAAGGGACAACTTCTAGGTATCTTCTTCCCCACCTCATATTTTTGCTGCCCAAGTGTTTCAGAAATCCAAGAGAATAATTACAGGGCTGTTATAGCACTAGACTTCATGTTTGATTATTACTGACTAAAGTGAATCTTTTACAAAAGATTTCACTTAGAGCACTTTTACCAGCTCACCATTCTTCACAATCTCTTCTAGTCTTTGTCTTATCTTGGGATGAGAATTTTAATATATCTGCAGCAATAGTAATCACAGAGGTATGAACAAATAGGATGTGTTTTCATGTGTTTTAACTTTGAAGCATGGTGGTTTATGAAAGTCATGTTCAATGAAAGCTTTTCATTTTCTTTTTTTTTCTTAAACCAACATAACTAGTGCTATGAGTGATGTACTTTATACTCATGATACCTATGATAAAGCTTTTCCTGAATTCTTTCTTCTGTGTTGGCTAGTTAATGGACTTTAAATGTCCATTTCCTTTTTTAAAAATGCAGCCACAGCCGCAAGGGTTTAGCTCTCTGCATAATAGTCGCTGATGTAAGGACAGCAAGAAGTTTGAATCAAGGTCAGCAAGAGAAGGTTGTGGCTAGATTGATGTTGACCCCGTGTTGACTCACGTCCTCATTAGTGGGGATGGTAAACAACAAGCTAATTAAATTCTCTAGAAGAAGGCAAATGGGATGGGAGAACAGAAGAAATTATGTAAAAGATTTTAGAAAGCATGTCGCTGGCTTATTCGTATCAAAAACATGAGTAGATGACACAAAGGTGGTGTGCTTTGAGCTATAATGACAGTTTGGAAGGTTTGTGGTTAACAGAAAGCTAATACTTAAATGTGATGATAGCAGGGATAGAATAAAGCCAGGGCAGCCTTGACTTTCATATTTGAGAGAAAACACAAAATACGATGCTGGGACTGTTCTTGTGGTTCACTTCGTGTTCCTTCACTTTTGTGCTGTGCCTCAATTATATAACTGTAATTGTGTCCTAATTGTGGACACTTGTACTGCTCTGATTTTAATCAGGTGCCTCCACTAAAGTGTGTTGCTGTCAAAGGAGTACATATCGTGTGTGATTTCTCCTGTTCTATAATCTACTCCCTTCACTACCCAATCACAAGGACGATTACTACTAATCCATAATATTTATTATGCCCCTGATATTCATGGCACTGTGCTAAGCATGTTCCAGGGATTATTGTTCTCAATACTCACCATAGCGTTGTATTACCCATGTTACAGATGGAGAAACTGAAGCTTAAAGACAAATTGCCCACGGTCACATAGTCAGTAAGTGTTTTAACTGGGTCTTGGGCACATGAATGCCTGATTCCCAAACCTTGACATTTCACTACTATGTAACACTATGGATGGAATTGCAGCAATCCACTCATATTCTCTCTGGCCCTCTGCTTATCTTATGGTCAGTAGCAAACTCCTGTAGTGTGATATATGTATGTGTATTCTGTAGCTAACCTTACCTTCCTCTTTTGGGAAGTCTTCCATGAGTCCCTAAAATGACTTTCCATCCTCCTTTCATTACATTCTGCTTACTTGACACTACTTCACATAATTAATTATATGTCCTATCTAAAAATCTATAGCAACCCAGCCCCATTGTGTTGAAAAACATTACTGAGGATCACATATTAAAAACTACTACAAAGTGAGTACAGTATTTCTTGTGTACCTACATCTTCTTTCCTCAATAAAAATTGGAGAGTCTTTCATGGCCGGGATTGTCTTATTGTAATGTCTTCTGTCTTGCAATTTTATCCTCTTAATCATAGAAGATTCTCAAAAAATAGGCTTATTGATTGATAGTTAACAGGGTCAGGTGAGGAATTATCCTATAACTTGGCCGGCAATACTTGGATCAAAATATTTACTCGTTTTTATTAGTAGTTTCTGTTTGTGTCTAGCAACATAAAGCAAATTCTTCATCTTCTTGCTTATTTTACAATTTTGGTTTACTGATATTCATATTTTATATTTAAATGTATTAAATTTCTTTTGTGGAAACATTTTTGTGATTATCTAATTTTCTTTGTTATAGGTTTTGATTTCACTTTTCCCCTTACATCTCCCTCATCCTCTGTATTTACAGAGCTTTCTGCATATGCACAGGGTATACATTTCTAGATTAAGTTTCTTTCACTGGGTGGACAGCTCTCAAGTAAATTACCCGAGAGGCCCCCCTCCCCCACAGAGAAGCCAGAATAGCTAATAACTAAAACACACAAAATTGAGAAACATTTATTCTCTCGGTAATTTTTACTTTAAGGATAATTGTTTATTTGCTTAATTGGTTCTGCATGAGATCCTTTTGCTCTCTATCCTTGGCATGTTGTCACTTCAAGATTTTTAGTTTTTGGTGGAAGAAAAAGGGGAACAGTTAAATATGAAAGGTGAAAAATTATAACCACGAGGGACAGCTGGAGTTTATCTGATGTGACAATTTCCTTTTCCTGCTACAGATTTATAGCACCTCTGCAGGGAATAAAGCAAATATGTGGCTGTGACAGGAATATTCTATTTTGTGTAAATTTTTATCATTGAAATGTAATTATTTCATTTATTGTAGGAATGAATAATGCATATGATTTCATTTCTGGCCTACATATAGAATCCTTCATAATGCCTTTTCTTGATGTCCATTTGTTTCTTAAATAATGTGCTATTCACAGTGTTACTTCTCAGGGCTCTTGGACTTGATTAATTGAATTTTTCCACTTCACTATTCATTAAGTTGATATCCAAATATTTTGAACATTTTTCATATGAAATATGACCTCACTGGATCTCCAAATTAACTTTCATTATTATAATCCTGTTCTCTTCATTTTTAATTTATTTCTAATTTATTGTTTTATATCAAGTTCTTCTCTTTCCATTTTGGTTATTTTAGATGATGATGTTCATTTGTAAATGAACTTTTATTAGGTTTCAGCCTTGTCATTTGGAGCTTCATTTCTTTTGTGCTCTTGTGTATGTAACTGATTGGAATCTTTGATCATTTGCTGTTAGTTTTCCATGTTCACTAATTGAACGAAAAAGAAGAAGCAAAGAAAGGCTCAGAGAAGAGAGGATAATGGAGTCAAAGTTCTCATTAGAGAGAAATAGGTTAAGTATAAGGGGTTCTATTTTCATTCTTATAGTGGAGATTTTCCTATTTCAGAGTATGAAGAAGACTTTGAAGTAGATGAGGAGAAACAAGGTGAAAAATCTAATGAAGAAGGACAGGCTGATGTTCAAATGAATGGAATACCGCAGTCACCTTTGGATGATAAAAAAGATAATTTAGACCCTGAAAAAGAGAGTGAAACCTCATCACAGAAGGCACCAGATGCCCGTGACAATGTGAAAGATGAGAATGATGGATGCTCTGAGAGTGAACTGGAAGAGGATAAACAAGGCGAGTTGTTCAGCTTATCATGTAACATAGGCTGTTTACTGAGTGTGTTTACTACTTTTCTTTGTTTTCTATTTAATGAGATAATCCTCTTTTTTTTCTCTTGAATGTATGTTTTCTAACTTTTAAATAAGGGGTACATGTGAAGGTTTGTTACACAGATAAACTTATGTCATGGGGGTTCGTCGTACACGTTATTTCATCACCCAGGTATTAAACCTAGCACATTATTTATTTTTCCTGATCCTCTTTCTCCTCCCATGCTCCACCCTTCAATAGGCCCCAGTGTTTGTTGTTCCCCACTATGTGTCCATGTGTTCTCATCATTTAGCTCCCACTCATGACAGTATGAGGTAATTTGTTACCTTCACACTTTATTAATGCAGCTTCAAAAACCTAATGAAAGAGGAACATAAAACAAATGTCTCTGTAACTATTTTAGAATGTAAAGGAATCTTAAAAAGGACATTTACGACTATAGCCATATCCTATCAGTGTTCCAATTACATTGAAAATGTAACAAATTGTTTGGAAGGAAAAAGTTAAAAATTCTCCATTTCCACAGTTCAGTGTATCTTTCCATTACATAAACTTACATACAAATATTTATGTAATTTTTTACAAATATGTAAGCATATAATTCATGTTACTCTTGAAATTATTTTTTTCAGTTTAACTGTGCACATATTAAGTATCCTAAAAAGTCAATACGTGTATGAATAACTTATTATTGCTAATAGCAATATGAAAGTTTATGGTATGCCAATTTATTGTTTTGTGTACTGATATTTCTGTATCTTTAGGCTAGATTTCCTTAAGTATTTGCTTATGTTTGATTTTAGTAAATCCTGGCAGATTGCTTTCTGAAAGGGTCATATAATTCACATTCCTAACAAGGATATAAGAGAAAGCCTGTTTTGTGATACACCCACTCACCTGGATTTTATTAATCTTATTTATGTTAATCTTATGGACAAAAAAATACTAGCTTCTTGTTTTAGTTTTTATTACCCTAACTCCTGGTGGGTTGAGCATCTTTCCTTATATTCATTGTCCATTTATATTTCCTTTTCTGTGAATATTTTGCTTGCTTTACTCATTTCTCTATTGGATATTATGGCTATTGAGGGGCTCTTTATTAGGCATAGTTTATCACATGCTGTCATGCTTTCATTCAATTTTTTTTTACTTCATTAATATTTGGTCATTCAGAACTTTTTAATTTTTATTACTCTAATCTATTTATCTTGTTTGTTATTGCTTAACAGTTTCTTTTCTAATTAAAAAGCCTTCTCCTAATCCAAAGGTTAGGGACATATCCCCAAATTTTCATCTATTTTCATTATTTAATTTTAATTCAGATACTTAATCCCTATGAAATTTATGAGTTTTTTTAAACAACTTGGGGTAAAGATTCTTTTCAATGCGAGACCATAAAATCCATGTAATAAATAGTACTAAATTTCACTTTTAGCATAAGTTGAATCAATGATTTTTCACACATACCTTAGCATTTCAGAAATATAAGAAAGTATAATTTTAATAATAGGTAAGATGGGAGAAAGAGAGAAAGCTACATATAAGAAAATGTATGGAAAACAGCAGTAGGTAGACTTTCATGGTAAAAGAAAGAGAAATAAAAAAGTCCTAAGTTAGAAAAGAAAATGCAAGAGGAGTAGAGAATATTGGAGAGGATCGAAACACCAGTGGCAGACTACAGCATAAGTAAGTAATGTTCTCACTAGATGTTAGGAGTTTGGAAACTCAACAGATGTTCAGAGGATAGATACAGGAGATGAGACAAAATGTCTGATCCACATGGTTTTGGTGGATCAGACATTTTGGTTCCACGTGAATTTTAAAATAGGTTTTTCTAGTTCTGTGAACAATCTCAATGTTAGATTTAGGTTTACTTTTAAGTCTTTAATACATCTTGAGTTGATTTTTTTATATGGTGTAAGGAATCCTCTGCATATTGACATAGCTGATTTCTCAAAAGATATTTTTTAAATATTAAGCAACTACTTGAATGCTAACACCAATAATACGAAGATGTTTCGGTTAGTGCCATGATATCTAGCTACATTTATACTTTACAGTTATTGGAATTTTCAATGGGAAAAATCTATAATTAGCAACGTTGTATAGATACATAATATATAATATTTTAAATAGATATGCAATGAAAACTATAAGAACATATAGCTGGTTCACAAATATTGGGAAATTTAAGAGCCAAAATTAAATTGGCTAGCTATTTTCTTTTGTTGTTTCATTAATGATGTTATTAAGCTATGCTTTTAAAGGGCTCTTTTGCATGCTTGGTGTTTTGAAACAGTGTCATTCTGAAATCAAATCTCATTGCTGATTATGGTTTTTTTTTACTCCATCGTCAGACTTTCTTATTTTCCATTCCTTTATTTTGATAACTTGCCTTTGTGTTATTCAAGGCATAAACATGTCTTTTAGTATGTGGAGTGTCAGCATTAGAGATTTTATCCAGCGAACAAGTAGCATGTATTAAAAATGATAATGACATGATGGATTCCTTGGAATACTCTGTTGAAAAGCCAGACAGCATTTCATTTCCAAAAGTGTGAGAGGCATATGTGACCACTGAATCCCAGACACCAGTACATCCTTTTTATTGACATGATTAAGAATCTTGCTGTTAGTATTTGGATGTGTTTCATTTGAACCTGCCTACACCTGTTCCCAGAGGGCAAACAATTGCCCAGGCTGTCACTCTTGTGACAAGTCAGCCTCATTTGAACTGCCAGCTAACAATTGTGTCGGCCTGCCTTGATGAATACACTGTGCTGAGCAGCCCATGAGTGATAGAGTGCTACTGGCTGCAAGCTGACTAAGAGAGGACCCTGGTTTAGGAATGATGTGTGAGACTTCCTATCATTTAAAAAGAACGACAGCTTCCTTTTCTCTGCATTTGTGTTGGCAACCCCAGGCACTAATTCACCAGTTGAAAATATATTGTCATAGATGAATGTTATAAGGTTGAGGGGAAAAGTATCATGTCACTGAGAATATACTTTTATGGACAGTTTGGATGATAGTGTCCATGAGTAAGAGGTCAACGGGTACAAAGTTACAGTTAGACAGGAAGAATAAGTTCTAGTATTTTACTACACAGTAGGGTGACTATAGCGAATAACAGTGTAATATATATTTCAAAATAGCTAGAAGAGAAGATTTTGAATATTGTCGCCACAAAGAAATGATGAATGCTTAAAGTGATGCATATGTAATTACCCCAATTTGATCATTATACTATGTGTACATGCACTGAAACATCACATTGTGTCTCATAAATATATACAATAATTATTTGTCAATTACAAATTTAAAAATTAGTAATGAAAAAAAAGACTAACTAGCTCCTTTTGAGAAAGATTAGACAGATTGAGATTGAAGTAGAGATAAAGAGACAGAGAAGAGACTTCTCCCAGAATATGAAAAAAAGAAAGTAAGACTTGAAGTCATTTTTTTCTAGTAAGAAAGATGATTTCATTCATGCTATTTTTCAATCTGTTGAAGAAGTAAATCTTATAAACTTTTAAAGTCCCAGAATCACAGTAATATTCTACTTAATTGATTTATGATTTTAAGAATCTCACCCTTAATCTTTTGGCTTCAATATGGGTTTGAAAAGAAGTATAGGGGTGTAGGCTTCTCCTGTGTTGAAATTCTTTGTGCTGTGAGACGCACCGTTGGACTTCAGTGTAATGTATCTGCTTCTTGGATCAGAGAAGATTATGGGAATGTTATAGATGGCTTCTGACCAAAGACTATATAATATGTGTGATTTTTTGCGTGGTCAATCAAACTTAAATGTTTCTTAATGGTAATAATTCCCCAATCCATAGTCACTTTTCAATTGTCGAAGTAGGAAGGCATAACTTCAGGTGAATACTTAAATGTAGAACTATCCTTTAATTCACACAAAAATACTTTTCTATGAAGTGTTTCTCTACAGTTTGAATCTGCCTTGTAGAAAACAAAGGCATTACATAGACACTCAGTGAACTCTTGTGAATGAAGGGCTGATTGAATAGATCAACAGATGAATGAAAATAATGTATACAGCACAATGTGACACATGATTTGATTGTATTATAAATATTTTAACAGTTTATTTTAATGTTTAGAAAGTGAAATTAAAGGTAAATATGGAGAACATTTTATTTTATTCTCCTCCTGCTATATCTGCATTTACCTGTGAATATGTATTCTTACATATACTTGTCTCCCTGATGATTTGAGACATTTCATCTGATAATAATAACTATCAGTATGTGGGCATATGTTCCCTCTTAAGACTAAAAACCAGTTACTGTTCATAGTTGGAATTTGATAATTTATATTTTTATTTTCATTAAGCACAGATTCATCCTACAACATTTATTGAGTATAAAGCACTTGTCTAATTAGCTATTACTGTACATGAAGATATTGATTGAACTGACATATAATATAAACAGTTTTTCTTGAACTTGTAAGTTTCATTAAGACAGAACTATTTATACAACTAATAGTAGGATATATAAATTCATGTGTCATGGCTAATTTGAAGAAATTAAGAGCAGCATATATGCAGATTTTGCTGTGAACTCTTGGACTAAGGAATAGGAAGGAGAGAATTGGATGGTATTAGAATTGAAAAGCATATTGGATCCACTGGGTTGGGATCCACGGTTATGTCACTGAGATCATTTAAATTTTTAACTTAATTTACTCATTTTAGTTTGTGAACTTAAACTGCAATTTCTGTAGGTGCTTCCAGCTAATAAACCAAAAACAAAGTAGTTAAAATCAGGACACTAATTAAGGAAATGGTGAATTTAAACTGTGGTAAAATTATGCTCCTTGCTAGCAGGTGAGAAAATGATTGAAAACTAAGGTCAGGTCTGGTCATTGGTTTAAAACAGACAATTTGGCTACTGATTGCAATAAGAGTATGGCAATAGTTTCTGAGAGAGTTATCAGCAGTCACTGTTAGAGTGAACCAATACCTTTATGAACATGTACAGTGGATCTATTTCCCTCATGCGAACGGAGGTGGATAATTAGTCAATCTCTGTTTTGAGTGTGTATTATAGGTAGAAGCAAGGACCAAGGTTTCTGTTTTCTTGTAGAACATTGCCTGGCACATAGGAAGTTCTCGATATGTATTTAGTGGACAAATGAATCTATGTAAGTTGGAAGGAAAGTGAGGACAACTCAGAACCTCAGTTATGAGGAGGGAGAGCAGACTTTATCCTGGATTTGCTGGACTGGTGTTGACTTTGGATGTGTGTGTGGCTGGTGCCCTTGGTCAGGCGTATCAAGCTAGCAATCAGGCAGTATAAACAGTGAAGACTGCTGGCATACAAAGCATACACACACACACACACACACACACACACACACGCCCCATTTTTGTGAGTGTCCCCACAGTGTTCTGTAGTTATTTGGTAAATAACTGAATAACATGTATATTTTCATAAAATAGCATCATGATAAATGTTATAAATAAACTAGGGAAGACTTTGATCGCTACCTTTTGCTTTTGCTTTGTATTCATATTCTGTGCCTCAGAATATTTTAAGTGGACTCTGAGCTTTGGAGTGGTGGACAAAGTTAAGAATGACCAGTAGAGATAAAAAAACAAGGACAGACTACACATTTCATGAGTTCTGATTTTTGAAAGAGAACAATTTCCTGTCTGTCAGTCTCAAGTGGTAACAGTGAAAAGTCAGCTAAGAGGAGCAATGGTGGGTCCATGGCTGTGGGTACTTCCTGTCTGAAGGCCTTTTAGCAAATAGAAGGGTCTTGGTTTTATTGCAGTCTATCATTACAAAAGAAGCATTTACAAAAACTTGCTACTTACTAGGTAATGGACATTGGGTACTGTTGAACCTCTTTGGACCTCTCTTTCTGGATCTCAAAATAGAAGATAATTATTATTTCATAGGATTAAATGAGATGTTTGTAAAGTGCTATGTCATGGTTTGGTTTATAGTAGGTGCATAATCATGATTGGTTTTATCTTTATCATGGTAGCTGTGATATCACTCAATATCACAAGAAAGAAATTACAAGAGAGAAATTTATTAGAATATGCTACATGTATGATGTCATAGAGGAAAAAAGACTATAAAGAAATAGTTATTTCATTTGATTAGGTTAAATATTTTTCTCATGTAATTTCTACAATTATGTAAGGAGAACAAGTAGAATTATCCCCATTTTACAGTTAAGAAAACAGAGCCTTAAAGAAATTAAATAGCATAACCAAAGTCGAAACTATTAAGTAGCTGAGCTGTGATTGGGACACCAGGGTTTGTCGTACAGGAGAATATGTTATTTTTTCTCAATCTCATGCTGTGTCAAACAAGATTTTAATTATAGTGATGCCAAAAAAGAAAGAAAGAAGCAGTTGTCAATGACATGAAAAGGGAAGAAGGGCCTGGAGAGCTCCTGACTGTGGAAAGAGAAAAGTCAAAGACCTTGCTTAGGACATGGAACAATGGCACCAAACTTGCTGGCTTCGGCCAAGACCTCACGCAATGAGTGCAGATCTTTTCTTTGCCAAAACAAGCAAAAGCAGGTTCTTATAGCATCACTACCAGAAGGGAATACATGAACAAATGGAATTGGGTAGGAGGCATAGCTGTTTATCAACATGCTTCCAAGATAATTTTTCCCTCCTAATGACAAAGCAAATTTACATACGTGCTCTCAAAGTTTTTTTTAATATAAGCATTTGCTTTATTTCTAAGAGAATAAATAAAATTAGTTTTGAAAATCCTATTTCATAACCCTGAAGCTTTTTTAGCTTTTTTATAGGCAAAGTCTTACCCCCGTGTCTGTGTATGTAAATGAGAGAAAGAAATGAGAGTGAAACTAAATTATAGCATGAGGTTAGGGAGAAATTTGAAAACTGAAATGAGTTTGTATGGGAGGTCAGGTGCCCTGGCCACTTCGAGGCCATTCATTCTCCTGATCTTTCTCCTCTGAAGGACTGACTCAAACTTGAACCAGAGTATATTTCAGCCCTTTGAAATAAAATAATACAATTAATGGAAGCTGCTAAAGAAAGGCAGAGGAGCACTCATTTTTAAAAATTATATGACCAACTCTCAGAGCTAAAAGTAGGAGTCATTTCCATATTCAGATGGTAGATATATTTTTGGAGTTCAGAAGGAGTATAACATTGAGTCCTAGCTAACTATGTAATTAATGAAAGCCATTGATTAAACTGCTAATAAATCAGAGCTGATGTTCTTTTTTTAAAGAAGAAACATAAGACTCTGAAGGGAAAGGGGAGTTCATAGACCCTAAAGTTTCTGAACGGATACAAATAAGATGGAGAAGAACTCTCCTTGATTTGCTACATTTTCTACCAGAGAGATGGCATATCCAGATTTTATAAAATGGAGAATAAAGAATGAGTAGCTAGAGTATGTGATTTATTTGAAAAATAGTGGTCATCTGGTGTTTGTCAAGGTATCAGGAGATAAAAGCAAATGGAATTAGACTTCAGGGGCTCTGTTGCTGAAAGGCTTTTTGAGTTTGTTTTTTACTGCTGTGTAGCATCTCTCAAATCTTTGTGGAAACTCTGATATGTCTCTGAGACTATATTTAAAATGCTAAGACCTGTCATGGAGAGCCGGCAGGGCTGGAGGCATGGAGAGAAGAGGATAAGCGCAAAGACAGGTATTTTTTATCTTAAACTCTGCATTAGCTGCTACAGCCATCGGTACAGCTGCCAAATGGAACTGAAAGAAATAAAGAAACAAAAAAAAGAGTAAGGAGTACAGAGAAAACAAAAAAATAGGCAGCATTTAAATGTAGGATGTTTTATTTGGAAGTATAAAAAAAACAATTACAGACCTAGACCTATTGGTTAGAAAAGCTAGATTGTATTTCTCTGGCCTGTAGCAATGTATGCAGTGATTTTTTATGCTGTCCAGCTTCCTTATTGAGATTCAGTGTGTATGGTACTTTACTGGAAATTGTTAAAACCTTTCTAGGTATTACATAAACCAGCTGTGGCTACCGTAAGTTTCTAGACTGCGAATCTGTAGCACCCTGTCGTCACACTGCCTAGATCTCCCAGAATCTCTTGCCAACTTTGTTCACCCATTTCCCATCTTCTGCTCCCTTCACCTTTTTCAGAGGACTGCCCTGGACTACTGGTGGTGCTTCACCCTCAGACTCAAAGAGCCTGGAAATGCCAGAGAGTTTACATTCCCCCTAGGGTGGCCCATAGCTAATGTCTGACTTTTCCGAAGTATGAAAGCCCAGCTCCTGCCTAATATAAATTACATCCTAATATAGCTTACATGTCAGAAGTGCCCATGGGATCAGGTTGAGATTGAGATGGGGCTTGAAATATCTCCCTTGATTGATTTCTGCCCTTCCTTCCCTTGCTTCTGCTACTCCCTTAAGAGTTCTCCTGGAGCACATCTTAAATACTTTTCTCACACATGAATCTTCATCTCAGCTTCTGCTTCTGCAGAGCTCAAAATAAGATAAAATCTCCATCTATGTACACACACACATGCAAGTGTCACCTAAAAATATTTGTCTATGTACTGGCCAAATACACAGATCTTACTGTGTCCATATACCAAGATATACTAGGATGGTGGATAGTACAGTAGACAAAAATTTAAGTTTCATGCACACAGAATACTGTGGTGATAGAATGAAATAAATTTTTTTAAAAAAAGCTTTTGTTGAAGAGACAAAGGATTATTCATTTTTTTCTATAACAAAGTGAATATTTATAAAGCGTTTTCAATAAAAAATGGCTTTCAAAAAACAACAAAAAAACAGGGATGGTTGATAGTTAAATGTGATCTCTTGAAAATTTCTATATACTCATATATTCCATTGATTTGATAGGTTTTCCTTATCCTAACAATGATTTAGACCAGGGATCTAATCCCCGGGCCACGGACTGGTACAGGGTCCATGGCCTATTAGGAACCAGGCTGCACAGCAGGAGGTGAGTGGTGGGGAAGCCAGCGAAGTTTTATCTGTATTTACAGCCACTTCCCATCCCCTATCGCTGGCATTACTGCCTGAGGTCCATCTCCTGTTAGATCAGTGGAAACATTAGATCCTCATAGGAGCAGAAACCCTATTGTGAGCTGCACATGCCAGGGTTCTAGGTTGTGAGCTCCTTATGAGAATCTAATGCCTGATGGTCTGCCACTGTCTCGCATTATCTCCAAATCTGACCGTCCAGATGCAGGAAAACAAGCTCAGGGCTCCCACTGATTCTATATTATTGTCAGTTGTATAATTACTTCATTATATATTACAATGTAATAATAATGGAAATAACGTGCACAATAAATGTAATGCACTTGAATCATCCCAAAACCATCCCCACTCAACCCCAGTCCATGGAAAAGTTGTCTTCCATGAAACCACTCCCTGGTATAAAAAAGATTGGGGACCACTGAGTAGACTATATGGGAAAAGGATATCAGGTCTATATTAAACTATGTTTTAAAATTTTTAGTATTATTAATTGCTAACATAATTTTTACAATTAAACCAATTGCTTTACAGAACAACAACAATGTCATCACTTTTATTTTTTGTAGATATGAAAACTGCTTCATCAACCTCATCCAGAAGTCACCCTTATTCTAGTGACAGTGAGGATGAATCTGCAGTGGGGGACAGGGAAGCCCACACTGACAGCAGCACAGATGAAAGTGCCAGAAGGTCATCTTCTCAGGAACTGAGTGAAAATGATAAGCCAAGAAAGTCTCACCTTCCAATTGAGGAATCCTTAGAAATTGAAATTGAAGACCAAGAAATAACAAAAGCAGATGTGGAGACCAAGCCGATGCCAATAGACGAAAGCTTTGAGAATGTTCTTAAAGAAGGAACGGAGAAAGGAACCCAAGAGATTGCAGAGGGTTTATCTGAGAAGTCCGGGAAACATGTTTCTGCAGAAGAAAAGGAAAAGGATAAGAGTAAGCTTTGGGAAGAAAGCACTGCTCAGGTGAAGGACAAAAAGGCAGGTCTCCCTGGGTTGGAGGAAGGTGGTAAGTATGGCCGTTGAGTTGAGCTGCCATCATCCTCATGCATGGAAGCTGATTTTGGTCATTGCACTATGCCAAAGCTTGGGAAATACTACTGTGACAATGCTTTAGGGATTCAAGATTTTTTGCTGTGTCTCTCTTTGTCACATAATCATACATGTATTTTCAGTTTGCTGTTTGCCTTCTCTTGCACTTAAAAAATTACTCGATAATTTCTATCCAGCCTGTTTCCTATTTTCGGTAAATTCCCTCCTATGGGAATTCCATCTCAGGAATGAAATAAAGCACAGTATGTGTCTGAAGGCAAGGATGTGTGTGGCTTTTAGAGATTATTTAATACTAGAAATACTATTTGTTTTTAGCTATATATGGAGTTTCAGATATATAGCTAATGTTAATAGGTGCTTACTACGTTCCAGGCATGGTTCTAAACACTTAGATATATTAACTCATCACGTCCTCACAAAAATCCAGTCTCCCTCTAAGTTACATTCTATTATCATCATCTCTTTTTTACAGATGAAAAATGAAATGTAGCTTCCAAAGGTTAAATAAGTTACCAAAGATTACACAGCTAAAAGAGGCATTCCTAGGATATGAATTCAGGCAGAGTTGTTCCAGAACTTATAAATATTGCCTATTGCGTCTGTGTAATATGAATTTAGATTTAGATAATAGTGTAAAATTTTCTTACAAGATTCCAAACTTCCCTTTGAGTTCTCTGAAACTGAGTTACTTTCTGATCCCTGGGGCTCCTGGGTGTGTAAGATTGTTCATTTGACATGGAAACAGTAAGGAGTGTCAGGATAATCAGGCCCCAGACCTTAGACACATGGAAGGTCTGATGCTTTTCTCAAGTTGAGGAGCACAGTGGAAGGGCTGAGGGGTGTCCTGTGGAGAGCTGGATTGCACCTGCCCGATGCTTGCCTCTCACCTAGCCTCCTGTGCCCTGGAACTGGTTCACAGTCCTTTGGTTGCTCTCTCTCATCTGTCTCCCCTGTCAATGCAGGAGCCATTCTTGATTTTAAGATAAAATTTATTTTCACATTTTAATATTACTAAAATTCAGCTGCGTTTTAAAAGCATATGAATGCTTTTAGCGTCTATGTTACTTTTAGACCCTTAAAAACTACTGTTAAACCACTGGGGTCTACTAGGAATTGAAGATGTCGAATAGTTATCTATTACTTCAACCAATATTATTAATCTTCTACTATGCACAAGGCACCATAGTCAATAAAAAATGTGTAAGACAGAGTTTCTCTCATAACTTGCTGAGTGGAAGCCTTGGCACACCACCAGACAAAGGTTAGTAGTCCCATGTAAAATAGAGAAGGTAAAAAATGCTATGTGGCTTCAAAGGAGAGAAGTCCTGTTTGTTAAAAGACACCTTGAAAGTTTTCACGAAGAACGTATTTGAGAAACTTTAAAGGTTAAATACAATTTTGAAGGTGGGATACAGGAGGATAAAGGTGTTTTAGATAGTGGAGTATAGCAATGCATATGACCTTTGAATAAGTTACCAAAAATAACTCTAGAACAGAGTTTGACAAACTTTGGCCCAGGGGCCAAACCACTACTATTTTGTCTTGTTTTCTAAATAGCCTGCAAGCCAAGAATGATTTTTGTATTTTTAAATAGCCCACAAAATCCTAAGAATTTACAAACTGGGACTTTAGAGATAAAGTTCATAAACCTCTGCCCTAGAATAAAAATGCAAAGACCCTGAACATCTTCAAAAGGATTTTTGTCATATATAAATCAAGATTCTAGCTCAAATATATTTGAAACCCTTTTATAAAATAATTCAAATCTTTGATCTTGAATTTCATTATGAAATTTTCATACATATAAGGTATCATCTAGAAAATGTATACAAGCTGACAAGCTGCTAATCAAAAAGGTAGAGGTGTTAAAGGTCAATAGAAACACTAACATTATTTTCATTTTTTAAATTTTCACTTCAGAGAACCAGATTGTTTACCTGAATTTGTGTAAGTAGACATCTTTTTGTAAAGTAGGATATACATAATGAGGGTCATAATTAGGCTGTAGAATATCAGAGATGTAGCACTATGATCATGTCACCTGGAAGACAGTAGTTTTTTTTTCTCTGGGTTTGTAAAATGAAAAGTGTATTGGCTTATTAATTTTCTCAAATATATTGGGAAACCTATGGTCTTGACTTGATAACATCTATAATTTTAAAACATTTTGTTATCTTTTTATTAAGGTGGATTCAACACAAGATGGCAAGGTTTGGGACTGTTTATCTTTGATTTTAATTTTTTTTTTTTTTTTTTTTTTTTGAGATGGAGTCTCATTCTGTCACCCAGGCTGGAGTGCAGTGGCACAATCTCAGCTCACTGCAACCTCTGCCTCCCGGGTTCAAGCAATTCTCCTGCCTTAACCTCCCGAGTAGCTGAGACTACAGGTGCTCGCCACCACGCCTGGCTAATTTTTTGTATTTTTAGTAAAGACGGGGTTTCACCGTGTTAGCCAGGATGGTCTCGATCTCTTGACCACGTGATCCACCCGCCTCGGTCTCCCAAAGTGTTGGGATTACAGGCATGAGCCACCATGCCCAGCCTGTTTATCTTTGTTAAGCCGTAATATATGTGCGATTATTAATTTTTTATTAACAAATAATACACATGGAATAATATTTAGACAATAGAGAAAAGTAATTTTGAAAAATTACTCATAGGTTTATCACACACAAAAAGATCACTTTTAACATTTGGTCGGGCTCTTTATTTGTCAACTTAGGATTTACAAAGTTTTGTTTTCATATTTTGTAAAATATATGCTGCTTTATATCTTAACATTATAACGTGATCATTTTTCACATCTTTAATCTTTATGAACATATTTAATCTCTGTGTGTTATGCCATTCTGTGGTTTTCTCATAATTTAGCCATTTCCTTATTGTTGGACATTTATATTTTTTCTTACTTTCACTATTGTTATTAGTACTTTAGTGTCTTATTACTAAGATTATTTCAAATTTATAAACATTTTCTTAAGATAAATTTCAATAAGTATAATTTTTGTTCAAAAGTTATAGATATTTTAAGGTTTTTGATAAACTTTTTTCTCACAAAAATTTGGTTTAAATGTTTAAACATTACAGAACAGAGAAGAATAAAGTGAAAGTGAAAGTCTTTCTCGCCCAACCTTTACTCTTTTTCTCCAGGGATAACGGTGGATAGCAATTTTTTGGTGTGTGCATGATTACAGAAATTATAGGTAGGTAGATAGGTATAGATATATTAATATATATTGCTATATTACAAAGATACATATACATATGTTATTTTTATGTATAGATGGAAACATACTATACATTTTGTTCTGAGACTTGCTTTTTTCACTTAACACTGTATCTTGAATGTCTTGTCACATAAGCACACTTCTCTTTTCTTCTTATTCACCTTATCTGTTATTCTTATATTGCCACAGTATTGTATAACTGCACGTTTTCTTTAAAATATGTTGCCTTCTGTGTAAGAACTCATAGTTTTGTTCTATTGTTCATCTTCCACAAAAGAACAAAATTTGAGGGTTGTGAAAGCCAGGAAATATAGAATCAGGGAATATAAAGCATAAGACATTAACAGGTAAAACAGAACAAAGACCATGTATAATATTCAGAATGATGTGGAAGGATTAATGCTATCAAAAACCTGAGGCTGAGTAAATTATAACAGTTGGGGGGCTAATGTTTTCTAAATACAAATACTCAGGGAAATGATTCAATAAATTTGTTAATATTTTAAATAATAGATTTAAAAGTCAAAAATATTCTTGAAATTTTTTGTATGAATAACAATTTCTAAGAAAATTCCACATAAAATCACAAAATATGCACACATATATATTGTACTTAGATCCCTGACTGGAACTGTAGGTAGAAATGAAAGAGGGCTGAGAGAATGTGTAAATGACCATGTCCCACATTTGTATGGTATTTAATTATTTTTCAGTTAGAATAAAAGCTGTTATTATGTTAAAGAATAATCTATGTTACAAATAAATCTGTGGGCTAAAAATCATATACAATTAATGATGTTTTATAGACTCTAAGCTAACATGATTTAATTTGAATTGTTTTTACTTGAGATCATAGCAGTGGATAAATGAGTAAAGTACAGCCATTGCCTTCATACCTTTTAGGTTGATTGCATAAAATGATATTTTCCTTCTCACTATTTTATAGTATGTCATATTTAATTGGACTTTGTCCAGTCCATCAACAAATCAGATGAATTGAATAAAAGATGTACTGTACACAGTGAAGCAGATAAAGTAAAAGATTATAATTGCTAGCTGCAATCAGACAGTGTTCTTGGGTGTTAATCCAGTATTACAGGGCATAGTGTTATTTTAATGTTTATTTTTCTGTTATTTTCAGCTTAAGCTGTCATGCATTGTGACACAATCTTGGCAATATGTTCTAATAGTGGAATAACTCAAGTGCATTAATTTGTAAACTTAATTTAATTTATACATCATAAATATAAATGAAATAAAGAGTAGTGTATTTAATGTAAATTATAATGTCAAATGCATATGGGAATAAGCATTTTCTATTTTTGTATGTGAATCAGGAAAAGTCATAGTGCTTGACCAGGCAATTTGAACTTAAATAATAGTATAACTAAAATGAAATGCAATTTTGTCATCAGGCAGGCAGGATAAAATGGTCCTGATGAAAGAACAAGAAAGTCAAGTGTTATGAGTTGAGGTCTAAATACAATTTCTGAATGACCTGTGGAAGCATGTGGTTGTTCTAATAGACCTCTTCAGTCCCTAAATATTTGCTGAGGATCTGCTTTATGCCACACACTGTTCTCAATGTGAACATAAGAGTCCCTTTCCACATGAATTTTATATTCTAGGAGAGAGATATGCCTGCCAAGTGAAAAATAAGCATGTGATGGGGTATCTGGGCTAAGTAATAGAAGGAAAATAAAGCAGGGTAAAGGGATAATAGAGTGATGGTTTGAGGAAGGGGTAGTATTTTTGGGATGGCCTCTCTAATAATCGGACATCTGAACAGAGATGAATGAAGTGCAGGGGGAGGCCACTCTGTCATCTGCAGAAAGACCACAGGGAGCAGGGGTCCAGCAAGTGCAATGGCCCCAAATTGGGAGCATAGCTGCTGAATGAAGGAATTGGAAATGAGGCCAGTGTGACAGAGTCTAGTAAACAAGTAGAGTAGTACAAGATGAGGTCAGAGGAGGAAGCTCATAGGTCATGGGGAGGAATTTATTCTGAGTTAGGAAATCTTTCCTCTAGGAAGATGTGAGACCACAATGGCATGATCTGAATGTTTCGAAAAGATTATTCTGGCTACTATATGGAGGCTAAACTTTAGCATTCTCTGCAACTGTCTTTGAACAGCTGTGGTCTTCGGTTTGTAATTAATCCTGGTATTTTGTGGGCCATGCATCAATGTCAAAGATGACAGAAGAACATCTTCACTGTGTAGGTAGATGATGTTAATCATGAATTTTGTCATGGTGAGTTGTTGGGAAGGTAATCGACTGGCTACACAAAGAATGATGAAAGCACAGGGATACTTTTCAAGGTCACCAGGAACTTGGAATAAGTTGGGCATATCTTTATGGTGTTTTTATGGCATTCTTTCATTCTTAAAATACAGATGAAAATTCTTGACAAAACCCTCTTCTGATATTCAGTTGCTCAGGATTCTTAACATGTTTTAAGATGGGATCAATTTGGTTTGTTTAAAACAGTATAGGAGAGAGAATGAATTAGATGTCATTGAGAATACACGATAGGAAATGTAAAAGATGTAACGTATACCAAATTAGAGCATTTGTATTTTGACATTTGAGAACCTGGAAGAAAGAACCGATAATGAAGATTCAAGTAAGCATGAAATAGAATAACCAGTATTTTTGTTTCAGGGCGTAAACCATTTATTAAAGTTTTATGTATTAGTGGTTCTACTTCTCCTTACCTTTCTACTGCCCAAACCCCTCAGACACTATTGGCTAGAAAATACGTAGCACAGTTGACCTGCTTATCTGAAGTTTCAGTTACTCATGGTTAACCTCAGTCTGAAAATAGGTGAGTACAGTATAATAAGACAGACAGAGAGAGAGAGAAGGAGAGAGAGAGAGAAAGAGACCACATCAACATACCTTTTATTGTAGTATATTGTTATAATTTTCTATTTTATTATTAGTTATTGTTGTTAATCTCTTATGTACTTAATTTATAAATTAAACTTTATTATAAGGAGGCATGTATAGGAAAAAGCATAGTATATATAGAGTTTGATACTATCTACTGTTTTAAGCATCTGCTAGGGTTGTGGAATGTATATACCCTGCAGATAAGGGGAGACTCCTATACTGTAAAAACAAACAAACAAACAAAACCCCTGAAGCCCCCAAGATATACAGTACATTGAAGCTCTTGGATGATTTCTTGAACTTTCCTTCTTATGCCTCTGCATATTTTCCTCTTCATCTGCTCTGGCCGACAATGACATCTAAAGCTTTACCATGGAGAACTGGCAACTACAGGACAGAAATACTGTGGCTTTGTTCTGCCCCCGTTTACATTGTTTTAAAGGAGAAAAATGGCCTAGAGGATGTGTAAAATTGTGGGAGGGTCAGGGGAGAAAAGAGAAAGAAAGAAACAAAATAAGCACAGAATTACAAAAAAATCAGAAAAGAGAAAATGCTACCCTGCAACTATGTTTGGCCTGAAAAATTACAACTTTCATCGTCATCATTCTAAATATTTTTTTGTTAAATCAAAGTTTATGGTAAAAAATACCTGAAAAATTCCAAAATATTCATTTAAACCACATAAATAATGCTTCAAAATGATCATAAGAATGTTTTTTGTTTAGTAAATATTTAATATTTCAATTTGCATCTTGACTAGTAGATATTAAAGTATCAACTTTTACATCCCACTTGTGATGGCCTGAATTTTCATATGTTATTTGATTTGTTTCCACAAAAGCAGTTGAATTATTGCAGTGAGTTTCTAAGTTTCTACATTAACATAGCAGCAAGTGATATGAAGGCTATAAATCGACTTTTAGGGAGAATGTTAATTAGAAACACTGTGAAATTTATGTCATTTGGTAATATGAATTCAGGTACCTGATTTTTTTTCCCTGTTGTATTTTAAATGAGGAAGAAAGTATAAAAATAGCAGTTTAAATGTTTTACAAAGTTTAAAAAGTGTGTTTTTATATCTAAAGAAGGTACCATCCAGATGTCACAAAATCCAAGGAATTTGCTACATGAGGGCAAATTAGAGAAAGACATCAGGAGCTATCTTGTGTTTGTTTCCCATGAGAAAGAGGAGCATCCTCATAGAAGTTAAAAAAGAAATCATCCTAGACTTAAAGGATTAGAAGAGGCTGGAAGCAGGGGTGAGCCGTGAGGAAGTAAAAAGCCGGTGTGCTGGCCTCTAATTGTTCAGTGTTCTCCACTGTTGCCACCATCCCAGGAAAGCTTGTGAGGCAACACCAACAAAAAGTCAGCTACACTGGTGGGTAGAGAGTCTTCTCCCCTGAATTCATAGAGGCACTTCCATAACAAAGAAGATGGCAATGTCAAGACTAGAGTAGCTGTCTAACCAAGCCTGGAAGCTCTTGCAACCACAGAAAAGTAACGCAGTGAATTACATTTCTGCTAAGAGGGTTCAAAGCCCCACTTTCCTTTCCTTTCTCCTCTAGCTCTTTGGTCACTGAATTGGAATTGGAAACTATTTCAGCTTAACGTTTTTGAGGAAAATCTGCATCCCAATGGGATTTAAGAGCATTCAAGAAGCTATCCACTCTCTTAGTGGAAAATACAAAATGAATAACGCTCATTTGTATATAAATATAAACATCAGTCCTTTTCATAATACATAAGGACATAGAAAAAATGATTAATATAATTTAGAAGGTTGGTTTATCATGTAACTATTATTCTCCATGTGCCTTTTTTATAGCAGCACAGAGCAGAATTTGTTGAATCCACAGTAAATGATAACAGTGCAATAAAGCTATAAATTATTTACAAAATATAATTAACTCTCACCAGAAAAATTGAAAATTTAAAAGCAGTACTCTAAATAATTCTTGGATCTAAGAGAAAAAAATTCACTGGATAATTAATTAATTGCAATTATTAGTGCCAACAGGTGGTATTTGTAAGGTGACCAATTTCTCACTATAGCCTCAAAGAACCACCCCACTCACACTATAACAACAACAACAAAAGTAATAAACCGCAATGGAGAAATACTCATAATCAGACTTTAAGAAATGTATAAGAAGGAAAAACCTAACACATGGGCTTAATAAGAAAAATATGCTATTCCACACAAAGCAGATGAAAAAGAAATATGATAAATGGGAAATCACTCCAACTATTTGAATAGAAGACTAAAGATGATGATAATTTTTGCCAGATTAAATCCAAAATTTGTTGTAGAACATCTGCAAATCCTAACAATAATAGTTTGGGATTTGAAAAAAATTCATTAATTTGGAAGAAATAGTACTGAGTAATGTGAAATTCTTTGCAATAACAGAAATAACATACGACTATACAGGAAAACAAACTCTGGAAGAAATATTTGCCAGATGGATATGACAAAACATTTATGTTTGTATGGACATAAAGATGGCAACAATAGCCATTGGAGACTACCAGGCGGGGAAAGTGAAAGGGGGCCGTGGATTGAAAAACTACTTATTGGGTATTATGTTCACTGCATGGGTGATGGGATCATTTGCACACCAAATCTCAGTGACATGTAATTTACTCATGTAGGAAACCTGCATATGTACCCCCTGAATCTAAAATAAAGGCTGGAAAAAATGATTGATGTCTGTAATACATAAAGAGTTCTTACAAATCAATGAAAAAGCAAACATCATAACAGAAGAATGTACATTGTATAGCAGGAAATTCACAAAAGGAAAGCTTGCTACTAATATTGACAGCTCTATCCTTGCCACCACTTTTCAATTACTAAATTATCAAATAAAGAAAGAATTGGTGGAAATTGTGAAAATAGTGCAGGCACATAGGACTTTCAGTCATTATTGATGACATTGTTCATCATACCTCCTTTTTAAAAGAACATTTAGAAATATGTATAAAAAGCTTCTAAAAATTCATAGCAATTCATATTCCAGGAATGTGTCCTAAGGGAATAGTCAGAAATATGTGCAAAAATGATTATAAGTAGTGTTTAAAATAGCTTTATAATCACAATTGAAATAGCTCAATATTTAACAATAGACATTGATGAACCGAAATTTAGTAAGACTTTATTATAATGTTTTATGTGTTATTGAAGAGTCTTTTAAATTTAATGATATGGGAAAATAGTCACAATATATTGCTAAATTAATAAAGTGGGATATTAAGGGCTACCTTTAGTAAGAATCGAGTAAAAAATACTTGGAAATCTATTAAGATGTTAACTAGTAGTCTTCTCTGAGTAGTGAAACTATGATAATTATTTTCTTCTTTGTATCCTTTAGTTTTTTCAAGCTTTGGATAATCTATCTAAATACTGTCTCCATATTTAGGGAAAATACAATACATATTATTTAAAATATATTTGTTTTTATACTAAAAAGCTGACATTGTAAAATAAGAATATTTTGATATTTAAAAAAATACCTTAAAGTATCATTATATCATTTGAGTGAAAAAAAAAAAGCTGACTTTCTAAGAAATTTTCTGTGTGTGACAATTCCATTTGGCAACTAATGCTGTGAGAACTGACAATCACCTTTGCCTCCAGTGGTCACCTTTATTGATAGGTAAAAGACAGGAGCCTTAGGGGATGAAGGGCTAAATACAGAGAGGCAACAAAGTGATATGTCACATTGCTGAAATGGGAGTCTCAGCATGCACAGTCCTCTTTTACTATGGGTGGAAAACAGTTGAGGTTAGACACCAGCCAAGTTCTTGCTTTTAAGTTTCAGTTTCAGAAGAACATCTGAGAAAAAACGACCAAGTGAAGCCTTTTCTGGTTTCACACCTAGTAAGTCCTTGATACTTAGGCCAGCATCCCATTCTTGCTGAATCTGAAATAGGCAACACCTAACTATACAGGCTCTCATCTACTTCCGAAGGCTAATCCTCCAGGGGCAAGCCAGCAGACGTGGGCAAGTGGTGATAACATCCCTGAGACAGAGGGACTACAAGCTTCACTATCATTTCTGAGTGAGTTTTAATTTTCAGATGATGTTAGTATTGTTTGGCTTCTTATAGTAGTCTTTTGGTTCAGTACCTGCTAATTGCTTATTGTTTATTATTAATATTATAGACTATATTTTTATACCCTGTGGACTACTTGGAAAAAGCTTTGATGTCTTAGCACTGATGGAATGAAGCTTCATGTAATTGCCAAATAAATTTATATGCAAAACCTAAAACATTGCTTATTTGAACTGTCTAGATATACAGTATTCACATTATTATAGTAAAATGATATTTAACTCATGTATTATGTTTGTCAAGTTTCTAAAATGAAAACTTGATAGTAAATCCAACTATTACATCATTGTCTTGAGTCGATATAATCTCTAAACTCTTATTGTAAAAAACTTTTGTTATATTGGATGAATGAAGAAAACTGAGTTCAAATATTTTTAAAAGAGAATATATTTGAACTATATTATTCCCCTTTTTCATTTCTGTTTGTCGTCCTAATATTGTTAAGTCACAATTTTCCCTCCAAAACCGATTTAAGGCAGGTATTTCACTATTCGTTTCCAAATACAGAGGGGTCAGTAAGTAATTACCCCTTAGCAGTTCACTTTAAACTAAGCAAGAAACTGCATTCCAGTTCTGTTTTCTCAAAGTAAATCCGTTATATCCGTTGTAACAGAATATCGGGGGAGGAGGAAGGAAGGAAGGAAGGAAGGAAGTAAAGAAAGAAGGAAGGAAAAGGAAGGGAAGGGAAGGGAAAAAGAAGGGAAAGGAAAGGAAGGAAGGAAGGAAAAAAGGACAGAAAGGGGGGAAAAAGGAAAGAAAGGAAGAAAGGGAAGGAAAGAAGTTAGTTTCAGAAATACTATGTTCTTACCCCAGAAGACAGATCTAAGTCTAGTTTTATTTGAAATAACTTTTGTTAACAAGGAGGTGATATAATGGTAATGTCAGGTATTTATGGAATTCACGATATGGGTAATCAGATGATAAGCAAGGGATGTAGAAAGGGAATTGTCAGAAACTAAAGACAAATTTAATTGGCTTTACACTTTGGCCTAGAATCATACCACACTGGGTGATGACACTTAGAAATGCCCATCACCATCATCATCATCATCATCATCATCATCATCATTGCTGTTATTATTAAGTGCCTAGATACTTGCTAATAAGTGGAAGATGAAGATGCTCTCTCTATATTATTTCATTTAATCCTCTCAAGAACCATTGGATAGATAACTCTTTTTGACAGACAGATAAACCAAGGCGTTGGCTTAGGCCAAAGCATTTACTCAATGTGATATGGTTAGTATGTAATATGAGACTTGAATTTAGGTCTCTGTGATCCTGAAGTCTATGCTAGTAACCAACTACAGATAACAGGAATTCAGGAATTTCTACAATAGCTTTTACTGTCAAATTTATAGGAATCGTGTAATAGCTTTTTTGCTTCTGTCCCCATGGAGTGAATATTGGGGTCAAATCACTAAAATCTACTAATGGATGAAATGCTCATAGTTTAGTCAGCTCTAGTAGTTTTAGCAATTTAGAAAAGCAGTGATGATTGGTGTCATAAAAGCCATAGCACACGTTCCTAGAAGGGAAAATGCAACTAAACTGTTTTTTTCAATTATTTCATTGCATGTGCATTTGGCAAATCTGTCACTGCTCCTGGCTGCTCTCTCTCTCTTTTTTTAATGCAAGTATTTCTCTGCATGGATTTCTTTACTTCATGATCTTCTGTTGTGTATTGTGTTTTCTTTTTGAAATCATAGCTTGGGAGTTGTTTATGCTTCAGAGATTTTTAAACCAAGGCTACCTTTTAATGTAAATGCACTTAAATTGACCCCACTTATTTAAATGATGTGAAATAGCTCAGCAATGTTCCCATGACCTGTTTTTATACCTTTTGATATTTTATGTGACCTCCAATAAGCTGGACAGATAATAACAGAACCCTTGGCATTGGGCTACCACTGCCACTGTGATGCTGAGTCTGGTGTCAGCAGTGAAGATGAGGGTGGGAAGCCACCGAGGAAGCTGGAGGTTGACACAAGTGGCAGTAAGGGCACATCATTACCTAGGAAGAACCTTCAGAAATCCTCTGCAAAAGACGGCCTGTTTCCACCCTTCCTATTCTTGTTTCTTCCTTCTGCCACTTTTTTTTTTTCTTTCAACTAAGGAATAGAATGGCCAGAAGTAGTTGACAGGCCCTAAGGAGAGCTTCACAGCTAACATCAGGTATAAATTTATTATTATTTTTTGAATATATTGATGTCTAGGATTAAATAAAAGAACATTAGATTATACAATACTGGTAGGAATTTTCAGATCAGTCTTCTTTCAATAGCCTGCCTCCCAGATAGTTGAACAGCTAGGTGAATTTGCCTTAACTGACCCAACTGGAGAGATGGAGAACCATGGTACATTTCACAGTGATTCATTTGACCTTTTTTTTCTTTTTTTTTTTTTTAACTAGGAAAGGATTCATTGCCATTAGCCTATGTCCTGGCTCTTGGTGGTAAGTATTCCATCTGCAAGAGGTCCAATTAGAGTGATCCAACAGACCATGACTCATAAATCTGGTCAAACTTCCCATGTTCTTGAAATCACTAGGCTTTCTAGTATTTATTGAATGACTTTTAAGAAGTGTGCTTATTTGAATATATTTATGTGTATGGTGGCAGGAAAAGGTATTCATTTATTCATCATATGGTCACATTATCCCACCTTCAATTTTAGTAATTGTCATCAAGCACTGTGAGGCATTTGAGATTTTACCCTTCTTTCAAGCAACAACTTAGCCAGCCACAGTTTTATGGATCATGGCAGAAGACATAAGACACCTGAGTCAGAGAAAAAGGACTTTATTGTTCATAGCAAATAGCAGTAGCCAGAGTACCTGTATTTATGCTGGTTCCCTGAGCTCCATTTCTCACTTGGCAACATGAAGAGGGCCAGGTAACACTTGATTGTGCAGCGGGCTGACTTACAGGAGAGGCACCATGATCTTAGAGAACCCATATCTTTTATAATGGGCATTCAACTAGAGGAACTCAGGTGCACCTTCCCAAATATTTATTCTGCAATGCAGAGATACTGGTTGTTATTGATCAAATTGTATTCAAGCAAGAAAATCTAATTATTTGTAAGCAATGAAAGGTGTGCACAAGGAAGATTATTAGGGCTTTCTTTATGCCAGGCACTATGCTAAGCATTTTACATAAATTATCTCATTTACTGTCAAAGGATTCTGTGAGTACAGCATTGCTATTCCCATTTCATGAATAAGAAAATGAAAGATTAGAGAGGTGTTATTTCCCAGTTTATACAATTAGTAAATGGCAGAGCTGGCGTTTTTTACCCAGGTTAGTCTGACTTCCAAGTACACACTCATTCCACTTCATCAAATTGCCATTGTTTGTGAATATTGTTTGCTCTCTTATATTAAATATTTTTTCAAAAGCCCATGGGGTTACCATAAAAAAAAGTCATGTTTTTATACTAATATTTCTTAGAAAAGCTTCAATTACTCTTTCTCCCTTGCTTGAGGAACGTCATGTCTGACACCCTTATAGTGTTGTGTTCATATAACATCTCAGCTGGATGCCATTAGCACTTTCTCTCCTAGAATTTAGGCATAATATATTACTACATGGTGGCTAGGCAATTTTATTTCCCTGTTTCCCTGAATGTTCTTTAATTAATCCATAAATTTAGAAACCAGATTAGAAAAACAGAAGACTTTCTTTAAATGTTTTTATAACTGACTTTTTAGTATACTTTCATGCAGGAATTTGAATAGCAACAGATACACTATTAAAGAGACTTGACACACGTTATTGTTTCCTATTGTTTCAATTTAATTTTGTTTCAAATACGGTAATAATCTGTAATGAAATAAAATGGACCATATTCTCTCAGGTGAATTGGCTATATGTTCTGTGAACAAATATTTGATTCTACATTTTGCTTTGGAAGCTTTTAGGTAAAAGTTAGGAAATAACTGCTGTGATAAGCAGAGGATGACCTGTAAAGTCAACCTCAGCCCTATTGATAGACCTGAAATTTTTATTTTACTCCTTTGAAAGGAGACATCACAAATTACCTTCCAAACACATTTTAAGGGAAATGTAATATCAGCTATTATTGCTTTACCTCAAAATGCTTTATCATAATAGCTGGCAAGAGACTGAGGAAATGCAACAAACGATAACCGTGTTTTGTGTTAGAAGCGGTAATGAAATGGTAAGACAGTCTTGGATGGGGTATAAAGTAGAGAAGAAGTGAGTAAGATCAGGACTTCAGGCTTCTGGTAGGTTGTTGGTGATGATGTTGGGGGTAAGATGGCTAGCCAAGAAGGCAAGCAAGTAAAAAACAAATGAGGAGCATCATACTTGCCTACTTTATAAGTTTTTTTTTTTTTAAGTTAGAGTTTGACATCTTGGTATGATAACTTATTTTATAAAATCTAGTCCAGTGATTTTTTAATTAATAAAAAAGATTAAATTGATATAAATTATTAAGATGAACCTTTTCAAAGCTTCTAGCTCCCTAACCTCTATTCTGCAGTTGGGAAATTGAAATGCTTTAGGTGTTTGGCATGACATGCCTTTCTTTACTTATTTTACTTGCAACATATATATAACTTTATTTAATAGTAAAAAAATCCACTTTGTTCCATTAAAAACATATCAAACCTATATTTATTGAACTATGAACTATGATAGCTTGTGCACCCAGGTTTACCAGGAAATTATGGGTGAACACTTGTACTCTAAGAAGATTATTTATGCTGAAAACTGTCCCGGTCTGCAAAGTCCTATCTTGCTTTGTGATCCTGTCTTGCCAAAGGCAAGTTAGCTTCTGAACACAGGTGAGAGGTAATGCAAATTGGTGTCTTTGTAGCTTTGTAGCTCAAGGTAAGACTTACCTATGTAGCTCAAGGTAAGACTTTTTACTAAAGACTCAATTTGTGATGACTAAATCTAGATATAGTAGCTTATCATCTGGGAGTGAGAATCATCAGTTCACACTGTATAATGATTGTGTTGCTAAAGGCCCATGTGAGTACCAGAAACACATGCAGAAGACAGACATATTATGCTGCTACAGAAAATAATGAGTTCAGGGCCAGGTGCAGTGGCCCACACCTGTAATCCCAACACTTTGGGAGTTTGAGATCCAAGAGTTGAAACCAGCCAGGGCAACATGGAAAGACCCTGTCTCTACTAACAAAACAAAACAAAACAAAAAAATTAGCCTGGCATAGTGGCATGCATCTATGGTCCCAGCTACCCAAGAGGCTGAGGCAGGAAGATTGCTTGAGACCAGGAAATCAAGGCTGAAGTGGGCCACGTTCACACTGCTGCCCTCCAGCCTGGGTGACACAGCGAGACCCTGCCTGAAAAAAAAAAAAAAAGAGAGAAAAAGAGACAAATAAAATAATAATTTATATGAAGATTAAATGCTATTTTTCTTATTGCATAATTTTTTCCACTTATTATTATTTCTAAGAAAGGAAGCTTGTATGTATGTGAAAGAGAGAGAGAGAGAAAGAGGAAGCCAAGAGAAAGAGTGAGGTGGAGATTTTGCTGATTCCAAGACATGGGGACATGAGATTTTTTTTGCTTATTGCTGCTTATTTTAAACATCTCTGATGATCAGCTTTTCTTTAATATCAATGTGTTCCTTAAATTTGAAGACATTTCTTTTCATAATGAAAAACCATTATTAAGTCATGGTGCATGTTATAGTCAGCATCCTAGAAACAATGGAGAAAGTGTTTTATATATAATACAATGGCCTCTTGATATCACATATAAATATCTCACACTGTAAATAAGTGTGATATAAGATTATAGTGTCCCCTCCCTTGTTCGCTTGGATTAAAGTAATCTTGATTTCTAACCTTATTTTTATAGCACCAACAATGAATTTCATGGTGGATGAAACAGCAGCAATCAACTCAAACAAGGAATCCCAGCAATTGGTGCAAAAAACGTATACACTGGAGAAGAAAGAAGCAATGGAGGAAGATGAAGCGCCCCAGCACAGAGATGCTGACATAGTACAGGGAAAAGGGGAGGCAGCACTGTGGGGAGAAGCAGGAGCTGTTCATGAGGCTCCCTTGAGGGCGTGGAAGCCAACAGCAGAGCAGCCAGAATTGGCAGAAGAGTTTACAGAAAAAAGGGAGATCCCTCCAGGCATAGAAAGGGGGGCAGAGGGAGCAGCAGAAGCAGAAGGGGTCAGAAGGCTGGGTGAAGGGGGGTCAGACCCCATAGGACAAGCAGCAGCAAAAGATGCTGTGGGTCTGAGTAAAGATGAGGCTCCTGAAAAGCAAGCCTTGATGCTCACAGTGCTTGAGACAGACAAAGCAGCTTCTGAAGGGGAACAGGGTTTAGAGAAGGCAGTGCTTGCAAATGAAGCAGCAGCCCTGAACTTGGAGCATCTTCATGAAGTAGCAGCCCTGAGAGAGGCAGCGACATCGGAGGAGGGAGAGGCTGAGGGTGGGGTGGCTGTGAGTGATGTCGGAGAAAGTGAAGAGGAAGCATCCATAGACCTAGAGGACACAGGACCCATGGAGGACACAGCATCAAAGAGAGAGGACGGTTCTGAAGAGGCAATTCTTGGGGGAGAGGAACCAGCCAAAGAGAGAAAAGAGGTTATGAGAACAGAAACACGCTTGAGCCCCTTCACAGGAGAGGCAGAGGCAAGCCGGATGCAGGTTTCGGAGGGCAGCCCTGAGGAAGGAAGCCTTGCAAAGGAAGCCTTCCTTTGCAAGGAAGATGTGGAAGGGGAAGAGATGGTGACTGAGGCAGAAGCTAATAGGGAAGATGATAGGAAAGAAATTTTACCCAAGGAATTAGATTTAGCAAGAGAGCGAAGGAAAGCTGAGAGGCCAAAAACATCTCTGAGGAAAACTGACTCTGAGAGAGAAGAGGTGACAAGGGCAAATGCACTCAAGGATGAAGATGCTTTTAAAGAAGAGCAAAAACTTAAAGCGGAAGAAGGGGAAACAGAGACAGAAGTAAGAGCTGAGGAAGAGACAAAAGCTCCCCCAAATGAAATGGGATCTGATGCTGAGAACGAAGCACCTGTGGAGGCTTCTGAGTTGTCTGACAATCCAGGGCTTCTAGGAGAAGATTCACTAAAAGAGACAGTGGTTCCCATATTTGAAGCAACGCCTGGATTTGAAAAGTCGCTGGAAAACATAACAGCTCTGAGGAAAGAAGGAGGAGGGGAAAGACTGAGTGAAGCCAGAGACACAGAGCACAAAGACAGAGAAGAGCTGTCCAGCAGGGAGAATAGGGCCCTGAAGGAAGGGCACCGCCAAGATGGAGAGGGGGCCTTAGCAGCTCCTGAAGCTGAGCCAGCAGGAAAGGTGCAGGCCCCTGAGGGGCTGATCCCAGCCACAGGCCAGGCAGAGGAGCTAGCAGCCAAAGATCACGACTCCTGCGCAGGACTGGAGGGGAGAGCTGAAGGGCAAGGAGGAGTGGATGTCGTGCTAAGGACCCAGGAAGCTGTTGCTGAGGAAGATCCCATAATGGCAGAAAAGTTCAGGGAGGAAGCGGTGGATGAGGACCCAGAGGAGGAAGAGGACAAAGAGTGCACTCTGGAGACAGAAGCGATGCAGGACAGGAACTCGGAAGGGGACGGGGACATGGAAGGAGAAGGAAACACACAAAAGAATGAGGGCATGGGAGGAGGAAGGGTTGTGGCTGTGGAAGTTCTACACGGAGGTGGTGAAACGGCAGAAACAGCCGCAGAGGAGAGGGAGGTGTTGGCAGGTTCGGAGACAGCCGAGGAGAAAACAATAGCAAATAAAGCCTCCTCCTTTTCAGATGTTGCTGAGGAAGAAACCTGGCACCAACAGGATGAGTTAGTAGGAAAAACAGCAGCTGCAGGGAAGGTGGTGGTAGAGGAATTAGCACGGAGTGGGGAGGAAGTGCCAGCAGCAGAGGAGATGACAGTGACATATACAACAGAGGCTGGGGTGGGCACTCCAGGAGCCCTGGAGCGGAAGACCTCAGGGCTAGGACAGGAGCAAGAGGAAGGGTCAGAGGGCCAGGAGGCAGCCACTGGGAGTGGCGATGGGAGGCAGGAGACAGGAGCAGCTGAAAAATTCCGATTAGGATTATCACGGGAGGGAGAGAGGGAATTGAGTCCGGAGAGTCTACAGGCGATGGCAACACTTCCAGTGAAGCCTGATTTCACTGAAACCCGAGAGAAGCAACAGCATATGGTGCAAGGAGAAAGCGAGACTGCAGATGTTTCCCCCAACAACGTGCAGGTCTAGGAGACTTGCTGGCAGACAGTGAGTTTAAGCGTAATGTCTTTGTAGGACTAAATAGCAGCCCTGCGGTGGGTCTCCTCCCCTTGGGGCTGGCTTGTCCCTTTATTGGTGTCTGTGCACATATAAACACACAGGCTTCAATTCTGTGTCACTTAGCCCTAAGCCTGTCAGGAAAGGGGCTGGGAAAGACGGAGGAGGGGCCAAAGCATGCACAGGGACACACTGCTCTTCCCGGTGTGGCAAGTCATATTCAGTCTTTGCAAGGCAGCTCCCTGAAGTAGTGAGATCTGTGTCTCCCAGATAGGACCCCCAAAGAGAAAATACAGAGGAGAATGTGCCACAGAGGACAGGCCACAGAAGTAAAGAATTAAACTATATTTCACAATTCATTTCCACCTTAGTGTTTTAAAGGATGAGATGAAGGTTGTTTGTTATCATTTGCCTTTAAGTGGGCCCTATGCTTTCATTTCTGCAGTTTCGCAAAGTTTTTACATATATAAAATGTTTTACATTCTATACGTAAAATATTTAAGTATATAAATCTTGAAGAGTCGAACTAAAAACTAAAATTATTTTTTGCATATTCTGCTATTTCCTTTAGGCCCTCACATTCTTAGTCCTGTTTCTACTGTTGTGAGTGATTTTATCCTGGTACTACTATCCTTTTTATTGTTTTTCAGGATAATTTAAAGATGTCTTCTGAAGATGTAAAGAGTGGAGAAAGATTCACGCAAGCATCTCACCAGGATTCTTGATTTTCTCTCTCTCCTCTTTAGTTGCTGGTTGCGCTTGTCTGAGATGATTCCCAATCTGTCAGCCCTGGTCAGTAGCTCAGTAAGCACCTTGAGAATAGCTCAAGTAGATCTGTAGGACCCTTCTTAGAAGCAGTGGTTCCTCATGGAGAAACTTGTGAGGCTGTTACACATTCTACACACCTAACATTATTTTCAAACAAAAATGATAATTTTCAGATGCTTGACTTTTACCAAAGATCACTGGAAGGCCCAGTCCTAATGTTAGGGGTTTGTTTAAAGTCCTTTTTATTTTACAATACAGAGCCCCAGTCAATTCCACAATCTCAATTTCATACATGGGAATTTTATTTAAAAATCTGTGGTTTGGGGCTTTAATGAATTGGCCTGTGAAAATGAGCTCTAAATTTCCTCCCACGTACACTCAAAACTCAAGATTGCTCCAAATCTCTAAGTTCTTCCAGCAAAAGATTTCTTGGCATGTATATTCACTTATACTTAGAAATATTCATTCTTTTAATTTATGCCAGAATAACAAAGTGGAAATCTTATTTCAAAATGCTCTTTGTTTTTTTGTGTGTGTTTCTGTAGTTCTGCTTTCTGGGGTAGACTAGTAAAATGGTAGCTTCCAGCATTTTGTCCCTGGGGCCTTCTTTATAGGGCCACTCAAATTTAAATAAAAGTAGTAAATAATTTAGCTAAGTGGAATAAGTATAATAATTATAGTGGTAAGCATAGCACATCAGCATTATGCCAACATTCTAGACTCTTTAGTTGATGTCATTAAATGGAAAAGAAACTTGGATTAAATGAGTGTGCTGCTCACCTTCCCAAGTTCTGTTATTTCAAACCTGTGAACTAACCTTGCAGTTCATTATAAATCAACAGTAACAACTGCATTCTAAATTACTCCCTGATATTATTTTCTAGTTGTGTATCAGCCTGTCTCCTAGGGGTTTTCATTTCCCTGAAGACATACAAGTGCCCCAGAGCGCATGTATATGTCTACCATTTCTCTATATGAGAAGGTAAAAAAAATTTCCTTAAGCAGTGATTTTCCAGCCAGAATATACATTAGATTTTCATGGGACGCTTTTATAAATGACTCAACCCTTTTCCCCACCCCAGAGATTCAGACTTAATTCGTTTTAGATGGATCTACACATCAGTATATATATATTTTTAACTTTTCACTTGATTCTTCTCTGTAGCCAAGGTTGAGAACCGCTGTTCTAAATCATCATATAATCCATGCTGGCCACATTACACTCAAGGTCCCTAGGGACCAGGCATATTATCATAGTAGGTATTTTCCATTTTAATGTGTAATGGAGCCATTCAATGATCAAAAATACACTGGACCAGATAGTAGACTGGTCCCTTGATCAGAAGCATCAGCACATCAGCATCACCTGGAAATTGTTCCCAGCCTTTGTCTCCTACCTACTAAATTAGAAACTCTTGGTGGGTTCCAGTAATCCATAGCTTAACAAGCCCTGCAGTTAATACTGATGTACACTGATGTCCAAAAACTGCTGTCATGGACTATTGATTGTATTGAGGATTAGTCTCAGTTGGAAAGCCAACTACAGAGGCATTTTGAACTTTCTTTCTTTGCCTCTCTATGTCTCTCTGTCTTTTCCTGTCTTCTGATTTATCTGTCTTTCTTTCTCTAGTAAATGGCACTCAATATAAAAGTGGTGGAGTCAATCTTAAACTTATTTTTATTATGATTGTATTGATACATGCACGAAGTCCCTCTGCCCTACTCCCTATTCAAGGATATTACTCACTGCACATCATAAATCTCCATCATCTGTCTTAAAGTTTTATGAGTAGATTTCATCTACATTATATTCAAGTTCATTTATTACTGAGCTGTATTACTGTGGAGCTCTAACAGTATTTGTTTCCTGATTTCAAACTCAATGCTACAGAGCACTTTGAATACATCACACCTTATAGGAAAGATAGTAAATGTATTAATCCCATTGAAAAATTAGTTTTGTACAATGTGCTAAATAGTATTGCATTGGATTACTTTTATATTTAACACACTCCATCAAAACATCCCATAACATAATTTTACAATCTGCATGTGAATTTAACTGTGAAATTCAGTATTGTGATATTTTGAATAAGTGAATTCTTTCTCTGCAAATACTATGTTGATAAAATTACTTGTATGTTCCCCTGAAATGGTTTGTTTCCTGTTTCTTCATTATTAAAACATAAATCAATCATATGTTTACAGATACATGTGAATGGTTCTTTGTAAATAAGACTCAACTTTTAAAATCTCTGTGTTCTTCCCTTACAATATTTGAACTCCACAGAGCAGAGAAGTTTCACTGGGCTGTATTTTTGAGTACAGTATATGATGTATTTATACTGACCGTCTACACTCATATGTGTCTTTCACACACATAAGATAATTTCAGGGAGAAAAATTATTATCACCTATCACCATTTTATAGGTAACTGAACAAAAGCTCAATAAAGTTAAGTGGCTTGTCTAAAAATCAGTCAATCTCAGGTCATGTGACACAAAATTTAGAATTTTTCTTATCATATCCACTACTTCTAAGAAGAGGTATCTTAAATAGATACTAAGATATTATATGTGAACATCTACTTGTTTTTGTTTACTTGTAGAAGGGAAAAAAATTAAACTTCCTCAGTATGTCCTCTATCAGTGAGAAGGGAGTTATATTTCCAGCTAATGTCAATCAAAGAACAAAGGAGATTATTAAAATAGTTCAAAAGAAAAATAGGCAATCAAAGGAAATGTAGGTAGAATTAGGTTTTCTGCTTGTACTTCTTGAGTTAAGCCTTTTCTAAGAGTGTTGTAAATTTAAAGTACAGTTGAGTTCCTTAATCCTTCTAAGATTAATAATTTTGCCAAAATTCTTGCCTTTGGAAAAATTATTGTTTGAGAAAAGAAAAGAAAGCCTTAAGGAAGATTCATCTATTAAGTGAAATATTCCAACAGTCTCAAGGACAGCCCGGAAGAGGCCGCTCCTGACCTTGGGTAATATTTCCTCTCTGTTTTCTGTACCATTTGATTATGTCATTTAAAAAATAATTCCCTGACACCATGGGCAGCAGCAAGAGGTACAAGAGAACAGGGAATAAATACAGCTGGAATTCTTTAAAAGTTGCTCTTAAACTCACCCCTTTTTTTTTTTTCCTTTGCTTTTTTGTTCTTTATTCTAATAGCATGCCCTGTGACAGGGAAACTAAGCTCTTCAAAATAACTGAAACTAAATCTGTAAGATAAAATGCTGGAATTTGAGAAGGCACATGCCTTTTGTAGTTTTCTCCAGAAGGCTCAAGGTGTTCAATAATCTGTGGGACTCAACAATATTTTGGAAGGTTGAAATACCCTCATTTTTAATTAGGGAAAATGCAGTACACAGAAGATTCTTGGGACAGAGAAGCCGGTGTCTAAATCTTGCCGCTTTCTCATATGTTTCCTGGTCTTTATTAAATATCTACTTATAATTAAATATTATATTAGGGACCCATAAATTATGTGAGAAATCTCACAGTTGTTCAGGAGATTGGTACTAATGAGACACAGAGACTTTCAAACTGGTGTAAATGTACCTCCCAAGGAAGATGAAGCTTTTCATGGGATTCACTGGGAAGGCTAGTTTGCAGATGCTTAACCTCCGTATGCACTTTATCTTAAAATGGACTTGAGAACTAGCCTGCAGTCAATGTTTTTTGTCAGTCCCCCACTTTTCACAATAGAGGCCAACTCTTCATTCACTTACCAAGTTTACTGTGATACAATGACCCCTAGAAATACACAAATCAAAGGAACAAGGTGAAATATGGCATAGGGGAGGACTTTCCTTCCTGGAAATGACTGGGTAACAAATCTCTCTGCAAATCAGGTGGTTTTCAATTCTTTGTTTACAACAAAATTAAATGAAGACGTGATTGAATTGCCAACTGATAAGTCATTGAAATATTTTTGGTATATTATCAGCCTGTAAATTTTGGCAAATCGGAAGGAGTTCAAATAGGAGCATTGTTGTACAATATAACAAAATGACTTCCATTCCCATCCACTTATTTATGTGACATGCATAATTACTATATTTTTATATCTATGAAAATAAAACAGAAAGTGGAATAGAACTGATGTTGAACACTGTTATTCCAGCGGTAAATAATATTCGTTCGCAGACATACAAACAAATTAAAAATAGAAATCACTATCTTAGATGCATTTTTGCTTTTACTTTTTATGTGTAATATTTGCCAAAATTTATAGTATAAATGTTGTTTTGATTAAATGTGTATTACTAATAATTGCAATGATAGCCCAGTCCAGGAGAGATTTAACACATAGAGTCCTATGGTCACAAGAAATTTTTTAAATTAAAATTTAATTTACATAATAATTTAATGGCAGATAATTATGACAGATCGAGAAGTAAAAGACTTTTAAGTATAAAAATATACCGAAGTAGCATAAAAATCTGTGGGCAAAGTGGAACGGAAATGTAAGTTTAAGAAAATAAAAAACGTGAGATTTTTCTAACACCAAAGTAGAGCTTAGCAACATACTTTTGAAAATGGATGTCTTAGGTCAGGTTCACCCAGAAACACTCTGGATTAGAGGTTTGTGTGCAGAAGGTTTATTGGGGCATGCCCTGGGAACAACACTGTAGAGAACTGAAAAAGCAGAAATGGGCCAAGAAACAAGATTGATAGAGTTGTAGTTGCCACAGAGGTGCACCTCATCAAAGGGGAGCTCTCGAGGTGGGATTGCCAAATGCAGTTGAAGGACCAGGCCTCTAAGTGCCCACAACAGGACAGTCGCTTGATGTTGGCTTCCTACTCAGGAGCAAGCATAATCTTGGACTGGGTGGTCCCTTCAGTCAAAAGCAATTCCTGTGGAGAAACTTAGGTAGCATACCCCACCCCAGGCTGCTGGAGGCCGATCATATCCACTGTGAAGAGACTATCAGGGTGGCACCCCACTGCGTCCACGACATGGATAAAGGTGATATGGAATTGCTATAGCATTTTCATTTCTTTGGATACATGTAGAAAAAAGATACAACAACTTCATATTAAAGCGTCTTGTTTTATAAAATAATAGAAGTTACATCTGTAACTACTTAAATATATAAAAATGTTTACATGTCAATATAAAAATATATGAGGGCATATCGTTTTTCAAAACCCTTTCAGAGGTATGTGAACAGAAATATTGGGAGTCCACTAGTGTAAAGGACAAGATGAATAGCTGAGGGCCATGTTTCTTGTGGCCTGGCAGTCATTCTGAATCAGTAGCCAAAATTTTGATTAATGTACAAAATTTGTTTTGTCTACATACTGCTAAAGTGATGTCTGCCAGTAAAATAAATGAGTGGGTCATCCAGCTTGGTGTTGCTATAAGGAAGAAGAGTCCTAGCATAATGTCTAGCTGTTTCTAGGAAAGGAAGTATGCCCCTCTAGTGTGTCTGAGTACACCATCAGGGCATGATATGGTTTGGTTCTATGTCCCCACCCAAATCTCCTCTCTAATTGTAATCCCCACATGTTGAAGGTGGGGCCCGGTGGGAGGTTATTGGATCATGGGAGTGGTTTCTAATAGTTTAGCACCATTCCCCTAATGCTGTCTCGTAATGAGTTCTCATGAAATCTGATAGTTTAAAAGTGTGTGGCAGCTTCTCCCTTGCTCTCTCTCTCTCTCCTGCCACCATGTAATATGTGCCTTGCTTCCTCTTCACCTTCTGCCATGATTGTACGTTTCCTGAGGCTTCCCCAGTCAAGCGGAACTGTGAGTCAATTAAACCTCTTTTCCTTATAAATTACCCAGTCTCAGGTAGTTCTTTATAGCAGTGTGTAAACTTACTAATACAGGGCAGTTAACGGTTGTATTCAAACAAAATCTCACTGCTAATGAGTAGGGATTAGCTAATTTTTCCTGTAAAGAACCAGGTTGTAAATATTAAATGTTTTAGGCTTTGTGGGATATAAAGTTGCAAATATTCAACCCTGCCATTTTAGGATGAAAGTTGCCATAGACAATACTTACAAGAATTGGAATTGGTATGGGTGTGTTCCAATAAAACTTTATTTACAAAGAAAGGCAAAGTGTCAGATTTGGCCTGAGGACTGTGCTCTGCAGACCTCTTCTAAAGTGCTTTCAACTTAATAAATAGTTCTGTAACTATGAAGAATAATCCTCACTCTGCCACAGAAATTTTAATTTTCAAAAATGTGCCTTAAACACAAAGATTTGGAAATAACTGGAGTAAGGAACAAATGACCTTTAATCTTTCAGTGGAATGGATGATTTATTAGAATTTGCTTCTCCTTTTAAGACTATTATTTTAAAAGCTTCATTTTAGTCAGGTTTTCAATCCTTCCTTTCCATTCCCATCTTCTCTGTCACATCTGTTAGAATGCAAATGTGAGATGTCGTGATGAAGGGAAAAATAACTTTAGAATTCTGACAATTACATTTCATGTTAACACAGGCTGATTTGTTCTTCAATAGAACAGTATTAGCCCCACGAGAGAAGAGATGTGATCTGTTCTGGTCCACATGCAGTCCCCTGTGCCAAGAGCAGTGTCTGGCACACAGTACATGCTCAATAAATATATGGAAATGAATGAATACCTGAATTGACATACAGACTGGGGGAGCATTGTTATATGCTGTTCTAAACATTTTTAAGCCCAGATTTGAATGATGCTGATAGCATGCATGGAGTATCCGACTTTGTTGACTGAAGAGAAAAACTAATAATTTTCATAATACGTTAGAGTTGGTAGGGACATTAGATATCACACATTCTACCTGTTCCCCTTTATGTATCAGACTGAGAAAGCAGAGAACAAGGGGGTCTGAGGAGTGGGTTACACATTGATTAGGGACAAAAACAGAACTGGAACTTCTATCTTTAGTCTAGAGCTTGTTTCGCTTCAAAATGCTGTTTCTCATTAGTCAGATTTTCTTTTCAGAGACACAGAATCCTAATTTCTAATCAAACATACTCTCTAAAACTCAGTGTTTTTTTTTCTGTTTGTTTTTTTTTAGAACAGCTAATTTAGTTCTTGCTTTGCAAACATGGAAATACAAGTTTTCAAATGCAGTATAAGGTGAAACATTTTGGTTGTCTGGATCTTAGAGGTCACTGAAATTGGTCATTGACCTTTTATAATCCCCACTGAGACTTTCAAGGTCAGTTAGAGAGAGACAGTGGTTATTTTGCACACATACATACACACACCCGTGCATGCACACATACACACCTGTGTCATTAACTTAAAGAAAAGAAAATCTCTGAGAATGAATGGAAACTCTTCCCACTGAACTAATCATAATGTTAATGGCTCCCTACTTAGCACTGAACTCTCCAGTAAAATTCAACAAATTACAAACCTATCTAAGCATACACAAATTGGCTTAACAAACTCAAATCTAAATTCCTGCATATTAACGGTATTGGTTGTACATTAGAATTTTCCTGAAGAGATTTTTTTTAAATCTCTGGGGGTAGAAGTTGGGCATAAGAACAATAAAAAAAAAATCTTCCCAGGTGATTGATACGTGCAGCTAAACTTTCCCACCACTGACCTCAAGTTTGAATAGCTACTGTGATTAAAAAGTAGACCTAAATGTTATTTCACAAGCCAATGTAAATCAGTATAACACATCTTGACCCATTATGCTTTTACTCTTTTACTCTTTACTTTTCCTCTTTTTCTCCTTTCCTCTTTAAACCTCAGAATGCCATGAGGAAGGCACTATTAGCCCATTTTATAGATGATAAAATTGAAGCACAGAAAAGTGAAGTGACATATTCAAGACACAGGGCAAGGAAGTATCACAGCTGATATTCAGATCAGGCAAAGTGGCTCCATCTGGAACAGGAGTTCTCAAAGTTTGGTCTGTGTAAGACTGAAGGGCTTAGTAGGATAGAATTTTCTGGGCCTTATCCCTAGAATTTCTGATTCAATAGGGCTGCAAGCCACCTGTAATTCTGTATTTCTAACAAGTTTCCACGTGATGTTGATGTCGCTACAACAGGGACCAGATTTTGAGAACCTAGAATTCAAATTGTGTTGGTAATATGGATGTAAGCTAGAGTTTGAGAATGACTAGTCAGTGGTTCTCAGCCTAGGCTACACATGGAGTCCTGTGGGAAGCTTTAAAAATCCTGATCCTCATTCACCCCAGACAATTTGAATCTCTGGGGTAAGACCAGGACATCAATACTTTTTAAAGCAATCTGTGCAGCCCTAATAAAGAACCACTGCTTTAAAGTACACTGTATTAGCCACAACATTCTATCCCGCCCTCCACACCGCTGAAATTCATCTCTAATACATAATACTGCTACAATTACAATGTTTCCAATGCACAGTACTACTACAATTACAAGAGTCATGGTGGGATCATTGTTCTGTCATCCAAGACACAGTATTTGAGTTACACACTATTACTCTGAAAGATGCCAATAAATATCCTTCCATTCACCGCTGAGGCCTCTTCTGGAGTAGAATGTTTCTCCCATAATGGTTAGATTCTATTGGTTTTCAGATTTTCATCACCTTTTGCAAACCATAAGATCTGTGAAGCTGAGTCCTGGTGGATGCGGGGCTGATGTTGCCTCTGGACAGCCACTGCGTGTTACCTGCTGTGTCTAAGTAGAGAGCCCATATTCGTGGCAATCCCTAGCTCATGTGACCCCTGACGCTTAATGTAAGATGGTTGTGCACCCCAATCCACCCAAGTCAAGGGGACTTCTCTAAACTGAGCGCCTCTAACCTCTGTGCTTGTCCAGTCCACCCCTGAAAAACATCTGCCTCAGCTGATCCTAAGGAGGTTGGGAAGGGTCAAATCACAGTGTGTATTTATCTTGTCTCCCAAAATTCATCTCCAAGAGAAATCAGGGTATAAGAAACAAGAATGGTTTTGAGAAAAATAAGTTAGACAAGAGTAGCCCGAGGAGAAGAGTTGGAAAGAAACCACGGCAGTCTCATGGATTATACCTGTTGATATGTAATAGTGGCTTCCATTTACAGGTTATTATCACACATACCTTGCATTATTCTCATGAAGTAGAATCTAGTGGCCAAGGAAAGAAGATAGGGCAGGTATTTTAGTTCCTCACAGGTGAGGCAAAAAAGCTCTGAGATTTTTTCCTACCCTTTTGTTCTCAAACGTTGCATTCTATGTAATTTTTTCAGAGCAATCTGCCAATTTGTTTTTTTATTTATCTGTTTCTAATTTTCTGTTTAATGCATCCACTGAGCTTGTGCTTTCAACAATTTTATTTTTTGTATTTTTCCTTTTTTTCTCTCTCTTTTTTTTTTTTTTTTTTTTTTTTTTTTAAGATAGAGTCCCACGCTGTTGCCCAGGCTGGAGTGCAGTGGCACAACCTCAGCTCACTGCAACCTCCGATTCCTGGGTTCTAGCGATTCTCTTGCCTCAGCCTCCGGAGCAGCTGGGATTACAGGTGTCAGCCACCACGCCTGGTTAATTTTTTTATATTTTTAATAGAGATAGGGTTTCGCCATGTTGCCAAGGCTGGTCTCAAACTCCTGACCTCAGGTGATCCGCCTGCCTCAGCCTCCCAAAATGCTGGGATTACAGGTGTGAGCCACCATGCCTGGTCTATTTTTTTGTTTCTTTCTTAAGGTTTTATGCAGTCACTAATCCAAATCTACCTGATCATTTTTGATGGTCACAGGCTGCTTGTTACGTTTTCATACTTCATGTCATTTCATTTAAAAAATGTCTTTAAATATTTTACACTTAGCTATTTTCTGTTCTGAAATGGATTCTTCCACTATCTGGAATTCTTAGTGATCTGTTTCTGCAGTTTGTTATTTCCACTGACTTTTATTCATGATGGCTTGTTTCTTAATTTTCATGTGTATTCAGTTAATCTTAATTTGTGAATAATTTTTTGGAGTCCAGTTTAATGTGCCAGTCTTTAATAAATCTTCTTCTTCTTGTCTGAAGGCTTAATCTCCAACTTTAGTACTAATATTTCATTGTCCTCAGGGAAACCTTGATTTTCCTTTGTGCTTACCAAGATCACTGCTGGAAGCTCACTTTTTTAAGAATGAGTTTCTTTATTTCCTGCAAGTTCAGCAATAAAAAAAAAATGTTTTATGTGGGCTCTACTAGTGTTATAATGGAAAGGCCCTTCAAAGTATAGAGTCCCTATATTATAAAAGGCAGACTTTTGACACAATCTTTAAAATAACTGTATCATTTAATTGAAAAGTAAGAGAATACATATATGTTTTCCAAATATTCATAGGTACCAATATATAAATAGTTATGAGGTCCCAAGAATAAGGTTTGAATTTGATTATAAAGATACTAGCAATTGAGACAGTTTTTTTCACAACCGAAGCTTTTTACATGATGTTTTAACAGAATTGTCTTTAAATGGTTGTGAAGAGATTTTAAAATTGCAATGCTCTTGTTATTGGCATTTAACATTGTAATATTCTTTTTAGTGGCTTTCAAAATTGCAATGCTCTTGTTAGTAGTATTTCTTCTCTTATTTCGACTCCAAGGCAGGGTTCATATATGGGTCAAGGAAACAGCTAAATTGTATGAAAGTTTAGAGAAGCAAAGGACTTAAGTATTTTGAGAATCCTATTTTTTTATTTTTATTTTTTTACTCTTTTGTAACTTGTCTGCTGTAGCTGGTAAAATAAGATGGACTCAGAGCCTCTACTTAGCAGTAAGCAATAGGACCCTTTACTAGGGGAAGTGGGTTGTCTTAGTCTGTTTATGCTGCTATAACAAAACATTCTCACACATTGCTTAATGACAGGGATACATTCTGAGAAACATGTCAAGCAATTTTGTTATGTGATCATCGAAGTGTACTAACACAAACTTAAACCTTATAGCCTGGGCTAGATATATGGTGTAGCCTATTGCTCCTAGGCTACAAACCTGGGCAGCATGTTACTGTACTGAATACTGTAGTCAATTGTAACACAATGATAAGTGTTTGTGTATCTAAACCTAGCAAAGATACAGTAAAAATATGGCATGAAAGATTTTAAAAACTGGCATATGTGTATAGGGCACTTACCATGAATAGAGCTTTTAAGACTGGAAGTTGCTTCGGGTGAGTCAGTCAGAGAGCCAATGTGAAGACCTAGAACATTACTATATCCTACTGCAAACTTTAGACTACACTAAATTTATTTTAAAAACTTTTTCTTCAATAAATTAACATTACCTTACTATAATTTTTTACTTTATAAAATTTTAATTTGTTATTGACTCTTGTAATAACACTTTGCTTAAAACATAAACACATTGTATACAGTACACAAATATTTTATTTCTTTATATACTTATTCTATAAGCTTTCTTCATTTTAAAAATTTTCTATTTTTTAAACATTTTCATTAAAAACTAAGACACAAACACACACATTAGCCTAGGTCTGTGCAGAGTCAAGACCATTACACATTACTAGGCAATAGAAATTTTTCAGCTCCATTATAATCTGATGGGATCACCATCCTATATGCAGTTAGTCTTTGACCAAAACATTGCTATGAAGCACATGACTGTATCTGAGATTTGGTCATGTATAAACAACAGGGATTTTTTTTTTTTCACAGTTCTTGAGGCTGGGGAGTCCAAGATCAAATTGCTGGCAGATGCCGTGTCAGGTGAGGGCTCATTTCTCATAGGTGGCACCATCTTAGTGTCCTCACGTGGCAGAAGGGACAGAAGGGAGAAGGAAACTCTCTTTTTTTATTCTTTTTAAAAATTATTATTATACTTTAAGTTCTGGGTTACATGTGCAGAACATGCAGTTATGTTACATAGGTATACACACGTCATGGTGGTTTGCTGCACCCATCAACCTGTCACCCACATTAGGTATTTCTGCTAATGTTATCCCTCCCCTTGCCCCCAACCCCCCACAGGTCCTGGTATGTGATGATCCCCTCCCTGTGTCCATGTTTTCTCATTGTTCAACTCCCACTGATGAGTGAGAACATGCAGTGTTTCATTTTCTGATCTTGTGATAGTTTGCTGAGAATGATGGTTTCCAGCATCATCCATGTCCCTGCAAAGGACATAAACTCATCGTTTTTTATGACTGCATAGTATTCCATGGTGTATATGTGCCACATTTTCTCAATCCAGTCTATCATTGATGGATATTTGGGTTAGTTCCAAGTCTTTGCTATTGAGAATAGTGCCGCAATAAACGTACATGTGCATGTGTCTTTATTGTACAATGATTTACAATCCTTTGGGTATATGCCCAGTAATGGGATTGCTGGGTCAAATGGTATTTCTAGTTCTAGATCCTTGAGGAATTGCCACACTGTCTTCGAGGCAATGATTGAAGTAATTTACCCTCCCACCAACAGTGTAAAAGGGTTTCTATTTTTCCACAACCTCTCCAGCATCTGTTGTTTCCTGACTTTTTAATAATTGCCATTCTAACTGGTGTGAGATGGTATCTCATTGTGGTTTTGATTTGCATTTCTCTAATGATCAGTGATGATGAGCATTGTTTCATATGTCTGCTTTGCTGCATAAATATCTTCTTTTGAGAAGGGTCTGTTCATACCCTTTGCCCATTTTTTGATGGGATTGTTTGCTTTTTTCTTGTAAATTTGTTTAAGTTCTTTGTAGATTCTGGATATTAGCCCTTTGTCAGATGGATTAATTGCAAAATTTTTCTCCCATTCTGTAGGTTGCCTGTTCACTCTGATGAGAGTTTCTTTTGCTGTGCAGAAGCTCTTTAGTTTAATTAGATCCCATTTGTCAATTTTGGATTTTGTTGCCATTGCTTTTGGTGTTTTAGACATGAAGTCTTTGCCCATGCCTATGTCCTGAATGGTATTGCCTAGGTTTTCTTCTAGGATTTTTATGGTCCTAGGTCTTACATTTAAGTGTTTGATCCATCTTGAGTTGATTTTTGTATAAGGTGTAAGGAAGGGGTCCAGTTTCAGTTTTCTGCATATGGGTAGCCAATTTTCCCAATACCATTTATTAAATAGGGAATCCTTTCCCCATTGCTTGTTTTTGTCAGGTTTGTCAAAGATCAGATGGTGGTAGATGTGTAGTGTTATTTCTGAGGCCTCCGTTCTGTTCCATTGGTCTATATATCTGTTTTGGTACCAGTACCATGGTGTTTTGGTTACTGTAGCCTTGTAGTAAAGTTTGAAGTCAGGTAGCATGATGCCTCCAGCTTTATTCTTCTTGCCCAGGATTGTCTTGGCTATGCGGGCTCTTTTTTGGTTCCATATGAACTTTAAAGTAGTTTTTTTTTTTCCAACTCTGTGTAGAGTCATTGGTAGCTTGATGGGGATAGCATTGAATCTATAAATTACCTTGGGCAGTATGGCTATTTTCACGATACTGATTCTTCCTATCCATGAGCATGGAATGTTCTTCCATTTGTTTGTGTCTTCTTTTATTTCGTTGATCAGTGGTTTGTAGTTCTCCTTGAAGAGGTCCTTCACATCCCTTGTAAGTTAGATTCCTAGGTATTTTATTCTCTTAGTAGCAGTTGTGAATGGGAGTTCACTCATGATTTGGCTCTTTGTTTGTCTGTTATTAGTGTATAGGAATGCTTGTGATTTTTGCACATTGATTTTGTATCCTGAGACTTTGCTGAAGTTGCTTATCAGCTTAAGGAGATTTTGGGCTGAGACGATGGGGTTTTCTAAATATACGATCATGTCATCAGCAAACAGAGACAACTTCACTTCCTCTCTTCCTATTTGAGTATCTATTATTGCTTTCTCTTGCCTGATTGCCCTGGCCAGAACCTCCGATACTATGTTTAATAGGAGTGGTGAGAGAGGGCATCCTTGTCTTGTGCTGGTTTTCAAAGGGAATGCGTCCAGTTTTTGCCCATTCAGTATGATATTGGCTGTGGGTTTGTCATAAATAGCTCTTATTATGTTGAGATATGTTCCATTGATACCTACTTTATTGAGACTTTTTAGCATGAAACGGTATTGAATTTTGTCGAAGGCCTTTTCTACATCTATTGAGATAATTATGTGGTTTTGGTTCTGTTTATATGATGGATTATGTTTATTGATTTGTGTATGTTGAACCAGCCTTGCATCCCAGGGATGAAGCCAATTTGATCGTGGTGGATAAGCTTTTTGATGTGCTGCTGGATTCGGTTTGCCAGTATTTTATTGAGGATTTTTCACATTGATGTTTATCAGGGATATTAGCCTAAAATTCTCTTTATTTGTTGTGTCTCTGCCAGGCTTTAGTATCAGGATGATGCTGGCCTCATAAAATGAGTTAGGGAGTATTCCCTCTTTTTCTATTGATCAGAATGGTTTCAGAAGGAATGGTACCAGCTCCTCTTTGGACCTCTGGTAGAATTTGTCTGTGAATCCATCTGGTACTGGACTTTTTTTGGTTGGTAGGCTATTAACTATTGCCTCAATTTCAGAACCTGTTATTGGTCTATTCAGAGATTCAAATTCTTCCTGGTTTAGTCTTGGGAGGGTATGTGTGTCCAGGAATTTGTCCATTTCTATTTCTGTGGGATCAGTGGTGATATCCCATTTATCATGTTTTTATTGCATCTATTTGATTCTTCTCTCTTTTATTCTTTATTAGTCTTCCTGGTGGTCTATCTATTTTGTTGATCTTTTCAAAAAACCAGCTGCTGAATTCATTGATTTTTTGAAGGTTTTTTTATGACTCTATCTCCTTCAGTTCTGCTCTGATCTTAGTTATTTCTTGTCTTCTGCTAGCTTTTGAATTTGTTTGCTCTTACTTCTATAGTTCTTTTAATTGTGATGTTAGGGTGTGGATTTTAAATCTCTCCTGCTTTCTCTTGTGGGCATTTAGTGCTATAAATTTCCCTCTACACACTGCTTTAAATGTATCCCAGAGATTCTGGTACGTTTTGTCTTTATTCTCATTGGTTTCAAAGAACATCTTTATTTCTGCCTTCATTTTGTTATGTACCCAGCGGTCATTCAGGAGCAGGTTGTTCAGTTTCCATGTAGCTGTGTGGTTTTGAGTGAGATTCTTAATCCTGAGTTCTAATTTCATTGCACTGTGGTCTGAGAGACAGTTTGTTGTGATTTCTGTTCTTTTACATTTGCTGAGGAGTGCTTTACTTCCAACTATGTGGTCAATTTTAGAATAAGTGTGATGTGGTGCTGAAAAGAATGTATATTCTGTTGATTTGGGGTGGAGAGTTCTGTAGATGGCTATTAGGTCCGCTTGGTGCAGAGCTCTGTTCAAGTCCTGTATATCCTTGTTAATTTTCTGTCTCGTTGATCTGTCTGATACTGACAGTGGGGTGTTAAAGTCTCCCACTAGTATTGTGTGGGAGTCTAAGTCTCTTTGTAGGTCTCTAAGAACTTGCTTATGAATCTGGGTGCTCCTGTAGTGGATGCATATATGTTTAAAAGAGTTAGCTCTTCTTGTTGAATTGATCCCTTTACCATTATGTAATGGCCTTTGTCTCTTTTGATCTTTGTTGGTTTAAAATCTGTTCTACCAGAGACCAGGATTGCAACCCCTGCTTTTTTTTTGTTTTCCATTTGCTTGACAGATCTTCCTCCATCCCTTTATTTTGAGCCTATGTGTGTCTTTGCACATGAAATGGGTCTCCTGAATACAGCACACCGATGGGTCTTGACTCTTTATCCAATTTGCCAGTCTGTGTCTTTAAATTGGGGCATTTAGCCCATTTACATTTAAGGGTAATATTGTTATGTGTGAATTTGATCCGTCATTATGATGCTAGCTGGTTATTTCACCCGTTAATTGATGCAGCTTCTTCATAACATCAATGATCTTTACAATTTGGCATGTATTTGCAGTGGCTGGTACTGGTTGTTCCTATCCATGTTTACTGCTTCCTTCAGGAGCTCTTGTAAGGCAGGCCGGTGGTGACAAAATCTCTCAGCATTTGCTTGTCTGTAAAGGATTTTATTTCTCCTTGACTTATGAAACTTAGTTTGGCTGGATATGAAATTCTGGGTTGAAAATTCTTCTCTTTAAGAATGTTGAATATCGGCCCCCACTCTCTTCTTGCTTGTAGGGTTTCTGCAGAGACATCTGCTGTTAATATGATGGGCTTCCCTTTGTGGATAACCCGACCTTTCTCTCTGGCTGCCCTTAACATTTTTTCTTTCATTCCAACCTTGGTGAATCTGACAACTATGTGTCTTGGGGTTGCTCTTCTCAAGGAGTATCTTTGTGGTGTTCTCTGTATTTCCTGAATTTGAATGTTGTCCTGCCTTGCTAGATTGGGGAAGTTCTCCTGGATAATGTCCTGAAGAGTGTTTTCTAACTTGGTTCTGTTCTCCCCATTACTTCTCTGAAGCTTCTTTTAAAAGGGCATTAATCACGTCATCTTCCAAGGTGCCCAGTTCTTAATACCATCAACTTAGGGGTTAGGTTGCAGCCTATGAATTTTGGAGGGACACATACATTTAAACCATAGCCTGCACCACTGTCAATTTCCTGGTTTTGGAACTGTGCTATACTAACACAAAAT